>NC_000001.11:69553835-74553835 GCF_000001405.40 Homo sapiens | reverse complement strand
ATTCCATCTGGGGAAAGTGAGTGATGAATATCAACACCTCTCTGTACAGTATCTTGCAAATTCCTGTGAATTATTATATAAAATAAAAAATGTTTTCTAAAAAACCAAAGTGGGGGCCTAGCACAGTGGTGGTAATCCTAGCTATTTGGGAGGCTGAGGTAGGAAGATCCCTTAAGTCCAGGAGTTCAAGATTGGCCTACGCCAGATAGTGAGATCCCAGTCTCAAAAATGAAAAATAAATAATAATGTAAAAATTTTTAAAAAATCAAAGTAGAGAGTAGAGTAAGGCCTAGAGGAAGGGAGACATGAAGGAGAATGTTGTACCTGTCTCTGACTAGACCTGAAAAGAATGGAGAAACAGGAGTCTTTGTGACACATACAGTTTGCTGTAGTTCTCCAAAGGCATTGTGGGCCAAAGCTCTAATTAGTGATAACAAACATTCATTTGCCTGTTGTGTACTCTGTTATGAAATCCCTGAGTGACCTGGCAGGGTGACATGCAGCTATATAAGGGTACAGAAAACCAATCATCTTCTCCTTGGAGACATGACTAATAGCCCCTTTTAAATGAATAGTGTTATTTGGATAGTTATTAATGCCATGCTTTACAAACATACACCATAAATTAGCACCACAGGAAAAATGAACTCTATGGAATACATAAAAATAAGTGAAAACATGACTGTTAAGGCAGATTATTTAAAATTATGAGGGGATGAAAGAGGATCTTTTAACCAGAGTAAGAACATTTGTAAACACTTATAGACACTCCTATTTGTTGTGCAATGTGGTTCTGATTAATTCCAAAGAAGGCTTGTGTTATGAATAATCATTTTTGATACAGCAGTAACATTTGATGGAAAAATTGCAAACAGGGGATATCTTTCTGTGATTCTTGAGCTGTATTATATAAATCAATTAACAGCTTAATGGACAGGGTGGGGAAAGGAACATACTAATTTAGCTTAGGCAAGCAACTTGAACAGTTTCCACTACTCACTATTTTACATTATGCAGAATTTCCATTCGTATTAATAACTTATTACTTCTATTAAACATGCATTTTCCCTAAAGTTTAATGTTTCTTCAGTGGACACCAATTAACTGAGACAGTCTTTTCTTAGCTAGCAATTATTTTAATTACTAAAATTTTTAAAAATGTGCTTGCTTTGCTAGATTTGACCAGTTGAACTTGGCCATAGAATGCATTGACTTAGTATAACAAGAGGTGAAAGGTTTTTTGTGAATAAGTGAATGCTAAAAAAACCTTTTAGACAGTTGGGTTCCACCGAGCATAACAATCCTGTGTTGCTATTACTTTGCATTTTAGTATTTATCGATACCTTTAACGTGGTACCTTTCCAATCCAGCAGTTTTTTGTTTGTTTTGTTTTTTGGTTTTTGTTTTTTTTTTTTTTTTTTGAGACAGAGTCTCACTCGGTCGCCTAGGCTGGAGTGCAGGGGCAGCAAGATCTCGGGTCACTGCAACCTTCGCCTCCCAGGTTCAAACGATTCCCCTGCCTAGGCCTCCCAAGTAGCTGGGATTACAGGCACAAGCCACTAGGCCTGGCTCATTTTTTTGTATTTTTAGTAGCGATGGGATTTCACCATGTTGGCCAGGCTGGTTTAGAACTCCTGACCTCAGGCAATCCTCCCACCTCAGCCTCCCAAAGTGCTGGCATTACAGGTGTGAGCCACCGTGCCCAGACTAATCCAGCAGTCTTTCATTCTGTTTTTTATTTAGTTTCCTTGTTCTCTTTGTGCAGAACTATGGCTTGAAGGATCGGCAGGCAATTACTGTAACTAAGGAGAAACTATAAGGTGGTGGGTAGGTGCAGTTTTTCCTATAGAAAAACTTGAGTGTTTGCTTCCTGATTCTTCCTGGACTAGTGGTAAAAAACAATGCATGAGGCCCAGGTTAATGAGTATTGAAGACTTAAAAGTACAAGTAATGACAGATCATTGTACTCATTAGTCCTCTAGGGTGGTGAGGTATGCTTAAAAGGAAGGAACAAGAAGCACCATGAAGACAGAGTTTGTTTGGGGGGTTAGTATCCTCCAGACCACACCAGGAATCCAATTATTTTCAGGCAAATAACAGAAGATCCTGAAAAACAGGTAAAAAGTCCTTGCCACCTTGTGGAGACATGGATCAAGCAAATCAAGAATACTATTAATAATGTGAAGTTTAAATATTAATATTCTAATAAAGTAGGAAAGTGAGTAAGCAGATTAATAGAGTAAGAGCTACAACAAAGAGGGAGAGAGAGGAAACAAATAACTTCATGGAAATAGATAGAGCAAAGGCAGCAAATTCCTAGTAACACCCCCTAATTTTGCTGATGATAGCCGGACTGCAGTGGGGTTGATGAAGCACAGCAGTGCTGAGTACAACATGCCACATGTAAGAGACTGTGAAACAGTAAAAAAGAGACAACAGGAGATGTCACAGGGCCTGAAAGAAACAAGACTAAAAATATAATCTCATCTTAACATCCAACTAAACCCATTCATTCATTTATTGATTCATTCTTACTCTCATTTGAGCATTAATTCACTTATTCCTTCATTCCACAAACCACTCCTTACTAAGGAGGAGCTGATGGTGAAAATTTCTTTCTATACTGTCTATCCTAGTTTGGTCCCACCTGAAAGTAGAGCCTGAGGCCAAAGTTCAGAAACTGCTACTTTTTAAGGCATGCAATCCTATAAAAGTAGGATTGAAAGGAGGAAAGTCAGAGTGAGAAGGGAGAGGAGGGAGAGCACATCTTACAGTGTGTTATTGAGCTAGATGCTGTTTGGGACCCAGGGCAACTGATTGTCAGTCTCAAGGAATTGTCTTCTGAGGCTGTAAACATGACTGTGCCTCAGGACAATGGGGTGCTGTGGAGAAGGGAAAGAATTTATTTCCTGGCTTTGGTCTCCACAAGGCTGGGAAGACCTGGAATACTTCTCCTCAAGGCAACAGGAGAGCTCCAGGGAACAGAGCAAGAGGCAATAGGGACCTGCCTTGCCCTTAGGTGAACATGGTGCGGTTTTGTCCACATGAAGTTAGTTATGGTAATGGTGGGTGGCTTAACGGCCAAGGGCATAGGTGATGCCAAGATCTGAGGTGGGATCTAAAAGATGTCTACTATATATTCCATAAAGATATTAGCAATTGTTTAACTGTATTGCAAATCTAGTTATAATTGTATCCAGATAAGATTGTGCTTTTGTGTTACTTTCATATTCTTTTTGTTGTAGAGCCTCCATTGCAGCATCTTACTTTAGGGCTTATCTTACAAACACTCAAATTTTTTCAAGCCATAATGCTTTCTTAGCATCCAGGAAATAAATAATTAGCCCTCAGTGCTTGGTTGATTCCTCTCTCAGTCATGTTATATCAAGCATGGCCAATTGTTATGGAACATTTATCATGTGCCTGACCCTGTGATAAGTGATTTTCATGCATTATTTCACTTAATCCTCTCTCTGAGGTAAGAATGATTCTCTCCATTTTACAGATGAGGAATCTGAGGTGAGAAAAATGAAGTAACTTGCCCATGTTTGCACAGGTCACACAGTGATGGGGGGAGCCAGACATTCACTCAAGCCCAACTGTAAAGCTCATGCCCTTGACAACTATGCACATGCTTTGCAAGTATGGTTCCAGGACAAGCAGCATCAGCATCTTTTGGGAACTTGTTAGAAATACAATTTCTTGGGCCCCAGTCCAGAGCTTCTGATTCCACAATGCTGGCGGTGGGCCCAGCAACCTGTGTTTTAATGAGCCCTCTACAAATCCTGCTGCAGGCTAAATTTTAAGAACTGCTCTATGCTATTCCACCTTTTATAGTTCCATAACTGTATAGGGCAAACATGTGTCATCTGGCGTTCATTCACTTTTATTCTGATCACCTCAAGGTACCCTCAATATTAACATTAATTCTTATTCCTCAGATGATTTTGAGTTTCAGGAAAGGAAAAAAAATAGTCTTAAAGACAAGCCTGATATTCTTCACTGTGGACTAATTTTTGAAGTGGTGTTAAGCAGACCATGGATTATTATAAGTAAAAAACTGAAGGGCAAACCTACATTCAAATTATTTTTATTGCATATCATGGTCCTGCTTCAATCTTACCCTTCCCTGATTAGTTGAGATAAAAGAAGAGATGGAGGTCAGTGAAATTAGTGCGCTTAAAAACCTTCTTTAAAGATGGTAAAGATAACTTTTTTCTGCGTATGAGCCCATTGGTTAAAAGACAGATACTTGAGATAATATTCTTTTTATCTCACTAATTAAACATAAAGCTAGGCTGGGAGTGCTTTGGAGACATGTCCTCATCAGCAGGGCCTGGCCCCCGTGGCAGTGTTTTAATTCAAGAAGCCTAATTTAATTAGCACCCTGGCACTGGGTCAGCTGCTGTGCCGCCTTGGATCTCTGGCCTGAGGAGAAATGTGCAACCCCTGCTCTTTTTATTTCTAGTTAGCCTCACAAAAGTAGGATGTCCAAGGAGAGAGAGGAACTTTGCTTCTCCATCATGTTTTGCATATGGTGCTAATTGAGCTGACAGTCTTGGACCACAGTCTGTTATTGCTGCAGCTGAGTCTTGAGCTGATACCCAGTGAAGGGATTGCACATGTCAAATGGCTCATCTTTGCCCCTGTGGCTCTTGAAATATGGAAGCAAATTGATCAGGGGGAGCTCTTCAGTCTGCATGCTTGAGTAACTGCAAGCAAAACAAAACTAGGAAAAAATAAGGTATTCAAATCCTACTGGTAATGGCTACACCCTCTCTCCTCAATTTCCCTACCCAGTGTGCTAATGAGGAAAGGAAAATGTGAAACTCCTTGGCTTCCCTAATTGCTGTGCTTTGCCCTTATAACTTTTTTGTTCTTGCTTATCATGGTGAGAGTCTTGTTTCTGTCAATCATTTTTGGTTCTTTCTGCCTAGAAAATAACAATGCATTTTTTTTTGAGCCTTAAGATTATTCCAGCCCCTTCTCTTCCATAATTACAACAGGGAAAATAATGATTATTATTTTTTTGGTTTTACTTTGCAATAATAAGCTGTAGCAATCAGGAAAAGGTTTTTCTGGCTCCTGAAACTTCTCCTGTGATAGTTTCCAAATTTTCCTCAGGACTGTAGAACTGCAGAGTTGTTCATTTTTATCACAATTCTGGATTGTGAGTATGTGCTATTTTTCTATCTTTTCCTCCCTCACAGTGGAGGCTGTATTGTGTAATGAACAAATCATGGACATGAGTGCAAGAAAAAAGTTGTTTGAAACCTGCCTCTACTCTATGCGAGATTGGATTCATTACTTTCCTTCTCTGATTCCCCACTTGAATAATAATAATAATAATAATAATAATAATCCCCTCTTCCCAGGGCTATGCAGAAAATTAGGCCAAATACTATATTTTAAGTAATTTTAAACCATTTTTGCCACATAATAGTGCTCAACAAGTGTATACTCTTTCTATTTTCACTTAGCATCCCCCTTGCTTGGGGAATCCTTTCTGGTTCTTGTATTTGGCTGAAAGGATTTGATTTGTCTTCTAATTTAATTTTAGGATAAACAAGGCATTGCTGTCTAAGGTCTGCTGGATCTTGGCTCAAACTGCCTCAGAGGTGTAGGCTCTCCAACTTGCTGTTTGCAAAGATGAGGTTTTTAGGGACATTGATAGTTATTTTTACAATGGAGAAAAAAATCTTCACTATTTTCATGCTCTCCTTTTATAATATAGTTCTTTGGATGCATGGTCATATAACAATAACACAAACAACAACATATGCTGGTCAGGTCTGGTGGCTTGGGCCTGTAGTCCCAGCACTTTGGGAGGCCAAGGCAGGCAGATCTCTTGAGCCCAGGAATTCAAGACCGGCCTGGGCAACATGGCAAAATCCTGTCTCTACAAAAAATACAAAAATTAGCTGGGTGTGGTGGTGCATGCCTGTAGTCCCAGCTACTAGGGAGGCTGAGGCTGGAGGATTGATTGAGTCCGGGAGGTGGAGGTTGCAGTGAGCTGAGATTGCGCCACTACACTCCAGCCCAGGTGACAGAGCGAGACTCCAACTCAAAAAAAAAAGAAAGAAAATTGCTATGGCGTTTTGGGAACCATAGTACATACTTTACATCATTTGAAACCCTTACAGCAAATCTACAAGATAAATTTTTGTTTGTTTGTTTGTTTGTTTGTTTTTGAGACAGGGTCTCACTCTGTCATCTAGGTTGGAGAGCAGTCATACAATCACAGCCTTGACCTCCCAGGCTCAGGTGATTCTCCTACCTCAGCTTCCTGAGTAGCTGGTACCACAGGTGTGCACGACCACATCCAGCTAATTTTTTTTAATGTAATTTTAGTAGATACAGGGTTTTACCATGTTGCTCTGGCTGGTCTCAAACTCTTGGGCTCAAGTAATCTGCCTGCCTCGGCCTCCTAAAGTACTGAGATTGCCACCACACCGGGCCAAAAAGATACATTTTATTACAATCACCTTACAGATAATAAACTGGAGCTCAGAGTGGTTGAGTGACTTGCCCAAGGTCACACAACTACTATGACAGGTCTGAGTGACTCCAAAGCCACTGCTTATTGTTAAAGAAAGGGAGAACAAATAAATAAAATAGGGAAGGAGGGAGGAAAGGGAAAGGAAAAATAAAAAAAGAGAGAGAGACAGAGAAAGAAACAGAGAGAGAAATCAGACACTTCATTTTAGATGGACTGTCTAGCATTAGCCATTTCTCCCACCACAAGCACCCATTTTTTCTCTTTCCTAGGGAAATGTCAGCTTTGGAAATAATTTAACCCAAATAATCACTCTGTTGGAATAACTCTTTCCTGGTGCTGCTATAATTTGGCTTACAATTACAGTTAATTGAACATCTTCGGAGCGAGCTCAGTGCTGCATGCACGTAGAAAGAAATTTAATGTGCTAAGCATGCAAAAACATAATCTTAGAAGTTCATTTTTTCTGAAAGAAAAAGAAAGCAATTAGTGCGACATTTTTCAGCAAGGAAGAAAAAAACCTCATAAAACCCATGGTCTTGATACAAGCTCTGAGATGATCCCTGGGCCCCATTAAGGGTGCAGTAATGAAAAGGGTTTGTGAGCTACAGGTTGTAATCTGCGAAAAGGTTCTCCTTCTCAGGAATCAAGACACATTAGTCTCATTATTTGCAGATATTTGACAAGACAAGAGCCAGAGGGAAGCAGCAACATCAGGAAATGCAGTGTGAAGAGAAGAGGTGGCTAATTAGAGGAAGCAAAGAAAGAGATCTTGACGAATCTGTTCTAGAAAATCTCTTTCTAAAAGAGGGGCATTTCAGAAGCAAACAATCCTCCCTCTGGATATGACCTGGGAGAGCACCTGGCTGGGGTTACCTAAGCAGGTATGCCTCAATGCAGCCAGCCAGAGTTACCCCAGCACTGTCCACAGCCCTGACTATACACACATTTGGCATTATGTATACTGTGATTCTTTTGGTTAAAACTATCTTTTGAAAAAAACTCTCTAAGGTATTTCTTTCAACTCAACTCATGAAAGGATTAAGCCCCAAAGTATCCCAGGCTAAGTGCTGGTTCATTTCCTAGAGTAGCTAGAGCAAAGGAATAGGGGGAAAGCTATGGAGACAGGTGTTCTTTAATCAGCTTCTTTTTCTCCTTCTCTGTCTTTGCCAGAAGGGTTTATGCCTGAGCAGTCACTTCAGGTTCTTCGGTCCTGCTTATTATAAAGTCCTTTGGGAATCTGATTGGTGGGATAGAGTACCTGCGACTCCAGAATAATTGGGTAGGGAAATGGAAAAAGCTGGAGGCTAAAAGAGGATAAATCTAGTTGGAAGTACCAAGTTGCTTTTAATTTCTGTCTCTGAACCTACACTGGGCTATCCACAAGCTAATCAGAGCATGCTAGGATTTGTGACTTTGCAACCATAAGTCATAAAAAGAGGCTCAAAGGGATTTTAAAGGTGGTGTTCCTGTTCTGATAGAAATTGCCCTCTAGAAACATAATTTCTAACTGGCAAGGGGGAAGTGGAGGAGAGAGGAGCTTGCCACAGATATCTAAGGGAGCAATCAGCACTTCTACTATCCAATTATCCAATTCCATTTATATATGAATCCACATTACTTCAGGAGGAGGAGAAAGCACGTATGCCTAAATGCAGCCAGCCAGAGTCAGGCTCTAAATTCCTTGTTTGCTCTTTAGGCCTGTGGTTATCCTCTTTGAATTTAGAGAAGTGGGTCTCAACTTGGGGCAATTTTGTCCCCCATGGCATATGTAGAAATGTCTGAAGACACTTTTGATTGTCATAACTTGGGAGTGTGTGCATTAGGGTTCTCTGTTAGGAAGAGAACCAATCAGATATAGATATAGATATATGAAATTACGGAGGCTGGGAAGTCCCATGATCGGCTCTCTACAAACGGGAGATCCAGCATAGCCAGTGGTAGAGTTCAAACGCCTGAGAGCTAGAGAACCAATAGTATACATTCCAACCTGAGTCTGAAATCCTGAGAACCAGGAGCACCAAGGAAAGGAGAAGATGGATGCTCCAGCTCAAGCAGTCAGGCAGAGAGCAAATCCTCCCTTCCTGCACCTTTTTGCTCTATTCAGGCCTTCAATAGATAAGATGATGCTACTCACACTGGGAAGGGCTATCTGCCTTTCTCAGTCTACTGGTTCAAATGGTAATCTCTTAAGAAAACACCCAGACACACCCAGAAAGAATGTTTAACCACATATCTGGGCATCCCATGGTCCAGTCAAGTTGACACATAAAATTAACTATCATAGGGGATGTTACTGGCATCTGGCGGGTAGAGACCACAAAGCTGTTAAACATCCTACAATGCATAGGACAGCCCCCCACCCTCTCAACAAATGTCAACAGTGCCAAGGTTGAGGAACCTTGATTTAGAGGATATCCAAGATTCCTTTGCTAACCTTATTTATCTTGCCAAAATCAAAACACACAATTATCCTTCAATTTTTATAGTTTCCTCCCTGTTTTTTCCCATCTGTCTTTCAATGGAAAAACTATTTTGTCTCATAGAACCATTCCTGTCTTCCAACTAGGAACCAGTATGGAGGGCAGATTTCTCATTTCTCGAAGGCAGTAGGCACCTTAGGTATTCTCCCACCACATTGTGCAAAACTCTAGTATAAAAAAATGGCAGGTTTGCATGCATAGGCTGGTTTCACAACTGACCCGATACATCTACGACCTCTTGTTCTGAGAGCAACAGGTTACCTAAGTAGATCATGGAGCACTTGGCATGACATGGAAAGGGGACTAAATTAGTGCTATATTTTTGCAAGCTTCTTGACCTAAAAGTTGCTACTGTTTTTACCAATATGGCTGGAAAAAAAATATACTTAGTGGAAGTCTTGTTGAAATAAAATACACTCATAAATCAATTTTCTATTTCACCAAAGAATCTTTAATCACAGAGGTGAACACTAGAAGTAACATAATGAGAAAAGAAAATGAACAATGTTCTAAGAAATAAACCCATAGCTGTCAAACACAAGTCTACATAATTCAGCCCAGGAAAACATAATTATTATCTGTCCACCACAGACTTAGGCTCCATTTCCAAGTAACGATCTAAATTTTTTTTTAATTTACAAAATTAAAAACAATTCTTCATATACATTCTGTCTTGGTTCTTTTGCATATTATTCCTTAGGCACAAATCCAAAGCCTGCTAATAGTGGGGAATTAAATAGGACAAGTAAAAACAAGCCCAATTTAAGGAGACCTTTGAGAGTAAAATGTTATAGTTGGAAGCCAGCTTGCCGTGGTTGGAATCGTTGCTGTCAGTTCGGGGAAAAAACTCTCCTTAGGTATACGCCGAATGCTGTCAGCTGCTGTCCTCAAAGCTGCTACTATTTCGGCAAGAATGAAAATGCATTGAGCTCATGGGATCGGATACATAGCCTGCATCAGAAAAGAAGTTCAGTTGTTACTTACTAGTCTTTCAGTACATCCCCCAATTTTTTATAACCAGCCTGAACCAGGCAGGTCTTCCAGATCATGTGAACAGACAATCTGGACAACGGTTGCTGGTGAGTAGTTGCAAAGCACAAGCAACATTTACAATGAAAACAGAGAGCTGAGACCAGGCAAATATGAATGACTAATGTCTAATTTGGACCCAAGCTGGCCAGGTGGCATTTTGGGTTTGGAGTAAAGAGGGGTACAGCTCAGGCAGATGGCATGTCAGGGTGGCTAAAAGCACAGGCTTTCACGTCAGGCAAATCTGGGTTTAAGCACGGATTCCACTACTTGCTGACTCTGTGACTTTTGTCAACTTAACCTTTCTATGCCTCGGTGTGTTCATCTGTAAATGGGAGAAACAATAGCACTTATTCATAAGGTTGGCAATGCACCTAAGACAATTAGCACTGTCTGATACCAGTGAATGCTAAACAAAAGATGGCTATAAAAAGGAAGGTAAAGAAAAAGGAAAGAGTCCAGGTGCAGTGGCTCATGCCTGTAATCCCAGCACTTTGGGATGGCCCAGAGAGCGAATCATGAGGTCGGGAGATCGAGACCATCCTGGTCAATATGGTGAAACCCCATCTCTACTAAAATACAAAAAATAGCCGGGTGTGGTGGCATGTGCCTGTAGTCTCAGCTACTCAGGAGGCTGAGGCAGGAGAATCACTTGAACCCGAGAAGCAGAGGTTGCAGTGAGCCGAGATCGCACCACCGCACTCCAGCCTAGCAACAGAGCAAGACTCCATCTCAAAAAAAAAAAAAAAAAAAAAAAAAAAAAGGGAAAAAGAAAAAGAAAAGGAAAAGGAAAGAGCCTTTCTTTCTCAAACCAGATGGCTTTGTTTGTTTCTTCTCCCTGGTAGCCCAAATTTTAAAGGTACATAAAATTCTTAGGTCTAAATACCAGTGGCATTTGATGCCCTTTGAAGCAATAGCCTTGGATGTGTCCAGAGAATTAAACTAGTGGCTCAGGATCAGGCCACTGTCCAAGAGAACCACAGAGCTATGTACAGGGAAGCAGTTTTCTTTTCACTCTGAAGCAAGAAAGCCATTCATTGCTTCATGAAAGTGAGCACATTTGTCAATAGCTATTGCTGCTTTTGCTCCCCTTTGATAGCTGAGTTTTCATAACCAACCCAGTCATCTACATTTTCATTAAGACATCTAGCAGTATGCAGTTGGATCGAAATATTTATTTTCATAAGAAAGGTCTCTTGTCAAAATATCTTAGGTAGCACATAAACTCTCTTAAGAGAAAATGCCACTGATAGTGATACTCCTGTCAACTGGTCTCTCTCACTCACCTCTTTTGGGACTGGCTCTGGTCAGATGTGAGGAAGGTTATGATGGGGGAGGATGAGATGAGGGGCAGTAGGATACATATCAGCAGATCTAAATTCTGTGTAGACTAAAACAAAATCTACCTTCTACAGCAAAATATTTACTGTATCCAGGCTAAAAATGAGACTTCATTTCAGGCATAGGTAGATGCTTCCATAAGCTTGTAATACTTTTATGACCATAATCAGCTTTCTAACATACCACATGCAATTTTACTGGCCTGTGATGTTCCAGTGCCTCTTGCCCCACAGGACTCCAATGGAAATTTGATTGTGGACATATGTCCCCAAAGGGTGGGTGGGCTCTACCCTCAGGAATGATCAGCAAAATCAGTAAGGCATTGAGGCTAGCATTTATTATTGATGTCATTATTGCCAGAAGGTAAGAACAGATGTGTCAGATTGTGGACCCACTCAGTTTAAGAAGAACTCAACTGAAATTTGACCATAGGTTTTAGGAAAAGACTGAACCAAGTCTGAATGTTTTGTTACTTTAAGGTAAAAGGTCTCAAGTACAGAGAAAACAGCTATGTGTTTCATTTTATCTCCATTTTCGAGCTCTGCTCTTTGGCGGCAAAGCAGGGGGAGAAGAAGCTCATAAAATTGTTGTTATATTGCGATCAGTTTATGAAATAGAATAAAGGGCAATTAAAGCGTTCTTTCTTGTATGATGTGATGCTCCTAATGGGAGATATCGAATGTATCTTCTTTGTTTATAGGTACTCTCACTCCATCCAAACACCCTCCATGTTTTCTTTCATCCCTGAGACAGGTATGCATAGGAAAACCCAAATTTTGCATTATTACATCACATTTCTCTTACTTCTCCATCTTGGGGGAATTCTTCTTTAAGAAACAAATTAAGTTAAAGAAATGCTTCATCTTGAAACCTTACCACAAAAGGGAAGACTTCTGGTCAAAGCAAATGTTTCAAAGGATGCCCTATGTTTTGTGTTTATGAAGTTACATCTGTAAAGGTTTGAAGAAAAGATATTATGTCTATTAAAAAAATGTGAGGATGTGACACTTGGAGTGCATTTTCCCCCTCAAAAGGATCTGTTACTGGACTGGCCAATTATGTTGTAAAACTGATGATAAAAAGCACTCATCTGCATTCTAGATATGTATTGGGAGTCAGAAGCACAAAATTTCCCTTTTTTAAATGTGCCCAAATAGTTTGTTTGCATCTATTCAGAACATACATTTTTCTTTGTTTCTTAAAAGGTTTCTAATGCCTTAGGTAATGAGTCTCTGCAGATGAGGTGAATTGGTGAGGATCCCAAAGCCGAGGGTCTCCCAGGTCTATTGCCCCCTACCCAGGCTCACTTCATCTAATTTATTCTTTCCCAAACCCAGCTCTTATAATAAATCTGATCTCTTTAACTGACAGATACTTTTTCAGTCCTTCAAATAGTCAAAGGAAGTTGCAATGGATAAATGGGCCCATTGTGCTAAAATTCCAATTAAACATAGTGCCTCTCAGGCTTAAAGGTTGGTAAAAGGACATCCCAGCCCTAACACATTGATATCGCAGCTGATGATAAAGGCAATTGTCCATCCTCTGGCTTCCAGAGGCCTGAAAAAAACTTTGTTAATTATTTCAAAGAGCTTTATTAATTCTTTCTGAAGAAGTCCTGTGTAAAATGGTTCCCATCAAACTGTCCCCTCACTGCCTCTCCAGCTGTTTGAAGGAATGGCTGGATTTGCATTTTACCCTTGAGTGCTTGGCTAAAAGGGGAACAGCTCTCCCAACATATTAGGTAATTGTGAAAATTCATCTCTTGTTTTTCCTCTCCCTACCCACACACACTTAATGTGGGGCTTAGAAGCAACGGACTTAATAAAATGTTGACAAAGTATTCGGAATATCATGAGAGGAAGGAGTTTTTTTTTTTTTTTAAAAAAAGAGTTGTACTTTTTTCTATGTACACAAACACATACAGGCACTCACACATAATCACACATATACTTACACACTCATGCACACTCACACATGCTCACACAGACATTATTAACCTTAAAGGTAAATGAGTTATAAAAGACATATAAAATCAAATTTTATACTTTTATATTTTTAAAGCATCTGTCATTTTGGATATTACAATATGCAATGCTTTCTCCCTTTTTGTCAAATAGACATCACCTTCCTAGGGGTAGTTTTCTTAACAAACCTAAAGAATCTGCCTACTTACCATATTTGTCAATGGGTGTGTATTGAAGACTTCTTTTCATCTCCTCCAAAGACAGACCTTGAGAGGAATATTGTCCAGCACTGGAAAATTAATAAAACACAGTTTCACAGTATGGTGATCTGATAATAACATTTTTATAAACACAGAATTTTTCCACTCAACATAGATCCCAGAGAAATGGCAAAGTGATACAAAGCAGCTTTTATCTTAACAGTAACTAGTTGGGGAAGAGTTCAGAATTATTTGGTTTAAGTCATATCCAAGTGTGAGTCCTGGCTCTTAAGCATAGGTTACAATTTCTAGCGGTATAACCTTGGGTATGCCATCCTTTCTGAGCCTCAGTTTATTTACCTGTAAAATAGGAAAAGAACATAAATAATTTCCAGTTTGTGCTTGTAATCCTTACTAAAAAGAACTAAAACAAGAACATTATTATCTTAGTAATAATATAAATAAAACACATCCCAAGAAGTATTATTATTATATTATTTTTATGATAATAAGATATAGTGATAATATTCATTGCATGATTCTTTTCTGTTTTTATATATATCGCTTTACATATAATATAATATCATTTCCTTATTTTATAGATAACAAAACTGACACTGGAACAATTAAGTAACTTGTCATGCAGGTTTGCTAACAGCTCATCCAGGATTCAAATCCTCATCTTTTAGATTCCAAAGCTGATGTGTTTATCTACTATCAAATATGAATTTCCTAATGATTCCTACTCTGTATTGATCCTTCTCCTTTCTCAAACTCCTCCTTCTCTTTTGCCGATTTGGTAAATGGGGTCACTTCCTTCCCAGTTCATCTGACTCAAAACCTGAATTTATCAAAATCTTCATCCTAGCATCTAACTACATCAGTCAGTTAATTGTATATCTATAATCTCTCTAGCATCCATTCATCATTTGTCATTCTCAAAGCAACTACCCTAGTTCCCCCCAGAACTTCACCATGACTGTAGAAGAACTCTTAATTCTCCCAGCACCCAAGCCAGTTCTTTCCATTTCAGTTACCAGTATTACATCGTTCAGTTACCTTGAGCCAAAATTATTGGAGTCCTCCTTGGTAATAGCTTCTTTCCCTCACATTTCTCACTCAATTCAAGTCCTTTTAGCTCTGCCTCCAAAATATAATCCTAAACTATCCATCTCTCTCCAGCCTCAAGGCCTAGACGAATCTTTTCCTCTTTGGGCTTTTGCAGTTTGCCATCTAATTGATCTTCCTGCTTTCACTTCTGTCTCTATATAGTCCATTCTTTGTATATTATCTAGGGTGATCTTTTCAAAATATAAACAGATTACATCATTCACCTACTTAAAACTTTTCAATTGCTTCCCAGTTCATTTGGAATAAAATACAAATGCTCTACCTATAAGGTTCTGGTCCTTCCTACTTCTCAAACTTCAACCCATACCCTTCTCCACATCTTTTGCTAAATGCTTCTTCTTTTTGGCATTCTTTCTGTCTCTTGAACCCTCCAAGCTCTTTCCCAATTCAGAGCTTCTGCATTTGTTAACGCTGCTTGCAATGCTCTTCTTAATAAACGCAAATCCCCTTTTGCTGAACACTTGCCCTGCCTTCATCTATGACTGCCTCCTCTGCAATTTAGGCCTCAGTTCAGGCCTGAATGGCAGAGGAGCCAAGAATAGATCCTGACCACCATTCTGAGTGACTATTCCTCTGCCCATGGCCACTCTCTATCACATCACATCGCCTTATTTCCTTCTTTCAGAACTATAGAAAATTATCTTGTTTATTTATCTGTTTACTTATACACCCTCCATATTCTTTCCACACAATGAGGGTGGGGAATTGTTTCTCTTGTTCCCTGCTATATCTTCAACACTCAGAACAGTGCCTGGTACATAAGAGAAGCTTAAAAAAGAGTTTTTGGAGCATTTAATAGAATTAATAGATCCTTAAATGACATTCTACCCCCCAGTCATTCAATACTCCCCCCAAAGGGTCTTATTATAATAAAAGCCTTACCACAGCATTCCCCTGCAATTCCCCAAGCCGATATACCAAGTCCTCTATAGCCCTACTTGGGTCTCTGTGTCTTGTATTCTACAATTCCTCAACTATTTTTTTACCCAAGTTCAAGCCAGACTAAAAAACTGAATTTTGCAAACATTCCTCAATTTTCTTTTCTCTATGACTATGGCTGAGCACTCTCAACTGCTTGAATATGCCTATTTATCCCTGGCAGGAAGCAGTATAGTGCTACGGTTAAGAATGAGCATTTTAGTGCCAGACTCCTTGAATTTGAATCCTGACACCATCACTTACTATCTTGGCAAGTTATTTAACTATTCCATACCTCAGTGATACAACTATAAAATGGGAATTATAACAAGACTTAGCTTATAAAGTTAATCATGAGAATTAAAAGAGTTAATAAATTTAAAGCACTTTGAACATTGCTGAAATTTAGTAAGCACTCAATAAAGGTCCAACTCAAAGTTGGCATCTTCCTTGAAGCCCTCTTGAAAACTCCCAGTCAGCACTAACCTCTTCCTCTTCCATACCCCTCTAGAACGTGATAATTCTATCACAGTACCCATCAGAATCTGCCTTAGGGTAGAATTATCTGTATTTGTATGCTAGTGAACCTCATTACACAGATAGCTCCTGGAGGTCAGAGATTATGTCTGACATCTTTAGATTCCCCACAGGGGTTAGCCAGTACTCTGCAAATACTTAAAATAAAAGTATGTATGTTAAATTAAATAAAATTAAATTATTACAAAATGTTCATTTGGAGACATCAGTTTTTCCTGAAAGCTAACATCAGTTCACACTGATTAATTCTTTCTACCTGCCTTAAAAATGACTGCATCTTTGGCCTCACTTCCTTAAGCTATAGAGTAGAGATGTTGTTTTTTAGAAGAAAGCAATACTTAAGAAGAAGACAAAGTATTGGCTTAAATGGGACATAATGTTTTCTCAATCAACAATAAATATGGCAATAGAATATCACTCAAGACATTTTTCAAAATACAATTTCCCTTATTAATATACCTAACTTCTTTAGAACTCTATCTCCTTTTAAGAAATGTACTATACAAAGTAGTCTTGGCAACACAAGATAATAGGAAATAAATATTTTATCACCAAAATGGCTATCTGGTTTCTTCTGAATAAAAGCTCATATCCAAGCTGCTCTGTTTGTTCAGTTGCTAAATGCAATCCATGTCAAACGACTTAACCTTTTTGCCCAAGAGATACCACATAGGCTGGCTCCAGATGCTGTTCTAGGATGACAGACAGATGGAAGCTACCCATGCCAGGTCAAACAAAACAGAAGAAACCAGACCCTGATCAATGGAACTAGCTGTTTCCACCCATGTGCATCCAGACTTCAGCAAGCATTTCACAGATGCCCGGATTTAGAAGATTCATCAGGACCTCTATTTGCTGAAATTGTGGTCAGTGAAAATACAGTGATGCAGCTGCCTCAGGAATTCAACAAAAGTAAATGCAAGCTAATGACAGGTAAGGAAAGCACTCAATTTTGCAAGTATTTCAACATTGCTGGTCAACTAGGTAGTCTTCTTTATGCTAAAAAGATGATGATATATATCATAGATAGCCATATATATGAATTATTAGCTCCTATATGGGTAATTTTGTGGATGTAAAATGAAATTTTATTTTATGAAAAGAGAATAACATAGTCTTTAGGTTAGTTTTTGCATACTACCATGTTATATTAGTATATATTATTTTAGTGCTAATTCAAATTAGCTCCATGATGTATACATAAATATAAAAATGATCATCAGTCACCGTTTTTATAAAGGTGCATTAGGATATGAATAATTTATTAAAATTAAGAACAGAAACAAATTTTTAAAAAATATTTTTACTAATTAATTCATGCTTTAGGGGTATAGATGTCCTAGTGAACATCTGCCAATTAGACCAGTTCACACTCAAATCCACAATATGTAAACTGTATTTTGGAGTGTGCATGCCATTTAGGCCATGGCTTGTCAGAACAAACTAGCCTGTTTGCAAATGGTCACATTGTCTGTGAATGAATTAATGCACCCTAGGTAAAGACATGAACCAGGGCATTTAAAACTAATGACAGAAGAGCTAAGAAGAATGGGAAAAGTGCTAGAAGATAATATATGCAAATATAGACTCAACTCCCCAAAGCAGGAGTAAGACAGCCTACAAACTAGGCTAGTGAGTTAATGTACATTATAGGCAAAGCTTCAGAAAGGAATGATTTAAACAGAAGTTTTCTGCACTCTTAGAAAAACACTGATTACTAGGAGCTACCATGGATACATTAAGAAAAGAAAATCATTCTAGATTTACTTTATTATTTTTTTGATGAAGATAAATAATAAGGGGAAATCAATAGGCTAGAACATACAGCTGGATTCTAGCACAGTGTTGGACAGAATTACTCCTGACTGCTTTGTAAGTAAGAAGGGGAGATCTGTTCCAGATGACGAGTGGTTAGATTCAATTGTGACTGACTGAATATCGACAACTGACACAGTCTTCAAATGGTGAAGGTATTTCATATAGATGACATTCCCACAGAGTTAAGTTGAACCTTAGACATCAACAATAATTAAAACAAAATGCTGCATTTCCTAAGATTAGAACTGTCCAAAAATAGATTGAATTGTTCTAGTAGGGGATACTGTTCCATCCCTGGAAGTCTGTAAGCTAAGGACTGAAGCACCTCTTGGCTCCAGGTGCTGTAGAGGGATCCAGGAACCTACCTGGAGGTCACAAGATGTGACAAGTGACGTCCCAGATTCCTCCATTTCTTACATTCTGTGATTCTTTTTTTGTTTGTTTGATTTGAGACACGGTCCCTCTCAGTCACCCAGGCTGGATTGCAGTGATGCAATCTCGGCTCACTGCAATCTTCACCTCCCACACTCAAACAATTCTTGTGTGTCAGCATAAGAGTAGCTGGGATTACAGGCATGTGCCACCATGCCTGGCTAATTTTTTGTATTTTTAGTAGAGATGGGGCTTCATCATGTTGGTCAGGCTGGTGTCGAACTCCTGTTGATCCACCCACCTCGACCTCCCAAAGTGCTTGGATTACAGGTGTGAGCCACAGAATTCTATGATTCTTTATAAGGCATTCATGAATCATGCAGACTTTGAGAAGCTAGCTTTGGCATGTTGGAAAGGCAGAGTGAAATTACACAGTCCTCATTTAGGCAGGAGATTTTTAGCTTCCTTATCTGACGTGTCCAACATTTGGCCAGGGCTGAATGCCTGATTTTTACATACATGCCACAGCATATCTGGCTATACGTTACCACTGCTACTCAGTGTGCTGTTAGTAGCTTTTGTCTAAATACATTTCATTTGAAATGGTAACTGAAACGTGCTATATGCCTGAAGGAACCATTGCATTTAGTGCTCCATTTCAAAGGAGGAACTACATTTCCATTTAAGATGAAGCAGAGGAAACTGTAGAGAAACCACTTTCACATAAACCCATCGTTAAGGATTTGAATGACAGGTTGTATAAGGCTGGCACTAGGAAATCCAGAACTGCTAAACAAGAATTCTTATATAAAAGAAATCTGTAGAATATTCATGTTGCAATGCTTACAAGATAGAGGAGATACTCCTAAAACTCTATGTAATTTAATCCAAAGAGATATATTGTTAAGCAAGTCCCAAGAAGAAATACGAAAAATAATGTCTGAAGAGACTGGGAGATTCTGGTGCCATCTCTCTAGTGTGGTGGGACCAGGCAGTGTCATAATGAATCCAAATGGCCCCATTTAGAGCCTTAAAAACAGACAGTGTTGTGGCTTCCAAACTACAGCCTGCCAAATGTTTTTGGTATTGGAGCAATGAATCATGGTTTTGGCTTTGGGATTTCATGAATTCTCAGAATATTTGCTAGTGCCACAATTGCTTCTGACTGAATTGCATTCCAAAGAAGACTTCAGATGGGTATGCAGTCCAAAAGGAATCATTTTTTTAAAATCACATTCTTCTGAGCGTGGCTTTTGCAAACTTGGGAACTTTGATTTGGTGAATTATAACAGACGTATACTATTTTACATGGCTTGAAAGTTAAGAGTGAAATTAAAACAATTACAGAGAATTGTTTTAAATAAAGAGACCCAGAACATTACGTTCTACTATGATATAATAATAATAATTGCTTATACTTGCAGAAGGCTTTATAGCTTTCATATACTTTTCTATCGATTAGCTTGTAACATTTTTATAAAACCCCTGTGGGGTGTCTGGGAAGGAATTAATTTCACCGGCGTTTTGGGGATGCAAAGTCAGGCTCAGAAAGTTCGAATGACTTGCAGAAACTCACAGAGCTAGCCAGAGGCAGAAACTGAACTTGAACAAAAGTTTTTCAGACTTTCATTCCATACTCTTTCTACTAAAACACACTCCATTTAATAATAGCACATGTCTTCTCATTGTTCAATTCCCACCTATGAGTGAGAACATGCGGTGTTTGGTTTTTTGTCCTTGTGATAGTTTACTGAGAATGATGATTTCCAATTTCATCCATGTCCCTACAAAGGACATGAACTCATCATTTTTTATGGCTGCATAGTATTCCATGGTGTATATGTGCCACATTTTCTTAATCCAGTCTATCATTGTTGGACATTTGGGTTGGTTCCAAGTCTTTGCTATTGTGAATAGTGCCACAATAAACATATGTGTGCATGTGTCTTTATAGCAGCATGATTTATAGTCCTTTGGGTATATACCCAGTAATAGGATGGCTGGGTCAAATGGTATTTCTAGTTCTAGATCCCTGAGGAATCACCACACTGACTTCCACAATGGTTGAACTAGTTTACAGTCCCACCAACAGTGTAAAAGTGTTCCTATTTCTCCACATCCTCTCCAGCACCTGATGTTTCCTGACATTTTAATGATCGCCATTCTAACTGGTGTGAGATGGTATGTCATTGTGGTTTTGATTTGCATTTCTCTGATGGCCAGTGATGGTGAGCATTTTTTCATGTGTTTTTTGGCTGCATAAATGTCTTCTTTTGAGAAGTGTCTGTTCATGTCCTTTGCCCACTTTTTGATGGGGATGTTTGTTTTTTTCTTGTAAATTTGAGTTCATTGTAGATTCTGGATATTAGCCCTTTGTCAGATGAGTAGGTTGCGAAAATTTTCTCCCATTTTGTAGGTTGCCTGTTCACTCTGACGGTACTTTCTTTTGCTGTGCAGAAGCTCTTTAGTTTAATTAGATCCCATTTGTCAATTTTGGCTTTTGTTGCCATTGCTTTTGGTGTTTTGGACATGAAGTCCTTGCCCATGCCTATGTCCTGAATGGTAATGCCTAGGTTTTATTCTAGGGCTTTTATGGTTTTAGGTCTAGCGTTTAAGTCTTTAATCCATCTTGAATTAATTTTTGTATCAGGTGTGAGGAAGGGATCCAGTTTCAGCTTTCTACATATGGCTAGCCAGTTTTCCCAGCACCATTTATTAAATAGGGAATCCTTTCCCCATTGCTTGTTTTTCTCAGGTTTGTCAAAGATCAGATAGTTGTAGATATGCAGCATTATTTCTGAGGGCTCTGTTCTGTTCCATTGATCTATATCTCTGTTTTGGTACCAGTACCATGCTGTTTTGGACACATGGACACAGGGAGGGGAACATCACACTCTGGGGACTGCTGTGGGGTGGGGCGAGGGGGGAGGGATAGCATTAGGAGATATACCTAATGCTAAATGACGAGTTATTGGGTGCAGCACACCAGCATGGCACATGTATGCATATGTAACTAACCTGCACATTGTGCACATGTACCCTAAAACTTAAAGTATAATAATAATAAAATAAAAAGAAAAAAAAGAAAAAAATAATAATAGCACGTGTCAAACTATTGTTCAGTTACCATTTCAGGAGCTCATTGAATTACAGAGCTGATAATAAGTTAAAGGGTTTTGGATTATTTGCACATAAAGATGAACGCTAAATTCTTCTTAGAGAAACATCCCTTATAATCAGAGCAAAATCAGAATCAGCTTTCTCATGTTTGCTTCATCTTTAAAAAAATGATACTTTCCTTTATCCAACAATTGCTTGCTGTTACCTTGCTATGATGCTAAAACATGAGATACACATGCACTAAACTTTCTAAATGAGAAATTTATTATTCCTCTCAACCCTCTGATCTTGTGTAAAATTTTTTAAGCTGCATGCATGGATTCATCTTCCTAAACACAGCCTGGGCTATGTTGAGCAGAAAACCATTAGGTTATCAGTGTGATTAAAGACTTCAGGCAACATTTTCTTCCATTCAAATTGGTCCAATTAGTTTTTATGCAGCTAACAATGCCCTCAGGCTACCTGTACTCTGGATGATTTAGCCATTTGGATTTTTAATAAGGCAACACCATTTAAGGCCTCACAAGTTTGCAAACATGTTTTGTGGTTTATTGCCGTCTGTCATAACAATGTTACCTATGTGATAATATTAGCACAAGGATCAATGCCATATGCACACTTATCCCCTTCTTCAAGAGGAATATCTCTAACTTAGAAGTTATCTCTTATACTCAAAAGGAAACACATACAATAATACTTAAACAGAATTTCAGTTATTTGCCCCAATCTAAGGAACTAATACAAAGAAAAGGTGGAGAAACAGCTTGCTGAAATGCCTAATAAAGGTGTTTACACTAGGATAATAAATCTCTTGCCATAGAAAAGGCTACTAGAGTCATCTGGCTCATCCTTTTGGCATTTAGCTGAAAACAGATCTATTTAAAACAGATCTGTCAGACGGGGTAAATGCCTTTCTATGCTTTGCAGTGTCTTCCCATGCAGCCCACCTTTCCTCTTAGCCCACCTTTCCTCTGGCCTAAAGAGTAAGATGATATTTCTATTAGAGACAGGAATTTACTTGGCCTAACTTTGAAATGGTCCAGTCAGACTCTTATGAATGGCCATTTGCTAATTTATCAGTTAAGTTCAATATGTTTATTTATTCATGGTTTCATCCTGGCTGTTTTCAAAGCATTATTTTGTTTTTGTCAATATTTCCTACTTGACAATGTCCTAAATTGAAACAAATTTATTGCTCCCATTACAGAGAATGGGCAAGTGCCAAAGCATTTAATGGGGCCAGAGGTTAGTGCAAAATATCTCTTTCAGGAATATCAAACCCATCAGTTTTCTTTCAATGGCAAATGTCCCCAGGCTATAAAAGAACTGAAAGACTTGGCAACCAGGTCATGGTTCTGCTTGAGCCATTAGGCAAATATCCAAGGTCTCAGCTTCCCCCATTTTTAAAGGAAAAAGCAATTAGGCAAAGAATTATGAATAAGGAAAAATGCAGTGAGAACTTAAAGTGTGTATTAATTCCTTGATGGCTCATAAATTATTAATAGGCTCAACAGTAACCTAACAACACTACCACCTCTCAATTTACCTACTAATTTAAGCAGGTATAAATGAGTCAGCTGAGCAAACCATTAAGAGGCAGACTTTGCATGCCTTGACTGCTAAAACTGAGGAACATACTCTATAGCAAAATCTTTCATATCCCTCACCTTCTATACTATCATCCAGGAAAAAAAAAAAAAAAACTTTTTGAGTTCTTGGTAGCATGACAGTGATAAGGCCCACTCCTCACTTCCTCATTTTCCCACCTACCATCTTACCAAGAAGGAAACTGAGGCCTTGAGAATTGAAATAACCTATCCCAGTTCATATAGCAAGGTTGTAGTGAAATCAAGACTATAACCTAGAATTCTGATCTTCTAGTTCTATTTGATGATTTTTATTTTTATTTTTAAGGACAGTGGGAAAACAAAATTGTTTCATACCTGCTAAGCGCCAGGGACTCTACTCGATACTTTACAAAACTTACAAAATTTGCCCCACCTAACAACTCATTTTATATATGAGGAAACCAAGGCTCAGAGAGACTATGTCTTACCCAAGATAACCCAGTTGTAATTCAAACCTAAGCCAGGCAGTTATTAAGTCTTTCTCAACTTAAACCTGTTGGCTCTAGAAGTGATTCTCAAAGTTATGGCTATATCCCTATCTCTCTTCCTTTTTCCATGGCTTTTTATCAAGCACAATGCCAGGAGCTGTGCTATATATTAGGAATACAGACATGAGTGTGATGGATATAGACCCTACCCTCTGGGGTAAATAGAAACGTAGACACCTAACGGCTGGCACAGTGGCTCATGCTTGTAATCCCAGCACTTTGGGAGGCCAAGGCAGTAGGATCTCTTGAGGCCAGGAGGTAGAGGTTGCAGTGAGCTGTGATCCTACCACTGTTCTCCAGGCTGGGTGACAGATTAAGACCCTGCCTCAAAACAAGGAAAAAAACCCATAGGCATGTACAGGTAAACTTCAACACAGGAGAAAGGACATGCTCTAAGGACACTCTCCCTAAGCAGAGAAAATGAAGAACAAGCCCTGGTTCACAAGGGGTGGGGTCATCCAGGGAGAGAGCAAAGCAGGGGCATGTGCAAAGACTTTGGAATCAAATGGCTGAAGTGAATATATGAACTTTCTTAAAAAAACTTTTCATTTAAAAACTATCTTAAACATAAAGAAAAGTTGCCACAATTATACAGTGTTTATTCTTCTGAAGCATTTGAGATAAGTTGACAATCTAATGCCCATCATCTCCCAAATACTTTAGTGTATTTCCAAAATAAAGACATCCTCCTACATAACCAAAATACAATCATTTGATTCTTCCATCTACTCTCAGACGCCATTCAAGTTTTGCCAATTATCTCAATAACGCTTTTTATAGCAAAAGAATCTAATTCAGAATCACATGCAGCACTGAATTGTCATGTTTCTTTATTTTCTTTCTGTCTGAAATGGTCTCTCCATCTCTACTTGAATTTCCTAACCGTGACATTTTTGAGGATGACAAGCCAGTAATTTTGCAAAATGTCCTTCAATTTGGTTTTATCAGAGGTTTCCTAATGATTAGATTCAAATTATGCATCTTTGGAGGGCAGTATCACAGAAGGGATGTTGTTTCTTTCATTGTGTCCCATCACATTTTGATTTGTCCCATTATTGTGTTGTTAATTTTGATTACTTGATTGAGTGATGTCTGATAGGCTTCTACACTATAAAATTACTCTTTTTCTCTTTGTAATTAATAAGTATTTTGTGAGGAGGTATTTTGAGACTATATAAATATTCTGCATCTCAGCCAAATTTTATTTACTTCTATCATTTATTTATATCTATATGAACTTATAGTTACAATATTATTGATGTCACTGTCATCATTTATTTTATACTCAAATTAACTCATAGTTGACCACCTGGGGTGCCTTCAATGTATTCCTTTGTTATGTCACCATCTTTCTTTGTATCTTTCTCCTTTCTGGTGCAAGATGTTTCAGGCTTATTTTCTTGTTTTGTACCTTCCTTGTGTCAGCCTTAAAGTCTGTCATTTCTTCAAGTGCCTTGTTTCCTTTTGGTAAATAATAGTATTTGGAAATGAGGATCAAGGTGCCAGGTGTGTTCCTGCAGTTGAAGTGCCGCTCCTCCCAGGTGCTTTCATTTAGCAGAAACAGCTAGAGCATATGCATGAGCATACATAGGTGTGTAAACACATTAAGACTTTGCTCTGTCAAAGCATAAGTTTCCAGCAACATCTCCAGTTCCAAACCAACCAACAGAGTTGACTCTAGTTTTCATTCTCTCCATATTCACACCATTCTCTGACAGTGAGAAACCTAGCTCCCATTATCCTAAATATATTTACTTATTTGATCATTGTCCCTGAATGTACAAATCTCCCATTGCTGTTGTACCCTTTCCCCACTCCAACACACACACAAATATCCTCCTTTACCCACGGGGGCTCCAATATCCCACACCCATGCAGAAGGCTTCCTCACTCTCATGTGTTCTGACACCTACCCGCCTATTCCCCACCTGCCTGCCCCAAGTGGGTCCGCTCCTCACTTACCTGGGGATCCAGCACTCAGCACTGTACTATGTCCCTATGCCATGCCCTCCTCACCCTGCTCAGGCTCCAGCCCCTTGCACTGGGCTGCCTGCCCACACGTACACCTTCTTCACCACCCTTATGCTCCAACTTCCTTCCACCAGGCACTTTCCTGTGCCCATGTCCTTCTTAGCCTGCATGGAACCACAGTGGCACTACTCTGTAGGATGTCCTGCTTACCATTCTTGGGCTCTGGCCTTACTTGAGCCACTATTCTCTCCACCCTTCTCATACATAACGTTCTTCCTGGGCTTCGATTCTGATCTCCTCTGTCAGGGTACTCTCCCACGTGACTACCTTATTTACCATACTTAAGCACTACCACCTTGGCCGGGCAGCCCCAACCTCCTGTGGAAACCCTTTCCTTCTCCCACTTTTGTTCTGACACCCTCTGCCAGGCAGTGCCACCCACCACTCCCATCCACCACATAGACATTCTCCACACCTTACTTGGACTCTGACATTCTGCTCCATATCCATTGGGGAAGTCCACCTTACTCAGCCCTGTCCAATGGTTTTGGACTAAATCATTCATGAAGGGAAGGGAAGAGATAAAACAGTAACAATGGTGAAATTTTTAAAATGCTAATCAGATTATGTCACCTCCCTGATTCCAATCCCTCAGTGGCTGCCCAACACATGTAGATCAACACCCTAACACCCTGTCCTGGCTGATAAAGCCCTCATGACCTGGCCTCTACCTCCTTCTGGAACTTCATCTTGTCCCTGTCTGCCCTGTCTCCCCTCCCTATCCACCATAGTGGCTTTCTGGTTCTCCTTTTTTGCTCATGCCTTATAAATCCCACATCTGCTTTTTAGCTCTGCTGAATGCATTTCTCAGAGTCTCCTTACGGCAGACTTGTTTTTGTCATTTACCACTCCATCTAATCTTGTGTTTCCTATTTTCTACTATGCCTTGTTTCTCAGTAAGTATGGATTAAAGAAATGATTGATTGAATGAATGAATGATGTTTCCTCCTCTGCAATTTTATTCATGTTTATCTTTGTCTGTTTACTCTGATTCTTTTTAACAAAGTTTGTGGTCATTGGTGAACCTCCTTTCATTTCTTTAGCCACTGCTCAAGGATGAGCCTTATGAGTCTCCGTGTGCCTGGCACTTCACACAGCACCTGGCACGGGCTAGTAAAACTGTTTACAGTGACCTGAAGGTAGCCTTCATATTTTTCCACTAGGAGATGGATTTCCAATGTATACAGTTTTGGGGCTACGTGACTTGAACAAATATAGATTTTTATGCTTTTAGAGCAGGCAGGGATCAGCAAACTTTTCCTGTAAAGGACCAGACAGTAAATATTTTAGGCTTTGTGGACCATATGGTCTCTTGCAACTACTCAACTCTGCTGTTTCAGTGCAAACACAGACATAGATAATATGTAAACAAATGAGTGTGGCTGTATTCCAATAAAACTTTACAGAAACAAGCAGGCAGTTGGATTTACCCATGAGCTGTAGTTTACCAATCTCTTCTTTAGAGTGTCAGATAAGTCCTATACGTGTTGCTCTCCTAAGCTGCCTTCTCCCTTTGGGCCAAACAATGATATCTCAGTGAATGTAGGATCTCCATTCATCTTAGATTTTCATAGCTTCTCCTAGGAGAGGAATGTTAAAGACTAAAATGCATGAGCTAATGGAAAACAGAAAAAAATATCCAATTTATATTTATTTAGTGTTTACCACATATTAGACATGTAGAAATTGCATTCTCACGTCACCTTCATTGCAACCTAATGAAGAAGATGATATTCTTATTTTCATCCTATAGCTGAGAAATTTGAGACTTGGAGAGCTCAACTAACTTGGCCAAAGTCACAGGTTATAAGAACCGTAGAACTTGAATTTGAACTCAGGTCCATCTGAGCCCAAGCTTTTAATCACTACTTTATACTCAATGGCCACTGGGTAGTTACATAAATAAAAATCACAAAACCAATTTTATTGATGGAAGATAAAAGCAGCAACTAGATTGGAGCCCACAGAGCAATACATATTCTTTTCCCCTTTTGGATTGAGGAAAGTTCAAAGGCCATCTTTGTTGATTTTAGATCTCTGGGCTCCTTTGTGTGAATTCACATCCCTGCAAGAAATTCCATGTTCCTTTGTTCTTTATGACAAGCCAGTCTGCATGGGAAGGTTTTAAAACTCCCTAAACTCTTTGAACATGCAGAACATTGATCTTCACAAACCATTTGAAATACCCTAAGGAGGTTACAAAATTACAAGCACTGTTTTTTTTGTTTTGTTTTAAGCGAATGTATACCAAACCTCTGGGACCCTTTGCCTCATCACACAACACCAAAGCTTTCCTCTCCTCCTCTGTGTATTCTTTGCTGTCAGACCCTGAATAACAAAATGATATTATGTAGCTGGGGTGCCTTGCTCTCATTGAAAACCTCTTCTCTTGCCAGTAATGTGGGGGTTCTTACCCCACTCTGGTGTGATGTGCTGTGATGCCTCTTTGAATCCTGGGGCAACCCAGGTTTTGACATTTCCTGCTGGGCCAACTGCTGCTCCCGGCTTCTGTATTGACAAGACCATGACTGTGGATGCTGTAAGAAGTTCTCTGTGGCCTTGTGCACATCCAGGCCTCCATGGTCATATTTATATTGGTTATTTATTAAGCTTTGATATGTGGCACACCAGAAGCACACTCCTTCAGACTAGGAGCCATGCTTTGTTACTTATCTCTGTAGCCTTGGCATTTGGGCACAGAGTTTACTTGCAACACTTATTTTAAAAATAAATTTGGTTGAACTGAGCTCCTGGTCATTTCTTCAGCCTCATCTCTCAGATTCAATGTTCTATGCAGTTGGCCAAGTGGTCAGGGACTCAGGGTGTGAATCAGACTGAGCTAGTTTTCAGTCTGGGCACCTCTACTTCCTAGCTGCTGTCCTTAAGCAAAATTTTTTACCTTCCTGTGCCTCACATTCCTTTTTTGTACCATGAGGACAATAACAATACTTATCACACATGTAGGTATTTGTGAGAATTATATGAGATGGTATACACGCAAAGCGCTTAGAAGAATCCCTAACACACAGGAGGTGCTCAGTATTAGCTACCTTATTATTGTTATTATTCTTATTCTCATTTATGCCTGCTGCATTCTTTCCTTCCCCTCTTCCACTGAATAATGCTACTTATCTTTCAGGCCTCAGCTTCTCTCTCCCCAATACTTGGTTAAGTGCCCTCTTTAGTATGTTTTTTATCACACTGAAGAATCTCATCTTTCATTCTTTGTCTCTTTCCCCAGTGTCCAGCTCATAGCCCATGCTAAGTAAAATACTTACTATATAATTGAATGCATAGAAAGTAGGTATAAAAAAGCAAATTAATTGGCTACCTCTCTTTCCAGCCCCAAAGTACCTCAGCCAGAGCAATCCTTTTAGAAACAATCCTAATGATGTTACCTCTCTGCCCAAACCCCTGCAGTGGCATGCATCTCAATCATAGTAAATCTCCAAGTCCTACCAGTGGCCTGTCCCCCTTCATGAGGCAGCCCCTTTACTTCCTTTCTTTTTCATTTTTTTTTTTTACTTTTTTAAAAAGTTGCCTGTCACTCTTCTCACATTAGAATAAAACCTCCACGAGGGAAGAGATTATTTTCTGTGTTTTATTTGCTGCTGTATCTCCAGAACCTAAAAGTAAAAGCTTTGGGTATTTGCTAAGTGAATGAATACATTAGATTAAAGTATGCCCATTGCTCTTAGAACCAAGAAAAATGACAAATCTTTTATGAGCATCATTCCAGAAGAGATTTATGTGACTTTTTCCTAATGCATTTTCCTGTGCAATTTTTTAATAGGGAGAAGTTGTGTGGAGATTCCACAGTTAGTCACCAGTTGGCCCTACATACTCTAGCTGTGGCCACAGCCAGTGAAACTCCACAGCAGCCCTGGAGTCCGCACAGTGTCAGGTGCAGAAGACTTGCACTTTGCTATCTAATGGGCCAAGCCCCCTCTGTTTCTGGCAGGCCCACAGAGCTATTCACTTTGCATGTTACCATAACCATCTGAATGGGGCAGAGATCAGGCTGTTAAAATTCCCAACAGACTCTTCAGAATGCCTCTAAATACTTCTGATGGTAATTGCTACATGGTTACTCTGTGTTTTAAAGACTTTTCACAAAGAAGAATTCACTGGAGCCTTTGTGGGCACTGCCACAAATACTACTGGACTGTGTTTGTGGCTGGCCACAGTTAGGCTCTTGACAAATGTCAATGCTTTGCAAAAACAATTTTTGGTGAAAGCAACAACTCCACATTCAGTCATGCCTTTGGAATTGTGGCTTGATGGAATTGCCTTGTTCTCCATATGGGCACAGGGAGTGGAATATCACACACTGGGGCCTGTCGGGGGTGGGGGGAAAGGGGAGGGATAGCATTAGGAGAAATGTTTAATGTAGATGACAGATTAATGGGTGCAGCAAACCACCATGGCACATGTATACCTATGTAACAAACCTGCACGTTCTGCACATGTATCCCAGAACTTAAGTATAATTTTAAAAAAAGAAAACCACATGCCACAGGGCACTGTTTCCCCAAGACCAAAGAAAACCTCAAAGTTGTATTAGCAATTACCAACAAATAGGTATTGATCACCTACTGCATACCAGACCAGACACTGCCAACTCTCAGGGCCTGGCATACAGTAGGAGCTCAACCTCTGCAAAGCTAGACTCATGAAGAGGGCAGAGCTGAAGTCTAAATATTCACCGAAATTACTATAAGCAGCTAATGGCCAGGCATAGCCTATAACTTTGAGGCCTTTTTTTTTAAGTGAGTCTCTTTCTCTTTCTCTCTTTCTTGTTGTTGCTTTTGGGCATTTCAAAAGAAAATTAAAAAAAAGAAAAATCTTATACATCAGCCAAGTATGTTTGAATACACAAACACAATAAAGGAAAAAAAATTGCTTGTTCTCTTAGATATGTGTATAGAAAAACACAAATATCATGCTCAAAATTTGATGATACATGTCTTTAGAAATCCACTATGAGGTATCAAGTGAGATAATGTCTATAGATGTGTTTTTTGAAATCATAGGTGTTAGAAAATTTATTTCACATACAATTCCTTATTTAATCTTCCCAGCAACTGTGTGGTATCGGTATTATTATATATATTGTTTTCTTGAAGAAACTGAGGGCAAATTGGTCAGGCAACTTGCCTCAGGTCACCTGGCCTGTAAGAGGGAAGAGAGGAATCAGACAGAACCTATACTGAAGCTCACTGCTTTTCTGCTCCACAACATGGCTGTATTACAGAAACCTTGTGATCTGCTGTAGTGAATGCATGGGGTTTCCCCTCTCATTAGTAATTTGGATTCTTCAATTTCCAGTGGGCAGTTGGGCTTGGAGTTAGAAGTGTAGGCTTCTGATCATGAACCTACTGAAGCTTTGGATCACGCAGTGCTGGATTTTATGTGTTCACAGTTTAATCTTGAATTCCTTCTACAGGTAAAGTTTCCATAAAGCCAGGGGCTAAGGTAAAAAGACTACAGATTTTCAACCTAAGAAATACACCAGTTTTAATCCAGATTTGAATCAAATGATCAATATTCCAATCAGAAAATGAATCATGTTATTCTGGGATTGCTTCCTGGGGCATTTCTCTCTTTCTCTTTCTCTCTCTCTCTCTCACACACACACACACATACACCTTAGGGACCAGAAAAACAGCTACTTACATTTTGGGAATATGCAGGAAAAAGACAGATTCTCTCTTTTTCATGCTACTTTTTAAATGTATAATACCCTCAGGAGTAGGTCTTCTATACTGCGTGGGGAGAATTAGTCATGCAACTCGTACTACAAGTATTCCCCAAGCACCATTCTGGAAGTGTACTCCTTGGTCTACCTTTTAATATGAGACACCAAGCTGAAAGGAAATCCTGTCTAGGGAACGGGTAATCTGAGCTGCTGCAGGTTCCCATAGGAATGCTAGGAACTCACTGCCTTTATTTATGCACATTTGCGGCAGCTGCATCCTTTGGATTCTGGCTCTTAGCAAGTACAAGCAGCAGCTCCAAGAGCAGATCTGTCCTAAATGTCTCTCTTTGAAGCCCCTGAGTCTATAACCTTGTATTTGTGTCTGGCCCTGATTCATCAAGGGTCTGAATGCTTCACCTGCTATATTAAGTTTCCAATAGTGCCTGAACCAGATTTTTTTTAAAAAGAACAATCCCTGGCCAGCGAATCAGCATGAGAGAATTGGAAAAGTGATAAGGCAGATAGTAATTACTGTCTGTCATCTATCACTGGAAGGGATGTTGATATATCTCCCTCATCTGAATTTTTTTTACTCTACCTGGATCTCAGTTACCTGTTTAGAAGATTAACAACAGTTGGATGCAGCCCCAGAATCACTCTGGGCTTTTGAGTAGTTATGATTCATAGCAGAAATGGCATTATGAATAGACCAGCACAGGCTTTAAAGAAATTCTGACTTATTCTCAGGGATCAAAACACTTAACATTTCAGTAGAAATAGCAAGAAACATTCACTCACCCATTTATTCATTCATGTATTCATTTATGAGACCCTGTGCCCTTCTTATCATAAATTTATCACGCTTTGCTGAAATGGCTTGTTCACCAACTCTGCGAGAATAGCGACTAGGGCTGTCTTGCTGATCACTGTGACCTCCATGCTAGGAATATAGTGCGTCTTTACCAATCATTTGCTAAATAAAGGAACGCAGAAAAAGGCTTTATGGAAATAGTAGCATTTAATTTTGACTGCATATATGTATATATAGGTGTATATATATATATACACATACACACATACATAATGCGTTTACATGTGTGTGTGTGTGAGAGAGATAAGGTAAGGATTTATTGCATTAGAATACATATTTCATAAAATAGTTAACATTTATTGAACAGTAACTATGTGCCAGGTATTGTTTTAAGTGACTTACATAGTTTGTTTCATTTAATCCTCATAATAACCATGAAGTAAGTATCATTATTATGCCTGTTTTATAGATTAGGAAGCAAAGAGCAACTAGAAAGAAGTTAATGAGCTTGGGCAAGATCGCACAGAGAAAATGGCAGTGCCACAATGTGAACCCAGCCAGTCCTACTGGGAGCACATGCTCCTTATAACTACAATACACAACCTCCAAATATATCCTAATTTCAGCTCTACAAACTTCTGTGGTGATGGAGAGAGGACATTATCTAAAAATATTCTGAAGTTGAAGCTGTTGCCCAAAGGAGAAATAGCTGTAAGAACACTCTGTCCAGTCAGGGCAACCAGAGCAGAGAAGGTGGATCTGTGCTCCCACAGATAGGACCCCTACACTGCCACAGGGACCCTGTGGACTATTCAATCTTCCCTTCACCTCTGCTCCCATGTCACCACTATTCACAACTGTGCAAATTAAAGCTCCAAGCAATCCTCCCCAAGATGAGCCAGCTCCATATGTACCTTCCAGATCTAAATTTCATAAGGGGCTTCTTAGCCCTGTTACACCCACCCCAGCTGCAACCCACATGTTGCAACTCAAAGGGGACTGTTTTCTTTATCACCGCCACATAGACCAAGTCCCAAATACCACATAGTATGCCCCAGGCCTCCCTTCCTTCTCTTTTGTTCTCAGTGTCTTAAAAATGGAAGCAGACCATACAGTTAATATTTAAAGAAGGATTGATTTTTCCCATTTTTTTTTTGAAGTTGTGAGACAAAAATTTTGGTGTTTTGCCAAAAATTTTGGAAAGGGAGGAAGGAAAAGGTCAAAAGAGACAAGCAAGGACTGAGGGAAAAAGAGCCAGAGGCAGAAGAGGTAACAGGGAAACAGATGGATGGATGGGCCTCAGAAATGAGAAGGTCGATTTCTCCATCCAAGGAGAAGAGAGGAGAATCCATGGAGTCACAGAGAGACTGGAGGGGCTGAGGAAGAAAGGTGGTGGAACTCACGCGAAGTAGTCTCAAATTCTTCAGAAAAGTCGGAAGCGAGGTCACTTCAATTCTGTACGTGTATTTAAATGCCATATCTTAAAATTTCACACTCAAGATTCCAGTTGAGTCAATTTTTTGAAAAACTGAATTATCATTTATAATCAAGGTATATGAGGATGCACATGCATAAGAATGACACTATGGACTTTGTGGAATCGGGGAAAGGGTGGAAAGGGGGTATGGGATAAAAGACTACAAATTGGGTTCAGCATATACTGCTCAGGTGATGGGTGCTCCAAAATCTCACAAATCACCATTAAAGAACTTACTCATGCAACCAAATACCACCTGTTCCCCAAAAACTTATGGAAATAAAAAATTAAATACATAAATGAGCTTGGGCAAGATCCCACAGAGAAAATGGCAGTATCCAAAGGAGAAATAGCTGTAAGAACATGCTGTCCAGTCAGGGCATCCAGAGCAGAGAAGGTGGATCTGTGCTCCCACAGATAGGACACCCACACTGCCACAGGGACCCTGTGGACTATTCAATCTTCCCTTCACCTCTGAATGACACACATTATAAACTTAAAGCTTTGGCTTGACTATAACATATCTTCATTATAGGTACTTGTCCTCACATTAGAAAAATTTCATGTATAAAATGTAATTTTCTTTTAAAGATATATTCTGTGGGGTTATTTTGTAAGACTATTTACTTTATAAAAAAGATTCTTAGAAGTTTTTATCTCTATTCTGGCTTTCTTATGATTTTAGTTTAAAAATCAATTCAAAAATTACACTTTTAAAGTAAGGCAATCATTAAAAAGTCAGGAAACAACAGGTGCTGGAGAGGATGCGGAGAAATAGGAACACTTTTACACTGTTGGTGGGACTGTAAACTAGTTCAACCATTGTGGAAGTCAGTGTGGCGATTCCTCAGGGATCTAGAACTAGAAATACCATTTGACCCAGCCATCCCATTACTGGGTATATACCCAAATGAGTATAAATCATGCTGCTATAAAGACACATGCACACGTATGTTTATTGCGGCACTATTCACAATAGCAAAGACTTAGAACCAACCCAAATGTCCAACAATGATAGACTGGATTAAGAAAATGTGGCACATATACACCATGGAATACTATGCAGCCATAAAATATGATGAGTTCATATCCTTTGTAGGGACATGGATGAAATTGGAAACCATCATTCTCAGTAAACTATCACAAGAACAAAAAACCAAACACCGCATATTCTCACTCATAGGTGGGAATTGAACAATGAGATCACATGGACACAGGAAGGGGAATATCACACTCTGGGGACTGTGGTGGGGTCGGGGGAGGGGGAAGGGATAGCATTGGGAGATATACCTAATGCTAGATGACACATTAGTGGGTGCAGCGCACCAGCATGGCACATGTATACATATGTAACTAACCTGCACAATGTGCACATGTACCCTAAAACTTAGAGTATAATAAAAAAAAAAAAAAAAAAAAGGGGAAAAAAAATAAAATAAAATAAAAAATAAAGTAAGGTAATTTGTTTTAAATTGAAGACTAAATACTCCTTAAATAATCCATATTTGTAAATGTTGTTTTAAAAACACACCCTTTACTTATGGAAATAAATTATATAAAAGCAAAATATGTGTTCAAAACACTAATATAATAATTTTGAGCTTAAAAAACAGATATTGTTTTGAAAACACTATTAGCGATGCATTATGAAGCCTCTGCACTGACAGTGTGCTCCCCAGGCAGGCATCAGGTGAAACACGGGAACCATAAGCTTCGTCACGATTAGTAGAATCCACTGAGATCTGTAAGCAGTGGGAACCATAGAGCCACCCTAAAAAGAAGGCATATTGAGGTGGGAGAATCAGAGATCCTTGAGGTAAGAAAAGCATCTCAGAAGCAACCAAGAGTCTATAACTGCCCTTTAGATACATTGGTCCCTTTAGGTAAAGAAGAAGAACGAAAATGCTGTGGAAATCTCATAAATAAAAACAATGAAAGGAGTGAACAGTAAGAGGCTATGTGGAAATAGGAGATGAAAATAAATATAAAAGAAGAACTCCTTTCAATTTCTGTTAATGACCTAATGATTCTTCTAGCCATCCAGACTGAAAAGCAGACTGTCACATCTGACAACTCTTTTTTCCTCCATTGATCAGCAAACCCTCTCCATCTACTCCACTGGGCCAATATTTCTCAACATCTATTATCATTTCTTTGCTTCTTCTTGACTTACCTGGGAACCTCCTGGTCCACCATCTGTCCTCTAGTAACCTGCACACGGCTGCCCTATTAATCTCCTAAAAGTGCTATTCTGGCGAGGTCATCGCTTGCTCAAAAACTTTGAATGACTTCCCACCGTATGCTGACCACAGTCAAAGATTGTTACTTTAAGTACTAGCTAGAGCAGTGGTTCTCAAAGTGTGATGCCTGGGACATCAGCCTCCCCTGGGAACTGGTTAGAAATTCAAATGTTTCACTCTACATCAGACCTGCTGAATCAGAAACTCTGGTAGTGGGCCCAGCAGTTTTTGCCTTAAAAAATCTTCCAGGTGATTCTGGTGCATTTTCAATTTTGAGAGCCACTGGCTTTGTGATTGAGACGATGAACTAAGATGTCTTAGTTTCAAATCCTTTTTCGGTTTACCAGTCGTACTCTTTACACAAGACACTTTCTAAGCCTCAGCTTCCTCATCAATGAAATAGAACCTAATTGAGGTTGCCACTGTGAGTTGGACATAGCAGATTATACATAATGCTTAGCACACAGCCCCCACATGTGGAGTTCTCCATAAATACCATTATTACTAACAATTATTATTAAAGGCTACTCCTGCTCTGATTCTAAATGCTTTCTACATGCTGGCTCAGTTGACCCATTTACCATTTCCTGTCCAGCCTGGTACCACCAGCACAGTACCTTGCTCAAGTAAGTGTTTGAAGGTTTGACATATGAATCAGTGAGGAGCTAATGCCAGAAAATTTTTGATACTAATTAAGTTCCTTAGGGAAGAAGAAGCTTAGTTTGAAATTGGATGGAGTGAAAATTCTAATGAACGTTAATGAGGCATTGATTTACTATCTGACCTGACAGAATATAATAAACCAGTTGTCTTTTGTCCCCATCTGTAAAATTGGATTAATGTTATTAACCTTTTTTTTTAAAGAGTTACCCCTACAAGATATGTTGCATATAGAAAGTGCCCACAGGTGTTGAGAATGATTTGTGTAATACATAATAATGAACAGCATCTACCAAAATAGGGGTGGGGGAAAAGCTGAATTAAATAATCCCCATCAACAGAGCTGGGGACAAGAATGTTTCTGTTTTTATTTTTTTGAATTGCTATCAGTGTTTTCTCATAATGATGCTCATGGGAGCATGACTGTAAATATTTCTTTTAGACTTCTGTAGAGAGGTTGCTGGAGAAAATACTGTCTATCATGTAGTTAACAATTGTTGATATCATTTTTGTGAACTGGCAATAAGGGCATTTCATCTATGTAGAATATTCCAACACTGAAAAATCCCAGAAGTAAGCTGCCTTAACTTGTTATAATAAGGGTTGGGGAAATGTGGCTATATGAGGGCACATTCATTATTACTACTGGAGAAATAATGCTGGAATTAGTGATGGGGAATATACAAGCCATCCTCAACCAAGCTGTGGAAATGTCCTTCTTTTTAAACGTGGCTGACCATGCCACTTACTGTTGAGGTCCCATGGCCCATAGTAGCAAGGTCCCACGGTCCAGGTCTCAAGCAGCAGGCCTGGGTCTATTTCTCCAGCCTCATCCTCTATTGCTCCCTGCCTCATATAGGCAGGCTCTACACACAATGAACTTCTTTCTCACAGTTTTTCTCACATACTAAGCCCCACAGTAAAAGGACTTCATCTCTTTACTGTGACACCTCATGCCTTGTATTGTACGGATTTGATATTGCCTTCCTGACTCAACTATTCTCATCTTAAGTCAGAAACCATGTCTTATTTTTCCTTTATTTTCATCATTTAGCAACATATCTAGAAATTATGAATCCCTTCCCCATCCAAGTAAATAGTGATTGAGCAGATGAGTGAACAAACAAATGGATAGCAACATTCATTGAGTAGTCTTCAACATTAGTCAAAATTTTTTTTCCTGGCTAATGGGAAATTTCAGAACAGAAATAAATGACCATATTTTTAAAAATTTTGAAATACCAGAGTTATTATCAATAAGAACAGGGATGATTTGCACTTCAGACCTACATTCTCAGCCTAGTTCCAACTCAAAGATCCACAGAAGATGGCTTCACCAGTAAGTTGATTGTCCTTTCCTTCCCCTCTAGTGAGGCTCCTAAAGACATCAGTACTACTCTCTCCATTTACATTTTCTGCAAAGGCAAGTCCCTTCTTCTCAACTGAGTCAGACATCAGAACCTTGAAGGCAGCCAGGAGGTAAACTGGCACTATGGGGCATTAGGTTGGCAGGTGTAAGTATAGTCCTTTTAATAACTAATGATCTCCAGTCTAAAGAAATAGCCAATTTAGGAAGACTAGGCTTCTGAAGAGAAAAACCTCAGATTTCCCTTAGCTTTTATCATACTTATTTTTTGACCTACTTGAATGTCATTGCCAGATTCAGCTTTTAGTTATTTCCATCAGTGTTCAGTCTCCATCCCTCACCTGTTGTGTCTGCCCACCTCAAACCATGATCCCCTTAGTTTGACTACATCGGATGTCAGCCACCTGCCCACCCTGAGTTATGTCTGACCTCAATTACTTGCAATCTCTTCCTGACTTCTGCCCTAATTAGACTTGTGCCTCTTGTAAAACTGGTTGCCAACAGCAACCATCAGAGAAACTTCAGTCAAATAGCACACCCTTTCCTAGTATCATTTCTATATGTATTGGCATGATAAAACGTTAGAATTTCACCTTAACTTTGGTTAACCATATATTTATTTTCTGACAAAGCACCAAAAAATGTCTTTCAAGTCTCATACTGGGTTAGGTGTGGGTTTTCCGCATAGTCCCAAATGATGAAGGAAAAATAACATGACTATGACCCTCAGGAAGGGCACTGACCTAACATTCAGTCTGGAGTTTGTTTTCTTCCTAAGCTCTATGAAGTTATGTCATCCTCTGTATTCATTTCCTAGGGCTGCCATAAGAAAGTTCCAAACACCTGAAGGCTTCAAACAACAGAAATGTATTCTTTCACTGTTATGCAGGTTAAAAGTCCAGAGTCAAGGTGTTGGCAAGGTTGGTTCTTTCTGAAGGAATATTCTGAGGAAAATTCTGTGCCCATGTCCTAGTTTCTGGTGAGGGCTACGATCCTTATATTCCTTGGCTTCTAGGTAGAGCACTTCAGTCCCTGCCTCCATCATCTTCACATGCCATTCTTCTGCGTGTCTTTGTGCTCTTCTTATAAAGACACAAGTCATCTTGAATTAAGGGCCCACCCTACTCCAGTATAAACTCCTATGAACTTCTCACATCTGCAACAACCCTGTTTCCAAATAGGGTCACATTTTGAGGTACCAGGGTCTGAGACTTCAACATATCTTTTTGGGGGATACAATTCAACCCACAATACCCCTTCACATTTTTACCACAGTCTTGATCTTGTTTTTTATCATGAGTTCCAAACAGAATTTCTTATGGTGTCCTAAAAAGAGCACACATGGCTTTGGGATTAGATAGACTGGAGTCAATCCCAGCTTCCCCCCTTACTATCTCAGAAGATGTTTCCTGTTTTGACCAGTTTTCCCATCTTCAAAATGGAGATAATATCTACCTAGCAAATAATTGGGGATATTATATTAATAATATGTGTACTAGTACATAGTAGGTTCTCAATAAATTCTATCAAGACTTTTCTTCTTAAGTGAATAATTGTTAGATAGTAGAGAACAACAGCAATTTCTATTAAAATGGACCTTTTCATTAATGCTCCCCTTTTTACTTAAATGCTTCCTCTCGATAAGGAACTTCTGTGCAAGTGTATACACAATCACACAAATTGCCAAAAGCATCACAAAGCGCTTTCAGCTTGTCAGCTTGTAAGCCTCTGACAAATACATAGAATTGTGTGAAAACGCTTTAAAACAATTGCTCCTAGCATTTTGGTCAGAATGTATTTATTAGACCGTATCTTATACTTGATTGTGAAAATAAACAAGGACATAAATGATCTGGCTTTAAATGCTCTATAAAATCTGCATTACAAGACTCTATGATTCATAAAGGAAGCTTCTATTTTGGTGTGCCTGGGTAAATTTGGCTATGCAAACTTCGAATAGCCTTTGAATTGAAAAACGCAGTTATCGTTTACTGGCTGACAACCTTTTCAAGGGAGAGAGAGGCAGGCACTGTACAACCAAAGATAACTTTACTTAATTAGTTTTTGGAAGATTATTTACTCCCCTTAGTCTATAGAAAAACAAAGGTCTGTCAGCACCAGATGCATCTGAGCTTTGCAGATGCGGTTGTGGCTTCTTGAAATCTTTAAAGATTCATCTAAAATATGCTTTCAGGTCTCCTTTTTGTGAAACTTTGACAGGATAATAGAATTAGATTTGCTGAAATTCACTAAACTGTAAAGTAATGTGTCATCAGCTTCACTTACTTTCCAAAAAATATTTCTCTCTGGTAATGCTCATCAATCTAGCTTTTCAACCCCTAAACATGAAACTCTGAAACAAAAAGGATGACTCCATCAGTTACGCAAGTGACAAGATGTTAAACATTTAACACTCCCACATAGTAGCGCCAGCTGCCTCTGGATGAAGCAGATTTGCTTAGGTTTGGCATAGAGAAAAAAAGGAAGACAAAGAGAAGAAAAATGAAAGGAAGAGGAACTCCTCTTGCAGTGAGAATGCAAAGTTCTCTGCAGATGTGCAGGAGTCTGAAGTGGGATGTGCCTTCTGCACAAACCTTTTCTTCTGAGGGAACATTGCAAAGACAGTCATCATCAGGTTCTCAACTCCTACTACCAGTGCCCCTGCATCCCCAACATTTCATGGACTCACTCTGATAAGAACACCTAGTGCACTGGATTAAAATAATGAAAGGACAGGGACTCAGTAAATTTCCACATCCCGGTATAATTTCTCAATAAATATCAGCTGAATAAACGAACTAGGAAAGCACACGTGGACCTCTGGGTCATTCGGACTCTTTCTCCACAACCATTTCCTCATCTTAGGCACCTACCTCTGCTGTAATCTCAGGCCAGTGAAACAGTATCGACTGAGCAAGCTGTGTGCTAGGTTGATTCTAACAACAGAATCCCTTGACTTTGTTAACAGCCCCAAACTGGCATCAACTTTAAAGAGTCAAGACTATTTTCCTCTTTAAGTGTCTTATCAAGAGGAATGTTAGTGAAAGGGCAAAAGTCGTCTATAGTTTTCCACGGTGAGCCATTTACCCGGATGAGGGACAGAAAAGGCCAGCTTTAGGTGATCACATAGTGACCCCATCATAAGGCTTGTTAACAGAGAAGTTTTCCTTGTAGAGTGAGGCATGCTGCAGGGGGTGCCCATTTTGAAGAATACAGTATGAAGCTCCCAACAGTGAAGACAGAATGGTATAAATAGCAACCCGTCAGTGGTAGGTGTTTGTTCTTTCACTCAGTGGACTTCTGATGAGTAACTACCATGTGCCAGGCGTTATTCCAGGCACTAAAGGATGAAGCCAGGAGGGGGTGGTGTGGGAGTGGAGATGCATATAAAGAGGAATAAGGCATATGGCTGAGATGCTGGACAGTTAACTCAGTAGGTCTCAGATTCATCATCCACCTTTTAATGTAGAGATTCACAAACTACAAGCTGTGAGACCTTTGGGTAAGTTAATTTCTTTCTTTTGGTGTTTTTGTTATGATGGCTGGATTTTTACACCTTTATTTCTCTTTCCTCACCATTTAAAGAGACAGACTTATAAACAGATGATCATGTGGGTGATGTCATCAGTACAGGAATGTCATCAGTGCAGGAATAGTTGAGTGCCATGAGCCACCCTGCAGTGTTGCCTGTTTTGCACAGTTCTAGGGGCCAATCTTGGGTTCAAGGTGGAGCTCTACTGTGTCTATGTCACTCATGTCTCATCTAGATTACCATATTATCCCTAGCTCCATGTTTGAGTCTGTACAATCACTGACAGTAAACACAGCTGCAGAAATCATGCCCCTTTATGGTCCCTCACAGGTTCGAGTCATGCCCCAGGGCTATTTCAATAAAGACTGGTGGCTGCTATATCCAGTCCCATCCAGATCTTTTCATGCTCACTGCCTGAATGAAGAGAAGAGTCTGAGGTCTCAGTGACTGGAAGGGAAGCTGCATGAAGGAAAGCTGCCCTCTTCCTTCCGATTTTCCTTGGGTACTGAACTTACTTGACTCCATGTTCTTTTATTTCTACTTCTATTGACTTTAGATCCTCATCTATAGCTTCTGCTCTACCCACACTCAACCCTTTGCTGTTCCCAAATGTACTGTGCAGGTTCCCACTTTCCTGCCTTTGTCCCTGTTGCTTCCCTTTCCTAGTACACTCTTTCTTCCTTTCTCTGCTTGGTTAACTCTGCCAAACTCAAGTGAAACGGGATGGCTTTTGGGAAGCCTACCTTGACTCTTCTCAGGCTCACAGGGCTTCCTACACATGGCTCAGTACTTATCTTCCTGTGTGTTTCTCTGACCTCCTCCCTTAAACTGTGAATTCCCCCAGGACTGAAGAGATCTCTAATCCATCATTGGGTGTCCAATATTTACTACATGATTCAATATATAAGAGCTGCTTAATAAATGATAGATAAATGCATATCCAATGGAATTAGATCAGTGAAGAGGCTAGCGTAATAGGGAAAATGACACATACATTTGTGTTTTCCACCTGTAAGTAATATATTGTTAATTCTTTAAATAAAGAAAATAAGAGTGAATTACTTGAGGTCAGGAGTTCGAGACCAGGAGTTCGAGGCCAACATGGCAAAACCCTATCTCTACTAAAAATACAAAAATTAGCAGGGTGTAGTGACGTGTGCCTGTAGTCCCAGCTACTCGGGAGCCTGAGGCACGAGAATTGCTTGAACCCGGGAGGCAGAGGTTGTGGTGAGCCGAGATCGCACCATTGCACTCCAGCCTGGGCAATAAGAGCGAAATTCCATCTCGGAAAAAAAAAAAATAGGCCGGGCACGGTAGCTCACGCCTGTAATCCCAGCACTTTGGGAGGCCAAGGCGGATGGATCACCTGAGGTGATCACCAGGAGTTCCAGACCAGCCTGGCCAACATGGTGAAACTCTGTTTCTACTAAAGATACAAACATTAGCTGGGCATGGTGGCAGACGCCTGTAATTCCAGCTACTTGGGAGGCTGAGGCAGGAGAATCACTTGAACCTGGGAGGCAGAGGTTGCAGTGAGCCAAGATCGCACCATTGTACTCCAGCCTGGGGGACAAGAGTGAGACTTCGTCTCAAAAAAGAAAAAAAGCATATTCAGTTTGCTAAAACTCTTTATACAAGAATACAAGACTAGCTATCAAAATACTGGGCCTCTCTGGGTAGGGGCAGACACAGTGCTGTGTACCTAGAGGGAAATCAACACACATTTGTGAGCTAGTTGATTAATTCCATGAACTTTTCAATGCTAGCCATATTTAATTAAACTTTATATACTGTTCAAGATCCTATATATGTCTTTCCCAAAGAGAAACGGAAGTTTATTTAACAAAGTATAACACATAGATCTGGTAGTTGGTAGTTTTGAACAAATTATAGACAAGGTGCTGTTTAATTTAATGAGCAATAATTTTTTAAAAATTCAAGAGATTTGACAATCTCTCAATAATTTTTTTCTCATTTTATTCTTTTTTGAGACGGAGTCTCACTCTGTCACCCAGGCTAGAGTGCAGTGGCGCGATGTCGGCTCTCTGCAAGCTCCACCTCCCGGGTTCAAGCCATTCTCCTGCCTCAGCCTCCTGAGTAGCTGGGACTACAGGCGCCAGGCACCATGCCCGGCTAATATTTTTTGTATTTTTAGTAGAGACGGGGCTTCACCATGTTAGCCAGGATGGTCTCGATCTCCTGACCTCGTGATCTGCCCGCCTCGGCCTCCGAAAGTGCTGGGATTACAGGCGTGAGCCACTGCACCTGGCCTCAGATCTTTTTAAAAGGTGAGAACTGATTGCCCTCTCTACTACTGATCTCAGGAAGTAAAAATCAGGGGGTAAGAAATGTAGTTAAACATCTCTAAGTCATGTTTAAACTCAGAACTGTCTACCTTTTACAAAAGAAATAAAATACCCAAAGAATACACAAGCAATAGAAAATCTGTGACATTGAAATTCAAGCTGGGCGCATAGGCTCACACCTTGGAAAGCAAGCAGATCGCTTGAATTCAGGAATTCAAGACCAGCCTGGGTGACTTGGTGAAACCCTGTCTCTACAAAAAATACAAAAATTAGCCAAGTGCAGTGGCGTATGCCTGTAGTTCCAGCTACTTGGGGAGCTGAGGAGGGAAAATCACCTGAGCCTGGGGAAGTTGAGGCTGCAGTGAGCCATAATCGCACAACTGTACTGGGTAACAAAGTGAGACCCTGTCTCAAAAAAAAAAAAAAAAAAAAAAAAAAAAAAGAAATTCAGATCACTCAAAACCAGAAAGCAGTTCATAGGTACCTTTCAAAATCAAACACAACACTCTATTCCTTAACATATATGACATGACAAAAACAACAATCAACATTTTAATATTGGTGCTTTGTCCTCAATTTTATTTATTTCATAATTTCATAATTCATTGTCCTCTATGTTAATCTGATAAAATATTATTGAAGAAAAGAGTATACGATTTATCTTGCCCTAAACAATAAAGGACAATTTTTAAAATAAAATGAAAATCATTCATTTGTGTAAAACCAATAAATTTAGATTTGTTAGTTCTCAAGCATCTTAAATCTTTTCTATTGTTATGTAGTACTCTAGCATTCAGCAGCCACATTCACAATTGACTATCGCTTTATTTTCAGGGATTATAGAGAAAAATTGAAACCCTCAAATGTCATTTTCCTGATTTCTGTCATTGTCATAAATAGCTGCTGGGTAGAAAACATCCAGAAACCTTTAAGTTATTCCAAATGGCAACTTGACTGAGGAATGGTCAACACTGTCAAATTTGACAATCAAGTAGTGTAAATAAGTAAGGAAAAGCTGTGAGAAATTTATGGGTAAAGCTGCTATTTAATGAGGAAAAAGGAGTGCTCTACTATCTCAAAGAGAATAAGTGATAAAAAGAAGAAGAAAGTGTCTGAATAAGGATCCCGAATTTCAGATAGACACAGGCTTTCATTTCTCACCCTCAGAAAGGGGTTTATCCATCCGTGGGTAGAACTGTGAAATAGGGACATTTATCTTTAGTTTAAAACAAAACAACATAAGTTTCTCAGGGATGATATTAAGTGTTTTATATGAATTTTCTGCAGACCCTGTAAAAACCAGACAAGGTAATATTATGGTCCCTATTTTAGTTACTGAGGCCCAAGTTTACACTGTTCTTAAAGGCAGAGGTGGGATTAGAACACATACCTCTGGCTTCAAGATGCAAGCTCTTTCCCAGTATAGCACACTAACTCCCACTTATGTTATCAGCAAAGCACCCTTCCTCCTGAGCCTCCCTTCTACCAGACATATGCCCCGGGTTGGGCTCTGACCTATAGCTTGCTGTTGGTTTTCTCAGTTTGTGTGCAGTCTCCCATGCTACCGCTCTGGCAGACTGATTCGCTACTTATCCTCTGAATGCAGTCTGCCTCCTGGCCTGTGGGCTATTTTTTAACCCTTTTCTCTCTGTCTTTTGTGGAGTTTGGTGTCCAGATTCACCAGTTCTAGAACTACTCTGGCCAGGTTTAAGTCCTACATCAGGCATTTGCCACTTGTATTTTGGGGACTTTATTTTTTCTCATCTGTGAAATTGAAAAAATCATAATACCTTCTTTATTTTTATGAAGATTAAATGAGATAACACATTTAAAGTACCATAGCCTGTTATCTGGTACAAAATAAGAACTCAGTATGGTTACACTTATGATGGCTATTATTATTACTATTTTTATTATACTTTAAGTTCTAGGGTACATGTGCACAAGGTGCAGGTTTGTTACATATGTATACATGTGCCATGTTGGTGTGCTGCACCCATTAACTCATCATTTACATTAGGTATTTCTGCATCTCTTTGGCAAGGCCACCTTTTGCAAGAAGCTATCCACATGCCTGCCTCTCCTTTTTCTTAGTAATGCCTCCGTCTGTGTTAGAATACACTAGAGTCGTGTGCCCGTCATTGTATACAATCACATTGCATTATAATACATTTGGGGTCTATTTTCCATACAAACTACTTAAAGGTAGAAATATTATACTATGTTTGCTTTTCAGCATCTTTGGTTCCTGGCAAACTCCCAGCACAATATAGGGACTCTGCAAATGTTTGTTGAATGAACACCTGACTAACCAGAGAGGAAAAAATACAAACGCTGCTTCAATTTTCAGCCTTTGTAATTTCAAAGGTACTTAAGTTCCTAAGTCTCAGAGCCCATGTTCCTGGATGACGGTAGCTCATGCCATAGTACACTAAAGTACCATATTAGTAGGGAATACCAACATGGCTAAAACAAGTTCTTTGAAATTCTCACCATAGAACTGTGCATCTCCATGTTGTTGGTGTCAGTGAACCATCCTAATGTGAAGGAGAACAAGAAGTACATTAAAGCAAAAAAGAGACTTTGGGGCCAGAAAGATTTGTATTGATTGAGTCATTCATTCATTCATTCAATACACATATATCCATCACACTATATGCCAAGCATTGTGATAAATATGAACAATGCAAAAATGAAAGACACAGTTCCTGGCTTCAAGAAGCTTACTCTGTGTGTAAGTGCGTGCGCATGTGTGTGTGTATGGCAATTGACATACAAAGACATCAATAATTACAATAATGTTTCTATTCTCTGATGGGATCTGTACAGAATATAGTAACAGCAAACATGATGGGTAACTAGTTGAGGGTATTTAGGACAACTTCCTACAGGAGGAGACATTGGGATTGAACTTGGTCTTAATTGAATCCTTTATGTATTTTTGTGTTAAAAAGATGGGGGGGGGGTGAAGAAATTTAAAAACTGCTCATCATGTGTGATATTTGCAAATTTTCCTGGACCTATATTTAAAGAACTTGGATTGTGCTTGCCTTGAAATATTTGTAATGAATAATACAGGGATCTTGCGATCAGCACACTATGTAATATTTGTAACTAAATTAAGATAATAATTTGTTCAACATTCCTTTCAATATATTTTCTTTAGTTTAATGAACCTTGTCAATTGGTATTACAGATATGAAATTATTTAATATGAATGGCTCTCCCCCTCAAGAAACTTATTCAACAGAGACATGATACCAAGTAGAAAGTGGTAAATGAATTAAGATAGATAAATCTTTTCCGAGAAGACAGTGAATCTTTCCATCAAGTGTAAGAATGAGATTAGGAATGCTCATAGGGAGCAGTAAAACAACCTTGGAGAAGGAAAAAAATCTAGAAAGAGATAAGAGCAAGGTGACATTCTAAATACAGTACACTAAAACTAAAAGGTCCCCAGAGATTGGTTACTGTATATTTGCAAGTCGCCTGTTAAAATCTTGTTAAAATGCAGATTCGGCAGGTCCGGTGTGGGGCCTGAGATTGTACATTTCTAACAAGCTCCTAGGTGATGCCAGAGCTGCTGGTCTGTGAGTCACAGCTTGAATAGCAAGCATCCAATTCAAATGCCTCATTATAGATGATAATCCTAAAACCCAGGGCAGAAAGGGATTTGCTCATGTCACACAACTGATTAGTATGAGAGCAGCTCTCTTGTCTCACACTATAGCAGCTCAGCAAGTAGTAAAAAAATCATGGGCTTTGGAATCAGGCTGATCTCGGCTCAAATCTTGGCCCTGCTGTTTACTAGTTACAAAGCCTTGGGCAGGCCATTTATACTTTCTGTGCTTCAGTTTCTCATTTGTAGAATACTGATAAATAACTCTTAGCTGTAGAAGAGTTGTAATAAGTCTGTGCTACGACAGGCATACAAAAAATGCACAATAGCGTCTAGAACATACTAAGTGTCTATGTTTGAATACACATTTCTGTTCTATGTCACAGATCAAAACATGTAACGTGTCTTCTCTTTTTATCCTTTGGCCAGGTCTGTATTGCCATCAGTGCACATGGCAATATTATCTACATCATATCCCCCTAGGACCCGGGCTGTGTTAGCATCTGGTGACACTTAGTGGCATAGTTAACACTGGCTGGGCTGGCAAATAAGAGACTGATGAAGGCCAAAAAAACAAAAAGTGATTTCATTTTTTTACTTTCTCTTTGAAAGAGAAGTCAGGGTGGCAAACATATATCCACTAGTAAATTTTTTGTACTCGTTTGCAGATGAGGCCTTTAAAACATCTGCACATTAATAAAAAATGTTCAGCTAATATCACAAATATTAATGGTGAAGATTTTCATTCCACTTTGGTTAATTCAGGAGTTATTTTCTTCCTGGGTCCAGTATTTTTTCAGATTTCGTTAGTTGCCATTAACTAAATATCAAGAAAAACTCCATCTCATAGGTTCCAAGGAGATAATGAGAAATGACAACTGGTTTAATGTGTTTTTTTACAAGAAAATTCCTGCTTCAAATACGAGTAAGCAAAAGGAAGAACGATGCCATTTTTGCATTATATGAGGTTTAGATATAGTCCACATGGAAGATGTTAAAGGTGAAAAAAAGAAAAAACAATCCATGAGGAATTAAACCTGTTAAACTGTTCAGAGCCATTGTAAGAGCTGCTTCAGAAATCTATTTAGAAATCATTGCTCTTGTATCTGAATCATTACAGAGACACCAGCATCACCCACTTCTTATTGCTGCGAACATAGCAACAGTTGCCATGCTAGCAAGAGATTCAGCTTCGCAACACAAATACTGGAGTCAGGAGGGAGCAGGGCGAGGCCAGAGCTGGAGTCAGGGAGGATGAACAGAACACAGTGCTGCCTGTATAGATTTAATTAGGCCGGTTGTTCTCTTTGGTCCCTGTGCTTGTCCTGTCAGATATTTCAGGACAGCAGAAGCAGTCTCAAAAGCAGCATTTTTGGGCCAAGTCTTACTTTCAGTTGTACACACACGCAACTGCCAAAGGCGGGATCTGTGTGCTTTGATGTGCTTAAGAGTGGGCCCGGGCCCTCCTTTGTGTATGAATGGAGAGGGTTTCTCTTCATTTTCAGGAATGAAAACCTCATAGAACTCTCATCACTAGAAAGTCAGGCCATTCGTTGTCCCAATATGTCATTTCATCTAATTGAAAACTGAGAAATCTGTCACCATTTATTTAGCAGTTTGCCTCCGGCGAATCTTCGCAGGTTCTCTTCATGTGGCTGGGAATTAGTTAATTAGTATTACAAAACGCTTGAAGAGGGAAATGCACTCTGGCTCGCCCTTTGGGTTAGGAGGGAGTGCATTTTAGGTCGCTAACAAGCACTGCTGACGGATAGAAAAGAACACGAAATTACAGCATCAGAATAGCCACGGTGAGAGCTGCATCTCATTCTCTCTCTCAGGTGGATATGTTGTAACCTAAATATGTCACTCGCTCACTCTTTTCATGCAAATCTTTTATGTGTGACAATAAATCCAGGTACTTAAATTTTTTTTAAAGGTGTCAATTTTACACACGTAGGGCTCTTCTCATATCTTGACTTTTATTAATTTTCCATTTTCATCACCTCCTCTTTTGAACAGAATATTTTGTTTGATGTTCTTTCTTTTACATTTTTCATGGCGAAAGGCTGTTTCAAACTAAGGGTGGTTTTAAAAGTGAAGGAAAAGATTGACATTTTTCACATGCTCCTCAACTTTGAGGCTGCACACCTTTGTTCGGCGTGAAGTCTCCAAGCCTCTATCCTTAGTACAGCATTCAGGAGGGCTGGAGGAGGCCTCACTCGTGGTTTGGCAACTGACTGCTAGATGGCGTTAGAGAGCAAGGCAGCTAAAAACAAGCAGCTAACATGGTTACTTTAGTCCACATCAGCCGAAAAGGAGTTCTTAACATAGAGCCCTATCACCTTTCATCACAGACTATGTCCAATTCTGGTGATTTGTAAGATACCAGAAGCATGCAATGCAGAGGGCACTAGCAATCAATTTATAGCCCTCCTTTCACTTTTCGTGTATATGTGTGCATAAGGGAATTGCTTGTATATTTCACTATAGTGCTGTCTGGGTATGCACCTAGGGATGCGGTGAAGAGGTGTTATGTAAATATAGTAAATGGCTGTGTTTATTGTTTGGATCTTCATGGAGATAGTTTTAACTTTGTGAAAGACCACTCCCCACTTTCTTTAATTTTCCCATCTATATAAGATGGCATTCAGGAACATAATGAGGTATACCAAACACTTTCACACTGTCACATCAACATGCATAGTTATATATTTCCCTTTTCAGCCCCATACCACCACAACATTAGGAGATTTTCTGATTTTGTTAATTAGTAAAACCTATGGGCATTTCAAGAAGTTATGAGCTTAAAAAGAAAGAGATAAAAGGCAACTGATAGGCATCGTGGCACTTGCTTAGATTCTAGCTTCTCTCCTTTGCCTTTTATATTTTGCCACTGCAGGCCCTTAATGAGCTTGATAACTGACGTTCAGGAAGTGCATGTCATAAAAATTTTACGTCTCAGAGATGATAGCTATCCTAAAAAAAAATGGTCTTGTCCCTAGATTTAGGCAAGCAACATCTTGTTCTCCTCATTATACATACAAGATCCATAGAACTTAAGTCAACAGTGTCACTGAGTAAGAAAGACAACTCTTCCTACAAGCTCAGAAGACACTGCTGAAGTGAGGGTTAGATACTAATATAATGTTCCAATAAGCACTACAGTCTTTTGTAAATTCTATAGATATCATATTTCAAATCAGCATTCTTTGAATAAGTAAAATATAAGTTAGAAAGCCAAAGACCCTTTTTGGTTTTATTAAATTTATAAATATTAAAATTATTTCTAAGTAGAATTAGCTAAAAGATGCTGATTCCCTATTGTATTTATGCATGAGAAAGAGTGGTCTTTTTCTTCATTTCTGGCCCTGAAAAACTCTTGGACTTTCATCACCAGAAAGTCAATTGTTGCCCACAAATGTCAGCTAAAAGATTGTTGTTGTTTTTTTCATTCATTGACTGCATTTGGCTACCACAGTGGAGAGTACGTTTAATGAGGAAGTGAAAAGAAGAGCCTAATTTTACAGTGTACTCAGTTCCATAAAGAAATCATGCTGAAGTAGAGCTATCCTCAAAGCTAGTCCACAAGTGTCACTTCAGTTAAGTTCCTAGAAGGAAGAAGTTCATCCTTTTATGTGCTCTGATTGGTTGTCGCTACTTTTACAAATGTGGTCAGAGAGTGAGGCTGTTTGGGAGAGGCTGTTTTGAAGAAGATACAGAGGGAGTCCACGGCACGCCTGTGAACGAGGCAGCAGCTGTGGAGTTGTGTTCAGTTTGGGTCTGTATCAGCACAGGCAGGTGATTTATAGTGTTTCTTCAGGAGGCATAAGCTGAGGCAAAGTGGCTACTATCAGAGTTAGAGTGAGAAGGGAAATTTCCCTCCAATCAAAGGCTATTGGCCATAGACAGAGGGAAGTATGTTCCACTAGATCTGGCAGTTTAAGTGCGAGGTAGTTCAGTACTCTGGATAGCTCCCTGCTGATTCTCTTCAAAGCCCAAACTTGACATAACGTTCTGGTGTTGGCAAACATGTTGGCAAAGTTAAGTCTCCAGAGATAGCATGATGTAATGAAAACACTACCGGACAGGCCCAAATTAAATTATGAACTACCATTTTTTCTACTAAATAGTTATATGCATTGCTTACATTATTTGAGTTTCTGTTTTATCTAAAAAATAGAAACCATGAGGCATACTTCACAAGATTGTTGAATTCAATGGCATCATGTTTGTGGGAAGTCATTATGTTCATGTACATCACAAATAGGTGTTTGGCACCTACCATGTACCGGGCACTGTTCTAAGTACTGGAGAAACAGCAGCAAAAGGAGAGACATTTTATGCCTGCATGATGTTTACAATCTACTATGGGTATGAATATAAAAGAAAACGATTTTCTAAGATTATCACTCCAAGTAAATATAAGTGCTATGAAGTTCTCATACTGACTCTTGTTGACCTATAGCATGAATTTTAATAGATTATATGGTAGAGATACATCATGGGTCCAAGCAAGGTGGAGGGTCAGATAAGAAACACCTGTATAAAGCCAAAATCTTCAAAGGGCAACATCCAGATTAGGTAAATCAGAAAAAATAAAATTCACTCTACATAAAGATATGCAGAGGATAAATATCTTACATTATTCCTGGCTCCAGGTAAAGTGAGAAAAAGAAAATGTATATATATATATATAACCCTCAGAAGTCTCATCTGCCAGCCCACATACAAGCTAGTTTAAAGCAGAATTATTACTACACGTGTTCTATGAAAAACTCCAAGTTGGCCGGATGCGGTGGCTCATGCTTGTAATCCCAGCACTTTGGGAGGCCGAGGTGGACAGATCACAAGGTCAGGAATACACAACCAGCCTGACCAACATGGTGAAACCCCGTCTCTACTAAAAAAGTACAAAAATTACCCGGGCGTGGTAGTGCGTGCCTGTAATCCCAGCTACTCGGGAGGCTGAGGCAGGAGAATGGCATGAACCCAGGAGGCAGAGGTTGCAGAGAACTGAGATTGTGCCACTGCACTCTAGCCTGGGTGACAGAGCCAGTCTCAAAAAACAAACAAACAAACAAACAAACAAACAAACACAAAACAAAAAAAACCCTCCAAGTTGAAGTTTTGGTTGGTCTTGAGGTATTAATGTCTCCAGATAAAATTCGTTTGAAGAAATAAAAGAAGAAAAGTATGGAGCAGGTCTACAGCTTTTTTTAAACTCTCCTGTAAAATTGTAAATGACATGCAACTTCTAGAACTGGAATATAAATTAGAAATAAATTGAATTAGAAATGCAATGAACAAAGTAAACAACACATTAAATCCAGCTTCTGAGAGAATAAGTGAATTGGAAGACAGATCTGAAAAAATTACCCAGAAAGCAGGATAGAGAAAGTAAAGGGTGGGAAATATTTTTTAAAAAGAGATTGAGAAATGTGGAAAATAGAGTGAGAAACTTTAAAAAATATCCAACTAGAATTCCAGAAAGAGATACTAAAGAAGAAGTAATAAAGAAATGTTAGAAGAGACAACAGCTGAGGATTATCCAGAGTTTATGAAAGATGTCAATTTTCAAATTCTGGAAACATAATATATCACAAGTAAAATAAATAAACATAAATTTATATCTATACACAACATAATTAAACTGTAGGATACCAAAGATAAAGAAGACTTCTAAAAGCAGTTTTAAAAGGCAGATTAAAAACAAAAGAAATAACAATTAGATTCATAGATGAAATTTTAACAGCAACAAAGAAAGTAAAACATGGAATAGCATTTTCCCCCTGAAGGTGCAGGGAAAAAAGTAACTGAACAATTAAAATCCTCTATCTACTAAATATCTTAAAAAAGAGGGAAGATAAGTGTTTTTCATTTGTTTACTTCCAACAGAGTGAGGCTTAAATAATTTTTTTTTTTTTTTTTTTTTTTTTTTTTTTTTTTTTTTTTTTTTTTTTTTTTTTTGAGACGGAGTCTCGCTCTGTCGCCCAGGCTGGAGTGCAGTGGCGGGATCTCAGCTCACTGCAAGCTCCGCCTCCCGGGTTCACGCCATTCTCCTGCCTCAGCCTCCCAAGTAGCTGGGACTACAGGCGCCCGCCACTACGCCCGGCTAATTTTTTTGTATTTTTAGTAGAGACGGGGTTTCACCGTTTTTTAGCCGGGATGGTCTCGATCTCCTGACCTCGTGATCCGCCCGCCTCGGCCTCCCAAGGCTTAAATAATTTTTAAAGGTGCATTTATGGAAAAGAAAAATGATACTAGAAGAAAGATTTGAAATGTAACCATAACAAACAATGAAACATTAAACATGAGGTAAGCCTAAATAAAACATAGTTGTATAAAACAATGAAATCATTATGGAATTTATAAAATCTTGATGAAGATAAAATACTGGAAATTAAAATAAAGAGGTATTATAGAGGTCAGGAGAGAATGATTTTAATTAAAATGGTCTAAGATCTTTCATTTAAGAATAAGACAAACATATTAAAAATATAATTAGTTATTTTAAATAATATATTAAAGCTTCTGGGGTACTCACCAAAGAATAGAAATATAGCTCATATTCAAATAATCAAAGGAAAGGAAAAAAGATAGAAAGATAGGGTGAGAAAAAATACTAGACAGAATAAAATAATATGTTTGCAATTAGTCCAAACGATTTCAGCAGTCACAATGGATGTAACTATTTATCACACAAAAGGTATATAAGAACCCCATAAAGAAAATTGTAAACTCTTACTAAAAGATATTAAAGAACATCTAAATAAATGCAAAAATGTACTACATTCATGGTAAGGGGAACTCAATATTATAAAGATGTCAGATCTTTTCATATTGACCTATAGGCTTAAATATCTATAATCAAAATCTCATTTTTTTGGTGGGAAATACAAGCTGAGTATAAAAATTGTAGTAGCCCCCTCCCCTCTTATCTACCAGGGATATATTCCAAGACCCCCAGTGGATGCCTGAAACTGGAGATATTACTGAATCCAATATACAGTATAATATTTTCTTATACCTATATTCCTATGATAAAATTTAACTTATAAATTAGGCACAATGAGAGATTGACAATAATTAATAATAAAATAGAACAATTACAACAACATACTTTAATAAAAGTTATTGTGGGGCCTGGTGCAGTGGCTCATATTTATAATCTCAGCACTTTAGGAAGCTGAATCATTTAACCTTAGGAGACCAGCCTGGGCAACATAGTAAAACTCTGTTTCTACAAAAATAAAAATTAAAAATTAACTGGGCATGGTGGCGCATGCCTGTAGTCCCAGCTACTCAGGAGGCTCAGGCAGGAGGATTGCTTGAGCCAAGGAAAAATTCTAGGTAAAGTGTTCATCCATAATAAATAATCAGACATGGTCCCATTTGCAGGAAAAGTAAAGACCCTGAGTTCAAGGGAAATGCATGCTGGTTGTCCCTTGTAACCCAGTGTGCACGCACCTGCATTCCTGGGATGTTTCTGTCCATTGTTCTGTTGGTTTGCTTGTTTATTTATTCATTTCTCTAATGAAGATTCACATTAATAGAATATAAAATGAATGAGTCAATAATTGGTGTATTTATCAGAATATTATGTTTTGCTTTTATTTCATGCTAAAATAAGCGTCATATTAATGCTCTGCACATGAAATCTACCTTTGAAGGAACATTACCTTTTGTTATAGAAGTTTTAAATATTAAAATTTTTTTTAAAAAACACACAGGGAATGAATGTGGTAGTCACTTTTCTCCTCACACATCTTAGTCACCTATATTCTATCCTTTTAGTAATTAAAAAAGAAATATATTGACATTTAGTGTGCTAATAGTCGGGGGGAAGACTGGAAAAGTAGTGGAATATCTAGTAGTTCATTATTTTTGGATGAGAATATATTTGAACTTGACAGGAATGTAGGAGTCAAAAAAATCTGAATGCCAGAGTTTTACTCACTTAAATTGCAGAAATACAAAGCCTGGTATTTACAGCCTAACTAATAATTTTCCTAGTTTATTATAAATAAAAATATTTAATATTCACCACATGCAATTAAATAATAAATGAGATATTGTAGGCACCTGAACAAAACAAAAAAGAAGAGAATTTCTGTTTTTAACATATTTATGATCTAATAGGGAATAAGACACATAAGAAAAAATAACATGAATTATAACGTGGCACAGAGTGCTGTGGTCTTTAGTGAGGCATGAATCGAGATGGGGTAGCCCCCAGAAAATACTTCTTCATGACATAGTGATTACGCTGATTGAGATAATTACTGAAGGCTGGTTAATATTTTGACAAGATAAGGGGGATGTCAAGGTTAAAAAAACTGTTAAGATACAGTGATAGGTTGATGGTAGGATAAACATGGGGTGTTTATGGGAACTAGTGGAACTTCTAGTTTGTCTGTAGTTTTCCTCTCCAAGAATGCTATTGTCATTTTGTGTAAGATAATTTTTTGTTTTTTGAGATTGCCCAAAACATTGGAGAAACCTCAACATTCTGGTCCCAGCTCACTAAATGGTAATAGCATCTCTTTAGTCCTTGGGAATACAAAAACAAACAAACAAACAAACAAAAAAGCCTCCCACAGTTCAAAAAGCCTAGGATGCATCTGAGAAGAGAGAGAGCGACAGTATCACTCTCTGTTTAGAACCACTGGAACGTATGATGAAAACGTGTATCACTGAGGATTTCGGACTCCTGAATCAATTGGACTCCGGAATTCACTTAATTTTAGAAGCAATGGAGAATTATTGAAGGTTTTAATGCAAATAATATAATTAGAATTGGAGTTCTACATAATAAAAATTATGATGGTAGTAGGTGGGTTAGAGCATGAGGAAGCTGGAACAGGAGAGAAGTTAAAGATGTTGCAAACGCTAGGAAGCAGAGAGGTCAAGGCTGAATAAATGATCTGGGGTTCAATTGTGTGTGTGGAGGAATGTATGTGTGTGTAGATGTGTGTGTGTGCATGTGTATGTGTGTGTGTGTGTGTGCATGTATGTGGTGTGAGTTGAAGCCATGGGATTGTAGAAACAACAAGAAGACCCATGGAAAGAGGAAGCAATGTTTGAGAACATTTACAGTGGTCATGAGCAAGGTGCTGAAATTGCTGATTGTGGTGAGTTGACAAGAAGTTAGGGATGGAGAGAGGATAGAAAGATTGGAAGAAAAGGGAATATTTGAAAATTTTAGTACAAAAAAGAGTGCAAGAGAGGTGGTAGATGAAAGAGGGGAGTATTTGACCTGGGGTGATGAGGAGGAGACATGGCCACTGTTATCTGGTAAACATCTGCTATACTGAAGCAAATGGACACGGTCCCCTTGCTGCTCTCCCTTCTTCATTCTTCCTAGGAACATCAGTGTCATGGTGCTATCATCTTACACAATTGTTGTAACCCAGAAAAACTTTGAGTAAATTAAAATTTTATAAGTTATATTCAACTTTTATAAACTGCATTCCATTCTAAGTGCACTAGGCAAGCTATTTAAAGAAACCTTTGATGGACCCTTTTGTAGTGTGAAAAATTAATCCCAAATGTATCTGTTTTACAGTTCCAAACTCTGGATCCCTGGTTTTCTTCTTCTGGACAGCTAACTAGGTCAAATCATTCTATTCTTAGAGCCCAGCCCCACATAAACACTAATTGGTTTTCACATCTGAAAGGTTGTGTATCAGTTTGTCATTTCTAAATTTACATGATGTAATCCATGTACAAGATGGGATTTCATACCCTGTGGGAGGAGCAACTGCCACATGCTTAGTTTTCCAAATATATCTAGAGGCACAAAATATTTTAAAAGAGGCAGAACTTCAAGAGTGCCTTTCTCAATCTCAGATTTTATCAAGTTATGGTTTTGATAGGAATTAGGGAATTCCTATTATCTGTGGAGAAAATCTCTGACACAATTTTGCACCTCTAAATTTATTTATAAAGAATAATAATAATTAGAAACAAATATACAAACAACCAAAAACCCCATAAAATCAAGCATTACAAAACTCAAACCTATCATCTGTGAACTTCATGACCAAAAATTGAAAAGTAAATGCATCATTTCTCAAGACAGTGTTGAGGTGTCCCCACATCCATACATTAGTAGGGACTATAGGAAAAACCTTGTACTGATTTTTCAAAATCATAATGCTATACTAAAAAATTACATTTTAACTCTGTAACTTGAATTAATTAGGAAATCCAAAGATCAGAAGTTAGTGGTACATTGTAAGGAATTTTGGCAGGGATGATGCACGTAATAAGTCATCAAAATGGTCCCCTTTGGTCACAGATGGTATTTCACCTTGGCTTTCTCTTTCCTCTCTCATTAGCTGCATCCCCTTCTTACAGAATGACTGGCAGGTTAGCATCGTATCATTCTCTTTCAGCATGTTTCTTATACTTGGATGTATATTGGAATCACCTGGGGAACTTTAAAGCATTCTGATGCCTGGGTGCCAACCCCATGGGTTTTGGTTTAATTGGTCCTGGGCACTGGTACTTGTAAAAGCTTCCCAGATGATTCTAATGTGCAGCCAAAGTTGAGAACCACTGTCTCACAAGCTGTTAAACTCATGGCCCTCCTGTACTTAGTCCATCAATTTTTATATCCTTGGGCTCTCTGACTTTAAACACCTATTGATCGCTGTTCTCACTTCCTCTGCCTTCATATACACAAGCTGAAAAGGCAGGCTTGGGAGAAATAGTCGAAGTTATTCACAGATTGACTTCCAGGAGAAACTGGAAGTCCAGCAAATACAAGTATTGGCAAAATATTTCAAGCTTCTGGAACATGCATCTCCTATGCCAGAGAAACTCAGAAAGCACAGGAGAGTCCTGAGTGAGAATTCCAGCTTTGCTTACTTACTCTCCATTAACTTGGGAAAGTTGCTTACCTTTTCTATGAGCCTCAGTTTCCTCATCTATAAAAATTGGAATACCTACTTCCTAAGGCTGAATTAGATGACTATTTAAAGTGTTTAAAATAGTGCCCAGGATGTTCAATAGTGACAGGTATTTAAATGGAAAGAAAAGAGAAAATAGTTAAGGCTCATTCACTGATTACACACCAAGTGAAAAATAATTCCTGTTTATTGAGCCAATTTATCCAATTTTTTATTCTTTATCTGCCCAACAAATATTTCTTACTGACTTTATGCCAATCATACTGCTAGATAGATACTAAGGATACAGTAATGAATAGAACATACATAATTTCTATTTTGACACATTTTAAAACTTAGCTAAACGCTTTACCGATTCCTAGAGTTGATTTTAAGTAGTGCAAGGATTGAGCTTACTCGGAGGAATGGTACTAACAAACTGACCTTGAATGCACGCTCACAGCAAATCCTCAGGGAAATGCCATGCTGTTAAGAGAAACTTGCACCTAGCAGACAGATACACCCTTATCAGAGTTCCATAACAGTCAGGAAGGGCCAGAAGGCTATAAAACACTTTATGAGAATATCAAAAGGAGCATCTCAAAAAAGCTGATGGGTTTTTTCACCCAGCATGTAGGTTTTTTGAAAAATTAGTAGTGGTATACATCTCTAGATTCTTGAAGGCTAGAGAAGCTCTGTCCCCTCCACCCTTCATTTGCCTAACTGGGACTGCTGCTGTGCCTCCTATTCTGTGTAGCTCTCCGTGTATTGTAAATTCTGTGACTTGCCTACATTTTTGGACCTATATTCTTTGCTTGGTTCTGCTGGCATCTTTCAATCAAGTACTGTCACTGCTATGACAATAGTACCTCTCCTTAAAACAACTCTAAGATCTGGTATTATTATCAGTATTTTACATGTGAGATTTAAATAACTTGACAAGGTCATTGAGCTAGTACATGGCAAAGCCAAGATTTAACTTCACATCTGTCTGATTCCACAGCTCATCCTCTTAACCTCTGTCTCAAGTGGACAAACCTCAGGTGACTGTGCTTTAGAAATATCAAAATCTGGCTGTTCAGAGAAATAGCTTTAAAAGACACAAGTAGAGAATAAGAACAGAAGATAGAACTGGAAGATGATGATGTGACCAAATCTAATGTAGTCTTGGCCTATGGGTCCTTTTGAAATTATACAAGAGACTAAAATCCAATAAAAAATGGTGTCCAGTTTGTGTGGTTATCAATCAAACCTACTAATACTTAATTTCATGACATTTTATAGATTAAAGACTTCACGAATCAGAGTCCCATCTCTTCATAGCTGCAGCTGCAACTCCTTTATCAGATCAGGAATATAATAACTACAGCTAAAAAAGCAACAATTGCAATTTGTAGATTGTATAGAAACCCTTGCTAACTCCAGATAATCTTTTCCCACTTAAGAACCTTTACTCTGATAATGGAGTGTATGAGTGTGTATGTATATGCAGGTGTGGGTGTGAGTGTGCATGTGTAACTGGGCCGTGTGCAAATGCTTTGGTGCTCACGTGGACGGAGAAAGATTTTAAACTAGTCTTTTCTGGTCTTCCATGGGTTGGAAAGTATGCACTCTTCAGGGTATCTATGAAGCTCACAGTGACTGCCTTCTTTGCTCCCCATCTAGAACAGGGGCCCCTGACAACCGTATTTATATTAATGAACTATGACCCCATTCCCACTCCAGTTACCCATGCCTTTTGCCATATGGCTTTGCAATTCTTCCCACTAAAAATCAAGTATATTTTTTCTTCCTATTGATGTTGAAGTCAGCTGTGAAACTTGCCAATGGAATGTTGTCAGAGGATACAACTTGAGCAAAGGCTTTAAATGTGCATGTAAATTTGGGCTTGTCCTCTTGAGTTACTAGCCTTTGTCTGTGAGAAGAATATACCCCAGGTAGTACATTTTTCTATGTGGGTGTCCAAGGAGGTTGATAGACCCAAGGAATAGACCTGAACGCAATCTGTAGTTCAGAGTCAAGCTCATCCAAAATGAGCCCACAAACAAGTGAGCAAGAAATAAATGATTATGATTGTATATCCCTGAATTCTGGGATGGGTTATTATACGGAATTATTATAGCATTATATGACAGATATATTTCTCTTTGAAACTTAACATTTAAGCTGAGAGACAAAGAGACTATCTATTGGGAACTGGGGCATGTGAATGGCAGAGCTAGCTATGAAAGAATGTTGATTTCTTTTTCTCTTTTTTCTGACTTACCTTTTTGCTTAATCTTTTTGTTTTTGCTTCTGTTTTCATCGAGGTAAAGTTCACATAGCATAGAAATAACCATTTTAAAACTAGCAACTCAGTGGTATTTAGTACATTCACAGTTTTACAACCACCATTTTAATTCCAAAATCTTTTCATCAGCCCCAAATAAAACTGGGAGACAATTAAGCATTTACTCCCAATTTCTCCCTCCTCCCTATCCCCTAGAAGCACCCATTTGCTTTTTGTTTTTATAGATTTACCTATTGCTATGGACTGGAGTGTGACCCTCCTCAAATTCATATGTTGAAACCCTAGCCTCCCATGTGACTAAATTGGAGAGAAGGCCTTTAAGGAGATAATTAAGGTTAAATGAAGTCATAAATGTAAAGCCCTGATCCAGTAGAGTTGGTGCCCTTATAAGAAGATAAAGGGACACTAGAGCTCTCCCTGCCTTATAAGGACAGAGAAAAAAAGGTGGATTTCTAGAAAACAGGAAGAGAACCCGCACCAGAACCTCAACCATGCTGAACCTGATCTTGGACTTCCAGCTTTCAGACTGCGGAAATACATTTCTGCTGTTTTATGTACCCAGTATATGGTATTTTGTTGTGACAACCTGTTTTATCAATCTGTTCATTGGTTGATGGACTTTTGGGTTGTTTCCACCTTTTGGTTATTATAAATATTGCTCTATAAACATTTGAATACAAGTATTTGTTTAAGTACCTATTTCCAATTTTAGGGTATATTCCTAGGAATGGAATTTCTGGGTCATATGGTAATTCTTAGAACGCTGAACTTCTGTTGCTCAGATCCTCAAAGCTGTTTCCTGGTTTCCACACAGGAATTCTTGCTTGGATGCCATAAAATAGCTTCAGAATACTTTTAATAAATCCCTTTTGTTGCTCTGAAATAGACGTGTCTTACTTAAGCTAGGTTAATGCCTGTTACTTGCAACTAGAGGACCTAGGCTAACAGATAATAAAATTTCTAATTTTTAGTCATAACGTAAGAAAAATGGGCTGAAAACTCCTCTTTCAAAGTTTTTCAGGGGGTAATCAAACCCTGTTAATAGTAATCAAATCAGTTGACTGTCTTGATAAGATTCTGAAATAAGACTTTACTGTGAGATTTGCTTATATTACCACTCACCTTTGGGACAAAGCAGCATAGGACCTTGCATTTAGAGCATATTCCAATTCGAAACGACTTCTTAATGCTGCCACATGACTCCGGCCAGGTCCTCCCCGGTTCACCAGGCAATCAGAAGAAGAAGAAGGTGAGAGAGACCCACTGCTGTTACTTGATGCAGGAGACATCAGCTGAGTGGAGGAGGGGCAATTTCAATTGTTTAATACTTCCAACAGGTGTGAAGACATAACATAAAATATGGATTTAACTTTCTATTCCAAGGTTTCCCATATTTTAATTTCTATTCACTCAGCTTGCTCCTGGCTTTTCCTTTCAGGAAAAAGTCTAGTGGCAACATCTGCCTAGCTTAATTTACTTTTTTGACCCAGTTCTGTGCTGAGAGCTGGCCTGTTAAATTTATGCTCATCTTTCTAAAAACACAGTAGGCCCAACTCAGATTCATAAAATATATTTAGAAGGTTATTATTCAATGATCAAAAGATTCTTCACATTCTTCACTATGGCAATAAGATTTATGGCAGAGTTCCTTTAAATCATAGCTAAAATTATTCCCTTTACATGAAATTATTCCCTTCATGTAAAATGAATTTACACACTTTTCCAAGAATACATCAATTTTATAAGACGAAAAATGCTTTAATGTGTGGCAAGTCTTTTCCCATATTGAACAGGCCACTCCCTTTACCATGTGATAGTTTTTCAGATGTTTAAAACACCTGTTGGACTTGGCTGGGTGTGGTGGCTCACACCTGTAATCCCAGCACTTTGGGAGCCTGAGGTGAGCGGATCATGAGGTCAAGAGATCGACACCATCCTGGTCAACAGATCGACACCATCTGGTCAACATGGTGAAACCCCGTCTCTAATAAAAATACAAAAATTAGCTGGGAGTGGTGGCACGCACCTGTAGTCCCAGCTACTGGGGAGGCTGAGGCAGGAGAATCGCTTGAACCTGGGAGGCAGAGGTTGCAGTGAGCTGAGATTGCGCCACTGCACTCCAGCCTGGAGACAGAGCGAGACTCTCTCTCAAAAACAAACAAACAAACAAAAACCTGTTGGACTCACCCTAATTATCTCTTTTCTGTGATAAGCATCATTAGCTCCTTCAACCGGTTTTCATGTTACGTGATTTTCAGCTTATTCACCACTCAAATCTCTCTCTTCTAAAATGTGTATCCCAGTTTTAATTATTCCTTTAAAAGGCTCACAGACACAACTGGATACCACTTTGCCATTTCAGAACAAGACTAATCATATCTTTTATTTTGCAGCAAGACAGTCACTTTATATTTTAACTCCCAATGAGCTTATTATCCACTAGCATTCATGATGCTCCTAAGCCAGGTCTCCACCATTTGATACTTTTATTATTTTTTCTTTGGCTCTGCTGCAGGACATTATATTTATATGTATTCCTGTTAAAATTATTCTTGTTAGACATGTCCTGTTACTTCATCCTCCAAGATCTAGGGTCCTGCTTTCAAATACTTTCTGTCCCTCTTAACTTGATTATATCTGCACATGGGATGAGTAGCTCCCTCTTGGCCTTGATCTAAACCGTTGACTGAAAAGTTGAAGAATAGAGAGGATAAGGTCTTATGAAACTGCGCAAGTCAAGCCTCTTTAGGCTGACTCTCATCTGTTAATTAGTGCAACTCAGTCCAGCAAACTCTGTCAGCATATAGCCCATTCATCTTCTCCCTTGGGGAGAGAGTATAAATAAGAGGCTTGATCAATATATTACAATAAGACAAGCTAGTTTAGTAGATCCTATCATGTTTGTAGATCCTATCATGGTGGATTCCTTTTTTCTGGAATCCACCTCCAGATATATCTATCCCATTAGGCTCGAAGCAAACTCACTCAAACCCTAAGTTTCAAAATGAGAGGATATTTTAAATTCAAGTCTTGAAGGTGTCTCTTAATACCCAAGGCTTCTGGCAGATGCTTTTGTCCACAGGGGCTGCTGAAGCCCCACCAAATATATGACTACTTCTCCCCACTTTCTGTAAGTCCCAGTACTGAATAAGAGAAGGGAAAGAGGATCTTAGGTCTAAACACTGAAGCTTCTTTTTACACAAAAGTTTTCTTTAGAAATTCCAGCAAAGAGTCATGAGACAGAGCCACTCACTGCAGGCTGTAACTGCAAATCCTTTTCCAATAGACTAGGTCCAATGACTCTTAGTTGAGTTTTTTTTTTTTTTTTTTTTTTTTTTAGAAAAAAAAATCCTGCTTTTCTTGATGGTTCCACTTTGAGACTTAGTGGTGCAATCTCAGGTTGATGCTATTTCTCTCTATTGTTGCCCCTTCCCTGCATATGCAAATGCATATATGATCCTCTATGTGTGATGTATGTCTTCCTCCACCAGTAACACTTATTTCCATTTGAGAATATATTATTTTTCAAGTAGTGTGCATGTTTTAGCTCCCTCGATTATTTTGAAATGCTATCTCTTGACCAGGTGTGTAGAAAATTAAGGCAATTGTAGAGAAACTTAAAGCAAACAGCTTTAATAAGGCAAGAAAATTCCATTAGCCTGATTACCAACATATATCACATTAAGCAACATATATGTGGTGTGAAAGCAATGCATTCCAACTAATTTATGAACATATTTTATTGATAATTTTTCTTTTCGCATTGAATGTAAATGAACAATGGCTTACAAATCTCTGTATGAAGAATTTTTGCATAAAAATTGATTAAATAATTACCTTCTAATGTATTTGTTATACTTTCCAATTTTTACTTATCAATTTTTAAGCTGAGCATGACTGTGTCCATTTGCCTGCCCTATTATTTGTTGGAAGGTCTCGAATTCACTCTGACTTTGCCTTTGTCCCTGTAGATACAGCTAATTCTGCTCCACCATAGGAATTTAATGAATAGGGCAAATATGGATGGAGTTATGGGTCCTCACAGTAACTTTTCATAAGCACCAGCTCATCTACATTCCCTGACAGCCTTGGATATGCAGGGCTTTTTTATGGACATATTTCAGAAGCTAAAGCTTTTACCTCAATGTTGCAGAGACACTCTTCTAACTTCATGACAACTTCAGAAAATTCGGGTCTTCCCTGTAAATAGAAAAAAGAACTTTTTTCCCTTAAGAATAAAAGGAAGGAGACTCTCTTTGGATGTTAAAATTGGGTATTAGCATTTGTAAAGAATGAGATTAACAATAAAGTATATTTTTATTTAAAATACACTTTTATTGAAGTGTTAATTGAATGTTCATTTGCTGTTCATGGAGAGATGTTGAGTCTCCCTCTGATAAGAGTTTTAAGTCAGAATTTGCAACTACATTCAGATAATGAAATAGTGGAAAAGCTTTAATTAGCTTTGCATGTTTTTAAATGGCAGGTTTCCTCTTCAAAATGAAAGAATAATAGTGAATACTAAAAACTATTAACTATCTCAGTGCCTTGTAATACACTGCACACTGTGTATAAAAAGAACTGCTAAGGCTAGATTTATAATGAACTTCACTTTTGAAAAGATCATCTCAGATTCAAAACTAAGATGATGATAGAAACCTCAGGACTATGCCTTACTTTAGGGTTTAAGGTAAGCTTTTTACCTTCAGACAGTGCCATTAAAAATATTGCCCATTATGAACCTCTGTGTCAGACGAGTTTGGTTAAAAAAAAGTTTATTCCAAATATATTTCAAGCTTTGTTCCAGTTGCAAGGGATATAAAAATGATTATTGGAAAAATTCTTGGAATTTTAGAAAATGTTGGCCTCTTCTGAGAAAATTGTCTTCTTTTGTCAGATCCTAAAACTATACACCCTATCATTTCTCCTTTTTTGAAACTTTCACTGCCAGGAGGTGGAGAGCCCAATTTAACATTCAGGTTCAGTAACCAAATAATTTAGATTCTTAGTAGAACAATTTCTCCCTTACTATCTAGCCCACCCCTGAGAACACTGCTTCCCTTATAAGCTGTTTCCTCTCACATACTCCTTGTATCTCTAGGTTGGTGGGGGCAGTGGGAGCAGTGGGAGCAGTGGAGTGAGCAAAACCCTGTGTCTTCCTTGCTGTCACTGCTACTTCCAAATGGTTTCTCCTCTAAACACCACCAGCTTGTCAGGCTATACCACCAGAGTCTAGCCACACCCCCTCATTCTTTGGGGATTTTAAAAACTGGCTTACTTCATACTCTCTAACACTACTCTTTGTACTTTTATTATCCATGCAAATGATCATTAAAATAGCCTGACCTCTGGGTTCCTTTGCCTACTCTTCTCCAATGAGCTTGTCCTCCAAACTCCTTTAGTCACTCAGCCCCTTAGTTATACCCTAGACCCTGTCATGACCAATGCCTCCACCCCTCCATGCTCTTTAACCTCTCAATCTTTATCAGACAACTCTCTGAGCTGTCCCTTTCTCTCTACCTCACTTCCTCTAGAAACCTGACTCCAACAAGCTTTGATCACACTGGTACTTGGAAGCCATTTTACCACTTAAAACAAAACAAAATAAAACAAGAGCTTTTTATTACGAGCAGTTCCAAATATGTCCTAAAGTAGATGCTCTTCTTTCTACCTACCTACCCATCTGCCTATCTTTTTCCCTACTTGTTTTTTTGCTCACTTCATCATCTTTTCGCTGTCACTCACTTTCCCTTTACCTTATATTTCATTTACATTTATCATTAGATTCACTTCCAACTATCACTCCCTTCCACACATCCTCAACTCCCTTGCTTCATCTTGCATTTGGTACAGTACTGAAAGAATCCTAAACTTTATTGAATCCATTCTGCCTGGTCTCACTTCAAAATCTTGACCCTCTAATCTCCCATGGACCGTCAGTACTATTCAGAGAGCCTATTACATATTTCTAGTCCATTCACTCTCTCACACTTCGGATGGCTATTTTGTACCTTTTCCTCTCTCCTAAACCTCTAGCTCCCACTACTACATTGACCTACTCACCTATGACCTACATAATTTGCCCTCACTTTTGTTTCTGTGGATGAAATTTGCCTGATTCTCAGGCCAACTCCTTCACTTGTGTGCTCCAGCAATAATTCTCTCATCCATTTTTTTTTGCATCGTTCATGTTCCTTCTGTATTGTTTAATCTCCACCAGCATACAGACATACTATACATTCTCCTATCTTAAAAACAAACAGCAAAATAAAACCCTTAACGTCCTCCTTCAAGCTACTGTTCCATTGCTGTTTACTTTACAGCAAAATTGTTCTAGAGTTATCCAAATTTGCGGTCTCTAATTCCCCTTCTCCCATTTGCAATCCATCCTAATCAAGCTTTCTCCTACAACACTGCTGAAACTGCCCTTGTCAAGGTTACAAAGATCTCATTGCTAAATTCAATGGTTACATCTCAGTGGTCATTTCACTTGGCATAGCATTAAATATAAGCAACAATTCCTTTGTCCCTGAAACATGTTTTTCAATTGGCTTTGAGGACACCATTTTCTTATTTTATTTTTTTCTGCGCTCATTGGCTTCTTCTTAGTCTCCTCTTTTGGTTTCATCTCTCCTCCTTATCTTTAAGCTTTTTATTGCCCCAAGACTCAGTCTTTGAGTCTCTTTACCCTTTAAAATTAATTTGTTGAGGAGTTAATTCAGTCTTATGTCTTTAAAAAACAACTTCCAGATTATTATCTCTAGCCCAGTACTTTCTCCTGAACTCTAAACTCATACATGCAATTAATTATATTTATAGCCTTTCCCATTTCAGTAAATGGAAACTCCATCCTTCTGCTTGCAGAGGCAAAAAAAAAAAAAGCAAAAAACAAAAAACACACACAAAAAAAGTGATGATGTTTGACTACTCTATCATACTTTACTCTTATATACCAGCAAATTATATTGATACTACCATTCAGTATCTGAATGATCAAGTAGCTTATATTAGATCAACCCTCCTACAGAAAACAACGAGAAACTCTGGACAAAATGTAAATGACAGCTACCTGAAGGCACTGGAAAGTTAATAAAAGCAAGTAGATCCTGGAGGGGAGTGAGTCACTTAGAAGAAAGGAACTAGTATATTTCCCACCTCTCTCTCTCTCTCTCTCTCTCTCTCTCTCTTTATAGCATTTAGCCTGAGGGTAGACCACTTCTGCATTTTAGGAAACAATTAAAATTCTGATGGTTTGCTTGTTTGAAGGAACAGAGGACAGAATTCAGGGCAACTGGAGTGTATTAGTTATTGTTTTATAACAAATTACCATAAACCTAGTGATTTAAAACAATGTTCATTTTTTATCTCAGTTTCCACTGGTCAGGAGTCCAGTATAGATTAGCCGGGTCCTTTGCTCAGAGTTTCACTAGGCTGAAATCAAGGAGTCAGCAGGCACTGTGATTCTCATCTGAGGCTCAAGGCCTCTTTTAAGCGCATTGGTTGTTGGCAGTACTGATTTCTTTGTGGTTGTATGACACATGTCTGTTTTCTTGCCATCTGTTGCCCAGAAATGACTCTCAAATTCTAGAGGATGCCTACAGCTGCTTGCCAAATAGGCAGTTCACAACATGGCTATTTGCTTTTTTCCTAACCGGCAAGGGCACATGCCTGACTTCCACTCTGTGACCAGCTGTAAAACTTATTCTGCTTTTGAAGGGCTCACCCAGTTAGGTCAGACCCACTTGGGATAATCTTCCTTTAGTCATATGATGAAACATAATCATGGGAGTAATATCTCATCATATTCACAGGTTCTGCCCACACTGAAGGACAGGGTATTCTACATGGCATGTACACCAGGGGACAGGAATCTTGCAGGTCATGTTAGAATCCTGCTTATCACAAATACGCAGTAGAGAATGAGAGGAGATCCTGGAAAAAGCCCTGGAGTCTGTGTGTAAATTCTACCTCAATCTCTGGTTTGCCCCTGAACCACACATCCATGAGGCCGACTAACCGGCCAGGTAGGACTAAAATAAATGAACTGAGATTAGATCTGCTGCCCCATGCAGGGCATTGTTCTTACTGTTTTCTCAGACTGGAATTACCTAATGCTTATTCTCTGCCCATGGAAATTCACTGTACTCTGCAAGGCCCAACTCAAGAGCTACATCCTTCTTAAAGCATCCAAGTTATTCCACAAAGTAATTATTCACTTGCATTTAGATTTACTTCGTTTCTCCTTGTGTTATAGATAGGTATTTACATGTCTATCACTAGCTAGAAAGTTCTTTGATACAATGGTTTATTTACTCTTAGACACCTAGCACATTCCATCAGACAGGTTAAATGAGCTCAAATTTGTTAAATTAAATTGCATCATTATGATAAAAAATCATCTGGAATATGCTTACCTCTCATCCTTCTCTACACCACATCATCCCTTCCTTGTATTACTACAATTGCCTCCTATTTTTGCTACTTATGTTCTTTGCTTATCTAAAAGTAGTTCCCAACTCAGTAGTTAAAATGATCTTTAAAAATAGACATCAGACCAAGTAATGCCACTCACTATAGCCTCCAATTACTTCCCATGTTATTTGGGTTAAAACGCTATGTCTTTGCATTCATCTCTAAGGTATACAACAACCTGCTCCTATGATTCTGTGCCCTACTCTTCCTCTTACACACTCCACTCTGGTCATCACACCAACCTCCTCATGCCCTTGAGAACTTTGCATTGGATCCTCTCCACCATGACACACTAATGCCTTCACCTTCTCCAGCTTATTGTTCAAATGTTGTTTTATCAGAGAGATTTTCCTTGTTTGCCATATTTAGAGCCCTCGAGTCAATGCGATCTTCTCCTTTTCTTGTTTTATTTATTCTAGAGCATTTATCACCATATGACTTAATACATATTTTATATTATTTGTTTATTGTTTATATCCTTTTATAGAAAGTACACTTCACAAGGGCAGGTGCTTGTCAGCCCCTGCTCTATGCCCAGTACTGTGAGCAGTGCCTAGCATGCAGAAGGTGATCTACAAATGCTTGTTGAACAAATGATAGAATTAATCATTTTATGTTTTTTCTACATTTTATTTTGTTCTCAAACTATCTTATTATATAGGTAGAGGGTTTTATTATAATTTGCTCCTTGTTTTTTTTTTTTTAATCAACCAGGGAAGATATTATAAATGAATTGTCTTTTTTGAACATAAAATTCAAATGATGTTAAATATTTCACTGGGGGGTTGAGAAAGCTTTAAAATAAAGGTAAAGTTTAACATTTACTAAACACTTAGAGTACCCATTTAACTCTTATAATACTCTGTACTGTAGACATTTATTATTTCTATTTTACACATGAAAAAGCAAAAAATAAAAAGAAATATTTTTTTCTAAGATAATATAGTCAGTAAAAACAGAGCTGAATTCAAAGCTAAGTAGAGCTTGTGAGCTTAATCTTGACATCATACTCACTCCCTAGGTGTGGCATTTAAATCTATAAGGAGTAAGAATTTAGTTGTAATCATGTAAGACTCAGTGTCTGAGATTAGCTTTGCATACTAGAAGAAACACTGGATTGAAAGTTAAAAGACTTGGTTAAATACCTACCCGCTATGTGATTTAGGATGGTTTGCTAACCATCCTGAGCTGTTTCTTTAGTCTCCAATTGGGTTGCAGAATTAAAAGAACTAAGTAAGATAATGTTTGGTGAAAGCACTACAAACTATACATTGTTTTGCAAAGTAACTTAATTTTTTCAAAATACTAATAAATATGCCCTGGATGTGAGCTCTCTGAATTTATAGTCAAATGCTTTAACATTTCAGTTTAAATTCTATGCAAATTAAGGAATGTAGTTATTTACCTGGCATCTTAAGAGAACACCAAGATGCTCATTGAACAGTAGAAATTACCAAAATGCCTCATGACCTGTATGTACAGAAATAATGGACAGTGAATGCCAACATTATGATATACATTGCCCTCTACTTTCCTTTCAGGTGGATGGCTGGTACTCTTTGCCATCATGTTGCGGTTGGTGGCAGCTTGCCCTGAGTCATGTGTGGTGTGCACCAAAGATGTAACCCTCTGTCACCAGCTAACCTATATAGTAGGTAATAAAACTAATAACTCTAAAAAGCAGTGCTCAGTGTACCTGGAAAATTGGTTGCCATACCTTTCATTGTACTGACTGTTCTCTGGGCTCAGCTTAAGAGGTAACCCTTTAATGAGTACACTTCATACAATGACTAAAGAGACTGGCAATATTTTATTTTCCTGTTCCTGATGGTCTCAATCAAAACTATTTAAAGACCTTCAGAGGTAACTGAGTTATTTTGCTATTGCAAAAGAATATCACCATTTTATCCAGCTACACACTTAACAAATATATCACTTTAATATCTTTGTACATACTTTGTGCAGATTTGAACTCTACCACCAGCTGGAAGAAATATCAATGAATCAGAAACCTGAACTGCAATTGTTCAGCATTAGTAAGATTAAGTGATGTACCAGTGAAACAGATTATTATCAAAGTGCGTCTCATTTTGAAAGTCTGGTCTTTTTTTATTGGTGGTAAATGAGCTGTAGAAATGCTAACAAGATACACTGCCTGTATTCATTACATATTGCTTGCTTAAGTCAACAATTTAATAAGACACCTTATTAACAAATTTGAGGAGAATGTGATTTACATCCTGATATCCAAGAAGAGATAAACAAGCTATAAGCTCTGCCAATGGAAAATTTCCATAAACAAGCTTGAGTTACGACAGAGTGGAAGAGGATAATTTCTTCCATTTCTAATATCCCACGACTCTGATAATTAGGAGGTAGATGTTGTCACCATCCTTGACAGGACAGAGAGGTTTTCATGGATAGTTGATGTGTATATCGTTTCTAATCAGTATTGAAAATGCTTTAACACTAAACTCTCACCATCTAAAATGGATTTCTTGACTTCACTACATTTATTTTTCCTGATCAGAGACAGTTGATGTCTGTAAGAAACAAATATTTCTCATCTACATTGTTGCATCTCTATATCCCCCTTCTCATTTACAGAACACCATATTTGTGAAGTTAGATTTCATAAATACAGAGAATAAAATGGATGAATTGTGAGTGGGGTTTCTGTCTAGACCTAGACAAGAAGTAATTGACAGAAATAATAGCCTGCTCATTCAGAGTCAGTAAATCCCTAAAGGACTGGGGACCCATGAAAACAAACCTCCTTCATCCCATATCTAAAACAATGATGAGAGAAACAAAATGCCGAACTGGCCAGAATTAATAGAATCCAAATAATCAATCATAAATGCTGAAAAAATCACCAGGATTTAAGCTTGCTTGTGCTGCAGGGATGAGAACAGTTCTTCCAAAAGAAGGCACTCTGAGAATCTTTTGTCTTTTACGTATTTTTTAATCTCTTTGTTTCCGCGATGCAGTCTGAATTTCCTAAGGGATTTGTGATTTGCTTCCCTGGGGTTGACTATTCTAATATCACCTATAGACCTCCCAGTGACAATGGACTCCTCTATCCTTATGACACTGTCATTTGCAGTCAAAACAATGTTAGCATGATAAAGATGTGTTACAATGACTCCTGATTATAATACTTCTTTATTGAGTTAAAATGCTTTGATTTCTAATGACAGAGCAGTGATAGCTCTGAGGTGATTATGGTGAAGGGATTTAACAGTTGGAAGCCCTGAGTACCACCTGTCATCACATGATGGACTTCATTGGAGGGAACAGATATTAGACAGGAGGCCAAGATGGCCCAGACTATAATGAGAACCCCACTGACAGGTACTTGGGTTGTCTGGATTGAATATATATCCTTACCAAGTTGCCAACTTTTAGCCTGGGGCTAGAAAGCAGAAATCAATGCTCCTTCTCACTCTCCCCATCCCAACTCGCACCTTTACTTTTGGGAGAAAAGATGATTGACTTCACAGCATAAATACACATTGCTATGGAACACTGACTATGGGGGTCAGACACAGGCTCAGCTCTTAGTTGATTCTGTCCTGGATCTGCAGGGCTAGATCAGGTCAGTACATAGCCTCGGAGGGAGGGCCTGAAAAGACACCTTCAAAATAACATCGATGAAGATAATCCGAAACAATGAATTAACTTTGACATCTAAAGTAACAGATGGGTTTATGTTTCTCAAACAAACATGTCACAGCAGCAAAGAATATAAAAATCCATCATTTTGATATATAGCCAGCTTCCCCTCAAATTTGGAAATCAGAAAATCATTTTCATTTTTTGTATTGTTTATTGTTTTTACCCAGGTGATAAGATTGCTCAGAGGATATTGATTCTCTGCTCTCCACCATACCCCCTCCCTCCCACTCATGTGTACCCTGCATCTAGTCTGTGCTTTTTTCCCCACAGCAGCCCCTATGACCACGAGGGTTTTAATCATCACCGATGGATATCTCTCCTCTATTGAGAGCACAAACCTGTCTCTCTTGTTTAATCTTGCCCTGCTCTCCCTAAGCAGAAATGGTATCGAGGATGTTCAGGAAGATGCCCTGCATGGGCTTACGATGTTGCGGACCTTGTTGCTGGAGCACAACCAAATATCCAGCTCTTCGCTCACTGATCACACCTTCAGCAAGCTTCACAGCCTGCAGGTACTGGTGCTGAGCAATAATGCTCTCCGCACCCTACGAGGGTCTTGGTTCCGAAACACAAGCGGCCTGACCCGGCTCCAGCTGGATGGGAATCAGATTACTAATCTCACAGACAGTTCTTTCGGAGGCACGAATCTCCACAGTCTCAGGTATCTGGATTTATCCAACAATTTTATTTCCTACATTGGGAAAGATGCCTTCCGGCCCCTGCCTCAACTACAGGAAGTGGACCTTTCCCGAAATAGGTTAGCCCACATGCCGGATGTGTTTACTCCACTGAAGCAGTTAATCCTTCTGAGCTTAGATAAGAACCAGTGGAGCTGCACTTGTGATCTCCATCCCCTTGCTCGGTTTTTAAGAAACTACATTAAGTCTTCTGCTCACACGCTCAGGAATGCCAAGGACCTAAATTGCCAGCCATCTACCGCAGCTGTGGCAGCTGCACAGAGTGTGCTGAGGCTGTCTGAGACCAACTGTGATTCCAAAGCTCCCAACTTCACTCTGGTTCTAAAGGACAGAAGTCCCCTCCTCCCAGGACCAGATGTGGCCCTGCTGACTGTCCTTGGCTTCGCAGGTATGCCGGGGAGAAGTGTGCCCTCCTCTTTTCTCTTCTCTTGTCCATATTTTTGCAGCATGCTAAGTGATGCTTATCTCAGACACTTGGTTGCCAGGGCTATGGAAAGGAGAGGTTGCCAGTAGATGTGGGAGGATATTAGCTGATTTGGCACAGGTTGCAAGAATTTCCTGTTTCAGGGAAGCTGTCTAACATAGAGGAAAGGGCCCTGGACCAGAATTCAAGGGCTCCAGCCCTGGTATAAATAGCATTGGTGACCTTGAACAGGTTAACCTGCTATTTAGACTTTAGTTTCCTTGTGTATAATACAGGAATAATATCTATATTTCATCAATCATCCTTTCACCAAAGAGTACTAGTGCATTTGTTATGACACTAGGAGATAGATATTTAAAAACTGATGGGACATAGACTCTTTCCTCAAGGCACTTACATTTGTGTGCTTCTCCATGGTGTATAGTAAGAGTCAGAGGGCTTTCACAGATGGACGAAGAGATGCTATTATGGCAATCTCATATATCTTAGTCTGCAGTGTTTGTATGGCATAGTAGTTAAATAAATGAGCTCTGTAGTTGGATTACCTAGGTTTGAATCCTGGCTCTGCTATTAGCTGTGTGACTTTGGATGCATTATCTAACTTCTCTGTGCCTTGGTTTTCCTCCTGTTGGGTGGTTTTGAATTCTTCTAAGATTTCTGTTTGTCCAACTCTATGTAAACTTGGCCCATACTTCCCCAGACCAACTAAGGGGAGGATAATATGCAATTCTTTATATATTTTTTGTAATTTAAAATTTATGAAACTATGCATCAGCTATCATTACATCTCACTGGATGAATAATATAAAATGACACTTAGTGTCATTAGTTGAAGACCAAAGATGCATGAGATTTCTTAAGTTATCTAGCTCGATGTGTGTGTTTTCCTCTATGCTCTCAGTGCATGGTGAAATCCTCTGCACCTGTGGGTAACCATGGTGATGAGGGGGTGGGGAGAGAAAGAGAGAGAGACCAGAGACCAACAAATGGCATCCAAGACTGACGTATTTTAAATATGTGCTATAAATCATTATTCTGTAACAGTTATCTAGTGAATTAATTGATTGTATTTTTACTTCCTGACAATTACACTTTTAATCAGAATAGATGGAGACCAGCATCAGGTATAGACAATGGAACTACCATCAGCAGTAATCCAACTCACTTGGAAGGAAATTCAAATGTTAGGAAAATAAATTCTTTTAAAAACCATGTAACTATGTCAGTAATTGTATGTGCTAAGAAATAATTTACCATAAAAGACATAAGTGATAGGGCAGCAGAGAGGTTTCCCTTAAATGTGCTTCTTAGAATACTAGCACTGGTGGATAATTAATAGATATCCCAATAAAAACACACAGATGCACGCATAGGCAATAGATGGTGGGGTTCACATAGGTTTAGAAGGTACTAAGTTAAGCAAAGTGAAACAGGTATACTCACTGCAGCACTTCTCGTAACCTTTCATTTTCTAATAAGCACTATAAATTTCTAAGAAGAAGGTGTGATATGGAGCATTTCTTGAACTTATTTGGCCATGATCCCTTTTTTTCATAGAGGATTTCATTGAATTTGTGTTCTAGAGGACATCGTTTTGGAAATATTATAATAGAGCAATTTTTAGTATCTTTTAGTTACTTTTACATCTGTTTTCAGAAATATGTATTCAGAAATATATTTAGCTACATTAACAGTTCTTTATTAGTATTGAGATGAATACAAATTCTAGAAGATTCCAAAAGTTTTGTCAAAATGACTGGGAGCTTAATATACATGAATAAATTCTGATAAATTATAAATATGATTACATATATGTTAAGTTTTGGTGTGAATTATCATACTAATATATCTTTCATCAAATAATTGTTAAATTGTAGTGCTTTGAGAAGAGATTCTTCTTTAAAAAGACTCTGATTTTTGATGTTAATTTGCTCCATTAAGATTCCACTCTTTCTGAAGCACACGTGTGGTGAGTTATCTATACTTCTAGATTGTGGGAAAAACACTTAGAACTATAATTTTGCCTATGAGACCATTTTCTTCTTCAGCTATATCTAAGTCATAAAAATTCCAAAGAACATAAATAGCTATATTTGTAAATTTAAAACTAATAAATGGTTATTTGGCATCAAACACTAATATCTTGACACTTACACTATGAACTGGTAGATAAAAAGTTTTTATGAAGCTGTAATGTGTTTCTAATGTTTCAATAAGAACTTATCATTAATTTTCCCTTTTTCTCTTGCCAACACAGGTAGATTGTTAGAACACTTTTTAAAAATAGAAACAATGCCCATGGCAAAGAAAATTCAAACGTCTTCTTAATAGCACATTCCGCCTGCCTACAAGCTTCATTTGCTGCTTTTGCTTTCTGCACTAATGGAAAGTGACCATACCTGACTGGTAATGGGATACAGATATATACCTAGTATCAAGAGCAGGGGAGTGAGTGGGTCCCTGCCATTCAGACACAATTAGAGGAGAAACTGTATCCTATAATCAAATTATGTTTACTCTCATTTCAGTGGCTGATTCTTGTCTTAAAGAAAACTTAGCCCTTTTGTTCCTTCATTATTTGGTCTACTAACTGCACTAGTCATTTAAAATATCATCATAATGATTTATTTTTTGGATTTTTTTGTTCCTGACAGGTGAGTCTTCCAGGAACCAATAGAGCAATGCAAAACCTAAACAATGGTAGCTCAGTAATAATAATCACAAATCACAATGAACATTCACTGAATCAAAGCACTGTATTAAACATGTCACATATATTATTTAATCCCTGGGTAGTATTAGTTATCCTCATTTGTGAAAGGAGAAAAAAAATAAGTGTTAGAGGAATTAGAAAATACCCAAGAAAAGTGTCAGAATATAGCTTTGAATCTTGAGTTTTCTTACCCATATGAGTTAAAGAGTGGTTCTAATTTTTAATTTTTTAATATATTCTTTAACATTTTAAAACCAAAATCCTTGTTTGGGATAATTCAAACTCTAGAATCTATCTGTCAATAAAAGGATTATTATTTACATAATTTTGCTACAACTTTAAAAATGTGCCTTTAATAGAGATTGCTTCAATATGTTATAGCACTTTCCAAGAGTGTATTGTTGGCAAATGAATTAAAATAGATTTAAGAGTTCAAGATATGGTAAACTATACAATGGTATGAGGATTTTACCAGAAACTGCTATTCTCCATGTTTGCTCTTCATCTTTAACAGAAAAAAAAGAAACAATCATGACCTGATACCCTCCCTTTTCATTTAAGTTTTAAAAATATGTTTTCATTAATATTGTCTCCAGTGGATAAAACTAGACATGGTGTAGCCAGTCAAAGAATCTGGAATGCTGTCTTTATTTCCAGAAAAGGGCACTGTCCTCAGGCAGATGTGGGTTTAGGGCACAGATCTCTTTATTCAATCTGTACTGACACCATATCTTCCTAATCACATCTTGAGAATTTATAAGATTAGATCACCAATGATTTCATTATCAGAATTCATAAACAGAATCCCTTCTGTTGATTTAAGAATATTTAATAAATATTTCTGCCTCCTTTGTCTCAGAGTTGTGGACACTGGGGATAGAATGTTGAACAGGACTAAAAGGATGTGTTGCCTCACAGTGCTCAGTTGTAGCAGAGGAGGACAGTCTGCGAACAAGCATATGAATGAATAAACAGAATAATACACCTCATAAGGGTGAAAAAACAAGGGAAATCATTGTGATAGACAGATAATGAGGATATGACTCAGGGACATTGGTTTGAACATTTAGGTGGTTGAGGATGCCATTTGTCAAGACAGGAAAAAGTGAAATAGAAACAGGTTAGAGTCGGCACATGGGTTTGAGAAACACTGGATCTTGCAATTTTATTCAGAGGACAAACTACATAGAACATGAAATGACAGTACCAGGCAGTCTGAGATTAGAAGTCATTCACTCTATTATGAGAGTTCATAAAAGGAGGTGACGTAGACCGAAAAAATAATGTTACTGCAGGAACTGTTTTATCTTAAATGAGTTTCAGTTCATGAAACAGCCTTTTTTTCTACCAAAGAGATTCCAGATGGTGTTGTTTCTTATAATTTTTAATAGGTATAAAGATCCAAATTGGAAAGCAGAACAATGTCAATGGTAGCCTCTGTCTGGACTGATATTTTTCCAAATGGTGAAGGACTTCCTACCCATTCTGATATCTTTCAAGCCATTAACCTTTATATTTGTGGTTTTTACATTTGATGATTTATGTGTTTCTTCCCAAGATGTTATCTTTTAATGGTCTCTCTATTTGTCATAGGAGCTGTTGGTCTCACTTGCCTAGGTTTAGTTGTATTTAACTGGAAACTCCACCAAGGCAAAGCAAATGAACACACATCAGAAAACCTTTGTTGCAGAACCTTCGATGAACCCCTGTGTGCTCATGAGGCAAGAAATTACCACACTAAGGGATACTGCAACTGCCACTTAACTCAGGAAAACGAGATAAAGGTCATGTCCACTGTGGGGTCCAGAAAAGAAATGCCACTTTTACAGGAAAATAGCCATCAAGCAACATCGGCCTCTGAGTCTGCAACCCTTGACGGATCATTTAGAAACCTGAAAAAGAAAGACCGTGGGGTAGGCAGCACTTTATTTTGCCAGGATGGTAGATTGCTGCATTCGGAATGTTCAGAGCCTCCTGGAAATATGAGAGCTTTTAATGAAGCAGGCTTACTTACAACATATAATCCAAGGAAAGTTCAAAAGCTATGGAATCTTGAGCCTGGAGAAGTCCAGCCTCAAACTCTGCAACACCATATAATAAGAACAGAAGGTGAGTTTGTCTTGTTTTAGAAAATCCCACTCCGTTTAATTCTTTTTGAAGGAGGGAGCCTCCCTCCTTTAATTTCCTCAACAGGAAATACTATAAAAATCACTATAGCACTAGTCTATTCCTTTTCTAAAAATACTGTGTGTGTGTGTGTGTGTGTGTGTGTGTGTGTGTGTGTGTGGGCTGAGGTGGAGATGAAGTGTTCTTACTTTTAGGAGCTGACAGTGCATCTCCTGACTGCTAAAAGTAAATTTTGAGGCCCAACACCTAACAATGTTAAAAAAAGAAAAAAAGTAGCCTTTTAAATAGCAATAGTGCTGTTAAGATCTATGGGATAGCTAGTATCAGCTTTTATTCCAACATCCTTCGAGCTCTAATGCCAATTCTGCAGTAAGCAACCTTCCCAGAGCATGACATGTTAGAAGAATGGGCCCTCTAATGCTAGTGATTCATTTCAGGAATGATGTCAAGAAACGTACTTTGCTTGCTGAGCTGTCAGGGATGATAACTTCCCAGTCCAGGGAAAGTCAGGACTTAATTCATTGTCCCACACTGGGAGCCAAGTGAATCTGGCCGTGACATCTACCCACTGTACATGGGCGATGTCAATATTTAGGTGAAGGCAATGAATTAAACGTCTTCCTTTTTCTTCCTGAATAGTAAGGCTACGCATTCAGGCTCAGCAGTGAAAATGTTGACAGCTGCTCTGTAAAGAGGTTCCTGTCATTTATTTGAATTGGTTCACAACAAGCAGAGCTTTCTCTAAGAGTATGAATGACAGAGGTGCTGTATCAAGAAATTCTTACCACAGGGGTCTGGCCCTAAGGATGCATTTTGGGGCGACTGGATAAGAATAAAACCATATGTTATTTCACGTATGTTATAAGGTAGGATGTGAGTTTATTCCATTGCATTCCCACACTCCAGTTCTTACCAGTGTCTGGGGGTTGATGATTTCACACAACAGAGGGATGGCTGAGGAAAGAAACATATGCCATAGAAACCAGGTCAGACTGGCTTTATTTTATAAAGAAATAAGCACTTACCCTTTCATTAGAATCATACCTTAGGCAGATCTTTCATTTCATCTTTTAACTTTGTCCAATGCCTGAACTTCTCTGTGGGAAACTCCTATAACTGAAGGGGATGTGCTCTTTTAACCATTTAAAACCCAGTCTGTTGTTTTCACACTGAGAACACTGGTTTGTCAGATTAACATGAATACTTTTAAGAAATACCAGAAATTCTGCTCTATGCCAGGCATTGTACCAGAACTAGAGAGGGCAGGTATTTGAGGAGAAAACAGCCAAGGTCACATCTGCTCCAGAACAGAAATCGGTAAAGAAAAATTGCCACTCTGATTATGCCTTCTGACTTGGAAAAAGAATTATAGACTTTCCAGTGTAGAGAGGACTTTAGATCTAGACTAATAGTTCTTAATGTTTATCTTTGAGTCACAGAACTCTCTGAGACTCTGACAAAGGCTACAGATTCTTTCCCCAACATAATTTGTTTACTTACATAAAGCTCCCATCTAGTCCAACCTTCCAATACACAGCGAACAAGCAGCTTCTCCAAGGTCACCCAGAATGTTGACGGCAGATCTTAGATTGGAATTAGATGCTAGTCTGGAACTTAGTTTACCTCTTGGGGAAAATTGGAGATGGAGTATCCCCACCCTTAGGAGCTGAGAGTACATCTCCTGTCTACTAAAAGTTAATTTTGAGGCCTAACACCTAACAATGTTAAAAATGAAAAAAAAAAATAGCCTTTTAAATAGCAATAGTGCTGTTAGGATTTTTTGCGGTTAAGATGTTTTGCAGTTAAGATTTCCTTTTTTCTCATGGAATAAAAAACTTCTTCCTCTGGATGAAAAAATTTCATGAAACAATAGAAAGTATACTAATAAATAATTTTAAATTTTAGATGCATTGTGGTTAAGACAATAGGGTCGTTTAATGTCAGATAGACTTGGGTTCAATTCTTGGTTTCAACACTTAGCTGATGTGTGACTACGGGAAAGCATTCAACTTCTTTAAAGCTCATTCCTTCATCTGTAAAAGTTATAAGACAGTAGGATCTGTCCAATGGATCACGTCTCTTGTGAATATTAAAAGAGATGATGAACGTACATTATGAGCACAATGCCTAGCTCTTAGCATGTGCTCAATTAATGGTATTACTATTATTTTTGTCATTAATATTATTTAATGTGTAAAAGGAGATTAGAGGCAGACATTAAGAAGAAGCCAGTACAAGTTTCCTTCTTCCACATGTGCCTATAGGGCTGTAGATATGGTCTGTCCCCAAACAGTCAAAGGAAGCTTCCTTTCTGAATGGTTCATCATGTACTATTTTCCTTTAGTAAATGAAAGATTGTAACATGAAGAGGAATTTGCAGGCAGACATTTAAAAGAAGCTAGCAGAAGAAGTTATAAGATTAATAAGATTAAATATTATATTAATCTGTACCATTTTAAAAGTCCCAGGTAAAGACTGCTGCCACACAAACCTGGCTATATTTCAAAATACCTATTTATTTAACAAATATTTAATGAACATTTTATTAAGTTATGGGAAATAAAACAGATATGGTCTCTGCTTTCATTGAGTCAATAGTATTGCAAGTATTTCCCTTTCATTGTCAAATTATTATCTTATTATTGATTATCTGAAACCTGAACATTACTCAATATTGCACCCATGTTCTGCCCAATATTTAAGTTGCAAATGGGAAATGAATTCAGGAAAAAATTACTATAGCCATTTACAAAGGATTTACATACTATTCATATTTAAAGCTAACCTAACCAACAACTAAAGATATATGACTATAAATAACATTTATATTTCTAACTCCACAACTTTTAAGTCAGCATCGCAACTGACTGCAGTGTGACCATAAAGAGTGTCATTGCAAAACATATGGGACTGACAAATGTCCTTTGTAGGTTTGGTTACAAATTAGGAAATAGTGAAGAACTGCAATTATCAGAGGAGTCAGTTTTATACTTTTCATAAGGTTTCTACGCATCTGTTTGGTTGGGGTAATAAAACTCTGCTAAGTGCTAAATTCTTGCATTTATTGTTCCACAGATATCAGCAGTGACATATTTAGAAGAAGATATGCAACACCCGCTTCAGCCTTGGCAGGAGAAAGTCTTGAGAAGCGTTTAACAAATGAATCATGGCAGCCTCCAATAGAAAAAGAAGACAATGGCTTACACCCTCATAGGCAAAGACATTTTATTACAAGCTCATCATCCAAGCCTTGTGAGCCTGAGGAACACTATGTACAAAAGATCGTACAAAAAAATAGATCAAAATATGATGATCCTTGTGGACTGTTAAAACAGAGCAAACCTAGGTATTTTCAGCCAAACAATTCTCTTATCTGTAAATATGTGCCCTGTGAGCAATTTGAAGATTACATGAAAGAAAAGAAGCCAAATCGTAGACAACACTCAAAGCCTGAGAAAGAGCAAATCCAAATTAACAGTGCAATAGAAAAATTTCTTATGAGTGAGGACAACATAGATTTATCAGGATTATCAACAAAAACCAAGAAAGCATATTCCCCAAAGAGGGTTATCTTCCATGATCCTGATTTAGTAGAAATAAATAGGTCGATGATGTCACCCAAAATATCAACCCCTTGGAAACGACAGAAAAATCAAAGTAACCAACTGACTAAGTTGGATGTTAAAAAATTTAGCAACACTGGGGAGAGAAACAAAGGAGAAAAATGGTTTACTAATTCATGGGTTCTGAAAAGGAAGAGAACCCCTCAGTCTGACCTCAAAGGGAAAATTAAAGGACAAAACTTAAAATTAAATTTACATCCTTTTAGAAAAGTCAGAGTCCATCCAGAAAAATCCTTGTCAAGTCTCCCAAAGCAATGCAAGCAGGTATTGTTGCCTCCTAAGAAATTATCCAAAACTTCTGAGACAGAAGCCAAAATAAATACTGTGTGTTCTGCAGATTTTCTTCAACAGTCAGAGAGTAGCAACTATGTTAGACTCACTTCAAAGAGGCTGCCTCTGAAACATGACTCAAAGCAGACCCCATATTATCAACGAAACACTAAACGTGCCCCCCTGCTCAGTGCTAACAACTTGCGTGTAGTCAACCAGAGCTCTATAGAAAGCAGCTGTTACTCAGCTGGCCACATTCCTGATGGAAACACATCAAAATTGCCCCAACCTACACCCACTGATGCTGAGCACAGGCACTCACATTCTCAATTCTCAACTGAGCAAATGGAAGATGCAACTCAGCTTGAATCAAAAGTGCTTAGTTATTTAGCAACTACTTGGGAAAATACAGGAAGTGATGTTTTACCATTCCAACATTCCAGGAGGGCTACTGACCAAGGGACAACGGAGTCCACTGAGCACATGGGACAGAATGTATCAAAGACCAGTGAGTTAAATCAGTTTTCTTTGTCCCCGAGGAATCAAACACAACTTTTAGATGCTCACAAGACTGACAGCTACAACAAGGAATACACTTTAGACCAAAATGAAGCCTTACAACACAGAGAGCAAAATTCAAGTCATGCACAGCTTGAAAATAAAGAAAAAACATTAATGACAAAACCCCAAATATCACATCAAATTGTGGAAAATTGTATTATGGATAAGGAAGAAAATGATGTAGAAAAAAAACTTTCAAAAACAGAAACTTATGATTCCTCTCTCATTCCCCAAACACAATCCAAGAACAACCTATCATTTATGAAGACAAATTCAATTCCATACCAAAATAGAATAGAACTTCCCAAGGATATCAGTACTTCTCCTGTTAGTAGTCAAGCCGTTTGGCACCTAACCAATAGTAGCGAAAAAGGAATTGACAGCACAAATGCATTGCCCAGAAATGACGGCACTGAAGCACTAGAGATAAAAATAGTAGGGAAAGAAGAGAAAAATATGCTTGATGAAAGCAAGACAGATTCTAGTATGTTAACTCAGATCTCACAAATGACCTTAAAAGGCATCACAAAAGAAAGGCAGCAAACTTGGGAAAATGGAACAAGTGAAAAATATATATTACATGATGCAAGCTCTGCCGAGGAGACCATTACAGCTAAAGATTTAAGTATCACAAGTTCCCATGAAACCCAAAATAGAATACTTTGCAGTGAAGTAGATCCTGAAGTTAACAGTAATGTACATAATTTTAGAGAAGTTCAAAATATTCAACCAGATAAAGATAGTGCACATAAAGAAGGCGCAATGACAGTGGAGACACATGAAGCGCTTTCCTTCTTACCAGGGTTAAAAGACAGTTTTGAGGCAGAAAATGAGGTGTTTTTAGTTCCTAGCAGAATAAATGAAGCTGAAAACTCTGCTCCAAAACCTGTACTGTATCCACCATCTGCTGAATATGCTACTACATCACCTTTAGAAACAGAATAAAGTGAACAAAATAACTCAAATAATAATCCTTTTCTACTTTAGCTTTCTTCAAGAGGACAAACACCCACTAGCCTTTGCATGCATTAGAAGTGGATCATTTTGGAGGACAACAACGTCCTCAGTAACTCTTTGTTATCAATAAAATAAAACCAGAGTTGAATATATGACAAAAATCAAAGATGGAGTCATAGGATACGTCTGACACAATTAACTGAGTATGCTTCTCTAAGGAATGAAAAAACAAGTAAGAAAAGTTTTGCCAAGTCTTGCAAAAGCAAGCAAACATTGAAAAAAAAAAAGCCTTAAACAAATGAAAAACTACATAAGAAGAGTATTTGAGCAGATTTACATTTGATGTTTATTTCATGTAAATTATTATACATATCTCAATTAGTGGTATTACAATATTGCTTTCTACATGGATAATTATATATTCATATTTGTGTTTGATCTGTTTTCCTAATTATAGTATGAAAATAAAAATTCAGCTTTGTTAACTGTAGTGTAACTGATATGCATATTGGTATGTTTCATACATTTGCAATTGTCCTGTTGACAATCATCCCAGATTTAAGTAGAAGTCTTTAAAACTTGTTATTTCTCTAAGAGAAAAAAATTAAGGATTTCCAGGGATAGTTGGCTGTTCCCATAAAGATCTGCAAAATCCTATATATCCACTAGGTGGAGATCTCAGCTTCAATCATTTTAGAAGAACAGGGCTTGAAGATCGACACAATGGATCCTGAACAAAAGGAATTTTAATGAGCTTTATTGCCAATTGTTATTAATTTAAGATTTTGAAAACTAAATAACCTATTAGTGCATAGCTTTCAAGGTCTGATCTCTTGGGTTTCGCATGCCACTGTTGTTTGGAGTGAGAACTCCTCCTTATACACTGGAATTAAATGTGAATATAAATATTAAATTTAAAAACAGTAACAGAACAAACATGTCTCATTCAAAGCCATGCTTATTTGAAAAATATAGATATATTCAAATAATTTAATTATTGAGACCACTGTAAAAAATATTTGAAGCATACCTTCACAATTTAGAATATTATAATATTTTACATTTTTTAGTAGGGGAACAAAAATGTTAAAAGGGAAACAAACTTCCTCTTCTCCTATCTCTACACCTGTCTAGGTCTATACATCTTTATATCTGCATTTGGTAGAATAATAATAATAAATAAGCTTTATAAACCTTATAAGATTAGAACAACATAAATATTGCCTACATACCCCGCCTCTTTTGTTTCCCTTCCTATTCAGAGTTGCTAGGAAATAACTTAAGTTTCTTATTTTGAAAATTCCTAAACTTCTTACCTCTCTTCTTCATCTTTTCTCGCCAATATTCAAGACTTTATTGCTTTTAATCCTAATTCCTCTGGTATTTCTGTTCATTATCTCTGCTTGAGCTTAACTGCTATGCCACCTATCTGCCTTGCCTGACCCCACTTTATTTTTAAAGCACCTTTAAGGTGAGACGAGTATCTATGCCAACTTCTTGCATGATAAGTTTATTCCACCCTAATCGACAGTTTCTTCATCTTTGTAGACCAGGTCACTTTTTTTCTTGGTAGCTATCTTTCTTTTTCCTTTTTTTTTTTCTTCTTCTTTAAAGCGCTGTCACCTTACTTCAGCACCTTTAGCTTTGTTCTCTCTGCTCTCACTGCCAAGAATATCCCTGATATCTAGAGGCCTAATGAGTACTCTTGGTCACTAACTGACTCTCAGGAGGCAGCAATCCTAGTTCTCCTGGTCTCTTTTCTCTCTTCCATTTCTGAAATCCAGTCTTTTACCTCTTTATGATGTTTCCTTTGAAATAGTTCTCAGGTTTACCCTTGCCCTTGAATCTCCATGGTAACCATTGTAGTCTGTGTGTTGTAATCAACTGGATTACTCAAACAGCAGTCCAGCTGGCTGCTCCAACTTCATTGTCTTTTGCTTGAGTTTCAACCCATTCATTTTTTATCTTTGTTGGGCACAAATCACCTGGGGCGCTTGTTAAATTGTGGAGTTTCAGGCTCCATCTGAGAGATTTTAATTCAGTAAACTTAGATTAGGGCCCCAGAATCTTCATTTCAACAAACTTTCCAGGGTAATCTGGAATACATAGTTTGCAGCCCACATATTAAGAATCAATGCTTAGCTATTCCAATGAGCATTACAAGATAATTCAGTGTTTGCCTTACTGTAGGAACTACAATTTTTTTAAGTAAATAAATCCTTTGTATCAAACTCAGATGAACTTCCTAAAAAATTACTTTTATCTTTTCACTCCTTTAGAGAAAAAAATATAATTGCCATAATTTCACGTCCAAATTTCCTGTTCCAGTTTCCAAAATCTGTCACTATCTAGTATCAGGCTTTTTTCTACCTCTTACTGTTTTCCAACCTTCTCCCATCTTCAATAGACTATTCTTCTTACTCTCCTCAATGTTCTAGTTTATGAGTTTTGACTAAGAAGACATCCTGGAGAAAATACTGTGCTTCAAATTCAAGGAATGAAGTAAAGACAGATATGCAAGAAAAAATGAGAAGCACAGTTGATAACCTAGAAAGTAATGACCAGAATAGCATGATGTTAGTGTCCTCCATCTAAAGATGAACTTGTTTCAAATAATGCCTGATACAGAGATTTAACCTCTCCATGGCTACAATGTTGCAACTGCTACTAGTCTTTCCCTTGTATCTGTTCTCCTAATGAATTTTCGTATGTTCTGGTTGCTTAGACTGTTTTTCTTTCTCACCAAGCCGCCTTCTTTCAGAAAACTACTGTTTATGGCCTCAGCTCAAGTGTTACTCTTTTTGGGAAGCCTTCACTAACCTGCATTCTGTCTTTGTCCCCCAACTTGCGAGTAGTATTGTTTTAGTATATAGTCTCACAGAGTTTTGTCTTTCTTAACCTTGGCAGTTAACTATAGAATCATTAAAATGTTTATTCAATCAATCTCCATATAACTAGCAGGTCTTAAACTCCATTTAAGAGTTTACATCTCTATTGAATCCCTTTCCCCTATCCTAGGAGGTATACAGTAGGAACTCAACAAATAATTGTTGAAGGAAAGAATGAAAAACAGCCCACTGTTCCCTTTTCTTTGCCACTCAGCTTGCTAACATGATGAAGACCTTACTGGACAATTAAGAAAGACTCAAGTGAGTCACATACAGAAGCAGCTCAACTTCATTATCCTGAGGTGGTTACCAGAGCCAAGTCAGGCTCAACTGACTGGCAGACCCACATATCTCAAGCCAGCTGAAGACTTTGCTTTCCTAATATGCTTTTTCTTCATCTTCCCCTCTTCATCTCATCAGCAGAACAAAGACTCCGTGCTGACAAACTTCACTTCTTAACAGTACAACTTTTCTGCTAAGCAATCGATTTTTATCCTTTCTTTTTTTTAACAGTATCCTTTGGCCATATTCCAATTTCTGTTTGTCATTTCCCAACTCTTTGCTTGAGACATCCATCCTACCCAAAAAATGCTTTTAGAACCTGCCAATGACCTATCTTTACATTGATATTAGAAATTCCACATGCCTGTTATCTATAATTATGAAGAGACACTTCATCAAAGAAAAAGGGATTCCCTTGATTGTTATTTGATGGTAAACTTTGTCATAGTGTGTCCAGAATTGGTGGGTTCTTGGTCTCGCTGACTTCAAGAATGAAGCCGCACACCCACGCAGTGAGTGTTACACTTCTTAAAGATGGCGTGTCCGGAGTTTGTTCCTTCAGATGTTCAGATATGTCCGGAGTTTCTTCCTTCTGGTGGGTTCGTGGTCTTGCTGACTTCAGGAGTGAAGCTGCAGACCTTCGGGGTCAGTGTTACAGCTCATAAACACAGCGTGGACCAAAGAGTGAACATCAGCAAGACTTATCGCTAAGAGCAAAAATCATAGCTTCCACAATACAGAAGATGACCAGAGTGGCTTACTGCTGCTGCTGGCTTGGGCACCCTGCTTTTATTCCCTTATCTGGCCCCACCCACATCCTGCTGATTGGTCCATTTTACAGAGAGCTGATTGGTCCGTTTTGACAGGGTGCTGATTGGTGTGTTTACGGTCCCTGAGCTAGACACAGAGTGCTGATTGGTGCATTTACAACCCTCTAGATAGACATAAAAGTTCTCCAAGACCCCACCCCACACAGGAGCCCAGCTGGCTTTGCCTAGTGGATACCTGGCCAGGGCCGTGGGCAGAGCTGCCCACCAGTCCTGCATCATGCGCCTGCACTCCTCAGCCTTTGGGCGGTCGGTGGGACCCGGTGCCGTGAAGCAGGGGGCAGTGCCCATAGGAGAGGCTCGGGCCACGCAGGAGCCCACGGTTGGGGGGGGACTCGGGCATGGAGGGCTGCAAGTCCCAAGCCCTGCCGTGTGGGGAGGCAGCTGAGGCCTGGTGAGAATTTGAGCACGGTGCGGGCGGGCCAGCAGTGTTGCGGGACCTGGCCCACCCTCTGCAGCTGCTGGCTCAGGTGCTAAGCCCCTCAGTGCCTGGAGTGGCGCCCACCGGCCACTCCAAGTATGGGGCCTGCACCCACTGGGAACTCATGCTGGCACCCGAGCGCCAGCTGGTTACCTCCTGCGCCTCTCCCTCCACACCTCCCCGCAAGCTGAGGGAGTGGGCTCCGGCCTCGGCCAGCCCAGAGAGGGGTTCCCACGGTGCAGCTGGGGGCTGAAGAGTTCCTCATGTGTGGCCAGAGTGGACTACGAGGCCAAGGAGGCCCCGAGAGTGAGTGAGGGCTGCTAGCACGTTGTCATCTCTCAATAGCTCACATCCCACAGAGAGAAGGAAATTCTAGAATAGGTGCTTGACATACTTTTTCTGAGGTTCACACTGAAATACAAGAAAATGTTTTCCTAAACTATTTTATGTGATGTAATTTTCAAGATGAAATTTTCTGGACATCAAAATTCAGATGCAGAGATTGAAGGCACTGATAGGCAATACTGGTATTCATTCATTTACTCAACAAACATTCTTAAGCATCCAGCTTTAGATGTTAGTGTTATAGCAGTGAACAAAATAAACAAAAAGGACCGCTTTCATGGAGCTAACATTTTGGTAGTGATGGAAGATTCTAAACAAATAAACATGTAACACATCAGGTTGAATGGCCAGGATAAGAGGTTATCTTCTGAGATACTCAATCCACATCCCAAAACGATCTTCATTTTTCTTCTTAAGAGTTTCTGTGTACACAGATGAGACTGGGTAATGACTTGGTCTGGATTTTGCCTTTAGGAAAAGAATGGAAAATTTGCATTCTCTTTTCAAACATCTGGACTGGGGCCTATTTTATTTCTCCTGAGTGAGATATTTCCTGAAATAATAGCCTCACTTTATTCTCTTGTTGAAGAGCTATAAAGTGCCTAGGAAGGATCAGAAACAAAGTTATAATTTAAGAGGACAATAACTAGGATGGTTTAGGATGGAAAAATAAGAACCATTAGGTCTTTACATATGAGGTCCTCCATTGTGAAGAATGCAAACTAATACTCTCCACTCTGAGCAATGGAATCGATTGATATCAAAACACAAGGATTTTAATAGACAACAAAATATACTGGCAGAAGGATTACTAGACACTGGACTGAACTGTGTTACTAGGAAAGAAGTTGTGCAATCTCCTCGGTGACACTCTGAGAACAAAGCAGACATAACCCGTCTGCACACTTAAGAATCCCTTCTTGCAGGCGGATTGTTTGGAATTTCATTCTGTGATAATATGACTATTCCCTCTCTATTCTTTTAGACCTATGACCGTATTTAAAAATTTATTTTACTGTTTAAATATCCCTTCCATAACATTGATCACTCCATTTGAATTCGAAGTCTATGCTGTTAACCACATCATAATACTGTCAACTCAGAAAGTTAGAGAGGGATTAGGACCCAGGTCTTCTGCCTCCTACGTGAGCCAGTGCTACTGAAGACCACCTATTCTGAGGCCTGCCTCATGTTTAAAAGCCAACACAAATCCATCTTGTGCCAAATTTCTTGCTTCAGAAAATGACTAAGTGTGGCTCACGCGTAGTTAATAAAAATTGCAGCTGAGATGAGACTGTGAGTCATCTGTCATACCCTGGTCTCTCTTTTACTAATCAGTTGTGAGAAACGTTTCAAAATCAGAAAGCAGCAGCTAAGAAATATGAGATACTCAGACTTCTTGAGGCAATTAGAGACTAAAGAGCAGAAGGCAAATCAGTCTTCCCGCCTTGACAGTCTTAAAATACACACTGAAAGTAGACTTTGGAGTTATACTATTTGTGACAGATTTTGACCATAACACATTTTCTAAGAGGAAATAAAAATTACTCACTTCAGGACATGCGTTCCACCCTCGTATCAGCAGAGATGATATGGGCTTGGGAATGGAATAGCCAATGGGAGGTCTGATGTGGTGGTAAGCCATGTCTGCTGCCGCAGCCGCTGCAAACCAAATGGTCATGTCAGTTTTGAAATTCACATGTTTATTTCAAGCAACAAATGAAGACACACACACACAAAAAGGCATTAAAAATCAATCTGAGCAACATCAGCAGACATTCAAAGAGACCTCTAGGCTTTTTTCCCCCAATGGTCTAAAGAAAGTGATGGATAATTTGATACTACAAACTTATCTTTATTCATTTGGTTTCAGACTCAATAAATAGTACAGGGCATTTATAAGGAGTGAAGGAATATGCAAGGAGCAAGTAGTTTTGTTTGTCTGAAGTATAGGGTATGTACATGATATTATAAGAAGTAAAGATTGAAAGGCAGATTAAACAAGACTGTATAATGCCATAAATCCCAGGCTAAAGAGCTTATATTGTATGTAGTAAACATGGAATACCACTGAAATTTGCACTTCTCATAGCACCTGTATCACTTGAGCAAAGTAGATTTTTTTAAAGCTTAAATCCTATTACTGGTTACAAAGTTGTTGGGATTTTAATTTTTAATATTTATAAAGTAGTTATTATTTTTAAAACTCTGTTGGACACTTCACATCTTTATTTTAGCTAACAATACTCATTGATTGAAGTCTGTCGTGTTGCCTGCCTGCATGGATTTCTGAATATCGCTCATCTCAAAGTCTGCATCACTGTTTTGTGATTCTTAGAACTTCACTGTAGATTCCTGATTGCTAAATATTTCCTGTTCTGCAACTAATGATTTCTATACTCCCTTAGAAACCAAGCTTGTAGCTACTTTTACTGAATGCATTTTGTATCAGGCATCATGGTAGATAACTACATAAACTCCTTTAATCCTCCTAACCACCATGCAAAGTAGGTGTTGTTGTTGTTGTTATGTGTGGAGCTAGTTTTTAATTTATAAACATTTTACATATAACTAATGTTTGGTGCAGTCTTTTGTTTCAAAATCCATGCTCTCTTTAGCACACATTATAATAAATATACTCTGTAATCAACACATGATGCCCTGTCTATTCCTCACAAAAACTGCTCTGCATCAGTGAGAGGATAAAGTTCCAGGACATTGCTGCTGCCTGTCTTTTAGATTGTGGTATTGTAAGCATCTGTCTATATCTTAATGACTTTTGAGATATAAGCCACAACTACTACCTCTACTCTACCAAAATTTACTCCCATCAAATTCTGTTTATCCATACACTTTCAGTAGGCCTAGTGAAATTATATGCAATGTGATTTGATCAACACTTTATGGATTATTCTGAATGATTACCTAATTTTGCCAATTGTAAATTAATACTTCTTCCTTGTAGAAGTTTAAAAAATTAAGAGAATTAGAAGGAATAAATGTTATCATTTAGAAGAAACCATTGTTAAAATATTTCACATATTTCTTATACTTTACATCATTGACCTTATGTCAATATACAATTATGTAATTGTTTTTTCTAAATATTAAAGCATTAATCTAAGCAATGAAGCATTTTCTCATGTTATTAACACTTTATGTTAACATATTTTAATGACTCTGCATTTAGTTTTTAATCATTTCCGAATTTTAGGTTTTTCCAAATTTGGGTGTAAACACTTCAAAGAATATCTTTTCAACATGAGTTGCCAGATTTCATAGATTATTCATTTATGATATTTTGAGGAGAGAAGATGATGTGCCAAAGGCATAACTACTTTAAAGACTTCGGTACAACAATTATTCTAACAGTTGTACTAAATTTATACTCTCAACAGCATGTGTGTGAGGGTTATCAATACATCTGCACCAGAATTAGGTTTTCTCATTTTATAAAACATGTTACTAATTTCAGAGGTAAATATAGCCACTCATTTTTTTTGTTGTTTAGATTGTGTTCTTATCAAATATGTCACTACTTATTAAATGTGTCTTCTGTGTCACAAAAAATTAGGCATTTTGGAGTACTTTCACTGGTTACTCTTTTTTTTTTTTTTTTTCTCGAGACAGAGTCTCACTGTGTCACCCAGGCTGGAGTGCAGTGGCATGATCTGGGCTCACTGCAGCCTCTGCCTCCTGGGTTCAAGTGATTCTCCTGCCTCAGCCTCCCAAATAGCTGGGACTACAGGCACATGCCACCACCCCCAGCTAATTTTTTTGTATTTTTAGTAGAGATGGGATTTCACTGTGTTAGCAGGATGGTCTCGATCTCCTGACCTCGTGATCCTCCTGCCTTGGCCTCCCAAAGTGCTGGGATTACAGGCGTGAGGCACCATGCTGGGCCACTCTTGACTATTTTTAAATTATTTCTGGGATGAGGTAAATCAATAAGCAAACAAACTGGTGCTCAGCAATCACTGATCTTCTAACTCCACTTTGTTACCTTATGATCATTTGGATATTGTTGAGCTGGTGTAGCTGTAAGTACATAAGCCAGTATGGTGAGCACATTTAAAATAGTTGTGCATAGTCTAATGGGTGGGGAGGGACTAGTCATAAAATGAGTTAAACTCTGATGCAGGTGCCAACCATCCCCCTTTGAAATTCTTTTAGATTCTGGTATCAAAAATATAGAGTTACTTGTTTGCTTCTTGGCAGTGTGTCTGGAAAATCAGTTTAAGATGAATGATATTTAATTCTTCATTATTCAAAGTAGATTCTGCAAAGTCTTGGCATCTCCTCCCCTTTGCTTTAAGCACTCTTGGCAGTGATGCTACTCATTAGTGCCTCCACCAGAAAGTGGGCAATGTAACATGAGGGGGTCATGAAATTGAAATTTGTCACCTTGAGATTGTTTTGTCAGTCTTGCCTAAGCAGCCATGCTACACTAACATCTGGGAAATTTTCTGGTATTACAGATTCAGGAAGGAGATTGTCAGCCCATTAATCAAATTTTTACCTTGATTGCTACAAAAAATATGTTAGAGGATTTATGTAAATGTTGGTTTCTACTTTAAAGAATGAGACTTTGCCATTAAAGGAGAATAAAGCTAAATTTAAAAATATTAATAACTATTTATTGAGCAACTATTATTTCTCAACAGTCTCCTGAAATATTTATCAATAGTTTAGTAGAAATAATAACCTAGATCTAGAGTAGGAGTATCCAATAGAACTTTTTACACTGATAAAAATGTTCTTGTAATCCCAGCACTTTGGGAGGCCGAGGCGGCAGATCACGAGGTCAGGAGATTGAGACCATCCTGGCTAACACGGTGAAACCGCATCTCTACTAAAAACACAAAAAATTAGCTGGACGTGGTGGCTGGCGCCTGTAGTCCCAGCTACTCGAGGCAGGAAAATCACTTCAACCTGGGAGGCAGAGGTTGCAGTGAGTCGAGATCGTGCCACTGCACTCCAGCCTGGGCGACAGAGCAAGACTCCGTCTCAAAAAAAAAAAAAAGTTATATGTTGTTAAATATGATAGCATAAAGTTACAGAGCACTTAAAATGTGGCTAGTGTGACTGATAAATTGAGTTTTTAATTTGTTTAATTTTATTTAATATAAATTTAAATAGTCATGGTAAGTGGCTTTCATATTAAACAACATAATTCTAGAGCATAGCTTGCACTCTCATTATCCTGAAAAACAAGAGTTAAACCCAGTATTGTGAGTCAGCTGCAGAGTCTATATAACCATGGTGTCAATTTGTGGATTCAACTTCTCCCTTGTTTGTCGATACTTTATCAAGAAAAGAAAAGACATGAATGGAGATTGTGTATGTTGTTTCTCAAAAGTGATAGACCAGTGAAAAGCTACAGAACAGGCATTCAGCACAACATGTGATAACCTCATTCATGTATTCATTTGTCAAAATGTACTGACTATTTTATGTAAGTGATAATAAACCAAAAATAATCTGGTGTTATTTTTTTCAATGAAAATTGGTAAATGAATAAATAAGAAATATGTGAATGCCTAGTTTTTTTCACTGCATTTTATGGTTCAGTTGTTAATTCTAAAATGCGATTCCTTTTGCCTGGAATGTTCTCCCCTACCTCTTTTTCCTTCGTAACATCTACTGTCATTTAGCTCTTATCTTTGATTGACTTTTCCTGGGTACCCTTCCTATGTACTTCCATAACAACCTGTACTATCATAACATGTATTATACTTAATTGCCTCTTTATTTGTCTGCCTGTGCATATAGATCATAAATGCCTTGAGGTCAGGGACTGTGTCTTTTCACCATTGTATCTTCTGTGCCTAGCACAGTACTTGGCTATTAATAGGTATTCAAAAGGTATGCATTATTTCCCTTAGGATAATGGCCTCCAGCTACATCCATGTTGCTGCAATGGACATTATTTTGTTCTTTTTATGGCCATATAGTATTCTATGGTGTGTATGTACCACATTTTCTTTATCCAATCCTCTGTTGATGTGCACCTAAGTTGATTCCATGTCTTTGCTATTGTGGACAGTAGAGGTCATTATCCAAGGGGAATTAATGCAGGACCAGAAAACCAAATAACACATGTTCTCACCTATAAGTGGGAACTAAACTTTGGGTACACATGGACATAAAGATGAGAACAATAGACACTGCAGACTACTAGAGGAGGAAGGGAGAGAGAGGGGCAAGTTGAAAAACTACCTATTGGGTACTATGCTCACTGCCTGGTGATGAGATCTATAACCCAAACCTGAGCATCACAATATACCAATGAACCTGCACATGTACCCCCTGAATCTAAAATAGAAGTTGAATAACAGTAAACAATTAAAAAACATAGGCACTAAAAGTGTTATTTAACTGGAACTCATATAAATTCTGGTATATAGGACTCAGTAACATTTATTGAATAAATGAATGAAGATGATAGCTTAACAGCAATAAATATCTTATTCATTATTATGTTTAGAGAATAGGGCACAATGCCTAGCCATCAAGAAACACTGTAGAGTGAATATAATGTTTAGTTTAATTCTAGATGACAACATGAGCAGGTAAATTACTGAAATCTAGTGGCAAATTTAATCAATATAATATCTTTCATTCAAAAATATGGGAGGAGGTGCTTCAATAAATTAAAGCAGAGTGACATAATAAGAAGTACCTTTACCAAGGAAATCTGGAGGTCTAATTTTCAGTCTGGCTTTGCTGTAAACTCTCTGGGAGATACTAATTAAACCAATTTGCCTCATGAGCATTAATTTTGCTAAATGTAAGATGAAGCAGGGAAGACAGAGTATAATCGTGGCAAACATGGGCTTTGAAGACAGAGAACCTGAGTATTTAAGTCTTGACTGCCCTCTTACTAGCATGTGACATTGAGCAAATGTCTTATCCTAAAAGAACTTAACCCACAGGTTAGTAGGACTAACTGAGATAGTATACATGGAGCTCCAGGCACATTGTTGGCTCTCAACAAGTGTAGCTGCGTTGTTGTTGCTATTATCATCATCTGCACATCTAAAAGTCTTACCAATTCTTTTTGGTTTGAACCTAGAGAGCTAGATATAAAAAACATAATTGTATGTTTTCTGTTTTGTTTAGAACACCAGTCAACTTAGGTCCTTTTTAGGTTCTCTTTGGGTATGAATACCAAGTAAAATATTACATTGAGTTACTGCAAATTTTAAGGCTACAACCTATCTCACTGGTCATAAGGCTCAGCTCATAATGCAATATGACTATGCAGAGAGAATGACTGTGCAGCTCTCCATGACAGCCTTAATTATCTATACCCCACTTACGGATAAGTTAGTATTAGATTCTCAATCCCTAAAGTAACCTTTCACTGTCTTCTGTTTTATAAAATTAAATTTAGAAACTCACATTAAAAAGATTAAAAAGAGAGCAATACGCTACAATATTTTGTTAGTAAGTTTTGACCAATATAAAATTGCCAGAAGTATCTTAATTTTTCAACTTTGATTGTGTTTATGTGTGTTCTGAAAAGTATAATTGATTCTACTTCATTGTTTTTAATGGGCAGGGCTGCGGTGAGACAAAGCAAATGTGTTCTACAATCCCAGCAAGAGCTAAGACACATTCTTTGTTAAACTGACACTTTTCAATGACGTATCACCAGAGTGTATAGCATCTGAGAGAGACCATGAGATTGCAATCTTGAGATTGCACTAAGAATGGCTTAATTTTTTAAACCACATCCCATTCTCATTACATACTGTCAGAAGAATAGATTAATTTGTTCCATTGTCTGTTCTCATTGCAATCTTTGTCAGTGTAATGAAATATTGGAATGTTAATATCAGCTATATTCATAGAAATATCTCCATCTATTGGACTGATTTAATCTTTCCAGTGATCTGCGTGGTGATTGGTTGGCTCTACTCCTTTTAGTGATAAACTGATAAGGATTAGCACAATAAACATAAGATTTCAGAAATTTAGCTCACTCCTATTTTCCTGCCGCTTGTCAAAGAACAGTCCACATCATCAGTGTGTTTGTATCCTATGAAGTTATTATATCCAGAATGCTTTAGGGTCCAAATAATATGTGGAAAAGGACATAATCATCTAATATTTAAGGAGGGGTAGTAAACTCAAATGGCTACCAATATGAGACCTATTGAATATCTGTGTCTTTAAATGTACTTTAATTCATATTTTTAAATACCATATGTGACATAAAAAAGTCTGCAAGCCATATTTGGTTCCTGGACTTCCAGTTTGCAACTCTGAGTTAAAGTCTCAATATGAAGTCTCACCAAAACCTGCCTAGAAAAAATTGGCAGATGTTCTTAAATTACTGCTATATCCTAGACTACTAAGAGCCTGGCATTAAGGAATCCCAGGACACAGAGTTAAATCTCTTTGTGAACCAGCTGGCGTCACACAGGAAAACAAAAAGAAAACAAGAGACTCTCTTCTTTGGGCCCAGACTATAATTTGAAAGTGATCCACAAATCTGGGTACCTGGTTATAAGGAAATGGGAATGGATACAATACATATTGATGGATTAATTCATCTCAGCTTTCTTCTTTAGTTGATCATGATGTATCAGAGGAGACAAGCCCAGGAGAGAAATGAAATCTGGGAAGCAGGTGTTGATTTCTTTCTCTAAAATGTATTGAGGACAGCTCTTATTTGCCAGGTTGTGCCTGCTTATTTTTCATCTTGCCTGGTTCTTCTCTATCTGTTTGGCTTCACACCTTGGCTCCTTCTCCTCCTAATCTGATAATTTCCCTCATAAATCTGCTCCTTTTCTTGTATCCATCATTATCATGATGGTTAAGCCAGAAGCCTGGAAGTCTTTCTTGACCTCCTCATTTCCCTTGTGCTCCCACCTCAATCCATTCAGAAGTCCTATTAAAATCTCCCTAAACCAATATCTCCTTTCTCTTTCAAAGCTACTGCTTCAGTTAACGTAATAGATATTTCTTCTAGATGAACTGATTTCCCTGCTTCCAGTTTTGAATTTCTCCAGTCCAGCCTTTGCTTTGTTACAAGAGAAGCATTCTAAAATAATAATAAGAGTTGTTCTATATTCCTTTTTAAAACTTTGCAGTGACCTCCATTGATGACACACACAAGGCCTGTGATAGTTCATTAAATGTGTCAACTTGACTGGGCTAAGGGATACCCAGATAGCTGGTAAACTGTTATTTCTAGTGTGTCTGTGAGGGTGCTTCTTGAAGAGATTAGCATTTGAGTCATAGACTGAGTGTAAAAGATCCACCCTCACCAATGTGGGCAGGCATCATCCAATGCCTTGAGGGCCCCAACAGAATGAGGAGGCAGAGGAAGGGTGAATTAGCTCTCTTTTCTGGGGCTGTGACATGCACCTTCTCCTGACCTCAGATATCAGCACTTCAGATCCTTGGGCCTTCAGAGTCTGGAACTTACAGTGGTGACCCTCCTGATTCTCAGGACTTTGAACTCACACTGAATTACATCACTGACTTTCTGGGTTCTCTGGTTAGTGGAGAGCATATTGTGGGATTTCTTGGTCTTCATAATCATATGAGTCAATTACCACAATAAATCACCTCTTACACATATAAATAGATATATTCCACTTGTTCTGCTTCTCTAGAGAACCCTGACTTGTACAAGGACTTTCAACATCTGGTTCCAGTTTTACATTTATAGTCTGTGTTGTTTGACTGATGTCCTTGTATTCCCTGATTCATCCCTACTGAACTATATGTGGATTTCTCAGGCCTCTGGACCTTGCTGATACAGCTTTCTGCTGGATCATCTTCCTCACTTCTTCATAGTTTACCTATTTAACTAGTAGTCATCTTTTAAAAGTGCATTCAGGTATCATCTGTTCTAAGAATCCTTCCCTGATATCCTTTTACTTCCTCCAGTTTGGGTAAAAGGCCCTTCCAGGGAGCATCCTTAGTCCTCTGTGCTTCTCTCTAGTTGAGACTTACTCTGCTGATTTTGCTTCTGTCACTCATTCTCTATACTATGAGTAGTTTGATGGCCTGGTCAGCGACCTATTCCTCTTTATTTTCTGCTTACTATGGCACAGTTCCTGGCCCAGAAAGAAAGAACTCAGTGGTGGCCTAAAGATAATAATAATAATAATACCTAACATTTACTGAGTGCTTATTATTATCAACCACTGCTCTAACCTTTTGAAGTAGGTCTTATTATTATGTCCATTTAAAAAATAAATGAATGCTTGTGAGGATGCAAAGAAAGGGGAACTCTCATACACTGTTGGTGGGAATGTTAATTTGTACAGTCACTGAGATGGAGAACAGCATGGAGGTTTCTCAAAAAACTAACAATTGTACTACCATATTATCCAGCAATCCCACTGCCAGGTATATATCCAAAAGAAAAGAAATCAGTATATCTAAGAGATAGCTGCACTCCCATGTTTACTGCAGCACAATTAACAATAGTAAAGATTTTGAACCAGCCTAAATGTACATCAGTAGATAAATGGATAAAGAAAATGTGGTACATATTCACAAGGAATATTATTCAGACATAAAAAGAATGAAATCCTATCATTTGCAACAACATGGATGGAACTGGAAGCCATTATATGAAGTGAAATAAGCCAGGCACAGAAAAACAAATATCACATGTTCTCGCTCATATGTGGGAGCTTAAATAAAAATGAACTCATGGAGATAGAAAGTAGAATGATAGTTACCAGAGGCTGGGAAGGGTAGTGGGGAAGATGAGATAAAGTGGAAATGGTTAATAGATACAAAAGTACAGTTAGATAAAATGAATAAGATCTAGTATTCAGTAGCATAATGGAGTGACTATAGTTAACAATAATTTATTGTATGTTTTAAAACAACTAAAGAACAGAATTAGAATGTCCCTAATCCAAAGAAATGATAAATGCTTAAGTCAGATATCCCTATTATTCTGGTTTGATCATTACACATTTTATGCCTGAATCAAAACATCACATGTACCCCATAAATATGTACAATTATTATGTATCCATAATAACATAAAAGAAAGAATTAAGAATAAAAATAATAAACTAAGGTATAGATAGGTTAAATAAATTGCACAAGGTCGCAAGACACATGCCAATTCTCTTTAGCCCCTACGGTGTTAGCCTGAAACATATTTTCTTTAAAATGCTGAATTAATTGCCAACATTAAAAAATGTATAGATTTCTTAATTAATGAGCAGAAAGAAATTAGTTGATATGGTCAGCGTGGGTATACCTACGTTCCTGCTCAGCGCTGTTTGGCTGGAGCGTGAGTCAGAGCACGTGATTTCTTATTCATCACACTGTTCTGCCTTGAGCATCTGCATGGTCCTGTGGGCATTTGATCTTTTTGATTTGACCTTTAAGGTGGTGGATGTGATGGTTTTTCAGTTTTCCTAAACCTGAGATTACAGGTTAATTTGAACATGTGAGATGCAAAAGAGACCCTAACTTCAAGCTTTTCTGAATGTATCCCTATCACTTGTGTAGGAGTCAATGCTAATATTGGTGTTCTTTGTTTATATTTTTCCCAGGAAGTAGTATGCTGTTAAATCCAGAAGGATGAGTCCTGTATAATGCTGCTACTACCATAATTGATAATGCTGTCTCACTTTGCAGTCATGGATTCGTTCCTCGTTGTAAATGGCTAATATGTAGCTTATATTGAATCTGATGCTTCACATAATTTATTGCTGAACATATGCTAGATGGCCTAACCACTGAAATGATATTAGACATCTTGTTTCTTGATTCATGGTAACTGTCCAACTTTGAAAAATTCAGCATCTATCATAAACAAAATCTCTTTCCAATAAAGTACTATACATTTTAATATCTGGGATATTGGAACAAAGATACTCTTAGGCAAGACTTTCAACTTTTTATTAAATAATATTCTCCCTCTAAAGTGGGTAACTATTTCTGGGGTCCATGAACTAAAATCTCAGGGACATTTTTACCTTTTTTAAGTATTTAGTTTATAATTAGCAAAGTCTAATGAAGTAGAGAAAATTACAAAACTGTGAGTAAAATGTGATAAATGCAATGATAAATGGTAACTTGGGATAAGGAGGAAATTGCACTTGATATTGGAGAATTAAGAAAGATTTTTGGAAAGAAATTATATTTAGACTAAGACCTAAAAATAAATTGGAGTTGCTGTAATGAAAAGTGGAGAAGAGTGTCTCTGACAAAGAGACTAATGTGCACAAAGGCATGGAGGTGAGAGGACACATGCTGGGGATATGAAAGTTTCCTGTGGTTGGGATGACTCTGGATGACGGGCTGCATGTGGTGAGATGGAGGCCGGGGAGGCAGGCAGGGACATAATCATAAGGGGCTTTGAAGATTGTTTTAAGATGTTTTGTTTTTATCTTAAGAGCAAAAGAAAAACACTGGGAATTTTAAGTCAAAGAAGTGCTATGTTCAAATTTGCATTTTTAGAAAGCTAAATCTAGTGATTGGTGGAAAAAAGATGATAAGCAAAGCTGAAGGCAGGATACTATTTAAGATAATGTGCTGTATTTGACATGTGAAATAAGGAAGTAGCAGTGGAGATGGAGATAACTGGATGGATTTCAGAGATAAACTGTAGAACTGAAAATAGGAAAATAATTTTAAAAAGAAAGAAAGAGAGAAATAAATAAAACGAGACTAAAGAGGAGTCAAGGATGACTTTGAAGTTTCTACATGGGCCACCTAGAGAACGAGAGTGCCACTGAAGTACAGAATCAAAAGGAGCCTTGACCTTGTATTACACTTTTTCCTAATCTTGCACCTTACAGTTACAGAGAGTTTGCAATTTATAAAGTGTGGTCACAAACATAATCTCATTGAATGCTCACAGTAATTTTTTGTGGTAGTCATCATTAATTGCATTTACTGAGGAAACAGAACTTGTGAAAATGCCTAGAGGTCAGATGAAATGCAACATACTGAGAGTGCAGAAAGTGAACTGATGTTAGTAATGTGAGAGGTACAGAATCAGGGAGAGTTTTACAGGACATAAGAATTTTGAGATTTAATGCTAAGAATATGGGAAGCCATACAATAATTTTAAGCAATGGTAATATATCAGGTTTATGTTTTTAAAATATTATTTCAGTGGATGTTTAGAGATTGGAGAGGAAAAGAAAACAAAAATAAACCAAGAAAGAACAGTCAAAAACAATTTCAGAAGTTCAAATGATAAAGCTGGCAGTTTGCACTAGGGTGATGGCAGATGAAACATTTTGAGAAATAGACAAATCTGAGGTATATATCTTACCACTTCAATTCAACATTGTACTGGAGGTCCCTGACTGTTCAAAAAGGCAAAGAAAAGAAGAAAAGAAAAGAAAAGAAAAGAAAGAAAGAAAGAAAGAAAGAAAGAAAGAAAGAAAGAAAGAAAGAAAGAAAGAAAGAAAGAAAAGAAAAGAAAAGAAAAGAAAAGAAAAAAGAAAGGAAAGAAAGAAAGAAAAAGAAAAGGAAGGAAGGAAGGAAAGAAAGAAAAGAAAGGAAGGAAGGAAGAAAATTCTTTATTAACAGATGACATAATTATTTATGTAGAAATCCCAAAGAAGGTATAAAAAAGGGAACTAGGATGGAGAAGTAAATTTAGTAAGTTTGTGGGGTACTAGATTGCAATAAAATTTATTATATTTCTATATATTAATAGTAGCAAAAAATTGGACATTGATTCATTTTATTTTATTAAGTTCTCGGGAAACATGTGCAGGATGTGCAGGTTTGTTACATAAGTAAACATGTACCATGATGGTTTGCTGCACCTATCAACCTGTCACCTAGGTATTAAGCACAGTATGCATTAGCTATTTTTCCTGGTGCTCTCCCTCCCCCTGCCTTCCCCAACAGGCCCCAGTATGCATTGTTCCCCTCCCTGTGTCCATGTGTTCTCATTGTTTAGTTCCCGCTTATAAGTGAGAACATGTGGTGTTTGGTTTTCTGTTCCTGTGTTAGTTTTCTGAGGATAATGGCTTCCAGCATCCATGTCCCTGCAAAGGACATGATCTCATTCCTTTTTATGGCAGCATAATATTCCATGGTGTATATGTACCACATTTTCCTTATCCAATCTATAATTGATGGGCATTTGGGTTGATTCCATCTCTTTGCTATTGTGAATAGTGCTGCACACTGAACACAAGCATGCCTGTATCTTTATAATAGAATGATTTATATTCCTTTGGGTATATACCCAGTAATGCGATTACTGGGTCAGATGATATGTCTGGTTCTAGGCCTTTGAGGAATCACCACATTGTCTTCCATGATGGTTGAACCAATTTACATACCCACCATCAGTGTAAAAGCATTCCTATTTCTCCACAGCCTTGCCAGTATCTGTTGTTTGTTGACTTATTAATAATCGCCATTCTGACTGGCATGAAATGGTGTCTCATTGTGGTTTTGATCTGCGTTTCTCTAATGATCAGTGATGTTGGGCGTTTTTTTGTATGTTTGTTGGCCGCACAAATGTCTTCTTTTGAGACATGTCTGTTCATGTCCTTTGCCCACTTTTTAATGGGTTTTTTTTCATGTAAATTTGTTTAAGTCCATTGTAGATTGTGGGTATTAGACCTTTTTCAGATAGATAGATAATAAACATTTTCTATTTGGTAGATTGTCTGCTCACTCTGACGATAGCTTCTTTTGCTGTGCAGAAGTTCTTTAGTTTAGTTCTGCTCTGATTTTAGTTATTTCTTGCCTTCTGCTAGCTTTTGAATGTGTTTGCTCTTGCTTTTCTAGTTCTTTTCATTGTGATGTTAGGGTGTCAATTTTGGATCTTTCCTGCTTTCTCTTGTGGGCATTTAGTGCTATAAATTTCCCTCTACACACTGCTTTGAATGCGTCCCAGAGATTCTGGTATGTCGTGTCTTTGTTCTTGTTGGTTTCAAAGAACATCTTTATTTCTGCCTTCATTTCGTTATGTACCCAGTAGTCATTCAGGAGCAGGTTGTTCAGTTTCCATGTAGTTGAGCGGCTTTGAGTGAGATTCTTAATCCTGAGTTCTAGTTTGATTGCACTGTGGTCTGAGAGATAGTTTGTTATAATTTCTGTTCTTTTACATTTGCTGAGGAGAGCTTTACTTCCAACTATGTGGTCAATTTTGGAATAGGTGTGGTGTGGTGCTGAAAAAAATGTATATTCTGTTGATTTGGCGTGGAGAGTTCTGTAGATGTCTATTAGGTCCGCTTGGTGCAGAGCTGAGTTCAATTCCTGGGTATCCTTGTTGACTTTCTGTCTCGTTGATCTATCTAATGTTGACAGTGGGGTGTTAAAATCTCCCATTATTAATGTGTGGGAGTCTAAGTCTCTTTGTAGGTCACTCAGGACTTGCTTTATGAATTTGGGTGCTCCTGTATTGGGTGCATATATATTTAGGATAGTTAGCTCTTCTTGTTGAATTGATCCCTTTACCATTATGTAATGGCCTTCTTTGTCTCTTTTGATCTTTGTTGGTTTAAAGTCTGTTTTATCGAAGACTAGGATTGCAACCCCTGCCTTTTTTTGTTTTCCATTTGCTTGGTAGATCTTCCTCCATCCTTTTATTTTGAGCCTATGTGTGTCTCTGCACGTGAGATGGGTTTCCTGAATACAGCACACTGATGGGTCTTGACTCTTTTCTGAAGGAAACAGAGACACAAAAAACCATTCAAAAAATCAATGAATCCAGGAGCTGGTTTTTTGAAAGGATCAACAAAATTGATAGACCGCTAGCAAGACTAATAAAGAAAAAAAGAGAGAAGAATCAAATAGACACAATAAAAAATGATAAAGGGGATATCACCACCGATCCCACAGAAATACAAACTACCATCAGAGAATACTACAAACACCTCTACGCAAATAAACTGGAAAATCTAGAAGAAATGGATAAATTCCTCTACACATACACTCTCCAAAGACTAAACCAGGAAGAAGTTGCATCTCTGAATAGACCAATAACAGGAGCTGAAATTGTGGCAATAATCAATAGTTTACCAACCAAAAAGAGTCCAGGACCAGATGGATTCACAGCCAAATTCTACCAGAGGTACAAGGAGGAACTGGTACCATTCCTTCTGAAACTATTCCAATCAATAGAAAAAGAGGGAATCCTCCCTAACTCATTTTATGAGGCCAGCATCATTCTGATACCAAAGCCGGGCAGAGACACAACCAAAAAAGAGAATTTTAGACCAATATCCTTGATGAACATTGATGCAAAAATCCTCAATAAAATACTGGCAAACCAAATCCAGCAGCACATCAAAAAGCTTATCCACCATGATCAAGTGGGCTTCATCCCTGGGATGCAAGGCTGGTTCAATATACGCAAATCAATAAATGTAATCCAGCATATAAACAGAGCCAAAGACAAAAACCACATGATTATCTCAATAGATGCAGAAAAAGCCTTTGACAAAATTCAACAACGCTTCATGCTAAAAACTCTCAATAAATTAGGTATTGATGGGACGTATTTCAAAATGATAAGAGCTATCTATGACAAACCCACAGCCAATATCATACTGAATGGGCAAAAACTGGAAGCATTCCCTTTGAAAACCGGCACAAGACAGGGATGCCCTCTCTCACCACTCCTATTCAACATAGTGTTGGAAGTTCTGGCCAGGGCAATTAGGCAGGAGAAGGAAATAAAGGGTATTCAATTAGGAAAAGAGGAAGTCAATTGTCCCTGTTTGCAGACGACATGATTGTATATCTAGAAAACCCCATTGTCTCAGCCCAAAATCTCCTTAAGCTGATAAGCAACTTCAGCAAAGTCTCAGGATACAAAATCAATGTACAAAAATCACAAGCATTCTTTTTTTTTTTTTTTTTTTTTTTATTATACTCTAAGTTTTAGGGTACATGTGCACATTGTGCAGGTTAGTTACATATGTATACATGTGCCATGCTGGTGCGCTGCACCCACTAATGTGTCATCTAGCATTAGGTATATCTCCCAATGCTATCCCTCCCCCCTCCCCCGACCCCACCACAGTCCCCAGAGTGTGATATTCCCCTTCCTGTGTCCATGTGATCTCATTGTTCAATTCCCACCTATGAGTGAGAATATGCGGTGTTTGGTTTTTTGTTCTTGCGATAGTTTACTGAGAATGATGGTTTCCAATTTCATCCATGTCCCTACAAAGGATATGAACTCATCATTTTTTATGGCTGCATAGTATTCCATGGTGTATATGTGCCACATTTTCTTAATCCAGTCTATCATTGTTGGACATTTGGGTTGGTTCCAAGTCTTTGCTATTGTGAATAGTGCCGCAATAAACATACGTGTGCATGTGTCTTTATAGCAGCATGATTTATACTCATTTGGGTATATACCCAGTAATGGGATGGCTGGGTCAAATGGTATTTCTAGTTCTAGATCCCTGAGGAATCGCCACACTGACTTCCACAATGGTTGAACTAGTTTACAGTCCCACCAACAGTGTAAAAGTGTTCCTATTTCTCCTCATCCTCTCCAGCACCTGTTGTTTCCTGACTTTTTAATGATTGCCATTCTAACTGGTGTGAGATGATATCTCATAGTGGTTTTGATTTGCATTTCTCTGATGGCCAGTGATGATGAGCATTTCTTCATGTGTTTTTTGGCTGCATAAATGTCTTCTTTTGAGAAGTGTCTGTTCATGTCCTTCGCCCACTTTTTGATGGGGTTGTTTGTTTTTTTCTTGTAAATTTGTTTGAGTTCATTGTAGATTCTGGAAAAATCACAAGCATTCTTATACACCAACAACAGACAAACAGAGAGCCAAATCATGAGTGAACTCCCATTCACAATTGCTTCAAAGAGAATAAAATACCTAGGAATCCAACTTACAAGGGATGTGAAGGACCTCTTCAAGGAGAACTACAAACCACTGCTCAAAGAAATAAAAGAGGATACAAACAAATGGAAGAACATTCCATGCTCATGGGTAGGAAGAATCAATATCGTGAAAATGGCCATACTGCCCAAAGTAATTTACAGATTCAATGCCATTCCCATCAAGCTACCAATGACTTTCTTCACAGAATTGGAAAAAACTACTTTAAAGTTCATATGGAACCAAAAAAGAGCCCGCATCGCCAAGTCAATCCTAAGCCAAAAGAACAAAGCTGGAGGCATCACATTACCTGACTTCAAACTATACTACAAGGCTACAGTAACCAAAACAGCATGGTACTGGTACCAAAACAGAGATATAGATCAATGGAACAGAACAGAGCCCTCAGAATTAACGCCGCATACCTACAACTATCTGATCTTTGACAAATCTGAGAAAAACAAGCAATGGGGAAAGGATTCCCTATTTAATAAATGGTGCTGGGAAAACTGGCTAGCCATATGTAGAAAGCTGAAACTGGATCCCTTCCTTACACCTTATACAAAAATCAATTCAAGATGGATTAAAGATTTAAACGTTAGACCTAAAACCATAAAAACCCTAGAAGAAAACCTTGGCATTACCATTCAGGACATAGGCATGGGCAAGGATTTCATGTCCAAAGCACCAAAAGCAATGGCAACAAAAGCCAAAATTGACAAATGGGATCTAATTAAAATAAAGAGCTTCTGCACAGCAAAAGAAACTACCATCAGAGTGAACAGGCAACCTACAAAATGGGAGAAAATTTTCGCAACCTACTCATCTGACAAAGGGCTAATATCCAGAATCTACAATGAATTCAAACAAATTTACAAGAAAAAAACAAACAACCCCATCAAAAAGTGGGCGAAGGACATGAACAGACACTTCTCAAAAGAAGACATTTATGCAGCCAAAAAACACATGAAAAAATGCTCATCATCACTGGCCATCAGAGAAATGCAAATCAAAACCACTATGAGATACCATCTCACACCAGTTAGAATGGCAATCATTACAAAGTCAGGAAACAACAGGTGCTGGAGAGGATGTGGAGAAACAGGAACACTTTTACACTGTTGGTGGGACTGTAAACTAGTTAAACCATTGTGGAAGTCAGTGTGGCGATTCCTCAGGGATCTAGAACTAGAAATACCATTTGACCCAGCCATCCCATTACTGGGTATATACCCAAATGACTATAAATCATGCTGCTATAAAGACACATGCACACGTATGTTTATTGTGGCATTATTCACACTAGCAAAGACTTGGAACCAACCCAAATGTCCAACAATGATAGACTGGATTAAGAAAATGTGGAACGGCCGGGCACGGTGGCTCACGCCTGTAGTCCCAGCACTTTGGGAGGCCAAGGTGGGCGGATCACGAGGTCAGGAGATCGAGACCATCCTGGCTAAAATGGTGAAACCCCGTCTCTACTAAAAATACAAAAAGTTAGCCAGGCGTAGTGGCGGGCGCCTGTAGTCCCAGCTACTTGGGAGGCTGAGGCAGGAGAATGGCATGAACCCGGGAGGCGGAACTTGCAGTGAGCCGAGATCCCGCCACTGCACTCCAGCCTGGGCGACAGAGCGAGACTCCGTCTCAAAAAAAAGAAAAAAAGAAAAAAAAGAAAATGTGGAACATATACACCATGGAATACTATGCAGCCATAAAAAATGATGAGTTCACGTCCTTTGTAGGGACATGGATGAAATTGGAAATCATCATTCTCAGTAAACTATCGCAAGAACAAAAAACCAAACACCGCATATTCTCACTCATAGGTGGGAATTGAACAATGAGATCACATGGACACAGGAAGGGGAATATCACACTCTGGGGACTGTTGTGGGGTGGGGGGAGGGGGGAGGGATAGCATTGGGAGATATACCTAATGCTAGATGACGAGTTAGTGGGTGCAGCGCACCAGCACGGCACATGTATACATATGTAACTAACCTGCACAATGTGCACATGTACCCTAAAACTTAAAGTATAATAAAAAAAAAAAGAAAGAAAAAAAAAAAAGAAGTTCTTTAGTTTAGATCACGTTTGTCAATTTTTGCTTTTGCCACATTGCTTCTGACATTTTTGTCATAAAATCTTTGTCCATGCCTATGTCCTGAATGGTCTTGCCTAGATTTTCTTCTAGGGTTTTTATGGTTTTGGGTTTTACATTTAAGTCTTTAATCCATCTGGAGTTAATTTTTGTATAAGATATAAGGAAGGGGTCCAGCTTCAGTTTTCTGCATATGGCTAGCCAGTTCTCCCAGCACAATTTATTAAATAGGGTTCCCCATTGCTTGTTTTTGTTAGGTTTGTCAAAGATCAGATGGTTATAGATGTGTAAATGTGTGGTCTTATTTCTGAGTTCTTTGTTCTCTTCCATTGGTCTATGTGTCTTTTTTTTTTTTCCCAGTACCATGATGTTTTGGTTATGTAGTCTTGTAGTGCAGTTTGAAGTTGGGTACCATGATGCCTCCAGCTTTATTTTTTTTGCTTAGGATTGTCTTGGCTATATGGGCTCTTTTTTGGTTCCATATGAATTTAAATTTTTTTTCTAATTCTGTGAAGAACGTCAATAGTTACTTAATGGTAATAGCATTGGATCTATAAATTACTTTGGGCAGTCTGGCCATTTTCATGATGTTGATTCTTTCTCTCCATGAGTATGGAATGTTTTTCCATTTGTTTGTGTCCTCTCTTATTTCTTTGAGCAGTGGTTTGTAGTTCTCCTTGAAGAGGTCCTTCACTTTTCTTGTTAGTTGTATTCCTAGGTTTTTTTTTCTCTTTGTAGCAATTGTGAGTGAGAGGTTCATTCACAATTTGCCTCTCTTCTTGTCTATTGTTGGTGTATAGGAATGCTTGTGATTTTTGCACATTGATTTGTATCCTGAGACTTTACTGACATTGCTTAAAGCTTAATAGGTTTTTAAGGACTGAGACAATAGGTTTTTGGACTGAGACAATGTGGTCTTCTTGACATAGAATCATGTCATCTGCAAACAGAGACAGTGTGACTTTCTCTCTTCCTATTTGAATATGCTTAGCTTCTTTCACTTGTCCTGATTGTTCTGGCCAGAACTTCCAACACGATGTTGAATGGAGTAATGAGAGAAGGCATCCTTGTCTTGTGCCAGTTTTCAAGGGGAATGCTTCCAGCTTTTGCCCATTCAGTATGATATTCGCTGTGGGTATGTCATAAATGGCTCTTATTATTTTGATCTATGTTCCATCAATACCTAGTTTATTGAGAGTTTTTAACATGAAGGGATGTTGAATTGTATCAAAGACCTTTTCTGAATCTATTGAGATAATCATGAGGTTTCTGTCTTTAGTTCTGTTTATGTGATGAATTACGTTTATTGATTTGCATATGCTGAACCAGCCTTACATCGTGGGGATGAAGCCCACTTGATTGTGGTAGCTAAGCTTTTTGATGTGCCGCTGGATTTGGTTTGCCAGTATTTTATTGAGAATTTTTGCATCAATATTCATGAGGGATATTGGTCTGAAGTTTTCTTTTTTTGTTGTATCTCTGCCAGGTTTTGGTGTCAGGATGATGCTGGTCTCATAATATGAGTTAGGGAGGAGTCCTTCCTTTTCAATTGTTTGGAATAGTTTCAGAAAAAATGGTACCAGCTCCTCTTTGTACCTCAGGTAGAATTCAGTTGTAAATCCGTCTGGTCCTGGGCTTTTTTTTGTTGATAGGCTATTTATTATTGCCTCAATTTCAGAACTTATTATTGGTCTATTCATGCAAGCAACTTCTTCCTGGTTCAGTCTTGCGGGGGTGTACATATCCAGGTATTTATCCATTTCTTCTAGATTGTCTAGTTTATTTGCATAGAGGTGTTTATAGTATTCTCTGGTGGTTGTTTGTATTTCTGTGGAGTCACAATTATATCCTCTTTATCATTTTTTATTATGCCTATTTGATTATTCTCTTTTCTTCTTTATTGGTCTAGCTAGCGGTGTATCTATTTTATTAATTTTTTCAAAAAACCACCTCCTGGATTCATTGATTTTCTGAAAGGTTTTTTGTGTCTCTATATCCTTCAGTTCACTCTGATGTAGGTTATTTCTTTTCTTCTGCTAGCTTTGGTGGTTGTTTTCTCTTGGTTCTCCAGTTGTTTTTGTTGTAATTGTTAGGATGTCAATTTGAGATCTTTCTAGCTTTTTGAGGTGGGCATTTAGTGCTATAAATTTATCTCAACGCTGCTTTAGCTGCATCTCAGAGATTCTGGTATGTTGTCTCTTTGTTCTCACTGGTTTCAAATAACTTCTTGATCTCTGCCTTAATTTCATTTTTTTACTCAGGATTCATTCAGAAGCAGGTTTTGAATTTTCATGTAGTCGTGTGATTTTTAATGAGTTTCTTAATCTTAAATTCTAATTTGATTGTGCCGTGGCCATAGAGACTGTTTGTTATGATTTCAGTTGTTTTGCATTGGCTTAGGAGTGTTTTACTTCCAATTAGGACATTGATATTTTTAAGAGTAACATTTACAATATATCAAGAGACACAAAATAGATAGAGATAAGTATAATAAAAATATGCAAGGTTTGTATGCTAAAATATATAACAAATTATGTAATGTATGAAATTTAAGAAGACCTAAGTGAAGATAGAGATAAACCATGTTTATTGAGCAGAAGACTAACACGGTTAAGATGTTCATTCTTCCCAAATTGATCTAATAATTCAATACAATCGAATCAAATTCCAACAAGCTTTTTATAGGAATATAGACAAGCTGATTCTAAAATTTATATGGAAAAGCAAAAAAAATCTAGATGGCCAGAGCCTTTTTAACAAAGAAGAACAAAGTTGGAGGATTCACATTACTTAATTTCACGACTCACTATAATATAGTAAGATAGTGTGGTATTGATTTAAGGGTAGACACATGATCAGTGAAACAGAATAGAGTTGGAAATAAGTGCATACATATATGGTCAACTGATTTTTGAAAAATGTACCAAAATAATTTAATAAGAAAGGATAGTAGTTTTGAAAAATTATGAGAAAAGAATTGGACATCTGTATTAAAAAAAACAAAGGAATAAACCAAAGAATACCAAATTCAACCCAAACTGGGTACTTTAAAAAAATAAGAACTCAAAATAGATCTTATAAATATAAAACCTAAACCTGTAAGACTTCTATAAAAAAAATAGGGGGAAGTTTTTATGGCTTTGAGTAAGGCAAAAATATTTTTAGATAGGATACAAATTGATTTAAAATTTTCATAAGATGGATTTCATTGACATTAAAAACATCTGCTCTTTGAAAGACATTGCTGAGAATACAAAAAGGCAAGCCACAGATTACAGGAAAATCCTTGCAAAACATGTAGCAGATAAAGTACTTCTCCCTATAATCCCTATAATCTAAGAACTCTTACAACTAAATGATGAGACTATTTAAACAAACATTTCACAGAAGAAATATGGATATCAAACAAGCACATAAAGTGTCAATATTTCTAGTCATCAGTGAAATGTAAATATCACAATGATGTTCCATGTACCCCCACTCAAATGCCTAATATATACATATATATTTAAAAATAAACAACTCAAAGTGCTGGCAAGGACGTGAAACAACTGAAATTCTCACCGACTACTGTTGGAAATTCATAATGGTACAGACACCTTGGAAAAACTCTTATTATAACATGTAGCAATCCATCTGTTACTCATTTATTCAATGGAAACAAAAACAACCACACAAAAGCCTCAATTATTTGAGCAGATTTATTCTTAATAGCCCTAAAATGAGAAGAACTCAAATGGTCATGAACTTCTGTATGCATAAATAAATCATGGCACATCTATAATATGAAATATTACAAAGTAGTGAAAAAGAATAAATTACTGATAAATGAAGCAACATGATTCCATTTATATGACATTGGTATATAAGTAAGCTTATCCGGACAGAAATGAGGTCATTGGTTGCCAAGGGCTGGAGGTGTGAGAAGTGGATTGATCCCAGACAGGCACTGGGAACTTTTTGGAGTGATGGAAATGTTATACATCTTGATTGCCATTGTGGTTATACAGCTGTATATATTTATTAAAACTCATTGAAGTGTTAACCTAGAAAGGTAAATTTTACTGCAGGTATATTATGCCTAAATAAACCCTATTTTTAAAAAGACTATTGCAGTGGTTTAAAGGAAAGATGGCTTGGGCTACGATGGTGGTGGATGATGGTAAGTGGTAGAGAAACCCATGTATTAGAAGGTAAAATAAACAGGGCCAGGTTAATGGATTGACACAGGGGATGAAGCAAAAGGAGTTGTATTTCTTTCTTACGAAAAAACACCATAGTACATCTAAAATTATAATCAATTTTCTGTATATCCATCAATCTTATCAGGATGCACACTCTAAGAAGTGGAGAGAAGGAAAGAGATCAGAACAAGACCTTACAAATGGCAATGTTGGTACAGCTCAAAATAGAGTCCACACATCCACACTATAATAAGGGCTAAGTCTAATTTAAAACTATAGAAAATATGTAGAGAAAAATTAGGACAATTACATCATCATTACGCTTAACAAACTATGCACAGAGCACATAACCTGTGAAAAGCACTCTGCTATGCAGGGTGTAATTAAAAGACCATATGGTAGGTTGGGGAAAAAAAACTCCAAAATAGAGTATGAGATGAGATGTGGCTACCTCTCTGTACATGAGTACTCATAAATATTTTGATCTTGGTCAAGACTTTTAACTTGTTAAAAGGGATGTTTAAGTAACATCTCTTTTGACTTTATCCTTCTTATATATTGTTGTAGGGTGGCCATTAGGAGATTACAATATAATTATTTAAAATTACTTATGATTACATTTGACAACTACTTTACAAGTGTGCTAAGTTTTAGGGATGCAAAGTCCTTAAGGAGATTTGTCTAGTGTGACAAGATATGAAAGCAATCCAAATGCAATTGAGAGATAGATGCAAATGAAGTTTACTTTAAACCTAAAATATGTGTATATTTTACCTGTGATTAGATTCCTCACCTTCACTTTCTACACATGAGCAAAGCATAATGTGTATCATCAATGAAAGCCAGACTCACTGCATGCCCCATTTTTAGAATGTATCCATATATATATATATGCATATAATACAAAAACGTTAGGAAAACCCATCTTCTTTTTTATGATGTGAGATAAGCAGAGAGCAGCCTTAACAGGTTATTTCTGTGTTACTACTTTCTTATCCCTATATACATGTTAAAAGGGCAATTCTAAAATCTCACCTCAAAAAATAAATATCACATTGTCCACCTTATTTGCTCTCACATGCCACATGATCATAGTTATTTGCTTGTTTTATTAACAATCAATAAATCAAGTCCCAAACTTTAATAAAATATACCTGCATTTCTGTGTGTCTCGGTCTGAAATCACAGGTAAGTCATTAAATTTTCTGGGTTGGGCACACACCTTAAAACAATTTAAGATTGTTTGCTTACCTCCTCTTTTGCCATCTCACTGAGACTAATCATTTTGTGAAAAAAAATTTTCTTGAAGTTATAAAAATCCAGTGAACTCTGTAAAACAGGAAAACTTCAATTGCAGTGTGTCTTACCTGGCTTGAGATGAGCGAATGGAATTTCGCCAGTGAGAATTTCCCACAGACACAGAGCATAGCTGAAGACATCTGCTTTGATGGTGTACCGAGTGCACTGCGTGAACACCTCAGGAGCCATCCAACGGAGGTTCTGCACATCAAGAAACATCCACAAGCCATTTACCAAGTGTTTGGTTCTTCCACTGCAGAGTAGCATTCTTCTTAGTGAGAATTTACTGTGTTCTCCCGATGCTCTCAAAAGGCATAAATATAAATTAACATCCATACATATTGCCCTCAGTGTGTGCAATAAACATGTTTATACATACACAGTGTGTTTACTGTGGCTGTTCAGTTCCTCAAAGGGCATTTTTTAATCATTGGAAGATCATAAAGTTCATAATTCTTCCTAAAACATCACACAAGTAATTAATCATCAAGTAAGTCTGCCTCTTATACAATGAGAAGCAGCATTATTTTTTTAAATCTATAAACATCTTCCTCCCTTAGAAGCCTTACAAGGTTCAGAATAGCCAACCATGGATTCATCCAGGGACCCTATGTCTCCCTGGGAGTGAATCACACACTGTGGGAGGCACCTCCTTCAAGTCTTCAGGTTGTAATTTAGGAAGTTACTAAATTAGGCCCATAAATAGTGTGCTCATGGCTGAGGAGAGAAATGGCTCCCGAGGAGTTCCTAGAATATTCCTATGAAGTAGATTTATCACTGGCTGGATCAGGTCTGTCTTACTTTCTCTGCCCAGATGTGCTATTTATGAATGCTGTTTGTGCAATATTCCAGAAAGGAAGCCCATAAAATATTACAAGTCCCTCCGTACAAAGTTCTAGCCTCTGTTTCGATGACATTATTTACATTCTTTTCATTTGTAATTTCACATTTTTCAGTTAAAAAAATTAGTTTCCATTCTGGGATGCAAATGCATAAATTTGGTTGATTTCTAGTTTAGGGCGCAGAACACTGGATTTAGAGTTAGGAGATGAAAATTCTAGTTCTGGCTCTACCACTTACTGAACAGCTCTGGGTAGCTGTTCAGTATGTCATGTTTCCTGGACCTCAGATTCCTCAAGGACAAAACAGAGGAGCCACACCCTCCCAGTTCTAAATCCTCATTGCACTTTATTTTATTAATAAACTTTGCTACACACTTTTAAATGTCCATTGAAGGAAACCATTATTCTTTTATCACTCTTACCAAAATCTTGTGTGTAGTGTTGGTTGCTAATTCTTTTGAAATGTCCACCTTATTTTGAAACCATGCATAGTTACAGCTTTCCAATAATATCTTTATTCTTATTATGGTGCTCATATGCAATTCTTCTGCATGAGCTTCCACATTCCAAAGAGTCTACATTTTTATAGCAGATTATGCATTGTGTCACAACATTGTATATGTGGGAGCAGGTACACAGTATGCCCGTTTTTGCACAGAGGGGTCATAGACTGATTAGATAACATACATAAAGCCACATAACTAATGAGAAACAAAACAGCTTTCAAAATAAATTTCAAATTAACTCTCTTATTCTAGCAGCATAGTCTTTAAGCACAGCACTAATTTATTTATTAGCACTAATTTATTTATTTATTAGTGCTGTGCTTAAAGACTATGCGGCTAGAATAAGAGAGTTAATATTATTTGCTGTTGGTTAAATTCAATTTAATTACATTCAACAAAAGCTTATTTAGTTGGAGAGTCTCAACTAACTGCTTTTTAGAATTATGTGGGGGAATTTTTAAAAGATGCAGGAACTCAAGATCAGTCTTAGGCCAATAAAATCATAATTTCTGGGGATCAGATTCGGGCACTATGCTTAAAAAAAGTTTCTAAACTTATTTTAATGTGCAGCTAGGCTTGAGGACCACTAATTTAGTTGCCTCTATGTCCCATGTCTGGGATGAGCTTTGTGTCCTGCCAAAAGATCACTTATTGTTCCCACCTCCCTTACCTCATAAACTGCCACTTTCCTCCTTGCTCACCTCACTCCAGCCATGTTAGTTTGAACACACCAAGAACTCTCCTGCCCCAGGACCTCTGCACTTACTATTGCCCCCACCTGCATAGCTCTCCCCCCATGTAGATTACTCCCATGTCAGGCCTCTTATTAAATGTTAACGTTTTCCTTCATCCTATCTAAATGTCAACCTCATCACTCTCCATTCATTTACTCTGCTTTTATTTTTCTTCATAACACTCATCACTGCCTGAGATATATTTTGTTAATTTGTCCAGTATTTATCCCCTTCCAGTAGAATATTAGCTCCATAGGAATGAGAACTTAGTTGATGATGCAAAAAATGAACAAGAAGAGAGGACTGGAGTTAGAAGCCTATTATGACACTAGTCCAGAAAAGAAGTGACGAGAATCTGAACTGAAGCAGCAGGAAGTGAGAGGTTTAAGAGGTTAAGATGAACTTAAAGAAAAGAAAGAGACATCCAGAAAAGGTGACTGAGTGTAAGTAGAAGCAGGAAAGGGAAAGAATGAAAAATTACTCCAGCCTTAGGTAATTAGTTATCACAAGTAGTCCAGAAAGAGAAGTCTACTTTTTTTCAGGGGGAGGGATTGGGGAGAGTGAAGGAGAGGGCAGGTAATGAATTTAATTGCAGACATTTTGAGTACAATTATCCTTGCTTCAGTTATTATAATTTATATTTTACTTAAACATTAATACTTGGATATACCACTTATTACATTACAATGTTAAAGTGGAGAACGATGAATAGTTAATAGATGCTGATGAACTACTAATTTTATTGTGAGTTCCCTATTAAATGTTTACTTTACTATAAGTAGTTAGGTGATCTAAATATGAAAAGATCCATGCCCACAACGTTCTTTTCAGTTATATTTGAAACATATTCTGTATTATTTTATCCATACTGTTTTCCAAATATATATCTTATCTATTTCTCTAGTAGAGCCTTGAGATAGTTATTTTGACAGCTTACTAAAAATAAAGACATAAGCCATTATCCCAACACTGAGACAATGACATTTCTTCCAATTAAAACTGCTCTCATCTTACGTCCTCTCATGCTGAGTTTACATATTTTAATTGGTTTATAATTATAGGAAACACAAGCAGCAGCAAACCCCAGGTTGTTTTGTCATGTTGTCTTCATCCAGAGACTGTAGAAATCTTGATTCTGAGGGAAAGAGAAAATAAATCACGTCAAAGGAAATATCTTAAAACCAAGGTAAAAGATCACAGTTAAAATTTTGAAACCTCAAGAGACTTCTGTCTTATTCAAATTCTCACTTCCCTTCTCTTGGCTGGAGATAAGAAAGAAGAAAAACTAGAAATAAATGACAGAGTTTCAAAATGTAGGGTCATTGAAATTTGAATGATTTATGGTAGGATAGCTGTCAGTGTTCAGTGTAGTATAGCTGTCAGTGTTCAGTGTTCAGTTTCATGGTACAATATCAGGCACCATATTGTACCAGCTAGGAACAAAGAAAAAAAGGATGCCATTTTGGGGTATCTCACCTCCAAAATCTGCCACCACAGCATGCCCATCCTCATAGAGAAGAATATTGTGACTGTAAAAAAAAAAAAAAAAAAAAGTAGACATTGAGTAAGCTTTGCTATGTCCTAATCTAATTGGCCCCTCAAAGAAGAGGACCATAGACATCATTTGTTTGCCCTAGAGAATAAATGGGCCCCAAAGGGCTAAATCAAAATTTTTTAGTTTTGCTGATTCAAAACAGCTATTTATAAAATGTAATCATGTTTATACTTTATCTAATGTTGAATGTATAAAGAATTCCTACTTTAGACAAACCCTCTAAACTTGTCAAAAAGACCCATCAGCTGAAGATCAGTTTTTCAGCTCCTTGAGGCTCATTTGCTAACACAATTGTGGTTACAAGGAAAGAGTGAAAAGCATCATGGGCGTATTAGAGTCAGAGCAAGAGAACCAGCTTGCTGGAACCCTAGGCACAAGGACAGTTCAAGAAAAGGCCTGAAATGAATGTAGCAAAAGGATTCTCTATGGAAAATGCCATGATCAATACATTCTAGATACAATCTCAGCACAAAGGAGTGTTTTGAGATCTGTGAAATGATGCCAACTAAACCACTTTTTAAGGTTTTGAGGAGAATAGCATAAAGGTCACCAAAGTCCCCCTTCAACCAAGAATTCAAGTTAGATTAAGAAGAGTGTCAGAGTAGATCTTAAATGTTCTCACAACACACACAAAAAGGTAGCCATATGAGGTGGATAGATATGTTAATTAGCCTGATTATGGTAATCATTTCACAATGTATACATATGTCACATCACCTTGTGCCTCATACGTATAACTTTTATTTGTTAATTATACCTCAATAAGGGCAGAAAAAAGAGTGTCCTTTTTAAGAAGTAAATCAAAGCTGAGATAGTCCAAAGAGAGCTTACTCTTCCCCATAATTAGTAAATTTAATTGTGGACTATTTTACAGACATGCATATGATAGTCCAAGATTGTCTTTGAATGCTTCTTACCATATGTCTTTGATGCCCATTTTACATTTGGCTTGTAAATGAGTCATTTCAGTATTAGGAGATTGCCACTGGATTTTTTTAGTGCATATGGGCTATATTATATTTATTTTATAATAAATTACATAATGTTCCTTTACCCTTAACTATTTTGCTTCATGGTCAAAACAAGAAAAATGCCACTATTTCTTAATCTTGAGTGAGTCCAATATGATATTGAATCACTTTATATAATTGCTTTCCCGCCTTGACTTGACATTTATAAAAAAGTTACTTTTGAACTTCTCTTGTAATTGCTACTGATTTTATCTTTGGAGTATAAATAATCTTCTTTTAAATTACAGAAAATCTAAAATATGTTAAAATCATTTTTCTTGCAGTAGCGCAGTGTAGAAGTATTCCAGGATGTCAAACAAAACAGGGACCTCCAAGATGATGTCTTTAACCACAAATTACTAATTAATACACATGATGAGAATCAGACTGTCCTGTCAGAGAACTCTACAGCACCAGGAGCTCTCTGGAAGTTCAAATGCAATAAGAAAATTGCATCTACACGCTGTACTACTAGATAGAGTGGGTTAAGAAAGGGATTAGCTTTGAAGTGGGCTTTGAAGAACAGTCAGTTAGTAAGTGTATAAATATGTGCTGAGACTTTATCATGTACCAGGAAAATTTCTTTATACTGGGATATAGTGGTGAACAAGACAGGCAAAGACTGAATTTATACGGTAGTGTAAAGGAGATGAGGCTGGAAGAGACAAAGGGGAAATGAATTCTAGATTGGGGAAAGATCTTGGCAAAGGGCAAGAGTTGGGAGTGTGTGTAGTATGCAATAGGAATTATACTAAAAATGTACTTACTAAATCAGAGAGTGCATGCTAAAAAATAATGAGGGAATATTTGGGTGAAAGTGGTGTTGAATTGCTAGGGAATTTGAAATTAGAGAACAATTCTGGACTTGATGCAGGATGTAGAAGGCACTAGTACAGGTTTTTATGCATATATTTTAATGCTCTGAAATCACAGACTGGTTATTTCCAAATAATTTTAGAATGCAATTACCAAATGACTAAAGTGCGAAGGTAGAGTAGAAAAAAGAAAGCAGTAGAGTGGATCCATCAAAATATCTGAGAGCAGTTTATATCTGGGAGCCTATCTGGGAGCAGTTTAAATATTAGAGACTAAAAGACAACAACAACAACAAAAACAAAGATAACCTCCAAAACTCTAGCTTTGTCTTCTAACTAAAGAGCAATAATATACACAGTGAGAAAGAGCCATATAACCAGAAAACCTGGCAACTTTTGTGAATAAACTAGTGGCTTAGTTGGGAGTCTGTGGAACTTGAGTCAGAGTTATGCTTGGCAAGATTAGACCCACCTGATAAACAACTATAACATTTATCACATTGAGGTCACATTCAAAATGAACTCTTATAAAAAACAGTAACAAGTCAAACAAAACAAAGGATGCAGTGACAGTTTAGGAACACAGGACAATGAGAGTTCATAGCAATAATGGGTCTAAATGTCAAAAGGATGCTGTGAAAGTGACTTTGCAGAATGAGAGCAACTTAGCAAGTGCTAGAATAAAGTGAAAGTTTCTATTCACTTCAAGATAGTCTTGGATTTGTCCACTCCTTCTCTAACCACTCAGTAATAATGAAAACTAAATTGTAATACCATCTCTAAGATTCTTTCACACATTTTTTCCATTTTGAAGTAAGCCGTGCTTCCTATATGGAGTGAAGTTCATGAAGGGGGGCAGGCAGGGTTGAAGCTGGCAGAACCTGTGCTAATCAGTCACAGTGACAGCTTCAGTGGGCATCACACCCAGAGTCAAAGCCTTTAAAATCAGGGAGGTTGTGTGAAGGGTCAGCAATGTCAGGTTTGAGGATACCAGGGAAGGAGAAGAGCTTGGAGCTGAAGCTAGCTAGGACAACAGAAGTGGTACAATTATTATTAAAGGTGAGTTCAAGAGTTTATTACTGAGAGATGTCGTGAACTACAAGTGAGGAGCAGTGTAAAGATTGTGGGAATGTGGGAGCAGTGACAGAGATGGTGGCAGTGCAGAGAGAAGGGAGTAAAATTGAGTGAGGGTCTCCTGTGAGCAGGCACTGGTGTTTTCAACATTTTTCCATTCCTCATGGAGCCACTATGGAGATGGTATTAGCATACCTATTTTACAGATGGATAATTGAGGCTAAAGAGGTGAAATCAGTGTCCTGTATCATAGCTGGGAAGAGGTAGAGCCAGGATTCAGTCTCCAAAACTTTCCTGTTTTAGGAGAAGCTGACTCTCACACCAACCATACCCAAAGGACGATGCAGGACTGCTATAATTAGATGTCTGGAAAGAAATTCCAGAAATCTTGTTTAGGTGAAGTCAGGCCTACCAGCTAGTGCCCAAAATACCTGTTTTCAATATGTTACTGTAAGGTAATGAGACTGAAATCAATAAGCTAATTAGAAATAAACCCAATATACCTCTGTTCCACCAAGGTAAAGCAGGCAAAGTCTAACTTTCCTCCCTTCAAGAGATTGGATGCTATGTCATAGGCTCTTTAAAGAAATGTAGGTTAAGGAAGCATAATCACTGCAAACAAGGAAAGTGCAATTTGACCTGGGAAGTAAGCCAGGCACATGAAGAGTGTCAACACCAGGGAGACAATCATCAGGATCAGAAGAGAGAAATAGAAGGGTGACGGGAATTCTCAGACTTCTTTTCCTTCAAAAGACCACCCAAGAGGTTTATTTACATCCATTTGCTCTTCTATAAAATCTTGAGAGAAAGGCAGTCTTCTGTTATATATGATATTGCAGAGCATATTCATGAGCATTGTAACATTCGTGGAAACAGCCCCATGAGTCAGATCCTTCTGATTTGAATCTGGCAAATCAGCAAAATTTGATTTGATTTGACAGATAAGCAAACCTGCAGTTGAGCTAGCGCCTTAGCCCTTACCTTTGAGGTCAAGGAAAATGGTTAACTTATACTATACTTATACTATAATATACAAACATGTACACATAAGCTGTGCATATGCATGTGTGCACACACACACACACACATACACAGACTTGCATCTTAAACTCTCCAGAAGCATCTTCAAGGGTGAAGAGTCACTGAGGAATGCTTTTTAGATAACAGCAAGTTTGGTAAAGACCATTAAAGGAATTTAAGTAGATAAAAGTCAACTAGTCCTTTATGCTTAGAGTAATTTTTAGCATTTCTGCATTTAACATTTTGATTTCATCTAAATAAGTGTGATTTCTATACTCCATGCTGTTTGCTAACTTGCAATTTTGTTGCGTCAAGTGAGGCTTAAGTTCAGAAGCAAGTTACTTAGTTCAAGAGCGTGCCCAGCCAACCTTGCAGTGTCAGCAGCTCAGAAGGCTTTATTGCTCCTTTTGATCACGCTGCTTTATAGGAGATATGATATGCTAGAAGCGCATTTACTAATCTGGAGATCTGAACAAATCTCTACATTTTACTGTAATGTATCTCTTTTCATCTCTTGCTCCTTAGTCTCCTCAGCTCCTTGCCCCAGATGTTAGGACTTGGGCTGAGGTTCTAGCTCAACCAATTACTGACTTAGTTTACTATCTCTGCTGCGAAGGCTAAGTTCTGTGCTAGAAATTGCAGTGTATGCCTTCAGAAAGACAGTGTGGTCTGATTGGGAATGAAATGCAAACTGAAAGAAAGATCAAGGTACATAATCTAAAATTTAAAGTGGTTTTCATTCTGAGATACCTAGAAAATAATATAGTGAATGTAAGAATTTATTATAAAAAAGATCATTAACCAAGTAGAAAAAAATAGTCTTAAGAAATATGAGGAACAGGAGGTACTACATAGAAAGAGGACCTATAGTCAGAAGACTGCTTAATACCTAGTTTTTGCTGTTACTAGTCCTGTGATTTTGGCCAAATTATAATACTTTAACTTTTTGAGACTCTTTTTCTCATCTTCAAAAATTGTAAGAGGAATGAAGAAAATGAAAAAGAGATAGATGGAATTTGGCAAATTCTGAACTGCTAAATAAGTATTAGCTATTATTAATACACATAATACCTAGCTTACAGCATGTCTGTACAACTTAAGTGCAAATGCACTTTTGTAAACAATAAAGCTGTATACATTAGGTATTAAGTAATGAATCTTGGAAGCAAAGTGACTTTCTGACTCAAAACTCACAATAGAGACAGACTTTACTGTGGAATATTTCAAGTCACTCTTAGTCCTAGAGAGTCTCTTCTCCTTCCACTCTTATTGTCTATTTCTCCAAAACTATTTCTGCTTTGATTGAATGACGGTGTTTCACTTAAAGGAATCTTTGTTCCCCTGACTGCACTGATACCACAGTATTTGGATTTGGCTCTAGCTTTGTCTTTTACCATGAAGCAAATGACTTGAGTTAATTGTTTATGTAACAGAAGTGAGTATTTATCTCTTTGAAGTGTCTGTCTTTCACAGATTACTCCACAATAATGTTCTTTTAACCTTAACAATGCATGCACTTAGTGGAATACAAAATATAACTGCGGGCAAGATTTACTTCATCTGAATAAGCGATGTGAATAGAATCCATGCTCTGACCTTCAGTTCTTTCTTCCTCAGTAACACGGTTCACATTCAGACATGAATAAGCTGTTTGCAAAGTGGTGTGTGCATATGTGTGTGTGTTGTGTTTAAATCTTATGTTTTCTCCAGATTTCTTTTAACCAAAAGTGAATGGAAGTTAAATTCTGCTGGTTCCTTTCTACAAAAGAAAATTTTCCCCAACCTCAGAATTGAATTAATTTAATGAAGTCATTATGTAAGGATCATGAGTCTTTTCATTTTAATTGCCTGTATTGAAAATTTACCTAAAGTGCTCGAATGATTCATAATCAGTTGGTTATGCACTGTAGTCCAATACTAATTGTCACTATTAATCAGACTGGCCTGATTATTAGACCACTTTCCAATTCTGATTTTCTTCCAGAGCTGGACTGAAGTTCATGGTGGCCTTAGAAGGATCAAGGTGACTTGCTACTTTCACTCCACTACCATTAGGAGTTCTTTAAAGTCACTTAAAAATTCATAAATATTAATTCATTTTTTCTGTAATTGCCTATGTCAGTTGTTACTAACAAAAACTAGTGTAAGGGCACCACGGCCAACCTCTCAGCGTCCTTATTTGAAGAGATGACAGCCCCCAGAAGTGCAGGCTTAATAACACAACTGCAATGCTTCCCAGGCTTCCTATAAGCCACTGTTTTCTGATGTATCCCTGAAGGTGATTAACTCACATGATTAAAGACACATGGCTGTGAGCATGCCTGGAAGCATTCCAAGGGTTAAATCAGTGGAAGCAATTAGGCTTCATTTTCAATCTCATCACACTGTGAAAGTCATTAGTTTACAAACACATCTGCCTGACAGGCAATCATTCAAACCTGATGCTAAGGAGTCCTGGTCTTCCGATCTGCTGGCTGCCATATTTTGCCCTTAGAGCTATGTGATGGCTCAGAACTCTCTTCCTGCCACAGACCTTTCTGGGGAGTCTTACCTTGGTGACCTTCAGCATAGGCAACTACATTTTTCTCTTCTCTTGAGTCTTCCTTGAAAACCCCTCATGAACTTTTGGCAGCTGCCACTGCCAAACTCAATGGGATACCTGAACATAAGACTCCCATACACTGAACTGATTCCAATTTGTTTCAAGGAGCTGATTAGACCCTTGAGGTGCAATTCACATCCACTTACTTTGGATCTTTGTACCCTTTCCTAAAAAACTCTTCCAAGTCATCTAGATCAGTTCCTTGTAGTTGCAAATATAGTCTCATATGCTTCCTATTTTGGTCTTTTTCTTATTTGATTCTATCTATCTACCTACCTACTTATCTAATCTCTGCTTCTTACATAGCTAGGTAACAATTGTTGATCATAAAGTCATTATCTTCTTGAGGATAACTGCTGGAGGTCCTGGTTTTGAGCCCCAGGATAACAGAGACAGTACGTTTGGGCTCAGGGAGATTAGCTCCTTATTCATGTATATTATGTGGTAACTGGACTGTCAGGAACTACCTGAGGCTGTTTCACAATTTGGGCTGCAGATAGAAACATAATAACAATTGTACAGTAACATGAGATATCGCATACTTTAAGTTCATGGCCAAATAAAGCCTCACCCGACATTCTGTTTTTACAGAGACAGGGTCTCACTCTGTTGCCCAGGCTGGAGTGCTGGAGTGCAGTGGTGTGATCATAGCTCACTGTAACCTCGAACTCCTGGGCTCAAGCAATCCTCCCACCTCAGCCTCCTGAGTAGCAAGGACTACAGGCACACACCACCATGTTTGGCTAATTTTTGAACATTTTGCAGAAATGAGATCTCAATACGTTACCCAGGCTGGTCTTGAACTCCTGCCCTCATGCAATCCTCTCTCCTTGGCCTCTCAGAGCACTGGGATTACAGGCATGAGCCCCTGCTTCAGGCCACTTCATCCTACATTCTTGACACCTCCGTGTACCTTGGGGCCTAACATAAACTACTTCAGACTCCTACCATGTCCAGAAGAATTTTCTTCAAGATAAATGAAGCCTATGGAAGTCTGTTTTTTAGACGTTATTTTATCAGGGCACTCCCCTCCTTACCAAAGGCCAGAGAACCTCAAATGTAGACTTCCCCATTAATCCCTTTGAAGGCAGTTCTTCACTACAAATACAAATTGTGATGTTATTATTTTATGATCCCAGAAAACAACCCTAGTTTGACTTCATATAGATTGCCTTGAAATTCCTCGTATATACCCTTGGTTCTGTAGAGGAGGTATGCAGGTGAAGAGCTGTGTTGACCATTCAATAGCTCCCAATACTCATCCAGGAATAGCAATACACAGATCTTAAACATAATCTAGGTTAGAGAAAAGGAATTTACCAAAGCCCCTATCATGACTTCTAAACATGGAAAGCCTAATTTCAGTGAACTCTTGGAAACCATGGAAACTGAAAACTCCAATAAATGCAAAGGATTGTAGAACCTTGATTTTTCCTAAAACAAACTTCAACCTGTCAGTAGAAGTATATTTGAAGGCTTACCTCTAAAGCTAGTGGATTTGTCCCACTGCCAGTGGGATTGAAGAGGTGGATTATAAGATTTGTATTGTGGTTAAACCCATTTATTGAGGGTAACGTGAAAAAAAAAAAACCTCATACTCTTCACTTACTATTTGCTCAGCACCATAAAAAGCAAGTGGAAGAGTGATAATGACTAAATAAATCTAACCACATACATGCATGCTATTGATTCTGAGGTTTCTATGAGCAAGTGCTCTAGAATGAACAAGCAAGTATAATTTTCATTTCTATGTATGGTTACAGTCATTTCTTATTCATCTTAACATGGTATAATCTTATGAAGAATCTTAGGTATGCAAACTGCAAAATGTAACATTTTTGAATGCTGAAGTGACGATCAAGGTAACAACACAGGAGATGACAGCTATGTATTCATTATATATAATTTGTTTTTTTAAATTTAAAATTGAGAAAGGGAGGAAGGATATTGGAACAAAATTGGCAATTTTTCTTCATAAGGACTAACATTTCTCTAGTGCATTGGTACCGTGGATGAACAGAGGTTTTTGACTTCCAACAATTGGTTGTGAAACTTGGATTTGGTGGTCACAGGTGAACAATGTGGGAGATTTTTTTCCCATAAAGCATATAGTCAAAACCTTAGAGAATAAAGAAGATGGCAAAAGATATGTTACATTTAAGTATGAAAAGGTAATAATTAGCTAGTCTGATTACTAAAATAAAGTCATCAAGCCAAAAAAAAAAAAAGTTTCCAACTTTTGCTCTTTAACTATTACATAAATACTGCTTCCTAGCCACCTTTCTGAATATTCAGTTTTGAATATACTAAAAATTATAAAGTCTCTATGCAATCCCTACTCTGTACATAAAGCCCTGAAATGCACTGGACATTTACATGTGATGAGCAAACACAAGTCTTCCAGAACAAAGGACAGGCAGGAAAACAATATGAAAATCTACATAGCAGAAATGTAGCAGACAGAAAAAAGGAGATATAGCAAGCAATATTTTAGAATTGAAAGGAAAAGATCATTAAATGATCCCTTATTCTATAAAGGAAGAGCTGTTTTTCCTCCCAAGGCCACCTAATGAATCATTTGACTAACAACTATTCTTTTTCCTATATTACTTACTCTTTTTTCCCTGAACTGAGGATCTAAGCATGTCTACAGCCTATGTGAAATGTGGAGATACAGATGCTAAAGGCACTAACTACAGGGCATCTATTTGCACAGAAGTGTCACCGGATTCTTCTCACTTACATTTAAGAAACCAGATCCAAGAATAACTCTCTGGCAATGTGCCAGGGACCTTCTGAGCACCTATTCAACATCCAGACATAAAAGGTCTGTTAATACTGTCCATCTCTGCATGTTAAAATTAAATCCTAGACACTAATGGGGAGGTGAGGGAAACAAAACAAGGCCAGGGAGAGGAGAGAATAAAGGAAGAACTATACGAAAGACGAGTAAGATAGAAAAAAAGAGATGCCATTGACATTTTGTGTGCCAAGTTTCCTGTTAGAAGACCCTGGCGTAGGTGTACATGTGTCAAGCAGACGAGGGCTGAGCTTAAAAATAACAGCTGTGAGGAGAGCTGGGCTTTATCAACGAACAAGGTTTTCTGTATTAAGAAGAGAAGCCTCAGACTTGGGCAACCCCAACAGAGCAGGCAAAGCAGCTCTATCTCTGACGAGCAGAGGCTTTGCTCCTGCAGAGCTTGACCTCTAAGGAGTGTTTTCTTTTAACCTCTCAGAAGGAGCCACAAATGAGTGTTTTTAAAAGTATGACTTCAGGGGAATTTGTTTGCAGCTCCTTGCAAAGTGGGGATTTGTTGGTAACTCAGGAAAGGAAACTGCTTTTACCTACTGGACTAATCTGAAACTATAGCTTTTACTATGGTATCTCCATCTCCCCTTAGCGAACACAGGGAAACTAAATGCCCATGTCTCTGCAAAAGGGCAGGTTAAAAATGTACTTAGTCCCATATGCCTTCCATCAAGGACACTTTGAAAATTCACAAGAAATGAACATAACTATTTTTTTTTAAATTCACTGAACCTTTCAGCGTCTCTTCAGTTGCTGAGAAGCTGTTTATTTTTTTCAAGACACCAGACAGTCTATCCCTGTGAGCTAGAAGTATTAGTCACAGGAATGGAAGTTATCAACCACGATGGTTTAGGGCTATTTTAGCTCTAACCCTTCGTCAATGCTGTGTGACTGTCCCCAGAATACCCTCTAGCTCCTTCTTGCTTCTCTCCCTCCCTTTGTTCATGGTGTCTCCTCCAAGTTTGAATTTACTTACAACTTTTTCTCTAAATAAATATCCCCATATTTCAGGACGCTGCTCGATTATTTCTTCTCATCCCGGCTTTCATAGTATTTGTTTCCAGTAAGGTTAGAAGCTCCACCGAAGCAAGAACCATGCCAGGGGAGTTATTGGTAACCAACAAACTCATACTGAATTAAAATGTATTCCTGACACTGGAGGAGTAAAGGGCAAGAAAGAATGAGAAGAATGGGAGAATTTTATGTGGTGGTTATATTTAGCAGTAACTTTCCCTAGAATTGAATTCGTTAGTTATCAGACCAAATTGTTATTTCATATTTTGTATAAATATCCAATTTGTGACTCAAAATAAACTTGCTGAGACTTAAAACCTTAATTTTTCCCTTTTAGTGTTACTCCAGGAAAATTCTTATCTACAGGTTTTCTATATATTCAACATTTACTCAATAAATATTTATGAAATATTTATTTGGCTTTTACTACATTGCTGGATATTGTGCAGGACACAGCTTTCCAATAAACTCACCTTTCCAGTAAAGATGAGGAAATGAGCTGAATAAACACTCTTCACTTTATCCCTCTAATCATTGACTGCCATGCCTAAGCCAGGCCCTTCTGCCTGAAGCTCTACTCACACCAATGACTTCTGCCTTATGCCCTTCCTGACCAACATTTTCCTCGTCCTTATTTTAAAACAAGCTTGTCTTGCCTGCTGTTTGAATCTTTACCCAAATATTCTAGCCTGCACCAATTGAGACTAAATGGTTATAACTATTTTCAGTTCCATACATTTGGTACTTAGTATATGTTCTCTCTTCTTACTACTTTTTTTCTCTTTGCACAGATCTCATATTTCTCCAGGTGGATTAAAACTATTCTTAAGCCACTTTGTATCATTTGTCCCCTACAATCTGAGCAAATTATAGCAGCTCAAGAAACATTATGGTTGTGAATAATCAATATAGTTACTGATATTACATCTTGACTCTTCAAAGCAACCTTCTGAGAAACATACTATGTCTCTCTCTTTTTTTTTTTTTTTTTGAGATGGACTCACTCTGTCACCCAGGCTGGAGTGCAGTGGCAAGATCTCTCAACTCATTGCAGCCTCCGCCTCCTGGGTTCAAGGGATTCTCTTGCCTCAGCCTCTCAAGAAGTGGGAATTTCAGGTGCCTGCCACCATGCCTGGTTAATTTTTATATTTTTATTAGAGATGGGGTTTCATCATGCTGGCCAGGCTGGTCTCAAACTCCTGACCTCAAGTGGTCCACCCACCTTGGCCTCCCAAAGTGCTGGGATAACAGGTGCAAGCCTCTGTGTCCAGCCTCTATTTCTCTCTTCTTTATAATCAATATTCTTAAAGGGTTTTCTGCTTCTACATCTTCACTGACCATCCCCTCTTCAATCCACTACAGTCTCATTTTGTCTTTACTACTCCAATAAACCTTTTCAACGTAAACTATTGTGTGGTTAAATCCAGTGGAATCTTTTAGGCTTTATATCATACCACATAATGCCTTTGAGCCCTCCTTCTTTTCAACCAAAGCTTGTTTCTTTTCTCTTAGTGAAGGACATCACCATGAATTTAGTTACCCAGATAAAAACTGGGGGCTGTTCTTGATTCCTCCCTCTTTCTCAGCTCCTTCATAAAATGTCACCATGTCCTAACAATTCTATTTTCTTATCTATTCTAATGTGTCCATTATGCTTTTTAGGTATTACTCAATTCGATAGTGTGCACTTATCTCCACTTGACAAATCAATAATCTAAGACTTTGTTTTCTAATATCTCATTTGTAGAACTACAGGAGCTCTCCTTTCAATGGTAGACATGATGTTAGGTATTAAGTAATTATAATGATAAGTATTACTCTGTGCGGGGCATAGTTGTAAGCAACATATGTTAACCAGTTTAATATTCACACAACCCAATGAGATATATAATTATTATGCAATTTTACATATGAAGAAGGAGGAGATAAGCTGAAGCATGAAAGGATGAATAACTCTGATAGTGCTTAGAAAATCTTATGAGAATGTGTAAGGAGAATATGTGATGTGTGACTAAACAGTTAAACCATATGAAGAAATGTAATCAAAGAAAGGTTAAGCAACTGCGGTATGGTAACACAGCGAGATATTTTGAATGCCTCATCTCATTTAGTCTCCACAGTAACCTTATATGGTAATATTAATACTTCATCTTTACAACTGAGGTATAAGGTCACACATTTGATAAAGTGTCAGAATTATGATTAGAATCCACATTGTTCTGGTTTCTAAATTCATTTACTTTCCTCCACATATGCTTTGACAGGGTCATACAGAATGATTTAAATCAAGTTAAATTAGAAAGTATGGCCTAGATTTCTAATTTGTTGAATTAATTTGGGAACATCTGCTTTGAATATTGTTTTTAGTGGAAGTAAGGAGAATGAGTGTTAGAAGAGCGCAGTCTATAAGCTACAGAAAGTATGTGCAACAAAGGGCACAAAAAAATGATGATTAAGGAAAAGTCTGGAACATGGAGAGACAAAAGAAAGAGGGCCACATGAAGGGGAGAGGTGAGGTGTGTACCTGTGGGAGGGCTGGGAGGGGAAGTGGTGGTGGAAGCGACCTTTGGCATCTGAAGGAGGAGATAAGCTGAAGCGTGAAAGGATGAATTACCCTGAGAGTGTTTAGAAAATCTAATGAGAATGTGTTAATAGAAAATGTGATGTGTGACTAAACAGTTCAACCCTATGCATATTTCATGATGATGTCTTTATGTGATCAGGTTACTCATGAATCCACCAACTGAGACAAAGCCGAAAGTTACCCAGTGATTTTATCCAAGTTTACCAATAGCTGCTGAGACTTTGTATGCATCATGGAAGTGACACATGATTAGTATTCTAAAGATGTCTACGAGCTATCCAGCACATTGTGGATACTTTGTATTCTGTGCTTTATCCCTGCTGAAGAACATTTTGTTCCTAAAGAATTTAGTGGGTTTTTTTTTGTCTTGATTTATGTATAGCTGTTCTATTTAACTCCATGGTAATGGAAACAAGAATCTTATAAAGATTACCCACATACCCTGTATAGTCAAGAAAACAAATGCAAACATTAATTTCAGTGGCTGGTCTCCAGCAGATGATGAGTTGAAGTGGCCCTAAACTCAGGCACTTGAAGTTTGGTTAGAGAGCTCTTGTGGAATGTGGAATGAGTAAGGGACTGTGAAGTGGAGACTTGGGTTCAAATATCAGCTCTGCCATTTAGTTCACTGAGTGATCTGGGGGAAGAAATTAATTGACTGAGCTTCACATTTCTCTTCTTTAGCAATGTGAGATTTTTAATAAAGATGAAATTAAATAATACTTGTGGAAAAAATCCTCTAGCATAAACCTGACATATAGTGTTTTTTCAGTAAAGAAATAAATAATGGAAATGAAATACCTGCATTGGAGAATTAATTGGTTGCTTTCTAATAGGATATAAATAAAAAAATCAAATGAGATATTCCTCACAGAGTGATAAAAAATACACATATACCTTCACTTTATTTCCGGTAAAGGGGATGTGTGAACACTCTTAAATAGTGAGAACAAGAATACATAACCTTAGGTAGAAATCTCCTGAAGACATTAACTCTTGTAGAAGGTATTAGCACATTATGGCTCTAAAGGCTGTGAGTGAGTATATATTTATCTCCTCAATTTAAAATGCCCTTTATTATGAGGAGTAGGTTTCTAAAAAGAAGTAATTGTGCTGAAAAAATCTAAAATAAATAATAATAATAATAATAATAATAATAATAATAATAATAATAAAAGCAATCCAGGGCTCTTCTTTCCTCCCTAAGTTGCATGTGACTCTTGGTTTTTCAAATTTTAACCAACTTGGAAAAATGCATTCAGAAAGTTGAAAACCTGGGAGTTTGGTGACCAGGAGGCCATTCCATGTTAAGAGTGCTGAGGGTGGTATGCTACACAGTGGGCCTGAGAAGGCCCAGCACATCCCCTTCCTCAATGACACAGAATGGCTTATGTCTTTACCCCTGCCAGATATTCGGGTGATGTCAGTCCTCTTATCCTTAGCAATCAAGCTAAGCCACTCATCCTTGTGAAGTATCTACCATTTTCTCATTTTGCAATCATTTTTCTTTCTGGTTTAAGTTCTTACAGCATTTAATTCATATTATAGTGTAGAAAGAACAGTGAATTTAGAGAAAAAAGATTTAGACTTTACCACAGCTCTACCAATAAATAGCTTTTCTTTTTTAAAAAATTACCTCAAATTGCTTATATCTAAATATGTTACCTCAATTTCTCTTATCTCTAAGAGCTACCTTGCCAGATTATTGTAAAGATTAAGGAATAAGTCTGTAAGACCTTTTAGTAATTTGCAAAGCACTATACAAATGTAATCATTCATCACTTATGTGTACTTCTGAACGCCCACTTGGCTGTAAACACCTTTAAAACATGAATCATCCTTTCAGTTCTTTAAATCTTCGCAATTAGAAGTCAGTAAGGTTTTGATTTTGATTTTTACACACTGGACATTCAGTAAACGTTATTCATGCTGGCAGTGTTCTGGGGCTTGTCAAATATCAGGAAGAGCCTTTAAACTTCATAGAGACTCAAGACAATTCCAGTAATTGCTCTTCCACCTAAAAGCAGATAAGTAACTGATGCTGACTATGGATAGAGAAAAGATATTTTTAAACCCACTTATTCCTAGTGTTCCATTATTGGAACGCTAAGCATGTGGGAGTTATTTATATCATGCTGCTGAAGTTCATCGCCAAGGTCTGATTTTTCACTCATGCAAAAATTCAAAAAATTGCAACCTCTAGCATAAATGGGTTAAGATAAGAAAAAGAACAAAACTAATTAAAATTCCTGACAATATAGATAAGAAGCAGCCATTCTTTTCTATCTAAGGTGGCATGTAAATTTGAAATCAGTTAGTTTCAAAGATTGATAAAAGTCACATTCCCAACTTTAAAGAGTTACCATGTGATAATGTTCTCTGACACTTATTATAGCTATTGCTAAAACTGGCATCTGCGGAACATTGCATCTTAATGTCAACGTTGCCTTGTTATGGCTTGAGTGGAAGCATTGCAGTTTGAATGCAGCTGCTTAATGACATGATAAAGAATTCTGAAGGCTGTGATGCTGCTTGCAGTGTTCTCTCCTGATAAAGTAAAAGTGTAGGAGATGTATGTTGGTATTTAATAATTTTGAAAGCTTTGAGAAAGCTGTGAGAGCTTGGCAAAACATAGCTGGCCAGAGAAGCACTTTGAAGTATTTCTCAAGCCCTGTTCTCATCCTCAAAGGCAAAGTGAAATTCAAGGAAGACACTGCATGGGAGCAAATCCCAGTACCTTCCTCTGGCAGTCTTTCTAGAGTCCTACATTGTTCTTTTCTTCCTTTTCTTTGAACAAATAGGTGCATAGAATGAATTATGTGAATTCTAAAATGTTAAATTTCAAACAGCAGTTTTAAAATATATTAATTTAAACATAGCAAATGATTTATTTGCAGTTTTACTCCTCCAAATATAGGAGAACTTCTTCTAGTTAATTTTTGGCTTTTACTACGCAGATTTCTACCTCTCTTGTAGTTGCAAATGCATAAAAAATGCATCCAAATCTATTTACTCATTCATTTCATATCTATATACTAAGGAATCAAAGTGCATGTCTCCCCTAAATTATTTTGTCTTTTCTCTTATCGCTCTTCCTAACACCCATGCCATTTGAATGTATTCTCTCCTCAGATCCTTATTATTTTCTTCTTTGATGTATAGCCATTTATGTTGTATCACACCCTCTTAATACATTATGAAATCTGTGAATACAATATTTATGTATCTTAATCATTTCTATACTTAACATGATTCCTGGAACATCATAGTCATCCCAGAGATGTGTGTTTAATGCATAAATGAAAGCATATTTAGCTTTTGTCAGCAATTTTCATTTGTTATGCTACTTTGATAATATCCTGTGTAGGTTATCCAAATTTTCTGCCTGAGAGCAGAGAACTAGATGGAAACTTTTGCCTGAAAAAGAATGGATTATATAATTTCATATATATGCTGAATATCTAGTTTGTAGACACAGGCTTTTGGGTACCCTCAAACTTCCTTTTGAAGCACCAAAGAAAAACAAAACACTTACACAATGTACACACATCACAAACACACATACACACAAATTCACAGTAGCACTATGATAGGCACTCAATACACAATAGCACAAATCGGTGATTGGCTGATCTTTCAAAGAAAACACCCCTAATTGTAGCATGGATAGTGTAGTAAGTTGAATGGTGGCCTCAAAAGATAAGACCACCTCCTAATTCCCAGACTTTGTGAATATTATCTTATTTGGATAAAAGGTTTTTATAGTAATTAAGTAATTAAGTTTTTTGAGATGAGATCATCTTGGATTATCTGGATGGGTCCTAAATCCAATGACAAGTGTTCTTATAAGAGATTGAAAAGAAGAAGACACAGACACACAGAGGAGAAGGTGATGCAAAGAAGGAGGCAGACATTGGAGTGATATGACCAAGAACCACCAGAAACAAGAGGAAAGGAACAGAATTTTCCCTAGAGCCTCTAGACAGAGAACCACCCTCCTGACACCTTAACTTTGAATCTGCCCTCCAGGACAGTGAAAGAATAACTTCCTGTTGTTTTAAGCCACCAACTTTTGATAATTTGTTACGAAAGCCACAGGAAACTAATATAGATGGACTGGTTAAAAAATAATTCTTTGTTAATTTAAACCCAGAACTTTAAAACAGCAACAGCAGAAACAAGAAGGAACTATGAGAAAGCATCTAAATGCCTCTTTGTGATTACTACCCACCTGCTAAGTAGGAGCAATCAGCCACAACTAAGCATATCATAGTGAATTATAAAACATTGCAATGACCGAAGGTATCCTATAAACATCTAAGAAAGAAACTGACTTAAATAAAAGGGAGTTTATGATGATTTTTATGTGTTTTTTTTTTCTTGAACATCTAGAAGAATGGGTTAGGGAGAATTTTGTTTTGGAGGTTAAGATGGAAATTGAGTCGTTAGTTTGGACAGAATATCAGTGTAAGATTAGGTTGAGCTGTAAATGCCAACCATTTTCCGTAAATTTTTACCCAATTAGAAACGCTCTTTGCTATGTAAAATTGACTACTTTATAATATTTAATATTCAAATAAAGATAGACAATTCACATTGGACTATAATAAAATTCTTTTGACAATGCTTTTGAAATCCAGTATCACCTCAAATAAGTTTTTGAAGATTAAAATTACTACTGAGAACTCTAAAATAAATTATCACAAAAGAAAAAAAAGCATTAGAATGAGCTGTCTAAATAAATTGAAGACACCAAATAACAACTTCTTAAACTAAGAGTTTATTTCTCTTTTTTATTTCAGAGTCCTAGAGGCAGGCTTCTATGGCTGATGTGGTGACTTCATTCGTTAGGAACTGAGATGCCTTCTTTCTTGCTGCTCTGCTCTTTCTGATGCACTGCCTCATGTTCAAAGATGGCTGCTTGAGCTCTAGCAATCACATACATAGTTCAGGAAGCCCTATAGGAGAGGGTGAAAAGGAAAGACCTCCTACCTTTTAGGAAGACTTCCCACAGTCCCATATAACATGTTTACTTGTATTTCCATTGCTTGAATGTAAGAGTCAGATGATGTTTTAATTGAAATAAAATTCTAGGCTGGATGCAATGTGCCCCAAATAAAATCAGGGATTTGTTGCTGAGGAGAATAGACATTGAAATTGGAAATAGATGTCTCATCAATACACATGTTGAGCTTCATGTATCTTTTTTTGTAATTTTTAGATTTTTATTTTTTAGCAGCCACATTTTACTTAAAAACTTTCAAATCTAAAACAGAATAATGCAATGAGTACACATAGTATTCTCCTAAATGTATCAATTATTAATATTTTGAGATATTTACTTCCTTCCTTTTATTCTTTTCTCTCTCTCATCTCTCTCTCTCTCTCTCTGACACACACACACACACACACACACACACACACACACACACACACACACACAAACACGTACACTTTTCTCCTTAACTACTTGGACATCATAGCATGTAACCCTGTTAGTTCAGACCCTCTGTGAATTAGATGCCAGTATAAGTTGGGCTTACAAGAGATATATTGTGTGAGCTGTGAGAAACAAATGGTTGGGGCAGCAGAAGAAGGCTGAGAGATACTTGAGACTCCTATGAAGAACAGAGAGAAGAAGAGATTAGGGAGAAAAATTTCAGAACGCAGCACATTTCTAAGTAAGTTTTGGCCAGGCCAATGGGAAGTCTTGAGCCAAAGTCATCTGTTAATGGGGTCCCACTTCTTGAGGACATGGGCCTGCATTAGTACACCTACTGTGCACAGCCACTGACGGGAAGCAGCATGAAGGGTACCTTGGCTTGAACAGGGAAGTACATGAAATATAGCCAACACGGCAGTCAATTCTGCTCCTGTCTACAGGAGATCTGAGCAGTACATTTTCATAGTTGCTACAACACCTAATACTTCATCACATATATCCTAAGAACAAGTATATTTCCCTGAATAATCAAAATGCCATTATTACGCATTTCTCTCTCTTTCATCTTTTCTCTGAAATTTCAATTTTTAAAAGATATCTCTGTTAATATGTTACACAATTACCTTATATAACATATTAACAGAGATATCTTTTAAACATTCAGTGGAGATGACCATAGATAGCCATAGGATTCTGGAGTTCAGGTGAGAGTAAAAGCTGGAGACACCCTAGTCAAGTCTTTTGTCTATCTAAAAACAATGGGAGGAAATAATCAGATATTCAAAGGCTAAAAATATACACACACCATGGAGTCTTCCACAAAGATATATTTTGGAAGAAATAAGTAGAAAATAGAAAGACAGAAATGAAGAAAACATAGTATAAAAGAATTCCAGATAACATTACTACCAGTCAAACATTTTTCTAAAAGATTGTGGTAAATATGACAAAATTAAATCGTACGGGCAAAAATTATTCTTGAAAAAGAAGATATTTAATGTAAGAATAAGAAAAAAAATCAATTAAAATTCATGTATCTAATTTCAATTACACTGGAAAATAATGAATAGAAGAGGAAGGGGAAACAGAAGCATATTAATTTTGTTGCTTTTTATCAGGGGAATGCAAAGTTATAATTTGGTTCTTGGATTTGACTATGTAAGCCACCTTCCCACTGTCACACCTACTAGTGTAAAGCCTCTACCTTTTGGGAGAATCTACTCCAATAACTTCTAGGCACCCCAAACTATGTCACGCATGCTAACAAAGACTTCTTTTCAGTTGCTCTGTGCTAGTTCCACAGCTCCTTCTTCAGCTCTGCTCGTTACTCTCCATCATTAGTGTAGCCCGTCACTAAGGTCCCTTTTTGGTAGTGCCTACAATGACATACAAGTTTATTATCACCCGACTTTGCTATGAATCCTTCACTTGAAAATTTGACTCTGCTTTTTAAACTCCTCACGTCTTTGAATTTTGGTGCTATGCTATGCTTCATGCCAAAGCAAGAAGAGGTTTCCCCAGTCATGTGCTATATTTGGACGCTTGAGAACCAGAGATACTCTGGTGAAAAGGGTAAATGTGACTCCCACGTACAGCACCTTCCTCCAAAGATCTCAGAACTGAAATTTTGAGGTGGAGCCTGGGATCAGTCTCAGACTGGGTCATCCTAGAAGACTTCCCCTTCCCACACTGATGATTCTTTCTGTTCTTTGTGTCCACAAAACTCCTCATGACAATTATCTAAAGCATATTCCTTTCTGGAAGGCAAACCAGAATGTCTGCATACCAGTAGTAGCTGTAGCTTGGCAAAAAGCTAGGACTCTCATCTCACTCATATTATGTAGAGAAAGTAGATTTAACAATAATTTATAAAAATATAAAGATGACCATAATCTAAAACCAAGAACGGGATATATATTGTTCAAATCACTGGGGAAAAAAAAAACAAAGAAAATTTAGTCTATATAGGAAAGATATAAAAAAGAAAATATCAAAAAAGTATAAATATATAAAGCATAAAGGTCAATAAAGTAGAAAGTATAAAAATCAGAAATTAGTAACATTTAATAAGTTATAATAACAAATGTGATTCTATTAGAGACAAATATTAAAAGACAAAGATTTTTACAGAAAGATTTTTCAAAAAGTAAGAAAGATTTACCAAATAAACATAACAGGTGAAAACAATGAAAGCAGGAATAATAAATGTTAGAAAAATAGACAGCTTTTCAAGCCATAGCTGTAGCAGTGAACAAAATACATAAATCTCTATACTCACAGTATTTACATATAGTATGAGAAGACAATGAACTTTTAACAAATAAATGAATGATGGGTCAGAGAGATGTAAGCTATGTGTAGAAAAATACAACACAGTAGAAGAAAAACAGGAAAAGCTGCAAGGGTGGGGGTGGCTATTTGACCTATAATGGTCAGGGAAGGACTCACTAATAGGATAATATTTGAGTGTGGAAGGAAATGAGAAGGACAGCCATATGGGCTGGGGGAAAACTGTTTCAACCTGAGGGAGCGGCAAGTGCAAAGGCCTAAAATTGGGCATGCTTAGAGTGTTCAGGAACAAAATAGAGGCCCCGTCGTGGCTGGGATAGAGTAAACCAGAAAGAAAGAATTTGTCAGAGTTTTCACAGGGACCAGATGACATAGGGCCTTCTAGACAATTGTATTTTGACTTACATTGCAAATGATTTAGGAAGCCATTAGAAGGTTTTGAGTGTAGGAGTAACATAATCTGACTTTTATTTTTTTAATGACTTTTGTTACTTTTTTGAGGTTAGGACAAAGGGTTGGGAGGAGCCAGAATAGAAACAGAGAGATGAATCAGGAATTTACTATGATAGTCCAGGTGAGTGATTAAGAGTGATTTGGATCAAGATGGCAGTGATGCCGATAGTGAGAAACAGTCTAATTCTGCACATACATTCAAGAGAGTTGACAGAATTTCCTGAATGGTTAGATGTCTTTGGTACCTATTGATTTGCTTATCTTTCTTATAAGCTTTCAAGTTCAATGATGACAGAACAGATATATTTTTCAACGTAGATCCTTTGTACCAACATAGCATTTGCCCTAAAACAAGCAATTAATATTTTTAAACTAAGTTCAATTTATATATGCTAATATACAGGTACATCAAAATGGGCATTGCTGAATAGCAAGAGAAGCACAACAATTTAAAAGGCATCAACACTACTCAAAAATTTTCCATCCGTTGCTTGACACCAGTTCATGAGCAGAATCACAATCCCAAGTATAACTGGATGTAATAAAGGTTAAAATTAGTATGCCAGATAAATGGTCCTATGTTTATTTTATTGTTATAATTTCTTCATATGAAACTCCATGCATATTTTATTCTTTAAAATGAAACACTATTAGACTCTTACATCACAATGTCAAGGTATAAATTTTAGAGAAAATGCAGAATGATTTGTTATTAATCAAAATTGTAAACTAACCAGCATAGATTGTTATATATGGACAGAATATTTTCAAGTAAAAATTTCATAGGATTTTAAATCCGTGATTAATTCAGATGCCACAAATGCAACACTAATAAACACAATAGCTCCGTTATAAAATTGTCACTCTGTATGTATTTGATGATCCATTCATTTTTTTCAGTAGGTTTTAATGAGGTGAAAACTTGTAGAGTGCTCCTATTCTGCTATCATACAGCAAATAGCCATGGAAAATGATGTACTCGTTGTGAAATCCAATGCATGATATGTATCTTAAAGCATTCTAAATGCAATGATAAATATATCAACGTTAAATCATCTGCAATCACACCATTAAAAGAACTGATTGCAACTGATTTTACTGAAATCTATGTATTGTTCTAACTTGGCACATTGTTTTCTATTCTCTCTGAAAGACACTTGGAACATTATTAAGAAATAACATGAAATAACACAATAATTTGGATGCACACTAAAACACCAAGTCTAATGTAGAATACTACTATAATCGTAAATTTTCGGCGCTTGTATTCAAAGTATGCAACGTTCTTTATACAGAATTAAAGTGCCTCCAATCAACTTCTATGGAAGTTGCTACATTTTAGTTTTATTAAAGGTAATGGCACAGATACTGTGGATTAAATACATTTTATCAGAAGATATCAGTTAATTTCTTAAACATTAACATATCAGACTGTACAATATTCTTAAAATTTAGGAACAATATGTGGCTCTACCGTAACAACACCTTTGTAATTGATTACCACTATTTCAGAAACAATAGCTTTCTTAATATAGCTTGGGATTAAGAAGAGGTGTGAAATGTTCTTTGTAAAGTGCAATGTATTGTGTGACTGTATTGAGAAGATGCTAGAAAATTAAAATGAATAAATTATATTTAATGTTGTTCTATACTAATATCCAGGAATTTCTCATTTGTTTCAGACAAGCCTGAGTGTATCGACTTTTATTTCTATGCTTTTTAGAAGAGCCTGTCTTATTCCTTTCTCTGTTCCTACAGTGTCCAGCACATGGGAAACTTTTCATAAATGTTTAAATAAATGACTACTCTGTGAATGAAAGAATAAACACATAGATGACTGAATTAATTACCAATAATCAATTCATGAAGGTGGCATTGTTAACCTGACATCACTAATAACACCTGTTTTGTATTCTTTTCTACCCACAATGACTATCTTTCACTGAGTTACCTATATTTTCTTACCTGAACAAGAGAGAACTTATGGTGTACATTTAGAGAAGAGGGGATTAAGATTGAATGTGATGGGCTGGGCATGGTGGCTCATGCCTGCAATTTCAGCACTTTGGGAGGCCGAGGCAAACAGGTCACTTGAGGTCAGGAGTTCGACGCCAGCCTGGCTAGCATGGTGAAACCCATCTCTAATAAAAATACAAGAATTAGCCAGGCATGGTGGCATATGCCTGTAAATCCAGCTACTCAGGAGGCTGAGGGACGAGAATTGCTGGAACCCTGGAGGGGGAGGTTCCAGTGAACTGAGATCACGCCACTACACTCCAGCCTGGGAGACAGAGTGAGACTCCATCTCAAAAAGAAAAACAAGGATTGAATGTGATGAAAAAACAGTACAAAATTATGTGGCCTGATGTCATTGAGTCAACGTGAGACAATATTTAATAGGTATCTTAAAACTCCCAAATCTTTAGCAACCTCCTACTCTGGCTGCAGCCACGTCCTCCTCCTTACTCCCAGCTTGGGCTTCTCACATGGTAATAGCAGTATTCCAGAGGGCAAATTCCTATGAATGAGTATATATCAAGCCTCTGCTTGTGTCGTGTTTGCTGGTGTTTCTTTGCCTAAATTAAGTCACTTGTCTAAGTCCTCAGTCAGGGTAGGAACAGACTACAAAAGTGTGTGATAACCAGGAGGCATGATTCCTTGGAGTGGGGGAGGGGATTAATATAACAATCTACCAAAGAATAATGGAATTAATTACATAGTCTGGAAAAGTTACTCTGGATGCAAATCAGAGATTTAATTAGATGTGAGGAAGACAAATCAGAGCCCAGCTCCCCACTGTTATGACAAAGAGCCATCCAAATCTCCTTACTCAATAAGCAGGGCTCTTTTATCTAATCTGTGTTGCTACCTTCCTACCTTTTTTGTAGCTATGTTTAAATATAAAGAAGGATTCTTTATTGCTTTGATTTGCTTAACATTCCATGGATAATACTTTGAACTATGTATTGAACAATATGTAAACTATTTTATTTTATATTTCTTAATAACAAACAACTCTAATTTACCCAATTCTCTCAGCCTGGAATGCCCCTTCTCCCATGTCTACATAGCTATGTGTCTAAATTCTGTCCAGCCTTCAAGAGAAGATTCAAATTCACTGTCTCTATTTCTTCTTCCTCCTCAATGCTCACTCCTCCAACATTTAAATGTTAATATCTCCTTACCTTATCTATATCCCGTGTTATTTTCTTTGTTGTGAATTATTATTTGTTTCCATTCTTTATCTATCTTACTATCTTTTAGAAAGCAGCAATTGTTTCTTATTCATTTTTCTATCCCCTCAGTGTAAGACACATAGTAGGCAATCAAAAAATGTGAGTGAATAAATGCATTAGCAGAATTTCAGGCAGCAGTCAGGGGTCTTTAAGGCCATTATTTCTGGACAAGACCTGTGTGTCAGGGTGGGGGAGGGGGTCCTTCTTCAATGTACACCAAATAGTTTGTTACCTATTTGACCTATGTGTTAGACCCCTTTTGGCTGCATTTGTATATAAAAATTTCTAATTGAGGGTTATCTCAGGTTGATACTTACAAGAACCAACAAGTTTTACCCATGGTTATTATCCTCTCTTTTAGATAAAAAGGTTGTATCTCAGTGTATCCGCACTTAGCTGCATCCCAAATGGTTTATAATGATGATAATTAGCAGTTAAATAGAGCCTTACCTGTTCAGGGGCCTTACAGCCATGCTTATTATTTAATGAAATTGTCACACTATTATCTTTTATTGAGAAATCTTCAAATATAAAAATCTACAGTATATAGACATCATAAAAGCCTGGGAGCTGATAAAACCAGTGATGCTGTGCATTTTGCCAGCAACTTCAATTTTATGGTATAAAATTGAAATGTGGAAGATCATTAGAACTTTTTGAGCCCTGAAACTTAGCATGCAATGTATGCTTTAAGGTATGACTACACAAAGACAAAAAAAATTATTTCCACAATAATCCACCCTTTGTTAAAGAGAAAAACCTTTGCTTTTCAACAATCTCTTAATCACCACAGGACACAAGTGAACACTGAAAGAAATCAGTCTGTTTGAAACTCTTGGTGAGATCATTCAAAGCCAGTCTCAGGCTGTGATTCCTCATAAGGCACCACTGATTTTGAGAGCACCATAAGAGCATAGTTAGGCTTTCAAAGAATACATCTCAATTCAAGACCCCTACTGGCTTTTCACAGTTATCTCATCATCTTGGCTATTACATTAGTGTATCTTAGAAGGAATACCAGGCTTTAAAAAAATTCTCTTCTTAGATGCCAAGTTTCTATCTAGTCTTTCATGGTTTAGTTTTGCAGCTGATGAGCTCTTCGAGAAATATTAGACAAGGTCTGAAACCAGGTTAATGAAAGAATTGTAGTGTAACTTGAGGTAAGCAGTGAAACACAAATAAAACTAGATTATTTTATCCTTTTAGAAATTAATATCTTCTTATTTCTCAAGAGACACACATTTGTGTTATGAAAATTTGGAGATTCATATATTGAGGGAGCCTGGAGTAGTGGAAAGTGCACTGGATTAAGAATCAGAGTTAGAAAATGTTAGTTCTAATCTCAGTTTGCCATTAACTAGTTGCGTGATTTTGGAAAATTAATATAAGCTCTTTGGGACAGCTAAAGTTCCAGTTTTAAAACAAGAAATTAGGGATTAATAATACTTTAATTTTAAAATTTAAAATGGGATTCTATAAATGGCAACATATAATTAAAAAATAGAAACTTCCTTTATTGATGTGGTTAACAGCCTGGGTCCTCTTGTATATTTTATCAGAATTAATTTGTCATATAGAATTCCAGTATTATATTCATCACTCAATAATTATTTTAAAACAAAATTGTTCTTACATGTATGCTTTAAATTCTTGCAGCTTAACTATCTTTTTGTTTTAGCATATTTGGCAGAGATCAGGGGTTAAACTATTTCCTTAAGTCCCATGTTTCTTACAGATTCTAAGAGTAATCACTGAATCAGTTGGAATCTTGGTGCAACCTCACTCATTGACTTTCATAGTAAAGTCACTAACTTATCCAATTGTCAATAAAAGAATAATAATAAAAAATATAAAATCCCTACACCCCACAATTTGAGATGTGCACAAATGTAATAATAAATATAAAAGAAAAGGTGGGCGTGGTGGCTCACGCCTGTAATCCCTGCACTTTGGGTGGCCAAGGTGGGTGGATCACTTGAGGTCAGGAGTTCGAGACCAGCCTGGCCAACAAGGTGAAAACTCATCTCCACTAAAAATACAAAAAATTAGCCAGGTGTGTCGCAGACACCTGTAATCCTAGCTACTCGGGAGGTTGAGGCAGGAGAATCACTTGAACCCAGGAGGCAGAGGTTGCAGTGAGCCGAGATGGTGCCACTGCACTCCAGCCTGGGTGACAGAGTGAGACCCCATCTCAAAAAAAAAAAAAAAAAAAGAAACAAATAGAAAATAAAATAGTTTACATATTGTAGAATACACAGTTCAAAGTATTATGCATGGAATCTTAAGCAAATCAAAGCAATAAAGAACGCTTCTTTATATTTAAACATAACCTCAAAAAAAGGTAGCAAGGTAGTAACACAGATTAGATAAAAGAGCACTGCTTATTGAGTAAGGAGATTTGGATGGCTCTTTGTCATAACAGCGGGGAGTTTGGGCTCTGTCTTTATTTAGTCAGACTTAGGTTTGAATACTGGGTTCTGGACTTCCTAGTTACATGACCTTGGGCAATTAATATAACTTCTCTTAACCTCAGTGTCCTCAAGTGCAAATCAGTGATAAATGTCTTTTCTATCTTATAGGGATGTTGAGAAGATCAAATAAATAATGAATAGAAAAGTATTTATAAATTGCAAAGTGCCATGACAATGTAATTTTATTTGATAGAATAGTTAATTCTGGTACCTTTAAGAAGACTCTATTTTTTTTTTTTTTGTTATATGGAGGCATTAGATGAGTGTCATCTTTCTTGAAGTCTTCTACATTTATACATAATGAAGACAAAGCTTTTTCTAATTAAGGCATATGTGTGATGAGTTTAAATAGGTTTTCTACAAAATAGTACAACAAAATGTCTTATACAGACCTACGTTATGAAATTATCTACTTAAATGTTAAACTATAATCTTAGTCTGAAGGATTCTGACAATACATTACCATGTTGCATTTGGATTTGAAGCAGGGACTTTTGCTTTTTAAAAATCCAGGTACACTAAATAAAGAAGGATTTAACTTTCTAGGCCTATGACTTGTGACTAACTTGAGTAACTGATGATCAACAGGGAACCCAGAATTAGAATGTCTATCTTTTCTGAACTTGATTTGTGGGCAGATGAAATGTATCACACAGACTTAGATTTCTTGGAAAGAATGAATAACTGGGGAAATCAGAACACAAGCCTGACAAAAACAAGAAAGAGAGAACTGAGTGCAGGAACCACATTGTTTAGCTATCTGTTATACATTGGGCAATGTGGAAGTTATTTTGGAGATAAATCTTCATTTATTATTCACTGGAATGCTATGAAGCCAGCAATATTAACTTCAGTTTTTATAGAAGAAAGCAAGAGTGCACAAAAGGGAATGAGCTGATTTAGTCCATGGGCTAACAGGTGGTATATGTAAATGAGTTTCAGTGATCACTAAGGTCTTTTTGAAAGCCAGCACTTCATAAGGAAGCCTATCCCTACTTGAAAATTGTCATCGGTTTGGCATTCAATGTCCTACCCATGCACTGTATTTTGTCGTGGAAACAAGGTAGATTGTTTTATGTGACATAAGGGTGCTCACATCTAGCTATTAAGTATGTGGTGATATTTAGAGAAAAGCAACTTGAAGTGTTTGAGAAGGGTTCTCCAGGAGTCTTGAGATTTCTTAGGGAAAGATTGTTACTGTATGGGAGTGGTAGTGGTGTTATAAGCAGTGACCACAATAGTAGGTCAAATTCATGAGTGTGATCTATGAGGACGAGTGACATTATGGAACTTTGAAAGGAAAAATTGGTGATAACCATGGGCATATACCTGTAGGGTCTGCAAAAGGAGCAGGTGATTTTCATAATGCTAAAGTTTTATATTATTATCTAGGCATCATAAGTGGTATCCCCTTACATCACTTTGTAGAAGATCTAGACCATCTTCTTTGGCTGGGACCTAGAAAAAGGTTCTAAATTGTACCATTCTGTACAAATAGCACAGAAAGTTGATGTAGTTTAGAGACCAGGTATCTCCTCTTCACTTAAAGTCAAGTATAAGATCAGCAGCTGTCAGGCATTATCTTCACTTCAAAATGAAGGAAATATATAAGTACTTCAAAATGGAGAAGAAGTGTAAATCTGAAGATGACAGAAAGAGTCAGACCAAATTCCACTCAAATATGTATTTTCAGAAAAACAATACAACAAAATCTATGACTGTGCCAAATGCAAATCTTTAATCATAGGACCTTAAAAATTATTTCCTGAATAAAAAAACGTTTGTATAATTTAATGCTAATTTAATTTTCTATTGATAACTTCTATACTATTTCCTTTACACTTAGGCATCAGAATCACATTTCCTTGTATCTGATATGGCAGAAATCCCTGCTGCATGGCAGAGTAGCAAAACAACCAAGATAAAAGATTTTATACAATTATATCTTCCGAGGAGTTCTGAGTTAATAGCATTATTTCTCAATCTTAGAAGCCCCTGGTAGACTTCCTAGTATATATTAACCACACTATCATTAGCTGAATATTTTTTCATTTATTTTAAGTGCAGAGGAGATAGCAAAAATTTTAGCAGAATAATCTTCACTGATTGTACTATTAACTTTGGCTTTGTTGAACATCATGCCTTCAAATATACATGTTAATCCTGTGTATTCATTAGCTTAAAAATAGCTCAAATTGACAACAGATTTATTGTTGGAAGGCTTGGATGGGAATGCATTTTCACTGATACCAAAGACACTAACTTTGACAAATGGAGTGCCAGAAGAGGATAAGGAAGAAACGAGGCAAAGAGCACATCTTTAAATCATTTGCTTGATGTAGGACATTTCTGGAGGTTCTTTATGTCATTTTGGAACAGCAGCGGAGACATTCTGCAGTGATAATAGTAAATGGCATAGGCCATTCACACTTGACTGTGGTTTCTGTTTTCTTAGTAGATGTAAAGCCTTAATAGGAACTGTGGTAGGCAGGATGGCCACTCAAAGATGTGTACACTGTAATCCCTAGAACCTATAAATGTGTTAAACTGTACATGGCAAAAATAACTTTGCATAGGTAACTCAGGTTACAGGCCTTAAAATAAGGAGATTATTGTGAAATATCATGGTAGTCCCAATCTAATCACCAGAGGCCTTAAAAACATAGAACTTTCTGGAGCTGAAGGCAGAAGAGACACAGTAAAGTATGTTAGGGAGATTTAAAGTGTGAGACAGATTCAAAATGTCTTGTTGACTGTAAAATGCAGGGGCCCACATGCAAGGATTGCAACCTCTAGAGCAGGGGTGCCCAATTTTTTGGCTTCCCTGGGCCACACTGGAAGAAGAATTGTCTTGGGCCACATATAAAATACACTAACACTAATGATAGCTGATGAGCTAACAACAACAAAAAATAACAAAAAACTCGTAATGTTTTAAGAAAGTTTACACATTTTTGTTGGGCCACATTCAAAGCCATTCTGAGCCACACACAGCCTGTGGGCTGTGGGGTGGACAAGCTTACTCTAGAGGATAAGGAAAGCCTTCAGCTGATAGCCAGAAAGGAAACAGGGACTTCAGTCCTACAACCACAAGAACTGTTTCTGCCAACAACCTGAATAGTTCAGAAGTGGGTTCTTTCCAGCAAGAGCCTCCCAATAGGAGATCAACTGACCCATCTCTCAATTTTGGCCTTGTAAAACCCAGAGCAAATAAATTAGCCCAGGCTTTTTAACCTATAGAGCTGTGAGATGATAAATGTATGTTGCTTTAATGCACTAAATTTGTGGTTATTTGTTATACCAGCAAGGAAAACCTAATACGTGAATATAACTAAATGTGAACATGCTTATAGTAAGCAAAAGTCCAATGTTCACATGTAAAAGTTTCAGATTAGTATTCAACCGACTTTTTGAAAATCACAAGAGAATAATAACACCTCAGTTGGCTTATTCTAACATCACTAAAAGCTGTTTACAGGGAGCCCAGTAGTTGATCATAGGAAATCATGTTTATTTCTTTCTATTTCTAGAACATTTTCTCTAATCCTCATTTTTTCCCCCATCTAACTAGCCTCTTTAATCTTTCCTCCTGATGTGCCAGTTGGTTCTGTCATAAAGACAGTGAGATAATCCTTGGTGCTTTTCTCTGTGTCATGAAGTCTTTTAAGTGCTATTTTGTAAACAGTTTTAAAAACCTCTCTAGTTCTCCGCATATCAGTTTTCACTACTTTGGTTTATTCTCATTATCATTCACTTAGATCATTGCTTATCACCTAAGACTAGTTTATTTACCACTTTTCAATTCTAAAAATGTAAAGAGGGTCATATTATTTACCTGCTTAAAATTAATGACTCCTCATAGTTCCAAAACTCATTTGCTTGGTTTAAACCACCCTGCGTATTTTGGCACATACTTCAGCCTCATGGTTTTTTTAGACTCATATCTATATTCTTTGATCAATCACACTGAGATACCTAAGCTCTCCACAACTTTTTGTATATGCTCCCCCGTCTCTAATGCCTTGTCTTTACTCATCACCTGAATAATCCAACTGGCACCTAAGAGCTAAACTTAGCCACCATCTCTTTCTAGAAGCCTTCAGTACTATCTTCCAGGCAGGGTTAGAGCTCTCATCTCTGTGTTTCTGTAGATGCCAATGCTTAACACTGTCATAAAACACTGATTTTGTTGACATTGTCAGTTCACTCAATGGTCTTTCTTTTTTTAAACTGTAAACTTCTTAAAAATAATATTTTTAAATCTTATATAGTCAACGACTGCCACATACTAGGCATTAAGTAATATGTGTTGAATGATGAAATTAATATGAATAAATGAAGCAACCAATCATCAAATCAGTTAACAGAGCTCTGGTTGCCCCTTAGGGCTAGGAGAAGCGGAATCATAACCAGGAGTTTACTTAGCAGGATTATAGTGGTCTATAAACATAAATAAGAATCAGAGCCACAATTATAGGAGATTCATAAAGAGGATGAAGCATAGAGAAGTGAAATTAGGTAAAATGAGTCCATAGTCTGGGAGATCAGCATAGGCCAGAGGTTCTCAAAGTGTGGTTCCCAAATCAGCAGCATTAGTCTCACCTGGGAACTTGTTAGCAATACAATATTTTGGCCCCAACTAATACGTACTGAATCAGAAACTCAGGAGTGAAGTCCAGAAATCAGTGCTTTAACAATCTGTCCAGATGATTCTGATGTATGCTGAAGTGTGAGAACTACTGTCATAGGCCAAGAGAATTAGACGGGTGACTTAGATTTTAGCAAGCACAGTCAAATATTTAAGATATCAAGTTCTTGGGAGGAAGGAGACAAGTTAAGAGAAACTGGGTATGAAAAGTTAAGCTGTCAAACCTGATGAAATTAAACGGGCAAGAAGAGATAGAAGGGATAGAGCAATAGATAGAGAAACAAAAAACAACTCATACAGCAATATTGAGCCAATATTTCCTAAGGTTGTGGGTCTTGATAGGTTTGGGGATGGGGAAGATATAAATTCTGATTTACCCTTGGTGGTGATGAAAAGGATGGATGTAATAATTCATATTTAATGAAAGCTTTCTAGGTGACTCAGATACACATTACCTCTTGTTCTTAGGTGAGAGGCATTTTCTTCTTACAATCTATATCCAAATCTCCTGACTTTTTATGTATGAAGTAGTCAATCCAGCTCAAATTAAAGGACATTGGGGTGGGCAGTGGGGTCCAGGTTCTTAACTAACACACATTACTAAATAGACAACACATAAAAAGGACCGAAGAAATTTCAATTATTTACTCTAATGGTGGTAATAAGAACAGGATGCAGGCAAAATGAAGCATAAGAAGTAAAATTTAAAAACAAATACTCAGCTCTCTCTTCATTATCCATGGTAATGTGATTAGCATGGACTTCAGCCAAGTCTTTCAACTATGTTTCTCATTAACTATGTACAAGAATTCTTAACAAGGAGCAGAAGTTCCATGAGTTTGCATACATGATGCCAAAGATTCATATAAGAATGAAACTTCAGTCAATTATCTAGGTGTGTCCCCAAATACAAATATTTAGCTTATGTAAACAAAGCCACTGGTTCATTTTCATTTTTCATGTATATATTTTGGTAGCTACAGCCAGTATAGTATTGTTTTTGCCCCTCTGATTACTTGTTATGGGTTTGAATCTAATGTTAATAGTAGACAATAATAATAAATCAAATGTCTATTGAACCCCACTTTATGTTCAATGATGTCTAATTTAATTAGTATTGACATACTGAAAGTTTGGCAGTAACACGGGAGAGAACAAATGTTACTTCAGAACTAGAAAATTTGGAACAAAATATAACTCTATTTTATGAACCTCAAGCTTGATGTTTATAAGTTAAAATCACTTAAAGAGGATGTACCGTGAGATTTTTACTATTGATAATAACAGATGAAAACTACTTCTGAGAGGAACTGTATAAAATATTTTTTGAAGGTTCGAAAACAGCTAAATACAGTGAAGAATTAAGGGGCTATGATCCAGAATGAGAATGAAACCAGGAGATGTGACTCCAGAATTATGGGTCACTTTTTCTCTTTGGAAATCTTCCTATTGCATTCCTAAATAAAATACCCAGAAGCACATAGATAGAACACACCAAGAGACATGTAAAAAATGCTGAGAGTAGCATATTCTTATTACAGAAATAGTTTAAATATCTATCATCATTAGAATGAAAAAATAATGATGGAATTTCATATTATGAATATGAGTGGAATACTACAGAGTTGTTAAAATTCCATTGGAAGAAGAATTGTCTTGGGCCACACATAAAATACACTAACACTAATGATAGCTGATGAGCTAAAAAAAAATAAAAACTCATAATGTTTTAAGAAAGTTTACACATTTGTGTTAGGCCACATTCAAAGCAAAGCTGTCCTGGGCCACATGTAGCCTGTGGGCTGTGGGGTGGACAAGCTTACTCTAGAAGATAAGGGAAGCCTCCAGCTGATAGCCAGAAGGGAAACAGGGACTTCAGTCCTACAACCACAAGAACTGTTTCTGCCAGCAACCTGAATAGTTCAGAAGTGGGTTAAAATGTTAAAATTGAAGACTCTACCAAAAAAGTTTAACAAAATAAACCAGATATGAAAATTGTCTATGAATCTACATATATAGAGTTAAAAATAGGCAAGTCTAATCCATGGAATCACATATCAGTATTGGGGAAGGGGTAATAATTACACATTCGAGTTTTGATTCAACTTGCCATGGTTCAAGACTTCCGTGTAATTCCAGAATAGGAGAAAAATGAGTTTTCTCCAAATGGTCCAAACCAGAAACACATTTTTTTCAGTGGGTTTTGGAGGTAGATCCACAGCTAATAATATCTTACTATTCCTTGCTTTGTCATAGTTCTCTCTACATAACTATTCCTGAGGAACTTGTAAAAGAAGAGCAGTATAATCACCATGAAAGCAGGCATTAGGCTTCCTGGGTTGTCTACTGAAATAACTTCTTACTACCGCCCCATTCCATCCTTTTCAAAAGTCACATAATTACTGCAAGAGTTGATTCAAGAAGTCAGATCACTTGACCCCGTTGTGTTTTTGTCTGTCTACACTTGGATAATTCTTTATGGTGGAACAAAATTTAGCTATTATAAAATGAAGAAATAAACTAAAAAACTCTAAAGGATGAGAACCAGATTATTCCAACTTAAGTTTATTATTCAATATTCAAAATATATATATATAAAATTTAACTTTGTATCATTTCCATCAATACCTTTTAGGATGGCAGAAGTAAGCATACACCTGAAATTGCATTCTTCCCTGTTAAAGTAATGAGCTCCCCTCCAGATGCAAATACTATGGGTGATCCAGATCCTAGAGGTAATGGCAGACCTTTGCTTGAAGAATTAAATATTGAAACATAAAATAAGAAGAGATTTGAATTAATTACATAGCAATTTTATGGTTTGAATTTACATGGCAAAGACGAATCTGATCATATTTGACATCTTATTTCTTCTGTTATTTTCTCTGTGTTAAGCTGTTATTATCTCTCTTAACCTCCTAATGGGAGAATTATATTTGAGCAATTGCCTCTCCAGCAACATTTGTGAAAATGTTTAGTACTCTAAAAGTACTTCCCTCTGTAGCTCATTAAATATTCTTTTCTAACTTGTTCAAATGGAGTATGGATTATTTAGCTTCCCAATAACTGAACAGTAGAATTTACCAAACAATGGCAAGCTATTTATATATTTTCTTTTTTGTTACAAAATGCAGACAGGTACATGCCTTCTCACTGATAGTGTTATTAAAGATTCAATACCACTTGTAAATAACAATGGTCTGAATTATACAGTAAAGTATTGAAACCAATAAATAAAAAGTTTGAAAAACATTTTTCTTCCCACTGTGAATGCATTAAAAAAAGCTTTAGAACATTGCAAAGAACTGTACAAAGTACCAGAATTGCATGACCTAGAAAATCAACCATATATGGCATTTGATGTGTCATATGCATGCACACATATGGGCTTGAATGATTTATAGGAAGATATCTATGTTTCTACGAAAGCTTTTCTATAGGTATAGAGGCTACCCTCACTTACTTAATGCCTTTGCCAGTACAGAACAACTACCTAAAAATTGCCTTTAGTATTAGGCTCATTGTCAACTTTGAAAAGTAAGAAAGTGAATATTGAATTAAAGACTTTAAAACTTTCCAATATTCTTGACATCCCTTTTCCAAGTACTACCAAGGTCAACTTTCTCTTAGACTTAAAATTATTTGGTGGCCATGTGGATTCTCAGGAATCTTATGGAATGCCAGGGTGAATGGAATGGCCAATTGAACTAAGGCACAAATCCCAGTCCAATTGAATGGTAGTAGCTCATGGAGGTTCCTCTTTCCACAATACCACCAGACATCAGCCTGGGGTACATGAAGAGTCAAGTAGTTGCCTTTGTTTGACTCACCAGTAATGTTTAGGATGTGGGTATAAGTTGAGAGTTCTCTCATGAGCTTATTGAACTCTGCCCCCTCCCTAGAGAAGCAAGAGGAGTGGTTCATATTTCCTATGGAGAAGGAGGGAATTGCTGTAGGGTCTGATTTCTGCAAGGTGGGAAAGAGCAATGATAGACTTTTGCAAGTCTCATTTCCCCATGCATCCCTGTCCTAGTATAGAGCCAACATGCAGTGCATTTGGTTGCGATTGATATACTATCCTAGGGGAAATGGAACCACCTGTGCCTCAGGCCGCCCAGGAGATCATGCATAACAGTTGCTCTCATTAAGAGCTAGTACCGAAAATTTGGACCATTCAACCTAGGTATTTACATCCCCATATCCAGTCTAAATTTGTAAAGTCAGCCTCAAGTCAGTTACCTTAATTATTTCTACTCTCTTAGGGTCATTGTATGGTGGATTAAAGGAAGTAGTGGGATCGGTAGTTATAGTAATCCTAGGTGGGTTTGGGTGGAGTTGGTGACTAGCCTAAAAGCTAACCATCCCATGGGATCCCTTCCTCAGATGTCTATTCCTAATCCATACCTCCAAGGTTCCTGGTCTAGAGTAGCTGGATTGTTTATGGTAATTAATATAGGATTGCATTATAAATTTCTACAGTTAGGTGGCATAGGGCCCTTATACAAATGTATTTTATTCTTTAAGGGTTTGTTTTTGGAAGAATGGCTCACCCAGCCTCAAAACTGGGTGGTCCACTAGACCTCATTCCAGCCAGCACAGGGCTTTCCCCAATAGCGACCTGTTTCAGGACATAGATATTTGTTTGCTTGTGACATCTGCCTTTGGTTCCCTAAATTCCCACAATGTAAGACTTGGTAGACATCAAATTTTATGGTCTGAGGGGTGAAGGTTCTAGTTATGTTGACTATTAGTTTGATTGGATATTCTTTTTCTATTGTGCTCCATCCAATAATTGTGAACCCTCTCACTCTTGGTAGTAGAATTAATCCTAACCACATCCACCCCCAATAACAGAGCCTGCCCATAGCTTCCTTCTGGGTTTTCCTTAGGGTTAGCTTTAAGGGTTCCTTAGGTGATCTATACACTTCCCATTCATCCTTTTCCCTTCCATCTGGGGATTCTTTTACCAGTCTCTTGACTCGAGTGTAATGTGTCCACCGCCCGCCCCCCGGCCCCACCCAGCTGTTCATAAGGCTGTCTCAGTGATCAGGAGCACTTGAAAGGGACCTTCCCAGCATGGGTGGAGCTTGTCTTCTTTTTGAGTCTTAATTAACACTGAGTCACCAGGCTGAAAGTGGTGAACCATGAACTCAAGAGGTGGGGTTTGAGTCAGAAGTCCTTTCAACCTAAGGAATGACAGTGTGGAGGATAGGTCCAGTATATAATTTCTTAAAAATTGGTCTTTGGTTTCCACACTAGGAAGGTCAGTAGTCCTACCTAAATACGGGAGTTCACATAATAACTTGTAAGGGGAAAATTCCAAGTCTTTCCTTGGGGTTGTCCTAATCCTAAGGAGTGCTATTGGGAGACATTTGGTCCAAGGCATTTTAGTTTTGCTTTTGGGTGTTTTTTTTTTTTTTTTTTTTTTTAATGGGTTTTGCTCTTGTTGCCCAGGCTCGAGTGCAATGGCATGATCTGGGCGGCTCACTGCAACGTCCACCTCCCGGGTTCAAGCGATTCTCCTGCCTAAGACTCCTGAGTAGCTGGGATTACAGGCGCCCGCCACCATGCCTGGCTAATTTTTGTATTTTCAGTAGAGATGGGGTTTCAACCATGTTGGCCAGGCTGGTCTCAAACTCCTGAGTTTGATCCACCCGCCTTGGCCTCCTAAAGTGCTGGGATTACAGGGGTGAGCCACCATACTCAGCCTTTAGTTTCTAAGATTAGTTTAGTAGTATGCTTTTTGAGAGTTTGATTCATTTTCTTGACCTTTCCAGAAGAGGGGAGATAACAAGGGGTGTGGTAATCCCATCTAATATGTATACCTTCCATAATTCCTCTTAGCACCCTCAAGATAAAGTGGCTCCCATCGTCTGAATCAATATTTTCTATCAGGCCAAATCTGGGTATAATTTGTTCTAAAATTATTTTGACCACATTCCCGGCAGTGGCAGTTGGGAGGGGGAAGGCCTCCACCCAGCCTGAGAGGTGGTCTACCATTACCAGTAGATACTTTAGTCTCCCTATTTTGGGCATTTCTGTAAAATCTACTTGAATGCTTTGAAATGGCCTTAACCCAAGAGGTCTCCCTCTGGTAGTCTGTTTTCTAACTACCTTTTTGTTTATCGTCTGGCAGGTCGCACAACCCCCACACACTTATTTAGCAAGGGTATAAATCCCTATACACACATAATTCTTGGTATTGCATCACACGTGGCCTGGGGACCCCAATAACTTCTCCTATGCAGTTTGGACATCAGTTCTCTCATTATGGGTTTGCTTACTTCTCTTCCATCAAGGAGCATCCACCTCCCATCCTCAGTTTGGGTGGCCTGTATCTTGCTCAGCTCTTCCTCCTTTTTAGAAAATTAGGGTCTGAATACCATCCTAGGAATATCTGGGATTAGGCTAAACAGTTTAACTTCTTCCTCCAGGGAGGCTTGCTTAGCAGCTTTATCCCCACACCTGTTTCCTACAGCATCTATAGTGTTTCCTTTCTGATGGCCATTTACATGAACTGTGGTTACCTCTGCTGGAAGCAGGAGGCTTTCTAAAACGTTTTTAACCAGTTCTCCATGTATTAATTTTTTCCCCCTGCTATTTATTAGGCCCTGCTCTGTCCAGATCTTTCCAAAGGTGTGTAGCACTCCATAGGGAATATTTGGAATCACTATATATAGCGCCTTCTTGGCCTTCTAGGAGCTTTAGGGCCTACATAATTCAGAGGTTTGGTCTGACTAGTTATTGGGTAATCTACCTTTTTCACATAAAGATTGTTTGTTTCCATCAATGACAGCATAGCCATTGTGTTATGCTATCATAACATATGATATGCTGCATATCACTTGGGATGACCCATCCACAAACAGACTCATCCCATCATGTAGTGGAGTTTCTTTAAGGTTTGCTCTAAGGTGAGTTTGACACTCTGATATCTAAACAGTTATGGTTTGATGCCTCCTCATTTTCCTCTCCTTTTCATAAGAAACTGGCTGAATTCAAGCAAGTATCTATTGTTAAGACAAATTATCTTTTTATAATAATATGGCTTCATATTTTAAAATTTGGGAACCAGTCAAGCATCTTCCAGCTCTTTGATTTAATATATTCCTGACCTAACGTAGGGTGCTCACTACCAGGGCCCTGATGAAGGTCAGCTTTCTACTCTCCTCTACGAGCAGGGCCGTGGCAGCTACTGCTTACTTGTACTTTTGTCTCTTTGCCTCCTGTCATTTATTGCCATTCTCTCTCTTTCTCTTTCTTCCTCTTGTACTCTTCCTTTTACATTATCTCTCTCTCTCCAGTCTCACCTTCTGTGTATCTCTTTAATTTCTGTCTTTTTCAGTCTTTCTCTCACTCATTTTCTTCTTCTGTCTCTCTCTCTGTCATCATGTTTCCTTTCTCCCTCATACTCGGTTTCTTCCTCTTTCTCTCTCTGTGCCTGAGCCGAGCTGTGGTGTGCCCTGGCTCCCCCGTGTCATTTCAGCAGCAGCTTTCATCAACAACTTTCAGCAGTCAGCTCCCACACACAGCTGCATGGCTGGCTTTCCCCTGCCTTCAGGGTCAGCAGCTTAACACTTTCTCTCCTTACAAAAACCTTCTGAGCTTCCCTCAGTAATTCCTCAATCGTTTTCTCATTCCATCCATCAGTCTTTTGCAGCTTCTTAGTAATATCAGGCTAGCTTTTAGTCACAAAATTAACCTCTAAGAGGCCTTGCCCTACTGGGTCCTCTGGATCTAATCCTGAATATTTTCTCATTTGATCCCTGAGCCTCTGCAGAAGCAGGAGGAATCTCCTCTTTTTCTTGTTGGTTCTCAAATGCTTTTGGGACATTCTGTGCCCTAGGAGTGGACTCTAATCCCTCTAATTATTAGCTCCCTAAGGACTTGTATTTGAACCCATTTCCTGGGGTCATTATTATCCCATCCGGGATGTGCATTTGGGAATTTCTGCTCAGCTGGCAGGACTCCTTGCCCGGGCGGATGCTGTCTCTCCCAAATGGTCATGGCTGTCCTTCTAATCATTCCCCTCTTCCCCAGTAAACAGAATATTCATGATTGACATTATCTCAGCCCAAGTATAAAAATTGGGTCCTAACAATTAATCTAGCTGCTCTGATAAACCGAGGTGATCTTCCAAGAGTGGCCTCATTCTCTTTTTAAAATTCCTAACCTCAGTACTTTTTAGAAGTGCACTCACAAATCCAACTTCTCCCTGTCCCACAGGGACTTCTCTAAGAGGGTACCTGTTAGACATCTGCTGTTTAGAAGGAACGGGGAAATTCTCAATGTCTCTCTTACATTTTTCTAATTCTTTCCTCAAGTTTGGATAAGGGTTTAAAGGAGCATTGGGTTTAGCTCCTTCATGACCCCCAGATTACTCTTACTCTGGCCTTCCTGCTGCCCTCTGATCTCCCTGTCCTCTACTTTGTGAGATGTTTGAGATGGGGCAAGCATGTTAGGGGATCCCAGAGCTTTTCATTGAGAGAAGGCTATTTATTACGCTCTTTTTCTTCCTCTTTAAGGGGGAGCATGAGGGTTAATTCACTAATCCAACAAAGAGCATAACCCATCTCCTCTTGTGAGGATGGGGTTTTATTATTCACATAAAGAATTAAAGCTTGGCACACTCAATCCTCATCTGAGCCAAACTTAGGCCAAGAGCCCAAAGGCTGATGAATGGGCTCTTTGGGCCAGATAAAACAGCAATATTTTATCATCTTCTGCTTTTCCCTCTGGGGGAATTTCAGAGGGAGTCTCTTCAGTTCCCTCTTTCCTCTGTTCCCTAGGCCTAGAATTCTTATTTCACATTTTCAGTTAGTCTCTGTGTCTGAGCTTTTCCCTGTGTACTCAGCCCCCGCACTGGAGGTTTCCTGCATGCCCTGAGAATCACTTCATCTGTCTCCAGCTGTTTCCCTTGTGGGAGGACATAACCACGGATTGGGACTCTGCACTCGCTTCGTATCTTAGATACATCTCAGTCACACACACTCAACCTCTGAAAATGCTGAACCACCAAGGCAGTACACATAGTCCAGTTTTCCTACCTTGGCTCAAACACGAGGTTGCCCAGTTGCTGGGGTGCCAGCTTTTCTCCCTGTGTCACTTTCATCATCTCCTGAATAACAGTCTCAGGTTTGTCTATGGGTTCTGCAGGGAGACAAGACACTTGGGCAGAGCAGGCCACCTAAATCAGGTGGGATGCATCTCCCCTCTCGGCTGGAGTCCCACTCCATGCAGGCAGAGTTCCCCATATAGGCCACCAGGTCCTGAGAAATAAACTCACCTGTCCAAACCCAAAGAAGGGACTCAGAGACCTTGAGAACACTGAAAGTGAGACTTTTAATGATGGTCTTGCAAGATCAGGTGTCTGATGCTCAGGCACCCCCAGCATGGTTACAACAAGCAATTTATCCCCTAAATTGCTTGTAGTAGTCCCTGGTTCCTCATAGGCTGGGTACTATGGGGGTCACAGTCTTCCCGGATGTCACCTATCAGTTGTTGTGTAGGGGCTTTAAGTGTTTTCTCTTTTTTTTTTTTTTGAGATGGAGTCTTGCTCTGTCGCCCAGGCTGGAGTGCAGTGGCGCGATCTCGGCTCACTGCAAGCTCCACCTCCCGGGTTCACGCTATTCTCCTGCCTCAGCCTCCCGAGTAGCTGGGACTACAGGTGCCCGCCACCATGCCTGGCTAATTGTTTGTATTTTTAGTAGAGACGGGGTTTCACCATGTTAGCCAGGATGGTCTGGATCTCCTGACCTCATGATCCACCCGCCTCAGCCTCCCAAAGTGCTGGGATTACAGGCGTGAGCCACTGCGCCCGGCCTAAGTGTTTTCTTTAGGGTTGTCCTGCTGCATTTTGTTGCAGCCCACAATACATTGCAATCCTATTTAGCTCAGAGGCTTTTCAAGTATTTGACTTACGACCTAAATAGCTGGGCAGGCTGAATAGAACAGACAAAAGTGAGCTATTTTGCAGGCTAGTAAACTTTCATCTTAGACTAAACTTCTTTGGTTTGGGTGAGGGCAGCTAAGGGGGGAAAGGGGGTTGCTGACAAGCAGGCATCAGCTATCCAGCAGGGGCCTAGTATATCCTGTTTCTTCTGTAGTTTGCTGACTTAAGCCTATTCAAGGCACTTTGTCTTGGAAATGGACCACTGTATACATTATTTCCTTCATATAGTAAATAAAATATAAAAATTATTTATAAGAGTTATTCACTTTAGGGAAGCATGGTTAAGCACGCTCTAAAAGAGACAGACTCTAAAAATTCAACAGCATTCCTTGAGGTCTTCCTAATTTTTAATACTAAAAGAGATTGCAACACCTAAAAGCTTTCTAACCACTGATTTGAAACATCTGGTGCAGTCCTGAATATGGAATAAATGCATATTAATTGATTTTGATCATAAGAGGAGGTTTTCCCATTAGCTTAAAGATAGCATTACCTTGAACCAGATAATATTGTTGATTTGCAACCATTTTGATCAATATTTGACCAAAGGCAGTTTCATACGGTTTACCCTAATACAAGTCCAATAAATCAATAGAGTTTCACTATTTTTATCCCATGGCTGTATGACAGGGGTCCCAACCTGTGGCCTGTTAGAAACTGGGCTGCACAGCAGGAGATGAGTGGCAAGCAGGTCAGTATTACCACCTGAGCTCCGCCTCCTGTCAGATCAGCAGGGTCATTAGATTCTCATAGGAGCACAAACCCTATTGTGAACTATGCATGCAAGGGATCTAGGTTGTGTGATCCTTATGAGCAAATCTCTAATGATCAATGATCTGAGGTGAAATAGTTTCATCCTGAAACTATTCCCCTCCTGGCCTTGCCTCCCCTCAGGGCCCCCATCCCCCACTTCCCCACCTTCTGTGGAAAAATTGTCTTCCACAAAACTGCTCCCTGGTGCCAAAAAGTTTGGGTACTGCTGCTGTATAATACTATTCCAAAAAAAGTCAAAATAGCAATTTTGTAAATATTTGTTACTTGATCCACCTTATTTTTTGTTCAAACTGGCTTGTGTGTTTAGACATAGCACAAGAGATAGAAATTGCCTGGAAAATTAATTTCTATTTCTAGTCCTTTTGTGGTCTGTTAAAGAAACAGTGATTTCAGGTGCTTGAACACAAGTAGCCCTTTCTCCACCCCATAAAGTAAGCTCACGTTCTTTTGATAGATGTTCCAGGCCCATATAAATTTTTCTTTCTCCTTTTTTTTAAATTATATGGTATGCTGATACAAAGAAAATGCTTGAGAATAATTTGTTTCTTAAGTTTTCAAATCCTTTCTATGCTCATTTTTTTTTGTCCAGAATGCTTTTCCATCCTATCTATATCCCTAACTAACTCAATATTCCTGTCCTTCTCCACTGCTTTAATGATCTGAGATAGCATATAGAATAAAATTGAAGAAAACTGCCCTGCAATTATGAGAATAAAATAAATATAAGCCAGTGCCCGCTGCCTTTCACCTATACCTTCACTCCTCTCAGCACACTGCTTTCTGCTAATCGTCACAATGACAGCCATGCTGATTATTTGCCACCTCTATGAGTACCACATGTTCTGTGTCTTCACAGTGCCTGGGGTGCTTTTAGAACACAGGAAAACAGCTATAAGTGGCTTGTGTTTAGGCAGAAAATGTTCCCAGAAACTCTAGATGCAAAAACAGTTATTTTGTATTCCTGAAGACACTTATGATACTGCCTGAACCTTAATTATGCTTCCCAACATTTGCAAAATTAAAACCTCAAATTAAACATCTCATTAATGTAGCTCCTTTGCAATTCATTCATTCGTTTCAAAAATGATAAAGGGGAAAAATTATGCATTTCGGGAGGTACTCGGTCACAATACCAACTCTCATTTATTGGAATGTCTCAGAAAATAAAAACTGCAAAGCCTGTTGTGGGAAGAGTGTGGAAAACAGGAAGTCAACCAAGTGAGTAAACATGAAATGGAGGATTATCCTTATTTGTGAGAAATCCATTCCAGCAAGAAATTGAATCAGGGGTTTCTGCATCTAAAGCAGTAGGGTTACTGATGGAACCTGGGAGAAATGACTTTATAGATGAGAAGTAGACTGGACTAAGGGCTATGGACAGCACGGTCTAGTGACTTGAGAACTAAACTAGGAGTCAGAGACGAGGAGTTAAATCCCAGTTCTGTTACCTGCTGAGTTTAAGTAATTTATTGTAATTCAGCAGGCTCATACTGAGCTCCTACCTCTGCCAGGCCCTAAGCCAAGTGCTAGGACTTTGTTCACACAATTAGATCCTTCTATTTTGCAACATCTACTTTTCCTCTGTACCAGATTATTCCCTTATCATGGACACCGGCTCTAGTAGCTCCCATCCTTCAAATCCCTCCCTGACCCACAGCCCTCTCCAGTTACAATCCAGTTACCACTTATGACAGACTTATTATAAGTGGAAAATATCCTAAGTGGACAGTGCATTTAATATCTTGATAAACTTATTGTGAAGTCAACTTGGGAGGCTGAGGCAGGAGAATGGCGTGAACCCGGGAGGCGGAGCTTGCAGTGAGCCAAGATCCTGCCACTGCACTCCAGCCTGGGCGACAGAGCGAGACTCCGTCTCAAAAAAAAAAAAAAAAAAAAAAAAAATAATAAGCTGTACCATCCTAAATCAAGGACCATCTGAATGTTTTGCTCATCTTATTTAAATTATCATGTACATTCAGCATAGTGATAACTTCTGACTAATTGAAAAATGCTCCCCTCTCAGCTCCCATAGCACCATTTGCTGCTGGCTTTCCTTTTTCCCTTTCTCAGGCCTTCTCAGTCTTCTCTGAGAGCACCCACTCCTCTGTCTTAGGTCCTCTTCTCTTCTCTTTTCTTTCTCCATAAATGATCTCATCTACTCCATAGCTTTAAAAGACATCCATTTGCTGAAACTCTCAAATGTATAATTTAAGTATTTGTCTCTTTCTGAGCTTAGATTTGCATTTCCAACTGCTTTCTGAAGGTCTCTTCTTAAATGTCTAACAGGCACCTCAAATTTAAAATGGCCACAAAAGACCTCTTGGTTTTTATTTCCCAAAAGCTACTTCCCAACTAACGTCTCAAAAATCTCACCTGTGTCTGCCTATTTCTTCTCTTCCCCTCATCTCCTATATGTATCTAGTACACTCTACCTAAACGAACAAACAAACAAAACCCACCAAATCCATTGCTTTCTCTCCATGTCCACTGTCACCATTCTATTCCAATCTATTTTCATCTGCCACTTGGAATGTCACCATAGATTCCCAACTGCTCTCTCAGCTTTCATTTTTGCCCTTTTCTCCCTAATACATTCAGAATATTCTAGTATTAATCTAATAAAATATAACCTCCATAAAGGCAGGATCTGTTTTGGCAACTGCAGTATCTCTAGTGTCCAAATATTTGTCGAATGAACAAATAAATAAAGCAGACCATGTTTCTCTCTTGCTTAAACATCTCAATGGTGTATTATCATATTCAAAGTAAGATTTCAGCTCAAAAATGGCCCACAGGACATACATGTTGTGGCTTTTGCTAAAGTTTTATTTTATTTTACTTTCTATCACTTTCATTATCCAGTGTGTTTCAGTCACACAGTTTTTTTTTTTTTTCGGAAAAAAATATATTTTTTTCATTCCTACCTAGAGATTTTTCACTTGCTGACTCATTATTTCTCTGGGATAACCTCCCACCCATATCTTTACCAGGATGGAGCTGCTTTGGATTATTCAGATCTCAGCTCAGATGTCACCCTCTCAGAGAAGGCTTTCATAACCAACAATCAAAATTAGTCTCTCTATTCCTAATAACTTACTCTCACATCTATACATTTTACAGCACTTACCATATCTAAAATATCCTTGCTTATTTATATTATTATCTGTCTCCTCCTGCCCTACCTCTCCTACCCACTTGTAATCTGTATGCTTCATGAAAGCAGAGACCTTTGCCATCTTACTTAATCCTATAACCTCAGTACTGAGCACAGTGCCTGGTAGATAGTAGGTGCACAATAAATCTTGGTAAAATAAAAAAGAAACGTTAAAATACAGTATTATCACTACTGCTCAAAGCACTGTGATGACCTCAATGAATATATCACTTCCAAAGAGTCATCTGAACCAGAAACATTTCAGAGTTAAATACTGACAATATTCACTCCTGTACCTTTTATAATTAGAGAATATAAGCCAATTTGCTGTTACACAATCAAAGCAGAGTACCTCAAAATAAAGTCCAGGAAATATGATTTTCTCTGTATGTTAATGGGTAAGTCTAATTAATTTTCAGGATCCCTAAAAGTGAGAGATAATACTCAATCTTACCCAGACTTCTTTCATCAGAGAGTCTTTTTCCATGGCATATCTCACTTGACCAGAATTCCAGAGTTTTCCTTTAGGAAAACACTGAATTAAAGAATCCAGTGATTATAGGAGCTATGAAGATGCTCTCTACATTTTTCTCAAACTCATTCTTCCCAGTTTTGGACTAATAATGAGACCTTTTATTTTTGCTCTGCCAGTGCTATTCATTGCCCACCACCTTTCAAATGCCTCTAATATCATTATCTTCTCCCAGTGTCCTAGATTTTTTAAGGTAACTGATACTTTTGACATCTTGTACTATCTAAAATTGTCCCTTTTCTCTTATCTCCATGATTACCCCTCTCTCCTTTTCCTAATGGCTCCTAATCCTGTATTAATGTTTTACCCCCACTGCTATTTCTAATTGAACTCTCTACATGAAGCAGTCATTTAATCCCACAGCTATAACCTTTTGTTTTCCTGAAATTTACATCTAGCCCTTTCCAACTTCTAAAGGGTCTAAATGAATGGTTAATCATTCAACAGTTTTTCAACACTTTCTATTTATTAGGCTCTATGCTTGGTGTAATGGTACTAAGGTTAGCAAAATGGTCCTGGTCCTTTATCTTGCCCAGCCTACATTCTAAGTGAGGTGGCAGAATTTAAAAAGTTCCAATAAAAGGAAATAAGTGTTAAGATAAGGAAGAAAACAAGTGTGATAGGAACACAGAAAGGCAGTACCTAACCTGGTCTAAGAGGAGAGGTGTATCAAACAAAGCTTCTAAAAGATACTAAGGTTCATGAAATTTCCAAATGCCCTCTACCATATTCTTCACAGTTTCCTATAAAGACGATTATTTAGCTGGCATTTCAAACAAAATGGTTGAAATCAGTTTCAACATCTTTATGTGCATCTTATTGTGTGCATCATTATCTACCCTGACAACAAGGCTGATTGACATCTTTCCATTTTTTCTTCTTCTCACCCTTACTTGGGATCAGTTACCAGATCCAGTCAATTTCACCTCTACCATAAATCTGTAATCTTTAGATTCCTTTGCTTTCCCATGGCTTCCGTCTCAGATCCAACACTCATTACTTCCAGCTTGTGCTATTTTAATTTCCTCCTGACCTATGGCAAATGCTCCTGTACTAAGCCACTCTCCATAACACTGCCAGAGAGTCTTGTATCTGTGGTCTGTTCCCTTGCAGTTAGCTGATACTGAGGTCGGGGCATGGTCTCTTCATCCAACAAAGTACTCTCAGTTGCATGAGTGCTTTGAGGATGGTTACATATTTGTGTTAGCTGCCTGTTGCAGGCAGCACATGAATGTCACAGATGGTGCACAAGAATTCCTAGCAAGAAGTTCCTGTACTGTGCTGGACTTCCCAGCTACTTATTGCCTAATTTGAAACCTGGAGGTGGGGAGACATTCCTGAGAGATGTTACTCTGGCAGTATGGAAGGTTAGTATGAGATTCTGTACCTGTAGTTTGATGGTATATTTTTCAAGCATCAAAAAATAAAAATAAATATAAAATACCAGGAAAATATTCAAATATGAGAACCGTTTTCCTTGTTATATTTTTCAGATAAGTCAGAAAGATAAATAAATATAAAGTTAAAAGTAGGATCATGTCAATTCTCAATTTTCAACCCACAAATTATTTCTGGTGACCTAATGTTTCCTTCCTACCTAATCAGATCTCAGGTGGCTGAGAAAAGACGAAGTCCGATGTTGTGGATGAGATGAGGAGAGGGAGACTGATTAGTTGTGGTTTGACTGTTAAAAGGTATATTTTTAATATTGACCTTGGACTATTACTTTCTTTGAATTGTCACTGCATCTGCATTTTCCTCCTCCTCCTTTTCCACTGTTTCTTGCTATTTCTCGAGATGATTAATGTAAACAAAGCATATTGTGGCCATCAAGAGGAAGAATATTTGTTGGGTAGGAGAGTGGGAAGACAGAAAAAAATTATTATTATTTTTTTTGTGACGGAATCTTGCTCTGCCACCCAGGCTGGAGTGCAGTGGTGCAATCTTGGCTCACTGCAACCTCTGCCACCCAGGTTCAAGCCATTCTTCTGCCTCAGCCTCCTGAGTAGCTGGGACTACAGGCACGCGCCACCACACCTGGCTACTCTTTGTGTTTCTAGTAGAGATGGGGTTTCGCCATATTGGCCAGGCTGGTCTCGAACTCCTGACCATGTGATCTATCCACCTCAGCTTCCCAAAGTGCTGGGATTATAGGCGTGAGCTGCCATGCCCGGCCTTAAGTGTTCTTTAAAGGTATTATTTGAAACTTACTTGTAACAAAGATATGAGAGTTGATACCTTAATAAACACACATTCAAACAAGTTATTTCTAGAACCATTTAAGATAAAGGGACCAAGAACTAACATTTATTGAATATCTACTATGTGCCAGACACTGCTAGCTATTTTAAAACACTATGAGGTAGATATTGTCCCTATTTTATAATGAAAAAATTGATGTTTAGAAATAACTTGTTAATCATTGCAGTGTTTTGAAGTGGCAGAGCTGGGATTACGCCTCGATACCGCCGACTTCAAAGTGCACAGTCTTTCTGCTATATTTTGGTTACAGGTTCTCTTTTATTTTTCCACTACTGTTAAAACTGCCATCTTGATTCCTAATCTCTGTATTGTTGACCAAAGCTCATGGTAAATTCCTTTATAAGAAATGATACCGAAAGCTTTTTTGGGCAAGCCAAGCCCAGCTTTTGAGACATGGGCTTCAATTTGGGAAGTCCCTATGGTTCTCTTTTTGAAACAAATCCTAGCTATGAAGCTTAATCTTCAAAGCAGGAATTTCTTGTGTATAAAGTTGTGTATTCTTGCTGATTATACAAACATTTGACCAAAATACGATTTTCATGGCACTTCACTAATCAAATGCTGAAAATATGAATTTTTAAATGTATTCGCTTGTTTCTTTTTTAATTGCTTTTTTTGGTTTCTTTGACCCAGAGTATATTCTTTGTTCTCACCATGGTAGGTTTTACATACCAGAAGATCACACTTTTCCTTAACATATTCTAAAGAATGTGAAGCACAATAGAAAACATGTATCATAAATTGTTTGTATTGTTCAATTGTTGAGACATTTGAACAAAGGTAAGCATAGGAAATTATACAATTACAGCTTTCTTTCAGCAAAAACTATCTGTTAAATGTATTTGCCAAATAATAAGAATGAATATAGATAATATATACTGTGTAGCCTGTCTATAGAAATTTTAACATTTACAAGTAAACAAATGGCTCTCTGAAATTCCCAAATCTCCCTTGTCTTGACAATGAGTACATATCCTTAATATACAGTTAAGGTTAGCAAAGTAAGTAAACTACTGTCCAAATGAGATCAATGTAAACTATATTTCTGTGAGTCATTTATAGTCATCAAGGGATGATTTAATTTATCACAAATACCTTCATCATGTTTATTTTGAAGTTTTAACTTTCACACTACCAATTTCTTTCTGTCAACTAATTTTAAATTGTCCAACCCAATTGTCTGAATTTGGGCTAAGCTGACCTTGGATCAGAGTACAAAAGAAAATATTTTTCACAGACCAGTTATTTGATATATAATTTTCACTTGTTGAGACTATGTAAAAGTGCCCCACAATTCTAATTTTGAAGAAGTCTGATTTTATATTTATTACACATGAATTATATTATTTATATGGCTTCCTTTCTTGAACTTGATTGTAAATTAATTAATTTATTGTATTTTTTCTGAGTTACTGTATCAAATTTCATTAGATCCCATAGATGCATTTTCTCATAAATGATATTTTATAAAAGGAAAAACTTATTCTAGCTGCACTCCCATGCTCCACATTTCAGTGTTGCATATCTAGTAACACATTACTCTGAATAAATGGAATGATTTTAGGGTATTTTTTTTTTTCTTTTCAGATGTTATATCTGCCAGTTTTCAATACTGAATAGGTCTGAAGTCTTCAATCTACCAGTTGTTTGATGATGTATTAGTTTGTTCTCACACTGCTAATAAAGACGTACACAATACTGGGTAATTTATAAAGGAAAGAGGTTTAATTGACTCACGGTTCCACATGGCTGGAGGCCTCACAATCATGGTGGAAGGCAAATGAGGAGCAAAGTCACATCTTATATGGTGGCAGGCAAGAGAATGTGTACAGTGGAACTCCCTTTTGTAAAGCCATCAGATCTTATGAAACTTATTCACTATCATGCGAACAGCATGGGAAAGACTAATCCCCATCATTCAATTACCTCCCACTGGGTCCCTCCCACGACACATGGGGATTATGGGAGCTATAATTCAAGATGAGATTTGAGTGGGAACACAACCAAGCCATATCAGATGATATATAAATACTCTAGGCCTTTCCTTTGCCATCCAATTTATGCACTTTCATATTTGGCTAAGGAGTAGTTTCTGTCATTGAATATCTTTTGCATCAGACCAGAACCTACAAGAATAGAAAGTAAGTGCACAGTCTCAAAGGCACTCTCTCATCTTCATTCCTGTCAGTGTTTATGGTGCTTGGACTGAACTCTTAACCTTTGCAGACAGCTATGTTGACCTCAGTGTGATACAGGTTTGTATTCATCAATGCCATCTTAGTAAACCTTTTTTTCTTCCATTTCAGTTATGTTGATTTTTCTCCTTTAGCTGGAATTGTTTTTGATATCCTTGATGAAATTATTTGGCAGATGATTATTTCTCCCTTTTAAGGTTTTGAAAAGGACAAATACCTTTGTTCATGATTGGAAAGGTGCCAATTCACATTACTTTACATACCTCTTTCTAAGATTTTCACATTTTTGTATTTACCACCCATGTTAGGCAGTTTACTTGTATCCACATGAGAAGGAAGAACTACATCTACTTAAAGACTACAATTTGATGAGTTTTAACAGTTATATACTCCTGTGAAACCACCATCTCAATCAATACAAAAAATATTTCTGTCACCCCAAAAAGATTCATGGTCCCTCTTGCAATCAATTCCTTTCTTATACCTCAGCCCTAGGAAAACACTAATCTTTTCAACTCTATTGATTAGTTTGCATTTTCTAAAATTATATACAAGTGGGATAATATGGTATGTACTATTTTACGTGTGCTTTCTTTCACAGGGCATAAGTGGAATGTAGGCAGAGAATGTTGACCATATTTGAACCCATAATTGAGATAATTCTGATCAATTAGGAGGAGTGAGGAGTAGCTGAGAAGTGAAAAGGATGGGTTAGATAAATTAAAATAAGTTTTACTAATATGAGTAGAAGGCACAATATATCGGTGCTGTTGAAACCATAAGGAATATTTAAAAATAACAAAAATCCTTATCAGAGACCAACTTCTGGGTCAGCTAAAAATTAAAAGTTTTCCATTAAGGCAACCAATAATCACTATATTTAAGAAGCTGAACATCAACATGAAAGAAAATTGTGAAATGATTAATTTAGACATAAAAATTTAACAAGTTCAGGAAACGTTGCCACTGTTTTTTTCAGGTTCACATGAATCTGATTTTAGTTCCCACATACTCTTTTCAGAGGAATATTTAAATAATTTGACTGTGACAAGCCAAACTGTTTTGAGACCTCATTGAAAGTCAAATGAAAACACTAATCAAATGCAAAAATATTCCAGTCAGGCATAGAAATGCTGCAGGTTAGAAAATAAAATGTTGCCTGTGAGAAGGAAAATCAATTGATTTAGAAAAAGCAAGTATTGGTTCAAATTTACATGGTCAGTAGTGGCTGGAAATCACTAAAATTTCAGGAGGTTGTATTTTTCTTCAAAAGCATCAGATAGTCTTGAGCTATAGCTACATTGCAAAACGAGTTTGTTTGACTAACTTTTCACCTAAGTAAAACAGAAAATCAGATCAGTCAAACAACTGATTGTCTTTCCCTTTCTCATTGTTTTTTATAGGCAGGCTTTAGTGACTAGCATGCAAATAATTATCTACAGCACAAAATAGCCAGAGAAGTGACTTGTGGAATAGCGTGTTAATTGAGCAAAAGAATGACTTTCACACTCTTAAATGCCACAGAATTGTTCAATATTAAGTGAGAACTACCTTCTCATTTCAGCTATGAATTCTAGAAAGTACAGCTCCTATGGTAAGGTGATCTGAAAAATACATTGCATTGCTATTCAGTCAGTGCTGCTCCTGTTTTGTGGGGCCAAATGACTATACATCCCTATATTTTGGATTATCTGACTACTGTTCCTGTTTTGTGGGGCTAAATGACTATACATTCCTATATTTTGGATTACCTAACTATCTAGTGTGTGTAATAACCTTAGTCTGTCACTTACCAGCTTTATCACCTTGATGATTTGCTAAGTCTCTTTTTAGCCTTTTTCTGTCATTATGTATTCAAAACTGTCATCATATAGAGCTACGAAGATTTAATTAGATGATCTCTGTAAAGCATTGAGTTCAATACCTGGCATAAAGAACATTAATATATGTTATCCTTATGTTTCTTGATTATTATTAATTCATTCATCTGACAAATATTAATTGAATTTTTATTAGGCCCCAGTCATTGTACAAAGCACTGAGAATAAAATGGTGAAAAATCCACAGCTCCTGTACCAATTAAGCTTAGTGTGTAGTGGGAACACTCTCAAGTTCATGAGCAATTTTAATAGCATGAGAAGAGCTCTCCTGAAATAAGCAAGAGTCTGATGTGCTGTGGGAACGTGTAGGAGGGCTTCCTGCAAGAAGCATTTGGGATAGACAGGAGTTAGAAGGAAAGTTTTATGGAGAAAGTGTGAGGAGGGGCACAGAGAAGAGAGAGGTAAGGCAGGGGCGAATGTTTGTGTCTGAGGGAATAGCATGTATTAAGAGCTATAATAAATGAAGCTTTTCAGATGAAGGCTATAGAGGCAGTTCCACCAAGAAAGCCAGAAAACAAAATAAGAACAAAAAAACTATTTTTTTTCCTCTCTAGCACTTACAGTGCTGAAGAACAAGCTGGGCAAGTAACAGCTCTTTAGCCTCACTCATATTTAGGAAGCAAAAAAGAAGAAACTTTGTCAAACCCACAGAAAATTAATAAAAGTTCAATGCTAAATGTCTGCCTGCAAGGCCACCCATATCTCAACAGAAGAAGACTCAGAATGTCTTTCACATTCTTTGTATGAAAAGAAAAAAAAAAAGAAATTAAAGAAAGAGAAAGAATTCGAAGCCTGTAATCAATCCTTTCCTTTAAAAAACCCAGCAATTCAGGAGGTCTGCCAGAGGCTGTCTTTCAGAGACCATGGACAGGAAAAAGCTTATTAAAATGTGCTCCATTCCCAAAGAAAGAGGTCACTCAAGATCCCCAGACCCTTAACTCTGAATAGATTTAATGAAAGCCAACTCTATTTTAAGAATTTAGAAGGGGGATTTCCCTCCCAAAAGAAAAGAAGGCAGACATCATCAACGCTCTAACACTATTTCATCTATGGCACCAGGCATGCTTTTCACTAACTTTCTGTAGGTTGCTAAAACCATTAAATGAGGGTTTAGTGACTGAGAATACAGTTCTTCACATACAAGGGTTGAAACATAATTGATACAAAGACCATCCATCCAGGATTAAAGAGTTCTAATCATTCTGTGAAGCTTGCATGCTCTTTCCTCCATGCTGGCCAAAGAAACACTGCATCTTTCAGAAAGGGACTATGCTGTTTCCCACATCATTTAGTAACAACAAAACCTTTCACCTTCAGTTAGAGAAAGATAATCTAGACTATTCTGCAAATAGTACTGATGCAGCAGCTGGATACAAAATGAATCTTAGTCCAAGACTTTCTGGTAACCCTGCTTTATGTAATTAATATACATTGTATACAAATATCTCTTGCAGAATCTTTCTCTAAAATCCTCCATTGACTGTTGTCCTGGTACCCTTATTAATCACAAGGGTATTTCTGTGAAAAGGTAGACATGGACATCATTATTTCCATTTTGTAAATCAGAAATCTGAAGCAGAAAAACGTCAAGTGACATAACAGCAACACAGTAAGAACATGAATAGAAATGACAAAAACGATTGAGAATTGTCTCTTGGGAATCAAAAAGGTGTGATAGGATGAATTCTTCCTTTTCTTTCACTACTGAAGGAAGGATAAGGGACAACTTTCTCAATGCTAATTTTGAAAACATCCTCCCTGGTTGTTTATGGTCGGAAGGACAACTGCTGAGTTGAGTCGCTGAGTGCTACTTGAGTATGGAGAAGAAAAGGTGCCTAACCACATAGGTGCTATACACATCCTCTGCAAAAATAGAGCCTCTCTTACTTGGATTTTTTAGTCTCTGGAATGTGCCTCTGATGATACTTCCCCTTCTCTGCCATTATGTTTCCAAATAAATAATGGTTGAATGTCTAAGTGGATGGTGTTTAAATTGCACCTTTAAGTTTTGTGAAGGAGCCCTAGGAAGAAGAATCACTGAGAAGGATCTTGGATAATCAAATAACCTTGCTAACCCTCAGCTACATTTTTAATCAAATTCTATTCCAGATCTGCTTCTGTCTAATGGGAGTATCAGACTGAATCCCTGATTCAAGTTCGAACCAAGAAGGAGTGAGAGGTCTTAATGAAGGCAGTAATCTGTTATTTGAATCCCCTTGACCTTCTCTATAGAAAGAGATCTACAGTAAAACAATCCAATTATTTCCCAGATCTTTAGGGCAAGAAGAAATTATCCATCTGAGATATTATAAGCAAAGTTTGTGTAATACAATAAAAAAGGAGAGCTAGATCATTAGAAACATTTAATTCAGGAGGGCAACTAGGGCATGCAAGAAAATTTAATAGTGAAAAGATTCTTTCGAAAGAATAAAGAAGAAAAATAATGCTAATAATGCTAATGTATTTTCTCATTTAAATCCAATAAGGTAGGCATTTAAATATAACCGTCTTGGAAATTAGAAAACTGATATGTTAAATAAATTGACCAAGGACACAGGTAAAATGTGGCAGAGCTGGGATGTGAACATGCTTAGTCTGGCTTCAGAGCCCATGCCGTCAATTAGTTCTCCTGTGGTCTTCCAATAGGGTGATAGCCCACATCAACACATATCCCCAGAGGCATCCATGCTGTAGTCCCAGCCAGAGAAGATTAACATTATTTAGAAACTTTCTTCCAAATAGGGAGGATTTTGAAATAGAAAATATTAAATGAGACTTTAAAAAGGTTTATAATTATCTGTATCTCTTTTTCAAGGCCAAATTCAAAGTATAGCTAGCTCTTGGAAATTCAATTAGAAACAAATTTCCACTTATTAAGATTGTTTCTCATTTATTAGCTAGAAATTTTGTTTCTGGGTCCCTAGTCAGTTTGCACTCAATTAAACTCCAGAATCTTAAGAACACAACAACACAAATCAATCTCAGCAAGCAAGGGTTGAAAACGATCAAGTGAGAAATGCACAGATTACCACACGGCAGCATTAATATCATTATTGAAAGGTTAGCTGCTTAGGAAATCGACAAGGTGCCAAGAGGGCATTCACAGTGCCTCCCAAGAAATGAGAGCAGAGAAGAAACGAAGCCAAACAGAGAAAAGCTTTTGTTGACATTTTCAAAAGCCAACTTTATTCAGGCCATATCCCCAAAGAATAGAAAATGGCAATGTAAGAAACCAGTAACACCAGAAAATTGCAGGCCAGTGAGTTCACCACCAGTTACAGGAAAGCATTTGAAAGGTTTTAGAGGATCAGGAGGGGCGTCGCTTCTCCCTTCCACGCTCAGTCTGTGGGTGCGGGAAGGTGACATTGTTACAGGGAAGGTACAGTTACCACGCTAGCTTTGAGCATTCGCACCGTGTGAGTGTTGTATTAAGGAAAGAGGCTGCAGAGTGAACCACTTCAACCACAAGAACGCACTGGAATAAGAAATCCTGTTGCCAGGTTCCAGTGTGGAGTAGCACTATTTTTATAGCAAATAAAAAGTAAATGTTGGTATCGCAGGATTTCTAGTTTTGGTCAAATTAGTACCTTTCTGTGCTGTTATACAGATACATTTATTTGCACACACACATCGTCTTGTGTAGCATTTCAAATGGCATACAGAAGATGTGAGATTGGGGAATTTGTCTGTCTGGGCTGAATGAGGCAAAGATTCTGATGGGAGCTACTGTAAGAGATGGTAAATTTGTCCAGGTTTATGCAAGCAATATGATAGTGTGGGGAAAACGAATGACTTTTTCTGACTTAAATATACCTGTTTTCATTTAAAGGGAGTGTGTCTAAGGGAATTTACTTAATGGGGTGTTAAGTAAGAGCACTATTTTTAGAATTGGTGAATGCAGCCAAAATTAAATGAGACCTAATGAAGGCAGATGAGAGAAGAACAACATTTTAACTGGCCCTGGGAGGAAACTTTAGCTATTTCTGTAGGGAGACAAAAAGAGGACAACTCAGGACTAAAGGACATTCTAGTAGTGAAGTATAGGGGGGAGAATATTAACCAAAGTGAAATGTCATGAGAATGTTTGGGACACAGTTGGCCCTCTGGAAACTATGAGCATTAGTCGAGGAGGCAGGGATGAATCTACCCTCAGAGAAAAACCAGGAAGAGTTGGATAGTGAATCTCTGTGGAAATAATGGGTAGAAACTTGAGTCAGAGAGAACTCACTGTTTCTTCTGGAGGTTCAGGTTGCTGAGGACAGACAGACAGACTGACTTCATAATATGGAAACTGAGCATGTCAGAAATGGGGATAGAAATTATGACTGGACACCAACAACTGAGTGCAGCTCATAAATAGGATTAGAGTAATTTGTAGAACTAAGTGGTTAAGGAGCCCCTTCTGTTGGGTGTGGTACAAGGTTCTCTAAATACAGTGGCCATAGTCTTTTTATTTTAATGTTTACTCCTGAAGAAAAAAAAGTGTGTGTGTGTGTGTGTGCGCGCGTGTATGTGTGTTTACTGACATATAGTGCATGAGATTATGACAATGTTTTAAAATGTATATAGCCTATTTCATACTATTATATTTATATAGTTATATGTTTTTCCTCTTGAGCCATATTTCAATTCAGGGACATAGTCATAATGAGGTTTTTCTTCTTGGACCACATTTTGATTCATAGACATATGTTGCCACACTCCCAAAGCTATTCTCATGCTTTTAAATTAACAAAAGTGAATGAGAAGAGTTATTTCAAAATTAATTCATATATAGCATGCTTTATTAAGTAGTTTTCATTCATTTCCCAATTACTGCTATTAGTTCATAAATTGTGAAAATACATTAATAAACTAAAAATATTTAGTATGCAACTAACATTATATTTGTATAACTGATTCATGCAAATCCAGATCAGCCTTCTTAATTATAACCATTACTCAGACACCTATTACCTGTTATCACCAGTATACATAGGGTCAATGTAGCACAGACTTCTGGCTGACCACTAAAACTCATTTCCTCTTCTTCTAGGCACACAGCTAGACTACATTTCCCAGGACCTCATATGGTGCCACCAAGACAGAGCTGACTGTATCACCCAATGCCAAGCCCTCAGCGTCACTGTCAAGTCACATTGGTCATTATGAATTGTGTAAATGCCCTTGGGGATTAGCTGAGGTGATGAAATGAAATATATATATATATATATATATATATATATATATATATATATATATAAAATTAAACTGACAACAACAACAAAATGTGTGCCATGCTAATGCCTGGCCCATACAACATGTCATGTACATCTTATATATTCTTGCCTCATTAGTGCTCACTTGAATTTGGTTGACCCCCTAGAAGTCACACGTTGAAGATGGGTCCTGAGTAACATCATGGATAGGGACCGCCTCAACAACTTGTTCATCCACACAATCAAGATGCAAATTTCAATTGTATTGGAACCATTATACGTTATGGACTCTATCGTTACAGCAGATAAACTACCCTAACTAATCTGAATTTCATATTGTAAATATTAATAAATTATATAGCTTAGTTTTTTCATTACTCAAAGCAGTAATAAAATTGAATCTGATTGCAGTTGATTGCTTTTTTAAGAAAAATTTTAACTTGAAAATCTGAAATCAGATTACAATTTTGGACATAAACATTTCAGAACTACAGGTAGCCCTAATCCCTAAGGCATCCATTGTATATTATGAATTAACTTTTCTTCTATGTACTCCAAATGATAGTGATTATTTCTCATGCTGAGGAGATTTGAAAATCATCCCTGAACTCACCCTCTGTAGAGCTGACTTCTTTCTTCTAGTTTTAAAAGGCTGGAAGCATTACGAAAACATATGGAAATGTGTCTGTTTATATGGGCATTTATATATAAATATGTATACTTATATGTGCATTGATATAATAGTGAATTAAAAAGACAGAGATCCACAAACCCATGGTACCCATGGCACAGAATAGGTCCAAAGATCTAGCAGTTTCCATGGGAGTTGTGTTATCTGTGCTAGGCTCCTTGGGAGCAAATTACTTAGAATTCGTGGGTGATATCAGAAAGTTCCCAGGAGTGTAGAATCTACACAGATAGCCGAAACAGAAATAAAAGTTTTAATATCAGACAACTGCAGTGCACACTGCAGTTCATGTGGGTATTCAAGGCTATAAACCCTAGACTAATATAGAATATGTACACATATATATGAATCCTTCTCTTTATATGTGTATCTATTTATTACATATAATTCTGTATTATATGGATATATAGTACTTACATAAACCATGTGCAATATAATTGTCTGGTATTGAAACTTTTGTATCTGTTTTGGCTACTTGTGAAGATTCTACACTCTAGGGAATTTTCTAGTGTCATTCATAAATTAGAAGTTATTTTCTCTGGAGGAGCCTTGTATGGTACAACTCCCATGGAAACTGCCAAATCTTGGGACCTATTCTGTGCCATAGGTACCATGGGTGTGTGGATCTCTGTCTTTGACATTCATTACTGAGTAAGTCGATACACAAATGTACGAATGAATGAATAATTAGACTGACTTTAGGGTGATTACTTTGAAAACATTTGGAGTTACGTTGTGACTTGATTCCCTAATATTCCCACTTTACTCTGGCAGCAGAGAAGAATGAAGTTATACGGCAAATGATCAAGAGGAATAATTGACATCAGACTAAAATGTGATTCTCAACCTTGCCTAGATATTGGAATAACTTGAAGTGCTCTCTCTCCAAATATGATACGTAGGCCCCAAGACTGGAGATTCTGATGTAATCAGCATCAGGATTTTCTTAAAGTTCTCTTAGATACTGTGCAGCCAAACTGAGAACCACTGCACTAGAACAATGTTTCCTCTCCTAGGTCATAAGAATTAATTGGTAGTCTTGTTTAAAAGTGTAGATTCTCAGGCCCAACGTAAGACATGCTGAATCAGTCAGTCCCTTCAGTGTCTTTGAATCTTTTATTTTTTTTTTTAATGAAGGCCCCCAAATGATTCTTCAGGAAAGTTTGTAAATGCTTCCTTAGGCTCTATGCTCTGCTGGAAAAAGTGTTATGATCTGTCCTTCTCACCTGTACCCCTACGGCATAGCATAGACCCTAGATCATATCATGTATTCAATAAGTATTTGATATTATTTAATTAATTGACATTTTTCAAGTGCAAATGAGTAAAAATAATTGATAAAATTTAAAATGCTACTTGTGATGACTGGTTTTATACTAGAGAATCACAGATACAGGGTTGTCAAGGATTTCATAAGAGTTTTAATGGGTTCTCTTGCAGGACTTTTATAAGTATGGTAATATAATCAGTTAATTGGTCTGCATATAGGTCTTCAGAAGTCTCCTGAAGATGATATTTGCCAATGGATGCAGAATTCTTTCTGTTTAAGCACTTATTAGAAAAGTCACAAGTTAAAGAAATAGCTGGGAGAGGGACTCTATAATACATGGAATTTGAGGAACACAAATTAGAAAATTAACAATTTGTTTATTTTACTTAATTGTTGTGTTTTTTTTACATGCAGGAATTTTATATTTTGCATTCAACTGAGAGGCAAATGCATATATCAAATTAAAAGCAACTATTATAATTTTCTATCAATAATATTTTTCTTTGGCAGTTCCTAAAATCTTCACTATTTGAGTTAAATGTCATCTTCAAAATTAAGATTTTTTTAGCTCATAACAGCTCTGTCTTTTTAAATTACCTGTCATTTGTCATTGGAAAGTTGGCTATTTTAAAATTATCACTCATTATTTTCCTTTATACCCACTAGAATAAGCTGACAGTCAAAAACGGTGAGTCCTTCTCAGATCTAGACCCCAAACTAATTAGTTATATCATATAAAAAAAACCTCTGTATGTATGAGAATATCGTTGTGACCCTTCAGTGGGTTCTCCTTGCCCGGTGCCTAGATAGATTTGATTTATCAAGACGGGAATTGCAATAGAGAAAAGTTTAATTCACGCACAGCCAGCTGTACAGGAGAGAAGAGTGTTATTATTACTCAAATCAGTCTTCTCAAAAACTTGAGGATGGGGGTTTTAAGGAAAACTTGGTGGGTAGGGGTCTGAAAGTGGGGACTGCTGATTGGTTGGGTTGGAGATGATATCATAGGGTGTCAAAGTTGTCCTCTTGATGCTGAGTCAGTCTCCTGGGGCCAGGAGACCAGATGACCCAGTTTATCAGTCTGGGTGGTAGCAGCTGAGCCATCCTGTACAGCATCTGCAAAATATCTCAAGCACTGATCTTAGGTTTTGCAATAGTGATTTATCCCCAGAAGCAATCTGGGGAGGTTTCTAATCTTTCAGTCTCCAGCTATGTGATTCCTAAACCATTATTTCTAATCTTGTGGCTAATTTGTTAGTCCTATGAAGGTAGTGTAGTCCCCAGGCAGGAAAGAGGTTTGTTTTGTGAAAGGGCTATTATTGTCTTAGTTTCAAGTTCCTCCCAAAGTTATTTTGGCCTATGTCCATGAATGAACAAGAACAGCTTGCAGGTTAGAAGCAAAGTGGAGTCAAGTCAGATCTTTCAGTCATAATTTTCTCAGTTGTAGTTTTTGCAAAGGTGGTTTTAATTGTGGAGTGTTTTTCCATCCCCAATATTAAAGGGAACAAATGAGGAATTAAGAGTAATAAAAAATGCATTTTGTATGGTGCTTCACAGTTTATAAAATGATTTCATATACATATTTCATGTGAATGCCATGTGCACTTTGTGATGGAGGTTATCACTATTTAATTCCTTACAGTGTTAATATAACATATAATACTATATCTTTATAGAAGGAGAATATCATGTATTTGATCCATGTATGTTTGCAGTGATGTTTCTGCTTCAGTGTCAAACAATTTGAAAAATATACTTTTCCAAGAAAAACACACAGCTTCTAGTATTAAGTAAAAAGTTTAAATCCTTTAAGCTATAAATAATGACTAGCAAACTCCAATGCCACAAAATGAATGTATAAATTAGACCAAATATAAGTTGGTAGGTGGTGAGGTCTACAGCAAATTAGAGAGGTACATTCCTGCTTGAATTATGAACATTTTCAAAATATTTAAACACTATGGGCCAAACAAAACCTATCTGCATGCTTTCTATGCAACATCTGTTCCACACCAGCAGAACATGGAGTGTGAAAGAAGAAATAAAGCAGGAACACAGAAGCATAAGATGATATGAGAAATTGTTTGGGTCACAGGAATTGACTTTTTAAAAGATTAAAGTACAGAGAGTAAGGCTGATAAATATTGCTGATGCCCATTCAATATCATCAGTACGCTCCTTCTATCTCTCTCTTCTCACATGGTTTTGCTGTTGTTGTTGTTACAGTAGAAGATACAGAATACTACAGACTTAGTCTCTTTAGTCAGTTTCCTTATCTGTAAAATGGAAATAATAACAACTATCCCATAGAGTTGCGTGGTTAAATGAAAGCATGAAAAACTTAGCAAAGCTCCTTTCATATGGTGATAAATAAATGGTAGGTATTATCATTATCATCATTTACATTGAAAATAACTACTTTCTTACTCCTTCCTTGAACTTTTCCTTAGTATATATAGTTGGCCCTCTAAATCCATAGGTTTCACTTCTGTGGATTCAACTAACCATGGATCAAAAAATTTTTTTAAAGATTGTGTCTGTACTGAAGATGTATAGACTCTTTTTCCTTTGTCATTATTCCCTAGACAATATAGTGCAAAAACTATTTACAGAGCATTTACATTGTACTAGATATTATAGGTACTCTTTCAATGATTTAAAGTACAGGAGAGGATGTGCATAGGAAATATGCAAATGCTACAGCAATTAATACCAGGGACTTGAGCATTCTCAGACTTTGGTATCCATGAGAGGTCCTGGAACCAATCCCCTGCAGATGCCAAGGGACATTTACTGAAGATCAAAATTAACTTTCAGAACTGGATGGTACAAACCCTCAGCTGGCTTTGCTTGCCATGGGAAAAGTAGAGTTCTTTTTTTTCACTCAAACAATTGCAACAACCACAAACTCAAATATAAAAGTGCCCCATCCCGTGGGCTCAAACATCCTTTTCCCTTTAAAATTATAAAAGTTATTGGGCAAGTTGGATGCTATACACAAGTAGTCATACTTATACCAATTAGGTCATTGCTTCGTGAAATGACACTCATAGAAATCCACAATAATTTGGTTCAGTTAAAAAATATTAATTAGACATCTTCTCTGTGTAAGACACAATGCTTAGTTCAGAAAATGTGAGATGAAGAGAGCAGTCTCTGCCCCTGAAACCCTGACTTGCCCAGGCTAATGGGGAATATAAAAATATAAACACACCATGTCAATACAAATGCAAATAAGTGTATGAGTTTCCCAGTCTCTGATGTGCATCTTTCTCTCTACTTCTTTGAGTGAGACTTTCTAGGTACCATGCTAAAGCAGAGGTTAGTATGCTGTGAAAAGCCTGAGAAAAGATTAATGCCTGTTCTTCAAACTCTACGTTTAGCTCCACATAGGCTAAGAAGCATTCTACTCAACTTTCATCTTTGACTTACTTGAAATCCTCTGAAAGTTGCTCTTTCATCATTTTGACCCTTAATTATTTTCTATATAAAGTGGAACTCTAGTTGCTTTCTGGGCATATGTCTTATTTGCCAAGTAGTGCAGTAAGCTCTCTGAGGGAAAGGACCCAGGCTCTTTTGAGCCATGTAGAATGCTACATATGCATGCATCTGAAAAACAATGTTTTGCTGTTGCTACCAGATTAAAGATTGATAGAAAATAGTCTACAAATAATTGATACAATAGTTTGGGACTCTGTCATAATGAAGGCACCTACAAAATGGTGTTTCATAAGATTTAAAAACTTTTTGATGCAATTAAGCATTTAGGTTAGATTAGAGGCAGCAAAAATTGTAGATATAAACTTATATCAGCTATATAGTAAATGTTCTGTTTTTATTTTAATCAACATTTATATTTTTGGTCCTGCCTGACAACTGGTGGTAACAACTTGCACATAACTCAGGGCAACAGAATATATAATGGCCCCACAAATGAAGAGTTACAGCTAGAGAAAACTTGCAATGATTACTTATTGCAATGATTACTCATTTGTTTTAATACCATGTGCAAAAATGTTTGGGATGGAAAGATAATACTCTTAAAACTCAAAATCATCGGTTTATATTATGCTAATTTATCATCTAAATCTGTGTCTGAAATAGTTAAATGTTTGTTAACGTAAATGTTTGGTTTGAAATTAAGAAAGGTAAAGAACTAATAGCTAAAAATTAAGAAATGACTTTTATGTGAAAACTAGTAAATAATTATAAATAGATTGAGACTTATTTACATTTACTTTCAATATTTAAGATTCTACCACTCACGTATCTGATTTATCTCTCCTATCTTTCATATCTATCTGAGAAGAGAAAAATAGCTGAGGGCAGTCTGAGCTGTATGAGCAACACAAAATTTATCAGGCCCAGAGAGACATGAGCATGGGACTTTAGTCATCTCTCCAATCTCCATTTCCCTGGGGCAATAGTGTAAAGGTATTTTGTTCCTGACTAGCTGTGTTACCCATTATCTTTATGTTCCTATAATTTTTGATTAAAGAACAAGGTACAACCAATCAATAGTTTATATTATTTATGTAAATTCTTTGTAAACAACTTAAAAACTGCTTTTTTTTTTTTTTTTTTTTTTCTTAAAAACTATCTTGTAACCACTGCTAATTGGAGTATGTATTCAGGACAACTTGAGTCCATGCTCATGGGTAATGATCCTCAAGCTTTGAGCTTGAATAAACTCTGTATTTTGTTATTTAAAGTTGACATGTCTCTTCCTTTCATATCCACTGCCACCGGTGAAATTCTGCTTTTCGTTACTTCTTATCTAGATTACTGCAACAACTCCCTCACTAGTTTCTTGACTTTCCCTTCAAGTTGATATTTTACCAGATGCTGGATTCATCTTTCAATAATATAGCTCCAAATTTGTGATTTTCAGCTCAAACCTCTTTATGGTCTCCTTACAGGAAAAAAAATCTGAAATACCTTAGTAATAGCATTCACTGGTGTCTGTGCTCTTTTTCTATTTTTCTATACCTTTTTCCAGTTGTCCACTTCTTACATTATACACATTACATACATTTATACACTTTGTATACTAAAATGAAACTATAGTTCCTATATATACCTTTAACTTTCTAATCTCTATGCATTTTATTATGTCTTCCCTAAGCCTATAGGATGCTCTTCCAAACTACCCATCTTTCAGGACCAAGCTCATATGTCATCCCTTCCATAGAGTTGTTGTTAGAATCCTCAGAAGCAATTAATATTCTTGTTCCTGAAATTTTTGTACTAAATCTTGTATATAACTTATTATTTTATACCTCAAATACATTTAGGTAAATATTTTTCTCCTCTACATAGAGTGTGAAAACTCCCTGAATGTAGTCTATGAACGTCCCACTTTGTAAGCTCTACTGTGCTGAAAATAGTCTTTAAACATATATGTTCAAACATAGTTGTTGACCAAATGACTGACTAGAGTAATCAATATTTACTAGCTTCAGAACTGTAAAGCTTCTATAAAGGACTATATACACAATCTATTTGAATCTTATTGACTATCATAAAATGAAAGTGATTGATGTGGAATAATCTGACTTGCTTCATAAACTAAATCAGTGTTTGTCCAACTATTCTCTACAGCACCTTTGGGCTTCCACAGAGGTGGTGCAGGAATCTCTCTCCTTAGCAGTGGGAAATGGGAAGTAAATAGAGTTTTCTCCTCCCCACTTTACCTTCACCCAACACTGCTCCATTTTGTATATTGGCCTTTCCTATAAGACTTTACTCAGAGAAAGTTTTCACTATTTAGGAAAAGTTTTGAGGTCACTTGGGGTTCCACCACTGGAACACTCTGATTTTATATTTGTTTCACATGAAATCCTCTTTACCTGATAACTAGGTAAATAAGCTGTTGTGGTTAAGCTGAATTTACGGTAGCACAAAGTACGTTTCAGATAATTTTATATCAGGAGCTACTCCAACACTTCACTTTATAGGAGACATATCATTTTTTTAATAGCCATTTAGCTCACTGCTTGATGTGACCTTACTGACCTGGGAACTAGTTAGCTGGTGCATCTTACAGATATTACTATATTTGTGAATATTCTTCATAGATTTAAAAGATCCCTGAGAAGCAGTTATACAGCTTTCTACTCCTTAAAAGACAATGACAAAACTTTCTATCGCCTAAGCTTATGGTAGCCTGTCCTCTTAACCACAGAGTACCCTGATCTGCAATAAGTCTAAAATGTATCTTCACTGAAATCTGTCTTAAACTCCCAGTTAGTCATACCCTTCTGAGTTCATTATTTAGGAAAAAAATACCTGTTCAAGTCACGATGTATAATTGGCTGTGTCAGGTTGTGAAGGTACTCCATGCCTTTGGCAACATCTACTGCAATAATTAATTTAGACTGCAAATCAAGAATCCTAGAATTTAAAAATAGATTTAACAGAGATGAAATGGTCAAAACGAATATCAAAAAAGCAAATGATGTGTAAGAGTTGTTATTTTATATCATCTTAACCATTTTTTGTTTCTTGAAGGTTAAGCTAGAAATTCAACAAATCTGAATAGCTTTCCTACATCAGAAAATGCTTAATTATGAATCAATTAAGATATACAGCATCTCTTGTTTAAGATATTATACTTGGTTTTATAATTTATTTATAATACTATACTTAATTTCTTTGTAATATTGTAAAATGAAATCTATTTTAATCACTGTATGAAACTACATTCTAATTACTATATGCATAAACTCAGAAAGTGAATTCACATTGGATTTGTTCAAGATCACTTTTTTAAAAGTTTATTTTATTCTGAGCTTACATATATCTTCTTTATCAGTATTTCAAATTTAGCCTAATTATTTTAAGCTCCAGTTTCCAATTTAAATTCCTTAAATTTGTTATCTTCAACTGAATTTCTGCTAAGAAAGCATAAAGTATTTCTATTCATTGAAACACAGTTATTAGGCATAAATTATTAGCGATATTAAAAATGACACACTTGCTAGCAGCACTCAGATTTCAAAAGGTGAAGGCTCATCCAATGGGAAACCCTCTGAAGTATTGCAAGAGTAGTTTCTACGGAATGTCCAAGGATAAATCAGAACAAAAGACCCATACCTCTTCTGCTCATGAAGGAGGGAGAACAGAGAACCCCCTGATATGTATTGAGTGACAATGGCAAACTGGCTGGGATCATTCAAGCAAGCACCCACAAACTGAATTACGCAGGGATGATTGAGCTGGCAGAGAATGGACACCTCTCGGCAAAACATATCCACATCTGACTTGGAGCAGTAGGTATTGGCTCGATAACTGGAAATGGCAGCAACAGAAAATCTTCAGTAAACAGATGGATCCAAACAAGGGGCTTGCCATGCACATGCTTCTCAAAGGTCACAATTCCACCTGGATGTTAAATTTTTTCATTTGCTTGCTTACCGTTTTATAGCCACTATTTTATTTCTGCATCGTCCTTTATATACTTTCCCAAAAGAACCTACAATTGTTTAAAATAAATAAATAAACACATATTAACTTAAGCTCATTCAACTAAACCGGACCTTTATTTATTTATTTATTTTAGGTTACCTGAGCCAATAATCTCATGGAACTCAATTTCTGAGAGCTGAAGATGGAAATGTGAAGGCAATCCAGCTCTTAGGAGGAGAATATCTGCCTTCTCTGCAAAGAGAAATTGTCATTTTATTTTTTAAGGTAAAAACCACACACATGGATGTGTATACATGTGCATATATATATTTAACTAAAAACATAATTTCCTAATAACATTTAATTTTTAATTTTCCAACTGTAATTGACTACTTAAAGATGCTAAAACCTTAACCCAAATGATCCCTACCCCCCTGCATTAAAATCATGTTAGTTCTATGTCTTGATTACTCACTCCTTGTTACCAGGGCTAAGGGTCTATTCCTGATCTGGTTACCAGGGCTAAGGGTCTATTCCTGATCTGGTTACCAGCGCTAAGGGTCTATTCCTGATCTACTCACTCCTTGTTAGCAGGGCTGAAGGTCTATTCCTGATCTATTCCTGCATGACATGGCAACCCTGGAGTCCAGTCCGTATCACATTATGATAAAGGTTCTGATCTGGTAACTCTCTTCAGTCTATTCCAATAGGCTTAGCCAAATATCCATAAACTAACCTCAAAGGGATGCCAATTAAATGACAGGAAATAAGCGTATGAATCATTCTAAGGAAACACTCATTCTACATTCTAAGGAAACTATTTGGAATTTAAATTCCAAATAGTTAAATATATATTTACATTTGAATCAAAGTTTTTACTTTCCTGGTCCAATGTTATTCATTTCTGTGTGAAGCATACATTCAAAAATGGTCCCAAAGTATTACTTATTGGGGATATTTTGAAAAATAATATATATTTTTTCACATATGTTTTCTAGTCCCAATTCTCCTTAAAGAAATATTAATATTTATAATTCATTTTTATAAAAAACAGAAACATCTAAACAGTCCAGTGAGAATTTGATTTTTCTTTAATAGTTATGTGAAATTTTCACTGTTATTATATCTTTATGCACTGAAAGGAGATAAAGGGTAAGGTTAATTATGAAAAGAACGGTCTGTCAATAATATTTGTTGTGCTTGTAAAATAGTCATCATTTGTAATATGTAAAACAAAATTGAAAATTACATTTGAAGCAATAGTTATCCTTAGTAATTAAATATAACAATTGTCCCAGATTATAGGTACCTTTTGTCATGCTTTTAATCTTCCCCAAGGGTGATGGAACAGACACATAGGAGCCATCTAGAAATTAAATTATATAATAGAGTTGAAAGTAGCGATCATTTTTTTCTACATAAAAGTTCAACATTATAAAAATAAGCAGGTGACGAAACGAAGTAAAACTATCGCTTCAGGCCCAAATCTTTCTCTGGATACTGAAATTGTACTGCAAGTGTTTATTTAGAAAGTGCATAAAAAGATTTTTTAGAAAATCCAAGTTGTAGCAGACTCTAGCAGATTTAATTTGTCTCTGGATATGAGTATTCAGTAATAGATTACTGAAATGGAAAATGACTGCTCTCAGCTTATCCAGGCCTTCCTAGTCATGCACAAGCCTCATAAACATCCAGTCTGGGAAATGTTAAACTTGGAGGAGCTGCAGATTGGTGAGTTAGAAAATAGCTGAAATGGAGGCTTCTTTATGTTCAGCCTCTCCCAGACATAAGGTTACTTAAAATAAATCTAATCTGACATAGGCTATGCCCTCCTCCCTAACCCCTGAAAGAATGATAGTAACAGAAACACAGGTTTACCTTTAGGCACAATATATTATACAATAATGAAAACTGAATAAGAAAAGGGGTACCTCCTCCAGGCTGAGAATATTCATTACAGGGCAATTCATCTTGTGGTCTCTTATAATGCTTCAGGAGTGTGACAATGGCATCATGCCCTTTATGAAAAGATACAAAGAACAAAGAGTCCTAAATTTTGTTTAAGTTATTCAGTCTACTCTCAAATCCAAAAATTATTGGAAGTAGCTTACAACATAGGACAAATCATAAGAGGTAATGTATTGCAATAGAAATTTAGTTCATTCATTCTTTGGTTCAAAATGATTTCTTAAGACTACCATATGCGAAGCACTATGTCAGGCACTCTACTGGGAATGGGTACTGGTGATGCAGTGAACAAAGTGACTATGGTCTTACCCTTAAGAAGCTTACAATGTAGTTGAACAAATAATCAGAAAAATGATGAGGATTTCTAAATAAGGCAATACTAAGTACTATGGGAATATATAATAAGGGCACTATTAAAAGGGCAAAAAGTACATACAGTAATCAGGAAAGAGAGATGTATTTGCTGTGATTGAGCGTACATTTGATTCAGTATTGTAGTATTATGCAGCACTAAGATAATTTACATAGGTTTTTAGAGACAGCTGGCTGCCTGCCAATATTTGTACTCCTCTTTCACAGGGTGATTTTGTCACTGGGAATGGCTGCCCACCCAGTGACATTTTCCTATGTACCTTGCATCCAACTGTGGCCTTGCGACATATTTTCATGAAGGGAATATGAGCAAAAGTGAAGTAACTTCCAGGTCTGTGCCTTAAGAAACAGGTGAGCCTTCTCTACTCTTCCCATTTGCTGGCTAGATGCAGAAGGCTCTGAAGCTCTGAGGGTTGGAAGAAAGCCATCCACTGACCAGAAATGCCCACCCTGAAGTGCTATATGAGAAATACTTTTCTATTATAACACCACCAACAATCTAGTGTTTACTAGTTACACTAGGGGCTTATGATTGTGAAGGATAAAAAATGCCAAATGATCCTCTGAGTAATGCAATGTTTTTCAATAAAATTAAACTTCAATACTATTTTAATGCGTTCACTATAAAAATAATCTATGAAGCTAATTTACAAAAGAGAAAAACAGCCAACCTTAAAGATGTTGCCATAGGATTTGTGAAATACAACAGAGCTTATTGTAAAACTGGTAAATTTAAGGAATTGAAAAAGCATAAATACTTATCCATCACAAAGGATCTGTAGTTAACATGGGTTAAGCATACATCTAGCTTATGTAGAGAGTATATGCTGAGATTTGCTTGCCTTTCAAATCTTCCCTTCCGCAAAAACTTTAAATGAACAGTGCATTCAAGATCATGAGGTGGAAAAATCATGGTATTTACAAACACGAAAAGCTTTTCCAAAGGTAACAAGGCTAAGATTCTTCGAGGAAAAAAAAAAAAAGCATTGTGATTACAATTGCTAAAACTGGTAGCAAAACTTAAATCTACATAGTTAAAAACTAGTGTCTATTTTCTTATCATCTCCAGCTTTCTATTCATGACTGGTGGATCTCTAATTTTCTCAAATCATAGGAATAAGTTATAATGAAATAACGTGGGGGGCAGTCCCATTGGCATTCTTTCTTTGGACTGCAGCGAGCTCACGATCAGGGAAACCTTAAGACTAATTTAAGGACATTAGCCAACAAACTAATTTCTAGGGGAAGCACCTAATAGGCAGAGAGAATAGATAATGTAGTAGTCCCAAGATGGGAGCAAACATAACATGTTTAGAGAATGAAAAAAGGCCAGTGTGGCTACACAAGCAAGGATGAGAGTGGTATCAGATTTGGTTGGAGAGGTAGGCAAGTGTACTTCATGTGGAGTAGTGCTTCTCAAATTTTTTTACTATGTATAAGAATCACTTGAAGTGCAAGTTCAAACAGATTCCCAAGCCCTGTCCCAATAGATCACAATTGAAAAAGTCTGTAGTAGGGGCTGAGTGTTGTGTTTCTAACAAGGTCCCAGGTGATGCTCATCAGCAATCTGCACTTTGACTGCGACTGATGTAGAGCTTTACAGGTGAGGATAAGGAGATGAGATTTTCGTGTAGGGTAGGCGAGATGGGGAGCCCCTGAAGCATTTTAATTAGTTAAAGGATATGATCTGTTTTACTTTTTAAAAAGATCGTCATCTACAGGTTAGAAACGATAATCCACCCTTGTAAGATTGTTGTAAAGATTAACTAAGATGATGTATGTAATATGCCTTACAGTTCTAACACATCAGTGTGCATTTTGGGTCTTGTCACTGCTTTTACACTTTACTTTTTGCCCCAAGAATTGTAGGTGAACTTGGAAACTCCTTTTTGGAATTTCAGACGAATCTTCTAAATACCAGTGTATTCATTTTCTATTGCTGCTATTGCTAGTTATGACAAACATAGTGACTTGAGCAATACAAATTTATTATCTTATAATTCTGGAGGTCAAAAGTTCAACATGGTTTTCTCTGAGCTGAAATCAAGGTGTCAGCAGGACTGCATTTCTTTCTAGAGGCCTTAGGAGATAATTGGTTTCCTTGACTTTTCCAAGTTTTATAGGCCACCCACATTCCTTGGCTTGTAGCCCCCTTCCTATTGCTTCAAAGCCAGCAATGGTTGGCTTAGTCCTCATATCATATTGCTCTGACCTCTGCTTCTGCCCCCCTTTTCCATATTACAATGAGCCCACTGGGATAATCCAGGATAATCTATCTCTTAAAGTCAGCTAAATAACAACCTTGATTCTTCCCCATGTAAGGCAGCCTACTTACAGTTCCAACAAACAGGACCTGAACATCTTTGGGGGTGGCGGGGGGCATTACTCTACCTCCTTGATTCTTCCCCATGTAAGGCAGCCTGCTTACAGTTCCAGTGAACAGGAACTGAACATCTTTGAGGGGGCATTACTCTACCTACCACATCCAGTTTCATGAATATTTCAGTGTGCTTGTGCCTTGCTTGTGTGTTGGTGCTGCCTGCTGTTGAGCATTTTCTTTTCTAGCTTTGGTGGCCATTTTAACCTCAGGATAAAAGTAGTACTAAAGACCAAAAATTCCTTTGGAATTAAAATTTGGCTGAGTGTCTTGACTCATACCCCAGTGTTTTGTGGGGCTGAGGTGGAGGGATTGTTTGAGGCCAGGAGTTGAAGACCAGGCTGGGCAACATAGCATGACCCCTATTTCTAAAAAAAATTTTTTTTTAAATTAGTGGGGCATGGTAGCATCTGCCTGTAGTCCCAGCTACTGGGTAGCCTGAGGTGGGAGAATCACTTGAACCCAGGAGTTTAAGATTGTAGTGAGCTACAATCACACCATTGCACTCCAGCCTGGGCTAGACCTGGGTGAGACCCTGTCTCTAAAATAATAATAATAATAATAATAATAATAATAATAATAATACCCCTCATCTGTTCCTTGCTAGAGTCACAGATTCTAAGGTTTTTTTTTATTTTTTATTTATTTTTTCCTCCCTTCACACTGTCTAATCCCACATTAATAGGACCTATAGTGCTTTTGGAATCTTCCTTTTACTTAATTTGGTCTTCAAGTGTTTGGGCCCAGGAAAAACACAAAAACAAAAACTTTTTCTTATTTCTGTTTTTCCTAGGAGACACTTCTTGGGGGAATAAAAACAACCCAAACCCCTACATTTACCCAAGCACAACAAAGCTTAATTCACAGAGCCCACCTTCCAGTCTATCTCAGCCCCTATATAGAATTGACATCGGCTGACAGATGAGAGGGCCTCATGCTTTCCCCAATGAAGCAGAAAGTTGCATCCTGAATCCTGAGCGCCTGTGTGAGTTAGTGATCACACCCTTGATGTTACCTTTCATTTCAACAGCTCTCTTGGCTCCACTTGCTCTGAGCAGTTTTCATTTCCTGCCAGCACAGTGGCACAATTTGCTGGCATTTTCTTTGGGATGCTTTTCATCAAGAGCCTAATGAGTGCCTGGGTTCTGGCTGATGATAAGCATGAGGCTGCCAGGAAAATGCCAAGAGGCCCCCTCAGCTCTGGAAGGCATCTCTGCCTGATTTCCCCCCTCATGCTAACTGTGGGCTAAGGCACCCACGTATGGGAAATTTTCCATGACTACAACTGCTCTGACAAGCCACTAAAGTACATGGAAAGAAACCCAAAACCCACTAAAGCCCAGCTCCTGGACACTTGGCCACAAGGAGTTAGGCAGAAAAATAAACCTTAATGGAGCTCACTAAATGGACGTGTTAAGCCAAACTCCTGATAATGGATACACCCAGATAACCAAGGCACACTAATGGAATACCTCCAGAGATAATCAAACTTCCACTAATTAAATAAAATGTTTTCCTATATTTAAGAATTTACTATCTACACCCAAGCATTTTACCAAAATAGAAGGTCGCTATGTTATTAGCCTAATGCAACTCTAATGATGATCTGCACTTTTAGAGTATTATTCACTGGAGCACCTGAGGGTTTTGGCAAATGTGATTCTTCTCCCAGCTTGAAATCTCTTTCATTTCCTGCTCCTCACTCTTTCAGTCCTGTGTGTATTCTCCAAATTCAGTGCTTTCCCTTTAATTTGTCTATTTGTGTTCCTTTACTTCTTATATTTGGTGTGATTTCTCCCCCTGTTAAATCCTCTTTGCTTTCAACTTTCTTAATAGTTATTTTAAAACCTAGGTTTTGTTTAAGATGACAAGTCAATCCAAGAGACTGTTACAAAGACAGTTTAATATCTACATCATAGTCATATATACAATAGATGCTTTATAATTATTCAAGAAGGGAAGTACAATTTATCTCCCTATAAGGTTGTCTCTCTGTCCCCCACAATTTTAACTTAAAAACAATGAAAGCTGATTCTAATCTCTTGCTCTGAGAATATTTTAAGAACTAGATCTGGAGATTAGTGGTAAATGACACCAGTACTAAGATCTCCATGATTTGGTGACTCAGAGACCCTTTGGGTTCACGGCTGTATAGAGAACATGGAGATTTAGTCTCAGTTACAGAAGGAATTCTCATTGACCTCATGTCTCACATGCTCAGGTCATCAAAGGAACAGACTAGGCCTTACTTTATACCTGGCCCAAATAATCAAACTTTCACAGTAATGATAAATATTAGGCTTTGTTCAATATTTTAATATATCCCCTTCCCATTATGTTAAAAACTCACTTTCCAGAAGCATTGAAAAGTGGAATCAGAGGGTGGCTTTGGACAATTGCCCTTCAATGGCTCACCTTCCTCCTGACCACCCTGGTCCCATACACTGTTCATTATTAGATCAGAGGCGACAAAAATTTCTGGCTTGCTACATCTTCTCATCACTTAAATATGAAAGATGTCCTAATTTTATATCACAGAGAGGGAACTCACATCCCCTTTGACCCATTATTCTTGTTCCTTAATCAGCAGGCCCCAGTAAGGATGTCACTGGTCCTTTACCTTAAGAGAAGAATCCACAGGCATGAATGCTTTTGCCAAGATATTTTTATATCCAAACTAAATTATTTAGCTATCCTTCCTTTTTCTCTTTTTCTCATTCTGCTTTCCTTTCTCTTTCCTTTTCTTCCTCAAATATTCATTGTGCACCTATGAGGGGCCAGCTCCAATAACACCTTCCCAGAGAGACCTTCCCCTTCCATGATTACTCAATTTTAGATAGTATCCTTGAATTTTGTGTTCACCATTGCATTTCCTTCTTATTTTATTCATAGTACTTATTGTTAACCCATATTTTCTATTTGCTTTCTTGCTTGCAGCCTGTGTCTTCAAGTTAAAAATGCAAACTCCCTAAGATCAGGGAGGTATTATCTGTTTTACTGTTCCTAGCACAGTGTCTGTCACACATTAGGTTGGCAATACATTTTTGTTGAACGAATGAATGATACTAGGTATGAGTGAGAGGGTTGAAAAAGAAATATTATTTACTTTTATATTCAATGCTATCTAGTGGAAAAAATTACATAAATATAATTTCACTCAAATTTTATTTAGCCAAGCTCTAGGAAGAAAAGGTACATGATGTGAATGTGTATAATGGTGAATCTTACAACAGTCTGGAAGAGTCAGGATAGTTGAGACTGTCTTTTAAGCTCAACTTGAAAGATGAGGACAAACTCATTAAGCAAAAAGGTAGGAGAAAAGCATTCCAACCAGAAGAAAATTTTTGCAGTTCCAATGCATGGAAAGAGGAGCTTTAGAACATATTTTAAAATATTTTGCCTGTTTATTTGAATATTAGGACTGTGCAGTTAATAAGGAACCTATGATATTTACAGAAATAGTTACAGAGACAACAGAAAAGTGACAGTTAGTATTTCTTAGAATATCAACTCACCAGATGCCATGTAGCAGAACATGGAAAAGAATGTTGTCTAAAATATTTTCTTCCTGTCTCTCTTACTGATTTCAACAAGCATGAATATCTATTAGGAGTCATCCACTGAATTCAAATTTTTGGAAGACAATGAATTAAAGGCCCAAATGCTTGCTCTCAAGAAGTTTACAATTTGGTAAGAGAAGAGAGTGTTTCAGTATAAAGTGGTAAACACAGAGAAAGAGATGTGCACATAACAAAATAAAATATAAAGAAAGGATGTATGTGCTAGGCTGGAATGTCAGGGAAGACTTTCTAGAAATATTCAATAAGACTAGGAGACTTCCATAAACTAAGTCTTGAAGACCAAGTGGCAATCAGAAATTTAAAGAATGGGGTGACATGGAGAGGACAGAGAGGACATAAAGGCAGATTGGACTGCCATGTAAAAGTCTTGGAAACATGAAATAACATGACATATGTAAGGATGAATGAGCAGTTTTATACTATCCCTATTATGTGAAGTGACACGGCCTCACAGGGTTATTATGTGGATTTGATGAGTTAATATATGTGAAGTATTTAGAACAAGCATGGCAAAGAGTGAACACTGAGTGAATGTTGGTGATCTAGCGAATATGATGATGGTTGTGGCATGTGGGGTTGCCCATGTAACAGGAGTAAGAGGATATGAGGTTCAAGAGGCAAGAAGTACACAAGACAATAAAGTCTCTGTGTGTTATGATATCAAGCTGAGACTTTTTCTTATGGGTGACAGTATATCAGAGAAAGGTTTTAGACTGGGGAATAATACGGCCTTATTTGCACCTTGAATATATCTCTCAGTCTACAGTTGGAAAATTTCAAAATGCTGAGGACAAAAAAGGGCAGTTATGAGGTTATTAAAATGGATTAGAAGAAGTATTATGAGGATCTGAATTAAAATAGTGATAGTAAAAAAAAAGAAAAAAGGATGGATTAAAAATGTACTTATTAAGCAAAATAAAGAAGACTTTTTGATTGAATCGATAGGATGTGTGGTGGGAGGAGAAGTTGAGGAGGAAAAAGTAATCAAGCATCATTCAAGATTTCTGACCTAAGTGACAAAGTGGATGGTAATACCATTAAATGGCTGATTGAATAAAGGATACATAGTACAAGAAAGAGAATCATGAGGACAAAAAAAAATGTTAAGTTCAATTTTGGACTTGTTGAGTTTTGCAGGGTCCTCAGATATCCAAGCAAAGAAATCAAGCAGTCAGTTGGTATGGTGGTTTGAAAATATGATCACAAATTCTTTGACATTCCTCCTTGACTGTGGAGAAAAACCCTGCTGTAGGAAAGAGGCTTGCAAATTTGTGCTATAGTTTTAAAATATTGTTTTATGTATTTGCATGCAACTACGCACATTAGAATAATGTCTTTGGATTACTTTCATAATATTTTGATTAGTTATTTTCAAAATCTCCTTTATTTTGCTTCAGTTCTGAGGCTTAAAATTAATGGTATAACTTGAGCCATAAATAAGAAATACCAATATAACAAAACAACACACACTTTTATATATGCAGGGATTGTCCAGAGGCGTTTGGCAGGAATATAAGCCCTTCATCAGAGGGTTTATAGCGGATTCCTATTATCCTAATATATTAAAATTTCTAACTGTACATGTTATAAATTAGGAAAGACCATGAAATTTGGGAGTTATGTGGATTCGATTGAATCTCTGCTCTGCACTTACCAATAAGAGCTGCCGCCATTCTTATTGAGACTCTGTTATGTGCCAAGCACTTAAATCTTATCCTTAAACCTCGTCAGAATTCTGTAAAGTGGTTATTAATATCCTCATTTTGAATTTGAGGGTAAATGCTGAAAGAGGTTAAAGGCCTTGCACAAGGTCATTAAATAATAAGGATGGAGTTTTGGCTTAGATCTAATTTTACAGTGTGTTGGTAAGAGCTTGAATTCTACAACAAGACAGACCTCCTATTTGGTACTGCCTCTCTACTCAACAACTGCATGGATTGGGCAAGTGTGACTTAGCAGCCCTAAGTCTTAATCTCTTTATCTATAAAACAAAGATAATAAAAATTTAAAGGGTTATTTTGATTAAATTATATATACATATATATGCATCTGTAAAAGATACTCAATGAATGTAAGTTCTCTTTTACTATCCATTTTAAGTATGTGAATTCTTACGTTATTATATTTCAAAAACATTTTTGTGAGTTATCTCCCTGCAATGATGAAGGTTTTTCCATTCTAATGACAGTTGAGATTATTTTACTTACTTATTTTTTTTAAAAGAGAGCAGCTAAACATGTAAGAAGATAACCAGTATACGAAAACAAAAATTCACACATGGATTCCTTACCCCAATCCACTCTTGCACACTAAACCAGTATCACTAAACTAAGTAACTAAACTTGAAATAGATAGGAATTCAATATAGAAAAAGCCTGAGAGTTCATAATCTATTGGTGAAAATTTATCAAATAATTTAATGAATCTATCTCTTCTTACTTGTACTCCTCTCCCACCCTCATTTCTCAGTTATTTTTTTACTGTCTAAAAACTGTAGAAACTCATGACTGTAAGATTTCATTACTTTCAGAGAATACACTATAGTACATTTACTACAAATAATTCACACAATACTACACTTGTCAAAAGGAATGAACAAAGTATATATCATGGTACAGGAGCCTTGATTTTTATTGTTTTTGCTCCCTTATTCACTAATTCTCCACCTCCAGCTTCCTGTCACTGTGAATTAGGCGCCTTTGCTGTATACAAATATTGTATTCTGGGTAATTTGATATTGTGATAGGAGCCTCTGTATATTACTTTAACTGGTGTCAGTACTGAAACGAATAAGAAGTTTTTAGTTCTGTTTCTAGTTTAGGTTATTTTCTGACCCTAAACAGCCTGACATATAGGAGTGCTTTTCTTTGTCAAAGGCAGCCTTTTCAAATCTAACTGCCAGACACACTATTGAGCTATGTGTTCAATTCTAATTGGCTGAGATCTTTTCAATTCGGCAGTTTCATCTTTAATGCAATGGATGTAAGATTATGTGTAGGTCTTTTCAATGGGTTTTCCATACTGGTGATTAGGGCAGAGGATTTGAACATAAGCAGGCTGCTGGCTATTTCTTCTGACCAATTTAAATTGATTCATGCTGGTCCTTTGTACCACAGGAAAAGGGCAGAACAAATCCAAGTGAGTGAGACAGCGATCGCTACACTTTCAGATTGGAATAGTAGAAACGAAGAAGGGGAGAGATGGGGAGGGGAGACACTCTAAATATTGTAAAATTGGAGCTCTAAGCACTCTGGCAGATAAATATTGAAACTTAAACAGTGGCTTCTGTGTAGGATGACGGTCACCAGGAAAATTATTTTCAAGATTGATTTTGATATATTTAGGTTAGAAGGGCTATGCAAATAGAAAGCATTCTTTATATCTGATTCCACAGGGAACCATAGTGAGTAAACCCTTTTCTGAAAGCATTCCAAAAGAGAATATATAACTCTTCCAGAACTCCAAATCACACTTCAATGTGCCATATCAGAATAGTAGAAAGAAGGTCAGCTAAAATTTAGCTTGGGTCAGGTGAAAAATTTGGCTTAGAGCCATTCAGATAGAGACGGGTGCTGCTGAGAAAGACTGCATGGTTTTCTGTTAAGAGATTAGACTAGGATGAACTATTTAAATTGGGCGTATCCAAAAGTAGACCTATTCAAATAGACACCCTTGATTGTGAAGCTCCCTTCTTGTTTATCTCTCCCGGGATAGGATAGGGTACATGGTAAACCATGATGGGGCCATTCTTACATCAAGTAGAGTTTTAGTCCTTCCTCAGCTTTACCTCCAAATTGCTCAGGGAACTCCTTAGTATGCTATATCAATTAATATAGTGATTCCCTCTCCAAGGAGGCAGGGAAGCACTTCTTGTTTCAAAGGATACGGGGACAGGTGCACTGCTGACAATATTAACAAGGCCACTTCAGTTCTCCCTGAACACATGAAAACAATGCAACATTTTTTTAGGAAGAGAAAAATAGCAACAATTCCATTTGTCATTTGACTTGCTTTGCCCTAGAACATTTGCAAAACATCCATCTGTCTTCTGAGCAACAACATTCAATTTGTTAAAATTCATAGTAATAATGGAATGCAACACTGATGCCTGGCACATTAGTTTGAACAAATACAGTGACAAATACAGCATATGTTGAAGAGGCCAGTGGGCAAGTCCTCTAAGTTAAAGGATCTTTGTTGACATTTCATAGGAAATCTTAGAAGCTTACACAATGATTCACTGTTTCATAGAAGTGTGGAATTCCATGAAAAATAAAAGTAAAGCCAGTTTTCAACTATCACTCTCAATCAGCTAAAAACAAACAAAGCCAACCTCTGTGAAGAGATAGCTGCAGCAGCAATTTCTGAGCTGCCTTCCGGAAGACTAATGCTTTGTAAACAGTCTTACACTGAAGCTAACATTTCTTGAGAGTCACTGTCTGAGAATCACTTGAATAAATGCAATGTGTTGAGGAGGTAGAATTTAGTAAGGCCTCCTGAGATTTCAGAAAATTTAAGATTTTCCAATTGATATTAAGATATAGAGCTACCTAGATTTTTTAATACAAAGTAGAACACCTTTATATCTAATAGAAATGCAACCATATATTCAACGAAAGACATATATCTACATATATGAATGTTCATAACACAGTACTCTTAATAGCCCCAAATTGAAAATTATCCAAATGCTCGTGAACAGTAGAATGAATTAAAAAATTGTGATATAGTCACAAAACATTATACTATACAATGATAAGAATGAACAATCTACAACTGCCTGCAACAATGTGAATGAATCTCACATATTGTTGGCTGAAAAAAGCCAGACACAAAGAAGTACATAGCATAGCATTTCATTTATATAAAGTGCAGAAAGTGGCAAAACGACTATGCCACAAGAAGGCAGTGGTAACCTCTTTAGGGGAGTGATTGGAAGAGAATGTCAATGGGGCTTTTAGGGGACTTGTTATGTTCAGTTTCTTCATTTGGGTGCTGGGTGAGTTCAATCTGTGAAATTCATTGACCTATATGGTTATAATATGTGCAAAGGTATATATATGTTTGTATTTATACAATATTCAAATAAAAAGCAAAATAAGCCCACCAAAATACAGCAAGCCTATATCTAACTTATTACTTAATATTCTATGTCTGTTCACTTGTCTTTATTAAAGTAACTCCCACATCATTTTTCTACTAGCAGTCTTCAGACCTGTACATTTTTCCTTCTCCTTGTCTATACGCTTACTGCATGCTTACAACAGCTCTACATTTTCATCCATCAGACTACATTTCTCCTTTCATTGATGGACTTTCATATCCCACTTTATTTATTTATTCATTTATTTATTTATTTATTTATTTATTTTTGAGACGGAGTATCGCCCTGTTGCCAGGCTGGAGTGCAATGGCATGATCTCAGCTCACCACAACCTCTGCCTCCCGGGTTCAAATGATTCTCCTGCCTCAGCCTCCCGAGTAGCTGAGATTACAGGCATCTGCCACCACACCCAGCTACTTTTTGTATTTTTAGTAGAGACAGGGTTTCACCATGTTGGCCAGGCTGGTCTTGAACTCCTGACCTTGTGATCTGCCCACCATGGCCTCCCAAAGTGTTGGGATTACAGGCATGAGCCACCGCGCCTGGCCCATATCCCACTTTAGTCAGAAAACCTTTCGAATCAACTTGGTAGGCTAGGAAATCTTATAGCTTAATAATTGTTATTTTCAGTACAATCTTTTAGGATTTGAGTATTTAAAAAGATAACTATGTTTCTTTACACATTTTTAATATTGTAAAAAGACAATGCAGTCATCAAAAGTTAAAATAACAATTAAAATGTGACTTTAAAATCTGGCATTTTTTTATAGTATTCAATTATAACCTATAATTTCAAAGACAATATATATTCTTTCATATCACCTAAAAATCTAAACTCCTTAGGAGTGTATGTGTATATGGAGAGCTTGCTTATGAGGCAAATATATCTCAATAACAATTACAAAGATGCTTTTCACCATCTGAATGTCTTCAGTTACTTCTCCCTTGAAATGATGAATTTGTTATCAATCATCTTTATTTCTGAGCTACTAGTAGTCCCACTGTTATCACACTAAAATAGCAATTACTTAGCATTTATTTTGTGTCAGCCACTGTTCTAAGCAATTTGCGTATATTATCTCATTTAATCTTTACAATCTTATAAAGTAGAATTTATAATCCTTATTTTTCAGATGAAGAAAATGGAGTTCAGAAATATTAAATAATTTGCACAAGATCAAATAATATGGCTTGATTTAAACCCAGTTGTTTTCATACCAGATCTCAAGCTTTCACCACTTTGAGCTCAGATAATTTTATACTTAAGCAAATAAGTTTATATTCAAATAAGTTTACACTTGGGTCCCTCACATTTTCTAGCACAAGCATTGTCAGCAGGGTTAGATCTGACAAATATTTCTTTCCCCCCCCCTTGTACTTCTTTCTTATAAATTTGAAACCACATGAAAATTCCCCCATATAAGAGATAAAGACTAGCTCTGAGCCCACTCTACTATCATTATCTATCACAATTTTGTTTCTCTGGTACTTAGAAATGTGACAATTCCCTTTTCAAAGTGCCAATACTGAGAATGCCTTTGGTTCATCTGCAGCCTAGGAGTTGCCTTCTCTGATTACAGTGTATTGGACTCTTTGATCCAAGGCCCCAGAAACTCAAGTAAAATCTACAGAAGAAATGAGAGTGTTCAAGTCATGCAAGCAAAGTAATTATTGATGCACTGACATAATCTATGCACACAGTTCAATGTATCACTATAGAGACACGATGATTAAAAATATACCTTTTTCATAAGCCCACATCAAACATGTCTGCTCATCTTTTTCACCACTAGACCTGCTGGGATCACAAGCCACTAGATTCATATCAGCTCCATTATCCAGTAAGAACTGAACCAGGCGAATGTGACCGTGGTAGCAAGCAGAGTGTAATCCTGTAATAGAAAAGAATTGAAAGAACAAAAGGAGAAAAAAGAAAAACTGCTCCCCAATTTTCAAAAGACAGTCATCACCACATAATAGCATTATTTCCAAAGGTATGAAGTAAGGATTGATTTCTTTGATAAAGAACTAATTTTATTATTGACCAAACGAGACATCACTTTAAGCAAAACGGGTATTATATTGTACTCAACCTTCTACAGAGACTGTCTTTTCCTCAGTACAATTATAGTATTTCTACATCCACTGTAATTACCAAGAACAAATGTTAGCATCTTTACACAAATAAAGGAACAAAGACCCATCACAGGTTTTTTTTTTTTTTTTTGATCACCAAATCAAGGGCAGAGCAGTGTGGTCAGTCTGTCCCTAGTGCTGGCCATAAGAGGATGCACTGACTGCAAATAATTTAACACAATAATAAAATTGACCAAAAAGTCAGTCTGCTTTTTATTATTATCAGTCATTATCAATTCTAAATGCTGGCAGTTGATAAAATACCCTTTCCCACTGGAGTTGAGCACTCCCAATGCCCCCACATCCCTTTGCATACCATTATTCTTAATCATTGATAAGCATATAGAACTAGTGGTGTTTTCACCACAGTCTTACCAGTGTGCCCATCCCTTCCTTGGTGGTTGATGTTTATGACATTCTGATCAAGAAGAAATTTGACTAGGTCAATGCTCTTGCCATAGGTACAAGCACTGAAAAAAAAAACCATAAAACAAGAAAGATAGAAGGTCCTTGTTATGAACTAAATTGTGCCCTCTCCCCTACACCTCGAAAAATCATATGCTGAAGTTATAACCCCCATAACCTGACAATGAGACTGTATTTAGGGATTGTATCTTTAAAGAGGTACTTAAGAGGGGTGGAGCCAAGATGGCCGAATAGGAACAGCTCCAGTCTACAGCTCCCAGCATGAGCAATGCAGAAGATGGGTGATTTCTGCATTTCCAACTGAGGTACTGGGTTCATCTCACTGGGGAGTGCGGGACAGTGGGTGAAGCGCACCATGCCTGAGCCGAAGTAGGGCGAGGCATTGCCTCACCTGGGAAGCGCAAAGGGTCAGGGAATTCCCTTTCCTAGTCAAAGAAAGGGGTGACAGACAGCACCTGGAAAATTGGGTCACTCCCACCCTAATACTGCGCTTTTCCAACAGGCTTAACAAACGGCACACCAGGAGATTACATCCCGCACCTGGCTTGGAGGGTCCTATGCCCACGGAGCCTCGCTCATTGCTAGCACAGCAGTCTGAGATCAAACTACAAGGTGGCAGCGAGGCTGGGGGAGGGACGCCTGCCATTGCCCAGGCTTGAGTAGGTAAACAAAGCTTCTGGGAAGCTCGAACTGGGTGGAGCCGACCACAGCTCAAGGAGGCCTGCCTGCCTCTGTAGGCTCCACCTCTGGGGGCACGGCACAGACAAACAAAAGACAGCAATAACCTCTGTAGACTTAAATGTCCCTGTCTGACAGCTTTGAAGAGAGTAGTGGTTCTCCCAGCATGCAGCTTGAGATCTGAGAATGGGCAGACTGCCTCCTCAAGTGGGTCCCTGACCCCCGAGTAGCCTAACTGGGAGGCATCCCCCAGTAGGGGCAGACTGACACCTCACACGGCTGGGTACTCCTCTGAGACAAAACTTCCAGAGGAACGATCAGGCAGCAGCATTTGCGGTTCACCAATATCCACTGTTCTGCAGCCACCACTGCTGATACCCAGGCAAACAGGGTCTGGAGTGGACCTCCAGTAAACTCCAACAGACCTGCAGCTGAGGGTCCTGACTGTTAGAAGGAAAACTAACAAACAGAAAGGACATCCACACCAGAAACCCATCTGTACATCACCATCATCAAAGACCAAAGGTAGATAAAACCACAAAGATGGGGAAAAAGCAGAGCAGAACAACCAGAAACTCTAAAAAGCAGAGCACCTCTCCTCCTCCAAAGGAACACAGCTCCTCACCAGCAATGGAACAAAGCTGGACGGAAAATGACTTTGACAAGTTGAGAGGGGAAGGCTTCAGAAGATCAAACTACTCCCAGCTAAAGGAGGAAGTTCAAACCAATGACAAAGAAGTTAAAAACTTTGAAAAAAAAATTAGACAAATGGATAACTAGAATAATCAATGCAGAGAAGTCCTTAAAGGACCTGATGGAGCTGAAAACCATGGCACGAAAACTACGTGACGAATGCACAAGCCTCAGTAACCGATGCGATCAACTGGAAGAAAGGGTATCAGTGATGGAAGACAAAATCAATGAAATGAAGTGTGAAGAGAAGTTTAGAGAAAACAGAATAAAAAGAAATGAACAAAGCCTCCAAGAAATATGGGACTATGTGAAAAGACCAAATCTACGTCTCATTGGTGTACCTGAAAGTGACAGGGAGAATGGAACCAAGTTGGAAAACACTCTGCAGGATATTATCCAGGAGAACTTCCCCAATCTAGCAAGGCAGGCCAACATTCAAATTCAGGAAATACAGAGAACGCCACAAAGATACTCCCCGAGAAGAGCAACTCCAAGACACATAATTGTCAGATTCACCAAAGTTGAAATAAAGGAAAAAATGTTAAGGGCAGCCAGAGAGAAAGGTTGGGTTACCCACAAAGGGAAGCCCATCAGACTAACAGCAGATCTCTCGGCAGAAACTCTACAAGCCAGAAGAGAGTGGGGGCCAATATTCAACATTCTTAAAGAAAAGAATTTTCAACCCAGAATTTCATATCCAGCCAAACTAAGCTTCATAAGTGAAGGAGAAATAAAATACTTTACAGACAAGCAAATACTGAGAGATTTTGTCACCACCAGGCCTGCCCTAAAAGAGCTCCTGAAGGAAGCACTAAACATGGAAAGGAACAACTGGTACCAGCCACTGCAAAAACATGCCAAATTGTAAAGACCATCAAGGCTAGGAAGAAACTGCATCAACTAAGGAGCAAAATAACCAGCTAACATCATAATGACAGGATCAAGTTCACACATAACAATACTAACCTTAAATGTAAATGGGCTAAATGCTCCAATTAAAAGGCACAGACTGGCAAAATGGATAAAGAGTCAAGACACATCAGTGTGCTGTATTCAGGAAACCCATCTCACGTGCAGAGACACACATAGGCTCAAAATAAAGGGATGGAGGAAGATCTACCAAGCAAATGAAAAACAAAAAAAGGCAGGGGTTGCAATCCTACTCTTGGATAAAACAGACTTTAAACCAACAAAGATCAAAAGAGACAAAGAAGGCCATTACATAATGGTAAAGGGATCAATTCAACAAGAAGAACTAACTATCCTAAATATATATGCACCCAGTACAGGAGCACCCAGATTCATAAAGCAAGTCCTTAGTGACCTACAAAGAGACTTAGACTCCCATACAATAATAATGGGAGACTTTAACACCCCACTCAACATTAGACAGATCAACGAGACAGAAAGTTAACAAGGATATCCAGGAATTGAACTCAGCTCTGCACCAAGTGGACCTAATAGACATCTACAGAACTCTCCACCCCAAATCAACAGAATATACATTCTTTTCAGCACCACACCACACCTATTCTAAAATCAACCACATAGTTGGAAGTAAAGCAGTCCTCAGCAAATGTAAAAGAACAGAAATTATAACAAACTGACTTTCAGACCACAGTGCAAACTAGAACTCAGGATTAAGTAACTCACACAAAACTGCTCAACTACATGGAAACTGAACAACCTGCTCCTGAATGACTACTGGGTAAATAACGAAATGAAGGCAGACATAAAGATGTTCTTTGAAACCAACGAGAACAAAGACACAACATACCAGAATCTCTGGGACACATTCAAAGCAGTGTGTAGAGGGAAATTTATAGCACCGAATGCCCACAAGAGAAAGCAGGAAAGATCTAAAATTGACACCCTAACATCACAATTAAAAGAACTAGAGAAGCAAGAGCAAACACATTCAAAAGCTAGCAGAAGGCAAGAAATAACTAAGATCAGAGCAGAACTGCAGGAAATGGAGACACAAAAAACCCTTCAAAAAATCAATGAATCCAGGAGCTGGTTTTTTGAAAAGATCAACAAAATTGATAGACCGCTAGCAAGACTAATAAAGAAGGAAAGAGGGAAGAATCAAATAGACGCAATAAAAAATGACACAGGGGATATCACCACCGATCCCACAGAAATACAAACTACCATCAGAGAATACTATAAACACCTCTATGCAAATAAACTAGAAAATCTAGAAGAAATGGATAAATTCCTCGACACATACACTCTCCCAAGACTAAACCAGGAAGAAGTTGAATCCCTGAATAGACAAATAACAGGCTCTGAAATTGAGGCAATAATCAATAGCTTACCAACCAAAAAAAGTCCAGGACCAGATGGATTCACAGCCGAATTCTACCAGAGGTACAAGGAGGAGCTGGTACCATTCCTTCTGAAACTATTCCAATCAATAGAAAAAGAGGGAATCCTCCCTAACTCATTTTATGAGGCCGGCATCATCCTGATACCAAAGGCTGGCAGAGACACAACAAAAAAAGAGAATTTTAGACGAATATCCTTGATGAACATTGATGCAAAAATCCTCAATAAAATACTGGCAAACCGAATCCAGCAACACATTAAAAAGCTTATCCACCATGATCAAGTGGGCTTCATCCCTGGGATGCAACCCATGAAAATCAATAAATGTAATCCAGCATATAAACAGAACCAAAGACAAAAAACACATGATTATCTCAATAGATGCAGAAAAGTTTTTAGCTTTCATGCTAAAAACTTTCAATAAATTAGGTATTGATGGGATGTATCTCAAAATAATAAGAGCTATGCATGACAAACCCACAGCCAATATCATACTGAATGGGCAAAAACTGGAAGCATTCCCTTTGAAAACCAGCACAAGACAGGGATGCCCTCTCTCACCACTCCTATTCAACATAGCGTTGGAAGTTCTGGCCAGGGCAATCAGGCAGGAGAAGGAAATAAAGGGCATTCAATTAGGAAAAGAGGAAGTCAAATGGTCCCTGTTTGCAGATGACATGATTGTATATCTAGAAAACGCCATAGTCTCAGCCCAAAATCTCCTTAAGCTGATAAGCAACTTCAGCAAAGTCTCAGGATACAAAATCAATGTGCAAAAATCACAAGCATTCTTATACACCAATAACAGACAAACAGAGAGCCAAATCATGAGTGAACTCCCATTCACAAATGCTTCAGAGAATAAAATACCTAGGAATCCAACTTACAAGGGATGTGAAGGACCTCTTCAAGGAGAACTACAAACCACTGCTCAGTAAAATAAAAGAGGATACAAAGAAATGGAAGAATATTCCATGCTCATGGGTAGGAAGAATCAATGTCGTGAAAATGGCCATACTGCCCAAGGTAATTTATAGATTCAATAGTATCTCCATCAAGCTACCAATGACTTTCTTCACAGAATTGGAAAAAACTACTTTAAAGTTCTTATGGAACCAAGAAAGAGCCCGCATTGCCAAGTCAATCCTAAGCAAAAAGAACAAAGTTGGAGGCATCATGCTACCTGACTTCAAACTATACTACAAGGCTACAGTAACCAAAACAGCATGGTACTGCTACCAAAACAGAGATATAGACCAATGGAACAGAACAGAGCCCTCAGAAATAATGCTGCTTATCTACAACTATCTGATCTTTGACAAACCTGACAAAAACAAGCAATGGGGAAAGGATTCCCTATTTAATAAATGGTGCTGGGAAAACTGGTTAGCCACATGTAGAAAGGTGAAACTGGATCCCTTCCTTACACCTTATACAAAAATTAATTCAAGATGGATTAAAGACTTACATGTTAGACCTAAAACCATAAAAACCCTAGAAGAAAACCTAGGCAATACCATTCAGGACATAGGCATGGGCAAGGACTTCATGTCTAAAACACCAAAAGCAATGACAACAAAAGCCAAAATTGACAAATGGGATCTAATTAAACTAAAGAACTTCTGCACAGCAAAAGAAACCACCATCAGAGTGAACAGGCAACCTATAGAATGGGAGAAAATTTTTGCAACCTACTCATCTGACAAAGGGCTAATATCCAGAATCTACAATGAACTCATACAAATTTACAAGAAAAAAACAACCCCATCAAAAAGTGGGTGAAGGATATGAACAGACACTTCTCAAAAGAAGACATTTATGCAGCCAAAAAACACATGAAAAAATGCTCACCATCACTGGCCATCAGAGAGATGCAAATCAAAACCACAATGAGATACCATCTCACACCAGTTAGAATGGCAATCATTAAAATGTCAGGAAACAACAGGTGCTGGAGAGGATGTGGAGAAATAGGAACACTTTTACACTGTTGGTGGGACTGTAAACTAGTTCAACCATTGTGGAAGTCGGCGTGGTAATTCCTCAGGGATCTAGAATTAGCAATACCATTTGACCCAGCCATCCCATTACTGGGTATATACCCAGAGGATTATAAATCATGCTGCTATAAAGACACATGCACACGTATGTTTATTGCGGCACTATTCACAATAGCAAAGACTTGGAACCAACCCAAATGTCCAACAATGATAGACTAGATTAAGAAAACGTGGCACATATACACCATGGAATACTATGCAGCCATAAAAAATGATGAGTTCATGTCCTTTGTAGGGACATGGATGAAGCTGGAAACCATCATTCTCAGCAAAGTATCACAAGGATAAAAAACCAAACACTGCATGTTCTCACTCATAGGTGGGAATTGAACAATGAGAACACATGGACACACGAAGGGGAGCATCACACACCGGAGACTGTTGTGGGGTGGGGGGAGGGGGGAGGGATAGCATTAGGAGATATACGTAATGATAAATGAGGAGTTAATGGGTGCAGCTCAGCAACATGGCACATGTATACATATGTAACAAACCTGCCCGTTGTGCACATGTACCCTAAAACTTAAAGTAGAAAAATAATAATAATAATTAATAAATAAATAAATAGGTATTTAATTTAAAATGGGGTCATTAGGGTGGGCCCCAATTCAATATGACTGACATCCTTATAAGAAGAATCTGGGATTAAGACACAGGTGACATTGACAGAGAGGCAGCCATGTGAAGACACAGCAAGAAGGCAGCCATCTGCAAGCCAAGGGAAGAGGCTGCAGGAGAAGCCAAACCTGTTGACACCTTGATCTTGGACTTCTAGCCTCCAGAATTGTGAGATGATAAATTTCTGTTGCTTAAGCCACCCAGTCTGTGGTATTTCTTTATGACAGTCCTAACAAACAAATGCAGCCCTGATTATGCCAGGCATTCTAGATGCACACATGTATATAAGAGAGCCAAAGAAACAGAGAAGGGAGGAGGTGATGAAAAATAAACAAGCACCATCTACAAAGGCTAAATTAAAATGTGGATATATGGTGAGAAAATCCTAAAGATTCTCACATCTGGAACTTTAAGAAAAGAGCTGTATAAAATTTCCAGTGTTTTTTATCAACTGCTTTCAGGGATATTAGTCATTTTTCATAAAAGGAGATAAGATATAAGAGTTCCCTGCATTTTTAGCTGCAGGACCTCGGAAATATTCTGCAGGACAATCAAATTAGAAATTCAGGAGGGTTCTGAGAGTTTTAGTCAAATCCAGGTCACAGTCTGAAATGATTCCTGGTAAAACCATCTACTGTCTCTCCAAACACTTCTTGACCAGAGGATAAGATCTCAAAGCTTTCATTTTACTGAAGGAGAATTAGCTGTGGACTCAAAATCCAGAATTCTGCCACACACAAACCAGAGGATCTTGGACAAGTTCTTTGACCTCTGTGAGTTTTAGTTTTACCATCTATAAAACTATAATAGACAATACCCTATCAATGTGCCAAATTGTTGCTGAAATTTCAAGTGAATTAATGCTTATAGAATCACATTACAAATTGTAGAGGACCTTTCATTATCAGTTCTTTCCAGGTGTGAGAAAGTATTTGTGGAAAAATTAATAAATTTCAAGATGCAAGGAAATAAGATTTTTATAGACAAATTTTGCACACAGATTTGTTGAAATACTTATCTGAAATTCTGATTTCTACTGGTTACTGGGAAAGCTAAGATGCATTGAGAAAAAGATTTTGTATGAAATTAGCATGCCTAGTAATGACTACTGGATTTAACTTTTTGATTAGTAATTCTCATAAATGTTCTTTTCCTGTAGTTTCCCTCATACCTCTGCTTTTGCTATCACTTGTTAACTAACAATACTCTACATTCAAGTCATGAAGAGATATGAGGTATGTAATAACTGACTGGAAAGAACTAGCACTGGGCAAAGCCCCAACTAAATAATGGCTAAAGGAAGGGCATAGGGACTTGGTTCTAGAAAAAAAGAGGGAGTTCACTGGGTCTTAGCATTTCCTCTTCCTGGGATGGCCTTGCCTAAGCTTGCCTAAGTCATTTTTCTTTCATGAAATATCATTCATTCTTTATCCAATTAAACTGAATATGAAGTATTCTAATGAACCAAAGGCAGAATTCATTGCTGACCCCTCTGCTTCTTTGTAATTTCAATCTTACACTGCTTATCACACTGTAATATGGTATTGGATACACCTCTGTTTACTTTGATACCTTACAATAGGGCTCCTTTAAGGACTGAAAGAATCCTGTCATCTTAATGTCCCCAGTAGCACCAATACAAGGTAGGTCTTTAATGACTTTTTCTTGAATTATTGAGTGAATAAAAAAACTACCATCTCAGTGCAATATATCATATCATCATTAACTATTTGCATTATAAATACGATCCATAACAGTACACATTTAATATTGATTCATTGCTCTTTTTCAAAGAAACTACTTACAGATAATGAGTTCTGAATATATGCACATATATGTGTATATATGTGCATGTGTACACACATATATACATGCATACATACATGCACATATATACATGCACACACGTGTATGCGTGTACATATATATACATATATATTTGTATATGTGTGTGTATACATATGAAAACCACAACAGAAATGTACTGAGTGCTTACTCTGTGCAAAATACTATGTACATAAAAAATTCATATTCAGAGTGAATTCCTCACGTAAAAGGAGTTTCTTTTATAAATATTTGCTTAAAATGAATATAACAAAAACATTAATCTGTTACTCTGAGTAGCCACAGGCTTACACGAAATAAAACAATTGGGTATATACTTTCAACTCACTTTACAAATCTTCTCATATAAACAATCTTTTGGAGGTGACAGTCACCCTCTGATTACAGTTGGTTTTAATTTTAGTGCATGAAGTAGCAAAATGATTTGAAAACTAGCCTGAGGTGTCAGCTGTAACAGGCATGACCTAAACGGAAAGAGAATACCAGCAACCAGTACATATCAGTTCTGCCAACTGTCCCCTGCAGGGACAGATTCCACTGATCCATTTGACTGAAGGTATGATCTAAGGAGTTCTTGCATCTGTTCTGTTACTGAGTGTGTAGAAAACAGACAAAATATTTTGGTACTAGAACATGAAGAAATGTAAAAAGCACAGGATTTAGAATTAGGTAGCCATTTGCAACATTATTTTCTATCCATAAGAAACTTTGGCAAGTTACTTAGCTTTTCTGAGCCTCAGTTTTCTCTTCTGTAAAAGAGAGATAATAAATCCAACTTCATAAAATGTTGTAAGGATTACATGAGATAATGGATGCGAATCATCTGGCATATGGTCACTATTCCATAAATGGTGGTTTTACTTCACCCTTGTTTGACTGAGTCTTTGGTTGACAAGAAAAATCTGGAAATGTATGTGAAATTTGACAGGTTGATGCCTGATGCAGAAGCACAAGCTTAATTTTAGTTTGGTAAGAAATAAAGAGAATCTCCTCATTTTTATTATTCATCAATGCAATACAAAAACATTATGTGAACAACAAATTAGCCTCAAATACAATTTTAGAGGTTACAAACTAATGGAAACATATGTAATGTGTAGGCAAATGGACTAATTTTCAAGATCTACTAAATATAAATTACTATGCTTTTACTGTTTTAGCAAAATAGTTACTCATTAAAAATGAAAGCCTTAGATTTTATAAAACATCCACCTTCCTTTTGGGCATTTTAGGGAACTATAGCTCTGACTTATTAGCAACCTTTTCTTTCTTTTCTTTTTCTCTCTTTTTATTTTGGTTGCAACTTTTCTAATCCCAGCTGTTCCTTCAGTGTGCTTTTCTAGAGCACACCGTAAAGGGCTCTCACGAATTCCTAGAGAAGAGCTGATGCTTTCTTAGGTATCTGAGTGGCCACCCTGACTAGGCTTTTACAGGCTGACAGATGGATGTTTTAGATAGGTAGACACATTTTCACATAAGGTTTAAGTGGAAAGGAAACAAGTGTCACATTTAATGCTGATGAATTCTGGTAATGAGATTCTTGTTGGAGGAGGATTATGGGCACATCCCTTTTTGGCAGCTTTCCATGGAGTGAAGAGGAATAGAAGCAATATGCTTACAGATGTTGATATGCCTGTTGCCTTGGCAACATCAGTCCCTGTCTTTGTGGCTGCTGCCAGGAACACAGCATCTGGCTCCGGCCCCATCTGTTGTACTGACTGCAGCATCTGCCTCCACCTTTTCTTCCATGCATCTAGCTCTGGCTCTTTGTCCTCTGCCCTACCTCTGCTATTGCTCTCTGATTGCAACATCTGCCACTATTTGTTCTTGCTTTATACCCACAACTTCAGGTGCTTTAGAGTGTCAGCTAAGTTTAGTGGCTATTGCACTTAAATATTCTTTTACCTATGAAAAGCTGTTTCACTGAAGATGTTTTCCTTAGTCAGACTTTCTGTTCCTGATATTTGGATGATTTCCTTGGCAACTTCAAATTTGCCATTGTAGCATGCCCTAGATTTGAAGAAAATATCTTGTTAATATTGTAAGCAAGTACATGCAGTATACCTGGAGAACCTATGGAATGCTACATAATACTCACAGGTGTAAGGGGGTATCTCCATAGATATTAACAACATGAGGTTGAACTTCCAAATCACTTTGCAGCAGATACTTAACTATATCATGGTGTCCAAATCGAGAACAGAAATGGAGTGGGACATGGTCTTCATTATCTTGAGCATTCACTGTTATCAGCAAGAAAGAAAAAGATATGTTATCTAGAATTGTTTGTTTCTCAACCTTCATATGTATAGTATCATGGACATTTCTAAGTGCCTGAGTGATTCCTGGAAATTGCCAGTTAATGATAATCATAAAGGAAATTAAGGGCGACCAATTTTTAAAATTTTAATGTTATTCTATTGCCTACTACCACATTAAACAGGTTTCCTTCTAGCTTCCATAAATTCTATGGAACACATCAAATCAAATCTATCTTACACAGTGGAACAGTTCGGGAAACTAATAGCATCCAAAAGGTACACGTGGCCTTATTTCTACAAGGATCACATTTCAAATTGATTGTTTTTCTATCTGAATGATGTTAAGAATTACAGATCCTGGCCACAGCACCATTCCCAGAGATTTGGGTTCAGTAGGTTAGAGTGGGGCCCCACAATCTGTATGTTTACAACACTGTTGTAAACAGCTCTGATGTATATCCTTAGCTGAAAATTGCCATACTACAGTATGCAAAGCATGGTATCATGAAGGGAAAAGCAATTTAGACTTAGGCAGACCTCATTAATTCTTTTACTTTAGACAGGTTATTTAAAATTCAATTCTTCATTCAGTAGTAGACATGTGTCCTTCTCGTTGAAACACCCAGCCTTATAACCTCTTCTCACGTCTGGGTAATTCCGTATACTGCAAGTATTAATGAGAAGCCAAGACCACATTCTATCACAGAAGCAGAAAATGTGCTTTCCAAGATCTGTTTGCAGCTAGGGAACAGAAATAGCAGAGGGTGACCATATGTCCTGGTTTAGGCTTGTTATCCTGGAATAATTCTTAATAATGACACTTTTACTCTCAACAGTTCCCTGGTCTGGATACCTATCTGTAGACTCCTCCAATCAACACATCATATGAGACTCTGACTTCAGAGCTGATGACGTAAAATGCAGGGCCTAATCTATCTTGGCAATGTGGCAGTGGTGGCAGTAGCTCCATCCAATTTCCCATGGTAGCAATTCCAGCCACAGATTCAATGCCCTGCATTGTTGGCATCAGAAGCACAACAGTTTATGTGTGCCTAGCAAGGGTGGCAGTGCATCTTCACAGGACCACATTTGGGCATGATTCTGGATGTTGTTCCTCACTGTGAGAATTTCAAACATGGCTTTCTACTCTGTTCTGAGGAAGAAGATTCTGTGTGCTACATAATATCCTTTAATCTACTCCTTTTATGCCTAAATTAGCAAGAGTTAGTTTCTAATACTTGAAAGTAAAAAAAAAAAAAAACAGAAACAAAAACAAAAAAACTTGACAGATACACTCTCTTTCCTCAACAAGAATCAAGTGATCACTATGTATTAGCCATTAAGCTACTGTTGGAGGTATGGATGTCTTATCAGTAACAATGGATATAATAAGATCATTGTTCCAGGGATGCTGAAAAGAATAAAGAGGATCATGATTGGAAAGCGTCTATCTAGCATGATGCTTGTCCCATACTAGACATTTAATAAATATTACTTAACCTTTTTACTAATGTCCATCTTAGAAATTTGCTGTGTCCAAAGCTAATAACAGATAAATGCAGAGTCTATACTCTCAAATAACCTACAGTCTAGTTAAACAGTCAATAATTACAGTCCTGAAGTAAAAACAACTGAACATCAAACTGCTCAATTCCTAATCTGGCTTTAATAATTTTTAAAACTAAAATAATGGAATCAACTGCTCTAAAGCCATTTGTTTTATTGTTTGATTACTTTGTCAATCTAGACAGGGTCTTAATTAGGCCTTGTAGCTGCTATATTTGTAAACAATCATCCTCATTTTATTGTTCTGCAAGATTTTAAGCCAAAGGGAAATCTTTAACAAAGTCACTGAGTTTCTCCTCCCAAGGCTGTTATTACAAACAAACCTTTGAATCTTTTTTTATTAATGAGCAGCTCAAAAAGACGCCTTTCATTCAGAAGAATGTTGGTTCTTCTGATTATCTCCCTTTTAAAAAAGCTTTTCCTTTGTTCACATGCTGTTCTAAGCCAGGGATAGTCAATGCCACAAGTCAATGCTTGAGAACAGTTAGGGGTCCAGGGCATCTGGAGCGTGACATAAGAATTCTTAAGGTTCAGAAGGAAAAATGCAAAGCAGAATGCAGTGCAATCTTCTATTAATTTATAATTTGCCTTTGGCCATCCTTGGCCCCACCCAGTATCCCTCGCCAATTGAATTAGTAAACTTCAAATTAGGTTATTTACTTGGTGAATTATCCACAGTGGCTGAAACATTATTCCCATCAAAGAAGATGTAAATACCAACTGAAGGAACAAGCCAGGACAAATATGGAATCAGACATAGAATTTATGCGTATACATGTCTGTTTTTGCCTCAGTCATTGTGATGTATTTAGTTTTGTCTTCGACCAATTTGCAAAGACAAAAAAGAAAATATATTATTATATCTTAGAAAAATTGAATGCATGAATAACATTCTATTTGCTCTAACTTAGCATCTTATTGAGAAACATATAAAGGAGAATTTAAAACAAAAAATACATGTAAATCATTATTAGGAAAATATCTAGTTCCTGGTGCTCTGTTTTGAAGAGAGTAGGTAGATAGTGATGTCTTTTGAAAGAAATATTGAATATTGGGTGAATGGGTGCTGTTTCTTCTTTATTTCCGCTTATTGACCCTAAAAATAAAATAAAATTTTCCAGATTGACCAAGCAATGTCAGCAGGTCCTATAAGATCTTTAAAATTACTCCCAGGTCTGTCTTTAATAAGCTTTCAGTAACAGATCTGTGTAATACATCCAACAAGCTATATTTCAAAAAATAAAACACTTCCTATGGCTGGACATGTTCTAGGAATTTTTTGTGGCTTTCTGTAATATCCAGCTCTGTCCAGTTGCAAGGATTGTGTTATTTTAAAGAAATATAGCATTTATGATTAAGATGACAGAAATTATTAATTCTAAATTTAATTTTTTCAATTTTTAACATTATCAAAATGGCATATTTTGAAGGCTGTATCACCATTTTTTTTTCTTATTCAGTCCATCAATATTTTAACCTTTTCAATCTCATTTAGGGGGCATTATATTTCTCCTTTTTCATTACCCTAAGAGATACAAAGAAGCAAAACAGAGACTTAAAACATACCTAACTGAATAGGTCAGCCTCTCAAACATGCTGAACCAAAGAGGCTGCTTTCAGAATTACATTTTGGGTAATTTTGCAACCTGAATTTATTTTCATTTGTGACATTCTGTTACCATGGAAACATACTGTAAATACTGGATTTCAAATTGTACTCTCTTTGGGGTCATTTATTTAATCTTTCTCCTATGTCCATTTACCACAAGCAGGGTCCAGATCTAAAATTAATCATTTGGAGGCTTAGCTACATTTTAGAATAAGTGAACTAACTAATAATAAGTCCTGCACAGTGTCCATTGGCATAGCAGATCTTCTGGTTTATTTTTTGCAATTGGTTGAAGTACAAATGGGACTTAAATATCAAGCGTGTACTAGAAAGAAATAAAAATACTTAAAAATGTGAGTCACGCCGTCTCTTGACTTTATAAAATAATTGAATAAGAGGCATGTAATACTTGCGTGCAACAAAAAGAAAATGTTAAAAATTGTATCATATGATGCTGGTATGTAAGGGGAATATGGTTGTAGTATTACACATTTCAATGCCTTTTGCACTGAAAGAGACATGCTGATCATAAATGACATTCATTTTGACACTACTGAGCTCTGGAGTTGTGCAGAGGAATAAAAAGCTAAGGTTGGCATCAATAATGAAAGGAAAAAGTGATGTAGTTCCTGACCCCTTGGAAGAGTGAGGCAGTTTCAAAAACACGATTATGTGTTTAGTCGTTCACACAGGTGTACCTGTGCCTATTCTAGACTAACAAAATGAAACAGACTGCTTAAACAAGGTCCAAGGAACAGCATTCCTTACATCCTGACAACATAGGTTGTTTATAATAATGCTCTAAAGTAGCTGCCTGAGTTACTGCATACTGGCGTATAGAAAACAATGCAAGCTATGTTTCTTACATTTTACGAAATAAAGTGGCCCTTGTTTACAACTTGGAAACTGGAAATTACCTTAGTCTCTTGCCACGGTTGTCTCTAGGATACTTTGTATATTCCTTATGGGTAGATAAAAAACATTGATTAGCTTTATTAACTAAATATCAATCTGAATTTTGAACCAAGGAACTGGCAGTTCCAGAGATTTGACAACCATGTCCTTTTGGAAATGTGTATTGTTCCCGCTGCAAAGGCCAGCAGTTCTTACAGCTGGGCTTTTAATTAGGTCTCTTGGGGGTCGATGGAAGAATGTTGGATATGCCTGAGAGAATTTAATGGCAAGACGCAACTCTGAGTGAATTTTTGTCAAAAAATAAAGTTTGTGAGGAAAAGCGAAAAAAAGAAATTTTTCAATACCTATAGTAAACTTTCCAAAATTTATTTTATAATTAAGAAAATAAAAATGAAAGGAAATTCTATTCTATCAACTGATTCTGAAGTCCTTCTATGTATTCTAAAGCTTTCTTTTTCCCAAATGGATCACACTCAAACTCTATTAAAAAGTATAGTAATATAATATCAAATATTGGGGATGCTGTGGGAAGCAACTGAAATTCTCATATATTGTTGAAAGATTTTAAAATAGTACAAACATTTTGGAAAACTGTCTAGAAATTTCCTAAAACATTAAACATATGCATTATTACCTTTCGATTTATCAATTCTCTCATATATATATGTGTGTTTATATATATATTCAAGAGAGATGAACATATATGTCCACAAAAAGACGTGAATAAGAATGTTACTGGCAATTGTATTCATAATAGAAAAACACTAGAAATATTAAAATGTCTACTAGGAGAAGAATGGATATGCCAATTATGGTATATTCATGCAATCATAAACAATATAAAAGAACAAACTACGATCCATACAACAACATGGATATATGTCCAAATCATCTTGTTGAGCAAAAGAAGCCAGTCACAAAATTATACAAACTTCAAGAACAGACAAAACTATATATAGCAATAAAAGCCAGAATATTAATTACCTTTGGTGGTAAAGTCTATTTACCTGAGATGAGGTAAGGGAAGGGAAAGATAAGATAAGGGAAAATTTCAGAGTAATTAAATATTCTAAATCTTGATCTGGGTGGTTTTCAATGGATGTATACATACATAAATATTCATCAGGTTATATATTTAAGATTTCAGAATTTGCTAGAAGTAAATAATGTCTCAATTTATAAAAGATTAGTGAACAACAGTGAAGACATCTAATTCATCTAAGAGAACTCTTTACTTTCACTGGAGCTCCTAATAACCATAAAAACCCTAGAAGAAAACCTAGGCATTACCATTCAGGACATAGGCATGGGCAAGGACTTCATGTCTAAAACACCAAAAGCAATGGCAACAAAAGCCAAAATTGACAAATGGGATCTAATTAAACTAAAGAGCTTCTGCACAGCAAAAGAAACTACCATCAGAGTGAACAGGCAACCTACAAAATGGGAGAAAATTTTCGCAACCTACTCATCTGACAAAGGGCTAATATCCAGAATCTACAATGAACTCAAACAAATTTACAAGAAAAAAATAAACAACCCCATCACAAAGTGGGTGAAGGACATGAACAGACACTTCTCAAAAGAAGACATTTATGCAGCCAAAAAACACATGAAAAAATGCTCATCATCACTGGCCATCAGAGAAATGCAAATCAAAACCACAATGAGATACCATCTCACACCAGTTAGAATGGCAATCATTACAAAGTCAGGAAACAACAGGTGCTGGAGAGGATGTGGAGAAATAGGAACACTTTTACACTGTTGGTGGGACTGTAGACTAGTTCAACCATTGTGGAAGTCAGTGTGGCGATTCCTCAGGGATCTAGAACTAGAAATACCACTTGACCCAGCCATCCATTACTGGGTATATACCCAAAGGACTATAAATCATGCTGCTATAAAGACACATGCACACATATGTTTATTGCGGCATTATTCACAATAGCAAAGACTTGGAACCAACCCAAATGTCCAACAATGATAGACTGGATTAAGAAAATGTGGCACATATACACCATGGAATACTATGCAGCCATAAAAAATGATGAGTTCATGTCCTTTGTAGGGACATGGATGAAAATGGAAATCATCATTCTCAGTAAACTATCGCAAGAACAAAAAACCAAACACCACATATTCTCACTCATAGGTGGGAATTGAACAATGAGATCACATGGACACAGGAAGGGGAATATCACACTCTGGGGACTGTTGTGGCATGGGGGGAGGGGGGAGGGATAGCATCGGGAGATATACTTAATGCTAGATGACGAGTTAGTGGGTGCAGCGCACCAGCATGGCACATGTATACATATGTAACTAACCTGCATGTTGTGCACATGTACCCTAAAACTTAAAGTATAATTAAAAATAAAAAAGAATTGAGCTAAAACATGTTAAGAAGGATTCGCATGTAGGCCTGATAAATATATTAAAGATGAATTATGACTTGTGGAGCAAATAAGTACATGACTACAGGATTAGTCAACTTCAAGATTATTCTCTAGTAAGAGAAGTACAAGTAAAAGGTATACATAAAGCAAATGATAGCAAAGGTCTTTTAAATATATAATCTTACCATCTGCTTTGCTGCCTTCTTCCATCAAGAGTTTTGCAATATTCAAGAATCCTTTTGCAGATGCTAGGTGGAGGGGTCTATCTCCAACTTCACCACTTACATTTACATCAGCACCAAATTTCAAAAGAAGGCGAGTTACCTAAAGGATTTATTCATTTGAAATCAGTATAAAAATTCAAACAATAATGCAAAACTTTTGGCAGTATACAAGAACACAACTGGCTTAAACCACAAAAATTTATTGTTATATCACCTAGCAAGAAGTCCAAAACTGGAACAATTCTAGGGTTGATTAATACAACAGCTTAATAACTCAAGTTCTTTCTGTCATTCTGTTCTGCCATGCTCAGCAAGTAGGATAGATCAACTCATGGTAGTAAGAGAGCTGCAGCATCTCCAGCCATTACAAACTGAAGTTCACAGGGTAGAGCAGGAGATGACCTCTACCTTTTGGAACAAGCGACCATTTTTTAAATATAGAAATTCCTTCTTAAAAACTCTCCAGAAACCATCTTCCCATATCTCTTCAGTCTGGACTAGGTCATTTGCAACTTTCTAAACCAATCCCTGGGCAAGGGGAAAGATTTACTGTGAGTGGCTTCAGCTAATTAAGATCTAACACACAGTGGCTGGGGATAGGAGCATCTCTAAGCACAACCTCTAGGAGAGAGGTTGAACAGTGAAATAAAATAAGGAGTCAGCAAGGAAGAAAAAAAATATATGGCCCAAAGTGGTAATAGTTGAAATGATAGCTTTGCCTAAGCAAACAATAGTGCCTGCTACTGACCTTATGTTGTTAACGTGAGGGGTAATATCATATACTGATTAAGAGTTAAGGTGCAGTTTAAGATAGTCCTAGATTCGAATCTAGAATCTGATTTATATCAGCTCTGTGTTCTTGAGAAAAATTAGCTAATTTATCTATACCCAAGTTTTTTCATATGTGCAATGGGAATAATATTAAGACTTAACTCATGGGTTGTCATGAGGATTAGATTAGGAATTTGTTTAAAGTGCATAGCACAATGACTGACATACAGTATTTGTTCTGTAAATGTTATTTTTTATTTTTGTTGGTGAACTGAGACAATGTTGTTTACCATTTCTGTTTCAGAGTTAATGTGGGGCTAGATGAGATGCTAGGGAGCTTTGAAAACGTTTTTTAAAAATCATCTCCACATTTTTTGACCTTGAAAACCTACTTTTGTCATTTGCTCTCTTTAGTATCAACTCTCTTGTCAATTTCATAATGTAGGTCTTCACTTTACATAAATAATCCTCTCTAGAGTCATGCAGAATCTTCTCTGAATGATCTCTTCCAAAGTCTCCTTCTGGCCAGAGCCAGTGGTAGTTGACTTGATTCTTGATTTTCATGGCAGCTTCAGTCATATGGGTCTTTTTCTGGATATGTGAGTGAACTGGAGATAGAAACAGTAGCCCTGGCATCTTCTCCATTTAACTGAGACTCTACATCCATAGGGTCAGAGAGGGATAAAGTAATGAAGCATGTGGGAGTCTTCCTGCGATTGTTTCAGGTAATTTAGGAATTCCTTTGAGTCACTTATATATATACTTAAGAACTTTCCAAATAACTTCTGTAAACTTGATATTGGCTCTCCTGAGAATTTCAAAAGTCACCTCAGTGATACTAAGGTTAAGTTAGGATGCCTCTGAATCCTTAAAATAGCAGTTAGGGTTCAAATAGCAATTGACCCCTCTCAATTGTCTTGACCACTGAAGTGTCAGCACAAAAGTGAATTCAAGCTCTAAAACTATTTTTACTTCCCATGAGTCAGCAAATAACCATGTCTTGAGTATAAATCTCTCAAGAATGTGGTAGACATTTGAGAGAAATTCTAGAGAAAATATTAGCTGGGTGTGATGTGGGGAACTGAGTTCCTATTGAGTACAATAGACAAGAGCAAGGGTTTGGAAATCAGTCTTCTACTTATCAGCTATATTGCTTTGAACAAATTGTTTATAGTTTTGATACTTCAGCTTCTTCATTGCTAAAGTTGGAATAATAATATTTCTACCTCTTGGAGTTGTTGTGAGGATTAAATAAGTCATCGCATGAAAAGCACTCAGAAAAGTGCCTGGCATTCAATAACTGTTAGTAAAAGTGGTAGCCCCAACTTGGAGCATGTGCATTTTATCTCTTTGTTGGCTAATGGGCAGATCAAGACTTAATTCAGGTGAAATCAGAACAGCAGAAGTTTAGTTTCAAGAACCTTGCATGCCTAAGCAGATATTTCCACTTACACAGACTCCATATATTCTGATTATGTGACTTTATAATAGACTGATTTAAACTATCTCTGAAATCGATTGTCTATTAAGGACTATTATTACATACCTAGGAAATATTGCTCTTGGTGCAAAACATCTACTCTTCCACTTAAAAATAAGTAAATAAACAAATGACAAGGAACATGGCACATTAGGTACATTTATATATTGAATGTACCATTCTCCTTGTCAGCATATTTTAGCAAATGACAATAGCCTCCATAAATTACTTATGTGCTGCCTTCACACACAGAAAGTGAGTCCCTTATCATAAAAAGGCCATCCACATTTTAGCATAATTTTATAAGACTGTGACTATATTTTCAGGGAAAGTAAACAAATTTAGTTCTCCACCCAACATGCATACAGGCTCTTTATGTTTCTGCTGGGTGATGAGGTTAATCGTCAAAGAGGATGACTCTACAAATAATATGCATTGTATATATCCTGTCTGTGCCTGAGGTTAGGAAATGATGGGATTTTTCCATTACTTGTGCTTTTGGGCCTGTACTTCTAAAAGTATTTTCAGTGCCCAGCTCTTCATTGCACTCCAGTGCACTCTGAGCAGCACATCAATGAAATAAGCAATCTTCCTACCTATAGGTCACGCTTCACAGGTCTTAGAGTGTCCAGGCATATGCCAGCTAGCAGAGGAATAAAGGCACAATGACTATTGAGCACAGGGACACAAGTAAGTTTGATCTTCAACTTGGAACCCTCAGGTGGTGCTGTGGCATGACCTCCAGGAAGGTAAAAAGGTATAATTCTAACCTACAATTGAATGAGTCTAGAAAGACAAAGTGAGGAAGAGTGAAAATGGAGTATTCAATGAACAGTTATATTCGGTTATCCAGTTACATTTGTATTTCTCTCTGTCTCTCTCTTTTTTTTTTTTTTTTTTTTTGTTATTTTCAGTTCCTTGAGTATTCTCACTGTCAAAGGGCAGTGTTTTAAAGAAACATAGAAATTTTGTCTTTTGATATGTTAAGGTTGAAAATCAGCAGACTTTAGAGTTAGAAAATGTTGCCTTGAATTCTGGCTTCTCCATTTAGGAAAATTGTTTGGACTTGATAATTTGTCTCACTGGTTGAAGAAGAATAAGAAGAGGTACTTTGGTACAGCAAAACAATATAGGCTTTGGGATCAGACAGAACTGAGTACATATTCCAGCTCTTCTATTTATTATTAATAGCGCATGACTCTGGCATGCTACCTCACCTGACTGAGCTTCATGTATACCATTGATAAGAATGGGCAAATAGGCTGGGCATGGTGGCTCACACCTGTAATCCCAGGACTTCAGGAGGCCGAGGCAGGAGGATCACGAGGTCAGGAGATCGAGACCATCCTGGCTAACATGGTGAAACCCCGTCTCTACTAAATATACAAAAAATTAGTCAGGCGTGGTGGCAGGTGCCTGTAGTCTCAGCTACTTGGGAGGCTGAGGCAGGAGAATGGCGTGAACCCAGGAGGCGGAGCTTGCAGTGAGCCGAGATCGAGCCACTGCACTCCAGCCTGGGCGACAGAGCAATACTCCGTCTCACAAAAAAGAAAAAAAAAAAAGGGCAAATAGCCAATTTCAGGGTTGTGGAAAAATTAGAAAAAAAGATAAAGGTTCTATCATAGTGCCTATCCCATAGTATAAGCTCAGTCATGTGGCAATTCATTAATTTCATAAAGTTGTGAAGGTTAAATAAAAATCATGTATTGAACAAAAGTATGTTAAAAACTTTAAAGTTTCTATATATATTATTACAGAAAATAAAATTTTATAAATATGGACCTGTTATAGAATCACATATTTAAAGTAAATTATAAAGCACATTAGTAATTGTTTTTATAGAGCCTTTATGAGTTGTTTTATTGTTATTGCCATTAGCATCATCACAGCTATATTTACTGAGCATTTTCCAAACAATTTATATTGCATCCTAACAGCAACCCTATGAGGTTATAATTAATATCTTTCCCCATTTTATAGGTGAATAAATGAAGATCAGAGGGATTACATAACCTACACCTGGTCAAAACACTAGGAATTTTTCAAATTTAGGCTGACTGATTCCTGAGGCCACACACTTACCAATGTACTTTTCTGCCTCTTTGTGTAATAAGATCATCAGCAAAAATGAGTAACATGACAACCGTAATGCTTATATGGATCTACAAGCTCCTCAAGGATGGGTTGATGAGAATATGGCAAAAATAATTCAAATATATTTTAAATATAAACTCTTTGAAGCTAGGACAATTCAACAAAAGCCTACACTTAAGCAACACCTAACCTTTGGAAATCCTACTGTCAGACTTACCTGTTCATGTCCATAGTACGCTGCAATATGCAATGGAGTGAAAAAAACTGCATCTTGAATATTGACATTAGCTCCATGTTGCAACAGCACATCAGCAGCCTGGACAAGAAAATGATTATGGTTAAGAACTTCAGTTGAGTTATCTGCCTATTAAGATTCAGTTTACAACCACCATGCACAAATCTTCATCAGGAGTTGCCACCCTAAAACACAACTTTCTTCCATCCACCTTATCCAAGACCTCCAGTGTCCTGTTTTTTTATGAAAGATAAAGACTAAATTTCCTTAGTATGACATTCAAGGTCCCTTCAATCTGACAGTGTTTGTTTTAAATGTATTTCTCATTAGTCTCTTTCCTAAACCCAATTGTAGAGTCAAACTGCATCCAGCTTCCTGCTCCTTTGAGGCTTTGTTCACATTATTTCTTCAGCCAGAAATGTCCTTCTGCCTCATATATTCATGCTTTATCTCCAGCTAAAATGCCATCTCCTCCCAGATTTCCTCAATTTCCCTCCCTTCATTGCCATCTGCCTGGCTGAAATTAAATGTTACCTTCTCATAAATCTCATATAACTTTCACTCATATAATTTAGAACATTTTTCTATTTATATACATACCTTACCATCCTTACTAAAGAGAAATTTCTTTAAGGACAAAGTGTATGTCAGATTCATCTTTATACTCTTACTCTAGCATGTGATCATGCAAATAACAATCATACAATAAATATTTGTTGAAGAAATGAATGAACAAATGAAAAACCCTACCAGGAACTGTTGGCCAATTGTCATCATGGAAAGCCATAGATTGGTATTTGTAGGGGAGAAAAAAAATATTTTTTCTATCCATTTTAGGTTTATTGGCTGAGGCCATATAAATTAGACTGACAAAAAGGCAGATAAATAAGAGAAAAACAATCAGGAGTTTATTAACATGTGTATTGCACATAAATGGGACTACTCAGTGATGAGTAACTCCAAGTAGTAGTTAGAACTTGGTCTCATCTATAATCTTAACAAAAATTTACAATAACTTTGTAGAGCAGTAATAAGACAAAGAAAAATAACTTTGAACTTCTACTGGCAACAAATTGGGGGAAGGTAAATATATGGAGGAAACTAATGGAAAATAAAAGTTAGTTTTAGCAAAGTTTCTTATATAGATTCCTCTGGTGACTTCTCTGGGCTGATAAGTGTCTAGAGTTATCTCTTGTGATTAACTTCTATCCTTTCTGGTAGAGAAGACAGAAAGGAATCCTTCATAAATTTATGTCCCTCTTTTAGGCAAATAGAGGGAGAGCAAAGAGTTCCTATATCTGTTTCTTTTCAATTTTCTGTAGCTCAAAATAATCAATACGCCAAAGTAGCCTATTTTGGGGAAGCATATTTTGCTACCTTTCACAACAAACTTGTTAATATTTCCAATTTCTTCTCCTAAATACCTGTCTTCGAGTCTCTCTTTTCTGTTCAACACATTGAAATAATTTCCTTCAAATGTGTTCATTTTCATTGTGGACTTTGCTAATGTACTGTCTATTCTTCAGTTGGTCAAATATTACACATTTTGAAATTTTTTCAAAAGTCTATTAGAAGAGAAAACAGAAAGATGGAATTTAAGAGCTCAAGGGACTTATGTCCTATCACCTCTTCTGTTTATATGAACAAATTGCCGCTTAAGTCATGTTTTGTCAATTGTGTGAATCATAGACCTACAGAACTAGGGAGGGACTGTGGACATTACATATCAAACCCTTACATTTTAAAGATAAAAAAATGGAGAACCAGGAATTAAGAAATTTTTCCAGGTCATAGAGCAAGTCAGTGTCAATAGGAAACTAAATCTTTAGTCTCTTGCCTCAAGCTTTGTTTCTGAGTGCTTCATAGTTTGAAATAGTTAATTTTTAATCACCTATTCATCCATTAAACACAATTTATTGAGCAAATATGAGCCAAAACTATTATTTTACATGCTTACCTCATAATTTATTCACTCGGGGATAGCATTGGAGATGCTAATAGTTGTCATATAAAATCACGAATTTTTATTGAAAAATCCGAAATTTCTGATGGGTCCAAATATAAGCAGGTACATAGGCTTCTATACATTCTCACAACAATTTTCTTTGTTAATACTTGAATATTGCTGACTAATGATCAGGAGAATACACATTGTGTACAGTGAGCTGTTTTTATAATACAAAAATTAAAACCACAATGAGCTTTTATTGAGGGACTATTATGTATCAGGCCCAGAAACAAGTGTATCAGTGGTAATCAAAGTCTACTCTGTTTCATGCCAAAACACAGAAAGAGGTGCTCCTCTCCATTTTAAAGATGAAGAAACTGAACCTCTGGGGAGCAGAAGTGAAATTCAAAACCAGGTCTGTTTGACATCAAATCTTGTTTTTACCAGTCCACTCCTCTGACCTTGATTTTATTAACACTAACCTTTAAGTAAATAAAGTAACTAATTCAATCCCAGATAGGAAGAAGCCATCTGTCAGTAGAGGCTCCATAGATTTAGACTGAAAATGAATGCTGAAGCCATTTATAACAAGAGCTTGGTATCTTTAGGCTTCACATGCCTGGGAATCTCAGGAACCTTTGAAGGAGGCCCCTAGCAATCAAGGTAGATTAAGCTTTTTACAATTCCTCTTATTTTAAATATAGCATAAAGTAGACAGCATGAATTTTTATGCAAAACGGACTTTCAAATGTTAACCTATAGAGCCAATTTCTTAGGCATGCTTCCACAACTTTCATTCTAAAAGATAAGAGTTCTTAGGCTTTAATAAACAGTTTAAAGCCATTTTTTTTCCTCCTAAGTTTGCACTTCTCCAGTTATTCAGAAGGTCAACATTTGGCTGAACATTCATTAATTATGAAGTGTTGGTTTTCTGAGAAAGTGTCAAAATGTAAGTTTTAATGAAACCATACAGAGTCATTTTTGAATTGTAGGCTTTACTTAGTTTGTTTTAAAATTCAAGAAAATATTTAACCATTGAGAGCAATGCATTTTAGAATTATCTGATTTTAGCTAATGAGTAGAATTCATGTACTAATTTGTATGACCTTTGGAGTAATGATGGGGAGAGTATCTCCCAGCATTCTAACGGGAATATGGTATATTGTCCGTCACGTGGACTAAGACAAGTACACTCATACCAACATTTAGGCTTCAATATATACCTATCAAGTTATTTTACTCATGATTCATCTGCTTCAGAACCTGAAAAAGTTGGTAAATCAACTTCACACTCTTTCCACTACATGAAACTCTTGTGAAGTCACAGACTGAATCTATTTTGTTCCCTACTATGGTAGGTAGGTAATAGGCATCCAATAATTGTTAAATTGGATGTATTTCCAGTACAGTTAAAGTACAAATTTGGAAGGTATATATGCCACCAGGCATAAGGTAATATAAACATTAATAATTAGGACTTAATTATATGATAGAATTTTTAAATAATTCAATTCATCAAACATTTATTGATAATTGATTTCAAATTAACCTTCAGCAAATCTCAAGTGTTTGCTATATTCCAAGACCTGTTATTGGAGTTTTAAATATATTATTAACATTTTTGCATGGTATATATTCTGTTATTTTGAATTTTTTTGTGAGACTATATGGTCATGATTTTTTTTCTCAGAAAAAAATAACTAGTAAAATTTTAAACTAGAAACAGATTTTATGACAGCTATCTTAATATACTTTAAGGATATAAATCTTTAAACACTTTAAGGATATAAATTGTATCATACTTAGATTTATATAACTGACATAAATATACATCTTAATATTATTATTAAATATGTGTTTAATATTATTAAATGTATAGAATATATATTTATATAAATATATGATTATATTTAATAATAATAGTACTGATATATAAAAAGACATATCTGACATATAATAATACTATTAATATAATAGTAATATATAATAATACCACTGATATATATATATTAAAAAACTACTACTGAGATATATATTATATATACTCAATATATAAAATACTGAGATATATATATTAAATGCTACTACTGAAATACATATATAAGAATAATACTGAGATATATATATATCTCAGTAGCAGTATTTTATATCTCAGTATTATAAAATATATCTATATAAATATTATTAAATATATATATCAGTAGTATTATTATCAAAGAACTAAGATTTAAATATGGGCTGGTAACTTGGTACTTTTCACTGATGGAAGGATAAGGACTATAAATTGTCTCCCATTAAGTGGTTGTTTTATGAGCACAGAAAATAAGTCAGAGCTCTTTATTTTGATAGTATAACAATTACTGTATGAATTACCCTTTACAATATTTTTATTTACCAGTTGACTCTCAAAAAACATCCAAGTGAAGTTCCTCCAGTTTCTAGCTTGTAATTTAAACACGATTTGCACATTCTGCTTTTTCTTTTTCCTTTTTTTTTTTTTTTTGACACGGAGTCTTGCTCTGTCTCCAGGCTGAAGTGCAGTGGCGCAATCTCGGCTCACTGCAACCTCCACCTCCCAGGTTTAAGCAATTCTCCTGCCTCAGCCTCCTGAGTAGCTGGGACTACAGTTGTGCACCACCACGCCCAGCTAATTTTTGTATTTTTAGTAGAGACAGGTTTTCACTATGTTGGCAAGGATGGTCTAGATTTCATGATCCGCCCACCTTGGCCTCCCAAAGTACTGGGATTACAGGCATGAGCCTGCTTTTTCTTTTTAGAATGTCTTCCCTTCTCTTTCTCTGTTTGCCACACACCCAGTCTCATGACCAAGCTCAGTTCTCATGTTCTCCATGAAAAGCTTTTGAAAATAGGTCATTGTATTAATCACTTATTTTCTGAATGCCTATAAAACTTAGTGACACAATGTAATCTTTCTGGTAATTAACACTGTGGGTAAATCACTCTTTCATAAAATTTTAAACTTATGTTCCAAAGTTGTCTCTATAAAGTGTAAGAAGTTTTGACTCCAGGTAAAAGGATTTTTCACCTGAGGCCCTGAAATTTAATCCTTATAACTAAAATAGCCAGACCTTATTTAAAATCTCAGAAATTCCAAAAGTAATGCCTATAATAACAAAGGGCCTCACTGTTATTTCTTGTTAAATGTTTTTGCTACAGTATAACTTTAACTTATTTGACTTGGTTCCATTTAGCTCCCTCTCTTTTATTTTAAGGAAGTCATTGGGCAGGGTTAAAGGAGAAAAAAGAATGACCGTATAAAGAGGAACCAAATGTCCCATGGAAGAGAAAATAGAATAGGGTAAATTCTAGATGAAATAAAATGGCAATCAATCTCAGTTGAAATTGCCAAACCAAATACAGTGTCTCATACCTAGCAGACTTTCAATAAATATCTACACTTGGAAATTAAATTTTTCTTTGCTTTAAGTGGTATTTTATTTTCTATTATTTCTTTGGATCTTCTTCAAATTCATGCTTATACCAATGTTTTCCTTAAGATTTACAGTTTGCTTAAAGCTACAATTTTCTCTTCTCTATGCCTGTGTCTCACCTTTATTATTGAGATTTATAGAGAGAAGAACAATGAAGCTGTATTGGGATGACACCCATTTCCATTTAGTGGAAAAATCTGCATTAGTAAAGCTTTAGAGGAAAAATTGTTTTTCCAAAGTGATGACTTATCAATTCAAAATGATCCTAAAGACATTAGCATGAAAGTTGATTTAGGATTGATATTTTTTCCAGTTATTTTCAGTTCTGACATTCAATAACCAGTTCTCAATTATGGTCCCCTCCAACTATTGTCCTTCCTCCTAAACTTCGTAGACAATTTTTTAAAGAGTCATCTCCAACTTTCCTCTACCTTTCCTCACCTCCTATTCACTCCTCAGCCCACTACAATCTGTCTTTAGAACTCACCACTCCAGGGATATTTCTCTGGAAAATGACATCAAAGGCCCCCTAATTGCCCATTCTCATGGATGCTTTTTAGCCTGTAGTGGATTCTTATAATTTTACGTTTTCTCAGGATTCATTTTGAATATAAGTTTTCTTATACCACAAGCAGGACTTAGTCACCAGGGACACAGTTTCTAATTCTCTGCCTCTTCCCAGTTCCTCAATGTAGTTGATCCAGATACCTGCCATGTATGACAATCTCCTGGTGACCCTCTCCCTATGGGACAGCTAGACATAATCACCAGGTCCGTCCCACAGACCTGGCTGAGCGATGGATGAAAGGGGAGTACTCAGACACAGGTATGCAGTGTAAGAGCAGCTAGGGGTCTGCAGGGCTCTAGTGGCCAAAGTGCAAGCTGCTTGCTTTTATTCAGTGTAGACATAACTCCAAAAGCCTGGAGCAAACACAGTCTGTGGGTAAGTAACATTTATTGTTCCCCTTTCACAGAAACTCATGCATGCGGATGATCAAAGGTCAGTTCCTGGTCAACATAAATAAACAAGCCTGTTTAAGATTAATTCCCCCACACTTACTTGTACCTACTCCTTGCCCTCTGCCTCAGTGTCAGAGAACAGCTGACTTCAGCTTATTCTTCCCCGAAGGTATGCAGAGCCTTCTGACCTTTCAGAAGGTCTGCTCCTTTCCCTATAGTTTCTCCCACCACTCTGATCGATCTCCTACAATAATCTACTTGGCTTGCTCCTCTGATGCTCACACCTAGCACAACTGAGCAGCAGATAAGCAGCAGTGATCCCTCTCAATCACAGCAAGGCCCCACAGAGCTAGTGCCTGCTTACTCTAAAGCCATTAATTAGAACTTCCCTCAGGAAACCCACTTGTGTAACTGTTGGATCCTTATTGGAACCCAATAAAAGCTTTAGCATAATGGTCTCTCTTTCTCTCTCTTGCTCCCCACGTGCTGGTTGAGTGTATGTGTCCTGAACTGTCCCTGGCCCCACTTCCCACTGGCCCTGTAAGGTGTGCTGCCCTCTTCTTTCTGAGATCTGTAAGTTTATCTTATAAACTCAGGTTTATGGGAGCACAAAGGCACCAAAAAGCACACATGCTTCTTTTTGTCTTATGTGGTTTTATTTGGGACCAGCTAGTAATTCCTTCCCGCCGCAGAAAGTCCTATTGAGCAGATAGCTTTTCAAAGGTATTTCAGTGATCATCATATTGGCAGCATATTTGTAAAAAGGATCATGACTATGTTACTGTTTGCAGTTGACAGCTTCTGTTATTTCATGTGCTTTGTTGAGTTGCCTCCTCTGTATCTCACCTGACTGACATATTGAGCCTGTTTTCTAAGTCAGGGCTCTCCTAAAGAGTGACCCTCCTTGTAGGAAAATACTGGACACAGGTCAGATAAGAGCCACAAGGAGGTCTGTAAATATCAACAAGTTTCCTGTGAGAGAAGCAACTGGTCACAAATTGGACACTTAGGTATTTGGCTATCTGCCAAGATAAAGAAGTAGCTTTATCTTGAAGCCCTGTCAGGGCAGGACTAATATTTATAGTCCTCTTGTGAGGGAGACCTCAAGACCAAATTATGACCTTTTCCTTATTTGACTGTTTATCCAGCATTTGTTACTATTGTCTACTTCTTCCTTAAGATTTTATTCTCCCTTAGATTGCTTGACACCACAATTTTCGAGTTTTCTTTCTACCTCTCTGCCTACTTATTATTATTCCTCCATAGAAATGGCTTTTTCGGTTCATCTCTTAAGTGTTGCTTTTCCTCACTGACATTTGTGTTTCCTTTTGTTCTCCTTTGTTTCCTGTAATTCTTTTGTATTAATTAATACATGTAAAGCACTTAGCACAATGCTTAGTATATAAGAATAAATATTCCAGAAGTGATAGCTATAGATATTTTGCTCTACATATCCTTGATTGATTTCATCTAAGACTACTACTTCTACTCCTGCTACTAGAAACACACACACACAAACACACACACACACGTGTTTTTCTTAGACTTCCTCCAATACTGGATCTACCTTCTTTGGCAACTGATAGTCCTGTTTTGTATCTTTTCCCTATTTCCCAGCCACCTTTGCCCTCGGCTGATATTGTCTTTGCATTGATCAAATCTTTACCACTTGCCTTTTGATTCTTGTTATTTTGAATGAAGCATTAGAAGGCAAAAAAAAAAATGTGTGCTAGTGGGCCAAGAATATCTATTTCATTTAATGTTCACAACAATCATACTGAATTGTTATTAATAGCCGCATTTTAAAGATAAGGACAGTGAAGCTCAGAGGTTTACAGCTTGTAAGGAAAAACACTTAAGTTTAAACTCAGGTTTATGAGAGCACAAAGGCACCAAAAGGCACCCATGCTGCTTTTTGTCTTATGTGGCATTATTTGGGGCCAGCTAGTAATTCCTTCCCATTGCAGAAAGTTCTATTGTGGAGACAGCTTTTCAAAGGTTGTTCAGTGATAGTCATATTACCAGCATATTTGTAAAAAGGACCATGATTATATAATTGTTTGCACTTGACTGAAAAAAAAAGTTAAACATATTCTAAGTCATATGTTAAGGGTCTTGCAGAGTCTTATATATTAAAATGAGAATTTTAGCAATTTTTCCATATAGAGATGCACCAAGAGACTTTAAGAAAGAGTAAAACATGTTTAATTTGCATCTTAGAAGGATCTTTCTAGGAAAACTGTATGGATTGAATGGATTGAAGAAAGAACAAGACTGGAAACAGGTAATCAGTGAGTAACATCCTGCAGTAAGTTTTGTTTTGTTTTGTTTTTAAGAGATAAGAATAAAATGAGCTGAGGTAGTAGTGTTGGCCTGGAGATGGAGAATGGATTTCAGATATATTAAGATGGTAGAATCGCCCAGCAAAGTGCCTGTGATCCTAGCACTTTGGGAGGCCGAGGTGGGCAGACTGCCTGAGCTGAGGAGTTTTAGACCAGCCTGGACAACATGGTGAAACCCCATCTCTACTAAAATACAAAAAATTAGCTGGGCGTGGCGATGTGCACCTGTACTCCCAGATACTCAGGAGGTTGAAGCAGAAGAATTGCTTGAACCTGGGAGGTGGAGGTTGCCGTGAGCCGAGATGGTGCCACTGCACTCCAGCCTGGGCAACAGAGTGAGACTCCATGACAAAAAAAAAAAAAAAAAGGTAGAATTAGTCAGAATGACAACATATGGGAGGCTGGTGATAAGTAAAGATGAGAAGAAATGGTCAACAAATGACTATAAAAGAGGATGCCTACAAGGGGAGATGAACATGAAGATAAAACTTTGTTTACTTCATGAACTTACAAAGTAGGAAAATCACCTTGAATTTTTGTCTCTTAATTACTTGTAATAGCTAGTTTATTTTGGTTACCCTTGGCAGAACTGTGCTCTTATTCAACACCACAAACTGTTTCCATTGGGGTCAATCTCTCAATCAAGATTTGAACATAATTCTCAAGGTTTCAAACAAATGAACTGAAAGCTATGTCAATTAAAATTACCAGGAATTGTTTACCCATTTGTATTGAAGGCTTATATTGCTTAGAAAGCATTTTAGATGGTAACATTTGCTTTAGAGTTACCACGCCCTTTTTTGACTCTATGCTCTAATTTCTATAGGCTTTTCTATTTTTAATTTATATATTTATATAATCTCCACTCCTTGACAACCATTACAAACGTTAGCTGAGATTTCTCTATGTCATGTGATTACAGAGTTTTTCAGTTATAACATTGGTTGAATATTTTTGTAATGACTATTATTTTCTTGACATATCTCTAATTAAGTATTTGAGTACAAAAATCTATTGGAAAATAGTTTCTTCAGGCTGTCACAGAAATGAGGTCTTTTTATGTGATCTTTCTCTTATTATCACAGGTTAAAATTAAATTGGATCTTAAAATTACACAGAAGATGATTCCACAAGATAATATCATAAAAGAAATTAAAAGGAAGCTCTAAAAAGTCATGGAAATAAAACTTAGAGACACACACTAACTTATGTATATAAAATAATTTCATCAGTTATATAAATTTAGCATCACTTCTCAGGAAGTGATGAGAATACAAGCAGAAAAGCTGATGGATAGAGAGAGGGAGGAGAAGTGAGATGAGGGCAAGGCTGAAGATACAAGTGATATCATTTTATAGAGGTAATAATTGAAACTAGCAAGTAACATCCTTTCACTAAAGTAAGAGGAGATATTTGTAGGATATTTATGGTTTAAAACTGGGGAGGAAGGGAGCCAGAAAGCGAAAGAAAAGACTCATCTAAGAAGCAGAGAACAAAAGAATGCCTGTCAAGGGAGCCCACCAAAGAGATATTTGTAAGAAAAGAAAGGCAGATTTTCTGTGTTGTTCAGTTAACCATCATCTTGCTGTGCTATTTGCTTCATTAGATGTATACATTTTTCCCCCATCATTCTCTTATGTGGAGCTCTTATTTTAAAGTCCCTGGCTGAGAAAACAGGCTTTCAATGTTCATGATGCTATGACCACATCATGTTCTATGCATTTTAAAAGCCAAAATTCTGTTTTAGGGATTTATTTATATAAATTGCCACAGGCCCCACAGTTTTCACTACATTGCAACTGCTCAAACTTGGAAACTGGAGTACAAGTTAAACTCCCTCCTTCTCACATTCCTCCTCACATTGCACCTATCTTCAACCTCACATTACAGAGGAATGAAAGTAGCATCTGACAACAGTTTTTTTCATGACTTTCCTCCCCCCTACTCAACTCACCTGTTCCTCTCTTTTTTCAGAAAAAATATCTTCTGCCAAAAGTATTTTGAAAACCAAAGTGATTTGCCTCTACTTGAAAAATCAACTTCTAAATTACACTCAAAAGGTGAGTTGGAGTCATCTAATAAGACATAAGAAGGGACACAAAGATTTTGCGTCTTACACAGACTAAGTAATAAAAATTCTAAACGTTATGTCATTGGTTAATGAGTATCAAGCAGCTGGAATATAAAACAAAAAAGACAACATTAACAATTAAATCTTGGGCTCAAGGGTTAATCTTGTTGCAAGTACATGTGTAGAATATGAAGTGTGTGCCTTTTTTGGAACTCCTTCATTAATAAAACCAGAAAACTGACTATTTAATATATTGCAAGATACTTTCTTAATTTATTTTAGGACAGCAGATGTGTGTAATCAGTTGTACCTTACAGACTATTTAACAATAAAATTGAAAATGTTGGTCTGCAAAAATTTTAGAATAAGTGATTCCATGAAATTGGTGCTTCCACAGTTGTAAAAATGTTTAACTGGTTATGAAACACTATGCTTTGACAGATACAGAAATGGATTATGGATAATTTTCTTTCTGAGGAAGAGTTTATCAAAATGAAGAACACACATCATCTAGTCAGAAACCTATTATTGGGAAGGAAAATAGTAAGCATAATGGTGGTAAATGTATCAACCATTCCGTTGGTTATATTAAACCATGTTAAGGTAAATACAGGGTGGCTAAATAATAGAAGCCTACAATAAAAATAAAAAGAAGCACAATATCACACGCGCCCAAGTAGTTTTGGCTTCAGAAACAGAAATGAACAAGATATAATTGCAGATGGGACTCAAACCCAGACTTCTATAACCCAACACATGGCTAGGAAATGGCAGAACCTGTATACAAACACACTATGCAGGCTTGCTCCAGAGCTCATATGACTAAACTGCTATGCTATGCTATGGTCAAAAACCATTGCTCTTGGAGCCAAGTTTTCCAAAAGTTTCAAATATTTTCACACTTTTATTCAATGAACTCAGAACTCAACCTGAGTACTATGACAGAGTAGAGCTAGGTGGCACCTAATAGTAGGGGGCATAACCCAGCACCCGTTTCTTGTTCCCTGCATGACTTCCAAGGTACCACTGGAACCTTAGACATCAGAGAATACATATTGAAAATCATTGTTCCACAGAAAAGAGTTGTTACTTTTTGGAGAATAGCATTGCTACCATATCTACTTGCCAGGCCATGTTTGCTCCTAGATGAAGATGAGGCCAAAACATGAGTATAGCATCATGCTAAGTTTCCTGGGGTAATGGAGTCCATATCTTCGAGACATAACAAGTAATCTCTCTATGAATCCATCTCTCTATGAATCCATCTCTCTATATATTTGATATTGTCTTGGATAAAATATAAGTGGTATTGCTTCTACATGAGGCTAAGTAGTTCCCTTGAGTTTGGGGTTGACATAATTAATGACTTATTTCTAACAACTAAAATATACAAAAGTTATAAAATGTCACTTCCAAGAATAGGTTACAACAAGATTATGATTTTGTCTTATACTCTCTTGACCTCTCCCTCAGGTGCCTTGTTGTGAACTGCCCTATGGATAGAAACACATGGTAACTTTGATGCCTCTGGATAGCAGCAAGTATGCACTTAAAGCCTGCCAAAGTCCATGTGAAGAAGCATGGAAGTGGATTATCTTCCAAACACTCACTGACATGGCTACAGCCTCACCCGACACTTTTACTGCAGTCTTCTGAGAGATACTCCCTAAGCCAGGGGATCCAGCTAAGCCATTCCAAGATTCTTGACCTATAGAAACTGCAGTATAATAAATGTTTGTTTTGCTAAGCCACAAAGTTTTGGGGTGATGTTTTATATAACAATAAATAGTTTAATATACTATTGTGCCTCTCAATTCACTATTTAAAACACCCAGGTTGGAAATGACTTTTACATTGGAATAGTTACTTACGACTTACTTGTAAATATTAAAAGAGGAGCAACAGCTCAGATCAATAAATATTTTTGAGTACCTAGCTATTCTAACCACTGTGCTAGGCACTGGGGGTCAAAAATAAATTAATTACTCCAAAGCAACATACAGGTTAGTGGAAGAAACAAAATAACTATGATATAAGGTACATGTAAATTTGATGATGACAATGTGTGAACTATCACAACAAAGGCAAAAAGCTGTACATTTTACATTCTGTCTGGGGAAGAAAGAGAAAGCTATAGAGAGGTATAAACCTAAAACGTGAAATAGAAGTTTTCTAAGCAAACAGGGGAGGATCAAACAATTTATCCATTCCTCAAACATTTGCTCATCCACTGGCACCTGGCACAGAGCATGTGCCCGCCAAATTCAATCCATTCTTAAAATCTAATTCGAAGTGTACTCTCTTCATAAAGCCTTCTTAGACCTTGAACTTTATTGAATTAATTATCTAGACAAGTGATTAAATATCCTGGTAACCTAAGAGTCACACTGAGGCTTTTAAAAAGAATTTATTACAGATATCCCCTCCAGAATTACTGAATCAGAATCTCTCAATACCACAAATCTACATTTTAAAATAGCTCCTTAGGGATTTCTTCATGCATCCAATATGGAGTAACAGGGACTGGATTACTCTTACCTGAGACAATCTCAAAATGGGTTAAATGTATGAAGCATTAATTTTCAACAAATGAAATTGGACATCAGGCAATGAAGGACAATAGTTCCTAGGCGATGAGAACAAATTCGATGAGCCCTACAATTGCCCCAGTTTATTATCTTTAGAGAGTTTCCAGGCCATGATATAAAAGGGGAAATTCAGACAGACCTAGGCAAACTACCTTTCTTGAGAAGACATAGTTGAGAGTCTGGAGAAAGCGAGGTGGCTATAGTTCATAAAATAGATTAGCAAAGACAAGAAAACTGTGCAAAGAAAGAACAGCAGAGATATGCAGGGGGTTCCCCTGGATGACTCAGCAGCGCATTGATCAGCGGGTCCATCTGAAGAAACTACTACTGATTGGGAAATGGACCAACAGAGACAATTAGTGGCAACAGTGCCCAGGGCTGACACAGGTCCAGGGATAGACTCTATTCCCACTACCCAGACTGGAAAACCTCCTTTGAGAATAAAAGAGGGTTGACTTAATTACTCCAGAAAAACAGACATAAAGCAGGAGTGTCCTGAAGAATCAGGAATATGTGGTCACTCTACAAATAAGTCTCCTAGTCACCTGGTCCCTGGCCATTTTCTCTAGGCTTCCATTCCACCATATTCCCTAACTCAGTTCCTGACATACCCTCTTTTCATGTGTCCTCACTGCATTTCCTCCAGCCAGAAAGCTCTTATACCTGCTATTTCCTTACACCTAGATTTCCTCTCCCCAGAAATCTCCCTCTGTACCCCAGCTTCTTATTTCTAAAGTGGAAATAATAATTTTACCTACCTTGCAGGGCAGTTATAAAGATTGAGAGTTAATATTTGTAAGCCACTTAATCCATAGTAAGCATTATATGTAATTGTTACTACTACAGCTAATACTATAATTATTATTTCTTCCTCTCTTTACTTGACTAACACCTACTCAGATTCTCAGGTTGTAAGCCAAGTGATCAATTCCTCAGTGATTCTCTTCCAACCTCCATGACCATGGATATATACTTTCAGCAAATATTGTGTTGCCTATGTGGCAGGCAGATGCTGTGTTAGGAACTGAGAATAATGAAACGAAAAACAAAAACAAAGTTATGTGTGTTTGTTGAGCTTATATCTTAGCCAGAAGACAGGCAGTAAAGAAAAGGAAATAAAAGATAGACTGTGTTATATAATGATCAGTGCTGGAGAAAAATAAAAGAAGGAGGCTGGGCACAGTGGTTTACGCCTGTAATCCCAGCAGTTTGGGAGTCCGAGGTGGGCAGATCACGAGGTCAGGAGATCGAGACAATTCCGGCTATCATGGTGAAACCCTGTCTCTACTAAAAATACAAAAAAAAAAAAAAAATTAGCTGGGCGTGGTGGCAGGCGCCTGTAGTCCCAGCTACTCAGAAGGCTGAGGCAGGAGAATGGCGGGAACCCAGGAGGTGGAGCTTGCAGTGAGCCAAGATCGTGCCACTGCACTCCAGCCTGGGCGACAGAGAGAGACTCCGTCTCAAAAATAAATAAATAAATAAATAAAAATTAAAAAAAAAATAATAAAAGAGGGAAGCAATTAGACAGTATCAGAGCTAGGATGGTCTGGAAGGGCCTCCCTGAGAAAACTACATTTGAACCAGAACTGTATGAAGGTAAGGGAGTAAGACATTCAGTAACTGAGAAAGAAGAAAAGTCCGGGTAGAGAAAAGCAGGTCAAAGGTCCCAAGGCAGGAGCATGCCTGGCATGCTTACGAAACTTAAGGTTGAAGAGGAATGAATATAAAAAGAGTGGAGATGAAGGTTAGAAAGGAAATGAGTTCTTTTGTTCTGAATAATATGGGAAGTCTTTGGAACAGCAGAGTGGCATATCTCATAGACTTTAAAAATCTCATTCTGGCTACTATGTCAAAACAGGGTAATGGAGAAAAGGCAGAGGAAAGGAGATCAAGTTACCCTCTTTTAGGCATAGCATCATGGTGATCTTTCTCACAGCTTTTATCCTAGTGGCAGTTTTATGTTTCTTGTTGATTATTTGATTGCCAGTCTTTTTCACTAGACCATAAGCTTGGTGAGGCTAGGAATTATATGCGATTTTATTCACCATTAAATTACCAACATTGAACACAGATCTTGGAACCTATTAGTTGCTTGGTAAATATTTGTTTAATAATTGTGTAAAAGAATCAGTGAATGTATATAATTATATTTCAAATTTTGATTTCTTTAGCAGATTGTAAATTCCTAGATGGCATAAAGCTATATTTTATACTTCTTTCAATTTCTACAATTATCCTATATCCTTGTGCATAGTGGTCAATAAGTGTTGATTAACTTGATTTGCTGTTTCCCTAGTCTATTTTTATATCTCCTACAGTATAAATTTCCTTGAAGAAAAATATGTAGAACACAAAAGAAATCTTCTAGAAAGTCAAGATAAGCTTTAAAAAGTCTAAACAGATAGCATGAACTCTTAAGGTTTACATATTGCCAGAAACTATGAAACTAACACAAAGGAGAATCGATGATAGATTTTTTCCCCCTGTCTTTTGGGAAATAAGACTTGATAATAGAAGTTTATTTATAATCATAGCTGCAAAATTGCCTCTAGGAAAGCAATAATAATGGAGCAAGCTATCTTGTTTTCCTACAAATCCAGTTAAAAAAAAAAACCAAAAACTTGGTTTTATTTGTCAAAATCACACCAAGAGAACCAAACCTACAGCATTTACCAAACCAAGTCTCCATCCAGCTTACTAATTCTCTGACATTGTAATATACAAATGTAGGCATTAATTGGTTGACTGAAATACACAATAATAATACATTTTACTGCTTGGAGATACGTGATACATTTTAAATACACAATAAATATATTATTCATCCTCTAATGGTTCTTCACTGGGCTGAAAATACATAATGTGTTTAAATATCAGTCTTGGAAATAGTATTTAAACTAGACTAATAATGGAATCTTCACTGTTTCTGGTCACTTTTTCTCTTCTAAAGACACTTTTACTTGTAAAATTGCTGGTATAAGCTCTCTTTCATTATGTGACAAATTCACATTACTAAATCAAAATAAAACCTAATTTCTGTCCATGAATAACTTGTATGCAAATCACAGAGTATATGCAGCATTCACGTAACAAAGAGGTTATAATGGGTTGTATTTTCTTTCCGGTAATGTTCTTCATATGCTTGAATTTTGGTCACAATTAACAGAGGCTTCGTAGAGGCATTTCATGATTTTTTTCATAATAAAATAGGCAGGGAGTGAGGTAGAAACAAAAGTTTCAAATTGCTTTTCTTCCTTTGACCTATTTCCTAAGTATAAGATATAAATGACTCAAATCATTTTCCTAAGCTCTAGCAAAATGTAAACTATAGTTTAAGAGCCTGTGGTGTCTCTTCACTATTATCTAACTACAAACATGTTTCTACCCAAATTGTAATCAAATTAGAGGAAACAAAGACAATTACATATATATTTTTTCACTATCAGCATTTCATTTTATTATGACTTTGATCACTTCTCTATTAAGAACATTTTCAGGAATATTTATAAATGTGTTTATGACATCAAGTTGTGCAACCCAAGCAGTTGCAAAGGATGCTGTACTTAGGGTGACTTCCTGCATGACTTAATGTTCTGCTGTTGCTGTCTTGAAATTGTCCACACCCCCATTTTTAAACAAGAGACTCTACTTTCATTTTTTTCATTGAGATCTGAAAATTATGTAGCCTGTTCAGAGAAGTAAATTAGTCAAATTTTTAAGCAGATCAATAATATGCAAATGAGATAGATACAAACAAAGAAAGCGACTTTATTTGTTGTAAATATTTTGACAAAATGTTCTTTGTTAAAGAAAATTTGAGTTAAAAAAATTTCAGTGCTAATCAGAATCAACCAAGAAAACACCTTGAAAGTTTTGAAAAACAGCTATTTTCTTTTCTAGTTCTTCTGAAATATACCCTTAGCAATATTCTAAATGATCACCAAAGATGGATGAAAAAATATAGCAGGCCCTGAACTTAAAATAAAAGTTAAATATATATATATTTATATATATATGGGGAATACTGTGAATAAGTCTTTTAAATGGCCAACTTTAGAACTTGAAATCCATATATATACATATATATACATATATATATATATATATATATATATATATATATAATGAACTTTCTCCTGTCAGCTTCCCTGAGGTAATATTCTTAAAGGTTCCCTCTCTTGGGCTCTACAGAATATCGGTTAAGACTTCAGTCTTATCAGAGGTTAAAATTTAGACTCTGAAACAACAGCTGTATGATTTGGTACAATTTACCTAATCTCTGTTTTTCTCATCAATAACATTAAGTGAGGATTAAATTTGATGATATAATAATAAAGTAAGCAAAAGCCCTACCTAAAGTAAATTCTTCATAAATATTCACTCCTCAGCTCTAAGATTAAAGCATCAACACAGAGTACAGAGAATAGCTTTTCACCAGGCAGGCCCTGAGACAGCAGAGGATCCAAATCATGCTCAGCACTATGTCTGAAAGCAAGGCAAGTCTAGCTCTGTAGGGCAACTCTGAGTGCTAGATCTATGGAGGGAATGCAGTAGTTGGGAGTCCCAAGAGTACTACTATAGTCCAGCAGGCAGATGATTGTCCTCTGGACAATCTGCTAAACCTTAGTGAGGCTCTAAAAGCCAAGACTCCAGGTTTAGGAAAATGCCTGACCAAATGAAGACAGGAAAAGAGGAGCCTAAACAGAAAGCCAGACCTGGGAATTGGTGTCAGAAAATTATGAGTCTAGGGTGGCTTCAGACTGTGTCAACCTGTAATTATCTTCCAAGTGTCTAATGAATGCCTGCTCTGTGCCAAGCACAGGAGATAGACAGGCCTGGTCCCGGATTTAGGTTTACTGTATAGAGTGGATAAATAAAATATGTGATGTCAACGTGGTGAGAGAAGAACGGTAGAGATAAATCGCATGTTATGGAGCAAAGAGGAGGGACTGGATGAGGGGATGGGAAGTGAGTCCCCCAAAGAGATAATGCCTGTATTGAATTTTGCATCTTAGGAGAACATGTAGGAGCTATCCAGGAAAGAGGTAAAGGAAGTTCCAAAGATATAAACCAGAAGAATCCCAGGCTCTAGGATCCAAGACAGTGAGCCATTCTCAATTTCATTGAAAAAGACTGGATTAAAAAGTGACTGAGGCTGTTTGAATACTGTCTGCCTAGGTACAGATTGGTTCTAAAACAGAACTGAGCCTTTCCATGGGAGCTCAGGTGGCCGCATTGATGAAACAAGGAAGGCAAAGATTTAAAAATTGGGGCAAAGATAACAGGGGCAATAATAGAAGAGACAGTAGCAGTATTGTAGGAAATAAACAGCAACCCTCAACTCCCGTTTTAAGATTTCCCCTTTCTCCTATGCGGAATTTTTAATTGGTAGCTAGTGAAAAGAAGAGATGTCAGGATTTCTTCTTTTCCTAACCATCCCAGCAAGGTGATGATCAAGACAGAGGTGGCCAAAAGGATCATTGATAAGGCTTAACTTGGACAGTTTTGCCAATTAGAAAATAGTCCAGAATAATCAGAAGTCAGCCTCCTGTTTTAATCTCTCCTCATTAAATAATTTAAATTCCTCTCGGCTTTGTGTTTATTTTGATTAAAAATATACAAGATCTCATTGTCATCTTCCAGTCAGCCTGCAAAGGCAAGATCAGTCATAAATAATCTCAGTAGAAGATACCCTGTTTATCTTTTTCTTATGTTTTGTTTGCCCTTAACACTCAGCTCTGCTGCAATTTCATAAACATATTCTGTGATAAACCCTGTATCCTGAACAAAAGCATTGCCCTGGACCCAAACCAGCCAATGTCAAAGACTGTTGAACATGTATCAGAGTAGAGGATTACCAAGAAGCTAGGAGGACCTCCAGGCACTGCCCTCTTTGGCAGGTGACTGCTTTTAACAAATGAGACTGATAGTGATTTATCCTACTTTTAATAATCTCCAGAAAAGAGGTTCCACAATTTCTCTGTATTTGTATCTCCCCCCGACTTTCTTTCCATGTCCATATGCTTTATAATTTTTTAAAAAATGAATGAATAAACATAAGTGATTTTCAACCCAAGAAGTATAGTAACCAACATTCCCAGAAAAGCTGTTCATCTTCTAAAAGAGCAAGGGAGCAGAGAACTCATAGAATCTAAATACAACTTACATGAAATGGAAATCACACAGGTTATCAAACTTAAAGGCTGTTAACTTTATAATGTTAATGAGGCATAATACAAATATTCATAGTTAATATTTAAAGTACTAATGATTAGGCCAGAATGTTATAAAGTTTGTAAATTATTTCACAATACACACCAACAAAAATATACATTATAATAATCTTTTATCAAATACCTTTATATAAAAAGCAAAGGATTTTTCTGCACAAAATTTCAGTATTCAGAGGAGAGACTCAAACAGGCTAAAATTTCATTTGCAGACCTGTGGCAAGACTCACTCCCATTTACATGATAAAATGTCACCAAGAACAAAGAGACTTCAGATTCGGACCAGATAACAGACATTTCCTAAGCACACTAAAAACAATTTACTGTTCTTGATACCTTCATGAAATGTGCCCTGGGAATGTATCCTGAGAAGAAAGGCTTGAATCTATTTTTGTCATATTTCATGTTTCATATTCTTCTGTGTTAATATATTTTAAGCTATTTTCATAGAAAAATACAAGATGTTACATATGGAATCCTAGCCCTAGTTCATTAGAACCAAGGGGACTTATAATTGGAATAATGACTTTTTTCAATAAGGAGGGAACTAATTAGAGATAATAATTTTTAAAAATCTTCACTGTATATGACAGATTTTTTTTCTTGACAGCTAGAAGCCTACAAGTTCTGAATTAATTTATATGATTATGACAACTGAAAACGTATTAGTATAACTCACTCTAACTCCTAATTGCTCACATTTCTGAAAGAAGAATAATGATTAAAAGTTATGTTTTCAAATATCAAATATCTCCAAATTTGCCATGTACCATACATAGTTCAATACATAGTTCAAAAGTAATGATCCTTGCAGCCGGAGGTTAACTGCAAAAACAATAAAAACAAAAAATGAATCTATTCAACAACAAGCTGATTTACAATTTGAAACATATATCTTTAAGAGAAATAATGTTTAACTGGGGACCAACTGACTTAGGGCTTTCTTAAGGTTAGCTCTGTTTTGTCTGTAAGTACTGAGAGGAAAGTACAGTGAGGTAGTAGAGGTTATAGCACTTGGCCATCCTCTGTATAGAACGAGGTGGTCTTTCACTGAAGTTAAGTGAACAAGAAGTATCTAAAAGATAGAAGACATAGTTATAAAAAAATTTACCAAGATTCTAAATTCAGATACCTTTGCATGTATCTTTAAGTTCTTAGTTCATTAAAAAACATTAAAACAATAATCCATTACAAGTGTTGTTTAATCAACAAAGAGGAATACCCACCTGACAACTTGCATTTAAAGAAAAAAGCTTAATTGTAAGTGTATGGTTTTATTCTTTATTTCTAGGTTTTCTATTGTGTTCTGTTAATCTATATGCCTATCTTTGTACCAGTACCAAACTATTTTAGTTACTGTAGGCTTGTAGTATAGTTTGGAGTTGGGTCATGTGATGCCTCTGGCTTTGTTCTTTTTTGCTTAGGCTTCTCTGGCTATTCAGGGTATTTTTTGGTTCCATGTGAGTTTTAGAATTTTTTTCTACTTCTGTGAAAAATGACATTGGTAATTTGAAAGGAATTGCACTGAATCTGCAGATTGCTTGGAGCAGTATGGACATGTTAGTAATTGATTTCTCCAATCCATGAGCATGGAATATTTTTCCATTTGTTTGTGTCATCTATAACTTATTTCATCAGTGTTTTGTAGTTATCCTTGTAGATATCTTTCACCTTCTTGGTTAGATGTACTCCTAGGTGTTTTATTTATGTATTTATTTTGTGTGTGGCTCTTGTAAGTGGGATTGCATTCTTGATTTGATTCTCAGCTCGAACATTATTAGTATTAAGAAGTGCTACTGATTTTTGTATGTTAGTTTTGTATCCTGAAACTTTACTGAAGCCATTTATCAGGTCTAGGAGTCTTTTGGAGGAATCTTTAGGGTTTTCTAGATATGAAATCATATGGTCAGTGAACAGAGATAATTTGACTTCCTCTTTTCCCATTTAGATGCCTTTTATTTCTTTCTCTTGCCTAATTGCTCTGTCTACAACTTCCAGTATTATGTTGAATAGGAGTGGTGAGAATAGACATTCTTGTTTTGTACTAGTTCTTGGGGAAAATGTTTCCAACTTTTGCCCTTTCAGTATGATGTTGGGTAATAGTTTGTCATAGATGGCTCTTACTATTTTGAAGTAAGTTTCTTCAATGCCTCATTTGTTGAGGATTTTTATCATGAAGGGATGTTTGATTTTATCAAGTGCCTTTTCTGTGTCTATTGAGATGATAATTTGTTCTTGGTTGTCAATTCTGTTTAGGTGGTGGATCATATTTATTGGTTTCCATATGTTGAACCATCCTTGCATCCCAGGAATAAAGTCCATTTTGTTGTGGTGATTTATCCTTTTGATGTGCTGCTGGATCCAGTTTTCTAGTATATTGTTGAAGACTTTTATATATATGTTAATTAGGAATATTTGCCTGTGGTTTTACTTTTTTGTTGTGTACTTGCCAGATTTTGGTATCCAAGGTGATACTAGTTTTCTAAAATGAGTTAGGGAGGAATTACTCCTCCTTGATTTTTTTGGAATAGTTTCAGTAAGATTGATATTATCTCTTCTTTTTTTTTTTTTTTGAGACAGAGTCTCGCTGTCGCCCAGGCTGGAGTGCAGTGGCGCAATCTCGGCTCACTGCAGGCTCCGCCCCCTGGGGTTCACGCCATTCTCCTGCCTCAGCCTCCCGAGTAGCTGGGACTACAGGCGCCCGCCACCTCGCCCGGCTAATTTTTTGTATTTTTAGTAGAGACGGGGTTTCACCGTGTTAGCCAGGATGGTCTCGATCTCCTGACCTCGTGATCCGCCCACCTCGGCCTCCCAAAGTGCTGGGATTACAGGCGTGAGCCACCGCGCCCGGCCTATCTCTTCTTTTTACACCTGGAAGAATTCAGCTGTGAATCTGTCTGGTCCAGTGCTTTTTATGGTTGGTAGTTTTTCTATCACTGATTCAGTTTCATAATTTTTTATTGTTTGGTTTGAGGTTTCAATTTCTTCCTGGTTCAGTCTTAGGAGGTGGTGTGTTTCTGAGAATTTATCCATTTCCTCAAGGTTTTCTAGTTTGTGTACACAGAGATATTTATAGTGGTCCCTTAGAATCTTTTGTATTTCTGTGGAATCAGTTGTTGTTATTTTTGTCACTTCTGATTTCACTTATTTGAGTCTTCTCTCTTTTTTTCTTTGTTAATCTGGCTAGTGGCCTATCAATCTTGTTTATCCTTTCAAAAGCCAATTTTTCATTTCATTGATTATTTGTATATTGTTTTGGTCTCAATATAATTTAGTTCTGCTCTGATTTTAGTTGTTTCTTTTCTTCTTCTATCTTTAGGTTAAGTTCTTGTTTTTCTAGCTCCTCCAGTTGTGACATTAAGCTGTTAATTTGAGATCCTTCTATCTTCTTGATGTAGGCATTTACCAGTATAAAGTTTCCTCATAACAGTGCTTTTACTGAAGCCCAGAGGTTTTGATATGGTGTGAGTCTTTTCATTGTTTCAAATAATTTTTTGATTTCTGCCTTAATTCATTATTTATTCAAAAGTCATTCAGGAGTAAGTTTTTTAGTTTTCATGTATTTGTGTAGTTTTCAGAGTTTTCCTTGGTATTGATTTCTAATTTTGTTCCTCTGTGGTCTGAGAAGATGCTTGGTATAGTTTCAGTTTTTTGAAATTTATTAAGACTTGCTTTATGACTAAGCCTATGGTCAATCTTAGAGGATGTTCCCTGTGCAGAGGAGAATGTATATTCTGCGGTTGATAGGCGGCTTATTCTGTAGATGTCTATTAGGTTCATTTGGTAAAGTGTGCTACTGAAGTCCAGAATTTCTTTGTTGGTTTTCTGCCTTGATGAGCTGTCTAATGCAATTACTGGGATGTTGAAGTCCTCCACTATTATTACTATTATATATATATATTTTTAGATGGAGTCTTGCTCTGTCTCCAGGCTGGATGTTGAAGTCCTCCACTATTATTACTATTATATATATATTTTTACATGGAGTCTTGCTCTGTCCTCAGGCTGGAGTGCAGTGGCACAATCTCGGCTCACTGCAACCTCTGCCTCCCAGGTTCAAGTGATTCTCCGGCCTCAACCTTCCGAGTAGCTGGGATTACAGGCATGTGCTACCAAGGCCAGCTAATTTTTGAATTTTTAGTAGAGACTGGGTTTCACCATGTTGGCCAGGATGGTCTTGATCTCCTGACCTCGGCCTCCCAAAGTGCTGGGATTACAGGCTTAAGCCACCACGCCTGGCCGTCCTCCACTGTTACTGAATGGTTGTCTATCTCTTTTCTTAGGTCTAGTAGTAATTGTTTTACAAATAAGCATGCTCCCTCCAATGTTAGGTGAATATATATTTAGGATGGTTAAAACTTATTGTTGATTTGAACCCTTCATCATTATATAATGCCCTTATTTGTCCCTTATTACTGTTGTTGGTTTAAAATTTGTTTTATATGATACAAGAATAGCAACCCTTGCTCTTTTTTCATTTTTCATTTGCTTGACAGATCTTTCTCCATCCTGTTACTTTGAGCCTAAGGGGTCAAAGTAAACCCATCACATGCAAGATGGGTCTCTTGAATATAGCATAAAGTTGGGTCTCGATTTTTATCCAATTTGCAACTCTATGTCTTTTAAGAGAAGCAATTAGGCCTTTATGTTCAAAGTTAATATTGATATGTAAGACTTTGTTCCTGTCATAGTGTTGCAGCTAGTTGCTCTACAGTCTCAATTGTATAGTTGCTTTATAGGGTTTGTGGGCTTTGTACTTACATGTGCTTTTGTGGTAGCAAGTATTGTGTTTTCATTTCCAAAAATAAACAATGGAGAAAGGACATCCTAATCAATAAATGGTGCTGGAAAAACTGGCTAGCCATATTCAGAAGAATAAAACTGGACGTTTACCTCTCACTGCATACAAAACTTAATTCAAGATGGGTTAAAGACAAGTGTAAGACCTTAAACTATAAAAGCCCTATGAGAAGACCTGGTTAAAAACTCTTCGGGAATTGACCTAGGCAAATAATTTATGATTAAGACCTCAAAGGCAAATGGAACAAAAACAAAAATTAACAAGTGGGACTTAATCAAACTAAAGAGCTTCTACACAGCAAAAGAAACTATCAACAGAGTAAACAGACAACCTACAGAATGTGGAAAAATGTTAAAAAATTATGCATCCAACAAAAGATTAATATCTTAACTTAAATCACCACCAACAAGAAAATAACCCCATTAAAAAGTAGGCAAAGCACATGAAGAGACACTTCTTAAAAGAAGACATACAAGTGGCCAAGAAACATGAAAAAATGCCTAACATTACTAATCATCAGAGAAATGCAAATTAAAGCCACCATGAGATGCCATCTGACACCAGTCAGAATGGCTATTATTAAAAAGTCAAAAACTAACACATGTTGGCATGGACGCAGAGAAAAGGAAACACTTATAGACTGTTGGTGGGAATGTAAATTAGTTCAGCCCCTGTGGAAAGCAGTTTGGAGATTTTGCAAAAATTGAAAATAGAACTACCATTTGATCCAGCAATCCCATTACTGGGTATCTACTCAAAAGAAAATAAATTGTTCTAACAAAAGAGACACCTGCACTCATATGTTTATCATAGCACAATTCACAATAGCAAAGTCATGGAATCAATCTAGGTGCCTATCAATGATGGATTGGATAAAGAAAATGTGGTACATATGTACCATGGAATATTACATGGCCAGTTTAGATTATGTCCTCTGCAGCAACATGGATGGAGCTGGAGGCCATATCTTAAGTGAATTAAGTGTTAAGTGAATTAACACTTAGAATTAACTCAGAAACAAAAAATCAAATACTCCATGTACTCACTTATAAGAGGGATCTAAACAATTGACACACAGATATAAAGATGGAAATAGACACTGAGGTTTCCAAAAGTGAGGAATAAGGGAGGTGAACAATGGCTGAACAACTACCTACGTTCACTTTTTGGGTGATGGATTCAGTAGCCCAAACCCAAGCATTATGCAATATATTCATGTAACCTGCACATGTGCCCCCTGAAACTAAAATTTTAAAAATAGTAAGAAGAAAGAATAAGCTTTGGTTCCATATTAAAAGTATGACAATAAATGTGTATTTTATATATTAAATTAAAACAAAATATTGAACTATAATATGTATTTTTAATGAGTTCTTTCTTTTGCAAATTTTAAAAATTAACCAACTGAATCTAGGTCTTGATCAACTGAGATGGCTTTGTAATAGCTGAAGAAGGTATTCCCCAAGCTTCTGGGAATACTGTTGGGCCAAGAGCAGACAGCACAGCCCTTAGCTGTCAGCCTCACTCTGGGGATTTGCCTTGGCTGAAGACGGCTGCCTTGCTCAAAGTCATGTGCCCCTTCCACTTGGCAGAAAGAGACCAACGACTAGTTGCTTTGCAAGTATAAGAGCACAGCTCCCTCCTTACAGCTTGGAAAAGCTTCAAGGGTTTTCTAGTTTCTGAGCTCTTCATGGGATTGACTGGGCTTTCATTGAGGCTGCATCACAACCCAAATTCTTCCCAGCTCAGTACTGGTTCCTTATTTTTCTTCATGGGTATTGATCCTGAAAGCATGTTCCAAAAACCTCCTGATCCTAATGTCTGTGTGAGTCAGCTTCAAATGAGTCCTGAAGTAGGCTTCTACAGTGCGGTCACTTCAACCTGGCTCTTAGAGAACCCCTCACTACTTGCAGCCTGCCTGATAATCAACATCAAAATTGTCAATTTGACCAAAACACAATACATGAATATGGTCCCCACCTTCTCTACATCCCTTTCCTACTTGTAACTCCTCTCCCTATGCCTCTTTTTCTTACTCAAAGTCCAACAAGAATAGATATCTGATATCCTACTTTAGCTTATTTTAAATTCCATTATATCTCATTACCATATTATTATAATTAATAACTAAAATAGGGTAATACTAGCTACTGTAACTAATGAACTCACAAATACATGTCTCAAATCCAGCGTAGGCATACCTAAAAGATATTTCAGGCTTGGTTCCAGAACACAGCAATAAAATTAATTTTGCAATAAAATAAGTCACACACATTTTTTAGTTTCCCAGTGCACAAAATAGTTATGCTTACATTATTCTGTATTACATTAAGTATGAACAGTATTATTTCTCAAAACACAATGTAATACCTTGATTTAAAATATTTTATTGTCAGCTGGGTTCAGTGGCTCATGCATGTGATCCCAGCATTTTGGGAGATTGGAGCAGGAGGATCAGTTAAGGCAGGAAGTTTGAGACAAGCCCGGGAAACATAGTGAGACCCCATTTCTATAAAAAAAAAATAAAAATTAGACAGGCATGGTGGCACAAACCCATAGTCCTAGCTACTCTGGAAGCTGAGTGAGGAGGTTCATGTGAGCCTGGTAGTTCAAGATTACGGTGAGCCATGATTGTGCCACTGCACTCCAGCCTGGGTGACAGTGCAAGACCCTGTGTCTAAAGATAGTAATAATAATCATCATCACTTTATTGCTAAAAAATTTAAAAATGCTAACCATCATCCTAGTATTCAGTGAGTTGTAGTCATTTTGCCTATAAGATCCTGCCTTGATGTTGATGGCTGCTGATGTGGGTGTTGCTGAAGATTGGAATGGCTTTGGAAACTTCTTAAAATAAGACAATGTTAAGGTTTGCCACATTGATTGACTCTTTCTTTCATGAAAGATTTCTCTGTAGCAAACGATGTTCAATAGCATTTTACTCACAGTAGAACTTCTTTCAAAATTTGGGTCAATTCTCTCAAGCACTTCCACTATTTTATCAACTAAGTTGAAGAAATGTTTTGAATCTCTTGTCAATTCAGCATTGTTCACAGTATCTTCACCAGGAGTAGATTTTATCTTAGGAAACCACTTTCTTTGTTCATCCATAAGAAGAATTCCTCATCCAATCAAGTTTTGTCATGAGAGTCTGGCAATTCAATCATACCTTCAGGCTTCATTTGTAATTTTAGTTTTTCTCTTTCCACTGCATCTGTAGTTACTTCCTCCACTGAAGTCTTAAATCCCTCAAAGTCATCCTTGAGGGCTGGAATCAACTTCTGCCAAACTCCTGTTACTGTAGGTATTTTGACCTCCTCCCATGAATGGCAAATGATCTTACTGGCATCTAGAATGGTGAACCCATTCCAGAAGATTTTCAATTTCCTTGGCCCAGATCCATCAGAGGAATCACTATCTATGGCAGCTATAATCTTACAAAATGTATTTCTTAAATAATGAAACTTGAAAGTTGAAATTATTCCTTGGTCCATGGGCTACAGAATGGATATTGTTTTTGCAGGCAGGAAAGCAACATTCATCTCCTTCTTGTACATCTCCATCAGAGCTCTTAGGTGACCAGATATGTTGCCAATGAGCAGTAATATTTTGAATTGAATTTTTTTTCCCTGAGTAGTGGGTCTCAACAGTGGGCTTAAAATATTCAGTATACCGGCTGAGCACAGTGGCTCATGCCTGTAATCCCAGCACTTTGGGAGACCAAGGCGGGCAGATCACATGAGGTCAGGAGTTAGAGACCAGCCTGGCCAACATAGCGAAACCCTGTCTCTACTAAAAATAGAAAAAAAATATCTGGGCATGGTGGCAGGTGGCAGGAGAATCACTTGAACCTGGGGGTGGAGGTTGCAGTGAGCCAAGATCATGCCACTTCACTCCAGCTTGGGCAGAAGAGTGAAACTCCATATCAAAATAATAATAATAATAATAATAATTCAGTATACCATGCTGTAAACAGATGGGCTGTCATCCAGGCATTGTTGTTCCATTCATAGAGCATGGGCAAAGTGGATTTAGCACAGTTCTTAAGTGACTTAAGATTTTCAGAATAGTAAATGAGCATTCACTTCTAGGTAAAGTCACCTGCTGCATTAGTTGCTGACAAGAGAATCAGCCTGTCCTCTGAAGCTTTGAATCCAGGCATTGACTGCTCCTTTCTAGCCTGAAAGTCCTGGATGGCATCTTATTCCAATATAAGACTGTTTCATCTACATTAAAAATTGTTTTTAGTGTAGCCACCTTCATCACTTATCTTAACCAGGTCTTCAATATAATTTGCTTCAGTGTTTACATCAGCACTTGTTGCTTCACCTTGCACTTTTGTTATGGAAATAGCTTCTTTCCTTAAATTTCATGAACCAACCTCAGCTAACTTCAAACTTTTCTTATGCATTTCCTCATCTCTCTCATCCTTCATAGAATTGAAAAGAGTTAGGGCCTTGCTGTGTATTAAACTTTGGCTTAAAGTAATGTTGTGACTAGTTCGACTTTCTATCCATATTGCTAAAACTTCCTCCGTATCAGCAATAAGGCTGTTTGGCTTTCTTATCATTCATATGTGCACTGGAATAACACTTTCAATTTTCCTCAAGAATTTTTCCTTTGCATTCACAACTTGGCTGTTTGGCATAAGAGGCCTACCTTTTGGCCTATCTCAGCTTTTGACATATCTTTCTCACTGACCTTAATTATTCTAGCTTTTGATTTAAAGTGAGAGACATGTGATTTTTCCTTTCACTTGAACACTTAGAAGCCATTGTAGAGTTATTAATTAACATGATTGCAATATTATTGTGTCTCAGGGAATAGGTAGGCCCAAGGAGAGAAAGAGAGATGGGAAAATGGCCTGTCAGTGGATTAGTCTGAATACATAAAATTTGTATTAAGTTCACCGTTTTGTCTGGGCACTGTTTATGGCTCCCCAAAACAATTGCAACACATCACCATCACAGATATAATATTGACAAAGTTTGAAATATTGTGGGAATTATCAAAATGTGACACAGGGACATGAAATGAGTACAGGCTTTTAGAAATATGATGCCGACAGACTGGACTGATGCAGAGCTGCCACTAACCTTCAATTTATAAAAATGCAACATCTGTAAAGCACAATACAGCAAAGTGCAGTGAAACAAGGTATGCTATGGAAGTTCATTTCTTGCACATTTACCAATAGGCACTTGGTAAATAGGTTGGCATGTTGGCTCTCCTCCACATAGTCATTTAGAAGTCACTGCTGTCTTTACTAAAATGTTTCCAAGGTTCCTCTGACAGATAGTTTTATTCTAGTCAACCACAGGAGAAATAGCATGGAAAAGCAAGTATGGTTATTGAAGGCCACACCTGGAAATAGTGCACCCCTCCTTCATTGAGTATTCAGTTGCAAGGCCACCTCAAACTGTGAGTGGGACAGGAAAATTCAGTCTTCCTGAATGTCCAGGAGGAAGAAAAGAACATAGATTTTGGTTAGCTGCTCTGTTACATTAGGGTCACTGAGAAGCCATATCTCCCAGGACACAATGGATCAATTCTCTGCAATCAAGTCTTTTTTAGGGGACTTGTGACTAATCTATAAAGTTGAAATTCTTCAGTTATTCCTACTCTCCATGTAACTATTTGATGTGATAGCTATTGATCTTTTTTCTGTTTTTACCTTTTCTAGGATTGTCTGGGTCATTCTTAATTTCCTATATCAACCCCCTCCCCATCATTTTTTTTGAGATGGAGTCTTGCTCTGTTGCCTAGGCTAGGGTGCAGTGGCTCGATCTCGGCTCACTGCAACCTCTGCCTCCTGGGTTCCAGCAATTCTCCTGCCTCAGCCTCCCTAGTAGCTGGGACTATTGGCGTGCACCACCACGCCTGGCTAAGTTTTGTATTTTTAGTAGAGACAGGGTTTCACCATGTTGGCCAGGATGATCTCAAACTCCTGACCTCAGGTGATCCCGCCGTCTCAGCCTCCCAAAGTGCTGGGATTACAGGCATGAACCACCACACCCAGCCTTACCCTTTTTAACTAACACATATAAGAGAGAAATATGTGTATGTATTTTATACATAGTCATATCCTTAAGATAAATCTTGCATATCTCTCCATAGAAATGCACATTCACACTTTATTGACATATTTATGCTTAATTAAGGAGATAGAACCTCGTAGATCAGTATCAGTCATGGTTCTAGGCTCTTTAGTTACATTTCCCCCAAAACAACATAACAAGTCAATCCTGTTATTATGATTACGTTAGAGAGAAAGAAATGTAGAGTTTGATAAAGTAAGCACCTCATCCCCACCCAAGGCTAGCCAGATAGCAAACAACAAAACTGGCATTTAAATTTAAATTTGTTTGCCTCCAGAGCATACCTACACTTTTAACCAGTCAGTGTACTGCCTCATAACTGGTGTCTATGCACGAAATACAATGAAATAGATGTACAAGCTACAAACTGGGACAGGAATTGTGAATAATTCTGCTCAATCCTATTTCAACATTTTAGTGGGAGAATGGTCTTTACTAAACTCTGAGCTCCAAAGCTTTAGGCTTAAGATCTTTGCATTTTATATTGCTCTCTAGGCTCTCTTCTGCCTTTCACTTTGTCCTCTAGTAAATCATTTATTTGCTTCGATCTTCTAACATCAAAATGATAATTCTGTAATTCCATTCAGGGAGTTTCCCATCAGTGTCAGCAATAACATATATCTTAGTTATATTTAAATAAAACCCTAAAAATTATGTTTATGTTGAAAGAAAACCCTTAGAAAGCGAGATTCTGATACAATGACTTAAATAGACTGTAAAATATATGACTATGTGAGCACATATGTAGGTGTCTGTTTAAAGTCATTTTTTCTCACAGAAAAACAAATCGTGTGGTCCATAAACTTGATCTAATGCATCTCTGGCCAAGTAAAAGTCTTTTCAGAAGTATTTTCTCATTCTTACTATGTCCCTAAATGTCCAGTGTGTTGCTTAGATTTCTGCTTCTTGAAAATTATGACAAATGCCATTTAATCCTGCCACAAAAGTGATAAAGAAAGAAGATAATTCTAAAGCCAAAAGAGTGAATTCAAGGTAGACGCAAATATATAGGATTCTAAGTTATAAAATTAGCTAGAAAGTTTTGAAAACTTCTTGAATATGAACAAAAATGAATGAAATTTTAATGAATATGCCATTTAGTACATCTTTAACAGTATGTATTTGTTGATATGTAAATATAAACTAATAATTTAGCTAATACAATGTAGCAAATATTGGCTTATTGCTCTAGAAGATAACATACAAATATCTTCATAAAAGAGCCACTGCCTGTCTCTTCAGCATCCTCTCCAAACCCTGTTATGTTAAACTTCAAGGTCCAGCCACATAAAACTGCTAGTATTTTTCTACATACACCATGATGCTTCTTGCCTCTGTGAATTTATTTATGCTGTTTCCTTCACCTTGAATATTCTCACATTCAATAGGGTGACTTAGTTTCCTCATGTTTATAATGAAGATAATAATACCACCTATCTTTGCAGTTATGATAATATAAAGAGATAATCAATGTAAAGTGCTTAGAAAATACCTGGCATACTGAAAACGCTCAATACAGGTTGTTTTCAAAGATAGGTGGCTTCATCTGTGCTACATTTATTTCACAATAGTTCAGCCAATGATATACTGTTGGCATGGAAATTTACTGTATCAAAAAAGTCTTTCAAGATTCTAATCTACTTATTTGATATATGTTTGCAAAATGTTACGCTTACACTAACAACGTATTTAAAATAGCAAGATAAACAGGATTACACTCATGTATACTGGTAAATTCTCTAAACAAAAAATAAACTTCAATGTTCTGTCACAAAGATGCAAAAGCCAGTAACCATAAGCAGTTAAACACATATATTTGTCACCAATCAGCACGCTTCAGGGTAGAGGCTGCTACATTTACAGTGGCAAATAATTTGACATATTTCATGAAATCAATGATTCAGGAGGTTTTTAATTTCTGTTTTTCCCACTCTGAAGAACAAAACCTCACTCTGTCTCTTTCCACCTCTAATATAATTCAGGAAGAATATCAAGTCTTAATTTAAAATGAGTGATGTAGTATAGAGTTTCAGATGATATATCTTTTCAAAGCTGTCAGTTTCCTTTCACCGTGTTTCCTATATTCCAAAAACAAGTTTAAATTAAACATAGATCAACAATAAATCTGCCAACTGGTATCTTATTTATGGCACTTTTAGAAGATACATTGATGCTTTTTTATAAACCAAAATGGACACTTTCTGATTCCTTCAGAATTAAAATTAAAACAACTAAAATATTTGTTGAAAATTTATTAGCCATGAGATGTCTACATGTCTCTTATCCTCACAATATTATTCCGTGATGCAACTCCCGCATAAGGCAGGGAAGTATATTATATATAGTATGTGTGAAAGAGGCCTCAGTTTTCATCGTCCAAACTTATTAAGTATAAAGTTATTATGATTTGAGGATTGAAAAGGAGAAAAACCTACAGCAGAAGATGATTTAACCAGATACCTGGGACAAAGTCTATTGCAGATTTATGATAGCTCAAAATTTGGATGATTTAACTCTCAAATTTGAGTGACCAAAAGATCAGTGTAATTTTTATATCATGATAAAAATTTCAATTATCAATTTGCAGTTGTGCAAACATTTATACTTAAATCGGACATACACAAATGACAATTCTTTATTTTAAAATGCTTACCTATATATTCATATAAGTAACCAAGAGCTCTTACAACTTTACTGCAATCATTCATTACTATTTACACTACCTGACTATGTTGCAGTGTTTGAGTCTTTGAGAAGAAGATACTCAAACTCAGTATCAGGTTACATGTTGTGTGCCTCTAATTTTTACTTTTTGAATAAGTATATCTATGCCTACTCTACTATTGTATGCTGAGTATATGAGAGGCAAATAAATGATATCTTTAGTTAGTATTCAGAATGAGATCAACCATAGTGGAGGAAGTAAACTGTGGATCCTCATTCACACTTAGACCTGACTTATTTGATGAGATCCTGAAATCTGAGCATAGTGTGGTAATGGAATGAGATTTTGGGAGGGAAACTGAAGAGGAGAATGTATTTTGCATATGGGATTAAAGTAAATAAATTATAGTCAAATAACAGACTTTGGAGGCTAAAAAAAATAGTGACAACTTCTTTGAAACTCTCCAATTGAGAAGTTGAGTCAGTTTCTCCTCCCTCTGAAACTGGATGGGTTTATGATTGTTTTAACCATAGAGTACAATAAAAGTGATGCTATGTGACTTTCAAGGCTAGGTCATAAAAGGCCATGTAGCTTTTATTTATTTGTTGAAATACAAAAAATTATAGACCAGAGGCACCTTATAAGAAATACGACTACCCTGACATGCTATGAGAAAACCCAAATGAAAATAAATGAAATCAGTATTTGAAGAGATATCTGTATCCCCCATGCTCATTGCACATTATTCACAGTAGTCAAGATATGGAAACAACTGAAATGTCCATTGACAGGTGAATGGATAAAGAAAATATTATATTTATACACACACACACACACACACACACACACACACGCACACACACACTGGACAAGATGCCAAGCATGGATAGGTTCTGGTGAGAGCCCTCATCCTGGTTTCCTCACATGGCCAAGAGAGAGAAGAAGCAAGCTCTCTCTTACCTCTTCTTAATTCCATCATGAGGGCTCCACTACTATGATCTTACGGTCTCCCAAAAGTCCCACCACCAAATATGATCCCAAGGGGGATTCGTGTTTCAACATACGAATATCAGGGGGAATACCAGTGTTCAGCCCATAACACACTAGCTACATTTGAAGTATTCAACATGTGACTACAGTAACCAAATGAGCAGCGCAGAATTTCCACCATCACAGAAACTTCTACTGTATGGTGTTGATCTATGTTGAAGTACAGAGACAAAGAGAAAAAGAAAACACAGGGAAGGTATTATATTAGTGTAAAAAATTTCTAAAATTAAAAAAAAATCAAGTCCCAAGAGGAAAGGAAAGAGAGAATGGCACATAAAGCAATATTTTAAGAGATAATGCCTGAGATATTTTCTCAAATGAAGAAATGAAGAAATGCCTGAGGGATTTTCTCAAATGAAGAAATACATGAAGCCACATATTCAATTAATACTACAAATCTGAAGGATTCCAAATAAAAAGAAAATCATCACTGGGAATATCATGGTAAAACTGATAACACCAACGGAAAAAAATTTAAAATAGCAAGATTTTTTAAAAGACACAATACTATCAAATAAGCAACAGTAAAATTGATGATTGGTTGCTTGACACAAATAATGGAATTGTGTCTTTAAAGTATGAAAACAAAACCAAGCAAGACCAAACTCCTGTCCAACCGGAATTCAGTAACCACTAAAAATATCCTTCAAAATTGATAGTGAATAAGTCATTTTTTTTTCTAACAAGCAAAACCAGAAAATACACCCCCAGTATATGTGCATTAAAGGAAATATTCAAGAACATGTTAAAGGAAATTCTTCAAGCAGGAACAACATGACTCCAGAGAGAATAACAGACACACAGAATGGAATAAATAGCTATGGAAAGGGTAAATATATGTTTAAAGCTAAATAAATAGTCTATATTAAAAATAATAATTATGACATAGCATTTTAAATAAATACACAAAAAGGTAATATATGACAAAAATAGAATAAAAGAAAGTGAGAGGTATACTTTAAAGTATCCTAAAGCTCTTTCACTGTTTGGGAAGTAGCAAATTTAATTATACTTTAATGAACAATGTTATATCAGATTTTTTTTTTTTTTTTGACGGAGTCTTGCTCTGTCACCCAGGCTGGAGCACAGTGGCGCGATCTCCGCTCACTGCAAGCTCCACCTCCCAGGTTCACACCATTCTCCTGCCTCAGCCTCCAGAGTAGCTGGGACTACAGGCGCCCGCCGCCTCGCCCGGCTAATTTTTTGTATTTTTAGTAGTGCCGGGGTTTCAACAGTGTTAGCCAGGATGGTCTCGATCTTCTGACCTTGTGATCCGCCCGCCTTGGACTCCCAAACTGCTGGGATTACAGGAATGAGCCATGGCGCCCGGCCCAAATTTATAATGAGTAAAGAATGCACAGTATAATCTCTAAGGTGACCACTCAGAGACCAGTAAAAATACTTAACTTAAAAGAAGACAGAAAATGAACAAAAACAATAGGTGGAGCAACAAAATCAAGTAATAAAACAATATACTTGAATTCAAATATATCCAATAAATTAAATATTAAATAAACAGACGGAATATTATTAGTCTCAAATTTTAAAATACGAATATTTCTTACAAGAGACACAATTAAATATAAAGATGCAAAAAGTTTGAACATAAAAGGATCAAAAGAAAAATGTCATGCAAACACTATTCAAAAGAAAGCTGGCATAGTGATATTGCTAAAAGATAAAGTAGAAATTCAGGTGAAGAGAATTACTAAAGATGAAAAGGGACATTTTATAATTTAAAAGGAGCCATTTAATCAAGAAAATATAGCAATTCTAAATCAACAGGCATTTTATTACTATAGGCTTAAAATATATAATTTGAATATTGAGAAATAGAAGTAAAAAATAGATATCCATGATTATAGTGGGAGAGTTTAAAGCAACTCTTTTATTAACTGATAGAACAAATGCGTAAAACAGTAAGTATACAGACAATTTTTAAAATGTGATTGACAAAAATTACCTAAGTGGGAACTAAAGCAGGAACTGAAGAATGGACATATTTTTCATGTATGCAGAGAACATTTGCCAAAATCCACCATATGCTTGGTCATAAAGCAAGCCTCACCAAATTTTGAAACATTGCAATAATACAAACTATAATTTCTGAGCATAATGCAATTATACTGCAAATCAAAGTAAAAAAATAATTAGTAACTGTCAAAATGTTTGAAAATTTAGCAATGAAAAAATAAATGACCCATGAGACAAATAATAATGGAAATCTGAAAATATTTGAAGTGAATGAGTGTGTAAATATATAAAAATTCAGGTATACCACTAACCCTGTATTTAAATGAAAAACTATAGTCTTAAATGTAAATATTAAACAATAAAAAAAGGATGAAAATAAATAATCTAATAATTCATCTTAAGAAGTTAGAAAAAATTCCAAGTTATATTTTCCCCAGAAAACTAAAAGAAACAGTTAAAAAGAAGAAAACAATGAAATTGAGTAAAAAAAATAGAGAAGATAACAAAAGCACAAAAGGTTTTTAAACAAACAATAATTACAAATTGAAAAATTTCTGACCAGATACCTGAGGAAAAATATTGAGAAGGAACAAATACATAATATTAGTAATGAAAAAGATCATTATTGCAGATCATTAAATATAATGAAGCACTTATGATCAAATTTATGCCAATAAATTTGGAGATTTGGGTGAAATAATCAAATGCCTTGGAAATCACAACTTTAAAAAATGAACATAGGAAGAAGTGAAAACATTTAAGTTTTCCTTCAGCTCTCAAAAAATAAGCCACACTTTTTTTGATTTTTGTGTTGTAAATATTTCCACAATGGCTAATTTTAAGCTACTTGCATGACATCACTGAGGAGAGAGTTAGAAAGAGGTGTGCAAAATGCACCCTGAGCCAGTGTCAGTATCAACAGATTCCCACAAACCACTATCCATATCTTCTGAAAATATCAAATTCATAATTTGAACACATTTCCAGAAAGAAAACCCATATCCTAGATAAATTTACTAGATAATGTTATTAAATATTTATGGAGGAAATAACATAAATCTTCACAAACTTTTCCAAAGAATAGAACTTTCTAATTTGTTCTATGAGGCCAGGGTTTTCTAACATTATGAGAAAATAAATTATAGGACAATGTCTTTCAAATACAGTTGCAAAAATTCTAAAGAAAATATCAAGAATCTATCAAAACATCATGTTGTACACCATAAATATATATAATTTTTATTTGTAAATTAAAAAATAAAAACATCAACAATCTGAATTCAACGAGTATAAAAATGACATGTCAGAAAAAGTGCAACTTATGTTAGGAATCCAAAATTAATTTGGCATTCAAAACCAATGTAAATTAGCATATTAATGAAATAATAGAAGAAAATTACATAATGATCTCAATAGATGAGAAAATATTTGATAACAATTTAATGTTAATAGTAATTGTGGACTAAATTCTTAGCAAACAATAGAAGGAAAAAATTCTTAATGTGATAAAAATGTCTATACATACTTAGAAAATAATCACAAAATTATAGAAACTCTATAGCTAATGCTGAAATATAATTTTATCCCTAAAATCAGGAATAAAACAGGTCTATTCTTTGTCACCATTTCTGTTTGACATTGTTCTAGAGTGCCAATGAAATAAGGAAAGAAAAAGAAATAGAAAACTAAGGACAGAAGAATCTATTTGCAATCGAATCATTCCCATGGTAAATATAAATCATTAAAATGTGAATTAAACAAAATCACTAGAAACAAGGCCAGTGTACAAAAATTATATTTTTATTCATTAGCAACAAGAAACAAATGAAAATTTTAATTTAAATTTAAAAAATAGTTCTATCAAAAATCACAGAATTACCAATCTGATTTTAATATATAATAAAATGTAAAAAGCGAAAAAGTAACAAAGAAAATCTTAAAGAAGAAGATTATTACATTCATATGCTTGGATGTCAAAACTCATTGTAAAGCTTCAGCAAGGAAAACACAGTGGTACTCACATACAACAAACAAATAGAACAGTAGGTTAATATAGAGTCTAGAAACAGATCATCACATATACAGGCACTTAATATTTGACGTAAGACAAGATGGAGCAAATGGAAATACAAAATACGTTGGTAGATTCAACTCCAAATATGTAAGTAATAATATCTAATAAAAGTGAATTAATCTTTCAGGCAAAAGAATATCTGTCTAGGGTAGAATAAAATTCAATTATATGCCATTTACAAAATGCCTTTAAAGTAAAACAGTTATGAAGTCTTAAAATAACAGTATAGAAAAAGATATGTCCAATAAATTCTAAGCAATAAAGTCACATATTATTAAATTGATAAGGGAAAAATTGGACTTCATGGGTAAAGTAAACCATTGCTAGAGATAGAGAAGTTCAATCTATTGTAATGTATTCATTAATTCACCCTGGGAAACTATAAACCATGTTAAATTTTATATCAATAACACATAGCATCAAAATATATTAGGCAAAACCTTATAGAACTACAACAATAAACAGCAAGATCTACAATCATGGTGAAAAATTTTTAACACAAAATTGATAAAGCCAACAAGAAACAATAAAGATATGAAAGACATGAAGGACACAATTAAGACCTTGATCAAATTTGTACCTATAAGCTGTGTAGCAAACAACTGCAGAATGCATATTCACTTCAAGAATAAAGGGAACATTCACAAAATTGACTAAATATTGGCCCTTACAGCAGCACTCAATGCATTTCAAATACTGGAAAACTAATGACGAAGTTCTTTGCTTACAGTACAACTAACTTAAAAATCAATATCAAGGTAATTTAAAAACACTAAGTTTGTAAAGTTGGAAACCTACTTCTAAATAATTTATGGGTCCAAAAAGAATTTCTAGTAGAAGGAAAAATGTTTTAAACTGAACAGTAACAAAATATATTACAACTTAAATGTGCCAAAAACAGAACTTACAAATGTGTAGCCTAAAATGCTGTTAGAAAAAAAAGGCTAAATATTAATAAGCTAAGCTATGCATCCATCTTAAGAAATTAGAAAAACAGTAGTGAAATTATATGAAGTTAAGAAAGATAAAAGCAGAAATTGATTAAAAAAAAGACAAACATATAATACTAGAGAAATTCAACAAAGCCAGAAGTTGGTTCTTTGCAAAGACACAAAATTGCTAAACTTCTGATTTCTGATAAGACCGACAAAAAGAGAGACCAAAATAATCAGTATCAGGAATAAAAAAGAATATGCCACTATTGGTAGAAAATTAAAATTATTAAGAGACTATTCTGAACAACTTTATATAGGATGTTGCATGACTAGATAAGTAGATAAATGAACAGAACAGAGATCTAGAAACAGATTTGCAATTAAATGGACACTTGATATATGACAGAATTAGTATTGTATATTATTAATAAGGAAAATATAAGCTTTTTAATAAAAGGTGTTGAGACAATTGAACATGTCAAAAAATTAAGTTAAACCCATGCTTTGTACCATAGACTGGAATCAATATTAGGTAGGTAAAGCACTTAAATACTGAAGGCAAACCATCAAACCTTAAGATAATAATTTAAAATATCTTTATGAAATTGAGTCTTGGGGGATTCTTAATATATGAAAGCATTAACCCTAAATAAGCAGAAGGCATCTGTAGCATACTCATCTGTAACAGAAAGCAGGTTGGAACTATGGTTAAGATCACAGACTATGAAGTCAGTCAACTTAGGATAGAATATAATCTACACCACTTACTAGCTGTGTGACCTACATTAAGTTATTTAACCTTTCTGGAACTCAGTTTCCCAATCTGTAAAATGAAACGAATAATGATACCTATTCCCGACATAAAACAAGATAATCTGTATAATGTGCTTAGAACCTTCCCTTGTACATAAGACCTATGTAAACATATATTATGTGGCTATGTAACAGCCACATGCATAAAAAAATTGTTAAAATGTCATAAGTGATCACTCACAAAGAAGTCACAATAAATAATAAAGTCACAAAAATATGCCTTTGATTTCATTTACATAAAGTTCAAGAACAGAAAAAATTAAAAATATTTAATTAATGATTTTATACAGAGATACATATTCACAGAGTTACACATACATTTACATATACTTAATATCTAGGAAAGCAAAGGAATAGTTACCATAGAGAGAGAGGGATTACTCTAGAAGAAGGAGACAGATATGAAATCAGAAGTTCTCATGAAGATTCTCCGGGGAACTAGAAATTACTTCTTAAACTGGTGGTCGTTGCATGCATATCCACTTAACAATTACTCCTTAAACAGCCTCTTTCTCTCTCTTTATGTGTGTGCATATATTTAAAATACATATGTTTACAAAAGAACATGGTGCACACTTAGAAGCTGTCTGCTGTATTTTTTAAATAAGAAAAGTATGCTTCAGAAGCATTTAGTGTGATCCTACATTTGAAAAAGACATACATGAAACAACCTAGGAGAATATCCACCAAAATGTCAACAGTAGTTGTCTTTGGGCAGAAATAAGTGGGGAGAGGTGTGTAGCCATTAATTGTGTAGTCACTTCTGTAAAGGTGAATATTTAAGAAAATGCATTCATTCTAGTAATAAGAAAAACTAAAAAGAAAGAAAAAACTTGAGTGTCACAACAAAGCTTAAATAACATTATACATGTTTCACAAAGTCTTTATATGTGTCTTTTCATGTCAATGTATAATCTTGTACAATGTCATGTTTAATGATAGCATAGTGTCCCACCATATCCATGCACTGTTTTGATTTAATCAATATTTAATGCTGGGCATTTAGAGCATTTTACTTTTTTATTTTGCATGAACACCCATGCAATTCAATCTCTTATTATTTTCGTAAAATAAATTTCTAGAAGTGAATTTCCTGGGTTAAAAGGTATGCAAAAATGTGATGCAGAGTTTGCATCATAATTCTGACAGCAGTATTTCAAAGGTAAATTAATTATTTATATATTGGTGCTGGGTTTTTTTCAATTACAAATATTATAAAAGTGTAGAAAGGCTTAAAATGCTTAGTTACCTAAATTAGGCATTATTTCAACAATTCTCCAGGGAGGACTTAGACTTGCTCTCTTGAAAAAAAAAAAAGAAATATAGAATGGCAAAATACATTAAGCAAAGAATTAATTCTATACATCTCTTTAATCCCATACCTAGTTTATTCCTGCAGATGTGGTATGTGCTTAGTGTGCTTGATTAATTGGAGGTTACTAAATTTGCCTCATTCACAGGAGGTTTCCACTTTTCTGGGGATGCCCAGAAAAGTTAGAAGCAACTATTGAATAGAGACAATAAGACACCAAGCTACAAAAATTCATAGGCTTTTACTATAAAATGGTGATTGACTAGATTTTCAAGGAGCTATGTTATCACACTGCTCATGGAGCACTCCCTTCTAAACAAAGTGACTGTCTCTCATTCTAACAATTCATTTCAGCCCTTCTTAGTATTATCGGTGTCAGAGTCATGCATTTGGTTTGCCAATGTATTAGGCTAAAAGACATAAAATCAAGTTGGAGAAGGACTAGACACATATAATTTTCTAAGTATGAGGTTAGGGGGAGAAACAGCAGATATAAATAATCTGAATGAACTTATTTATCTTGACAGTTTGCAAATTTTGACAGCAGTATTTCGAAGTATTTCCATGCTATCAATGGCAAGGCTGTGTGATATAGCACAGGACTGTAATTCAGTAGCCCATTTTATGCCAGAGAGCACAATTCCCATGTTAGACTGGAGACAAGATTATTGATTAAAACAAAGATTGGGAAAAGTCATAGAGAGAGGCATGCAGACCTAAAAGACTAATGACACTACCTATGGGTGAGTTCGACTTCTTTTTTGTAGAGTGGCATAAATTTAAACCCCATTACTCTCTTTTGTTAGGGTCAAACTTCTTCATTAGATTAAGTCCAAATTCTTTTTTTATACTTTAAATGGTCAAAAGATATATTAAATGGGGAGAAGAAATGGATACGTTTTAAACAAAAATTTTTAAAGACAAAATGTGATCATCATTTTTTAATTAATTTTTAAAAATCAAAACAGCATATATCCATTTTTTAAGTCAAAAATGGTTCTACAAGGTCAACTTTGAAAAACAAAGTTCTCTGGTTTACTTCTCCTTCCATTATTATTTCCCAAAGATAAGCACTTTGACTAATTTAGCTGCTTCTTTGGATATTTATATACACAATGTAAAAATAATTGATTTTTTTAATATTTATTTTTTTTCTGTTTAACCACACTATGTGGAAGATGAAGATGTAATCCTTTTACTTGTTGCTCCAAGCCACAACATACACTCTTTCCCCATATCCCCACATATAACTTTTAGCTTTACCTATATTCAGTGTTTAAAAATTTATTTTTCCACCTTTATTGAGGTATAACTGACAAATAAAAAGTATGTATTTATTTTGTGCAACATGATGCTTTGACTGATTTATATATACATTGTGAAGTGATTACCACAACCAACCTAATGATCATATCCATCACCTCACATAGTTAAATTTTTGTGGTAAGAACATTTAAGATTTACTCTCTTAGCAAATTTAAAGTATACAACATAATATTAATAATTATAAACACTACATTGTACATTAGATCTCCAGAATTTATTCATTCTTCATAACTAAAACTTCGTATCCTTTGACCAACGCATCCCTGTTTCTTCACATCCAGCCCCCGGCAACCACCATTCTACTCTCTGCTTCTGTAATTTTAAGGCTTTAAGATTTTACATGTAAGTGAGATCATGAAGCATTTGTCTTTCTGTGCCTAGCTTATTTCACTTGGCATAATGTCCTCCCAGTTCATTCATGTTGCTGCAAATGAGAGAATTTTCTTCATTTTAAGATAAATAATATTCACATATATGATATGTATACTATTCTATACCCACATTTTCTTTATCCATTCATAAATAGATGGACACTTAGGTTGATTGGTTGATTTCACATCTTGGCTATTGTGAATAATGTTGCAATACGAATGAGAGAGCAATAGAATGAGACACCATTTTTAAAAAATGGGAATGCAGATATATCTTCAATATGCTGATTTTAATTCTTTTGAATATATACCCAGAAATGAGGTTGTTGGATCACATGGTAGTCATATTTTGAATTTTTTGAGGAATCTTTATACTCTTTTCCATAACTGCTGTACCGTTTCACTTTTCTGCATATTCTTGTCAATACTTGCTATTTTTTGCCTTTTTGATAGTAGCCATTTTATAATGGTATGGGGTAATATCTCATTGTAGTTTTAATTTGCATTTCCCTGATAATTAACGATATTAAGCATTTTTTTCATATACTTCTTGGCGATTTGTATTTCCTATTTTTGAGAAATGTCTTTTCAGGTTTTTTGCACATTTTTAGATTGGAATATTTGTTGTCCTTTTACTGAGTTGCTGAGTTGAATTCCTTATATATTTCGAGTATTAACCCCTTATCAGATGTATGGTTTGCAAATATTTCCTCCCATTTCATAAGTTGTCTCTTTATTCTGTTGATTGTTTCTTTTGCTATGCCAATGCTTTTTAGTTTGATGCAATCCTGTTAATCTCTTTTTGCTTTGTTTCTTGTGTTTTTGAGGTCATAGCCAAGAAATCATTGCCCAAACCAATTTCAAAAAGGCTTTTCTCTATGTTTTCTTCTAGTAGTTTTAAAGTTTCAGCCCTTAACATTTAAGTCTTTAGTCAATTTTGAGTTGATTTGTCTCAGTATCATTTATTGAAGAGAATGTCCTGTTCCTATTGTGTGTTCCTGCCACCTTTGTTGAATAAATATTCTTATACCCTTATATATGTGATGAGTCACTTTTCTCATGGTGCTTTCAAAATTCTTTCTCTGTCTTTGATTTCTGAGAATTTAATTATGATGTGTCTCAGTGAATATCTCTGTATCTTTGGGGTTCTTTGGGCTTCATGGATAAGGATATTCATTTCCCTTTCCAAACTTGAAAAGTTTTCTGTCATGATATCTTTCAATAAGCTTTCTTCCCCTTTCTCTTTCTCTGTTTCTTCTTGGACCTCAATAATGCATACACTGGTTTACTTGTTGATGTACCAAAAGTGCTGTAGGCTTTTCCACGTTTGTCATTCTTTTTCTCCTTTTTGTTTATCTGAGTAATTTCAAATGACCTGTTTTTTTCCTTAGTTTCTTTTTTTTCTTGCTGATTCTCTCTTCTGCTTGATCAAGTTTGTGTTGAAGTTCTCTGTGAAATTTTTTAGTTCAATCATTGTGCTCTTTAGCTTCTGAGTTTCTGATTGATTTCTTTTTATGGTTTCTACCTCTTTGTTGAACTTCTGATATCTGTGTTCTCTTGGAGCACATTGAGCCTCTTTAAGGTGATTATTTTTAATTATTTGCCAGGCAGTTCAGAAATCTTCATTTCCTTAGGGTCAGTTCCTGGTGCTTTGTTTCCTGGGTAGCATCATGTTTCCCTAATTATTTGTGATCCTTGTGGCCTTGTATTGGTATCTGTGCATTTGAAGTAGACACTTCTTCCAGTCTTTACAGACTGGCAAGGAAAGCCCTTCACCAGACAGCTTGTCCAGAGATTCTGACCAGGTTATCCATTGGGGTTTGCAGTGGGCTTGCCACGGGAGTCCTCAGGCAGGCTGGCCTGCTGCCTAGGTCAGTGGGTTCATGGGCCTAGTGCCTAAGTCCACAGGGGTCAATCTGATGTCTTTTTTTGTAGGGGCAAGCCTGGAGCCTGGGTCTACTGGGGAGGGCCTGGACATTGGGTCCATATGAATGAGCCTCGTACCTGAGTTCATGTAGGAGGGCTTACATGAACTCTAGTCCCTAGTAGCCTGGGACTACTAGGGCTGGCCTGCAGCCTGACTTATGGGGGCCTTCCTGGCACTGGGGTGGCCCAGAGCAGGCCTGGAGCTGTGAGGGCTGGTCTGATATTAGAATGAGCCTGAGGCCTGAGGCCACAGGCTACAGGGGCTAGTTTGGCAGCGACATGGGCCTGGATGCTGGGTCCATGGGGGCCAGAGAGAGGTCTGGGGACATGAGGACTGGCCTGGTTCTGGAATCCACTGGGGTAGGCATGGTGCTGGGGCCTGCAATGAAGTTAGGGACTCACTTTATTCTTTTCCTTTACATGGAGGCTATCTCTATTTGTACTGAACTGCATAGGCTTTAGGAAAGGGTGACATGCATAATGTAAAACTATTCTTGTCCTCTTCAATGTGTCTTTGCTGATTTCTCTGCTCCATTCAGATGCCATAATCTCTCATCTGAATTTCTTAGCTCTTGTGAAGGTATTTTTATGTGTGGATAGTTCTTCAAGTTGATATTTCTGTGAGATGACAAGCAATGGAAACACCTATTCTGCCATACTGCTGACATCACTTAATTGTCATCATTTTTTTAAGGCTGTGATACTTTTTATAGGTATTAAGACTAATTTGTTTGAAGTTATTCATGAAAATTGCTTGTAATTTTGTAAGCTACTTTCTTCATGAAACGTATCATTATAATCTCTTCTGCTTTTATGGAGAGTAGAAATAATTTTCCTCATTCTGTTTAATTCCTAAAACACTTGAATAATTATTAGTTTAGTCATTTGACAGAAACTTATTAAAAATCTACTGTATGCAAAAATCACAATATTGGAACCTGTGAGAAATATGATGATTTCTAGTGTGCAGTTCCTGTGCTCAAAAAAGAGTATAATAAAATAATCAAATAAAACTATGCTCATGAAACAGGTGGTGTTACATGTTATTAGAAAGGTACAAAAAAACATTGTGGTTGTTCAGAGCATAGAAAAACTTCAGGATAGATGGATCCAACAGTTTCATGAAAGTGGCATTTCATCTGGGCTTTGGGGATGGGTAGAAAAGGTGAACCATAAAGAGACTATAGTGTTGTAGAAACACGGGGCATACAAATGGGTAGCAGTTAATTTAATTTAGAGCATGTTTTGCAAGATAAAGAGCATAAAGATCCAGGGCTGAAAAGGTAGGAGAGCTAGATTATCACCACTAAATCCCTTGCTAGGTGTATTTTGAGGTCAGAAAGGTTTTTGTTCAGGAGAATGCCTTTACCAAAGCCATGTGTTAGTGAGTCCCTTGAATTTTTCAGGAGCATTTTGAATGAAGTGGACTGTAAAAGATCTGGACACGGGCCTTATAAGTCAAGGTACTATTGTAGGAAGTCCAGGAGCAGAATGACAGAATGAATTCAGAGAACAGTGAAGGAACATATTCACCTCTAACTAAGAATAATCTTTATATTTCTGAACAAAAAATGTGTATCCATTGCCCTTTATCCTATTTAACTTGGAACTTTTCTCAAGTCTCCTGAATAGCTCAATATATGTCCTTTCAGGACAAATTATGAGAAAAAAAATCTTTAACTATTGTCAGGACCTGCCCAGATGTGGAGATCTGCAGTAATTGTGAGAAACTCAGCCCAGAGCTGAAGGAGTTAGCCCATTTATGCCTAGTGTTCCATTATTGGAACGCTAAGCTTGTGGGAGTTATTTATATCCTACTTCTCAAGGTCATCGCCAAGGTCTGATTTTTCACACAAAAAAATGTGCAACCTCTGGCATAAATGGGTTAGTTAGTAACCTGAGATCTGCTTTAGGGCAGAGAAAAGAGTAAAATGGCTGCAAAATGAAAGATGCAGCAAGGGGCTACTCTGAATTGCTTCTCAGAGTGACTTTAGAAGGTTTTGTGTGCCTTGCTTAAAAGTTCCATCCTTTACAATAACTATTAGGTTTGTGCAAAAGTAATTGCAGGTTTTTTAGATTAAAAATAATGGCAAAAACCACATTTATTTTTGTACCAACCTAATATATTGGCCTAATGTATAGTTGTACATGAACAAGTGATAAGTAGCAGATGGGCCAAGTGCCTTTAAGGGTCACCGCAAAAGAGAGATTCTGTGAGAGAGGACAGTTGCTGAGAGTCAGTTATGGGGGCTTTAGCCTCTTCCTCCATCCCACCCTCAGCAAGCTTCTAAAGGGTCTTCGGAGATCCACTAAAGGGAGTCATCAAGAAGAACAACTCACACGATGTTTATAGAATATCCAATACTCAAAGGCCACTGTCTAAACACCATCCCAGGATGAATCATCCCTGAGAAAAGTAAGTAGCCCCCACTTGTTATTTTACTACTGTATTCAAAGGTCACATAGAAAATATTATTATTACAATGTATTCCTAATTAAGGGGAAGAAGAAGAAGAAGAAGAATTTCCCGTCTTCCTGAGACATAGTGAGCTCAGAGGTTTCCAAACTCTGAGGATGTGACTTTAACAAGCTATAGAAATTCTGATTTACAACTCAGTCTTCAAATTCCTTGTAAGGAGTATGGTGTGCAAAAAGAAGGCTAAGTGCAGACGAATTAAAATATATAGGCGTTTCTTACCAACTGCTGCAAATATGTAACAGAAATATTTCTGTTTAGCTAATACATGTTAATTAATAACATGAATTATACAAATATGTGTATATATTTCTATGTATATATAAAAATGTGTATATACATTATCTACATATATATGTATAGAGGACCTAGGATGTTGGAAGCAAATTCAGTGCATAGAAAGATTGACATAAGGATGCAAATTAACACAAATGGTTACAAAGGGATTTCTCATATCAGGTTGATTTGGTTAGCAATAATCGTTGAATCTAATTTTTCAGGTAATGTTTCTTCCATCATTTTCCAGGGCAGCAAGCTGATGAACATCTCATTTACATTTTTATTAGCCTATAAAGCTTTTCTTGCTTATGCTCTTCTACCTCACCCTGAAAGCAATACTTAATGTTTAATAAAGCTAACAGAGTCTATGCCAAAGACCTGAGTGACAAAAAGAAATTGACAAGCTAGCGTCCTTTTATATTACTCCTTACAATTGATACATGTTTAAAGAATTGCTCTGAGACCTTAAAATAACTGATAATAATACATGATCTATGATCTTGTGTTTATCTCCAGACCAAAAGCCTGCAGAGTAGTAGATTGCTTTTTCACCTTTAATAAGGAGTATTCTGTAACATAGGGCACACTCAGTAATGGGGTATAGAGTTTATGGTTTCAACTCCCGAGGAAACCATTTTCGAATGCCACAGAATATGCAGTGTTCTTAAATTGAGTCTTAGATATTTAAGACTATGTGTAAAAGAAAGGTTTACTTTTAGAAACTTAACTGTTTAAAATGAAGGTATATCAAGTTTTGGCATTGTGGAACTGCACATGACTACAAAAACCAAGTATGGAAACCTATAAAGTTAATGACAATGAATGGTGATTATAATACCTATCAATCATTAGTGACATTCCCTAGATTGATATTGAAACAATAATTTATAATGATGTGCATCGGCTGGCATATTTGGCCCTTGCGATGTTTTCCATATCCAAATTATGGTAGTCTGAGATGTGCATATTGGTGGTCTCCTACAGAAACAGGACTTGTTTCTCTGCCTGTGAAATTTTGGGAGACTTATCAGAGACAAGGTAATATTGATGCATTGTGTGAAATAAAAACAACATCAGGCTACATAACAGATTCAGAGAAAGAGAGAGACAGAAAGAGACAGAGAAAAGCTTCCAAATTATTTTTACAGATTCAACATGACATTTATTTCAAAATCTGACAAGGATAATTGCTATGGGGAATTGTGTCCCCTGAAATTCACGTGTTGAAGCCCTAACCCCATAATACCTCAGGATGTGACTATTTACAAATAGAGCCTTTGAAGAAGTAATTAAGTTAAAATAAGGTCATTAGGGTAGGCATTAATTAATATGACAAGTGACCTCATAAAAAGAGTAGATTAGAACACAGAGACCAAGCTGCCAGGCATGTGCACACACAGAGATATGAGCATGTTAACATACAGCGAATGCATCTGCAAACCAAGGAGAGAGGCCTCAGAGGAAATCAAATTCGCCAACACCTTGATAATGAACTTCTATTGCCCTGAACTGTGAGAAAATATATTTCTGTTGTACAGAAATGTATAGTTGTACATGAACAAGTGATAAGTAGCAGATGGGCCATGGTAGCAGTAGCAGATATGACATGGTCATATCTCTGTGTGTGCACATGTCTGGCATCTTGGTCTCTGTGTTCTAATCTAACTCTACTGTAATGTACAGTGAGATACATTTCACTCAGTCTGTGATATTTGTTATTGGCAGCCTTGGAAACTAATGCCATAATACAAAAAAGAAAACCATAGGCCAACCTCACTTATGAATATTAGCAAAACAAGTTTAGCAGCAAGCTAAGGGAATAATGTACCATGACCAATTGTGTTTCATTCCAGGAGTACAATGATAATTCAATTGAAAAATGATAATTGTTCTGAAAATATCAACCACTGCAATTAGGAAAAAGAGAAACAAGATGTTTAATTATCAGAAGGGAAGCAAAATTATCACCATATATTGGAATTTAATTGTAAACCAGGAAGTTCCAAAAGACTCATCTAAACCATATGATAAAACAAATCAGTAAGTTTAATGATTTAAACTTAAATATCAAGAACCAATGTTTCTTGATTTTTAATATGTTTTATATAGTGTGTTTATAGGATACACACACTATAACAAACTAGAAAATGTCATTCACATTGCAATGAAAAGATAAAATACCTGGGAATAAATTTTAACAAATTTATGAGAAGAATATTCTGCTGAAAGATCGAAAAAGAAACTTGAATAAATGGAAAGAATTTGCTCTGAAACAGAAGACTCAATATAATGGGGACATTAAATTTCCCTAAGTTAAATTGTACATTAATGTTTTACCCTACCTAGGATACCACATTTTTTCTTTACAACTATATAACAGTAAAATCAGAAACAAAACAGAACAAATAAAAATGAGAGCTAACTTTCCTAAAGTTTATGTGCTAGGTAGTGTCTAAGCATTTGACATATATTGACATTACACACACACACACACACACACACACATCTATTATTGTGGGTGATAGTATAATCCACTTTCTAAAACTAGAAAATTGAGGCCAAGGGAGGATAAATTACTTTCCTATAGCTGAGACTGCGCTGGGTCACACCTGAAGTCAGCATAGTACTGGGTCTTGCCCAAAGCCTGTGGTGACTATTTCTTGGCTACCACTCATGTTTATTCAAGGCCTGAGGGCTCTTTAATCAGCAAGTGGTGAATCCTTCCAGGCCTGGGTCCTTCCCTTCAGCGCACTGGGTTCCCTTCTGTCCCAGGGTGGGTCTAGAAATGCTGTTCAGTAGCCAGGGCCTGGAATCAGGAGAGGGCTTCCGGAGTCTGCTAGTTGCTTTAGTTTACTGTAGCTGAGCTGGTTACCCAAGTTGCAAGACAAAGTCCTCTATACTCTTCCTTCTCCCGTTCCCAAGCAAAAGAAGTCTCTCCCCAAGTTGCACTGCACAGAGTTGGGAGATGGGTGATGCAAGTACTCCCTTGGTCACCACCGCTGGTGTCTCACTGGGTCACGTGCACCCCAAGTCCACTGGTTGCAAGCCCAGAAGAGCATCAGTACTTGCCCAAGTACTGTAGTCCCTGAGGCCTGTCTTTCAAATTTTTTCAGGACCCCAGCACTGTAGTCAACCAATGGTAGAGCTAGCTGGAAGTCAGGTTCCTACTGCTGCAGTGGAGGGTTACCTTCTGGCTGAGGCTGGTCTAAATGCTCCCTCCATGGGGGCTGGCAGAATTCTGCCCTGTATTGTTTTTCACTATGATAGGCCATCATTGAGTTCCAATGCAAAGTCTGACAATCACTTTGCTCTCTCTCTCTCCCAGACACATGGATTCTCTCTCTGTGCCATGCTGTGCCACTAGTGGGGAGGTGGGGAAGAGTTTAGGTAATGCAGGACTGTCTTTCCCACCCTCTTCAGTGCTTCTTTCCTTTTTTATTTTATTTTATTTTTTTTTTGAGATGGAGTTTCGCTCTGTCACCTAGACTGGAGTGCAGTGGCACGATCTCTGCTCACTGCAAGCTCCGCCTCCCAGGTTCGCACCATTCTCCTGCCTCAGCCTCCTGAGTAGCTGGGACTACAGGCACCTGCCACCACGCCCAGCTAATTTTTTGTATTTTTAGTAGAGACGGGGTTTCACCGTGTTAGCCAGGATGGTCTTGATCTCCTGACCTCGTGAACAGCCCATCTCGGCCTCCCAAAGTGGTGGGATTACAGGCGTGAGCCACCGCACCCAGCCTTCAGTGCCTCTTTTCTTGATGTTAAAACCAGGCACTGTGATCATCACCTGATTTTTGGTTATTATGAAGGTGCTTTCTTGCCTGGGCAGTTGTTCAACTCGGTTATCCTGTGGGGCGTTAAGGGGACGATTGCTGGGGAGTTCATTTCAGCTATTTTGCTCTGCCTCTTTCTCAGCCCATTTTTCAATTGGGTTATTTATTACGTTATAATTATTGTGTTGTAGTTCCATTGCATTATAACTTTCTTCTTATTTTAATACTACTACTATGAAATTTTATATCTTAGAAAGGAAAAGAGAGATAACATACATTTAGAGCACCCACAATGTGTGAAGTACTAGGCATATATTGTGCACAATGAGTGATTATGATCCTGGGCTCTAGAATGAGCCCTGAATGCCACTTTAATAGTTACTAAAGCACTTAAATCAGTACCAACCAAAAGCAAATTGTAAAGCAAAACAAATGAAAGCTACATCTTTCTATTCATTCATTCATTCATTCATTGTTTCTATTTATCTTCCTCAGATATCTCTTTTAAATCTAATTTCTTCTAATACTCTTTAGGGGAGGGTTCTTAAATTTGAATATGCATATGAATCATCTGGAAATCTTAAAATGCTAATTATAGGCAGGTCTGAGGTAGTCTTGAGATTCTATTTTCAAAGAAGTTCACTGGTTATACTATATTGCTAATCAATAAATCAGACTTTGATTAGCAAAGCTTTAGCCTATGAACTGATTACTAAAATTTTAACTACAAAAAGCTAACCGCAACTGAAGCATTAGAAACTTTTGCATTTTTACAGAGTCATAACTGCCTAAGAATGCAAAGAGTGAGCCTGTGGTGGGAAGGAGGATTAATCGTCTGGAGTAGGGGCCTTGTCCAATACCCAGGTAAGAGGTGGCCTGCCCATTCAGGAAGATACCCCATTTAGCCACTTTCTCTCATGGGGGTGTTCCTAGTCTGATAATTTAGGCACATTTTTGTGACTAGAAGTGTAGTTTGGGGACTTGAAGTTTTAGTTGAAGATTTCCTTCCAGCATTGATTTATAATGAAAATAGACAGGTAGTAGAAAGAAATTGCATTTACACTATCAGTTGAATCTGTATCTTTTTCTGTTTTGCTAAATAAAGTCATATGTAATTATAACATAATTTTGATAGAAATCAACCTTACTGAAAATGAATGAACCTTGAAAACTTTACACAAAATAAAAGAAGCCAGTCACAAAAAGACCACATTACATAATTCCAATTATATAAAATGTCTGGAATAGCCAATCTGTAGGGATGGAAAGTAGATTCATGGTTGTCTTGGCAGTGAGGGCTGGGTGGGACTGACTACTTAATGGGTATTAAGTTTCCTTTTTGGGTGACAAAAATATTCTAAAATTAGATTTTGGTGATGATTACACAACTCTGCAACTATACTAAAAACCATTGAAGTGTACATTTTAAATGGATGAATTATATGGTATATGAATTTTATCTCAACAAAGCTATTAAAATGTAATGCAGAAATTTTAGAGAAAAATTATACAGCCCAAAAGAATGGGGACCATACAAAAAGGCACCAGAATATCTTAATGTGCTAAGTCTTTGAGGGGGTTCAGATCTGCAGATATGGCATGTTTTCCTGACATATTCTAAGCTTCTGTGTATCATGTCCAAAGCTTAAATTCTGGTCAGGTGAGCTGAGAGGTTACTGTTTGGATCAGGAGAGAAGCAGTACAGCACAGTGAGTGAGAGAGCTCTCAACTGAGGATCAAGTCAATTAATATGTTCAGTACAAAGTTATCTATTCAAAGCATTAACTATTATTTTGTTTCATTATTTGTTCTGATTCCAAATGGAGTTCACAAGGGACTATTGCCTATTCACAAGATTGGGGCAGACTTGCTACTGTTTAGGTAAAAAACTCATGACTACCCTCTCTCTAAAAAATTAAAAATAAGAGAGAGAGAGAAACCATATTTTATAATTCTAAGCATTCTGTCATTTGTGCCTTTGGAGAGGAAACTAAAGCGATTATTAAAAAATAACTTACACAGGGTCCGAGGCTTCTTGGTAAACAAAATTCTCTACTGAAACATTTGGATGATTTAGTAAAGAATGAACTGAAACAATACTGAGTGCATTACCTTGAAATCAGAAATAAGTTCCAAAATAACTGGGAAGCATTTCTGAAGCAGTGATTGAATAAGTGTTTACAATTTGAAAATGGGATATGGTAGGATAGAATAACTTCAACTATGAATAATACGCTCACCTTCACAAGGTGTATATGAAAGTACACTTTTCTGTAATAAGAAAACCACTCCACAACCTCTATACATTACACATTGGTTTACATGTTTGCTGCATGCCTTTCTGTTCACTGCTCAAACAGTTGTCAACGGCTGCAGAAAACTGATTTGACTTATGGCAACTGCAGAAACTACAGCACGTAACACCAGAGTAACAACTTTTTAAGGAGTTATTTAAGTATAAAGTGTTTTACACTTGAGGTGTGTGTGTGTTGTGTGCTCATATACCTACATTATACTTCCATAGGTTATGCCCATATAGTGAATGCATTATGAAATTAGTTTTGAGTCATTTAATGTTGCTTTAATCGTATATGTAGTAATGCTTGGGCTTTATATAGTAACATATTCCGTTTCTTTTTTCACTTTCCAAATACTTTTTTTGTGTCTTGTGGGTATAAGCTGTGTTATAGCAATAAACAGAAGAGTCTCTGGGGAGTAATCGCTCTTTTATGTATAAGACTACAGATGTGAAGGTAGATCCCCAGGTTGGAGTCCCATCCAGCTTATTTATTTATCATCTGAATGCCCATGTAGATGTCATTCAGCTTCTCCAGTCCTCAGTTTCCTCACTAATAAACTGAGTCTGACAGTAGTTATCTCACAAAACAACCAAATGACAAATGTATGTGAATGATAAAGTACCACCAAATGTTAGCTAATATTTTTCCTTTTCCATGCCTGGGAAAGCGTATGACTCACATTCCCCAAACCTAAAGGGAAAAAGAGGATTTAATGCATGTTTATTGATTGCTGACAGGATCTTAGGCCTTGTACAAAGAAGCATATGCAAATGTATTGATAGATGGATGTATCAGTCAAAGAGAAGTATTGAGACCTGGGACAACTAATATTTGCCTACTCTTCAAAGCACAGTAAATTTAAATCTGAGTCCCAAATTGTAGTCAGCATGTCTAGGAATCTGCAGCACATGTTCTCTTCTATTATTGAAGAAGACAGCTGCCTAGTCAATGTAAATTTTATTGTAAGATTGTTTAATAGAATTCACAATTATGGGAGGACAAACACACTTGAGACACTAATGGAAGGTCTGAATTTGATATGTGGAGACAAAGAGTCCTGTCAGACTTAGCATCAGCTATTGTTTCACAGAGAAAGGTGGGCAATAAAAGATAGTGACTAGTAATGAAACAGAACACCCACTGATCCGTTGCTATTTCTGCTAACCATGATAATAAAAAATAGGAGTGGAATAAGCACCTAAATTTTTAGCATAGTAAGGAAATACTCGATGTGTGTTTTATCCCAATGTGCTCTACTTTTCTGCACTAACTTTTTTGATACCTGGGATCCTTTAACTCTTGAAACTCTCCTAATTGCAATATTAAAATAATCTTAGTCCTTTCCATATCACTGAGCAATTCTTTGTTTCCTTCAATAATTCCTTATTTAATAATTCCTTAAGTCTCCGGGGAGATTCTCTTAGGCTCGGTCCTATGACCATCCATTATGCCCAATATACAACTTTAAGCTGTTATTATGGTTTTAAATATTACCTCTCTATATATAATTTCTAAAAATTTACGTTAAACCCAAATGTGTCCATTAAATGCCGTTTGTATGTTTCTAAATGATTAATGAACATTTCCACTTGAAAATTTGGATGTCATCAGAAAATCAACATGTGTGGAGCTAATTGATTTTTCCTCCAAATTGAATCCTTTACCCAAGCTTTTATCTTTCTTTGTTTAATCATCATGTAATCGCACTAGAATTCATGCTAAATCATGCAGTCAAAGTAAAGTAATCCTTTTAAACATGTTACTTATCAAATCTCCAATTATTCTCTTGCTGAAATATTTTCTCAATTAGTCCCTGTTTCCTATGGGGGAAAAATCACATTGGTTCTTCTAATTTTCTTTAAAGAGTGAGAAATTCTGTGTTCTACTAATCTCTTAATCTGCCATGCCATCTACTCTTGTGTGTTATATATTGTAAACCACAGAAATTGTGTTATACATTGTAAACCACAGTAATTGCTTCTTGCATTAAATTAAACGCCTTAGACTTCTACTCTCCAAGTTTCTTTAGTCTCGTCTATTCTTAACACCTAATTTTACCTAGAGGGACTCTTCACAATTTGTTTCATGTTATCATTTTACTCACTGTCCCTTACTGTGCTTATCTCATTCTTTCCTTCCTATTTTTGGGCCAGATCCCTCTTATTTTTGCTGTCTAGTTCTCATCATTCTTTAGACTAGTTCAATTTTAAATCCCCTCTCATAACTCCTTCCCTAACTCTTTGAGTCCACATTAATCTCTGATATGCTTTGGCTCTGTGTTCCCACCCAAATATCATCTTGAATTGTACTCCCATAATCCCCATGTGTTGTGGGAGGGACAAAGTGGGAGATAATTGAATCATAGGGGTGGTTTCCCCCATACTGTTCTCGTGGCAGTGAATAAGTCTCAGGAAATCTGGTGGTTTGATCAGGGGTTTCTGCTTTTTCGTCTCATTTATTCTTTCTTTGCCTGCTGCCATCCATGTAAGACGTGACTTGCTTCTCCTTGCCTTCTGCCATGACTGTGAGCCTTCTCCAGCCATGTGGAACTGTAAGTCCAGTTAAATCTCGTTCTTTTGTAAATTGCCCAGTCTCGGGTATGTCTTTATAAGCAGTGTGAAAATGGACTAATACAATCTCTATCCTCACTGAACTCTTAACTCTTCTATTTTGTGTTCTCTGACATTTTCTCTACATTATTATGTTTCTAATAATAGATAATCCCTAACTTACGATGGTTCAGCTTACAATTTTTTGACTTTACAATGGTGTGAAAGTGATACATATGAGTGGAAACTATACTTTGAGTACCCATACGACCATTCTGCTTTTTCATTTTTAGTACAGTATTCAATAAATTACATAAGATATTCAGCATTTTCTTACAAAAGAGGTATTCTGTTAGATGATTTTGCCCAGCTGTAGAATAGTGTAAGAGTTCTGAGCACATTTAATGTCAGCTAGGCTAAGCTATGATGTTCAGTAGGCTAGGTGTGTTAAATGCACTTTCCATTATGATATTTGCCACTCATGATAGATTTACTCAGATATAACCCCATCATAAGTTGAGGAACACCTGTATTCCCAATTATCAAACCTACTCTCATCCATCCTACTCCTTACTTATAACTATATTGCTGTTTTACATTTGAATTGCTTATATATTTTTTCTGCATATTTATTTTGTGTGCCCAGTTGCATTACAGAATATTTAGGGGAAAAATCTATGTCTTATTTTGTTGTATCATTCCTATATTTCTATATTCTAACCATTTATAGACAAAGTAGGGGCTGAAAAAATGTTAAATGAATTCACACGTATGGGTAAAGATATATTGACAGTGACTATTTACTACAATTATAGTTGACCCTTGAACAACACAGGTTTGAACTATGTAAGTTCACATATACATGGATTTTCTTTCATCTCTGCCTCCCCTGAGACAGCAAAACCTACCCCTCCTCTTCCTCCTCCTCCTTTGCCTATTCAATGTGAAGGCAATGGTGATGAAGACCTTTATGATTATCCACTTCCACTTAATAAATAGTAAATATATTTTCTAATCCTTATGATTTTCTTTATAACATTTTCTTTTCACTAGCTTACTTTAAGAATATAGTATATAATACATGTAACATTAAAAATACATGATAATGGACTGTTTATATTATCAATAAGGCTTCCAATCAGCAGTAGGCTATAAATAATTAAGTTTTAGGGTAGTCAAAATGTATATATAGATTTTCAACTGTACAGGGGATCAGTGCTCCTAACTCCCACATTGGTCAAAAGTCAATGGTAATAGTTTTCAAAGAAATACTCCAACAAAAATATTCATTTTGAATATAATTATTTTAGATAGTTTTGGATACCCTTTTCTTTATTATTTGATCAATAATTTAATTAGTCCCCCATATAAGAAGAGAATAAAGGCTAATGTATCTATACTTGCTTTTTGCAGTGTTAGCTATTGACTATAAAAGTCATCAAATATCAGCTAATGAGGAAAATTAGAAAACCCATGAAGAATTGCAAGGCAAGAGTAGAGATCTATTTGGAATACTTTGGTGAAGTTTGCCCTAAGTCTGGTAAAATCAATATAATACCTTCTTCCATATTATGATTTAGAAAGAAAGAAAACAGAGCTATTTGAATAGGAGATGAAGAAACTAAGCTCTTAACCACTTTGCTTTAGAAGCCATTGTAATGCTATCATCAAAACAACATTAGGAAAAAAAGGATTTTGTTTTGAAGACATAGTCTGTAATTTTCCTGGCATTAAGAGGTTGATCATGTTTTACTAGAAGTTAGTGTCTAACTCATAAATTATTTCACCCAGATCCCTTAATGTTTACCACTCATTTACTTTATCACTGGCCTCAGTTTCTTTCTTTCTTTTTTGGAAAACATTTATATTTAGGTGAATCTAATGGAATTTCCCCTTTCCTCATAAGTAACACAAACTCACCTATATTTACAATGAATCTCACTAAAAGGATTTATTTTCCAGGAAATAAGGTGATATGGAAAGGAGTGGAAATGTCAACATGAAGGAAACTATTTTGCTCTCAACGAGATATTTTAATTTGTATTGAATGTAAGAGCCCTTTGAAGTGACACTGTTAAGGGAGATGGATCACCTCTGTTTTACAGGCTTCAAGTATAATTTTATATGCAGCTCTATTTGTTCACAGTTTGTGTGCGTATATGTGTGTGTATTAGTGAAGAAGGTATAATTGAATTGCAACATGACTAAAAGGGGGAACATAACTATTTAATAATAAGGATGTCAGACTTCTCATCTTTTACATTGTTGAGCTATTGGTGTTTCCACAATTGATAGAGTGTGACAATCATGGGATTTTGAGTAAAATGATCAGGATTCCAAACATGGCTCTTTTCCTCAATAGCTTTGTAATTTGTCAAGGCAATTACTATATAAGAGCCTTAGTTTTATATCTATCAAATGGCAGCGGCAATAAAAACTATTCGATGAGGATTTGTGAAGTTAGCCAAATCATGCAAATGGAAGTCCTTCCCATAATAGGATATATAAAATTAATACTTTAAATTTAAGACAAGATCCAGAGTCCTTCCTATGACCTTTAAAACACTGTGTGATTTGGCTTGGAACCATTCATCACCAGACCTTGTCTTCATCATTCTTCCTCCGCTCACTCCACTCTAACAACTCTGGCTCAATCATGTCCCTCAAACACACCCAGCCTTTTTAGGCCTCAGGGTCCTTGCAAGTGCCATTCCTTAAGCTTGAAATTCTTTTCTCTCCTTTTACATGGCTGACATTCTCAATATATTTAAATCTCTTTTCCTATATGACCTCCTTTCAGAGATATTTACTGTACAGCTTATTTTAAATAGTGCCCCCTTCTCTCTCGTTGTTTTCATTTTACCTCACTTTATTATTTTTATGGTACTCACTACTAATTAAAATTATGTAATATTTTCTTGTCTTTATTGTCTATTTTATTCTTTACAGCTAAACTCTATAAAATGAAAATTTTGCCTGACTTTCTTGCTACTGTCATCCCAGCATCTAAAACAGTATCCGGTGCATAATAGGTGATGAATAAATATTCATTCAAGTAATACATAAGTAGATGAATGAGTGAATGATTTTTCATTTTGTCCTTACTCTGCATTAAGCAAACTACAAAGTGATTTATATAAATTATCTAACTTAATCATTATAATAGGCTTACTAATATTCCTATTTTATAAGTGAAGAAAAGAGGGAGGTCATGAGATTCAGTAACTTCCCCAAGGTTAAAATAGCAAGTTGTGGAAACTGAGCTGCTATAAAGCCTCTGTATATCTAGCTACCTTTATGTTAATTGATGATTAAATACACTGTTAGAAAATTGACTGAATTGACTATCCAAAGCTCATTTATACAGCTAAATTTTACCCCAATGTGTTCAGTAGCTAAAAAATAAACCAACTTGTAAAGTCTCAAAGACAGTATTTCAAAACAGTTAAGAACAACAACCGAAAAGGTAAATAACCTTTGTTTTCACAGGTGCCAAAGGCATGACTTACCTCTAGGTGGCCAGCTATTGTAGCAATATGGAGGGCAGTGAGGCCACCGTATCCAACCTGCTGTATATCAGCTCCACTGTGAAGCAGAGAAGTGATCAATTCTGCATTATCCTGTAAGGAAACATATCTTTAGTGTTACTTTTCTGCTAATAACAGGTTCAAAAGCTGTGCAACAGGATGTATTGATTTTCTGCCTATCAGCCAGTTCAGGTGCTCAAAGGAAACTTAAGTGTGATTTCTAGCATAAGAGCACATTAGATACCAGAGAATAGTTCTCAGATGGTGGAAAGTAGGACCAAATGACAGAGGTGTTCAGTTCTAATCAATCCTCTACCGCTTGAACAAGAAAGACAGAAAGGACATTACCTATGGTGAGACTCTTGCAACCACAAACTCAGTTTTACAGGTAGGTTACTCCAATGAATATGCTTTTCCAGCAACTAGAATTAACTCCCAGTGAGGTCAGGAATTTACAGTAACAGTTTAAAGGTTTATTTTTTTTCTTTTAGAGATGAGGATGAAATATGCCATTTAAGAAGAGAGTATGAACCAAGTACTGAACAAAGTACATGCAGCCCAGTAGGCTGTTTCATGATAGTTCAGTAATTTCTTCTTACTAATAAATAATATCATTAAATCTAGGCACAATTAATTCATAATATCTTTCTTAACTTGACTCGTTTTACCAGTGAATATGTTAGAACTATTATTTGAGCCTCCAAATTTGAAAAATTTGTGCAACAATTAAAGTAATTCTTACTTTTTTATAATATTATTTGTATTGTATTTCTGCCTTTGGAGATACATGAAATAATATTTATAATATTAATAGCAATTAACAGTCATTGAATTTTTATTTTGAAATTCAATATGTAATTTTGTTTTGTATTTAATCTTTGTTATACAAAGATTTCCATGTTTAAGCCTCAAAGTAGGAATTTAAACCACAACTTCTATAATATTTGGTCTATCAACACACCAAGTAGCAATAAAGTCAAGTCATAAGATAGGCCAGTGCATTTATGACTTACATACATATAACATCAAATACTGTTTGTTAAGAAAATTTTACCATTAAAAGGCAAAGTTTGATTTCTTAATGCTGTCACACCTGCATAAAGGCCTACAAGAAATTCTAAAAAATGAAAAAACTTTGGTAAAGAGCTACAAATAGTAAAATTAATGTTATAGTCTCCAAATCTTCCCGTTTTTCTACCTGCTCTCCCAAGAAAGTGAAATAAATATTGCATCTTCAACCTTTCTTCTTTCATTGGCTCTATATGCTTGAACTATAAACTTATGTTTTCTCCGTTTTAAAAAAAAAGTTTTGTTTTTTTTTTCCCACTGAAGCTAAGCTGATTTTATCTCTATTATTCCCTTCATTTTCCAGCCTTCTGAAAAAAGATATTGAATCTGTTGACAGTTGCAGTCTCATTTCTTTAGCAATCTTTAGGTAGGTATACCCAAGTTCCACATAAATCTCAAATGAGTTCACCATACTTATTCTACATTGAATTTTGCTTTTCTCACACTACTCCTCACTAAGGCAGATTTATTTCCCACATCTCTTTTCATCGTATTACCAGGTGAAGTCACCATGACTGTTTCTTCCACCTGAGGCATTAAGGACCTCACCAGTCTCCCGAAATCACTTCTTCAATTTCTAAAGGTAAACTATCAAATCCAGTGTCCTTGTAGTCATTCTCTCTATGATTAGATCATCTCTTTCTTCTCAAAATTCTTATCTCCTTTGCTTTCCTAAAACTATACATTCCTTGATTCCTTTTTGTTGCCTATTCTTTGTTTCTGACTGTCTTCTAAAAGTGTATGATTTGGAAATGTAGCCCTAAGCTGCTTTCCCATTCCTAAATGCCACTTTGGTAATTATTATACAATCTGATAAATGCATCTTTGGTCCTGACTTCTCTGCTAAGTCTGAGTCCCATATATTTTGCCTATCAATGGCATCTCAAATGCAAAATTTGAAATTGTTCTTATAATTATCGTTTATAATTTTCCCAGGCTGACTTGTCATCTAACATTCCTTATTTATATGAATGGCACTTTTTTATTCCAAGGGACCTAGAGTCCCTTCAGCTCAGTTTCAGAATTCTACTGGTTTTAACTGACTTATACTTCTCACATTTCTTCTTATTTCTAGCATCATCCTCTGTATTACGCAGCTTCCTAACTAGTCTCCTCAACTAATACTTTTTCCCATTGCAGTCCATCCTGCATACAATTAGATACATTTTCCTACACCCAGTTTTGATTATGCATTTCTCTTTTCAATATACCCTTTATATGCTAAACAAATATTGATTGAGCATATCTGGTGTTTCAAACTCTTTTCTGAGCAGTGGTGACACTGCAGTGAGTAAAGATAGTGAAATCGCTGCTCTCACAGAGCTTATATTTTACTATGTTTACGTGAATGGAGAGACAAAAAGTAAACAAATAAGAAATTGCTATACAGTAGCTTAAAGTACCAACTGATATGAGATAAAAATAGACAAATGATTAGATGGCTATTTTAAACTGGTTAATCAGGGAAAGCTTCACTGCAGAGGTGACTTTTGAGATAAATGGTAGATGGCAAAAAGTCACAATTTCAAGGATAAGTATTAAAATATGAAACATAGCTAGTGCAAAAGTCGAAAGACAGATATAAGCTTGTTGTGTTTGAAGACCAGCAATAAGGCCAATGTTGAGTAAATGATTAAACAAAGGAAAAGAAATTTTCAAGATGAGGTCAAAGATGTATAATCTTGCAGGGCCTTCTAGGCCATGGTATGGGGTATTTGGATTTTTTTCCAAGTGCAATAAGTAGTAGGGAAATTAATGATAGAGAGATAGGGAAGAACCAGGAAGAAGCAGATTTTGAGGCAGAAGTAAAATGTTTCGTTTTCACATGTTAAATTTGAGCTGCATATAAGGCAGGGTTAAGATGCAGGTCATAGAATTAGCCTCCCTAATTAGAATTTCAGCTCTCACAATGACTATGTGCACTGGAGCAGTTCTGTCACTCCTTTTTGCTAATTTCCTTGATTATATAAAAAAAGAGTAATTGTAACCACCTTAAAATTGTTCTGATAATACCTATAGTACCTTCCAAATAAAATATTGATTTGATTTAATCACTTAGCTTCTCTTTCTCCTTTCCCTTTACCTCTTCCTCCTAACTCCACTCCCTCTGCTTCACGAGTTAGGCACTGCAACAAACAAAGGAATAAAACATGGAAAAAGGCTGTACCAGTACTGGAAGCGAGAAAACGTCTACTAGTTTAGCCATGGATAGGCTGCCAGAAACTGAGAATTCCTCCTCCAGAGAAAACAGTTCACAGGAGTTAACTCTCACTTTACCAATAATCTTGGTGAGGGCTAAAGGCATGATTAGTCTTGAGATAAATAGGAAAAACATCGCCTTAAAACATTTTCCCTGCAGATGGTCAGAAATTTCAATGCAGAGTAGTAGGGAAGGTCTTTTTAAGCATAAAGTTATATTTTAAATAGAAAATATGATAGATTTGAGCAAATTAAAGTGTTAAAAACACAATAAGGCAAGTGACGAGTTGGAGAAATATTCACAACATATAAAACTGACAAATTGTTTACATATTTAATACATAAATAACTTGTATAAATCAGTAGAAAGATGGATACTCTTTTATTCAACAAATATTTATTAATGAATGTCTATTTTATGACAAGCACTGTACTAGGCTAAATTAAAATAAATTTTATGTAAATCACAGAGCATGTGAAACATTTATCTATTAGGCAGTTTTAGTAAACACACATTTATCCTTTCTTCAAGTATCTTTGTTTTTTCTCCTTATTCAGTCAATATTTGTGGAATTTTTTTAAAGTATATTAGGATTCCTTCAGAATGGGCAAATGGTAAGGTCAAAAGTTAAGAGTAATAATTTATCCTTTCATACCTTGGTTGGATTTCTCAAGATTGACCTCTAATTGATCTAAATACTTTTTAACTGAATACTGCCAAAATAAAACTTTTATCTTATGCAGCTATGCTAAAGATAATAAACATAAAGCAGTAATTGCTGCATATAAATTGCTTACTATGAGCCAACTTCCATGAAAAATGTTCTATCTATATCCTCTCATTTAAGCTTCACAATTTACCTATGAGAGAAAATAATTATTAACCCTATTTTATAGCCGATGTCACTCAGGCTCAAAGAATTTAAAGTGCTAACTGAACCTTACTTTGTAAGTGTTGAAGGTAGATGCAAACCCAGGTCTGTTGGACTCCAACGTCTGTACTTCACTTCTGACTTTCCATAGTGGTTTTCCTGATCGAGTCTCAAGGAAAAACTTGAGAGGACATACTTTTGCTGTATTTAACTGATAAGCCTCTTACTCTACTGGAATATTTTGTCCTAATGGAATAATTTTAAGAGTCAGCAATATGGTACACACCTCCTGGAAAAAATTTTCCTGTAAAATGCAAATATTAGGCAAATTTTGAATACTCTAAGTTTGATCTCATTTATTGCTTGCAGTTTACCATATATAAGAAATGTCTAATGGCAATGTTTTTAAAAGAAAGTCTCTTAAGACTTGTTTAGAAAAGAGTCTTGTGGAAACTGACAAGTTTCCTTTATGCACTCTCTAGCCAAATTTAAAGCATTATTATTCAATGTGACACACAGAGGCACCCTATAAGTGTGAGATAAATAAGCTCTTTGTAATGTATTTGTGTGTGTCATATTTATTATTTTTAAGCAGAAGAAAATCCATGTGTGGAAGAATGAGGCTTAGACAAAAAAGCGCTCCAGCTATATCCTTGAGAAATAGAATTTGAGGTAGAATAGATCTCCCAAAATGTATGTAAATGGATAAAAATATTTTGTAATGGTAGTAACTGCAACTCTGTACTAGCCATAAAACTCTAAAACAATGCTTACTTAATATCCTGCCTTATTGTTAGCTCTGTGATTATTGCTATGGATAAAGCCAAGATAAGCAACCACTATATCACAGAGCTCAAATCCTCTACTACCATATTACATCCATTTTTAAAATTTATTTATTAAACAAAAAAATTTCAACTCTATTTCAGTATAGAAAAGAAACTGATGTATAAAAATGTACTTTCTTCTGATTATGGACAAAATATACCTTCTGGTGGTTTTAAAACATGGTGAGCATTCATCTATACTCAACCCACAGATATTTGCTATCTATGCCCCTTCCCCTTGAACCTGGGTGGATTGTGATCAATAGCGTGGAGCAGAGTGTTTCTTTTCTAAGGCTAGGACATAGAAGACCACACAGCTTCCTTTCTGTTTGCTGAAAAACACACTCTGGGAGCCCTGATCTATAACGTAACAAATCTGACTAACCTGTGTCAGCCATGGTATAAGAAAATGCAGGCCACATGGAGAAGGTACATCGCACATGAAGGCTCTCCAATCAACTGTTCTAGCTAAGTCCAGCCTTACACTTATTCCAGTCAGTGTGTTAAGCCTCCAGAGAATTCCAAGCTACCAGCTGATGAATAAACCCATTCATTCACATTTTCTCAGCTGAGGCTCTAAATATTGTGGGACAGAATCAAGCCATCCACACGGCATCCTGTCTGAATTTTTGAACTAAGAATCCATGAGAATAATAAAATAGTTGCATTAGAAGACCAAGTTTGGGATAGTTTGTTATGCCTCAACAGACAACCAGAATACCTCAGAGAAGAAAATGTAAAAAACAAAGAAAATGAATAAATAATTCAATAACCCATAGTACTACCATATAATCACTATTATTTATGTGTGTATTTTCCCTTCCATTCTTTGTCCTATGTACATATGTTTGTGCAACCAGATGGAGCACAAGCTATCCCAGCAAAGCAAACTCGTGTTTCAATATTGATGGGCACTTCCTACATTTGCGACATGTTTCTTAACCTTTTGAGCTGTCCAGTTTTTGTCTGTAAAATGAAGATACAATTGTATCATTCTCATAGCATTGTTGTGAGGATTACATCAGATAATGCTGTAATTCATTTAGTACAATGCTTGACACATAATAATTGTTATTATGTACACTATTGATCTAATTCTACATATAGGTAATTTCCTTTTTTCATATATTATAGAATCATGAGCATTTCCTCATGTGTGGCAGAAATAGATATGCCACTGAGACCTCCCTTTATGAAGAGTGTGGCAGGATGGTAGTTCACTGGCAGCTTTCTCAGTTATTTCAGGACCCACTGCAGCATTAGAGCTGTGTTCAGTCTCTTCTCAGGGTGGACCTTACTCCCAGTCAATGACTGAGTAAGGTGGTGGTAAAAGAAGGGCCTCGACATTTCTAGCCCGTGTGGCACTCCTTTCATAGGCAATTTTTCCTCTGGAGCTCCTCAATGGGCTGGCGGAGATTTTAGCAGCTCTGTATTGGGATCTGATGGCACCTCATAACCAATTCTGTTTCATTCCTTTTCCTTTCACAGGTGTCACCTTTAAATAAACCTCTTGTACTCCTACATTCTTTTCAGAGAATGCTTTTTAGAGAACCCAATTGGCATTCCATAGCATAAAATGTGTTTCTTTAATGTAACTTTAAACTGAGGCTGAACTGGGATTTGAAATCAGGTCTTCTGATTTTTAATATTATGCTTTTCTTAATACATCATGTTATTTCTCCCTCCCCACCAATTACCCTTCAGCTGCTAATAATTTGTCTTTCATGTATCAGCCCTGACCTTATATTCCTCATTTTTATAAAAAGAAATATAATACCTACCTTACTTACCTTACAAGATTGTAATAAAGATCAAATGAAATAATGTATGTGCAAATGCTTATAAACTCAAGATACTTACAGGTGTAAGCTTATATTCATATTAAATGTATCACCCCCAAGATTGGCCTACTTCTATGAGAATATTCACCTTATGATTTAGTCCACTCTGTCCCAAGAGATGTTTAGTCATAAAATACTTCCATTTCTTTATCTGCAGGGTTACAGAGTTGGGCTAAATTTTTTTCTGTAATACCTTATTCACCTCTAATATTCCCTGAAGTGTCATACCAAACTCCAAGAAGGAGCTGAACTTTGATTGGAAAGAAAACTAAGTTTCTGGATATAAAATAGGGACATATAAATAAAAGTTTTTAAAATGTTTCTCTAAGTATATTTTTTCTTCACCAGCATAGCAATTGTTAAAGTTTATTTGTTTTTATAAAGAAAAAGGTTTTTTTAGAAAAGTAATTTTGGAGGCTTTGAAGAATATTATTAAGTTTTCCTTTAGGACAAGGAACTATTCAGGGCTTCAGTATGAAATGCACTTAGTTCTAGGCATTAAAATTTAATGGACTAGAGCTGCCTCGTGCATCATAGACATCCCCAGTGAAAGTATCCATTAATCAGTATGAAAATAACTGCTCAACTCACAAAGGTTCATACCTATATGTCTCCTGTTGAAACAATTCTGGATTTATTTTCACAAAAGATATCAGTTTTTAAGAGTTTCAGTGTGGTGGAAATACTTGACTTTGCTTGAAATTTTGGAAAAAAAAAAAGAAAAAAAGAGAAGTAACATACTCTTAGATTATCTGTACCCTTGCTTTGGACCTATTTTTTCCCCTCACCTCTGCCATCCCTCCTTCTTCTATTTTCTCATTTTCCATAATGTATTTATTCCTGCAGGCTGCCTCCAATTGGCCTTTGAACATCCTTAAATCATCTCTCATTTAATAATATAGAGATGATTTAACAGGAAGAGGATAATAAGAATCTCTACCTATTGCAGTGGGGCGGGGGAAGTAAATACATGCTACTTGAAAAGGCATAATGAATATTCTAATTTTTTAAATTTGTTTTTAGCTATAACATAATATCTATTTTAAAGTTTAAAAATAACATTTAAATAAACTCTGAACTTTTATGTTTATTTAAGGAGCAAGAGTTTAAAAAGATAGGACAATGCTGTTTCAGAAACCTTCCTGATCTGGCCATTCCTCAAATATTGCCCAATCTTATACTTTTTGGAAGAGAAATTAATGTTTATTGCCTCCATTTCCCTAACTGTATTTATTTTCAACCCATTTTTATATCCTCTTCTCCCCAAAATTTACTAAAATATCCCTTAAAGAGGTATCTGACAATTTCCTAATTTCCTATTCTAATGGCCCAAATAGGACCATTTTGCCCACTGTCAACCTCATCCTACCTCCTTTGAAACACTTTTCTTCCCCCCAGTTACCAGAGAACTATAACTTCATTCTTCACTTATAAAACATCAATTTATTAAGTATATATATCAAGCGTTGTTCTAAGCACTCAGAATAAGATGATAAGCAACTTGGATCTGGTCTCTGCCTTGATGATGCTCATAATTACTATCAGAGATTACAAACAGGCTACAAGAGGAATGGAAATATATATGGCTTAGCCTGTTGAGTATTTATGACTAAAAATCTGCATTAATGGCCAGCATTTAAATATTAGGAAACTTCACATAATTTATGATTCTCTGAAATTTTGGGAAATAATGGGTCTACATTTTTACATGACAATGATTAGCTGAAGCTGAAGAGTGACCATTCCCTTTACATGGGGCATATGTTTTCTAAGTTACCACAGTCTTTGCCACTCTCTCATATCTCAAAAATATTCAGTCTTGAGTTTTACTTCCCATTTATCATTGTCTGTCTTTCATTTATTTATGTCATCCTTAAAATATGTGAGATTGTGACCGCTAATATAGAGGAAGATATAAAGATTTAACTAAGTAATAATATACAGTAGCATACACAGCATAGTAAGTACTAGGAGCTAAGAGAGTACAATGAAGCAATACCTAACCCAAACTTGGGAGGGATCAGGGAAGGTTTTCCAGGAAATACTACTGTCTGGTGTAAGAATTGAAGCATAAATTGCAAATTACCATCTTCAGCTAGGATCCTATTAACTTTTTATTGAGAATGTGTTCATTTAGAAAGAGATTATGAAATATTTCATTACTAAAGGGAAATCTGCATATAAACAAGCTATCTTAATGATTGCTGTAATTTATGAGTAAAAATTTTCTCTAGTTTCTTAAGTGAAAATCTACTATTAAAGTGTTTAAAAGTCATCACTAACTGGAGAATTTAGTTAAATATGCAAAAAGTGGGATTCTTTTTTTTTTGAGTTTTTTTTTTCTTCAAATTATTTCTTATTACTATCTTGTCAAATTCCCATTTAGGGAAAATGCAGTCTTTAATCAGGAAACTTTATTTGTTCAAATATAAAGGTAATTAAGATTTAAAAAATCCATTTAAGTTAATGAATATTGAAATCTGTCCTCTAAATCAGTTGTTCTCAACTGGGAGTGATTTTTGCCTCTCAGGGGTGATATCTGGAGATATTATTGGTACTCACAACTGGGCATGAGGGAAGTGGCTGCTCTCATCTAGAGAACAGAGGACAGGGATGCTGCTAAACATTTTTATAACACAAAGGACAGCCTCCCACAGCAAAGAATTATCCAATCCAAATTGTCAGTAGTGCCAAGGCTGTTGAACCTTGGTCTAAATCGACAGCAGTTAGAAACTATGAAACACTTACTTTGGGTCTTTAGTTTCAGGATAGTTGAAAATTTCAACTTTGCAATCAAATATATGTGCTAAGGAGGAAAAAAAAAGTCAGGATAAAAGATATTAATACAATGATTCAGGCTACGAATCGCCACTGATAGAAAAGTCAGAGTTTTCTGATGGGCACAGTTACGTAGCAAAAAATACCTAGGTCTGGTAAGCCAGGCAACATAGGTTTAATTCGATTTTTCCCCCATTCATGTCCTTCCCTTTTGTAATACATATATAAAATGAGTTGTTTCTGAATGATAGGAATTAAATCTTGCAAGAAATATATAGGATGGGATAAATGACCATTACCATTCAATATCTGCTTTTATCATACGAAATGTTAAAAATAAGTTAATGAATCAAAATGCTACTTCTTTCTCACTAAAGAAATTTCACTAAGTGGCTTGTCTGTGTATTGAATGAGAGTTACATGTAAGGCTAAATTAGATGGTCTAATAGGATTTTGTTCATTAGCTTTCTCAATTAAGATCTTCTAAACTATATCAGAGGTCTCAATTTTTTCCCCAAAGTCTTGTGTTTCATTTTAGGAATACAATTTAGATACCACCTAAAGAAGTATGCCCTATAGAGGGATATAAATGTGACAGGAATCTTGTAATAAAATTCATTAGGGTACAAAAAGAATTAGAAAATCTGCTTATATACATTTATATATAAAGATAAATGAAGTTTCATTCATGTTTAACATGTAAATTTACACTGGCGGCTTCAGTTCATATATCAGCTAGTCATATGTCACATATAGTACCCAAAGTATAATATATACTTAAAATTCTACATGGGAAAGGACTGAGAGCTGCCTCTCACTCTTTTTTTTTTCTTAGCTTTTAGTTATTGGGGATGTGCTGTAGCTTATGTGAGCCAAAGTAAGTGGGATTATAAATTTTAATATCAAATTTTAACTGAATAGACACTTCAACTGAATAGACGAAATTGGCAGGTATCTTTAAAAGAGTCCTGTGAAGAAAATACACAACATATATATTACTAAGGTAAGAAGCAGCAAAGAAAAAGCTGGTACTTTTTTCTACCAATCTGAGCTTCATATAAATCAATTTCCTAATCTAATCATATTTGTAATAAACTTGTCAAAATATTTTATATTATCAAAAAGGCTATTTGAAATATAAATGTATAGCTACAAACTTTAACACTGGTTGTTTTCCAAAGAGTAGATTTTGTCTTAAGCTATTAACTGATGGGTTTTTTTGTTAATGTATATAATTTATGAACACATATATGTGTTTGGGAGTGCTAATTTTATAGAGGACGTGATAAAAGATGTTTGTAGTCCATTGATCTAAGTATAGATGCCATTTCTTTTATATTGTTAGGATTACCTTTTCTCATCTCTTTAGAATGTAATAATCCAGAAAATCCAATCCATTTCTTTTAATTTTTCTATGCAAAATGAAAAACATGTTAGTTTCCAATAAATGTTTGTCAAAGTTAGAGTTCAACAACAATAATGGTTAATTTTTATTAAGTATTAACTATATGCTAGGTATTTTGCTAAGTACTGCATATGATTTGTTTCCTTAAAACTCTAAACTACACAATAAAATAGATAATTCTATCTGCTTCATTTTAGAGGTTAGAAAATTGAGGAGCATAAGGAAAACTCAATTTGCCTAAATATGCATAATTAGCAAGTCTCATAACTGAGATATGAACAGAAGTATTCTAGCTTCTAAGCTGACAGTCTTTCTTAAGCTACATAATATCAACAAATGTCAAGTATTGTTCTAATGTTTGGACACTCACTAATTTCCAAACAAGTATTTCTCAAGGATCCTTTACAGGTCACATATACTGAGGAATCAAAGAAAAAGACTTAGTCCCAGTGTCCAAAGTTCACAGACCAACATTTGAAATATGCAAATAAATAAATAATTATAAGTGCTACAATAAAAGATAATGTAAACTTAATAACTGAAACCCAAAAGAGAGTGCAATAATTTCTGTCTGCGAGTTCAATAAAACTCAGTTTATCTTGGTTTTAAATAAGTAATAATTTTGCATCAGGAAAAGAAATTAAAAAATATTTAAGCAGAAGAAATTATAAAAACAAAAATAAAGACATGTGGAACTGTTTGGCCTAAAAAATGGAGTTATCTAAAATGGCAATCTTCAAACTTTAATCTACAAATACATCAGCTGAGATTTTTTTAAAAATGTACATTCTGGTTGTGATGCTTAATTTTAGGTGCCAACTTGACTGGGTTAAGGGATGCCTAGTTAGCTAGTAAAACATTATTTCTGGGTGTCTGTGAGGGTATTTCCAGAAGGCATTAGTTTTTTGTTTGTTTGTTTGTTTGTTTTTGAGACAGGGTCTTGCTCTATTGCCCAGCTGGAGTACAGTGGCACAATCTTAGCTCAATGCAATCTCCACCTCCTGACTTCAAGTGATTCTCCCACCTTAGCCTCCCAAGTAGCTGGGACTATAGGCGCACACCACCACATATGGCTAATTTTTGTATTTTTAGTAGAGACAAGGTTTCACCCTGTTAGTTTCAAACTCCGGAGCTCAAGTGATCCACCTGCCTCAGCCTCCCAAAGTGATGGGATTACAGGCATGAGCCACTATGCCCTGCCAGCATTTTCATTAGTAGACTGAAAAAGAAGATCACCCTCACCAATATGGGTGGGCATCATCTAATCTTTGGAAGGCCTGAATAGAACTAAAAGGTAGAGGGAAGGTGAATTTGTTTTTATTTCAGCTGAGACATCCATATTCTGCCCTCAGACATCACTGATCCTCGTTCTTGGGCCTTTAGACTCAGAATAGGATTTACACCATAGGCTCCCCTGGTTCTCAAGTCTTTGGACATGGACCAAATCATACTATCAGCTTTCCTGATTCTCCAGCTTATAGACGGAAGATCGTGGGACTTTTGGGCTCCATAATAGTGTGAGCCAGTTCCTATAATAAATATGTCTCTAGATTAGATAGATAGATAGATAGATAGATCCATTAATCCTATTGGTTAAATTTCTCTAGAAACGCCTGAATAGTACTGGTTGAATAGGGCTGGAAAGGAAATGAGAGCAGCATTTCTGAAATCTTTTAGTTGGGGTGGATGCTACTGATCATGTGACCATAATTTGAGTTGCCACGCTTGAACAGTAATCCACAATATGTAGACCTAGATTGTTTACATCAAAATTCCTAGGTTGTTTGTTAAAAATTTAGATTCCTAGAATACCCTAGATGTACCAATTTAAATGAGAGTAAAGTAGAAAGGGAAATATTCATTTTAAACGTATGTTACTATATGATCCTCATGCACATTACATTGAAAACCATTAGGGTTGAACAGGCAGAGACTACAGGAAAAGAGTATGGAAAGTGATTCCAGAAAAGTTATAAATTAAGGGATCTTGAGTCTCATATTTAGGAGTTTGAATGTCATTATATAGGCAATGGATGACAATAGTAAGTGTTAAAGTGAGCAATGATATCATAGATTTTTGTTTCATTCTGATCATTTTGGAAGCAATGCAAAAGTAGATATGGGCATGACAGAACAACTTATATAGACTTTCTCTACTGGCAAATAAAATCTACAAAATGGAACAAAATATATGACATAACTGTTCTCAAGCACTGAAGAGCATGAGCAAACAGCTGTGTCCTTTAAGAGAAAGATATAAAGCAAGTCACACAATATCCCATGATTGCCATGGTTTTCTGCCTGAAATACTTTTCTGCCACAAAGCATAATAGGAAGTCTCACTGAGTTAAGAGTGTAAATGAGAGTTCTGATATTATGAAGGGGCTGTATTTGTGGAGCAGGGTAACCGAGAAGAAGAAGCTGCACAGAGAGGGCACTGCAGAAATCTGCATGGAGATCCATTATGTATTGTTGAGCTGGGCTGCACAAGCACAGAGAAAGATTCTGGAAGATCTAGAAAAGATCACCTGATTTATTGCTAAAAGGTGAATGGTGGTGATACTGGAGGTCATGTAGTACGGGGGGATTTTGGAACTCCTGTCAGCTGGTATGAAGAGACTTTACTGAGAGACTTGGGAATTCAGGTGACATGCCAAAAAATCATACTTTAGGAGTAAGCACCATGTTCAGGTGTGAGAGCCACATGCTAGGAATAAGAGGTATGCCGAGAGGCGGCCGGGCACGGTGGCTCACGCCTGTAATCCCAGCACTTTAGGAGGACGAGGTGGGCGGATCACAAGGTCAGGAGATCGAGACCATCCTGGCTAACATGGTGAAACCCCGTCTCTACTAAAAATACAAAAAATTAGCCGGGCGTGGTGGCGGGCGCCTGTAGCCCCAGCTACTCCGGAGGCTGAGGCAGAAGAATGGCTTGAACCGGGAGGCGGAGCTTGCAGTGAGCCAAGATCGCACCACTGCACTCCAGCCTGGGTGACAGAGCGAGACTCCGCCTCAAAAAAAAAAAAAAAAAAAAAAAGAGGTAAGCCAAGAGGCTAAGTTCAAACTGAAATACCTTCAGCCTAACAAAAAATCAAATCAAGACTGATTTGATTGAAATGTATCCACCAGAAGTGTAACTACCCGCCAAAAATGAAAGAAAAACAAACATAAAAAAAACTCAACATTCTTTAAAGGAAGATGACATGATAAAGATTTCCTATAACACATAATACATAATTTCTAGCTTTCAATAAAAAATTAATTGATATATGAAGAAACAGAAAAATGTGCCCTGTAGTCAACATGAAATAGAAACAAATACTGAGCTAATCTAGATGTTGAAAACAGCAGATTGGACATTTAAAGTAGTCACAAATAATAGGTTCAAAACCTTGAAGGAAAATATGGAAAAATGAAATAACAGATGTGTCATCATAGCAGAGAAATTGAAATTATATCTTAATTAATCTTAATAAATAAAAATCCTAGAACGGAAAAGTAAACAACCAAAATGAATAATTCACTGGTGGATTGTTATCAGATGGGAGATGGCAGAGAAGTGGTTTGTGAACTTGAATTCAAATAAGTAGAAATAATCTAATTTGGAGAACAGAAAGAAAGAAGAAGGAAGAAAAAAAGCAGACTCAGTGATATGTGGAAAATTATCAAACAATCTAACATATGTATTTGAAAAACTAATGGTCAAAATTTCTGAATTTGATGAAACCATAAATTTACAGATATAAAAACTCAGTGAATCTCAAAGAGTTTTAAATACAGAAAACCATATGTAGGATTATTATAATCAAACTTCCGAAAAGCATATTTTCTCTCTTATTAATTTCTTTAAAAGATATAAATGTTTAACACAAAAATTCTAATAATATATTTAGGTTCTTATCATGTATAGATGCAATGTATATGGCAACAATGGCACAAAGAATGAAGATAAAATGAAACTATACTACTGGAAGGTTCTTATATTTTAAGTGAAGTAGATCAACATTTGCAGGGAGTGGACTATGAAATGTTGAGAATCTATAACTGTATGGTAATCACTACAGTCATAAGTTTAAAAATAATGCAAAAACCTTTTACTCTTCAAATGACACTGTTATGAAAATGAAAAGGCAAGTCAGACACTGAGAGAAATTTTTGCAAAAGTATATTCAAGAAAAGAATTGTATTAGAATAGATAAAGTTCCCTCACAATTCAAGAAAATAATAAACAAAATTACAAATGGCAAAAAGATTTAACAGACACTACATTAAAAAATAAAGGATGCCTAATAAGCACATAAAAACCTATTCAACCTCTTTAGTCTTCAGGGAAATGCAAATTAAAATTATAATGAAATACTAAAATTCATCCAATAGAATAGCCAAAAAAAAAAAAAAAAAAAAAAAAAAAAAAAAAGACTGACCACACCAAGTGCCGGAAAGGATGTGAAAAAACTACAGCTCTCATACCTTGCTGATGGGAATGTAGGAAGGAATTGCTAGTTTGTTAAAAAGTTTGTTAGTTTCTCATAAAATTAAGCATATACTTATTATGTGACTCAGCAATTCCACTTTTAGGTATTTCCCAGGAGAAATAAAAACATATGTTCAAACAAATACCTGTATGTGAGTGTTCAGAACAGCTTTGTTTATAATGGTCAAAATCTGGGAAAATGTCCATCAGCAGGTAAATGGTAAATTGTGGTATATCCATATAAGGGAATACAATTCTACAAGAAAAGCATTAATTACAGAATATACAACATGGGTGAATCCCAATAGCCTTATGATAAGTGCAAGAAACCATATAGAAAAGAAAACATACTGGATGTAATAAATTTATTTAAAATTCTAGAAAAGAGAAAACTATAGTGACAGAAAACACTTGTTTCCAGAGACCAGGTGAGAAGGAGACTGACTGCAAAATGGCATGAGGGAACTTTTTGGTATAGTAGAAATGTCCTATAACATGACTGTGATGATGGTTACATGATTACATACATTTTCAAAAGCTAACAATTGTAGACTTAAAATTGATAATTGTATTTGGTATATATTAAACCTCAATAAAACTAAACACTGTGAAAAACTCAACAAACTAAAACAAAAAGATGTATGAGGATTAATCATTCATGTGGTATTAAATAGCTAAATATCTGCTTCACTTTTATTAATGAAAGCAGAGATTACTCTATTGATTAGAAAATATACAGTCATGATGTCAGAGGCGTTCGAACCAGAGTGAACAACTCCATTTTGAGTGAGGGCTAGGAAAATAGGAAAATGAGGCTGAGACTTACGGGGTTACATTCTCAGAAAGTTAGGCATTTTTTTTTTTTTTTTTTTTGAGACGGAGTCTCGCTCTGTCGCCCAGGCTGGAGTGCAGTGGCGGGATCTCGGCTCACTGCAAGCTCCGCCTCCCGGGTTCACGCCATTCTCCCGCCTCAGCCTCCCAAGTAGCTGGGACTACAGGCGCCCGCCACTACGCCCGGCTAATTTTTTGTATTTTTAGTAGAGACGGGGTTTCACCATTTTAGCCGGGATGGTCTCGATCTCCTGACCTCGTGATCCGCCCGCCTCGGCCTCCCAAAAGTTAGGCATTTTTAACCTCTAGATGTTTACAGTTAAAGAACAAGTTCATAATGTTTACTGAACAGACCCAGACTTGGGAGTGTCCAGATATCCTGATATCTGTAGAACAAAGGCATTCCTAATTTTGCTTTAAAGATAATAATATCGATTCTTGCAAAATATAGCAATTAAGAAAATTAATATGTTATCACAAACCCTTGCAGCAGAACACATCTCCCCATGTATATGAGCATTGTACCTAGGGTGGATGTGCTCCTCCTCTTACTTTCAGGAACATCCTACCCTGTCTATGGAGTAGCTGTCCTTTCACCACTTTACTTTCATAATAAACTTGCTTTTACTTTGCACTGTGGACTCGCCCTGAATTCTTTCTTGCGCGAGATCCAAGAACCCTCTCCTGAGGCCTGGATCGGGACCCCTTTCCTCTAACAATGAGTCAGGCCCAGCATGCCAGGGTGTATAATTGAAAGAGCTATTTGATGTAGTGAACAAAAGGATGGGAGAGTTACATTATTCATTTTGTGAGTGTTATGAACAAAATAAAATTCGATTGCAATACCAAAAAAATTCAAAGAAATATGTATAAATAACTGGTATGCATGAAAAATATTAAGATAAAAAAATACAAGGATCGGGTGAGAAATTCTTTCAGAGTAAGGGAGATTACAGAAATAAGAAAACTGAAAATGCATGATTGTGGATTGAATCCTATCCTGGACAAGAAAATATAATCTATAAATGACACAATTGGGACAATTGATAAAACTTGAATTTGAACTATAGATTATCATATCTTATCAATGTTAATATCATCTCAATGTTCTTTTTAATTTTATAATTGCATTGGAGTTATGTAAGTGAATTTTCTTGTTCTTAGGAAATGAAGACTGAAGTGGCAACAGGGCATGTTTTATACAATTTACTGTCAAATGGTTCTAAAAAAAAATAATGGAAATGGGACAAAATGCAAACAGTTAATGAACCTGGATAAGCAGTTTCTTGTACTATTCTTGCAATTGTCTTTGTAAGTTTGAAATAATATTAAAATTAAACAGTTATTAATACTATATGGGGGAAGGGAACTGGAGCCCAAAATGAATTATATACTTACTGGAGTAGTTCTGTCAAGGGATAATTAGAAGTAGGTTTAATGCATTTAATGGTTACTAGGTTTAATGCCTGGTAGTGTGAACAACTAAGAGGTGACAGCGTGCTGGCAGCTCTTGCAGCCCTCGCTCGCTCTTGGTGCCTTCTCGGCCTTGGCGCCCACTCTGGCTGCACTTGAGGAGCCCTTCAGCCCGCTGCTGCACTGTGGGAGCCCCTTCCTGGGATGGCCGAGGCTGGAGCTGGCTCCCTCGGCCTGCGGGGAGGTGTGGAGGGAGAGGCACGGGCAGGAACTGGGGCCGCACGGCGGGGCTTGCGGCCCAGCTAGAGTTCTGGGTGGGCGTGGGCGTGGGCTTGGCGGGCCCGCACTCCGAGCGGCCGGCCAGTCCTGCCGGCTCCGGGCAGTGAGGGGATTAGCACCCGGGCCAGCAGCTGCGGAGGGTGCTCCGGGTCCCCCAGCAGTGCCGGCCCACTGGCGCTGTGCTCCATTTCTCAGCAGGCCATAGCTGCCTCCCCGTGCGGCAGGGCTCAGGACCTGCAGCCCGCCATGCCTGAGCTTCCCCCCGACCCCCTGCCATGGGCTCTTGCATGGCCGAGCTTACCCAAAGCGTGCTGCCCCCTGCTCCACAGTGCCCCATCCCATTGACTGCCCAAGGGCTGAGGAGTGCAGGCACATGGCGTGGGACTGGCAGGCAGCTCCACCTGCGGCCCCTGTGCGGGATCCACTGGGTGAAGCCAGCTGGGCTCCTGAGTCTAGTGGGGACTTGGAGAAACTTTGTGTCTAGCTGAGGGATTGTAAATATGCCAATCAGCACTCTGTATCTAGCTCAACGTTTGTAAACACACCATCAGCACCCTGTGTCTAGCTCAGGGTTTGTGGATGCACCAATTGGCACTCTGTATCTAGCTAATCTAGTGGGGATGTGGAGAACTTTTGTGTCTAGCTCAGGGATTGTAAATGCACCAATCAGCACCTTGTCAAAATGGACCAATCAGCTCTCTGTAAAACGGACCAATCAGCTCTCTGTAAAATGGACCAGTCAGCAGGATGTGGGTGGGGGCCAGATAAGAGAATAAAAGCAGGCTGCCTGAACAAGCAGTGGCAACCCACTCGGGTGCCCCTCCACACTTTGGAAGCTTTGTTGTTCAGCTCTTTGCAATAAATCTTGCTACTGCTCACTCTTTGGGTCCACACTGCCTTTATGAGCTGTAACACTCACCGCGAAGGTCTGCAGCTTCACTCCTGAAGCCAGCGAGACCACGAACCCACGGGGAGGAATGAACAACTCCAGACGTGCCGCCTTAAGAGCTGTAACACTCACTGCGAGGGTCTGCAGCTTCACTCCATAGCCAGCGAGACCACGAACCCACCAGAAAGAAGAAACTCCAAACACATCCAAACATCAGAAGGAACAAACTCTGGACATGCCGCCTTTAAGAACTGTAATACTCACCGCGAGGGTCCCTGGCTTCATTCTTGAAGTGAGTGAGACCAAGAATCCACCAATTCTGGACACACAACTACTTTATATTATTTTTGTGTTTAAAATGAAATAGTAACTTTAATTTGTTTTTCACTTTTGTTAAGAAATTTGCAAAATAACTATGCATTTTCTTATGGCCTTTTAATATTTTTGCCTGCTTTGTTTCCCAAGAATCTAAATTTTCATTTAAACTTGCTATGAAAAAGTTATAGTTTATGCACCCTTCTCTAAAATAGAAAAAAACATAAAAATAGAGCAAAGAAAACTCTAAAAGTGGAAATTTAATTATTATAAACAGAGGTTGAAGAAATATATTCTCTAAATATTGTAGGACTAAATGATTCAGAACCCATTTGTGTGCCAATGTCATGCTAAATCTTTGCAAAATGAACTAATACAGAAAAAATCTCCCAGACGGTGAGGTTCAGAATTCATGGTTTCATACAGTGCCATGACTATCATTCACTACCTTCCTGTTCCTTGGAGCTCTTCTACTTTCACCTCCTGCCTTTCAGAAGAAAAGTCAACATCAGATGCTGTTTTCTACACTGGAAACTCAGAATGTTTCATAGTTTAGCAGGATAATTAACAGGTACTAAAGACAATTTAGCACTTAACTGAGGCTTTCTCCCAGAAGGAATTAGAAGAATTGACTAGGCATTGACTGGGCATGAAAAGAGATGAAACTTTAGAGTATTTGCGCTATGAATTACAGGAATTTGTGATGCTAGATCATGGGAAAATAAGGTCCTCTTCCCTCCCAATGACAAACTCTCTAGCAGTTGGGGGAGGGAGATAGTGCAGGGGGTTCCTAATACAAGCAAAAAGTTGTCCCTCCTCCCACACGTGCACACACAAAACTGAAATAAAATTCTGTCACAGACTCGCTTGAAAATGAGAAAGAACAAAATACGCAATATACAAATAAGATTCTGGGAGTAATGAGCCAACTGTACTTGACTTTAATCACTATTCTAATATTGTCCAGGTATCTACTTTAGTCTTTAATTGCATTTTCTGTAAAGTAAATCCTAATATGCAGTTATTTTAATGACTAAAATACATTAAACTTAGTATGATATTTAGCTCATAATAAATACAAAGTAGAAATTGTTATTATAATTATAAAATGATCAATGCATAATATAATTTGTATGTTTTATAAATTTATATTTATGAAAATCTCAAGGTTCAATTCCAACACTAAGTATCCCAGTTTGTCCAATCCACTATTATATTTATTATTCTATCAGGTGCTGAGATTAGGTTGGAGCCAGGGGCTAATATAAGAAAATAAACAGCTAAAGCAAAAAGGTTTTTTAAGAAAAATTTGCAGTAAAGAAATACAGCTTCAGTGTGCTTCTTTTGTCTTTAAATACAACCTCATCTCTCTCTGCACAGAGGCATCATGGTGTTCTGATGAGGAGCTTTGGCAACAGAACTAGACTGCCTTGTCTTAAATCCTGGCTAACCCCTGGCTAACCATGTAACCTTGGGGATAATAATCATATTCACTCATGGGGTTCTTGTGAGAATTAAATGAGTTAAATACAGAAAGCATTAAAAAGAGTATGTGTCTAGTATGCAGCAGGTATCTGCTCAATAAAGAGAAAGAAGTCCTTTAGTAATGTAACGCCTCTGGTCACTGAAAATTTTCCATGATTACTAATTTGAAAAAAAAAAAAAAAAGCCTAAAGATACACACTATCCTTAGTTCCAATGCAGTGTTTATGGGAATTAAAGTGTCCTACCTTGTAAACTGCTAAATGCAAGGCTGTAAATCCATTTCTTGTCAGTCGAGATGGGCGGAGCCCTTTCAACATAAGAGTTCGAATATGTGATTTCTTGCCTTAAAGAGAAAAATGAAAAAAGGCTAAATCATTGTGGGGATGGGGTGAGTTTGAGACTCTTTTTGACCTAATGATAAATGCCATACAGCTGTATAAAAATGTCAAGCTGCGTTCTGCAGGCCATTTGTAAAGTTTTCTATTAATTGACAACCTTACTTACTAGGGGATATTTCTTTTCCATTTATAAAACTTTATTCAAATGCTGTGTATTTTGACTCTGTCTTAGATTTTTTATTTAGTACCCTCATCATCAGATGGTTTTGAAACATAAACACATAAGAGAATTCACCATAATAAACTATTAGTGAAAAAGCTTAAATTAAAAAATCTAATTGTAGAGGATTTATCTGAACATTATTAACAGTAGAGCTTATTTAGATCAAAGAAATATGAAGGATATAACCAAGGTTGGGAAGGCACGTTTGAAGTTGAGAGAACAATCTGTTAAGCAGAGTCTGTTTGGTTTGTTTGGGAGAAATGGTTAAGGAATATGGTTAGAGTTGACACTTACACATTTCTGTTCCATTTTAAGAAGTTAAGCTCAATGAATTTAGTTTGGATTAACAAAATAAATATTAATGGTTCATTCATTAATTCAATAACTTTACTGAGTGGCTATTACAGGCCAGGCACCATTCAAATTACTTGAGATACATTGATAAACAAAACAAACTAAAGTGTAGGCCAAATTAAACTCTTAATCTTCACTTCGATCAATCTTCACTTTTAGATCTTATCTTTGGCATTTATCACTTTTCCACATACTCTTGTTGAATATTGTGAAGCAACTGCTTGATGATATTTTGGGGAATCTTTAAGTGCTTCTGAATTTAAGTTAATCCCTGACTGGCATGCCCAATATTGAAAAGTGCTTTTTGATTTCCAAGCAAACTGAGGGACTTGGTTTCCGGTAGCAACACAATGAAGCTTATATTTAAAGCTAAATCAATTGGAATATTCTGCCTGATAGTTACTGCCTAAACTGAGATTATCAAGGTTGGAAAAGGCAAAGCAGAAGGGAAAATTGAGTATGAATAGAATTCTTTTGCAGACTATTAAGCAGCTCAAGTCACTGACGATATACACATATAACCAGTTTAAGAAGTACTAAGTTTCAAGTACTCACCTCCACAAATGCAACATAAATGAAGTAGAGACAGCCCATTTTCAGTGCGGTAATTTAAATTGACTTTACTGAAGGCTTCATCAGAGCTGAAAAAAACATGTTACAGATGATCACAAAATTCATCTTTTAGCATATTGTCTTTCATTTGAAAATTATAAATGCAAATCCTGTTACTATCAATTCAGAAATGTATTTTTTCTAAGATTATTTTGCACTTACAGAAAGAATCTTGAACCCTCTATATGAAGAATTAAAATTGAGAGGAAATTCTGTAGTTTTACATTGTAATGATGTCACCAGAAATAACACTATGATTCCAATAGTTGCTCCAGAATCACTGACAGCTACTAGATGTCACAATAGCGAATTTAGTGGCACTTTTTAAAGACAAGTAAAACCAAGGTCAGACATCATCTAGGAACCTGAGAGTCACTGTTAGTAGGGAATACTTACATAATACATATATAAAATTGATTATTATGTAAATCAGGAAATCAGAAATCAGAAAATTGTTGTCAAATATAAAAGGCCAAGAAAAGTCAAATATGGCATGAAATTATAGGGGCCAAGAAAGACCTTCCCCTTTGCCTCTCTGAAGGTTTGCTGAAATCAACTGACAAAAGGGACATTAATAGAAGAAAAGGCATAAAATATATTTGATCATAGTTTTAAAAGGCACAAGAGATACAAGACATAAGAGCCTTCAGAATGAAGACTCAAAGATACAGGAATAACTCTGTAAGTTCTAGTTTCTATGACCTGCCTTGAGGGGAGAGGGATTCTAGTCTCTATGGCTACCCTCTGGGGAAAATGAGGGGCCAGAGACAAGAGGACAGGAGAAGGTCAGAGAGAAAGTTTGGCTTCTAAGGCTGCTTGTAAGGCCTTCATTTTGAGGTGTAATTTTCTAAGCCTCAACAAAAATGATGCTAAAATTATCCCAAGAGTTATACTTCAAAAAGAAAGTTGTATATTCACAGTGAAGTTGGCAATGGTAACAACAGTGCAATAATCATTTTTTGATTGCATATCACATGCCAGATACTGTAGTAAGCGCTTAATCTTACTTATTCCTCACCACAGTGAGAGGTGACAACGTGCTAGCAGCCCTCGCTCGCTCTCGGCACCTCCTCAGGCCACGGTGCCAACTCTGGCTGCACTTGAGGAGCCCTTCAGCCTGACACTGCACTGTGGGAGCCCCTCTCTGGACTGGCCGAGGCCAGAGCCGGCTCCCTCTGCTTGTGGGGAGGTGTGGAGGGAGTGGAGTGGGCAGGAACTGGGGCTGTGCACAGTGCTCGCAGGCCAGCGTGAGTTCTGGGTGGGCGTGGGCTTAGTGGGTCCTACACTCTGCGCCGCAGGCTGGTGCCACCAGCCCTGGGCAGTGAGAGGCTTAGCACCTGGGCCAGAAGCTGCAGAGGGTGCACCGGGTCCCCCAGCACTGCCAGCCCACCTGCGCTGCACTTGAATTCTTGCCAGGCCTCAGCTGCCTCCCCATGGGGCAGGGCTCAGGACCTGCAGCCCGCCATGCCCAAGGCCCCTCCACCCCCCTACCCCCGTGGGCTCCCAGGCAACCTGAGCCACCCCGACGGGCACCACCCCCTGCTCCACGGTGCCCAGTCCCATCCACCACCCAAGGGCTGAGGAGTGCAGGCACGCAGCGTGGGACTGGCAGGCGGCTCCGCCTGCGGCCCCTGCGTGGGATCTACTAGGCAAAGTCAGCTGGGCTCCTGAGTTGGGTGGGGACTTGGAGAACTTTTATGTCTAGCTGGAGGATTGTAAATGCACCAATCAGCACTCTGTGTCTGTCTTGGGGTTTGTGGATGCACCAATCAGCACTCTGTATCTAGCTAATCTGGTGGGGACTTGGAGAACTTTTATGTCTAGCTAGAGGATTGTAAATGCACCAATCAGCACTCTGTGTCTAGCTCAGGGATTGTAAATGCACCAATCAGTACCCTGTCAAAACGGACCAATCAGCTCTCTGTAAAACGGACCAATCAGCAGGATGTGGGTGGGGCCAAATAAGGGAATAAAAGCAGGCTGCCCCAGCCACCATCGGCAACTTGCTTGTGTCCCCTTTCATACCGTGGGAGCTTTGTTCTTTCGCTTTTTGCAATAAATCTTGCTGCTTCTCACTCTTTGGGTCCGCACTGCCTTTATAAGCTGTAACACTCACCATGAAGGCCTGCAGCTTCACTCCTGAAGCCAGCAAGATCACAAACCCACTGGGAGGAATGAACAACTCCGGACGGGAGGAACAAACAACTCCAGATGCGCCGCGGTAAGAGCTGTAACACTCACTGCGAAGGTCGGCGGCTTCACTCCTGAAGCCAGCAGACCACAAACCCACCAGAAGGAAGAAACTCGGAACACGTCCAAACATCAGAAGGAACAAACCCCGGACACACCATCTTTAAGAACTGAACACTCACTGCGAGGGTCCGCGGCTTCATTCTTGAAGTCAGTGAGACCAAGAACCCACCAATTCCGGACACAACAGGACAAAGTCATGCATATTGTCACATATATTATTTTACTCATTTTATAATTGAAGAAATTGAAGCTTAAATAGGTTAAATAACTTGCCCAAGTTGGAAAAAAAGAACAAACTACTTAAAAGGCAGAGTCATGATAGGATTTGAATCCTGGTATAACTATAAGAATGAGGCTTTCAAGGATTACCACACTGATGAAATGATTTTTTCCACTTTGAAAACAGCAAAACATAACAGGTATTGCTATACAATATTGGACATACATATTGAAAAACTGCATTTTCTCAGGTGTTTATTGCTACAGAAGAGCTCCAAAGCTTTTTCTTCTTTCAGTATTTGCCATTAAGTTCATTATGATTAGCTCAGAAGAATGTGCATCCTTCCCTGTTTTGCTTAGGCTGCTGGTTACATAGTTTTTCTTAGGATCACAAGGCCTCTCTCTCCTCCCCCAGTCCAATACTTTGTTTTTTTTTCTTGTGGTTTTATAGTGTGTTTCATTTGCTGGACAATAGAAAGACCAGGGAAGAAAAGCCGAAGCAGCTCAGAGCTGAATCATTGTCCATCAACATTCTCAGTTTCCAGTCACAGTTTTCATTCCCTTTTTATTTATGGACACTGATTCCCTACAAACTTTAAGAGAAAAATCCAATCTACCTAGCTTGAAAGGCAGAGTTCAGCTCCGCTGAATACCTCTACTATTTGAAGTCATAACCACAAAGAAGACCTCTGTGACCTGTGATTGCATTTCCAAGTGTGTTCCAAGTACCTAGTTTACTTTCTTCCAAGACATCCATAATATATTTGGCTTTGAGGGTTTAAAAGCCAGGCTGGGCCAAAGACCACACATTTCTAAGAATCATGTTATTTTGTGAAGTTACTGCCATACCATAAATAGCTCTATCATTTATAAGTAGGCTCATTTTATTATAAGTAGACATTTAAAACAGTGGCATTTTCATCAGAAATGATTTTGATTGCAGTATTTTTTGAGCTGAGGGAAATTGCTGATAGAAGTGAGTTAAATTCTTAACTATCTTCATGAAATTCTGAACCCCCTTCTTATATTATTAACATTTATAAACACTGGAGTTTATTGTACTTCCACAAAAGGCTTTCCAAAGCAAGTTGAGGTGTGTTTCCCAGTATTAGTAAGCATGTCTATGTGTTTTGCTGCAGGGGAACACAGAAAGCAAGAAGGGTAGGAGGGTAAAAAAAGTTTGGGAATACTGCATTCCCATGGCTGTGAAAATAAACCACAAGGCTTGCCATTTCTAATTAAAGCATTTCACTGAGGTTCTTCAATGACCCTGGATTTAGAGCCTTTCTCTTTTTAGCAGTACCCTGGAGAATAGCACTTTTTCTTTTTCTATTTTAAAATTCCAATAGCTTTTGATGTTCTTAACTGGATGCCTTGATGATAATGTTCTGAATTTATAGTACCTTTCAAGTGTAAGTACTTTACAAGTGATATGAAACTTTGGCTCACTCACCAAATACTATGCTATCTCTCTAAAGCTGCTAGAGATTTAAATAGGCAGGAGGCAGCTTGAAATTGACCTGTGAAGCCAAGGATATGATCTCATTTCTACTGAAAAATGTCCTGGGAGCACCGTGGACCTCAAGAGGTCGAGAATTTTAGCTTTACATTCCTTTTGAAAGGCTACCTGTGGCTCTCAAGGGCCCTCCTGGGGCAATGGTCTTTGTTCAGACAAAGACAAGGATTTCATTAATAGAATCACTCCACTTCTCACCAGGGACTATATCAGAGTACCCTACCAGAGTTTAGACCTTTATCTGTGAAATCTGACCCAGTCAGAGTACAAGAGAACTTTGCTTCAGGCAGAAGTTGTAATACATTGGGATTATATTCTTTTTTCCAATATCTTATCAGATGCTACTTCCCCCCACCTTTCTTTTTGGAAGGATTTTCCTGAATTTCTCCGTAGATATTATGTGAGATTTTGTGTGTGAGTGAAATGAGTTTACTTTCAGATGTCTGTTTTCTATGTATACATAATTTTTATTCATCATGGTGCTCTGAAAAGTTTAAATTATACATAGAACACAGAACTGCACATGAGATTCTCTTATTTAAACTTGATCTCTCGAACTTTTAATATTACTACATTTTCAACAGTGGAGAGACTCAAAGAATGAAAAATGCAAAGGAGGGTAAAAAGTTAAAGTTGAGATGAAAATCACTTTATTTGAGAGGGTAAACTCAATTGCTTTCTTATTCTGTGATCTAAATTTGATGATCCATTCAATAAGTCTGGCACAACACCTGCTAAACACCTACTATACGCCTCACTTCTGCTCTTAAGGCTCACTTCAGGTTGTTTTCAAGAGTCTCCTTGATATAAACTACTCACTAAATCCCGGATCCTTTGAATGCATCAGTCCTGGAAATACACATACTAGATAAAATCCTGAAATTGACTGCTGTGTTCGTCCTGATATCTAATACTCTGATCAGCTTTGCAAAACAAATGAACATGGAATAAACAGAAAATACAAGATGCCAGGGTCCATTGCTTTATTTTTAAAAAAGAAAGGCACTAGATGAATGTTTATCATTTACATAAATAAAATTGAAAGCAAAATTAATGACTCTTTATTCAACAATTGTTCCTCAGCTAACTGAATCTTGAACTAGACTTTACCATCTATAAGTGACTCAGTATAGAGTCCTAAAGAGTTCCTTGCTTTAAACTGAGCCGCTGCTTGTTGCTTTTGTTCTCCTCTTGAATTATATCCTCCTTGAACTCATGCAGCTTCTCTTAATGTCAACAAAATGAATCAACAGAGAATAGACTCCTATAATATTTGGCAGTCAAGTGTGATTTTTAATAGTACAATTTTTAGCTCAACTTTAATAACTGGAATGTACATTTTTAAAATGAGAGTTACTTTGGGGGCTATATTTGAATCCTAATTCTCACTTCCCATTAACTTCTAGTCAAACGTTTCTGTTTTGAAACATGTAATTAAAATATTCAAGATATTTAAGCAATCATTCCTAGGAGAGAAATTCCATTTTCTCTTCTTTTGCCTCTTCTAAAGTAACTGTGTATGTCAAATTCACTGCCAATTGAGCATCACTTATGTATTCTAATACCCTAAGCTCAATTTATTTTTTAATTTCCCCTTACATTTTTCATCACCTGCCATGCCACACTGTAACTTAACATATCCTAAAGAGTTCATAGTGCATGCTGGGGCATGAATGAAGTTCCTAATTAAAATAAAGCCACTATTATGAATATATTTCTAATAGTAAATGCTGTTCTTAATCATTAAAAATGATAGTTCTGTACCCAAAGGTTACTTTCTTTCTTGTAGCATAATGAATTCTTTTCCTAGCCTTTACCTTTGACCTAGAAAAGTGTGCAGTTTTGTGATCCAATTAAACTTCTTTTTCATGACCTCATCCTTTCAAGAAGATATCTAACATGACCACAAGTGGGAACTTATTAAAATGTAACATTTGAACAGTTGGCCAAAAAGTAACACACTGCTCTCCAAGGTATTCAGACAGGTAGATATATTTTAAAGCTAATTCATTGGTTAAAACTTAGGGAAAAGCCAAGAATGTAGAAAGAAGGTAAGGATTTTTTATGGGTTGTCTAGTTTCCCAAATTGATCATTTAAGTTTCAAATGGCTAGTTGCAACTTCTTGCCTATTCATTGCAGATTCTTCCCTGCCCCATGCCCTCCAAACAATAGAAGCAGACTATATCAATAAGATCTGTTTCTAATATATATCTCCAAGAAATATCCAGAAATATATTTGTTTGATATCTTGCAAATAAAATCTGCAAACTAATACTGTGAAGTATATTCATTTATTCAGCCATTCATACAATAAACAATTATAGTTAGAGTGACAGATATGATAAAATTGGCATAATTATTGTTATCTTATAAGATTGTTGTGAAGTGTAAATAAGTTAGAGCTTGTAAAGCTTTTATAAATATTAGCTGCTATAATAGTTATTTCTATTAAGGCATTGATATTATTTTTACTGTTTTTGTATTGTTTTGCTCTTCAAAACAGGGATAGGAAAGAAGGAATCATGGAGGTACAGGATGGAAAAGAAGAAGAGATGAAGGGTAAGGGGGAGAGAAAATGATAGAAAGATAGCGAGCTACAGATGGAGAAGGAGAGGGAGAACAATAGGGAGAGATAGAGAGAGAGAGGCAGAGAGAGATTGAGGTCAAGTTGCTTCTCAATGATTTCACAAGATATTCCTGTAAAATTATGGTTCTTAACTAGTTTTACCTGGACAAACAAGAAAAGAATTAGAGAAATAGACTGACTTAGGGCATTATGAATTCTTTGTTTCCTTTTGGATTTGAGGGTTTTTTTTGTTGTTGACGATTCTTATTTTTTGTTTTGTGGCTAATTGGCAAAACACACTACCAAACATGCCAAATAATATTTTCATTCTATGTTAATTATAAGATGACATTTCCCCTTCAATATCCTACTTAGTAGTTTGACAGAAAGGGTCTACTCCTCTTAAATAAGATCAGCTTGAAAAGTTTCCAGTGCTATTCATCTTATAATAGCCAAATTTCATAGTTGGCTATAGTGCAATAATTTTAGAAGATATTTTGTTTTAAGGATGAGTATAGTGGAATGCAACAGGCCTCAGATGAACTTTTCAGAGAGAAAAGGTACAAAAAGGTGTATCTCAGAAAACATTTTTTTATTTCCTCTATACATTGTGACTATTTAATGGAACAGAGCATTCTTTTGACCACTTTTTTGTACATAATTAAACCTAGTCAATTTTAAAGTGAGGCACTGTAATTACTGACCAAGATGTATCTACTCAATGCCAAAAAAGTTGTTTTGGATTATGTTGATGTCATAGTGTTTAAAAATTACAACTTTTCTGGGTCAGGCGCGGTGGCTCATGCTTGTAATCCCAGCACTTTGGGAGGCCAAGGTGGGCAGATCACGAGGTCAGGAGATCGAGACCATCCTGGCTAACACAGTGAAACCCCGTCTCTACTAAAAATACAAAAAATTAGCCAGGTGTGGTGGTGGGTGCCTGTAGTCCCAGCTACTTGGGAGGCTGAGGCAGGAGAATGGCGTGAATCCAGGAGGCGGAGCTTGCAGTGAGCCTAGATCGCGCCACTGCACTCCAGCCTGGGCGACAGAGCGAGACTCCGTCTGAAAAAAAAAAAAAAAAGGAAAAGAACTTCATGTCTAAAACACCAAAAGCAATGGCAACAAAAGCCAAAATTGACAAATGGGATCTAATTAAACTAAAGAGCTTCTGCACAGCAAAACAAACTACCATCAGAGTGAACAGGCAACCTACAGAATGGGAGAAAATTTTTGCAATCTACTCATCTGACAAAGGGCTAATATCTAGAATCTACAATGAACTCAAACAAATTTACAAGAAAAAAACAACCCCATCAACAAGTGGGCAAAGGATATGAACAGATACTTCTCAAAAGAAGACATTTATGCAGCCAAAAGACACATGAAAAAATGCTCATCATCACTGGCCATCAGAGAAATGCAAATCAAAACCACAATGAGATACCATCTCACACCAGTTAGAATGGCAGTCATTAAAAAGTCAGGAAACAACAGGTGCTGGAGAGGATGTGAAGAAATAGGAACACTTTTACACCATTGGTGGGACTGTAAACTAGTTCAACCATTGTGGAAGTCAGTGTGATGATTCCTCAGGGATCTAGAACTAGAAATACCATTTGACTCAGCCATCCCATTACTGGGTATATACCCAAAGGATTATAAAACATGCTGCTATAAAGTCACATGCACATGTATGTTTATTGCAGCACTATTCACAATAGCAAAGACTTGGAACTAAGCACCAACCCAAATGTCCAACAATGATAGACTGGATTAAGAAAATGTGGCACATATACACCATGGAATACTATGCAGCCATAAAAAATGATGACTTCATGTCCTTTGTAGGGACATGGTTGAAGCTGGAAACCATCATTCTCAGCAAACTATTGCAAGGACAAAAAACCAAACACCGCATGTCCTCACTCACAGGTGGGAATTGAGTACATGGACACAGGAAGGGGAACATCACACACGGGGGCCTGTTGTGGGGTGTGGGGAGGGGGAGGGATAGCATTAGGAGATATACCTAATGTTAAATGACGAGTTAATGGGTGCAGCACACCAACATGGCACATGTATACATATGTAACTAACCTGCATGTTGTGCACATGTACCCTAAAACTTAAAGTATAATAAAAAAAAAAAGAAAAAGAAAAAGAAAAATTATAACTTTTCTGGAGTATTCTCATGGTTTTAAATTTCATATTATAGATTAAGCAGATACAAATTTGGCTTGACAATGAAATTAGCAAAACATAGTCTTAAAATTTATTATGATAAAAACTATTGAAACAAAATAATTTAATTGAAAACATTTGAAGTCACATGTGGAGAGCCATCACTTCCATAGTTTTTTCAAAAAGGTTGTATAATATTCATAACCAAGATTATGAATATGATACATTTTGAAATCAAATAAAGATGGATGCAATCCTAGGTAAATCATACAAATTGTTTAATCTAGTTCAAGCCAGTTTAATTTGATTAGCCTCATTTTCTCCAGGTATAACATGGCAATTGCAACACTTACTTCAGAGGGTTGTTAACATAAACAATAATGATTAAGTGTTAACTAACATTTTTGAGGGTTTGCCATGTGCCAGACACTGTGCTAAAGCACTTTACATATACACCATTAGGATTATATAAGCTGATGCACAAAAAGATACGTAGAAGCATTTCTGGCATATGGTAAGCCCTAAGTTATTAGTTTGTTTTACAAATAAGTACAAATATAAATAAGGCTAAATAAGAAAAAAAGCTGCCTTTAATGAACACATATACTAGTGGGGAGATAGACCTATAAATGGATAAAAACAACACCATGTAGTAAGTGCTGTTATGTTGATAAAGATTAGAGGCAGCACAGAGGAGGATATAATCAGACAATGGTACTCTAAGGTGCCCTTTCTGTCTTTCTTTCTCCTCCTGCCTTCTCTTTTTCTTCATTTCTTCCTGTCACCAATCCATTACCTAAACAAATGTCCAAAGTTATGAGTGAATGCAACTTTATAGCAGAAGATGAAAGAACATTCCATTTCCATTTCCCCTCTCTCCCACATCAAGCTCCCATTCCAAAGCTGCTATAAATTGGCATAAGCAGGATAACTATTTAGCTCTTTCTGTCTTACATTTAGCACTATATTGCTGTTTATTATGTTGTGGGTAAAAGCTATGCCAGGAAGATTGTGTATTCGAGCTGATAGAGCAATGGTGTATTATGTGGTGAAAAATCTCTTATAATGAATGAAATTAGCATCTACCGGGAATGCCATAAAGAAATTGGTTAGCAAATGAAAAACTGTTTACATCAGTGATCCTTTACGTTTCATGCTAGTTTAAATGTTCCTTTTTGGGCATTGTATACAGTCTCCTTGCTATCTAAATGTTTAGAGAAAGGCTGATGTCAGGCAACATAACATAATTGTTTATCACAGGAATGCTCTTTATAAGACAAATGAATAAGGGTGAGTAATGAGATTCTAACATTTATTTAGCACCTATAATGCTCTAGATACTCATTTAAATGTCATTTCATACAGTGTTAGGTTTGATCTTCCCAACTACCTTTAAAATTTTGTGAATGAGTGAGTAAGACAATTTACATTCTCAGCACACTATTCTTTTCTTTCTTTCATCCATCATTTTATTCCAAAGAAAAGAAAATCCTTAGAACTCTGCCCTGGAAGCAATTCACTTTTTTCTCCCAGATTATGCTCTCTACCTTGACGAAATCAGACAAAAGCAGATTATTCTGTTTTTGCTTGCTTGTTTTTGATTCTCTTGACTCTCTTTAGACCACACCAGTTGCTTACTTTCTGTTCCCATATTCCTCATCCCTTCACTAATATCACCTCAGGCAAAGAGTTCTCAGTGCAATTTGGATATCTTTCTAGAAGTATAGTTTTCAAACTTTAGAAGTATCATTTTTATTATGCATAGTTTTATCTGGGGAGCTTGTTAAACATTCAGGTTATTGGAAGACATCTCCAGAGATTCTGATTCACATGATAAAGGGTGGAGTCATGGAATCGAAAATTTTAGCAAGTACTACAGTCTCCATCTCCATTAACATAAGAGGCCCCTAGTTCTTGCAGAAACATCATTCTAGACTGGATAATCCTCTCCTCAGCTTCCTTATCATCACATTCTGTAGCTTCTTTAATGTCATCAGCATCAGGCTATTGGTCTTTCTCTCCAAAAATGTCTCACCATTATCCTCAGTAAATTTGATAGCCATTTTGATTAGCCTTCTAATACTCTAGTCTCAAAATTCTTCAAATCCCTTTCAATCAAAATCATTAAAAGCTATATTTCAGATTTCGGCATCTTCCTAAATTGTGCTAATACTTTACATTTTTAATTTTGAAATCATCCTCTTCATAAAAACTTTCACTCTTTCTAACTTTTAATAAGCTATTTGTTACTCTCACTTTATGATAAGTCTTCTATCCTTCAAACTGTCCTTATTTATCCAATCAATCATGATAATAGAAATTTCCAACTACTCAATGCTTACTATGGGTTGGGCCCTGTACTTAGTATTTAATTTACCTCATTTTGAAAATATCCTGTGAGGTGATTATTATTCACCTCATTTTATAGATGAAAATGAGGATTAAGGAGATTAAAAAACATATCCATGGATATACAGCTTATAAATAGAAGAAGCTGTATTTAAAACCATGTTTGTATGACTCCAAAATTCTTACATTGATTCACATAGCTTTCTTACTCAAGTCAGATAATATGGTGAAGACATTATTTTTTCTCACTTTTCCTAAACTTTCTATGGTACTCATTCATTCTTGCCTACACACCTTTACTTAACTATGCTTTTTATCTACAATGATTCCAAAAATCAATGAATAAATCAGGACCTAAATCTTGTTTTTGTAAGCAGGGTATGGTAGGAAGAGCGCTATCTATGGAGTCAGGCAGACCTTGACACAAATCACATTCCAGAATTTACTGACCATGTGACTTGACAACTCCCACTGCCTTGTCTCTAATCCTTAGTTTATCATCCACCGGAGTTAATATTATTCGGCACACATGAAATGACAACAATCTACATATGACTATAGATTAAATAATGTCTTGTATTTGATGTATCCAGAACAACACTTGAATACGAGCTGGCACTCAACAAATTCTGGACTGTAAGCTCCCTGACACAGATTCCTGCATCTCACCCCCAATGCTAATCAGAAAAAAGAAGGTCACATTTGTTGCATTTAGTAGAAACACAGGAAAAGTCCATTATAGCAGTTGTCAAAACAGCTTGTAGTTGTCGATGTGGTATCAGAAAGAACCTACATTTTAAATCCATTGTTAATCCTAATATTCAGGTTTGGATACATCTAGTTTAAGCTAGCCTTCACCTATGTGCTCAATACTTTCTAAATTAAAAAATAATACTAAATAACTGAGGCTTTGACCTTTAAAAGTTGAGGAAAATCTCTTCAATGTAATCATATTTCATTTAGCATATTTATTTAAGTCAATAAGAGCTAGATGTTTATGATTAATTTCTATATTCATACTTTTCCAACAAAACAAATACATATTTATAATTCTACTGTACTAACATGCCAGTCATATTTCTACAGGAATTTCAAATGTAGTTCCATATCTCAACATGTGATACTACTTGCAAAAGTCAGATCAGTGGTATCTCATCACAAGTGTCAGTGTTGAGTTCATCATCCTGGGCCAAACTATAAAGAGAACCAACTACTTTTTGAACCATAAGTTGAACACTTGTGAAAGCCTTGTTACATCCATTGACGAATTTCATATAAACTATATTATACATGGGTGATTTTATTTGCCAATTATGTGATATTTATATGTTTACTATATCTAAAATTTTATTTTAAAGATGTGTCATTTGGTCATTGCTTTACACTTGTTTTCTAAGTAAAATAGAGGGAGTTCTTTGCCATGAGTGCATTACATAACACAGCTATAAATGAACATGGCTAATTGGCCTATATGGAACTTTTCCTTAGTCAGGCAGGTAACTTTCTTGACCCTCTAATGGGCATCTAGTTTCTCAATGTCAGATTCAATTTAACCAGAAGGCTTTTTGTGTATATAAGGGTCTTGCTCCTCTTTTCTGAACATTTTGTGTCTTCCAAGGTTGTGACACTTAGATTATTTTTCTCTTGTTATCATGGAACAAAATCTACTGAAATCCTGAAGGCAATATTATATGTTGTTATATGATTGTTCAGGGGCAGAATGATACTCAGTTCCATTAAGGGACAGCCTTTCAATGTCAAGAGACCAGAGGGTTTGTTAAAATTGGACTTACCGTCATAGTTCAAAGAGAACAATGTGGCCAATATGCGACCACTATGTGGGAAGAAAAATCTTGCTTTTCATTGCCGGCATGGTTTACAAGAATGATCTAATTCCTGAGAAGATTACTGAGATCAACAATAGCTTGCATTCAAAGGCTAGCCTTTAGGTTTTTATTTTTAAACTTTAATGATGGCAGATTACAATTTATATTTTAAGGAGGTGAGATGTTATGTTTGCATTTTGAGAGCTATATGAGTGGTCAAAGAGAGATAATCTGACATCCTAAGGCTTAGAACATGACTGCTTATGTCTGAGGTTCTACGGGTTTAAAAAATATACAGATACTTTAAAAAATAAGGTGAATACTGAAGACACTTATACAAAGAAATAATGACTCTTACAACTTTACCCAAATATATTCCTTAGTTCTGTCAGTTCTTTTTCCTTGATCTGCAGGTCATCTTCTAATCTTTCTATTGTGATAACATATGATTCACTGACTTTTTTCTTCCATTCATCTAGTAAAGAAGAACAAATGAGATTGATTCATAGTTGTGTTTTGCAAAATGTAGACACAGATCATAACATACAAGTAATCAAAACTGTTTTTTATTCTAGATTCTACAATACTTAATTTAAATTACTGATTGTGTGTTTAAAATGCAGATGTTTATATTTAAAATGCAATCATATTGAATTGTAGTAATGAAGAACCCATTCGATATTGGATAATATATTTACATAGAAAAATATATTTGACTTATTTCATTTGATTTTATTGCATTTTAATTATAGCAATCTCTAGTTGCAAGACGGTTTTTAGTTTTTAAATACTAGATACTTAAGATATAATTCTAAAATCCCTACATTCAGCAATATTCCAAATTTTTTTCTGTAACATTATACCAAGGAACTAAAATAATATTTTTGTAAGAAATTTCTTGTTTCCTATAAAGATCTTCAGAAAAAAATAATTTGAGTTCAGATAGTTTTTCAAAGACTTTCACAAAACATGCTGCCTTATCTTCCGTATACAAATTAACACATATTCCAATGAGTTGTTAGTTATCAGTAACTATAATTGAACCATATTACACTTAAGGAAATAAGAATAATTAGAATAATTACCAGTACAAGTTTGGGTTGGTCTAGATTTATAATTTCCCATTTATTATAAGTTTCTTCCTTTCTCCAGGGCAGTTCTTCAAGTTATAAGATTCCAAGTTCAAGTGCAGTGACAGTCCAGTTGAAAAATACTTTGATAGTCTGGCTAAAAATAAGCCCAACTGCCAAATGGAATGTCATGCAACAATGATAAAGAACAAAATCGTGTGTGCTTTCGAGGGTGAAATCATAAAGGGAACTAATCAGTCTGTTTAAAAGAACTGTATCAAAAATAAATAGCAAATGTTTCAATAGGATTATTTGCTTCCATCAATTATCTACCCATACATACTTTCATGGACCATTTATTTAACAGATAAATCTAGAAAATGATTCAGTTACATCCGAAGTTCACAAAAGAGCTGTTAAAACTACATAGACCTGTTTTCAAGATCATTTTCTCCTAAGCCAAAATAATGGCAGTTGGTAAAGAGTGGTAATAGAATGTGTCTACATACATAAATAAATAATAAAAATTCATTACCTCTAGCATATAACTAATAGAAATGAATGCAGGTTTGGCCTGTATAAGAGCTACATAATTATGTTTGTATGAAGAAATTCTCAACATAGACCAAGATTTATACTATTGTGGATTATTCCGACCATAAGAATCATAGATCAGAATGTAAAACATTAAGTTCTACAAATAGCAATTCGTAAAATAATAAATGACAAGAACAGTAAGATTAAGAATAAGAAAATTGAGCATTTGCTATGTGTCAGACCCTAGTTTACATGCTTTACATATATCTCATTATTTAATCTCATACATACAGTGCTGCTAGGTAGATATTATTCACAAATTATGGATGAGAAAACACAAAGTTACTAGTAAGTTGGAAGTCTGGAATCAGTTCTGACCATGTGACTCTAATATCCAAGCTAGATATTATTGATTTGTCTTCCAGAATTTCTCTTTCATGCACCTTCCATTTACTTTATTAGGACATTTCTCTTTGTATGCATATTGTATGCCTATTTCTACTGATATAAAGAACCCAGTCTATGATGGAGAATAAATGGGAAACCCAGAAAGAAAACATTAAATTTTTCACTATATATTTATTTCAGATAATCTTCTTATACCTAGAAAGTATAAATTTTAATCTTCAGATTCACATCCAGAGGATATAGCTTTAACTTAACAGATACAGATTTCATATTTTCTATAGTTAAATGTTCAAACAACTCTCTTTTTGAATAAATGATTAGACAAAGTTAGGACTCACCATATATTTTTGCTCAGCAAAAGTAATAGAAGTTTCAGAGGTAAGGCTTCCAGACTGATGAGATATAGTTGGCGCATCAGGTGTCTGGCTTCATAGACACTTTTTGTCCTCATCTGGACATATTCTCCTTTTCCCTTCTTATCAGTACATGCCTACCACAGCTGTTGATACTTGCTATACTGCAGTGGCATCTGGTTACCTTGGTCCATACACTCTACATTCTCCTTGTTTGAAAACCAGACATCTTCAGTTCCACCAGCTTTCTCTAAGCACTTCTGTGACCCCCATTTTCTCAGTTTGGAAAGTCTTTGTTTTGTCCAGGGACCTTCCTGCTTAATCTCTTCTTCCTTATCTTGAAGACCATACTGGATAGCTTTCTTTAAAAGACTTGCAATCTCCCAGGGCTACACTTTAGGAAATAATGCACCAGCTCTTTCTCCTCTCAGAGTTTCTTAAAATAATCATGGTTTCTATACTCTGAATCCAGAAGGACAAAGATGGGAGCCTTCTAGAGGACAACTAAATATATTTTTCTTGATCTCTTTTCTTATTTCTAATATCTCGGATCTTCCATCCGTGTGTGTGTGTGTACATGTATGTTTTCCACATATGGAGGAAAAATTAGCTCTTACATCATCTTCCACTGTGTTTCTAATTTCCTGCTTGGGACACAAGTCTGATGTACTGCTTTTTAGAATTTTTCCTTTTGATTTTCAAGAATACTTTTATTCTCTTAAAAAGCCTAGGTTTTACAAATGAAAGCTTTGGCTTTCAAAGGTGTGATTTCTGCGATGAGTTTGAAAATCCAATCAGCAACTCAGTTGAATTCTCCCACATTCTAATGCAATACATTTTGCTGGAAATAAAATGAAACGATAGCAATATAAGAAATGCAGAAAATTACTCAAAATATTACCCAAAATATTAACCACTATTGAACTATAACAGTTTCCTGGTTTGAAAGAAACAATATTTATCTCTAAGCCCTTCTTAAGAATGTGGATCTAGGTAATGGTTTGAGGTACTAGAGTAATTTTTTCTGGGTACCTTCAGCCTGATGAAGAAATGCTGGAAATGTAAATGGTCCAGGATAATATCCTTGCATTCCTTTTCCAAAGAATGTTGGAAAGAAACAACATAGAATCAAAAAATATTTTCCCTAATACTCAGTACATTTCTGTAAAAAGTACTTCTTTCTAATAAAGAGTTGGCCACATACTCTAAGTTGAATCCTACTTTCCCCAGTCCTGAGACGTCCAAAAGTGGAGAAAGCATGTTATATCATACATTATCAAAAACACAACTTGATTACAAAAGTAGTCTGCTTTCAAAGTTTAGTGAGGGTAGGCAACATGAGGAGCTTTGTTTAAAAAAATAGAAACCTGGGCTCCATCCCCAGAAATTCTGATTCAGTACATCAAGAGTAGAGCCCAGGAATCTGAACTTTAACAAGCAACTCTGATGATTCTAATGTAGATGCTACTTGGAGCATCATTTAAGAAGCACTATTTTAAGGTTGCTTAAAGTGAGATGCTACTTAACAGAAATTTTTTTACCTTTGAATTTCATGCAAGAGAAAAGAGATAAGTAGAATAAAAACAAAAGAAAGATTACTTCAGATTATCAAAGAGTTCTATCCTGTGGTAATTCCTGGGGCAATACATGATTTGGCTATGCAAGTATAGTCTCGTATTTTAAAAGTGATTCACAAAAATTGAACCAACCAAGATATTCCTTCATAAGTGAATGGAGAGACAAACTGTGGTATATCCAGAATATGGAAGATTATTCAGCAATGAAAAGAAAGGAGCCATGAAAATTCATGGAAGAACTTTAAATGTATATCACTAAGTGAAATAAGCCAGTCTGATAAGGCTACATCCTGTGTGATTTCAACTATATGACATTTTGGAAAAGGCAAAACTATACAAACCATAAAAAGATCAGTGGTTACAGGGGTAGAGGAGAGGAAGAGATGAGTAGGTGAAGCACAGGAAATCTTTAGAGTAGAGAAATATTCTGTATGATACTCTAATGGTGGATACATGACATTATCCATTTGGCAAAAATCATAGAACTACACAACACTAACGTAAACTATGGACTTTAGTTAAAAATCATTTATCAATATTGGTTCATTCATGTTAACAAATATACTATATAAGATGTTAATAAGAAAAATTGTGTGTGTGTAGGGGGAGTATATAGTAACTCTGTACTTTCTGATCCATGTTTTTTGTAAACTGAAAACAATTCTAACAAAATATTAATTTAAAAAATTATGGAAAAATATAAAACAAATGATGCAAAAAATAATAATTCCTTAAAAAGAGCATTTGAAGTACTCAAGGAAATTTAATAATTTATAAAGAAAAGCCAACTCAAATACATGATTAATAGTAAGGTTTCTTTCTTTTATGCTTGCTCGTTTCTTCATTAGAAAATGTCAGAACACATTTATGAAATATTATTTCTTCAACTACTTTGTTTCAACTAAGTTTGATATTCTACTGAATTGCCTAAATCTAGTTTTAATGCCTCTGTCTTTTCAACTGATTTCTCAGACCACTTCTGCATACAAATAGTTATATTCTAATACTCCTTCAATAAACCCACTTATGTTCTTTCTGCATTATTTTATTTGGGGTTTATACGATTTATTTATCCCAATCTACACTTACGCATCTGCTATTTATATTTATTTTATACTGATTTCTTTATAAAGATTTAAAAGGATGCTTTCAAAATGAAAAACGTAAAAATTGACCTTGACACTTCTACCTTTATGGTTCCAACAGAGAAATGATAAAAGAAAATGTATCCCATGAAATCAAACTAATGCACTTGGAACAATTATTATCACATTTAGAAGTTGAATTAATTTATACTTTGATAATTTCTTCATTGTATATTAGTCCTTATTAATATATTTCCATGTTTTGGGGAAGCATAGAGTTTCAATGCGTTGCATCTGGTTGACAAATTAATCATTGCTTTAAACATAAGAAGGTGGAATTACTAGTTAGTTTATATTTAGGTTTTTTTCCTTTATTTTTAATAAAGATTAAATAATTTGTGTTGAAATAAAATTATTTTAAAAATAAATTGACCATTGCCTAAGATGCATACAACTATTCAAGTGCACACAATTATTTGATTAATTTTCTTTTAAATAATGTGTTTCTGCATTTAAACAAGCATAATTTGTAAGAGTCTTATTTATCAAACAATTTTCTTTCTTTTTCACTAGAATATCTAAGTTTTTAGTATGTTGGATGATGTATAAATCACCATCATCAGTCTGAACATGTTGAGGTAATATTCAGATTAATCCTCAAAAATGAGTAAGACTTGAGAATACATTATAATGAATATATATTTATAATATGATAATATAATGTCACAGTAATTTAAGTATGTGTTCTCAGTATCTTTAACTGTCAGAGTATATTTTAAAAAGGAATAAACAATATTGCTATTTCTGTGTCCAATAAAGTATAACAGCAAATGCAAAGATCATAGTTTTTCCTGTGATTTCCTTTGTTGGTGGGTAAACATGAAATAAAGTTGATTAAATAATCTAGATTAAATAGAGGTAAGAGTCACATTTCTGTAACTGGCTAAAATTTCTTTTCCAAATTTATATGACTTCTTTGAATTGTCAGTCTAGCTCAATTTACGAACTGATCAGTCCATTTATCCATTCAACAAATACGTATTGTACCAAGAAATCCACAGAGCTCATGGGGCCAGAGATGCATGAGTAAACAGGTAACCGCAATGCAGTATTTGTCCTATGATGAGATATACATGATTGGCATGAGAAAGTCCATCTATTAAAGGCTAAATTTCAATCAGAAAAAGTTTCTTTGAGGAATTAAAATAATCAGAATAATCTAAACTTCATGACTCAGGCCACTTCCGTTCCTTCTTAATTCTTTCTTCACCCATCCTAAGAGTTAATTAACCAGCTTAAAAATGATATTGTGTGATAATTATAGTTCAATTAATAACTAATTATTGTTTTGGACAAATAACATTTTTAAAAATGTTATTTAGAATCTAATGTAATCAACTTTATGTTTGTTTGTTTTAAAAATTAGAGGTTTCTCTAATTAGAGGTTTCTAAATCGTATAATAAACAAACATAAAAAATTGGGGGGAGGGAAAACAAAATAATAGTTCTACTTATTTGAGAGTTTTTTTTTCTTTTCTCAATTTTTATTTTCTTTTTTTTAATTTTTCAATTTTAATTTGTGTGGGTATATAGCAGATATATATATATTTAAGGGCCACATGAGATATATTGATAGAGACATACAGTGCGTAATAAGCACATCAGGGCAAATAGGGTATCCATCCCATCAAGCATTTATCTGTTTTGTTGCAAACAATCAAATTAGAAACTTTTAGTTATTTTCAAATGTATAATTAAATTATTTTTGACTGTAGTCACCCTGTTGTGCTAACAAACACTAGGTCTTATTCGTTCTTTTGAACTATTTTTTGTACCCCTTAACCATCCCCAACCCCACCACCTGCTACCCTTCCCAGCTTCTGGTAGCCACTCTTGTATTCTCTATCTCCTTGAGTTCAACTGCTTTTATTTTTAGCTCCCATAAATAAATGAGAACATGCAAAATTTGTCTTTCTGTGTGTGGCTTATTTCACTTCACATAATGATTTCCAATACCATCTATGTTGTTGCAAATTACAGTATCTCATTCTTTTTTATGGCTGAGTAGTACTCCATTGCATTTATGTACCACATTTTCTTTATCCATTCATCTATTGATGGACACTTAGGTTGCTTTCAAATCTTAGCTATCGTGAACAATGATGCCACAAACATAGGAGTGAAGTTATCTCTTTGATACACTTATTTCTTTTCTTTTGTATATGTAATTCAGCAGTGGGATTGCTGGATTATATGATAGCTCAATCTTTATTTTTTTGAGGAAACTACAAGCTGTTCTCCATAGTGGTTGTATTCATTTTCATTCATACTAACAGTGTACAAGAATTCCCTTTTCTGCACATTCTTGCCAGCATTTGTTATTGCCTTTTTGATATAAGCCATTTTAACTGAGGTGAGAAGATATCTCATTGTAGTATTGATTTGCATTTTCCTGATTATAAATGATGTTGAGCACCTTTTCATATGCCTGTTTGTCATTTGTATGTCTTCTTCTGAGAAATATCTTTTCAAATATTTTGCACATTTTTAAATAAGATTATTGATGTTTTTCCTGTAAACTTGTCTGAGCTCTTTATAAAATTCTGGATATTAATGAATCCCTATCAGACGGGTAGTTTGCAAATATTTTCACCCATTTCGTGTGTTGTCTTCACATTGTTGATTGTTTCTTTTCTATGCAGCAACTCTTTAACTTGATGTGATCCCATCTGTCCATTTCTGCTTTGGTTGCCTGTGCTCATGGGATACTACTTGAGAAATCTTTGCCCAGTTCAATGTCCTGGAGAGTTTCCCCAATGTTTTATTTTAGTAGTGTCATACTTTGAGGTCTTGTAGTTAAGTCTTTAATCCATTTGGATGTAATTTTTCTATATGGCAAGAGATAGAGGTCTAGTTTCTTTCTTCTGCATATAGATACCGAGTTTTCCCAGCACCATTTATTGAAGACACTGTCCTTTTCCCAATGTATGTGCTTGGCATCCTTGTCAAAAATGAGTTCATTGTAGATGTATGAATTTACCTCTGGGTTGTCTATTCTGTTCCGTTCATCTATGTGTCTGTTTTTATGCCAGTATCATGCCATTTTGGATGCTGTAGCTCTGTAGAATAATTTAAAGTCAAGTAGTGTGATTCCTCCAGTTTTGTTCTTTTTGCGTAGGATAGCTTTGGCTACTCTGGGTCTTTTGTGGTTCCATATAAATTTTAAATTTTTTTTTCTATTTCACTGAATAATGTCATTGGTATTTTGATAGGGATTGCATTGAGTCTGTAGATTGCTTTGGGTAGTATGAACATTTTAACAATATTAATTTTTTCAATTCACAAACATGGACAATTTTTTCATTTTTGTGTGTCTTCAATTTCCTTCATCAATGTTTTTTAGTTTTTATTGTAGAGGTCTTTCAATTTTTTCATTAATTCCTAGATATTTAATTTTATTTGTAGCTACTATAAGAGGGATTAATTTCTTGATTTCTTTTTCAGATTGTTTGCTGTTGGCATAGAGAAATGCTACTGATTTTTGTGTATGTTCATTTTGTATCCTGCAACTTTACTAAATTTATCAATTCAAGTCGTTTTCTTGTGGAGTCTTTAGGTTTTTCCAAATATAAGATCATATCATGTGTAAATAAGGATAATTTGACTTGCTTCTTTTCAATTTCGAAGTCCTTTTTTCCCTCTTCTCTGATTGCTCTAGCTAGGAGTTCCAGTGCTATGTTGAATAACAGTGGTGAAAAATGGGCATCCTTGTGTTCCACATCTTAGAGGAAAGCCTATCATTTACAATGATACTAGCTATGGATTTGTCATAGATGGATTTTATTGTGTTTAAGTATGTTTCTTCCATATCCAGTTTTATGATTTTTATCATGAAAAGATGTTGAATTTTAGCAAATGGTTTTTCAGCACCAATTGAAATGTCCATGTGATTTTCGTACTTAATTTGGTTGATACAATGTAGTACATTAATTGATTTGCATATGTTGAACCATTCTTGCATCCCTAAGATAAATCCCACTTGGTCATGATGGTGACCTTTTCAATGTGTTGTTGAATTTGGATTGCTCGTATTTTATTGAAGGTTTTTGCATCAATATTCATCAGTGATACTGGCATATAGTTTTCATTTTTTGACAGGTCTTTGGTTTTAGTATCAGGGTACTACTAGCCTCATGGAATAAGTTTGGAAGTATTCCTTCCTTTTCCATTATTCCAAACAGTTAGAGTAGGATTGGTATTATTTCTTTTTTAAAATGTTTGGTAGAATTAAGCAATGAAACCATTGAGTCCAGGCTTTTCTTTGCTGGGAGGTGCTTTTTATTATTGCTTTGGTCTCTTTACTTGTTATTCGTCTGTTTAGGTTTTGGATTTCCTCATGGTTAAATTTTGGTAGGTTGTATGTGTCTTGAAATTGATTCACTTCTTCTATATTTTCCAATTTATTGGCATATAGTTGCTCATAGTAGCCAATAATGATCCTCTGAATTTCTGTGACAACAGTTGTATTGTTTCCTTTTTCATTTTTTATTTAGATCATTTCTCTTTTTTTCTTAGCCTGGCTAAAGGTTTGTACATTTTGTTTATCTTTTCAAGAAAAACCCTTTTTGTTTCATTGACATTTTATTTCAAATTCATTTTTCTTGCTCTAGTCTTTATTATTTCTTTTCTATTAATTTTGGGTTTGGCTTGGTTTTGCTTCTCTAGTTCTTTAAGGTGTATCATTAGGCTGTGTATTTGAAGTTTTTCTACTTTTCTGATGTAGGCACTTATCGCTATAAACTTCCTTCTTGTTCTGCTTTCGCTGTATCCCAAAGATTTTGGTATATTTTGTTTCCACTAACATTTGTTTCAAGAAATATTTCAATTTCCTTCTTAATTTCTACATTGACCCACTGAATATTCAGGAGCATATTGTTTAATTTCCTTGTGTTTGTACAGTTTCCAGAATTTCTCATGTTGATTTCTAGTTTTATTCCATTGTGGCCAGAGAAGATCCCTGATATTATTTCAATTTTTGTGAATGTTTCAAGACATGTTTTGTAACCTAACATATGATCTGTCCTTGAGAATGACCCAAGTGCTGAGGGAAAAAATGTGTATTCCAAAGCCATTTGACGAAATGTTCTGTAAATACCTATTTCGTCTATTTGGTGCATAGTGCAGACAAAGTCCAATGTTTCTTTGTTGATTTCCTGTCTAGACTATCTATCTAGTGCTGAAAAGTCGGGTGTTGAAGTCTCCAGCTATTATTGTATTAGGGCCTATCTCTCTCTTTACTTCTAACAAAGTTTGTTTTATATACCTGAGCGCTCCAGTGTTGGGTGCATATATATTTAGAATTGTTATATCCTCTTGCTGAATTGACCCCTATACCATTATGTAATGACTTCTTTGACTCTTTTTTTAGCTTTTGTATTGAAATCTATTTTTTTCTGATATAAGTATAGCTACTCATGCTCTTTTTTGGTTTCCATTGGCATAGAATATCTTTTTTCATCCCTTTATTTTCAGCCTATATGTATCTTTATAGACAAAGTATGTTTCTTGTAGGCAACAGATTATTGAGTCTTTTTTTCCATCCATTCAGCCAGTCTATGTCTTTTAATTTGAAAGTTTATCCCATTTACATTCAATATTATTATTGATAAATAGGGACTTAGTTCCTGCTATTTTTTAATTTATTTTCTAGTTGTTCTGTGATTTTCTCTCCCTATCTTCCTTCCTGCCTCCCTTTCAGTGAAGGTGATTTTCTTTGGTGGTATGATTTGTTTTCTTGCTTTCTATTTTTTGTGTATCTACCACATGTTTTTTGATGTGAGGTTACCATGAGGCTTGCAAATACTATCTTATAACCCATTATTTTAAGCTGATAACAACTTAACACTCTTTGCATAAACAAATAAGCATAGAGAAAACAAATAAAAACTCTACACCTTAACTTGTGCCCCCACTTTTAATTTTTTGTTGTTTCCATTTATATCTTAATGTACTATCTATGTCTTAAAAATTTGTTGTTGTAGTTATTTTTGATTGGCTCGTCTTTTAGTCTTTCTACTTGAGTGGTTTACATACCACAGTTAGAGTGTTATAATATTCTGTGTTTTTACTTACTATTACCAGTGAGTTTTGTACTTTCAGATGATTTCTTACTGCTCGTTAACTCCCTTTTATTTCGGATTGAAGTACTTCCTTTAGCAGTTATTATAGGACAGGTCTGGTGTTGATGAAATTCCTCAGCCTTAGTGTGTCTGAGAAAGTATTTCTCCTTCAAGTTTGAAGAATATTTTCACCAGATATACTATGCTACGGTAACAGTTTTTTTTTCTTCAGAACTTTAAATATATTATGCCACTCTCTCCTGACCTGTAAGGTTTCCACTGAAAAGTCTTCAGCCAATGTACTGGAGCTCCATTATATGTTATTTGTTTCCTTTCTCTTGCTGCTTTTAGGATTTTTTTCTTTATCCTTGACTTTGGGTGTTTGATTGTTAAATGCCTTGAGGTAGTCTTCTTTGGGTTAAATCTGCTTGGTGTTCTATAGATTTCTTGTATTTGGACATTGATGTGTTTCTCTAGATTTGGGAAGTTCTCTGTTATGATCCCTTTGGATATTTTATCACTATCTAGCTCCTTCTCTACCTCCTCTTTAAGGCCATTAACTCCGAGATTTTTCCTTTTGAGGCTATTTTCTAGATCATGTAGGCATGCTTCATTCTTTTTTATTCTTTTGTCTCCTCTGTGTATTTTCAAATAGCCTGTCTTTAAGCTCATTAGTTCTTTTTTCTGTTTGACCAGTTCTGCTATTAAGACTCTCATGCATTCTTCAATATATGCCAATTGCATTTCTAAACTCCATAATTTCTGCTTGATTTTTAAAAAATTATTTCAATCTCTTTGTTAAATTTCTCTGAGTGAATTCTGAGTTCTCTGTGTTATCTTGAATTTCTTTGAGTTTCCTCAAAACAGCTACTTTAAATTCTCTGAAAAATTAAATATCTCTGTCTCTGCAGGATTGGTCACTCGTGTCTTATTTAGTTCATTTGGCAACATCATGTTTTCCCGAAAAGCCTTGATGTTTGTGGATATTCATCTTTGGGCATTGAAGAGTAAGGTGTTTATTGTAATCTTTGCTGTCTGGGCTTGTTCGTATTTGTTCTTCTTGGGAAGACTTTCCAGGTATTCCAAAGTACTTGGGTGTTGTTGTCTAAGCCACATCTGTATTCAGGGGCACCCCAAGCCTATTAATGCTATAACTGTTGGAGACTTGTGGAGGTATTACCTTGATAGTCTTGGATAAGATCTGGAATAATTCTCTGAATTTTTAGGCAGAGACTCTTGTTCTCTTCCCTTACTTTCTCACAAACTAACAAAATCTTTCTCTCTGTCCTGAGCTGACTGAAACTGGAAGTGGGATGACACAAGCATCCCTGTGGCCACCACCACTGGGGCTTCACACTGGGTCTCACTCAAGATCCACTATAACCTCTACCTGGCTACCGCCTATGTTCACTCAAGGCTCTGGGCTCTATAATCAGCAGGAGGAGGGGAAAGCCAATCAGGTTTGTGTCCTACTTTTCAGGATGGCAAGATTCTCCAGGTCCTGTGCAGGTCCAGAGGTGCCATCTTGGAGCCAGGTACTAAAGTCAAAACCTTGGAAGTCTACCTGGTGTTTTATTGCACTTTGGCTGAGCTGGCACCCAAACAATGAGACACAGTCTTTTCCACTCTTCCCTCCCCTTTCCATAGGCAGAGGAACGTCACACAGTGACTACCACCATCACTGGCCCATGAGGAGTACAGCCAGACTACTGCCAATGTTCCTTTAAGACCCAAGGGCTGTTAAGTCAGCTTGTGGTGAATGCCACCTGGCCCGGGACTCAACTTTCAGGGCAATGGTCTCACCTCTAGCCCAGGGCAGGTCTCAAAACGCTGTCCAAGAGCCAAGGCCTGGAATTAGGGACCTTAAGAGCTTGGTGCTCTTCCTGACTGTGGCTGAGCTGATACCTAAGCTGCAAGACAAAGTCCCCTTTATTTTCTCTCTGCTTTTCTCAAGTAGAAGGTGTCTCTCCCTGTAGCTACCACAGCTGGAAAAGTGCTGAGTCTCATCTGAATCCAGCAAGTCTCAGAGTCTCACCCAAAGTGCACAGCATACAACCTAAGTATCACTGCTGGTTATTCAGGGCCCAAAGGCTGTTTAGTCAGCAGGTGATGGGTCCTGCCAAAACTTGGTCCTTCCCTTCAGGGCAGCAGGTTCGTTTCTGGCCCAGGGTATGTTTAGAAATGTTGTCCTGAAGCTAGAGCCTAGAAGGGGCACCTCATGACTCTGACTGGTGCCATATTCTACCGTGACTGAGCTGGTATCGAAGATGGATGACCAAGTCCTCTTTACTCTTTCCTCTTCTTTTTGAGAGTTTTCTTTTCACTTGTCAATTATCTACCTGTGGCTGTTCCTCAAAGTGAAAAGAAATACATTTTGATATAGGCAGGACAAATTATTTAAAGATTTGAAAAGTGGGACTATATAATGTGGTTGTTAGAGAATCCATAGATATGTAGCTATTATGTAGCAAAATTAAATAAACAAGTTTGGGTGGTTCCCCCTTGTTGACTCAGTGACTAATTCCCTGTTGCTTACTGCAGCAGACTCCAGTGATAGAGAAAGCAGGAAGCTGCTGTGTCTGCTACACTGTGGCCACTTAAAATTAAAATCGGTCCTGGTAGTTCTTCAACTTTAAGGGAAATGCCATGCCTGAACCGAGATCGCGCCATTGCACTCCAGCCTGGGCAACAAGAGCGAAACCCTGTCTCAAAAAAAAAAAGTTGAAGGCCCTGAGACAGAAGAGCATTATCTAAGCACCATGCCTCTTGGTTTATGTAAGATCTTTGAGTTAGCATGATGAGTGATTCCATAGGACCAGTTCTTTGCTTATTCCCGCCAAGCAGAGAAAGTCTCAGTAAGCTCTCTGTCTGTAGTTACCATTATTTTTGTTACATCTTCTCCTATATCTTCTTAATGCCAGAATGGTGATTATAGTTATCATGTACTATGTTTTTTAACCCCCTTGTCACCATTCTCTATAACAGTGGCAGAAATAGCATTAGCAATTTGTGTGTACGCAAAGGTTCATGATCTTCCTTCATCGTATTGGCAAGCTCAGCACTCCACCAATAAGAACTAACTCTGATTCAATTGTATTTTGTTTCTATACATTGTATATTTAGTTGTGGAGCTAGACTGGCTCTTTTCATACTTGAAATTCCACATATATAATCTTTAACATCTTGCATAAAATTTAAAGGAGTGCTAGGAGTTAGTATAATGCTGTTGGGGTAAAAAAAAAAAAAAAAACTCAGCTTTCATTCATAACCCCATTAGTGGATCAACACATTTCATTTGGTGAATTAATAGAAAGTTGCAGTTTGTATGGTCACACAGATTTCTGATTTCTTTTTGCAGAGACTATTGTCTCTGAAGCCAATTATTTAGGGACTTGTTATAGCAAGTAATATTTGAGTGCATCCTTAATGCCAGGCAGACTTTTAATAATAAACCCAAGTTGAGTGCTTCCAATTCAACATATGTCCTCATAGATTTATATCTCATTTTATTGGCATCCAAATAATATACCCTTCCCAACCAGAATTCAAGTTTAGTATCTAAGTATATACAAAAAGATTTACATTTTAATTACAATTTGTGAAAAACTTCATGTTTTCCTTACAACTGTACTCCCCTTCTTCAACATGGATTATCAAGAGTAGACTATAATTATTATGAATTTCAAGACCACTTGTTTTCACAGAAAGCCATTTTTAGGAGTTCTTGCTACTAGTAAGCCTAAATTGTACTTCCTTGTCTGGTAATATGGAGAGTGATTGCTCTAGTATTCTTGCCTTTATCTCCAGGAAAGTCATATTCCTGCTTCAAAATGTCAGCTGTTCTGAGGAGTCTTTACCAACTTCACAGAACATTTTGGCCATGTTGTCCTTGCTGCTCCCGTTGTATCTCATACCCTTTTTTGTCTCTTAAACCCATAATTTGGTCACATGAAGTTCACACTAATGGAGAAGAAAAATTGTGAATTAATGGACTTAAGCTCAAGCTAGAAACTTTAAAAATGAAATTGTCATCAATACTAAGAGGCATGTTCTGAATTACATAAGGAAATTGTACATGCAAAGGTGTTAGAAGCACCTCTGTGTTGTCCGGGGGTCTCATTCTTCCCGTACCAGTAACTTTATAATTTAAGGTCACCCCCTCTTGAGGTCCAAAGCAAATGATGCAAAGACAATTCTAACTGTGGTGTTTCTGATGCCTGGGTTTATTAAATCATAATAGAATATACTGGATTTGATTACAAGTCTTGAGTCTATTTGTTTAAGTTGGCTCACCATGTGTTATCATTTCCTAACTGCTGGCCGGAGTTTCCCAGGTTGAGGTCTAGGTCTGAGTACACAAATAGTTACCTAAAATTATCACCCATATTTCCCTAGTTCATATATACAGCCAGAGAATAAATGATAGGGCCTATGGTAAAGGGTAACACGGCATTTGGAAAATGTGTAGGCCTTAAGCATATCAGAACGAGAGAGAAATGCATATTATCACATGAGAGTTTTCACAAATTAACTCCATCATTATCTTTCTGAAACTCTCATTGCCCATGATGCTCGGTGCAGCTATATAACAGTTAACCTATTAGTGAACTACAATAGTTATGTTCGGGTCCCCTAAAGACTATATATTCTCTCTTTGACTTATTATATAAAACTCATTTCTTCTACAGAGTCTGGACATGTACTAATTTACAAAGTCACCTTGAGATGATCTATCAGGGCTGCATCCTTTAATGTTACTGAAGATGGCTGTTAGTAACTATTTCATTTTGAAGACTAAACATATTTATATTTGGTAAGTTTATACTATAATTTTATATGTGTGCATATATACTATATATAATACAATGTATACATTACATAAATATATATACATATATACAATACATATATGTAGTTTAAGAATAGGCAAGAAATTAAACACATTTAAATCCTACTCTAAGTTGCTATCCATGCAGCATCTGCTTCTATTAAGGGATTTATTATAGAATATAGAATTAATGCTTTTATCCCTCCTCCCAGGCAATAAGTAACTTGAATGCAGGCATCTTTGCATTTGAAATAGCCCACCACAGTTCCTTATAAGTATAGACATAAATTTAATTGTTTTGGAATGAATTGAACTGAATAAAATTGAACTGAACTGAAAGGGACTGAACCAATTGAATTGCTTAGAATACATTCCTTCAGTAAGAGGAATATTGCTAAGGTCGGAAAAGAGGTAAAGTGAAACTAGAGTAGGCCATTGCAATTCTGCAGCCTAAATACTACAGGCTTTTGAAATTCTATGCAAGGAAAATTCACACAAATATTAGTCTCTTTGTTTTCCTCATCTTCCTGTATATGTAATCCTTAAGAGGTTTTTGCATTAGTTGGAGTTGCTAGCATTAGTAATTTATACAAGGGATTTGATGTTCTAGCAATAACTTACAAACCAGACTTTCAGGGAGATTTTACAAACTACAATTACAAGAACCTACTCGTGATCAACTAAATCAGAATCTGCTGAGGTTAGGTCCTTGAATTAGAAATAAAATAAAACTCCAAAAAGTGGTTTGACACAGCTTGTCTATAAGGAAGTATAAGGCAGGGCCCTTGCTTACAGAGCTTACAACCTAATTTGATATTCAAAAATCTAACTAACTTATTTTACAAAGTAGCTTTTGATGAGTATCAAAAAAAAAAAAAAAAAACTTCCACATGCTATGAAAGAGGAAGAAAGGGTTAATCGGGCTAGTAGTACAGAAGGATTTTTGAATCTGGCATGATTTGCAATAAGTCTTGCTACTTGTAGATTTTTAAAAATCTTAGACAGTGGGAAAATAAATAACAATTTAATATCTAAAATATGATAAATCAAGAGTCTGGACACAATTTAGATTATATCACATCAGAGAACTAGAAAACTTATTAAGATGATGTTCATTAAAATCTCTATTATTGTTTTACACAGTAAACAAATTAAACAAAATTGATGGGACCAAAGTAATTTAAATTTCATCTTGGATTTTTTTTGGGGACTAAAAATTGATGAGGCTAAATTAGGCAAAGTCATAAATATCAAATGACAGAGAAATTATATAAAGTAGCAGCAATGGTAGAAACTATGAACAGAAAAGATAAAAAGAGTTACAAAAAGAAACATGTAATCAAACCAAAAGAACTTAGAAAAGCTAAAAAAAAAAAACCCCACAAAAACACAATATAATTATTGGAGGAGAGAAGTACCTGAAGAGTGGTATAAGCCAGTGTTCTGTAAGTGGGAGAAATACACAAATTATATATGAATTCATAGTATGTTGAAGAAAGTGAGTGGTTTAAACAGAGGTATCATTTTATAAAGAATAACATAAAAAATTTGCTTGTTGCAAGTCTGTTGGGATTACATTTGAAATGTAATGTTCAATCCTGTACACATCTACCTCATTATCATGAAAGAAAGATCAAAGAAATAAAACTGTTCTTGGAAATGAAGAAATCAGTTATGAAATATATTTGTCCCATCTAAAGAAAGTAATTGCACATATTCTGTAAGTGCTCCTTTAATAATTCCATTAAATTTTCTTAGATATCATAACTGAATAGGAGGCTTATTTTCACCTGTCGGGAAGGTTTTTTTTTTTCTTTTCCTTTAAATTTCAAAACACTTTCTAGCACACCATTTCAGACTTGCAATGCCCAGTGGCCCTTGCTGTTCATATATTTGACTTTTGGTTTAATGAATATCACGGTGAGTTAATAGCAGTGCTAGGAACAAAGCTAAAATGTTTTTTCATTTTTATACATTTCCTTTGTTGAGCTTAATGCTTAACTAGAAAGTTATATTTTGTTTTTATGCAATAAAAATCTTTGAAGATTGTTTTATTGGTTTAGTTAATGTCTGACTATGAAATATAAAATGTGCATTTGTGTACATATTTTGGTCGTTGCTGTTGTTATTTTTCTACTAAGAGCCATGAAAAAAAAGTTTATGCAGTGTAGTTTACTCCATAAACACCTTCTTTCAGCTCTTTAAATCAGACTGATATAATAATATGTGGTGTCACTTCTATACTGTATCAATCAAAACACCAGCTGTATACTGAATTTTTAGCTCAGCACAGATAAGGATAAACTTTTGTAAAGACAAAAGTACCTACTCATGTCTAAACAAAATCATTTCCAAGAAATATGTGTTTTAACGAGAACATAAAATAAGGTTTTTATAAGGTTTTGAAATCTAATTAAATTTTTTCAGGTTCAAAGTAAATAAACTGCTGTACAATATTTGTACTATGTTAATTCATTTGTGAAGTTTCTCTTTTCCAGTTCTCTTTTGTTTCAGTTCTACACAGTTCAATAAGTGCTGCTTATCGTTAAGCAAAGCTATCACATAAATTACCATATCCTTTAATTTACAGTGTTTTATTAGGAAGTGATCTGTGGGAAGACATTAATTATTATTATTATTTGTTTCCTTATTCATTACTATTCATCAATGTCTAAACTCAATTTTGTCATTTGGTAGCCAAATACTGGGAATATCACTCCCATATTACATACACACACATAAACACATACGACTTTCTCTCTTCTTTCCTCTTCTTTGAAATAAATTGTTAATCATAATTTGGTCAGAGGTTTAATTTCTAAGGTACCTGTGTATTTATATAAATATGAAATTATCTGCATATTTATATAAAATACTATAAATTAATCAAGTGTAGACCTTTTCCCAAGCCACTCTTACACTTCCATGTGATTTCTGAAGTGACACACTACACTTTGACTGGGTTTCTTTCAGACTTTGTTATGCACCGAGCACTCTCGCGTACCAAACTAAGAGATCTTTCCTCATCATGTAGCTTTTGTTAGTCTCTTTGGCTGACTATTCAAATGCCTTACTTATGGTAGCTCTACCTAGGAATTATTGCAATTATTTTTTTTCCTATCTTATCCTCAACTAAACTGGAAGAACCCTGAGAGCAAGGGATAAAATATTCTTAGTGCTGATCAAATATCCTGGCACATAATTAACTTCAAATTGTGATAATTTGAAGTCAGAGGGGGTCTAACACTGGTCTATGTGTTCTATCTACTATAAATGGTAACTTTTTTAAAGCAAATTTTGTAGGCTTATTTCCTATTTCAAAAAGTATACATTTAACATACTTTTGTCTGCTTATGTTTATTCTGACCTGCTCTGTAAAAGATTTAACATGGTTTATCATCTCATAGCAGCATCATGCTAGGTGCTGAGCTGTCTACTCCGTCATGTGGCTTATGGGATGGGGGATAAAAGGGATAAGGGTATAAATATTTACTTTATTCCTCATTTTTTCTTCATATGTTTAGCATTTTCATAATCATTACATTCCATGACTGTAACATTCATTATAAAAATATATCATCTACTAGTACTATCCCCCCCACTAACATACCATACCCTCTACTAACTAAAATATATCACTAGTGAAAATGTTGGATAATAAGTCAATAAGATAATACAGAACTAGAGTTATGTTTCACATAAGTGAGAATAATGGACTGATTTTAAATGCTAAGTATAAAAGTCATAATCGCAAAAAACAATGAGGAACTAAAAACCATAAAGTTGTATACACAAACCATTTCAGGAAAATGCTTAAACACAGAGATATAAGTGGATATTTCTTTGTATAAGAAATGTAGGTCGTATGGAGTAAGTTTCTGCCCTGAGGAATTTTCCAAAAGCACACATTTAAACTTAGGTTCTAAGGAACCAGAGGGTAGCCAAGTGTTTCCTCAGGTCGGAAATTCTTAGAGGGTGTCTTTGACACCCTAATAATCTAAAGCCTCCCAAAAATATGCCTTTGGATAAGTATCAGCTAGAAGTAAATATGTCCTCCTTTATCCCAAACCAAAGAATTGTCAAGCAGCTTGCCTTGCTGTTAAGCAGAGCAGAAGAAATTTAAAAAAAGAAGAAGAAAGGAAAAAAGAGAAGAAAGTAAAATAAGGTTCCTGAGCAATTATTGCTACAAAAATATTCACTTTGGATTTATACAGAGCCTTCTAAGTCAGAAAAGCTCACTCTTGAACTTAATCTGAGGTTGCTCTTAAGTGGCAATGCTTCTCTGGTCTCCTGATAGAAGCAAATGCAAAGCCTCTACAGGAGAGTCCATTCATCTTAGGCCATGGGAAACCTCTGCAAATACTTTGCTAAGGACAATGACCAACAAACAAAGTCAATCAGATACACATGAAAGCATAGCAACAAAACACTGAAGAAGGATCAGAAGCATATCCATCCTGACTTCAGATAGTAGAATTGTTAGATTTGTTTTACAAAACAACATTGATTACCACATTTGAAGGAAAAAAACAGAAGATGGAAGGTGGGGACAGCAATGATGACAGATGTCCAGAGAACAGGAAACTTTAAAAAGGGACACAGCAGATTTAAATGAAAGGAAAACTCTATGAATTAAAAAAGAAAAAAATACTATTTTCATTTATTCTCTCCCCAAATATGTTGGAGAAAAAGCTTTTAATGATTAAGTTATATTTTCATTTCAAATTCACATCTGTTATTTTAACCTGAAAAAAGTACCCCTAAAAACATACTGATAGACTTGACAAAAATGGTTAATACTTTGTGTTGTACATTTGAATATTTTAGAGAACTAAGCAAATTATTAAGAAATTATGCTAGCCACATTAAATCCTCTTTTTTCCAAAATGCTAGTCATTCTTGCTGAACCTTCCTTATTTCAGATTCCTGATATTTCAGAGACTAATAGAAACTAACTATATTGAATCTGCTGTTAGTAATTCTCAAATATACATAGAATCATGGTTCAGTCCAAAATATAGTTAGCACTGGACACCTGTTATTCCTTGACTCCTTTTTGAAACAAACTTATTAAGAATCTCTACTATGACGATGGTATATTTTGTGCACTTCTTGGAATAAATAATGTACAGGAATCATTCAAATGCATATTCAGTGGGAAGCCATCTGGCTTCATGTGAATTTATGAATATTTTAGCTTGCTCAGCTAGTCAAAAGTAAAATCTGGCACTAGGGATTATCATGTAGATTTGTGACAGTATTACAAAAAAAAAGCTTCTGTAAATCAATGATTGACATATCTACTAAAGTATAGTTTCTTCTTGGATTGGGTACACTTAAAATATGTACAATATTGCATGATTAGTTTGGAAGTCATAATTCAACTTGAATTAAAACATAACAATGTTTCATTAAAATAGTTACATATAGAAATTGAATCTTGGAATTGAGTGGACTTTATAATGTTATTGTGGTGGACACTGTGATGGCACCCATATTGCTTCTTCAGTGAAGGGCTTGTTACCTCAGCTACTGCAAGTGCTGTCAGTAGACAGCTTTCATTGGTCAGCCCCCTTTCACAGATTGGCTTATTCCTAAAGAGATATCTTGTCCATTGTCTTCCTTATCAATTGGGCACCTGAGAAAAGATAATTGATGTGTGGTATAAATCCTGGCCAATCAGGTTCAACTTGGGAAACACTGAAGTGCTATTCTAATATCCAGAGCTCCTCTTGGGATTAGCCAATTAAGGCTGTCTTTGGGATTGCATCTCAGCTTCACTTTCTTCTACTCTGTTTTGCTCTCTCCCCTTCCTTGTACAAGTATTAATCCCACAGGCCCTCCTTAAAAATATTTTGCATTCTAAAGTACATCTCAGATTCTGGTTTTCAGGAAATCCAACCCACAGTCATTATCTAATCCTGTTACTGGTGGAGAGTGACCAGGTTCTTGGCATTTTGAACAAAGAACTGGACAAAACACACAAAGCAAAGAAAGAATGAAGAACTTTATTCAAAATGAAAGTACACTCTACAGTGTGGGAATGGGCCTGAGCATAGGGGCTCAAGGACACCGTTACAGAATTTGTGGGGGTTTAAATACCCTCTAGAGATTTCCACTGGTTACTTGGTGTATGCCATATGTAAATGGAGAGGAAGAAGTAAAGTTACAAAGTTATTTACTCTGCATACACCCTATGAAAAGGATATTTCCTGTCATAGCTTAAGTGTGAATTGGCCTTACGTTCCCTGCCTCCAGGCCCTATTTTCCTGCCTCAATCCTACCTCTTATCTAAAATAAGAACTTCTTGAGAAAACTCTTGCTAAATTGTCTTTTAAGCCTATTATCTCATAAGAAAATGTACTCTGTTATTGGAAAAAATTCTTTATAATGTTGTATATAAATTTTCTTCCTTGTAGCATCTGGAACAATATAAAAATCAACTTCATAATCCTGCTGGCTTCCTCACTGATTAAATTCTGACCCATGTTCACAATTTATGGATTCATATTTTAACAATTTGAGAGTTACATTTTGATAATGAGAAATACAGATTTGAGAATTGATAACACATAGATGCTATGAAAATGGATGGTATTCCAAAGGAGTGAATGTGGATAGAGAAATTCAAATACAAATATCTGTGACCTTCTAGTGATATGAGGTGAGGAAGATGAGGAGAAATCAGTTAAAGAGACTTAAAAAGTGTGACCAGAAAGTTAGAAAAAGAACCAGTAATGTGGGGTTCCTTGCATCCAGGTAAAGAATGCAAGTCAAAGAAGTAATCAATTGAGATAAATGCTGTTTAAAGGGCAAGAAGATGAGACCAAGAATGACCCCTGGATTTAGCAAAGTCGAGAGCACTGGAAATCTTCAGAACAAGTTTAATGGAGTAGTGGTAATGGAGAGGGGTGCTAAAAGCCTGAATTGGGTTGAAGAGTAAATAGGAAGACGGGAACTGAAGAATGGAAAAACAGACAATGTATTCTAAAAATTTTAGTGTAAAAGGAACAAGGAAATAAAGTAATACCTGAAGGAAGTGTAGTGAAGGGTTTTTTTTTTTTAAACTGGAAAAATCACAGAATATTAGTGTACTGATGAGAATAATTCATTGAAGGAAGAAAACTAATGACACAAGAGAAAGAAGAGATAAATGCTATATGTCTACAATGTAAACAACGTGTGCATATCTCGTAAGGGGATGGAAGAAGTTGGTCTGAGGAAGAGAAAAAAAGTTAGACATAATTTTGGATTATAAAAAAAATAGCTAGTGAAGAAAGTCTTGGAGATGAAGATGCCAAAGGATTTCTAAGAACAATTATTACTTAATGCTGTGCTCTGATATGTATCCTTCTCTTTCCTTCCAGCAACTTCCTCCCTAGCTCCAATGATTCAGAGAAATTTGCTACACACAAAATTTGTGTGAGAAGGCCTTTTTCTGGAGAGGATATGGTGATGCCCTAATTGCAGGAAAGAGGAAAAGTTTGAGACTCACATAGTGAAAAATAGGCGCTCAGCTCATAGAATTGTGAGAAAATCACATGCAAGCCCAAACAGAACTAACTCACCAGAAATGGAAGCTTACAGTCCAAAGCAATTATGGAGATATATGATCTTCAGGAATTTCACAGATATTTGAGAGAAGTTTTTGACATCATCTCTGGGGTTTAGAATAGAGGCTCAACTAATGTTGCCTACATCTAAAGGGAAAGCAGATTTCCAGCTGACATCTGATTACACATAGCAAATATGAAAAAGGTAAAAAACAACAATGTGGGTGGTAAAGAGATTGCAGACTATCACCAGGCAAAACTTCATGGAGAAAATAAAGTGTAGAATGTTAGAAAGTAGTATGAATCTTTGTCCTAAAAGGTAGTCTTCAGGGGAGCAAAATGGGATACAAAAACAGTACCAAATTAGTGAAGTAAGGTTGAGATGGCCACAGTATTCCTTTTTCTTTCAATGCCTCATACACCCCAATGCCAATCTTCTAAATCTTTCCTTTGCAGGCTTTCTGCAACTTTGCGTTCATGTGCAATTATAAAAGTCAGATCATTGTTATTACTGCACACAATAAGGCATTGTGGGATGTAAAAAAAAAAAAAAAACTATTCCATTAGTCTAGAAAACAGTGGTAGCTCAACAAGTTGAGAGAGGTTGATGGATTTTGGTTGTGTTTTTCATACATAGACTTCACTTGTTGAAAACAGGATGAAAAGGATGAGGGGAAGTACCTGAAGAGTCATGGAAAATTTCCTGGTTTGTTCCTTGAGCAATTTGGTGAATGGCTGTGTCATTTATCTAGATGAAAAAGATTACCTTAATTGATAGAAGATTAGAGCTCTCCAAATAGAGATGCCTATGTATTTTTTTCCAGTAAGGGAGGGATACGAAGCAGGGAGGTACATATCTGAATCTAGAATTCAGTGTTGGGTATGATGGCTAGTAAAACTTCGGTTTCATTGTAGATGAAACTAGGCTGACTATTCCTGATGAAATAATATGGCTAAGAGAAGTATTGTTTTTTGTTTTTGTTTATTTTTATGTTATGGAAAATTCCAGCACGTTTGTAGTCTTAGAGATACATACTCAAAGACACTAGAAACATGGCTAATTTTGTAAATTGCTTCTTCTCACTGAACTCATGGTAAATATTTAATTTTTTTATTTTATTATTATTATACTTTAAGTTTTAGGGTACATGTGCACAACGTGCAGGTTAGTTACATATGTATACATGTGCCATGCTGGTGTGCTTTACCCATTAACTCGTCATTTAGCATTAGGTATATCTCCTAATGCTAACCCTCCCCCCTCCCCCCACCCCACAACAGTCCCCAGAGTGTGATGTTCCCCTTCCTGTGTCCATGTGTTCTCATTGTTCAGTTCCCACCTATGAGTGAGAATATGCAGTGTTTGGTTTTTTGTTCTTGTGATAGTTTACTGAGAATGATGATTTCCAATTTCATCCATGTCCCTACAAAGGACGTGAACTCATCATTTTTTATGGCTGCATAGTATTCCATGGTGTATATGTGCCACATTTTCTTAATCCAGCCTATCATTGTTGGACATTTGGGTTGGTTCCAAGTCTTTGCTATTGTGAATAGAGCCCCAATAAACGTACGTGTGCATGTGTCTTTATAGCAGCATGATTTATAGTCCTTTGGGTATATACCCAGTAATGGGATGGCTGGGTCAAATGGTATTTCTAGTTCTAGATCCCTGAGGAATTGCCACACTGACTTCCACAATGGTTGAATTAGTTTACAGTCCCACCAACGGTGTAAAAGTGTTCCTATTTCTCCACATCCTCTAACTGGCTAGCCACATGTAGAAAGCTGAAACTGGATCCCTTCCTTACACCTTATACAAAAATTAATTCAAGATGGACTAAAGACTTAAACGCTAGACCTAAAACCATAAAAACCCTAGAAGAAAACCTAGGCATTACCATTCAGGACATAGGCATGGGCAAGGACTTCATGTCTAAAACACCAAAAGCAATGGCAACAAAAGCCAAAATTGACAAATGGGATCTAATTAAAGAGCTTCTGCACAGCAAAAGAAACTACCATCAGAGTGAACAGGCAACCTACAAAATGGGAGAAAATTTTCGCAACCTACTCATCTGACGAAGGGCTAATATCCAGAATCTACAATGAACTCAAACAAATTTACAAGAAAAAAACAAACAACCCCATCAAAAAGTGGGCGAAGGACATGAACAGACACTTCTCAAAAGAAGACATTTATGCAGCCAAAAAAACATGAAAAAATGCTCACCATCACTGGCCATCAGAGAAATGCAAATCAAAGTAAATATTTCTTTTGTATTGAAGAATCAGCTGTTGCAACAAGTAAAAAAGAATTACTCTAAAACTTTTTCCTTCCTTCCTCATAGGCTGGCTTCCATACACAGCTCTTTATTTGACTGGATAATGCTTAATTAGAAGCTCTATCAACTTTAACCAGTCATAAGTGATCTTTCTTATTCAATTCATTAAAGATTGATCCCAGTGATATATAATTAGTGCATTTTTAATTTATGACTTTGTCAGTGTGCCTGTACATTTAAAATCTGCACTTGGGCCACCTGATATAATCATAATTATTTCTTTGTGTAGTCCCAAGTTTTCTAGTTCTAGAAATATTTGAAACTTCTCTAAAGTACAGAAAATTGATGGACATAATTTACTTTCTCAAACCCCAAGGCTAAAAATAATAGGTAAGAAACCACTCACGTAAAACTTCATTAAGCAGTGCAACATTTCTAAACCTGCAAATGAAATGAACACTTACTTGATTTCTACATAGTTGTATTTTAAAAGATTTTTTTGCCTCAAGATGTAAATGCTTTAATTCTATTCTGGGCGATGTGACACTCTCCTACAAGGAAGTGGTAAATTAAAACTCACTTGAACCATCTGAATGTGCTACAGAGAGAAAACAGTGGATACTGGTAAGAAAAGAAATTTAAAAAAATCATTTACATGTGCAGATTACTTAGCTATGATGTGTTGGTTGTAACAAAGATTTTAAAAAGTGTTAAAGAGGCTGGAGATTCAACAAGCATATCAGTAACACATCATAAGCCAGTGGCCAAAGAATACAGACATTTTAGTTTAGATTGTTTCAGAAATGCACTGAAGCACAATTGAAGGAGTGTAATTCTGGCACAGATAGCTAGGAAATGACACTAGCAGATGGATTGCACTAGTCTACAGCAATCAGAAATGAATTGCTCTGTGTGAATGGTTGAAATTTATATGTGCAACGGCTAAGAGATCCCTGCAGCCAGAGGCTTCAAAAAGATAAGACTTTTTGTCCAAGCAGCCCAAAATAAAATGTTAACTCGTTAGTATCAATCAGTTACTTGCATGCACAATAATACTCTTGGGATGAACATCTTTAGACATAAGTGTCAACAATCAAGCTGATGTGCAGGTAGGTGATAACAGTGACTCATTTACAGGCATCTTCCCTCTACACCTCCAATCCTCCAAGTAGCAATACAGTAGGAAAATCAGCAGCTTTTATTATTCCATTTCCCCAAATATTAACCTGACCCAAAGTTGTCATCTACTAAACTACGGCCAAATTGGCAAGTTTGAATGATGTGGCAAGTTTGGTTTGTTGTGGCTCACGTAGACAGCTCTTCCAGGGACAGAATTAGTATTCTTCAACCAAACTGGTATGACTAGACTTTCTTTATATATAAAAAAAAACCTAAGCAGAAGTTTCTGTATATACAGATAAATGGGAGCATGAAAAATGCTACTATGTTACAGAATTTGGCACACTAGTATTGGAGGAAGGAAAATACGACAAAGTTAAATGCAATGAATGTTAATAATTTTACTAAGTATTAGAATTGTGTTCCTCAACCTCAATAGAAATAGGCTTTCTCTAAACAAAATTTTAGAGGCACAGAAGACTCAAGTTAACTAGATATATGGTTGCTATTATTTTTCTTGCACTAAGCAAATTAAAAAGGTCTTTAACAATTTAGTTCTTGACACAGATGAAGACTTGATTTAGATGAACAAGAAAAAGAGCATCTGAAATCCTTTAGCTTGTTTTGAGCTACTAATGAGTTTTCACTTCTCTCCATTGTAACTCTGCTAGGCTAGACTGAGGTGCCTTAATCCTGAGCCGCCAAGGTGCTCAAGTCCAGACGGCATCATGATGTATGTAAACAGCAACTCTGATTTTGTGTAGTTTACTTAACAGCTATATGTGACAGAAGGCAGTTTTGATTTTGGCTTTATTGCTGAATTTGGTAATCTTAACATTAGGAGTACTATGTAGCTACAGAAGATGACTAGATCATCACAGGTTATGGGAATTAATCCTGGATTCATGCCATTAAACTTTTGACAATTTCAGAGTATCACTTGGATTTTTAAAGCTTTATTTCAATCAGTATACACTGATACATATCCTTTATTTCTGCTTTGCTTAGAGAATAAATGCCTAAGGTAAAAGATTATTATCAAATGTTGAATTTTTCCCATGCCCTTGTTGATAGTTATTAAATCATCAATAAGTTTATGGATTATAGTTACAAATAGCAGGCTTTTACACACCTGAGTATATGATGTAAGTGCCATGATTTCATAAAAATAAAAATTATAAAATGAGACAAAATGTTTAATTTCAAACTTATCCATGTAGGTCTTATTTTTCTACTGCTGATAAAACTCAGAAAAAAATTATCTTTATTGGAAGACTAAATGAAAAGCCTAAAAAATTAAGATTGTCACAAAATTTAGTCACTTCTTATCAAAAACACACTTCTCCTCTATCATCATGTACACTGCATTATTCAGGGATTAAATTTAGGAGTGACTTACTTTTTTTTTTTTTGCCTAGATCCTTTTATTAAAACACATACTTAGGTTAGAATCATTCCTAATTCATCTTTTTTTATCCACATTTCGACACCCCAGAAAACAGAATGTGCCTTACAAATGATAGTATAATAGCTATTAGCCAGGCAGCAATAGTCATGGAGTTGTTACTTGCTCACATGTGAACTTGGTCATATCTGCGTATATGACTGTCACTTCAGTTGAATTAGGTACATTATTGGTGGTACGTTTGTGCTACTACACACCAAGCAATACATCTCAAAGCAAGAGACATTGATAAGTCCTTTGAACAGAACCATTTCAAAGCAACCAGAATCCATGCATTGTACAGGATTATGATTAAAATTCAGATTAGGTTAAAATACAGTATTGAGCACTTAATAAACATATAACATCCTCTGAACGCTCTGTAAGTAGATAAATGTTAAACAACAGCTACCATATATTTTCTTTAAAAAGAATCTTGAAAAAGAAAAAACAAACACACAAATACCACAATTGAGGGCTTCAGACAGGTCACTTCTGGTTTACCAAACAATTAATTTTCATATTGACATGTTAATATGACGTCAATTTGTGAGAAATCTCTTTCTGACTTTGAATAGAATCACAGGTCCGATCTTCTAAGGACCTGTGATTAAACTGAAAGAAAAGTGAAACTGAGTTTTGCCAAATAGAAGGGTATCAAATCTTGCAGGAGTGTGGGTCTGTAGCTGGGTAAAAAAAATCCAGACATAAGTGTGGTAGAGCACTCAGGAAATGCAGCCTTACCAATAATTCTGAAAGCAGAGAAGATGGTACTAGGTGGACATATGCATATCAATAGCTCTGAAAGTGCTGAAGAGTTTGAATGTGAAGCTGTAGAAATTTCTTGATGATATCTCAATATTTTATTTTTTTGTTATTTTATATGTATATGCAAGAGGGTTAAATAAAAATCTGTATTTAAAAACATCTAAAAGAGCTCTCCAATAAATATGAAAATTTCAAGTAACAAAAAAAGCAGTGTCATGTTTTATTGTGTTTTTCTTAATGGAACATAAAATAATGGTGATTCTTATAACTGATGGCACTTCAGATTTGGTAAAACTACAATTTTGAACATTTAATGAATGACAAAGACATAACATCCTCTGAAAAATCTGCAAGTAAATCAATCATTTTTAAACAATAGCTACCATATATTTGTATCTTCTCCTTGGGAAAAACTTTGGAAAAAAAAACACGCACATAAGTATCATAACTGAGGGTTGTGGACAAGTTACTTCTAGTTTACCAATTTTTATATTGACATAAAGTAGCACAGACTAGTTATTTCATTTAAAAAAACACACTGACAAATCTTTTCTCTATTACACTTATAAGACTTTTCACTTATATGCTTATACCAATATAGAAACACATAACTTGAGATTCTAGCCAATTTTTATTTTCTCGAAACTGTTTATCACCTGTGTATTATCTCAGTTTTTCCATTTTCCTGCCTGCTTCTTGATGTCTGCATTTGGGCCAATTATTGTTTCTCAGCATCACCAGCATGTGGACAAAAAATAAGATGAAAACTAAAGTCAGTTCATCTGGTAATTGAAGTTTTGTTAGAAGGACTGATAGGAGATAATGCAAGTAATGTCTATAGTGAAATTATATGATTATTGATGAATCTCAATTATTACTACCACTTTCCCCACAGATAACTGAGTTTTGTGTGCATATGTGTGTTTTCCTATGGAATGGAACATAAAGGAAAATTTTAAAGATATACAAACACATGTTCAAGTGTATAATACATATGTACTTTTAGTTTCATTTTGATAAAATTAATGAGATACAAATTTTATCATCAATTTCAGAGGTCTTTGTATCTAGTTCTTTATCAACGAAAATAATCACAATATATTGGGCACTGAGTGAATTTGTCAGCTATGGATTCGTTTCTGAAAAAGTATTTCTACAGTATTCCTACACTACTCTGAAGACCCTACAGTATGCCATTTTTATTATTAAAAATAGAATTACAGTTGAGGAGAGAAGTGCCAGTGAATACTTAGAACTTCACTGGACCAAAAGCCTCAAAAAAGATGGAAAAATTCCAAAGGTATGCTTAGAAAATTACCTTTAAAACTAATTATGTGAAAAAACAATGCTCCACAAATCAATCATTATTAAAAACAAAAATACTGATACACATCCAAAATAGTATCTCTTTTCTCAACTTAGTCTTGGAATATTTTTCATCAAAATGACTTATATGTACTTTTGCACTATTAATATTATGCTACAACAATTATGTTAATACAGTTTTCATTAACTGAGTTCAGTGAAACAGCCTACAAAAAATACCTATCTCTGGAATGTTACTCAAAAAGGCAAAGTGTACAATATTTAAAATATCTCTACATCAAACTGCTTTTTAAACTGATTTCTAGAAAAATTTGTTCCCTGTAAGTTATCATATCTTCTACATCTTTGTAGATAAGCATTTCTTCAATGGACAGCAACTTATAGCTATTCAGGCTGAATGCTGACTTGTTCTTAACAGCATTTAACATCTTTAGGGATGTTATAACTGAGTCACTCAAAGAAGAACAAACTGGGAAAATGCGTGCAGTCCACAAACTCAGACATGTCTTGTTACCAGAGAACAGTTCCTCTGTAACTTTAAGATTCCAAACATCTAAGCATGACAGGAAACAGACTCCAAAGAATTGAAGTAACTTTATATCTGACAATGTTTTCACACTCTTTTTCAAGTTGTCTTGCACTCCAAATGCCATAGTTGCATACTTTAAGCATCTATTCATCTTTAAGCTTAAGGAACATACAAAAGAATGTGCGGGGAGGGCAGCTTTTGTTAGGATGTAAGAACCACTAATAATGCAGTTTTCCCCAACTGAAACATCAGGCCCCAATCTGGAATACTCCACAACTGAGCCAGGTGCCACAGAACATCTTGAATCCAGTATGCTTTGAATGATACAGGATGTTTTGCCAGAGCATTCTGGTATATCTGGAAAGATACTAAAAGTTATGGACTGTAAGCCGAGCTCTGACTTTAAACTGTTATCTGAGGTAAAGTAAAACAAATATTCTTCGGTTGTTCCAATGTGATAAAATTTGGAGTTATTAAGAACAACAACATTTAGTGATGTTCCTTTAAGAAGATGAAATATTCTCTGCCTCATTTCTACCAACTCTGACTCTTCTTTAATGACATTTGATGTGTTTCTGGTGTACTCCACAGTTGCTCCAGGTCCCAAAGCCTGCAGAAAGTCACCATAGGCATCTATTTCACAGCTCAGTGTGCCTATTTTTTCATAAAAAGCAAGTAACATTTTTGCTGATTTATGATCCATATAAAATAGGCTATCTGTGTAGACATAGTCAGAGTCTAATTTAAGATCGGCAATGTCACCCCCAGCAAAGTCCTGTTGACAAAAATTTCCAGGTCTACACACAGCATTAAACTGATACATCTTTTCTATGCTGGGCTTATGAAGGAAACGATGGCAAGACCTGTATTCAAGGTCTCTATGTTTTAAATCATCAAAAGGATCTAAGACAAATACTCCATGTGTGGTACCTATCGTCAAACTAGAAGGATGAGCTAAAGCAGTAAAGCCAGGTTTGTCAAACCTAATAAACTCAAATTCTCCAATACTATAAAGTTCAATATCATCTGCACAGGTAACCAGAATTCCAGGATTCATATTTAAGGGGAAATCAATGTACATGGCTAGTTTTAATTCTAGCATCTGATAAATGGGGTTACCAAGAGGTAAAGCAGTGAAAATTTTTCCCAGAGCACTTGCATTTGGAAGTCGTTGACTGTAGCCACCTATAAAATTAAAACGAAATAACCATTTAAAAATGCAGTATTATTTATAAAATTTTCAAAACCCCAGGGTTTTATAACCCATAAGTTACAAATCAAAATATATTTAACGATATTTAATATATGCCACTTGTTACTGCAAATCAGGAAAGAATAATGAAATCCAAATTAAAAATTCGAAGAGAAATTTTCTTGTTGCCATTTGATATAAGACAATTTTAAAAACTGTAGGTCAGGAAAAAATTTAAATATACTGTAGAATCTGTGAAATGTTTTGAATTACATGTATAACAAATAAGAAGGACCACGGCCCAAAACATGATGTTGCATCTACATTTGTTTTTTTTTTTTTGAGATGAAGTCTTACTGTCACCCAGGCTGGAGTGCAGTGACGTGCGATCTTGGCTCACCACAACCTCCGTGTCCCAGGTTCAAGCGATTCTCCTGCCTCAGCCTCCCGAGTAGCTGGGATTACAGGCACCTGCCACCACGCCTGGCTAATTTTTGTATTTTTAGTAGAGACGAAGTTTCACCATGTTGGCCAGGCTGGTCTCAAACTCCTGACCTCAGGTGATTCACCCAACTCGGCCTCCCAAAGTGCTGGGATTACAGGCGTGAGCCACCACACCCAGCCTGTATCTACATTTTAAACAACAAATTTCAACCATGTTTAGACTTCTAATTAAGAATCTACTTCACAGAAGGCCAGGCGCGGTGGCTCAAGCCTGTAATACCAACACTTTGGGAGGCCGAGGCAGGCAGATCACGAGGTCAGGAGATCCAGACCATCCTGGCTAACACGGTGAAACCCCATCTCTACTAAAAATACAAAAAATTAGCTGGGCGTGGTGGCGGGCGCCTGTGGTCCCAGCTACTCTGGAGGCTGAGGCAGGAAAATGGCGTGAACCCGGGAGGCGAAGCTTGCAGCAGTGAGCGGAGATCGTGCCACTGCACTCCAGCCTGGGCGACAGAGCCAGACTCCATCTCAAAAAAAAAAAAAAATCTACTTCACAGAAAATAAAAGTTATAGAAAACTAATATACTAATGCTAAAATACTTGCTTCTTTACAACATTTCGCTCAATTATGGACAGCATATACATAGGTTGTCCCATAAGATCATAATGGAACTGAAAAATTCCTATCACCTAGTGATGTTGGAGCCATTGTAAAGTCCTAGCACGATGCACCACTCAAGTGGTGATGCTGGTATAAACAAACCTGCTGTGCTGCCAGTTTACTAAACTACAGAACATACAATTATGTATATAGTATATAATAATTGGTAATAAATGACTATTTTACTGGTTTATGTATTTACTATACTATACTTTTCATTGTTATTTTAGAATAAATTCATATGATACATACAAAAAAAAGTTAAGCATAAAATGGCCTCAGGCAGGTCCTTCAGGAGGTCTTTCAGAAGGCAGCATTGTTATCATAGGAGATGACAGCTCCTGAACTTTAGTAGGACTATAGAGGTAGTGATACTGATGATCCTGACCCAGTGTAGGCCTAAGCTAATATGTTTGTGTCTTCATTTCTAACCAAAATATTTAAAAAGTAAAAATAAAAACAACAAAATAAACCCTAACAATATAAAGAAAATATTTTTGTACAGCTGTACAGTGTTTGTGTTTTAAGCTGAATGTTATTACAAGAGAGTCAAAAAAATTAAGAAGTTTATAAAGTAAAAATGTTATAGTAAGCTAAGGTTAATTTATTACTGAAGATCAATAATACCTGTAAAGCACTTGGCAGCACACAGTACATTGTTCAACAAAAGAGAGCTAATAAGTTTCTGTTTTTTTCTTTTTTCAAAGAGCAGCCAATAGTCAAGTTTAGCACTAAGAATTATCTATTTCCAAAAAATAAAAATAAAAAAATTATCTAACTATGCATTTCCTGGTATCTAATTTAATTTTTACTAAACTGATAATAATTATTTTCTTAAATAAAATTGTAAATTAGATTGTTTTACACATTTTTAGGCTTCAAACCAGAACTTGGATGCTTTACTTTGACATCATCTTTACAAAGAATCATTGTTTTGTATGTAAATCATAAGAATGAAAAAGTGCCTTGGAAGCCATGTAGATGAATAATTCTAAAATACCTGTCCCTGGACTGGTGTCAGTTCATGACAGTTTTCATTAGCCCCTTAACATACATAGAAAAACAACAAAGGTTTTCATGTAACCAAAATTTTCACACAACTAAATGTATTCAATTTAAAAAGCTATTCTTCATTCTGAGACCATGTCCTTCCTACTTTTCTGTTTTAAAATGTCTTATTTTGTGTGTGTGATTTCTCTTTTATATATTTACTTGTCCACTCTGTATCTTGTCACATTTTCCTTTTATTTTTAAGCATTGTGGCCTCTGGCTATCAATAATCACACAAAAATGCAAGATAAAAAGTACTGGCAAAAGTCTAGTAATGACAGTGTTAAACCACCCTTCCCTCAAAGCAAGAATCCCCATTAAGGGAGAAAGAGTGTTAGGAAAAATAGCTAATGCATGCTGGCTTAATACCTAGGTGATGGGTTGACAGGTGCAGCAACCAACCATGGCACACGTTTACCTATGTAACAAACCTGCACATGGACCCTGGAACTTAAAATACAAATTAAAATTAAAAGAAAAATCCCCATTAAAGTATTCCCGAGAACTATTCATATTTGAATGAGTTGTCTTAGGAAAATAATTTTCTATATACATACCCAAAACAAAACAATATTCATAAAAGACTGACGATATACGTGATCTACAATTTTACGAGTAAAATTTGTGAAAATCACTATACTACTTACAACCTAAAAAAAGTCATGAAAATCATAAAATATTTGTTTTCAAAGCAGAATAACTTCAAAGATTCTTTTAAAAAAGAAGGAAAGTGTTTGCAAGAAAGAAAAAAGTCTCTAAAGTATTAAAGGTGGAAGACTAAAAAGAAAATGTAAATTAGTAAAGTATAACATTACCAGAGTGAATTAATAAGATGGTAAAAGAATTCCATTTATCTCCATATAGCTTTTCCAAACATTGAAGGGCACAAAGTGTTGATCCTCCATTTCCTTAAAAACAAAGTTAAAAAAGCACAATTTATTTAATAGAAACCTACTAAAACTTTGTCATGACAGTAAATTTAGGTGTTATATAACCTTAAGGATTTGCCTTTCAGGAATAAGTAAATAGATGGACATCAAAGGTATTGGCAATAGAACAAAATTAAAAACATCTCATAGCAAACAACCAATCAATAAATTAGCAATGAAACCCAGACAACAACCCTCAGTAATAAATGATGAGGTAATATTCTCCCCAAAATAGTAATTATAAGAAAGAAGAATCAATTACACAATCTGTAACACTAGAAGACTGATAAATATAAACATTCATACAGAGTTACAAATCACAAAGCCCATTTAAATAATTCTCCCAAATGACACAATCAAAAACACAAGTTAGAGTTCCTTTCGAAAAAAGATTTTTAGAACTTGGATTCCCAAAAAAAAATCTTAAATATAACTACCACACTAGTTATCTTGGGCCAGTTACTTAACTCTTGAGTACCTCAGATTCTCATCTATGGAAATAATATCACGCCTGTAATCCCAGCACTTTGGGAGGCCGAGGCAGGTGGATCACGAGGTCAGGAGATACAGACCGTCCTGGCTAACATGGTGAAACCCCGTCTCTACTAAAAAATACAAAAACAAAATTAGCCAGGCTGGTGGCAGTCACCTGTAGTCCCAGCTACTCGGGAGGCTGAGGCAGGAGAATGGCCTGAACCTGGGAGGCGGAGCTTGGAGTGAGCTAAGATCGCACCACTGCACTCCAGCCTGGGCAACAGAGCAAGACTCCTTCTCAAAAAAAAAAAAAAAAAAAAAAAAAGAAATAATAACAGTACTGACCTCATAGTTGTAAGGATTAAAATAATGTTGGCTAATTAGAATAATGCTAATGTCATATTAATGTCATATACAGATATCTTATCTCTGGTATCAGGGGGCTTCAACTTTAAGTATCACATAGAAAAGAGCATTCAGAAAAACAGCATTTATTTCTATTTGCAATGGACGGTCAAAGGGCAAAGTTGACCTAAACTAGGGTTTTCAAATATATGTATTATATTTAAGCCATGTGACAGTGTTCTTTTGCATTCTGCATTATGTCCCTAAGAGGTCAAGAGTATTTTTTCCCACTAATTGCTTTCTTCATGTAAATTGCTGGAGGAACTCTGGAGTGGAGAGGACCTCAAGGGTTCTACTGATAAGGTCCAAAGGAGTATTCCTATCTGAATAGTGTGAATTTCATTAAAACTAATAAAATTTTCTTTTAAGTAACATTCTGGAAGTTTTTCAAGGTAAGTCATAATGGGTAAGAACAGTTGCTATTCCTTTTATCTTTCTAAAAAAAGTCAATTTATGTTCAAATTTTAAAGTTTGTAAAGCTGTGGGTAGAGATATGCAGCTTATACACTGTAAGTCACAGAAACCTTTTCTTCAATGATTATTCTGCTTAGGACCTATATTATAAAACTGACCATAAAGCGCGTACCAATTTTGGCTCCAGCAGGATCCACAAAAACGTGATATTGAACTCCAAGGGGTAACTCCTTTCTTTTCAGCTTTTCTGACAGCTGTTGGTTGTAAGCAAGTTCCTGTTTTTCATCAGCCGCTGTTATTGCAACTATGTCCCAGAATTCTCCACGTGCTACAAGTTTGCCTATTTGGAAAAAGCAAGGAAATGAAAACAAAAATTATCAGAATTTTCTAGTTGCCACAGGTTTGCCTATTGAGAAAGATGATAAAGAAGGTAATATCCATTATCATCTTCCAAAATGTATCTTTGGCTTTTGAAAGTTAGGGAATAATTAGTGGTGCATTAATACGATTCAAAATAGTTATAATGAAGACTGTTCACAAGTTCCTTTTTTTTCTTTTAGATCACTCCCTCCTTTTATGGTTTGCAATCCAATTTAATTATAAATTCTGAATGACATAATGTTTCTTGATTAAGAGAGCGACTTTTAACTTGCCAAAGACTATTGCCTCAATTCTTCAATAAGAAGAGGAGATAAACATAAACAAATCTCCAGCTTTGCAAATCAATTCTTATGTATCACGGACACTTGGTGTTAGGTGACTAAGAAAGACACAACCCAAAGATCCCTTCCCTCAATGTTGCTGTTTATAAATGTGGGTACTTTATTTTCTATTACTTTAAGATGAACCATGCAAACTTACATAGGCTGTTAGAATATAACATAAAATTCTGGATAACAGAAGGTCCCAACTCTCTGATGACATCTTTAAAAGACAGTGTGCACTTTTAGTAGACAGTTGGAATCTCTTTATTGATAAACAAAATGATTTAGCATTTTAATTAGTTAACAAACAGAACTTGTCAGCTAGAATCTAATAGTCCTGAAAGTTTTACTGTTATCCAAGAATTAGTCCCAGTATTTTTTAAGCAGTCACTGCAACACAAATATAATCACTTTTATTAGACAGGTGTACAGGGATTAAGTGTCATAGCCAATTTTTTGATAACAAATTTCTTCCTTTTAATTTTTAATCCATAATTCCTCCATGTTCTGTTACTCCCTCAACAAACGGTTACATTACAGAAGTAGATGAACGTAATGTAAAGCGTGAAGTAGATAGGGGGCTGGCATCTACTCATAAAGTTCAAAATACTGTGCTTCGTATCTTTTAGATTTATTTAAAGCAACTTTTATTAATGAGCTAATCAATGCATAACTTCACTAGTAAGATTTTCTTCTTCTTCCTCCGCCCTCATTTTTAATATCTATACTACTAAGAATAAAGTAAGCAACAAGCATGTCAAGCAGGGACAGTGAAAAGAATAAAAAACTCAAAAGGATTATTAGCTAGCTACTCCTGGGGAGCGTCATAGGCCTACAGATGAGAAGTAAACGGGAAGTGACAGTCCAGCAAACCTCCTGGCACGTAAAAGCACCCTCCCTCTGCATTGCCCAGGAGAACTCCGGTGCCTTCTCTGGTACCTCTTAGCTCGGAAAACCTCCGCAATTTTCGCTGGGTGGCTTCTCGCAGCGATACTTCCGGAGGGTCCCTAGCAGCTGCCATAGCCCCACCTTCCCTGAGACCGCGCCGCACAGCACGCATGCGCCCTGGGGTGCGCCTCCGCCCGGTTGTTTCTGACCCGCCCCCTCCGTGCGTCGCCCACGTAACCACGCCCCCGGAGCGCCTTGGCTGGCGCCCGGAAAACCATGATGTGGAGAACTTGGATGTTGTCTTGTTTCTCTAGCAACGGTCTCAGGAGCAGATGGCCGCCCAGCGATTTGTCTGACTGTGTTGGGGCTGGGCCACTTGTCTCCAACTCATAAGGGCTTGCAGCCCAGTTGACCCGGTGAGTGGTTCAGTTTGGGTGACAAAATTGTTAGAACCGACCCGCTAAGGATAAGGCGAAACTACATTCTAGCTTCCCAGCTTTCACATCAAAGGCGGTTCGTCCTAACTGGTGGTTTGTTTCAGCCTGGAGCAGTTCCCCAGGATAGCCTGATAGAAGATCTCCGCCATCTCTCCTTTCCCCCGCCACCCCGGGCCATCTGCCCCCAACCCTGGGTCATGATACATACACAGTCTGAATATTTAAAATCTCTGCTCTTTCTAGGAACCTTAAGTTTGTGGTTCCTAGAGAGTGAGCCACCCCACCCCTCTGTTTTTTCTTAGTAGGCTACACACGACAGCCTCTCAAATAGTGTCTTTGAAAGTTGTATAAAATTCAGTCCGCAACCAGGCTCCAAATATTTTTGGTATTTTGGTTTCTTCTCTGGCATTCTTTTGTATATGCAGATTAATCTAGAATGTTCAATAACACTCTTAGGAATAAGTCAGCCTTTTTAGGTGTTTTTTTGGGTAGCTATATAAAGGTGTTCCTGTTATAGAACACGAGGTTTCTTGGTTTTACAGACCACTTCATCTTTACACAGAAGAAAACTGAATCAGAGAATAGTGAGTTAGTCAAGGTATCACAATTAGTAAGTAATAAAAGATTTAAGAAATATATTTCAATCCCAAACCCAGAACTTGTGGTATTTCACCATACCGTTTGATTTTTTGAGACGATTTCTCTGTATCAACGTCTTCATTAGGTACGTAGACATTCAGGGCACCATAAACTCTTGTCATAAATTTACTTAGTTTTTCTTCTCAGACTTGTTATACAATCGTGTTCTAATAGTGGAAACATTTGGATAAAATGGCAGATTAGATTACTCTTTCATAGTTTTACATTTAAAACTTCATTAATTAAAAAAACAGTATCTTATTGAAGAACATTTAGAAAATACAGAGACTTGAGTGAAAGTAACCAAAGGAGAAAGTAGCGAGAGAAGGTCAGAGAGAGAACAAAGGGCCATAGGAAGAATTTTGGTTTTTACTCTTGAGGGAAACAAAGCCATTGCAGGGTTTTGAAGTGACTTGGCTTATGTTTAAAGAGATCACTCGGAGATAGGAGAATAGATTATAATGGGGGATGAGGCAATGATAGAAGCAGGGAGACTTCTTTGGAGGTTACTGCAATATTGCAGGTGAGAGCTGGTGAAGGCTTGACCAGGATGGTAGCAGTGGGAATGGTGAGAAGTTGGTCAGATTCTGGATATATTTTTAAGACAAAAACAATAAAATGTGCTGATGGAATTAATGGGTGTGGACTGTAAGAGAAAAAGAGGAGTCAAAATGACTGCCTTGGGATGGATTGGCCATCAATTAAGATGGGTAAGTTTCCGACTGAGGAAGGTTTTTGGGGTAATAGGGTCCAGAATTTGATTTTGGACATGTGGAATAAAGAGACATGTGTATGCAGTGAATATGTAATGGAAGTTTGTGTGTGTATGTGTCTGTATGCATTATACATACGAGTCTAGAATTCAGGAGAGAGGTCTGGGCTAGAGATACAATTTTGGGAATTGTCAGCAAGAAGATAGAATTAATTTTAACTGTGGAACTAAGTGAGGTCCCAAGGGAGTGAAGGTCAGCAGAGCCTATATGTTTGGGGTCTGTATATTCTAATAAGGTGAAATAAAGAAGGAAGAAGTAACCAAATAAAAAATCCAGTGGTAACAATTGTGAGGAGACAAACAGAGTGATGTGTTAGATTCTATCATACAGAATATTAAATAGAGTATTTATTGGATCTAGGACGGTATCATACAGAATATTAGAGTATTTCTTGGATCTGGGAAGGATGGCCATAGAAATTGGATATTATTTTTTCTCAATATGACTATATCATGCAATCAAAATTTGCTGGAAATAAATATACCATATTATCAGCTATGGCTTCTGTTTTCTTTCTTTTCTCAAATTTTCATTAATATTAATTTTTAGTAAAAAAAAAATTAAAAAATACTATATATATGAGTAGGAGTAAATTTCCGTGGCAGTTGATTGTTGGAGGCAAAAAAAGTTTAGGGATTTTATTTAAGTTCATATTCACTATAATAAAACAGTGTGATATGACTGTTTAACATCTTAAGCTACCAGAGTATTATTATACTAGAGAATTCGCCACAGAGTTTTTCCAGGTATTTATCAGAATGTCATTTTACCAGAGTAAAATATATCAATCCAGCCAAGCTGTAAGCCCATTAATTCTGCACAAATCAAACACACAGGAAATAATCTGTTTAGTTTTGGATTCCACATTTTTAAAAAGATGTTGAACATACTAGACTATAATAAATTGAAAAATTATATTCTGTGGAGGCATTTGGGCTTTTTATTTCCAGGAGGAGAGTAGAGAGTATCTGAAGAGCTGCCATAAGGAAGAATGAGATAGATTTTTTAAAGCAACTTTATTGAGGTACAGGTTTAGAACATTTTCATCCCCCCATTAAAATGTCTTCCAACCCATTTACAGTTAATGCCAGTTACACTGTTTTTTTATTACTACAGGCATATAACTATGACTGTTGTGTGGAAATTATAGAGAAGAATGTTTTAATTTTCCCCCCTTCTTTATATGAGGAAGTTGAAGCCAAATGAATAGGGTCCTGGATTATATACTGTGGAGCTCGTAGTGCATGCTGTGGTCAGGCCAAGCTAGGGCTGTACTTGTTTCCAGTCCTTGTGCTTCATGGCTCTGTTTAACCACTGTTTCCTCCTGTTACCCTTCCTGACATGCAACGAAAGCAAAAATTGTCTTTTTGCAGTTTGTTTTATTTCGATTTATTTACTCAGCTAGCCTGTTCTCAATTTATTTCTTAAATATTTTTTTTCTCACTATGCCCTGTTGGAGGAACCCTCACACCCCTCAACTTTCTGTAGTGCAGAGAAACATTCTCCCACCCCTGAACTTTTATTATACTTCCTCCCTTAGTATTTTTGTAGATTTTTTTTCCAAATGGAGTTCCCCAGTAGTGTAATCATAATCTACTTTGTCCAAATACCAGGATGAGGTTTCGGGGAGGGGAAAGGGATAGGGAGAGGGCAAGTGGTTGAAGAATATAAATTAGTAGAGTCAAGAATTAAATTTTAATTAATGTAATACAATATTTATGACACTTAAGAAAAAGGTATTAATGGCTTAATTTTAGGAGATCCAAAATCTGTTCTATGAAAGCTAACCAAGGAATGTTTTGGGCTAGAAGAAATATTTGTCGTGCTAATTTCTTTATTAAGAGGTTGTGATTTCTGTGCAGATTATTTTCTGTGAATGTTTTTATTAATTTTGGCTGTTTAATATCCATCTTCTGGCTCACCACCTTTTAGTTTTTTCAGGCTTATGCTTTTGCAGTCTCCAAGTTGGAATAAAAATAAAAATTGAAAAATGAGGTCTCACAAAAGCTTTTTTTCTGAACAGAAGTATATAACCTTCTAAAATTCAAAAAGCCAATATATTTAAAGAAAAAAAGTTATAATTACAAATGAATTCTGATTCCTTGTTCTGAATGACTTTTCATGTCATTTGAAAACATATAGAATATGCCATGAAAATATAATGTTTTGTGCTACCAAGGTTATTTATATTAAGTTATAAATGCACTATATTCTGTGTTCATTTTCCAGGACACATGTACTAGTCTGACTGTTCTACTAGACTCTCCCCTTCTTAACTTTTAAAATATATTTTTTCTGTGATATAAAATTATGGCAATTCTTTTATATTTTTAGAGACAGGATTTTTATTTTTAGAGACAACCTTTCACCCATGCTGGAGTGCAATGGCAGATCATAGCTCACTCCTGGACTCAAGCATTCTCTTGCCTTGGCCTCTCAAAGTTCTGGGATTATGCAGGCATGAGTCACTGCACCGGCCCATGGCAATTCTTTATTAAAACAGTCGTTACTTAACAAATCTGTTATCCAAATAAAAAGTATTTAAAAAATATAATTTCTTTATTTTGTTAATAGAGATGCACTTAATATGTTGCAGACATTCTAAACTAAAAATAGTTTGTAATCACAATATGTATAAAATGTTACTGATTAGAATCCTTACAATTAGATTTTCTAAAAACTAAGACTTTTTATTCTTTTTTTATGATTTGATTTTATATGCAGATAACAGCTGTTGTGATAATTCTGGAGTCTAGTATTCAGATTTCCATCTAATATTATAGTTCATGCTTATAAAATAAATTACTTTCATGTAGACCATCAAATCTAATATTTTAATATATTACTTAAAATAATGATGATCTGTCTTCCAAGTATCTGAAAGCTTCAGTGAATAAGTGTTAAGTCTAAAGGTAATTAGTACACTCAGCAAAGACTTTCTTTGAAAACTTTTTTCCCAATATTTATTATGTATCACATTTGGAAAAGAAATAAATATACAAAATAAATAGTTTTTACTTCTTAATATTTAATTTAAATATTCATGAGTTATAACCTTGTATAGTTACACTTAATGTGTTTGCCATCAAAGTTGGGTGTGAAGATGAGATATAACTGATGTGCATTTTATTTTATAGACATGGTTTATATAGTGCAATTAAAATGTAGGATAATTTTTAAATTGGTACTTTAGTTGATACAAACTAAGGAAAGGTTTGCTGATAATGGTACTGATTTATTTTTAACTGCAGAATTTCTTTGAAACTGTGGTTGGAGACTTGATACGTTCTGTAACGTGTTGCTATACTTAATTTGCCTTTGAACATTATATTATTATTTGAACTTGATAATTTACAAATGTGTATATACATTTCACAAAATAGTTATAAAATTATCAAAGTCTAAAATGAATGAAAGTGACTAGATTCCTCCTCTATGTGCATATTTTAAATTTGCAACAAGTGGTAAAGGGCTTCCAACTTGGTAGAGGAGGATATATCAATTGTAGTGGTTTTTAGCTTCCCTTGGTAGGCAGTAGAATCATATGGGCCCATAGCTGCAATGATATGATTCAGGGGACATGCTCTGGGGCCTGGTCATTTGAGTTATTCCAGTTTTCAGATGTACAACATAAATAAATAATGAGAAACAAAATTGAAATGCTGCATGTGGTAGTTAAAACAAAATATGAAAAATCCCCACTTTTCCATAATGATTGGAAAGTTCGACAGAATATGTAGCTGAATAATATAAATAACTGACACATACGTTATATTCTGAATATAGAATACTAGTTTTTTCTGTAATTTATTACTCATGTTAATCTTTCCTTTTAATAGCAATAACCAGTATTATTATGTTCTGTTTTGTAATTTTTAAAAATATTAAGGTTGTTTATATACTGGCAAATACATATTGTTGGCAGAGGTGAATATTAATAGAGAAAATGAATGTAAATTAATATAGTGTATGGGGAAGACTGCTTATAAGACTAAATTATTTTAGTGTTCATATCACATCAACTAAAAAGAAACCAGTTGAGAAGATTTTAAAATATTGAATACATATGAAACAAAAATCAGTAAAGAGGAACTGAAAAATATGTTTTTAGACACATATTTCGGATAAGATTTGGTATTTGAGAGGAATACAAGAATTGGGAGAGAGGATGACAGGTAAGGGCTGAAAAGAAACTACCTGTTGGGTGCTATGCTTACTTCTTGGGTGACAAATTCATTCATACTCCAAATTGCAGCATTATGCAATATACTTTTGTAACAAACCTGCACATGTACTCCCTGATTCTAAAATAAAAGTTGGAAAAAAATTAACTCTGAATGTCCTAACAGATAAGGAAAGGATACATTTTGGAGTGAGATTTATTATTGCATGGTAAAAGTAACCACAGTGAGTATATGGAAAGACCTCCCCACTCTTCACTAAACATGTGAACTACAGGTTAATGGTTAGATGCTTTACATTGTAGAAGAACCTACATATAATCTGAGTAGAGTATTTATTTTTTATAGAGACTATAGATCTTTATGGACTCTTCTGGAATGAGATGATGATAAAATATGCCCCTCCTCCCAGAATATTTGAGAATATAATTAAGAATTACAATTTTCTTGAAAAATATGAGAAAAATTTTCTCATATTTACTTTGGATTAAATTTGCTGCTCTTTTTCAAGTTCTAGAAATGGCAGCTTATATGATTCATTTTAGATCTTTGCTCTTTTCTAATATATGTATTCAGTGCTATGAATTTCCTTTTAAGCACTGCTTGTACTATATCCCACAAATTTTGCTAAATTTTACATTTTATTTTTATTAGTTCAAAATATCTTTAAATTTTTATTGACCTATGTGTTACTTAGAAGTGTGTTTATAAATCTCCCAAGTATTTTGGAATTTTCCAGCTGTTTGCCTGTTATTGATATCTAGTTTAATTCCACTGTGGTCTGAGAGAAGATGTTGCATGGCTTCTGTTCTTTTGAATTTGATAAGGCATGTTTTATGGCCCAGAATGTGGTCTGTCTTGGTGAGTGAATGCTCCATGTGAGCTTGAAAAGAATGTATATTCTGTTGTTGTTGGATGAATTAAAATAAAACTAGTTGCTATTATTATTTTGGACAAATTATTCAACTAAGAATAAGAAAAATAAGAGATTTTTATTTTATCCTCACTTGTTCCTTTCCCAACACTCTTTCTTAACATAGATATGAGTATCTGACCTATATCATTTCTCTTCTCTCAGAACTTCTTTTAACATTTCTTACAAGGCAGGCCTACCAACAACAAATTACTTCAATATTTATCTAACAGAATTTATTTCTTTTTCACTTTTAAAGAATAATTTTGCACCATACAGTGTCCTTGATATAGTTTTTGAAGCATATATTTTATCTCGAATTGTTAATGGAACTAGGCATTCAATTAATTTTGTAGAGCTTACTGTATTAGTCTGTTTTCATGCTGCTGATAAAGACACACTCAACACTGGGTAATTTATAAAGAAAAAGAGGTTTAGTGGACTCACAGTTCCATGTGGCTGGGGAGGCCTCAGCATCATGACAGAAGGTGGAAGGCATATCTTACATGGCGGCAGACAAGAGAGAATGAGAACCAAGTGAAAGGGGTTTCCCCTTATAAATTCTAGGTCAGTGAGTTTTTTTTCTCTTAACACTTCAAATATTTCACTCCACTATCTTCTGCCTGCATGGTTTCTGATAAATCAAATGTCGTTATTATCTGTGATCCTTTATAAGTAAGATTTTTTAAAAATTCTTTGGCTTTTTCCAAGATTTTTTTTTTACCTTTGATTTTCTGAAGTTTGTATATTAATTATCTAGGTGTGAGGTTGTTTTTTTTTTATTTTCTTACATTTATCCTACATGATGTTCTCTGTTTCTTGAATCTGTGGCTTAGTGTCCGATGTTAGAGTAAATTGTCATTCATTATTGTTTTAAATACTGCTTTTATTCCTTTCTATTTTTCCTTTTTTGGCATTTTTATTACACGTATGTTACACATTTAGAAGTCCCACACTTCTGGAATGTTATGTTTTTTTTCAGTCTTTTTTTTTCTCTTTGGTTTTTAGTTTTGAATGTTTTTGTTGACATATCCTCAAAGTCAGAGATTCTTTTATCAGTCATGTCCCATCTACTAATGAGCCCTTCAAAGGTATTCTTCATTTCTGTTATAATGTTTTTGGTCTCTACCATTTCTTTTTTATTCTTTCTTAGAATATCTATCTCTCTACCTACATTATCCATTTGTTCTTGTATGTTGCCTACTTTTTCTATTAGAGCCATTAGCATATTAATCCTAGTTGTTTTCAATTCCCAGTCTGATATTTCCAACATCCCTGACATCTGTGTGTCTGTTCCTGATGAGTTTCTGTACTGCCTGTCTGTTGCTCCAATTTTGTGGTCAGCAGTTTACCCTATGACCTTACTTTGTGTAGCTAAGAAAAGTTGTTGATTTTTAGTTTGTTCAGCTTTCTAATGTGTTGTTAGGATGGAGTGACTACTCCAAGCTCCTTACATGCCATACTGGAAACTGCAGGTCCCTTGATACACTTTTTGAAGCATATATTTTATCTTGAATTGTTAATGGAACTAGGCATTCAATTAATTTTGTAGTGCTTACTGTATTAGTCTGTTTTCATGCTGCTGATAAAGACACACTCAACACCGGGTAATTTATAAAGAAAAAGAGGCTCAGTGGACTCACAGTTCCATGTGGCTGGGGAGGCCTCAGAATCGTGGTAGAAGGTGGAAGTCACATCTTACATGGCAGCAGACAAGAGAGAATGAGAACAAAGAAAAAGGGGTTTCCCCTTATAAAACCATCAGCTCTCATGAGACTTATTCACTACCACAAGAACGGTATGGAGAAAACTGCCACCATCATTCAATTATCTCCCACTGGGTCTCTCCCACAGCAAGTGGAAATTATGGGAGCTACAATTAAGATGAGATTTGGGTGGGGACACAGCCCAACCATATCATTAAGTGCCAAACACTGTTCTAAACCCTTTAGGTTGACTTATTTCGTCCTCATAAAAATTCTATGGGCTGTTATTATTATCTTCTTTTTACAGATAAGGAAACTGAGGCACAGCATACATAATTTACTTGAGATCACCAATCTCAGAACAACTTACATTTCATTTCCTTTTTCTGTACTTAGTTTATAGGGTGCTTGAAAAATAAAATGAACTTGTCGTAACCAGTAGAATGTGGCTGAGGAGACGCTTCAGTTGAACCTAAGCCTTAGGAAGTTTGGACAGGTTCTGCTTTTATGCTTTGGGAGCCCTTAAGCATGTAGAAAGTCTGGCTACCCTATTTCAGACACACATGGATAGATGACATGGAGAGGACAGGTCAACATAGAGAGGTCCTGAGACAGTATGGAAAGAAAGACTGGTTCATCTCAGCATTCCAGCTGAACCTAACCTTCCAGCAGTTCACTGGAGGAGTGAACTAACTGATGCTTCAGCCACTGTCAGTTGGAGAACTGCTTACTTCAACTGAGTCAACACACAGAATCTTCAGAGTAACAAAATGATGGTTATTTTAAGCCAATAAATTTTGGAGTGATTTGTTACACTACATAAATAATTGAAAAATAAACCTTTTTTGTTGTTTTGCAAGTGATTATTGGCTGTGGAGAATTAAAAATAAAGGAATTTACAATAGATTTCTACCGAAATGGGAGAGACTTTGTCATTTGTACTTAGAAGTCTTTTACAGGTTCCTTCCCCATAGTTTGCTGTTTCTCTGAGGAAAGGAAAAGACAGACATGTGTATGAAAGAGACATTTATTGAAACCTGACTCAGTTCTAGTTCAGGTCCTATGGAAAAATTTGAAAAACTACCTAACCATAAAACAAGTTTTCTGTTCACAGGGTACATATAATTTAGTGGAAAACAGGGCCATTAAATAATAACATATATAAATATGTAATCACTAAATTGGGGATGTGTGGATAGAATCAGAGTCTAAATAATGACTAGACAATAATTTGCCAAAGAAGGTTACACTGAGAGAGAAGTGTAACATCCTAAGATAGCAGGTTAGCACATTTCATTAACTAAGAAGCCAGGGTTCTTAATAGTTTGGATTTTTTAAATTTTTGCTTTAAGTTCAGGGATAGATGTACAGGTTTGATACATAGGTAATCTTGTTTCAGGGTAATTTGTTGTACAATTGATTTAGTCACCCAGGTGTTAAGCCTAGTGCCCATTAGTTATTTTTCTTAATCCTCTCCCTCCTCCCACTCTCCTCCCTCTAGTAGGCCCCAGTGTGTTGTTCCCCTTTATGTGTCCATGTGTTTTCATAATTTAGCTTCCACATATAAGGGAGAAAATGCAGTATTTGGTTTTCTATCCCTGCATTTTTTTGCTGAGGATAATATCCTCCAGCTTTATCCATGTTCCTGTAAAGGACATGATCTCATTCTTTTTATGGTTGTATAGTATTCCATGGTGTAAATGTACCACATTTTCTTTATCCAGTCTACCATTTATGGGCATTTAGGTTGATTCCATGTGTTTGCTATTGTGAATAGTGGTGCAGTGAACATACGTATATGTGTCTTTATAATAGAACAATTTTTATTGCTTTAGGTATATACCCAGTAATGGGATTGCTGGGTCAAATGTTGTTTCTGTTTTTAGGTCTTTGGGAAATTGCCACACTGTCTTCCACAATGGTTGAACTAATTTACACTCCCACCAACAATGTATAAGCGTTCCTTTTTCTCCACATCACCAGCATCTGTTATTTTTTGACTTTTTTTGTTGTTTTTTAATTTTTATTTCAATAGTTGTTGGGGTACAGGTGCTATTTTGTTACATGGATAGGTTCTTTAGTGATGATTTCTGAGATTTGAGTGTACCTGTCACCCAAGCAGTGTGCACTGTACCCAGTATGTAGTCTTCTATACCTCGTGACCCTCCCAACCTTCACCCTTGAGTCCTCAAAGTACATTATATCATTCTTAGGCCTTTGCATCCTCACAGCTTAGCTCACACTTATATGTGAGAACTTATGATATTTGGTTTTCCATTCCTGAGTTACTTCACTTTGAATAATAGCCTTCTGGGCTACATCCAAGTTGCTGCAGAAGACATTGTTTTGTTCCTTTTTGTGGCTGAGTGGTATTCCATGGTGTGTGTGTGTGTGTGTGTGTGTGTGTGTAAACATATACCTATATATATATATCTATATATCTCTCTCACATTTTTTTAATCCACTAATTAGTTGATGGGTACTTAGGTTTGTACCATATCTTTGCAATTGTGAGTTGTGCTGCTATAAACATGTATGTTCATGTGTCTTTTTTATATAATGAATTATTTTCCTTTGGATAGATACCCAGTAGTGGGATTTTTGGATCAAATGGTAGTTCTACCTTTAGTTCCTTAAGGAATTTCCATACTGTTTTCCATAGTGGTTATACTAGTTTACATTCCCACCAGCAGTATTCCCTTTTCACCACATCCACGACAGCATCTATTGTTTTTTGACTTTTTAATTATGGCCATTCTTGCAGGAGTAAGGTTTTAATTTACATTTCCCTGATGATTAGTGATTTTTTTTCTTGCTTATAATAGTCATTGATTAAAGCTAAAAAGTAGGCAGTTGAACAAAATGGAGGAAAAGACACTGCATTAAGTAACATCAAAAAGATCTCAAATTTGAATTTAATATATCCTTAATTACACTAGTACTTAATTCTTACAATTTTTTTTCTAATAGACATCTTTTTGATTGAAACTGAAAAGTAAACTGTTGTACAAAATGGAAAAAAAAGGCATTGAATTAAGTAATATCATGAGCATTATCCCAAATTTGGATTTGTGTGAACCAATATTTCATTTCTTCCTCAAACTCTATGTCTTATTTACAAGAAGTTTTCAAGTGAGGCAATAGTGCCAATCATACCAATTCCCTTATTATATATTACAAATTTTATGTAGAAAAATATTTGAACATATTTAAGAATTTTGGTGGGAGGGGACAATGTTATTTTATCAGGTTCATTACAACAGTATTTGTTAATGTCACAAAGCTACTAACAAGGTTATTCATCTAATAGCTAAAATTTGAATGTCTCACACAAGTGTAGAACCTCTCATTTTGGAAAATTCTCTAATATATCTGAGATCAGTAAGGAAAATAGAAAAAACTCCACTTTGGAATAATACCATTAGTAGTTCATTGGCATGTTCAAATGGCATATAGATAGCATTAATGCAGAAGGTTTAAAATAAACAATTATTCCTGGTGGATGAATCTATAGACATTACTAACTATATTTGATTAATAGCACTGTTGAGAATCCCTGAAAATAAATGCCAGGAAGAAGATAATATCTTCATAAAGAAATTTCAAAATAGACTGTTAAGAGATGGAATAATCAATGTGAGAAATAAATCCTTTGAAATAAAAATATTTATATATATTTATATAGCTATATATTAAATATAATTATATATATAATTTTGTGTACATATATATAATTTGTGTACTAATGCCATGATTAACAGTATAAAGCCACCTTTAGCATTATGTGAAGAAATGAGATCTCTGAGGTTCCATGTTGATCGGTGTTGGTTTTTCAAGGACTTTTTTTTTTGAGACGTAGTCTTGCTCTGTCGCCCAGGCTGGAGTGCACGCTCCTGGGTTCACACCATTCTCCTGCCTCAGCCTCCCGAGTAGCTGGGACCACAGGCGCCCGCCACCACGTCCGGCTAATTTTTTGTATTTTTAGTAGAGACGGGGTTTCACCGTATTAGCCAGGATGGTCTTGATCTCCTGACCTGGTAATCCGCCCGCCTCAGCCTCCCAAAGTGCTGGGATTACAGGCGTGAGCCACTGCGCCCGGCCCTTTCAAGGACTTTTTATGCATTTATGAGCTAAAAATGAAATGAAAATTAAGAAAATGAAAAGGCAAGCCACAGAATGGGAAAAAAAAACTTTGGAAAACACATATCTGACAAAGGATTGGTATCTGAAGTAATACAAAGTACTCAAACTCAACAATAACACAATACCACAATCAAAATATAATGGACAAAAGATCTGAACAGATAACTCACCAAGGAAGATATACATGTGGCTAATAAGCCACATGTATGAAAGATGCTCAACATCATATATTATTAGGGAATTGCAAATTAAAGCAATGAGATACCATTATTCACCTATTAATATGACCAAAATCAAAACATTGACAACATTATGTACTGGTGAGGTTGTGGAGCAATAAAATCTCTCATTCATTGCTGGTGGGAGTCCAAATGGTACAACCACATTGGAAGACAGTAGCAGTTTTTTACAAAATGAAATATATTATGTGATTCAGCAAACAAACTCCTTGGTATTTATCCAAGTAAGTTGAAAACATATCCACACAAAAACCTGCACATAAATTTTTATAGCACTTTTATTCATAATTGTGTAAAGTTGGAAACAGCCAAGACATTTTCAATAGGTGAATGGATAAATAAACCAAACCATAGTGCATCCATGCGATGGAATGTTATTCAGTACTTTAAAAAATGAGTTATTTTTCTAAAGACTTGGAGGAACCTTAAATTTAAGCTTTCTTTAAATGAGGAAAGACTTATATCTTTTCTATTTTGGAAGTCCAAATGATGTGTATATTATCCTACATCCCAGCACCAATAGAGCTTCATGAGTTTAATTTGTAAAGGTTTATTTATATCTGTGTATTCCATATCTGACTCTATATTTTTAAGACTGGTTTACTTGTAGTTGAGGCTAATCTTTCATAAGGTGTTCGTCGATCACCTGTTAACATTATTCCTATGCCCTTAGCCCAGAAATTCTGATACAGTAGATATGAGATGGGGCCCATGAATCTGCCTTCTAATTAATTCATTGACACTTAGAGCTGGAGGATTCTAGTTTTAGGCCTTGGTTGTGATATATAAAGTAACCAGTGTCTTGAAAGAGTACAAGAGTGTATCTGGATTTTCACATTTATTCTCATTTGAATCACACTGATTTAGTTTATCTGCACATCGTAGAAATCGATTCTTCCATTGGGGAATGTTGATCTTAAAACATACTTCCAAATAGACCACTTCAGCTCATACATTCTCTTCTCACCTATCACTGACTACCTTTTATGAAAGCTGAAATTACTCTTAATAAGTGAAAATTCACATATATGAGAAATACTGTGTAAAATTATATTAAAAACCATTTATCCAAATATTTTAGATAAATTTAAGTAGTCAAAATTTAAAGCTATTAGAATTCTGAGCCTAATTTCCTAATTGAATTGAATGTAAATATTTTGACAACAAATTTTCTCTGTAAGACACAAATATTGTTGATAACATTTGAAGGCCTGTATAGCACCTTTATTTTATCTGGCTGCATTGTTTAGCCTCTTTAACAAAGATTATCACTCTCCTGACTTGTTTATTATTCAGTGTATTTCTTTAACAGTATATTTTAACAAAAATTATCATACGAGTTATATAAAGTATGGTTTCATTTGTTTGTTGTTAGTTGTCTTGTCTAGAAGGGATGATTTTATCTCAGTTTCTTCACTGAATTTTTCAAATATTCTATGAAAATGGAAGTTTGTCTTCCTCTTGCTAATTAGTTCGTTCACTGGTGAGGGCAGTGATAACATTCTGATTGGCTGTTATTGAAATGTTAGATATTTAAGTTATTTTGGGATAGAAAGTTCTATAAGAATGAGTTTTTTTAAATTTTAACTTTAATAACACTTTTTACTTGCGCTATCTCTTGGCAAAATTTTGTTTGTTTTCAGGTAAATTTTTGAAAGTGGAAAAAAAAATCAAAGCACTTTCTTATCTTTCCTAGATGTTTCATGGAACAGTCACAGAAGAGCTAACCAGTCATGAAGAATGGAGTCACTATAATGAAAACATAAGAGAAGGTCAAAAAGATTTTGTTTTTGTGAAGTTCAATGGCCTTCATTTAAAGTCTATGGAAAATTTGCAGTCTTGCATCTCTCTTAGAGTATGCATCTTCTCAAACAATTTTATTACAGATATTCATCCACTTCAAAGTTGTATAAAATTAATCAAACTTGATCTCCATGGAAATCAGGTAAGCAATAGCCATTTCAGATATTTGCATATAAACGAAATTTCAGTCTTATAATAAGTACTTATGTTACCTATCCACAGTATTTCTTCAACATGGTCTTTTGTCTAAAATATAAACAAAAATTTAACAATAAATTAAAAGCATGTAAGATGTATATAAATACGGACACTTTGATGTAAATGAAAATACATAAATAGTGTGTAATCTGGTATGTTTCACTTCTTAAATCTATAGCCTGGATTAAGAATGCCTCATGATTCCTTAATTTTCCTTAGGTAAGGAAAGTATTTTAGAAAAGTTTAAAGAGTCAACCTATTACAAAGAAATTTTCTTTGAACAAAAAAGTATGGTTATGCATTTTACTATGCGAATAATAATAAATTATCTCAGATACCCAGTGTATTATGGTTTTCAACTGGCCATCATTGGATAATTATAAATACTCTGTTTGCTTATTAATTAGAAACTTGCTATTTGGGGAATATTGAATTTTATATGTGTAATATTTTACCATTTTCTGTGCTATTCGAAAAAAGTAATTTTGGAATTTAAAAGATTTTTAATAATATTTCAGATAAAGAGTCTACCAAATACCAAATTTTGGAATGGATTGAAGAACCTAAAACTACTCTATCTTCATGACAATGGGTTTGCAAAGTTAAAGAATATATGTGTATTATCTGCCTGTCCAACCCTCATTGCCCTCACTATGTTTGATTGTCCAGTAAGCCTTAAAAAAGGATATAGACATGTTCTTGTTAACAGTATATGGCCTCTCAAAGCGCTGGATCATCATGTGATTTCTGATGAAGAAATAATTCAGAACTGGCATCTTCCTGAAAGATTCAAAGCATGTAACCATCGACTTTTCTTTAATTTCTGCCCAGCTTTGAGAAAGGTAATTGGCTTCTTTAGGGTTTCATTTTAATTAAATGTATAAAAGGGAAATTTTAGCTTCTGAGTTCTATATCTAAATTATATAAACTTTTTAATATTTTTGCATCATTTATATAAAATAATATAAACCAATGAATATATTTGTAATGTCTTTCTATCTGAAACTTGATAAAAGTTTGCATGCCAACTACATTAAACAAAGCCTGAAATGATCAAATTGTAGAGAAACAAATTTTTGTTTTTTAAATTGAAAGTAAATCTCTAATTTATTCAGAATTTGGTATATGAAAGACTCCATTGAGAAATACTTAATGTTTTTTAAGAGCGTTAAAGGATGACTTAGATTATTATTAGAAGATAAAATATTTAATTCTTACACAATTGATTTGGTTATTTGACAAGATAAAACCATCATTATCTATTGATTTATAAAATGTTAGAAGAAGTGATTGTGAAAAGTTGATACCAAGTTAACGGATACAGACTAATTAAGTGGATTTACAAAAACATAAGGAAACGTTCTTTATAACACATGAATAAATATTAGAACAAATCATTTAAGAGTTCAAAAGAGGGGGTTAAATTAGGTACAAGATATAGTAACAATAAGTTGCAGGAAATGTTTGTAATATGTTCTAAAGATATGTGAAGTCACATATATGTGTGTAGAAATTTTGAGGAAGAATAGAACATAATTTTGAACAGTGAGTATATCTAAAAGAATATATAAACATTGAACAGTGATTATGCGTGGAAAAACTGAAAATTACAAAGTTGGAAGAATTTTATTACTGCATATAATTTTTTTAATTAGGGACATATTAGTGATTTTGTAATAGTTTTAAAAATTTAGGATTTTGGTAATAATTTTGTACTAATAGTTAAAAATATAAAAAACAAGGTAGTATTTAAGTCTGATATCTTAACCTGGGCCCTAAATAAAGAATTTCACTTAGGTACTTCAGTTGCGTAGTATGGCATAATGAAAGGTGGCAACAGGCATGACCCTTTTAAGGATAATCGAAGTGACAGATTCATTTAAGGAAGTAATGGAAAGTTGGGCAGTGGGCATTGAGAAAGAACTTGGATGACCTACTAAAGAGCTTAGACTTGATGAATATAATGAAGATTAATTGAAATTATTTGAGTAGGAAAATTAGGGTAGGTCCCTCATAGTAAGTGCTCTATGAATAAATGGTATTGACAAGGTTTTTAAAAGGTGATCAACCCAACATTTTGCTAGCAGATTAATGGAGGATAGAAGCCAAATGAGGGCAAGGGGATCAATTACTGTAGGTTCAAAATGATGTGATTAGGATTGATATAGGCAGATACCAGTAATAAAGAAGAAAGAACACAGTGTAGAGGACAGACACATATTCAGTGAATGCCATTGTGGTAGGCGCTTTATACATTTTATTTCTTCATTCTTTCACCAAGTATATACTGAGTACCTAATATATGAAAAGGACTGTCTGGGACTTGGAGATTCAGTGGTAAATAATACTGACAAAATTCTTGTCCTCATTAAGTCCAAGGGAAAGGCACAGAGAATAGACAAATCTGGAAACAAAAATAAAACTAAACAACCATAAAATGTCAGCTAGTGTTAGTTGCTAAAGAAAAGAAAGTAAGGCATTAACACAGACTGAAAGGGGTAGAGATTTGGGCTACATTAGCTAGGGTGGATGGGGAAGGCCTTTTTGAAGAATATTTATTCCTCATTGTTTCCTTGGATGTGGAAAAATGTTAGTCTTATTTTACAGGAGAAAATGAAGCATAGTGAGGTTTAGGAACTTACCCAATATTGGACAGCAAATGAGTCATGAGGTGGGATTTCAACAAGTCTGCAGTCAACATTGCATCACAAATGACAGACAGTGCAGAGATTTGAGTGTACTTTTCACACTGAGTGTGGAAAGAGGAGAAGAATAAGTGTGGAAATACTCCTCTACTATTTTGAAGCTGGATAACTGGGACAGAAAAGAACTTATTTAACAGAAATGGCAGCACTTAAAGACTTTTGGTGAAAAGATAAGTTTGGTCATACTTCTTTGAGGCAGGATATTAAAGAAGAAATAATAACTAGACATTGGAAATGAAAAACAAAAATTCAGAAATAGTGTTCTGGACTTGATTGTAAATTCAGGAGTATTTGCTTGGGGTCATAGTTAAAGCCTAGTTCTCTCAGGTAAATACAGGGATCAATAAAGGCTGAAAACTAAGGACACAACCTTGGGGCACTGTCTCATTTTGTGGGTAGAAAGCAGTGTAACCAATGAAGATAAAGGATAATTGATCTCAGCAGGTAAGAGTAAAAAAAAAATTAAATAGAAAAGAAAAAAACATATTGGAAGAATTTTTTATGGTAAAGAGGATGTCGCATCTTTAGAATTTCAATAGCTTGCAGTTGTTGGACATGAAATTGTGGTGGGTTATATATAACTGCCAAGTATAGAACCTTTACTGAGAATATTTTGGACAGAAGAAAAATAAAGCTTTAACTATAGGAAATAGAATTTATGAAAGATTTATTAAAGTGAAGTGGTACTTGCCTCACTTTAACTTACCAAATATATAATTTACCATATTTATAAACTGAGGATAAATGAGTTTTGATTAGAAAGAGAAAGAGACTGAAAATGTCATAAATGAAGAAATAATTGGAGAAAATCATTGTGAAGAAGTATGAATGGACGGTAACACAAATGGAGTAAGACTTAAAGAGATATAGGCATACCAAATGCTGACATGATTTTTATGAGTTGTGAAGATTTAAAGAAATCTGTTTGAATAACAATTTTTGAGGCCACCTATAAATTTGTGTTCATTACTTCCACTAAGCAAAGTTCTTTTGATTATTCTTTGATCATTGAAATGTTTTGTATTTTATTTAATTTACAGCAACAAAAATAACTCTTGAGAAGGAATAAATATGAACCGATGGAGATAATTATTTAGTAATGTTTGAAATATATGTTTTAGAACATTGCACTTATTAATGAGTATAAGAATATTATGAAAACAGAAAAATAATGAGCCTTGTAAGAGTTCACACAATTATTTTATATAATTGGTATTCTACATTCAAGGAGAGCTTGAATATAGAAATTAAAGAAGCATATGCTCATTTGAAAAGAGACAAATCTAATAGTGTAATTAAAGCTTGTGCCTTATAACACAATAAAAATATCCAGAAGGATTTTATCCTTAATTGTGACATAAAATGATTTCTAACCTTTATTTTTTGAGTCAGAAAAAAACGAGGAAGCATGGGTTCTTCTTTGCTATACGAAATCAAAGTAACTTTACAAATTTGAAGTGCTTAGTTATCTAAAATCATATCATAGAAGGATATATATTTATATTTTGATTGTTGTATATATGTAACTTTTTAAAGATCAGAGTGATATGGGCAAGAAACCAGTGCTATCAGCCAGTATTGCGTTTTGTTTACATGTAATAGAAATCCATCTAAACAAGGATTTTATTTTCATCATGTTACAGAAAGTTAGGATATAGGAAGTCCTTCCTTGTAGTTGCTCAAGGAAATCATGAAGGACCAAGTTTATTCTAGCTTCCTGCTCTGCCACCTTTAGCAAGTGAACAGTCCCCCTACCTCTCATAGGCAATGAACTTCACATCCAAGAATGTGCTTAGGGCAGAAAAAAGGGATTGATGAGAACAAAAATCACATGCCAGTGAAGTCCGTTCATTTTATATTAGGAAATAATAGCTCCTGCAAATGTCTTACTTGATAGACTTCTATGACTGGAACTGCCTCACATGACTACCACTAGGTAGAATGGAATCTGGTTTGATGAGTATTTTTAAGTGGACACATTTACTTCCTAAACAAAACCAATATTCTATTAATAAAAAAGAAGGAAGATTCTTGTAAGGCAACTAATATTTCTGTCACACAGAGAAAAACAAATTGATAATGCAGTACAAGGTTGATATTTTAAGGTAGAGATTTTTAGCTTGAGCATTTAGCATCCATTTGTTCTTTTAATGTAAATGTCAAACAAAATATAAAAATCATATGTATAATTACCAAAAACTATTTAAAAGTAAATTTATAATTCACTCAATAGAGTAATATAGATTAAATAATTTTTGTAAAATTTAACGTGTTTTTGCTTTCAAAAAATACAAAAGATAAAAAAGAATATACAGTTAAACAGTCTATATGAAAAAAACCATAAAAGTGTCAAAAGTAAGATTATGGCTTATGAAAATTACATGTTTACATTTATGGATGTTACCTGAATGTAAATGTAAGTAAATTGTAAGTGTATTATAAATGAATGTAAAAACTGAAATAAAGTTGTTTATTGGCAAGATTGATTCCAAAAACCAAAGTAATGGTGAACAGATGAACATAAAATGCTAAGCAAATATATATTAAGTAGAACAAAGCAAATACTTAACATTAGTTTCAAACAATGTAGAATTCAGTATATAAAGCATTAAATGGCATAGATAGGAACTCTTTCATTGATATAAAAAGTAACTGCCACAATAATGATATTTTAGTTCTGACCATTAATGTGCACAATAGTATTATGCAAAAACATATACCATAAATACTTTGATAAATATAAGAATAAATCGATAGAAAATATTATAGTGGAAGGAAAACATAACATTTTTATGTCAACAAATTATGTGTGGAAAAATAAGCACATAGGGCTTGCATTTCTAAGAAGATAGAGTAGATATTCCTCTAGCTAAGTACAATTAAATATCCTGGACATTATATAGTAGTAATTACTATGTATTATATAATTAAATTGTATGATCTGTAATAAACATATTAATTCCCTAAAACATTAAAATATATGTTCCTTAAAACATATAATGTAAAACATATAATTCCTTAAGATATTATATGTAATAAACATATTAATATCTTAAAAATTATACACAAAACAAACATCAGGAGACTAAAAAGGTAAAGAGAAGAGGCAGACTCGATAGAACAGTTGAAACGCAAGGAATGACACAGTGGTAAATTCTTCATTTTCCTGGTTTGTTTTTCTTCTTCTTTATTAGTCAGGGTTCCCCAGAGGGACAGAACTAATAGGATAGATAGATATATATATAAAGAGGAGTTTATTAAGTATTAACTTACATGATCACAAGGTCCCACAATAGGCTGTCTGCAAGCTTGAGGAGCAAGGAGATCCAGTCTGGGTCTCAAAACTGAAGAACTTGGAGTCCAATGTTTGAGGGCAGGAAGCATCCAGCACAGGAGAAAGATGTAGGCTGGGAGGCTAGGCCAGTCATTTCCCCAGTGCCAGCCTACATAATTGGCATAGACATACTTAGCAGCTGAAAGAACCCCTACACCTTCATATATCCAAAACCTGAAGCTGACAAAGTTCAGCAACACAGAAGGGACAAAGGGTGCAAACAAAAAAATACATATTAAAAAAAGTAACAGAAGCCTGCTCTCTCTATCTAAATGAACAGGAAAGGATCAACATAGCAAGACTGATAACTTTTAGAAAATAACCACTCTACTGCAGTCAAAGTACAGAAAAATCTGTGGTCTCACATTCGCCCATGCAGCAAAGTCTGGGTGGGGAGTTTAGACCTCTACCTTTTTGAGACTCAAGTGAAGCAACCCAACACCCTGTAGGGTGATGTCAAAGGAGGCCAAGTAAGGAACCAGGGATTTCATTTCTGTTGGCCAGTTATAAGCCCTTACTAACCCATTGTAGTACAACATTCCTGCCCCTCCCTGCTGAGGTGGTGTCAGACTCCTCTGACACTAATGGAGATCAAGACTTTTACCATTGCTGGGTGATAACAAGGCTACCCCTAAAGCTGTGCCAATTAAGACCACACAGGAGCTATAACCCCTACATAAACAACAGAAAAAAAAAATACTGAGAAATGAACATAGCTTCAGGTATCCATGGAATTATAATAAAAGATATAACTTTCATGTCATCAGAGTCTCGAGAAAACAGAGTGCAGCACTGAAAAGGTGCCTGATTAAGAAATAATGGCTAAAAACTTCCCAAATGTTGCAATAGACATAAATGCAGATTTAAGAAGCTGAGAAAACCCCAAATCAGCCCAAAGAAATCCAATGCCAAAAAATATCTTAATTAAACTTCTTAAAACTGAAGGCAAAGAAAAAAATCTGGAAAACAAGAAAGACAACACTTTACCTATAGGTGAAAAACAATGAGAGTGACAAAATTTTGCACCAAAAACTGTAAAGAATATAAGCAAGTTGCAAAATATTTTTCAAGCTCAGAAAGAAAATAACACTATCAAATCATAATTCTATGACAATGAAAATATTCCTCAGGAATGAAGAAGGAATTAATATATACTCAGATAGAGGAAAACTAAGAGAATCTATTACTAGCATACCTCCCCTAAAATAATAGCTAAAGGAAGCGCTCTACATAGAAAGAAAATGATAAAAGAAGGCTGTGGAATATCAGGAAGGAAGAAAGAACATGGTAAGCAAAAATATGGGTAAACGAAATACACTTTCTTTCTCTTGAGTATTATAAATACTGTGTAAGCAAAAATTATAACACTGTCTCAGGTTGTTCTAAATATATATAGAATGTATACTTAAGAATTATAAACAGGAGTGTAAAGGGATGTTAAGAGGGATAAGGTTTCCATACTTCACCTGATCTGGTAAATTAGTGACATTACATGGTTGTGACATTAGTTGACTGTGGTATGTTAAAGCATCTACTAAGAAAGCTGTACAAAGAGATATACAAAAACAATATATAGAGAGGAGTGTGATGTCAGCAAGATGGAAGAATAGGAGATTCTCAGTTCTAGCCCTCCCTCAGAAGCACCAATTTAGTAACTATTCATGGATAATAATGCCTTTGTGAGAATTCCAGAACCCAGGGGAGAGGTTACAGCACCCAGTAGAGTGCAAAATCTGGGGAAGAATGTTAAAAGGATAAAAGGAACAATTTTACTTTACTTGTGTCACCCTTTCCCCAAGCTAGCAGAGCATCACAGTGAGAAGGATCTTTTTGGCCTCCCATTTATCCAGTGGGGGAAGGAGAGTCTGAGATGAATGTTCATTTTCCTCAGCATTTCAGGGTGTTGCCTGAGAAGTGCACTTCTATCTTGCCTCAGTCAGAATATGGGAGAATTAGCACAGCTAAATCATCACGGGACAACTAGGAACAACAACAACAAAAAAAGGGGGAGGGTAGAGCTGTTAGTGGTGGGCAAACAGATATTGGCAGTAGCCCCATAGCCCCTACCATTGGCCTTGACTGACTGTAGACCTGTCATCATCTTCACCTAACAACATCTTCTTCCATTTGGCCCCAGCAGACCAGCTGGCCTCACCTGACCTTGGACCCCATCGGCCTCATCTGACTTCAGAGCCAGTAGACGCTGGTCAGCAGGCTTCACCAGCCATAGACACCAGTCAGAGCCCCAGAATCCCAGGGTGCACTGACTGGTGAAGACCTTTAATTCCTAAAGCCAGCCTATGAAGATGAGAAGATTGTTTTAGATGTAACTGCTTCTTAAAATGCACAAGCACCAACGTAAGTATTTAAGGACAATGAAGAATAAGGGAAACATTCTACCATCAAAGGAAACTAAAGGAAACTAATAAAGCTCTCTCTAGCAACCAAACCTAAAGAAATGGAAATCTGCTAACTGCCTCACAAAGAATTCAAAATAATATTCTGAAAGAATCTTAGTGAACTACAAAAGAACATTGACAAATAACTAAATGAAATCAGAAAAACAATACATAAAAAATGGGATGTTAAAGAAATAGAAACTATTAACCAACAAGAAATAGAAAACATTAACCAAAATGAAGTTGTAGGCTGGGTGCAGTGACTCATGCCTGTAATCCCAGCACTTTCAGAGGCCAAGGCAGGTGGATCACCCAAGGTCAGAAGTTCAAGGCCAGCCTGGTTAACATGGTAAAACTCTGTCTCTACTAAAAATACAAAAAAAAAAAAAAAAATAGCCAGGCATGATGGCAGGTGCCTGTAATCTCAGCTGCTTGGGAGGCTGAGGCAGGAGAATTGCTTGAACCTGGGAGGCAGAGGTTACAGTGAGCTGAGATCGCACCATTGCAGTGCAGCCTGGGCAACAAGAGTGAAACTCCTGTCAAAAACAGGAAGGAAGGAAGAGGGGAAGGGCGGAAGGGGGATTGTAGAGTTCAGTGTTATAATGAATTAACTGAAAAATTCAATAGAGAGTTTCAACAGTAGACTCAGTCAAGCAGAAGAAAGAATTAGTGAAATTAAAGACAGGTCATTTGAAAGTGTCCAGTCAGAGAGACGAAAAGAAAAGAAAAAAAAAGTGTGAAGAAACTCTATGGGACTGATGAGACACCATCAAGTAAAACAATATAACGCATTATGGATATCTTACAAAGTTAAGAGAGACAGAGAGAAAAGAGGGAAGAAAGTGTATAAAATAATGACTGAACACGTCACAAATCTGGAGAAAGAAATGGATACCTATACTTAGGCAGCCCAAAAATCTGCACGTAGATAGAAATGAAAGAAATTTACATCAAGATACATCAGAAACCTTGTGGGCTGGAAGAAAATGAGATGGTATATTCAGAACACCATATAAACAACAATAAAAAACCCAAAACGTGACAACCAAAAATACTATGCCTAGCAAAATGCTTATTCAAAAAATAAAAGAGAGATAAAGACATTTACAGATAAACAAAAATTGAAGGAGTTCATCACCACTAGGCCTACCTTACAAGAAGTGCTGAAGGAAGTTTTTTGAATTGAAACAAAATTTATTTTATTATTATTATTTTTTATTGTTTCAATTGAAACAAAATATTAAGTCTAAACAAAATTTGTTACTGAATATACAATATGAAAAGTATGATATCAGTGACAAAATATGGGAGGGGACAGTAAAAGTGCAGAAATGTACATGTGTTTGACAATAATTTATAGCAGCTTAAAATAGACTTTATTAAGAGGTTTGATACAAACCTCATGATAACAAAGAAAAAACCTATGGTAGATACACAAAAGATAAAATAGCATCAAAGCATAGCAGTATAAAAATTATCAAGCCACAGAGAAAGACTACAAGAGAAGAAGAACAAGAGAACTACAAAACAAAACAATAAAATGGTAATCATTAGCCTTACTATTAATAATTATTTTAAGTGTAAATGGATTAAACTCACCAGTTAAAAGATAAGGAGGGAGTGAATGGATTTTTTTTTTTTTTTTTTGAGATGGACTCTCACTCTTGCCCAGTCTGGAGTGCAGTGGCGTGATCTCGGCTCACTGCAAGCTCCACCTCCTGGGTTCATGCCATTCTCCTGCCTCAGCCTCCCAAGTAGCTGGAACTATAGGTGCCCGCTACCACGCCCAGCTGATTTTTTGTATTTTTAGTAGAGACGGCCAGGATGCTGGCCAGGATGGTCTCAATCTCTTGACCTCGTGGTCCACCTGCCTCGGCCTCCCAAAGTGCTGGGATTACAGGCGTGAGCCACTGTGCCTGGCCTGAATGGATTTTTAAAAAACCGAGACCCAACTATATGCTGTCTGCAAGAGATTTTCCTTGGATTTAAATCCTCACATATTGGTGAAGGGAAAGAAATGGAAAAACATATTTCTTGCTAATCATAACCAAAGGATACCAGGAGTGTCTACATTTATTAAAAAAGTAGGCTTTAATTAAAAAACTTACAAAAGACAAAGGAGGTCATCAAATAATGATAAAAGGGTTAATCCAACAAGAAGCTATAACAAATATAAATATATTTGCACTCAACATTAAATTATGTAATATATGAAGCAACGTTAGCAGTTATTAGGAGAAAACAGAAACACAATAATACAAAACTTCAATACCCCACTTTCAACAATTGATAGATCATCCAGAAAGTAAATTGATAGGGAACAGCAGACTTGAATAACACTGGGGGCCAAATATACCTAACAGACATGTACACAGAATCCAGCAGTAATATAATATACATTCCTTTCAAGCACACACAGAACCTTCTTTAGAATAAATGACATAGTCACATATAAGTATTAAGAAATTTAAAATGATTGAATTTATTCCAAGAATATTTTCTAAGCACAATGGAATAAAACTAGATATCATTAACAAAAGGAAATTGGGAAAATTCACAAATGCAAGGAAATTAAACAACTATTGAGTCAAAAGAGAAATCAAAAGAAATTATAAAACACTGATACAAGTGAAAATGAACTTACTAAAATTTGTGAAAACACAACCTACCAAAACTTATAGGATAAAGTAAAAGCAGTATGATAAGGGAGGTTTATAGTGAAATCTATTTTAAAAAAGAAAAAATGATCTCAACCAACTGTACACCTGAAGGAACTAGAAAAATTAACAAACTAAACCTAAAATTGGCAGAAATAAAGAAACAAAGATCAGGGCAAAAATAAATGAAATACGGAATAGCAAAGAAATTCAACAAAATTCAGTTGGCTTTTTAAAAAGACAAACAAGATAGACAAACTCAGCAATAATAACACAGAAAAAAAGAAGACTTAAACTCAGAAATGAAAGAAGAGACATTACAATTAATGCCACAGATATAAAAAAGATTTTGAGACTCATTTAAAACATACTCCAACAAAGTGGACAACTTAGAAGAAATGATAAATAAATTCCCAGAAACATACAACCTCCCAAGAATAAATCAAGAAAAAATAGAATGCTTGAACATACCTATAACAAATAAGGAGGTTGATTATGTAATCAAATTCCTCTCTAATGAGAAAAGTCCAGGGTCAGATGGCTTTATATATGAATTTTAAAGCATTAATACCAATTATTTTTAAATTCTGCCCCCCAAAAAGAAGAGCGAACACTTCTAAACTCATGTTATAAGTCCAGCATTACACTGCTACCAAAGCCAGGCAAAAACAACACAAGAAAACTACAGGTCAATATCTGTGATGAACATGGATACAGCAATTTTCACCAAGGTATTAAGAAACTGAATCCAACAGTACATTGAAAGGATCACACACTGTGGCTGAGAGAGATTTGTCTCTGGGAGCCATGGATGGTTCAACCTATGCAAATCAATCAATGTGATGCACCACATTAACAGAATGAATAATAAAAATCACACAATTATCTCCATAGATGCAGAAAAACATTTGACAAAAATTCAACACCTTTTATGATTAAAAAAGCTCTCAACAATTATGTATGGAAAGAGTTTCCCTCAATGCAATATAAGGACTATATATAAAAAGCCCACAGTTAACATCATACTCAACAGTGAAAAACTTTTAAGTTTTTTTTCCTAAGATATGGAACAAGGTAAAGATGCCTCTATTCAACATAGTATTGGAAGTCCAAGCCAAAGCAATGGGACTAAACAAATAAATAAATGCCATGAAAGTTAGGATGGAAGAAGTAAAATTATCTCTACTTGCAGGTGGCATGGTCTTATATGTTGAAAACCTTAAAACATGCTACAAGAATACTGTTAGAATTAATAAACGAATTTAGTAAAGTTACACATAACTCAGTTACATTTTTATACATTAATAATAAAAAATCTGAAAAGGAAATTAAGAAAGCAATCTCATTTAAAATAGCACCAGAAAGAATAAAATACATAGGAATAAACCTATCCAAGGAGGTGAAAACTTGTACACTGAAAACTATAAAACACTAATGGAAAAACTAAAGTAGACATAAATAAGTTGGAAGGTATCCTGGGTTCATGGACTAAAAAATTAGTATTGTTAAAATGTCTATCCCACCCAAAGCAATGCAGATTTGATCAATTCCTATCAAAATACCTAAGTACTTTTTTACAGAAATGGAAAAAAATCCTAAAATTAATATGGCACCACAAAAGATCCTGAATAGCCAAAACAATCTTAAGCAAAACAAACACAAAAACCAAATAAAGCTGGAGGCATCACACTTACTGGTTTCAAAATACGTTACAAATCTATAGTAATTAAAACAGTGTAGTACTGGCATACAAGTAGACATATAGAACAATAGAACGGAATACAGAACCTAGAAATAAACCCATGGATATATGTTCAACTAATTTTCAGCAAGGGTGCCAAGAATACACAGCAGAGAAAAGATATTCTCTTCAATAGATGATGTTGAGAAAACTGGATATCCATATCAAAAAGAATGAAATTGGACCTTTGTCTTACACTATACTCAAAAAAGAATTAAAATCTTAAAGGTAAGATCTGAATCTATAAAACTTCTAGAAGGAAAAAGGGGAAAACCTTCTTGACATCGGTCTTGGCAATGGTTTCTCCAATATCCCACTAAAAACACAATCAACAAAAGCAAAAACAGTCCATTAAGACTACATCAAACTAAAAAGCTGCTACACAGCAAGGGAAACAATCAACAGAGTGAAATGGCAACTTATAGACTAGGAGAAAATATTGGCAAATCATTTATTTAATGAGGGGTAAATTTCTAAATTATATAAGGAACTCTTATACCTTAATAGCAAAGACAAACAAACAAAAAATAACCCGAATAAGGAATGGTTAACAGACTTGAATAGACATTTCTCCAAAGAATACATAAAAATGAATACATAAAAAAGATATATGAAAAGATAACACTACTAATCATATGAGAAATGAAAATCAAAGAATGAGGAGATACCATTGCATACTTCCTAGGATGGCTATTATTAAAACACAACAAAGCAGCCTGTAATTCCAGTGTTTTGGGAGGCTGAGGCAGAAGGATCACTTGAGGCCAGGAGTTCAAGACTAACCTGGACAACATAACAAGACCCTGTCTCTACAAAAAATTTAAGAAATTAACCAGGTGTGGCGTGCACTTGTAGTCTCAGCTATTTGGGAGGCTAAGGTGAGAGAATTGCTTGAGTCCAGGAGTTTGAGGCTGCAATGAGCTACAATTTTGCCAGTGGCACACCAGCCTGGGTGACAGAGCAAGACCCTGTCTCTTAAAAAAAAGTGTTGGAGAAATTGAAACCTTTGTACACTGTTGGTGGCAACGTAAAATGGTACAGCTATTATGGAAACATTATGGAGGTTTCTCAACAAAGTACAAATAGAGCTATCATATGATCCAGCATTTCTACTTCTGGGTCTATATAAGAAACAATTAAAATCAGGATCTTAAACAGTATTCCATGTTGATTGTAACATTATTCATAATGGCCAAGAGACAGAAACAGCCTGCACGTTCACGGAGAGATGAATACAGAAATAAACTATACATACACAATTGAATATTGTTTAGCCTTAAAAAAAGAAGGAAATCCTACCATTTGTGACAATATGGATGGACCTGAAAGATACTCTGCAAGGTGAAACAGGTCAGTCATGGAAGGACAAATACCGGATGATTTCTCCTATGTGAAGCATCTAACATAGTCAAATTTACAGCAGTAGATAATCAAATCATGTTTACCAGGGGATAGGGAGGACACCGTGGGAAGTGTTGTTCAAGGTTTACAAATACCCAGTTATGCAAGATGAGGAAGTTCCTACAAATTGTGGTACAACATAGAGCCTAAAGCTTGCAATAATGTATTGTAAACTTAAAAGTTTATTAAGTGAGTAGATCTCATGTTAAGTGTTCTTACCACAAACAAACAAAAGAAAATAAAAATGACACAAGACAACCAAAAGAACTTTTAGAGGTGATGGATATATTTATTACCTTGATTATGGACATAGTAACACAAGTAATACATATGTCCATACATAATTATGTTTAGGCTTTTTGTGTATGCTAATTATATGTCAGGAAAACTGAGGGAGAAAACCTCACTATAGATAAATCTAAATGGAATTCCAAAAATGTTTAAGTAACCCATAGGAAATCAAGAGAAGAAAACAATGAAAGAAAAAAACAGGAATCTAACAGAAAACAAAAAATAAAATGGTAGTCCTAAGCATTAACCTGTCTATAATTACATTAAAATTTACAGTAAATGGTCTAAATATGCCAGTTATAAGAAAGAGATTGGCAAATTGGGCTTCAAAACTTTATTCAGCTATGCGTTGTTAACAATAAACTAATTTCAAATAGAATGTTATAGGCAAATTGAAAATAAAATGATGGAAAAATATGTATCATACAAAAATTAGTTAAAAGTAGGATTGAGTAGCTGTATGAATATCTGATAAAGGAAATTTCAGCACAAAGGGAATTATCAGAGGTGGAGAGAGATGTTATATCATGATAAAAGTTTCAATCTACTAATAAGGCATAGCCATTCTAAATGGGGATGCATTAAACAATAAAGCAACAAAATATATGGACAGAAAACTGAAATGAGAGATAGGCAAATCTACAAATATAGTTGGAGATGTCAATACTTCTCTCTATCAACTAGACAGGAAATTAGAACAACTAGATATGAAATTAGGATATATATAGAAAATACGAGCACCCTATTAACCAATAGTATGTAATTGACATTTATAGAACACCACCCAACAACAGCAAAATATACATTCTTTTCAAGTGTCCATGAAATTCTATACAGACTATATATATCCTTAAATCAAATATCAGCAACTATCCCTAAAACAAATATCAATAAATTTAATAGAATTTAAATCATACAGGGTGTGCTATCTGATGACAGAAAGATAAGAGGAAAATCTCCAAACACTTGGAAACTATTACACATTTCTAATAAATCCATTAGTCAAGGAGGAATTCTTTCGTGTGTGTGTGTGTGTGTTTATTTTATGTTTTTAATTGTACAATTCAGTGGTTTTAGTGTATTTTATCATTTGAATAGGTTTTTGTGGAACAGGTGCTGTTTGGTTACATGAATAAGTTCTTTAGTGGTGATTTCTGAGATTTTGGTGCTCCCATCACCAGAGCAATGTACACAATATCCAGTATGCAGTCTTTTATCTCTCACCCCCAGCCCAACCACTTCTTTCCCCAAGTCCCCAAAGTCCATTGTATCATTCTTTAAAAAAAAATATGTGGAAGTTTAGAGTGTCGTATTTTTTAATTTTTATTTTTATTTTAAGTTCTGGGGTACATGTGCAGGATGTGCAGGTTTGTTACATAGTTAAACATGTGTCACGGTGGTTTGCTGCACCTATGAACCTATCACCTTCTTATGCCTTTGAGTCCTCATAGCTTAGCTCCCACTGTGAGTGAGAACATACGATATTTGGTTTTCCATTCCTGAGTTACTTCACTTAGAATAATGGTCTCCAATTTCATCCAGGTTGCTGCAAATGCCATTATTTCATTCCTTTTTATGGCTGAGTCGTATTCCATGGTATATGTATACCACATTTTCTTTATCCTCTTGTTGATTGATGGGCATTTGGGCTGGTTCCATATTTTTGCAATTCCAAATTGTGCTGCTCTAAACATCTGTGTGCAAGTGCAAGTATCTTTTTTGTATAATGACTTCTTTTCCTCTGGATAGATAACCAGGAGTGGGATTGCTGTATCTAATGGTAGATCTACTTTTAGTTATTTAAATAATCTCCACACTGTTTTCCATAGTGGTTGTAATAGTTTACATTTTCACCAATAGTGTAAAAGTGTTCCCTTTTCACCACATCCACGCCAGCGTCTATTATTATTATTTTTTTATTATGGCCATTCTTGCAGGAGTAAGGTGATATCACCTTGTGGTTTTGATTTGTGTTTTCCTGACAATTAGTGATGTTAAGCATTTTTTTCATATGTTTGTCGGCCATTTGTATATCTTCTTTTGAGAATTGTCTATTCATGTCCTTAGCCCAAAAGAGGATGGTGTAAAAGAAATAAAGAAATGGTTAACTGAATAAAAATACAAATACAAAGTTTTAAAAGTTGTGGGACACAGCTAAGGCAATGCTTAGAGGAAAATTTATAGCACTAAATTGGAAAAGAGGGAAAATATCATATCAATGATCTATGCTTCCCACTCAAGAACTAGAAAAAGAAGAGCAAAATTAACCCAAAGCCAGCAGAAGGAACAAAATGATAAGGAGTGAATATTAGTGAAACTGAAAAACCAAAGAAGTTGAGAAAATTAGGAAAACAAGCATCTGGTTCTTTGAAAAAGTGAATAAAATTGACAAACCTGTCAAGACTGACAAAGGAAAAGGGAGAGACAAATTATCAACATCATGCATGAAACCAGGGAGATCACAGGCCTTGCAAATGTTAACAGAATAATAATACTAAATATTCTACACACGTAAACTAGACAGTCTGGATGAAATGAAACACTTCTACAGAAAAAAAAACACAAACTACAAAAACTCACCCACCATGAAATAGATAATTTGAATAATTGTATAACTATTAAGGAAATTGATTTCATAGTTTTAAAATTCACAAAAGAGAAACATACAAGACTAGATTGCTTCACTGGAGAATTATCCCAAACATGTAAAAGTAACACCAATTCTGTACAATATATTCCAAAAAATAAAAATAAAAAAGGAACACCTCCTAATTTATATTATGAAGCTAAAATTATCTGGATACCAAAATGAAAGACAGCACAAGAAAGGAAAACCACAGATCAATATTCCTTAAGAGCATAAGCATAGAAATCTTTAAAAATATTAGCGAATACAATTCAGCAGTATATAAAAATATATACTATGATCAAGTGGGACCAAGTATAGGGATTCAAGGATGGTTCAACATTCTAAACCAATAAATGCAATCCACCTTATTAAAAGACTAAAGAAGAGATGTCATACCAATTCATGCAGAAAAAAATTTGACAAATTTCAACATCTATTTGTGACAAAAACTTTCAGAAAAATATGTTTAGAAGGCAACTTCCTCAACTTGAGGAAAAACATCAAGAAAATACCTACAACTAACATTATGCTTAATGGTGAAAGAACACTTTTCCCACATTATTGGGAATAAAGCATGGATGTCCACTGTCACTTCTCTTTTCAACATAGTGCCAGAAAATAGCCAGTACAACAAGGTGAGAAAAGGAAACAAAAGGAAAAGAAATTGGAAAAGAGGAAATACAACTCTATTTGCAGATCAAATGATCACCTATGTAAAAAATCCTCAAGAATCTACAAAGAATATATTAGAACTAATAAGTAAGGTTAGCATTGTCTCAGTATGCCAGATAAACATACAAAAATTATATTTCTATATACTAGCAATGAACACATGGAAGCCAAAATTTGAAATACAATTTATCATCATTCAAAGAAATGAAATACTTAATATATAAATCTAACAATACATGCACAGTACTGCTGCGCTGAAAACTACATAACACTGATTTAAAAAATAAAAATAAAGATCTCAATTCTACCGAAATTTATATACAGCTTCAATGCAATTCTTATCAAAATTCCATAAGATTGTAGATGTAGTCAAGATTATACTGAATTTTATATGGAAATATAAACAAACTAGAATTGTTAAAAGAACTTAGAAAAACAAGAAAAAAGTGGGATGCATCAGTTACCTTATTTTTAGACACGTGTAGCTATCGTAATCAAGACTGTGGTGGTATTGATAACACATGGGCACATAGATCAATAGAACAGAAAATAAAACCTAAAAATAGGTTCATGCAATATGTCCAAATGAATTTTGGCAAAGGTACAAATGTAATTTGATGAAGTAAAAAAGTCTTTTCAATAAATGGTCCTGGAGCAATTGGGTATCCATAGCCAAAAGACCAATAACATCAAAACTCCTCAGTCTAAGTTTCATACTTTATACAAAAATTAACTCAAAATAGGTCAAGCAGTTGTGTAAGATGTAAAGTTACAGAATTTTAGAAAAGTAATACTTTTGGGCATCTAGGACTAGACAGAATTCTTAGACCTGACATCAAAAGCATACTTTGTAAAAGGAATAAATGATAAAATGCATGTAATCAAATTTTTTTTCAAAAATTTTGCTCTATGAAAGACCCTGTTAGGAGAATGAAAAGATAAGCTACAGATTTGGGGCAAGTATTTGCAAACTCTATGTATTTGTTTGCTAGGGCTGCCATAACAAAGTACCACTAGGTAGCTTAAAGAGAAATGTATTTATTTATTTACAATTCTGGAGGCTAGAAATCCAAGATTGAGGCATCAGCAAAGTTGATTTCTTCTGAAGACTCTCTCATTGGCTTGTAGATGCTCTTCTTCTCCCTGTCTTTACATGGTGTTTCCTCTGTGAAAGTGTTTGTGTCCAAATTTCTTAAAAGAACACCAGTCATATTGTATTAGAGCCCACCCATATGGTCTTATTTTAACTTATTTACCTCTTAGAACTCTATCTCCAAATACAGTCACATTCTGAGTTATTGGGGGTTAGTAATTCAGTATATGAATTTGAGGGGAAACGATTCAGCCTATAGCACCCTGTATCTGAAAAAAGACTAGTATATAGAAAATGTATACAACTCTCAAGCCTTAAAACACACACACACAGACACACATACACACACACGTCAAAAACATATGAAACAATCTAATTAAAAATTGAACAAAATCCAGAAGAGGAATTTCACCAAAGGGTATATACAGATGGCAAAGTAATCACGTGAAAAAATATTCAATATCATTAGCTGTTAGGGAAATGGAAATTGAAACCACAATGAGATATTACTACATACTATTCAGAATGGCTAAAATTAAAAAAAAAGAGTGACAATAAATTCTGGCATGTATGCAGCAAAACTGGTAGGAAAATAAAATAGTACAGCCACTCTGGAAAAGATTTTGACATTTTCTGAAAAAACTAAACATGGAATAATCATATGATTCAGCAATTGCAATACTGAGAATTTATCCCAGAGAAATGAAGGCTTATGTTCACATAAAAGCTTGTACATGAGTGTTTAAAGCAGTTTTATTGGTAATGGCCCCGAACTGGAAAATACCTAGATGTCCTTCAATGAGTGAATGGTTAAATGAATTGACACATCCCTACCATGGTATAGTACTCAACCAGAAATATTAACAGATTATTGATACACATGCAGCAATCTGTGTGAATGTCCATAGAATAATGCTACTTATATAAAATTATTTCAACAATAGAAAAATTATATTTTCACTGCCTAGCACACTTAGAGTACTCACTTTTGTTATATAACTACTATGTACTATGTTACAGTTTTGTTCTATGCCCTGGGTTTACAGTTAATAAAACACAGCCATCTTGTACCTCAGTGTTTACCAAGTGATCCTTATAAATACTGATTTAAATAATGCAAAAGATTCCATGCTAGTGTGGGAAGTTTCACACAGATTTTTTACCATTTTGTGGGACTATTAAAGTGAACATAATATTAAAAGAATAAATAAAAAGGTAAAAATGATATGATTTTTCTTTATTTGAAATAAACACTTATGGGATTGGTATGTTTTACACTTTTCAAATATGCTGAGAAAATGTGTGCCAAATTTGGATTTTTAAAAAAAATTAACTGATATAATTGTACATATTTATGGCATTCATGGTGTTTCAAAATATATAGTGTATAGTGATCCAATCAGCATAGTTAGCATATTCATCATCTCAAACATTTATCATTTCTTTGTGTTGGGAACATTCACTATCTTCCTTCTAGCTATCTAAAACTATATAATATGTTATTATTAACTATAGTCATTTTGCAGTGATATAAACACTAGAACTTATTCCTCCTATGTACATGTAATTTTCTGTCTTTTGACAAATCTTTTCCTATCTCTTCTTTCCCTCTACCCTTCCCAGCCTCTAGTATCCTCTGTTCTACATTTTACTTCTATGAGATCAAATATTCTTATGGAAAATATTCACAAATAAAATAGAAAAAGATAAACTTTATGGACTAGATCGTAGAACTAAAAACGTGGAAGTAGGGAAGATAAAAATTATATAAGTACAATATGCATTTAGAATGTCAAATTAATTGGGAAATTGTTTTGCATCATTTTATACAATGTGACTAGCATATAGTTTTAGAATTAGTTTTTAAACAACTCTTACTGTTGACATGCAAAACACTGTCATCCATATGAGTCATAATTATAAAAGTCCTTAATATTCTTTTGCATGTCTCACTCTATTTCGTTCCAGGATTAGTAATAGCCCGTTTCATTTCAGGCACGTAGTATAGAATTTCTATTATTCTACCAATCATTTTATTGATTGTTGATAGTTTTTTGCCTAAGCATCTTTTGTTCTTTGCTAAGCCTTTACTATAATTCCTTTGATTGGATTGAAAACATTTGTAGTGATTATCTTTTATAGTTAATTTGTTGATTTCATAATTTTACATTATATTAGTTTGGATAAATTAATTAGTACACGTCTCTTTTTAGATAAAATTTTGTAAGTATCAAATATAATAATGTATGTAGAAGTCCCTTATAAACCCTAAAACACTATATCATTTTAAGTATTGCTATAAAACTGTTGAAAGATAACATTGTTTGCATGCTTAAAACCTCACAACAACCCAGTGAGTTGTACCATCGTTATCTCCATTTTACAAATGATGAAAACATGATACAGATAGGTTATTTACCCTATAATACACAGCTAGCAAGTGGTAGAACTAAGATTTAAACAAATGTAGTTTTTCTTCAGAGCCGTCACTTCTTTAATGGAGGGAATGCATTATTATTATTATTATTATTTTACAAAGAGGATTCCTTCATCTTCAGACATCAAATGGTTTATGGCATTTGTAAAATTTTGCAGGGTCTTTATTGTTACTTTTCAAGATCATTGTTTTATGACATCAGAAAGCTTAAGTATTGTCTGGAGTTTACTTGTTCTCTGGAAGGGACACTCATACTACCCAGAGCTGATGAATATTCTGTTTATTTCTTTAATGAGAAGGAATTTTTCATGACTCAGTGAGAAGCAGGACTCTGATGTAAACTGCAATATGAGCTTAATGTTTCTCTACTGATGAGAACTGCTTCTGACCAGGGCTACTTGGTTCTAATCATCTAAATTCCCTCCTGTATTCTTTCTGCTTCTCCAACACTTCTACCCCCATCCCCTTGCCACCACTTATGCACTTTTACATCATTACACTCAACCCCTTTAATCCTAAGCCACAGGTGGCATCATGAGCACAAATGTAATTAACAAACATATAGATTTGTGGAAATCACATCTATACTAGAAACTAGTAAAAGATAATATTCTTACAAAATATTATTAGCTCTGGATAATTCTAGACATAGCAAAGACTTTTTGTCGGATACGATGAAGGTGAGACTGCTATGGTCTAAATGTGGCCAGTCTAAAATTTACATGCTAAAATCTAATCTCCAATATGATGGTATTTGGAGGTGGAGACTTTTGGAGGTGATTAGGTCATGAGGGTAGAACCCTCATAAATAGGATTCGTGTTCTTTGTAAAGAGGCCCCAGAGAGATCCGTCCCCTTTCCATTACGTGAGGACACAGTGGGAAGGTACCATTTATGGACCAGGAAATGGGCCTTAATCCAACACTAAAACTGCCAGTAGCTTTATCTTGGACTTCCCAGCCTCCAGAACTGATAGAAATAAGTTTCTGTTGTTTATAAGCTACCCAGACTATGTATTTTGTTGTAGCTACCCAGATGGACTAAGACATAACTGAATCAAAAGAAGAAACTAAGGCAGCCTGACTTTAAGCTATTCTTCCTGAAAAATATTATAAAATCACAGGAACTAGAGGAAATTCTGCAAAACCCTCTATGTTTTCAGGGTGACGATAGAACAAGTGACAGGATCCATTACTACAGAATAGGTTTCATGGAGAGATTCAAGTACAGTCAGGGTTACAATAAATATCAAATGGTATATGATAGGACTCGTGTGAGAGCAGTTAGGAGCTTCAGAAAAGAACTTAGACTCAGCCACATAACTGAAATAGTTGATAAGCTAAATAAAAAATTCAATATGAGAAACTGACCTTTGACAGAGTGGCTTCACCAAAATGAGAATAAATACATAAAGTTATGAGAAACAATGTAGACATTCATGTAATATTTATAAATAGGATGGAATTACGGTAGAGAAAATTAAAGCAAATAAAGGAGAAGCAATAATCAGGAAATAATGGATAAAACACCATGAATCTGAGTACTGGGAAAAATTCTGTGAGCAAAGTACATATATTTTCTTTAAAAATCTTTGAAGTTCAATTCTCTAATCACAGGAAAAAATGCAGAAGTATTTATATTTCTGATGAATTTTTTGAATGTAAGAAATTACTAGGCAAATAGAGGTGTTGGCATGAGTGAAGAGCCTGTGAGGCAGAGTGGAAAGCATTTGCAAAGGCACAGAGGTATTGATAGAGCTTGGCACATGCAAGTGACAACAAGTAGTTTCGTGTTCTTGGAGTTTAGAGGATATGTTTGGGCATGTCAAATGATGCTGGAGACAAAAACGGGATTAAAATAGCAAAGGGTGTTATATGTAATACTAAGGAGACAGGACTTTATCTTGCAAGATCTTGGGGAAACATTTCAGGCATTTATATGACCTGATTTTTATTCTAGAAAAATCATCCTGTATTCTGTAATTTTGGAGTGGAGGGAAATTGAATATAGGGGAATTAGGAGTCTATTATAATAGTTCAGGTATAGTGTATAAGGAACAGATTGAAGGGCTATTTGATAGAATTTAGTGATTTATTGAATGGAAAAAGGTGCGAGAGAAAGAGGAATATGGGTTTATTACTTGGTTGACACGACGAAGAATCGTTTTTATGACTATATAGATAATATAATATGAGTGTGGATTGATTCAAGTTAGGGAGATAATTATTTATAGTTTTGACATCAAAGTAAATAAATGGAATTGGAAGTTTATTTTATATGCCTGTAATTTAAGAAAGAATGTCTGACAGGAGATTACAGCTATGTGGATAATCTAGGTATGTGAGGCAGTAAGATATTACAAGGAAGGTTTTCACTTGAGAAGAGTTAGCCAAGAAAGATGAAAAAGAATGAAAATCTAAGTTAAATCAAATGTTTAAATGTTTGCAGAAGAAAATGAACCAGCAAAACAGACTAAGAAAAGTTTAAAAGGGAGAAAAAGAGTGTGATGTCTTTGTAGCCATGCAAAATAATTGAGTTACAAGAATAAATTGATTGACATTGTTAAGTCACGCTTGGAGGCCAACGATAATGATTACTTAGTATTTTAACAGTCAATTGATAATCAAATGCCAGTTATAGACCAGATATCTCAGTTAGTCCAGATATGTAGGATGAAGAGTTGTTAAATTTGGTGAGCTTATATGGAGAAGATACACCAATGATTGCATTAAAGAATAATTTGTCAGCTAAAAACATCAGGATTAATAAATAGAGACCTTATTCAAAAAGCTGATTGCACGTGAGGGAAAGGAACTATTGCAATAGGCAGAGTGGGATTATTACAATGTGGAGAATGTTCTGACCATAAGATCTGCAAAAGTCATAATGGTTAGGCAAAAGAATTTCTCATTTATAAGGAGGAATAAACAAGACTATAAATAAATGAATGTGGGGAAGTGGAATGAAGAAAAGTGGTATGGTCTGACCTTAGAGCACAGACTGTTTTACCCTGAGAAAAACCTATTCTTAAGAGGGGCTGTTAAAGGGAGACTGTGTGCTGGCTGGGGCTGATGGTGGGCCAAAGTTCAGGGGCCCAGGGGAAGGAAATAATCTCAACTAAAGTTGGGCTAACAAATATTTTATTCCAATTGATTGGTGGGGACAAAACCTTTCAGCTAATTGTTAAAGAAGGGAAGAATGGGAATTTGTAAGGTCTGTGTCAGGTCTTGTTATAAACAAACAAGAAAGGCATCCAAGAGTATTATTTAAGTCAGTCATAAAGAGCAGGGTGCTTCTTTTCAGTAAGCCATTTCCTGAAACAAAGGACTGAGGAGATTTCTTAACTTTCACTGTTTTCCAAGAACACAGGGGTCAGGTAAAACTCAACATTGTCGAGAGTGACAAATGAATTATTTCACACGACACAGGATAATATTGTATAAAGACACTGAATGCAGATCAACATCAAGAAAGTCTTCTTGGGGGAAGGAACTGAGTCTCCCAAAGACTAAAATTGTGAGACAAATCATTGAAAAAGGCAGTTCAAGAAATACAGATGGCAAAAAGCATTTAAGTTTGATTATCAGGTAATTCTATGTAGGATAAATTGAGATGAGATTAAGGAGCTAGGATGGGACTAGATCAAGAAGGACTTTGTGTGGCAAACCAAGACATTTGTAATTTGTCTTTCATTGGCAAGCCAATAAATATATTAATCTAGAATGTCATATGATAAGATTTACATTTTGGAATGCTCAATCTAGCAATAGTGCATTTTATGGTTTGGAGAAAGTGGGGGAACAGGAATTAATGAAGATATAAGTTAGGAGAATTTTAGTAAGTTACGGAAGTGGTGTTAAAGACATAGGAAAAGCAATGGCAGAAAATAGAAGAAAAAGAGAGGTAAGACTGATATTTGGGATGTTGAATGTACTGCATCTAGTAACATTTGCATGCCAGGAAGCATAAAAAAAGAGAGAACCTAGGATGGTTCCAGGGTTTCTGGTTTAGGCAACTGTGGGCACTGGTACCATTTACTAAGGTAGTGTATATGAGAAAGCAGGTTGGGAAAGAAAATTCATATTTGGGAAAGTTGTATTTAGTTAGATATCAGTTTGACTATATTGTTACGTAGGTCAGGCCTAAACATAGAAATCTGAGAGTCTGTAGCACAAAAGTGAGTGTTCAAGCTATGAACTTAGAAGTGGTCATTTGGAGGATGTGTAGAGATTAAAAAGCAACATGGAGAAAATTCTTTCAATGTAACAATGAAGTGATAAACATGGTATATATAGTTTTTTTTAAAGTGCAGAAGTAAACAAGATTTAGAGGAAAACTGAAAGAAGTGTAGTACAGAATCTAAGGCAAGTGTTTCAAGGAGGGAATGTCCAATGTTAACTCTAAAAAAGTGCCCTTGGATGATAGGGATAGAAGCCAGTGGAATGAGAGATAGAAAAACAAAACAAAAAAAAAGAAAGTGGGAGAAACAAACATGGAATTCTGTTTCTAGATTTTGGGCTCTTAATGAAAGTTAGATATAAAGGATTGAGAGTTAGGATTTAAGGATAGGTAAAGTTATATCATCTTTATATATGAACAGATAGTGCTAGCAGAGGGAGAGCCTTAGAAAACAGATATGAGACTCATAATAGAGTGCCAATCTTAGACAAAAAAAGAGTTACTTCTTGTTTTAAGTTTGAGTAGAAGGCACTTCTACTCAGTATAGATAGGAATATAGTTAAATTTACAGAGAATGGAGGGGAGTTAATTGATGGAGTTCAGACTTGATGGCTCTAGTTTCTCTGTGAAAAAAGAAGCAGAGTGTTTAGGAAGCTCCAGGGAATGGACTGGAAGAGTATCGAATAGTGTCAAAGGTTTTCAGTAGCTAATGTTGGGAATAGAATAAAGACAGAGCCAAGGAAATAAGTTTATAATTAGCAATGAGTGTTTGAAAGTATAAATCGGAAGCGGCACTAATCTGCAAGGTGTTGTGATTTTTTTTTTGTTTCCTGTAAACTTTTTTATTGAGTGTATATGCAGAAAAGGTGTATGTTTTAAGTGTAATAGGGTTGATAATTTTCAGAAGAGGTGCTTCATGAACAATGCAATTGTCAGTATTTTTAATGCATTATCTTACATTCAAAACATAAACAGTGACCTTATTTCTAACCAGTCAAGTTGTCAATGAAATATACTGAGCCTACGATCTCAAATCTAAAAATTTTCAGGAAAGGAGATCTTTCTCAAAGCCAATACAGGATCTTTTCCAAGATAATTTGCTGTGTTCCAATAAAAGTGTCCAACATTCTAGTTAAGCTACAACAAAATTTTTAACTACTATACATTATTTTATGAATCAAAGTATATCAATTTTATTTATGGGGGCTGACAGAGTATTTGCAGTTTCATTGGACACCTGTTTGTGCCACTACCATTTAGAGAGCAGAATGATTATGGTTAAAATTTTATACATATATTATCAGATTGGGAAAATAATCTTTAATGGAAAAAGTTATCATCAAGAATCTTATGTTTTGTGTAGAGAATTGAAATTACTTGATGCTACTAATTATTGTTCTTTTACTCTAATAATAAAAATGTATTTATTATTTTTATTACTCAGTTTCATTGCTATAAAGAAATACCTGAGGCTGGGTAATTTATAAAGAAAAGAGGTTTATTTTGGCTCATGTTTCTATAGGGTATATAGGAAGTATGGTGCTGGCATCTGTTTCTGGTAAGGGCCTCAGGAAACCTACAATCATGGTGGAAGGTGAATGGGAGGCAGGCAAGTCACATGGTGAGAGAGGGAGCAGGAGACAGAAGGGGTGGTCCCACAACCAGATCTCATGTGAACTATATGAGCAAGAAGTTCACTCATCATCAAAGGGATGACACTAAGCCATTCAGGAGGGAACAGCCCCCATGATCCAATACCTCCCACAAGCCCCTATCTCTAACATTGGGGATTGCATTTCAACATAAGATTTGGAGGGCACAAACATCCAACCATATCATAATTTAACTATAATGCCTGTAAGACCTTGTGAACATTTTGTTAGTTTATTTAAACCAATAGATTACCAAATTTAAAATATCTTTTGAAAATACTTTCATGAAAGATAAAAATTATTAATTATATTTTCTTTATACAGGGAACAACCTATGAAGAGGAAATTAATAATATTAAACATATTACTTCAAAAATTAATGCAATTCTGGCTCATAATTCACCAGTTTTGATTGTTCAAAGATGGATACGTGGTTTCTTAGTTAGAAAAAATTTGAGGTATGTTTTGTTTTCTTTACCATTTGAATATTGAAATAAGAAGGTGAAGAAATAAATGATAAGAAGTCAATTCTCCAATAATTTGCATTTTTGTATTCTCTATCATTAAAATGGTATAGTCTGTTTAACCTAACTTTAAGAAAAATACCACAGACTCTATAGTAATATAATATTTAACATAATCAACATTTGATATTTTATTTTTTCTTTTCAACTTACCATATAAATACAAATGTAAGCCATGGATTATATAATGGGATACAATAGAATATAAAACATGGAACATACATGGAAGATTTTATATTTTATTTAGATGCGAATACAATTTTGCTGTCACATCTGCTACCACGTCAATCTATATTGTCCTTTATTTAGTTGTCTTTTCCTCTTTTCTTGTTCCTTGCATTCCTTTGCAGTAGCTAAGCTTTGCAAATAAATGGAAACCTTTTTGCTAGAATTTCTCAACATTGTACTTGCAGAGATATGATAGGATACTCTGTCATCAATTTATAGTATTGGTCATACCAAATGTCAAACATATGAAAAACTAAATGAAAATATTCATATAGCTTATTCTAATTGGTAAAGTTCAGAAGATAGAAATGAAATTTGGCCCTGAAATATAGATAGGATTGACGTAGATCTGGAATAAGAAAACAGACATTTGTTGATAAAGCAAGATTAGGAAGTTTCACTGAAATGAGATTCAACATTCTGTGGTAAGATAGACACAATGAGATGTAATGCCTTCCAGCACAAGCCAATATATGCTAAATCATAGGTGGCAATAGTCCTGATAAAGAGAAACAAGTATGAGGAATAAGTAGTGAAACTGACCATAAATACAGTGCCTCCGACTTCTGAGGAAGTGGTTCCACATAATTTTCCACACTGAGGTCAAAATATGAGAGAACATAATCTCACATTGGAGACAAGTCAAATTACCTGAGTAAAGGAGGTGCAAAAGAATCAATCAGGCAGTTGCTGAAAAGTGCATACTTATTTAAAATATTAATTCTGTCTTTATTTTGCATTGGAATTTAATGTGCTTTTTATATTAAATACAGATCTAATTAAAGGGTCTTGTTTTTAGGTTATTTCCCAGGGATTTTTTTCTCTGGTAGAATGAAGGTTCTCACTGACGCTCATGTAACATGAGATAAAAACTTTGTTCATGGGAACAATCTTTAAAAACTAAGCATGTATGAATAGAGAGTTTTGCAGGAAGAGATTTCAGTAATAATATATGGCAGGGTTCAAGACAAGATGATTTGTATTTTCTCTCTCTTTAAAGCTCTGTTCCATTAGTTACATTACTTATCTATGCTGGGCTTGAATTTCTTTATCTGTAAAATTGTAAAGAACAGGGGATAAAAAAAGTACTTATTTCTATTTGTGGGAATTGAGATGATCAATATAATGCTCTTAGCACCTGACAAAAGTAGATATTACATTTTTTTTTTTTTTTTTTTTTTTTTTTTTTTTTTTTTTTGAGAAGGAGTCTCGCTCTGTCGCCCAGGCTGCAGTGCAGTGGCGCGATCTCGGCTCGCTGCAACCTCTGACTTCCGGGTTCACGCCATTCTCCTGCCTCAGCCTCCCCAGTAGCTGGGACTACAGGCACCCGCCGCCACGCCCGGCTAATTTTTTATATTTTTAGTAGAGACGGGGTTCCACCGTGTTAGCCAGGATGGTCTCAATCTCCTGACCTCGTGATCCGCACACCTCGGCCCCCCAAAGTGCTGGGATTACAAGCGTGAACTACCGCGCCCAGCCTTAAAAATTTAATTATCATTGTTGTTGTTATATTTAGTGCTCTCTGTGTTATTTGGCCCCATGGGAAATTTTCCTTGGATTTCTTGCTCCCTTCCAGCATGCAGACAGTAATCTTTCAAAAATACAAATTTAATCATTTTATTCACCAAGTTAAAGTCCTCCAGTGGCTTTCTATTTGTTTAGGACAAATGTTTGGGATATTGCCTCTTTGATGTGTTTCACATACTTTTATTATCACAAGCTCTTACCATACCGTATTATAGTCGTCTCTATAGTTACCTATATCTCCAGATTTACTATAAACTCTATGAGACTGTATCTCTGTTTTCCACTCTGTATCTTTAATATGTAACAGAATGCCTGACACATGTTAGGTGCTCAAAAATACTTTCTGAATTGATTAATACATCAACAAATGGAGAGACAGTGGGAGCTGAAATCAGATCTGGATTCATGCATGGAAAGGTGAAAGTAAGAATTAGGAAATATGAAGAGCTCCCCTGAGAGGCAACTATAGATTCCCACAACCTAGGGTCCGAGTGATTAGTCTTCTTGTGTCTCTATTTCTAGGCATGAGAAATGTCTCCTCACACCCAAATATTTTGTACTTTGAAATTTTTAACTTTAAGTACTTGAAATATATATGGCCAAAATTTATAAAATTATTATGATTAATGCTATTATCTTTTAGAGTGGTAGTATTTCTAGTACGGGTGATACAATATAAGGAAAGTATACTTTTATTCTTAGAATGAAATGTTGTAATTAGATTGATAGCCTCCTAAACCTACGTAAAGGCAGCTATACTGAGATCATGGGGAGGATTATTGGTTGTCTTGATGGGTTGTAAAAAAGGAAAAAGAATGGAAAAAATATAGGAAACAAAATTTATTGAATGTGCAATATATGTAAAGCACCATGTTAGGTACATTAATCCATTATATTATTTAATAAAACAGAGCTTTTGAGTCTTTCTGTATTTTCTGTTTTACAGATGAAACATTAAGAGTTTAAACTTGGTGGGGAGGCTAATATATGAATCAATATTAGAAAGCCATTTTGTGTTGGTCATTTGTGGTCAGTTATGAAGAGATGAAACCGCATGTAAATAAATATCAGGTTCCGGTATTAACACATTCCAAATTCCATGCTCCTTTTACTTTTCTAACAACACCCCTGAAGTCAGCTTTTCCAAACAGCTCTAGTCCTTTCAGTAAGGAATGGTATTTGGAAAGTAAGATCTAGAAACTAGATGTATTCATTGCTATTGGGGTGTCATTATTCCTAGCTCATTTTAGCAGACAGAATATGGATTATTCTTTCCATCATAATTTCATGTTAACACCCCAAATGTTAATCCAACACAGAGGGTTATTCACTGCTTTCATTCAACATTATATTTCCCTTTGAATTTTGGTTGCCAACATTATTAATTTTACTCATTAGCTTAATCCTACAATATACACAAAATAGTTTCATAGTCACTACTACACACTACTATCAACAATGTATTTAATACAATTCAAGATTTGTTGCAGGATTTTTTTAATGATTAGACTGGAGATATATTGTTGAAATAGTTTGTTGAATAGTTACTCATATTCATTTATCATAGTGATGGTAGTTCTTTTTCTACTGATTTTCTTTTTAATTTTAAAAATATTCCTTATTTTAGTCTATTTCACTTAGGAAATTTTTTGTTGTTTTCATTTATAATTATAATCCTTCTGGTTTAGTCTTTATATATAAAATTAGTTTTTAAATACTGATTTTTTTCTCATTTCTATCACTGCATTTCTAAATTTTCTCTTACATGTCTTATATAATTTTCTTGCTATCTTTTTGTTCATTTTGAAATAATAGGTGTAATTTTATTTTTATTTTTTATAAGGTTCACTTTCTGGCCTGCTTCCATTGTCTACAATGATATTGTTATGCTCTTTACTTTCTTCTTATTATAATTCTGTAAAGAACGAGATAGTGATTTTTCTGCATTGCTGTTTCTATAAAATTAGTTTTTCTGAACTTTAAGAAAAAGCTTTTCTTATTTTAGTATTTAAAACTACTCCTATTGTGTTTGTGTAGCATCCACAGTATCGTGGTTCTCTTTCTGCTGTCTCTGACTGTGGTTTCTATTACCTCCCTGTTAATGTGGATATTTTGCTCTCTCTTTTCACTGTTTTTCTCTGCCACTCAATTACTATTATTTTCCCAGGAAATTCTCCTCACTTTGGGCTTTGACCTGTAAGAGAGTTTTGGCTGGTTAGTTTTGGGGGTTTAGAGTCCCGGAATGCTTCAGATCCTTTAGATCTTACCATAGACTTTTTATTTATTGTATTCACACACTAATGCCCATCCCCCCCACCCCGGATTTAGCTTCTGTTCTATTTGTTTTGTTTCTATCCATCAAATGCCTCATTACTTTTGTCTGTTTCCTCCTGAATAATTGCTAACACAGCAGTGGGCTTACAATTGTCTATGATTTTTCCCCATTCATTCACATTTTAGATTTCCCGAGGATACCTTGTCACATAGTACTGTTGTAGATATTTAAAAAAATTTGCCTTCTAGTTGTTATGTTTGTTTCTATGAAGGAATCTGGAGAAATTAGAAAACTATGTCACTGCCATAACTATTATCCCACAGTGCCTTTAAAAAGTAGTGTTTACATGTTAAAAGCATCATTCAGGCTGAGGTGGGCAGATCACGAGGTCAAGAGATCGAGAGCATTCTGGCCAACATGGTGAAACCCCGTCTCTACTAAAAATACAAAAATTAGCTGAGCATGGTGGTGCATACCTGTTGTCCCAGCTACTCAGGAGGCTGAGGCAGGAGAATTGCTTGAACCCAGGAGGCGGAGGTTGTAGTGAGCCGAGATCGCGCCACTGCACTCCAGCCTGGTGACAGAGCAAGACTCCATCTAAAAAAAAAAAAAAAAAAAAAAAAAAGAAAGCATCATTCAATAACTATTTCTGGCAAACTAAATTTCTGTGACTTTCACATTTTAGGTGATATTTATTAAATAAATATTTATTTCTTAAAACATATAAGGTGGAGAGAAATGAAATATCCTGTAGTCATATCATGAGAGGTATGATTAGGGGAACTTGGATATATAAGTATCAGAAGAGTAAATTTAAGGCAATTCAAATAGTTGACCTCAAATTGTTGAATATTTTCTGTAAGTAAAATAGATAAAAGAATCAGGTATAGTGAGTGAAAGTTTTAGAAAGACAAATTTCAGCTTATTTTCCAGGAAAAATGTTTAACTCTGATTGTCTGATTGTATGGTTGCAAATTTCTTTTTGCAGGTAATGTTAATGTAGGAACCATCTAAATGCTAGGGCTATAATAAACTAGGTTTTAGCAGAAGCGAGAAAAGTCTAAGATACTTAGACTGCATTTTCCAGTAAATATGATTAAAATACATTAATATACATATTGGAAAATAATAGCAAAATAGTACGTTATCTTATCCAATGGGGAGCAAGATAAGGAGGCCCATAATCATCACTATATATTACAATTTCCTGAAGCTTTAGTAAATTTGATAATTAAAAAAAGAAGAAATAATATATTTGTATGTTTTACTTATTCAATTCAGTTCTATGTAAGAGGGATCCCCAATATCTTGGCTTAAACTAGGCAGAAGTTTTGTTTTTTATGTGAGAAGAGTCTGTGGTTCAAGAAGTCCAGGCCTGTGATACTGCACAAAATCAAGGATCCAACCTTCCTCTAACTTTTCAATCTACCTTTCTAATTTGTGTGTTTTATCTTCAAGGTCATTTATGGTCAAAATGGCTGCCAGAGTTCCAATCTTTACATCTGATTTTATGCTGGAAGACAGGCAATACTGAATGGCAGAAAGGGGCACATCTCCTGATTATAACAGCAATTTTAATCACCCTTACCGGATATACTGCATTTCTCTTTTCCTACATTTCGTTAGCCAGAATTCCCCTTTCCTACATTTCCTTGGCCAGAATTTAGTTGTATGGGTACACTGGCAGCTAAGAAATAGGGTCTTTTATCTGATCACTTTGTCACCTGTATGAAATTTGGCTACTGTTTTAAGGATTAAAAAGAGAATTGGAATTGAGTGGCAGTTTTTGCCACAGAATATTTGAAAGCAAAAGACAAAATAATAACTATTGCCTAGCAGCTACAAATGCATGTATGAACAAAAGAGAGAGGCTAGAATATCAAGAATCTAAGCATCTGTCTCATGAAGATAGAAAAATAGCAGAAGTTATACCCAAACAGAGTAAAGGGGAATAAGAAAAGTAGTATCAGAAATGAATGAAATGGAATACAAATATACAATAAACATGAGAAAATGCACATGAAAAAATTAATATATTTAAGAATTCATTATTTGTGGAGAGAAATTGGTAGTACTCCAGCAAGACTGATAAAGCAAAGAGTAATTACCAACGTAAAGAATTTAAAAAGGCACATTGCTGTAAGTCTACAGATATGAAAGAGAATAAGAACAACTTTATATCAAAAATTACAATTTTTTATGTGATATGAAAAAATTCTGTGAAGAAACACAATTTTCAAGCTGACAAAGGAAGAAATAAAAATACTAAATAGTTGTACATACATTAAAAAATTGAACACATTCTTGAAGTGCTTTTCACAAAGAGACATTGAGCCTGGATGAATTTACTGATGCATGATTCTATACATGTAAGGAAAATATAATGCCATCTTACGTAAATTTCCCAGAGAGTAAAAGAAAACACTTTACATATTATTTTGAGAGATCAACAAAACCTTAATATCAAAATCTTACAAAGACGTTACAAGAAAGAAAATTTCAGGTCAGTGTCATGAATACAGATGTAAAAATCATGAATACAATATTAGAAAATTAGATCCAATGATATAGAAAAAATAATACCTTATAACCATATAATTTATTCCAGGAATACAAGGTTAATTTAACATTAGAAAATCACTTATATTAACCGACTAAAAGAGGAAAATAACACCATGGGCATTCCTCCCTTTTGCCTGGAACCATGTTGACTAAAATGTGTGCCTATTATAAGCCAATTGTGTCCTCACTTGGCATGGTTTCAAGGTAACAAAGATTTGATCTTATTTAATCTCTTCTCACATGTGGTAGACAGAATTCCTAGGTGACCCACATGGCTTTTGTTCCCTGGTGTTACTCGCATGGTCATGTTATGTTGCAGGACAAATGATATTATGCAGATGTAATTAAAATGACTTACTAATCAGTTGACCTTAGGAGAGATTATCTAGATGGATCTAACGTTATCTCACGAGTACTTTAAAAACAGAATTTTCACTGAATAACTGAACAAGTGAAGGTTCCTCAAGGAAAGCTCCATGCTTCTTCCCCCACAACACACCCTATGCATCTCTTTATCTGTTTCTTTTATAATTACAACATCCTTGAGGCCCAAGGACTGGCCTAACCACAACCATAACTACTGCCACCCATGTATGCCATGTGGAGGCCTAAGGACCAGCATGTCTAGCCCACCACTGCCACAACTGGTGACTGAGGACTGGCCTGACTGGTGTCTCTGTCACCAGCAAAGTCTTGCTACAGCCTCTACCAGCAACTGCAGCCTCAGGCACTGAAGAACTCACAGATACTTCTGATGCTAATTATGGTCAAATAAATTATACTGAGACTACTCCACTACACCCACCAGATTCAAAGTCAAAGCATCCTATCCAACCAACACTGTAGATGCATCTATAACAAAAAGTACTTCCCTACAAAATTTGGAAAAAGCAACTGTTAACACCAGATGTACAGATGTCAATGTAAGGACACAAGAAACATGAAAAAGCAGGAAACATAATGCCTCCAAAGAAACAATAAATCTCTATAAACAGATTCCAAAGGAAAAAATATATTTGAAATGGCTGAAAAATTTTTTTAATGATTTTAAAGGAACTCAATGAGATATAAAGGAACACAGTTAAACAATACAAAGATATCAGAAAAGCAATTCATGACTTGTTGAATGAGAAATTTAAAGTGACCAAATTCTCACATTTTGAAAGACCCAGAAGGAGAAGAGATGGACAAAGATGAAGAAAACCTATTTAATGAAATAATAGCTGAAAACATCTTAAGTCTTGCAAAACATATAGACCCACATACAGAAAGCTTAAAAGTCCTCAAAAAGATTCAACCCCAAAAGGTCGTCTCAATGGCATGTTATAGTTAAACTGACAAAAGACAAAAGCAGAGAGAATGATAGAGACAGCAAGAGAAAGGCCTCAAGTCACATATAAGGAAATCCCCCTCAGACTAACAGTTAAAACTGTATCCAAAACATGTTTTTATCAATAATACATGCCTTTTAAATTAAATTTTTAATATTTCTGACACTTTCACTTTATTTTATGGACATTGGGTTGATATTGGAAAGCTCTTCTGAAATGATTAGCATTTTGACATAAAATCATTATTCTCTACTATGATTGTCAGGGTAGCAACCTATGTTATCAAACATCAAATTAATTGGGTTTGAAAAATACCTTAAAATGTTTTTATTTATCATGAGTTAGAATCTTTCATGGTTGACCAAAGCAAAAGAGTAGATAAAAAGAGAAAAATTTATTTATTTCATATGGAGTTTTTTTAGAATGTTCTTGTTGCCTAGAAAATTTTAGAGATTAAGTGTACCAAATTAAATTTGCTTTTTAATTTTTCTTGTTCGTAGGCAATTCTTTTCTTTTGATGCAGAGTCTTACCTGTAGTCCAGGATGGACTGCAGTGGTGTTATCTAAGCTCACTGCAACCTCCACCTTCCTGGGCTCAAGCGATTCTTCTACCTCAGCCTCCTGAGTGGCTGGGACCACAGGCACGCGTTGCCATGCCTGGCTCATTTTTGTATTTTTTATAGAGATGGAGTTTCGCAATGTTGCCCAGGCTGGTCTCCAACTCCTGGGCTCAAGCAATCTGCCTGCCTTGTCCTCCTAAAGTGCTGGGATTACAAGTATGAGCCGCCTTGGCTGACCAATCATAGGGAACTCTTATAAAGACTATTTTATTTATTATAAAACAATATTAACTATTTAGGTCTAATCAACTATCCTACTTACTGTGAATTTTTTGGTGTTATTCAAAGTTGACAGTGGATTAGAATCATCAGATAATTTATTCAAGTTCTGGCTTGGCACTGTGTGCCAGACATTTTATGTAATTTACCTCATTTGATCCTATAAACAATCCCAAATAACTTGCCTGAGGTTTCAAAACTTGTAAGTTATAGACACAGGACTCAGGCCCATATTTCATGGATCATAACCAAATAAAATAAAATAAAATAATTTGTATTATTCTGCTAGCACTTGCTAGATCTTGGGAAATATTATTTCTTAATAAAATTTTCATAGCAAAGTTATGAAATTATATACAAATGTGCACTACCTGCCTTATAGGCATGATATAATTATTAATTTTTATCGATCAGTTCATTCTACAAGTATTTATTGAGTGCCTACCATAAGTTAGGCCCTTTCTGGGTCCTGAAGACACAACAGCAGACAAAACATTTAAATTCACTGCCTTTGTGGAGTTTATATTTTAATAGAATTACTATTTTCACATATATAGTGGCATATCATGGAACATATATAATGGTACACTAACATTGTATATGATTTTACATTATAAATAACATAATTATTTTATTCCTAATAGATTATTTTTGCTGAAATACAGTCATGCATTGCTTAATGACAAGGATGCATTCTGAGAAACATGTTGTTAGGTGATTTTGTCATTGTGTGAACCCATAGAGAGTACTTTGACAAACTTAGGTTATATAGCCTACTACACTTAGACAAACTTAGGTGGTATAGCGTATTTGTAGCCTAGGCCACAAATCTGTACAGCATATTACTATACTAAATTTTATAGGCAATTGTAAGATAATGATAAATATTTGTGTATCTAAATATAGAAAAGAGAGTAAAAGTACGGTAGTATAATTTCATGGGGACCACCAGTGTATATGCAGTTTGTCATTGACTGGAACATCATTATATGGCATATAACTGTATACTTTGCTGGAAATTTTAAATGTACACTTGTCTTTATTAACTCATTTGATCCTCACAGCAGTTCTGTGAGGTAAATATAATTACTTCATAGATATGATAGAGAAAATTGAGGATTTATTTTTAAAACTAGATAAAAAGAAGAGAAAATACTACATTTAAATACTTAATACAAATATAATTAAGAAAAAAATTAGTAATTCATTATATTTTAGTGGTGGAATATTTTACAAAATTCTTTTCAAATTTGGATTGTAGGCCTAGTATACTTGTGATGTTTTTCTGATTATTTTGTTGATGAGTAGTTAATGAGTTATTTCTTTCATAATTGATTAAAGCAAGTAATTTTTTAAATCCTTCTCACATAAAATTTAGAAGATTAGATTGTGTAGTATCTAGAGTTCTTACTTGCAAACAGCGGAAGCTAACTGTAAATGACTTAGACAATAATAGAATTTGTTAGAGGTTTTTCAGGAAGCTCACGAAAAATTCAGGAAGACAGAGTAACTGGCTTTGGAAAAGGAACAGCAGTGAGAAGCATGGCAGAGCCAACTCCACCAGAGAGCATTCCTAGTTTACTGTTACTATTGGCTACTTGTCTCCCCATTATTCTGTTGCAGCTGTCATGAATACCCTTTTGTTGTCCTTGTGCATTTGGATTGTCCCTGACAAGTAAAAATCCAGGGAAAAAGCACCGAATTGGTTAAGCTAAGTCATATGACTGTGGCCTTAGCTCTTAGGAAAATGGAAAATGGAATTTGTTTTCTTAAGTCATTCATACGCTAGTGATAACAACATTAGTAGAGGTACCCAAAATGGAAGGATTTTCAGGTGTTGTATACCTCTACTAAATGTACATTAATCTATTTTTGTATGCATAGATCATATTATCATAATAAGCAAGATTGATCTGGGGTCTCTATAATATTTCTGTAGGTAAAAATATTTTAAATTTAATTTAAAATTGTATATGTATATGTGTGTATGTGCATTTATTTTTCATTTTTCCTCAAAAATTTCTAAGGCCATATGGGAGAAAAATGTGTGTGTGTGTGTGTGTGTACACATACATGTATGAATTAGGATAAAATATAGATATAAGGTTGGGAAACTATAGTCCGCAGGAAAAATCTGATATAGCCTGTGCAGAAGGAATAATGGTTTTTATAACTTAAAAGGATTGTTAGAAAAAAAAGAAAAATATGCAATAGAACATATGTACACTCCAGCGCCTACATATTTACTAATTAGCTTTATATAGAAAAAGTTTGTTAACCCTGACTGCTACAGAAGATACAATGGAGATAATTTGGTAAATGGTTTTTTTTGCTGCTTTTTTTTTTTTTTTTTTTACAGACTGTTACAGTCCTCTGAATTTAAGGATTGCTTGAAGATGTGTCCAAGAAAGCGAGAAAAAAAAAACATTTTTTTTCTAATTTTTAAGTTGATAGAAAAATATTAATCTAGTTTCCTTGAAATATAAAATCTATTGAAAATAAAGAAATGTTTCATGTTAAACTGGACTACAGAAATTTGTTCTAGATTAGGTTTCTATATGATAACTAACTTAGAAATCTGCATTGTTGATTACTTGGGGAGTATTTGATATGTGGATATCCTGGGATTATGCCAAATATGGTTGCAAATAAGACTCCTTGTCAAATGAAGGGACACTGATTATAATCTAGGAAATTAGACCAAAGGTCAGGACTAGGAAGTTAGCTAATTTGTCTTTCAAATTTAAGGGCACTTTGTTAAGGAGAAAAGAGAAAAAACAAGAGCTACTAACTGAAAGGTGCCCAAATAGGTAAAGAATAAATGGATCATAGTTGATTCTGAGGTCAAAACTTTAAACACCAACATCTATTTATGCATTTTAAATGTACATCGTTAATGCTTCACTAGTTCTTAAAGGAATATAAATTATTATAATACTCAAAATAGCATTATCACAACTTATATGAATCAGGAAATGATTAGTCTCATTTAAAATTACTCACCTTAAAGATTTAAGTATAAAACATTTATAATGTACTTAATATAATTTGTTAATGTGAAAGCATTATATGCAACTTTTTAGTAATACATCTAATATGCCAAGAGTAGTTACCTTAGCTACCTGGGTTTTGAGACTTCATTTTGGAATTATGAGATAAAAAGTTGTAATATATAATATATAAAAGATTATTATAATTTGTTATAGTAAATTATGTAATTCTGAATGCTGAGTGTGTTCAACAATGATTATATTACTTATGTATAATGAAGATTAGGTTAATTCCTACCTTAAAAGTTAGGTATATTGAAGATACCAGTAGCACAAGTTTCTTAAAGAAAATTATATTTTAAATAATAAATGTATGCCAACATTTGCGTGAAAAATGTTTCATACAGTGAATTTCCTGGATATATACAATGATTTAAAATATTGTCTAGCTTTGCATATGGTAGGGATTGTTGACCATCTGTTACGACAAAGTACAGATTCAAGGCAATACTATTTAAATTTTGCATCTTCAAAATTTACCTTACTTCTTTCAATGCTATCTTGGAACACAGATGTGCTTTCTTCTACTATTTGTCAACCAAAAACTATCTTTATTAAAATACTATTAAAGAATCAATAACATTTTATGACTGGGTAAACAATTTTCATAATTAAATATTATCCATAAAATAGTGTCTCCCGTTCATCTTACCCAGTTGAATAATGACTCTGCTGAAGTTGTCAGAATTGGACTGAATTGTTTCTTTATTTTATTTGAAGTTCACTTCAAATAATTTTAATTGCACTAATACTTTGCAAAATATTTTGACTCATTTGAAACTCAGAATAAAAAATAGATGTTTATATTAGTCTTATTAGAAAGCAGTTTTCCATTTTTCAGAAGTGGTACTAGGAGCAGAATATTTTGTGTGTTTGCTTTCTTTCAAAATGAATGGGCTTCTACATAGATACACATACAAGACAGCTTTATTGCTATCTTCTTGTCCTCATTAGACTTACTGGAAGACTGGAGTCATAAAAAGATGGGTGGGCTCATTCCAATAATCTGTGGGTCTTCCTGCACTTAAGGCAAGAATAGTACATCCATCAGCAAGTTTCAGGAGCTGCAAAAATAAGTGGCATGGCCTTGACGCATGCCCTAATGATTCAAGATGTAACAGCATGATCGCCTCTGTCTGCTTCTTTATGGGTTCAGATGAATATACCCCTGACTCTTTTAAGCAAGCATTTGTGGCCATTCCAGGAATAAGTACCCTTTAAAAATACAAAATTCATGTGAAATTGTATATAATATATGACACTGAAATTTAAGCTACTTTAACAGTCAGCCTTATATCTGTTACCTTTACATAGGCTTTGGCTACCTACTCGAAGAATGGTTTGGCCACCTAATTTGCAAAGTCAGAAAGTCACATTACAATGTAGTATTTCCTTGGTTGAAGTGGACTGGGTGTGGTGTGATTAACTCTGCTTTGGGAAAGTAGGTAAACACTATTAGGAGGAGAATATGCTAAAATTGAAGCTTTAACAATTCCTGAGTAGTATGTGGATTTCATTATCTCATTTGATGGGATAATTAATAATTTGAGAAGCAGTATTTTTAGTAAAGTGGAAGTACTGGCGATACTATGAGTGTGAATAGAGACTGGTACAGCTACTGTGGGAAAAATATGGAGGTTCCTAAAGTAACTTAAAATAGTACTACCATATGATGCAACAATTCAACCCCAGTCTTTCGAATTCAAAGGAAATGAAATCACCAACTTGTAAAGATACCTGCACTCTCACGTTCATTGCAACATTATTCACAATAGCCAAGATACAGAATCAATGCAAATGTCCATCAAGGAATAAACAGATAAATTGTTATATATGTTTGTGTAATATGTGTGTGTGTGTGTGTGTGTGTGTATAAATGGAATATTATTCAGAATAATATTATTCAGCACCTTTAAAAATAATGAGAATTCTTTAGGGGAAGAAGTGGTAACTCAGTTTAATCTCTCCAGGATTAAATTATGAAACTGCTTTTCAGTTGATACTCCAGTTATCTTTTAATAGTGGAAAACAAAAGTGGACTAGGAAAATTTTTCATGAAGCAACAAAATGAGCCCAATATTTTACCAAAATAATATTGTTTGTGTTTTTTTCTTAGTTTTATATAACTCATAATTTTGGATAAAAGTGACATAAAATTGTTGTAAAAATCAGAACATTTTTTATCAAACAAAATACGTATCTAATACATATTTAGAAATAAAAAGTATTGAGTTAAATTATCTGCATCTTAAAAATACCAGATCTTAATAAATAATTATTGAATAAGCTAATGTCTACATTGGTGTGTTCAAAACATTTAGAAATTTTAAAATTTTTAGAAACAATTCAAACAATATATCTGTCCATATTTTCTAGCTACTGTTTTTGTGGCAATACAGGCAAACTGATTTTTTTTTCTTGAAAAAGCCATAGTTATACTTTTGTGTAAAATATTAGCTCAAACCGTGTTTTATAGATGCAACATTGCCATCTATCCATGCTTATTTTTAGAATCATCAGCTTATTTGTATTTTGAATTGATAATCTATCATGTACTATTAAGAAACTGAAGTATATTTTTTAAAATTTACTATTGGAGATATAAATCAGAATAGACAACAAGAATATCTTGGCAGCCAAAGAAAACCTAGTTCCATGATGTTAGCATATTAGTTGCCTGCTGTGTCTTAAGTGCTTTAGGTGTTTTAGGTGTTGAGAATGTAAAAAGACGCAAATTATGATTCCTAATCATAAGAAGATAATAGTTCAATTATACAGACAAACAAACACAGTATTTTATCTACTATGATAAATATTACAGTAGACAAATATTCAGCCAACTTTGTGGGTATACAATTAATTCTGATTGGGTGAGGTTGTCAAGAAAGACTTCATAGACCTTATATTACATGAATTTTTTCAAAAATTTAAAAATTTCATCAAGTATGGAATGTATGTATGTTTTTATATTGGAAGGGATGTGGTGCCAGAAGAGTGGGATTAGTTGTAAAGGGTTTAATTCTAGTCAAACTGTAGGATGTGTAAAGTTATTGAGGTAGGGAAGGACATTTCACATTGATATGATAATAACTTATTTGGTGTGAATATATCTTAGGGCAGGGGAAACAAGCTTAATTTCCTTGCAGTAGGAAATCCTGTCCTATATGATTTCAGTCCTTTGACTTTGAATTTCATTGAGATTTGCATATGGCCCACGCTTTTCACGTGTGCTTAAAAAAAGTGTCCTCTATAGTTATTGGCTAAGATATTTTTTGTGTTTCTATTAGGTCACTGGTTAGGTGGTGTTCAACTATTCTATTCCTTATTAATTTTGGGATTACTAGTTTTCTCAGTCACTGGGAGAAGTGAACTTACATCTCTCACTGTGATTGTAGATGTATTATTATTATTTCATTATAGTTAGGTCAAATTTTGTTTTGCATATTTTGAACTATGTTATTAGTTGCATAAAAATTAAAAATCATTATGTCAATCAGTCAATTGAACCTTTTATCTTTATGAAATGACTCTCAATTCATCTAGTAATCTTTATGGCTTAAAGTTTACTTTATCAGATGTATTTACACTGGCTTGTTTTGTATTTAGTTTTTGCATATTTATTTTCTATCCATTTGGTTATAATATTTCTGTATATTTATCTTTATCTGTCTATCTAGCTCATAAATAACAGAGTTTGATTTTTTAAACCCAGTCTGACAATTTTTATATTAACTATCATATTTGGACTATTTACATTAAATGTTATTCCTGATGTTTGGGGTATTAAATACATTGTGTTATTTTTGCTTTTTGCTTTTCTCTCCTGTTCTGTAAATTTTCTCCCTCATATTTCCTGCCTTCTTTGGAATTTAGTTTTTATTGTTGTATGTTTTCCCCCTCTACTGTTTTGGAAGATACACTCTATATTTCCAATTTTGAAGAATCAGTAATCCTAGCAAATAAAATATGCTTATTTACTTTAATATATCTTCATTTAATTAGTACCTTTACTCTTCTTCTTGACCATATAAAAATTTTAGAACTCTATTTTCATTATATCTCCTTTTCAACTTTCATGCTATTTTGTCATATACTATAATTTTATCTATGGGTTATAATAAGACATTAATATTTTTATTTTTATATAGTCAGTATTTATATCAAGAAATGTTATCCTTTGTTATAAGTAGTGGCAAGCCATTACAAGTGTTTAAGCACAGAAGAGATGCCATGGGATGTTACTCTACAGTTATGTGGAATAAAAGTTTTAATGAGGGAAGACTAAAGCCATCAATCCTAGGTTACTAAAATAGTTTAGGTGAGTCATAAGTGCCTGGAATAAAATATAGATGTAGGGATCAGATAAAGGTATTTATGGGTACAATACAGAGGATTAGAGAATTTGGTGAGCAAATGGGTAGTGGTTGTTATGGTGAGAAAAAGAAGCATATGATGGATGACACTAAAAATTTTGGTGTATGCAATTGCATGGATAGCGGCCAGTCCTCACTACTTCCCTTCCTAGCTTCTCGCTTTTTCCTTCCCTCCCTCCCTCCCTCCTTCCTTCCTTCCTTCCTTTCTCCCTTCCTTCTTTCCACTGAAAAGTTTGAAGTCAAATTATACATTTTATTTCCCCAAAGCCATCATATTTTCATCATTTACAGCCTAACATTTTACATTTATGTATGTGTGTATATATATACACACACACATGTATATATATATATACACACACACATACATATATGTATATATATATACACACACACATACATATATGTGTATATATATATATATACACATAAATACATTTTTTGTGTTTGTGTTTTATTTCTTTATTTTTTGTAGAGACAGGGTCTTGTTATGTTGTTCGGTCTGGTCTCAAACTCCTGGCCTCAAGTGTTGGCCTCCCAAAGTGACATATTACAGGCATGAGCCACCACGCCCAGCCACTCTCCTATTTTCTATGATAAGTGGACTGGGGGCTGTATTGGAGAGGAAGGGAAGGTGCTTGGAGAGGAACAGATATATCACAGATAATTGAATTTCATATGTAACCCAGTTACATCCTGGAGCCCATGTAGTCCTGGGAGTTATGAAATGTGATTTGAGTATAAACATGATCATCTTTAAAATGAAAAATACTCCCATTACAAGTATAACTTGCAACATGTTCTGAGTCCAAAAATGTAGTTTCTCAATCCACTTGTTTCAAAATACAGTCTTCGCTGGCTGCTTTCTTGAAAGCAGCCATAAGAGAGGATTTTTGTTTAAACAAAGGCCATTTCACTCTCCTGAAGAGTTCCACTTGCAGTTTTTCTCCTTTTGTTTCTCATATTGAGACAACAGACATTCAACTTGACATGCCTAGCTGAACTCTGGGTCAGACCCTGCCCATGGGACACCAAAAAGTAAGTATGTAAGTCTGGTAATGGATTGAAGGATATTTGGAGACAGTCTGGGCATTTTGGCCCCAGTTTACTCAGAAGGAATAGCTGAAAATAGACTTTTTGTGACCTGGGATAATTATGAGCTGTGATTTGGCTATAAACATGATCGTCTTTAAAATGAAAAATGCTAAAGGTCTTTATGCTTATCTGTACTGACCTCTACCCCATACTTGTAATCATACATCCAGGTCACATTACCATGAAATGAAGTCAGGGCCTTGTTTTTTTGTTTTTTTTTTTTGTTTGTTTGTTTTTTTAAAGGAAGCAAAAGAGCCAGGATATTTATTTCTTTTCTTCTTCCTTTTTTTTTAAAATTATACTTTAAGTTCTGGGATACATGTGCAGAACATGCAGGTTTGTTATACAGGTATACACGTGCCATGGTGGTTTGCTGCACCCACCAACCCATCATCTACATTAGGTATTTCTCCTAATGCTATCCCTTCCCTACCCTCCCACCCCCTGACAGGCCCCGGTGTGTGATGTTCCCCTCCCTGTGTCCTGTGTTCTCATTGTTCAACTCCAACATATGAGTGAGAACATGCAGTGTTTTGTCTTCTGCTCTTGTGTTAGTTTCCTGAGAATGATAGTTTCCAGCTTCATCCATGTGCCTGCAAAGGACATGAACTCATCCTTTTTTATGGCTGAATAGTATTCCATGTTGTATATGTGCCACATTTTCTTTATCCAGTCTATCATTGATGGACATTTGGGTTGGTTCCAAGTCTTTGCTATTGTGAACAGTGCTGCAATAAACATACCTGTGCATTTGTCTTTATAGTAGAATGATTTCTAATCCTTTGGGTTTATACTCCATAATGGGATTGCTGGGTCAAATGGTATTTCCGGTTCTCAACCCTTGAGGAATCACCACACTGTCTTCCACAATGGTTGAACTAATTTACACTCCCACCAATGGTGTAAAAGTGTTCCTATTTCTCCACAGCCTCACCAGCATCTGTTGCTTCCTGACTTTTTAAAGATTGCCATTCTAACTGGCATGAGATGGTATCTCATTGTGGTTTTGATTTGCATTTCTCTAATGACCAGTGATGATGAGCTTTTTTTCATATGTATTTTGGCCGCATAAATGTCTTCTTTTGAGAAGTGTCTGTTCATATCTATTTTTATAGTATATAGAAAGATGTTGGTTATGTAAAATCTGCAGTAGCAATTTAGGTTGATTGTTTAATTTTAAAAAGTGTTGCAAATAAAATAGGAGTGAATTTAAAAAAATTTAAAGAGGAGATGCTTTTCCCCCTGTAATTATACTAGATATATTGTCTGTTAGGTATATATGATTTTTATTTAGATCATTGTAAAGGCATGTCTCCTGCCCCTTAGGAACCGAAAGTTGAAAACAAAAGCAATCATGAATGCAAGAAATAGACAAAAATATTATACTTGTAAAATACTTAACATGTTTTTAACAAACAGCAGTAAAATAATAAACTTAATTCAGTGCTTGAAGATATAAATAAAGAACCGTTATGAGGTTCAGCAAATAAGACTCTAAAAGTTTTCTACTTAAACTGTTTATGGTTTGAGTTGCAGTATAAAATGAATCAAAGTGGTTTTCCCTTTAGCCTTAATAATTTCTACTGAATGATAGTGAAGAGAGTGGAAGGAATGAAGAATGCTAAGGAAATTTTGCATTTACAGTTAGCAAAATAATTACTAAGAACAGTCTTCCCAATTTGCCTCTGAGAAATTGACTGGAATAACCAAAGTAATAGAAAAATTTTGAATGGTGGATAAGAAGGTAGATAAAACTCATTAATGCTCACATTAGGGAATAATTCCAACAACAAAATCAAAGTCCCTGATGATTTTTTGCTATTTCTAATATATATATAATTAGATCTATTTCTTCTTTATGGATTCTTGAACAATACTTTATTCTTGAAATTGCCGTTAAGCTGCTTAGTAGGGTTCCAGAGAGGTACCTTGGAATGATGCTCACTGCTGTGCTAAGAAACTTTCTGTGTAGCCACCATCTGGAATGATGGCGGAACACTGTGGTCTTACAGAATTAATTGGGATGTGTTTCTTTCTCTATTTCTGGAGGAGTATGTAAAAGATTGGTATTATTTCTATCTTAAATGTTTAGTAAAATTCACCAGTGAAGCCATCTGTGCCTTGGATTTTATCTATGGGAACATTTTAAATTGTGAATTCAATTTCTTTACTTGTTACAGATCTATCTAGGTTTTCTATTTCTTCTTAAGTTAGTTTTGGTAATTAGTGTCTTTTAAGGAATTCATCCATTTCATCTACATTTTCCAATTTGTTGGCATAATACTATTTCTCATATTTTCTTTTGATATTTTTAATTTCTGTAAGGTCATTAGTAATGTGGTCTCTTTTTTATTTTCGTAATATATGCCTTCTTTTGTTTTACTTAGCTTACCTAGAGGTTTGCCATTTTGTTGATATTTTCAAAGAATCAATGATTTTATTAATTTTCTCTACTATTTTTCTAGTTTTTTATTTCACTGATTTCCTCTCTCATATTTATTCCTTCAATCTTGCTTGCTATGAGATTCCTTTACCCTCCCTCCTTCCACACTCCACCTCACACTTTTCAAGAGGAAGTTTGGATTTTGATTTGAGACATTTCTTATTTTCTGATATAGGCATTTACAGCTATGTTTTCATCTAAGCACTGCTTTAGCTACATCTCATAATGTTTTATATGTTGTGTTTTCATTCAACTCAAATAATTTATAATTGCTTTGGTGATTTATTCCTGTCCCCATGGTTATGGAGAAATAATAAATTTATTTCCAGATATATTTGAATTTCCAAAATTTTCTTCTGTTGTTGATTTCTTATTTAATTTTACCATGATTACTGAACATACTTTGTTGATTTCAATTATTTTAAATTTATTGAGACTTATTTATAGCCTTGTTATGAGATATATCCTGGAGAATGTTTCATGTGATTGAGAAGAAATTTCATTCTATTGGGTGAATTGTTCCATAAACATCAGTTAAGTAAAGTTAGTTGATAGAGTTCCTATAATTTGCTATATGTTTGTTGATTTATTGTGTTGTCATTCTGTCTATTATTTAGAGTGTGGCATTAAAGTCCACAACTCTTACTGGTGAATTGTGTAATTCTTCCCTCAATTGTGCCACTTTTTACATCATATATTTTAGTCTCATTTTTGTTGGGTACATACATACTTAGAATTGTTGTGTGTACCTGATGAAGTGACATTTCCAACACTGTAAAATTTTTGTCTTTGTTTCAGTAACATATTTTATCTTAAAGTCTATTTTGTCTAATATTAGAATACCCACTCCAGCTTCTTATAGTCACTCTTATTGTGGTATTTTTGCATTATTTTACTTTTGGCTGATTCGCATCTCTGAATTTTAAAGTTTCTTTTGTAGACAGATTGTAGTTAGAAACTTACGTTTTGCTATTTTTAAGTTAATCTGAAAACATTTGTCTTTTAATTGGAATATTTAATCCATTCTCATTTAAAATTATTATTTATATAGCTGGACTTACATCCACCATTTTTCCTTTGGGTTTTTATATATCACATGTATTTCCCTGTATTTCTCCTTTACCACATTCTTTTATATTAAACAGGTATTTTCTACTGTACCATTTGATTTCTTTCTTGCTTTTTACTGTGTTTTTTGTTATTTTCTCAGTGGTTGCTCTATGTACTACAGTATGTATCTTATCACATTTTACTTCAAATTAATAGTACCTTTATTTCAGTAAAATATAGAACTTTGCTCCAGTAAAACTTAAATCCCTCTACCTTCCTTTGCCCTACTGTTGCTCTATATTACATCTATATATGGTAATTTAAACCCAAGAAAAGAGTGTTATAGTTATTGCTTTTAAAGATATTAAGAGGAGGGAATATATACTTATAGACTCTTTGAAATTAACGTATGTATTTATAATTTCTATTACTCATGTTTTCTTCCTGTGAATTGAAGTTACTGTCTGATGTCACTTCAATCTGCTCTCAGTCTGCTATGCCATAGTAGTACCTTTGCACCATGTAGGTAGAAGTGGTAGGGGTTATGGGGGGCTATTGGTAGCAGGAGCAGCACCAGGCTAAAATGCTACAAACTCCCCACTGTTCTTATTTATATTTATTATCATTTCATCAATAAAGACTTTTCATTTGGTTATATGCCTTTAGTGAATTTCTAGTCTTAAAATGGTAATTTTGGGAAATTTTGTTCAGTTTTACAATTACTCTTTGGAAAGAGGAGTTGCCAAGTCCCTCACTCAGCCATTACAGAAGACCTCTATATTTTAAGAAATAATTTTTGAAGATCAGATACTCTTACTCCAATAATGTTAGAAATGAGTAATAAAAATGTCAAAATTTCCTGGGAATCAAAAAATACTCTCATAAATAATACTTGAATCAAATAAAAATTCAAATATAAAGTTAAAAAAAGCATTGAGTGTCATTTCATATAAGACAAAATACAGCTGAAATACTTATAAGGAAGTGTAGAGATTTTTTTTGGTAGGATTATGTGCTTTGTCTTTTTTTTATTATTATACTTTAAGTTCTAGGGTACATGTGCACAATGTGCAGGTTTGTTACATATGTATACATGTGCCATGCTGGTGTGCTGCACCCATTAACTCGTCATTTACATTAGATATATCTCCCAATGCTATCCCTCCCCCTTCCCCCCACCCCACGACAGGCCCCAGTACGTGATGTTCCCTTTTTGTGTCCAAGTGTTCTCATTGTTCAATTCCCACCTATGAGTGAGAACATGCGGTGTTTGGTTTTTCGTCCTTGCAATAGTTTGCTGAGAATGATGGTTTCCAGCTTCATCCAGGTGCCTACAAAGGACATGAACTCATCATTTTTTATGGCTGCATAGTATTCCATGGTGTATATGTGCCACATTTTCTTAATCCAGTCTATCATTGTTGGACATTTGGGTTGGTTCCAAGTCTTTGCTATTGTGAATAGTGCCGCAATAAACATACATGTGCATGTGTCTTTATAGCAGCATGATTTATAATCCTTTGGGTATATACCCAGTAATGGGATGGCTGGGTCAAATGGTATTTCTAGTTCTAGATCCCTGAGGAATCGCTACACCGTCTTCCACAATGGTTGAACTTGTTTACAGTTCCACCAACAGTATAAAAGTGTTCCTATTTCTCCACATCCTCTCCAGCACCTGTTGTTTCCTGACTTTTTAATGATTGCCATTCTAACTGGTGTGAGGTGGTATCTCATTGTGTTTTTGATTTGCATTTCTCTGATGGCCAGTGATGATGAGCATTTTTTCATGTGTCCGTTGGCTGCATAAATGTCTTCTTTTGAGAAGTGTCTGTTCATATTTGCCCACTTTTTGATGGGATTGTTTGTTTTTTTCTTGTAAATTTGTTTAAGTTCTTTGTAGATTCTGGATATTAGCCCATTGTCAGATGAGTAGATTGCAAAATTTTTCTCCCATTCTGTAGGTTGCCTGTTCATTCTGATGGTAGTTTCTTTTGCTGTGCAGAAGTTCTTTAGTTTAATTAGATCCCATTTGTCAATTTTGGCTTTTGTTGCCATTGCTTTTGATGTTTTAGACATGAAGTCCTTGCCCATGTCTATGTCCTGAATGGTATTGCCTAGGTTTTCTTCTAGGGTTTTTATGGTTTTAGGTCTAACATTTAAGTCTTTAATCCATCTTGAATTAATTTTTGTATAAGGTATAAGGAAGGCATCCAGTTTCAGCTTTCTACATATGGCTAGCCAGTTTCCCCAGCACCATTTATTAAATAGGGAATCTTTCCCCATTTCTTGTTTTTGTCAGGTTTGTCAAAGATCAGATGGTTGTAGATGTGTGGTATTATTTCTGAGGGCTCTGTTCTGTTCCATTGGTCTATATCTCTGTTTTGGTACCAGTACCATGCTCTTTTGGTTACTGTAGCCTTATAGTGTAGTTTGAAGTCAGGTAGCACGACGCCTCCAGCTTTGTTCTTTTGGCTTAGCATTGACTTGGCAATGCGGGCTCATTTTTGGTTCCATATGAACTTTAAAGTAGTTTTTTCCAAGAAAGTCATTGGTAGTTTGATGGGGATGGCATTGAATCTATAAATTACCTTGGGCAATATGGCCATTTTCACAATATTGATTCATCCTATCCGTGAGAATGGAATGTTCTTCCATTTGTTTGTGTCCTCTTTTATTTCATTGATCAGTCGTTTGTAGTTCTCCTTGAAGAGGTCCTTCACATCCCTTGTAAGTTGGATTCCTAGGTATTTTATTCTCTTTGATGCAGTTGTGAATGGGAGTTCACTCATGATTTGGCTCTCTGTCTGTTATTGGTGCATAAGAACGTTTGTGATATTTGCACATTGATTTTGTATCCTGAGACTTTGCTGAAGTTGCTTATCAGCTTAAGGAGATTTTGTGCTGAGACAATGGGGTTTTCTAAATATACAGTCATTTCATCTGCAAACAGGAACAATTTGACTTCCTCTTTTCCTAATTGAATACCCTTTATTTCTTTCTCCTGCCCGATTGCTTTGGCCAGAACTTCCAACACTATGTTAAATAGGAGTGGTGAGAGAGGGCATCCCTGTCTTGTGCCAGTTTTCAAAGGGAATGCTTCCAGTTTTTGCCCATTCAGTATGATATTGGCTGTGGGTTTGTCATAAATAGCTCTTTATTATTTTGAGATACATCTCATCAATACCTAATTTATTGAGAGTTCTTAGCATGAAGGGTTGTTGAATTTTGTCAAAGGCCTTTTCTGCATCTGTTGAGATAATCATGTGGTTTTTGTCTTTGGTTCTGTTTATATGCTGGATTACATTTATTGATTTGCATATGTTGAACCAGCCTTGAATCCCAGGGTTGAAGCCCACTTGATCATGGTGGATAAGCTTTTTGATGTGCTGCTGGATTCGGTTTGCCAGTATTTTATCGAGGAATTTTGCATTGATGTTCATCAGGGATATTGGTCTAAAATTCTCTTTTTTTGTTGTGTCTCTGCCAGGCTTTGGTATCAGGATGATGCTGGCCTCATAGGATGAGTTAGGGAGGATTCCCTCTTTTTCTATTGATTGGAATATTTTCAGAAGGAATGGTACCAGCTCCTCCTTGTACGTCTAGTAGAATTCGGCTGTGAATCTGTCTGGTCCTGGACTTTTTTTGGTCTGTAGGCTATTAATTATTACCTCAATTTCAGAGCCTGTTATTGGTCTATTCAGGGATTCAGCTTCCTCCTGGTTTAGTCTTGGGAGGGTGTATGTGTCCAGGAATTTATCCATTTCTTCTAGATATCTAGTTTATTTGAGTAGAGATGTTTATAGTATTCTTTGATGGTAGTTTGTATTTCTGTGGTGGTAATATCTCCATTATCATATTTTATTGTGTCTATTTGATTCTTCTTTCTTTTCTTCTGTATTAGTCTTGCTGGTGGTCTATCAATTTTGTTGATCTTTTCAAAAAACCAGCTCCAGGATTCATTGATTCTTTGAAGGGTTTTTTGTGTCTTTATCTCCTTCAGTTCTGCTCTGATCTTAGTTATTTCTTGCCTTCTGCTATCTTTTGAATGTGTTTGCTCTTGCTTCTCTAGTTCTTTTAATTGTGATGTTAGGGTGTCAATTTTAGATCTTTCCTGCTTTCTCTTGTGGGCCTTTAGAGATTTTTATTTAAAAACAAACAACAATACCTCTTAAAAGTAGAAATACTGATTGAAAGAGGTAACGCACCGTAGAAGAATAGAAACCTCTACTGATCATCCTCCTTGCAGAAGCACCAAATTGAAGAACTATCGGCACAAAAAAAATCACATTTATAAGAACCAAAAATCAAGTGAGTGATCACTATATTTGGTTTTATCTTCATATCAATGAAGGAGCCACTCAAGAGGGTAGGAAAGCCAGTCCTTAATTGCCAACATCACCCTTCCCCCACACTCTGGCAGTGGCCACATGGCGTGGAAAGAGAATCTGCACTTGGGAGAGAGTGAGAACACAGTAATTGTGGAACTTTGCATTGAAATTTAGTGCTGCCCTGTCACAGTGGAAAGTGGCACTTGGTGGAACTCAGCCAGTGCTCATGGAATGTGCATTGAGATCAGCCATAGCCATAGGGAAGTTGCTCATCCCAGTGGTCAGAGCCTAAGTTCTAACAAGCCTCACCACCTTACCCGGGGCTAAAGTGCTCTGGGGAGGCCTACATTAACTTGAAAGGCAGTCTAGACCACAAAGTCTGCAATCTGTGGGCAAGTCCTGGTGCTGGGCTGGCTCAGAGTCAGTGGAGTTGACAGGGGAGCATAACCAAATGAGATGCCAGAGAAGCAGCCAAGGGAGGGTTTGCATCACCCCTCACCCAACACTAGACAACATAGCTTGCAACTCCAAGAGAGACTTCTGCCTTCTGTTTGAAGAGAAGAGAGAGATAAGTAAGGAGGACTTTTTTTTGGTGGGGGGGCAACTTTGATACATGTTCACCCACAGTAGAAGTGGGCATGAGGCAGAGTCCTGAGGCCCCTATTCCAGGACCTAGCTCTTGGACAACATTTCTAGACATACCCTGGGCCAGAAGAGAATCCACTGTCTTGAAGAGAAAGACCCAGTCCTGGAAGGATTCATTATCTCCTAGCTAAAGATCCCTTAGGTACTGAATAATCAGCAGTGGTACCCAGGCAGTACTCATGGTGGGCCTTGGTTGAGACTGAGAGACATACTGGCTTCAGATGTGACCCTGCACATTTCCAGCTGTGGTGGCTATAGCTAGGGACTCCTTCTTCTCGAGGAAAAATGGAGGGAGAGAAAAGGTGACTTCATCTTGCAGATTAGGTACCAGCTTGGCCCAAACAGAGTAGAGCACCAAGGGTCTCAGATTCCAGGCTTTGGTCTTGGCTCTGAGATGGCATTGCTGTACCCTCTCTGGTCCAGAGGGGAGCTCACTTCACTGAAGGGAGAGTCCTAGGCCTGGCAGCATTTACCACAAGCTAACTAAAGAGCCCTGGGTCCTTGAATAAACATCAGAGGTAACCAGGTAATACTCACTCACCACATAACTGGGGTGGTGATAGTTACAGGGAGAGACTTCTCTGCTTGTGGGTAGAGGAGGGAAGTAGGGAAGGACTTTGTTTTGTGGCTTGGGTGACAGGTAGATTCCTAAAGTAACTGACTCAAGGTGCTGGCTCTTGGATGGCATCTCTTGACCTACCTGGGACCAAGGGGAACTTGCCACACTGAAGAAAAGAAAACAAGCCTGGCTGGCTTCACCAACTGCTGATTTTAAAGCTCTGCAGGCTCGAGTGAACATAGAAAATAGCAAGGCAGTGGTTACTGAAAGACTTGGTTGAGATCCAGTTCTGTGCTGGCTTTAGATCTGACCTAGCACAGTTCCAGTGGTGGTGGCCACAGGGATGCTTATGCCACCCTTCCTCAACTATATGTAGCTCATCACAGAGAGAGACTGTTTATCCAGGGGAAAGTAGGAAGAGAACAAGCGTTTTTGCTTTGCAATCCAGATAATTCTTCCAGAACTATCCAAGAAGAATTTCGTGGAAGTACCTGTATGAATCTTTAAGAGCCACAGCATTACTGGGCTTGGGTTGCCCCCTAATGTATATATGACTACAGAGATCAAAAACTTAGATCACAACACCCAAATTCCTTTAAATATCTGAAAAACCTTCCCAAGAAGCACACATACAAACAACCTCAGACTGCAAAGAGTCCAATAAATACCCAATTCTTCAGTGGCCAGACACTGATAAACATTCACAAGCATCAAGACTATCCAGGAAAACATGACCTCACCAAACAACCTAAATAATGAACCAGGGACTAATCCTGTTGAGAGAGACATATGTGAACTTTCAGACAGATGATTTAAAATAGCCTTCTTGAGGGAACTCAAAGATATTCAAGATAACATAGAGATGGAGTCCAGAATCCTATGAGATCAATTTAGCAAACATATTGAATAATTAAAAAGAATGAAGCAAAAACTCTGGAGTTGAAAAATGCAATTGAGATACTGAAGAGTAAATCGGTCTCTTACCAGAAGAATTAATGAAGTAGAAGTAAGAATTAGTGAGCTTTAAGACATGCCATCACAAAACATACAGAGGAGACAAAAAAATGAGATAAAAACAGAGAACTTCCCAAACCTAGAGAAAGATGTCAATATCTAAGTACAAGAAAGCTATTGTACACCAAAGAGATTTAACCCAAAGAAGCCAACCTCAAGGTATTTAATAATCAAACACCTAAAAGTCAAAGATAAAGAAAAATTCCTGAAAGCAGCAAGAGAAAAGAAACAATTCACATACATGGAGCTCCAATATATCTGGCAACAGACTTTGCAGTGGAAAACTTTTAGGCCAGGAGAGAATGGCAGGATATATTTAAAGTGCTGAAGGAAAAAAAGCTGTATCCTAGAATAGTATGTCCAGTAAAAATATCCTTCATATAGGAAGAAGATATAATTTTCCATACAAACAAAAACTGAGGGATTTCATCAATACCAGACTTGCCTACCAGAACTGCTAAAAGGAGTACTTCAACCAGAAAGAAAAGGAAGTTAATGAGCAATAAGAAATCATCTGATAATACAAAACTCAGTGGTAATAGTAAGTACACAGAAAAACACAGAATATTTTAACACTGTAATTGTGGTGTCTAAACTAGTCATATCTTGAGTAAAAACAACCTAGAAGATAACTATTCAAAAATAATAACTACAACAACTTTTCAAGACATAGACAGCATACTAAGATGTAAATAGAAGCAACAAAAAGTTAAAAAGCAGAAGGATGAAGTCCAGTGTCGAATTTTTATTACAATTCTCTTTTTTTGTTTATACAATCATTATTAAGTCATCAGTTTAAAATAATGAGTTATAGAATATCATTTGCAAGGGTCATGGTATCTTCAAATAAAAAAAATACAGCAGATACACACACAAAAACCAAGAAATTAAAACATACCACTAAAAGGAAGACAGGAAAGAAAGAAGAGAAGATCACAAATCAACTAGAAAACAAATAACAAAATGGCAAGAGTAAAATCTTACCTATCAACAATAACATTGAATGTAAATAGACTAACCTCTCCAATCAAAAGCATAGAGTGGCTGAATGGATGAAAAAACAAGACTCAATGATTGGTTACCAGTAAGAAATACACTTCACCTATAAAGACACACATGGACTGAAAATAAGGAATGGAAAAAGATATTCCATGCCAATGCAAACTAAAAAGGATCAGGAATACTTATACCAGACATGATACATTTCAATACAAAAACTATAAACGGAGGCAAAGAAGGTTATTATATAATGGTACAGAGGTCAATTCAGCAAGGGGATATAACAATTTTAAATATATATGCACCCAACACTGGAGCACCCAAATATATAAAGCAAATATTATTAGAGAAAAAGAGGGAGCTAGACCACAAAACCAAAATAGCTGGAGACCTCAGCACCCCACTTTCAGTATTGGAGAGATCACTCAGACAAAAACAATCAACAAAGAAACACTGGACTTAGACTACATTATAGACCAAATAGACCTAATAGATATTTACAGAGCATTTCATCCAGTGGCTGCTGAATACACATGCTTCTTCTCAGCACATAGATCATTCTCAGGGATAGACCATATATTAGACAACAAAACAAGTCTTAAAATTTTTTTAATAATTGAAATTATATCAAGTGTCTCCTCTGATGACAATGGAATAAAACTAGAAATCAACCAGAGGAATTTTGGAAACTATACAAACACATGGAAATTAAACAATATGCTCCTGAATGACCAGTGGGTCAATGAGCAGATTATGAAGGAAATTTAAAAATTTCTTTAAACGAATGATAATGGAAGCAGAACCTACCAAATATTATAAAATACAGTGAGAGCACTACTAAGAGGTAAATTTATAGCTATAAGCACCAATATCAGATATATTAAAAAATCTTTAAACAACCTAACAATGCATCTTAAAGAACTAGAAAAGCAAAAGCAAATGGAACCCAAAATTAGTAGAAGACAAGATCGTAATAAAGATCAGAGCAGAAATAAATGAAATTGAAATGAGGTGAATAATACAAAAGACCAATGAAATGAAAAATTGGTGGTTAAAAGATAAATATAATCAACAAACCCTTAGCCAGATTATCCAAGAAAAAAAGAGAGAAGACCCAAATCAGCAAAATCAGAGATGATAGTAGAGACATCACAAGCAATACCACAGAAATCCGAAAGATTATTAGTTGATACGATGAGAAACTATATGCAAATAAATTGGAAAACCTAGAAAAAATGAATAAATCCTTATACACATACAACTTACTAAGATTGAACCGTGAAACGATCCAAAACCTAAACAGAGCAAAAACAAGTAATAAGATCGAAGCTGTAATAGGAAGTCTCCTAGCAAAGAAAACATCAGGACCTGATGGCTTCACTGATGAGTTTTACTAAACAATTAAAGAAGAACTAACACCAATCCTATTCAAACTGTTCCCAAAAATAGAGGAGTAAGGAATACTTCCAATCTCATTCTACAAGGCCAGTATTATCCTGATAAAAGAATCAGAAAAAGACAGGTCAAAAACAGAAAACTACATTCCAGAATCCCTGATAAACATTGATGCAAAAATCCTCAACAAAATAACAGCAAACCAAAATCAACAACACATTAAAAAGAGCATTCATCACCACCAAGTGGAATTTATCCCAGGAATGCAAGGATGGTTCAACGTACATAAATCAATCAATGTGGTGCATTATATTAACAGAATTGAAGGACAAAAATTATATAATTATTTTAATTGATACTGAAAAAGCATTTGACACAATCCAATATCCCTTTATGATAAAAACCTAAATAAACTAGATATAGAATGAACATACCTCAACAAAATAAAAGCTGTGTACTAAAGACCTACAGCTAGATTCAGACTGAATAGGAAAAAACTGGCTTTTCTCTAAGATCTGGAACACAACAAGGATGTCCACTTTCATCACTGTTATTCAACATAGTACTTGAAGTCCTAGCTAGAGCAATCAGGCAAAAGAAAGAAATAAAGGGCATTCAAATTGGAAAGGAATAAGTCAAATTATCTTTGTTTGCAGATGGTATAATCTTATATTTGAAAACACCCAAAAATCCCACCAAAAAAATTGAGAACAGATGAATAAATTCAGTATAGTTGCAGGATACAAAATCAACATAGAAAAACCAGTAGCATTTCTGTATGCCAACAGTGAACAATCTGAAAAATAAATCAAGAAATTAATCCCATTAACAATAGCTAGAAATAAAATTAGATACCTAGGAATTAACTTAACCAAAGAAGTGAGCAATCTCTACAATGAAAACTTAAAACATTGATGAAAGAAATTGAAGAGGATACAAAAAAAATGGAAATACATATGTTCCTGGATTAGAATAATTAATATTTTTAAAATGTCCATACTACTCAAAGCAATCTATAGATTCAATGCAATCCCTACCAAAATATCAATGACATTCTTCACAGAAATAGAGAAAACAATCCTAAAATTTTTATGGAACCACAAATGACCCAGAATAGCCAAAGTCAGCTTGACCAAGAAGAACAAAACAGGAGGAATCATATTACCTGACTTCAAATTATACTACAGAGATATAGTAACCAAAACAACATAGGACTGTTCTAAAAACAGACATATAGAACAATGGAATAGAATAGAGAACTCAGAACCAAATCTATATATCTACAGTGAACTGATTTTTGATAAAGGTGCCAAGAACATGCATTGGAGAAAGACAGTCTCTTCAGTAAGTGGTGTTGGGAAAATTGGGTATCTGCAGTCAGAGCAATGATATTGGACCACCATCTCTGACCATATAGAAAAATCACATCAAAATGGATTTGCAGCTTAACGCTAATACCTCAAACTATGAAACTACTATAAGAAAACGTTGGGGAAATTCTCCAGGACATTGGACTGTGCAACAAGCTTTGAGTAATACTCCACAAGCACAGGCAACCAAACAAAATTAGACAAATGGGATCACATAAAGTTAAAGAGCTTCTGCACAGCAAAGGAAACAATAAAATGAAGAGACAACCTGCAGAAATTGATAATATATTTGCAAAATATCCATGTGACAATGAATTAATAGCTACAATATATAAGGAGCTCAAACAACTCTATAGGAAAAAATCTAATAATTTGATTAGAAAATGGGCAAAAGTTCTGAATGAACACTTCTCAAAAGAAGACATATACATGGAAAACATATATATGAAAATGTGCTCAATATAATTTATCATCAGAAAAACATAAATCAAAGCTACATTGAGATACCATCTCACCCTATTTAAAATGGCTATTATCAGAGACAGGCAAAAACAAATGCTGGCACAGATATAGAGACATCTGTAGATGTCTGTTTTTATGACAGTACTATGTTGTTTTGGTTACTATATCTCTGTAGTATAATTTGACATTGGCATTGTTGGTAGGAATGTAGATTAGGACAACCACTATGGACAACAGCTTGGATGTTCCTCAAATATCTACAAAAACTACCATATGATCCAGCATTCCCACTGCTAAGGACATACCCAAAGTAAAGGCAATCAGTCTGTTGAAGATATATCTGTGCTCCTATGTTTATTGTGGCAATATTCACCATAGCCAAGATTTGAAAGTAACCTAAGTGTCCATCAACAAATGAATGAATGAATAAAGAAAATGTGGTACATATACACAATGAAATACTATTCAGCCACAGAAAAAGAATGAGATCCTGTCATTTGCAACAACATGGCTGGAATTGGAAGTCATTATGTTAAGTGAAATAAGGCAGACACAGAAAGACAAACTTTGCTTATTCTCACTCATTTATAGGAGCTGAAAATTAAAACAGTTGAATTCATGGAAGTAGAGATAGAATGATGGTTACCAGAAGCTGGGAAGGGTAGTAGGGTGGGTGGAATGGGGACAGTTAATGGGCATAAAAATACAGTTAGATGTAATGAATAAGATCTAGTATTTAATAGCACACCAGAGTGACTATAGTTAAGAATAATTAATTGTACATTATAAAATAACTGAAAGAATATGTGTGGATTGTTTGTAAAACAAAGAAAGGATAAATGCTTGAGGTGATGGATACCCCATTAATCCTGATGACATTGTTATGCATTATAGGCCTGTATCAAAATATCTCATGTACCCCATAACTATATACACCTCCTATGTACCTACAAAAATTAAAAATTTAAAAATAAGTAAATAAAAGTTGGAATGGAAAATTAACACAGAAGTTGAACAAAAAAACTAGAGTTAGGAAATAATGCTTTTAATTTTTAGCTCCCACAAATGAGTGGGGGCTAAATGTTTATTCTCTCAAAAGACTAATGAAATAGGCCCAGGCCAGAAAAAAATATTTTAGAAAAGTAACGAGAAGTTCATTGTAGATTCTGGATATTAGCTCTTTGTCAGATGAGTAGATTGCAAAATTTTTCTCCCATTCTGTAGGTTGCATGTTCACTCTGATGGTAGTTTCTTTTGCTGTGCAGAAGCTCTTTAGTTTAATTAGATCCCATTTGTCAATTTTGGCTTTTGTTGCCATTGCTTTTGGTGTTTTAGACATGAAGTCCTTGCCCATGCCTATGTCCTGAATGGTATTGCCTAGGTTTTCTTCTAGGGCTTTTATGGTTTTATGTCTAACATTTAAGTCTTTAATCCATCTTGAATTAATTTTTGTATAAGGTGTAAGGAAGGCATCCAGTTTCAGCTTTCTACGTATGGCTAGCCAGTTTTCCCAGCACCATTTATTAAATAGGGAAACCTTTCCCCATTTCTTGTTTTTGTCAGAGTTGTCAAAGATTAGATGATTGTAGATATGCGGCATTATTTCTGAGGGCTCTGTTCTGTTCCATTGGTCTATATCTCTGTTTTGGTACCAGTACCATGGAACTCCAACAAATTTATAAGAAAAAAACAACCCCATCAAAAAGTGGGCGAAGGATATGAACAGACACTTCTCAAAAGAAGACATTTATGCAGCCAAAAGACACATGAAAAAATGCTCATCATCACTGGCCATCAGAGAAATGTGAATCAAAACTATGAGATAACATCTCACACCAATTAGAATAGCGATCATTAAAAAGTCAGGAAACAACAGGTGCCTGAGAGGATGTGGAGAAATAGGAACACTTTTACACTGTTGATGGGACTGTACACTAGTTCAACCATTGTGGAAGTCAGTGTGGCGATTCCTCAGGGATCTAGAACTAGAAATACCATTTGACGCAGCCATCCCATTACTGGGTATATACCCAAAGGATTATAAATCATGCTGCTATAAAGACACATGCACATGTATGTTTATTGCGGCACTATTCACAATAGCAAAGACTTGGAACCAAGTCAAATGTCCAACAATGATAGACTGGATTAAGAAACCGTGACACATATACACCATGGAATACTATGCAGCCATAAAAAATGATGAGTTCATGTCCTTTGTAGGGACATGGATGAAGCTGGAAACCATCATTCTCAGCAAACTGTCGCAAGGACAAAAAACCAAAAACTGCATGTTCTCACTCATAGGTGGGAATTGAACACTGAGAACACATGGACACAGGAAGGGGAACATCACACACTGGGGCCTGTTGTGGGGTGGGGGGAGGGGGGAGGGATAGCATTTGGAGATATATGTAATGTTAAATGACAAGTTACTGGGTGCAGCACACCAACATGGCACATGTATACATATGTAACTAACCTGCACGTTGTGCACATGCACCCTAAAACTTAAAGTATAATTAAAAAAACAGAAAAGTAATGAGAAGATCTGTAACCAAAATTACTAATAAGATTAAAATTATATAGATGACTAGCCTACAAAACTATGAAATATTAAAGTCTAGAGAAAAACTTCTCACTAGCTTACTGTGCCACATAGTCTTGCCCATAAGGGGTTATGGTTCAGCAGTCAGCGCAAGCCTAGGGCAGCCGTAATCCTCTGCACCTTTTTGGCAGGTCCCTTCCAGCCACAAGTTACTTGGTTTGTTTTCAGTAATAAACAAATAATATCATTTTCTTTGTTTGCCATGACATGGAAAAGTTGGATGGCACTTATCTGCCAAAATAAGAATGATATCTAGCAAATACAAACCATCAAAATGGACTCAAGGTGAGTATAATATCTCTGTAGACCAATAAGCAAACAATAAAATAATGAATGAACATTGACAAAGACACTATTCTCAAGTAGTTTTATTTCTGAGTTCCACATAATCTTTAATGAACAAGACTATAATATTGTTTAAATTATTCCTGCACATAGGAAAAGTTTTTTAAATACCTATTCATTTTATAAGGTTGGTACAATTTTAATTCTAATACATGACAGGGTAATAAAAATGTTACTGCCCAGCATCAGGAACACAGGTAGACACAAATGTTAAATGTTAATCAATCATAATGTTCTGCAATATATGAGAGGTTTAATAAATTTGACCAAGTAAAGTTTAGTCCACGAATCGAGGGATAATAAGTGGGAAACTTATTAATACAATTAATTAATGGAGAAAATGTAATCATGTTATTGAGTGCCCGAAAAGTAACTTAATAAAATTAACACTCTTTCTAATAAAAATAATTTTAAAAGACTGAGCTATTTATTAAATATTATCATTTATTTTAAAATTTAAAGTTTTTAACATTGTTTTGGAGTTTCAAGTTAAGGCCATACATAAGATAAATCTGGCCACATGTTTAGAAAATAAGAAAGAAATTAGATTATTATATAATGTATTAATATGAATGGTAAATCAAAGAGATTAGTAGATTTAAAAAATTTGGCTGGTGGCTGGATACAAAATATGCATATATAAAAATTGATGTTTTTCTTCATACTAACAAAATTCCAATTGCATATAAATGGAAAATTTTATATTTCCCCTTGTTAATAAAACCGGAAAATATTTAAGAAACAACATAGAGGCCAGCACTGTGGCTCACACCTGTAATCTCAGCACTTTGGAAGGCCGAGGTGGGCGGATCACAAGGTCAAGAGATCAAGACCATCCTGGCCAACATAGTGAAATCCTGTCTCTACTAAAAATACAAAAACGAGCTAGGCATGGTTGCATGCACCTGTAATTCCAGCTACTCAGGAGGCTGAGGCAGGAGAATCACTTGAACCCAGGAGGCGGAGGTTGCAGTGAGCCGAGATCACGCCACTGTACTCCAGCTTGGCGACACAGCAGGACTCCATGTCAAAAAAAAAAAACAACATACAAAAAATAAATATCCTATGTGAAGAAAATAATAATTTTTATCAAATAATAAAACCTGAACATATATAAATAAATACCATATTTCTGTGTGAGAATTCAGTATAATACAAATAACCATCCTTTCTAAGTTTATGTTTAAACATAAGTGATTTCAATTACAATCTTGTTTTTGTAGAGATACTGGGAAATATGCTTTTAAAGTTCCAGAGAAGGAAAATTAAATGCTTTGTAATATCCAAGAAACATCTGAAGAAATATGCCTTTCCAAATATTAAAAATTACTTTTAGGCCACTTTATCGATATATGATTTTATTGGCACAGGGATAGAGAAATCAGATGAACAGAATAACAAGGGCCCCTAAAAAGAGCTGTGTATATAAGGGAATCTCAAAGTAGGATAGGAGTATTATTTTAATTTGGTGGGGAAAGGATGATTTATTTAATAATTGATAGTGGTAAAATTGTTTATCTTTCTAAACAAAATATTTGTTTTCTTACTGTACACCCATAAACAAAAATATATTTCAGATGAGTTAAAACATTACATATAGGACATTAGAAGACAATTAAGTTGTATATTTTTGTAACGTTGTTGTGGGGGAGACTGTAAGTGACCTATATATGGAGAAAATGTATTTAACTACTTTCAAAAGAATATGTCTATACAAATCAGAAAATGTTCACATATAAATAGCTTGTATATAAAGTAGTCGAGCAAAGAAAAATGAGTCAGAAAAAAATGGACAAAGGATGTGAATAGACAACTTACAGAAGAAGAAATATAAACTACCAACCAACATATCAAAAGATCTTTAACCTCATTAATATTCAAGAGTATGCAAATTATATCAGCAATTAGATATATTTCCCTAATTTGAAAAAAAATTTAAAGTGGGATAATAGTTCTTATAAGGATTTAAGAGAAAGGGAATTATATTGCTGGTGACAATTGCTATCACCATTTTAAAAAATAAAATGACAATTTTTACTAAAATTAATTTTTAAAGTGTTATACTATTTGTAATGTTTAATTTTATGTGTCAACATAGCTAGGCTACGGTGCTCAGTTACTTGGTCAAACACCTGCCCAGATGTTGTTATAACGGTAGAATTTTAGATGTGATTAACATTTAAATTTGTAGACTTTGAGTGAAGCATATTACCCTCCATAATGTGGGTGAGCCTCATCTAATCAATTAAAGGTCTCAAATACAAAGACCAAGATTTCTTGAAGAAGCATTTCTTCCTCAACACTGCGACATAGAAACCCTGCCTGAATTTTGAGACTGCAGAGTTGGAATTGAGATTGCAACATCAACTTTTCTCTGCAGGCCTGCCCTACAGATTTCAGACTTGCCAGCTTCCACAATTGTGTGAGCCAATTCCTTAAAATAAATCTCTCTTGCTCTCTCTCTATATATATATCTCTATATTTTTTTTCTACTGGTTCTATTTTTCTAGAGAATCCTGACTAATACACTCTTACGCCAGCAATAACCGTTCTTGAAACTTATACTACAAAAATAAAATGTGTGTGTGGGAGGTAGTGGGGTTGGGGAGAAGGCTGGGAAGAGACCGAGAGAGAAAGAGAGCAAGAGAGATACTGTCTTATTTCTGGTGGCAAAACTCTTGAAAAACTTATGTGTGTCCTTTGTTGAAAACTGGATACAAAGACAGTATAAAATATTATGCAGTTGTTAAAAAGTAATGGGTTAGTTCTAAAATTTAATTTGAGTGATTTCAGAAATGTATTAAGTTAGAAAAGCAAGTTACAAAAAAAATACATTTAACAAACTTCTTTTTTTGCAAAAAACAAGGGCAAAAGTTTATGTCCGTTTGAACAAGGGAAAAATGTGGAACCAAATGTATGGGTAGGTGCCTGTGCAATGGTCTGTAAAAGCGAGAGTGTAGTAATGATTGATAATTGTGTGTGTGTGTGTATACAATTTTAAAAATGTGTACATATACATGTGAGTGTATTTTTATTTTACAAAAAAGGGTATGTTATGCCTGCTATTTTCTAATAGGGTTGGTTCCATTTTCTATAGTATTAGATATTATTCCATAACAATTTTTAATAGCTAAATGTATTCTTTTAAATGGTTATGTTTTATTTAGGTAAATTCTCCCTTCTTGGTGGACATTATTATGGTTTCTATTTTCTCTAAATTATAAAAAGATAGGGACAAAACCCTGTAAATTTACATATGTCTATATATCCATTATAATGTCTTTATAAACAGTTTCTAGAATTTGATTTGCCAGGTCAATGGATATATAGAATTATATTTTTATTATTGTATTACTGATACTAGTAATTGCTAGTTATATGGTGTATTATTACTATTGTTTTGAGACAAACTTGCTCTGTCACCCAGACTGGAGTGCGGTGGTGCGATCTCAGCTCACTGCAACTTCTGCCTCCTGAGTTTAAGTGATTCTCCTGCCTCAGCCTCCTGAGTAGCTGGGATTACAGGTGTGCATCACCATGCCTGGCTAATTTGTGTAGTATTACTAGAGACAAGGTTTCACCACCTTGGCCAGGCTGGCCTGGAACTCCTGACCTCAAGTGATTTGCCCACCTCGGCCTCCGAAAGTTCTGGGATTACAGGCATGAGCCACCTCACTAAGCTGGTATATTATTAATCTTATCAAGACAATATTTGTTTTTCTATTATTTCTGCTAATAATTGTACTACTGTTAATACAAATAATAAGGCCTTATCTTTTCTTCATACTTTGCTTATCTTTTCTTCATACTTTTTACATGAGACTCTTGTCATTAAGTCAAGTCTTTATTTAATGAAATGAGCCACAGGAATGAAGGTGGTTGGAGGTAGCTCTTAAAGGCTATGTTGAAAGTTAATATTTCCAATTGTGATAAAATATACACATCTTTTCCATCTATCTATATTTTTACTTTCAACCATTGCCAAAGTTACCTGGAAAATCACCTTTTATCATCAGTTCTGGATAACTTCTATTTAAAATATTTTGATATACAAATGTTCTGAAAATGATAGTGACTTTTCCTTTACTGATTGTGATGATTATTGTGATGATTCTTTTTAAATAATTTAATATACCTTTCTTTGTTTTACAGTAGAAAAGAACTAAAAGGTGGCACTACATTATAACTAATCATTTCCTTTTTAGGACAAATAGAGCTGAAGACTAAGTACATAACAGGGCAGATTTACTCTTTTAAATTAATAATCGTTTGAATTATGGGTCTTTATAAGTTTGGCTCTTCATGCTTCTGCAATTTATACCTTATTAATGGTATATTACCTATTATCATAAAATCTTAATACATAATGGCTTAAATTTTTTCATTAATATGTAAATTTAAAGCTCTTTGCAGATAGCATTTTGTAGATACTTTTAAAGCATTCTAAACATATGTATCTTCTTTCTTATGTAAAAATTACTGTGATCAACATTTCCTTTGAATTTTGATGCTCACTTCCTTGTATTTTTCTACTGAACCCAGGTAATTAGCAACAAACTTTGAGGAAAACTTAAAAATTATCTAATATTTTTTAGTTAATAATACCTGTGTATTGAATTGTAAAATAATAATTAATCCAATTGTTTTTTATTTAATACCATAGAAAGAAATCTCAATTTTTTTTCTGAAATTGCTGAAGTTATTATCTCACCCTTTGACAGGTTCAGTGGGGGTGAGCCTTATATCTGATTGCCTGTATGTTGTCATTTCAGAGAACTGTTAATAGACCCTTATATTGGTTTTCTAGCCTTCAAATTTCAAGCCATGATAGTATTCTTTAATACATGACCTCATATTTCCAAAGTTACAAAAGAACACAGTGAAACTCTATTACCTTAATTTCAGTGGGCAAGGGCAAGAGCTCCAGGTATAGGGCAGTGTATGGATTTTTATTTTTTATTCTTTTGGTATTCTCTCTACACCAACACATTTCTCTAATATTGGGTACTCTGCTGTGGAAAAACGTCTATATTGGAGAATTCTTCTGTTTTATTGTTTTAAGCTGTAGTGGGGTTTTTTGTTTTCAGGTTTTTAAAATCAATATATTTTGATTTTTAAAAAGAAAGAATGTATATTTTGGACTTATTTTAATTGAATAATGTCCTCATTTATATTGTTTTAGTTCTTTGTATTGATTTTCTATTTTACATTATGCATTTTAAGCGTTTAATATTTGGTTTTTGTCATCAAGTCTTGTTTTTCTTCTCTTTTAGAACATTCTTAGTTGTTTTAACACCTGTTCCAACATTTGACTTTTTGGTGGGAGGGTTCAGATTCCTTTGGGAATCTGAAGAAAGCTATGGGTATTTTTCTCAGTATAGATTCATGACCCTGAAGCTAAACTGTAATATATAACATAACTTTAAAATTCTCCTGTTTTTTAGCCTTTATTCTTGGAAAATTAGAGTAAATCTGAGTTATTTCATGAAAGATCCAAGACCCCTGTCTTCTGGCTAGGTTACCTTGATCTTGAGATCTGGACTGTCTCACACTGTCCAGCCAGGATCTTAATGGATTAATGAAGCCACTTACTTATTGAAGGCAAAGCAAAGTTTTACAAACACCCCATTTTATTTTGAACTCTTGAGTTATTTTCTATTTTGTAATGAGAGTTTTAATTGCTAAGGCAACCAGATAATTCCTGAATTCCTCCAGCCAGTAGTTCATTAAAAAGCCACTTCCTGTTAGAATGTCATTTAGGGAGTCTCCAGTAAAAATAAGATGAGATGGAAATATTAAAGAAATGTTGAGATTAAATAATTGATGTTTTTAAAAGTTAAATTTAAATGTTTTGTCCTTATAATTCATCATAAGAGAAAAATAATCTTCCATTGAGAAGTTTTCCTAATCTAAACATCATTAGACTTTGGATTTTTAATCAATAGGTCCTTAGAGTCTAGAACAGTGTTTTTTGAATGAATGAATGATTGAGCAATTCATGAAAGAGTGAATAAATACTTCTTCTGAGATAAAAATTAGGTTTTAATATCTGTAGGTTGTGGAAATGATTTGTACCGCTTCAATTCTATGAGTTTACTTTCTTTCAGACATTATAAAAAATAAATCATTCGACAAGATAGTATATTTTAGAAAGAAAATGAAAATAAAATTAAAGATTATATTTAAAATAGGAGCCATGTAAAATTAATCATATAATTGTATAAAATATTAAGAATAAAAGGGGAATTTATTTTAAAATAAACTTAAATCTTAACATTATTCACAGATATGTCTTATATCTTTTTTGTTCCTCTCTTCTTTTACAGCTTTTATTGTTAGTGAATATTTTATAGCTTAACATTTACATTTCTTTATTGATTTTTAATTGTATGTTTTTAGTGATTTTCTTGGTGCATTTTTTTTTTTTTTTTAAGACGGAGTCTCGCTCTGTTGCCCAAGCTAGAGTTCAGTGGCTCCGTCTCTGCTCACTGAAAGCTCCGCCTCCTGGTTCATGCCATTCTCCTGCCTCAGCCTCCTGAGTAGCTGGGACTACAGGTGCCTGCCACCACGCCTGGCTAATTTTTTGTATTTTTAGTAGAGATGGGGTTTCACTGTGTTAGCCAGGATGCTCTCGATCTCCTGACCTCATGATCTACCCACCTCGGCCTCCCAAAGTGCTGGGATTACAGGCATGATCTTGGTGCTTTTATTAGGCCTTACAATATACACTTTAACTTATCTTGTCTACTTCATATTTATACTAACTTAAGTCTAGTGAGATTTGGAGACATTACTTCTATATAGCATTATTCCCTTTCCCCACTTTTTGTACTATTAAATTAGACATATTACATCTATACATGTTACAAATCCGACAGTTTGTGACTATAATTGTTACATTATAAAACTGTAAGCTTTTTAAAGAAACTAAAAGATGAATGGATATATTCATAGAGTTTGTTATATTATATTTCTATTTATCATTTTTAGTTCTCTTTATTTTTGTGGATTTGAGCTACCATTTGAGGTAGTTTCACTATTCCAACTTGCTCTCACCTGCCTCCTTGTGCTCTTATTGTCAGATATGTTTCTATATGTTATAGATCCAACAATACAATTATATATATGTGTATATATATAACAATATACACATAAAATGATACAATTATATATATAGTTGTGTGTATATATATAGAGAGAGAGATAGAGAAAGAGAGAGGGGATTTATATATATATGTTTATATAATTACTTTTTCAATTAGTTAAGAGAAAAAATATGCATTTATACCCATTAATAATTACATAATTACCTTTGCCAGCATTCTGCTTTTTTTAATCTTAAAAAGCATGGAGGTCTCTTGACTTCAGCCTAAAGAGAACTTCCTTTATTAGCTCGTAAAAAGCATGCTGCTAGAAGTAAATTATTTTAGCTTGTATTGATCTGGAAACATTGTTATTTCACCTTCAGTTTTGAAAGATCATATTTTCTGGATTTAAGATTGTTAATTGAATTTCTTTCTTCTTTTTCTTCTCTCAGAACTTTGACAATGTCATACTATTGCCTTCTGGCTTCCATTGTTTCTCATAAGAGAGCCATAGTTAATTTTATTGGGGTTCCTTTGGACATGACTCATCATTTTTCGTGAGCTCAAGAAGACATTTTCGAGATTTTCTGTCTTTAGATTTCAATAATTTTACTATGATGTGTCTGGACGTGGACCTCTTTACATTCATTGGACTTCTTGGATGTGTAGATTAATTTTTCAAAATCAAGTTTTAGAATTTTTAGCCATTATTATAATATTTATTTTCTGCCTTTTTCTCTCTGTCTCTATTATTTTCTTGTACTCCCATTATTTGTACTGGTGGACTTAATTGTATCCCTCAACTTTTTGTGGGTCTGTTCACTTGTCTTCATTTTATTTCTGTTTTTCAGCATAATCTGTTGAGCCACCATAGTAAAATTTTTTTGTTTCAGTTATTGTACTTCTCAGTTGCAAAATTTTTGGTTTTTTTTAAATTATTTTTATGTCTTCACTGATAGTCTTTATTTGAAAAGGCATTGTTGTCATGCCTTTAAATGTATTTGATTTCTTTTAAGTGTATTTACTTACTTAAGCTTGATTTTCTTTCAACATATTTATAACATCTGCTTTGAAGTCTTTGTTTCGCCTGTTGTCTGGGCCCTTTCTATGTTGGTTTCTGTTGTCTGCCCTATTTTGTATATAATTTACATTTTTGTGTTTCTTTGCCTAATAACATTTTGTTTAAAATTAGACATTTTAGGTAATGTATCGTAACAATCCGGGATACTGTAGCCCCACCCAGAGTTTCTTGTTGTGATTTGTTTATTTGTTTAATAATTTGGCTGGACTATTTTAGTGAAGTCTATTTTCCCTGCATTGTGCAAGCCTCTGATATTGCTCCTCAGAGCGTGCACCAGCTATAGTCAGCTATTTGGCCAGCTATGTTGCTCTTGGTAGGACAGTGGTATAAGCTTTCTTTGACTGTCTTCTCTGATTTCCCTGTTAGGCTGTCTGAACTTTTTTAGTATCAAACCCAGTGTCAACCTCCACTAATTGCTGGTTGATTGTTCTATTGTCTTTAACAATGCTCTGGAACATAAATTGACCCACTGTCTGATTCATTTTATGTTGGGGCCCCTTCCAGGGTAATCTTTGAGGCCAGTTTTTGCTGTTTGCTCTAATCCCGATATTCTTCTTAGCTCTTTTCCTGTTTTTCTCTGGAAAACTTCAACCTGATCTTCAGTTTACCTTTTTAGTCTCATGGAGCTACCATCCTCCTCTTAATTGCTTAACATCATAATCTCTACTGTCTTTAACAGTGCCTTTAGATTTGAAATTCTCCACACTCTGTTTCATAAAGTCAGTTCACTTTGAGAGGATGAGGAGAGCACTTCAGGTTCTATGTTCATATAGGCTACATTTATCCTTAGGCAAAATCACTGTGCCACTGTCCTAGATCAGAAGGAGGAGGCAGTGGCTCACTTTTTTCAGAGTGACATTCACAAATAGAGTGCTCAGCTGTGACAGCAGTCTCTAGTCTTCTCAACTTGCCTCACCTGTCTCAGAATCGCTATCTTACAAGTGATCTGGAGTAAGGGCTACCAGGGCTCCAGTATTCTCTCCCCGTTGCACCTTGATTAGAGCTTCTGCCTATCAGTGGGAGCTGGAGGGATGAAGAAAGCCCCAGACCTCTCAACTATTCTTTCCTGACATAATATCTCTGAAACATGGAGGTAGGATCGGGATGTGAGATAAATTTATGCATTTCTTGTGAAAATACCATAGCCCTCAACTGGGACCCAGTAGTAGAGGGATCCTATGTTCTTGGCTGTACTTATTCAGGGTCGAACTTCTGTCATACTGAACTGGGGTTGAGGGAGGAAGGGAGGAAAGAAGAGAGAAAATTGTGGTTTAAATGGCAAAGATTCACTGTTAACACTGAGATGTAATAGATTTTCTTGAATAGATGTTTATTTTGCTGTATGCCCTTTGGACAATTTCCAGAGATATATAACTTAAAAAAATAATTTCCACTAGATATTGTTTCACTGGGAAGAGATTCCACAGAATTTCTCACATCTCTATTCCAGAAAATCATCTCCCCAACATGATCCTTTTCAAAGCCACTCTTCTGCTCAAAGCTCTGCAATGACTTTCCATCTCAGTGACCTTCTTTCTGTTTTTCAGACATGCCAAATGTGGTCTTATCTCATGAAGCATACTTCTGCCTGGTTCTTTGCACTTGGTATTTGCTCTGACTGGAATTTTTTTTCTGTGATGCCCGCTATATCTTGTCTCTTCTTAGCAATATTATCCCAGACCAGACTATGTAAAAAGCAATTTACTTATTATATATTTTGTATTTTATTTATATACTATCTGTCTCTACATAGTAGAGAATATAAGCTTCATCATGGTAGAAACTTTTTTTTTTCTCTTCACAGGGCACATATTGAGCATTTGCAGAAGACTACTTTTCCCTTTAACATCCATTCTTTTCTTTTCTTTTGGCAATTGACTGAAAACTAGAGATTGTATTCACACTCTCTCGTGACTAAGTATATTCATCAGACTACAATTTTTTGTTGTTGTTATATTGGAAAGTGAGCAGAAGTAATGAGTACAACTTCGATTTTATGTGCTTAAATTGTTATTGCTCCCCCTTTGTTTTCACGTTTCCTTATTCCATGGGCTAGAGTGCATTCATCATGTAGCTGATGGCAGTGATTTTGGATATGGTAAAACAAAATCGAATGACTTTATGGAGCAGGGCTACTCCACTAGCCTAGACTGGTCAGCATGAGAAAGTAAACGGCCTTATTTAAATTATTATAAATTGTATTATCTTAGTATATTTTACCTTAACTAATTTGTATGTCATTAATACAAATATTTTGAATGAAGGAGTAAATAGGTGGAGTCTGCTTAAAACATCTTAGAAGTGAGAAGATTGCTTTCCTCAGTTATTCCTAGTTTTATTTCTCCTATTGAATAATAATGGTAATAATGGTAACCATCTACCTCATTTATCATTTTACTTCAAACGATTATTTTATCACTCAGAATGGATGTTACTGATTTTTGGTAAATCACCTCCGTGATATTGATGTGGTTTCTTTTGATCCTGTTTTACAAAGATTTTTCTATAAAATAGGCTGCTAAATTTTATCCAATGACTTTCCTGTGTGTACTTATATAATCACACTTTTTTCCTCCACTAATTTGTTGACGTAGTGAGTTTTACAATACATGATCATAGTGTTATTATTCTTTGCTTACATTACTAGATTCTTTTCACTAATATTTAGAATTTTTGTGCCTGTTTCAAAGGTGAGATTGGTCTATGGTTTTCTTTTTATTGCCTTATTAGACCAGTAGGCATTGTAGTACAATATTGAGTAGGTTTGATGAAAGATTACATCCTTTCTTTGTTTTTAATCTTAGAGGGAAAACATGTAGTTTTTGACCATTGAGTATGATGTTAGCTTGTAGATGCCATTTATTGGGTAATATTTTTGATCTATTGGGTTAAATAAAGCATAGTATTAAAATTAAGCTTACCTGTTTTTTAAACTTTTTTTTTAGTGTGGCTAATCAAAAACTTAAAATTATTTCTGGCTTATATTATGTTAGACATACTGCTCTAGAGTATATTTCCTAGTTTGTAATGAAGTACAAATATAATTTTTGTGATATAGTAATAACTGTTACCTCATTTAAAAAGTTCCTTCTTCACTAGGTTTGGAAAAAAAATAACTTCACACTGTTTACCTTATGTTTCTATAGATAATTTAGACATGTTCTCCTTCCCATTATTTATTAAAATGCTTAGCCAGATGTAAGTACAGAATTGTTTGTAGATTCATATCAGCTGAAATTTCTCAGCATTCATTTATCCTCTGATGAATGTTGATGAACAAATCTTAGTTACTAAGTAGCATTATATAACACTACTATGAAAATAAATATATTATTACATTCAATTTAACACTATGTTTTCTAAGATGTAAGTGAACTCATGACTAATTTTCATGTTTTTTAATGGCAAAAAACTAACAAATAGTTTTCCCCTCCCCTTATATTCAGCCCTGTGTTTTTCCACAAAAAAAAACAGCAGGAAAAAATTATTAGAGGATATGAAGCAAAATGGATTTACATAACCAAAGGGTATGAAGATAAGCTCCTTAAGGATCTCTTTTTCAAACCTGAAACTAATATAAAAGGAAAGCTTGCATATTGGAAACATGTAAGTATAATTAGTTTATTATTTTTATTTGAAATGTATTTAAGATATTAAAGTTATGATTTAGGTAGCGCTATTATTTCTTCAGTCTCTATTAAATGTCCTTCATTACATTGTTAATATCCTGCTTTATATTTTTTGATTGAAAAAAGTTATATAGTAATGTAATACAAATATATTTTTGTGGTGCATCTATAGTATAGTATACCACAACCATTTAATAATTTATGCTTTATATATATAATTTTTTATTTAGTTTTTACAAGTAGTAATAATAACGTAAAAACCACTTCTCAGTGATTGAAAACATAAATATTTAGTTTATTAAAGAGTGGGAACTCTATAATACAACATTCATTCATTGGTTTTATGCTATATTATAAATTGCTTTGAGGACCCAGTGGAAATTGAAAGAAATTTATTTATGTTGATTGAATGCCTACTATATCCCAGGCACTGTGCTAGACATTTTGCAAGTGGTATGTAACTTATTCTCTGTAGCACCATAGATAGATATTTTTTATCTCATTTTGACCAATATGAAAACTAAGAGACATAGAGGTTAATTAACTTACCAAAAGCTACATAATTAATAGGTAGGATCGGACTCCAGGTCTTCTGACTCTAGAATTTGTGCTTTTTTATCTTTATAATTTTATTTTGATTTGGACACTAATTAATGGTAGAAATGAATACTTAGCATTATAGTAGAATTAACTGGAGTGAACATTCTATAATTTCTAAAGCACTTAGTTTGTGATAAGCTCCTTCATGTGTGGCTCTCTGCTTGAGTAGCCTAAACTACAAATATTTCTATTACATTAGCATTGTTAGAAGGCAATACAAAAGGTCCAGACTGTCATTAGTCTTATTTCAAGGCAAATGAACACCTGTGTTCCAGATATAGCATAGTAATGTTCTCAACTCCTTAAATCGTGTGAAAGTTATTCATTGAATAAAAACATAGGATACAAAAGGCAAACATATTCTACTTAAAACTTGTCCCTCATCAGCACTCAGTGCCAACAGTATTAATTTGCTCCAGATGATAGTGTGTATTATAAAATTATAAAGTTCATCTAAATTATGTTTTGACCCTCTGTGTAGAATATAAAATCACTGGATTTCAGAGCATACCACCTGCTTTTTTACATACTTTATACAGAGTATGATTTCGGAGTATGATTAGAGAGTATGATATCAGTATACTGATAACCAATTTGTTGTGTAATTATAACTAATTTGAATATATTGACAACCAATGTGTTTGTGTATAAATATATATTTTGTGTATATATTTTGTTGTGGCAAGCAAATATATATGTGCATGAAATCAAATAAAATATTCATTTTCCAAAGATTTTTTAGTATGTATAAAGTTATATAAAATGTACCATTGTCAAGGTTTTGCAAGTATTTTGAATATTATGAAGTTTTTTCAAGATAAATTTATTATAAAGAATGTTTGAAATCTCCCTTGTATTTTGAATAATTCTGCTAAATGTGTAATTATTAATGTTACTTTTTAAGAACTATTCTTTCATAGTTGATAAATATGTACATTGTGTTGTGCATTTTTATTTTTTATAACCACCATTCATAGAATATTATAGAAGTTGTCTTCATCTCAATTTCTTAAAGTAATTAAAATTATTTTTAATTGTAAGTTTTATTTTTTGATGAATAGTTTCTTTATATAAAATTGTCCTTCAATCTTCTGCTGGCTTCATTTGTAGTTTCCTCTTCAGCTCACTTAGTTGATATATTATTCTCTTATTATTATCTTTCATTATTCTTATTTTATTATTTATATAATAATTACATATTATTCTTTTATTCATTATGTATTATTTTTATTCACTTATTATTCTTTTATCTTGTATTATTTTGAGTGGTAAAAATAATAATATCAACTAAGTGAGCTACCTGATTTCTTGTGCCTTGGAGTTTGGTTTGTAAGAAACTATAGTGATAATTGATAAATCTAAAGGAACAGTGAAAGGGTTAAGGAGTAGGGAAAGGGGTGGAGGTGAGAAAACATGAACATTTAATACTGAAAGTTCATAAAAAACAAAACAATAGCAACAACAAAACATGCCATGAGCAAAACAATACAAAGGATTAGCCAAGAATAGAATTCAAGGTTCAGTAATTAGATGAAGTAATCAGTATCTGAATCTTCTCCTGTTTGGGAATAAAACGTGCTTGACTTAAAGGGTTTAATAATTCCCATAACTATGGAACCTAAAGTGCGAAGAGACAGAGGAGTGAGTTCAAGCTACATTCACTTAGGAAATACCACGATGCAAAACTAGATATTCAAATAAACATCCAGTGTTTATGGAGCAAGAACTAACTGTAAATGAGATAGAGAACCAGAAGTCAGAAGCCGTGAGGAGTGAATTTGACAAAAGCAGCTGGGTCAGAATAGAAGAAATGGAGGATGTGGAACACTTCCTAGACACTTACTAGGGACATTACTTTTCCATGGCTTACAGGTATTAAAGCGTGGTTGTGAGTGGTACAGATTAGGCTGGCATAAATACAGAACTGTGGGAGTTCAATTAAATCCAATTGAAGGAAAACTTGTATACTATTATGATAGATTTTAGGAAAATCTGAATACTAATATGAAAGATTTTGCTAGGATGCCTAAGGATATTTAAAATCGGCTTTGGTATCGTTGATCCTTTCCCTTGGAGGTTACTGCTGTTCTAAGCAAAATATATGTTCAGGGAGTAATAGCAAACACACTAATACCCCACCGGGGCTTTGACTTCAAATTCCTTATAAACTTATAGTAAGTAACCTAGGCTGGACTGTGTGGTAATTCCTTTATTACCTATACTTTGTTGGCATAAATAGTCTTCTTTCATCTACTTCCTATATTTCAAACATGAATTTAGAAGGAATATAGTGTGAGAGATACTCACACCCATGGGAGCCAAAAGGAAATAGATGGGGGCATTTCCCAAAATATTTATGTTAGAGGCAGCCTAGCTCCCCTCCCTTCCTCCCCCCGCCATCCCCACTCCTTGCCACATACATCGGAAGCTTCCTTGTGCTGATTTAGTTCCTATGTTGTAAGGAAGGAGAGAAAGCATCTGTGAAGTAAGAAAGTGATGGCCAGAAACTTTTACTGCTTCAACCATGTGGAAAGAAAAGAATCAGTCTATATGTTGTGAATTTCTATCTTTTTTGACAGTCCACTTCCTAGGATAATGATCTAATCTTTTTCTTAGAACTTGAGCAATACCCTTTCTCCTTGAGGCATGAAAATTGGAATTTCACACCCTCTGTCTTAATCTTCTGGAGAGGGTGCCTGATTCTCCCTGGTTATCAGCAAAGGAGGAAAGCTATCTATAGGGTAACCATATACAACCTCTCTGAAAGGCATCTCTTACTCGGAACCACTTCTAACATACTGAATGTTCACATCTTGTACTCTATGGCTTTGTATACCTCCAGAAAACACCTGACATAAAATAACCTGGCATTCAGCTCTACTAAAGTAAGATTTGTTTTATAACTGCTGATTTGCTTGAATTCTAGAATATTTTTATTTACTTTTGCTTTGCTTCCAAAGATTAATTTTTCCTATAAATAAGACTCATGGAACTATATACATGCTATGTTGAGTGCCATTTTGTAAGATCAAATAAAATTAAATGTTCTCATATACAATTCTCCCTGTGAACCCTTTCCATTAATTATTATTAGATGTATTATTCTAAAGGTTAAATATATATTTTTAAATCTGATGAGCTGTTTGTATTTAAATCTATTATAATTTTAATAAGGACTCAAAAATAGCAACAAGATAACTTTTTAATTATACCACATAGGCCAGCCATGGTGGCTCACGTCTGTAATCTCAGCACTTAGGGAGGCCAAGGTGGATAGATTAATTGAGGCCAGGAGTTCAAGACCAGCCTGGCAAACATTGTGAGACCCCCATCTCTACTAAAAATACAAAAATTAGCTGAGCATGATTGTATACTCCTGAAATCCCAGCTACTTGGGAGGCTGAGGAATGAGAATCACTTGAATCCCAGAGGCGGAGGTTGCAGTGAGCAAAGATCACACCACTGCACTCCAGCCTGGGCAAAAGAGCAAGACTGTCTCAAAAAAAAAAAAAATACACACACACACACACACCACATAGATGTGAAAAAATACATTAAGGTATAGTCAGCAAGATATTAATAGTGTTCATAGTTAATACAATTTTAGATAATTATTGCTTTCTAAAGGTTTATACATCTTTTTAAAAATTCAAATATGTTTTATTTACAAAATAAAAACGTTTTTATTGTGAACAAAAAATTTACTTACTTTTTTGATAACATAAATATAGAAATATTGCCTTCAGGTACCTCTGTTTTATATTTTATGCCACATCATCAGTTCTCTTCTTTTTAATTCATAAACTTTATTTGTTAGAGCAGTATTAGTTTCATAACAAAGTTGAGTGGGAAGTACAGAGAGTTTCCCTATACCCCACAATTGGCATCCTACACCACAGTGGTAAATTTATTAAATAGATGGACCCATACTGACACATCATTATCACCTAAAGTCCGTAGTTTCCATTGCGGTTCATTGTTGGTGTTGTACACTTTATGGGTTTTGTCAAATGTATAATTGTATGTATAAACTATTGTAGTATACAGAATTGTTTCACTCTCCTAAAAATTCTTTGTACTCTGCCAATCCTTCTTACCTTACCCCTGGCAACCACTGATCTTTTCACTGTCTCCACAGTTTTGCCTTTTCTGAAATGTCGTATAGTTGAAATCATATAGTATGTAACCTTTTCAGATTGGCTTCTTTTCACTTGGTGATATGTGTTTAAGTCTCCTTTATGCCTTTTTCATGTGGCTTTGAGCACACATTTTATTTTTAGCACTGAATAATATTCCATTGTATGAAAGATCATGCGTTCACCTGTTGAAGGACGTCTTGTTTGCTTCCAAGTCTTGGCAATTATGAATAAAGCTCCTACAAATATTGTATGCAAGTTTTTGTGTGGGCATGTTTTTTATTCATTTGGGTAAATACCAAGGAATACAATTGCTGGATTGTATGACGAGAATGTCATACAAACAGCTGTAGCATTTTGCATTCCCATCAGCAATGAATAAGAGTTCCTGTTGCTACACAAGACCTCATCAGCTTTTGGTATTGTCAGTGTTTTGGATTTTGGTCATTCTAATAGGTTGGTAGTGGTACCTCATTGTTGCTTTAATTTATAATTCCCTTAATTACGTATGATGTTGAACATTTCGTATGCTTACTTACCATCTATGTATATTCTTTGGTGAGATGTAATTTTCCTTTTACTATTAGAAAGATGAGATAATTTGTCACCTGTCCTATATAAGAGAGGAAAGAGAAGGATTCACCTTACTCAGGACTATTGCATTGCGTAGCACAGGAGTGCATTTACATCACAGTCTATGTAGCTGGCTTTGACTAGAGTGTTGCAGAACAGAGCTGGCAAGTCACGGTGAGGTTGCTGTAATTTCATACATCAAGAACTAGTCTTATTTGATTGCTTTTAGTATTTTATGTCTACTTTAAATTCAGGTAAATATGGCGGGGGGGGGAAGGACAGAGGGAGAATAATTAGTTCCATAATATTACAAGCCAAAATATTGAAGCTACTACTCATCTTCTTTTTTATCTTGTTCAACAGAAAATGATACTAAGAAAATAGTGAAGGAGTTGATTCTCTATGAGATTTAGCAAATGTGGAACTGGTCACCTTCTTTTATAATATGGAATGCTAAAAAATATGTTTAAGTATTTTTATTTATTTTGGGGGTCAATTTATGTCATTGTTTTGTGAAATAGTGTGTTTCCTTATGCTGGAAAGTAAAATATTATTATTATTCAGTTTCTGGGATTTGTTCTAGCTTAACTAATGCTAAGAAATGAGCTTTGTGATGACATTCTTACATCTACTCTAAAAATTGTCCTTTGTTATTGTATAACTCTCATTTTAGGGTTCCACCAGTAATGCAATTTATTTTAAATAGATATTTACTGAATATTTACAATATTCCAGGCACTGTAGTAAAGCATAAGGCCTACAAACTTGCAATCAATCAAGTTCTATGCTGGAACTTGTAGGGGATGGGGAAGAGCTAGAAAAATCTCACTGGGCAGAGGTTGATTTTATAAAGAATGGAAATGAGGGAAATATAAACAATGAAGTACAATTTAGTCAGTCAGCCACCTGCAACTAATGGGTCTCATATAAGAAGCTGGAGTTGTTCTGAGTATTAGGAATTCTGAGAAGTAGTGGTTTTTAGTGTCTACTTAGGTAGAAGTATAAGATATTTGTCAGAAGAATCTATAGAGAAGATACTAGAGCTACCAGAGGCTAAAGATAATTGTAGTTCAGCCTTTAAGGTCCAAGGAAGCAATATTGATGGCTTAGAAGGGAGGCTATAGCCCTTTCTGGAGAAACCCATCTTTGACACCATTTATTATACCTAGCTCCATATATGTGGATAAGAAAGGTTTCAAGCCAAGTAATTGCAGAATTGGTTTTGAAAAGCAGCAAGTGGGTGCTAGATTAATACATAATCTGAGGTAAAAAGCTGTGTGAATTGCCAAAGTCAATAGAGAGATCACTGGGGAAATGAGAGAGTTGAACAGAGGGTTTATCAAATGACACAATGCATCCTAGGAAAGGGAAAGAGTAAGAGAAAGGAACTAGGAAGTGTTCATGTCTTTGAGATCTTGATATCAATTCTTTTGGATAAATATCTAGAAGTGGGATGGCTGAATCATATCATAGTTCTAATTTTAATTCTTTGAAGAACCTCCATCCTGCTTTTCGTAGCTGCTACGTCATTTTGCATTTTCAAAAACAGCGCAAAGGAGTTTCAACTTTTTCATATTCTTACCAACACTTGTCTTTTACTATTTTTTATAATAGCCATCTTAACAGATATGAGGTAATATCTTATTGCAGTTTTGATTTGCATTTTTCTGATGATTAGTTTCATTGGGCATTTTTATATACTTTTGAGGCATTTCTGTGTCTTCTTTGAAGAAATGTTTATTCAAGTTCTTAGGCAATTTTTAAATTAGTTCTTAATGAAAACATTCAACATTATACCTTTATTTACCACTCAGTGAAGATAATACTGTATCAGTATCGAATAATTTGGAGAGTAGCAGTTTCATTTTTATTCTTTTCTAAATATTATTTTCCCTCTTGATCTGCGATAAACTATGAAGAATGTTTTTTCTCATCTACTTTGTCCTCTTGATAGTCTCCAAATGCACTCTTACAAACTTGAGAATTTTCTTTTTTTTTTTTTAATTATACTTTAAGTTCTAGGGTACATGTGCACAACGTGCAGGTTTGTTACATATGTATACATGTGCCATGTTGGTGTGCTGCACCCATTAACTCATCATTTACATTAGGTATATCTTCTAATGCTATCCCTCCCCGCTCCCCCCACCATATGACAGGCCCCAGTGTGTGATGTTCCCCTTCCTGTGTCCAAGTGTTCTCATTGTTCAATTCCCATCTATGAGTGAGAACATGCGGTGTTTGGTTTTTTGTCCTTGTGATAGTTTGATGAGAATGATGGTTTCCAGCTTCATCCATGTCCCTCCAAAGGACATGAACTCATCCTTTTTTATGGCTGCATAGTATTCCATGGTGTATATGTGCCACATTTTCTTAATCTAGTCTATCATTGTTGGACATTTGGGTTGGTTCCAAGTCTTTGCTATTGTGAATAGTGCCACAATAAACATACATGTGCATGTGTCTTTATAGCAGCATGATTTATAATCCTTTGGGTATATACCCAGTAATGGGATGGCTGGATCAAATGGTATTTCTAGTTCAAGATCCCTGAGGAATCACTACACTGTCTTCCACAATGCTTGAACTGGTTTACCGTCCCATCAACATATAAAAAGTGTTCCTATTTCTCCACATCCTCTCTGGCACCTGTTGTTTCCTGACTTTTTAATGATGGCCATTCTAACTGGTGTGAGATGATATCTCATTGTGGTTTTTATTTGCATTTCTCTGATGGCCAGTGATGATGAGCATTTTTTCATGTGTCTATTGGCTGCATAAATGTCTTCTTTCGAGAAGTGTTTGTTCATATCCATTGCCCACTTTTTGATGGGGTTGTTTGTTTTTTTCTTGTAAGTTTGTTTGAGTGCTTTGTAGATTCTGGTTATTAGCCCTTTGTCAGATGAGTAGATTGCAAAAATGTTCTCCTGTTCTGTAGATTGCCTGTTCACTCTGATGGTAGTTTCTTTTGCTGTGCAGAGCTCTTTAGTTCAATTAGATCCCATTTGTCAATTTTGTCTTTTGTTGCCATTGGTTTTGGTGTTTTAGACATGAAGTCCTTGCCCATGCCTATGTCCTGAATGGTATTGCCTAGGTTTTCTTCTAGGGTTTTTATGGTTTTAGGTCTAACATTTAAGTCTTTAATCCATCTTGAATTAATTTTTGTATAAGGTGTAAGGAAGGCATCCAGTTTCAGCTTTCTACATATGGCTAGCCAGTTTTCCCAGCATCATGTATTAAATAGGGAATCCTTTCCCCATTTCTTGTTTTTGTCAGGTTTGTCAAAGATCAGATGGTTGTAGTTGTGTGGTATTATTTCTGAGGGCTCTGTTCTGTTCCATTGGCTTATAACTCTGTTTTGGTACCAGTACCATGCTGTTTTTGGTTACTGTAGCCTTGTAGTATAGTTTGAAGTCAGGTAGCATGATGCCTCCGGCTTTGTTCTTTTGGCTTAGGATTGTCTTGGCAATGCAGGCTATTTTTTGGTTCCATATGAACTTGAAAGTAGTTTTTTCCAATTCTGTGAAGAAAGTCATTAGTAGCTTTATGGGGATGGCATTGAATCTATAAATTACCTTGGGCAATATGGCCATTTTCATGATATTGATTCTTCCTATCCATGAGCATGGAACGTTCTTCCATTTGTTTGTGTCCTCTTTTATTTTGTTGAGCAGTGGTTTGTAGTTCTCCTTGAAGAGGTCCTTTACATCCCTTGTAAGTTGGATTCTTAGGTATTTTACTCTCTTTGAAGCAATTGTGAATGGGAGTTCACTCATGATTTGGCTTTCTGTTTGTCTGTTATTGGTGCATAGGAATGCTTGTGATTTTTGCACATTGATTTTGTATCCTGAGACTTTGCTGAAGTTGCTTATCAGCTTAAGGAGATTTGGGGCTGAGACGATGGGGTTTTCTAGATATACAGTCATGTCATCTGCAGACAGGGACAATTTGACTTCCTCTTTTCCTAATTGAATACCCTTTATTTCTTTCTCCTGCCTGATTGCCCTGGCCAGAACTTCCAACACTATGTTGAATAGGAGTGGTGAGAGAGGGCATCCCTGTCTTGTGCCAGTTTTCAAAGGGAATGCTTCCAATTTTTGCCCATTCAGTATGATATTGGCTGTGGGTTTGTCATAGATAGCCCTTATTATTTTGAGATACATCCCATTAATACCTAATTTATTGAGAGTTTTTCACATGAAAGGCTGTTGAATTCTGTCAAAGGCCTTTTCTGCATCTATTGAGATAATCATGTGGTTTTTGTCTTTGGTTCTGTTTATATGATGGATTACATTTATTGATTTGCATATGTTGTTCCAGCCTTGCATCCCAGGGATGAAGCACACTTGTTCATGGTGGATAAGCTTTTTGATGTGTTGCTGGATTCGGTTTGCTAGTATTTTATTGAGGAATTTTGCATCGATGTTCATCAGGGATATTGGTCTAAAATTCTCTTTTTTTGTTGTGTCTCTGCTAGGCTTTGGTATCAGGATGATGCTGGCCTTATAAAATGAGTTAGGGAGGATTCCCTCTTCTTCTATTGATTGGAATAGTTTCAGAAGGAATGGTACCAGCTCCTTCTTGTACCTCTGGTAGAATTCGGCTGTGAATCCATCTAGTCCTTGACATTTTTTGGTTGGTAGGCTATTAATTATTGCCTCAATTTCAGAGCCTGTTATTGGTCTATTCAGGGATTCAGCTTCTTCCTGGTTTAGTCTTGGGAGGGTGTATGGGTCGAGGAATTTATCCATTTCTTCTAGATTTTCTAGTTTATTTGCGTAGAGGTGTTTATAGTATTCTCTGATGGTAGTTTGTATTTCTGTGGGATTAGTGGTGATATCCCCTTTATCATTTTTTATTGTGTCTATTTGATTCTTGTCTCTTTTCTTCTTTATTAGTCTTGCTAGTGGTCTATCAATTTTATTGATCTTTTCAAAAAACCAGCTCCTGAATTCATTGATTTTTTGAAGGTTTTTTTTGTGTCTCTATCTCCTTCAATTCTGCTCTGATCTTAGTTATTTCTTGCCTTCTGCTAGCTTTTGAATGTGTTTGCTCTTGCTTCTCTAGTTCTTTTCATTGTGATGTTCGGGTGTCAATTTTAGATCTTTCCTACTTTGTCTTGTGGGCATTTGGTGCTATAAATTTCCCTCTAAACACTGCTTTAAATGTGTCCCAGAGATTCTGGTATGTTGTGTCTTTTTTCTCATTGGTTTCAAAGAACATCTTTATTTCTGCCTTCATTTCGTTATGTACCCAGTAGTCATTCAGGAGCAGGTTGTTCAATTTCCATGTAGTTGAGTGGTTTTGAGTGAGTTTCTGAATGCTGAGTTCCAGTTTGATTGCACTGTGGTCTGAGAGACAGTTTGTTATAATTTCTGTTCTTTTACATTTGCTGAGGAGTGCTTTACTTGCAACTATATGGTCAATTTTGGAATAAGTGAGATGTGGTACTGAGAAGAATGTATATTCTGTTGATCTGGGGTGGAGAGTTCTGTAGATGTCTATTAGGTCTGCTTGGTGCAGAGCTGAGTTCAATTCCTGGATATCCTTTTTAACTTTCTGTCTCGTTGATCTGCCTAATGTTGACAGTGGGGAGTTAAAGTCTCACATTATTTTTGTGTCGGAGTCTAAGTCTCTCTGTAGGTCTCTAAAGACTTGCTTTATGAATCTGGGTGCTCCTGTATTGGGTGCATATATATTTAGGATAGTTAGCTCTTCTTGTTGAATTGATCCCTTAACAATTTTGTAATGGCCTTCTTTGTCTCTTTTGATCTTTTGGTTTAAAGTCTGTTTTATCAGAGATTAGGATTGCAACCCCTGCCTTTTTTTGTTTTCTATTTGCTTGGTAAATCTTCCTCCATCCCTTTATTTTGAGCCTATGTGTGTCTCTGCATGTGAGATGAGTCTCCTGAATACAGCACACTGATGGGTCTTGACTCTTTATCCAATTTGCCAGTCTGTGTCTTTTAATTGGGGCATTTAGCCCATTTACATTTAAGGTTAATATTGTTATGTGTGAATTTGATCCTGTCATTATGATGTTAGCTGGTTATTTTGCTCATTAGTTGATGCAGTTTCTTCCTAGCATCGATGGTCTTTACAATTCGGCAAATTTTTGCAGTGGCTGGTACTGGTTGTTCCTTTCCATGTTTAGTGCTTCCTTCGGGAGCTCTTTTAGGGCAGGCCTGGTGGTGACAAAATCTCTCAACTTTTGCTTGTCTGTAAAGGATTTTATTTCTCCTTCACTTATGAAGCTTAGTTTGGCTGGATATGAAATTCTGGGTTGAAAATTCTTTTCTTTAAGAATGTTGAATATTGGCCCCTACTCTCTTCTGGCTTGTAGAGTTTCTTCTGAGAGATCCACTGTTTGTCTGATGGGCTTCCCTTTGTGGGTAACCCAACCTTTCTCTCTGGCTGCCCTCAACATTTTTTCCTTCATTTCAACTTTGTTGAATCTGACAATTATGTGTCTTGGAGTTGCTCTTCTCGAGGAGTATCTTTGTGGCATTCTCTGTATTTCCTGAATTTGAATGTTGGCCTGCCTTTCTAGGCTGGGGAAGTTCTCCTGGATAATATCCTGCAGAGTGTTTTCCAACTTGGTTCCATTCTCCTTGTCACTTTTAGGTACACCAATGAGACGTAGATTTGGTCTTTTCACATAGTCCCATATTTCTTGGAGGCTTTGTTCATTTAACGCTTTTTTCTCTAACTTCTCTTCTCGCTTCATTTCATTCATTTGATCTTCAATCACTGATACCCTTTCTTCCAGTTGATTGAATCGGCTACTGAAGCTTTTGCATTTGTCATGTAGTTCTCATGCCATGGTTTTCAGCTCCATCAGGTCATTTAAGGACTTCTCTACACTGGTTATTCTAGTAAGCCATTCATCTAATCTTTTTTCAAGGATTTTAGCTTCTTTGTGATGTGTTCAAACTTCCCCCAAAAGGCAGCAGAAACCTCGGCAGACTTAAATGTCCCTGTCTGACAGCTTTGAAGAGAGTAGTGGTTCTCCCAGCATGGAGTTTGAGATCTGAGAACAGACAGACTGCCTCCTCAAGTGGATCCCTGACCCCCGAGTAGCCTAACTGGGAGGCATCCCCCAGTAGGGGGAGACTGACACTCCACACAGCCGGGTACCCCTCTGAGACGAAGCTTCCAGAGGAACGATCAGGCAGCAACATTTGCTGTTCAGCAATATTTGCTGTTCTGCAGCCTCCTATGCTGATACCCAGGCAAATAGGGTCTGGAGTGGACCTCCAGCAAACTCCAACAGACCTGCAGCTGAGGGTCCTGATTGTTAGAAGGAAAGCTAACAAACTGAAAGGACCTCCACACCAAAACCCCATCTGTATGTCACCATCATCAAAGACCAAAGGTAGATAAAACCACAAAGATGGGGAAAAAACAGAGCAGAAAAGCTGAAAATTCCAAAAATCAGAGCGCTTCTCCCCCTCCAAAGGAATGCAGCTCCTCACCAGCAATGGAACAAAGCTGGACCGAGAATGACTTTAACGAGTTGCGAGAAGGCTTCAGACGATTATACTTCTCCAAGCCAAAGGAGGAAGTTATAACCTTGAGAATTTTCATGCCTTTTGACTGGCTTTCCTATAATTGCCTTTTGACTGGCTTTCCTATAATTGGTCCAGTTTTGTAAGATTTATCTTTGTAGTTATTCTGTATAATAGTGGTTCTCAAAGTGTAGTTCAGGGACCACCTTAGGTTCCTGAAATCTTTTTAAAGGATCCACCATACCAATATAGCTTTTATAATAATACTAAAACAGTATTTTCCTTTTTGATTCTCATTCTCCCATTACTGTATCATGGAGTTTTTCCAGAGGCTGCATGACATGATACAATAAGAGATTTAATATATAAACAGATATGAAAATCTCTGGGTTATTAAGCCAGACACTAAATCTATTCTTAAAAATATAGACCAGTTCCACTCTTAACAGTTATTTTTTTTGAAATATAGTTCTGTTTTATAATAGTGTGTAATTTCATGAAAATAAAATGGGTTTCTTATTGTTATTTTAAATAAATTAATGCATACTTTAAACTTTTTACACTTTGAATTTCTAGTATGGTAAATATTGAAAGAATATAATACACATAAATAAAAGATTTTAGGGGCCTCATAATTTTGAAGCAAATAAAGGAGTCCTCTGACCAAAAAGTTTGAGACCCTCTGCTAAACATCTCCATCAGATATAATTTTTATCATTTCTTTTTAAATATAACTATATGATTGTAAAGTAACACTTAGATTAGGAATGTTTTGGATAAACTTATAAGTTAGCAGTAATGACCTAAATGTATTTTTACATTTTTTATTTACTATGTTCCCATGTGACCATGGTTTAGTTATATATGGCTATGATTTTAGAGTACAAAAGTATCCAATATTGAATATACTGTCTACATAAAAAAGCATTCTTACTCATTAGCTAGAATTCCTGTGCTTAATGTAAGTTGCTTATGAGATTTAGGAATAATATATTTAACAAATTTCCTTCCCAATATCTTAGTTATAATAGTTCACAACACATATGCCTTTAAATAACTTCACTAATGTTACATTTTCAAAGACAAAATTTTGTTATACATGTTATGGATATGTATGTAGAGACACGAGTAAAAATTTACATGAACAGTTCTATGAGAGAAATAATAAAGAAGGAAGAGAATGCAATAGTTAGAATTGGGAGTAATCATCCCTAATAGCGATGTAAACAAAACAACTGTTCTCTCACATAAAAATCAAGAGATAGACAGTGCATTGCTGGTATAACAACTCTGCATCATAATGTTCTCAGAGTTCTTCACTCCTTCCATCCTGTTGCTCCAGCATACATGGCCTCTATTTTGCAGGTCCTCTTGTGGTCCACAATAGTTTCACCAGATCCAGTCATTATGCTTTCATTCTAACCTGCCAGAAAGAAGAGGAAATAAAGAAGAAGAGGTCACAGCTATTGTGTTTACTTTTGGAAAGTTCCTAGAAGCTGCCATGCAACACTCTGCTTATATCTGGTAGGCCCCACAAATTGGGCTCATAGCTACAAGAGGCTAAGAAATAAAGTCTCATTAAGATCATCCAAATGCCCAGCTAAAACATGAGTTTCCTTTATTATAGAATAAGATTGGAATGACTATTGAAGGACAATTTCAAACATTTGCCTGTACCTTTTCCAAAAACAGAACACAAAGCCTCTACCAAAGGGAGCAAACCTAAAAGCTTATGTCACTATAATAGTCAGAAAAAATTCCATCATTTCTGGTTGTGGCAGTAAGTGATGTTTGCCCTCTAATATCTATCATATCTCTCTTCCTCTCTAATAGCATCCCCAAATTTTAGCTGTCTGGATTAATTTGCATTTCTCAGCTTCTCTAGCAATTAAGTATTGGCATGTATATTAGTTTTCTATTACTACAAATTTGGTGGCTTAAAATGGGATAAATTCATTCCTTTATAGTTCCAGAAGACTAAAATTGGCTTTACTTGACTAAATCAAAGTGTTTACATGGCTGATGTTTTTCAAAGGGCAGAATCTGTTTTCTTGCCTAGTCTAGTTTCTGGAAGCTGCCTATATTCTGTGGCTTGTGACCCCTACCTCACATCACCCTAACCTCTTGCTTCTGTCATCTCATCTCTTACATACATCCTCTCTAATGTCCTGCCTCCCTCTTACAAAGACCCCTATTATTTTATCAGGCACACCACAATAATCAACTCATCTCAACATCCTTAATCACATCTGCAAATATCTTTTTGCCTATAAAGTGTTATGAGCTGAATGTGTCCCTTCAAAATTCATACGTTGAAATTCTAAACTTGTGTGGCTATATTTGGAGATGGGGACTCTAAAGAAGTAATTAAGGTTAAATGAGGTCATAAGGATGGGGTCCTGACCTGATAGGATTAAGAATCTCCCCCTCCCCCAACCCCATGTGCACATACTGAGGAAAGACTATATCAGGACATAGTGAGAAGGTTGTCATCGGCAAGCCAGTAACAGCCCTCATCAGAAGCTGAATCAGCTGGAACCTTTACCTTGGACTTCCAACTTTCAGACCTGTGAGAAAAAAAAGACTATGTTTTAAGCCAGTCAGTCTATGGAAGCCCTACCCAACTAATATATAAGGTGACATTCACAGGGTTCAGGGGATTAGGACATAGATGATTTGGCAGCCCTTTATTCAGCTCATCAAACCATGTCATGAAGGGAAGTATTTGGCAGATTCTGAGAAATGTCCCCAAAAGACAGTTGGCAATGGATTTTGTCTCTTCTTTCTGCCTTCCTTCATTCTGTGGCTTGGAACTTCATTTTAGACCATGAATGAGTGGAAACTTGGAAGTATCCTGGATAACAGAAAATTGCAGTTTTCATACCAGCCCTGGTCTTCTTACATTCAGATATTCATGTGAGATGGAAGTACTCCTATATTGAATAAGTCACTACTTGCAGCTAAACTTAATTCCAATCGTTATATTGGTAGATGTCCAGTCTGCTTCACTTAGACAAGATATAACTCATAGTCTAGCAACCTATAGCTAAATTATAAAATATTCACCTTATACATACCTAGCATATAAAGTGGCATAGAAACAGCATACCTATAATAAAACTCTAATTTGGAAAAGGGAAACACAGTTGTTTCTGCCCCCATAGCAGTTACCAAATCAGTCTGATAGGAATAGTAAACACTCTCTTCTTTTGAAATAGAGTAAACACATCTGGAAAAATCTCCTATATTTTCCCTGTGAAAACATCTTACCTGTTTATTCATATTTATGGCAACATCAGAATTAGGTATTAGGGAATTTGTTCCTCCTGAGTGTTGGAGTTTCATAGTCTTAATAGATTTAGGGGCCTGTGGGTTGCTATAGAGATTGAAGAACCACAGGTATTTTTAGGACAGACTTTTTTTTTTTGGTAATACATTTCATTCAAAAACTTAGTATGCTTCTGATTTATTTGATGTCAGTAGTTTCTATCCTTAAGCAAGTAGAAAGATCTTGTTTAGACATTGTTTATAATCCTGAAGCTTCTGATCTTTCACTTACTGGTTTTTGTTCTCTACTCATTTTCCTCTCTTCCAAATTAACGATAGTGACCATAGGTGAACTTTCTGAAACAATGGGTGTTGGAGGGAAGACAAAATTCTTAATCTCATCTTTCCTGCAGACATTTACACCTTTGTATATAAGTCTTATTTCTACTTTGAAGTCCCCTATTGTAACCGCTTCAATTTGAGGAACGAGATGTTGGTTTTTTCACCTACACAAGGCCCTGAATCACTAGAATCTCAGTAAGCTTAACTTGCAGACTTCAAAGAGTACCTGCCTTATCAAAAATTTTATTCTATTTCCATCTCTTATTTCAGCCTGGCTAGATATAACCCAGATTTTTTTTTCTCTCAAAAGACTTAAATAAAAGCTACAAGTAACATCTAAGACACACTCAATTACGGTATTTGTTTGAAAATTTCTGTAACACAACACACTCAGTCAGCATGTAGCCTGCCTTCCAAAGTGAAAATGTTTTGAAGCCATAATAACAAGGGTCACCAGCTCTTCAGCCTATAATATCTTGAGTCCTTATCACTGGTCACCCAATCTCCTGTACTAAGGTGGTGTCAAATGTTTTACATTTCTTTCATCTGTACCATCCCACTTCCAGCTACCATATTGCTATCAGTTTAAATTAGATTCAGCTATGTGTAATAAAGATCTAAAATGATACTAATATGTTTGTTCACCTCTCAGGTAAAACTCCAGAGGTATACAGTCTAGGACTGATATTATGGAACTATTTCACTCAGTACTTAGTGACTGACTGTTTTTATCTCATGCTTTTCTGAACATGACCTCCAGTCAAATAGTACCTCATGACCCAAAATGACTGCACTTACTCCACCCATCACATGCACACTCCAGCCATCAAGAAAGAGGAAGAGATAGAAAATAAAAGTGTGAGGGAACTTGCAGATGTGTTTTAAGTAAGGTTTCTAAATGATGCCACACAATATATCTTTGGCTAGATTTTGGTTTTATCATTACATTCAGCTGCAAGGAAGGCTGAAATATGTAGGCATTATTTTAAGCAGAAATGTGCCCAGACAAAAATCAGAGATTCTATTATGAAAACAAAGGTAAACGAATATTAAAGAACAAATATAAGTCTTTGCTGCAGAGTAGGTATGGAAAGCAATTGGCAAAGCAATAGAAAATAATCAAGAAGTAAAGAAAGTATTTAATGGAGGTAGAATGTTATAATAAAATATTATAAAATAAAATAGATACTTTCCACTTGAATTATTAAGACATTTATTTGCCTGAGACAGTTAAAGCAAAGCTAGGTTGCACTGATGTCAAAAATCTTGCTATAGGATGTTTGTTACTTTTTACTAATAAGCTTGTATTCTCTATGGTTCTTTTTCTCTTCTTTGAATTTCACTTGTTTTTGGTTTCTCTTTGATGCTTTCTGAAATTTTTTTCAATTACTCTTCCAGTTCACTAATTTTCTTGTTAGCTACGTTTAATCAATAAATTTTAATTTTTTGTTCTTTCCTGCAGATATATCAAAATTGTTCATTCTTTATTGAAAAATAATAAGCAGAGTAACTCTATAGTCTTTGTTCATGTTCATTTGATACCTCAGGTCTTGTGTACTGCTCATTGTATTTGAAATATCAATTGTGAAAATTTTAGGCCTTAGAATGAAGGTACTTTCCTCCAGATAGTGTTTCCATTTTCTACCACTAGAAACTGAATCACCACCAATATTTGACCATGACACAATTTAAATCTCGAGATTTTATGGATTATTCAGGTATCATTTTAATTTACAGCCTGTTTTATTCCATGTTTACTTGTATCATGCTGTAGCTGTGTGAGTTTCCAGCTCACTATGGACAGGACCTTCTACTTTGGTGAACATGGGATTTGATTTTTGATTCCTGATCTCCTTGAGCCACCAAAGTTATTCCTGATCTGCAAATTTTATCAGAACAAAAGCATCTTTGAGGACTTACCTTTGGGGGATCTTGCCTTCTCTTAAATTTTGACCTGATAAGTCCTAGCTTTCTTGGTAGCTCTTTCCTAATTTTCAAAAGACTTTTAATTTTTTTATTTTGATTTATGTATTTACTTATTCTTTTTGAGATAGTGTCTCACTCTGTTTGTTGCCCAGGCTGGAGTGAAGTAACACATTCATGGCTCACTCCAATCTTGACCTCCTGGACTCAAGCAGTCCTTCCACTTCAACCTCTCTAGTAGTTGGTAATACAGGCACACACTCCCACACCCAGCTAAGTTAAATTTTATTATTATACTTTTTTTTTAGAGACAAGGTTGTTGCCCAGGCTGGTCTTGAAATCCTGGGCTCAAGCAGTCCTCCTACATTGGCCTTTCAAAGTGCTGGGATTACAGATGTGAGCCACCATGCCTGGCCTAAACAAATCTTTCATAAGGCTTTTTGAAACTTGAGAATTAGTCCAAATTTATATTTTACCAGTCCTGGTTATGGATGTCTCTACTCTCCAAATTTTATTTTCATTACTAAGTATTTCTGGTACAGTCTTCTTTTGACCTGATAATCATTATCTCTTTTTAGCTGTATTTTAAATACTAAATCTGATGTACTTTGTGTTGATTTTATAATTTATTTTTAAGTTTTAAAGTTCTCTCATAGTTTTCTCATCTTCCTAGCACTTCAGTTTTAAAAAAAAAACTATTTTGTAGATTTTTTATTCCATTCTGACTAGTCTATCTTGAATCCTGATTTATTATAATTCTGTAGATGCCATCAAATAATTTATATTTGGATCCCCAAAGACAGAAAATGCATAAGATCCTATTACCAAGTTTAAATGAAAGTTCTGGAAGTGTTATAGCTAGTAATTAATGATAAATATGTTGTTTTCTGCATTTTAGTTATTTTGAGCTTCAGTTTTATCAAACAGTAAAAACATAGTAAAATTCATATTTACTTGGCTTCTTTTTACATTCTTGAGTTACCACTAGAAATAGTAAAAAGTGTTACAGTTTTTGAAAATGTGAATCCTAAATTGCCTGAAAAATTATAATAATTTTCTCAGGTCTCTTGCTATTATGTTAATTATCTTTGGTATCTCACATTGTTTACATTTTGTTATAATTTTGAGAAACACTACTGAAGCTACATTGCCAACTTCACCATTTTTAAAAACATCTTTACTGAGATGTAATTCACATACCATTAAAATAAAACATTTTAAGTGTCCAGTCCAGTTGTTTTTAGTATATTCACAAATTTGTGAAACGATCATCACTAATTAAATAAAATTTTCATTATTCCCCAGAAGAAACCCCATACCCATTAGAAATTCTCTCTACAGCCCCTGGGAACATTAATCTATTTTCTCTCTCCATTAATTTGTCTATTCTTGGCATTTAATATAAGCGGAATCATGCATATATGTTATTTTATGTCTGGCTACTTCCACTTAGTATAATGTTTTCAAGAGTCATCCATGTTGAAACACTTTTTTTCACTGCCCAAATCTCATGTCAAACATGTTGTAACATTTATCAACAATTCATTTATTTTTTATGGCTCAATAATATTCCATTGTATGGATATGCCACATTTTGTTTTTCCATTCATTCGTTGAGTTCCTTCTAATTTATGGATATTTTTAACTATGCTGCTCTAAACATCCATGTACAAATTGCTGAATGAATATATGTTTTTAGTTTTCTTGGGTATACCTAAAAGTGAAATTACTGGATGATATGGTAATTCTACACTTGACTTTTTGAGAAACTGCCGAACAGTTTTCCATAGCAGTTGTACCATTTTGCATTCACATGATAAATGCATGAGAGTTACAATTTCTCCAAAACCCAACCAATACTTGTTATTTTATGTCTTTATGATTATAACTGTTCTACAGGATACAAAGTAATCTCATGGTGGTTTTAATTTGCATTCCCCTAGCAGTTGATGATGCCAGCATCTTTTTGTGTATTTATTGTCCCTTTATATATCTTCTATGGAGAACTGTCTATTTAAATCCTTTGATCATTTTATAATAGATTATCTTTTTATTATTGAGTTGTGAGAATTCTTTACATATTCTTGATACAAATCTTTTATCACATATATAATTTGTGAGTTATTTTCTCATTATGTGGGTTGTCTTTTCACTTTCTCAATGGTATTCTTTAAATCCCAGATGCTTTTTATTTTGGTAAACTTACATTTATATTTTTTTCTTGTTGCCTTTATTTTTTGTGTCATATCTAAGAAACCATTCTTTCACTTGAGGCCTCAAAGATTTTTTTTCTATGTTTTCTTCTAAGCGTTTATAGTATTAGCTCTTATATTTAGACCTATAATCTATCATGAGCTAATTTTCATGTGGTGTGAGGTAAAGGTTTGACTTTATTATTTTACATATAGATATCCACTTGTCCCACTACCATTTGTTGAGAAAAATTTCTTATCTCTATTGAATTATCTTGGTACTGTTGTCAGAATTCAATTGACTATATTGAAGGATTTATTCCTGGACTCTAAGTTCTATTTTATTGATACGTATGTCTGTATATATAATTTTGGCATTGAATAATTTATATTATTTAAAAGGTATGCTACTACTGAAGGACAAAAAATCTTAAGAATCTTCAATGGTATAGTTTGTTATTGTTTTATGCTTAATATTTAAATCTATTATCCTAAAATGTAAGCATTTTATGTCATTATAATAAATTTCAGAAATTAACATGCAAATAATTCCTCCCATGTGTATGAATGTTGTGTTATTTTCTCTGAAAAAACTTACGAAATGTTTGTAATTTTTAGACTCATAATGGATAGAAATCTATGTGGAGAGTTAGTTTCTGAGAGTTGACATATGGAAAGAATATTCAAATATCTGAGAGACAATTGTTTTTTTTTGTTTTGTTTTTTTGTTTGTTTGTTTGATGGAGTCTCACTCTGTTGCCGAGGCTGGAGTGCAGTGGCGCAATCTCCACTCACTGTAACTTCTGCCTCCTGGGTTCAAGCAATTCTTCTGCCTCAGCCTCCCAAGTAGCTGGGACTACAGGCGCCATCACACCCAGCTAATGTTTGTATTTTTAGTAGAGACAGGGTTTCACCGTATTGGCCAGGCTGGTCTTGAACTCCTGACCTCATGATCCACCTGCCTCAGCCTCCCAAGGTGCTGAGATTACAGCTGTGAGCCACGGCCCCCAGCCTGATGACTTTTTTACCTATAGAAATACTGATTTATCCCACTGTTCGGCCACACAGTATAATGCAAATATGATGGTCTTTATAATTAAAAAATCAGTTTTGCTCATATACTTAAAGGTCCGTAGATAGGTACTCACACAAATTTATAGATATAAGTATCAATACAGATATCAACACAGATTGTTTTTACATAAGTACTAAAGATTAGCTAAAAATTTCACATTCTATGCTCTTATGTGCCTTTTTCACCTCAACATGCAATGGGATAATTAAAGAGGGTAGATTTTTTTTTATGAAATAGCATTTTAGATGAGGTAATAGAGGAATACAGATGAAATAGAGACCAATACGTTTATATAATTAAACACCAACTCTGTGGTGGATCATTGAAAAAAATGAAAGCCAAAAAGTAAAAAAAAAAAAAAAAAAAAAAAAAAGATAAAATTTTAAATAATACTATTCAGAAGAACAGAGGAAGGAAAATGCTAACTAAGAAAACTATATGATCAAAACTGTGGAAGTGAGAATTAGCTTGGCAAATGTGTTAATGGAAAGGAAATTATCTTAAACATAGAGATGTATGAGACAAAATGTGGAAACAAGTGGATAGGGCTGTTAATGAACATTTTAATTTCACCTGAGCACTCAAAATGATTATTTGGCAATAAAAGTTCTCTCTATATATTTTAATACCATATGTGGAGTTGTGGAGTTATATGCATAATATTTATCAAAATACTTTGAGTAAACAAGTTACATTTATTATTTAATCTTCCATATAAGCAACCAAATGTTAGGATTGCTATTTAATTGTAATTAAGATATGAAGGAAAGAGTAAAGAGTAAGTTCTTACACCTGTCAGCCTAAAGTTTTGTAGGTGGTGAAATGTTACAGATGACAAGATAGTGTAGAAAACTTCCTAGAGCCTAGATAAAAGAGCATAATAGGATTATAGATTACAGGAGTTTATGGGTGTTTTGGCTTACTGTTTAATTGTTTTTTGTTGTCTGTTCACCATTCTCTTTAGTCTTTTGTCCATTATTACCTGTTTGCCTCATGTTTTCCTAATGTAAATTAAGTATTATTTACTCTTTTACATCTGCCTAACTCATGTTCCCAGTTTCTTTAAGATGCTTTCCAATGAGCTCAATCTTTTGATAACTTTTAGAGCTTTTAGCCTATTACTCATATTAAAACTTAAACATACACTTTATCTTGAGATTCACAGGTGATGGTATATTAATTAAAACACAATAGGTTAAACTAAGGAAGAATTTGGACTGGGCTAGTATGACAGTACAGGAGACAGAATGGTTATAGCACTAGGAATTAGAAAAAGAGAATCAGTCTGGTATCCAGTGAGTACTGTAAGCTCTATTCATTGTCCACATGGCAAGAAAGAGTTGAGCAACTGTCATGAAGCATTTAGCAACATTGAAATTGGACCAGGTTAAGATTAAAAGTCGGTTAATGGAATCTGTCATCAGGTATCAAATCCCAGACACCATGCTGAAGTATTGTCTTAAGAAGAAAACTCGGACTAAAGACTGGATAGGTAGAATAGAGGCTTAGGAAATGGCTCAAGGCAGATGTCAAGTTTGAAGAAACTGGGAAACATTGCAAAGGCAGAAAGGGGTGATGAAGTCTCAAAATGAGGTAAAAACCTAACTACCAGCATTATATGTTAGGCTGTTCACAAAGATAAATTTATCAAGAGTTCTAAATTTTGGCCTGAAGACACTTAAATAGCTCCTGTCACAGGTACTAGAACTGGAAAGAGAGTGGGGTCTCTGTTTGTTGATTTAGTAGCTCCGAAGGATGGAGAGGGTGATTACAGAGATGGAGCATTATTTCTACCAGCAGCTTTTTTCTCAGAAGCAAACCATGGCTGCATATTGTGAGAGATTCCATTATTAGAATTGTGTGTTAGAATTAACTGTGTTTGATCTTAGTGCCTATGTATCAATCAGTCAATTATTGAGAGCAAAGTCTTTTTCACAGATAGGTCTGACATAAAAAGCATCACTATATGTCCTTCTCTGCTTCACCTCCATTCCAGCACACTGCCTTCTTTCTACAATTATGCTATCTTAAAGTAGGCACTAAAAGCCTTTGTTCATTTGCCTTAAATTAAATTCTGGGCTCCCAGGCTAAAACCTCCTTCCTGGTAACTACTTCAATTTATTTTGGAATAATTTATTCCAAGATTGTACCTCTTTATCTTTTCCCTCTTCACTTCAACTTGCAATGGTAAATAAAATAACATAGTCTCTGATGTCATCCAGAATGAAGATTCATTCTCTTTTAGTAAAGATCACTTTTAGTATTAGGGGAAATTAGTCTCTCTCTGATGTTATTCAGGTTTGTTTATGTCTTTATTTAAATTTATTTATATTCGACCTCCTTTTAAGGTGACTATTCTATATGAACATTTTTACACTAAAAATATTAGCCATTTTATGGCAGGTTGTGTTTTATTTTTTTTTTTTTTTTTGCCACCATGTACTTAGCATAGTGATACGCACATAGGATGCACTCAAAAAATATTTATTTATTTAAAATAGTATCTGTTGCATTTAAAAAGCAGAATCCAAATTCTATTTATATTGTTTTGAGTTACAACTTATAAATCACATAATCATTTTCATATATTTTGTGAAAACATTATTCTACTGCCCTAATATAAAATAATAGCTGACAGAATCTGCTTATCATTGTGATATTTGTATGTGGGTGGGAAGATTGAAGGGAATCATTGAAAGAAAATACATTAACATTATAAGATGCAAGTCAAAGAATAAAACATAAAGTTATGAGCTATAGAAATAAAACTGATTTTCTTGACAGTCCTGTTATAGTAGAACTTGGAATACCCTTCAAAGATAGATAAAGTAAGGGGGTTACCAGTACCGTGGTCATTATAATGAAATTCATTATTCTGGAAATTCTATAGGCTGATGATATTAACAGACCAAAAATAAATCACATAGATAAATTAATGAATAGTAGATTCTTAAGGGTTATTAAAGAAAATTAAAATGTTTTGGTGGATAAACAACTTTTTACGGCATATTCCTTTTTACTACTATTAAAGGTAAAATACTTGGTATATATGACAATTAGTCTGCCTCAGTATGCCAAGTCATTTTCCCCTTAATTCTTAGAATTCTGGTATTATCTTGATAATACTACTAGAGAGACAGCATTGGAGTTTTACATAAGATCTGCACTTTTTGTCTTTCTGTGGGAAATAAATATATATTCTCAACTGCTAAATATTTATCAGAAATGCATACACTCGTTTCACAAGAAAAATATTTGGGGACAGTAGAGATAGAAGAAAATAATTAAAAAGTATGTCTGTCCTTTTGAATTTTAACTTTTGAGCTCATTGAAATGTGAAAATTCACATGTTTAGGTTTCTTGCTATCATTTGGAGAGCCAAGATTATTAGAATTCATGAGCACCTAAAAGCAAATCTTGAGCTCACTGTCCTCCAGGCAAAATGTAATGTTTGCTGATTATTGTTAACTAATGGTACACCTCAAGAGTTTAACTGATTTTTTCCATCTTTAAACTTTATTACTGTATTTTTCTTCAGGATAAAAAAAAATTATGGGTCAATTTTCACTGAAGTGGGCTGGATGTGTGTATTCATCTCTCATCAGTGCCAAAAGGAATTATGCACATCATTCATTGGACAACAGGATGAAAACTTGTCTCTGATTGGACACTAGGGATATCAGCTGTACACACAAGATAAGTGTAAAGTTGAAAAGAGAAATACACTTAGTAATTCACTCAAGCTAGCATTTATTAACACTTTAAAACTTGCATTAAAATGTTCATGATATTATTTCCTTCCTCATATAAGAAAGCTAACATTACAATTCTTAAATTGAATGAAACATACCATCATAAAAATTGCTTTGCAGAGACTGCTAATGCAAAAACTTTTAAGCTGTTCATCCTTTTTTAATGAAAAAGATAATAAGATCAATAAAAGCACCATTCTTTACCACTTACTTAGAATGAATTTTTATTTGTTCAATGTAAGAGAGATTGGCTATTTCAATGTGTTTCAATATTGGTATAAGCTTTAAATGACAAAGATTTGTGTTTTATGACTTACCTATACATCAACAGCACTGAATTTTCTCAAAACTTATTTAGGCAGCATGACTTGGAAGGAAAATATTAACTATTGAATCACACTGATGCTCTCTGGTCTAGTTAAGATAGTTTTTTAGATACTCCATATAAGCCTGGGTTTTGCTGACAAAATTCACCTACAAAGCCCAGAGAGACTTACAGTCACTTGCAGGCATTTCTTTATATTAAGGCCTTTAAAAATAAAATATACAAGATTCTGACAACACTTGCCTTAATTGCTTAAGAACTTAAAATAAGCTTGTTGGTAGAAATGGTTTGCCAACTAGGGCAGTTTTGAGTCACCTTATCCAGTCCCCGGAATATTGGAGTCTTGTAAATAATTAACATTTGGGCAGTGGCTGAAATATTTCTGACCAGAGCAGTAGGCATAAAGTTATTAAGCAAGCTATGCTGAATACAATGTGGAGTGAAACAGACTAAGATTTGTACTGAGGCTGTAGAATTTTCAGGCTGCCTACCTTGGGTGAGTGATAGCAGTTTACTGAGACTGAGCCTCAGGAGATATATATGTACATACATAAGCACGTGTGTTTGTGTGTGTGTATTTTCTGCCTTGTTATATAATCCATCATTTGATAAAAAGAGTCCCTGAAGTTTTAGAGATACATGTGGCATTTGGCGGAGAAGAAACATAACTATACTTCATATGAGACAGTCATTTTAGGCTTCAGTATTGTAATAAAAACTTACATGAAGTAACACTTAAGAAATATTCTGAAATCCTAAAATGAATATATTGTTCCAAGTTGCAGGGGGATAAAACCTCAATTTTAGAAAATATTATTCAAGTAATTGTTATTGAGTCAATTTCATAATTTATCAATATGTGTTTATAAAGTACATGCAAGTAGATTGTAATATGCCTTACTTTAGAGATATAATTATATATATATAGCTACTTTGTTAATAGGAGACATTTTTCTCATGAAAAAATATAAATCCCTCCTCAGATTCAAACTCAAACTTAAAACACATAAATTCTAAATTGCTGGATTACTTAAGGTGTTTAGGTAAAGTAAGAGCAAACTAATCAGTAATAAAATATTGGCAAGTCCCCGTTTGTGGCTTTTTTCTAAATCTTTCATAAATATAGACATTGTTCAAATATACTTAGAAATATAGAGTCTTGAGCTATGTATTTTATTGTTAAGAAAAAAGAATTTCCCTCTTGAAAATTCCATTTTATTGCCCATCATTAAATTTTACATGACCCTATGAACTTTTCAGAATTGCAAATTACTTAAGCAGTGTAAACTCATATTACTCATATACGTATGTCTCTTTCATTAAAATGATTAGATTTATAAATTGAAAATATTATCGTAACTAATTGGCCTAAAACATGAGGTTTAATAAAATGCAGATTTTAATCAGGAGCTTAAGAATTTAGCCTATGCTTTCTACTATGTTTTTCTCACTTTCAATGCCTTTTTTTCTTGTTTTCACATCTACATAGGGAAATAATCAGTAAATTATGAAATATTTTGAAAAAGACATAATTTAAATATTTACTAATAATAACTTTGTGCCTATGTTTAATATTATGCCATGGATATAGCTGCCATTCAATACATAGTTGTTGAATAAACTAATCAAATTTATTATCCTTTTTTGTTGTTTGTGACTTGATAATACAACAGATTGAAGAATACAATCAAACTGGTGCGGAAATATCAAGATAAGTAAACCACAACCTCAGTCCTCAGAGAGAGTAATTTTTACTAGGGGTGAGCAATGGACATAACTATGATATAAAGTAGAATGCAACGAATGCTTTGAAGGCTATAAACAATGATATTAATTATTTAAGGGAGAGTTATACTCTGTTTAAAATGAGATCTTTAGATAAAGATATAGAATTATTTTTAATCATTACTAATAATATGTTAGCTACTAGATAATGTAATCCACGTACTAGAAAAATAGGGTTGTGAATAGAATTGTATTGAAACGTAAACAAAAATTAATCAAATACATTTTTGGAGAGATTTTCAAATAAAATGAAAACTATATATTCTGAAATTTCCCCATGTCCTTTCTTTTACTTATTCCACCTAGTATCAATTACTACAATACACAAACTAGCATTGTTTTTTTCCTCAATTTGAAACTATAACCTGCTCTAAAATCTCATGGAAGTTTGCAACATCTCTTTTTCACTGGGTTCTACAAAGGCTACTACCAAGTGCCCACTGTAGTGTAGCTAAGAGTAGGCATCATTAATTTACACATTGGTGCCTCCAATCTTAGTAAAGATAGACCTTAGACTATTAGACCATTCTTGAACTGAGGGAACATAAGCTTTCTATTATCTTTTTTGTCATGTGTTCTTAAACTGGACACTTGCAGCATAATATAATATTCAGGTGCCCTCATTTCTTGGCTAAGTTGTGTGTAGAAGAGAAATGTCACATTTCTTTTATTTATACTATATGTTTCCTGTGTTTATTTATCCAGGCTATTCTTTTTGGATTCTCTCCTGCGTATCAAGGGTATTATCACTTCTAGTTCACTCTCTTAAGATAAAGTAAGATTGATATCAAATGCAGGATAGTAGCAATTATTCAAACCTCAGTTAAACCTGCCAGTCACTTAAAGGGGTTATCTTTTTTAAGTAACTTTTTAGAGTTACTTTTTAGTAACTATTTCTGGTAAAACTTCATTTTAAACCATTTGAACCATGCTCCTTTCTCCATGGTTTTTCTTGTTAGCCAGTACTTATTATTGAAAGCAGAGTCCAAGTGCTACTCTATAGTTTACCCACTTTGAGGACAACCCTATTTACTTGCCATACATGGATTGCTGTACACGTTAACCTCCCCCTAAGGTGAAGGCTTTGCATACTATGTTAATGAGAGGCTGTGCTGCCAGACACTAGAGCTAACGATTTTCATTCAAACAAATAAAGGCGACTCTTTTTGTTTGAGTTTTAGTATAATCTCTTTGAGTATTATCTGGAAAAGGTAAGATCTGGATTAGCACTCTGATTTGTATCATTCAGAATGTGAAAACAAAATTACAATTTTTTAGAGCTCTAACTAGGCTAAGTTGGGAAACTCAAACTAGGAAGGGTTGAAAATGCACCTTGAATTTGAAAGACAGCAGAGTTCAGTGTAAAGTGTTTATTCTTGATCTAGAAAGAAGATAGAGGCAATGGTTACCACTGCTACCGCTCCTTAATTTTTAAAGATAAATCATTATCTCTCTTGGGAAAATACATATCTAGTACCATAATCCATCTGACTTTTATAACCAGGTACTTATTCAATTTGTCAATTGTGGAGAGTTCTATAGCTCCTCAGATAATCTATTCCAATTTTCAATAATGCTCTGAGAAATTCTTATTATGATTAGATGAGATTTATTAATATACTATGTCTCCCCCACTTCTATACCTATTATAGATTATCTTTTCTTAGCTTCTTCACTCTGAATTACCTAAGGATGGCTCTTTAATTGCTGTTTTGGTTTTTTTTGTGTGTGATATAGAATCAACAGAACAGGTAGATAGATGTATCTGACTAAAGATATAATTATTCTTACCACATGTTTATGTTTATGCTTTTTGTGTGTGTGACAAATTCAGAAATTGATAAGTTGATAGAAACACCAAAAAATTCAGAGAATCTAAATTCAGAGAATCGTGATAAACAGTTTATAAAGAGATGCAAGAGTTGTGAAGGGTTGCTGAGTGAGAAGCTTTGGAGTAACAAAAAGATGTGAAAGAATTCAGGAAGAAAAGAAGAGAATGTTGAATGTGTTATTGGGGCAAAGTCCTGTAGAAAATACAAGCTATACGTTTCTTTTAAAATTATTTCTGGTTGTTGGACTGTCTCCAAAGAATGGAGCTTTGTTTTACATCATATTGAACTGAAGTTTCTAAATCTCCACTCATTCCTTCTGCTATTTCTCTTTGGCTATATTCATTCAGCATTTAATGAATAATTATTGAGTATTTATTGAGTGTCAGAGAACATTCTCAGCATTGAGTAAAAAAGAAAAGAAAAGTCCTTGCCCTTGTGGATTAGATTCTAGGGAAAAAACAAAACAAAACAAATCTTAACCTACGTTAGCAAACAAAATTGTGATAAATGTTATAAATAAAACAAGTAGGATGTTGAGATAGAGAATAATAGGAGGAGGACTATTTCTCATAAGATTGTTATGGATGGTTTTTCTGAGGAGACAATATTTAAAGTTAAGTCCTGAAGGAAAAGGAGCTAGCCATGCACATTTTGGGAAGGAGAGTGTTCCAGGCAGAAGAAAGATCTTACACAAGGACCTGAGGCATGCAATAGCTTATTTTGTTTGGGGTTTGTTCAAGAGTCTGCATTAAATCTAGTATAGCAGGACTGTAATAAACCAAGTCAACAGTAGCATGAGATGAGTTTGGCTGTGTGGTGAGGAGCCATATTTTGATGATGTTCTATACCTCGTAGAAAGGACTTAGCATCTTGAACAGTAGGAGGACTTAAAGCTAAAAGAGAAACATGATTGGATTTACATTTTGACAAATGAAAATGTATATTATAAAAGCCATGGTGAAGGCAGAGTCCAATAAGAGGCATTTGTGATTGACCAGAAATAGACAATTATAGCTGTAGAATAGAGAAGTAGCTGAAAATTTAGAGAAGGAAGCATATTTAAAATATATTTTGGAAGTAGCCTTGCCAAGATTTGCTGATAGCTTAGGCATAAGGTTTCAGAAGAAGGGTTAAATAACAAATTCTAAGTATTTCTGAGTTGATCAAAAAATTATTTTTTTCTGCATTATTTTTCAAAATGAAGAAGATGGATAGTGGAGGAAATAGGGACTCTGAATCTCCCTTTATCTTTTCTCTATACTGGATTTATCTATAGCCTATTTATATAGGGCTTACGTTCACAATAATTCAGTAGGTAAGCTGCTTACTATTCATGTTCCAGGTTATCCAAAATCATCTGAAGATATGTTTTCCTGATCTGACATAGTTCTTCAGAAGTGAATATGGTAAAACTATTGCTTCTCTCTTTCTCAACGAAATGCTTAATACAGCTTAGGGTCACATCACATAACAAATTCCTAACTAATTTACTTTTAACTAAAACGTATTTTATAAATATAATATAATATGTCTTATCATGCATGTTTTAAAATCACCACCAAGTATCCCAGTGATTAAGCGTATGTTGCCCAACTGCAATATTTATTTCTATTTTACTTCATTTGCTTAATTTACTTCCAGGCTGTTGACACTATCTTAGATTTTTGTTTGGTATTAATTGATTTTGTTTTTTTTACTATCTCATTGGAAAAGGTAGCAAGCATTTCTTTTATATTTTACTTCTCATTTATATAAACGTTGACCAGAATGGAGCTGAAAACAGAACCATGTATCATGACATTAGATACCTCCCTTCAGCTTGGCATCATTTTATTAATCTTCAGTCTTTCATGGTCACTCAACGTTTCTGATCTCTATCTAAAAGTAATGAAAGATTTTATCAAACATACTGCTGAATACAGGTTTACCATGCGAAGGATATTTGAACCTGAATTAATTTTGACCTTGTTAAAAATGAAATTGTATTTGATATAATTAGTTTATTGTCAACTTATTCCTTGATTATTATTCCTTTACTAAGTGCTACCAAATATCCTTAAAATATTTTCTGCAATTATTGAGGACCAGTGTTAAGTCTAAAGTAGGGTAGTTAATCAAATATACTTTCTGTTATTGAAAGTAAGATCGTTATTAGATCATTCCCAGTCTTCTGATAACTTTTCCTTCTCTATGAGCTCAAAGATCTATCAGTAAGTGCACACATTCTCTTTCCCTTCTTGCATTACATATAACAGAAAAGCCCATTTCTTTACTTTTGCAGCTTGTGTAAGCCTCAGTTCCTTTAGAGCTTTAAACTTTTTGTTCATCTTTCTGTAGATTTGTTCCCCTGTCATATATGTACCCTTTGTCATGAATTCTTCTTTTCTAAAAACATGGAAGGAAATATTTTTATAAAATGTGGCAAGCAATGACAGCCAGATACATGAAAAAGGATAATTAGGAGAAACGAAGAAAATATATTTCTAAAAGGAGCTAACTAGCTGTCTACTTAATTTCTGACCCTTTACGTTTCATGAGTTTATAAATTAACTGTATTTGTGATAGAGTTTGGATATCTCAAATTTGACAGATTTTTTTTGGGGGGGGTTCTTGTTTTTTTCAGGGGAATCTAAAGGTGTAAGTACTAGTGGAAACAGGATCACTGAACATACTCATTATTTTATCATGGGTAGGATAAAAGTGAGATATATAGAAGAAAGAAATGACACATTTCTATGGTTCAAATGCAATTTGAGGTGATTTTCAACATGTGATGAATTGCATCGTTAGGAGGCAGAAACAGAGAGAAGTTTCCAAATAGAGCAAAATTCTTAGAAGTAGGAAAATACGAGAGTGATCATGCAACTTGAAGAGGACTTGCAGAAGAATTTGAGGTTGAAAAAGTATTTAGAGTTGTTGTTACAGACTGGAATTGCAAAATAGTGCCACACATTGTATTTTGTCATACTTCTCTAATAGAAAAACCAGGGCCTAAATGAAAATAGAAGCAGCATTACTTAAAATTGTGTCATATTTTGACAATATGTTTTGGTATTGTGACTTCTTAAATTTTAATTATCCTTGGCAACATTGAAAAATTTTTAAATGTAAAGAGAATGTATGAGCTTAAAAGTACTTATTTGTGTTTCTAGCAAAATGAGGTGATTTTATCACATAAAGAGTGAATAGAAATTGTCTTGTGTAAGAGTTGAGTGAAGAATTTTTAAATGAAAAATAAAAACAGGTTTATTCCAGGAACAGATGATACTTAACACCTATAATGAGCATTAAAAAGCCCTTACCCTATGAGTCACTGCTTGGAGACAAATTGTTTTTGATAAGTAAATTAGAGAATATCACATATAAAATTTAAATAATAGAAACTAAGAAAATTGTAAATACAGGGGACCAAGGCACATATCCAAGTGTCTTTTCTAAATCATCAAATAAAGGAGGTTTGAACAAGTGAACAGGTCGAAGTAATGGGGGAAATGTGAGGATGAATTCTCTATTTCAAAATTCTGTCAGCTGTGACATATCAGAGAGTTTACCTGACTTTCTTCTTCTTAAATGAATGTGGTGCCATTCACTGAAACTAGGACTAAGAACTAATATATTTGGAGGAAAAAAATATTGTTTTGATTCTCTTGAGTATGAGATGTCCATGTGAAAGAGCTCAGTTTATGGTTGTTTTGATTATTAAATGAGTTAATATCCATAAAGAACTTCACAATAGCAAATGATAAGCGCTATGTAAATGTTCCAGAAACAAATACACAAAACCAAAGATCTCAGAAAGATCTATGGAAACTAAATATTTGTGAGTCTTCAGAAGTCAGATCAGTGTTTCTTACCAAAGAAAGTATCATATCCCGAGAAAGTTTTTTAATATGTAAACACATACCCTCATCTAAGCTTCTGAACTTTTTCTCTGATGGACTATTGGTTGCCTACCAATATCTACTCTTTTCTTCTGTCATGGTAACGGGCCCAAATTTCATTCCAGGCAGCAAAACACCTAGCAAAATACGTTATTCTTTACCCTCCCCTTCATAGCCGGATGTGGGGCCAATGAGATATTAAACAGAAGTTATTTGAAGAACCTCTGGAAAAGCTCCTTAAGATACAGGGCCTGTGTCCTTTTGTCATTTCCCTTTTCCTCCAACTTCTGACTGAAATGGTGTTTGGAGCTCTAGTAGCTATTTTCACTCATGTGAAAAGTTTGAGGATAGTACCCATGCAGATACAGTAAGAGATGATAAAGGAATTTTGAAAGAGCCTATGTCCCTGATAACCTGATGAAAGCTCCGTAACAGTCCTGGATGAACTGTGAAGAGGAAAACAGATAACACTGTCACTAAAACATCCCAACCAGTTCACAGATATTATACAGTTTACATTTGACAATGCCTCTGTTCCCCATGAAGCTACTTGCTACTCTTCCCACACATAGCTGATCCATTTGTCCTTTTTCTTTTCTTTTTTTTTTTTTCTGAGACGGAGTCTCGCTCTGTTGCCCAGGCTGGAGTGCAATGGTGCAATCTTGGCTCACTGCAATGTCCGCCTGCTGGGTTCAAGTAATCCTCCTGCCTTGGCCTCCTGAGTAGCTGGGATTACAGGCATGCACCACCACACCTGGCTAATTTTCGTATTTTTAGTAGAGACAGGGTTTCGCCATGTTGGCCAGGCTGGGCTCGAACTCCTAACCTCAGGTGATCCACCTGCCTCGGCCTCCCAAAGTGCTAGGGTTACAGGTGTGAGCCCCTGTGCCTGGCCCATTTGTAGTTTTAACATGTGTGATAATTCTGGTCCCGTTTCTCCCTTCCTTTCTTCCTGTTATTGTCCCTCCTTTTCCTCCCCCATGTTACTGCCTTTTAGTGCTCTGTGAAATAATTTTGTACCTCCCTTTATTACTCTGAATCTTCCTTCAGGCTTTCTGGGGAACACTATCTTGCTTCTCTTTGTTTATTCCTTATTTTCCCTCTTCCCTTGTTCCTTTTGTCACAGCACTTTCCTGGCAGGTCTCTCTTTCCCTCAATCTCTCTCACAGCATTGGCCAAGGTACAATATTAGTAGAATGACAGATTGTTAAAATTATACACAATGGAGCTTTTTAAATTTTTTTCTTAACCCTGCCTACCTCACAGGTTTTTGTTTTCATGTTTTAAATGAAAATCAATCATGATAATGTAATTCATGTGAAAACCCTTGAAGAACTCTAAAACACATGAGATATTATCATTGTCATTGCTTTTATTTTATTTTCACAGAATATATATTATCCTGTTGATTTAAAAAATTCCAGTGAACACAGAAAACATGTGTCATCTATTTTATGTGAATTAAAACCAAAAGATCTAGGCATGAAATCAAAAACATCAAGACATCTCATTCAAAAAGGTTAGTTATATGAATTTTTAATTATATTTAATAAATATATTTTGATGAAGAGTAAATAATATAATTAGAAATTGGGCATGTTGATTTGCAAGTATAAATCCAAAAGTCTATGAAATATATGTTGAGACTTCTAGATAAAATATCCATATCTTGGAGCAAATGAAGCCAGACACAAAAAAGTACATGTAATCCGTGTATAAAAAGCTAAAAAATGATAATTATCTTCATAGGGGAGTAGTGACTGGAAGAAATTACAGACAGGCATCTAGGATTTTGATAATATTATTTCTTGATCTGTGTGTTGGTTACATGCTTTGGAAGAATTCATCCACCTATACACTTGTGATTTGTGCACTTTTCTCTATGTATTCTCTATTCCCATTAAAAATATTACAGCAATGTTAAAAAATCATATCTTATTCAACATTTTCTAAATATACATATTCAGAAGGTTACTTTATGGATATCAAGAACCTCATTTGGGGTAGAAGTTGGGAATTAGGAGAAATTTTTTTAGGAAGAATCATTGAACTGATAGCTTTGTTACTGTATGGCTATGTCAGCATTGTACCTCCTTCAGGAAATCTGTCAAGTATCAGAATAATTATTACAAATTAGTTAAATTTTATAAATTATTAAATTTCTTTCAGACTTTGGTCATAATCATTTTTGTTGAATAAAAATGCCTATTGTCTTATTGCTGATAAAATTTTAGTTTTAAATGTGATCTTGATTTTGTTTTACAACATTTATTCTGATAAAATTTGTCATGATTAGATAAACTTTTCTTTATCTTTCACAGAAGAATCATAAAATCACTTTTGTAAAATCATTTGAAGGTCTTATTTTTCTCAAGGGCTTCTCCTAATTCTTAAACATTCAAATCTTTCTTTTTTAATCCCATGATGGTGTCTTTATCCCATTTGATTTTCTCTTCTTTGCATATGAATTGGTCAAACTCTGTTAGATCCTCATTGCCAGTGGCTTTATTTCATCAGTTCTCCATTTTACACATGTACTAATTTAATAAAACTGTTTTTTTTTTTTTTTAAAGAATGGACTGTTCAACTGTGTTGAAGGCCAGCTGAAAAGCCTTTGTGTGTGTGGTCTTTTTATTTTGTTTGTTTGTTTGTTTGTTTGTTTGTTTGTTTTAAGACAGTCTCACTCTGTCACCTAAGTTTGAGTGCAGTGGAGTGATTATGGCTCAGTGCACCCTCGACCCCCCAGGATCAAGCGATCCTCCACCTCAGCCTCCTAAGTAGCTGGGACTACAGGCATAAGCCACCATGCACAGCTATCTTTTGGATTTTTTGTAGAGATGGAGTTTCACCATGTTGCCCAGGCTGGTCTTGAACTCCTGAGCTCAGGCAATCGCCTGCCTCGGCCTCCCAAAGTGCTGGGATTATAAGCGTGAGCCACCTTGCCTGGCCAAAAGTCTTGGAATATGAAAACTAAATAGTATTTATTGAATCTGGAACATAGATATCAACGGTGGCCTTGACAAAAGCAAATTCAGCGAAGGAGCAGAGATAGGAACCATGTTGGAGAAGGTTAAGAGTGAATGGAAGTAAAGGAGTAAAAACATTGATAATATTTAACACTTTTGAGGTATTTTAAACTTTACACTTTTTATGCTCTCAATAATCTCAAGGCATTGAAAGAAAGAAATCAACCTTCTGAGTATCAAAAATTCTAAATTAAGAGCCAAAAGCATTTTTAGTGTTATCAATATTTTGTTATATTTATACTTTGAAAATTTAATATATATGTATGAATTATAAAAGAACATTATGGTCAGAATATTCGAATAATCAAAACTTCATACACAAAGTTAATTTTGGATATAATAAATTCTAGATATTACTCCTGCCTTCTAAGGTAAAGGGAATTTGAGTGAATGACTGTGGATTAAATTTTTTTTCAAAATGGTTCAGTCTGCTAATAGGTACCTACTTCCAACTAGGCTACAGATCTCTTCATAATCAGAGCATAAATGTGAGCATAAATTGCCCCACCATATGGATCATCTCTCAGTAGACCTATTTCCTAGATACTATTACTCCTGAGCACTGATTATTTTTTCTTCTTTGTTCACAAGCCCAAATATGAAGAAATTTAAGAACGTGATAAAAACATTAATCTCTCAATTAAAAAATATATATATATATATGAGCACAAAAGCATTTTATTTATAATTTTAGGAGGTTCATGGGATCACCAAAGCCCATCTATGGTCCTTAAATTAGTTGATAAGAACAAGAATCACATAATTTAGCTAATATGCAAGATTTTATACTACCTCTAAAATTTCCAAGAGAAGCTCACCTCAGTAAGTAATGGTTCTGGTATTATCAATTACATATCTTGCACACTTTTGTATCTTCATTCCTTGAGCTATTCCTAAACATTAGACATTATATAAGACTTACTTGAGATATATGCGATGCTTAATGTTTCTGACAGAGTATAGATTAATTTGAGTGCTATTCATATCACCTATTACCATAATTCCAACTTTTAGATACCATTCTTAAATACTGATATTTGTGTGGCTAAATATAATGGTGATAATCAAACTACCCTTAAAAGTAATATATGATTTGTTAATTTTTAAATGAAAATAACATGTTATTCTATGTATTTTCTAATCCTTATATTGTTAATATAAGATCAGCCTGAATAATTAATATATTGTTGAGTATTACAAATCCCATATGGGACCATATTATTCCATTTTCTCACCTAGACTTTCAAAGTTGGCAAAACTTTTAAAATATTTATTAGATAAATACACTAATGAAAGGGACCCATGCTATTTGTACTATAACTACATGTCCCAGTTTGGCCCCAGAGAGTCTGAGTTAGTGCCTGTTGTCCTGGTGTATAACAGTGCCTTTCAGTCTTGAACATGCTCCAGTCTAAATGATATTTTATTATTATACAAAACATATGTGCCTTTCTTTTTCTTCTTCATAAGTCAGTTTAACATGATTGGCTTATCAAATTAGAATGACACAAATCAAAGATCTTATCTCAGTATGAAACTGTACTAATAACATCAAGGATACAATCAAAAGACTCAAATGAAACAAGGAGACATCTGGGACATCAAGGGTAGCTTTCTAGGTCCTCTCTTCCCTTGGAGAACATGCACTTCTGACTTGGAAAAACAAAGTCTCTAGTGAGGATTATGAGTTTACTTCCAACGGAGGCAAGTGTTTACATTACAAAATATTTTCATTTTATTTTCCAGAGGGTTGTGTAGTTTATTGACATTTTCCAGGGAACACACCTTACAGACTCTGTGTTTATTTAACAGAAGCAATCCTGGCAGGGCACAGTGGCTCATGCCTGTAATCTCAGAGTTTTGGGAGGCCAAGGTAGGAGGAACACTTGAGGTTTGCAGGTTGCAGTGAGCTATGATCATGCTATTGCACTTTAGCCTGAGTGACACAGCGAGACCCTGTCTCTAAAAGATTATATAACTATATATAACTACATAGATAGATGATAGACAATAGATAGTTATATATACATACAAACAATTTACCTAACAACCTATATATATATATAACTATAAAATTTGTATAGTTATATATATAATGTGTGTGTATGTGTGTGTGTGTGTATATATATATATGTATATATAGCAAAGACAAGGAATCAGTTATATATATATATTGATATATATAAATAATCTTTAGCCACGGACCACCCTGCTAAAGGCATGCAATAGGTAAGGTGTCTTTCTCCTGAAAAATATAATTTCTCTATTTTTTCTGGAGTTCCAGTTGACATGGAGATTAGATTACATCACAGTCTTCTTTTCTTCCTACATGCCCTCATTTTATAAACAAAATGAGTGGATTGTTGGACAGATAGTTTAACTCCTTCCTCCTGCCCCTTCAACAGATTTTGAAATTGAGAGGTATTTTATTATGCTTAGATTTCTTTTTACTAAATCATAAGTTATTACTAAACATGCACACACACACATATATACACACAATTATATATATACATATATATATCATTTTAAGTTCAGGGGTACATATGCAGGTTTATTACATGGGTAAATTATATGTCACAGGGGTTTGGTGTACAGATTATTTCCTTACTCAGGTAGTAAGCATAGTGCCCAATACATATTTTTTTAATCCTCTCCCTCTTGCCTCCCTCCACTCTCCAGTAGGGCCCAGTGTCTGTTGCTCCCTTCTTTGTATCCATATGTACTTGATGTTTAGCTCCCACTTATAAGTGAGATCCTGTGGTATTTCATTTTCTGTTCCTGTGTTAGTTCACTTAGAATAATGGCCTCCAGCTCCATCCATCTTGCTGCAAAGAACATTATCTCATTATTTTGGGGGCTGCATAGTATTCCATCTTGTGTATGTACCACGTTTTTTTATACAGTCTACCATTGATGGTCATCTAGGTTGATTACATGTCTTTGCTATTGAGAATAGTGCTGCAATGAACATGTGTGCATGTGTCTTTATGATAGAACAATTTATATTCCTTTGGGTATATGTCCAATGTCCAATAATGGAATTGCTAGGCCAAATAGTAATTCTGAAGTTTTATTTCAGAAGTCACCAAGCTGCTTCCCATAGTGGGTGAACTAATTTACATTCCCATCAGCGGTGTATAAACCTTTTCTTTTCTCCACAACCTTGTCAGTATCTGTCGTTTTTTGACTTTTTATAATAACCATTCTGACTAATGCGAGATGGCATTTCATTGTGGTTTTGATTTGCATTTCTTTAATGATTAGTGATACTACATAAATATTTTTATCAGCCCTAGGCATTCAAAATTCAACTAGGGCATATGAAATCCTACTGTCTTGGAGCTTGCATATTATTGTAAGGATGATATTACAATTTTCAGTGGAAATTTTGGAAGATTATGAAGTTCAAAGTCTCCATGCACCTACTTGTAGCTTGTGACTAAGGATAGATATTATGTTGTCTCATTTATATTATCAAATAAATGGTAATTTACTTGTATGTGACATTTTAGCTGCTGATTGATTTTGCTATAAATATTATCCAAAATTCTTGTTTTATTAATTAGCTAGTTTGTAATAATAGGTGCTTTTATCTTCTTTAACTTAAATTAAAGCTATTATTTCTCCTAGCTTCATTTTATAATGCTTATCCAATTTTTTTTATTTTTCTCTACAAAAATGATATAACACTGTAGGTCAGACATTTTTAAATAATGCTATACTTCATGAATACCTATTTCATCGGCTGCTGTAAGAAGCATTTTCAGTATTAGAAATTAACATACAAATTTCTTGATTTATACTGAAAAGATGTGGCATACAAGACTGAAATTGAAACCTTAAAAGTGTGTGTTCTGTTAGTGATTTTTAACCCTTTATAATAAGTATAGCTGCAGAATGGGCCAATCTTCTATAGCCATTTCAAGGACCATTCATATTTCAGATACAGTTGTAAAGAAGTAAATTCAAATACTTTCCAGAAAGTGCCAGCTGTTACATAAAAGATATTTCTGAGAACAAAACTGCTACTTCCTATTCAGCCAAAAAGGTCAAAAGTTTAATTATTTGAGGGTCATTGTATCAACCTGCCTGTGATCAGATTTATGCAGTCTTTAGTTATTTTACCTTCATTATATACTTTGTCTTGCTCCAAATCCACTTATATCTGAAACGAATACTCTAAAGGTGATTTTATGGTTTCCACTGAAACACATTACATTTTCTGCCTCCAACATTTTTCTTCCAAATTCATCCAATTTGTCACCTTTCTGATCTCAATCCACTTGTGCTTTATGCAATTTTAACAGTGCTTTTTTTTTTTACCATTCTCCTAAATTGTTTGCTGGAATGACTGAATTTTAGTCTAGGATATAAAATAATATCAACTAAATTACTCCAGATGAGCAATTAAGGCATACTCATGCATATAAGACTAGAAATCTTTGCCACCAGATGTTAAATTAAAAGCAAACATGCAAACAAACCAAAAATGTATTTTGTTTTTGTATCTATGTAATATTTCAAATTGCTTTTAAAATATTTTAAATACTTTTACTACTGAGAACAGAGAGGAAGAAGGTGAAATTTAAATCAGATATGTTTGAATTTATTTTGTAATTATAAGCACCGGTACCATATATTCCATGTGCTCCCCTGCATTGCCCAGCTTCCCATGCAGTTATGTAAAAATTATGTGATCAGTCTCTCCACTTGACTGTGAGCAAAAGTAAAAGTGATCATTTCAGAGTAAAAGAAATTAAGAGAATTGTTCTATTTCCCTGCTATGCAGATCTTAGAGGCCATATGTTCCATTAATATAGCTGCAAGGTCCTCCTGACCCACATTGATTCTTAGATGAGAAATAAAGAAATCTTCACTGTACTAAACTGTTGAGATTACAGGGTTTATCTGTGAAGGAAATTAGGATTAATTATGCTATTAAATACAGAAATTAGTATCATAACATAAAACCTAAAATATGGCCTTATCTTTGTGATTAGTTATAGGAGATGAAAAAATTGATATCAGGGGCTGAAATGATGGCAGTCCAAGTTATTTAGTAGCAAAGAATTTCCCCGTGATAACTTGGAAGGCAAACTATGTGCCTACTAATTTATGTCTCTAAGGCAAGAAGCTGGAAGACGGAATATTGATTCTGTGTGTTGGTTGTACTTGACTATGTTTGGCAAGTTACCTTATAGTAAAAAGAGAGCTCAGAAAAGTAGCTGGTTTTCAAGACAAAATAAAAGAAAAAGAAGACCTCCAAAATTAGGGCCTTGCACATATGGAAAGCTGTCTGCTTCTAAATAACAAATAGTAAAACAATAAATTTAACAAGTCTTTTAGACAAGGGCGCAAACTTAAGTGAAAATTATGACTCACAGCACAGTTTAGATTAAGCGTATGGGCTTCCCGTATATTATTCCAGATTTATAGTAACTTCCATTAAATTGCTAGAGAGTGAATTGTGGGAAGAAATTAAGAAAAAAAAGCAGATATGAAAACTACATATGACTCCAAAAGAATTTTTACTGTGATCAACCACATATGGAACTCACAGAAGAAAATAGATCAGATATCTATAATTTTAACAGAGAAGGATTACCAGAGAATTTTAGCCTAAAATACCTTTGAGCATTCAAGACTTAAATATACACTTGATTTCTTCATCTTCAGCACTAAAAAGTGCACTGAAAAAGCTTTTGTAGCCTCTGAGGTAGGCAATTCCGTAATTCTCCACACATTCAGAAGGCAAGAGAACTAACTCCACACGGAAAGCAGAATCAGGGATTAATTCAGGAACCACCTGTACCTTAAGGTAGGAGAAGTTCACAGAGTGTGTACTTCCACTTGTGGTTAGTCTTTCCCTCTTCCACTTTTGTATGTTTAAGTGTATAAGAATGGGTGGGGCAGAAGGCAGATGATTTGTCTTTTAATTCATAAGTCTCTGGATTAAAAACTTATCCAGACCTGATTGAGAGATACTGCACACGTAGAGATTCTGGACTTGATGGGATTTCAGTTGTCATTTTTTAGGAGTGTGTTCAATGTTTGGCGAAAAGGGATCAAAGGATCTTTGGTGACTTGTGGCAATAATTTTGTTCTTACAAAGTATTCTACTTGTTTCTCTACATTTTCTAGCTTTCCTTAAATTTAATTGGGGTGACATAATTTATTACTGGTTAATAAATTCTGACTCAAAGTAAGTGTGTCACTTCTGGGCTAAGCATACCATTCTCTTTATTTCGTTGCTTTAGCATCCCTAGAGCTAGCTTATGTTTCAGATGGTCTAGCTATACTACATACGAAGAATGCCCCATCCAGTTTAGGTTTGAATGAGCAAGAAATCAACTTTTGTTTTGTTAACCATTATGATTTTAGGTTTTGTCTGCCATGGCATCTAGTGTTAATTATCTTGAGTAATATACTAACCATGGTGATGGACTTTTATTATAATCAAATAGCTATAATAAAAACATATATTTCATAAGTAGGCTATGAAAATTAAGTGAGAGAATGCATGGATAGTACTTGACATAAAGTCTAGCACATGTGTATACTCAATTTTCCAGTAAAATATCTAGCACAGAATAATTGTTAATAAATGTTAGCTGCTGCTGCTGCTGTTATTGTTGTTATTAGACCTCATATACCCATAGAACTGAAATGTATTATGAAAAGTAGCTGTGGTTATACCAAAAAATGTGTCTATTGTATAATATTTTTTGAGAATTTAGAAAGAAAATAGATAAGAAATGGAAGCCCATAGGGGATTACTAAGTACACATTATGTCAAATAAATCTAATTTTCATTATTATTGGTGTTCAAATAATTATTTATGTAATATACAGGCTATCTTGATTTTTAGAGATCTTTGAATTTAAGAGATTTTCTTAATAATCTTAGGACAAAATAGAAAATATTAAGGTATGGGTACATTTTTACTTTTTTTTTTTTTTTTTCGAGACAGAGTTTCTCTCTTCTTGCCCAGGCTGGAGTGCAATGGCATGATCTTGGCTCACTGTTACCTCTGCCTCCCGGGTTCAAGTGATTCTCCAGCCTCAGCCTACCAAGTAGCTGGGATTACAGGCATGCACCAGCACGCCCAGCTAATTTTGTATTTTTAGTAGAGATGGGGTTTCACTATGTTGGTCAGGTTGGTCTCAAACTCCTCACCTCGGGTGATTCACTCACCTCGGCCTCCCAAAGTGCTGGGATTACAGGCATGAGCCATTGTGCCCTGCCTCAGTTTTTATGTAGTTGAATAATCTTACTTAACAACTATTATAAATGCTTCAACGTTAACCTGAACTTAGCTTTTTAAGGGGCTATCTCAGGATCATTCTGTTTATTACCATATTAGAATTAGGTACAAACAACATGATTATACATTTTATGAGGCCAGAAGAGTGAGCTAATATTTAATAAAAAATAAAATTACAAATATTTAGACTGAAAGAGCTAAACCCAGGAATATAAAATTTTTAGCAAATATAAGTGTGCCATTTAAAAAATTCTATTCAAACACAGATTAAACGATATATGATTTAAAGCAAATTCATGTGAAGACATCCAACTTTTAATTGACCTCACGTTAACTATGGAGGAACAGTGTATTTTGTACCTCTTCAATATCTGATATAACTTCAGCTTTATGAATTGATGCATCTACAGTGAGATAAAAACCTATTATTTTACTCTGATGTCAGCTCTTCTAGGATTATGATTCACCTTTGAAAATGATTATAACTAACAGAAGCTTTTAGAGAGAAGGGTAATTATGATGCTAAGGGGACTTGGAATCAAAACAAGGGGAGACTGTTCCTTAATATAAAGCTTTCTTAAAATTAGACCAGCATAAAATCAAAATGAAATACTTAAGAATTAGTCACTTCCTTCACTGAAGATATGCAAGCATAAGCTGGGATGAACATTTGTTGAGCTTTTTGAATAAGGAAGGCAATAAAAATAATTGGTTTGGTTGTACTAGAAGTCTTCTGTAGTGCCAGCTATCTTGTGATAGTCTGCAGTTCTTTGATTGTAAGTACAGTGAACAAAGTCTTGGAGAAATATATGAAAATATTAAGTAGCCAAATGTAATGGGAGAACTAGGTGAAGAAAAGAGACAAAAGGGAAAGAAAAACTATTGAAAAAATAGTTACTTTCCAAATTTGTTGAAAAACTGTATTCTACACATTTAAGGATATCAACAAACTCCAAATAAGATAAATACAAAAATATTTCCATCCAGACACATTATAATCAAAATATTAAGAACAAAATATTAAGATAGAATTTTGAAAGTAGTAAGAGAAAAACAAATCATTACATGCAAGGAACTCCAATGAGAATAATAACTTACTGCTCATCAGATATAATGAGGCCAGAGGCAGTGAGATAATATCAAAATGCTGAAAGAAAACTATCAACCAAGATTCTTAAATCCAGAAAAAGTGTCTTTCAAAAATAAAGGTGAAATAAAGACATTCCAGATGAATGAAGGTGAAATGAAACCATTCCCAGATATATGAAAGCTGAGAGATATCATTGCTAAAAGATGTGCCTTAGAAGGTGTATGAAAGAAAGTTCCATGAGTTGAAAGCAAGTGGCATCAAACAGTATTTCAAATCCACATGAAAAAACAGAGTGCTAATAAAGGTCATAAAGTCAGTAATTATAAAACACAATGTAATTGCACCTTTCTTCTCCTTTTCTCTTTTAACTTACTTTAGAAACAACTGAATAAAACAATATGTATACATAATTATATTGTTGGCCATATAACATATAGTAATGTAATATATTTGGTAATAACAGCATAAAGGAGGCAGGTGTAACAAAGCTATATTGGAGTAATGAAATGATGTAAGATAACAAGCCTACAGAAAGAAATAGGATAAAAATTGGTAAATAAAAAAGATAATAACAAGCTCTATGACTATATATACTTGCTCTCCACTTTTCATCAACTTTCTAAATATATATACAGTATAATTACAAAAATATTTTTACCATATATAGACATTATACATTATATATAGTATCTAAATATGCACAAAAGTGGGGAATGACATTTGCAAGAGTAAAGTTTTCATATTTTACTGGAATTTACTGGAAATCTGGTGTCATTTTGATAACTTAAGATATATATCTATTGCAAGCCCTAGAGTGACCCCTGAGAATATGGCTCAAAAATAAAATTAAACAATTATTAAAATAATTAAAATGGTGCCACAGAAAATGTTCACACACCATATCAAGATAAAATTAAATGTGAATTGATAAAGATCCAATCAAAAGACAGATTGCCAGATTTAATTTAAAAACAATCTACCTACATACTTTTTAAAGCAAACACACTTTAGATTTAAAGTTTCATGTAATTTGAAACTAAAATGATGGAAAATGATATCATGCAAACAGCAATCATCAGAGAACTGGAGGGACTGTATTAATGTCAGTCAAAAAAATTAAAATGAAAAAACAGTGTTGCTAGAAATAAAGAGAGGCATGTCACAATAATGAAAGAGTCAACACTTTAGGAATATATAACAAATATAAAAATATATGCACATAACAATAGAAACCCCAAATTGACAGAAAGCAAAATCTGACAGAATTGAAGAGAGAAATAGACAATGCAACAATAAGAATTGGAGACATTTATACACCACTTTGAATAAAGGATTCAATGAATGGGTAGAAGATCCAAATGGACCTAGAAGATTTGACCAACAATTTAAAGCAGCCACATTGAACAAACCACTCATCAATAGCAGAATACACATTCTTCTCAAGTGTGCTTGGAATATTTTCCAGTTTAAACCATATACAAGTATACCACGTTATGAAAAGAATCAAGAAATTTTAAAAGATGGAAATGATACAAAACATTTTCTTTATTCATTATGAGATTACATTAGAAATGATAGAAGAAAATTTTGAAATCTCACAAATATACAAATACGTGTAAATTAGGAAACACCCTTCCTCGTTTTGTTGTTGTTGTTGTTGTTGTTGTTGTTGTTTGGTTTTGGGGTTTTTTGTTTTGTTTTGTTTTGTTTTGATTTTTTTTGTTTTGTTTTGCTTTGGTAGTGGTTGTTATTTTAGGACTACTTGAGTATCTATTTTATTTAATTGTTTTTACTTTCTATTTTTAACTTCTATTTTAGGTTCAGGGGAACATATGAATGTTTACTACATATATAAATTGTATGTTATATGGGTTTGGTGTACAGATTATTTCCTCACCCAGGTAATAGGCATAGTATCCGATAGGTATTTTTTCACTCCTCACCCTCCTCACACCCACCACCTTCAAGTAGGCCCCAATGTCTGCTGTTCCCTTCATTGTATCCATATATACTTGATGTTTAGCTCCCATAAGTGATATCATGTGGTATTTGGTTTTCTGTTTCTGTGTTAATTTGCTGAGGATAATGGCCTACAGCTCCAACCATGTTACTACAAAGGACATGATCTCATTCTTTTTCATGGCTGCATGGTATTCCATGTTGTGTATATACCACATTTTCTTTATCTAGTCTACTGTTGATGGACATTAAGGTTGATTCTGTGTCTTTGCTACTGTGAATAGTGCTGTGATTTCTATTCCTTTGAGTACTCATTCTGTTTTAAGTCCTTTCAGAAATTGTCAAACTGCTTTCTGCAATGAGTGAACTAATTTACATTTCCATCAGCAGTGTATAAGCCTTCCCTTTCCTCCACAACCTTGGCAGCATCTGTCGTTTTTTGACTTTTTAGTAATAGCCATTCTGACTGGTGTGAGATGGTATCTCACTGTGGTTTTTATTTGCATTACTCTAATGATTAGTGATATTGAGCATTGTTTCATATGCTTGTTGGTCATATATATATCTTCTTTTGAAAAGTGTCTTTTCATGTCTTTTGCCCAATTTTTAATGGGGTTATTTTTCACTTGTATATTTAAGTTCCCTATAGGTTTTTGGATACTAGACCTTTGTTGGATTCACAGTTTGCAAATATTTTCTCCCATTCTGTAGGTTGTCTGTTTACTTTGTTGATAATTTATTTTGCCTTGCAGAAGAAGCTTTTTAATTTAATTAGGTCCCATTGGTCAATTTTATTTTCTTTTGAAAAAAACTCTCACTCTGTCTCCCAGGCTGGAGTGCAGTGGTATGATCTCAGCTCCCTGCAACTTCAGCCTCCCAGGCTCAAGGAATCCTGCCACCTCAGCCTCTCTAGTAGCTGTGACTACAGGCATGTGCCAGCAAGCTTGGCTATACTTGTATTATTTGTAGAGAGAGGGTCTCACTAAGTTATGCAGCCTAGTCTCCAGTTCCTGAGCTCAAGCAATTCACCGGACTAGGCCTCCCAAACTGCTGAGACTACTAGTGTAAGCCACCATGCCCAACCTGATTTGTCAAGTTTTGTTTTTGTTGCAATTGCTTTTACCATGTTGATCATGAAATCTTTGCCTGGTCCCATGTCCAGAATGGTATTTCCTAGGTTACCTTCAGGGTTTTCATGGTTTTAGGTTTTACATTTAAGTATTTAATATATCTTGAGTTGATTTTTCTATATGGTATAAGGAAGTGGTCGAGTTTTCATTTTCTGCAAATGTAGTATAGTTTGAAGTCAGGTAATGTGATGCCTCCAGCTCTGTTCTTTCTGTTTAGGATTGTCTTGGCTATTCAGTCTGTATTTTGGTTCCATACGAATTTTAAAATATTCTAATTCAATGAAGAATGTCATTGATAATTTGATAGGAATAACATTGAATCTGTTAAGTACTTTGGCCAATATGACCATTTTAACAATATTGATTAACAGTATTGATTCTTCCTATCAATGAACATGGAATGTTTTTCCATTTGTTTGTGTCATTTCTGATTTCTTTGAGCAGTGTTTTATAATTCTCATGAGAGAGATCTTTCACCACCCCAGTTAGCTGTATTCCTAGGTATTTCATTCTTTTTGTGGCTATTGTGAATGGAATTGGACTCTTGATTTGACTCTCAGCATGGATGTTGTTGGAGTATGAGGATGTTATTACTTTTGTACATTGATTTCATATCCTGAAACTTTGCTGAGGTCATATATCAGATCAAGTCCTGCCCCTCCACCTCTCTAAGCAGCTTTCCCTGCCAGCTCAAGTGTCCTTGAAAGTTGTGACATCTCCCGCTGCCAGAATTCCAGAGGTCTGTGGTGAGAGTGGGACGCTTCTTGCCTGCTAAACTCACTCCTTCCCCAGAAGTCACTGGGGGTCAAAATGAGTCCTGATGTGTGGTAGCTACATGCAGAGGTCCCAGATTCCTGCCCCTTCAACCTAGCAGTGTTTCCTCTCTGTCCACTCTCAATGCCTTCCTTCTGAAGATCTGCTTGGAGTGCACCGGTCTTCCTGATGTCCTGGTCCCTTGGTGGCAGATGTTCCTCCTACCTTTTTTTGGTGTGTGTGTGACAGGGTCTTGCTATGTTGCCCACTGTGAACTCAAACTCCTGGGCTTAAGTGATCTCTATTAGCTGGGACTACAGTCATGCACCATCACACCCAGCTATACTCTCTCCAATAACCAATGGATCAGAGAAAAAAATTACAAATGACATTAGAAAATATAGATAGGTAAGTGAAAACAAAAATAACTTATGAGTTTCAGCTAAAGCAGTGCTGAGAATGAAATTTATATCTGTAAGCACCTGTATTAAAAATGCAAAAATACTTCAAATATATAACCTAACTTTCCACCTTAAGAAAAAAAGAAGTAGAAAAGAAGAAGATGAGGAGGAGGAAGAGGATGAGGAGGAGGAGGAAGAAGAAGAAAAGGAGGAGGAGGTGGAAGAGGAGGAGGAGGAGGAAGAAGAAGAGGAAGAGGAGGAAGAGGAGGAGGAGGAAGAGAAAGAAGAGGAAGAGGAAGAAGAAGAAGAAGAAGAAGAAGAAGAAGAAGAACAAGAAGAAGAAGAAGAAGAAGAAGAAGAAGAAAAAGAAGAAGAAGAAGATGACGACGAAGAAGAAGGCGACTCAGGTTACTAGAATCAGAAATGAAACAGGGGACATTACCACAAAATTTCCAGAAATAAAAAGGATGATAAAGGAATACAATGAACAATATGCAAAGAAATTTTATGTTAGATGAAATGAACACTTTCCTAGAAGTATAAAAATACGCAAATATTTGAAAATCAATTATATAGCGAATAATTTGAAAATAATTTAAGAATACAATTTTATTTATAATAGCAACAAAAAAGAATAAAATAACTAGGAATAAATTTAATGAAGGAAGTACAGGACTTCTATACTGAAGAATTAAAGTAGATCTAAATAAATGGAAAGACACTCATTTTCTTAAAATGGGTGACTTAAAATTAAGATGATATTACTACTGAAAGCAATATAGAGATACAAGCAATCCCTATCAAAATTTCAATGCTTTTTCTTTTCAGAAATGGAAAAGATGATCCTAAAGTCCACATAGAATGTAGGGGATTTCCAACAACCAAATGATCTTTAAAAATAAAAACAAATTTGAAGAACTCACAGTTCCTGATTTGAAACTTACTGCAAAGCTACAGTAATTAAGACAATGTGAAAACTGGCATAATGAAAGACATTTAGATCAAGGCAATACAACTTTTTGACAAGTGTGCCAAGATAATTTATTGAGGAAAGAATAGTCTTTTCAAAAAATGGTGCTGGGACAACTATATATCTACATTCAAAAATTGATGTTGGATCTCTACATCACACCATGTACAAAAATTAACTTTAAATGGATCATAGATCTAAACATAGGCATTAAAATTATAAATGTCTTAAAAGAGAAGATGGGAGTAAACCTTTGTAACCTTAACTTGGGCAACGATGTTTTAGATATGCCACTAGGAGCATAAGCCAAAAATAATAAGAAAAGGAAAAAAAGGAAGCAAATAAATACAGATAGAAAATGAAAGATTGAACCACATCAAAGTTGAAAAAATAAACCACTTTGTGCTTCAAAGTATACCATCAAGAAAGTGAAAAGACACTCGCTGAGTAAGATAAAATATTTGCAAATAACATATCTGCTATGGACTTGTATCCAGAAATATTAAAAATATCTTACAACATCTTTGGCCACCAGGGCAATACAAATAAAGAATTTAATGAGATTCTATTTCACACCCATTCAGATGGCTATAATAAAAAACACAGACAGTGCAAAGGGTTGGCAAAGATAAGGAGAAATTGGAAACTTTGTGGATTACAGATGGATTTACATACATTGCTGGATGTAAAATGATACATCAATTTACTTTCTATTTTGTTTGTAATTAATACATAATAATTATACATATTTATGGGGTACAGTATGATGTTTCAACACAGATATACATTGCACAGTGATCAATAGCATAATTAGAATATTCATCGCCTCAAACATTTACCATTCCCTTGTGTTAGATACATTAAAAGTCCACTCTTCTAGCTATTTGAAAACATGCAACAAATTGTTGTTGATGATAGTCACTCCCCAGTGCTACAAAACACTAGAACTTACCTATTCCTCCTATCTATTTGTGTATCTGTTAACCAACCTCTGACTATTTCCCTTCTCCAACACTCTCCAGCCTCTGGAAACCACTGTTTTATTCTTTACTTCTATGAGACAAACTTTTTTAGCTTCCATATATGCAAGATAACATGTAATATTTGTCTTTCTGTACCTGGCTTATATCACTTAATATAACATTCTCCAAGCTCATCCATGTTGTAGCGAATGACAAGATTTCATTCCATTTTATTTCTGCATAATATTCCATTGTGTATATATACCACATTTTCATTATCCATTCATCTATTGATGAACAAAGGTTTATTCCATTTCTTGGCTATTGTGAATAGTGCTGCAACAAACATGGGAGTTCAGATGTCTCTGAATACTAATTTCATTTCCTTTGGATGAACACCCAGTAGTGGAACTGCTGGATCATATGATACTTCTATTTTTAGTTTTTTGAAGAACCTCCATACTATTTTCCATAGTCATTGTACTAATGTATGCTCCTACCAACAGTGTATAAGAGTTCTCCATTAGCTGTGTTCTCACTAGTATTTGTTTTTTGTTTTTTGTTTTTTTGATAATAGCCATTCTAAGAGGGGTGAGGCAATATCTCACTGTTTTGATTTGCATTTTCCTAATGATTGGTGATATTAAGCATTTTGTCATATACCTGCTGGCAAGTTTTATATCTTCTTTTGATAAATGTCTAGTCAGGGATTTTGACTATTTTTTAGTTGGGTTGCTTGTTTTTTTAGCTATTGAGTTTGAGTTCCCTATGTATTTTTGATATTAACCCCTTATCACATGTATAGTTTGTGAATATGTTCTCCAATTCTGCTGATTGGTTCCTTTGCTGTGCAGCAGCTTTTCAGTTTGGTGTAATCCCATTTGTCTATTTTTGCTTTTGTTACCTGTGCCTTTGAAGTCTATTTCAAAAAGTCCTTGCCCAGTCCTATGTCATGCAGCATTTCTCTTTTGTTTTCTAGTAGTTTCAAAGTTTCAAGTCTTACATATAAGTCTTTAATGCATTTTGAGTAGATTTTTTATATGGTGAGAGATAGGGGTCTAGTTTCATTCTTCTGCATGTGAATATTTAGTGTTTGCAGCACCATTTATTAAAAAGACTGTCCTTGTTGAATGAGTATTCTTGCCACCTATGTCTAAAATCAGTTGGCTGTGAATGTATGAATTTATTTATGGGCTCTCTATTATGTTCCACTGATCTATGTGTCTCCATTTATGCCAGTACCATTCTGCTTTGGTTACTATACCGTTTTAGTATATTTTAATGTCAGGTACTATGCTTCCACTACCTGACATTAAAATATACTAAAAAGCTATAGTAACTTGTATTCTTTTGGCTCAGAGTTGCTTTGGATATTCAGGATCTTATATAATTTGGGGAATTTTTTTCTATTTCTGTGAAGAATGTCGTTAGTATTTTGATAGGAATAGCAATGAATCTGTAGACCACTTTGGGTAGTATATTAGACCATTCTCACACTGCTATAAAGATATTACCTGAAACTGGGTAATCTATAAACAAAAGAGGTTTAATTGACTCACAGTTCTGCATGGCTGGGGAGGCCCCAGGAAACTTACAATCATAGCGAAGGCAAAGGGGAAGCAAGGTACATCTTACATGGTGGCAGGAGACAGAGAGTGAGTGCAGGGGAAACTGCCACTTTTAAAACATCAGATCTTGAGAGAACTTCCTCATTATCATGAGAACAGCATGGGAGAAACCACCTCCATGATCCAATTACATCCCACCAGGTCCCTCCCTCAACATGTGGGGGTAACAATTCAAGTTGAGACTTGGTTGGGGACACATATCGGGTAGTATGGACATTTTAACAATACTAATTCTGACAATCCATGAACACAGGATAGTTTTCCATTTATTTTTGTGTTCCTGAAACTATTTCATCAGTATTTTGTATTTTATGTTATATAAATATTTTCTTTTCATGGTTAAATTTATTTCTAGTTATTTTATTTTTGTAGTTATTGTAAATGGGATTGCATTCTTGATTTATTATTCAGACAGTTCACTATTGGTGTATTAAAACACTACTGATTTTTGTATGTTGATTTTGTGTCTGCAACTTTACTGAATTGATTTATTAGTTCTAAGAGTTTTTTGGTGGAGTCTTCCTAGTTTTTTATATGTATGATCATGTCATCTGCAAGGAGGGACAGTTTGACTTTCTCTATTCCAATTTGGATCCCTATTTTCCCTCTTGCCTAATTGCTCTGGCTGCAACTTCTAGTACTATGTTGAATACAAGTGGTGAGAGTGGGCATCCTTATCTTTTTCCAGATCTTACAGAAAAAGCTTTAAAATTTTTCCCATTGTGTATGATATGAGCTATGGTTTTGTCATATATGGTCTTTACTGTGTTGAAGTATGTTCCTGCTATATCTAATTTGTTGAGTTTATTTATTTATTTATTTATTTATTTATTTATTTATTTATTTTTGAGACAGATTCTCACTCTGTCACCGAGACTGGAGTGCAGTGGCATGATCTCGGCTCACTGCAACCTCCACCTCCCGACTTGGAGCAATTCTCCTGCCTCAGCCTCCTGAGTAGCTGGGACTACAGGCACCCACCACCACACCCGGCTAATTTTTTTGTATTTTTAGTAGAGACGGGCTTTCTCCGTGTTAGCCAGGATGATCTTGATCACCTGACCTCGTGATGTGCCCACCTCGGCCTCCCAAAGTGCTGGAATTACAGGCGTGAGCCAACATGCCAGGACTTTATTCAATTTTTATCAAGAAAGGGTGTTTAATTTCATGAGTGCTTTTCCTGCATCTGATACAGCCACTTTTGAAAAACAGATTGGCAGTCTTCAAACATTAAACAGTTGCCATATGAACCCCTAATTTTATTTCTAGCAGTATAGCCAAGAGAATCATAAACATATGTCCACATAAAAATTGTATATGAAAGAAGCAGTACTTAAAGCAGTTCAAAGGTGGAAACAAATAAAAAAATCAAATATCCATCAACCAGTAAGTAAAAAATGCATTGCCCAGTCCTGGGCATATAATGAATATGTATAATGAATGATACTCAATTACAAAGAGGAATGAAATACTGATAAATGTTACAACATGGATGATTCTTGCAAACATGTTAAATAAGAGAGAAGACACAAAAAACACATATTTTATGACTCCATGTATATGAATTGCCCAGAAAATACAAACCTATAGAGATATAAAATAGGTTTGTAGTTGTCAGGGGCAGAAGAGAGGGGGGAACAAGAAATGACTGCTAATAGATACCTGCTTTCTTTCTACGGTGATGAAAATGTTCTTGAATTAGGTATTCATGATAGTTGCATTATTCTGTGACAAAGTGTCAGAAAAACACTGAATCATACCCTTTATATGTATGTGTGTGTATATATATATATATATATATATATATATATAAAGTGTATATGTATGTATGTGTGTGTATGTGTATGTATGCATGTGTATGTATGTGCATACATGTCATGATGGTTGTGTTATTCTGTGATAAAAAGTGGCAAAGACCCACTGGATTACACACTTAATATGTATGTGGGTATTTATATAAGCTATATTTATATTTACATATTATTTAAAATATATTTTTAAATTTTATATAATTATATATTTATAATATTTTATATAATTATATAATTCATAATATGTAATACAATTATACATTTTATATAATTTATAGTTGTAATTCATAATTGTATTTTAAATTATATTTATAATTGCACATCAATATATACATATATACACATGCATTAAAAATGTGGATGTATGTGTGTATATGTATGTATGTATGTGTGTATTTATATGTATGTGTATGTAGATATATAGATATATATATATATATATTTGTGTTTTCTTCCTTTTTGTAATTAATAAACTTTTAGGACAGTTTTTGTTCATAGCAAAATTGAGCAGAAAATACAGAGATTTTTCCATAACAGTCTGTTTCAATATACGCAGAACCTCTTTCATTATCCACATCCCACACCACATATAATATAGTGGTACAATTGTTACAATAGATGAACTTAAACTAACACATTATTATCTGCAAAAGATCATAATTTACCTTAGGGTTTACTCTTGGTGTACATTCTATGAGTTTTGAAAAACGTACAATGATATTTATCCAACATCGCGGTATCATTTAGAATCATTTCACTGCCCTAAAAATCCTTTCTACACTCCTTATTCATCCTATCCTCCCCACCTTATCCCTGGCTACCACTGATGTTTTTACTATTATTTACAGGTTTACCTGTTCACACATATTGTATACCAGTATCTGGAATCATACAGTATGTAGCCTTTTTAGATTGGCTTCTTTCACTCAATAATATGCATTTATTTTTCGTGGTTTTTTTTTATGGCTTGATAGCACAAGTCTTTAGCACTGAATAATATTCCATGGTCTGGATATACCAAGGTTTATTTATCCATTCACCTACTAAAGTATATTTGGTAGTTTCCATATTTTGCCAATTATGAATAAAGCTGCTATTAAATATAAATATCCATGTGCAGGTTTTTGTACAGACACAAGTTTTCAAAGTTTTCAATTCATTTTGATGGGTACCAAGGAACATGACAGCTGGATTTTACAGTGAGAATATCTTTAGTTTTGTAAACACTGCCAGTCTTCCAAAGTGGTGGTACCATTTTGCATCCTACCAGCAATGAATGAGAGGTCCTGTTGTTCCATAACCTCATCAGTATTTGGTGTTGTCAATGTTTTGAATTTTGGCCATTCTAGTAGGTGTGTAGTGTTATCTTATGAAGTTACAATTCTCTAATAACATATGATGTGGAGCATCTTTTTATATACTTTCTTGCTATCTGTATATTTTCTTTAAGGAAGTCTCTTGTCCATTTGTTTATTTATTTATTTATTTGCTTTTAGAGACAAGGTCTGGCTGTGTTGCTCAGGCTGGAGTGCAGTGGTGCCATCATATCCTGTTGCAACCTGAAACTCTGGCTCAAGCAATCCTCCTGCCTTAGCCAAAGTACTGAGATTACAGGGGTGAGTCAGTGCACCCAGCCCCTTGCTCATTTTTTCATCTGGTTGTTTATTTTATTATTGTTGAGTTTTAATAACGTTCTTTATCAACTGTGTGTTTTGAAATAGTTTTCTAAGTCTGTGGCTGCTCTCTCATTCTCTGGATAGTCTCTTTTGCAGGGCAGAAATTTTAATTTTAATGAAATCCAGATTAACAGTTATTTCTTTCATGGAACTTTGGTTTTTTTAAAGAAGTTATTGTCATACTCAAAATTATATAGGATTTCTTCCATTTTCTTCTCTGAGTTTATAGTTTTGCATTTTATATTTAAATCTATGAGCCATTTCAAACTGATTTTTGTCATGGGTGTAAGGTCTATGTCTAGATTAATTTGTTTTTTTTTTTTTTTTTGGCATGTGGAGGACCGGTTATTTCATTACCGTTTGTTGAAAAGACTGTCTCACTTCATTGTTTTGCCTTTGCTCTTTTGTTAAAGATAAGTTGACTATATCACGGGACAGATCTATTTCTGGGCTCTCTACTTTGTTCCATTGATCTATTTGTCAATACTCTTGCCAATACCAAACTGTTTTGATTATTGTAATTGTACACTTTAAAAAGATACATTCTTTGGCATATGAATTGTATCTCAAAGAAGATGTTATTTTTAAAAACCAGAAAGAATAGTGAACAAGGAAATTGTTAAATCAAAATTAATTGAAGACTTAAGATCAAGTGTAAGATTCCTACAATCTAGAATTTATTTTGTTTTAAAGAAGTCAGATATAATACACATTATGAAAAAAAGGAACTGCAGATTGAATATATTCCACAGAGAGAAGAGCTCAGAGAGGGATTTGTAATTGTTATATAATAAGAGATTAAGCAAAATTTATTATATCAGATAAAGATAGTAAATCTGTATTGGCTTATAATCTTCTCCAATGAATAACCGCTCTCTGCCCAGAGTGTGAGAAAAGCAGTGTGAGAAAGGCTTTTGAGGATATTAGAGATGTCTACCATTATCGAGAACATAAGAAGTTTTAGATCAAAAAATGAAATTGAGAGCTGATATAAGAAGAACAACTAAATTTTATAATTTCTTCCTCAGTGCCAAGCAGATTTCACTCAACCCTCACAGCAAATCTATAAGGTGGGCACTTTCATTCTCCCATTTTATAGATGAAGAAACTATGGCATCGTGAATTTGAGTAACTTCCATGAAGTTACTTTCTGAAATGATAGGATGTGGCATTTCAGATATGCAAGTGATTGTGCTCCTGGTTTTTCACCCTAACTACTATCCAACAGTGGCTGTAGCTGTCCAATGGCTCAAAAAAAGAGAAAGTTAGATCCAAAGCACTGTTTCAGTGGACATCGGACTAGTAAGACTTATGTAGTCAGCGCGGTCCTGGTGGAACTCACATATTTGGGCCTAAGATATCAAGTAGAGAAATTTAGATCTTCAAATTAAGATCCTGATCTTAGAGGAAAAAAAGATTGAAGCGTCATGATCCTTAGAAGATGAAAGAAATGGTAAGCTTGGGAAAAGGGAAATAATATAATTATTAACGGACTGATTCATAGTTATTCAGGAACCTGTAGAAAGTTTGACCTTAATCCTAAGTCAAACTTGCCCAGTCTATTTTTTTCACTCTTTATGGCCAGGTATGAAATTGGTTTAAATATTTTGTTCTACCTAAAATTACCAGACAGGTAGAACTCAGAGTGGAGTGGCGAAGGCAAACTGTATAAAAGGCAAATTTTAAAAGGGAACGTATCATAAAGCTGTAATTTACTACCTTAGAATAATGAAACCCCTTATAAAAGATCACATATTGTGTGATTGCATTTATAAGAAATGTCCAGAATAGGAAAATCTGGCAGACAGAAAGTAGATTAGTGGTTGCTTAAGGTGGGGGAGATGGTAGGAGACAGGGGATGGTGAATGACTCTAATGCGTATGGGGTTTCTGTTTGGGGTGATGAAAATGCTCTAAACCTAGACTGTGGTGATAACTTATGGTTGCACAACTCTATAAATGTATTAAAACAATTACATTGTACACTTTAATGATTTAATATACCACTAATATGGAATATTAAGTATATCTCAATACGGATGTTTTTAAAATCGTATGTAGGAACTTTTAAAGCATGCCAAATGTCAACAATAGGTATGGCTATTTGAGACGTTGTCACTAACAGTCACATCATTGCAATGGATACTATTTGTAAGCAGCCTTAATAACTGATAATCAAAAAGCAATGTTTTAAGCAATTTGTACATTAGTGTGAACGGTACTTATAAATTCATGTTTTAGTGTGTTTTCCTGCTTTAATGTTTTAATGCTCTATTTTCATTTTTGGAAATCCAATAAGGGTTGGTGGTTAACATTTAATGTGTTACAATTTTCCCATGTAGAATATAAAGAAATAGGCTCCAGCATAGCACTTCTTTACAGAATGTCTAATTTTCAGAAATTGATTAAAGATGTAAAGTGAGAGGGGTAACGCCTGTGCATCTCTGTAATTTTCTATTCTATTACAATAAATCCCCAGGAGAGCTTTATTACATGTGAGATGTAAGATGTTTCATAAACTATATTCTTTATTATGGTGATCTTATACCATATCTTAGATAAGTCATTTATACCAGAGTATATGTGCGTGTGTAATGGGAGAGACTTCATTGAAAACATTTGCTACTAAGAAAATAGGAAGAAATTGCAACCATTGCTATAAGTGAACTTTTTGCATCTAGCAAATCAGGAAGAACTCAGTACGTGACAGAAGTTTATGCCACTGCTTTCTTCCTTATATTCGTTTCATTTTCCTTATTTTCCTGTTCTTTGCTTCACCTAAACTTAAAGCTTATGTATCACATAAGGCTATAAGCTTGTGCAAAGGTGTCAGGCCAGTTTGCTGAGGAAAGCAACTGCTTCAGACCCACTTGTGAGCATTCAAATCACAGCTATGCTGATTTTAAATAGGTTTGGACCATTTGTTTCTTCACAGATGGTTCATAAATCTGCAATACGTTCAGAAGAATCAAACAAGCTCTGTTGACCACAAATGGTATTGGCTTCTGTGTTGCTCTGAGTCCTAAAAGATCCAACTATCTGTTCAGAAAACTGAAAGTAAATTGGCTGATATGATCCAGTTGTTTTGCTCTTAAGTTGAGAGGTACATATAAGGTATAAATATAAGAATAATTGCTTTTTAGCAAGCTTTTCTTTAATACTATATCTAAAACAAGCCATTTTGTTGCCTTTGTGTCAAAAAATTCAGTTTGTGGAAGTTATGGCTGGAGAAAGGAGAACCTGTACTTCAAGTATTATCTGGTATTATTATTTAAAAAGTATGCAAGGTGGGTGTGGTGGCTCACTCCTGTAGTCCCAGCACTTTGGGAGGCCGAGGTGGGCAGATCATGAGGTCAGGAGTTTGAGAGCAGCCTGATCAACATGGTGAAACCCCATCTCTACTAAAAATACAAAAATTAGCCAGGTATGGTGGTGTGTGCCTGTAATCCCAGCTACTCAGGAGGCTGAGGCAGGAGAATTGCTTGAATCCGGGAGGCGGAGGTTGCAGTGAGCTGAGATCATGCCATTGCACTCTAGCCTGGGCAACAGAGTGAGACTCCGTCTCAAAAAAAAAAAAAAAAGAAAAAAAAGACACAAAGGTGTCATTTTCCTCAGTTTTAACCTGAGTATTACTAGGAATCATGTAAATGGAAATAAATGGTATTTGTTCAAAATGATTTTATTTTAAGAATAAAATACTTTAAAATGACATTACATTAGTGAAAGTTTTAAATGATTTTTTAATATAAACAATTTGAATATGACGTTGAATTAGGAAAATGTTAGTTATGTGTTTAAATATGAAAAGTATGAACTGCAAAACAGTAATACATATAAAAATATTTCTTCTAGCTCACCAAATCTGCTTTTCCTGCAGTTTTTCCCATGTCAGCAAATGGCATCACCATTCACCTGGTTTCTCAAGCCAAAATGCTACCATTCATCTTTGATTTTTTTCTTTCTCACTTCTGCTATCTAAGTTATCAGCAGCCCCTTCTGACTATACTTGTAAAACATATGCCAAATCTTTCTACTTCTCTGTGAATTTATTGCTTTCATCTAGGCCCTTCCTATCATAAAATCTTACCTGGGCCACTAGAGTAGCCTCTTAACCAGTCCCCTACTTAGAATTTTACGGTCCACATTCAAATCCATTGTCTTCATGGTAAATCACATACCATATCAGTCCCCTACTTCAACGACTTCAAATCTCAGAATGAAATCCAAAACTTTTATTCTGTGACCTACCATGCCGCATAGAATCTGGCCCCTGCCTTACCTCTGTGAGCGTCTCCAGCACCACTCTCCTCTTACTTAGTGGATTTCAGGTGGCTTTCTCTCTGTATCCCTAGCAGGCTAAATGTGCTTCTGTCTACTGCCTTTATATTAGCTTCTCTTTTCTTCTGGAATGTTCATTTTTTCTCCTTGCTTGTTCTTACTTATCTTTTCTCATCTAGGGTTAAATCAGATATCCTCTAAAAACCCATTCCTATCCACCCAATCTAATTACTAGACCCTCTCACTGCCAATTAATTTTTATCAGAGCATTTATTTCTATTTGATATTTTCTTATTTATAAATTTGTTATCCATCTTCTCCACTAGAAGTTTCATGAGCCCTGGGATAGTGCATTTCTTAGTAAATACCTCATGTATTTTGTTTAGAAAAGTGTCTTATACACAACAAACATTCAATTTTATGTATACACTGTTCACACATTATATTATTATTGGACTTCTATATTTAACAAAGAAAACATTTACGAGTAAAGACAGACTGCTAATATTCATGGAAAACAACTCTCAAACACAAAGGAAAAAAAATTTACATAAAAAGTTAAGAACTAAAGAAAGTTTGAATAATAACTTTTATATTTGTGATCCCTGAATTTCCATAGAATTTGCAAGCTACTAAAATATGAATGAATGGATGGAAGGATAGATAGATGAATTAATTGGTGAATGAATCAAAATGATTCTAGGAAGCCAGAAGCTACTTAATCGTTCACTGAGATCATATGTAATTTTAAGTAGCTGCTGGGAGGTTATGGGGGAAATTGTTATCTGTTACATTAATAACACAATGAAATTGAGATATGAGACCCAAGACTGGACAAATGGTCACATTTTGGACATTCTAGGAACATTATACTCCCCTCTCCAAATTAGAAGAATTATTGACATGCTAGGATCAATTAAAATTGAAGTAAAATGGAAATAAATAACCATCCCAGGGTGATCAATGTCTCTGAGCACTCCTATTATCCATTAATAACACACTAGTTTGCCACAGCATACCAGTTGGGCAACTTTACTTAAAAATTCAGGAGAGGGAACTTCCTTTGTGTTAGTCTGTTCAAGCTGTCATAACAAAATTCCAGACTGGGTGACTTAAGGAACAGAAATTTGTTTTCTTACAATTCTGGAGTCTGAGTCTGAGATCAGGATGCCAACATGGTAAGTTTCTAGTGAGGGCTCTCTGCCTTTTAGAAAACCACCATCTTGCTGTGTCCATATGGCCTTTCTTTGATATGTGTGCATAGTGAGAAGGGAAAGTGAGCTATCTGATATTTCTTCTCATGAGAACACTAACCTGATTCAATCAGGGTTTCACTTTATGACCAAATTTAACCTTAATCAGTTTCTGAGGGGTCCCACTACCAAATAAAGCCACACTGGGGGTTGGGGCTCTATTTGGGCTGTTATAACAAAATACCATAAACTGGGTAGCTTATAAACAACAGATTTTTTAAAATCATTCTGGAGGCTAGGAAGTCCAAGAACAAGACACCAACAAATTTGGTGTCTGTTGAAAACCCACTTTCTGGTTTATACATGGTGCCTTCTGGCTGTGTGCTCACAGATGGTAGAGGGTGAAGGACCTCTATCAGGCCTCTTTTTTATATATATATACTTTAATTTCTTTAATTTCTGGGGTACATGTGCAGAACGTGCAGGTTTGTTCCATAGGTATACACGTGCCATGGTGGTATGCTGCACCCATCAACCCATCAGATACATTAGGTATTTCTCCTAATGCTATCCGTCCCCTAGCCCATCACACCCCAACAGGTCCCAGTATGTGATGTTCCTCTCCCTGTGCCCATGTGTTCTCATTGTTCAACTCCCACTTATGAGTGAGAACATGTGGTGTTTGGTTATCTATTCTTGTGTTAGTTTGCTGAGAATGATGGTTTCCAGTGTCATCCATGTCCCCACAAAGAATATGAACTCATCCTTTTTTATGGCTGCATAGTATTCTGTGGTGTATATGTGCCACATTTTCTTTATCCAGTCTATCAGTGATGGGCATTTGGGTTGGTTCCAAGTCTTTCCTATAGTGAACAGTGCCACAATAAACATACGTGTGTATGTGTCTTTATAGTAGAATGATTTATAATCCTTTGGGCATATACCTAGTAATAGGATTGCTGGGTATTTCTGGTTCTATATCCTGGAGGAATCGCCACACTGTCTCCCACAATGGTTGAACTAATTTACACTTCCACCAACAGTGTAAAAGCATTCCTATTTCCCCACATCCTCTCCAGCATCTGTTGTTTCCTGACTTTTTAATGATTGCCATTCTTACTGGTGTGAGATGGTATCTCATTGTGGTTTTGTGTTGCATTTCTATAATGACCAAAGATGATGAGCTTTTTCTCATATGTTTTTTGGCCACATAAATGCCTTCTTTTGAGAAATGTCTGTTCATATCCTTTGCCCACTTTTTGATGGGTTTGTTTGTTTTTTTTCTTGTAAATCTGTTTAAGCTCTTTGTAGATTCTGGATATTAGGCCTACATCAGATGGACAGATTGCAAAATTTTTCTCCCATTCTATAGGTTGCCTGTTCACTCTGATGATAGTTTCTTTTGCTGTGCAGAAGCTCTTTAGTTTAATCAGATCCCATTTGTCTATTTTGGCTTTTGTTGCTGTTGCTTTTGGTGTTTTAGTCATGAAGCCTTTGCCCATTCCAATGTCCTGAATGGTATTGCCTAGGTTTTCTTCTAGGGTTTTTATGGCTTTAGGTTTAAGTCTTTAATCCATCTTGAGTTAATTTTTGTATAAGGTGTAAGGTAGGGATCCAGTTTCAGCTAGCATATGGCTAGCCAGTTTTCCTAGCACCATTTATTAATTAGGGTACCCTTTCCCCATTTCTTGTTTTTGTCAGGTTTGTTGAAGATCAGATTGTTGTAGATATGTGGCATGATTTCTGAGGCCTCTGTTCTGTTCCATTGGTCTATATATCTGTTTTGGTACCAGTACCATGCTGTTTGTGTTACTGTAGCCTTGTAGTATAGTTTGAAGTCAGGTAGCATGATGCCTCCAGCTTTGTTCTTTTTGCTTAGGATTGTCTTGGCTATGCAGGCTCTTTTTTGGTTCCATATGAACTTTAAAGTAGTTTTTTCCAATTCTGTGAAGAAAGTCAATGGTAGCCTGATCGGAATAGCATTAAATCTATAAATTGCTTTGGGCAGTGTGGCCATTTTAATGACATTCATTCTTCCTATCCATGAGGATGGAATGTTTTTCCGTTTGTTTGTGTCCTCTCTTATTTCCTTGAGCAGTGGCTTGTAGTTCTCCTTGAAGAGGTCCCTCACATCCCTTGTTAGCTGTACTCCTAGGTATTTTATTCTCTTTGCAGTGGTTGTAAATGGGAGTTCACTCATGAATTGGCTGTTTGTCTTTTATTGGTATATAGGAGTACTTGTGTATTTTGCACATTGATTTTGTACCCTGAGACTTTGCTGAAGTTGCTTATCAGTTTAAGGAGATTTTGGGCTGAGATGATGGGTTTTCCTAAATATACAATCATGTCATCTGCAAACAGAGACAATTTGACTTCCTCTTTTCCTACTTGAATACCGTTTATTTCTTTCTCTTGTCTGATTGCCCTGGCCAGAACTTCCAATACTATGTTGAATAGGAGTGGTGAGAGAGGGCAAGCTTGTCTTGTGCCGGTTTTCAAAGGGAATGCTGCCGGTTTTTGCCCATTCAGTATGATGTTGGCTGTGGGTTTGTCATAAATAGCTCTTATTATTTTGAGATACGTTCCATCAATGCCTAGTATATTGAACATTTTTAGCATGAAGCCTGCTGAATTTTGTCGAAGGCCTTTTCTGCAACTATTGAGATAATCATGTGGCTTTTATCACTGGTTCCGTTTATGTGCTAGATTATGTTTATTGATTTGCATATGTTGAACAAGGCTTGCATCTCAAGGATGAAGCTGACTTGATAGTGGTGGATAAGCTTTTTGATGTGCTGCTGGATTCAGTTCGCCAGTATTTTATTGAGGATTTTCGGATCAATGTTCATCAGGGATAGTGGCCTGAAATTTTCTTTTTTTGTTGTGTCTGTGCCAGGTCTTGGTATCAGGATGATGCTTGCCCCATAAAATGAGTTAAGGAGGATTCGCTCTTTTTCTCTTGTTTGAAATAGTTTCAGAAGGAATGGTACCAGCTCCTCTTAGTACCTCTAGTAGAATTCGGCTGTGAATCCCTCTGGTCCTGGACTTTTTTTGGTTGGTAGGCTATTAATTACTGCCTCAATTTCAGAACTAGTTATTGGTCTATTCAGGGATTCAAATTCTTCATGGTTTAGTCTTGGAAGAGTGTAGTGTCCAGGAATTTATCCATTCCTTCTAGATTTTCTAGTTTATTTGCATAGAGGTGTTTATCGTATTCTCTGATGGTAGTTTGTATTTTCTGTGGAATCGGTGGTGATATCCCCTTTATCATTTTTGATTGCATCTATTTGATTCTCCTCTCTTTTATTCTTATTAGTCTGGCTAGTGGTCTATTTTGTTGATGTTTTCAAAAATCCAGCTCCTGGATTCATTGATTTTTTGAAGGGTTTTTTGTGACTCTGTCTCCTTCAGTTCTGCTTTGATCTTAGTTATTTCTTGTCTTCTGCTAGCTTTTGAATTTGTTTGCTCTTTCTTCTCTAGTTCTTTTAATTGTGATATTAGGGTGTAAATTTTAGATCTTTTTGCTTTCTCCTGTGGGCATTTAGAGCTATAAATTTCCCTTAATATTATGGCAGAAGGTGATGTGGGAGCTGGCATATCACATGAAGACAGAGGTGCCAGACTTTTTTAAACAACTAGCTCTCATATGAACTACCATAACAGGAACTCTCTCATTATCACGAGAGGGCACCAAGCCACTCATGAGGGGTCTACCCCATGTCCCAAACACCTCTCACTAGGCCCAATATCCAACATTGGGGATTGCATTTCAACATGGGATTTGGAGGGGACACACATCTAAACTACATTGCTGCACAAACCAAACTGTGCAAAATAGTAGGCTAGGGGCTGGGAATGTAGCATCAAAGACCAAAGGAGTAGATCCTTACTCATAAGAAGGTTATATCAAGTTCGATCCTATAGCTAAAAACTACTACATAGAGCTTTAATGTAAGTGGAATATGATTAATTCTATCAGGAAAAACATATGTGATAGTTTAAAACATATGAATTCTTTTTTAAGCAATAAGGAAAATATGACGTGAAAAGACATGGAAGAATGCATAGAATATGAACAGATACAGATAAGAAAAACAGCATACTGAGCAAAACTTAAAATAATAGAAGCAAAGGCCCAATGATGATAAGATATGATGCATATGTTGGGGAAAAATATGTCGCTCTTTTCTGGTATTATATAATCCTAGGCCAAAAATGGAAACTATTCTTCAGACTATGGGTGGAAAGCCATAAAGATTTTGTCTTCCTTTGTTTGTGTATAAGGTACAATGTTGTTAGAACCCTACTTAAGAAAGATAAATATAGCAGTGAGTGATTTCTTGAAACAGAGATTCTGAAAACAGAGAAAGAAATTAGGAGACTTTTAAAAGTGTTAATGGGACTATGTTCAACCAACTAATGAGAGACTCTGACTTTTGACACTTTGGCTCCTCAGTCTCTTGCTTTGGACACACATATTTAGTGTTTATTTCTGGACACTTTGGCTTTCTATCCTGATGGACTGCCTTTTCTATTTGCTAGACTTGATTTCCTACTTTGCTGTAGAATTTACTTACTTTTCCAACGTTGATACTCCTGTAGCCTTTCGTGAAAATCTTGCCTATTCAATTATTTTCTACTGTCCGTCTAGACTACAAGCCCTGCCCTTCTTCATAGTTCACTTAACTTCCATAAAACCACCAGCATCATATTTGACATTTTTACACATAAAGACAAGGTAATTTTCTAAGGAAGATCAAACCCTTGTAGACTAGAGTTAGCAGGAATGTAATTTTAATAAGTGGAAGAAATCAAGAAACACCTTTTTCTCCTAAATTAACAAGCATAACTTTTATACTTGTATTTGTCACCTGATTCTGAATTCATTAGTAGGTTTGTCAAAAAGTAAATATGCAAACAACAATGTGATTCAATTTATTGTATTAATTAGGTTGGGTATAGTAACAAATAGACCCAGAAATGCATATTGACTGAAACATAATTACTTTTGATTTCTGGCTTCATAAATGACCCAACTTGGATGATTCTGGTCCATGAGAAGTTTTTTCAACAAGTGATTCAGGCAGGCAGGCAGCTTCTATCTTATGGTTCCACCATCTTTTGGGGTTTCATTCTCATCTCTACGTAGTGGAAAGAAGGTGCACATTGTTTCTTAAAACAATCTCTTGGACAAGGAATAACACATAACAATTGTGTTCACACTCTATTAAAAAGGACTTAGCCCATGGTCACACAAAGGAAAGCAAAGGAAGCTAAGAGTTTTAGTAATTTTGTCTGTCCAAAAAAGGGAAAAACGATTGATGGCTGCTACTATTTTCCACCAGAGTTAAGAAAAATAAGGTAAAATGGATTACAATGCCCTTTGCAAATATGACATACTAATAACTTGTTAAATGTGGCCTAAGGCTGCCTCTGTTCCTTGAGTCCTTACATAATGAATTGCAACCTAACTTAGTATGTAAACAAACTGAAAGCCTAACTTACAGGTATATTTTTGTAAAAGATAACTAAGTCATAGCCAATCACAGCAGTCAAGCTTCAGCCAATCACAGGCCACCAACTGATATGATTATGTCCAAATAAGGCAAAATTGAACCATAACCAATCAAGCTGTTTCTATATTTCTTCCATTTTCTATCTATAAATACTCCCTGCTCATTTATTACGCAGAGTTTTCTAAATTTTCACTGGTTCTCAGTGCTACCCAGTTCATGAATTATTCTTTGCTTAATTAAACTTTGTTTCTTTTAGCAAACTATATGAAAAAATAATATGTGTGGTTAAGTAGTACTAAGTATGTGATAAGTTGCTGCTATTGAGTCACTGCAAGTTAAGTAATTGTGGAAGATAATACAGAAAATATAAGAATTAGATTCAGTGCATTTCTATGTGAAAATGTTTTAATAGTGATTTTCTTCTCCAAAGTTACTATTAAATCACAAGTTGAAAAGGTACTTGGGAAAAATTCTTCTTAGTAAAGTAAATAAAAGGTTCTTATCAAGTTTATTGATATATTTGGAGAGAAAATAAAATGTACTTAGCTCTTGTATAATGTATAATATTTGCTTCTGTTTGATGTAGGTCAGGAGTCTGAAGATGAAATTGTGGATGAAAAATTGGATACCAGTTTTAGGATATCAGTTTTCAAACTACCCATATACACTTCAGGTTCATTGAAGAATAATGCAGTATTGAGAGAGAAAAAACAACATTTTTTTCCTGCATATCCTCAGCCAATCTATACTACTCATCCAAAGCCAATCATTAAAAAAGACATACGATTGGAGCGGAGTATGAAAGAGTTTTTTGCACCACAAAGAGCTGGTATGAAACTCCGAACATTTAGTGATATTGACAAATATTACACAGAACAAAAGAAGCAGGAATACCATAAAGAAAAAGTAAGAGTTGTAGCCATGGCACAAGTTGCTCGAGAAAGAGTTAGAGTAGCTGTTAATGAACATTTGAATCAGAAAAAATATGCTACACAAAAACTAATTGAAGAAAATAAAGAGACAATTCAGAACAGTTTACGACAAGTTTGGCAAAACAGATTCAACTACCTTGAAAAAGCTAGAGAGAGAAAAGCTCTGTTTCTAAAAGAAAAATCCCAAAAGGCTTCAGAGCGTTTATTAGTTCAAAACTTAAATAATGAGCGCACTCTTTTGACCAGAGGACTACTTAAAATTGACAGACTGGAGAAGAATGAGGCTGTCCTAAAAGAGAAAAGCCTGATTGTTAAGCAAAAACTAAAAGCAGAAAAATATAGAAAGAATTTACTTAAAGAAATGAAAAAAGTTAGGTAGGTACAATTTAGATATAACAGAGGCATTAAAGTCAATTACATGTGAATATTGCATGCTAAATTTTAAGACCTAATAATTAGTATGCTGTTTGTAACATAGTACATTCTACTTTGAAAAATTAAAACAAAGAACAAATAATATACTAATATATTACCAAAGATAAGGCAATAAAATAACTCTGTCTTTCCCCATCTCTCCACCTGTGCAACAAAACCTATCTACCTCTTAGTTATGAGTTGTTCTTATTATCACAAATGGCATCATCATCAGCCTCTTGACCAGTGCTATCAACCTCAGTTGGCATGAGCCAACGTGTCCGGCCTCTAGCTCTTTTAATTCTGATGTTAGGGTGTCATTTTGTGATCTTTCTCCAGCTTTCCAATGTAGGTATTTAGTGCTATAAATTTCCCTCTTAATACTGCTTTAGCTGTGTCCCAGAAATTCTGGTATGTTGTGTCTTTGTTCTCACTGGTTTCAAATAACACTGATTTCTGCCTTAATTTCATTAGTTACTCAGGAGTCATTCAGGAGCATGTTGTTCAATTTCCATGTAATTGTGTGGTTTTGAGTGAGTGTCTTAATCCTGAGCTCTACTTTGATTGCACTGTGGTGTGAGAGACTGTTTGCTATGATTTCAGTTCTTTTGCATTTGCTGAGGATGGTTTTACTTCCAATTATGTGGTCAATTTTAGAATAAGTGCCATGTGGCACTGAGAAGAATGTATATTCTGTTGATTTGGTGTAGAGAATTCTGTAGATGTCTATTAGGTCCACTTGATCCAGAGCTGTGTTAAAGTCCTGAATATCCTTGTTAATTTTATGTCTCATTAATCGGTCTAATATTGACAGTGGGGTATTAAAGTCTCCCACTATTATTGTGTGGGAGACTATGTCTCTTTGTAGGTCTCTAAGAACTTGTTTTATGGATCCAGGTGCTGCTGTATTGGGTGCGTATATATTTAGGATAGTTAGCTCTTCTTGTTGCATTGATCTCTTTACCATTATGTAATGCCCTTCTTTGTCTTTCTGATTTTTGTTGGTTTAAAGTCTGTTTTGTCAGAGACTAGGATTGCAACCCTTGCTTGTTTTTCTTTTTTCCTTTCCATTTGCTTGGTAAATGTTCCTCCATTCCTTTATTTTGAGCCTATGTGTGTCTGCACGTGAGATGGGTCTCCTGAACACAGCACACTGATGGGTCTTGGCTCTTTATACTATTTGCCAGTCTGTGTCTTTTAATTGGGGCATTTAGCCCATTTACACTTTAGGTTAATATTTTTATGTGTGAATTTGATCCTGTCATCATGATGCTATCTGGTTATTTTGCACACTAGTTGGTACAGTTTCTTCATAGTGTCATTGGTCATTATATTTTGGTGTGTTTTTGCAGTGGCTGGTACCGGTTTTTCCTTTCCATGTTTAGTGCTTCCTTCAGGAGCTCTTGCAAGGCAGGCCTGGTGGTGATGAAATCCCTCAGCATTTGCTTGTCTGGAAAGGATTTTATTTCTCCTTCACTTATGAAGCTTAGTTTGGCTGAATATGAAATTCTGTGTTGAAAATTCTTTTCTTTAAGAATGATGAATATTGGTCCCCACTCTCTTCTGGCTTGTAGAGTTTCTGCTGAGAGGTCCACTGTTAGTCTGATGTGCTTCCCTTTGTAGATTACTTGGCCTTTCTCTCTGGCTGCCCATATGTGTCTTGGGGTTGATCTTCTCATGGAGTATCTTAGTGGTGTTCTCTGTATTTCCTGAATTTGAATGTTGGCTTTTCTTGCTAGGTTTGGGAAGTTCTTCTAGATAGTATCCTGACATGTGTTTTCCAGCTTGATTCCCTTCTCCCCATCTCCTTCAGGTACTCCAGTCAGTCATAGGTTCATTTTTTTTTACATAGTCCCATATTTCTCAGAGATTTTGTTCATTCCTTTCATTCTGTTTTCTCTAATCCTGTCTTCATGACTTATTTCAGCAAGGTAGTCTTCAAACTCTGATATCGTTTCTTCTACTTGGTCGATTCACCTGTTGATACTTGTGTATGCTTCACTAAGTTCTCGTCCTATGTTTTTAGCTCCATCAGGGCATTTATGTTCCTCTCTAAACTGGTTATTCTAGTTAGCACCTTCTCTAACTTTTTATCAAGGTTCTTACCTTCTTTGCTAAGAACTTTAGCACATGCTTCTTTAGCTTAGTGGCGTTTATTATTACCCACCTTCTGAAGCCTACTTCTGTCAATCCACCCATCTCATCCTCTGTCCAGTTCTGCACCCTTGCTGGAGAGGCATTATGATCATTTGGAGGAGAGGAGGAACTCTGGCCTTTTGGTTTTGCAGCATTTTTTCATTGATTCGTTCTCATCTTCATGAATATGTCTAGTTTTGATGTTTGAGGCTGCTCACCCTTGGATAGGGCTTTAGTTGGGAACTCTTTTTTGCTGATGCTATTGTTGTTGTTTTCTGTTTGATTGTTTTTATTTCAATGGTCAAGTCCCTCTTCTGTAGGGCTGCTGAGGTTTGCCAGAGGTTCGCTTCAAGCACTATTCATCTGGTTCACTCCTGTGCCTGGAGATGTCACTTGAGGAGGTTGGAGAACAGCAGAGATGAGTGCCTGCTTCTTCTTTTGGGATCTCTGACCTCGAGAGGCACCTACCTGATCTCAGTAGGAATGCTCATGTATAGGGTGTCTGACAATCCCTGTTTAAGAGTCTCACCCAGTTGAGTGGCACAGGGAGCAGGACCTGTTTAGCGAAGCACTTTGACCATCCCTTGGTGAAAGGTGTGTTTTGCTGGGGGGGAAACCCACTTGTCTGGGCTGCCCAGATTCCTCAGAACTAGCAGGAGGAAAGGTTAAGTCTGCTGGTCTGCAGAGACTGTGGCCACCCCTCACCCTGGGGGCTCAGGCCCAGGGAGATCAGGCTTCTGTCCCTGAGCCCCTGGCTGGAGTTGTTGGAGTTCCTGCAGGGAGACCCCACCCAGTGAGGAGGGATGGGTCAGGTTCAGGCCTGAAGAGGCATTCTGGCTGCAGTCTGCCACAGCCGGTGTGTTGGGCTGTGGGGGATACCTCTTGGGACGAAGCTATCCAGACTCCCTGGCTCCATCAGGGGAAAAGCATATCCTGGAGCTATAGAGATGGCTGCTGCCCCATACCCGCCCTGGGAGCTTAATGTGTTAGGCAGCTATCAGTCTCAGTGTTGGCTGGTGCCTCTCCCCTAAGGACCTCAGGCAGCTTAGACATTAGGCAGCGGCAGCTGTGGTGCTGGTTGCCCCTCCCCTGGGAGTCTTAAGCAGATTCTAGTTGAGTGGCTGTTGAGAATCTGCATGGCTTCCCGGTGGCATGGGTTCATGAGTGGGATCCTCCAATCCTTGGGTTGCACAGTTCCATGGAAAAAGCACGGTTTCCTAGGCTGGGTAGCACACTCACCACCTCCCTTGACTGGGGTGTGGGGGCTCCCCTGCCCCGTGTGGCTCTTAGGTGGGCCACCACAGCACACTGCTCTTCCTTCCTCTCCATGGGTCATACCAGCTGCCTAGTCAGTTCTTGTTTTTTGTTGTTGTTGTTGTTTGTTTGTTTTTTGTTTTGTTTTGTTTTGAGACACAGTTTCACTCTTGTTGCCCAAGCTGGAGTGCAATGGCATGATCTTGGCTCACTGCACCCTTCACCTCCCAAATGATTCTCCTGCCTCAGCCTCCTGAGTATGGGATTACAAGCGTCCGCCACCACACCAAGCCGTTTTTTGTATTTTTAGTAGAGACAAGGTTTCACCACGTTGGCCAGACTGGTCTCCAGCTCCTGACCTCAGGTGATCCGTCCCCCTCAGCCTCCCAAATTGCTGGGATTACAGGTGTGAGTCACCTCACCTGGCCCTAGTCAGTTTTGATGAAGACCCTGCATACCTCAGTTGCCAGTGCAGGATTTGGAGGCAGTTATGGTTCTTTTTGATGACAGCCTCCAATCACTGCTGCTTCTAGTCAGCCATTTTGGCCCCACCCCCTCAAGAAAATAATCAAGTCTTTGTATTATTCACTCCATCTTTCTATTTCAATGCCCAGTATAGTACCTAGTTAACAAATTTATTCAACACACATTTCTTGAGGAAAATAGGCGAGAACCTCAATTAGTAAAGGTTGTATATAAACTCATTTAAGTCATATAACAACCACTGAGAAGAGAGTGCTTTTTACATATTTGTACTTAAGTCATTTAGAATAAGAAGCAATGTATATTTTTTCTAAATGCTTTTACAATGAAGATAATCAGAATAATATTAAACATAGAGTAAAAATGTAATTAACCAAGTTACGAAAGTAGCTTCACTAATCATTAGACTAAGTAAACTTCTTAGTACAAGTGCTTAATTCATGGCAGTAAATTTGCCCTGCACATTTTTTTCTGCCCCTCTGTGATCATTGGTGCTTCTACTAAGTAGTACCTACCTTCAATTCAAATAATTCAAGTAGTAATTCATTTCTAGCTCTTGAAGAGTTCTCTTACAGGTGATGTAGTCATGTAAAGATCATTTGGCCCAAGAAACTGAAAATTGAGGTGGGAAATATGGCAAAAAGCAATGAGATTAACAGAGTTACATAATAATACCAGCAATAACACAAACATTACGAATAGACAATTAAAATTTCGGGTACATTAATGGGTTTATGGCTGACACTTCTATAATAAAGACAGATTAGCAAGAAAAAGGCATAACAAATTTATTTCATCAAAATGTTATGTGACCTAGAAGCTTTCTAAAATGAAGACCCAGGGACAACTATTTTTATGCTTAGATTTGATGAAGAATAGACAATTTTGTAGAAGTATGATTGGAACAAAAAGAAAAGGGTATGACCTAATGGTAATAAACTGGGGATGAGGGGTACCAAGCAAGGCCTGTTTGTTCAGATTCTTCTTGGCCTTTCTATATAATATTCCTTCCCTCATGGTTTAAAGCATGGCACTTGTCACAGTGTTTAAAAGACAGGAGGCGGAAGTTGAGAGCAATCTTTCTGCTTCTGCAAGTTTCTCAGTTTCCTTCAGCTTAAAATACATAGTGTGCCAATGTGCCATATTTGGGGGCAGCATTTTTTGCTACTCCAAAATCAAAACCTTCAAAGAGAAGCCTTAACTAAACCAGAGTGTTACTTCACTTAAATTCTCCCTTGCCCTGCCATACAAAGATGAATAAGATATTCTTGATCCTCTAAGAACTCACAGTCCAGTGGCAAACATAAGCATACATTTCAATTGTTACAAAAAATAGTAGTAGGAGAAGTACAATTGTTGATTCACATTGGAAAAGCAGAGAGGTGAGAGGAGACCATTATAGTAGAGAGGTGAGGCAAGGAGAAGAGGATAAGCAAAGTTGGAAAGTTCAAAATAGGTAAAGCTAGGGGAGATCAAGGAGATCGTGAATATTCCTGTACCTATAGCAGAAAGTTTATGAAGAGTAGTTGACAGTGCAATTGCTTGAGAAACATCAACTTGATTAAAAAGAGCCTCTAAGTCTCAGTAGACAGTTGTGCAGTAAAGACCATTAGGATTCCTACCAGAAAGATATATTGCATTTTACACATGTATTTTACCATAAAACTTTCCTTTCAAGAAATATCTCAGAAAATAATTCTTAGGGCACACTTTGGACAAAACTTTCTCAAAGAATTGCAAAAATAGAAATTGTTTTATGGTGAAGGTTTTAAAGTTTTAAACCAAATTTGGTAAAGTAGGAGCTTTGTTGACTCAAAATATTTTAACTTACAGCTAGTCAATTTAAATTTTATTAATTGCCAAGGAACATTTTTAAGAACATAAAACCATGACCCATATAAATATAAAATGAGCACATGCCAAAGATATCATTTAACTCATTAAAGAATAAATCAGTTATGAGAATTCAAAGAACATTTATCTATCTATATATTATATCTATGTCTATGTCTATGTCTACTTCTATGTCTATATTGATATTGGCAATCAAAAATGCTGAACTAAATTCACAGATAGGTGCAAAACTAGTCAATATTCACTGGGCAATAATCAAACGTAACTTAGCTGAACACAATTATTTATATCTCTATAAAGAAGAATCATTTGTATTGCTCACAGTTTTTCTTAATTTAGAGTTGTAAAATTGTTCACGGAGATTGAAAGGCACAGATAGTTCTGAAGGGTGTACTAGCCAGGACTCCTAGTAATTTTATTTTACCCTTTCAAAGTCTTTCACACATTTTTTCTCTGATATTAGATTGAAACTGGTCAGCCACAGTTTTATCCTAGTGCTATTTCAAATGGCCAAATTATGTACATACATATTTAAGGCTTGTATAGAAACATTTAGAGATCTTCAGAACTGCTTATTTTATTTAAATTTTTAAACAACATTGTTTTTAAAAGCCTGTGCTAGAAAGAAGTTTTAAATAAAAAAAAGCATTTGCCTTTTCCTACTTATAAGCAATTTAAGCTATTTACTGATGTGTTTTATGTAATACTTTATTACGTATGAAAAATACTATTTATTTCCCCCTCCATATTTAAAATCATTTTCTTTAGTGTACACTTTGTGGTGTGTGTGTGTGTGTGTGTGTGTGTGTGTCTGTGTGTGCTTTGGAAATATTTCCTATAACTTATTTTAATTTAAAAAAGTATTTTGGAAAAGAAAATGAAAGCTAGTATGTATTGAAATACAAATCTAGTGCAAATCAATCTAATTTAATCAGCTTAGTTTTTTCACAGTAAAATGAATATCTGGCCATAATTAATTTTTAAAGAATACAGACTCAAACAAGCATCCTAATATATGTTAACTGAATTATCTTCTCTCATAAGCTACTGCAAAAGTATTAACCTGCAGAGCACATAAGAATAGGGCAATGTTTTGGTTATGCGAGTAGTATGTTCCAGTAGGCATCTTTGAGTTTTACTCTAAATATTTTCAAATAAAGATTAGGTATCAATATACAGAAAGAAGATGTGATCAAAAAGTGAAATCTAACTGGAGACTTCTGAAATTTTTCAATTCTGATACTTTTTCCGCTGATGATTCTTTATTCTCTTGACCTAAAAGCATTCTGATAAATTTCCATAACTAGTGAAGTCATTATTGAGAATGTAGCTCCCTAATCCTGCTATGTGGAATGAGAAAGAGTAAAAGAAAAAAGGGGAACCATAAAGCTCTAATTTAGAAAGTTAATAAAATACCCACAGGAGTATTTAAGCATTAATTAAAGATAGACTTTGAAATGAAAGAATCTATGTATCAGATAAAAGCTAGTCAGGGGTTTTTCTAAGATATTCATGTCTGTACTCTGAGAAAGTGATGATACTGTTCAAGCCAGGAGAGCAGGGTGTCCATTTTGAAGTAGGGTATCACTTAGCATGGAAGAGCTAGAAAATAAAGTGGTTTTTCAATTACATCATCTTCAACTTGTCCTTATTTGGTCATCAATTGACCTCCCATACTACCATCTTCATTTACTGTGGTCTTTACATCATTTTGACTTATGAAGCTTTTTCTCTCCATCCAATTTCTGCCATAATCATTGTTAACTTCCAAATTCATAAGAACAGCCCTCCCAATTACCTAATATCAACATTTTTGGACACCAACAATCTTTATCCTACCGGACGTTAATAAACTGATTTCCATAGACACATACAAAGATCCTCTTATCACTTGGAACTGCCCCACCTCTTAAATCTTCAACTCCTATATATTTATTTATAACTAAAATCTATCTTTTCAACTCCTTTCTTCCTCAACTCCTTTCTTCCTTTACTTCCACCACACATATCCTCCAAATATATGGTGACACCCATCCATCAAATAACCTCCTTTATACACTTTTATTTTCATTTCTAGTGTAGGCTCCGAGGTTCTTTAATTCAATTATTATTTTGTCCATTCTCTCCAGTGTCTCTAAAGTTCTTTCATTTCATTGCCTTGATTATGCTAAAATGTTCCTTACAACCCTTGGAACATTTCAACTATCTATCTTTATTTCCTGTATTTGGATAAAAATGTCTAGAAGAAATCAATGCCCCACAGATTTATGCCAATATTAATTTTATGGTCTCCAACTTGAGCTGCTCCCACAGTTGCTTGCTCTTTCTCCTGTTACCTACAAGAGCCATTTAAAATCTTCAACAGTACAGCTTTCTATTCAAACACCACTTATGGCCTCTCCTTCTCAACAAGATAATTTATCTATTTCCCAACGAAATTTTAGGACTTCAAGCTTTAATTCATTCAACTTCCTATATCCATATTTATAAAATTCTATATATTTTATATTTACCACAGTTTCCTTTTCTGCTGTCTCATGATTAGGTTTCCATTTTTCTGTAAAAAGCTAATAAACTCTCCTCTTATAATTCTTATAATCTTTAAAATCAAGTAATGTAAGGCTGCTGTGTTAGTCAGAATTATGGCTACCAAGAAGATAGATACCATGCCCTCCTTGATTCCCAGGACTATGAATATGATGAGATAGCACACCTGTGAATGTGTTGGTAAAGGGACTTTAAATATGTAATTAAGAATATTGCTTAATTAACCTTAACATAAGGAAATTATTCTGGATTATCCAGATGCGCCCAATGTATCACATGAGCCTTTCAAATACAGAGACAAAAGAGAACATCAGATTCAAAGTATAAGAAGGGTTTTACATGATATTGCTGACTTAAAAATAGAGGGAAGCACAGGGAAAGAGTGATGATAAAATTAATTCTGACAACAACCACTGATCTGGATGAGGACCCAAGACCTAAATGAGAACCATTGCTCTGGCTGACACCTTGATTTCAGCCTTGTGAGACCTAAGCAGAAAACCCAACTAGCCACAATGTGCCTGGACTTCTGACCTAATGAAACTATGAGGTATTATAAGGTGGTTGTTGTAAGCCAATACATTTATGGGTAAATTGTTATGTGGAATGAAAAATAGATTCCAACTTTGTTCTGTTTTCCCAAGATTGTATTGGTTGTTCTAGGACCTTTGCATTTTCATATAAATTTAAATTTTAATAAATTCAAAACATTTAAATTTAACACATTTAAAATAAATCTGAATTAAATTAATATATATTTAAAACAAATGTAAATGTTAATTTCTAATTTCTATCATAGAGGCTCTTGGCATATTAATTGTAATTTTATTTATCCATAGATCCACTTGGGAAAAATTGACATCATAATATTATCTTATAATCTCTGAGATGATATAACTCCCCATTAATTTAGATCTTTTTAAATTTCTTTTAGCAATATTTTATCATTTTTAGGTATAGACCTTGCCTATCTTTTATTACATTTATGTCTAAATATTTTATGCTTTTCTGGTCACAGTGTAAGTGGAATCACTTGATTTTATTTTCCAATTGTTTGACATTGGTATACATGGATATAATGATATAATTGATTATTTCATATTTCTCATTCTCTAAGACTTTTTTAAATATATTTTTTATTATACTTTAAGTTCTAGGGTACATGTGCACAACGTGCAGGTTTGTTACATATGTATACATGTGCCATGTTGGTGTGCTGCACCCAGTAACTCCTCATTTACATTAGGTATATCTCCTAATGCTATCCCTCCCCCCTCCCCTCACCCCACAACAGGCCCCAGTGTGTGATGTTCCCCTTCCTGTGTTCAAGTGTTCTCATTGTTCAATTCCCACCTATGAGTGAGAACATGCGGTGTTTGGTTTTTTGTCCTTGTGATAGTTTGCTGAGAATGATGGTTTCCAGCTTCATCCATGTCCCTACAAAGGACATGAACTCATCATTTTTTGTGGCTGCATAGTATTCCATGGTGTATATGTGCCACATTTTCTTAATCCAGTCTATCATTGTTGGACATCTGGGTTAGTTCCAAGTCTTTGCTTTTGTGAATAGTGCTGCAATAAACAAACGTGTGCATGTGTCTTTATAGCAGCATGATTTATAATCCTTTGGGTATATACCCAGTAATGGGATGGCTGGGTCAAATGGTATTTCTAGTTCTAGATCCCTGAGGAATTGCCACACTGTCTTCCACAATGGTGGAACTAGTCTACAGTCCCACCAACAATGTAAAAGTGTTCCTATTTCTCCACATCCTCTCCAGCACCTGTTGTTTCCTGACTTTTTAATGATCGCCATTCTAACTGGTGTGAGATGATATCTCACTGTGGTTTTGATTTGCATTTCTCTGATGGACAGTGATGATGAGCATTATTTCATGTGTCTGTTGGCTGCATAAATGTCTTCTTTTGAGAAGTGTCTGTTTATATCCTTTGCCCACTTTTTGATGGGGTTGTTTGTTATTTTCTTGTAAATTTGTTTGAGTTCTTTGTAGATTCTAGATATTAGCCCTTTGTCAGATGAGTAGATTGCAAAAGTTTTCTCACATTCTGTAGGTTGTCTGTTCATTCTGATGGTAGTTTCTTTTGCTGTGCAGAAGCTCTTTAGTTTAATTAGACCCCATTTGTCAATTTCGGCTTTTGTTGCCATTGCGTTTGGTGTTTTAGACATGAAGTCCTTGCCCATGCCTATGTCCTGAATGGTATTGCCTAGGTTTTCTTTTAGGGTTTTTATGGTTTTAGGTCTAACATTTAAGTCTTTAATCCATCTTGAATTAATTTTTGTATAAGGTGTAAGGAAGGGATCCAGTTTCAGCTTTCTACATATGGCTAGCCAGTTTTCCCACCACCATTTGTTAAATAGGGAATCTTTTCCCCATTTATTGTTTTTGTCAGGTTTGTCAAGGATCAGATAGTTGTAGATGTGTGGTATTATTTCTGAGGGCTCTGTTCTATTCCATTGGTCTATATCTCTGTTTTGGTACCAGTACCATGCTGTTTTGGTTACTGTAGCCTTGTAGTATAGTTTGAAGTCAGGTAGCATGATGCCTCCAGCTTTGTTCTTTTGGCTTAGGATTGACTTGGCATTGCGGGCTCTTTTTTGGTTCCATATGAACTTTAAAGTAGTTTTTTCCAAGAAAGTCATTGGTAGCTTGATGGGGATGGCACTGAATCTATAAATTACCTTGGGCAATATGACCATTTTCATGATATTGATTCTCCTATCCATGAGCATGGAATAGTCTACCATTTGTTTGTGTCCTCTTTTATTTTGTTGAGCAGTGGTTTGTAGTTCTCCTTGAAGAGGTCCTTCACATCCCTGGTAAGTTGGATCCCTAGGTATTTTATTCTCTTTGAAACGATTGTGAATGGGAGTTCACTCATGATTTGGCTCTCTGAGCAAATAAACTAGAAAATCTAGAAGAAATGGATAAATTCCTTGACACATACACCCTCCCAAGACTAAACTAGGAAGAAGTTGAATCTCTTAATAGACCAATAACAGGCTCTGAAATTGAGGCAATAGTTTATAGCTTACCAACCAAAAAAAGTCCAGGACCAGATGGATTCACAGCCGAATTCTACCAGAGGTACAAGAAGGAGCTGGTACCATTTCTTCCGAAATTATTCCAATCAATAGAAAAAGAAGGAATCCTCCCTAACTCAATTTATGAGACCAGCATCATCCTGATGCCAAAGCCTAGCAGAGACACACACAAAAAAGAGAATTTTAGACCAATATCCCTGGTGAACATCGATGCAAAAATCCTCAATAAAATACTGGCATACCAAGTCCAGCAGTAGATCAAAAATCTTATCCACCATGATCAAGTGGGCTTCATCCCTGGGATGCAAGGCTGGTTCAACATACTCAAATCAATAAACGTAATCCAGCATATAAACAGAACCAAAGACAAAAACCACATGATTATCTCAATAGATGCAGAAAAGGCCTTTGACAAAATTCAAGAGCTGTTCATGCTAAAAACTCTCAATAAATTACCTCAAAATAAGAAGAGCTATTTATGACAAACCCACAGCCAATGTCATACTGAATGGGCAAAAACTGGAAGCATTCCCTTTGAAAACTGGCACAAGACAGGGATGCCCTCTCTCGCCACTCCTATTCAACATAGTGTTGGAAGTTCTGGCCAGGGCAAGCAGGCAGGAGAAAGAAATAAAGGGTATTCAATTAGGAAAAGAGGAAGTCAAATTGTCCCTGTTTGCAGATGACGTGATTGTATATCTAGAAAACCCCATTGTCTCAGCCCAAAATCTCCTTAAGCTGATAAGCAACTTCAGCAAAGTCTCAGGATACAAAATCAATGTGCAAAAATCTTTAAGACTTTTAAATAGTTATTTTACTTACATTTTCTTCACAGCTTATAATGTTTATCTGTAAGAGGGCTATTTTAGTACATTTATTGACTTAATTACTATCCTTAATTACATGTGCAAGATTCCTTTGCTATGATTTCTACTCTGCTACACGTCCAGACCTGACTACTCTCCTGATTTCTAGGCTTATAGTACTAGTAGCTAACTTTTAGCTACTACTAAAATGATTATTAAATGCTAGGCACTCCTTTAAGGATTTTAAATGTGTTAGTTTATTTACTTCCTACTAAACCCTGTGAGTTGAAATGTCCTCTTTATAAAGATGAAAAAAAATAATACAGAGACAACTTAAATAACCTATCTAAAATCACACCAACAATACATTTCAGAGCCAAGCAGAATGGCTTTACTACCTGTACTCTTAACTATAAGCCTTCACTTCTCTATATTCAACACCCTGGGCATCACCACATGAATAAGCAGGCTCTTAACACTAACCATTTCCAGTCAGAACTCTAATCTTTCTTCCCGTCTTGTTGCTCTACCTACATTTCTTTCTGTTGAAGGCCACTATTATCCATCCAGTAAAATTAATTATTTAATATTAGGCATTCACCTAAGAATTTTTAATGTATCAACCCACTTAGTCCTTTACTAACCCTATGAGTTAGGTTATCTCCTTAACAATGAAGAAAATGAGAGAGAAAGAACATGAATATCTTGTCTAAAATCACATCATCAATAAGCTGCAGGCTTTTTAGACTTCACCCTCTCTTTTTCTCCTCAACTTCAGATTTCTGAGTATACCTACACATAAATAAAGTATTTTATGATCTGGCCTAAATTTGTTTCTCCAGCCTTGCCTGCTGCCTTGTTCTCCTTCCCAGACTGTAAGACCCAGACAATTAGATTGATGCCAGTTCTTGGAGCATTCCAAGCTGTGCTACCCTCTCTACCTTTGTTTTGACCATGTTCGTGATATAAAAATAGTTTGAACAAAATTCTCTTCCACTTTCTGACTGGAAAATACACATCTTTCAAGATTCAGTTCAAAGGTTATTTTAACTTTAAACTTTTTTTTATCTTCCCCTCCTTGCTCTTTAGTTTATATTTACCAAGTTTTTACTCAAGTTTTTCCTCACTCTGACTTGTTACATAATGTTTTCACGATGAACCATAATATCTCATTTGTATATTTATATACATTTATTTCTCTTAACTTTTGATAAGCTTCATGTAGTTACATCATGTCATATTTATGTCTCCAGCATCTAAGGTTAGTGCCATGCATCACAATACATAATTGTTGAATAAATAAGGATGAATGAATGAAATCTCCTAAGACCTGTGACATTTCCCCGGTTTGGCAGGGTATTAGTCTACTAGGACTGCCATAACAAAATATCACAGGCTGGGTGGCTTAAACAGTAATTTATTTTCTCCCAGTTCTGGAGGTTGGAAGTCCAAGAACAAAGTGTCAGCAGGTGTGGTTTCTATTGAGCCCTCTCTCCTTGGCTTGCAGATGGCCACCTTTGCCTTGTGTCCTCCCATGGCCTTTCTTCTGTACACTCACATCTCTGCTCTTGCTTCCTCTTCTTATAAGTACACAAATTATATTGGATTAGGACCTACCCATATAATGTCATTTAGCCTTAACTACTTCTTAAAGGCCTTATCTCCAAATAGTCACATTCAAAGACACTGGGAGTTAGGACTTTGACATATGAATATGGTGGAATGCATTCAGACCATAACAGAGTCGAAGAAGTAGCTTGGGTTTAGTGAGGCTTAAGGAGATGTATTTTAGGTGATGACATAGGGTAGTTTAGATGCCTCTTTGGAAATCTAAGCCATAGTTTGTGAGAATTTTTAATTATAGCTTATAGATATCTCATAAATACTTGTCTGAGTATTGTTTAATGATATAACCAAGTTATATAAATGGAGTTGTGTCTTTCTCACTTGTATATGCCTATTTCGAAGACATCTAATTATTATCATTAATAGTCTAATAGATTGCCATGGTTTCAGTATTTAAAAGTATCTCATTCTATTACCTTTCTTTCTCCTCTTAGATCTCAAGAAATATATAAAAGACATTGTGAAGAAAAATTTGTTATGGATATGATTGCCTTTGAAAAAGCCTGTGAAAGACTTCAAGATGCTAAAACAAAAGTAGCAATTGTGAAAACAAATTTAGACTTTAAAGTTCCCAATGGACTGATAAAATGAATCAATGCCAGATCACATCCTATGATCATCTTAAATTATAGTCATTATTTTTAGTTGAAGGAATTTGAAATAATACTCTAAAGCAAGAAATACTCTACATCACAAGATGGATTTATATATAAGTCTTCTAAAAATATAAAGATTAGTTAAAATGTTTCTCTTATTGGTCATAATTTAACTTAAAGTTGACTTAGCACCTCTGAAAAATTTCTTAGATCAGATGCCTAAGGAACAATTAAACTGATTTAATGTATTGCAGACAATGTTGCAATGACATTGCTGATATTCTGTTTCATATTCTTTCTAAATATAGCAATTCATAAGCTAATTTAGGTTTTTCTGGAAACCTTAGAATAGTAATTTCTACTCCAACTGCTGACTTTTATTAAGACACTGTGTACGTTGATGACTTTTATTACCTGCTTTTATATATTTCCTGCTTATTTTGTTAAAACAATTTCTGAATTTATTTTTTAAAGTATGGTTTCAATATTTTGTCAGTGATATATGCTGTTATAAAAATTCAGAAAATATGAACTATGAAAAGTAAATTAAACATTCTTATCACCTTCCTTGAAGACTGTAAGATTTTTGTATATTTACTTTTGATGGGTTTGCCCTGTTTGGTATACATGTGAAGACAGGGAAAAGACAGAGGAGAGAAGCAAGAGACAACCCATATAATTATATATTGGAATCATAAAATATACAGAAATGGTATATATTAACCATAAGTCTGTTTAATACATACCAATGGTAGAAAATTTGAAAAATAAACTGTTAAAAAAGACAGAAAAATCCTTTGTAAAATTTGCATCCATTTTCAATAGTGATTTCATATATCTAGAAGGATGAGTGTCTCACTATAATTATGACATTGTTCACTAAATACGATGTAGCTAATGCTATTCAAAATTTCTCTTTAATACTCACTGGTTATATATGTAAGCCTTTAAAACATTATTGCTTAAAAAATTCCCTAGATAGAAAGAACCTGGCCTCCTAAATCCCTGTTTGGAGTATGATAGAGAATACCTGTTTTGTACTTTACATCATCCAAAAGAAAATTCAGTTATATTAAGGGCTTTGCAACCACATCAACTATATTAGGCCAGCATCTATGAGTGATTTAATCAGTAGAGAACTTGTTACCAAAATAGGAGTGCTACTATCACAAAAACCCAACGTATCGTACTGGCTTTGTGGGGTAGTAAGAAAACCAATATTGAAGACAGAAATATGGAGACCGAGGTCTACTCATACTATAGCCCATGTAAAGTTTTAAATGTTATGGGTTCTGGGTGTTAGTGTCCTATACTGCCTTTAACTTCATTATTCAGATCACTTATGTCTAAAAAAATTTTTTTAGTTAAATCTAGAAAGCAATATGTATATTGTTGGTTAATTTGTTTTCCTATTCCTACCCTTTCAGCCAGCACTTTTTAAAAGATTTCTTAGAATTCTGTTGCACTCTTTCATAGAGTAACTCTTACCTTCAGTGCAAATTACAGACTTAAGCAGAATGATTTTTTTTAAATTTCACACACCCACACAGACACAGATCACACATATGTACAGACACATACATAATAAAAGAAAGTCTAAAGAACAATATATTATTTCTACCTCAAATACTCTCTTTAGAAGCGCTACCATATTTCTTGATTTGTTTCTGGTATTTATCTTCTACAGATTGAGCATCCCTTATCCAAGTTGCTTGGGACCAGAATTGTTTCAGATTTCAGATTTTTTTTTAAATTCTGGAATATTTGCATATACATAATGAGGTATATTATGGATAGGACCAAAATTTAAACATGAAATTCATTTGTGTCTTATATACATTTGTACACATAGCTTGAATGTAATTTTATAAAACATTTTCAATAATTTGGTGCATGAAACAAAGTTTTGACCACATTTTTACTGTGACCCATCACATGAGGTCAGGTGTGGAATTTCCCACTTGTGTCATGTCAGGTATCAAAAAGTTTTGGACTTCGGAACATTTTGATTTCAGATTTTCAGATTAGGGATGCTTGACCTATAATAGCACGTCCCATCCCATTCAAATTAGAACATTAATGGTTCTTGAAAACCATGATTATATGACTTCTTCCTTGACTCCAGTTATTTTTCACTCCTGGCCGATACGCTCCATATCACAAATGTCACCTGCATAATTTTTAATGAAATCTAATACCCCAACACTGTGATCCATAGAAATTTGTCTAATCCTTCCAATTAGATGTATTTTACACTTTCTTCTGAGTCACTATAACAATTTAAAATATTGTATTTCAATTATAATAGCAGCATTATTTTTGAAAAGTAGAAAATGTATTTAAATTATAAAATGAAAGTAATAGCCTATGACCCACAGATAACCACTGTTAATATTTTGGGTTGTTTTTCTAGGTTTAGGGGTATATGTATGTATGCATGTTGTTCTGTTTACTGATCTCTTTTTCTTGCTTCTCACCCAACTCCTTCACCCTACCCTGTCACTTTCTGGGTCACTGACACTTAAACAATTGTTGGCTGAGCTCTTCCTGTCTTTGTCTTCATCCATAATCCTATGATAACTTTCGCACATAAAGCAAATGAGACATACGAGCACCACCCTATACATTCAAACATATACATTTTCTGACCAACAGTTTTATTGTAATTAATATATCATAATGGTTGAGTCTATACAGAGTGATTCAGCAGACTCTAGCTAGCATAAGTAGCAGCAAACACATTCATACTGGGGAAGAGATCCCATTTTTATACTGGTACAGATACAGGGTTTGAACTAGGATGCAGCAGTGGAAAGGGAGTAACCTATCTCCCTATCTTATTTTAGGCAAGTGAGGCTTCTCGGTTTTATGAGGCAAAGTATTAGTAGGCTTTGTGGGTTTTTAAGGAGGAAACTTGCTTGTCATTCACAATGGGGCTAAAGGTATCAGACATTCCCTCCCCCTACACTCAGCTACAGTGAGGGCACCTGATTGATTATTTATTCTTGCCCATGATTCTGGATCTTGAAATATTGCTAAGACAGAGGTAATTTATAAATTATTCACTGCCATTGCAGCTCAACATTCCAGGAGAGAAACTACTAGTTTCCTATGGCTGTATTACCAGAAGTTCTTCCAGATTCTTTCTGTGTTCTAACATGACTTTGTTTTGTGCCACTGGATTTGCTAAGTTCCTGCCCATACTTTAACCAGGGAATTTCTAGGCTTACTTTTCCCAGTAAGTGTCTGATTATCAATGGGAAACAGAGTTTTCACACAATAAAACTATGAAGGAGTACAGATAGAGCTCCAGCTATCCCTTGGAACATCTCCATATACTTCCATGTCTAGAGCTAAAGTTAATGGAACGCTGCCTCAACACTTTACAAGCAAGGGCTTGTATTTCTCAGGAAAGAATATTTGGGTAAGCCTACCAGGTAAAGCCTGTTATAGTGAATTGTTGGCTGAAGGCAAAAGTACCTTGAAGAGATGGTGGAGGTGGAAAGTAATGCATTTTAACTATGGCTTCATAAATATATACAGAAATAAAGATCACAACCTCTACTCATATTGCCTTCATGTTTTATCACGAATGCATTTGTATACTTTATATTTTTTCTTCCTCTCCATTTCCTCTATTCCATATAATATTAATGAAGTATCATAATAGAACTGGAGCATAATGGCCATTGCACAGTGATCCTGGGCTCCAAGCTGAATGTAGTAACTAATGAGACTTTGAGTTATTTCCCTTAGAGAAGTGGATAGAGAAAATGTATATGTTTAAATGTATGCTTTTGTAGTTGTATAAAGAATACTTATATTAGGATTGAGCCACCTTATGGGAGTAGTGAGAGGTGTTGGTATCATAAGAAAAATGTAGATGTACATTTGTCAGATTCTTTTGTTTACTTTTGCCTATAAATCATCTAAATGTTCTTTTTCTGGGGAAATACCCTTTGGCCTGTTTTGAGTTATTAACCATGTCTTAACACAAATTTAGAGGGATCAAAAAGTTTTCACTTCAACTCCTGGGATATAGAGCCAGTCGTTTGATGTTCATGTTAGCACTTCTAAAGTGATACCAGGACAAAAGACAAGAAGTCATTCCCAGTGGTGTTGAGTCCAAGAGTGGCAGCGAAAATTTCCAGTGATAGCAATGTCAAAGATGGCCATATATGTGGCATTGTCTACTGAGCTTCTGCTACCTAGCCTGCTTTGGTATCTACCCATTTTCTGAGCTTAGTCCCAGATTTCTTCATTTAGATTCATGAGTTACCAACAATCCTTCCAGTGAGTATCTTTGTTGTTCTTACTAGCAATGGTCTCAGTCGTACACCAGAATAAGAAGAATTCCAATACGTTTATTTTGTCTCAGTAAATCTCACTTTACAAATGTAAGAGATTTTTTTTTTTTTTTTTTTTTTTTTTTTTTTTTTTTTTTTGAGACAGAGTCTCACTCTGTTACCGAGGCTGGAGTGCAATGGTACAGCCTTGGTTCACTGCAACCTCCAACTTCTGTCTCCCGGATTCAAGCTATTCTCCTCCGTCCCAAGTAGCTGGGACTGCAGGCATGCACCACTATGCCCAGCTAATTTCTGGTATTTTTAGTAGAGACGGGGTTTCACTATATTGGCCAGGCTGGTCTCAAACTCCTGACCTCGTGATCCACCCACATCGGCCTCCCAAAGTGCTGGGATTACAGACATGCGCCACCGCACCCGGCTGTAAGAGATCTTTTTAAAGCGCAAAAAGTAGGCTTTTTGTCTTAATAATCTGTCAAATGGATATAATATTTATCTATCATGAAAGTTTTAAACATAAGTGAATGTGATATACCCAGAACAGTGCCTGGGCCATAGTAAGTGTTAGATAAGTGTTTGCTGTTATTATTCATTATTTTCCATGCTGGGAATTTTCCGCTTTGGGGAAAACTGGAAGGGAATGCTTCAGAGGCTGCTAATCAGAAGGCACAATAAATTGAAGTTCAGGCATGATACTTTGCCTGTACAGCCCTATGGCACTCATCTTACCCTATCTTTTGTTCCGGTCATTTGCCTATTTGTTTAATTGCCTCACTTAGGTTATAAAGTCTTTACAGTCAGAAAATGTGTTACCATCTTTCTATTGACAGCCTTCTCTAGCAGTGTCCTACACATTGCAATGGTCCTTAATAATCATTCACAGATATCTTCCTTGGCTATGATTTAGTGTGTAACAAAGTTGAAGATTTTTAAAGCCTACATTCAAAAAGAACAAAGAATCTCTTTATATATATTTTTACTTTTATTGTAAATATGTATATTGAAATGATTAAACAACTATTTGCTCTTTTCTGTAGTTTCCTATCTGCCCCACTTGTCACATTTATTGATTCCTTCTCTGCTAAATATACACTTTCTCAGGCCATTCAAATCTTACCAAAATACATAAACATCCTGTCTTGTGTTTTACATATCAATTCTATAAAATCAGACTTCCATTTCATCTTTTGACCCTGTAATGAAAACATCAACAAAATCACCAATAACCTCCTTCTTGCTAAGTCAAATCAACATCTTTTAGCCTGTATTTTGCTGGAACTTTCAGAAGCATTCACTACTATTAATTTTGCCCTCTTTGACACATCTTTTTCCATCTCAATTTCCATGACACCACATGCTGCTCTTTATATCCTTTCTTACCCTTCTGACTTTTTTTCCTGCTGTTATTTTTTCCTTAAATTTTGGTGCTATCACGTTCGTAAACTGAATGTTTGTGTCTCCCTAAAAGTTATATGTTGAAACCTAATCCCTCAAGTGATCATATTTAAAGGTGGGGCCTTTAGGAGATGATTAGGTCATAAGGGCAGAGCCCTAATGAATGGGATTAATGCTCATAAAAGAGGCCCCAGAGCATTCCCTCACCCCTTCTGCCATGTGAAGACATAGCAAGAAGACAGCCATCTATGAACCAGGAAGCAGGTCCTCATAGACAGTGAGTCTGCCAGTGTCTTAATATTGGACTCCCAAGCCTCTAGGGATATGAGAAATAAATTTCTGTTATTCGTATGCCACCAAGTCTATGGTATTTATAGCATCCTGAACAGACTACTGCATCATTCTCCCATATATAGCTTTCTTCTCAATTTGTATGTTTCCTGGTTCACGGCATGCAAGGCCATGTTTTTTGACATTGCCCATAATCACATTGCCCATGTTCTAACAGGTCCTAACAGCATCTCTCTTGAGTTCCAGGCATATTTCTAATCATCCACTGAACATGTTCACTTGGATGACCCACATGGCATTCAAACTCAACATGCTACAGACTAAAATCATAGATCTTCCCTTTCAGAACCTATCCTGCAGGTCATCCTTAACATAATTCTCCACCACATGTCATATATAACCAACTCTTTTGCATCCTCTTATCTCATTGCTCTTAAAACTCTCCTCTGAATCTCCAATGACAATGTTTAGTTCTTGCTATTTCTTTCTTCAAATCTATTCTGCATATCCTGAAGTGGAAATCAACTCTTTGGTCATATCCCAACTGCAATAGGATAAAGTTAAAAAAAAAAAAACAAAAAAACCCTTTCCAAGTAGCAGGAAAGAAGAAAATCTTAATGGCCTTGACAGTTCCTACCTTTCCAGCTTCTCCTGCCATCAGAAGTCTCAAGCCCCATGTTCCACCTATCAGATTATTCAATTCTCTATCTCCTCTACCTCAAGTGCCCTTACGCTTTTGTCTGCTTAGAGAATTTCTGATTGATCTTCTAGAGTCAAGGGGCATGCTCTGAAAGTCTTTTATCCAGTGCTTCTGTGTATGCCTTTATTATATTATTGTATTATTATATTACTTATTTACATGGCATTACAACAAATTGATTATATGCTGTTCCACACATTTGACTGTGGATTCCCTGTATCTTAATTTGTTTATCCCCAGTGCTTAATAAAACAAGAAAGAGGGATATCTTTTAATTTCCTGTGTGTACTGTTTAGCCCTTGGAATGACATCAAGAACAAATAATACCCTTTAAATATTTTAATTGTTTATACTAAAATTTTCTGTCCTATGTAGAGGTCAAAGATTGATAAATATATCCTATAGATTGACAAAATTGAGATACGAGCATTCAGTGCCACTAATATTTCAAGAAAAAAACTCTAATCTGCTTCATTATTTGCATTAACTATCTAAACTATTCTGCTGAGGAATCAACTTTTAGGTTAAAAGCCCTATTTATAGTAATTTCAAAAACCTCCTATTTTCCCTTCTTTCCTACATTTAGAGAAAAAAAATACAAGGTTGAAAGCTGACTTTTTTTAGAATTTTACTTCTAAAAATGTGGTTCTTCAGATAAAGAAGAAGACTGATTATGAGAGTTAAATAAAGAATGGAGTACTTTATCATTGCTTTAGAAAGAGAGTTTCTAACACGCTACCTGCATGTGTAATTGTTAACCACTCTTTTCCTGGCCACCCCTTTTGCCTCCTCCTACCATCCTTCTAGCCAGAATGGATCCATATAAAAATGGCAGCTGCTCTCATGATTTACACGATAAAGTACTTTTGAGAAGAAGAAAGTCACCTGGTAATCATACAGATGTTGTTTTTTCATTTTTGTTTTTGTTTGTTCATTTGATAGGCTAACTCCAAAAACTCATCAGCATAGGTTAATATGGTTTAACTAATTTGCCTAAGAGTACACTATGTGGCCTCTGAGATGAGCTGGACCTTGTGAAAATGACAGACCTCTGCAGTAGAAATCTTTAGACAGTGGCCTTGTTCACCTGATATTGATATGTGGTAAAGGTCTCTATTACAAGGTGATCTTATTATATGAAATAAACACATCACAAAATGTGTTTTCCATGTGTGTTCATAAGTCTGTGGGTGTGTATATGTGTTTCCATGTATATGTGAATATGTAGGTGCCAGTCTCCATATGCAAATGAGAGCTATTGAAGATGACTGAAGCTCACAACATCAGTGGCTTAAACACCCAGGCAAAGGAAACATCTTTTTGGCCCAGTAACCTAAAGAGGGAAATATGCATAGTCAGTGCCCAGGCCACAAGGGGAGAAGGTTTTTTTTATTGTTTACTTCTGGAGAACTAGATAAATAACTGGTAAAACACAAAAATAAAGCCGAGTGCCAGGTAAATGTAGTAATGTAAAAGATCAGTTAGAGCTAGATCTAGGTTTTTATGGGGCCTGAAGCTTATTCAACTTGAGAGGATGCTCTTTTGGGAAAATAATACAAAATTATCAAGTTAAGTATAGGGCCTTGGAAGGGGACCATAATATGAGGGGTACTGAAGGTTAAGCCTCATTATCTTCACTGTAAATCTGCCTGTATAGTCTGAGAATCTAAAAGTCTCTTCAAGATGAAGGAAATAATTCATGAGAAAGTGGATTGTCAGAGGTGTAGAACCTTCTTTTATCTTCTCATGAATAGAGGTCATTACCAACCAGGCAGAAACTAAATGGTTATATCTGTATAATATGCAATACTTTTCAATTGATACACACAGTTCCTAGAAGTCAAGAAATGTATGATTTGATATATTATAATCCCTACTCTTCATATCAACACTTCCTCTATCATTTCAGGATAATTCCATCATGTTTAACAGCCTGACACTGTCAGACTAGGGTAACAGACCCTTTACTCTCAGTGACTTAGCCTAGTTTAGTTCATTTCTCACTGATACTCCATGTCCAGTGTGACTAAGGAAGACATCACTGTTTAATAGTGTCAGTGTCTTACAGATGGCCTGTGATGCTGCTATGGCAAAGAAAGAACATGGTAGAAAGGAGGGGGCCCAACCCTTAAATGGTTTGGCTCCAAAATGACATGTCAAGTCTGCTCAGAGTCCTTGGCCAGAACTTTACACATGGCTTCACCTAATACAAGAGCTTTTGGAAATGCTGGGGAGCAGATAAATGTTTTAGGGAGGAAGGACAGCCAAGTTCATCTCTAATACAGAGAATATTTACGGGGGCATTATCTTTGACCAGCCATCACAAGGGAACTTCATTTCAAATGCACACACACACACACACACACACACACACACACAAAGAACAGGTCCTCAAATAATATCGCTTCATTCAACAGAATTTCCTTACAAAATTGATGAGAAAAAAAAATTGATCCCTGGCTGGGGCCACTGTCTGTGGGGTGTTTGCATGTTCTGCCCATGGATTTGTGGATTTTCTCCATTTTGGTGTCCTATCACATCCCAAAACTGTGCACATTAGGTGAATTGCCTGTCTTTATGGTCTCAGTTTGAGTGAGTGTGGATGTGTGTGTGCATGCCCTTTGATGGGATAGCAGCTTGTCCAGGGTGGGTTCCCAGGATAGGCTCCAGCTACCCACTAGAATAAATGGGTTGGATAATGACTGAATGAATACAAATTATTGTCAAAAAAATTTGTAAAGTATACAATAATCATACAAATGTATAACAATAAATGACTCTGTACAAAAGCACTCAGTGAACTTGCCATATTTGTCATTGTTTTTGAACCGTGTGGTGATAGGAAGTACTCTTTAAAGTTTTCACTTTGCAAACATCTTGATTTAACCCACCACCACGATGACCACCGTCATTCACTTATTCACCAAAGTTGAGTAAATAATGATCTTACTTGTTTTAGTTAGTCTTTCTTATATGTATGTATAACTCACTGTTATTTCAATATTTAATATTAGAAGTCTTTTGTCTTTATTTAGAAGTTTGGTGATGCTTTTGTGACCAGAGATATGCCATAAGAACTTAACTCTTTTTAAAAATATATATTATTTATTTTATTATTTATTTATTTATTTATTTATTTATTTTTGAGATGGAGTTTCACTCTGTTGCCCAGGCTGGAGTGCAGTGGCTTTAACTATTATTGTGTGGGAGTCTAAGTCTCTTTGTAGGTCTCTAAGAACTTGCTTTATGAATCTGGGTGCTTCTGTATTGGGTCCATATATATTTAGGATAGTTAGCTCTTCTTGTTGCATTGATTCCTATACCATTATGTAATACCCTTCTCTGTCTCTTCTGATCATTGTTGGTTTAAAGTCTGTTTTATCAGAGACTAGGATTGCAACCCCTGCTTTTTTTTTTTTTTTTTTTTGCTTTCCATTTGTTTGGTAAATATTTCTCCCTCCCTTTATTTTGAGCCTATGTGTATCTTTGCATGTGAGATGAATCTGTTGAATACAGCACATTGATGGGTCTTGACTGTTTATCCAATTTGTGAGTCTGTGTCTTTTAATTGGAGCATTTAGCCCATTTACATTGAGGTTAATATTGTTATGTGTGCATTTGATCCTGTCATTATGATGCTAGCTGGTTCTTTCGCCCATTAGTTGATTTAGTTTCTTCACAATGTTGATGGTCTTTACAATTTGGCATGTTTTTGCAGTGGCTGGTACCAGTTGTTCCTTTCCATGTTTAGTGCTTCCTTCAGGAGCTCTTGTAAGACAGGCCTGGTGGTGACAAAATCTTTCAGCATTTGCTTGTCTATAAAGGCTTTTATTTCTCCTTCACTTATGAAGCTTAGTTTGACTGGTTATGAAATTCTGGGTTGAAAATTCTTTTCTTTAAGAACTTTGAATATTGGCTCCCACTCTCTTCTGGCTTGTAGGGTTTCTGCTGAGAGATCCACTGTTAGTCTGATAGGCTTCCTTTTGTGGGTAACCCGACTTTTCTCTCTGGCTGCCCTTAACGTTTTTTCTTTCATTTCAACCTTGGTGAATCTGATGGTTATGTGTCTTGGGGTTGCTCTTCTCAAGGAATATCTTTGTGGTGTTCTCTGTATTTCCTGAATTTGAATGTTGGCCTGCCTTGCTAGGTTGGGGAAGTTCTCCTGGATGATATCCTGAAGAGTGTTTTCCAACTTGGTTCCATTCTCCCCATCACTTTCAGGTACACCAGTCAAACGTAGATTTGGTCTTTTCACATAGTCCCATATTTCTTGGAGTCTTTGTTCATTTCTTTTCACTCTTTTTTCTCTTGTCTTTTCGCTTTATTTCATTAAGTTGATCTTCAATCACTGATATCCTTTCTTCTGCATGATTGATTCAGCTATTGAATCTTGTGTATGCTTCACTAAGTTCTCGTGCTGTGTTTTTCAGCTCCATCAGGTCATTTATGTTCATCTCTACACTTGTTATTCTAGTTAGCAATTCATCTAACTTTTTTCAAGGTTCTTAGCTTCCTTGCGTTGGGTTAGAACATGCTCCTTTACCTCGGAGGAGTTTCTTATTACCCACCTCCTGAAGCCTACTTCTGTCAATTCGCCAAACTAATTCTCCATCCAGTTTTGTTCCCTTGCTGGTGAGGAGTTGTGATCCTTTGGAGGAGAAGAGGCGTTCTGGTTTTGGAATTTTTCAGCCTTTCTGCACTGGTTTCTCCCCATCTTTGTGGTTTTATCTACCTTTGGTTTTTGATGTTGGCGACCTACAGATGGGGTCTTGGTGTTCACATCCTTTTTGTTGATGTTGATGCTATTCCTTTCTGTTTGTTAGTTTTCCTTCTAACAGTCAGGACCCTCAGCTGCAGGTCTGATGGAGTTTGCTGGACGGTCACTCCAGACCCTGTTTGCCTGGGTATCACCAGCAGAGGCTACAGAACAGCAAATATTGCTGCCTGATCCTTCCTCTGGAAGCTTAGTCCCAGAGGGACACCCATCAGGTGCCAGCCAGAGCTCTCCTGTATGAGGTGTCTGTCAGCCCCTACTGGGAGGTATCTCCCAGTCAGGCTACATGGGGGTCAGGGATCCACTTAAGGAGGCAGTCTGTCCATTATCAGAGCTCGAACACTGTGCTGGGAGAACCACTGCTCTCTTCAGAACTGTCAGGCAAGGACATTTAAGTCTGCTGAAGCTGTGCCCACAGTTGCCCCTTCTCCAAGGTGGCTCTGTCCCAGGGAGACTGGGGCTGCTGCCTTTTGTTCAGAGATGCCCTGCCCTCAGAGGTGGAATCTAGAGAGGCAGTCAGCCTTGCTGAGCTGTGGTGGGCTCTGCCCAGTTCGAATTTCCCTGTGGCTTTGTTTACACTGTGAGCATAATACTGCCTACTCAAGCCTCAGCAATGGCGGACGCCCCTCCCCCTGCCAAGCTCCAGATTTTTCAGGTCGATCTCAGACTGCTGTGCTAGCAGCGAGAATTTCAAGCCAGTGGATCTTAGCTTGCTGGGCTCTGTGGGCGTGTGACCCATGGTATAGTCTCTCACGGCTTCCCTTGGCTAAGAAAGGGAAATCCCCCAACCCCTTGTGCTTCCTGGGTGAGGCAATGCCCTGCCCTGCTTTGGCTTGCCCTCCATGGACTGCACTCACTGTCAAACCAGTCCCAATGAGATGAACCAGGTACCTCAGCTGGAAATGCAGAAGTCACCCAGCTTCTGTGTCGATCTTGCTGGGAGCTGCAGACCGGAGGTGTTCCTATTCGGCCATCTTGCCAGAAATCCTCTCCATAACTCTGTTCTAGTATCAATTAACCTTTGGTAAAATTGATTTTATTACACTGTTTTCCTTAAAGTCACAGTTTCTAAGAATCTATTGACAGTGTTAAGTGAGGACTTCATGTATGTATGTATATATATATGTGTGTGTGTGTACGTGTGTGTACATATATATGTGTAAATTTAAGATCAGTGCCATCTACATTTAGAAATTTGAATAGTGATTGGCATATATGAGAACTTAAGAATGTTTGTTGAATAAGTGAAAGATTAATGAGTGAATAGAGAATATTCATGATGACTGTAATTCTTGGAAGATGAAAAAAGAAGGCATGTGTTCCTAAAGTTCCAGCAAGAAAGCCCCAGTACTATAATATAATTCTGCCTTTTTTCCCCATATCTCTTTTCAGGTCTGGCCTGCTTGTGGCTCTAACTAACTAAAATTTCAAAAGTATTATATTCTGTCAAGTGAACCAAATTTAGCAAATAATTTGAACTCAGGATTCTTACTAGGACTGTTATTTTTAAACAAACAAAAGAATTAACCTTGAGAAGTTAAATGTAAAAAAAAAATAATGTTAGGCCAAGGGAGAAATTGAGGTGAACTACAGATCTACATGGCACTTGACTCACCAGGAGCTGAGAGGGAAAGCTAAGCAAACAGAAACTAAAAAATTAGTATTTACATTTTCTTGGCTGCAACCACCTAAAGTTTTCTTTAGAAAAGGGAATTATATAATTCTAATGAGTAAGTTTCCATAATTATTTTATTAAGAATATTTGTTTGGGTGGTATACAGATATATTCACTGCTTTAGCTGCTTTTAAAATATATTGAAAGCCATTATTCTTAGCAAACTAATGTAGGAACAGAAAACCAAATACTGCATGTTCTCACTAATAAGTGGAAGCTAAAAGATGAGAACTCATGGACACAAGGAAGGGAACTACAGTCACTGGAACCTATTGGAGGGTGAAGGGTGGAAGTAGGGAGAGGATCAGGAAAAATGACTAATGGGTCCTAGGCGTAATACCTGAGTGATGAAATAATCTGTACAACAAACCCCCATGACATGAGTTTACCTATGTAATAAACTTGCACATGTACCCCTGAACTTAAAATAAAAGTTAAAATAAATAAATAAATAACATTTTTCTCATTGTGTATTTTTTCATTTGTAATGTTATCAACACTATTTCTTTGTCATGCAAATGTATGTTATCAACATTTAAAATGAATTTATTTCTACTAGAATACACTTCATAATGGTGAGTTGTATAATGTAGCTTATTGCATTACAACACTGTTTGAGGAACTTTTCATCTTTTATCTCTCACTAGCTGACATCTGGCACTGTCCTAAACTGTCGTGCATGAGTTTTTTCCCCTCCATTTTCACTACTGCTTTCCAAAGAATTGCAAGTCCAGCAGAGTTCACCTGATTTTGCCTTTCTTTTCCTCCTATAAATTACAGGCAATATCTTTGTTCTTAAGTACTGGCTTTCTTTTGGAAAGACTAGCTTGCACCCTTATTTCATGGTCTGTGAGCCTATCACCACATAAGAGCCATGGGGAACCATTTCCACTAATGGACTTTGTACTCCCCAGTGCAGTTAATTTCACCCTTGTGGTCAGAAAGAGTTAATTTCCTTTGCCACCAGGGTGTTAACACAGACACTAAGGAGAAGATGATACCCTGTGTTTTTCCGGCATGGATGTCTTACAAGTCATTAACAATTTTATCTCCCAGAAATTTTCTTAGGTTTTTTTTCTTTTTTGTCTCTAGAAACTTTAAACATATACAACATGCAACCATTGCTCTTTAAAGGGCATCTCAACAGATTTAATTTTCTTATATATTTTTTGCCTTTCAAACAACTTGATGAGTTGCTTCATTAATCTCTTGGTCTTCCTGCCTCTCCTCCATCTGGCATCACTAGCAGATGGAGGCAGAGCTGCTCAGATATAAAGGGACAGACTCCAACTACAAATATATCATAAAGATAACAAACAAAGATACTTTGTGATTATTGGACAGTAAAAATTACATAAATTCCATCTATTATTTTCATATAGCTATTATTAAATATTGAATTTTACAGTGTAATTTGGTACATAAACTGTGAACTAGTGATTCTGGTTCATGCATTTATTCCACACATATTTGTTGAATACCTACTATGTGCCATGAAAGTAGCTTGGGATAAAATGAGGGTAAAATAAGACATAATCTTTGTTCTCAAAATGTATGTAAGTAATAGTTTCTAAGATACTGAGTATTGAGGGTACACATTAAAAAACTAATGGCAGAAAGATTTTCATAAATGCACCATGCTACTGTCCTTCTACCCTTCACACAGAAATCCTTTGTAAAGCCCTCTCAAGTAAACTGTATCCAACTTAACTTAGTATGTATCAGAGTCATTCTATTGCAATTAAACAATGCATTTATTGAGAAACAAATCCTTACTGAGCAACCACTATAAGCAATGGATTGTGCTTGGCCTGTGATGAATGCAAAGGACTATGAGGCAATTCTCCTTCTTCTTTCAAGGAATTAAAAAAGAAAAAAAACTTGATTAGATTAAAAACATGCACAAAAATAGTAAATTACAGTTAAAGAGAATATGTGGTAGATCTCAACCAACTCAGGGAGAAATATCTTCTGGGTGTCTCCATTTGAAAGGTTGGTAGGCACCTTAAGCTATAACCAAATGTACTCTCACCTTCTCCTTCACCCCACTGGGACTGCTTTCCTCTAAGGTCCCATCATCCAAGGCAGATACCAAGGCATCATCCTAGATCCCACTGTTCCACTATCCTGTTTATCTAAACAATCTATAACCCATTTCCAGTTAAAATATTTAAAATCAATTTCTTTGGTACTTCTCTCCATCACGAGTTCAGACCTTCATCATCTTTCACCTGGATGTACTGCAATGCAGCCCATTAACCCTTCTCCTTCCAGCTTTTCTGGCCCCACACCTCAGATTCATCATCTGTCTAAAATATAAATCTGTACCTACACTCCTTAGCTAAAAAATAAACCCTTAATGCCTCCCCCATTGCTTTCAAGTTAAAAACCCAAGCAACTTAGCATCTGAGAGAAAGCCCTTTAAAATTTATTTTCTTCGTCTGCCTTCAGTCGCATCTCCACCAGGTATTTACTTTTTGTTCTAGTCACATACAGCCACTCTGAACATGGTGCTGCATTAGCCTGGAGTATTCTGCACTCACAAGCTACTGGTTTTGGCGTACCTATATTCATAATTAAGAGGCTGCCTCCATATAACAAACTTGGAAATTTTTCTGTCTCACTCCACCTTCCTACTTCCATTTGAGCCTGGTGTCCCTCCCACGTATGCATAGGGCCCTCTACATCTCTGTCATTATTTTTTATCATATAGTAATATATTTTCCCATTGACTTTCTTTTCACAGACTTTAAGGTTCTTGAGGGTACAGACCTGCCTTCTTATCATTTTCTCATCAGTAAGCAACGCAGTACTTGATATATAATGAGAACTTGGTAAGCATTTGTTGAATCAGTAAATAGCAATGATGCTCAGGAGAGTGAGAAGTGACTTTAGATATAAAGACTTACTGAATATAAAATCAGGTATGATGCAAACAACTTAGCACACATCGTCAGACACAGAAGCTGCTCAGTAAACGCTAGTTCTCTTTCCCTTGAATTGCCTTCTAAAAATTGGTTGCAATTACATAGATGAAGGTGAGAAAGGGGGGCTTTATAGATTGAAGAGAGTGTGTCAGTCTTAGCTTGGTAAGGTATTTTGGGAATAAAGGTTGTTTATTAGAAAATTTAGGGTTTAAAGAATGTGTGAGGAGTTGAAGGGGAAATGCCTGAGAGACAGCTGGAGGACTGGGCAACCATCACTCACTACTGCAGACTGAAGCACAGGTGGAGACACTGGAGCACAAGCACTCCAGGAAGCCTGAGCACCCCGCGCGGGAGAACAACGGAGTTTCAGTTTCACTTTCACCTTCCAAATGGTGTTAATGTTCCCCCAAAGGCCAACTGTACCAGCACTCCTGGAAAAGCGCATCCAGGAAAATGTAGTTCGCAGCGCTCAGGAAGTTGTGCTCTGCCACTGGTGCTGGTGGTGGCACTGGTGATACTTGTGTTGCACAGTTGATAACAGCCTAAAACAGGGAGAAAGGTGCAAAAAAAAAGGATAATAGTGTGCTGAGGTCAGAGGGTAAATATAGGCAGTATAACAGAAAAAAAAATAATTATTCAGAATAGATTAGCCAGGTGAAGCAATTCCAGAGCTTGTGTGGGAAAATGGGAAAAACTTGGACTTTGGACTTGGAATAATTTGTTCTTAATCCATACTCTACCACTATCAGCTATATACCCTGACCAAACACTTAATTTGTCTAAGCCTGAGTTACCTCATGCCGAAAACAGGGCCCAACCCTGCATGCAGGGTTGTCAGGAGGAATAAGTGAGACTGCATGTAAAACTCCAGGGTTTGGCATGCACTAGGCATTCTGTAAAATTAACTACCATGTTATTGTTATAGCTGCTTGGGTCTTTCATGACCCTTTTGAAATTTATTGTGCCTAATATTATTAGCAATGGAATCCTAATGAATGTTTTTTGAACAAAGAAATGAACACATTTCTCTATAATTAATTTGGTCCTTGAGCCTGTTAAATATGCAAAAAGTGTTTCTCTAGTGTACCATATGTTTCCATGGGTGTGTATTATATAAATCTCATTAGATTGCATGTGCATTGAAGGCAGAAGCAAATGCCCCTCTTCTTATATCCTTTTACAGTGTCTAATGCAATCTGATACTGTGTACACAGTTGATAATTGATGAGTGTTGTTAACAGCACCAACTGTATCAATCTCTGTCTCATATCAGCTGTAATAAGTTTCCCAAGCTGGAAATGAGAAAAAATAGAGAAAGAATAACATTTTCTGTATTTGAAATGAATTGGCCTACTATGAAAAATGGCTAAAACACGACTGGTGTGGTGGCTCAAGCCTGTAATCCCAGCACTCTGTGAGGCCGAGGCAGGTGGATCACAAGGTCAGGAGATCAAGACCATCCTAGCCAACATGGTGAAACCCCGTCTCTACTAATACAAAATTTTGCTAAATACAAAAATTTGCTGGGCATGGTGGTGGGCACCTGTAGTTCCAGCTACTCAGGAGGCTGAGGAAGGAGAATCACTTGAACTTGGAAGGTGGAGGTTGCAGTGGGCTGAGATTGCGCCACTGCACTCCAGGCTACGTGACAGAGTGAGACACTGTCTCAAAAAAAAGAAAAGAAAAATAGCTAAAACAGGTACAGGTAAGTACAGGTAAAAAATATGAAATGAATCGAAAAGGCAAAACTCGAGTAAACATAAAAATAACTTGTATTCTTTGCATTTAACCTTAGCTAAATCGGGAGGCTAAAAATTATCACAAGAACATTATTTCAGCTGACCTTGTCATACTGGAAATTGTAAAAGTATCTATGAAAATTTTCATTTTTAGGTCACAGCAGTATATTTTTCATACACTTAAAAAAATCTATACTCTTCTTCTTCTTCTTCTTCTTGTTTCTTGCTCTTGTCACCCAGGCTAAAGTGGAATGGCAAGATCTCGGCTCACTGCAACATCTGCCTCCTGGGTTCAAGCAATTCTACTGCCTCAGCCTCCCGAGTAGCTGGAATTACATAATTACATAATTACAGGCACCAGCCACCATGCCTGGCTAAGTTTTTGCATTTTTAGTAGGGACAGGGGTTACACCATGTTGGCCAGGCTGCTCTTGAACTCCTGACCTCAGGTGCTCCGCCTGCCTCAGCCTCCCAAAGTGCTGGGATTACAGGCGTGAGCCACCAAGCTCGGCCAAAAATCAACAATCTTATTGTTAAAAGTAAATCTGTAAGACTCAGATAATGATCTGTTTTACAATCAATTGTTTTCTCTCTATTGTCTACAAAACTAGATCATTCAGAGGGGTCATATTTGTCTTGACTGTTTGGCATAATTGCCCAAATATCCAGAGACATTTGCTCAGCATTCTAAGTAATTTTCTAATAAAATATGAAGGCATATTTAAAATGGAAAAACCAACAACATCATGATATACTGGTTTAAGACTTTTAATTTTAATGATACGGAAAAAGCTTTTTATGAATAAGGAATTGATTTGTTTGAAAATTGTGCAAAAATGGAGAAAGGAAAAGATGGGAATCTGGAGCTACTAATCCTAAGAGTGACTAAATCTAAGATTAGTCACTACTACAATGCACTGCATTTTTTTATTCCTTCATCAAGTGTGTAAAGATGGATATATGTCAAAGATTCTGCTTCATTCATTTCCAGTATCTTCAGCCATAGTTGATTTACTTTAATCTTGGCACATCGTCATCGAACCAGTAGACTAATAGCTCTTACGGATTTAATTGACTTATTTAGGTGATAGGTCCATCTATATCAGAGCTACAGAAATAAAGAAGGCATAGGATTACTTCCCAGCAAAGCAGAAAAGAGGAGATACAACATAAAAACATATATTTTTAAAATGTCCACTGAATCAGATGCATGGCCTAAAAAACCTTAAAAATACTTATTAATTTTACTTTTAATATTTAGTCACTTTAAAAATCCTGTGTGAATTTAAAAGAAACAGCACATGCAGATCAAAGCTTTCATGGAATCTGCTCTGCACAGCAGGTGATGGATAGAGGGGCCCACTGAGGCAGGTGAGGCTCTCTGCAGTTATAAGAAATGTAATTTGGAAAGCAACAAACATATTCCTCCTCAATAGATCTATTTTCTCCCTTGATCTATGAAGTTTGCAACTCATTGATTACAAACAAAATTTCAATTAAGATTTGAAGATTGACTGCCATTAACTGCTGAAGAAAATAACATGGTAGATGCAATTATGGGTTCAACTCCTAGTCCACTACTTGTTGAGTGTAGCTCCCAGCACTTTTCAATAAACTTTCTAGGCTGCATACTCAGAGTATGGAAAATATGTCTGGTATAAAATATGTTTTTTTGAATGACAATAAGTGAAGAAGCTCCTCATGTGTAAGGTGACTATTGCATTCCTCATGGATTTATTGAGGGAGTTAAAGTAGGTCATGTTTACTACAGGTTTTAATCACGGTGTGCCTCATAGTTAGCACTTAGTAAATGGTGGTTATTTTCATGATTAGGGTGGTGATCTTCTTCATCCAGGAATTCTCTCAAATTTTTCTTTAAAAAAACACGATCAAACTAATGTGTTCACTGAATTCGTCTGACAAATTACAAATACTGCTTTACATGGATACCCATTACCAGTTCAGCCATCATCTAAGTACTTACTCTTACATGTAATATTGTCAGATTTATGGAGCGCAGGATTTCTGTTGATATAAAGGCTAATAAAAAGCCTGACAGGTTTCTACCATTTTTCCCAAATGAAAAATTGACCTAAGGGTGTTACTAATTCACCCTATCAACAAAAAATAATAAGAGAAATAAAATGGAAGCTTTTGGAACCAGTGGAACTTGAGCTTCACATTCCCAAATTAACAACCCAATAACTATGTATGGCTTACTAAAAAGTCCAGCTCCAGAGAATCCTTAAGACCATTGTTTTCATTTTATTTTAGGATTTGATACTTAAAGATGTGTCATGAGGACGCTGTCTCTCTCTGGTATTATCATGTCCAGCATGCAAGCTGTTCATTCAGCCTTTGTCACCCCTGCCAGGTCTTTGGAAGCCATTGAGAAGTGTGTCTTTTGCCATTGTTTCTCAAATAATCTGATCGGTGTCTTCTTTCTATTTAATTTAACTAATCTTATCAAGAAAATGAAGCAGTAGCAATTTTTTCTTCTCTGATATTCCAAAAACTTATTAAGACAAGTTTTGGTGGCAATACATTCTGCTTCCTATTATAGTTATTTGTGAATGACTTAACATTCCTTCATTGTATAACCACATCTTATTATCAAAAAATGTAGTTCTATACACATGCGAAAATATGTGCAGTGTGGTATAGTTTGCTGTATATATGTGGTATATATACAGTAAAGGCTCAATAAGGTTTTTTAATTGAATTACCACCTGATGATCTTCAGATTGCACTTCCCTGGAGGATATTTCCCTCTCAGACTCAGTCAGTTCCTTGTTTTGTTATTTCATAACACCCTTTATTTCCTCATAGGTTTTTCATAATGTTAACAAATAATTAATTAATTATAATAATTCACTTAATAACTGTTTAAATAAATTCTTGAAAGAAATATCTGTACCTGTCTTAATGATCACTATTCCTACAGCTAACATAGAACTTGTAAGGCACTTAGGGGATATTTTATAAATGGCTAAGAATGCTTAACCAATTACTTCCTTGTTTCACAGTTACAGAGACTAAATTTTTACTCTACTACACCATAAGATCTACTCGTTTATTCTCTCATATCTCATAACATATTAGAGAATATATCTCATAATATATAAGACCTTTGTAGATATGTTTGGCTTACATCCAAAAATAACAAACTTTGGCCTGCATTTTATTCAATGAAATAATCCTCCTCCACTTCCCTGCTGCCTCATAAAGGTGTATTTTAGAGTCAATAAAGCAGCTAACAAATTTTCCAGAGCCCTTGTTTCTGTTTCTTTTCTGTTTTGCTACTCACTCTCCGGTTTCCTGCTCATTAACATATCGACTTGAGATGAAGTTGTTCTGTTAAACTTGTTAGAAGAAGTTTAGACAAGGAAGGGATTTGTAGATTTAGTAATCTTTGCTATTTCCTACGCTCTGCTCTCTTAGATCATCAAGAAGTGAGTATACATTTGGGAGAACAATTCCAAACAAATCTCATGAAATTTTCTAATGACAAACTTAGTTTAAATAAAACAGCTGGTAAATGCAACCACAAGAGATATTTGATTTATTTCATTAGATCAATATTTTTCTGGCTGTTACTGTCCTATATCACAGTTGGAAACCAAAATGTAAAAAACTCTATTTTCTGGTAGGCCAATATTTTACTATAGTAGTGTATAAAGTGGAAATAGCAGGCCGGGCGCGGTGGCTCACGCCTGTAATTGCAGCACTTTGGAAAGCCGAGGTGGGCGGATCGCGAGGTCAGGAGATCAAGACCTTCCTGGCTAACACGGTGAAACCCCGTCTCTACTAAAAAATACAAAAAATTAGCCGGGCGTGGTGACGGGCGCCTGTAGTCCCAGCTGCTCCGGAGGCTGAGGCAGGAGAATGGTGTGAACCGAGGAGGCAGAGCTTGCAGTGAGCCCAGATCCCTCCACTGCACTCCAGCCTGGGAGACAGCAAGACTCTCTCTCAAAAAGAAAATAAAAATAAAAAAGGAAATAGTAAATAATACATTACTCAGAATGCTACCAAAATGTACATACAGCTTATTTATAGAATAAAAATGTGTTCTATTAATTATGTTACCTTAAATGAAATCTTCCCTCCATCCACATGGTCGAACAGGATTTTTTCTCATTTACTGAGGAGAGTGAGAAAGAGAAATGTATCCCCTTGGAGCTGCGTTCCTCCAAAGTGGAGTGTCTTTATCTTCGTTATCTTTCTACATGATGCAAACAATTGGCTTGTCCCTAAGCAATCATGCTGTAATTAGTCAATAATGACAGTAAACAGGGGTCCCAGTCTCTCTCCAATAGTTCACTCCTCCAACAAAATTATTTGCAGAGTTAGTTTAATGGAGTGCTGTCAGCAGATTAACGGCCTCACTTTGAAACAGTGTCAACCTCTTGACTGGACATGTTTTTGATAGGTGTCCTGGCACATAGCTACAAGTAAGAAACTATTAGCTTGTAACAATGTTTTATTTCTCTGAAGCCTTCAGATTGTGTACTTTGTTTGCAGAAATACACCAAATAATCAAATTTATGTTTCTTTATTTTACAAAAATAAAAAAATGTGCTTTTTGTTTTGTTTTCATTTTTGAAAGGTGACATAAAAGTGTTCTAAAGGGCTACATAGTTTCATATTCCAGTTGTGAAAGGCAGGGAGAAAAGATCCTATAAAATACTGTATTTATTTCTCCCAAGAAAAAAACAAAACAAACAAACAAAAAAAACACTTTTCTATCCAGTGAGTGGAGGATAGTTGTGTTTGTGAACACAAGTTGGTTTACAAAACAAAACAGCTTTTGTTCAAAGACTCACTTCTATACCATTTTTTTTAAAAAAAAAATCTCAAAATACCTGTTGTATTTCACACATTTTTCTTGCATGTCATGCACTTCTGTGTTCTGAAGCAAAGCACAGTAGAATTTATTGTGCTGGAAAAGCTTACTCTCTGAGAGAGACATCTGTTTTAGATATGCATTTTTGGTGTCTAAGCCTTTTAAATCTGGCCAACTTATAATGAAGTGCTCTGGGGACATTAGCAACTAACCCTATTTGGATGAAATCAAATATGAGATTATTCTACATAAAATATTACTTCTTTGTATCTGACAGCTTTAGAGCAATATTCCATTGTATTAAAATTAGTGAAACTGATCATCTAAAAATGAGTTTGGGGGCACTTTTATTCACAGAAAGAAATATTGGCAGCAAAAAATATATTTTTTCCTGAATAATCTGATTATTTTACTATTTTATTAAATTGGTAAAATTAAAATAAATCAGTAAAATTAGATACATTAGACAGCTTTACTGAGTACTTACTATGTGGAGGGGGCACTGCTGGGTGTTAAGAAGAGAAGGATGAACAAGATAACATAAGATGCTGGCCTTGAAGGAATTTAGGCAATAGTTGGGGAAACGGAGAGGTGCTCAGGTAATTATCACAATAGACAGTGATAAAAGCTGTAATAAGATTTAAGTACTGGTACTGAGTGCTTAGTGGCAGTACTTAATGGTAGTGGAAGGTAACACCTAATCTATCCTTTGGAGATGCAGGAAAGATTTATGCAAAGATGAAAGGCTCAAATGAGTTAGCTGCTTGCAATGAGTGACAGTGGTGAAAGAGAGTTCCAGGCAGAAACAAAAGCAAGAGCAATTTCCTAAGAGACAGAGAGTGTAAGGTGAATTTAAAGAATTGAACTTCATTTAAATAAGCGCCTGAAAAAGCATTATAAGAATTTGGTACGTTATCCTGAGAGCAGTTTTGAGCTAAGATAGGATTTTAAGGAGGGGAGTGGGTGACTTAAAAAGATCATTCTGGGTCTAATGTGGAGAATGGATTAGAGGTGGACAAGATTGGAGATAGGAAGCCCATTAGGAGGTTATTAAAATAATCCAGGCAGAAGATGGTAAGGCTTGAATTTACGTAATGGAACTGGGGATAAAGGAGGTCAACAGTTCAAGGGATGTTAGCATTTCTCTTTCTCCCTCTCCACCTCCATTTGTGTAATGTGCATTAACCAGTGGTTTTGCTTATATCTGCACTATGACAGAATGCCTGGAGATCTAGATTCCTTAAGATCTTTGATATTACAAAGTGATAATTTGATAGGAATTTTATGAGTAATTGCTGAAACAACTGCTAGGTACTTGAAGAGGAGAATGGACAGGTCATGTATTTGTGGATATGAATGATGCAATCTCAATCTGTCCACAAAAGATAGCACAAAGTGTCAGGCTTCTGAGCCCAAGCTAAGCCATCATATCCCCTGTGACCTGCACTTATACATCCAGATGGCCTGAAGCAACTGAAGAATCACAAAAGAAGTGAAAATGGCTGGTTCCTGCCTTAACTGATGGCATTACCTTGTGAAATTCCTTCTCCTGGCTCAGAAGCTCCCCCACTGAGCACCTTGTGACCCCCGCCCCTGCCCGCCAGAGAACAACCCCCTTTGACTAATTTTTCACTACCTACCCAAATCCTATAAAACGGCCCCACCGCTATCTCCCTTCATTGACTCTCTTTTTGGACTCAGCCTGCCTGCACCCTGGTGATTAAAAAGCTTTATTGCTCACACAAAGCCTGGTTGGTGGTCTCTTCACTCGGACATGCATGACACAAAGGAGATTCTAGGAAGGAAGACTTGGTCTTGGCCACTTAATTAAGGTAAAATTTCAAGGACATTGCAGTGTCAGTATTAAGACAGAGGACTAGTGTTATGTGTTGAATTGTATCCCCAAAAAAGATGCTGAAATCTTTACTCCCAATAACTGTTAAGTGTGACCTTATTTGGAAAAAGGGTGTTTGATGATTATCAACTTAAGACTAGGTTATTAGGGTAGACTCTGGTCCATTATGTCTGTGTCCATATAGAAAGGAAAAATGTGGACACTGAAACAAATGCGCACAGGAAAAATGCCATGTGAATATTGGAATTATGTTGCCCCAAGCCAGGAAACTACCAGAAACTAGGAGAGAGGTCTCAATCAGATTTTCCCCAGTGCTGTCAGAGAGAGCATGGCCCTGCTGACACCTGATTTTCAATTTCTGACCTCCACAACTGTGATACAAAGCATTTCTGTTGTTTAAGTGACTTTGTGGTATTTTGCTATGGCAGCCCTAGAAACCTAATACAACTGGAGAAAGGAAGACTTCAACTGGACACATGAGAGAATTTGCTAGATTCAGGAGAAGGAGGACATGTTGATATGCCAGTCAACTATTTCCCTATAACTGGACCATACTACCATGTGAGATGCAGCCAAATGTTCAATGGTGTATCTGTCAGTTCGGTGTGACTTTCTCACATTACTTCACTGACTTGTGGGAATAAAAACTATACTAGTTATCTAGCTAGGCCCATGATTCTGAAGCAGAACATTGATTCCATAGCCCTCCTAACTTTCTAGCCAGTACTCCTGTATTCAACCTATCTCCTTCTTTTATGCCTTATTCTTTTTCTTATCCCTCTTTTTCAACCTAAGCACTGAGATGTCTCTGTTCAACTATATTAACTTTGGGTAATAATATCAATATCCTTCCTCTGTTCTGGGCTCATTCCCTATTTCTCCACATTCTCCAATACCCTGTCTAGTAGGCAGTATTACTTCTATCAGTGAATTGAAACCAGCTGCAAGCAGATTTTGAAGAGTGAAACTAGAATATGAGGCTGTCCTGAAAGCGAATGTCTTTTTTTATTCATGTTTTCAAAATTATTTTATTGAGATATAACATACATAGAAATGCATATATCTTAAATGTATGGCTTGATAATTTCTACTTATATACATGTTACAGATGAATTTATATTCCCATGTTACCACAGCTTAGATGAAGATTATGATTATTTTGTATTATTAGTTTTTTAAAGTTTGCCTCTACTGGTGAGTGCATAGTGGTGTTTCATTGTGGTTTTAATTTGCACTTATTTGATGACGTGTCCATATCATTTATGTTTGGCTCTTGTAAATAACAAGAATTATTTTATTCCAATAAGACAAATTTTAATAATGAGTTTCGTATATTTATATTTACTGTGATTACAGAAATATTTGGATTTTTTTACCATTTACTTTATACTTTGTGGGTCATTCATAATGAAAAGAAAGCTAGGGTGGCAATATTAGTACTTGTGTGGTGAAGAACTAACTTTACCAAAAGAGAAGTCTGGCCTTTGTCTTGGCTCCAGGAGGTAGCCTCTAAACCCTTTGAATTTTCCAAGTAATTGGAGTGTCTTTGTTATGGTGGGCCTGTTAGAACCCACTTGATAGAGAGTTATGCTGATTAGGTGACTGATGGTTAGCTCCTAGATAGTTTATGCTGAGGAGTTGACTAGGTTGGATTTGGCCATACTGGAAAGATCAACCTTATATTTTTATATCACCCTAACCCCAGTGGAAGCGAGAGCTAACTGGAGACTGAGTCAGTGGACAATGATTCAATCAATTGTGTCTACAGAGTTAGAGTCCGATTTAAAAAAAACAAAAACAAAACTCTTAACACTGAAGCTCAGTGAGCTTTCCCTGGTTGGCAATACTCTTGAGTATCGTCGCACTTTGACACTGAGAAGATGATGAAAACTGTGTTTTGAACTCTCTGAGTCTTCACTCTATGCATCTCTTCTAATTTGGGAATATATATATTATATATGCTATATAATATATATATTAAAACTATAACTTTAAGTATTAGACTTTCTTCTAGTGAGTCCTGTGAATTTTTCTCTTGAAAAATCAAACTTGAGAGTGGTTGTTGAAACACTCTAATTTGTCACCAACTGGTCAAAAGTAAAAGTGGCCCTGGGGACTCCTGACTCTTAACCTGTGAAGTTTAGCCTACATCGGGTAGTATTAAATTATACAGAATTTAAGATGAATGTTATTAAGAATAAAGAGGGACACGATATATTATAAAGTAATAAATTTCTTAGGAAAATATAAACAGTCTAGTTAAACAGTCATAAAATATGGAAAGCAAAATCTGCTGGAACAGAAAAAAATAATTTATCCCTATAAGGGGAGATATTAATGTACTTTTATTAATCAATCAGTTAGGCAGTGAAATAAATTAATAATGATATAGACAATATGGACAGCATAATTAACAATTAACAAGTTTGATTTATCTATCTATTTAGCACCTAAGAAGTAGAAAATGCACATTTTCAAGCTCACATGAAACATTTTTAAAAAAATGACTGTGTGCTAATCATAATGAAAGTCTCAATAAATCCAAAGACAATGATAATATATACAACTTACATTAAAAAAAAAAGAAAACTGTGCCCTTTTGCTGAATGTACACTTTTATCTGTGTTTCTTTTTCAAGTAAGAGGCCTCTGGCACACTAAATAAGATCACTTGAGCGATGGAGTCTCTTTCTAATAAAAGTGATTGTAGGAGCTGTGGAGAGCCAGCGAGCCTTGAAATTTTGGCTCCTGCGGTCTGCCAACTTGATATTGGGAGATCACTCTCAGTGTGTGTGTGTGTGTGTGTGTGTGTGTGTGTGTGTGTGTGTGTGCATCTGTATATGTGTATGCATTTGCATGAAATTTAGCACCCCTCATTGACTTTACTCTTAACTCCAACTCCTTACTTTGTATCTTTTCTTCGACTATTTCTTGACTTTCTTGGGAGGCTGCTGGCATAGCTGTCTCAGTAATTAATGTTATGGAAAGTCTCATCAAGGATGCTGAACAGAAAAATGAATTCCAATATGCACAAATGTATAATATTAACATTTAGCTCTAGGGTATTGTTCTTAATTGTCTTGCATTATAATTTGTTTCATAACTGCTTCAATTGATCTTACAGTGATTCAAAATATTTTAATTGCAGGATGAAGTCCATTTAAAAGATTGAAAAATAAAAAATGATTCCAGGACCATGAGTTCCTTTGTTCTTTGTTTTTGATTTTTAATATTTCAGACTAGTGATTTTGCCTATGCAGTGCTATACTTTACTTTGTGCCAGGGCTCCCCAAACTCTAATGTGAAAACCATTTGCCTAATCATCTTGTTAAAGTGCAGATTCTAAGAGGGTCTGGGAAGAGGACTGAGATTCTGAATTCCTAACGAGCTCCCAGATGTTTCTTGTACCTAAAGTGTGGTCAGCAGACTGCACCTTTGCACATCAAAGCTCTGTATTGTTCTGAACTGTACTATCCTATTCAACATAGTACAATAATTGGACTTGTTCAGATATTTAACCCTGAATCAGTTAAAAATATTTTATAAACCAAAAAACATTTTTAAGAAAATATAAGATAAAACAGTATTTAAACATGGTGAGTTAATAAATAAATTATGTATATAGAACATAAACATTTGTTGTTAGGTCTGTTGAGAGGACCTTTTTTTCAACAAATGTGTTCACATACTTATTGCAAGAAAGAAGTGCCATTTGTTTTAATTTGATTTTGTAGTATTTACCAGTAGATGGCAGTACATATTCAAGCTTATGGCAAGACAGTTACTGTAACTAAAACAGTGTCCCCTAACATTCAAGAAGGCAGTCTTTCTGTAAGTGCTCCTCAAGCCCCAAGACAGAGTCATGGAACTCTTATTTGCAACGCATTTTTATTTGATATAGGCTCTAAACATCCTTTTTTATTCAACTTGAATGTTAATAAATATTTTCACTTTAGAAAATCAGAAAAACACTCTAAGAGGTCAAATGAGAAAAAATGAAGTTAGGACTATAGCAGATGGAGATTTAGTTTACATTTGTACATTGGGTGTGTGTAGGGGGGGAAATAATCCTCTTTCAAAGCATGTATCAAATAAAACACAAATCTGGAATTAGGGTAAAGAAAATATTTTTTAAAATTATCGCAAGGAGGAAAGAGAATAGAAGGAGGGGAATTGTAATAGAAGGAGGGGGACTACTGTAATAGATCGTGAGACCTGCCAGTATTCAAAGATTAAACAAAAAGAGTTTTCCTTTTATAATAAGAAGTAAACAAGGCTAGAAAAAAATTAGGTGTGGAGAAATGGGATGAAAGAGTGGACAGCAGATTGGACAGTAAATAAGAAACTGTGTTACTGAGATTATTCGCAGGAGTTGCTGTTAAGGGGCTGTCTGCTGGTTTAGTCTGAAGGTGGTTCAAAGTTCAGGGACCTAGGGGAAGCAGAGATGCTTTAACAAAGCTTGCTTAACAAGCATTTTGTTCTCATTGATCCGTGGGGACCAGCAGTTCAGTTAACTATTAATGAAGCAAAGAATGGGAGTTTGGAGGGTTTTGTCTGGATTGGTCATAGGTAAACCAAGGAAAGCATCCCTAAATAAGTCATAGGGAAGGCTGTTTCTTTGTAGTAAGGTATCTTTGGGGACACAAAAGGATGGGGATATTTCTTTAACACCTTTGTTTTCCAAGATCCCTGGGTTCTAGTAAAATTCTACATTGTCATAGCTAAAAAGTCTAAATAAGGGATTTAAATGAATTTTTATAGTTATGGTTGCATTTATTCCATAAATGTTTATTGGAATTCAAGCAATGTGTAGGAATGGGCTCTGGTCATTTAATGGTCCAAATGTTATGGCTAAAAATGCTCCCCAAGGATCTTACTACATATCCAGTCCAAAGCATTCTATAGTTACATAGGTAATTTGAAAAACATGGTTTGATTTTTTCCTAAATAATGTAAGTTAATAAGCCAAAGTAAATGCTTAATAAATGTTGGTTTGATAAATGAATGAATACATGTTCTGCATTAAACATATTATTACATGTTTATATATTTGACTGAACTGAATAAGACTTAAAGTTAAATTTCTCAAAATATTTCCTTGCTGCTCGTGGACAAAATCTTCCCAGGTATTTCCTATGAAGTCTAAGTGCTGCTTTTCAGGGTGCACTTATGTCTTTACTTGTAAGTTTACAAAATCGAATTTTTCTGTCTTTCTAGAAGTAGTATTGTGACTTATACCTTTCTGAATAAAACAGCAGCAACAACAACAACAACGTTTATGGACATAAACTGAGGGAATAAGGGCATATTTCAATTCCTATACCTAACATTAGGATTTCAAAAATAGGCCTTCTCTCCATCTCCTACTTACGAAGGGGATGTGATTTCAGGTGGAGAGTGAGGGTCTGGGAAACATCATTTATATTTAAACCCTTAATATATGTTTCTCATCTAATGCCCTCAATAGTATTGCAGGGTACATGTTTTAATAATGTTCTTATAGATTAAAATATTTTCCCAAATACACAGAAATAAAACACAAAAGTGACAGAGAGGGCTCTGAATAAATTCATTATATGTGTATATATATATATGTGTGTGTGTGTGTGTGTATATATGTGTGTATATATATGTGTGTGTATATATATGTGTGTGTATATATATATGTGTGTGTGTGTGTGCATATATATATATATATATATATATTTATTTATTTATTTTAACAAAATAATTACTCTATCCTGGAGCAGGGCAACATGCTGGAAGGTACAAGGCTAAAATAAAAATTGTCTCTGCTGTTAAATTTTTGCCACCTAAAGAAACCAACTAATGTAGATCTCAGGATAGCATTCTGTCTGAGTGTAGGGGAAGCAGCAGAGAGAAGTGATAAATTCTTCAATGGACAAAGTTGATGGTCAAGAAAGACTTGAGAATATGTGCCACGGGTTAGATGTTCTCCAAAACTTTGAGTCTCTACTTCCACAGTGTGAAGTTGGTGCTGGTAGAGGAATCTCCAGACAGGAACTATGTTTCTCCAGCCTCCTTTGTATACAGTTGCAGTAATGTGTTCTCATCTATGAGAAATTCTCCCCAAAAAAAGCTAAGCAGAAGTGATGTGTGCCACTTATGGTCTAGGTTTTTCCACTCTCCTTCCTTTTTTTCACCAGAAGCAGAGGACTCTGAGGCTCCAGTGAATGAATGATAGAGCAAATAGGTGGAGAAGCCTGTGAATGAATCACCATGTGGAAAAACAGGAACATGGTTATGTGGATGAAAAATATAATTATATTATTTTATGGGATTGAAATTTTGAGGAGTAGTTACTATAGCAATTACTGCAACTATAACTATTATAGAAGTTACTCCTAATCTGAGTTATGACAAGTTAACTCACGTAGCTCACATAATTTTAAATTGTAAGGAATCTTATACATTATTCCAGATTTTCATTTTATACAGCAAGACATATGCCTACAGGAGAGTCGAGGTTACATTGCTAATAGGTAATGAATTTAGGTCTAGAATTTTGGGCTTTCCTGCCCCAAAGCCCTGTCTAGGGGAGGAAGGTGTCATGCTGCTTTTATATAGCACTTAACGAAAATCACCCCATTTAACTTTTTATTGACCTTTAAGTTTATTTCTCTGTATTCAACAATCTGCAAAGAATTAGTCATGGTTTTTCTTATTATCACCTACTGTGTAGCTAAAGACAGCTATTTTCCATAAAAAATAATCACAATTATTTCTTGTTCTTAAGCTAAGATGTATAATTCCTTGAACAGTTTCACATTTATTGTATCTGAATTATCTTAAAATAAAAATGCCCACATCCTTGGTATTTTTCTTAAATAAGTGTATCTCATAACTGCCTAGTAGAAAGAATACTGGGCTAGAAATAAAAATTATATTCAACTTAGCAAATATCTCTGATATACTTATTATATGTAAGTCTTGGTACTAGTCTTGACCAACTTGCATTTTTAAGGAAAATGATTGCTAACCAAATATCATCTCCAGTTCAAACATGGTAGAATTATACTTTCCAATCTTTTTGTTGTTGGCTGGGGATTCTGTGATGAGTAATGGGGGGAAGTAACATCTTCCGGACCAGAGAAGTTATTTGCTGGTGGACAGTCTTCAGAATATTTTTTTCCCTGTGGCATAAATGCAATCAGGGTTCAAGACTGTGGCTGCTCCATCAGCCTGTGTCTCTCAATGGCAGTATCGATATCCTCTTCTTACCTATGATGGACCTGTAGCAGGAGCAATCAGCAAACCTTCATTGTTTCAGTATGTAGGAATTTGGAGAGTATTACTGCAGCATAACCTAATCTATGCTGACTGAAATAATGATGTTTCTGACATTATAAATGTGATCTTGAAAAATTCATTAAACTTCTTGGATGTCTAGCCTGCAATTTGGGAATTAACTGCTGTTTAGAGACCAAGTTATATAATTATGGAAAATACTAGACTAGGAGTCATAAATCCTTAGTTTTGTTATCTACCTGGTCACTAATTTGTATAACTTTGGGAATGTATTCCTTCTCTAATTTATTCCCAAATATCTATTGAACATTTATTGTGACTAAGTACCAGAAAACACAGATGAATAGAATCTTATTTATTGCCCCCACAGGAGCTCACAGGTGACACAGAGAGACAGAGAGATGTAAGTAAATATGATGAGATGTGGTGAGTTATAGTAAAGCGCAGATTTTTATGAGAAGTGTAGGAGGGACAATCAGGTAAAGGCACAGGGGAGTAAGGAAGGGATCACAGAGAAGACATTTCAACTTGAACCTTTTTATTAGAAGAAGTAGCATCTTTAGCAAGAGAAAGAGTATATGAAAAGATGTAAAACTGTATGTTTTAAAAGAGTAATCTCCTTTCTTTCTTCTCTAAAACTCATATGTCCAATTATTTGAGTGGGTTTTTATTTTCTGGACAGGAGCAAGATGTAGATGGTTCTGATGTTTGTCAAGGTATTTTAATGGCCCACTTAAAAAAAAGCCAATAATCTTTTGTGTATTTTCTGGAACCTACAAAAATAAAGTAAATTTTCTCTTCATTAGAATATTCAGCTCTACGTACATTGTGGCCAGGGATAACAGTACAAGCATTTTTGCATATAGAAAGAAAATTTCTTAAGGTGTTTCAGACTATTAATTTTTAATGTCCTTATAAATGGAATGGCTTGTATATTTGTATATGTGCATGTGTGTGTTTTAATAGTTACTCATTCCAAAACTACAGGAAAAATTAAGAGGTACATGGGTACCTCGCCTTGTCATGGCAATCTTAAAGAATATAAATGATGTCCCAAAGCATTTCTTAGAGTTTTCTATTATTAAGACTAAGAAAAAGGGCATTAATTATTATTTATTTTTTCTTTGAATACTAGGAACAATCGTAGTAGCATCTAAAGTTGTTTGTTTTACATTTATTTTAATTTCTTTAGTTATCAACAGTGTAATAAAATGTGTTACATACATAAAATCTTATTTTTTTATAATGATTTTTATGGAGAATTAACGGATGGGTCCAAAAAGGAAAAAGTGATGCTCCTCGTATCACCTTTCACTGTAGCTAGTACTGCTGCCGCAGTGCTATACTGAAGAACCAAGCATCCTGGAGTATCAGGTAGTGCCCAGCTGTAGGGTAAATAAAGACCAGAGTTAGAGCTGAAAGCAGGGGAGAAAACATATCTCATGTGGTAGCAACAGCAAAGGAGATGACTCACGATCAGACATGTGATATGCTCACTTTCCCCCAAATAAGCTAGAGAAAGGGAGGCTAACATTCTATGTTTACAGTATGAATGTGCCTGTCATAGTTCGATAAAAGTTAGTACCTCTGTGTGGCACATGGGTCTGTAGAATGGTAGACCCAAAGCTTGAATATGAGCAAGAAAAGTTCCCCAAATAAAGGGAAGGATCACTCTGAGAAAGACCAATGGACTTGATGTTAATCTCACATGGTAACAGAAAGCTACTGAAGAATTTTGAATAAGGGAAATCATAATACGATTTGTGTTCTGTAAAACACTCTCCAATAGATGTGTTGAAGATCGATCAAAATTAGGGGGAAGTGGGAACCCAAGGCAGCCACAGACAGACTATTACTGTCATATTTTCAGTATTTGGTGCAATATGTGGCTGGCAGAAGATGCAGAAGAATATTTGGGGTATGAAAGAGTGGAGGCAATGATGAGGACCTGAACTACCTTAGTGTCTCTGGGTTAGTGAGATATGTAGGATATAAAACTAAATAGCATGCGGATCACTGATTGGATATGAGATAAAAAGAATAATTTCAAAATGACTCAGATTTTTAGCTTGAATGAGTTCTGATGGCTTCACCTGAGGAAGGGAAATCAGAGGGAAAATAATTTCACCTAATTAAAGATCAATTTAGCCTACCTGGAGCTTAACTTCTTTATTTTTTAAATGAGGAAGGCAAACTAGGAAATCTCTAAGTTATCAGCCAGCTCCAACAATGTATGATTAGATAATTCTAAATATGTGATAAAAGAAAATACACTGCCATAAAAAAAAAGTTGGTGCAAAAGTAATTATGCTTTCAGGCTGTGAATGTTAAATCATTATAACTAGGCTCAAACACATCTTTATTAATGAAAATAGAAACCATTACAATCAACATATTTTTGCCAATGAAAAATAAGTTTGTTTATTCCTGTAGCATAAAAATCCATGCTTCAAGATTCTACAAACTCTTAGATAGCATTTTTTGCATCTTGCTCATTGTAGAAACATTTTCCCTGCAAAAAGTTGTTGAGATGCTTGAAGAAGTGGTAGTTGGTTGGCGAGAGGTCAGGTGAATATGGCAGATGAGGCAAAACTTCATAGCCCAATTTGTTCACCTTTTGAAGTGTTGGTTGTGTGACATGTGGTTGGGCATTGTCATGGAGAAGAATTGGGTCTTTTCTGTTGACCAATGCCAGCTGCAGGTATTGCAGTTTTCGATGCATCTCATGGACTTGCTGAGCATACGTCTTAGATGTAATGATTTCATCAGGATTCACAAAGCTGTAGTGGATCCGACCGGCAGCAGACCACCAAACAGTGACCATGCCCATTTTTTGGTGCAAGTGTGGCTTTGGGAACTGCTTTGGAGCTTCTTCTTGTTCCATCCACTGAGCTGGTGGTCGATGGTTGTCATATAAAATCCACTTTTTGTTGCACATCACAATCTGATTGAGAAATGGTTCATCGTTATTGCATAGAAGAAGAGAAGACGACACTTCAAAATGATGACTTTTTTCAATTTTTGCTCACCTCATGAGGCGCCCAGTTATCAAGCTTTTTCACCTTTCCAATTTGCTTCAAATGCCGAGTGACCATAGAATGTTCGACTTTGAGTTCTTCAGCAACTTCTCATGTAGTTGTAAGAGGATCAGCTTCGATGATTGCTCTCAACTGATCATTGGCAACTTCTGCTGGCCAGCCACTATGCTCCTCATCTCGTCACCTTTGCAAAACTTCTTGAATGATCACTGCACTGTAGGTTTGTTAGCAGTTCCTGGGTCAAACGCATTGTTGATGTTGTGAGTTGTCTCTGCTACTTTACGACGCATTTTGAACTCGAATAAGAAGATTGCTTGAATTTGCTTTTTGTCCAACATCATTTCCATAGTCCAAAATAACTATAAAATAAATGGGAAGTAATAAGTCATTAGCAAAATAAAAAAACATAAAGTGAGAAATGTTCATTAAAGTGATTTATAACCACATTTATTTAAGATTGTATTCCAGTATCAAATGGCAAACTTCAGCAATGCAAAAACTTTTGCACAAACCTAATATTAATTATTATTGGTAGAAACATTGGCTTCCAACAATGCAGTATTATTACAAGGGCCCAATTAGCACTGAATAAAGAAAGACAATTATTCACAGACTCTTCCTTGTCCTTTTTTTTTTTTAACATAATCTGCTATCTTATGCATTGTTTTCTTCTCAGACAGCTTTATATAGCTTACACATCTGCTTAGTTTGTGAAATATAGGTGCTCCTTGACTTAAAATGGTATTACATCCAGATAAACCCATTGTAAGTTGGAAATAACATAAATCAAAGATGCATTTAATACACCTAAACTACCGAACATCATAGCTTAGTCTAGCTTATGTTGAATGTGCTTAGAATACTTACATTAGCCGCAATTGAGTGAAATTATCTGGCAACACAGTCCACTATAGAATCTCTGTGTTTATCCTCATGATCCTGTGGCTGACGGGGGGCTGTGGCTCACTGCTACTGCCCAGCAGTGCCAGAGAGTATTATATTGTATATTGCTAGCCTGGGGGGAAAAAAATCACCATTCAAAATTCAAAGTATAGTTGCTACTGAATGCATCTAGGTTTTGTACCATCATAAACTCAGAAAATCATAAGTTAAACAATCGTTAAGTTGGGAAGCATCTGTACTATGATCTCAGTTTATTTATTTATTTTTATTCCTCATAATGTATTTTCTAATACACTCCCATTTTTTTACTCATCGTTAGGTGCCTGCTTGTGTTTTGATCTCGATTTTATTTCCATTCACTTTTTGTTAATTTTGAATTACTTATTCTTAAGATGTTAACAATTCTAATTTTCTTGGCATTATTTGAAAGACAATGTTTTTACTCTTAATCGTACTCTTGAGGGAGGGAGAGCACCAGGATAAATAGCTAATATATGGAGGGCTTAATACCTAGGTGATGAATTGATAGGTGCAGCAAGGGCATGTTTATGTAACAAATCTGCACGTCCTGCACATATACCCTGGAACTTAAAATAAAATTAAATTAAAAATAAAAAATATACTCTTGAAATTATTTATAAAGATAAATAATCAGAAAGTAAAACAATAATAAAAAATACTTTCACATTAACAACCAATGTGAAACAGGAATAATTTTAATAAGAAATGCATGTGATATTTTAGGGACATATAAGAATGCTTGAGTAAATGAAGCAATGCACTATATTTCTGGATGAGAAGACTGAATATTGTTAAAATGTCAGTTTGTCTAAACTTATATTGTAGGTTTATTGTAATTAAAATAGAATTCCAATTAGGATATTTTTCACCTGATAAAATTATGTTAACATTCTTCAGAACAATGCTCTGAAACAAATAATTAAAAGGAAAAAGTGATTTATTAAGAGTGCTCTCAGAAGAAACCTATGAGGGAGGGAGGTAAGCAGGATAAGGAAAGGAAATAAATTAAGCAACGATATAATTCAGATCATATACTTTCAGTGGGGCAATCTCACCCCCAAGGGAGTGAAAATTGATTGTTGGGAAGTGAAAGATATTATAATGGTGTGTAGCCCTCCAAAACACCACCATACACAAATAAATACATAGATGGTCTCTCTTGACATTAAAATTTCATGGCAGTGGATGATTAGGGGAAAAAAACTGTCTATGAAGTTTCTTTAGGGGACAATAGTGGAAAAAAGGGGGCTGAGAAACACAATTTTATGTGAAATGCAACCTCAGGATGATCTTAAGAAGATTTCTGGAGTATCAATTGCCCAAAGTTTATTTTGTCTTTAGGTAAGTGAGGCTCATATCATCAGTCATGAGATATGCGCCATCCTTGAGTGAGAGGGCATAATTCCCAGGCACTTCCTTATGCAGCAGCTCTAATCACTGAAGAGCCATTCTATGGAGGAGGTTGCCTGTATGAGCCATTAGCAGTGACATTCATAGCAACTGAGGGATGGCCACACTGAGCAGTGTATTCTATAGAAGGAAGAGATTTAGTAGTCACTGTTTTCACATACTATAATGTTTTGCATAGAAACCTGTGAAATTCAACAAACTATTAGAACTAAAAGGAGAGTTCTCAAGGTTGCTGGCTATAAGATTAACATGTAGAAACAACTGTTCCTCTATACTGGTATGAAACTACTAGAAACCAAACAGAAATTAAGATATTATTTTCAAAGAACAACAGAATTCTGAAGTATTTAAAAAGAAATCTAACAAATATACACTATTTGGGGATAAACCCTATCAAAGAACATTTAGAAAGACATAGATAAAATATATTTATGGACAGTATGAGTTAACAACCCAACCAATCAAAATTATGGAGGGTTTTAAGAAAATAATTAACAAATTTCCAAATGTCAGTTGTAGCACTACTTGAAATAGTGAAAATGTAAGAAATACTTAAGTGTCCATAAATAAGTGAAGACACAGCCACATAATGGAATATAAAAAATAGTGATCCAGACCTATGTTACTTGCTATGGTGAGATGTCTAATGTATATTAAGTGGGAAAAGCCAGTTGTAGAACACACTTGTGTGTGGAAGTGGCTTTGAAATTAAGTAATGAGTAGAGGCTAGAGGAATTTTGAGAAGTAAGTTAGAAAAAACCTAGATTGCCTCAAATAGACTTTTTGTAGAAATATGGATGTTAAATTCCACTGGCAAGGGCTCAGAAAGACACGAGGAACGTATGTAACATAGTTTTTCTGCTTTCTTTTCTGTGTTTATCCAGAGTTTAAGTTTTATTTTTAATTTACAAACAATAATCACATATATTTGTGGAGTATAAAGTGATACTTTTATATGTATCCACTGTGGAACAATGCCCTGGCTAGAGGCTGGTTAGTTCCCCTTCTTGAGCAGCTGCCTAAGGCCACACTGTAACCACATCCCTTATCAAGCTCTCATATTATGGGCCATTATGCATCAACTTTAATCACCCCAGAGCCAGGTACCAGCCAACTAGGGATAAATAATTCAAATTAGCCAATCAACAAGGAGACCTTGAAATCTAGCACACTTCACTCCATTTGAGATACAGAAACTTTCCCCTAAAGCTCCAGCTTCCTATTACCCTGTCTCCAGTTGCAACTCCCCATGTGGCTCTGCCTGCAGCCTTCTGTCATTTCAAGCCATAAAGAACAAAAAGTTATGCCTTTTATCTGAGTATTCCTGTATTGCATCTTGCCATCAAAAGAATCTTTAAATTTTACAAAACAACATACTATTGGAAACAGAAATAAAGATAATCTTTTTTTATATATGCAGAAAGCTTACCTTCATTGTGTCCTACACTTGTAAGGGATGGACTTGGATATATAGCTGAGATTTCCAAGCAAAGTGTTGAAGCCAAGGCTTAGTTTCTTTTTTGCTACTTATGGTAAAATGTGAGAGGAAGAGATAAATTGAGGAAACAACTATTAAGCAAAGAGGAATCAGAAATTGATGATTTTGGACATTCTCAGTTTATCTAGACTTTAAAAGATGCTATAATGAGGAGATTCACTGTCAGAAAAGCATGCTCTGAGGAAAAGCCAAGAATTTAGCTGGACAACCTTTTGCTAATTTCTTAGAAGTAACAAAAGCTCACAGTCAGTATTCAGTCACACAGAGGACTCTTTGAGGAGCTTAGTTGTCTGACTCATGGATCCTCTCAGCTATCTCTGGAAAAGCCAAAATTAGAGGAAGAATAATCCAGAAAAACCTGTGGAGGACCCACTTGTCTAATGGAGTGAATTCCTGTGACATACACAAAAGAATCACTCACTGATACTTGAGAATGTTAGATCAGAAGAAACATGGTTAATTTTGCTCTAAAAGGACAGAGGAGATGAAATGAAATAAAGCTGTTGGACTTCCAAAATTCTATAGGCAGGAAGCAGGCTGATAAAACCATTTAGTTGCAAACACATGCTATCCTGTAACATAAAGGAAAAATGACTCTGATGGTGGAACCGCTGGCATAGAGGGATGAGCCTAAAGTCACAGAAGATTATTCCAGGCCTTAAAACATAATGGAGTTGGCCTTGCTGGATTTTAAAATTGCTTGAGAGAACCAACTCTTTTTTTCTTTTTCTTGATTTTTGAATGGAATTGTCCATAATTCTTCTACTATGACTATCCTACCATTATATTTTGGAAGCAGTGAACTTGTTTTCTAGGAACTTGCTAAGAGAGTAACTTGGATATTTAGCTAAGGAACTTTCTGAGCAAAGTTTTAAAGGTATGGCTTGATTTCTGTTTGCTGCTTGCAGTAAAATGCAAAAGGAAGCAATTATGATGGGAGTAAAGAGAAATTTGAAGAAGTACATTTTGAAGACAGAGAAAATTGCCACAAGCCAAAAAATAAGGACAGCACGTAGAAACTGAAAAAGGCAAGGAAACAGATTCTCTCCTCAGAACCTCCACGAGGAACCAGTCCTGACAACACTTTGACTTTAGCTTACTGTGACTACTTGTGGACTTCTGACCACCAGAAATGATAAAGAGTAAACTTGTACTGTTAAAGAAGATACGTTTGTGGTAATTTGTTATTGTAACAATAAGAAATGTGTGTATGTATCTATAGGAATACTACTTAAGTAAAAATACATTTATATGATGCTTATTATAGCCCACACATTTTACTAAATGTTTTGTACAAATATTCTTATCTGATTCTAGAAAGAATCTTATTTACTTTGCATTTCTATGTGTCTATATATGGATGTGTGTATTATGTATGTGTGTATATATATATATTTCTTAAGTAAAAAACCTAAAACTTAGGTTAAGTAACTGGAAAAAGGTCAAATAGCCAGGAAACTTTGTATCCAGAAACTTTGCTGAATTCATTTATTGGTTCTAGGAGCTTCTTTAGAGCTGTGCTTTTAACGATAAAGTAAAATTGTGATCTGGATAATCTTTTAAATACAGGAAGAAAAAACGAAACCTGGAAATAAATATAACAAAATGTTTATTTGCAGGTTGAACATTATGAATATGTTTTTCCTTCTTTTTACCTTTCTGTATTTCTTTTGTATCAGGTGTATATTATTTTCATCATGTGAAAATCAAACAAACATAATACAAAACTTTACTTCTGTGTAGAATTGGATTTTCTAGATATTAATGATTTGTACTCTTCTTCAGACAATCACTTTATACTAGCTCTATTTTTTTTTTTTGAGACAGAGTCTCACTATGTTGCCCAGGCTGGAGTGCAGTGGTACAATCTTGGCTCGCTGCAGCCTCTGCCTCCCAGGTTCAAGCAATTCTCCTGCTGTAGTTTCCCGAGTAGCTGGGATTACAGGCATGTGCCACCACACATGGCTAATTTTTATACTTTTAGTAGAGATGGGGTTTTGCCATGTTGGCCAGGCTGGTCTTGAACGCCTGACCTCAGGTGATCCACCTGCCTCAGTCTCCCAAAGTGCTGAGATGACAGGTATGAAACATAGCACATGTCCTATGCTAGCTCTTTAAAGTAATTTTTCACATAACTACATGGTCTGGCTAGTGATTGTTTTTCAGAATAACAAATAATTAGAAATTGTTGTCTAAGATTCTTTGAATCAGATTGTGAAAGATAATACACATAGAAGAATATGGCAACACCTGATTTGTTGACTTAAAAAATATCACTTTTTTTTTGACATGGAAAAGCAGATTATTTTGGTTCAAAATGAGTTTCTAGAGTAAAATAGACAGAATTATGAGATGGTCCCCAGACTCCTACCTTCCGGTACAGATTCCCTGTATAAACCCCTCCTCTTGAATGTGGGCAGGACCTGAGAATATAATGGGGGAGTTATTCTCTTGATTAGATTGTTTTATATACAACTACATGCTTTGAAGAAGTAAGGGGAAATGCTAACAAAAAAAGTCCAGGACCAGATGGATTCACAGTTGAATTCTGTCAGACATTCAAAGAAGAATTGGTACCAATTCTATTCACAAGATAGAGAAAGAGATGGAATCCTCCCTATATAATTCTATGAAGCCAATAGCACCCTAATACCAAAACCAGAAAAGGACATAACAAAAAAAGAAAACTATAAACCACTATCCCTGATGAACATAGATGTAAAAATCCTCAACAAAATACTAGCTAACCGAATCAAATGGCATATCAAAAAGATAACCCACCATGATCAAGTGGGTTTCATTCCAGGGATGCAGGGATGGTTTACCATCCGTAACTCAATAAATGTTATACACCACATAAACAGAATTAAAAAGGAAAATCACATGATCATCTCAATAGATGCAGAAAAAACACTTGACAGAATCCAACATCTCTTTATGATTAAAACCCTCAGCAAAATGTGCATAGAAGGGACATACCTCAATGTAATAAAAGCCATTTATGACAAATCCACAATCAACATTACGCTGAATGGGGAAAAGATGAAAGAATTCCCCCTGAGAACTGGAACAGATAAGGATGCTCACTTTCACCACTTCTATTCAACCTAGTACTGGAAGTTCCAGCCAGAGCACTCAGACAAGAGAAGGAAATAAAGGACATCCAAATCAGTAAAGAAGAAGTCAAACTGTCACTGTTTGTTGATGATATGATCATGTACCTAGAAAACCCTAAAGACTCATTTAAAAGCTCCCAGAACTGATAAATGAATTCAGCAAAGTTTCTGGATACAAAATTAATGTACACAAATCAATAGCACAGTCACACATCCACAATGACAAGATGAGAATCAAATCAATAACTCAAACGTTTTTACAATAGCTGGAAAAAAAAAACCATAGGAATGAAAGACCTCTAGGAGGAAAACTACAAAACACTGCTGAAAGAAATCATAGATGACACAAATGAATGGAAACACATCCCATGCTCATTGATGGGTAGAATCAATATTATGAAAATTAGCATACCACCTGATATGGTTTGAATGTGTTCCCACCCAAATCTCATCTTGAATTGTAGCTTCCATAATTCCCATGTGTTGTGGGAGGGACCCAGTGGGAAATAACTGAATCAAGGGTGCAAATTCCCCCATACTGTTCTCATGGTGGTGAATAAGTGTCATGAGATCTAATGGTTTTGTAAGGGGAAACCCCTTTTGCTTGGCTCTCATTATTCCTTTGCTTTTTCTTCATCTTCTACCATGATTGTTAGGCTTCTTTAGCCATGTGGAACTGTGAGTCCATTAAACCTCTTTCCTTTATATATTACCCAGTCTCAGGTATGTCTTTGTCAGCAGTGTGGAAATAGGCTAATACAGTAAATTGGTACTGGTAGAGTGGGGCACTGCTATAAAGATACCCAAAAATATGGGAGTGACTTTAGAACTGGGTAACAGGCAGAGGTTAGAATAGTTTGGAGGGCTCAGAAGAAAACAGGAAAATATGGGAAAGTTTAGAACTTCCTAGAGACTTGTTGAATGGTTTTAACCAAAATGCTGATAGTGATATGGACAATGAAATCCAGGCTAAAGTGGTCTCAGATGGAGATGAGGAGCTTGTTGGGAACTGGAGTAAAGGTAGCTCTTGCTATGTTTTAGCAGAGACTAGCAGCATTTTGCCACTGCCCTAGAGATTTGTGTAACTTTGATCTTAGGGGAAGTGATTCAGGGTACCTGGCAGAAGAAATTTCTAAGCAGCAAAGCATTCAAGATGTGACTTGGGTGCTGTTAAAAGCATTCCTGCAGAAATTTGCATAAGTAACAAGGAGTCAAATGTTAATCACCAAGACGATGGGGAAAATGTCTCTAGGACATGTCAGAGACCTTTGCAGTAGCCCTTCCCATCACAGGCCTGAAGGCATAGGAGGAAAAAATAGTTTAATTCACTGGGCCCAGGACATCCCTGCTCTGTGCAGCCTAGGGACTTAGTGCCCTGTGTCCCAGCTGCTCTAGCCATAGCTAAAAGGGGCCAAGGTAAAGCTCAGATTGGGGCTTCAGAGGGTACTTCAGAGGGCAGCTTCCACATAGTGTAGAGCCTGCAGGTACAGAGAAGTCAATAATTGAGGGGGTTTAGAACCTCAATTATTTTAAACCATGTGTGTAGATTTCAAACCATGTATGTATATGCCTAGATGTCCAGGCAGAAACTTGCTGCAGGTACAAGGCCCTCATAGAAAACCTCTGCTAGGTCAGTGCAGAAGGGAAATGGGGGGTTGAATTCCCTACACAGACTCCCCACTGGGGCACTGCCTAGTGGAGAAGTGAGAAGAAGCCACCATTTTCCAGACCCCAGAATGGTAGATCCCTGAAGAGGCTGCACTGTGCACCTGGAAAAGCCACAGACACTCAATGCCAGCAAATGAAAGCAGCTGGGAGCGAGGCTGTACCCTGCAAAGCCACAGGGGTGGAGCTGTTCAAGACTATGGGAATCCAACTCTTGGATCAGTGTGACCTGGATGTGAGGCATGGAGTCAAAGGAGATAATTTTGGAGCTTTAAGATTTGACTGCCCCAGTGGTTTTCAGGCTTGCATGGGGCCTTTAGCCCCTCTGTTTTGGCCAATTTCCCCCATTTGGAATGGGTATAACATTCAATGCCTGTGCCCCCATTGTATCTGGGAAGTAACTAACTTGCTTTTGATTTTACAGGCTCATAGGTGGAAGGAACTTGGCTTGTCTCAGATGAGACTTTGAACTGTGGACTTTTGAGCTAATGCTGAAATGAGTTAAGACTTTGGGGCACTGTTTAGAAGGCACGATTGGTATTGAAATGTGAGGATCTGAGATTGGTATTGAAATGTGATGTCAGGGGTGGAATGATATGGTCTGGCTGTGTCCCCACTGAAATCTCATCTTGAATTGTAGCTCCCATAATTCGCGTGTGTGGTGGAAGGAACTGATGGGAGGTAATTGAATCATGGGGGTGGTTTTACCCATACTGTTCTCATGGTAGTAAATATCTCTCATGAAATCTGATGATTTTATAAGGGTAAACCCCTTTTGCTTGGCTCTCATTGTCTCTTTGCTGGCTGCCAATGTAAGATGTGCCTTTTCCCTGCACCATGATTGTGAGGCCTCCCCAGCCATGTGGAACTGTGAGTCCATTAAACCTCTTTTTCTTTATAATTTATCCCAGTCTCAGGTATGCCTTTACCAGCAACATGAAAATGGACTAATACACTTCCTAAAGCAATCTACAAATTCATGCAATTCCCATCAAAATACCACCATAATTCTTCACAGAACTAGAAAAAAAATCCTAAAATTCTCATGGAACCAAGAAAGGGCCCACATAGCTAAAGCAAGACTAAGCAAAAAGAACAAATCTGGAGGCACCACGCCTCCTGACTTCAAACCACACTATAATGCCATAGTCACCAAAACATCATGGTACTGGTTTAAAAAATTAAGCACATAGACCAATGGAACAGAATAGAGAACCAAGAAGTAATGCCAAATACGTACAGCCAACTGATCTTTGGCAAAGCATACCAAAACATAAAGTGGGGAAAAGACACCCTATTCAACAAATGGTTCTGGGATAATAGTCAAGCCATATGTAGAAGAATGAAACTGTATCTTCATATATCATATTAAACAAAAATCAACTGAAGATGGATCTAAGACTTAATCTAAGACCTGAAGACATAAAAATTTTGGAATATAACATTGGAGAAACCCTTCTAGATACTGGCTTAGGAAAGACTTCATAACCAAGAACCTAAAAGCAGAGACCCCCACTGAATAGCCAACAAGAAATAGGGGTCCTAGTGCTACAACTGCAGGAAATGGAATTATTCCAACAACCTGCAAGAGAACCATGAGCTACAGATGAGAATACAGCCTGAGCTGGAACCTTGATTTTAACCTGGTAAGACCCTGAGCAGAAAACCCATTTAAGCTAGACTTTGACCTCTGACCCACAGAAACTAAAAGGTAACAAATCTGTGTTATTTTAAACCACTAAATTTGTGGTTATTTGATATACAGCAAGAGAAAACTAATATATATAAACTTAGGTATAATATTATCCTTTATAGAGAAATATTACCGGGAAGAAGCTTGGCAAAAGATATGAGTTCTATTCCACCCTCTGAAGTTTCATATAGTTGAGGCTGGTGATGAATTTGTACCCAGGGAATGTCTCACTCTCTAAATATTTTCCTTCCAAGCTTGTCTTAACTTATAAAGGCTAAGATAAGAGTGTGTAGAGGGAGTAAGAGGAAACCATAATTGGGTGCCCACTAGGTTACTAGAACCATGGTATATGTTACTACCTTTTTCTCATTATATTCTCAAAAATCCATGGAGAGGTAGATACTAGAATCCCCATATCTTAGATGAGAAAACAGGGTCAGAGATATAAAATAACTTTTTCAAATGCAATATAGGTAGCCAAAGGCTCATCTTCCAGGGAGCTATTGACTTTTATTGTCTGTTCTCTGCTTGTTAATGTTATTTCTACCCCTCCTAGGCATCTTCTTTTAATTCCTTTTGCTCAGCCATCCCTAGAACAAATAACAAATTTAACAAATATCTAGCTATGGTAGATAAATTCACAACCCAGTTTATTCACAATCATTTTCTGTTTCAAGAATAAAGTGAAAAAGTAGCACCTTTATTAATATATAGAAAAAAATTGTGTAGTTATACACTTCGAAATACCTGAGAGAAATTCATTATTTATTTATCTTTGCAGGAGGAGGGTTATATTGTTAGTCATACTGTGGGTTCAAAGTCCTTCCAACTATTCAAGTAAAACCTGATATGAAACTCTGCCTCACAGCACAATGAAAGATGGTTTATCAGCCATCATTTGCATTCCCAGTTGCCCTGGGATATTGTACTATTCAAATTGTCTTTGATTGTACTCTATGAACACATGTGTTTTCTAAGGGTTACTTTGTTAAGTAATGTTTTAAATTTTTAAAAATAATGCCTAAAATTGTGTCAGTTAACTGTTTCAAAGAGGCTCAGAGCCATAGAAACAATTGAAGTTAAGACAAACGTTATCAGCCAGCATGAAAAAGGCTAAGGGGTCACAGACATTGGCTGCATTCTTTCCTGAGAGGATTTCATCAGAACAATGACCACATTGCTGCCAAGATTAATAAAACTGCTAAATCTGGAACATGACAAAGACTTTGAATGCCATTTAGTGAAGGGGATGGAGAAAAATACAGCTATTAGAATGGGCAAATGCTATTTATTGCTTGATTTGGTATTGCCAGTAACTTATTGTTTTATGAATGCACACGTTAGATATAAACTTTTTCAATAAATTATTTAGTTACTCTTCATATTTATGTTGTATGTGTAATGAACAAGCCTGAATTTTTTTGGGATTCTACTGGAACATGACTTGCTTTTTCTTTATCATGATACATTTCATTTTCTGTTAGAATTATCTACCACTTTTCAGGAATTTGCGTACATAATGATACACATTTTTTTAACCCCAGATTTTTTATACACAAAGACTTAAAGTGTTATATAAGTCTGCCTCATGCACTGCTGTTAAGTCCCTCACCTTCATAATTATCAGCCTGAACTATGCCTTTTCACCCTCCAACCAGGCTTGCTATGTCTCTCCAATCTCAGCCTCTTACAGAACTTTTGAAGAACACAAGAGAAGAATAATGAACCAGATACCAGAGGATATTAGAGTACTGAATGAGAAGGAACCTGGAACAATAGGCCCATGATTAGTGGCAGTGTTTGAAACTAAAGACACACATGAATAAGGAGAAACAAAAGGCGACAAGAAGTGCTGCACTGGGAGTGAATGGGCCTGGATTTTACTTCTGATTCTACAGGAGCATTATCAAGCTCCGCTGCCATAATGAATAAACCATAAAATACAGTGGCTTGAATAAGATATAATTGTTTTCCTCTTTTACTTAATAGGTCAGAAATGAATGGTTTGGGTTTGGGAGGGTGGAGTTGCCATTTTCAACACATGGCTTCCTAGATTGTTCATATTACTGCTATTTTAAACTTAATTTAAAGGGAGAAAGGAAAGAAACATGGGAAGAGACTTTGGGTTTAATAAAATAATCTAAAATGTACACATTATTTCAATTTACCTCTTATTTGCTAAAACCTAGCTGTATAGCACAGTTCTCTCACACTACACACCTCCATGGGATGTAATTTAATTATATTTTCAGGTTCATGACACTCTGTGGCTTGTGCCGGAGAATGGTGGCCCTAACATAGCTGCTTCTTGTGCAAGAGAGTGGTAGGCAGCATGTTGTACCCCATGAACTTTCCCCAGTGTTATGCCAATGAGTATGTTTCATTATATGGCAAAAGGGATATAATTAATGTTACTAGTCCACTCACTGTAAAATTACCCTAGATTATCTGGTTGGTCCTAATGTAACCACAGGAGCCCTTAATAGCAGAGTTCTTTCTCTGGTGGTAGCAGAAGTGGAAGTCAGGGTTCCAAAACATGAAAAGGATTCATCATGCCATTGTCAGATTGAAAGTGAAGAGTCCGCATATCAAGATAACAGAGACCTCAGTTTTAACAGCCAAAAGGAGCTAAATTCTGCCCACAATCTGAATAAGACTGGCTCTTCCTCAGAGGCTCTCAGTAAGATCCCAGCTCACCCACCAGTTTAATTTTGGCATTGTGAGGCCCTGAGTCAATATACAAACAAATGAAATGACATCTCATGCTCATGGATTGGAAGAATTAATATTTTTAATGACCATACATACTACACAAAGCAATCTATAGAGTCAATGCAGTCTCTATCCTAATACCAATAACATTCTTCAGAGAAATAAAAAAAATTAAAATTTGTATGGAATCACAAAAGGTCCCAAATAGCCAAAACAATCCCGAGCAAAAATAACAGAACTATAGATATCACATTACCTAACATCGAAATATACTACAAAGCTATAGTAACCAAAGTAGCATAAAAACAGACATATAGAAAAAGGGAACAGAATAGAGAACCCAGAAATGAATCCATATATCTACAGTCAATTGATTTTTGACAAAGATGCCAAGAACACTCACTGGGGAAATTATAGTCTTTTCAATTAGGAGTGCTGGGAAAACTGGATATCCATCTGCAAAAGAATGAAATTAGACCCCATCCCCACCTCTCGCTCTTTATAAAAATCACCTCAAAATGATCAAAGGTCTAAATGTAAGGCCTGAAACTATAAAATGACTAGAAAAAAAAACATAGGAAAAATGCTTCAGGACATTGTTCTGGATAAAGATTTTTGAATAGGATCTCAAAAGCAGAAACAACAAAAGCAAAAATAAATAAATGGGATCATATTAAATAGAAAAGCTTCTGCAAAGCTCAGAGTAAAACAATCAACAGAGTGAAAAGGTGACCTACGTAATAGGAGAAAATATTTGTAAACTATTCATTTAACAGGGAATTCATATCCAGAAAAAATAGACAAATCATCTGAATGGACATTTCTCAAAAGAAAACAAAAAAATTGCCAACAAATAAATAAAAAATACTCAACATCGCTAATCACCAGGGAAACGCAAAGAAAACCCACAATGAGCAATTATCTCACAGCAATTAGGATGGCTATTATCAAAAAGACAAAAAATAGCAAATGCTGACCAGGAACTAGAGAAAAGTGAATTCTTATACACTGTTGTGGAAATATAAAGTAGTGCAACCACTATGGAGTACAGTATGGAGATTCCTCAAAAACTACCAGTAGAATAACATATGATCCAACAATCCCACTACTGAGCATTTATCCAAAAAAAAAAAAAGGAAATCAGTATATTGAAAAGACATCTGCACTCCCATGTTTATTGTCGTACTAGTCATAATAGCCAAGATATGGAATCGTCCTAAGAGTCCAACAACAAATGAATGGATAAAGACAATGTGGTATATACACAAAATGGAATAGTATTCAGCAATAAAAGAGAATGAAATGCTGTAGTTTGTAGTAGCATGGATGGAACCAGAGAATATTATGTTAAGTGAAATAAGCCAGAAACAGAAAGTTAAACACAACATGTTCTGATTTATATATGAGAGCTAAAGAAAGTTAATCTCATAGAAGTAAAACATAGAATAGAGAATACAAGAGGCTGGGAAGGGTAGGGAGAAGTGAGAAATAGAGAGAGATTTGTTAACTGATTACAACTAGATAAGAATAAGTTATAATGTTCTATAGCACAGTAGGATGACTATCGTTAACAATGACATATAATTTCAAATAGCAACAAGGAGGATATTGAATGTTCTCAACATAAAGAAATGATAACTGTTTAAGTGATGGATATGGTAATTACCTTGATCTGATCACTATACATTACATGTATGAAAATATCAGTATGTGACACCATAAATATGTACAATTATTATATGTTCATTAAAAAATTAAAAATCCAGCTGAGTCCACCTGGACTTCTTATCTATAGAACTATGAGATAATACATGTGTGTTATTTTAAGCCAATATATTTGTGATAATTTATTATGGCAAAAATAGAAAACTAATTAAAGAAGTTTTGAAATGTAGACTATAGCTATGAAGTCAAATGCCAAGCCAAAATTTGGAAGCTTCTGTTGCTAAAAGGTAGTAGGAGAGAAAGTGTACTGGTGGTAATCAGTGGACCCTCAACAGCCACTGTTTGCAAGATTGTGACCTCAGGTTATTCATCTGTGGAGCTTTGACCTAAACAGAGGATCTCTATATATCCTTTTCTTGTGATCTGATGTTATGTTTACACTAAGGCTATACCAGGACTATCTTCCTATTGCAACTGCCCTACAAAGAATATCTGAGCAGTCATGCCACCTTCTACTTGCTTCATAGAGAAACCTGCTCACTTTGGCTGGCTTGATTATCTTTCTCCCTTTACTTTAACACTCTACAAACATGCTTAAGGAAAAGAATAAAAAATTTAACAAAGATAAAAATAGCAGCCTTTATAATGATAACTAAAACAATAGGATGTCTTTCCTAAGCTGAGTGAGTTGGCATAATTTCTGTAGACTTAAGCGTGTTCTATTTTCAAAGATGAGGGTGGAATCCAGGATGATATTTTTAATATGCAGGTGATTCCAGTAAGGATACGCTTTATGGCTGATTGTAGCTCCTGTGGCAAGGTCATTAGATACAGTAGTGGAAGAGGGAGGTAAAGCCAGAGGAGAATGCAAGAGAGGAAAGGAGAAAGAGAGAAGCTGTTTTAGGCTTTCATCCAATCAGTCTTTTCATGAAAACAGAGAAAAGCTAAAATGTTTTGCCTGCATACAGAAGAAAAGAGTAGAATTACAGTTACTAAGAAGACAAATGGACTTTGTCTTCCTTCCAAGTTCATTCCTTCTTTCTTCTCTTTTCCTCAAGCCTAGATTACAATGTTCATCTCTTTCAAAGGCACCTCCACCCCCCTACCAAAGAAAAAAAAAACAAAAAACAGATGAAAAGAAACAAGAAAAGAAAAAAGAGATAAAAAGTTTAAATTAAGAGCAACAGAATGAAAAAGAATATAAAGGACAATATATTTCTCATTAGATTGTATATAGATTAATATTTTATTCCAAGGCATTATAAATAATTGATTATTTTTAGAAGTAGGTAAGTCTGCTCTCAAAAGCTGCAACCAGAGGTATAATGGATCTCCAGCATATGGTAACAAATTATTAAGTGATAATGTTTAAGGCTGTGAACTTTACCAACACTAGCTTTTGATTTTGCTTTTGTTCCATTTAAAATCTTGTAAGATGTTAATTTCCTCTGATAAAGGTTTACTTAAGAAATAAAACTCATTAAGCTCTAAAAGACTCATAAAAATTCACGTTTACCTTCCCCCTGAAATGCTAACTAAATTTCAAGTAATGCAATAAGGTAAAATTAAGCTTTTTTATTTTCAAGTATCTTGGCAATTGACAGGTTTGGAGTTAATTTTGTCTGTTTAATTTTTCTCCCCAAGAATTAGATGAGTCAGAAATTTATTTAAGAAAACATGACCGTCTATAATTTTATGTTGAACCTACCATTTAAGAATTGTGAAGAGCCTCAGACTTATGAAAGTTAACTTTTTATCATTTTAGATATCTTTTTAAAACAAATCACATGGGTCTTTTAGTTACAAGGTGGTAGAGTTAGAAAAGGTTTTAAAAAATAACTTGCCATGTTTTTATTAGAATTAGGACGGGATATTTGTGTAAAATCCACTGAGGAGACCTGTTGTGGGTTGAATTGTGTGCCCCCAAAGATGCTGAAGTCTTAATCTGTAGTACCCATGAAGGTAGTCTTTGGAAACTGGGTCTTTGCACATGATCAAGTTAAGATAAGGTCATTAGGATGTGCTTTAACCAATATGTCTGTGTTCTTATATAAAAGGATAAATTTGGACCCAGAAACAGACATGTATGGAGGGAAAATCATGTGAAGACATGGAGAGAATGCCATCCATAGCTGAAAAAATCCTGAGACTACCAGGAGGTAGGAGAGAGGCATGAAACAGACGTATCCTCACAGCGCTCAGAAGAAACCAACGCTGCTGCACCTTGAATTTAGATTTCTAGACTCTAGGTGTGTAAGACAATAACTTTCTGTTGTTTAACCCATCCATTAGAAAGCTCTTGGAGACAGTGACAAGGCCCAAGGCAACGAGCATACAGTTAGGTGGTCTGTCACTCTTTACACATGCTTTTGGAAATTGTGGCAATGGCCTTTCTCTATGCCCCAGAGAGTCTCCTGAATTTGAGAACACCAGTGGAGTTCCTCCCAAAACATTTGTAGCTGGATTGGCTCCATTATTGGTATTCAAAAGGAACCTCCTGTGAAATAACTGAAATCCTCACCCTTCTTTCCACTATTCTTCCCTATTCCCTTCATTTTTCCTTCATTTTTTTTCCTCTTTCATATGCACACACAAAACATCCTCACAAGACACCATCCACATTTCATTGGAAGAAGATGGTACTTTGACCTATCTCCTTGTGTAGAGTTGAAAACTCAACTATCTCCTGGAAAGAAACTTATGTTAAATAATTGGGAATCCACCTTACCTCACAGATATTTTCCTCTGTTCAATAAAAGTAGATGTAAAAAATAGGCAGAATTAATATGTTCTTAAATTAGAAATGCTCAAAATAAAAAAGACATCAGTTGTTCCTAAGTTAATTAAAAATATATCACAAGTTTCATTTTTCTGGAGCTATAAAAATTGATTCTAAAAAGCTTATTGAAAAAATCTAAGCAAGTAAGAATATCCAGGGAAATGGAAAAAGAGGAGCCATATATTCAAATTACCACAAACTTAATGGCTTAAGGCAACACAAGTTCATTATCTCACAGTTTTTATAGGGCAGAATTCCAGGCATAACTAGATTTTCTGCTTATGTGTCATAGGTTGAAATCAATGTGTTGGCTGGGCTGTGTCATCTGGAGCTTGGGGTCTTCATCAAAGCACCTTCAGGATGTTGGCAGAATTCACTTTTTTGCAGTTGTAGGACTAAGGTCTCCATTTTCTTGGGAGTTGTGAGCTGGTGGTTGCTCTCAGCAAGTAACGATTGTCTACTTTCCTTGTCCTGTGTCCTTCTATCTTTAAAACCAGCCATGGAGAATCTCCTCTTTCAAGGGCTTACCTGGTTAGATCAGGCCTACCTAGGATAATTCTTGAGGCAAATGTGCCTTATAATGTAACCTAATCAGAAGAGTGATATTCTATCACAATCACCAGTTCCTGCCACACTCAAAGGCTAAGGAATTATAAAAAGGCATGGGTCATTGGTGGTCATTTTAGAATTCTGCCTACCACAAAGCAAAAGGTTATTGATTACAAGACAGTTTATGATGGCAGAAATATAGCCACAAATAAATAATACCATGCAGCTACAACAGAGTACAAAGATGTTCTCAATGTATTGATATAGAAAGACACATTATTAAATGAAAAAACTGTCAAGAGCAAAACAGTATATCGGCTGTTTATTTTTGTGTAAGACTTGAATAAAAGAGTTTAAGGTTATTTATTTTAATTTGGATACATTAGCATGAAGAAACACTTAAAATATATCCAAGAAAGTCATTAACTACTGGGCATAGTTGGGGGAACAGGTGGGCATTGAAGGGATAGAGTCAGGGATGGGAGTAAGGGCTTTCAATGTGTACTTTTTTTAATTTTAGTTATTGAACAATTTAAATGTATTGTCTATTAAAGCTAGAATTTAAGGAACAAGGCAAATATTTATTTATACTTAATGTGCTGGGTGAGAAGTAAAACAATTATTAGAGCTCAGCTCCTGTTCTAAAGTAGCAGACAGTGCGGTATGGTCAAAAGTCAAATCCAAAATTGACTACCATTCAAATAAGAGAAATGTCATAACCGAAAGAAAGCAAACCACTTAGTGGATTTTAAAAGAGAAAGCAGTTCTACCAAGTGCCTGTAAACCCAGTTCTTTAGTTGGATATATTCTTCTGCTCAGTCAGGCTGCCTGCCAGAAAGGGCAGTTTGGATCATTGTCTATCGATCCATGTAATTCAAGCTTTCTCATTTAAAGAACTAAGAGAAGCATTACATCCCTCAAATTTCATTAGACATCATTGGATCATTGATTTCCACATATTGATTAGAAGGCAATAGATAGTCTGCATGATTTAAAAAATAACTTCTTGTAAACCATTAGTCTGTGTGAAAGTCAAAAAATTGAATGCATGTTCTTTATTCTTGTTCTGATTGCTACATAAAGAAGGGTTGCTGATGAAATGTAAACAAGGCATGCTTACCAGACAATTAGACTACCCAAACTCTTTTTTTCTACTTTTTCAACTATCATTACTATAGCTTGAAATTCTTCTTTTGTTATTTTAAAGTCTGTGTATTCATTTCTGTTTTGATAAAAAGCAAAATAAGCCCACTGGATTTTTATGTGGCTTGCCTCTCTACATTTCACTGGAAACTCTGCTCAAATATCAGTTCCACAGTGAGGGCTTCTCTAAAATAACTCCATCCCCCATCCTGCCCCATTACCCTGTTTTGTTGTGTTGTGTTTTGTTTTCTTCCTTTTTTTTCCTTTATAGCAACCACCTTTAAAACCATGACATTTATGTGCTCCCATGCTTATTGTCCATCTCCTCCACAACGTACAGTATACTGCCTGAACAGAACAGGGACTTTCTTCTGCTTTCAGTTGTGTCCAGCATGACTAGAAGAGTGTTTGGCTTAATAGGCATTATATATATATATATATATATATATATATATTTTACATATATTATTAATTATATATAATTAATAGCCAATTTATTGAAGAATAAACTATGTTCACTGCCATCAAATGAGGTCTTATTAATTCCTATTTTCCCTTTCCTCAGGGAAGGGAACAAAAGCTCAGTGCTTCCTCTCTGTCTTACCAGAAGTGCTCCTTTCTGGAAGTGTCATGAGGGCAAGTCATCAGGTCACTGCCTGGCAAATGTGCAAAGCAAAATAAAACGCCAGTTTTCTTTTCTTGCAGAGTGATATACTAAAATATATATATTTATATATATTTAATATATATTTATATATATTTATATATATTTAATATATTTATATATATTTATATATATTTAATATATATTTATATGTATTTATATATATTTAATATATATTTATATATATTTAATATATATATTTATATATATTAAATATATTTTATATATATTTATATATATTTAATATATATTTATATATATTAAATATATATAAATATATATTTATATATATATTATATATATTTAATACATATTTATATATATTTATATATATTTAATATATATTTATATATATTTATATATATTTAATATATATTTATATATTTTATATATATTTTATATATATTTTATATATGTATATATATTTTTTATATATATATATATATTTGGTCTGTGTCCCCAGTTCCTGGCACAAAACTCTTTAAAACCTTAGAGCTTACTGTTTGTGTATAGTAATGAAACAACTCTTGAGGGCCCTAGATAGCTTCAGAACAGGGGCTGCTCTCCAGAAAAACCAACCATGTGATAAGAGGGTTAGAACTTTCAGGCCTATTCTCAACCTCCAGGGATGAGAGAGGGATGGCGATTGAGTTCAATTGCCATTGATTGATGATTTAATTAATCATGGCTAAGTAATGAGAACTTTATTTATTCTTAACAATGGCAGGAATAGAGAGCTTCCAGGTTGGTGAACACATCAATGTGCTTGGAGGGTGGTGTGCCTGGAGAGGCATGGAACCTCTGTACCCCTTTCCCAATACCTTGCCCTACACAGCTCTTCCATTTGGCTGTTCCTGAGTTGTATCCTTTAAAAAAATTAGTAGTCATAGATAAAGTGCTTTCCTGAGCTCTGTAAGTTGTTCTAGTGAATTGTTGATCCTGAGGAGAGCATAGGGGGAACCCCCAAATTTGTAGTCGGTGGATGTAGTGTGGATAGCCTGAGCAATCCCTTTGCAGCTGGCATCTGAAGAGGGGGTAGTTCTCTGGAACCGACCCCTTAACCTGTGCGGTCTGCTCTAGTTCTGGGTAGATAGTGTCAAAATTGAATTGAGTTGTGGAATGCTCAGTTGGTATTGGAAGATTGGAGAATTGGTTGTTTTTGGAAACACACAGCATTTCGTGTCACAAAAAGTGCACTTGTAGGCAACCCAGTCTCTGTGAGCAGTTTTTCCTGGAGGGGCTCATTACCTGCCTGTGGAAGTACCCCCTTCCCATTGCATTCTTTCTCTAATTAGGTAACTCTTACTTGTAGAAATTCCTCAAAATTCTCCCTAGGCTTCTACATGAATAGGTCAGACAGGGTGGTTTTATAAGGATATTGGTTAGGTAGTCCTGGAGGTATATGTTTGACTAGTTTCTTTTGAGTGAACTTTAAGGTTTTAGCTGCAATTCCAAGTTAACATAAAAGGTTCCAATCTCCAATCAGAAATGAACAAGCAAATGTTGAGAATTCTTATTGTGTATATATCGGTCAAAGCTGGTTGACCAACTTTGTAAGGTCCTGAAAGATATTTACTCAGGAGAAGGTCAAAATTCATTCTAGGATCCACTAGACTTCTGACTGACATATGAAAGATCATCTCTTCCATTCTCTAATTTTCATCTTTGGAATCTTGGAACTAAATATAAATTTTAATTAACCCGCAATAAAGGACAAATATTATTTTGTTTTTAAAAACAGTTACAAAAGTAAAACCCATTGACAGGGTAGAGATTTAAACCAAAAGTTGGGATTATATATTAATTCTAACTGAATATTAAATTATCACTTTGGAAGCAAATGTAAAATAGGTACAGATACTGTTACTTCAGTCTTTTTGTCTTAATAAGAGGAGACCTGCCCTGTTTCAACAGAGTTGATAAATACCTTAAAGGAGTTTGTGGTCTGATTTCTTTTATAAGAGACACTAAAGATAAGGATGAAAAGATTATAAGGGATACAACTCAGTTTTAATAGCAGTTTCACAGAGGGTAAAAAGGAGAATGTTAAAACAGGGCACAAGGCCATGACAGGCAAGGGTTAATTTGCATACCACTTCACTTAAAGAATAAGCTGTGTTCTAACTACAAGATTTTTTTTTCCTCTGGCAGTGAGATAAACAATATTAAAACAATTGCAGCTCACCAAATGTGACACTGACTAACTGACAAGCCATAACTAGTTCCGCAAGACATAATTACAACTTTGATTGGACAAGAGACTGATTTCAGTAACTTTCTCCTGATAAACCACTGGCCATGGACTGGTTCTGGCCGGTTTACAGAGGCTGTGCACTTGAGTGCCTTCATGTTCCTGCTTCATCTTCTGATATATAGGGCCTAATTGTAATGCATTAAAGTGTTAGATCTCCACCCCGAAGTGAGCATGAGACATACGTAACATGCATGTTTGCGTACTACACCTGTGCACATCCCCCCTCTTTGTGAATACTCATAGCTTCTACTATAATCTGCTGAAAATTTATACTTGGCCAACTCATTCAACATAAATTATTTTTCCACTCCCCATCCTCAAAGTGCTCGCTTTTGGTCTCTGCCACTTCCCAGCCTGTCAAGATGGCCAACTTACAGGCTGGAACACTTCATAAGAATTAAAGTCTCCTCTCCAAATTTATGAACCTCATGATTTTAAGTCAATCATCATAACAAATGATATCATAAAAGAGTGTTTGATATACTCCAGGCATTATATGAGGCACTTTACATATGTGATCAAATTTGATATTCATAGAATGTTGTGTGGTAGTAGTTATTGCAATGTATAGATGAAATACCTTATTGAAATGTATGGATAAGATACCTCATTTTGCAGAGGTTCACAAAAATTATGCAATTTCTCCAAGATCACATAGGTGATAGCTGTCAGAACCAGGACCTAGGATTATGTCTTTCTGATTCTGTATCTATAGTGTACACCTGTGATTGCCAAGTAATTGTCAGTGACATTGTACTGGTCCGTGAATAATTTCTACTCATCAATAATATAATAAGAACAATATTTTGAGTGTTCTAGAAAACTAAGTTTATTTAATTAAATTTAATTTGAAAGGCTGCCTTTTATCCTGAAGTTGTGTCCTCCCTAGTCTTTGGTCTTTATTTTGAAATATGAAATGATCATGATGATAATAAATTGAGTTTTTTGTTTTTTTAGAGGATCTTAGGGAGAAAAAACAGAACCCTTTGTGAGTTTCCAATATGAAAAATAAAGTTACTTGTAAAATCTAAATATTTGGAAATTAAAGCTTTATATACTCCCTTGTTAATGGAAAGTCTTTATATCTTCTATTGACCCCCCAATTATGACACACTACCTTATGAACATCTTTAATCCTCCTACTTGTCCCTTTTATACTTGGCCAGCAAAAGTCCAGTCCTTGTTAAATCATCTGTCTATATAGTGCCTGCTCCAGAGGCACTGAAATTTGCTCAAAAAAGATTTAAAAATCCCACAAGTATTACACTTTAAATTCATATTCACATAATTCAAATAGACTCCCAGTACTGCTTGGCAGCCATTATGCATTCCCTTTCCCTCTCTCCAAGTGAAGGTTTCATAGCATCAGCTCTTCCCTAAAACATCTCACACCCTTCCCCCACTCTCAGTTTTAAGGAATGACTCCTCGTCATAATTCTTGGAGAAAAATATCAGAAAGAAACACCCTCTCAGGACCAATCTTTTTTTAAAAAAATTTTACTTCAAGTTCCAGGATACATGAGCAGAATGTGCAGGTTTGTTACATATGTATACATGTGCCATGGTGGTTTGCTGCACCTATCAATCCATCATCTAGGTATTAATCCCCACATGCATTAGGTATTCATCCTAAAGCTCTCCCTCCCCTTGCTCCCCACCCCCTGCCAGGAACCAGTGCGTGTTGTTCCCCTCCCTGTGTCCACATGTTCTCATTGTTCCACTCTCACTTAGGAGTGAGAACATGTGGTGTTTGGTTTTCTGTTCCTGTGTTAGTTTGCTGACAATTATGTCAGCTTCATCCATGTCCCTGCAAAGGACAGGATTTTATCATTTTTTATGGCTTCATAGTATTCCATGGTGTATATGTATCATGTTTTCTTTATCCAGTCTATTATTGCTGGGCATTTGGGTTGGTTCCAAGTCTTTGCTGTTGTGAACAGTTCCACAATAAACATACATGTGCATGTGTTTTTATAGTGGAATGATTTATAATCCTTTGAGTATATACTCAGTAGTGGGATTACTGGGTCAAATGGTATTTCTGATTCTAGATCCTTAAGGAATCGCCACACTGTCTTCCACAATAGTTGAACTAATTTACACTCTCACCAATGGTGTAAAAGTGTTCCTATTTCTCCACAGCCTTGCCAGCACCTATTGTTTCCTGACTTTTTAATAATTGCCATTCTGACTGGCATGAGATGGTATCTCATAGTGGTTTTGATTTGCATTTCTTTAATGATCAATGATGATGAGCTTTTTTTCATATGTTTTCGTTGGCTGCATAAATGTTTTTTTTGAGAAGTGTCAGTTCATATCCTTTGCCCACTTTTGGATGAGGTTGTTTGCTTTTTTCTTATAAATTTATTTAAGTTTCTTGTAGATTCTGGATATTAGACTTTTGTCACCTGGGTAGATTGCAAAAGTTTTCTCCCATTGTGTAGGTTGCCTGTTCACTCTAAAGATAATTTCTTTTGCTGTGTAGAAGCTCTTTAGTTTACTTAGATTCCATTTGTCAATTTTGGCTTTTGTTGCAAAGGCTTTTGCTGTTTTAGTCATAAAATCTTTGCCCATGACTATGTCCTGAGTGGTATTGCCTAGGTTTTCTTCTAGAGTTTTTATGGTTTGGGGTTTACATTTAAGCCTTTAATCCATCTTGAGTTAATTTTTGTATTAGGTGTAAGGAAGAGGTCCAGTTTCAGTTTGTGGCATATGGCTAGCCAGTTTTCCCAGCACCATTTATTACAGGAAATCCTTTCCCCCTTGCTTGTTTTTGTCAGATTTGTCAAAGATTAGATAGTGGTTTTTTGAAAAAATTAACAAAATATATAGACCGCTAGCTAGATTAATAAAGAAGGGAAGAGAGAAGAATCAAATAGACGAAATAAAAAATGATAAAGGGGATAGCACCACTGATTCCACAGAAATACCAACTACCATCAGAGAATACTATAAACACCTCTATGCAAATAAACTAGAAAATTTAGAAGAAATGGATAAATTCCTAGACATATGCATGCTCCCAAGACTAAACCAAGAAGAAGTCGAATCCCTGAACAGACCAATAACAAGTTCTGAAATTGAAGTGGCAATTAATAGCCTACCAACCAAAAAAAAAAAAAGCACAGGACCAGATGGTACCATTCCTTCTGAAACCTTTCCAAACAATTGAAAAAGAGGGACTCCTCCTTAACTCATTTTATGAGGACAGCATCATCCTGATTCCAAAACCTGGAAAAAAAAGAAAACTTCAGACCAATATCCCTGACGAACATCAGTGTGAAAATCCTCAATAAAATACTGGCAAACTGAATCCAGCAGCACATCAAACAGCTTATCCACCACGGTCAAATCCACTTCATCCCTGGGATTCAAAGCTGGTTCAGCATACACAGGTCAATTAATGTAATCCATCACATAAACAGAACCAATGACAAAAACCACATGATGATCTCAATAGATGCAGAAAAGGCCTTCGATAAAATTCAACATCCCTTCGTGCTAAAAACACTCAATAAACTAGGTTTGATGGAACATATCTCAAAACAATAAGAGCTATTTATGACAAACCCATAGCCAATATCATACTGAATGGGCAAAAGCTGGAAGCGTTCCCTTTGAAAACCAGCACAAGACAAGGATGCCCTCTCTCACCACACCAGTCCTTTTCAACATAGTATTGTAAGTTCTGGCCAGAGCAATCAGGCAAAATAAAGAAATAAAACAGTATTCAGATAGGAAGAGAGGAAGTCAGATTGTCTCTGTTTGCAGTTGACGTGATTGTATATTTAGAAAACCCAACAGTTTGAGCTCAAAAATTCCTTAAGCTGATAAGCAACTTCAGCAAACTCTCAAGATCCAAAATCAATGTGTAAAAATCACAAGCATTCCTAAACACCAATAATAGAGAGGCAGAAAGCCAAATCATTAGTGAACTCCCATTCACAATTGCTACAAAGAGAATTAAATACCTAGGAATACAACTTACAAAGGATGTTAAGGATCTCTTCAAGGAGAACTACAAACCACTGCTCAAGGAAATAAGAGAGGACACAAACAAATGGAGAAACATTCCATGCTCATGGATAGGAAGAATTAATATCATGAAAATGGCCATACTGCCCAAAGTAATTTATAGATTCAATGCTATTCCTGTCACACTTCCATTGACTTTCTTTGCAGAATTAGAAAAAACTACTTTATATTTCATATGGAACCCAAAAGGATCCCATATGGCCAAGACAATCCTAAGCAGAAATAACAAAGCTGGAGGCATCATGCTATCTGACTTTGCAAACTATACTTCAAGGCTACAGGAACCAGAACAGCATGGTACTGGTACCAAAACAGATATATAGACCAATGGAATAGAACAGAGAACTCAGAAATAGTACTACACATCAGTGCCAATCTTACTAGCTCATCTGTCTGCTTCATACTCTTTGTTTTCCTTTTGTTAAAATGGATGACATAGCCCTGCTCCAATCACAGTCCACCCCTTCCATAAACACCCTGGTTCCTTTTGCCCCTAACTTTCTCAAAAATTCCAGTCTTTAAATTATCATATTTCTCTCATATTACCAACATCAGTATATAAATGCAACATTATCATTGGCATTCAAATATGCCTTAATATCATGATTCTTGATGTGATCTTTCTTTGAGGTCATGTCCCACTTCAGCTGTATCCTCCTTTTGCTGCTCATCTTTCATAGCAAAAATTTTTGAAAGAGTTATCCATGTAAGTGCTCTCTATTCTACCATTTTTTAATCCTCACCTCAACTCACTTTAATCAAACTTCCTTGGTTACTACTCTACTGAAACTGTTCATACCATCGTCTCTAATAATCACTAGTTTGCCAAAGTCTGAGGTTCATTTTTCTCTTTTATTTTACTAGATTTCAGCAACTTTGACAGAGTAAATGATTCCCTTGCCCTTGAAACCTTATCTTATGTATTCTATAATACTAAGTTCTTTTGGCTTTATTTTCCCTAACTAGTTACTTCTGCTTCTCTTTTTGCTATCTTCAATACCTTTTCTTAATCTCTAAATATTGATGTTATGACAATCTTGTTTCTGGAAATTTTTTTTAATTGCTACTCTTTTCTTGGATAATTTTACCCAGATTTATGCCTTGAAATTTAGTCTCTGCGGGGGCACACTAAACCCATTAGTTTCATCTCGATTTTTACTCTGAACTCCAGCCTCTTGGACCCAACACTATGTGACTTATCCATTTGAAAGAAGTATCTCAATTATTAAGTGTTTAAAACAGAGTTCTTGATCCTCCAATCCAACATTAATGTTTCCCTGTCTTTTCCATCTAAGTGAATGTCATTACAATTTAGTAGCTCAACCTCAAAACATGACAGTTAATCTTTATTCCTCTTTCTTCTACCTCCAATATGACATATAGAATGTCACTATGTTCTGTAGACCTAAAATTGTGCACTCTTTTCCTCTGTAATCCTACCATCTAGTCTTCTGTTGACAACTGAAATGACTTTTAAATGGCTTTAGCATTTTCTTTCTGTTCCTATTCTCCCAGCCTGTGCCCAGTCTCTATATGATATGCACAGGAACTTCTGAAATCACATTCTATTTCTCACCTGCTTGAAAATCTTCAATTATACACAATAACCCTCAGAATAAAATCCTAACTCTTATTTACAAAGGCCTGTCTGCTCAAATTCCTGCTGATGTCTCTGACCTCATCTCATTTTATGATCCACTGTCCTCACTAAGTAGGATCTTGGACTATTTTTTCTGAAATACTTTTCCTAGATTTTCAAGAAGTTGACTCAAACTCAGTCTTGGTTCAAATGCCTCTTCCTTAGAATTTTTTTTTTCTGACTATACAACCTGAAATAACTCCATAACACATCACACCATTTTATTTTTATCATAGCACTTGTCATTTCCTCATTTACTCTGTTCATTTGTTTATTTTTGTTTCTACGGTGGAACGTAAGCTCCATGAAAAAAAAATTGATCATGTCTGTTCGTCTTTTGCTATTTTCATAACTCTCAAAACACATGGACACATAGAGGGGAACAACAGACACTGGGGCCTGTTGGAGGATGGAAGGTGGGAGGAGGAATAGGATCAGGAAAAATAAATGGTGAGTACTAAGTTTAATAGCTGGGTGAAGAAATAATCTATACAACAAACCCCATGACACAAGTTTACCTATATAGCAAACCTGCACATGTACTTCTGAACTTAAAAGGTTTTTTGTTGTTGTTGTTTGGTTTTGTTTTTAAGGGGCAGGACTTGAAAATCAGTAGGCTTTCTATAAATTCTCATGGAGTAAATAAGTGGTTTTGTTTTTAAGGGGCAGGACTTGAAAATCAGCAGGCTTTCTATAAATTCTCATGGAGTAAATAAGTGAATGATCAGGTGAATGATTATCATTCACGTATGTTACAGTAAAAATATTGAGAACACCTTGAAATAAATGGAAGTGTAATGTCAACTATAAGCATACCTCAGAGATACTATAGGTTTTGTTTCAGACCACCATAATTAAGCAAAAATCTCAACAAAGTGAGTCACACCCATTTTTTGGTTTCTATGAGCATATAGAATGTGTGTTTACACCACAGTGTGGTCTATTAAGTGTGCAATAGCATTATTTCTAAAAATATAATGTACATACCTTAATTTAAAAAATTGATTGCTAAAATGCTAATGATCACTGAGCCTTCAGTAAGTTATAATCCTTTTGCTGGTGGGGGGTCTTGCCTCAGTGTTTATGATTGCTGACTGATCAGAGGGATTGTTGCTAAAGGTTGGGGTAGCTGTGGCAATTTCTTAAAATAAGACAATAATAAAGGTAACCACATTAATTGACTTTTCCTTTCATGAAAGATTTATCCATAGCATGCAGTGCTGTTTGATACCATTTTACCAACAGTAGATGTGTTTTCAAAAGTTGAAGGCAATTATTTGAAACCCTGCCTCTGCTTTATCAACTAAGATTATGTAATATTCTAAATCCCTTGTTTTCATTTCAACAATGTGCGTAGCATCCTCACAAAGAGTAGATTCCATCTCAAGAAACAACTGTTTTTGCTCAACTGTAAGAACTCCTCATGTTTTCAAGTTTGATCATGACATTGCAGCGATTCAGGAGCATCTTCGTGCTCCACTTCTAATTCTAGTTTTCTTCCTGTTTCCATAAATCTGAAGTTACTTTATACAAAGAAGTCTTGATTTCCTGAAAGTCATCCATGAGGATAGGAATCACTTTCTTCCAAACTCCTGTTAATGTTGATATTTTGCTTTCCTCTCATTAATCACAAATGTTCTTAATGACATCTAGAGTGATAAATCGTTTCCAGAAGATTTTCAATTTACCTTGCCCAGATCCATAAGAGAAATTACTATCTATGGCAGGTACAGCTTAGGATGTGAAAGAAAATTACTCCTTGATCCATGGATGGGCTACAGAATAGATGTGTTAGCAGGCATCAAAACAACATTTATATCCTTGTACATCTTCATAGAGCTCTTAGGTGACAAGGTGAATTGTCAATGAGCAGTAATATTTTGAATGCAGTGTTTTTTCTTAGCAGTAGGTCTTAAGAGTGGGCTTAAAATATTCAGTAAACCGTACTCTAAACAGATGGGCTGTCATCCAGGCTTTGTTGTTCCATTGTTAGAGTACTGGCAGAGTAGATTTAGCATAATTCTCAAGAGCCCTAGGATTTTCAAAATAACAAATGAGCATTGGCTTTAACTTAAAGTCACCATCTGCTTTAGTCCCTAACAAGAGAGTCGGCCTGTCCTTTGAAGCTTTGAAGCTTGGCATTCACTTCTCCTCTGTAGCTATGAATGTCCTAGATGGCATCTTCTTCCAATAGAAGGCTATTTTTCTACATTGTTGTCTACATTTGTTTTTTAGTATAACCCTTTTCATCAATGATCTTAGCTATATCTTCTGGATAACTTACTGCAACTTCTACATTAGCACTTGCTGCTTCACCTTGCACTTTTATGTGATGGAGATGGCTTCTTTCCTTAAACTTCAGGAACCAAACTCTTGGTAGCTTCCAACTTTTCTTCTGCAGATTTCTGATCTCTCTTAGCCTTCGTAGAATTGAAGAGAGTTAGGGCTTTGTTTTGGTTTTGGATTAAGAAAATGTTGTGACTAGTTTCATCTTCTATCCAGTCCACTAAAAGTTTCTCCATATTGGCAATAAGGCTGTTTCCCTTTTCTGTGATTTATTTGTTCACTGGAGTAGCAATTTTAGCTTTTTTAAAGAACTTTTTATTTGCATTCACAACTTGGCTAACTATTTGGCACAAGACACCTAACTTTTGGCCTTTCTCAGCTTTCAACATACCTTCATCACTAAGCCTAATCATTTCTAGCTTTTGATTTAAAGTGAGAGGTGTGCAACTCTTCCTAACACTTGAACACTTAGAGGTCATTATAGCATTATTAATTGGCTTAATGTCAATTTTGTTGTGTCTCGGGGAATAAGGCCAGAGTAGAAGAAGAGAAACAGGAGAGTTGCCCATCCTCAGTGGATTAGTCAGAACACATACAACATTCATTAAGTTACCATTGTGGGTGTGGTTTTGGCTCCTCAAAACACTTAACAATAGTAACATCAAAGATCACTGATCACAGATCACTATAACAAATATAATAATAATGGAAACGTTTGAAATGTGAGAATTACCAAAATATGACAGAGACATGAAGTGATTACATGCTGATGGGAAAAATAGTTCCTATAGACTTGCTCACCACAGGGTTGCCACAAACCCTCAGTTTGTAAAAAACAAACAAACAAACAACAAATACACCCTACGTGTAAAACTCCATAAAGTTAAGCACAAGCAAACAAAATATGTTTGTAATTAAAAGTTAAAATTATATGCTTAAAAATATACTTTATTGTCTTCAGGTAAACTAACTCAGGTTAACCAAAAAAAAAAAAAAAAAATTACGTAGAAAACCTGTTAAGAAGCCTGCTTTAAGAAACCGAAGACAGTAAAATTACAATTATAGTATTGATTACTTTGAGGTAGCAACATTTTTCTAAGAGCTTTAAGTAATTATATTAAATCAGATAAATATTTCCTCTGCAATCCCTTTTAATACTCTTCTTTAGCTTTAAAAGCTTGATTTTTCTTTGAAATTCACAAGGTAAATTTCACCCTAATCTATGACTGAATAATTATACATTTTTAATGAGTGGAGCCTGAAATAATGTGACTCATGTAGTGAAACTAAATTTTTAAAATACTTGGTATATAAAAATTTCTCTATGAAAGTTCTAGCTCATTTTCTAGCGTGTTTCTCTTAAAATTTTAAGTGTATTAATTATGGGATGATAAAAATAGATTTTCAATTGATCTTGAAATAGGGCAAGTCTTTAAGATCCAGGGCATGAATATATATTTGGTACCATCATGGCATTCTTTTAGTTATAATCTCTTGGCGACACAATAATTCTTCTATTTCTAGAAAAGATTAATTAAAATCCTCTGAATGTCTTCATTTCTGATTTTCTTTCCTAAATATATATTGAGGACAAATCATGTGCCAGGCACTATGTTTGATGCTGTATATGTGATGATGAGCTCTATAGTTCCTGAGCTTAAAGAATACCTGCTTGAGTTGAGACAGGAGGATAAATAAATAGACAATAACTAGTATTATGAAAGGTATAAAAGGCCAATGTGAAGGTGCTATTAAAGGGGCTTCTAATCTGAGTGGGAGGGAAGTCATAAGGCACAGACATCTTCCAAAGAAGAAATGATGCCTGTTTTGAAACTTGAAGTCTATAGAATATATGTTTGCCAGGTAATATGGAAGGGAAAGGGAAGGATATTTTTGATAGGTTCAAATTCAGAGACTTCGAAGTTCGGAAAGAGTGAGAGAATGTCGAACATATGAGAAACTCAAGGCAGTTTATCATACAGTTTAGAATATCAGTGAGGTTTTGGCAATAGATGGGACCGTAGTTCTGAGCAGAGTCCAAATCATTGAGACCTTAAGACGTATCTCAGGGCTGGATATACCATGGATTAATGTGGGGACCAAGGTTATGAAAGGTTCTGTCATCTGTTGGCTATTACTTTTTGCAGTTTATATAATATGCCGGTGCATTTTCATCGTCTTTATAATGTTTAAAAGCACAGTAAAAGCTCTTTTAAAAAGTTTGTCAAAGTGGATAATCATAAAAAGTGATGTACATATCCTAAACGTGATTATAACTTAAAGATAAGCATTTGCCAATATTTTGATGAAGAGTAAAAAACATTTCTTTTAGTATTAGTCTGCTGATTGGACTTCCTTGTTGTATTCCATAAACCGCATCCATTATGTATCATCTGTGATTTTTCATATTAGTTTCTTTAAAATGAATGAGAACTTAAATACTTGTGAAGCAATCTGTCTACACAATCTTCCTTAATTTATCTATGGTTCCCAACACTTTATAGTGGCTGCACAAACTTGTAATACAAGATAAATTCTTTTTATTGACCCATCTTTATTAGATTCCAAAAATGATTTACTTAATGTTTATAAAAAAAAACATTATTTAGAAATTTCCAATTATTGGTTTATAAGTTATTTTAAAAAATTACAAATTTTAAAACAGTCACACCTGAATTTGACAAGTTTGGGATCTGTCTGAACTCATTCTTGGTAGCATTAAAGTGAAACTTTGAATGGAGAAATTAAAACTCTTCAGCAATCTTCAGTGTTAAAGATTAATTTCATGATTTTAAGTGTTCAGTGCTCATTATGTTTCATGGAAGAGGGTAGAGAATGTCTTTTATCTACAGAGTCTTTTAGATAAAAGATGTTTAAGAGGGTTCTTTGTAATAGCATCTATCTTATAAAGTTTATGGAAAAGTTTAATGAGATTGCATTAAGTCTGATGCATAGTACATTTTAAAGACATTATTTTTAGTTCATATCTAACATCATTTACCCTTAACAGCAGAGTCTAAATAATTTTCTTTGGTGTTTACTTCTAGGTCAACACTAGCCCATACTATGCTGTTGTGGGAATTAGTGAAAACACCTTATTGAAAGAGGTGGAGTCTTTAGGACCCATGACTTATGAGACAACTAAGCTTGCATATGAACTAGAAAAAAAGTGTTCCTTATTCCAAAAGCAGGGGCTGGATGTCATTCCCCTCTCGTCCTCTTAGCTGAGTGCCTTTATTTGGAGAACAATCAGAAAAACCATACATTGCAGGTCTGGATCACAACCAAGTCTTGCTGAAATGACAACATTCATGTTTCAGTGCATCTCAGAGTTTGAGAACTGACATGTTGTGGTCAGGGTTCTGACCTCTCCTGTTTCCAGAAAAAAAAAAAGTCTGCTTCCTTTAGGTGATCAAATCATTTTTCTGTTTTCATTTCTGTGTAACTAGTTTGTGAATTTCCATCAGTATATCCACAAGAATTGTACATTGTTGAGGGAGGCTCTTTTGTATTTTTGCCTGAGATGAAAGAGATAGGGATTGAGTGTTTATGAGGGAAGACTTTCTAGTTAACAAAAAACGACATCCATATGCATGATATTTCTCCTTCAAACAGGATGACAGAAGAAAAAAATTGTGGACTAAATATAATTTTCGCATATTTATCTTACTTGGATAGAGAATTGAATCACTTAATCCTACAATCTCTATTGCAATGAGTTTACGTATAGACCAAGGCAGAATTTTCTTCAGCTTAGAGGGAACTACCCTTTCTTTTGGTCCTTCTCAAATGTCACAGATTTCATGAGGCAAAAAGCATATAATTTTACATAACTTAAACTTGGAGATTCAGCCGTCTTCCTTCTTGGATTTCCTGCTGATACTGAATGCAAACTTGTAAAATATCAAGTGGCATATTTTTATCACTTGGAAACAATATATACATGAAATGACAGTTTAGTTGAATTCTTACTTGTGGTTAATTTTATTTCTGATACTTTGAGTATAAACAAACGTCCTTCAATAGAAGACATTCTTTGTTTTTTTCTTGAGCCCATCTTCTGCAGAATACATTTTGATTCATAATAGGGGTTTATTTATTGGGCGTATTCATGATCAGATTATATGAAGAAGAAGCAGTTGTTTACTTTGCAGAATTATCAAGAAATTGGAAGGTCTAGCAACAGGTCCTATAAGCCTGGGAAAAAGAATGAGATATGTTGACTCTTCACTGACTGTGAAAAGATTTTTGATCAGATTAGGGAAGCCTATAAAAAAGGGTAAAATAACATAGGGTTTGCTAATAAGTGTTGGATTACTGTAAGAATGGAAGCAATCAGTAAAAACAAAAGTGATGTATATTTTAGCTGAAGTTAAAAGAAAATATTTGTTATTTTAATTTTTAAAGTACCAAGAAAATAAATAATCTGCACACCATTTTTCAGTTTTCACCTTTGTATTAGTCCATTTTCATACTGCTGTAAAGAAATGCCCAAGTCTGGGTAATTTATAAAGAAAAATAGATTTAATGGACTCACACTTCCACATGGCTGGGAAAACCTGACAATCATAGTAGAAGGCAAAGGAGGAGCAAAGGCACGTCTTACATGGTGGCAGGCAAGAGAGCCTGTGCAGGGCAACTGCCCTTGATAAAACCATCAGATCTGATGAGACTTATTCACTATCATGAGAACAGCATGGGAAAACCCACTCCCATTATTGAATTACCTCCCACTTGTTCCCTCCCACAACACATGGGGACTATGGGAACTATAATTCAAGATGAGATTTGGGTGGGGACACAGCGAAATCATATCAACCTTTATCATGATTCCAATTTTATTATTTCTCAAAACATTTCCTAGTCTGCTTATCCAGAAGCAAAACTATCTTGATCCTTTGGATGCTCTCTCTTAAAGTACTTATGTTTTCTAGCTTATTTTGATTCATTTATATACATGGCTTTCCTGAATTGTAAGATTCTTGAAACCCAGGATAATGCCTCTCAAAAGTCTTGCCTTCAGATGATTTTCCACAAAAGTTTAAAGTATAAATGAATCAACGAATATGTGCTGTGGAACAAGATCTCAGCATTTTAGACATTAGCTCCTGAGTGCTGTGAAGATAAAACACTCCAGGGCAAGTGTGTCAAATCTGCCATAAAATTTTAGGAAACCTTAAAAATGTCACCGAAAAAAACAACGATAAATAGAACATAGATTTATGTTTTAAAACGTGATGACAGCTGAAACTCATTAAGTTCAATGTCAGTGTAAAATGACAAACCTTGGGATAGTTCTTTGTTAAAGCCTTTAAGGTATTATAGCCTCTGGCAGGAGGTAGAGCCAAGTGGTTAGACTGTAGGAAAAAATATAAAACATATATCTCAGACACCTACAAAGGAGTTTTACTTGCAGTGCGCTGAAATAAAGTGTTGACAAAGTTATTAATGTTTTCTTCTAAGGAGTATATATTTTCTTTAAAAATGAAGAGGAGACAGAGTGCCTAAGTCAGTTTGACCGTTTATGATAATAAATAGTCTTACTCCTCATAAGGTTAAAATATTATACTTCAGTAATATACATATCACCATTGTTCATCAGATAAGTTTTACAGGAAGTCAAATAAATTCTCTCCTGCCAGCCTTATGGCAGTAGCTCAACTGTCTCACCCAGGGCACTAACAAATGGTGGAAAGGTCTAACTGCGTTTTATCTCAGTGAAGGCTAGTTAGTGAATAAATAAAAATAATATAAAAAGAGGTGGGATGCCTGTTAACCTATACAGGTATGTCCCATGGAACCCAATGGCAAAAAGCACACTTGAGACTCCAGAAAGAAGGCGATATGAATTGGCAGGTTCCCAGGTAGCCACTGTGTGTGTGTGTGTGTGTGTGTGTGTGTGTGTGTGTGTGTGTGTGTGTTTAAGTCATGGTCTCTCATCTTGGCTTCTCCCTTCAGCTCTGCTTGATTTTGCTCTTTCTGTTTCTCCGGGCATATGATGGAAGTTGGGTTTCTTGCAGCTACCAAATTAAGATGTTCTCAATTCAACTTAAACAGCTGAAACCAGCATCTATCTCCCATTCACCCAAACTTCTGGAAGAGAGAATATTCATGATCTAGCTTGGTGCATACCTTGTCCAATCAAATTCGGTTACAGGATTGGTGTCAGATATTTTAATAGAATATTTGACATAAATTTGATAGAATATTCCTCAATTTGCAAGATCTTCAGTCTCACTAGCCTCTCATCACTCAGGTGAAAACTGTGCCAAAGGAAGTTGTCAGAGAAATTGAGAATCAAAGTATGAATGTGGCCGTCTCAGGAGCGTAAAATGATACAGTAGGTGATGGTTTTCCTTTTACACCCTCTCAACTGCCACCATCCAATCATCCAATCTTAAAATTGTCTGTTCGCTTTATTTCTTCAGGTGCTTATTGAGTCAGCATCAACAAATCAGCTTCCTCACTACAGCGTCTCCCAAGGAAAAACTTGGACACTTGCCATAGCCCCACTTAGATAAATCAATGCCTGATTATCAACTATGGAATAATCAATATTTAAATTTTATACACGTTAGTCAATGAAAAGCCAAACTTCTTGACTACTCTTGAAACATCTGGATGAAAATAGGAAAAATAATGTTGAATATGATGATGTAATATAAGTGATCCTCTTAAATTGTTAAAGAATAGTCTTCCTTTTGATTACCTTGCATTTTGATTAATTTATTATCTTCTCAATATTTTTAGGCAAACACTAGCCAAACTGCATATGCATATATAGAGACATACATGCACACATACATACACACAAATGCACTTACAGGTGCATATTAATGCTAACATTATTACTACATTTCTAACATTTCTTACTGCAGCTCTAGGAAACTAATATAATCTGAAATAAAAAAGACCATAATCTCAGAGATATTGCTGGCTCTGTATAATCATTTGCTAGATATATATCTAACATTATTAGCATGAACATACACCTGTAAGTGCATTTGTGTGTATGTATATGTGCATTACATTATTAATGGCACCATTTATTAGGCTCTAACTAAATGCCAGGTATTGTCTAAGTGGCTCATATATATTATCTATTATGATCCTCAAAGCTAGTTTTGAAGACTGAACAATTTAGGAAGACTGAACAATTTTCCAAGAGTCACATTGCAGAGTTGTGATTACAACTGTAATAGAAAGAGAAAAGGTGCTGGCTTGGTGCAGTGACTCACGCCTATAATCTCAGCACTTCAGGAGGCCAAGGTGGGCAGATTGCTTGAGGCCAGGAGTTCGAAACCAGCCTGGCCAACATGGCAAAACCCTGTCTCTACTAAAAATGCCAAAATTAGCTGCTGTGGTGATGGTGCACACCTGTAATCCCAGCTACTCAGGAGGCTGAGGCATGAGAATTGCTTGAACCCGGGAGGCAGAGATTGTAGTGAGCCGAGATGGCACCACTGCACCAGCCTGGCAACAGAGTGAGACTCTGTTGAAAGAGAGAAATAGAGAAGGGAAGGAAGGAAGGAAGGAAGGAAGGAAGGAAGGAAGGAAGGAAGGAAGGAAGGGAGGAAGGAGGAAGGAAGGAAGGAAGGAAGGAAGAAGGAAGGAAGGGAGAGAGAGGAAGGGAGGAAGGAGGAAAGGAAGGAAGGATGGACGGGAGACAGAGGAAGGAAGGAAGGAAGAAAGGAAGGAAGGAGAAAGAAAGAGAGGGAGAAAGAAAGAAGAAAGGAAAGGGAAAGAAAGAAAAGAAAGAAAGAAAGAGAGAAAAGAAAAGAAGAGAAAAGAAAAGAAAGGGAAAAATGGTGCTATTGAAAACCACACCTGCTACTTTTACTGCTGCTGCTATTGAAGCTACTGTAATATTTGTTATGGAATGAATTGTGGTCCCAAAAATATATATTGAAGTCCTAACCCCTAGTACATCAGCACGTTCCCTTATTTGGAAACATGGTTGTTGCAGATATAATTAGTTAAGATGAGGCCACACTTAGTAGGTTAGGTCCTTAATCCAATATAACTGGTGTCCTTAAAAGAAATGAAGAGACACAAAGGTACAGATACACACAGGGAAAATGCCATGTGGCAATGTAGGCAGAGACTGCAACGCTGTGCCTGCATGCCAAGGAACAAGGATTGCCAGCAAACCACCAGACATTAGGAAGACACACGGAAAAATTCTCCTCTACAGGTTTGAGACGGAGCATGACAGTGACAACACCTTGATTTTGGACTTGTAGCCTCTAGCCATATAACACAATGAATTTGTATTGCTCTGAGCCAACAAGTTTGCTGTACTTTCTTACTGCAGCTCTAGGAAACTAACATAATCTGAAATAAAAAAGACGATAATCACAGAGACATTGCTGGCTCTGTATAATCATTTGCTAGATATATATCTTTAATGGTGGCTTTGAACATATTACTTCTCATAGTAGAAAGATAAGAATTTGGATCAGAGATGGCAATCTGGAAAAATGATATAATAAAATAAGATGGGAAATTGAAGGGAATAAAATAAACCAGCAGATGGTAAGAGGTTGAGGCAGTTGGGGATGGGGTTGGGGGAAAGCCAGCAAGAGGGTGCTGTTGGCAATCGTACTAACAGAGTGTCTAATACTGTCGATCGCTTAGTAAAGGCGGATTCTGCATTTAAAAACTTGCCCACTTACTAAAATGTATCTGTAACCCCAAAATCCATACGAGTGGTACTTTTTCAGTCATTCATAGATATGTGCAAAATGGCAAACAAAAAAAAATTTGAGTCTTTGGATGGGCACAGCTTGAGGTCAACGGACAAAGCAATGCTCTGTCATCCTGTTTCAGCCTTTATATGGTGAAAAAGTATTCCTTTTGCAATACACTTAGTGACACTTTTAGACATTTTTTTTGGTGTCCTTTTTGTTTGTAATTTTTCTGTTTAAAACAGCCCCCAAGCATAGTGCTGAAGTGCTGTCTACTGCTGTTAAGTGAAAGAAGGCTGTGGTATGCCTTACAGAAAAAAAAAAAAAAAGTCTTAGATAAATTTAAATCAGTCATGAATTACAGTGCTGTTGGTTGTGAGTTTCATGTTCATGAATCACCAATATATATTTTTAAAAGGTGTTTTTAAACAGAAACACACATAAAACAAATTTATTTATTAATTTGGTGATGGAATGTTGTCACCGGAGTTTCACAGGAGACTAACCTTTCTTCCCCCCAGGACCAATGTTTCAGTATTGCTAATTCAGGATTTGTACAGACTTTATTGAACAAAGCTGTAACAAGAATCCACTGTATATGATTTACATTTGTATTCTTTGTGTTTCAATGGTGTAAACTCTTCACCATGATCCACAAATCTCCAGTAAAATTTCTGCTGCAGACTTTTATCTGTGGTTTACTTTCTGTTGATGGGTGAAAGAGGAGGCTGGGGACAAGGCAAAGAGTCCCAGGTTTTGTCAGATGTCGGAACTGCACTAAGATAAGGAAATAGTCTCAAGAAAAAAAGCAGAGAATTAAGGAAAGCAGGAATTCTAAGCTGCAGGTTGACCATGCAAGGCTCCCAGTAGTTCACAGCTATTTTGAAGAGCATACAGTCTTTTACAAGACACTGATTGAGGATTTAAGATATTTGCCCTTAGATGTTACATGGCTGGTATTTGGGTAACATAGTCCAGATATGTCTGATTCCCTTTGCCTTGGCTTTTAACCAAGAAGAAATTGGTTCAAGTTTTAAGATGGATTTATCTTGAATGTTTAGCCCAGACATTAATTATACCAAAAATCTTACTTTGACCTGGACTACTTTAATTTGGACCATACACACCTCACCAGTATTATAACATGTACACTGTATAATAATTATTTTGTGTAGGTCTAATTCCTTTTTTAAACCATGAGTAACTTGAGGCAAGAACTATGACAGTTCATCTTTTTATCTGTTTCACCTAGCCCAGTAGTAGACACAAAGGAACCCAGCTCAATAAAATCTTATTTTTGTTCTTTTTGGTGTCAAGTCCTTATACAAAGGATCTCTTAAGACTGTATTTATAATTGTGAAGGAAATGAGTGTAGCAATTAAGAGCTCAGATTCTGGAGTCAAGAAGACCTGGATTTCATTTCTAAATTATACAACCTCAGACAGAAAAGTCTAAGTTTCAGTTTCCTCATCTTTAAAAACATGAACAACAATAATATCTATCTCGTAAGGTTGTGAATATTAAATAAAACATATACATAACTCCCCTGGCATGGTGTACAACTTGTAGTATTATATTAGTCAAAAAACAATGACAATAGTAGTGGTATTACTTGCACAAATGCTGAGAGATCAGTATTAGTTGGGGTTGTGTTGAGTTATGCCATCTGCAAAGTGGAGCTTGAAATAGGATTCAGAATAATAGAGCAAGCCTTATAGAGAATATAAATTTATATATAATCCAAAGCATCCTCGGGAACTCTTTTGTAACTACCTTTAGTAACTACTCCTTTTGCCTCCAGAAATAGCCACATCGCTTGACATTCTAGAGCATATTGTTGACACACAGGTTTCCATGGAACCTTTTAATACTACTGAACATCCTGCCACTCATGCACAACGGGGAGACAAGGAGAGAGACTGACGCAATAGTCCTATTAGAAGGTCCTGGCTAGTTTGGACTACCTGCTGTTGGAAGATTTGACCAAAACGAGTTTCAGTACAAATGACATTTTTTTTTCATTTATTTATCTAGGAAACATTTTATGAGTGCCTACTTTGTGTCAATCACTTTTCTAGGCACTGAAAACACATCAGTGAATAAGATGACAAGGTTCCTGCACTCTTGGAGCTTACATTACAATGAGTAGTCTGATTTACAAAAACACACATAAACAAGATAGATAAGGTAACAGTGATGGGGAGGGATGGGTGTGGTGATGATCGGAGAAGCCTTCTCTGAGATGAGTTTTGAACTAGGATCTGAAAGATGAGCTAGCACCTATAAGGAGACCTACACATTAAAGCAATCTAGGTAGTGAGATCAATAAGGATCATTCTTTGAAGAAGAGTCAACTTGGTATGTTCCAGAGACAAAGTGAAAGCCAATGTGGCTAGACTGTAATAATGAACAAGCAGGATAGTGTAGGAGTTGAATTCAAAGAAATAGGCAGAAGCCAGATAATATAAGACACTCTAGGCTATGACGAAGAGCTTTATTTTGCTATAATCACAATAGGAAAACATTGAAATAAAATGTGAAGAGATCTGAGTTGATATTAAAAACTTAGAATTTGGTTTTGTTTTATAGAGAATGGATTATGGGGATAAGAGTGTTGAGAAAACATGGAATGAGAGAAATTATTGGGAAGTTACTGCAGAAATCCAGACTATACATGCTGGTGACTTGGATTAGATATATAGCAACAAGAAATGGGAGGGGGCAATCATGGTATAATATATTTTAAAAATAGAACTAACATACATTTCTAATGGATTGAATCAAGAGTTGAGAGAAATTATGGGTGTAGTAAAAGATCATGGTCATGAAAAAGACATTTTTGTAGGTGCTGTCAGAATGAGCAGGTAGGCATGTAGGAATCTAACAGCTTGTCTGGGAAACTCCCAGAGTCAGCCCAAAATGGCTACAGTCAGGGTCCCTGAATGGAAGGAGCACAATGTAAGTCACAAGAGAAAATATTTCTTAGATCATATGGTATATTATTTGACTCCAAATACATCCTTTTATCTGATTACCACACTGAACATGGGCTGTAGTAGTAGGCAGGATTTATTTGACTCTAAGTGATTCAGAGTAACTATATAAATTTCTGGTGTTATTCAGCTATATGGGGGACATCTAACCCTGTAGATGGTCAATCCACAGAAGAAGTCTGTATGTTGCATGTTAGAGATGTGTAACTCTAAGATCCTTTCTTCACATTATCCTTGTTAGTCTGCTCCCACTTGTAAATTAACCTTTTTACTGGATAATTATAGCTACAGGGTAGAAGTATTTTCTTCAGCCTCAGTAGTGTTCCAAAACCTCAATAGTGTTAATGAACTTCAGGACTGAGCTTTCCCAGGGTGAAAGGACCCATAACATTCCTGGAAATAAAAACTTTTTTTCCCAGTGTTCCAAATGCTCAATTACCAAAACATCTACACTTACTTCTAAATTGAAACTATAAAAATTTTCACAGTAGGCTTGCTTTGAGTTATCTTTTTCTTTTTGTCAGCTACTTCCTTGTCTCCTCCTCAACCCCTTATCCTGTATTTTCTTCCTCATCCTTTTCCTCCACCTTTTTTCTTCTTTTAGTGTCATCATCTCTATTAATGTGCTAAATGACTCCAGCTGTGGGCTCCAAGTGTGGGAGCCAGTACTTCAATTAATCACATATTCTTTTGTTCTCTTACTTTCCCATGAGCAAATCACGTATTTCTGTTTTCTAATGGAGCTGCTGCAGCATGTACATTCTATATTTCTCAGGCTTTAAGGCAGACTTTGAAACTGACCTGATGAATTTGCTTGTTTCTGAGTTATGATATGCTAGTGGGTCTGGTGGGATGGCTGCTGTTTGTACAGGAAGTCACCTAGAAGGCATTAACCCTGAAAGGTATCTCACTGATTATCAGACACCCAATATCTTTGAGGAAGAGCACCATCTGCTCTCCTAATTCTTCATGGTAACATTTTCCAAAGCATGTTCCGCAAGACATATTCTATGAGGAGGGATTGCATGGTCAATGTGTTTGGGAGATCTTGTGTTAAATGAGTTTCTTTACTGTATCAAAGAATTATCAAAGCTTTTAATAGACTAACACACTTCTACAATTTCCAAGTTTTTAGAATCCCCATATTATAAGGAAGATGACCATGAAACTCCTTTAAGAAATATCTCCTGGGGCAAATATTCTATTCCCTGCTGTTTCACAATTACTGAGCTGCCTATGCCTTATGGGAGAGCTAACTTTGAGGATACTCAAAGGAGCAGTAGTCAGGTCAATGGAAGCAACTTAGCTCACTGATTGCTGTCTCCACTGTGGATAAGCAAGATGTGTTCAAAATGAAAGTCTCTCCCTAGAGTTACATTCTGTTACTTAAGTCAATTTTTGAAAGAAGTTTAATAAGAAGTTTCCCCAATGGAAAACTTTGACCTTGAGTGAGGACAAGGTTTATGGGCAGTTGATAATTGTCCAAGGTTTAAGCTCTGACTATGGTTCTCTTTGATTTCAGCCCTGCTATTCTCATATTGCAAGGAAAATGGCTTAATTTCTTTAAGCTCTTCGGATCCTTAATAAATTTACGGTGAGAATAGTGAAAATTGTTCTCTCTTTAAGATGTGTTGAGAATTAAATTGTGTCATCAAAAAAGATTGTCCAGAAGCAACAAACTCAACGTTTATTAAGTTGCTACTGCTAGTGTCCCACAGGCCCTGGCTTATTCTGGTCACTATTTATTGTACTATGCTACAAAATTCTTGTGCCTGAGGACCAAGGGCTGATAAATTATGGGAATAAAGCCAAACATGTGCTATGGCCGTGTAAAGGAAATAAAAAGAAGCAATAATCTTATTGGATTTTCAAAAAGAATTCTTTCCTGAATAAAGCCTTAGGCAAAGGGAAATATAATAATAAGGGATAAAACTGTCATGCAATTGACTTTACAATGATTGCTTGCTCTACAGATCAGTATCTTAGCCTGTGACTCAAGACTCCTGTTGGATCTTGGAAGATACTCTGACTTCCCCTTAGTTGATATGCTTTCTCATCCAGAAGCACTTAGATTCCTGTATGTAATTACAAGCTTTATTTGATTTTGTGCCAGCCATTATGAGGTTGTCTCAAGAGAGTTGTATTTACTATCTACAATGTCCAGTCAGAAAGACTGCTGTATTTTAGATATCACTAGAAGTTGAGAGTTCCCAGAGGAAACATGTATTCATTTTTAAAATTATCCAGCAAACATTTAGTAAGTCCTCCACGGGTAGCATTTTTCTAGGTGTTTGGAACCCATAGAAGCCAGGTATCTTCTTAATGCCATTTTCTGACCTCATAATGCTACTATACAAATAGCTTAAACTTATGCCATAGACTAGCTTTATTCAGAAACTCATTAAAGCAAACACTGACCTCAAAAAGACAAGGAGGTAAGGGAAATCTACTGGTTTAATTTCAGTCATCCAGTAGGTTTTGTGCTGATATAATAGCCACGTTGCTTAGTTTCATACTTGGATGTGGCTGTAGCCTACAACCAAATGTTACTCTCACATCTGTATTTAACCGCTAACTGCGAGAAAATATAGAAACCATCTCTCGGATGATTTAGCTCACACTGATTTTCCTTCTTCTGGATTACATGACCTGGGCCTACTGACCATAGTTTATTGATACAGGGGAAGACACTTGACCCTGGAGCTGTGTCTACAGTAAAGGTCTATGAATCCTTGCTACAGTGGTCTTTGGGCCTGTCTGCTGCCTTTTTATCTCAAGTCATAGTTATTCGTTTGATTATATTAGCTACTTCGGTGTTCTTGTAATAAATTCTTTTTTTCTTTTTATACCAGAGGTTTTTCCTTTATACAACAAAAGGAATATATACTAGATCAATAAATGTTTAGAAGTTATGCACTTCTAAACATTTACTGTGTGTAGCGTTAAATATACTCTAACAGTAAGCACGATGTTAATGTCATTACAATTCCACTTAAGACAGTCCAGAATGTTTCCTGTGCTGCTTCTAACCTCTGTGGTTTCTCATCACTGCTGGCAAACTTACTGCTGTTTCAGTCTTCTTGTTTGGACCCTGAAACTGACCTTTGGACTTGTTGACTGATCCTGCGTTTCTGGCTTGGGTCTCATACTCTGGGACTTTAGTTCAGACTCACTACTATGATTCTACCCACTAGAATTTTGATCATCCCACATAAGGCTAATTTCTCCAGCTTTGATCTTGCTTTGGTTGGGGCAATAAATAGATCCATCCTGTTTCTCCACAGCTGGATCTGGATAAATAGTTCTGGTAGTAGTAAAGTATCAATAACTAAATATAATATTTGTGATTTACAATCGTGATATCACTTTTCTCTTCTTCCAATATACTCAAATCAGTTTAAATATAAATCAATATGTTTAAATGTATGTTCAAATTTTTGAACACAGCAAAGCAATTAGACTTGAAATGTGGAGCAGTGAAATATCCAAGAATAGAGATCCTTATGGGATTCCATTTTAATTATAGAAGGCAAATGTAAACAAGTACCTTTGTGGAACAGGATGATTAATATTTAGTCCTATTTCTGCTAGAGTTTAAAGTTTTCAAAGAGCGAACATCTGTTCTTTTTTTTAAAATTTTTTTTTTTTTTTTTTTGAGACAGGGTCTACTGTGTTGCTCAGGCTGGAGTGCAGTGGTGCTATCACGGCTGACTCCTGGGGTCAGGTGATTCTTCCACCTTAGCCTCCCGAGTAGGTGCACTCATGCCCTGCTAATTTTTTGCATTTTTTTGTAGAGATGGGATATTGCAATGTTGCCCTGGCTAGCCTCAAACTCCTAAACTCAAGGGATCTGTCTGTCTTGGCCTCCCAAAGTACTGAGATTACAGGCATGAGCCACTGCATCCAACCTGTTCATTTCGAAAAACTCTTCTTATGTCATCTTCTGTGAAGCTTTTTCTGACCACTTAGGTAGAATTGACCATTCCATTTGTGGCCCCACTGTACTTAGAGCCCAGACTCTGCCACACAACTGAATAGAATTATTAACACATTGGCCATTCATCCCACCTAGGGAACATATTTCCTGAAGCAGTGGCCATATCATGTGTTTCTCTATGCAAAGGGTCTGATACAAAAAAAAATCACTTAATAAATTTTGAAAAATAAATTTTTGAGTATGTTGGAAGACAAGTCAGAAAAATATTTTCAGATTGAATCGGCTTTTTACTGACCAACAATAACATCCTGGTTAACCATTAATTTAATTCACCATTATAAAATTTCTGATTTTACTATTGTTCTTCCACTTTTATCTGTTCTATAACTATGCTCCTTTTGGTCTGATAAGATTTAGAATCTATATTGAATCTCTTAATTATCTAAATGTAACCTAGAAATTAAGCTCAAGTCTTATTTGCATACTTAGCATTTTCAAGAAACTTGGTATTGTGAGACTAATCATGAAAAAGATGTTTCTAGAGCTTAGAACTGAGATTAAAGTGGTTGAAATATTGACTTTAATGCTTGAAAGAACTTTAAACTAATTTGGTTCAGAAGAATAATTTCCTTTCTGTCAAGTTTTTAAAAATGTACTCCACATATACCAACAAATACTATTAAGAACATGACCCAAAGCTGGAAATATAGTTTATATAATATATGTTTCATACACTTAAATCACTAATGCAAAAAAGATCAAGAAAATACCTTTTAGGAATAAATATAGCCCTACAGTTTTCACAAGTGCAGTTTGAGGAATAAATTATTTCAGATGAGTCTGTTAAAATAACAAAGAATCTGTGTTAACATATATTTGTGAGAAGATAAAAAATATGTGATATAACCCTAAGCTTGAATTAGATAATAAAATGTAGTCTTATTTGACAACCAAGCATTTAGTTGCCAACAGAGATCCCCCATAACTCTGTCTTCTACATTGATAATTCACGTCTCAAATAGTTGTTGCTCCGTTAGCCTGAGTCTCACAGGGAGGGTGACGTGGAGGCAGAACTGCAGCTTATCATTTATTTACATGATGTATGAGTGAAAAATTAACATTTGTTGCTTTAATCACTGAAATGTAGGAGTTGTTTGTTACTACAACATGGCCTGTTCTGACTAATACTATAAGACTGTGTTAGAGGAAGATTTTTGGTAGAAATGAGGGGTTTTGTTCTGAATAATTTAAGTCAAAATTATTGATATATGGTGGCTTCATCAAGTTATAATCTTCAGTAAAACTGGCACCAATTGTAAATGTAATGGGATTCATTCATTTTTCATTTTAGATGCTTGAACTAAACCTTGTTACTAGGAAGAATCTGAAGTTGCTTGTCCATGTAAATGTAAGGTGGGAAGACACTCAGAAACTATTTGATATTGACAATGAGCATTTCAATTTTACATTTTAGCTGCATGTCTCCATTCTATAATTTCATCATGCACATTATTCACATGTGTAAAAACATACTGTCCTCATGGAAAATTTCTAAGGAATCCTTTAATGACTTTTAGGCAGTTGGCTTTTGGAAAACGTGTTCAACTTCAGTTCTTTAATATTCTCTTCACAAGTAATTTTTTGGTTGATACTTATTTGTTTTGTTGGGTGACAGAGCATGAAGAGAACCTTTTCTTGAGCTCAGTGGCAATTTGATCAAAGTAATATCTAATTTGGGTTCCGTGGCTCTGAACATTTTCTAGGAGACGGAGAAGTGCCAAACATCCCTAAAGCTGCTCAGATGTAAAGTTTGATAAAAGGGATTTAATGTGGAAAGACTGGTCTCTAGAATTCAAATATTCGGACCGAAGTATTGTCATTTTGCTGGTCTGACTGGCAAGTGAACATAAAATCATATTAGGAGCCTCTAACCTTGCCCTAATGTATCAAACTTTTCACTCTATTCCCCTCTTGCATCCAACGTCTTAGTGTTTCTCTTCTTCATCCTCCCAGTGTACTATCCAATCATACTTCTATCCCTTTGCTTATGCTGTTATCTTAATGAATGTGGTTGGTTCCTCTGTGCTTTCTCCTCTTCTCAAGCTCTTATTCATCTTTCAGACTCTGCTAAAAAATTCTCCTTCTCTCTGCTTGTGCAAATGTCTTAGAGAATTTCCAGTTGTACAGTGTTTCTTTCATTTAGTTTTCAGTTTTTCTTTGTATACAAGAGGCCCAACTAATCACCTATATTCCCAGTAGTAGTCATCATAATGTTCTATACACACATGTAGGTTCTCAATGCATGTTTATTAATTTTAAGTGGAGTAATAACAAAATTTTAAGCTTCTTTTCCCTCAGAAAATCCCTGATCAGGGGAATCAGGACCTCAGCTACCCTTGCATATCTTTCATCCTGAATGTCATTCATTAGTTTATGGGTAGGGATGGAAACAGAAAACTATGATTTTCATATTTGTATTCAATTTTACATTTTCCTTCATATTATTATCTATGTGATCCCTTTTGATGCTCAGAAGAGTCCTTTGAGATGTGAAGGTAAAAAATGTTACTACTTCTAGATGTGGGATGGAAAAATGGAGAAACTTGGCTATGTCAAGACAAATGCAGGTGGGGCAGTGTATTTTACCCTTCCCCTATCACACATCATTTTCCTACAAGAATTTCTTGCAATTTCAGCACATTACCAGGTCAGGAAAAGCCTCTCAAGCCCCATAGATTTACTGAGCAGAGTGAATGTCCTTCATCTGATCTGTGTCTGCAGAGGTCTTCTTACTGTTCTGCTTAGGTAGCACATTCCCACTTTAAAAAGCATGGCTTTCTTGCTTGATTTTGCATGACAATGCACAGAGGTCACCAGATAGATGGTTTAACGTGACCAACAGCTCACTTTACTTGATTCAGTCACTTTAATCTTTGCAAGTAAATGACTCATCCTAATGTTACTTGAATCATTGCAAGTAAATAAATAACCACTTGTTTGCATCAACTAACCCAAATGAATGGAGAGTTTGTAGAAGAACATATTAAGTTGGAGTACTAGGTAAAGTAGTATCTGGCAAAAAGTAGCACAGGTAAATAAGTATTTGGTAAATTCAAGCATGAATGCTATATTTTTAAAAGAAGAAAATAGTAGAAATAATTTGGAAGTAGAAATCTAGTTAATAAAGTACCAGGTTCCCAGAGTATCCTGAAAATTGGTAAACATTAGTCACATCTATAATAAACTTTACATGTATAAAATTAAATTAGAAGAGGATATATTTAATTCAAAAGAATTAAAATTATCTTCAGCATAATTTATAAACTAGTGCATTATATTTACTCCATTACCAATATTAAACAAAAGCATATTAAAATGAATCATAGTAGCATCCCACCACTCTGTGAACATTTTAGTTAATTATCCATAGATAGTGGAATTACTGAATTTTTAATCAGAGCTAGCCAGACTAGGGTAGCTTCTTTGATCAAGAGTTGAATTTTGCTGCTGGAAAACAAAAGTGCTCAATTAACCAAATTTTTTTCTAGTCTTTGTAATATTTTTTAGTTGGGCCATTCCTAAAAGTTGATCAGAAACAGGCAGAGAAAGAAAGTCAGGTTTACTCTATAAATTAGATTAAATTATTGTGCATAATAGAGCATCAGCTTTGATATGGGATGTATGAATTGTGGATCAATCGATGTATTGATGCATGGATTACCTTCAACACATAAATAAATTGTTGACTGTCTAAAGAAGCAGTAAAAGTTGAAGAAAGGTTGACACAGAGTTGCACCACAATTGCAGAAGGAACACAGTGTTTTAGAATGCACTTGTACATACATTGCTTCATTGGACTGTCAGAACTAAGTATCATAATTAATATAGTTTTCCCAATCAAAAATGTGAAAATTTAAGTTCAGAAAAGTTGACTATACCTCAACTTGCTCATCTAGTGAGTCTGAGCCCAGAGAATAGGTTTTCTATTTCCCTGTCCAGGGCTCTTTGAACGACATCATACAATCTTAAGTGGGTGCCTATTATTTATTTAAAGTATACTGGGGATACCAAGCATATAATTTTTCATAGGACTGAGAAATTGTAATCTAAGTAGTTTGACAGGATAAAGAACAAACACATATGTTTACAAAATCATTGGCACGTAAGAGGCACAGAAAAAATGTGTGACTAAACGAAAGAACTAAACGTCCAAATGATAAAAAGCAATACATGCTATATGAATGAAGGAAAGAAAAGTAACCACCAAGGCAAGGCTATCAGAACAATCTTGAAGATAGGAATGAGAAAGCAGGATATAAACAATTTGGGTGTGTATGAGGAGGGGGAAAGTGGGAAATATAAAAATTTGGGTGTGTATGAGGAGGTGGAAGGTGGTTTCTCATGGCCAAGTCTAACATGAACCAAAGTACAGAGACCTCCTTTTGATTCAGGGAATGTATAGTTGTATAGTTTGGATGTAGCAGAGTTTATGCAGAAAAGGAATGGAGGTAGGAATAGGAAGTGGAAATAGGTGTAAGAGTTGGAATCAGACTACAAAAGTAATATGGAATTTAATTGTGAAAAACTTTTGAGTTAGTTTAAATTCAATGTTGTAGAAAATATACAATTGGAAGTACTTTTTATTTTGTTTGATTTTTGATAAAGTCCAAAATGAAACAGATAGATTTTAATTCTAGCACTGTTAAAGTTAATAACAGTAGATCTGTTTTTTAAACTAAACTTATTAAAATATTATTTATGTATAATTTGTTTTGGATGAAGCACATCTATTAAAACATGCAATTTGATTACTTTTGACAAATTTACATGCTTGTAAAACTACTGAAACAATAAAGATGCAGAACATTTCCATAACACCTCCGTGCTCATAAAATAAACTATAAATTCTTGTTTTGACTCCATCACTACTTAACTAGTTGATCCTTCTTTGGTCCCTTAATTTTTCCAAAATGGTAAAAGTCTACTTTTACTAAACTATATACCATCCCTGCCTAATTTAGGATTGTTGTGAAGGAAAAATTAGAGAGTGAAAGTATAAATTATTTGAAAAAATCAGATAAAATATGAGGCCTTATTATTCTAAGTTATATATAGTTACAGGAAGACTGATAGGACCATGGGATGTAGGACAGGCTCAAAGAGCAATTAAGAATATAAAAAATCAGCAAAATTATTACATTATTACAGGTATGATGTGATTTGGGAAAGTGCTAATACTAGGGACTTAGATCCTTGATACGAGGATACAGAGTTGGACCATAGTTACTAACAGACCCCAGGCTTTCTCAATAGTTCTTTCCATTCCGGCCTCATATGGCATGGGGTTCAGGTTCATGCCTCAGCAAAATCCCAAAATATTTCAAGTCAGGAATCATTGAGGCTGCTCAAATTTGACAACAATAAGTGTATAATCTATGAATGCAGAGAGCTGGCAGTACAATTTCTGTAAGATTTTTCTCAAACATAGCCTGATCTTTTTATTCCCCAGATTAGATACTATTAATGTCCCCCATTATATTTAGATTAAACCAAAACTCCTTAGCATGATGGACAAGATACTTGAAGAAAATCTGAAACCTGCCTAATCATATTCCTCTCTCATCATGCCTCACCTATTCTAAGTAGAGCAGGGAGGGCATCATGGCTTTTATTCCTTCTCCATGATACTTGAAAAACTTTAATAATATGCAATATTACTTCTTATTAAGACTAAGCTCAGCATGGTTCAAAGGTCATCAGTATATACCATCAGACTAATCAGAGTGCATTAGTTTGGTGTCTTAGTTCAGGTTGGTATAACAAAGTACCATAGATTGGGTGGATTAAAAGCTACAGAAATTTATTTTTCACATTCCTAGAGGCTGAAAGTCTGAGATCAGAGTGCCAGCATATTTCTGTTTTGGTGAGGGCCCTCATCTGGGTTGCAGACATCAAACTTCTTGTAATTTCTCATGACAGAAAGAGGTCAAGCTAGCTCTTTGGCCTCCTCTTATAATTATAATTATAATTATAATTATAATTATAATATAATGAGCTGTATGATCTTGGGAAAGTTACTTAACTTTGCTGTACCTTGGTTTCCTCATATGTAAAAGGGGGTACAATAGAATCTACTTCACAGGATTGTTTTCAGGATTTGAAGTGCTTAGAAAAACTAAACCACTAAGAAGAATGCCCAATGCAAAGTGCTCAGTAGGTATAATCTGTCATCATCACTGTTGAAATTTATTGTAATGGGAATAAAAGTATTAATGTTCAAATAATTATAATCTCTCTCTTCCGTTTCTATCCCCATGCCACCTACAAAGGAGTAAGCATTCTGTATATATATATATATATATATATATATATATATATATATGTGTGTGTATATATGTATATATATATACGTATATATATACATATATACACGTATATATATACATATATACATATATACATATATACACATATATACACATATATATACATGTATATATGTATATATACATGTATATATATATATATATATATATATATAGTCAAGAGTTCATTCTCGCTATGCAGAATTTAGGTAGTGGATTGCTGTTCCCCAGAAGAGCAGAGTAAGAGTAAGGGCTCAGCTTGTTTTCTCAGCAAGAAGAAAGGATCCTTCACAAGGACTGTGTTTGTCATGAAGTCCTGCAGTGCTTTTGGAGGGTCTGCATCAGCAGACAGGAAAGGGAGATTTCCAGAGGACTAATTTTACTGCAGGCATCCTGGATCTAAATGACACAGGGAGTGAGGAAATGGAGAAAGGAACAGCATGGTTCTGAGACAGCAGCAGAGACAGAAAGAGGAGCATTTTAGTAGCTTCCTAGATTGGGAATCTTTTGGGAGAGAACCACCTACAAAGGCTTGTAAAAAGTTTCTTCTATAAGGTACTACGTAAGAGTCTTATGCTATTCCTTTAAAGAAATAGTTAAGAAATATTTGAATCGGTCTTCAGAATTCTGGAGTCAGATTATTATTTCTTAGATGGGGATTTGGTATAGGAACTGGATCATGTTGAATTGTTGAGAAAAGTTTAATACAGTTCTTCCTATAAAGTAGGCACTTGACAAATGATAGCAATCACTATTGTTGATAGACACATTACATTATATGTGGTCTCCTGAAATTCCCCATTGTTTCCTAGGTACTTTTGAACACTTCATCCCCTTTTCCTATCATGCTCTTCTGCATGTATATCTCCGACATTCATAAATATTCAACTTATTGTTTAAGACCTATGGGAAGTACTTTCACATCTTTGGAACTGATTGTTTCCTGCTTTGTCCCATCACACTGTCTCCTCTAAAGCATTACAATTCCTTGCAGCTGCAAATACCAGTATTTCCCAACTACATGCAATGCCTGTGTCCATTATGGTAAGAACAGTCTCTAACCGGGTGACAAGCTGTTCTTCCTATATGTACAAATAATTTCCACTTACATCCTCAGATCCACAAGAGTTGAACCCTGGGAGTGACTGGACTTCCCTTTCAAAGTTTTCTAGGGTTCCTTCCTGCAGAACCCATGACCAATCTCTGACCTGTAGAGTGTATATAGTAGTAATGACTCCATGACGTTGCTTGTGATCTCATTCCTGGGAGGAAGGTAACCAGGACAATAGAAAATCTGTCACCTATCCCAGGCCAAAACACCAAAGATGTTATGTGAGCTTTATAGGCAGCAGATTAGCCTTGGCTTTTTGGCTAGGATAATTTTAAACAATTAAGTCTGTTGGCCAGCCAAGGAGTAATCTGCTCCATGAGCAAACATGTTGTATGTAGGTAGAGTGACCACATATTTTTGTTTTTCTGGAACAATTCCAGCTTATAGCTATTGAGCAAGATTGAAATTCTGACTAAGCATCTTCTTCAACTCTTAAATATCATGTGGCTTGGATAATAAATTCTATGGTCACCCTATATAAGGATCAATATCAGTGATAAGAGAAATCAATTAGTCCCCCAAATGTGGCAGAATGATGGTTTAAGAGTTCCTGAGATCTCTTCTGCTGTCTAGATCTAGGCCTCTTTGGCTTCTGGACTAGTAGAGAGTCATGGGTGTTACTCACATACTTCCTTTTCCTGTTCATTGACTTGATTGTCTTCAAGGGTCTTCCAAGCATGACCAGTGATTAGTATCATGGGCCTGATAAACAAAAATTGTATCAGTGGCTGAAAGAGTGGAGTATAATACTTAGAGGCCACATTTTGGGATCATAAGTGTAGCCTGAGATATGGACGTAATTGTGTATAAGATCAATTTTCTTTGGTCTGGCTTCCCATAGAGGCAGATGGTCTTCTGCAAAGCCGACAGGTAAAGCAATCGGTCCTCTTTCGACTTGAAAGTGGCTGTGTAAAGCTGGAAGCCCAAGGTATGTCATACAGTTTATGTGTTGTTGAAGGGAAGTTCCCTAAATCCCTTGGTAATATAGGAGAAGGGGTTGGTACTCTCTCAGCAATTAGGTAGCGGGGTAGAGTGGAAAGTCAAGATTCTACCCTGTCATATACTTCTCTAACAATAAGATTTGATCATTATCATGGTCATAACAAAAAAGGAAATTGTTTATGACTACTCATGAAGTTTAACAGCCCCATAGCCCAAACACCGGTTTCCTTTTCCCAGACTCTGATGCCTGAACTTTTAGATTCCTGGTTTTCAACAATAACCTTGACATACATTTAATTCATATGGCTTCTTAAATTTTAGTTAGCAAAAGAAAATCTAATCTATTATCTTCTATCTTCTGCTACACCACAGTCTAAAAGACTGTATATCCCTGTTTCTGATAGCACTCCTTTACAACTCTCAAAAGCATTGTCCTATTTCTTCTGCAACTCACAGAGATCTTCAGAGAAATCCCTCTGTCTTCACCCTCTTGCTCTATCTGAAATCTACTTCTCACATGAGGACACTGCTTCTCTTGAAGCCATTTCATGTGGTGGCTGTTTTCTTTCCCACTCATCTTGTACCACATTTGCCGGAGGAAGGCAAAGAGAGTGGTTGTCCATTTTCTCTTAGTTGCTTCCATTTTATTCTTCCTCCCTCTTACCTAAGCCTCCCACTTTTGACTCTCATGCATAAAACTATATCAACTACAATACCTCCTTGGTATAGTCAACTTCTAATCCTCTTTCTTGAAGATATTATTCACAGGCAAAGAGTTACTTTCTTCTACACCACCTCTGTCATAATTTAGGGTATTTCATTATCTTTGTAGATTATCCTAATAGTACTTTGGGCCTGCATTTCATTGAACTTTCATTCTCTAATTATTTTAATTTCCGCCTACCTCAGCTACTTTCTCTAATGGGCAGAACCTAAACATTGTTGAAACATAACCTTAATTTCAAGCATTTGACTCTCTCTTCATCATTTCCAATCTTTTCAACTTAATTATTTTAGGACCCTAACTCCAGCAATCATTTTATATCACTAGGACCTACAATTCATTGATTTTTATGATCTTTTCTGTCTCTTATCCCCTCATTTCTTGACTATCCTCTGTTTCAAGTTTCAATATTATGAACAATTACTATAATCATTCTCTTGCATATACTCCTAAAGCTCTTGCCCCTTTCTTACTTCATTGTATTCACTTACCAAAATTATAACCTTCCTTAATTGCAAATTGCTACTCTGTAACTGAATGTTACTAGAGAAAAACACACAGCCATGCTGAATGGTTTCACTTTAAATTCAGGATCACTAACCTAAAATGAGCCCTTAATGCTGCCTAACAATTATACTAGATTTTTCTTGTTCATTTATCCTTCAGCTCTCATATAATTATTTTATATAATTTCCTCTTTTCTAAAACTGTTAACATATTCCTTTATCTACAATATCAGATTAAGGTCTTGTTTTCTATTTAATTGGGAAAAATTTAATCAATCAGAAAATAATTTCATCAAACTCCTACCATCACATCTAACCTTCCATCCGTAATAAACTTCTATTACTATAGTTGAATTGTCTGTGATCTGAAGAAAGGCCAATCCTTTCCCTTATTGAGTAGGCTTCCTCTTAACCCCTTTGGTCTCATTAAGATTGCTCCAGCATTTTTTCTCTCACCTGAATATTTATTTCTTCTCATCTCCTTTGCTCCCCTTTACTGGATTTTTCTTATGTGTACAAAGAATCTGTTATTTCTCCAATCTTAAACCTCTCTTTTCTAACCCTATTTTAATCTCCAGCTATTTCCCTATTACTCACCTTTCCTTTATAGTACAAGAGTTGTGTGTACTCACTCTCCTGTGTTACTTTCCAGCAATTATCCCTTGAACTCCTTTAACAAAGCTTTTACTTATGTTCCTCCACTGAAACTCTCTTGTCAAGGTCAACAATGATCCCCAGATTGCTAAACCCAGTGGTTAGTTCTCAGTCTTCATCTCATTTGATGCATTAGCAGCATCTGGCACCACTGATATACTCCTTTTTCCATTAAACACATGACTTCCAGGATCACACACACCACCAGTTTTCCTTCTACTTCATTAGTTGTTTCTTCTTAGTCTTCTTTGTTGTCTACTTTTCATTTTCTGGTCTTTACATCGTAATGTTCAGCCCTTCAATATTTTTATTAAAATCAATATATACACTCGTTGGTGATATCATTGCTCTAAGTGTTAATGTACTATAAGGTATTATATTTATAGGGCATCATAAGTTCCTGTCCCAGTTAATCACATTCAGAGGAGCCAGAGTGGTCCTATTAAACTGTAAAATTGTATTATCTTTCTACTCGAAACACTCCAGTTGGCCTCTGTCTTAGTTTTGTGCTATTGTAACAGAATACCACAGACTAAGGAATTTATAATGAACAGAAATTTATTGGCTCACAATTCTGGATGCTGAGAAGTGTAAAATCAATGGACCTACTTGCTACATCATAATGTGGTGAAAGGCATCACATGGTGAAAGGATGAAAGAGCAAATGGAGAGACAGCATGAGGCAGTAAATACACTTCCTCAATAATGAACCTGCTCCCTTGAAAGCAGAATTTGTCCATTCATGAGGTCAGAACCTCATGACCTAAAGGCTTCATAAAGGTCTCACCTCTTAATGCTGTTTTAATGACAGTTAAATGTCAATGTAAGTTTTGGAGGGTATAAACATTCTATCCAAGTGTGGTAGCCCATTCTCAGGCTGTTATGAAGAAATACCTGAGACTAGGTAATTTATACGGGGAAGAGGTTGAATTGACTCACAGTTCTGCATGGCTGGGGAAGCCTCAGGAAACTTAGAATCATGGTAGAAGAAACAAACACACCCTTCTTCACATGGCAGCTAGAGAGAGAAGTGCAGACCAAAGCGGGGAAAAGCCCCTTATAAAACCATCAGATCTCATGAGAACTCACTCACTGTCATGAAAACAGCATGGGGGAACCAACCCCATGATCTAATCACTTCCCACAAGGTCCCTCCCTCAAGACGTAGGGATTATAATTTGGATTACAATTCAAAATGAGATTTGGGTGGTGACAGAGAGCCAAACCATATCACCCAGTATCTTCCCATTTCCCTCAGACTAAACCTTTCTACGGAAGCTTCTGCACTCTTATTATTTATCTAATCTTCATTTCTACTCTTCCACCCCTCCTTCATTCTCTTTGCCTTTATTTTTCTCTCTACTAGAAAAAGCTTCTTCCAGATAGCCATATGATTTGCTATTTATGTCCTTCCAGTCTTTACTCAAATGTCACCTGTATAATGAGGCAACTCCATCAACACTTCTTATTCCCCTTCCTATTAACATCTTATGTATTTTACATATATTATTCATTATAATTTTTTTCCTCCACTGGAACATAAAGTTGATACATTACAAGACCATTCAAAATTTACCTAAAAGAACATAAGAATCAAGAGGGCAGGAGTATCTATTTTCTCACAGTTGTATGCCCAGTACTTATATACATTTTTGATGAACAGATGAACAAATGGACTGCATATAAACCAGAGACTAGTGGTTTTAAGTAAGATTATTCTGAAGTTGTTTTTAGTCTTAACAGTTTTGATTCAAGGTAGATAAGAGAATCACTTGTGGTCCTTTTATATTGATATAAACTTGTTTTAGGTTTACAGAGTAGCTTGTGATTCTACAGAGTGATGGAAATTGTGCAAGGTGATAACATTACAAAATATTGTCGTTGGAGTAGCTAGGGAATTCAGAGTAGAGGGATTTAAGAAGCAATTTGGATGTTTCTGTGAATGTCGAGGAAGCAAAAAAATTTAAATGCTCTTTATACCTGGAAGTATGAATGGCTGTAAGACATATTGGGAGACAGTTCCATGGGCCTGTTCTCATCACAACCTTTCCAACACTATCCTGAGAAACTTTGGTATGTAATTTAATTTTGATTTGGGTGTACATAATCTACGGTTATAAAGCCTATGTAAAAATATATACTCTGAATCACATGGATTTGTATTTTAACTGAATATCAGTATAATTGATTTTAACTTTAAATGTTTTAGTCTAGTTTGTGTGTGTGTGTGTGTGTGTGTGTGTGTGTGTATGTTCATGTGTGTAGCATGGGTAAAAATTAGGGGGTCATTTGGTTTTAAATGTATACCTTTTTTAAAAGCAAGAGTGGTAGTTAAAGACTAAACTTCTAGGCTCTAAATAGTGATTTCTAACAGAAAATGTGCTATTCAGATTGGATCCAAATGACTAGTAAGAAAATGGATATACTTTATAAAACATAAGGTGAATTTCTTGAATATTGTCTAAGCCACTGTAAAACTTGAATGAAAAATAAACACCTATTAATAAAATATATGACACTGACGGAAGATAGATGAAGCATAAGTAGACACGAGAGCAAAGTTGATACATTAAAAGACCATTCAAAAGTTTACCTAAAAGATGAGTGGGGGCTGGGCATGGTGGCTCACGCCTGTAATCCCAGCACTTTGGGAGGCTGAGGCTGGTAAATCACAAGGTCAGGAGATTGAGACCATCCTGGCTAACATGGTGAAAACCCGTCTCTACTAAAAATACAAAAAATTAGCTGGGTGTGGTGATGCACACCTGTAGTCCCAGCTACTCAGGAGGCTGAGGCAGGAGAATCGCTTGAACCTGGGAGGTGGAGGTTGCAGTGAGCTGAGATTGTGCTGGCTGCACTCCAGCCTGGGTGACAGAGTGAGACTCTGTCTAAAAAAAAAAAAAAAATGGGTTCAAGGTTACTAACGACTTATGGGCAGATTAAATGTAATGCCTTTTAACAGAACAATAGGCACCACAAAAACTTCATGATCATGAGTTATATTTTAGATTCTGTGAATGTTTAAAGGCATGTTTTATAGCTGCTAACAGTTTTGTTTTAAATTTGTCATAATTTACTAATTGATAATATAATTAATATTTTCATCATTATTGTGTGGATACAGTGTATATAATGATATATGTAAGAATAATAAAATAACTATCCCTCCTTTTATATGACAATCTTAGGAATGTTTGTGTTTGTTTCAGGAAGGAAGGCAAGGTCTGTTCTCTATTCTGGAAGAGAGGGCTATGCAAGGATGTCAGCTAACACCCAGTCTGTAGTTTGCCAAGGGCTAATGAATAAACAGGGATCTTTAGGGCACACTAGATCACGTGTGTTCCTTTCTCTCTTTTACTTTTAGCTTCCTGTGAACAGTCTAACCAAATCCTCCTACGTTTCAGGCATCTGCTTAGATAAACTCTGTTGCTTTCCTCTTCTTTTCTGGTCAAAAGTTTTCCCCCTTTCCATGATTGCACAGCAACCGGCTTATCCTCCATCACTTTTCACACTCCACCTGTATTTTCTTTCTTTTCTGTATCTCCCCAGATGATTAACTTTTTGAAGTAACAACTTGTTCATGTTTGGATTCCTAGAGAGAATTGTGGTATCTAAATTATTTAAACATGTAACTTTCTTCTACTCTGTTTCTGGCATAGCACTAGAATAAGAGTTTTACACGCAGTATTTCATTTTCTCACTATATCCTAAATTATTAGTATGTCCTTTTTTTCTTTTTCATTTGAAACATAAGAAAATTGAGGAGTAAAGAGTTTGAATGACTAGCCAAATGTCACTCAAAACCAGCACCAGAGTTGAAGTATATCAAAAAGTCTGAGGAAATTCTTGATCACTTTGCTATATCCAAAGGCTTATTGAATGAGGGTTTCTATTGTAAGATAGGAGTGAGTTGGGACCCATGAACTATAGATCTTATTCCCATGTATCTCTAAACCAAGGTCACCACTACCCCAAGAATATATTAATGTTATGCATTTAATGGGTATGGTTGGAAGGATTCTTAATAATGAAAAAAGTCATTATATTTAATGACTATAACCTGGAGTGTGGAGTGAGGGAGAGAGGAGTCCCAGTAAAGTTACTTACTCCAAAGTATTCAGAAGAAAAATATTTTCCCTTTTGAATTGAAGGCATCAGTTACAAAGCAAGAGGGAACAAGAACTTGTATCTACACAAGTTTGAACTTCAGCTTTCTAACTACTTTTCTGGTGCATTAAAAAAACATGAAAGATAAAGCTATATCTCATGTTTTCAAGTCTTGTGTTTAATAAAAATCAAATGAAACTCTGCCAAATGGGTGAGTGGGAGTCAGATGTATAATTAAATCTCCTTCTGGAAGATATGCCACTCAGAGATCAAATGTTAGCATCAAATTGGTCTTTCCAAATATGATCTATTGTCTCATGGAAAGCTGTCAATAGTTTTTGCCATGGAAATTTAAAAGGAATAGATTTTTTAAAGGAAGGGTTCTGACTCATTTAAGAATCTAAGCACAAATTTAGAGAAAGAGAAAATGACTAAAAATATAAATCATGCTTAGAACAAGTTATGTCTCTCTTTCTATGTAGATTGCATGTTAGGTTTCTTTTAGATTTAAGGCCACAAATGAGTTATCTCTAGGTTTTCCTTTTAAGACCTCTCCCAATAATGATTTTCAATAAATGGATGGCTATAGCCATGTGATGAATGACATTTTATATGAAAACACTGGATATTTGAGTTTGCCCTTTCATGACATCTAAGAAAAAAGAGGGAGGCATCAGGAGATATTCACAGCCAGAATAGAACAGATGAAAATCCAGCATTACCTTTAAATACCACTCTATACAGACGGCTCGCTCTGTTAGGAAGAGGTAAATAACATTTCAATTACAGAAAAAAAAAAAAAGGTTTGTACAAACACTCCCTTTTACTCCAAAGCCTAAATAAATGCTGTATTATGAGATTGTGTCTATAGTAATAATTGCAATTCATTAAATATCATTAAATAACTGTTCTCAAAATCGATGTACTAAGAATACAATATTTTAAATGCCATACATGTCTGTGGCATTTCCTATTCAAAATTTTTTTTAAAAAAGAAGACTTGCTTGAGTGCAACGAACAGTTACTTCTTCTATCAAAGCGACAGGTTGCAATTGATCTTTCTCAGTGCGGTTAATAAGCAAAAGCAGTTCCCATGGGTGCAATGAGGGGAGAAGAAGCAGTTCCATTGATTGAAATCATCTTTGGATGCTTGAAATTTTCTGTTTCTCTTCATACTTAACAAAGCACATAGACACTACTTTATTCTGAATCTGGTTACTGATCTTTGTTGTTTGCTCTTTTTCTAGAAAGTGAAATCTCATTGTAACCTTGTACCCTGCATAAAAATAGCCTGGCTCAATAGGTGGTACTAATCTACAGAAATGGTAAAGGAATCCCCCCATGCTAAAGGAACAACAGTTAAGTTCATTGTTCCTTAGGAGTGAGAATGAACCTCTCTCCTGTGTTTCTGGGGTCATAAAAACTTTATCCCCTTTTTCAGTGAGTGGTGCTACCCTATACTAGCACACTCTCTATACTAATGTAACAAGAGCTTGGCCTCCCTTTGAGCTTTCAACTGGGAGAAGGATTATATCTCCTCCTTCATGGCCCAATACAGGATTACCGCATGCTGAGCACATTTGCTATAGTTTTCTCCTTGAGGTCAATTGTGGTTGAAGAGATGTACAGGCAGAACTTAAACCTCAGTTTGAGTATGGAGGTCTTTGGGTGTCTTCAGGTTAATGGGTTTTGTATTAGAGAAAGGGTATTACCTCTACTAAGCAATGGTCATTAGGGGTGTCATAGGGAGAGTTCATGTGTCTCTGCTCCCTGAATCTTGCCTGTGGATAAAGGAAAGATACAGAGTATGGGGCTGGGAATTCATATGCTTCATTTCCACCATTACCATGATTAGGCCAGCCACTAAACTTTTCTTAATTAGAATGTAAATATTCAGAGTCTTTTATTAAAGAAAATATTGTTTAATTTTCTTTCTTTAGTGTTCGTGTCTTTATAATCACAAACTTTGGATTTTCTGCAGTAATGTTAACATTCATATGGAAGCAAGTGTAGGATTATTAAAGAAGTCATTGTTGCAATGCTAGTTTTATGTAAAGCCACCAGTGTGGTTGAAAAAGTGTAGTTTATATTTTGTAATTAAAGGGGCATATATTTGGTTCACATTTAAAAACAATAAGAACAATAACTACCTAAATAATAAAAGCAACAACAGTCATTGTCAGGAGTTCAACACAGACATCAACTACAAATGGATGTTTCTACCCAGTCAATTTTTAAAAACTGGGATGTTTGGCACAATGTTTGGAGTTGTGACACAGTTGCAAAAAAGTTAATTCTTTTTGACTTCTGCCAGTTAGTGTTAAACTTATGAGGCATGAAATCATCTAACTCTCAATAATAGGTTTTCTATAGAGTTCCCAGTAGAAAACATTTATGCTTGAAACATATGTGCCTAGATCTCACAAACCACAGGCACATTTATTTACAAAAATACAGACAGTCTTCCCTTTTCAGTGCTCAAAAACAAAATAATTTTTTAGAAAGACAGGAGAAAAATGGGCCATAAATTTGCCCATATCTTTTGTGAAGGCCCAACAAATCAACTGAGTTAAAGCCTGGGATATGTTACATTTGCATATTTATATATCCAAACTTTCGGCAATTGCTACTTTTCCTCCATCTCTATTTTATTTCAGTTTTCTTCATTTTTTTTTCCATCGGAGTGGTATGTTTTATTTTTTATCATCAAGTGGAGAGGTACAGGATGCCTGATAAGATCAAACTGAGATGAAAAATTATCCCATTTCATGGTATGAAAGGATCAATTTTAACCTATCAAGTTTCATGAAAGGCAGAGAAGAAAAATGCATATTGGACACTGAACTGTCACTAACTTATTCTCAATCTTATTTTCACCTGATATTTCAGAGTATAGTCAGACCCTTATGACAAAATTCTGGGTTGAAATAGTTTAGATTCAAATAAAAGTATATCACTACATTTTAGCCCTCATCATGATCTTTTAGAACATGCTGACCACTTATAGGAAATAGTTGGCTCTCAGTTTTTTCTTTTCCTTCAGATATTCAATAATTTTCACATCTTCATTCTGGAAGACTATTCTCTGTTTTTGTGAATTATTAATATTTTGCAGTTTTGACCCTGGGCATCTAATTTAGTCTGAATTTTTACTTATTAATGTTGATTTATTATCTCAGAGTTTAGAAGTCATACATTCCATTGCAGAAAATTTAAAAATGTAAAAAAGTATAAATAATAAAATCATAAGCATTTTCAAACCCATCATTCAGAGGTAAACATGATGTTTGTATCTCTCTCTTTTCCCTTGTAACGTGTGTGTATACATATACATATTTGCATATATATTACATATACATATACATGTAATACCACATGTACATGCATATACATAAAATTAAAACTATGCTATACTGTGACTATTTTTCTAACATCCCTTGCAAAGTGGAGACTGTTTACTTCTGTAAAACCCTTCCTGCATATTACAGTCCCTTGAGGAATTGTAAAAATTTTTTTTTAAAGTTTGCCTTTCAGCCTCAGTACATTTGATTTAATTGATCTGGTTTCAAGCATAGGTATTTTTACAAATCTCCTCAGGTATTTATATTTCTCTGTAGAATAGAGGAGAGAATATATGCTACAAGAAATTCTCATTTCCCCTAAACCTTTATACTTGGAAATGAGTGAGTTATTACAAAAACCGTAGACTCCGCTCTATCTGGCTCTTCCCTTAATTGATCCTTGACAGTTGACCACATTATTCTGTTACAGATTGGATTGGATTACAGTTTTTATTTCTTCACTCTGTCCATATTATAGAATTATAAACCTGTGCTCTTTTCCAGGTGACTTTGCAAAGCCTCTATTACTAGTGTATGTGGAGTATATACTGCTGATCCTTTGACATGTGATTTGCTTGGACCCATAGACTATTAACGGATACGACATGAGCCAGGGCTCTAATATGCTTGGCTTCTCATGCTCTTTCCATGTTGCTTGAGAACATTTCCAGCTAGTGGTGGTCTGGAGAGAACAAGGAGACACATGGTGGACACCTGAACCCAACCTATAACTGTAGCCAGGCCTGGCACTGCCCAAAACATGAAGCAGAGCTGCCCTTGCTGACTCATAGATCAATATGCCAGAAAATAAATGCTTTGTTGTAAGCACTGATATCTTGTGGGTTTTTTTATACAGTATCAATGCAGAAAAATAAAAGAAAAACCGTGGGTGATTTAATCTTCTTGTGATATATATATTTTTCAGGGTGGGGAGGAAGTTTCCATGATACCACTTTCTGCTTCTTTTTGTACTTCTGACCATTGCCACTTAAGATACTTTGCTGGCCTCTTTCCTTCTTTTCATCATTCAAGCATAAATGTTGCCCCAGAACCTCATTCTCAGCCTTATCTATTCTTACTCAATATATTCTCCCTGGCCAACCTTTTTGATTCCCCTCAATGGTATTAACTGTTTCATAATCAATATCTCTAGAACTTAGCAAGTTCTTACGCTACATATCTGAAGTGCCATCAAGACTCAAATTTGATCACATAGAAATTGAATTAATTACTTTCTCTTCCCAAGCTTCTACTTCTCATGAATTGCCCATATTGAGCACAGTACCATCAATGATATCAATTCAATTTTTAAAAAAGAAAAAAAAGAAAGAAAAATTCTAGACTCTTTTTTTCTCACAAATTCCCATAGCCAATTAGTCATCTGGTAAACTTCTTGAAATACATTCTTGTGATCCATTTTATAGTTTCCAGGCAAATCCTATTCTCTTGGTAGTTTGGTGATTTTGAACTTTACTTTGCAACATGCATTTATAATTTTCTCTCACTTCTTTCTCTCAACTCATTTATGTCACAGCCTATGTTGTCTTCATGGTGGATAATGGCCAATACAGTGTTGATACATGGTAGGTATCCAGTAAATGTTTGTTGAATTAATTGTGTCTGAAGTTACCGGAGGCTACATAAATAACATAGCCTTTTTAGAAATTGCCACGGATAAATTACTTGGCATTTATCTTCAGTTTCCATGTCTATCAATTGAGAATGTGTTGTATTATTCATCTTCATGAAAGAGATGTAGAAAGATTAACAAATAGAGTCATTTAAAACAAAACTGAAGTGCTAGAGAAATTATAATGAATTATATTAATAATGAAATTTGGCTCATTGTATTATTAGTATTCTTTTTGTCTATTGAAATCACATTACCAAATGATGACCTAATTATAACTCATTTGCCAGATGGTTAATTGTGGTGAAAAAAAAAAAAAAAGATTTGCCGTTATTGTAAAAGTTGTGTTTTTATAGTAAAACATTTTTCAGAATTACTAATTTATCTTTTAGTATGATAATTTTCACCTTGCAAATTTAAAGGCCTATTTCTGACTTTAATAAAATTATTCTAAAAATACAGAAAGACGATCATGCTTCAAAAAGGCCTAGGCTCTAAAATAACCAGTGCAATGTAATTTAAAACAATGTGTTTTTCTTTAAAATTTTGGTTAAATTTTGTTCCGAGAAACAGGACAATATCATATGAACCATCAGGTGTCTTCTAAACTGTGCCTTCTGTTCTCTACTCTTAAAGCCTCAGTCTCTAAAACAGGGGCAGTATATGTCCAAACCCCAGTAAACACTTCCGTCAACCTTGTGAAAAAAAGACGGTGTCATTCAGGTACTATTTCCTCATCCTCATGTGTGGAGTTTAATTTATTCTTCAGAGGCTAAGGCAGCTTTTTATATTTATCTAAAGGCTGGGCCTTATTAAGACTTTTATATCACCCTATAATTTATGTTACCTTCCAGCCTCCACTCAGCTTAATGTAATTCAATACAAAATAATACAAAATCATCAAATAAATTTAGGACAGTACAACACAGTCTTAACAGTTCTTGTTATAACTAGTACTGTGCATTTTATTTTTAAAAAATCTTTCCAAAAATGATTTTTATGGTCTTCTTTGCTCATTCCTTCAGCAAATATTTGGCCTGACTGTTGGGCAATCCAGATGTGATACAAAGACTTCTTGATTTATTATTATCCATGTGTTTCATTCTTGGACCTGCTGTTGATTATTACTTGAGTCAAATGTGAAAATAAAAGACCTTAGATTTTTACATATCTGACAAAATTAGTTTTAAAAGGACTATTTATTTATTAAAGTATTTATTGCTACAAGGAATGTTAAGAAAGGAACAAACAAACAAAAGAATAAAAACAACTTAATAACATATATTCATTGGATCCACACCATGTGCAATGTATTGGGTTTTAATATAATTTTACTTTCTGAAAATGTTGGCTATATTTCATTTTATTATTTATTTATTAGTGTCAGGCAAATGAATTGGCAATCAAGTCACAGCTTACAAATACTAATGCTCCATGATGTTCATTTCTTGCTCCTCTCACAGATCAATAAATTAAAAAAAAAAGCATTTACCATTTTACACTCATTACGGTCCAACATTGATCTCATCTGTGCCATATTACAGTGTTTGCTACCAATCACTTTCATTGTCAAATGAATTGCTTAGTCACATATTTAATAATGAGTAGAATTGGCCTTCATAATCACTTCTTTATTGTTATCAATCAGCTATTTACATAGTCACAGGGGAAACGTATCATTATTCACTGTGAGACACAGTAACAAACATCAAATTTAATTGCCCTACTAGGCACTGGAGTCATAATCTTTACACAACACTTAATGTTTTCATTACTTATCAATTCACTTATAATTATGCTACACTCACAAAAGTTAAGTAGCTAGCAAACAGTAGATCTTTCACTTCTGTTTATGCAGCAATAAACAAATAGATGCAAAATAGGTTAGAGTGAATATATTAACTGAAATGATTATGTAGAACGTCAGTTGTTCCAGTCTAGCTTTACTAACATTGCTGAAACAGATCATGTCAGAAGTGCTTACCTTTTGTAGATAAAGCTTTTATATCTTTTCATTTACTTTAATTTTTGAATGGCCTTTCCTGAGAATTGTTCATGGTTTGTGCTGCCACCTATTAACTCCTTTTTTTCTAAAGAAGTGATTCTCAAAGACATAAAATGGCTACAATACATAATATAATTCATGTATTCATCCACTCATTTATTCAGTTCTTATTTTTTTAACTGTGCTAGGCTTGGAGAATATAAAGATGACTAAAAGCAAAAGTTATGCCATCCCAATGTCTAAAATCTTGAAGATATACAAGTAAATTCTGAATTAAAGTGCACACAGCGCTTCTGAAATTTCCCTAATGAAGAGAGAATGGGGACCAGGGAAGATAGCCTGAATGCTTGGCATTTATAACTCTTCTTTTTAAAGAATGCTGTTTGGAGTTTTTTTCAAATGGCTTTCAGACCCCTTTTATTCACTATTTATATTTTTGATAGAAAATTCAATCCAAAGTAGACAGATAAACATATAAAATACTTGGGAATATACACCCCACACACTCATTACAGAGATGGCTCTGCTGCAGACTGAGGTTTCTTAGAACCATCTTGAAAACTATGGCTCTTTTCCACCTGTGTTTGTTATGTATACAAATATTTCAAGTATGTAATTAAATTGCTTAACTTTATTGTAAAACTATTTACCCAAATGCCTCTGAAGCCTGGGCCACAGTTATTTCATGTCTGTGTTCACCCAGATGGCATAGCTGAATACACCCACAGGTGACTGCCTTGCCTGAGAAGCACTGTGCTTTCAATGCAATAGGAACCATAGTGTGTTTAAGGACAGAATACTGAGAGGCACAAGGGGCAGATGTTGAAATCAGAATAGAAAAGAGTAAGGAAGGACATATCAAGAGGACCTCCCAGAATTGTTGATAAATCAACATACATTTATCAAAAACTGTGTGCTGGAATATAAGAGCAACTAAAATAACAGATATAAATCCCATTTTTATAAAGTTTATAGTCTATCAAAGGAGACAGGGGAAATGGCTAATAACGTTTTTTAAAAAATGAAAAACATCAATTTACTCACTGGAGAAGCCCTATGAACTCCAGGAAAAATAAATCCTCACTTGGATAAACCATAGAAAATCAACTGTAAGCAAGAAAATTAAGAGAAAATTATGAAAAGGGAGAAGAAAAAGAAGATATATTATCATTATAGTATCATTATAGAGGTGATAATTAGAATAAGAACTGATATAATAATAAGTACAAGAGAAAGTGGAAAATGAAGACATAAAAAATTATGAATTTCTGAGAGATAATATTTGCTAAACCAAAATTCTAAACCTAAACTCACAGTTAAGAAAATAATAGAGAATGTTCTCCAGAAAAGAAATCATTCTAGATGTGTATTAGTAAGCTTGGGCTGCTATAACAAGACCACAGGCTGCATGTCAAACAATAGAAATTTATTTCTCACAGTCCCGCAGGCTAACTCTGAGATCAAGCTGCCAACCAATTCAGTTTCTGGTGAGGGGCTGTTTTCGTGGCTCACAGATGACTTCCTTCTTGCTCTGTGCTCATGTGACTTTCTCTGGGGTAGAGGAAGCTGGAGAGAGAGAGAGAGAGAGCTCCTCTATGGTGTCTCTTCTGATAAGGACAGCAGTTCTCTCATGAGGGCCCTACCCTCATGAACTTATCTCACCCTAATTACTTCCAAAAGGTTTCACATCCATATGCCCAAATGCTATCACATTGATGAGTAGGCCTTCAACATATGAATTTTGTGGGGGACACGATCATTCATTACAAGACAGAAGATCAGGAATATAGGCAAGAATAAAAAGTTGTGAAAATGTTAAACATCTAAGTATTGACCTTGTCCTTACGGTATGATAATAATAATAATTTGAGCATTCTAAAATTTATGTAGAATTAAAATATATGACATGCATGGCATAAATGTCAGGAAAGAAGTAAAAGTAAAGTGTTTAAAAGTCCATGCATTGTCTGGATAAAATGTAAAAATATCAGTTAATATTAGACATTGGTGAAAAAAATATGTTCTAATCTCTAGGGTAATTATTAAGGGCATAGTGAAGGAATGCATAACTTGCAAGAGGCAGAAGAGGGGAATGGAATAGCAAGTAATGCTGAATCAAGGAAAAAAGCAAGAAAGAAGAGACAAAAATATAGAACAGGTATGGCAAATAGAAAGCACATAGTAGGATGATAGATTTAAATACAAATCTAACAGTAGTTATATTAAATGTAAACTGATTAAATTCCATTTAAAATACAAAGTTCAGACCAAATAAAAACAAATCCTAACAATGTTATTTTTAGAAGGTTCAAGTAAAACATAAGGATTCAGAAAAATGCAAGTAAAATGTGAGAAAAAAACACTATCATCAACATTCAAACATTATTCAAGTGAAAAAGTGTAGCTACATTAATAGCAGACCAAATAAGAAGGATGCCTAAGTAGGGCCAAAGAGGAAAACAATAATAATAAAGGAACTAAGATATCTGTATTTATCTGTATTCAGTAGCATGGCTTTAAAACATATAGTACATAGACCCACGATGAAAAGTAGGCAAATCTGCAATTTTTAGTGGCATATTTTAATACTTCCAATTTGTAACTAATAGAAGAATCAATGATGATATGGAATATTTGAACAACAGAAATACCAAACTTGATTTAATTAACATATTAGTATAGAGTACGCAAGAAATGAAGAATACACATTCCTTTCAAATGAATGTAAAACCTTTGAAAAAATTAACCATTGAGTCTCCATACATTTCAAAGGATCAAAATTTTTCAGTACATATTCTCTGTTAAAAAATACATTTATCTAGAAATCAAAAAATTTACACCACGAATATTTTTATTGCCAGAGAAGAAATAATACTATAATAAAATGATAATAAAATAAAATAAGAAATTATTTTCAGAAGAATGATGATAAAATTAAAATACATAAAAACCTGTGAAATTAGAATCAATCAGTACTTGAGGTAGTTAATAATCAATGACCTAATAATATTAAAATTTTAGAAAAAGAACAAAAATAATATTAACAAAACATAAAAAGAAGGAAATAAGAAAGGTGAGCACAAAATTAACCTAGAAAATAAACATATAATAGAGGAGATCAAAATATAGAAGGGATCAATAACATTTAATAACATGTATTACAATTAACAAATGGCATCTACATAAACCATTTTTACTTACGTAAAAGGTATCACAAAAACCCTACAGTAAACATTATACCTTGTTTTGAAATGTTGAAAGTTTTCCCTTTGAGACAGGAACAAGATGTAAATGTTCATTTCTTTTTATCTATGTTGTATTGTATTAAATGCTCTAGCCATAACAGTAAGTTAGGAAAATAAAAATAGAAACTGTAAGTATGTATTGAAAGTATGAAATAAAAATGTCATTATGCACAGGTAACATTATTGTGTATGCAGAAAATCCAAAATGATCCACAAAAATGATTAAATATAATAACTGAATTTATTATATAAAGGATCCCAGATACAAGGAACTGAACAAAATTAATTACATTTTTATATTCTAGAAACAAATAGAAAATGACATTTAAAAACTGATACAACTTAGAATGAAAAAGCACACCTAGAAATAAATCCAACTAAAAATGTGCAAGTTGTCTATACTGGAGACTATAAGACAATGTAGAGATCAATTAAATAAGAGTTACACAAATGGAGGACTGTATCGTGTACATAAATTGGAAAACTATTTTTGCCAATATATCTCTTTTTTTATGTTTATCAACAGATTTAATGAAATTCCAGTAAGGCATTTTCATTTTTGTTTTGGAGAAAATTGAAAATTTAATTCAAAAGTTTATTTTGAAATGCTAACAACCAAAAATTATGTAGGCAGTTTTGAGTACAAATAATAAAGCTGAAAGACCTACATTATCAACAATCAAAACAAAGAATAGTTAGTTTTTGATTTCATTTCTATCATGCTCAAAAGAAAAAAATGCAAACAAATCCATGCTTTTTGTGTTTGTGATATATGCTTAGATAGTAAAATTCTTCGGGTTTTCAACAGACAAGTCATAACAATGCTTCCGTTTGGAGGAGTGTTGAGAATGTGCATTCATTGAGTATAGGCATGAATTGGGCATGGATAATGCATGCAAAATTCTACCTCCTGTGTGGTGGGTACATCATTTATTTTTTAATGATAAATCATTGAGCAGGTCTTTTTTGTTTTGTGCACTTTCCTGTATTCTATATTTTTTTGTGAAAAACTTTTTAACACTTAGAATTAACACATATAAATATATTCTGACATGGGTACATTGGAATAAAGCAATACCAATCTGTGACGGAATTTAAAAACTAAACAAAGTAAAGCTTGAACTGAGTTTTAAATGGGAGACTAGGAAGTAAGTAAGCTAATGGAGAATGGGGAGAATGGAAAAAGCATTCTAGACTAAGAAAGAGCCTATGCAAAGGCTTGAGGGCATGCAAGAGATGCAAAGAATTGAATAAAACCTAGGGTGCCTGCAGCATGGAGAAGTGTAAGTTATACAAAACATATAGGCAGATTTATAGATAGATCAGGTTCATCTTATGAGCAATGGGTAGCTATTAGCAGGTTTTGAGTGGAGTATTTTGCTGTGTGACACAGATTTGCATTAGGAAAAGTTAACTCTGGTTGCAGCATGGAGAATGGATAGAAAGACCATGTAAAATATTGTAGGGGTCCAGTTACTGAGAAGGTCTGCATGAACATTGACAGGATATTCATCTATGATGGAAACAGTGGAGATGGTGAAAATGGATAGATACGTGGCATTTCTAAACTTGGAGACAAACAAAAAGCTATTGAAACTTTGTTGTTTTATTCTCAAATTAAGTCTGGTATAATACGAACTGCTAAATCCATTTTGTTTCAGAGGATCACAAGCATCAATTAAGGAAATAATAATAATACTTCTAATAGCCAGTTGCATTTCTATCATGAAGAGAAACCAGAACAGTATATATGTATCTCTGCTGCCTGGTACAAATTGGAACACAGAGTCTCTACTTCTTAGATGATATCAAGCAAATCAATTTCTTGCCAGTAAATGCAGTGTGGTCACTATTTCTTCAACATGATTGTATCTAAGTAGGCATTTTTTGCTATGTGACTTACAACAGTTAAAAATGCATATAACCCTGTACACTGCACTGACTCCACCTTTTTTCACATTTTCTTCCTAAGTTACTTAACATAAAGCTTCCTGGCACTTAATACCAAAGGGTCTACTTAATCAATTGTTCATTGTATTGTGCAATGAGTGATCCCAGCTACATTGGTTAGTGAAATTTCATTTTAAAAATTATAACTTTTGAGTAAAAACTGGCTCAGCAATTGTCTTGGTATCAAATGTTTTGTGTTCTACTTTCAATAACATAGTTTCCCTACTGAGAATTTGGATTATTCATTTCACTCCCTTTTGACTTCATTTTACTCCTTTCATCATTTATATTGTACAGTGATCGGCTTCTCAGAAAGGACTATAAAATGAGATATATTATGCAATGTCAATGCTTCCTGATCATAATATTTGATTACTAGAAATCCAAGATCTCTGTAATAGCATGCCATCGAGGTACAAGTGAAGAAAGCGATGCATAGCAAATAGATTTTAGATGATTCATCAGCCATCTAAAATCAAGTCAGTAAAGGCTTTACTAGATTCCAACTCCTAACTGCAGAGTTTTCATCACAGTATCCTCTTGATCATTTGCATAAAAGGCTTTTGTTTGTTGCCCATAGAAAAAGGAATCAGATTAAAGTGGATATATTAAGGTAATTTAGCACTGCAAAATACTCCTCAAACCAGGAACAAAATCTTTCTGGTTTGATATCCACGTCTCACACTATTTTTTTTGAACTGCAGTTAGCTATTTGTTCTTAAGATGTACGTTAATATATGAAGCAGTGAACAATTTATTTTGAACTCTAACTCTTTCGTTTAAGTTATTGCCTAATCATTATTCACTAGATAAATAAATAAGGAAAGGTTAAATAATTCATAAGTATTGCTTTGAGAAATGCATTGTTCAAGAAGAGCAGAACTACTTTTTTCATTTCATGTAAGGGATTTCTGAAGTATATTTTTTAGGGAAAATAAAATACTAACAAGAAATATTGTAGGTTACTGGACACTTATATTCTATTTCTGCTGATATTTCTCTCCAGAGCAATTTAAGAGTTACTTTTAACACTTTGACACCTCTGTTCTTTTAGTTTTCTTAACCATTCTCTATGAGCAAATTTCTCTGGTCAAAATGAAAAATATCTTCCTCTCCTACTTTTACTTGTCCAGCTAATTCATATAGATGCTTTGATTTTCCCCTTTTCTTCTATATTTGAGTTGTCATAAATGGATTTTGAGAATTTTTGTGTGTGTGTTAGTTTAGTGAATATAGTATGCCTGATCAAGGCAAAAACTTGCTTCCAGTAAGAGGCATGGAGCATAGCCCATTTTTTTCCTTTCCTATAACTCATACAATCAGAGAAATACACGTCTATAAATTGTCCATTATTGGCTGCACAGTGTTATGCAATCTTTTTTGATCTGGATACTTCTTCTCACGGGATAGTTTAAAATCCACAATGTATTTATAGAGGTGATCCATGTCTATATTTCAATTCAAATCTATATTTCATCACAAGTCTTTTATTATTTTTGATGCACATTTACTGATCTATCATTATTTTAGTAGTGTTTTGTGCCTACTATTCCTTTAGCAAAACCATTCTTCAAAGATAAATTTATATGCAAGCTAGTTTAAACACTATTTGTTTAGACTTTAATGTAGCTACGTATTTTTAATACAAGGCATAACATCAAATTGTCATTATACTTATGATGCTATAAAACCATAACAAATTATCAACCTCATTTACTTTGTGACATTGTTTAATTTGTAATTACAGAATGACGGCAGAGGGTGGCTTGTGGGTAACCCATTTCCATCTTGGGAATTTTAAGTGTCATTCAATTGAAATTTAAAATTCAGTCATTTATAAAAAACGTGAAGTGTGGTTTTATCTTTTCTTTAAACTTTCTGTTGTATGGCAATTGTTACATTGTTCTGTTTTCTTTTTCTTCTCACTTCTTCTCTATAACTATACCTAATTTTACACCAATACCATTATATTAATACCATTATATGAATACCTTATATGAATAATTTGCAAAGAGGTCCAGTTCCCTTTCAATTCACAATTACCATTTCCATAGCTGGGGCAACTGTACTTGTGTGTATTGTGTATTTCTGAGTATGACTTTATTTGAAAAATTGTAATTTTAAATACAATTACAATACCAATTGTAATTTTAAATACAATTACAATGCCAATTGTAATTTTAAATACAATTACAATACCAAGTGTAATTTTAAATACAATTACAATACCAAGTGTAATTTTAAATACAATTACAATACCAAGGGTAATTTTAAATACAATTACAATACAAAGTGTAATTTTAAATACAATTACAATACCAATTGTAATTGTGTGTATTGTGTGTTTATAAGTATGACTTTATTTGAAAAATATAAATTTATATTAAGCATATAGTTCTACCACTTCCAACTTTGTGCATAATTTGTGAACAACAATGTGCAATGAGCCAAAAGAACTGCAGGAAATGCTGTTATGAAGCTTCAGATTTTCCCATAGCATTCTTTCTTTAAAATTTCAGCCTTAAATTTAGACAGAATTTAGGCTGTCTAAATTTTGGTTAAAAGTACAAATTTTGGTTAAACAGAAGTATATAAAGGATGAAAAGTCATTATGATTACCACTTTAATAACTTTGATTTAAACAATTCATTTTCAAATAAGAGTAATAGTGACAATTTTGAGTCTCAAATTAGAATTCTAAAGTTAGTCCCTTAGGCTTCTGTTTCAATGGGACAAACACAATCCCCACTAATCATTTTGTTCATTTATTTAACACCGATTTTCTTAGTTAACATTTGAATGTGAATAATAAGAGCAATGACTCCTCTTCTTTTCTTGACTATCCACGGAAGCAAAAGAAATCTGGGGCATGAGGCAAGAGTGATTTCAGCCGTGTAGCCATAGGACATGCACTTTCTTTAAAGATGAATTTCAGCCAGGAAGTTAGATTTGTGCTTTTATGCTTCAATTTCAGTTTTCTTATTGGAGTCAGTCACTGCCTTAAACTCTCAGCAGTATTTCTATTTTTGCCTTCTTTAAATGTAAGGTTCATGGAAAAAGACACTACATATGGATGATTTATTATGGTCTGGGAAAGGTCACTTTGGGAATAAATTACTAAAACTTGTTATTCCTGAGCATGCACCATTTAAGCTGTTTCAACTAATGTTCAGATAGCCACTTAAGAATCTGATTTTGTCAGCCTTTTAAGGAGTACTTATTTCAAGAAGAATGTTCTTTAACTTCTACTGATTTGCATACAAATATTTTGTATTCAAGAATTCTCATTTTGTTTCCTAGTTTTGAATCATATTTTTGTTCTTTCAAAACACTACTTTTTTGTTTCCTGACTAATTGGACTTGAACTTTTCACAAGCAAGGTACATGCTTCTGCTGGTTCCTCTGATTTTTATTTTATACCTCCCACCATTTTGTTCTGCTGGAGACATCTGGATCCAGCCACAGCCATTCATAGAATTTCTGTAAGAAGGATTTACCCACCCTCCTTGAAGAGGAGAGGCTAATTTAAATAGATGCTTTTGTTTATTGTTATCTCCATTTGAGACAATATCCCTTATATGAATAATTTGCAAAGAGGTCCAGTTCCCTCTCAATTCACAACTATCATTTCCATAGCTGAGACAATTGTACTTTTTCCTTCAAATTCACTTGAATTCTCTTCGTTAATAACTATTCTTTTACTATCCTATTGCCAATGATTTAATAGTCATCAAACAAATTAAATTTAACATAAGAATAATTTATTATTATTATTAAACACTGTTTAGACTTCAATATATCTACATATTTTTAATACAAGGCATTAAATTGATACCAATGCATTTTGTAGCCAAAATTGGCTGCAAAATGCATTGGTATCAATTAAGCAGACAAGGCCACAAACACACATAGTAGGACAAAAATTTTGAGGGAAAATGTGAGTGGCAAGTAGTAATTTAATTCTTCCTTTGCCTTTGTGTTGTAAAGCATTTATGTGTGAACTCAAAAATGGCAGAGAAAAGAGTTTTATAATATTTAAACAGCATTATTCAGAGTCAAGATTCTTATTAAGGTGTTAAAAAAATCACACATTCTGGATGTTAAAAGTTCTTTTGAGTTCTTTCTGTTCGGCAGTTGTTCAAATGGGTTGCCTTGTTCCCCAAATCTTAACCTCTGAACAAGGGATAGTAAAGGTCATCTCTCACTCATATTAGACTCACTCAAGTGTTACTTTTTTGATTTTTGACCACAAATCATCATTCCTGGTACTGTCAGTTCCGTGCTTGCATAAGTCTGACCTAATAAGAGAAAAGGCTTTCAATGTGTCCCAGATAATATGTCTTAAATTTGGTTTCAGGTGACTAGAGAAACATTGAACAAATTTCCCCCACTTTGCAAATAACAATTTGTGGTTACTGTGCTCTAATGCATTGGAGGAGAGAGCCCTTTATTCAGACCTAAATCACAGACAAGATGGTCCTGTGCTTCTGCAGTCAAGTAAAAGTGGAATCTCTGTCAATGTGAATCAGAATCACTTCTCAGCAACACAGCAGCCTTCAGTCCTTGCTGACAGATTCCTTCTAAGCTGCACGGGGGCAACCATGCAGAAAAAGCAAAATCCTACCTTCAGCCAGGGAGTTTGTGAGTATAACACGGCCAATCTCTGTGCATTCATATGGGTGATACAACCCAGGAAAGAATGCTTGCTGTTGATGGGCATTCTCCTTTAGGGGCCTTGCTTTTCCTGTGCTTATAATCTTTGCAGAGTATGAATCCAGGCGTCCTCTGGATGCAAATGATTTATGAAGGTTAATTCTTAGGAGGAGGGCTGATTTTACAATCTGTTTTGTGCGAGGTCACCCCATATCCTTTGAATTCTATGTGTGTGTTAATTGCAGCAATTTGAATTATTTTATTTAAATTGCCAGTGAAATTGTAGCAATTATAACAGCATGAACTGTTTCTGTTTCTTTTTTTTTCTCTGCTGCATATGCCATTTTGGACTCTACCAGGTTAACTTTATTAGTGCTATAATTTACTCCTCAACATTTATATCTGCAGATTTTACAGAGGATTGTTGTCAGCAACATGAGATTGACTTCTTTTGCACATAATTTAGGTGATGCTACATAAAGACACAGCTATCTTCAAATGGCACAGACAGTTTTCTTTCAATGGTCATGTGTTAAAATTTCTATGTATTATATTATAAATGTTAATGCCTGGTGAGAGACACAAGTGGTTAATCCACGGATTCCAAATCTGAGTCTTCATGATAAACAGGCACTCCCACTTTAAGTTCTGCATACAAAGATAAATGGAAAGAGCTCTTCAGAAGTTCACAATTTGATTTTTGTTGTTGTTATAGTGTTTGAGACAGGGTCTCATCCTGTTAGCTAGGCTGGAGTGCAGTAGTGCAATCACAGCTCACTGCAGCCTTGACCTCCTGAGCTCAAACAATCCTCCTGCCTCAGCCTCCAGAATAGCAGGGGCCACAGGTGTGTACTAGCATGACCAGCTGATTTTTGTATTTTTTGTAGAGACAGGGCCTTGCCCCTGATTTTAACTGATGTCACCCAGGCTGATTTTAACTCCTGGGCTCAAGCAATCCTGCTGCCTGAGCCTCCCAAAGTGCTGGTATCACAGGTATGAGCTACTATGTCCAGCTGGGAATTCACAATCTGTAATACAAAATTATAGTAGGGAATTTTTACAGATAGGCGTCATCCTGGTAACAGACATTTTAAAATGGAAGCTAATACAACTGTGTCTCTCCTTCACCCTTCCTGTGCACATTAAACCCCATTACCCTAACCATGGACTTGAGAATAAACTACCTCAAGCTATGTATACCTGTCTGAGGAGAGAGGAAGTAAGAAAGATCTCTCTCAAATGTTTCTCCCTCTTTACTTGAAGGTCTCATTTTTCTTTCTCAAATATAGAAGTTATCTTTTGGGTCTGATGATCTAAAGTTGATGACTAAAGGAAGCTCAGAGACAATTTCGTCTTTAATATGTTCTTGTTCATAGTAGCAGAGAAAAATCTAAATACACTTCCACTAAATTATAGAAAGACACATACACAGTCAATAACACAAACTGCATTCTTAAGAGATGCAAAAGCATTTATAATGTCACTTACCTTGGCTTACATATGTATCCTGATATGGTTTGGCTGTCTCCCCATCCAAAATCTCATCTTGAATTGTAATCCAAATTATAATCCCCACATGTTGGGGCAGGAACATAGTGGGAGGTGATTAGATCATGGGGGGTGGTTCCCTCATGTGGTCCTCGTGATAGTGAGTGAGTTCTTATGATATTTGATGGTTTTATCCACCCTTGGCTCTGCAGTTTTCTCTCCTGCCACCAGTTGAAGAAGGATGTATTTGCTTCCCCTTCCACCATGATTACAAGCTTCCTGAGACATCCTGAGCCATGCAGAATTGTGAGTCAATTAAACCTTCTTGCTTGATAAATTACCCAGTCTCAGGCAGTTCTTTATAGCAGCATGAAAATGGGCCAATACAGTAAATCAGTACCAGGAGTGGGGTGCTACAGTGAAGATACCCCAAAATGTGGAAGTGACATTGGAACTGGGTAACAGGCAGAAGCTGGAACAGTTTGGAGGGCTCAGAAGAAGATAGGAAAATGTGGGAAAGTCTGGAATGTCCTAGAGACTTGGAAGGCTCAGAAAACAGGAGTATATGGAAAAATGTGGAACTTCCTAGAGACTTGTTAAATGGTTTTGACCCAAATGCTGGTAGTGATATGGACAATGAAGTCCAGGCTGAGGTGGTCTCAGATGGAGAAGAGGAACTTCTTTGGAACTAGAGCAAAGGTGACTCTTGCTATGTTTTAGCAAAGAGACTGGTGGTATTTTGCCCCTGCCCTGGAGATCTGTGGAAATTTGAACTTGAGAGAGATGATTTAGGATATCTGGTGGAAGAAATTTCTAAGCAGCGAAATATTCAAGAGGAAGCAGAGCATAAATGTTTGAAAAATTTGCAGCCTAGCAATGCAATAGAAAAGAAAAACCCATTTTCTGGGGAGAAATTCAAGCCTGCTGCAGAAAATTGCATAAGTAATGAGCTGAATGCTAATCACCAAGACAATGGGGAAAATGTCTACATGGCATGTCAAAGACCTTTGCTGCAGCCCCTCCCATCACAGGATGAAACATAGGAAGAAAACATAGTTTCCTGGGTCAGGTCCAGGGTTCCCTGCTGTGTATGGACTTGGGACTTGGTGCACTGTATCCCAGCCACTCCAGCCATGGCTAAAAGGGGCCAAGGTACAACTCAGGCCATGGCTTCAGAGGGTGCAAGCCCCAAGCCTTGGCAGCTTCCATGTGATGTTGATCCTGCTGGTGTGCAGAAGACAAGAATTGAGGTTTGGGAACCTTCACTTAGATTTCAGAGGATGTATGGAAATGCCTGGATGTCCAGGCAGAGGTATGCTGCAGAAGCAAAGCCTTCATAGAAAACCACTGCTAGGGCAGTGCAGAAGGGAATTGTGGCGTTGGAACCACCACACAGAGTCCCCCACAGTGCACTGCCTAGTAGAGCTGTGAGAAGAGGGCAACCCTACTCCAGACCCCAGAGTATTAGATCCACTGACAGCTTGCATCATGTCCCTGGAAAAGTGTCAGACACTCAATATCAGCCTGTGTAGCCAGGAGGGGGGCTTTACCCTACAAAGCCACAGAGATGAAGCTGCTCAAGGCCATGGGAGACTACCTCTTGCATCAGTATGACCTGGATATGAGACATGGAGTCAAAACCGATCATTTTGAAACTTTAAGGTTTAATGATTGCCCCATTGGGTTTCAGACTTGCATGGGGTCTGTAGTCTCTTTGTTTTGGCCAATTTCTCCCATTTGAAACATGTATTTACCCAATGCCTGTACCCCCATTGTATCTAGGAAGTAATTAACTTGCTTTCGAATTTACAGGCTCATAGGTGGAAGAGACTTGCCTTGTCTCAGATGAGACTTTAGACTTGGTCTTTGGGGTTAATGCTGGTGAGTTAAGACTTTGGGTGACTAGAAGACATGATTGTGTTTTGAAAATGTGAGGACATGAGATTTGGGAGGGGCCAGAGGGGAATTATATGGTTTGGGTGTGTTCTCACCCAAAATCACATCTTGAATTGTAATTTGAATTATAATCCTCACATGTTGGGGGAGGAACTTCATAGGAAGTTATTATATCATGGGGTTCATTCCCCCACCCTATTCTCACTGTTCTCATGGTAGTGAGTAAGTTCTTATGAGATCTGATGGTTTTATAAGGGGCTTTTCTACCCTTCACTCTGCACTTCTCTCCCCTGCCACCATGTGAAGATGAATGTGTTCATTTCCCCGTCTACCATGATTGTAAGTTTCCTGAGTCCTCCAAAGCCATGCAGAACTGTGAGTCAATTAAACCTCTTTCCTTTATAAATTACTCAGTCTTGGGCAGTTCTTTATAGCACTGTGAGAACAGACTAATACATATTCTTTCTGACGTCTCAAATCTTCCAAATTCTTTCTCAAATCTTCTTTTATCTGTTACACTTTTTGGTAAATGATATCCGTAGAAAATGTGTTGCCATTTTTAAAGTTGAGAATGTTTTAAGAATATTCAGAGCATTTTGATATTTAAACCTAATAGGATAGGAACCTCTTCTTACATTGTGAGCTTTCAAACACTTTTCTAAACTGTAAATGTCATTAATTGACAAACATGCAAATATAAGTTAACCTGTTGGGAAGACAGTTTCACCTCCTTCTCCTCTCATGTTTGTTGGTCCAATTTATTACAATGTATTTAATCATACAATGTTGTTAAGAGTAATTTGGCTATAATCTTAGTCCAATTTTGTTTTGTAAGGACAAATCAAGATTATTAACACTAAGATCTCTACCAAACTTTTTATAGCAACATGGTAGGCACAGCTCTGAGAACCCAATCTGTAAAATGTGTCACTGTTGCTAATCACTGTGTGACACTATAAAGACTAGTTTACTATAAAAATGACTCTCAGGAGACTAGACAAAACAGCAAATGATTCATGGTTGCAAAATGAAATGCTACATTGTTTCAAGGATTATAATTAACTTTTCTGTGGTGCCAACTAGCTACAGCATTTGAGGTCACATGGTAGTGGTTATCTCCTTCATTCATCAATTACAGTTAGAGGAGAAGAGACTCACTAGTTTCTCATAGACCACACATATGACTAATTCAGGGAATTTGGAGATAACTTCTTGTGAACGTGGAAGTTTGAAATTGGATTTTCTGAAAGATTAGTTTTTTGTTTTGTTTTGTTTTTCCAAATTCATGGCTTTCAGCCATAGAAATGATCACCTTTGTTTCTTGTTAGTGACTTTTGTTTACAGCTCTGCTCATTTGTTTTCTAAGGGAAACCTGGTTGCACACATAATTACAAAGCAGAAATAAAACCGACCCATGTGAGATACTCTTGCTGCTGCAGATCTCTGAGTAATTAACGAAGGTAATTAAGTATGCTGTGGCCATTTTTCATATGGTGCTGTTGCTAGATATGATCCAGTGTGAGCACAGGAGACCAGCAGAGACATTGCCTGAAAAAAATTCTAATAAAGGAAACTGGTGGTTTCTGTACTTCAATTTATGATATCCTACTTATTTTAATGGGATCATATCAGTGATATTTTCTTCTTTCTACTTGTCTCCCAGCTGAAAATTTTTTCCTTAAAATGAGAAATTACAGTGCATCCCAGGAAAAAATAACTTTTCGCAGTACACATATACAGACAATTAAATCTAACAGGGATGCTGTATCTCTTTACCTTTATAATGATAAAGTTTATTCCTTAATCTGTCCTTTAAATTCTGAAAGGTTTTATAATCCATGCTACACACATTACCACTTGATTACATACTGCATGCTTTCATAGTTTATATGCTGATGCATAAAACGGGGACTGGGCCAGAAGATTCTTTTCTATGCTCTGAAGCAAATGGACTTCTTCCTGGCCCCCTGGTATGTTCTTGAATAATACATTGATTTTCAACACAAACTCTACTTGTTATTTCTCTGGTTGAAACATAGGTCAGAAAATAATAACATTTATTATTTATACTACAGGAACACTTAAAAGTATAATTAAAAGAATAAAAAACATTTTTATTTTACATAAGTATTTATATTATAAGATTAATAAGTATCTCATAATTATGTATTATTAGATAAACTGCACGGCCTATTACATGAGAAAAGAAAATAATGATGCCACTTTTCATTTGGAAGGAGCTTCTGACAGCAGTTCCAGTTTCCACTACATAAAGATACTATTTTCATTACTACTTGAAAAACCAGTCAACCGAAAGGCAAATCCCTTAAGTAATAGGTTTTGAAGTTAGGCAGAACTGAGTTTAAGTCCCTGGTCAGTTGCTTCCTATGTTTGTGACCTTGGGTAAGTTGCTCATTTATTCTTTGGTTAAGCCTCACTCTCTTTCTGTGTAAAGAGGAGAAAATACTCCTTGTTGAGGTTGCTAAGAAGGTTCAGTGACATATGTGAAAATGTCTCATACAGTACATGACTTCTGACAGCAGCTCAGTTAGCTTCCTTTTTAAGTAGAAAACCTCAGGGACACAGAGAAAGAGGATATTGTTTCATACATTTCATCAATTTATATACTGTAAAGAGAGTTTGCAATTTTGATGTTGTTAAATTTTTATTTGCACTGTGATAATAGCTTATTTCTTAATTTTCTTCACACATGTGGAGTGCAGCAAGCAGAGAATGTGTATAAAGTTTTGCATAAAAAAATTTCCAAGACAACTTTCAATTAAACAGAAGACTGCAGTATTAAACGGTGACCTTTTTGGGGCAGGCTGGGGGGAAGAAAGAAGAAAAACACAGAGAAAAAAAGAAACATTAATTACCCTGTCACCTTCTATTTTAATTGTAAACTTATATGAATTTAATGCATTAAAGTTTCAGTGCTTAATTATATTAAAAATTGGGTAAATTCCTGGCATCTCATGAACAAATATTATGTAATGACTAGTCGCAAGGGTTCATACTCCATAATCTATTGAATTTCTTAGCATGATAACTATACTGTCTCATAAAATAAATTTTATAAAATTATTTTTCATTAGAAGCTCTTTGACTTCATTCTTGTTTTAATGAATTTATTTTTTTTTCTCTTTACTGAGACACAGTGGAGGGATGCCATAGCAATGTCTATGACCATATGTTTTATAGGGAGATGTGACAAACAAATGATTTAATAACAGTCATCTTCCCTCATTCCCTAGACTCAGAAACTATAAGGGGGAAAAATACGGTAGAATTACGGTTTAATTACATAATTCTTCAGGCTGAAAAGATCTTAAATCAGTATCTTCCACTTCTTCCACATTTTTCCCAGAAATCCTCAGTTCTGTAGTCATCGCAATGATCTAGCCTCATGTCAGACCCACGACTACTACAAGGAAAGAAGTTGTATTCTGATGCAAATAAATGACTAAAGAATACAATTTTATATATGCATATAAACCAAAAGATATAAACTTAGATTTAAATAAATACATGTTATTGTTTAATTTATTTTCACATTTTATCAATATGTTTTTAGCTGTTTTGTTGAAATACTGCTGACATCTGCCGAAATTGAGGTCATTCTCATTGTTTTGCTATAAGGAAGAGGTTCCAAACTGGCATGATTTCATCACAAAATCGCATGATTCTATCACTAAAATGTGGTTGGTTTGAAGAGATCAAAGAGACCTGCAAACAAATAAATTCTAGTAATAAAATTTTAGTAAATGGAGTTGAACAATGTGTTTCTTTAGTTTTGAATTTTCTATATGCTTTATTTTGTGTGGATCATATTTGCTAAGTGAATGGCTAATCTCCTACCAAAAGTTAACTTTTGTTAAACTGTACCATTTCTCAATAATTGATCTAGCATTATTTTTTATATAAGAAATGTAATAATAATTAAAACACTCTTGTATATTTTCCAAATTCAAGAGGAAAAGAAAGAAAAATAAAAGAGAAATTTAGGTAGCTTCATAGGAAAAAATCACTAATGGCATTTTTTGTATTCCATAGCAATATATTTATATCTCTGAAAACTTTCATTTCAAATTTTGAAAAGTTAAGATAGTGTTTAATATATTGTTGCTGCTGCATGAATCTTTCAATAATATCAAATTTCTGTGTGCTTATCTACATTTGCTCTTCAAATATTCATTTAAGAATTTTTCTTGAATACTTTCCTGGATATTAAACATAAAAATCATATTAAGACACAATCCCTGACTTGGAATTATTTGCAGTCAACTGGGAGAAACAGAGAGGAAAACAAAGACAATAAAGAGAATTTTTTTGGTTTCACATGACCACATTCTAACTCAAATAGGCTTTAAAATCAAAGAAAATGAGTTGTTCCATAAAACTAATAGTCCAGGTCCATCTTCAGAAAAGGCTGATGCACACTCATATAGTCAGGAATTCATCTTTCCACAAGTCTCAGCTCGAGTTGTCTTTGTGTTAACTTGTTTATCTGATTCAGGAGGATTCTAACTTCATAGGGGCAAGATGGCCTCCAGAAGCTGTAGACTTCACAGGAAAAAGATAACTCCTCTTTCCACATAACTCTAAGAAAAATCCCAGAAAGTACTATCACTGTCCTAGAGAATGAGACACTGTCAGTGGGAAGCCTTGACAGGACTCATCTACACGTCCAGAGCACGAGGGACTTAACATTGCTACAACACATGGGCAAAGACATACAGAGAGCATTCTTCAGAGCAAAATCAGAGTGCTGTTTTACACTGGAGAGGAACCTGAGTGCCAGGATGGGCAGATAAAGATTGTAGACTGAAATACTCTAGTAACAACCATGCAGATGGCATGTCTATCACATCATTGAAAATGGTCTCTATGTCACTATGGAAATGGTCCTGGGTCTCAATAAGAAAAAAAAAAAAATATGGCCGGGTATGGTGGCTCACCCCTGTAATCCCAGCACTTTGGGAGGCCGAGGCGGGTGGATCATTTGAGGTCAGGAGTTCAAGACAAGCCTGGCCAACATGGTTAAAACCCTGTCTCTACTAAAAATACAAAAATTAGCCAGGTGTAGTGGTGCGTGCCTGTAATCCCAGCTACTCAGGAGGCCAAGGCAGGAGAATTGCTTGAACCCAGGATGCAGAGATTGCAGTGAGCCAAGATTGTGCCACTGTACTCCAGCCTGGGTGACAGAGTGAGACTCTGTCTCAAAAAAAACAAAAAATACTAAAGAAAGAAGAAAGAGAAAGAAAGAAAGAGAGAGAGAGAGAGAGAAAGAAAGAAAGAAAGAAAGAAGGAAAGGAAGAAAGAAAGAAAGAAAGAAAGAAGGAAAGGAAGAAAGAAAGAAAGAAAGAAAGAAAGAAAGAAAGAAAGAGAGAGAGAGAGAGAAAGAAAGAAAGAGAGAGAGAGAGAGAGAGAGAAAGAAAGAAAAAAAGAAAGAAGGAAAGAAAGAAAAAAATATTATTTTAGCTTCAGATAAAGGGCAGCTATATAATTTTACTCCTGTTCACCCTGTTCTGCCTCATGCCCACTTGCTGGGCAAACTGAAGTTGCAATTTCAAGTGGCCAACTCCAGGGTAATCTTGTTGTCTGAAGATTGAATGCAATTTCCTGTATTCAGTTAGTAAAATGAGCACAGCACATGTGTGAGTAGGTCTCCAGGGATTCTTAAGAATCATAGTCATAATATTTCTCTTCCCATCAACCAGGCTGGCTACCTCATATTCATCTTGATAAAGATGTCTCCAAGAGCATTTGTAGCAAGATTTGAGTCCTGACCCTTCTTTACACAGGTAGAATAAATATTCCTTTACCTGGAAGTTTGTGTGGAGGGAGGAAGAGAGAAGAGGGAGGGAAAGGGGAGGAGAAGACAAGATTACCTGCTCTAGAGGAATTAAAAAGGAATTATGGAGATGTTGAAATTATATAGAATAGAGCACTGAGTGAGGGAAGACAGGAACAAAATTATAATGACTATTTGAAATTATCATTTCACAGTAGCATTAATATTCTTTGTTTCTTCATTATATATTATCATAAGATAGCAGAAATATGTGTAAGATAGTTGTCACAAATATATGTATAGGTAATATAAAATTATTTGATTACTCACTATGGAACTACTAGAGATAGAGTCTCTCTATAAATTGAATATAGTAAGTACTAACACTACAGAAAACAATCATGGCAGTCAGGCATTTTATATTATTGCACCCACCTGAATAAATATGTTTTCCTCTTGCTGACATTAGCAATAGAGATGTTTTATTTTTAATCCCTGTAAGCATCAAAACATTTATTTGACACTTTTTAAAATCAAAAGTTTCCAAAATCAGTGTGATTATACAGTTGACCCTTGAATGACACGGGTTTGAACTTCAGGTCCAATTACACATGGATTTTCTTTGGCCTCTGTCACCCCTGAGACAGCAAGACCAACCCTTCCTCTTTCTCCTCTTCAGTCTATGTAGCATGATGATGATGAAGACCTTTATGATTAGCCATTTCTACACTTAATAAATAGTACATATACTTTCTCTTCTCTATGATTTTCTTAATAATATTTTGTCTTCTCTGGCTTACTTTCCTATAAGAATACAGTGTATAATACATATAACACATAAAATGTGCTGATTGTCTGCTTATGTTATCGGCAAGGATTCCAGTCAACAGTAGGCTATAAGTAGTTAAGATCTGGGGGAGTCAAAAGTTACACATGTATTTTCTACTGTGCAGGGGGTTGTCTCTGTTAATCCTTCAAGAGTGAGTTGTACTTTCTACCTTCTCAAGCAAACATATTGAAGATTAGAAAGGAAACAAACGAAAAAAAAACTTTGTTCTTTTTCCAAGGTCATATACATCTTTTAATATTTTTTATTTTATTTTTAATTTTTGTTGGTACATAGTAGGGATATATATTTATGAGGTACATGAAATGTTTTGATTCAGGAACGCAGTGCATGATAATCACATAAAGAAGAATGGGATATCCATCCCTCAAGCATTTATCCTTTGTATTATAAACAATCCGGTTACACTCTTAGATATTTTAAAATGTACAGTTCAGTTATTATTGACTATAGTCACCCTGTTTTGCCATCAAATATTAGGTCTTATTCATTCTGTCTATTTTTTGTACCCATTAATCATCCCCTCCTTCCTCTCCTGCTCCCTACTACCCTTCTCAGCCTTTGGTAACCATCCTTCTACTCTCTAAATCTGTGAGTTCAACTGATTTGATTTTTAGATCCTACAAATAAGTGAGAACATTTAATGTTTGCCTTTCTTTGGCTGCTTACTTCACTTAACATAATGATCTCCAAATCCATCCATGTTGTTGCAAATGACTGGATCTCATTCTTTTTTATGGGTAAATAGTAATTCATTGTATATATGTACCACATTTTCTTTATCCATTCATCTGTTGATGGATAGTTAGGTTGCTTTCAAATCTTAGCTACTGTGAACACTGCTGCAACAAACAGAGTGCAGATATCTCCTTAATATACTGATTTCTTTTCTTTTGGATATATAATCCAGCAATGGGATTGCTGGACCACATGATAGCTCAATTTTTAGTTTTTTGAGGAACCTCTAAACTGTTCTCCATAGTGGTTGTACTAATTTACATTCCTACAAATAGAGTACAAGGGTTCCCTTTTCCACACATCCTTGCCAGCATTTGTTATTACCTGCCTTTTGGATATAAGCCATTTTAACTGGAGGTGAGATATCTCATTGTAGTTTCGATTTGCATTTCTCTGATGATCAATGATGTTGAGCACCTTTTCATATGCCAGTTTGCGTTTAGTATGTCTTTTGAGAAATGTCTATTCAAATCTTTTGCACATTTTTTTGTATAGGATTCTTAGAATTTTTGCCTATAGAGTTGTTTGAGCACCTTATATATTCTAATTATTAATTCCTTGACAGATGGGGAATTTGCAAATATTTTCACAAATTTTGTGGGTTGTCTCTTCAGTTTGTTGATCATGTCCTTTGCTGTGCAGAAGCTTTTTAACTTGATATGATCCCACTTGTCCATTTTTGCTTTGGTTTCCTGTGCTTATGGGGTACTGCTCAAGAAATTTTTGACCAGATCAATGTCCTAGAGATTTCCCTCAAAGTTTACTTTTAGTAGTTTTATAGTTTGACATCTTAGATTTAAGTTTTTAATTTATTTTAATTTTATTTTTGTACTTGTGAAGGATAGAGATCTTGTTTCATTCTTCTGTATATGGATATACTGTTCTCCTAGCACCATTTGTTGAGAAATGATTTTTTCTCCAGTGTATGTTCTTGGCAACTTTGTCAAAATGGGTTTATTATAGGGGTGTGATAGGTGATCACTGGCAGAGCTGAAACTGAAACCTATCTTCTTATTCCAAATCTATTTTTACTTTCATTACTAGCTACTGTGGCCAGTCTTGTGGCGATCTGAAATACCATACTGTATGAATTCTAGCTAGATGAGCTGTGTTTTACTCAAATATGCAAAGGCCAAATGGCAATCTGCTAGCCAATCTGAGGATGGTTTCACTAAACTTTCGCCTCTATTCCTATTCCACTTGTTAAGATGGTTACGATATTCTTTCTCAGGGCAAAAGAATGTGTTTGCTTCATTGCCATCCTTTGTCATTCTTTGTTATTGACAACACGTTTGCTCACTCTGTGGGAACTCAAAGGAGAAACTGAGGAAATAGTCTCCCAGAGGAAACTCTACTTATAATGGCAACAAGCGTTCAATCTTTCAGTAAACCAATGGAGAAATCTGGGCCCTATTCCAACCCCCACTTCTCTTTAGACTAGCGGTGTCTAAGACAACATACAGGGCTTAGATTTTTTTAAATGGGAAACTGAGAAGCCAGCTATAATTTCTGGTTTTCATCCACCATATTAGAAGTAATATGACTCTCTTGATAAATTTTAAAGTAGTGGTCACTGTGTAAAGTTGAGATGAACCCTCTACCCAAAATATGGTTAAGTGTTGAGACTGATGACATATATGCAACATGGTACAAACATATTTTCTACTTAAATAATGAAACTTTCTGGGAAGAGTTGGAAAGGCCCATTAAGCAGTCCAAAATGGGCTTGATGAGCAGGGGGTAGCAACCAGCTTAGAGTTTTATGGAAGTTAGAAGGTGGGCCTGGGATGACGGTCACTCTTATCAGCTGAGCATTGTGTAATTTTAACTTCCCACTAGTCCCAAAGGAAGGAACACCAGACTTCTTATTAGCTTTCCCAAATGTGGGACATAAGGGGAAGGGAGAGTTATGGGGCATGAAATCTGTCAGTAATCAAATACCAAAAATGGTATCAGTCTGTTTATTATACCTAATAAATATTTAAGCAGTTGATAGAAAGAAACACTCTTTTCATCAAGCTTTATTTGTAAGTCCTGTCTTTACAATATGCCCACTCCCTTAAGGATGATCAATTCAGATTCTTGGGGTATTGGTGGCCTTCAAATGGGAATACTCGCTTTCCCAAGATGTCTTTATGCATAAAATAAAGCTAGCAAACAAACAGAACAAATGGTTAGGCAAATATGAACCTACCTCCCAGGAAGGGCTCCACCATCACAATTACGTATCTCTTTTGCATATCAGCTCTTTACAAAGGCTTTGACTGCCCACAGGGACTTGTACACTACACTGCGTGCTGTTCATACTTCCTGAAAATTAAACAATAGTGGTAAACTGGCAATCTACAGGCAAGGCACATAGCAGAGCAATCTGGCTGCTTCTGAACGACCATCAACAGGATTTGCTTCCTTTCATCTCATTCGGCTATGTAACAGAGTGCTTGAAGTACCCCCAGGAAGTTCCTTTATCCTTGGCAAAAGGGGTTTGTGAGTCTTGATTTCAATGCCCTTTTATGCTACTGACTGTCAAAGGGGTTGCTGTGCAAGTAGTGAATCTGTAACAGAAATGACAGCCATGACAGCCTCATAGAGCCAGCGTCAAAAATATTAGTGAGCAATTTAGTAGGCCATCAAGCACATGAATAGACTGGGCCTTTTGCCATGTATGATCCATCTAGGTGGGAAAATATTGCAGCAGGATCAGAGAAAAGAGGTGAGTGGAAATGGCACTCTCTGATGTTGGAGGGACCTTTTCGTTTTCTCAAAATGCTGATTACCATCAGGCCTGACCCATGGTCATTTTTTTCTATCTAAGAACATGCTAGGGGATCTGTAGGGGCCTCTGTAGGGAGCTCAAAGGAATTATTCCTCTGGTCTCTATTGCAGCTTTCACCATGAGTTTTACTACAGCTTTCTCAATTAAATGTATCACCTAATCTCAGATGCGCAATCTCAGCCCATTTTAACTCTGAAAGTCCATTCTAATTCCCCCTTTTAACATTAAGCTTGCCTATCTATAATGATACTTGTTCATGATTATCATTACTGTTCTAATGGAGTAATAGTTATAAAATGTTTTACATTACCGAAGTTCAGTTCTGTTTTCTAGCTCCTGCATCTCCTTTAAAGTTAGATCAGTTTATTTATTTATTTTGACTTAATGTACACTGTTATTTTTGCTTGCCAGGTTAGGTGTTTGAAAGAGCACGGACCACACAGTATATTAACATTTCCACTCTGCATGTTTCTGTGTGTGTGTGAGTGTCCACCCTCTATATTATATTTTCTTTATTTAACTACAGCTATTTTCTAATTCTTGGATGATGAAAGAAGATTGCTGGAAACATTCTGTAAAGTGTCTGACTAGACCATAAGCTCCGTGAGAGCAAGAGCTTCTATTTTCCTTATGAGGCCTCAGTGCTTAGCATACTACTGAGTTTAGAATAGTGCTCAGCTAATAGTTATTCAATGAATAAATAAGTGAATGCTAGAGAATAACTTTTTCTCGTACTCATTTACCAGAATTGTCTGCACTGCCTGCCACTCTTGTGCTTTTTAACCTTTCCTTTTACCTCTATTTTTGGACAATATTTTAACTCATTGGTACTTATAAATCATGGGCAGTGTAGATTGGTGGATGACATGATATGCCCTGACATTTCTTCAGGTGCTAACCTTATCTCCATTGCCACTCTTCCGTCTTCCATGCTTAAATTACTAAACATTGATCAATATTCACATCTGATCTGGAAATTATCTAGCAATGGCAACTGAGTGCTCCTCCCTGTTCTTTCTAGGAATATCTTTCCATCATGGTGCTTTTCCCCTTATTTCTTGGTATATCATGTGTCCTGGGACTAATAGTTACAAGTTATTTTACACAGGAAAACCATATCTCTGCCTTTTAAGCTAGAAGTCCTGTATTTAACTGTATGATTATTTAGCCTGCTGCTTCTGTGACCTCTCAGTTTATAGATTGCATACTAGCTAATATTTAATTTGCCCTAAACCTAGAGTACTACTTGACCTTAGTTTATTTTTCACTGACACAGAAGTCCCTACCAATCCTACCACTATGCTCAAGCTTTCTTGTCCGGCAAAAACTACATTTGGAACTTCCTAGAGTACTGAGAATGAGCACAAACACCAAAATTTCCATGTTTTCTTTCTGGAAAAAAAAAATCTGGAGCAGATGTTGACTATTCAAATACCTATGGGGGAACCATGTAATGTGCATATGGAAATTAAGTCAGTTGTAAGAAAATAGAAAGTGGTCAGTGCTATTGATAAAACAAAACATGCTTTCCCTGACTAAAGATTATCAAATTCTATTTTTGTAAAAAGTGGTCTAATAAAACCGTAACAAAAAAAGTCTAATACAACAAAATGCGTCTTTAGGCCATATTTAGATTGCAGTTTACACCCACTGATCTCAACACTCCTTGGCAGCTTACTTCTTTCACAAATTTAGTAAGTGGTATTTGACTTTGCATAGAAAAAGATGGATGGGAGAAACATTCAAGCTTCCTAGTCTTTTGGCTTCAAGGTTAAGTTTGAATATCTGTTTTGTCCTTTGTTAAGAGTAAATACAGACCATTGCTTCCACATTTGGGCATTTAATCCTTCTACAATCTGTTAGAGTGTGCAGATAGCTAGACATGAGCAGGAGGGGAAGCCCTTGAGAAAGGAAGTTCTGGAACATTTCCTGTCTCAGAGACTACCTGAAACTTGCACGAAACATACATGCTAAGAGCAGAGGGGAGGGGAAAAACCTATGCAGAAAGGAATGCCTGCAAACACCTCTTAAGATGCCCAGTAACTGCTGACTTTGCAGTTAACCTGTCAGACTATAGCCAGCTACCTGATGATAAGAAGAGAAAAGGGACAAAGGGGAAATTCCTAAGAGATGTGCAGACACAGTAAGTACAGATTTGACCACTATACGACCTTCCTAGGCTGGCAGTAATGAGCAACGCTGCCATCAGGCAGAATTTGTATTGACTGACCACCTGGCCCACAGGTGATCATCAACTGAGTGTAAGGAAGAATCCCACAAACTTAGGGCAGTAACTAGCTGAGGGATAAGACAGAGACTTAAGAGAGAGGCAGGAACTTAAAAAATGAGTCTGACATAAAAACCGCAATGCAGAACTCTCAGGGCTGCTGGCTTATTCTCTTTTGAGGAGCCCACTCTGTCTGATCTTTCAGAGCATACTGTCTCTTTAAATAAACTCTGCTACTACTTAATCCTTGCAGCTACTGCTGCTGTTTTCCAGCCAGACCATCCTGCTCCTCTCTTAGAGTGTACACTATTTCCTTAGTAAAACTCTCTGCTCTCTTTATTAAGTTATCTCTTGGCCAAATTCTTTCTCCCAAGAAAGACAAGAACTGAGAACCCGCACACTTCCCAATAACAAATCTACCTTTCTGTTTCCTGTCAATGCTGACTACCTGATCATTCCACTTTACTCATGGAAGCTTTTGATACCCAGTTAAAATGTTTACTTTCCACTGAAATATCTTATGATCATCCTGAGTGTCTTCGACAAATGTTGTGAAAAGCAAGCTTTTGAACTCTGGGCTCTTGGCCGCTGACTTCCTCATTTTTAGGCATCATTACTTCCACACCATTTCATCTACTCATTCATATGATCACACTCTGAACCTTCTTCTCATCTGCAGATGTTACTCTTTTAAAATCCTGAACTCAAACATTCCATTCGCTTCCCTAATTTCCTAACTTTAAAGTAGTCTAATAAGTTACTGCTGATCATCCCCCTCATTTAGTTATTCAATCCTTTGGTCTACCTACTTTTTCTCTATCAGCCTCCTCACCCAATCCCTATCCTTATTTCATTTCTTATTCATACTAGACTTCAAGTTACCATTACTTTCATGACTCTCTTAGCAATATTTTCAACTCCATCACCTATTTTTGCTGTTGAGCTTGCACAGGGAACACATGTTGATTAATTTGATACCCTTGCCTTTACATCTGAGGTGCTTAACACAGCTGAAGAATTCACAGAATGGTGCAGTTTGGTTCACTGTGCATTTGAAACTGCTTCTCAATCTTCCCATGTTTTTATAACCATGTTTTTCTAATCTTTCTTTCCAATTTTACACCGCTCAGAAGACACAATTTACTGAAATTGTTTACCCTTTTTTACCCTAAATTTTTTACCCTGAAGAGCATCAGAAATTTTTTACCCTAAAGAGCATCAGAAATTTACTGATGTTCTTTCCTCTCTCACATAGTACACCTCTGCTTCTCTGCTGATTCCTTTCCACAAGCAGTTGAGCATTCTCTTATTGCTACATGAGAAAACACACATACACACACACACATACACACACACACACCCCACTTCTCCATCTCATATCCCTTCTAGATGCAGTAGTGTCTTTCTCCATTCACAGAGTTCTTGATATAGGTACTGTACTTTTTCTGCTTCATTGTCACTCATTCCTCTCTCAGCGCTTGATTCTTACTCTTTTTGCCAAGGTTATCCTTGTTGATAAATATCAGTTTCAGTCAATGTCTTCCCAGATCTTTTAGCCATATTTGGCACCATTGACCTTCCTGTTTCGTGGAGGGTATTTCTTTTGCTCTTTTTTAGATACCAGCTCTCTTGGGTTTTCTCTTACTGTTGTGGCTGCTGCTTCTCAGTTCCATTTATTTTCCTATACCTAGACCTTAAATTCTAGTTTCAGTGTTATACTCTCCTCTCTTCTTCCTCTACGCAATCTTCTTTGGAGATCTCAATCAATTTATTTATCATCTATAGAATGAGCACTCTGAAATCTGTACCAATCTATATTTTACATTTTTTGCTTCCCACTTTGTATGCCACTGTGAGGTGTACATCTCATATGGAGGTCCTTGAGACACTAAAGCCTAAACATGCCTAAAATTGAACTCATTACCTCTCGTAGTCTTAATTTTGTTTCTGTCATACTCTTCCTTTTCCCCATGAATGGCACCTTCCTTCATCCAGTTGCTTAATCGGAAAGTCGAAAATGTTCTTCCTCTACCATTTTTCACAGTGAACTATTAATGCTACCAATTATACTACTAAACATCTAATCATTAAATCTATTCAAAATTTTGTAAAAAATTTTAAAAAGAAGCAGGGTATAATAAGAGTGTATTAAAGGGAAATCTGATTTATATTATAAAGTTTATAAAGAAAAATGACATACAAATTGATATCTAAAGAGGGACTGGAATTATGCAGATGTGGAGAATGAGAGTGGCAATGGGATGGAGAGCCCTCTAGTAGAAAGGAATAGCATGTACAAAGAAGGACTAAGGCACAGTTAAGGAACAGAAGACCAAGTATATAAAAAGTACCAAAGTAAAGGAGAGAATACAGGAAGATAAGCGGATAGGAAAAGCCATGGCTAATTCACCCAGGGCTTTGTGTCTTCTATTAAGAATTTTAAACTGTATCTTGAGAAAAAAAGAAAGCTATCAATGGGTTGTAAGCAGGAGAAATTGCCTGATAATTTGTCATATAGTATCTATATAATTAGAAGTGACTAATTTCATGGTGTTATTTTCATATGTATGTGTGTATATATGTATATTGACACACACACATACACACAAACACAAAATAATTCAGAAATTTGAATTCCCTCTTACTTTGCTCTTATACTGTTCCTCTATGTTTCACTATGTTGACCCAAATAACCAGCCTGCTTAACCAAAGAGTAGAACCTTGATGAAAGGAATATTTCTAATAACCCAATCACTTCTTTCTTAGAAAGATAATTTTGATGTATTCTGTAAAACACATTATTCAGGAGGTTATTAACTATCTATATATTTCACATAGATTTGGTGGATGTCTTCCAAAGGACCATTTGTTTTTTTCAACCCACAATATGTGGCACAAGTGGTGGCTATTTTATGAACTGATCACCTTTATTTCAAAAGTTATAAGAAAAATCCTATTAGTGGTTTGGGGATTTTATTCTGATTTGACAAACAATGAATAGCTTTTTCTGATAGCACTTTTAGGATGCAGCTGGGTGAAAAAATCAACCACAAAGGGAGCTCTATTTTATTTATCATTAGTTTTGACATGCTGCCACAGATGTTTTCTGGGAACCATTTAACCTGCTTAATTTGTCTCTGTATAATGGGAAGCAGATAGCCTCAATTAATGCACTGATTAATAAATTCTTTAATGAATTTCTGTAGTTTTACTCATTATTGCTGATATAGTACATTGAATCCTAGAAGCTGGGATTTCAGCATTATTAGAACGTAAAACCCGAACCATTGCAGAATTGCTTTTCTATGGCATATTTGTTGTTTACTGGTGACTTCTCTTTTGTGTATATGTGTAAGCAGGGAAGACGTTGAAACACAGGAAAATGAATTCATAGACTTGTGGAGTTTGCAAATTTGTTGATGAGTCCATGTAAGCCACATATAATAAGAAACTGGCTGTGGCAATCCCTTGGCAACTAGGAATATGATTATTCCTATGAATGTGTCTGATACCAGGAACTAAAGCAGAGTGCAGCCTCATTATGTGGTTTTGATGCATACATCAAGAAATATATTTATTATGTATATTACATATTATAAATATATGTAAGGAGAGTTCATTTGGTGCTACTTCCTATAAGTAGGAAATAAAATATCTATCCCTGGGAACAGGATTAACTCTTTCAAAAGGTAGCTTAACCATAGCAGCAGGATTTATGGAAAAGCATTAGAAAGTTACATTTGCCCTGAAAAGGGAGTAGTAAACATCTACTATTTATGCATTACTAAAATAATAGATGAATCCTCTTCTCTGGCTTAGTATCTTAGTCTTCTAAACAAGAGAATTTAAGACCTGTGGGATCTTCTAAATAGCATAGGTACTTGGATAGCATTGGCATTTTTTGTTAGAAAAGGAATATAGAAACTGTGGTCAAAGCATCAGGCTTTCTCCTATGAAAGTTTACGGCCAATTTTTCTTCTGCTTCTATTAGGGGCATTTATTCTTATAGCTGCAATGTGCCAGATCAAGCAAAGACCAAAGTATCCTGCAAAGGCCTGTTAGAGAACTTCTCTTCCACAGAAAGGTTCTTCCTTGTTGTCATATTTTGTGATAACATAAAGTTTCATGACATTTATGGAAGTGTGTGTCACGAAGCAGATGGCTTGTTAGCCCATTTTATTAAGCTCACTCATATACATACAATATTAAAACTTTTTCAAGTTCATGAATTATAAAAGAACACTAGATGCTGTGTAGTCCAAAGAGTCCTTTAATTATTAAAATTAGATATGTCAAAGAATTCAAACCTGAGTGGAAATTAAAGATGGGCTTTGAATCAAGATAAGGATGCTGAATTTGTTTCTTGCAAAATTACTTCTCTTCAGGAGGTAGTGGATTTCTACTAGTATTACAAGTACTAATTCAGCTTTATCTCTTATTACTTCCTGACATAAAGCCTTTGTTAGAGTTAAACTTATATTACAAGGACTGTTCACTTCTCTAAGAGGGTGAAACATGCTCTCTTAACTGGGAGTTTTTGTACATCCTCCCCTCATGTCTGAAAGCCTTACCTGAACTCCCATGTGTCCAAATTTCATAAACCTACTTAAATGTCAAGGCCTATCTCAAACAAAATTTATTTTAAGAATACTTTCATGATCTTTGCAATCATGTGTGATTTCCTTCGTCTCTGAATCACATCATACTTCTTAAGGATATATTCCATCTTGCCCTGCATTATTTTCATGTATGTGTTTGTTATGTGTCATACATTAGATAGCCTTTGTAAGGCTGATGACTCTATTTTCTTTATCTCTGTACAGCCCCACATTGCCTAATGAAGTGGCTTCAAAATATTAGATGCTTAATGGATATTTATTGAATTTTATTTTTCAAAGTTTCTTGTAAACTTAAAATATGATTTTAATATATATTTTTCCACCAATTTAAATGTTGAAACATTTAACACTGTTGAATGTTGAAATGTTGAAATATTAACCTTTTAAGCAATTCTTTTTACTTTGGCTCTTGAGAAGTTCTGAGCTGTTTTCTGCTCATTTGTAATACCTTCTCTTAGCCTTTGCTTCTGATGTAATTTTTCTTTCCTCTTCTTTAGCATCTGGATCAATATTTTTTACTCTTATTTCCATGGTTATAGATTTTATTGTTACTGCTAGCTACCTCAGATTCTTACTCATTTACCTTTCCAACATTTATTGTCTTTTAGGTTGTAGGCATTATGCTGAACAATAATGATATAAAGATTAATAAAAACATAGGCGACACTCTCAAGCAACTCACAGCCTAATAAAACTGAAGTTGGAGTACTTAAACAATTACAACAAGGAAAATAAAAACAAAATCATAGCTTTCAGTTCTTTACCCTTTTGTAGAGGTGGAAAATCATTTATGCCCCAAGGCAAATAGTGCTTTTTAGTGGCTTATTTTCCAGATTTCTGTGAAAAACTAGATAACCTTTTCTTTTCATTTATCAATCATCTTTTTTTTTTTTTTTTGAAGCAAATATATCTTCATGCAGATAGGATGCCAGGGAAAATACCTGGTAGTAGCAATACCTATTAACCTTTTTGGTACTGCAAATGTTTTACTTACTTTGGTGGAAATGATTAATATTTTAACCTATTTCCTTTTTTTTTGAAACGGAGTCTCTCTCTGTTGCCCAGGCTGGAGGGTAATGGTGCGGTTTTGGCTCACTGCAAACTCCACCTCCTGGGTTCAAGTGATTCTCCTGCCTCAGCCTCCCGAGTGGCTGGGATTACAGGCATGTGCCACCACATCTGGCTAATTTTTGTATTTATTTATTTATTTATTTTTTTAGCAGAGATGGGGTTTCACTATGTTGGCCAGCCTGGTCTTGAACTCCTGACCTCGTAATCCACCAGCCTCTGCCTCCCAAAGTGCTGGGATTACAGGCATGAGCCACTGTGGCCAGCCTATTTTAACCTATTTCTAAGGTAATGTTGAACCACATTACCAGAAAAATGTTGTTTTAGTGTCAAACTCAAAAGAAAGCCATTCGATTTGACAATGAGTATCCTAATCTGACACTTTCTTTCTTGAAGTGTATCTACAGAAGATTCATAGCATGATGTTTATCAGTGAAGGGTAGAGGTTGGATATAATATGAAAATGTTATTTTTCACAATATCTTACAACATGTTCTTATTTTTCAAGGTGAGATAGGTTTAAGTCATGTTTCTGAAATAATTCAACATATAATTTTATTTCCCTAGTTACTATTGTGAAAAGAATATTAACACACGGGACACTTGAGTTCAAATTCTAAAAAGTCAAATACAGTCATGCACTGCATAATGATGTTTTCGTCAGTGACAGATCAGATATATGAGGTGGTCCCATAAGATTATAAGGAAGCTGAAAAATTTCTATCCCCCAAGTAATGTCGTAGCCATCACAATGGCAGAGTGCAATTACTTTTTTTGTTTTTAGAAATTTAGTGTAGCCTAAGTGGATAGTGTTTGTAAAGGCTACAGTATTGTGCAGTGATGTCCTAGGCATTCATGCTCACTCACCACTCACTCACTGACTCACCCAGAGAAATTTCAAGCTCTACAAGCTCCATCATGGTAAGTGTCCTATATAGGTGTGTACCATTTTTAATTTTTTATTCCACATTTTTACTATACCTTTCATATGTGTAGATATGTTTAGATACACAAATACTTACCATTATGTTACAATGGCCTACAGTATTCAGCACAGTCACATGCTATACAGGTTTGTAACCTAGGAGCAATAGTCTATACCATATAGTTTAGGTGTGTAGTAGGCTTTAAGTTTGTGTAAGTACCCTCTACAATGTCAACACAATGATGAAATTGTCTAACGATTCATTTCTCAGAATATATCCCCGTTAAAAGTGCACATAAAAACAGAGAAGAAAAGGTCGGTTACCAGGAGCTGGGGTGTAGGGCGGGGAAATATAGGTCAAAGGGTAAAAATTTTCAAATGTCTAGGATGAATGTTTAGAGATATAAGGTACACCATGGAAGCTATAGTTTTAATATTGTATTGTATACCGGACATTTGCTTAGAGTTGATTTCAGGTGCTCTTACCACACACACAAAAAAGCAAGTACTGTGTGAAACAATGGATATGTTAACTTGATTGAACATAGTAAATATTTCACTATGTATATCAAAACATCACGCTGTACACCTTAAATATACACAATAATAAATAAATAAATAACTCCAAGTACTTAGCTCCAAAAAAAAATTGATCATGGAAAGAAACCTCTCTTGAAACCTCTTCAGCCTTGATTGTCTCATCTACAAAATTAAGAGACTGGACTAGTGCAGTCACTAAGGTTCTTTTCAATGCTAACATTTTATACTGTTACCGGTTTGATTCAAGGGGTCCTGCAAAACGAAAATTAATATACTTTTATTTATTCAGATAACTTCTTTTATGTTCTTTTGCTTCTCCTAGTTAAGATGAGAACTTTATTTCATTAAGTTTACTGCATTAAAAAAGTTATTCTGAGTATAAATGTTCTGCTCCTACAAACCTTAGGACTATGAAAAAGAGAAAACCGCGTTTGATCTCTGCATCTTGGCAGACAGTAATTGGACTGATCGCTTTGAAAATTCACTGTTGGTCAATTAGCTATAGCTAGTCCTTTTAAAGTATGCATTCAGGGTGACTAATTTTACGTAAAATTATGTACAAAGAGTCACATAATTAAAGTGAGATCCCCATTTGTTTGTAAAAGGATGATTTTTTCCCCAATTAAAAGCAAGCAAAATGAAGCATGAGATTTTTTCTCTCTTAAATCATTACTAAAACCAGTATCTGATTATATATCAACAAAGTAGTAGTTTAAAAACAGACAGACAACCAAAGCAGGGTCATACATGCATGTATAGTATTTAGGGACTGTCATGGGTCCTTCTCATTTCCATTATAATAAAACTCCCGTATCTACCTGTCAAAATTGTAGCCTACTCCTAGGTGATCTGGCTTAATTAGCAGTCATGAAGATTATCATGGCACATTTACGAAAATTTTTTAAATGTCCTTCAGAAACTTGACTGGGATAACTACATTGTTTTTACTGTAAAATCAAAAGGTTATGCAGTCCCCTTCACATCCTGACCTCTCTGAGTCAAACCAATTACGGGCCAATTTTTGATAATGAGCAATCATATAATCATAAGATTGGAAGAGACCTTGAGAGGGCATCTGGTTCACTCTCCCCTACCAAAGTGGGGTGGGCTGCACTAAAATCATCTTGGAAAGAAATCCCTACCCTATTCTTTGACATTTTTAAAGCAAAGGATCCACTGTCTCCGAGCTCTGGCTGCCCACAGTAGTAACTCCCTTGATCCTGCACCCTGTATTGGCTTTCTCCTCTTCCCTGTCTTATCCCCCACTCCCATGTTCATGTTTCCTGGGCTCAGGTCACAGAGAAACTGCTTTTCCCCTAATCCTCATCTCGGGGTCCACTTTGGGGGAACTTATTTAAGACACTCTACATATAGCCTTTAATGAAGCAGAAAGAAAGAAAGAAACCATTAGATTGGTCACATTAATATTAACCCAAACAAAATCTTCTGATTGGTGTATTGTTACAAAAAACAGGTTGCAAAATATTAACCCAAACAAAATCTTCTGATTGGTGTATTGTTACAAAAAACAGGTTGGAAAATATCCTTTGCGAAAAATAGCTCTTTCCTGCATGACTTACTACTGCTGTTTCTAAATCTTAATCTGCTTTTTGCTTAACTTTCATGATGGTAATAGAGGTATCCATATCAATAATTATGCACTTAAACCATTATCCACAATGCAGCCATTTCATCCAGGAATAGGTGGAACCCAATCCTTGTAATATTTCTGGGATGTTGAAAAGCTTTTAAGGGAACATTTGAGGACATCTCTCCAAAAAGATTTGAGAGTCTCATCCTACCCTTATTTTTCACAGATGTAGGTAAATATGGGTTTGAAAAGAAATCACCTCAGCTAAATCTGTTAGAGCTATATTTTGTTTAAATAATGTGTACAGGGTCCTAAAATGTCAGTTTTTCAGTTTAGTTCATTAAAGTTAACATAGATCTAGAGCTATTGATAGTTTAAAATGCCATTTAGAGATAGAGCATGTTGAATAAACTTGTCCATAGCATAGCTAAGGGGCCACATATACTCAGCCTCCACTCCTGCTTTCTATTCTGTGTCATGTGGGAGATTTTAAAGGGTAAATGAAGGTCATCCAATTGATCGCCATAAATAGTATTCTGTCACCACCTCCCTAAGAGCAAGAGGGTGAATCTTTGTGGAAGGCAAATGACAATGATCAAATTCTAAATTTTCTCTCTTTAATTCATTTTTCCTTTTCATCATTTTATAGAAATAGTGAATGGGAAATAAAATGATTTTTTTTCTCTCTTTTTTGAGTGATAAAATGCATCTTGGTATACCACTAGCTTTGGGGTATCCCTGAGCTCTGACAGCTTAATTTTCAGTTGGGGTAAGTACAAAGCCAGGCCTTGAGGGCTGCTGTCTCTGGTCCCATTCTAGTAGAACATCAGAAGGAAGGCTGGGCATGCTGGCTCATGCCTGTAATCTCAGCACTTTGGGAGGCCGCAGTGGGTGGATGACCTGAGGTCAGGAGTTGGAGACCAGCTTGGCCAACATGGTGAAACCCCGTCTCTACTAAAAATACAAAAATTAGCTGGGTGCCTGTAATCCCAGCTACTCGGGAGGCTGAGGCAGGAGAATTGCTTGAACCTGGGAGGTGGAGGTTGCAGTGAGCCGAGAGCGTGCCATTGCACTCCAGCCCAGGCGACAAGAGCGAAACTCCGTCTCAAAAAAAAAAAAAAAAAGGATTCAGATTTGCAGAAAAGCCTCCCTGCTTCCTGTCTTTGTTGTCTCAAGCCTGCTGCATATGGCACCTTTCCTTTCAAACCCTCACTGGGAATGACAAGTCAATTGGACTTCGTTATCTGATTATGTGCTCATTCTCCAACAGGAGAGTAAACCTATGTTGTATTCAACCTGCTGGACTCTGGTAGGTATTTTTTCTATCTCCTCTTCATTCCAGTGTTGAGGGAGATTTCCCCCAACTAAGATTATGAGGATGTCTGAACACACAGCACCCAGTACTGGACACATGAGGCTGACAAAAGTTTCTAAGTCATGGATAGTCACAGACGCCGGGAGTAGGACACTACACAATGCAGGGCCGCACAGGGCTTGTGCATGAGAGCAGAGTGAATAAGCATGGGTTGTGAGAGATAGGATCTATAGTAACAAGAGGATGCTGTGATCCCCGGTTCCTGTGGGAGTATGGTATTAATTTTGTTGACTACCTTAATGTGATGATAAGGAGGTGAATCCTGTTAGATTCACTTCTGACAGAACGGGGTGGAGTGTAGCTGCTCTAGCTGACAAGGGAAGCAGCTGGGTGGGGAGCCTTCCCATTTCTGTGAGGGCCACATCTGGTGAGAGCAAGGAAACTCATAGTTCGTTCTTTGGGGTCCTGTGAGGTTTGAAGATGGCAAGGCAACTCATGAAATTTTAGGCCTTATAATATAGTAGATTAGGTTTTATTCTGGGAATTGGAGACCAATTAGGTGTGTCCCTATTATCCTAGTCACTGTCTGTGGTTCTCTGAGTAGGATTATCCTTGCTATTTGGAGAACTTTCTATCTATTTCAAGTTCATCCAGTTTGGGCTAAACTTGGGATATTAATTTAATCTAGTTGATTATTATATAGAATCAGTTTAGATTAAATATAGGCTCAACACATTACATGTAAACTTGTGGATTTCATAATTTGCTTTTAGGCACAATAAGCCTCCAAACCTACTTTTCTTTAACCTTATCCCTGTATGTTCCTGATCTTCTGAAGCCTCATTATACATTATGACTGGTTTTTAAATCTCCTATGCCAGGTGAATCAGTGATCTCTAAGAATAATTTTAAAATCAGTGTCTTCACACCAATCTTACTCCAATTTCTATTCACTTATTTATTAGAGACAGAGTCTCACTCTGTCACCCAAGCTGGAGTGCAGTGATGTGAGTATATCTCATTGCAGCCTCAAACTCCTGAGCTCAAGTGATCCACTTGCCTCAGCAGCTGGGACTACAGGCATGCACCACTACACTCAGCTATATATATATATATATATATATATTTTTTTTTTTTTTTTTGTAAAAATGAGATCTCACTATATTGCCCAGGCTGATCTTGAACTGGGCTCAAGGGATCCTTTCACTTCAGCCTCCCAAAGTGCTGGAATTATAGGTGTGAGCCACTGCACCCAGTCTTCAACTTCTAATAGCAAATAAAATAATAATAATGAAAAATATTAATAGATATGGTTATTTGTTTATTATTATGTGCTAGCTGCTTGGCTGAGTTCTTTATATATATGTTCTCAGTGAATCCTCACAATCCTAGTTTCAGAAGTGAGGAAAGTTAGACTCAGTGATCCAAGGCAACTTTTTCATAATCAGGCAGCTAGGTAATGGCAAAGTCAGAATTTAAATCTGAGTCTACCTTGACTCTAGGGATTTGCTACACCTATTATAAAACTCATAAAAATTTAAGTGATGTGATTAAGCATTTCAGAATTTGCAAATGAAGATTATGAGTTCATGGAGATTTGGGAAAGCTTGACACATGTAGAAACCCCTGAGCCTGACCAGGACAAGTGCCCAGTGCACTGTTCCTGGATGTCCTGCCAGCACTAGACCTCTGCTGCCAGCCATTATCTCACCGGATAACACCTACGATGCAAGGCAGAGGGCAGAGATCCTCTGGGAGTCACATTTTAGTGTGGGAAGGTAGCTTTTAATGCAAGAGTAACATCTTTGTGTGAGAGGGCAGCAGACATTAAAATGAGTCTATTAGAGCTGTACATTTTGGGAACAATGCCATGGGTCGAAGAGTAGAAGGGAATGTGCCTATAGTGGCAGTGAAATATTTCAAGTCCTTTGGGAAATTATACCAATAATTTTTAGTGTTCAGTGGCAGTGTCTTCCTCCATTCCCATTTACTATTGTGGCTAACGCAATTGTATAAAGAGAAGTTTGATATTCCTTAAAATTATAATTTTTCTCTCGCCTTTTTGCTGGATGTCAACTTCAAGGGAAGAAAAATAAGACAGACTGATTTTCTGAAGGATTTATAGCTTTGGCGTCACCATCTGGGTGGGACCTTGGTACCCTATAGGCATCAGAGTAATGGAAATTTTCCATGCTCAGGGTTGATTTGAGTTTGCCTATCTGGTCAGTGCCAACTTATTCTGTGGGCAGCATGTGTGAATCCCAAGATATTTTAGTTTTGTTAATCTGATCAGTGCCAGTCCATTTCTGGCTTTCCTGTCCACCTGCTGACTCCCTGGTGCTGGCTTCCTGCTGGTTTGTCCATCTGTTAAGAATTTATTTACAAAATACACTAAAATGCAAACTGCACCAGTGTGGGACTTAGCTTCCCCTTGCCGAGAAAATGGCGTCATGCCAGAGAATAATTTTCAATTGTTACTAAGCTTGAATACAAGAAATTGGAAGATTCAAGGGACTCTTACTTCCACTTGAAATCCCTCAGGCAAAATGTTAATGAAAATCATCTTTATTTCCATCCAGGGTAGGCAATGATTATACTACATGAAAGTATAGAGTCTAATTTCAGAGTGGTTTGTAGAAAGAGCATTATATTGATAATCAAAAATTCATAATTATAATCCGGGATCTCTCATTACCAGTTCATATGATTTTAGTCAGAGTTTCAATTTTGAAAAAGGTTGCATCTGTCAATGTCCAAAATTCACTCCAGCAGAAAATCAGGATGTTTTTCATTTGCATGTAGATATTCACATGCATGTACATTAAGCACATGGATGCAACACATATGGAAGTCAATATAAAACACCTGGAGATTATTCTGGCTTGACTGTTGCCCCACACTGAGCGGAGGATGCTGTGGTGATTTATAGGTTGCCATGGTGGCAGGGGAGGGGCAAGATTTTGGTAGATGAAGTAATAAAATCCTTCAAGGGAGCAAAAAAATAAAAATAAAACAAATTCAAATAATTCAAGAACTATTAAAGGAAAAAGTAGAATATTTATGGAGGTGAAAAGAAAGCAAAAAAGAGAGAAATAATCTGTAGTTTTTCAATTTTTTTTTCTTTAAGGTTATGTGTATGAGTGGCAGAAATGAGATATTATTCACAGCTGGGCACAGAGTTGGTGATTAGATCAAGATGATAAAACAAAGATTTAGAGGAAATTTTCACAGATATGGTTTTGGGGCCAGTAAGGGAATTCTGTTAGAAGGCTCCACATCACTTACACCCATTAAAAATAAGATTCTCAAAATTGGAGCTCAGTAACTTGTGAAATTTTCAGCTTTCATATGCCATTATACACTGACTTAATGGTCATTACATACAACCTTTTGTTAAATATCTTCATTGATTACCTTGAGGTAAGACGTAGAAGTAGTTTGGCAAGATTACATTTTTCTGTGTGTCAGGTATTCCCAGAAATACTCAAAAATGATAAAGGTGAGAGCATCCCAGTTGCCTTTGTTCAAGTTGCTATAATAAAACACCATAGACTGGGTAATTTATAAACAACAGAAATTTATTGCTCACAGTTCTAAAGGCCGGGAATCTAAGATTAAGATGTCAGATGATTCAGAATCTGGAGAAGTCTCACTCTGCTTCAGTGATGACCCCTTCTTATGGAGTCTTCACATGGCAGAAGGACAAACAAATTTTCCCCAGGACTATTTTGTAAAAGCACTAATCCTATTTATGAGGGTGTAGCCTTCATGACCTAATCACGTCCCAAATGCCCCACTTCTTAATATTGTTTCATTGGGGATTAGGTATCAATCAACATATTAATTTGGGGGGAGCAAAAATATTCAGATCATAGCACCAGAAAAGGTAATATTTCATGAACTCTTTTTTGGGGTTCCACAGATAGGCTAGATTATATTGATATTACATGTTGAATTTTAATTAATTTATTTAACAAATATTTATCTAGAAACTACTGGCCGGGCATGGAGGCTCACGCCTGTAATCCCAGCACTTTGGGAGGCCCATGCAGGCAGATCACTTCAGGTCAGGAGTTCGAGACCAGTCTTGTCAACATGGTGAAGGCCCATCTCTACCAAAACTACAAAAATTAGCCAGTCATGGTGGCTGGGGCCTGTAATCCCAGCTACTCAGGAAGCTCAGGCAGGAGAATTGCTTGAACCCAGGAAGCAGAGGTTGCAGTGAGCCCAGATCGCGCCACTGCACTCTAGCCTGGGCGGCAAGAGTGAGACTCCGTCTCAAAAAATAAAGAAACTACTGAGTTCTGATTCTTATAAAGTTTACAGCATAGAACGGAGAAGAGAGAGACATTAAACAAATCATGTTAACACATATTTTGTTATAATTTAAGAATATATTTTATTTTTAGAGCAATTTTAAGTTTGAATAAAAATTGTGCAGAAAGTAGAGAGAGTTCCCATATACTTCTTCTTTCTCCTCCTCTGCCCCCAAAATTTCCCCTATTACTAACACCTCACATTAATGTGGTGTATTTATTAATGAACTAATATTAATACATTAACTAAAGTCTATAGTTTACATTAGAGTTAACTCTTTATGTTGTGCACTTCTGTGGGTTTTGAAAAACATGTAATGTCATGTTTCCAACATTGTAGTGTCTTACAGAATAATTTCACTCTCCTAAAGATGTCCTGTGCTTTGCCTATTTATCACTTCTCTCTCCACCTTCAAACCCTGACAACCATCAATATTTTTACTGTGTTTATGCTTTTACTTTTTCCGGAATGTCATGCAGTTGAAATTATGCAGTATGTAGCCTTTTCAGTCTGGCTTCTTTCAGTAAGCAATATGCGTTTAAGCTTCCTTCGTGTCTTTTAATGGCTTGATTGCTTACTTCTTTTTAGTGCTGAATAATAGTCCGTTGTCTAGATGTTGATCGTATAAAATTCTCATACATATAAATAGTTTATTTATCCATTCACCTGTTGAAGAATACCTTAGTTGCTTTCATTTTTGACAATTATAAACCAAACTAATATAAACTTTTGTGTGCAGGTTTTTATGTGGTCATAAATTTTCAACTGATTTGGATACATACCTAGCAGCACTAAAGCTGATTCATTTACCACGCCTGTGTTTGACTTTGCACAAAACTGCAAAACTATCTTCCAAAGTGGTTGTATTCTCACCAGTCATGAATGAGAATTCCTGTTGGTCCATATCCTTGCCAGCATGTGGCATTGTCAGTACTTTGGATTTTGCCACTCAAATAGGAGTTTAGTCATATCCCACTGTCGTTGTTTTGCAACCCCCTAATAATATGTGGTGTTGAACATGTTTTCATATGCTATTTGTCATTGATATGTTTTCTTTGGCGAAGTGTTGGTTCAGAGCTTTAGCCCGTTTTTTATTGAGTTGTTTGTTTTCTCATTGTTGAGATTTTGTGTTTGTGGAAAATGGGTTTTTCTTTTTTTCAAAAATTGCACCAGAGTAAAGCAGAGCTCTAGTTAATGTCATTAGCAGTGTTACTCTCACTATGATTTCACTGGACAGTAGTGTAATCCCAAGAAAAATGTGTTTCATTGTCAAATTTTAGGAATGCTTTGTATAATTTGGATATGAGTCTATCAGATACATGCTTGTGAAGTGATTTTTTTGTGGAAAACATTCTATCAGGTCTTGCTTTTTTTTAAATCCACTTTGATAGTCTCTTTTAACTGATAGACCATTTACGTTTAAAGTGATATTGATATTATTGATTGGATAGCTACCTTAATTATAACAGCTTTTTGTCATGGGTTTTTTCTTTTTTTTTCTTCTACTATTTTTCTGACTTTTCTGGTTTTAATTGAGCATTTTATGTAACTCCATTGTGTCTCCTTTCTTAGTATATTAATTATACTTATTTTAAAAATATTTTTAGCCACATCCCTAAAGTTTGCAATATGTATTTACAAGTAATCTAAGTCTACCTTAAAGTAACACTCTATACCTTCGTGGGTAATATAGGTACCTTATATTTAATTATGATTTTATTAAGTGGTAAATTAGAACACACATATATTGGTTGAACTCTAAAATTAGCACAATATATAATCCCTCACATATTTTAATATTATGGATTACTCATAAAGATTTAAATCTAATGGAAATATTAGGCAGAGTATGGTATATTGAATTATTCATCTCAATGTTTTACTCTTTTGTAATAGTATTATTACACCTCATGACTCTGTGGTGAATGGTGTTGAAAGATAATTCTGTATGGATTTTTTTTTTACATTTCTTTATAGTATGGATCTTCTTAGCTGTTTAAGTAGAAAACAACTTAGGAAGGTAAAGATAACATATCCCTGCAGAGAGATTTAGAATCACACCTTCTTCCGGCTGGATCCTGTCTCCCTATGATCCCTCCAGTTCATGGCTACTGTCCCACTTTGAATGGGCTGAGAATTTGAAATCTGTCCAGAGTCATACCTCCTCACAGGTATTCCAAGAGCGTAACCATAAACCCTAAAAGCAGCATATATGAATAACTTAGAGTCAATAATTTTGAATTATTTTAATTTATATAGATTTATATATAAATCTATATAAATTCTTTTAATTTATATTTATTAATAAAATGTATTAAGTTCTTTTAGTTTATATTTATTTATATATAACATTAAATATATATATATATAGCAAAATGAATCTCTAGTTTATGGAATTTCAAGCACTGTGGAAAAGGAAATGAAAAACATTTAGGCAAACAGTGTCCAAGGCCTCTGCTAGCACATAAAGGATCTTTGGACATCAGAAGTACCCATTCCTTAAGACACCTTACTTTCATCTGTTGGAAAATTGTGATATGCTGACTTTGCTGCAACAGACCACTGCCATCTGCCAGGAAATTGTTGTTCTAAATAAACGAATTGATGAGGTCTACAATGTGAATGGTCCCCTTTCAGATATGTTATTGTCTTTGGGGCACAGCCTGTAGAACCATATGGGGCATCCCTGAGTGGGAGAAAACTTTTCTCAAAATTTTCACCCTTTAGAAAGAGATCCTAGCCTGGAAGTCTGCACCAAACTTCAGGTCTCTTAGAACTTCTCTGCTTTCTACAGACTGCTGAAGCCTCAAGTAATTTTCATGAGAGGGAGATTAGCAAGGAAAAGGAAGTCATGTTTGTTGAATGTCTACCTACTAGTTACCATATGTAGCCCTAGACACTTTATAATGTCTCATTTAATCCTCCTCCTAACACTTTGAGTCAGGTTAAATTATATGTGTTACAAGGAGGAGGAAACTAAGGCTGGCAAGTGCAAATGATGTTCCCTGCTAGTAAATCGTTGACCCAGGTTATAAGCCCAAGGTTGGCTCTTCCAAAGCTGAAGACTTTCAATGACAAAATTCTACCATCACACATGAATTCTTGACAGTATAGGTGCAAGAAGACTGAAAAGAAAGAGTTCTATACAAGTATGTATCCTATGCCCATGTCTCATCACCTTGGGAGTACAAATTATTACCTTTCCAGGAAACTAAAAATCTTGCATTAACTACTAAACCAGTGTTTTTCTGACTTTACTTTCACCACTACCATACCCTGGGACCCCCTGGGAGAAGGTGTCAGTAACGAGGGCCCACAATGTGGTGAGGTCTATAGGACATTCCAATTTCATATGCTGTCACCTCTGGGGATTTGGGATTTGCAACAGTGGTAGAAATCACAACTGTAGCTGCTTTCACTGTTCTGTATGTGTGGCTTTAACATTGTTTTCTATTTATTGTTTATTATCTTAAGAAGTAGTAGTTTTTTAGGGTGTCTTTCATAAGTTAGGGTACCTGATGTTACTTCATGGCTCTGCTGTGGGATATTAAAAAAGTCACAAAAATTTTCTATCCGTGGATTTTCGCAAGTGAAAAACAAAGGTAATAAACGTGGTATGCATATAGCAAGATTAAATATATTAATATATATAAGGGAATTTTAGATTCATTGTCTTTGTTGTTTTGAAGGCAGTAGCAGCAGAGGCTGTATTTTTTTAAATGCTTGTCTAAAGCTGACTAATTATTAGAATTTATTTATAAACTTCCTGTGATGATTTCACTTGCCAATCAGCCCCTGCCTTCTTTCAGCAATTCTCTGCTGGTGCTGCTAATGCCTTCCACCTGTACATTGAGGTTCACTCAGTTTCTGAACAACATTGATCTTGGTAAGCTACCTATTAAGAACATCAGCACCTCAACCTATGGGACATGGAGCTAGTTTTGCTGCCTTTGACTGGATTCTGTCCTAGGCACCTATAGGCTCTTCAAATTGCAGCCTGCCCTTTATCTCTTTCTGCACCTGGGAAAAGTCCGCTTTGCCAAAGTCATTTAACCTCACATCTGTTTGCTTACTGATCACTTTGCTTAATGAACGCTTTATTTAAAATTTAACCCACTTTGCCAATTCTCTCATGCCCTTTCTTGTCTTGCTTCTTTTCTTTGTTGAGGTGTCATCATTGGGCTTTTGGCTTGATTTTGGAATGTGGTACCTAAGCTTTCCTCTAGTACTGAAGCTTTTTTTCTCTTCTGCAGTCCACTTGCTGGAGTTAGACACCCTCCATAGCTTCTTCTAGCTGGATCCTATCTCCCTATGATCCCTCCAGTTCGTGGCTACTATCTCACTTTGAATGTGCTGAGAATTTGAAATCTGTCCAGAGCTGCACATCTGAGGCTAATGTTACCCGCTACTTGGACTTTCCTTGATGCAGCTCACCTAATGCAATAAATCTTCTGAGTTTTCCAAACTAGGCTATATTGACCACATCTCTTATGACTGCACCCAATATTTTAAGCTTCTACTTTCCATCCAGAGGCAAACTTTTAGGAAGCTGTCTTTCTTAGCCTGTACCCTTTCTTCCTAAGTTGCTAAAGCTCTATTATAACTCATGCTTCAGTTCATGTCAAGTGTCCATACTAATGAATTTCATCCCCCAAAACTGTTTTCCTACATTGGCTCATACCTTACATCCTGCCTTTTACTATTTTCTGTCTTTCATAACAAAACAGAGTGAGTAGAGACACTTTGTAGTCATGTTTGAGTAGGGAGCCAAGAGCCTATGACTCCTAGAGGCGAGCTTGCCTCTCCTAGCACAGACAGTTAAATAATGCTAGGCAGTCATGCATTTCTGCCAGAGTTCAACAAAACAAATTTTCAGAAGTTCCTGTCAGTAAAGAGGCAAGCAAGCACACAAATAGAAGTGGACTTATGGCAAAGCAGTGCTGTTGTAAAGAGAAAGTGGTAAATTTAACTATGGGCCTTTTGACTCCACAACGTATGCAGCTATCTCTACAGACAGAAAAAAAAAGCCTCTAAGCATGTTCCACTGAATTTTATTAAACATTGTATTTGAAATCAGCTCTGACTGAATCACACTTTAGGGTTTGTTCAATGCGATCTGTAGAGACACATTATTAAAGTGCCCTGTTCCAGGATAAAAAGTCAGATCCTCATTAGCTGGGACAAAGAATGTTAGCATCCAAGCTCAAGAACGGAAGGAAAATCCCTATCTCTGTGTGACAGATGTGGGAGTTAGTGGTATTGTCGCATAACCCTGGGAATTCATTAAAAGTGTCAGGCTGTGTCACAGGGGCATGTTGCATTGACAGCCCAAGTGGAAAAAAAACAGTGATAATTGCTTTCATTCCGTGCTTACCTTTTACCTTAGCAAGGAAATACAATTGTAAATAACCTGATACTGACACATTGCAAAGTTCTGAGCAGAAAACTGCTTTGTGAAATGTACATCTCAAGGACTGCAGGGCACTTTTCGTAAGAGAACTAATAGAGTTTATCCAGCTTCCTTTACTTATGTGTACACTAAACCCCCTTATTCTTAACTAAAGCCAGGTTATGTAGTAACTCTTGACTTCTTGAGACAAAAGACAGAGTAATCAATAGTGAACAGCAAAATATAGTAAAAAGAAAGAAAGAAAGAAAGAAAGAAGCATAGAGAGAAGAGAGAGAAAGAATCATATGTTTTAGAGGCAGACATGCATGTATTGAAAATCTACTAAAGTTCTTACCGGTGGGAGAGAGTAGTTACACTTCTTACTATTTGACATTCTTGTTGTTAGCTGGCAAAGCACACAAAAAATCGGGAAGAATGTACAAAATAGTCCTTTATCTGATGTGGGGTGTATCTTTCTATTTATAAGAAGTCCTCAGGGAGCTTGGGCTTCCGAAATGGCCTTTCTAATCTATTTAGCTTTTCATCTTCCATCCTCAGAAGTCTTTCAGTCTCCAAGATTAGTACACACCCATCACCACACCCTAGAGCAGTTCAATCAATTTGATCTCTTCATGTGTTTCCTTTATTTCCTCTGCTCTACTTTTCTAGGGTATCTCTGTTATTTGCTTCGACCTCCAGCTCCAGTTTTTTCCAGCTCTTTCCAATCTGTGTGGGCCCTAAATTGAAGGTAAAGTTGAGAATATTTAGGACACCTTCAGTTTTTGTAGATAGCCCATCCATAAGCTAACTTTATCTTTAATCCTGCCAAGATGCATCTTCTTTAACCTGTTGCTGTGCACTATTATGCTAAATAGTTTTAAGGCAATGTAATCATCCAACAGGTTCTTCCTGCCCACTGCACAGGCAAATTTACTGAGACCATGGTGTTGCAGTAAAGAAAAAGTTTAATTAACTCAAGGCTGGCCACGTGACAGAACTGGAGTTATCACTCAAATCAGCCTCCCTTAAAATTCAAAGCCTAGGGTTTTCGTGAATAATCTGATAGGCAGAGGCCTAGCGAATGGGTACTCTTGCTTGGTTGAGGATGAAATCATAGGGGTGAGGAAAATGGTACACATGTGCTGAGTCTGCCACTGGCTGGGCAACTACAGGACCTGCTGAGTCATGAGTCATGGGTCCGGGTGAAGTCAGTAGGTCGACAGAATGCAAAATTCTAAAAAAAATCTCAGAAGACCAATCTTGGGTTCTACAATAGTGATATTGTCTATCGGATCAATTGGGAAGTCACAAATCTTGTGATTTCTGGTCACATGACTCCTGAGCTGTAAGGGATTATAGAAACTACACCTGCATTTTAGCAGAATTCAGGCCCCTCCCATAACCCTCATCTCATGGCCTTTCATTAGTTTTTGGTCCCTGAGCAAGGAGGGATTTAGTTTTGGAGAGGGCCTAGTATCCTCCTTGTTTCCAAGTTAAACTGTCAACTAAATTCCTTCCATAGTCAGCTCTGCCTGCACCCAGGAATGAGTGAAGATAGCCAGAATGTGAGGTTAGAAGCAAGACAGAGTCAGCCATGTTAGATTTCTCTTGCTGTTGTCATAATCTTTGCAAATGTGGTTCCAGTGATATATTGAAAGTAACTCAGTCTTTTCCCCTAATGAATCTTAGAGCCAACTGACTCTTTGTTAATCTTAGCCTTGTTATGAACTAGCTCTTTGTAAGAGAGAATGTGTTTATATTAACATCAAGTTTTAAAAAGAAGTGGCACTAGAAAAATAATCCTTAGTCCTTTCAATTTGATAAAAAGTATATATTAATGCCTATTTTTTAAAAATAAAATAAAGTAGAAAATGCTCTAAAATGTTTAAAAGTTAATGCACATTTAATAAACAGTGACTTCTAGTTCTTAGGGCTAAACTACTGAAGAGGATCTGATAATTGACAGGGATACATTGGACCCTGTCAAATGTATACTTCTTTGTCATTATTATTAAATGTTATACTTAAGGAAGAGGACATTTGTATAAATGAGATATTGTAGCAAGCGAATTCTAGAAAAAAAAATTTATTTGTGGGAAAATTTTTGCATCTGCTACCCAATGCAACTTTAGAGTCATGTAAATAGCATTCAGAACTGGATTTTGATCTTGACCTTCTGACTACAAGCTATATATAATGAACCAGGCAATTAAGGAGGTGATTTTATTCAGGTTGGTACAATAAGGCTAACTTTCATAATGAGAAAGATTACAAGGAAAAGATAGGACTGAGGTCTTATGGGGCCAGTCAACAAAGGAATTTTGAAGAAACATGGAGATAGGCCTTGTCTGAGTCATTGAGAAGGGGTGAAGGTGGGTCTTATCCAGGACCATTCCAGTTCAATGTAATCTTTTGCAGTTAGCTGGTTAGGTGGTGAGCCTTTCTGGAATATGGAAAGGTTGGGGGATGGGGGAGTTGGTTCCAACAGTCCCTAATTTCTTGGAGTATACAGTCAGGTAATGTTCAAAGTTGACAGTCTCTTCTTTAATTTAAGGCAAATATTGCTCATTAATTTTGTGGTGATATTTTTTATATATATAACAAATATATACATATATGAGTGGTTTCTGAGTGGGTTATAACAAGGTCAAAAAATAGGCCTCTGGAGGCCTTTTCTGGGACTTGATCCTGCAAAACCAGTTGAACCATTTATAGAGAGGTAGTGAAAAAAAAGTCATTTGTTTTGATGAGTTCAGTCATTTTTAGAAGTGGGACACCTAAAATGAAAAAGAGAAACATTAATATTAGAGATTATATTGAAAAGCCAATAGCTTAACTCTGAAGTTAACCAGTCCAGTGAATTTCAAGACATTGAAGGAGGAAAATCTGTCAATTATGCAGCATGGATCATTGAATTTTTTCCAGTACTCTAGATAGTATGTCAATGCTTTCATTGAAATTGTCCAGTCTTAAACCTCCTATATAATGACATGGATGATCTGAGCATTTCATTCAAGCTTTCTTAGTGAATCAAATAATAATTTGTCTAGCGAGAAATCCAGTCCATATATGGCCCAGTCCATATATGAGGTCTTCCATATCACTGAGCTTTGGTTCTCAAGGCTTCTTAAGATCCTGAGGAAAAGGTCAAGCTGGAAGGGAACAGAGTCTGGATGGGGATCTGGGTTTTAAGGTTTTAGCTGTCAGTGACCTTAGGTCAGGTGGGAGGGAGAAAAATTGGAAAAGTTAGTTTGGAGGATTGTAGCCAAATACTAAAAGAAACGGAAAGAATTCAAAGTTTAGCAAAGATGAACAATTTGCAGGTAGGTAAGCAAATTATCTTTTTAAAGGGTGGGAGAAGGAGGAGGAAATAAATGAAATCTCTACCAGATAAGAGAAGATGAGTCATTGAAACAAAGAATTCCTCAATAACTTTACCTCGAAAATAAAATGAAATACCTAGAAATATATAATTAATATTTTTTTTGGAAACTCTTTATTAGTGTTACATCACTTATATTGCATGAAAATATTTAAACCAAATAAAGCACAATATATTGTTATTTATAATAGTAGTTGGATTAGTAAATGAAATTTTTTAGGATATCATTACAAGCACCAAATATTGCTAGAGAAAATTAATACATTTACCTAATTCTCTCTTTGGAAGTTATAAAAGTGAAATTTTGAGAAGAGAGAAAACATCATGCACAGTTTAAACTAACTTTTGCCACTTACATACACACGTATACAGACATTTACAGACACATATGCATAGGTGGGTTACATTTATATGCTAATAAGTTACTATGATTTTTTTCTGGATATTAGTGCTATCAGTGAATTAGGATTTTTATCTTTGCACTATTGTATTTCCTACAAAAGAACATGTATTAGTTAAATTTAAAAAGTAATTAAATACCTGGAGCAAAATAGATCACATTAGTAATGGCGCTTAACAACACCTGAGGAGTCACATGAAGACTATAACAACAAAGAGAAATGAATCAAATCTTAAAAAATAAAATGTGGGCTCACAGTAAATCCTTCAGACTGCTATTTAGTTAATAATAAGTGAGAACAGCATTTAATTTATATTCAGAATAAAAAACATCAGTGGAGAATTTCCTAAATTTCCTAGAAAATAAATATTAAAAGATGTAGTATAATTTTTTATTCTTATAGTCAAATGAATATAAGTTGGTTTTCAGAGTTTACTTTTTATTATTAAAATACTCCTATGATAATCTATCAGCAAATTGCCACAGGCTTTGATATTGACTTTTGATTGCTAAAATAATCTTTTTAATTTATTTTTTTACTCTTTGGACCAAATATAGGTCTCTATATTCTTTTAAAGATTGAAAAGTGGCAGAATATACCACTCCAAAATATGCCACTGTGGCATAAAGATTATTTTGAGCTGAAGGCAGCTGAGAAACAGCAGATAAAAGCAGAGCTCTATCTTCCCCCATTTGCCTGAAAAGCAGGACAAATATTTAAAAAAGCATCTCTCTTCCCCTCTCTTACCAGAAGCACAAAGGTTGATCACTGAAGATGACATCAGCCTGGAGTCAGCACCAGAGGAGCCTATGTCACAAGCTTTACTAGCTGGAATGTATTTAGTTCCCCATATATTTGCCTTCCCACAGTTTTCTGCCCCTGGAGACTCTAGGCCCTTTTCCCTTTGTTCTGTCATTTCTTTACAAATTTATTGTTCTTCAGTGATGATGCTGCTTAAAAAAGAGTTGTAAACCACTTCGTTGAGAGGTACATTTTCCCTGACTTTTCTCCCATATGTATGAGGTATACATGTTAATAAACTTGTTCGTTTTTCTCTTGTTAATCAGCTTTAGTTACATGGGTCCCAACTAAGAACTTAGAAGGGCAGAGGGAAAATTATTTTTCCTTTCTACAAGATGGACATGTGATTAAAATGGCCATTAGTATATCAGTAAATTTCATGTTCTTATAAAGCAAAATTTATCAGGGGAGAATAAAACCTCTCTTAATAGAAGGAGACTAATGCAAATTTTGTAGAATTAAAATAAACTGTTCCCAGAAACAACATAGTAACTAATAGAATATATCTTTAATATTAAAATGTCAGGATAAAGCAAAATTAGATTGAATGTGTAATGAGAATTATCTTAAAAACCATCAGAAACATCTAAAAGCACTGACAGTTTTGCATATGACACAAAATATTTGTCTTAAAAATAAAAAGCATATTTAAATGAGTTATTTGGCATTGGGGGAGGCTTTTGTGTGAAGAGTCTAGCAATACACTTCTGTCTCTGGAATAGGGAATGGAAGCCAAATCCAACACAATATAAGGACTACTGTGTTATTTTGAGAAGCACAATAGTGAAAATATAATATGGTTTCAAGGGTGACAATGGCAGCAACTAGAATACCACTGGGCAGAATCACTAGGCTCTTGGGGGCTGTCTCTGTCCCACCCTCCCTTGCCTGTGAGTCTCAATTCTCTCATACTCAATTTTGGGGTTCTTAGAGATGTTTTGAACCACCACACTGGGCAGTATTTAGCTGAGGCTTATTTCATCAGTTGAGGCACAGCAAATTTTGGGCCCAGCCACTGTCATCTCTCCTAAATGATCATAGAAAACACTAGACAGCTATTGACAGGTGCACTCTCAGACAATAGCATAGCAAGAATGACAGGCCTTTGACTAAGTACAAGAGTGGTTGGAAATTTGGTTTGATTCCCAATCTAATCTATTGTTGCTACAACAAAAACTTTTTTTTTTCTTCTTAAAGACAGAGTCTCACACTGTTGCCCAGGCTGGAGAATAGCAGCATGATTATAGCTCACTGCAGCCTAGAATTCCTGGGCTCAAGCAGTCTTCCCACCTCAGCCTCATGAGTAACTGGGAGTTTAGGCATGTGCCATCATGCCCAGCTAATTTTTTAAAATGATTTCTTGTAGAGATGGGGATCATGCTATGTTGCTTAGGCTGATCTTGAACTCCTGGCCTCAAGCGATCTCTATGCCTTGACCTCCTGAAGTTCTAGGATTACAGGCTTGAGCCACCATGCCAGCCAAATTCCATTCTTGACTTCCTACTTGGCTATTCCTATCGGATTCCAAGGCCTTATTTGGAAATTAAAAAAAAAAATTGACTTCCTTCTTTCCTTCCTTCCTTCTTTTCTCTCTGTCTGTCTTTGTCTCCCTCTCTCTTTTTTTTTTTTTTTCCAATATCAGTCCTTCTTATTTCCTAGGTAATGTGAATAGAGTCCTGACTAGCAAAAGGGTCAGAGTTAAGAAAGGACCAAACATTCAAAGATTTCTGCTTTAAGAGATTATTTTGCCATATGGATGATATTTTGCCATTTGTTGAATGCCTAGTATATACTAGGTATTTGGATGCATTTCATATAAACCTTCAAAGCAAAGCTTCAAGATCAGTGATTTATAGATGAGGAAAAGATTAAGGGGGCAGCCCTGCTATAAATTCTTAAAAAGGATCTCTGGATTTTAGAGAACACCCTCTTCAGCAAGCAATAGCAAAGGGGCAAAAGAGAAAGATGATGCTCAAATATGAAGTCAACAAAATATAGTATTTTCTGTGTTCTACCAATGGATACATTTTACCTTCAACCCAGTTCCATGCTTTCAAGCCTTTTCTTCAGGTTAGTAAAGATCACTAATCCCCAATTTTATCTGTGCTTTCCTTTTCAGTGCAATGCGATTTACCAGAATGCTCTGAAAGACATAGATATATTTAAAGCTAGATAAGGGAGTACATTATATAACTCTCCACTATTTCACTACAGAAAACATGGCTGCTTTGATAACCTCAGTGAAAATAAGATATTTTCAGAGTTTCCTCCAATGACAGAGGAATACCTAATCTCATAGGCATGACAAGGTCTTATACCTTATATAATTTGATGCTGAATGGTATAAAAAAAACTATCAGTGACCTCAGGCAACATGTGCATATATTTCAAAACACTTCTTCAATATCACTAACAACTGATCAACCAGATTTTGCACAAACGCATTCAAACAGAAATCCTCCACACTAGTCATATGGACTTGAGTTCAAATAAAAAGGCTCAACTCTCAGCACTGTCACTGACTAAATATATGAATTTTCAGCAAGACATTAACCTTTCTGAACCTCAATTTCTTTGTAAAATAAAGAGCCTAATACTTTCATTGTAGAATTATTATGAAGATTAAATTAATAAAGGAAAAAGTAAACTTTAAACATTTCAACTGAGTTCTACTTTGTAGATGGCATACATAAAATCATGCAGTATATAATGGTTGCTATCAAAGGCTGGGTTTCTTTAAAAGGTTTGAGTACAGGTAGTTTATTTGTGGGGTCGTCCAGGAAACACTGGTAAGAAAGTAAGGAAGTAAAGAATGGAGAGAAATTTAATAAAGTGTGTTATTGAGCAGGTTTCTACAGTGGGCAATCTATGTTCAGTTATGCTAGAGAACTCCAGGAAGCAATACAGAATACTCCTTAGCAATGTTGCATTCAAAAAGTAGAAAAAATTGGTGCTTATCTTCAATTGCCTGAGTCATAGTCCTAGGAAATTTAATGCCATGGCACTCCTACTCCTGGCTCCCCTGTGCAGAAAGAGTAACAGGTGATTGCAGTTAAAAGGTGTTGGTGTGTATCCACAGCATTTATTATAGATGATTAATAACAAAAACTGGTAATTAATAATAATTTAAATATCAATGCTATAATAGTTTTAGATTTTCTAAATCTTTTGCAAAGGTAACAATATGACTTGGTCTTCCTACAATCTTTTTTTTTTTTTTTTTTAAGAATGAATGTTGCTCTTGCTGGGATGTTCAGTAGTGATTCCATGAAACTGAAGTCTGTATTATGATTTGGTCTTGAGCAATAATTATTTTTACTCCAAAAGAAATTATTTTCTAATTGCCATTACTCTTAATTATTAATAATAACTGAGGGTAACTGAAAGAGCTGCATTAAAATATAAACTATGCTTCATATGTGATTTATAGATATGTGATTTACAAAATATAGAAATTACAGAAAGATGTATATGCGATATCTTTTGGAATGCAGTATGACATCTCTTTTTGTTAATGAGTGTACCACTTTGTGTTGTTATACAAGGTTAAAAGTTGCCACTTCGGTTTGAACGTGATTGAGGTAATGAAAAGAAACCTCATTTGTACAACCTTCTTCCCATGTGAATTATACCATTTTCTTAGAATTACATAAAATTTTAATTGGTACTATGTATGAAATTTTCTTCTGAAAGCAACATATTGATCATTTCTGCAAAACACTATTAGAATGATCTCACAAATAAAATTTTGTAGACTGTTTTCACATGAATATTTGTACTATATGATGGAGAAGATATGTAACTACTATAATTGGAGAAATACTGCTTTTTATAGTTTCTTTTAAGAAGTCAGGCCAAATGCAGTGGCTAATGCCTGTAATCTCAACACTTTGGGAAGCTGAGGCAGGAAGGTTGCTTGAGGCCAGGAGTTCAAGGCCAGACTCTGCAACATAGCAAGACTCCGTGTCTCCAAAAAAAAAAAAAAAAAAAAAAAAGCTGGTTATTGCTGGTTATGGTGATACACCTGTAGCCCTAGCTACTTGGAAGGCTAAGGCCAGAGGATCTCTTGAGCCTATGAATTTGAGGCTGCAGTGAGCTATGATAGCCTTACTGCACTCCATCCTGGGCAAAAGAGCAAGACCTTGTCACACACACACAAAAGTCAGACACTTACATTTCTTTATTATTTTACTTGCTTGCTAAATTCTCTTCCAGAATAGTTGAGACTTGTCTCATATTTATCTTGAGCACAATGATAAAAACATGATAGGAGGTGTTTAAAACTGTTAATTTTGACAGGTTTACAGGTAACATAGTAATAAATATTAAATTTAAAATATTTTTCTATCAGTTTTTTGGTTGAATCTTTAAAATGTTGAGGACAAAATGATAGTAGCAAGTTGTATTTCTACATTCCTTAGTGAGAACTTACATGATGAAACCCCTAAAGTGTTATGGATTATCTTCTTTTAGTGAGGTATAGTGGTTAAGAATATTTCTTTTTCCTGTGGCATCATTCAAGTCTCACTATGTGAACTTTATAGTTATGGTATGAAATCCCTCTCATATCAAAGTGAAGCAGAAATGAACAGATTGGTGCAAGTAGACAACAACCGATACCAGTCTCTAAGGTGCCAAGGACTTCTTGCTCTTACCTGCTCTTGGCCAGGTAGTGAATTGGGTGTGGAAGTTTTCTGTCCTAGGAAGGAGGCTTGAAACCATATTTGGGACTCACTGGCAATTCTGTTTGTTAATGAGGCAACAGACCTAAGAATGCAGGGAAATGTGTGCACCTAGGCCAGCTACCACCTCTCTACTCCACTGCGATCAAGTTTAGCTGTTTGGTATTATTCCTCAGAGTTGTCAGAAAAATCATAATGAACAAATAAATTATAGCCACAATAGGTACATTTAGAATCTCCTTCCAGACACTGGGCCCTGTGCTTTACAAACATCATTTGAAGGAACTTCCTTTTCCTTTCTCTTTCCTGTGAAGAAAGCTTCATTAGAATACTTTTTTGTCTCTTGCTATACCCCTATAGTCAGTACTCCCTTGAGATGAGGCAGGCAAAAGAGGTATGCTCTTCCCTGCTCTTGACCAGGTAGTAAATTGGGTGTGGAAGTTTTGGTCCCAGTAAGTAGGCTATTGTACAATGCTGTTAACAATTCAGAGGGTCAGTTTAGGTCTGGGATAGAGTATAATCAGCAAGCCATGGTCATCACTATAGATTTATCATAAATATAGGTAATCTTTTTACCTTTATTTGCCTAAATTTTAATTTGTCCTCAATCTAGGGTTGAAAAACAAAGGAGAGTTTTTTTTAACAAATACTTTCAAACATTAACACACAGCATTTTATTTAATCTCCCCCCACTCCCCATCAACATTCCTAGTGCTTACATGTTACCACTTTCGATCTGACAGATGTGAGAACTAAGGGATTAAAAGGTTAACTTGCAAATTTCCAATATAAGAATCATAAATATAACAGCAATAAGGTTTCTCTGTGCATATTACTAAAGAAGACTTATGCCATTTTTATGATCTAGTTCTAAATTGTTTCATTCTTATAATACATTTGTTTAAAAGATAAATATTTTTAAAAATGTATAGTAATGGAATAATTCTACTGTAACCCGAGTGAAAGCTAAGTTTTTTTTGTGCTGTACCCACTGTACCTGGATGTAAGTGCCCTGAGAATAGATAAAAAGAGGTTTGTATTGCATATAGATAACATACAGAGGACACAGGTACTGCTGATAATAAATTTGTGAAATTTATCATGGGGACACCCAAGCCTGTTAAGACCTACTAAATGTAACTTTAAAGTAATGCTAATTCAGAGAGGGGAAAAAATTATGCATCATCTGTCGACAATTTGATAGCCTGTGATATGTGTAACCAATTGTTCTTATTTACATTAATTTGCATTGTGAAAAGCAATTTTACAGTTTCAGTCAGACTTAATAGGCAATTTGCAGTGAGTGCCTAATGGCATAGTTACTTAAGCCTGCCCCAGGGGGGCTTTCTAGAACTGATATGAGACTAAACCTTTTAAATGTTCAATTGAACATCTTAAAAGTCAAAAAGTCTTTAGCTATTAGACCCAGTTTGCATTTGCTTTGTCATATTGAGTGCCACTGCTGAAGACTCCCTTGCATTCAAAGACCATTTCTCTCTGTAGGCGAGAGATTAGATTCTACAAAATATTGTAGCATACACCAGATGACTTTTTCTCCCAGACAATATTTAAAACAATACAGACTCCAGGTAGGTCATAAGTGTTTGATAAGATGCCTTTGGTTCCTAAGACTTGAAATATTTTCTTTTTCTAGAATAAAGCATATGTTAATATGCCTAACATTATATCCCTTTTCAGACTTAAGAAAATAAAGCTTTTACAGAAATATCTTATGTTTCCATACCTTTCTCATTTACAGAATCTTTTCACATACTCCATCTGATTTAGTAATTTTTATGTCTTCTTTTATGATTGTTGCCTCCTTTCTTCTTCCTGGGCCTAGCACATTTTCTGACACATAGTAGGCATTTAATAAATATTTACTGAAGTTTGGAATTACTGAGAATTAGAACAGGTATTATACCTAGCTAATGTCTTGAAGAGTGGAAAATTCAGTTAAATATTGACTGTGTTTACATTCCATGATATTAAATCAATTTAATTGGTGGTTTACCCTCAATGGGGAAAGTCAGTTTTATGGAGGAGACTACACTCCACTCCCATTGCAGCTGATTGTGCCAGGGAGATGCAAACAGTGAAGGTCACTAAGGACTTTCTGTGCTTAGCTCTTCTGTGGGAAGCAGAAGGTGGAGCATTAGATAGGTAAAGCTAGCACAGTATTTTTAAAAGCTACAGAAAGCGACATCATATTTTTAGAAAATTCTTATAAATGGACTTATAAAAGGCAACTTGTATTGGTTCGCTCAACTTTGCACTATGTAATAGAACACCCACGAGAGAGAGGAGAAAATCACACACCTGAGTAGGATTTGCTAGCAAAAATATTAATATGCTCCAAAGAGCAGGTATTATCTTGTCTATAATGTATTCCTCTATGTTTTATTATTATTATTATTTATTTAATTTTTTTTTGAGATGGACTCTTACTCTGTCACCCAGGCTGGAGTGCAATGGCACAATCTCAGCTCACTGCAACCTCCGCCTCTTGGGTTCAAGTGATTCTCCTGCTTCAGCCTCCTAAGTAGCTGGGATTACAGGTGCGTGCCAACATGCCCAGCTATTTTTTGTATTTTTTGTAGAGATGGGGTTTCACCATGTTGGCCAGGCTGGTCTCGAATTCCTGACCTCAGGTGATCCACCCACCTCAGCCTCCCAAAGTGCTGGGATTACAGGCGTGAGCCACCACACCTGGCCATATTCCTCTGTTTTATGCCAAATGCAGAGAATGCATAGTCCCTGGATTTGTGTTTGGTGGCACAGCTCCAAGAAAAAGTGGACTGTTTCAGACTGCTAGTAGCACATGCTGCTTGGAGTTCTCAGACACTTTCCTGCATACCTATAGAAGTAACAGAGAAAAATCTTTTTGGCAAAAGTTGTCATAGATGCCATAATTGTACCAAATCCTAAAATTGAGTGTGTGAAATGGAAAGTGTATATGGCTTAAGAACAAAGATCTGGTTTAGAAGATTCAGGTAGGATTTCACACTCTGCTACTGTGGAGAGATTGACTTTTTAAAATTTGAGACCGGGTCTAGCTCTACGGCCCAGGCTGGAATGTCGTGGTGTGATCATAGCTCACTGCAGCCTTGATCTCCTGGGCTACAGGGATCCTTCTACCTCAGCCTCCCAAGTAGCTGGAGCTACAGGCTCACACCTATGCCTAGCTAATTTTTAAAATGTTTTTGTACAGATATTGTCCTGCTTTGTTGCCTAGACTGGTCTCGAACTCCTGGCCTTAATTAATCATCCCATCTCGGTTTCTCAAAGTCCTGGGGTTGCAGGTGTGAGCCACTACACCCGGCCGAGAAATTGATCTTAAGAAAGTCACTTTCCTTGATAAACCTGTACCTTATCTGCCACATGAAGATATTCACTTCTATACCATGATTATATATGAGGATTACATGAGATGTATATCCTAGGACATAGTGAATAATGAAAAACAATACATGTTTTCTAGTACCTAGCACATTGCCTTGTGTATAATCTATGTTCAGAAAGAATTTGTTAAAAAGGACAGGAAAAGGAAGTTTTCTCCTGTGCTTTACACAAATACACACAGGTTACTGTGGTATCAGGAGTTTGTAAGAGGTCAATTTAGAGAAAGCTGATAGCAATAGCATTAGAATTATAACTCAAAGAGCAGGTAGGAGTTACTTCAGGAATAATGTTGGAATAATACTAAAGTTATGTGTTGAATGGCAGTTTTACACTGAAAAAGATTTTTTTTTTTTTAAGACAAGTCTCACTCTGTCACCCAGGCTGCAGTGCAGTGTCTCAATCTCATCTCACTGCAACCTCCGCGTCCCAGGTTCAAGCAATTTTCCTGCCTCAGCCTTCTGAGTAGCTGGGATTACAGGCACGTGCCACCATGCCCATTGAATTTTTGTATTTTCAGTAGAGACAGGGTTTCACCATGTTGACCAGGCTGGTCTTGAACTCCTGACCTCAGGTGATCCACCCACCTAGGCCTCCCAAAGTGCTGGGGTTATAGGCATGAGCCACCATGCCCTGCCTAAAAGAGACTTTTATAAATAATTAATTGTATGCTTTTATAACTGCACTTTAGCTAGAAGAAATTTGGAAAACTATCATCTATCTATATAATTGTAAAATGGTGACTCTTAATTTATCAAGAGAACTATTAATAATTTGATGTCTTTCCTAAATAATATTTATGGGAATAAGCTTTTGTTGGGACATAGAAGTGGTTGGGTAAGAGTTAAATGTGTATGACATGGAGACTTGGCTTTGAGTCTTCTGCTGGAATGGCCTCTAGAACATCTTCCATTGTTCACAGGAGTCTGGTAGGCCTGCATCTTTAATTACCACCATTACTTCTGGGGAGGGCATTTTTTCTAAGCCCTGAATGTCTGTAGGCCACCAGAACATTTCTGCTTCCTTGTGTTTTCTTCTACATGTGTTTTAAAAACCTTTGTTTCTGAGTGAGATGGCTGTTCTAGGTCTTCAAAACATAGCAATGATACAACTGAGGTGTGGATGACAGCAATGTTGTTGGAGTCCCCTAGTTTATTCTTTTAGGCAGAAGTCCTGAGAGATATCACTATTAGAAGACTTGGGTTTGAATCCAGATTTGTCGTAGGATTGCTCTGCTACCAATTTCATCATCTGTCGATATATACTAAAGGTACACACATGGCACGTGATATTCAATACATATCAGTTTTGTTCTTTATCAAGGGCAAAGGAGTTTTAGAAAGAGGGAGAAATTGTTTGACACTGAGGACAATTAAAAGTCACAAAGAATACAATAATTTTAAAGTGAATTATTTCCCCCAACAGTAATATTGGAAGAAGTTCTCCTATTTATTTACATGTCATCTTTAAATTAGATGGTGTAATGAAATCAACAATTTTTTTAATGATTCTCTCTATTCAAATGTGCTTCACAAATCAGCAACATCAACATCACCCCAAAAGACTGCTAAAAATGCAGAATCCTAAAGCTATCCTCATCCAAGATCTATTGAATCAGAAACTGCATTTTAACAAGATTCCTAGAGAATTATATACACGTCGAAGTTAACTGACTCCTACTGCAGACCAACCCTCTTAATTTATAGGCAAGGAAACTGAGACCTAGAGAACTTCACATAGCCTGAAGATCATGGCCAGTTGGCACCAGCAGTAGAACCAGCTGGGGCCCAGATGTTTTTTCCTTTAGACTCAGCAATCTAGTGGATGTGCACCATTTTTCTGTTGTGTTGCATAGGTCTGTGTCAGAAGTCATTGTATAGGGCAGTGATTGGAGTGACAACGCAGAAACAAATTACTCCTTTTTAAAAATATTTAATCTAATTTATTAATTAGTTATGTTTACTAATTATAAATTATATATTATTTATAAAATATATCTGTTTAGAAGTATGCCTTTTCTTTCTTTTCATATATCACAAAACAACTTTGCTCAAACTCTCCAAAATTATCTTTGACATCAGTCTCTTTGTTTATACTGGAACTATTTTTTTTAACTTTCTAAAATTAAAAAAATAGTCTTGCTTCTTTTATTTTAGGTTCAGAGGGTATATTTGCGGGTTTGTTACACGAGTAAATTGCATGTTGTTGGGTTGGTGTACAGAGGATTTCGTCACCCAGGTAGTAACATAGCACCTGCTAGGTAGTTTGTCAATCTTCACCTTCCTTTCACCCTCCACCCTCCTGTCACCCTCCAGCCTCAAGTAAGCCCTGGTGTCTATTGCTCCTGCTTTGTGTTTATGCGTACTCAATGTTTAGCTACCAATAAGTGAGATCATTCAGTATTTGGTTTTCTGTTCCTGTGTTAATTCACTTAGGATAATGGTCTCCAGCTGCATTCATGTTGCTGCAAAGGACATAATTTGATTCTTTTTTATGGCTGCATAGTATTCCATGGTATATATGTACCACACTGTCTTTATCTAGTTCAACACTAATGGACATCTAGGTCAATCCCATGTCTTTGCTATTGAGAAAAGTACTGTGATGAACATACTTGTGCATGTGCAGTGACAATTTAATTCCTGGAAACAGAAGAGAGGGTTTTTCTTTTGAGATGGAGTCTCACTCTGTCACCCAGGCTGGAGTGCAGTGGTGGGATCTTGGCTCACTGCAAGCTTCACCTTCCGGGTTCACGCCATTCTCCTGCCTCAGCCTCCTGAGTAGCTGGGACTACAGGCGCCCACCACCACGCCCGGCTAATATTTCGTATTTTTTTTTTTTTTTTTTAGTAGAGACGGGGTTTCACCGTGTTAGCCAGGATGGTCTCAGTCTCCTGACCTCGTGATCCGCCCGCCTCGGCCTCCCAAAGTGCTGGGATTACAGGCGTGAGCCACCGCGCCCGGCCAGAAGAGAGGGTTTTTCTATTCTGATCAGCCAAGACACATTGCTTCATAGAAAATCAGTAGCAAGTACAAACAACATGCAACAGAAAGATTTAAGGAAAGTGTAGGTGGTTGCCAGGTAAACACCATGAATGTTAAGTTCAAGGCAGAGCTTCCTTAGTTGGATGAAGAAACAGCAAATCTCTCAAAGAGGCTTGCCTTGGTTGGCAATGCTTGCTCTGCCCAGTATTTCTATTTCCAGTGAATTACACTAGGAGGAACAAGGATTTCAGTCTGTGCCTGCACAGCTAAACCCTCTTCTCTGTTGAGTGATTAGAGAGCGGTGTGGGATTGCTTACTTTAAATGCCTTAATAGAATGAAATCAGGGATGTCATTCCTCTTTTTAAAACGCTGATATCCATAGAGAGATGTAAGTCTAATATTTTGACATATTGAAATTAACAGCTACAATGGTTATTTGCATATGACTATTTCATGTCCTGGGACCTTTTTAAAAGCTCAGAATATTTTCTGATTAAAACTGGAAACCAGAGGAAATAGGATTTGGGAAATAGATGAGTTTGTCCATGTGGTTTGGTTCTTTTCACTACAGAATGAGAGCATTTAATTATTGAAAATTATTTTGCATTTATAATTGATTAATTAATTAATAGATGTATTAATTTAAAAAATTTACAGTTGTTCTCCAAATAATTTTAGGCATTTTCCAGGGATACATTTATTAGGAGATAAAAAAATTGATAATGAATTGGGGTTGCAAAGAAAAATGAAGGTCGCAATATGAAGCTGATGAGTCAATATTCAAAACATTTACTATAAAGTATTACAAATTTAATAGATTTGAGAAGCAATTGTGTGTTTCACATCCTTATAATTGGGGGAAAAGAAATGAATGTAAAAGAATTTATGATGTCTGTAGCAAAGAAGTTGCTTTAAACTCAAAACAACTTTTACTGATCTGTGGCTAGAATGGTCTGTGTTTTTTTTTTTTAATTTTTTCTATAAAGGAAACATTTTGAGATCAAGTGCTTTGTCTATTTCATAGAACTCTGAATAGATAGGTTTTCACATAATTAATCTTCATTTTAAAATTCACCATAAACAAAATTTAGACATGAGATGTTATATGTAACATCTCAAAATACATGTTATATGTAAGAAGATGTTATAATAATTATTGAAGTGCTAGGAATTTTAATTGGTATAGGTAAGATTCTTACTACTAAACATAAAAAAATGTTAATTTACAAAGTAGCTATGAGGAGCTACTGACACATAGTTAGCAGTCTATATAATAGGAACAGATATGCAGAAGACACACAGCAATGAACAAAACACTGTAAACAAATGCATGAGTCCTCACTACCTGAGCGCTGTGAACACACATTCTTCAGGGCACTTAGGTGACATGCAGCCATTAGCTAGTTGGCTTTCACATGCTGTCAATTAATCTTTAAAACCATTAAGGCCTGGCATGGTACTGGAGGAAAGCAATCACAGTAATCTTTCAAACTGGGAAACAAAGATTATTCTACTAATTAGTTTCCTCTCTTTGCTGAAAGCAATTGAAGTCAATGTTGGCATAAGCATACAACTTTTAGCAATTCTCCAAAGGCCTCCCTTTTATTTTTTTTATTCCCCTTTCTCTTTTACATTCTCCTGTTCTTTGATCTTTTTGTAAATCTTTTTTTAAAGTTTCCAGTGCAAAACATAGTCATTTTTTTCATCTGAAAAGGAATTTAATGATTACCAGAGATTCTTATTGAAAAGTGTCTAGATACTAGGAATTGTAAACCTCCTGTAATTTTAATAAAATTATTTAGTGTATGTACATTTACTACTTTATTCTGTAAACATTTATTGCATGACTACTATGTGCAAAGCATGAAGGTAAATAGAAACAGACACGTTCAATACCCTCAGCTTAATTTCTAGCTGAGGAGATTAACATGAAACTAGTGATTATTTAACTATAAGCATAGTAGTGTAGTGAGGGCAACATTCTTTGGGTCTGGGTCCTTGCCCAAATCTCACGTAAATTTCATTGTAATCCTTAATGTTGGAGGAGGGACCTGGTGGGAGATGATTGGATCATGGGGGCCAATTTCCATTTTGGTGCTATTCTCGTGATAGTGAGTGAGTTATCACAAGATCTAGTTGTTTGAAAGTGTGTAGCACCACCCCCTTTTCTCTGTTCCTCCTGCTCTGGCCATGGAAGTTGTGCTTGCTTTCTCTTCATGTTCTGCCATGACTGCAGGTTTCCTGAGGCCTCCCTAGCCATGCTTCCTGTACAGGCTGTGAAACCATGAGCCAATTAAACTTCTTTTCTTTATAAATTACCCAGCCTCGGGTAGTTCTTTCTAGCGGTGCAAGAATGAACTAATACAGAGGGTAAAGGGTAAGGTACTATGAGAGCATGTAGCTTAGGCAGGTAGGGAAATGATGAGGAAATAGTTTTGAACTGAGTTCTGAAGGATGAGTAGGAATTAACTGCGACAGGGATTGTGTGAGGGACTAGGGGAGAGAGGAGTTTGGGGACAGCATCAGTTAGATGAAGCAGCATCTCTGAAAGCTCTGAGCATTTCATGTCAAGGAACTGAAGGAAGGCCAATTAGGCTGAAGCCACAGTGCCTCTAAAAAAAGTAAAGAGACTCAGACTGAATTATACCAGTGGCTTTCCTGGTTCTCCAGCTTGCAGATGGCATACCGTGTCATATAAAGACTTTTGGCCTGCGCAATCACACGAGCCATTTTCCATAATAAATCTCCTCATATACATATATACATACATATATCCTATTTATTAGGTTTTCTTTTTCTGGAGAACCCTGATTAATACAGCTGTGTACTGCTCAATTTTATACAGTCTACTTATAGCTGCTCTTTGAATTTCCCCAAACCTCTTTTTTTTTTTCCCTCACCACACACAGAACATCATTAGTTATTGCAAAATTATAATTAGAGAAGTAGTACCTGCCTCAAGGAACATGAAACACACTTTGCTCAGTAAAAAGTCTGTGAAGAGATAAGTGCTTCACTTCATGCAGCATATTCTGCTTCTGTCAATATAGTGACGGTGGAGGAGGGGCAGAAAAAGGAACAAAGAACCAAAAGCTCTGTCCTGTTTACAATAATGATAGCTGATATGATAGCCTGTAAAACCTCAACAAGATGAGGCAGGGAGAAAGCGAATCAATTTTATCAGTGGGCCTAATGGGACCTTGTTCTGTATCCAAGATTAGCAAGATTAACTCTTCAATAGCAGAGATCTGGAATTCTGTGTATTCAAGCCACTAAGTCACACTGGCCACTGGCACATAAGATAGTCTGGAACTGGTCCTGAACTGGCAGAAGGTTAGTGCAGCTCTTTAATGCCTGTCATTTCTGAAACAGCAGTGCCTAGGTGTATACTTATAAGTACAGTGTTTACAAACTATAGGGCTTTCATTGAGGAGAACCCATTAAAAGACATACCAAGCTATTTAAATCTGAAGCCACATATCAGCAAATAGAGATTGCAAAAGTAACTCCTTTTTCTAACAAAAGACAATCTAATGTTAAAAATCGCTGAAGAGTTTAGAAATTGATTTGTTTTCCCCTTATTGTTGTTGTTATTTTCAATGAAAGAGAGACACAATGAATGCCTTCATTCCACCTTAGTTTTTGTGGGAATATTTTTATGGATAGTGAAAATATGAGTCTTGCTCACATAACTGTTGAGAGAATCAGGTACTACCTCATTAAAAGACCTTATTCAAGGATGTGTTTCACATTGAAATATTGAAGTTACTAAGGGTGATTTACAGATCTTAATGAAAATTTTAGGGGAACCGTGTCAAAAAATAAATAGTAAGGTGAAATGGAGTCACACATTGGAATATTATATAGCAGTTGAAATGAATGAATTACAGGGATGTACAGTTACATATAGACAAATGCTAGTAGGAAAATACTCAATGGGAAAAGTTCTGAAAGATTGAAAACCACATGGTAAACCTGCAAAAATTAAAAACAACCAAAAAGTAACTTTTATATATGCAATACAAATATGTAAAAATAAACGCAAGTGAATGATGATCATGTGATTCAGATGATGGTTTGAGTTGGGAAGAAGGGCAGTGATATGATGAGGAAAGTATATTATTACATTTAAGTGTTGCCAAAGGTCTAGTTGTTCCTTTAGGTGGTGGATTCTCATGTATTTATTTTCTTTTTAAAAATGATTAAGTAACTCTGATAAATTGACTGTCAAAATGGCTTCAATTTGTTCTCTCTTTGTATTCATGCCCCTTGCAATGTGACTTTGAAGTTCCTCCCATGAGAAGGTGGAGTCTGTCTATCTATGCCTTGAATCTGGGCAGGCCTTGAGACTTGCTTTGTACAATAAAAGTGGAGAAGTGATGTTATGTCAGTTCTGTTACAGGCCATAAGATGACTGACATTATTCATTATTCTACTTTCTTTTTAAATCCTTGCTACAACCATGAAAGCAAGTCCAAACTGGCCCCAAAATGTATTAGAGCCCAAACAAACATAATAAAGCCACCTACCAGCTTTCAGCTGACTCATGAGTCAGCCTGAACCAGACCAGAAAAATTGTGAAGCCAATCTGTAGGCTATTGAGTAAAATTAAATGACTATTGCTGAAAGCCACAGAGTGTGAGCTAGTTTGTTATATAGCAATGGGTGGCAAATACAATAACTAACAAATAAGAGCGTCATGTATGGACACCCAATATGCAACAAGAACAAGAAAGAAAGGAAGGAAGGAGGGAGGGAAGGAAAAAAGGAAGAATAAAGGCATCCAAACAGATAAATTTTTAAATTGGGATATAAGATCTCCACCAGAGGCTGGGCACGGTGGCTCAAGCCTGTAATCCCAGCACTTTGGGAGGCCAAGGCAGGCGGATCACGAGGTCAGGAGATTGAGACCATCCTGGCTAACACGGTGAAACCCTGTCTCACTACAAATGCAAAAAAATTAGCCAGGCATGGTGGCGGGTGCCTGTAGTCCCAGCTACTCAGGAGGCTGAGGCAGGAGAATGGCGTGAGCCCAGGAGGCAGAGCTTGCAGTGAGCCAAGATCGCACCACTGCACTCCAACCTGGGCGACAGAGCAAGACTCCATCTCAAAAAAAAAAAAAAAAAAAGATCTCCACCAGAATAATAGTAAAAATATAATTAATAATATTCCATAATGCTCAATGCAAGTTAACATCCAAGAGTTTATTCTTCTAACAGCAAATTTGTCTCTTCAAAGACAACCACCAGTGCTTGACCCATTTCAGTGCACTTCCTCTGGCTTCAGCTTGCCAAAATGAATCTTTAAAACATACAACGTAGGTATGACATGGCCAGAGAGTCAGATGAATTTTGGAACAAAATATTTGGGAAATTAATAGAGTTGTTTGAGATCATTAAGTCTATGACCCTTACAGATGTGGAAGCTGAATTATAGACAATGTAAGCAATTTGTTCAATGCCAATCCACTTGGTAGCTTCTAAACTCAAGAAAGCATAAACTTAAGATTTCTGTAGGTATTTTTTTTCCCTCAGGGAAAAGATATAAACTTACAGCCCGTAGATATGAAAGTGGATACGTTCCAATAGAAAGTTCCTGTATTCTCTTCCAACACCCTACTTCTTATCTATTTAAAGAAGTCTGGAGAGTAAAGGAAGGAAGAGAATTGAAGAGTTTGTGGGTAAGAACACTCTTTACTCCCGCCTTCTTGCTTGGGTGACTCTTGGATAAAGAGAAGAAAAAGAGGATCCATTTAGGAGTTTGGGGGTAAGTCTGAATCTTGGTGGTGGCACTCATCATCTGCAATATACTAAGCAGCAGAATGTTTAGATTTCTCATGCTCTGCAAAGCCAAGGGAGAAAGATCCAAGAGATCACAGAATGCCATTCTTGATCCTAACTGTTTATTTTAATCGTGCCTTTGGAAGCAGAGGAGGCAAACAAGCATGGTCTCTTCCCTTCAAGGGTAACATCTATCATTTTGGGAAAGCTATAGAGCCTCAGCACTACTTAATTTCAAGTTAAGAAATGTCACTGTGGGAATAAAGAGAACATAGTATCTCCAAATTATGAAGTTTTCTTGAATTACTTGCTTTGTCTTCCAAAGCTGTGTGGCACTTTAAATAATTAGGATTTATTAGGTGAGAATGATACATGGTATTAGAAGAGGCTTCTTAATGGAGGCATGATTTTAATTTGCGTGCATGTGTATCATTTCCTAGGTTATCAATCAGTTGATCCTGATAGCTCAGTTGATATTAAATATTTTTTTCATCATAGCTAACCCTGACTGGTTAACTGGGGAACTTTTCTGGGAGGGGTGAGGGAAATGACATATGGTGAATATCCAAGATCTAATAAATAATAATACAAGATGGGGTGGCATTTGGTTATTTGTGTTTTTGAAAAGATCTCTGGACCCCATGTATATATCCAGTTAGAGCTAGTTCAAGATCTTCTCACAGAAGATCAGTCACTGCTTTTACCATTAGTACCTTCTTTCTTTAGCAGTGATCATAGAATTTTGAAGCATGAAGACCCTTATCTTAAAAGAGTGTCATTCCTAGGAATATGTGTATCTTACAAAAACCTTAAACAATTTCCCCTGTCAATATACCTTTTAATAATGAAATATCAGAGATATTGGTAGGTATGAGAGGTGATAGTTTGAACAGAAGTATCTACCTGGTATTCTTGACTTACACTGCATGTGAAAGTATACACTGTTTATCTTTGAGGTCAACCTATAAACTGGCTTGGGATGTAATGTTCCAGTTGGAGTGCTTAAAAGTCATATGGTTGCTATTATTATTAAACAGTATTAAGGAGTCACTTCTGAAGTGAACTATGGAATTTGTATTTTGTTATCCAAAACAGCCTCAGAGCTGCATTGTTCAATAGGGAGGCAGGAGATCAGTTCATTGTTTTGGCAAGTATCGGAGAGATAGATTATAATTCATTCTGTTAGGTCCCTGCTTCTGGTTCAACCAAACATGAAGTCAGCTCAATTACCTATGCTGATGAAAGGAAACAGTGGCCTAAGTGATTGAAAAATGAAAAAAGAAAAAAAATGAATGGCTTGTCTTGATAACACAATTAACAAAAAAATTAAAAATTACCTTAGTCAATTCTTCCAGAATTAAACTCTGTTTTCATCTCCCTTTTAGCCAGTTGGATGAGGAATCAAGCGTTACTTTATATAATGCAAAATGTATAATAATATTAATGGTGAAGACACAACTATTATTTAGCAGCTATTGAACACCTACTTTGTGTCAGATATAGCTAGAAAGATCTGGTTATTTTTACTTTATTTCTTTAATGTTTATGTGGATTTCTTGTTAGTTCTTACTCTAGTAAGGACTAAAAAAATTATCAAAACTAAGAGTTTAAACACAGTCATTTCATGGAATAACTACATTTTCTGTAGTAAATAAACATCCATTTACTATTAAATCACACATCTAGTTTTCATTAAAATGAACATTAAAAAATTATAGTAGTAGTTTATAAAAAAGAATTCTAACAAAAAATCATAGCCATCTGCTTCTTCTGTCCACAGATGTAGAATCTCCTCTACAGATAACACTTTGTTATCTTTTAGATATTTCCTTTGATATTTACACTAACGAAATTTTTAAAATTAAAAAATAAAGCTTATACTGCTCTTTTTGACTATTACAGAACACTGAGATGTTGCACTGTTATCTTTTATATTAGTTATCTATTACTTAGTAACAAATTATGCCAAAATGTAGTGGCTTCACACAACACACATTTATTATCTCTCTGTTTCGGAGGGTCAGTAATCTGGGACCCACATCATTGGCTGGTTTTGTCTCAGGTTGTCTCAGGAAGTTTCACTTGAACTGGGATTGTATCATGTGAAGCTTTGACTGGGGCTGGATAATCTGATTCCAAGAGAGGCTGTTGGCACGTGGACCACTCCAAGGGAGACTCTGAGTGTTTTCAAGGCATGGCAGCTGGCTTCCCCAGGGCGTGCACATTGTGATGTTGGGTAATAAAAGATACCATGACTTTGTATCACCTAATCTTGGATGTGACTTTTTATCTTCCCTATCATACTCTGTTGGTCATCCATGCAAACTCTAGTGCAATGCCAGAGGAGCATACACACAGGAGTTAATACAGGGAGGCAGGGACATTAGGTTCCCTCATAGGAGCTAAATACCACATTTTCCAGCACTGTCTCTGAGCTTCCTGCCACCTTCCTTTTCTCTAACTTACTTCAGTCTAGCCAAGTGGTTGTATTATAATTTTATTTCAGTCAATGTCCAACTTATACCACTATGGCTACAGGAGTAAATGTTTTGAGACATCACATGTCTGAGAATATCCAAACTAACTCAGTGTGCCTGGGTATAGAATTCTAAGATGAAATTTTTACCCCCAGAATTTTAAAGGCATTGCTCAATTTTTGTGTATCTTTTTTGTAGTTGCTTTTGGAAAGCCAGATGTCATTCCTATATCTGATTCTTTTAATTTTTTTCTGTAAGATTTTAAGATCTCTTTATCTTGAGTATTTTGAAATTTTTTTCAATGATGTATCTCACAGAGTTCCATATACAATATGCAACACAATTAACTCTGTGTTCTCTCTCTTTTTTTAATTTTAGAGATAGTATCTTGCTCTGTTGCTCAGGCTGGAGTGCAGTGGCATGTTCATAGCTCACTGTAACCTTGAATTTGGGGGCTCAGGTGATTCTCCTGCCCCAGCCTCCACAGTAGCTGGTACTATAGGGATATACCATCATGCTGGGCTTAAATTTGAATTTTAGATAAATAACAAATATATTTTTACTTGAAGTATGCTCTAAATATTGCATGGAACATATATATGAAAAGATTGTTTGTTGTTTATTTGAAATTCAAATTTTACTGAGTATCCTGTATTTTATTTGCTAAATCTGCCAATCCTAGTGCCTCAGAGTGCTTTTTTTCTTTCTTTCTTTCTTTCCTTCCTTCCTTCCTTTCTTCTTTCCTTCCTCCCTCTCTCCCTCCCGCTCTCACTCTGCCTCTGTCTCTCTTATCTAGAAAGTCTTTTTCTTAGTCAGTTTGGGCTGCTATAATGGAAGACCATAGATTGTGTGGGTTGAGCCACAGAAATTTATTTCTTAGAGTTCTGGAGGCTTGGAAGTCCAAGATCAAGGTGCAGGCAGATCCAGTGCCTGGTTGGGCATCTTCCCACTTTGCTGAAGACTGTCTTGTCCTGTATCTGCAGGTGGTGGTGGGCGGGGTGATGAGCAAGCACTAGCTCTCAGATCTCTCTTATAAGGGCTCCACCTCATGATCTAATTCCCTCCCCAAAGCTCCACCTGCTAGTACCATTACATTGGTAATTAGGATTTCAATGTATGAATTTTTGGATGGGGGGACCAGGTCACAAACACTCAGTCCATAACAATCTTGTCATTCAGTGTGGGGAGATTAAATAAAGATATTTCTAAAATATCTTTACCCTTTCATTTTTAGTTCAGTGTCACACCCACACACTCTCCTCTGGGGAGAGGAAGGGCTGTCTTCTGGCTGTAAGAAGTGGAGGTGAACCTGGTTGTTCAGTCTCCTTATTTAGACTTCCAATCAATGTTCCTGCATCAGACATATCCAAAACACCATCTTCTGTAATACTTCATGCTTCTAATTTATGCACATTTCTATGGTTTTTGTGCTGTGAACCTGTTTATTTCTTTTTGTCATTCCTATGCAGGCTTTTGGGTTTTAGCTTTTTAAAAAAAAATTTTGCTAAGTATGTTAACACTCTGTATCCTTTCCCTTTTCCAAAAATTTCTGAACTTTCTTACTGCTTGTGCTAGTTTGAGGTCATCTGAACAGAAGACACCAAGATAGATTTAGACATATCAGAAACATATTATTTCTTATAGGAAATGCCTGTGAGGAAAAATTAGGAGGAACCTGAAGGAAGCTGGGAGGGCTGTTAGACCATTATGCTGGTCTGATACTTTTGAAGGAGAGAGGAAAAGCAAGGAAGAAAGAAGTATTAAGTGGAAGAGTCTTACACAGCAATGCATTTTTTTAAGAGTTCAGCAAACTTGATGGGATGGATCTAGCCAAAGTCAACCCTCAGGGGAGTACCACATCTCCCAGGACCTGACGTTAGCATTCCTATAGAGATCACTCTTTGACCAGGAGCAGCTTAGCTGCTTATGGGAAATGTGGCCTCTGGATGAATGCAATGATGGATTTCAGAATGAAGCAGCTGAGCTGTTCATCATTTATGCTTCCCACAGTAGGAGATCAGAGAGGTACATTTTCATGGCCACTATACTGCTACTTTCCCATTCTATCTATCCTTATGAGGTATGTATGTATAATGTCGTTTCAATGGAACTTCAGTAAAGGGTGTAAACAGATGCAAGTGTTCTATCAATGGTGTTTAGACAGGAATCCTGTGTTAATTGCTTTGTCACCCAGGCTGGAGTGTTGTGGAGCAATTATGGTTCACTGCCTCCTTGAACTCCTGTGCTCAAGTGATTCTTCTACCTCAGCCTCCCTAGTAGCTGGGACTACAGGCACACGCCACCATGCCCAGCTAAATTTTAAAACATTTTTATGTAGAGATGGGGTCTGATTGTGTTGCTCAGACTGGTCTTAAGGATAGAAAAATCTGCCCCCTCTTAATCGAGATACGTCAACATTGAATTGTATGAAGAGCATATTGGATGGGCTATCACTATCTATCTATCTATCTTTGTATGGTAATCCTTGAAAAATAAATTCTCATATATATCCTCAAATGAAAACTGGAAGAGATATAATTTGTACTTGCTGGAGAGTGCAATGTAAATTTCTTAATCTACTCTCCACTTTTAGTTACATTTTATACATCACCCTAAAAGTATTGCTGCTTTAAAATAGAAAAGACATCAAGGAAAAATAATAGTCTGTTAAGACTTGACTACTCAGAGGCAGTTTCTCTTGATTTAAGGTAGCTTTGTCTTGTCTTACAAGATGCCATCTCCATAGTATATAGTGTGATGGTAAGAGCATAGGTTTTAGAGCCATACACAATGAGTTTTAGGGCTCAAATCATTACACTGACTAGCTTTTAAGCTTGGGCAAGTTATTTAATTCTGTTCTCTTCTTTGTGGAAAGGATAATAATAGCTAACTTATAAACAGATTGTATGGGTTAAATAAAATAAGACATGTTGAATACATAATACAGAATTAGTCATTGTATTTCCCTCCTTCATTCGGAAACAGGTCTTTGGAAGAACATTCCTTTTTTAATCCGTCCATGAAATAAGCAAGTCTCTTCAAACTAAAATTCTTTTGTCATATAGATTGCAAGTAGGTTATGCTTAAAAATCTAATTTGAAAGACATAAATATATATTGGCTTGCATTGCATTTATATAACTTGAGATATAAAAATTTGAGAACAGCCCAGAAATAATACCCAGAACACTGGATTGTGGAACATTCACTCATTCATTAAAATATCTTCATTAAGTCCCCATTATATGCCTGGCATCAGGCTAGGATCTGGGCACAAAATATTTAACAAAGTAGATAAGTCCTAATAAACAAACACACAACAAAATAACATTTACAGAATATTTTGTTATATTAAATGTTATTTTTCCTGCCCTCCTTTTCAACATTTTTAGGAAATTTTCCATAGACACCACTTCTTTTCATTGCTTTATTACTTCACATATTCATGCCACATAATGATCATCTAGGCCTTGTTTTTTCTTTAGTTTATTTTAGAACTCTGGAGGGATTCAGAGAATGGCTGCCTCACTGGAAGCCACAGAAAGTTTGTGCAATACATAACAGCTGTCTGTTTAGCCTTTATTACATTTCAAACATACTGGGCTCTAAAGGGTGTCTGGAATAAATTTGAAGCAGAGAGACATTGTTTCCATCAAAACTCAAATACTGTTCTTCTTACTTAACTTTTCAGCTAGTCTCCTGCTTTTCTGAATCAAAAAACAAAGTATACAAGAGTTCTACAGTAATGCCAGGTGAAGATGTAGATAGCAGTTCCACTTCTGGTGTGCCAAGGTGTGCCTGAGGTCTGATTTCTACTACATTTCTTAAATCTAGGTGCTTGGAGTAGTGAGAGACAGTGTTGATATCAGAGATTTCTTGGGCTTTAATTGTATATTACTAGGTCAAAATACTAAAATTAGACACAGTGTTCACATTTTACATGCCTCCTCTGTATATATTTTTTGCACTCCATCTCAAAGTCCACTTTTATCAATAATCTATAATCATCAAATGAGCCTATGGTGGTCTTTTTTAAAAGTATATGTTTCTAAAGGGACTACAGAGATAAACTGCTAGAAATCCTACCACGTAAAAGAACATCTTTTTCTGTTATGGTCACAGTACATGTACTCTATGATTTAGGTGTTTTGTGGAAGAGGGGATATATGTTTAGTTTATATTTTAGGATATGACAGTTTTCAGTGTACTTTATACTGGCTTTTAAGTGCTGATAAATTTGATTATATTTAGTCTTTTATTACTTCTTATTTGTTCTTTACTTTGGTAAAATTTATTTTTATTGAGATAACAAAAGAAGAGATAGGTAGTACTCACATTCATGAGCTAATATTAATTAAGTCAATAACTACGTATCAAGAAGATTTGCTTTCCTCATCCATATATTTCCCATTTCTAGGTGTATTTTATCAAACACAATAGAATTGAAAATTAAGGGGTCACTTCAATTAAAATAAAACAGAGATTTGGTTGCAGCAGTTTTTTCAAGTGGAGAAACATTAATAACATTTACTAATTTTTATCTTTTTGAGTGATTCTTAATTATCTGATAATTTCCACTATTGAATTCTGGTTCAAATGTCCATGGCAACATTTTTGATGGCAGGCTTGTGTTGTAGAAAATGAAGAAGGAGGAGGAGAAAGAGGAGTAGGACAAGAAGGAGGAAACAAAAAACAAAGACAAAACTCATGGATTTTGAGCTCTATAGATCTGTGTCATTTGCCAAGTTATCTATTTATTAGCTATGTGATGCTGGGTAGGTTACTTAACCTCTCTTTTGATTTTTTTTTTTAATTTGTAAAACAAAGGTTGTTATGAGTAAAATGTAGAATAATATGCCTGGCATAGAGTAAGTGCTCAAATAAGCTTCGTCATTCTTCCTTGCATCACATCACTTTGGTAATTACACACTGATGAAATTCAACACATATTAAAAGGCCAAAATATGGTACATTGAACTAATTGGTTTTGGTACAACTAGTTTTCATTAAGTTTACCGATAGATTTGATGTACACATCAAAAATTCAGCATATTTATTTTAAAACATTTATTGAGAATTATGGCATTTAAAACACCACAGGGAGGAGAGGTTAAAGAAATGGATAAAAAACAAAGAAATAAGGTCAACTAGAAAGTGACCACAGGGGAACAAATAAGCATAATGTAAATCAGGATCAATTTAGTGCTATTAGAAAGATGCACAATGTTATGGGGGCTCCATGAAAGGAGAGAATATGTTAAATCAGGTGGGAATAAATTTCAAGTTGCATTTGATTCAGGTATTAATGATTTAAATTGGTGGAAATGGCAGCATCCAAGGCAGTGAAGACAGCATGAACAATATCCAGCAGCTAATAACTATGGGAAAGGCTTATGCAGCGGTGGATAGTTTTATGTGAGATTTTTGAAACATCAGCTTGCAAACCAGTGTTCCATTCTTTTTGCTTATGTTAAATTTCAGCATTTGAAATTAAACTGTAATCTATAGGGAGATAGTGAGGATTTGTGAGCAAGGGAGAATGAATACCTCTTGAAGGCAAAAAATACTGCAATTGTTTCATCTTTGAGTCTGTTATTGAATGACTTTTCAGAATTTGCATTAATTTACTTAAGACAGTAAGCTACTTGAAAACAGGGGCTATTTTGGTCCATTGTTCTTCTCTGTATTAACAAAATATCTAATGGGCTTTAAGTACCTCATATGTTCCAGGCAATGTTCTAAGGCTTTATAGATGGAAACCTCATCACAACCCTGTGAGATGGGGACTTCTACTTTTTCCATTGTAAAGACGAGAAGAAAACAGAAGCAGAGAGTGGCTCAGGATCTTTCTGTACATCATATAATTGGTAAATTTTGAGGCTTTAAGCCTGTGTGGTTCAGCTTGCTTTTAATGTCCCAAATTTGGTGTTTCAATGAATTCCATTTACAGTATCATAAAAAAGCTTAGAAATGAACTTAACAAAGGGAGAGAAAAACTTGTACAATGAAAACATAAATACATTGCAGAAATAAATTTAAAAACACAAAAATAAATGGAACTACCTCTCATGTTCATTAATTGGAAGGCAATATTGTTAGGATATCAGTATTACCCAAAGCAATCTATAGCTTCAATGCAATCCCATTAAAACCCCAATAATATTTTTTGCAGAAATAGAAAACCCCACTCCAAAATTCATATGGACTCTCAGGAGATCCTAAATAGCCACAACAGCCTTGAAAAAGAATAAAGTTGGAGGACTCACACTTTCTGATTTCAAACTTACTACAATGCTAAATTAGTCAAATAGTGTGGTATTGACATAATGACAGATGTATAGAACAATGGAATAGAATAGATAGCACAGAAATAAACCTTCACATACATGAAAATGATTTTTGACAGGGGTACCAAGACCACTCATTGGTAAAGAACAGTCTTATCAGCAAATGGTACTGGGAAAACTAGATATCTGTATGAAAAATAATGAAGTTAGATTATTAAGACCATATATAAAAATTAACTTAATGGATCAAAGGCCTAAATGTAAGACTTAAAGCTATAAAACTCTTAGAAGAAGACATAGAACAAGAGCTTCAGAACACTGGATTTGGCATTAATTTCTTACATATGATACAAAGCATATGCAACCAAGTAAAAAAACAGAAAAATTTGACTTAATGGAAATTTAAAAAAATATGCAGCAAGAGACACTATTAACACAGTTAATAGGGAACTCACAAAATGGGAGAAAAGATTTGCAAGTTATATTTTTGATGAAGGACTAATATTCAGAATATATTACGAATTTCTAAAACTCAATGACAGGAAAACAACAAACAACTAAATTAAGAAATGGGCAAGGAACTTGAATAGACATTTCTCCGAAGAAAATATATGAATAGCGAATAAGCACCTGAAAGGATGCTCAACATGACTAATCAATTGGGAAATGCAAACCAAAACTACAATGAGATACCACGTGACATTTCAGGATGGCCATTAAAAACAAAACAAAAAATCAAAAAAAAAAAAAAACAAAAAGAAACAAACAAACAAAAAGTGTCGATGATGATATGGAGAAATTGGAACCCTTTTTCACCATTAGTGAGAATGTAAAATGGTACAGCTGCTGTGGAAATCAGTATGACAATTTCTTAAAAAATTAAAAATAGAATTACCATATGATCCAACAATTCCACTTTTGGGTATATACCCAAAATAACTAAAAGCAGAATCTCAAAGAGATATTTGTATACATGTTTATGGCAGCATTATCCACAATAGCTAAAAACTGTAAGCAGCACAAGTGTCAATTCACAGATAAAATGTGGATATGTAGTCACTCCCTGCATCACGATGTTTCAGTCAACGATGGACCATATGTACGACAGTGGTCCTATAAAACTATAATGGAGTTGAAAGATTTCTATCACACAGATACTTACCATTATGTTCTTACTTCTTTACACTATTCAGTACAGTAACATGCTGTACAGATTTGTAGCCTAGGAGCAATAGGCCTTACAACATAGCCTATGTGTGTAGTAGGCCATACCATTGTGAATACACACATCAGGGGTCCCCAAACCCTGAGCCGTAGACCAGTACTGGTCCCTGGCCTGTTAGGATTCAGACCACACAGCAGGAGGTGAGTGGTGGGCTATCCAGCATTACTGCCTGAGCTCCGCCTCCTGTCAGGTCAGGGGAGGCATTAGATTCTCATAAGAGCACGAGTCTTATTATGAACTGCGCATGTGAGGGATCTAGGTTGCACCCCGCTTGTGAGAATCTAACTAACGCCTGATGATCAGAAGTGGAGCAGTTTCATCCTGGAACCATCTCCCCTAATCCTCAATCCATGGAAAAATTGTCTTCCATGAAACTGATCCTTAGTGCCAAAAGTGCTGGGGACCACTGCATTAAAGGATGTTCGCCTAATAATGGAAACTCCTGACCAGCCATTTCTCAGAATGTATCTCTGTTGTTAAGCAAGGCATGACACACGTTCACATACACACACACACATGCACATATACAATGGAATATTACACAGCCTCAAAAGGAAAGGAAATTCTGACACATGCTATAACATGGATTAAGCTCAAGGAAATTAACAAGAAATGAAAAGACAAACACTGTATGATTCCACTTATATGAAGCAATTAGAGTAATTAAAATCATAGAAACAGAAACAGTGGTTGCCAGGGGCTGGGAGGAGGGAGGCATGGGGAATTATTGTTTAATGAGGAGAGTTTCAGTTTTACAAGATGAAAAGAGTCATGGAGATGAGTGGTGGTGTTGGTTGCAAATTATGAATGTACCTAATACCACTGAACCATACACTGAAAAAGGGGTAAGATGGTAAGTTTTATGTTATATGTATGCTACAACAATTTAAAAAAGATTTTAAAAACTGGCAGTGAACCCAAAAGACAAAGTATAAGCAATCCAGAATATGTTTTTTAAAATTTTTGGGGTATATTAATAAAATGAATATAAGTTTGTTGTTATTGAGTTTGTTGTTTGTGTTTGATGTTGAGGGAAGAGGAAGAAGGAGTAGGGGGATCAAAGTACTTGCTTAATTCATCATGTGATTCTTAATTCCTCCTTGCATTCAGTGCCAACAATTGTGTTGCTTGAAAATTGACTAAAACCAGTGCTGAAACGTAACATGTGAATACATAAGTAGAACACAGTGTGATTGCTTAGGATTCAGTAGGTGTTTTTGACAGATTTGATAAATTAATGAATAATAAGATGTTATAATAATATAGGAAAAAGAAGAAACCCCTCACTAACATTATTTTAATGCCTTAACTGTAGACGTAGACATTCCACAAAAGAGATTCAGAATGATGTTGTATATTACTCAAAGGTCTATAAAGAGTTCTTGTTTTCCAGACCAGAAGTTTATGAAAATGATTCACACAAGGATTAAGCCGCAGCTCGAGTAATTGGATCCAATGAAGGAATAGAACTGTTTAGTGGTTAAGAACTTAAATCATGCTTGGTAATTAGATAATGTGTGTTTCATTCCAGGGATGTGAATTGTGAGACTGCCTCATGTAAAGGGCATAATGATTTATCAAAACCAGAAGAGGAACCTATTTATCTCTTACTCTGGTAAGAAAAGTAGGCTTAGCCGAGCATGATGATGTGTCTGTAGTCCCAGCTACTTGGGAGGCTGAGGCAGGAGAATCCTTGAGCCCGGAAGTTGGAAGCTGCATGAGCTAAGACCCTACCACTGCACTCCAGCCTAGGTGGCAGAATTAGACCCTATCTCGAAAAAAAGTTTAAAAAGGAAAGAAAAATAGCCTTGGATGTCTACAACAACCAATGCATCTAACCTAAATCTCTGTTGACATGCAGCCTCAGCTAGTTGAGAAGCAAACCCCAAAATTGTTCCGGTAAAAAACCCCAAATCGCATTGGATGATAAACCTGAATTATCAGGTTTTGAATTGCTGAAAAACACATAATTGTGTCTTTTATGAATGACTATGTTTAATCTTGGGAATATTTAAAATTAAGTTTTAAATGATGAGATAAATCAAATCCATAGTATTCGTAGTTTTGTGTTATATTTGGAAATAATCTGTGCATATTTAGTATTTTGAGTATTTGTAGCATTGAAGGGGATTTGGCATTTTAGGGGTACAATTTGGCAATTTAAAGTTTTTAGCAGATTAGACTTGTAATTTTAATTTAAAATTTGTCACTAATTGTGATTTTTTATACCAAGATTTTCTTAAATTTGTGAAAAATTATTAGTATTTTAAAGAGACATTAAAATTATTAGTTAAATTTTTAACTTACAAGAACCACATAAGAACTTATTAGACAATCAATGTACCTGAAAAATAAGATCGAAATACTAAATTTGTGTGTAGATTAAAATGTTTAAAAATTTTTAATAAATAAAACTTCTCATAAAAGTAATTATTGACATGCTGGATTTATCAGCAGAATAACATGATATATTTAAATTAGAAGTATAGCTAAAAATTAGGTTTTTAAATTTTTCCATTAATAAAATATTAATAATATAGATATTGAATAGCATTTATTTTGTATGAAAGCTACCTTCAAAGACACCAAAAATCTCATATTGATACTATTTTTGACTCGATTAAATTACACAAGGAGGTAAGGGGTAAAAGAATAATTGTTGACACATAATTTTAGTTATTTCAAAGGTTTATTACTTATTTAAATGTGTTATTTATGTAATCAAAATAAGTATATATCTTTTTTTTTTTTTTAAGGCAGGGTCTCACTCTGTCACCCAGGCTGGAATGCAGTGGGCTGATCTCGGCTCACTGCAACCTCTGCCTCCGGGGCTCAAGCAATCCTCCTACCTCAGTCTCCTGATTAGTTGGGACTACAAGCACCCACCATCACACGAGACATTTTTTTTTTTTGTATTTTTCATACAGACAGGTTTTCACCATGTTGCCCAGCTGATCTTGAACTCCTGAGTTCAAGCGATCCACCAGCCTCAGCTTCCCAAAGTGTTGGGATTAGAGGAAATACATATCTTCTTCTTCTTCTTTTTTTTTTTGAGATGGCGACTCCCTCTGTCACCCAGGCTGGAGTGCAGTGGCATGATGTCGGCTCACTGCAACCTCCACCTCCAGGGTTCAAGCAATTCTCCTGCTTCAGCCTCCTGAGTATCTGGGACTACAGGTGCCCACCACCATGCCCGGTGAATTTTTGTATTTTTAGTAGAGATGGGGTTTCACCATGTTGGCCAGGCTGGTCTTGAACTCCTGACCTCAGGTGATCTGCCCGCCTCGGCCTCCAAAAGTGTTGGGATTACAGGCATGAGCCACCGTGCCTAGCTGGAAATATATATCTTTTTAATGAAGAGCTTTTCTCCTGCTTCTAAGAAGTAATAAGCCCAGTTTCACATAGATTTTCATATATTTTTTGATTTCTCAATGTGTTTTCATTCCATTCACAGAAACTCTTTTCGATGTTTAATTAGATACATTAATTGAGTTTAGACTTAGAAACTATACTTCTGAGTAAACAGTTTTTCAATAGTAGTTTCTGAATTCTATTGAGGTTTTATTTTTCTTGAAATTTTTATGTGCCTTTCTTTTTCTCCAAACACCCTTCAATTAATACTATGAATACATATTCAGCTAAGAGAATTTGAAGGCAAGACAAAAGGTAATTCAACAAACACAAAACATTGTGTTATGAAGGGACATCTGTGGAAGCTCTTGGAGGTAATGCCCCAGACCTCTAGCTCATAACTAGTAATGAAGATATGTTTGAAAACAAAAGTGTTCCATCCATAAATTCATCTGTAATTCAAACATTGATTCTTAGACATTTTGTTAAATTATACAGTGCAATTTTCAAACAGACTGTGATGGTTAATATTGAGATGGTTAATATTGAGATTAACAGTTGAGTCAATGGGCTGGGGAAGGCAGATCCACCCTTAATCTGGTGGGCACAATCTAAACAGCTACCAGCGAATATAAAGCAGGTGGAAAAACGTGAAAAGGAGAGATGGGCCTAGCCTCCAAGCCTAAAGCTTTCTCCTGTGCTGGATGCTTCCTGCCCTGGAAAATCTGACTCGGACTGGCTCTCCTTGCTCCTCAGCTTGCAAACAGCCTATTGTGGGACCTAGTGATTGTGTAAGTTAATACTAAATAAACTCCCCTTTATTGTTGTTTGTTGATTGTTGAAAAAGCCCACCATAGGGATACTGTTCTGAACACACTGAAAATGTCAAATTCCCAGTTCAGAAGGCACCTCCTCATTGATCTTAGTTATCCCTGTGGTTTTGACTATTAAAGTGCTGGAAGATAATCTTGCTATGGCATATATTTCCTTGAGAGAATAACAAGTTTGGTTTTTCAAAGCATAATATACTTATTGAGATATAATTTATATGGCCTACCATTCACTCATTTTAAGATTACAATTCAATGTTTTTTAGTATATTCACATATTGTATAACAGTCACCACAATCAAATTTAGGACTTTTTGAATCACCCAAAAAAGAAATCCAGCATCTGTTAGCAATCGCTCACCATTTTTCCCAGTTCCCTGCCTCTATCAATATTACAAAGCAACCAATAATCTACTTCCTGTCTGGAGACATTTGCGTACTCTGGATATTTCATGTAAATGCAATCATACAAAATGTGCACCTTTATGACTGACCTTTCAATTAGCATAATGTTTTTAGGTTCATCCATATTATAGAATGTATCAGGACTTCATTCCTTTGTTTATTTGTTTGTGGTTTTTTTCTTGCTGACTTGAACAGTTTGAAAATTGATTTTTAAAGATTAAGATATCATTACACACACAAAAATGCTCAGATCTTAAGTGGAGAGTTTAGTGAGTTTTGACAAAGTATATGCCCATGTAACCAACACATAAGTTGAAACACAGAGCATTGTTATCACCTTAAAATACCCCCAAATGACCCTTTTCATTCTTTGCCTCTCCCCATAAAAAGTAAATATTATTCTAATTTAAATTGCATAGATTAGTTTTGGCCACTGTTGGACTTTATAAAAATAAAATCATACAGTGCATACTCTTTTGTTCTGGATTCTTTTCCTAAACATAGTGCTTTTGAAATTCATTTATGTGGTAGGATGTATCAGAAGTTTCTTCCTCTTTATTGCTGAGTAGTATTCCATTGTACAGATAATATCACAATTTGTTTATTCTTGTATTGTTGGGCACTTGGTTTGTTTCTGTTTTTCTCCCAGATTTATGAAGGAATCATGGACAAATAAAAATTGTACATATTTATGAAGTACAGTGTGATGTTTTAACATATGTATATATTGTGAAATATATCAAATGAATTAGCATATCCATCATATATACTTTTTGTGGTGAGAATATTTAAGATTTAATCTCTTTTTTGAGTATATAATACATTATTATTGTTAACTATAGTGATGCTGCTGTGCAGTACATCTTCAGAATCTATTCATTCTAACTGAGACTTTGTGCACTTTAACCAGCATCTCCCCAAGCCTTCTCTGCTACACTCTCCACCCATGTCAGCCCCAGGCAAACACCATTCTATTCTTCATGAATTTAACTTTCTTATATTCCACATATAAGTGAGAACATATGGCATTTGCCTTATCTCACTTAGCATAATGTCTTTCAGGTTTTCCATGTTGTCCCAAGACAAGATTTCCTCCTTATTTTTAAGGCTGAATAGAACTCAGTTTTGTGTCTGTCTGTCTGTCTATACATCTATCTATCTATCTATCTATCTATCTATCTATCTATCATCTTTTATCTATAGCACATTTTCTTTATTCAATTTTTTTGTTGATAGACATGTAAGTTGATTTCATATTTAGGATATTGTGAATAATGCAACAATGGATATGAAAGTACATATATCACTTTGACATATGTAGTTATTAAGTTTTTTTGAATATCTACCCAAAAGAGGGATTACTGGATCATATGGTAGTTCTGTTTTTAATTTTTTGAGGAATCTTCATGCTATTGTTCATAATGGCTGCACTAATTTACATCCCCATTAACTTTATACAAGGGTTCCCTTTTTTTCCACATCCCTGTCAATGTCTGTTTTCATTTGCCTTTTTGATAGTAGCCGTTCTAACAGGTGTGAGATGATATTTCATTATGGTTTTTATTGGCATTTCTCTGATGGCAAGTGACATTGAGTACTTTTTCTTATGCCTGTTTGCCATTTGTGTCTTCCTTTGATAAATGTCAATTCAGGTCTTTTGCCCAATTTTTAATCATAATATTTGTTCTCTTGTTATTGAATTGAATTCCTTATATATTTTGAATATTAACTTCTTATTGTATGTATGGTTTGCATTCCATAATTTTTGGAATTTTGTGTCTTCATTTTCATGCTTCTCAAAGTATTTTATAATTTATCTTGTGATACCTTCTCTGACTCATTGGTTCTAGGAGTGTCTTAATTTTGACATATTCATGAATTTTCATTTTTTAATTATTGATTTCTAATTTCATTTAATTATAGTCAGAAATCACACTCTGTATGGTTTCAATTCTACCTTTTTTCATTATTTTTGAGTGGAGTATTCCATATGTGTTGGTTAGATCTAGTTGGTATATAAAATTTTTTAAATTTTAAATTTCATTTTATTTTCCACATAGTTGATCTAATTTTTATTACAATTAGGTATGGTAATTTCCAGTTTTTATTATGAGTTGTCTCTTTGCCTTTCAATTTTGTAAGTTTCTTCTTCATGTGCTTTAGGGTTCTGTTAATTGGATATATTTTTATAATTATTATAACTTCCTGATGAATTATTACATCATTGTTAATATGTCATCCGTTATGTCTAGTAACTTTCTTTAGTCTATTTTATATTATATTAGTTAGTTCAGCCACACCAGTTTTCTTATGGTTGCTCTTTGGATGACATATATTTTCATCCCTCCACTTTTAACCTATTTCTATGTTTGAATCTAAAGTATGTCCCCTGTGGACCATATGTAGGTGGATTTAAAAAAAAATCAAATTTGACAATCTCTATCATTTGATTAACTTTTAAAATCTATTTATATTTAATACTATTATTGATATAGCTGGATTTATATCTGCTATTTTACTTTTGTTTTCAATATGTTTCATGTCTTTTTTATTCTTCTTTAGTGCTTTCTTTAGTATCAACTGAATATTTTCTAGTGTGTAAAATTTTGATTTCATTGAAATGTTTGCTAATATTTCTTTAATGTTACAGTATAATGTTACCAGTTCTATACGAGTTTATCTTCTAGTGGATGCTTTAGGACTTACTATATACTGCTTTCTTATGAGTGTCTACTTCTGGTTTATACTAATTCCGGTGATACACAGAAACTCATTCCTATATTGCCCTATTCTCTTTCCCATTTTTGAACTATTACTGCTGTATATTTTACATATATACATGTTAACAACCCAACAGTCTATTGATATAATTATTACTACATATAATTTAATTTTTAAAGAAACTAGGAGAAAAAAAGAGTAAGTATATATTTCTAGAGATCCTTATTTTAATCTTTTTATTTATTGCTTCTGGTTCTCTTTATTTGTTCCTGTGCATTCAAGTTATTATCTCACAGCATTCTCCTACCACTTTGCTCTCTCTTTTCTCCTTTTCTTTATTGTTATCCAGTATATTCTATATTTCTATATGCTTTAATCCCAAGAAGCATTTATATGTAAATATATTCTTTATAAAATTACTTTTAAAGTAACTTATGAAGGAAATGAAGAAATATGCACATATGTTGTATTTAATAATTTCATAATTATTTTTACCTATGTCTGTGTTTGCATGTGTATTCTAATTCCTGTCTGTGCCACTTGCTTTTGGCCTTAAACTTTCTTTAGTATTTATTGTAAGGCAAATTTGTTATAGATGAATTATCATAGTTTTCGTTTATTTGGGAAAGCCCTTACATTGTCTTCATCTTGAAACATACCTTAGCTGAATACAAGATTCTTGATTAACTTTTTAAAAATTTATTTCAACCCTTTGAACATGCCGTCCCACTGCCACCTGGCGGCCAGTGTTTCTGATGAGAAATTAGCTGTTAGCTCTATTAAAGTTCCCTTGTATATTACAAGTACTTTTCTCTTGCTGCTTTCAAGATTTTTGTCTTGTCTTTGGCTTTCTATGTTTTTAATATGATGTGTCGTCTGTGAATCTTTTTGTATTTACCTTTTTTGTTACTCTCTTTGCTGATGTGATTTGCTTATTTACTCAGAGACTTGGCTGAACTATTTTACTGAAGTTCATTTTTCCCACAGTGAAGCCTCTGATGTCACTTCTTAGAGGAGAAAACCTTGCACATGCCAACAGTCACATTGGAATGATGGTTCTTTAGCAGGACTCTCTTTGTCTCTTTCCCTGATCACTGTTAAGCTAGCTGCCTCTCTTAGTGTCATACTCAGCATTAGGCTTTCCTAATTGCTATCTGATTGTGTTGTTGTTTTCATCAATGTCATGGGACATACATTTTTTTATACTCTGATCGAATTGAATTCAAGTTCCTTTGCAGGTCTAGTTTTTAAAGCCAGTATCTGAGGTTGGTTATGACTCAAGAAGACTCTTCTCAGCTGTCTGTTTTCCTGCTTCTCTCTGGTAAACTAGCTGCCCTATGTTTTAGGAGGAGCTAACAGCCTTTTCATAATTGCTTAACAATATAATCTATATTGTTTTCCCAAATACTCTTAGCCTTAAAAATTTCCACACCCTGTTCCAAATAAAGTCAGTTCCTTTGGGGAGAACTTCAGAGTTCTCTCTTATTATGGCCTGCCTCTTTCTCCAGGCTAAATGTCTGAATCACTACTCCAGAACTGAGGATGGTGATAGTGTCCTACTTTTCCCAGAGTGACAACACTGCTTTATCAGCAGCACCCTGGAAAAATGTGGTAGCATCAGGTTTTCTTGGCTTGCCTTTCCTGGCATTGAACATCTGCCCTACTAGCAGCTAAGGTAAGAGTAATTGAGGCCCCCGTATTCTCTGTGTGCCACACATGGAGTACAGACTTTACCCTCTGAGAACTGATTGGATGGAGAAGGGAAATGCTCAAATTCTTGTTGGCACTTGCCTGGAATTGAACATCAGTAACACAAGGCTGGGGATTGTGAAAAATACTGACAGCCTGAACATACCATGAAGTTACTTTAGCCTTTCACTGTGAGCTTGGGCAAAAGGGAGCACCATCTTCTTAGCCACAACTTCCTGGAGCAGAGTGTCCATCACACTGGAACAGGAGAAGGAGGAAACTGGTAATGGCTCAAGTACAATAGACTCTCACCGTTCTGACAGAACATTAGCATATTTTCTTGAACACATTTCTTAATTGTTATATGCCTTTGGTAAAATTTTCAGAGACCTTAAATGGTTATTTTTAAAATATACGATCTTCACTAATTATGGTTGTTTTACTGGATAACAGGTCCATTGAGTGCCTCATACAACCATTATGAAAGTGAACAATAACAGTGATTTTGAATTTCCCTGAAGAATTAATGCTAAACCAGAGCCACAAAAAAATAGAAAGACCAGAAATTTCTTTCTTTAGTGCGTATGCTTCTACAATTTCAGCAAGTGCCCAAATGCCTATCTATTTTGGCTCCATCTGTGACCCTTCCAGGGTGGTCTGTCTCTCGTCAATACTGGATGACAAATTTGCTACATTACCAGACACAAAGATCATTTAATCAACTAAATTGTCTAACAGAGTATAATACTGATAGATCTCAGGACATATCCAAATTTTCTTTTTGAATGGAAGTATTCATTAATTTTATAACCTAATCAGAGTGTTGGTGGTTGAATAGAAATTCTTCAGGGAAGTTTGGGGGTTAAGTGTGGGGGAGATGAAGAGAAGCAAGTCATCGTAACTGCTACCTGGGAGGCATAAGAATCACTTGAACCTAGGAGGTGGAGGTTGCAGTGAACTGAGATCGCACCACTGCATTTCAGTGGATAGAGGGAGACTCTGTCTCAAAAAAAAAAAAAAAAAGAGAAAGAAAGCAGAAGGAGTAACAGTGTGTCTAAGAGAACATGTGAACTTGAATTAAAAGAAACTTTATGTGGCTGGGGTAAAAGATAGGAGGTAAAATATGGCAAGATATTTAATTTTGTACTTACAAAGGGCTATAGCAAAAGGTCCTTAATGTCAGGCTCAGCAGTTTTGATTAAACAGGAAAGTGGCATTGTGCCTCAGTTACTAGAAGAGTTAGATTGGAGTACATTTTTAAAACCTTTCTTTTGTGAGCCACTCTTTAGTTTTATTTGAATTGAACTTTCTCAATTCTTCAAGAAACATTCTTAGAACTTGGATAAAGTAGAATATCATGTTCCTCAGAGTGATAAAGAGTTTATAAAGTAGAGCTAGTGGGCATAAATGGATTGCAAGGCATCTTTTATTTCCCTGGAATCATAAAAACAGAGAAAATTATTACCAAACCATGGAGAACTCTGCATATAAATCATAGATGGAACTGAATAACTGGAACCTAGCAGAGAAATGACATTGTCAAAACAGCTACAGCTCTATTATGCTGTCCACTTTAGCCAGGTCACACACTCAATTGGATTAGTAACACTGCTAGGTTAGCTGAGTTAAAATTGGATAGAACCAAAACAGATTCATAAGGCTTTGGGTCTTTGGTTATGACAGAAAAGCACCCTGGGGAAATCATAATATCCACAGTTTATATTCCATTGGGCTGTTTACTATCAGACCAAATGGGTTTCAGAAAATTGCTTATTCATGTTTAATTTGGTGAATTGTTCCCTTAGCCTTTAACTCTTGCATTTATATAATTATAATTACAACATAGTTATTACTAATTAAGAAAATGGAAGATGTTTCCCCCTGCGCCCAGGCCAAACACCACAGGATTGTGATTCAGTAGAGTCTTTATTTATTTATTTATTTATTTATTTATTTATTTAAGACAGAGTCTCTCTTGTTGCCCAGCTGGAGTGCAGTGGCACCATCTGGGCTCACCACAACTTCCTCCTCCCGGGTTCAACCAGTTTTCCTGCCTCAGCCTCCCGTGTTGCTGGGATCATAGGCATGCGCCACCACACCCGGCTAATTTTGTGTTTTTAGTAGAGACGGGGTTTCTCCATGTTGGTCAGGCTGGTCTCGAATTCCCGACCTCAGGTGATCCGCCTGCCTTAGTCGCCCAAAGTTCTGGGATTACAGGCGTTAGCCACCGTGCCCAGCCCTTTTTTTTTTTTTTTTTTTTTTTTTTTTTAATTGAGACGGAGTCTCACTGTCGACCAGGCTGGAGTGCAAAGGTGCAATCTCTGCTCACTGCAAGCTCCGCCTTCCAGGTTCGAGCGATTCTCCCACCTCAGCCTCCCAGTAGCTGGGATTACAGGCACGTGCCACCAAGCCCGGCTATTTTTTTTTAAAAAAATTATTGTTATTACTTATTTTTAGTAAAGACGGGGTTTCACCATGTTGACCAGGCTGATCTGGAACTCCTGACCTCCATTATCCTCCTGTCTCAGCCCCCCAAAGTGCTGGGATTACAGGCTTGAGCCACCCGGTCCGGCCGCATCAGAGTCCTTCTTAGGGTGTCTCCTTTAAACAATGAAGTCTGGCACAGATTTTGCCACATAATAAGACTCAACAATGCGTGTTTTAAATTACACTGAAAGTAGATGACTTTTAGTGCTGGGTGCTGTGGCTCACGTCTGTAATCCCAGCACTTCGGGAGGCCGAGTCAGTCACATTGCCTGAGGTCAGGAGTTCGATACCAGCCTGGCCAACATGGTGAAACCCCCGTCTCTACTAAAAATACAAAAATTAGCTAGGTGCGGTGGCAGGCGCCTGTAATCCCAGCTACTTGGGAGGCTGAGGCGGGAAAATTGCTTGAACCTGGAAGGCGGAGGTTGCAATGAGCCAAGATCGGGCCACTGCACTCCAGCCTGGGCGACAGAGTGAGACTCCGTCTCAAAACAAACAAACAAAAAAAGACTTTTGTGCCTATTCTGTACCTAACATGTTTTATGAAGAACACAACTCCAAAGAATACAGAATTTCCCATTTCCTTCTCTCTTCTTCTCCTTAGGGTCAGTAGTTCACCCCCTCTTCTAAGGGTAGTGTCCTTAATCCCACATTGCTCCTGGGTGAATTTATGCTTCTTAAAAATTGGAAAGCTGAATTGATTACTTATGAAATAATTGGGAAATAAATACAGGAAACTCTGGAATTTCTTTTCACAGAGAAGTATATCTGAGGATTAGTCTGGCTATACTTAGATTAGAGAATATTAGATAAAATGGCGCTTCTATTTAGGAAGAAAGCAATTCCTCTCTTAGGAAGATTTTAAACTTTTAAAAATGTGTCTTTTATTACAAATAGTTTTGAAGCATTTGTAAAGTATGGAAAGGTACAAATAACAAAATTAAATTACTTATATTCTCATTATTCAATCCTAAATTCTGTGAAGTTGAAGTAGTTCTTAACACTCTTTCCTCTATATAATTTTAAAACGATTAGATCATATAGTTTTTTCTTTTAATATTATTATTTGTACCTTTTCCTATTATTAAATAATCTTTAAAATAATTTTATTTGTTCTCAGTCTGTTAGACATTTAGATTGTTTCTACTTTTCTACTTGAATAGTAGCACGGTAATGATGTTTATGTATCCATATTTGTTTGCCCTTTTATTATTATTTCCTATATCATTGTTAGAAAGTAATTAATAACAAGATCTGAAGTAAACTAAGGATGCTAAATAATCAGCACTCAAATGACTGTATATTATTAGTTGATCATGACCTTTGTATTTTCTACTGAGTCTGGTCAAGACTTCAAAATACTTCATTTTTCATATATATAGTATATATTATATATATTTATATATTTCATATATGTATATATAATATATATAGATTTTATTATAAATATATATGTGTTCAAGATATTCCTTCAGTTTGAACCTTTTCATCTAAAAATTTATCCCTGTATTTAACGAATTCAATTTCTACTTTTGAATTCTTGACTTCTAAAATTACTATATAGGTAGCTTAATTTATTAGTATGATTTTTGTACTCTCTTTTTTTTTTACTCAATCTCCTTAACTTAACTCCTCCAGATTTTCTTCACTCTCTGAATGTCTTGCTCCACTGCCAGACTAGCCTTTTTTTTTTTTTTTTTTTGCATCCTTTCTTGCTGGTGAACTTTAGTAGAGGAAGAAAAATACATTTTGTTTTCTACTCTTTTAGATTATCAGCTGATACTGTGTAACGAAAGAAAGATTAACAAAAGGAAATAACACAAATGTATTTAATATGTTTAACATGGCATGGGAGCCTTCCTAAGGAAATAAAGATCACAGGATATAGTTAATCGAGCATTTTTATATGAAGACTGAAGAATAGCAAGTTATAGAAAAATATGATAGGAGAAAAGGGTATGAGCTAGGGGTAGGAAGCTAAGGGAAATCTTAGCAAAGCCTGTTGGTTCAGAGTTTTATTGGCTTCCCTCTGTCTTTGGAGATAGAGATGCTCTTTTCCTCTGGATGAGAAGAGCACCTCTCACATGAGGGTCTGATGAACTAATTTAGGAGAATTTCAGAGAATCCTTCCTATACCTGCCATTTCTCAAATTTCTTTAAAAATATTCAATATGTCATGGAGCCATATTTTGGGGTTGCATGTCCTCAATCCTGTCATTTTCAATATACCTCCTTGCTGATAAAATTAAATATCAACTCTTAATTCCAGCAATTGAGGCTTTTTTCCCCACTGCACACTCCACCCCATCTAGTCTGATGTCCTTAAAATTGTATCACTCATATGAAACTCCAATAAAACCAGGCTACTTGCTCATCATGGCCCTTCCTTGCATAATATCCATGGCCTTCCCATGACTACCTACCAAATCCTTCTTATTCAGGTTCCATCCTCTACTTAATGACACTTTACATTCACTATCCATATATTATTTTTGCTCATTTAAAATCACATAACAATTTTATCTTAATAATGGCAACTATTATATTATTACATTGTATTATAGGTGGTTACATATTTTCCTTGAACTTCTTCTGTCAGACAGAGGACACCTTGCAGAAAGGGTGTCCTTAAATCCTTAGAACCCCTTCACTCTGATTCAGTGGCTTGCATAGGACTCAAACACATTAACTGAATAAACTCACTCAATAGAGATCAGTGATTTTTACAACTATAAAATAGCATTTTTATGACCCTTCTCCAATGACAGATTTTTGAAGCTAATGTAACCAAGTTTTGAGCTCTTTGAATTTTTAGTGATTAAAGAGGAAACATATCCCTAATGATAGGGAAAGTAGGTTTTAAAATTATAATTTTATAGGAAAATTGAACAAAGAAATAAATGCAAGTCAATTACAGTGAAATGATTTCGGCAACGATGGCTTAGCTTTCTTTCTCTACCACAAAATAAAAAACACTTCCTATTCAAGAAAATATTTAATTATCTTTGACTAGCTGGAGAAAGAGAAAAGTCCAACCAGTAAGAAATCCAATGACATATTAGAAGTTTGGATTTCATATCAGTATGGATATTGTATGTTTATTTTGTACAGTTTGCATTGAAGTCACTGCTTTGATTTCAGTGTTTAACTTCCTGGACTTTATTTGTTAGTGTCTCAACTTCATCAATATTGGTATGTAGTGCTTTAATAATGTATATTTAGTAGCATCTCTTAAAGGAAATCAGTGATTAGTTACAGTACTTTTTAATTTTACTTCACATGTAACATTCATGTTTGATGGTACTGCACGTACTTATTACCAGCATTTTCATGGAGATCAGCACTATAACTAAAACATAACTTTTAATGATAGTGTTATCAGTCTAAATTGGAGAATGCTAGCATAACTAGGCTTACTAGAGTATAATAGGAAGTAGTGACATTTCTGTAGTAATCAAATGTGCAATGCCAGGAAATTAAGAAAATATTTGTTTCCGCAGAAAAATGGAAGAAGACCCCTTGAATTTACCATATATTATAAAAAGCTTGAAAGCAGAGTTCCCTTATGGAAGACCTTTGTCTGCACATCAAAAAATGCAGCTGTTGTCATTTGCAATGTTTTATGGTCTTCAAACTATACTGCGAAGATCAGTGCATTCTTTTAATGCCATCATTATTAGCTCATGTAATCTTAGAATCTTCCATTAAAAGTTCTCCAGTAGCCTTAGCTGTTCAATTAGTCGGTGCCATACTCTAATGTTCACATGTTGTATTTATGTAGGATAATTAGATCAGCTTTCTGAGGTTATTTTTAGTCTTTTTAAAGAGTTGAGAATGCAATACATTTGCTTCATGCTGTTATTTATGGGGAAAATGACTTGTATTTGATGATAGTTTACTCTGCTGGTATTTGGAGAAAATTGGCAAAGTTTTGACTTTTTTTTTTTTTTTTTCATCAATGGCTTCTGTTTCTGGCACTTGCTTTTAAAAAGTGCCATGCCTGCTGCTGTACATAATAAATTCATCACACCACGATCCAGCGCCAAGTCAACTTGGGAAAAAATAGCCTGGGCTCTGTGTCTGGGCTATGCATTCTGGAAATGATGGACTTATGCATCTTAAACCTAAAGTCTCATTATAAGACTGGTGAGAACCATATGGCCTAAAAAGCCTGAGGAAAATGAATAGAGAAGTACATCTGGCTCTTTTGGCATATACCACCACATTCTAGTTTGAGTCACTGTGGAAATGTGAATAGGTCTTCGGGAGTGAGAGAGTGATCTGGTATTTCAAGCTAGGTTAATAAGCTGTCATTTCAGTTTGGGATGATGTTTGCTATCAGCAAGAAGGATTGTTTCTGTTTAGTTCAACCATCACATGGTTAGAGCTTATTAGGTATCACAGTGGCATATAGGTGCTGTGGAATGTGATTCCCTGCCCCGTTGAAGCCTGCAGGGTAGTGGGAAAACAGTTATATAAATGAATAAGTACAATATCATGTGATAAACGCTATCTATGAGATAAATAGACCATGCAAGCTGGAAGAAATGAATATTTGAAAACCGTACCCTCACCTACCTAGGTTGAACCCATCAGCTGTTTCTGTGCTGGGGTAAGAATGGGGGCTCTGTACTGCTAACCAGAGCCTCTCAAACTCATCCATGGCACCCAGGGTCTCTTACTAGGAAACATGTTTCAAAAGTGTGGTTATACTTACTCCAGAAATTTCCCTACCTTTCCAAAACAAAAAGTACCTTGTTAAAAAGGTTATAGTTATGTGACAAGCATATACTTCATTTTTACCTTGACATTTAAGTGGTTAAACAATTCATCTTGAAGATGAATCACTAGGATTAATGCACGGAAAGAATTCTGTCTGATATGTAAGGGACATTATATATTATATCACATTTTTTGTGTGCTCTTTAATTTGTCTGTCAAACTTATTTAAACTTCAAATGACATCTGCTCAGGTGTCAACATTTTTTGTTGTTTTTTAAGTTTTCCTTAACCCTTGCTTTAAATAAGAGATATACATGTCTAACTCTATTTCTTCTATCTTGACATGTATCACATTATATCCAGGCTTTACAATTTATTTGCTGTGTGATTATGGACAAGTGATTTAACTTCTCTTTCCTCAGTTTCCTTATTTATAAAACAGACATAATGACCTTTAATTTTAACTTTCTCTGAGGGTTAATTGGACTTTGTATGTAAAGAGTCAGGCACAGTATCTGGCACACAGAGATTTATGATCACTGTATTTGGCTTGTCTATGAGAGTATGCACTTCTTAATGCCAGGGACGGCTCCTTGCATATGGTCATATCTCTATAAATCTTGGCTTTACCTAATTATGTCCCAGTCCTTCTAGATTATAATACCTTTTAGGTAAAAACGGTTGTAAAATGTTTTATTGTTTAACCTGTCAGAGGAAGCATCTCATTTTAAGTCACGGAAATCCCTTAACTTGGAAGATCCTTCAGGCATGATAATCAAGTAGGGTTGTATAATCTTGTTCCAGGGCAGTGGAGGTCTTGGGAACTTGGGGTGTTACATAACTCTAAACTTACATCATGCCCTCAACTACATATTCACTTATAATTCTGGAGGCAGAATTATTAGCAAAATGGATTGAAGATATTCTATAAGGCCCTTTTTGGAGACAAAATCCAAAAGAACGATTTTATAAATTATATATCCTGTACCAGAACAGAAAGATGGCACAGAAAACAGTATATATTATAGGCCACATTAAATGAGAACAAGTTCAACTTTATGTGAGGAGTCAGGATGAATCTAAATTCCACTTACCAGGTGGTCTGGGCAAGTTATTTACTCTAAGGTTCAAGTTTACTGTTAATAAAATAAGGTTAATACTTTTTGTCCTAGGGATTAGCATTAAAATTAAATGTATTGCAGATGAAAGTACAGTACACAATGTTTTCTTGGTGTTGGAGACTTTGATGATTGCTAACAAGTTTTTGGTGTTGGATCTTTCTAAAATTCTGGCTTTATGACATATATATTCCTGATGAAGACTGTTTCTTGTGGCCTTTGCCTCTGTCCTTGCAATGGTTGCTCCTGTGAACTCCCCAGCCAGATAGTCTGTCAATTCTCATGCCAAAGTTAGGCCTGCATGAAGTTCTGTGCTTTGTTTTACTCCATGCTAATCATGAAGTTCTGTGCTTTGTGTTAGTCCACCCAGGAACCAGGAAAACTGAGCTCAGACCCTCGGACTGCCTAACTGCAATGCTGTTTGCTTAGGTATATCCTCTTCTAGGCTTAGGTAGAGGCACTGTCCTCTAGAGTTCTCAATGGCAACCACAGCAAAAGCCCTCTCTTGGCATTTACCAGGTCAGGGCAATAGCCTGACTATCTACTTCCCTTCCCCTCTCTCCTTTTTCTGCCTCTAGTCATTCAGTTCCATCTGTAAGATGTGAGCACCCTTTTATAAAAGTCTATCATCAGTTGGGCCTGCCTCCTTGACATGCTAAAGGAAGTGACACAGTAATTTTGAAACCCCCCTTTTTTTAATCAACAAATATTGGTTTTTAAACTTATGGTTAAAAGTTATTTTGGATTCAGATGATAAGCTTTTACATTTCTTCTTTGACAGACAACCATAAAGTACATGGCTTAATATGTTTAAGAATACTGTTGCCAGGCTGGGCAATAGAGCTACCGCTTGAGCGTGGAGACGCCTACATCCCAGGCAAGAGAAACTACACCAATTATCAGCTTACCCCAACCCTCACTATGTTTGGGACAAAACAACATTCAAAAGCTTGTAGGAAAGAAATATCCACCTATCTCAGCCTCAACTGAGAATAGCCCTTCCAATTATTACATAATGCTATCTTTTTATCTTTATTTTACTACTCATTTTAAGCCAAATATGATCAAACTAAGGTACTATTAGAAGTTTTATTTATCTATTCCAAGTTTAGTACTTGTATCTATTTATCGTTAGAGACTTTTATAATGCTAATACCTATGGACAAGAGCATCCAAGCTCCTTGTAACGGGAGCAGTCCTTTCACACTACTATATACACAGGATAGTCCATCATCTGCTGCATAACTAAATCTGTCATTAAAGAAGTTCTTTATAGCAAAGTCTTAGGGCTACATTTTTATGTTACTTGTAACTTGCTTTTTTAACCCAGTTATGACTGAGGTTGCAATATTTTGAATTTTTGCATTCAGACCGTGGTGATGACCTTGAGGAGTAGGATATAAATAACACCCACATGCTTAGTGTTCCAATAATGGAACACTAGGCACAGCAAATGACTCCCAAACATTAAAAAAACTTTATGGCAGATAAGTCTGTTGAAGGTAAAATGAGTAGATGTCCTTATATAGTTTGACATTTTCTCTAATTTCCATCCCAGTCATAACAAAGTAGGATTTGGGAATCTAGGAGGAGGGAATTCTGGCTCTCTGGAAAGGCACTGTATCACAACGACTAGGCCATATTCCATTTCATCATCTCAGTGGTCACCAATGGCTGTGCTCTCCTCTTCCTGGACTCACAAATTAGCTCCATTTTCCCACCTCCCTATAGTTAAATATAGCCATAGAACTGAGGTATGGACAAGTACATGTGAACCAGTTCCAGGCATGGCCCATAGTGTATCACTCCCATTCTTTTTCAATGCTAGTGGAAGACAGAAGATTTTGAGGACCTGGAGGGAGAAAACCATAGCATGGAAACTTACAGTTCCTTTCATTTTTTAAGTCAAAAAAGTTACGAGGTAGGGAGTAAAATAACTAAAAATATTTTTGTAGTAAAATAACTATGAAAATGTTCTTGAAAACAGGAAATATACACACCTTTCAGCATATTGACTCCACTGTTTTATGATCCTATGAGGACAGATATATAGTGCCTGATTTTTAGTCTATGCTCTTTCTTAAATTTCTGATAGTGCATCTCTATATACTAATTATGTTTCTTTCTCTTCAACGTTTTTAATGGCATTAAAGAGGTGTACCAGCGATTTAATTGGGGTCTTAAAAGTCACCATATTGGCTGGGTGCAGTGGCTCACACCTGTAATCCCAGCACTTTGGGAGGCCTAGGTGTGTGGATCACCTAAGGTCAGGAGTTCAAGACCTGCCTGGCCAACATGGTGAAACCCCATCTCTATGAAAAATACAAAAGTTAGCCGGGTGTGGTCGCGTGCACCTGTAGTTCCAGCTACTCGGGAGGCTGAGGCGGGAGAATTGCTTAAACCCAGGAGGCAAGGTTGCAGTGAGCAGAGATTGCACAACTGCACTCCAGCCTGGGTGACAGAGAGAGACTCTGTCTCAAAAAAAAAAAAAAAAAAAAAAAAAGTCACCGTATCAGAAATCATTTAGTCATTTTCTGTTCCCATTTTAAATTTCTTAGGAATGTTTGTCCGTCAGTTCCTGTGTCCATATTGGGTATTCCAAATTGCATTCCCTTTTTTCCTTCCATATATGAAACATAACTTTTTAAATTTGATTATCTAAGCTCATTTAAAAGAAGTATAAAATTTTCCAAATGTATTATAAAAGTGTATTTAAACAATATAAAACATATTATATATGAAAAGTATATAATCATGTAAATATAAAAAGTATATTTGAAAAGTGAAAACAGCAACCTCTGGCCCTTTTCCACTCTTATTCTTTCATGTTGGGCATGTATTACTCAAAATGTTTTCCATTCACATACATGTAAGTGCTCAATTTTAAGAGTAAAGGTTTAAATTCCCACAATATAAAGTGCAATTTTTAAAACTTACAACTATAATATTAGCCAAAGTTTATTTTAAATAAGCCCTAATATTTTTGATATATCTTGAAATTAAAATAATTATAAATTTACTAAACAATGTGAATTTCATAAGCAGGGGTTATGAAAAATGTATATGACTCTATGTGTAATTTCTGATGGCCCCACATGACTCAGAGGAATCAGTGAAATCTGAATTAGATTCACAAACTTGACCATGTCACGATACTAAAAAAGAAAACAATTCCGATTTTTATGGTTAAATTGATGGTATTTCAATTAGTAAAATATTTGTTTAACCTTTAATGTGGTTTTCCTTTTTTTTTTTTGCTGTCTCTACTAATAATTATTAAATCAATGATCCTTCTTGGTCTTGGCCTCAGGAAATTAAGGGATTATGCACATAAAATTTAAAGTTGTTTAAATTGAATTACGTCATTACTAAAATATTTTATTATGCATATTATCAATTTTGTCAGTTTATTTGTTTGTTTGTTTGTTTGTTTATTTTGAGACAGAGCCTCACTCTGTTGCCCAGGCTGGAGTGCAGTGGCATGATCTCGGCTCACTGCAACCTCTGCCTCCCAGGTTCAAGTGATTCTCCTGCTTCAGCCTCCAGAGTAGCTGGGACTACAGGAGCATGCCACCATACGAGGCTAATTTTTGTATTTTTAATAGAGACAGTGTTTTGCCATGTTAGCCAGCCTGGTTTCAAACTCCTGAGCTCAGGTGATCCACCCGCCTCAGCCTCCCAAAGTCCTGGGATTACAGATGTGAGCCACCGTGCCCAGCCAGTTTCTTTTTTATACTCAGAAACACAAGCATCTTTTTATATAGTACAGGTCTTTCTCAAGACATTTCTAATAGATGAACATGTACACGTTCCTTTCCTTTTCCCTTCCCTCTCCTCCCCTCCCCTCCCTTTCTTCCTTTCCTCCCTCCCCCATTCCTTTTCCCTCCTCTTCTGTTTCCCTCCCTTCCCCTACCCTCCCTTCTTCCCCTCCCCCTACCCACTCCCTTTTCCCTCCCCTTTGGTGTTCCTCTCCTCCCCTCCCTATTATTTGTTTTAAGCTCAAATTCAAGAGGTGCAGAAATAGATCCCAACTCTTGATAAGAGGTATTTCAAAAAATTGAAGCCAATTTCAGTATACTACAGAATCCATCTGTATCATAACTTCCAGAGAGTTCTCAGTGATCTACTCTATCCTATGCTGCAATGTGTGTGTGTGTGTGTGTGTGTGTGTATCTCTGTGTATGTGAGAGAGTGATAACAAGAGAGAGACCCAAATTCATTGAAGATTTGGATTTAGAGATAGAAGAGAAAAATGTATTTATTCATTCGTAGGATGTTCCAGTTAGCTATTTTTGAAAAAAATAAACTTTAATTTTATTAATGAAAGGACTAAGTACAAATAATTTGTGTAATATAATTTTTTAAATCAGTTAGTTCTTTAAAAAGCTTACAACAAAAAAAATTTCATGATTCCTCAATCCTGACTTCATTATTTATACATTGTCTTAGCATATTTATATCTTAAATTTTATTAAAAGCATAATCAGCATATTATTTCCTCCCTGTGTAATTTTCTTACACAGGGAGGAAAAGTGTATCAATTATTATTGCTTCATAATAAAACACTCCAAACTTTGTGCCATAAAGCCACAACAATTTTTGTATCTTCAGAGGATCTGTAGGTTGTTTAACTGGAGATTTGTCAGGAAAAGATATCCTCTGCTCCACAGTATCTGGGACCTCAGTCTGGGGTGAGCAGTGTGGGGGGCTAAAACAGCTGACACTAGAGGATCTATTTCTAAAATGACCGTTTCAGTTACATGGCTGGTACCTGGACTGGGTTGATTCACGCTAGGATCATACTGTTGCCTGGAGGACTTACAATGTGGCCTGTCCATGCTGTCTGGTCTTCTTATGGCATATCAGCTGGATTCCAAGAGGAAGTATTCTGAGAGGGATTATTGTCAAGAGAACCAGGCAGAAACTGCATGGCCTTTTCTGACTTAATGTCAGAAGTCCTGTGGCATCACTTTCACCACATTCTTTTGGTTACAAGCAAGTCATAAGGCTAGATTGGGGAAAACAGGAGAGAACTTACTCTCTACCACTCTTTTGAAATGTGTCAATGTCACACTGTAGAAGAAAGTGTAGAATTGAGTGTATTGTGTGACCATCACTAGAAAAAAAAAGCATTTCCACTAAAAGATAATACATTCGGGCAAATAACAAGTAAACTCAACCACAACATACATTTAAAACATGTAAGCAGAATACATAACATAAAGCCAATTGAAAATAACTAGCCAATGCATCAGAAGCTCAAGCAAGTTAAAACATATTATTCTTCCTTGTAATCTACATTTTGTTTGCAAAACTAACTCCTCCTCCTGGCTTTCCAAAAATAACATGCACTCTCAACGTTCCTTACCTTTACTCATGCTGTCTCTCTCAGCTTGAAATCATCTTCCCTACATTATTTATTGAAATCCTTCAAAAGAGACTGAAATACCATCTCCTCAGAGAGGCTGTCACTGACACTGATCTTCCAAATTACAATTAATCATTCCCTCTCTGATTGCTACAGTACAGTATTTCTGCTTCTACTTAGCACTTACTCTATTCTGCTTTTATTATGATTAGATATTTATAGATGCACTTTCTTTACTAGTCTGTATGCCCCTCCAGAGGCAGATAACTTACCTGGGTTCATTTTTGTTTCCTCACAAGACTTTAATAACGACACACTACTTTATTGATCATCATATATTTAATTAAGATACAAATGATTCTATGTTTAAAGTGTATGTATTTTACACATTAGTCCACTAAGATTTCTAGCTGTCATTTATGCATTATCTATATGAACAGAGTAGGTTAGAGGTGAAAAGAATAAAGCAAACAGGGAAATTTTGGAAAATGGAGGGGATTTTGGTCTAGATATGATAAAATATTCTAAGGAGAGGAAGTATGGTTTCCCTCTAGGCCCAGTCAGTCCCAGTATGAGTAAGAACAGTATTCTATAAAAGCATCTGTATTAGCTTTGTTCAATTATGCCTTCTTAGTTATTAGCAACTTAGAATCTTCTTAGATATATGTGGAAATTCAGAATGAATTAAATCTTGATCCCCATTAGATTCTTATGCTTCCAGATGCTATAGAGTTTCCCGATAGTTTTGCTTCTGGATTGAAATATTTTTAACAATCCACCTTCTACTAGTATCCCTTCCCTCTGGAACCCCCACTGAGGATTTTCTTGTTTTGTGAATCATAACTCAAATGTTCATTCTTTGCTTCAGGTTGATTTAACATATCTTCCTCAACTATTAGCTACTGGGCTGTGGCTACAGTTGGCTACAATGGAGCTTTAGAAACTTCTGGTTAATGCCACCCTCAATCAGGATGAACCAAACTCATATAAGCAACAAGCTTCTTTTTCGTTTTTGTCTACTTTTATCTCTACCAACCTCTATCTTATTCGGTAATGAAGATAGCTCATTACCGAATCCCTTTTTCCTGCAGAAGCTAGAGATAAATGCATTGATCCGTTTCTCAGGGTGTTGAATGGTTTAACTAGGACTATAAAGGCTATAAAAATGTAATTCGATGCTGTATTAGGTGCTATTAGCAACACATTACTAATTCCATGAGTGATCATATTCCTCCACAGATCTTAAATATTCTTTACCTTAATATTTTTTCATACCCATATAAAGTTTGGTTTTAGAATTTTCATGCCTATTCACCACTACTGAGCAAATAGTGATCATGTATCATGTTTTGTCTTAATTTTTAAAAAATAGGTGATTTCTTTAAAAGAAATCATTTAAAAATTATTTATCCCAGCTATGCTTTAAGATGCAGTTTTTCAATGAAATTTTTGACAGAAAAGAACTACTGATCTTAGAGAAAATATCTATAAAATTTCTGCCCATGTAGAGTTCAATTTTAGAATTCTCATGCCTATTCACTACTACTGCTTATTATTTTTAAAATAAAAAGATACATGATATTTCCCTGGCAGCATATAAGTTATAAGCGTAGAATAAAATAGCTAAATATTGGAAATATGTTCTGGGTTCTGATAAACACTTAAATAGATGTCATTATTTTCTATCTATTAAAAACAAACATTCTCCGTAGAAAATTCTGTGTTTGATTCTTTTTTCTTTAATTTCTGTTCTTTTCACTTGCCCACAAATTGATGTGGTACATCAGTAAATGTGATCATATTTTATTGGTACCAAGAAGCACATCTATTAATAAAATTGGGATGCATCCTAAAATATTTGCCATACCACAGTTGCTGTTGATCAGGCAACAACTTTGACATGGTGTGTGAACTTGATCATATTTGTTCATACTGCCATTACATAAGTTGAGTTTGTACATTTTTAACACTAGAGAGTTTAGAATTTAATAGCCATTTAAAATAATTTGAAGAAATTTACACTATGATTCAGCACTTAAGCAAAAAGTTGCTGTGTATACTGAAAGTTCCAGGAAAAGTGCGGTGATATTAATTTGACATGATAGAAGAAAATATTTGTCTTGAGAGAAATGAACCGAATTCTTGCAAAGCAACACATAAGAAAAGGAAAGTACTCAAAAAAAGAACCTTATAAAGAGGTGAGGCTAAATGTTGTTACTGAGATACATGCATAAGGCTTGTCTAACAAATATTAAACAAAGCAACAGAAAGGCAGGTAAACTGACATGAGAAGTAAAAAATTTCAAAGCAGCAAGAGCCTCATATGATCCATTTATGCATTGTGCAGAACTATCTTTATAGGGTATCAAATATAATTTGTCAGAAACTTTGTGCTTACTTTAAACAGAAGCTACTTCCAGTGATATTCAGTTCAAATGAGAAAAAAAAAGAAAGAAATATTGCTGTGTCATAGTTTAATGGAATGTTTTTCTGTCTTAGAGGTATATAAAAATTACAAAATTTCTTACATTAGACGCCATCTATATTTAATGAACTATGGTAATAAAATCACAGTTAAATATAGAAAAAATATATTAAAGCAAGATTTTATAAGACATTTACTAAGCTACCACTTTTATTTTCTTCTTTTCTAGTTTCCAATAATGTTATAAGCCACCATTATTGTTACAATCAGTTGAGGCATTGTAGTAATATCTTTATATTCATTACCTCTTTTATCATTTGTACCTGTTTGGTAAGGCAAATGTTATTAACCACAATTTACAGATTAAAAATTTAAGGCTGCGAGAAGGTTTATTATAACTTGGAAGTGACAGAGCCAGGGTGGAAACCTAAAACCTGTGCTGTTGCTATACTGCCTCTCAATTAAATCATTAATGGTTTTAAGGAAGCATTCCTTGTACCCTCCTGCTTAGAAGCCTACCAGTAGTAGGCATATTTAGAACAAGCTAGGTTCTAGGCTTTAATGCATTTGTTGCTTTATATCTTTAATCATTACAGTCTAACTAGATTACTATGCTGGTCAACTCCCTGTTTGCTCTCAGATCCATGACCCAGCCTTCCACTGCTTTTCTTTAGATTGCAAGAGGCTACATTTGCCATTCTCATGTTCTCTTTGATTTTCAGAGAGGCTATGGCAGAGAATTGAGGGAGGACGTAGGAAAAACGCCTGAGAAAGCTTCATCAGAGATCCTGCTCCACCACAAACAATGCTCTTGCTCAATTTTTCCATGAATTTTTTTGAAGTCTCCTCGTATAACTTAGCTTCTCCCCTACCAAATGCATTCACTAATTTCAATCTACTCTATTGTAGGAAGATATTCAATTATAATTAGTATTCATTTCATTTTTTCCTACTTATTATACCTTTGCATTATCTTTATCTCATTTGATTCTCAAAATATTTTTGCCTTACAATTGAGGAAGTTTAGGCTTATAGGATCACAGTGACATTCCTATACAAATGTTGATAGGAGATGGCAGAACGAAGGCTCACTTCCTCTGTCAACTTACTTTGAATTTTATCATTTTTCAATCCTATCCTTATGGATCCTACATACAGGTCAGTAGATCTCTTATACCAAAGTACCTGGAGTGTTTGATAAAAACTTTCCTAGACTCTACCCTAAAAACTATTAAACAAAACTTCCAGGATGAAGTGCTAGAAACTACACTTCTAACAGTCCTTGAGTGAGTCTGACCAATTTGAAAACCACAACTAAACCTATCTGCCCTCAGAGTCATAAAAGGACTCTGTCTTTTTCTTGTAAATGAAACAGAAAACATGTGTTCTTAACACCTTAAAGTATTGTGTGCTTTAGACCAGTATTCTACAAAAGAGAAACATTTTGTTCTAAAGTTCACTTGAAAAAATAATAAATTGATAAAAACACTTTCAACAAAACTCCACACTTAGGAGTTTAGTTATTTTGTGTACCAATTTTTATACAGTTTTATGAAGTTATATTATTTAGACAAAAACATGTGAGTACTTTCCTTAGACACATTCTTATCATGATAATAGATTCTCATACATTTATTGGTGTTATAGTCAGGAAGAGTGTTATGTTTGCAGATGTGAAAATTATCTTAAATTTTCTTCATTCAGACTTAAGGAGGTTTGCCAGTTGACTTTTCCCTCCTAGAATGTATGTAGTTGTTTTTAATTTTTCACAAAGGAGAACTTTTGGAATGTAACACATTAAAAGTGATATCAAGTTGCTCTCTTTGAAAAACTGTCCCGCTTTTTATTTTATTTATTTTATGATATTAAAATCTCACTACAGTTTCAATATTTCAAATGCATCTATTGTTAGTATAATTTTAAAACATTAAAAGGTATTAGTGTAGTCATTTTTTTAGAAAACAGAAGTGAGACTATTCATATAATTATGTGGTGAGGACAGTTTCTTAAAATACCTTCAGGAAAAAGTAGTTAGCAAGTACTTAAGTTTATATGATCTTCAAGCTCTTAACATTAGAGTGATGTAAGTGAAGAAATAATGAAGATCAGAAAGAATGTAATTTTCTAAGTAAAATAAGATATATATATACATATACACACATTACAGAAATGTCTCCCAACATATCATACCAAAAATAAATATACATTAAAATTTTAAAATATTAATGACCAGAAAGACATATTAAAGATTCAATACATAGTCTATGTGCTAATATTAGGACTTGGGTACAAGGTATGTATTTATAGACTTTGAAAAAAAATCAGAAGCCCCATAATGAATTCATTACTCTAGTCAATACTGCATGTGCTATTATAGCAGGAAAGAACATTTTAACAAAGGCTTTTAAGATTTAAAATTACATATAAATGATAATTATTTTCATGGTCATGCTAATCAAGACTAGATTAGCATGATCATTACAGTAAAATCTGTCCTGGCCAGATCAGAAAATTATTCTAAAAGTCATCATTTGAACCTGGGTACTTTTTTCCTTTCTCTTAGTTCTTGCTGTCTCCCAGGTGAAGGACTGTGCTAATGTCATCCTGGAGATCATTTATTCCTGAAGTCTGAGCATTACTAGTAGGTATTTTTTCCCTTGACCCCAAGTACTTCATTTTCAGCAGAACTTGAAGGATAATAGGAAGGCTTTCCCAAGGTTAGAATCAATAATAGAGTAAGAAAGCTGACTTCTGGAGAGGCGGCTGTATCACATATGAAGACCATTTTGCTACGTTTGTGACAGTTCTTCGGTCATTTTAAAGAACTCTGTAAATACAAAAACATATAACATATTAATTCAGGGATAAAAAACTCTTTCATGATCTGTGACTTTGTACAAAATGCTGAGATTGGAATAGATAGTTTTGAAGGTTCTTTCTGGCTCTGGAAAGCTAAGATTTGTAACTTACTCTCAAAGTGTGCAAGTAACCCCAGAAAACATCTCAGAGGAAAACTTTGAGAGTAAGACTGACCTGTTAGGATCTTCCAAAAGTGATTGGAATATTAAAATAAAGTGAAAATCTTCTTGGGCTCTTATTGACTTTTCAAAAAATTGAAGACTCCCCTTGGGGCTGCATATCTGCTTCATGAGACATAGAACCACGTGTTTTCCACTGGCTCTCATAGTTATAGATTCATCAACTGCTCTTTTCCTCCTTCCTTTCATCCTTTTGTTTCTCTCTTTAATTCCATCAATAGCTATCATTTTTTAAGTAATATGTTAGAAAAATCTATCTGAGAATTTCCAGTATATTTTCAAAGCTAGTTCTTTATTGCAGAAGAACATGAATTCTTTCTTAGATGCAGACTTAAATTTACATCTTTCTTATCTCCAGATGCTTAGGTTGTTGCCCCTAGTACAAGGTAAGTTACTCTCATGTAGCACTCAATTAAGAAGGTACAAAACACTTGCCAATAAAACACAGTGTCATTTGTTGTGAGGTTGGCTGACAATGTGAAACTGCCTAAGTCACTTACATACACTGTGCACCTTGTTTTGGCCATGATTTGATTCCAATGCCAGATTTCTGACAAATGCCAGACCTATATGCTTATACTTACCTGGCAATTGGTCTATTGTTTTCCTTAAAAATTGTAGATTTTCCAATCATACTATGCTTGTGGGAACTTTGAAAACCTTCTTGGCAGCACTGCCTGACACATATTTTGACTTATTTCATGTTGTTAGAGATTTTCGATCTAAACTTGGGATTTATCAGTTTAATTTATCTAATCTTGACAATAGCATCCATGCTAACTGAAATGATTTCTAACAATGTTTTGCTGATCTCTGTTATTGCTGAATGAGGATAAAGATGCTTAGTACATAGCAGCATTCCTTATCTGTGAGGCTTACATTTTGAGTTTGAGATACCCGCAATACCCCTTCACCAGTGCAATTTTTATTGGAGCTATATTTTGCTTTTCTCATAAGATCAGTTTTCCATGTTCATTTCTTGACATGACCATGTTTAGGAGATTCAGAGAAATCATTATTTGTTATTATAGAGTGCTGTAGAATACAGCTTTCCATTTTAAAACTAATAATGAGACTCATAATACTTGAACATGATAGGCTGTGGTTGATCTTGATCCAAGGGAATCTCCTTAGTAAGTTCAGATGATCTTGTAGTTAAGGTCTAGAGGCTCGAAGCCCAGTGATGATAAATCCATTTTTCACAGAATACTAGGCTAAAATCATGTAGTGCTGAAGCTCAGGAAACAAGCATCATAGTCCCCTTATAAGCCTTCTGTCTTGTTTTCTTTGCAGGACTTCCAATTATGTAGACAAGAAAATGAATTTCTCCATGGTGTTTTTCCCTCTTTTCAATAAAAAAGTGACATTCCTTTCGTGTGACCTGTTTGATGTTACTGCATTGCTACAAAATATCACTACTTTCTGTCCAGAGAAAATGTCAATTACTCAAAACATCCCTCTATCTTTAAAATGTCTTTCAGACTTTGTTTATACAGCAAAAATTCAAGTGGTGATTCAGTTTACATGTTCTATTGAATTGATATTTAGACAGCCAAATAAGATAATTCACAGCCTAAATTTGCTAATTGAATTAACTTTGTTTGTTAACTGTCATTTATTTTAGTTATTATTTTACTATTCACATGAATTTTAGGAATTCTGCTCACAAATTATCTTTAAGTTTTTTCTGCCCTTTTCCAATTCATTTTTCAGGTTTTCATGTGTGGGTCTGTTTCTGCATGAGATCTTTCAGTCTGGTAGTCTATTTGTGATTACAGTGCTGATACCACAATTTGTAATAGATTTATAAAAAGTCTTTATACCTTATGTACAAAGATCCTCTACACTGCCCTTCTTTAGCAGTACCTTGCCTTTCTTGACCCTTTGCTTTTCATATAAATATTGAAATCAATATGTCAAGTTCCCCAAACCTTCTGTTGAGATATTTATTGATATTATATTTACTTTGAAGGTTATTATATTTTGGAACAATTGAGATATTCATAATATTGAATGTTTTAATAAGTAAGCATGTCATAGCTATTCATCTATTTAGATCTTCTAAAATTTTCATCTAATTTGGATATCTTTTTTCTATAATGGTCTTATATATTCTTATTTATTTTTCTCTGTTACTGTCTTTGTGGTTGAGGGATTTTTTTTTTCTAGCAGATATTTTGATTTTGTGCTATAAATTTTTGTGTATCTATTACAGGTTTTTGCTTTTTGGTTACTATGAGGCTTACAAAAAATATCTTATAGTTACAACAGGCTATTTTATACTAACAACGTAGCATTGATTGCAAAGAAAGCATCAAAAACAAACTCTACACTTTAACACCATCCCTCCCTACACTTGGACTTTTGATGTTTCAGATTGCATATATCTCAATCAATTATTATAGTTTTGTTGTTTTTAATAGTTTTGTCTTTTAGTCCTTTTTTTTAGAGATGGGGTTCCTGTCAGTTGCACATGCTGGAGTACAGTGGTGCCATGACAGCTCACTGCAGCCTTGAACTCCTGGGCTCAAAAAACCCTCCCACAACCTTCCAAGTAGATAAGAGTACAGGTGCATGGCAGCATGCCTTGCTACTTATTTTATTTTTTCATAGAGATGGTGTCTTACTATGCTGCCCAGACTGGTCACCAACTCCTAGACTCAAGCAATCCTCCTGTCTTGGCCTACCAAATCATTGGGATAACAGGTGTGGGCCATCATGCATGGTGTCTTTTAGTTTTAATATTTAAAATAAAACTGGTTTATTTATCATAATTACATTATTAGAGTATTCTGAACTTGTCTGTTTTCTTTCATCGGTGAGGTTTTTACCATTAGATTTTTTGTTTGTTATGTGTCAGCATCCATTTATTTCTGACTGAAAAACTCTCTTTAGTATTTCCTCTAAGACAGGTCTGCTGTTGATGAATTATCTCAGCTTTTGTTTGTCTGGGAAAGTCTTTATCTCTTTGTGTTTAAATAATTGGTTTTTTGGGTAGAGTATTCTTTGTTGTGAGTTTTTTGTTTTGTTTTGTTTTCCCTTTCAGCACTTTAAATGTAGCATCTCTCACTCTCTTGGCCTACAGGGTTTCTACTGACAGATTTAGTGAAAGCTGTATTGGGATTCTGTTGAATGTGATGTGTTTATTTTGTCTTGCTTCTTTGAGTATTCTTTCTTGGTCTTTGATTTTTGCTAATTTGATTATGATGTGTCTTGGGAAGTTCCTTTTGTGTTGAGTTTCATTGGAGACCCCTGAACTTTCTGTGCTTTGATGGTGTTGTCTATCTCAAAATCTGGCTAATTTTTAGCCATTTTTATTAAATATGTTTTGTAGGCCAATTTTACCCCTTGTCTACTTTGGGAATTTCAATTATGTAGAGATTAATGTGCTTGATGGTGTCCCATGATTTTTGTAGGTCTTCTTTACTCTTTTTTTATGCTTTTTTTCTTTTTGATCTTCTGTTGTGTAATTTCATATGTTTTGTTTTCAATCTCATTAATTATTTTCTCTGATCAGGTTTGCTTTTGAAGGTCTCTAATGAGTTTTTTAGTTCAGGTTCTAGGCTTTCTATGTTTTAAATTGTTGTCAATGTTTTTATTGGTTGTTAAGTTTCTCATTTTGTTTCTGAATTGTGTTCCAAATTTTATTTAGTTTTCTACCCCTATTTTTCTGTTATCCCCTGAACTTCTCTAAGAAAATTATTCTGAATTCTTCAACAGATATTCCAGAGATTTGCAATTATTTTGGATCCATTGCTGGAGCTTCATTGGCTTCTTTTCGTGGTGTCATGTTTCTCTGAGTTCTAAAATTCTTGTGTCTTTACATTGATGCCTGTACATTTAAAAACACAGCCACCGCTTCCAGCTTTTGCAGGTGTTCTTTAATGGTGTTAGACCATTACTTCTTAGTATCAGAACCTAAACACTGTCCTGTTGTTGCTTCTCATTCTGGAATGGACTTATAGTGAGCACAAGAATTAATGCACTACACTAGACATAACTTGTTGCCCTGCCATTGTTTCATGGTGTGGGGAAACTTACAGTGAACCCTGGAGCTTAAATACTGTCCTGAAATGATATTGCTGTCCTGCTGTTGTTTCCCAATGGCCATCTTCCGGGAAAGCAGGCACTGGAATGTAATATCAACATTTTAGTTGTTTACAGGCCAAAAGAAGGCTTCACCTAAGCTCCTGGGCATTGTGAAAAAACTTGCTAGGGATTCAAGTCTTGTCATGAACTGTGTCCTCTTTTATGATTACGGCACTGAACATTCCCTTCAACATGGTGTTCCCACTAGTCTGAGCACTTAATAGCCACTGAGATCTGCACACTGGTCACTAAGATCAGCACCTACTTTTTGTCCCCAGTTTAACTCAGGTGGTTAAAGTCCTCCTGGCACTCCCAGTATTTCCCATGGGACAGGACAAGAGTCAGATTCCCATGAAGATTCCCAAGCCAGTGGGGAGATCAAATGTGTACCTCCAATTCTCTCCTCCCCCATTGGCAACCATGGGTTTAGAGAAATTCCTGTGAGTGGCAGTATGCCAGCTTGCAGGGGGGTGTCATCTAAAGTGAATATTTCTTTTACTCATTGCAGCTTCTCTGAATTCTGTGGGTCTAGGAATTTCCTCCACTTCTCTTTCAAGTTCTGGTGTTTCCAGGGTGGTATTCTTATCTTTTAATACTTTCTAGTTGTATTTTTGTAGAGGGAGTGATGCCTGGGGATTTTCTATTTTGCTATCTTGCTCATGCCACTCTCTCATTTAATATTTATAACATCTATTAAATAGGTACTATTACCCTCTGATTTTACAGAAAACTGATAAATGGAAAAGAAGTGATTTGTTCTAGGTCACTCAGCTACTATATGATGGAGCCAAGACTTTCACCAAGGAAATATGACTTCAGTGTCTTACCGGTCTTAGGTTACACAAGAACTATTAGAACATGGCTGATAAAGATAAATTCCTCTTCTGTAATTCACAGGTCACTCAGTTAAACTTAGCTTCCTGAAAAAGCAAATTCTACTTAAGATGCCAAATCTCATGATGACAAATATCAGTCACACCAATCTTCAATCACACTTAGGTAAAATAGTTAATTCAAGGACATATAATTACATGAAAATAAAATTCCTATTTTGTTCTGGAAATATAAACATTTACAAACAAAATATGTAAATAAAATTGATTTTAAATGAGATAAACTTAATTTATAGTGAAGTGTTTTGTTTCCTGGATGTTGAATAATTCCTCAGTCTTTTCTTTAAAGCCAACCATAAGACTCATTCTCCAATGCTGACATGACTGATAGATTCTCTAAAATCTATCTATTTTTTTGCAAATTGGTGTTAAAGGTCACTAGTGAGCAAGTTTTCAATACCTCTCTCTGGAAATCAAGGCCATTCAACCCAGACAAACTCCATCTAGAGAAGGGGATCATTGCTAGACCTAATAGACTAATTGTAACTTGACTGTCGGAACTAACATTCTATGTATTCACATTGAAGCTCTGTAATGCTTGATAGAAAAACACAGGAACAGCCATCCCCTCACTTGGTGCTGGATATAAAATATTTTCTATCTTAGAGAATATTGACAGTGTAATTTTTACTTGTTTGATGAATTAATTACTTTGTTAACACATTTTTGTTAGAGGGTGTGATGGCACATACTTGTAGTCCCAGCTACTTGGGAGGCTGAGACAAGAGGATTGCTTGAGCCCATGATTTGGAAGCTGCAGTGAGCTATGATTGTGTCACTGCACTTCAGCATGGGCAACAGAGAGAGACCCTTCCCTAAAAGTAAAATAAAATAAAATACATATTTGTAACGGTTTCCTTTTTTTAAGGTACATATCTGGACACAATATCTGAAAGGGATTCTGCTATTTTAGTGGTTTCTGAGTTCCCAGTGCCTCCTTCAAAACATACATAGCTCTACCTTTATTTCATATATTTATTTTTCTAAACTTGGAAAAGTTAAAGGAAAAAAGGCCAACTGCAGTTTAAGTACACATGGCACAGACACTTGTAGAAAATCTGTGGTTGCTTGGCAACCAAAGGGTGCCTTATTTGGAGAGCTCAGAGAGGTGTACAATGTGACTTCAGGATGGATGAAGGGCAGCAGGAGGCGCTGAGTTGACTGAAATGATTCAGAACATGGAAGCAATATTCAAATAATATACATCTGTATGTGATTATTCCCAAAGGATAAGAACTGTTGCTGCTAAGCTCCCGTCTGCAGATATAATAAGGAGAGGGTTTCAGAGGCAATATAATATTAGTTTTTGAATTTTACTTCTACAAACATGCCTTGTGCAGTTAGGGTGCTGTGGTAACTGCTGAAATAGCATGTTAATAACCAGAGTAGCTATCAGCACCTCCTTGGTCAATTGACATGTCAGTGAAAGAGATTTGATTTTTAAAATCTCGCCATCCTTAATAAAGATCAGCAATCATTAAAATTAACCACATGCTGATTCAATCAGCATATAGCTTTGTTAATTACTAGTTCTTTCTTCATGTCCATCTGTTTTTAAGATTTTAGTGAACCTGCACCAGATGTTCATGTAAATATAATAAGCTGGTTGCCATGTAAATATAACATTTTCAAGTTTGTTGTGTAACAGTCTTTCAATTTATGCATACTGTTGTCTGTGGTTTTCTTTTAGCAGCTTAAATACAAAACTGATAACTTTGTTAAACGCCCCAATGGGGACTGTTTCTATTTACTTCTTTGTGTGTGTGTGTATGGAGGGGGAGGTTGGTTGCTATTTATTTGTCATATATTGTGCTAAGTGTTCAAATCCATAAGATGTAGCAAAGTATCTCAGGGTTTTCTAGGAATGGCAGCAGAGAAATTAGATAAAACTATTCCATTTCTCTTAGTTCAATAGTAGAAAAAACCATCAAATTCACAGTAAATATGATCTATTAAAAAGGAATGATAAAACAGTAATGTGATTCTTGCACATAGGTGCTTCAGTTTTGTGACTGTCATTACCATCCCAGCCTTGAGTCTATTTGGAAAATTCACTTGACTAATTAGAGGGCTGACACATGGCATTTTCACATGTTTTACATAAGGAATTGCTGAAATTGATCAAACTGAAGGATTATGGGATTGGTCAGAAGAAAGATCGTAAGAATCAAATTAGGGCAAATTTGGGCTTTTTGAAGAAGAAAGTGCATTTTAAAATGCTGCCCTGTACAATAGGCTTAAAAGAGTATTTCAGTAACAGTTTTATACCAACTAAAATGTTTGAACCCAGCTGGTTATGGATATAGCAATCAAGTAGAATCCACAATGTAATATTGAAGAGATATCAATATAAAGAGCTGAGATCTAAGACAAATTGTAAAATGAGTATTAATTTCCAAGACTGATCACATTTTACCTAAACTTAAGGGATTAGTAAATTGAACTCACTAACAAAGATTAGAGGTGGAATATTTTCTGGATAATCAAAGAAAATAGGCCTGTGAAAATTGAAAAAAAAGGTTTGAATAAAATAAAAACATAATTTAAAAATAAATAAGATATATTGTGTGAAAAGAGGGAGAGTGTCCCTTTGTGACATTATAGAAAGAAAGAATTCCCATCACTTTCCGTTTCTTGCCAGTGACTCTAAAGCAAACAATATATCAGAACACTCAGAATCATAGGCCTAGAATGAGAATTTTATTACACAGACTTAGGGAGAGAGGGTGAAAACTCTTTAATGAATGTGTGTTTACATAGTTTTGACTTTTATTAGGCATTCATTTACTTTTTATTTAATTTTAAAAGAAGTAGAACATTCACATGGTTTCAAAAATCTGTAAAAATATACATAGTGTAAATTATCCCATCCCGTTTTTATTTTCATCTCATTTGCCTAGTTCCAAGAAACTCCTCTTTACATGTCATCACTGTCCTTATTTTCTTAAGTATCTTTCCAGAGTATTGTTGTGCTTATAACAAAAAAACTGAATTCTTTTTTCTTTCATTATTTCTTTTCATTTAATTTTTTAATTATTATATTTAATTCTTTTTTAAATTTAATTTTATTTTAAGTCCTGGGATACATGTGCAGGACATGCAGGTTTGCTTCACAGGTAAACGTATGCCATGGTGGTTTTCTGCACCTATCAATGCATTACCTAGGTATTAAGCTCAGCAAGCATTAGCTATTTATCCTGATGCTCTCCCTCCCGCTGCTCCCTGGACAGGCCCCACCTTGTGTTGTTCTCCCTGTGTCCATGTGTTCTCATTGTTCAGCTCCCACTTATAAGTGAGAACATGTGGTGTTTGGTTTTCTGTTCCTGTGTTAATTTGCTTTTGATAATGGCTTCCAGCTTCATCCATGTCCCTGCAAAGGACATGATCTCATTCCTTTTATGGCTGCATAGTATTCTATGGTGTATATGTACCACATTTTCTTTTTCCAGTCTGTCATCGATGGGCATTTGGGTTGATTCTGTATCTTTGGTATTGTGACTAGTGCTGCAGTGAACACAAGAGTGCGTGTATCTTCATAACAGAATGATTTGTATTCTTCTGTGTATATACCCAGTAATGAGATTGCTGGGTCAAATTGCATTTCTGGTTCTATGTCTTTGAGGAATCGCCACGCTGACTTCCACAATGGTTGGACTAATTTACATTCCCAACAACAGTGTAAAGCATTTCTATTTCTCCACAGCCTCATCACATCTGTTGTTTCTTGACTTTTTAATAATAGCCATTCTGACTGGCTTGAGGTGATATCTCACTGTGGTTTTGATTTGCATTTCTCTAATGATCAGTGATGTTGAGCTTTTTTTCATGTTTGTTGGCTGCATAAATGACTTCTTTTGAGAAGTGTCTGTTCAGGTCCTTTGCCCACTTTTTGATGGGGTGGTTTGTTTTTTTCTTGTAAATTTGTTTAAGTTCTTTGTAGATTCTGGATATTAGACCTTTGTCAGATGGATAAATTGCAAATTGTTTCTCTCATTCTCTAGGTTGCCTGTTCACTCTGATGATAGTTTCTTTTGCTGTGCAAAAGCTCTTTAGTTTAATTGGATCTCATTTGTCAATTTTGGCTTTTGTTACAATTGCTTTTGGTGTTTTCTTCATGAACTCTTTGCCCATGCCTATGTCCTGAATGGCATTGCCTAGATTTTCTTCCAGGGATTTTATAGTTTTGAGTTTTCTGTTTAAGTCTTTAATCTATCTTGAGTTAATTTTTGCCTAAGGTGTAAAGAAGGGATACAGTTTCAATTTTCTGCATATTAGACAGATCATGGAGACAGAAAATTAGCAAGGGTATTCAGGACCTAAACTCAGCTCAGGATCAAGTGGACCTGATAAATATCTACAGAACTCTGTACCCAAAAAGCTAGAATATACATTCTTCTTGGTGCCACATGGCACTTACTCTAAAGTAGATCACATAATTTGAAGTAAAAAACTCCTCAGTAAATGCAAAATAACTGAAATCATAATAACAGTCTCTCAGACCACAGCACAGTCAAATTCAAACTCAACATTAAGAAACCCACTGAAAACCACACACAACTACTTGGAAATTGAGCAACCTGCTTTTGAATAACTCTTGGGTAAATAATGAAATTAAGGCAGAAATCAAGAAGTTTTTTGAAGCCAATGAGAACAAAGAAACAACAGACAAGAATCTCTGGGACACAACTAAAGCAGTGTAAAGAGGGAAATTTATAGTACTAAGCGCCCACATCAAAAAGCTAGAAAGATCTCAATCTGACACCCTAACATCACAACAAAAAGAACTACAGAACCAAGAGCAGACAAACCCCAAATGGTAGCAGAAGACAAGAAATAGCCAAGATCAGAGTGGAATTGAAGAAGATAGAGACATGAAAAACCCTTCAAAAAATCAATGAATCCAGGAGCTGGTTTTTTGAAAAACAATTGTTAAAATAGATAGATTACTAGCTAGACTAATAAAGAGGAAAGAGAGAATAATCAAATAGATACAATAAAAAACGATAAAGGGGCTATCACCAGTGACCCCATAGAAATATAAACAATCATCAGAACATACTATTTAATACTTCTATGCAACCACCTAGAAAATCTAGAAGAAATGGACAAATTCCTGGACACATACATCCTTTCAAGGCTGAACTAGGAAGAAGTTGAATCCCTGAATAGATCAATAATAAGTTCTGAAATTGAGGCAGTAATAAATAGCCTATCAACCAAAAAAAAAAAAAGCCCAGGACTAGAGGATTTACAGCTGAATTCTACCAGAGGTACAAAAAGGATCTGGTACCATTTTTTCAGAAGCTATTCCAGACAACTGAAAAGGAGGGACTTCTCCCTAACTCATTTTATGAGGCCAATATCACCCTGATACCAAAATCTGGCAGAGATGCAACAAAAAAGGAAAACTTTAGGCCAATATCTCTGATGAGCATCGATGAAAAAATCCTCAATAATAAACTGGCAAAGCAAATCCAGAAGCACATTGAAAAGCTTATCCATCATGATCTAGTCGGCTTCATCTCTGGTCTGCAGGGTTGGTTCAACATACACAAATCAATAAGTGTAATTCATCATGTAAACAGAACTAAAGACAAAAACCACATGATTATCTCAAAGATGCAGAAAAGGGCATCGGTAAAAGTCAACATCCCTTCATGTTAAAAACTCTCAATAAATTAGGCATTGATGGAGCATATCTCAAAATAATAAGAGCCATTTATGGCAAACTCACAGCCAATATCATACTGAATGGGCAAAAACTGGAAGCATTCCCCATTAAAACCGGCACAAGACAAGGATGCCCTTTCTCACCACTCCTATTCAACATAGTATTGGAAGTTCTGGCCAGGGCACTCAGACAAGAGAAAGAAATAAAGCGTATTCAAATAGGAAGTGAGGAAGTCAAATTGTCTTTGTTTGCAGACGACATGCATTTTTCAATATTTACAACTTTCACATCTTGGTACAAAATCTACAAATTCAATAAATTTATGTGTAATTAAAATACTCTGTGGTTTCTCCCTTTTTTCCTGTCTCTTCAGCCACTTTTACTTGATCTATTCAAGAAGCCATAGGGATATAATCTCCAGGATAGACTTTAAAAACTATATTGTTTTACTTGTGTTTATATATAAAAATGACTTTCAGTTTTGGTTTATAAGAGCATACTTTTCTTTCCAAAGTTCCTAATATTATTTCTGCAGAAAGCTGAACCTGTATTAGTCCTTGCCTTACTGTTCAGCTATGGATAGTGCTTTTAACCTAGTGGGCATTTAAGATTTGTTTCTGAATAATGTGTGATGTTGTTAATTAGCCAGTCCTTTTCAGAGAAATGTAGTCAATAAAAATGGCGTATTATCCAATTTACATTCTTGGACTGCAGAGACTTAGATTACTAGAGCCAAGGTGAAAAAGTAGCATCCTAGGAGTTTGAATGAGCTGAATGCTACCCTTAATGGGTTTCGGAGATGGAGACAATAAAGTACAATGCAGACTTGTGTGAGAGGTTTGGAATAAAGAGTGGGGAGATGAGTTAAAGTGGCTCATCTTCTGATTTTTGGTGTCAAAATTCATAAGTCTACAGCAAGAATTTTGGTTATACTCTACCATGTGTATAAAGTACTTGCCCTCTCACTCAATTAAACTCTAGACAAATTTTAAATGACTTTCCCTTTTATTTTGATGACAATCTTTACAACCTTTTTAATTTATTCCTGATAATTACCCTCTAAGCAATTGGATGGCTTAATTATTAAAACAATAAAAACATGAGCAATGATAACAAAAATAACAAGAAGAGCAAAAATAACAATATTACAACGTATAAAAAAGAGACCAGGGTTAAAACAGACTACAATAAGACAAGTCAAACTGGCTTATTTTTCCTTTTGTAATCACAAAATATTAGAGTAAAATAATTTCACAAGTATGCTTTTACTGAAGAACTGGATTAGGAAGCTATGCCAAACCTGTCTGGTGGTAAAGTCAACATAGCTGAGACAGTCAGGATGGCAGAGGGCTTTGCTTCCAATAAGAAGTTTATTTTATGGAAGCAAGCAAAAGGGAATCAGTGAAATCTCTGGAACTTACAGTCTCCTTATATCATCTTCAATGAAAAATGACAGAATACTAAAAATTGAAACATTTTACTGACTTTATCTTAGTTCTTTTAAAATGCTTGATTTGAGATGATTTCAGGCAACTTTAATTGAATCAATTGGATAACAGCAAGTCTATTTCCCTGTCTTCTTGTCATATTTAGGATCTTAGGGTTTTTTTTTTTTTCTGGATGTTTTGCTCCAGGGGAGAAAGGTATACATCATTAACTCTTTTCTTTTACTATTATACTTTAAGTTTTAGGGTACATGTGCACAACATGCAGGTTAGTTACATATGTATACATGTGCCATGTTGGTGTGCTGCACTCATTAACTCATCATTTAACATTAGGTGTGTCTCCCAATGCTATCCCTCCCCCCTACCCCTACCCCACAACAAGCCCCGGTGTGTGATGTTCCCCTTCCTGTGTCCATGTGTTCTCATTGTTCAATTCCCACCTATGAGTGAGAACATGCGGTGTTTGGTTTTTTGTCCTTGCGATAGTTTGCTGAGAATGATGGTTTCCAGTTTCATTAATGTCCTACAAAGGACATGAACTCATCATTTTTTATGGCTGCATAGTATTCCATGGTGTATATGTGCCACATTTTCTTAATCCAGTCTATCGTTGTTGGACATTTGGGTTGGTTCCAAGTCTTTGCTATTGTGAATAGTGCCCAAATAAACATACAGGTGCATGTGTCTTGTTAGCAGCACGATTTATAATCCTTTGGGTATATACCCAGTAATGGGATTGCTGGGTCAAATGGTATTTCTAGTTCTACATCCCTGAGGAATCACCACACTGACTTCCACAATGGTTGAACTAGTTTACAGTCCCACCAACAGTGTAAAAGTGTTCCTATTTCTCCACATCCTCTCCAGCACCTGTTGTTTTCTGACTTTTTAATGATCACCATTCTAACTGGTGTGAGATGATATCTAGTTGTTTCCATAGTGTAGTGGTTATCACATTCGCCTCACATCATTAACTGTTATCTAAACTCTTAGAGCATACAAGTTTTGTTTTTTTTTCCTCCAAAATATTTATTCTGTTCCACTTCTTTTTTTTTTTCTTTGAGACAGAGTCTCGCTCTGTCACCCAGGCTGGAGTGCAGTGATGTGATCTCGGCTCACTGCAACCTCTGCCTCCTGGGTTTAAGCTATTCTCCTGTCTCAGCCTCCTGAGTAGCTGGGACTACAGGCATGTGCCACCACGCCTGGCTAATTTTTTGTATTTTTAGTAGAAATGGGGTTTCACCGTGTTAGCCAAGATGGTCTCGATCTCCTGACCTCATGATCCGCCCGCCTCGGCCTCCCAAAGTGCTGGGATTACAGCCATGAGCCACTGCGCCTGGCCTGTTCCACTTCATTTTATGTTGAGTTGAGCTGGCCAAAAATGAAGAAGCAATCTAGTAAACACGTGGATGTTAATTTCTTGTCATGTTCACAGTAAACATAAAGATTGATTTTTTTTATTTTCAAAATTTACGTTTTAAGAAAGGAGTATTTTGGGTGCAATTTGTGCATCTGTAGAGCCTGGAAGTAATCCTAAATTAGTTAAACACCAAGCTCACATGGAGGAGGCAACTGTTTACCTGATAAGACAACAGAAATAATAAATCAAATCCTAAGCAAGAATTATTATTTTAAAATTCAGTTTATCATATTGAAATCTTTGAGAAAGAATTACTTCTTCAACCTTTTCTAACCAGTAATAAGAACATAACTTGCTATGCCAAAATTTATAGCCTCTTCTCCAGCTGTTTGATAATTAATGAACAAGCACAATAAGGAAACTTACTCAAACCAATGAACAAGTTAGACGGATTTTGACATCCTAGAAGAGAACCTGGAGTATATGAGTTGACATTATGCTGAGCGTTCACTTTAAAATTATGAAAGTCATGAATTTTGCGTGCACAAGAAATGTTAAGGCAGGTCTGCCTGAACTGTTTCCTGTGTAAACAATAGTTTTAATACCTGAATATCCAAATATAGTACACTGTGTTTATACAAAATAGGTTAAGCTAGGATTTGTTCAGGAGTTCTGAAAGACTAGGGATATTCCTGGAGCAACAATCTTAAAGAAGCTGTGAACTTTAGGATTTCCTGAGGCCACAGAAATAATCTGTTGCAAGTCAGTAATCATCAGGAAAATATGACCATGACCGACACACGTATTATTCAGAGGCCATCATTCTATTTAAGTTGAGGAGTACCTTATGTCTTCATTGATCTGTGTATTCCTTACCATTCAACAACTCTGCCTTTGCTTATGCTTCTTAAGACTTACTCAGCTGCAAGAAATGATCAGTAGAAAATCCCAACAGCTATAGCTGACTTTTTATGCTCTTTGTCACTTATAATTGTTCTTAAATCCATGCTCATTCTGTAATTTCATGTTAGGGAATAAAGCTAGATAATGTAGACCAGGGGTCAGAAATTAGCGACTAAAGGAGATTTACCCTTTGGAGTGTTTAATATATTTTTTAATTTGAATACTTTTACAGAGGGCATGTCCTCTCCTCTTCAAAACAGGGCCCACTTTTCTGGATTCTACATTTGCGTTTTCTGTCAGGCACCTGAAATAATTTGAATTTGCTATCTCTTCATTAGACAAATGGAATCGTAAACTTATATGTGATGTTTGTAATAATCATCAATTAAAATAATAAATGCACAGCGTTCAGGATCTCTCTAGCCTAATATAGAAAAGAGTTTATTTTGGGTACATTTGCACTTACAGTTCTATTCATTGGCAAATCCTTAGAAAGTGTGACAGATGTCAAAGGAAGTGACATGTGGGTTCTGTGTCTTGTAATTGTTTTCCTACATAAGGTCTTTATTTGGGCTAGAGGAAAAAGATGTATCAGTGAAAGCTGAATTTAAATTAGTATTCCGGATTTTATTTTGTATTTCCTAGCTTTCACTCCCTTATTTACCATGGGTACTATGAGTACAGATTGGATATGCTAATTTTTTTAAAGAGTAGTATTATTCACTGAAATTTATCCACTAACTTTCAACTTCTATGGATAGGATTATAAGTATTTGGTATTTTAAATTATATATTTACTTGTGCTCTTAGATGAGTAAGAGGGACACTCAGGTCAGCTTCAATCATAACCATTTTAGTAACGGTAAATTATCTGGAATTGAAAAATTAAATAGTAATCATAAATAATATAGGATTTTATCTGAAGCAGCCTTCTTTGATTGTCTATATATAGCTGTGTCTTAACATTATCTAGCAATCTGTGCTTGCATTTTATTAACATTTATTCTGAATAAATTCTTCCCTCACATATGAATTCATTGAGCACCAGCAAAGGTTCCATTTTTTTTTTTGCTGTCACGTTGAGATGAAGCCTACTGTGATGAATTATTAGGACAATGAAAATTAAGCAAGAGTGAAGGCTGTAATTTGAAAAGGAAATAAATCTGCAACTTGCAGAAAGGATAGTAGCTTAGAAGATTTATTCTCTCTTTTAAAGTTGCCTGTCACAATATGGTAACACTAGACATCAGGATTTGAAAGACAGCTTCAAAATTTTCTCATTGACAACATTTCTAAGTGGCCAACTTTTCAGGTGTCACTGAGGGGGACCTTTGTGCCTATCTTTTATCTTTGCCATGATTAGAAGGCACCACTTGAGATAATTACAACAGGGAAGGTACAAATAGGCTATTTTGCAAGACACATGACCATACAGTCAGGTAGGAAAGGTAAAATAAGCAACAGACACACACTATTGTGAGCTGGTGTTGACATATAGAGCAATGATGGGCCATGATAGGAAGAAATTCCAGGATCCCCATAATGGGACACTGTGCATTCTTCTGACCTACTTTGTCCTACCAAAATTAACTAATTTATAGTTCATGCTTATGTCTCAGATTAGGATTAAGAGAGTAATGCCCAATAATATTTAAAATTTCAAAGTGAAATGAACAGAAATGTGCATGTTTCAGTAAATGTCTCCTTGCTTATTCTTTGTTTTCTGATGTATTAACTCACAGTTATGGAATTTCTGCCATGTTTTTCTCCATGGGCAATGCAAAGAATATGAGACCAGGACTCAGTTTCTTTGTAAGTAGAAGAGAAGAGCATTAAAATTTATAGGGTACCTACTTAGTGCTCAATAATGGCCTAACAATTAATTGTAACACAACTATTATTATCCTCATTTTACAAAATATAGGCCTTGAGAACTTCGATACTATGACGAAGGTCAGGCAACTAGGGCAAGGTGGTGTCATGATTTGAACACAACCTTGTCTAACCAGTTTTTCTTCAAATGTTACTTATCATTTTGCCACCCTAGAAAACAATGTTTACTTTGGGAATTTATGAGTATCAGAATGCCTAAGTTCTTATGTTCAAAGGCTAGACCCTCACATGAACACGCCCTTAAGCCTTTCTGAGCCATATTTTTCTTGTGTAAATAGGCCATAGACAGCTATACAGACAGCATAATGGGGGACATGCAGAGGGTCAGGTTATACGTGTGAGTTATTTGGTAAATCTGAGGGGAGCAAGTACAAAATCTTTGTGAAATCTGAAGTCAAATTATCTGTTAAGAGTAGTAGAGCTACAGTGAGCCAAGATTGTGCCACTGCACTCCAGCTTGGGCAAGACCCTGTCTCAAAAAAAAAAAAAAATTCTACTGTGGCCAAATATACTTAGGTACATTGTAGGCATTCAATAAATATTTAATTAATAAATATGTATGCATATGCGGACAAAATAAAAAAGAATAATAGAGCCAGACTGCTCAGTATAGCACTTCTGCTCCACTAGTGATTCAAGGATATAGCTCAGAACAGAGAGTGTTTCTCTGCAGCCACTTTCACCTGCTGAGGCAGGAGTAGAATGTGAGGAGAGTTGGGTTTAACGAGGGTTGGATTTTAGCCTGGCTTGGAAGATGGAGTGAGTTGAGGATGTATGCAAAGCAGAAATATAATGATAAATCATAGATGCCAAGCTCAGCGAGGAAGAGAAGGAGAGTGTGGAGAGTTGGTGGGTGGTCGGGGGGAAGAGTGAACAAGTGATGGTGCAATTAATTCAGTGTTTCATTGAGATCTAAGAAATGTTGGTTACAGCAGCAGACAAAACAGTGAGGATACGGCAGCAGACAAAACAGTGTTAGAGATTCCTGATATTATTGATACTGAAAAGAGATTCTTATTTGCCAAAAAAGTTGATAACCACTGGTCTAGACAGGGTTAGAAAAAGCTTAATTAGCAATTTAATTGAGGAGTAGTAAAGAAAACAATCTACTGTGGCTTTCTAGTTAGGCTACAGAAAAGAAAAAAAAAATGTTTCCAGAGCTTTTGTGTTCCTTGCAAGAAATTTCAAATAAAGGACATCTCATCAGAAAATATCCATTAAAAGCCTATATTCATGAACAATATCTCAGAGTTCATTCACTACTGGGAATAATTGTGAAGCTGGGGAGAAACATATTTCAACAATAAGAGCCAAACACGTATTTTCATTTTTTTTCTATCCATTTTGAGCAAACATTTGCAATTAAATTAAATTCACCCAATGTTTACTAAGGTGTCATCTCTGGCCTAAATGTTTTACAGTCTAGTCGGGAAGAAAAATATGTTTCAAAATTACCATAACAAAAAGCATGAAGTGACAAGTGTCAAAAGTTAAGTATAAACACATTACTAGGGAGCCCAGAGGAAGATGTGATTCATTCCTGCTTGTGGTGACTGAAGACTTCAGAGTGGAAGTGTCATTTTAGCTGTATTTAGAAGAATGAGTAACATTTATAAAGGCCTGATGGAGATGCAGGAAAAGAAGAGTTTTTGGAAAATATTCCAGGCTCAGGAAAAGCAGGAATAGAAGCCAGAGGCAGGCAAGGACATAATATGTTCAGAGACTCACAAATAGATGTGCAATTGTCCCAACATTATCCTTGAAGAGGAGTAAGAGTGTAAAGCAGTGACCTGGATTTAGATTACTGTTTAATGTACACAACACTGGAAGAGGAGAGATATGGTGAGCATAAAAGTATAAGCTTTTCTCCACCATTGAAGGAATGTGATAATGCCATTTTCTTAATAAACACATTTTCTGGGTATTTCAAGTCTGACATTAGAAACCCTGGCTTTGATATAAACATGGGTTTAACTCAATAACAGAATGGCTTTTTTTTTTTTGGCGTAAGTCTCTCACTACATCTTACTCTTGACTGACTCTTTTGGAGGATGTTGTGAGACTTACGTTTGAGAAAAACTCAAGATGCCTGCTAAAAATATAGGTCACTTTAAAAAATTATTATCAATTGTTCTTCAATATTCATTACAGTTCTTATGAATTTTCTATGGTGAAATAAATAGGCTTTGAGTCTTTTTTTGGTAAACATGAAAGATAAATTAATTATACATGCATATATATTAATTTCAGAATACTTATTATAAGTATTCTTATAAGTATATTATAAGTATTATACTTATAATAATAAGAATACTTATTATTACTTGGCATTTGTCATAAGTAGCTAATATTTTAATATATTTAATATTTTTCTATGCTATGAAAGATAAAAAATTCTTAATTTAATTCTGAAGTTCATATATATAGTGATGTTTATTATGCTTATCAAATCTTACAAGCTTTGTCTAATGGATTGTTACAGTTTTAATTACGAGCTATATAGAAATGAATGGCTTTATCATTAAAATTGTAGGAATATAACCAGAAATGGGAACTTCAAGTTTACTCAATAAAATGAATATACCATTGACTCCTTTGATCTGTATTTTGAATTCTGCATACTCACTAATCTCAGTAAGTTTCAAAAAAGTGGAAAAATATTTTGTCTTAAATTTTCATTTAAAAATACGCAAAATATTGGACCCTTAGTAAATCTAAGTAAAAGAAGCAATCAAGAATATTTTCCTTGTTTTCATAGTGGGACCGAGGCCTGAAAGATTTGGAATATTAATACCTGCATTGGTGTTAGTGTGAGAGCAGTTTTATATAGCCCAATCATATTTTCCCTTTCTGGTGTAAAATTAAATATCGGATCTTTTCTGACTGTGCAATTTTCAGAGGTAGTAAGGATGCACAAAAGAAACAGTGCATGGACCATAACTCCCTCTGCTCCCAGAGACTATTTCCCTTGGTGGAGGTGTTCAGTGTGTATTTAGAGCAGAACACTCATGACATAGAAGTGGATGGTTCTGTGCTTTCATAATGTGTTATTCCATGTTACCAATCCAAGGGAGTCAGACCAAACCAAACCAAACCAACGTGTTTTATGTAAACATAAAGCACTAGCTGAGACTGTAGTATATTAAATTCCTACTTCCATTCTCTCGTATAGCTATTAAGAAAAAGATTTTTCCCTGAGTCAGAGCTTTGTTATTTTTACCATCTTGCCCTCTGTATTGTGCAATTACAGCTGATGAGAAATTGTGATGTTATTAGTCCCACTTGGAGAAATTTTCTCCAGGGAATAGCCTGTTCTTTATGACATTTACTATTGTAAAGTAATCCTCTTTTGACTTTTATTGATAATGAATCCTCACTCTAGGGGTTAAAACCCAGCCGTTCTTGAACTAATCAAATGGAAACAGATATGAAGAACTGAAAAAACATACAAACAGTAAAATCAAAGTATTTATACAGCTTCACTCTCCTTTGATTAAAGTTCCCCAGAAATATATGAGAGAGACTAAATTACTATAATTAGTGCTAAGATCTGCTAAGAAATTTTACCTGACTAAACTAAGAACTTCAAGCCTTTAAGTGATTGTAATTTTTTTCTTACTCATGGAAAAAGATATTTACTGGCTACACAATTTCCTTTTTCTAGCCATGACCAATTCTTTTGTGGGTTACAAATGGATGTGATTAAACTCAAAATATATGTTTGAATCTATGCAGTCTGCATAGACTTGCTCTGTTCCATGGCCCAAATCTTAGCTCTAACTCAAGTTGCCTCTTGCCCATGTGATCAGTAAAATCATTGGCCTGAATGATAGAACTTAGATAGTGGGTCTCAGTGGTCACCACCAGGACCAGAAAGACAAGAGCATCTTCTTTGAAAGCAAATCTGCGGAGTATGTTCTGGCTTTCATAGCCAAAAACAACAGGCCAAGTTTCAGCTAGCAATGGAGCTCCTATTTACTGAATGCTTATTATGTACCATGCATTTTATATTTATTGTTTCTAATCCTTATACCAAAACTGCAAGGTAGTTAAGGGTATTGCCATTTTTATACATGAGAAAACTGAGGCTCAGTAAAATTAAGGGACTTGACCAAAATGGAATAGTCAGTACTGATGAATCTGGACTCTTACTGTGGGTGTATCTGGCTCTGTCCTGTCAGTTCAGGGAAAATTTATTAGATTTACCAGGCTAAACTGCAGTAGACCAGAGCAATATTAGTTTTCTATTGCTGTGTAACAAATTATCACAAACTTAGTGACTTAAAACAAGACATTATTATTATTCTAGGGTTTCCATGATATAATAAATATTTATAAGTATAATTTATATATAAATTATTTGCATTGTATTTATACATGTTATAATTATACATATTTATATGTATAAATAAAACACAATGTAAGGATGGGAGTGACACTTCATCAACTTTATCGATTTCGTTGTTTAGAATTGTCACAGTCAATGGGAGGGGATTATATGAAGACATGGACAATTGGTGGTCACTCTAGGAGTGTCTGGTCTACTATAGTGCCTATAATCAGAGTAGAACACAGCTATTAGGATATTTTTCCATGAATTCCTTACTTTGTCCTGTTCAGTTTATTTTAAAGACAGTTTATTATTCCTCATTTGCCTGAATGTTCTTAAAGGCCTTGCTGCTTATACAGACGCTTAGGAAAAGTAAAAGCAACATTAGTGTTCTTGTCTTTATTTCAATGTTCTGAATGACATTTCCAAAAAGTACATTATTTAAGCTTGTTTGTATATTTCTATTTGTGTAAAATATTGAGAAAAATGATATTCCAGTCCCAATCATTCAAAAACATTAAAATAAAAGCCGAAGAGGGACAGAAAATCATGAGTGTTCTGACCATGGAAATTTCATTTTGTTCTTTGTCTTAATAAGACATGTGGGAAAAGTTTTATTCCAAATATTTGGCCAGAATTTCATTTATTTTCTTCCTTCCCCTTCCCTTTCTTGCTTTTCCTTTTTTCTTTTCATTTATCTCTTCTTTTTTTTCCCTCTCACCTTTGCCCCCTCTCCCTCCATTTTTGTCTTTCTGCCAATTATACAATGTTATACTTGAAAATAACAAGCCTGGAAGACCTCTGCTTTATTTCTAACTCTACTGCTAATTGTCTTTACACATGTTAGCTTTATTTTCTTTTTCCATAAAATGAGGAAGCTAGTCGAAGTAACATACTGCTGCAAAGAAACATATACAGAGAGGGGTAACCCAGTTGCTTCAGGCAGCATCTCACAGGTGTGAGTGGTTTGTTAGAATCACAATAAAACATCATGCGATTCCATCCTCACAGAGTTCATCTATCCCTAATAAACTGCCTAGAGGTACTGACACGTACATATGCCATGAAAATCAGGATGCCAACAGACTCACTTGACATTTAAGCAATATTTGACTAATCCAAAGTCTGCTGCTGGTCTCCTCTGGTGGGTAAATACATTCAGTTAGTATTAAAGAGCCTTAATTAAGAGAGAAGGAGATACTACAAAGGGCTCTTTTCATCAGCATAGGGAAGTTTGATGCCATGACCGCCCACAGGCCAGAAACACAGTCACTATATATTAGTATTAGATTGACACCCAGTGCTCCTTATCCTTTGACATCCACTTTCAATCCTTCATATAGACCACAGACCTTCTGTCAGGTTGGCATATTTACTGCATGTTAAGTTGTTATATTGTACAGCTTGTTTTGTTTTGTTTTGTTTTGAGAGACATCCATTCTTGTTTGGATTCAGAAGACATTCTATTTACATAATTATGATATATATCATATCATTGTAATACATAATATATTTAGCACATATACAATCTCATGGCTTCAGACTTCTCTAAAACAAAAGGCTGATTTGATTTTTTATCATTTTATTTGTTTTGGAAAAGGGGCTTGTCTTAGACCATTTGTGCTTCTATAAGAAAATACCACAAACTGGGTAATTTATAAAGAAGTTTATTGGCTCACAGTTCTGGAAGCTGGGAAGTCCAAGATCAAGATGTTAGCATCTAACCGGGCCTTCTTGCTGCATCATCACATGATGGAAGGTAGAAGAGTAAGAATTTAAGACAGGAAACCCACTCCCATGAGCCCTTTGCAAGATGGCATTAATCTATTTCTGTGACCTCTGCCCTCGTGACCAAAATACCTCCCACTAGAACCCACCTCCCAAAACTGTCCCACTGGGGATTAAGTTTCTAGCACTTGATTCTGGGTGATGCATTCAAACTATAGCAAGGCTTTTACCTGAGTTTGCTACCAAATGCTGTAGATACACCAGTATTGCTATAGCAGCCTTTTACTTCTTATTCTGGAAAGGGTATGATTCATTTTAAGGCTTACACTAGTCTGTTTTGGCAAGAGTTCATACTTAGTAGGCAATAAGTTCAGAGAATCCTACCTTATGCTTTTTTGTGGCATGTATTTCTTCTTTGTTCTTCTTAACTGTAATTTTTTTTTGTCTCTGTTATATAGGAGGTAATTTACACCAGGGATAAGTCTCTTTGTTTACTTTTAATACTTCACTATTATAATCACAAAATACTTTTTAAAAATGGTATTTCATATTTTACAGAGTTTTATATATATATTATCTCATTCGATCCTAATTGCACTTTAGCAATAAAAACATAGATTATTTGTAACTTATAGATAAAATAATTATCCTGGGACAGGTTCAGCAGTTTATAAAATAATAGCCAATATCTTGTGAATGCTTAATATGTTTCAGACACTGTCCTGAGCATTTTATATGCATAATTTTTATTACACACACACACACACCCCTATTGTTCCCATTTTGTAGAAGAGGAAACTGAGGCTTAGGAAAATTAAGTGACAGGTCTGGAGACACAGTGTGCATAAGTGCAGAACTGGGATGCAAGCCCATCCAACTGACTCCAAAGATCATACTCTTCTTCAATATTGTGTTTCCTGAGATGAAAATATGGGTTAGCACTAACAACATTCTGCTAAATTGGAGGAGTAAAGTGTTGGTCTCTGGGAACTGTAATAACTATGGTGTTGCTTAGTGTATTCAAAAAAAATCTTCACATTTTAAATACAAGAGGAAAAATAGTGTGTTTTGTAGAAAACCAAAATTAGCTGTACCCTTGAAAAGCAATTTAATATGATCAACTTACCCTTCCAACAATACTATCTAAGATACAACGTCTCACTGTACAATTAACAGGCAGTTAGCAGAATGCTGTTGCTTGGATTCAAATAGCAAACCGAGTGGTTATGCTGGGATTCTACTTTGGGTTTCCTACCTGTTGTCAAGCAGGTCCTCGAATTGTTTATTTTTTTTTACCAGTGGAAATTGCTAATGGAATTCCTTCACTGCAGTTTATTCTATGGTCATACAACTTTTTTCTAAGTACTTGAAGAGACCTTTTTCTTTTAGTAGAGCAATTGGACTTGGAAGCAGAAAACATAAGAGTTCGTACCCTATTTCTGCCAATACAAGTGAAGTAATAGGAGAGCTCTCTCATCTTTCTTTAGGTCACAGTTTCTGCCATGATCACAATTGAACAAACCACAGGTAGCTCAACCAGGCAGAAAAAAGTCAAGCCACAGCAAGATGCTATTAGTGATCTTGTTTACCTGGTTTATCTATGTTGGGCATCAGAATTTTGATTGTACTAGGTAGTGGTATATACCAAATACAGAATTTTTTTTTTTTTTTTTTTTTGGTGGAGTCTTGCTCTGTCACCAGGCTGGAGTGCAGTGGCTCAATCTCAGCTCACTGCAACCTCTGCCTCCTGGGTTCGGGCCATTCCCCTGCCTTAGCCCTCCGAGTAGCTGGGACTACAGATGCTCGCCACCACACCCGGTTACTTTTTTGTATTTTTAGTAGAGACAGGGTTTCACCGTGTTAGCCAGGATGGTCTCAATCTCCCGACCTCGTGATCTGCCAGCATCGGCCTCCCAAACTGCTGGGATTACAGGCGTGAGCCACTGCACCTGACCTAGAAATATTTTTTAAAATGCTCGGAGAAGATCCTTTGCCATGTGACATTATGAAGCTAATACAGATTGCTCCAGAATGAATTTCTAACTTGTTCTCACCAGTTAGTAAAATTATTTTCCCCTTTTTATTTTTCTTGCCAACAGAATAATTCTGTTCCACTTTAGACATCTTAAATTATCCTAGTTTTCTTATTTTGTTCCTATCTAAGTCTGTTCTGAAGTATGTTGTGGACATTGGTTGGTTTGCATTTTCGACATCTCTTCCTCTTCCTATTGATAGCATGGAGGTGATTTTGCTTTAAGGAGCCTATCCCATTGGATATGATGCAAAGTAACCATTCATCAAGGGCCCTGCCCTTCTCAAGGCAAAGGGCCAATGATCCAAGTTAAGCCAGCTAGATTTTCTCATCTTAGAATTAGATTCCTAAGCTGAGAACCAAAAGAATAAACATGGTGACAGCTGATTGCTTCTGTTTTTAAAGAGACTGTTCAGCAGTTTCTGATTCCAGATTCCTGTAGCTGCTTTTCCAAAACTGTTTGAGATGATTTTTAAAAAATTATTTTCTTTAATTGTATGTTCTATCCTGTATTCATCTTTCAAATGCCTTTAGCCAGCTCTGGCTTCAGTTGCCTGCCAAAGATTCTAACTGATATAAGAACGTAATTGAATTGTTCATCCATATGTTATCTACACTTGTGTAGGTCCTAAATGTAGCTAACAAGAGCGTTCTTTCCATATGTATATCTACCTGTTCCTCTCTCTGTGTTCTGTTGTTTGTTCTGTCCCTACTGCTACTTTTAGAAAGAAAAGTATGTATATCAAATTGTTGCTGGATGTGTTTTGAAAACTAATTCTTCCACTGGACAGAAATAATGGATATAGTTTATTTTCTATTAATAACCTTGCCTTGAACTCATCGAGGTTAATTGTCTATTTGTTTCCCTCTTATAGCTATGTAGCCTTCAAAATACTTAACATAGTACTAGTCAAATTATCTTAAATGTACATTAACTCTGTCACATTGAGAGTTCTAATAAATTGTTAAGGTATTGAAGCAAAGCCTAAAAGACAACAAAGAGTTCCCTAAAGAGGCAGCAAATTTGACAGTGCGACCTTAAACTGTTAAAACTTTGAGCACCTTTGAGGCCATATTATCTTTGTTGTTAATGGATAAATAGTATCAGATGGAAGGATGGATGCCTGGAGCAAGGCTGTGCACAGGCTGTGCAAGCAGGGGACACTGAATGAGGAGATTCTGTTCAGAAAAAAAAAATGAGATGGTTATGTACTGAGGAGGAACCTTAATCTGAAAAATAACAGTAGGAAGCAGATCTCTGAGAAAAATGTATGTCAGAGTTCATTATTACATCAGAGATCAAAAGAGAACTCTCCAATTCCAAACAGAATGCTAAAACATGCATGAAAAAGGGGTGGAAATGACTATCATTAAAACACTTTTCTTTTAGCTATACTCACCCAGAAAACCTCAGTAGTCTTGGGCTAACACTTGAGCAAGAATAATATGAATTTCAGCACTCATATATATCCAACACCTTCTAAGAATACGCTTAGTTATTATTTAAACGGTCTAATGTTAATCTGCCATATCTTTCCCACTAACTCCAAAATGCACCTTATCATTGATATATTAGGTAATAAATGTAATGGCATTACTTACTTCTTGGCATGCTTCAAACATTAGGAGGCTTAAGACAAAAAAATCATGTTTTAGAAATACAAATTTCTTTACTACAGAACATCTTTTGTTCTGAAATGAGATGCTTAGGCTTTCTTTGTGTTTTCCTATTTTAAATTTTCATGATGTTCTCTGGAAAGGTGAATAGTAGATAATCTCTAATTGGTTGAATTTCTGAATTCCTCCAGGAGCTTGCAGAAACATTCTCTTGTATTTAGAATTACATGTAACAAGTTATTAGGGAGATAAAGACAGGGCTACAACTAGAATTCTTACCATAGATATCATGATAGATACGTACATACATACACACGAGGTCCTTGTCGTACAAGGTAACTTAGCATAAAATAATAGACATAAGAAAATCTCCTAAAATAAGGTCAAAATTTTATACCAAATGCTGGGAGATGTGGGGGTTGAGTGAGACTTTATTTTGAAAAATTAATAATAAAAGTAATTTTATCTTATGCTTTAAAATTCTGGACTACAGGCCAGGCGCAGTGGCTCAGGCCTGTAATCCCAGCACTTTGCGAGGCCGAGGTGGGCAGATCACCTGAGGTCAGGAGTTTGAGACCAGTCTGGTCAATATGGTGAAACCCCATCTCTACTAAAAATACAAAAATTAGCAGGGCGTGGTTGTGGGCACCTGTAATCCCAGCTACTCAGGAGGCCGAGGCAGGAGAATCTCTTGAACCTGGGAGGCGGAGGTTGCAGCGAGCCGAAATTGTGCCCTTTCATGCCAGCCTAGGCAACAGAGCAAGACTCCATCTCAAAGAAAAAAAATCTGTGCTACGATCTTAATTTGTTATTAATTTTTAAAACAGACTGACTTAAGCATTATATATATATATATAGTATTTTTACATTTAGATAAAATAGTGGTATGATAGCACCACATTATATTCTAAATACAGTTTTGACTTATGCAGCAAAATCACAAAAAGAATCAATTTTACAAAATATACTAGAGCTTCATCAATTTTTCCAAGAGCCATTTTTTAGACTTTAAAACTCAAAGCATTATCATTTGAAGCACCTTGTTAATTTTCTCTTCTTCAATTGTTAACAGGTTTAAATCAGCCTAATCGTCACATACCAGTGGCTTTGCCTATGATTCTAGCAGTTGTTCAAGATCACTTATTCCCATACCATGAAATGTTATTTTTGCAATATTTAACATTTTGCCTGTATATTTAGATGTTTTCAGTCTTTTACAAGGCAGGAGGTGATAATGTCAACATTAAGAAAAGATCTGTGCTAATAATTAGAAGGATAGATGCTTGAATGCTGTTTCTTCCTGTGGGTACTGGAAACTATACAGACTAAGTAAAAACAGACTATACTTTGCCTAACACACTGAAAACACATTTAGGATTTAATATGAAATTACCTTGAATTATCAAGTAGTGTCTGAAATTTGTCAAAATCGTTAGGAGATCTTGGGCTTAAGCTTCCAGTCATTCTTTGCTATCATTGATAAATCTGGGTACTAGTGAAAGCACAAATATCTAGAACACCTTTATCACACTATAGAACTAAAAAATGATAGTCAAACCCTTCCTAATTTCTGCTTCCAGCTTCCAGTGGAATATTTATTTTACTGCATGATTGTTCTTTGGATGCCTTAGCTGTCACTGAAGACCTCTGGCTATGTAACCTTATGTTCCAGCTTTTCTCCCATGGACTTTGATGGTGTGGATTGATTTCTAACCAATATATTATATAGAATGAAAGAAGAAATAAATGAGCCATCTCTCAAAACGTGTGATATAGCTCAGAAACAATAGCTTTTCTTTATATTGATTGTTGGCAAATCCTATGCCTAGTAATAACCATTAAATTGTCCACTCGACGGCTGGGGAAAAGAATAATTTATCTTATATTTTGAGTGTTAGTGGTTAGTTACACAATAAATTATGTTATGCATTTAGTCTAATAATATTGAATTTTGGCTTAATTAGAGCATTGTGTCTAAAATGCTAGGTAGTCAGAATCTGTTTATGTAAATTCTAATGGAGAACACTGGAGAACAGGATGAGTGTAATATGTCATTGATATTGCCATCATTTTTTTTACATCCTCAAAGGAACATTATTTTTTTTTCTCTGTATATTTTAGCTACTTTAACCTAAATTTCAACTTCTGTCTTTTCTCCTTTCTGCATTTTCTCTTTCACTTTTTTCATTGTCTCCTCCACATTTGAATTCTCATTTCCTCAGTTGTTATTGTTACCTTAATGATTATCAATATTCTCTCCAGAGTGGGGCCATGTACAGTTCTGTCATTTGTAGTAAGGCCTAGCACTGCCAAGCATTCTGCTAAGTATTTTTACATTTGCTCTTTCTAACAACCTGCAGGACAGTTTTCTGATTAGCCTGCTCCCTTTTCTCACTTGTAGTTCTCAAGAACAGCTGTAGATCGTGCTGTATAGTATATTGTGCTGGGAATGCAACAACCTGAGGTGAGGAGGGACTGACAGGAACAGACTGGATCAGTTCTAATCCTCCCCTAAAAACAGATGTCCATCAGCATTTCTGTCCAACATGTCAGTGACCCCAGGGAATATAAATCCCAGGCATGCCTGCTTTCCAGGGTTCCTGAGCTGTGGTGCAAGTGAGGCACACACAGATGAGACTTCATCTGCCCCAGCAGCTTACTTGAGCTTGGGGGACATATCTCACATTGAAAAATTCTAGGCTTCTGTTTTCCCTTGATGCCTATCTACAAGTAATAAGCCTGCTTCATGTAACTTGTTGTGTGTGCAGGTGTTCTGTCTTACCAAACATAGACATGCTGGTAACCAGTGCACAGTGAACCTGCTTTACAAAATTGGCTTAGCAAGCAGGGTCCAGTCTGACAGAACCATGGGTTATTGGCAAACCAGGAAGAGTGATACCTCCCAGGACCCAGCCTAGGACAGAAACATCAGCCTGGGGGTGCAGGGGTTGGACATGCAATCAGATGTTTTAAGGTGAAGAATGGGTAGTAAGGGGAATATAAGATAAGTCACCCTTCCCCCCAACAGATGTGAATGAGCTGGCTGCATAGATCGAGGCACAAAAAGAATTGTGGAAACAGGAGAGCAGTGCACCATCTCCTGTTTTATGGGGGCATGTAAGTGATTGTTCATTTCCAGGGCTGGGGAGCTCTAGAAATGAGTGCTCAGGTAGATTCTGAGGCATCTGAGCAGAAATTAACACTTGGTTTAGAGGTCTTTAAAAAAGAAAGGGAGCACTGAAAAACAGATAAAAAGAAAAGCCAGGGAAACCTTCTGTAGTCTAGCTGATGTGTTTGTCTGATAAAGTGACATTGCAGAACCAAGTGTCTCAGACCAAACGGTGCATTTAAGAATGGGGCCAAAGTCTCCAGATCCCCATCAGAGGCCAGTGACCCTATACTCCTGTGAAGATGAAAAAAGAAAGAAAGGACTTTTCTGGGGTTTTTGGATACTTGAGCCCACATGACAATGTTTCTAGGGCTTCTTAGGAGAAAAATTAAACTGATGACATCAGGAGGTTTTTGAGACAAATGTGATGATTCATTGTGCTTACTTGCTTATGATGCTTATCTGTTTGTGGGTGGGACTCTGTGGGCCATTTTGGGTGCCAATGACCATGGTTCCCACTGCTGAATTACTTTAAGCATTGTTATTTCGGCTGCTTGTGACACAGAACATCACCACCACCCTAGGGGATGTGTTCCCTCACAGCTAAGAATTTGAGCCTTAGCTATTCAATAAAAGCTGTGATGCTTACTAAGTGGAGGAGAGGATACTACTTGGTTAATTCAAAACTTGCTACAGGTAAAAATGTTACAACCCACCTTGTCACAGTGTAATACCTCAGTTTGGCTCATCAAAAAGGTATTCAGAGGAATGGAGACTAACAATGAACTATTGCAGGCTGAATGCCAAAGCTACTTGGGTGAGCAACAAAAGAAGTATCCCAGATATAGTCAAGTGATAATTTTGACCTTGGCAGTATCCACTCAGGAAAAGGAGGCCCAACAGCCAGTAGGTGTCTTTTGTACTGGAGGCATCATGTAACTCACCTGCATATTCTTTTGGCCCCCCTTAGACAAGTTGACCAGCAAAGCTGCCAAGTTTAAATGAGGCCCTTTGCAGCAGCAGATCTTGGAAGCCATTCAACAAGTCAAGACCCAGGCACCACCTTGAAAACCTTGAGTCTGCTACCTTGATGGAATTACTGGTGTGTGCAATGTTTATGCATGCAGATTGAAGTCTGTGACAACAGAAAACTGCTACCAGGGCATACCAGTCTCTCAAATTTGGGACTTATAAGTTGTCTGAGGCAGATATATCCCCTTTCGAATAGCAACTCCTTGTTTGCTATTGGGCACAGGTGGAGACTGAGCATCTTACAGGTGGAGTGCCACATGGGATGCTGTGACCTGAACTGCTCATTCTCTCTCTTGGGCCTCACAAACTGAACCAGTAATGTTAGACAGGCTCCACAGAGCTCAATTATCAAATGGAAATCGTACATTTGATATCAGGCCCAGCCAGGACTCCAAGTTACTAGTAGATTCCATAAGCAAATGGCTAGCTTATCAGAAGGGACCAAATGACCCATAAGGGATCCTCCAGTTCCTTTCATAGGTACTTGCAACCCAAGATTCAGAGATATGCATGCCAACAGCATAGCATGGTTTACTGATGGCTCTGTGAAATAAGCAGACAGGGTCCACAGGGGTATGGCCACCGTCCAGCCAGTGGATGGCCTTGTTTTGACTGAGACTGTACATGAATATTCTAGCCAATGTTAGAAGGGTGGTGCCCCCATCTAACAAGGTAGTATGTACACTAAAAACTGGACTCAATGCAAGGGAAAAATGGCACACAGTGCATGTTAGAAAACACTGAGCATGGTGGGAGTGGAGGTCAACCAGGCAGCCTCCTGATTAAGCTGTGCCTGCAGAATATCAATTTCAGTGTTCCCAACATTTTTCCCCTTTTCCCATTACAGTGCACATCCTGGGGGTGGTTTGCATTTCAGATTGTCGTAGTACCCCAGACAAGGACCCCTGACTCTAATCTGGAGGCACTTCTTCCCCCAGGTGCCTCCCTTTTATGAGCTCCCACAGTGGTGAGGAACAGAACCAAGGAATACCAAGGTGCTAAGGTCCCTCTAGTAGCTTCTGGGGCATGTAATCCTTCCATTTGGGTGAACGAGTATGGGACATGACCTCTTCTTAACCTGAAGGTTGAAAGTTATTGGTCAAACAACGTAAGGCAATGGATGCCTTATACAGGCGGTAGTCTTGAGACTGAAACAGGACTGGGTCACTACACCAACTCAGCCCAATCCCCATGTGATAGATGGGGAACATCTGGGACCCCAGGAGGGAAGTGGGTTGAGGTACTAACTGTCAGTCTGCTTTTTTCACAAGGATGTGACAGCAGAGACCTGGAAGAAAAATGCCTTGATTTGGCTGTGTAAGCTGCAGCCACTGCAGGTAACCTGAAGAAATGCTGAATCTGCTGTCCTGGACGTCATTCTGTCCCAGATCACAGACACCTTTACATCCTGCCAGTGGTGAACTACACCAGCATTCCCAATACTACAGTGCGCGTCTATAGAAGCTGAGCCCTGGATTATCAAGTGAAGACCTGATACTTGCCACATGGGAGGGAGCCAGAGGGACCCTGTTTTAATTTAGCTGGTCTAAGGTGGCACAATGTCACAACCACAACTAACAAAACCTTGGCGGGATGGTATTTTGACACAGCCAGTCTTCTTTTGTCCCTTGCTACCTATCAGTAGGCAATAAAACCACTTCATGTAATGTTGTGTGTACAGGTATACTGCCTCACCAGATTCAGACAGGTCAGTAACCAGTGCACAGTGAACCTGCTTCACACAGCCCTAGGACAATGGGTACTATGATCAGCATTACCACTTTATAGATGAGGAACTGAGGCACAGAGAAGTAAATCATATAGCTAGTAAGTGGCAGAATCAGAATGTGATCCCAGGCAATCTGGCCTGTAGAGTCTGTAATATTAACGACTATGCTATGGAGTCTTTGATGGATTAGGGAAAAAAATTACCGTTGCTCTTCCCAAAAACCTTATAATTAAATGACTCTAATGATCAGATGTGAGCACAACCTTGGAAAATGTAATTTTCCATAAATTTTAGATCATTTGGAAATATTGTCCATTTTCTTTCTTGGCTAACTTTGATCATTGAGAACAGCAGCATAGGATTTTAATATTTATTTATTTATCTGATAGTAAGCATTTATCTAAACTCTTTATGGAAATCTTCAAATCAGTCATTTCATTTATGTAGACAAAAATGCAGGTGAAAAATCTAAGTATGTATTTAAATTTACTGAAAATCATATTTTTTCCTTAAGTAAGCCTTTCATTATTCCTCTGGAATTTCTCTTTTCCATGTAATGGCTCTTTTGTTGGTAAGATTTTTCTATGTTATTCATTGACAGCTGCAAAACTGCTTTGCCAAGTTAAAAATGCAATCGTATTTTGAAAGATACTTGTTTGTTAAACATAAAATGATTTATTTAGTTGCCTGTTTATAATAGTTTTAGAGAAATATTACTCTAGGAATATATTTTTATGTGAAATGACTATTAAGAGTTCATTATATTTTTCCATGTTTAGGATTCTATTCTCTCATTTCTTTAATATCCTCTGCAATTAAACACTGACAAAAATGGACTCACTTCTACTTTTTTGGTTTTATTCTTCTCATATCCTTCCTTGTGAATATCCTCACATAACTTTCCACTGTCTACTAGATATATAATCAAATGAAAATTATCTGTTTAACCCCAATTAAGAGCTCAACACAACTGTTCAACCCCTCGATCTGGCATTCATCAAGCCCTTAGCCTTGCACTATCTTGCCTCATTCAACCCATTTTCTATTTCTTCTCAAACGAATTAATGAAATACTCAACTACTGACCTCACTGCTTTCTACAAAGGCATTTGTCCCTTGGAAAGGCTTTTGGTTTTGGTTTTGTTTATTTAAGCTACTTTCTATACCAGGAGTCTCTTTCCAATTCTCTCTCTCTCTTTCACCCTTCAAAATGTAACTTGAATAATCTTTATACAGTATAAAATCTGTACATTGAGCATTTTTAATAGTTGTCACTAATATATTAGCACATTTCGTTCAATTTTTTATAGTCTTAAAAACTTCAAATACGACATCAAATCGATATAATGACAGCATTCTTGAAAGAGAAATGTATATTTGCCAAAGATAAAGGCAGGTTAGAGGATGTTTTAGATAATCTGGTTCAACATTTGCTTCCATGGCAGGATCAGAGGTGTGCACAACCTTAAGTAGGGAAGGAAATCTCAAAAATAGTTACTACCTTCTTGCCACATGTCCCTGTCAAGATGTAGTGTAGTTCTCACAGATGTTTTGTGTTTTTAGCTTGATGTGTGTATGAGAAAACCACACCAAACTGAAATGTAGCAAAATTTCAGCCTTGAACTAGAATCACTGAGTAGTCTCAGCCTTCTCTGCCCTTTATGTGTAACCCAAGGCAGCCAAGGTACTGAGGGCAGATGTTTTCCTGGGTGCCAAGGGGAGGGTCGGGGAAAGGTCAAATATGGTGGTATACTGCGTTTTCTGTCTGCCTTAGCTCACTGATTTTAGACGGTCAGAGGCTTTGAGGTGATCAGTGACTCTAAACTGCCTTAATTGTGTGTGTTAAGGTTTGTTGAGACAGTGTTCCGGAGCACCCCGAGTATCTAGACCATCCTTGTAAGCAGAATGGCTGGTCTCTTAGAGTCTTCAATACATCTGAGAAGGTCCAAGCTATGTGCCCGGTCCCATAGTCTGATTAGATTTGCTTAGTCTATCTGTAAAGGTTGTTAGTCTGGCCAGTCTTTCTGGACTGATTGATGTATTTACCATACCAAGATTTTTCTTACAGTCTTCTTGATACTTGACTGAAACTTTGCTGTTCTGGTTAGCTGGAAAGTTTAGGATAGCCATGGCCTGGGTGGAGGTAGAGGTTGAGGTTATGTATGGCAGGATACCCAGTCCGGCTTCCAGTTGGATCAAGGCATCTGGGTTTCTTGACCCATCCCACTTGACTCTTTCATTTAGCCCTTCCATCAATGCAATAGAGGGAAATCTGACACCTATCTATTTGACCCCTCCACATGAAGTTGGGGATATGAAACAGGTTCGAGCAAAAGGCAACCACAGCCATTCTCTGGTTATCCATGTAGTGAGACCTCATTCACCATTTTTTTCTTTTTTTTTTTTTGAGACAGAGTCTCACTCTGTAACCCAGGCAGGAGTGCAATGGCATGATCTCGGCTCACTGCAACCTCTGCCTCCCGGGTGCAAGGGATTCTCCTGCCTCAGCCTCCCAAGTAGCTGGGACTACAGGCGTGCACCACTACACCCAGCTAATTTTTGTATTTTTATTAGAGACTGGGTTTCACCAGGTTGGCCAGGCTGGTCTTGCACTCCTGACCTCAAGTGATCCTCCTGCCTTGGCCTCCCAAAGTGCTGGGATTACAGGCATGAACCACTGCTCCTGGCTCATTCACCCTTCTTAAGTACTCCTCCCCCATCTCAGATCCTATGGCAATCGTATATAGAGATGTGATCAACTTGCTTTTGTGATTCCAACATCTGTCTTTCTCCTCTGTCCTGCTCTTGACACTGAAGCTGATGTGACTCAGTAGAACCTGTCAGATACAGGTACCTTAGAAGCTGTAGTCAGCTAACCTTGGTTCTGTTCCCTGTTCTACATTTTACAGCTTAATTAATATAGTACAAAGGAAATGAAATGCATTAAGCCGAGTTTTCTGTAAAGGATGGAGAGAAATCCTGATAAATAATAGTTTGGATGCTTCCTAGATGTACTGTATTCCTGGATATCTTTAGGTTGCTGAGCAGCTGCCCGAGAAGAGGTAATGCAAATGAGACCAGTCTCTGTCTTTTCCTGATAGAAAGAGCTCATTCAGTCATTTGTTGCTCCAGGGGAGAAGAGCCTGGGGACAGCACTTAAGAGCCCTGGGAGTAAGCATTGGAACATAGAAGATTATAAAGATAAACCAGCCAGAGAGATCTCAAATTATCTGAGGTGGTTGACATTAATGTGTGTTTATAGTCTCTATGGTTCATAAAGAACTAAAGAGAAACTTAAAAGATGGGCTGAGTTTAATCTTCTTCTGAAGCACTGGGGCTGGGAGGAACTGAGGGCTTTCTGCTAGGTGACGACCAGAGACTGACCTCTTTGATGGCTAATACCTGCTGGTTCACAAGAGCAAAGACATGGGCACTTGCATAAGTCATTGGCAGCCCCATACGTAAGCTGTCCGGGAAGCTGGACCTGAGCCCCAATAAGCAGATAAATGAAAATAACAGGCCATCAAATAGGGATCTAATAGCCAGTGAGAGGAAAAAATGCACAAGAACCCCAAAACAGGTGACCCCTGATGAATTTGAGCTGCTATAGGAGAAATATGAAAACTTGAACCAAATAAAATATAATTATAAAAGCATTTAGGAAGATTGAAGCAGAGCTCACTAAATATTTATGCTTTTCACTATTTAACTAGTTCTGTCTGGTGGTTCACAAACAGGTATAATATCTGTCCCTTATAGGCTAAGGCAATGAAGAGCTAGTGAGCCCCTTTAATTTTTCTTTTTTTTCCTGCCATGGTGACGTTGGAGGCCACTTGTTCCAGATGGTAAAGCTATAACATGCAGAAGATCACCTGACTTATATTGAGTTATAACATGTGTGAGGGAAAACAAAAATCTAAAACCAAAACCTTCTATCGTATTGTGAGATTTCTGAGTTGTCTATTTCCATAACATATGGTAGTGCTTCCCTGGCAAATGCTAATATTCTGTGTTTGTATTCAGGCAGTCTTAGCACATAGTCTATTCTCTTACTCCAAGTCCTGGGAGCTGTAGGCAATAATAACCATAAGTGCTTGAAGGACAGTAATATTTAGGATGATATGCAGGTTCTCTCACTCTGGAAGGCAGAATTTAGGGCATTGATTCTCAGACCTTAATGTACATATGACTAAACTAGGGATTTTGTTAGAATTCAAATTCTGATTCAATACATTTTGGGTAATCTTAGATATTTGCTGCATTTCTAGCAATCTTCCAGCAATGCTAATGCTGTTGGATAATGGGCGACTCTTTCAGCAGCAAAGTTTCAGGAGGTATGTAGAAAGGTACTCTCTTCTGGCCTTTCAAGAGCTTGACAAGTAGTCGAGACTTTGAACTGTTATAATAACACCTCAGGTGGCAAGGCTTGGTCTTGTACCACTGAAATTGACCTATCTGTGTGTGTGATTGCCCTCGTTATGGAGGAAATCAATTACTTCTTCCTCTCCTCTGCTTTGTGTATGTGTAAACAGCTTTGGTGGCTGGAAGAAGTCAGGAGCAGGATGTTAGTGCTGTCTGCTGTCTGAGCTTGGAGCAGAGCACGCCACTTAACTTGCCCTGCCTACATACTGACCGTAATGTAGTTAAGGCAAACTTCCTGAGTCTGACTTTCTCCAGAGCAACACCCAGTGAGTCAAATATTTGATATAAAGTATGATTTACTTGAAATTCCAGGAACATATTCCAATATTCTCAGCTGTTTTGTCAATGACGTATTGTTAAGTCAGTGAATGTAAACGGCTACAAAATATGGGAAAACACGAAATTCTATCAATTGTGACTGTATCCTAGCCTAGAGAATCACCATTGCTACAGCACTGAGATTGCATCTTACTTAATAGTCAATGTACTCTTCTTCTTTGGGAGCCATTTTATTCCTAAAACGCATCCTTATTTGGGAGTACTTTTCTTAAATAGGCAAAACAATTTTTTTTTACCACCTATCCAAAATATGGTGATAAGTACAGCATTAGGGAAACAAGGGCATTCTTTAAACTAGAATGAGTCACAACTAAGTATTTCGTGCCTCTAAGGATGATTCAGGATGTTTAGATCCATAGTCTGAAACATGAAGGTGAAAGATCACTTTTAATCTCCTTGCTTTATAGGGAATTGTGCAGATATTAATCTTGTCAAAAAATTCTAGCAAGGAAACAATTCACACCCTTCTTCTTTTTGAAAGTCCTTTTGCCTTGTCACCCTGTATCTTCTCAAGGGTTTTAAAGCATTTTGACATAATTTTGCAAACTCAGACTCCTAACAGTCTACACATATTTACAAAGTCACCAGTAACTTTTGAGAGTTCACAGTTACTTTTATGCACTAGATTTATCCCAGATCATGGCTGTTTTTAAAGTCAGCTCCAATTCTAGAGTTTGTATTCTCTCTGAGGTGTCATTATCTGATGCATACAAATTTTTAATAATCTTGGAAATTTTTTCATATATGTACCAAGTATGAATTTTCAGTCACTACATCTGAGTTCAGAACTGTCACATTGGCTTATTATTTCTAAATCAAATAAAATGTGACTATGAAATTATATTTATCAATATGGGAAGAACTTCAAAGTTGATCTTGAAGTGATCTCTCCTACTTAGAATTATATAAGGATCAGAAGACTACTAAAGTGATGAGAAAAGTCAGAGAAGAATAATTACTTTTCTGTTTCTCATAGTTACTACTGAGATACTTATTTTCTAAGATTGCAATGTATTTTACAGAGAAAACTTTAAAACGTTCATGTCAGTTTTGAGCATGGATATTCTTGAGTAACTTTAAAGCCCTGATACTACCACTCCACAGAAATTTTGATCTGAAGTTAACTCTCCAAAGTTCTATAAAAAATGATGATAGTACACCTTATTTAGGAAACCTAACCCTCAAAAAACATATGCTCTTTTAAGTCTTGGGGAATTTTTTTCTCTTTAAGGATAAGTGGCCTCTGCCTTTATCTCTTTAAAAAGTTCTCTTTATCTTCATTCTCACTCAGAAAAAAGAGAAGTTAAGGGAAGTAATAGCTGAGGGGATGTGATGCAAAAAACAAAGAATGGACTGGCTATTTTCGGAGTCTGGCCCTATGTGTGAGCTCAGGTGAAGAGGCAGCATATATGGGTAAGAATTCTGGTAGGTAGGTGATGTGATAATGGGCACCTGAAGAAGTTCTTCAGATAAATTTATTAGTGAAATTGCTTCCAAAAGTCTTACCTGAGAGTTGGGATGGGAGAAAAATGTTAAAATGTGAGGAAAGAAAAAAGATTGTAAATATTCACTTAGAAGAGTTCTAGAGTAAATGAATTAGAAATGTATAGAATGTTTTTCTTACAGCACTGATGTTGGTGATTGCTACCCAACATGACACTGATTATTGTTTTTGTATCCTTTTTTCTTCTACATTCATCTTCAAAGAAGAGGTTCTGAGAAGGCAGAGAGACAGAGCATTCAGAGTATAATGAAGAGAGAAGCAAGAGACTTTAGCCTAATTATAATAATTGACTATTTCAAGGCTTTTCAGAGTAACAAAATGAATAAGATAGATAGATTGATACTCAAATGTACAGAGAGAGACAGAGAGAGGGAGAGATTGGGACTTACTATAAGGAATTGACTCATATGATTATGGAGGCCAGCAAGTCCAAAGATCTGCAGAATGAGTCAGCAAGTTGGAGACAAAGGAAAGCCAATGTTTCAGTTTGAGTCTAAAGGAAGGAAAAATGCTGATGTCTCAGTCCAAAGGTTGTCAGGCAGGAAGGATTCTCTCTACCCATGGATTGAACTGATAGGATGAGAGTTACCCACATGAAAGAGGACAATCTGCTTCAATCAGTCGACAAATTTAAATGTTAATTTCATTCAAAATCACTCTCGTAGAAACTGAGCACCCCATGAACTAGTAAAATTGACACATAAAATTAACCACTACGTTATGGAATGTAAGATGGATTCTGTGAAAAGGTGTTAGGATTAATAAATTCAAAGGGATAAAGGATAGTTTGGATCATGGCACTGAAAGAAATGACCTGGATAAAAAGAGATGATGGTCAAACTGGGTGCATAGCATTATTGGTGATGGTAAGATTCAGCAATAAAAATGGTTTTTTTCTAAAGAAAACTATAGATATAATGGATGATCTAACACTACATTGTCTAATATGATAGTCATTACTCACATGTAGCTGTTTTAATTGAATGTGCAATTAAAGAGCTTTTTGAACTAAACCTGGACTAAATCTACTAAAACCTAATCCTAGTTCTATGTGAGTCTCCTAGTTCACAGTCTTTAGAATCTTTACCCCATATTGATTATGCTTTTGAGTGGCTTTTCACTTGATTTGACTTTCATTTGCAATACCAGTACCTAAAGTCCATGTATCTCTTAGTGTATAAAACAAACAAAAACTAATGCATTACTACTTTTTTTAAACCTCCTAAACGTTTTACTTTTAAATTGTACACTGTGTTAACTTAGAATGGCATTATAATGAAAGAATCCATTTATTTTCTCTAAATCAAAGAGCTTTTTCTCTGGCTACTGTTCAGAAAGATCTTTTCCTGACAAAATAACACTAACAGGTCCTCACAGATTTCCAGGATCTCTAATAGGCTTTCACAAGAATAGAGCTTAGAAAAGTGCATACAGCAGGTAAAGACTCCACTGCTGCATTAAATTAAAAATACCAACTTTTTCTTATAGCTCATTTAGAAAAATAACAACTAGATTTTTAGCTGTTCTAAGAAAAAACATTCACTTTTTTTATATTCCACCAAAGTGATTCATGTTATTTACATCTTCATCAAAATAACTTATTTTATTTTGTCTATTTCTGGAAAAGTAACGCAGAAATGTTAATCATCTCAACTCTTCTTGTCATTCTTCATAATTTATCAACTATTTTGTCCATAAATTTTAAGCTGTATTTCACTCTAAATGATTGGTTTGAAAATTGTTGAGAATAAATAGCTAAGACCTGTATTAATTCCATATTAATGATGACAGAATAAATGCTTTGAAAATGGTAAACACCTGACCTAGAAATGGATGTAGAATGCTGAAAGAGGCAGAAGAGTTAAGTGTATTAAAATGTTATGAGAGAACATTCAATTTATAGGAAGACAACAGTTGATTTTTAAAGAGGCAATTAAATCATATTCTGCTAGGAAAACTAAGATGTATTTTACATTTTTATAATATATGCATTTAAAATGTAGCTTCTCTTATCAACCTCCAAGTATTTCCTTTTGTTATTTACATGACTTTAGTTTTAGAGAACAGCATTATGTTCAAACATAAATATATCCCTCTGATAGATAATTTAAATTTTAAAATGCTGGTATTCACATACATGATGTAAGGTATATATTATTTTGCTTCTGTATATTACTGATATATAGTCAGTCATGCTGAAGAAACTATTACATATTTTGTTTTATATGTTAATCTCTCAATACATTTTTCTGTCATATTAGACTTGAACAACAGTCTGAAAAAGTGAAAAACTACTCTTCAATTTGGAAAACCTTTGTTCTGCCTTGTTCTACGGACTCATTGTCAGATGCATAACCTGGTTTTTGTAAGTGTACCTGTGATATCCTCAATACCCAATCTCTGTATTGATTACTGTTCCAGAGGCAGTGATTCCTGCAACTGTGGCTACCCACATGGGTCATGAGATTTAATATGACTCAGAACTAGACTGGTCAAATTTCAGAGAGTTATGATGGCCTTTCCGCTTGAACCATCAGTTCTTACAGAAAGAAGGTGCATTTAATCTAGGTGGCACATGCCGAGGGAAATGTTTAAACTTGTCCAAGTTTGGAAGGCAGATAGATGTAGAGAAGGCAGGGCTTCTAATTCTCTTTTAACCAGTATGCTTCCTCATGCATACAAGTATTTTTGTGTGATTTAGTTTAACTGAGATTAAAATGTCTATTATTGGCTATTCTTGGAGCCTTGGTTTTAATTTTTGTACAATCCAACAGTTCTCAGTCCAATGCTCTGGTTCTTCTCCTTGGTACTCAGAGTACGAAGTACAAATTCCTACTGAACCTCTTTCCTTGTCCTTCCATTTCTCTTTCTTCCAAGTGCCCTTTCAATAGTGTAAGTGTCTCCTGTCAACTCATGAATTTCTATCATTGTCAAAGGCCAGATTAGAGTCTTCTTTAATATTGATAGGAAATAGTGGGGTTTTCCATGGATTTAAACAGGAATCTAGTTATAATCAACTTTCTGCTTTATCCTTTCTAGACAAGGGTTAAGTACTGGTCTGATTAATTCCATTTCTTTGCAAATTTGGATTTCTGTCTTAAATGTGCGCACAATAGCTTGGACTCTGATATCTGTTTCCCTTATGTTGACCATATGTTTTGCTACACAATTTTTCCATCCTGGCTTCCATATCCTCACACTCTGTTGTCCTGTAGAGAAATCTGTTACTTTCTGTCCTTGGAAATAACTGATTTCCCACGTAACCACTTGGCATATGTCAACATTTTCCTTTTGATGAACTATCTGCGTTCACACTAAACTTTCCCAGCTGCTGGCTTGCTCTGTTCCCCAGGATCTGTCTCCTGAGGGGTTCTAATTCATCCTACTAAGTGAAAAAGTTGTCAGAACATTCTCTAATTCCATATGGAAACAAGACAGTATCTTTAGAAGAATGCGGTATTTTGAAATTACAGTCTTGACATTACTTTTTTGTCAAAACCCTGAAAAATCAAGTACATTACAACCTGGTCATTAATGTGTTCTACAAAATACTGGAAACTTACCTTTCTGTCTCTGTCTTTATTTTCCACTATAATTCTGTATGTCCCCTAAACTCCATATACTCTACTGACTTTGTATACTGTAGTCTTTCTTTATGTACATTTTCTAATCAATACTTATCCAAAAACAAGTGATCACTCAAGGTCCAATTCAAATGACAACTCTTACTTAAAACTTTCCTTGATCCAATAGTTGCAAAGAGAAGATATTTTCTCTTCTATAAATTCTAGTAACACTTTAAACCCTTCCTGTAGGAAACAACTCTTTCTATTGAATCATTATTATTTATATACATATTTGTAGCTCTTTCTAGAAAATAAACTATACCTAATTCATTAATGTATCCTCCAGCTAGTGGTACAGAGTAGATATCTGATAAATATTTGCTGACTATATATGTATTTCTAATTCGTTTTCTAACTGAGTAAATAAGAGGACTGAAAAAATATAGCAGAATACTTTCAATATTAGATTGATAGAGTCTATGTTAGGTTCAATCTAGTAATTTTCACTGAACCACTTAAATTAAAATAGGTTTATGCATGAAATAATGTATATAAAATCTTTTAATTTTGTATTAATTTTAATTCACATAAAAGCTGCAAATGTTGTACAGATAATTTCTGTATACTCAAACCAAATTTCAGTTTGTATTATTGTGCTATATTTGTCAAAACTAAGAGCCCAACATTGATATATAAATATAAACTAAGCTTCAACTTTTTTTTTTTTTTTTTTTTTTTTTTTTTTTTTTTTTTTTTTTTTTTTTGAGATGGAGTCTCGCTGTGTCGCCAGGCTGGAGTGCAGTGGGTGCAATCTCGGCTCACTGCAACCTCCACCTCCCTGGTTCAGGTGATTCTCCTGCCTCAGCCTCCCGAGTAGCTGGGATTACAGGCGTGTACCACCACATCCGGCTAATTTCTTTGTATTTTTAGTAGAGATGGGGTTTCACCATGTTGGTCAGGCTGGTCTCGAACTAAGCTTCAACTTTTATTCAGATTTCATCAATTCTTTCACTAATGTCCTGTTTCTGTTCCAGGGTTACATGCACAGTGATTTTGAATTTGGAATTTCCATTTAAACAGGAGGAAACATAGCAAGCCTATCAGGAATATTATGGTTTCAGAATCATTCAAGACTGGCAAACATGTGGAAGAGAGATTGGATTACCAGTATTTAATATTTAGACTTGGTTTCTATAGCTAGATTATTTGTGAAATAGAGTACTGAAACTCTAATAGTAAAATAATTTTCATTAAGTGTAAATCTTCCATGTTCTGTTATACATGAAACAGAACATTTGGGGTTTTCCTGTACAGAGGAGTAGCATAGCTTCTTTTATTTTTTAAATTTTAACTCCAAATAATAATAATAATAGTATTTATTGTGTACTTACTAAATTTTATAATCTTATATAAACACACATATATACATTTATGTGTATTTATACAGTGTTTATATGTATATGTTTGTATATATGTATATGTTTATACAGAGTGAAAGTTCTTATCTAATTCTTTTCAATCTATTCTTTCAAAAATGTATATAAGTATATATACATATATATGTAGATATACATATATGCATGTATACATATAAATGTATATGTATATATGTATGTACGTATATATATGTGTGGCTATATAAGAATATAAAATTTTTACGTGTCCTTCCAAAAATAGTCTTCTCGTAATATATGCACCTGTGCTTATCTCTTTCTTGGACAAATGATACAATGCTTTATATAATGTTCAATACCTTTTTGCATTTATTTGTTGAGAGACCTTTCCATCTCAATTTGTTCAGTTCCAGATTTTGCTATTACAGACAAGCCTGCTATATGCATACATATATATTTACAGTGCATACACATGTATTTACAGTTGACCCTTAAACAACATAAGGGTAGGAGTACTGACCCTGTGGCATCAAAAAAATCCACATCTAACTTTTGACTTCCCCCAAACTTAACTACTAGTAGCCTACTGTTAACCAGAAAAGTTACTGATAACATAATCTATTAACACATATTTTGTAAATGATATGCATTATATGCAATATTCTTAAAATACACTAAGTTGGAAAAAAAGTTGAGAAAATCATAAGAAAGAGGAAATGCCTTTACACTACTGTATTGTATTTATCAATACTGTAAATTTCCATCATCTGTTTACAGGATGGACCATCTGTCTGAAATGGCAGGGAACCATAGCAGCAGACCTCAATCTACAGTACATATCAAGCAATTCAGCTTTTTCTTGTAATGTCATGACTTTCTCTGCTTCTTGGGAGCACTTCCAGCATCACCAGTGCCATTTCATATGTGTTTCATGGTGTTATCCAAGGTTTATGGTATTGCACTAAACATGAGAAAAAATATGCTGGAACATGGAGGAATAACTGTTCTCTGTGATAATGCAATTTCCTGGAAAGACAAACTCCTCACACAGAGTAAGCATTACACGGGATCCTGGCAACACATGAACTCACCTCAATAGCAACAGGAGGTGGCTACAAAATTATGACAGTGATACACTTAAGATTGAATACTGCATCTTTACATTTGTTTACATCTATCTTGACTTTGAATGGTGCAAGGTACAATCTGTAAGCATTTGTGTGCATAGGCTTTGATAAATTTTAGCTTTTGATAATTGATTTGTGTGTATTTTAGGGCAATAAATGATAAAATAGACTAATATATACATGTATTTTATGTATTATTCATGTATTTTATGTATATATACGTGTATTTCATGACATACTTTTTTGATATTTCTGGGATACATCGTTCATATTGTCGTGAATCCCTAAAAATTTTTAAAAAGATATTCGTTGAAAAAAAATCCATGTATAAATGGACCGATGCAGTTCAATATCATATTGTTTCAAGGGTCAGCTGTATGTGGTTACATGTGGAGGATGAGTTATAAATGAAATTGGAAAATACTTTTAATTTTCATCTGGTTTTCTACTTTTATGCTTTCTTTTTGTCTTATACAAGTTTACTTTTGAAGTAAAATATTAATTTAAATTTTTAGAAAATGTAAATAATATATTGTATTTAAAATTATGTATAAATACACAAAAATTATATGTGACCATATATATGCACACATTAAAGAAAGAAACTGGATTATATGTCCATATATATTGGGAAGCATTCTACCAGATATTGATGTAGTTACAGCAAGATGACTTCTTAGAACATTTCAATCTCAAATCATAAGTATTCTAAACATAAATGTGAAAATTAAGCCAGGCGTAGTGGCTCATGTCTGTAATCTTAACACATTGGGTGGCCAAGGCAGGCAGATCACTTGAGGTCAGGAGTTCATGACCAGCCTGGCCAACATGGTGAAACCTCATCTCTACTAAAAATACAAAAATTAGCCGGGCGTGGTGATGGGTGCATGTAATTCCGGCTACTGGGGAGGCTGAGGCAGGAGAAGTGCTGGAACCTGGGAGGCAGAGGTTGCAGTGAGCTGAGATCATGCCATTGCACTCCAGCCTGGGCAACAAAGCGAGACTCTGTCTCTAAATAAATAAATATATATATAAATAAAATAAAATAAAATAACTGTGAAAATTAGGAAGGCAGTGATCTTAGCTGGGTAGCCAAACCCCACATAAAGAAGGTAACAGTAATATAGCTAGAATTTTCTCAGATTGGAAGGAGACTTTGCTGTGGAAATGTTCCAGATCCAAGGCAGCTCTAGCAATTTAGATCTGTGTGGTTCGCTCAACAGCTGCAGTGTAATAATTTCTAATGGCCACTCTTGAGATTTATCTACTTTCTCCCTATGGTTGTTTTGGGTACTTACGCTATTAGAGACCACTTCATAGACCTCTCTGTATAATATGTAATTTGACATTTACTCACATCCCTGACTCCGGCCCACAACTCCTGTGGCCAGAGAATTGACCCAGAGTGGGAGATCACATGAAAACAAACTAGGTTCTATGACTTGACTGTCCATGGAGTATAATCGTGAAAAAATAAAAATTTTCCGATCTTGAAAACTCCTCAATGAGTGCAAACCTATCAGTTCTTACTATACCATTTGTTGACTATTTGTTCTGTGAATTTTGAATACTGAGTTAATTTTTTATCATATTCAGAACACACATAAGTAATTCATTTAAATAAGCTATCATATTCTTTTTAAAAAACAATGCATGATAATAATGTAATATTTGATATATACATATAGCTATGTATTTATGACATACATACAAAACTCTAAAATAAGTAATTATACAAAAACTTATATATACAAAATCTTTATATATGAGTTTTGAAGTATAATAATGAAAACAAATAGATATGGTTGTAACGTTCTACTTAAGGAATAGATCAAAACAATATTGTTACTAGTACACCCCTTTCTCAATGCATCTTCATTCCTCACAGAAATAACCTTTATTCTGAATTTTTAGTGTATCATATCCTTGCTTATAGATTTTAATCTCATGCATCGAATTTCACTAGATAATATATTTTTCAATATTGGCTGCATGTATTTTTCTTTCAGCAATACTGAAACAATATATTTTTCAGTATTGCTTTGAACTTCGTTAAAATGTTATCATAATAACAACAGCCTTTTGTGACTTATTTTTTATTAACTCAATATTATCACCCTTCAAAATTCATCTATATTGGTTCATAAACTATAGCTCATTAATTTTTCATTCTTATGGACTATTTTATTGTATTCAATTTCCTTTTTTTTTTTTTTTTTGAGTCTTGCTCTGTTGCCCAGGCTAGAGTGCAGTGGCACGATCTCGGCTCACTGCAAACTCCGCCTCCTGGGTTCAAGTGAGTCTCCTGCCTCAGCCTCCCGAGTAGCTTGGATTACAGGCATGCACCACCTCGCCTGGCTAAATTTTATACTTTTAATAGAGATGGAGTTTCACCATGTTGGCCAGGGTGGTCTTGAACTCCTGACCTCAAGTGATCCACTTGCCTTGGCCTCCCAAAACGCTGGGATTACAGGTGTGAGGCATCGTGTCCAGCCCCAATTTCCTTTTGACAGATATGTGTGTTGATTCTAAGATTTTGCTATTTTGAATAATGCTATTACAAACATTCTGCTAATTACCTAGTAATTCAAAATTCAAAAATTTCTCTAGAGTATATGCCGAGGAGCGTAATCACTGGTTATAGCATATGTCATAGTAACAAATTGTGCCAAACTCTTTTCAAAAGTTGTTTAAACAAATTATACGTCTGCCAGCAGTGTTCCCCTTCCTCCAGTCTTACAAATACTTGATTTTGTGAAATTTTTTCACCAATCTAGTAAGTATAAAAGCTATCTAATTGCAATCTTAACTTTTGATTTTGTCACCTTAAAACCTTTACCTTAAAGGTGTAGAGCCTGTTTTGAAGTTTCAATGTTTCCTTTTATATTTTCTATTTAGGTATTTTACCTACTTTTACTGTATTATTTATCATTTTCTTAAGAGTTGTTAAGTACAACGGATACTAATATTTTATCAAGTTTTACATGCTGCAAATATCTCTTCCCAATATGTGGCTTATCTTTTTATGAATAAAAGTTAATGAAGAGCTGTTGAAAAAATAAATGCTATTCCAATGAAATATGTCAATCTCTATGAAACTGCAATATACATCATTATTTGATATGTGCCATTATGTTTTGTCTTTTAAATTCTAATTATTGTGCTATATATATTTGGAGTCATTTGTGTATAACACAAGAATAACATGCCATTAAAAATTAGATATTTATATAAGTTTTGAAAATAAAAGATATTCACCAAAGTGGATTTAGGCTTGTTTTTTGTATGTGTGTGTTTTCTTTTTATTTGTTTGTTGCTTTAGGATCATGGGTAAATTTTTGGTGTTATAGTGGCTTAGAAGAAATATGTTTTTGTTTATAGATCCTTTAAAAATAAATTTAAAATGATTATCATTAGCTTGTTTAGATGTGCTTTATTACATCTATCAAACCATTTCCACATATTATTTGTAAAAATAAAAATAATGTCTGTTATCAGCAGGAGTCTACATGTCTGTCATTGCTATTTCAAGGGAGCACAAAAGTAACAATAATGTATCAGTTCATCAATTTATGCGAATACATTTTTAAAAACCCCTGTGAACATATCCCATAAAAGGACCAAAATATATGTTTACAAAAAGTGTAAAAGTTAATTTCTCACTATTACATAAAATAGAGCAAGAAATATTTTTTAAGGACACCCTTAAAAGATAATGTCAAGAATATATGTCTCTTTCTTTATGGAAAGTACAGTAAATTATGGTGGGGAAGAGTAGAAAACTGCTATAAAAATCAATTTATGATTTTACCCCAGAATCTGAGGGCTGAGAACGAGCAAGGAGACTAGGATGGTTGAAAGATCATGCACGCACTCCTTAAGGCTATATTCATTCCCTTTACTGCTGATAAATAGCACCTTCATGGCTAGAACTAGAAGAGATGTTCAGCAGAGCCACTATTTTCTTAAGCCTATGGCAAGGTGCCATTATGGGATCTTTGGGGTGTTGTTTTTCTGTCTAGAAATCTTTGGCTGGTGATACCTTTGTCCACTGGGCTTGTTCCACTCATTCGGCCTGGCAGACCGTGCTCAGCTCATGCTACCAGCCTGGATCCCATGCATCCAAGGGTGACTGGAACCAGGCATGGAGTGGCAAGAGTTGTGTGTGAGCGAGCATGGGGTCCAGCCACTGCGTAGTCAGACATGCCGGCTGCTGACATGGGGCAGGCAGCTCCAGGTGCTGGCATGAGTGCCAGCTCTCTGTGAGGTTGTGGCTGCGGCTGAACCAGGCGCACTGCAAGCAGCTTCCCTGGCTGGCACCGGGGAATGCAGTGGTGCCTGGAAGCTTGGAGATGCCAGGAACCACAGGTCTCCAAAGAGGGAGTCACAGTCCTGGCTTGGGGAGCTCCCAGGTCTAGGATCCCCAAAGGGCCACAGCTCTTCTCTCCTTCTCTTCACCTGCAACATGGTGAGCAAGGGGCATGTTTCAGCCCTGTTTGTGTTATAGTGACTCTTTTACCCTCATCTTTCAGTTTGTAGCAAGTTCTTGTCCTGCGACCAGGAAGAATGAGGTAGACAGACAAGTGGAGGGTGAGCAAGATAAAGAGGAGTTTTATTGAACAATAGAACAGCTCAGAGAAAACCCTCAGTGGGCAGCACCTCTCCATAGCCAGGGTGCCCCAACAGGTATTCAGCTCCTAGCAGAGAGGGTAGCTCCTCTCTGTAGCTGATCAATCTAACAATTGTTCAGCTGTCAGGAGAGAGGGCAACTCCTCTCTGCAGCTGGTTATCCCATTGTCTGCAGCTCTCAGCAGAGAGTGTAGCTGCTCTCTGCAGCTGGTCCTCCTATCATCTCCCCATCCTCTACTATTCTCTTGCTGAGCCCAGGGCTTTTATAGGCCTCAGAGGGAAGGAAGTGTGAACCAATTGGTTCATGGGCAGCCATGGGTGGGCCTGGAAAAGGAACCACAAGTGCCCACGCAGGTCAGCAAGACTGGCAGCCCAGGTCCCAGCCTTCAGGCCCTCCCTGGCTTGAAGGTGGGGCCTAACCCAGGACCCACTCCGTTCCACCCAAGATCCTGTCTGCCTCCCATTGCTGTTCATAGTGCCCAGGCTGTTCATGCGGAGGGGCACCTGCAGGCCAGTGCCGAGATGCCCTCAGCCCACCCTTGGCTTGTCCACCCACACTCACTGTCACCTAAATTCCAAAGGGTGTTGAGGCAGCAGGCGACTGGCATGTCAGCACTACCTCAAGTGTGTGTACCCCTGGCTTGGCTGTGACAGCACCAGAGCTCGGCCCCACAGTGCTCTGAGATTGGAATGGGCATGACAACTCTGAGTCAGATAGCTGTAGCCACACCTGGGAGGGTGGGGCTGCCACATGCTCCCAGATCTTGCCAGCTCCGTGGAGCATGCAGCCCCAGCAGTGCCCCCTTGCAGCCTGGGGTGGGGTCTCCAGGTCCTCGCTGGGCCTGGGCTGGTGTCTGGGGCAGGGGTGACATTGTTAAGAGCTTCCCCTTTACCCCAGTGCTCAGGGGCAACCCAGGACAGAGCAGATCATCCCTGGGCCCAGCCATAGGGAGTGTGAGGCTTGGCGGTCACCCCCGATGTGGGTTGACCCCAGGGGTATGGCCTCTGGTGGCTCCATGCAGAGCCTCCTCCCAAGGCAGAGGATCCCAGCAGCCTTGGCTGGGTGGGCACAGTGGCTGTACTACTGGCCAGGTCCCTAAAGCATCGCAGCTCCCACTTTCCACCCCAGGCCAGAAGCATGGCTCCAGCTCCACTTTCCCTGGGCAGTACCAGATCTCTGTGTACAAGCACAGCACTGCCAGGGCCCAGCTCTACCTCAGAGCTCCTCTCTGTCTGATGGTGCTGCTTCCCTGCCAGAGGGTGACATGACTTAGCCCTATCTTGGCAGTCAGCAAGGTGGCGGGCTGCAGGGGGGTTTGCTTCCTCCCCACACCCTCCCTGCAGTGGTTTGGTGATGGCAGTGGCTGCTCCAGACAGTCTGCTGCTGCCATCAGTACTAGAGACAGGACAAATCTCTTCAGAGCAATTTTCTTGGCCAAAAATGACAGTGGCAAACGAAAAAGGCAGCTAGGTGGGAATACAAAAATGTAGGAACTTAGTGTAACAGTAAAATCCAAGAATCATGAGAACATGTAACTAAAATGGCAGACTTGCTTCCAAATAAGTAGAACAAACCAATACTAAAAGAACATACCTTTAGGGGTACAGCCATTCTTTTTCTTCCATAACTGAGCAGACCTGGATGCTGTGCAAGTGTTTCAACAAATGTATGTAGAAAGAGATCAAAGCCTTCTCTACTACCCTCAGGTAATTGATGGTCAGGGATTGTTACATGGGTAAAAGTAAACAGCAGCAGGTCAAAAGTGTGAACAGGAGGGAAGTCTCAGTGGTACAGTATGAAGTTATGTTTTAATGGGTTCTCTACTGACTTTTCAGGGAAGACTTTTAATTGTAGATCATTTGGGAACAGCATCATGCTCTTGTGAATGCTGTTTTTTAAGAACTTGATCCATTTTGTGTGTTCCCAGCCACGAAGTAAAATTCTTATTGGAACTGGACGTGCATCCCCTACAATCATTTATACCAACTCTCAAATTAAGATTTGTGAGAAACCTGCCTCATTGACAGTCATACAGTTTCTGGTGGATTCTTAAACCTCAGACACCAATGCCTTCAGTAATCCATATACATTTTCTCACCCTCTTTATAAAGTGTTTATTGTCTAAATCTAACTCAGCAACTTTAAGAGCCAGTTTGTTTTCCAATCTAATAGGCCCTAACTTCTACCTTCTCTGTAAATAACTCATAATTATAGCTAAAATTTAGAACACTTACAAATTTCTAGATGCTTTTATAAGCATGGTACATATATTAGCTAATTTAATCTTACCAAAAACCCTATGACATAGTCTTCATTGGTAGCTATTTCAAAATAATCTATGTTTTTTCCTTCCTTCACTTACTTATTACATTCTCTTTTTACTCGTTCATTTAATAAGCATTTACTGCACATCTTTTTACATGCCTGGCATGTGAGTGGTACTAGAATTTATCAGTAACCAAAAAGGACATAACTTCTCTTCTGGAATTTTAATTTAGCTGGAGTCCTGGCATGTCTTACTTGAATGTATTTCTATTTCATCAAGTCACTTATGATGGTGTGGTGTTATTTTAATTTATGTTAGTCATATATAGTAAAGAATTGTGTATATATAAGTTTGGGGAAAACAACTGTGCAAATATAACTCCGTCTCCCAAGTATAGAACTTTTTGAAGTCTTCAGTATTATGATTATACTGAATGAATCCAAAATCTTGAGCACTCACTCCACATTAATGACAACTTCAATGTGTCAACACTTTCTTGGTTAAAACAGAACTAAACAAAATATGACTCATTTAAATATTTTATCCTCTCTCTATCATGCTTAATATGGCTTTTTCTCTTGCATACCATTTTAGGGTCTTTCTTATATTGCTATCGTTCTGCTTAAAAGCAGTTCTCAAATGGTTTTATCTGCTTTTGGTTCAAGTTCCTATCTTTGGGGAGAACCATTTGACCTAACAGCCATGCCCTTTACTACTTGCCTCTATTTACATACTGATTCTAAAATTATTAGGGTTTTAGCTTGATTGCAGTTTTTAAATTTCAAATTCAGTGACCTTGGAAAAACCCTGATAGTTTCTATTTATCAGAAGTTTGTAATGTAATTGAACTGAAAATTTATCATGTCAACGAAAAGTAATACATGCCACTGACATACATGTAAAATATAAATTATTTTATATTTTAAATAATTTACAACAATGATAGACTGGATTAAGAAAATGTGGCACATATACACCATGGAATACTATGGAGCCATAAAAATGATGAGTTCATGTTCTTTGTAGGGACATGGATGAAATTGGAAACCATCATTCTCAGCAAACTATCGCAAGGACAAAAAACCAAACACCGCATGTTCTCACTCATAGGTGGGAATTGAACAATGAGAACACATGGACACAGGAAGGGGAACATCACACTCCTGGGACTGTTGTGGGGAGGGGGGAAGGGGGAGGGATAGCATTAGGAGATATACCTAATGTTAAATGACGAGTTAATGGGTGCAGCACACCAACATGTCACATGTATACATATGTAAAAAACCTGCACATTGTGCACATGTACCCTAAAACTTGAAGTGTAATAATAATAAAATTTAAAATAATAATAATAATAATTTATACATATATGTAAAATATCAATTAAAATATCTAAAGAAAGCTTACATGCATAAACATTGGTGAAATGGGAAAAAAGGAAGATATGCACAGACTTGCAAATTTCTTATACATAAAAGAATAATTACTATACTTTTATCTCTCCAGATAAGAACTATTAAGGATTAAACTCCATCAGTATTTTAGAAAAAGTGGTTTGTTAGAAAAGTGGTTTGTCTTTGCTTTTATCCTTAAGTCCTCTTTTATAAAATAGTGTGCATTTTTATCACTTGTGGTTTTTACAAACCTTTCCTGAGTGCCAAAAATTATAGGTTAAATTGAAACATAATAAATCAGAATTGATCCACATGGAATCTTTGTTCCTCAACACTGTGTCTACAAGAAGAAAATGCCCTCTGCCAAGATGAGACTATGTCCAGAATTGCAGCTGTGCAGCTCAGCACTGGACTACTCTTTGTGTACAAGTTCTTTTGTAGTAGGGCTCATGTGTCCTTTGCTTCTAAGTCTCATCACCCTTTATGGATGATCTCATGCTAATTGAAGTGTAAGCGAACTGGAAATCTATGTATTTAATTCATCTTTTAAAAATGAACAATTTCTAAAAGTTAGAAAAATTGGGGTATGAAAGGTTACACTTAGAAAATAAAGTCAAAGTCCACAACAAAATGAGTCATAGAACTTTTTGCGCCAATTCATAATAATTACAATACCGTAAGCTCATAGAATGCTTTTGTCTGGAGACTCAAAGTTTCCTACATCTATTCAGTCATTTCTGTACAAATAGTTGTTTCATTTATTTAGTGGTATTTTCATAGCAATAAGGAAAAGGCAAAAAGTTATATTGAGAGGAAGTGGTTAGAAAGTGAAATTATTAAATAAGAGATTTTGGCTTATTTATCTTTCTGTTCACAATACTTAGGAAGTGTCTAGCATATATTAAGTTCTTAAAAAGCTTATGCTGTTAAAGAAGATATTTTGGAAAAGAGTTATTAAAAACCTAATGTGGTTTACTATTAAACAACATGTATTCTGATGCTAGACAGTAGTGGGTTTGAACCGTAATCCGACTGCTTACTGTCTTGATGGTCTTTAACTTGGTTGTCTTTTACAAGTAAAATGAGAGAGTAATTTGTATACTTATCTGTAAAATAAGTATACAAATTACTTATTTTTAAAATGAAGGAGCACTCTCTAAGGATATTTGTGAAGATTATATGAAATAATACATAGAAAAATCTCAAGCTTATTTCCCATCACACCAAAATCACCATTAATCATTACTGTGAAAATACCACATTGGTGTAAAGATAAGAGTCAACTTTTTTCTTCAAATTATGGCTTGCTCAATTCCACTTCATGTTACCCTCATTTTGAGATTGTCTCTTTCTCAACAATGCTCACAATTTGAATGAGCACCATAACTCCCATAGTGTTGAATCAGTTGAGAATTAAGACAAAATGTGAGACTGATACTAATAGAGAATAAATTGGAGTATGTAGTCTACTGTGAGAAATTAGAGAATTTCACCCGTCAAAGGCTTATGTAATGTGGTGAGAGAGAGAGAGAGAGAGAAAGAGAAAGAAAGAGTATGTGTGTGTGTGTCTTCACAGAATAAAAGACTGGAAGAAATGATTATATCAGGTCATTGTTAGATGGGAAAACTACTTTTGAAACCTAAAAACCATAAAGCAATTCTCATTGTTAAAAGAATGAATGCATTATTATCAAAATGTTGAATATGCTGAGCTGCAGGCTGCACTTAGCACTGTGCCAAATGGACTGGGGTAAGCAAACATTGACATGTTTTCTGTCTTTGAGCAGCCACTCTAGTTAAGAGAGAAGAATAAGTGCATTTAAAACTACTAAACCAATTCAAACCATTGTCAAATATGAGGGAATGGTATGTGCTACCTAAACTCACAGGAGAGATGACTGTTGATTTTCAGGCGGAATGCTCAAGATTAGTTTATTCATGTCATTGAAAAATGCTGAGCTCCCAGTCTCTATTTGTTGTTGGTAAGTCCTGGAAATATGAAATGTAAAATAGAGTTCCTGACCTCAAGGATCTCAAAAGGAAGATAGACGAGTATACGAAGAAGGACTACACATCAAAATACACACAATAATATAAGTAAGCTCTAGAGCAACTTATATGATTGGATGCATTATGTAGTGAGAATGCTCAGCTCAGCACATCCCTTTAACTTTTTGGGAACAGACTGTTTACCGTCTCACTGATAAGGCCCTGTGTACACACACACACACACACACACACACACACACACACACACACACACACACACGTGTATAATGTAATTGGATTGAAAATTTATCATGTCAGCAATAAGTAATACATGCCAATGACATACATGTAAAATACGAATTATTTTCTATTTTAAATAATTTATACATACATGTAAAATATCAATGAAAATATCTAAAGAAAGCTTACAGTGTATGCATAGACATTGATTAAATGGAAAAAAATGGAAGACATGCATAGGCTTGGCAATTTCTTATATATAAAGGAATAATTACTATATTTTTACCTCTATATACTTTAATCTCTGTGTGTGTGTGTGCACATGCACAAACAACTATTACAAAAAATGGAATAATTCAATGCAGAGACTTTTGAAACTCATGTTTTCTATTTATAATGAATCATTGACATCTATTCATACCAATATATATAGTTAATATGATTTCCAATGGCCGCAGAGAGTATTACAGCATGGACACTAGCAATTTCTAATTATGATGTCTTGTAGGTAAACCATGTTTCACTGATATTTAAAATTTTATTTTTCTATGTATAGGACATGTGTTTTTTTGGGAATTGGCAATTTATATCATTTGCTCATTTTTAGAAATCATTTTTATAGATGTATAAGAACTTTTAATATGCTTTTTATATACAGATAAGCCTGTATCTTTAACATATATTCCAAATATTTCCCCAGGTCTCATTTGTCTTTACAAAATGTAGATCTTATTATGTCAACCTCCCAAAATACAATTTTCAATAGCTTCTCATTGCTCTACGGATGCAAAATTATACTCTTAAAATATGGCCATTTCCTTGCCCCTACTTACCATTGCAAATATTTCAGTCTTTTGTATTCCCACATATAACGTTTTTGTTTTTTCCTAGTCAGTCACCAACACTCCATCTGATTTTCGTCTGCTTTTATCTTCTTTGCCATTCTCTTTGTTGTTGTGCATTTATATTTTTATTATTCCTTTACTGTCATCTGAAGAATTGTCATAAATCAGAGATATCATTCTGCTCTTCAGAGTCAGAAGCCCATTTCATATTTGAAAAGTGTTTTAATAGATATATGATAAGGGAACTGTATTCAAGACTATGTGACACCTTATAAAATCTCCTTTTCTTTATTTATTAGAATAGGGATAAAATAATTTATCGTATCTAGAGTCTTTTTGAACATCTAGTATTTGACAAGGAACTAAATAACAAAATGATATAATCCTTGTTCTCAAAATCCTTGTTCAGTGTCAAAAGAGAAAATAAGTTACCTCCACTTGGATAAAACAAGAAACTTCATGGAAAAGATAGCATTTGCTAGATGTTTACATATGAATAAGATTTGAATATTTGAAATAGGAGAAAAAGAGCATTCCAAGCTTCACAGTGTCAGCAAGTACACAAAGAAGGGGAAGGAAATGGCCTGTTGCCACCTACAAAAGGATATAATCTATCTATCTCTCTATCATCTATCTATCTATCTATCTATCTATCTATCTATCTATCATCTATCTATCTATCTATCATCTAACTATCATCTATCTTTCTTATATCTATTTTTTATTCCACATAGCACTGATGAATTTGAACTAACTTATATGGCATAAATTTTTATTCTTTTTTTTTTTATAGATAGGGTCGCCCTCTGTCATCCAGGCTGGAGTGCAGTGGTGCAATCAAGCTCATTTTAGCCTCAAACTCCTGCCCTCAGGTGATCCTCCCACCTCAGCCTCCCAAGTAGTTTGGATTACAGTCATAAGCCACCACACCTGGCAACATATTAATTCTTTATAGGAGCAATAACAATCTTTATGTTTTGTAAATATGGTTACAAATATATACACATTTCAAGGTACAGAACATAGTCTACTGGTTTAAATGTGGTCCACACTTAGTGCTATGGCCAGTGACTTGTGTCTCATTAACTCCATAAAGGTACCACCTGAGCTAGCTGTAATAAGAAGGTTGCATTACTTAGAAAGCTGTTAAGGTGAAGATGCTTTATAAATGCTGATTTTGTTATTCATTATATGCATGGAAAAAAATTCTATTTAAAAACAAAAATCTTCGAATACCTAAAAATGACTTTGACTAGGGTATTATTAGAGGAAAGAAATGAATACTATAATCCCCTGTAGATCCTAACACAGAATTGTAGAAAAGATATGTTTAAACTACCATTTCTGCCCCCTGGGAATTGTCTCATCAGCTCTTTTATTTCTCTAATATAATTGCATGACAGAACAAACACAAATTAATGCTACCAGGCCCCCATGGAATCCATTTTGCAGTGTTTATATGCACTACTGGACAACAAAAAGAGTAGCAGATGCCTCTATCAAAGAAGTATTGGTGATATACTGTTCTGTTTCTGTGAGCACAACACACAGTGAAAGTGCTTGTCAGTCATGAGAAGGCTTGGACTTCATTGAGATGGCTATAAGCTGCTTCTGAAACTACAGAACCAACGAGTACAGCTGGAGAACAAGTATTTGGTGCTTAAAAATATTGTGCCTCTAGGACTAATTATGCTTTTGCAAACTTAGTAAAACATTGCTGTTTATTTAAACTTCGGCTGTACAAGATCTCCCTCAAATGAATGGTAGCTATTCTGAAGCCTGCACATAAACATCTATTTTGTAGAGAAACTGGCAATTAAGAACTTGTAATGAATTCTAGCCTTTTTCAATCTCTTTAAAAGAACACCATGGAATCAGAGAAAACAAGATATGAGGATTCTTTAAAAATCTGCCCTGTCTTTTTCTGATGACGTTAAATATCAAAAAACCTATTTTTCTATGTGTTGTACATTTATATATTCATTTCCTATTACAAATCTTATATAAGTTATAATTCATGATTCTCTAGAAGGACTCCACATATAGTTAAACATTTTTAAATATCTGTGAGACTATTTGGGGCAGGTGTAATTCTAGAGATATTTATTTGTTGACACTAATTACATGATAGAGATTTTTTTATAGGTTAATTGGTTTTAAATTTACTTTAAACCCTTTAAAATATTCAGGGTGTATAATAGGACCATGTGAAGACATTTTATAAATACTGGATTTGTTTTATTGCATGTAAATGTATACTCAAAGTATAAACTCCTATATATTTAAGGCTTTTGAGAAGCATAACAAATGATTAAACCCTGTTGAGATTACAGGTAAATTATTCTCCTGAAAGCTAGTCGGGCAAATACAAAGGATATATATCTACCTGGATTTCAAGATTCGTATTTTATAAGTAACGAAATTCACAGCCAAATACAAAGTAAAAAGCGAAATATTTTAGATAGATATTTGATAATTGGATCAAAAGTTTAACCTTGAGAGGGCCAGATATTTAAGAGAAGAGGTGCTTTGTGATGATACTGAAACCACTACTATGAAATCCTTACTTCCTGCAAGGAGTGAATATTCTGGAAAAGGTCAGAGTGCTCCTTTGGTCTCCAATGGCGTTCTCCCCATGGATTGCACATGGTGGAGAGTCTTTTATCTACTGCAACTGTTGGTGCATTTTTGATATCCTGAGTCATAAAGTATTCATAGAGCAAGGAAAAGCAAACAATTACAAAACTAGAGAGGGCTAAAGCCTAAGTATTGCCTCACGCTAGATCCTTCTGCTTTAAATTTCATGAGCATTTAAGATTGAATTGGAATGCCATGCAAGTTTCAAGACAATTATTTGGACTTCACCTGCATCAGCCCATGCCCATAGTGCTTCTCTTTCTATAAATACAAAACAATTGAACAAAAACAACAATAAAAGGAAAATACTTATCATCTTTTTAGAAAGCAACATTAACAACAACAAACACATGCTGTCCCTGTAGAATCAACCATGGAATTATTCCTCAGAGACAGTATGCTATTATTAGTGAATATGCATGGCTTTCTATGTTTGGCTAAGATAACAATGAATTAATGACATTATACTCTGTCATCTCTTATATAGACAGGACCCTGGTATTTGTGTTATTTTCCCAATTGTCATGGTCAAGCTCTAAGGAGCTGCGGGATTCATTTATAAGATAAGTTCTCTCACCCATAAAAGAGAAGGTTGTGGGAAGGATTAAATGTCATTTTGAAAATCTCTAGCCTAGTACCTGTCACAGAGTAAATGTTCCGTAAATATTTGTTAAATTAAAACATGATTCCCTTTAGGATACTTTCAATCCAAATAGGGTCTCCTACCCCAACTCTGCTTTTAGTACTTGGCAATAATACCATTGATGCATTAATAAATGAAGTAAAGTGGATAAAAAAAGCACTTGCCTTTTCTCTTTCAATGACGAAATTAAGGTTCTATTCTATTTTAGCTGATGTTAAGATTGATCCTAAGCAGAATAAGACTAGGTGGCCACAATGTGAGATTTGAGGATCAGCAAAAAGAAACGTATTCACTCCCCTTTCAAAACAATTTCCTTTGTCCCCAGTACCTTGCATTTCCAAAAATTATCCTTTACATCAAGGTGTACTTTCTGGTTATATTTAGCTCTGTATTGTTAGCACACATCTTGGTGCTTAGCACATAAGGATTAATCCGTACATTTTTCTTGAAAGGTATTACTGTTGATTATAGTGTAGGAATGAGCAAAATGTTGTGGGAGGGAAGAGACGTAGTTGTTTGATACTAACTCAGATGGTGGCTAAAGGAGAAAGTTTAATGGAATATGTTCATTTGAGCTGGGCCTTGAGGATCTACTTATAGGGAAGGGTAGTAAAGAGTGAGGAAATTAAATGAAAAAGAGGAGTCAGGTGACTTAAGAATACATAAAAGGAGAGTAATAAAAAGAGGATGAAGAAGTGTGAAACATAAGTTTCACCTTCTTCACAGCTTTGCCAGCAGCAAACACTGCTGAGGCTGTTGGTCAGTGTGCCACTGGTACTTTGGGGTTAGTCCTCAGGCCCAAACAGTTCCATGCTCTAACTTCATTTTGTCAGTGCTGTCTCAAAGGGCACCTGTTTTCTGTAAAGGCATGTGGAAATCTAGCAGCTGAAAAACAAAACTGTGTTGGAAACAGCACAACAAAGCCAGAAGAACAGGTCAAACTGAGAAGAGGTCTCCAAAGAAAGGTAGTTGACAGGGTCGAAACTGAGGAGGCAAATTCTCAGGCCAACTGTGGAAGTGGGCAGTAGGTCATGAGTTAAGAATGAATGAGTTAAGAATATTTTTGTGCCAGAAAATTATAGTTGCAGTAAGTGCTGGGTCCTGGAGCAGTATATTACCAGGGAAATCACAAGTGCAGAGAAATACACCGAAGAAGTTTGAGTTAAATGTGAGTAGCTTGTGCCAACAGGGAACTCTTTCTTTGAACTTCCGAGACATCTCTGTAGCCACATTTTTTAAAGTATCTTTCTTAAATATTACTGTTACTGCTACATATTCCAGTCCTTAGTAGCAGTGTGACTTCGAGGTAGTAACTAACCTAATGGTAAGCTGGAGATAACTAGTACTAGATTGCAAGTGTCTATTTTTTAATTTTCAGGAAAATTGCAAGCCAATCATGAAATACAGCCTTTATTAAAAATTAAGTTACATAAACATAAAATAAAATATCCAGTGCTAAACAAAGGTAATTATTATTTTTATATTATGTGTGCAATACATACTTTATTTCAGTAATATATTAAAATAAAATTTTATAAATACATACTTTTTTTTTCAGAGGGCTGTTTGCTGGTTGTTAAATACTTACCAGCATGATACCAAAATAACTACTGTAAAATTTAGTTTTCTCATCTGATAAACATAAAAAGTAATGCTGCATATACATACCTCTTAGGTAGAAAAAAATTAGATAATACAATAATTAACAAATTAGAGACGTTACCATTATCACCTATTACTTTGTAAAATAAAAACTAAGATTTTGATAAATATTTGTAGCTAACTCTCAAATGTGCAATAAAATATTTTAAATATTTAAGCTACAAGATTAGTTTTCTAGTCAGAAATGATGTTTTTGCATATTTATTAAAAAGAGCTATTGGTTCCATTAGAAAGCCTGTCTGAAGACTCTCTCCAGAAAAAGCAAGTTTTGAGAGTTGCAGCCTATTAAAGAGTTGCTAAGGCAACCATTGCTTGCTACTAATGTAGTGATTAGAAAAGAAAAGGCAATTTGAGGAACAATGCTTCTCAAAATTCAGAAGAGAAATATAGCTGAACAAACCTCCAATTGAAAAAAAAAGTAGCCATGGGCAGCTTTGTTTCTTGAAATAGCAGAGAGAGAGAGATGGCATTCAGCACGATGGAAAGCAATAGAGGCCAGCACATGTTTGACCTCTTTTTAATTCCATTGCATTGATTTTTCATCATTAGTTTCTCATGATTTTAAAAGCAAAGAAATTAGAGACCCACCATAATAATCTTAACACCAGATTCTTGCATTTTGGTAATGATATTAAAGTATCTATTGCCATATGGTTGTAGCATACCCCAATGATCAGTTTATTTCTTTTAATGAATCAATAAATACTTAGAGGTTGGATTTAAAAACCGAAACTTGTACCCTGACAATAGCAAATGTTACATGTTCATGTGATACTACACCTTCAGAGGCATAGCAGTTTTTTCAGTTTATTGCCTTTTGAATTTTATCAGTATAACAAGAGTTGATTAATAAATTTGAATACTAAATTGAAGAATTTAAGTGAAATGTAGTAAATACATTGACACCTCTCAAATACTATAGTTACTTTAAATTCTTCATTAATTTTGTGATTTAGGTGATATTACCACTTTTCTTAATAATATGATTGAAATTTCTTGAGATTAAGTGCTGCAAATTGGTAAATGCCAACAGCTGGATTTTAATCTAAGCCAATTCTAATCTTAGATTTTTTCCTCACTGTCCTTAATAATAATAATGGTTATTCATACACATATTTAAAACAATTTTGTTGTATTCTCCTTTTTTCCATATATTGTTTTTCTGATAAAAAATACCTCATTATCCCAGTTGGATCTGATTAAAAGAGCCATTTTCCTTAAACACAATTATTTTAATTTTGTCTGTTGACCTGCTACAAATCACCTTGCAAATAAGTAGGAAACACAAAATCACATGCAGATATTAGGATTTAGATCAAACAGATATGTTCTTTGTGAATTCCTTAATTCTTAGGTTTGCATCTGGAAATCCTGGACACAAAAGTAAAGAAAAGAAAAGGCTCCCACTTATGAATTTGACTGTACCACATTACGATTTGACATGGACACATATTGAGGTTGCAAACAGCTGAAGCAGCAGCAGTAGCAGCAGCAAACAATGATTAGAACGTCTTTAAATCAAATCTAGAAAATGATCACCCCAAAGAAAGAAACTTCATATATTCAAGTAATAGATTGGCAATTTAAGACTTCATTCTATGCAGCCTTTTTTTTCTTTTTATCCTGTTGGCTATTTATTCTACATTTAATCTTCTCTGACTCATAATCTCCACGTTATATTTACACATTTACAATTGCCAAGTTATGCATTTTTTACAATAATAAATATATTTCAAAACATATACACACATAAATCGTCAATGCAAAAAATCAATGCTTCTTGCCATTTCATCAAAAACAAGAAGAAATTAATGGGTACTATGATATCAGTGTTCTTTAGGGCTGTTTAAATTGGAAACATGCTTAAAGGGCAAAGGCAAAAAAAATTGATTAAAAAAATCCTAATTCCCAGAGACTTCACTGAATAATGAGCTCTAACTAGGCATGGAAATTTGCTCACATATTATGCAGCTAATTTAGGAGATAATGAAGAATGGACTGTTGTAAAGGACACACATTATTTCCTCTGAAAAAGCTTTAAACAGTTTGCTAAGTCAAATTTAAAATGCTTTTAATTGCAGTTCTTTATTGTTGCCATGTAAGAACGTGGTTGAAGTCTGTTGAGCAGATTAGATCTCAGAGGAGATGAATACCAGTTAATACAAAAAGAGGCCTTGGAACTTACATTTTTAATGCATACGTTTTCTCAGTAAATCTTTTGTCTACAGTTGTAAGACGACCACTTATAAATGAATTTCTGCATCTCCTTTGCCTGTCTTATTACATATCAAATAGACATAGACAATTAGTTCTAATGGGAAGTCACCCATCATAGCATTGCTACCTATTTTTTTTTGATTTCTGGATATTTACTACTGTGTCTCAAAATTACCATCCTGTTCACTCATGTAAAACATTACTAGTCACATTTTCTCTGTTTCACATAATAATAATTAAATTTTATGTTTCTTCAGGAAACAAGCTTTTTCAACAGTTTTACTAAGTCAGCATTTTGTTTGTATTCAATTTATTTGAAAAGAGAAAGAAGGATGGATCTGTTATTTAACCAGCCTCTTCGGTTTACATAGTGCAATTTGAAAGCTCTGAACTCTTTCATTTGTAGTACACAGGAATCTCAATCTATGTCAAATTCCTGCAAACCGTCTCTGCATTTCTTAGGGATAATTTCCTTTTGAGAAATAAAACATACAGACCTAATCCATATCACTCAAAAATGCATACACACTACACCATAAGGTAGAATATAGCTTTCTATCACCAAAATTTGCTAAATTTTGAAGATGTAATTTAAAAGTTATCTGATATTCTATTAATTTTTGCAATATACATTTGGAATTTAAACAATTTAGGCAAAGTCATGAGATCAAGCCTTGCCATTAAGAATTTATTTTCCCCACTTATGTAAGTTTGCCAAAGTTATACTTTACATATTTGTTTGTTTATTTAACCACATGACCTATGTGAGATTAGGAAATATACATTTGGTCTTTGTCCCAGGTTCCTGACATAAAGCTCCTAAAATCATTGGAATCCCTAATGATTAGTGTATTTTGCACATTTATATGCTAATGAGATGACTGCTGGCTGGGGCCCCTTGATAGCTTTAGGATAAGGGCTGGTCACCAAAAAGACCAAAGCATGTTTTTTTTTTTTGTTTTGTTTTGTATTTTGGCATTATTGATTGGACCGAAGCCAATCAACTTAATGTTGGCATGATTGGACCAAAGCCACCCCAACCTCCAGGTAGGGAGAGAGGCTGAATGTTGAGGTGCTCACCACTGGCGAATGATTTAATTAATCATACCTATGTAATGAAGCTTCCACAAAACCCCAAAAGAATTGGTTTCAGAGAGCTTCTAGATAGCTGACGAATGTGAAGATTCCTGGAGAGTGACATGCCTGGGGACGGCATGGAAGCTCCGTGCCCCTTCTCCCATACCTTGCCCTATGCATCTCTTCCATATGACTGTTCAACTGTATCTTTTGGAGTACTCTTTATAAGAATTGAGTAACGTAAGTAAAGTGTTTCCTTAAGCTCTGTAAGATGCTCTAGCAAATTAATAAACCTGAGAAGAGGTTTATGGGAGCGCCCAGTTTATAGCCAGGGAGGTCAGAAGTACTGTATAAGTGACAATCAACTACTCTCAAGTGGCATCTGAAGTGGAGAGCAGTCTTGTGGGACTGAGCCTTCAACCTGTGGCACTGATGCTGTCTCCAGGTAGACAGTATCAGAATTGAATTGAATAAGAGGGCACCCAGCTGGGGCCAGCTGGAGAATTGCATGGTTAGTGCATGGGGAAACTCCCCAACATCTAATGTCAGAAGTGTTGTGTTGAGTGGAGAGTAGTGTAGGAAAGAGCACTTTTTTCTCCCTATATCTTTAGAGAACCTGTTTTACCAAATGTAACACAAACAGAGTCACATCTATCCCCCTTCTCCAGCAACCCATCTCCTGTAAGAAACTTGTAGTACATGCCCTTATTATTATAGTGTTTTCCTTTTGAAGTCCCTTCATTTCAACCTTAAAACTAATTGATGGCAAATCTAAACTCATATCCAAATTTTGTTACTTCAGGTCTTGTTTTCTTCCTTTCACAAGAGTTTTAATTTGTTGGAAATTAGAATCAAGATTTTTTTATTCAAAGTACATGAAAGTGGAGAGGCAGCCACATACTCACTCATACAACACTAGGACTTCATACATCTCCTCTTTCTAGAAGTCCTACTTATTTTCTGAGCCCCAGTTGCAACGTAATTATCTACTAAGCATCTCTACCAGAATATTCCAAAGTGAGTTCTGAGTCAGTAAATACAGCACAAGCCACACTTAAAATTTTCACTCCTAACCAGTCTTTTTTCCCAAATTCCCTAGCTGGTTAAATGCTATCACCATTTAACCAGCCATTCAAATATATATTTTACTGATCTTTTCAAGTATTCTCTATCCCTAGATTAACATATTTACTGAATTTCCAAGTCTGTACTTTAATTAAAAATTAAAGTGATGTCACTAATATACATCTATCCTTCCTATTTCCTATTGCCATTGTTGGAGCACTAGTTCATCTTTCACCTAAACTTTCACCATCACGCTTCACTCTCCACGTAATACAATTGAACTTCCATGCTGTTGTTATAATTAATTTACAAGACACCTGTGATCATCATGCACTTTCCTTTACTCAGAAAAACCTTACTCATTCCTTTTAACATATAAAGTTCCAACTCTTTTGCATAATACGCAAGATTGTATCAAATGCTGTAAGTCCTTTGCCATATTAATCTGATTTTAACTATTTCAGGATACTCTTCCTGATAATATTGATTTCTCTGCAATTTGCAGATGCATATAGGAAGTTGCATATAGGAAGATTCATATAGGAAGATGCGTATAGCTGGAGAATTAACACTCTCCAGGAACCGCTCTCAAATAATGCCACTTGGGAGCTGATAAGATCATACCTCAAATCTCATGCACACTTTGGGAAGGACAATCCTAGTGAGTGTTTTACACCATTTCTTATGTTTCTCATGAGATTAAGCTCCAGACACCCAGTCACTCTTGCCGTGGTAATTAGCTTGATAATGCAAACCCATTGGCTGCATTCTCTTATTTGATCACTTCTCCACTCCTCTACTGGTGCCCACCCCTTCCAAGTAACTACTTGTATTCAAATTATTGTCTCATCGTCTGATTCTGGGAGCACAAATTAAGAAAAATATCTTTCCCAGTGAGCATTCCAACTTCATCTAGGCCACTTTAAGCCATATACCTATAATCTAGTTCAATCAAAGCTATCTATCTTTCTTAAAGTAAACAAATTCCCAATCTGTGTACATTTATTTATACATTCCTCTTTATCTCTAATGTCTTACTTCTCTCCTTTTGGGGGAAAAATTCATATTTCAAGATCTATTAATAATGTGTCTCTTCTTTGAAATATTTTCTAAATCCCAACTCAAAACTATTGTTTCTTCCCTCCTTCCATAGTAGAGTATTAGAACTTCATTATTCATCATATTATGTCACAGTTAATTGGTGTCTGCATGTTGCTCCTCCTGAACTCTTTATGAGCTCCTTGATGGAGGTGTCAAATTAAAATTATGAGCTGATTTTCCCACAAAGCATTACAAGAAATGATGGTTATATTCTAAAGCAGAAATTTACAAGAAAATATGATATGCTTTTTACCACCTTCTACTTTTAGCTCGTATGTATTAGTCTGCCCAGGCTGCCACAACAAAACACCATTGACTAGGTGATGTAACAGTAGAATTTTATTCACATTTCTGGAGGTTGTAAGTCTGAGATCAGGGTGCCAGAATGGTTATGTTCTGGTAACAACATCTCTCTTCCTGGCTAGCAGACAGCCACTTTCTTGGTCTGTCCTCACATGGCAGAGAAAATAAGCTAGGTCTCCAGAGTTTCTTCTTATAAGTGCAATGATCCCATCGGGAGGGCTCCACTCTCTTGACCTAATTACCTCCCAAGGGCCCCATCTTCAAATACCATCAGTTCTGAGGTTAGGGCATCTTAGGGGAACACAAACATTAGGTCCATAAGAACATGGCAGACAACTGGATGACCTCAGCATCTGTTATTGTTAAACTCAGATCAGGTTCCTAGTTTTACTCTAAACAGAACTTCGATCAATGCATAGCTGCCATGTACAACTGTGCAAACTGTGCTATTTATAAACCCAAGGGTGCTATTTATATTAAGTTAGGATATGAAGAAGGCTTCTGGAGTTGGAGGAGCCTTGAGCTTTTCCATCTCTCCATGTATTTCTCTTTTCTCTGTCCTTACAAACAGTCTGTATTCTCCTTATGCACACTCCTTAGAACTCATAATAGTATATGAGCCTGTATTTTCAAACATATAAATATGGTTTTTAAAATTAGGTTTCATTTACCCAATTTTAATCATATAATTTATCCTTTCTGAATTTTGTTTTTTCTTCTTCAAAACTACGTAACGGAAATAAGAACTAATATTCTTCTGTAGCTCTAATCATGCTTAATAGCTCCATAATAGTTCATAGGTGTCTGTGCCATATTTTATTCAGAAAGTAATGGCCATTTATTTGCTTCCTGGGTTTTGCCTCCACAAACATTTGCCCCCACAAGGTTTCTTCCCCCACAAACAATAGATCTATTTCTACCTATATCTTTATATGTATTTTTATTTGTATGGGGTATATTTCCTGAAATAGAATTGCTAGATTGACTAATGTATCAGGTTTTAACTCAAGGGGCTAAAAGTCTGCTTCCCCCAAGTGGTAAACAATTCACTTTTCTACCATCAATGTATGAGGGAATCCCTTTCACCACATACCTGTCAACAATACATTTTAAAACAATTTTCAAATATTTTGCCAGTCTAATGGGAGTAAAATAATTTCTCATTGTTAATTTTCTTTTGCATGCCTGCTACTGAATTTTAGTATTTCTTCATATTTCTCTTGGCCATTTAAATTTACTCTGCTAAAAAACTTCTGTTAATATCTTTTGTTCATTGTTTTTTCCTAGATGATTTTATTTCAGATCACTTAGTTCCAAATAGATATTAACTCCTTCATTTATCATCTGAATTGCAAATTTTTTAGACTCATTTTATTTTCACTGAAGTTTTGGTATCTTTAATGATGTAAAGTTTTAAAATTGTTATGTCATAGTGTCTATTATTTGTGGCTTCTTTGTTTTCAGTCTTGACTGAGCAAAATATCATATTGTTTATACATGCAACTTTTCTATTTTATTTGCAAGATTTTCATTTCTTCTCTACTTTTCATTAATTCAATTGAAATTATTTCTTTATTGAATTATTTTATTTTTTCTTCCAGATGGAAGTCTATTGTCACAGTACTGTTCAAATTCTTTCATGTTTTTCCTAATGTATTGAATTAGCTCTGTCAATATTATATTCTCATACATGTCTTATTTCTTTTTTATATTTAATTAGCTTTTGTATTTTATTAATTCATTTTTATGATTTTCTTTGGTTTATTTAGTGAAAAGAAAAACTTCATTCCCTGAGAAGGACACTGAATTTATTATTTTGTTCTTTTTTGATAAGCATGACAATTAAAATTATACTTTTATCCTCTAAATACAGGTCTTGCTTATTCTTTAGATTTCTTGCAAATAATTCTCCTTTCATTTCTTACTAGATAGTTTAGAATTTTTATTTTTTGTGTGTATCTTTTACCTAAGTATTATCCGGGAGCTGTTCATTAATTTTACGGAATATTTTGGTAATTAAAAAATAATTCCAATTTTATTGACAACATTAGAGAAAGTGGCCTTTCAAATCTCTATATTTTTCACTAACACTAGAGCTTCTTAAATTGTGTCTTCATCATTAGTTCACTATCTCCTATTTATTATTTTCAAACTTAAATATCACCATGTCTGATATTAATATTGCCATTCTGTTATTTTTAGATAGTACCTGTGTTTTATCTTTTTGCTTTTCTTTATTTTCAATATGTACCAATTAGCCATTGATACAAAATAATCCAATCTATCCCCAAAATTAGTGGCTTAAAATAACGACTGTATATTCTTAAAGAGGCAGCTGGTTGTTGTCTTACTTTGGCTGTTCTACTCATGGATCTGTTGTAAACTGCAGTCTCAGTAGGTGGTTCTGCTGATCTATGACCAGTTTTCTGAAATATTTGGGAATTGGCTATAGGCTTATCTAGGATGGTCTCAGATGGGAAAACTGGACTTTCATTCCGTGTGGATTTTTACCCTCCAGCAAGCTAGCATAGGCTTTTCCATGATGGTGGTAAGGTTTCAATATAGGTCAGAAACATGCAAGATTGTCGATTTTATCAAATTCATTTGGCCAGAGCAAGTCCCAGGAACAGCTCTCCCCTTGATTCTGAGTCCCAGAAACAGCTCAGAATGAAGGAGTGAGGTGATAGACTCCACATCTAGTTCAGAGGAGTTACATAGGAAAAGGGTATAGAAATAACATGGTTGGAAAACTGGAGTTATTTTTGCAGTTATCTCTCAATAGATCTCACTTTACTGATTTGTTTTCTAAGTGTCCTTATGATAAACAGCATTTGTATAGGTTTTAGTTTTTAATTCAATTTGATAGCCTCTGTATTTGTAAACAAATTTAGATTATCGATTCGTTTTTTTCAATTCCCCATTTTTGATGGCTGGATCTAATTGGTTTGTTCTTTCTTTCATTTGCTTTTTTGAAGTTCTCTGACACTTTTTCTTGCTAATGACTGCTTTTGCTTTCTTTATTTTAATGGAACACATAGCATTCTACTATATTTTTAAAGATAGTATCAGTCGTTTCATCTTCGAGATGCATTGTTTTTCCTACTACAATGTTATAGTCCTAAACACCACTCTCAATTAAGAGAAGATAATTAGAATAATTTTACTCCTTCCCTTCTTCCCTTTTATGTCCAGTGAGCTGATTGGCTTGCTTTCCTTCTTTCCATTATTTAGAAATGGTTAAGATTTTTCTGGTAGTAATATTTCCATTTTCTTTTCATATTTTGGTTCGCATGAAAAAATCATCACATCAGATTGGCTAGGTTCAAGATGCTACTTGTGATTGTGCAACTTATGTTTTGCACAACTCTAGAGAACACATTCACCTCACATTCATCCTAGATTTGTACAGTTATAACAGTAAAATTTGGGCAGATATTATTAAAGTGTCTTGAGACAGTGGCATCTTTTTTAAAATTTTATTCTACATTACCATATGGACTAGGGTTGTGCTGGCACAATAGGATAAGGCAATCAGTACAACCAGCCTTAGGTGGTCTGATTACCACAGGACTTTTGGCACTGCAACTACTGAGATGAGTTGGAAGTATAATGAAAGAGAAGAATGTGTAAAATCATTCTTTAGGATAGTGGAAGACTGAATGGATAGCTATGTAGAAGAGATAACCCAACTGAGATTAGGAGTTGTAAATTTAAAATTTAATCAGTCAGCATGGGTATGAGTTTTTCTTCTTCTTTTTTTTTAATCCTCCAGCTATTTTTAGCTGCAGAAGAGCACGCCAGAAGTGAGAAGAGAATTAGATTTAATCAGGGTTGGAATTTTCCAGGGGAGGACAAAGAATTAAAGAGAGGCAAGGGAGCTGAAGATATATGCAAATGAATGATTGTAATGAAGTCGCATGCTAAATTTATATTAAAGCGGATATGGGCATAATTGATAGTAGAAGCCAAATGTTGCATAAATTTTTAAATAAAATACAAACTTCAAGAGAAAATTTTTCTTTTGGTCTTGCTTAGCCTATTATATTGCGGAACTAATAGAGAGCTGTTCACCGTAATGGGATCAAAAGGACTATGGAAAGGAAAGTTTGAGAATTGTGTGAGAAAATCTGTTCAGTCTATGGCCATACCACCCTGAAATGCACTAGATGTCATCTGATCTCGGAAGCTAAGCAGGGTCGGGCCTAGTTAATACTTGGATGGGAGAAAATATGTTCAAACTAAAACTATTAATATAAATTTAATATATTATTGTTATCTGTGATTTTAATAATAATCCAGATAATACTATTTCAAATTTGATCAATTTCAGTGGGTGCATGAAAATATTTTGACCAATTGAAAATTGTGAAACATTTTTACAGCTATAAACTTTCATTGCAGAACATATATTAGTCAAAATGTTTAACTGTTACTAATAAAACAGATGCTTATAATAAATAACAACTAAAATAGTTCTACATTTGAAAGTCATGATTATACAGATAAAGGAAAAGAAAAATTCAGCTACAACTTTTTTAATAAGTTGAAAACATACTACATTTTTTTCCTTTGAAGATTTATAGTTTTCTTACATAGATTTATTTTTAAATTTAGAAATGACTTTATAAAGCAAAATTTAAAATATGGCATGCATAATTCCTACATAGTAAGTGATTTTTTTAAACACATTCTGAATTTGTTTCAATCTAATGAAGTTTTACAGTGCAGACTTGTTCAATGACTATTTAACTTGGACTTATGTCCTTTTTCATCATCTAACATTTATAAAGACAGAGCCTGCCTGAAAAAAAAAATTTAGTCTTCATAGTACTAGAAAGGTATTTTAAAATATATACTCAAACATTTAGTGTATTCACTAGAGCTGATTGCTATAAATATTTTACAGATTTAAAATACAGAATTCACAGAAATAATTTTGAATCTTGGAGAAATTATTAGGAAGTACTACCAATTTATGGTAATTAAATAATTTGTTTAAGTAACCATCAGTAACGGACTATGGATAAAAATGCAGAATGATGGGCACAAAGTAGAAAAACACATGCCAAAGGTAACCAGAAGTTCTGAGAGAGCTAGAGAACTTGTTAAAAAATTTTATTTTCAAAGCGATAAAGAAGGCTTATGTTGTTTCTAATGGATCTGAAAATATAATAATCTTGAGAAATGCTGACCCCGAGGGAAGCTTAGACAGTTCAACTTCTTTTATCTCACCTTTATAGGTGAGAGCCATACTTCCTGTCAAATGGGTTTCTTGTAGAAAAAATGGAGCCACTTTTCTTGGTACATTTCAAATCTCAGTAACAAAAACATGTCAACTAAGTTAGGCTACTCTCTCCTAAGATGTCACATTATTGCTGTATCACTTTTTGTCTTAAATAATGCTCATACTTAATATTGTATTTTCTTGTTTATTGTGAATTATATTAAATGTATAAATAGGTCAGTTGTGGTGGCTCATGCCTGTAATCCAAGCACTTTGGGAGGCAAAGGTGGGTGGATCATTTGAGGTCAGGAGTTTGAGACAAGCCCGGCCAACACGGTGAAACCTCGTCTTTACTAAAAATACAAAAATTAGCCGGACGTGGTGGCAAGCACCTGTAATGCCAGCTACTTGGGAGGCTGAGGCGGGAGAATCACCTTAACCTGGGAGGCAGAGGTTTTTGTGAGCCAAGATCGTGCCACTGCACTCCAGCCTGGGAGCAAGACTCTGTCTTTAAAACAAAATAAATAAAATAAAATAAAATAAAATAAAATAAAATGAAATAAAATAAAATAAAAGTGTACAAAGTATGTAAACATACCTTTACAATCTAAGTAATAGTATAACAATGATTGTTTGCATTGAGATAGGCAAATTAACCTTCATTCTTAAATTGTTTTATATCACTGGTTATTTCCCTGTGTAATTAAAAAAAATTTTTTACAATATCTTTATAATAACCAAAGTAATTTCTTATTTTGTATGCTTTTATCTCAGTTTTTCTTTTAAAACAACTGTTTGTCTATTTTGTTGAAATTGTTAAGGTACAGGATTTTGATTTATTAATTTAATCTATTATTTTTACTTTATCTTATTTTATATTTTTATCTTTATTATATTATTCCATGTACTTACTTTGGGTTTACAGTAGTCTTTATTGTCAAGCACTTTGACTTAGAAATATAAGCATTTATGTATAATTATTTACTTTATATTGATATAGATGTTTAGAGCTAGAAAATGTCCAATTATTGTTGAATGCACTTGTTAAATTCTAACATGTAGTATTTTATTTGTTATTATTTTCAGATACTCTATAATTTCTGTCTGCATTTCTCCTTTCACCAGAGTTGTTTAATAGAATATATTCTAAGTTTCCAGTTGGAAGGGATTTTTTTGTGTGGGGACAAAGAATAGGAATAGGAATTCTTAATTTTCAGTTTTATGAATGGCAGTCACACAGAATGGTTATAATATTTTTATTTTATAGATGGTCATTTTTTGTGGATGCTCCATATAAACTTGAGGAGATGTATTCTTTACTATCTGAATGTAATATATGTTTGGATCTACCTACTTATTTTTTGTCCACTTGATATATCACATATTGAGTGTGGTGTATTAAAGGCTACTATTGTTATTCTGTTTCTTTCTATTTCTCTTTACCATTTTTAAACTTTTGTTTTATGTAAATCATTATTGTGTCATTTGGTGCATATATATTCATATTTTTACTGTGGGTGATATAGTTTAGACATTCGTCCCCATTCAAATATCACGTTGAAATGTAATTCCCAATGTTGGAGCTGAGGCCCAGTGGGAGGTGTTTGAATCATGGGGATGGATTCCTCATGAATGACTTAGGCCATCCCCTTGATGATAAGTGAGCTCTCTTTCTGAGCTTCCAGGAGATCTGGTCATTTAAAAGTGTGTGGCACCTTACCCCGCCCCACCCACTCTCTCTCTCTTTCTCTTCCTCTACCATGTGGGATGTCTGGTCTCTCTTAACCTTTCGCCATGAGTAAAAGCTCCCTGAGACCTCCCCAGAAGCTGAGCAGATGAAGGTGCCATGTTTCCCTTAAAGCCTGCAGAACCATGAACCTATTAAACTTATTTTCTTTGTAAATTACCCAGTCTCTGGTACTTCTTTGTAGCCATGAAAAAACAAGCTAATACAGTGGGACATGGCTTTTAACTTCAGAGTGTTCTTTGGTTCATTTAATGCTTTTGATTAGATTTTGCTTTGTTATGTGTCAGGATTTCAGCCCTTACTTTTTTGTTCTTCCCATTCACCTGGCAAATCTTTGTCCCTCACTATTAGGTCATTTGTATAGATTATAAAATAGGTTTTGCTTTACTCAGCAAATTGCAATTATATTTGGTCTCAATTCTATCATATTATCTTATTTGTATATATTCTGTGTGATTTATATTTGAGTTTATTTCTGTATTTTATATGCCTATTTTGTTTTTAAATGTATTTCTACTATTTAGGAAGGTTTTTAAAAATATGCTAGTAGTTACTTTTGTGTGAATACTACCTTTAGTACCCTTAATTCCCTCTATCTAACCTAACTGTAACCTTAACCATTTGATATGCCAGTTATAAATGGCATTCTTTTGACTCCAACCTAGTTCCTATTAAAAAACTATGATCTTATCCTACTTCTCCCTTTTTCTTCTCTTTTTAAATAATTCTGAATCATTTCTACCTTTTTCAAAACATGTTGTGTTTACATATGTATTTATTAATGACACTAACATTGTTTTAGTCTTAACCGTCTAAATAAATGTTTTAAATAAGAAAAGTATTCATTATTAGTAACTTTAAGAAAGCTTTTCCAGTCACTGTTTTGTTGGATAAAGCTTATCCTTTAGTATAGGTTGACAAACTAAGGCTAACAGGTCAAATTAAGCTTGCTTCTTGTTTTTATAATTAAAAAGTTTTATTGTAATGCATTAATGATTTCATTATGTAATATGTATGTACTATCTGTGTCTGCTTTTGTACTGCAATACCATAGTTGAGTGGTTTTGATAGAGACCAAATGATCCCCAAAGCCTTAAATATTTACTATCAAACGTGTCATAGAATAGTGTGCTAATCTCTGCTTTAATATTCTTCAGGAAGGACACATGTCTACAGTATTCACTGAGTTCTGGCTCCTCTTAACACTGTTTTTCCTATTGCCTTTGCACTTGCTAACAGCCTAGGTGGTTTGTACTGATTTGCTTAAGGTTCTTGAAATTACATTTCCATTGTTGCCTTGTACATTGCTTGTGAGAAATCTAATGCCAGTATAATTATGTTGCTTTGAAAGTTTCATCTCTTGCTTGTTGAATTTTTTTAAATCTTTAAATTCTAGTCATTTTACTGCAATATATATTAGAGATTATTATTCTGGGTCAACATTTGTCAATACCCAGTTGAACTAGTGGGATCTTTCAATGTATAAATTCAGATCTTATTCTTGGAAGTTTTCTTTAAAAGTTTTAATTATTACCTCTGTTATGTTGTTTTGATTTTGTTCTTTAGGGATATCAATTATACATATGATTTACCTTCTTTGCTGGCCTTCCATTTCAGCTATTTTCTTTCTAATGCTTTTTATTTCCTCATTATAATCCTTTTGGTTTTTGTTCTTTTCTATTTTGGCCTTAATTAAATTTTTGTTTAATCTTTTCTCCCTATGGTGGCTTATAATTTAGTTTGTGTTTCTAGTTATTTACTTAATATATCTCATACTGAGAGTATGATCAATATGTTATCTTTCTTTTCTATTTATTTGCTAAATTTAATTCTTGTTTTATTCCTTCCAGCTTTTTCTGTTGTTTTTGTTGTTGTTGTTGTTGTTGTTGTTGTTCTTTGCTTTTGATTTTCAGATTCAAAGTATTTCTTCACATACCTAAAGGCTTGTTTGAGGATATTTAATTCAGTTGGGGTATTGTTTTTCAGTTTTCTTCAATTTTGTGTTTTTTGGGGTAATGAGACTTTGTTAATAGGAAAGTTTTTCCATGTATTTTCTAATTTTTTTGTATTACTTTTGTATGGATGTGGTCTACTTTCCCTTTTCCAATTAATTTCCCATAATGAATTCTTAGTTTGAGAGCCCCACTCAGCAGTTTCTATTACAGATAGTGACGGTGCTTGGGAGGTGGTTGAAGTGAAGTATTAATGATTCTTGTTTCACTCTTTTTTTGTCTCTTAGTTTCTTTGTTCCATTTATTTCCATACCTTTTTCTTCCATATATATTCCTCTCTTTCAAAATTAACATTTCTTGAGCTGCCACTTCTTGTTCTATACACTTTCAAGTCCTTTTTCTAAAAGGAAATTTCATCTGTGTTTAGTACTTTGGGATTTATTTCAATTAATCTTATGGGGAAATCTTAATATGTCTTTTGTTTAATCCATTCCTCTCTGCTCTTTACATGGAATCTCTTAAGCACTTCCCACCCAACCCAACATATCCCACATTCTCAGAGATAGTAGGGAACTTATTTATAGGCTATTTGAAAGTTGATATGTACTCTGTTAGTAACACTAAAATTGTGAGACCTATCCAGTTCAATTTGCTTGCATTGTTCCCATTCCTTGGGAAATATTAGGGTATTTGTTAAAAAGGCAGATCAACTGAATGAGATGGGTTGCATAATTCTGAATTTTAATAAACTCTCCAGTAATCAAACTGAAGTTTTAGATTCATTAATACTTGAACTAACTTGTATCATAATACTATGACATACTGATATGTTTTGGCTGTGTCTCCACCCAAATCTCATCTTGAATTTTAGCTCCCACAATCCCCTGTGTCATAGGAGGGAACAGAGGAATGTAATTGAATCATAGGAGTGAGTTTTTCCCATGCTGTTCTCATGATAGTGAATAAGTTTCTTGAAGTCTTATGATTTTATAAAAGGCAGTTCCTCTGCACATGCTGCCTTGCCTGCTGCCATGTAAGATGTGCCTTTGCTCCTCTTTCTCCTTGGTCCATGATTGTGAGGCCTCCCTAGCCATGTGAAACTGTGAATGCATTAAACCTATTTTCTTTGTAAATTACACTGTCTTAGGTATTTCTTAATAGCAGTATGAAAATTGACTAAAACACATACTCTGTGTAGCAATGCACCACTATGTAGGTGATTATGGATGAATAATAAATTTCATCTAACAAAACTTTTCTATTTGTTATTACACATTTCCTCTCATAAATCTGAGATCTAAAATACATACAAAACATCCATTTTAAGTCGAGGGTACAAATTATTTTCACTGTGGTCACTACTGGAATCAAGTCAATTTAAGGAAACCAAAGAAGAGGAATAAATGAACAATGCCTTCAGAACACTGCCAGTGGCCGTAAAGTGTTTTTTCTCCCTATGTTACTTTGCTTAATAAATAAATCCCTAAAAAGAGAATTTGAATAGAGTATCTTGATTTGTGTGCCTGTCCTTGAAAAAGTGAAGGTAATTGGAATAGATGAATAAAATTTGACAATCCCAGTAGAACCACAGAAATAGTAAAACAGAGTTCTCCAGTGAGAAAGCAGAATGTTGCTACTGAAAAAGGAGAAGAGATGTTGGCTAGACATAAATGATGAATGTCTATTATACAGATTTACTATTCAGTACAATCAACACTTCAGGAATATATGGTTTAACATTGAGTTATCTTGGCAACTATGAACATATATCACACTGTATATCATCTTTAACTTATCGAAATGATTGGATTCTGAAGTCAAATTCTCAAGATTCACACTTAGTAAGGTTTTTACTCCGTGAAGAGTTTCAAAGATTTTTATCTAGCAAAAATATTATTAGGTATTACATATAAATTTATTTTTACTTTTAAACTTTATTTTATACATGGTCTTACTATGTTGCCCAGGCTGATCTTGAACCTCTCCTGTCAAGCATTCCTCCTGTCTCACCCTCCCAAATTGTTGGAATTACAGGCTTGAGCCACTGTGCTTGGCAGTATCAAATTCTAAGAGTAATTTCAAGGATACAAGAAATCAAGAGGCTAGAAGAAGCATGGAATGTTTTTGGAGATTGAGGGCTATTCTGAATATTTCTTTTCTGCATGGAGGCACCCTGTTGTCTCAGAGTAGATAAGGCCTCCAAGTGAGGTACTAATTTTATTACCTCACATAGCAAGAAGTGTTCAGTCTTTTTATAACAGAGAAGTGATGACATTTTCCGGAGATCCACATCTTATAATGCATAAATTCTAAGTGTATTCGTCCATCCTTGCATTGTTATACAAAAATAATGGAGACTGGGTAATTTATAGAGAAAAGAGATTTAATTGGCTCCCACTTCCACAAGCTGTATAGGAAGCATGGTTGGGAGACCTCAGGAAATGTACAGTCATGGCAGAAGGGGAAGGATAAGCAGGCATGTCTTACATAGCCCAAGAAGGAGGAAGACAGTGAAGGGGGAGGTGCTACATACTTTTGAACAACCAGATCTTGTGAGAACTCACTCACTCTCAGGAGATCAGCAAGGGGGATGTCCGTCCCCATGATTCAATTACCTCCCACCAGGCCCCTGTTCCATATTTGGGGATTACAATTAAACATGAGATTTGGGCAAGGACACAGGTCCAAACTTTTAGTTTATCACGAAACTGTTTCTATAAGCAATTGCCAACCAGGCATGTTATGTTAGGAACGTTTCTCAGATATACCTCCAAGTAAACCCCCCTACTACTAAATATAGCTATTCTATATACTCGGAGGTCTAATAATTATGTTAACAAGAAGATAAATTAGAGCATCTGCCTTCTTTTCTTTGTCTCAGGGATGTTCCTCTGATAAGAAGGAAAGAACAGCCTAAAAATCAGATCCTTTAAGTTCTTTTTTTTGGTAAATTGACAATATGTAATTGTATAAAGTTATGGGGTACAAAGTAGTGTCATGTTTATGAATACATTGTAAGTAATTAAATCAAGCTAAGGAAGATATCTATCACCTTAAATATTTAAAAATTTTGTTCTGAGAACATGGGAAATTTATTCTCTTAGCAATTTTGAAATGTACAATTGTCTATTATTAACTATATTCACCATGCTGTGCAATGGATCCGAAAACAAACATATTCCTTTTCTCTGAGATTTTGTACCCCTTGATTATCATCTCCCAAATCCTTTAAATTATTTTCTGCATATTTTAAATAGCTTCTGAAAATGATTGAGTTAGAAATGTAGAGATATACTTTTCTATAACGATGCTTTAAACTCTTGGAAGACATTTCTGCTTGGACTGCCCTGTCTCCAAATGGCCACTTGGCACTTTCACTCATTTATTCTAATTATTCAAATGTTACCTTCTTAGTGAGGTCCCCAGTACTACTCTATTTAAAATGATAAACCCCAAGATATTCATTTCCTCCTTTCCTGTTTTATTTTTCTCCAAAGTACTCATATCATTATTTAAAGTACTACATATTTTACTAGTTTATTTTGGTTTTCCTTATTTCTCATTCTTAACCCCACCATTAGCTTGTAAGTTACATGAGAATAGGTTTTTTGTTTTGTTTTTTGAAATCTGCTATAAAACTAGTGCATGGGCTGTAGTTGGAATGCAGAAAATATTTGTTGATTATAATGAAATGAATAAATTTTTCTAAAATCTATTTACTCTTCAATTCATTAGAAAGTAGGTGTAAAATGAGCTCCCCATTATATATTAAATTTTAGTGTTTGGCACCTTTTTTGAGGAATTTACTTCCATCTATTATTTTATAATAGGAACATACTTCCTTTTAAGATAATCATTCCTTATTATAAAGGCAACTAAAACTTCGATGACTTTGTTTACATATTTGGAATATGTAGATTACATAGCGTTTCTTTTGTCTAATATGTTTTTGAGATTCATCCATGTTGTTGAATGTAGCAGCAGTCTGTTCCTTGTTTTTATTGTGGAGTGGTGTTCAATTGTATATATAAACCATAATTAGGTTATCTGTTCGCTTGTTGAGAAGCATCTTTATTGTTTCCAATTTGGGGCTTTCATGAACATTGACTTAGAAATTTTTTTGTGAACATATATTATTGTGTCTGTCAAGTAAATGAATTTCTGGGCTATTTAATTATTAAATGCTTAAATGTATAATAAATTGCCAAAAAATTTTCCAAAGTGCTTATACCATTTTATGTTTCCACCACTAAATATTGAGCATTCTAGTTGCTCCATATGCTTGTCAACACTTTGTATTTCTAGTTGTTTAAGTTTTCCTTATTTAGTGGGTGTGTATTGCTATCTTATTGTTAATTTAATTTGCATTTCCGTGAATACTAGAGGTGTTAAGCATTTATTCATATCCTCATTGGTTATATGTATTTTTTACTAAGCATTCGTTCATATTAATACCCTGTTTTTATTTAATTCTGATTTTTTTCTGAGATACATTCTCATGCTGTTGCCCCAGCTGGAATGCACTGATGCAATGATGGCTCACTGCAGCCTTGAAATACCATACTCAGGTGATTCTCCCACTTCACCCTCTCCAGTAACTGGGACCATAGGCACATGCCACCATGCCCTGCTAATTTTTAATATTTTATTGCACACACAGGGTTCTCTCATGTTGCCTAGGCTGGTCTCAAACTCCTGGACTCAAGCAACCTGCCCACGTCAGCCTCCCAAAGTGCTCTTATTATGGGATTGAGCCACCATGACAGTCCTAGCTTATTTTTAAATTGTTATCCTCTTAATGAAAATTCTTTATATATTCTATTTACAAATCCTTTGTTATGCTGTGAATATTTTCTCCCAGCGTGTGACTTGATTTTTAATTTTTAGAAGTGTCCTTGGAAGTTCAGAAGTTTTGCATTTTGATGAGGTCCAATTTATCATTTTTTTCTTGTATTAATTTTGGTGACTTACCAAAATGGGTTTTGCCTAGCACAAGACTCTAGGGATTTTTTCCCACGTTACCACTAAAAGTTTTATAGTTTTGTTGTTTATGCTTAGGTATATAATCCACTCTGAGTTTTGTTTTGTGTTTTTTTTTTTAAGGTGTGAGATTACAATAAAGATTTAATTTGTTTCCTAATGTAAGGGTGGTTTTTCCTGTATGATTTGAATTAATTGACCATAAATTGGTAAATTAATTTGGAAAGTTAATTGACCATAAATTTGTACATTTATTTCTAGATTCTAGCCTTTTCCACTGATCTATGTATATCTTTATGCCAACACTTCACTGCCTTAATTACTATGGACTTAAATTGTGAAATTACATAGTGCTTTTTATCCTTTTCTTTCTTACTTTAAAGATTGATTCTGCTATTCTATTATGTTTATATTACCATATAAATTGTAGAATAAATTAATCAATTTTAACAAAAATTCTGCAGAGATCTTGATTGAAATTGCATTAGATCTATGTATCTGTTTAGAAAAAAAGTCAGGTATTAAAAATATTGAGTCTTCCAAATCATGAACTTGACCTACTTCTTCATTTATAAGATTTTCTTGAGTTACTCTCATTAATATTTTGTTGTTTTTATTGTACAGATTTTGTACACATTTTTAAAATGTATGACTAAGTATTTTATTGTTGATGTCACTTTAAATGACATTGTTTAATTTTCAAATTATTTATTGCTAATATATACAAATACTGTCTATGTTTGTATATTGAACTTATATACTAGTAAATAACTACATTTACTTTGTTTCAACAATTTTGTTTTGTAGATTCATAGTTTTTATGCACAAGATCATGTTTTTTGATGTGAGTGATGGTTTTTCTTATTTTGCCATCTATATAATTTTTATTTATTTTTAATGCTTTATTAATCTGGTTAGATCTTCCAGTATAACGTTGAGTAGATATCTTAAGATTGGAAGTCCTTGCCTTATTACTGATCTTAAGAAGATTTGAACAATACTATTAACATATTTGGAACAATTTGCATTTATAGAATACTACATTTAATGTCAGAATTCATATTGTTTTAATTGCACTTGAAAATATATATGCCAAAAGCATAAATCTCAATCTCAATATATTTCACAATATTGAAACCACACAGGATATACTTTCTCACCACAATGTAATCAAAGAGAAATAAAAATCTCCAAAATTAGGTCATAAGCAAATATTTATTTTAATAAGTAGAGAAACAAAATTTGACAAACAAAACCTATCCATAATAAAACTCTCATCAACATCAAAACAAACCCAAAGAGCCTATTAAGAAAGTGAAAGCACATGCTACAGATTGGGAGAAAATTACTTGCAATACATATATCCAAAAAGGGACTAATATCAGAATAAAAACAATCTACACAAATCAATAAATAAAATCAGACACTCTAATTAAACATGAGAGAAAACTATCATGAAAAGTACACTTCACAATCAAGATATGCTAACCATAGGGTGCTAACCATAGAGAGATGCTCAGCATCATTAATTCTCAGGAAAATGGATAAAAATGAGAAGAATGACAATATGGCATAATGAGGAGGAGGCAGAGCAACTGGAACCTTCATACATTGTTGGCAGGACTGCAAAATGCTAAACCCTTTGAATAATTTCCAATATAGTTAACACTCTAGGTCCTAGTATTCCTACTCCTAAGTGTTTACCCACGAGAAAGACATTCAGTTAAAGACTTGTGAACAAGAACGTTGGTAGCCCCCAAATGTTTATCAACAGTACAAAAGATGAGCAAACTCTGTACATTTATACAATGGAATACTATCGGCAATAAAAGAAAATGAGCGACTAATGTAATCATACCTATCCCTCACATTCTACGTAAAGCTAAAGAAGCTAGACAGCAGAAAGTATATACTCTATGAACACATGTACAGAATGTTCAAGAACATAAATAACTAATCTGTGGTGATAGAAATTATAGTATTGGTTGCCTGGCTGGGGGGAATTGAGTCAAAAGAGGCACAAGAAACTTTCTGGGATGAGAGGCAAGTTCTTAAACTTGATCTGGCTCACGGTTACACAGGACTATTCATTTGTCAATATTCATTGAGCTGTATACTTAAAGTTTGTGTACTTTATTGAATGTGAAAAAGCCAAAGTCTTCACAATGACTTACATGGCCTATTGAAGTCTAGCCTCACTCTATTCGTTTGCACCTCATCTAATACTTGCCTGCACATGCAATTGCATCCAAGACACACAACCGTCCATGCTTTTACTAAATGTTAAAGTATGATCTGACCTCGGGCTTTTTACTTTACTACTCTTACTTCCATATTTTTGTTTTTGTTTTTTAATATCTACTGAGATTGGCTTTTATGTCTCCTTCAGGTCTTTGCACAGATACCACTTCTCAGTGAGGACTCCCATGACAACACCACTTAAAATTGCCACATTCCTCATTCTTCACTGTCTTCTTTTGTTTTTTACTCTCCTCCAGAATGCTTATGAAATTCTGCTATTTTGTAAATTGTCTATATATATGTATATATGTATTTTATCTCCCACCAAACTTCATGAGATCAGAGATTTTCATCTGTTTTCTGTTCACTGCTGGTTTTTTTTTCTAGTGCCTAGAATAGTGCCTGGCACATGATTAGGATTTAATTATTACTTCTGAATAAAGGTATTTATGTTTTAGACTTTCTTCTAATGCCTGGGTAAACTTCTATACCTTAAAATGAGTCAGTTGAACACCTTTATTATTCCATATATCAGTGAAAGAGTTGTAGACCTGAAGGCTTGACCTTGTTGTTGGTAGGCAGGGCACTGGAAAATGTGCCCTGTGGCCCTGAGGAGCCAGCATCTGCTGGGCTTTGCTCTGGTGTGCTAGTGCTTGTTCTTCCCAGAGTTTCTAGACAGTGTTTCTTTAAGAAAATAAATAAGTAAATAAATAAATATATGTAAATAAAAAATAAAATAAAAATTTAAAAAACCTTATATTGCTTTTGCTGAGGAGTAAATGCCTCCTTGTTGTATTATGTAGTCACAAGTTGATGACGTTTGGGAAAGTGCCTTTTCACCTGTACTGCCCTGAATCCTCCCAATTCCAGTTCTCTTTCTCTGGCTCTGAAATACTTGAGGTGTCTTGTGTCTGAACCTCTTTACAGTACTGAAGGCAATAGATTTATTTCTTGGCTGCAGCTCCCTTCTTACGTATCCTTGGATAAAGTGTTTTCCCTCAGCTTCTTAAGTCAGAAATTATTTGTATTCTATTTTATAATAATTGTTTGAAACATTACCACTCTCCTTTTTCTTTGTTGTTATTATTTTTTCCCTTACCATTATTTCACTGAAGTCTTAAGTGGAATATCTGATAACCATATGTGCTTAATCCATCATCTTAAACTAGAAATCTTTGCTATATTTTTTTAGTCAGGAACCAGTCCTAGTCTAATCTTTACAACTATGAAATCCAGTCAATAGCTGACATCACTTCCTTTTCCTCTTCTGTCAAAAATTAGAAGACTGATTGCATCATATGTTCAAACTACAGGGGAAAGGAAAAATTCTCGTTTGCAGTGACAGCTCAATGTTTTCAAGAACTAGGCAAACTTATTGTAGAGTACTATAATCAGAGTACTAAACTCCTCATATCTTCAAACCAGCAAAGTACTGATGTCTCGTTTCTTACCTGTTAGTCCAGAGAATGAGAAACCTGGATTTAACATAAATTTGTAATTGTGAATCATTAAGGGATTCTTAGAGATACCAGGAAATCTGTTCAAACAACCTGACTATAATTGTCATTGGATATCCTCACTTTAATTGTATCCTGTTCCGATCAATCAAATTAAATCCTATTTTGTTTGGTGGCAAGAAATGATTTTTGTGTGTGTTTTGAAGAAACATAAAAAAAGAAAAGAAAATCAACCCATAAAATCTAAGGGAGAATATGTTTTACAACAGAAATCTTTCAGTTGGTCAATTGGCTAGGATAGAAGTTTGTTAGGCAATGGATCTGATAACTTTGACAGGACATTTTTCCTGGGAATAGTAGAGATTTCCATCACATCACATGCTGTCATCTGAAGTATACCTGCAAATACAGATGGGCCGTTAATAAACTTCTTTATAGGAAGTTATTGGACTGTTTACATTCTTGATTTAGCTAAAGTACCATTAATTTTGCCACCTTTGACCTCACAATAGGTAAACTTGAATTTGAATCCTGGCTTTATCCCTTATTAGTTTGTGACTATAGACAAGTTACATAAATATATAAAGACTCAATTATATAATGTGTAAAATTATGGAACGTTATATTCAAAAGTACATGGCAAATGTTAAAATGATACAAGGTAGGCAAATCAATTATTTGTTATAAAATACATGTTCTATAAATTATAACATTATTATCATTGCTATTATTTCAATAATTACATCCCACTACATGGATAAAGTTATACTCTTTTTGTGTTAGGTATCCTATTCTTAATCAGAAAAGGTGCTATTTATTCCCCAATTTTTCTTCCAGACCTCTGACTAAGGAAAATTTATACTTAATCTCTTCAAAAGGAACACATCAGTTTCCAGCAGGCTATGACCCTGGGGATACATCTATTTTTCTATACATTGTGATCTCTTTGCCTTTACTTTTCAGGTATCTTTAGAAAGCAACAATCATGTTCATATTGATAGTACGAGTGAATCAACAGAACAAAGCATTTAGCCAAATAGGATAAAAGGCAAGTTAGCAAAATCCCAGTAGAAAAAAAAAATCAAAGCCCCAAAATATCCTGTAATAATTTCTGAGTGACTGACATTCTCTCTCTGCCTGCCCTAAGAAATCTTGGCACGTGTGTACAGTCAGCCTTATAATAGCCAATAGGTAAGTGCAAACTGTGTTTGTACTCTGGGCTGTTCCTATTCACACACTTGTAGCAGACATCTTATAAGATTCTGTTTTCAGAGCATCAGGGAATAAATATGGCCATCATCAAACCCTGGAAGTAAAGTAATACTTTTTTCATAGAATAAAGCAACAGGCTAATTAAAAGAGTCACAGTATTCTATTCACTAATATGAATCCCTGCTTGGACAGAATAGAACTCTCTGAGGGCTCAGTCTCCTAATATTGATCTCAGAATTAAAGAACAAAGAAACAAAAACCATAGTTAACATGAGCAAAATAGTGCATTTATTTAGTTCTACTAAAGAACACCAGAATTTTATAATTTAGAAAACTCATCACAGAAACCCACAAGCCTGAGATGCTTAAAAATCAGAAAGCCTCTTTTTAAACAAATTAATATAGTTTATTTTTGAGTAGTTTTGGGTTTGTAGAAAAATTGAGCAGAAAATACAGAGAGTTCCCATATAGTCCCTCACCCCCCACCTGCTTTCTCCTATTATTAACATCTTACAATTTGTGTGGTATATGTGCTGCAACTAATAAGCAAATATTGATACATCATTACTAACTAAATCCATAGTCTATATTACAGTTAACTCCATATTGTATATTTCATAAATTTTGACAAATGTACGGCATGTATGCACCATTACAATATCATGCAGAGTAGTTTTACTGCCCCAACAACCTCTTGTTTCTCACCAAATCTTTTCTCCCCACTCCATTACTGCTACACTGAACACTTGGATACCACTAATTTTTGTATTGCCTCATTAGTTTTGCCTCTTCCAGAATGTCATATAATTTGATTCATACAGTATGTTGACTTTGTAGATTGATTTCTTTCACCTAGAGATATGCTTTTAAGGTTTGTCCAGGTCTTTTTTACATTAATAGCTGATTTCTTTTAATATCTGAATGTATCATATATCATACAAATGTATTACAATTTGTTTATCCATTCACCTGTTAGAGAATGCATTAATTACTTTCATTTTGGTAATTATTAATAAAGTTTCCATAAACATTTATATACAGGTTTTTGTATGGCTATAAGTTTTCCAACTCAGTTGAGTAAATGTCAAGAAGCATAATTGCTGGACTATATGGTGTATTAGTCTGTTTTCACACTGTTGTAAAGAACTACCTGAGACTAGGTATTTATAAGAAAAAGAGGTTTAATTGACTCACAGTTCTGCATGCTTGGGGAGGCCTCAGGAAACTTATAATCATGGCAGAAGGCAAAGGAGAAGCAAACACCTTCTTCATAAGGCTCCAGAAGAGAAGGTGAGGGGGGAATGCTGCACTTTTAAACCATTATATCTCATGAGAACTCACTATTATGAAAACAGCATAGGAGAAATCCGCCTCCATGATTCAATCATCTCCCACCAAGTCCCTCCCCTGACACGTGGGGATTACAATTCGACATGAAATTTCGGTGGGGACACAGAACCAAATGATATCATATAGTAAGGGTATATTTAGTTTTGTAAGGAACTATGAAACTATCTTTCAAAGTGGCTGTACCATTCTGCATTCCTACCAGTAGTGAATAAGAATTCTTGTTGCTTCACACTCTCCATAATATTTGTTATTGTCAGTGATTTTGATTTTGGCCATTCTAGTAGGTATATAGTGATATTTCATTGTTGTTTAATTTGAAATTCCCTAATGACATTCAATGTTGATTATTTTTTCATATGTGTATTTCTCATTGGTTGATTTCCTTTGGTGAGGTGTCTGTTGAGATGTATTGCCAATTTATTAATGGGGTTGTTTGCCTTCTTATTATTTAGCATTAAACATTCTTTGCAGATTTTGAATACCAGGGTTTTTTAAATGTCAGATATGTGTTTTGCAAATATTTTCTCACAGCTCATGGTTTGTGTTTTCATTCTCCTAACAGTGACTATTACAGAGAAGTTTCTAACTTTAATGATGTTTAATCTATCTTTTTTTCATAGATTTTAATTGTGGTGGTACATCTAAAGTAATCACAAAACCCAAAATGACATAGATTGTCTCTTGTTATTTTATATTATTTATAATGATATTATATAGCATATAATTTAAAACTATGAACAAAGATAGCTTTCTTTCTTTATAATCTGCATGCTTTATTTTATTTTCCTGCCTGATGGCACTAGCTAGAAATTCCAGTACAATGTTGAATACAAGTAGTGAGAATAACAGTCTTTGCCTTGTTTCTGATCTTAGTGAGAGAGTATCTAATTTATCACCATTATATGTGATGTTAGCTGTAGGATTTTTGGTAGATGTTCTTTATCAAGTTGAAGTTCCCCTCTATTTTTATTTTGCTGAGTTCCTACCGTGGATGGCTGATGAATTTTCTCAAATGCTTTTCTGCATCTGTTGATATGATCATATGATTTTTCTTTTTTAGTTTATCGATGTAATGGATTACATTAATTGATTTTTGAATGTTCATCCAGTCTTGCATACCTGAAATAAATCCCACTTGATTGTGGTGTGTAATTATCTTTACAAACTATTGGGGTTGATTTGCTAATATTTTGTTGACAATTGTTATACATATGTTCATGAGAGATATTGGTCTGTAGTTTTTCTTTCTTGAAATATATTTATTTGATTTGGGTATTAAGATAATGCTGGCCACATATAATGAGTTAGGAAGTATTTCTCCAACCTATATTTCCTGGGAGATATTGTAGAGAATTGTATATTTCTTTCTTAAATGTTTGGTAGAATTTACCAGTGAACCCATCTAAGCCTAGTGCTTTCATTTTGGGAAAGTTATTAACTATTGATCCAATGGATATAGACCTGTTTAAATTGTCAGTTTCTCCTGGTATGAGTTTGAGTAGAGGGTGTCTTTCAAGGAACTAGTTCATTTCACCTGGGTTATCAAGTTTACAGGCAAAGAGTTGTTCATGATAGTTCTTTATTATTCTTTTAATGTATTCTTGATACAGATATCATACAGATATTAGTTTAAAAGTTGAATTTTGTCAGGGAGTGGTGGCTCACGCCTGTAATCCTAGCACTTTGGGAAGCCAAGGTGGGCAGATCTCTTAAAATCAGGAGTTTAAAACCAGCCTGGCCAACGTGGTGAAACCCGTCTCTACTAAAAATACAAAAAAATTAGCCAGGCATAGTGGCGGGTGCCTGTAATCCCAGCAACTTGGGAGGCTGAGGCAGGAGTATTGCTTGAACCCGGGAGGTGGAGGTTGCCGTGAGCCAAGATCACACCACTGAACTCCAGCCAGGGTGGCAGAGCAAGACTCCATCACAAATAAATAAATATATAAATAAATGTTGCATTGCAAGCCTGTTCTTTGAGTAAGTGCACAACTTGACTTTGTTCGAAATTCATGTATTGTGAGGTGCACAGAGACTGGGTTACTATTTAAACTGATATTATGGTAAGAGGGGGTTGGTACAGAAAAGGGGTTTGTTTAATTTTTGTAACATGGTAATATTTCATATATTTAAAATAACATTCAATAAAGAAGATTATAAACATAAACTTTAAAGTTAAAAGGCAAACAAAAATATAACTACATTAAATGAGCATAACTAAACTGAAAATAATTGATTCAAGAAAATTTTGAACATGTTGCTCTGGTTGTATATATTGATATACAATATAAAATCAAAAAGAACTACGAGTTTATCTTGAATTTTTCTGAGTAAGTTTTCTTTTGGATATATTGAGCTTCTTGGATATTTATTTCCTTTTACCAATGTGGGGAAGTTTTCAGCCATTAGTATTTCAAATACTTTTGTGCTTTCTTCTCCCTCTTGTATCTTCCTGCTACTTCTAATATACATATTTAAATAACTTGGTAATACCCCACAGCACATTAAGCCTTTTTCTGTTTTTTTTTTTTTTTCAACTTTACTCTCTCTTTTTTTCAGTTGAATTTTTTTATTGCCCTATCTTTAAATTTACTGACTCTTTTTTTTTTTTTTTTTGAGACAGAGTTTCACTCTTGTTGCCCAGGCTGGAGTGCGGTGGCACGATCTTGGCTCACTGCCATCTTTGCCTCCCAGCTTCAAGCGATTCTTCTGCCTCAGCTTCCTGAGTAGCTGGGACTACAGGCACACAGCACTGTGCCACCACATCTGGCTAATTTTTGTATTTTTAGTAGAGACGGGGTTTCACCATGTTGGCCAGGCTTGTCTTGAACTCCTGACCCCAGATGATCTGCCTGCCTTGGCCTCCCAGAGTGCTGGGATTACAGGAATGAGCCACCGCGCCTGGCCTAAATTCACTGACTTTCTTTTGCGATCTCTGGTCTACTCTGAGACCAATCAAGTAAATTTTTTATGTCAGTGATTATCCATTTCAGCTGTAGAGTTTCCATTTGTTTGTTATTTATAGCTTCTACTTCTCTACTGAGATTCCCCATGTGTTTTCTTTTATTATTAATATATTTTATACTTTTTGAAATATTAATATATTCGGCCCTCTATATCCATGGATTCTGCACCTGAGGAGTCAACTAAGTGTGGATCAAAAATATTTGAAAAAATAAAAGTTGGTTGCATCTGTACTGAACACGTGCAGACTTTTTTCTTGTCATTATTCCCTAAACAATAGAGTAGAACAACCGTTTACATTGCATTTGCATTTGTATTAGGTATTATAAGTGGAAATAGTGTGTGCTATTCTCATCAGGTTATATAACAACTTCCTTTTTTTTTTAATCTTCCCAATATTTTCTCAGTTTATGGCTGAAGGCATAGAACTCCAAAAACCTAAAATTGAATGTAGCTACAAGAGTGAAAGTATCCTGAGGAGAATTCAAGCAGGAGGCTTTTTGTCAATCAGAAGCACCCACAATGGAATATTATGTAAATAAGAATTAAACTCTTAGTGAATTAAGCAGTATAAATTATAGGATTCCTTTCTGTTAGCAGCTAGGATTACCCTGATACTTGAATTAATACACATATATTAATTCTGGATAAAATATAAGTAAACGAAAAAGCCAAGAAAGAGGAAAAATTAAGATTATAAAGCAGGGAGTCTTTTCAAAGAGGACAGTAAGGGAAAACACAGTTGTACGGAAGAGTTTAATGGATATGTACTTTTTGTTTTCTTCAAATAGTAATAAAAATTATAAATAGTTTTATATATTTTTCTCCACTCAACCATGGAGAAATCTCCAAGGATTCACAAAGTTATTGCCACAAAGAAGATACTCAGCAACACTTTGTTAAATGAATCAATAAATGAAAGATTTTACTAAATCATGGTTATTTTATATCTTTGGTATTTCTTGAACCTAAACCCTCCCTTCTTCATACTATCACTCACTTTTTTCCAATTTAGTACTAATAATTCTGACATGGAATTCTGAATAGTATTCCGGAATTCTGAATAGGGCTTTCACCTCCAGCTTCTTCTCCTTTTATCTAGCACCCATTTACTTCCAGAGTGATATTTCTAAGATCAATAGACATAATGCAACTCTCCGGCTTAAAATTCTTCAGTGGCTTATCATTGTCTATGACTCCAAGTCCAAGTTCGTAATCATGTCATGTTAGGTTATTTTTCTTTCCTACCCATCCCTACTTCTCTCATGTCCTCACACTATATGCTCTTGGCATAGAAAACTGTCTTCAAATATCTGAATATACCATACTTTCTTGTTACTGACATATACAGCCTATGTTTCTTTACTTTGCCCTTAAAGTGTCTCTTTATATGTCACTTGTATTGGGATGTGCCCCTGACATACATGGCTCACAGAGCTTGGAGATGCAGTTGCATGCATAAATAAAAAAAATTAAAACCAGCGTTTGTTAAGTTTGCCCAATTACAAGAGTTTATAAAGCAAATCAGATCTTCTTATTGCAAATCTTCTCATTTTACAATAAAAAGAAAACAAACTGTCATATAAAATCTTGGGTTCTTTACAGTTGATTTTTGTGACTTTGTGCAAGTATTTCTAAATTAATCTAAATCTCAGTTTCCTGTCCTGCAAAATAAAATGTATATCACACCAGCATTATAAAGTTATTATAAGATGAGATGATATTATTATTCAAAAACGTTTGTTCCCGCTCCAAGGGGAAAGAAATATATTATAGCAGAAATACCTTCCACATAAATTTTTATAAATTTTAAAAGTTTTTAAAACTCTTACTTGAATTTTATTAGAAGGACAAATTTGACTAATATTTATCGAGCCCCAGCCTTATGCCAAGAAATAGGTTGATCAAATTTAATCATTACAGCAGTATTTTGAAAAAAAATTGTCACCATTTCCACCATTGTAGAAGTTGTAATACAGTACCCAGAATCTTCACATCTTCTGGGAATGCTGTCCAGAAATATACCCTGCAGCTCCCAGCCCCTGTAGAGCATTGCCCCAGCTGAAGAGAGCTGCTTCACCCAAGCTCACTAGCCCTTCACTGTTCAAAATGAATGGCTAGTTAATTTAATGTTATAAAGACCTATATCTCTCCACCCAACTCCATATAACTCTGAAGCATCACCTTATCTTCAGAGACCACTGCAGGGTCACTTAAGGTTCTGTTGCATCACAGTTTAACTTCTTTTTCTTTCCATTTGTGTTTCTTTCCCTTCTTTTCATAAATAACGATGCAAAAATCACTCATTAATAAACTTCCTGCATGGTTTTATCAGTCTTGGAGTCTGTTTCTCTCCAACAGTCATGACTCAGATGGGAAGAGCAAAAACATCCTAGGGGCTACAGAGATGTTTCACGTAGCCTCAAAAACCAAGACATTCTGGTGGCGTCCTTTTATTCTGCCCTTTTTATTGATAGCTCCACATAGAGTCCAATTTACTACACTAAAGTAATTGACAAAATGTGAGTATATCATGTAAATAACCATTTAGAAATGTATACCTCTTTGAATGTAAGCATGTGCACATTGTGATTTCTGACACATGCTCACTCTTGTGTATTCTTCTTTACAAGTTGAAAGGTTGGAAACTGTCTGCCCCTCAAATCAGGACACAATCCATCAAAGAGCAGTATTGTTTAACTCCTTTAGGACTAGGACAGAGTGCATAGAAACAGGACTGGAAGACAAACTACAAGTTATATGTAAAGGTATACTCAACCCCATCTGTTTTGTCCTTAGAACATCATTGACTCTCCTAATATGGGGGGGTTACTTTTTCTGTTTCTTAGTTTCTGCCATTGTTCCATACCTATGACCATCTAGACACAACAACTTGCTTGAATTTCTTAATATACCTATATCATATTTATTATAACATCCCTTTGGTCATTTGCTTCATATTCCCATCCCTGCTAGCTAATATTTAGTAAGACATCTCCAATGAAAGGCCAATACATACATATTTACTGTGTATTTGAACAAATTATATGGTGATAAAACATCACTCAATAAAGGTATTCAAAGGATCAGACTAAGTTAAATGCAGATAGGTGTGTATCATGAGGGACACAGGGCCATTTTTCTCTGCTACTATAATGTAATAAATGATAGAAAAATCATCCAGCCAGAGGCCCTCTTTATTCCCCATAAAAACATTCCTAAATTGTCCTTTAACCAGAACTAATGTATATAATAAAAAATGCAGTGGCAATGAACTTGGCAACTGTGTCTTAATGAATATGTGCTGGGGAAAAATATGCTTAATTGACAGCCTTGGAAACATAAGCACCATTGCTCCAGGAACAGATACAGCATAAAATGTTCCTGTACAAGCTTCTCTTATTGTGTCCCTCTGGACAGGCTGGTTTTGACATATGAAAAGGCAATTAAATCTGTTTAGCTTGTGCATGGCTGAAAACAAGGCAAGTGCAGAGTCCCCATAAAAACAGGCATTAGGTTTATTTTGTTTCATTTTATTTTTTCAAACAGTTTTTTTCCTCTTGGCAATAGAATCTTTGAACTGAGATATTGGTTTTCCTAAAGGTGTCACTCAACCGGAGAATGTTTTTCAGGCTTGCAAGAAAATTTAAAGTGCACTTGTTGATGGAATAAGTAAGAATATAGGGCAAGTGGTCTCACCTATTTAAATTGGCATAATAGTCTTAGCTTCAAAAATCATAACCACTCTATTCCCTCTCACAGGTTCTTTTGACAAGTAATCTGGTTTATAATCCAGACAAGCAGATTGCTGCTAGAGTTCAGCTTGAGTCTTTATTTCTTTAGGAGCTGGAAATCAAGCCAAGGGAGTATATGTTAAATGGAAGAATTATTTAGCACACTGACCAGTAAGAGGGTTTGGGAAGTTATTATAAAGGAAACATTGAAACTCAGTTCAGTGCACAGTAGTAGTCAAGGAAGGTAAAGATGATAGGTTATGTTAGTAACAAGAGAGAAAGGAACAATCCGATATAATTCCTTTTTACTACAGCTAATTCCTATTTTCCATAGTAAACTCAGAAATCTGTGGTTTCTGTATTGCAGACAAAAATTATTACCATGTGGTGGACAGGTAATAAGACATCTATGGCCAAAATAACTTATAAGGTTCTGAGAGCAAAGAAATAGGTTTTCCTAACAGAAAAGAGTCAATTAGAAAAGGAGAGGAATAATAATAATAGCGAAGATTATGTGTTGTGTCCATGCACCAGAAAATACATCAGCACATGGCATGGTAAAATACATTGATAAGTTTAATAATTGCTACACCAAAAAAGGGTAAACATTATATTTCCATTTTGAAGATGAGAAAATCAGCTCAAAGAGATTAAGTTGCTTGACGGGGTCAAGGAGTTAGTCAATGGAGGAGCTGAATCCAAAACTACTGTTGCACTCCAAAGTCTCTGCTGTTTAATGATACTCCAGTAATAGTTTTCTCACTACTTTTCATTAGCATATTTTTGAGATTTTTTCAATAAACATTAACTTGTAAAGTTTTTTTGCGGGGGTGGGGTGGGGGGACATAGTCTTGCTCTGTCGCCCAGGCTGGAGTGCAGTGGTGCGATCTTGGCTCACTGCAACCTCTGCCTCCTGGGTTCAAGCAATTCTCCTGCCTCAGCCTCCCAAGTAGCTGGGACTACAGGCGCCCGCCACTACACCCGGCTAAATTTTGTATTTTTAGTACAGACGGGGTTTCACCATATCGGACAGGCTGGTCTTGAACTCCTAACCTTGCCTGCCTCGGACTCCCAAAGTTCTGCCTTGGCCTCCCAAAGTGCTGGGATTACAGACAGAAGCCTGCTTTGGCCTCCCAAAGTACTGGGATTACAGACATGAGCCACTGCGCCCGGTCGACTTGTAAATTTCATACATCATATGCATGGAAAAATTAAGTAGATATAGATATAGATGTGATGAAATGTGAGTGACATGGAAAGACATTATTTTAATTGTCGTGAGAACTGTGCTCTTCTGTGCTTAAAGAAATGGCTGACTTCAGATTTGGAAATATGCAAGATGAGCCTGGACATCTGAACATACCACGGAGTAAAATATTTTCAAAGATTCTTGAGCCCTATCAAGAGGATTCAGGAGTCAGTTTGAAGAGATCCTACTGAAAATATAAGGGAAAACTTCGCATTAACAAAAATTAATAACTGTAATGAGTTGAAATGAATAAAGCATATTTAAATCCATGAGTATATAAAGATAATAATATTAACAAAAGAAACCTGGCCTATCACCATTGGAAGATTCTGCTGAAATTGGTTATTATTATGAAAAGCAGCCATAAGGTGAAATAATTTAGCTTTTATCCTCTTCTTTCTATACACTTTCCACCCCTGAGTAGTCCAATAGTAGTTGTGAGAAAATTCTATTTAGAGAAATACCCCAGCTAATAAATGAAAGAAGGAATAATAGAATTAGAATAGCAGTTTTTCAACCTTTAATGGATTAAAGTACCCAAACATTGAGTATCAATCACTTTTAGCATTATATAAAGAAAGACATTCAGACATCATGTACCTTCTATTGGAGGGACACAAAACCTTGTGATGTCATCTGTATTAGTCAGAGTTCTCCAGATAAACAGAGCCAATAGAATATATATACATATGTGTGTGTGTGTGTGTGTGTATATATATATTCCATATATTATATATGGGATTAGCTCACATGGCCATGTAAACTGAGAAGTTCCACTACATGCTCTATGAAAGCTGGAGAACAAGAAAATGCAGTGATGCAAGTAAGTCCAAGTCCTGTGGTTTTAGAACCAGGAATGCTCATATATAAAGCCAGGAGAAGATGTCTTTATTCAAACAGAAGGTAATTTGCTTTTGTTCTCCCAACTTTTTATTCTCTTTGGGCTCCTAGTGGATTGGATAGAGCCCATCCACATTGGGGAGGGTGATCTTCTTCACTCAGTCTGAAAATTCAAATGCTAAGCTTTTTCAGAAACACCTTCAGAGACACATCCAGAAATAATGTTTTATGAGCTCTCGGGGCATCCCTTAGCCTGGTCAAGTTGACACATAAAATTAACTATTATAAGTCTATCACTTGTCATCATGGCACCCATATAGATCTCCTTAAACCATACCTAAACTCCAAATAAAGACACTGACAAAGTCATAATTCTACCTAACATAAAACAAACTGTTTTGAGCACAACCAAAACGCATTAGTCCCTTCCCCAGAAAGGGAGTTAATATCTTTGAATGATGTTTACTCGTCACTTATTATCCTGTAACTTAAAAATATAATAAAAATATTATACTTAAATATTGATATAATGTCAATACATCTTATGGTGCATGATAAATAACAGGAAAAAAGATACTTGCTTAATGTATATAATATATGTGTAAACACAAATGAATTCATAACGAAAAAGGAGGAAATTCTCATGACAATTACAGTTATCATTTATGTAAGTTATTATGTAGTTGCATGTGGCATTTATAAGCACCTTCTACTACCCATTCTGTATTTTCTTTTTTGCTTTCAGCTGGTTGTAGTCCTTCACTTGGCAAGGTTATCCGACCTTTTATTTCTAAAGGATCTTGGCTATCAGTAGTTCAGCCTGGAGTGTGTCATTGTAATTTTTTAATGACCTTAATTAAGAGCCTGACAATACTAAGACATATCTTAAGGGATCTTCTGCCTTCCAGACATACTCTTTATCACTTCCATTTTAAAGTAGTCGTCCAATTCCCCTTGGTAGTACATTTCAATCACCCTAGACAACACTCTAACTCCCTTCTCTGCATGTTGATTCTGAGGCATGAGGAGCCCAAAGTGGTTGTGTGGCTATCTTAGCTTCCACTATTAGTGGAATCAGCATTGTTTCTTCTGGTGAAAACATTCCTCCTGCTCAAATTAAGGCTTCTAGGCCAAAAGAGCATAAATTCATGGAAAAAGAAGCAAATATTTTGCGAGAGGTTCACTAGGAGTAATAGTGAATGAAGACATTCTCATTTCTACCCTTTGAATCCTGGGCCCATGAATTCTGGCTATCAAAGAAATAGCAGCATAAATTGGATGATGATTCAGAGCATATACAACCAACTGGAAAACTTTTCCCCAGCCATCAGAAGTATTGCCACTAGCTGGTACTGTAAGTTCATCTTCAAAGGCCCTTACACCATTCTGTCAAGTCAGCTGCTTCAGGATGGTGGGAAACATGATAGGAACAGTAAATTCCATGAGAATAAGCTCATTGCTTCACATATTTTACTGCAAAGTTGAGTTCCTGAATCAGAAGCAATGCTATGTGGACTACCAAGATGGTGGATTAAGCATTCTATGGGTCCACAGATGGTAGTTTTAGCAGAAGCAATGAGTCTAGGGAAGGCAAATTCAAATTCAGAATAAGTGTCTGTTCTAGTAAGGACAAAACACTGTCTCTTCCATGATGGACGTGGTCTAATGTCATCAACCTGCACCAGGAAGCTGGTTGATCACCCAGGTTAATAAAGCCATATCAGAGACTCAGTATTGGTCATTGCTGATGATAAGATGGGCACTCTACGGGAACCATAGCCATATCTGCCTTAGTGAATGGGAGTTCATGTTATTGGACCCATGCATAACCTCCATTCTTGCCACCAAGGCCACTTGGTTAATGAGCCCATTGAACAATGACAAAGGGGGCTAGGAAAAGAACCTGGAATCCACAGGGTTGGTTATCCTATCCACTTGGTTATTAAAGTTTTCTGCAGAGGTCATTCTTTGCTAAGCATTCACATGAGACAGAATTATCTTAGTGTTTTGCCCATTCAGACCAGTCAATCTACAGACTTATTCTTCAAATATTTTTGTCACCTATTTTTCAACTGTGCTCCTTCAAAGACCCTAATTATCCATCAAACCATTGGCTCCAGCCCATGAATTGGTTTATAATTCTAAATCTGGTCATATATACTTCCAAACAAAGTACTCAGCCAGTTGCATTCCCCAAAGTTCTGCCCAGTGGGAGGGTTTCCCTTCATCACTGTCCTTCAGGGATGTCCCAGAAAGGGTTTGTAGTGCTGCTGCTGTCCATTTGCCACGGCTGCAGCATGCTATGCAGAACTATCTGTAAACTAGGCCTGAGTCTTCTCTTCCTTTGTCAACTGATCATAGGGGACTCTCCATGAGGCTGTAAGTGCGGGCTGGAAAAGAGAAGACAGTGTAGCTGGAATGGGGACCATGAACATTTGAGCCACTTCTTCTTGTAACTTACTTGTGCCTTCAGGGCCTGCTCAGGTCTGCTCACATAGATATCACTTCCATCTGAGGAGGAAGTACTGCTATTTATGCCCAATTATGGCTTGGGTGGGTGAAATATTACCCAGTTTATGATGGGCATGGTAACTTGTTAACCCATAGTCAAGTGCTCAGTTTCTGTTAAGGCCTAGTAACAGACCAAGAGCTGACTCTCAAAAGGAAAGTAGTTATCTATAATTAGTGGTAGGATCTTACTTCAAAATCCCAAAGGCTTGCACTGGGATTCACCTCTGGGAACCTGCCAAAGCTCCACACAACATATCTATCTGCCACTGACACCTAAAATTCCATTGGATCTGTTGGTTCATGTGACCCAAGTGGCAGAGAAGCTTGCACAGTAAGCTGGACTTGTTACAATGAGCTTTCTCCTTTGGATTCCCCTTAAAACTAGCAGCTTTGCAGATCACTCTGTAAATGGCCTAAGGTAACATCCCTAAATGAGAACTATGTTGTATCCAAAGTCCAAAGAGGCTCAGTAAACATTGTGCTTCTTTTTCAGTTGAGGGAGAAGTCAACTGCAACAAGTTATCATTCAGCTTAGAAGGGATATTTCAAGATGCTCCATACCACTGGACGCCTAGAACTTTCACGAGGTAGAAGACCCCTGAATTTTAGTTGGATTTATTTCCCACCCTCTGACATACAGTGCCTTATCAATAAGTCTACAGTAGTTACTTCTTGCTCTCTAGGTTCAGTCAGCATAATAGCATCAATGAAATGAACCAGTGTTTGATATTTTATGAAAGAAAAAGGTAATCAAGATCCCTGTGAACAAAATTATGACATAAAACTAGAGAGTTGACGTACCCCTCAAATAGGACAGTGAAGATGTATTGCTAGACTTGCCATCTTAACACAAACTGCTTCTGGTGAACTTTAGGGGATAGATATGGAGAAAAAGGCATTTGCCAGATTAATAGCTCTATACTAGGTACCAGGCAATGTGTTAATTTTCTCAAGCAATGAAACTATTTATGGTACAGCAGCTGCATTTGGAAGCACCACATGGTCAAGCTTGTAACAATCCACTGTTATTCATCAATATTAATCTGTCTTCAGCACAGGCCAAATCAGAGAGTTGAACAAAGATATGGTAGAAATTGCCCACCCTGCATCTTTTAAGTCCTTGAAGGTGGCACTAATCTCAGCAATCTCTCCAGGAATTTAATATTGCTTTTGATTTACTATTTTCTTAGGTAGAGTCAGTTCTAATGGCTTTTACTTGACCTTCCACACCATAATAGCCCTCACTCCACAGATCAGGGAACTGATGTGAGAATTCTGCCTCTTGCTAAGTATTTCTATTCCAATTATACTTATGAAACTGGGGAAATAACTACATGATGGATTTTCAAACCCACTTTACCCAGTATGTGATGAACATGAGGTAAAGCTTCATAAGCCTATATTCTGACTGAATGGCCACAATAATGTTTTTGTTATTCTAGAATCAGTGTCAGTTCAGAGCCAACGTTAAGTAGTCTCCCAAAGGCCCAATTATTTCTTTTTCTCCAATATACAGTTATGCTTATAAAAGGCCATAGATCCTTTTTGATTCCTTCGGAAAAGCCTGGTAGAAAGATTAACAGTATACATTTTGTGTAGTATACCAGGGTCTTTCCTCAAGGGAACTTGACCTCCCCTGTACTCAAAGGGTTCTGGGTCTGTAATCTGACTCAAGTCTGGACATTGATGGAGGATCAAGTAAGAATTTAGTAGATTTCCTATCAATTTCACTTCTGGAAACACTATGATCAATTAGTCTGCATGAGCCATACCATTCTGATTGCTTCATTGACTCTGCAGTCTATAATGGTAACCACCTCCGCATTGCCTTCGGCAGTTGAATGCTGCCTTTTGGCTGCTGCCACCCTGAGGTCCAATTACTCCTGTTGCATTCAGGTTTCCCAATTGAGTGGCTGCAGTTCTCACTGAAAGGTCTGGCCTGCAGAGAATAATGATCATGAAGCTCTTCAAGGATGCAGGGCTTCTATCATAATGTTATTTCTCAAAATATTCATAATAAATATGTCTTCTAGACCTTCCCACTGTGAGCAAGTATCTTAAATGACAAATCTACTCTAACATTCCAGTTTCCTAAAGGCTTTGAACTTTGAATCCTTTCCCCTCTACATTAAACTAAGGAAGATTAGGCTCGCTCTTTTCTTTCTGTCTTTCTTCTTTCTTTCTTTCTTTTTCTTTTCTTTCTTTCTTTCTTTCTTTCTTTCTTTCTTTCTTTCTTTCCTTTCTTTCTTTCTTTCTTTCTTTCTTTCTTTCTTTCTTTCTTTCTTCCTTCCTTCCTTCCTTCCTTCCTTCCTTCCTTCCTTCCTTCCTTTCCATCTTCCTTTTTTTTTTTTTCCATAGTCTCACTCTGTTGCTAGGCTGGAGTGCAGTGGCAAGACCTAGGCTCACTGCAACCTGCGACTCCCTGATTCAAGCGATTCTCCTGCCTCAGACTCCTGAGTAGCTGGGATTACAGGCACATGCCACCATGCCCAGCTAATTTTTGTATTTTTAGTAGAGACAGCGTTTCACCATGTTGGCCAGGATCTCCTGACCTCGTGATCAGCCCGCCTCGACCTCCCAAAGTGCTGGGATTACAGGCGTGAGCCACCATGCCCGGCTAAGATTAGACATTTCTAATTCACTCATTGGAGATCATCTTTTGATCCATGTTTCAGCCCACAAACCAAATAAACTATTACAGCCCTTTTTAAATTCTCTGAGCTACGTCGTTAAATGTAAAATCTCTGCATAGTGAGCCAATATAAGTAAATTCAGCACGATTCAACTTTATGTTCCTTTCATCATTATTCTAAATCCTTCGCTTACATTCCCATACAGGTACCCTGGATTTCTATCTGTATAAATTGGAAAAATCTAGAGCTTCTGGAGTGTCACAAACCTTCTCATGGCTCACACTTGCACCTCACCTTGAGGGGTCTGCTGGGTCTTGAGTTTAGTTATAAGTCCAGAAGCAAAAATTTGTGGTGGACATAGGTACTGAGGAGGAGCTGTAAGTTTTGATTGGCAGTTGCCTCAAGGGAGGCCATTTCTGTTTCCTTGGGAAATAAAGGGTTAATCCCCTCAGATGGATGTGCAAAGACTTCCATTTGGATTCAAATGCCAGGAAATACCAAGAAAAACAGAGCCATCTACACTATGGGGGTACAATTAGAAAATCAAGTCTTTGTGAAATTCTATAGGAAAAATGAAGCAGTTTCTTTAATATATAACTCCCTAGGAACATCAAGAGAATGATAATGAAACCATAAAGATTTTAAAAGACTTAAATCTAATTATATTATATTTACTTTGTACTCTAATTCAAACTATCCACATGCACCCACTCATACCCACACTCACACAAATATATGTGTATTCTTTGTCTGTGTGCGTGTGAGTATGTACTTATCTTTCCAGAGATAAGCGTATGTACCTACATGTCTGTCTATCTGTCTATCTATCTATCTATCTATCTATCATCTATCTATCTATCTTTTAACATTTATCTATCTAGAGATTGAAAAAGAGAGGAGACAGAATGTAACACACAAAAATAGACTGCAGAAAGAAAAATGTGTTATATATGAGTGAATTGGAATTTGGAGAAGATTCTGGCTATTTAATGATATTGAGCAATTGTTGTTACATATTTGTAGCTGTGGTGAAGGTGTTGTGATTGTTTATAAGTCTTTAGATAGATAGATAAATAGATAGATAGATGGATGACTGGAGAATATATGGATTAGATCATATATCTGGAAAGTAAGGGAGTGGTGGATGGCCTTTGCAGTAGTTCTTAAGCAGGATCAATTTTGTCCTTCAGAGCAGCGATCCCCAATCTTTTTGGCACCAGACACCAGTTTTGTGGAAGATAATTTTTCCACAGATGGGGTTGGAGGTGATGGGTTTGGGATGAAACTGTTTCACCTCAGATCATCATGCATGAGATTCTCATAAAGACTGTGCATCCTAGATCCCTCATATGTGCAGTTCACAATAGGGTTTGCCATCTTGTGAGAATGTAATGGCATCATTGTTTCTGACAGGAGGCAGAGCTCAGGCAGTTATGCTGGCTTGCCCACTGCTCACCTCCTGCTGTGCTGCCCAGTTTCTGACAGGCCATGGACTGGTACCAGGCCATGGCTCGGGGGTTGAGAAGCTCTGTTTCAGAGAACATATGGCAAGATCTGGATATATTTTTTATTGTGATGGCTGGGAGTCAGATGCCACTGACATCTAGAAAAAGAAGCCAAGGATACTGCTAAATTTTCTAAAATATTCCTAAATGCACAGGACTGCACTTCCCCAAAATAACTATTTGGTCTAAAATGTCAACACTGCTGAAGTGCAGAAACAAGTGGTTATAAGTAAAAATAATTTTGTTTACTTTTACGTATGCTTAAATTATTACATAATGAATTGTAAAAATGAATAAAAATAAAAAGAGGTGACTTTTTTAGTTTAATTATGTCAGATAACAGTGATTGGAAGGATGTTCAAATGTGACCAAGAGGATTAACCCTCAGTAGAATTAAGACAGGGAAATGTGTCAGTTTTGAAGTCAGTTTAAGATACATACTAATCAAATAGTAAAACAATGTTTTTATTACTAAGAGAAAAACCAAGCCAAAAATATTTTTAAGCTAGAGAACTTTGGAGATAGAGGGGCTCCTATGATAAGTAAACCTTATAAATGCAAATCTGAATTTTAAAATGAGATGTTTTAGAGAGTGATGATTCACTTAATAAAAAAAAGTCTTTAAAAAGGACTCACTGTACAATTTCCTTAAATAAATCTTTCTCCTGAATTAATTTGAATTGATTTACACATATTTGACCAAAATGCAAATTTTCTAGAACTTGCATGGAGTGTGAATAGAGTGTAACCAAAACACTAGTTTTAAAATATGTTTAGTTATGTGCTTAAAATGTTCGGTAAGAAAACACTTGGATACCTTTAATAAGATCTTTAGTTAGAAGCTGCTTTATAGTTGATCTTATAGTAATGTAATGCTTTTAAAATGCAAAATTTAGTCAATTAAATTCCTTTTATGTTAACTAAAGGCCCTAGAAAGGAGGAGTAACTTACAAAATTTAGGAAGATAGGAGCAATATGAAAAAAAATTCAACAGTTACTTATTGCCAGAGTCTTAGGAGAAATGCAAGTGGCAGCATGAATCATATTTCTCTGTTCTGTTCTGATAAAGAGTGATATAGAGGAGGAAAAAGGCTGGGCGAGAAAAAAGGAAATTTGCCATTCTGCTCCGTAAAGAATGTACATGAATGGGGGCAAAATTTGCAGCTCAGTGCTGCAGTCAAAAGAAGACAGGATGGTGCCATGGACCAGGACAGTGGTAACGTCGGATCAAGAAATGGTGATTCAGCGCGTATTTTAAAAGTTATTACGTTAGTGCTGGCTTATGAATTGAGTAAGGAGTTTAGAAGAAAAAGAAGAGCTATGGAAGACTCTAAGTTTTGGGGCCTGACTACCTGAAGAAATGGTTCAATTTATTGGAAACCTGAGGGAAGAAAAATTTACACGGAGAAAAAGTATTCTGTTCTGGCCAAATAACATGTGAGATGCCTTTTAGATATGAGATGGAGATGTGAGAACACAATTGGACACATGGGTATATGAGTATGCAGCTCAGAATAAAGATTCAGACTAGACATAGAAATTTAGAAATCATCAGAGCAGAAGTAGTATTTTTTAATCGGATTGGATGAGTTTATTTAGGTATCTGTACATGAGAAGACAGGAATTGAGAGAAGTGAAACACTCTCTGAGAAGTTTGCAAGAGGAGCAGAAGCTGGTAATGAGACATTGAATAGGCTGCTCTTGAGGTAAAAAGCTGTTGTTAGATATATTGTGTCCTAGAGTCAAGTGAAGAGAATACTTTAAGAAGGAAAGAATGATCATTTCCATCACCTGTGTACGATAGTTCCAGATAGGATGTCAGACCATCAACAGAGTATTGTGGAAAACACTAGTCAGTATTGCATTAGCCGTAATAGTGGTGCTGTGGAGTCACCTCCATTTAGATTGAATTGGATTGGTTTCAAGACAGAATGCAGTAAAAAGAGAGAGAAAGAATGAGGTACTTATTTTTGTAGTGATATCTCATGGCATGCTACATATGCTTTTAAAAATAGAACTACTAAGTAAATGGGTAAAATACAAAGAACAAAATAATAAAACATTTTGATGAGTTTATACAAAAGGAATTTTTAAAATATATATATGCAATCAGGAATATTAGGAAATAGGTAAATGCCAAAATCCTATTTATTTTTTGTTTCCTTAATGATATTATTATTCAGAAATTTAGGCGTTTCATAAACACAAGCTGTAAGTATAATTGTGATTGGCCTATGCGCTGAGTGTTTCTATAATTTTAGAAGAATTCTACAGGGAAACTAACAAGGACTGCTCTAGTCAGTGTCTTCCATTAAGAATATTTTCCATTGGAAAGTCTGTCACAGGTATGTGTTTTATTTACTATCTTACTCTGTTGTCAGGACAAGAATATATACTATACAATTCCTCAAGGATCTAGAACCAGAAATACCATTTGACCCAGCAATACCATTACTGGTATATACCCAAAGGATTATAAATCATTCTGCTATAAAGACACATGCACACGTATGTTTATTGCAGCACTATTCACAATAGCAAAGACTTGGAACCAACCCAAATGCCCATCAACGATAGACTGGATAAAGAAAATGTGGCACATATATACCGTGGAATACTATGCAGCCATAAAAGAGGATGAGTTCATGTCCTTTGCAGGTACTTGGATGAAAGTGGAAACCATCATTCTCAGCAAACTAACACAGGAACAGAAAACCAAACACCACATGTTCACACTCCCAAGTGGGAGTTGAACTATGAGAACACATAGACACAGAGAGGGGAACATCACACAATGGGACCTGTCAGGGATGGGAGACTAGGGGAGGGATAGCATTAGGAGAAATACCTAATGTAGACGATGGTTTGATGGGTGCAGCAATCCACCATGGCACATTTATACCTATGTAACAAACCTGCACATTCTGCACATATATCCCAGGACTTAAAGTATAATAAAAAAGATACATGTTTATTAAAATATATCTCATCTTTAGAGCTTACTGTTGAAAACAACACTGATTTGGTTGATTACTCCTATTCCAGTTCAAATAGGCTGGAATTACACATAGATTTTAGAATGAATGACCCTAGAAAGGGGCGCCTGTCTTGGGAAAGAGGACTTTGAAGAGAGAGGTGTAAAGTTGTAACTCCAGATGGATTCAAGCGTAGATATATTCCTCCATCATCTTCAGAGATTGAACTTGTACCTCCTGTTTCACAGAAGAAGTTATAACATTTTGTTATTATTTCTCTTGTTACCACAAAGCCAGGTATCATGGGAGTATGTATGTGAATCTCAGAGACTCAATTTATGATGTTCCCCAGATTCACTTTGTTTCACAGTTAATTGCTAAATAGTTAAGTTCCTGGCCCCAAACCTCTTGCCCAACGGAAAGTCATGTTCCATCATATAATACTGCCACTTGTCTCTGCTAGCCTCAAGATTATGATTAATGTCTTGCTTCCCTTGGCCCCAACATAATGAGGAGCTTTAGGACTTAGGAGCCCAGGCCAGGAATAAACAGATCTCAAGAGGCTCTGGCTCCTTCCACCACTCTGGACTTAGGTAAAGCCTCACACGTCAGAGCATGGTTATGCCTTCCAGAGCACCTTGCTGGAGTGTCTGGTTGACACAACCTGAAAGGTTTTTTTTTTGTAGGCTTTGTTAATGCATGTGGTCAATTTTTGGCCACTGAGAAAGAGGAGACAAGGTCAGGAAATCTGAAGATAAATTATTTTCCTTTCTTTCCCCAGGAAACTTTTGCAAAGCAGCATGGCTCTGAACAACTTTACCTGTTTCATGTGATTAAGGCACTGTTATATTTTCTTGTGGAGGTTTGAATAGTTTCGAAATATATATCCTGTATTTGATTTACCTTCTTCCCTCTCTCACCTTTGCTGCCTTGGTAATGTACCTCCCAATAAATCTCAAACTCTATATGAAATCATTTTTAGTCTATCTTTTATAAGAAAAATATACTGAGACAAAGGCCTTGATAAAGACCTGAAAAATGCTTTGGCCACACTTAAAAAAATTCAAAAGTATTTCATTATGGTAAATGATTTTAATTGCCAAAATGGAAAAAAGGTAAATATGTTTTATATTCATTTTTATTTTAAAAAGACTTATTGAACTTTTGCTGAAATAGAAGGTTAAATATCCAAAAATATATCCTAACGTGAATCCTTTATTCTTGGAACTTTCAGTCTAATGACCAGAGGTTAGTTAGGATCTATTGAAAATGTAATCCATCTCCCCAGAGAAACCACACATTGAACGACACAATATAGAAGGGTGAGAAGTTATAACTACAATGACATAAACATTCTGGATGATGGAAATATACTGTGAGACTACACATCTTTCTAAACTGTAGAAAGCTTGGTAATAATTAGAAATTAATGATGTAGTAGCATTAAGAAGCATTTGAAAATACATATACAAGAGCTGTCAATTTTAGAAGTTGTCAATTTGTAAATTGTAATTTTGCTAGAATACCCCTAGCAGAAGGGCAGAGTCCCTGAGTTCAGCAAAAGGTCTTGGAGCTGGGTGAATGAAGGATCAGTCTAAGCTTGTTATGTTATTTTCCTATGAACTTAAAGGTTACTTAATAATAGTCGGTGGAGCTCAACTGGAAACTAGATGTATTCACGAATTCTGTTTGGACATTCAGATCTACTCTTTAACCTTCTCTGACTTGCTGTGTACCCCAAGAGGATAATCTGTAAGAATTACCTCCATGACCTTTCTTGTTCTCTCTCTGGATTCCAGTTATATTAAATTACTCCAGAGTACTGGCTGGAGACTGGAGGAAAGGAGTAAACCTACTCCCTGTGGATATGCCATAAATAGGCTGGATCTTTTGAGGAAAGATCGCTCCACACATCTCTCTCTCTTTCTGTCTACAGATTTTGGTAATCTTTCCCTCTTGGTGTTCTACTATTACTAACTTTAGGCACCACACTAGCCCTATGTTGTGGTTATGAATGCACTTTTATAAACAGTACATTAAATAACCTCTTCTCATATTACTCGATTTGAATGTCCCATCTATCTGCTTTTGTGACTCTCATACACAGAATTATGGAGGACAGGTACTGGTCTTTTCTTTATGAAGTGCATTTTCTCTCCCTTTTGCAAAAATTACATCAAAAGAAAAGAATTTCTTTTTCCAAATGAATTGTCCAATCAATAACATAGTTAGCAAACCTATTTGTTTCTTCCTGTATGTAAAATGGGTTACTAATCACAGTGAGTCAGCAGGCAGACATTGCTCTTTTCATCAAGTGAAGTAGAAGTCACAATCTAGAAGATGATGCCAGAAAGATAACAACTAATTACAATTCTCAAAGAGGCAAATAAGTACTCTATTTTTATAAAACGATTATAAGTGTATTAAATGAGAAAATTATGTAGTTTAAGAAGTAGAAGTGAATCCACTGAGAGCAATGATTTGGATAGGCCTGAACTTAAACCAAGTTGTCACCTCTATTCAAATCTCATTCAGATTGCTCAGACAGAGCTCTATATAGAGGCTAACGTCAGAGGAAGAAGATATGACAAAAAGAGTAAAGAGACTCTAAAAAAATAGATAAATGGATAAAATAATGATGAAAGATATAAATTCATTGAGCACCATTGTAATTATATAACATTGTGAAATGTCCCAAATTTTAGGTTAGTAAAAGGAGTTGATATTTACTGATACAATTGTTTTATCTAATAACTACTTTTCAACTCCCTTCATCAGTAGTAAAGGTAAAATAATTAATTCAATAGTCAATATTTTCTTAAGCATTTACTATGAAGGTCTGATACTGTGCTAAGTGCTAATAAAATAAAGCTGAATACAACATTGCACTTGCTCTCAAAGAGTTTATAATATAATGGAGAATACAGATCAATAGTAAGTCGATTTCAATACTAAGGGTCAAGTACTAAATGGAGAATTATAGTATATATGGGAATACATAGGAAAGTCATCTACTTTTAATTTAGAGAACTGAATTAAGAAAGATGTTCCAAAAGAAATGTTTAAATAGAAGTCCAAGGATGAAGAGTGATTAACTGAGCAATAGAATTGCAAAAAGCTCTGGACATGAGCAGGGATTTAGGAAAAATTAGAAGTAACTAGAGCATAGTGTATGGATTTTTAAGTGAAGTTGAATATGACTAGAGTTAGGTGTAAAGCTGGAGAATTAGCCAGGAATTGAACATCAAGGGCTATATTTTCCCTAGTTGGGACTTTACATTCCAGACAAGCCACTGGAGGATTTTAATCTGTGGAGCGTTATTTTGCTTTGCTTCTTAAGCCAGACTAGACCCAATTTTTAGGAATGTACAGTGGAAGACAACAGAATTAATAGATCACACATTTGTTCCTTCATCAGTTGATCGCTTTTTACATCAAATCTATGTGTATGTATACAATAATAAGAAAATTTGATATGTAATATTTATATTTTTCAATTCTACCAAAATTTCAGAAACTAATTTTTAAAATGCAACAGTGTCTTTTCTGGTAGCCAAAAGGTTGCATTAAACAAATTTTATTCTTAAAACAAATATTAAAAGTTGTCACATATAATATCTGCATGAATTTTTATGCAGAAAAACAAGACTTGAAGGAAATGTCTCCCTCATTAGAAGAGTAATAACTTTTATTTCAGATCAGCAGTTGAGAGCAAAGTCTCTGGTTTCTGGATTTAAACTTCACTCTGCAACTTACTGTTTATATGTTTGTGGGCAAGTTATTTATCCTCCCTGGTTCTTATCTTCTTATCCACAAGAGGGGAAAATAACATCATCCACATCAGATTTGGTGAGAATTAAGTGAGATAATACATATAAAATACTTGGCTCAATGCCAGTAACATTGTAAGGACTCTATAAATATGAGTGAAGACTTTTGAGCCCACTTGACTATAGTCACATATTTTTTGTCTTCTGCCTTTACGGATTCTTGTTTAGTGAAGTTGAGAATCAATCAGAAGAACTTGAGGAGATAGAAAGAACTTATATATTCCAAGGTTAATGCACCTATATACTCCAAGTTTAGTATTATCAACCTGTTTCTCTTACAAGATTAAGTTAATTCAATATTACCTTTAGTTTTGAAAAATTTGGAAGTTGGTATGACTAAGGAACCTGATAACTTGGATAAGCTCTAGAATTAATGGAGGAAAATGACTTTCTTATTTTTCTCCTATACTCTGATCCCAGATCCCTAGAGCCATTCTCAGGACAGAAATCCATACATAACTAATACTGGGTATTTTTTTTTCTGTAGGATGCTATATGTTGCATTTCTTGGAAACCTGACTATGGCATGAGAGTTAAAAGAAGATGAGGAATCCCAGTGCAGACCATTAGTTCTTGGTGAGGAAACAGATAATTCACAGTGGACTGCTAGTGGCCTTTTCTTGACATCTTTCACCTCCCTTATTAGAGAAGGTAAGATTTTGAAGGACGTTGGACCTTTTCCTGAAACTTCTAACATTCACTTTAGGAGAGGGCAGGTTCTCTCAGCACGCCATCTTTGAAGCACCAACACACACAGCAATGGAGTACAAAGCTTGTTATTTTATCATCTGGGCAGAGAGAATGAATAATGGGCAGCTGACTGTGGGGTGTAACAGTGCGAACTATGAAGAGACCAAAATGTTTCTCTCCAGAAACCTGAAAGCTTCACTTTGAGTTCTACCTGAGAGGAAAAATGCCAATACATTTACACTATCATTAAAATAGCATACGATTATTATGGTGATCTTTCTGTTCAGTGTAGATGAAAAAAGAATAAAAAGAAAACCAGTAATCCTGAGAGGCATAATATTTTTAGTTGTACTGAAAGGTGAACTTCCTGTCATTAAATATCAATAGATACAGCCAAGAAGATAAAAATAGATTTACCTTTACATTACTAGGGCAGGAACTAAAAACACTAATGAAAAAGAGCTGCCTGGTCCAATTAGCCACAGCACAATGCCAGGCAAGGGGCAGAGCCAGACAAGCTGTCTCTGCAAAATCACTGACTGTTAGACACACCAGTGAAGTCTTTCTTTATGTCTAACTTGTAACAATATAAAAGGATTTACATTTCATCTTCTCATTGCCACATCCACACTGTCTTCTCACAAGGCAAGCTGTCTCTTTGTTTTCTTTCATGTAAGTTGGGAAATAATATACGAACATTGCCAAGGGAGACATATCGAAGTTTTAATAATCCTCCTTACCGAAGAGGACTCCCTGGGTCAAGGAAATAAATTTTCTGCAGACGCTGAGCCTAAATTTCTTTGGAGGCCAGCTTTCTAGGCTCCTTTCATTCTTAGCCATCCTCCCTCCTTCATAGTTCTGTCCTTTCATTCCTTCATCTCCCTTTCATTTTCTCTTCCTTCTTGCTTCCTTCCCCCAAGAGGACCTTCCTTGTTCTCTCTCTGGATTCTAGTTATGTTAATGCCTGGGCCTAATATTTTCTGTGACACTTTAACCATTATTGTTACTAGGGGTTCCCAGTTACCGTAAAAGGTGGGGTCTTTTATGTTTGGTGTTGTGAAGTCAGTATATGAAATGGGAAAGGAGCATTGAGAAGTGCAGGCTTTATTTGATGGTCATAAAATGGAGAAGTGGGAGAGTGGCCCACCAATCAACTTCTTGGCTCCTGAGAACCAGGAAGTTACAGATGTAGGATAGCTTTAATGAAGGGGTTGGGAATTGAAAGCAAAGGCAGGAATACTTACGCTTTTCTTAGGAAGGGATAAAGATTTTCCTGGAATCAAGGAGGGTTGAAGATTTCCCTGGAATCAAGGAGCCCCTTTTCTGCCCTTTTTTGGTCTCTTCTTGTCATTGTCATGGTGATTTTCAACTTTCATGGTACTGGCTGGACTGTCATTTAATATGGAAATTGGATTACAAAGAAGCCAGTGTTTCTTCAGAGTTCAAGCAAGCTTCCATCATGGATTTTCCCATCTTTCACTGGTTTAGTCCTAAGAGGCAACTTCTGACCACAGATATCCTGTTTCCTAAAAATAAGCAGAGTTGACACCGAGTAAGAATTCAGCTATATCACACAGATATTGATTGGGCAAAAACAAGCAGCGTAGGAGTCAGCTAAGTCACATAGGCACTCCAATGGGTAACAGTGTGAGGCACATGCTGCATATTACATACATGTGAACAGATGGGCACGTGGGCAGAGCATAATGACCTATGATTTACAGAAAGAAAAGATAAAGACATTTCCAAAGTCAAAGCACAGGGTATTGGCTTTGTCTTTCAAAATAAATATTTGTTATAACAGCACAGTGTCCACTAAAGAATGACAAAGTTCATAAATTTGGAAAGGAGAGCTTTATTTCTTACAAGAGGGTGCAGCCTGCAGGATGGCCATTCTGACAGGCTGAGAACCATAGCCTGTGGCCAGAAGCCAGAAACATACTTTGAGGGAGAGGTAAAGGGAATAGAAATTTATACTGAGCAGGAAAGCCAAATACACATATTTAATAAGCTACAGGAGGAGTCCTGATATTTATGAGAGGAGAAATGTGCACAATTGAGCTTCATGCCTCTTCAGGGGTTCCATGTACAAAAAATCAGTGGCATTGGCATGATTCAAGGGTGGAATTTTCAACTCCCTGACATGAAAAGGTGAAACAGAAGACACGAAAACCCTTGGCCAGAACAACCAATGGTTAATGGTCTCTCATCAGGAAGAAATGGTGGTCACTAGCTTTGTTGAAACTCCAAAAGGGAAGGCCGGCAGTCAGGCGGTTGGTTGATGGCAGGGATGGAGTCTTTTGAAAGGGCTGTTTTCTGTTTGGCCCTTAGGGAAGAAAGCCTAATGGTAGTTAGCAAGGGAGAGGTTATAACAGGCATGTCTGACCTTTCATCCTGTCATGGCTGAGAACTTAGTTTCCAAAGTTTTCCTGGTGATCCCTTGGCCAAGAGGGGAGATTTCAGTCAGTTGAGGGGCTTAGGATTTTGTTTTTATTTCTAAATAGTATAACTTCAACTAAACATCAGGGATTTTAAAACATTTCAAAGACTTCCTGAACTCTTTATGGTTTTGCTACACAGTCACATGCTGCATAACATTTTAGCCAATGAGGGACCACACGTTTGATGGTGGTCCCATAATATTATAATGGAGCTGAAAAATTTCTACTGCCTGGTGACATCAGAGTCATTGTAGTGTTTTAGTACAATGCATTTCTCACATGTTTGCCTGTCTGTGATGATTTTGGTGTCAACAAACCTATTATGCTATCAGTCTTATAAAAGTATAGCACTTATGATTATGTACAGTACATAATACTTGACAATAGTAATAAACAACTAAGTTAAAGGTTTATGTATTTACTATACTATACTTTATATCATTATTTAAGAGTGTATTCCTTCTATTCATTAAAAAATAAGTTAACTGTTAAACAGCTTCAGGCAGGTCCTTCAGGAGACATTTCAAAAGAAGGAATTGTTATAATAGGAGATAACAACTCCATGTGTATTAATGCCCCTAAAGATCTACCTAAAGATGTGTAGGTAGAAGACAGTGATACCGATAATCCTGACCCTGTGTAGGCCTAGGCTACTGTGTGTGTTTGTGCCTTAGTTTTCAACAAAAAATCTAAACAGTAAAAAATAAAAATAAGAAAACTTAAAATAAAAACATTTAGAATAAGGATGTAAAGAAAGAAAATACTTTTGGACAGCTGTACAATGTATGTGTTTTAAAATGTATTATTACAGAAAAGGTAATAGGTTAAAAATAATTAAAAATTGTATAAAGTAAAAAAGTTAAAATAAGCTAGGGCTCATTTATTATTTAACTCCAATAACTGGGGACTTCAACATCAATAATTGGGGATTTCAGCATTGGACAGATGATCTAGACAGAAAAATAAACAAAGAAATATCTGTTTTAATCTGCAATATAGACCAAATGGACGTAACAGACATTTACAGAACATTTCATCCAACAGCTGCAGAATACACATTCTTCTCAACAGTACATGGAACATTTTCCGGGATAGACTATATGTTAGGCCATAAAACAAGTCTTCAGCAAATTCAAAAAAAATGAAATCATAGTAAGTGTCTTTTCTGACTATAATAGAATATAATCAGAAATCAAAAACAAGAGGAACTTTGGAAATTATACAAATATATGAAAATAAAACAATATGCTCCTGATTTACTGATGGGTCAATTAAAATATTAAGAAGAAAATCTAAAAAAAATGGAAACAAATGAAAATGGAAACATAGCATACCCAAACCTGTGGGATACAGCAAAAACAGTACTGAGAGGGATGCGTATAGTAATAAATGACCACATCCAAAAAATTGAGTCTTTAATGATGCATCTTAAAGAACTAGAAAAGCAAGAACAAATCAAACCCAAAATTAAATAAGGTAAGAAATAATAAATATCAAAGAAGAAATAAATAAAATTGAGGCTAAAAAAAGTACAAAAGATCGGTGAAATGGAAAGTTTGTTTTTTAAGAGAGAAACAAAATCACAAGCCTTTAACTAAACTAAGAAAAACAGACATAAGACCAAATAAATAAAATCAGAAATGAAAAAGTAGACATTATGACTGATACCAGAAAAATGCAAACTATCATCAGAGACTACTGTGATCAATTATATGTCAATAAATTGGAAGACCTGGAAGAAACGGATAAATTTCTGGACACATACAACCTAATACGATTGAACCATGACAAAATAGAAAACCTGAACAGATAAATAACAAGGAATGAGATAGAAGCAGTAATGAAAAAGCCTCCCACCAAAGAAAAACCCAAGATCAGATGGCTACACTGCTGAATTATACCAACATTTAAAGAAGAACTAATACCAATTCTACTCAAGGTATTTTAACAAATTAAGTGAAGGCAATACTTCCAAACTCATTCTACAAGGCCACAATTACCCTGATAACAAAACCAAACAGAGACACAACTTACAAAGCAAACTACAGGTCAATATCGCTGATGAACATAAATGCAAAAATTCTCAACAAAATACCAGCAGACTGAATTAAACAATATATTAAAAAGATAATTGACTGTGGTTAAGTAGGATTCTTCCCAGTGACATAAAGATGGTTCAAAGTACATAAATCAATAACACACATAACATTATTACTGAAGAGATAAAATTATAAAAAATAAATTTAGTGTAGTCTAAGTGTACAGTGTTTACAAAGTCTACAGTAGTGTACAGTAATGTCCTTGGCCTTCACAGTCATTCAGTCATTAACTCACTGACTCACCCAGAGCAACTTTGAGTCCTGTAAACTCTATTCATTGTAAATGCCCTATTCAGGTTTATCATTTTTTCTTTTATACCATATTTTTACTGTACCTCTTCTATATTTAAATATGTTGAGATACATAAATACTTACCATTGTATTACAATTGTCTATACTATTCAGTACAGTAACATGCTGTACAGATTTGTAGCCTAGAAGCAATAGACTATACAATACATTCTAGGTGTAGAGTAGTCTACACCCTTTAGCTTTGTATGAGTACACTCTATGATGTTCACATAGAGATGAATTTGCCTGATGATGCATTTCTCTCTACAACATTGGAAATATGACTTTAATTTTGAAAGTTTACATATTTATACATTCACCTATGAGCGGCTCCTTACCTTGGAAAAAAAGAGGAGTCTGACATTTTGCTGGGGTGAGACGTGGGGGAAAAATAAGCGATGACCTGAAATTTCCAGAGTCACTTATATTTGAAAGCTCACAAATAATACAGAATAGAATCCCTTCTCCATTCCATCCCCCAAACCAGAAAGGTTTAATAATTTAGAAGTTCTAGGTTAATTTAATTATATTAGATAAATGCTTGGGGAGTCATATGTGTCCATTTGTGACTTGGCTATTACTTTATTTCTTGTTTCTTAGATGTAAGGTCTAGGGCAGAAATCTTTGCACATGTGACTCATTGAAGGAGGGCTCTCAAGAGAAACTCAAGTGATAGGGCAGGAGAAGAAGCTATGCAAAGATATGGTTTCAGGAGAAATGTAGCCCAGGTCTGATTATTTGGGGAGCTCTGGTAACTGAATTACACCACAGAGCTAAAGGTGCTAGACTCTTAAGGGCTTCACAAGTCAGGCATTGACTACTAGTAACTCTTGGAAGGGGATGGGGTCTAACCTGCTTCTCCCTGCAAGGTCATTCTCATCTGCCAAGGGCAAGTCTCCAGAGAATAGTGAAGACAGAAACAATGCAAAGGCTGAAGGATGTGCAAACCTGGCTTGCAAAGATCTGCGTGGGCATCAACTGCATTTTCTATAGGAATACTTTCCTATTCTCTTTAACTCAACAATGATTGCACATTTAATATATTCAAGAAATAGTCTTAGCTGAAATTATTAAATAATATATGACTTCTAGCTTTGAGAAATCCCCAGTCTAGTAAATGAGACAAATATATACTCAACTATTCGACTCTAATCTGTGTTCCTTGAGGTCCTAATTTGTCTGTAAGTGAAATAAATCGTGTTCACATTAACAGTCTAAATTGCACTGACTTATGTGGTATCTGCACAGCCTCATCTATGTTTGTTCTGAGACATGTCAAGGGCTAAGTCACAAATAAGTCAGATCTACCCCTCTGGTCCCTTACTCAAGAGGGCATTTCATCAAATCTCACTGCTTTAAAACCCATTTAATGGCTTCCAAGTCTCTATTTTCAATTTGAACATCTCCCTTCAAATATAGACTCATACATCTTCTTTTGGATATAAAATAGGTTTCTAAAACTTAACTTTAAAGTGTAATCCCATTTGTGTTTCCACAGCTGCTTTTTCTGCAGTTTTCTCAATCTCAGTAAATGACAACTCCAAATTTCTAGATACTTGGATGAAAAAAATTATATTAATCCTTGATTACTCTCTTTTTGTAATATTCACATCAGCAAAACATGTCTGTTCAAACTTCTGTCCTAACTGCTCTCTTCTTGCTTTCTTGAGGCTGCCCATTCCCCACCCCCACCCCTGACCCCAAAACACATATTTTTTTACAGTCACCATTTCATTTGAAGGTGAAAACAAATTCTTACAACAGCTTACATGGTGCTCTATGACTCTGTTAAACTAAAATATCTGCCAGAGTGAGCCATGGAGAATTCTTTGGAAAATAGCCTTTGGATTTAAAAAAAAAAATAGTTTTGAACCCATTCTGCAGTCAGGTTGAACCTCATAAATTAGTGAGCAAGTGTTACAGCTAGAAAATTGGCAATGATTGAAGTATGGCCACGTAATTAAAGTTATGGGGGTGACTATGATTACATTTGTAGAAAATAAAGTCAGGAGATAAGGGGCCTAGCAAGAAATCTGAGAAACTTTAATTTGTGATGATTAAGTGAGGTTGGAAAGACTAGCTCAAGAAATGAAGAAGTAAATGACAGAGATCAAAAGAGTATAGTGTCATGAGAGCTCTGGGTTATGTAGATGAATCATATTTTTTTAACCCCAGGAAGCCAGTATTAGACTTACATATGTGTAAATTAATTCAATGACTGATCCTGCACTGGATGTGTTCTACAATCATTGAAGTTTTTAAATATAGTTATAAAAGTTAGAATATTAATATCCCATGTTCTATGGCAATTATAAGGTTAAATATTTATAATAATAATAGTGATTATTAGTGTCTTATCACATTTTATATCAATTTTGGAAGCTCTTATTTCTATGTTTCATCACTGTTTCTGTGAGAAATGTTTTAAACATGTCTAGTTATATGGCAATAATACTTATTTTCAAATAATCATGACTATTTTAGAATCCTTACATTTGCTATTAGGCAGAAAACAATGGTCATGCTATTTGGTCCATACAGCCTCTGATTTCTTGACCACTGAGTTGCATATTTTTACAATTTTTACTATTTAAGAAATCTTTGGAAATTTTTGATATACTATTTGGTATGAATAACCAATGAAATTCTAGTAAAATCTTTAAAATAAGGCTAATTGTACATATCTTATAGTTGCAATGAGGATTAAAAGAGATAATATATTATAACATATTTGATCAATAATAATTTGTTATATTAGTGTAAATATTGCAAAGCTCATTATGTACTCTGTGATGAGCAAAGAGGTATCCAAGAATAAATAAATTGATATCTCCTTACTTAAGATGCTTTCATTTTAGTATTCTAAGACCAGAGAAATTTTAACATAAATTGGAATGCATTAAGTGAAAAACCCAGATAGTAAGCTCCTTAAGGACAAAACTCTCTCATATTTGCTATAACTTCTTCAGTGCCTAAAAATGGTACTCATCATGTACAATGCGCATAATTAATGCTTACTGAATACTTTATGGAGTATCAAATAAATGATAGATGAATCAACAAAATAGGTAGGTGAAAACAGATTGCACAATATAAAAACACGTTTGAATGTAAATAAAAACATACCATGAATTTTCAAAGGAAGGAAAAATGACTTCTGAATAAGGAGAATCAATTAAGCATCAAGAAGTGGTATTTGGCCAGATTTTATAAATGAAATAAATTTTAACAAGTGAAGATTAAGATTAACTTTTAGAATAGAGGAATGATGAAAGCAAAGGTCAAATGGATTGTCAAATGCAAATATTCTAAAGTTTTACATGTATTACTAGTATACAATTTGATAGCTTTAATAGAGTTATTTTGGTGTAGATTTGGACCAGAACATGGTAGTCAATAATGTTTGCTAAATTCACAATTTAAAGGAGAGTTGTTTCTGAACAGTTGAGTAGGCTGAGAACTATAAAACTATGCATTTGAAAAAGTAGCCATGCTGGTGCAGAAAGATGATTTGATTAAAAGTTAAGACATTTTAAATTAGTCATATTGGATAATTAGAAAAATAACATTAACTAAATGTTGACTAAATAGGAGCTCTCACTCCCACTGGAAAACCTATTAAGAAAAAGGTTGTAAACTATGGAGAAATGTTGGCTATTTGTCACTGTTTAAAGAACTACTGCATGACTGAAATGTTTAAAGAACTAAATATTTTTCCACAGTTGCAGCCACCTGGTGAGTTGCTAGCAGTCAGACAAAGGCAACCTTAAGGAAACGTATTTATCATGACACCCCATGCAGTTTTAGCCATAAAGAGTTCAACTCCAAAATGGATATTTCCCCAGGCTGTGAAATTTTGTTTCAGAAAAAGCTCCCTAGGGGAATTAACTTTCTTTCTCTATTTAATTGACTTGATTTTATAGTTTTAGAGTTATTCAATGATTTTGGTGTTCAATAAACATTTATTAAATCTACATGTGCCTAATATAAGCCCAGACACTGTGGGAATAAGCAAGATGGGTTTTCACACTATTATAATAAATACTTAAAATACAAACATTACAACTACTCTTGACAGAGAACTCCAGAGGGACACTTTCTGATGATTTATACAGAAGGTATAAACATTTTCTTCATTATGTCCATTTTAATTGCAGTGAGAGAAACATATATAGGTGGCAATTAAACACAAAATTATGGCCTACATTACAGTCTATTTACTTTCAAGATGAATTGAGTAGAAGATAAAATAATAGCATACTCTGCTCTAGCAATCATCTTCATTGCTTTTCCAGGCTTTGCCAAGAAAGATTCTTACATAACTTTTATTTAATATATATGCTTATTGCAGGAAAGTGAAAAATACAGCAGAATATAAGTAGTAAGATAAATTACCTTCAATCTAACTTCACTAAAATAGCACTGCTAATACTTTATCTGGTTTCCTCTTTCAAAATGTATTGCTTAAGCTATTTGAACAATAGAAATAACAAAATATGAGAAACTACCCTTGGTTCCAATTTTTTTTGCATGATATAAAGAAATGAACAAAAGTCTTTTCCACCAACTCCAGTTCACCTTCAGAAGTAACCCCTCTTTAGAGATGGCTACAGCATTCCTGTGTTTTAATTGGATTTCTTCATATCTTTCTCACTGTCTCTCTCATTCTCTGTCTTCTCTTGACCTATGTGCAAGTGTACATTTTGTTTCTTAATAATCATAATCATGGGATAATGGTATACATAAGAATCTGTAACTTGCTATTTTTTAAATATGTGAATGATACATTATTTCAATGTATAAAATGTATATAGGTCCAACATCTTCTTTGCTGTGGCTGCATGGTTTTCTACAACAGAGATGCCTCACAATTTATTAACCAATTCTTTCACTGTTCAATATTTAGTTACCAATTTTTGTTATTACGAACAATAGTGCAATCAGTATACAAATGCACATTTTCTGGACTTGACAGTGAGATTGCTGAGCCTTAGTTTCTCTCTATTGATGATTTGAAACTATCCTGCAAAGATTTTATTTTTCTAGGTTTCTTTTATTCATTTATTCTACACTGTTAAGATCAATTATGTGCAAGGTCCTATGCTAAAAGCTGCCGATGCACTATTGATTAAAACATAATCTAAGCCAGTAAAGACTAGGGTAGGGAACTTGGGAATCTATGTAGGCAATTTTATATATTATGGAAGATACTTTCTGGAAGAAAGTAGAAAAGCAACTAACTTAGTCAAGAGGGATGAAAGAACTTCTGGTGGAGATACTTATAATTAGAAATAGTGGGAGTTAGCCAAGTGAGACTGGACTGGGAGAAAAATAGTCTTACAAGAGTAAAAATATTTATAAAAGTGATGAAAGTTCAGGATTCCACCCTGACAATTTCTGGGCATGATGGGTACTTCTTTCCCTCTAATGGAAACCCTAGGCAGGCATAGCTGATGCACCCTCCAAGTGGCAATTCAGCCAAAAGAGGGGATTCAAATTTAATTGTGGCTGAGTTTTATAATAATGCTCTTGCCTCTCTTGCAATTGACTCTTATGGACAAATGTTCTAGGTGTGAATAGGAAATTATTGGAAAAACAGTGATCTTATAGCTACTGGAGAGGAACAGATTGATTTTGAGCTAGTGGAGTAGAGTAACCCTAGTATCTGAGGAGAGAATGAAAATACCTTAGACCCTGGGAGGTATGGAAGAGAAAGAACCATTAATGATAATTTGTCTTTCAGAAGCTCTTTTGCCTTCACCCTTTCTAATAAAGGAAAATGCCCTGTGTGGCTCTCCCACACTGTGGCAAGCACCTTAAATGTAACTGACTGCTGGGTTGACTGCCATCCCCTCCCTACCCTCTCACCATGACATCATGACTCTGGTCTGACCATAATTTGATTGCCATTTCTCTTAATCTTACTAAGAAGTGTATTGGAAACAGTAGGTTGACTCCAGCACCTCCCAAGAAAAATACCACTGGATATAGTACCTGGTCCCATCACTGTAGTCTTCTCTTCTCTCCATTTTTCCACAAAGTAGCCATCCCATCTGGTGACATGAAGAAAGAGGACATACCACCCATCTGGTGACATGAACAAACAGGACAGGTTGAACCAACTGTCTTCAAACATTCCCTCCAAAACAAGAACTAGAGTAAAATATTCAAACTGAACTGGCAACTCTAAGGCATATCAGTTGGTTGAGAGGACTGTTGGAAGAAATGTCAACCTGTCACCCAACTCATATCATTGCTATTTAGGGTGTCCCAACAACTGTAAACAACAATTTCCTCCCATATGTAACTCCAGGACTGTGCTTCTTGTGTGGAAGCCAGACATTATCTTGCCATCTTCCCCAAAACACAGAAATTGGCACTTTAGGAATTGTCCCAGAGGCCTTCACTTATTTAAGGGAATGTCACCAGTAAACTTATATCCCTCCCATGACTGTGGAGGTCTCTCTAAAATGAAGTTGCCATTAGTTACTTGGGAGAAAACTTATAGGAAGAATAATTAGCTTATTATTTACATACTATAGTCAGTTATCTATACAATGAGAGCTCTCCCATTAGGAAAATATGTTGTAAAATTTGTCTCTGACTGTAGCTGAATTAATCCATGTACACTTTTATCCCTACATGGCATTCAATTCAGCATCAAAACACTGGCCAGGATTATGATGAACAATAGACTTTCCCCAGAATTATTTCTTGCTGGTCAATGCAGAGTCTGTGCAACTGCTAACACATTCTGCTCTACCTTGGGCCGAGTGAAGGGGATAACACAAAAACCATAGAAAACTCAACACACAAACTGAAGAAAGAAAAAATGAAGCTAGATTCCTAAGTTAGATCCTGATGATTTGTGGAATGTATTAATCTTGTGGTGTCTGGGGACTTGGAAGGCCTGTTTGGAGCCAGTCCTACAGGTAGGCCTCATCCTGATGCTTGGAGCTCTGTTAATAGTTATCTATTAAGACAAATTAAGTTATCTATGAGACAAATACAGCAGGTTGAGTTCCAGTCTTTATTGGTCAGGTTAATCTAAGTGGACAATGGATTAGTGCACTTACAGGAAAATTCACTAGAAGCCAACAAAGTGGCTGGTTTCCTGAATAACATTGTTAGACTGTCTGGCATGACCCAAGGCCTCCAGGCATATAAAAATAATCCTATCATCCATGACATTCCAAAGGCTTATAGTTTACCTCCCAGAAATCAAGGGCAAGGCCCATACTATTTTGGGGGCAAGATTAAATTCTTTACTACACAATATCCCACCTTACTCTGTGATCGATTCTTCTTCCTCATATGTAATACTCAGAAAAATTCATCATGTACTAATTAGTCATCTTTCCCATGTATGATACTTCTGGTGATGGGAAACTACTTCTAACGTGGATCCCTTTTATCTTTGGAAAATTTATTATTATTTATATTGAGACTTCATATAATACACGATACACATCCTTTTACATCCACTAAAAGTTTTGCATGTAATGGTTGTTCATTGAAATTATGTTAAATGAATTAGATCATATATTGTATTTTACTGTACCATGATCCAAAGCCAAGTCTCACAAGTGATTGCAACCAGACATGTATTACAACAGGGAAATGTTTCAAAAGGGATGCTTCTGAAGTAAGCAAATGAGAAATGGAAGAATTTTTCTTATGAAGAAGAGAGAGAAATCTTAGAAACTAGAATGTTTTGCTGGCAGATGTATATCACAGCTTATGTGAACAACATGCTATAAGCTGTGTTCCACTGATAGCTGGAGAAGTGATAAATCTGAAGCAAGCCAAGTAAAATAAGATTGTGTAATCTCATACTGCTTTCAAGGCAAAAAAGAATATATGACAGACAGCTGACCTTTCAAATATAAGGTAAAGAGTATATATTTCTTCTTATTGGTACTTGGTTAATGATTAAAGTTTACTGAAAAAGAATATTTTTTCTCTGTGAACCTGATTTAGAAAAAATAAAATTAAGTGAGATTATAAAAAGTGTCTTTGGCTTAACTAATATATTCACCTCTATTCACAGGCCAGTTGAAAAGCTATAAAGCATTTTAAGCTTTGAAATGATAAACTTGTAGCCTGACATTCAGGAACTTGAACAATGCACTTCATTTTCTCACTTCAGTTCACTTAGCAGATTTGATTTTGAAGCTAAGGAGCACATTTACAAAACACTTGCAGAAATATCCCAACATTAAAATGATTCTGTCTTTGAGGTTTCCATTATCTTTCAGAAGTTAACTTCGTTCCATATTTTAAATGTCCTAGTCTTTCTAGAATTGCCATGCTTTATTTTCTTGTTATTTGAGTGAGAGGGTTAAATTTGCAACTCATTCTAAGTCAAATCTAAGTTATAACCATGCAAAACTTACTTGTAAATCATCCCCTTAAACAGCCAAAGAATTACAAACCCATTTGTACTATGTAAGAGCCATATGAACTACACGTATTGTAATCAAGACAAATTTTGCATAAATTAGACTGGTATGGTTCCAGTAATATGTTTTAATAAACATTAAATGAGTTATTTGTGCCATAGCTTCGGAGAGAATTATGATTAAATAAATGGATCCTTTTTTTTTTTTTCAGACGGAGTCTTGTTCTGTCACACAGGCTGGAGTGTAGTGGCGCGATCTCAGCTCACTGCAAACTCCGCCTCCCGGGTTCACGCCATTCTCCTGCTTCAGCCTCCCTAGTAGCTGGGACTACAGGCGCCCGCCACCACGCCCGGCTAATTTTTTTTTTGTATTTTTTAGGAGAGACGGGGTTTCACCGTGTTAGCCAGGATGTTCTCGATCTTCTGACATCGTGATCGGCCCGCCTCGGCCTCCCAAAGTGCTGGGATTACAGGCGTGAGACACTGCGCCCGGCCAGTGGATCCATTTTTAATACAAATTGGCTAAACTAGTTTGTCAGTGCTCTGGACCTCTAAATGAAAAAGGGGCTTAAATTATTTAGTGGTTTTGATTCATTGGTGTTAACCTAAAGCTTATGACCATGACAAGGAAGAATAGTTCACAAAATGATGAATAACATTTTAAAATATTTATACATTTATTTTTAAGATAAATCCAAGTTACTGATGGATACAGTTTTAAAAATTATTTTTATATCTCACTATTAAAAAAAGTTTTCATCACCCAAATTCCCAAATTTCTACCCACTAGAAAAAAAAAACTTTGCCACTTTTTTTTTCTTTGAGATGGAGTCTCACTCTGTCACTCAGGCTGGAGTGCAATGGCCCAATCTTGGCTCACTGCAACCTCTGCCTCCCAGGTTCAGGCAATTCTCTGGCCTCAGCCTCCCGAGTAGATGGGATTATAGGCACCTGCAACCAGGCCCAGCTAATTTTTGTATTTTTGGTAGAGATGGAGTTTCACCATGTTGGCCAGGCTGGTCTCAAACTCCTGACCTCAAGTGATCCATCCACCTCAGCCTCCCAAAGTGCTGGGGTAACAGGCATGAGCCACCACACCCAGCCCTTTGCCACTATTTTTTATTAAAATTGTTCTCGCAATTTTTGTAATTGTGATATTTTAGTTAGATATATACTTTTATTTCCTAGAATTATAGGAAGACCTAGGTTTTTTTTTACTTATTACACACATACACACTATTCCTTCAACCTTTCTCTTAAGTTTATATCACCAATTTTGTTTATAGTAATATAAACAAAGCTTTTATTATATAATATATAATATAATATAAGCAAGGCTTGTATTATAAATACTGTGTAAATATTTCCACAGCTGAGTGAGGTAGTAGACTATGAGCTTATTTTATTTTTTGTACAAATATTATTTTTTTAGAATTAATAACTGGAGCATTTTTTCTTTTGTTTAATACATATTGTTTGCTACTTCATCCTCAAAATCTGGCACAGAAACAATTCTCTGAGAAATATTTACTGAGTGCCTTTAAATTGCTAGGTACTTCTCTGAGAATCTGGAACCTAACAGTATCCTCATAAACAGCTCTCTGACTATTTGGAGCTCACAATCTGGCCAGTGAGACATATAGTAAACTATATTGTAACAAGGCACATACTATCTACAACATTAGAAGTGCTAGAAGTTATGGGGGCAAAAGGTAGGGTAGGCTATGATGAATAGAAAGCAGAGTTCATAGGTCTCCTTGAAAAGCTGACATTAGAGAAGAGGTTTAAAGGACCTCCTTTACATCCTTGAAAGTAGTCAGAGCAAAGGACCCAATCTAGAAGCATGCCTGGCATGTTGGAGAAAAGTGTGGTAGGAACTGACAGAATGAGGAGTTGAGGAGTAGGAGATAAAGTTAGGAAATGGGGTTTACATATGTGGGGACTTGTAAGTCACTGTTCAAACTTCGATTTTATTTTATGGGAAATAAGTTTTCAGGGTTTGAGCAGAGAAGTGATATTATTTGAGTTTTAAAAGAATTTAAAAGAATGTGTTTCTAAAAGTCTTTTAAAAGCATTTTAAGAGGATTTGCTTGGCAGCTGGGTTGAGAATAGTGGGGACTATATTGGGAGGCAAACAGGGTGGAACAGAGAGAAGAGTTAGGAGGCAATTACAGGGAATCAGGTGAGATATTTGTTTTTTCTGTTGTTTACACATATCAGGAACTCTAAGGTTTTTGGACTTTTTAAAAATCATTATTGCCAGGGCTCTTGCCCTCATATAGCAGTCTGAATGGAAGTCCTAACGAATGTGCTTATCCTGGAATCTCCCTTCACCATCATCTGCAGGATGCCCTTTGCCTGTAATAAATATCCTGTATGTTATCCAAAGTCTTCCTCTTTATTCATGACTCTCTCCTTTTGGTGAAGCAAATTTTTAAATAAATTATTGAAAAACAACACAACAAAATTACTTTTTTGGGTATATGCAAGTCTGAAAATGTATGTATTGAAGCCTCACAATGAATGGATACATTGGCTGGGGCGTGCTGGATCACGCCTGTAATTCCAGCCCTTTAGGAGGCCAAGGCAGGAGAATCACCTGAGTTCAGGAGTTTGAGACCAGACTGGCCAACATGGCGAAACCCCGTCTCAACTAAAGATACAAAAAAATTAGCCAGGCATGTTGGCGGGCGCCTGTAATCCCAGCTACTCGGGAGGCTGTTGTGGGAGAATTACTTGAACCTGGGAGGCAGAGGTTGCAGTGAGCTGAGATTGCACCATTGCACTCCAGCCTGGGCAACAAGAGGGAGACTCCATCTCAAAAAAAAAAAAAAAAAAAAAAAAAAAAAAAATATATATATATATATATATATATATATATATATATATATATGAATTGAGAATTAACTCCTCTTGTAAGTTTGAAGACATTATTGTTTTGCCCTGAGCCTTCCTGTATTAAATTTTCATATCATGTCAATGGGGCTTTGGTGTGAATCTTTTTCTTCCTTCTTATCTGTTGTGCTTCTTTCCTGTTTGGGAGTAATTTTTAAATCTTTTCTAATCTTGAGATCTTGAAAATTATCTCAGTAATTTTCATGAATTTTTCACTCTTTTATAATCCTGTACGTTTTATTTTTTATTTATTTATAAAACTTCTATTATTTAGATATTATGCTCCCCTATATTTGAAATTTTCTCCCTATTTTATAACCACTTACTTCTTTACTTCTTATTCTAGGATATTTCCTCAAATTTTTTTCTAGATTTTCAATTGAAGTTTGCATTTTTGCTATCATAAGTTAATTTCTATGAATTCTTTTTTCTCTAAATATTTCTTTTCTAATGCCTTCTATTTATTACAGATCCTTAATACTGCTGTACAATCACACTAGATACCCCAGTCCATTCAATTTTTCTAATAGATGATGAATTTCTTCTTCAACCCCTGAATACAAATTTACAAGACCTTCTCTCCTATGCTCAAGACATTGCTTCCTAGTTCACTGAGAAAGATAGAAAATATTGTATAAAAAAAAGGTTTTACAGACTTTTAGAATGACATTTACCCAGATACCACCACCTGGACATATTTATTCTGCCTCCTACCTATTACTATAGATGAATTAGCCCTGCTTCTTTCAAAGGCTCCATATCCTCTCACATACTGAAAGACATCCCTCCAGGAATTTTCAAACCTTTTGTCTATATCATTTTTTCATTTTATACAGGCTTATTCTTATCAACGTATCATCATACAATAAGTTATCCCATCTTAAACACTCTTGGCCCTGCTCTGTCCTTCAGCTAACCAGTCATTTTTTTCTATCTTTACAGCAAAACTTATTGAAAAGTGTATTTATACCCACTGTCTCTATTTTTTCTCATCTCATTTTCCCTTAAACTCATGTGAAACATATCTTTATTGCTAGTAGGTTAGTTTTTTGTTCTTATTGGAACTTCTTTTGTCAAGCTCCTAATGGCCTAATTTTTGCTAATTTAAATAGCCAGTTCTCAGCCCTCATGTTAATTAACCTGTCATCAGTATTTGTCAAAAGCTTATTCCCTCCTCATTGATAATCTTGCTTTATTTGGCTTCTAGGATGTCACTCTCTAGTATTTCCACCTAAGTAACTGGCAGATTCTCATGAATCTTCTTTAATGGATTTGTCTCATCTCCCTAAGCCTCTTAATGTAGTGGTATCTCAAGACCCAACTCTTGGTTCTCTTCTCTGTTTGTACTAACTCAATAGGTAACCTAATTTAGCAATATGGTTTTAAATATTCTACATTTTGTTGCTTTCTGAACACATATATCAGACATGGACCTGTAACTTGAACTCCAAAGTTTTGTTTTTTGTTTGTTTGTTTGTTTGTTTTTGCTTCTCTCTTTAAAGTTTCATTAGAATGTCTGTTAGATATCTCAAATGTAACAAGGCAAAAATTTAAATTCAGGCCTGTTCTTTAACCCTTAAACATGTACTACCCAAAGCCTTTCCCTATTTAGTTAGTATTGATGGCTCTTCCAGGCAATTAAACCAAATACCCTGAAGTTAAGCTTTACTCTTCTCTTTTTCTCACAACTCACAATATCATCACAAAATATGTTTCACTTTATCTTCAACATAAACAGGGCTCACTTCTTCCGGCAAATCAGGTGCTGTTGCTCTGATCCCAGGCATTACCTTTTCTTTCTCAGATTTTTACAACAGTCCCTTACCTGACCTCTTGCTTATAACCTTCTTTTTCTATAGTCTATTTTAATATATTAATGAAAATATTTTTAATATATTAATGAAAATATTTTAATATATTGATGAATATAATATTTTAAAGATGAAATCAGATAATATTATTTCTCTACTTACAACCCTCTAATGATTCTCCATCTTTTTAAGAGTAAAAACCAAAGTCCTTAAAGTGGCCTACAAGCCAATACATAATTTGGCATCCTCACTACTTATCTATACCTGCTTCAAATGCACTTTCCCCTTGCCCATTTCATTCTAAGCAAACAAGCCTGGTTGATGGTGTTTAAGCACACCATTCATGCTTTTTCCTAATGGCATTTTCACTTTTTGTTCATTGAGCCTCAAGCCTTCATCTTAGCTATTTGAACTGAATGTCTTGTTCCCTCATCATCCTCAAATATTTGCCCCAATCATGTTCAGTGATGTCTTCTCTAATTGTCGCATTTAAAATTATCTGTTTATTGTTCACTTTTGTAGTAATTACTGTCTTTTAATATGTAATATAATTTACTTGTTTATTGTCTGCCTTCTCTTACTAGAATGTAAATTCCACAAGGAAAGATTATGGGTTTGTTTTGTTCATTGACTGAGAACAGTACTTCATACAAAAGATAATCAATAGAAACCAACAGAAAGATGCAAAATTTGAGAGAAAAGTCATTTAAAACAGCTATTATAGCTATGTTCAATAATATAAATAAAAATATGGTTAAAATAAATGAACAATTTGGAAATATCAGCAGAAGAATACAAACCACAAAGAATCAAATTGAAATTTGAAAATTGAGAATTAGAATATATAAAATAAAAATACCTGGTTGGGCTTAAAAAAAGAAATATAGGTACTATGTAAATAGTCAGTATACTTAAAGATAAATCAGTACAAATTATAGAATTTGAAGAACACAGAGGACAAAAATGGTCCCATAAACAAACAGAGCCTAAAGAATTTGTGATATTAAAAGTTCTAATGCACAAGCTATTAAAGTCTCAGAAATGAAGGGGAAGAAAGAAAAGCAGAAAAAAATATTTTAACAAATAATTGCCAAAAACTTCCCAAATTTAGTAAAAGTCACAAATCTATTGATTCAAAAGTCATTAGCCCCAAAGCAGAATAAATACAAAGTAAATTACATCATAGTTATACTGAGATAATTAAGGATAAAGACAAAATTTTAAAAAGAGCTAGAAAAATATTACATTAAAACAGGAGGATGTGAAATAACTATGCAGCCATAAAAAGAATGAGATTTTGTTCTTTGCAGGAGCATGGGTGGAGCTGGAGGCCATTATCCTTAGCAAACTAATACAGGAACAGAAACCATATACCGCATGTTCTCACTTATAAGTGAGAGCTAACTGTAGAGGGGAATAACACACACTGGGGCCTTTGAGAGGGTGGAGGGTGGGAGGAAGGAGAGAATTAGGAAAAATAACTAATGGGTACTGGGCTTAATACCTAAGTGAGGAAATAAGCTGTACAACAAACCCCCATGACACAAGTTTACCTATGTAACAAACATGCACTTGTACTGCTGGATTTAAAGTAAAAGTTAAAAAAAAAAAGCTTGAAAAAATAATAATAAACAATTTCAAAAGTGGGTATTTCTCATTAGAAACATTGGAATTCAGAAGATCATGAAACTACTTCTTGAGGACTAAAAGAAAGAAAAAAACTATATATTGGGAAATACATCCTTCAAATGTAAAAGCAAAATAAGGCATTTTTAAATAAATCAAAACTAAGAAAATTGATTGCCAGCAGACCTGTACTAAAAGATTCTTAAGCTGGGTATGATGGCTCACACCTATAATCCCAGCACTTATAGTGCCCAGGCCTGGAGGATCACTTGAGGCCAGGATTTTGAGACCAGCCTGGGTAACCCAGTGAGACCCTGTCTCTACAAAAATTAATAAATTAGTGGCCGGGCATGGTGGCTCACGCCTTTAATCCCAGCACTTTGGGAGGCTGAGGCAGGAGGATCACAAGGTTAGGAGATCAAGACCATCCTGGCTAACACAGTGAAACCCCGTCTCTACTAAAAATACAAAAAAATCAGCTGGGCATGGTGGCGGGCGCCTGTAGTCCCAGCTACTTGGGAGGCTGAGGCAGAAGAATGGTGTGAACCTGGGAGGCAGAGCTTGCAGTGAGCCGAAATCGCCACTGCACTTCAGCCTGGGTGACAGAGCGAGACTCCGTCTCAAAAAAAAAAAAAAAATTAGCTGGATGTAATGGTGCAACCCTGTAGTCTTAGCTACAGGAAGCTGAGGTGATTGGGAGAATCATTTGAGCCTAGGAGGTCCAGGCGGCAGTGAGCCAAGATTGCACCACTGCACTCCAGCCTGGGTTACAGAGTGAGACCTCATCTCAAAAAATAAATAAATTGGGAGAAACTTCCAGAGGAAGGAGCAGGCAGCAATCTTTGCTGTTCTGCAGCCTCCACTGATGATACCCAGGTGAAGTGGGTCTGTAGTGGACCTCCAGAAAACTCCAGCAGACATGCAGAAGAGGTGAAGATGAGGAAAAACCAGTGCAAAATGCTGAAAATTCCCAAAACCAGAGTGCCTCTTCTCCAAATGATCACAACTTCTTTCTAGCAAGGGCACAAAACTGGATGGAGAATGAGATTGACGAACTGACAAAAGCAGCCTTCAGAAGGTGGGTAATAACCAACTCCTCTGAGCTAAAGGAGCATGTTCTAACCCAAAGCAAAGAAGCTATGAGCCTTGATAAAAATCTTGGTAAAAGAACAGCTTACTGGAATAACCTGTTTAGAGAGGAACATAAATGACCTGATGGAGCTGAAAAACACAGCATGAGAACATTGTGAAGCATAAACAAGTATCAACAGCTGAATCAATCAAGCAGAAGAAAGGATATCAGATTGAAGACCAACTTATTTCAAATAAGGTATGAAGACAAGATTAGAGAAAAAAAATGAAAAAGAACGAAGAAAGCCTCCAAGAAATATGGGACTATATGAAAAGACCAAACCTACAATTGATTGGTGTACCTGAAAGTGATGGGGAGAATGGAACCAAGTTGGAAAACATACTTCAGGGTATTATCCAGGAGAACTTCCCTAACCTGGCAAGACAGGCCAACATTCAAATTCAGGAAATACAGAGGACACCACAAACATATTCCTTGAGAAGAGCAACCCCAAGACACATAATCGTCAGATTCTCCAAAGTTGAAATGAAGGAAAAAATGTTAAGGGCAGCCAGCGAGAAAGGTCGGGTTACCCACAAAGGGAAGCCCATCAGACTAACAGTGGATCTCTCTGCAGAAACCCTATAAGACAGAAGAGAGTGGAGGCCAATATTCAACATTCTTAAAGAAAAGAATTTTCAACCCAGAATTTCATATCCAGCCAAACTAAGCCTCATAAGAGAAGGAGAAATACAATCTTTACTAGCAAATGCTGAGGGATTTTGTCACCATCAGGCCTGCCTCATAAGAGCACATGAAGGGAGCCCTAAATATGGAAAATAAAAACTGATACCAGCCACTGCAAAAACACATCAAAATATAAAGACCAATGGCACTATGAAGAAACTGTATCCACTAGTGTGCAAAATAGCCAGGTAGCAGCATGATGACAGGATCACATTCACACATAACAATAGTAACCCTAAATGTAAATGAGCTAAATGCCCCAATTAAAAGCCACAGACTGGCAAACTGGATAAAGAGTCAAGCCCTATCAGTGTGCTGTATTCAGGAGACCCATCTCATGTGCAAAGACACACATAGGCTCAAAATAAAGGAATCAAGGAATATTTACCAAGCAAATTGCAAGCAAAAAAAAAAAAAAAAAAAAAAAACAGCAAGAATTGCAATGCTAGTCTCAGATAAAGGGACTTTAAACCAGCAAAGACAAAAAAAGACAAAGGGCATCACATAATATTAAAGGGATCAATGCAACAAGAAGAGCTAACTATCCTAAATATATATGCACTCAATAGTGGAGCACCCAGATTCATAAAACAAGTTCTTAGAGACCTACAAAGAGACTTAGACTCCCACACAATAGTAGTGGGAGACTTTAACACCCCACTGTTAATATTAGACAGATCAACAAGACAGAAAATTAACAAGGATGTTCGGGACTTGAACTCAGCTCTGGACCAAGCAGACTTAATAGACATCTGTAAAATCCTCCACCCTAAATCAAGAGAATATACATTCTTTTCAATGCCACATAGCACATATTCTAATATTGACCACAAAATTGGAAGCAAAACACTCCTCAGCAAATGCAAAATAATGGAAATCATAACGAACAATCTCTCAGACCAAATGCAATCAAATTACAACTCAGGATCAAGAAACTCACTCAAAACCACACAACTACATTGAAATTGGACAACCGCATGATTATCTCAGTAGATGCAGAAAAGGTCTTCGATAAAATTCAGCATCCTTTTACGGTAAAAACTCTCAACAAGCTAGGTATTGATGGAACATATCTCAAAATAATAAGAGCTATTTATGACAAACCCATAGCCAATATTAGACTGAATGGGCAAAAGCTGGAAGCATTACCTTTGAAAACTGGCACAAGACAAGGATGCCCTCTCTCACCACTCCTATTCAAAATAGTATTGGAAGTCCTGTCCAGGGCAATCAGGCAAGAGAAAGAAATTAATGGTATTCAGATAGGAAGAGAGGAAGTCAAATTGTCTCTGTTTGCAGATGACAGGATTGTATATTTAGAAAACCTCATCATCTCACCCCCGAAACACCTTAAGCTGATAAGCAATTTCAGCAAAGTCTCAGGATACAAAGTCAATGTGCAAAAAGCACAAGCATTCCCATACACCTACAATACACAATCAGAGAGCCAAATCATGAGTGAACTCCCATTCACAATTGCTACAAAGAGAATAAAATACCTAAGAATACAACTCACAAGGAATGTGAAGGACCTCTTCAAGGAGAACTACAAACCACTGCTCAAGAAAACAAGAGAGGACACAAACAAATGGAAAACCATTCCATGCTCATGGATAGGAAGAATCAATATCGTGAAAATGACCATACTGCTTAAAGCAATTTATAGATTCAATGCTATTCCCATCAAGCTACCCATGACTTTCTTTGCAGAATAATAATAAAAGAAAAAAACTACTTTAAATTTAATTTCATAGGTAACCAAAAAAGAGCCCATGTAGCCAAGACAATTCTTGGCAAAAACAAACAAACAACAACAACAGCAACAACAACAAAAAAAGAAAAAAAAGAAAAAAAAAAGCTGGAGGCATCACACTACCTGACTTCAAACTATCCTACAAGGCTAGAGTAACCAAAACAGCATGGTAGTGGTATCAAAAGAGATATACAGACCAATGGAATGGAACAGAGACCTCAGAAATATCATCATACATCTAAAATGATCTGATCTTTGACAAACTTGACAAAAACAAGCAATGGAGAAAGGATTCCCTTTTTAATAAATTGTGTTGGGAAAACTGGCTAGCCATATGCCAAAAACTGAAACTGGACCCCTACCTTATACCTTATACAAAAATTAACTCAAGATGGATTAAAGACTTAAATGTAATACCCAAAAGTATAAAAACCCTAGAACAAAACTTAGGCAATACCATTCAGTACTTAGGTATGGGCAAAGACTTCATAACTAAAACACCAAAAGCAATTGCAACAAAAGCCAAAATTGACAAATTGGATCTAATCAAACTAAAGAGCTTCTGCACTACAAAAGAAGCTATTATCAGAGTGAACAGGCAACCTACAGAATGGGAGAAAATTTTTGCAATCTACCCATCTGACAAAGGTCTAATATCCAGAATCTATAAAGAACTTAAACAAATTTAAAAGAAAAAACAATCAACTCCATCAAAACGTGCACAAAGTCTATGAACAGACACTTCTCCAAAGAAGACATTTATGCAGCCAACAAACATATGAAAAAAAGCTCATCATCACTGGTCATTAGAGAAATGCAAATCAAAACCACAATGAGATACCATCTCATACCAGTTAGCACGGTGACCATTAAAAAGTCAGGAAACAACAGATGCTGGTGAGGCTGTGGAGAAATAGGAACACTTTTACACTGTTGGTGAGAGTGTAATTTAATTCAACCATTGTGGAAGACAGTGTGGCAATTCCTCAAGGATCTAGAACCAGAAATACCATTTGACCCAGCAATCCGATTACTGGGTATATACTCAAAGGATTATAAATCATTCTACTATAAAGACACATGCACACATATGTTTATTGCAGCACTATTTACTATGGCAAAGACTTGGAGCCAACCCAAATGCCCATCAATGATAGACTGGATAAAGAAAATGTGGCACATATACACCATGGAATATATGCAGCCATAAAACAGAGTGAGTTCGTGTTTTTTGCAGGGACATGGATGAACCTGGAAGCCATCATTCTCAACAAACTAACACAGGAACAGAAAACCAAACACCGCATGTTCTCAGTCAAAAGTGGGATTTGAACAATGAGAACACATGGCCAGCACACACTGGGGCCTGTCAGTGGATGGGGGGCAAAGGGATGGAGACCATTAGGACAAATATCTAATGCATGCGGAGTTTAAAACCTAGATGACGGGTTGATAGGTGAAGCAAACCAGCATGGCACATGTATACTTATGTAACAAACCTGCAGGTACTGCACATTTATCTCAGAACTGAAAGTATAATAAAAATAAATAAATACATAAATAAATAAGAAATGAAAAGAGATTCTTCATTCTGTAGGGATCTGATACCAGGTGGAAACATCCTCAGGAAAGAATGAAGATAACCAGAAATTGTAATTATATAAATAGATATAAAATACTTTTTCCTCTTAATTTATTTAAAATGCATATGATTAAAGAAAAAACTATTTGTTTTATGAGGTTTACAACAAATATAGATATAATACAAATAAAAACTAGATCATAAATGATGGTGGTGGTGGTAAATATACTTACTGATTTGTGAAATTCTTACAATTTATTTTCAATAATGTAATAGCAACACTAAGTGGGCTATAAAAGCTATACATTATAATCCTACAGCAAACACTAAAGAAAAAAGTCTGCAGAAAGTTGCAGCAAAAAGCCAATACATAAATTATAATGAAATTACTTAAAAAGAATAGTTATTTAACCTGAAGATAGCAAAAGAACAAAAAAGAAAGTCTAAACAAGAAACAAACAATAAGCCTAAATCCAATCATAACAACATGTTAAACTTAAATAGCTTAAAGGAGATTGTCAGAATAAGTAAAAACCTAACGGGAATCTAGGTTTATATTGGCTGGACTTGTTGAGTCATGAAGTTCATTACAGAATGAAATGGCTGTAGGCCTTTACTCTTGGTTCTCCATTTTCCTACATAGGCACCAACCTTCTATATAAAAGGGAGAAGCCTGGCTTGCTGTGCATTGAATGAAGTTAAAATGCTAGAGATTTCTTTATTTAATATGTAGTCTTTTATTTAATACTACTACTTTTCATATGATATTTCTACCTCAACTGTGTCTTGGGCCCTTGGGTCCAAGTTCTCTCTGATTGAATCTCTTCAAATAATAAACCTCTTATTTTCTGCAAGAAAAGAAGTAGGTATAATGATCAGTCTGCCAACTTAAAAAATGACAATTTATCTTGCAAAGGCTTATCTTTATCAAAAGTGTACACATAAGAACGTACTTTGATAATGCAAAGAGCAGTTGTTTAAATAATGCTGTATTATGAAGAAGTAGCCCTTTTAGGAAATTATAGGAGGAAGAAATTTCTCTGGCTTTGTGTAGCCGTGTGGTGAGACTTCATGTATGCTAGTACTCCCAATACTCCCAGAAAATTTTTCCACTCTCTACTCTCTCCACTTCTTTGTAATTATCCAATTGTTACTCTTGGAAGAAGTAAAGAGTATGCTGAGCCCATTCCTTTTTGTTTTTTGTTTTATTTCTTGTTCTTGTTCAGGGCCTGCTGAAAAAGTATCCTGAAGTGAGAATGTATTTAATCAGCTTTCTTTCAGGCAGAGAGGTGGGCAGATTCTGTCTCTTAGAGAGATATGTGATCATCTACATCAATGGGCATAACTGTCTAAATATGGTGAGGGATGTGGTTGCAAATCTAGAGCCATAGTGTTCAAATAGCTTTAGCCATATGATAAAATGACAATTACTTTTTTAATTGTCTGTATCTTGGATTTTATTTCTCAAGCAGTTTCAAACAAGGAGTACAAAAGGGGTAGTAGTACATTTATGTGACCAACAAACATATGAAAAAAAGCCCATTGTCACTGGTCATTAGAGAAATGCAAATCAAAACCACAATGAGATACCATCTCATGCCAGTTAGAATGACGATCATTAAAAAGTCAGGAAACAATAGATGCTGGAGAGAATGTGGAGAAACAAAAATGCTTTTACACTGTTGGTGAGAGTGTAAATTAGTTCAACCATTGTGGAAGTCAGTGTGATGATTCCTCAAGGATCTAGAACCAGAAATACCATTTGACCCAGTAATCCCATTACTGGGTATATACCCAAAGGATTATAAATCATTCTACTATAAAGACACATGCACACGTATGTTTATTGTGGCACTATTCACAATAGCAAAGACTTGGAACCAACCCAAATGTCCATCAATGATAGAATGGATAAAGAAAATGTGGCACATATATACCATGGACTACTATGCAGCCATAAAAAAGAATGAGTTCACGTCCTTTGCAGGGACATGGGTGAAGCTGGAAACCATCATTCCCAGCAAACTGACACAGGAACAGAAAACCAAACGCCACATGTTCTCACTCATAAGTGAGAGTTGAACAATGAGAACACATGGACAGAAGGAGGGGAACATCACATACCAGGGCCTGTCAGGGTTGGGGGGCTAGGGGAGGGATAGCATTAGGAGAAATACCTAATGTAGATGACAGGTTGATGGGTACAGCAAACCACCATGGCACATGTAAACTTATGTAACAAACCTGTACATTCTGCACATGTATCCCAGAACTTAAAGTATAATAAAAAAAAAACTCAATAGAAAATATTTTGTTTTTGCATTCAAAATATAAATAATATGTATAGTTTATGATTTTGCTGCCTACACTCTTTGGGATATTTTAAAACAATTATGATATTATAAAAACATAAATTGTCATTTTTCTCAGATTACTTTTTTTTTCCTGAGGCTTACTTTTCCTGTGTAAAAATAATTGTCAACGAAATACCAGTATACAATTAGAAGAAACTGGACTCCGTTTTTACACCATATAAAAAAATCAACTCCAGATGGATTAAAGACCTAAATGTCGATCTTAAAACTATAAAAACCTTGGAAGATAACCTAGGAATAACATCTTGGATGTACAAATTGGCCAAGATTGCATTATGAAAATGCCAAAAGCAATTGCAACAAAAGCCAAAATTGGCGAATGGTACTGAATTAAACTGAAGAACTTCTGCATAGCAAAAGAAGCTGTCAACAGAGTAAACAGGCAACCTGCAGAATGGGAGAGAATATTTGCAGATTATACATCTGAGAAAGGCTTAATATTCAGAATCTATAAGGAATTTAAACAAATGTACAAGCAGAAAACAAACAACTCTATTAAAAAGTGGTCAAATTACATGAACAGACACTTTTTAAAAGAGGACAAAAATGTAGCCAACAAGCATATGAAAAAAAGCTCAATATCGCTGATCATTGGAGAGTTGCAAATCAAAACCACAACAGGATACCATCTCAAGCAAGTCAGAATGGCTATTATTGAAAAGTCAACAAATAACAGATGCTGACAAGGTTGCAGAGAAAAGGGAACGTGTATACACTGTGGCGGAAGTTTAAATTAGTCAACCATTAGTGAAAGCTCTGTGGCGATTCTTTAAAGAACTAAAAACAGAACTACCATTTGACCCAGCAGTCCCACTACTGAGCATATACCCAAAGAACTATAAATCATTATACCATAAAGACACATGCATACACATGTTTATTGCAGCACTATTGACAATAGCGAAGACATGGAATTAACATAAATGCCTATCAGTGGTAGAATAGATAAACAAAATGTGGTATGTCTACAACATGGAATACTATGTAGCCATAAAAATGAATGAGATTATGTCCTTTGCAGGAACATGGATGGAACTGGAGGCCATTATTCTTAGCAAACTAATGCAGGAAGAGAAAACCAAATACCCTATGATGTCACTCATAAATGGAAGCTAAACAATGACAACACATGGCACAAAGGTGAACAGAACAACAGACACTGAGGCCTACCAGAGGGTGGAGAGTGGGAGGAGATAGTGGTTCAGGAAAAAAACAAACAAGAAGTAAAAACTATTGGGTACTATACTTAGTACCTGGATGACAAAATAATTTGTACACCAAATCCCTAAGTCACAAATTTACCTAAATAAGAAACCTGCACATGTACTCTTAAACCTAAAATAAAAGTTAAAATTTTTTTTAAAATGAGATTAATAATAGCAAGAAATAACAAGAGGATGGTATAAGTGGAACTTTTATATATAGGTGGTGAGAGTATAAATTGGCGAAACTACTTTGGAAAATCACTTCATAGTACCTAAAACTTGATCATAGGTTTATGTTATGAACTGACCCAGGAATTGTACTGCCTGGCGTATTTTTAACAGAAATAAGTGTATATCTTCATCAAAAATATGTACAAGAGGCCAGGGACAGTGACTTGCACCTATAATTTCAAATCTTTAGGAGGACAAGGCAGAAGGATGACCTGAGGCCGGGAGTTCAATGTCAGCCTGGACAACATGGTGAGAACCCACCTCTACAAAAAACATAGATAAATTAACCAGACATGGTGATGAGCTGTGATCATTTTTTTGTACTCCCAACTGGGTGACAAAGTAAAATTCTGTCTATAAAAAAAAAAGTGCGAGAATACGCATGACTACTTTTTTTCGTAATAGCTAAAGACAAATTGCAAATAGCAAATGCCTGATGTCAGCAAACTTGACAAATAAAATGTGACATATTAACAAAACAGAAAATTATGGAACAATGACATGAATAAATTACTACCATATGCAACAACAAGAGAAATCCCATAAACATTATGTTGAAAAAAAGAAGCCAGATACAAGAGTACATATCACATAAATTCATGTACATGAAGTTCAAGAATAAGCAAAACTAATATATCGTAAAAATAAATCAGAATAGTAGCTACCTTTGTAGGTAATTAATGAGTAGGACACCAGGGGACACCAGAAAATATTCTGAGGTGCTGAATATGTTCAAAATCTTGATCTAGATGATTGTATAAATATATGCTAAATCTAAAAAAGGTTTTAAAAGTTGCCACTTGCTTTATATCTTCTTTTTTAACATAAAAAAAATTTAAATATTTGATTCCTATAACACAATCAAATATAGTGAATCTCACCATATTTTAGTATGCTGTTCATTTGTCTATAAATATATTATCATTTTCTGCACAGCGCATGAAAATTTAGCCATGTTTATGAAATAATCATAAAATGAAATACATTTATCTGCCAATTTATTATTTCCATATATTTTAATAAATTTTTTGTAAATACTTAGTAAGTACTTATTTAATAAGAGTTAATGAATAAAACTGACACTCAAAAATATAGGAACTACTTATATTCTACAAATAGTAATAATAATTTATCAAATCTAAAATCTCTGAATCAACATTTAATTAGGCAGTTAAATTGTAATTGTTCCTTTCTTAGAAACAAGATTCAGTCCTATATAATTGCTGAACTATAGGAGTAAATGTAAAAATAATAAAATGATAAAATAATTTAATCATTTGTCTATTACTTATTATTTAAGGCAGAAACTTACATTTGTTGGCACTATATCATAAGAATTAACATAATTTCTATTTTTGAGGGGGAAATTAGTTTATTGATTTAATAATTACATGGTGATATCTATTGTGGCACATTTAGATAGGATTATAGTCTTGTAGATGGTGAGTTGGCCACATGACAATCTAATTTAAATGATCTCATTGCAGCCTTTAAAAGAGAGAGAATCTATGGCTACTTTCACTTATAACAAAACACTATCAATTCCATAATATTGTCAGTTGTTATCATACAATTTTATTATAATCTGCCATAAATTATTTCTAATCTGCTTAATCAGAGTTTTTTTGCCTTTGTTTAAGATTCTTATATAAACCTTTTAGCCATGTATTGTAAATTAATAATATAGAAACTGGACACTGTCTCTTTTATTTATCTTTTTTTTTTTGGATTGACAGTGCAGTGAAACCAAGTACTTGATTAGAAGAGGCAAAGCTGTCAGTTCTGAAAAGACATGGCTAAATTCACAATTAATTCTCTTATTAATCATGCTATCTCGAATTTTGAATTTAAGAGCCTTTGCAATACAGGAAAATGCACTTTTCATAATATTAGTTGATTATAAGAACTTCATGTCTTAAATTTTCAAAAGAAATATATACTTCATCAGCATCTTTCTAACATCATGGGAAAAAAAGAATCTATCATTGCTGATGTCAAAAAAATTGGTCAATTGAATTATCTGGTTGACTTATCATTCCCCTGTACTTTAGAAAAAATGCAGCAGGTGTTTCATTTCATGGTGATTATTTCATAAACATGGCTAAATTTTCAAGCACTGTACAGAAAATGATAATATATTTATAGACAAATGAACAAGGAATCTTTTTAAAAAATTATTTCAAATTTCCATTTCAATAAAATTAATTGAAATACTTCAATTTTTTAATCTCCATTGTATAAATGACACAGAGACTTGAAGCAAGTGTGAGTTTACTTTTTAATCATAACTTTTCTTAATATCAGTAATCCTAAGGAATCAACTTTCATTATTCATGTGAAAAGTAGGTAATGGTGAGTGAAGTACATGCCTTGTCTTCAAAGGGCCTCATGTTTAATGGTGAAGACATAGTAGTCACATTGTGGTGTGCAAGTGTGCTAGCATAACCACAGAGATAAAGTGAAACATTGATCTTCCAGAATCACACAAAACAATAAAACAATATACATAATGGAGGATCATGTACCGAATCCGTCTTCAATTAAGTTTTCAAAGTTTCCACACTGATCAAGGGTGACATTTGATGTAATATGTTATGCAGTTGGTTTCAAAATGATTTATTCTTGAAAAGTCAAGAAGTGTTGCTAGAATATGCTCATTGCCATTGGATCGAACTTTATCACTCCCTGTACTTTGCTTTAACTCCTTGTACTGTCCTTTAACTAACATTTTCCACTGTATCCTCCGGAATTCCTGTCCTATTTACAAGAGTTTCTCTCACATATCATTCTTTTCCTAGAACACTCATCTAGCCTGTGACCTCAAAAAGTCCACAGAACCTCTCTTCACTTTTAACTAGCAGTTAGGAGTTGGCCATCCTCCTCTTCCTTCCAATCTGCCCTTTCTTCTCCCAACATTTCCTGGTACAATAGGAAAAGCAGTTGTCTTCCAGTGCTCCACTGAAATTTTGTGGTTTGTATTTATTTTTTCCTAAAATAGCCTTTCCTCTGTAAATATATTTTATGACCATGTTCCCTCCTACTTTCCATCATCTTAGGTCATGTAGATAGGCCTCTAGTGTTTTCACCTTCTTTTGAAGAGGACTTGGGTACATATTTGAACAGTTTTCCCTCTTTTCCAACTCCTATAATCACTTAGACTATTTCAAAATCCAGTTGTATGACACATCAAATCCATTTTTTGAAGAAATAGTTATTCAACATTTTTAATCTACTGAGCAACTAAGCATTGTGTGTATCATTATGAATACACAAGTGATAATTTCAGAGCCTTTAATGTGAATTATCTCATATTGGAAGACAGACAAATGGACCAAGTAGCTACAGAAGTACCTTTCATGAACTATAAAAGAAACTTATATAAGGTCTGTGGAAATAAATTTTTTAGTAAGACTTATGCCATCTTACAACCCTGACTCCAATCTAGCCAGTTAATTTGATAACCATACCTTCACTTCTCTACCTCTCTATTTCCCCTCCCCAGTACTACCCACCAGAACTCCAGACTTTATCCTTATTGAACTTATCTCCATGCCATTCCTTTTCTAATTTTCTGTCATTTTTCATATGGTTCCATCTGTCTGAAATATCTATCACTCCTCTTGGCCATCTGTCAAACTCCTGTTCATAGATTTTAGCTTAAAAATTAACTATCAGATGAAAACTTCCCTGATACACCAAAGAAGGTTGAAATTTCAACTCTTCTGTTCTTCTATGCCCTTTGTGTGTACTTCCAGCATCTCTTTAACATGTCTCTGAGCTCCTAAAAGATAGAGTCTGAATATATATACTTAGTAACGAAGACATAAATTTTCAAAACTTTTATGAAATGAAGCCTGACATACAGAGGAAAGATGCTAGAGAAATTCATATCAAAGAACAGGTCTTTTATTCCTATGATGTTCCTTAGGAACAACTTTCTTGTTAATAATTGATCAATTTTATAGTGTAATGAAAATTGACTCCAAAGTCTCCAAATTGTCTAGACATCTTTATTATTCAGGTAGACTAACTTTTTTAAAGAAGCAAGCTGCAAATTAAAGTGTTTACCATGATAAATTTTATTTTTTGTTTATATAAATTCCAATGCTGATGTTCTTATCAAGTAGCTCAACAGGGTGGCTCTCTTTCACATGATGTCTCTCACTAATTCAGGCTTCATTCATTTTGTGAACCTACCATCTGTAAAACTAGGTTTTTAAATTGATTAAAAATGAGAGCAGAGCACGTATACTTAATAATGACAGTCTGTAATTGACACTTATCACTTCTGATCATGTTTCATTAACCAGAATTAGTCACATAGCACCATCTAGATACGAGAGAGACAGCAAATGTTATACTGTAGAAGACCATGAATATTGGTGGTCTGTTAGCCTTCTGTGTCGAACAAGTGAACTGGCATAAATGTCTGCAAATACTAAGTATTGTCTAAAATCAAGGATCTGATAACTGAAAAGAATTGAAATTTTCCAAAATACTCATCTGTAGATGACTAGAGAAGAGACTTAACTATGGATTAATAAACTATTTTTTCTGAAATGCTCTTTTTAATTTGGATTACTCTTTTAAGTTACAACTTGACAGTTTTAAAAATGCACAACTATGCCTGGCTCCCTGCCTTTTATTATTGTTTCAGAGGAAATATTTTTGGAGGAAATATGCTTTGGAAGAAATATTCATGGCCCAGTATAAAAAATTGGTTTTATTTAAAGTTCAGAAAATTGGTACCAGGTATTAGAATTTTGTTTTGTCCTTGATCTAAGTGATCTCTGTGAAATGCTTATTTCATTTACAATTACTCTTCCTATCTGACTTTTGTTTTTGTTCTGTGAAAAATGGGCTCACAATTCTAGCTCAATCATAATAAAATTGAGTATTGGTACTTTTTGTTATTGAACTCATATATGCACTTATATGGTATCTAGATTCTAAGAGAACTAGCTCATGCTATTTTCTTGACAAATTGCTTCTTGATTGGTATCTACATGTGAAGTAAACTACAAGGCCCATGACTTTTGTAAAATTTCAGTTAGATTAAATTGAGTAAGTTTATTTTCTGTAGAATATACCAAAAATATTTTATATGCTACTTTTATCCTATTGGAATTAGCTAATAATGATACCTCACATCATTGGTCTTACTTAATCTTTAGAGCAATCCCATAAGACAGATATATTTTTATTATCTTAATTTTATGAGCCTGTGAAAATGCAAAATGGTAATGCTAAGGTCACAATATTAACAAGTGCTAGAACTGGGGCAGCCTGATTCTAGTCTGCATGCTTAACCACAATGACTTAGTGCTACTACTACTGTAGCAGCTTATTTAGCATTACAAAGATGTATCACTAAGGGCATAATAAAAGCAAATGAAGACTTTTAGTCTTATTTGATAGATATATATTTATTAATTACTTATTAATGATGATATATATTTGAATGAACAGATTTATGAGTTCCAGGAATAAGAAAGACTCCTATTTTCAGAAGGGCCAGATGGTATAAATGATAAAGTATTATAACATTTTAGAGGGTACTGAGTTTTAGATTATGGGCTTTGCTTCAAAATCAAGAGTTGAATTTCAAGAAATAAATTTATATAAAACAGTTTTACTTATACTACATTAAATGAGTTGGGTTGCTCTGTTTCACGTGGCTCAATCTGTGACATTATATTTCTGAAACCATTGCTTTGCCATCGTTTCTTACTATCCCCTCCTAGACTTGCTAGTAAGTTGATGTGCTTCCAACATGACAGCTGCAACAAAATGGCTATTTTGGGAGCGAACTATTATAAATGTATAGAAAGAAAGATGGGTATTTTACTTGCTACTTCATGCAGGTTGCAACACTAGTATATATGATGTGATTAGATATTTTCAAGAACAGAGAAAATATTTTCTATTAAATGAGTTTAATTTTTCACTTCTTTCTATTCCACTGTTTTAACAGAGCCAATTATGTAGCTTAGAAATACAAATGTACTTTAAGAAATAACTCTTGCCTTAAGAAAAAGAAGGTATTATTTACTTTGAGACACGTGATATTAATATAAATCATTGCTGTGGTGCTAGCATAGGATACATTAAAGTCATTTACATTTGTTTATAAAGCTCCTCCCCTTTACAAAATAACTACTAGTAAATCTCTAAGCAGTAATTAAAGGAATTGAAGGTAGTATTGAAATATTTAATAGTACCCCCAAAATTCGATACTCTATAATTGAGACTTTAACCATTCTTAATAAATGCTCTAATTTGCCAAAAATTTGACTAAACTTTTTATGTGTACTTCATGTAGACATCAAATCTTTACTATTTATACCAAAAAACAAAAATAACAATAACAACAGTAACAAAACATCACACATGCTTACCTAGTATATAATTCTTGTAAGATTTTTCTGCCTTCTTAAGTAAATATTCCAGGATATTAAGATAAAGAAAGATTTAGCATTTTTATGGTCAATATTTTTTCCATGTTGCAGGTAAATTCTAAATATTAAATTTACTTTAGACCCTTAACATTTACTTGGATTTTGATATCATTTAAATACATATATATATAGAATGCTTCTCCTCAATTTATTTTGCAAAACATGGGTATATTTTACACAGCACAGGTATATTTTACTTAGTTTATATGGAGGCTTTGCAAATCTCTTAGTCTTTGCCTGTCTTAATTTTCTCAGTGTGAATGAAAGAAGATATATGTTAAAGATTAGAAATAATTTGAAAATAGTACCTAGAATATATTAAGCACTCAGTAAGTAGTAGCTAAATTTAAAATGGTAAAAATATGTATTTGAAACAGATTTTAGTGATTATATGAATTATAGTAAATTCTTAGAATATATGGCAACAATTTTGATCCTTCCACACACCCACAGTCATTTAGTGATTATGTCAAAATTGGTTTCTCGAGCACGTCCTCAGTACTGTCTGCTTTCTACTTTCACCTGTTGTTATTTAGTCACCACTAGATGGTGTCCTTTTATGTTAGTAGCTTTTAACTCAGTTTTCACCAGGAAAGAGGTTTCATTATTCCTTCCTTCTTTCTTTTCTTCATTCACTCATTTATTTCTTCATTTATTCATTCATCCCATCCATCCATTCATCCATCCATCCATCCATCCCTCCACCCACTCAGCTATCCATCCATTCACTCATGCTACCATTCATTTAATAGAACTTAATTGAAAAACAATCATGTGCTGGGCAGTGAAAATTTAAAAATAAAACAAAACTAAAACCAATTAAAAAAACCTTGGAATTTTACGTTGCCTCTGTCCTTAAAGAGCTCATAGACTATTTAAAGTACTTTTATTCAGAAAGCACTTACTGGGCACATACCTGTGTCATCTTCTGTTCTAGGTATTGTGAGCATAGATGAAGAAAAACAGGGAAAGCATCCTACCCTCTTGGAACTTGTATTGGCATAGAGAACAAGCAAACCAACCAATAGCTGTACAGAAAAAAATAGAAGGTAATTTCATACAAGTGATAAAAGGTAGCTTAGGGGATAGTTACCCCGACTGAACAAAACCTTTTCTCGTGCTCAGAGATACATAACTTATAGAATCCATTTTTATAAATAGGATTTTTTTCAGTGTTTCTGTTTTGATTACACTGCTTGCCATTGTCCCACTGTGCTTTAGTTTGTCCTAAAGCTAAATGTCCAGGAATTATAATTGATTTTTATTTTCAGCTAATTAATACTTCTCTAAAGTAGTTTATTTTGCCAGTTTGGGAAATGAGAACAAATATCTCTCTGGTCTCTTCTCTTTCTTCATAGTATTAGGCTAAAATGGAAATTGGGGCTATTCTTTTTCTTTGTCCACTTGAGTGTGTCTGGTGAAGGAAACCTCCCAGCTGGAATCAGATACTTGTACAGGAAAAGAACTGCTGAATGCCTAAGGCATGTCTGAGCAAGCTTTACTGCCCTATTTATAAGACAACAGGGTGCTTTGCTTAGAAAGCCCAGCTTCTTCTGGGAGCCCACAGGCAAATCTGTTACCAGGCAACAGATTTCTTATGAAAGCCAAATATAAAAGCCTACATCATTAATTAAACAGATAAGAATACAGTCTTCCCACAGTTACTAACCTGCAAACAATATAGTTCTGCATCTAATATGTATCAATCGCCATTTTGGTTTTAAAAGGATGCTATTGTTTTCAGTCATATACAGCGGGTAATTGCTGTGAGGGTAAGAAGGGAAATGGCCTGTATTAAAAGTTCACTTAGTAATTACAGTGAATGAATAATTTTTATCTATTAAAAATACAGTATAGCCATGAGGTCTATATTTAAACTTCAGGAAAGGTGCACATACTGATGTTATCAGTTTAGCATAAGAGGTGTCGTTTCAGTCTTAAGTGACAGGCAGAGGACAGACAGAGAACAAACAAGTCATAATATAATAGACCCAGAGAGAGCCAAAGAAGCAGAAAAAAAATTACACAACCCCAAATCTCAGCAGGTCATAGTCAGTATTTAAATCCCCCAAATCATATAGGAAGGGGGTATTGTACAACTGACCAGTGACCAGACTCACAATGCAGTTTTCATTATAAATATAAAACAGAGGTAATCTGCATTCTATTATTTTCTTAAGCGCTACCAAACCACGACAAATAAGTGTGACAGGTACAGAAAGATAGAAGGACCCAGGATCTAACATTGTACTAAGAGGTGAGTGATAGGTACCGGGAGGTAGGAGGACTCAGGACTAATTTTCCTCCTAATGAAAGATGAGAATAAGCTATTTGTAGGAAGATGTTAGTTTAATAATCTTAGAAAGTATGAGCTGACTTGAATATTAACTCAGAGTATTTGGTGAGAACTGATTCTCCACTTCCAACGGTAATCTCTATAACTGGTTTAAATAGTGATCTCAGTACAGTTTACAGTCCTCTGACAGGTAAGCAGGTGTTCAATAAATACACAAGAATGTTGATTTGGAAAGATATACTTTTATTTTCAAAATAATTTTAGTGATATTCTCCTTTCAAGTGCATAAGACTATGATATACTTGAAGGGGAGAATATAGTTAACCACTCTCTGCATTGCATGTTTGTTTTAATTTGCATGGCAGAGTGTCGTTTTACTTATGAATTTGACAGACGGGTAGAATCATATACATTCTCCATCTATACAACATGCTGCTTGAGCAAATTTTGGTTGAAATTTTTGTCTCTGGAACAATTATTAATGAGAAAATGGCTAGCAATATATGCCTATTTTTAGGAACTATTAATTTCCTATTTTCTAGTTTACGTTCTCCAAGTTGAGGAAAAGGCCTACAAGTCACAGACCTTGAGTATTATAAGCAACTACCACTCTGATTCCTTAAAGAATTCTTCCAGAGCTCAGTCATAATCTGCATCCAGCGTGATGCTAAATGCTTGCCAGTCTGGGGCAAAAGAAAAGTCAAATTCTTCTCTGGAAAGTGTCTCTGGTGCTAGGCCTAGAAAATAGGATGATAACAGCTGAATTGATGTTGCTACAAGTTTCTTTTAAAAAATAAATGATTTAATATTATTTCATGATTAAGTTTGATTTATGCTTCCCAGTAGAAATACCACAAAAACTTTGTTGTGTCCTTTTTTTAGGGTACTTTATCTGGAGGTATGTGATGTCTGTCTGGTAATGTCAATTTTGCTCAATTTGCTTGACTTTTTTCCCCATGTGATTATCAAATTTCTGTTTAAATTCTTGCCCATATCAATTATTACTATGTTGGTTGCAAAGTGTTGCTTATCTAATTCTACAATTTATCCACATTCCTTTCTTCATTGTTAATTAACTACTTTAGTTAGTTGGTTATGCATTTATTTATTATTACCTGTGCTCATGGAGACTTATTCAGTTAATCTAAAGAAGTTATTGAGAAAATTAGAATGTGGGTTATAGATAAGGTAAACATATCAATGTTAAATTAATTTATTTTGAAATACAAAACATACCTTTCTTCCTTGGAAATATATACTACAGTATTAATGGATAAGGTTACACGACGTTTGTAATCTATTCTCAAGCGGCGCAAAAATAAAAAATAAACTTGAACAACTATTTATATATATAGATAAATAAAATGGTCATACATTGACGTGTTTATGTATAAGTGTGATGTATATATATTTATATGAATTATAAAGCAAATGTAGTAAAATAAAAATAGGTGTATCTGAGTGTATGGTATATGGAATTTCTCCCTAATATTTTTTGTGACTTTTCAGTAAACCCAACATTATTTCAAACTGAACAGCTGAAGAAGAAGAATGGCATAATTATTATTGGCGTTTAGTACATATTCAACAACATATTTCCAGTGATACTTGTGGTCTTAGTATAGAATTATGGAAACCATCTCTTGAGCTTATTAAAACTAATGAGGTCATTCTTTTGGTGTTGCTGTTGTTTTTGTTTGTTTATTTTAATTTTGCTTTGTGTTTCCATGTTTGTTTTAAATATGATCACACAGAAGGCTGAGCATGGTGGCTCACACCTGTAATCCCAGCATTTTGGGGGCTGAGGTGGGTGGATCACTTGAGGTCAGGAGTTTGAGACCAGCCTGGCCAACATGGTGAAACCCAGTCTCTACTAATAATACAAAAAATTAGCTGAGCATCTTGGCATGCACCTGTAAGTCCAGTTACTCAGGAGTCTGAGGCAGGAGAATCACTTGAACCTGAGAGGCAGAGGTTGCAGTAAGCCAGGATTGCACCACTGTACTCCAGCTTGGGCAACAGAGTGAAACTGCATCTCAAAAAACAAACAAACAAACAAAAAACCCATAGTCACACAGATGATTTTGTATTAGCCTGTTCTCACACTAATGATAAAGGCATACCTGAAACTGGGTAATTTATAAAGAAAAATAGGTTTAATGTAGTCACAGTTCCACGTAGGTGGGGAGGCCTCACAATCATGGCAGAAAGCAAAAGGCATGTCTTACATGGTGGCAGGTGAAAAGAGAGAGCCGAGTGAAAGGGATTTCCCCTTAATAAAACCATTAGATTTCATGAGATTTATTCACTACCGTGAGAACAACATGAAGGAAACCGCCTCCATGATTCAATTATCTCCCACAGGGTCTCTCTCCCAACAGGTGGGAATTATGAGAGCTACAATTCAAAATGAGATTTGCACGGGCACACAGTCGAACCGTATCAGATTCATTCTGATTATGTTAATAGTAAATATTCAATATTAATGGCTACATTATTGACAAGTTAATTCAGACCTATGTTTTTGTAATGTTTTATTTTAATTTAGAGGGCACGGATTTGGGTTTTTTTTTTTTTTTGAGACCGAGTTTTGCTCTTGTTGCCCAGGCTGGAGTGCAATGGTGCAATCTTGGCTCACTGCAACCTCCACCTCCCAGGTTCAAGTGATTCTCCTGCCTCAGCCTCCCAAGTAGCTGGGATTACAGGTGTGTGCCACCACATCTGGCACAGATTTTTTCTAAGTGTTTTTTATGTGTGATATCTAAGCTAATCCTTCCAAGAACCCAATGACAATGAGTTATATTGTACTATCCTAGCATTTTAAATGAAGAAAATGACTTTCAATACATATTTTTTCAAGGTCACATAACTCTAGTAAAAAAGCCAGCACTGGAATCCAGAGCTATCCGACTTCAAGCCAGTGATCTTTTCAGCACATCAGTGTCTTCTCATAATTAAATTTCTTCTTTGCAATTGTTAATATGCATACTCTATGACCAAAATTGTATGAATGTGATAAGGGAACATTTGAAAAAACAGGTTTTCAATTTCATTTTTTAAATGAACATTTCTCAAGTCCCCAAGATGTGTAGAGCAATATATTCATAGTACCAACTGATCAGCAAATTTATAGTCAGATCATATTTTTTTCCTATCTTTGCCATATGTTCCAAATTCAGAAGTTGACTAGATCATTAAAACACACACTCATATCTCTACTTTGCATGATGAATACACATCATTTTGTTATATTTTATTTGTTATTGTTATAATACTTTAATTTCCAGCTGGAGGTGAGGAAGAGAAATACAGACAAATATCACCACTCATCGCCTCCTACTCCACAGCCCCTCATGGTATAACAAAATCTGGGCATAATTTAGAACTTGTGTATTTTTTAAATCTTCCCTTTATAATTCTTATAATATCACTAAGTTGCTAGGAGAAAAGTTATATTCTGAGAGCTACTATTTCATAATTCACAAGGGCAAATCAGAGGAATCATTTATGCTTTAGTAACATTACTAATTACTGCTGTGTTTGATCTAGTCTATGTGAAATTCTAACATTTGAGAGGTTTAAAACATCTCAGATGAAACTATTTTGCCATCAATACACTTGATTTTAATAATTTTTCAATAATAAGAAATTCTAGTTTGACAAATTAGAATCTCTAGAGTCATCTTTTTGTTGTTGTTGTTCATGATCATCTATATCCATTTTGTCACCAAATAATTGCACTTCTACTTTGAGATTTAAAAATATATATATACCCTCTTCTTTCAGTTCTTATGGCTAGTGCTTTAATTCTGGATTATATTACTATATATTTGGAATGTTGCAATATAACGAATTGTCATCTCCAAATACAAATTTGTGTGTATGCATCCACAGTTGCAGAGTCTCCCTGTTCCATTTAAGATCAAGTTTAAACTTCTGACCCCTATGTTTTTTTCAGCCTCAGGTCCATTTTTTACTTTATCTGATATACCCCTATTTTCCATGTTTTTGTCCCTGGAAAAAAAAAAAAGAAACCCTCCAAAAAGATTTTTTTATCATATCTCCACAGGCAGAAATATTCTTTTGTACTTCCAGATCTGATTTTTAACACCTATTTTCACCTAGAAAGTGCTTAACACATTGCTCCAAATTAAGTAAGAGCTCAACAATTGTCACATATTATTTTATTTTTGGTGACAGATTATCTGAATATTGGAAGGTTATTTCTAAACCATCCATTTCTTATTATCAGTTTTTTAAAGCTATTCTGACTCTCCCTTTGGTCGAAAGGAATAATGAAATTTTCTAAATAATGACATGAAATGTATTAAAGGATTGAGTATATAATATCCATGTACTAAGATAGAGAAATGCTTTTTATTGGGTATTTTGGATGAATAATTTTAAATTTATTACTTGTCTTTTCAGAAATAAAATAATAAAATACATCATTTTATATTAACTTAAGAAAAAGCTTGCATTTCCAACCCCCAAACATACAGTAGTTAACTTTGCTCATTATCTTTCTTTTTAGCCTTTTCCTACAGTCTTTGTGCAAATAAATAAAATAACACCTAGTGTAAAGAACTCATGGCTTAAAATCATCAATGGTATTAATAATAAATGACTGTAGAGGAAAAGGTGCCAAATTCATCATTTTAAAATCACTTATATAAAAAACTGTACAAATGCTTATAAAAAGACATACAAATACCACTTCTTTAGAAAAAACACTTGGCAGGTTCCAAGATGGCCAAATAGGAACAGCTCCAGTCTACAGCTCTCAGTGTGAGTGACGCAGAAGACATGTGATTTCTGCATTTCCAACTGAGGTACCGGGTTCATCTCACTGGGGCTTGTTGGACAGTGGGTGCAGGACAGTGGGTGCAGTGAACCGAGCATGAGCTGAAGCAATGTGAGCTATCACCTCACCCAGGAAGTGCAAGGGATCGGGGAATTCCCTTTCATAGCCAAGCAAAGCAGTGACAGATGGCACCTGGAAAATTGGGTCACTCCCACCCTAATACTGCACTTTTCCAATGGTCTTAGCAAATGGCACACCAGGAGATTATATCCTGTGCCTGGCTTGGAGGGTCCCAAACCCACAGAGCCCTGCTCACTGCTAGCACAGCAGTCTGAGATCAAACTGCAAGGTGGCAGTGAGGCTGGGGGAGGGGCACCCTCCATTGCCGAGGCTTGAGTAGGTAAACAAAGCGGTCAGGAAGCTGGAACTGGGTGGAGCCCACCACAGCTCAAGGAGGCCTGCCTGCCTTGGGGCAAGGCATAGCCGAACAAAAGGCAGCAGAAACCTCTGCAGACTTAAATGTCCCTGTCTGACAGCTTTGAAGAGAGTAGTGGTTCTCCCAGCATGGAGTTTGAGATCTGAGAACGGACAGACTGCCTCCTCAAGTGAGTCCCTGACCCCCAAGTAGCCTATCTTGGAGGCACCCCCAAGTAGGGGCAGACTGACACCTCACAAGGCCGGGTACCCCACTGGGATGAAACCTCCAGAGGAACCATCAGACAGCAACATATGCTGTTCAGCAAAATATTCACTGTTCTGCAGCCTCTGCTGCTGATACCTAAGCAAGCAGGGTCTGGAGTGGACCTCCAGCAAACTCCAACAGACCTGCAGCTGAGGGTCCTGGCCGTTAAAAAGAAAACTAACAAACAGAAAGGACATCCACACCAAAACCCCATCTGTATGTCACCATCATCAAAGACCAAAGGTAGATAAAACCACAAAGATGGGGAAAAAACAGAACAGAAAAACTGAAAATTCTCAAAATCAGAGTGCCTCTCCTCCTCCAAAGGAACGCAGCTCCTCACCAGCAATGGAACAAAGCTGGATGGAGAATGACTTTGACGAGTTGAGAGAAGAAGGCTTCAGAAGATCAAACTTCTCCGAGCTAACGGAAGTTCGAACCCATCGCAAAGAAGTTAAAAACCTTGAAAAAAGATTAGATGAATGGTTAACTAGAATAACCAATGCAGAGAGTCCTTAAAGGACCTGATGGAGCTGAAAACTATGGCACGAGAACTATGTGACGAATGCACAAGCTTCAGTAGCCAATTCGATCAACTGGAAGAAAGGGCATCAGTGATTGAAGTTCAAATGAATGAAATGAAGTGAGATTCCACAATTCCACATGGCTGGGGAGGCCTCAGAAACATGGGCAGAAGGCGAAAGTCACTTCTTGCATGGTGGCAGCAAGAGAAAAATGAGAAAGAAGCAAAAGCGAAATCCCTCATAAACCCATCAGATCTCACGAGATTTATTCACTATCATGAGAATAGCACAGGAAAGACCAGCCCTCATGATTTAATTGCCTCCCTCTGAGTCCCTCTCACAATACGTGGGAATTCTGGGAGATACAATTCAAGTTGAGATTTCGTGGGGACACCGCCAAACCATATCCTTCCACCCCTGGCCCCTCCAAATCTCATGTCCTCACATTTCAATACCAATCATGCCTTCCCAAAAGTCTCGAAAGTCTTAACTCATTTCAGCATTAACCCAAAAGTCCACGATCCAAAGTCTCATCTGAGACAAGGCAAGTCCCTTTTGCCTATGAGCCTGTAAAATCAAAAGCAACCTTGTTACTTCCTAGATACAATGGGGGTACAGGTATTGGGTAAATACAGCCATTCCAAATGGGAGAAATTGGCCAAAACAAAAGGGTTACAGGGCCCATGCAAGTCTGAAATCCAGCGGGGCAAATTTTAAAACTCCAAAATGATCTCTTTTGACTCCAGGTCTCACGTCCAGGTCACACTGATGCAAGAGCTGGGTTCCCATGGACTTGGGCAGCTCTGACCCTGTGGCTTTGCAGGGGACAGCCTCCCTCTTGGCTGCTTTCATGGGATGGCATTGAGTGCCTGCAGCTTTTCCAGGCACATGGTACAAGCTGTTGGTGGATCTACCATTCTGGGGTCTGAAGGACGGTGGCCCTCTTCTCACAGTTCTACTATGCCGTGCCCCAGTAGGAACTCTGTGTGGGGGCTCTGACCCCACTTTTCCCTTCCACACTGCTCTAGCAGAGGTTCTCCATGAGGACCCTGCCCCTGCAGCAAACTTTTGCCTGGGCATCAGGTGTTTCCATACATCTTCTGAAATCTAGGGGACATTCCCAAACCTCAATTCTTGACTTCTGTGCATCCACAGGCTCAACAACACATGGAAGCTGCCCAGGCTTGGGGCTTCCACCCTCTGAAGTGACAGCCTAAGCTCTACATTGGCCCCTTTCAGCCACAGCTGGAGCATCTGGGACACAGGGCACCAAGTCCCTAGGCTGCACACAGCACAGGGACCCCGGGCCTGGCCCACTAAACCACATTTTCCTCCTGGGCCTCTGGGTCTGTGATGTGAGGGGCTGCCGTGAAGGTCTCTGACATGGCCTGGAGACATTTTCCCCATGGTATTGGGGATTAACATTTGGCTCATTGCTACTTTTGCAAATTTCTGTAGCTGGCTTGAATTTATCTCCAGAAAATGGATTTTTCTTTTCTCTCACATAGTGAGGCTGCAAGTTTTCTGAACTTTTATGCTCTGTTTCCCTTTTAAAACTGAATGCCTTTAAGAGTACCCAAGTCACCTCCTGAATGTTTTGCTGTTTAGAAATCCTTTCCACCAGATACCCTAAATCATCTCTCTCAAGTTCTAAGTTCCACAAATCCCTAGGGCAGGGGCAAAATGCCACGAGTATCTTTGCTAAAATATAACAAAAGTCACCTTTGCTCCAGTTCCCAAGTTCCTCATCTCCATCTGAGACCACCTCAGTTGGACCTTATTGTTTATATCATTATCAGGCTTTTGGTGAAAGCCATTCAACAAGTCTTTAGGAAGTTCTAAAATGTCCCACTTTTTCCTGTCTTTTTCTGATCCCCCCAGACTGTACCAGCCTCAGCCTGTTACCCAGTTCCATTTGTCACTTTCACATTTTTTGGGTATCTTTTCAGCAGTGCCCCACTCTACTGGTACCAATTTACTGTATTAGTCCATTTTCATGCTACTGATAAAAACATACCCAAGACTGGGAAGAAAAAGAGGTTTAATTGGACTTACAGTTCCACATAGCTTGGCCAGTCCTCAGAATCACGGCGGGTGGTGAAAGGCTCTTCTTATATGACAATGGCAAGAGAAAAATGAGGAGAAAGTAAAAGCAGAAACTTGCTAAACCCATCAGATCTCGTGAGACTTATTCATATCATGAGAATAGCACAGGAAAGACTGGCCCCCATGATTTCATTACCTCCCCCTGGCTCCCTCCCACTACATGTAGGAATTCTGGGAGATATAATTCAAGTTGAGATTTGGTGGGGACACAGCCAAACCATGTCACCTATTATACAGATTTTTGCTTTCCTCAGGAATTTAATGTTCAAAATGATAGTAAATGCAGAAAGCTGCCTCTCTGTTTTAAGATGCCTGTTCTTCCCACTCTTCGTATATTTGGTAGAGTTTGGGACATTTAGGAACAGATTTTTACTAAGAGGCTATATTATCTCATCACAGAAACAGTACTATTTAAAAACAAAGGGATTGAGGAATACTACTGTGCAACGAATCAAATAAAAATCACTACCTATGTATACCTCCCTTATACCCAAAGGATACAGTTTCACATGTATTAGATATTCTAATGTTAGAAACAACTTCTGTTTTATGGAAAAAACATTGTTCCAGGCTATAAAACAAAGTTTGCTTTTGGTTGAACTGGGTGTGGGTAGGTAAGGAGTTTTCTAAGATTAAACAGTTAATTATACAGCAAATAGCAGGACTGGACCAGATTTTCTAAATGGAAGTGCAGGACTCTATTCCAGTTCATTTACCAGAGCTATCTTCAAGCATACAAAATTAAAGTTGAAATATAATCACTTCTATCAATATATAAGGCTACAATCCATATTTTTGTCCATTCCTTTACTTTGCACAGACGTAAATTAAGCTCTAAGCCTAGCTCAGCCAGCTAACTCAAAATAAGATACAAGACTATTAAATGAGAGATAATAGGACACTTGTTTTATTGTTATTGACAAAGTGGTCATGAAATTTTAACTCCTATATCCCATTGATGATGAATCAGGATTATTGTATTTTCCATGAGGGAAAGCCCATCTCTATTACAAAGACTTTAGAATCGGTGAGATAAGTACATGCAAATGCTTAATTCCACTTATTCACAATTTATTGACCTCAGTTTATGTGGAAAGGCAAAAGATCCAGAATAGCCAACACAATAATGAAAAATAGCAAAGACAATATTTAAATTCAGACCCACTATAAATCTACAATAATCAAGACAATTTAGTATTGGCCATAAAACAGACAAATAGACAATGACAATAGACAGAATAGAAGGCTCAGAAATAGACCCACATAAATATAGTCAACTTATCTTTGACACGGAGTGAAGGCATTACAATAGAGAAAATACAGTTGTTGGATATTAGGCCTTTATCACATGTATAGTTTGCAAAACTTTTCTCCCATTCTGTAGGCTGTCTGTTCACTTTGTTGATAGTTTCTTTTGCTACACAGAGGCTCTTTAGTTTAATTAGATATGATTAGTCAGTTTTTGCTTTTGTCGTAATTGCTTTTGTTGTCTTCATCATGAAATCTTTGCCTGTTCCTATATCCAGAATAGTATTGGCTAGATTGTCTTCCAGGGTTTTTATAGTTTTGAGTTTTATATTTAAGTTTTTAATCCATTCTGAGTTAATTTTTGTATATGGTATAAGGAAGGAGTCTAATTTCAATCCTCTGCATATGGCTAACCAGTTATCCCAGCATCATTTATTGAATAAGGAATCATTTTCCCATTTCTTGTTTTTGCCAGGTTTGTCAAAGATCAGATAGTTGTAGGTGTGTGGTATGTTCTCACTTATGGGTGAGAGCTAAATGATGAGAACACATGGACACACAGAGAAGAACAACACAAACTGGGGCCTATCAAAGGGTGGAGGGAAGAAGGGAGGAGAAGATCAGGAAAAATAACTAATTGGTATTAGGCTTAATACCTGCACGATGAAATAATCTGTACCACAAACCCCCACAACAAAATTTTACCTATATAATAAGGCTACACATATACTCTTGAACTTAAAAGTTAAAAAATATTGATAATTCAGACATCAACAACAAAACATTAGAAAATATAGTCTTTTCAACAAATGGTGCTGGAGCAAAATCCTTCACAAAAATAAACTCAGAAAGGGTCATATGCCTAAGTGTAAAATGTAAAACTATAAGAATTCTGGAAGATAGCATACAGGAAAATCTAGATGACCTTGGGTATGCTGAATACTTTTTAGAAATCATGTCATAAATAAAATCATGGAAAAACTGGACTTTATTAAAATAAAAAAAAACTTACGCTCTGTGAAAAACACTGCCATGAGAATAATAAGACAAGTTGCAGGTGGAGAAAAATCTTTGCAAAGGACATATCTGATAAAGAACTCTTATCTAAAATACATAAAGAACACTTAAAGCAATGCAAAAGCAAACAAACTGAATTAAAAATGAGATGAGCAAAAGGTTTGAACAGACCGCAGCTTACTAAAGAAGATAGCAAATATGCATATGAAAAGATGCACAGTACCATGTCATTGGGGAACTGCAAACAAAAACAAGAATGAGATGCCACTAACACCTGTTAAAATGGCTAAAATCCAAAACACCGTCAACACCAAATGCTGGGAAGGATGTAGAACAAGAGAGACTTTTACTTATTGCTGGTGGTAGTGCAAACAGCCACTTGAAAGACAGGTTGCAAGTTTCTTGCAAAGTAAAACATACTCTTTATATATGATCCAGCAATCACACCCCTCAATTTTTCCCCAAAGGAGTTGCAAACTTGTATCTGCACAAACACCTCTATATGGATGTTAATAGCAACTTTATTCATAAAGGCCCAAACTTGGAATAAACTAAGATGTCTTCAGTAGGTGAATGGATGAATGGATAAAGAAACTGTGGTACATCCTAACAATGAATTATTTTATTCAGTGCTAAAACAAAATGAGCTATCTAGCCTAGAAAAGACATGGAAGAATCTTAAATAAGTATAACATAATGAAAAAAGCCAATTTGAAAAGGCTACATACTATATTATTCCAAATATATAACATTTTGGAAAACACAAAACTATGGGACACTAAAAATATCAGTCATTGCCAGGTGTTGGGAGGAGGAAGAAATCAAGAAGCAGTGCACTGATTTTCAGGTCAGTGAAACTATTCCATATGATATTATAATGGTGAATATATGTCATTATACATTTGTCAAAACCCATAGAATGTACAAAACCAAGAATGAACCCTAATTAATGTCTAGTATGGAGTTTGAGTGATCCTGATGTGACAAAGTAGGTTCATTATTAACAAATAACACTATGGGAGTGTCAGGAAATTGACAGTGAGGGAGGCTGTAGGTACGTGAGGGCAGGGAGTATATGTATGGGCACTGTCTGTATATTCTGCTCAGTTTTTTATACTGTGAAACTAAAGCAGCTTCAAAAACAGTTTATGTTAAAAAAATTGAATTCCTGCTATGTGCCAGGCATTATTATTGGCCTTGAGAGTATGAAGATGTATTAAGCACATGGAAGTGATAAAAACAGGCAATTAAACAAGTAATTTCAATATAATTGAGTGACAAGACAGTGGTATACATACAGCATAGAAAAGATAAGAGAACTAAGTAACAAGAAAAGCCAAATGAAACTTCTTGGAAGAGATTTTACTTTTCTGTTTGAGCTAAATCTTAAAATAATTGTATTACATGCTGCAACAGTGTAGAATTGTTACTAATATGAGAAAAAAAGAATCATTTTATTTAAGCACTTTAGAAAAATGGAACTATTTTAATATCGTAAGTTCATATAAGGTGAGCTAGAAGTGTCATTGTTGAAAATGTTTTTTTTACCCATGCTATGATCTATTTGTGTTTTGATCCCACCATCCAAATTTATATATTAAAATTCTAACACCCAAAGTGATGGAATTGGGACATGAAACCTTTGAGAGGTGATTATATGTCATGAGGTTGAAACCCTCATGATTGGAATTAGTGCTCTTAAAAAAGAGGCCTCACCTTCTCTTCACAACCTTGGCAGCATCTGTTATTTTTTGACTTTTTAATAATAGTCATTCTGATGGGTGTAAGATGGTATCTCATTTTGGTTTTGATTTGTGTTCCTGTAATGATTAGTGATGTTGAATATTTTTTCATGTGCTTGTTGTATGCCTGTATGTCTCCTTTTTGGAAGTGTCTGTTCACATTATTTGCCCATTTTTAATGAGGTTTGCTTTTTGCTTGTTGATTTAAGTTCCTTTTAGATTGTAGACATTAGGCCTTTGTTGGATGCATAGTTTGCAAATATTTTCTCCAATTCTGTAGGTTGCCCATTTACTCTCTTAATAGGGTTTTGTTGTGTTGTTCTTGGTTGTTGGTTTGGGTTTTTTTTTATTTTGTTTTTGTTTTGTTTTATTTTGCCTCCCAGGAGCTCTGCAATCAGTTTCTATTTGTCAATTTTTATTTGTGTTGCAATCGCTTTTGGTATCATCATCATGTAACCTTTGCCAGGACCTAGGTCCAAAATGTCATTTCCAATGTTATCTTCTATGGTTTTATAGTTTAAGGTTTCATCTTTAAGTCTTTTATTCATCAAATGTCATTTCCAATGTTATCTTCTATGAATTTTATAGTTTAAGGTTTTATCTTTAAGTCTTTCATTCATCTTAATTTGATTTTTATATATGGTGAAAAGAAGGGGTCCATTTTCAATCTTACGCATGTGGCTAGTCACTTATCCCAGCACCATTTATTGAATAGGGATTCTTTTCCCCATTGCTTGTTTTGGTTAACTTTGTCAAAAATCAGATGGTTGTAGGTGTATGACTTTATTTCTGGGTTCTCTATTCTGTTCCATTGGTCTATTTGTTTGTTTTGTACCAGTGCCATGCTGTTTTGGTTACTGTAGCCTTGTAGCATAGTTTGAAGTTGGGTAGTGTGATGGCTCCTGCTTTGTTCTTTTTTCATAGGTTTGATTTCACTGTTGTGGCTCTTTTTTGGTTTCATATAAATTTTAGAATCTTCTTTTTCTAATTCTGTGAAAAATGTCATTGGTAGTTTGATATAAATAACATTGAATCTGTAAATTGCTTTGGCCAGTATGGCCATTTTAACAATATTGATTCTTCTCATTCATGAGCATGGAATGTGTTTCCATTTGTTTGTGCCATCTCTGATTTGTTTCAGCAGTATTTTGTAACTATCACTGTAGAGAGCTTTTACCTTCTGGTTAGCTGTAATCCTAGATATTTATTCTTTTTGTGGCTATTGTGATGATATTGCATTGTTAATTTGGCTCTCAGCTTGGATGTTGTTGACATACAGAAATGCTACTAATGTTTGTGCACTGATTTTGTATCCTGAAACTTTGCTGAAGTTGTTTATCAGCTCTGGGAGCTTTTGGACAGAGACTGTGGGGCTTTCTAAGTATAAGATCATACCATCTGCAAAGAGTTTGACTTACTCTCTTCCTATTTGGATGTATATTATTTCTTTCTCTTGCCTGATTGCTCTGGCTAGGACTTTCAGTAACATGTTGAATTGGAATGTTGAGAGTGTGCATTCTTGTCTTGTTACAATTCTCAAGAGGAATGCTTTCAGCTTTTGCCTATTCAATGGTATATTCTCTCAATGCCTAGTTTGTTTAGGGTTTTTAACATGAAATGTTGTTGAATTTTATTGAAAGCTTTTCATGCGTGAAATATTGAGATAATATTTCAATAGATATCTCCATAGATATCTATTGAGATAATCATATGTTTTTCATTTTTAGTTAGATTTATGTGATACACTTATATACTGCTGGTGGGAATGTAAACTACTTCAGCTACTGGGGAAGGCAGTCTGGCAATTTCTCAGAGAAGATAAAACAAAAACTCCTATTCAACGCAGCAATCTCATTACTGGGTAGACAATGAAAGGAATATAAATTATTCTACCATAAAGACACATGCATTATGTTCATTGCAGCACTATTCACCATAACAAAGACATAGAATCAACGTAAATGCCCATCAATGGTGGATTGGATAAAGGAAATGTGGTAAATATACACCATCAAATAGTACACAGCCATAGAAAAGAATGAGATCATGTCTTCTACAGTAACATGATTGGAGCTGGAGGCTATTATCCTAAGCAAATTAACACAGGAACAGAAAACCAAATACTACACGTCTCACTTATAAGTGAAACATAAACATTGAGTACATATGGACACAAAAAGGGAACAACACACACCGGGCCCTACTTAAGGGTGGAGGGTGGGAAGAGGGTGAGGATTGAAAAACTACCTATTACCTGGGTAACAAAATAATCTGTACAACAAACCCCCACGACATGCAATTTACCCTGTAACAAACACATACGTGTACCCCTGAACCTAAAATAAAGGTTAGAAGAATAAAAAATAAAATAAAATCTAATTATTTTAAAAAAGAGGCCTCAGAGAGTTGTTTTGCCCCTTCCACCATGGGAGGATGCACAGAGAAAGTCCTCCCTGTGAAGGTGAAAGCAGACCTTCACCAGACCTACTGATGCTTTGATCTTGGAGATCCCAGCCTCCAGAACCGTGAGAAATAAATTTGTGTTGTTTATAAGCTAGCCAGTTTATGGTATTTTGTTATAGCAGCCCAGATGAACTAAGCTAACCCATAAAAAAAATTTCAAAATTCTGCATAATTGAAGAAAGTGCTTATGGGGTAAACACTTAGTTTACTCCATTGTATTTTAGAGTTATCTAAAAACTTACCAAAAAATTAATTCTCTTCTCACTTACGTGCTTCCTTATAATGCTTTTTATCAATTAAGTCTTGACAAGTATGTTTTGACTTATATAGATGAAATGTCTACAGATAAATGCCAGTTTAAAAAGGATTGGTTACAGGGCTCATAGAAGGTAATTAAAACCTTGTCTATCTCTATTGCTTGGTTCAGGTTTACTCTGTATTGGCTTCATTGTTAGGCTCCATGTTATGGCTAAATGGCCCCTAATAGCATCAAAGCAATCATGCTTTATAGTCACATCAAATGGAAAAGAATTCAGTTCCTGTCAACAATGAAAGAGTATTTATTTGAACCTAGGTCAGTTTAACACCCAGTGCAGAATCAATCACTATGGCCCTCAAGATAAAATCATTCTAATTGATAGACCTAGGTAAAATGCTCCACTCCTGCAATCAGGTAATGAAAATCAAATGAAATCTTCCAGAGAAAAAGTGGAAAAAGCATGGTTCCACACAGGAAATTTGGAGTGCTGAAAAAAGGACAGATACTTAGCAGCCAAAAAATCTTCTAACTTCCATAAGGTATAAACTACAAACGTGCCTCAGTATCCAATATCTCTTATTTTATTTGGTAATAGGATCCTTTTAATATTAACCACAAATATTAATTTATTCCCCTAGGTACAGGCTGTATTTTCTAGTCTCTCTTAAATCTATAAGGGATTATTTATTTAAGTTTGAGAAAAGGCAGTGTGTGAAGAGAGGTGATCTGTGTAGCTTCTGGGTAATCTCCTTAAAAATGATCACTCTGTACTCTGCCATTCTATAGGTAGTGAAAGAACAGTGACTTATTGACACCATTGGAAGCCAAATATGGTACCATATAGTCCTTAAGGACTACAAGAGAAATATGTAATAATTTGTAATATTTCAAAGAAAATAGTGTATGCCTGTGTGTGTGTGTGTATCTCTAAACAACGATTGTATCCTTTACTTATCACACTCATCTTCATGCACACAATTACTATTATATTATAATTGCTTAGAGTTATGATGGGATTGGCAATGTCATTTTGCCTTGGGCAGAAAAGACATTTTTAATTCCTATGAGTAATACTCTATAACCATTCACATTTCTAAAAAATGTTTCTTTCAATAAGAAAATCTAATCTTAATAGGGGAAAAAATGGTGTCAAATTGGACACTTGCCCAAAGCACATAATGAAGTCTACATTCAATGTTGTTTAGAATTAGGCCTATTTTTTTTTCTATGACATAAATGACATATGTCAACCCTTCTTTGGCCAAGTACAATTATCTGTAAGTCTTCCTCTGAAAAAGAGTTTATTAGTATTTATCAAGTGCATCCTCAAAATTATCACAAAATAAGCCGATATAATCTCCTCCTTCAGGACGGATTGTTTTAAACACTAAGTATGATTAATTTTGACACAAACCATGTTATGGCTCTAATTATGTGTACTGGTGGGTTAGTCTATGTTGAAAAGATTCTCTGACCCTTAACGACAAGTATAAATGAGAGGAGTTACTCATTCAGTCAGGACCTACGACGGCTCCCATGGCAGCCCATTTTCTTGTAGAAAAGCATAACATTCAGAGATGCAAAAGTTAAATGGAGTTGAAACAACATTATTCTCTTAATGAAGTACAGATTGTCAATATACTCAAATTATTATTGTTTTATAAGTCAGTAGGTCAAGTGGCTTGAGCTCTTAAATAATACTTCTCCCAAATACTTGGCCTTTCACACCCTTACTTTTATCTGGTGAGATTGCCTGGCAGTAAGTATAAACAATCCAGAGCTGAGAAATCCCACAAGATCCAGTGCCTCAGAATTATATCCCTTTAACTTTACATTAAGGAAAACAAAATATTCTGATTATCATTATTTACCAGGTAAAAACTATCCATACATTTTTTAAGATGTTGCTACTTCTACCCATTTTATTTAATGCCGACTATACTGTCATTTGATTAAACCTTTGTTTAGATACACATTGTTGATCATTAAGACAACTGTTAGAAAACATATATATTCTAATGTGTTTTTCATATTTAAATACCACAAAAAATAATCAAAAATATCGTTTTGGTGTAAGTATACCAATACAAAAGTAAAGAACTTAAAATAAGGCATTTTTATAATAATGTTTAAAAAGGAAGTCAGAGACATGTTCTTCTGTTAAGAAATGCATGACTGTACTTTTTATTTTATTGCCAATCAAGGAGATAAACTATTATGAGGAAATATAGGTGCTTAAAAAAGGCATTGCTTACTTTAAAACATTTGTGTGTGTGTTGGAGAGGGTGTATTCATATATATATATATATATATTCCGTAAGTTGGTAAGAAAAATGATTAGAATATAGATCATATTCCCTGATGATAACAAAGGTACACATAGTGGTTACCATAGTTTCAAAATCAGTTTATTGGATCTTTAAGGATCCCAAAATATTTATAACTGTATTTTTTTCCAGATAACTACAAGGTCATAACCTGAGCTTAAAGGCTTGGAAGGACCATGTGCTAAGTTCTGATACATTTAATATACTTTGGCAAACAGAGGTTGAGTTAATAAGGGGTTGGATACTTGGGAAGTGTTGTAGATCCTACAGCCAGGATACAAGAGACTCAGGTTTGATCTGAGAACAGAGCCGTAAAGGTGGCAGAATACTCTGTGGGCAGAGGAGGTGATGTTTCAAGCTCCTCTCTCATTGTCCTCCTCTCAATCGTAAACTGGTTTTTAAGAGATTGTCTATCTATATCTGAAAAGCTATTGCTTACTGGATATGGTCTATTATCCATACTTTTATAAATGAATAAGAAATAATTTGAAGACCTTTGTGCTTTGCAGCCCATGATGCTTTGCAATTCTGTTCCTCTTGATCATTTATATAACCTGTATTTGAGTTGTTTGAAAGCATTTTACATCAACGTACTGCTCTTTTGCTTAGTCTACCAACAAAAACAAGGTGTGCCCATATTTATTTTCCAGCTTCAGATATTTTTCACTGTATGGGAGGATATTTTAATCTGTCACCCTGAGACTGTGTCTATAAGAAACAAAGCAATAGTAAACCATTCTATTAAGTATTGTTAATTTAGGAAAGACAATCCTGAACATACAATTTTGGACCCAGATTGCTTAAGGTTTTTCCACTTGATGCCAGTACACAGACCCTGTGGCATTATAATCCAGAAATATTTAGGTTAACACTCATTTATTTATATATTAATTAATTTCATGATTATTAATGGTCTGCAATTTATCAGATACTATATTATGTCCAGATATATAGATGAAAACAGGCAATATCTGTCCTTAAGGAAGTCTCAGTTCCATAGGAAAGGATGGTAATGTTAGCTGGAATTTGTTTAGAGCTTCTATTATGGGCACAGTGCTAGGGACTTCACAAGCATTATCCCATTTAGCCCTCATAACTATGCTAGAAGTAGACTTTATTATTGTTCCCACTCTACAATTGAGAAAAATTGATTTATGAAGAAGTGAATTTCACAAGTATAAATTATGGCTTATTTACAAAGCTTATTTACAATAAGTCTGCCATCAATCCTGTGACTCACAGTGCATTTGTAACTCCCCAAATGGGAGGTGAAGTCTATTTCTCCAAGCCCTTAAATGTGGCCTGTCCTGTCACTTCTGTATATGTATTAGTTCATTCTCACACTGCTATAAAGAACAGCCTGAGACTGGGTAATTTATAAAGGAAAGAGGTTTATTTGACCCACAGCTCCTCATGGCTGGAGAGGCCTCAGGAAACATACAATCATGACAGAAAGAGAATGGGAAGCAGGCACCTTCTTCACAAGGTGGGAGGAGAGGGAGAGAGAGCAGGGGGAAAGCACCAGACACTTATCAAACCACCAGATCTTGTGAGAACTCACCCACTGTCATGAGAACAGCAAAGGGGAAATCTGCCCTCAGGATCCAATCACCCTCACTATGTCTCTCCCTCTACATATGGGGTTTACAATTCAAGATGAGATTTGGGTGGGGACACAGAGCCAAACCATATCAGTGCATGTTCTGAGTCTTTTCTCTAAGAGCCTCTAAGGGCCCTGGCGGTTTCTGCTACCTGCTTCTGGAAGATGCATACACCATGTAAGAAGTTCATGCTTACCTACTGGAGACAAAGGCAGCAGGAGGAGTGGTATGGTACCAGACATGTGAGGTAAGAGGTCATGATGGGAGTCCTTCCAGTCTATCCTTCAGATAATTCAGTCTAATTCAGTTTAATAATACAAGACAGCCACATTACAACAGTAATCTCGTAAGAACCACCCTACTGAGTCCAGTTGATTCACAGACTGTAAGAAAAAAATTGTATTAAGCCACTAAATTTTGCACTGGTTTGCTGCAACCTCAGAATAGATAACTGGAACCCACAGTTACTAATATATTCTTAAGTAATCTAAATTGGAGGCCTTCAAAACAATTAGACTGTTGCACATCACCATTAAAAGTTCTACATGTCTCTCTTATTTGTTTTAGTTTGTTATAAATAATATTAACAATTACAGTGGCAATAAATTATGTTATTATGTTATTTAGATTCAAAAAAACTTAAAAAATTAGTTAAATGTAATAATAAGAAACATAAGTTACTACTATTTTATTCTCCAGCCTAAATTTTTCCATCTTAAGCACATTCTTAGACTTGGTTTAGAGATCATTACACAATAGCATTACATAATAATAAAACAATATGATTTTTGGTGACAAAGAAAAACACAGTGCATAATGAGAATATGGGGTCAAATTGCTTTCATGTGCTTGAGGATTCAGATAACTTTATCAAAAAGATATGTAATTTGTATCTCCAAAATCACAGCAAATGCTAAAATTAAATGGTAGAAAAAAAAAAAAACATGGTTCAAAAGCACCTGGTTTATATAATCATACATCCTGTAACATTGTTATGAATCAGGTCACCAGAAGGCAAATACAGACTCCCATGAAATCAATGTTACAAAATTAAAAAAGAAAGAGTTAATTTCTAAATATTAACCATAAAACAAGCCAGAGGCATACTCAACAATATATGATAAAAAACAAATATAAAATATTCATAATCTTCTTCAATTACTGAAAAATAATAAAACTATATTTCAAGTACTATAAAATAGACATAAATATTTAAGTAGTATTGTACCTCATGTTTGGGGCTTCATTTTTATGATGTTATGCAGAATATAAAACAATATGATCAAATGTTGGACCCCAAATTATTTAGCCATCATAAAGTTTAATTAAAGATTCCGTTTTTTTCAAACATCACTTCTTGTAAAATCAAGAAGAGCATTGGGTAAATTATTTGATTTATTTAGGGGAAGGTTTAAGCTAATGCTAACTTTCTTTCAGGTGACTTTTCAAATTTTTCTTTTAAGTGGTGCTTTTAAGCAACCAAACTTTCTCCATGGATCATTCATTTAGCTTTTCATTTGACAAAAATTATCAAGTGCATCCTTGTACTTAGGGTACAAGGATGATCCAAAGGTTTCTGTCTTCATAGAAGTTATACTCTAGAAGGGGGGAGAAAAGCTATAAACATAAATATATACTATATAACTACATCATTACATATATTAAGTTACAATATGGCTATTGCTATGGCAAAGAGAAAATATAGAGCAGGGTAACGGGGATTGAAGGTGTCAGAGGTAGAAGTGGCATGCAGTATGCTGATTTAGGTAGATCTCATTGGACGAAGCAAAGGAGAGAGACTTGAGGATACACAGGCTAAGCTTCTCTGGGGCAAAGAACTGTCAATCAAGGGCTCTAAGTAAGGAGCCGTTATGAGCAAGCAAGAGCAAGCAGGCTAGTATGGCTGAAGTAGGATGGGAAAGGGGAAAGGAATGTGTGAGAAAGACAAGAACAAGAGCATGGTAAAGACTTTGACTTTCACTTTGAGTAAAATGAGGAGCAGTTGCAGGCTTTTCAGCAGAAAATTACATTTAAAAATATTACTCTGACTGTTTTATTTAAAATAAACTTTAGGGAACAAAGGGACTACATAGGTGGCTGTTGCAATTAGTCCCCAAAATGCTATTGGTGATTCAGATTGAACTATCTCTGTTTCTTACTATATCTCTGTTTCTGTCTCTCTGAAAGAGAAATATGCATACACTTCTATATACGTATACATTATCAAAAAATCAGATAGTAAAAAGTTAAGTGGAAGTACTCCCATGTAGCTGTCACTCAGCTCAATTATCAAGTCATACATAAACTTGTTTATCTATACCCCATCGACTTTCAACCTCCTTCCCAATTCTTGAGTTACTTTGAAGCAACTTTGTATATTTTAAAGGTACACACTCCAGAGCTTACAACAGACTGGAGGTAAGGTATGGGAGAAAAGAGAATAGTTCCAGGTATACCAAAGGATTTTGTCCAGAGCAACTGGGAGGATGGAGTAGCCATCAACTAAAATGGAGCAAAGTCAAAGATGGAAGTTTGGGGCGGGGAGAAGGAGTGTCATCAGAAATTTCTGGATATATTTATTTCGAGATACCTATTTGGCATCTAGGTATATATACTCAGAATCTCCCCTTACATGACCTAAATACTTAAAGTCATTATTAGAAAGTCTGGCTGTGGATTTTTCACAAAGAGATGTTTGTGGAACTGTTGCCCTTATTCCTCACCTTTTCTTCACTCTTTTCCTTAATACTTGACCAAAAAAAAAATGGGCTGAGACATGGTCATATTGCCTAGTATAAAGGATTGTTCAAGAAGTACTACTAGGTTGGTTGGTAAGGTGGAAGCTATTTATGAAACGATTAGACTTTATACAACACATGGTAAGGTCACTTTTAACTTCTATGTGGTTCAAAAAACTATAGGAGGTTCTGCTGTAGGAATCCTCAGGAATACACTGATGGTTTACAGAGTCTGTAACACAAAAATGAGGAGCTGCTTATTTTTTATTACCTTTATGATTTCCCTACTGTCTGATAAATTTGACACTCTTTTAATGAGCTAGAAAATTCTAAAGAAAGACCTATAGATTTGGCACCAACTGAATGGAAACTCCAGATACCAGATGTTTATTATATTATTGAAAATAAATCAATTTAATAGACTGTTACATGGGCTCTGAAAACAATGAGGCTGGGTCCGAATTTCAGTTCTGCCACTTTCTAGTGGTATAATCTTAAATAAATAATTTGACTTTTAACTTTTTTTGTTCTAAAATGGTAAGAGAAACACCAAACTTTTAGGTTTGTTGTGAGGATTAAATATATTATCAGTATTAACAACTATGCTAAGTGTGGTGGCTCACGGCTGTAATCCCAGCACTTTGGGAGGCTGAGCTGTGCGGATCACGAGGTCAGAAGTTCAAGGCCAGCCTGGCCAACGTGGTAAAACCCCATCTCTACTAGAAATACAAAAACTATCCAGGCGTGGTGGCATGTGCCTGTAATCTCAGCTACTCAGGAGGCTGAGGCAGGAGAATTGCTTGAACCTGGGAGGCAGAGGTTGCAGTGAGTTGAGATTGAGCCACTGCACTCCAGCCTGGGCAACAGCAAGAGTCTGTATTGGAAAAACAACAGCAATAACAACAACAAAAAAAATTACAAAATATTCTGAATAGATAAATGTTAACTGGTTTTACAACATAAGTAAAATGGACTTCTAATAATGAAGTCACTTTCTCCTCCTTTTGTAGTACAGAGAATGGTAGCTTTAACTAGGTATAATAATAACACACCAGATATCTTTGTTCAAATACATATAATCTAACTTTAGACAGCATAGATATATTAAATCACAAACCAAGGAGACTCAAATGAGAATCATTTCCTTTGTGCATGCTTAAACATTTCTTTCATCTTTCCAAAGCTTAAGAATGAGAAACAACTTTAGAGATTTGCAGAAAAATGGCAAGAATTAGGCCCAATCACATACTCATCACAAAATTCTGGAAAACACAGTGTAGGGAATAGCCTTCTCTTGCTTAGGGAACAGATTAAATGACCTAGTAATTGTGTAGTTCTTTCCTTCTATAACTTCTGTGAATACAAATGAACTATTCAGGTGGAATTTCCATAATAGGTAACTGCAGCAAACTTATCAGGAACTAAACATTTTTGCATAGCTCTGATCCACAAATTCAAATTTCATCAGTGTATAATGTATATGAGCTGGTAGATTTTGTAATTTAGATTTTGAAAGAGCTTTGCCTAATTTCATCTAAAAACTGTCCTGAAACTCTAAAAGTGACTTTGTTCCATTTTTCTCTGTTTGATGGTACAGAAAAGGCAAATTTTTAAAAAAAATAAGAAGAATGCCCTCTACTTTTAAATTTTATATGTAGGAAATTAATTCTGTGTCCAAAGGTAATAATTCTATGAGGACAGAAGTCACTTAAGTATTTTTAGCAGAGAAATATGGACAATTAGCTTTATTTTTTGCTTATTCCACCTCTAATAATGTAATAGGCATTAAAAGAAAATTTGCTATGCTAACTTCACTATTTCCAGAGGAAACTTCAGGGACAAAGCAATATACTGTATATATATTACATATATATGTATATTAGTTATTTGCATTTTAGGAATGTTGTTTTACATTGCATATTGCTTACAATATCCCCTCTTGATATTTGATCATTTTTTGGCTTCTCAGCATCTAAATATCATTGCTATTTTGTGGGAGAAGTCCCTTACTGTACAGCTTGTTATTGAGTTATAGTACTCTGCTATCATCTACTGAAAATGAAGAAGGGATACCCAGTGAGAATTTTCTCATGGCAGCCAAGGTGAAGGCCCGTGATCTAAAGCCAAGATAATCTGAAATCCCATACAGGAATTTGGGTCTGGAGTGTCTGATGTGGGTATGAAGGAGTGGTTGGGTTTCACACATGGAAACACGTGGTGGTGACATGATGATGCCACATGTGCTACAGCAGAGACTTTGGAGTACTTTAGTAGTGGTGGTAACATTGGAACCTTTTCTGTATTGTTTCTGCTGCCTTACATCCAAAATAATTTTATGTAAGAATAAGTGCTACAAACACAGCATTATATCCTAAAAATCAAGTATGAGTATGTGATGTGAGTGTAACTTAAATAGCGTATCAATGACTGATCTCTCAAAATATATTTTTGAGATGAGATTTAGATGGCAAGATGATGTAAGACATGAACATAATTTAGGGTTGAATGATCAAATGGAAGACATGGTAACTGCAAAGACTCTAAGAAGCAAATCAGTTTGCTGACATTTAGGGATGAAAAAAAAAAGGCCAATCCATAATAAGAGTGAAGCAGAATGGTATGAGGTAGAGCTTATTCGTTGTGTGATATGAGGAAAATTTTTGTATTAACAATAGTCCAGCCTTGCATGATGGCTGCCACCTGTAATCCCAGAACTCTGGGAGGCCTGAGGTGGGCAGGTCACTGGAACTCAGGAGTTCGAGACTAGCCGGGTCAACATGGCAGAACCTTATCTCTCCAAAAAGTACAAAAATTAACTTGGTGTGGTGGCACATGCCTGTGTTCCCAGCTACTTGGGAGGCTGAGGTGGAAGGATTGCTTGAGTCTTGGGGCAGAGGTTGCAGTGAACCAAGATTACATCACTTCACTCCAGCCTGGGTAATGGAGTGAGACTTTGTCTCAAAAAAAAAAGAAAAAAAAAAAATCCCACGACAATATCTATTCATCTTCTTAGAAAGATAAGGTGAGAACTTCAGAGTGTTCTGGAGAAAGGCCAAGAACAAACAGCCGAACACCTCTGCATAAGGAATAAACAAGAATTTGGAAGAAAGGTGAAGAAGAGCAGAGAAGAGGGGAGAAAGTGAGGACGGAGAGACATTATAGAATGCTGGAATCAAGCTGATGGAAAAACCTGGGGTCTTTTGAAAAATTGAAAGATTTAATGTTTAATTTTCAACTTTCTGTTCTAATTGGTGCCATATACCTATTACACCTTAGTTTCCATTAAAACTGTGTTACATACAGTTGCCTGTGTTGAATGCTATTTTGATGTGATGTGGGCCTGGAGATAACAAAACCAGCTGTAGGATATAAAACAGAGACTAACAGAAATAGAACTGAAGTAAGATAATGAAACATGAGGAATTCACAGAAAACGTAGTTCCAGACAGTCTTGCCTATACCTTAAGAAGCAAGGTGAAAATACCTTCTGCTACAGCTATCTCACCCTCCACCCCACAAAATACCTCTGTTTGTCCTAGAAACAGTGAGAATTAAAATTTGTAAAATCAGAGGATCCCTACTCATTCATTAGTAAGGGCGGCCGTTGGCATAGTAGACATGCAGAAATCTAAAAAGAAAAATATTCCAAATAAATTTGAAGATCAGAAAAGTGCATTTAAACAAAAAATCTTGGAAAGATACTAAAACCTTATGAAATTACATGAGAATCAAAATCTCTTTGTTTACATATCTTTGCATTCAATTGACTGCAAAAGATAAAATCAACTCTATGGTTATAGAAAATAATACTGTTGCTGTGCATCAGCCTCTGGATAAGCAACAAAAATACAGAGTCCAGACTTGGCTGGTATTTTTCATGAAAATGAACATATTGGTTCCTCATTTTAAAATCAATTTGCTTGTTCTTAGGTGCTAGGAGCAGATAAAAACAATGCTGTCAACTCCACACTATTTTGAAGGTGACATCTGCAAACGCAGGTTTCGTTCTTCCATTGTCTGAGCCACTTTAATCATTCACATTTGCAGCTGTCTGAAAGGACCCTTCATTCGCATCCTTTTCCTGGGGGTAGAGAAATGGAACTGGCTATTCCTTTAGACCACTTAGAAAAATCCAAACCGTGTATTCTGAGATGCTAAGCTTATCTTTTTGGAGTTGCAGCTGTTTTCTAGCACTGATCCTTTTATCATTCAGAGAAAGAAAAAGAAATGGCTCTATTTATTGCTTAGTAAAATACGTATTTTCTTGAATTTGCTGCAATTATATTTCTAAAATTGAATACATTGAACTTGTATCACTCTGGGGCTAAGAAATAATAAGGCATGTGCTTGATTACTGGAAAGGCTTGTTCTTGTCCATATCTCATAATTTTTAAATTTATTCAAGAGCCATCACTGCTATTTTCATCAAAATCTCTCCCCCTTTGGTATTCCTGACACTGTAAGGTCAGCACAGTGGTTGTGAAGAGATTTTATTGCGCCTTTTGAGAGCTAACTACATTGCTGGATTCCTTTCTTTTTACTATGGAGCAAATATCTGATAAATGTGATGGCAATTTCAAAATGAGCAAAAAACAAACAAAAACATTATACAGATATTTTAGACAGATTTTTGACTTAGCAGAGCAAACAGCTATATCACTGATTATAAAACTACTATCAGGTCAGAGGCACTAGACATATCATCATCTTATCCTGAGCACCAATGACAAACTGTCTTTCAGACTCAATGGCTTCGAGAACTCTATGTGACACAGTATTATATTTTATTTTCTTGAGTCCTTGAAATCTTTAGGACAGAAGATTGAAAGCATACCAACAGGGACAGCATGAGAGACTTTTAAAGCAGTCTTATTGGGTTGCGGGTTACTCAAGAGCACACTTTTATTGGCTCCTGAAAAAAAGTAGCTCACAATTTACCAAACAGCCCTATATATTTATGTCATTGTAATCTTAAATTACATGACTATCTGTTTGTTTATTTATTTACTTATTTTTAGTCAATTAGATGTTTACTACTGGCAGAACACCTAAGACAACAGATATTACCAAAAACAATTGTCATGAGGGATCATTATAAGAAAAGGCATCATGCCAGTTGTCATCAAGAACCTGAAATAGATTATTATTTTTCAGAGGTAACATTATATGTTGCTTACTCTTCAACTAAAATGTTAGAGAATTAAATATTTAAGATGGTTAATAATTTTGTTCAATAATTACTGAATACTATTCTAACCACTTCATTGAATAGCCTGAATTCAGTGGATGCATAAATATGAAATAATTTTTTTCCTATTACTACTTTCAGCCATGATGTCTCAGGCAAATCTCATAATTTTCCATTTATTTTCAGTCCTGTCTACTTCACTCTGTTTGGAAACTCCAATATTATTTCCAAGATAGTGATTATTTCTTCCCATTTCTCAGCCCTCCTCAAACTTCAGCTTGAGCATCTTGACGTAGTAAGTTATTAAGCAAGTCTTCAGTAAAGAACATTTGCTGAGCTCCTCAGCAAGGGGGAAGTCGCACTGTTATACAAATCTCTTGAGACTGGGTCCTCTTGTGGACCACTGAAACACAGTAATTGGTAGGAACTTCTATGCCTTTCCTCAGTTATGATAAGAAGTGGGCTATGATTTTATTTTTTTCATTTCCTTTTTCTAAGATTTTCTCCTCTCTGGTGCTTTGGGATTTACTTAATTGGAGCTATTTTTGTCCTTGATTGATTCTGCTACTGCTCTAACATCACCCGGCCTCTTGATAGTAGGCATCCAAACCCTGTAAGGTGCATGAATTTGCTCTTTAGGATGCATTTCATGGATCTCTTCATTGTACAGGCTCCTGTAGAATGTCTCAATTTTTCACCCCTTTGAGATCCCACCTTTGCCAATTCACCCCAAACCGTCTTCCTGCTAGGATCCCTTTTCATGGATGAAGTATTAACAGGATAGCTAAAGTCTGACTATGCTGCATGGCATCTGCTTGGCTCATATGAAACGTATGCATCCATTTCATGCCAAACTGTGGGAATGCAGGCTGTTCTACTGTGTGCTCCCTCTACTCCCAGATTTTCTCCAATTTTCTTCTATTACTATTAATATAAGTATCAAAGGAGATAAGAGAGACTGCTACATAATTACACCATTTTTTAGGGACTGATATAAACAGCCTTTTTATATCTAAACAGCATTTTTTAGGGACTGATAATGTAGACTTCTTGTAATCAACATGTTCCTATAAAGAATTATCTTTGAGCTCTCTTTATTTGGCTTAGTATTCCCCACAAGACAAAAAAAAATTATGGCTCTGAAAGTTTCCCCTGTTCTTCTTCTTTATGCACTTATATATCCTAAGAATTAGTTAGGACTTGGGGTGACTATTGGAGTAACACAGCCTCACAAGACTTAAAACAATTTTCTCCCCAGCTTTGAATTCAAATAGTCATAGAGCAACAAAAAATGTCATATCACGTGTATCCAATGTTTAAAATAATAATTTGCATTATTTCTTTAGTTAAGTAACCAGATAAAATAAGTAAAACAGAGTTGGCTTCATGGAGAGGTAGTGTAAAGTGTTAAATATATGTATTCTATGTACAAAATTTCTGCTGAAAAAATTTCTTTACACCTACAAACCTTTCTTACTAAACTTTTATCCAATATATATCCATGCTCCCAGAAGTTTGCCTAAAGTTAGATTACAGGAAGGCACAGAGAATCTGATATGAGATTAGAGAGAAGAAAGGATAAGAAGACTAGAAAGCACAAGTACAGGCAAACAGCAATGGTTTTTCTTTGGTGGACACCAAAGTTAGACATGAGCAAATTCACCAGTGCAAAGCATTTATTAAGGATGCTCACAGAGGTGCTGCACTCACATCCTTGCCACGGACAACAAGTGAAAAGGGGTGTTCTGCCTAAGTGTGTTTGCAGTGAACAGGTAAGGGTAAGGAGTTTATATGAGTTTAAGAAATTTGGCTCAGAGCCAGGGCCAGTTTATTTCAGTGTTTTGGGCAACAACCTAGTGCCTGGGAATGTTCAAGGCCTTGGTTTGGATTCAAGCCTGCTGGGAAAAACCTGTAGTTGACTGGGTTACAGAGCAGTTAAGGCAATCAGTGATTTTACAGGCAGGACACAGAAAGAAAGCAAGGAAACTGGGGAACCCTACAGAAGCTATGGATACCAGCAGTTCTGGTGTTTCTTCTACCAATTTTTATTCACTCAGGAAAGAATTGCATTTTTCTATCTGCTATGTGGACAGAAATAGTGTAAGGTAATACAGTATAATAAATTATTATTAGAATTCAATACAGTGTCCAAAATAAATTAATATAAATTAAAACCCTTTAATTTGGGACTTAAATATTGCCACACTCTATTACCCTGAGCAAGCAAACCTCTTAACCTTAACCTTGGTTTCCTCAAACTGGGGGCTAACAATTATTTACCTACCTCATAAGAGTGTGAGGATTAATTAGTTCATGTTTACAAAGTGCTTTAAAGAGGAAAGGAGCTGAATAAGTATTGCTTTTAATAGTACAGCCTCTTAATTTGCTTTTAGTGTTTGAGAACAATGTGGGTCTAATTCTGCAGTTGCCACACAGCCATAGTTGCAATGTCTTTAGAAGGAATTTATAATGCATTCTTAATTTCTAGAAGAATAGCACCTTATAAGGAAACTATTACAATACTAAAATAATATGAATGAACTACTATATTCGTAAGACTACTGGCAACACAGACCTACAGCCAGGTAACCTAAGCCCAGAGGGCCTTCTCCAAACAAACGTTGGATAGAAGGTGGAGGCATTGGTACACAATTTCTATATAAAATGATGGCATTTATTGAGCTCTTACTGCCTCCCAGGCCCAGTTCTAACTGCTTTATGGGGATTATCTTATTTGATCCTGACAACAACCCTATGAGGTAGGCACTCTATTTGTCCCATTCTATATTTGGGATATTAAGGTTCAGAAAAGTTAAGTAACTTGACCTAGAATCCATAGCTTCTGATGGATAGAGACAGGAACCGTTCAAAGTCTAAATTCTTTGTGATTGAATATTGAGATTTATTGCCTCCTATGAATTAACATAGAAATTTAAAGAACATTTGTCCTTAGTCACACTTCCCAAGCCCCCTTGACAGGAATACTGAGAGGCCCTTTCATGTCCACATTTACTAGGCAAGCCCCCATCTGTATGACTGTTCCTTCCATCTTCAACCACTTTTCTGTCTCAAGATAACTGTAAGCATGCTATAGGACTAAAGTTCATTGGCGATGTCGGGATTAACATAGGAGCCAGGGTCAGAGGAAAGAAACTCCACCTTGTACAGCCAGACTTTTACTGTCTCTGTGCCATCTCCCAAGATGCTCATCATACTCTATCTTGGGTTAGAGTGTAGATTTAAGACGTTACCACTAAGTCCAAGGCTCTTCCCATATCTATTTCTCTGAGCGCTTTAATTCAATGTTCTTACTATCTAATAGTCCTGCACTTACTGTTTACCACTTCTTCATTCAAACTCTTGATCTCCTAATTTCCAAACCCTAAAATTTCTGGTGTATTGCAAGTTTCAGAACTGAACAAAACCAGTTTGGGAGACTTGGCCACAATTCACAGTTGTTCTCTTTGAGAAGTCATCTTCATGATCTAAACTAACAATTTCACAGTCTATTTTCCCTAAGCTATCCAAAAGGATTTATCAATAAAGGCACAAGAATCCTTACTAATCCAGGCTTATGTGATCATGGCCTCTACTAGGTAAAAGTAACTTATTCATTACAGAGTATTTTCATGGCAGTAGTTGGGACTCTCAGGAAAGAATTGGGATCCATGAAATTGGCACATGGCCACAGCCAACTGCAAAAACTAAGAGAATATGTCCTAAACAACACCAGAATTTTTTAAAATTATAGACAGGGGTGATTATTCATTAGAAATACAAAGAGAATATTTATTTAACATGTGTAATTAAATTAGATGATATCTATTCCCTTCTAGTTTTAAAACTCTATGAGTCCGATGTTTACCTATGCTTATAGGAATTTAAGACCATATAAATTTCTGAATTACTTAATGGTATAACGCTACTGTGTCATGTGTCATACCACCATGTAGATATGCTGTAACATATTGATGCGATGATTATTTACTCCTCATTAACAACTTGTGGTGAAAAAATGATAAGTGAAGTGGGTTCTGGTTTTTACTCTGCTGTCAACCTAGCAATGTTACCTTAGGTAAAAATTTGATATGTTTAGACAACAGTTTTTACATCCATATACATGGTGGGTGGAAAAACATACCAATTAGTATATAAGAGGACTTATTAGGGAGACTTTTGAGGTGAAGAGGTTAGTAAAATTTTAGCAATTACTTCATGAACAAAACATCGTGGACCTGGAAAAAGAATGGAAGACATGGAATAAAGGAAGGTTTCACCCTTTTTCACTTGCAACTGGCATGGTCTTTAGGTCCCTGAGAAGACCTGTTGAAAACTTCTGATCCAGAGCACTCTCACATTTTACAGTTGAAGGAACCAATGACTAAAGAGTTTAAAACACTTGCTAACATTACTGTAGTTATGACAGTACTGGGTCATGACTAGAAACAAGGTCATTTATCATCATAATTACACGTTTCTTTTCCTATATGCCTTTATCCTTTTTTACACCACCCCCTCTTCATAAAACAACTCATATGATTTACATACAGATTTGCCACATAACATTACAGGATGCTACATTTAGAAAGGAACCGAGGGGTACTTTTACTTTATAGATGAGAAAAGTAAAGACAAAATTTACACAAAAATATAATGTTCTTTTTAAGATACAGCAAATATTTGAGTCCCAGGTGTCAGTCTGAGTCCAATGATCTTTTCACATACCACCAAAGTAGCCTTATGGAGAAGAATACTCAATGTTTGAAAAGAAATCTGATATTACAAATCCTATAAGGTATGGCTGGTATCCCAGTTGATGATAAACAAACATGCTATTTATGAACTGTTTGTCAATGATGCTGCCTCACTGGGCTATGAGATAACCAGACAACTATAAAATAGCCAGAAAATATCCTAGAGAATGGCATGCCTTTGCATACTCTACATGAGGAAACAGAACTGGAAAACTAATATAGAACAAATAGAAGCCAGAGACACAAGTAAAATCCACATTGTTTCATTCTCACTGCTAAATAGTTATAGTGAGATAAAAAGTACATTCTCATCTTTGAATTATATGTCTTCCAATGAAAAGCCAATAATCACAGGCAGGCTTTAAGCAATGGGATACACATACATTTTTGAGGAAAAATAAAATTTGTTTTTTACTCACTTCCACATATATGGAGCGGTTCAATATTACACTGTCATACTTGATGATTGATATTGCAGTTTCTTGATTTTGCAATACTCTGTGTAACTCGATAATGAATCTTTTGTGTGTTCTATATGTAACCTCTTTTCAATGCCAATATAAATGACTCCTTTTCATTACTATCATTACCTTGCATTATGGGAGTATTATTCTTGTAGGCTGCTGTTTCCTATGTCTGTTTTAATGAAGGTCTGTCAATGAACTGGGAATTGAATATTTCTGCCTATCAGTTCACACAGTCAAAGAGAAAATGCTAAAGAAAATGCTAAAGCATTGGCAGCAGAATTTTGGTGAGGGTCACTTAGCTACAAGCAGCTTACAACAAACCCTATAATTTCCTTTTTCTTCTTCTAATCCTGCTCTACTTCTCTTTTAATCATCTAATTGTATCTAGAGTAGTACTATGCAAAAGTTACATGGGTTGAAATAATGCAGCAACAGGTGGGCTATAAAACTGGGAAGATTATCCAAATAATAGCTTTATTTACCAATTATGTTATTATTATAGCTTATTGTTACCTAACAATTTAGAATGCACACACACAAACACCATGGAAAGTTGAAACATGGCTTCATGGCTTTCCCAAGAGATATACAACTTATATCAAACTAGAAATAACGTGCTTACTATTTGATGTCTGTATTTTTATTTTTCCTGGCTGTTGTTAGATGTGATCTTAAGACAAATTATTTTAATGGTTGTTTTTAGGGGTGTGAAAAGGAAAGGGGAAACTATATCTTCTGTTCATGATGCTATTTGAACAAGAATCAGGAATCAGGATGTTTAAATAAATTACATAAGAGTTTAATAGTTGATGAGTATACTTAGTGACCATGGTTGCCCAAGAAATGAGCAAACAACAAAATGCTGGGTACAAGATGAGAGGAAAGGGATAGTTATGTCAAGGTGGGTGCTTATGTCATTTCTTTGATCTGAAGGAATTTTAAGCCAAAATAAATCCAAAATGAAAACACTTCCAAACGAAAAGCTTTGCCTCATTAGTCAAATCAGATATCTAAATCGAGGAAAGATAAATCCTGTCACATTTTGGACTTGTTGAATGTCTGGAAATATTTTCAAAAGAAAGATATTTCTAAAATTCAATAAACTGTCACTCAGTCTTAACCTTAATTTAAAAAGTAAGTAACATAGATGTAAAACTTATTCCCATGCTCTTAGATTATTTTAGAGTCATCCAATTAAAACTTTTCTTTTTTGGGGTATTTTCAAGGAGATGGCTCTAAAAAGTTTCAAATTCAATTAAATAAACTCAGTAAATTTAGCTGTTTTATTTTTAAATTTCCTACTCATGGCTACATTGGTCATCATGTATTCAACTGTTTCTTTTCCCTTTTTCCTTGTGAATATTTACCTGAAAGTACCAACTGACACATGGTACAAACATTTTAATACATGTTACAAAGCCAAATGAAGGGTGTTATAAGACGTATTTGTTTGGAATAATAGACGTTAAACAATGTTAAAAATTAGATTGATGTTGCTAAAATACAAAATAGCAAATTTTTAATAATCTCCCATGATGAAAGAAATCTAATTTGGAAGGTGCTTTTGCTTTTTTCCATAAGAATTCATGATAAGCGAGGTATGTTTTCACGTCGCAAGAAAATTTAACACCTAAATGCCAACGGTATTCTTGATTCCTTCTACATTAACCCATTGTTTTTATTGAATAAGGCTATGTAATCCCTCTTTGTTCTTCTGGAATATAGCATTCTAAGTTTTATGGTGTTCAAAATAGCTTTTAATGCTGACATGTAGAATTTCCTGGGATCATAATTAAAGTCTGAGTGTACCTTTCAGTCCACTTAGTGTACATTCCCCTAGGGACTTGGCATCTTGCTTTCAGTCTGTCTTAGTTTTTATGATTTATGCTTTTATCTAATTTTCGTATACCCATGGAAAATTGGTAATGCTTCAATAAGAGCTGCTGGCCAACCTCATTTTGAACCATCAGTTTTGGAATATCCTTTTGAGACTTATTTGGACACATATTCAAGAGCATGAAGACCTGAAAGCCAAGGTGAGGAAATGGCACATGATTTGGTAAGATTACAGCAACTGGTCTGTACTATGCAGGGAGTTTCTTTTTTTATCATAATACAGATTTAACTTTTTAAATAGGAAAATTCACACTATTGAAAAGTTAAGATTTACACAGTTCAAAAATTAAATTACATAGTGAAACTTCCTCCCTCAATCCTTGTCCCATCAACTCATTTTAACACCTCCTAGTCACAAGTAGCCCTCATTTTGGATACCCTGACTATGCCTCCAGAGTTTTAAAACATTTTAAAAAAATACATCTCCTTTCTTCCCCCTTTGCCTTTTTAACCTAAGTAATTGCACATATAAACTCTGTTATGCAACTTAATAATATAACTTGAAAATTTTTGCAAATTGCATATACCGACTTTCTCATTCTTCTTTTACATTAATTAAACTTATTTAAATCAGTTCTCTATTGATATTCATTTAAAAATTGTCAATAACTTGCTATTACAAAAATCCTTTAAATAATTCACTCTACACTTGATATACATAATTTTGTGGAGATACTACTATGCTTGAAGTATATATTCTCAGAAATTGAATTTCTGCGGCAAAGGAAATATGGATTTGTAATTTTGATAGATACTGCTGAACTTTGTTCCATAAGTATTGTGCTCATATATATAATTACCAGCATTTTTTGAGGCTTCCTGTTTCCCATACCCATGCCAACAGAATTGTTATTAAACTCTCAAGTCTTTACTGAGCCCTTATGTATTTGGACTTTGCAATTCACTTATTTAGTATCTTTTCACATTTAAAATTTCTCATATCTCCTGACTGCAAAGTGGGGTCATTTCAATCACCTCTGGAGGTGTCATCCACAGGTGGTGGACGTGGCAGCTGGATCTCCCTAGACCTTTCAGAGAAACAGATGGCTTAGCCACTCCTTATCATTTCCCCACCCAAAAATAAATAAATAAATAAAAATAAATAAAATAAAATGTCTTGTATCTCCTTTACAATGAACTGTTTGTTCATATCTTTTGCCCATAATTTCTGCTGGGTTGGTCATTTTCATATCAATTTATAGACTCACATATTAAGGAGATTAATCATTTTTTCTACTATGTTTTAAATATTTCTTTCTATGTTGTTTGCCTTTTGAGTTTCTTTAAACATAATATTTGCCCTATGGTTAGAATTTAGATTTTGTGGTCTAATTTATCAACCTTTTCTTTTATGGCTGTTGGATCTTGTGTCATATTTATAAAAGCTTCCCTACACTGAGGTTATAAAATAATCCCCCTAAATTTTCTACCCTACATGGTAGATTTTTGTTCCATGTTTACATCTTTGGTTCCTTTGGAATGTATCTTGATATTAAGTGTGGATCCAGTTTTTGACCAAAAATGGCTACAGTGCTGCGCCAACATCATTTATTGTGTAGGCCACTAGATTCTTCTGTAATTTGAGATGCTACTTTTCATTTATTAAATCAATTCATTCAACAAACAATTACCAAATGCTGACTGTGTCTCAGGCATTGCTGTAAGCACTGGAAATTCAGCAGTGCAGAAAGCACACAAAACTCTGACCTAGCAGAGCTTATATTCCAATGGAGGAGACAGGCCTCAAAATGAAAAAGTAACATGTAATATGGATGTTCATAAGTGCTAAGAAGAAAATAATGCATGGGAAGGGAATAGAATTTCTGAGGGGAAAAAAGATACTATCTTAAAAAAAAATGGGCTGCTTCATGGTAAATGTGGCCTTTGAGCTAAAAATCTGAAAGAGGAGGAAGCGAAGCTTTGGAGAGGAGGAATTATAGCACTGCAGGAGGGGGAAACAGTCTGTGTGAAGCTCTGAACCTTGAGCTTACCTGTTACATTCTCTGTAAAATGAGAAATGGTAAGTGACTGAAGCAAAAAGAGCAAGAGACAAAAACAGGAAATAAAGTCAGACACTTGATTAGATGCCATGTTGTGAAACTGCTGTTATAGGAACCTTGTGTTTTCCTCTGGGTGAGGCAGGAAGTCAGTTTTTAACAGAAAAGTGAAATGATCTGACTTACGTTTTTAAAAGATTACATGGGTTGTTGAATGGAGAATAGATTGTAAGAGAGCACAGGCAAAGTGGAGAGGAAATTTAGGAAGTTGTTGCAATAATCTGAGTGAGAAATGATTTGGAATAGAGTGGTAGTTAGCTCTACATGTAGTGGTAAGAAGTAATGTTTATGAAGTTTCCTAATGAAATAAATGTGAGTTATGATGAAAAGACAGTCTTGAAAGAATGGAGTTACTGTATGCTGAGATAGAGAGGATAGCACAAGAAATATATTTTGAAGAAAGTTTAAGATCAAGAGCACAGTTTCCAATATGCTATGGTTGAGATACATTGTCCACTTCTAAGCGGAGATGTTCAATAACCACTCTGGACTTCAGGCATAAGGTCTGAGCTGAAGATTCCATCATGCATAGATACTATTTCAAACCATAAGATGAACATGAAGGCCAAGAGTTAAAGTTTGGCTCTAGTAAAATAAAGTTTGTGAATTGAGCCATTAGCGACTCCAACACTGAGAGCTCCGGGAGATGTGGAGGGACCAGTAAGCAACACTGAAAAAGAAAATCCAGAGATAGAAGGAGAAAATGAGGCTATCACAAAGTTTTAAAAGTCAGGTAAAGAAAATATTTTAAAAAGAAGAGAAATCCATTGTATCAGAATTTACTAAAATGTTAAGAAACACAGGGACTGAGAACTACTGAGTTTAGTACTGTGGAGTGATTGGCAACACTTACAAGTGCTATTTCAGATAAATGGTGACAGTGAATACTCAACTGAAATAGATTCAAGAGAGAATGAGTTGTTAATATAATAAACCATATTGATAATTTTACTTATATTGAATAGTTACCCATATTTGTAACCAAATCTACTAAAAATCAATGTATTATTCTTTCAATATCTTGCTGGATTCTATATGCTAAACATATTAAGGAATTTGATTGTATTCAAAAGTAAACTTAGTTGAAAGTATTTTTACAGAGCAATATTTGTAAAATTGTCCCATGTTATGCCCATTTCATAATAAGAATTTGGACTTTTATCGCATTTTATGCCGGAAGAGTTTAAATAGCACTGAAAGTACTTCTTTTTCTAAAAAAAAAAAGTTTTGATTGAATTGCACTCTCAAGCCATCTGGGCATGGTGTTCTTTTATAACTATCGCTATTTTGGCCATGGAAATCAGGCTACACAGATATTATGTTTCCTGGAGTTAACTTCAGTAAATTATATTTTAGTCATTAAAAGTAAATTTAAAGTAGTCCAAATATTTTCTTCTTTTTTTTTTAAATTACCTCTCTTCTGGCGGTTATTTCTTTATTTAATTTATTATATTGCTTATTCATGCTCCCTTTATCTCAATTAAATTTTTAGCAGTTTATCTCTGCTTTTGTGGTCTTGTCTTAAATGATCAATTTAGGTTTTTTTAGTTTTCTGTTTTTTAATTTGTTAGTATGTGCTTCAGCTTCATTAATTTCTTCCATCTGCTCTTTTGTGCTTTATTAATTTTTCTAAATTATTTAGGTGCTTAATTCATTTTTTCCTTTTTGACTATTTGTATGAGCATTTTAGACCATAGATTTTTTTCTCATCATTGCTTTAGTTGAATCCTCTAGTAGGCAGCATGAAGGTCATGAGCGCAGACCACTAGCACCACACAGGTTAGATATGATCTAGGGCTTATTAAGGGGAAAGTGTCAAGCAGAGAAATAGTACAGCACATAGACGCAGCAACTCCCGTTGTTCCAAAAAGCAGACCAGACATAGATGTTCTTTATGCATCATGGACAATATTACAGTGGAGAGGGATCTAACACAACTAATAGGAAACCCATAAGTGAAACTGAGTCCTGCTCCTATCCTGTATACATATTTGGAGGCTAGTCTAAGAATGACTAGGTATACCTTTTCCCTAAGTAAAATGAGCCAAAGTCTGCAACTAAAAGACCTGGGGACAGCCTTACCTTGTAGGAATGTGGCCATTCATGGCAAGTCTTGTTGTCTCTCCTTAAATGGGCTTAGTTCAGCTAAGCCATCACTCTGCCAAACTATCAGAAGAGGGAAGGAAATGAGCTTCCAGACTCACCCAGACCTGTTTTTGATCAGTTCATACCCTGGATCTCCAGGCTTATTGACTATAAGCATGTCATCACCTTTGATTGCTGCTGGTATCAGTAGAGGGCATCACAGCATTGTCTCAGAGTGGTAGTTTTCCCGTGTCTTCTTGGAGTGAGGCCTTAATAAGGTTCCGTGCATCTGTAACAAATAGAGTAACATATTCAACCTTTTAAGGAATTGTCTTTATGAGTCACTGTTCAAAATAGTTGGAGAAAATAATTTTTGGCCACCATGTATGTAAGCAAACGAGAGAGAAAGAGGGTGTGTGTGTGTTATTCTGTTTATTGGACCCTTGTTAGAGGGGTAATTTGCAAATATTTTCTCCCATTCTTTGTGCTGTTTCTTCACCTTGTTGACTATCTGTTGATGTGCAGAAGCTTTTTAACTTGATATGACCTCATTTTTCCATTTTTGCTTTGGTTGCCTGTGCTTGTGGGGCATTGGTCAAGAAATTTTTGCCCAGCTCCATGTCCAGGAGATTTTCTTCAAAGCTTTCTTGTAGTTGTTTCGTAGTTTGAGGTCTTATATTTAAGTCTGTAGTCCATTTTGATTCTATTTTTGTACATGGCAAGAGACTAGATCTGGTTTTATTCTTCTGCATATGGATATTCAGTTTTCCCAGTACTATCTATTGAAGGAACTCTTTTCCCCAAGGTATGTTCTTGACACCTTGGTTGAAAATGAGTTCACTCTAGGTGTGTGGATTTGTTTCTGGGTTCTCTATTCTGTTCCATTGGTGTATGGGTCTATTTTTTATGAGAGTATGATGCTTTTTGGTTACTACAGCTCTTTACTATAATTTGAAATCAGGTAATGTGACTCCTCCGGTTTTGTGCTTTTTGCTTAAGACACCTTTGACTATTCTAGGTCTCTTCTGGTTTCATACACATTTTAGGATTTTTTTCTATTTCCGTAAAGAATGTCATTGGTATTTTGATAAGCATTGCACTAAATCTGTAGACTGCTTTAAGTGGTATGGATAAATTAACAATATTGATTTTTCCAATCCGTTAACATGGAATAGCTTTCAATTTTTTGTGTCCTCTCAATTTCTTTCACCAATGTTTTATATTTTTCATTGTTGAGATCTTTCCAGTTTTTCAGTTAAGTTAATTCCTAGGTATTTTATTTTATTTGTAGCTATTGTAAGTGGGATTAGTTTCTTGATTTCCTTTTCAGATTGTTTGCTGCTGGCAAACAATCAGTAGAAATGCTACTGATTTTTGTATGTTGATTTCGTATCCTGCAATTTCACTGAATTTGTCGATCAGTTCTCATAGTTTTTTGATGGAGCCTTTAGGTTTTTCCAAATATAAGATCCTATCTGCAAACAGGGATAATTTAACCTCTTCCTTTTCATCCAACTTGGATGCCATTTATTTCTTCCTCTTGTCTAATTTCTCTAGCTAGAAATTTCAGTACTAGTTTGAATAACAGTAGTAAAAGTGGGCATCCTCACCATGTTACAGATCTTAGAGGAAAGGCTTTTGGTTTTTCCCCTTCAGTATGATACTAGCTGTGCGTTTTTCTTATATGACTTCCACCATGTTGATGTACATCCCTTCTATACCCAGGTTTTTGAGGGTTTTTATCATGAAGGGATGTTGAATTTCATCAAGTGCTTTTTTTCATCAATTGAAATGATGATAAGGTTTTTATCCTTCATTCTGTTGATCTGATGTATCACATTGATTGATTTCTCCATGTTAAAACATTTTTTCATCTGTGGGATACATCCAAAATTGGTTTTGATAAATGATTTCTCATTGTGTGGAATTCACTTTGTTAGTATTTTGTGGAGAATTTTGGATTAATGTTCTTTTGAGTTATTGCTCTGTAGTTATCTTTTTTGATGTGTCTTAATCTGGATTTTGTGTCAGAATAATATTGACCTCATAGAAAGAGTTTGGAAATATTCCCCCCTTCTCTATTTTTTGGAATAGTTTGAGTAGGATTTGTATTGCTTCTTCTTTAAATGTTTGGTAAAATTCAGCAGTAAAGCTACTGAGTCCTTGGCTTTTCTTTGCTCAAAGACATTTTATTATGGCTTCAATCTTGTTGCTTGTTTTTGATCTGTTCAGGTTTTGGTTTTCTTCATGGTCCAATCTTGTTAGATTGTATGTATCTAGGAATTTATTCATTTCTGAAGGTTTTACAACTTATAGATATATAGTTGCTTACAGTAGTCTCTAATGATATGTTGAATTAGTTACAAAGTATCCTTTCTTATCTCTGATTTTATTTACTCTATTCTTATCTCTTTTTTCCATAGTTAGTCTGGCTAAAGTTTGGTCAATTGTATTTACCTTTTCAAAAGCCATCTTTTGTTTTGTTGATCTTTTGTATTTTTTAGCCTCAATTTTATTTATTTCTGCACTGAACTTTATTTATTTTCTTCTACTAATTTGGGAGTTTTGTTTGTTTGTTTTCTAATTTTTAAGATGCCATATTTTGTTGATTATTTGAAGTTTTTTTGACTTTTTCTATGTAGGCACTTAATAACTATTAACTTTCCAGTTAGTTTTGCTTTCACCGTATTCTGTATCCCATAGGTTTTGGTACCCTCTGCTTTCATTATCATTTGTTTTAAGAACATGTTAAAATTTCCTTCTTAATTTCTTCATTGACTCAATTGTCATCTAGGAGCATATTATTTAATTTCCATGTGTTTGTACAGTTTCCTAACTTCCTCTTGTATACTGCCCTCTAGTTTTATTCCATTGTGTTCAGAGAAGATACTTAATATAAATTAAGTGTTTTTAAATTTTTTAAGACTTATTTTGTGGCCTAACACAAGGTCTGTCTTGAGAGTGATCCATATGTTGAAGAGAATAATGTGTATTTTGCAGCCATTAGATGGAATGTTCTGTAAATATTTATTAGATCCATTTGATGTACAGTACTAATTAAGTTCAATGCTACTTTGTTGATTTTCTTTCTGCATGGTCTGTCCAGTGCTGAGAATGGGCTGTTGAAGTCTCCAGCTAACATTGTATGGGGAACTATCTCTCTCTCTTTAACTCTGACAATATTTGCTTCATATATCTCAATGCTCCAGTGTTGGATGCATACATATTTAGAATTGTTATATCCTCTCTCTGAATTGACCTTTTTTTTCTTTTATGATGGTGTTCTTTGTCCCTTTTAGTAGTTTTTGTCTTGGAATGTATTTTGTCTGATATGAGTATAGCTGTTCCTGATCTTTTTTGGCTTCAATTTTCATAGAATATCTTTTTTAAATTTCTTTATTTTTAGTCTAAGTGGTCTTTCATAGGTGAGGTGTGTTTCTTGTAGGCAAAAAACCATTGGATCCTGTTTTTTTTAATCCATTCACCTACTGTGTCTTTTGATTGAAGTGTGTAGTTCAATTACATTTAATGCTATTATTGATAAGTAAGAACTTATTCTTGCCATTTTGTTATTTGTTTTCTAGTCCTCCCTTCCTTTTTTCCTTTCTTCCTGCCTGCCTTTTAATGAAGGTAATTTCCTGTAGTGGTACATTTTAATTCATTGGGTTTTTTATTGTTTATATATCTATGTTATAGTTTTTGTTGAGGTTACCGTGAGGCTTGCAAATAATATGTTAATACTGATTACATAAGAAAACTAACAATTAAGCAAAGAGAAAAAAACTCTACACTTCAACTTCATTTCCCCACTTTTTAAAGTTTAATTTTTTCTATTTATATATCATTGCATTGTCTATGTCTTGAAAATTTGTTGTAGTTATATTTTTAATCATTTCATATTTTAGTCTTTGTACTCAAGCTATGAGTAGTTTATGAGGCTTGCAAATCATATCTTAACGTGGATTGCATAAGCAAACTAACAATCAAGCAAAGAGAAAACTAATAAAAACTCTACACTTCAACTTCATCTCCCCACTTTTTAACTTTTTATTGTTTCTATTTATTTCATTGTATTGTCTATGTCTTGAAAAGCCATTGCAGTTAAATTGTTGATCTGTTCACATTTTAGTTTTTCTACTAAAGCTATGAGTAGTTTACACACTACAATTACAGTGTTAGAATATTCTGTGTTTTTGTGTGTACTTACTATTACCAGAGAGTTTTACACCTTCAGATGGTTTATTGTTGCTCATTAATGTCCTTTTCTTTCAGACTGAAGAACGCCCTTTGGCATTTCTTTTAGCATAAGTCTGGTGTTTGTGAAATGCTTCAGCTTTTCTTTACCTGGGAAAGTCTTTATTTTTTATTCATGTTTGAAGGATATTTTTGCTGGATACACCATTCTAGGGTAAAATGTTTCTTCCTTAAGCAATTTAAGTATGTCATGCCACTTTCTTCTGACCTGTAAGGTTTTATCTGAAAATACCAGATGTATCGGAGCTACATTGTATGTTACTTGTTTCTTCTGTCTTGCTGGTTTTAGGATCCTTTCTTTATCCTTGATCTTTGAGTGTTTGGTTATTAAATGCCTTGAGGTAGTCTTCTTTGGGTTAAACCTCCTTGTATAATCTCTTGTACTTTAATATTAATACTTTCTCTAGATTTGGGACATTCTATTATCCCTTTCAATAAATTTTCTACCCCAATCTCTTTCTTTACTTCTTCTATAAGGCCAATAACTCTTAATTTGCCCTTTTGAAACCATTTTCTAGATCTTGTAGGCATGCTTCATTCTTTTTTATTATTGTTTCACTTTGTTTCCTCTCAGTATTGCCAGAAAGCCTCTCTTAAAGTTCACCAGTTCTTTCTTCTGCTTCATCAATTCTGCTGGTAAAACACCGCTGCATTCTCCAGTATGTCGATTGCATTTTTTAATTCTAGAAATTCTGCTTGAGACTTCTTAATTATTACAATCTTTTTGTTAAATTTATCTGCTAGGATTCTGAATATCTTCTTTGTGTTGTCTTGGATTTCATTGACTTTCCTCAAAACAGTTATTTTGAATTTTTACTCTGAAAGATCACATATCTCTGTCTCTACAGGATTGGTGCCTGATTTCTTATTTAGTACTTTTGATGAGGTCATGTTTTCTTTGATGGTCTTGATGTTTCTGGATGCTTTTTGGTGTCTTGGAATTGAAGAGCTTGGTGTTTATTGTAATCTTCACAGTCTGGACTTATTTGTAGTTGTCCTCCTTGGAAAGGCTTTTGATATAGTTTGGCTGTATCCCCACTCATATCTCATCTTGAATTCCCACATATTGTGGGAGGGACCCAGTGGGAGGTAATTGAATCATGGGGCAAGTCTTTCCCATACTGTTCTCAATACGTCTCATAAGATCTGATGGTTTAAAAAGAAGAGTTCCCCTGCACAAGTCATTCTTTTGTAAATTGCCCAGTCTTGGGTATGTCTTTATCAACTGAGTGAAAATGGACTAATACAGTAAATTGGTACCAGTAGGTTGGGCATTGCTGAAAAGATACCCAAAATGTGGAAATGACTTTGGAAATGGTTAACAGGCAAAGGTTGGAACAGTGTGGAGGGCTCTGAAGAAGAGAGCAAAATGTGGGAAAGTTTGGAACTCCCTAAAGACTTGTTGAATGTCTTTCACCAAAAGTCTGATAATGATATGAACAATAAGATCCAGGCTGAGGTGGTGTCAGATGGAGATGAGAAACTTTTTGGGAACTGGAGCAAATGTGACTCTTGTTATGTTTTAGCAAGGAGACTGGCAGCATTTTGCCCCCGCCCTAGAGATTTGTGTAACTTTGAACTTGAGAGAGATGATTTAGGTTGTCTGGTGGAAGAAATTTCTAAACAACAAAGCATTCAAGAGGGGACTTGGGTGCTGTTAAAGGCATTCGGTTTCATCAGGGAAACAGGACATAAAAGTTCCAAAAATTTGCAGCACGACAATGCCATAGAAAAGAAAATCCCATTTTCTGGCTGCAGAAGTTTGCATAAGTAATGAGGAGCCAAATGTCAATCCCTAAGACAATGGGGACAATGTCTCCAGGGAGTGTCAGAGGTCTTCACAGCAGCCCCTCCCATCACAGGCCCAGAGGCCTAGGAGTCAAAGATGGTTTTGTGGGCCGTGCCCAGGGTCCCCATGCTGTGTGCAGCCTAGGGAATTTGTGCCCTGCATCCCAGCTGCTCCAGTTGTGGCTGAAAGGGGTCAACATAGACCTTGGACCATAGCTTCAGAGGGTACAAGCCCCAAGCCTCGGCAGTTTCCATGTAATGTTGAGTCTGTGAGTGCACAGAAGTCAAGAATTGAGGTTTGGGAACCTCCACCTAGATTTCAGAAGATGTATGAAAACGTCTAGATGTCCAAGCAGAAGTTTGCTGCAAGGGTGGGGTTCTCATGGAGGACCTCTGCTAGGGCAGTATGGAAGGGAAATGTGGGGTCAGAACCCCCACACAGAGTCCCTACTGGGGCACTACCTAGTGGAGGGCACTGCCTATGAGAAGAGGGCCACTATCCTCCAGGCCTCTGAATGGTAGACCCACCTACACCTTGCACAATGCACCTAGAAAACCTGCAGACACTCATTGCCAGCATGTGAAAGCAGCTGAGAGGGATACTGTACCCGGCAGAGCCACAGGAGTGGAGCTGCCCAAGACCATGGGAACCCACCTCTTGCATCAGCATGATCTAGATGTGAGACATCGAGTCAAAGAGATCACTTTGGAGCTTTAGTATTTGACTGCCCTGTTGGATTTCGGACTTACATGGGGCCTGTAGCTTCCTTATTTTGGCTATTTGGAATGGCAGTGTTTACCAAATACCTGTACCCCCACTGTATCTAAAAAGTAATTAACCTGCTTTTAATTTTACAGACTCATAGGTAGAAGAGATTTGCCTTGTCTCGGATGAGATTCTGGACTATGGATTTTTGAGTTAATGCTGAAAGGACTTAAGACTTTGGGGGACTGTTGGGAAGGCATGATTGGTTTTGAAATGTAAGGACATGAGATTTGAGAGGGACTAGGGGCAGAATAATATGGTTTGGCTATGTCCCCACCCAAATCTCATCTTGAATTCCCTCATGTTATGGGAGGGACCTGGTGGGAGGTAATTTAATCATGGGGGCAAGTCTTTCCTGTGCTGTTTTCATGATGGTGAATAAGTCTCATGAGATCCAATGGTTTTAAAAAGAGGAGTTCCCCTATATAAGCTCTCTCTTTGCCTGCTGACATCCATGTTAGATGTGTCCTGCTCCTCCTTGCTTTCTACCATAATTGTGAGGTTTCCCCACCCATGTGATACTGTAAGTCCAATTAAACCTCTTCCTTTTGTAAATTGCCTAGTCTCAGGTATGTCTTTATCAACAGCATGAAAAAGGACTAATACAGCTTTTCAGCTGTTTAGATGGACTTAGGTGTAGTAATCTAAGTTTATGGTCTGTGAAGCTGTATCTGCATTAGGGGGCACTCCAAGCTCAGTAATGCTGGCTCTTGCAGACTTGTAGAGGTACTGCTCTGGTGGTCCTGCATAATATCTAGAAGAATTACCTGGATTATCTTGTTCTCTTCCCTTACTTTCTCTCAAACAGAGTCTCTATCTCTCTCTCTCTGTGCTGAGCTGCCTGGAGCTGGAAGAGAAGCAGCCTAAATACCCCCATGGTCACCACCAGTGGGACTGCAGTGGGTCAGATCTGAAGCCAGCATGATACTGGTTCTCATCCAAGGCCTATGGTAACTACTGCCTATGTTCACTTAAGGCCCTGGTGCTCTACAATCAGCAGGTGGTAAACCCAGCCAGTCTTGTGTCCTTCTCTTCAGGGCAATGAGTCCCCCCCACCCAGACCTGGGCAGTTCCAGAGATGCCACCTGGGAGCCCAGACCTCAAGTCAGCAACCTTAGGAATCTACCTTGTGCTCTATTCTACTTGGGCTGAGCTGGTACTCAAGACACAAGACAAAGTCCTTCTCACTCTTCCTTCCACTTTTCACAAGCAGAGGATTCTCTCCCTATTGCCTCACTGCCCCAGGCTCATGGCAAGTACTCCCTGACTACTGTCAACGTTCACTCTAGGTCCAAGGGCTTTTTGGTCAACTTGTATTCAATGATGCCAGGCCTGGATTCTTCCTTCAGGGCAGCAGACTCCCCTCTAACCTAGAAAAGGTCCAGAAATGCCATCCAAGAGTCAAGACCTAGAATTGGGGACCTCAAGAGCCCACCTGGTGGTCTACTCCACTGTGGCTGAGCTGGTACCTAAACTGAAAGACCAATTACCCTTTACTCTTCCCTGTTCTTTTCTAAAGCAGAAAGAGTCTCTCCCCATAGCCACCATAGCTAGGAATGTGCTGGGTCACACCTGAAGCCAGCACATCTCTGAGTTTCATTTAAGCCCATGGCAAGTATTGCCTGGGTATTTCACTGCTGATTATTCAGGGCACAATGGCTCTTTAATCAGCAGGGGTAAATCCCACTGGGACTGCTTTCCCTTCATGGCAAAAGGTTCTTTTTTGGCCCAGGGTGTGTGAAGAAATGTCATCAGGAGCTAGGTCCTGGAATGGGAGCCTCAGGGAAACTGCCCAGTCCCCATCCTACTATGGTTGAGTTGATATCCAAGTTGCAAGACAAAGTCTTCTTTACTCTTCATTCTCCTCTTCTCAAACAGAGAGGATGAGGCTCCTGGAGCTGTGAGTTGCACTGTCTGGGGTTGAGGGAGGGGTGGTGCAAGCACTACTTTGACCATCCTGGCTGGTGTCTCACTAGGTCACATGTCCCCCAAGTCCACTGGCTCCAAGTTCACCACAGCACTAGAATGTTTCCAAGAATTGCAGTCCTTGTGGGCGTGACTACCTTTCAAGTTTATTTACTTTAGCCCATGGTGGTGAGGCTTGCTGGAACTCAGGTTCCAACCACTGGGATGGGCAATTTGCCTCTGGCTAGAGCTGATCTAAAAGTTCTCTCTGTGGATGCTGGCTGAGTTCTGCCTGGTGTTCCTTTCCACTCTGACAGGGCAGCATTAAGTTTCAATCCAAACTCCCACAATTATGACACTCTCTTTCCTGCAAGCACATAGATTCTTTCTCCAGGCCAAGCTGCAGCTTTTAGGAGACGAAGATGGGGTGGCATTGGCAATTCAATACTGTCTTTCTTACTTCTTCAGCACCTCTTTCTGTGATATGTAGTTAAAACTAGGTACTTTCATCACTCACCTGAATTTTGGTTCTTCTGAAGGTGCATGTTTGTGCAGATAGTTGTTCACCTGGTGTTCTTGTAGGGAGGGCAATCAGTAAAAGTTCTATTCAGCCACCTTGCTCTGCCACTGCCACAATTTCCCACACATTTTCACAGAGCACAATAAACACAAAAAAAGGAAGCAGCGTACCCTTATGTGAAAAGGAGGAGAATATTAGGTTCTTTCTTAAATTCTCCTTGTTTTATACCCCACTTGTGGGTGCCAGAAAAATCAACAAAGGCACAATTGAGCATGCCATTAGAAACTTACAAATAGTTAAAGACAATGGAATGTTTTGGTTTGGAAAAGGACTTTGTTTAATAAGTGAGAATAGCTGGCAAAAGGAAAGATCTTGTGAACAACAGGGGCTCCAACATATGCAAAAATATTTTATTGGTGTACGTCCCAGTTCTTTACAGTAATTTTCATTACTGCAGTGGATTAGAGAATGAGAGAATAGGACCCATAGGCTTGGTAGACAAGATGGCCATGCATGTTTGATGGGGCTCATCATTCCAGATACTATTTCTTAATTATGGTCACTTTATGTGGACATAAATATGTAAAAATAAAGATTAGTTCATGAACAAGTTAATGTATATGGATGTGTCATTAGTAATAAGGTCCTGATAGCTTAATGTCATCATCATAGGATTAGCCTATTATTGGTAGCCCAGGAATCTGTGTGCCTATCTCATTGCACTGTATGGACAGGAACACCATTTGATATTTGGATCATTGTACATAGTATCCAATTCTATGGTTCAATGGTAATTTGAAGTAATTATGATGAATGGCTGTGGTAGTCTTTTGGATTGATCCAATCTGAAGACAGGCTGTTTTCAATAGTAATCCTTATTGTCTTTGGAAGTATGAGGTCTTTTAGGCAAGGCCCTCTGTAAGCCAGAAATTTGCTTGGAGTAGTAGGCAAGGTTATTTCTATGTCTAATAAGTGAGCAGTTATCTGTTTGTAAATGTGGCTAAGGTGTTGAGGGTCATTTGAGCCCTTAATTAAAGATTTCATTGTGGGATGAGAAGATTGATTGGAAAGTCATAATTTGTTTTTCCATTTCTATTAAGAGCAAGTTGCAAAATATTTATAGTCACTGATCTGTAGTGGGATGATATCTTCAAATATAAAAGCCTAGAAGATGCTGAGTACTGATGGAATATTTTGGCACACTTCCCAATTAGCTTTAACTCTATGAGGTCTAAAGAATATAGAGGTCTCTAGGATTGAACTTAATTTACTGTCTGTACTTCTTGCAAGGCTTCATGCTATAAGAACTTCCACTTAAATTTGAACATATGTCTATTGACTTGTTATAGAGGTTGTTATAAAGTTCCTGGGAGTAGAATGTGCTGTCTTCAATACCCAAAGTGACTAATCAGGTGTTGGGCTTCCTATGTTGTTATTAACAGTTTGCCTTTAAATATTCTTTGGTGGTAGTCTGGATAGCTCCCAAGGTGAACACTTGAGTGGTGGGGTCATAGATTTTGCCCTAGCAAAGTCCATTTATCTTTAGTCAGTGTTTATATGGCATTCAATACAATGTTGTAAGCAGTTTTCTTAGCAGAGATCATTACCAAAAAGTCATCTTAGTACAGATTGTACATCCACCAAAAGTTTACATTCCTACTAAGTAGAGTTAGTCTAACTCATTAATGTTCTGTAGTAAAAGCAAATTGATTTTGATTTTCTTTCCAGAGGCATATAAAAAATAAAAGCCCAAGCCTCTGTTCTAAGTGCCAGTAGCGGCAGCACATTCAGTTACTATATAAACATCAGGGGAAAGTGAACAACAGTACAACTGTCTGATCTAAGCCTCTAGAGTCTACAATTAAGCTCCAAGCACTAATAATTTTCACTACACAGTTAGGGATGTTAAATTTAGAGAAGACATTGGGTAACACACCTGTCTGAACTAGCTACCCTCTGAGAAGACCGAGTATTTTTTTCTTATAGTCTGAATTATTGTTTCAATTGTAGAATTTGGGCAAGCTTCCCAGAATAGACTATTCTTGTACATGAATTTGACTTCTGTTGAATCCAAAGAATGACTGTGTCTACTCAATCTGTTCATCCATCCATGGTAGGCAGATTGTAAGATGGCTATTGAGATTCCAAAAACCCACTGTACCAGCACTCTCTCCAAGTTATTCAGCCAAATATCAATCCATGTACCAACTCTGAAGGGATTTTGAAGAGATAATTATGGTCCCAAATCAGTTGACCTTAAAACAGGGAGATTATCTTGGTGGGCCTGACGTAACCACATGAGCCTTTAGTTTCCTTTACCTGTTCATAGAGCAAATCAGAGATTTGAAGCATGAGGAAAATTCTAAACAAGGGAGATTTCTTGTTCACTTGAAAGTTGAATGGGGCCATGTGGGAAGGGACTGAGGTGCTCACTAAGAACTAAGACCAATACTTGGCTAACAGTAAGAAGAGAAAGGGACTCTTTCTCTTCTATGCCTCAAAAGAACTGAATTCTTCCAATAGTTTGAGAGAGTTTGGAAAAGGATTCAGAGCTCTAGATGAGAACATAACCTATAGACAACGTGATTGCAGTATTGTAAGATGCTAAGCAGAGAACACAATCAGTATACCTGGGCTTTTGACTTACATAGCTAGGGGCTGTTTTAAGTTTCTATATTTACAGTAGTTTTATGCAGCAATAGACAACTCGATGATCTACAGCTAAGCTCCATATAGCACCCAGATGCTCTAAGCATCCTTACCAAAGCAAAAAGAACAGAATACTAAGGAAAACACACTCAAAAAACAAACAGCAAGCATAGCTGAGGAAGAATAAAAACAAAATAGTAGTCAAGCAAACTCCACTATTAAACAAGTTGATGAAATTTTGTAATTTTTACCTGTGAGGCGAATGTAGGAGCAGATTCCAGACCAAGTCTTTATCCATGTTTTTTTCCACCTTCTTGGTATTCTGAAGTTCAATATGAGTTTCGGTAAATGGCTCATCTACTCTGTTGCTATTTAGAATAACCACTGTATCTTAGCTAGTGACAGTTTTTTTTTATTATTTTATCAGTTGCCCAGTCTTTAGAAATAAAGCATATATGTATTAGTATACCCCCAAAGATATTACCCTCCTACTTTCAGGCTACCAGGTATATCACCACCTGGGATTTTCTTTTTGTGGCATATCCCTAGGTCCTTTAAATAATCTACTTGCTTATGGGTTATAAGTTATAGCTATACATTTCATAAGGTTATAACTTCAGAGTCCAGTACATTTGAATTTTAAAGATTAAGTCATTTTTTAAAAGCAATTTTGGATTTCTTTGTTGGGAATTCTTTTCTAAACCTCCACACATAGTTTTAATTTTCTCCAATGTTGACATATTAGTATTGTCTTAAAGGGTATGATTTAATTTTTCAAAAGGTTGTTTTTTAATATAAAATAGCTTGTATTATTGAGGTGTTACTATGTGCCAAATAATTTGCTCAGTGCTTGACATTCTTCAAACTCTCATAATTTTTACCACAATCTGGAGGTAAATGCTATTGTCACGCACTTCATTTTATAAATTCACAACTGAGATAAACAGAGAGATTAAGTAATTTTTTACAAAGCTAGTGATAAAATAAAACTAAGCTTTAAGCTACTGTCTATCCAATATAAAACTCCAGAATCTTCATTCATTCTGCGTGCCATCTCTTAGAAAGAAATTCTTTAGGAACTGTCTCAAAGTGTCTTGAGAGATTAAAACTTTGCAAGTGCAAGTTCTGAGTAACTACTACAGAGAATAGAATATATTCCTGTATGTAAATATTTTGGTGTATTTGTTATTTATTTAAATCATTTAAAAATATATTCATTTTTCTTTTAGCCTTTAAAAACTAAAATAAGATTTGCCATTTCAAAATTAATAAAACAAGAGGTAAAGAGATCAGATCTGGTGGGCTTGGGGGATAGTTGGAGATGTATCTATTTCTTCTCTTGTTTACTGGGTTATTAGTCATGATAGTTTTATAACAGCACTATAATAGAAAAAGACACTTTAAAAAATCACCAGTATTGAGGGCTAAATCTATTTTAAAAGATTAACTGCAATATATTTTAGAAGGAAATACTAGCTTTTATCAAAAGGTTTAAAGGATATCACATATTTAGAAAGTATCTATATTTTTAAGTAATGCATTTGGTAAGTTTAACTCTAAAACCAGAGAAAAAGGTATCTGCTCTAAGCTAAATAAGAATGTTCTATTGGTGGAGGCACATCACCCCCGGAACTCCCAACAAAGGACACTAAGTTAATAACTATCTACACAGAAGAAAATAGCTTCGTAAAAAATAAAAATCAGCTAAGCACCCATAGTACCTGGTTTAAAATTCTCTGAAGGAGGCACTGAAGAGATAGAAAATATAGTCCTGAATCACCAATGCCATGTGTTCCCCAATCCCTGGCAGCAGCTACATGGTATGGAGAGCATCCCTGGGTACTGGGAGAGAGAACACAACAACTGCAAGGCATTGAATTCAGTGCTCTTCTTTTTTTTTTTTTTTTGAGTACTTGATGATGATTTATTGAAAATTATAATTGTTGAGACAAATATTGAAAATAATTTTATAAGGTAATAAAAGCCAATTTTTAATTTATATTTAATCTTCTTTAAATGAATAAAAATAGGTTTATTTGTTATTTATTTTTATTTTATTTTAAATTCAGGGGTACATATGCAGGATGAGCAGGTTTGTTACATAGGTAAACATGTGTCATGGTAGTTTGCTAAATAGATCATTTCACCACCTAAGTATTAAGCCCAGAATCCATGAGCTATTCTTCCTGATGCTCTCCCTCCTCCCCCCTTCACCCTCTGACAGGCCCCAGTGTGTGTTGCTCCCTTTGTGTCCATGTATTCCCATCATTCAGCTCCTACTTATCAGTGAGAACATGTGATATTTGGTTTTCTGTTCCTGCATCAGTTGCCTGAGAATGATGACCTCCAGTTCCATCCTTGTCCCTGCAAAGGACACGATCACACTTGCTGACTTGTGGATGTTATACCAACCTTGCATCCTGGGGCTGAAGCCTACTTGATTGTAGTAGCTAAGCTTTTTGATGTACTGCTGGATCCAGTTTGCCAGTATTTTGTTGAGGATTTTTATATCGATGTTTATCAAGGACATTGGGCTGCCATTTTCTTTTTTTTTTCTTTCCTTTTTTGTGTGTGTTTTTTTTTTTTTTTTTTGTATCTCTGCCAGGTATCAGGTTGGTGTTGGCCTCACAGAATGAGTTAGGGAGGACTTCTGGAATTGTTTCAGTATAAATGGCACCAGTTCTTCTTTGTACCTCTGGTAGAATTCAGCTGTGAATCTGTCTGTTCCTGGGCTTTTTTTATTTTTATTTTTCATTGGTAGTCTATTTATTACTGCCTCAATATCAGAACTTGTTATTGCTCTATTCAAGGATTCAGTTTCTTCCTGGTTCAGACTTGGAAGAGTGTATGTGTCCAGGTATTTATCCATCTCTTCTATGTTTCCTAGTTTATTTGCGTAGAAGTGTTTGTACTATTCTCTGATGATTGTATTTCTGTGGGGTCAGTGATTATATCCCTTTTATCATTTCTAACTGTGTTTATTTGAATCTTCTCTCTTTTTTTATTAGTCTAGCTATCTATCTATCTAGTTGATTGATTATTTCAAAAAAACCAGCTCCTGGATTCATTGATGCTTTAAGGGGATTTTTCTGTCTGTATCTCTTTGACTTCAACTCTGATCTTGGTTATTTCTTGGCTTCTGCTAGCTTTGGAGCTTGTATGCTCTTGATTCTCTAGTTCTTTTAGTTTTGTTGTTAGATTAACTTGAGATCTTTCTAGGTTTTGATGTGGGCATTTAGTGCTATAAATTTCCTTCTTAACACTTCTTTAGCTTCATCCCAGAAATGCTAATCCATTGTATCTTTGTTCTCATTAGTTTCAAATAACTTTTTAATTTCTGCCTTAATTTCATTATTTACTCAAGAGTCCGTCAGCAGTAGGTTTTTCAGTTTCTATATAATGGTGTGGTTTTGAGTTAATTTCTCAATCTTGAGTTCTAATTTGGTTATGCTGTGGTCTTAAAGACTGTTACGATTTCAGTTATTTTGCATTTGCTGAGGAATGTTTCCTTCCAACTATGCAATCAATTTTAGAGTAAGTGTCATGTGGCTATGAGAAGGATGTATCTGCTGTTGTTTTGGGATGGAAAGTTCTATATGTATCTATCAGGCCCACTTGATCCAGAGCTGAGTTCAAGTCCTGAATGTCTTTGTTAATTTTCTGTCTCAATTATCTGTCAAATATTGTCAGTGGAATGTTAAAGCCCCCCACTATTATTCTGTGGGAGTTTTATTCTCTTTGAAAGTCTCTAATAACTTGCTTTATGAATCTGGGTGCTCCTATATTGTGTGCGTATATATTTAGAATAGTCCACTCTTCTTGTTGAATTGAACCCTGACCATTATTTAATGCCCTTTTTGTATTTTCTTTATCTTTGTTGGTTTAAAGTCTGTTTTGTCAGAAACTAGTACTGCAACCCCTATTTTTTTATGTTTTCAATTTGCTTGGTAAATTTTCCTCCATCTGTTTATTTTGAGCTTATGTGTGTCTTTGCATGTGAGATGGATCTCTTAAAGACAGCGTGCCAATGGGTCTTGATTCTTTATGCATCTTTCCACTCTGTTTCTTTTAATTGGGACATTTGGCCCACTTACATTTAAGTTTAGTATTGTTATGTGTGGATTTGATCTTGTCATCATGATGCTAGCTGATTATTTTGCAGACTTGCTTATGTGATTGCTTCATAGCATCATTGGTCTGTGTGCCTCAGCGTGTTTTGTAGTGCCTGGTAATGCTTTTTCCTTTCCTTTTCTTTTTTTTATTATACTTTAAGTTTTAGGGTACACGTGCACAACGTGCGGATTTGTTACATATGTTCACATGTGTCATGTTGGTGTGCTGTACCCATTAACTCGTCATTGAGTGCTTTCCTCAGGAGCTCTTGCAGGGCAGGTCATGTGCCTTCCCTCAGCATTTGCTTGTCTGAAAAGGATCTTATTTTTCTTTCGCTTATGAAGCTTAGTTTAGCTGGATGTGAAATTCTGAGTTGGAAATTTTTTTCTTTAAGAATGTTAAATATACGCGCCCAGTCTCTTCTAGCTTGCAGGGTTTCCACGGAGAGGTCTACTGTTAGTCTGATGGGCTTCCCTTTGTAGGTGACCTGGCCTTTTTCTCTGGCTGCCCTTAACAAATTTTTTTTTCTGTTTTGGAGAATCTAATGATTATGTGCCTCGGGGATAATCTTCTCATGGATTATCTTACTGGAGTTCTCTGCATTTTCTGAATTTGAATGTTGGTCTGTCCTGCAGGGTTGGGGAATTTTTCCTGGATGACATCGTGAAGTATAATTTCCAACTTGGTTCCATTCACCCATCTCTTTTAGGTACCCCAATCCATCATAGATTCGATCTCTTTAAATAATTCTATATTTCTCAGTGGTTTTGTTCATTCCTTTTCGTTCATTTTTTTTTTCCTATCTGCCTGTCTTATTTCAGAAAGATAGTCTTCAAGCTCTGTGATTCTTTCCTCTGCTTGTTCTATTCTGCTATTAATACTTGTGATTGCATTGTAAAATTTTTGTAGTGTGTTTTTTAGCTTGAACAGGTTGGTTATGCTCCTCTCTAAACTGGCTATTTTGGCTGTCAGCTCCTGTATTGTTTTATCGTGATTCTTAGCTTCTTTGCATTGGGTTATAACATGCTCCTCTAGGTCAGTGAAGTTCATTATTACTGCCATTCTGGTCTACTTCTGTCATTTTGGCCATCTCAGTCTCAGCCCATTTCTGAGCACTTGCTGGAGAGGTGTTTCAGTCATTTGGAGGAAAAGGGGCACTCTGGCTGTTTGACTTTTCAGCATTTTTTGTGTTGATTCTTTCTCACCTTTGTGCTGTTCTCATAGGCCAGAAAGAAAAACCAGGCCAAACTCAGCTGACACCCATGGAGGGAGGATTTAAACCAGCCCTAGCCAGCGGGGAATTGCTGATCCCAGCAGTCTACACGTGAGTGCCCACAAACCTCACCACCTAGTGCCAGAGTGCTCTGGATATTTAAGGAAACTTGAAAGGAAGTCTAAGCCATAAGGACTGCAATTTGTAGGTGAGTCCTAGGGGCAAACTAGGCCCAGAGACAGTGGAGTGGCTGGGGGCACGCAACATACTGAAATACCAGCTACTGCAGCCAAGAGTTTCCTTCCTTCCACTTGAAGAAAGGAGAAGGAAGAGTGGGGAGAACTTTGTCTTGCAGCTTGGATACCATTTCAGCCACAGCAGGATAGGGCACTAGTAAGAGTAATTAGGCTGCCATTCTAGGCCTTAGCTCCCAGACAACATCTCTAGAATAACCCTGAACCGGAAGGGAACCTGCTGCCTTGAAGAAAGGACCCAGTTTTGTCAGCATTTATCACGTGCTAACTGAAGAGCCCTTGGGCCCTGAATAAACCAACAGTGAAACCCAGCTACTACATCATGGTCCTTGGGTAAGCCTCTGAGAACTTCTGGCTTCAGGCAAGACTCAGCACATTAGCAAGTTTGGTGGCTATGGTCCAAAACTCCTTCTGCTTTAGAAAAGCAGAGATAAAAAAGTAAAGGGGAATTTTTCTTGCACCTTAGGTACCAGTACTGCTACAGGTGGGTAGAGCACCAAGCAGGCTCTTGGGGTTCCTGATTCCAGACTTGACACTTGGACATCACATCTGGACCTGCCTTCGGCCAGAGGGGAACCCACTGCCCTGAAAGGTGAGTCCCAGGCCACGCAGCGTTCACCAGAAGCTGACTAAAGAGGGCGGCCATAAGAGAACACTGGTGGTAAGCTGGCAGTACTCCTCATGGCCATGGGTGGTGGTAGCTACAGAGTGAGGCTTGTCTGCCTTTGGAAAGTGGAGGGAAGAGTGGGAAGGACTGTGTCTTGTGGTTTGAGTGCCATCTCAGTGGCAACACAGTGGAATATCAGGTAGACTTCTGAGATTTTTGACTTTAGTTTCTGACTCCTGAATGGCACTTCTGGACCCACTCAGGGCCTGAGGCACATCACCTCCCTGAAGGGAAGGACACAGGCCTGGCTGGCTTTGCCACCTACTGATTGTAGAACCTCAGGGCCTTGAGTGAACATAGGTAGTAGCTAGGGAGTAGTTCCAGCAGGACTTGTTAAAATATTGGTATAGATCTTTTTAAAAGATATTCATTTTTACAGTTTGTAAAAGCTATAATAAAGCTTGCCATTTCAAAATTAATAAAAGAAGAAGTACAGAGATTGGATCTGGTGGACTTGGGGGAATAGCACAGATGTATCTACTTTTCTTCTTGTTTATTGGCATGTACCTATTTCTCCTCTTGTTTATTGAGTTATTATACCCAGTATTGTGCTGGCTTCAGGTCTGACCCATTGCAGTCATAGTGGTGGTTACAGGGGTGCTTGTCACACTCCACCCTCAGCTTTAGGTGGCTCCGAGCAGAAAGACTCTTTTTGTTTCAGAGAAAGTAAGAGAAGAGAGCAAGAGTCTCTGTCTGGTAATCTAGAAAATTCTTCCATGTCTTGTCCAAGACCATCAAGGTAGTATCTTTACGAGTCTGCACAAAGCACAGCATTATGGGGCTTCAGGTACTCCCTAAAACAGAAACATCTTAGATAACAATACACAGGACTTTTCAAGTATCTGGATAACTTCTCTGACCACAATGGAATAAAACTAAAAATTAATAAAAAGAGGAATTTTACAAACTTTACAAATATGTGGAAATTAAACAATATGCTCCAGAATGACCAGTGGGTCAATTAAGAAATTAAGAAGAAAATCGAAAAATTTCTCCAAACAGATGATAATCAAAACACAACATACTAAACCTATGGGATACACCAAAAGCAGCACTCAGTGGGAAGTTTATAGTTATAAGTGCTTACATTAAAAAAGAGGAAAACATTTAAATTTTAAAAAATGGATCTTAAAGAACAGAAAGGCAAGAGCAAACCAAACCCAAAGTTAGAAGAAGAAAAGAAAGATTAGAACAGAAATAAAATTAAAATGAACAATAACATCAGTGAAAAAAAAAGATCAAGAAAATGTCTTTGAAACAAAAGATCAATGAAACAAAAAGGTGTTTTTTTGAAAAACTAAACCAAATTGACAAGCCTTTAACCAGATTAACTAAGAAAAAAGAAGATACAAGTAAATAAAAGCAGAAATAAAAAAGAGACATTAGAACTGATACTGCAGAAATTTAAAGGATCATTAGTGGCTACTAAGAGCAACTATATGCCAATAAATTGGAAATCCTAGAAGAAATGAACAAATTATTAGATAAACACAACCTTCCAAGGTTAAACCAGAAAGAAATCCAAAACCTGAACAGACCAATCACAAGGAGGTTAAAGTCTTAATAAAAATTCTTCCATTAAAGAAAAATCAGGGACCAGGTGGCTTCAATGCTGCATTCTAGCAAACATTTAAAGACAAACTAATATCAGTCCTACTCAAACTATTCTGAAAATTAGAGAAGAGACTACTTCCAAACTCATTCTACAAGTTCAGTATTACCTTCGTATTAAAACTAGACAAGGACACATAAAAAACATACAGGCCAAATATCTCTGATGACTATTTATGCAGAAATTCTCAACAAAATACTAGTAAACAAAACTCAACAACACATTGGAAAGGTCATTTATTATTACGAAGTGGGATTTATCCTTGTGATTCAAGAACAGTTCAACATGTGCAACTCAATCAACATGATACGCCATATCAACAGAATGAGGAATAAAAACCTTATCATCATTTTGCTTGATGATAAAAAAGCATTTGGTAAAATTCAACATCCCTTCATAATAAAAACCCTCAAAAATCTGGGTATAGAAGGAATATACCCACAACTAGTATCATGAAAGTAATTTAAGACAGAACCACAGCTAGCATTATATTGAATGGGGAAAAACTGAAAGCCTTTCTTCTAAGATCCATAACATGGCAAGTTGCCCACTTTCACTACCACTGTTATTCAAACTAGTGTGACAATTCTAGCTAGAGAAATTAAACAAGGGAAAGAAATAAATGGCATCCCAGTTGGATGGAAAGGAAGAAATTAAATGATCCTTGTTTGCAGATGCTATGATCTTATATACAGAAAAACCTAAACACTCCACCAAAAAAATATGAGAAATGATAAACAAACTTAGTAAAATTGCAAGGTACAAAAAATTAGTAGTATTTCTATATACCAACAGCAAACAATCTGAAAAAGCAATCAAGAATGTAATCCCACTTACAATAGCTACAAATAAAATTAAATACCTCGGAATTAACGACCAAAAATGTGGAAAGATGTCTACAATGAAAACTATAAAACACTGGTGAAAGAAATTGAAGAGGACACAAAAAATGGAAAGATATTCCATGTTTGTAGATTGGAAGAATCAATATTGTTAATGTATCCATACCACCTAAAGCAGTCTACAGATTTAGTGCAGTCCCTATCAAAATACCAATGATATTCTTCACAGAAATAGAAAAAATTTATGTGAAACCACAAAAGAGCCAGAATAGCCAAAGGTGTCTTAAGCAAAAAGCGCAAAACTGGAGGAGTTGCATTACCTGACTTCAAATTATACTGAAGAGCTATAGTAACCAAAAGGTCGTTTTACTATCATAAAAGCAGACCCATAGACCAATGGAACCGAACGGAGAACCCAGAAACAAATCCACACACCTCCTGTGAACTCATTTCCGCGGAAGTGCCAAGAACATACACTGGGGAAAAGACAGTCTCTTTCATAACTAGTGCTGGGAAAACTGTGTATCCATAGGCAGAAGAATGAAACTAGACCCCCTATCTCCCACCATGTACAAAAATAAAATCAAAATGGATTAAATAATTAAGTATAAGACCTCAAAGTATGGAACCACTACAAAAAAAAAAATAGCAAAAATCTCCAGGATGTTGGTGGTCTGGGCAGTTTTCTTGACCAATGTCCCACGAGCACCGGCAGCCAAAGCAAAAATGGACAAATGGGATCACATCAAGTTAAAAAGCTTGTGCACAGCAAAGGATACAATCAAAAAAGTAAAGAGACAACACAGAGAATGGGAGAAAATATTTGCAAACTACTCCTCTGACAAGGAATCAATAACCAGAATATATAAAGAGCTCAAACAACTCTATCAGAAAAAAATTAATAATTTGATAAAAAATGGGCAAAATATTTGAATACAAATTTCTCAAAGAAAACATACAAACTGCAAACAGGCGTATGAAAAGGTGCCAACATCATTGATCATCATCAAAATACAAATCAAATTACAATAAGATACCATCTCACCTCAGTTAATGAGATCCAGTCATTTGCAAAAACACAGATGGAAATTGAGATCATTATGTTAAGTGAAATAAGCCAGGCACAGAAAAACAAACATCACATGTTCTCACTTATTTGTTGAATCTAAAAATCAAACAATTGAACTAATGGATGTAGAGAGTAAGAGGACGGTTACCAGAGACTAGGAATGACAGTAGAGCTTTGAGGAGAGGTGAGGGTGGTTAGTGGGTACAAAAAAATAGAAAGGATAAATAAGTCCAACTACTTTTGGCACAATAGGGTGAGTATAGTTAATAATACTTACTTGTATATTATTACATAACTTAAACTATGTAATTGGATTGTTTGTAATCCATACAATCCAATGGATTGTAATACAATCCATTGTATAAAAACCAATGTTCTATTACAGACAATTATTTTGTCTAATAATTAAGGTCAAGGGAAGCAATAAAATTTAGGCTGGATGCATATTAAGTAGAGTGATTATAGTTAATTGATACAGCTGTCAAGATAAGTTATTTTAGTCTTATCGTTATAATATTAAATACATCTAGCTAGTAATGGGCATATATTTTTATTTTGAAATAACATAACAAAGCTTGATATAATATAAAAGTGTATACAAAAATACTTCATTAGAATTCTCCTCTGACTGGTGAATTCTTAAACAACCACTGTTCTTATTTAAAATCCATCCTTATGATAATTCTAGGCACTAGATTTTGTATGATTATCTTTATTCTAAAAGTGCCTGAAAGTATAGTGGGTGGCTAGGCAGAAATAGAACTATCAGGTGAAAATAGAATGACACATTTTTTAGATCGTGTTGGAGTACGTAAATTTTGAATAGAAGAATAAGGTATTGAATATTCAATAGAAATAGTGTTATAGTAAAATTAAGCGATAGTTTTAGTCACACAGAAGGTAACTTGTTGTCAAGCTCAGATTTTGTTTGCAGTGTGCGGTTATCTGGATAACCTACAAACAGGGTTGCACTTTGGGAGGTCAGGCTGGTTTAAATCCTCCCTCCATGGGCGTCAGCTGAGTTTGGCCTGGTTTTTCTTTCTGGCCTACGAGAACAGCACAAAGGTGAGAAGGAATCAACACAAAAAATGCTAAAAAGTCAAACAGCCAGAGTGCCTCTTTTCCTCCAAATGACCGAAACACCTCTCCAGCAAGGGCTCAGAAATGGGCTGAGACTGAGATGGCTAAAATGACAGAAGTAGACCAGAATGGGGGTAATAATGAACTTCACTGAGCTAGAGGAGCATGTTATAACCCAACGCAAAGAAGCTAAGAATCACGATAAAACAATATAGGAATTAAGTATAAGATATCACAGTCTATGGTAATTTGGGCTTTTTCAAAATAAATATTGTTTAGCTGATACAGGGTCATTTAAACAATTGCAGGCATATAATCCACATGTCTGTGGTCTAAAATGAAAAATGAAATTAGAGGACAATATTTTATTGAACATTTATAAATATTGTATAAACAAAAATAACGAGTCTGTCTCCTGTGAAGCTGTAGCTTGCATCTCTACCTTTTGAACTATGAATAGTCATTGTTACATAGTGGTATCTGAAATTTTTCGAAAGTGAGAGGAAAAAAAGCTCTTATTTGTTTCTTTTGAATTTCCTTTTCTAATGAGTTGGTAATGTCTGCAGTGCCCACTGCTGATGTAAACCTAATAGAATTCTCAATTCACTTAGCTATTGTCTGAATAGTCAGACAATGCCTGGTGGGAGTGATGATTAAAAAGTAACAACAGAGGCAGAATAGATGAGGAAAAACCAAATCTATGATAGGAACTTTGCTGCTGTTGGGCTGTCCTTTCAGTTCAGCAAACACAGTGCTTTAATTATACAACATTTTTGTTGAGTGATTGGTAACCATACTAGAGAAGCAGCAAAGATGAAGGAATTTGGTAAGCAAACTTCCTTCTGATCATGTGCCCAGAGTATCAACTACAGGAGGTGTAGTCCTAAGAATGAGTAATATGAACCATGTTTCTCAAGCTGTTAGGTGTTATTTATGAGGGGAAAAAATAAGGTAATTATGTCTTGCATACTGATAAGAGTGGGATAGTAAAGGAGAGGAGTCATCAGTATAATGCACAATTATTTTATGACTTTCTGATTACTAATTCCATTGATTTTATAATCATTTGAGAAAAATAAATTCAGAGTGGCCTCTGAGCCAGGCTCTGCAATTTGGGATACATCTCAGACTCAGAAACAAAAAAATAACAGATACTATTCATTATTTCCCATGATACATTGACATTAGATTCACAATTTAAAATGTACATATGTTTGTGTGTGTATATGTCTCTACATATCTTTATCTGTACCTATCTATCTATCTATTTATCTATCTAGCTAGCTAGATAGCTATATCTATTACAGATAGAAGAAAAGGTTTTCAGTTTGAGGCTGATTCCTTTATTCCAGGAAGGTGAAAAATCTAGAGTAACTAGCATTGTTGTTGAAAGTCACTGAAAAATATACAGCTTTTCTTCCCAAGAGGAAGAAGAAAAATAAGGTTTTAAGATTAAAACAATCTGATTTTCAAAATTATAGAGAACAAATAATAACTTCTGACTAAATGCACTAGTGTGAGACTGTCAACATCTTTTCCTGAATATAAGCATATAAATTTATATATTTTATAAACAGCATTTTTCTTCTTTGTCTTAATCCTCATATAACTACCGCCTTATTGTAGTACTATACCAATAAACTTTAACACAGTGATGTAATTGCATTTACCTTTCTGTCCTCGGTAAATTCATAGTGACATAATAAACATTTAAAATTTCTATAATAACAAAGTTTGACTCCAATTGCTTCAGTTCAATTTCAAGCCTTCTCACTGAGTAAAGGATAATCATATAAGAAATATAAAAACAATGCCACTTTATTTTTATTTAATCAGAGTTTACAATTATGCTCTGGGGACAAAAATGAGCAAAAAGAAACACACATACACACACACACACACACGCACACACACTTTTTTATATGACAGAAGCAGGTCGGTTCATCTAAAAACAAGACAAAAATGGTTTCCGTAGGAACAAGGCATCATGTGAAAAGAAAGCTCTCAGAACAACTCCTCCCTCCATTTCAAGTTTCTTTCTGAGCCTCTACTTGCAGATGAGCTTGGATATAAAATCAGCTATTTGCCTCTTTCAAAGTTGGCAGGTAAACTTAAGCAGGGAAAGAAAGATGCCGACAGGTAACAGCACATGCATCACTCAGGGATGCTTACACATCAGAAATGATTTGTATCAATCTGTTCCCAAACTGTACAGCCCTTTAAGTGCAATTGCATCAAAAAAGAAAAACAAGATAAAGAGAAAATATCTTTGAGCTTTGTTTTCAGTGACACATGTAAGATATAAGAAAGGAGGATTCTAAGGCACTTGCTCTTGAGTACTTGTTTGAAAGGTTTTCACTGAAACAAAAGTGGGGAGGCTCTACATGGTGGCTGATGACCACTGGGAGTGAGAGGAGTCCTTTGAGGAAAATGAAATCCGACTGCTGGGATAAATGGAAATTTTGTAGTACCTTAACTGTAGGGAAGTTAGTGGACATTCATCAAGCTAGGTTAATGGTTAATGAATGGAAAATGGTTTAATGTAATTTCCTAAATGGCAAGCTATAGTAGGTATAGATTTGCATAAATTGCAAAATGCATTAAAAGAATCTTTCCTTGGCCACATACATATTTTTTTCTCATGACTTCTTTTGAATCCCTTAGAAAATTAGCAGCTGCAAAATTATATTCATTCCATGTGGACCCTGGAAACTACTTGGGAAGAACAGTAGAATTAAATGGACTTCTGCTCTCTAGTCAGATGGGGCAGTACCTTTGTTTCCTCACATTTAATTTGCCTATTTGCCACAAGGTCAAAAGCATAATATGTTTGAGAAAAATATCTTAGAAATGCCAGGAAAAAAGCAATACTTTAGCATAAAGTCCGATAGGGTGTAGAAGTAGGGTAGAGATGTGGTATCCTATTTTATACTAGGTATTCACTAATCTAAGAGAGCTAGTATGTGTGTGGTGAGATGAGGGGGAGTGCCAAGCAGTAAGGAACAGCGATCTTGATTGACATGCAGCTCCACATACGTACACACTGCTGGGATGAAAACCAACTGCTTAACAGAGGGGTTTAAAAGTAGGAATGGGCATTATTTTACTAACTTCCAGAGAAAAATGATCACATTCAAACTAGCAAGAAGATAAGATATTCATCATGTACTGATGTTAACATTTACCAACGATAAATATTTTATAAATCGGTAGTTCTAAAGAGTACATAAAAGTTATTTATAAAATCACATGTTTTATAGTATTTCTATATATGTCTAAAAATATGCCAAATCAATAGAGAATGTCTTATTTATTTATATATCAGTTAGACAAATAGTGCTTCCAGTAATAAAGGTAACACAGTAGAGACAACTGGGGCTTTAAAAATGTGAGCCTATTAGAATAGCAAATTTTTTCTCAATTTTTCATTTACCCATAGTTTCCTTAGTACCTAAAAAGAGCCTGGTACAGGATTTTTTCTTTTTGAGGGTTAACTTTAATTAATTACTAAATTAATCAATAACTCTACATGTATCTGAAATAAATATTGCCATTACTTTAATCTTTCATTTAATATCCTATTTCTTTTCAATTTCTACTTAGGTGAGGATTTGTGATTTGTACCAAATGTAGTTTCATGTAAATATAATATCCTTCTATGATTGGATTTTGTTGGTGGTGCCATTGCTTTTATAAGGTTCCAAAGGCAGAGATATTAGTTTACTTTTTCCTGGATCCATAGTTGATTAATAGACTGTGTCATATACAGCAGTATAAATAAGTGTTCATTGAATGAATATGTTGAGTGTGATAAGTATGGAATTCTGGTTTCAAATTAGAATGTATTCTTTTAGAGTTCACATATTGTATATTAACAAACACAGTGCTTAAGAACTTGAGCTTTGATGTCAAAGTAACACTCAGGTTTTCACCACTTAGGAGATGGGCAATACCAAGCAAGCTAATTGAAGTCTTTCTATGCCTTCATTTCTTTATCTTAATATAGGAATTATACAGTAAGTTCTTGCTTAATGTAATTGATAGATTCTAGGCTCACCTTTAAGTGAAATGATGTACTGTATGCTGTAGACACTTAACTCTTGTTTATATCAATTAGCCTACGGTAAAATTGGTTTCATTTTGCAGTACAGTTGCAGTTTCCAAGAACCTATAGGCAACATTGAGGACTTACTGTAAAAATATCTATCCAAATGTTGTTATACAGAAATAAGTAAGGTCATGGTTCAAATTGTGCATGCAAAATGACTTAGCATCTTCAATAGCACCTGAAAAGATCCTGAACCTGTGTTTAGAAGAACCTGGCATCAAATCTTTGATGAACCTGGCAACAAATCTTTGGCTTTACTTCTTACAACCTACATTACTTTAGAGAGGTTATTAAACTCCTCTGAGCTTGTTTGAAATAGTCAGTATTACCAATGATGAAGGAAACACCCCGTTGTATTTTAGGCATAGAGTACATTGTAGCTACTATGGTGAGTGAGTGCCTGTGTTTCTTTACTTTTCATTTTGGCCATCTTTCATGGCAGTATTTTTGCCTGTTTGTTCTCCCTGTTTTCTCAGGATGAGATAACCTCATCCTAAGGTTATCAGGAGAGTATTTCAGATTCTCATCTCAAAGGTGACATTTGTGTTAGAGGTGTAACACATTTGTCATTCAAACTTCTGCACTTTGTTGAATGCCGAGGTTTTTTTTTTTTCTTTTATTAAAGTCGAAGGTGTTGAACATGCTTAGGAATGAAATTGGAAGGCCTACTGAGGAATGCTAATTTAGTGTATCACGGAACTGAGTACCTTAAACTATAATTCCTGACCAAAACAAACAAACAAACAAACAAAATCAAGCAAAAACACACCACAGTGTACATATTGCTGAGCTATATCCCTGGTTATCATATATACTGCATATCACAATATTAATATAAATACATGAGCTGATTAATTTGTTTGCATAGTCTTTACATCTAGAATATGCTAAAGGAACAAAATACTATCATAAACTGCCTGCTTAATCGATTGATAGATGAATATTTTGGTGGGTGGTTGAAAATATGTTCCCTACATTTATCGTATCTTCTTTTAGACCCAAAGTTACTACCAGGATCATGGCAGGACTCATGTCTCCATGAGAGTGTGATATAGTTATGCTTTGTATCCACCCAAAGCTCATCTTAAATTGTAATCCCCCTAATCCCCACAAGTCAAAGGAGAGACCAGGTGGAGGTAATTGAATCATGTGGGCAGTTTTCCCCATGCTATTCTCGTTATAGTGAGTGAGGTCTCACGAGATCTGAAGGTTTTTTTTCTTTTTTAGACGGAGTCTCCCTCTGTCGACCAGGCTGGAGTGCAGTGACGCGATCTCGGCTCACTGCAAGCTTCGCCTCCCTGGTTCACGCCATTCTGCTGCCTCAGCCTCCCGAGTAGCTGGGGCCGAGGCGGGTGGATCTGAAGGTTTTGTAAGTGGCTCTTCCCCTTTCACTCAGCATTTCTTCTTCCTGCCGCCTTGTGAAGAAGATGCCTTTCTTCCCCTTCACCTTCTGCCATGATTGTACGTTTCCTGAGGCCTCCCCAGCCATGCAGAACTGTGAGTCAATTAAATCTCTTTCCTTTATAAATTACCCAGTCTCCAGTGTATCTTATAGCAGTATGAGAACCAACTAATACAGGGTGATATCTGATTTTTTTTATTATGAACCAAGAATTTCAGAAATACCAGGTACAGGAGTCAGGGTGTTGCCTGAAAAGACCATGAAAGATACCCTTACACTCTGCCCCCAAGTTATGTCTGGCCCCAATGAGCATTCAGATATCCACGCCATGATTTTCATGGAGAGAATGATTAGACACTGCTATACTAGCTTTTCAAAATCTCAAGCCCTTCCTCTGTACAATGATTTCTAGACTAGTGAACCTTTCAAAACCCTAGAACATCAAAGAAGCAGCCCGAGTAATACAGAAATGAATGTTAAAATGAAGACAAAAGGAAAAAAAGGCAATGAGGGGCCATATAGAAGGACACAGAGATGAGTGTAAGCAACATTTGACACTGGTGACCAAAGATAAGAGCATTAAGTTTTAGGTCTTATCCTGAAAGCCAGCAAATAAATACAAATTAGCTTTAGGATGTATGTGAAGAATACTGCAAAGAAGAAGGAATATTAGAAAATATAATTAAAATTTGGAACAATCTGACTTCCCCACTTCACAGAACAAGTTGCAGAGTACCATGTCACAGTTTTGTTTAAGGTTACAGGCCTATTTTACTGGGAAGGATTTAACTACAATTGTTATTTTACTACCTATGCTCTTAGTGAAGTAGGGGAAGGGAAATAAATGGACAAGATATTCACAGAATGGTCACCATGGTCTGACTATTCAAGATACACTTCAATAGGCTTTGTCACTTCTGAAATGTATAAAGCTTTCCTTTTGACCATAGTCAGTTTCTAGTAATCCTGTTGACAGCAATCTTCTTTGAAACAATTCACTCAGCCTCAAAGCTAGGAAGTTAGTTTATCTTTAAGCAAAGTTTATTGAGATGACTTGTAATTTGGTGCTCTATTTCGCTAACTGCTTTGAAACCAAAGACATAGACGGTGGTTTCAGATTACTTTTTTAAGGACTCCCACCAAAATTTCTAGTTTATTTCTTGATTCCCTTATTCCTTCTAGTATATGGCCATCATACATAAATAAACTAGAAAAACAATAGTCTTGTTAGGAAGAATCATTTGATCTTATTTTGTGGGAAGATTATTTACCTGACTCTTTTTTTTTAATTGCTTGATATTTATTTCCATTAAAGAGAAGCACAGCTTTGCTGTAACCACAACTTATTAAACATTCAGTGTAAATGTACCAGGCATGGGTTTTAACATTACCTTTCAACATTCAGGAAAGGAAACATATTAGGCTCCCACATACTTGTTTAGAAATCATCATATTGTCCTAATTTTAAATTATCTTTAACGTTATTCATTTTCTGGAAAGACTGCTGATATTATATCACTTTTGTATTGTGGTCTACATCTTAAAATTTTTCTTCATATATTTTGCCTGATTTCAGTCTTATAATGGCCTGCTGAAGTAAACAGGACAGTCATTATCATCCACATTATAGATAAAGAGGCCAAATTTAAGGGTTAGCTGAGTTTTCCAAAAGTCACATAACCAATGAGGGAGATGGAATATTCAAACTTAGGCCTTTGATTTTATGTTTTACTCTTCTTAAACACACTATTCTAAAAAAACAAAGGAGATGAGACAGATGCTTGTTTTTTTTGTTGTTATTGATGGTTTTTTAAAAACATATTCTGATAGTTTATTTTTAACCCGTAGTCACCATCTTGGTAGGTATCATTTCTGGTTACTGCGTAAAGTATCCTTATTGCAGCATGTCCTTTGATTTTATGTTTATTTTTCTCCAGAAGGAGAGATTATTCATAAAATGTGGTTAATGCTCACTTGTAGCTGAAAGGCAAAGGTTATAAATCGAATAACAATAGGGTGCAAAATCATGTCACATTGAGAATAATAAGGGATGAGCTTAATTATTGCAGAATTACCCACTTCAGCAATAAATTGGAAAGATTATAGCAAGAACCAATTTCCTGCTCTCATGAATAAATTGCTTCTTTGAATACCTTTTTCGGTGCCTAGAAAGGAGAATGGAATCATGCAGTTAGTTTCCTGGTGTGTAACCTTGAATAGTTTATGATAGCTGTTTTCACCATGATCATGGAAGTAAAAATTTGTTTCCACAGTGAAGTATTGTTCCCTTAAGGAGGAAGATGAGTCATACTCTTATGATGAACAAAGGATTTAAAGATGAAACTGCCTGCACTTAACGAAATAGTTAACAACAGTATGAAGGGCAATTGAAACAACTTTGCAATGTAAAATCAGCCTCAAGCTATTTAACAACAGTGGAGTAGAGATGCAGATGGTTTATATGCTATATTTATTAATGATTTTGCAGACGAAATAGGTATTAAGTTGGCAAAGTTTGTCTATTATGCTAAGTTGTCTCTGAGAGTGAATACTTCAGAGAATTGTGAGAAATTCCAGATGCAGTATTAGATGTTATGCTTTTGGGAAGTATTACTTAGATTAACCTGAAATAGTGTGTGTTGTTAAAAAATATAGCCTCAGTTATGTATTTAAACATTTCTAATCTTATGACAGTTCAATCAGTCCTTCTGGGGGCTAGAGTGAAATACGTGTTTACAGTGTGACAATAATGGAAAACAAAAGTACTTTTGGGGAATTTCATAATCCAGATGACAGCTGTCATGATCCTACAATCTCATTTCACAATAGGAGTGTCCTTCTTTGAGTGTAATTATTTCAACAAAGGAAAACCAGAGTAGTTGTTTCAAGTGAAGAGGAATAAATGATGCTAAAAGGTGGCAAGTCAAGTATAAACCATTTATAAATATATTTATTTGGTGTAAATAAGCATGCTTGAGATACTATGTTCAAAGCTATGAAAAATAATGTGAGAAATCAAATTTATCTTTTTACCCTATTGTCCTTAATGTTTGATCAAAGAAATATTTAATTAAAGCTAAAATTAAATTGTTCAATCTTAATAAAATATTATAGATTCTATACCACAGAGTAAAAATTTGGGATTTAAGATTTCTCATCCCAGAATGAAAAGCCACATTTTATTTTTAAAGGACATTTGTTTAGATGACCACTCCTATATGAAAATTTCAGTTAAATGTTATTTTAACAAAGATCTTTCTCATACACACAGAATTACAATTAGTACATAACTTTACTATATTTTCATTTGCCAGTACTCTCTTGATGTTAGAAAGTTTTGTCTGATAGATTACTAGTTTTTTTTTTGAGACAGAGTCTTGCTCTGTCACCCAGGCTGGAGTGCATTCGTGCGATCTCCGCTCACTGCAACGTCCACCTCCTGGGTTCAAGTAATTCTCCTGCCTCAGCCTCCTGAGTAGTTGGGACTACAGGCATGTGCCACCACGCTTGGCTAATTTTTGTATTTTTAGTAGAGACGGGGTTTCACCATGTTGGCCAGGCTGGTCTCGAACTCCTGACCTCAGGTAACCTGCCCGCCTTGACCTCCCAAAGTGCTTGGATTACAGGCGTGGGCCACCACCCCAGCCTGATAGATTACTATTTAACTGTGTATAAAGACTCAGGTTATGATAAATCATATAAGCATTATTGGGAATATAGTATGTTTTAGACTCTGTGCCTAGTTCTGGGAATACAAGACCAGCTCCTTGCCCTGTTAGAAATCTTTAGACACAAGATACTGAATCATATTTCAATGCAATACAATAAGGGTTCCAAAAGACATAGATAGTTTTAGGATGCTTTGGAAATACAGAGAAGGCGGCACTTAAGGTAAAGATAAGTTAAAAGAAAATTTTTGGAGAGGATAACAGTGAAGTTAAAAGTTGAAAGATGAGTAAGATATTTGAAGTTAAAGTGGATAAATCTATTCTATGTGAACCTCGTGAAGTGAAAAATATGTGACACGTATTATATAACTAAATCAGATTTCAGAGTACACAGTTTAGAGTATAAAATGTGCTTCTGTGTGTTCACGTTTGTATATTTGTAAATTTGTGAAAGTGTTGTGGGGGGAGTGTGGACAAGGGTGTGGTAGAGGTAGGCTTCTAGATATAGTCTTATCATTTACAGAGGGAAAAAATAGTTTAGGCCCTTTATGATAAATTTACTCTCTTCTTAACACACTGTATATATTTGAATCCAGAGAGACTTAATAGGCTTGCTCTATCTGATCTTGACTGCTGTGAAAGGTTCTCAGACCTGAAATGTGGAAAATATCAAAAAGCCTCCTTGGCTCATTTCAGGATGAAGGTCACATCCATATTAATTGCCCTGATAATGAAACCTTCCTGGAGGCCACCTGTCAGAACATCTGGAGCTCTTGTTGTTACTGCTTCCAACAAGGCCCATTTCCATCCCTACGCTGACTTCAAAGACCCATCTTCAAGGTTGATGGTAAGGACTTGGGAAGGGATGCAGCATAGATTTACTGGCCCAGGTTCAGCTCTATTTTAGAATACTAAAATTTCCTTTTGTCAGTTTCAAAACCTAGCAAAAGAGGGATCATTTAAATTTGATATTTTCCAAAATGAATTTTGGACAGATAATTATTGGAAAAAGAATGCAGTTTGATTTTCCAGGTTTCCCTCAGGTTTTGGGTTGAATATGAATCAAAGTTACCTGTTTTCAATATCAATGAAATAAAAAAAAAATCATTTAAGGGGCACCACTGTGTATGTGATGATTAATTTTAGTCATCAACTCAACTGGATTAAGGGATATCCAGATAGCTGGCAAAGCCTTATTTCAGGGTATATTTATGAGGGTCGATATGGTTTGGCTTTGTGTCCCCACCTAAATATGACCTCAAATTGTAATAATCTCCACATGTCATGGGAGGGACCTGGTTGGAGGTAATTAAATTATGGGGACAGGTTTTTCCTGTGCTGTTCTTGTGATAGTAAATAATTCTCATGAGATTTGATGGTTTTATAAAGGGGAGTTCCCATGCACATGCTCTCTTGCTTGCACCATGCAAGACATGACTTCGTTTTTCCTTCGTCTTCTGCCATGATTGTGAGCCCCCCCCAATCATGTGAAACTGTGAGTCTATTAAACCTCTTTCCTTTATAAATTACCCAGTCTTGGGTATGTCTTTATCAGCAGTGTGAAAACGAACTAAGACAGTAAATTTGTAACCAGTTGTGGGCTGTTGCTATAAAGATACTCAAAAGATCCAAGTGACTTTGGAACTGAGTAACAGGCAGAGATTGAAACAGTTTGGAGGGCTCAGAAGAAGACAGGAAGATATAGGAAAGTCTGGAAGTTCCTAGAGATTTGGAGGACTACGAAGACAGGAAGATGTGGGAAAGTTTGGAACTTCCTAGACACTTGTTGAATGGTTTCCACCAAAATTCTAATACTAGTGATATGGACAATAAAGTGCAGGCTGAGGTGGTCTCAGATGGAGATGAGGAACTTGTTGGGAACTACAGCAAAGGTGACTCTTGTTATACTTTAGCAAAGAGACTGGCAGCATTTTGCCCCTGCCCCAGAGATCTGTGGAACTTTGAACTTGAGAGAGATGATTTAGGGCATCTGGTGGAAGAAATTTCTAAGCAGCAAAGCATTCAATATGTGACTTGGGTGCTGTTAAAAACATTCGGTTTTATGTATTCACAAAAAGATATGCTTTAGAATTGGAATTTATTTTTAAAAGGGAAGCAGAGCATAAAAGTTTGGAAAATTTGCAGCCTGACAATGTGAGAGAAAAGAAAACCCCATTTTATGAGGAGAAATTCAAGCCAGCGGAAATTTACATAACTAACGAGTTAATATTTATTGCCAAGACAATGGGGAAAATGTCCCCAGTGCATGTCAGAGACCTTCCTGGCAGCCTCTTCCACCATAGGCTCAGAGGTCCGGGAGATAAAAATGGTTTCCTGGGTTGGATCCGGCGGCCCCTGCTGTGTGTAGCCTCAGGACTTGGTGCCTGGTGTCCCAGTTGCTCCAGCTGTAGCTGAAAGTGGCCAAAGTACAGCTCAGACCATGGTTTCAGAGGGTGCAAGTCCTAAGCCTTGGCAGCTTCTGCCTGTTGCTCAGCCTACGGGTGCACAGAAGTCAATAATTGAGGTTGGGAACCTCTGCCAAGATTTCAGAGGATGTATAGAATAGCCTGGATGTCCAGGCAGAAGTCTGCTGCAGGGGTATGGAGAACCTCTGCTAGGGCAGAGCAGAAAGGAAATGTGGGGTCAGAGCCCCAACACAGAGCTCCCACTGGGGCACTGCCTGTTGGAGCTGTGAGAAGAGGGCCATTGTCCTCCAGATGCCAGAATGGTAGATATACTGACAGTTTGCACGGTGCATCTGGGAAAGCCACTGGCACTCAGTGTCAGCCCATGAAAGCAGCTGGGAAGGGGGGTGTATGCTGCAAAGCCTCCAGGGTGTCACTGCCCAAGGCCATGGGAGCCTACCTCTTGTATCAGCATGACCTGGATGTGAGACATGGAGTCAAAGGAGATCATTTCAGAGCTTTAAGACTAGGCTGCTCCATTGAATTTCAGACTTGCATAGGGCCCGTAACCCCTTTGTTTTGGCCAATTTATCTCATTTGGAACAGGTGTATTTACCCAATGCCTGCGCCCCCATTGTGTCTAGGAAGTAACTAACTTGCTTTTGATTTTATAGGCTCATAGGTAGAAGGGATTTTCCTTGTCTCAGATGAGACTTTGGAGTTGTACTTTTGGGTTAATGATGAAATGAGCTAAGACTTTGGGGTACTGTTGGAAGGTATGAATGATCTTTATATGTGAGGATATGAGATTTGGGAGGGGCCAGCAGCAGAATGATATGGCTTGGTTCTGTGTCCCAAAACAAATCTCACCTTGAATTTTAATAGTTCCCACACATCATGGGAGGGACCTGTTGGGAGGTAATTGAATTATAGGGATGAATTTTTCCCATGTTGATTTCATGATACTGAATAAATCTCATGAGATCTGATGGTTTTATAAAGGGTAGTTCCCCTGCACATGCTCTCTTGACTGCCACCATGTAAGATGTGCCTTTGCTCTACCTTAGCCATTCACCACCATTGTGAGGCCTCCCAAGCCATGTGGAACTGTGAGTCCATTAAAACTCTTTCCTTTATAAATTACCCAGTCTTGAGTATGTCTTCATTAGCAGCATGAAAATAAACTAATGCAAGGTTGTTTCTGGAAAAGATTGGCATTTGATTCAGCGGTATGAGTAAGAAAAAACTGCCCTAACCCAATGTGGAAGGGCACCATCCAATTCTTGAGGACCCAGGTAGAACCAAAGACAGAAGAAAGATAAATTCACTTTCTCTTTCTTCTAAAGCTAGGACATCCATCTTCTTCTGTCCTTGAACACCAGGACTCCAGATTTTCTGGCCTTCAGCTTCAGACTCAGAGTTACACTCTCAGCTTCTCTGGTTCCCAGGCTTTCAGATTTGAACTGAGCTATGCCTCCACCTTCCCTAGTTCTCAAGCTTGTGGATGGCATGTGGTGAGACTTCTCAGTTCCGTAATCATGTAGGCCAATTTCCATAATATATTTCCCCTCATCTGTCTATCTATTTACATATATTCTATTGACTCTGTTTCTCAGGAACACCCTAACTAATACAGGATATCTGGGTTCAGTTTGGATATTGTAACCACAATCTTTCATTAAATCACAGGGAACAAAATAAATAATACATTTGAGCGGGTCGTTGGAGAATACAGCACCCCACACAGAACTCAAACTCAGACTCAGCAAGAAGAAGTATTTAATAAAGTCAGTAAAAGACCTGAATCTCTCAGGATGAGGTCACATCTCACTGAGCTGAGTTTGTAGGGGACAACAGCTTAAGGTACTAACAGAGAAGCTGTTCTTTCTTTTTCTCCTTCAAGGCCACTGGTGGTATGTCTTTTTCATTGGAAATAACCCAAGGGGTTTAATTCACTCCCTACATGGCTAAAATTGTTGTAATTTTTAATTATTGTGAAAATTACCTCTTTCAAACTCATTGTTAAAGCATGTGATGTGAGGAAGAAATAGTATTTGATGAAATAAGTTTAGGAAACAAGGGATATTCAGTTAAGGAGGGTTTTTTTTTTGTTTGTTTTGTTTTGCTCCATGGATTCTCATAGTTTATGATGTGTTAATATTAAATGCAAACCTAAAAAAAGATGTAGTTTAAAGGTTCCTGATTTTATTTTCCCACCTTGTTCACTTTTCTTTCTTTCCTTTTTTCTTCTTAATCTGTCAAAGTATTTAATAGAACACACTTTGAGAAATGCTGACTTAGGCTTTGATATTCAAACAGATTCTTCTCATATGGCTTTCAGTACTACTAGCATTCTGCTGGAGAGAGTCACATCTATACTGTACGTCTATCACTGCCCAAAACCAGTCTTGACCCCTCAAAGTCTAACTCTATCTTGGCTCAAATTTTATCATTTTTATAACCTTAAATCAACACTCTGCTTGTGGTCTGCCCTCATCCAATATAGATGGGCATCATCCAGGCCTTCTACTTATATTATGTTGAGTGAGGAAGAGACAATAAGTGAATAGAAAGTAACAGCATCTTAAATGGTGATCAGTGTTACAGAGAGAAATAAAGAGGATAAGAGGTTAAAAAATAAGCAGTGAGTTAGCTGACGCTACTTTTTAACTTGCACCAGTGGAGGTTGGTGCAAAAATAATTGCAGTTTTGGACCGTGAAGTTTAAATCATTATAACTAGGCTCAAATAGATCTTTATTAATCAAAATAGGAATCATTATAATGAACACATTTTTTGCCAATAAGAAATAAGTTTGTTTATTCCTATAGCATAAAAATCTGTGTTTCGGGATTTAACAAACTCTTTTAAAGCATTTTCTGCATCCTACTGATTGTGGGATCATTTTCCCTGCAAAAGTTGTCAAGATGGTTGAAGTGGTAGTTGGTTGGTGAGAAGTCAGGTGAATATGGCGGATAGGGCAAAATTTGTAGCCCAATTTGTTCAACTTTTGAAGTGTTGGTTGTGCAACATATAGTCGGGTATTGCCATGGAGAAGTATTGGGCCCTTTCTGTTGACCAATGTGGCTGCAGGCTTTGAAGTTTTTGGTGCATCTCATTGATTTGCTGAGCATACTTCTCAGAAGTAATGGTTTCACTGTGATTCAGAAAATGGTAGTTGATCAGAGTGGTAGTAGACCAAGCAATGACTATGACCTTTTTTTTTGGTGGAAGTTTGGCTTTGGGAAGTGCTTTCAAGCTTCTCAGTCCAACCACGGAGCTGGTCATTGGCGGTTTTCATATAAAATTCACTTTTCCTTGCATGTTCACAATCTGATCAGGGAACAGTTCCTTCTTGTTGTGTAGAATAAGTGACTTTTTAAAATTTTCAGTCATCTTATGAGGCCCCACTTATTGAGATTTTTCATCTTTACAATTTGCTTCAAATGCTGAATGACCATAGAGTCATTCAGCATTTGAATGTAGAGTCTACATTGAGTTCTTCGGCAACTTCTATAGTGAGAGGATCAGTGTCAATGATTGCTCTCAATTGGTTGTTGCCAACTTCCGATGGCCAGCCACTGTGCTCCTCATCTTCAAGGATCTCCTCTCCTTTGCAAAACTTCTTGAACCACCACTGCACTGTACGTTTGTTAGCAGTTCCCGGGCCAAATGCATTGTTGTTGTTGCGAGTTGTCTCCACTGCTTTATGACCAGTTTTAAATAAGAAAATTGTTCAAATTTGCTTTTTGTCTAACATCATTTCCTTATTCTAAAATAAACATAAACAGCAAGTAATAATCATTAACAAAAAACATAAAGTGAGAAATCCCCTTAAAATGATGTGTAACACAGCCACGTTTGTCTAAGAAAGCATTCCACTATCAAATGGCAAATTTCAACATTGCAAAAACCACAATTACTTTTGCACTCACCATGTAAGGTGAGGAAGCAGAAATAGCTTCTCCAATCAGGTGATATTTGGACAGAGATTTGCAGAGGTGCATGAGTGAGTTGATGACAACAAATGGCAGAAGATTAGATGGGCCTCATCATAACTTTGGCTGTAACGTTAGTTTTATCCAAGGACACCATTAGGCTCTATTTGAGAATCTCTGGCAGCACAGGTACACAGTTAGTCTCATAATTCAACTTTACTTATATGGGAAGATGTACATACATTCTTCCCCTTTTAAAAATAATCTAAAGATTTGGTGGTGCAAACTTGGAGTCCCAGCTACTCAGTAGGCTGAGGTGGGAAGATCACTTGAGCACATGAGTTCAAGGCTGTACTGAGATGTGATTGTCCCACTGTACTCCAGCCTGGGCAAGAGAGAAAGACACCATCTCTTAAATAAATCTAAGCCATTAACCAAAGGCTAGTTGCCACCATTCTGATTTTTTTTCAAGGGAGTTCCAAATCTACCTTGAGCTATTCATAAAAAGAAAAATTTATAAGCTTTAATTTTACTTTTCTAAGCACTCATATACCTGAGTAAACTTACATTCCAGTTGTATGATTTCTATTACCTGTAAATATTTCTGCTCTGAATCGGAATAATCTATTTTGCTGAAATGAAATATGCATTCTTAAATAAAATTTAATCTCCCTTTATTTTTCTTCTGAAGAGAACCAGAGTCTACATATCTGTTATGACTAATTTATCTTATTTTGAAACTTCTCATATTTTAAAGTAATAATAATAATAGTAGTAATAGTAGCAATAGCTAAGTTTACTTTTCAGGTCCCATTACAATTTTATATACAAATTTTATCAAATTAACATCTGCAATAAACTCACAAGTATTTTTTGAGCAATTACTATGTTCTGTTGGCTGTCTGAGATGCTGAGGATACAGAGAAAGTTGATCTGGAACACTATTTTCATGGCGTTTTATCTCCTGTAGAAGACAGACAATAACCAAAACACTTGAGGAGGCATTGATTTATCTCTTCCATGGGTGAAAAGACAGGCAAAATGGAACTTGGGTTTGCCTTACTCTAAAGCCCATCATTTCCATAGCTATGCTATTTCTGTATCATTAAAAGGGAAATAGGAAATGTCATCAATAAGCTGAGAGTTCAGTAAAGTATTGGTTCAGATTTTGCAGCCAAAGGCTTGATACCAACTTCTAGAATAACTATTTCTCATGTTGTAAAATCAGTGTTTCTCCAACTTAATCTTGGAAGAAAATCACTTGGGGTGCTGGTTTGAAATAAAGGGTTATCAGACCCATCTTCAGACAGTAGGTCTGTGGTAACCTGCCTTTGTCACAAGTTTTCAGGTGATTCTGATGCAGATAGCTTCTGGGTCAAACTTTGTGAAATTCATTTCATAGTAGTAAGGTCTGGCAAATGCTAGTACAGACAGTAATTAAGCTAATGAGTTCATCAGATAAGACAGACATGAATAAGGCCACAGAAGTACAGGATCAAAAAGATCTAATGAGTTAGAGACATTGAAAAGGTAAGGGTGTAACCTTGGCCTTCCCTCCATCCACCCTCCAATTCAGTGCTGTTAGATTCGTGTCTCTTGGTCCATGTCTGATGCCCCATGATAAGGCCCAGACCCTATGAGCGCCAGTGGATTTTCTCACTCTAAGGAAGCCACCATTTTCTCCTCCTCAGAGATACGGTTATCAGAAGCCTTGAACAAGTTTCTCCTTAGAACTAGAAAAGAGTTTTAATGATAATGACTAAAGATTAATTTTAAATCAAGTATGAAGTATCCTCCTATTTTGGTTATTCAATTCTATTTATCATCTAAGGGTTGATATTTTAAAACATAGCAAGCTTTGAAGAAGGTGGCATGCACAAAAGTTAACAGAAACTTTCAAGATTTTAAGAAAAAGTATAAATATAATATTTTGAATTCAACAGAGAAGTCATCCATAAAACTAAATGTATTATTTAGTATATTAGATTGAGCACAAATACTTTTCCTTTTTGCTTATATATTGTTCTTTGTTTACTTCATTTTAAGTGGAAAGAATCAGAAGAAAGTAGCATTGAAAAGAACTTGAAATTCTTGTGCACTTTTAAAGTCCCTCTCACAGGTAAATAGTAACTTATTTATAACTTCAAGGTTTTATGATATCAGGCCATAGCAAATTCTTTGTATAAAAATTGAAATGAGACTTAATTACCCTGTTTTTAGGAAGTGAGTAGATTTTTAAATTTAAGTAGTTTATTGTATTGGTGATTTGTGCTTGTGTAGTTTGAGGGAAAGGATAAGCACATCATTTTTTCCTGTCTCTTGAGAGGGACAGGTTTCTAAAACCTGATTTATTTCAAAGATCCTTTGTCATGCTTCTATTGCAGCAAACTATTGAGAACTTCTTTTTAAGACATTAGAGAAAAGTGTTTAAGATGAATCTACTGACAGTCCAAATGCTCACCGAGGTCACCTTTTTCATAATCGATGTTTGAAGAGTCTGATCTATCAACAATTTAATCTAAGTAAATGAATCCTGCTAGTGAATTAATGTGATTTTAACTGGGATTCACTCATTTTCAATAATGTTGCTGCTTTTGTTGTCTAATAATTTAATGTCTCAAATTATGAGAGTTTCAAACTTTGGCAGGCCAGCAGGTGTTTGGGGGGGACATCTCATTTCATTTATGTCAAAGTTTGAAAATGAATCTAAATATGCCAGCCTGGTTATTTCCTGTGGGCTTAACAGAATCTTAAGCAGTATGTTTTCTGCAATTTAAAGGGTAAGAATAATTGTTAATCATTCTTGCTTCTCCTGTTCTTTAAAAAAAATCAAATACTGTTCATACTCCCTGATGATTAAATGTTTAATATCTTTCTCTCTTCCTCTATCTCCCAATTATGACCTCCTTGGAGATTTTGTCACTGTGCTTAACTTATAGATCCATAATAAATGTTTGATGAATAAATGAGTCAATGCATGTGTAAATTAATAGAAAGTTTAGTTTGAAATTATAAAGAATGTATTTCTCCGTGGAAAGAAGGAAGCAAGGAGGGGAAACACACAGTGAAGATATCATTCTTGGGTGTAGTCGCACAATCAGAAGGCAGGGTGAAAGCATGCTTAATCACTGCCCCTGTTTTCATAACATGTTAAGTAGCAGGGTAGAAAACCCACTGCATGTGTCATCATGAGGCCAGGGTTGCAGCTGAAGGTCTTCCACTTAACCATTTGACCTCGTGCACAGCACTTTGATTACTTTAATTTTGATTCCTCATTTAAAAAATAGATCTTTGTATGAAGCCACTTCCATGGACTCAAATGATCCTGAAAGGCACAAACCATTCCGTTTGAACCTTTCAACCCTTTGTTTCCAAATAGCCAGCTGCCCTATATATCTTGTGCCCTGGAAATAGGGTAATGATTTTATTTTAAAACTTTGCAGATGTATTTCCTGAGTATCTGTCTAGAAGCCCTGCAATTCACTCAGGCTTAACGTACAAAGTGGCAGATCTCTCCCTTTAGGCAAACACATTGGCTGCTGTGTTTACAAAACCAGTGAAGGCATATTCCTCTTTCTCTTTTAAAGTTTATTCATGCCTCCATGTGCTCAAGGAGGCATGACTAAGCTGCATGGCATGAGGAAGTCTCCGGAAGTAGAAGTCTTTTAATAGCTATAGAGCCTAGTTCTAGCAAAACAGATTGATTAAAGTGGCACAGCTCTTATAATTTATTTCGTGCATACAAAGGTAAGTTTTACATATTAAAAATGGAACCTTCCCTCTATCAGGCAGCATCCAGGCACATTTTCACATTATTTAGCTGCATAAAGTATTGAACCGAGAATCCGAAGCTGTGGGTTGGGTTTACGTCCCTGACTTGTTTTTTTGACCTTGACTTCGCCCATGACTGACTATGAGGGAAATAAAGCACGACAAAAACTCTATATGCTTAATAATTATCGAGTAGGTACCACTTCCACCTTCATCTAAAAAAAAAAAAGTAAAAAAACCTCCTGCAGTTTCTGAACTCATTTTACTGCTCTAGTAGCTTTTACTCTGACTTCAGCTTCAACAGCCAAAAGGGTAATATTTTTAAAACATCAATTTTATCGTGCTTAAAACTCTGATTACTCTGACACTGCATTGCCTGTGGGAATAACTCCTAACTTCATAGCACACTTTCAAAGCCCTTTACAAATCTTGCCTCAGCCTACCTTGAAGCCGAACAAACATGGGCAGAGCAGGGTCCCTGTCTACCTACCTTATCTCTCACCCTTCTGCTCCTCTGTCAGCGACACTCAGCACTCATTACATTGGTCTATTCTCCATCCAGGAAGCGCATCAAGCACTTTTCTCTGTAGTCTTTCTGTTGATGCTGTTCCTTCAATTCAGAATGTCCTTCTCTTTTTTTTTTAAACCTCATTTTCTACAGGACTACCCAGAAAAACTCTTCCCTGTAAGTTTCTCTAATATTTCTCTTGTTATGCAGAGATACATGCTGTCTTACCCAAATATACACCACCATAAAGGTTTGTATAAAACTACATCATTACATTTACCTCAGATATAAAACTTCTCTTGTTGTTTGTTTTTAACAGACTTGAGACAACGAGAGACAATCATGGTTCCAGCAAAAATATGAATTCCATTGGTACTTTTCAGTTTGAAGTAAACATAATATTAATACTAATATCACCTTTATTGAAAGTTCACTATATACTTGACACTGTGCTAATGATTTGTTTTAGTATGTTTTTTTTTTTTTTTTCTTTGAGACTGAGTTTTGCTCTTGTTAACAGGCTGGAGTGCAATGGCACGGTCTTGGCTCACTGCAACCTCTGCCTCCCAGGTTCCAGTGATTCTCCTGCCTCAGTCTCCCATGTAGCTGGGATTACAGGCACCCAACACCATGCCCGGCTAATTTTTGTATTTTTAGTAGAGATGAGGTTTCGCCATGTTGGCCAGGTTGGTCTCGAACTCCTGACCTCAGGTGATCCACCCCCCTGAACCTCCCAAAGTGCTGGGATTACAGGTGTGAGCCACCGTGCCTGGCCTCTTTTAGTGCTATTTAAATCTATCTATTTTTCTTATCTAAACGTAAGTATTGTCTCAATTTGCAAATGAGGACAATGAAGCTAATAGAAGACAAATTGCTTGAATAAGGTCTCAGAATTAATACATAGCATATCCTGGATTTGAATTCAAGGTTTTTTGGTTTTAATGTATACAACTAAAAGTCCTTCTAGGTCCTCCCTCTTTATCTTAGTCTGTTTATGCTGCTATAACCGAATTCCTAAGACTGAGCAATTTATAAAGAACAGAAATTTATTTCTCACAGCTCTGTACCTGAGAAGTCCAAGACCAAGGAACCAGCAGGTTTGGTGTCTGGTAAGGGCCTGGTCTCTGCTTCCAAGTTGGTGCCTTAGAGGGTAAATTCCCTGGAGGGTAGAAACACTGTTCTTCACATGGCAGAAAAGCAAAAGAGAGTGCGCCCACTCCCACAAGCTCTTTTAGTACTGGTATCACATTTTTCATGATGGTGAAGCCCTTATGATCTAAACACCCTGCATTAAGCCGTGTTTTCCATTACTGTTGCATTGGGGATTAAGTTTCAGCATGAGTTTTGGAGAGAACAAAAACATCCAAGACAAAGCACTCTCTATTCTTCACTCTCTGTATCTAATCTATTGGCAAGTCTTTTTGACATTACCTTTCTAATAGAGTACCAAATACATGTAGTTTTTTCCCTTTCCCCATTTTTGTTCTACCTACCATCATTGTTTTGTTTTCACTATTGTATAATCTCCTCACTGATAGAGCTTTGGATCTTTTCTTCTTACCTGCATACGTAATTTTTTACTCATTCATAGAATCTTTTTAAAAAATACACATGTTCCCATGTCATCCCCTGCTTAAAGCCTTTCAGTAATTTCCTGTTGAGTTTGGCATAAAATTCAAGCCTTGCTATGGCTTGTATAATCTGGCTTCAGCCTTCCTCTCAGGACCTCATGTCATAGGTAAACCCTGAAAGAGTCAGTCCTTGAGGCTAAATTCAGAATAGAAGCAATGGTCATGTACTCACTAAAGGTCACACATAAACCATGTGTTCCCAGAAAACCCACGTGCTCACATAACTTTGGGACTTTCATAGCTGTGTCCTATTTATGCCACCTGAAACAATGGCTGGAAAATATCATTTAGCCTCCTGGACTAGACAATACACTGTGACCTGCTTTGACCAATCACAACCAAACAAATCTGCATTCCTCATTTTCATAGTGAAGGCTGTATCTCCCTGGTTTGCAAATTGTGTACTCAAATAAAATCTCTCCATTTTTAAAAAAGAAAATTATTTTCAGTAGATTCATTGACACATATTAGCTCACTCTTACACAGAACTCTCCAGTTGCACATGCCTTCTGCTTGCTTCTGAAATTCTCCAACACTGCTCTTAGTTAGGTCATTTGCACTTGCTGTGCCTTCTGCTTGCAAAGTTCATCATGCAGATAACTTCATAGCTAGAGTTTACTTGTTATTTAGATCTCGTAGAAGTTTCTCAGGCCTAAAATAAAGAGTCCACAGCTGTCAGAGGCATTTGAACCAGAGTGACTCCATCTTGAATGGGGGCTGGGTAAAATAAGGCTGGAACCTGCTGGACTGCATTTTCAGGAGGTTAGGCATTCTAAGTCACAGGATGAGATAGGAGGTCAGCACAAAATACAGGTCATAAAAACCTTGCTGATAAAACAGTTTGGAGTAAAGAAGCTGCCAAACCAAGATGGCAACAAAACTGACCTCTGGTCATCCTCACTGCTCATTATACGCTAATTATAATGCATTAGCATGCTAAGAAACACTCCCACCAGCACCATGACAGCTTACAAATGCCAAGGAAATGTCAGAAAGTTACCCTATATGGTCTAAAAAGGGGATCCTCCCTCAGTTCCAGGAATTGCCCACCACTTTCCTGGAAAGCTCTTGAATAAATTCACTGCTTGTTTAGCATATAATCAAGAAATAACCATAAAAATGGGCAACCAGCAGCCCTCGGGGCTGCTCTGCCTATAGAGTAGCCATTCTTTATTTTCTTAATAAACTTGCTTTCACTTTACTCTATGGATTTGCCTCTAATTATTTTTTTATATGAGATCTAAGAACCCTCTTTTTGGGTCTGGACCAGGGCCTCTTTTGAGTAACGCAGCCTCCATTACTTTCTGTCATGTTACTATTTTATTATTTTCCTGACAGTAACCACTTTTTAAAACCATCTATTATTTTTGTACTATTTCCCTTATAAAAATAAAATCTCAGGATAACAGCGACTTCGTCAGTATACTTCAACTGTAACACAAACCTAATCAGTGTGCATATTTCAAATTATTTTATGTCATTGATAAGTAGAATTATAGGAAAGTACATGATTGATTTCCATTTGTAACTCTCAAGCTGATTATCATTCCTCTGACTTGGACTTATGAAACATTTTCTTTAAGTCAGTGGCATGCTATATCGGAAAGTCTGTTGTAATTAAAATAACCTGGTCTAAAATTCTGGCTCCACTCTTTACAGGGCTCATGTCATTGGTTTCTTAGATGACTCAGTATATTCATCAGAAGATTTGGTAAAACATAGTAATAGTACTTACCAAATGACTGCCACACTGCCTGGCATTCATTATTTCATATTTTTATGTGCAAATATCACAAGAGAGATTCAAAGAAGTACCAAAGACTGGTCTTAGAAATATCTAGATAGATCACAGTGAGAAGTGTTAAGCAGAACTGCACCAATAAATACACACATGTGGTGAATGAAAGGCTCCTTTGATGTACTAAGAGTAGAAAAGATTTTCCAGGTTAGGACAGTTTGTGTAGAGTAGTAACTTTAAGAAACTTGTGAGAAAGATTGCAAAATTTTAAAAAGATACTGTTTATTCTCATGCCTAATGTATCTTCAATTTGGAATTTGCTAATGTTCTTTATCCTACAAAATAATCTACACATCTGACAAAGGTCTAATATCCAGAATTTACAAAGAACTTAAACAAATTTATAAGAAAAAAAAAACTCCATCAAAAAGTGGGCAAAAGATATGAACAGACATTTCTCAAAAGAAGACATTTATGTGGCAAAGAAACATACACAAAAAAGCTCAACATCACTGTTCATTACAGAAATGCAAATCAAAACCACTATGAGATGCTATCCCCTGCCAGTCAGAATGGCAATTATTAAAAAGTCAAGAAACAATAGATGCTGGAAGGCTGTGGAGAAATAGGAAACTTTTACACTGTTAGTGGGAATGTAAATTAGTTCAAACATTGTGGAAGACAGCATGGCGATTCCTCAAGGATCTAGAACCGGAAATACCATTTGACCCATCAATCCCCTTACTGGGTATATACCAAAGGAATTTAAATCATTCTATTATAAAGATACATGCACACATATGTTTATTGCAGCACTATTCACAATAGCAAAGACATGGAACCAAATCAAATACCCATCAATAAGAGACTGAATAAAGAAAATGTGGTACATATACACCACGGAATACTATGCAGCCATAAAAAGGAATGAGATCATGTCCTTTGCAGGGACATGGAAGAAGCTGCAAACCATCATCCTCAGCAAACAAACACAGGAACAGAACACCAAACACCACATGTTCTAATTCATAAGTGGGATTTGAACAAGGAGAACACATGGACACAGGGAGGGGAACAATAGGCACTGGGGCCTGTCGGTGCGAGGGTGGAGGGAGGGAGGGCATCAGGACAAATAGCCAATGCGTGTGGGGCTTAAAATCTAGGTGATGGTTTGATAGGTGCAGCAAACCACCATGGCACACATATACCTGTGTAAAAAACCTGCACATTCTGCACGTTTTGCGGAACTTAAAAAAAAAATTGAATTTTACCATGTATTATTTTTTGTCTGCATTCACATTAATATGTTGTGTTATTAGCATCTTAATATGTCCCCGATTTTAATTATAAATATTCTTAGTGAATTATAAACTATTAAAAGATTATTAATACATACAATCACATGATACTAACCATGTGTAAAAAATGACTTAACAGTTGCTAGGGTAACATAAATTTTAAATATGCAAATCCAACCCTGGATCTCTTGAAAAAATGTTCAGATTCAATTGCAGTTAATTCTTTGTTACCTTGGATATCAATTTATACAGTACCCATGGCTACTGTCTCAATCCTTGATTCAAAACAGGTGCTAATAAACACGTTATGAGTTGTTTGTATTTTTAAGAAAGATTATTAATTAACAGGATCTTTTGTTTTATATCCTTATGTCCTCTCTTTTCCAATAAAGATACACTGGTTTTATTTGCAGTGTAAAAAAATAATAATAATTGGATTAAATTTTTGCCATCAGATTGGCTAAGAAAAAGGGAGTAACGATTATTGAGACTCTCTCAGCTTCTAATACTGTGCTAGATGCATCCACACATTATTTTAATTCACCTTTTATAGCTGTCATGACATGAATGCATTCATAATTTAACAAAACTTAATGAGTATGTGGTTTCAGAGACAGGGACCCATAAAAGGCTTTCAGGCTTTTTTTTTTTTTTTTTTTTTTTTTTTTTTTTGGTCTTCCTGAGTTTATCTTTGCAATCCAGGCAATATCCAATTTCATACATTTTCTTAGAGAATCCTTTTGCAGAGTACTATTAGCATAGAAAAAATAAGAAATTGACCCTGAGACAAGTGGTTATTCTAATGGGTATCAGAGACATGAAAGTATTTGAGTTAAAGTCAGCTAGAAAAGGACATTGGAAGGAATGTGGACAAATGTAATCAAGATAGCTGGAGGTAATAATTGATTTGCCTCTGTCTTCAGTCAGGTCACTGTATCAGAGGCTCAGTATGCTGACTTAGCTAAAATAAAGGTCTAATAGGTAGGATAATGGCCACATTGCTGCAAAAATAATCCACATAGTGTTTGCGGAGCAATATAATTTTATTTCTTATTTGTATTGCAAAATATTGTTACAGAAGGAATTCAGGGTCTTGGTAATTTTGTACCTTTTTTTCTCCACCATCTCCTAGAGAATTTTCCATGTCTACATGATGGAAGCTACTTTAATACCATCTGTGCTCCAGACCGTATGAAAGGGGTAAATGGAGTCCTGGGCAAACTGGACTTTCTTGAGCATCTGAGATGTCTTGTACACTCATTATTTCTTTTTTCATTCCATTGGAGAGGACTTAGTCACTTCACCATACCAAGTTGCAAAAGAGACTAGGAATTGTTAGACTGACTAGTTGTGGCCATATGCCCCACTAAAATTTAATTATTATGGAAAAAGGGGCTAATAGATTTGGGATGGCAACCAACAGTCTGCAACAAAAGACTTGATAATATTTCTCTCATTGACTTATAAATGCACATAATTTCCAGCAGGTACCAAGAACTAATGCTTAAATATTTCTCACTTTTTTGGAGGCATTGGCTGCCCAAAGTTGCTTGTGGGGCATATAGGAAATTTCTCTATGAATCAAGTGTTTAAAATTCTCTTTTATTTTAGTAACAATTATGTCACTGAGAAGGACTTGGCCTCTTTTCCATTTCTTCATCCAAGATAACATTTTAACATTGTACTACTCCTGGTGTGTAGTGTGTCCTAGTGGTTCTCTAGTATCTGGAGCTCTGTGGCCAATTCTCCCGACTCCATCTGGCATGTGTTGGTCACTATTCCCCACCCAATTCCCAAATGCCTGCATGGTTAAGTTAAAATTGGTGAATGACGTTCATTTGGCCAATTGTTTTTAAAGAGCTTGAGCTGTGGGTTCCCTCTGGAAGGACAAAATTGTGCCCTTGTCAAAGGGTATTAATTATAGTAGAAAACAAATAATCTAAAGCCTTCAATCTGGATTCATTCTAAATTGGCAAAGCCTACTTATAATTCTACATAAGTAATATGGCATAATACTAGTACAAAATTATAGACATATCAATTACAGAAATGGTTTGTGCATATATATATATATATATGTGGTCTTTATGAACATGCAGGGACATACCATTGTCATTGTTCTCTATCATGCTTCATTTTTAATGTAATCACACATATTCCAGCACTATTAAGTAAACTCATTTTTACTCAAAGGGCTACAATATTTCACTGTATAGAAGCACCACCATTTATATAATTAGTCCTCTTTTTATAGGCTTCTAGATTGTTTCCAGATATTTGCTATTAGTAGGGTTAGCATTTACATTCTTGTGCATAAATATTCCTCTACATGGGCAAATATGCTTGCAGGAGAGATTCTTAGAAGAGTTGTTCAAACGTTTCATTTTACTCTCTGATTCTTTTATTGTTCATTTAAAATTTGGGAGGAGTTATATAAAATATAAAGAGACATAAATACAATAATGTATATCCAAAACTGTCTGTCTGTCTGTCTATCTATCTATCTATCTATCTATCTATCTATCTATCTATCTATCTGGCTAGCTACCTATCTTTCTAATCTATCATGTATCTGTCATCTATCTATCTGTTTATACTCACATCTATTTTATTCCTCTGTCTTCACCCTCTACATTCTGGTCTAGGACAGAGTGCTTTCACTATTCTGCCCTTTGGTAGACCATTGTTTGTAGCTGACTGCTCCAAGGAAGATTGTTTCTCTTTGAAGGATTCCTTTAATGCAGTCACCTGTTTCTGAAACATGTAGCTCTCTGTGTGTTTATCAGCTTGCCTCAGGCTCTAGCCTCACTCTTCAAGCTTGGCTATGACAGTGAAGTCTTATTTTTGTTATGTGCATTTCCCATGCCATTCTTGTCTTTTAAATATGAGAGAGAGTGAAAACAAGTCCGTTGTACTTTTTCAATAATATCCTATCAACTTTTATCTAAAAAAAAACAGAACAAAACGTAGTTTTCAGCAGTTATTCAGATTTTTAACTTTTTTATGTATATGCTGGTCATTTCCTTGGGAACTTGACAATCAGATTTTATAGTGATTTTTAGAGATAGAAATCCAGTTTTTAATTCCTCTAGTGATTTTCTTTAAGTTATTGAAGTGAATGTGTTGAAGACAACATTATTTCTGTAGGTACCAAAGTTAAAAACAAAATAACAACTTGTATTGTGTATTCATCTGGATACATATACATTACCCTAGATTTCCTGTCTCATAATTCTCATATTTTGTGTTTGTAAATCCACACTTTTTATATTAAAAAAAACAAGCATTAGAGGGTTGGACTTTTTCTTATCTTTCTCAGAGTTTCTAGAAATACCGTTTTCTAAGTATTGAATAATTTTGCCTGTATTTAGGACTTGTCTTAACAAAGTAATGTTATTATTAGTGTCACCATCTTTATTCTCCCTCTTCACCTCTTCATCACCATCACCCTATTTTAGATCTCTTTTTCTATTTTCTTCCTTGGCTACTGAGCATTCTTAGGTTGGATTTACATTCTCTGTTGTTATTTATCACCTTCTTTCTTATACTTTTATTTTCTTCCTTGTCTTTTTGTTTCTTCTCTCTTAATTTTGATAGAGATTCTTGTTTGCCCATCATCTCTCTAATTTTCTTTCTAATGCTATTCTGCATCTTATATGTAAACTGCATATTGCATTAAAATACATATTATGTTAAATTACACTATTGCATTTTAGGTTTGTTGAATTATTTTCTACTTTTCTATGATCTTCCATTGCATATTTATTTCAATATTCTTCTATCTTCAAACTACCAATGCTTTTTTGTAAAACCTGTTTTTTCCAGCATTATTTTTCCAGGATAGTTAATTGGACTCTTACAAAATTGCATTTTTTGAATGAAAGATTATGAAGAAATACTCTCTTGCACAGAGATTTCCCAGTAGTGTTATTTTATCTTTTTTACTTCAGTGTTCTTCTTCCTTGGAACACCACTTATTCTCTTAATTTATCTTCAAATTTGGAGATATATTTATAAGTCCAGTCAATGTCCATTTGTATCTGTTACATCCTGTTACTTGCTCATACTCAAGTGTGAAGGCCATGTTGATTACTACAGCCTCTGCCATCTCTCATGATTTCCCAACACTTGAGCATGCCTTGAGTGTGAATCTGATGGACCTGGGGCGAATAACCGCCCTTTCGTGTCTCTGTCTCATCTAGGAAATAAGCACAAGAACAAATACAGTACCCTGTAGGTAAAGCTTAAGCACTTACCTTGAATTTCATAAAACACTTTCTTTACACTGCTGAGAATCTCAGGATACAGCACAACCCTGCTTCATCATCTGTGTAATGATTTTATACCAAATGACAATTTTACTCTCTAAATAGAAGGAGAAAGAGAACTGAAGATGGGGAAAAGTGAGGATGGGCAGAACTCTCTCTTTAGTGGACTTGAAATGTTGCATCTCCTTTGAAGGAATGATTGATTTTCATTTGGCCTACACTACTCCACCTTGGCTAGAGGTTCCTGTTTTCCAAATACCCAGTGCTTCTCCCAGTCTTAGCATTTAAAATATTGTGAATTTTTTGTCTCTTCTGCTGACAGCATACTCCTTGATGGCACAAAAGAATATCTTTAAAGTACATGCAGAGCCACCTAGCAAAGATCCCAGCACAAAGTTTGCTAAACAATTTCTTTACTAAATGCTTCCAGGGAGGTAAATGGCAAAGTACTCAGGATAAATAGATGTCAACCTTCTTATAGAAATCCCCAAAATGGAGAATTTATATTTTTTCATCTCTGATTTTGAGAAGTGAAAAATATTTCTTTCTTAATTTTCAAATTGCATAACTTAGATCTGTCTGCAAGGTATTATTACAACATATATTAATACTTATTTATCTTTGCTTCTGAAGGCTTATCTGAAAATCGTGCTGCTAAGAATGAGAAGTGTGGTTAATGTCTGACTTCCTACAGGGTAAGCCAAGCCTACTTAGAAGAAGTAAGATAAAAATAAACAGATTTAATAGATACTATTCTTGATTGGAAAGTTAAAGTAAATGCTAATAAAATCAGCCAATGCTGTCAAAACTGGAAAAGAATTTTTGTGTACAAATAAGAGAGGAAATAGAAAGCTCTAAAAACGATAAAAAGTATGTGATGTTCAAGAAAGTATTTACTCATCACTGTCTAATTTGCCAAGGAAAGGGAGGAAATAAGAGTTTTAAATTTGCAAGTTTCAACTTGGCAATTCTCAATGTGAATTTTGACTAAATATGTTCTGAAAGCAGAACAAATTAATTTTTCCAAGTTTGTGTTTGATTTTTGTCTGTGTAACACAGATCCTAAACTTGCCCAGCTATAGAAGATCCAAAGCAAATAGGGCTTTCAGAAAGCTTTGTTTTTCTAAAGGCTATAGCATCACCTTGTATATGATTTAATAAATTTTAGAAAATAACCAGAATTCTTAACACAATTCTGATTCAACTGAAACATTTATATTAGATATTACTAAAACAGTTTACAGTTGCTTCCATCCCTAAATCAATGTCCTAACCAACATTAAGTAGATGTTGTTTGAAAATGACAATAATGATTTCTTATTTTTTTAATTTTTAAATATTCATTTATTTATTCATTCAATAGATATTTATTGGGTGACCAGTGTGAATATTACTAGTGTATATTTCATTTGCATCATAATGTTATCAGCTTTGCATTAAATAATCATAATTTTATTTATTATTTTATTGTAAATTGAGAATGTATAATTGTATGTATTAATGGGGTACAAAGTTGTATTGTGACTTATTACTACCATATGGAATAATTAAGAAAATCTAACACATGCATTATCTCAAATTCTTATAATTTTAAAACAAAATTTTAAATTTATTTTAGATTCAGGGGGTACAGGTTTGTTAACTGGGTATATCAAGTGATTTTGAGGTTTGGGGTATGAATGATCTCATACTCAGTTAGTGAGAATAGTACCCAATAGTTTTTTAATCCTTAGCCCCCTCTGTCCCTCTATTCTCCAGTAGGCCCCTGAATTTATTGTTGCCATCTTTATCTCCGTGAAGTAACCATTGTTTAGCTCCCACTGATTAGTGAGAACATGTGATATTTGATTTTCTGTTCTGGCATGAATCCACTTAGGATAACGGCATGATTTCATTAGTTTTTATGGCTGTGTACTGTAGCATGATTTCATTAGTTTTTATAGCTGTGTAGTATTCTATGGTGTATTTGCATATAAGGGCATGATTTCATTAGTTTTTATGGCTGTATAGTATTCTATGGTGTATATACACCACGTTTTCTTTATCCAATCCACCATTGATTCCGTATCTTTGTTACTGTGAATAGTACTGCAACAAACATACCTATGCATGTGCCCTTTTGTAAAATAATTTATTTTTTTTGGATATATACCCAGAATTGGAATTGCTGGTTCTAATGGTAGTTCTATTTTAAGTTCTTTGAGAACTCTCCAAACTGCTTTCCACAGTGGCTGAACTAATTTACATTTTCACAAAAAGTGTGTAAGTATTCCTTTTTCTCCACAGCCTCATCTGTGTCTGTTGTTTTTCAACTTTTCCGTAATAACCATTCAAACTGGTGTGAGATGATATCTCATAGTTTCCATTTGCATTTCTCTGATGGTTAGTTTTGTTGAGCTTTCCTTCACGTTTGTTAGGCACTTGTATGTCTTCTTTTGAGAAGATTCTGTTCATGCCTTTCACTCATTTTTTAATGGGGTGACTTGTTTTCTGCTTGTACATTTGTTTAAGTCCCTTATAGATTCTGGATTTAGACCTCAGATGCATAGTTTTTGAATATTTTATTCCAGTCTGTGGGCTGTCTGTTTACTCTGTTCATAGTTTCTTTTCTGGTGCAGAAGCTCTTTATTTTAATTAGGTCCCACTTGTCAATTTTGGTTTTGTTGCAATTGCTTTTGAGGGCCTAGTTATAAATTCTTTCCCAAGGACAATGTCCAGGATGGTGTTTCCTTCTTCTAGGATTCTTACAGTTTGAGGTCTTACATTTAAATCTTAATCCATCCCGTACTGTTTTTTGTTTTTTGTATATTGTGAAAGGTAGGGGTTTATTTTTACTCTTCTGCATATGACTAACCAGCTATCCCAGTACTGCTCATTGAATAAGGAGTCCTTTACTGTTGCTTATTTTTGCCGACTTTCTTAAAGATCAGATGGCTGTAGGTGTGCAGCTTTATTTCTGGGTTCTGTATTCTGATTTATGTGTCTGTATTTGTACTAGTACCATGCTGTTTTGGTTACTATAGTATTATACTATAGCTTGAAGTCAGATAATGTGATGACTCTGGCTTTGTTCTTTTAGCTTAAGATAGCTACTTGGGATCTTTTTCAGTTCTATATGAATTTTATAATAGTTTTTTTTCTAGTTCTGTGAAAAATGAAGTTAGCAGTTTGATAGGAATCGTGTTGAATCTGCAGATTGCTTTGGGCAGTATGACCATGTTATATTGATTCTTCCAATCCATGAGCATGGAATGTTTTTCCATTTGTTTGTATCATTTATAATGTCTTTGAGCAAGGTTTTGTAGATTTCCTTGTAGAGAAACTTTACCTTTTTGGTTTAGATGTATTCCTAGGTTTTTGTTTATTTGTTTGTTTTGAGGCTATTATAAATGAGATTGTGTTCTTGCTTTGGCTCTCAGCTTGAAAATACTGGTATATAGAAATGCTACTGATTTTTGTACACTAATTTTGTATCCTGAAACTTTATTGAAGTTTATTAGTTCCAGGAACCTTTTGATGCAGTCTTTAGGGTTTTTTAGTTATAGACACATATTATCAGTAAAGAGGGATAATTTGACTTCCTGTCTTGGATGCCTTACATTTTTTTTCTCTTGCCTGATTGCTCTGGTTAGCACTTCTAGTACTATGTTGAATAGGAGTGGTGAGATTGGGCATCCTCATCTTGCTCTGGCTTTAAAGGGGAATACTTCCAGTTTTTGCCTGCACAGTACAATATTGGCTGGGGGTTTGTTATAGTTGGGTCTTATTATTTCGAAGTATGTTCTTTCAATGCCTAATTTTTTGATGGTTTTTTATTATAAGGGGATGTTGGATTTTATCAAAAGCTTTTCTGCATCTGTTGAGATGATCATATAGTTCATGTTTTTAATTCTGTTTATATGTTGAATCCCATTTATTTATTTGCATATTTTGAACAAACTTTGCATTCCAGGAATGAATTTTACTTGATCATCGTGAATTAACATTTTGATGGGCTGTTGGATTTGTTTTGTTAGTATTTTGTTGAGGATCTTTGAGTCTATGTTCATCAGGGATATTGGCCTGTACTTTTCTTTTTTCATTGGTCTTTGTTAGGTTTTGGTATTAGGGTGATGCTGGCTTTGTAGAATGAGTTAGGCAGGAGTCCCTCCTCCTCAGATTTTTGGAATAGTTTCAGTAGGATTGGTAACAACTCTTCTTTGCATGTCTATTAGAATTCAGCTGGTCTGGGGCTTGTTTTGTTTATGTTTTTGTTTTCTAATTACTTATTCTATTTTGAAACTTGATATTAGTCTGTTCAGGGTTTAGATTTCTTCCTGATTAAATCTTGGGAGAATGTGTGTTTCCAGGAATTTATCCATTTCCTCTAGATTTTCTAGTTTGTGTGCATAGAGGTTTCATAATACTTTTTGAGGATCTTTGTATTTCTGTGGGATTTGTTATAATGCCACCTTTGTCTTTTCTGATTATGGTTATTTGGATTATCTCTCTTTTTTCTTTGTTAATCTAGCTAGTGGTCAACCTTTCTTTGATTCTTTGTATGGATTATGGAGTCTCAGTTTCAATCAGTTCTGCTCTGATTTTAGTTATTTACTTTCTCCTGCTACATGTGTGGTTAGTGTTATTTTTGTATTTCCTCTAGGGGTCATGTTAAATTGTTAATTTAAGTTCTTTCTAACTTTTTGACATGGTCATTTAACGTTATAATCTTTCCTCTTAACACCGCTCTGGCTGCATCACAGTGATTTTTGTATGTGGTGTCCATTTTAATTTATTTCAAAGAATTTCTTTGATTTCTGCCTTGATTTTGTTGTTTACCCAAAAGTCACTCAGAAGCAAGTTGTTTAATTTCTATATAATTGTGTCATTTTGAGAGATATTCTTGATATTGATTTCCATTTTTATTCCACCATGACCCAAGAGAATGGTTGGTATAATTTTGGTTTTTTAAAAATTTATTGAGAATTGCTTTATAGCTAAGCATGTGATCAATCCTGGAGCCAATTCTGTGTGCAGATGAGAATGGTTTATATTCTGCAATTGATGGGTGGAGTATTCTGTAGTTGTCTGTTACATCCAACTGGTCAAGTGTCAAATTTATGTCCAGAATTTCTTTGGTAGTTTTCTGCCCCGATTATCTGTTTAACACTGTCAGTAGGGTGTTGAAATCCCTCACTATTATTGTGTGGCTTCCTAACTATTTTTGTAGGTCTAGAAATACTTGTTTTATGCATTTGGGTGCTCCAAAGTTGGGTGTGTACATATTTAGGATAGTTAAGTCTTCTTATTGAATTGAATTCTTTATCATTATGTAATGCTCTTCTTTGTCCTTTATTATTGGTTTAAAACCTGTTTTATATGATATAAGAATAGTGATCCCTGCTCTCTTTTGTGTTCTATTTGCACTATAGATCTTTCTTAAACCTCTTACTTTGAGCCAATGGGTGTTGTTACACATGAGCTGGGTCTCTTGAAGCCAGCAGACAGCTGGGTCTTGTTGTTTCTTGTTTTGTTTGTTTGTTTGTTTTCTCTCCCAACTTGCCATGGCGTGCCTTTTAACTGGACTGTCTAGACCATTTATACGCAAGGTTAATATTGATATATGAGGTTTTGATCATATCATTAAGCTGTTAGCTGGTTGCTTAGTGTCTTTTATGTGGTTGCTTCATAAGGTCTGTGGGCAAAGTACTTAAGTATGTTTTTGTGGTAGCAGGCATCATTCTTTTATTTCCATGTTTAGAACCCCCTTAAGGATATCTTACAAGATTGATCAAGTGGTAATGAATTTTTTTAGCACTTGCTTTTCTGCAAAAGATTGTATTTCTCTTTTGCTTATGAAACTTACTTTGGTGGGATATGAAATTCTTGGTTGAAAGTTATTTTCTTTAATAATGCTGAAAATAGGCCACCAATCTCCCCTGTCTTGTACAGTTTCTGCTGAGAAGTCCACCGTTAGCTTGAGCGGGTTCCTTTTGTATGTTATCTGGCCTTTTTCTGTAGCCTCCTTTAAGAATTTTTTTTAGCATTGACCTTGAACAGTCTGGTGACTATATGCCTTGGTGATGTTTGTTTTGCAGAGTATCTCACAAGTGTTCTCTGTTTTTCTTGTATCTGCTTATCTACCTCTCTAGCAAGAGCAGGGACATTTTGTTGAATTATTCCCTCAAATATTATTTGTAGGTTGTTTTCTTCTTCTCTGTCTCCCTCAGGAATGCCAATTATTTATATAGGTTTGGTCACTTTACATAATCCCATATTTCTTGAAAACTTTTTCATTTATTAAAATTGTTTTTCTTTATTTTTGTTTGACTGGGTTACTTAGAAAGACTAGCTTTCAAGCTCTGATTTTTTTTTTTTAATTCTGCTTGGTTCAGTCCATTGATAAAGCTCTGCACAGGATGGGTGGGCTGGCTCCAGCTGCTGTTCCAGGCAAGGAGGTGCTCTGAATGCCTGGAGATCTACCTGGGCATGGAGCAGAGAGGGCCCCTTTGAACCAACACCTCTGCAAAGGAGGGGTTGGGTGACTCAGGCTGCAGAACTAGGCAAGCGGTTGTTCTGAATGCCTGGAGATCTGCCTGAGTGGGAAGCAGAGAGGCACCTAGTGCACCCAAATCTCTGCACAGGAAAGGTGGGGCAGTTCAGGCTGCTGATCCAGGTGAGTGGGTGCTCCACATGTCTGGAGATCTTCCTGGGCATGAAGTGGAGATGGCCTCACCATACCATGATTTGTGTCCAGAAATGGTGGTGTGGGTCAGGCTGCTGAACAAGGCAAGTGGGTGCTCCAAGTGTCTGGAGAATCTGCCTAGACATGAAGCAGAGAGACCTCCTTGCACAGGATCTCTGCACAGGAATGGTGTGGGTATTCTGGCTGCTGGACCCTGCACTGTGGTTTCAGGGAAGCCAGCTGGGGCACAAAGAAGTGACACACGCAGACCAGTTCCAAGTTACCAAGCTGGCCCTGGCTGCAACTCCCATCATATAGGAGATACTGTAGCTGTAGCAGCTCTTCTCCTGCCCCAGGCCAATGACAGGGGAAATTACAATTCCAGTTCCTGCTGCTGAGGCACTTTCCATAGTTCTGGCTGTGGAGGCCTCTATTCTACTCCAGGGCAGGTACTCAATCTCTGCGCAAAGACTAAAATGTCTGTGCTGTCATGCTGCAGACCAAAGAATGGTTGATTTTGTATGAGCCTGTATTAAAAATGGTGTCCTTGGCCAGGCGCAGTGGCTCACGCCTGTAATCCAAGGTCAGGAGATCGAGACCATCCTGGCTAACACAGTGAAACCCTGTCTCTATTAAAAAAAAATACAAAAAATTAGCCAGGCATGTTGATGGGCGTCTGTAGTCCCAACTACTTGGGAGGCTGAGGCAGGAGAATGGCGTGAACCTGGGAGCTGGAGCTTGCAGTGAGCCAAGATTGTGCCACTGCACTCCTGCCTGGGCAACACAGCAAGATTCTGTCTCAAAAAAAAAAAAAAAAAAAAAAAAAAAAGAAAGAAAGAAAAAAAAATGGCATCCTTCTCTCTGTCCCAGTTCTGGGAAAACACCTGCAGCTTTTCCTGGTGTCTTTGCCTCACTACATCTCCAAGCTTCTCCGTGTTAGCTCTAGGGCTTGGGTAAAACAAAGTGCTCTCCCTCAGTTTGGTTTGCTCTAATCCCCAGTGGAAAGGTGAGTCATAGAGGGAGGCTGTCTGTCTCTCTCATGTACTGGGGTTTTATTCACTTTTATCAGCAGGATGCCGTCATGGGAGCTATTTGCCTGCCTTCTCTTTGAGACCTAGAGTATCATTCATTATTGCAGTGGATTCCCATTTTCCTCATTGAATTAAAGCTAACAGAGTTGATTTTTATGCACTATGTAGCTATTTCTAAGTGGCTGAGGCATGCTAAAAACCTCTAATCTGCCATCTTGGAAAAAAGCCCAATAATGGTATCTAACATGAGTAGAAAGTCAATTTTTCAGTGGCTAATTAATCACTTTCAAATCAATAATAATCTGCAACCACGCTATTCTCCCATAAACTAAGAAAATCAGCCAGATGTAGCTTTAGTTGTACTAATTCCTTGATTTTTGTTTGAACGATGTAACGCTGAAGTTTTCAGGAAAAAAAAAATAAATGAATATGATACCTAGCCTGCACTTGGAATGAATATTAATGAAGATGATTATACAATGCACACTTCCCATTTCAGAGGATCGGAGCTTTAACAAAGCCCATCTAAAACATAAAAAATACAAAGTTGTGGATTTATCTATTCTCCATATTCTTATATTGCCATCACAAATGTTTTCTATTTATTTTGTTCTTTCCATTCATATTTGCAAGTGATAAATGTCCATGTTTTATATTTCATATTTGGTTTATCTATTTATTTTGTATTCATTTTACATGTAAAATGGAGTAAGTCTATAAAATAATGCAGCAGATATTGAGTTTTATATTGCTATTGGGCATATACTGCATAAGGAGGTTATCAGATCTCTAACTTAATCACAGGGAAATATTGCTAAAGGGAAAGCTAACAATGAAAGACTATGCCTTTGTGAAATTTAACTATAAACCTATTATATAGCATTAATGTATAATTTTCTTACTTTCTGACACAGATGAGATTTACTGTATATAGCTATTGAATGTGAGCAAAAGTAAAAGAACAAGTAAAAAAAGTCTTTATATGATGTGATTTAAGCATATCTAGAGAAGTTATCAATGTCTTGATAATGTTGTGGATACAAATAAAGCAAACATGCATTTCAGAGGAATACACTTTTATACTATTTGAAAGTTAAGCTATAGAAATAAAATAGTGTGTTTTGTGTTAGTTTTGCCACCTGAAATAGTAGTTAGTTCAAGGCAAATGAAAAACTATACCTTAAAAACTTACAAAAAAAAGCTTCCTGCAACATTTCATAAATCTGTGGCTGTAATCACTTTCTGTGCTTCATCTACGACTATAAAAGGAGACATATTACTTACTTATTATAGTGCCATATTTGAAGTACTCCATTTATATTTTTAATACCTTTTGTATCTATTTTTTTTCTTTAGCTTAATAGCATACTTGGGCTTTGTAGGCCAAGAAAATGAAATAACATGAAGACAATGAATGTACTCCAGCTGACTGAATGTCTGTATTTGAAATGGGCCAGTTAGCACAAAAATAACAAGTCTTTAGCAAAAGAGCTACAAGTGTAATATATTCCTTTCCTTGTTTTTGAAGCTGTACTTAAAATGATATTTTCTCCTTGCAATTGATTTAAATAAATCTTCTTCAAATCATCTTCAAAATAAATGATTATCTTTTGGGGGAAGATCACTTCTTATCCATCTTTTACATAAACAGTTGCTAAGGCACACTTTTATAGTACATACTTTAAATAGCCAGAAATTCTGGGATATTGTCTTATTCACCTCTTTACATTTTCACAATTTAGCTGAAGCTCCAATGCATCAAACAAAGTTATGTGTTCACCCTAGCACATAAATTGTTTTACAAGAAGACAGTGAGCTGTTGCTTGTTGTAACAGTTTCACTGTAATTTTCACATTGATGGTAGTATTGCTCCACAGGAATTTATTAAAGAGAAAAATGTATATATTAAAAGAGCACTTTGCAATTAGAGTGTGGGAAATGCCCCAAATCCACATTTTACCTTGATGAGATAATATGGACTGTTTTCTAAGAAGAGATCTTTACTTCAGGTGCCGTTTCTTAAAGAATAGTCTGCTGAATACTGGTCGTCTTGGGTGACATATTAAATGGCTGGCAAGCATTTTGTGGCTTTAGAGAGAAATAAACTTGCATGAGATACACAGGATATATAAATTTATTTATAATTATACATACATTTTCATTATGTTATTAAATAATCATGAAATTTATGAAAGTTGGCACTGTTTTACAAGAAATTTTAAGCTAATATGTAGTTGATAGGGCAAAATAATTCTCAGTGAACATAATTTTATAGGCTTTGTATTCTGATAGTTTCATTTATTAAATTTACATTTTGTGATATTTGTTCTATTCCATCACTGTAGCCACAGGTACTGTGGTGATTCCCAATGATCCCTATCTCCTGGTGTTTATGCATTTATGCAATCACATACTCTTGAGTATGAATGGGGACTGTGACTTGGACTTAACCAGTATAATATGGCAAAGGTGACAGGATGTCACTCCCATGTTTAAGTGACATTATATAAGACTTCTCTTATATAAGTCTCTACTTGCAAGCTTGATAAAGAAAGTGACTGTGTGTGAGAAACCTGTGTGGCAAGGAACTGTGGAAAGTCTCAGAACTGTACATACCTGTGGGAACTCAGAACAATCTGCAGATCGCAGAAAGCTAGAGCCCTTGGTCATACCATAACAAGAAAACAGATTCTGTCAACAGTCTGAGTAAGCTTGAAACAGATTATTCCCAGTATAACCTCCAGATGAAAATGCAGCCCAGCTAATACCTTAATTGAAACTTTGTGGGACCCTGAATAAAAGACTCAGACAAGTTGTGTCCTGACTTCTGACCCATGGAAACTGTGAAATAATTGTGGGTATTTTAAAGCCCTTAAATTGGTCCTAATTTGTTACACAGTAATAGAAAACTAATATAACCACAAATTCACAATGATGTATGTATAGTTTAAAAGCAGTTCACTGAGAAAGTGAAAGTGTGAAAGTGAAAGTGCAGAATCAAGTTGTAATCATGGTGAACAAGGCCCCTCTAAACATATATAATGTTAAGTCTGTTTGTGCTAGATAAGAGTCTCAAAGTTTAGTGCATTTATATAAATATCAGAAAGATAAACTTTATATATATATATATATATATATATATATATATATATATATATATATATATATATATTTGGAGCAGTGATTAGTTTGCTCCAATCCAAATTGCATTGTTTTTTTATGGAAATTTTCTAAAAAAGTCGTGCTAAATCATCACAGATTGCCAGGCTTTTCAAATTAAACATGCTAATCGCTCTAGTAAGCCAAATTATTTTATTTTTCTCTCCAAAATTACAAATCAGTACTTTCTAGTTAAAAAAAAGAATTTTGTCAGTACACACAGAAGAAGGACCCAACTATGTAGGAATTATTCAAAGTTGCTCTTCATATGTAGCATTAACTGGTATAAGATAAACTGCCAAGGCTCTTGGAAAACCAGGCAAATAAACAGAGAGAAAACAATTGCTCAGAAGGAAAACAGAATTAGCTGTTGGCAGAATTATTCTGTCAAATGGCACTCTTGGTCATCATATATTATCAATGGCATATAAGATAGAAGAAAAGTTAATATCCCCTATGTGTCTTAACAGATCTATCAATTTTGAGTTATTGAAAATGGCTAATATTGAAAGTGTGAATCAGCACTAGACATATGAGTAGAAGCTATAAAAAGAAAACAAGCTCAATAACTTAAATTTTAAATAGTTATTTTAAAATAATTTTAAAGATTTGCAAAGATGATACAATTTCCATACACCACAGCTTCCATCTCACATAGCTATAATATATTTATCAAAACTAGAAAAATAATATCAGAATAATGCTATTAACTGCATTATATATTTATTCAGATTGCAGTTCTTCACTTTTTCTTCACTAATGTCCTTTTTATATCCCAGCATACAATCCAGGATACCACATTGCAGTTGGTCATAATTTCTTCTTAGTTTCCTTCGTATCTATGAAAGTTTCTCAGTCCTAACTTGTCCTTCATAACATTGACACTTTTGAAGAGTCGTGGTGAGGTATTTTATAGAACATCACTCAATTTGAGTTTGATATTTTCTCATGATCAAACTGGGATTAAGGATGTTTAATATTACTGTAGAGGGGAAATGCCCTTTTTATTGCATCACATCAAAAGTATATGATATCAACATGACTTATTGCTGGTCATTTTAACCTTGATCACATGGTTAAGGTGATGTCTGCTAGGTTTCTCCACTGAGATGTTGCTCATTTTTTTTCCTTTCCATATACTCCTTGTTAGAAACAAGTCAGTCATTCATTCTGACATGCTTTCAAGGGAAGGGAAATTAGTCTCCACCTCTTGGAGGCAGAAATATCAAGGACTTTATGGGCATAAGTTAAACAACTACAATAATTAAGAAATATTTGGTAGGAGATACTTTGAGGCTATGAAATTATTCTTCTCCTTAATGTTTGCCCGCTAATTATATCATTCATCATTTGGTCTTGTCTGCAGCAATTATAACTGTGGTGTTCAAATAATGATTTTCTATTATTTTCCTCATTTCTCCTACATTTTGTATTTCGAATCCATCTGTAAATGAGGTTTGTCCCTTTTCTGCCACTTATTTTTTTAATTGATCCTTTATTTATATTAGTATATACTCATTGATATTTATTTCATTCTTTGAATTATAATCCAATATTATAATAATTTATTTTGCTGTTCAAATATTCTACCTTTGGATGTTAGGAGCTGTTTCTGGTTGGTCGCCATATCCTTTTGATATCCTTTTGACATGTACTCAGACTTTGTTTCTAACACTTTGTTATGGTTGGCAGCCTAAGGTGCTAGGCTCATCTTATATTTTCTGAGTTACAGCCCTAGAATCAGTCAGTGCTAAAAAGAACCCTGGTCCTTTACTTGGAGATTGGAATTTAAAATCCAATCTTACAGAGTCACAAGTTCGAGATCCTTTATGTGAAAAAGCTAGCAAATATATTTATGTATTGTTTCATATGTATACACCCATATGTATATTTATTTCTGCATTTATTTAATCTGTATATATATTAAAGTAAACATGAGCTCATATTAATATATCCCACCTTAACACAAACCATGGGGTTTGTTCATATCTCCCTCCTTGCTTATTTATGTACAACAGGTCTGTGAATAATGTTGTCTCATTCAATACCATTTTGTTACAATGTGGATGAGAAAAAAAAAAATTATTCCCAGCTGGGACCACTATCTATGGAGTTTGCATGTTCTCCTCATGTTTACAGGGCTTTTCTCTGGGTACTATGGTTTCCTCCCACATTTAGGCAAGCAAATTTACTTAGCATGCACATCCCAATCCCAATCCAAGACGTGCATACTAGGTGAATTTTCATGCCTAAATGGTTCCAGTCTGAGTGAGTGTGGGGGTGTGTGTGAGAGTGAGCCCTGGGAGGAAATGGTGTACTGTTCAGGGCTGGTTTCTGCCTCACACCCTGGGCTGCTGGGAAGGGTTTTAGCCACCTCTAACCCTTAACTGAATAAGCAGGTAAATAATTACTTTATTTATATTTCTTAAATGTATATATGGTTCACATTTGTTTTAATGTTTAATATTAGAAGTGATTCAGTCTTTATTTAGAAGTTTGATGATGGTTTTATGACCAGAAATATGCTACAAGCACTGAATTCTTGTTTATATCAATTGAGCTATGGTAAAATTGGTTTGGTTATATGTTGCTTCGCTTAAAGTCAGTTTTCAAGAATCTGTGGAAGGCATTACATGAGAATTTACTATATTTGAAAGTAACTTATTTCCCTAGCAATAAGAAACCTATTTCCCATCATCTACAATGCATTTAACTACTTGATGAACTCTAACATGCATCCAAATTAATTTCATAATTGCTAAATGAATTTTTTTTTCTTTTTTTTTGAGACAGAGTCTCGCTCTGTCGCCCAGGCTGGAGGGCAATGGCATGATCACAGCTCACTGCAACCTCCACCTCCTGGGTTCAAGTGATTCTTCCACCTCAGCCTCCCCAGTAGGTGGGATTACAGGCACCCGCCATCATGCCAAGCTAATTTTTTTAGAGACAGGGTTTCACCATGTTGTCCAGGCTGGTCTTGAACTCCTGACCTTAGGTGATCCACCCGCCTTGGCCTTTCAAAGTGCTGGGATTACAGGCATGAGCCACCGTGCCCAGGCAATTGCTAAATGAAATTCTATGTGAAACATCTTTACTAACTAGAGTATAATGTTATATTACAGGTGTGTCATAGATTTTGTTCGTTTGTAATTTGTCTTTAACCTTGTTTTCTAGTCAAAACTGTTTTTGAGTTATATTGATTGGAGGTCAGCTTCTCTCTTGGAAAGAGAGTGCTAATATATATACAGTCACGTGTTCTTTAACCACAGGGATAAGTTCTAAGAAATGTGTTCTTAGGAGATACCATTGTGCAGACATTATAGAGGGTACTACACAAACCTAGATGGTATAGCCTACTGCACACCCAGGCTACATGGTATAAGCTATTGTTCCTAGGCTACAAACCTGTACAGCATATTACTGTACTGAATATTGTGGGCAATTGCAACACACGATAAGTAATTTTGTATCTAAACATGTCTAAACTTAGAAAAGGTACCATAAAAATCGCAACTACTCAGGTGGCTGAAGCAAGAGAATCATTTGAGCCCAGGAGCTTGGAGGAATAGAGCACTATGATTGCACCTGTGAATAGCCAATATTCACTGCACTCTAGCCTGGGCAACATAGCAAGACCTTCTCTCAAAAAAAAAAAAAGAAACAATAAAAATACAATATTATGATCTTATGGGACCACCACATTGTATATGTCATCCATTGTTGATCAGAATATTGTTATGCAGCACAAGACTGTACTTTTTTCAGATTCCATTGAAGTTGTAGTTATATTTGTAATAGGGTTAGATTAACTTGTCACCGCTTAAATTCCATACTTGAATTGGTATCTTGTTTGACTTTTCTCATAATTTGCATAAAATGTATTATTTGTGTTGTGTTGTTTTACTGGTTTTGAAAATGCTCAGAGTCATATATCCAGAACTGAAGTATAACACAGAACAGTTCCATCATCTGAAAATTGTCATGTGGGATTCCCTTTTACTCAGTCTTGCCCGTGGCAACTCCTGGAAACAACTGTTTAGTCTTCCATCCCTGTTGTTTTACCTTTTCCAGAATGCCATATATATTGGAATAATACAATATGTAGCCTTTGGGGTCTGGCTTCTTTCAAGTAGCAAAATGTGTGAAAGGTTAATTTATGTAATTGTGTGAACCAACTGATCACTTTCTTAGGTCAGTGTAGTAATTCATTTTATGACTGTACAGTCGTTTACGTTTCATTTACATGTTGACATCTTCTTATTCCCAGGCTTTTACCATTATCAACAAAGCTGCTACAAACTTTCATGTGCAGGTTTTGTATGATTAGAAAATTTTGATTCACTTAGGGTAAATACAAAGGAGTGGGATAGCTGGGGTTTTTGGTAGGTATACGTTTAATATTTCAAGAAGCCCTGAACCTCTTTTCCAAAGTGTCTATACTATATTGCATTCCCAGCAAGAAAAAATGAGAATTCATGATGTTCTGCGTTGTGTTATTTCCATAATTTCATATTGATATTTGTCTTCTTTTTTTTTAAGTCATTATAATAGATGTCTTGTGGTATATCATTGTGGTATTAATTTACGTTTTCCTCACAACTATTAATGTTAAGCATGTTTTTCATATCCTTATATGTATATCTTTTTGAAGGAGTATTTATCAGATCTGCTATTTTTAAGTGTGTTATTGTTGAGTTATAAATGTTCTTAATATTTTATATGAATCTTCTATATGTTATTGGGAAATATTTGCTCCCAATATGTAAGCTATTCTCTTAATAGCTTATTTTGCAGAGCAAAAATTTTAATTTAATGAAGTCTAGTTTATCAGCTTCTTTCATGAATTGTGATTTTGCCATCGTATTTAAAATCTAATTGCCAAATCCAAGGTCATGCATATTTTGTCCTACATTTTCTTTTACTAGTGTTATAGGTTTAAATTTTACATTGAGAGCTGTGATTTATTTGAGATAACATTGCTGTAAAGTGTGAGACATGTGTTGAGGTTTATTAGGTTGCATATGAACATTCTATTGGTTTGCAACTTGTTGAAAATACTTTTCTCCATCAAACTGTTTTAATATCTTAATCAAAATTCAATTGTCTAAGTTTTGTCAGTCTATTTCTGGGCTATCTATTCTGTTCCATTAATCTATGTGTCTGTATATTCGCAAAGACCATACTGTCAAGATTACTGTAGCTTTATAGTGAGCCTGGAAATTGGAAAATATTAGTGTCCCAAATATGTTCTTTGCTAAAATTGTTTTGACCATTCTTCTTTCATCTTTTCATATACATTTTAAAATTAGCTTATAACAATATTAGCAATGGCATGATCTCTGCTCACTGCAGCCTCTGCCTCCCGGGTTCAGGCAATTCTTCCACCGCAGCCTCCTGAGTAGCTGGGATTACGGGCAACAAACTGTGAAACAAAAGGATTTGGGGGGAATTTGTATTGAATATATAGATCAAAGTTAGGGAGAATTGGTATATTATCAATATTGAGCTTTCCAAATCAGAAACATTGCATGTATCTCCGATTATAGCTTTCCTTTGACTTCTCTCATCAGTGTTTTGTAATTGTCAACTTACAGGTCTAGCAAATATTGTTAGATATATCTAAATGCTTCACTTTTGGGGGCTATAATAAATGAATTTTTTAAAATTGTAACTACATTTGTTTATTGCTGGTATATTGAAATCCAGTTGATATTTATGTATTGACCTTGTAACTTATGACCTTGATAAACTCAACTCTTGGTTAGAGGGGCTTGCTAAAATAACATTTGGATTTTTTTATATGGAAAATTATGCCCTCTGCAAATACAGATAGTTTTATTTCTTTACTTGTAAACTATGTTTTTTATTCTTCGCTTATTGCATTGGCCAAAACTTTCAGTGTGACGTTGAATAAAAGTGATGAGGGAGAGTATCTTTAACTTGGGGTGAAGCATTTAGTGTATTACCATTAAATGTAATGTTAGCTGTAGGTTTTTATAGATGATCCTTACCATATAGGAAAAATATGTTCCTTTTGTAAAAAGAAGTTACCTTTGATTCTTAGACTTGCAAGAGTTTTACACTTTTTGTTATGAATAAACGTGAATTTAGCAAATGCTTTTCCTACCTCTATTGTGATAATCATGAGTTTGTGGTTTTTGCTGTTGTTTGACTTTGTCAGCTAATACGATGAATTGCTAGAGTTGCTATGGCAAGACAGCACAGAGAGTAAACAATAGAAATTTATTTTCTCACAATTCTGGTTGCTGGAAGTCCAAGATCAAGGTATTGACAGGCTTGGTTTTTATTGAGGTCTCTTTCCTTAGCTAGCAGGTAGCCATCTTCTTGCTATTTTCACATAGCCTTTACTCTCTCTGTCTCTCTCTCTCTCTCTCTCTGTGTGTGTGTGTGTGTGTGCATCCCTTGTACCGCCTCTTCCTAGTTTTATACGTCACTGCCCATAGTGGATTAGGGTACTACCCTTATAACCTCACTGAATCTTAATGACCTCTTTAAAGGTCCTATTTCCAAATACATTTACTTTGGGAGTTAGAAACTCAACATCTAAATTTTGAGACATACAATTCAGTTGAAACAGCCTTACTTTTTTATGCTGAACCCCATTTGATTGTAATTTATTATCCGCTTTAAAAATATATTGCTGAATTTTATTTACTTGTATTTTTTTGAGCATTTTTGTATATATGTCCATGGTGATTATTGTTTTATATCTTTTTTTATCTTTGTCTCTTTTTGATATTAAGGCATATCTGACATTATAAAATAAGTTGGTAAGTATTTCATTCTCTGATTCATTCTGGAAAATATCATGTAGAATTGACATTATTTCTTATATTACTGTTGGATAAAATTCACCAGTGTAAGTATATAGTCCTAGTTTCCTTTTTGGAAGGTGTTTACTTCAAATTCAAATGCATATTCAAATTGAATATATATATACATATATATATACACACACACATACATATACATACACACATATACATATATATACACCCATATGTATACACATATATATAAGTATTTGAAGTCATACACATATGACTAACCCAATGATCTATTTCTTCCTGATTAATTTTTGCTAATTCCTGTCTTTTATATGAATTATTAACTTTATAGGCATAGACTTATCCATAGCATCCTTTCACTATACTTTCACTGTCGATGGATTTGGTAGTGAAGTCCACTCATTTCTTCCTGATATTGGCAGTTTGTGTCTTCTCTCATTCTTTTTTGGGTTTGCCTGACTAGAGGTTCATCCACTTTCTTGATCTTTTCAAATAATCAGCGTTTGGTTTTATTTACTGTATCTATTATGTCTCTATTTTAATTCATCATTGTCCTACAACTTTTGAATACTCAGTTCTGTTTTTGTTTGTTTTCTTTTTTATTTTTGCATTCAAATTGGGTAATTTTTATTAACTTATTTTCAGATTCACTGATTCTTTTCTTCTCTGAGTCAAGTCTGCTGATGAGCCTGTTGAAGACTCTCTTTACTTATGTTACTGTGTTTTAAACTTCTAATATTTTCCACTGGTTTTTCTTACAGTTTCCCTCTCTGATAAAATTACCTATCTGCTTTATCATATATCTGCCTTGTCCAATAGAGGCCTCAATGTATCTATCATTGTGATTTTTTGACTTTGTCTGATCATAACAATATTTGTAACATATCTGAATCTGGTTCTGATTATTGCTTTATATTTTCAGACTGTGATTTTTGTGTGTTTTGAGTTTTTATATGTTGTTGTTGTTGAAAACTATACTTGTTATATAGAATGGTAGATAACAAAGAAAATATTTTGAGATGCCTATATGTTTTTCTGTAGTAGGCCTTTAGTATAGGGGTTTGTTTTCCTCTAGTAGGAAATTGGGGTGGGTTTGGAGTTTATTGTTGCTATGGTGACAGAGGACCAGAGACCTCAAATTCATCTGGTGAATGAATGTACTGCTCACTTGACCTCGGGTCTTCCCTTGTGCTGCTTCCCAGAGAGAATAATCCCTTCTCTCTATGTATTTTATTGTTAGTTTTCCTTGGTGCTTTTTATTGTGTGGGTGGTGGGTAGTGGAATGAAATTTTTTAATTAAGCCATAGTTTTAGGAAAGTACTGTAAACCTGAATCTTGCGTGTGGCCTTCACAAATGTTCCTGTCCACTTACAGATGCAATGCTGGCATGTATTCCTGCCCCTCTTCCAAAGTGGCGCTTTTTCTTTTTTTTTTATTTCTATTCCCAACTGGCAGTGAGTTTCCACCGGTGCACACAGGTTGTAGATTTGAGGGTTTTGTTTCTTTGTTTTTTGATTTATTTGTTTATTTTTGAGTTTTTGGCTATTTCCTTGAAGATTATAGATCTGATTCCTTAGGGGATATAGCAAAATGATCATGGATGGAATTTCAGCACTGTCCACCGTTCCGTTTCCCCTGAGTCATCACCACAAAGAAAGCTTTCTCTGGACTCTCTCTTCTCTTCCCTGTGAGCCTGTGAGCTCTTAGAGAATTTCTTGAAGGAAAAACATGAAAGGGAGGCGTTGACTTTCTTTCTGTAACCTGCAGTATCTTCACACTCTCATGCTAGCCCACACTTGACTTTAAGGAATTCTTAAAATTCCAAGCTGCAGCTTCTTACTAGTTTCTATGGTGTTCTGTGGCCTCTACGACAGGTAAGCAAATGTTCTAGTCACTCTAGTTTTGTTTCTTCCTGCAGGTGTTCATCTCTCTCCAGATTTTGGATTATTCATTTCTCTGCAACCTCAGTCCTCTACTAGGATTATGAAAAATACTGAATTTCAGTTTTTCCAATCTACTTCCTTTTTAAAATTGAGGAAGCAATGCTTTTCCTTTTGTTTTCAGCTCTTTACATCTCAAAGTTAAACTGTAGCTTGATGATATTTTCTTCAATTTAATATTGAAAATTCATGACACAAAATAAGAGATTTTCATTTGTTAGTGATTGTTTAGTGAGTAGAATACAAAAATGCATAGGCATCAATATATATAGACTACCATTTATATAGCATGAATAAGTATAATGGAAATGTGAATCAAAGTTAATCATAGAAGATAGTTGTTAAAATTATATATCTTTATCTTGATCAAGTCTTAATAAAATTACTGGTAACTGGATATATAAACTGTGGCCACTGAGTTTACTTCTCATTTTATTCTGTAAGGAAACTGGCAAAAGATCTGAAAAAATACTATTCTGAGATGATTTAAGCTGGCTTTCAAGAAAAAGAGGACAACACAAATTTTTGAATTAAGTATTAAAATTAAATACAAAATTTTTCTGATATTACAAATTGTAGCAAGACATTTGTTTATGATTTCAAGTGATTTTTCTCATCAATACACCACAGATACATTCTGTACTTTGAAGAACCTCAGCTTTTCACTTCAAATGCAAAATATTAATATGTATAATATTGAGAATATCTGTGATTTTTAAAAATGCCAATTATGATGAAAATGATAAGTGAACAATTTTTAACTCTTATTTTATTATTACATTTTAAGTTCTGAGATACATGTGCAGAACGTGCAGTTTTGTTATATAGGTATACACATGTCATGGTGTTTTGCTGCACCCATCAAACCGTCATCTACATTAGGTATTTCTCCTAATGCTATCCCTCCCCTAACCCCTCATCCCCCAAAAGGCCATGGTGTGTGATGTTCGCCTCCCCATGTCCATGTGTCTTCATTGTTCAACTCCCACACATGAGTGAGAACATGTGGTGTTTGGTTTTCTGTTCTTGTGTTAGTTTGCTGAGAATGATGGTTTCCAGCTTCATCCATGTCCCTGCAAAGGACATGAACTCATCCTCTTTTTATGGCTGCATAGTATTCCATGGTGTATATGTGACACATTTTCTTTATCCAGTCTATCATTGATGGACATTTGGATTGGTTCCAAGTCTTTGCTATTGTGAACAGTGCTGCAGTAAACATATGTGTGCACATGTCTTTATACTAGAATGATTTATAATCCTTTGGGTATATACCCAGTAATGGAATTGCTAGGCCAAATGGTATTTCTGGTTCTAGATCCTTGAAGAATCATCACACTGTCTTCCACGATGGTTGAACTAATTCACACTCCCACCAACAGTGTAAAAGCATTTTTATTTCTCTACATCCTCTCCAGCATCTGTTGTTTCCTGACTTTTTAATGATCGCCATTCTAACTGGCATGAGATGGTATCTCATTGTGGTTTTGATTTGCATTTCTCTAATGACCAGTGACAATGAGCTTTTTTTCGTATGTTTGCTGGCCACATAAGTGTCTTTTTTAGAGAAGTGTCTGTTCATATTCTTTGCCCACTTTTTGATGGGATTGTTTGTCTTTTCCTTGTAATTTTTTTTAAGTTCTTTGTAGATTCTGGATATTATCCCTTTGTCAGATGGATAGATTGCAAAAATTTACTCCCATTCTGTAGGTTGCCTTTTCACTCTGATGATAGTTTCTTTTGCTGTGCAGAAGCTCTTTAGTTTAATTAGGTCCCATTTGTGAATTTTGGTTTTTAACTATTTATTAAGAGTTATTTTAGTTTTATAGCCCTTGAATAAAAAATTTAATGAGACATATTGTTGCTTTAAAAAAATCAAATGGTATAAAAGAATTTGATTTGCATTTCTCTGATGATTAGTGATGTTGAACATTTCTCCATATACCTGTTGCTCATTTGTATGTCTTCTTTTGAGAAATATCTGTTCAGATATTTTGCCCACTTTTAAATTGATTATTTGTGAGGTTTTTTGCTGTAGAGATTTCTGAGTTGCTTACATGTACTGGTTACTAGTTCCTTGTCAATTGAATAGTTTGCAAATATTTTCTCTCATTCTGTAGGTTATCTCTTCATTTTGTTGTTTCCTTTGTCATGCATAACCTTTTTTAGCTTGGTGATTCTATTTGTATATTTTTGCTTAGGCTGCCTGTGCTTTTGAGGTCTTACTCAAGAAATCTTTGCCCAGATTAAGAAGTTGGAGCATTTTTCCAACGATTTATTCTAGTAATTTTGTTACTTTCATGTCTTACATTTAAGTCTTTAATCTATTTTGAGTGGATTTTTTTATATGGTAAGAAATAGGGGTCTAGTTTCATTCTTCTTCATATGAGTGTTCAGTTTTCCAACCACCATTTATTTATTGAATAGACTGTCCTTTCCCCAATATATGTTCTTGGGTCATTGACCAAAAATGAGTTGAGTATAAATACATGAATTTATTTCAAAGTTCTTGCTTTTTTTCTGTTGTTCTAAGTGTCTTCTTTAAATGCCACTACCGTGCTGTTTTTTGTTATTACAGTTTTGTAGTACAATATGAGTATGAGATGTCATCTCACCCCAGTTAAAATGGCTTTTACCAAAAACATAAAAAAAATGAATGCTGGCATGGATATTAAGAAAGGGGAATACTCTTACACTGTTGGTGAAAATGTAAATTAGTACAGCTATTACAGAACACAGTATGGAGCTTCTCCAAATAACTAAAAATTGAACCAGTATGATCCAGCAATCCAACTGATGATATATATCCAAAAGAAAGAAAATCAGTGTATCAAAAACATATTTGCACTCTCATGTTTATTGTAACACTATGCACAATATCCAAGCCATGGACTCAACATGTGTCCATCAGTGGATGAATGGATAAAAAAATGTGGTACATTTACACAATGGAATATTATTCAGCCATAAAAAATGAAATTCTGCCATTTGCAACAACATGAATGAAACTGGAAGACATTTTGTTAAGTGAAATAAGCCAGACACAGAAAGACAAATATCAAATTTTGTCACTCACGAATAGGAGCTTAAAAATTAATCTCATAAAACACTTTTAGAACGAAATAGATGGCACCAAAAATTGAATTAAGAATATGATACTGGGGTTTTCAAGTTACATATAATAGTAGCCATCTTTTATTCTTGACTCTCCATAGCAACAGTTAATCATTTTGCAAATGTATTTGCAACACTCAAACTTCAATACTGTCATACTAGCCCAAGTTATCATCTTCTTTTGCTCACTTGACCCCAATACCTTCCTGGTTCTTTTCCTGACATTTATTCCTGTTCTCTTCAATTCATTATCTGCTATCTTCTGAGCAATATTTCTTTATGGCAAATGTCCTCATGTCACATATCATAAGTTGCTTTATTTATTGTCTTTGGAATTCAGTTCAATACCCTTTATCTGATTTACAAGGTCCTGAATCTCTCCCAAGCCAAGTACTGTGCAACCATGTATCCTCCCTCATTTTATCTCTGTGTACTTCTCTTCCAAATATCTTTCTTTCAGATGCTTGAATACTTCATACTTCTTTGTTAGGAAATTCACACATTCCTCTTTACATCACCTGTGTCTGACTAATTCCTGCTCATCCTCCTCTAGGATTCTACTTAAATGCACTTCATCAGGGTAGCGTTTTGTGAATTTTTAATGGGGAATTTATTATTATCCCCTAACATGCTCCTAGTTCATAAACTTCTTCTTCATAACAGTTCATACTTAAAATTACTTCATCAATATTTTTCATCCACTCTAGATTATAAATTCTATGAACACATAAAATGTAAATATTTATTCCCATAATTTCAGTAACTTACATAGAGTAGACTAACAGCAAAAAGTAACAATATACGGAATTTCCAAGATTGCTTAGATCTAGACAGAATATGAAGCAGAATATCCATTAATTAGGTTAGAATTCAAGGAAAGAATAATGGTTCAAGAAAAAAGTTTGAAGGAAGAATCAGTTGTCAGTGGAGGAAACTAAGATGTCTCTCAGTAGTTTGTCAAAGCCAAGAGGCTGAGGAAAGAGGTGGGGATTGAGATCACTGACAGACAATGAGTTAGTGAGAAAACAAGTGTATAGTGCTCATGGAATGAAATAATACTTTAGGTTTATATAATAAGACTTATTAGAGGGCATAATTCTTAAATTTCTGTCCTTGTTAGAATTGGTTTTGGAAGTGTACTTGGGTAAATTAATGCATAGAAGTTAGTGGCATAAGCTGAGAAGAATTGAGGACAGTAGGAAGCTGGCTTATGTCTTCAACACCAGTGGTCCTCAAGCTTTAACATACATAAAAATTTCCTGGAGGTCTCCTTAAAACACAAACATCTGGGCTTCAACACTAGTGTTTCTGATTCAGTAGCTTCCAAGTGAGAATTGGCATTTTAAGCAATTTTTAGTTCATGTGGTTGCTGCTGGTCAGGAGAACAAACTTTGAGAAATACTGCTGTTGAATAGACACTAACTTTCAGTAGAATTGCATGAATTGTGCATGCATCCTTAATTCCATTTGCTCTTACACCAATCCCTTAAACAAGCAAGCAAACCTACAGAATAAGGATTAAGTCACTGTATTAGTTCATTCTCATGCTACTAATAACAACATACCCAAGACTAGGTAATTTATAAAGGAAATAGATTTAATTGACTGACTGTTCAGCATGGCTGGGGAGGCCTCAGGAAACTTACAATCATGGCATAAGGAGAAGCAAACATGTCCTACTTCACATGGAAGCATCCAGAAGTGCCAAGAAAAAGGGGCAAAAGCCCATTATAAAATCATCAGATCTTGTGAGAAATCACTCACTATCATTGGAACATCAGCAAGGGGGTAAGTGGCCCCATGATTCAATTACCTTCCTCCAGGTCCCTCCCATGACATGTGGGGATTATGGGAACTACAACACAAGATAAGATTTGGGTGGGGACACAGCCAATCCATATCATTCCCTCCCAAATCTCAAGTCCTCACATTTCAAAACACAACCATTCCCTCCCAACAGTCCACAAAATTCTTACCTCATTCCAGTATTAACTCAAAAGTCCACAGTCCAAAGTCTCATCTGAGACAAGGCAACTCCCTTCTGCCTATGAGACTGTAAAATGAAAAGCAAGTTAGTTACTTCCTAGATACCATAGGAGTACAGGCATTGGGTAAATACACCTATTCCAAATGGGAGAAACTGGCCAAAAAAAAAGGGGCTACAGGTTCCATGCAATTGCAAAATCCAATAGGACAGTCAATTAAACCTTAAAGTTCCAAAATGATCTCTTTTGACTCCATGTGTCACATCCAGATCACACTGATGCAAGAGATGGGTTCCCATGGCTTTGGGAAGCTCCACTCCTGTGGCTTTGCAGTCTACAGCCCCCTTCTGGCTGCTTTCAGGGGCTGATGTTGAGTGTCTGCACTTTTCTGGGCATGCTGTTTAAGCTGTCAGTGGATCTACCATTCTGGAGTGTGGAGGACGATGGCCCTCTTCTCAGAGCTCTACCAGGCAGTGCCCCAGTGGGGACTCTGTGTGGGAGCTCCCACCCCACATTTCTCTTCTGCACTACCCTAGCAGAGGTTCTCTATGAGGGCTCCATCCCTATGGTAAACTTCTGACTGGATATCCAGGCATTTCCATACATCCTCTGAAATCTAGGTAGAGGTTCCCAAATCTCAATTCTTGACTTCTGGGTACCTGCAGGTCCAACACCATGTGGAAGTCACCAAGGCTGGGGCTTGCACCCTCTGAAGAAATGGCCCAAGCTGTAGCTTGGCCCCTTTTAGCCATGGTTGGGGTTGAAACAGTTGGGACGCAGAGCACCAAGTCCCTAGGCTGCACACAGCAGGAAAGTCCTGAGCCCAGCCCACAAAACCATTTTTTCCTTCTAGGCCTTCTGGCCTAGGAGGGGAGGGGCTGCTGTGAAGGTCTCTAACATGCCATGGAGACATTTTCCCCACTGTCTTGGTGGGTAACATTCCACTCCTTGTTCCTTATGCAAATTTCTGCAGCAGACTTGAATTTCTCCCCAGAAAATGGGTTTTTCATTTCTATTGCATCACCATGCTGCAAATTTTCCTAACCTTTATGCTCTGCTTTCTCCTGAATGCTTTACTACTTAGAAATTTCTTCCACTAGATACCTTAAATCATCTCTCTCAAGTTCAAAGTTCCAAAGATCTCTAGGACAGGGACAACATACCACCAGTCTCCTTGCTAAAGCATAACAAGAGTCACCTTTGCTCCAGTTCCCAACAGGTTCCTTACCTCCCTCTGAGACCACCTCAGCCTGAACTTCATTGTTCATATCACTATTAACATTTGGTTGAAAGCCATTTAATAAGTCTCTAAGAAGTTCCAAACTTTCCCACATCTTTATTCTTCTGAGTCCTCCAAACTGTTTCAACTTCTGCCTGTTACCCAGTTTTAAAGGCGCTTCCACATTTTTAGGTATCTTTACAGCAACACCCCACTACCTGGTACCAATTTACTGTATTAGTCTGTTCTCCCACCGCTAATATAGACGTACCCAAGACTGGGTAATTTATAAAGAAAAGAAAAGAAAAAAAAGAGGTTTAATTGACTCACAGTTCGGCATGGCTGGGGAGGCCTCAGGAAACTAACAATCATGGCAGAAGGAGAAGCAATCACACCCTTCACATGGCAGCAGCAAGGAGAAGTGCCAAGCAAAAGGGGGAAAAGCTGCTTATAAGACCATCAGATCTCGTGAGTACTCACTCACTACTACGCAAACAGGATAGGGATAACCGCCCCCATGATTCAATTACCTCCCACCATGTTCCTTCCACGACACATGGGCATTATGGGAACTACAATTCAAAATGAGATTTGGGTGAGGTCACAGCCAAACAATATCAGTCAGTAACACATAGTTTTACTACATAGTTATCAGCGTAATACCAGTGGTTTGTTACATGGTCCACAGCTTAGAAGAATTAGAGTGGGAGGGTATTTCTCATCTCATTTCTTGGTCCTTTAGCATTACTGTGGGAAGGGAATTATAAACTCATAAAGCATTAGTGTAGCTTGATGCCTCACCTTGAATATCTGAAATAATAATGAATCTATACCATTTTTTTTCTTTGCAAGATACCACATTGTCTAATTTCCTCTAGAAAAATTATTTTCCCTGGTTTTAAAATTATTTTTTTATTTTAAGCATATCACTTTATATTGTTTCTAGATATTCAAAATAATTCAATTTATTCTTTTGTGAATTGTGATTTAAATCACACAGCACTGATTTAAACTCACTTCATAGGGTGTGGATTGTATATTCATACTTTTATTTAGATGATTTATAAAAGCTCTAGATTATTTTATATAATCATAAGCATATATTTAACATGACAAAATTTGAAGAGGTCAGTATGGAAATGTTCAGATATTTCATATTGGGAATGATATATTTATATATCAGTTGTATTCTGGTAGAATACAGCCTAGACAGAATTAAAACTTTGTCTGCATACTATTTCCCTTGAATACTGGGTGATGGGACTTACCTCTCTTTTACTAAGTATTCTGATCTTTTAAATAGAATGATAATATTATCTGTCTCATAAGATGATAATCACAATTATACATCAAACAGGTATAAAGGCTTTGGAACATAATTGGTAGTTAAACTCTTAAGAGTCATTATTATTGGTTGAATATTAATTTTCTTCTAGTGTTAATCTTTCCTGAGTTTTTACCTTATTCTTTCTACCAGTTATTTTAATACTGAAATCTTTTGAAGTTACAATTCCTATTTGCATAACTGTAGTTTATTGAATACTTATTAAACACCTGGCACTGTGCCAAAATCTTTACTTACCATATGTGATTTAGTAGTCACAGCAATCTTGGGCTATAAATATTATAATGCTGATTTTGCAAATGCAAGTAGGGAGACTTTTAAAATTTTTTCATGTATTAAGATTTTTATACATAACTTCACTGAGAGGCAGGATAAAATGCAAGTTAAAAACATGGACTCTGGGCTTTCAAAAAGATGAAGTAGACAAAAAATGCAATGGTAATGAGTTCTAAGTTTTTATTTTGCCACATATATTTCAAATTTATGCTGGAGAAGTGAGCAACCTAGAAACACCAACTGCAAAGGGTGAAAAAACGTCAGAAAAACCTATTTGTGCTAACCAAAAGACTGGTAAAGGGGCAGCCTAGCAAGACAGAAAAATGTTCAACAATAATTACTCTACCCTAGCTAAATACCTTAGAGAAAACTGGCCACACTCACAACTGCCTCGGCAAAGTTCATATGGGAAACAAAGACATTCACCCTTTCCAGTCAAGAAGGAGAAACCTAAGCTCCAGCTAGCATGGAATTAAAGATTGACTGGGAAACCCGGCCTTTCATTCTTGCCAAGAGATAGCAAGGTCCCTTCCCTCTATTGTGCCAAGTGGAAATGACTTTGGAAGACTGCACTTCCAACACCATTTGAAACTAATGAGTTACCTCTTCCTCTTCCTGCTGGAATGATGTTAGAGGAGGCCTAATGGAGAGTCAGAACTATCACTACAACCCACTGGTACGGAGACCACTCTCCCAATGTGTCAATGGATGCCAAGTTTGTAGCGTGGCCTCCTGGAAATAATGATGCAGAGACTCTTCTCCTGCCAGAGTCTTGTCAGTGGAGTCTCACTAAAAGAGGAGCTGCAAATAAGATTCAGAGTCTCATAATATAATACCCAAGTTTCAGGATTTAATAAAAAATCATCGATTATACCAGCCAGAAAAATCTCAACTCGGAGGAGAAAAGACACTCAGCTGATGCCAATACCATGATTATACCCTCTCTGAACAACACAGAGAAAATGGAATGAATTCACATAAACAAAGTCTGTGACATGGGAGTTTATGGCAAAAGATATAACACTGCTGTCATCAAAGTATCAAAAGGAGAGGAGACAACATGAAGGGTGGGAAAAGGTATTGCTGAAAAAGTATTTTAAAAAGTACTGGTTGAAAAATTCCCAAATTTGGTAAAAGACATAATCTACAGATTCAAGAAGCTGTTTGAGCCTGAAAGAGGAAAAATCTAAAGAAATACATGCCAAGGAATATTATCAAACTTCTAAAAACTACAATAAAATATTGAAAGCAACCTGAGAGAAATAAAGCATTACCTTTAGTGAAAAACTAATACAGATGACAACTCTGGTTTCTCATGAGAAACCACAGAGGCCAGAAGGAAGAACGCAACATCTTTCAAGAGCTAAAAGAACTGTCAAGTCAGAATTCTGTATCACTAAAACTATCTGTGAGGACAGAAGAGGAATCAATACATTATCAGAAGAAGGAAAAGCATGAGAATTTTTTTGTCAGCACATATGCCCTGAGAGAATAGCCAAAAGCATTTCTCTAAACAGAAAGGAAATAAGAGAAGAAGAAGTCTTGGAATGACAGGGATAAATAAAGAAGAATGGAAATAGTAAACCTATGGAAAAAAATGCCATAATATTTTATGGTAATGGATAAAGAGATATCAAAAAGGTAAGATTTCCATTCTTGAACTAGTCAAATGTTGACACCAGTAGACACTGATAAAGGATTTATATTGAATGTGATACTTAGAGCAATCATTAGGTAATCTAAACAAGGAGATATACTAAAAAACATTACAGATACATTCACATAACACATACTGCATGATTTCACTTTTAAGAGGTATCTAAAAGAGCCAAACCTAGAGAAGCTAAAAATACAATAGTGTTATTTCTATACCAAAGGAGGAGCCATGGTGAGAAGAAAATGGGGAGTGGTTATTCAATGGATATGAAGTTTCAGTTATGCTAGGTGAATAGCTTCTAGAGATCTGCTGTGCAACATAGTGCCTAGAGTTAACTATATGGTATTGTGTACTTCAAAGTTTTTTTTAAGAGGGTAGAACTCAAATTAAGTGCTCTTATTACTAAAAGCAGAAACAAAGTGACACAGAAAACATTGGGAGATATTGGATGTATCTATGATCTTGATTGTGGTGTTGGTATCATAATGTTTGCCTGTGTCCAAGCACATCAGATTGTGTACATTTATATATGTGCAGTACTTTGCATATCATTCATACTTCAATTAGGGTGTTAAAAAGAACACTATAGGTAAATCAAGATGGATTTATAAAATATGTATCCGTAACATATAGAAAAATAGAAAAAACAAAACTGAAGAAAAAAGCAGAGAACAACAGAAAAGAAACATAAATGACAAGTTCTAATATATCAATAATTACCTTAATATAAATGATCTAAATGCATCAATTAAAATAATTATTGCCAGTGTGGGGAAAAAATACTGATTCAAGGAGAATATGCTTTCTACAATGAACACACTTCAAATATAACAATCTCAAGGGGATTATGCTGAAAAAAATCCTCAAAGTTGATATACTATATGATTTTATTTAAGTAACATACTTAAAGTGATAAAACTACAGAAAAAAATAAATAAGTTGTTTTAAGGGGTTAGAGATACTTTGGTTTGAGTATGAAAGAGTGGTAAAATAGGTTTTATGGTGATGGAATATTTATTTTTATTGAAGTGATGGCAACATAATCAATATGTCTGATAAAAATGACATAGCCCATATTGTATGCATTATGTACATGTATACTCTAAAAACATTGTATTAGGGTTCTCTAAAGGGACAGAGCTAGTAGGATATATGTATATATGAAAGGGAGTTTGTTAGGATAATTGACTCACATGATCAAAAGGTGAAGTCTCACAATAGGCTCCTGTAAGTTGAAGAACAAGGAAGCCAGTCTGAGTTCCAAAACCTCAAAATTAGGGAAGCAAACAGTGCAGCCTTCAGTCTTTAGCCAAAGGCCAAAGAGCCCCTGGCAAACCACTGCTGTAAGTCCAAGAGTCCAAATGCTGAAGAACTTAGAGTCCGATGTTTAAGGGCAGGAAGCATCCCACATGGGAGAAAGATGAAGCCTGGAAGACTCAGTGACACCTCATTCCATTTTCTTCTGCCTGCTTTATTCTAGCCACACTTGCAGTTGATTAGATGGTGCCTACCCAAATTGAGGGTGAGTCTGCCTCTTCCAGTCCATGAACTCAACTGGTAATCTCCTTTGGCAACACCCTCACACACACACCCAGGAACAATACTTTTCATCCTTTAATCCAATCAAGTTGACACTCAATATTAACCATAACAAAAATAAACATTATATAAAGATCAATTGCCTGGTTTTGATATTTACTATAGTTACAGAAGGTGTGACCATGGAGGAAGCTGGGTGAATTGGAGGAAGCTGGGTGAATTGGCCTTTCAGTACTAATAGTACAATGTCCTGTGATCTATAATTTAAAATATAAAAAATAAAAAGGAACAGAACCTCTGAATCAGATTTGCTGGGTTCAGGTTTGTGCTCTGCTTTTTACTAAGTATTGAACCTCAATTAGTTTATTTAACTCTTCTGTATTCATAATTAACCTAATTCATATATTTGTTGTGAGAATTAAGTTATTTGTGTAAATTGCTGAGGATGATGCTTATTTGCGTTGAACAAGTGCTGTTCATAACTAACTAGTATTTTAAAAATAAAAGTTGAAATTTAAATAGGTTCATCTGTTAGAGATCCTATAGCTCTAGAGTAACTGCATATAAATTCAAATCCTGGCATGTATGGTCTTTTTATTAAATATTATTCCTAGTTTCTATTTATGTTATTTGAATCCTATTTCTCCCTCTAAAAAACTATCTTCTTATAGTACTCTCAGGCGGAGGCTACTTATACTTTTCTACTTCAATATAATCACAGAACTTAAATAGAGTTTGAGCAATACCATGAAAATCTTATTCAGTAATTTGTTGATTCAATACTGTTTTCTTAAGAATGTGGTAAGTTCTAAACATTGCCCAAAGACATGGGATATAGTATTGCATAACATAGATTAAACTCCTGGATAAATGCAGCTTATATTATAGTCAAGATACATACAATAATAAAATAAATAAATAATATATTATGAAATTATGTATAACAATATAAGTGTTATGAATAAAAGAGAAGGAGTTGGAATATTTTGGGAAAGGATACAGAATATTTAGCTAAAGTGATCCCAGAAGGTTTTTCAGGAGGTGATAACAATTGAGGAGAGATGTGAAGAAAGTGAGAGACCAAACATCACATTCTGAGAGGAAAAAAATTACATGCAGAGGGAAAAGCAAGTGCAAAGGCAATGAAGATAGCACACCTCAATTCTTATAAGAACAGCAAAATGTGGTCTGTGAATGAAGAGAAATAGTAGTATGAGATTAGAAATGTTAAGGAATTATGATTTTACTTTGAATACGAACAGAAGATTAAAGGAAATTTTAAATAGAGGAGGTTACCTAATATGGTTTCCTAATAGGATTAAAAATTATATATACATATATAGTCTACATTACAAATTATATATAAATTATATATATGCACAAATGTATCATCTATATATTATTTAAAATATATGTTTAAAATTCTGGTTGTCACATGAAAATCTGACTCCAGAGAAAGGTAAGAGTGATATTGATTTAATTTGTCTGAAGAGATAAAAGAGAAAAATACACAGATAAATCAAAATCAAATAGGATAAATAGAAAAAAGTTAGCTACATATCTGACTGTGAAAGTGTAGATGATGAAGAGAACACCTCAGCTAGGTAAAAACAATTTCCTTCAAAGAAAGATTACCACATTGATTAATTTATCCTCAACACCATTGGAAATTACAAGATAGTAAAATGATATCTTAAATACATTGAGTGAAAGTGAATGTTAACCTATAGTTTTAAGTCAGGGAAATTCATTTGCAGAAAACAAAAGACATTATATGCCACTATCACTTCCTCACTGAAGGGCACTATAAAAGATAAACATTAGAAGAAATTGACCTCAAACAGCAAACTCGTATTACAAGAAAGAATAAAGAATATGGAACACTGTGACTATGTGAGTGATAAGGTTTGGATCTGTGTGCCTTCACAAATCTCATCTTGAATTGTACTCCCATAATTCCCCTGTATTGTTGTGGGGGGAACTGGTGGGAGATAATTAAATAATGGGGGCAGTTTCTCCCATACTGTTCTCATGGTAGTAAATAAGTCTTAGGAGATTTGATGGTTTTGTTAGTGGAAACCCCTTTCATTTGATTCTCATTATCTCTCTTGCTGCTGCCTTGTAAAAAGTACCTTTTGCCTTCTGCCATGATTGTGAGACCTCCCAAGCCATGTGGAACTGTAAGTCCATGAAACCTGTTTCTTTTGTAAATTGCCCGGACTTTGGTTATCTTTATCAGCAGCCTGAAAACAGGCTAAACAGAAAATTGATACCAGGAGGGGAGTGCTGCCAAGAAGATACCCGAAAATGTGGAAGAAACTTCTGAACTGGATAATAGGCAGACGTTGGAACAGTTTGGAGGGACCAGAAGAAGACAGGAAAATGTGAGAAACTCCCTACAGACTTGTCGAATGGCTTAGACCAAAATGCTGATAATGACATGAGAAATGAAATCCAGGCTGAAGTGGTCTCAGATGGAGATGAGGAACTTGTTGGGAACTGGAGAAAAGGTGACTCTTGTTATGTTTTAGCAAAGAGATTGGCAGGATTTCGTCCTTGTCCCAGAGATTTTTGGAACATTGAACTTGAGAGAGATGATTTAGGGTATCTGGCGGAAGAAATTTCTAAGCAGCAAAGCATTCAATGGGTGACTTGGGTGCTATTAAAGGCATTCAGTTTTAGAAGGGAAACAGAGCATAAAAGTTCAGAAAATTGGTATCCTGACAATGTGACAGAAAAGTAAACTCCATTTTGTGAGTAGAAATTCAAGATAGCTGCAGAAATTTGCATAAGTAGCAAGGAGCCACATGTTAATCACCCAGACAATGGGGGAAAAGTCTCCGGGACATGTCAGAGATCTTTGAAGCAGCCCCTCCCATCACAAGCCCAGAGGTTTGGGAAGAAAAAATGGTTTCATAGGCTGGGCCCAGAGACCCTCTCCTGTGTGCAGTCTAAGGACTTGGTGCCCTGTGCCCCGAGATGCTCCAGCCATGACTGAAAGGAACCAAGGTACAGCTCAAGCTGTTGCTTCAGAGGGTGGAAGCCCCAAGCTTGGCAGCTTCCATGTGGTATTTAGCCTGTTGGTGCACAGAAGTCAAGAATTGAGGTTTGAGAACCTCTGCCTAGATTTCTGAGTATGTATGGAACTACCTGGATGCCCAGGCAGAAGTTTGCTACAGGGGTGGGGCCCTCATGGAGAACCTTGGCTAAGGCAGTGCAGAAGGGAAAAGTGGGGTCAGAGTCCCCCCACAGAGTCTGTACTGGGGCACTGCCTAGTGGAGCTGTGAGAAGAGGGCCACTGCCCTGTCTTCCAGACCTCAGAATGCTAGATCCACTGAAAGCCTGCACTGTGCACCTGGAAAGGCTGTGGACACTCAATGCCAGCCCATGAAAGCAGATGGGAGGAAGGCTATACCCTGCAAAGCCACAGGGGCAGAGCTGCCCAAGGCCATGGGGAACCACCTATTGCATCAGCATGACCTGGATGTGAGACATGGAGTCAAAGGAGTTCATTTTGGTGCTTTAGGATTTGACTACCCTGCTGGATTTTGGACTTGCATGTGGCCTGTAGCCACGTTGTTTTAACCAGTTTCTTCTATTTGGAATGGCTGTCTTTACCTAATGCCTGTACCCCCATTGTATCTAGGAAGTAACTAATTTGCTTTTGATTTTACAGACTGACTTTGGACTGTGGACTTTTGAGTTAATGCTGAAATGAGTTAAGACTTTGGAGAACTATTTGGAAGGCATGATTGTGTTTTGAAATGTGAGAACATGAGATTTAGGAGGGGCCAGGGAAGAATGATATGGTCTGGCTCCGTGTCCGCTCCCAAATCTCATCATAATTGTACTCTCACAATTCCCATGTGTTGTAGGAGAGACCAGTGTGAGATAATTGAATCATGGGGGCAGTTTCTCCCACACTGTTCTCATGGTAGTGAATAAATCTCAGGAGATCTGATAGTTTATATGGGGAAACCCCTTTCACTTGGTTCTCATTCTCTCTCTTGCCACCGCCATGTAAGATGTGCCTTTCACCTTCTGCCATGATTGTGAGGCCTACTTATCCACATGGAACTGTAAGTCCATTAAATCACTTTCTTTTGTAAATTGCCTGGTCTCAGGTATATCTTTATCAGCAGTGTGAAAACAGACTAATAAAGTGGGTAAACATTGAAATAAAACCTTGACTCTGTAAAATAACAATAATAGCAGTGTTTTGTTTTTAAAGAGAAAAGAAAATGATGATAGAACACAGATTAAAATATTAACCTTTAAGGTAACATTAAGTTGAGCTAAATGTCCTAAATTAGTTAGACTATTTAAAAAGAAGAAAAAGATATTGCCTAAATTTTGACTTACTAAATTCAGTGTGCATGTTTTAATTGCTAGAGTCATCATTAATAATTGACTCATCATGTGGAATTGTACATGATGCACAATAAAGGAATTACAAAATGGTCAAGCAGTCAAAATTTGCCAAGCAAAGATGAAAAAACCCAGAAAATTACCTCACACAAGTAGAAAACACAATGGTACATATAATATACATCATTAATTACCAAAAAATTGGAAACAGATTGCTCAAGTTTAAAAGACAAATTTTCAAAAATAAAAAAGTAATTAAAGGGATTGAAAGAAAACTGAAGGGAAAGTCCTATCAGGCCAATTCTAAGAAAAATGTGCTGGTTTTGTGCTATCAACATTAGAGGAAACGGATTTAGGGCCAAAAGCATTAAGCATCACTCTAGATAATTAGAATCTTTTTCCTATTCTCTTTAGCATCAGAGTTGCTAATTTATCCAACCATGTTTTGGATTCCCATAATGATGTCTCCATGCCCTGCTGCTCCTGTTAAATATTTAGGGATTTAAGAGATTGTTAAACTGTTGGCAACTTGAAAATGTTCATAGTGGGAATATTTACATTATTGAAATCAGCAAAAGCTAAAGTCACTTTTCCACTGCACCTCTGTCGAGTATATATATATATATATACATATATATATATGCTCAAATATCTGCTTTTTAAAGAAATAATACTTTCTTAGACCCGTATTTATTTTCAGCTACAAATTTCTCTTCTTTCTATCACAGCCAAATTACTTCAGACTAATCACCAATGACTTTTTCTAATTCTTTACATCTCATTCTTTCTTCAATCTTTGAAAAGTGATATAGCTTATTATTAATTAAATAATCTCATCTCAGTGTACTAGATATGGTAACTAATAATCTGCAGTGTCAAATCATATGCAGAGACAAAAGACAGGGAGCTTAGTAATAAAATGGAGAGCTAAGGTGGTATCCATCATATGCCTTCATTTTAAAGTTACTCTTTTCCCTTTGTAATTAAAACACAATTTGTGGAATATACTTTGTGATTCTATAAATATATGTTCCTCATAAAATTTTCACTGTTTAGTTTTAGAATTTCTTAGTGATTCTTGCCTCAATTGATTCTAATTTTGAGGTTTGAAAATGGGTGACGTTCTGAATCTATCATTTGTTCTACATTTATTTATTGCATTCTACTGCAGGAAAGATCATTCTCTGATCCCTGGTGATGTTCATCCCTGCTAGGGATGAACAAGGGACAGAGCAAGGTATTTGGAATTCATGACTTTCTACTAATAATTCCTATTTTTGTATACCCCAACAAATTCAGTTTTTGACTTTTGCCATTCAATCTTGATATTTGTTTTCTTCTATAATGACGCTATGACTTCTAACAAGGAATATACTTATTTTTATAATCTTACAATGTAGGTAATATAGTTTCAGAATTGCTATACCAGTACCACTATAAAAACATATACCTAGGAGTAAAGTTGAATATATTTACAATTTCTTTTTAGACTGAGGGCAAGAAGTCAAGGTACTCTCATCAAAAGTTACATGAATTAGTACTTTTTTTCAGTGTGGTCATATTATTCATTTGAAATGCAGTTGTATTCATGTTTATATTCCATTTTAGGACATACTTCCATCTTTTAAAATTTAGTTTTATATTTTGAATATGAGGAACATTAACATGATTCCAATGTTAAATCAGTACAGAAAGATGTACTCAGACAAGTGTAGCTTCCATTCTATCCCTTCCATCCCATTCTCTTACCCCACTCATTTAATTGTAGGCAAGTTTATCCTTCCTGTGTTTTTGAGAAACACACACAAAAAATTTATGTCTTTGCAAAATTAAACAGACACCTGGGATACATTTTCTGTCTTATTTTATTCAGAAAAGTGAGAAAATTATATGTAAATTGTATATGTTTTATATATATATATATATAAAGTTTTGTATATACAGAACTCTGCTTTTATTTTCCCGTTCAAAATCTTGTCAGAGAATCATTCCTTATCAGTGCATAGAATTTTTAAATATATTTTGGTGTAAGGAAGGTTTGTATTTTTGTCACTTTGATTACACTTTCATTTACATAATTTTAGTGCCTTTAACCTCCTTTCTTTCTTAGCTTTTTTAATCTGATTTTTTCTTGTTAAATGTTATCCTTTAATTCTCACCTATTTCCTATGCATTAATCAGTGAATTTATTCTGCTTTCCTTTTTCTTTTTTCCTTCTCTCCATTTTTTTATACTTGATATTTTTTGTATTTTATATTTCACATAGATACTTCTAACCCTGTTCCATTGTTTTAATATACAATTAAAAATTTAATATATTTATTCTATAGTTAAATATATTAAATGATCACTTATAATTCTTTTGCTAAAATCTTCCTCATTTATATCTGGGTTAAATGATACTTATTTGCCAATGGATTCCTCAGGAAGGATTCAGGAGTACTGTATGTATTGAAATTTTTGCATGCATAAACTGTTTTTCTATAGTCTTAAATATATAAAAGATACATCAAACAGTTATACTTATTTTCTTGAGTTTCTTGATTTCCATATAATTTTTTGAGTTGTTAATTTTAAGAATTCTTATTCCTGTCTTATTTTTGTACTATTATTAAAAGTTTTATTTTTTCCTTTTAGAGTCTGTGAAAAATTTTTAATCTGATTTTAGTCTAAACTTTTTCTAGGATGTGTATTGTAGTTGATTGTTCTGAGTCAGTTATCTCAGAAACATGATAGATTCTTTCAATATGTGGATTTTATTTTTCTTTCAATTTTGACAAGACTTTAAAAATTGTAGCTTAAAATTATTTCAGAGTTTTTGGGTTGTTTTCTTATTCTATTTTAGCGGCTCCAATTATATGTCTGCATGATATTCATTGCCTGCCTTCTACTCTTTAATTATTTTCATTCTAATACTTTTAATTTATTTATTTATCTTATTTTTGAAAATCTTGTATATTTACCACTTTTAATGACCTTTATTAAATTTTTATTCAAACATATTCTTATTTGGTTATTTTATATTTTATTCTTTAATACTCAAATGATTTTCAATTTTCTTTTTAATGTCCTCCCTGAGTTTGAGAAATTACACTGATTTATTTCTATTTTTATTCATTTCTGTCCTTCGTTTTAAAATATTTGATTCAAGTTCTTTCCCCCTGATTCTTACACAATTTTTAAAATTATTAATCATATCTGAAGGGTTACGTTGCAGCTTTCTCCCCCTTGTAGTTGGTTTCAGTGAATGGATTTTTATCTACTGAAAAGGATGCCTTTTCTTTTATTTTTTCTACCCAAAATAGGATGCCTCTCTGAGACTGCTGCTTGGTCTTTCATATTTCAATTATGTTCCTTAGTTTTAGTGTTGGGTATTAGCAAGGCCTAAATTTGCATTATATGCTTCAGCACTTAGTGATAAACTTTCTCTTTCTGGAGGTAACTTTATTTTTACATTAGTTGTGCTTTCATTTCTATGATCCTCTTCTTCATTGCACAGTCATTCATGCACCCTTTCCTCTCATGTCATGTAATATATTTGTGTAGTTACAGCACAAACTCTGTTGAGAGACATGTGGGTATTTTGTGTTTATTTCTCTAATTCCAGATATTTTGTGGTTCATGTGTTCATTTTCCTTGAAACAGGAAAAATCACAAGATTGTGTGTGATTTTATTGCACACCTCATTGATATGTATAGATTTTGGGGGAGAACATGAAAAGAGATTTACATCTAGGAAGTCACCATTATCCTAGGTACAAGTGAAAGTTTCTATGTAAATTTTAAATAAATCACAAGGAAAGTTTTTATTTAAAAAAACCTGGGTCTGCTACACTAAGATTTGCTCCAACAAATATGTAAATTCTTCACATGTTTAATATTTATAACTAACCATGTGCCAGTCACTGTATTGGGATCTTGGAGATGAATTTCTAAGATATTAATTCAGATTGACTGGAACATAGATCATAGGTATAAGAGAGAAAATGTAAATGGAAGAGAAATTTGGGGCAATTAACTGCACAGCCTTAAATTCTAGAGTCAAGATTTGTCTACTTAAATGCAATAGGCAAGGCAGAACCTTTCAAGATGCTTTAAGTTTTGGGGCTCATATAAGTTAAATTAGATAATTTTATATAAACCTAAGAGTGAAATACTTTAAAAGTAATTTGGACTCTACTGGTATTCTTTATTCTTTTAAAGGTATTTGTGATCTTTATAGACATAGTCTGCCCCAAGTCCCCAGATGAAATAGGGCTAACATGAAAAGCATATGCTTGATGATGAGGGAAGTTAGGCTATTATAAAATATGTACAGACAAAAAAAGTTCTTAAAAATAATATGGAAGAAGAAAACAAGTAGGCATTACTAAATACTCAAACTTACCATAAAATTAGGTAGAATTAAACCAGACCAACTAATTATGGAGCATATATTACAAGTGACCACATAAGAATAGTAGAAATAGCTAAGGCATGGAAAGTTTTGGCTTTTTCCTAAAGGGTAAAATTGAAATTTATTCACCCATGTTTCACTTCTCAGAGGCAGGAGTGCAAAAGCTTAATGCTTACTATTTTTTTCTTGTTTTATAATCTAGTCAAGGAATTTGGTTCTTCTGACTCCCTCCTCCACCACCAAAAATCTAAAAAACAAAATGGGTGAAAAATACTTGAAAAAATAAAATTTTCAAAGCTCTTTTCCCTCTAATGAAAATCAAAACAAAGAGTAGAAAATTTGATTTTAGCCAGTGTCATTCTTGGGGTTGAACATTTCTAGTGCTCTTGGTCAAGTAAATCATAAATGAATTCAGGAACACATAATGCACTTAATGTACACATTCATAAATTCTATCCCAGTAACTACATGTCAGTTTTTTAAAAAAAATCTGCATAATGCTAAAGAGTATCTTATTCACATACCAATGGATCTCAGTGGTTTGGTTGTCATGGATACACACCTTTTGTTTGTTTGAGAGATCCATCAAATGTGTGCATTTGAATCCTTGCTTACCCTATCTGCAGTGATATAGGTATTTTACAATAGTAAATAAAATTAAGCGACTATGCAATTTATGCTGAAAGAATAAACACATTCACCTGCATGCTTTTTAATAAATCAGTGCTTACTGACATTTAAAATACAAGAAATAAGTACTCTTATTATTCTAGGAGGAATGTGGTTCACAAGAGGCTACCTTTGCCTTGTAAGATTATCTTACATAGAATGTAGAAAATCATCAAACCTTAAAAACAAATAGGACACCATGTCTATTTAATACTAATGTTCACTCCTCTCAAGAGAGTTTTTATTGTACAAATTCAACAATATGGGTATTTTACCCACAAAATATCCAATCTCTTATCTCTCACACTCATTCTCTTTCTCCTATGTATCATAATAACATCATCTTTATGTGTTAGTGGGTGCCATGAAAAAAAAATTACAATTTGCAAGTGCTAAAAGAGCAAAGCTTAAAGTTAGAGCTATCTTTTTCCCCTCTAAAAGTCACTGACACAAAAGAAAAAGATGAACAAAGAACTGTGAAAGTATGCGTTGGATGGGAGCTTCCAGAAGTTATGTGTTACTTTGCTAAAAATCACAAACCACAAAAAAAGTCTTAATGTCACCCCTATTGAGAGGTCAGTGCTAGTTTGGCAGTCACTGAACCTTGATTTTAACATGTATATGTACAGAGAGAAAGTTAAAGCTAGAGAACTCGACATAGATGTGCAATGTTTCTAAAATAGTTTAAAGAATCTTTTGAGAATATTGTTGAAAAAGGAATAAGAATGGCAGAAAAATATTTGTTAAGGCTTTATTTCTATCCTAATAGACTGGGAAATACAGACTTTCTCATAAATATAATTAACTATGTAAATATCAAACTGATTAAAAGAGTTCACTGTTATTTTAATAATTGTAGATGAAGTTTCATGTTCCTTCAGAAATCTTGCTGATTATAGGAAAATGTATCAATACATTGATTTATCAAAATATCAAAATTTATCAAAATTCATTAATCACCTTTTAAAGAGAAATTTTTAGGGATATGTTTTGAACATTTCCCATTTAGAATGACAGTATTGACTGCAATGTGTGTACTATGAATATGTTTGAATACCTAGATATGTGTTCGCTGGATATATCTGGGAGAAAAGAGTCTACTTTATATTTATTCAGAAGACATGATCATGTGGATTTGGGAAGACGTGGGAACATGGAAGGTTATTTCTTCAACCTTTTTATCTTATATGAATCATTAATGCTTTAGGATTCCATAATGTTCTTAGCTTATGAAGGTCATTTTCTAGCATTATCAGATGCAACAACATTGCTTTATGTAGGTAGAAGAAAAAAGGAAAAATGGTGTTTCTAAAAGTCCTGTGTGCCACTTAGTAAGTAAAGCCGGAATCCATGCCATTGTCTATTTTTTTTTCTGTTTCTTATTGGAAAGTGTGACAAATTTCCATGCATATTTTGTAACTTACCTTAACTAAATCTAAAAACCTCACTAAAAAGTAAATTTCGTTAAAACCTATGTTCATTCGTTTCATTTTACTAGATTAAGAAAAACACCTGGGAAAAAATATCAGCAATACAGGTTTGTTAAAACTGAACATGTGGCTGGTCGCGGTGGCTCACGCCTGTAATCCCAACACTGGGAGGCCGAGGTGGATGGATCACGAGGTCAGAAGATCAAGACCATCCTGGCTAACACGGTGAAACCCCATTTCTACTAAAAATACAAAAAATTAGCCGGGCGTGGTGGCGGGCGCCTATAGTCCCAGCTGCTCCGGAGGCTGAGGCAGGAGAATGACATGAACCCAGGAGGCGGAGCTTGCAGTGAAACGAGATCGCGCCACTGCTCTCCAGCCTGGGCGACAGAGAGAGACAACGTCTCAATTAAAAAAAACAAAAAACAAAAAAAAAAACTGAACATGTAATTTTCGGATAGGAAAGGACTTAGACCTGGATTGGATGTCGCTGCAGGAAGGGGAAAAATATTAAAATTATCTTTGGAAGAGAATCTTTGACCTGGCACAAGATAAAAGAATATTTAAACCCTCGAAGTCATGTGAAAACAATGATTCTGGGAAGTAAGTGGGTTTGAAAACTTGTATTCAACTTGAAATTTTGTGATGAACCCAGGCTACCAAAAGGTACACTGAAAACCTCCCAGAATGTGAAGAACTGAGGATATAGCCCAAGGCAGAAGGTAAAGCCTAAGGTGGAGAAACTAAAAGCAGAATCCCCACATAAGGCTATAAACTAAAAGTGGTACACCTATATTACAAAATAAAGTGACAGATGAGCTCCACCATCTCGAATATGACAGAAAACTTGGTTGCTTTAACTCTGCCAGTGAAGAGGAAAAACAAACACACAAAGAAAGGTCAAGTGGGGAAATTGATTAGAAAATTTCTCAACTTACCTTGCTAGCTTCCCAGAAAAGTAGGCCCCCAAAATTTCACAAATCCTTTCTTGAGTAATTCAAATTCAACCTAGATGTGAAAGATGATAATATTAAGTTTGAGAAAAACGAGTAGTTCTTAATTAAAATATCACAAGGCACACGTGAAAAAAAATGAGATACAAGTGATACCCAAAGGAAACAACAGAGAAATAGACATAGGAATACTTTACCTACTTGAAATATACATATGGACACCTTGTATTGATAGTGTGGAATACCAACAGCAAATATATTTTAAAGATAGCTAAGAAAAAAAAGACAAATCACATTTCAAAGGAACAGCAACTTATTTAAAAGCCAAATTATCAAGCATAATAAGAACAATAAAAAATTTGTTTAAATAATAGAATATTTATGGAGAAATAAAAACTATCAAACTAGAATTACACATCTACCTAACTCACCTTTCAAGAATGAAATATTTTCAAATTTAAAAAAATACAGATTTTTTTTCACTAAAGAAAATTAGAAAAATAGATCTCAGTCAGAAAAAAAAACTAAAAGCAGATATTTGAGAGCTATATAAAGAAAAATCAGCAAATTCACCATTTTTTAATCACATGTCACCCAATAAATATAGAAAGCAGGCTGATTTTAAAAAAGCAATGAAGGCATAGAAATTTTCACCTGCAGAAATAGCACAAATTGTTTGATGTACAATTTTACAAATGTATCTAAAATTGTATTTAACAATTAGAGAATACATCTGCTTGATATTATGCTTTTCAAATATAAATAAAACATTTATAAAAGTAGAGTGCATGTTAAACCATAAAGCTATCTCTAAAATGTTGTTATTTCAAACAGAACTGATTACTTTGTATTTTAGAAAAATTAAGTCAGAAATAACAAAAGTAATTAGAACAAACCTTATGTGTTTATTTATGTATTTATGAGACAGAGTCTTGCTCTGTCAATGAGGCTGAACTGCAGTGGCACCATCTCAGCTCACTGCAACCTCCGCCTCCCAGGTTCAAGTGATTCTTGTCCTTCAACCTTCCAAGTAGCTGGGATTACAGGTGGATGCCACCACGCCTGGCTAATAATTTTTGCATTTTTCGTAGAGACAGGGTTTTCCATGCTGGCCAGGCTGGTCTCAAACTCCTGGCCTCAAGTTATCTACCTGCCTCAGCCTACCACAGGACTGGGATTATAGGCCTGAGCCACGGTGCCCAGCCTAAACTCTATGTGTTTAAATTTTAAAAGTCTAATCAAATCATGGGACAATGAACACAACATAATAAAAATTAGAAGAAAATTAGATTTGAAAAATATGAATGAAAGAAAAATCTTCTTTTTCTGTCAAATAGCACATCTGGCAGCAAACGTGTGGGTTTTCCACACCAAACAATTCTCCAATTCTCTGTAGACACCAATTGGGTGTCCTGCAACTTAATTCTGACTTAAACTACCTAGAGGTAATGCAGACCTCTAAGACTGCCTCTACTTCAGACACCAATGACAAATGTCCGGTTATCTTGTGCGTTTCTGAGCAACTAGCTGTGTACTGAAGCCTCCCATAACCTCCTCGGGTTTGATAATTTGCTATAATGGTTCACTCAACTCAGAGAAAGATTTACTTATATTTGCGTGTTTATTAAAAAGGATACTATAAAGGATATAGATGAACAGTCAGATGAAGAAGTGGATATGGCAAGATCCTGAGCATAGGAGCTTCTGTCCTTCTGCAGTTGGAGTGCACCAACCTTCCAGCACATGGCTGTGTTCAGCAACCAGGAAGGACTCAGAATCCTGTAGTTTGGGGGTTTTTATGGAGGCTTCATCACGTAGGCAATGTCAACAGATCAATTATTAATTCATTCTCCAGCCCTCTCCCCTCTCTGGAGTTGGGGAGTGGGGCTGAAAATTCTAGGCTTCTAATTATGGCTTGGTCTTTCTAGTGACCACCCCGCTTCCTAAAAGTATTTAGGAGTCCACCGAGAGAACCTCATTAGAATAAAACCTACTCTGATCACTCAAGAAATTCCAAGGGATTTAGGAGCTCTTGTGTCAGCAATCTAGGTCAAAACCAAATATTAGAACAAAAGATGCTCCTAGCATGATTATCACTCAGGAAATTAGAAAGGTTTTAGAACTGTGTGCTGGGAACTGGAGACAAAGACCAAATATATATTTATTATTGTGTCACAGTGAAAAAAATAACAAATCAAATTCATGGGCTGCAACTAAATCAGTATATAGAGGAGTATTTAATGATACACAAGCTGAGATTAAAAAATAACAAGAGCTCAAGATTGATAAGCTAAACCACCACTATAAGTAGTGGAAATAAATATATAATAAACTTCAAAAATACAAATGTAAGAGAATAATAGAGTTAGAAATTAATGAAATAGAAAATATGTAAAATAAAGAGGGCCAGCAAAGCCAAATATTGGCACTTCTAAGGGCTTACAAAATAGGGGAAAGTGACAAATACATTCATAATTAAAAGGCATTAAACAATTTTAGGAATTAAATAGAAACAGAACTAGATATATTTTAGGGATTAAACAGAAAATAAGAAAATATTTAAAAAATATAATGCCAATACATCTGAAAAAATTTTAAAAATGAACATATTTCTAACAAAGTATAATTTATTAAAACTAGCCACAAAATAATGTAATTTCTGTGGTCCTATTAGCAATTATATCAATAATTAAACTCTCCACAGAGAACACAATATGTTCAGTTAGTATAAAGTCAACATCTGCAAGACATTCCAGGATATGATGTTTCCAATTCTTCACAGATAATCTCAGAATCATAAAATAAAAAGGCATTCTTCTTTCATTTTGTGACAATGGAACATATTGATTGACAAACCAAGCACAGTCACACTAGAGAGGGAAGTTACAGGTCAATTTTATTCACAAACATGCAACACTCAACCATGAAATATTAACAAACCAAATACAGCAATGTGTATGATTTTCTGTGATTTATTTGAGGAATGCACAATTGGTTTATTATTAAAAATGGATGAATATTATTGACTAAAATAATAAATTAAAGGGAAATCATTTGATTACTTCTACAAATGCAGTAAGAGCATGTGTTAAGATGCAAATCTTGTTCACATTAAAAAATACTCATAGAAAATAATTAAGATCCACTACAATAGGAACAACAACATCAAAATAAAACCCAGACCATATATAATATTATTGTTGAACTATTGAGGCAATTCCTTTTATCATCAAGAATACAGAACACTGACCGGGCGTGGTGGCTCACACATGTAATCTCAGCACTTTGGGAGGCCAAGGCGGGCGGATCACAAGCTCAGGAGATCGAGACCATCCTGGCTAACATGGTGAAACCTCATCTCTACTAAAAATACAAAAAATTAGCCGAGCGTGGTGGCGGGCACCCGTAGTCCCAGCTACTCAGGAGACTGAGGCAGGAGAATGGCGAGAACCCGGGAAGTGGAGCTTGCAGTGAGCCGAGATTGTGCCACTGCACTCCAGCGTGGGCGACAGACTAAGACTCCGTCTCAAAAAAAAAAAAAAAAAAGGAATACAGAACACCATCCCCAATCTGTGCTGATATTGCTACCACTGTGAACGCTAACACAAATGCCAATAGTCCTGCACCCAATGCCAAAACCACCGCCCCCACAAATGCACACATGGGGGCCAGCAGCCCCACTCCCATCAGTGCTGCATCCTTGACACTGCTGCCAGTGTGACAGCACTGCAGTAAGGCTGCAGTCTGGCTCCTATCAGTACCCTGCCCCAGCTGATGCACAGGCACCCTGCTGAGCTACTGCCACAAGGGGCATATGCAAATAAGCACAGATTCCACTGCCACTGCTTCAACAAAGGACTTTGGTTGGCTCCACCCATTAGAGTGCTATGGCCAGCAGTGCAGAAATACCTGGGCCACTCCAGTGCAGTAGGTTCTTAAACTTGAGGGTCCAGAGAACAAAGCCAGAGGCCTGATAACACCCACCTAGAATTAGAGGATGCAACCCAGGAGCGCTGAACTGAGGCTTGGTCCCATAAAGGTCAACCGATCCTACCTTATGCAAAAATCAAACCCCAAGGGTATCAGACAACATAAAAGCAACACAACAACAACAAACATCAAAAGACAGCAACTTCAAAATTGAAGGAACATCAGGCCACACAGACGAGAAAGAACAAGCACAAGAATTTTGGCAAGTCAAAAAGCCAGAGTGCATTTTACCTCCAAACCACTGTACTAATTCCCAAGCAATGGTCCTTAATCAGGCTGAAATAGCTGAAATGACAGAAACATAATTCAGACTATAGATACAAATGAACATAATTAAGATTTGGAAGAAAGTCAAAACCCAATCCAAGCATTCTAAGGAATACAATAAAATGATACAGAAAATGAAAGACAAAATGGCCATTTTCAGAAAGAACCAAACTGATCTTAAAAAGCTGAAAAATTCACTTCAAGAATTTCGGAATACAATCACAAGTATTAACAGCACAGTCAACCAGATTCTTTCTCTGAGGAAAGAATCTCAGAGCTCAAAGACCAGTTCTCCAAAATAACCCCGTAAGACCAAAATAAAGAAAAAAGATTGAAGAAGCATGAACAAAATATCTGAGACATATGGAATTATGTAAATAGACCAAATCTATGTCTCATTGGCATTCCTGAAAGAGAAGGGGAGAAAGTAAGCAACCTGAAAAAGATACTTCAGGATATTGTCCATGAAAAATTTCCCAACCTTGCTAGAGAGGCCAACATTCAAATCCAGGGAATGCAGATACCCACAAGATGACACTTCTTGTCAGAGTCATCAGATTCTTGAAGGTCAGAATGAAAGAAAATATGTTAAAGGCAGCTAGAGAGGAGGGGCAGATCACCTACGAAGAGAACCCCATGAAAGTAACAGTGGACCTTTCAGCAGAAACCATACAAGCTGGAAAAGTTCGGGGGGCTATATTCAGCATTCTTTTTTTTTTTTTTTTTTTTGAGACAAAGTTTCACTCTTGTCACTCAGGCTGGAGTGCAATGGTGTGATCTCAGCTCACCGCAACCTCTGCCTCCCGGTTTCAAGCAATTCTCCTGTCTCAGCCTCCTGAGTAGCCGGGATTACAGTTGCCCGCCAACACGCCTGGCTAATTTTTGTATTTTTTAGTAGAGATAGTGTTTCACCACGTTGGCCAGGCTGGTCCTGAACTTCTGACCTCAGGTAATCCACCCACCTTGGCCTCCCAAAATGCTGGGATTACAGACGTGAGCCACCACACCTGGTCTATTCAGCATTCTTAAAGGAAAGAAATTCCAGCCAAGAATTTCATATCCACCCAAGCTAAGCTTTAAAAGTGGAGGAGAAATACAATCTCTTTTATACAAGCAAATGCTAAGGGAATTTATTATCACTGATCCTGCCTTGCAACAGACCTTTAAGGGAATGCTAAATATGGAAAGGAAAGAACATTACTGGCCATCATAAAAACACATTTAAGTACATAGATCATTGACACTGTAAAGCAACCACACTAACAAATCTGTATAATAATAAGTTAACAACATCATGGCAGGGTCAAATCTGCACATACCAATACTAACCTTGAATGTAAATGGCAAAATGTTCCAATTAAAAGGGAGAGTGGCAAGTTGGATAAAGAAGCAAGATCCAACAGTATGCTGTCTTCAAGAGACCCACCTCACTGGCAATGATACACATAGGGAAAAAGTATAGGGATAGAGAAAAATCTACCAAGCAAGCAGAAAACAGAAAAATGCAGGGGTTGCTATTCTAATTTCAGACAAAGCTGACTTTAAACCAGCAAAGATAAAAAAGATAAAAGAACATTACATAATATTAAAGGTTCAATGCAACAAGAAGACCAAACTATCCTAAATATATATGCAACCAACACAGGAGCACTCAGATTAATAAAGGAAATTCTTAGAGACCTTTAAAGAGATTTAGACTCCCACACATAATAGTGGGAGACTTTAACACTTGACTGACTATATTAGACAGATCATCAAGACAGGAAACTAACAAGTACATTTAGGGCCCAAACTTGACACTTGAGCAGTGAGACCTAGTATATATCTACGGAACTCTCTGCCCCAAATCAATATAATATGCTTTTTTCTCATCTGCAAATGGCACATACTCTAAAGTTGACCACAAAATAAGCCATGAAACAATCCTCAGCAAATTCAAAAACACTGAAATTATACCAGCCATACTCTCAGACCACAGCACAATAAAAATAGAAGTTGATACTAAGAAAATCACCCAAAACCATACAATTACATGAAAATTAAATAACCTGTTCCTGAATTATTTTTGAGTAAACAATAAAGTTAAGGATGAAATGAAGAAATTCCTTGAAACTAATGAGAGCAAAAGTACAACATGCCAAAATTTCTGGCACACAGCTAAAGCCGTGTTAAGAGACAATGTCTGTCACTAAATGTCCATATCAAAAAGTTAGAAAGATCACAAAGAAACAATGTAACATCACATCTAGGGGTGCTAGAGAAGCAACAAGAAACCAAGCCTAAAGCTAGCAGAAGACAAGAAATAACCAAAATAAGCTAAACTGAAGGAAATCGAGGTGCCAAAAAAAAGCATACAAAAGATCAAGTCCAGGAGCTGGTTCTCTGAAAAAATAAATAAGTTAGATAGACCACTAGCTAGATGAATAAACAAAAAAAAAGAGAGAAGATCTAAATAAACACAATCAGGAAAGACAGAGGGAGTGTTACCACCAGCTCCACAGAAATACGAAACATCCTCAGAGACTATTACAAAGATTACTTTGCACACAATCTAAAAAACTTAGAAGAAAAAGATAAATTTTTGGAAATACGCAACCTCTTAAAATTGAAGCAGGAAGAAATTTAATCTGGAACAGACCAATAACAAGTTTCAAAATTGAATAATTCATAAAAAGCCTACCCAACAGAAAAAGCCCAGGACCAGATGGATTGACAGCCAGATTCTACCAGATGTATAAATAATATCTGATACCATTTTCCTACTGAGACTATTCCAAAAAATTGTGGAGGAGGAGCTCCTCCCCAACTGATTCTCTGAGGGCAGTATCATCTTGATATGAAAACTTGGTAGAAACACCAAAAAAAAGAAAAAATCAGGCCAATATCCTTGATGAACGTAGATGCAAATATCCTCAACAAAATACTAGCGAAGTGATTTCAGCAATGCATCAAAAAGCTAATCCATCATAATCAAGCAGGCTTTATCTCTGGGATGCAAAGTTGATTCAACATACACAAATCAATAATAAGATTCACCAGATAAAGAGAACTAAGAACAAAAATCACATGATTATTTCAGTAGATGCAGAAAAGGCTTTCAATAAAATTCAACATCCCTTCATGTTAAAAACCCTCAACATGATAGGCATCAAAGACACATACCTCAAAATAATAAGAGCCATCAATGACAAACCCATAGCCAACATCATACTAAGGAGGCAAAAACTGGAAATATTATCCTTGAAAACCAGAGCAAGATAAGGATGCCCTCTCTCACCACTCCTATTCAACATACCACTGGAAGTGTTAGCCAGAGCAACCAGGCAAAAGCAAAAAATAAAAGACATCCAAATAGGAAGAGAGGAAGTCAAACTATCTCTCTTTTCTGATGTTATGGTTCTATACCTAGGAAACCCTGAAGAGTCTACAAAAGTGTTCCTGGCACTGACAAAACACTACAGTAATGTTTCAGGATACAACATCAGTGTACAAAAATCAGTAGCATTTCTATACACCAACAACATCCAAGGTGAAAGCCAAATCAAGAACACAATGCCATTCACAATAGCCACACACACACAAAAAAAACTAAAATACATAGGAATATCACCTAACCATGGAGGTGAAAGATTTGTACAGTGAGAATTTCAAAATATCTGCTTAAGGAATCAGAGATGACACAAACAAATGGAAAAACATTTCAAACTCATGGATAGAAAGAATCAATCTTGTTAAAATGGCCATATTGTCCATAGCAATTTATAGATATAATGCTATTCCTATCAAACTACCAAAGATTTTTCATCACAGAATTAGGAGAAACTATTTTAATATTCACATGGAACCAAGAAAGAGCCCATATACTCAAGACAATCCTAAGCAAAAATAACAAACCTGCAGGTATCACTTTACTTAACTTCAAAATATACTGCAAGACTACTGTAGCCAAAACACAGTGTAATACTGGTACAAAAACAGACACATAGACCAATGGAACAGACTAAAGATCCCAGAAATAATTCCACACACCTATAACCATCAATCTTTGACAAAGTCTACAAAAACAAGCAATGAGGAAAGGACTCCCTATTCAGTATGTTGTGCTGGAATTACTGGCTAGCCGTAACAGAAGATTGAAACTGTTCCGCTTCCTTATAGCGTATACAAAAATCAACTCAAGATGGTTTTAAATACATAAATGTAAAACCCAAAACTCTCAAAACCCTAGAAGATAATCTAGGAAATACCATTTTGGACTGACACCCTGGGAAAGATTTTTTGATGTAGATACCAACAGCAATTGTGAAAAAGCAAAAATTGAAAAATGGGACCTAATTGTAATACAGAGCTTCTGCATAGCAAAAGAAAATATCAACATAGTGTATACAACCTACAGAATGGAAGAAAATATTTGGAAACTAGGCATTCAACAAAAGTCTCATATCCAGAATCTGTAAGGAACTTAAACAAATGCACAAGTATAAAACAAACAACCCCATTAAAAAGTGGGCAAAGTATATGAACAGACACTTTTTTAAAGAAGACATACACATGGCCAGTAAGCATATGAAAAATGTTCAACATCCCTAATCATTAGAGAAATGCAAATAAAACCACAATGAAATACAATTTCATACGGTCAGAATGGCTATTATTAAAAAGTCAAAAAAGAACAGATGATGGTGAGGTTGCAGAGAAAAGGGAATGCTTATACACTGATGATGGGAATGTAAATTTGCTCAGCTATTGTGAAAAGCAGTGTGGTGATTCCTCAAAGAACTTAAAACCAAATAACCATTCAATCTAGCAATCCCAGTATTGGGTATATACCCAAAGGAATATAAATCTTTCTGCCATAAAGACACTTGCACACATATGTTGATCACAGCACTATTTATAATAAAAAAGTTATGGATTCAACTTAATGCACCTGTCAACAGTAGACTGGACAAAAAAAATACATATATATGATGCTATACTACAGAGCCATAAAAAATAACAATATCATGTCCTTTGCAGCAACATGGTTGGAGCAGGAGGCCATTATCCTAAGCAAGGTAATGTAGGAACAGAAAACCAAATATGGCAAGTTTACACTTATAACTCGGAGCTAAATATTGAGAACACATGTAAACAAAGAAGAGAACAACAGACACTGAGGCCTACTAATAGTGGAGGTTGGAAGGAGGAGGATGATAAAACATTACCTAGGTGACAAAATAATCTATACACCCATCTCCATGACACTCAATTTACCTGTAAGAAACCTGAATATATGCCCCTGAACCTAAAGTAAGAGTTAAATAAATTAAAATTATTTTAAAAATGCAAAATGTTTGCTGGTAATTGCTCTTCATTTTAAAAATAAAAATATTATGATAGTTAATGACAATATAGTAGTAATTAGGAAAATAAAAAGGAATAAAATACATAAGCAATAGATCAATAATTGTTGATTATATAACTTTCTATGTTGATAACTTCCTCCAAAATAACTGCAGACATTTTTAGAACCAATAAGAAAGGTTATCAAGGTTGCTAGGTACACAACCAATTTGAAAAATCCATAAGCCAGGGAGAGCATTGGGCTTAACTTTTATAAGAATACAAAATATTACTTCAGTCTCCATAGTCCTTTTTACATAGTATCTAGATTATATTACAAAGCATTAGAAATTCAGGGAAGCAAGAAAATATCACCCATGACTAACAGAGAGCATAGTCAACAGAAGAAAAATCACAACTTACCAGTTAGGAATAATCATAAAAGTACTTCAAAATAATTATACAGATCTTAAAGCAAATTTAGGAAAATAAGGGTCTAATGGATTAAGAGGCTGGGAATTTTAGAGATAAATTGATGCTCTAATAATAGACAAATGGAATTTCTAGAAGTAAAAAATACAATGTCTTGAAAATCAAAAGTTCTCACTATATGAACTTAGCAGTAGATTAGACTCCAAGATTCATTAAATCTGAAGACACATCAATAACAATCATCAAAATTGAAGCAGAGAGGAAGACAAAGTTTGAAAATATAAATGAACCTCTTAGAATCTCAATAGATAAAATAGACATATAATTAATTTTGTGAAAAAATGAGAAAAAATGGTGTCTCCTTTTCTACTTATAAAAATATCTTAATATTGGACACAGTAGAACAATGCTGATGAGAAAAAATGAACACTCAGTGCAGGCAGGGGTTGGTGTGGTGGATGTGGATGTTTGAAACTGAAATTGGGCAATATCTCTGACCCTTTTCTCAGGCAACAGTACCCATACCTACTATGGTACTCCATTGGCTTAATTCAAATGACTTCTAGCTCCAGAGGTAGCATAGAAACTGTAGTTGGTTAATAATAAGAACAGTGAACACCTATTGAGTTTGTAAAATGTTCCAGGCTGTATTTTGAGCATTACAGAATCAGAATACCCAGCATCAGGTTCCTCTAGCCACTACTGACTGAACATGAGCTGTCCCAAATCAATCTTACCAGAACAATCTCAAAAGAGATGTTTTCTCTTCTGATATACATGAACATGGCCCAAAAAACATAAAAAAAAGAAGAAAATACCTCTTACTGGTTGATGAGGACCCCACATACATCCTGAGAATAAGGCACACATAATGGATTGTGAAACCTCACATGAGAAATAGGTCTGGATGATGTTGTTTGGGCTTCCAAATCAAACAGTAGCTGGCCTATGCTGTTACCCAAGCCAGTGCCTTACCTTTGTATTTAAACCACCTTTAGTTTATTTTTTTTCTATTTTCAAACAAGAAGTTAAGAATAAAAAGTTAAAATTTTTGGTGTAAATGACTTCAAGTCTCTTGATCAGTTGAATCTTATTGCAGAACAATGGGAAAGTTTGTAAAATTTCTGGGTATTAATAAAGAAAATTATTTTTCACTGGGTAAAAGATGCACTCTTCCGAGCTATTGAGAGATGAGCCCAGAGATGATTAGAGAAAAAATGTTATGTTTCTAGTCATCATAATTTTATATTAAATGTATATTGCAGTTATAGATGGTTTTAAAGGTTAGAATTACGGCAAGTGGGTTCAGTGTAATGACAAATTTTAAATAGCCAGAGAAGTGTAAAGATAGAAAGATTTGTCTTTAGAGTTCTTCATTATTGAGACATTAAAATGAAGGCTAGATAGTCATTTAGCAGGGTTACTGATCAGAGGATGCAAGTATAAATTGGATGGTTAGAATCCATGTGCTTTCAGTTCCTTCTGTTCTTATAATATTTTGAGTTTTCTGAAAAAGTATGTTTCATGAGTTCTAAATATGTGTCTAAACCACCTCTCATCTGAAAGTTAATATTTTCTACCATTTTAGAAGAGGTTGTATAGTAATGGCAATTATGAACATATGTCAATGCTCAATTATGTGAAAAGACAGAAATATTAACTATGAAAAAGACAGGCAAATGTTCTATGATGTTTCAAAAGACTATTGAGGGAGGAAGAGTAAGCAATATAAAAAGTCTATACATTAAACACAAGGTATCCAAAACTCAATTACTCTATTACTACACGATGCAGACTGTCTGATTACCCTAGAAAAATAGCATGCAATAACATAGTTCTTTGACAAGACAAGAGGCCAATTGAATGTAGCACAATTGAGAATTTAAACAGCTCATGTATCAAGCCAGTGCTATCACATCTATAGGAGATATCTAAGGAATCTAGCTATTTAGGATCCCTGTATTCATAGAATTATGATTGTTATGTACCAAGATAATATAGTATTGTATATCATTCATTTGTCAACAAATCTATCAAAATCTTAAGTGAATGTTTACCAACAATACTTAAAATTTTGTATACAGATTTCAGGATAAGAATTAAATGCAATGGATAAGTGTACATATATATTTTGTAATATGATTTGAAATTTCTAGGATTAAAAACAAAATTATTAAATATATTGCTATGTTAGGCTTGATCTCTAAATATTTTAATAACAATGTGTTGTAGTGAATGCATATATTTCATGTGATGGTATGGTATAGAGTGGAAATATTTCAATTTTGGAGTCAAAATTGGATAATTTGTTACTTTGGGTGACATCAAGGAATTTTCTTCCTGCTTAGGGCATCAGGCAGAATGTTCTAAGCAGTCATTAAGTCTGCAGCCATGGAAGGAGACAAGACAGTTTAACCCACACTGGCTGTGTGATATTGGACAAGTCACCTAATATTTCTGTGTTTCAGCTTCCCTACCCATAAAGTGGAAATAGTATCTACTTCCTCATAACTGGCAGCAGTTCCCAACTGCTCTCTGAGGGACTCCTCATTGCTATAGGCACTAATGGAGTTAATTCATGTGAAATACAGAGCTTAGCACCTGGTAAATAATTAATAAATGTTAGCTATTAATTTTATTGGTGAAATGAAAGTAGTAGGGTATGCTTTGTAGAAATGTTATGAGAATGAAAGGATATTTTATGCAGTAAGTCTGGCACATAACATGTCCTCAGGAAATAGTAGCTGCTTACTATTACTGTTGAAGCAAGTATTTCCTTAGACATTTCAGCTATAAGACCATTAAGTAAGAATTTTTCAGTGACTTTTCTAGAAACAAATATTATAACTAAAGTCTTATGATATTATACACATCTACATTTCAGGAAGGCCCCCTTGACTAACACATTTCAAAGAAGGACTAAAAACTAAATAAAATACGAATATTTAGAAGATATTCATATCATCTCTCTTTTTAGTGAATAAAGAGTGGTGAATGTAATTCTCTTTCAATTATGGGTATATACACAAACTAGTTTCACAAGTAATTTTATAATCATTGTAACCACTGACAATTGATTAGGTTTTTTTAAAAAAGTCTCGGCTAGTGTCAATACCATAAATAACATGACCTGATTTCAGCATTTCACGTTTCAGTAATTTAAGATTTCCAATAATATATGTGCAAAATTTAAATAAAAAATATACAACTTATAAGCTTTGTGACATTACAATTTTTATGATGCAGTAGTTTTGACCTTTGGAGAATATAAACAATTCAGAGATAACATGATCTTTATCTTCTCAGCATGGCACATTGATATATCCTCTCATTTCAATTTATACTCACTGATAATGAGATATGTTTGATGTTTTATGCTTGTTTTTTGAAAAAGTGTTTCATAATTAGAAACTTATTTGGTAATTGTCTGAGTCAGCTAGGACTGATATCACAAAATACCATAGACTGAGTAGTTTAAGCAACAGAAATTTATTTTTAACATTCTGGAGGCTGTAAATCTGATGTCAGGATGCCAGCCAATTCAGAATTGGTTTCTGGTACGGCCTCTCTTCCTGGCTTGCAGATAGCCACCACCTTCTTCCAGTTTGTTACCATCATCTTTCTTTAGTCCCTGGTGTGTGCCTGTGGGGAGGGAGGGAGAGAGAAAGAGAGAGAAAGAATCAGCCCCTCTTCTTATGAGGCTGACAGTTCCATCAGATTAGTACCCTACCTTTATGACCTCATTTAATTTTAAGTACCCCCTAAATGTCCTATCTTCAAATATAGCCACACGTGGGATTATGTCTTCAACATGAATTCTGAAGGGGAAACAATTCAGTCCATAGCAATAATCCTTTGGCATTTGGCACATTTATTTTTTGTGAAAATAACTACATATACATATGCAAAAAATCTCTTATTTATTACATATAACATCTTGTCATTCAGCTTGATTTGGTTGTGGGATAGTCATTAGTTCTATGTGTTTTTGAAATGGGAAAGGTTCCCTTGTCCCCTTGCAAGGTGTGCAACAGGGGGAGTGGCTCGCTTCTTCAGTGCCTCGCTGCTCACATCTCTAGGGGAGCACACAGATGGGCAGGTTTTGGGGCTCCGACCCCACAGCAGTGTCTAAGGATGAATGTTTACAGCTCCTGAATCCCCAGTGGCCATGAGTTACAGGGTGCTCTTTTAGCTTTGCCGTCAATAAGCTCGTGTTAACCAGCTCAATTGGACTGCTGCCTTATTGCAAGGACAGAGGGCTTTCTGTATCCAGTGGTTCTTGCCGTGGGCCTGGAGAATGAATGCAAGATTTTGTTGAGTGGAAGTAGCTCTTAGTAGATGGGGGAGTTGGAAGGGAGATGGTGGCCCCAGCGCTCTTCCGATCGCCACAGCAAAACTCTGTGTCGTTCTGCTGGTCAGTGGCCTGCCGAAGTGCCTGTGCCTGTCTGTGCCTTCCTCTCAATGTCCAGCTGCCTGTGTGTTCCTCCACTGATGTGCTCCTCTCAACGTCCAGCTGCCTATGTGTCTCCCTGCTAGGCTCTCGAGGGTTTCTATAGACACAGGATGGGGTCATGGTAGGCCAGGGTGGTGTTGGGAAATGCAACAATTGGGCATGAAGACAGGAGTACCTGTCCTCACCTAAGTCCATGAGGATGGAGCCCTAGCCAGGGACCACACCCTTCCTCTACCCAGCACTTCCCTTCTCCCCTTCCATATCATTTAAAGGGACTACGCTCTTCCCTTCCCAGCACTTCGTATCATTTATATGTAGTTCTCTGTGTTATAGCTTATTCTATAGAGGTCATTCATTACTGACTTTTACCAATGTTTACTTAAAAATGTTGAAATTTGTTTCTTATAAAATGGAAAACAATCACAAAATCAGGATGACTATTATCAAAAAGACAAGCAATAATAAGTATTACTGAGTGTGTGGAAAAAAGGGAATTTTTTTGTACACTATGGGAATGTACTTCGGTGTAGCCATTATGAAAAACAGTATGAGGTTTTCTAAGAAAATTAAAATAGAATGATCATATAACAGAGCCGTTCCTCTCCTGGGTATATTTCCAAAGGAAATGATATCACCACTCTGTAAAAATATCTACATTTCCAAGTTCATTGCAGTTGTATTCAAAATAGTCAATGAAAACAACCCATGTATCTGTCGATGGATGAATGGATACAGAAATCTATATACATATATGCACACACAATGAAATATTGTTCAGCCTTAAATAAAGAAGATCCTGCCATTTGCCACACATGGATGAACCTGGAGGGCATTATGCTAAGTGAAATAAACCAGACGCAGAAAGAAAATGTTCAATGATCTCATTTATATGTGAAATATTAAAAAACAGAGAAAGAAAAAAACTAAATATACAGAGAATGAAACAGTGTTTATGGGGATGGGACAGAAATGCATAGGTAAATGTAGGTCAAATAATACAAAGTGACAGATATGTAGAATAAACAAGGATAGAGATCTAGTATACAGTATGAGTGCTATAGTTAATAAAAATTACATTGCATTTGATATTTTTGCTAAGCAAATAGGATTTTACCTTTTCTTGCCACAAAAAAAATGGTAACTATGTGAGATGAAGGATATGTGAATTTACTTTACTATGGTAACAATTTTACTGTCTATATGTATCCCATAGCATATGTCACATAACTTAAATATACACAATATAAATAATTTTAAAAAATTAGATCTTAAAGCAACCCTATATATTTGCCTTAACACATAATATAATTGGAATTATATAATATGCAGCCTTTTATTTATGTTTTATTCACTTAGCATAATGTTTTTAAGACTTATTCATGTCATTTATGATATCAACAGGTTGATCCTTTTGATTGCTGAGTAATACCACATTATATGGATGTACTACAGTTTGCTTATACATTTACCAGCTAAAGAACATGTGGATTGATTCCAGTTTGGGGCAGTAGTAAATAAAACAGCTTATAAACATTTTGTTTAGATGTCTGTGTGGATATTTATTTTTTTTCCTCTTGGGTAAATACTAGGTATGAAATTGCTAGGTAACATGTTAAGACACACACACACACACACACACACACACAATTATTTCTACATGAGAGTTTTTATTAGATTCAAGCTGTATGACAATGATACGTGGAGATTTTTAAATTATCTTCAGGAATTTTGAAACTATACCTAAAATGCCAGAAAATACCCCCTATTTGCCCAAGGATCCTTATTTTTCATATTTTACTAAACTGGAAGATAATTTTTATTTTCATAAAGATCCATGATTACATATGTTTACATATAGCTCTGAGTCAACTGATTAAAATCTCCTGGAATTTTATCAACAAACAGAATTGTTCTTTACTATGCAGTAAATATGTATTATTATGTCATTCTATCAGGTCTGCAGAATTTTTAGTTAGAATAGTATGTCAGAGAGCTAGTAGGATGACATAATTTCTTCCTTTTTATGATTATTTGTCAACTGTGGTGATTAAAAAAAACACCTTTCTTTTAAATGTGGAACATTGATTTTCACTTTGAAATCATCTTTTTTCCTTTTAGTCAGATAATTGAACTCCATCCCTAAATTAATGTTATGAAACATTAATTAATATAAACATAAATGAACCCCAAGCTGAATTGAATTTCAGAATGTGTTTAAGTCCTAAATGGTTTTAATGGTTTAAATGATTTTAATCTAAATTATTTAATGATAATTTAAATTAAAAATTGTATAAACAGTTTTAATCAAATACCTGCTTGCACTTGCATGTTTTGGAAAAGACTGAGATGTAATGAAATAAAATTGTCTTTTTAAGATAATTTGTTAGCCAGCTTCATTTACTTTTGATGTATTTTATTACTTTTCTCTGAATGCCTCATGATAAATATACTTTTCCACAAGAATTGCAAAGAACTTTCCCTTTCTTAGTTCCGTTGGATGTTGGATAATTAGCTCTGAAGCTACTTTATTTGATTGTGGATGTGAGGACTGTTTTTTTTCCAAATCCTGAGAGACATTATATGCTGTCTACATGCTGACAGTGTGGTGATGGTGATGGTGATGCTGATGGTGGTTACGATCATGGTAGTGGTCGTGGTTTTGAGGTGATGGTGGAAGTGATGAGGGTGCTAGTGGTGAGGGGATGGTGGTGCTGGTGCTGGTGGTGTTAAAGGGCAGTGACAGAGAATAGAGGAGCTTAGCTTAGATTTCCACATAACTGTCACTGTAATATTGGGAACTCACTGACTGATGTCTGCAAAAAATAACAGATACTCATTAGCTTTAATTTTTCTACTTACATTCCAGAATGAGACGGAAGAGTAGGTTGACTACCTAATAACAGCGCACATGGGCCCACACTGAACATTATAAGCTCCAAAAAATATGCTCCAGAGTTAGGGAGAACATTTTATTCAAAAGACAGCATAGTTATTGTAGAATGCACACAGTAGTAAAACCATATTAAAGGTCATGTCAATATGGAGGAAAAACATACATTCACCAGAGGGAATTTAGAGAAATACAAACATCATTAAAAGGTGAATGATCACTCCAGAAGGAAAGGTTAACATAACCAAATTTTGCTCATTAAAGTATGTAGAGGAAAAAGAAGAGAAAGACACCTTTGGGCTTTTTAATGCCCTTCTTGTGTTCATTGTTCATGTTGAACTTATCTTCAATACTTCATAACATGCTGCTTTAAAATATACAATCTAGAAACATATTGGCTCTTGCCTCCAGCACAACACGTTGCCAACTAGCATGTAAGGATTTAAGATTTTTTTTTTCTTTTCAGATCTCAAGAAATATATATGAACTTGATTTGCTGATGCCAAAACTTGTTACAATGACTGAGAAAACCGCATTAGTAAAGATACAGATTTCAAACACTTTTAACTAAAATGTTATACTTATTTTCAGTCATGTCACTTTCCCTGGTCAGTCATTGTCTGCAAGTGCTAAGCAAACACGTATAAAATTTGGGTAGATGCCACCGAGGTGGAAGTCACTTACTGATTGTACATTCAGCAGAATCTCTGAGATATGATTTCTGTTCTCAGGACTTATCAAAGACAGACTTATAGACCCCATGCCAGTCTTGAGCAAGACTGTGAATGTAGCAGAAGGATTAGCCTACTGAAAAATGCTGCTGGAAAGTGATATTTAGTTTGAAGTTCTCAGTTTTGCATTAGAGGAAAAAATTCAACTCTAGTATTAAAAAAATTAGTATTTTAGGCAAAGTTCATTGGCAGGAAACAAACTAAGAGACTGTCTATTATAGCTCTTTCTGTCACTAAGAATGCTGTGTGGGAACTATATTCACGTGTTTAAGCACTTAAAATTCCACTCACAAAGTATATAAATAACTTGTTTTAGTATTAAATTCAAAGCTTCGAGAATTTGGTGTCCCAAATACCTGTAAAAGTAAGTAGTCTACTTTTTATCATTTTCACAATAAATGTGGCATAAAATGGAATAACTGAAAAATGATTTGTCGGACTACGCAATACTGTGGTTGTTTAAGAAAATTTCAGTTTTTCTTAATTTGTTTTATTTCACTTCTCCTTAATGTTTTTCTCGATTAATACAGTTTTACCAACTTATAGAACATATGTTCTATTTCAGAATAGATGGGATTTTATACATGATATGACTATATTTTGCAATGAAGATAAATCCATATGCAACTATGACAAAGTATTAGAATATGTAAAATTCTGCAAAATATATTTAGAGCATGAATTAATGTGACCCACTGTAATTACATTTAGGCCTTTGAGCATGTAGACTAGTAATTTATTTTATGTTGTAAATGAAAAAGAAAGATTACGAAAAAATAATATAAAGTTCCTCTGTTTTTAATCATAAATGAGGAGAATAACTGACAATATGAATGTTACCATAGGTAAAATAGTTTTTTCCACCACTTGAAAAACATTTTCACTAAAAAATTTTACCGGGTTTATAAAGAATAAGTGACAATGTATTCTGCAGTCTTGTAAAATCGGGTATCATGTCTTCTGAATTTCAAGGTTCTCCATCGCCTTTTCTTCTCTCTTCTATTTTTTAAGTCATTTCTTATTGTTTTCTATTGCCAGTTTTTTTTTCCATTAACTAAGAAATTTTTATTTTCATTTTCTTCATAGAAAGAAATTTATAGAGATCATTGTGCTGCTTCTTCCTTATTCTATGTCTTTTTAGTATTTGAGAACTTGTAACAGGGTTGAGAAAACTTCTGTAAGGAGACAGATAGTAAGTACTGTAGGTATTGTGGTCCATACGGTCTCTGTTCCAACTACTCAGTTCTACTACAGATGAGTCAGGTTTTTGTTTATTTTTATTTTTGTATACAATTTTTGGATTTATTTGTTACAGCAGGTAGCAATAAGCCAATCACTATAACGAAGGCACTTAACCCAGCTTTGCAGGCTGTTTTGAGAAGGCAAATTCCATAATACTGTTAACTAGGCAAACATAGGGTAAAGAACTTTTGTCTGGGCTCTGGATGGAAGCTGCAGACCAGAACCAGGACCAGCCCAGTGGAGGCCAAACTAAATTACATCTCCTTGATGGGATTCTCCTGCTAGCTTGGCCTTATAAATCATATCTTTTTCTTTATAGGCCCTGAGGAAATCCTCTTGCTAGTTTGGCCTTAAAATTCATATCTTTCTCTTTACAGTTCCTGAGGAAGAGACAGAGTCACCTTCTAACATGGGGGTTTAGAAGTGAGCCTGAACAGGAAGGGAGCCACAGACAAATGTAAACTAATGAGTGTTGCCACAGACAAATGTAAACTAATGAGGAAATAAAACTTTATTTACAAAAATAGGCAGTGGGCTGGATTTAGCCTACAGGCCATAGTCTTTTTTGATTGCTTCACTTCACTCAAATTACTATCGCTTTCCCAGTTTATCCCCCAGGAGGAAGTTTACAAGAGATAAAGTTATTCATAGTTCAGATACTTTAACTCTTTTGCTCATTGTTTTCTACATACTTTTTTTTTCCCTTCAAACCATGTTTTGAGGCCTCTACAACAGACGTTGAAGGTATATATGCCTTCCATTTTCAACTCAATTGTAAGAAATTCCAGGCAGGAACCTAGTGTTTCTCTTTATTGCTCAACATCAGTAATTATCCTTCATGTAGACTCTATACATTTTTCTTTACACTTACTTGACCCTTTGTACTACACAAATCAAAACTCTGTGTGTGATATTTGGGAATATTGTACAAAGTAGATCCCTTCTAGGTCTTATCCTTTCATGCCAGATGGATGTCATCTGAATCACATACAAATACTTGGAAAGAGACTTTTTTAAAGAATTTACAGAGGCCAAAGGTCAGCAGGAGAATGCATAGGTGTCCCTGATCTTATTACCTTCTTGAGAGTTTTTCTGGAGTCAGAGACCAGCTGAGCTTAGAGTTCCAGCCTATGTGTCAGGGAAAAGACTTTTCTATTTGGGGTTCTCTCATCTTTCTCCGTTTGTTAATCAATAGTTTTCAACAAATTTCAAAACTTTGCATTTCATATATGCTTATCCCCAATCTCTTTTTTTTTTGCATCTTTGACCCATATAGGTATGTTAGATTGTTTGATATTCCTCCACAAGTCCCTGTATCTTTCTGTTCATTTTCTATAATCTTTTTTCTCTTTTCTTCAGATAGAATTATTACTAGTAATCTGCCTTCATATTCACTGATTTTTTTCTTTGTTATCCACAATCTGCTGGTTCATACATTTAATACATTTAAAAATATATGTTACATTTCAGTTTTAGAATATTCATTTTAATTTTTAAAATTTCCATTTATCTGTTGAGGTTACCTGAACTATTAGCCCATTAATGTTTCCTTTAGTTTATTTTTTGTTATTTGAAAATATTTATAATAGCATCTTTAAAGTACTTGGCTATTAAATCCAGCCTCTGAGAAATCTAGAGATTCTTTGCTATTAACTACCTTTTTCCTTCTTTGGGCAATATTTTCCTGTTGTGTTTTATTAGTTTTCTATGTCTGGTAATTTTGTTTTTTTTTTTGGCATATGGCTATTGTTGATATGTTGTAAAGGATTCAATTCTGTTATCTTATTTTAAAGATTATTGATTTTTATTCCTGTAGGCAGATCAATCACCATTTGATCACATATATCAAAGTTTTGTGTTCCGTTATGGTTTTATGTTTTGTTAGGGAAGATCTTTGGAATGTCTAAGGTGTTTCCATGGTTCTCATAAATTAACTAGGTCCAACCATGAAATGCTTTCTTTTTTTCTTAGGATGTTGTCTGGGTTTGGTTTTAGACTTGCTTAGGGTGGGCCTAGGGTAGATTTTCCTCCTGGTTGTGGTCCTTACCTTTAAGTTGAGGAATTGCTAGTATATCAACTGGATGGAAGGAGTGTTGCAAACAAGGTATTAATGAAGTCTCCACTGTGGTTGTGTTGTACCTCTAACATCGTCAGTGCTGTCTTACCTCAAGTGTCACTCTTTCTTTCTCAAGCAGACAGAAGCTGCTTTATCAGCCACTTCTAGTAAGACTTTTGTAAGCATAACCCAGATAATAGCCAGGGACTTGAAGGAAACTTCTGTTAAAGAAAACCAGAATTGGAAAATAATTGGAACGGTAAAAATATTGTATTCAAAACTATTACAAAAGAGGAAAAGAGACGTTAGTATAGAACAAGGTTCAATTCCAAATCCATCATGGAAATGTGAGGATTTGTAGCCAAGGAGCATGATGTGGTTTTCAGGGGATGGACAGTTACTAAGAGGAAACATCAAGGATATGAAATATTCTTGCTAAACCAACTTGACAGGATTCTTAAGGCAGTGCAGGGTGATTAGATATTGTCTGGAGAATGGTTGGGGATGTGGAATTTGTTGGAATACCCAGGGTGATCAGATACCAAGGGTGAAAGATTTTCACTAAACTGACTCAGGAAGATTCTTGCTAAAACTGATTGATGCGTGCCAGATGAGATAGACACCAATGTTGCAGCCTACAGCACCTTGAAGAACCTGATTAGCGTTTGGTCAATGAGACTTTTTCAACTCCCATTTACATTTTTGACACCTTCCCTGTGAGGATTTTCTTCTCTAGTGCCCTCCCCTGTCTCTTCTAGCAACTCGAACTTTCCTTTACTCTGGTCTCTGCCTCCTAGTCTCAACAGAATCCCTCTATTCTAATTGAATTCTACACCGTAGTCAGGCATAGAATTTCTGACATCCAGGCACACAGCTGAGTGACTATGGGACTCAACTCTTGGGTTCCTCTAGTCTCTGGATTAACAGTCTATGCTGGCTGTTGTCCAATATCTGAAAACTATAATCATATATTTGTTCACCTTGTTATTGTTTACTATGAGGGCTAACCTACACCACTCTAGATACCAAGTAACTTATGTTAGGTGGAGGTGGAAATATTTTTGGATATTTTAGGTTTATATAATTATTAAATATATTTGTGTCAATTTTTAAGATATACCCATGTTGGTATAATTAGCTATTGTAACATATTTTCATTGCTTTATTATATCAATGTATCTATTAAATGAATGCAGAACAATATATTTATTATATTATTGTGAAGCTTTGGGATTTTTTTCTTTCAATTTTAAACTTGTATTAACAATCTTGATATGAAAAAGTTTGTACATGTGTCTTGATGTTTACATGCACACATTGTTTTATGGTATTTTGAGAGTGGAATTGCCAGGTTGCACTGTTTGCAGTGTGTTTAGTTTTACACAACAGCAGTAAGACATTGTCCTACTTTATAGTCCCATGAACATAGTAGTAGAGTTTCTATTTCTTCATATCCTTGCCAAATGCTTGGTATTTTCTGAACTTTTAATTTAGAATAGTTTGTATATTCTTTTAAAATAAATGTTAAAATAATTTTGTAGATTTAAATTAAGTCCATGTTCTTACCTGAGTAAGAAAACAACAGACACAAGAAAATACACAAGGATTTATGACATTTAAAGCAACATTTATATAATTATAAGTATTTAAATTAAAAATGTTCTTAACAGTTGATGCAATTTCAGGAGATAAATCTTAATTCTTCCATGTTATTTTAAAGTCAGCAGTTGTCATAACCATCACAACTGTTTATTTATCTGCATATTTTTCCAGTCCTGTTAAGAGTTTAACTAATGTAACAGTATACAGCATGCTTTCCTTTTAGACGAGCTCTATTCACATCTGTTTGTTACCTTTGAGAAAGACACATTAACAACTTGCCCTGTGCAGCAGATTTTGCCAGTGACTTGCTGCCAATTGGGTATTAAAGGGAATTGGGAACACATGCTTTATTTTAAAAATCCCTAACAATTTGGATTGGTTGCTTTTGGACTGAACTAATTGACACTCAATCACTGTCATGCTACCTCGACTGCCTACAATAATCATTTGAGGGACAATGGTTTGCAAGTTGCACTTCATGAGTTTGGATCTGAATGACAGTATCGAAGTAAGTGCTGCCATCTGACCCATTTTACAATGGAGTAGAAAATGCAGCTCCCATTGAAAATCTCCTAACTGTACTAATTTATATTCATCTGATAACCCATTGAGGGGAAAATGGGAATGAGCTGGCAGGTGGCCTTTCAGATATAAAGGGCACATGGCAAACTGGTTGTTTGTTGCTTACTCACACTGGAATACTAAAGATATCGCAGAATATGCATATTGCTGGAATTTCATTTTTTAGATTCTGATCAGCACTCTATTCATAATCTAAAAATTATAATTTAGAAATCTTACATAAGTGAGACACATTTGTGTGTATTTAATACATTTATGAACATAACATATGGTTTCTTCTTAACAGCTCATGTCAGAATTAGAGCTAGGATTACCGTATTATCATTTATGCAGCTTTAATGCATATAATTTTTTGTAGGATTTTTTTTCAGCTTAATGAATGAAAAGGCAGCCACTCATTTCTCTAAAGGCACTGGCTGTAATGATTTTTTATAATGCTGGCACCAACTGGCTAGAAAACATCCCTTTGAAATATGAATTTAAAAAGATATTCCTCGGAACACATTTAGATCAAAGTGAGAAAATGTTATTTAAAGTCTGAAAATAAAAACGACTAATTTCCTTTCTTTTATTAAATGTATATAAGAAAACTCATATAAGTTCAGTAAAATAGTCCTCTCTTTTATTAAGCCTTTAATCTTTAACGATTATTGTTTGATTATTAAAAAAACTTGTGTTTTTTTTGTGTTTACTTTTAGAATTGTATGGGTCTGAAAAAATAGAAATGACTCTTATTACTCTTTTAGGCATATTTTCCTCAAATTCTATAGGTCACATTGAGAAGCAATTTATTTTATGTGATAAATTGTTTTCCTAATTGATCTAACCCAATTCTATATTTACAGTAATGATTGAAAATGTCAACATCTTAATTTCTTAAAATGGCAAATTTATTCATCTCCTTCTAGTACATAATTAATAACTTATATTTTAAAAACACAATATAACACACCATGATCCAATACTGGATATATTTCTGAGAGACTGTATTTGTGAAATTAACAACTTTATTTTTAAATATTTTAAAAGAGTCAAAGTTCATAATTAATGCATAAACATGAAAAGAATAGAAAGCAATATCAACTTCTGACTTCTTACCAAGTACAGCATAATGTGTACTGTTAATGATGAAGAAATTACATGAAACAGGAAGCAAAATATAAGTTGTCAAATAAGGAGGAAGTGAAAATAAGGGACAATAAGAGCTGCAATTGTTTAAATTCTACTGTTCCTGGAACTCTGTTAACTTCCTTACATGCTTTTTTCATGCACTCCTTGCAACAACTGTATGAAATACTCTTATTATCTATGATTTTCATACATTTATATACACGTAAATTATTCAGATATATAGTAACAGCTCTGTACATAAATATTTATACTTTACAGATAAGGACATTGAAGCCCAGCTGAGAGCAATTAACTTGCCCAAGGTCCTACAGCCATTGAGTTGAAGAAATGGAGTTGGAGCTCAGTTTGGCCAATGTTAATGCCCAAGTTCTGTTTTCCTTCCCTGTCAACTAACAATTGAGAGGGTATTCACTCTGAGCATGATTATGGAGAATGAAAGACCTTACAATAGATTATGAGTAAAAATATCTGGATTTCTCAGAACTATGACAGAAAATTAAAAGTATATTTAGAAATAAACTAAGACTAAATTTGACATTTATTTTCTTGATATAAAAATCCTGAAATAAAAAGAGTGTAAGTTTGTTGTTTGTTTTCGTAATCTAGGGCTATTTCTGGAAACAACATGAGGAGGAGTATTTCAAAATAATAGTCATTTTGAATTATTAATAGGAAGGTGCATTATTGTGTAACCTTAATATTACTGCATTGGTCAATTTATCAAATTACATTCCTGTGTTTTGTCAAAAAAGGAAAGGTTATATATGAACTATGAATATTTCAGGTAGTAGGTACTCAAATCATGTTTGTTGAAAATTGTATGAATTAATAAAAATAACTTAAAAATAATATGGATGGCTATAAACATCTCAATTATTTAATAATGTATTTTATAAAATAATCATGAAGTCAGTCATGATTCATTTTCCTTCTGTTATCTGACCCTGGTATTATCTTTGCCAATTGTTTTAATTACTATGGCTGTTTGTGCATCATGCATATAAAATATTGGATTTCCATACTTTTGTGCTGCAAGACAATTTTGCATTGGGCACAGATTTTTGAATTGTAAAAAAATAGAAGTACATGTCACACAGTATCATTTGGATGGTGTGATTACTGAATAAAAATTTACTGAAAAAAGCAGTATAAAAACTAATTAAATCAGCATTTACATTTTACATATATATTTTATGAATATGTATGTCAAATTTATACTATATAGTGTTTGTATAGTTACTCAAATGGAAATTTCTTTGCTTAATCCAAAAACTTTTATGTATACCCCAGTAGTGTTTATATTCTATGTTTTAAAATGATTTCTGTGGTAGTAATGAGTACATATTTTGCACAAGAAGAGCAAACTAATGCAGTGGAACAAGTTCCATTGCTGGGGAATCTCAGCTACAATACCTAATAACTCTATGATTTTGGACACATTTTTAATCTTGTTGTGGTTTCATTCCCTTGTCTTTACCAGGAAAATGTATATTTACCAAGTAGCTGGTGTACCATTAAAACAAATCCTATGCAGTACATTTAAAATAAATTAGAGCAATAGATCATTCTAATAGACAGTATTTTGATTATATAAAGACTTAGGTATGAAACTAACAAAATATCAAAACTTAGAGGCTATTGTATTAGTACAATAATTTATTCACTCATCATCCACCTTATATTTAGTGAATCTTAATGTGCACAGCACTATGTCAAACTGTAAGAGTTACAAATATTTATCCATCATATATTTTATCTTCAAGATATGTCACTTTTAAATATAAACATGAAGGAATTAAAATAAAATATCATGTTTTTATTTCATAAATAAAATATTATTTTATCAAGTTTTTAATAGAATTCTGTAGAAATTGACAGGAAAAAGCTAATTTCAACTCTGAAATATTGGGTATAGCAATTCCTCTGAGACTTATAGATGGATTTGGCTGGGGAAAAGACATGTGAGAATAAAATAAGACTTGCTGTTGGGAAAAGTATGGGAAATATAGTAAAAATTAGGAAATAGGATATGGAATTTCACATTTTAAGGCAATCATTTACTACAAGAGATATATTAATAATCAAATGTATTTTCTGTCCCCAAAAGAAATGGGACCATGAAACTGTTTACTAAATAAAGTACGCAAGTGACATCCTTATAACACACTCATCATTTCTTCCATTATCTTCTCCCCACCCTTGAACCTTGCTTTTTCATAAACATCTTCTTTTCTAAAAAAGTCTCATTGAATTAAAATAGCATAAGAAACTACCCAAGACATATATTTCTGAAATTGAAAGGAAAATGTCCTATTTTGGCAACAACTGATCTGGCTAAAGTAAAGCTATTGTTAGAAAATGGTTGAAAAACTAAGTTCAATAGCTAGTATGGACTTTGCTGGGAAAATTCTGGAAACAGTATATGATTAAAGCAAAATTTTAGGGTAGGGACTATGGCAACAGCAGTACAATGAACTTGAAATAAAGTACATCCCTAAAGGCATAGAGATTTGGTGGGAGATTTTAGCAGAAATCCACAAATAATTAAACCTGGACAGAGTGGTGGATGTTAACTTGAGAGGGAATACATAGCAAACATTTCATGGTGTCAATAGTAAAGGATGATGTTTGGTTGGATACTGAAAGCAAAAGGGATGATCCTAGATTCTTAAAAAAAAAAAACAAATGAAACTATTAATGAAAAAGGGAAGCTGGGTAAATGAGTTATTTTTCAATTAAGATAATTATTTTAGTTTTGGAAGTTTTAAGTTTATGACAGTAGCAGAGCCAAATATTGATTTTACAGATGTGGTATTATTCTTAAAATTTATAACACCTATTCTTCAAAAGAAAAATAATAAAATAAAATAAAAAAGGAACTGATTCTTGCAAGATACTTAAACATACTTTAGGTAGAAGAGTATCAATTAAAAATTGTTTTAAAAGGATCACAGACACCTGAATCAATTAACTGTTTAGGAGGATAGACAATTACAGCTGGGATATGTTTCCTTTACTTATTAAGAAATGAATAAAACTCATGATTTGAGTACCTACTACCTGAAATATTCATAGTTCATATATAACCTTTTCTTTTTTGACAAAACACAGCAATGTAATTTGATAAATTGACCAATGCAGTAATATTAAGGTTACACAATAATGCACCTTCCTATTAATAATTCAAAATGACTATTATTTTGAAATACTCCTCCTCATATTGTTTCCAAAAATAGCCCTAGATTACGAAAACAAAGAACAAACTTACACTCTTTTTATTTCAGGATTTTTATATCGAGAAAATAAATGTCAAATTTAGTCTTAGTTTATTTCTAAATATACTTTTAATTTTCTGCCTTAGAGAATTATTTTATTCTAAAATATGCTTTGGGTTAAAACAATTTTGCCTTATAACATTATTTCTCCAGGGCTCTACTTGGAGATGAATTGACCTTTTGACCATTATCCGAGTTGAGCAATGCATGCCTTTTTCAGCTATCATACTTTGAATAATAAGAAAACATTTAATTAATAATATTAATTTTAATATCTTACCCTCTATGAATATAATATAAATTGCTTCCCTATTAAAAGAAAATCTGCGTCCATAACATAACATCGTAATTCAGTGATGGTATTTCTGCAGAGAAGTTAAGCCAATGTACACCAAGTACATTGCATGTGGGATTTAACTTAACACTGGGATAGAGTTTACAGAACATGCTTCTTTCTCTCAGCTATTAGATTCTCAGCTGAGCTGTTAGCTAGTGCTGGGTCATTCAATTGAGTTGCACATGGTTTCACTATAGCTTAGAGTTATGGTATTCTGAGCTATTGATTAAAGTTATCCATATGTTTTAGGTTCTAAACATTCAGGTAGAAAAGCTGAATTTCTCTTATGACATTTAGGAAGCCTCAGTTGTATTCTCATTCTGATGAGGGGCTTCTCCTTAAGTTGGTGATACAGGTATACAACCTGAGTGAAAATTCAGAACCAAAGAAATAGCCTTGGGGATGAAAAAGCAGAAAACAAACAAACAAGCAGAGAAAACAAGTGACATGACTATTTTTACAAATCAGAAAGATGGTGTAAATGGTGGGTAAGAGAGGGCAAGACTGGAGACAGACTATCAAATTCTGATAACAATGGATGAGGACAAACTGAACCATCTGAGTAAATATTAGAGTAAAAAATATTTAAGAGAGAGAAACAAAAGATTCATTGATTGTCTAAATATGTATGATCTAGAGAGAGAGAGATCTAAAATAACTCCAAGTATTTTAGATTGGGCACATAATATCAGTTTATTAATGGGAAGAGGATTGGAACACAGATGAATCAAAGTTATGGAAGATTCCCTTATTAAGAAATCAGGAAGAGTCCGAGGAATAGGCAAATAAGTCAAAAAATAATAATGCGGTATCTCGATAGCAAGGGATGTCTATCAAATAACTTTAGATAACATACCACGATTGAGGAATATATAAGGCATCATAGAGCCATGAAAGAAGGAATACTCATTTTTACATCAGCAATCTGATAGATTGCCTGTGGCATTTGAGGTGGGATTCTGGTGAGGATGACAGTTTTTATACAGAAAGTTGTCCTCAAGCTAAGTATTGAAAGATAATAAACCAGTGTGATTAGATTTTAAATTATAATTTGGCAGTTAGTAGACATAATCTAAGTAATATTTGCTGGATTGGGAACATTATTTCTGGGAACAATTTAGTTTCTGCAGATGTAGCAGTAGTCAATTACTCCACACCAAAAATATGCACTACCTTCCATAAATCAAAAACCAACATCAGCAAAGCATATTATAATAGCATGGTTTCAACCATTATGTTTAAAAAATGTAAAATAAAAGATGGAAATCAAGAAGATCTACAATTAAATATCCCATGCAATATTTAAAGAATTTTTTAATTTGATTAGAGATTCACAGGAAGTTTTAAAAATAAGAATAGTCTCATGTATACCCAACTTCTTTCAGTGGTGATACCTTATGTAGGTATAATACAACAAAACTAGGAAATTGACTTTGGTACATTACTGTTGACTGAACAGTGAACCTAATTTAGTTTTCACCTTTAAAAAGGCATTTACATTCATCCACTTGTATGTGTGTATGCAGGTCTGTGCAGTTTTATTCCATGTATAAATTTGTAGAACCATCATTGCAATCAAGATGTAGAACTGTTCATCTCCACAGAACAATTCCCAGAGGTATATCTTTGTATTTGCACCCATCCCCCAGCCCCTGTCCCTGTCTTCTAGCAACCAGTAATTTGTTCTTCATCTCTACAGTTTTTTTCATTTCAAGAACATTATATAAATGGAATCATCAGTGCATAAACTTGCAAGATTGACTTTTTTTCACTAAACTTAATGTTCTTGAGTTCACTCAAGCTATTGCATGCATCAGCAATGCATTCCTTTGTATTGCTATGTAGCATTCCATTGTGTGAGTATCCCAGGCTTTGTTCAACCATGCATCCATTGAAGGATGTGTTGGTTGTTTCCAGGATTCTGCTACTACAATTAAGCTGCTATGAACATTTGTGTAGAGATGTTTGTTTAAATAGAAGTTTTTAATCATGTAGAGTAAATGTCAAAGAGTGTAACTTATGGGTCATATGATAAGTACATGCTTAGTTTTGTAAGAAATTGCTGCAATGGTGGTTGTTTTTATTTTGGCAGTTTAATATTATGCATTTGTGACATATTTCCTTTTAACAATTATGTTTTCAGGTTTGAAACCTTCTTTGCAATGTCAGTTCTAGATGATGTTCTTTTTGCTCCTGTATCAATGTCTACATTATGTAGAATACATCGGTAAAAAAAAAAAAATGAAAACACTGTTAACAGTAGTCCAGGTATATATAATTACATACTCACATTTGTTTCAGTAGTCCTTGCTCTATCTAAAAGTTGCACTAGTCTGCAAATATTAACAAAGTACTGCTTAAAAATAATATAATTATTATTACATGTGTAATGTTTTCTTACCATAGAGGCAGTAGAATGGCTTGAAAATTTATTTAAAGTAACATTCCCCAGCCTAAGCCTAAAATTATCACTGTGAGTTCAAGCAGACTAGAGACATAATTGATTAAAGCAAGATGTTTCCCATTTTACAAATGCATGTAACATAAATAACAACAAAAATTGAGCTGCTTAGGCATTCCTCTTGGTATTACTCCAAATTAAAGTATAATATAAAACCTGTTTTGAAAATTTTAATGTTTTCTTAATTAATAGCTTTATCAGTGTAACTGACATAAAATAGACTGAACTTGTTTAAACTGCACAGTCAGTTAACTTTTGGTATATTATGCATGAGTGAATGCATCACAATAATCAAAATTAAGAACATCATTATTTCCAAATTTGCTATGTGATTCCTCGTAATTGCCCCCTTTCATCCTTCTCACCTCCTTCTGCATTCACAGGAAGTCGATGATCTGTCTGGTTTCTGTCACTGTAGATTATTCCAAATACTTTTACGCAGTGTTTTTCGTTTGTTGTTGTTGTTGTTGTTTTGAGACATGGTTCGCACACTGCTGCCCAGGCTGCTGGACTGCAGTGGCACCATATTGTCTTACTGCAGCCTTGACTTTCTGGACTTAGATGATTTTCCTGCCTCAGTCTCCCGAGTAGCTGGGACTACAGGCACGCACTACCATGCCTGGCTAATTTTTGTACTTTCTGTAGAGATGGGGTTTCACCATGTTGCCCAGGCTGGTCTTCAACTCCTGGGCTCAAGCAATCCACCCGCCTTGACCTCCCAAAGTGCTGGAATTACAGGCGTAAGTCATTGCAACCGGTCCCAAAATAATCATCATTACATTTCTATCAGTGGCGTATGAGAGTTTACATTATTTTATAACCTCTCCAACAGTTGGTATATATGGTTTTTGCTTGTTTGTTTTTAGACATGTTAATATGTGTTTAGTATTTTCTATTTGTGGTTTTAATTTTTGTTTCTCTAATAGCGAATCATGTTGAGCATCATTCAGTACTTACTTGTCAACTACATGATTTCTCTGGTGAAGTCTACACTCAAATCTTGATTATTTTTTAAATTGGGTTAATACTATTGTTGAGATTTGAGCATTCTACACATATTCTGCATACAGTATTCTGCCATAGAGGTGATTCACAAATATTTTTTCCTAATCTGTGTTTGACTTCCATTCTTTTAAGAGGCTGTTTGAAGGACAAAAGTTCATAAATTTTTTGAAGTACAATTGTATTTTTGTGTTACGGATTTAATTTTAGTGTCTTACCTATCAGAGATATTTGCTTAAAACAAGATCACAAATGTTTTTCCTTATGTTTTCTTTTAGAAATTTATACTTTTTAGTTTTACATCTAATTTTTTAATCCATTTTGAGATACTTTTTGCATATAATGTGATGTATGAATTATATTTTAGTTTTTTGCAAACGGATATACAATTTTTTTCTAGTACTATTAATGGAAAAACTTGTCTCTTCTTTATCGACTGTCTCAGGGGTTGACAAACTGTCTCCTGCCAGTCTAATCCGTTCTGGCACCTGTTTTTATAAATAAAGTTTTATTGTAATATAGTCCCTCTCATTCGTATAGGTATTTTTTATGGCCACCCATGTGCTGCAACAGCAGATTTGAGTAGTTGTGGCAAAGACTATATAGATAGAAAAGTCTAATATATTTACTACCTGGATTGTTACAAAAGGTTTGCTGACTCCTGGAACGGGCTTTGCAGCTTTTTTGAAAATCCTTTGAACATATATATGTGTATGGACATACTTATTTAATCTTTACTTGTTTCACTGATGTAAGTTGACATTGATACTGCAGGTGATTCCTGCACCTTTATGAGGGTTCTTTAAGACAGAAAGTGTAAATTCTATAACTTTTTTTTTTCTTTTGCAAAGTTGTTTGGCTCTTCTCAGTCCTTTGCATTTCTGTATGTATTCCATGAGAAACAGTTTGTGAATATTTAAAATAAAGGCCTCCTGAGTGTTTTATAGAGATGTCAAAGAATTATAGACCAATTTGGGGAGAACTGACATCATAAGAATATTCATTCTTTTGATCCATGAGCATGAGATATTTCTCCATTTATTTAGATTTTAAATCTCTCTCAGTAGTGTTTTCCTTGTGGAGGTATTTTAAACTACATATTCAATTTCTTTAATAGCTTTAAGGCTGTCTAGTTTATTTCTATCTTCTTGAGTGAGCTTCAGAAGTTTCCTAAGGAGTTTGTTCATTATATTTAAATTGCTGAATTTATTGGAATAAAATTGTTCATAATATTCCTTTATTATTTAAATATCTGTGGAATCTTTGATGATACCTGTTTCACTCCTGATATTGGCAAGTTGTGTCTTCTCTATCTTTTTTCTTGTTTAGCCAATTTAGATGGTTATTGGTTTTTATTAAACTCAAACAGCCTGTTTTTGGTTTGATTGAATAACTCATATTGTTTTCCTGTGTTCTATTTCTTTGATATCCCATTTTGATCTTTATAATTTTCTTTTTTCTGCTTATTTTGTATTTTATTTGCTCTGCTTTTTCAAGTACATCAAGGTGGAACTGAGGTAATAGATTTGAGTCTTTTCTTATTTTTTAATGTAGTTACCTTAGGGTTATTAATTTCCCTTTAAATACTGCTTTAGCCACATCCTGCAAATATTGATATGTTGTGCCTTAATTTTCCTTATGCTCAAAATGCTTTCATTATTCACTTTTTTTCTTATTTGATGGATGGGTTGAGAAGTATGTTATTATATTCTCAAATATTTGGGAATTTTCCAAAAATTTTTATATTATATATCAGCAATATAATTCCATTATGGTCAGAGAATATACTTTGTATGATCTGAGTCATTTTAATTTTTTGAGATATTATATGGCTGAAAATATGGTGTATCTTGGTTAAAATGTACTGTATCGTAGAAAACATATTTGTATTCTGCTATTATTGGTTGGAGTATTCTATAAATGTGAACTAGATCAAGTTGGCTACTACTGTTGCCAATGTCTACTATATCACTACTGATTATTTGTGTTTTATAAAGTCTTGAGAGGAGTTATTATACTCTCTGACTATAATTTTGGATTTGCCTATTTCTCTGTCTATAGTTTGTATTGGTTTGTTGCAATTCTATCACTATTTGCTTCTTGCATTTGAAACCCTGTTAGGTTGATAAATTAGAATTTAGAAGTTAGAATTGTTTATTTTCTCTTGCTGAATTGACCACTTTGTCATGATAAAATAACCTTCATCATATTTGGAAGTATATTTTGTTTTGAAATCTGTTTCCACTGATGTTGATATAACTACTCCATGTTTCTTTTGGTTAGTGTTATAATTACTTTTGATTACTGTATAGCATATTTGGACTATATATATTTCTTTTGATTACTGTATAGTATACCTCTTTCCATCTTTTTTACTTTTATTCTATGTGATATTGATATATATAACATATATATGAGTCATACATACACATACACATATATATATATACGTATATACACACATACATATACATATGTGTATATATACATTTTACTTCTACATATTATAATTCCCATAATACATCATTAAACATTATATATTATAATACTTATAATGCTTTATTATACATATATGCATATATGTATATAAAACTCTTATAACCAGCATATAGTTCAGTGTGTTTCTGTAGCCAGTTAAAAAAACTCTGCATTTAATTGGGATGTTTAGATATTTTTCGGATAACACTTAATGATTATTAGTATAGGTCCTTAGTTGTGTCTGTCATCTTGCTATTTGTGTCCTATTTGTCCCATTTATCTGTATTCCTCTTTAAATCTATTTTTATTCCTACCTTTGGATTATTTAAGTAATTTGTACTATTATTTTTTCATATTTTGTTGTATTAGTTATAACTTCTTGTCTTATCATGTTTATTATTTTAGGGGTTATAAGATTCACGGGTAACTCATCATAATGTACTTTCAAATGATAATATACAACTTATTATATAGTATAAAGGCCATCTGAAAAATCCTTTATTTTTCCTCTCCTAGAATTTATGTTATTGTTATCATACATTTTACATCTGCATATTATAATCCCTATAACACATTATTGTTTTTACTGTCAAAGATTATCTTCATCAGATATTTAAATAGTAAGAAAAATGCTCTAGATTTATGCCGTTTTAATTATGTCATTACCATTTCTGACACTCTTTGTACCTTTATGTAGAAATAAGTTTCTGTTTGTTATTTTCCTTTACACAGAAGGACTTCCCTCAACATTTATTGTAGTGCAAGTTTGCTAATAATTATTTCAAGCTTTTGTTTGTGTAAAAAAGCTTTTATTACATTTTTGTTTTTAGAAAGAGAGCTTAAATGCATAGGAATGCTAGTTTACTTTTTCCTTTCAGCACTTTAAAAATGTTGCTCTACTGTCTTCTAACTTGTGTTGTCTGACAAGAAATCTGCTTCTGTCATTCTTATCTTTGTTTTTCCATATATAAGGTAACTTTTTCTTCTCGATCTTTGTAGATTGTTTTGTTTGTTTTCCCAATTTAACTGCTGATATTAAGCAGTTTTACAATAATGTGTTTTGGTGTTGGTTTTTGAAAAAAATTCTTCTAGTTGAGATTCATTTAATTTCTTAGATCTATGGCTTTATAGTTTTCATCAAATTTTAAAAATACTGTTGGCAATTATTTTTTCAATTTTTATTATTTTGGATATCTCTCTTTTGGAATTTTATAACTCATATATTTGGCTCTTTGAAATTGTCCTGTAGGTCACCAGAAATGTTTAATGTAGCTTCAATTTTTTGTAGGGTATTTTTCAAGTCACACATTATTTTTCTTACCTCTGGAATTTAGGTTTAAATCTCTTTTATATTTTCCATGTTACTTCTTCCAGTTTTCCTAATACAAGAAATACAGCCTTAGTAACTGCTTTAATGTATTTGTGTATTAATTCTATGATTTGTGTTATTTCTGTGTCAGTGTCTCTCTTTTTTTTAACCATGGTTTTTCATTTTCTTGTTTTGTGTATCACTGGTAATTTTCATTGGTTGTCAGACATTGTAAACTTCATCTTGTTGGATTTTGGGACTTGTATGCTTATAAGTATCTTTGAACTTTATTCTCAGACATAGCAAAGTTACTTAGGAACTGTTTAATTCTTCTGGGTCTTAATTTTAGGTTTAGTTAGTGTAGGAGTTTTCTATTGCTGCAGAGCAAATTATCACGATGTTAGTGACTTAACAAACATTTATTATCTCATAGTTTCTGTGGATTAGGTGACACAGCACTTAGGTGGGTCTTCTTTTCAAGGTCTCAGTCTTGGATAGACTGCATTCTTGGATGGGCTGCATTATTTTCTGGAGCTCGTGGTCTTCTTACATGCACATATGCTTGTTGGCAGAATTAAGTTGCTTGAAGTTGTAGGACTGCAGTCTCAATTTGACTGGCTGTCAATCAGGTTCCACTTTTAACTCTTAGAGGCCTCTTCAATTCCTTGACATGTGTCCGTCTCACAGCACAGCAGCTTACCTTTTCAAAAAAATAGCAGTAAAGTCACTCTCTTCCAAAAAGGCCCAGGCCCCGCTTTGAGGGCTTTCACTTGATTAAATCAAGCCCAACCCAAATAATCTTTCTTTTCATTAATTTAAAGACTAACTCGAAACTTTAATTACACCTCCACAATCCTTCCGCCTTTGCTATAGAACATATCTCCTATATTTGAATATAAAATTCCATTGTATCCACAGATTATACCCGTACTCAATGGGACAAGATTATATAGAGTGTGTATATCACGGGGCAAGAATCTTGGGGACCATTTTAGGATCCTGCCCACTACATGTTGTCAGTAGGTGTACAGCACTATTTAGTCTAGGGTTAATGTTACCTAGCTACTGAGAATATCTCTCTGTTAGCACTCTATTTTATTATGAGGTTTTCTGCTCTTACTGTTGGGAACAGGAGCTTTACCTGGCTAAGTGATCTTCAGTCACTGTCCCTTGTATTCCTTTTAAGTCATTTTTTTCCCTCTGGGCTCAGATGATATCCTCATATGCATAAGATAATCAGTATTTGAATAAATACTTAGAGGAATTCTGTGCAGATCTCAGGAGTTCTTTCTCTATGCATCTTTGTCCTTGCCCATACTCTGCTCAGTAAACTCTTTTCACCTTGGTTTCTCTGGACTCAGATTCATGCCCTCAACTGAGGGCTACCTAGAAATTTTTTCTAGGTAACAAGCTGCAGCAATCATAGTGTCTACGTCTTTTGTTTACAACCTCTCATGGACCATTGATATTTGTTGTTTAATTTTCAATGTCTTTGATGTTATTTTTTCATAGATTTTGTCTGAATGTTTTAATTGCTTCAGGTGGGATGTCAGACCCTATTACTCCATCTTGACCAGAAGAGGAAGTCCCACAATTATCTCTTGGCCTATTTTTCTTTACTAGTTCAAAATTCTCTCAAAACTATATCACCACTTCCTATTCAGAAACTTTTCATTGGTCTACAATGACTTTAGAATATATTCTTAGTTCTTTCGCTTAAAATTTGAGGTTCATAACTATTTTTCATTTACCCCATTTCTGAATCAATCTAAAAAATGATTTCCTTTCACACATCAACATGGATTCTATGGTTTTCCTCAAAGTTACTCTGTACCCTCCTGCCTTCTAGTTTTTTCATGTTCTTAATGATATGTCAGATATTCTCCCTCACAACCCCACTCCTCGCTGGTGAAAGACTTCACAGACAATGTTCTTAATTTCTAATGCTGCTGCTTCTTTCCAGAAGTCTTTCTTGATTTTACCATACCTTTTCTTTTCCCATTCACTTCTGTTCTTCCAAAGGGCGTGGAATATTATAATGGCACATAACATGCACTTCTTTGTGTTGCCTTTGTGATGTACATGGTAGTTTTTTCCTCTTACAGTAAAAAGCTTTTAAGGTCAGTGAACAAATCCTTTTTATATTTTGTATCCCTATCCTGTTCCCTCTTCCCCGTATACATATATACTCGTAAAAATTCTAATTAAGTATTTTACTTCTGTATATGCACAGCAATATTAAGACACGGGTGTGGGAACTACCTCAGATCAGGCATATTCTAAACTACAGAATAAGTTGATACATGCCTATAGAGTTTTGAACATTTATGTTATTTTTTAGTTTCCTAAATGATTGTTTTGAAAGAGTAGGTTTGAATGAGGAAATAATTTCTTTCATATTTCTGCCAAGTGGCATAGAGAAAATATAAGAAAAGGTATAGTACTCACAGGGAATAGTACTACTGAAAAAAACTGTTTGCTAAGACACGACAAGAACACTATGGTTGCTTTTGGTAATATTTTTTAAATATTTCCTTGGCAGTAAATCAGTTAATTTTTTGGTTTAAATTAGGATATACTATTTCACCAATAAAATGCGCATGTGGGTAGAGAGAAGTGGTAAGTAGCATACCTGTAACAAAATCAAATCTAGATATTAATTCTAGGTATATTAAATTGTGAGCCAATTATGGAAGGAGACACCTTATGGAGTGGAAGAAATGAGAGAGCCGTGAAAGGCATGCTCTAACTAATAAGCCAAAGTCTAATTTGAAGATAAGATTAACTAATGATATGGCATATGTGTGTGTGTGTGTGTGTGTTTGTGTGTGTGTGTAATTTAACATATTAGTAAGCCTAAATGCTACAAAACATATGAGTAGGATCTTTATTAAGTATAAAATACTCTGAAATTAGAACATCATCTGTAAATTTATTTTATAAACTTACGTTTTCCTTCCATCTCACAAGTATATTCTCATTAAAGTTTCAGGTACTGAGAAATAGTCAAATACAATAAAAAATTGCTGGTCTGAGGACAGGAGATACATGCAGTGTGCAAGTATCGTATTTGTAATTAGATACAAATTAGGTAGAACACAGGACATACTAGATGTTCCTTTTCACTTCTATTTTTTTCTATGTCTTCTTCAAAATGTATACAGTTTAGGAGTTAATTCTGCTTTTCTCAAAGAGTTCTGTGTAAAGAAATATATTTAAGACCCTGTGCTGGCCTTTATGGCATATGGTACAAGACAGGAAATCCCAAGTTCATCAGCAGATGCTACTTTCCAGATGGCATTAGGGATTTAAAGACTGCATTTTTTGTCAACATACCTATTATCCCTACCCCATCACTATGGAGGACTCCATTGATCAAGTAAATTATTCACTAAAAGAGGGTCTTACTTAACACTTACAGAGGAGATAATTCTCTGCAAGTACATCTGTCCATTGGAATTACCATTTTTTTTTTGAGGTAATGTATGGCAAAGTGTAATCCAGGACTCCTCAGATCAGTGTATCTCTGGATGGATTCTTATTAAAATGAAAATCCTTGGGATCCACCTCAGTCCCACCGATTTTCATTCTCTGATAATGGAAATCTGGAATCTGCTTTTACAAACCATCCAGCTGCTTTTTAAACACGTGAATATTTAAGAGTCACTGTTCTGATGCTAGAGAAATTTGTTTTTTTTCCCTTTTATCTTGTATGGGAACCTCCTTTAATTAAATGGCATAAATTATTTCAAGGTAGCTATTTTTATGAAACAATCCAATTCAATACAACTCACATGTATTGATTAGAGATGTGAAAAGTACTTGAACTTCTGTATAGGGCATGGAGATGGCTAAAATGTGGTACCACTTAAAGCACTATGAGTTCCACGGTAGTTCCACTATATGAGTGATTAATGTCACTTGGAGAAGATGGAAGTAAATTTCCCAGAGACTGCCTTTGAGCTGAGAATTGAAATACGACGTAGAATTTAATAGACAGAGAAAAGAGGGGAGATACATTATGGGTGAGAGAATGGCTCAAGGCAAAGGCAGAGAAATGTGAATGAAATATAATTTGTTCAGGGAACTAATAAAGGTGCATGGTGGGAGTTGAACTTAGCAAGGAAAGAGAGGACATTCTCTTTGTCAGTTCCTTGCAGCTTTGTCCTGGAGCATGACCCTACATTGCTCCTTTTCTTAATACTTACTGAGTGGAATTGAATATATTCTTAAATATTTAACCTAATATTCACTTTTTATGCAGATATGACCTAATATCATAAGTGACTACAAGGGGGCTCACAAGTTCGAGGGTATGCACCAAAGCCTCATTTCAGCTGGTGAGCCAGTTTCAGTGTATAAATGTAGATTGGTCCTGCTAATACAGAAGACTCACTGAAAAGTTGCAGTTGTCACTCTATCTGATCCTACAAATAAAGGAGAATTTAAAATATGTATGCCATTTACAATAGTTTGGTAACATTCCTTTCATATCTAAATGGTGTATATATATGCACATCATTGTTACAAGTGTGTTGAGTCCTTTTCAATCTTTCTGATTGTGTCTTCTTTCCTTTCTGTATTTTCTGACGTTCTTGAAACTGAATTTCTCCCTTCTCTATAGAGATGTACATACATATGACTGTAAACAAATAGCTTATGACATATAGAATAATTGTCTTCCCTTTTTTCACAGCCCTCAGAGATGTTTACCTCCTAATCTCTGGATCTGTGAATATATTGCTTTACATGGCAAAAGTAACTTTGCGTATGTGATTAACTTAAGGATTTTGAGATGAGGGAGTTTATTCTGGACGATCTAGGTGGACCCAATGTAGTAAGGAGAAATGTTGAAAAAGAAAGGCAGGAGAGTCACAGTGGAAGGACAGATGGAGTAATGCATTTTGAAGATGGAGGAAGAGGCCTTGAGGCAAGAAACGTAGGTGGCCTTTAGCAGCCAGAAAAGGCAAGAAAATGCATTCCCATAATGCCTCTGAAGGGAACACAATTATGTTGACAAAATAAATTTAGCCCTTAAACCCCATTTTGGATTTCTGACCTCTAGAACTGTAAGATAAAAAGTGTGTGTTGTTTTAAGCCTCTAAGTTTATGACACTTTATTGTGTCAGCAGTAGAAAAACTAATACATATTCCTAGGCATATAAGCACCTTGGAAGGAAGAGAGTTCCAAGTAGCACTGCTCCCATCCAGAATGTGCCTATCTCCTTCCCTTCTGTAAAGTCAGTTGTAAGTAGCACAGTTCAAGAGCACACTTAGGAACTTAGCACTGAATGATTGAAATCCACTTACTTTGCTTGTTTTGGCCACCAGATTGGCCTGGAAGCTGTCTTACCCAAGATGGTTCAGAAAACAATGGAGATGCCAAGGTTCTAGTATCTTTTTTGCAATGTCAATTTCGGATTTGCATGTTTCTTGGCAAGATCATTGTACTGCAGATGGCCTACCCATGCAGAAGTTATTCTCTTTGTCCCATAGCACCTAATTCATATTGCTGAGTATAGCTTGCCCTTAGGGCTCTTAGCAATTAAAACTGCCATTCTCCCATTTGCATACTCTTGCATTGTAACAACAGCTGTTCTCCAACTTCTGACTACATGGCAATGTTTGTGAGTATATGTGTGCCTTTTTGGGTTGCAGCGTTATTTTTAAAAGTCAGCTATGTGATGGTGTTCTCATACTATACAGTCTAGCTGACTGATATTCTCCCATTCTCTCTGCAGTGCTCTATAGAAATGTTATTTCAAGGCTAAACATGCAATTCACTAGGCCCTTTGGATTTATGTCTACCACCTCTCCACTGGCAACCTCAAACCTTTTATTATATTCTTTTCTGGCACACATGTGATGGTTTGCCAACCAAAGGAAAAGCTCTAACTCTGGTTTTGCAACTCATAGTTCTCCTTATTAAGCTAATGCTTTCTTCTTCACAACAGTGACAATTAGAACCAGGAAAGTGCCAAAAGTTCCCGAGTTTGCCAAGCCTGCAAGCCCAGATAAGCTTAATTACCAGCCAAATGCCAACGTTTTGAGAAACAGGAATTGAAGCAACATTGAATTAATGTTGAGACTAAAATTTGAAAGCCATCCAGAAGAAGTCATAGGGTCTCACTGCCTGTTAGAGAGGTCTTTGTTTTGTACAGTTTACTTGTCATATATCAGAGGTAGTTGTCCTATAACGAACTGGTAAGTGGTTTATATAATGAATGATTTTCTAAAGAAACCACCATGCTGTTACATGGAACAGTTTCATCCTGCTGGTTTTCTAATAACTTATAGAGGTGCAATAGTTGAATATAGAACTGTCATTTTGAATTGTAAGATGGATATTTGATTTACCTTAATATTGTTTGTGTAGCAGGACAGGTCTTATATCCACTTCATCCATTTCTTTCTTCTGCTCTTTACTCTTGTTTTAAAGGGATGATGGGGAGGCATCAAAAAAAGTAAAGATTGTGTTAACCATAATAGACCATCACATATTTAGTATAAGTAATAATTAAAAGTGGGAGTTGGGGGGATGGAGCATGTGGTAGGCTTTATTGCTTTTGTAGAAAGTGTTATGAAAAATCTGAAAGATGCCTCCTTCAGAAATGGACTGTGAGGACTGGCTATTGTCCTTTTTAGTAAATAGGACTTTGAGAAACTTTGACTATAGGAACAGATCAGAGGTCTAGGAAAGGGAGAGCCAGAAGAATATGCCAGTTAACTGCAAGGTGACCATGATAAGAAATTTAAAATATTGTGCACCAGCTCTCTGTACATTTGTGTCAGGCTGAGAGAAGGTAAACATTATCACTGTTAATGGCCTGTGCCTACAAAGCCTTCCAAGAGTTGTGCAAGAGTGAGATATCACAAATATAGTATTCTAAGACCCATTCCTATTAGTACTTGCCTCTCTCAAGTAAACATAACACCAAGATGCCAAAAAGATACAAAATATAAGTTTTTTTCAAAAGAATAACTATCACTGAGTGATCTGGAATTATTGGATTTATGGTTCTGATCAACTTAATAAAATATAATTCATCCCATTCATTCAAAATCATATAGAAAGGTTTTCTGTAGCTTCCATATGAATTCACTGCAGAAGGAGAATAATAAAGAGATCAAAACAGCTGATTTTAGGGAGGGGAGGCGGGGGTATTATAATTACCTGATGAGCATTTTTTCCAGTCTCTCTCTTACGTTCCCCACCATTTTTGTTCCAATATGCTTGTGGATTGTGTAAAGTTTGAGAAAACTAGAGCAGTAAATGACATTTCCTTGAGTTTCACCTCTCTTGAGAATCCCTGCATCTGAAACATTGTACAATTATAAGGCAGTAGGAAAATATCTTGCTCTTGTTTTCATCTTATTCTCTTCATTCTCGCTTCATCCTTGGAATATAAGATATATGATGGTAAAGAAGTAAAAATTATAAAGGATTCTGTAAGTTCTAATTTTTAGTGTCCAGTAGTTACTTTCAGGGCTAAAAGCTGTGCATGGATTAATCTTAAAGGGATGCATTTGCTAATTTTAGAATTAATATACTAAAATTAACTTATTTATTGAATATCTGTTATGAGTTCTTTGCTAGATTATTATTATATACTGTTTTATTTAACCCTCAAAATAACCATTTGTGTTGTGTGGTGTAGCTACTTAAAATTATCCTCTTTATTTTTAACATAAAAGTAATTCATTGTCATTGTAAAATCTCAGAAAAATGCAGATGAGAGTAATGAAGAATATAAAACTAATCCATAATGTTAACACTCAGTAATAACCACTGATAAGTCTTTTCTTATATTTATGTCTGTGTATTTTAAAACATATAAAAGTCAAAATACAATGTAAGTACAATGGTTATGAACCATAAACATAACATAAAACACCTATCAAAATACAGCCAAATGTTACCACATATTAAGATAGCAGATTGTTGTAGTAGTATCCCATTTTCTTCTGAAGCATTCCCTTAATGTACAGAAAAATGATTCACATTGGAATGTATTGCCTATATAATCTCTCTCTCTTCCTTCCATCCTTATCATAGTATTTCCATTCTTGTTAACACTATGCTGCATAGCTGGGCACAGTGCAGGTTGCCCTAATTTTTACTATCTGTTTTCAAAAAATTTCATTTCATACTACTCTGGGAGTCAATTTACATATGATTAAATATTTGTTAAGATTTTTTTTTGCATTTTTATGGTGTCTCATTTTCAAGACATGTAATCATTTATTTACCTACTCAATATTGTTAATTTAGTCTTGACAGTTTTTTCTTAACACAAAAAGTACGGTGATGCATATAATTTTGCATAAATCTTTGTCTGCATATCAGCTTTTGTTTTAGGATAGATATCTAGAAGAAGAAACACTGGAGCAAAGTGTTTTCATTAGTCTATAGCTTTTAATATGGATTGAATAATTGTTTCTAGAAGTATATCAATGTATAAGTTGGCCAACAGTTAATGACAGTGCTTCTTTTATAGCACTAGCTAACATATGACAATATCATTTAAAAAATGTTCATTTCCTAATTAGATAGGCAAAAATGATAATTGCTTATAAAAGGTTTAGTGCGGCGGTATGGCTAGGCTATGAAATTAACCAGATTTACAGTTGGGAAGACTTGGACATTTCTCGACATAGTTTCTTCTTTAAAGTGGGGAAATATGCTTACCTCATAAGGTTGGTGCATGAAATTAGTTGGCTTTTTAATATAAATCATCTAATTTGTACTCATAGATGGTAAGTACTCCATAAATTATAATGGCTTTAATAGATTTATTATTTTATTGAATTATGTATGTAACATTTTAGCCTATATAAAGTGTCAACAAATTTTAATTGCATTTATTAGTAATGAGGTTGAATATTTCTATATAAACTTATTATACATGCTATGTCATTTGTCTTTTTACAATCTTATGTTTTAATACCAATTTTAATGAAGTCATTATATATCAAGGTTGTAAACATATTGTTAATCTGGAAACATTACCCTTTTTTGCCTTTTTGTATATTACATTATTGAGATAGGAGTTTTTGATTTTATGTAGTCAAATGTCTGAGTTTTCCTTTGAAGATTCTTCTATGGTTTTTGTGCTAAAAATAACTTTTCTTTTGTCAGATTAGATGAACCTTCACTTTTTCATTGCTGTTTAGTTTTCATTTGGTTGGCTGAAAACCTAACCAGAACAACAGCTAAAGTCTTACCTAGGGATGGTGCATGGGCACCATCCCTAAAAGAGAGAAAGAGATTTATGTGTGGGTGGTCCTGTGCACATTTGGGACAAAATGTGAGGTCATGGGGCATTATTTGTGGAAAAAAGGAAAATAAATTGAGTGTTCTCTTTCTTCTGTTTAGAGGCGCTTTATTTTTAGTGCACATCACTGAATTTTTTCTGTATAATTCCTTCTAAAGTAGTGAGGGTTAAGTAAGGCATAAGTTAATATTTATTCATCTCTCCTTTTCATTCTTCCTTCCGAGAATAGCTAACATTGAATCTTTGCTATACATTTCTCTATTAAGAGTGGGGGACATCTAATCATTTTGCAATATATTTTTGCAAAGAATCACTCAATGAGTCTATTTACTGTTATAAATTATAAGCAAGTGAACACCAATTGCCTTTGGAGAAGAAAATAACAAGATTTTTTTTAATGGATAAAGGAGAATATAAATAAATTTACATAGCAATTTTGGGGTTTCAATATTTTTAGAGCCTCTGTAATGGAATGAAGTGATACTGCTGAGATCAACCAATAGAAAAGGTCGCCAGGTTTCCCAGGAAAGAACTCTTGGTTGAAAAAAAGAAAAAAAAGAAGAAGGAAAAAGAGGTCTCTTTAAGTAATCAGGGCTCAGTTCCAGAGCCTAGTGCCCAAGAGGGAGAGGTTGATCATTTCAGGTTCAGAATGTGCTGAGCAATCTCCTCTTGAGCAAGTTACCTTAGCATTGTGAAGACACCTTGGGAATAGTTCTGAATGTGAGGGAAAAAAAGCTGGAACATTTAGGAAACAGAATTGTTTATAAATAAAGGAGAGCTGTAGTTTGTATAAAACCAAATACACACAATTTCAGGTATTGGAACTACTATACTCAGATGTTAAAAAATATTACCAAGAAAATTTAAATTAAAAAATAGAATTCCTGGGCCGGGCGCGGTGGCTCACGCCTATAATCCCAGCACTTTGGGAGGCCGAAGCGGGCGGGTCACGAGGTCAGGAGATCGAGACCATCCTGGCTAACATGGTGAAACCCCGTCTCCACTAAAAATAGGAAAAATTAGCCAGGCGTGGTGGCGGGTGCCTGTAGTCCCAGCTACTCCGGAGGCTGAGGTAGGAGAATGGCTTGAACCTGGGAGGCGGAGCTTGCAGTGAGCCGAGATCATGCCACTGCACTCCAGCCTGGGCGACAGAGCGAGACTCTGCCTCAAAAAAAAAAAAAAAAAAAAAAAATAGAATTCCTAGAATGAATATATCTCTATGTATGTTTAATTTAAAGAATGAATATAAATATATATCTTATGGAACAAGACATTATTACAGAAATTAATAAATATCTTTAACAAAATAACAAACCAATATTGAAATGTTTTACAACAAATGCTTAGATTACTGTGCAAGCAGTGCCTATACCTATATAGCACTTTCAGTATTGTTGCTTCATATTATCATATGAAATACATTTATATTTTATAAATCTTCTTTTTTGCAGATTGGCTAAGATTATGTATTTTTTTAATATTTAAGTCTTTTTATTCTAAAAATTTTGAGGAATCAAGCACAAAACCATTACATATGAAAAGATGAGTAAGAGAAGGAAAAAAAGATAATAAAAATAAAAGCTACAAAAATAAAAACTGAAAATAAAATTTACACTGTAATGTATATACCATTAAAATTTCATAGCAAATAAAGAAAACTACTTTGTTTAGTTCTTGCCATCATACATGTATGCACACACATATTATTCAAACTGTTTACTAAAAAGAAATGGAAAAATAGATAACTTCAAAAGATAAAATAAGTTATAGGTTCCTTTATCTTTTTCATTTTATTTTAAATACTTTTAGTTGCAGGTAAGTAATATGCCGGGAATTCCAGAGATAGTTGGGTTGGGCTGAAGAAATGGCCTATATGACTAGGAGTTTAACTATATACAAGGGATTAAGCAAATTAAGACAATGAGAACCAGATTTCTGATTACTGGAAATTATAGGTCAGAAAAGGGATGAAGCCTGGAATAAACCGTATGGTGATTAATTGGGATTGGAAATTTAGTGTGAACTCAGGTGGTTGATTTATTTAGAAAGATGGCTATAGAAATAGGCCTGCATGTGTTTCTTTGTGTATATGCATGTGTGTGTGAGAAAGATAGTGAGAGAGATACAAATACATGTATTTCTTACCTTGTTATGCTGACAGGTTCTAGAAGCAATCATGTCTCTCTATCAATAAGTGGATCTAGCACCAAATTTTCATTTGGAGGAGCTGTTTCCTCTAAAACTAATAAGGATATCTTAGAGAAATATGTTAGTTCAGGAATGAAACAGGGAAATTAAAGATAAACCTAGAATGTCTTTTTTTCAAAGTAAGGAAATGTGCAAAGAATAATGAAGGGCAGTTAGTCTTACATACGTTCATATACATTGGAAAAAAGACATGAGACCTCTTGGTTAGAAGAAAAGATGGTTTGTTACAGCAATACAATCAGCAAGAGTAACATCTTGGCACCAGTTCTTTGAGTGCCAATTCCCACAGGGTAATTTGATGGGGACGGATGTTGCCTGCACATGCAGTGAAGATGTATTATAGGAGAAAACCCTTGAGATTAGTGGAGCCTGATCTTATACAGAGGCTGAAAGTAAATCTGTCCCTCTTCCCCACTGGAGAGAGATTTTACCTTTATTTTTCTGCAATGTAAGTAACTCTGCTCCAAGAAGAGAGAGATATCTCTATATGTGTTACCCTGGAAAGTAAATTAATCAGTTCCAGGTGGAATCAATGTCTCATTTTCCATGGGGATGTGCTTATACGAACATTTTTTAAAGGACAGTCCAAAACAAGTTGACCATTAATTACTAGATATATGAAAATATGAGTGATTCATGGATAGTCATATCCCAATATTTCAAACCTTGAATAAGTCAAATTTCCATGAACAAGAGAAAGAATTAAAAATATGTTCATAATATGTGATACTAATATAATAAAACATAAAATGTCACTCAGCAATAAAAATTAATAAATTTATGATACATGTAAAACATGAATGAAAACAGTTATTCTAAGTGAAATGCATTATTCAAAGCAAAAGATGATACACATAATTGGCTCCTTTTATATAAAGTTCTAGAACAGGCAAAAATCATGGAAAAAATCAGAACATTTACTAGTTTTGTAGGATCAAGCATGAGAGAATTTTCTGGAATGATGGAAATATTCTCCATCATGGTAGGGATGTGTATAAATTTCAGTATGTGTCAAACCATCACAGATTGTAGCATTTAAGATCTGTGCATTTCACTATATGAAAATTATGTCAATAAAAATAAAAGTATTATGTGAAATTAATTAACATAGCATTAATATAAAATAGGCATATATAAAACCAAAAATTAATTATAAGTTATAAAAAGGCAAATTATAGTCACTAAAATTAATATATTCACTTAAATTAATAAAAGTAAAATTTATTAATTTTACTTCAGAATAGATGCTGAAGACAATAGAGGAGAGAATTAGTGCAATGGAAGATTATATTATAGAACTCCTTGAATCACACATAGAGAAATAAAGGTTTTTTAAAAATAAGTTACGTGAGGAACAAACTAAAATTACAGCTTTAATTTCAGATGATTACAAATTAGAAAATGTAGAGAAAGGCACAGAAGAAACACTAAATAAAATAATGGTTGAGAATGTCCCATTACTAAAGGAAGACACAATGCTTAAATTGAATGCACACTGTGAACAATAATTATGATATAAGAAAAGAAGGAAAGAAAGAAAGAGAAAAAAAGAAAATGGAAGAGGAAAGAGGAAATTGAAAAGGAAGGAAAAAAAGGAAGGAAAGATGGAAGAAAGAAATCTTCATTTTTATACACTGAAATATTGGCAATAATGAGTTTCAAACAAAAAAAATTACTTCTTTTAAAAGGAACAAAATTTGACTAAAAATTTTCTCATAAGCAGTACTAGATGCCAAAAGACAATGAAATTACATCTTCTGACTGTTATTGGAAAATAACTGTTAACCTAGAATTCTCCATATTATTTAAGAGTGAGAATAAAATTAAAATATTGTAAGTATACAAAGGCTAAGAGAATTATGTTCTCAATGCAAACATTTTTAAAGCATGTAGTTTACTAGTAGGAAAAATAAACTCACAAGTAAGGAGAAGAAAACAATATGTGATGAAAAGGGGCACATAGGAAAATAATTCAAATAAATAATTAGAGCCAATTAACACTTGATTATAAAAATAATAAACTCAATTGTGTATGCATGTGTTTTATAATTTGAAACTAACACTCTTCGTCTAAGATGGCTGAATAGGAACAGCTCCGGTGTGCAGCTCCCAGCATGATAGACGCAGAAGACGGGTGATTTCTGCTTTTCCAACTGAGGTACCTGGTTCTTCTCATTGGGACTGGTTGGACAGTGGGTGCAGCCCATGGAGGGTGAGCCGAAGCAGGGTGGGGCATCGCCTCACCTGGGAAGCACAAGTGGTCAGGGGATTTCCCTTTCCTAGCCAAGGGAAGCCGTGACAGGCTGTACCTGGAAAAATGGGACACTCACGTCAAAATATTGCACTTTTCCCATAGTCTTAGCAACCGACAGACCAGGAGATTCTCTTCTGTGCCTGGCTCGATGGGTCCAATGCCCATGGGCATTGCTCACTGCTAGTGCAGCAGTCTGAGATTGACCTGCGAGGCTGCAGCCGGGCAGGGGGATGGGAGTCCACCATTCCTGAGGCTTGAGTAGGTAAATAAAACTGCCGGGAAGCGCAAACTGGGTGGAGCCCACTGCAGCCCAGCAAGGCCTACCGCCTCTACAGACTCCACCTCTGTGGGCGAGGCATAGCTTAACAAAGGCAGCAGAAACTTCTGCAGACTTAAATGTCCCTGTGTGACAGCTCTGAAGAGAGCAGTAGTTCTCCCAGCATGGTGTTTGAGCTCTGAGAACTCCTCAAGTGGGTCCCTGACCCCCGTGTAGCCAAACTGGGAGAGACCTCCTAGTAGGGGCGGACAGACACCCCATATAGGAGGGTGCCTCTCTGGGATGAAGCTTCCAGAGGAAGGCTCAGGCAGCAACACTTGCTGTTCTGCAATATTTGTTGTTCCGCAGCCTCCACTGGTGATACCCAGGCAAGCAGGGTCTGGAGTGGACCTCCAGCAAACTCCAACAGACCTGCAGCTGAGGGACCTGGCTGTTAGAAGAAAAACTAACAAACAGAAAGGAATAGCATCAACATCAACAAAAAGGACATCCACACCAAAACCCCATCTGTAGATCACCAACATCAAACACCAAAGGTAGATAAAACCACAGAAATGGGGAGAAACCAGAGCAGAAAAGCTGAAAATTCTAAAAACCAGAGCATCTCTTCTCCTTGAAAGGATAGCAGCTCCTCGACAGCAACAGAACAAAGCTGGACGAAGAATGACTTTGATGAGTTGACAGAAGTAGGCTTCAGAAGGTTGGTAATAACAAACTTCTCCGAGCTAAAGGAGCATGTTCTAACCCATCACAAGGAAGCTAAAAACCTTGAAAAAAAGGTTAGACGAATGGCTAACTAGAATAAACAGTGTAAAGAAGACGTTAAATGACTTGATGGAGCTGAAAACCATGGCACAAGAACTTCGTGACACACGCACAAGCTTCAGTAGCCAATTTGATCAAGTGGAAGAAAAGATATCAGTGATTGAAGATTGAATTAATGAAATAAAGCGAGAAGACAAGTTTAGAGAAAAAAGAGCAAAAAGAAATGAACAAAGCCTCCAAGAAATATGGGACTATGTGGAAAGGCCAAATCTGTGTTTGATTGGTGTGCCTGAAAGTGATGGGGAGGATGGAAGCAAGTTGGAAAACACTCTGCAGTATATTGTCCAGGAAAACTTCCCCAACCTAGCAAGGCAGGCCAACATGCAAATTCAGGAAATACAGAGAACACCACAAAGATACTCCTTGAGAAGAGCAACCCCAAGACACATAATTGTCAGATTCACCAAGGATGAAATGAAGGAAAAAGTGTTAAGGGCAGCCAGAGAGAAACGTCAGGTTACCGACAAAGGGAAGCCCGTCAGACTAACAGCGGATCTCTTGGCAGAGACTCTACAAGCCAGAGGAGAGGGGGCCAATATTCTAGATTCTTAAAGAATTTTCAACCCAGAATTTCATATCCAGCCAAACTAAGCTTCATAAATGAAGGAGAAATAAAATCCTTTACAGACAAGCAAATGCTGAGAGATTTTGTCACCACCAGGCCTGCCTTACAAGAGCTCCTGAAGGAAGCACAAAACATGGAAAAGAACAACCAGTACCAGCCACTACAAAAACATGCCAAATGGTGAAGACCATCGATGCTATGAAGAAACTGCTTCAATTAACGGGCAAAATAACCAACTAACATCTTAATAACAGGATCAAATTCACACATAACAATATTAACCTTAAATGTAAATGGGCTAAATGCCCCAATGAAAAGACACAGACTGGCAAATTGGATAAAGCATCAAGACCCATCAGTGTGCTGTATTCAGGAGACCCATCTCATGTGCAGAGACACACATAGGCTCAAAATAAAGGCATGGAGGAAGATCTACCCAGCAAATGTAAAGCAAAAAAAAAAAAAAAAAGCAGGGGTTGCAATCCTAGTCTCTGATAAAACAGACTTTAAACCAACAAGGCTCAAAAGAGACAAGGCCATGACATAATGGTAAAGGGATCAATTTAACAAGAAGAGCTAACTATCCTAAATATATATGCACCCAACACAGGAGCACCCAGATTCATAAAGCAAGTCCTTAGTCTATCCACAGAACTCTCCACTCCAAATCAACAGAATATACATTCTTCTCAGCACCACATCGCACTTATTCTAAAATTGACTACATAATTGGAAGTAAAGCACTCCTCAGCAAACATGAAAGAACAGAAATCACAACAAACTGTCTCTCAGACCACAGTGCAATCAAATTACATCTCAGGATTAAGAAACTCACTCAAAACCGCACAACTACATGGAAACTGAACAACCTGCTCCTGAATGACTACTGGGTAAATAATGAAATGAAGGCTAAATAAAGATGTTCTTTGAAACCAGTGAGATCAAAGACACAACTTACCAGAATCTCTGGGACACATTTAAAGCAGTGTGTAGATGGAAATGTATAGCACTAAATGCCCACAGGAGAAAGCAGGAAAGATCTAAAATTGACACCCTAACATCATATTCAAAGAACTAGAGAAGCAATAGCAAAAATATTCAAAAGCTAGCAGAAGGCAAGAAATAACTAAGATCAGAGCAGAACTGAAGGAGATGGAGACACAAAAAAACCCTTAAAAAAATCAGTGAATCCAGGAGCTGGCTTTTTGAAAAGATCAACAAAATTGATAGACCACTAGCAAAACTAATAAAGAAGAAAAGAGAGAAGAATCAAATAGATGCAATAAAAAATGATAAAGGGGATATCACCACCAATCCCACAGAAATACAAACTACCAGCAAAGAATACTATAAACACCTCTACACAAATAAACTAGAAAATCTGGAAGAAATGGATAAATTCCTCGACACATACACCCTCCCAAGACTTAACCAGGAAGAAGTTGAATCTCTAAATAGACCAATAAAAGGCTCTGAAATTAAGGCAATAATTAATAGCCTAAAAAGAAAAAAGTCCACGACCAGATGGATTCACAGCCAAATTCTACCAGAGGTACAAAGAGGAGCTAGTACCATTCCTTCTGAAACTACTTCAATCAATAGAAAAAGAGGGAATCCTCCCTATCTCACTTTTTGAGGTCAGCATCATCCTATACCAAAGCCGGGCAGAGACACAACAAAAAAGAATTTTAGACCAATATCCCCGATGATAATTGATGCAAAAATCCTCAATAAAATACTGGCAAGCCAAATCCAGCAGCACATCAAAAAGCTTATCCACCACAATCAAGTTGGCTTCATCCCTGGGATGCAAGGCTGGTTCAAAATATGCAAATCAATAAACGTATTCCATCACATTAACAGATCCAATGACAAAAACCACATGATTATCTCAATATATGCAGAAAAGGCCTTCGACAAAATTCAACAGCCCTTCAAGATAAAAACTCTCAATAAACTAGGTATTGATGAAATGTATCTCAAAATAATAGGAGCTATTTATGACAGACCAACAGCCAATATCATACTGAATGGGCAAAAACTGGAAGCATTCCCTTTGAAAACCAGCACAAGACAAGGATGCCCTCTCTCACCACTTCTATTCAACATAGTGTTGGAAGTTCAGGCCAGGGCAATCAGGCAAGAGAAAGAAATAAAGGGTATTCAATTAGGAAAAGAGGAAGTCAAATTGTCCCTGTTTGCAGATGACATGATTGTATATTTAGAATACCCCATCATCTCAGCCCAAAACCTCCTTAAGCTGATAAGCAACTTCAGCAAAGTCTCAGGATACAAAATCAATGTGCAAAAATCACAAGCATTCCTATACACCAATAACAGACAAACAGGGAGCCAAATCATGAGTGAACTCCTATTCACAATTGCTACAAAGAGAATAAAATACCTAGGAATCCAATTTACAAGGATGTGAAGGATCTCTTCAAGGAGAAATATAAACCATTGCTCAATGAAATAAAAGAGGACACAAACAAATAGAAGAACATTCCATGCTCATGGATAGGAAGAATCAATATCATGAAAATAGCCATACTGCCCGAGGTAATTTATAGATTCAATGCCATCCCCTTCAAGCTACCAATGACTTTCTTCACAGAATTGAAAAAAAAAAATTAAAGTTTATATGGAACCAAAAAAGAGCCTGCATTGACAAGACAATCCTAACCAAAAAGAACAAAGCTTGAGGCTTCACACCACCTGATTTCAAACTATACTACAAGGCTACAGTAACCAAAACAGCATGGTACTTGTACCAAAACAGATATATAGACCAATGGAACAGAAAAGACTCCTCTGAAATAACAACACACACCTACAACCATCTGATCTTTGACAAACCTGATAAAAACAAGAAATGGGGAAAGGATTCCCTATTTCTTAAATGGTGCTGGGAAAACTGGCTAGCCATATGTAGAAAGCTGAAACTGGATCCCTTCCTTACACCTTATACAAAAATTAATTCAAGGTGGATTAAAGACTTAGATTTTAGACCTAAAACCGTAAAAGCCCTAGAAGAAAACCTAGGCAATACCATTCAGGACATAGGCATGGGCAACAACTTCATGACCAAAACACCAAAAGCAATGGCAACAAAAGCCAAAATTGACAAATGGGATCTAATTAAATTAAAGGGCTCCTGCATGGCAAAAAAAAAAAACTACCACCAAAGTGAACAGGCAACCTACAGAATGGGAGAAAATTTTTGCAATCTACTCATCTGACAAAGGGCTAATATCCAAAATCTACAAATAACTTAAATTTACAAGAAAAAAAACAACCCCATCAAAAAGTGGGCAAAGGATATGAAGAGACACTTCTCAAAAGAAGACATTTATGCAGCCAATAGACACATGAAAAAATGCTTGTCATCACTGGTCATCAGAGAGATGCAAATCAAAACCACAATGAGATACCATCTCACACCAGTTAAAATGGCAATCATTGAAAAGTCAGGAAACAACAGATGCTGGAGAGGATGTGGAGAAATAGGAACACTTTTACACTGTTGGTGGGAGTGTAAATTAGTTCAACCATTTTGGAAGACAGTGTGGCGATTCCTCAAGGATGTAGAACTAGAAATACCATTTGACCCAGTGATCCCATTACTGGGTATATACTCAAAGGATTATAAATCATGCTACTATAAAGACACATGCACACATATGTTTATTGCAGCACTATTCACAATAGCAGACTTGGAACCAACCCAAATGTCCAACAATGATAGACTGGATTAAGAAAATGTGGCACATATACACCATGGAATACTATGCAGCTATAAAAAAGGATGAGTTCATGTCCTTTATAGGGACATGGATGTAGCTAGAAACCATCATTCTGAGCAAACTATCACAAGGACAGAAAACCAAACACCGCATGTTCTCATTCATAGATGGGAACTGAACAATGAGAACACTTAGACACAGGGCAGGGAACATCACACACCTGTGTGTGGGGGCCTCTCAGGGGGTGGGGGGCTGGGGGAGGGATAGCATTAGGAGAAATACCTAATATAAATGATGAGTTGATGGGTGCAGCAAACCAACATGGCACATGCGTACCTATGTAACAAACTTGCACATTGTGCACGTGTATGTACATAGAACTTAAAGTATGTAAAATATTTATATATATACAAAATTTCACCTGGCATGGTGGCAGCACGTGCATATAGTCCAAGGTACTCGGGAGGCTGAGGCAGGAGAATCGCTTGAAACTGGGAGGCGGAGGTTGCACAGCTGAGATCACACCACTGCACTCCAGCCTGGGCGACAGAACGAGACTCTGTCTCTAAATAAATAAATAAATAGAAGCTAACAGGTTTGACTGTAATGAAGAAAATAAGAAAGGGATTAAGAAGATGGTATTGCATTCAAAGGTTTTATTTTGTTCAAGACAAGAGAAGAGTGAATAATTTTTAAATTTGTTAGAAAAATAGATTTGAAAAGTGCAAATGTAAAATAAAGGACAACTAAAAAAGCTAGGATGTAAGACTTTTAAATCATCAGAAAACATTTCAATCATACAGAATACAGTACTGGGGAAATGGTAAGAAGGTACATGAAACATCCCTGCCCATAGTTTTTCGCAGTCTCTTGGGAATCTATAATTATGTCAAAACATTTAAAATAAATTTTATGTGAGGAACCATCTATCTAATGTCTTTGTCAAAAGCAATGATGCAAAATTTAAAAAAAATCAGAGTTAATATGGAAATGAAGTAAGAGCTGAAATTCAGAGAAATATATTAAGCCTAAAGATTGGCAAAAAATATTGGTAAAATAAAACAAAACTAGGGATATAAAACAACAACAATAATAATTTTTATATGGGAAATTAAAGATGTGTAGAATTGTACTGTAAAATGGTACATTAATTGGGTGGATACATATGGGTCCAATTATTTTTCATATGGAGAGCTATCAGCATGAAGAAAACGAAGTGTCTCTGTGGTCTTCCTTCACAGACAACTTTGTTCCATCTCTGCCTATAGATGTAGGCCTCTTATTATATTATGTCACCCTGTACGTTTCCTTTGGCTTTGCGTCCTGGGCTCAAGTAATCCTTCCACTTCAGCCTCCCTAGTAGCTGAGACTACAGGTGCATGCCACCACACATGGCTATTGTTTTTGTTTGTTTGTTTGTTTGTTTGGAGTGACAGGGTCTCACCATGTTTTCCAGGCTGGTCTTGCACTCACGGACTTAACAATCCACCAGTCTCTGCCTCCTGAAGTGTTGGGATTACAGACGCAAGCCACCATGCCTAGTCCTTCTACAACCTCTTTTTAAGTACATTTATTTTTTCTTCATGTTGTGTTTAACATAGAACCACCTATTCTGTCAAGAAAATGAAATTCTCCAGCCTGTTCAGAATATACCTTAAAAAAATCAAGGGTAGTCAAAACAGCTATTAACAATATTTTTTTCTACCTTGTTTCCATTGTAAGAATAGTTCGATAAACAAATGCATTGATATTCCTCAATTATTATGCTTTGATTAGTATTTAGTTTTCTTTAAATTTGTATAGTTCTTAAAACATTAAAACTACATCTACTTTCATTTGGGTCTAATGATAAGACAGTACCATAATAAGACATTGTTGAGAATTTTTTTTTTGTTAAAAGGTTTAGAAACTTGCTTAGAGTCATAGAACAAGAATACAACAAATCCATATCTAGAACTCAGATTTTTTGACCCTTCACTAAGAAATAGACTACACTGTTTCTGCCTTAACACCAGTAGGCTTTCTTTACACAGTGCTGCTTTGACAATATTGCTTCAGGTAGATTCTGAAATAGGCATAACCATATACCTCCCAGAGAATTATGAAGAAACTACTTAATTCTAAAATTACATATATAATATCTTCACTAACTTCCTATATCATTTATAGCATACTCAATAAATGAAAACTACTGGCCTTCAAATTAAGATGTTTATCTTTCTGATAATTTGTTCTTTAAGCTTAAAAGTCATTTAGAAGGAAACATTCATCAAAGATTTTAGAATAAATTATAAGAAACGTTATTTGATAGTTGGCAAAAACATAAAATTTCTATTTTCAAACACTAAACATGATTTTTCATAATGAAGTAAATATTGTTTGAAACCTGTTATGACAATACTCTAAAAATGTTCATGCCTCACTACATGGTTGTAGTTATCACAATTGATTCCACTATTCAATAACATTGAGAACTGTCATATTACAATATCAGGCTTTGGAATACAGAGGAACATATGACAGAGGCACTATTCTCTAGGAGCTTGAAAATCAGTGGTGAATAAAGGGGCAGGGATCAAAACAGACTGAGTTGTTACTGAATGCCTTATTACATGCCATGTTCTGTGACAAATTAATGCATCAAATTAATTATTTGGGAATTGTTAATTCTACTATTCAGATAAAGAAATGGAAGCTTAGAAAGTCTATATAATTTACTCAAAGGTTCACATCTAATACTTAGTGAAACTACATTTGGTAACTAAGTCTGTTTTTTTCTAAAATCTTTAAATCCACCATCATACGTTACTCCTTTAGGAAATTATATCAACAGTTACAGTAAAATGTGGTAATTTCAGTGTGATTGTTTCAGAGTATTATAGAAATCACTGAAAGGAAGGCCAACTAAATCGTCGAGTTACGGTGAAAATACAGATATTAGTCTAGGAATATGTAGGAATAGTCAAAAGTATTTTTAAAAACACACTCTAGAATATCAGAATATGGGAACCACATGTGATAAGCCTCAGAGACTTGATTGCATGGTTTATTTCAAATGATATGAGCAGTTTACCATGGCTAGAACATAAGCTGCATGGTTAGGAGGGGGGGTTGCATAAAATTGAGAAAGAAAAGAGCCAGACCAAGAAGACTCTTTGGGGTCATGGGAAATCAATCCTGTTGAATCAATGAAATGTTTTTGGCAATGGAAGGTGGAAGTCAGTTTGCTACTTAGATTCAAGATTCAATTTATTTTGGAGAAGGCTAACTCTGGGTTATGAAGTGAGTAGGTAAGACTGAAATTAGGTGACCATCTGAGAAGTTAATGCAATTGTCTAGCTATGAAAATCATTGTTCCTTTTCTTTAACTTCTAAAAAAAAAATAAGCCCTTCTATTTCATTGCATCAATTTTTGATATAATGCTAAATTGTTAAGTATCCCTCTTGAATGCTTGGCACAGTTGATGAAATGGAGTCAGAGATCAATAAATGTTTCTTGAAGAAATCTTGGGGTCATTTTTTGGTCTTTAAGAAATGTAGTTTAGCTATAGCATAGTCAAGAGACTTTTGCAATGTTCCAGTATGAGAGGTACAGAAAGTCAACAAAAGAAATATGCCTACATCTTGTAGCTCTTGTAAATTGAAGAAATAATTTTCTCTGTATTCCTGTGCTATTGCTTTGGTCCCATTTGCCTCTTGCTGAATGACGTATATTAGTGCGAGTGAAGGATTCTGAAATTGTCTTCCTTATTGACCTCATTTTCAAGCACCAGTTTTTCTTGAGTTCTTTTCCTCCCAAGAATAGTATATTTCAAAAACGCAATTGTTGTCTTGAAATTGTTACCACAGGGCTTGAAAAATTATCATCTTAAAGCAAGTATGAGTAGCTTATATAAATAGAAAGTGTAGGTTACTGTAGAGAATAGTGTTGTGTTTTAAATGTTCCAAAGATTTTTATTCTGTCAATTTTACTTTCTCTCTTCTATATATTGAACCTGTCCTCAACTATTGGCTGCTTCCCAACAGTACTGAAAATGCTCAAATCTCTCATACCTTACAAAAAACAAAGCAATGAAATTCCGTCAATTTAATCAGTAATCCATGTTCTCAGTAATTAATTCATTTATTCAAGAAACAATTGTAAACCCCAAGTGTAAGTAATGTATTTGAACTACATCAGTCAACGAAACAAAACCCCAGAACTATGACTTTATTCTGGTGGGAGGACCAACAGTCAAGGAGAAAACTAGACAAAGAAATTAAAAGCCCTGGGAAAAATAAACAGGTTGTTATTTGAGGTACTATCATTTGAGCTGAGATCCAAGTGACAAGAAGCTAGTAAGGATCATTAAAGTCAGACTTGGAAGCAGAAACAAACTTGTGATATTTTCGGAACGGAGAGATGGTCAGTGTGCCTAGAATGGAACAAGCCAGGGAAGTCTGGTACCAGGAGAATTCAGAGAGATAAAGGGGGTTATATTCCTAGGGCCTGTTGTAAGCAGGCTTTTTTTTTTCCCAATTATGATGGCCAGCCACTGGGAAGTCTTAAGCTGAGTTTCTACTAATCTCATTTATATATTTAAAGGACAATACTTTGCCCTTAGCAAATGGGTTTTGTGGGTTAGAATATTTGTTTTTTCTCATTTTTCTATTGGTGGTCAAAAGGTTTCAGAAAGTGTTTGCATTTTGAAAATATAACGAACACACTGGAAAAATAGTTGAAGCATATATTAGAAACATAATTAATATATATACAATACAAAGAGCTATTTAAAATCAATAAGGAGAAAAACTCTCTAAAGTGAAAGTTTGACAACCTTTTCTTTCAGAGAGCAAAAAAGCAATTTTCAAAGGCCTTAATGTAGTAAAGAGTTTTTTGTTTTATGGAGATGTAAAGAGGTAAGCAAGAAACATTTTATATACAAGGCAGTGGTTTAGGATGAGTTTGGGGGGCCATAATAAGGAGGCAATATTTTATTTTATGTGTAATGGAAAGCTACCACAGTTTTAAAGCAAGAGAATGATTAATAAGATGTGTGGTTAAAAAAACCAATCTGGTTGCTTATAATCTACAGCAATCCTACTTTTGCCTTCATTACTTTATTGAAACAACCTCCTCCAGTGTTGATTTGGTAGCATATCAATTCTAATAAACACAACTCACTCCCTGTTCCATTTCCCTATTGTAAACATTTAACAAGAATGACCAATCTTTTCTTTCTAGAACACACTATTTGATGGACTTCGAGAACTCCAGTGTCTGTGAGTGTTTCTTCTTATCACCTGCGCAGCCTACTTTTTATCTGCCTTAAGCTTGTATGCTCAGGAAATTTGCCTATTTCTGAGAGTATGCCATTCTATACACTTACCTTGAGTGAATTAATCTCCTTTCATAGTTCAAATTTCCCTAATCGCAGGTCCAAAATTATATCTGCAGTCCAGAATTTCTCCATACTTCAGGCTTGACTATATAAATATCTTCCAGTTATCTTGATTCTTATGTTCCCGCTCAGACCCACTTCTGGCACATCAGGTGCAGAATGCACAAATAGGAATTTATAATGTTTGCCAGCATACTGGCTCCCAGTAACAGCAACTGTGATCCCTTCTCTCCCTACTGTGCCATTTCCATTTTTAAAAATTTCTGTTGAAAGCTGCGCACAGTGGCTCATGCCTGTAATCCCAGCACTTTGGGAGGCAGAAGGCGGGCAGATCACTTGAGGCCAGGAGTTCCAGACTAGCCTGGCTAACATGGGGAAACCTGGTCTGTACTAAAAATACAAAAATTAGCCGGGTGTTGTGGCGCATCTGTAATCCCAGCTACCAGGGAGGCTAGGGCAGGAGAATTGCTTGACCTGGGATGTGAGGGTTGCAGTGTGGGCAGATCGCACCACTGCACTCCAGCCTGGGCGATAGAGCGAGACTCCATCTCAAATAAATAAATAATTCATTTTTAAAATGTCTGTTTAAGTTTTGTTAGCCTTATTTCTTAATTATAGCTCAAATCTTTCTTTTATTTCTCTCTTATCTCATTGATGCTAAGACCTTCATCTAGGAAAACACCATTTCTTGTCCCCTTTGAGCCCTCTACCCTATAGTATTTTCCCATGATATGCTATGGATATACTTCATATTACTCATCAAAGCTGTAATTACTCATTCAATATCTGAACATATCACTTGATTTTAAACTTCATATCACTATGATCATATCTTTGATTTATGCCATTGCTTCAGCATCTATTACAGGGTTTGGCACATATTGTGGACTTAAATATTTGTTGCACAAGTAAATGGATGAATAAACAAAGAATGAGAGATTTGTGAATTACTCCTAGACCAGCATGATACATGTCAAATAACCTGGAAATATATTTTGGCTTAGGTTATTACATATATACAAAACAGTACTTGAATCCAGACTATGTACCCTTGTAGCATAATTATATTACCTATGTAATATTTACTTCTTAAGATAAGCCAGTATCATTAAAGCCAAGTATTTAGCTTGATAATTCAGAGTATGAAGAAACAGAGAAAAAAAAGAGAGTATCCTTCTCAGAGTTATTATTACCAGAAAAATATTCCTACTAAAGGCAAGAAATCAGTGGTCAGCAAGAGACGTGACAAAACAGTTATCTGTAGAGGCTGTATTGTAGCCATTCTTTGACTACAAACTTGTCTTAATTATGCATCTGATATGATGACACTCTTTTGAATTAGCTTCTTTTCTAATCTTTATAATTAATGATGTGTGTTTTAAATTGAGGTGAAATATATTTTTAAATGCCTTTAAAAAGGCAGAAGTTTGAATAATATTGGCTTGGACATATGTGCTTCTGAAACTAAAATACAAAAATAATTTGTAGGTGTAAAGAATGTAAGTCTTACCTCGTGAGTGAATGCTCTCTCTGTCCCAAATTGGAAGACGATGGTATTGAAATGCCTGTGTCCATTCAGTAATTCACTCAGGATTCAAGGATTCATTATAACTATCAAAGCTTTATTGCTTTCTTAGTAGCTAAGGTGGTTTATTATTTGAAAGCACTGGGTGATATACGGTATACTTGTATAATATGACACCCTTAGAAAATATGGAGCCATGCTGTGGCACCATTATATTTAGATTATAGCTTATGTGGCTGCCTATTCAAAAGAAATTCAATTTTGACTTTAATTTTCACCCCGGGGCCTCCTACTTGAAATTTTATCCTGTAAGAAACAAAAGTTTGAATGAGTAATTTAGCATGATCTGCAATTAATTATTAAATGTAGTGTATACATATATATATATATACACACACACACATATACATATTTCTAAAAAAGACAATAAAAACATGCAATAGTGGTTAGTGGTCTGGCACAAAGGCTTAGCTAGTTAAATAACAACAAGTAAAGCAACAGCAATAAATATATGTCTCTGCGATCATTTCCTATTACTTGACTCTGTGTCAAGGAATATGCAAGTTTTTTAAAAAAAATGTGTCTTATTTAACCTCATTATAGTACTTAAAAATCAATCAACAATGACTCAAAGAAAGTTACTATCCAATCCTGTCTAAATCTTCTTTATTTTGGTTTTAAGTTGCTAACTGTTGCCTTTTGTTCATGTAATAGTCCAAGTCTCAAGCTTGTCTGGATACAGATAGAAAAAGGACTTGTAATTGTGCTAACATATCAATCATAGAAAATTCTGAGGCTCTTTATTTGCAATTGTCAAATGCCTTGACTTAAAATATAGAATTATCAACTATGAAGATGGTTCTAATTAGTTTGTTCCTACCAGCTATTTCGCAAATGTGGAAGATACCAGAATTTTAAGTGGTTTTCTTTTGGCTATTTTACTTATTAACCTCCAAACAAATTTTCAACCACCCAAGAAAGTCTCCTTATCTTTAATCTTTTTCCCTGCTGTTCAGTTGATGTGTTTTTTTTTCTCATTCTCTTTTACAATTTTATTGAGATATATTTCACATAACATAAAATCCAGTCATGTGAAGTATAGAATTCAGTTTTTTAAAGAGTACATTCACAGAATTGTGGAGTGATTATCACAATTTAGTTTCAGAATATTTTCAATAGCCAAGAAGAAACCCTAAGGCCATAAGTGGTCACTCTCCATTCTTCCTCTACTCTTTCTCCATCAACAAGCAACAACTATTCTATTTTCTATCTATAGATTTGGATGTGTTAGACTTTGTTTAAATGAAATCATATAATAGTTGGTGTTTTCTGTCTGGCTTCTTTCAGTAAGTATAATGGATTCTAAGTTTATCCAAATGGTAATATGTCCCAGTACTTCATTTCTTTCTTTTTGCAAAATAATATTCCATTGCATAAATATACTACTTTTGTTTATCCATTCATCAGGTGGTACATATTTGGGTCATTTCCACTTTGTCAGATTATGAATAATGTTGTGAACATTGTGTACAAGTTTGCTATTTAGGCATATTTTATTTCTCCTAGCTATGTATCATATGACTTCTGGGTCATATGATAATTCTCCTCTTTAGCATTTTGAGAGACTACCATTTTTAAAAATACAAAATGATTGCTCATTTTCCATTTTTACCAGCAATGTATGAGAGTTCCAACTTCTCCACATTCTAGCCAAACTTATTATTGCCTGTGTTTTGATTTTAGCCATACCAATAGAAGTGGTATTTTCTTGTGGTTTGATTTACATTTCCCTAATGACTAATGATTCTGAACATCTTTTCATATGCTTATTGGCCATTTGTACATCTTCTCTGGATATTAAAAGTAACTAGAATCCACATTCCAGTCCTCTTCTTTGGATTGTTATTGTCATACAAAATCCATCTTTTTATGCTATAATCCGAGCAAACTTTTATAACTGTTGCTTTATATAATGTCATTTAAGATAGATAAAAGATGTGTTACATACAAAAATACATGTTTACTTTGTAAAATATTTACTTCTGTAGTTTCCTTCATCAGTACTCTTTATTTCTTCATGTGGATTCAAATTACCTTTTAGTATACTTTATTTACACTCCCAAAATTTTCTTTCTTGTAGGACAAATCTGCTAGCAATAAACTTTTTCAGTTCTCATTTATCTGGAAATGTTTAATTTTCTCTTTGTTTTGAAGGAGAGGTTAGATTAGTTGACATTCTTTTTCTGTCACCACTGAAGATGTTCTTCCACTGTCTTCTGTGGTTTCTAGCGAGGTCAGCCTTTAGTTTGAAGGTTTTTGTATGTGATAAATCATTTTTCTCTTGCTGCTTTAAATTTTTTTTCTTTGTGCCTGACTTTTGACAATTTGGCTGTGATGTGTCTAGATGTCTATTTCTTTGGGATTATCCTACTTGGAGTTCTTTGAGCCCCCAACTAAGCACAACTCTGAGTCAAATCAAATAGCCACCACACTCTAAGAATAGTGATCCCAAGGGACAAGTTAGGACAAAATATTGACTGTGCTCTTGGAATGGTGCTTTTCACAGAGTTCCAAATGTGGGCAAATATTTCCACTGTCTACAGTGCCACTGGCTTTAGGTTACTTACTGCACCAGTGAGCAAGGTAGAGAAGGGATGGGAATAGCCCCAGTGTGAAAAATCACTGACCGCGCCAGTTTAATGACTTAACGGTAGAGTCACTTGGATAGGCAATTTTCAGTTTGTTCTGTGGTTTTAGCTAAATGCCAGAATTATAAAATAAAAGATTTTAGTTATTTTGCCTATATTTTTATTATTTTACAGGGAGAATGAGCTGAACAAAGTCTTCACTCTGCCATTAAGGAGCTGAGCTCCCCTCTGTTAACTTTTAAGAGCAACAACAACAAAAACATCTATTACAGTTGTCTGACTGTAAACCACACTAGTGAATATAATAAAGGATTCAGAAACTAGGCATCCTGTGTTTGAATCTTGGCCCTACCATTTGTTATGTAACCTTTGGTAAATAACCTTTTACACCTTTATTCAGTAATATAATGGACATCATAGTAGTGTCTAGTTTATAGGATATTCTGGAGAATTTAAAAAATGAGATAAGTAACTTGGAATTGTACCTACCATATAAACATACTCAAAAGTTATCTATTTTTTTATGCTGTACCCTTAAATTATCAAGAAAGAGAACAAACATTTCACCATAAGATGTGTTCACACTCTCTGTTTCTCTTGCAGAACATTCTCTTCTTTGAAGTGGAATAAGGTTACTAATCTGTAGATAAGAGCATATTAGATATGGCTGTTATTATTGCTCACCTTTAGTTACATCATAGTTAAACTTGTACACTAAAGAAAAGTTACACAGAGTAATGGAGATGCACTATTAAAGAGAAAGATACATGAGGTGTCCTTCCAAAACCAGTCTTTCTAGGGAGAATCACACTTGATATTAAGAGCAAAAAAGTCAATATAAGTGAAAAATATTAATAAAACCCTCAGTATACTATGGATAAGTCTTAAGGTAGAGAGTATCCACTGATCATTAAGGAAAATAAAGAGGGTAATGGTGACTATTGAGAATGGATCTCCAGATTATTTTCTTTTTGGAAACTCTAAAATTTTAGCTGAAATAGAATTGTTTTCATTTCTGTGGCCAAACAGCCAAAGGAATTCGTTTGATAAAGTACAGTACAACTAGTATCCCTCTTTGCTACTATGGGCCAGGAGTGTTAGTCAACTTATTTCCATAGCAAGTCAAGGTTTACATGGTGAATTTAAATTTTCAGGAGCAGTTCACTGTTTCCCCCTGCAGTTTCATAAGAACTGATTGCAAAGTGACTGAAAAGAGTGCAATTTTCACAATATTCCAACAAGAGACACTTCATACTGACTTAGAAAAATTATGCTAGATCCTGTTCAGTGAAGCACTAAAACAAAAAACACAAGTGGTTTGGCCATGCTACACCATGCATAAGGTACTGGATCCATTGTCATTGTCACTGCTTGCCAGATAAGAACAAAGACCTCGGAACGTAAGGCACTCATTGATTTGTTTTTGAAGCTTTGATTGCATGTCATCAGCCTGGGTGAGTTTGGTGAAAACAGAGAAGCAAAATGCAGCATTTTCTGGGCAAGTCACTGTCAGGAACTGAGGTAGATGCTTTTGGGAAAGCTGCTCAGTGAGCTGTGACTTGTGAGCTCAAGCATTTGTCCACATGGTTTTTGTTATGTGGCTGTTTATCCTCTGTCTCAGAAGTTGATTTATGAAGTTTGACATGGTGCTATATAAACTCAACACTGTGCTACATAGAAAACAGGAGAAAATGATATATTAATTCACAGCGGCCCAGTTGTTTTGAGATCTTAAGTCCCATGCCATAGCAGGACAAATAAAAACTCATTAGAAGTGAATATTTCTGTCCTTCATACTTGAAAATGGGCTTTTGAGCAGCTGCCAGGAAGATCTCTGTAGACTCTAGGAAGTTTTTATATCCTGTACATAAGTGATCTCTACTTATGTGATTTACACTCTGTCACTATATTTCATTTTATTTTCTGATAATTCCAACAACCTATCTCAAATAAAAAAAAAAAAACAGATTTAAACTTAACATAGATTTTCATAAAGTTACACATGGAAGTAATCTGGAATGTCCAATATAGTGCATACCCAATTATACCCACAAGCTAATTTATCTAACAATAAGAATGAGTCTTTAAACCGATATTATGGTAGGCTGATGATAAAGGTTTCCATATATGATAGCAGAACTATGACTTGAAATGTAACAAAAAAATAACTGGGAAACTCTTTGTAATTATCTTTCTTTTCGATGCATATGCACCTGATGCAAATCTCAGCAAGTAATTCAAGTATAAACATGTTACATTCTCTCTATAATTGAATGAAAATTATTTTTCAAAAATATTATTCTAATGAAGGAAAGAATTATAATCCCCATCAATTTATTGTATTGCCTTGCCCACTCTGTTTCCCAAGATTCTATCTTTGGTTCTAGGGAGCTCTAGCAGTGGTAAAGGACGGGGCAATGGGCAATGGATGGCCTTTAGGCTTCCATCACATGGCCATGTCATCATCTGTTAAGATGTCCTCTTTTAGGTTGCAGCACTGTTGCAACACACTGAACCTAAATGCAAGCCCTTTCCTGGTGTTTTTGTTTTGTTTTGTTTTGTTTTGTTTTTGTTGTTGTTGTTGTTGTTGTTTTCCCTCTCAGCTACCAACTTACCACTCCCTGGCACTTGGGAAACATTTGCTCTTTCTAAAACAACCTGGAATCATGAGGTAACAGGTAAAACTTAAGGATTTTTGTCCCATGTGTGCCACATGCTAGGAACGAGAAAAATTGGGCATTTTAAAACATTTTCCCAGGATCCCATTGGGAACACAGCACAGAATTCTCTGCTCTTCAATATTCCCAAGGTTATCTGAGATTTCCTTGTACAACCCACTGAGACTATCTTAGAGAAAGGTGGAAAGGCTATAAATTAATTGAAATTTCCTTGGGGTGACCAAGATAAAACTACCCTTTGTAAAATAGAGTCATGAACTAGAAATTAAATTTTATTATGAAGAAAAAAAGTTACATTTTCTGTTCACTATGTTTATACTCTAAAATTTATATTTGCTACATTAAATTGCTGGCTGTATATAATAAAAGTAGCTGCCATATATTTAACTACTACTTTTCAGGTCTCATACTAAGTATTCTTAATGCACTATATTATTTAGTCTTCACAACCAACAAAAGAAGTAGCTACTTTATATCTAATTTTTATGATTCTCTATTTATTAGCAAGTATACTGAAACCCTATAACATTATCAATTATTATATCAATGTTACATAGTTTGTAATTGGTAGAGTCAGGATTTTAACATAAGTCAAACTGACATCGAAATCTACATCTTCACTCTGTTTTAGGTATAAGGTGTTTTTAGTAGAAAGATACATGTGGAAAGAAAATAATTTACTTTAGATTCCTATAAGCATGTCATATGGTCAGAGTACTCTAGTTTAGTGGACAGAGATATATGATTCTGGTATTAATTGTTTTCCATTTTATATTCAGTAACCACACTTGAAATAATTGAGGCAGATACCATCATACAAAGATAATTTGATGCAGTAGCTTTGTAGTCAATGTGGTAACTAGATTCCAAAATTTTCCCGTAATAATTCCAGTCTCCAGGTGTTCATGCCAAGGTAGCTTCCCTCCACATTAAATCCAGGCTGCTTCTCTGTAACCAATAAAATGCAGTAGAATGACATTGCTTTGTCTCACAGCTAATCTAGATCATAAAAAAGGTCCTGCAGCTTCTTTCTTGGTCTTTTAGAACTTTTGCTTTTGTGAATCTTCCTTTTGCAAACAACTACCATGCTGAAAAGCCTGAACCATATGGAGAAACCATGTGTAATCACTGTCTTACAGCTCAAGAAAAATGATCAATCAACAGACAACATCAACTCTGTTACACAGGTGAACCGTCTTTGATATTACAAACTTAACAGGCACCTGAGCACCTGATGCTTATAGCACTAGCTGACGTCATGTGGAACAGCTGATGCTAATCAAGGGACCAAAGCAGGAACAATAACAAAAGAGTTTTTCTTTTAACTTATTGGATTCACATGGGGCTAAGGTGATATGGTTTGGCTGAATTGTAGTTCCCATAATGCCCATGTGTTGCGGGAGGGAGCCAGTGGGAGGTAATTGAATCATGGAGGCGGTTTCCCCCATGCTGTTCTCCTGATAAAGAGTGAGTTCTCACGAGATCTGATGGTCTTATAAGTGTCTGCCATTTTCCCCCGCTGGCACTCGTTCTGTCGCCTGCTAACCTGTGAAGAAGTGCCTTCCGCCATGATTGTGTTTTCTGAGGCCTCTCCAGACATGAGAAACTGTGAGTCAACTGAACCTCTTTTCTTTATAAGTTACCCAGAGTCAGGCAGTTCTTCCTAACGGCGTGAGAACAGACTAACACATAAGGGAAGGTTGTTAAGTAGGGATAAATAATCCTAATAGTCCGAAAACCTGATTCTGTCCCTACATTTCTATGGGGCTTTAGAAAAATTACTAAAACTGTATACACTTCAATTTTCTTATCTGTAAAATTGAGAAAATAATAGTACTTCAACAGAAGTAGAATGAAATGAGATATTATGTGAGTGGATTTTTTAAAAACTATAGCAGCTCTAAGTGTATATTAACTAGTATTTTTGTTTTATTTTGTTTTCTGATAAGGTATCATGTGTTGAAAAATTAGATGACTTGCCTAAGATGAATAACTAGTAAGTGGCCTAGAACTTAAGTTTAATGGCTTCTATGAACAATACTCTTTCTACTTCTTTGCGGGTCCAATAATATCTTCTATTTGTAAATAGATTTTTTTATTTTATTTTATGTTGCCCTTCACAAAATAGGCATTTCCTCATAGGTAATGGAAAGTAATTTTCTTTGTCAAGGAACAGATAAGTATTTCATTTTAAAATGTATGCCTTTTGGCATATTTTATTGATGGTTATTGAATATAATTTTGTCTAAAACAGAAGCAAAATATCTTTGTCAGTGCACAATAGTATTGATTATAATATTTTCAGTCACAACTTTACACCATCATTGCATATTTATATTATGCTCTCACAACAAATCTCACATTCTGTATTACCTATTGGTGCATAGGTGAAAGTAAAATTTGTTTCTTGGCTAAGAATTTTGTGACCAAATTATCATAGATAGATAGGCTTTGGAAAGAAAGTCAATAAATGTAAAAGAGTATCAAAGAATATATTTATATTATATATTTAAAAACGAAAAATGAAGAAATTTGTTTATTTGATATATAAAATGATTTTTTAATTTATTTTTTTACTTGGAATTTCTACTTTCTTTTTTTTTAAATTTTATTATTTTTATACTTTAAGTTTTAGGGTACATGTGCACAACGTGCAGGTTTGTTACATACGTATACCTGTGCCATGTTGGTGTGCTGCACTCATTAGCTCGTCATTTAGCATTAGGTGTATCTCCTAATGCTATCCCTCCCCCCGCCCCCCACCCCACAACAGTCCCTGGTGTGTGATGTTCCCCTTCCTGTGTCCATGTGTTCTCATTGTTCAGTTCCCACCTATGAGTGAGAACATGCAGTGTTTGGTTTTTTGTCCTTGCGATAGTTTGCTGAGAATGATGCTTTCCAGCTTCATCCATGTCCCTACAAAGGACATGAACTCATCATTTTTTATGGCTGCACAGTATTCCATGGTGTATATGTGCCACATTTTCTTAATCCAGTCTATCATTGTTGGACATTTAGGTTGGTTCCAAGTCTTTGCTATTGTGAATAGTGCCGCAATAAACATACGTGTGCATGTGTCTTTATAGCAGCATGATTTATAATCCTTTGGGTATATACCCAGTAATGGGATGGCTGGGTCAAATGGTATTTCTAGTTCTAGATCCCTGAGGAATCGCCACACTGACTTCCACAATGGTTGAACTAGTTTACAGTCCCACCAACAGTGTAAAAGTGTTCCTATTTCTCCACATCCTCTCCAGCACCTGTTGTTTCCTGACTTTTTAATGATCGCCATTCTAACTGGTATGAGATGGTATCTCATTGTGGTTTTGATTTGCATTTCTCTGATGGCCAGTGATGGTGAGCATTTTTTCATGTGTTTTTTCGCTGCATAAATGTCTTCTTTTGAGAAGTGTCTGTTCATATCCTTTTACCAGTTTTTGATGGGGTTGTTTGTTTTTTTCTTGTAAATTTGTTTGAGTTCATTGTAGATTCTGGATATTAGCCCTTTGTCAGATGAGTAGGTTGCAAAAATTTTCTCCCATTCTGTAAGTTGCCTGTTCACTCTGATGGTAGTTTGTTTTGCTGTGCAGAAGCTCTTTAGTTTAATTAGATCCCATTTGTCAATTTTAGCTTTCGTTGCCATTGCTTTTGGTGTTTTAGACATGAAGTCCTTGCCCAAGCCTATGTCCTGAATGGTATTGCCTAGGTTTTCTTCTAGGGTTTTTATGGTTTTAGGTCTAACATTTAAGTCTTTAATCCATCTTGAATTAATTTTTGTATAAGGTATAAGGAAGGGATCCAGTTTCAGCTTTCTACATATGTCTAGCCAGTTTTCCCAGCACCATTTATTAAATAGGGAATCCTTTCCCCATTTCTTGTTTTTGTCAGGTTTGTCAAAGATCAGATAGTTGTAGATGTGCAGCATTATTTCTGAGGGCTCTGTTCTGTTCCATTGGTCTATATCTCTGTTTTGGTACCAGTACCATGCTGTTTTGGTTACTGTTAAATCATTTTAATAAAATAAAAATTTAATGTTAAAAACTACTCATTTTGCAACTTTGTTAGAATGCAAATAATAGACGAAATTTTAAAAAAACAGGTAGTTTTTAAAAAAAATTTCAAACAAGTAAAGTATAACAAAGCTGATTCATTGACTTAGCATAACCTGGCAGATACTTTACCTCTTTATATGGGTTAAACCTGAGATCTCATTAGACTGTCAATCTATGGAACTGTATTTTTTGTTTTACCCCGTGGTAAACTCTAAACTTTTATGACAGTTTTTCTTTTTGTATATGCAGAGATGTATGCTTTTGTTGTTTTTATAACCAGAATGAATGTAACCATTATGCTGCAAGAACAGGATTCTATAGGGTTTGAATAGGATACATTTTTTTTGTTTTTCATGTAAATCTGTGGACTCATTCTTCTTTGCATCTTGGGTGAAATTTCAGAAGGCTATAACTATTCAATCATTCTAATATATTACAATTTATTTTGATTACTTTGGCCAAATAAAAGTTATAATTTAGCTGTTATAATACCCAACAGTCTAATATAGAAATTCTGAACATCTTTTAAAGTTGTGTCTTCTTACCTCACTTATCTTGGAACAACTTGAATCTGAGAAGCTTGCAATGGTGAAGAAGGGCCTACTAAACCTCTTCTCTATGTTTTTAAGTTAATATTTATTTCCCTTGTACCTCTGCCCATTCTCTGCTGTTTCCAACCTTCTAGTTATAGCTGTGAGCAAGGCAGAAGAGATGATATGAGACTTAAAAGGGCTTATTTTACTGGTACATTTGTGAATGGCATTGGTGCATACTGCAAATAGTCAATTGTAAATGTGGCTTTTCTCACATGAATGCTTCTGTGGGTTTCTCAGAGATTTTCTCATTGAGAACACCCAACTAAAAGTTCTATGATGAGCTGGATTTTCTCTGGTTTTCTTATTATTCGAGCCCTCAGTTCCTGGCATTTTAAAACCTTTTCAACACCACTGTATATTGGAGTACTACAATGCCTCCAAGAGACTCTCTTGGGCAAAGTCCCTGTGAAGATAATTCCTGGCTGGCTCTCTACAAAGTGTCCCACATCTGGTTCATAGGTCATACTCATGTCTACTATACACAGCTTCCTCCCAATGTAGCCACCTTTTTCTCCCTCTACCACTAGACAGGGCATTCCGGACCCAGATTTTTATCTTTAGTATTTTGGATTTAGGCCAACTACCATTAATTTCTGCACTTTCACCGCCTCACCTCTCCTAAAAAATTCCAGGTAATACATGTCAAATCTTCCATGTGGCCCTCTAAAGTTTCTCATACTAGGCTTGAGGTGGATGAAAGGCCTCCCCTCACACTACTGCGAACGACTCATCTTGTCTTGACAGCGAGGAGACACAGAGGGAAAATTTATTTAAAAAAAATTACTTTGGCCAGGATTTTTCAAACTCAGCTTTTTTAGATTATCAAGTCCATTGACCAAGTGGGGAAAATCCACCCTCAATGTGTATGGGTGCCATTCAGTTGGCTGAGACCCTGGATTAAAAAAAATAATAATAAAACAAAGACATAGAAAAATATGTACCCTTTCTCTTCTGGAGCTGGGACGTGCTTCTCCTGTTCTTAGAAAGCGTAATCCAGGCTCTCTGGCCTGTGGATTCTGGACTTAACAACACCCTCTCTTCTCCCCTCACCCCAGGCTGTCAGGCCTTTGGCACAGATAGCCTGTTGCAGGACTTCTCAGCCTTCATAATTGCATGAGCCAATTCCCATAATAAATCCCCACTCTATCTATCTTATCTATCTATCTATCTATCTATCTGTCATCTACCTATCTGTCTATCTATCATCTATCATCATCTTCATCAAAATCTATATCCTATTGGTTCTGTCTCTTTGGAGAACTCTGATGAATACATCCTGTTACACAAGCATTGGAAACATTAAAACATAAACAGTTCTTCCAATTTTCTTTCAACATTGCTCACTAAAAGAACGCATGACATGTAGGAGTCCCACAGCCTGAAAAAAATGTCAAGATCAATACTGCAATGTATTAGGATATATTAATGAAAGTTTACTTATATGTAAGACTATTTTTTACAGTGTTAAGATTGAAAAGGTGAGAACAAACTAAATGTATGGCATTATGGGAGTAGTTTAATAAGTTATAGTACAACTATACAATTAGACATATAGGAAAAATTGATATTTTATAAGAATTAGATATAACAAATATGGGAGAATGGGGGCACTACAAATCTGGAAATGGGGAATGGGAGAAAGAGTTGATAATCAAAATGCCTAAACCAAGTTGGAGCTTTCAGAGACATCAAAGAAACCAAGCATATTTGGACCCTAAAGAGGAACCATCAACAGGGACCCCCTGACAAGTTCTGTTGAAACTAAACTGCCAACTCTGAGGAAGCTGTTCCTTATGTGTAGTCATCACTGCTGTAGGTCCACAGCCAAGCCCTTAACTTAAGTGGGCTTGAATCCACTTTTGGTTTAGCATGGCCAGCAGTCAGGAAGATGAGTTGGATGTGAAACAAAGAAGAGTGAGAAATAGTTGGGCATCTCCATCTGTCTGTCACTTTGGCTGACTGTGACAACATTCTGAGAGTAGTGGTTTCTGCTTTACTTCTGCCAAATCTCATGCACTTTCCTCTTTTAGCTAACTTTTACCCAGAATTGTACAGAGAAGATGATTCTGGAAAACAATGTCCAGACTTAGCAGACTTTACATAACATGTACCAGCATACTCTTTTTAAAAAACTTGATTTCAAATACTAAGAATAATTTCATAACTACTAATCAGTTTAACTTATCCAATATTTATTTGTTACCTACTATGTGCTAGTCACTGTGCTTACATGGTCCAGGCATGTGCAAAAATGGATTCTACCTCCACAAGAGGCATAATCTAGTAGAGAGGAAGAATGCAGGTGAATATAAAATCCCAGAATGAAAAGCACAGTAACAGGGGAAATATAAAAGGATTTGAAAGTACATAAACACTGCATCTAGTCCAGACATGGGATCAGAGAATGTTTCCCAGATGCAGTTACTTTTAAATGGGTCAGTAAGAAAAAATAAATCTAATTTATCAGAAGCATTTGTGAGAGTGTATGTGCATATATTAGGGGATAATTACATGACAGGATGGGGAGTAAATGGCACACAGTGAGTGTTTCACAAAAAGCAAATATTTTAACACTTGAAAATACCCTGTAGCAGATATTGTAATGTCCTACTTTTTGTATGCCTGACTTTCTGCCTGAAGGCTTTCTGGCTACAAGAGCATGTTTAGCCTAGGGCCATATTATGACTTCTGTGAACCCTAGACTAATTGGTTTTGAGGTCCCCCTTCTTTATTAAAAAATTTTTAAACACTATACTTTATGACTATGTTGAAATGAGATAAAGACAATCTATACTAGATTGTAAAATCTGAATCCAAGTTAGTCATTTAGACTTAAATATTTTCTTTGAGCATTTTTTTAAAATAAAATAGCCACTTTCCAAATAAGACCATGGAAGTATGTGTAATGGAAACTAGTAATCATTTAGCTGATTAGATCATTGCTAATGTCTAATTGAATTTATTCCTGTGTGTAAAATATAAATGTATGGTATTTCAATCTCATGCATAAGAATAGTAGACTACTGAACTAGTCTAACTTCAGAGTCTGAAACATTTATTAAGAATTTACCATTTCATTTTTCCAGGTGAAATTTAACATTTTAAAATATCTCTTAAGAAACTTCTTACCAGTTTTAGTGTGTCACTTGTGGTTTTCCTTACAAATATGAGTTAGGTAACCTGTTGGAAGGGTTAGCTTGTAGAGTACCTTTTGATTCTATCCACAGAATGCATCTATAACGAATATTACAAGCAAATCTGATATATTTGATATTGTTGCATATTTTTCAAGGGAATCTCAGCCAAATGGGCTGATAAACTTTTTATTCATCTAGCCAAATTAAATGGAACATGTCTACTCCTAAATTCTAAAGTTGGTCACTAGATATGATCACCAAGTAATTTACATTCCTGACTTTTTTTTGCCCCTTGATATTCCAGACAACTTATGTGACATGGCATGAAAGGGGGAGTTCATTTAAAGGGACATATACACAGTAATTATTGTCTATTTCGTCTAACTAATTTTCTGTGAAGTTCTTAACCTCTTGGTGATAAACTTTATTTTATTGTTCTTGCTTGCTTATTTGTGTGTTTTTTTGGGCTTATGTTCAAGAAATAAAATCAATTTCTATGAACATGTATCCTCATGAGAATAAAAAATGCACCTTCCTTACAAAGATACTCAAAGCTCTAAAATAGTTTTATTCATATATAGTTATCCTAATGCCTTTGAGATACCAATGAATACCTTTCTTTCCATATTCCTGAAATCTTTTAAATGCTAAATCAACTTCCCAACACTCAAGGGAAGAAAAAGTGGAAGATTTTGTTTGTCCTTTTACTCATTTACTCATCAAACACCTTTTTTTGGTTTTTCTTTAATGATCTGCTACATGATACAGTCCTTGCCCTCATGTAGTAGAACAACTAAAAGGAAAGCCGAACATTTTAATAATTATTAAATTGTGAATTAATTTCTATCAATAAATAATTGACAAAAATATGTTAACCAAAAATTAAATTTTAAGTCCTTCAACTCACTGACTGGATCCCCCTCTTGGCCAAAGTGATTCCAAAGAAACCTGAAAAACTAGTTCAGGCCATGATGGGACACTTGGGTTGTACAAGCCTCATTATACTCTCCTCTCTTCGGAGTTCGGGCACAACTGACCAACACTGACATTAAAACAGAAATTGTTAAGATTGACAAAACAGACTTAGCAATACGATGCCAAATTTCAACTTGACTCTAGTATAGCATCACATGACACATACCAGGCCCTAAAAGAAAATAAAAGTATTTTATCTGAAAATACGTTTCTTTGACATATTTTGAAATGGCCTTGCAAAGCTGTCTCTTTTAGGGGAAATTTATGTTCTGCAGATATTTCCCTTTCCTTTCCAGGTCTTTTTCTAATCTTGAAGAGATGATCTGAGAGTCTAGCACCTTTTAAAGGTCTGAATTTGCCAGCTATTGCCTCTAAGGGTAGCCACCTATGAGACTTCATCTACATAATAAGAACCTTGGGCTCCAGAACTCTTTATCTTTACCCAGATATTCCTTTCTATTGAATCCAAGTCTTTAGATAATAATTTAAATCTTTCAACCAATTGCCAGTCAGAAAATCTTTGGATCTGCCTATGACCTGTCAGCCCTGCTTTGGGTTGTCCTGCCTTTCTGAACCAAACCAATGCATACCTCACATGTATTGACTGCGTCTTATATCTCCCCAGAACATATAAAACTAAGCTGTAACCCAACCACCAGGGGCACATGTTCTCAGGACCTCCTAAGTCTGTTTCATGGGTCATGGTTCTCACATTTGAATTAAAATAAATCTGTTTAAATATTTTAGAGTTTGGCTTTTTTTAATCAACAATTATAATCACTTGATGTATTAATTAATACAGTGTCTGCGTTCCTTTTCCATGGTAAAGAAAATCAATTCTTTGTTTTTTAAAAGCATTCTTAGGAGGACAGAGTCATTCCAACTTTTCAAGTTCTATGTTTTCAAATCCTGACCACTCTTTTAAGAAAGGTCCAGTATAAATGTTCCATGACACCTTACCTGATTTTCCATCCATAAGTGCTTCTCTCTTTCAAAACAATAGAATTTAGTATGAGACTTTCTTCTGAAATGTATGACTTTCTTTCATTTCTTTTTCTTTTTAAACATGAAGTTATATGTACTTATGTTACTAGAGAGTAAGAATTTTTAAAATTTTAGACTATGATATTTAAATTTTAATATTCGGCCATTCACTGCAATATGTAACCAATAAATATTGGTAAATTAACAGATGCATAAAAATGCAAAAGGAGAGTGACATCAGCAATATAATGGAATGGGAGACTCCTAACTATTCTTCGTCCTACAGACACACCTAATAAACACCTACACATGGATCAATTCTGTCCAGAGAAAGCCAGAATCCAGTTGAAAGACTCAAATACACTGGATAACTAATAAGATACCCACATCGAAATGGGTGGTAAAGTGGAGATCCACTCATGCACTAGCCCCGCCCTGAGCAGAATGCCTTACACTCAGGAAAAAAAATCACAACTCCTAGGCTCTTCCCAAGCGGTCTGAAGGGCTTATATCATACATGTAGTGCCCAACTTTTGTAGTCCCTGCCAGAGGATTTGGCTGTTAATTCACTGTGGTAGAAGAATGGCAGGGACAGGGCAGAGAAAGATTTCCCTCAAGCACAAAGAACAAAGGGGATTTTGAGCTGCACAAGCACTTCCAGCAGCTGTAGCCCTAGGGATCAGCCCAGCTTCCAACTTCCCCTGGAAAGGGGTTTGGCTGCATGCTTTTCCAGCAGTTCCCAGTGGTTCTGGCCTCTACTTATCAAATGCAGAACAAATCTCCTCTGGCCTAAATGGGAGGAATGGCATTCCCAGTACCTTCTTCCTCGACTTTCTCCAGAAATAATTTCAGCCCTATAATCTCTCCATGAAAAGAGGCTACAGGCCTTTGTCAGCAAGAAAAGGAGGGCAGCACTCCTGCACCCTCTTCCCTGGCTTGTTCCTGAGACAAGATAAATTTCTGCAATCTCTCCTATTCATAAAAAGTTCAACAAATGTCAGTCATACTCTTGACAGATGGGACTTTTCTAGGCAAAGATAAGAATGGCCTGAAACAAAATAATGGTTGAAGATTTGGGGAAGAGAAGGTGGAATCTGTAATTATTTAGAACTTAAAGTTGGCAGCATTTTGTGTTTATTTGGTAGTGGGTAGTAGGAAGGAGGGAGAAGCAAAAAGCACCTCCCCAGTTTTGTACTCAGTTTTGGATGACTGATTGGACCATTATGAGACTGCAATATTAAGAGGATAACTAAATTGGTTTTGGAGCTTGGCTTTATCACTTTTTAACTGTATTATCTAATAATATTAGCCTTTTGGACATTTAAGATTTCTTGCTGTCAGAATGGAGATCACATTACCTACTTCGTAGGGTTGTAATATGTATTAAATAACACAGCATATCCAGAAAGCAACTACCACAGTTCCTAGAAGGAAGCATCAGACACTATAAACATTAGCTCTTGGCTGTAATAAACCATGATCTCACTGCTACACTCCAGCCAGGGTGGCAGAGTGAGACCTTGTCTAAAAATGACAATAGCAATAACAAAAACCAAGCAAGCAAGCAAGCAAGCAAACAATTTGTTTGTATTCATCTTCTATCTCTAGTTTTTAATCCCAGCCCATATACAGAAAAACTGTATGGCATGGTGAATAAGTGTTTTGACTTTGAGTTAAACAAAATGAACTCAAATTCTGGCTGTACTGAATACTATTTGATAATAATAAGTTACTTAATATTTGTAAGCTTCAGTATCAATCTGTGACATGAGAATAGAAATGTCAACATTTCAGTGTTTTCCTAGGGATTAAGTGGGATAATATATTTAAATTGTCTTGTGTAGTGCATGACATATTGTACCTACACTTAATAAACAATAATTATTTGTAGAGTTCTCCTAGAGGACAATTTAAGGGAGTCCCCATAACAGATTCAAGATTCCTTTTTTGATCCCTGTAATATTTTTGTGCATCCTTACTTAGTAGACATATGTCTGTTGTTACCAGTAGCAATAAATTTCAAGTTTGAATGACTAGGACAATTGTGTATCTGCACTCATAATGCATAATACGATGGAAATGTCATTCAATTGAAACTATTATTATTATTTTGCTTGAACTTCAGAACCAAGAGCAATTATTCTTTAACTGTTCTCCTGCCAGAGTTCGAAGCATGATGTGACAGTCTGAAACATTTATACAGTCCACATGATCACCAGCTTCCATGCCATTTGTACTATGAAAAAAATATTCTGTTTACTTCAAGTTCTGAGTAATTCTTTTCGATTTTTGGAAAGCTTGATTAGCTGAAACAAGCCTGGCTGAAACAGAATATGCAAGTATTGTATAAATTCTGTTGGGGTATATTTTTTAAAGATTGTGAAAAATACTGCCAAATTTGATCCATCTGTTCACATATGAGTTCTTCAATATTAATAGGCTGGGCAATAGGGAAATTTATTTAATTATTCTTCATGGCTAGTGCATCAGGTAACAATTATCTTTACTTTCATCACAGCAGTGCTGCTGTGCAATATAAGCTCAATTTGTGTTCAGAATATGATTTTAACTCCTACTGATACTCTGGCAATTTAAACAGTATTATAATGTTACTACCTGCAGAAAAACAAGCAAATCAATAAAAGCAAAAATCAAAAACAGTCTGAGTGAGAACTGACAGGACCCAAAAACATTTCTTACAATCTGAGTCCCAAAGTACTTTCTCTAGGATTGGATTTATGTAGATTGATTTGTTGGAAGTTTCATGGTGCAAAAAGTGAGGGTCCCCTCTTAGTTTTGCACTTTGTATTAGTTTGGACAAACATATAACAATATCAATCATTTTTTATAATTTTGAAATGATGGGTCTTCATCTATTGTCAAGGCACACTTTGGTAGAACTAGCTGAAGAAACGAAGGTAAAAATAAGAGACTTCTAGAAGAATGGATTATGGAAAGAAAATAAAATCCACACTGAAACATTTCACAAATTTTCCTTTGGGCTAAAGAGTTTTTCTTGTTACAGTTTTCCCACCAGTCTTCTACCATTTGTATTTATATCTTGACCCTAAAACTTACGAGCAGTGATGGTTAATCTCTGTGTCAATTTAATTGGCTTGACCACAGTACTCAAACACCAGATTTGATCAAACACCAATCTAGATGTCACTGTGAAGATTTCTTTTAGATTATACTAACAGTTAGATCTGTAGATTTTGAATAGAGCAGATTACTCTCTATAATGTGAGTGAGCTTCATCCATTCAGTTGAAAGCCTTAAGAGATAATGACTGAGGCCTCCCAAGAATGAGCAAATTCTGCCAACAGACTGCCTTAGGATTCCAGTTGTAACATCAACACTTCCCTGGGTCTCCAGTCTTTCAGATAGATTTTGGTCTTGCCACTAATTGTGTGGGCCAATTCCCTAAAATAAGTATCTGTATATCTTCACACATCCTTTTAGTGCTTTTTCTCTGGAGATCACTGACTAAAACACTAGCTATGTGACCTTGGGCAAGTGATTAACTCATTCTTTGCTCAGTTTACTCATCTATTAAATGGGAAAATTACATGGTCTTCACTGGGTTATTATTGGGATTAAATAAACTTGTATATCTTCAGCATGTCCGGAACAGAGGAAGGCATATTATAAGTGTTAGATGCATATTTTCTATTTCAAAGAATTTAAGGCCATGCTTTCTGTTTCAAATTACCTGCTCTACAATTTCTTCCGGAGAAATCCTGCCACAGTGGAACAGGAATCATTTTTTACCGAGGATATGAATTTTAAATCAGAGGTCTCTGATGCTTAACGAGAGCACATAAATTGCATTTATTTATTTTTTATGTCTCCCAATCTACATAAGCACTGTCTTATTTGTTCTCCTGCCTGAGATCTTCTAATATAAAATTACAATTTCTCAGAGTCAGACAGGATATCTGATTCTTGAAACCCTGAAACTTTTTACTCTTTCTTAGTTGTGCATAGGACCTTTAGTCAGGGTAATCAGCATATTAAAAGTAGATGTACATACTGGTTTTATTTTCAGATGAAAAGGTATGATACAGTTTAAAGAACAATGAAGTCACTAATGGTTTAATACAGCACTTAGTGAAGAGTATATGTTCCCTGAGTTAGAAAAAAAAGCACTTTTAAAGAGTCCATTAAGAATCAAGAAGTAAAAAAGTTTTGGGCTGCACAAAGCCCTGAATAAATTATACTACTACTACTTTTAAAATAGAAAAATTGATTTTATCAAAGCTGAATTCCTTACCAAACCCTGGTCCTAATAATATCACTTCTGAACTGCTTCAGTGACATTCCAACTGACTTCCCAACCACCAAATCTTTCTTACAGCCTCACCCTTAACTACACTATTAAGAATTACCCCTATCTATAAAATAAAAAATAAAAAGAGAAAAGGGAGGGTAATAATGAAGGTGGAAGGAAACTAGATCTGATTATGCCATTTACATTCTTTTGCTTTAAAAATATTTTCTGCTCTTGGTTTCCTTTTCCCTTCTTCGATTCATAAATCTCTCCAAAGCCATTCAACTTGCTGTCCTATTTCCTGATACTCCTTTGAAAGTCCACTCTTCATTTTTGCAGGATAACATAACACTCTTCACTGATGGAGATGGTTCTCAGGATATTCCACTACTTTTCAGAATGAACAGATTTAACTTCTTTATACATGCCGTTCCTTATTCCTAAAGTGCATGTCAGCCCTTTGTCTGGAAAGCTTTCATTAAGTCTTCAACTTTCAATATATTAACTGTATATAGCAAGGGTGGTGCATTAGTCAGTATAGAATAAATGCTGTAACAAACAGCTTCAAAATCTCAGTGGCTAAACATAATAAAATAAGTTGTATGTCACACTATTGGGTATTTGGCAGGTTGCCTTCCAGAGTAATGCAGGAACCCAGACAACTTTTATTTCAACACTGATTTTCTATGGTCTCAGAGTCCTCCATTGGATTCTCTACATTTAATCAAGTGTTGAGAGAAGAAATGTCTTATGAGCAATTTTAAGGGCCACTTCTGGAAATGCCATGTGCCATTTCTGTTTTCATTGGTGAGAAATAGTCACATGGCCTTTCTAGTTTCAAAGCTCCAGGAAGGGAAAAATCACAGGGCAGTTGATGAACATCCAGGGAATTTCTGCTAAAACAAGTTACATGTTACTACATCAGTGTATCCTCCAAAGTGCGTCTCAGGCAGAAATATTTATTCCATTCTTAATGATGCAACAGTTTTTTCCCTTGTAGTGCCATATATCATATGGAATTATAATTTATTTATTTTCATACCTACTTCCTTCAGAGGACTGAGTTTTTAGAAGAGGGAAGCTATGTTTTATTTATCTTTTCATCTCTACCAATTGTTATCATATTTGACATATAATGGTGTATAATAGATACTTGTAGGTGAGTGATTTAAGAAATAAATACCATTCGAATATATCTCATGTAATTATAGGGAATTCATCTGACTACCATAAAATTATTAAGTAGAATGCGAAACAACTTTTGTGATTTAGTATTTCAGGAAGAAAATAGGGTTCCATTGTCAAAGTAGGAGAAATAGGGAGAGAAAAAATAATGGTGAGGTAGCATTATGGGAGGTAAAATGAATTTTTTTTTATCTTTTTACTTTTCTAACAATGTATTTGAGTACTACATGCCAGGGATTGACCTTCGGTTATGTAAGGAAGAAGATTGCCTTTAATTATAGAAAGCTTAAACAGTTGCACTTTAATGAAGACAGAGAAGATCTAAGTTTTATGAGTTAGCCAAAAATAATTCTGAATGTAATATTAGAATACAGACTTTTAATTGGTGATCATAAGTCAGGAATACACCCTTTTATCCAGCAGCCATTATAAACAAACATTTAAAACATTTATAATATGCTAATGTATGGTTTCTATGTGCAATCTAAAGATCTATTCATTGCCATATTATTTTATTATAACGTAAATATTAATGTAGATGTAACTCCATCTAAAGACTCTACCTATAAAGTAGTACAATATAAAAATAAATAAATACATAAGGTTAGGACAATTAATGGAAAAAACTAAAAAAGCAACAATAACAGAAACACTGACTAAGCTTTTAAATAAGTATGTAATTTCTCTCTGTATATAACTGAAATGGGGATTACTTGGGTAATTATAAATGGATATTAGCATAACATTCTAAGTAAGAATAGTCTTTCATTAGCTTTGTAGGGCTGGCATAACAAAGTATTACAAGTTGGGAGGCTTACAGAAACCCAGAAATTTATTCTCTCACAGTTCTGGAGGCCAGAAGGGCAAAATGAAAGTGTCAGGGCCTGCTGCTTCCAAAGCCTCTGGTAGAGGATCGTTCTTTGCTTCTTCCACTTTCTGATGGTTCCCATCACCTTGGCATTCCTTAGTTTATAGATGCATTACTCCAATCTCTGCCTGTCTCACATAATTTTCTACTTGTGTGTCTGTGTTCAAATTTTCCTCTTTCTATAAGGGCACCAGACTTATTGGATTGAGTACTCATCTTAACTTGATTAAATCTGAAAAGACCCTGTTTACAAATAAAGTCACATTTACAGACACTTGGTATTACAACTTCAACATATCTTTTTGGAGAGACACGGTTCAACCCATAACAAATGTGTAGGGAAAACCACACCCAGGCAGTTAGTTTATCTCTTTGTTTGTTTTCTGCATTTCCAGTTATATCTTTTATTGTTGTTTATTGATGTTTGTGTGAAGAAATAAGGACATTTTACATTTGGAATAGAACTGGTGTCACTTCTTCCTTTAGCTTCTGGAAAAGCACTAACATCCCATCCTGGCAGATGCTAGCAGCTCTCTTTTCTCTTTTTGTGCCTAATGAGAGCAGCTAGTATTCACACCCTAAGTTCCCAAACAATGCAGTAATTCCAAACTGCCAGTGATTTCCACAACCCCAACCTTGTAGGAATGAAGTCTCTCAGGCTCACTTTTCGTACAGTTTTTGACAGGTTTTTGAGGTTTATTTTCCATCCCTGGCCTAATGAGAATATTTGGTATATGAATCCAATGGACATACAGCTTAAGAAAATGCACTGTAGTTCATACACCTAGCTGTCCCCAAGTAGCACTAATGTACCACAAAGTCCTCTCTCAAATATATTACCATTAAACTAAAACAACAGAGTAGTCTCTTCCATGCAGAAACTTCCTGTCTCAAAGACAAATTAAATGTGAATTTTGTCATTTTTCTGCTAAAATCTTAAGGAAGACATTCAAAGGTTTCTCTTGACCCTTTCTTTGGTTTCCTGCAGTAAAATGCATCAAATTGTTCAATAAAAACCTTAATGCCAAAGAGAAGAAGAAAGCTGTATATTGCCAGGAAATTAAACAATACTATACCTGGAAGGGATCATGCTGTGATAGCTAATTAAACATTTGAAATATTGGATTTATGAATTTATAATATTTACTTCAAGCTTGGTTGCTTTTCTGGCTCTCTTTAATATAATTCACCAGCATAAAGTCATATGAAGTTAACTTATTAAACACACATTCATACCTCTTGGTTCCACAAATTTAACATTATAGGTTGTTTTGATTTGGAGACTGAAGAGTTGGAGAGGCATAGGTTTTAAATTCTCTCAGACAAGAGGTTTTATTTTTTATATGCGGATCATGGGAAAATATAATTTATATGTAAGATATGTTTCCTGATGACAATTTATTCAAAAAATGTTTTAGCACTTACTGTATGCAAAACTCTGTGCTAAGTGCTATCAGGGACAGAAGTGTGGCATTAGAGAGGAAAAAAATTATAATGTTTGAAAATGTGATAGAAACATCAAAGGTAAATGAAATTAGCTATGTAAATTAAGAAACATTAGTCATCATTACTTCATAGCTTCAATGAGAGTATAAAATCTCTACCATCTCTCAAGATAAAAAAGTAAAAACAAAAAGAAACTTATCTTGTCCAAATAATCTGTCCTAGTAAGCCTACTGACCCTTCTCTTGCCAACGTAACAAATATTTTCCTCACACTATGCTATTATGAGGAATATAAGGGGAACTTATATGTTATTAACAAATATTTTCCTCACACTATGCTATTATGAGGAGTATAATGGGAATGTACATGTTATTTCTGCTCTTTAACTACCAAATAAGCTGGGGAGTTTTTAGAAACTTTGCTTCATTGTTTTGTTTTTGTTTGTTCTTGTTTCAGTTTATTTTTATGAATTTCAGCCAAGGAGTTGTCACCCTCCTAAAGCACTACAATTAAATCTAGATTGCTATTCCCATCTGAGTATTTATGGTAAGAAGTTAATTCTTGAAAATAAAGACTGAATAATATAGATGTTAGTTATAAATATTTCTCTGAAACATCAAGCTAAAAAATTTTAAATGATCCAAAATCCCACGACCTACATTTGCTTATATGGCCTTTTTACTCTTGTATCTATCTCAAGTGATCAAGCCACTCTCTATCTCCCTAAACTATAAGAACCTAAGTTTCTGATTACATCCAGAACATTTAATTTCCTCAGAAATTTATGTTCCATTGAATCCATTGAATATAAAAGTCAAGTATCAAATATAGATTTGAAAGTCATTTGTCAGCTAGGTTCAACGTGGTTATGTGTGTATATATATATATGTATGTATGTATGTATACTGGCTCTGTATCTTCTTTCTTTCCTTTTACAAACTCTAATGATCCTAGTACACTATTAAAAATCAAAGAAAGTTGATATATGTCATACAATGAAGAATAATGGGGTATTCTCAGTCACTTTTCAGTTCCTTCATCTACTGAATCACTTCACATTAGATATTCAACAAATATGTATTGAATCTTATTAGGAGACAGACACTCTTCTAGATAGTAGTATACAGAAAGAACTGAACAGGAAGGCAGAGGTTCCTGCCCTCAGTTAGCTCACCTCCTGGAAGAAAGAGGAAGGCAAGGTTCAAATGAATAAACACAATTATTTCAAAAATTAAAAAGTTTTAAAAAAATAAATCTCAGTAATATAAAAGAGAATGATTGAGAGTGACAGTAACTCAATGGAGGCCCTCTCTTAGAAGATCTAAATGAAGAAAATGATTTGCCTCTGCAAAGAACATTGGGGATAACAAGTCTTTAGCCAGAGGAAACATTTAAGTACCAAAGACCAAAAGCAGGGACAAGCTGTTCAAGGAACAGCAAAAAGGCCAGTGTGGCTGGAGTTGAGAGTAGTAAGATAATGGCTGAGAAGGAAGGTATTTGCAGATTTTAAAAGGTCTTATAAAGCAAACTGTAGCAAAAAAAAAAGTGTAGGTTTTCTTTCGAATAAAACACATTACAACTATAGGAAGATTTTTAAACAAAGCAGTGAGGTGCTCTGAGTGATATTTTAAGTAACTTAGGTGAGTTTGTAGTAAATGCATTGCAGAAGAATGTATCCTGAGGGGCAAAGAGTAACCTCCATAATAGCCACCAAAATCAGTCGAGTGTGTTTAAGATGAAAGTGTCTCTCTCAGGTAGACAGAGAGGCAGGTGGTCAGCAGTACATAGGCATCTGTCCTCCACAGGATCACCCCAGGACCCAGATTCTTCTCTATTGTTGCTTTCATGGTAATGTCATTCTCTGTTCTCTGTTATCTCCATTATTTTGTGACAGCTCCATTTCCCCCATTGCAGCTGATTTACCAGCATTATGTCCACATTCCAGCTTACAGAGAATGAAAAGAAAGTGGAAAGTAAGCAATTTCTCTTTTTAGTGAACATTACACACACTACTTCTGCTCACACTTCACTGTCTAGAATTAACTGTATGGCCACATAACCAGCTAAAACTTGTAGCTCTATTACTAAATGGAAAAAAAGAAATGTAAGTATGGAAATAGGGAAACCAATACAAAAGTATATACAGCCATCCTATTCATATAAGAAAGGATGTTGTCTTGGACTAGAGAAGTGGCAATGAAGAAATTACCTTGTGAACACAAGGTGTCCTGCCACACATTGACTAAGCTGTAGAACTCAGTCCTTACGCTCAATGGGTCCAAGGTCAAATGGCTTTACTTCAAATATTACCACCATATTTACTACTTTGAGACATTCAGTAAATCACTCAAATTTTATTTTAATTTTCCACATTTGTAAGTATAAGATGATAGTAACACCTACCTTTTGAAACTATTGTGATAATTAATAGAGGTGTTACACAGGAATACATTAAAATAGTGCTGGGCATGCAGTAAGTTCTCAATAAATGCTACGAGTTTCTGCTTTGGGAGTTGATGGAGTTTATGTCTTAGCAGAACAAATATGCTAAAATAGAATATGAGACATTATTCTTTTAATAATGCATTATTTCCTGGAACTAAAAATCTAGCCACCTCCCTTGGTAATCTAATCTAATGCATTTCTTCTCTGCCCCTTTATCTGGGATGCCAAAGAAAGAGAAAATATTCTTCCATCTGGTTATGCACAAATTGTATAAAATTAAGAATGCTTATTTGTCCTAGGGTTATCTGTTAAATCTCTTTCAGTTAATGGCATTGCTCACTTAAAGCACCTATTTCATTATATATTTAACAGCCTCACATGATATATCACATTGTTAAGTTTATCTGTGTTCTTTAACCTTGGAGCTAGATATACTTCAAAAAGACGTCACTACATATTTGTAGGAAAAAAAGTAGCTGCAGTTGATAGGGAGTAACAAAGATCAATAAAAATGCGGTTGTCATATTTCCAGGAAGGAATGGAATAGCTCTGTTCTAGTGAGTTCTCAAACCAATTTTGAACAATTCAGGATTATTAATAAGACTTGACCTAAAAGATGGACAAGGAAAAAGTAGGATCAGCATTGATCACTAACAAGGTATTCAGGATCATGGGACATGGGGGAGGTAGAAGCAGATGTGTGTCTTAGTCCTTTTTGTGTAGCTGGAACAGAATAACAAATTGGGTAATTGATTAACAGTAGAAGTGTATTTGTCTCACTGTTCTGGAGGGTGGAATGTTCAAGATGGCAGGGTCACATCTGGTGAGGGCTCTCTTGCTGCATCATAACATGGTGGAGGATATCACGTGGTGAGAGAGCATGTGAGAGAGGGCAGAGACCACGAGGGGGCCAAGCTCAGTTTTATAAAAAGCCCACTCTCACAATAACTAACCTACCCCTGTGATGATGACGTTAAACCATTCATGACAGCAGAGGTCTCATGATCTAATTACTTCTTAATAGGACCTGCCGCCCAACACTGTTGCACTGGGGATTATGTTTTCAATACATGAACTTCGGGGGACACATTCAAACCTTAGCAATCTGTATGCTTGTCTATGAAAGTTACTAGTGAGAAAAGATTTGTGAGCATTCCCATAGCATCTCAAGGACGAGGATGTTTTGCAGGTTGGAAAGGAAGAGAGAAGAGAACTGAAATTCACACCACCAACCCTCAACATTGAAGTGTTTGGATGGAGGTGGCATTAAATAGCTGAAAATGATCATTAAAATGTTTTTTATTTGGAGATAAAGATACTTTTTCAGTAGTAGTGTGATAAATACTCATATACATGAAGTTTATGTGTGGCGGAAATCCTTGAAGCAAACTGTCCCCAAAGCAATATGAAGATAGAAGAAAAAGAAGTTTATTGGCATTATGTTTACTCTAAATGCAATTTTATTATGGCTACTAGAAAAATGGCTTGACAGTTGTACAAATTGAATTAGTGGTTCACTCTCTTATTCATCATTCTTGTAGAAGAAAAGAACTAAAAATTACATTATGGCAGAAAATCAAGATCTCTGGACACCCTTCCCAGGAGAACTGTATCCAAAACCAGCTATAAGAAACGGTTCAAATAACACAGATAGGATTGATTACAGACGGCTATAAGTTGCTTTCTGCAAAATGAGGCATTTAGTGAATAGATCTGAAAGGAAAAACATTAAATAATAAGAATATGAGAAAAATGCAGAATATCAGAATGCCCTCTGGTGGGAGAGATAGTTTCAAGCAGGACAAGAAGCCATATAAAATCTAACAGATTTGATTATATACAAATTAGTAAAATGTCTGCATGGCAAATATACCCAAACAAAATAAAAAGACAAACAGCAGATTGAGAAAATGTAGATATACAAGATATGATAAATGAACACTTAATATGTCCTTAGTATTTGAGGGGTTCCAATAAATTTTAAAAATGTGGAAATAATTTCAAAGAATATAAATTCATGAAGAGGAAATACAATTGGTCAATAATCATATGAAAAGAACTTTTGCTTAATTATGGGGCACTTGGACACGAAAGTTAAAAAAAAGGTCTTACCGATCAAATTTAAAATTGTTGAAAATCGAAGTTATCTAGTTCTGACAATAACATGCAGAATTGGGCTTTTTCTTTGTTTTTTCTGAGAATGTGATTTGCTACAATATTGCTAGAAAATAATATGGTATTACAAAATACATTTTGAAGCACATATAATCTTTGGCCCAGATATCACACTTTTTAGCGTCTTTCTCACCTACAAACAAAAACAAAAAACAAAAAGAAAACACCTTTCTATAAGATTACTTGAATAGGGAATTTTAGTTACAAAAATGTTGTTTAGAGTGAAGAGAATACTATAAATACCTGAATATCAATTTGCTGCAAAGAATATTGTATTGATATTATTATGAAAGAAAAATTCAATATCTATAAAAATTAAAGAAAGATTGGGTATCAAGGCAGAGGAGAAGTAGGTACCTAAGTCAACCAAGGTACAGGAGGCATGGGGCTGATCACATGGTGGCATTGCATTACCTAAGATCTAAAAAATTATCTAGGACTAAATTAATATAGAAAAAGAGCAGCAGCAAGATAAAATGAAAATTGGGGTCTTTCCATTTTAAGATACTAGCTTTCCAAATCTAGCTCAAATCTATGATCCTCATTTTTTTAAATCTGAAAAATAGAGATAAAATACTGAAATCATACGGCTGCTGTGAGAATTAAAACAGATGACTTTAAATCACTAAGTGTGGCTCCTGGTAGACTATAAGTGCTCAAATCTGGGAAAGAAGATGCTGTAGGTATCTGAAGACTGCCCAGAATCAGGTTCACTAGGATTGATCTCCCTATTGAGATCTAAGATTGGCACAGTAAAAGAAGAGACAGCCTGACCCATTGTTCATGCCAACCTTGCATATGAGAAAAAGTGTTATTTTGAGTTTAGTTGCTTTGAAATATTGTTTTTTTTTTTTTGCAGACACTTCCTGAGTACATAAATATTCATGAGTGCAAATCAAATTTTGCAGTTATCATCCAAATTAAAAGATTCAACACCCCTTCAGAAGAAAATATGCTGTGAAAATATACTTTTTAAAGTTTAGTTCCTTCGATGTAGAAGATAAAGCTTCAAAAGAGAATTGAAATTTATGGAACTTAATTTTTTGTTTGTATTCAGCAGAGAACAAAGAAACCAAGACTGATTCTAAATGTCCCTGTTTCTAGAAAGGAATAAAATTTGCTTCTGTCACCACTTCAGGCGAGCCTCTCACAACCCCCCAACTGCACACTCCATCAAGAAAGCCTGGAGTTGAAATTTTTACAAAGAATAATAAAACAAAATTACTAAAGAAATACTGATTCATACAAATTTTTTCATTTTGCTCAGAAAAGGAGGCAAGTCTGTATAACTTTCATGAGGGTTTTTTGTATACTTTCTCTGTAGAAGTTAATGGATATGTAGAGTTGAGTGATGGTTAGCTACATAGCAAATGTAGAATTTTTCTCTTAATCCATTTTAGCTATTTATTGGCAATTTAAAAAAATCCAGGTAATTATCTATAATTATCTTTTCTATTTTTTATTTTTTAATTTTTTTATTATTTTTTATTTTATTATTATTATACTTTAAGTTTTAGGTATAATACTTAATTATACTTAGGTATAATACACAACGTGCAGGTTAGTGACATATGTATACATGTGCCATGCTGGTGTGCTGCACCCATTAACTCGTCATTTAGCATTAGGTATATCTCCTAAAGCTATCCCTCCCCCCACCCCACAACAGTCCCCAGAGTGTGATATTCCCCTTCCTGTGTCCATGTGTTCTCATTGTTCAATTCCCACCTATGAGTGAGAACATGCGGTGTTTGGTTTTTTGTCCTTGCAATAGTTTACTGAGAATGATGATTTCCAATTTCATCCATGTCCCTACAAAGGACATGAACTCATCATTATTTATGGCTGCATAGTATTCCATGGTGTATATGTGCCACATTTTCTTAATCCAGTCTATCATTGTTGGACATGTAGGTTGGTTCCAAGTCTTTGCTATTGTGAATAGTGCCGCAATAAACATACATGTGCATGTGTCTTTATAGCAGCATGATTTATAGTCCTTTGGGTATATACCCAGTAATGAGATGGCTGGGTCAAATGGTATTTCTAGTTCTAGATCCCTGAGGAATCGCCACACTGACTTCCACAGGGGTTGAACTAGTTTACAGTCCCACCAACAGTGTAAAAGTGTTCCTATTTCTCCACATCCTCTCCAGCACCTGTTGTTTCCTGACTTTTTAATGATTGCCATTCTAATTGGTGTGAGATGGTATCTCATTGTGGTTTTGATTTGCATTTCTCTGATGGCCAGTGATGATGAGCATTTTTTCATGTGTTTTTTGGCTGCATAAATGTCTTCTTTTGAGCAGTGTCTGTTCATGTCCTTTGCCCACTTTTTGATGGGGTTGTTTGTTTTTTTCTTGTAAATTTGTTTGAGTTCATTGTAGATTCTGGATATTAGCCCTTTGTCAGATGAGTAGGTTGCGAAAATTTTCTCCCATTTTGTAGGTTGCCTGTTCACTCTGATGGTAGTTTCTTTTGCTGTGCAGAAGCTCTTTAGTTTAATTAGATCCCATTTGTCAATTTTGGCTTTTGTTGTCATTGCTTTTGGTGTTTTATAATTATCTTTTAGTTGCAGATTTAGAATGGTTATTATAGTAGAGTTTCATTTTACAGTTTAAATTTTATATTCTACAGCTTTAGAAAGCTACATTATACTTGACAGAGCAATTCCAAATTCCAACAAAAAATCTTAAGGTACTAATTAGTCATAAGAAATTAAATTACTAAGACATTTATCATAATATTTTATATATCAGTAAAAATAAGGAATAAATGTAAGTGTCTTATAATAAAGGATTGGCTTAAGCAATCATTGGGGACTTATTCAACATAATGCTATTGAACCATTGATATGGTTTGGCTCTGCATCCTCATCCAAATCTCATGTCAAATTGTAATCGCCACATATTGAAAGAGGAGTCTGGTGACAGGTGATTGGATCATGGGGGCAGTTTCTAATGGTTTAGCACCATCCTCCTGGTACTGTCTTGTGAGTGAGTTCTCACAAAATCTGGTTAAAAGCTTTTAGCACTATCCCCTTTGCTGTATCTCTCTCCTGCTTCACTATGGTAAGACATGTTTGCTTCCCTTTCACCTTCTGCCATAATCGTAAGTTTCCTGGGGCCTCGCAGTCATGCTTCTGTACAGCCTGTGGAATGCTGATTCAATTAAGCCTCTTTTCTTTATAAATTACACAGTCTCAGATAGTTCTTTACAGTAGTGTAAGAATGGATTGATACAGAAAATTGGTACCGGGAGTGGGACACTGTTATCAAAATACCTGAAAATGTGAAGTGAGTTTGGAACTGGTTAATGGGCAAAGACTGGAACAGTTTGAAGGGCTCAGAAGATGACAGTAAGATGAGTGAAAGTTTGTAACTTCCTAGAGAATTATTGAATGATTGTGACCAAAATGATGACAGTGAAGTCGAAGCTGAGATGGTCTCAGATGGAGATGAGGAACTTTTTGGGAACTGGAGTAAATGTCACTCTTGCTATGCTTTAGCAAAGAGACTGGTGGCATTTTGTCCCTGCTCTAGGGATTTGTGGAACTTTGAATATGAGAAAGATGATTAAGGACATGTGTTGAAACAACTTTCTAAGCAGTAAAACATTCAAGACATGACCTGGCTGTTGCTAAAAGTGTACAGTCATGTGCGTTCACAAAGAGATAGTCTGAAATTGGAACTTATGTTTAAAACGGAAGTGGAGCTTAAAAATTTTAAAAATTTTCAGCCTGACCATATGGTAGAAAAGAAAAACTCATTTTCAGTGGAGAAACTTAAGTCAGCTACAGAAAGTTGCATAAGTAACAGGAGCCAAATGTTAATAGCTAATACAATAGGAAAAATGTCTCCAGGGCATTTCAGAGATCTTCATGGCAGCCCCTCCCATTATAGGCCTGGAGGCCTGTGAGGGAAGAATAGTTTCCTGGGCTGGGCCCAGGGCCTGCTCCTCTGTGCAGCCTCAGGACATGGAATACTGCCTCCTAGCTGCTCCAGCTCCAGCCATGGCTAAATGGGGACAAGGTATAGCTTGGGCCATAGCTTCAGAGGGTGGAAGCCCCAAGCCTTGGCAGTTTCCACATGATGTTGGAACTGCAGGTGCACAGAAGGCAAGAACTGAGGTTAGGGAACCTCTGCCTAGATTTCAGAGGATATATGGAAATGCCTGGATACCCAGGCAGAAGCCTGTTGCAAGGGCAGAGCCCTCATGGAGAACCTCTGTTAGGGCAGTCCGGAAAGGAAATGTTGGGTTGGAGACCCCATACAGGGTCCCCACTGGGGCACTGCCTAGTGGAGCAGTGAGATGAAGGCCATCATTTTCCAGACCCCAGAATGGTAGATCTACCAACGCCTTGTACCATGCACCTGAAATAGCCACAGCCACTCAATGCCAGCCTGTGAAAACTGCTGAGGGGTCTGTACCCTGCAGAGGCACAAGGGTGGAGCTACCAAAGGCCTTGAGAGCCCATCCCTTTCATCAGTATGCCCTGGATGTGAGACATGTTGTCAAAGATTATTTCGGAGCTTTAAGGTTTAATGACTGCCCTGCTAAGTTTCAGACTTGCATGGGGCCTGGAGCCCCTTTGTTTTGGCCAATTTCTCTCATTTTGAGCAGGAGCATTTACCCCATGCCCGCACCCCATTGTATCCTGGAAGTAACTCACTTGTATTTGATTTTACAGACTCATACACTGAAGGCACTTGCCTTGTCTCAGATGAGAATTTGGACTTGGACTTTTGGGTTCATGCTTGAATGAGTTAAGACTTTGGGGTACTTATGTTGGGAAGGCATGATTGTGTTTTGAAATGAGAGAAGGACATGAGATTTGGGAGAGGCCAAGGTCAGAATGATATGGTTTGAATCTGTGTTCACACCCAAATCTCATGTAAAATTGTAATCACCACATGTTGAAGGAGGGGTCAGGTGCAAGGTGATTGGATCATGGGGGTGGTTTCTAATGGTTTAGCACCATCCCTCTAGTTTTGTCTCATGAGTGAGCTCTCACAAGACCTGGTTGTTTAAAAGTGTTTAGCATATCCCCCTTTGCTCTCTCTCTCCTGCTTCGCCATGGTAAGATGTGCTTGCTTCCCCCTTACCTTCTGCTATGATTGTAAGTTTCCTAAGACCTCCCAGCCATGCTTCTCTACAATCTGCAGAACTATGAGTCAAACCTCTTTTCTTCATAAATCATTCACTCTCAGGTAGTTTTCTATAGCAGTGTGAGAATGGAATAATATAACCATTAAGAAAGATGTTGTAAATGAATATTGATTGAGATGATTTCTACAATACTTGATAAGTAAAAAAAGTTTACCTAATATATGAAAGAATTCTCATGTTTTAAATACATGCATACACAGTCACAAACAAGAACACAGTAGATAATCATATAGATAAAGATAAGTATAAATATTGTTAATAGTTATCTTGAGGGATATAGTGTAGATTTTAAAAATATTTTGCTTATTTACACGTTCTCATTGTTCTAAAATCACCAAATATTACTTTGATCACAAAAATAGAATTACAGAAATAATACAGCTAACATTTATTGATGGCTCATGATGTACCAGAACCTATTCTGATCATGTCTTGTGTATTTTTCATTACTACTTTTGACAAACATGTTATATTGCTACTACTTTTAAAAATTTTTATTTGACAAACAAGAAAACTTGGAACATAGTGTGGTACAGCAGGGGTAGCGTGTTTACCTAGGCAGCCTGACTTCAGAGATAATTTAAAAACTTAATGTGTTCTTGTGGTACCCACAACAAACCTCCATTCCAGCACCCCGTATCCTTTATATGTTGATTTATTTACACTTTTTTGCCATTAGAGTTTACAAGCTACTTGGGTACAAAATTGGCATTTTTTTGCCCCCAGCGTCCATGAAAATGCTTATCAAATGAAATAGTTGATGAATTAATGGATGAATAAACGGAATTCAAAGATATTCCTTAGATGTGTAAAATTATATTATTTTCTAGTTTACATGATTCACACATCTGTGAGGATGTGATGTTTCAGAATAATTAGTGGCAGGCCCTTCAAATGAGAGAAGAAAGTATATCTTTGCCTCCCTGTATTCTCTCCCTACTCAAAACAATTGAAGAATCAGTGGGCACACACAGATCATTAATTTCAAGAGAGGGAGTCTTTCAAGATAAAGCAGCAAAAATATAAGCTTGTCTGGGACGAAAATTCAGGAGGCAGAGAAGGAATTCCATGTCTTTTATTCTTACAGAGAAATGACTATATCTAAAACTTTATTTAATTTTAAGCAGGTAGAAATAGAGATGAGGTGAGAATAACTTGCACAAATTTAGTGAACGCTTTTATTGTGAAATCATTGGTTGATTTCAAACAGGTGTATTTCAATCATAATGAAGGTTTGTTTTTATTGTTGTTAGTCTAGTTTCACTATGTAATTAATAAGTAAAGAAAGATACAAAGTTAAAGTGATTGGGAGATTGGAAAGTTAGACAGATTTATAACCTTGTAACCCTGGATTGATAGTAATACCCACCACACTGGGGTTTGACTTTCCCTAACAGATCCTAGGCAAAAAGTTGCAGGCATAGCAAAGTAAATGTTTGAATTTATCTAAGAATAAAAAAAAAATTTAAGGTAACAGTGTTTTTAAAGTTATATAAACTGATGTGAAGAAAGATTAACAATCATATAATCATCAAGTTTCAGATAATGAAGAGGTCCTATAGATTAAGCTTTCGCTTTAAAGGGCACGGAAATGTCCCACTGTTGGAGAGGTTTTAGTTCCTGATTGAATGAACATAGGGATTACAAATTATCTCTCCATTTTTCATACAAAAATGAGGCTTGGAGATAAAGTAAGCCTTGCAGTTGAGGAAGATGACAGATTCCATTCACAGAATGGACATTGTTTTATATCTACTAACAAATGTCCAGTGCATTTTGACTATCAAGGCAAATAAATGTAGAAATTGCTCAATATTAGCTGGTACATCAGTTTAGCAAAAAAATTCTTTTTGGTCATCTTAATGTTCTTCACATACTTTTAAGAAAACATTGACATATAATTATGCTTTTTCTTTTAATCATGGTTTATTTGATACTTTGTTTAGTAGAGTCTGATTCCTGAGTGTAAAATGAATCTGTCTACCAACATTGTATTCAAAACTTTCAAAGAACGTTTTAGGACACGTTTTAGTAGCTATTAAGTGAGGGGCAGTTGAGCTGGATGTGTAAGGGGAAAGTGTAATCACTCTTTTTCTGTCAGTGCTAGCAGCTTGAAGCAAAGTCATTTCATATGCCTGAAGGAAAAGCTATCTGAACACTTAACGTTAAATAAGGTTCATAAAAATAGTACTAGTACATGTTACAAAAAGAATTATTTTGTTGATTTTCCTAGGTTTGCAATAATCAATTCCACAGCGTAATAAGATTTATTAGTAGTGTGTGAGTGCCATTAAAAGTGGCCAACTCCGAAAGCACAGGTCCCCAAAAGAGTACTTCCCCTTTACCCACAGGGGATATGTTCCTAGACTCTCCAGTGGATGCCTGAAACTACACATAATGCCAAACCACTGTCTATATATATATATATATATATATATACACACACACACACACACATACACATACAGACACCTATGATGAAGTTTGTAAATTAGGCACAGTAAGAAATTAACAATAATAACAATGAAATAGAGCATTGCTCTTCACTAAGGTTCACTGACAAAATAAAAATTAAAAAATAGAACAATTATAATGATATGCTATACAAGTTATGTGAATGTGGCCTCCCTTTCTCTCTCTCTCTCTCTCTCAAAATACTGTAATGTTTTTGGATCACGGTTGAATGCAGGTAACTGAAATCACAGAAAGCAAAACTATGGATAAGGTGAGAATACTGTAAGTCATTTCAGCAGCTTCCTTTCTGCCCTCACTCTTGGAAGGAGATCAAAGAACATGCCATATAAGATGCATTACTTGCTGTCCTGATTTTTTTTTAAGCCTTTTGGTGGTAATAAGATGGAGAAGGGAAGTGTTTAAGCTGGGCCCCAGAGATCAACTTAGCAAAGGCCAACATTGAGGTTTTGCATTTCCCAGCACACTGTGAGACTTAAAAGTATGAGGAAAGTACAGGTCTGTATGGCCTCTAATTGAAAGCAAATGCCTGGAGGAGATGCAGGCATACCCACCCATTCAATGTGAGGACAAAACAAATAAAACACAAGCTCTACCAAAGGTGGCCATGAATGTTATCTTCCTGTGAAAAGAAATGCACATAACTATTCCTCAGTCAACTGGAATATCACTGTTAGTTTTGCAACTCTAGCAGCAATTCTTGAGTATAGTGTGTATCAGACGGATATGCAACCTAGGCACACTTGTTTTTAATATATGCAAGGGGCTGTTGGATATTTATTATTTTAGCCATACCTAGGCATTGAGATTTCTTCCCATTACCTTGGACATAAAAGCCTTCAAAAGTGAAGAATCATTAAGAATAGTGTTTTTGTAAGTCATAACATAATAATATTATAGAGCTTACCTAAATTTTTATGCTATGATAATCTAAGTAGGATCAATCCAGTAGTTTAATATCTTGGGCCTCTTTTTATCTTGTACCCAATGTTTCTTTTCACAGTTATCATCACTGCAGTATGAAAATGAAATAAATGAGAGCAAAACACTTGTGATCAGCTGAAAATGCCCATGGTTTTTTAAAAACCATTTAAATCCTAAGTAGAATATTAAAATTCCTCTGAAGTTTGCTATGAAAGTGCGTCATAATTACACTATAATCTTAGTTATCTTTAGTTGTATTTCAGGCCATAAACTTTTTACAATTTAGTTTTAGAGAATTACCTTATTTGCAATGACTATTCAGAAAAAGGAGAAGGAGATTTATAATACAGGTAATAATATTTTTCTTTTGAATTTTTTACCAACATATGATTTTCTATACAATATGCCTTACTGAGTCTGAGTCTGGAGGAATTTAGTTTTATTGATAGAAGAAGAGAGAATCAAGTCTGCCATGTGGATAATTTATTTGATTTTACTATGCTGGATGTTTTTTATAAGAAAAACTTAAAAGAAAATTAAACTCATTTAAAAAGCACACAAATTGTTTTTGCAACAAAGCAATTAAGGAAGCCTGCCTATCCAAAGTGATGGGTAATATTCGAAGCACAAAAAAGGCTAAATTGCCTTCTGTTTGGGAACTGTGTTCTATCTCTTGAGATTTAATAAGAAAGGGATGTTTGGGATTAATATGAAGATTTAGATCTCTCTCATCTGAAATCATAAAAAAATCAAATACATAGAAACAGAGTAGAGTAGTGGCTACCAGAGGTGGGGATTGGAGAGGGAATAGGAGACGAGGAGATGTAGGTCAATGGGTACAAAGTTGCAGTCATGTAAAATGAATAAGAAGTATAGAGATGGAATGTATAGCATGAGAACTCTAGTTAATAATATACTGTACACTGTATGTGTGCTAAGAAAGCAGATTTTGGGAGATTATAATGCACACACAAACACACACACAAGATAACTATGTGATATAATGGATATCTTACTGAGCTTGACCGTAGTAATCCTCTCACTATGTATATGTATATCAAGACATTATGTTATAGACCTACCTGTAAGCAATAAAAAAGATTCGGTACACACTGTTATTTTTGAATTAAAATATTCACTTCAATTTTTAAAGTTAAGAATGAATTCAAGTAAATTGATTTATAAATATTTTTTTCTCTAGTCAGTTTGTGAAAAGAACTATTTTGAGCTAATGCATAACAGTTAAAACTCACAGATTACCTTTATTATTTATGCATATACAAGCAGGTATATCTTACAAGCAGTAGAAGGGATATCTTAACTAGTTTTAATTAAAGAATCCACAAATATTAAACACAAATGGTTTCAGAAAGTGCTTTTACTATCTCTGTGCCATGCTCAATGCTACATTAAGTGCAAAGGGGGTATATGCTAGAAATATAGTTTATGTCTGTTTAACAAGATTAATGTACATGAGGAAAATATGAGAATCGACAGAATATGTCATTGTGAGTAATTACATGTATTTTTTATCACTGAAATTTAACTGTGAAAAATGGAGTAATATAGATAAGGCTGATGTAAACCACAGTAGCCAGATAATGAAAACTTCAACCTCTCATGTTAAAGCAATTCTAAATCGTCACAGAGGCAACCCCATTCCAATGAATAATTTTAATCCTAAAATTGACAAAATCAAATTTTCATGGATTGTTTTGATATATATTTGAAGGATTGATTTGAGGAAATCGAAAGCTACCCTATAGTTAACAAGGATAGTTCTGAGACTAGGAGACTATTGCAGTAATATAGAACCATAATGAGTACAGCTTCACCTAGGACTCTAGGGATAAGGATAAATAAGGATAAATGCATATATACATATACATATATATGTATACATGAATATATATATATGTGAAGATATATATATGAAGATATATATATGTGAAGATATATATACGTATATGAGAAGATATATATTTATATGTGAAGGATGTGGTTATAGGGTAAGGGAAGTAGAGAATTTTAAATCTCTAATTCGGTGATGGAGAGGATCCTGGAAATATCAGTTGAGAAAAAAAGCACATATTTAGGATGATATTTAAACAAATCAGATATGTTACAATACTCTATGAATAATAGTTTTTCATCATTTATTTTTTCAAAAAACTGTTGGTCAGTGTGGTGCTAGAAATTGAAATATATATGTTAAGAATATTCATGGAAGGCAAGGTAATTAATTGTACTCAGTTCTTAATATTGTATATGAGGTAATGGACACTGTATTCCTACAAATGGTATCATACTTTCTGATTAATAGAAAGGTAATTAAAGATCAAAGATGTGAAATAATTTGCTAAAATTCAAACATCTACAAGATATCTGTGATGGGATTGGTATGGAATCCAACTCAAAAAATTACTATATTGGGATAATAATTTGAGTTATGATATAATTTTCATGTATATCTTTATATGTATTTCATATTTCAAATATATTTATATATATGCTTGGGTGTGTGTATATTGTGTGTACTCAGTTTTATATCAATAGAGCCATTGTTATTTGGTTCTCAGTTACTTGTAGCCAAATCACACTACAAGACATTGAGCTGAGAACCTTGGTGTAGATGGAGGTACTGAAGGTCTAGTGTGGGAATTGCTTTCCCTATGTGTTTTGAATGTAGTGTTTAACCACCCTAATAAGGATCCTAGAGACCTTTCTTCATCTTAGTATTTATTGATTTATTCTTGGTATACCACTGATATTTCTTTAAATTTGGCATGTTTTTGTCCTTGTTTATTTGTGTGCTGTTACTTATATTAGCCTTCTTTTTCAGTCAATAAAATATTATATTTATATTCTAATTAATTCTCAATTCTTATACACAGTTGATGGTCTTCTTTCTGCTTTTTTCAGTACTGTAATATTTTATTATTTTAAGCATATTATTCTGCCATTTAAGATGATACATAAGAATGAAATGGGAGAACTCATACTTCCTGATTTCTAGACTTATTGTAAATATATAGTAGTGAAGAAAGTATGGTTTTGACTTATGAACAAAAATATGTCTCACAGAGTAACACAATTTAGAGTCCATAGATAGCTCCAGACATATGTGGTCCATACATTTTTAATATAAAGCTTAAGTAACTCAATGGTAGAAGAATGGTCTTTTCACCATATGATGATAGAAAACTTTCACATAAAATACAGAAAGAATGATGAAACTCAATCGTTTACTTAAATCATATGCAATAAAATAATTAACTAAAAATGGGTTGTGGCCCTAAACAGAAGAGTTAAAACTATAACATGTCAAGAATTAGCCAGATGTGGCATTTCTATGACCTTGGATTGGGCAACACTTTATTAAACAAGACATATACGTATAAACTATATTGGAAAAGAATGATAGATTGGATGCCCCTCATCAAAATTAATAGTATCTTCCTTGACAGACACTATTTAATAAAGTCACAGAGTTTAGTTTTTAAAACATTGTATTAGTCCATTTTCATGCCATATTATCATGACATTATCATGTCATGATAAAGACATATTCAAGACTGGGCAATTTACAAAAGAAAGAGGTTTACTGGACTTACAGTTCCATGTAGCTGGGGAGGCCTCACAGTCCTGGTGGAAGGCAAGGAAGAGCAAGTCACATCTTATGTGGATGGCAGCAGGCAAAGATGCCTTGTGGAGAAACTCCCCTTTTTAAAACCATCAGATCTTGTGAGACCCATTCACTATCACAAGAACAGCATGGGAAAGACCTGCCCCCATGATTCAATCATCTCCCACCGGGTCCCTCCCACAACATGAGGGAATTATGGGAGCTACAAGATGACATTTGGTTGGGGACACAGAGCCAAACCATATCATTCTGCTCCTGGCCCCTCCCAAATCTCATATTTTTACATTTCAAAAACAATCATGCCTTCCAACAGTTCCCCAGATTCTCAACTCATTTCAGCATCATCTCAAAAGTCCACAGTCCAAAGTCTCATTTGAGACAAGGCAATTGCTTTCCACCTATAAGCCTGTAAAATCAAAAGCAAGTTAGTTACTTCCTACATACTGTGGGGATACAGGCATTGGATAAATACAGCCATTCCAAATGGAAGAAATTGGCCAAACGAAGGGGCTACAGTCCCCGTGCAAGTCAGAAATCTAGTGGGGCAGTCAAATCTTAAAGCACCAAAATTACCACCTTTGACTCCTTTGACACCTTTGGTCTCGAACAGCTCTGCCCTTGTAACTTTGCAGGGTACAGCCTTTCTCCTGGCTGCTTTCACAGCATGGCATTGAGTGTCTGTGGCTTTTCCAGGTGCATGGTGCAAGCTGTTGGTGGATCTACCATTCTGGGGTCTGGAGGACTGGGGTCTGGGGTCTGGGGTCGTCTTCTCACAGCTCCACTAAGCAGTGCCCCAGTAGGAACTCTGTGTGGAGGCTCCAACCCTAAATTTCCCTTCCACACTGCCCTAGCAGAGGTTCTCCATAGGGGCCTTGCCCCTCCAGCAAACTTCTGCCTGGGGATCCAGACGTTTCCCTACATCTTCTGAAATCTAGGTGGAAGTTCCCAAACCTCAATTATTGACTTCCGTCCACTTGCAGAATCAGTGCCACGTAGAAGCTACCAAGGCTTGGGCCTTGCACCATCTGAAGCAACAGACCACATTGTACCTTGGCCTCTTTTAGCCATGGCTGGAGCAGGTGGGAAACTGGGCACCAAGTCCTTAGGCCTAACATAGCACAGGACCCTGGGCTTCGCCCACGAAACCACATTTTCCTCCTAGGCTTCTGGCCTGTAACGGGAGGGGCTGCTGTGAAGACCTCTGACATGCCCTGGAGACATTTTCCCCATTGTCTTGGGGATTAACATTTCGCCCCTTGTCACTTATGCAAATTTCTGCAGCTGGTTTGAATTTCTCCTCAGAAAATGGGATTTTCATTATCACATCATCATGCTGCAAAGTTTCTGAACTTTCATGCTCTGCCTCCCTTATAAAACTGAATGTCTTTAACAGTACCCAAGTCACCTCTTGAATGCTTTGCTGCTTAGAAATTTCTTCAGATACTCTAAATCATCTCTCTCAAGTTCAAAGTTCCACAAATCTCTAGGGCAGGGGCAAAATGTCACCCGTCTCTTTGCTAATGCATAACAAGAGTCACCTTTGTTCCAGTTCCCAAGAAATTTCTCATCAATATCTGAGACCACTTCAGCCTCGACCTTATTGTTCATATCACTGTCAGCAGCATTTTTGTCAAAGGCTTTCAACAAGTCTCTAGGAAGTTCCAAACTTTCCTACATTTTCCTGTCTTCTGAGCCCTCCAAACTGTTCCAGCCTCTGCCTGTTACCGAGTTCCAAAGTCGCTTCCACATTTTGGAGTATCTTTTCAGCAACACCCGACTAATACAAACACATATCTGACAAGGTACTTTTTCCATACTATATACTCTTATAAATCAATAAGACAAACAACTCAATAACAATAAGCAAAGTAAAATAAAACAAAAACATCTCCAAATAACATATACAGATAACGAATGACATGAAAAGGTGCACAACATCGTCAGTCATTAAGTAAATGTAATTTAACATGTCAATGTCATACTATTCCATCCTTTTAAGAATGGCTAAAATTAAAAAGATTAATGACAGCAAATGCTGTTGAGGATGTGGAACAACTGGAATTCTCATCTGATTCTGGTGGGAATACAAAATGGGTTAGCAATGTTGGGAAACAGTTTGGAATTTTCTTTTAAGTTAAATATAACACCATTCAATCTGGCATTTCCATTTTTGTTTTTTGTCTAAAAGAAACTAAAACATATGTCCACTGATGGACCTCTAAACTAATGCTAACAGCACTTTCTAATAAATTTTTTGAAAGACTTGATATGGTTTGGCTCTGTCCCCTTCCAAATCTCGTGCGGAATTGTAGTTCCCAGTGTTGGAGGAGGGACCTGGTAGGAGGTGATTGGATCACGGGGGCAGATTTCCCCCATGTTGTTCTCATGATAGTGAGTGAGTTCTGAGGAGATCATATGGTTTAAAAGTATGTGGCGGCCAGGCGCGGTGGCTCATACCTATAATCTCAGCACTTCGGGAGACTAAGGAGGGTGGATCACCTGAGGTCAGGAGTTCAAGACCAGCCTGGCCAACATGGTGAAACCCTGTCCCTACTAAAAATACAAAAACTTAGCTGGGCATGGTGATGGGTACCTGTAATCCAAGCTACTTGAGAAGCTGAGTCAGGAGAATGGCTTAAACCCGGGAAGTGGAGGTTGCAGTGAGCCAAGATTGTGCCATAGCACTCCAGTCTGGGCAACAAGAGCAAGACTCCATCTCAAAAAAGACAAAACAAACAAAAAGTCTGTGGCACTTTACCCCTCTTGCACGGGCTCTCTCTCTCTCTCTTTCTCTCTCACCAGTCTCTCACTCTGTCCTGCCACCATGTGAAGAAGATGCTTGGTTCCCTTTTGCCTTCCACCTAGATTATAAGTTTCCTGAGGCCTCTCAGTCATTCTTCCTATTAAATCTGAAGAACTGCAAGTCAATTAAAGCTCTTTTATTCATAAATAACCCAGTCTCAGGTAGTTCTTGATAGCAGTATGAAAATGAACTAATACAAGACTTTATTTTTTAGAGCAGTTTTAGATTCATAGCAAATTTGACAGAAAGGTAAAGAGATATCCTACATTTCCCACATACTCCCACATGCATAGCCTCCCCATTATCAGCATCCCCTACCAGTGTCATGTTCGTTATAACTGATGAGGCAACATTGACATGTAATTATCACCCAAATTCCATAGTTAACATTAAAGTTCACTCTTGGTATTGCACATTGTATGGATTTGAACAAATGTATAATGACATGTATTCACCATTATAGTATCATACAGATAATTTCACTGCTCTAAAAATCCTGTTCAATTTATTTATCCCTCCTTTCTCCCTAATCCCTGGCAATCACTAATCATTTTTTCCCTGTATTCATAGTTTTGCCTTTTCCAGAATGACATGTAGTTGAATTATACAGTATGCAGTCTCTTCAGAATGGCTTAGATTCAATTAGTAACATACATTTAACTTTCCTCCATGTCTTTTAATGGCTGGATAGCTCATTTCTTTTTAACATTGAGTAATAGTTCGTGTCTGGATGTACTACAGTTTATCCATTTACTTGGTGAAGGACACCTTGATGGCCTCCAAGTTTTGACAATTATGAATAGAACTTCTATAAATATCCATATACAAGCTTTTGTGTGAACATACGATTTTAACTCCTTTGGGTGAATATCAAAGTGTATGATTGCTAGGTTTTATGGTACAAGTATGTTTAGTTTTGTATGAAACTGCCAAACCATTTTGATAATGGTTTAAAACCAAATGATAAGAATCATTTTTGCAATTTCATAAGAAAAGATCAAAAATTTCAAAACAAAACTTCAAAAGTGGCTGTACCATTTTGCATTTAATCTTCTTTGATGAGGTGTTTGTTAAAGTCTTTGGCCCATTTTTTAAGTGGGTTGTTTAGTTTCTTATTGTTTTATTCTACGTATATTTTGGATAACAGTCCTATATCAGATATATCTTTTGCAAATATTTTCTTTTAGTCTGTGTCTTGACATTTCATTCTCTCTTTTTTTTTTTTTTTTGAGACGGAGTCTCACTCGGTCACCCAGGCTGGAGTGCAGTGGTGCGATCTCAACTCACTGCAAGCTCCACCTCCTGGGTTCATGCCATTCTCCTGCCTCAGCCACCCGAATAGCTGGGACTACAGGTGCCTGCCACCACTCCTGGCTAATTTTTTGTATTTTTAGTAGAGATGGGGTTTCACCTTGTTAGCCAGGATGGTCTTGACCTCCTGACCTCGTGTTCCACTCGCCTTGGCCTCCTAAAGTGCTGGGATTACAGGTGTGAGCCACCACGCCTGGCCTGACATTTCATTCTTTTAATGGTGACTTTTGCAGAGCAGAAATCTTTAATTTTTATGCAATCAGCTTATCAAAATTTTCTTCAAGGATTGTAGACTTTGGTGTTATCTAAAAAGTCATTGCCAAATCTAACTTCATCTAGATTTTCTCCCATCTCTAAGGAGCTTTATAGTTTTGTCTTTTACATTTAGTTGTTGTAATTTCTTCTGAGATAATTTTTGTAAAAGATGTAAGGTCTGTGTCTAGATTCATTTTTTGTTCATATATGTCTAATTGTTCCAGCACCATTTTAAAAAAAATACTGTATTTTCTATATTGGGTAATTGATAAACAAAATGCAATATGAGTATACAACCCAAAAGCATTATGTTAAGGCTACATATCACATAATTCTTTTTATGTGATTCTGTAGAAATGACAGAAAACAAACAAGCAAAGAAACAAAAAATGCTAGGGAAAGGAAAGGAATGAATGGTTAAAAGAATCTGTAGGGATGGGGGAACATTCAATATGCAGATAGAAGTGAAGTATCTTTTGGGAGTGCTCAAATTATTTTATATCTTCATGTGATATGATTTCATTGCTGGTTATATTTGTTTAAACTTATTGAACTGAGCTCCATGGTGATGAGGATCATGCTCACCATGGCATATATTCACACATATCATAATTTTTAAAACAAATAGCATATTTTCATAAATTACTAAGTGATTTTATAACATGTCTATTTAGTAATAAGTGCCTAGTTATTTTTTCAAGAATAAAAATGCTAAGAATGTTTTCTTTCTTCCAAAAATATTTTGTTAAAGGAAAATTATGTAGGCTAATCAGTCAAGTAATAACTGTTTGTGCAGCTATTATACTTTTTGTTTTTAAATGTATTTCTACTGAACAATTCAGAAGTGTGTGAAGCTATGAACAATGTGTATACACATTTACTTTGGCAGTATATATAAGGATTAGTCCCATATCAGACTAAATATGCTAATGAGATTTGGGTATAGGTCTATGTATTCATAAAGACTCAGGTAAAGCAGGGAAGCCCTTGCACTCAATCTAGGGAGAGAGTGTACTTCATTTCCACTCTGACCCCTGGAAGATCTTCAGAGTGTAATTCTGAAACTTCAGGCCTTTATCTCCTATTTAAGTGGAAATCACGTACTATAGACTTCCTGTGATAAAAGAGAAATAAACAGAACAAAACAAAATAAAAATGTTCAAATTGGTTAAAAAAGGACTTAAGAAATTACAATGCTAAATAAATGTAAAGAAATTAAAATGCTAAATAAATATAAAGAAACATTTTGGGAGACATAAACTCTGTTTTTATTTTGGGTTTGCAGCCGATTTTCTCTGCATCAGTTCTCTCAAACATATGCAGCTATTTACCTCCTCCACAGATACTTATGTTGCCATATGGATTATTTGTTAACAACCCAGTTTCTAGACCATTGGAAAGGGACTAGACCTACAAATAAAAAGATCATATAGCAAAGTCATTGAAGTTTAAACCTAAAAAGGAGTGTTTACTTGTAGAATTATATTCCTGTCCCATCTATAAAAATAGTAAATGTATAAAATAAAAATGTAAAAATTGAACATACTGAAAAATACAGGATACATCAAATAAAGAATATTTACAAAATATCTTTCTTAAGAGTGTTTCAGTATGTACATGTCCTATCTTATATTTGATCATGCAGGGCAAACGATGCCACATTAAAATTAAGGCTGAGATAAAAAAGTAGTGCACTTGGGAAATTAAGGAGACTGCAGAATATGATAAAACCATATTTTTAAAGACTTCTCATTTTACTGAGAATTAGTTTGGAATCTTCATCAGTGTAGTCAGAGAAGAAATTACTTTGTCTATAGTACCAAGATTAAAATGAGACCTGCTGAAGAAGAAATAATGAATTTATTCTCCACATTTATTTTGTGGTACAGAAGACACATTACTCTACATTATGCTTATATTAGACTTAAATAAATTTCATTATAAAAACAAGATTAGAAGAGAGCTTTGGAATTTGAAAACATATACTACTTATATGAATTTTTATAATAAAACACTTTCAGGATGATAATATGTTTCTGTGCTTTAAGATAATTAAATACCAAAGTGCATAGAAGTAGTTTTTAGTCTGATTGTGTAGGTTTAAATCAAAGGAATTTAAAATTCAATCACCAAACCTTTACAATGTACGCTGCCATTTATAATGCTTGGCACTGATTACCTCTATTTAGAGTAAGTGTGCAAGTAATGTTTGTAACATCTGAAAATGAGAATGCCAAGTGTACAGTGTGAGAGTAGTCGGCACTGAAATTTCACATTACCTGGTGAGCGTACCTTTATAAAATCAAAGTATATCAGAAAATATTAAAAAATAAAAATCCTATTGGATTTATTTAGCTTTCAATACATAAACAAGTCCCTTATTTAAATATAGTAGTTTAACTGTAATTCTCTCTCATTTTTTTTTTGCCAAACTCTGCACTAATGTATCACTCCATAAAGCAAAAATCATATGAGTCAAACCAATATGGTTATTCCTCTTCCTACACATGATTGCCTATTACTCTTTGGTTGCAGAAACACTTTGACATAAATATAATAAGCTTTCTCTTCATATTTCTTATAGCCCTTCATCGTAAAACTAATGAATCCTGCTAGATCCAAGTTCAACGTAATACCAAATCAGAATTTTTCCTTTTGAACAATGCCACCTAGAATTTTATGAGCCAACTAATTTCCTAAGTAATTCCATTAAATAATTTTTTGTTAATCTTTCAGTTATTTTTAATACATATAGATATTTAAGAGGCACTTTAAAGATGGTTGTGTAGAACTCTAGATGATTGAGATGCTATAAGGGAATAAAAAAAGATTACATGGTAAAATATAGTGCCCTCTTGACATTTCACTGGGAACATCACTAATAATGGGCTTAATTTTGTTTAATTCAGTATTTTTTAAGTCATAAAATAACTAGTTAGAGGTATAGGACACTTTGGGAAAACCTGTTTTAAGGGATAACTTATTTATGAGTAGAAGATAAATCTAATACAGACAAATGCACATCTTTTTTTCTATACATAATACATTTGATAATCATAGCAGACATTCTAAGCAATACAATTTCTATTTATTTGTATAGTTATATTAGATTTACGCTTTTTGAAAATGGTCAGGAAATCAAATTAGATTATTTTTATTTCAATCAAAGTTACACATACATGCTGTTTAAAGAGACTGTCTATGATTCTGATTTTGGTTAAAATAAGATCAGTCTACTATAATCTATTTCTCCTACTGATTACAGATAAAATTTCTGGAAAAATACAAAAAGCTATTATCTGAGGACTCTCAAAAGGAATCAAAAGCATGTGAATTGTGAAGGGTTGCCAAAACTTAGGGAAGCAATTGTCAAAGGGTTAAATTTCCTTCTATCCTAGCCACGCTTTTTTTTCTCCTGCAGCTTTGCCTAAAGACCAGTCCCCCGTCATGTTGCTGCTTGGTGAAGCAGTAATATGGTCAGCTAAGGCTGTACTAGAAAATCAATTTTCTGGCCAGCGCAAATGAAGAAAGGGCTTCTGCAGCTTTGTAGGCAAGGATTGTAGGGAAATCCAAAGAAGAGAAAACTGAAGAAAGATATCCTTTAATTCTGTGCATAAATCCATGTGAGTCTGGTTTTGGGCTTATCTCTGAAGGGCACATGTGATTGAAAAGAGCATAATAAAGAATTTGAGAACTGAACTCAAATTTAAACTTCTGCTTATGTCGCAAACTAATACTTAAGTGGTGTCTGCATGAAACAGACCCAAAACAGCATGAAAGTCCTTGAAAACCAAAGTGACATTAGAGCCACTGCTCACAGAAAGTGAGGCAGAACTTGCAAACTGAACCTAATCAGACTGATTTTCTACTCAAATAAACACACCAAAAACAACAGCATAGTTTGTAAGATTCTAACAAAATTCAGAGTCTACAAAACATGACATTCAGAATGTCTAGGATTCAATCCAAAGTTACATGACGTACAAATAACCTAGAAAATGTGAACAATTTTCAAATGAAACAATAATCAACAAATTCCAACCCTGAGATGTTGGAATTCAAATGTTGGAAATATCAGACAAATATTTTGAAATCATTATTATAACTGGGAGCCGTGAGGTAAAAATAAACATTTGAAATAAATGAAAAAATATAAATATTTGGCAGAGAAATTAAGAATATTTTAAAAGGTCTAACTTGATATTCTAGAACTGAAAATTTTAATGCCTAAAATTTTTTTAAAAATCACTGATTGTGTTCAATATTAGAAGGGAGAACCAGCCTTGCATCCCAGGGATGAAGCCCACTTGATCATGATGGATAAGCTTTTTGATGTGCTGCTGGATTCGGTTTGCCAGTATTTTATTAAGGTTTTTTGCATTAATGTTCATCAGGGATATTGGTCTAAAATTCTCTTTTTTTGTTGTGTCACTGCCAGGCTTTGATATCAGGATGATGCTGGCCTCATAAAATGAGTTAGGGAGGATTACCTCTTTTTGTATTGATTGGAATAGTTTCAGAAGGAATGGTACCAGCTCCTCCTTGTACCTCTGGTAGAATTTGGCTGTGAATCAGTCTGGTCCTGGACTTTTTTTGGTTGGTAGGTTATGAATTATTGCCTCAATTTCAGAGCCTGTTATTGGTCTACTCAGGGATTCAACTTCTTCCAATCAATAAACGTAATCCAGCATATAAACAGAACCACAGACAAAAACCACATGGTTATCTCAATAGATGCAGAAAAGGCCTTTGACAAAATTCAACAGCCCTTCATGCTAAAAACTCTTAATAAATGAGGTATTGATGGGACGTATCTCAAAATAATAAGAGCTATTTATGACAAACCCACAGCCAATATCATACTGAATGGGCAAAAACTGGAAGCATTCCCTTTGAAAACTGGCACAAGACAGGAACGCCCTCTCTCACCACTCCTATTCAACATAGTGTTGGAAGTTCTGGCCAGGGCAATCAGGCAGGAGAAAGAAAGAAAGGGTATTCAATTAGGAAAAGAGGAACTCAAATTGTCCCTGTTTGCAGATGACGTGATTGTATATTTAGAAAACCCCGTCGTCTCAGCACAAAATCTCCTTAAGCTGATAAGCAACTTCAGCAAAATCTCAGGATACAAAATCAATGTGCAAGAATCACAAGCATTCTTATACACCAATAACAGACAAACAGAGAGCCAAATCATGAGTGAACTCCCATTCATGATTGCTACAGAGAATAAAATACCTATAAATTACCCAAGGTAATTTATAGATTCAATGCCATCCCCATCAAGCTACCAATGACTTTCTTCACAGAATTGGAAAAAACTACTTTAAAGTTCATATGGAACCAAAAAAGAGCCTGCATTGCCAGGTCAATCCTAAGCCAAAAGAACAAAGCTGGAGGCATCATGCTACCTGACTTCAAACTATATTACAAGGCTACAGTAACCAAAAGAGCTTGGTACTGGTACCAAAACAGAGATGTAGACCAATGGAACAGAACAGAGCCCTCAGAAATAATATCACACATCTACACCCATCTGATCTTTGACAAACCTGACAAAAACAAGAAATGGGAAAGGATTCCCTATTTAATAAATGGTGCTGGGAAAACTGGCTAGCCATATATAGAAAGCTGAAACTGGATCCCTTCCTTACAGCTTATACAAAAATTAATTCAAGATGGATTAAAGACTTAAATGTTAGACCTAAAACCATAAAATCCCTAGAAGAAAACCTAGGCAATACCATTCAGGTCATAGGCATGGAAAAGTACTTCATGTCTAAAACACCAAAAGCCATGGCAACAAAAGCCAAAATTGACAAATGGGATCTAATTAAACTATAGAGTTTCTGCACAGCAAAAGAAACTACCATCAGAGTGAACAGGCAACCTACAGAATGGGAGAAAATTTTTGCAATCTACCCATCTGACAAAGGGCTAATATCCAGAATCTACAAAGAACTCAAACAAATTTACAAGAAAAAAACAACCCCGTCAAAAAGTGGGTGAAGGATATGAGCAGACACTTCTCAAAAGAAGACATTTATGCAGCCAACAGACACACGAAAAAATGCTCATCATCACTGGCCATCAGAGAAATGCAAATCAAAACCACAATGAGATCCCATCTCACACCAGTTAGAATGGCGATCATTAAAAAGTCAGGAAACAACAGATGCTGGAGAGGATGTGGAGAAATAGGAACACTTTTATACTGTTGGTGGGACTGTAAACTAGTTCAACCATTGTGGAAGACAGTATGGCGATTCCTCAAAGATCTGGAACTAGAAATACCATTTGACCCAGCCATCCCATTACTGGGTATATACCCAAAGGATTATAAATCATGCTGCTATAAAGACACATGCACATGTATGTTTATTGCAGCACTATTCACAATAACAAAGACTTGGAACCAACCCAAATGTCCATCAACGATATACTGGATTAAGAAAATATGGCACATGTACACCATGGAATACTATGCAGCCATTAAAAGGATGAGTTCATGTCCTTTGTAGGGACATGGATGAAGCTGGAAACCATCATTCTCAGCAAACTATCACAAGGACAAAAAACCAAACACTGCATGTTCTCACTCATAGGTGGGAATTGAACAACGAGAACACTTGGACACAGGAAGGGGAACATCATACACTGGGGCCTGTCGTGTGGTGGGGGGGGGCTGGGGGAGGGATAGCATTAGGAGATATATCTAATGTAAATGACGAGTTAATGGGTGCAGCACACCAACATGGCACATGTATACATATGTAACAAACCTGCCCGTTGTGCACATGTACCCTAGAACTTAAAGTATAATAATAAAACAAAGAAGGGAGATAATGGAGATAGTAATCAGTGAACTTGAGGATAAATTGATAGAACTTATTCTATCTGAAAAATATGTTTTGAAATATATGAAAAGAAATCCCCAGACCTGTGGAACAATATCATACTGAAAATAGCTTTTGTTGGAGCTTCAGAAGGAAGAAAGAGATAAATACAGAAAAAAAATATAATATTTGAATAATGACTAAAACCTTTTCTAATTTGGCAAACATCATAAATTCAAAGATTTAAGAAGATCAGCAAATTCCAAATAAGTTAAACTCAGACAGCAACAAATAGATACATCATATTCAACTAGTAAAAATGAAATATAAGAAATTCTTGAAATCAGAAAGAAAAATTAATGCAAGACATGGATATTAACCATAAATTTAACCTTAAAAATGAAAACAGGTTTCTCATCAGGAAGACCAGGAAGATGGCTTAATAAAGAAAATATTAAATAAAAGAAAACCAAGTTAATTTGTTTCCAGTGAGATTATTCTAAAAGAACCACTAAAGAAAGTATTTTAGAACGATGGAAAAGATGTCAGATGGAAATTTGGAGGCTTAAGTATGAAGAAAGAGCAACAGCAATGGTAGATTTTTGGTAAATATAAAATAATACTTTAAATACTTTAAAAAGTATATGAATCTTTAGATTAAAATCATAACATTGTCTATTGGAGTTTTGTAAGTGTATAATAACACATATGATAACAATACCATAAAGTTCAGTAGATGATGATAAGGGGGCCTGTATATTTGCCAGGATTCCATATTTTACTTGAAGTATTACATTAACTATTAATAGACTGTGAAATGTTAAGTGTGCATATAGTAATCACTAAACAACCCTTTGAAAAATAATGGAAAGGTGTAACTAAAAATCCAATGGGTAAATAAAATGTAATACTAAAAAAAAAAACTAAATACTCCAAAATAAGCCACAAAAAGAATGACCAAAATAAAGTTAAAACAGAGTGGACAAACTGGGAAAAAAAAAGTAAGTAATACGGTATCACTGAATCCAATCATATCACAAATTAAATAAAGTCTAAATGGCTAAAACACATTGGTTAGAAGACTGTTAAATTGGATTAAAAAAATCCAACTACATATTGTCTGTAAGAACCCAGTTTAAGTAGATAATAAAATCAGAAATAAAAATGACATGACAATCCTGAATGTACATGCATCAGTCAACAAGAGTGTTCCAAAATACGTGAATCAAAAACTGACAGTACTGAAATGTGAAGCAGACAAATGCACAAGTATAGTTGAAGACTTCAACATTCTTCTCTCAATAATAATCAGAAAATAAAGATATGCAATACCTGAATAACTCTGTCAATTAAATTTATTTAACTGACAATTATACACAATTCCACTCAACTACAGCAAAATACACATTCTTTTCAAGGTCATATGAAATACTAAAAAATGATAAACTATAATATAAACCTTAACAATAAAGCAAATCAAATCTCAAAAAATTTAAGGTAATTAAAATAATGAAAAAATACAAAAATATTATTTTACCATAATATAATTAAAGTGGCATGTAAAAAGGAAGAGTTATATTTGATAAGTTAAGCAGGCATGAAAGGAAGAAAATGGAGGCAATACATTTCTAGAATTCTTTCTTGCTACATTTTTTGGTTATGTGTAAAAAAGAGATAGGAAGCACTTAGAGTGTGATGTTAAGAGACAGTATTTATTTACAAAGTTATTTACTTGTGTGTTTTTTTTTTTCAGTGAAAGAGACATAGCCATGGCTTCCTTTCTGCTAACCAAAATCTGTGTACACAGCATACTAATTCCTCAGGCAGATAGGGCATAGTAAAAATAAATGGAAATGTGATATATCATGTACAACTTCTTACAAAGACTCTTACCAGAATGTAGAGCAGGTGGTTTAATCATCCTTTGATTTTTTTAAAGTTAGAGTCACATAATTTTCCCACTATTTAGGTGTACAGTTTTTTTAATTTTGAAAAATGCACATACTTCTGCAAGCACTACCACAATCAAAATATAGAGCATTTTGATAAATGAAAAAAGTCCCATGATGCTCCTCCTGCTTCTTCCTCCCCTCATTGGCCCTGGCAACCACGGATCTGTTTTCTGTACAAGGACAGATAGCTTTTAACACTATACTTTATTCTTTAATCAACATCTCTTGAGAAATCCTGTTATAAAGCAGATGAAAGTAGAGTTGCTCTGGAAAAGTGAGTTTAGCAGTTCTAGGGAACTAGAAACTTAACCTGACCTTCATCTACTATGTAATGTTTCCAGTAAAGTATCTCAGGAAGATGCTTGAAGCAATGGTTACATTTTTTCTACTTTTTTAAAATTTAGATGTTTTGAAGCTAGAAAATTTATTAGTATGTCAGTAGATTGCTTCTTCATAAAATATGCATTTCATGAACATAGGAGACTTAAAAATCTGGAGGAAACATATTGTACATGGGGTGCTGGAAGTGTTGAGTTTAGTATTGTTGAAATCCATTCATGGTAGGTGATAAACTTTCTGCCCAAACTTTCTACATAGATAACTGATAGAGCTCATGATTTCTCCACTTCTCCTAAAGACATTTTTTATACTCTACACCTTTAATCATATTGCTAATGTATTTTTAAGTGGAAATGTCACCAAACTGTCTTTTAATGATACTCACTGAACAATTTGTTTTCTATTTTTGTTAGTTTTTCGTTGTTTTTTTTATTTTTATTTTTATTTATTTATTTATTTTATTTTTATTTTTTGAGACAGAGCCTCACTCCATCGCACAAGCTGGAGTGCAGTGGCGTGATTTTGGCTCACTGCAACTTCTGCCTCCCATGCTCAAGCAATTCTCCTGCCTCAGCTTCCCAAGGAGCAGGGACTACAGGTGAATGCCACCATGCCCAGCTAATTTTTGTATTTTTTGTAGAGACAGGGTTTCGCCATGTTGGCCAGGCTGGTCTCGAACTCCTGACCTCAAGTGTTCTGTCTGCCTCCCAAAGGGCTGGAATTACAGGCATGAGCCACTGTGCCTGGCCAGTTTTTTGTTTTTTGTTTTTTAGTGAAGGATCTTTTATATAAATAAAAACCAACATTTTAATTCTGAAATTACATGAGTTTTGACAAATGCATGACCTCAATTCCATCATTCTAGACAGTTTATGCCTTTTATATTGTCAATCCCTGCACCTCTACAAAGTGACAACTACTTTCTAATTTCTATCACCAAAGCTTTTTTTTTTGCCTGCTCTAGAAATTCAAATAAATGAAAATCTATGGTTTGTGTTGCAAATACAGTATGTACATACAGTATATTTTTCAGATTTATTTATATTGATGTATGTTCCCTTTTATTGCTGAGTAAATATGATTTGTTTATCTCTCTACTTATTGATGGACATTTGTATTGAATTTATTTTTTATTTCTTTTCTTTTTTTTTTTTTTTTTTTTTTTTTTTGAGACGAGTCTGGCTCTGTCGCCCAGGCTGGAGTGCAGTGGCTCAATCTCGGCTCCCTGCAAGCTCCGCCTCCTGGGTTCACATCATTCTCCTGCCTCAGCCTCCCCAGTAGCTGGGACTACAGGCGCCTGCCAGCACGCCTGGCTAATTTTTTTGTATTTTTAGTAGAGACGGGGTTTCACCGTGTCAGCCAGGATGGTCTCGATCTCCTGACCTCGTGATCTGCCCACCTGGGCCTCCCAAAGTGCTGGGATTACAAGCGTGAGCCACCGCGCCCGGCCTATTTTTTATTTCTATGAATAAAACTCATATGAACATTTGTGTACAAGTTATTCATAGACATACATTTTCATTTTTTATTACACCTACAAGTAGGGTCTTAGAGTAGATTATATTTAAGGTCATAAGATTTAACTAAAGTGTCTTCCAAAATGATTGCATTAGAGTTCCAATTGCTCTACAGTCTCAGCACTTGACATTGTCATGTTTAAAAATGTTTGCGATTTTAGCATGCATTTCCATTACTAATGATTTTACAGATTTCTGCACCTGGTCATGTGTAATGGATCATTTATATATCCCCTTTTTGAACTTTATGTTTAACATTTTACTCTAAATTTTAATTTTGTGTGTGGTTTTTAAAGATTGTAAAACTTATTTATTTCATGCCATGAATCATTGTTAGATATATATATTGCAACTATTTTCTTACTCTGCCTTTTCTTATCTTTTTCTTCTTTGGAAGAACGGAATATTTGCTTTGCTGAAATCTAGCTTATCAAATTTTAAATTTCATAGCAAGAGTTCCTGCTTCCTAAAAATATGTTGCTTTATATCTATATTTTATTCCAGAAGCCTTATAGTTAATAAAAGTTCCTGTGCTCTAAGATCTTTCTCAATTGCCTTTTTGTGTATAATGTGAGGTAGAGGTTTAATTTTATATTTTCATGTGAATATCCAAACATTCCAGTATAGTAGCCACCACACAAAACCAGCATGGGCCCTCACAAAAACTTTGGTTCAGATAAAAAGGCTGATGATGGCACATATACCCATAAAGAGATTATAATAAGGTTTGTTACTCACTTAATGGAGATTTCTGGAGAGAACAAATCCAGCTTCCCACATTGGTTTGAAAATGGTTTAAGAGACTTGAGAAAATACCTTGGCTTGGACTTTTTATAGTAGTTAGGGTATGTGCACCAAGTGAGGATTCTTTTACGTGGTTTTAACTTCAAGTTAGCACCAAATGAGGAAGAGTCTTATCATCCTGCCCAGGATATGGGGCATATGCAGAAGAGGGAGAAGTGAGGCTTAAAGCTGTCAACTGTCAAACATCAAAAGGTGGAGTCAGACTTTATTCCATCAGGCATCATTTGTTAAAAGGATCAATGTTTTCCCCACTGCATTACCTTTGCACCTGTGAGGAATGTGTTGAATGTGTACTTGTAGATCGATTTCTGAACTGTTTCTTTTGTTCCATTTAAAAATATTCATATTATTGCAAAAACATGACACCATCTTCATTAGTGTATCTTTATAATAAGTCTTTTCATTGTATAGAGTATGTTCCCCAAGCTCCTTTTCAATATTGTTTTGATTATTCTAGATAGATAAATTTTAGAATTATTTGTCAATCAGGTGTATTGATTTTTATTGATACTAAATTGAATTTATAGATTCATTTGGGTAGAATAGCTGTCTTAATATTGAGTTTTCCTATCCGTAGTCATGTTATGGCTCTCTATTCATTTGTGTCTTTTTAGATTATTGATTTTAAAACTTTCTCTTTTTTTCTAAGACAAGCACTTTGAGCTATGCATTTACACCTACACACTACTTTGGCTGAATTACACAAATATTGATGGATTCTTATAATTCCTATAAATCATACACACACCTGCATGTGTGCATGCATACACACCCATATATATATAATTTCCATTGCGATTTTTAAAAGCAATAAATTATTTAAAAGTGTATTGCTTACTTTCTACTTATTTAGGACTTTTCTAGCTATCTTATCATGCTCATTTCTAATTTAATTCTGTTGTCATTTGAAAGCATATTTTGTAAAGATTTAAATTATTAAGGTATTTTGAGGCTCATTTTAGCACCTAGAATAAGATTCATATGAGTATATATTCCAGATGCATTCTCTTATAATTAGAAGTAGTATTCCCTTAGTTACTGTTAGGTCACATTGGATAATAGTGTGGTTAATATTTTCTATACACTTACTAATTTTTTTGGCTGTCTATTCAGTACTAAAAGAAGCAGTTTAAAAATTTGGGCCGGGCACAGTGGCTCAAGCCTGTAATCTCAGCAGTTTGGGAGGCAGGTGGATCACCTGAGGTCAGGAGTTAGAGACCAGCCTGGCTGACATGATGAAACACAGTTTCTACTAAAAATACAAAAAATTAGCTGGGCATGGTGGTGCGCACCTGTAATCCCAGCCACTCGGGAGGCTGAGGCAGGAGAATTGCTTGAACCCAGGAGGCAGCGGTTGCAATGAGCTGAGATTGTGCCATTGCACTCCAGCTTGGGCAACAAGAGCGCAACTCCATCTCAAAAAAAAAAAAAAAAAATTGCCTTAGCATGGATTTGTCTATTTCTCTCTGTGTTTCTGGCAACTTTTGTTTTATATATTTTGAATTTTGATTATAATTGCTATATATTTAAGGTGGTTGAATTTTTTAATCTCTAGAGATACTATATATCTCAGTGAACGAGTGTTCATCATTACAAAATGTTTCTCTATTACTAGTAATACTCCTTTTCTTAAATCCTGCTTTATTTGACATGGATATAGGCATACCAGGTTGCTTAGGCTTCGTGTTTTCAACTTTTTATCTCTTTACTTGGCATCATTTCCCTGTCTTTCATGTTTCTTCAGCTTGAAACTACCTGCCTTTAAATTTTGAGTGTTTAATCCACTTACATTTATAGCACTTTTTGGTATTTTTAGGTTAGATTCTTTTTTTTTTTTTTTTGTCTCTCTGTTCTTTTAGATTTCATGTCATTTGTGTCACTCCAGTCTTTTCTTTATATACCATGCTCTCTCCTCTATAGGCTTGTTATCCGTAATTCTTTCTGGTGTCATTCATTTTTCATTGTTGCTCCAGAGATTAGAGTAGGCAGTTTTAAATTATCACAGGTTACTTGAAATTAAAATTGTGCCTACATATGAGTGTCATTGTAATTACTATTTCATAGTATTTGCTGAGCTTCCTGGACCTATGGTTTGATTATTGTGTTCAAATTTCAGTTATGCCCTAATTTACAGACTGAATTCCTTAGTCCTTGGACAGAGCCTTTACTTGTTGCCTTTGACTTCTTGGCTACAGTGGAAAATCTGTGGTGCTAACCTCTCTAATTTGCTGATAATTAAACTCCAAACTTGCTCCCCTCTATGACAGGCAACAAATGGGAACTCTGGATTTTTAAGCTTCTACCCATTGTTTTTGATTTTGTGGTCTCTTGCCTAATACATCATAATTGTGTATCTGTGAAGGATTTTAGATGTTTCTAAGCATATTTTGGAGCTCTTACTCTGTGGATCTTATCATTCCGATATTTTCTCCTTCAATTTTCAGACCCTGCTGCGACCCTAAATTATACCTCTTGATCCTTTAAGAAATAAGTCTTCAGCATTCTGTTTGAATTCTACCTAGTAGCCATGTGACAAGAGGGTTTTCAGGGAAGAGCTGTATAATTGTAGCTTTCACCCCCTGTGTTTTCCTCCTTTCAATGATTTAATCTCCTCCAGTATCTGCCTGCTTTTCTTCATTCTACAGTGCCTTCAATTAATGAATTGTTTTTTATATTTTGTCTACAGATTTTAATGTTTGTCAGCAGGAGGGTTATCTGATATAACCTATTTTGCCATTACTGAATGCTAAAAACCTGCTTTTAGATTTGTTTTGAAAATATTGTTAATTATTATTTTCTGAATATGAAAGTAATAAAGGGTCATTATAAAATATTTTTGAAAACACTAAAATGAAAATGAAGAACGTAAAAATTACTCTATCATTACTCCAATTAGAAATAAACACTTGATATTTTTATGTATATTCTGCAATTTTTATGTACATAAGAAAATATATGTTTATAGTTAAAATCTGAAAGGCTATAGAGATATTGCTGTATACTTAAAATCAATTTTTGTATAGGCATATGTTTAACTTAGCATAATATTCACTTTTTAATTTTCATAAATAGCCTTTTAAAACATAGTTTTAATACCTTTATATTATACCACCCAGTTAGACTTCATTTGTCTAACAATTCTGATGTCATTTATGTTATAATTTATAAATCATTTATCTCATAATACTAAGTGTCTTTGTATGCAATTCTTTGTCTGCATTTATGATTTTCTTCAGTTTAGAATTCTAGAAATGGATTACTGAAACAAAGGGATGTAGTAAGTATATTGTAGTTTCCTAAATCCTTTTATAAAATTTTCTTCTCAAGTTTTTCTGAAAGCAGTGTGTGATGGTGTCTATTTTATATTTTCAATCAGCACTTCTTGATTCTTGACTTTGCATTTATCTAATTGTGAGAGTTGGAATGTTTTTTATTTCGTTATTTTCCATTTATGTTATACTATGATTATCTGTACATATTCTTTATCCGTTTTGTTGATTTGTATGAGGCTTTTTTAGGAGAAAACAATATATTAGGGTTTATTAATCTCTAGAATAGGCTATAGCATTGTGTGGCTTGGATTTTTTTTCTAACTTTTAGGTTCATAGAGTACACCCACAGTTTTGTCACATGGGTAAATTGTGTGTCACTGGGGTTTGGTGTACATATTATTTTGTCACCCAGGTAATAAGCATAGTATCTGACAGGTAGTTTTTCAATCCTCACCCTCCTTCCACCCTCCACCCTCCAGTAGGCCCCCATGTCTTTTATTCCCTTCTTTGTGTCTATATGTACTCAGTGTTTAACTCCCAGTTATTAGTGAGAATTTATGGTATTTGGTTTTCTGTTCCTGTTACTTCACTGGTTATAATGGCCTCCAGCTCCATCTATGTTGCTGCAAAGGACATGATCTTGTTCTTTTTTTATGGCCTTGTATATTCTGTGGTGTATATGTACCATCTTGTCTTCATTCAGTGCACCATTAACAGGCATCTAGGTTGATTCCATATCTTTGCTATTGTGAATATTGTATGAGTTTACTTTTATCTATATTATCTACATTACACACTTTCCAGTTTCTTTTTATTTTCTATAGTTGTGTTGAGAATTAGGCATTTCGATTATTGTAATGTTTTATCCCTGGATATTGGATTCTCCCAGGTTCTCACAGATTCTTGTTTTCTGTTTTAATGGCTACAGCTGCCCATGTCTTCAGTGACTTTCCGAACTCTTTTTTGTACGGACTCTATTTCTTGTTATGTAGTCACTGAAATCTTTGTTCTGCTATCACCATGACAGCTAGTAACCTGACAGGAATTTCCTTGTGTGCCTGAATCCAATTATTTAAAAAGTATCCTGTCTCTTTAAATTCCTTTGGCAGATGCCACCTAGTAAGCTAATTTAGTTTAATGAGGTTGAAATAATGGTCAACCTCTGGGCAAGTCTCTCAGTGACCAACTGGGAAAATCACGATACACACCTCTAATGCTTGGAGGACTCTGTTCTTATTGCCCATCCTGGCACCAGCAAGCTACACCGTGAAAGTAGGTGTCTCCTGAAGCTGCCTACTCAGAAGCCAAGGAGTGGCAGCTGCTATGAAAAAAACACTGAAATATATGGAACATTATCTGCCTCTTTCTTCGTCATGTATTCTCCTGAATGTTGTAAATGTTAGACTTCACAGTCACAAAATAGTTGATTTTAATAGTTGTTGCCATGTTAGTAGTTGTTTTGGTGGAGGGACTTATTCCAGGAGCTTATCACTCTGCCATCCTCTGTGATAACTTGGATACACAGTTTTTGGCCACAAGACAAAACAATATTTGCTTTTGCCATCAAACTTTTCAATAACATTATAGAACTTACTGCCAAATTTTGCCAACTCAGATGTGTCTGCTTTGTCAATAATAAACCTTAAATATATACTTTTCAAATGTCTTATCACAATTTTCATAGAATGATATCACTGGAAGCAGTTTTACATTATACAAAATTTATGTTTGCAAAGTTTGGGAAAATTACCCTAAGAAGGTAATAAGGAAGATATCTCACATGCCCTGACATCTTGTCTAGCTTATTATTATGATACCACACCAAAGTAAAGGGTAAACACGAAAAGCTGGAAAAATTTATAGGAAAACCATACGGGACCTGAATCTGCATTTGAGCCATTTAAAGAGAATGAGAAGAAGATGAAAAAGGGGCTGTGAAAGACTGAATATTATTCAAAATGTGATATTTTATATTTTATAAATATAAAATATAAAATTTTATATATTTTATAAATATAAAATAATAAAATGTTCATATTTTAATGTGAGCATTTTCATTTTGGTATTTTTAATGTAATAGTATTTAATGTAGCAGTATCAAGAGCATAATGTTGCTCCTGAAATTTAACTCAGAAAATTATTTTCTTCATAAATACTATAACCACATTCTTTATATCCTAAAGGTCTTTCTATGCAATATTAATACATATTCTTTTTATGCAAACTCATTTTGACAGCAATGGTACAAGCATATGATTCATTTCCATTTAGATTTCTTACTTATTAAAAATAATTTAAGAAAAAAATTCAACCAGCATAATTTATTAGGCAGTACAAAGACATTTGTATGATGCTTATAGTTCAAAATTGATTTCACATTTTAAAATAATTTATAAAGAGAAAGAAAAAATATATTCACACTGACACATCTTGAAATTCAAAATATATGCTAGATATGAATAGATATCATACATTTCTCTCCATATTGATTTGTTCTACAAATGGAGATAGCACATATTGAGAAATTTTTATTTGAATAAGAATAAAAATTTCTGAGCATTATAATGTGCTAAACTGATTTTATTTAAAGAATGCTAATGCCATTTTAGCCCTTTCCTCCCCTTCTGAATCAATTGTTTGGGAATTGTAATGCTTTTAGTGCATTATCATTGCTTTTATTTCTAAATGGAAAGGTATATATAAGATTTATATACCCGAAAAGGAATTACTGGGCTCACACATTGTGTAAAGTGACACAAAAAAATCAATAGCAAATGGGAAGAATGACACTGGCATTGAGATGATAAAATCATGTACAAAGTGCGTTGTTATTTGGTTGTTTCGTGCCATACATAGCAGGTTGGTTTCGGTTACCTTGATAACTTGAGGAAAAGTTATTTGAAAACTTATCTCTCTTTTCTGTTTTACTTTGGATTATTCTAAATGACACTTACATTGGAAAAAGACGTAAGGAACTTTATGGAACTCATCAATCTGCTCAGTCTGTATTGGCAGCCTTCAACTTAGCTGATATTTCATGGTTTCAAAAGGACAACTAATATGTCCTTTCTCAAGGATCTTGCAGTCTAGTGATGATGGCAGACAATGTAACAGATCCTTAATGAACAGTGTGATGGGGCTACAATGCAGGAAATCTTGTAGTATGTTGGGAGTAAGGAAAGCCACTGTGCAGACATATAGGAAAGATTTTCACCTGAGACTGAAAGGAATTATTTCTGCTGATAATTCCCTGGGGATTTCATTGGATAGATCTCTTCAACTTTTACAGAACTATGCTTTTTTCATTTGTATATGTTTTATTATTGATCTCAATTATTTATTCCTTCATTTCTTGATTTGTTTAAGTTCATGGAGCACAAGTTCAATTTTATTACATGCGTGCATTGTATAGTGGTGAAGTCAGAGCTTTTAGGGTATCCATTACCCAAATAATATACATTGTACCCATTAAGAAACTTAAATGACATGCTCTTATTATACACTCTCATCTACTCTGCTGAGTTAGTAATTATATGTTCATTTAGGGTCAGTTGTTACTCAAAATTATATTGGATTAAATAAATTAACATGAATTTCCTTTGCATATAAGGCTTCTTATAGCTCAGGTGTCCCTAAGTGATATGGTAGTTCTGCTCCACAGAGTTATTTTATATTCTGCAATGCATGGCCTTAGTTTCCAAGGCCACTTTATGGTTTGCAGTGGCTGCTTCAGCCACAACTAGTGCATCTACATTTCAGAGAGGAGGAAGCACAAGAAGGGACAGTGGGCATACCCCAGCCATCTTTTAAGGCCGATTTCCAGAAGCTGATGTGGGGAACTTCACTTTACCTAACATTGGCAATTACTTAATCATATAGTTCCACCTAGCTACTTTGGAAGTCTAGGAAATATAGTTATTCTAAATTGTCATTATTTTTATTGCAGAGATGACAAGAGATGTTTAAAAACATCTTCTAAACTTGATCACATAGTCCATGTGCTAGTGACTTCTAAGTCCATATCTCTTCTTCTTCCTTGACATCTCAATGTATTTGTCTAACCATTTACTGACTATTCAGTGTGGGTCAATAAATTGGGTACCTACTATTTAGTAGATTGTGTGTTAAGTATTATGGATAAAATAGTAAATATAAATGGTCTTCATCTCTGCTCTTAATTAATGTATAAATTATTTCAGAGAATTAATATATAATTATTTCACAGTTTTATCTGTTGTGAATAGGGAAAATGTAGGGTGCTATGATAGAAAACAAGAGGATACCTAACTTAGACTTGGTGGTCAGGAAAAATATGGTAGGTTGGATGACCTCTAAGTTAATATACAAAATTAAAAGTTGACCAAATGAATTCTAAGTGAAAAAGTATTCCGTGAATGCCCAGCAATACAAATACATTAAAGTAGGAAAAATTCAAGGAGCAGAAAGGAAGTGTAGTGTTACTGCAATAAGTAAAAAAAAATTAAAAGGAGATAATCTAAAAGTTCATATTTTTTTTACAGCTGGTGAAGAGAATAGTTGCACAGAGTTCTAAATAAATAAATTGCAGAGAGAATGTACCCTTCCTAAGTGGGCAGAGACCAGTGCTGGAAAATATTTTTTAAAATTCACTATCTTGTGTTTTCTCTTATCCTCATCTACAATCATGTAATGCTAAGTCTTTGTGTTACAGTTTGGGTATCAGGCATTTATGAAAGCCAAATTATGTGCTGGTGATACTAGAGGGCAGAAAGTTTATACAACCTATCCCTTACTCTCTGTCAGTAGACATTTTGAGAGAGATAAGCACAATAATTAGGAAAGAGTACACTACAAGATATACTCAAGGGTTATACTCATGTAACTGTTATAAGGTTCTATAATTTGGTAAAGGAATAGGAGAGTTTTCCAAAAAGGCATCAAGTTTGTCATACTTTGATTGGGCTTTGAAAAATGATTGAAATATGGAAAACGCTCCATGGGCTGTTACAACGAAGTAAATATCTCCATATTTACCACAAACCCTAAGTAATTATCCTAGGTCCAAATGAGTTAAGTCATTCTCCTCCACTCAATCCGATATATGATTTTTGACAGCAGAGTTTAACCTGCCTTTTTCCAGAAGTTCTTAGACCAGGAACCATATATCCGAATATCTTCCCAACCTCTTAAGAATAATCTCCTTCAAGGAAAAGGCAACATTTTTACATTCCTAATTGCCTCACCTTTGTTGTCCTCTTTCACTCTTTTTCTTTAAAATTAATTGCATTCTATATGTTTGCTAATAAGTACACCAAAATCCAGTCATCAATATTTCCTTGAGGAGAAAGTATCAGGTACACTCAGCAACCCAAATATGAATGCAGCCTAATGCTTAAGAACATGGTCAGTTCTGTTATACAGTTCTGTTATACAGGTCATACAGTTACTTCCTAGCTGTATGAACCTGGGCAAGTCTTTTAAGACATCTAATCCTCAAATTCTGCATGTATAAAATGTAGGTGATAAAATACAGGGCTGAAACTAGGGTTGACTTGTATGCAGAACTTAAGAGGTTACCCCAAAACAAATTAATCTGCTAACTAATATTCTAATATAATATTTTAAAAAATCAAAATGCAAAATATTGATGATGAACAAAATATCGAAGTTTTACATAAAGATAAGATTTGCCCTGAACTTACGTGACTCATCTTTCTCATCTCACCCTAATCTCAGCCCTGATAAAATACCTACTGTATTAGTTAGGTGTCTCTCATATATATCCATGAGGGTATATTTATTAAGGGGATTGGCCCATGTGATTATAGTGTCTGAGATGTCCCAAGACATGTTTTCAGTAAGGTGGAGACCCTGGAATTTTGGTACTGGGGCTCAATCTTAAGTTTGAAAGCTTCAGAACCAGGGAAGCTTAAGACATAACTCTCAGTCCCAGGCTATAAGCCTGATAACCCCAGGGAACTGTTGGTGTAAATCCTGGAGTCCAGAAGCGGGAGGGTCTGGAGTTCTGATGTCCTAGAGGAGAAAATGGATGTCCCCACTTTCAAAGAGAGACAAAACATAGTTCACCTTTCCTCTGCTTTTTTGTTTTATCTAAGTCCCCAGCCGATTGGATGGCGCCGGCCCTCAATGAGGGCAAATATTCCACTGCTCAGTTCTGTAGCCCACATGCCAGTCTCCTCTAGAAACATCTTCACAGACACACCCATAAATAATGCTTTACCATTTCCCTGGGTATTCCTGAATCCAATAAAGTTGACACCTAAAATTAACCACCACACCTACTTCATTAAATTATTGTAAGAATGTAATGAAATGATACATATAAAATGGTTAAGTAAAAGCTCAGTAAAACCAAATTATATCTATTATCTCATTTCAATTCGAATTAGTCAATTAATTACTTTCATAAAAGAAGTACTAACACTTGTTTATAAATGTGTAATTCAATAACTTATTTCAGAAATGGAAACATCACGATACAACACCGACAATAAAATTGGTGATACCAGGAAGAATTTCTACTGCATAAAACAGAACTGAAGTTTTTCGATGAAAATGCAAGTGGTTGATTATGGCCTTGTTAACTACCAACTCAGTATCACAGTACTATTTATTTTTTGGCACAGCTGCTCTAAGAGATTAATGGTGCTTTCTCACTTTAACCGTTGATTAAGATCAACGAATTCACATATAAATTCCAACATAGCTGAGTGTGGTGGCTCACGCCTATAATCCCAACATTTTGAGAGGCCAAGGTATGCAGATCACTGGAGCTCAGGAGTTTGAGACCAGCCTGGGCAACATGGTGAAAACTTGTCTCTACTGAAAATACAAAAATTAGCCGGGCGTAGTGGTGCACCGCTGTGGTCCCAGCTACTTGTGAGGTTGAGGGAGGATCACCTGAGCCCAGGAGGTGGAGGCTGCAGTGAGCCATGATCGTGCCACTGCACTCCAGCCTTGGTGACAGAGTAAGTCCTTGTCTCAGGAGAAAAACAAAACGAAACTTAGTGAAGTGAAGATGGTACGATATAAGTAGAGAGAAGAACGGGGTATTTTATGATTAACCAAAATATGATTGTTTTGATTGCTTTTAGATATTATCAATAATTTGATACAATTTTTCATTAAAAATCAGCTGCTTTTATAGAAAACAATAGTCTGGAATTTAGCACTGGGGTATATTTCTCTTCTTCATGCCAAACACAAGGAGGGCTTTAGGACTTCTCCCATAAAAAGAAGAATAATTTCCTCTGAAATGTTACAGAAAATTTTAAAGAAGACCTATGACTCCTGAAATTATAATAGAACACTCAGCATTTTAAAAGTTGAAACAAAACTAGCAAAAAAATTCCATATTTAACAAACTTTTAACTCAAAACAGGTTATTGTTATATTGAGGACAGATAAAGAAATATTTATACTAATATGTAACAGTAATATCTCATAAAGGAAACAGTCATAAATATAAATTAAGGAAGCTGTTCAGAGATTGACTGCCTAGATTCAAATCTCTGCCCAGCATCTTTTCTTTTCTTTTCTTCTTTTTTTTTTTTTTTTTTTGTGATGGAGTCTCACTCTGTCGCCGCCCAGGCTGGAGTGCAGTGGTGCTATCTTGGCTCACTGCAACCTCCGCCTCCCGGGTTCAAGCAATTCTCCTGCCTCAGCCTCCCGAGTAGCTGGGATTACAGGCACCCATGCTCAGAATCTTAATACCTGTGTAACATTGGTTAATCTATTCCAACTCTGTATTCCTACTTTTCCTTCCTCTGTTAGATGGGAGTAGCATAATGTAATAGAGCTGCTATATGCACTATTAAAATGCACATCATTTTGTGTATAATGAATGTTAGCTTTGGTAACTATTATTAAGCATAAATTCATTCATATATCCAGCAAATATCTATCAAAAGAATACTGTGTGTTGTGGCCCCTCTCATTCTACAAGATTTTCTTATCCTTCGCTGTTATTTTGCTCCTTACTAGTTTTTTTTATTACTTATACATCAGGTGCACGTTGCATGGCTTAGGAATGTTTCCTTTTGCCTTCAATGATCAGTTAAGATATCACCTTCTCTATGAAAGATATACCAAACTACATTTGACTTCTGTGCATCCATAAAATCGTATTTAAAAGATCTGTACTTTAATTAATTCTTTATATTTTTCTCCTTTACTGTTGCTGAAGGAAAGCCATTGTATCTTCTCCATCTTTTTATGCAAGGTCCTGAGAGAACAGTGTTGGGAATGTAGATCCACAGGAACCATCATTTGAATTGATGGCTGGATAAATGTGTACATTAGCTTGAGCTATTTGGCAACTTCAATCTTCACTTGAAATAGAAGAAAGATGGAAGATCTGTTTCAAATTGTTTGGATTATCTTGTAAGTGTTAACTGTCAAATGCTGAAGAGGAAATTATAATAATGAAGATCTCAAAGTTCATCATGGATCAGATATTCCTAATGATAAGCACTAGTTAATATCCAACATTAGGTAAGAGCCATTATGCAAGAGTCAGAGTTCTATCAGGAAGGTTAATAATTTAAGTGACAGAATATGATCCCCTATTTTAATAAGAAATTAGAATTTGAATGTGGTATTTCTTCAGTTATAAATTCAGAGAACTTCTAATGCTTTGTCGTGTCACAAAAGTACTTTATTTTATTTTTATTTTAACCAGTCCATGGCTTCTATGTTGGGTAAAAATATTTTAAAATTAATAAGTGTTTCTGTTTGTGGTTCATAAATATAACTTTTCATATTTACTCCTTTCTGTAGACATTACCCACTGTGTACCTTTAGGCCTGACCTAGACATAAAAGCGTATTTTATAGTCAAAATTCTTACAATACTCTTGTCTTCTCTTTTTTAATTTTCCCTTTAATTTTCAGTTGCCTTACAAATAGGTCAGATGATAAGTTTATCATTCAAACATTTCCTCTGAGACAATATTTTTCTCTCATATTAGTGTCACTTGCCTGTGGCCCTAGTGATCCTGGCAGATTTAATTATTTTATTTCTGACAGACTATGTGTGACACCACATTCTATTTTAAAATAGTGCAAGGGCTAGTTATTTCACTGCTACCTTATCTTACCTCTCTCCCAACTACATGTTAAAAGAAAACAAAATGGGATATCAGGTCTGTTTTCTGATAAACACTGAATGAGAATTGACAGATGTTTGATGTTGAAACAGGTGGTGACAAATTAAGTAAACTAAGAGTATATTTGTGAAAGAAACATTGAGAGAACAAGGAATATAGAATTGCATTTGTAGCGTTTGCTCTGGACAGAAGGGGTACATCATGTGGCCCAGATTCCAGATGCTTTTTTTTACCATTTCACATGCCCTGCAGCTGCTACTTCTGTTGTGATTGCTACATCACCTCCTGTCACTGCCCACTTGAAAGTGAAGAAATGTCTCTAACAAAATGAATGAAACAGCGCTCACTGTGATTTACTTTGCTTTTATTCTTTAGCTGAAATAGCACAAATCACAGATCCCTCCTTTTTTTTCTTTCCGTGTGTACCTCTCTTAGATCTCTAATTATATGAGACTGTAATTTTGTTCAGAAGCTTAAAAAGGAATTATATATTGAAAAGCAAGTGCAACACATATTCAATTTGTCTTCTTCATGAATTTTTAAATATCAAAATTATCAGGTCAGATTTAGGACCAATGCTCTGAGAAAGTTCATGATTAAAAGGCTTAGTCTGTGCCTGGCCATGAGATAATGAAGCAGTCAACACACCTTTAGAATTTTATGAAGAAGGAGGAAAGAGGTTACTGATCTCTGCCTTCTCTATTGCCAAACTGATGTGTACATGGAGTTTGGGTAATATAATACATATTCATGCTGACAGCTAATTTTCAGACTAATGTAATTCAAAACAGAAAAGATAATGAACCCTAAAAAACAGAGTTTGTAAATGGAAATGCTGACAGACTCTTAACTCTAATAGCTTTGGTATTGGGCACCAAAAAAAAAAAAAAAACCTAATATTAATGAAGATTTGAAAGTAGATGAGGCATTTATCTTAGGTAATTATGGTGCTCCACTACAACTAATATCTAAATGGAATTTAAACCATTTAAATGACCCAAGGGAAGGGACAATTGTAGGAATAATTCCTGCTCAGTGTGATTCCATAAAGTTTATCGGTATGGGTATATTTCAAGAGCATTTTCCCCAATATAAGAACAGGGCACATTCCAGCTATAAACACACTATTCTTTTCTAACTTTGATTTTAGAAAATCTGCTTCCAAAACCAATCTAGTTGAAATTTGCTTAAAGTATACTTTTTAGAATAAATTTATTATTTTTTGAGACAAGGTCTTCCTCCGTCACTCAAGCATGTATCACCTGTGTCAATCACAGCTCACTGCAGCCTTGATCTATGGGGCTCAAGTGATCCTTCAAGCTCAGCCCTCAAATAGCTGGGACTACAGGCCCACGTCCCAGTGTCTGGCTATTTTTTTTATATATATTTTTTAGAGACAGAGTCTCATTGTGTTGCCCAGGCTGGTCTTGGACTCCTGGGCTCAAGCGATCTGCCTGCCTCAGCCTCCCAAAGTACTAGGATTACAGGCATAAGCCATGTTGTTCAACCAATTTATTTTAAAAATTGTTGATAAGGGAAAAGATATGTTACAAGTCTTAGTAGCCACCTACTTAGCTTCTCCAGTATCTTTTGCTAAACCTAGATTCAGCATCTTAGTTGACATCTGTGTCAGACTTGCCCTTTTACTCTGGGGCATCGAATGCATTCATGTATATTATAAATATCTATTAAGAATAGTTCATAATGTTAGGAAACATTCAACCCTTTGGGGAATATATGTAAACACATTCAAATGTAAATATAGCTCTCCTCCTGTAGAGATTTGCAACCTAACTGCGGAGATGAAATCCTAAAGAGATAAAATTTAGACACGTGAACCAGTGAACACTCGGTTTCAAGTCTTATTTCTTTGCATTATTCCCTGTTATCTTCTCAGAACTCTTCAAGAATAGGCATTGTTTTCATTTCTCCAGGACCATTTTAATAATTTGGACATTCCTCTTTTAAAAAGACAAATGACTAAAGTCGAAACTCACTTAAAAAAGTCTTCAGCACATTAATTATGTGACATAGTATTAGTAATACTACCTTGAAGATTACTAAATATTTTATCATGGTTTGTTTCCTTTGAACCACATAACAATTTAATGAATTAGAAAACCAAGCGCTTATTTTTCACTTAAATGTATATGGGCAAATTAAGCATAGATAATAAGTGAATATCCAAATAATTTGATGGCTAAGAAGTGGAAATAAAAATGGAACTTTATCTTCTACCTTTTTAAAATCAAAATGTCTATTGTAGAACAGTTTCAAATTTACAGAAAAAATGTGAAGGTAATAGACAGTTCTCATATACTCTGTACCTAATTATTAACATCTTATATTAATATGGTACATTTGTGTTGAAAGTAATATTGATGTATTATTGCAAAATGAAGTTAATCTATACTTGATTCAGATATTTTCAGTTTTTAACCTAATATGTTTTAAAATTCTAGTATCCTATTAAAAATGCCGCCCTACACTTATCCATCGTGTATCCTTAGGCTTATTTCAGTTGTGGCAGCTTCTTCCCTGCTTTTGATAAACTTAACAGTTTGCGGAGTATTACTCAGATATTTTGTAGATTATCTCTATTAGGATTTATTAATGTCATTCATTATTAGATTGAGATGATGGGTTTTGGGAAGGAATACCAGAGATGTAAAATGCCATTTTCAGCACATAAAGGCTACATACTATATACATGTCATCCTACTGTTCATTTTGACCGCTATCACCTGATTTAGGTAGTGTTCATTAAGTTTATCCACTGTAAATTTCCTCTTCTCCCTCCATTCCACATTGAAAGAAAGTCACAATGTGCAGGTCACACTTAGGGAGTAAGGAGCTATGCTCTACCTCCTGCAAAGTAGAATATCTATATAAATTATTTGGAATTCTTCTGCATTGGAGATTTGTCTCTTCTTCTCCATTTATTTATTTCTTTAATTGCTTACTTATATCAATGTTGATTCAGGAATATTCATTAGATACTTTAAGTTATTATCCAGCATCACTTAATTTGTTTTGTTGCTCAAATTATTCTAAATTTGGCCATTATGAGCTCTTTCCATTGGTTCTTGTGCTTCTGTGACACACCTGTATCAATGTAGTGAGTCTTTGGTGTTTGTTTTGGCTTTGGTCTTGGTTTGGTTCAGATTTCTTTTGGTTCATTGGTTTTTTTTTTTTTTTTTTTAGTAGAACCTTACCTTCTGGCACTCCAAGAAGCTTTGGGCTCATCTTGGATATTTTCTTCTCTAGTAATAGAAGTAGTCATTTCTTTTAGGAGTGCTTGTTTCTTTCATTGGAGAATGGTATTAGAAACCAATCTCTGGGTGCTAGGTGTGCTTGTTGCTTTCTTCTTAATTTTCATACAGTTCAATTTCCAAGCTGCATTTTGCACATACTGAGTAAAAACAGATGAAGAATGAGAAACACTCTGCTCTGATTGAATTCCCTCTGAAGGGCTTCAGTTCATTATTCTGGCTTTTGAAAACTTACTACTATCGGGGGAAATTCAGCCAGATATTGGGCAAAATTCATCCCCCATATTTCATGTAGGTTCTTTTTTATTTTCCCTAAGTGTTGGCTGGTTTGAGAAATAAAGCTAAAGAATATAAAAGAGAGAAATTTTAAAGCTGGGCGTCCAGGGGAGACATCACATGTTGGTAGGTTCCATGATGCCCCCTGAGCCGTAAAACCAGCAAGTTTTTATTAGGGATTTTCAAAAGGGGAGGGAGTGTACGAATAGGGTGTGGGTCACAGAGATCATGTACTTCACAAGGTAATAGAATATCACAAGGCAAATGGAGGCAGGGCGAGATCACAGGACCACAGGACTGGGGTGAAATTAAAATTGCTAATGAAGTTTCGGGCACCATTATCATTGATAACATCTTATCAGGAGGCAGGGTTTGAGAGCAACCGATCTGACCAAAATTTATTAGGTGGGAATTTCCTTGTCCTAATAAGCCTGGGAGCCCTATGGGAGACTGGGGCTCATTTCATCCCTACAGTCTCGACCATAGAAGATGGCCACACCCAAGGGGGCCATTTTAGAGGCCCACCCTCAGGGGCGCATTGTCTTTCTCAGGGATGTTCCTTGCTGAGAAAACGAATTCAGTGATATTTCTCCCATTTGCTTTTGAAAGAAGAGAAATATGGCTCTGTTCTGCCTGGCTCACCGGTGGTCAGAGTTTAAGGTTATCTCTCTTGTTCACTGAACATTGCTGTTATCCTGTTCTTTTTTCAAGGTGCCCAGATTTCATATTGTTCAAACACACATGCTCTACAATTTGTGCAGTTAACACAATCATCATGGGGTCCTGAGATGACATATATCCTCCTCAGCTTATGAGATGACAGGATTAAGAGATTAAAGACAGGCATAGGAAATCACAAGGGTGTTGATTGGGGAAGTGATAAGTGTCCATGAAATCTTCACAATTTATGTTTAGAGATTACAGTAAAGACAGGCATAAGAAATTATAAAAGTATTAATTTGGGGAACTAATAAATGTCCATGAAATCTTCACAATCCACATTCTTCTGCCATGGCTTCAGTTGATCCCTCTGTTTGGGATCCCTGACTTCCCCCAACATACTACCACTGAGACCAGCATGCTTCGCCACTACTCTGGATGCAATTTTTACACTATTATTTGATATTGCTTTTTGTATTCCTATTTTACACCTGTAAAAATGAAAAGGAGAGGTTTAATGTGCTCGAATAATAAATAATGTTTCTAAGGTCATAGAGATAATTAGTGGGTAAGTATGAATATAAAATTGTAAGTTGCCTTCCCATAACATTACAGTGCTACAGTAAATGACCTCTTTGCTTGTTATTGAGCCCATGCCATCACAAATGCAATCACTATTACTTTTGGATTAAGTGTCCTTATAATCTGCTTGAGTTTCTATAGAGTCACAGACCAGTGAAAGCATTTCAGAGGAATGAGTTTATACTCCTAAGGGACAATTAAATGGAAAAAAAAATATTTTAATGAGAACATTTAAAGATGAATCTTGTCCAGCAAAGGTAACTAGTACATTGTATACATTCAGTAAGGATTTCTTAAATCTTACTATGTACAGTTAAAGCAATAAGCAGTGGTGATCAACAATTTCAGTATTCCTTCTACAGGTAAAGGGACTTATTCTTTACATAGGAGAGAAAAATATTTAAGCAAACATGTAAAGGTAAAGAAATAGAAAATTAAATGTTTGTAGATTAAAACAGTGGTTCTCAGACTTTAATATGTCTAAGAATCATTCAAGAAGTCCAATAAAATACATATTCTTTATCAATAGACCTGAAGTCGTGTTACTAAAACTCCAAGATTTTTGTCTATGTCCTGCTACTCACAGTATAGAAAGCCAGTCACTGAGACAAAGATTATTGCCAAGGAAAAAGGTATTATTCGGGCACTGCAGCCAAGGAGATGGGCTGTCAGTCTCAAATCCATCTCTCTGATGGACTAAAACTATAGTTTTATATAGCAGGTAAGAAATGTGACCATGTGTGGGCAAAGAACAGTTAGGAAGGAGTGAGGAAGATAAGTTCACCAACAGGAAGCAGGTGGTCAGTTAGCCAATCAAAATGTGTGAGGGGTATGGTGCCCCGTTGTTCAGATGCAGTGATACAGCAAATTTCAGTTCCTTGATATTATCTGAGAGGGCTGATGGTTGGTTTCCTGAAAAAAGGAATTCAGATAAGACAATTGTAATTTTCTCAAGTTTTAAGACCAGGAGGGCCACTTTCTATGTTTATTCAAAAGAAGCCATATCAGTAAAGGACGATTGGAACGGTTTTAGTTGGACTAACATTTCTGCATTTTTAAAAAGTGTCAGGTGGCCGGACGTGTTGGTTCACGCTTGTAATCACAGCACTCTGGGAGGCTGAGGTGGGTGGATCATTTGAGGTCGGGAGTTTGAGACCAGCTTGGCCAACATGGTGAGACCTGTCTCTACTAAAAATACAAAACTTAGCAGGCGTGATGGTGCCCACCTCTAATCCCAGCTACTTGTAAGGCTGAAGTAGGAGAATCACTTGAACTTGGGAGGCAGAGGTTGCAGTGAGCCAAGATTTTGCCACTGCACTCCGGCCTGGGCAACAGAGTGAGACTCCATTTCAAAAAAAGACAAAAAAGTGTCAGGCCACTACACTTAAAAGCAGTGGTGTTAAAAACAGTAGGCTACAAAAATAGTGGTTACTTTTATAAGGAGAAGAGTCAGAAAGGTTTCATAAATCAAAACGCACAAATTAGAGATACAATGGGTATCTGAATCAAGAAAGAAAAGAATCAAAGTTTGGAAATAAAGCAATTAAAGGTAAAATGTTAACTGGAAAACTCTACATTTTATTTTTATACATGAAGTTTTGTTAGAAGATATATATTTTTACTATACTGTTAAATTTGATGTTGTATACACTTTCTCTTCATTTCTGGCCAAATTTTAAAAAAGAACATAAAAATTACCTACAGTTCTAATGGTATTTTTTTCCCATACCCTCACCAAATCATATGGAAGTAGGTTTGTGTGTATATGTTTATGTGCCTAGGTGTGTGCATGTGGGGAGATGTGTATCATGGGCTATAGAAATCTCAAAATGTATTTCTCTTCTGAGATCTGTTATGCCTCAGTTCCTCAAGTTTATTTGATTGTATATAGATAAGTAGAAATTTGAAAGAATCACTTTTTGATGACAGATACAATATCTTTCTACAGCATGATAATATGTACTTTTAATTATATTTTTAATTTCCTGGATTCTAGAAATAGTTTCCTGACTTATTTCCACAGCTCATTAATTAAAAAAGTACAAGAATTGGGCAAGAGTTCTTTTCTTCTAAGAAAAGAAATGTTCTATTTTCTTGGCAGCCAGATTCCATTAACCTTTTATCTTTTAACTGTTCTTCGAAATGTGTTCTCTAAAACACGTGGAATATTCCTTTTGAGATAAATTATTGAATCAAAACAGTTCTGTTATCATATTATGTAATGAAACAGCATGCTATTGATTTGGCATTGCAAATGAACTAGTTTTATTTTTTATATTGTAATTTATCTCATTCTATTTGTATCTACGCATGTATCTTGCAAGCCAATAATCATTTTAGTCTTATGAACTAGAGTTCAGCTAAAATAAATTAACTCATAAGATTGAAAAGAAATATATCAGACAGATTTAAATATATGTGGTCATTAGAGTTCCATGACATACACATGAAGTATTTCTAGGAGAAATATGCCAGTCTTCCAGCTGTGATAGAAGATGAACAAGATACCTATAAACATTTAAAAAAAAAAAAGCCTGAAGTTAATTAAATGAAACTTCATGCAGCACTACACTGGATGAGTGTTTTCAAAACCAAGAGAATGGGGAGCTGGATGAAGGTGACTTCATTGTTCAATCAGCTATATAGATCTATTGATAATTAAAAGGAGATTGGCACTGATTCTCACTGCTTGCGAATCTTTGTAGAAACAACCTAGAATAAAAGTCCATCTATTTTATATAGCTCTTAAAATATCCTTGCAAAAAAGCATATCATAGTACATGCACACGAATAATGTAGCTCCATAATTACCATTCACATTTATTAGAATCACACAAAATAAGGCCTTTTGTAATGTACTGATGTAAATATAATACTTGAACTATGTAATTTCTCGAAACTCAAGTTTCTTCCTCATTAAATTAGAGATATAAATACCTACCTCATAGGCCTATTTTATGAGATGATTACATGGGACAGTATATACTAAGTTATTAACACAATGCCTGAAATACAGAGTTTTATTTTTATCATTGTTGTATCCAAGTGCCGCATTTCTTAGCTCAATTTCTGGGTTAAATTTTATATTTTGACATTTCAGTGCTAGCCTAAAACAATTTCAAGGGGACTTAAAATTTGGCTTCCACTATCTCAAACAGCTTTGTGTAACTTAAGTGATCCGTGTTGACTACTTCATATTGGGAGCAATAAAATTGAAAAATTTCTTCTTACCCCTTTGCAACATTTCCTCATTCCCTTCTCCATATTTTTCCATCCTTGTCTCCCTTTCTAGGCAACCATGGATGTTTTTTGTCACTATATATTTGCATTCCTGTGTTTTCTTTTAATAAGTGGAAGCATTTAGTGTGTTTTTTGCTTTTCATTGATTGCAACATTATTAATTGATAAATTTATTATAGCATTATTAATGCTGACATTTTATTCAGCATAATTATTTTGATATTCTTTCATGTTATGCCTTGTATAAAGAGTTCACTTCATTTTTATTATGTAGTAGTATTCTCTTTTATGGCTATGCCACTGTATGTCTGTTTAACTGTTTGACATTTGAGTTGTTTTCAGTTTGAGGCTATTATGCAAAAGCTGCTATAAACATTCATGTGCAAGTCCTTGTATGAACATATCTCATTTATTGAGGAAACACCTAGGAGAATGCTGAATTATATGGTAGGTGTACATTTAAATTTTTACAAAACAGCCTAATTGTTTTCAGAGTGGTTATTAGCTTGATGAAATTCTCATGTATTTCTACATTTCTTAGAGTCTATAACAGGAGTGAACGCTAAATTTGGTCAATTCCAGTAAACAAGATAACTAACTGAAGAGGGCAAGGAGTCAAGTTCTAGGATGCCACTGTGCAACAGGCCTAGATGTTACCTCATTTAATTTGATGTAGGAGGATGCAAAAGCCTGGAAGAATGTTGTGAGGAAAATATTTATTTATAAGGGAAACTGTAGCAAAGCATAATATATACATATATTCACACACATATGTGTGTTTATGTGTATATTTCCAATACTACTAGCAAATATAAAGCAATTAAAATCCCAGATAAGTGATATAAGAAAAAAATGTAACAACTAATATTCCTGGCTCTGCAAAGTATAGTATTTGCATGTCCACCAAGATATAAGCAATACTTACTGACATTAAATTTCATAAATGAACTACAGACAATACACATAAAATTTAAAATTATGGTTTCAGAAAAATGACCTATCATCAGCATTCACAATTCAGAAAATAAAAGTTCAGTTGACAGAATTTAGGAAGGGAAGTTAGAAGAGTTGAAGGGAAGGGTCACCTTACAAAGTAGAGAAAAGTAAGAGATAGTGTGGGTGCTGAAATTTTTTTAAGAGTTATGTACTCCTCAAAGTTACAAAGATTAAACAATAACAAAAATAAAATTTGAAAAAAATGAGTGAAAGTAGGATATATACCTAATTTCTCTCTATATATATTTATATATGTAAGATATATATTATATATAATTACACAACTGTATAGTATACAATTACATAAAATACATAATAGAAAACATATAATATATATTTTTATATATTTTAGCTTACATTCCTTAATAAACAGAAACTCAGGCAAGGATTAAGTGTCAACTCTTTATTTGGGGTGTGTAACCTTATAAAAGCAGAGACAGATTAAAAATGGATGTGAAGTTCTAAGGGTGGAAAGGAATGCAAATTGATATTTTACTTTGCTGTCACTCTTTCACAATGAGCCAATCAACAGAAATAATTATTCACTATGATTTCTCGGTCTTGGAATTCTCTAGACTTACTAAAACTAGCAACCATGCCTTGAAACAGTCCATCCAAGGGAGAGAGGGAACAGAAATTTATCCTTCATTTAACTGCCTCTCAACTTTCTCCACATGGGAAATTAACTTTCATTATTACAGGTTCAATTGCCTAATTCCTTCAGTAGCTGCTCTGGAAGCCAGGTTCCATATTCCCTGGTGTGGTGTTTTTCTGATACCAGATGTACTGGACAAGTCAGAGTCTGGTCTTGTGACTAGTCACATTTATCTGGTAAAACCCCAGGGGCCTCCACAAAGTAGGCTGGCTGTGGTTGGTGATGAAGGAGTAAGCAACTGATGATCTAGGAGACAGATGAACACCAGAGAATCTCTATTCAGTCAACCTGTGGAGATCTAGCAGAAAGATGGTGGGAGGAGTACAAACCCTGACATCAGTCTCCTCTCACTACCCGATATACTGTAATGCCTCCTACTGGACACACTCAAATGGAAGTCAGCAGTTAAGGAAGCCAGTGGATGCAATCCTATAGCATCAGCCTCCTGCTCAGGTAGTGATAGGCAGTGAGAATCTGTTCGGGCACAAGGTGAGGTTGGGAAGAAGGGAGAAATGTAGACAGTGCACTTGGTGGGGCAAATAGAGGATATCTAGGCAGCCTGCCCCTTGTTTACTAATTGCTGCTCTTTGATTCTTACGTTCTGTTCATGTAATGGGAATGCTTGTTAAGATTTTGTTGTTGGCCGGGCACAGTGGCTCACATCTGTAATCCCAGCACTTTGGTAGGCCGAGGCAGGCAGATCACCTGAGGTGGGAGTTCAAGACCAGCCTGACCAACATGGAGAAACACCGTCTCTACTAAAAACACAAAATTAGCTGGGCGTGGTGGTGCATGCCTGTAATCCCAGCTACTCAGGAGGCTGAGGCAAGAGAATTGCTTGAACCTAGGAGGCGGAGGTTTCAGTGAGCCAAGATCGTGCCATTGCACTCTAGCCTGGGCAACAAGAGTGAAACTTCATCTAAAAAAAAAAAAAAAAGATTTTGTTGTTAACACTGACACCTTCAGAAACTGTCACTGTTCTTTTCCATTCTCACTGTCTTTCTAGATCAAACAACTCTATCACTGACTTTGTCCTACCTACAAAGTGCTCCCTTTTTCCCTTTTCTCTCATAATTTCATTCATTCTTTATGGAGCATCACCAAGTTTTAAATTCATCTGGCCGATATATACAAAATAATTTTAAGAAAATAAAATGAATGCCAATGTAGTACATTACCTTGTACCAGAGAATTCTGCAACTAAAATAACGGGGGAGTTATTTTTCTTTTCTATCAATTAACAGTTTTGATTGGGGAAAAATCATGGAGTATTTAAGGACCATTGTTCAAATTGAAATGGAACTCCAAGATTTGTAATTGTTTTCCATATATATTGTAGCATAATTTTTAACAAACTAATTTAGACCTCATTGGTATTGACACATAACTTCAATTAGTGCATTCGATTAATATTGACAGCACCAATATTGTCTAAATGTTGTGGACTTAATAGACAGATGGTTTAAATTCTGAATTTGTTGTGACTTCAGGCAAGCAATTGATCTTTCCAGATCTTATCTTCTCCTTTAATGGGTAATATCTACCCCATACAGCTATAGTGTGAACATATTTCCTGCTAGACACTACTCCAAAAAATAAAAATAAAAATTTGAGTGGTTAACTCATCATTCAAATACAATATAGTAAAATGTGATATCATTCAATATACCAGAATATCATGTGTAAAAGAAAAAAAACACACATGGAAGCACAAATGCACAAATAATATGGGTTCTCAGTCTTCCTAATATTTGATAAATACATACTTGCACATAAGATGTTAAAAAATACAAGAGTATGTGGGATGTAAATACTTTGTTTAGGCAGCTGTATAAGTTATGCACAGTTCCTTTTGTCTTATCAAAACATGTAGTATAAAATGACCTCTGAAAAGTGTATTGCTTTCATTCAGTCTAGTGCTATTAAAACAGTTGTTAACTATATTTGTGTGTAATTTATGATAATCATCTCATGAAAGCAATTTTTTTGATAAGACAAAAGCTGCAGGATAAAGCAAGGTACGTGATAGAACTGTTGACCTAGATCAGAAATTAGTTGTTATTAAAAACATCCAAGAAATGGACAAAGATTTAATATGAAGTTGGCTTCTTGGTTTGTACAGTGAACTCTATTACCAAAAACAAATATGTGAACTGTACAATTTTAACAATGTTTATTGGCTTAGTATGCCATACTAAAGAGACAGTTATGGCAACTTTCTCCTTTTTGAGATTTAAGTATATATCAAAATATAGTTAGCATACATGCTTCTTATAAAGATGGTTATATTAAAAAATTCAAGCATTTGTAAATAGAAAAATACAAGAAGGCCCTTCATTTGTAGTCAGTGAAGTTAACATAATTGATTTAAGGAACAGATGTGCCTTCCAGGGTTAAGTGGTAAATTCTGAGTCCTGTTGCAAAGAAAGCAAGAACTTTGCATAAATGGGATCTTCTATAACTGAAGAGAGGGGGAACAAACCAGGACAAACTTTGGATGCGGATGAGAGTTTATGTTGAAAATAACAATAAATATGAGCAAAAGATTAACAACAATTCACCAAAGAATATATAAGTATGACAAGTAAGCACATGAAAAAGTTATGTACACCATTTAATTATCAGAGAAAAGCAAACAAAAATTGCAATTTTACTGCTGTAGACCCGCTGGAATGGCCAAATAAAAAAAAAAGATTACACTAATTATTGGCAAGGATGTGGGGTGATGGACTTTCATACAAAGCCGGTAGGAGTTAAAATGATACAAACAGTTTGAAAGACTGACAATTTCCTATGCATTTAAAAATAACTTATTCTATAGCCCAGCAAATCTAGGTATCTGCTGAAGTAAAACAAAAATTTAAGTCTACAAAATGACTTATACTCAATTGGTTATAGTAGCAATATTAATAATGGAAAAAAGTAAAAATAAGAACAAGCATTGTGCTTCACCATGAGAACAGATAAACAAATTGTGGCATATTTATACAATGGAATATTTATATCTCAGAAAAAAAGTATAAAAATACTGATTATTGATTGTTGATTTTTCAGATGCCTTTTTGTCACCTAACAAAAATAACTTATATTGCTTTTTTCTCTGATATTCTAATATTATAATATAAGCAACATAAAATTACCAATTATATAAGTTAAAATGATAACATATTGGAAGTATGTTTCAACCTCAATGTTATTTTGTTAATTTTCTGGTATTGCAATATTCTTACCTTCCTGGAAGGAACTTTATATGCTAAAATTTTAGTTTCCTCCTAATGCTTTGGAGCTTTCTTTCTTTCTCTATATTACAAGGAATGTAGTAGTATATATACTACCTATGAAAGTGCCTTGATTTAGTGAATAACATCTGTAAAAGTGCATAGGTTTAGAGCTAGTTATGTGCTAGTGTTTCTTACTTTCATATAGTTCATTTCCTTCTGTAAACTTTGTTAATATGTATTTTCACAACAACATCATTTTGTCAAGACATTTAAATTCAACAGTAATACAAAGAAGAAAATAATTTTCAAAGACTTTATTGTACTACAAGTAAACTTCCTTTCAAAAGTATTGCTTTATTTCACTCAATAGCAATAAATGACAATCGTCAGTTAAGTATCACTTCAACAAATTTTAGGTTATTCAGTCTTCTTTTGACTAGTCATTGTACACTCGTTCTTATTTTCTCCTAACCTCTCCCAAAGTTAGCATTTCTGGTATAGGAATCTTATGTGAGAGAATGTCATTAAGACAGACGTCAGGTCAGTGGTCATTCTGCACCGCAATCTGCTATGGCATAACACCATTCCTAGGGTTTTGGGCCTGGTAACTGCTCTATACACCACTTATATCTGCAGTCTTATCATGGCCTACCATGGTCAGGTGGGTCCTTGGCAGTCACTACTTACAGCACTGCCTCTAGCAGTTCAGTTGCTTTAGGATTCTTGTGGCTACTTCCTTGTTCCTCATGAGAGGTCCAGGAACTTTGTTCTCTCTTTCTATGCCACTCTAGGATCCTGTGAAAATTGAATGATGTGGTGTCTGTTCTCCCTATTTAACAAGCTCTTTCCCTCATTTAACTCTCATACAGTTCTTATTTGGCTTTCAAAACTCATCTTAGGGAGCCTATGATTATCAACAGTTTCTTCCATCTGATATTACTTCGCTGCAATTTCACAGCAAATCATGAATATTGATATTTTTTCTAGTAACCCCCTCATCATCTTATATTAAGTAGTATGTTTCTTATTTATAATTATTTGTTGTTTCCTTTTATGAGAATATGAGCTCCCTGGCCAGGCGCAGTGGCTCACACCTGTAATCCCAGCTATTTGAGCAGCCAAGGCAGGAGGATAGCTTGAGCCCAAGAGTTGGAGACCAGCTTGGGCAACATAGCAAGTCCCTATCTCCACAAAAAAAAAAAAAAAAAAAGAATAGCTGGGCATGATGGCATGGTGGCACATGCCTGTAGACCCAGCTACTCAGGAAGCTGAGGTAGGAAGATCACTTGAGCCCGGGAGGTCGAGGCTGCAGTGAGCAGAAATCCCACATCTGTACTCCTGCCTGGGAGATAGAGCGAGACCCTGTCCCTAATAAATAAATATATGTATATAAGCTCCATCACAAAAATCAACATTTTTGTTTTATTTTCTTGCTGCTCTGCCTGCACAGCCTGGAACATGTAGTAAGGGCCCAAATTGTACTTGAATAAATTTGTTTCCTGTCTGACCTCCTTGCTATACTGGGTTTTTCAAGCCACAAACTGTCTTTTTCCTTTGTTATATCCCTAGTGATTATCACAGAGTCTGTCTAATGGTGGATACTCAATCAATTTTTATTGAATAAATGCCACAATACAGTCTTACCTCATCAAATTAATTGCAAATTAAAAGTAGAACAGAACGTAGAACAGAATGAACAGAAAAGTTTATTTGAAACTTTATTCTAAAAGTGGTTCTTCATTTATATGAAGCATTTCCTGGCTCTTTTAAGTAGAATTCACCCGTGCCAAGCGTATGTGATTGCATATATCATAATCTATTACAAATATGTATTACATTTATTTTCTCTGTTAGATTTTGAATAGTTTGGGACAGGAATATATATTATTTATCTTTGTGTACAATCATAGAGTCATTTAGAGTTTTCAAGGAAAACAAAACAAAAAATTATGTTGAAGAGATAAATAATTCAAAGGCATGTGCCTCTTGAGGTTTTCCTAATTCGTTGAACAGAGGGTGTAGTTTCCATTAAATAAAATGGTCGCCAAATGAATAAAGAAAACTCTCTAATCATATTATCTTAATAGTAGGGGACCAGAAATTAGTTATGAGATTGAAGGCTTCAGTATGTGGTATCTCATCTTTCTCTGTTTCAGAACCTCAGAGCTTTTTTGTTGTTGTTAATATTAAATAGTTGTGGTTTGAAAAGGCACTGTTATTTTCTGGGAGGAATTCTTTCCTGGATCCTGTAACCTCCTTGAAAACATGGGACATACCTTGATCATCATTGCATTTCTTGTATTTAATAAATGTTTTTTTTTGGCTGGCTAGCTGGATGATGGATGAACTAATAAAGAGCATGTGACCTTGGGCAAGTTATTTTACGTCTTATGATTCTTTGGCTGTCTTTGTGAATCATTTTCTGTCCCATGGTTCATTCCTATAACCTTTGATATTTTATAACATTAATTTTTAACTCTGAATAACCAAAACTGTTTTCAAAGTCATAATCATCTAATTATTAGAATTGTATAAAAGTTCAAATAATATGCCATCCATGGAGAATACATTTAATTTTGTAATACATTTTTATTTTTGTAAAGCACTTCCTCTTATAATCTTATTTTGCTTTTAAAAGTATTATAAGCTAAATATTATGTCTGTTATAAATATGAAGATACTCAGAGTCAGACAAGTTAACTTCCTGGAGAAAACTTCTATGCTAGTTGTCTAAGCTTTGAAAACTGTCTTGTGAACAGTAAAAGATAACTACAGAGACAGGGATAATTTGAAAAAAAGAGATGGGTAACGGACTCTCCAATTGAGTGAAAATATTCAACTGAGGGTAAATGTCAAATTGAAGATAAATTTACCATAGCAATAATTGAATTTCTCATTCTGCTTATCAAATACATAGATCCTCTCCCAAGAGGGTGCACAATCAGTCAAGAAGCTAATCTAAATAAAAAGAAGTCAAATTAAGTAGAAAGATATATGAATACTTGGAGATCATGTGGTTTTAATAATGGAATTTAAAGCAAAACACTTTGTCCTCCAGTTCAACACTTTTCAGACTTTTATTTTGTCAGCTGAATTAAGTAAGCCCTCTGCTTTTTACCCCAATTTTGAATATTCTTATAGGCTAGTGATAACTTTGTACACTTATTGATTTGTGTCAATAATTTTATAGTAATTGCATGGAGCCAAATAGCCAGAGTGATGGTGGAGTCGGGGCATCCCTCTAAGGTTAGTCAAGAGTTGTAACCAAATGTTTTGGGGTTCTCATTGGTTACAATACCAGTACAAATGGGACTAAAGCTTTCATTTGATTTGATTTGATCTCTGTATGGATCAGTCAACGTTTCTCTCTTCCATTCTACTGACACATGATTCTAAAGGCACCTAACAAAATACCTGACAAAGATTAAAAACTTAACAAATAGCTTTTAATTAAATTAAATTGAGTCAAATTCAGGATTAGTAATACATTATATTCAACAACTGTGTGTCAGGAACATTAAGAACCTGTTTTTACTACCAATTAAACTTCAAGTCATAACCTTATGGACAGCCAAGGCAGTCATGATATCATCATCTAGAGAGAACTACAAATTATTTTAAACCGTTTTTTTCAGTCGGTCACTACTGTGAGAATAGAGATTAAAAACTAAATCTTGCCCTAAGTTCAGATTTATTAATTCTCTTATTTTAGGAAAAAAAATCAATACATCTAGATTATTTCAGAAGCAGAGCAAAAAGTGACAGTCCACTAAAGATGTGACATAAATTTACAATAACACCTTTTAGAGTTTTGGTCCTGTTAGTAATTTTGTTCCTGAGATATTTCCCATGAATTCTAGCATCATACAGGTTGACTAACTCACTTGAAGTAAATGTTTCTGGGAGGGGATACTTCTTTACAAATAAACCTTAAGGCATGCATATCAGAATGGGAAGCACACTCTACTGCTAAACAGCAAATGTCAAGGTTGAGGCCTGAAAAGTCAGAGTATAGTGGCTTCATCTCAGCAAGGTATTGTTATTCCAATATTATAGAGAAACAAATTGAGTTGCAAAGAAGTTATCTTCCTTTGAATTTCAAAGATTTTTATCTTCTACTGTAATGTACTGTGTGGGTTTCAAGATCTTTAGCCATAGGATTTGTTCTTTTGTAACAATGACAAAGACCAAAATCCAACATTAAATTAGATTGTAAAATTATCAGAAAATTGTTAAATTCTTTGTATTTAATTTGTATCTCAGCATGATACAAAGAAATGAATTTGGGCATTGGAAAGAGAAAGTCCATGGTGTGAAGATTACACTTGCTAATTGTTATCACTATTATTATTTTTTAGTGTTGCCTTGAGCAAGGTCCTTAGCTTCTTGATTTTATTTTCTATAACATTGTGCTAATAATATTTTGCAAAGGTGATCTAGATATTAAAGAGAACTATGGTGTAATAAAAACACTGACTACATGGTAGACATAATATTCAGCATCCATTCATTTTATCTTTAACCAATATTTACTGAGCAGTTCAGTATTCCAGCTGCTAGGTGATGAAGTTCATTTTAGCAAACAAGACAGATAAATGTCTAACACTCAAGAAGCTTATATTTAGTTTGGAAAAAGCTAATCCAAAATTGACAAATATGTACAATATCCAGTTGTTTTGGGGACTAAGAAAGCAATGAAGTAGTAAAGGGGTTTGAAGAGAGAGAAGGCACCTCAGAAGAGAGAATATTTGAACAGACATGAAGGATTTGAGCAAAGAAGAAAATATGATACCTGGGCAAAGATGTTTCCTGGTCGAGGGAATAGCAAATGCCAAGTTTCTGAGATAAAAGAGTGTATTTAAGGAAGGAGGCAAGGCCCATGTGGGTGAACCAGAGCAATCAAAATACAGTGGAAGAAGAAGAGGTCAGAGAGGCAACATAACTAGATGACATAATGCCTTTGCTATGGACTGAATGTGTCCCCCAAAATTTTACATGGCAAGAGGTCCTCATGTTATCCTCAATCCCCAATGTGATGATAGTTTGAGATGTGAGCCTTTGGGAAGTAATTAGGTCATGAGGGTGGCTCCCTCAAGGTGGGATTAATGCCCTTATAAGAAAAGAGAAATGACATGAGAACACAGCAAGAATGTGGCTATCTGCAAAACCAGGAAAAGAGTACTTACATAAACCTAAATCAGCCAGCCAGCATCATCTTTTTTTTTTTTTTTTTTTTTTTTTTTTTTTTTTTGAGACAGAGTCTCCCTCTGCAACCTCTGCCTCTCAGGTTCAAGCTGTTCTCGTGCCTCAGCCTGCTGAGTAGTTGGGATTACAGGCGTGACCCACCACACCTGGCCAATTTTTGTGTTTTTAGTAGAGGTGGGGTTTCACCATGTTATCCAGGCTGGTCTCAAACTCCTGGCCTGAAATGATTCACCCACCTCGGCTTCCCAAAATGCTGAGATTACAGGCGTGAACCACCACACCCACCAGCCAGCATCTTGATTTGCGGCTTCCAAGCCTCCATAACTGAGAAATAAATGTCAGTTGTTTAAGCCACTTAGTGGATGGTATTCTTCTCCAGCAGCCTGAGCTAAGACAGCCTGATAAACCACTTTAAGGAATTTGACTTTTACTCTGAGATGGAAAGTTATTGTAGGTCATAAAGAGAAGAATGACATAATCAAATTGAACTTTTAAAAAGATAATTCTGGCTATTGTATTGAGAACTACCAATAGGAAGGCAAAGGTAAGGGCAGATAGGTTAGTTAAGATGTGAATATCCCTTATCTTGGGGTACAGATGTGAAGTACTAAACCCATTGTTTGGATATTCTTTGTTATTCTCCTAGACTGACTACAACAAAGATCTGGGAGTAGGACTAGAACGCATTTACATATACCACACCCCCTTCTCTATTGTGGTTCTCAGTAACAGGACTCTAACTCCTTACTTAACAGCATTTCATTTAGCAATTGTTTTTTTTTAAATTTATTTTATTATTATTATTTTTTTTTTGAGACAGAGTCTTGCTCTGTTGGCCAAGCTGGAGTGCAGTGGCATGATCTCAGCTCACTGCAACCTCCACCTCCGTGGTTCAAGCAATCCTCCTACCTCAGCCTCTGGAGTAGCTGGGATTACAGGGGCCTACCACCATGCCCAGCTAATTTTTGTATTTTTAGTAGAGATGGGGTTTCACCATGTTGGCCAGGGTGGTCTCAAACTCCTGGCCTCAAGTGATTCGCCTGCCTCGGCCTCCCAAAGTGTTGGGATTACAGGCGCGAGCCACCATGCCCGGCCAAATTAGCAATTGTTTATTAAATGTTGGCTGTTGACTACATTACTATATTAGGCGGTATGGCAAAAAGAACTAAATAAATATCCAAGAAAGCTTTGCTCCTTAAAATGCCTGTACTTTCATTAAAGTTGACAACATTACTGAAAGTGTAACATGTATATCTGTGTTCAACATCAGGGTAGATGCAAAAGGCATGCTCCCAGTCATCAAGCAGCCATATAAAATGAAGTTTATGAAAAAGAAGTAGCGTGAAAAATATTTCAAATACAATATTAATTGTGAAAACTGATTACAACTGTGTAAAGAAACCTTAGGGAGGAAAAGATATTAGGAGGAAAAAAGGGAAAAATAATAAAGCTATATTTAAGTAATGGGAACATGAGACTATCGGTGGATTCGATTTATCTTTTATTTTTATTTATTTTTGAAAATAAAAATGTCACTCTCCAAATGAATTATTTTAAAATAGAAACACCTACACTGAGGGGAAATATGCTAGGTAAGGTTATTCAGATCAAATATTCTGTTGGAAAAAACAGAACTGTAGTACACATTAGGAAAATTCGACCTTAAGAATTTTTAAACATTTTTTTTAGTGCTAGAAATTTTAAGTAAATCATAAAACTAGATGAGTAACTGAGAATTGAACAGTTAAACACTTGCTTTGTTCTGAGAGAATTTTCCAGGTTTAGGTAACTTAAAATTTGGGTTTGAGGACCTCTCGGGAAGAAAGAAATAGATATCAAAGCCCAGTGGGTTTTAAGTTAGGGAATTTATGAATTACAACTTACTCGTCTAACATTTATTTGGGACTTTCAAGTTGGACAGAGTAAAGTAAAAGATGTCTTCAACTCATTTTTTTTTTCAGGTATGCTAGTCTGATTCAGTGTTAGAAAGTCAATCAGTGTAGTATATCTAATCTACTTTTCAGACAGAAAAAAGAAATATAATGATGCAGAAAAGCTTTTGAAAAAATTCCAACACCCTTCCATGATAACAATTCTTAGCAAATTAAGACTAAAAGGGAATGTCCTCAACTTCATAAAGAAAATCTACAAAAAAAGTATTGATAATAGCATACTTAATCATGAGAGGCTGAATATATTCCCCCTAAGATCAGGAACAAGGCAAAAATATTTTGTCTCACCATTCCTATACAAGGAAGTCCTAGCAAGTTCAAAAAACAAACTGTATATCAGTTGTACATGAAGAAATAAAATTGCCTTTATTCAGAGATTATATTACTGTCTTCAGAGTCTATACAAAAGATTCTACAAAAATTTCTGGAAGTAATGAGTGATTATAGGAAAGTCATAGGAGGCAAAGTCAGTTTACTATAGTCAATTTCGCTTTATATACAAGCCACAAATCATCAGAACTTGAAATAAAAATGATTATTTTACAATATTACACAAAATGAAATACTCAAGTGTAAACCTAACAAAATATGTACAATATCTGTGTCAGAAAACTATAAAACATGATTAAAATTTATTTTAAAATTAACTAACTAGAAATATATTTTGTGTTCATGAATTGTACAATTCAATGCTCTTAAGATGTCAATTATTCATAACTTTGTCTGTAGATTCAACACAATCTATCAAAAGGACAGCAAATTATTTTGTAAATATCAACAAATTGACTTTAAAATTTATATAAAGAGACAAAGAACTAGGAGAGCCAGCACAATACTGAAGAACAAAGTTAGATGACTGACTCTATTAGATTTCAAGACTTACCATAAAACTGCAGTAAACAGAACAGCATGGTATTGATGAAAGAATAGCCACTCCAGGAAGAGCAAAAAGCCTGGAAACAGATCCACCAGACCCATACCAATGTAGTCAACTGATTTTTGACAAAGGCTCCATGGAATTTGAATGTGGAAAGGCTGGTCTTGTTAAAGTGCTAGAAAATTGTGCTAGAAAAATCAGACATCCACATGCAAAGAAGAAGAAGGGGGAGGAGGACAAGGAGAAGCAGAAGGAAGAAGAAGGAAAAAAAGGCGAAGAAGAAGGGGAAGAAGAAGAAAGGAAGAGGAAGAGGAGAAGGAGGAGGAGGAGAAGAAGAAGAAGAGAAGAAGGAAGAAGAAAGAAGGAGGAGGAGGGGAGGAGGAAAGAAGGAATAAGTTAGAAGAAGAAGGAGGAAGGAGGAAGAAGAGGAAAAGGAAAAAGAGGAAGAGGAAGAAAAGGAAGAAGAAGGAAGAAGAGGAAGAGGAAGAAGAAAGAAGTAGGACGAGGAGGAGGAAGGAGAGGAAGAGGACCAAAAAAAAAACCATGCCTAGACAATAGAGTTTTCACTTTACAGAAAATTTAAGTAAAAATAGAACATACAGATAAATGGAAAATATAAAACTACAAGACTCCTCAAGGATAGTAGTATCTGGGAAAATCTAAGTTACCGTAATTATGTTGATGACTTTTTAGACACAGCACCAAAAACATGATCCATGAAAGAAAAAATTTGATAAATTGAACTTATTTTTAGAACTTCTAATTTTCATCTGGTAGCATGTACCTTTAGTCCCAGCTACTAGGGAGGCTGAGGTAGGAGGATCACTTGAGGCCAAGAGTTCCAGGCTGTAATGCACTAAGAGCATGCCTATTAATAGCAACTGATCTCCAACCTGGGCAACATAGGAGAACCTATCTCAAAACAAAATAAAACAAAACAAAAAGAACAAAAGAGCCTAGAATGGGAGAAAAAATCTTTGTAAATCAAATATCTGATAAAGGACTGGTATCCAAAATATACCAAGAACCATTAAACTGCAGTTGAGGAACATTCTACAAAATACGGTATGCCTCAGACAACTGCCAAGGTCATCAAAATAATAAATGTCTGAGAAACTGTCAGAGCCAAGAGGAACCCAATGAGCCATGGTGACTAAATTTAATGTGATGCCATGAATGGGATCTTGGTATAGAAAAATAATATTTTATAAAAACAGATAAATTAATAAATTATGAATTTTAGTTGATAATAATATAGCAATATTGTGACAAAAGTACCATATCAGTCTAAGTTGTTAATAGTATGAGAAACTGGATATGAGGTGCTATAGACTGAATTTTGTTCCCCCAAAATTTGTATGTTGAATTTGATGACATTTGGAGGTGGGGCCTCTAGGAGGTAATTAGGTTTAGATGAGGTCATGAGGGTGAATTCTCCATAAGATAATTAGCACTCTTATAAGAAGAGATCAGAGAGCTTGCCGTCCCTTTGTCTCCACTACGTGAAGACACACCAAGAAGGAGGCTGTGGCAAACCAAAAAAAGGACCCACCTCAGAGAGTGATTCTATGGACACCTTGATCTTTGACTTCTGAGCCTCCAGAACTGTGAAAAATAGACACATACTGGCCATAACCATTCCTTATTCTCAAAATGCTGGAAATTTGACTTCTCTTATTCTTTCACTAAATTATTACAAAATGTTGATTTAAGCTCTAATGATATCTGTTTTTCAAAAATAAATATATGATTCAGTGAAAAGAGCACAGATCTTATGGTTGTAGATCTTATAGCTGTAGTTGTAAAATTTAGAATTCGAATTATCAAACACCTGGTTCAAAGATGTCACTCAGAAGGGGCAACCAGGAAAAGCAGAAACCACTTATTGCTTGCTACATCTCATTCAACAATTAGATTGAGCAAGTAAGCAATTCAGTCGGGGTTTCTGAAAGAGTGGTACCTAAAGCAACTATGTCAGCATTACCTAAACATGTAGAATTGTAAATCCTCAGGCCCCACTCAAACCTACCATCTCAGAAACTGTGGAATTGGGACCCAGAAGATGGTGTTTAAACAAACCCTCCAGGTGATTCTGATGCTTGCTGCTCAAGTTTAAAAACTACTGAATTAGAGTAGTAAACGAGCATGTGAGCTAACAACAACGACAACAACAACAAAGGCGTTAACTTACTATGAAGGTTTGGTCAGTCACTTCTTCTCTCTGCCTTCTGTTGTCATTTACTCCAAGGCAAAATATCTGTTGATCTTTTTCTCACAAATACCCTTTACTCTAAGAAGAGCAAGAAGGTCATAGTAATCATCAGCCCTACGCAAAATGCTTTGTAGACAGCGCAGTATACTCAAAAGAGACTCCGGGAGATGGTTGTTGTTTGCAAATAAACACATCTTACATTCTTTTGGTTTAGTATTGTATCATCCTCATTGGTGCATTTATTCAAAAAGTGTCTCTTATTTACATCCTCATTGGTGCATTTATTCAAAAACACTTATTTATCAAAAAGCGGACAGATTGAAATAAAAATACAATGAATAAACATATTTAAATGTTCACGTTATGTTTCACATAAACATATTAAACATTTCAGATTATTTAAATAAAGGCGATATACACAATGCTGTTTATCTCTAAAACAGCCTGTCTTTGAGCAAAGTAGCACAATGATCCAGCAAACACATTTAGACATTTTAGGAAAAAAAAATACGCTTGCCAATGTAGTAGTGTTCCCAACCAAATCGAGGGTTGGGCTGCTTTTTCTCGTGGCCGAATAACGAGATGCAGATAAACTGAAAAAGAAGGGAGTTTATTTCTGCAGCCAGGTACAAAGAGAAGGCATGGAAATTATCACCAGAGCAACTCAAAATTACAATGTTTACCAGCGCTTATGTACCTTTTAATCTATATGTCTACATGTAAGTGTGCATTCATCTGAAGATATAAGTGATTAAATTATTCTAATCTATAACTAAGATATGAGTCCTGAAGACCTTCCTCTGGAGCCTCAGTAAATTTATTTAATCTTAATGGGTCCAGATGCTGGGGTGAATACCCTTATCTTGTCTCCTGCAAAATCATGGAGGTTTGTGGAGTCCCTTCAGACCCCCAATAAACTTGTTTAATCCCAAATGGGTCCTGTTAAGAATTCCTGCATTATCTTGTGAGGAAGGCTCCAAGGCCCAGCAAAGGCCTGGGCAAAACTCTTGGGGGGCTTTTGTTATATCCCAGCGTTTGTAAAAGGTCACTGTCTCTCTCAGCTTTTAATATTTAACTTAGCCACTCAGTCAGTGCTGAAACAATTGTTACAGAGGCCTGTCTTAGTGAGACCTGGCCTTCCACAGTAGGTCACTGATAAAACACGAAGCAAATAACTAAAAGGAGATATCCTTTACATGATCTATAAATTACACATGTCACACTATATTTCCAAACTGCTCAGATTGCTTAAGCCAATGTCACATTCTCCTGATCTGCCAAATGGAAATGTTAATGATCACTCTATCATTTAGCATTGATAAGAGAAATAATATAACAAAGTGCTACACACATAGTAAATAATAAATATTTAAAGGATATAATACCAGTTCCAGCTCTGCCACCAAATTTTGGAGTGATTATGGAAACTTACTTAATCTTGTGCCTTAAGTGATTTAAAAATTAGTGGGTGGATGTAATAATCCTTAGGACCATTTCTCTATAACTTTATTTGTTATACATCAATTAAATTACAGATTCTGCTTGATTTACAATAGGCTTACATCCCAATAAACATATTGTAAGTTGGAAATATCATGTTGAAAATGTGTTTAATACACCTGACATACTAAATATCATAGCTTAGCCTAGCCTATGTTAAACAGGCCCAGAACACTTACACTAATCTGCAGTTAGACAAAATCATCAAACACAAACCCTGTTTTATAATTAGGTGTTAACCTCTCATGTAATTTATTGATATTTATTGAAATTGAAAAACAGAATGGTTGTTTTTGGTACTCAAAATATGGTTCTTACTGAAAAACAGAATCGTTTTTGGTACTTGAAATACGGTTCTTACTGAAAGTTGTATCGCTTTCACACAATACTAGAGTCAAAAAATCATAAGTGGAGCCACTGGAAGTTGGGGACTGTCTGTACTAAAATCATTTCATCTATATTGCTTTGTATGTTACCAATAACATATTTCAAAGAAGTACATAAAAATTATTTGTAATCAATATTTGCATTTTTCAAAGAATGATTAGTGACATCTTAGTGAAGGTGTATATAATGGACAGTAATCTCCAAAGGACAATTCATAAAACTTTGAAATGTAAGAATTTGAGAGCATTCAAAAGTGTCCAGTTATTCAATTCAGCAAGACATTAAAAATAAAAAAAATTTTGACATTTTCTATCAAAAAAATTAAGGTATCTATTTCTTCTTTTTCTTTTTTTGTGGCATGAGTCAGTATTGGGAAGGTTTTAGAACATTTGCCATTGAAAACTGCATTTAAGAATTTCAGCTCAGAATGCACTGGTCAGGCTGTTATTTCAGAGCTGAAAAGCATTTAAGATTTTATACAATCTTCACTGTGACACTGACATCAAACAGCTATGTTTATTTTATATTTGAAGTGAGGATGAGGGGCAATGAGGGTATTATGGTAAGGGTGGACAGATTGGTAGAAAAACATAATGAGTAGTATCTACCACGTTCATATTTAATATTTTTTCATTTTGAAAAGCCATGATAAAAGACATCTTATTAAATATACATGCTTCTGTCCCAAGATTTTTTAAAATTCATGTTCTGTTCTATTTGTTTGGGTTATTTTGACACAGCAAAGCTGTATTGTTTCCCCAAGTTGACAATTACACTTTAATGAAGTGTAGTCTTCATTATATTTCAAGAGAGAGAATATTGCCTTTACCCTGAGAACTCAACACTTTGTCATGTTACGTTCTGTTTCTCAGATAGATTTCATAAGCAAATCTTACATGATATCACAGAACGCTAGTATTCAGGAGACAGTGCATAATATTGCTTAAAGGGTCTATTACTACATTTTCACTTTATCATATCATTTTTGAACATTTTTATATACTCAAGTTATACTCTGCAGGGGAATTTATTATTGTACTAAGGGACTGAAAGAGACTTTAAAGGGACATATATCCAATTATTTTGCCTTCAGGCAACAGAGCGCCTTGGTTGTCCTCTTCCTTTTAAGCATATTTTTACTGAATATTTAAATTTTCCTCCATGATGTTCGTAAAATATTCACCATGCCTTGGAACATCTGGCTATGTTCCAATAACCCATGTAGAATTTGCTTAAATTTATATTATCTAGGGTGAAAAACTACCATAATGCTATTTTGAATAAATTTCTCATATATAATTTTATTCAAAAATTATCATTTTTTAAATGTGTCTGGAAAAATATTCAAAAATAGATCATTCTGGATTATCAGAGGTGTTAAGGATTTTCTACAGCCTAGGCACATTCAACAGAATGTTGATTGATAACTACAGCAAAACACTATGATGTTGGCATATTTATTTGCTTTTTATGTATTAAAAACAAACAAACCTCTTGCAATTGTCTGAGAGCATTGTGACAAGGCACAGGGTGATCCTATAACCTATCATTCAAAGCAGGACACTTTTGAGAACAGCAACACTAAAAGTATCCTGGATTGGATGAAAATAAATAGATTAAAACAGGGCACCAGGTGTAAACTGGAATGCTGTGCATACATCTAAATGAAGAGCTAATTAGAACTTCACTACGAACTTTATGGATATTTTAGGGACTCCATATTCTAGACCCCATTCTGGGACCCACGAAATCATCTGACCACTTTTCAGTAGTGGAATATGAATGTAGTAATTAGTGTTACATTTGTTAGAATAAAGAAGAAGATGAGCTTTCTTACCTGTTTCTCTTTCTCTCGGCTGACTGCAAAGCACTCAAAGTAGGCCCTAGAGAATGGGAGAGCCACATGCTGCATGATGTCAGTGGGCCTCGATACCCAGGTGGAAACCTATCAGTATTTGTTGGTGTAGGAGAGCAACAATCAACTTTAATTGGGGTAAATCTTTCAGTTTGTGAGTTGGTTTGTGATAGCAGCAGATATTATCCTAACTGATCCAATCATAAAATAGAAAAAGGTGGTGATATAATTTGGCTGTGTTCCCATCAAATCTCAACTTGAATTGTATCTCCCAGAATGCCCACGTGTTGTGGGAGGGACCCAGGAGGAGGAAATTGCATCATGGGGACCAGTCTTTCTGGTGCTACTCTCTTGATAGTGATTAATTCTCATGAGATGTGATGGGTTTATCAGGGATTTCTGCTTTTGCTTCCTCCTAATTTTTCTCTTATTGTCACCATGTAAGAAGTGCCTGTTGCCTCCCACCATGATTCTGAGGCCTCCCCAGCTATGTGGAACTGTAAGTCCAATTAAACCTCTTTTTCTTCCCAGTTTCAGATATGTCTTTATCAGCAGTGTGAAAATGGACTAATATGGATGGCTTATTTGAAAATCTTAGGATTGGATATCAGCATTTTTAGATTCTGATGCAGACTTTTACAATATGTAGGACTTGAACAAATCACTTTAATGTCATGAGGTCACAATATCATTTGTGTTGTGTTAAGTGTGACAGTTGTCCCTTATCAGGGCTTCCTGAATACAGATTGAGCCCCATTCCATTTTTACATATATTTTTAAATAAGATTGCCCTACAGGTTTTTTTTAAATTTATTCCATCTTACTGGTTTGATATTTGTAACAGTGTTACACCAGCCTCATTTAAAAGAATAAATAAATAAAAAATAAAGGCATGTGAAGCTTCCTTCTCTTTTATCTGAAAAAATTTCTGTTAGATTATAATATTTTTCAGTGTTTGACAAGACTTGCTATAGAAACAATCTGTCTGAATCTCCCATATTATAAAGAATATGTGGCCTCGCAGTTTTGAATTTATATTTTTTACAGTAAATTTTATTTTGAGTGTACAGTAAGTTCTCAATGTTGCCTTGGAAACTGCCACTTTAAGCAAAACAACTATAATTAAACTAATTTATCATAGGCTAACTGATATAAACAAGAGTTAAGTTACTATGGCATATTTCTGATCACAAATGATCACCACACTTTTACATAAGGATGAAAACACTTCTAATATTAAATATTCAAATAAATGTGATCTATATATATATTTAACAAAGATTAATAAAAACAAGTAAGGTATTTATTTACCTAATTATTCCAGGGTCTCAGATTGTCAAAGCCCATCCCAGCAGTTTGGGGAACCAGTTGGGAGCCCACATCAGACATGCTGGCTCACTCACACTGGGATCCTTTAGACGTGCCAATTCAGCTCTCATGCACAGCTTTGAAGTGCTCCAAGAAAACCCACGCAGACATAGGGTGAACATGTAAACTCCAGACAGGCAGTGGGCCTACTGGGAATCATTTTTCTTTTATCATCAACGTTATAAGGAAGTGATGTTGAATCAAAAGATGGTTATTCAAGATCTGACTGTATAGTAGTGTTCCCCTTATCTGAGGTTTTACTTTCTGAGGTTTCAGAATATTACATGAAAAATTCCAGGAATATACCATTCATAAGTTTTAAATTGTACACACTCTGGTAGCATCATGAAATCTCACCTGGTCCATGCATCATTCCTTTGTCCAGCGTCTCCACGCTGTCTACAGCTCCCCACCCATTAGTCCCTTAGTAGCCATCTTGGTTATCAGATTCACTGTGGAAGTATTGCAGGGCTTGTGTTCAAGTAACCCTTGTTTTGCTCAATAATGGTCTCAAAGTTCAAGGGTGGTGATGGTGGCAATTCAGATATGCCAAAGAGAAGCCATAAAATACTTCCTTTAAGTGAAAAGGTGAAAGTTCTCTTAATAAAGAAAAATAATCATATGCTGAAGTTGCTAAGATTTGCTATAGGAACAAATCTTCTCTTTGTGAATTGTGAAAAAGGAAAAAGAAATTCGTGCTAATTTTGCTATTGCACCTCAAACTGATAAAGTTACTGCTGCAGTGCATCATAAGTGCTTAGTTAAGAAAGAAAAGGCTTTAAATTTGTGGGTGGAATACATGAACAAAAACGTGTTCTGATTGACCGCAATTGGTTTGGTACTGTCCTAGGTTTCAAGCATTCCCTAGGGGTTTTGGAACACCCTTGTGGATAAGGGGGGACTATTGTATAATAAGGTAAAAAACATAAAAAGTTTGTCTTAATTGATAAACTAACATTAGATTTAAATCTATCATTTATATGACTATTTCGACTCACTAACAAAAGCAAAATATGTAGGTAGTTATTTATATCATAGAATGTTGATCAAGTCTATTTTTACAGTATGCAAGATAAACACTTTTTGGCATCACAGGAACTAAAAAGAGCTAAAACAAGGTCATTTGAATATGCAAAGAATATGCTTCTGTCCCCTATATCAATAAACATAGATACACCTCTATTTGTGGGGAGAAAATAGCCTTTGGTTGGTAGCTTCAGTGGCAGGATAAGAAATCACTTAAGTGAGGCTGCATTACTCTCCTCCGTCTCTAAGCTGCTCAACAGCAAGGGAATACCTTGGGTTATGTTAGATTTCAGTGGGTCATAGTAATGAATCCCATTATTCATCTCCTGAGCAATTCACTTCCATCCCCAAGGGCATTCCAAAGCTAAAATGTACTTTGGGTTAAATTTTCCAGTTTTCAAAATATAGCTGTGTATTCAAGTTCCTTTATGTAAGTACCACGGCTGCTGACAGGAGAAACCCTTGAGATGACAAACAGAACCAAACTTTAAGAATAGAATAAAAAGGAATACTTTTTCCCGTTGATGATATCAGCACTCTTAGAAATAAAAGGTTCTTTAAACTCAATCACAGTCCTTTGATACTATCTTGTTGCAATAGAACACTTATCTTCAACATATTGCCTTTTTTTTTTTTTTTTCTTGAGGAAAACTCTACCCTCTTCCACTATGTCTTGGTCACCCTGAAAGGCTATGAGTTTCCCAGAGTCTGGTCCCAAGCACTTTTTATCATCCTCTTTCTCCAGTCTCCGCTAATCCAAACTCAGATGCACACCTGATCTCAGTATTGCACCACTTGGGCAAAGCCCTAGTTGATGTTTTCTGCATTCCTTCATCCCTGGCAACCCACAGTCTTTTCCTTTCCTTGTGAAATCTCCACCTGATTCTAAGGTGTGGTGTAGATTCTGGAGCCTACTGTGCTTGTCTTGAATGTTTATTTCCCCATTTCAATGTCACTTTTTATGTATGGATTCTGTACGATTGTAATTAGTTTCCATGTTTTCTTGCATAGTTTTTGGAGTCTGTGTAGACCAGTTCATATTTCAACATTTAGCATTATTTTATGGGAACCTGGGTGGGCAGGAGATGGGGGAATTTCAAGTAATGCAAACCATAGCAAGTTTTGCATTACAGTGGGGGAAGAATCATAATATGAGGTCAATTATAATTTTGGCTTAGTCTAGTCACTGTTCATGTGGACTTCCCAAAACATTTATGCACACCAGCAAATTAACTGGTAAGGGCCTCAGGAAGTTCATAATCATGGTGGAAGGTGAAGAGGGAGTAGGCATATCACATGGTGAGAGAGGGAGCAGGAGAGTGAGGTGGGGATGTGCCAGACCTTTAAATAACCAGAACTCTGAACTGAGCGAGAACTCACTTATTACCAAGCGGATGGTGCTAAATCATTCATGAGGGGTCTGCCCCCGTGATCCAGTAACCTCCCACCAGGTCCAATCTCCAACATTGGGAATCACATTTCAACATGAGATTTGGAGGGGACAAACATCTAAACCATATCAATAACCTATTAACTGATAGTTTTGTGTGTGTGATTTTGTTTTGGGCTGTCCAGTGACTGGGGACCAGAGATGTTAGTATGTTGTTGTCAAGGACAATACACAACATGCAGTGTGTGAGACAGTCCTACACAGTAAAGAATTATCCCACCTAGGGCCGGGCGCAGTAGCTCACGCCTGTAATCCCAGCACTTTGGGAGGCCTAGGCGGGTGGATCACGAGGTCAGGAGATCGAGACCATCCTGGCTAACATGGTGAAACTCAGTCTCTACTAAAAATACAAAAAATTAGCTGGGCGTGGTGGTGGGCACCCAGCTACTTGGGAGGCTGAGGCAGGAGAATGGCGTGAACCTGGGAGGTGGAGCTTGCAGTGAGTCGAGATCGCGCCACTGCACTCCAGCCTGGGCAACAGAGGGAGACTCCATCTCAAAATAAATAAATAAATAAAAATTATCCCGCCTAAAATGCCAAAAGTGCTCTCACTAACAGATACTGATACCAACATATAGGGTACAGTCTGTACTATGAAGGAATGACATTCCCAAGACAAAAAATGTGTTCCTGTTTCAGAGACCAAAAGTGTGTAGTTAAAGTGTAATATGCATTATTATCCTCATTATAACACTGGGACCTCCCAGGGAACAAAGGAATTAATTGTGGAAAATGAAAAATATGTATAAAAGAAAGTTTCTCTTATACTACTACTCCCCAGAAATTAAATTTCTTACAAATCAACCCCTGTCATGGAGGGTGCTTTGAGATTCCTGCCTGTTTATGTCACTAAGCACACTACCCGTTTCAAGTCATATTTCAGAGTGGTATGACTCAGGTCAGTGTCCTGACTGTAGTGATCCCATTTAACATAACACATTCACACCCTCTGTGGAAGGCAGAATAAAAGATCCCCCAAGTATATCTTTAGAACTTAATTCTTGGAACTGTTATCCTACATGGCAAAAGGTACTTTGAACACACAATTAAGTTTAAGGACATTGAGTATGGAAATTATCCTGGATTATCCAGGTGGGCATAATCTAAATACATAAATTCTTAGAGGCAGAGAATCTTTTCAGGCTCTAGTCAGAGAGATGTGAAGTGAAAGGGGCTCTACTTGCCATTACTGACTCTGAAAATAGAGGTTGTGATCACTATCCACAGAAGGCAATTGAGACTTAAAGCCCAGCGTGATGGTGACTTGAGGGTAGGGCCGATGCCCTAAATTTTGATCAGGCTCTCATCTAAGTGAGAACCTGACAAAAAGGTGAGAATTGCTAAGCAAAATTTATAGGCCATTGCTTTAGACTAGGCTTTTCTGCACTAGGTTCCGACAGACCAGACCAAACCAGAGTGGAATCACTCATGCAAGGTACCACATCAAACTCAACTTTGAAATGGGCTACTTTTCACAACAGATGCTGGTGAAGTTATAGAGAAAATGGAATGATTTTACACTGTTTGTGGGAATGTAAATTAGTTCAACCATTGTGGAAGACAGTGTGGAGATTCCTCAAAGACGTAGAGGCAGAAATACCATTTGACCCAGCAATCCTATTGCTGGGCATATACCCAAAAGAATATAAATCATTCTATTCTAAAAATACATGCATATGTATGTTCACTGTAACACTATTCACAATAACAAAGACATGGAATCAACCCAAATGCCCATCAATGATAGAATAGATTAGGAAAATATGGTACATGTAAACCATGGAATACTATGCAGCCATAAAAAGGAAGGAGATCATATCCTTTGCAGGGACGTGGGTGGAGCTGGAAGCCATTATCCTCAGCAGACTAATGCAAGAACAGAAAACCAAATACCACATGTTCTCACTTAAGAGTACAGTTGAATAATGAAAACACATGGACACATGAGGGGCAACAATACACACTAGGGCCTGTCAGAGGGTGGGGGGTGGGAGGAGGGATAGCATCAAAAAGAATAGCAAATGGATGCTGGGCTTAATACCTAAGTGATGGGATGATCGGTATAGCAAAGCATCGTGGCACACATTTACCTATGTAACAAACCTGCACATCCTGCACATGTATCCCTGATCTTAAAAGTTGGAAATCAAAAAGAAAAAAGAAATGGGCCAGTTTTTCAACAAAACAAAACAAAAAAACAAAAACAGGAGATTCACAGCAACCAGACATAAGGAGACGAGTTTACCTAAGTTGGCATGATAAGAAAGTCCTCTCTGTTTTAACACCACAAGGAAGGAAAATAACTTTGAAAGGACCTATCCCCTTTTTATTCTGTTTCTGCTTTCTTCAGCCTTTTTCTCTCTATAAAGCCAAACTTCTCTTCTCAGCTCATTGGAACACCTATTCTATTTTATAGAATAAGATGTCACCCAATTGTAGAATTGCTAATAAAAGCCAATTAGATCTTTAAGCTAAGTTTTCTGTAATTTTTTCTTTTGACAGTGTAAATTACACAATAGCTCATTGCCTTCTCAAGCCTAAAAAAAACAAGGAGCCTCTGGGTTATTTGTGTGCCTTAAAACTTTCTATTCTTCCAATTAGATATAGTTATTCAAATTATAAAGTTATTCTTAGAAGGCTGCACACATTTTACTTGGAATTGGATTGTCGTATCATATTAAACATAGGGTATAACAATTCCTGTTGAATTTGCTTATATATAAATAGGAAATAAATGCCAATAATAATACACAGAGAATGTTGACAGGCATAAGTAAACCTTAAAAGCACATTATTCTTATTTGGAGGTCTTTGGCTGCTTGTAATTTGAGCTGAGCAAACTCACATTATATTTTTAGTGTCTGTTTTCACCAAGTACTAGCATCATATAGCAAATACTGTGAGAAAATTCCTACTTCCTATAGCTAAAACTACAGATAGGAACAGGGACAATATATTTTGAGGAAGCTTTTCAGCACAGATTGCAGCAGCAGGAGTGTTTTTTCTCATTGTCATTTTATGTAACAAGATATGGTAATGATATCATAAATTAAAAGAAATAAAATTATTTGCATTTTACCATAAAAATTTAGTCCAAAGGAAACAAGTTGCTTTTTAATACATAGTGGAGGGCAATCTATTTATCATTAAAGGATATTTATCAAAGTAAATCTCAATTATTCTCATAAAGTTGACAGTTTAAAAAATCTAGTAATTGAGACAATAATCTTTTGATATTACTTTTAAAAGTTAAGTGATTTGAAAACCTTTCTAGCAAGGTCTCCAAATGAAAAGATTATTTTTGGCTGTTCTGCCCAAGAACAATGATCAAATATTATAAAAATGCATTTTATTTACCATTCAATTTAGATAAACTTTGAGATTTGTGGAATATGATATAAACAACATGAAAAAGTATTATCTCTAGTGAGAAAGCTGCATAATTGTAGTTACTCCAACTAATCCACCATTAATGCCCACATACACTGGCAAAAGCCAAAGCATTTATTTGGCAGCAAAAAGTAACAACAGTCCAAGAAAGTATGGGCTTAATCCTGAAGGTTAACATTTCTGTCATTAATAGTGACATCTTACTTACCATATGATTGATTTTACACCTAACTCAATTTCTTTCACACCCACTGCAGGTTTCTACTAATATGCATTGCTGATGATCAGTCTTTTTAATTCCAATTGAGCATTATTGGTACTTAACATTTATTACTCAATAGTGCTCTCTATCATATCTGTGAAGAGTTTCCTATTAAGCAGATATTGTGCAAACACCACTGAGTAAAGATAGAGGTAAGAGAAAGTGAGTAAAACGGTGACAAAGAGAGGAAAATCAGAGAGAAAGAAGGAGAAGAGGAGCAATAGGAAGGAGAAGATATAGGAAAAGTAATATTATTTGAGGTGGAGGAAGACATTAGTTTATTACAATAAATAGAGTAAAATAACACCATGTTCCATGGAGGAGAGTGTGTTTGGGTGCATCACTAAATGTTGCCTCTATAAGAATAGCGTTTGCTCATTTAGTACTTAATATGTGCCATATACTCAACTATTATGAAGGTTATTCTATTTGTTTCTCATGTTAAGAGACTTAGACTTTTCCCTGCATCCAGTGGAATGCCATATTAAATTAGATGATCAATTCAAATTTATGATTTTAAGAAGATAATTTTGCAGTATGGGCATTAGATGAATGGAGAACAAAGGCAAATTGGAGAGATCAAGAAGATAGCTGTCAATAACTTACAAAGAAAGAGGTAACAGGAGTTTAGTTATGCATTTAAAGAATAGAGAAGAGACAAATGTAACTGTAGTAAAGATAGGGAGAGAATAATAGTAAGATATAATGCGAGAAAAGAAATGGGGGAGGAGCAGGTGATCTAGGGCAATGCAGCCCATTATAAGGTTTTTGTTTTGTTTCTAACATGGAATGCAATTGATGGTTTGGTGTGGAAAAGTGTCATGATCTGACATATATTTAAAGGGGATTACTATGTATGATACGAGGATAAGTTAGTAGGGTTAATGTATTAGTCTGTTTTCGTGCTGCTGATAAAGACATAGCTGAGAATGGGCAATTTACAAAAGAAAGGTTTAATAGACTTACAGTTCCACATGTCTGGGGAGGCCTCAAAATCATGGTGGAAGGTGAAAGTCACATCTCACATGGCAGCAGACAAGAGAAGAGAATTTGTGCAGAGGAACTGCCCTTTTTAAAACCATCAGATCTTATGAGACTTACCATCACGAGAACAGCACAAAGAAGACCCACTCCCATGATTCAATTACCGCCCACCAGATCTCTCCCAGGACATGTGGAAATTGTGGGAGCTACAATTCAAGATAAAATATGGGTGGGGACACAGCCAGACCATATCAGTTAAAAAAAGACAAAAGCCATTTAGGAGACTATTTCCCTTAAGCTTAGAAGAGAAACTTCTGTCCTAAACTCTACTCCTGCGCCTTTCTCAATGAGAAATCCATGAAGCAAAGAGAATACATTCCCACCAACCCAGATCCCACCTGTCCTCTTCCATTCTCTAGTCATCTGGATCCCTGGATCTTGATGCATCATGACTCTGCTCCAGGTGTGCCTCTCCAAGAGCAGAACACACCAGTAGTGTATGCAAGGCTGGCTTGATGGGCACACATCCTTGTAGTCACATAGGACCCCATATTCAGAAGGGACCCCAGTTAGCTGAATGCATTTGTCATCATTTTAGTAATTTTATATTTGAATTTCTGCCTTGTAAATGAGGTTCAGTGAAGTCCAATCAAGCTTATGCATAAGCAGAGGAGGTATAGGCAAGATGCGTGTAAATCATTTCTTGGTACTTATACATAAACACAGAAGTTTATATATATATATATTTGTCATTCTGATAAGTGTGTAGAATGATATTAAATAGCCAACAAAAAACATGATGACAAGGAAAAAGACCACAGAAGAAAGGACATTTGTTTATATGTAGTAACTTTACAGGCATCCTTTTTTACTCTGCCTTTTAAACAGAGGGCCCTGTTTTAATTTTGTGCTGGGCTCCACAGATTATTTAACCACCTCTGGGTAAATGTATCCAAGTCTAAGGGGTGGTCAAAAACAGGTTGTTCTCAGAGGTTGGGAACTAAACTTGAATGTACAAGCTAAATGGTATGTATTTGTATGAGAGATCTCATATATGGAAGATAGCAGGGTGGGGGTGGGGGCTAAGTGGTAACAGAAGGACACGGGCTACAAACAGGCACCTGGTGCCCAAGGTCAATAACCTGGCTTTTCCTTTGCTGCCATATTTTAATCATTTTTGGGATGTTTTATTTACACTTTTACATATTTAGATATATGATATGTCAGCTTCCATTTCTACTCTAACCATTGGCCCCATAAATGTTCAGGGTTGGATCAATTGCTATAGTCCAGATGAGAGATGACGGTAGTATAAACTAGAGATGGGACAAAGGGCCTGGATGTATTTTCATTGTAAAACTGTAAAACTGTGGTCTTTGTTTAGAAGTCAAATATATGGTGCCCAAGAAAAAGTGGTGTCAACAAAGATTTTAGCCTGAAGCATGGAAGTACAAAGGCATATGAATATACCAATTTGTTTACAGACATTTAGTCTATTTCCAATTTTTGGTGATTATGAATAATGCTGCTGTAAATACTCACATAATTTTTGTAAATTTTTTTAAAAAAATTCTTATGGGTAAATTACAAGGAGTGAAATTGCTGGGCTATATAGTAAGTATACTTTTAACTCTGTAAGAAATTACCATATTTCAAAAAGGGCTGCATTATTTTATAGTCTCACCCACAAGATGTAAGCATTCTAGTTGTTCAACATTCTTTCCAGAACTTGGTAATGTCCAGCTTTTTATTTTATTTTTTTAATCATTTTGCCATTCTAATAGGCATGAAGTGGTACCTCATAATGGTTTTAGTATTCTGTTATCTAATGACTAATGCGATTGAGTATATTTTTATGTGTTTATTATCCAACCATATATATTTTTTGATAAAATGTCTGCCCAAATATTTTGCCTATGTTTTATTGATTTTTATTTCTGTTACTGAATTTTTTTGAGAGTCCTTAATATATTTAGAATGCAAATTCATTGTCGTAAATGAATGAACATGATGTTGCTTCACCTTCTATTTTGTGGGTTGTCTTTTCATTCTCTCTTATATGGTCTATCAAAGACCAAAAGTTTTAAATTTTGAGGAAGTCTAATTTTTTAACTTGTTCATTTATAGTTGCTCTTAGTTCACCTCTTAGGTGGATAGTGTTTTGGTTTCATATGAAACTTTAGAACTACAGATACTATTTGAGAATAGTGAACATAAAGATTGCTGTAAAAATATAATATTACATTAGGAATATTACTTAAGAAATGAGCAGGAATAAAGAATAATATAGATCTGTTGTTCCCTAGAATACTACAAATTTTACAGTTGAGAAAGATGAGAGATATCCAGCAGAGAGATTGGAATAGAGCCTGTAAGACAGGAACATAACTAGGAGAATACGATGAAAGCCAATTGGTGAGATTATTTCAGAGAGAAGGGAATGATCAGCTGTGTCAAATCTCACCAAAAGTCAAGTGAGCTGAAGCCTAAGAGGTGACATTAGAATAGCAATGGGGTGACCATTGGTGAGTTTCAACAAAAGTAGGTTTATATAATAATGGAAAAAAAATCCTAGTTAAGGATCAATTCAAGGAGGCAGTCAAGAGAGGTAAAGTGGAGTCAAAGCATCTGAATTTTTTTTTTTGCCTATTAAAACCAGAAAAAATGCTTAGAACAGAAATTGTAGGTTGAATGGGATTGAAGAAAGTTTTGTTGTTGTTGTTTAGTTTAAGATGGAAGACATTATATCATGCTCATATGCTGATGAGGATGGTATAGTAGAGAAAAATATAATAAGGTAGATCACAGAAAATTTTGATGAGGTTCTAAAAACAAAGGTGGCAGGAAATAGGATCTATACACAAGTAGAGAGTTTGATCTTAGAAACGAGGGGACCAGTTCACTCATTGAAATATGAGGGGAAGCCGAGATTGGGGGAATAGATACACAGATAAATTGGTGGATGTATTGGTAAAGAAGCCTGTGAACAAGTTCTGTCAACAAGTTCATATAGTTTCTGATTTCTTTTGTTTTTAAGTAAAATGAGAAGCAAGTAATAAATTAAATAATCTCCTTTTAATGACTATTATTGCCATACCATTATGTATCCATATAGACAAGTCCCCTTTTTTGTTATACTCTTTCTTGAAATCTTCAAATAATTGAGTGCTCTGTTTTCAAATATTTTACAGTTAAGAAAAGTGCCTATCATTTCCATGCATGGTTTGGATCTTAAAGCATTCCTGAGGCTAGCTCAGGGATTATCTGGGTCCTAACTGTGCTTATTTAAAAGTAAAATAACTTAGTTTTCCCAGTCCCTTCTCACCCTTCTAGTAGATTTATTGTATGAAACTCATAAAATTTCTCCTTCCTGGTTATATCACTGTTCCAGTTCTAACAACAAAACTGCCAGTTTTCAGGAGTTATAAGCGATAGAAAATAGTGGTGCCAATCTTCAATACCATCACTCCGTGCTAGTTTTGTCATTGTTCTGACGTTGCAGTATGCAGAAATAAATCACTGCCACTAGGATGCATGCAAACCAAATCTGGAACTTCCATATTGAATTAACTTTCTGTCTATTCCCTAGGCCACACCCCTTCAATTGCCTTGTAACAGTGATGACTAATATAGCAATATAGTACTTATTTACCTGTATACAAAACAGGTTTAGAAAACTTTTGTTATATAAAAATTTGTCCAAATGACAAAAGTATGACTGTGAAAACAAGATAACATCACTAAGAATTTATACTATCTGCCATGCAAATTATTTGATGGCTGCTTGGAATATTGTTGCTATTTAAATATTTGCTAAATGAACTGAGTTCATCATACAAAAAATGAATTGTTAGTACAAAACCCCAAATTTTGATTCAAAATATATGAGAATTTTTTTTTATTTCTTCTAGCAAAATGACATTATCACAATGAATCTGATTGGAGGACACAAAAACATAAAATATTGTTTTTAAAAAAAATTTAAAAAGTTAAATTTCTCAGTTCTTTGGGATTTGCCTTATGCTTTGTTCCTATCTGGGAAATTCACAAGTCTTATAAATATATTAAAGTTCCTAATAAGATGTTTAGGAAAGAAACTTATTTGATTTGTTAACTAAGTCCTACTCCAGTTTATTAGGCTTTATTTTTCATTTGTATTATATATATATAATATTCCATATATATGTATATGTATAATCCATATATATGTATATATATGTGTATATATATAATCCATATATATGTATATATATGTGTATATATATAATCCATATATATGTATATATATGTGTATATATATTCCATATATATGTGTGTGTGTGTATATATGTGTGTGTGTGTGTGTGTGTGTATATATATATATATATATATATATATATATATATTCCAAAGAATAGGAGTTTTTTTTGGCCTACATATTACAATTGCCGACATAAAATTGCCAATTTTGTAGGACCAGTTAAATATTTTAAGATTAGTACTTTCTATCTTTCTTAACAGTGTCTCTTGATATTTAAATGGTCTAAAATGGAAGCAAAACAGAATCATGATTTACACACAATCCATAGAGTTAAAGTTGACAATCTAAATTAGAGCACTATCCAACTATATAGCTAGGGAATAGGAAAGATTTAAAAATTGCTTTTGAGGAAGTTAATGCATTTGAAGAATCTTTAAAGGGTAAATGGAGTAAACCTTACAGTTAAAACCAAAACAATACTAGGGTTTTGCCATTTGTGATGAAAATAGACAAAAAATTGTCCCATCTAGAACTTGCCAAATACAAAACACGACGCAGAAGTTATGAGCATATAGAGAAGGTGTGGGGTGTTTTTGTTACCATTAAACTTGGTGGCCCCCCCAAATAGCATCTTTCCCTCTTCAGTGCTGCAGAGCCAATACATGAAACTGAAAGTGAGCATCAAGCAGAGCAAGTTTTGTTCCATGAGCAGGGGATGGAGAAGTGGGAGCGTGGCTTGGAAATCCACTTCTTAACTAGTGAGAAGTGAGGCAGTTAAAATATAGGGTTTCTCTAATGAAGGGATTGGACTTTAAAAGTGAGGGGAGGAATTATTCAAGTCTTTTCTGGAAATGAGTGGTGAACTCCTCTGAACTGGTAGTGGCACCTTCCTTTAAGTCCTTCAATGGTTTCTTCTAGTCATTGTTATGACAATTCTCAACTGTCATGGTGCTGATGGGAGTGGAAATGAGATTTTTATTTTATTTTATTTTATTTTTTTGAGACGGCGTCTTGCTCTGTCGCCCAGGCTGGAGTGCAGTGGCGCAATCTCGGCTCACTGCAAGCTCCGCCTCCCGGGTTCATGCCATTCTCCTGCCTCAGCCTCCAGAGTAGCTGGGACTACAGGCGCCCACCACCATGCCCGGCTAATTTTTTGTATTTTTAGTAGAGACGGGGTTTCACCATGTTAGCCAGGCTGGTCTCGATATCCTGACCTTGTGATCTGCCTGCCTTGGCCTCCCAAAGTGCTGGGATTACAGGCTTGAGCCACCGCGCCCGGCCGGAAATGAGATTTGAATGAAGCTTTAGGTTGGCTATCCTGGTTCTAACCAGTCTCAGCTGGTCTGACTATAAAGGGAAATTCTTATAGCAGGCATCCCATTTCTTAAAGATAAGCAGAAGTCGAGTGGGGTAGAAGTTCAACTATGTCATATAGGCATTACATTTGGTAACATTTTTATAATATATGATATCATGTGACACAAGGGGAAGCAGGCAGTAGAATAAGGTTCATCTCCCACTGCACTTCATAAAGTCTTCCTAGAAAACAAAGAACTATATTTGTGAATCAACATAGTACTGTCTTGCTCTCCTCTTGCTTTTAACTTTTAAGATCTTCATCCTTTGAAATTATTAGAGATTAATACATTTATATGAGATGAGGCTCTGGCATATTTTCTGGGGCACATTAATGATGCCAAAGGCATATACATATACTACAACACGATGTCCAAATAATGATAAGAAAACTACGGTCATTGAAGTGTTCCTTATGAAGTAGAACTAACAGTAATCAAGAGTTTTGGAACTCTTAATTCAAAATCAAAATGAAAACAATGATTGCCTCTCTATATTGAGTGGGTGGTGGGAAAATAAAGAGACAGAAATGAAAGAAGATAAAGCGGCAGAGGCAATAAACTTTCCTTATTCAGAATGTTATCTGTGCTTGATAGCCCCCAGTCTCTCTTCCATTAAATATACTATTCAATCTGGAACACAGTCATAACCTAATAAAACTAAAGTCATCTAATATATAATTGAGAAATGAAGATTGTTTCAAGGCTTTCGAATATCCTTTCTGATTTAAACTTTCAATTTTACTCAGATTGACATTGGATTTGGCATACAAAAGAGAGTAATATTAAGGACAAAAAAGAAATATTGACTTATGTCATCAGAAAAGTAATGTTCCAATCTACGTAAAAGTAATACAGAACATAGTAAAGTTTTTTTTTGAGTCAAAGTAGATTGTGATGCGCAAGAAATATCTTATAAGTTAACATCTAAAATCTTAACAGGGCTTTCAGGTCAAATTCCTCTAATTACAGAATGTATTTTTTGTCAAATTAGATAAATAGATTTAATATACTTTTTGTAGTTAATATTTTTTACTTCTTTTTATAGATAAAAAGATATATTGACAGGCACTACCAAAAACTGTAGTTATCAGTAGAAAACCCAACTTTGCAACAGTGAGAGTCTTCTACAACACAAGGTAGTGTCTTCAAACAGATGTTAGATCTCTCCTGGTTGTGAGAACTTAAAAGCTCAATAAACTCACAAAGAGTTTATTGAGTGGAATGTGGCATCAGCAAAGTCATTCAACTGCTAGGCATACTGTATATTTTCTCACAAAATAGAGATTATGTATCAGGCAGTGCAGCACAAAACCTTGAAGGGCTTCATTATTGCTTTTGATTTTGCTGATTGCTTATTAACTGGCTCTCTTCAGCCACCTGGTTGTTCTAAATGAAAAGAATCCACTTGTATTCTAAGTGATTATTGGCATAGTGATTGAAAGAGGGAATCATTCCAAGAACATGTTTAGTATGCCCTTGACCATGTGAGAAGCAACCAATAAAGAAAATAGCTTGCTGAATAGAGCCCATTACACATGATACATCTGCATAACTGCAAATTGAAAGATTGCAAACTAATACAATGACTACAAGGGCACACTAATGAAGCATTTCTTATGTTAACTTCTCATTGGACATAAATATGGAGAAGATGCTATAGTTATTTGACACCTGTCAAATTTTTTAGATTAATATTTCCATATCACTTAACGTGATTTCAACTCTAGTAGAATACAGTTAAGTAATTACTGGAAAACAAAATAATTTTTACTTCCTGTAACATACCTAAACTTAAACTTGCATGCCTAAACTGTTTTTAAGTATCCTAGTGTTTCTGACAGACTTCATCCTTTTATTATTTAAATAGCTTTCAAAAACGTATTTGGATACAATAGTCCAGAGTGATTTCTTGGATATCCTTATTTCAGCAGCACCACTGTGTCCTTCATATGTGCCCTTGCCATTTAGGTAAACACCTGGGTTGTTAAAAATTTCTCCACACCTAGCTTTTACCTATGAGGAAATATAGTCAGACTATTGCTAGGGCACTGTCAAGTCCATGTATCTTAACTTAAACCACTCCCATGACTTGCTTCCTGCCAAAGTTTTTAATGTAGAGAGGCAGAGAAGAAGGACACAAGCATTAAGACAGGAGTTTGTAACATAGTTAATTGCATGGTAATCTCTACATAGTCCATTTGTAATTGCCCTACCCTCTTCCCAGTGAAACAAGTACCTTATTTATATGTAGGTCCTCAGTCCTCTTTTCTAGGTCCATGGTCCTTGGTAATTATTAACAGTTAATAGTCCCATTATTGAAAATTATATCAATGAATCATCTCAATTTCAGTAGGTCAGCTATGACTATATGCTGTTGCATTATCTACGAAAGCAGACTTAATGTTGCCAAAATGGCAGTCTTCCCAAAAAAGTACACTCTGCCTGCAGAGGAAAATGCCAAGCCATTGACCAAATTGCCTTTCTTACATAACCTTTAGCTTTTAATTTAGTCATCCTGTTTTCTGATGAGAAAATAGCCTTAAAATGAAAAAAAATAAATAAAAATAAATAAATAAAAGGAAAGGTTTAAAGAGGGCAAATGAGTTTTAGATCCTTCTTATTTTGGGTTGCTTTCTATTGTAGAGGCTTGCAATTTCTAACAAGTTGTCAAAGGTAGCACATAAGTTTAAGTGTAAAATAAAAATCTCAAGAGAAAAACGTAAGATAAGTTTAACCATATATCTTTCAGAGAGTATAGTGTTTAAAATACGATAGCATTCAAAAAGTGTAGTAATTTTATAGGCTTGGGAGTAAAAGGCTATAAAAGAATGTAAAACTGCAGGTCTCAAAGTGTCATTGAAGTAAAATATGATGGATTATTCCTACCAGGATACTGGAACCTATATTCGTTTTTAGTGAATGTATATTCTCAAAGTCTGGCAATCAGACTTCCATAAGCTTCAGTGTTCAAAGGTGGACACAGTTCAGCTGAGAGCAACGATTTTGCATCATCTGCCTTTAGCCACAAAAATATTTAAGAGTTATTCTTTAGTTAAGTGACTACAAATGTGAGGGAGATGGCCTGAAAACTAAATATTAGGTTAAGTCTTCAAAAAGTTATGCAAATGTGTTGCAATTGGTATGTTAGGGGAAGTTTGGTCATGTGATATCTTCATTTTCCTCCAGGTTCTCATGTCTTACCAGGAATTAAGTGTGATACTATTAACATTTGTAATTTTATCTTTTCAAAGTTAGTATAAAGCAAATGGTTGATCTTTCTTCTTTATTTTCAGTAAACACTACCTTAAAGCTACAGTGTAAGAACAATCAATTGAATATGCATGTTCTATACAAGGTAATGGATTGAGAAAGTGGGCCAAATAACTAATTGATTATGAAAGATATTTTTGTAAGGAAACAAGGAGAACGAAGTTTCAAATACGTAAATTACAACTTGTCTAGCCAAGAAATGAACATTCAACACATTTTAATATGGAAATTTAACTATGTTCTCTTTCCACCTTTAGTTACCTGTATTGTATAATAATCCATTTATTCATAAATTCAACAAATATTTATTGAGTTACTACTACCTGACAGAAACTTCTAGGTACTGAGGATCCATTACTCAACAGAGCAGACAGTGCTCTTGTCCTAATAGGCATTATAATTTAAGAGTTAAACTCATTATAGGAGGGAAGTCTTCTCACACAGATGACACTTCCAGCATGAGTTGCATCATATCTCTCTTGTCACCCCAAGGAAGCGTTTGAAGATTCAGCACAATCGAAACTAAAACCTGTTTCTCATATGCTGATGTTTGGGATTTTGTTTTTTAATGCATCAATTTTTATCATGAAAGAAAATGAGAATGGAATTTCTGAAGGTTCAAGGAAAAAAACCCAGGATAGAAATATGTAAAGGAAAGGAATATAGGAGTCAAGGAAGAATGGAGTGCAGGAAGTCAGGGTCAATGGGAGGCTCCGGGGTGTGACCTTGGCTCCAGGACCTTATCTGTCTACCGCTAACAGCGTTGGTCTATGCCCAGGACTTTCATCTGAAACTGCTGGTAGGACCAGTATTATAATATTCTGGGTTGCTTATATGTCCTCATTTGTTATTGGATAGAGATGGGCAGAATAATTTTATGAGCACTGAGTTGTAACAGTAGTTAATAATGCTTCCATTATACTTTCAGTAGAGCATAGCTGTTAAGTTGTGAGGTTCAATTTATGGCCCTGCAGATGTTTGGTGAGTTACTTAACATCCAGTTCTTCAGTCTCTTCAAGTGTAAAATGGAGATAATAATATTGTCTTGCTAATAGGGTTGTCTGCTGCAAAGAATAAATGTGTTGTTATGTGTACAGCACTTCCAATGGCACCTGTGCCATAGTAAAATCCAGTAGATGTTAGTACTATCTTCTTGCTTTCAAATATGTATATTGATAAAAGCATTGATTTCCAGAGGCTGATGTTTTTATTGAAGTTCTTATCTTCATTATGCATTTCTTTTCTCCTCCAAGCTTCTGCATCTAATCCATCATTGACATTTTAAGTCTTTTTAACATTTCTAGCTCTAGAACTGCTGATAACATATCAATGGAATGAGTCATTCAGCAGTAAGTTGGAAGTTTAACAGAAGGGACAAAATTATGATTGACCATTCTCACAGATCAAAAATACACTTGTATTAATAGCGTCTTCTTAAAATCTTTTCAGGAATTTTTTCACATAAGGACATAACTTGCAAAGCTCAGTGGTTGGGTCATTTTGAGACAGAATTTCTGCATGACGTTTCATTATTTGTGCACATTTTAAGGACTCAAAGACTGATCATTATGTGCTACTTTTTATATATCAGGTATATTTCCCAGAATACTATAAACCTCTTAATTGATGATAATGCATAGGTGATGCAGATGCCATTAAAATTACTTACATTTTAAGTGTTATTTTAATAATTTGCAATTAAAAGTAGAAGTCTAAAATAATAACATTTGAAACCTGCAGTATTTCTCATTTATGGGGCCAGTACTGTTATTTATGTATATTGGCTTTGGAAGGTATACCTAGATGGAGCTGTACGATTGTATGTGTTCAGTGTTAGCATAAAATATATGTTTACAAAATCAATTGCCATTTAATGGTTTTATATTTAAAAAATGCATTCTTCTATTCGTTGTTGTAGTCAACCTCTTCAAATAAACTGAGAAATGAAATTTGTTATTTTAAAAATGAAAAACTCAATTTGTTACTTATTGGTGGTAATACATGATGAAGGCTGCAATATTATGGTTTACTTCATGAGACTTACTTTTTCTATAAAACTGAGGGTTAAAAAAATTTAAATTTAAGTATCTCTTCCAGCCATGAGGAAATAAGATGGTTTAGAATTATCCTCCCACTGTAAACAATTGGACAAATTGACAAGATACCTAAAATAAGAATTTTCACATTAGAAAACAGGCATAACAGGACTGTGATTACTGAGAGAAAGGAAACTGAGGAGGAGAGCCCTAAAATCTTCCCAGCTTTCTGACTAGGAGCAATTTCTGGAACACAGTTCAGGGAAGAGAGCTCAAATAGAACCAAGAGATGTTCGTGGCTCTAGGTGACACAGATCAGGGTTTAGGGAGACAAAGTCACCTAGATTTTGTAGGGCAGAGTACAATACAGGAGCATATAGACGAAGAGCCCAGAAATTTGCATAGATTTTTCCTAAGGTCTCTGGCCAAATACCAATCTGCATAGACATGAAGTGAATATCCAGGAGGCCAGGCAAAAACAACTTAATGGAGTCTTGACTCATCAAACTTCCCAGAGTAAAAAGACGTCATTGAGGCCAGGAGATACTCAGGAAAGACAATAGAAAGGTTCTTGAGCTTCTTGCCTTTGTAGATGTATAGTTTTCACTTGATAAATCTTTATTCATTTTTTCAATTTTGTTTCTATTCCTCTTCTTTCTCTCTTCCTGGAATTTTAAACATAACTATGTATGAAATGTTTGATGTTGTCCCTCTGTTCAATAAGGTTGTGTTTTTTTTCTTTTTTAGTCTTTTCGCTCTGTGCTTCACTTTGCATAGCTTTATTTCTCTGTAAAATGTCAGTTTTAAGAAAAAAAAAAACAGAAAGCAAAATAATAATATAGCAAATCAAATGAGGATTTTCCCAAGTAATATATGGTGACAACACACATAATTTATTAACATAAATTCATGTATTAACCAATTAAAAACTATATAGTCATCACAATGGCAATCAACACAATGGAAGCATAAAAAATGATTTAGAATTTATTACCAAACATTCCATTTTAAATCTTAGCAAGATAGGTAACAAGGGAGCAGTTACTATATGCATGCATTTGTCTACCTGCTATTGAACACAACTGAAAAGACAGAGAGCAAGCCAAATGGAAAGAAAAGCAGGAAGACATACATTTAAAAAATTAAAAAAGAAAATAAAAGAAGAAAAAAGAAAAAGAAAGAAAAAGAAAAAAGAAAGAAGGAAGGAGGGAGGGAGAAAGAGGGAAAAAGAAAAAGCAAGATAGAAAGTAAAGCAGAAAGAAAAGTAGAGAAGGAAGGAGAGAAAGAAGGAAGAAGGAGAAGGGAAAAAATAGATGAATTCTTGATATGAGTAACAACGTGGATAAATCTCTAATTATGGTGAGTAAAAGAAGCTAGACCCCCCAAAAATGTGCATACTGTATATTCAGTATAATTAATTTGAGATGTATCCATGTTGTTGCTCATGTCAAGAAACTAGCATAGTGACAGGAAAGAAAATCAGTGGTTGCCCTGAGGATGAGGGGTTAAGAGGGTTGGACAGGGTTACAAAAAGGAATAAGAAAACTTACCACTGGGCAACATTCCATTATAGATCATAGATCTATACTACAATTTGTTTATGCATTTGCCTTTTGATTAATATTTAAGTTGTTTCCAGATTTGTGTTATTGCAGGTAAACTTGTGATGAACATTAATGTGCAACTTTTTGTATGCATATTTGCTTTCACTTCCCTTGTGTAGTTAGAAGGAGAATGACTGGGTCACATGGTAGCTACATATTTAATGTTTTAAGAATGTAAGAGTTTTCAAATTGTAGCATTTTGTAAGCAGTTCTTCCACATCCTGTGACACTTGTTTTTTTAATTTTAGACATATTAATAAATATGTAGTTGTAATCATTGTAGTTATAATTTGCATTTTTCTAATGAATAGTGATGCTTAGCATCTTTTCATTGCTTATTTGCCATCTATATATCTTCTTGGTGAAGCAGCCATTAAAATACTTTGTTCATTTTGGGGGTTTGTTTGAATTTTTTTTTTTTTTTTTTTTTGTGATGGAGTCTTACTATGTCGCCAGGCTGGAGTGCAGTGGCATGATCTTGGCTTACTGCAACCTCTGCCTCCTGGGTTCAAGCAATTCTCCTGCCTCAGCCTCCCCAGTAGCTGGGACTACAGGCACTCGCCACCATGCCCAGCTAATTTTTGTATTTTTAGTAGAAACGGGGTTTCACCATGTTGGCCAGGAAGGTCTCCATCTCTTGACCATGTGATAAGCCCGCCTTGGCTTCCCAAAGGTCTGGGATTACAGGTGTGAGCTGCCACACCCGGCCTGTTAGATTTTTTTAAATAATTGAGTCTTCAGTGTTTTCTGTATATTCCAGATAGAAATTATTTATTAAACTCTTTGATTTTCAATATTTTTTCAGTTGTAAGCTTGTCTGTTCATTCTTTTAACAGTATCTTTTGCAGATCATAAAATATTAATTTTAACAAGGTCCAATTTATCGTTTTTTCTTTTCTTACTTTGCTCTTTGCGTTCATATCAAAGAGAGCATTACCTAACTCAGGCTATAAATAACTTATTTTATATTTTTTTCTACAAGTTTTATAGTTTTAGGTTTTTCATTTAGGTCTATGATGCATTTTTTCTTTATATTATTATATGGTGCAAAATATAGATTAAGTCTTATTTTACTGGATATTCAATTCAATCACCATCTGTTTAAAAGATTATCATGCTTCCACTGACTTATTACCTATATTAGTCAGAATTCTCCAGGGTTTTCCAAGAAACAAAAACAATAGAATGTGTGTGTGTGTGTGTGTGTGTGTGTGTGTGTGTGTGTGTGTGTGAAGAGATTTACTATAAGGAATTGGTTCACATAATTATGGAGGCCAGCAAGTCTAAAATGTTTAGAGTGGGCCAGCAGGCGGGAGACCCAGGAGAACCAATGCTTCAGTTTGAGTCTGAGAATGCTCTTCTGTAGAATTCTGTCTTGCTCAAGGAAGACTGGGCTTTTTGTTCTATTCGGGTCTTCAAATGATTGAATGAGACCCATCTGCATCATGGAGAGCAACTTGCCTTACTCAGTATTCATCAATTTAAGTGTTAATCTTATCCCAAAACACCCTTGCAGAAACATCCAGAAGAATGATTGATCAAATATCGTTTAGTCAAATATTTTGACCAAAATAATATTTGACCAACTTGGGCCCCCAGTGGCGAAAGCCGAGTTGAAAGTTAAAATTGAGCTCCTTTGTTAAAAATCAAATTACCATATAGGTGTGTGTCTATTTCTAGACTCTCAGTTTTGTTCCATTAGCCTAGTAGTCTATCTCTATTTCATGATTGGATAATGCCTTAGCTTTATAATAATTATTGATATCCAAGTTGGTTTTTCTTCTTCAAAGTTGTTTTTGGTGATTCTAGGTCCTTTTGTAGCCATATTAATTTTAGGCTAAGCTTGATAAATTCTACAAAAAAGTATATGAGATTTTGATTGGTATTATATTGAATACAGACATCAAGTTGGAGATAATTGATTCTTTAACAACATCTTCATGTCAGATTTATTTCTAACCATTTTATTTTTTATGTCATTATGAATCATATTTCAATTTAAATATTCATTTATGAGTATCGGTGTGGATTTGTGGAAATACTTTGATCATTTTATGTCTATCTTGAATTCTGCAATCTTGCCAAACTAGCAAATATTTGGAAATTTTCCAGAGGTTTTTTTTGTTGTTTGTTTTTTTGGGGAGGGGGGGAAAGAGTCTCACTCTGTTGCCAGGCTGGAGTGCTTGGCACAATCTTGGCTCACTGCCACCTCAGCCTCCCGGGTTCAAGTGATTCTGCTGCCTCAGCCTCCCAAGTAGCTGGGACTGCAGGCACACACCACCACACCCAGCTAATTTTTTGCATTTTTCGTAGAGATGGGGTTTCACCATGTTGGCCAGGGTGGTCTTGATCTCTTGAACTTGTGATAAGCCCGCCTCAGCCTCCCAAAGTGCTGGGATTACAGGTGTGAGCCACTGCACCCAGCCAAGATTTTCTGTAATTGATTTCCAGAGATCTTGTAGTATTCTCATTAATTCTATTTTTCTTAGGTAACATAGAGACTCATCTCATGGCCAAGATGATGGTCAATTTTGGCAAACGTTTTACATGTATCTGAAAAAAATGCATTGAGACAAAAACAAAATAACAAAAACTCTGCTGTTAGGCAGAATGTTCTATAAATGTCAATCAGATCGATTTGGTTGTTAGGATAATTCACTACCCTTATGGGTTCTATCATTTAAAAAAATTTTCTACTTTTCTATCACTTATTAAGCGATGAATTTTGAAATTCTTCACTATGAATGTGAATTCATCTTTTTTTCATGCAATTCTTTTCTTTTCACTTCATGTATTATAATACTACACATTCATTGATGCTCTATACTTTTTCTCTCATTCATTTTAGAGATTCTCTCTTCTAGGTCTTTGCAAATCTTTAATCTTGCCTTGTTGAATCTGCTGTTATTCCCTTCCAGTGTATTTTTTACCTCAGACATTGCAGTTCTCATCTATGGAAGTTGAATTTTGCCTCTTGTAAAATATCTTCCATATGTCTACTAACCATACTCCATATTTCTTCTACTTTTTTAACCTATCGAGTATCTAATAGTGGCTGCTCTCATTCCTTTGTCTGTTAATTCCCTCACTGGTGTCATTTCTGGTTCAATTTTGATGGGTTGTTTTTCCTCCTTATTTTGGGTCTATTTTTTCAGCCTTTTTTTTCCCCCATGGATGGTAAGTTTTTATTAGATACAGCCATGCTTGGTTGCTGTTGAATATTTTTGTATTTCTATAAATATTCTTCAGGTTTTTTTTTTCTGGAACACAATCAGTTGGTTGGAAATAGTTTGATACTTTCAGTTCTTGCTTTCAAATTTTCTCAGGAGAGCTCATAGCAGCCTTTAGTCTATGGCTAATTTTCTTCCATTACTGAGGCAAAGTAATTCTGAGTACCCTACTTCATGTTTCATGACTTAAGTGGTTTTCTCCTCTGTCTGTTGAGATCAGGAATTATTCCTCCTAGCCCTGTGTGAGTTCTAAGAATTGTTTTCACAAATTTTTCTGTGTTTTTGTTCGTAGACATGGTAGTTTCCTCACATAACTGATCAGAACTCAGCTGAAGGCTTCAGGACTACTTTCTGCATGACATTGGATTTTTTTTTTTTTTCTCTCTCTCTCACTCTGTCTGTCTCTTTCTCTGTCTCTCTCCCTCTCTCCCTCCTTTGGTAGAACTAATGTCTCTGGTGAATTTCCTATAAACCCTAGCCAACTTGGCCTTTCCCTCCTGAACTCTCAGCCTCACTTCCTCAACTTAGAGAAACTTCTGGGTTCTGTCAAGATTCCCATTATCCACACCACATTCTGAGAACTCTAACCCGGTGTTAGAGCTAAGAAAACTGTAGGACTCACCTCTTTCATTTTCAATTTCTCAGGTATCAATGTCCTTAATTACTAGCTGTCTAATGTCTTTAAAACTGTGGTTTTATATATAGTATTTTGTACTTCAGCTGTTTAGGGGGACTGGTAAATTGGTTCCTGTTATTTCATCTTTTTTCAAAAGCCAAAGTCCTCTGAATTTTCTCAACAATTTTTGACATAGATATTGATTTTGGCTTTAGATTTGCTCAATACTATAATGTAGTTTGATTTCTAATGAAGAACATATTTTTAAGATAAAAGTATAGAGCATCTGAGATGCTCCATCATGTAGAAATGACATTAGTCACTTACTTCGGATGTAAGTTAAATGCACATGGAAAAATTAAAACATGGCTTTTTTGGGTGAATACTCTGCTCTGCCCTGATGATAGGAGTCTCAGAAATGTCTATTTAAGCTTTATTTATATTATACAGCGGAGTACACAATAGTAGACTGTATGGATTTAAAAAAAAAGAACAAGATTCTCTTTGCGGCACAAAAGAATACTATAGTTGTTCAGCAATGTACAGGAGAATAAGAAGAAATTGTCCTTTGTCCTTCTAAGCTCTTATTTCACATTTTACATAGAGAAAGGGAAACAGCTTATTTCCAGTTGTGAGAAACACACATTCACCCATCCAAACCCAAAGAATGGACTGGGAGACACAAAGAACAGTGGAAGCAAGACTTTTAATGGTGGTCTTGCAAGATCGGGTGTCTAGTAGGCAGGCACACCTGGGGCAGTTACAGCAGGTAATTTATCTCCTAGCATGCGATTCCCTCTCCCAGTTCGTCACTGGTCAAATACTATGGGGTTACAATCTTCCCAGACATTTCCTAAGTTTCATTATCCCCCTCACAAGGTTATATCCTGTCTCCTTCTCCGCTTAAGTTTCGATTTCCCAATAATGGAGCTTTCTTCCCTCTTATGGGCTGACCCCTCCTCTACATTCTTTTTGCTTATCATGACTTTATAGGAGCATGAGCCCTGTGGTTTGTTACATCTGCAGGCTGGCTGGCTGCCAGTGCTCAGATTTATCATGCCTTGAAGATGGACCATTTAAAATGTTTTCTCACACAGTTAAGATGTAATAAATAAAAATATTCAAGCTCATAGTTCAAGAGATAAAATTGTATCCATCAATGCATGACAAGGGTTTTTATGCCTGACTTTATCTATATGTTTAAAGTCATGCATGTGATAACTCCTGTGCCCTCTGCCACTGAGTATCATGTCTTCCTATAGTCATGGAGTCATTCATCCTCCTGTATTATTCACCTAACACAGGCTACCAGCTAAGTAAATACTGGGGCAATCAGAGCAATTTACCGTTCATTTTTTCTTTTATTTATTCATTTATTTATATATACAGTATGTATTTATTTAGCACTAATGTGCCAGTCATTGTGAGAAAATGCCCCATATATTATTTAATATTTCATAAAATAACCCAAATGAAGAACAATGAATTTATAGGTTTAGAAAGGTTAGGCAATTTCCCCAAACCCGCCAACATGGTATGTACTAGAGGTAAGCTTTGAATAGACTTTTGTCTAACGTTAAGTCTGACTTAACGTCAATACTGCCGCTTACAGAAATTGCCTGTGAAAAGTAATCTGAAACCTAGAACAAGCTTATTAATTAGCATGTGACAATATCCTATGTGGATGATCCTGGCATATACTTCCCCTTTACAAACTATTATGCATTGTATTATTATATATTTTACTATATGATGGAAACATATTAATTTCCATTACAATTATAAAACTGACAAATTTGAATTTGATGGAAGAAAGAACATTTTATGTAAATAAATGTTTTATAAAACTCAGTAAGGTATAATTTATATGCTATAAAACACACTCATATTAAATGTGAAATTAACAAATGTATACATGTATACACCTGTACACCTAACACTACAAAGAAGATATACAATATTTCCACCACTCTAAAAGTTTTCCTTCTCAATAACCCCAACAGCCAGCACCAGACAATCACTTCTGCTTTATGTCAATATATATTTGCTTTATGTTGTCCTTCTGATCTGTTATTGGATTACATATATATCATATTGGATTACATATACATCTGAAATAATATCACATATTCTCTATTGCGTTTGGCTTCTTTCACTTAGCATATGGTTTGAGATGCATCCGTGTTATCACATATATCTGCAGTTCCTCACTTTTTAATGTGAAGTAGTACTTTGTTGTGTGATATATCACACTTGTTTATTCACTCTCCTTTTAATGGACGTTTGTATATTATTTCTACTTTGGGGCTATTATGAACAAAGTCATGATGAAAATTCTATGTTGGTTTTGTGTGGTGTGAAGTTTTCATGCTTGTTGTAGACTAAATGTTCATGTCCCCTCAAAATTCATATGTTGAAACCTAATCCCAAATGTGATGGGTATTTGGAGGTGAGGTCTTTGAGAGGTGACTAATCCTGGATGGTATTAGTACTGTTATAAAAGGGACCCTAGAGAATTCCCTCACCCCTTCTGCCATATGAGGACACAATAAGAAGTCAGCAGTTTGTAACCTGGAAGAGGAACCTCATTAGAACTCTAACTGCTGGCACCCTGATCTAGGACTTCCAGCCTCCAGAACTGTGAGAAGTAAGTTTCTGTTGTTGATAAATCACCTAGTTTGTGGTATTTTGTTATAGAAAACAAAGCTAACTAATACAATTCTCTTTGGTAAGTAATAGTGTATTTCTCATATTTTATGGTAATCACATGTTAAAGATTTCAAGAAATTGTCAAACTTTTGCAAATTTGTTATACCAATTTACATTCCCAAGAGCCACAAAGTTGAGAGGAAGTTCAGTTACTCAACATCCTCATCGATACTTCAGTATTGTGAAACTTTTTAATTTTAGCCATTATAATGAATATGCAATGATATCTTCCTGTGGTTTTACTTGGAATCTCTTTGATGACTAGTGATGTTGACCATCTCTTCATGTGCTTGCTGACCATCTGTATATCTTCATTGTGAAGTATTTGTGTTAAATCTCCCATCTCTTTTATATTGCAATGTCATATTTTTGAGACAACATAAATATTTTTTCATAAACTGTGTTTTTCATTCATGTTTTAACCAAACATGGTAAATGCACACTTTTGTGTACAATTATGTAAATTTTGTCAAATGCATACAATCATATAATTACCACAATCAAAGTATGAAACAGTTCCATTGTATTAATTTGCTAGGACTACCCTAACCAAGAACCACACATTGGGTGGTTAACCCTAACCCTAACCCTAATAAAACAAAAATGTATTGTCTCATGGCTTTTGGAAATAGAAGTTCAACATCAAAGTGACAGCAGGATTGATTCCTTTTGAGGCCTGAGGAATAATCTGTTCCAGGCCTCTCTTGCTGGCTTGCATCTGGTCATCTTCTCCCTATGTCTGTTTATCTTGTCTTCCCTCTCTGCATATCCCACTGAGCAAATTTCCCCTTTTATCAGATTAGATCTACAGTTATATTGTTAATATGGTTTGGCTGTTTTTCCACCCAAATTTCATCTTGAATTGTAGCTCCCATAATTCCCACGTGTCATGGGAGGGACCTGATAGGAGGTAAATGGATCATGGGGGTGGATCTTTCCCATGCTGTTCTTGTGACAGTTAATAAGTCTCAAGAGATCTGATGGTTTTATAAAGGGGAGCTCCTCTGCACATGCTCTCTTGTCTGCCACCCTGTAGGATGTGACTGTGGTCCTCATTCACCTTTCTGCAATGATTGTGAGGGCTCCCCAGCCATGTGGAACTATGAGTCAATTAAACCTCTTTCATTTATAAATTACCCAGTCTTGGGTATGTCTTTATTAGTAATGTGAGAACAGACTAAGACATTGTATTAGAGCCCACCTTAATGATCTTGTTTTAACTTGATTACTTCTATAAGTGAAAGACCCTATCTTCAAATAAGGTCACATTCTAAGTACTGAGTATTAAGACTTCAACATATGATTATTTTTGGTAAAAGAGGCATAATTAAATCCATAACAGCTACTAAATCAAAAAGTTTCCTTGTGCTGCTACTGTGTAGCCAATACCCTTTATAACCTCCAGCCCTTTCTAAGTATTGATTTCTTTCCTTTCCCTAAAGTTTTGTCTTGTTCAGGATGTCATTTTACGAGAATCATAAAGTATGTAATCTTTTGAGTTTGTCTCCTTTCATTTATCACAATGTTATGAACATTCATCCATTTTGTTTCATGCATCTGTATTTTTTCCTTTTTATCATTGAATAGTATTATATCGTATAGGTATATAACAGTTTATCTAATAAGCAGTTGAAAGGTATTTGGCTTTTTTTATAGGTGTTTGGTGATAAAAATGAAATTGTTAAATTTTTAGTAATGTTTGATACTGGGTAAAATATCCCATTCTTATGAGTATGGTATAATAATGTAATATTTTCTGTTATCTAACTGTAGTTGTTTGTTATTTAATGATGTATTAAGTGCCAATGAAACAACCACTTACATGGAAACTAAATTTTTAAGAAAAACTTACTTTTGTGGCCCTCTATTATTCTATGCCTTGGCTTTCCACAATCTAAAGGCACTACTATGTCAGATGATCATTCCCTTGAGTAACCAGAACATTCCAACATTCTGAAATCATCCCACTACTTACCTCACAAGGTATGTGATTTGCATCCCAAGACACAGCATATGTCAAATGGAATACATGCCCCACTACTACAAAACAAGACTCATCAACGTTCTAGCCTATAGTGGCAGGATTCTCATTTCCTGATATACCCTACCTATTGCATTTCCAATTCCACCATTTAGATTCTGTTTTGTGCATAATTCCATGTCCACATAACTTATACAACTGTGCATTGTATAAGTTAACAATATACTTGCCTACCAAAATAGAAATCCCTGAAAAATATTTTAAGCAACTAAGGCTTATTTATTTCATGCGATAAAATATCTAGCAGTAGAAAGTTTAGGGCTCAACAATGCCATTAAGAAACAGAGATCCTTATATCATTTATCTCTGTTATCCTTAGAATAAAGTGTTGATTACAAGATGGTCACTTCTTCAAGGTGTCAGTTTATATTCTAAGCCTGGAACAAGAGAAAGAATAAATAGCTTTTAATAAACAGCACCAGCATATTTCTGCTAAATCTTATTTGTTAGAACCATGTAATATGGACATCATTACCTACTAGATAAATTGACGAATTGAGTTCTTAGCTTTTATAGCCTCTAAGTTTCAGGCAGGAAAATAAGAATGGGGTGTGAATGACTTTTATGTAGGCACCCGAGTGATTGTCATAGTGATAAATAACTGATAATCTACTCTCTAAACTCTTAAATAACCCCAAATATTTTTCCTTATTCTTAGCAAGGAATTAATTCTTGACTGAGTATGGTTCTTGTGTTGCTGTTAAGTTTAGTGTTCTGCCGAAAGTATTCCACCATCTTCTAGCTTCCAGTGGCACAGATGAAAAGTCCAATACCAATTTGATTATAATCTGAAAGATAACTTGTTCTTTCTGCCTGGAAACATATAAGAATTTTTTGTTTGCCAGAAGAGTTCAATAATTCACCAATGTGTGAGTACACAAGGGTAGGCATTAGTTTTATGTCTTATAACAGCTGATAAATTAGTTATTTTTTCCCTCTGCACACTTTGTCTCCAAGTCAAGAAGATATTTTCTATTATGGTTAAAATATTACCTCTTTCCTTCTGTTTCATTTCTCCCTGGAATAGCTGTTGTTTATACAATGGGTCTCCTGATCACTCTTCAAAATCTATTATATTTTGCCTTTTGATTCTCTTATATTTATATGTTATCCTGTATTTCAAAATGATTCTCACTCACCAGAGATTTTATAAGTTACAAAACTGAGTATCAATAGCAATTGTTTTCTTCCTTTAATTCCTCCATAATTATTTTTGTGAATTTTTCTCCTGAATACCAGAAAATGCACATATTATTATTGTTTGTTCACAATGTCATTTCTATCCCTCTGCAGCTTTATTTCACAATTTCCAATCTCTCTCTCTCTCTCTCTGTCTCTCTATTTCCTCTTTGCTCTCCTCTATGATTGCAGAGCTTTCTGCTTTTTGGGTCAAGATTTGTTATTAAATGATGAAAAACAAAGCAATATCTGCTGTCATAGACTGGGACATAGTGCCTGGCCCTTGAAACAAGCATCTGTGTTCCAAAATTGTTTTGTATTTTTCAAACTTCAGTAGCAGGGTAGACTCAATGTATCCTTCTAGCTATTTCTTAGACTTTAGAAGGCTAAGGAGATGTGAAGCTCATTCACATATTATTCCAGAGCTCCAAACATCTCTGGATACCACATCTTCAAGGACTTGATACTTTCTGATCTTCTCCCAGGCTCATACCTCACTAAGCTGGGTTGCAGTCTCCCTCGGAGGGGTTGGGGGTGGTAGAGTTAGGTAGGGAATAAGAGGATAGGAAGGCTAAAGGGGAAAAACTGGAGAAGAAAACCTTCCTTATATTCCTCTATTGGAAACCCATTAGAGGATAGCACCTCTCTTGAACTTACATGCCTATTGTCTATATGCTACTTGGCTCATAAAGACTGTTAGCTTGGAGTTCAGATTAGAACTGGGAACTGTGTTTGGGTTGCCATGTTCCCAGCGCACCATTCTTCTACAACATCTTTATTTTAAGGTCATCCTTATCTTCTTCTACTGTTTTTATTAGATCGAAATCAGTTTACATCTTAGTTACAGTTTTTTCTTGTTATCTTTCTTAGTTTTGGCTTTTCTCTTACAATTGTAATTTTAATTTATAGTTTAATGTTCAGTGGGAGCTTGTGTTGCTTTTGTTATTTTTGTTCGTTTCTTGTTCTCTACACTCCCCCATGCTACTCTCATGGTAAATATTCTGTCCTTGAGGCTCCGCTGGCTCCCAGTCCAGAAACAGATATATGACGCAACTATAATTCTTATCCTACAGTGATAATGTTGATCTCATAGATACCCCTACTAAGAGGAAGTTGTATTTTCTGGATTTCCTACAAATGTTTTCTACTTACTTTTGTTTACTTCCTTTCAAACTATTTGATGTATAGCAACAGAAAAAAATCAATTTTTTTCATTTCTTAATGTGCATATGTACGTATTAGGAAAAGAAACCTTTATGAAGCAAAACATGTGCAAGTTTGCATGTGATGCACTGTAATATTCTTTATTTTAATTTTTTTTATAAAAAATACTTGTTATGCCAGTCTAGATTGATTTCAAATCCAATAAAGGTTTCAACTTGTAGTTTGAAAAACACTGATCCACATTCTCTGAGTATGAAGCTTTATTAAAACTTATCTCCTGAGTGTTTCACCAGTTTTTATCAAATTATTTTTTATGGCATTAGAACCACATAAAATTTTCTGATGTCAGTCAGTGAATCTGGCTCAGGTACTTTGCTTCTCAAAGGATATGTGACTGTATACTAGACACATCTGGAGTCTAGAAAGTTTGAAGCACCAGTGCCTGCTGCTATTATATTTTTCTATTCTGCAATGTTCCATAAAAAACCTTTGCCTGGTTTTGAATGTGAACCTTTGCCTGGTTTTGAATGTGAACATCTTATTATTTTGTTTATTTTTGCTGTATGCTTACAGATCAGAGAGATGTTCACAGTATAAACTTAGGATATCTATCATGATCAGAATTAATGAATTTGATTAACTTATAAAGACTTGAGAAGCCCAAATATCAATGACTGTAGTATGAAATCTATACATAATTATAAACACATAAAATGCTGACTACAAAAGCAATGTATTAATGGAAAAAATATATATTTATTATAGGGCAAGAGGTACATAAACAAAAAATAAACACACAGTTCAAATAAGTGATTGAAAAAATAATAAAAATATCTGCCATCTTAAATTTGTAAAATAATTTCTGTGCATTTTGTTTACTGTGTTTCCAAACTAAGATAACTGGAAGTTAGTCCTTTTTTTGTATTGATAAATACCTTTCTTCTCTTTTGATTATCTGCCCCGCTCCCTTGTCCATGTTTTACATCTATTACTGTTACATGTACTTGTATAACACACAAGAATGTCATCAAAAGATGAATAATATCAGTTTTGTGAAAATACTTCCAGCACAGCAGAATAAATATATTATGTAAACGTAGCATATGATTACCTTTAGCTTTATTATTTTCCATTAGAAGGCCAAATATACTTTATCTAAAAGCTATGTAAATAAATGACTCTTTAAAAAGTCATTTAATGTTTTACTTAGGCAAGCATTAAATAAAGTTGCCCATACATATTTTTTCTATAACTATGAAATATATGAGCATCTCAGATTTTTACTTGTTTTCTCTTATCACAAAAATGTTTCCATGCTCATTTCTCCCTTTCTATATAATGACCTAATATGTATATCTATAATAATTTTCCTTTATGAAGTGTTTCACAATCATTTATTTTAAATGTAACATTTCTTTAACATACATAATCATTTACTCAGTACATGTCAATAAGCTTTATCTGCAGATAGTGGAATAAGAGTCCTTTTCTTGGCTTACTTATAAATATACAAAATCACAAGGAATATAAGTTAGTTATTGCAGATTGCACAGTCGGTGGCAGAGCTGAAATTAGCACTCGGATTTCTAGCTTTCATCATCTGCACCAGTGCTTCTTAAACTTGGAATTTGGAAACCCTGCGGGAAATTTTTTATGCTTCAGAACTTCAACTTTTGTGGTGGTATTGAGTGAGACATAGGCTAAGGTGACAGATCAGATATAAATTAAACATGAAGAGAGTGATCATACTTTCTTCCCTGAAAACCAAAGAAATGTCTCATAGAGTCCTAATGTTCTTTTGAACATGGTTTGAAAATGATTGTTCTAAGCTAATGTATCTAAAATTGTGTTGTGGGCAAAATCTGAGTTTACTTAAAATAAAATTTTATTGGCATGAAGATAAAAAAGAAATTCATACATATTTTTAAAGTTTTTGTTTATTATGTTAACTGAAGGAAATCACAGAGACGGTGTTATGTTCATTTGCAATAGGACTATCCAGATGGTGGATTGGGTCTGTGGTATTTCCCCAAAATCTTTGGCCATAGAATTATTTCATCAAAAATCACAGAGACGGTGTTATGTTCATTTGCAATAGGACTATCCAGATGGTGGATTGGGTCTGTGGTATTTCCCCAAAATCTTTGGCCATAGAGTTATTTCATCAAAAATACATCTGTTTTACACAAATGGCTTTCAGAACACAGCTTAAACTAAAGATTGATGTATACACTGTGTAATACATTTGTAAGGTATCAAATATATATTTCACTTAGAGTAGATTCTAATATAAAGTTATAAGTACTAAAGTTGCATTTGTCAATTGTTACATTAATTATTTTAAATATTCAAGTTCTCTTATTTTTTAGAAAAAACAACGTAAACATGTTTAGAAGTATGATGGCTTCTGATATCCTTGCTCATAGTCTATTTCACTGACAGTGATCAGCAAAGATTCCAAGAGAGTGATCCTTTTACACATCATTTGCTGTCTTATTTGACCATTTGTTCCCAATCACAGACAGTGCACCAGAATCATCTACAGATCTAGTAAAGATAAGATCTTCTGATCTAGTATGGTAAGAATAGAAACTAGAAATTTCTTTTTTATAAAACAAATGACCAAGTAATTCTATTGAATTTAGAACCACAAAATCTAAATTAAAAAAAATTATTTGTCAAAATTTATCAAGTGGAAAGCCAGACAAAATATGTTCTACTCTCTACTTCTGTCCTTTCTCTTCCATCACCCTTCAGGATTTGAAGAGTAGATACAGAGGCATGTCAAATGAGAGTTGGATCATTTTCACTTTTAAAACCAGCTTTTCTTCCTACAACTTCTTCCTCAATCAGAAAGTCTTTCTTTAACTGTCTGGAAAATACTGCCTATATGATCTCAATTTTTTTGTGTGATACTGTTTGCCCTCCTGTCTCTTTATAGGGTCATAATATAAAAAAATGGTTGCTAGAAATGTGACTTGCACTACAGAAGTGAAAATCTATAAGGTTAACGTTTTGAAGTATTATTTTCTTCACACCTTAATTTTGTTCCCACATTTATTGAACACCTACTAAGTTCTATGCTTAATTCTAGATACAATGAGGACAAATACATCTTGCCTTAAAAATTTAGGTCCCAAGAAAATAGTCATAAACACATTCTAAGGTCTAAAAAATAATTCATTTATCATGAGACTTTGACTTATTTCAGTAGATCAAGTGCAGTTGCCTAGATGTTTCCACTAAAATAGAAAGAATTTCACTTTTCAAAAAAACTAGGCTTTAAAAGTACTACCCATATTTTATTATATTCTTTGGATATTCTTGTACCTTATAACTTAATAAAATAACTAAGAAATTTTTTTTAGATTAAGGTGCTTAATTTGCATAATAATAGGACCTACAATTTATTTTTTTGAAGGAAGGGATGAAGAAACTAGTATCGTTATGTTTAGCTTTTCATAATTTAAAATTTGGTTATCATTGTATATGTCTCTTCTCTCTCTCTATATATATATACACACACAGACACAGACACAGACACACACACACACACACACACACACACACACACACAGACTCATGTCTTTCAATCCTAATTTTAATCAGCTGTTTCACAGAGGATTTGGAATTGTCTTCTAGATCTCTGCTTCCATTATACGATGCCTGCTTTATACTTTTAGCATGGAATATTACTAACCAAATAAACTTCTGAACATTAAGGAAACATTCCAAATATTGATTGGAAAACACAGAAAGATGTTTTCTTCTGATATAATAACAAAAAATAATAGCATGAACTCAGATTTATATATTTCTACCCATGTGCCAAAATGCAGCACTAAAAGTTTTATATTCTTTTCTCATTTAACTCTTAAAACAATCCCATATTACAGGTGTGTGTGTGTGTGTGTGTGCGTGCGCGCCTGTGTGTATGCTTTTCAAACTACGTTGTAAAATAAGTTCTAGAAGAGACTAACAGGTAAATGGACCTTTCTTTGAAAATATAATCAGGAAGAGCCTTCTTTTTCCCCCTCCAACTATTTCTTAAAAGAGTAGCTATTCTTCGCTATCAAACAAATTCAATGTCCTCTGCAAAGTCTTCCATAATCACTCTGGATATGAGTAAGTATTCATTTCCTTTGGAACCTGATAGCAAGCTGTATTTTGTTTTACCTCACATTTCACCCTCTGTAGCTATGTCACTAAATAAATGTTGAGAATCTAACCTGTATCCGTATTTAATTTTTACCTGGTTCCATGTGATGTATAATTATTTTTTTATATATATCAACCACAAGAACACATGCAAATCGTTCTACTTTTAAGTGACAGTGAATGAAATTAAAATATCTCTTTTCACTTGTCTTCTTGCATCTATCCTATCTCGTTTAACTTCAAATAAGTCAATTTTTTGTAGATCTTTGTGAACCAAGTACTTCAAACCCAATATTACTTACACTCATTGATCTGAGCCTTCACTGAACATCCTAAGCAAAGAGAATAAAAATTTTTATTGTGTTTGTTGCCATAGTTTCTCTTATTGAATTCCACTTGGCTTTTCTGCCTAAAGAGATTTTCTGTGTAATGATCACAAGACCATGCCTGACATGGTTAGAAAGATAGAACATTGAGACTTAAGACATATTCAGCTTAATCTCTGACTAATTAATATTAAAGTCTTCACGCTCAAACTCAAGAGATTGAAATTCAAATAAAAAAATTATTCCGTTTTTAAGTACATGAAGCATCAGCATTTGTAAATGTTGAAGAATATATATCCAAGTAACATTCTAAAAGGAAATGCAATGTAAATTTTTATTTATAACAATATGATAATTTACTATTTAAATACGTTTGATTTGCTCCATATTCTCTGTATCCAGTCAGTATAAGTCCTTACATGTCGGCTCTTTACAGGGCTTTAACAGGTGCAGAGTCTGAGGTGACAGGGAGTTTGGTTTATTGATCTACTAAAATATAAAACAGAGGAAATATTATTCAATGAATCTTCATAATAGTTATTAATTATAATTTTATTTTGTGAGAATTAATTTTTTATGAAGGGGAAAATCCAGTACAAACATTTACTAGGTGCTAAGTAAAAATGACAGTACTTTTCTGTTACATATGTTTTCCATGTACCTCTTCTGAAACAGGAATTACTTACCCTCATTTTACAAATGAGAAAGTGAGATAGATAAAAGTGTAGAAGTACACAATTGATCAAAGATTGCAAACCAGGCCAGCCAGGATACAAAACCTACATACTGCATTGTCCCATTCAGTGCATGTACTATTTAGTACATGGCCAGCCAGAATACAAAAAGGCCAGCCAGGATACAAAACTGACATACTGCATTGTCTCACTCAGTGCATGTACTATTTAGTACATGGCCAGCCAGGGTGCAAAAAGGCCAGCCAGGATACAAAACCTACACCCTGCATTGTACCCTTCAGTACATGGTACTAAATGGTACATGCACTGAATGTTTCAAGTGTCATTCTAAAATATTCATATAATAACATATATAATATTTTGAAATTTTTATTGTATAGTTATATATTATTTACTCAATCATCTATTCTGCTATTATATCATGCCTGCAATAATGCAATGTAGTGGATTCTCTGCTCATGAACTAAATAAATGTGCATTTATCTCTCCATATATGTTTCATGAACCAAGGTTAAAGCAAATTTGCTCAACTGGCAAATTATCATACCAATATACCCTGGGATATTAGAGAGAGCTTGTATCACTTCACATGTAAGAAGGGTGAAAAAGATATCTCTAAAATGGAACACACCAACCACACATGATGTTATTCTTGCACAGTCTTTCAATCAGTGATGCAATTGGTTAGAAGTCATAATGAATAAAGCTGTGAACTTTTACAAGTTTTTTTTTTTTTCTCACATAGCAAGCAGTTTTAAAGAGATCAGGTCAGATCTGTGGTAACTTAAATGTATTACCAAAAACCAAGACCTCTGCCTGTGTTCTATGTATTTAGGTGTGTTTTGCCTCATCGCTCCATGGCATGAAGCTTGCAATATTGGAACTATTTAAGGCAGGAAGGAAGAAAACAGCAGTCCTATCAGGAGTAGTCTTCAACTATATTTCAGTTACAAAGTCTAGGCAATTCACAACAATTTGCTGGGAAAAAAATCAATGAAATAAGCAAGTTGTGGGTTTGCCATATATGTTTAAGCATAATACAAAGATGATTTGGGGTAATTTTTCTTCAAGGCTTATAAATTACTTTTGCTTGTATGCAAAAATCAATTTTTTCTTTATTTGGATTCTTGATACTCACTAAAATCCATCCATTTTCTATATGATTACCAAAAATTATAACTTTAGAAGCTTTAATTTAGTTGGTAGTTGCCTTAAATTCTCCTAAAGGCTAACTTTCTCTATGATCCCCGACCAGAGATCACAGTCAGCCTTTGCTACTATCCATTTACTCCCAACATTGATATTTGAACATTTGTTCTTTTCTTTCTTTCTTTTATTTTTTAAATGTAATATGACAGTGTAACTTATAACTATCTGTCCAGATATAGATATTGAGATATATGTGCTATAGTAACTCAATTGAACTTTTCATTTTCCTTTTATAGTATGTAAGCATGAAGCAGGTACTTTGCATATGTTTTCTCATACTTTTTCGTCAGTGTCTAGTTGTGCCTGTCTCTAGGCAGGAGCTTAATAAATATTAATTGAATACATAATTATATTTTTGTTTTGATTTTTTCTTCATATATTTTTAAAGAAAGCAAATTCCATTGTGAAACCAAAATGGTTTCCTATGTTATGTTTAATATACACTTACAAAGAAAGTATACTGTTTTTTATATCAGTTTTAATTTATTTAAAAATTCACACTTAGGATATAGTTCTGTAAATGCTGAGAAGTTTGTCATTAAATTCCTCTTCCTTTTGAAGTGAAATGTCAGGTATACAAATATGAATTAATACTTAAAACAGAGTGATCTTTGTTTGTGTAACTATTTGAATACTAAGACTAAAATTGTTGGTTTGCTGAAAACAGATATATCTTCTCAGTTATTGGTGAAATACTCATATATTTAGCTTAAGATTCTTATTTCAGTGAACATCTGATATTTATAGGCTCTAAAACAGGGTAACAAGAAAATAACTTGAAATGATGACTAGCTTTTTCTATCAGTTTTTACAAGTAATCTTGATATAATTGATAAAAGTAAATAAAGTTAATATAAATGGGATCAACTTTATAAATAAGCTTTGCATGTAATTTGAAATTTTAAAGTTATATAAGTGATAAATACTCAAATGGCTAGGTTATTTTCAAATAAGAAAAAACATTGAAATGCAAATTATTGAATATAAACATAAGTTTGTTTTCAGCTTCTTAAATTTTACAGGAAGAGTAAAAATATTTGGGTCTATTAACATACATAAAATCATGTTAGGGCAAAAGATGTTTCTAAAAATTAGAAACACCTAGAAGATTACCATGTAGAAAATACTGGTATGTGGCAAATCAGTTTAAAATTCCTTATTTTCTAGGTTACCACTAGAAGGTAAGGTTACTAAGAGTTAAAATTATAATTAGTATATAATTCTGTATTGAAAGAATATCAAAAAAGTAAGATATATTTTAATAAGAGAAATGATAAGAAAAGCATAAAAATATGTTCTCTATTAAAAAATACAAAATTTTTTTTTCTAAATTTGAGGTTATTTGTATTAGTCTGTTTTCACACTGCTGATAAGGACATACCTGAGACTGGGCAATTTACAAAAGAAAGAGGTTTAAATGGACTTAACAGTTCCACATGGCTGAGGAAGCCTCATGATCATTGTGGAAGTCAATGAGGAGCAAGTCTCATTTTCGTGGATGGTGGCAGGAAAAGAGAGGACCATTTGTAGAGGCAAACTCCACTTTTTATAACCATCATATCTCATGAGACTTATTCACTATCACAAGAACAACACAGGCAATACCTGCTCCCAGTTACCTCCTACCAGGTCCCTCTCACAACACATGGGAATTCAAGATGAGATTTGGGTGGGGACACAGAGCCAAACCATGTCATTCTTCCCCTGGCCCCTCCCAAATCTCATGTCCTCACATTTCATAACCAGTTATGCCTTCCCAATAGTCCCCCAGTGTCTTAACTCTTTCAGCATTAACTCAAATTTGACAGTCCAAAGTCTCATTTGAGACAAGGCAAGTCCCTTCTGCCTATGAGCCTGTAAAATCAAAAGCAAGTTAGTTACTTCCTAGATACAATGCTGGTACAGGCATTTGGTAAATACAGCCATTCCAAATGGGAGAATTTGGCCAAAACAAAGGGGCTACAGGCCCCGTGCAAGTTTGAAATCTAGCAGGGGAGTCAAATCTTAAAGTTCCAAAATGATCTCCTTTGATTACATGTCTCAAATCCAGGTCATGCTGATGCAAGAGGTGGGTTCCAATGGTCTTGGGCAGCTCTGCCCCCATGGGATTGCAGAGTAGAGCCTCCCTCCTGGCTGCTTTCACAGGCTTTGAGTGTCTGCTGCTATTCCAGGCGCATGGGTCAAGCTATCAGTCAATCTACCGTTCTGAGGCCTGGAGGATGGTGGCCTTCTTCTCAAAGCTCCACTAGGTCATGCCCCAGTAGGAACTCTGTGTGGGGGCTCTGACCCTACATTTCCCTTCTGCACTGCCCTAGCAGAAGTTCTCCGTGAGAGCCCACCCCTGCAGCAAACTTTTGCCTGGACATCCAGGCATTTCCATACATCCTCTGAAATCTTGGCAGAGGTTCCTAAACCTCAATTGTTGACTTCTATGTACCGGCAGACTCAACACCATTTGGAAGCCGCCAAGGCTTGAGGCTTGCACCCTCTGAAGCCATGGCCCAAGCTCTAAGTTGGCCCCTTTCAGCCACGGGTGAAGTGGCTGGGAGGTAGAGCACCAAGTCCCTAGGCTGCACACAGCAGGGGGGCCCTGGGCCTGGCCCATAAAAACACTTTTTCCTCCTAGGCCCCTGGGCCTGTGATGGGAGGGACTGCTGTGAAGACCTTTGACATGCCCTGGAGACATGTTCCCCATTGTCTTTGGGATTAACATTCAGCTCCTCATTACTTATGCAAAGTTCTGCCACTGGTTTGAATTTCTCCTCAGAAAATGGGCTTTTCTTTTCAATTGCATTATCAGGCTGCAAATTTTCCAAACTTTTATGCTCAGCTTCCCTTTAAATCTGAACTCCTTTAACAGCACCCAAGTCACCTCTTGAATACTTTGCTGCTTAAAAATTTCTTCTGCCAGATACTCTAAATCATATCTCTCAAGTTCAAAGTTCCAAAAATCTCTAGGGCAAGAGCAAAATGCCTCCAGTCTCTTTGCTAAAACATAACAAGGGTCACCTTTGCTCCAGTTCCCAACAAGTTCTTCATGTCCATCTGAGACCATCTCAGTCTGGACCTTATTGTCCATATTGCTATCAGGCTTTTGGTCAAAGCCATTCAACAAGTCTCTAGGAAGTTCCAAACTTTCCCACATTTTCCTGTCTTCTTCTGAGCCCTCCAAACTGTTCCAACCTCTTCCTGTTACCCAGTTCCAAAGTTGCCTCCACATAGTCGAGTATCTTTTCAGCAGCACCTCACTGTACTGGTACCAATGTACTGTATTAGTCCATTTTCATACTGCTGATAAAGACATACCTGAGACTGGGCAATTTATAAAAGGAAGAGGTTTAATCAGACTTACAGTTTCATGTGGGTGGGTAAGTCTCACAATCGTGGTGGAAGGCAAGGAGGAGCAAGTCAAATCTTACATGGATGGTGGCAGACAAAGAAAGGAGCACTTGTGCAGGCAAACTCCCCTTTTTATAACCATCATATCTCATGAGAGTTATTCACTATCACAAGAATAGCATGGGAAAGGCCTGCCCCCATGATTCAATTACCCCCTACCAGGTGCCTCCCACAACATGAGAGATGACATTTGGGTGCCAAACCATATCATTATTTAAAAGCCATTTCAAAAACTAAATTTAGAAAAGAAATAGAAACAAGATAGAAAGAAATCAGTAACTAACAGGGAGAGAGATGTAAAGTAAGTTATAAGTATGAAGATGCATTTGAGTGAACAAAAGTTAAAAAGCAAAGAGCAAAAAGTAAGAAGTGAAATTTATTTTCCTTTTTTCTTGAAATGATAAGGGAAAAATAAAAGTAAATTTTGTCCAAATGTAAAATGACTGGTTTTTAAAGAAAGAGGAAATATAGGACAAAGCATAAGGTATAAGTATGTTGTGGATGGTCTAAGTCATGAAAGATTTCTGAAGGATGAATTTATGAAAAAAAAGATGTGTTTGATCAAGTTGAGTATAAATAGAAGGGAATTATTTATAAGTATTTTAAAATACTGAGCTCTAATATTAAAAATACACTAATATAAAACCAGAGTTTTAGTCCTCTATGTTAGAAAAACAAGGTTTTCTTGAATTATTGATTTGCTCTTTGTAAAATTTGCAAGAGGTTTTGATTTAATTCTGAAATCACTTTCTTTAACTGTTCAACCATTTTCTAAAGCATTTTTTTCTTCTCTTTTACAGTCTCCATTTAGTCTCCCCAATTCCTGACTACAAGTGTTATCTTCTTCATTTAGAATGGTGATTTTATTTATCAAGGTAAGGTTTTGCTCTTAAAACTTCTCAGCTTCATATCTCAGAAGTTCAACTTTTGCCATATCTCACATCATGTAATTTGCATCTTGTCTCAGGTCCTTCTTTCCTCAAGGGTATACACATTTTCTTTGGTTGGAGTAATAACGTTTTAATGTGTTTGTTTGTTTGTTTGTTTGTTTTTGTCAGCTCTTGCAACTATTTTCTTTAGTTCCAACTCTGTAGTTAGGGCCTGACACTAAAATGTTCATTCTTGAAGGAGTGGAAAAACATTTTCCTTCAGTATAATTTTATTTTGTACTCTTTACTTTTCTTGATTTGTAGTTCCATGTAACTAGAAATCTTCCTGTGGGGTTTATAAGAGCCATGTATTCCCCTGCTCAAGGTACTAGTTTTTGTGTTTAAATTCTTCTATTATATGGTGGACACTTATAACTTTGGACACAAACTCTTCCTGTGTCTGATTAAGTTCAAGTACATTTCATCAAGTTTGACTTCCAGGTTATCTAAATGGACTTTTCATTAGAAGAATCAATTACACTTCAGGCAGTTTTTCTTTACTTTTTTTGTAACTGGTCAAGGAAACAGATATTTTACATTTTAAACAGGTAATTTCTTCTTTTCTTTATTAGAGTTTTTGATTACTTAGAAAAAATAAGCTTTGAAAGGGTTAAGGTTTTGTGTGTGTTTGTTTGTTATACCTGTGTAGCATTTTGATTGCTTTTGAAGTCTTTGATTATTACTCTCGTTAACAGCATTACTATTATGTCATAGTGACCTGTGATCCTAGTTTGATCAAGTGTTTTGAATCCTTTGACATATTTAGTGAAATTCCCCAGAATCAAAGTCTCAATTAAGTATTCTTGACCTCAAATAACTTTGGGATTTTTTTCCCAAAAGGAAAATCCAGGAAGCCCTAGAGCTTCTCAGAGGTTTCTAAAATAGAGATATTCAGCTAAAACAGCCTTATTTTAGGCTGGATGCAGTGGCTCACACCTGTAATCCCAGCACTTTGGGAGGCCAAGGCATGTGGATCACAAGGTCAGGAGTTCAAGACCAGCCTGGCCAACAGGTATTTTTGTACTAAAAATACAAAAATTAGCCAGCTGTAGTGGTGGTCACCTGTAATCCCAGCTACTTGGGAGGCTGAGGCAGGAGAATTGCTTGAACCCGGAAGGTGGAGTTTGCAGTGAGCCGAGATGCTGCCACTACACTCCAGCCTTGGTGACAGAGCAAGACTCTGTCTCAAAGAAAAAAAAAAAAAAGGGTTATTTTAGATGTTGAGTAAAATGTAAATCATTGTCAAATAATAGATGATGTTAGGTCTTTCACTTACGTTTATGGGTAAGTTAAAAAATGAATGTTCAAAAATTGCATAAAATTTCTAAAAACCTTGTAGTTACCAGTCTTGATTTTGTCTATTATTTTTTATGTCACAAAAATAGCCAAATTTCCTTGTCAGTTTTTGGTTATAATAAGCTTTCAACACATTCTTAACCATGGCTATTCTGTCTCTGCCACCTACTATTTTGATAGTTCTTTAAAAGCACTTGCAACCAGATTCATAGAAAAAGACTCTAACAAGTGCTCTTAAATACAAGTTTCTAATAACTTTAATATTAATGAACTAAATAAATATGCTTCAAAACTCTAATGAAGAAACAGATGAATTCATTAAACTACTAATCAAGATAAAACAGGGCAAAAATTAATTACAAGAGATTAAGTATCTGATGAAAACAATGTTTCATGACTTTTTTTAGAAACATTTTTGGTTGTTCACTTCAATGCTTTGTTTTCCACATTTAGGAAGAAAAAGACTTTTTCTCTTAAGCTTTCCACAGTTTAACAGCAATTTGGTAAAGTAAACTTTTATGAGCAAATGTGAAAACATGTATATTTTACTTTATTTCTCCCCAGTCTGGAAGCTATTCATGAGTATACTTTATTTTAATGGCAATATGGTTATTTGTGTAAGTTCAATAAAAATTTGCCTTTTCTTCATAATGGGATACAATTTAAAATATTGGTTATATTACCAAAGCTTCAACATGAATATCATATTTGAGAATGTGCATAGAAACACTGGCTTTCATATTTCACAGCCTTATAGTAGGTAATTATCACTTCCTAACAGGTACAGAATCCTCAAGACTGTAGGTAAAATCTGAATTCTGCCTTGGTTTTGCTGCCTAGCCTCAAGGAGATTTTTAAAACTGAAATTATGATATGGCAAATTGGTATTCTGGATGCACGTATGTAAATAATAAGAAAAAAATTGATGAGACCTAACTGATTTTACAAACAAATTTGTCTTACTCTGATTATCTTTGGTGGAAATCAGGACGACTATGGAGAAAAAATAAATAAGTTTCTAAAGAAAAGCTATAACACCTGTTATCTACCTGTCAACTTGATTAGACCCTGAATTCTTCTAGATTCCTCCAATCCAAGTTTCTTCCATGGAATTACTAAGAATGGGAACATCTCTGTTCCTAAAGATGTATATGCTGAAACTAGATATTATATTATATTAAATCATATAAATATATATTTATATTATATTAAATTTATACTACTATATTTCCTGTACAGCCTGCAGAACCATGAGCAATTAAACCTCTTTTCTTTATAAATTACCCAGATTCAGTTATTTCTTTATAGCAACACAAGAACAGCCTATCACAGGAACTCAAACACTTCAATAGCAAGAAAAAAAAATAATTGAAAAGTGGGCAAAAAAACTGAATAGACATTTCTCAAAAGAAGACATAAAATTGGCAAATAGTTACATAAAAAAGTACTCTGCATCAGTAATCATTAGGGAAATGAAAATTAAAACCACAAGATATAACTTCATACCTGTTAGAATGGCTGTCATCAAAAAGATGAAAGATAACACATATTGGAGAGGATATGAGGAAAACTCTTATATATTGTTGGTCAGAATATACGTGGATACAGTCATTATGGAAAATGGTATGAAGACTCGTCAAAAAAGTGAAAACTGAAGTACCCTATAATCCAGTTATCTCACTTTTGGACATACATTCAAAGGAACTGAAATATTACGTTGAAGGTATATCTGCACTCCTATGTCCATTACAGCACTATTCACATGACTCAAAATATAGAATCAACCTATATGTCCATCAATGAATAAATGGATTAAAAATGTGATACATTATACATGATGAGATACTCTTCAGCCTTAAGAAATAGAAAAATTCTATCATTTGTGATGAAATGAAAGAATCTAGAGGACATTATGCTAAGAGATATAAGAACAGAAAGAAATATTGCAGAATCTCATTTATTTGTGGAATCTAATAAAGTTAAACTCATAGAAGTAAAAAGTAGAATGATGTTTACCAGAGGCTGGGGGATTAGAGAGAGAGGAAAAGGAGAGTTGTTGATAAAAGGGCATAATATTTCAGACAGGTGAAACAGATTTTGAGATACATTTCACAGCAGAGTACTGTAGTCAATAATAGTGTACTATATATTTCAAAATAACTGAGAGTAAATTTCAAATGTCTCATCATAAAAAAATCAAAGGTAAGCGAGGCGATATATGTGTTAGCTTGATTTATTCATTCCACATTGTATACATATAGCAAAACATCACATTGTATCCTATAGATGTATATAATCATAATTTGTCAATCAAAAACAATTATTTCTAATTATTTAAAAGAAATAATATGCATCACTTGGAATTATTTAAAAATAAAGTTATTTAATTTTAGAAATTACTGGCAACTGAATAAACAAACATCTGCTAATGTACATATTTCAACTTAGCCTTTCTTTTAATATCTTTCTTTACCATCATATCAAATCTGTTAGTAAAAATTGATGATATATTCAAATTAGTGTGAAGAGCAGGAAATTTTTAGGCAGGTTTCCTACCATTTATTTGATCTCAGTTTTGCTATAGACAAAGTAGTTCATGTAGACAAATGATTGCTAATGAGCTTTAATGTCTTAAAATGGCCAAGAGCTAAAAGTGTCTATTCAAATTTCAGATTTGTAATCATCATAGATTGTAAGATAGTATAAAAATATTGACTCCCAGAATACATCACATTTATTTAAAACACATGAAAGCAGAAAGGAAAAACACTCAATATTAGAAAATTAAACACTAGTACTGAATCTGTTATATCACGTATAAAATATAGTACATTCAGTAACAAAAACACAAGACTAGCCAGTAAGATATCGAAAATGGAGAATTTATATCTTGTTAGTGAAGCTTTCAAAAGGGAGTGGGAAAAATTTATTCAGAGTCAACCACATAGAGCAACTCTTTTTCACATAAAGTTTCCTTGAGCCATTTCTAAAATCATCAATATTGTTGGCAAAGTTGAAATGGAAAGGCAATAGTGTTAATTGGTACTTAAAATATATAAATATACAGTGTATTTTAATCACAGGAGTGGTGATATTTTATTAAAAAATTAGCTGTAGTTTTATTACTTATTTGTCTTATTTTTTGCCATATTTGGAAGAAAAAATGGAATACAAATTGAAACAGGACTGAAAAAAGAGAAAAATTATAGCAGGACTGAAAACCTTTAGGAAAAGACTAATTGAGAAATATAGCCATTTTAAGAACTATTAAAACTACATTTATGAAATTATTGAATGTGTAGTTTTATTCATATGTGTATTAAAATTATTCTGCAGATAAAACAATGCAATATATATTGATGGTTCATTCTGTTTTCATTTTTTCTTTATATATCTCTTTTTTAGAGATTAATATAGAGCATACCTAAGACTGTATATATTAAAAGTATCTAGTTGATGGATTTCTACAAAGTCAATATTTATTTATATAATACCAAACTCAAGAAATAGAACATTACTAGCATTTCAGAAGCTCCACTAGATTTCTTTCCCAGTAATCCCCTCCCACTCACCAAATGGAAGCATTATCCTAACTTTCTGTATTCATTTTTTATTTCTGTGTAACAAATTACAATAAACTAATTGATGTTAAATAAGACAAATTCATTATCTCATAATCACTATGTGTTGGGAGTTTGGGTATAGTTAGTTTGATCCACTACTCAGAATCTCACCAGGTTACAAGCAATGCTTTAGTCATGGCTGCATTCCATTTGCAGCTCAGAGTCCTCTTTCACGTGGTTGTAGGACTAAAGTTATTGTTTATTGATTGGCTGTCCACTGGAGATCACTCGTACTTTCTAGAGGCCTCCTTCAGTTGCTTGTACCATGGCCCCCTTCATAGGGAGTTCACAGTATTGTTACTGGTTTCTTCTAGGGCAGTGGGAGAAACTCTACTTTCAAATCTTTCTCTACAGGGAATGTCTGGATTCTCTTTTAAAGAGCTCATCTGATTAAGGTTACCCAGTATGATCTCCTTTTTGATGAATTTGGTTCACTGCAAGCTTTGCCTCCCGTGTCCACACCATTCTCGGGCCTCAGCCTCCTGAGTAGCTGGAACTACAGGCGCCCGCCACCAAGGCTGGCTAATTTTTTTGTATTTTTACTAGAGACGGGGTTTCACCGTGTTAGCCAGGAACCGTGTTAGCCAGGATGGTCTCGAACTCCTGACCTCGTGATCCGCCCACCTCAGCCTCCCAAAGTGCTGGTATTACAAGCGTGAGCAACCACGCCCAGCCAAACATATATACATATGGATATATGCCTAAGAGTTATGTTTGGCTTTAAAATTTTAAAAAAATGAATTTTCCCAAAGGTTGTAAAACACTTTGCTTTTCAGTCAACACATTATGTTAGCTCTAGTTGTTCTACATTCCCACTGAAAAATTATAGTAACTGCCTTCTTTTTCATTTTTGCCATTCTGGGAGTATATGTTGGCATTATGTTATGAATTTGTATAATGACGAAGTAGTGAATTTTTTTTTCCTTTTTGATGTCTGGTATAACATTTCTGTGTAAGTCACTTGCACATTTTTGTATTTGGCTTTTTCTTATTGATTTGTAGGACCTCTATATTTTTTCAATATAATATCTTTATCAGGTATATTTATTGCAAATATCTTCTACTATTTTGTGGTTTTCCATTTCATTGTCTAACTGGTGTATCTTTAGGTGAAAAGAAATTATAATCTTAATATAGTCTGTTTTTAAAATTATTATCACTTTTTGTGTCAAACACAAAACATTGCTTTTCAAAAGTGCTTTTACCACTTCACATTCCCACATGAAGTGTATGAGTTCCAATTTTCTTCACCTTATTACAACCTAATATCAACAGTCTTTTAACTTTTAGCTTCTCTAATATGTGTGCAGTACTATCTCACTTTGTGTTTAATGTGTATTTCTGTAATGACTCAGCATCTATTAATGGCTTATTTGCCATCCACCTGTCTTTATGGTAAAGAGTTTATTCAAATATTTTACTCAATTTTAAAATAATTTGTTTTCTTTTTATTGAGTTTATAAAGCTGTTTTTAAATTTTGAATATCAGTTTGTAATAAGATATATTTTGAAATTTTTTTTCTAAGGTGTGGCTTTTCTTATTATTCTCCTCATGCATGTCTTTGAAAGAGCAGAAGTTTTTACTTTGATAAAGTCTAACTTATTCACTTGTACGCTCATGCTTTTATCATACTATCTATTTCTTTACCTAACAAAAATACATTTTTACCATATTTTCTCTTAGAAAATGTATAATTATGAGTTACTTTTATGTTTATGACACATCTTGCTTTAATGTTTTATGTGGTACAATGTTATGGATTCAAGCTCACTTTAAAAACATATATAGATATTTCATCGATTCAGAACCATTTGTTGAAAAAACTTTTTTCTCCACTGTGCAACCTTTGCAGTTTGTCAAAAACCACTATTTTTAAAAAATACAATGATAGTCTCAGTTCTGTTATGTGTCAGATTTTCCACTTAAGTGTCCAACGTTGTCTCTCCAGTCCCACAAGACCTTCAAATACTCTAATAAATTTTCTGATCTCCATCAATATTTCTCTGTCTAGACAAGATGTTGATCCTATAAAATCAGCAAATGACCAAATTAAAGAACCCCAGCACTTCACTTCTCTTATTTCTTTTACTCTCTCAAAACTCAGCAACCTTAGGCTTTGTTGCTTCAACAGGTAACTGATGCCTTAAAACAGATAGCTTTTAGAAGCCGTCTGAATTTTCTAATAGTTTTCAGTAAAATTATTGGACTGCCTTTAGCTACTCCACTCTATTTCCATTTGTCTCAGTTAGGGCTGCTATAACAAATTACCATACACATAGTGGCTTAAACAATACCATTTTATTTCTTCCGGTTCTGAAGGCTGAGATTTCTGAGATCAGGGTGCCACTACGGTCAGGTTCTGATAAGAGCCCTCTGCTTTTTCTTGGTTTGTATATGGCCATCTTTTTGCCGTGTCTTCACATAGTGAAGAGCAAAGACAGAAAGAGAGAGAGGGAAGGAGGGAGGGAGGGAAGGGGAGAGAGAGAGAGAAAGAGAGAGGGTGAGGAGTACTAATTCTATCATGAGGGTTCAACCTTCATAAATTAATTTTCCTTCTAAAGATCCCATATCCAATACCATCCCATCCCTCTGGGGATTGGGGTTTCAACATAAATTTAAGGGGGAACACAAACATTCAGTCCATAGTGTAATTCTTTTGATAATTTCTGATAAAAAATTTGACAATCTTTTATTTCAATTTTAAATTTGAGTTAATTTGACAGCCTTAGTTTTGAAAAAACAAGTACAAAGTTGAAATATGTTAGATAAAATTCCCTATTTAGTGTAGACTTTTAAGAAATGCATTAAAGCTGAATCCACCTCTGGAATGGTGGTATGGAAAATTTTATGAAACTTCTCATTAGTGAAACAACCATAGAAAGTGAAAATGATATAAAAGACAGCCATTTAAAATCTCTAGAAACTATTCTGAAGTCATACAGTAAATGAAGAAACATTTACTTCAAAAATATATTAAGCCTTGTAAAGAGAGCAAGCATCTGTGGGACTTGAGCCACAAGAAGTCCCTCTCTCAATCCCACCTCAAAGTGGCAGAAGCTCTACTCCAGTTAGGTGTGTGAACAATAAAATGTTGTGCCCTTTATCCCCAACATCTAGTAATGGGCTAATAATTAACACTTGGAGGGGCAGGTCACTAACATTTCTCATCCACCTCAGCTCTGTGTCCCACAGGTTAAATTCCAGGCAAGCAAAGCCAAAAGCTCTAAAACACCTTTCCTCTCTCATACTAAAACATATAGCAAAGGCTCTACTCTAGCTTGGAGGAGTAAAATTGGTATTTGATTGACATCACTTTAATTCATTTATCAGTTGGAGAATTTACTCTGGAAGAGGCAAGTCAGGAATACCAGAGACCACCACTTTGCCCAGCCCCCGTTTATGTGCCACATGTGTCACTCTAAGAGAAGTGGGACTCTGTTCTTGACCTTAGCTTCAGATCAGTAGCTCATTTGCTTATTTTTTTTTAATGGAAAGAGTCAAGCCATTAAAACAGATAATTCCAAAGATAAGAGAGCAGACTTTTTTGTTTTAAACAGAAAGTTGGGATATTTAACCCCAAAGGAATTCTTAAAAGCAATAAAGGTTTTGGTGATGAGCAATTAAGAAAAGTCTGGAAAGTTAAATGAGAGAAACTATTAGGCCAACTAGGTTACCAGAAGAATCAGGGAGATACACAGCTATGAAGTCTCCAAGGGTCAGAAGAAAAAAAAAAATCATAGATAGGTCTCTAAAACTACTAATGTAAGAAATACCCAATTTAGTTGGTTTGGATTTAGAGAAATTTATGCCCCAGAAGAGTCAAAAACAACAGAGCAATCATTCAGCAATTAATGGAGGCTAAAAGCTGGATATGAAACCAAAAGTGGCAGAGAGCTAATTGGAGAAATTTGAGAAGGAGTCAATTAGGAATAATTATAAAATCTGTATAGTCCCAGAGTAACTGTGCACAAGCTCAAGGCTGTGCACTATGAGAAGCACCATCAGAGGCTTCACATTATGAAGGAAATACACTTCATTAAAATATTACAGTCAAGTCAATAAACAAATAAGCAAACAACAACTATAAGAAGCCCAGGAATGGGCAGGGAGGAAAATCAATATTCAGAGTTAACAAAATATGTTATCTAAAATGTCCAGTTTTTTACTATTAATTTTAAGACCTTCAGATAAAAGAAAATGTGATGTGTAGATATGGTGAAAAAAGTAGGCAATAAAAAATGCCTATATATAGATATATGTATATGCATAGTTATATCATTATTATATACATATATAATTATATTATTATACTTCCATTATCTTTATAAACATATATAGGTATTATATATAGTATATATATTGTGTATAGTATAAATATATATAGGTATTATATATAGTATTGAAGTATATGTAGGTATCTATATAGGTATATATACAGACACCTATATGTGTTTATAAAGTTAAGGAAAGGTAAAATAATAATGTCATATTAAATATAAAATATCAATGCATATATTTTTTAAAATAACAAAATTAAAATTTCAGAGTTGAAAATTGCAACAATTGAAATGAAAAATTCACTCGAGGGATTCAACAGATTTGAATTAGTAAAGAAAGAATTAGGAAACTAGACGATAAGTCAATAGACATAATGCAATGCAAATAACAGAAAAGGAAAAATGAGCAAAGACTTAGATAAATATGAGTATAATTCGAAGCAACAGCATATATGAAATGAGAACAACAGAGGAGACAGAGAAAAAGCAACCAAAAATTTGTAGAATTAATGACCAAAAATTTCCCAAATTTGACACAACTGTTAACTTCCAAAAAGTGGAATACATAGGATTAGCACAAAAATAAAGAAATTCACACCCAAACATATCATAGCAAATATATTGAAAGATAAATTTTTAAAAATTTTGGAAGCTTCACGAAAGGGACTGTGTGCAATACAACCTCAATAAGATTAAAAGCTAATTTTTCATCAGATAAAATGAGTGCCAGAAGGAAGTGAGTTGACATATTCAAAGTGGTGAAGGAAAAAAAATCAACCAAGAATCTTGGTTGAAAACTATGTTTGAAAAATAAAGATAAGAAACATTAATTTCTTCTCAAGCATTTTTCAGATGAATAAAAGTGAGGGAATTATTTTTAGCAGAAAGTATAGGTCAATGAAGATTTTCCAATCTAAAATTAAAAAAAGAAAACAGAAAAAAAGAATTTTAAAAAGTGTTCTTTACGGACCTGTGAGACAAAATTTTGTACACCAACATTTGAAGTAATAAGCGTACCAAGAGAAGAGAAGGGAGAAAGGAGTGAAAAAATATTTAAGAAATAATGGCTGAACACTTCTTAAATTTGATTTAAAAACATGAATATGTGCATATAATGCTCAAATAGCACAAAGAAGGGTAAATACAAATGGATAGAAAACCAGATATATCATTGAAAAAATGATAAAAGACAACAATCCTTGAAAGCAGCAACAGAAAAAAATGGCTCACTATGAGGATAGAAAACCCAATAAAATTGACAGCTGACTTTTAATTAGAAGCAATGAAAGCCTGAGGGCAATAGGATGACATAGATAACGGAGTAAAATATAATACATTGTGAACCAGAAATCTTATATTCAACAAAATGATCTGTCAAAAATGAAGGCAAACTAAAGACAGTCAAAAAATAAATAAATAAATAAAGGGGAAGTTTATTTCTAGTAGTCCTGTCTTACCACAAATAATTAAAAATGTTATACATGTTTAAAATAAGAGATAATAGCCCGGGCACGGTAGTTCATGCCTGTAATCCCAGCACTTTGGGAGTCTTAGGCGGTCAGATCACGAGGTCAGGAGATTGAGACCATCCTGGCTTACACAGTGAAACCCCGTCTCTACTAAAATTACAAAAAAATTAGCCAGATGTGGTGGCGGGTGCCTGTAGTCCCAGCTACTCAGGAGACTGAGGCAGGAGAATGGCATGAACCCTAGAGGTGGAGCTTGCAGTGAGCGGAGATTGTGCCACTGCACTCCAGCCTGGGTGACAGAGCAAGACTCCGTCTAAAAAAAATAAATAAATAAAAATAAAATAAATAGATAAGAGATAATAGAGTGTCTATTCAAACTATGTAAAAACATTATTCAAGGTATTTATGGAATTATAAATGCTAAACATACATTTCTTTTCTTAGCAGATATTTAAAACAATTGTACATAAGATGTGCATAATCACATTGTTAGAACCATAACATATATAAATGTAATATAATTTACAATAATTGCACAAATGAGGTGAGAAGAGACAAAGCTGTATTGAAGTAAGAAAATGGCCATACTGCCCAAGGTAATTTATAGAGTCAATGCCATCCGCATTAAGCTACCAATGACTTTCTTCACAGAATTGGAAAAAACTACTTTAAATGTCATATGGCACCAAAAAAGAGCCTGCATTGCCAAGATAACCCTAAGCCAAAAGAACAAAGCTGGAGGCACCACACCACCTGACTTCAAACTATACTACAAGGCTACAGTAACCAAAACAGCATGGTACTGGTACCAAAACAGAGAAATAGACCAATGAAACAGAACAGAGCCCTCAGAAATAATGCCACAACTATCTGATCTTTGACAAACCTGACAAAAACAAGCAATGGGGAAAGGATTCCCTATTTAATAAATTGTGCTGGGAAAACTGGCTAGCCATATGTAGAAAGCTGAAACTGGATCCCTTCCTTACACCTTATACTAAAATTAATTCAAGATGGGTTAAAGATTAAAATGTAAGACCTAAAACCATAAAAACCCTAGAAGAAAACCTAGGCAATACCATTCAGGACATAGGCATGGGCAAGGACTTCATGTCTAAAACACCAAAAGCAATGGCAACAAAAGTCAAAATTGACAAATGGGATCTAATTAAACTAAAGAGCTTCTGCACAGCAAAAGAAACTACCATCAGAGTGAACAGGCAACCTACAAAATGGGAGAAAATTTTTGCAATCTACTTATCTGACAAAGGGCTAATATCCAGAATCTACAATGAACTCAAACAAATTTACAAGAAAAAAACAACCCCATCAACAAGTGGGCAAAGGATATGAAGAGACACTTCTCAAAAGAAGATATTTATGCAGCCAACAGACACATGAGAAAATGCTCATCATCACTGGCCATCAGAGAAATGCAAATCAAAACCACAATGAGATACCATCTCACACCAGTTAGAATGGCGATCATTAAAATGTCAGGAAACAACAGGTGCTGGAGAGGATGTGGAGAAATAGGAACACTTTTACACTGTTGGTGGGACTGTAAACTAGTTCAACTATTGTGGAAGTCAGTGTGGCGATTCCTCAGGGATCTAGAACTAGAAATACCATTTGACCCAGCCATCCCATTATTGAGTATGTACCCAAAGGATTATAAATCATGCTGCTATAAAGACACATGCACACGTATGTTTATTGTGGCACTATTCACAATAGGAAAGACTTGGAACCAACCCAAATGTCCAACAATGATAGACTGGATTAAGAAAATGTGGTGCATATACACCATGGAATACTATGCAGCCATAAAAAAGATGAGTTCATGTCCTTTGTAGGGACATGGATGAAGCTGGAAACCATCATTCTCAGCAAACTGTTGCAAGGACAAAAAACCAAACACTGCATGTTCTCACTCATAGGTTGGAATTGAACAATGAGAGCACATGGACACAGGATGGGGAACATCACACACCGGGGCCTGTTGTGGGGTGAGGGGAGGGGGGAGGGATTGCATTAGGAGATATAACTAATGTTAAATAACGAGTTAATGGGTGCAGCACACCAACATAGCACATGTATATATATATGTAACAAACCTGCTCGTTGTGCACATATACCCTAAAACTTAAAGTATAATAAAAAAAATTTTAAATGTTAAAATAAAAAATGTTCAGTTAATTCAATTGAAGGCAGTAAAAGAACAATAGAGGGAAGAAAAGAGACATGCAGCATGAATAAAGCAAACTAAAATGGCAAATATTAATCTAATTGTATAAATAATGACCATAAATATGAATGAGTTAACACGCTAATAAAAAGTCAGAAATTGTCAGTCTAAATTTAAATAAAAGTTTTGATATATACTCTCTACAAAATACGAATTTTTGATTAAGAAATACAAGTTGAACACACAAAAAGAAAGAGTATATATCATGGAAACCTCAAGAATAAGGAAACTAAAATCCCTATTAATTGGTTATATAAATATCAGAAAAAAATAGACTTGAAAGCAAACAATGTTCCTACAAATAAAGAGGGACACTTAATGAAAAGGTCTTCCACAAGATTATAGAGTAATTGTAAATATATATACACTTAATAAGAGTCCCAAAATATCTTAAATAAACCTCACATAAGAAAAACAGAGAAATTGGCAATTCAGAAATAATAGTTGAGGACTAAAATACTATACTTTCAATAATGGATATAATACCTGGTCAGATCAATAAGAGAATGGAAAATGCAAACAACTGTGTAAATCAACTGGTCCCAAAAGATAACTATAGACAGTTAACCCAAGGACAGCAGAATATAATTTTGTCTCAAGTACACATGGGATAGTCTTCAGGATAGAACACAGGTTTGGCCATAAAAACATTTCAATAAATACTAATGGATTAAAAGCATGCAAAGTACATTCTCCTATCACAATTGAATGAAGTAAATCAAAAACATAAAACTAAGACTATCACAACTTTGTCAAAATCAGTAACTACTCTAAATAATAAATCAGAGCAAAGGCACTGTGCAAAGGCACTACTAGCCAAACAGGGAATCCCACAGCCTTTTGATCCCTGAACAGCCCAGTGTTAGCTGCTGCAGCCTTTCTTTAAAGAGAGGCCAGGCATTTTATGCACCCCTAGGACAGATCCTGCAACCATGGTATGGAGGAGCAGCCAGACTACATATCATGTGACTCTCTATCTCTGCTGCTCCCCGCCAAATGATGCTTGCTTGCTTGCTTAGGCACCCAGTGTACGTGCTCCATCCCCACTGTGGCTTCTTTCCTCTGAGTTCATAAATCCCAGTGGTAACTGACAAGCCTTTTGCAATGGTTGTAGTCTCTGTCCTGATGCAGTGGGCCAAGGAGGTAAAGGGGAACCTGGGTGCTTGCCTGTGCTTACAGTACAGATATCACAGCCAAGTATGGAGAAGCAGTAGGCAGACTGCGTGACCACAGCGCCAGGCCTCTGCTGCTTCCTGCCATATGAGGCCTGCAGGCTTCTGACACCCAGCACACCAGCCCCACTACTGCCTGAACATGGCAGCCATAGCTCTACATTCCTTGGACAGCCCAACTCTCAGAGGTCACTGGCAAGCCCTTTGTGATAGCCACCCGCACCACTGTTTCTGCCACCAGTCCAGGAGGGTACAAGGAGGTTGAATACTTAAACCACTTAAATGTGTCTTCAGCACATGCATATAACCACAGCCTAGGTGTAGAGGAGCAGAAGGCAGACTATGTACTCCATGACTTCCTGCCTCCCTTACTCTGCCAAATGAGGCTGCTGGCTTTGGTGACAGGTTCCCAACTCAGCCATCCTGCCCCGGCCTGAGCACTAGAGCCATGATTCAGCTTTCTTCTGTGAGTTCAATTCCCAGCAGTCACTGCCTCTGTTCCTACCACCCCTGAGTCATGGAGAGAGTGAAGAAGCCTGACCCTTTTGCATTCCCCCAACAGCAAAATCCGGTGCCACTTCAGTAGGAGGGAAACCTGAGCATGTCATTTGCCACACAGCTGCAGTCTCCATTGGTCCAGTTAAGGTGACCCGCCTTCCCCAGTGAAAGATCCACACAGTGCAGCTGCCCTGCCCTGGCCTGAACATTTCAACTGCAGCCCAGAGCCCTTCTGAGAGTCCAACCCCCACAGACCTTTGATTTTACCTTGGCCTCCCACTGCCTGAGTATTCTGCCTGCCCCTACCTGAGAGTTCTGCCAGTGACATAGGAACCAGTCTGCCCCTCCCATCGCAGCCAGCAACTGAACTCTGGGTTAGCCCTACCCCAGTCCAACCCCTTCAGGACTTGAGTATGTCATCCAGTGGGACATCTAGTGGCCTAAGAACTAGGGAACTACCTAGCTTGGTCCAACATTACTAGCACCTAACCACATTCCCCAGGGCCTGAGGTCAGGCCAACACAACCAGCTGATGCAACCACAACTAACACCTACCCACATGGGCTGATAGTTGGAGCCCTCCCCCCACCCACCACAGTACACAGCAGTGTTACCATGTCAGAGAACAGGCAAGCCATAAAGCTGTTTGTATGAGGCTGAGTGAAGAAGTTCCACCCCAATACCACTTCCACGGAGAATCACAAAACAGGTGTTTTCTGTGGCTCTCAGTAACACTGTGGTCTGTAGAAAGACTGCAGTGTGCATCTGAACTAAGAGTGACAAGCCCTGGGACAGGGATGTGGTAGGGAAACAGATCATGTTCCTGCCCTTCTAGGATGTGGAGCCAGTGTAGCCCTCTTTCCCTTCGTAGAGACCTCAGCTTACCTCACAAGGAGCTCCCTCCGCTGTTGGGGCTGGTGCCTGTGCTCATCACTGGATGTCTGTGAGCAAGCCAGTGGGTGTAACTCTGCCAAGCTGCGCCTCACCCACCCCCAATGAAAAGGAAGCTGAGGGCACTGAGCACTCCACTGTCCATCCCGTCACCTAACAACAGAGAGCCCCTCACAGTTAACAAAGATTAAGAACACATTGGCTTGAGTCACAGCTAGAACCTACCCATACGTGCCACCTACTGGTCTGCAGGTCCAGCCTCACAGCCCAATATAAAACTTGCCTGAAGAAATGCACAGGACAATAGAAATAAACCCAAATGACCGTATCCAACATATTCTGCAATCATACTCCCTTGGGAGGGTGGGGAAAGAATAAGAACAAAAAAAGGAAAATAAAACATCTTATCTGAACAAAAATAATTTCAAAAATAAGAAGTGTCAGGCTCTCTGCATGAGAAGGGATCAGCTTAAGAATTTGAGCACCAAGAAAAATCTGAATATTGTGTCATCTCCAAAGGATTACACTACATCTCTAGCAGTAGGCCCTAAATAAAATCGAAACTCAGAAATGACAGATTAAGAATTTGGAGTATGGAGTGCAAAAAAGCTCAGGAAGACCCAAGACAAGGTTGAAAATCAACAAAATCAAATTAAGAAAGCAATCCAGGAAATGAAGGAAGAGATGAATATTTTAAGAAATCAATCAGAACTTCTGGAAATGAAAACTTCACTCAAGAAATTTCCAAATACAATGGAAAGCTTTACTAATAGACTAGACGAAGCAGAAGAAACTCAGAGCTTGAAGACAAGTCTTTTGAACTAACCCAGTCTCACAAAAATAAAGAAACATAATTTCAAAAAATGAACAAAGCCTTCAAGGAATATGGGATATGCAAAGCAACCAAACTTACAACTTATTGGGACTCCTGAGAGAGAATAAAAAGTAAGGAACCTGGAAAACATTTGAGGAAATAATTCAATAAATTTTTTCTAATCTTCTTAAACAGGTGAACATTCAGATAAGAAAAATCCAGAGAACGCCTATGAGATACTATATAAAATGAAAATCACCAAAGCATATAGTCATCATACTATCCAAGGTCAAGATTTAAAAACATTTTAAATGCAGCTAGAGAAAAGGGTCAAATTACCTATAAAGGCAAACCAATCAGACTCATAACAGACTTCTCATTAGAAACCCTACAAGCCAGAAAAGATTGGTTGGAGCCCTGTTTTCAGCCTCCTTAGATTCTTAGCCAGCCAAGCATTTTATATTCTGCCAAACCAGGCTTCACAAATGAAGGAAAAATAACATATTTCCCAGACAAGCAATGACTGAAAGAATTTGTCACACTAAACTAGACCTACAAAAAAATGCTCACAGGAGTTCTAAACATGAAAATTAAAGGATGATACTGGCTACCAGAAAAGGATACATAAGTACAAAATTCAGAGATCCCATAAATCAACTACGAAATCAAAGTTCCAAAACAAACTAGCTAACAACTCTATGTCAGAAATAGAACCTCACATATCAACATTAACCTTGAATGTAAATGTCCTAAATGCCTAATTAAAAGGCAGAGTAGAAAATTGGATAGAAATACAACACTCAATAATCTGATGTCTATAAAAGACTCATCTACTTGCTAAATACACATTCAGACTCAAACTAAAAGGGTGGAAAAATAAATTCTACACCAATTGAAAACAAAAGCAAGCAGGAGTAGTCATTCTCATATCAGATAAAATAAACTCTAAACCAACAGCAGAAAAAAAAATAAAAAGAAAAAAGACAAAGAAGGATATTATATAATGATAAAGGATTGAATATAAAAAAAGTTTTAACTATCCTAAATATATATGCACCCAATACTGGAGAACCAAGATTAACAAAACAAATACTACTAGGCCCAAGAAAACAGAATAATAGCAATAAAACTGTAGTGCAGGACTTCAACATGCCACTGACATCACTGGACAGATCATTGACACAGAAAGTTAACAAAGAAGCTCTGGACTTAAACTGGACTACAGACCAAATAGCCCTAATAGACATTTAATGAACATTCCACCCCACAGCATTCTCCTCATCTGCACACAAAACATTCTCCAAAATAGACAATATGCTTGGCCATAAAGCAATTCTGAATAAAATTCTTAAAAATTAAAATTGTATCAAGAACCTTCTCAGACCACAGTGAAATAAAATTATTGATCAATACTAAAAGGAAGTCTCAAAACTACACAAGAACATGGAGACTAAACAACTTGCTTCTGAATGACTTTTGGGTCAACAATAAAATTAAAACAGAAATGAAAGAAGTTATTTTAAACAAATGAAAATAAAGATACAACATACCAAAACCTCTGACATACAGCAAAAGCACTTCTAAGAGAAAAGTTTATTGCACTAAAAATGCCTACGTCAAAATTATACAAAAATCACATCTCAAGAAATTAGAAAAACAAGAAAAAAACAAACCTAAAGATAGAAGAAGAAAAGAAATCACAAACATCAGAGCGAATTAAATGAGATTAGGGAAAAATGATAAAGGTGATCAATGAAATAAAAAAGTTGGTTCTTTGAAATCATACCAAAATTAACAGATCACTAGCTAGATTAACCAAGAAAACAAGATAGAAAATTCGATTAAGCAAAATAAGAAAGTTTAAAGGTGGCATCACAATTGATATCAGAGAAATACAAAAGACCACCAGAGACTACTATGGACACCTCTATGCACAAAAACTAGAAAATATAGAGGAAATGGACAAATTTCTCAAAACATACAACCTCACAAGATTGAACCAGGAGGAAACAGAAACCCTAAATGGACCAGTAATAAGTAATGAAATCAAATCCACAATACAAAATCTTCTCACCAAAAAAACTCAGGACAAGATGGATTCACAGTCAAAATTTATGAGACATACAAAGAAGAGCTTGTGCCAATCTTAAGCTATTTCAAAAAAGCAAGGAGGACAGATCCCTCTCTAACTCATTCTACATATCTAATATTACTCTGATAAAAAATCAAGGAAAGCCACCACACAAAAAGAAAACTACAGACCAACATCCCTGATGGACATAGATGCAAAAATCCTCAACAAAATAATAGCAAACCAAATCCAACAGTACATTAACAATATAATTCATCATTATTCCAGGGATGCAAAGATGGTTTAACATCTGAAAATAATAAATAAACATGACCCACCACATAAACAGAACTAAGAACAAAAACCATAAGATCATCTCAATAGATGTAAAAAAAGCATCTGATAAAATTCATTATCCCTTCATGATAAAAACCCTCAACTAGTGAGACATAGACGGAACCTACCTCAAAGTAATAAGAGCCATATATAACAAACCCACAGTGCACATCATACTGAATGGGGAAAAATAAACAAATTTCTCCTAAGAATTGGAACAAGACAGGTCCACTGTTGCTACTCTTATTCATCATAGAACTGGAAGTCCCAGCCGAAGCAATCAGTCAAAAGAAAAAAAAATAAAAGGCACACAAATTGGAAAAAAAAATCAAAGTCAAATTACTTCTGTTCTCTGATTATATAATTGCATGTCTAGAAAACCCCAAAGACTCCTTTAGAAGACTTCCAGACTTAAGCAGTTTCAGTAAAGTCACAGGATACAAAATCAACATGTAAAAATCAGTGGCATTTTTATACACCAAAAATATTCAGACTGAAAACAAAATTAAGAACTCAATCCCATTTACAATAACCACAAAAACATATATACAATACTCAGGAATACATTTAACCAAGGAGGTGAAAGATCTCTGCTAGGAGAACTACAAAACACTGATAAAAGAAATCACAGATGATACAGTTGGAAAAACATTCCAAGTTCATGCATTGGAAAAGTCAATATCATTAAAATGACCACATAACCCAAATAGATCTACAGATTCAACACAATTCCTGGCAAATTACCAGTATCATTTTTCATAGATTAGAAAAAGCGATCCTAAAGTTCATATGGAACCAAAAGAAAAAAAAAATAGGCCAAATAGCCAAAGCACTTCTAAGCAAAAAGAACAAATTCAGTGGCATCACATTGCCTGACTTCAAATTATACTACAAATCTATAGTAACTAAAACAGCATGGTCCTGGTAAAAAATAGACACATACATCAGTGGAACAGCATACAGAACCCAGAAATAAAGCCACAGACATACAACCAACCAATCTTTAATAAAGTCAACAAAAAAATGTGGAAAGAACACCCTATTTAATAAACGGTGCTCAGAAAACTGGCTAACCATATGAAGAAGAATGAAACTGGACCTCTGCCTGTCACCACATACAAAAATTAACTGAAGATGGATTAAAGGCCTAAACATAAGAGCTGACACTATCAACATCATAGGAGAAAACCTAGGGAAAATACTTCTGGACATTGACCTAGGCAAAGAATTAATGACAAAGACCCAAAAAAGCAAATGCAACAAAACAAAAAATAGATAAATGAGACTTAATTAAAGTAAAAAGCTTCTGCACAGCAAAAGAAATAACCAAAAGAATAAGCAGATAACCTATAGGATAGGAGAAAACATTTGCAAATTATGCCTCTGACAATTGATGGATATTCAGAATCTAGAAGGAACTCAAACTAAAAGGAAAAAAATGAGCAACCCCATTAAAAATTGGGCAAAGGACATAATCAGATTTTTCTCAAAAAAAAAAAAAGAAGAAATACAAGTGGCCAAGAAAAATGAAAAAAAAATGCTCAACATCACTGATCATCAGAGAAATGCAAATTTAAACCACAACGACATACCATTTTACACCAGTCGGAATGGGTTTTATAAAAAAGGCAAAAAAAAAAAAAAAGGTATTGGCATGGTTGTGGAGTAAATAGAATGCTCATACACTGTTGGTGAGAATGTAAATTAGTTCAATCTCTGTGGCGAACAGCATAAATATATCTCAAATAACTAAAAATAAAATTACCATTTAACCTAGGATTCTCATTACTGGGTTTGTACCCAAAGAAAAATTAATCATTATGTATAAAAAAGACACCCGTTAGCAGGGTGTGGTGGCATGCTCCTGTAGTCTCAGCTACTTGGGAGCTGAGCTGAGAGGGATAGCTTGCTCCCTGGGATTGAGGATGCAGTGAATTGTGATCATGCCACTGCACTCCAGCCTGAGTGACAGAGTGAGACCCTGTCTCAAAAAAAGGAAAAATAAAATAAAAACTTTTATTAAAAATTCACCCGCATTGGTATGCTTATTGCAGCACTGTTTACATTAGCAAATTTGTGAAACCAACCTAAGTGCCCACAAGTAGTTGATTGGGTAAAGAAATATTAGTATATGTACACACCACAGAACACCATGTAGCCATAAAAAAGAATGAAATCATATCCTTTGCTACAATATGGATGGAACTGGATGCCATTATCCTAAGTGAACTAATTCAGAAACAGAAAATCAAATATTGCATGTTCTCACGTATAGGTGGGAGCTAAGTAATGGGTACACATGGACATAAAGATGGAGAGAGTAGACTCTGGAGACTCCAACTGGGGGAAGGGTGAGAAGGGAAATGAGAATTTGAAAAAATACCTATTGGGTACAATGCTCAGGATTTGGTTGATAGGTATAGTAGAAACCCAATCTTTACCATTATCCATGTAATCCCTAACTAACAACAAAAAAAAATATGTACTCCCTGAATCTAAAATGTAAAAAATGATAAATACAAACAACAAAAAAGAAAACATTGTTGAAATTAATTGAAGAGGACCTATATAAATGGTTCTGGTTTATTTTTTCTTTTGTTTTCTTTTCTCACTTTATCTATTTCCTGTCACATTCTACTATAAGCAGCAAAACCAGGCCATGCCTTCCACTTTTAGATTGGAAATCTCCTCAGCTAACTATTCAAGCTTATGACTTACAAGTTCTACTTTGCATCACTGAACAGAAACACAATTTAGTCAAGTTCTATGCTACTTTATAATAAAAATAGCTCTTTCGCTTTCCAACAACATGTTCCTATTTCCATCTGAGACTTCTTCAGAAGTACCTTTGACATTCATAATTCAAGCAAGTCTGTTGTTGTATTCTCTAAGATGATAGAAGCTTTCTGTACAACTTCCCTACTTCCTACTTCTTTCTGAGCCATCACCAGAATCACCTATAAAGTCCACGTTTCCTCCAGCAATCTCTTCAAGGCTTTTGCTATCAAGTATCTCAAAATTCTTTCAGCCTCTATCCAATATCCAGTCCCAAAGACACTTCCACATTTTTAGGTATTTGTTACACTAGAGCTTCAACTCCAGTACCAAAATCTGTATTCAATTTCTATGGCGGCTCTAAAAATATACCACAAATTGTTTAGCTTAAAACAATATAAAGTGTGTTGTGTAAAAGTTCTGCAGGAAAGAAATCAGAAATCAAGGTGCTAGCACAGCCATCCTTCCTCTGAGATTATGAATTGAATTATGCCTTGCCTCTTCCTAGCTTCTGGTAATGGCAAATAATATTTTGAAATCGTTGGCTTGCAGCTGCATCCCTCAGTTCTCTGTCTCTGTCATCACATGTCATGCTCTCTGTGTGCCTTTGGCTTCACATGAGGTTTTCTTCTTTTTAGAAGGACTCAAATCTATTGGATTTAGGGTTTACCCTAACTAATTACTTCTGAAATGACCCTATTTCCAATAAAGATCATATTCTTAAGTACTTGGAGCTAAGCCTTCAATATAGCTTTTCGAGGACCCAATTCAATCCGTAACAGAGCTACTCATCATGCCATGCACAAATATTAACTTGAAACAGATTGTAGACTTACATCTTAGAGCTAAATCTATGAAACATTTGATAAAATGTAGAAGTTAATTTTGGTAACATTGAATCAGGCAAAGCCAATCTCGATATGACACTAAAAGCACAAGTGACAAAAGAAAGAAGTATAAATTGTGCAACGTCAATATAAAAACATTTGTTCTTTGAAAGATGTCAACAAGGAAGTGAAAAGACAGCCTAGAGAAACAAAGAATATATTGCAAATCATATAGTTCATAAGGGACTTACATCTAAACTACATAAAGAAAAAGTGTAAATCAATAATAACAAGACAAACCAATTAAAATGGTCAAAGAAAATAGATGTTTCTCCAAAAAAAATTAATGAGGAATAAGCACCTGAAATAATTCTCAACATCATTAGTCATCAGGGGGATGCAAGTAAAAACCACAATGAGACATCTTTCAGATACACACTAGGCTGTCTTTTATTTGAAAAATGATAACAAGTTTTGGCAAGAATGTGGAGAGAGTGTGACTGTCATACGTGGCTGGTGAAAATGTACAATGGTACTGTTGCTTTGGAAGATAGTCCAGAAGTTCCAAAAAAAGTTAAACATAGAATTACCAAGTAAACCTTCAGTTATACTCCAAGGAATACACCTAAGGGAAATGAAAATATGTCCATATAAAAATTGTTCGTAGCAACATATTTTATGATAGCCAAAAAGTGGAAACGAGAAAGATGTCCATCAATTGTTAATGGATTTTAAAGATGAGGTTGATCTATACAGCATCATATTTTTCAACCATAGAAAGGAATGGCATATTGATGCATACGTAATACCAGGATAAACCTTGAAAACAGTATAAGTGAAAGAAGCCAGTTAAAAAGGAATATATATTATTGATTCCATTTATATAAAATGCACAGAATAGGCAAGTTTATAGAGACCTATTATAGATCACTGGCTTACTATAACTAGGGAGGTTGGGAAAAAATGGGAAGTAATTGCTTCTAGAGGCTGGGTTTCTTTCTATGGTGATTTAAATGTTCTAAAATTGATCAGATTATGGTTGCAGAATTCTGTGGATGTACTAAAAACCATTGAGTTATACACTTTAAACGGATGAATTGTATGTTATATAAATTATTTCTCAATCTTTTACATAAAATTAAAAAGGAGGTGGAATGTATGTAATTATACATAAACATAGATTATAGTATAAAATGTATATTTTAAAACAAAATTTTATAGGCATATCATATATAACATAGGCAAATGCTCAACATACTCATTATTTAAACACACTTGGACACTTCCTATTAACTGAGTTGTCTTTGTATAATTTTGTTGAACCTTCCTCAGTCTACAAAATGGGAATATATTATTATTTCCTTCATTTCACAGGTAGAAAAGCTAAGACTTGTGTTATATTTTTAACTTTAGAGGTGTAATACAAAGCAAAATAAATAATTTTATGGACTGTTAAAGTTCTAAAGCATATTTAATATAAAATATCAACTAAAGGTGCATTATCCTGAGAAACACAATTGATACATTAAATGATAGAAAACAATGGAAGTCATCTGGATGAAGTTTAGCTGACTATTCCATTTATCATTGTTGATATCATTGTTGATAAATGGAATAACCTGGGAAGATCTCCGAAAAGAACACTTGCCACAAACGCAGGAAACTGGGTTCTTAATTTTCAGTTTACTAGTCAGATACTTTTAGGCATGCAATTTAATGTTGCTTTGTAATAGTTTCATCAGAATCTTCAGTTTATTTCTATAATTTGATCCTAAAAAGCCTGTTAGTTTCTTCCAAAGTATTAGTTTAATCACTGTGAATGGTCGCCATGCTTAATGTTAGGGGTTGAATTGTGTCCTCTAAAAAGGTATGTTGAAATAAAAAATCCAGTACCTCAGTAAAATAACTTATTTGGAAACAGGATCTCTGCAGATGTGATTAGTTAAGACGAGGTGTACTGTAGTAGGGTGAGCACTTAGCCCAAGATGACTGGTGTTCTTGTAAAACAACCAGAAAAGACACAGATGAACAAAAGGAGAGTACCATGTCACGATGGAAGAAGAAATTGAAGTGAGGCAGCTGCAAAGGATTGCTGGCAAACCACCAGAAGCTAACAAGAGGCAAGGACATCTTCTCTTCTACAGGCTTCACAGGAAGCACCGCCCTGCCAACACTTTTACTTTGAATTTTTAGCTTTCAGAATTGTGACATAATATATTTCTGTTGTTTTAAGCCACCCAATTTGTGATGTTTTATCATGGCAGCACAAGGAAACTAATATACTCTCAAACCTACCTTGTCTAAATAAGCCCTTATAAATTACAACATACAGGTATGACATGCTTACTAACTTCTGTGACCAATGCTTTGCATATTCCATGCATTCTCATCTATAAAACATTCAAGTTTTAAAAATCTCAACAAAGTAAACAAGCATACAAAATCCTTGAAAATATGACTCAATTTTTATCACTATTGTCAGATTGTCAGTGAAGAAACTGAGGTTAAGAAATTGGCCTCACATGAAAAATATTTTAAGAGTGGCAAGTTAGATCCAATGCTGGATCCAACTATAATTCAATCCTTATCCTAGGTATGTGTAATAAATCACTATGCAGTTTAGTCTGCAATCAAATTTGTAATGCTTGGAACATTTTTAGATTCAGAAATGTGAATTGTGTATTTTCCCCCATTTCTACTTAATCTTCATTAAACAAAAAGCTAGCAGCAGAAATATCCTATGAAATAATGAAAAAGTTTTCAAATTGTCTAGCAATCAGTACTTTTACTGGAATACAAATCACTAAAGTTTACAATCAATTTAAAGAGTTAAATCCGGTCTTTAATTTGATAGAATTTTTTTTCTTTTATTGCTGGTATGCTATTTCTGTGTTCCAATAAAGATAAATCAATAAAGAAGTTTTCTATTGAGACTAATGCTTTCCATAAAAAAACACAAAGTATTTGGGAAGCACTACCATTTTTTTACTTCATCAGGAAAGTTTCAGAGATGACTCATTAAAGTCATATGGTTCTCTTTGTCTTTTCTCTTTTTACATTTTCTGAAAATGTTGCATAGTAATAATAAGTTATAGACAGTCTGTAATATAGACTGTCTTAATTTTTTTAACAGTATACTTAAGTTACCAATTACTATGCTCTTTAAGTTTAGAATTATTACCACAAAATTAATGGTGGATGAGTACCATAAAAAAGGAGTAATGCACAGTTTGATTATAATTTCTTAATCATGTAACATTTTGTTTAAAAGATTTTAACAAATATCTTTTATCTTTTTCATGGATGTTGCTATTCTTTGTGTGTTTTTCTCATTAAACAGCACAATGACACATAATATTCATTTACTCATTAATATGTGTCCCAAGAGAGATGAACTGGGGGATTTTACCTTATTTTCTGTGTGGAATAGTTTTCTGTTTTATAATCTTGACACTTATTTTGACATGTCAGGGTTTACATTGTAGAATTACTGAATCAAATAGTATGTTACAGTGTAACTTTTGGTGATACATATAGTTGGTAGCCACAGACAAAATATGTTCAGGGAAAAAAAGTACTTTTTTGTTTTATAAGTTGAGTATATAAGCCAGTTCAATTTGTCAGAGAATCTTAAATAGTTGTAATGAGTACAACTCTAGTTAATCTCCTCATTAGACATATCTATTTTATTATGTATCTTTCTATCATGTCATTGCATATGTATCACAACATCGAGAACTGTACTTTCTTCCATCCTAGGAGGACTCATTCTAATTTATACTGATAAAAATGGAGCTAGAAAACATACTGTCAGAATAATGTCTAAGAAATTATTTATGGACCTAATTTATTGTAAGTACCAGGAAAAATAATCAAAACATTCATTCATTGTTTATCCTTCTGGCACTGCCAATTGCTTTACGTGAATTTTAGTCCTTCTATTGCAATTTTTTTCTTATTACAAGCAAATGTAATTATTTTAGATGGATATACCACCAAATAACTTGATAATTTGACTTTAAGTAATATGTTTTTATTGACTTAAAAATAATCTTATCATAATCATTTATTTTTGGTCTAAACAAAGAAAAATACATATACATGGATGTGCACCTACAGACATACGTATAAAAATGTATAGCACACATACACACAGATGTATATATGTTTATATATTTTTTTATGGGACCAAAGTTAAAAATGGCGAAGTCAAGGACTAACTGATTTGATGACCATAAGGTTACTTTTTAAATCGATAAAAATAATTATTAAATTAAAGTTAAACTTTAATTATATACATATATACACAGATATATACATTCATTTATACATGCTTACATTTCTATCTAAAGCTATAAATATTTCTATAACTATATGTATATCTGTAACTTTTCATCTCTCTCTAGATAGACAGCACAATATACTAATTAATGTTGGAGATTCTGGAACCAACTGCCTGGGTTTGTTTACTTACCCTTCTATTTACTTCAGTGTGATGAGCATGATTTTTTTTTTTTTTAAATCTCTGGGCCTCAGGTTTCTCAAATAAAATGGAAATAACCATAATAACGATATCATTTTGTTGCTATGAAAATTAAATAAGTCAATTTCTGTTAATTTTGTAGAACAATTAGTTCCATAGCAAAAAAAAACTGTATTTGTTAAAATGATATAGGGATTATTTTGGGAAGAATGGGGACTACTTCAATATTTAATCTTTCAATCCATAAATTTATTATATTTTATTCAATTCTTTCTCTCAAAAATGCTATATTGTTTTCTGTGTAAAAATATTGGCTATCTTTTCTTAATTTTTTTTTTTCTTTTGAGACAGCGTCTCACTCTGTCGCCTAGGCTGGAGTGCAGTGGCATGATCTCGGCTCACTGCAACCTCTGCCTCCCAAGTTCAAGCAGTTCTCTGCCACAGCCTCCCAAGTAGCTGGGATTACAGGCACCCGCCACCTTACCCAGCTAATTTTATTTATTTATTTATTTATTTGTTTATTTTTTGTATTTTTAGTAGAGACAGGGCTGGTCTTGAACTCCTGACCTTGTGATCCACCTGCCTTGGTCTCCCAAAGTAAAATTCTTAAATATTTGATGTTTTAAAGGTTACTGAAAGTATTTTAAATTTTCTTTTTATTTGTTTCCACTGGATAGATATACTATTTTTATGTTGTCCTTATATAAAACACTCCTGCTAAATCGATTTATTTATTCTAATAGTATATAGAATGATTTATTAAATTTTCAATGTACTAAATCATAGGGTCTGCAAAGAATTACATTTTTGTTTCTTTCCAATAATAGTTCTATTCTACTATTATAGATACACTGATGACTAATTCTTTCAAATTTTTTTTCAAAAATATCTTTATTTCACTTTCATTTCAAAATAATAGCTTAGCTAGGTATACAATTCTATTGCTGGAAGTTGTTTTCTTTTAGCATCATAAAGATCTCTTTCCATTATTTTCTGTTTTTTTTATTGCTTCTTTTGGGAAATAGCTGTCAGTCTTGTTTTTCTTTAAAGCATGATACCTCTTTTACTTTGATTTAAGGTTTGTCTTTGTTAACTTTTGAAATACATTGTGCCTAGTTATTTTTAAAATTGATCTTATTTGTCCTTTATATTCGGTTTCTTTAGCTCTCTTATTTGATGCCTTTCATCATTTTTGAATAATTTTATTTCTAAATACATCTTTTGTCCGCTCTCTTTTTGAAACATTTTGCTGTGTTTTGTATTCTTTTGTCTTTTGGTGATCTATTTAGGATATTTTATTTTTCCCATTTCCCACTTTCTACCTATCTTCTTACCATTCATGTTTAATCAGCTTTTAATTCTAGCTATTGAGTCTTTAATTTTAATTGTAATTTTGGTTCTAAAATTTCTATTTAAAAATTTCTAGTTTTCTGAAAATTATTCTAAAATGTGTGCTTTTCTATTACTGTACATACAAACTACAGGTATCTTAAACTTTGTGTCTGATAACTCTTTTATCTGAATTAGCTTCCGATTTCTATTTTTTACTTCTTTTTGTTATTCATATTGCTGTGTGTGTGCCTATTTTTATTTGATTTCTTGATATTTTATATGAAAAAGTACAGAAATTATTTGTAACTCTGGATATTACATTCCCTTACAGTTTGGTTAATATTTTCTCTGGCTAGTAACTGGACACAAGCAATCCAAAATTCCTAAATTTCATCTGGATTCACAAGGTTTTAAAGCTGTGCTTGGCTGGGCACAGTGGCTCAAGCCTGTAACCCCAACATTTGTGAAGTCAAGGCAGGAGGATCACTTGAGACCAGGAGTTTAAGACCAAACTGGGCACCAAGGAGAAACCCTGTCTCTACATATATATGTGTGTGTGTGTATATATATATATATCTCTCTCTCAAACAAACAAACAAACATTTATACATACAAAGTTAGCTAGATTCACCTGCACTTGTAGTCCCAGCTACTGGGGAAGGTGAAGTAGGAGGACCCCTTGACCCCAGGAGCCTGAGGTTGCAGTGAGCTGAGATCCAGTGGGGGCACTTCAGCCTAGGTGACTGTGAGATAGTGTCTCAAACACAAATAAATAAATAAATAAATAAATAAATAAATAGCTGTGTTTTTTCCTTTGTGAGGACTGGGCCCTTATTGGTTTACTCTTAATTCACAAATGTAGTTGTTTAGTGCTCCAATTTGTATCCTGGAATGTTTGTTAGGAAACTTACATTACAAGAAACAAAATACAATTTTTCTTGCTATCTTCATGAATCCCTCAGGTTTTTTTTCTATTTCTTAGCCCTTCCACTGCTGTATATAGATACTTAAAATGCCTTGAAGGTGAAAGGATGCTGAACTCATTTAAGGTTTCTGTTCTTGAAAGGAATTCAAGACATTTATTAAAAGCAGCACTGCTAATACTTACAACCTTGAAAAGTTTCTAGATTTTTCAAGCACATATTATTAATATTTTGCCCAAATTTCCTCATTTATTTTTAGCAGATTAACTGGTTTTTACAAGCTATTCCACAAATTGATCGATGTAAATTCTCAATTGAGATGAGGATACCTTTTATGAATTCTGAATTTTGTAACATCCTTAGGAATTCCCAAAATGTTAAAAATTATCCTAATTTTAATATAGAATTCTAAATCTCTCTTCCTCCTTCTTTCTTTTCCTCTCTCTCTCACACACACATATACCTCACACATACCAACTTACGTTTTGCATGTTTTAACACTTCAGAATATAGAGGACATTATACCAAACCATCAATCTGTCAAACATTGCACTTAATGAATATTTACATTTGAAAAATTTATTTCCTCAATTTAAAACATAATAAATGTTTAAAATGTGAGTGAAGCTCTTCCTCATCGTTCCACCCAACTCCAAGATCATCATTAGCCTACAATTAATGTATATTCTTTCCATAGATGTTTTTATACTTGAATATTGCATTAGTCTGTTCTCAGACTGCTAATAAAGACATACCCAAGACTGGGTAGTTTATAAAGGAAAGAGGTTTAATTGACTCGCAGTTCTACATGGCTGGGGAGGGCTCAGATTAATGGCAGAAGGTGAAGGGAAAGAAAGATATGTCTTACATGGCAACAGGCAAGAGAGTTTATGCAGGGAAACTGCTATAAAACCATCAGATCTCTTGAGACTTAATCGCTACCAGGAGAACAGTATGGGAGAAAATGTCCCCATGATTCAATTATCTCCACCTGGCCTCGCCCTTGACACTTGGGGATTATTAAAATTCAAGGTGAGATTTGGATGGGGACACAGCCAAACCATATCAGTTATATATAAAAATCTATACAGAGTATACAGAGTGGTTTTTATGTTGTGGTTTTAAATTTACATGTTCTTATACTCAGTAAACTACTTTTTGAACACTTCATGTTTTGTGGATTCATTCATATTGGTACCAATATAATTATTCTAATCACTAAATTTTAAAAATTTTGTTGTATTAAAAATATACAATGAATTTATTTTTATCAATCCCAGATAGGTTACTTTCAGCTTTCCACACTAATGTCCTGTAGTATGCCATGTAGCACATGCAATTTCTGATAAATGTTTCCTTATCAGAATGCATGTGGAAGGATTCCTTTAGGGAATCAGTTTTCAAACTTTTTGATCTCTAGACCCATTTATGCTCTTAAAAGGTATTGAGCATCCCAAAGATCATCTGTTTATGAGGATTATAACTATTAAGCATTCAATATATTAAAAATCAAAATTGAGAATTGTATAAAATAGTAGTTTATTTCAAAAATAACAAAACAACTATTTTATGTCAATAAAATTCTGTTAAAAATTACTATTTTTCTAAAAAGATGTAATAAGAAAATCACATGGTTTTACATTTTTGCAACAGTACATGCAGTTTTAATTTTGTTATATATTGCCAATGTCTCTCCAATGTGGTTTGACTTATTTATTGGCCCATTCTCAGGATCCAAGAGCTTCCACATTCCCATCAACATTTGCTAATAGTTTAATTTGCCCAGCCTATGGATATGTAATGGACTCTATTGTAATATGCATTTCTCTGATTATCAGTGAATTTGAGCCTTTTAATATTTTATTAGGTATTAGAGGTTCAGTTTCTCAAACTGCTTATTCAAATTCCCTTTCAAAATAGAATTTCTTTAAGTAATTTGCATACTTATCTTTATCAGTTTCAAATGTTACCATTATCTTTTCCAAATGTTATAACTTTTAATGTGATGTATTTTGTTAAACAGATTTTTAAAATATTGTCAAGTCTTTCAATGCTCTTAAATAAACTTTTTGTTTTAGAATAGTTTTAGATGTAAAGCAATGTCACAGTAAACAGCTCAAGTCAGGCTGCTTGCCTCTCAGAGATGGAAAACATGAGAAGTGAGGTGTGAGTAAAAGGAAAGAGAATTTATTCAAATGCTAGCAACTGGGGAAGGGCAGGCTCTTGCCTTTAAAGGACCATACCAACTTTTTGGGCTGAGTGAAGGGGTTTAAGAAGGAAAATTTGGTGTGGGAAACATGTGGACGTGGCGCAGGAGGGTGCAGGTCTGTGTGTCTTGTTTGCATGATTATCCTGAGAACTTACCTGGCCTGAGGCCCAGTTTGCGTCATCCTGGTTTCAGCGCAGCAGTGGTGGGCTAACTCTTCCTAACATCCCTCAGCCTGCAGGATTCTGCATCTGGGTCTCTGCCTGGTTTGTTTCAAAATTGGCCCTTGGAATTTTCTAAGAAAGTACATAATTAGATAAGTGAGCATTATTCACAGAGGTGGCTGGAGGAAAAGGGAAAAACAAAGAGTTTCAAAGTATGTTTCAAGGCTGAGAGCCAGAGAGGAAAAAACAATTTAAATGTATTTTGAGGCTGGGATACCCGGTTATGTCACAAAGATTCCACGGAGTTTCCACATATATCATGCCCAGTTTCTCCTACTACTGACATATTATGCTAGAATATTTGTCACCATTAATGAACTAATATTAGTGTGTTATGATTATTTCATGTCCATACTTTATTCAGATTTTCTTAGTTTTTTTATGTAGTTATTTTTAAGTTCCTTTTCATAATGTAAAATTACATTTAGTTATGGCTCCTTAGGGTCTTCTTGGCTGCGGCAGTTTCACAGACATTTTTTGCTTTTTATAACCTTGATAGGTTTGAGCAGTGCTGTTCAAATATTTTGTAAAATTTTCCTAGATTGAGGTTTATCTAATTTTAATCTTATGATTGAACTGAGACAATGAACTTTTTAGCGGAACACCAAAGAGGTAAAGTGCCATTCTTATCAGATCATTTCAAGGATACATACTATCAACATAACATATAACTGTTGTTAACTCTGATACCTGGCTGAGGTAGTATTGTTCAGATTTCCCAACTGTAAAGTTACTCTTTTCTCCTCTTTGTAAAGTCATAAACCGCATGTCGCACCAAAAGAGAAGGCAGTTATACTTTTCCTGCTTGAGGACTAAGCATCCACATAAATCATAAATTATTTGGAATTCTTCTGCATGAGATATTTGCCTCATCTTCTACAATTATTTATTTAATTACTTTTTCAAATCGGTATAAACTCATGAATATTCAGTTTATACTTTGGTTGCAACTTTACGTATCTTGTTGCTCAAAGTATTCCTCTTTGGCCATTGGGAACTCATTTAGTTGGCTCCTGTGTTCCCTTGATATACCCCTCATTGTAGCTATTTTAGTACCTCCATCCTTTATGGCACTACAAGAAGCTCCAGGATCATTCGATATTTTTTGTCCTGAACCTAGAAGCAGATATTTCTTCAAAGAGACCTTGTTACTTTTATTGAAGAATGATTTCAGAATCCAAGATCTGGGCACTAGGCTTGTTATGACTGCTATGGTGGCAGTGTTTTGAGGCCCACTAAGCTGCAGAACAAGACAATGTATTTGTGCATATTAATCAGTATATATACAGACAAGTATTAATATTTCTATGTGTACATAACACCACATATTTCAAGCTAAAAATGGGTTTGTACTGATGTTAATTTTAATACATTGCACAAAGATCATTCAAGACTTCTCCCTTATTTGTCTGTAACCTCAGTCCAACAGTGAGAAACAAGGCCTCTGCCACCTGCTATGTATATGCTTAACTATTTGATTCTGTTATACGTGTATTATGGTTTCAGAATTGTTATCATAGGAGACAAACAGCTTTATCAGGTAGAGTACATTTTTTCCCTCTAACAGTATACTCTCCAGTTATTTCCAAAATTACTAAGTTCAGAACCTTTTATTCTCATTCCTCTTATTGAGATTATTTTATATATTTGTAATGCATTTATACTTTTTTCACAGCTTGTCTTCCAAATAGGGATAATCAGCTATCCTAAATTATTTATTTTGTATAAATTAAGGTTTATTCTTTATGCTAGAAAGGTCCATGAGTTTTGACAAATTCAGTGTCATGTATCCACCATTACCCTATCACTCAAAATACTCTCCTTTAAAAAATCCCCTATGATTTACTCCCCAAACACTCTCCCCACCATTAATACCAGGGAACTTTTTTACTGTGTGTACAGTTTTGCTGTTTCAAAAATGTCATCTAAATGGAATCATACATTATGTACTATTTTCAAACTTGTTTTGTTTACTTAGCAATATGTATGTAAAATTCATCAATGTTCTGGCATGGCTCATTCCTTTTTATATCTGAATAGTAGCCCATCATATTAGATGTACCACAGTGTGTTTATTCATTCATCTGTTTAAAGGACAACTTGATTGCTTCTAGGTTTTGTTGATTATGAATAAATTTCTACAAACTTTTAAATGCTGGTCTTTGTATGAACATGATTTCAAATCATCTGGGTAAATACCTAGGAGGGAATTGCTGAATAATATAACACTATGTTTAGCTTTGAAAGAAACTGACAGCCTGTCTTCCAAAGTAGATGTATAATTTTGTATTCCTACTAGTAGTTATTGAGTGTTCCTTTTCTCCATATTCTTGCTAAATATTTTCATTGTCACGTTTTTGGTTGTTTTTTTTTTTTGTTTTTTTTTTTTTAAATTTGGGCCATTCTAATTGTCATGTAGTAGTATGCCATTATTTTGTTAGTTTACATTTTCTTAATCACAAATGATATTTACTTTCTTTTCATATGTTACCATCTGAATATCTTGGATGATACTTATTCAGATTTTCTGCCCATGTTTTGAGTGTATTATTTTATCATTGAGTTTTTAAAGCTCTCTTTATCTTATGATAAATGTTCTTTATCAGATACATGTTGCTCTTTCAATTTGTGGCTTGATTATTGATTCTATAAATGATATCTTTCACAGAACAGAAGTCTCACAAAAGTCATTGATGTATAGTGTGCCCACCTTTTTTTTTTTTATTAAAAGGCATAGAGTGAGGACTTACTAGCACTTTGCATGTCAGAACTGAAACTCTAAATCATTTTTTTAATTTTATTTTTAATTGACAATATTTAAATATACTAAATAATTTTAATGAGCCTTTTTGGTTTTTTAAAATTTTTTCAATGATATATGTTGTTCTGTGTATAGTATGAGACAGAAATTAAATTATACTTTTGCACTAATTAGAAAATACAATTGTTTAGAAAATGCGTTCTGTTATTCCCTGCTCCAGAATAGAAGCTAAATAAGGACAGATTTTTATCTTTTGTTCCCTATGTTTTTCACAGCCTATAAACAGTTTCTGACTTAGCAATAACTAAATATTTGTTGAATAAGTACATATTATTGAATGAATGAATGTGAACAAGGACCTACGTCTGAGTTCTTAGGAATTTGATTTACTGCCGCTTTGGTTTATTTTCTTTCCCTATGTCAATACATTTTTTTTACCATAATTATTTCATATTATGTTAATAATTGTTAATATAATATTTCTGCATACATTTTAGAATCAATAAAATTTCAGGGGAAACAATATATCAACTCATTTGAAAAGCACCTATATCCTTTTAATAGTAAACCTTTTCTGTAAGAGTGTATTTCTGACTTTATTTAGATCTTTATTTATGTCTTTGTTATGATAACAGTAAAGTTGCAGAAAACATAAAACATCCAAACTATTTTAAACAGAACAATTATTCAATTGTTAACAAATTATGGGAAGAGTTGGAGGAGCAATGTTTAGGCTAGATCTCCAGAAATGGCTCTTTGGACAAAATCACATTACTGACCTGGTGAACTTCTACCCTTACCATAATAAGAAACTTGGTACAGAGGACATCCACAATCTCAGCCCCTGGCTTTATGTTCACTACACTTTTGCCATTTTGCCTGGATCAGCAAGGTGATACCATAAATGTTGGCTTCAGGAGAACACCAGCTTTACTGCGTGCGATTCAGGTTCAGAAAGCTGTTTTGAGAATTCTTGACTCCAGAGCCAAACTGGTTCTAAAAGAAATGCAACAGCAAAAATAAATGCCTTGCACACTGGCAAAATCCCCAATGGAATTTGACTCCAAATTCAAGTCCAAGTTCAGTTGGGTACAATGCTCAAATCCAAGTTGGATTGATAGAGCTTAAATATCTTCTGGAATCTAAACTGCAAAGGAATGTGAGAAATGTGGTTTTCAGTTTTTTTTAATTAATGCAATATAATAATGCACATTTACCAGAAAATTTAAAAAGTGGTGGTTGACCTAATTTATCTTTCTGCTACACTCTATCAAAGACTTTTGTAATTATCTCCATAAATGTGTTATCTTTTGTTAGATTTCCTTCTGATATTTTTACTGTTTTTGTTCCTATTCTAAAATTGAACAAAATAAAAATAACATTTTCTAGTTTACTATAATTTGTTATCTATTTTATAACTATTTAATATCTGAAAACGGGAGAACTTACTGGTTCTATTGTAAATCATGCTTAAAATATTTGTGTAGGTAACATTTCATGTATAAATAATGCATTTTTTTTACTATTTTTATATTATTTATTATTTATATATGCATTTATTTACTTGTGGGGTTTTTTTTGCACTGGTTTTATAGGTAAGACCTAAAATTAAAAATCCATATTTTGTGCTTCTTTGACATCTGGTAAAATCAAGGGGGACTTAAAATTGCCTAATTGCAAGTTCTCCTCCCCATTTTTTTTTCCCATGGATAAGTTCCCCAAGCCAAAATATCCACCTTATTAAAGGGAACAGGTATAGTTTTTGCCTATTGCTGAATAGTAGGTTCAGTTCACAGCAAGCCTGAAGAATTATTAAAACAAGACAATCTCATCCTTTACCAGGAACCAGAAAACATCCCAACCTACCCTCTTAATACTAAAAAGCTTGCCTTCCACATCTTCTAGTTGTTCACTCTCTTTCTGAGTGTAACATCTATGCATCTCTCTGTGATATGCAGTGTCCTTTTCTCTCAGGCTGTTAGTGCAGGTGACCAGTAAACTGTCAGTCTACATCTGTATAGTGTCCAGTGGTTTCTGTCCAAGTCATCCCCACAGCACTAGGGAAGAAATACCTCCCTCAATAATAAGGGATATGGTCAAAATATGTTTTGGTTATGGTTAAAATATGTTAAAATATGTTTTGGCTTTCAATTCAACTTGTTTAAAATATAGTTAAAATATGTTTTGGCTTTCAATTCAACTTGAAAACATAGGTCTTTTTACTGAAGACAATGGTCTTTTTACTGAATCAAATTTCATTTTGAGAATCTCCTTTTAATCTTAATAATTTGTTTTATTATTCATAATTTACTTGACTGTATGCTTCCTTTATTTCTTAAATTGGATGTCTATCTTGAATTTTCAAAAATTTTTATAATAGTTGACATTATAAATTTTATTATATCCCATGAAGTTGTTATTTGATAGTTTTATTATCATTCAATTCTAAGTATGTTCAAATGTCCATTTTGATAACTTGACTCATGAGTTATATGGAAATATATTTTCTGCTTTTTTATACCTTCTTTTATATTTAAATCCAATCAAAATTCTACTATGAACAGAAAACATTGTATTTATAATACTGAATCTTTGAAATTTTTTGAGGCTTGCTTTAAGGCTTTGTGATTATTTACATTTTGTAATTATTTCATGTAAGCTTTGAACTTACGTTTCTTCAAGTTATTGTACACCTGCTTCTTAAATAACATATTAATTCTATGATTCTATACCTGCTTCTTAAATAACATATTAATTATGTTTCTCAAATGTCTTATACATTTCCTAATTATTTCTACTTTATTGGTCAATATTTTACAGAGATATATTGAATTGTTCTATGATATATAGTTTCTTCTTATAATTCTAATCATTTGTCTTTATATATTGAGACCATAGAATTAACTGAAATTAAGTGTACAATTATTAAATCTATCTGAATAATTGAAGCTTTCAAACTACTATAACCATATCTACTTCTAAAGACACTATTGAGTTTAATGTCTATTTTGTAATATTCATATAGTTATTCTAGCTTTATTTTGGTGAATCTACACCAGATGCATTTTTTTTCCAAATAGTTTTATATAAGCTTTCCAAGCTCTTACATTATAGATATTTCTCCTGTAAATTACATAATTCTTATGGTAATTTGTTTCATTTCAAACTGATCTCTTCCTTTCAGCTGATAAATGTTGTACTTTAATATTTATTATCATGATTGAAATATATGGCATTTTTGAGAATCATCTTACTTCATGTCTTTTCCTGTAATGATTATCGTAAGCTTTTTTCTTCCTTTTAAAAAAATTTATTGATTGAGTCTTATTCTGTTTATTGATTTTTTTCTTACATTCAACCTCTATCATTGTTGAAAAGTGCAACAATTTATATTTAATTTAAATATTTATTCGGAAATTTTACGTGGCTTAAATAGTGTAGATCAAGGTTAATCTATGCTTTAATCCTGCCACTCCTGTTTCCAAATAGGGACCTTACAACACTTTTATTTTATGATTAATTGCCCATGCTCTAATGTCTTCCACATACTACACCAAGTGTTAGTGGTATAAAAAAATATGTATATTTGACCTGATAATTGACTTGTTTAAAAATTTCTAATAACTTCCCAAATTTCTTTAACTTACCTAAGCCAATGAGGGTTGATAATACCCCTAATAAGATACAGCAAGGGAGTATTGTAAGATTCAGTCAACTTTATTGTGTCCCAGCAGGTGTAATATTAATATATCTTTGCTTAGTCAAATTTTGCTTAATGATTGTCTCAGATATCTCGAAAATCACAGAATACTGGATGAAGTTCTGCACTAGGTAATACTAAGTTTTTTTTTTCTTTACAAATGTGGAGCTGGTGTTTAGCGTGCAAATTAAATGTTTATAAGTTTTAGTTACATCAGTTTGTGTTTAAAATAACATTGTGATAAAATAAATGCAAGACATCCCTAAAGTTATCATAGAAATTATAATTGATGAAAAATAGTCACTTCAGTGAGATAAAAATGTTCACTTTCACTGAATTTAAAATATTGATCATTTCATATCTTTATTCTCATTATATGTTAAGAATAAGAATATTTAGATTCAGCTAAAAGAATGTCCAGACAAAAAAGCCACTGTCCTAATTTTCTAACTCCTTGCAAATGCAGGGTCAGTGGTGCCTAGGGCGTTATTTGCATGGTTGGATAAGTTGGGAAATTATAGGGTTAATTTAATGTTTAAGTTCAATAATCAATTTTGAATCTCTGTCCTAAAAAATTAACAACCGAAAGAATGAAAATACTTTAGAATGAAAAGTGCTTTAAAGCCCAGCTTACTCAACTATTTCTCCATTCTATGTAGAAGACCATTTATATTCAAAAGAAGTAATCACTATTAATAATTAATAAGTCTCAATTTGTCTGTAACTCTTCTATTCTCCTAGAATATTAAATGTTGGCCGCTAGCTGAATAAAATATTTTAGGTTTAATTTAATTAGGATAAAGCAGTGAATCATAACAACCTCTCTTATTCTGTATATTATTTATATTATACACATGTACATACCCACATATATAAATCCAAAAATATACTGTTCATTACAATCTGATAATATGATCTTTTTTGATCTCAAAGTTTCAAGCAGCTATCATCCATATCCATCCTCCATACACAAAACATACATTCTGTGTGTGAGAGTTGATTTTAGAGTCTCTTTTCTTTTTTCTTTTTTCTTTTTTCTTTTTCTTTTTTTTTTTTTTTTTTTTTTGAGACGGAGTCTCGCTCTGTCGCCCAGGCTGGAGTGCAGTGGCGGGATCTCGGCTCACTGCAAGCTCCGCCTCCCGGGTTCACGCCATTCTCCTGCCTCAGCCTCCCAAGTAGCTGGGACTACAGGCGCCCGCCACCACGCCCGGCTAATTTTTTTGTGTTTTTTAGTAGAGACGGGGTTTCACTGTGTTAGCCAGGATGGTCTCGATCTCCTGACCTCGTGATCCGCCCGCCTCGGCCTCCCAAAGTGCTGGGATTACAGGCGTGAGCCACCGCGCCCGGCCGATTTTAGAGTCTCAAGTCTAGACTTCACATCAATTTCTCTTTACCTCCTTTTATTATAACAAGCTATTAATTTAATTTCTTAAGGCATATTTGCATTGTGCCTTTAAAATTGAACATATTCACTATACTTTTGCTTTTTATTCCAAAGTTTAGAAACATGTAGAAGGGATAATATTACAGTTTCCATAGAATTTTTTTTTTTTTATTTCTTGTAGTGATTTAAAACTCTGACTCTGAGCTCCAGTCTGTCTGAAGCTAAAATGTTAATCTGGATGCTTTCGGCCAAATTAGCTCAATTCCAGTGATTTATCAGTCACTTTAATTTAATATTTCATCAGTTCAAGGAGCTGCTCATCTGCCTCAGATATTGGGATTATGTCTGGATTCAGGATAAGTTTAACGCCATTGTGGAAGGATGCGACTGGTCTGTGCTCATGCTGATAAAAATGTATCTATGGTTGTTTGGCACAATCTGAGGTGATTGCTCCAGGAAGCCTTTGCAGTCTTTTTCCATTAATTCCGTTCTATCTTGGCTTTTGCTGGAGCTAATCCCCTGACGTCTCGTTGCATCTCCTATTTGATGTCTACTTGGGATTCTTTCATACTAGCTTCTACAGTGACTTCGTCAAATGTTGGGAAAACGCTCTGTACCCCACTCTGCTCCACCCTGTTAAACTGGAATAGTTTACTCTCAGCCACATTCTCTTGCTGAGGACACATTTCCCCCCACTGTATATCTTCTTTAGAGCATTGGGAGTATATTTTTTAACCATTAAAGTCTTTTATCTTCCATTTCTTTGGCCCTCTGCTGCTGAGATATATCTGAAGTCCACTTCCACTGATTTTCATATTTACATTGACAGTATAAGCACATTTATGTATAAAGCATTGTGGCTGCCTTCAGAGTCTTGGGCAAGAAAAAAGGTACAACCTATTTATTCTCAACTCTCCTAATTCAACTTTCTGTCTGCTCATTCCCCTGAAAAGCAGGGCAACTATCATGTGATTGAAAGAGGTCAGTCCTATGTTGAAGTACGAAACTTGCCAGTTGATGTTTTAGTTATTGAAGTAATTGAAGTTTAATGAAGTAAATTATTACTTCATAGGATATCCTGCTATTTATACCTTTCTTTATCAAAAATATTCATACTACTTATTTCAGTAGATGTCCCTTCAGTGTCAAATTGGTGACATGATTTCCTCTTTCTCGGAATGTTCTCTGTATAATGAAAGTGAATATTGTAGCAATATCTAGCTAAATTGGCAGTGCCTCTCCTGTCATAGCTGAACGATCCAGAAGGAGAAAACAGGCCTGAGCTGAGACAATTGGATTTCTTCTCTTGGGAATGTGAGACTTGGAAAAAGGGAAATGGAAATATACAAGGAGATAAGTCACACCATTCATTGATGCTGGTATCATAAACAGAATTTGCATAAATTTCTGTTATGGATGTATTCTGTTCTAGTTCTTGTTCATTCTTTTACCAAGATTTGTATGTTTTAAATTCTTTTACTTTTTAAAAAATATCAGATTTATTCTCTTTAATTCCTATTTTCTGTGTAACCTTCTTTAAATTGAATTTCTCTCATTTACAATGTGGTTTGTTCTGGCTAATGAATTATGAGCAGAACTAACAATGAAAACTTCTGGACTTAGGCAAAGAAAATGCTCCACATGAGCAACCTGTTCTCTGTTTCCAGGCTGTAGCACCCTGGAAGCCATTGTTGATAAGGCAGACCCATCATATCTCTGAGTCATCACATGGGAGGGAGTTGCCATTAAGAAGTATTGAAAACACCGCTGACTTGGTATATGTGAGAAATAAACCTCTGATGTATTAAATCATTAGGAATTCTTAGTTTGTTACTGCATTGTAACCTACTATATCATGACTGATAAAGCCACTTTCAATACTTAAAACAGTATATTTCTTCTGCCTCTCTGTTGTTATATATGTAATACTCTTTACAAAGATTCTCTCTTTGACCAAATTTTAGCCAGGCTCCTCTGAGCCCTCTTCTCAGTTAGGCTGTAACCTTGACATGTAAAGACCTGAACAAAAAACAAACATTGTTTCTAACACCTAAAGGCTACGTCCCTAGAATGACCCTTGGCCCCCTTAAAGTGCCTGTGTGAGAAAACTCAAGACTGCTAAAGGACTTGAGTGTTTGTCATTCAACACCTAAAGATAGGGCCTGTGTCTCCCAGCCTGTATGAGAAAGTAGGAGCCTAACTCTGATAACTCTCAGTTAACAAACCCAAAATGGGTTTCACATTGACTAAACCCCCACTCCTCATTTTAATAACTTTTTTATTTCCCTGACTTTAGTGAGCCCATGTTCATTACCTTTATTCCCTCATACTCTTTCTAAAATGCCGTTACCTCTATGAAAATCAAGTTGAATTCAGTTCATGCTGGACTCTTTCCAACCACACTAATATATTACTGATTACAATCTGTCCTTAGCACTTTAGTGTTCAGCTTTATCTTTGACACTTTCTCACTGGAGTACTTTTCTATTCTCTGTCCCCATCCTCACATCACTCATCTGGCTAACTAGCTATATATGAACTAGAGTTGACCCTTGAACTACATGGGGGTTGGGGTGTTGACCCCCACACAGTTAAAAATCCGTGTATAACTTTAACTTCTCAAATCTTAACTATTAATAACCTACTTTTACCAGAAGCCTTGCCAATAACATATACGGTTGATTAACACATTTTATATATGGTATATGTATTATATACTGTATTCGTACAAGAAAGTACGAAAGAGAAAATAAAATGTTATTAAGAAAATCATAAGGAAGAGAAAATTTATTTATCCTTTATTAAGTGGAAGTGAATTATCATAAAGGTCTTCAACTTCATCATGTCATCTTCATATTGAGTAGGTTGAGGAGGTAGAGGAAGGGCAGGGCTGGTCTTGCTTTCTCAGGGGTGGCAGAGGTGAAATAAAATGTCCTTATAAGTGGACTTGCACAGCTAAATCCTGTGTTGTTCAAGAGTCAACTGTTTATCTAAGGTCATGACTTTGAAGCTAGTCTTTGATAAAGCTCTGCGTGTCTCCCCACTCACCCAGGATGGGCTAGGTGACTTCTTGTATTTCCACTAAAGTGAATATTTGTCCCAATTGCTATTGTTTGAATGTATGTGTCCCTCCAAAATTTGTATATTGCATCTTATACCCCAAGTTAATGGCATGAAGAGGGACCTTGTGGGAAGTGATTAAGTCATTAGGTTTCCACCATTATGAATTGGATTTATGCCCTTATAAATGAGGCTTCCAGAGAACTGCTTCACCCTTCCATTTCTTCTGCCACATAAGGACACAACATTTGTCCCTACTTTGTGTCTTTTTTTTGCCATTTGAGGAGGAATAGAAGATGCCATCACCAGACACCAATTCTTCTGGTGCTGTAACTCCAGTCTCCAGAACTGTGAGAAATAAATTTCTATTATTTACCAATTACCAAGCCTAAGGTATTATCTGCAGCAGCAAATGGACTAAGGCACCTTTTGTTGCATTAATTTCACAATATTGCAATTTTCCCATTTCTTTACTATTTCCACTACTAGACGGTGAACTCGATGTCACAAAGGATTTATTATTCTGAGAAACTAGCATAGAGCTTGTTGATTACTGAATAGCTCTTAAACAAGCATAGATTTGTAGCTAGTCATAAATGAAATAATGATTAGAACACTGAGAGCATAAAAAATATTTACTGAATGAATAAATATATAATGACTATAAATTAGTACCACAATAGACTATCAACCTCTTCTAACATTTACCAAAATTCCATTATTAGATGGAAATAAAATCATCTAATTGAACCAAAGATACTTTCAGATATACCTGTGAAAGCCCTTAAAAATTAAAAGTATAGTAAAATTTTGCTGAAAATAATGTTAAATGGCAAAGCATGCTGCTGTATTGGGGATGGGAAGATTTTAAGTAGTTTTATTCAGGAAAGGAGAATCATGTTGTATTTGCTCCAAGAAGAAGGTGCTTTTTTTTTTCTTTTCTTTTCTTTTCTTTTTTTATTTTTTTGAGATGGAATCTCACTTTGTTGCCCAGGCTGGAGTGCAGTGGCACGATCTCGGCTCACTGCAACCTCTGCCTCCCAGGTTCAAGTGATTCTCCTCCCTCAACCTCCTGAGTAGCTGGGATTATAGGCGCCCGCTACCATATCCGGCTAATTTTTATATTTTTAGTAGAGACGGGGTTTCGCCATATAGGCCAGGGTGGTCTCCAGCTCCTTACCTCAAGTGATCTGCCCGTCTCGGCCTCCCAAAGTGCTGGGATTACAGGAGTGAGCCACTGTGTCTGGCCAGAAGATGCTTTTAACTCAGAATTAATTACGAAATGACTCTTCTCGGCCGGGCGCGGTGGCTCACGCCTGTAATCCCAGCACTTTGGGAGGCCGAGGCGAGCGGATCACGAGGTCAGGAGATCGAGACCATCCTGGCTAACACGGTGAAACCCCGTCTCTACTAAAAATACAAAAAAAAAAATTAGGCGGGCGTGGTGGCGGGCGCCTGTAGTCCCACTTACTCAGGAGGCTGAGGCAGGAGAATGGCGTGAACCCGGGAGACGGAGCTTGCAGTGAGCCTAGATCGCGCCACTGCACTCCAGCCTGGGCGACAGAGCGAGACTCAGTCTCAAAAAAAAAAAAAGAAAAAAAAGAAAAAAGAAAAGAAATGACTCTTCTCCTTACATCACTTCAGAATGTTGACCCTCCCTACTTAACAATTATTGTGAACTACTGTGTTCCAAGCACTGTTTGATTTCTAGATTTGGTGGGGAACAGAGAAAAAATATGGCTTTAGGTAAATGATATGGTTTGGCTCTGTGCCCTTACCCAAATCTCATCTTTAATTATACTCCCATAATTCCCACGTGTTGTGGGAGGGACGCAGTGGGAGATCATTTGAATCATGGGGGCGGTTTCCCCCATACTGTTCTCCTGGCAGTGAATAAGTCTCACGAGATCTGATGGTTTTATCAGGGGTTTTCGCTTTTGCATCGTCCTCATTTTCTCTTGCTGCTGCCATATAAGAAGTGCCTTTTGCCTCCTGCTATGATTCTGAGGCCTCCCCAGCCATGTGGAACTCTAAGTCCGATTAAACCTCTTTTTTCCCCAAGTCTCAAGTATGACTTTATCAGCAGCGTGAACACGGACTAATAGAGTAAAGCAAGAGGTTCACTGATGAATTATCACTAAGCAAAGAAAAAGAAGCCTTTCTTAGCGAGTTAAGGGCAGGGAGCCAGTATTTTGCAGCATACTGAATGGAGGTATCCACTTCAAAAGATAAGTAATAATAATAAAGCTTATGTAAAAATAAAAAAAATTAGAGAAGAAAGTACAAGAATGTTTTACTATACTATATGGTCCCTAATATTACAGAGTGGATTCAATAAAAATGTAGAGCACGCATGTTCAAGATGTAAAGATTAGCACTATATGGGAGAGAAAAACAGGGATTGAATGAAACATTCCCCTTGCAAAGAGTTTTCATTATTGGAAAGAAGTTGATTTCAAATATTTTCAATTATAAACACATTCATTCACATGTGCAAGAGTTTCCAGGTATGCTTAAATTAATGGTCTTTGTATACCGAAGTGTGCATAGTTCTCATTATATAGTATGTACTACCTTTTAAAAATTATTTTGTAAAGAAAATTGTAATGCCCTTGATAGAGCTTGGTAGATAAAACCAAGTTTATTTCTGCTTGGATATACTATGATATTTGAAATACACATAAAACCACACACACATACATGGACTCACACACACATACACATACACATTATATATATAATATATATATTAAAGTATTTTAAATATTATTAAGGATATTTTTATTTATGAGGAATATGGAATAGATCTGTAGTTTTCTTGTTGAGTCTTATTTTCATGGTGTATATTGGCTTCTAAAAGTGACTTGGAGACTGTTTTCTTTTCATATAATGACTGACATACTTGTACTGTATTTTCTGCCTCTAAAACACCCTGGTATTTATCATATGAGCTGATTCTGAGCCATAATTTCACTAACCCGTTCTGCTGCTAGAATGGAATGTCCAATATTTATGTACAGAAAGTTCATGTTTAATTGAAGTAGAGTCATATAAAAGCATTATGACAAATTCTCACATAAAGATTCTTGAAAAAGAAGAAAAAATATAGATTATTAAAACACTTAAAAATAAGATATTGTATTTAAGACACCAACACACATCTTTGAAGAATCTCCAACCAGCAATTTAGGTCATTTAGCATGAGTTTATTGCCATACCATTTCTTGAACTTAAAACGTCAAATTTCTAAGTAAATTCATACACCATTATTATTCAGGTGTGAACTGTTCTACTATATATTCTAAGGTGCCCTGTACATTTTAAAGTTCTATAAAATAGAAATCTATACTTAACCAGTTTGTATATACTATTTTATATAATTCATAGTCATCGCTGCCAACAGGTTATTAGCTCCGTGAATATAAGTGTGAGAAATTAAGGTGGTTCACTTTTATGACTTAAATAATTAACAGTGAAGAATACTCCCAACCCAATGTCTTATTTACGTTTTTATGAAAACAAACTTTAAGAGAAAGTCTTGAGTACTGGTCTTGGGAGGTGACACCAGGAGGAACAAGTGAGGCAATGAGAAATATGAAAGAAGGAAGGGGAAAAGCCAATAAAATGTGCATTCATGATTGGATTGTTCTGTCTTATATTGCCTCAAAATTGTCCCACCAGAATACGGTGAATCCGGGTTATTCACATATTGTCCTTCAGGAGCTGAGGATTACTTTGGAGTCATTAATTCCATCTTAAGTTTGTTTTTTTCAAGGAAGCTGCAATGTTTCTGGAAAAAGTCCTTAAAGGAGTAGTGGGAAAGTGTAAGCATGAAAGCTACACTGGCTGCAGGCAAACTCAGAGGTAGAAATGAATGTGATCTTCCACATTTTGTGCAAATCCTGGGTGTTTCAATAGGTGAATGACGTGAAAATATATGATGCATATCAAATCCAAATCAACACAATAGCTTTCAAATTGCATTAAAGGCAAATCCAAATTCCTGCAGATTAACTATCTTGAATCACTATTTTCAACCAATATCACATTGATTTGTGATAGCCTTTCTCAATATTATTAAGCACTTCATAAGTATTACTTAGTTCAACTAAGTGGTTATGCTGTAGTCCCTAAGTAAACTAGTTCAGGACAGAATATTTAAATGTATTTAATAAAGAAGCACAAGTTATTATGTGCAGACTAATCAGTAAAAGTTGTGATTAACATTGAAGAACTCTTATATCAGTTTGCTCTTGACAAGATTTTGTTTATCCTATTTTAGTGAAAAATAAGTTGACTTTTCAAAAGGTAATGTAGTTTAGCAGAAAACACTCAACAGGTACTCAAGAATCGGATTTATCTTCCAGATTCTAAAGTAGAGGCACAGCTTATAAATCACAAATGGCTATGATGATGGGGTTGGGAGCAAGTGGGATTATTTTTCCTCCCCATGAAATGAAAAAAAAAATGTTGAATTAGAAAAACTTAGGTTTGTTTCCAACTCTCTTATCCCATGTTTATGAATGAATGTTTGCAAAATAATACATTCCTCTGTTTCTGCAAATGAGTAGATATCTTCTTCCTTTCTTATCTCATACTATCATTGTGAACTTTAACGAGAAGTTCTGGATCTGAAGCAAATTTCCAGTGGTACAACAAACTGTGCTTGGTAGATATTGTTGAAGTACGTAAAAAAAGATACCTAAACAATTATATTGCTTCTTTATGACTTGTTTTTGTTAAAATAATAATTTAAAATACACTTTATTTCTGATATATTTTTCCTTGACTAAATTAGAGTTAGAAGTAAGTAGTTTACTAGTTAAGATTCCAACAGAATCCCACTATGTTACATAGACAAAAGCATATACAAATTTAGTTTTTAGAAAGATGGAAAGTGAAATTTGATTAACAATAAAATAACTTTTAGCATCATTTTAGTAAATCAGTACTTAGTTTTGTTGTTGATTGCATAAAAAAGATTCACACAGTAGGATATAATTTTGAAAGTGTTAAAATTTGCATTCATTAGAGTTGCAGTGGCTAATCAAGAAATTTCCAATTAAACACCACTTCAGCTACATTTTCATCAACTATGAGAACTGTCTACATAGTTAATGATAAAATTTCAGACTGCACCAAACTATTCTTGATCTGCTCTGGTCTGAATATTTCTGTCTTATAATTTTGTTATCTATCTTTGAGGGTAGGATCTGTGCCTTTTGTATTTTTGAATAATTGTTATATCTTCACATATAAACAAGAAACTGCAGAAAATATATATTTTTTGTTTCAAAGAAATTTATGGTATAAATTTCCTTATATTTGACAAGCAAATTGTGTTGATTGGAATGACTGTTAAAGGTGTTCTACCCAAATTTTCATTTTTTTCTAAGAAACTTGAGACCTGGAATGGTGAAATTATTTTTCAAGAAAGAAGAAAGGAGAGCTGAACTAGAACCTAGCTCTCCTCAGTATCATTCAATTATCAGTTTATTGCAACACATTTCAGTTGCAGTCATTAGTCAATAAATACATTTTGCCTACATTCTCCTAAGTACCAAAGTAGATACCAATAAATTGTGTTAAAGATAAATTACAATGAGTCTGTATAAAGAAGTGATAATTCTGCCTTATTCTGCTCAGTATTAATCTACTCATGTTCCAACTATTAGCCCATTTGCTTTGGAATTTTTGTTAATGAGCTATCAATTTCTTATTCCTATATCTTAAATTGGTACATACTTAAAATTTAGAAATGTACACTTAGTCTATATCAGATTTAATGACAAAATTGTGAAGTAGGAAAATATTTTGTTCAACTAGTGCTTTATGAAAAGCTCTGTGTCACCCTTAAGGTGAGACTTCCAGATGGCTAGGAACCTGCAATGCTTATTTATCCATGGGTCAGGGATGTCTAAGCCATTATATTCTATATGAGGAACATTAAGTATTATGACCATGGTCATGGACTCCACAATATGAGGGCCTCATCCTAGCCTTGACTGTCTCACTTGGTAAATACGGACTTCGATCAAATTATCTTTTCTGTCTGTGCCTCGCTTTTCTCTCTGGGCTTCAATTTCCTTATATAGTTACTGTAAGCAGTAAGTTAGCTAATTTTTGCAAAGATGATACTGCGTACTAAACATCATTTGGTAAGTAATCCACAAAAATAAACTTTTCAAACCTGATATATGGATTAAGACTGCTTTCCGATTTTTAATTGCAATAATATGAATCCAAAAGTGTGTCAAAACATTTAACTTTTATAAGCTACCTTTAAGTATTTTATTGTTAGATTAAGTTGGCTTCCCATTCTCCGATTATGGGTTGTATTCACTGTTTATTAGAGCACAATACTATAATATAAAGTTTCCCACTACTATAACGGTGGAGTAAGAACTTCTGAAAACTAGCTTTTTAATAAAAACTATGAGATCATGGTGAGAGCTGTCATTATCAACTTTTTCAGAACTTGTTAATTTCAACCAGCCAAAATGATTGAATTAAAGAAAACTGACTGAATCCTGATAAGAACAGTGAGTCTTTAGCTTTTTAATTTGCCCTAATCCTATCCTTTTCTGATCACTCCATCATAGTCTTGAAAATCAAGAATTTCACAAGTACGGTACCTATTAAAACTAGTACCTTAGTAGCATCTGGAGGGGGTAGATGGATTTAGAGCTCTCCAGGACCCCCATTATTAGAGAATTATCATTTTCTAACTTTGCAGCTTGTTGAAGAGCTCTATTCTTAGAGCTTGTTATTATTTTATCTAACTTTGAGTTAACTTTGTTCAAATAGCCTTATCCTCAGGGAATTTGTCAAAACCAAGAAACAAGAAGTATTTAATATGAAAACTGTCTGTGACAATATTACCAGTTAATTGAAGAAGACATTGGCCAGAAAAAAGTTTGGAAATGGCTGTACCTGGGAAATTTTTATAGACTCAACAAATTCCTGGGAACATAAAAGGCCGTGAACATTTGAAATGTTGTGTACAAGCCAAGAAAATACCTGAGAAGGCCTTAATTTCTCAATTCTGGTTGACCTTAAGGTATTGCTCAAGTGGGAAATAGAGGCTAAAACAGAGTAATAAACTGCCTTTCAGAGCACAGAGACTTGTCTCAACATACACACAGAATCACTCAGCTGGCTAAAATACATACTGGCCTAAGATATTTAACAGAAATTTTTGTCCAATAATTTAATGATTACTAGGCTAATTAAGCAAAGGCATCAAGTGCTTGCACATGAAAAACAATATAGATATTACAGAATTAGCCCAACAAATTCACTGAGCAACAAACACACATGATAATGAAAACCACTATACTCAACCACAAGAAGAAACCCTGTGAGAAAATTTGATTTAAAATGTTATCCATTAGATTATTAAAATGGCAACTTTTAAAACAACAACAAAAAGTTAAACAAAAAATAGAAAAGTGTGTCCTGTACACATGGTAGAAAGCAGTTGATGGAATTATCCCCAAGGAAGCCCAAATGTTGAATGAACCAAACAAAGAATTTAAAATATCCTTAAAACAGCAACCAGGCAAAATGATTATAACAATGATTTCTCACTCAATAGAGAATATGAATACAGGAATAGAATTATAAAAAAATATTGTTCAGTTCCCACCTATGAGTGAGAATATGCAGTGTTTGGTTTTTTGTTCTTGCGATAGTTTACTGAGAATGATGATTTCCAATTTTATCCATGTCCCTACAAAGGACATGAACTCATCATTTTTTATGGCTACATAGTATTCCATGGTGTATATGTGCCACATTTTCTTAATCCAGTCTATCATTGTTGGACATTTGGGTTGGTTCCAAGTCTTTGCTATTGTGAATAGTGCCACAATAAACATACGTGTGCATGTGTCTTTATAGCAGCATGATTTATAGTCCTTTGGGTATATACCCAGTAATGGGATGGCCTGGTCAAATGGTATTTCTAGTTCTAGATCCCTGAGGAATCGCCGCACTGACTTCCACAATGGTTGAACTAGTTTACAGTCCCACCAACAGTGTAAAAGTGTTCCTATTTCTCCACATCCTCTCCAGCACCTGTTGTTTCCTGACTTTTTAATGATTGCCATTCTAACTGGTGTGAGATGGTATCTCATTGTGGTTTTGATTTGCATTTCTCTGATGGCCAGTGATGGTGAGCATTTTTTCATGTGTTTTTTGGCTGCATAAATGTCTACCCTTGAGAAATGTCTGTTCATGTCCTTCGCCCACTTTTTGATGGGGTTGTTTGTTTTTTTCTTGTAAATTTGTTTGAGTTCATTGTAGATTCTGGATATTAGCCCTTTGTCAGATGAGTAGGTTGCAAAAATTTTCTCCCATTTTGTAGGTTGCCTGTTCACTCTGATGGTAGTTTCTTTTGCTGTGCAGAAGCTCTTTAGTTTAATTAGATCCCATTTGTCAATTTTGACTTATGTTGCCATTGCTTTTGGTGTTTTAGACATGAAGTCCTTGCCCATGCCTATGTCCTGAATGGTAATGCCTAGGTTTTCTTCTAGGGTTTTTATGGTTTTAGGTCTAATGTTTTAAGTCTTTAAGGGGAACATCACACTCTGGGGACTGTTGTGGGGTGGGGGGAGGGGGAAGGGATAGCATTGGGAGATATACCTAATGCTAGATAACGAGTTAGTGGGTGCATCGCACCAGCATGGCACATGTATACATATGTAACTAACCTGCACATTGTGCACATGTACCCTAAAACTTAAAGTATAATAATAAAAAATAAAAAATAAATAAAAAATAAAAAATAGGCAAACATAAATTCTAGAGGTGAAAAGTTCAGTAATTGAAATGAAAAATTTCCTAGAATGTCTCAACAGAAAAATAACAGAAAAGTTTGAAGTTAGTTGAGGTTGGTTCATGAGGTTTAAGGAAAGAAGCCATCTCCTTAAGATAAAAGTGTAAGATGAAACAGCAAGTGCCTATCTTGGTGTTGCAGCAAGTTATCCACATCTACCTAAGATAACTGATGAAGGTGACTGCACTAAACAACAGATTTTTCAATATAGTAATACATGAAGCAGCATTATATTGGAAAAATATGTCATCTAAGACTTTCATAACTAGAGAGAGGAAGTCAATATTTGGTTCAAAGTTTAAAATGATAAGCTGGCTGTCTTGGTAGGGGCTAATGCAGCTTCTGACTTTAAGTTAAAACCAATGCTCATTTACAATTCCAAAAATTACTGGGCTCTTAAAAATTATGTTAAATCTACAATGCCTGTGCTCTATACATGGAACAACAAAGTCTGGGTGACAGCATATCTGTTTACATCATAGGGTTTACTGAATATTTTAAGCCCACGATTGTGACCTACTGCTCAGAAAAAAAAAAAAATGACTTATTTTAAAGTATTACTGCTCATTGACAATGCATCTGGTTACCCAAGAGCACTGGTGAAAATGTACAAATTGTTTAGTATTTTCATGCCTTCTAACACAACATCCGTTTTGCAGTCAATGGATCAAGAATTAATTTAGACTTTCAAGTCTTATTATTTAAGAAAAATAGGTTGAAAGATGGTAGCTGCCATAGATTATAATTCATCTGATCAATCTGAGAAAAGCACATTGAAAATTCTCTAGAAAGGATTTACATTGTAAATGCTGGACACAGTGGCTCATGCCTGCGTCCCAAAGTAATCCCAACACTTTGGGAGGCCGTGGCAGGCGGATCACGAGGTCAGGAGTTTGAGACCAGCCTGGCCAATATGATGAAACTCTGTCTCTACTAAAAATACAAAAATTAAACTAAACTAAAAATAAAAATACAAAAATTAGCCAGGCGTGGTGGACCTGTAGTCCCAGCTACTTGGGAGGCTGAGGCAGAATAATTGCTTGAACTGGGGAGGCAGAGGTTGCAGTGAACCGAGATTGCGCCACTGCATTCCACCCTGGGTGACAGAGCAAGACTCTGTAAAAAAAATAAAAAATAAAAACATTTGAGATTCATGAAAGGAGATCAAAATATGAACATTCAAATGAGTTTGGAAGAAGCTGATTCCAGTCCACATAAATGACTTTGAAGGGTTCAGCACTTCAGCAGAGGATGTAACTGCAGATATGAAAAAAACAGCAATATAACTTGACTTAAAAAGTGGAGTCTGAAGGTGTTCCTGCACTGCTACAATTTTGTGACAAAACTTGAACAGATGCAAAATTGCTTCTTAGGGATAAGCAAGCAAAGTAGTTTCTTTATTTGATGTAAAACTTAAGTAGTACATTCAAGAAGCTTAATAAACTCAAAGTAGTATAAACTTAGAGATCAACACCTAGACACAATCAGAGTCAAGTTGTGGAAATTCAGTGACACAGAGTGAATCATAAAAGATTCAATAAAAAGTATCAGGGCATGCTCGTAAGATTAGCAGCTAACTTCTTGTCAGAAACCGTGGAGACCAGAAGGCTGTGGAATTAGCCCAAGTACTGAAACAAAACAAAACAAAACAAAACAACTATGAAGCACTGGTTCTATATCTATTGTAACTATCCTTTAAAACAAAAAATAAATCAAGAATACATTGATAAACAAAAGCTATGAAATCTTATAAGTTGTAGAATTGGCCTAGAAGAAATATTAAAGGGATTCCTGAGGCTCAATTGAAAAGACCCTAAACAATAACTCAATTCACATAGAGAAGAAAATTACATGAGTAAATGTAACTAAACTGTTAATAAAAATGTGTTTTCTTTATAATTTTTTCTACTTTTATCTGATATAAGAGACAATGGCACCAAGCAATAATTATATAACTGTTGATGCTCACAAAAATGTATAAAAATTTAGTTTACATGGCAATAACAGAACAAAAGGACCTGGAAGGAATGTAGTTGACATGGAGCAAAATTATTAGGTAGTATTTAAAATTAGTTGATATTAATCAGAACTATATTGTTTTAAGTTAAAATATTATTCACAATCCCCAGGACAACCACTAAGAAAATAGAACAAAAGAGAAAAATATATCAAATGAAACAATAATGAAATTAATTAAAGAGTGAATTATGAAGTAAAAATACTTCCTATAAAAAAATTCCAGGCCTAGATGGCTTTTTTGGTGAATTCTAATACTTTTAACAAAAAAAATGCCAATCATTACATAAACTTTTAGAATATAAAAGAGGTGCGAACTTTTAAAAATTTGTTGTATGAGGCTAGTGTTACATTTCCCTGATACCAAACTTAAGAAACACATCACAGAAAGAGAAAGATGTATGCCAAGTTTATTAATATTATGCAAAAATCCTTATCTAAATACGATCAAACTGAATTCACACAATGCAAAATGGATTATAGGCTAAGATCAAGTAGAATATACCTGAGAAAGGCAAGCATTATTTAACATTAAAAAACAATTAATGTAATACAAAATATTAAATAAATTTTAAAAAACCTGGCATGATTATCTCAGTAGATTTAGAAAAAGCATTTTAAAAATCCAGTATGCTTTTATGATAAAAGCATTCAACAAACCAGGAATAGGTGAAAACTTGTTCAACCTAATAAAGGCAAAGCTTATTGACTAGTATACTTATTGGTGAAATACTCAAAGCTTACCAAAAGATCAGTAATAAAACTTTATGTTAACATTTTACTGGAGGTTCTATTCAGGGAAATGAGGCATAAAAATGAAATAATAGGCACACAGATTAGAAAAAATATAAAACCATATTTATTTCCAGATGGTATGATCCTTTATATGAAAAATCTGAAGTAATCCACTAAAGTACTTACTATTAAACAAGGGCCGGGCGCGGTGGCTCACGCCTGTAATCCCAGCACTTTGGGAGGCCAAGGCGGGCGGATCACGAGGTCAAGAGATCGAGACCATCCCGGCTAAAACGGTGAAACCCCGTCTCTACTAAAAATACAAAAAAATTAGCCGGGCGTAGTGGCGGGCGCCTGTAGTCCCAGCTACTTGGGAGGCTGAGGCAGGAGAATGGCGTGAACCCGGGAGGCGGAGCTTGCAGTGAGCCGAGATCCCGCCACTGCACTCCAGCCTGGGTGACAGAGCGAGACTCCGTCTCAAAAAAAAAAAAAAAAAAAAAAAAAAAAACAAGTTCAGCAAGTTTAAAGGGCATAGGATCAATATACAAAAATCTGTTGGAAGGTTTTGCATATAAGAAGCTTGAAATTTGCTACTCTTATCCCAACAAGTAAGAGACTGAACAGACTGAAAAATCGACTTCTTTTTGGATCCGTAAGAGAGGGACAGACAAAAGGCAAACTGCTGTCCCCATGACTGAAGAAAAAGACAGGCAAACAAATGGAGTCATGGCCAACCAGAGTAGAGAATCACAAGCAGAAACAACCACAGGAACTAGTGCCAGGGTAGGAAAACCTAAATTGTAATTAAGAAATTGTTGGATGATCTTTGGATAATCTGAGTATTAAAAATTTAAAGAGAACCAGTCATAGTGAGGCTACTACACTTTTGTGAATTCTACCTCCAGAATAACAACCAGGTTCTCAGAGTAAATATTGGACAAAAAACCCGGTTGTTTCTGGCAGCAGGGATGGGTTTGGTGGAGGTTTCATTGTGAAACATGCTAGATCATTCTGTTCTTCTTAATAAGACCTAGCATGAGCCACCGTGCCTGGCCAGCAATAACCTTTTATGTGGTAGAAGAAATACCCAACTTCAGTCCACTCTAGCCCCCTACTTGGCAAAGAGGAAATATCCAACTCTAGTCCACACTAACCACTCTGCTGCACCTAAGAAGGAAAACCCAGAAGTACATGTGAAGTTCATTGTCAAGAGGCATAGGCTCCCTAAAAGACGGGGACCTAATAATAGGATCCCCTCATTGCACACCTTACCATCACATTACTAGAGGTCTGTTAGCGGCAATTCCTTTTACACATTATATTATATTCAGCTAGCAGGAAAAAAATGCAAGGCATACTAAAAGAAAAAAAACATACAATTTGAAGAGACAGAGCAAGCATCAGAACAAGACATGGTAGAAATGTTGACATCAGATTGAGAATTTAAAATCACTGTAATTAATATGCTAAGGGCTCTAGGGATGAAATAGACAGCATACAAAAACAGGTAGAAAATATAAGTAGAGACATGAAAATCTTAAGAAAGGACCACACAGAAATGCTAGAGATCAAAAACACTATAAGAGGAATAAAGAATGTCTTTGATGACCATATTAGTAAATGGGACAAAACTAAGAAATGAATCTACAAAACTGAGGATACTTTAATAGAAAATTGAGGGTAATTTACACATAATAAGAGTACTTGAAGGGGGCGTAAGGGACAAAATAGAAGAAATATTTGAAACAATAATGGCTGAGAATATATCCAAATTATTAGCCATCAACAAAGATCCAGGAAACTCAGAAAACATCAAGCAGGATACATAAACCAAAACAAAACATACAAACAAACAAAAAATTTTACATCTAGATATGGCATTTTCAAGATAAAAAATAATCTAAAAGAAGCCAGAGTGGAAAAAAAAAAAACAACCCACCTTATCTATAATGGAACGAAGATAAGAATTATATATGACTTTTCTTCAGAAACCATGCAAGGCAGAAGAGAATGGAGTGAAAAACTTAAAAGTATTGAAAGAAAACCCCACTAACTTAGAATTCTGTATCTTCTGCATTTATTCTTTAAAAATGAAAGAAAAATAATTTCTCAGACAAAGATCGAGGAAATTTGTTGCCACTATACCTGCCTTGCTAGTAATGTGAGTAGAAGTTATTTTGAGATATGGAAAATAATATAGGTCAGAAACTCTGATCTACATAAAGAAAGGAAGAGCATCAAAGGAGAAACAAGTAAAGTGAAACTGAAAACTTTTATTTTTCTTATTTTTAAGTAATCTAACAGATAACAGATTAAAATAATAGCAAAAGTGTGTTTGATTATGTATGCATATGTACGCATCATTTATATATCATATACATTGTTCATATGCTCACATAAGTGAAATAAATGACAGTAATAATAAAAGGGTAGAGAAGGGAGAAATTAGGATGATTTTGTTATAAAATATTCACACTACCTTTGAAGCAATGTAGAGTAACTTAAAGTATACTTGAGTGAGTTTTAAATGTATATGGCAAACTCTAGGGCAACCACTAAAAATAAATTTAAAAAGCAAAACCGATATACTAAAAAAGGAGAGAAAATAGAATCATATCAAATGCTCAATTAAAACCATATAATGCAGAAAAAATATGGAAGATAAAAATAGGAATCAAAAACAAGGGCGACAAATAGAAAAACAATGATATAATGCACCTATTAAAAGATAGAAATTGTTAAAGTGGATCAAAAAATAAGACCTAGCTGTATGTTTTCTACAAAACCCACTTTAAATATAATACAATACTTTTTAAAAATTTATTTTTTATTTTTATTTTTACTTTATTTTACTTTAAGTTTCAGGATGCAAGTGCAAAATGTGTAGGTTTGTTACATAGGTATACATTTGCCATAATGGTTTGCTGCACCTATCAACCTGTAATCTAGGTTTTAAGCCCCGCATACATTACTTATTTGTCCTAATTATTTTTCTCCTCTCACCTCTGAACCCCTGTCTGGCCCCAGTGTGTGTTGTTCCCCTCCCTGTGTCTATGTGTTCTCATTGTTCAACTCCCACTTATGACTGAGAACATGCAGTGTTTGGTTTTCTGTTCCTGTGTTAGTTTGCTGAGAATGATGACTTCCAGCTTCATCCGTTTTGCTGCAAAGGAAATGATCTCATTCCTTGTGGTGGCTTCATAGTATTCCATGGTGTATATGTACCACATTTTTTTTATCCAGTCTGTCATTGATGGGCACCTGTGTTGGTTCCATGTCATTGCTTTTGTAAATAGTGCTGCAATAAACATACGTGTGCATGTGTCTTTATAGCAGAATGATATATATTCCTCTGGGTATATACCCAGTAAGGGGAATGCTGTGTCAAATGGCATTTCTGGTACTAGATCTTTGAGGAATCATCACACTGTCTTCTGCAATGGTTGAACTAATTTACATCCCCACCAACAGTGTAAAAGTGTTCCTAATTCTCCACAGCCTCACCGGCATCTGTTATTTCTTGACCCATTAATAATGCCCATTCCGACTGGTGTGAGATGGTATCTCATTGTGATTTTGATTTGCATTTTTCTAATGATCAGTGATGTTAAGCTTTTCTTTATATGTTTGTTGGACGTGTAAGCATCTTCTTTTAAAAAGTGTCTGTTCATATCCTTTGCCCACTTTTTCATAGGGTCTTTTTTTTCTTGTAGATTTGTTTAAGTTCCTTGCAGATTCTGGATATTAGGTCTTTGTCACATGGGTAGATTGCAAAACTTTTTTCCCATTCTGTAGGTTGCCTGTTCACTCTGATCATAGTTTATTTTGCTGTGCAGAAGCTCTTTAGTTTAATTAGATCCCATTTATCAATTTTGGGTTTTGTTGCAATTGCTTTTGGTGTTTTAGTCATGAAGTCTTTGCCCATGCCTATGTCCTGAATTGTATTGCCTAGGTTTTCTTCTAAGGTTTTTATGGTTTTGGGTTTTACATTTATGTCTTTAATCATCTATCTTGAGTTAATTTTTGTATAAAGTGTAGGGAAGGGTTCCACTTGCAGTTTTCTGCATATGGCTAGCTGGTTTTCCTAGCACCATTTATTCAATAGGGAATCTTTTTCCATTGCTTGTTTCTGTCAAGTTTGTCAAATTTTAGATGGTTGTAGATGTGTGGTGTTAATAAAGGCACTATTCCTAATGGCAAAAACCGCACTTTCTTTTGGACCAACCTAATAGATTAAAAGAAAAGGGATAGAAAATTTTACCATAATAACAACAATAAAAAAATCAAGAGTAGCTATATTAATTTTAGACAAAGCAGGCATCAAATCAAGGGAAGTTACTGTGGTTAAAAAAGATATTATATTTTAATAAAGAAGCCAATTATTTAGAAAGACTTAACAATCCTTAATGTGTATACACCTAACAAAAGAATACCAAATTATGACAGGCAAAATCTCTTAGAAACATAAGAAGAAATGTATGAATCCTTTACTGTAGTTGGAAACTTTAACAGCCTATCAAAAATAGACAGTTTCAGTAGGCAGAAAATTAGTAAGGATATACAACACCATCAATCATTTAGTTATAATTGACTATAAACTATTTCATCTAACAACAGCACAATACACTTTTAAACTCAAGTAGAAGATTCACCCAAGAAAGGCTATATTCTGTGCCATAAAACACACTGTAACAAATTTAAAAGCATAGAAATCCTACAAAGTCTTCTATCAGACCACAGTGGAATTAAACTAGAAGTCAATAACAGAAGGAAAATTGCAAAATTCCAAAATAAATGGTGATTAAAGAACACACTTCTAAATAATACACGGGTCAAAAAAAAATCTCAAGAGAAATTTGAAAAAATATTGGTATCTAAATAAAAATGAAAACGCAGCTTATCAAAATTTGTGGGATGTAGAAAAACATAACTCACAGGGAACTTTATATCACTGGATGTATATATTAGAAAAGACTAAAGATCTAAAATAAATAACTTAAATTTCTACCATAGAAATCTAGGAAAAAGAAAAACAAGATCAATCCAAAGAAAAAGAAAATAAATTTTAAAAATTAGAGAAGAAATTAATGAAATCAAAACAGGAGATAAAAGTTAACAAAACTCAAACCTGTTTTTTTTTTTTTGAAAAGATCAATAAAATTGATAAACCTCTAGCCAGGCTACCAAAAAACAAACAAACAAAAACAAAAGAGAGAGAAAGAGCTGGAGGTAAGAGGATGCACAAATTACAAATATCAGAAATTAAATAGAGAATATCACTATGATTCCATGTCAGGTCCCTTTAATGGTTAGAAAAGATACACGATGAACATCTCTATAGCCACAAAGTTGATAACCTAGATAAAATGAACTGATTGCTTGCAAGACACAACCAGTCAAAACTCACATAATAAGAAATAGACAATCTGAACATGCCTTTACCTATTTATGAACTATGATACACAAAAAAGAAAGCATCAGGCTCAGATCCATTCACTGGTGAATTGTACCAAACACTTAAGGAAGAAAGTATACCAATTCTCTAAAATATTTTTCAAAAGATGGAAGCAGAGAGAATAATTTCTAACTCATTATGAGGACAAAAATATTATAATACCAAAGCCAGAAAAATATCTTATAAGAAAAAAAAAACTACAGACCTGTATCACTCATTTAAATAGATGCAAAAATCCTCAACAAAATACTAGCAAACCAAATCCAACAATACATAAAAAGAATTATACACTGAAACCAAGAAAAATTTATTCTATATATGAAAATATCATTCAACAATTGAATATCAACTAATGCAATTTATCATATCAACAGGCTGAAAAAAAATCACATGGTCACATTGAGATGCACAAACAAAACAAAACAAGCAGAAAACCCCACACATTTTACATGATCCCAAATGTGTACATGATAAAAAACAAAACAAAACAAAAAATAACTAAAAAACAAAACCTCTCAGCAAACCAGGAATGAGAAATAGCAAATATTTCTCAACTTGGTAAAATAATATCTAGCTACAAAAAAACATGCAACTAACATTGTACATAATTATGAAGAACTAGAAGCTTTTTCACTAAAATCATAAACAGGGCAAGAATGTCTCCTCTCCATGTTTTTAAACGTTGTACTGGTAGTTCTATCTAATGCAATAAGACAAGAAAAAGAAATAAAATTTGTACATTGGAAAAAAAAGAAATAAAACTCTGCATGCAGTGTCATGATAGTCTATGTAGAAAATATGAAAGAAACAACAATAAGAAAAAGATCTCCTGAAACTAGTAAGCAATTATAGCAGAATACAAGGTTGCAGAATACAAGGCAAATATGTTAAAGTCAAGTGCTTTCCTATGTATTAGCAATAAACAAGTAAAATCTGACATTGAAAATACAATGCTATTTAAATTTTCACCTCAAAAATGAAATACTTACATATAAATTTAACAAAATATGTGCAAGATCTATATTAGGAAAATTATAGAAATCTGATAAAAAATTAAAGAACTAAACAAATGGAGAAAGATTCCATTTTTATTGATAGGAAAATTTGATATTGTAAAGATATGTTCTTCTACAACTGATCTATGGGTTTAATGCAATTGCAATAAAAATCTAGTTACATTGTGGACATCAACAAACTGATTCTAATGTTTACAGAGAGAGGCAAAAGTTCCAGAAGAGCCAACACAATATTGAAGAAGAAAAACAAAACTGGAAGACTGACATTGCCCAACTTAAAGAATCACTATAAAGCTAGAGTAATCAAGACATCTGGCTGAAAGAAATACAAAACGATCAATAGAGTAGAGTGGAGGGCCCAGAAATATATCCCATAATATAGTCAACTAATCTTTTTATAAAGGAGCAAAGGCAATACAATGAAGTAAATGGTCTTTTTTTCAAATTGTTCTAGAACAACTATGCATTCTCATGAAAAAGAAGCTGGAAACAGACTTATACCATTCAAAAAATAAGCTCAAAATGGATTATAGATCTAAATATACAACACAAAACTATAAAACTTCTGGAAGATAACAGGGGACAATGTAGATGAGCTAGATTAGGTATGGCAATGACTTTTTACAACATCAAAGACACTATGAAAGAAATAATTGACAATCTGGACATCATTAATATTAAAAGTTTCTGCCTGTAAAAGACAATGTTATGGGAATAAAAAGCAAAGTACAGACAATGGGAAAATATTTGCAAAAGATATTTCTAAAAAAAGACTGTTATCTAAAATACACAACTCTTAAAACTTAACAATAAGAAAGCAATCTGATAAGAAATTTTTAATTGCCAGGGGTTGGGGAAAAGAAACGATATATAGGCAGAGTACAGAGGATTTTTAAGGCAACTAAAATACTTTATGTGATACTATAACAATAACTACATGTCATTATACATTTGTGCAAACTCACATAATGTACAATGCCAAGAAGGAACTCTCAAGTAAATTATGAATTTTGGGTGGTTATGATGTGTAATTGTGGGTTTATCCATTGTTACAACTCAATCACTCTGTTGGGCGGTGATATTGATCATAGTGGAAGCTATGCATATGTGGAGGGTAAGGGATATATAGAAAATATCTGTAACTTCCTCAATTTTGCTGTACTCTTAAAATTGCTGCAATCTTAAAAAATAGTCTTAAAATATCTATTGTATTTCTGTCCAATAACAGTAAACAATCTAAAAATAAAATTTATAAAACTATTATATTACAAAAGCTTAAATAAAAATAAAATATTTAAAAATATAAGGAACAAAAGTACAAAATGTGTGCAAGGAAAACTCAAAACATCATTAATTAAATTAGAGAAGATATAAATAATATTTTTAAAAACATTCTATGTTCATGGTCTAGAAAGCTTGTTAAAAGTGCAGTACTCCCACAAATCATCTACAGAGCCAACCCAATACCTATCTGCATGCTAAAGTACCAGGTGCATTTTTTTGAGAAATGGTCAAATTGGTTCTAATATTCACATAGAAATGCAAAGTTCATGTTTTGGAGTACTCTTTTCGGGGTTAATTCTGATTAGTAATTTTTTAAAACATTTGTGTACTTGAATATTTACATATTTTTCTAGATTTGAAAAGTTATCTGCTATTATTTTCTTAAATAAGCTTTCTATGCATTTATCTGTCTCTTTAACTTCATAAATCAAATATCTATTTTTTGTTGCTGTCTCATAAATCCCATAAGCTTTCTCCATTATTGTGTATTCTTTTTTCTCTTCAGACTGTCCATTTTAAAATAACTTTTATTCAAGTTCACACAGGTTTTCTTATGCTTGATCAGTTCTATTAATGCTTTCTATTGCATTTTTCATTTTGTTAATTGTGTTTTCTGCTCAGGATTCATATTCTATTGTTTTTTAAATATTTCAATCTGTTAAATTTTCTTTTCTGGTCATTTATTGTTTTTCAAACTTTATTAAATTGTTTCTCTGTATTTTCTTAAATTTCACTGAACTTCCATAAAATAGTTATTTTGAAATTTTGTCAGACAGTTCATGCATCTCCATTTCTTTAGGGTTGTTACTGGCATTTTATTTTATTTCTTCGGTTATGTCATGTTTTTAGATTGTTTTTGATCCTCATGGTTGTGCATCTATGTCTGCACATTTAAGGAAGTCGGTATTTATTCCAGTCTTTGCAGACTGGCTTTGTCTTTGCAGATTTTAGGCAGACCATTTGAAGTGGTTTTGATGCCTGAGGCCACTGTATTTTCTGTGGTGCTAGGGCACGCCCAAAACCTGGAGGCTAGCATGGCACTGGGACAGGCTGGAAACTTGGGGTCATTGAGGCCTGTCAGCCACTGAGGGATGTTTTGAACACAGAGCTACTGAGTGTGAACCAGAGATGGAGTCTGCTTCACAAGCATGAAACCTGGGGCAACAGCATCTGGCTTAGTGCTAGCTAGTCTGAGGGCTCAATTGATGGATACTGGCCTGGAGTTTGAGGTTATTGGGGCCTATTCAATTCTGAGTTTTATTGTTGTATGCTCAGTTTGGGATCTCAAAGCAAAGTCCTGTATGCACTTACCTCTCTCCTTCAAGTGGATTGTATTTCTGTCTGGGTTGTGCTGCCTGGGGTTGGGGAAAGGATAACAGTGGGTATTGTAAAACCCTCCTTCCTATCTTCTTCAATGCTTCTTTTCTCATTATTTTGCCTCAACCAGTTCTAGTATCACTCACCTAGTATTTATAGCTCTTGTTTAGGCATGTTTGTGGATAGTAGTTCAAATTGAGATTTCTGTGAGGGGACAATTCCTGGGAATCCTATTCTATCTTGCTCCACTTTTCTCTCAGAATAGAATATGTATTCAGGAATCATTATAATATACACAATATTTAGAGCCAAAAAAAAACTGGCTAAAGCACTAAGAAATAAGATTAGACAAGGAAAATAAACAGGCATGAGTACTGAGTCCTGGGGCATTTTAGTATTTAGAGATTATTTAACAACAGAAAGGCCACCAAATAGAGACTTACAAAAGAGCCAGTGAGATAGAAATAAAATATTTTAAAAATATTTTCTCTGAGGCAAATAAAGAGAGGGGACAAATTTGGGTCAAATAAAATCAGTGTAGTGTAGGATACAAGTAGAAGAAAGAGGGCTAATGAGTATAGTAAAAGTAGAAATAAACAAGGGAGTTGAGAGTGTGTGCAAGAGGTTGATACAAATCCTCTATCACACACTCTTCTTTTAGTTACCTGGGGATGAGTAAGAAAAAGCAGTGATGAGAAAGGTCTTCTAGAGTATTAACTGTATCAACTATAAACTATGGAAGAGAACATGGAAGGCACTTCAGATTAATTGTAATTATTTTTCAGTAAACATGATCTAACAAAACAAAGTGGGCATATAAAAATTTCCTTCAAATGTTCCAATAGTGTCTAAGATCTCATTAGAAAAAATGTAGCTTATTTCTTCTTCAAGCTTCTCAACTAGATATTCACCTGCTGTCACAAGGTTTAAATCATAGGCGTGTCAAACAGAAGAGCAGACTGAACTGTCTCTTCCATATTTAATAATAGCAATGAGATAATGTTTTTGTGCTGTGAGGAACTAGTGGTCAGAGAAAGAGAACCCAAACTACTGATGTTCAAGACCACCAAGGGCAGCTCCAGGTGGACAACAATGATGTCAAAGCACAGTGTTTGGGATACCTTCATTATACCAACAGTGTTTGGAGGAAGTATCAGTACACAGTTCTGGCTGATGATAACAAGGGAACAATACCTATTAAAAAGTTACAGAAAAGGATATGACAATCTCACCTGGCTTAACATATTATTATACAGGTGTTTTTTTCTATAATTTATGTAACTCTCAAAAATGCATCTGTATGAAGCCATTTCCATCCACCACTATAATATATTATTTTGTCTAATAAGTGACAATTATTTTAATAAATTCTTAAATGAAATCGAACATCCAGTAGATGTAATCTCTTGTTCTTGTTTCCTCAAGTGTTCATAATTTTGCTTTATTCTCACAGCTTATCTCAAACCTTTGATAATCCTCCTTAGTATTTGTTCATATATTTTAGCAATAAAACTTCATTTATATTTCTAAAGATGAATAGTATTATTAACCAAGAATTATTTCTTGGGAGGCCAAGGAGGGTGGATTCCTTGAGGTCAGGAGTTCAAGACCAGCCTGACCAACATGGTGAAACCCTGTCTCTACTAAAACTACAAAAATTAGCTGGGCATGGTGGTGGGTGCCTCTAATCCCAGTTACTCCGGAGGCTGAGGCTGGAGAATTGCTTGGACCCACGAGGCAGAGGTTGCAGTGAGCCAACATCATGCCATTGCACTCCAGCCTGGGCGACAAAGCCAGACTCCGTCTCAAAAAAACAAGAAAGAATTATTTCTTGTTTACTGTCATTTGTTTGAAAAGTTATATATAAATGAGAACTATTTGCTGAAATCTATCTAGTTTTATAGGTGAAAACAAATTTTTTCTACTTTTACGTCAATATAAAAGTAGACAAAAATGTTCCTTCTCTGTTTCTGCTTTGCATTAATTAGGCTGGGTTCTGCCTCTTTAAGATTAGGGTAAAACCCAAGCAAGAAAAAGCAAGTATACATTTTGAACTATCATAAACTATTAAAAACTGTAATTCATGTAAAAATTATAAATACTAGAGGCCAAACTATTATATAAAAACAAAGTTAACACATATAGTTTATAACATGATTTTTGGAAGGTAAATTTGGAGAATGTTACCAACATCTGTTTCTCTTCAGTTCAAGCTGATTGCATTAAATTAATTTAGGAAATAAAAAGTTTCCTGAGCTCATGATTTCACTAAATATCATTTCCTTAATATCTGTATGCTTAAATTATATTTCTTTAGAACTCAACAGAGAGGACATATTTTCCATTATGAGTGCATGTGTTCTTCAGTGCTATATAGAATTTCTTCAGTTGAAATGTTTATTCATTCTCTATAACCCAGCTAATGCATACATTTTATGCATCAAATTCTGTGATTTGATTTATAAACTGATAGTTTGTTTTATACATGGAGTACAAAATTTGTAATATAAATATCATTATAAAGCATATTTAACCAAGTACATGTCATTGTTACAAATTATAAATTGATATTCATTTTTAATAAAATGATTGTTTCAAAAAGGGTCATCTTTTAATTAATGTAATATTAAAATTAAATATACAGTAAAATAATTGTTATTGTTAATAATTCTAATTTAATATTTGGCCTACTTTTTCTAAAATGAAATACTTTTTGTTTTGCACTAAAGACTTTATTGTAATTATCATTACAAGTGGATACGAATACTCTGTAAGTCCATTCTCCTTTATTATACATATTGACACTATAGGTCAGCTGTAGATCTCTTACAAATATGTTCTTTTATGGTCAAAGGGAGGTTGAGGTTTCTAAATTAAGTTGCAGTTGAGAAATCACAAATAAAACCAGGCTGTCTCCACCCACCTTTCAAAAATTATAGACAGAAAGTGACAGGTAGAAGATGCTTCAGGTCTTAGAATTCCACAGAGACAGGCAAGCCTGTCTCCCTAAAGATTTGTAGTGCAGCGACATTCAGTCACAGTGAAACATATACTGACATTGAAATGTGCTAAAGGATATTATGAAAAATAGCCCTGATGATTGCCAATATTGCAGTGTATTTGAAGAATGACTGGAGATCAACAAACAGAATAATTCACGCTCAGGATGTCACTTTAAATCTAAGTCTATTCTTAATACCAAACTCTTACTATACCAAGAGTTTAACACCTTTAGTTCATCTATATATAAAAAAATACTCACTCATATCATTGGCAAATTTTATCTTCTGATTAAGAACTTCTTGATTTCCAGTTCAGACAATTCTGAAGAATAAGAACGTTGAGTGATTGCCTTGACCTCATCCTACACAACCAGTCAAAAGTTGATGAATGACTCTTAGTCTATTAATCATGCAAAGGGAACAACATGAGGTATTATTTTCTCTTGAGTACAAAATTAGGAGTGCTGTCAAAAGCACTGACACAGCCAACAATTACTGCAGTGTTTTCCAGTTATTCCATTAATAATATAATGTTAATTAGAATGCCCCCAAAAATAAATTTGTGACTTTCAAGAGAGTCTAGATATATTATTCCAGCCATTATTTATAACAAATCATTGAACAACAAACTTAAAAATAAGCAAGTCAAGCTTAGGTCAACTTTACCTTCTGGGGCTAAGTAAAATAATTTACCTCATGTAATATTCTATATTTGTAACATGCAAATTTACATATGGAAATTACTACAAGATGTTTTGTAGTGTAGTTGCTAATCTTTGGCCCCATGAAATTCTTCCTTTATCAAAAAGTATATTGTTATTTACCTGCCTGCTACAAGAAGATAACCAACAAATCCAATTAGAAAATAAATTAAAATATTGTCGATATTTAAATTAAATATCCTATTATTTATGTCAAAATTTTTAAATAGACAAGGTAAATTTATGTTACAATGTACTTATCTTGTCAATAACTAGGGTCATAGAAACATAAAGTAATGTTCCTGATATTAAATAAATAATTAAAATTTTGAGCTACCTCATTTCATAATTGAAAAAATGATTGAATCACACTGTCAAAATTATTTATCTTTTCTAAGCAATATGAGACTTCTTAAAGAACATGTGTCTTTCGTATCAATGGAAATTCTTGAAAATAATTGAAATAGACCATCAGAACCCTGAGGTACCTTCTTCTCTACGTTGAAATATTTTCCTTTGAAATTAACAATAATTAAAATTTCCAAGAATTTTTTCTTAAATTTTCTCATTTATTAAATTATTGATTCATCCAGCGAATGTTAATGGACACAGACTGTATTTCAGGCTCTTTGCTTAGGCTGAGGATAGAAGATGAAGAAATAAGTTAATCATGGATATGTACCTCTAGCCTGATCTTTAGAATGCATTCTTAGTATGTATACCTAAAGAACTCATGGATGTCAGATAGGATCCTTAAACTACGTATTTTAAAGTCATGCTTCTCATATTCTCTCTCTCACACACACAAACTATTTCTCCTTGGGATAATAAACACTTCATCCTTCTAGATTGTTAGGTCAAAAATCTATAGTGTAAACCTTCACTCTACTTTTTTGCATACCTTACATCCTCTCTATCAGCTAATGCTCTTGAATCTACCATCACAATATGCCTGTAGAGTGAAATACATTAATGTCTGCAACTTACAATGAAGGCATAAAAAAGAAGAATTGATAGCTAGATAAAAAATGAATAGATAGATGTGTCATAAATCAAATATAGCAAAATGTTAATTGTCAATCTAGCTGGGTTTTGTATTTTCTCTGTGTAATTCTGATAATTTTTCTATATATTTGAACATTTCATAATAAAATATTCAGAAGGAAAACATCTATGACACATTATTTTTCCTAAAGTTGCAGAGGACTAAATTCCTTCTCAATAACAATTACACATTTTTGACAAATATAAAAATTGTAAAAATGTGAACATTGTGAAGAATGACCAAAAATAGGTAGAAGCTGAAAGGTATATGACTTTTTAAAACAATAAATCACATTACGAATATCGCTATGTGAGATCCACATTTAACAGGCTTTTCTGCTTAGAGCGTATGGTTTAAGTCTTAAAGTTAAGTTCCAGTATTATAAACTGCTTCAAAATCTGGTAAAGTTGGGAGGGCCTCCAGTGGGCTCACCACCAGTTGCCTTCCCACCTCTGCTCCTACAGATAAGTTACCCTAGCCAAACAACCATAAGGGGGAAAATGACAGTTCCTGCTTATTGCTGAGTAATGGGTTTCCAGCCAGCCTGCATAATTTTTCAAACAAGCCAATTACATTCTCTTTTGGGAACCAGAGATACCCTGTCCTCTTGATATTATGAAGTTTACCTGCCACTGCTTCTGGTTGGTAATTCCAAGTACAATCCCTATGTGGCTGTGCAGGACACGTAGTATGTTCCTTCCCCAGGTTGTGAGTATATGTGACTAATAAACTGCTGTCCATCCCATCTGTCCAGGACTGGGTGTCATCTGTTAAACTATCCCCATAACAATAGGTTAGAAATCTTTTCCTTGCTAATGGGGTGAACAAAAGATAATTAAAGCAGAGAATCTCCCCAGCCTTCAGTCTTACAGTGCAGAGTGTGAGATTCACAATGCAAGTAAAAAGTAGCAGCAATGTCACAGGAGTAGTAAGTCAAAGTTTCTAATTTGGGATGCCAGAATACTTAGAAATGGTTTGGGAAATATCACGATTAAGGAACCTTAAGAATTTACAAACAAACTCACCCTGAAATATCTTGCCATTAAATTACACACACACCTGGAGAAACTGCAGGAATGCAGAGATAAGTAAAAGCTGTAAGATTAAAGATCTCAGAAGATAATATATAAGCTACCCAGTTGTGAAAATAAAGAGTTCAAGTCCCCCAAGTTACACGGCATTGTAAACATCTTGGGCTTCCACTGAACTTCAGATGCAACAAACATTAGAAATAAAACAGCTATAGCATTATGTGCTATATTCCAAGGTATGGGTAGAAATAATAGACTTAACATAAAGTCTAAAACCAAGCCTCCATTGGATCAAGGTGAACTGACAGTAGCTGCCAATTACTACCTGCTAGAACAAAATCCAACATTCCCTAGAGGAAGATGACAAAATCCCATGTCACTGCAATATGGCACCCACTGCAATATATATTGTTCACTATATAATTTAAAAATGAGGCAAGAAGAGAAGGAAGATAGGAAACATAATCTAGAGAAAATCATAGTCAACAGAAACAGGCTCATTATACAGATGTTAGAATCAGGAAAAAAATTAAATAACTGTTATAAACATGTTAAATAATTTAAGAAGTATATAGAAGAGTAAATTTGAGATAAGAATCAATTATGAAATATGGAACTAAGAAATACAATGTCTTAAAGAGTCAGTTGCTTCACCTAAAGATAGGGCTCTTCAGAAGCATGTAAAGTGAAGCATAGAGAAACAAAAGATTGAAAAAAAATTAACAGAGCCTGAAATACATGTCGGGAAATGTCAACTGTAATCAAAATGTGCACTATATAATGCACTAGGCAAGAATAGAAAAAATACAGGAAACATAGTCTGGAGAAAAGGAAAGAGTAGAAAAGACAAAATGAGAGAAAAGACAAAAATGTTTTTAAAAAATTTTTAAACATTTTAGATTTGGTTAAAACATTAATCTCAAGCTTCTATAAAATCAGCAAAAAGCTAAATTTAGTAAGTAAATTTAGAAGGACTAAGTAAATAAAATTACAATAAAAAATTGCAGATTAAATACTATAAAAATTGAAAATAAAATTAAAATATATTGTTAGGATTTTACTTCTGATTGGGACATGGAAAGCCACAAGAGAATGTTCTTTCCATCTTTACCAACAGCAACAAAAATAATAAAACAGATAATATATAAAATTCCAACTTTTTGTTGAACCTATAAGAAAATTTAGGAAATAAGGCAACCAGATGAATGAAATTCCAAAATATGACAAGCCCTTTTGGTAAAAATCATCAATTGTTTCCCTATACGAGGGTACTAAAAGAATAGGAGTAAACCAAAAAAGTGATAAGAAAAAAAATCTGAAAATATAATGGATGTTTAAAGTCAGTTTTGGCTAACAAGGCAGATCAGATATAACAGGAGGCCATCCTGACTTGCTAACTCTTTTTCCATAGACCTCCACTGTATGTTCAAGTGAAAAATTGGAGGTCAGACGTGTGACATGAGAGAGCATCTTCAGTGGAGCAGCTGTGCTGCTGATGATTAGCTGTTACTGAAAGGTAGGCATAAATATCGTTAGCTTCTCATTCCTTCTTCTGTGGTACAATAGTGAAGGACCTGTAGAAAGCTGAGGATGGAAAAATAGCACTGAGAAAAAAATCCGGCATTCCAGACTTCACACCAAGTAGGATGAATCAGTAGTTCATCATTGGAGAGATAGAAAGTCAGTGGTATGTTGAAGGTAACTATAACAACAACCTAACTTCAGTTTGGCCTAATTACTAAATTGATTTAATTACTCGTACTAAAGGAATAACAGGAAAAAGGGGCAAACAATTTGGGGAAATAGATAATATTTATCACAGTCTCTGCTAGTCTTTCAATTACGATGTACAACAATCCTAAGAAAGGCAGAAAAAGAGAAAAACAAAAACAAAAAAGAAAAAGGTCAAATACGAAAAAATAAGACTCTTATGCCTAACCATGTAAATTGGAAATAGTCTAGGCACTTTTATTAAAGGAAGAATATGTCAGATTGGATATAAAAATGATACCTGAAAACATGATTTGTACACTAAATTCACCAAAACATTTATAATTTGAAAGTAAAAAGATGAGGAAATATTTCATATAAACAGTAATCAAAGGAAAGCTTCATGGCTCTATCAATCACTGTAGACTTTAGAACAAGAAAAATTACTAATGATATGACCCTTAAATATATTTCAAGAATGGGCCAGGCACAGTGGCTCACACCTGTAATCTCAGAACTTTGGAATCACCTGAGGTCAGGAGTTTAAGACCAGCCTGACCAATATGGTGAAACCCTGTCTCTACTAAAAATACAAAAATTAGCCAGGTGTGGTGGCAGGTGCCTGTAATTCCTGCTACTTGGGAGGCTGAGGCAGAAGAATCGCTTGAACCCAGGAGGTGGAGGTTGCAGTGAGCTGAGATCATGGCATTGCACTCCAGCCTGGGCAACAAGAGTGAAACTCCATCTCAAAAAAAAAATTATTTTGAGAACAGTTACAGGATAAATTCATCAAGAACCTGTTACAATACTAAAACTGTATGTACCTAATAATGTCATCAAAATCCATAATGCAAATGAATTGTTAAAATAAGAATTCCAGTTGCATTTGGAGATGTCAGCCTTTTTCTCTCTGTAACTGAGAGATTATAGAGAAAAAAATAGATAAAATATTGTATTAGCTCATTCTCACACTGCTATAAAGGTACTACCCAAGACTGACTTATTTATAAATAAAATAGGTTTAATTGACTTACAGTGCCACATGGCTTGGGTGGCCTCAGGAAACTTACAATCATGGTGTAAGGTGAAGAGGAAGCAAGGTCCTTCTTCACATGGTGGCAAGAAATAGAAGAGTGAGGAGTGAAGGAGAAAGAGCCCTTTATAAAACATCAGATCTTACGAGAACTCACTCACTATCATGAAAACAGCATGGGGGAACTGCCCTCATGATCCAATCACCTCCCATGAGGCCTCTCCCTAGACACATGGGGATTACAAGGATTATAATTGAGGATGAAATTTAGGTGGGGACACAGCCAAATCATATCGTTCTGACCCTAGCCCCTCCCAAATCTTGTTCTCTCTTTTCAAAGCACAGTCATGCCTTTCCAACAGTCCCACAAACTCTTAGCTCATTTCAGCATTAACGCAAAAGTCCAAGTCCAAAGTTTCATGAGACAAAGCAAGTTGCTTCCACGTAGGAGCCTGTAAAGTCAAAAGCAAGTTAGTTCCTTCCTAGATACACTTGGGTAGAGGCATTGGTTGAATACACCCATTCCAAATGGGAGAAATTGGTCATAACAAATGGCTGCAGGCCCCATGCATGTCCAAAATCCAGTGGGGGCAGTCATTAAGTCTTAAAACTCCTAAATAATGTCTTTTTACTCCATGTCTTGTATCCAGGTCATGCTGATGCAAGAGGTGGGCTTCCCCAGTCTCAGGCAGCTCTGCCCTTGTGGCTTTGCAGGGCACTGTCCTCTTCTCAGCTGTTTTCACAAGCTGGCATTGAGTGTCTGGAGCTTTTCCAGACACACTTTGCAAGCTGTCAGTGGATCTACCATTCTGGGATCTGGAGGATGATTGCCCTTTTCTCACAGTTCTCCTATGCAGTGGTGGACTCTGTTTGGGGGCTCCAACCCCACATTTCCCTTCTGCACTGCCCTAGCAGGGGTTCTCCCTGAGGGCTCCACCTCTGCAGCAAACCTCTGCCTGAACATCCAGGTGTTATCATACATTCTCTGAAATCTAGGCAAGGTTCCCAAACTTCAATTCTTGACTTCTGAGGACCTGCAGTACCAATACCACATGGATGCTTCCAAGGCTTTGGACTTGCACACTCTGAAGCAACAGCTTGAGCTGTACATTGTCCCCTTTTAGCAATGGCTGGGAGGCAGTGTACCAAATCCTGAGACTGCACAAAGCAGCAAGGTCCTGGGCTTGGCTCACAAAACCATTTTTTCCTCCTTGGCCTCTAGACCTATGATGGGAGGGGCTGCCATGAAAACCTCTGACATTCCCTGAAGACATTTTCCCAATTGTATGTGTGATTAATATTTGGCTCCTTGATACTTATGAAAATTTCTGCAGCTGGCTTGAATTTCTCCCCATATAATGGGTTTTTCTTTTTTATCACATCATCAAGCTGGAAATTTTCCAAACTTCTATTCTCTGCTTCCGTTTTAAACACAAGTTCCCATTTCAAGCCATCTCATTGTGAATGCAGATAACTGTGCTTTTAAGAGCACCCAGGTCACATCTTAAATGTTTTGCTGCTTAGCTATTTCTTCCACCAGATCCCCTAAATTATCTCTCTCAAGTTCAAAGTTCCACAGATCTCTAGGCAGAGGCAAAATGCTGTCAGTCTCTTTGCTAAAGCATAGCAAGAGTGACATTTTCTCCAGTTCCGAGTAATTTTCCCATCTCCATCTGAGACCACCTCAGCATGGACTTCGTTGTTCACATCACTATCAGCATTTTGATCAAAATCATTCAACAAGTGTCTAGGAACCACCAAACTTCCCCACATCTTCCTGTCTTCTTCTGAGCCCTCCAAACTGTTCTAACCTCTGCTTGCTACCCACTTCCAAAGTTACTTCACATTTTTGGGTATGTTTATAGCTGTGCCCCACTCTCTGTGGTTTCAATGGACTATATTAGTCTGTTCTCATACTGCTATAAAGATATGACCTGAGACTGGGTAATTTATAAAGGAAAAAGGTTTAATTGACTCACAGTTCCACATGGCTCTGGAGGCCTCAGGAAACTTACAATCATGGTGGAAGGCAAAGAGGAAGCAAGAACCTTCTTCACATGGCAGCAGGAGAGAAAAGTGTGAGGAGCAAATGAGAAAGAGCCCTTTATAAAACCATCAGATCTCATGAGAACTCACCCACTATCCTGAGAACAGCATAGGGGAACCAACCCTTATGATCCAATCACCTCCCACCAGGTCTCTCCCTAGACATGTGCCGGTTGTGATTACAATTCAACATGAAATTTGGGTAAGAACACAGTCATATGAAATATTAAAGACTTAAACAACACTATCAAAAAAATTGACTTATTTGACATTTTTACAACACTTCACATGACAAAAAGAGTATACATATTAATTAAGTACAAATGTGATATTTAACAAAATAGACAAAATTCTGGCCTATGTAACAAGTGTTACCAAATTTAGAGACCAAAATAATATGAAATGTGTTATCTGAAAACTAAAATATTAAATGAGTCAGTCAAAGAAATGTAGCATATATTTTGAAATTAATGAAAATGAAAATCAATGTATCAAAATTGTAAGATACAGCTACAAATTTTTTCTACAGTGCTTAGAAAAAATATATAGCATTTAATGCTTATAAAATATGTGAACAGAAATCTCAAGTCAATAATATAAAGTCCTACTTTAATAAATAACAAAGGAAGAGAATAATAAGCCCAAATACATCAAAAGGAAGAAAATAATAAACATAAAATGAAATACGAAGCAGAAGAGCAACAGAGAAAAATCAATAAAACAAAAAGTTGATTTTTATAAAATTTCTAATCTTCAGGTTAATAAATAAAATAAAAACATAATATTGTTCATATGGGAATGAAAGAAAGGTAATGTATATAGTAAAATAGAAAAAAATCAAAGTATTTTATTTTTAATAACTTTTATGAAAATTTCCCTGAGAAGCTGCAACTAATCCAAACTCAATTAAAAAGAAATAGGTAATCTGGCTTTTATAGATATTAGATAAAATAATTTCACAAATATAACAGAAAAAATAAACTTTCTGCATTACATATTTCAGGCTCAAATGACTTCAATGTTAAATTCTACCATAAATTTAAAAAGATATATTTCATATTGTCTTCCACAATATAGAAGAAGAAGGGGAGTATCATTAAGCCATTTTTGTACTAATACATAATAAATGTACATATTTTTAGGGTACTAGTGATAATTTGATACTTTCATATAATATGTGTCAAGATCTATTCAAGACAATTGGCATATCTATCACCTTAAATATTTATATTTTATTTGTCAGGAATATTCAAATTATTATCTGTTTTTCCCTGTCATTTTGATAAAAGCCATTTTAACTGGGGTGCTATCATTGTGGTTTTGATTCACATTTGTTGGATGATTCGTGATGTTGAGCATTTTTCCATATACCTGTTGGCTATTTGTATGTCTTCTTTTGAGAAATGTCTATTGAGATCTTTTGCCCATTTTTAAATCATTTTTTTGTTTGTTTATTTGAGCTCCTTATGCATTCTGGTTATTAATTCCTTATCAGATGGATAACTTGAAATATGTTTTCTCATTCTGTGTGTATCTCTTCACTTTTTTATTGTTTTCTTTGTTGTACAGAAGCTTTTTAGCTTAATGTAACCCATTTTGCCTAGTTTTGCTTTTCTTGCATATGCCTTTGAGGTCTTACACACAGAAAAAAATCTTTGTCTAGATCAGCATCTTGGTGCATTTCTAGTAGATTTTTCTGGTAATTTCTTAGTTTCACATCTTAGGATTCAGTATGTAATCCATATTGATTTGATTTTTGTATATGGCAAGAGATTCTTCTGCATATGGTTATCCATTTTTCCCAGCACAATTTATTGAAGAGGGTTTTTCTCATTCTGTGTTATTGGTGCCTTGTCAAAAAAGAGTTGACTGTAAATGTATGGATTTTTCTCTGGATTCTCCATTTCATATCATTGGTCTATGTATCTGTTTTATGCCATTACCATGTTGATTTGCTTACTATAACTTTGTAATATTTTGAAGTAAGGTGGTATAATGCCTCCAGCTTTGTTCTGTTTGCTCAGGATTGCTTTGGCTATTCAGGATCCTTTGTGATTCCATATTAATATTAAGATTAAAAAATTCTATAAAGAAAGTCATTGGTATGTTGATAGGGATTGCATTGAATCTGAAAATTGCTTTGGGTAATATTGTCATTGTTTATTATACATTGATATAATAACTGTATTATTTCTTCCAATACATAAACATGAAATATCTTTTTATTTTTGTGTATTCTTTTCAATTTTTTCCTCCGTGTGTTATAGTTTTTCTTGTATAGATCTTTTGCTTTTTCGTTAAACTGATTCCCACATATTTTACATTTTTGTAGTTATCATAAATTGTATTACATTTTTATTTCTTTTTTAGATTGATTGATGTTTGCAGATATAAATGCTACTGATATTGTATGTTGATTTTCTATGTTGATTTTCTAATCTGAAAACTTACTAAATGTGATCATCAGTTTTAATAGTTTTTAGTGGAGTCTTTAGCATTTCTTAAATACAAGATCATGTCATCTGTGAACAATAATAATTTTTCTTCTTTCTTTTCAGTTTTGGTTGCCCTCATTTCTTTCTCTTGCCTAATTGCTCTAGCTAGGCCTTCAGGTATTTGTTATATTTAATAACAGTGGCAAAAGTAGACATCATTGCCTTCTTCCAAATCATAGAGAAAAGGCTTCAGTTATTCGCTATTCAGTATGAGGCACTATGGGTTTGTCATACACAGTCCTAATTATTTTGAGGTATGTTCCTTCCATACCCAGTTTTTTGAGGGTTTTTCTCATAAAGAGATGTTGAATTGTATTGAGTGCTTCTTCAACATCTGTTGAACTGATCACATAGTTTTTTTTTGTTTGTTTTTGGTTCTATTAATGTGATGTATAACATCTATCGATTTGCATATTCTTGTATCCCTGGATAAATCTCACTTGATCATGGAGATTTTTAAAACATTTTTGAATTAAGTTTGCTTGTATTTTGTTGAGGACTTTTCCATTCATGTTCATCAGTGATATTGGTCTGTAATTCTTTTGTTGAGTCCTTGTCTGCTTTTGGTATCAGGGTAATGCTAACCTTATAGAATGAATTTGGTAGTATCCTTCCTTTCCTTTTTTTTTTTTTTTTTTTTTGAAAAGAGTGAGTATAATTGATATTAAATCTTCTTTAAAAGTTTGCTTTAAAAGAATGGACCAATGAAGCCATCAGGCCATGAGATTTTCTTTGCTGGGAGACTTTTTATGACAGCTTCAATCTCATTACTCTTCATTGGTTTGTTTAGATTTTCTATTTTTTTATGATTCAACCTTTGTAGATTGTGTGCGTCCAGTAATTAATCCATTTCTTCTATTTTTTCCAATGTGTTGATTTAGAATTCTTCATAATCACGTCTAATGATTCTTTGTATTTCTGTGGCCTTGGTTGTTACATCTTCTATTTGTTTCTGATTTTATTTGTATCTTCTCTCATTCTTGCTATTCTAAGACAAAATTTGTCAATTTTGTTTACCTTTACAAAATACAAATTTCTTGTTTTGTTGACTCCTGTATTGTTTTCTTAGTCTCAATGTCATTTATTTCTACGCTGCTCTTTATTCTTGCTTTCATTTTATTAATTTTGATTTTTTTTGTTATTGCTTTTTTAGTTCCTTGAGGTGCATCATTAAGTTTTTTAGTTGCAGTCCTTCTACTTTTTTATTTAGATGTATATTGCTAAAAACTTCCCTCTCACTACTACTTTGTGGTATCCCATAGTTTTGGTATGTTGTTATTTCCATTTTCATTTATTTAGAAAATTTTTTTAATTTTCTTCTTAATTTATTCATCAACCCATTGGTTGTTTGGGATTATTTTGCTTAATTTCTGTGAGTTTGTACAGCTTCTGAGATTTTTCTTGTTATTGATTTCTAGTTTTAGATACTTGATATATTTTCTACATTTTTGAATTTGTTGAACCTTGTTTTGTGGCATAATATATGGTGTATTCTGGAGAATGTTTCATGTGCTCATGAAAAGAATGTATTCCATGTGCTGATGAAAAGAATGGTGAACTGATTTTTAAATGTCAGTTAGGTGTATTTGGTCTAGTGTGTAGTTGAACTCCAATATATCTTTGTCTATTTTCTGCCTGGATCATCTGTCTGTTACTAAGAGTGGAAACTGGACTGATGAAGTCCCCTACTGTTATTTTATTTCACTCTAGCTCCCCTTTTGGATCTACTAAGGTTTGCTTCATATATCTGAGCTCTCCACTGTGGGATTTATAGTTGTTTATAATTGTTGTATCCTCTTGATACAGCAGTTTGGCACTAATTGGAACCTTAAATCCCAGTTTGCTTTGGCTCTGGTAAATGATTAAAGGGTTTCTGGTCCTGAATGGGACAAGTCCCAAAGGTGATATCCTCAGTGTGAGAAAGCTGGCTAGTGGTTTGTGCCTAGTGAACTTACAGAAATCAGAAATAAATATAAGAAAATATGTGTAAGTTCTGTGACTGAAAACTACAACGTAGGCCAATGGAAATTAAAAGAAGAGCAAATATATTAACAGATTTTACAGATTAACAAATCAGAAGATTCATTATTTTTAAATACCAATTTAAATTTATCTCCAGTGACATATAGATTCAATGAAATTCTAGTCAAAGTCTCAGCAATTTGTTTTAGAAATTGATAATCATAAAATTTATATGGAAATGAAAAAGAACTAGAATAGTCAATTTTAAAAAATTAGAGCCACCACTAATTGATTTAAAACTTTCTAGTAAGATACAGTAATAAAATAGTATGTTATAGTCCTTACATATATAGGAAACAGAATAGGAAGTTCATTAATTGACCCATGCATATATGATCAATAGACATTCATCAAAGATGTCAAGAAAATCCACTGAAAAAAAAATCCTTTCAACACATAGTCCTCAAAACTGGAGATTATATATATATATATATATATATATGTACATATGTGTGTACACGTGTGTATGCATATATATACACTTATACATATTTCACATGTATACACATATACATATTTCACATATATATGTGAACTAAATGAACAATCATACAATCTTAGTTTGAATCATGTATAAAAATTAACTAAAAATGAATCTTAAGACTCTAAATCTAAATATAAGAATTTAAACGTTAACACTTCCAGAACAAAATATCAGAGAAAAATTTCGTGACCTTGTGTTAAACAGGGATTTTCAAAATAAGACACAAAAAACATGAGATATAAAAAATAACGATTAATAAGACTCCATTAATATTAAAACTTTCTAATCTTTGCAAAACATAGTTAAGAAAAATATTTACAAAACGTGTCTTTAATAAAGAACTTTTTTTGAGTCAAATAAAGAAATTTCACATTCAATATTGAAAAGAGAAGCAATCCAATAAAAATGGGCAAAAAGGTGATATATAAATGTTTGATACACACATTTAAAGATGCACAATATCCTTATACAACATGGAAATGTAAATAAAGTCACAGCGTGGTCCTAATTGAAAACTTATACATTGTTGGTAAAATTAACATAAACAATGATGCACCAACAATGCCATACCAGCAATTTGGGAAAATACTTTGTTTAAAAAAATATGTAAAGTTAAGCATACCCTAACCATACTACCCAACAATACTATTCCTATGTATTTACCCCAGACTAACAAAAGCAAAGGTTCTTACTAATACATGCATGTAAATTTTCCAAACTGTTCTGTTCATAATTATAAAAAACCAGTCTCCATCAACTACTCAGTAAAAAATTATGGTACATCAGCACAATGGTATACAACTCAGTAATGAAAATAATAAGTTACTAATATACAAACAACATAGTTAATTCCCTAAAGATTCTTAATAGTCTGCATAATTTAAGGTTCCAGTCATACTAAAACTCTAGAAAATATAAAACTATGGTGACGATAAGCAGAGCCATTTTTATGTGCTGGGGGTTGGAGAAGAAAACTGGCTTCAAAGGGACTCAAAGAATCTTTTGAGAGTGATGTAAATATTCATTTTCTTTATTTTGTTCCTAACTACAGGGCTTTTTACATGTTTCAAAACTCATTAAATAGTATACTTTTAAAAGGATGAAGTTTAGGGCACATAATTTGTATTTAAATAAACATGAAAAAACAAATTTTAATAGCATAAAAGTAAAATATTTAGTAATAAATTTAGCCAACGGTGTGTAAAAGGAAACTCAGTGCTGAAAATGACATACAATTGCAGATACAGAAGAAAGAAAACCTTAAAATTAGAGAACTATATCATGTTTATGTATTGGAAAACAATATTAAAGGGCTAGAGCTGTCCAAAACATTTTATTGATGCAATTCCTTTATCATCAATATCCATCAGAGGTCCCAAAGGATTCAATACAGAAAAGAATATCATTTCAACTGATGGTGCTGAAACAATGAGATCTCTGCATAGGAAAAGTAAACCCCACATGCAAACAAAATTAATTCAGGACAAATCACAGATTTAAATTAAAATCTTAAAATATTAATGCTTCTGAAATAAAGCATAAAGTATATTTTATGGCATTTGTGTTGGTGAGGTTATCTTATGAGGTATTTCTAATCATCATCAATTCATTAAAATTAATGTCTTAATGGGTGAGGGTTATCCAGAAACTCTCTATGCTGTCTTTGCAGTTTTTATGTAAAGATAAAATTATTCCTAAAAAATAAATTTACTAAAAAAATAGCGATCATGAAAAACACCTCATATCTTTTACTTAATCAAAAGTCATCCTTAAAAATGAAAAAGCAAGGCATCACCTAGAAGAAAATATTTATGATACCTATATCTGACATAGGACTTACATCCATAATGTTGAACGACTTCTATAAATCAACAGCCAATAAAGAAACAATCCAATAAAAATGTACAAAAGACTGAAGTGAACTCTACCCACTGAATATATATGAATATCTAAAAGCAAATGAACATGTGCCTAACATCATTTAGCTTCTAGGAAATGCAAACTAAAACCACAATGTGATACCAGTGCACTATCAATAGAATTATAAACATTAAAACAAACAAACAAAGGCTGAATACTAAGTTTTAGTGAGGATGGGTAGCAACTGAAAACCTCACACACTAACATTTTACATGGAATTTGGAAAAGTGTTTGGCACCTTCTCATATAGTGACACATACATGTACTCCATGACGTAGAAATAAAATTTGAGGGAAATCAAACATATGTTAAAAAAAGACCTATAAACCAAAAGTAATAGTTTTATATATAATAGCCCCAACCTGTAAACAACCACATGTTCATCACCAAAGTAATGTATAAACAAATCGTGCTACATTTATACAATGGGAAACTTCTTTGAAGTTAAAGGGACAATCCTCTGTAACATACAATGATATAGATGAATCTCAGAAACGATATAGTGTTATTGACGGCAGATACAAGAGAGCATGCTACACAGTTCTATTTATATGAGGTTCAGGTATAGAAAATGCTAATGAATTGTGATGACAAAAATTACAACAATGATTTTCTATATTGTTGAAAGATGGGTAGTAGTGATCACCATGCATAAATAGAGAACTTTTTGGGTGATACAGAGTTTTCCTTGATGGGGATGTTGTTTAGAAGACTGCATATATTTTAGAAATGTATTGAACTTTGAACAAAATATCTGTGCTTTTATTGTAGATTCTTCAATATGTGAATGTACTTGAAAAAATATATGCCCATTACCTAACCGCTAGTCAACACCTCTACTCCTGTTATCATTTATCTCCTAAACAATTGCAATTATGTCTTAACTCATGCCCAGGCAACCCCAATATTGAGAACAATTCCTGACTCATAGTAAGTTCTTAATTAATATTTAACAGACTATTCAATAACAAATTACTTAAATAAATTTTGATAGTGGCTTTCAAAGCATTAGTATGTAGATATCATATGAATGCAAGGCACAATAAAAATTTAAAATTAATTTCCAAGGTTCTAGATTTGCACATTAATTACCAATGCCAAAACAGCACATAATAAATTAACATGTTTCCCTTAGTTATTGTTGGCTTAACCAGGATAATTTTAGGCATAATATTTTAAATTTTTACATGAAAAGCAGAATAAATAATATACAGTCGTGCATCACTTGACAGTGGGAATGTATTCTGAGAAATGCATCATTAGGTAATTTTGTCATTATGCTGACATTATTGAGTATATCTACACAAACCTAGATGGTATAGCCTACTACACACCTAGGAAATATGATATACCTTATTGCTCCTAGACTATAAAGCTTTACAGCATGTTACTGTAGTGACTACTGTAGGCAACTGTAATGCAATGATAACATAAAAGGTAGAGTAAAAATATGGTAATATAATTTTATGGGACCACTATCTTATACATGGTCCATCATTGACCAAAACATTGTTATGCAGTAAATGTATAACTTCTTTTGTCACACATATGCAAACAAACACATACACTCTTAAATGTTTATTAAGAATGTACACTGAAATGTTAATATAGATATCTCTGAAAGATATATAGGTGCTTTTGTTTTATTTTTAATGTATTATTTTACTTCATAAATATTTTTACAAATATATATTTATAATATATAATTTCATAGATATTTCATATCTATGAAATATTTCATATCTATGAAATATTTCATATTATGAAATAATATATTATATATTTGAATTATTATTATATATCATTAATAATAATGATATATAATATTATATATTTGAAATAATATATTATTTCATAAATATTAATTTCATAAACACTTTGTTATTAAATATATTCATGATATATTTAAGAAAAGTTATTTCATTTCCTATTTAATAAACCCATATTTGTACAAATACATTCTTTGCTGTCATTCTTAATTTGTTACTTTTTAAGAGAAGTCGTTATTTAACATAATACTAAATAAAGACAGAATGTACTGTACAGAATAGATGCTTAACAAACATTGTAAATTCAATAAAAATAGCACATTCTAAGTCACAAACATAAGTTCTATTAAGTTTTATCTTGGAGCACACATCTATATACTCTGTGGCTATTGATTCCTTAGTATAATTAAAGATCAATATTTTTGATGTTATTTTTAAGTTCAGGGAAATAATCAATGACATAAACAGCCCAAAAAATCTTAAATGTATGCTTATGCAAAAATATAATCAAAGGTTAACACCAATATTTGATAAAGGAAACATTTGTTATCACATTTATCATTAAGTATATCTGAGAGGTGATGTTTAAATACTCAGAAAAATAATAATTTGCTAAGGTATCACAGAATAATGTTGAATTGGCAGCCACTCCAGCTTCTTTCAAGTTTTTTACTCATTTTTGTACCCATTTTAATACACATATTCTGAATTCTTTTTTTTTTCTTCTGAGCATTCAAGTGGTATAGTGGTACCAGATTTTCCCCGTTATGTTAAATATTTATGTATTAAAATGATGAAAATAAAACCACTGATGAGTTGATGAACTGAAAAAAAAGTCAGCTATAAAACTAGTTTTGTCATCATTGTGTCATAGCTATGATGAAAAGGCTGTGGCAGTGGGTGGACAAAAATGAAAATGAAAAGAAAAATTAACTCGTTTGATACTAGCCATGGTGGTAGGCTTCTGACTGAATAGTAACAGAATTTGCAAAGCTAATTCTGATTCTTTAAATTGCAATTTTAAAATTTCTAGTAACTTGAATTCAATAGGTTTATACATGAACTTTTCACAAGTTAGTTGTCTTAAACTTCTTAGAAGAAAGCAACTGACAAATTGGCAAAATTAATTGATTTTCTTTAAACAAACACTGGTGAAATGCTGTTTTTTATTTCAAGTGACTAAGCACCCTAATCAACTGCAAAATTTCTAATAATTAAACTAACTTTAAAAATATACAAACTTGTAAAAGGCCTTATTCAAGACATTTATCCAAATCCTCTCCTGGTTTTAAGATAATTAAGTATTAGCATTGAAATTGACTAGAAAAAATTTTGAACTTTGTCGGGGAGTGTATTGGGTCATCATTTCTAGATTCCCTGAATAATATGAATTATCTCCCTATGTGGTAGGAAAATCTGGGTAATGTGCAAGCACTTGAGTCTAGAACTAGGAAATATAACCTTGATAGTGAAAAGTCAAATGGACCAAATTTAGTGGCAGAATTCCAGATACTGTCACATGCATAACAATGCCATAAATTGGAAAAGCAACAGTTTTCTCATGTTCATCAAAATACTTGGCCAACACTTTGAATATTTGACCAAATAAAATAGATTCATAAAAGAAACATAAACATTCGATATGAAATAATTTTACTCAGATTGCAGAAGAAACAATTTCCTCTTCAGATCAAAGTAAAACTCATTTATATTACCCATTCCACGTTACCTTTTTAAAAAGACATTCACAAGCTGTACATTACATAAAATGTATAGGTAATATAGTAGACAATTCCAGCAATGTTTGTCATTTGATTAATTATAGAATATTAATCACTTGGTATAGTATGATTATTTTGTTTTAATATGGCAATTGAAAATTTCCTATAATTACCATTTAAAGGTGGAGTCGAATTTGAATTTGAAATAGAACATATGTCATTAAAGAGAATATAACATAACTATTTACATTAAAATGTTAGTATACATCAACAAATTTTTTTGTTTATTTATTATGAGATAAATACTAGAAATTATATTTTTAAATTTTTAAGCCAGATTTCTTTTGACTATTATATATATACATATACACACACACACATATATATACACACACACATACATATATATACACATATATATACACACACACACACACATATATATGTGTGTGTGTGTGTGTATATTGTGTGTGTGTGTGTATATATACATTTTTTTTTTTTTGAGATAGAGTTCCACCCTGTCACCCAGGCTGGAGTGCAATGGCCTAATCTTGGCCCACTGCAACCTCCGCCCCTGCCGGGTTCAAGTGATTCTCCTGCCTCAGCCTCCCGAGTAGCTGTGACTATAGGCATGCACCACCACGCCCAGCTAATTTTTTGTATCTTTAGTAGAGATGGGGTTTCACCATGTTGGCCAGGCTGGTCTTGAACTCCTGACCTCATGATCCACCCACTTCAGCCTCCCAAAATGCTGGGATTATAGGTGTGAGCCACCACGCCCAGCTGACTATTATATTTTTTAAAACTTCAAGATTTCCTTTTTGAATATTGATTTTCAATTATACTATGTAGGGATTACTTTGCAGATATCTGTTTCATTCTCAATTTCTTCACTTCCAATCAAAGACAATTACACTACTAATAGACAATTATTTTCCATAGTAAAAAAATAAGTTTTAAAAGTTGAAGTGGCAAGCAGTTGTCAAAATATAATTTATATATATTTTTCCATATTGCAAACTCTGAATTATTATTATTATTAAACCTCAAAATATAGATTTCTTAGTATCCTCTAAGAAGTGATATAGCTTTACTTTTGAAATGTTTTCAGGACTGAACATTTAATCCTTTCTTATCTCATGTGAGCACTGATGTTTTCAGAAAGTGAAACTGAGCATATTAAGATTACACATATGCACACACGTGCTCATGCTCACAAACACAAAAGGAAAATAGCATTTGTTTAAAGTTTTGTCCAGTTGAAAAAAAATCTATACAATCTTTCATATTTAAAGTTTATATTTTATCTCTTGGTTTTATAGGCAAAATATTACCACTTAAGTGTTAAGATATTAGATCTTAATCTCTGAATTTTTTTCATCTCTACCTGAAAACTCTGTTGGACTCCTTTTTATAAAAAGCTCTCTGCCAGGCGGTGGTGGCTCATGCCTGTAATGCCAGCACTTTGGGAGGCCAAGGCAGGCAAATCATGAGGTCAGGAGTTCGAGACCAGCCTCACAAACATTGTGAAACCCCGTCTGTACTAAAAATACAAAAATTAGCCGGGCGTGGTGGCAGCATCTGTAATCCCAGCTACTTGGGAGGCTGAGGCAGGAGAATCTCTTGAACCCGGGAGGCAGAGGTTGCAGTGAGCTGAGATCACACCACTACACTCCAGCCTGGGTGACAGAACGAGACTCCATCTCACACAAAAAACAAAACAAAACAAAACAAAACAAAAAAATCTCATATTTAGGGTTGCTGGGTTTAGCAAACAAAAATACAAGGTATTCAGTTAAATTTGAATTTCAGATCAACAGCTGACTTTTTTAGTATAAATATTTCCCCCAATACTGGATTGGATATCCAGATTAATGTGTTAATGATTTGGGGACACACTTATACTAAAAATTGTAAATTGTTGATCTGAAATTTAAATTCAACTGGGTGCTCTACAATTTATCTGACAGCCTACAGATAATAGAATATATATGTTGAAACCATTAAGGCCATCATGTATGCTTAATGATCAGTATGTAATTTCTTGTGGCTGAGAAAGATTACACTTTAAATTCAGAGGGCTGGACCCTATTTATCTAAGGGGCTGGCAAAAGAAGAGCATTATTATTATCTGAGCACCTCTCCAAATTTATCCCCTACGCTGTAATTCAAATCCTAGCCTGGTCCCAAAGTTTGTATTCCATTACTATATAAAACATTTTCCTGCAGTGGAATTAGTCCCTGGAATACAGATTTCCTGTTTACAGAGCCAATTCTTTGTACATATTTTCTATGTAATCTTTGGTCAGAAGAGAATATTTGTGTAATTCTTATATTTAATAACATTTGAAGGCTTAAAAATCAGAGTATACAAAAGATTTACTCAAATTTAAAAATAGAGTGGAATAAAATGAATTAGGCACCTTTCAGCTTCTGCATGTAAAATAGCAGTAGCGGTGTTGTAATACAGCAGAACACATTGGTTTTTTTTTTTTTAAGCACAGCTATTGTCTTCTTTGCATCTCTCAAAACAAAAACCATTTTGTGGGAGTGAAAATCACTGTCATCTTTGTCAGGTAATTATCCAACTTCTGGCAAAATGGATATTATCCTTTCTCCATTTAGAAATAAAATTAAAATATTCCTGGCTTTGAAAGAAGTGTTTTCTCTCATCACAAGTTAGAAATTATCTCAGTATACTTTCTGCAGAATATTTTTAAACAAATATCTTAGAATGAAGCAAGCATTCCACTCAACCCATTTTGGGGTCCTTTGTGTTAGGCAATTTACTTGATTCTATGAGGAATGATGGGTCTAATTTGAGTGCCTACTATGTGCCAGGACTTAAACAAGATGCTAGAAATTAATAAAACTGAACATAAATTCAAATCAGAAATACATGAGCTTAATATAGACCCCAAATATTTCTGCTTCTTAAGAATTTAGAAAATTATCCCCTTTGTGACTAAGGCTGCTAATCTTTAAACAGATTTTAATAACTTATACCTCCCAGAGGTGTTGAGGATTTTATAAGTATATAGATATAAATATGAGCATATAAGAATAGAAGAACATTTTATACTTATATAGAAGTACTGTATTTAGCAGACCATATGTCACATAGAAAGTACTCAATACGTCTGGGCACGGTGACTCACGCCTGTAATCCCAGCACTTTGGGAGGCTGAGGCAGGCGGATCATGAGGTCAGGAGATCGAGACCATCCTGGCTAACACAGTGAAACCCCATCTCTACTAAAAATACAAAAAATTAGCCGGGCGTGGTGGCAAGCATCTGTAGGCCCAGCTACACGGAAGCCTGAGGCAGGAGAATGGCATGAACCTGGGAGGCAGAGCTTGCGCCGCTGCACTCCAACCTGGGCAACAGAGCAAGACTCTGTCTCAAAAAAAAAAAAAGAAAGTACTCAATACTTGCAGCTGTTACTAAATAGATAGGGGATATTTATTTCTGATATATGCACTAAATAGTAATTATTGTAATAGCTTTAAAGCTTGTCAAAGCGAACAAGATGGGGCAGATTGAAATTGCCTACTTGAAGCTAAATGTTAGGCAAGATATTAAAAATTGCTAAGCCCCTGTTCCATTTTGGGGGTAAAAAGGTGGCTAAATTATAAAAGTAATATAATTGTGAAGGCTAATGGGACATATTGTGTCTGGAATTGGTTCCTTCTGGTGGGTTCTTGGTCTCGCTGACTTCAAGAATGAAGCCGTGGACCATCACAGTGAGTGTTACAGTTCTTAAAGATGGTGCGTCCGGAGTTTGTTCCTTCAGATGTTCTGATGCATCCAGAGTTTCTTCCTTCTGGTGGGTTCGTGGTCTTGCTGACTTCAGGACAAAGCCGCAGATCTTTGTGGTGAGTGTTACAGCTCATAAAGGTAGTGCAGACCCAAAGAGTGAGCAGCAGCAAGATTTATTGCGAAGAGAGGAAGAACAAAGCTTCCACAGCACGGAAGGGGACCTCAGTGGGTTGCCACTGCTCGCTGGGGTGGCCAGCTTTTATTCCCTTATTTGGCCCTGCCCATGTCCTGCTGATTGGTCCATTTTACAGAGTGCTGATTGGTGCGTTTACAAACCTTTAGCTAGACACAGAGTGCTGATTGGTGCGTTTTTACAGAGTGCTAATTGGTGCATTTACAAACCTTTAGCTAGTCACAGAGTGCTGATTGGTGTGTTTACAATCATTTAGCTAGACAGAAAAGTTCTCCAAGTCCCCACGGGACCCAGAAGCCCAGCCGGCTTCACCTCTCAATATCATGTGAAAATTCTTAACACACCTAATTCACACATTTTGTGTGGTACAAAATAGAAAAAAATTTAAATATAAGATCAAAAACAACTTAAAAGAAACAGAGTTTTACCTCCATCTTGGTTATACAGGATTTAGATCTAAACCAAGAGGGTCCCTCTGAGAAAAGTCATTCATTCACCTCGACAACAACATAGTCAAATAAATAAATAAATAAATAAATAAAAGAATAAAGAAAGAAAAAGGAAAGAAGCAAGGAAGGAAGGAAGAGAGAAAGAAAAGAAAGGAAAGGAAGGAAGGAAAAGGAAGCAAAGAAAGGAGGGAAAAAACGTTGTTGTTACTAAGGTGGATCTGGAATTGAAATGTTTCCGATAATTAGCTGACATATGTAGGGGCTTTACTTTCCTAAATATAAAATATCAGTTAGGGAGACACGTGAAAAAAAAAAAAAAACACAGATGTCTTTGTTCATAACTTTTGGGCTAGGGTAATGAAGCAGTGATTAAGTTTTTAAATTTTTTTTAACAAAGATAACCTATTTCAAGAATAATGTTGCTTTTGGACCCTTCTGCTGTTAAAGCTTGAAACTTATATTTGTTTTATCTGAGTTCCTTCTTGGGGGAAACAACCCTCAGGCCTCTCACAAAAAGAATCAAAGATCTGAAACCAGATCACCATATCTGATTCTGGACCCCTCATTCACCTTAATTGCTTCCTTGCCCCTCCCAAGCTCCTGTTTCCTTACACATTGTTACATTTCTTCCCTGCTACATAAACCCCTGGTTCTAGTCGATCAGGGAGATTGAGATCCCAGCTTCTCCATTGCAGCACCTGGTGACAGCCTTCTTTCTTGGCAATACTTGTTATCTTAGTGATTGGCTTTCTGTACAGTGAGCAACAGGACCTAGACCAAATCCCTGGTGTTTCGGTAACAGTGTTAGTTTTAAATTCTCTAACAAGTGCTTGTTCAGACTAAAGGCCCCCTAAAAAGACTGATGCATAATAAATATTCAATAAATTTACATTAAATGAAAGAACACTGAGCCTGGCTCTAGGCCTGGTTTTGGCTTTCAATGGATTTTAGATTTTGTCGTATTAATTTGACTAGTACTTAAGACTGCAGCAGCAAAGTAATACTCCATTCTATCCTAAAGAGACCAGGATGTCAAAGGTTTAACATCTCCCTGTTTTGTATGGGAATTTACCTTCTTGGTCAATTCTTCCCTCAAGTTACCAGAACACTTATAAAGAAAACTTGCATTGTATATATCGAGAGCCAAAACCTTACATGAAGCATTTATTTTTAATAGAGCAATATAATCAATAGTAAATTGTTTCAACTTTAGTACCATATGAATGATAATATTTAGTAATAGATGTTCTGAAAAGGTAGTACCTTTGGAAAATTTTACAAGCTCTATTAACTTAGGATAATAGAGTAATAATATTTTTCTTTTAATAGAAAAATCTTTAATTTAGCAAAAATTTATTAGTAGAATCCATCACTTTCTTTCAGCAATCTGAATTTGGCTTGATTTTCTCCCTTTAATTTAGTATTATTTAATTCCAATGACCAAATACATTTCTGGAATGGGCATTTATTACAGCAGGACACACACTTATAGGAAACATATGATGCATATTAACTGAAATAAAATGATGTATATTTATCTTCAAGTTCTTGAGATTAACCTTTGTAGTAGATTCATAGGTATTGTAGAGTAGTGTCATTAATTGTATTTCAAGTTCAGTCACTGTTGTTAACACAGAGTTAAGGAAAAGTTTATTTCTGTGGAAACAGCACGAATACACAGTCAGGAAAACATGTTTTACACATTTAAAAGCAAATTTTTTGTTCTTTATTAAATGCTCAAGAAAACAGTCCAGTTTTAGAAATGCTTGGTGAGTGACCAAAAGAATGCTTTAGAATAGTCTCAAATTAAAAAAAATTACACATTATCACTTGCTGCATATATTTTATCAAACTCATTTTTTCTTAGCTCGTAACTTCTTTTCCTATGTGCACGTTACTGAAGTTGCAGTAAGAAAACACATGTAGTTTTTTCATGTTTTCTAAAATTATGCACAATTTTTTTTAATTGCTCACTGTACTTTTAAATGACATGAACTGAAGTTGTAAAGGCAACTTGAAATTATGTGTTTCAACTTTATTCTCTTCCATTTTCCCTCACATCCTTCCTGGTAAATGGTATCTCTATTTATTATTGCTGTCTCAAAGCAAAATTTTATATTTTCTATTGCTCTCTTACATACAGAAAATACTCAATAAATTATGGCTTTTGAAACCTGTAGATTGTGAATAATATGTAATCTCAATAATCTGACATCTATATTAAGAAAACAATCTCTATCTCAACTGCTTTAACCACTGTGAAAAACATAATAATCATTTTAATAAATTTTCTGACCTGCCAGAATTTTGCATGGATCATAAATTGATATATATGTATCAAGTTTTATTTTGCTCTTGTACCTTCCTAGTCAGTTTCTTAATTACTCAAATCTCCTTGCTTTATTCTAGAAATAAGTGGTTAAACTATAAATATAAATATGTGTCACATATTATGCAATTACAAGATAAGTAAATATTTCCCTAACTTTCTAACATATTCATAAACTAAAAAATATGCAACTTTAACATAATATAATGATTAGAAAAAAGAAGTATTGTCAAGTTTAAAGAAAAGCTTCATGGGAAGTTATGTTTAGACCTTTATAAATATGCAAGAGAGATCTAAAAACAATGTTGGATAAGGTTTTTATAAAGAAAGATGAATATTATGAAAGGCAAAGAGTAGAAACAAAAACTCAATTGTCTACCAATTGCAGAATGAATAAACAAAATATGACATATACATACAATGGAATATTATTCAGCCATAAAAGGTAATAAAGTGCTGATACTACAACATGGACGAACCTTAAAATCATTATGCTAAGTGAAAGAAGCCAGTTTCAAGAGGTAACATATCATTTATATAAAAATATCCATAATAGACAAATCCATAGAGACAGAAAGTATAATAGTGGTTGCCAGAACCTGGGAGAGTGGTAAATGAGGAATGATTTATCAGTGGGTATGAGGTTTCATTTTCAGGTGGTAAAATGTTCTGTTAATAGATATATGTGATAGTCATACAACCTTGTGAATGTACTAAAAGATATTGAATTGTATGCTATAATATGGTCAAAATGGTGAATTATATATTATGTGAATTTTACCCCAATTTAAAAACAGAATGGCATAGAAGTGTGAAATATTATGGTATAGTTTATGTTACTATAATATAGTAAGTGGCATAAAGTAATCATATTATCTGGCATATAAGATATCAAAAATGTTTGCTGAAAAAAAAATGAATAAGATAAAGGAAAATTATTGGAGGACCTTGCCAATAGTGTTAAGGAACTTAAACATCTGCCATTGAAGGTCTGGAATCTAGAAAGTGGGATTTTTAATGTAATACTTTAGTATATTTACTGTCATTTAAAAAGTCACTGCAAAAATCACCAGTCTAGTCAAGAAAGGATGAGGTCTTGAACTAGAACAGCGGCCACTAGGTTGTAGAGGAGAGAGAAATTTACATTCCAAGAAAGCATCTCGGCCGGGTGTTGTGGCTCATGCCTGTAATCCCAGCAATTCAGGAGGCCGAGGCGGGTGAATCACGAGGTCAAGAATTCGAGACCATCCTGGCTAACATGGTGAAACCCTGTCTCTACTAAAAATACAAAAAATTAGGCTGGCATGGTGGCACGTGCCTATAGTCCCAGCTACTTGGGAGGCTGAGGCAAGAGAATTGCTTGAACCCAGGAGGCGGAGACTGCAGTGAGCCAAGATCACGCCACTGCACTCCAGCCCAGGTGACAGGGCAAGACTCTGTCTAAAAAAAAAAAAAAAAAAGAAAGAAAGCATTTCAGAAACTAGTGGTTTATCAAGTATTACATGCACATAGACACTGAGCCATAATGCAGTCCTTGTCCTCAAAGAAACTACTGCTAATGAAAGTATGTTTATTTTGATTTTGCAAAATATAGAGTAAAAATAATATTATTGACATTTTTAGAATTTTATATATGCATATATTTATACAGAATATATACTAGATTGTATCATATATTATTTTACATATGAAACATTTATCTATATAGAGGGAAATATATATACCTACATGTATATCTATATATGTAGAGAAATATATATACGTACATATATATCTATATATATGTAGATATATATCTACAAATACGTAGATTAAGATATGACTACCAGAAATTATCAACTTTCAACTGCTGTGAAGATTACAGTCCAAAGTGGTTAATTCATTTTTACCAGTTCATTCTGTCAGGAAGATAATTAATAACGTCTTTTTTTTCTATTCTTATTTCAGGTGTTCTTCTGTTTTTCCATTGCATTTTCATTTGATTTTTCTGGCAAACATAAATAGGAGAATAACTAAATTTGAAAATATTTGGCCTTCCCTAAGTTAACAGAAAGAGGAAGAGAGAGTGAGGGAAAAATCATATTAAATCAACTCTGATATTCTGAAAGAATTGATGTACCTCCCATGTTAGCAAAGTACACCTCTTGCACGGGGAAAATCAGAGTTACTGTCTGAAAAAAAAATTAAATAACTATCCAGAATTATAATATGGTATCTGCCTGGGCATAAGCACACAAAGGGAAAGCTAAAAAAAAGTATTCAATTTTATTAGATACATATTTTATCCAAGATGAAGTCGCTATGACCCTCTATACTGTAATTCACATTTGAGACAGCTGCACTTTGCCTTTTTCACAAAACAAACCATCAGATGACGGTGATAACAAAATAAGAGATGGTGAATACATCATCTTCCACAAAACAGAGTCAATTACTCCCGGATTTATATATGAAAAAATATGAATATGTTAACATCTTTCACCACATCATTCCAAACCAGCTGAGGAAAAACAATTGCTTGAGAAACCTATGCTGTTTTGAGAAACAGAAAGTAAAGTTTGTAATCAAGATTCTGCTTTAGCTATTTACTAAATGCATTTTCACTTGCAGGACCAGGCATAAAGTTTATAATAAAAATCTGTTTATTTAATTCACTAAAATATATGAATAATGTTGCTACAAACTTCTATAAAAATGTTCATGTGTAATTAAGTGATAGGAATTTTAAATTGAATGCATGAAATATTCTATGTGATTTGTGGGGGTTTTTTATTATTAGGTAAGTTACAGACTAATTTCTGTAACCTTATGCCTACAGTATAAGACTTAAGAGATTATAGAATTATTGGCTGGGACAACTTTAGAGACTGGCTAATACTCATTTTGTTACATTTTCACTTTACCTGATAGAAATCTGTTGAACAATGTTTGGCTAGCTAAGCTTTCTATTTCACCAGTGCATCTCATATGCTAATGAATTAATTCATTGATCATTACCAAAATCTATTTGAAGCCCCATTGTTCACTACTTAAACTGCAGTATTACACTAAATTGTTGGTGTACTGGTAGGTTATACACACACACACACATTTATATATGTATATATAAAACATGAAGATACATATATACACATTTATGTATATGTATATATAAAACCTACCAATACACCAACATTTTAGTGACTGTGTTGAATATATATATACACATGCACAGTCATGCGTCACTTAATGACAAGGATACATTCTGAGAAATACATGGTCCTTAGGCAATTTCATCCACACCTAAGCTATATGGTATAGACTATTGCTCCTAGGCTGCAAACCTGTGCTGCATGCTACTGTACTGAATATTGTAGGCCATTGTAACACAACAAGTATTTGTGTATCTTAACATAGCTAAACATAGAGAAAGTACAGCAAAAATACGGTATTATAATCTAATGGGAAGACCATTCTATATGTGGTTTGTCATTGACTGAAACATCATTATGCAGCACACGAGAGCTTGTGTGTCTGTGTGTGTGTGTGTTTGTGTGTGCATTAGCTATGTATACATTTTACAGGCAATATGTATATTTATAGGCAATATACTTATTGCCTATAAAAAGGTACACATGAAAATGATGTTATATTTATCAACAAATGTGAAAATTAATAGTTAATATGAGTGCAGTTTTAATAGTTACAAACCATAAACTAATGTTAATAGTGTAAATAGAATATTATTTGCATATATGAGCAACCAGTAGCCAAGAGTAAAAGGAGGATGTACCCAGTATGTAAAAAAATGCTGGACTTTATTATTTGAATGACCTTCTTGTTTATCTATTAATGATAGGTCACACACTATAATTTTTAAAATAATAGTATATATGCTTTATAAAATCTTTGATTTAGAAATATTACAAATCTTTCATTGAAGAATGTTTAGTGATATTGAAAAAAGAGATACCTCATCTGCCGGGATCCAATTATGCAGATGCATGGAGCTTTATGAATCTTGTTTTTAGTAGAATATATATTACAATTCTTATTAATTTTGAAATTATCTTAGTTTTTATGTGTACATCTGTCTTCTCTTAATTAGGCTATAAAGGGCTATATTTAGCCAATAATTAAAAATTTAGTTCTGAGGCAAGAATATTCTTTTGGATATGAATGAACTACTTGACATACCAACAGATGTTTCTTCTATTTAAGATAAGGAAAATATTTTTCCTCCTATACAAATGAAACCATAAATATGAGCAGTACCTCAAATTTATATAAGATCCCCATGAATCCATGTTATGGAGAGATTTGAAGCAGGTGAGACTTAATAGTTGAATCTACAAATTCAACCAATAAAATTGAATTCATTCTATGCAGGTACCAGAAATTATTCATGTTCAGAAAAAGCACATTTTTCTAATAATGACTCTGTTTTATATTATTTTACTAACGCTATTCACATTTTGAAGTGTTTCTTTTATATTAAAACAGTTGGCATAATATTAGACAGTTCTTAGTTTGACAGCCATACAGGACACAAAAGGCAAAGCAAGCTGAGAGCTCAGAAAGGATGAAATTCATAACCCTTAATTGAGATATATTTAATAGTTTGAAGTGATTGAGAAAGATTGTTTTAAGAACGATTAATTTTAGCCTTAATTCACAATACTTAATAAGAAAAGTTACTTTATATTGTAAATAAATAGAGGACATTTCCTAGAAAATTTGCTGTTGCATATATTCAATTAGGGATCTGGTCTGGTATTATTAAATAATACAAACACTGAGTGGCTTAAAAATATACAGCTAAGATACTTATATTATCCTCTTTGCACAGCTTCACAATTAAGTTAAATAGAATGTTCTGTACTTCGAAACCTAGGCAAACTTCTTAAAATGTTTAGCTACTTTTTCTTATTTCCTAACTAGCTAATACTAGTTAATACTAGTATTAATACTAGGAAGAAACTCAGGAAATTCCATAATGGCATTTGTAGGAACTAGATTGTCTAGAAAGGTATATGATGTTTAATGCAAATATTTTTGACAGATTGTTTAGTGTATACGAGTTTAAAAATAAACAGAAATGCATAATCTTTCATGGATAACATATATAAGCAGCTGGAAATGATATATTTAAAATTGTCCCCTGTCTTAAGTTACAGAGAACAAACAGGGTTTACAATCTTTTGTTTTATCAAGAAAAATGAGATTGAGATGTTATATATCTTCTCTCATTTTAGTATGTGAAATCTTTATTGTGGTACAAATTGGCTGTATGTGAGAACATAGAAGTGTGTCATTCTTAGCAGTATAAAATTGTCAGCAACTAGGCAAGAAAAGGGAGATAAATAAATAAATACAGGATTCATTATGTAACTACTAGTTTTGTGTTTATTGCTTTTAATGAAAAAGACCAAAGATAGCTATTTTTCTCAAGAAGATACCTTTTTAAAAATAATTTCCACTTTTATTTTAGACTCAGGGTGTACAAGTACAGGTTTGTTAAATGGGTGTGTTGCATGATGCGGAGGGTTAGGGTACAGATAATCTAGTCACCCAGGTTGTGAACATAGTACTGGATAGGTATTTTTCAGCCCATGTCTCCCATTCTCTCCCCCTTCTAATAGCCCCCAGTGTCTATTGTTCTTCCCTTTATATCCATGTGTTCTCAATGTTTAGCTCCCACTTGAAAGTGAGAACATTTTTTTTGTTTTTTTTTTTTCTGTTCATGCTTTAATTTGCTCGGGATAATGGCATCCACCTGCATCTATGTTGCTGCAAAGAACATGATTTCTTACCTTTGAATGACTGCTTAGTATTCCATGGTGTATGTGTACCACATTTTCTTTATTCAATCCACCATTTGATGGGCATGTAGGTTGATTCTGTGGCTTTGCTATTGTGAATAACACTGTGCATGTAACTTTTTGGTTGGATGATTTATTTTCCTTTGGGTATATACAATATATACCCAAATGTAGATCCAATAATGGGACTGCTGGGTCTAAGGATAGCTCTCTCTTAAGTTATTTGAGATGTCTCCGAACAACTTTTCACAGTGGCTGAATTCATTTACATTCCCACCAAAAGAATATAAGGGTTTCCTTTTCTCCATAGCTTCACCAGCATATGTTGTTTTTTGACTTTTTAATAATAGCCATTCTGATTGGTGTAAGATGGTGTCTCATTGTGGTTTTGATTTGCATTTCTCTGATGATTAGTGATGTTGACCATTTCAACATGTTTGTTGGTCACTTGTATGTCTTCTTTTGAGAAGTGCCTGTTCATGTTTTTTGCCCATTTTTAATTTTTTTTTTTTTTTTTTTTTTTTTTTTTTTGCTTTTTGATGATGAAGTTCCTTATAGATTCTGGATATTAGCCCTTTATTAGATGTACAGTTTGTGAATATTTTCTCCCATTCTGTAGTCTGTCTGTATACTCTGTTGGTAATTCTTTTTTCCATGCAGAATCTCTTTAGTTTAATTCAGTCTCACTTGTCACTTTTGGTTTTTGTTGAAATTGCTTTTGTGGACTTAGCTGAAAATTCTTTCCTAAGGCCCGTGTTGAGAAGGGTATTTCCTGGATTTTCACCAAGGATTTTTATAACTTGATATCTTACATTTAAGTTTTAATCTATCTTGAGTTAATTTTTGTATATGTTGAAAGGTGGGAGTTGTTTCATTCTTCTGCATATGGCTAGCCAGTTATACCAACACAAGTTATTGAATAGGAATTTCTTTCCTCATTGCTTGTTTTCATCGACTTTGTTAAAGATCAGATGGTTGCAGGTGTGTGGCTTTGTTTCTGGGTTCTCTATTGTGTTCCATTGGTCTATGTGTCTGTGTTTGTACCAGTATCATTTTTTTTTTTTTTTTTTTTTAGTTTATTTAAGGTAGGTTCAAACTGCCTTATAGTACAGTTTGAAGTCTGGTAATGTGATGCCTCTGGCTTTGCTCTTTTTGTTTAGGATTGCTTTGACTATTTGGGCTCTTTTATTATTCCATATGAATTTTAGAATAGGTTTTCCTATTTCTGTGAAAAATAATGTTGGTACTTTTGTAGGCAAAGCATTGAATCTATAAATTGCTTCGGACATTGTGGCCATTTTAACAATATTGATTCTTCCAGTTCCAGTGAGCATGGAATACTTTTCCATTTATTTATGTCATCACTGATATCATTCAGCAGTGTTCTACAGTTCTCTTGTAGAAATCTTCGACCTCCTTGGTTAGCTGTATTCCTAGGTACTTCTTTTTTGTAGTTATGTTACATGGAATTGTGTTTTTGATTCAACTGTCAGCTAAAACATTATTGGTGTATAGAAATGTTAATGATTTTGGAAATTGATTTTGTATCCGAAACTTTACCAAATTCATTTATCTGTTCTAGAAGCCTTTTGGCAGAATCTTTAGGGTTTTCTAGGTATAAATCATATCACCAATGAAAAAATATAGTTTGACTTCTTCCTTTCCTACATGGATAACTTTTATTTCTTTCTGTTGTCTAATTGTTCTGGCTAGGACTTCTAGTACTATGTTGAATAGGAGTGGCAAAAGCAGTCATACATATCTTGATCCAGTTCTTAAGGAAAATAGTTGCAGCTTTTTCCCATTTAGTATAATGCTGGCTGTGGGTTTGTCATGGATGAGTGTTATTATTTTGAGGTGTGTTACTTCAATGCCTAGTCTGTGAGGATTTTTATCATGAAGGAATATTGGATTTGATCAAAAGCTTATTCTATGTCTATTAAGATGATCATATGGTTTCTATTTTTAATTCTGTTTATGTGGTGAATGACATTTATTGATTTGCATATGTTGAACCAACCTTGTATCCCAGGAGTGAAGCCCAGTTGATTGCAGTGAATTAATTTTTGAATTATTTCAGGACTCTGTTTGCTAGTATTTTGTTGAGGATTTTTGCATCTGTGTTCATCAGGGATATTGGTCTAATGTTTTCTTTTACTGTTGTGTCTCTGCAAGATTTTGGTATCAGGCTGATGCTAATACTGCCTTCATAGAATGAGGTATGGAAAACCTACTCCTCAATTTTTTGCAAACATTTCAGTAGTATTGATAGTAGTTCTTCTTTGTATGTCTGGTAGAATTCAGATGTGAATCCATCTGGTCCAATTTTTTTTTTGGATAGTAGAGATTTTATTATTGATTCAACTTTGGAACTTGTTGATGATCTGTTTATGTGTTCACTTTCTTCCTGGTTAAATCTTGGGAGGTTGTGTATTTCCAGGAACTTATCTATTTCCTCTAGATTTCCTAATTCATGTGTATAGAGGTGTATAAAACAGTCTCTGAGGATCCTTGTATTTTTGTGCAATTGGTTGTCATGTCATCTTTGTTATTTCTGATTGTGCTTATTTGGATCTTCTCTGTTTTTCCATTTGCTAATCTAGTTAGCAGTTTATCAACCTTGTTTATTTTTTTGAAGGACCAGCCCTTGGTTTCATGCACCTTTTGTATGGATTTGTGCATCTCAATTTTGTGTGGTTCTTTCCTGATTTAGTTATTTCTTTTCTTCTGCTAGCTAAGAGGTTGGTTTGCTCTTTTGTTCTAGTTCCTCTAGATATAAAGTTAGATTGCTAGTCTGAGATCTTTCTATTAGATGAAGGTGTTTAGTGCAATGAACTTTCCTTTTAATAATGCTTTTGCTGCATCTCAAAGATTTTAAAAAGTTATTTCTATATTTTCATTAATTTTAAATATTTTGTATTCATGCCTTAATTTCATTGTTCACCCGAGTTATTCAGAAGAAAATTGTTTAATTTCCATATATTTGCATAGTTTTGAGAGATCTTCTTTGTATTGATTTCTATTTTTATTCTGCTGTTGCCTGAGAGTGTACTTAATATGATTTTGATTGTTTTGAATTTATTAAGACTGACTTTATGACCACACATGTGGTTGATCTTAGAATATGTTCTTTTTGCAGATGAGAAAAAAAATGTATTCTTGTTGAGTCTATCAGGTTCACTTAGTTGAGTAGACAGGGTTTCTTTGTTAGTTTTCTTCCTTGATGATCTCTCTAACACTGTCGGTAAGGAGCTGTAGCCTCCCATTATTACTGTGTAGCTACCAAAGTCCTTTTGTAGGTCACAAAGAACTTGTTTTATGAATCTGGGAGCTCCAATGTTGGGTACATATATATTTAGGATAGCTCAGTTTTATTTTTGAATTAAATCTTTTATTATTATGTAATGTTCTTCTTTGTCCTTCTTATATTGTGTTGGTTTGAAGTCTGGGTTTTCAAATATAAGAATTGCTGCTTCTACTCTCTTTTTTTCTGTATGCATGGTAGATCACTCTCCATTTCTTTACTTTGAGCCTGTGGGTGTTGTTACTTGTGAGATGGGTTTCTTGAAGACAGCAGATAGTTAAGTCTTCTCTTTTTATCTGGGCTTCCACTATATGCCTTTTAAATAGGACATTGAGATCATTTACATTCAGGTTTAGTATTGATATGTCAAGATTTGATTCTGTTATTATGTTGTTTGCTAGTTATGTAGACTTGATTGCATTGTTTCTTTATAGTGTCTATGGGCTAGGTGCTCAAGTGTCTTTTTGTGATAGCAGGTACCATTCTTTCCTTTCCTTGTTTCACACTCCCTTAATGACCTCTTGTAAGGCTGGTCTAGTAGTAATGAGTTCCAATAGCATTTGCTTGTCTAAGAAAGATTTTATTTCTCCTTCACTCATGAAGTTTAATTTGGTGGGATATGAAATTCTTGGTTAACATTTCTTTGCTTTAAGTATGGTGAAAATAGGCCCCCAATCTCTCTTGGCTTGTAAGGTTTCTACTGAGAAGTTAATTGCTAGCCTCATGGGATTTCCTTTTTACATGACTTATCCCTTCTCTCTAGCTGCCTTTAAGATTTTTTTCTTTCACATTTACCTTGGTGAACTGGATGACTAATTTCCTTGGGGATGGTTGTCTTGCATAGTATCTCATTAATGTTCTCTTCATTTATTAAATTTTCATGTCAACTTCTCTAGCTATATTGGGGAAATTATTGTGGACTATATCCTCAAATATGTTTTCCAAGTCATTTACTTTTTCTCCTCTTTCTGAAATGCCAGTGAGTCAGAGGTTTGGGCTCCTTACATAATACCATATTGCTTAGAGGCTTTTGTACATTTTATAAGATTCTTTTTTCTATATTTTTATCTGAGTTGATTTGAAGGAACAGCCTTCAAGCTCTGAAATTCTTTCCTTAGCTTCATCTGTTTTGCTGTTAATTCTTCTGACATAATTACAAAATTCTTTTCGTAAATTTTTTAATTCCATGAAGTTCAGTTTGGTTCTTTATTAAAATGGCTATTTCATCTTTCAGTTCTTGGGTTATTTTACTGGATTTCTTGGATTTGGTTTCCACATTATCCTGAATCTCAGTGAACTTTCTGAATTCTATGTCTGTCATTTCTATTTTTTTTAAACTTTTAATTGGTATTTATTTAGTTAAGTGAAGAAGTCAAGAGAAAAAAAAAGTTAAGGATTTTTAAAGAAATCTTTGTGCTTATAATTTTTTTAAATTGGGAATCTGATTTTCCATTTTTAATAGGGCAAAGATCTGGAATACATATATTTTACTTGGATTGAGTAGAATTTCTAATATTAAATTAGTGATGCTTTTTAGACACTAAAGTGTATTACATTAAAAGAAGTTGTAAAGTCATATCTTGGTATATCAAAGAGTTCTGTACATTTAGTTGTTCATGAGAATTTTTTGACACTAAAATATAATTCACTGAAATATGTAATACTAAAAAACTATAGTTTGGAATTTTTCCCACTTTTTTTTTAACAATGTCTTAGAATTGTATTTAAGAACCAAATACCAAGAGGGAGAATGTTCAATGTTCTCTCATATTTCATCTTTATGAAATTTGTTGTTCAAGTTGTTTTACTACAACTGTCTTAACCTTTTCTTTATCCCATTTATTTATTTATTTATTTATTTATTTATTATTTTTTAAATTATTATTTTGCTTTAAGTTCTAGGGTACATGTGCACAATGTGCAGGTTTGTTACATATGTATACATGTGCCATGTTGGTGTGCTACATCCATTAACTCATCATTTACCTTAGGTATATCTCCTAATGCTATCCCTCCCCCCTCTCCCCACCCCCTGGCAGGCCCCGGGTGTGTGATGTTCCCCACCCTGTGTCCATGTGTTCCCATTGTTCAATTCCCACCTATGAGTGAGAACATGCGGTGTTTGGTTTTCTGTCCTTGGGATAGTTTGCTCAGAATGATGGTTTCCAGCTACATCCATGTCCCTATAAAGGACATGAACTCATCCTTTTTTATAGCTGCATAGTATTCCATGGTGTATATGTGCCACATTTTCTTAATCCAGTCTATCATTGATGGACATTTGGGTTGGTTCCAAGTCTTTGCTATTGTGAATAATGCTGCTATAAACATATGTGTGCATAACTCTTTATAGCAGCATGATTTATAATCCTTTGGGTATATGCCCAGTAATGGGATGGCTGGGTCAAATGGTATTTCTAGTTCTAGATCCTTGAGGAATCGCCACACTGTCTTCCAAAATGGTTGAACTAGTTTACAGTCCCACCAACAGTGTAAAAGTGTTCCTATTTCTCCACATCCTCTCCAGCACCTGTTGTTTCCTGACTTTTTAATGATTGCCATTCTAACTGGTGTGAGATGGTATCTCATTGTGGTTTTGATTTGCATTTCTCTGATGGCCAGTGATGATGAGCAATTTTTCATGTGTTTTTTTGGCTGCATATATGTCTTCTTTTGAGAAGTGTCTGTTCATATCCTTCACCCACTTGTTGATGGAGTTGTTTGATTTTTTCTTGTAAATTTGTTTGAGTTCTTTGTAGATTCTGGATATTAGTCCTTTGTCAGAAAGGTAGATTGTAAAAATTTTCTCCCATTCTGTAGGTTGCCTGTTCACTCTGATGGTAGTTTCTTTTGCTGTGCAGAAGCTCTTTAGTTTAATTAGATCCGATTTGTCAATTTTGGCTTTTGTTGCCATTGCTTTTGGTGTTTTAGTCCTGAAGTCCTTGCCCATGCCTATGACCTGAATGGTATTGCCTAGGTTTTCTTCTAGGGATTTTATGGTTTTAGATCTCACATATAAGTCTTTAATTAATCTTGAATTGATTTTTGTATAAGGTGTAAGGAAGGGATCCAGTTTCAGCTTTCTACATATGGCTAGCCAGTTTTCCCAGCACCATTTATTAAATAGGGAATCATTTCCCCATTTCTTGTTTTTGTCAGGTTTGTCGAACATCAGATGGTTGTAGATGTGTGGTATTATTTCTGAGGGCTCTATTCTGTTCCATTGGTTTATATCTCTGTTTTGGTACCAGTACCATGCTGTTTTGGTTACTGTAGCCTTGTAGTATAGTTTGAAGTCAGGTAGTGTGATGCCTCCAGCTTTGTTCTTTTTGCTTAGGATTGTCTTGGCAGTGCATGCTCTTTTTTGGTTCCATATGAACTTTAAAGTAGTTTTTTCCAATTCTGTGAAGAAAGTCATTGGTAGCTTGATGGGGATGGCATTGAATCTATAAATTACCTTGGGCAGTATGGCCATTTTCACAATATTGATTCTTCCTATCCATGAGCATGGAATGTTCTTCCATTTGTTTGTGTCCTCTTTTATTTTGCTGGGTATTGGTTTGTAGTTCTCCTTGAAGAGGTCCTTCACATCCCTTGTAATTTGGATTCTTAGGTATTTTATTCTCTTTGAAGCAATTGTGAAGGGGAGTTCTCTCATGATTTGGCTCTCCGTTTGTCTGTTATTGGTGCATAGGAATGCTTGTGATTTTTGCACATTGATTTTGTATCCTGAGATTTTGCTGAAGTTGCTTATCAGCTTAAGGAGATTTTGGGCTGAGATGATGGGGTTTTCTAGATATACAGTCATGTCATCTGCAAACAGGTACAATTTGACTTCCTCTTTTCCTAATTGAATACCCTTTATTTCTTTCTCTTGCCTGATTGCCCTGGCCAGAACTTCCAACACTATGTTGAATAGGAGTGGTGAGAGAGGGCACCCCTCTCTTGTGCCAGTTTTCAAAGGGAATGCTTCCAGTTTTTGCCCATTCAGTATGATATTGGCTGTCGGTTTGTCATAAATAGCTCTTATTATTTTGAGATATGTCCCATGAATACCTAGTTTATTGAGAGTCTTTAGCATGAAGGGCTGTTGAATTTTGTCAAAGGCCTTTTCTGCATTCAATCTGATTAAGAATTACTGCTAGAGAGCTAGCGTGCTCTTCTTGAGGTAAGGGGACACTCTTATGGTTTGGATTGCCAGCATTCTTATGCTAATTTTTTTCTTATCTGAGAGGTCTAGTGTTTCTTTAATTGTATTGTAATCTGAGAATAGTCAATTGGCTTCATTTGTGGGTATTTTCAGAGAGCTATGGCTCTGTGCAGGATCTTCATTTGTGAGTAGATGATTCTTTCCCTGCATTTCATACGTGGTGTATAATTTCAGAATATTTTGGTGTTGTAATTTGAGGTGAAAACCAGTAGATTTTGCTTAAGAGTAATTGCTGGCAGATACGCAGTTACTCAGCTGTATTTGCAGTAGTGCTCAGTGTTGAGGATGGAGAGGAATTATCCCCCCACCAGGTCTGCTCCTAGGCTTTGGGGAGCCCCTTGTGATCACCGGTCCTGTGCCTGTATTTCTTTTGTGAGATGTTCTGGACTATCAGAGTCCTGTCAGCTGGAGGCTGCAACTGGCAGAGAGGTCATACACTTCCTAGACTGGCCATGCAGTGGGAGACAATGCCCTGCCCCTGGACCAATCCAGAAGCCCACATGTCTCACCCCTCTCTGTGTTCTGAGGGTGGGAGTTCCACCCCTGCTCATGTGCTGAGAAGAGCTCTCTGCTTGGTACTCCTAAGCTGCACATTGCTGCTCTAGAGTGCTGGCACCAGCACCTGGCTTCCCCTTCCAAGCTCCTGTGTTTGGACACCAGCTTTGTTGGGGGATCTGAAGTACTCCCAGGCCACCAGGAATTACTATGGTAGGGATAATTGCAATGCACTCAGTCTGGGCAGCAGAGGCTGCTCCGTGTACATATTCCTGTGGGAATGGCCAGGCAGGGGTCTTGCAAGGGGCTAGTAGGCAGGAGAGCCTACAGATCAGAAATGCCCTTGCAAGAAAGTTGGCACTGCTTTCTCTTTGTCCCATAATAAGCTGGAGATAGAGCAATTTGGAGGAAGATGGGGAACCTTGAGGGATGGCCTCATATGGCTCATCCATAAAACATACAGGCTTATATGGCTATGCTCTACCATAGTTATCCTGCACCCAGAATCCCCTCTGGGCTCTTTGCAGGCTTGAGTTCTGTCTCTGCCTAGTCTCTGGGCATATCCCCCTGCCAATTCAAATGTCTATAGGGGTAGTGGGATCTTTCTTAGCTAGGATCCTAGAGGCCCACAGCAAGAGTGGTCTGTCCCACCTATTTTATATCTTGATGAATGAATTTTGTCCAAATAGGAAACAACTTATTTTCATTTCTGTGTCTAAGACAGATGTGTTCAGATCATCTATACGTATGTTACTGGACTTGACATTTGATTCAATATCTTCCCTAAATGCACTTGGGAATATATAAAATAACAGTATGAAAAGATTCAAATAAAAGTAGTCAAAACATATATCAAACAATGCAGACACACATACGCAGACACAAACAAGATTACTTGCTTTATGTACAAAGAGGCATCTAAATTTAACTATTTTATTTTCTTTTTTTATCTATCCATACATGATATAGCTGAATTTACACCAATTATTAGATTGTCAAACTGGACTCGCACACATTAAGCTTGACTAACTAATGTCAAGGGTACAGGCAATTCAAAGACTCAGATGAAGCAGATAGAGGTCTTGAGAGGTAAAGGACAATTTCTTAAGTTCTTCTTGCATGAGAATAGCCATGGGAGGTTCAAAGGATTCCTAATTTAGAGAGGAATTTTAAATACTAAAATTATCATTTTATACCCCCAGAGAGTTGCATAGCCTTCCTTACATGACATAGCGATATTTCCTAGGAAATCAGGACATACAGGTACAGGGCATCTTGTTAAAGTGAAATATAAAGTCTCTTCCTCCTTCCAAATATCAATGCATTATGTTATGTATTTACCAAGGTGACCATCAACTCACATTTGAAGGGAATGAGTAGATCCTAAATGAGCTGCTCCTTTCTCCCAGTCAGTAGTCTTCCAGCCATTCAACAATTAATCAATTTAACAACTAACACAGATTTTAATAGTTTTTAATAGGTTTGGAACATTTTTTCTACTATGAAGTTACTTACAATCAAATATTTGTTTTTTATCTAGTTTTCTAATTATTTTGTCTTTATCAAAAAGTAATTTAAGGACCTCCTACTCACAATTGCATCTTTTCTATCTAACAGATGTGAATCACGTAGAAGTCAGTCATAATTTATTTGCTTAAAAGAAATGAGTGAAAACCTACTTAAAAGTGTAAAAGCTCATAACTATAACCACATTGAAGCCTAAAAGATGTATCACATATTTGTGATTTGTTGTCAGAAATTTAGGGTGTCAGCAATAGAACATATTTAGTACCTATGAGCTACACGGTAGTACAAAGAAAAAAAAAATGCCAAAGTAATTTATCATAGTTCATGTTATAAAAGGAAAGTCTATCAGCTAGGTCATCAAAGACAAATGTAATCTAATAAATAAGTATAGCTTTGATGTGCAAAAAATTATATATAATTATGTTTTCCATTCATATTTTATAGTTTGAAATTTTCAAAACAATCTATTTTTTGTTTATTATTATTATACATGACTTATGCTTGTTACAAATTTAACAGAACAGGCCAATGATACTCATAATGTCTCAACAATTTTTTTATAAGTAATATCGTAAGCTAGAGTTGAAGCAAAGACTTAAACATTATTTGTGAAATTTCCATGTTCTTCCCACTGTACCACACCGACACCCATTATAAATGTGGCCATACCATACAGGCCAAAGTGCTTTGTAAGTCATCTTATATTAGATATTGTCTTCTGTCACCATTGATAATTCATTAAGCAAATATTATAAACAAGAATAAATATGAAATATAATAAAGCATAATAGTATTACTAATTTACACTGGTTATCATTTTTTTTAGAAAAATTAAGATTTGCTTTAGAAATGTCTAGATATTTGGCAGCAGCATAAATCACAATTCTAAACTACTCAAAAGAAGTGACAAAGAAAATCACAGTTCCCTTTGACTACAATTCTACCTTTAAAATAAATAGTCTTATGATTGAGAAAATATTTTCCATGATAAATGTTCTTCAAGAAAGTATATCAGTGGCAAAGTAAAATAAAATGGCATTTAATTTTATGTATTCAATAGTTATGTGAAAATGTTCAACATTACGGCTGGGCGCAGTGGCTCCCATCTGTAATCCCAGACTTTGGAAGGCTGAGGTGGGCGGATCACCTGAGGCCGGGGGTTTGAAACCAGTCTGACCATCATGGAGAAACCCCATCTCTACTAAAAATAAAAAATTGGCCAGGCGTGGTGGTACATGCCTGTAATCCCAACTACTTGGGAGGCTGAGGCAGGAGAATCGCTTAAACCTGGGGGCAGAGGTTACAGTGAGCCGAGATTGCGCCGTTACACTTCAGCCTGGGCAACAAGAGCGAAACTCCATCTCAAAAAAAAAAAGTTCAACATTACTAATCATCAAGGAAATGCACTTTACAACCAGAATGAGATATAATCATATCCATTAGAATGGTCATTAACAAAAAGTTGAAAGATAACAAGTGTTGGCTAGAAGGTGGGAAAAGGGAACTTTTGTACACTGTTGATGATTAACCCAGTCATTATGGAACAGAGTGGCTTTTCCTCAAAAACTTAACAATGGGACTACTATGTGGCCCAGCAATCTCACTTCACATTAAATGTATCATCACATACATTTAAAGGAAATAAAATTAGTATGTTGAAGAGATGTCTGCACTATTGTGTCATTGCTACATTCTTTATGATAGACAAGATTTGGACTCAGCCTAAGTGCCAGTCATCAGATAAATGTATAAAGAAAATATATTATGTATATACAACAGAGCACTTTTCAGCCTTAAGAAAGAAGGAAATTCTCTCATTTGCAAAAACATGAATGAACCTAGAGGACCTTATGTTAAGTGAAATAAGTCAGGCACAGAAAGGCAGATACTGCATAATCTCATATATATAATCTAAAAAAGTTGAACTCATAGAAGCAGAAAATAAAATGGTGGTTTTAAGGGTCTAGGGGCATTTGGGGTAGGGAGATGTTGATCGAAGGGTACAGAGTTTCAGTTAGGAAGAATAAATTCTGAAGATCTTGTACAGCATGGTGACTACAGTTAGTAGCAAATGTATACCTGAAAATTATGAAGAGATGTGATGGTGATCTTAAATTTCTCACCATAAAACAATTGATAAGTATGTGAAGTAATGGTTATATTAAGTAGCTTGATTTAATCATTTCAGAATATATACATATATAAAAACAACACATTGTAACCCATAAATATACACAATTTTTGTCAAGTATACCTTAATAAAGCTGGGGAAAATGAATAAATGAGTTAATTAATTAGTGATAAAACATAAAGTTTATGTCTATGAAAGATAAAATGTGTATGTCTTGTTATATTCATCTTATTCTATCCCAAAGAGATGGCATTTAATGAAAGAAACGCAGTTTGAAAGTAACTTGCCATTTTGAAACATTTACTTTTCCTAAGCACTATTATGAGCTTTTGATACAAAAGCACAAATAGAAGTGTCAGTCAGAAAGCTCTATGGGAAGTTTGTGAAAGGATTCTGAAGAAGTCATGAAACAAATATTTTCCTGAGCTACATGTGCCCATCACTGTGCTAGATTGTGGTTATAACAACAGTGGGAATAACATACAGTGTTGGACCGAAGAGTTATTTGGTGTGTTAAGAAAATACTTGGGGATTGGAAGATTGTTAATATGTGTAAGGTAATTTAATTCATTTTTATGCAATGAAAATGTAGCCAAATGCATAAACATGCATATATACATGCGTGCCTACTTACACACATAAATATAAAATTTCAACATTTCTGGAAAGATTTTCTCATTTCATCCAGTTACAATGCTGCCATGTCTAGAAAAACAGTTGTTTTGTGTGATATGTGTACAATAAGCTCTGAATAAATTAAGAAATTTTATAGTTCAAACTTTAACTTATTCAATTCTTTCAGTGCAGTTTCCTTGATCACATAATCAGCCTGAATTAGTTTCTCCCTCTTCAATTTCCACAACATTTAAAATATACATTATTGGCCGGGTGCAGTGGCTCACACCTGTAATCTCGGCACATTGGGAGGCCGAGGCGGGCAGATCACCTGAGGTCAGGAGTTTGAGACCAGCCTGGATAACATACTGAAACCCCGTCTCTACTAAAAATACAAAAATTAGCCAGGTGTGGTGGTAGGCACCTGTAATCCCAGCTAATCAGGAGGCTGAGGCACAAGAATCGCTTGAACCTGGGAGGCGGAGGTTGCAGTGAACCGAGATAGTGCCTCTGCACTCCAGCCTGGGTGACAGAGCAAGACTCCATCTCAAAAAAAAAAAAAAGGAATATACATTGTTATTTTATTTTTTATAGCTTCATAGTTGGTAATGGCATCTTTTTTTAATAACAAATTAAAAACCGTGACAATGATGGAAAGTATATAACTAAAGCAGTCAAAAACATCTTCTCTTAATTTTCTTTATCAATTTACTCTGGTTAAGTGTTCTTTTATCTTTTCACATCCAGAAATTTACATTTATAAGTTTCCTAGGTTAAAGTACATTTTTAAAAGTTGGCTTATAATAACCCATCTTACGGAAGATTGATATATAAATTAGATCATCCAATTAATTTATCTATAGTATAAAGATAAATGTCATTATCTGGGATAGAAATATTCAAGATGAGTCATATCTATTGTTGTTTGGTGAGTTCAAAATTAATCAGGAAAGTGATTCTCATCTTCCAAGTTTTAATAATATAATTATATGAGGGATAATTTGGCTGGTGTGATGGCTTCAAGTCACTGGTTTGTCCTCTCAGATTTTCATGCTGAACATTTTTTCTTTATATAAGATTCTTAGTTGCACTTCATAAGCCTCTGTTTGCTTTCTTCCATTTGATCTGATTTGAAAAATTCTAGGCCTTAAGTTTCATTTGCATTATATAGTCCATGCTGTGTTGACTCTATCATTTGAATTTTGCGCACCAATTTGGTATCTGCTATCATTTACAATAGAGTTCCAATATATTCAATGCATGTTGGCTGAGTTTTGACCAATGCATATTCCTGTGTAGCCCAAATACCTATAATGACAAAAAACATTTCCATCATTCCATAAAAATTATTTCATGTTCTTTTCCAATCAATCCCCTCATCACAAGTAACATTATTATGATTTTTCTTCATCATAACATTTTTCCTGTTCCAGAAATTCAAAAATTATGCATTATATATTACTTTGTGTAATGCTTCTGTCACCCAGCCTAATGTTTCTCAGATTCATCCTTGTTGTTGGGCAGATTAGTAGTATATTCTTACATTTGCAGAGTATGATTCCACTGGTATGAATATATGACAGTGTGCTGATCCATTCTGCTATTGATGGACATGCAGGGACCTATTATCAATAAAGCTGCTATAGATATTTCTATTTTGTTCTTTTCAGGAACATATGTTTCCATTTATTTTTGGCAAACTGCAGTTAGGAATAAGAGTGCCAGGTTTTAGGGTATTTAATTTTATAATACAGTGTCAAGAGACTTCTGTTCTGAACTCTAACAAGAAGTTGTCAGCTCTTTTCCAAACTAGTTGTACAATTTTACAGTTCCATGAACAATTTGTTAGAATCATCAGTAAAATTTGGTAATATAATTCTTTTAAATTTAGACATTTTGGTAGATGTTTACTGTTTTCTCATTGGTTTCAATTTACCTTTTGTTGATGATTAGTGATGTTCAGAACTTTTCCATGAGCGTATTAGCAATTAATATTTTTTGTTTTTGAAGTGTCTCTTCTGTTTTCTATTTTATTGGGTTGCTTGTTTCATTTATTATTCAGATGTAAGAGGTCTCTATATGTCACGGGCATTGTACTTTTGTCTGATGTATGTTTTGAAAATATTTTCTCCAGCCTGTGCCCTGCTCATTTATTTACTTAGTATTGTTTTCTTTTAATGAACAGAACTTTAATTTCTGGTTAAGTCTAATTTATCACTTTTTTTCTTTGTTACTGCTTTCTGTGAACTATGAAATCTTTATCTACCTCCAAGTCATGTACTGATTATTTCAGGTTTTCTTGTAAAAGTTTTATGATTTCAATAACTGAAACATAGATGAGTTTGTTCTATTTGTTGTCACACTTCCTGCCTCTTTTCATATCTAGTAACTATTTTGAACTTTAGAATGATTTTAGGTTCAGAGCAAAATGGAGCAGAAGACACAGATTTCCCATATGCCTCCTAGCCCCACACATGCATGGCTACCCTCGTATTTCAACGTTCCCCATCTAAGTAGCATATTTATAACAACTGAGAGCCTACAATAATACATCATCATCATTCAAAGTCCATAGTTAAATTAGGATTTGCTCTTGGTATACATTCTATAGAATTAGACAAATATGTAATGACAGATATCCACCATTGTGATACTATACAGGACAGTTCACTGTCCTAAAAGTCCTCTCTACTCCACCAATTCATCCCTCCTCGCTCTTAAGTTCTGGCAACCACTGCTTTTTGACTGTTTCCATAGCTTTGCCTTTCCCAGAATGTCATACAGTATGCAGCCTTTTCAGTTTGATTTTTTTTTTTTTACTTAGCAATATACATTTAAGTTTTCTCCATGTCTTTTCATGGCTTTATAGCTCATGCTTTTTTAGTATTGAGTAATATTCCATTTTCTGGAGGTACCACTGTTTATTTCTTCAGTCACCTACTGATGGGCATCTTGTTTATGTTCACATCTTGGCAATTATTAATAAAGTGACTCTAAAGACTTATGGGCAGGTTTTTGTGTGAACACAAATTTTATTTATTTTTATGTATTTATTTATTTTTTTGAGATGGAGTCTTGTTCTATTGCCCAGGCTGGAGTGCAGTGGCAATCTTGGCTCACCGCAACCTCTGCCCCCTGGGTTTAAGCAATTCTCCTGCTTCAACCTCCTGAGTAGCTGGGGTTACAGGCATGCGCCACTATGCCTGGCTAATTTTTGTATTTTTAGTATAGATGGGGTTTCACCATGTTGATCAGGCTAGTCTCGAACTCCTGACCTCATGATCCATCCACCTTGGCCTCCTAAAGTGCTGGGATTACAGGCGTGAGCCACTGCGCCCAGCTGTGAATACAAATTTTAAACTCCTTTGAGTAAATTCCAAAAAACATGATTGCTGCATCCTATGGTAAGAATATGTTCAGTTTTATAAGAAACTGCCAAACTCTCTTTCAAAGTGGCTGTACCATTTTGCATTTCCACCTGCAATCAACGAGCGCTCCTCTTCCTCCACATCCTCACCAGCATTTGGTGTCAGTGTTCTGGAATTTGGCTGTTTTAATAGGTGTGTAGTGGTATCTCATTGTTGTTTTCATTTGCATTTCCCTGATTACATAAGATGTGGAGCATCTTTTTATACATTCGTTTCCCATCTGCATACCTTTTTTGATGAAGTATTTGTTAAGGTATTTGGTCCATTTTGTAATCAAGTCTTTGGGGTTTTTATTGTTCGACTTTAAACGTTCTTTGTATATTTTTGTATATTTTGGATAACAGTTCTTCATCAGAAGTCTCATTTGCAAATATTTTCTTCCAGTCTCTCCCTTGTGTCTTCATTCTCTACATAGTGTCTTTCACAAATCAGATTTAATTTTAGTGAAACCCAACTATCTAGTAATTTTTAATTTTATGCTTGGCATTACATATAAAAAAGCATGGAAACTTCATGTCTTGCACTAGACAGGGTTCTCCCTTTCCTGTGTCAAACTATATAACAAAGTTCCTACCATTTCAATTCATTCAGGGCTTAAGCTGAGTTAATGCTTAATTGCAGTTTAATTCCACCTCTGATTTATTTCTACTCCTTGGCCCTGTCTTTTCTGGGATTGTGATTGAAAGCCTGGCAGTTCCCTAATGCCTCAGCTCTGAAATACAGTTGTGCAGAGGTTTGGAGCTAAGCTCTTTATCTTTTAGGTCCATGAGATTGTAAATTGTGGGTAGTAATCTGAGATCCACTGTGTTTTTGTTTGTAGCAGTATTTTTCCAGCAGGGTTTTGTCTCTAAGCACCTCCAGACACAGAAAATTATACTCCACCGTTTAACTTTTGTTCTCGCTTCTGCCTACAACCTGCATTGCCCAAGACATATTCTGGATAGAAATGATTTTACAGTTGGAACTCTTCTGGTTTTCCATCAGTCATGGCCAAAGTCACAGTACACAGATCTGCTAATTTTCTTCTGGCTTCTGCTTTCCTCAGTTGAGTCTAATTTGGCTGGGTCCAGCAAAATCTGCCCACCATCTCCTTTGGAAGAAAATAAATGCCATTCTTGATAAATGACATTCTTGAGAATTGTCCCTACTAGAGGGCTTTTTCCTTGCTAAAATTTTAGTTCATCTAGTGTTTGTTGCTTCTGAAGCTAGGCATTGCTTATAAAATATAATATTTGAAAGTTTTCTATGTATAGAAATATCCAGCTGCCATAATATATTGGAGTTTAATCAGATGTAGAAGTGAATGGCATTACTTAAAGTTTATTTTCTTATTATTTTTGCTGGTATATTTGGCAATTTTTAATTGAAAGTTAAATATGTTATATTAAAAAACTGTCAAGGCCCTAAATGATTTTTTTTTAGCATAGATTTACCTTTGCCTCTGACAAAGAGTTAGAATATGAGCAAATTTGCCCATGTTGATTTGAGTGATTTGAACCTGAGTTCAATCTTTTGAGAGCAGATCTATCCCCAATTTATACTTACTGCAACAGAATAGCTTTAGGAGATATAAATGAAAGCTTGGTTATTTTCTAGAGCCTCTTCTCTTTCGCCATCTCTGGATTCTGATTTGTTCTATTACTGCTGAAAGTTCTTCTTAGTGTCTCAGTCTTTAACCACCATTTACTGCTGAGTTTCTCAGCCTGTCACCTGCTTCTTACAAATTAGCAAGTGCTTCAAGAGGAAAAACAACATAAATGTTTGACTTCTCTAAGTTCATCTTCCTCTGGGAGCTTTGTTTCCCAAATCCCAGTTGCCTCAATAGCTCTTTTATTTTCAACTTTACATTTTGTCCTTCTCTTATTATTGTCCTCAATGGAAGAATTTATCTACTTTGTCATAGCCAAAGGTGGAAGCATGCATCTGACTTTTTGCAACCCAAACACTCGTTTCCAAGTCAATACCTTTACTTTAAACTTGAATGTGTTAGATATTGAGTGTAAGTAAATTTAGTTGGGCCTTTCATATCCAGATTGTAGCTTTTCTCAAATTTCCATACACTTCAACTATATTGGAAAAGTTAATTGGCCATATAGACAGTCTTAATAGTAACTAAGTTTCATACCTTCTTCATATCCAATTCCTCACTATACTGTGTTTCAATCCAGAACCAGACTACATTATAAATCTTGCTATCACATGGAATTTTAAGACTTTAAAAATGTTTAATTTCATGTTAAAATACAATAATCAAACTTCTGCTTTTATATCTACAACTTGTTCACATTTTTAATTTTGCTACATCTTCTTATGAATTTCAAAAAGTTTCTTGATTATCCAATTTCCAATAAGCATATAGTCTTCTTCCAAATTTGATTTCTATAATGATAAGCTTGTACAAAATGGTTATTAACTTTTTAAAAGGTCTTCATAATAGTTTGGAATGTCCTAACATAAATAAATTCCATGAAATTCCCTCTCTGCTCAAGGATATTGATTATTTACTAAGAAAATCTCACCATCATGCTGATTGATATACATTTTCCATCTTTGGCAATATCCAGCTTCACAAAGTTTTGGCTTACATTCTAAAACATTTTTATTAATATATAATAGTTGTACACATCTTTGGGGTACATTTAATATTTTGCTACATGCATAGAATATGTAATGCTCAAATCAGGGTAATTGAGTTATCCATCACCTGAAACGTTTATCTTTTCTTTGTGTTAGGAAAATTCCAATTCTTCTCTTCTAGCTTTTTTGAAATATACAATAAATTATTGTTAACTATTATCTTCCTGTGGTATTATAGAATACTAGAACTTATTCCTTCTATCTAACTGTAATTTTGTACTCATTAACAAATGCTCAGTATCACAAATCATCAGGGAAATGCAAATTAAAACCAGAATGAGACATCCTCTGGACCAGTTAAAATGGCTATTACCCAAAATATTTAAAAGTAGCAGATGCTGGTGAGGATGTGGAGAAAGAGTAATTTTCATACCCTGCTGGAGGGAATGTAAAGTAGTACAACCATGATGCAAAACATTATAGAGTTTCCTTAAAACACTAAAAATAGAACTACTAGATGAGCCATCAACCCTGCTGATGGGTATGTACACAAAAGAAAGGAAATCAGTATATCAAAGAGATATCTGCACCCCCATATTTATTGCAATACTATTCACAATAGCCAAAATAAGTAATCAACCTGTGTCCATCATTGGATGAATGACTAAAGAAAATATAGAATAGATACAGAGTGGAATGTTATTCAGCCATAAAATGTAATAAAATTATGTCATTTGCAGCAACATGGATGATATTGGTGGTCATTATATTAAGTAAAATAAACCAGGCTCATAAAATCAAATATTGTATGTTCTTACTGATATGTGGGAATTAAAACTGTGGATCTTATGGAGGTGGAGAGTAGAATGGTGGTTGCCAGAGGTTGGGAAAGGTAGTGGGAAGTGAGGGATGAAAAGAAGTATGTTTACATATTGAACAAGTTTATCTAGATGCTACATGCCAGTTCAGATTTCAGGAGTCTAATGATTTCATATGTTTGCAAGGAACGGAGGAGCAGTTGAGACAATCATTGTGCTATAAAGTACAAATAATATCAGGCACCACAAAAAAATGCAAACAGGTAACATTGAGAGAGAATCAATCAGATTTTAGACAATGAAATATAGACTGCATATAGGGGATAATCAACAAAGTTGGTGAGAAAGGATGAAAAGGCACCTGTAGATATTCTGAAAAATTAGAATATGATCTTGGAATTTTAAAGTCAAAGAGTTCTATCCTTTGAGTGAAGACATTGTCCTTATGGCTTATTAGGATTAAATATCTTCATATCAGTTCTTTAAGAAGACCATGACATTGTTGACAGAACAAAGTCTGTCTTGTTTATTTTTCTGTTTCTGTGTCCAACAAAATGTTCCAATCCTGTGTGGCGCTTAGCACATATTGATTCTATTAAAGTAAAAAATAGTTCAACTGTATTTAAATAATATAGTCTACGACTTTATTTTCAAGCGGAGGTTCACAAAGTTTACATTTCATGATTTGTATTATATTTTTACAAATATCCAAGACGGGTAAATATGTAAACTGAGAATATTTTAGTAAAATTTAATTGTTTCACATTACCAAAGCTAAATGTGTAAATTATGTTTTCACATCGAAGAAATAGGCACATGTTCTTCCTTGCTAAGAAAAATTATAATAATGTTTAAATGCAGAAACATGTCCTTCACCCCCCTTCTAGCAATGGAATATTAGATATATACTAAGCAGGTATGAAAAGTAATGTAACATGTGTTTATGAATCAGGGTTGGTTTGTGGCTATGGAACATACGATGTAAATAATAATGAAAAGTGTTTGAGTGTTCTTTATTATAAAGAAAAATAAATTGCTATTTGGATACATATATATAGCTCTTCACTAGAAACAAAAATTTGGAAATCTGAAATAAGATTCTCTCTCATACAATTTACTAGCTGTATGAAATCAGGAGCTCTTAATCTCATAGTATCCCAATTTTCTCTATTTCTAAAATGAACAAAAGGACATCAATGGTTGTGAGAATTAATTTAGGTAGGAATGTGATTGGTCTAGTATAATACTTGGCACACATTAGATATATAAGAAAAGATTATGAAAGTAAAGGATGTTCCCAAAAGTATTAAATGTATGATTATCATTAGCAAATAAGTGCTTAAACTTGAAAATGAGAACTACCTAGGGACATACTGAATAAGACAATTGATATGTTCATAGCCAATAACATCTTACATATTAGTTTTTAGAACAATTTAGGGTACTTAAAATGAATTATATGTTAATATTTTGACAAAAAATAAGACTTCCATATTTTATTTTTCTCAATTTAGTCAAAAGAAATTTTAACAATTAAGAAAAGTATTGATTATATAGTATGGCTAAAAAGTGCTGAAATTATCTCATTGTACATAACCTTAATAGTTTTAGTTGAAGAGACATGTGCTCCTGACAAATATTATGTTTGTAGTCCCGCCTTATCCATGGGATGTATGTTCCAAGACCCCCAATGGATGCCTAAAATCAAAGATAGCACCCAATTCTATATATGCCATGTTATTTTTCTTATACATACATACTTATGACAAAGCTTAACTTATGAATTAGGCACAGTAACAGATTAACAACAGTAATAATGAAATGAACAACTTTAACAATATACTATAATAAAATTATGCCAATGTCATCTCTTTCTTTCAAAATATATTATACTGTACTCACCTATTTTTTGGACCATGGTTGATCATTGTTAGCTAAAACCATGGAAGCAAAACTGTGGACAGGAACTACTGTACTACAAAATGCAGATACCAATAGCGGCCTTATATACAGTGGTGTGGTCTTAAATTTTAACAACCTGCTTTCTTATGGGGTGATGGTTGGATTTTTATATGGGGTGGATTTTCTTATGGGGTGGAAGGATTTTTATAGCACTTGCTAGCTTCTATGGTGTAAATAGTTCCACTATGGCCAACTTCTATCTACTAACATTGTGTCAGCCAGATCACAAAAGTTCTGGCAATTTACCAAATGGCTCTCATGAAGTAGTATAAACCAGTTCCAGTGCATCACTGCTATATGTATCATGATAAAATGTCTAGCAGTTCATACTTACATCCTTTGAACTCCTGCCTCTCTCCCAATTTTAGTCTTTCTGACAACCATCTTAGACTGTATTTGCATAGTTACAGCTTAATGATTATTTGATAATGTAGATTACCCAGAGGATTAGCATGAAGTTGGTAAAAAAAATACACTCATATAGAAAACAGTAGTGGTCTTCCTATTCTAAGATCAACATTCAAAGTCAGTTTAGGATGAGATATGGGGTTCGAATTATTATTGTTGTTGCTGTTGTTATTGAGACAGGGTCTCATTCTGTCACCCAGCCTGGAGTGCAGTGGTGCAATTTCGACTCAATGCAGCCTCAACCTCCTGGGTTGAGAATCTGGTGATTCTCCTACCTCAGCTTCCCAAGTAACTGGGACTACAGGCATACACCACCACACACAGCTATTTTTTGTATTTTTTGTAGAGACGGGGTTTCATCACGTTGAGCAGGCTGGTCTCAAACTGCTGGGCACAAGGGATCTGTCCATCTCAGCCTCCCAAAGTGCTAGGATTACAGGCATGAGCCACCACCCCTAGCTGGGATTTGAAACATTTTCTTAAAATTAATAATTTGGTTACATCATCAGGAGAAAGCAATTATGCAGGCATGATCTTTGAAACTAAAAAAAAAAAAATTACTTTTTTCTTAAATGTTATATTTCTTACCCAAATATAGAATATAGTTAAATGAAAGATGATGAGACACTTATTAAAATAATAAACTGCTAATGTTATACAAGAGGAGTTTCTACCACATTATTTTACCAAAATAGAAAAAACTTGAAATATAAAAAGTTCAAGAATGTCTATCCAGTCCAGTTTCTCTGTATAGAGGGTTCCAGGAACATGCCATGAGTAGCTTTTGTTTTTTGCCATGATATTTGTTTGATAGTCCAACTTCCTAAATTGAATGTAAAAAGTCACTGAAACAGAAGGCAGATCTCAAAGGGTTAGCTTGAGGGTGCCTGAGAATTGATAATAGAAGGAGTTCAATTTTGCACTTGGATTTTGTATCTTGGCACAAGGATACTGTTTGTTCCTCTGGCCCTTTACAAGCTTCTGTTTTTAATGTTCAATATCACTTTTTTTTTTTAAAGTGGCACACTGGGGCAAACTATGAAGCAGGCCTTCTGTTCTTTAATAATGAAAACCTAGTCTTTCCAAGAGATGGAAGATTCCAGAGTAACTCAGAAGACTGACCAAAAAGCTAGGCAGCTCTGTGGCTTTAGGCAAATGATCTTGCTTCATGTCTCTCCCTCACAGTTCACATGAATGAACAGTGTGGATGCTGTTTCCTAAAGGGGTTTGCATTGTTTTTCTTTAATTCTTATAATTCATTAATATGGCATAATTGAATAGGACAATATTATTCTATAATTATTTTCCAATGAATCAGAAATATGCACGCACTATAGAAATGCAGACTTACCCTAAAAGTCCTAAGTCTTCAAGTACTAAGGTCATTACTTTCTGCGGATCTTGATATGGGTTGGCTGTGTCCCCACACAAACCTCATCTTGAATTCCCATGTGTTGTGGGAGGGACCCAGTGAGGGATGATTGAATCATGGGGCAGGTCTTTCCTGTGCTGTTTCGTGATAGTGAGTGAGTCTCACAAGATCTGATGGTTTGTATAAGGGAGAGTTTCCCTGCACAAGCTCTCTTTTGCCTGCTGCCATCCATATAAGATGTGACTTGCTCCACCTTGCCTTCTGCCATGATTGTGAGGCTTCTCCAGCCACAAGGAACTATAAGTCCAATTAAATCTCCTTTCTTTGTAAATTGTCCAGCCTCAGGTATGTCTTTATGAGCAGGATAAAAACGGATTAATACAGTAAATTGGTACCAGGAATGGGAAGCTGCTGAAAAGATACCCGAAAATGTGGAAGCTCTTTGGAACTGGGTAACAGGAAGAGATTGAAAGAGTCTGGAGGGCTCAGAAGAAGAGAGACAAATGTGCAAAAGTTTGGAACTTCCTAGAGACTTGTTGAATGACTTTGACCAAAATCCTGATAGTGATATAGACAATAATGCCCAGGCTGAGGTGGTCTCAGTTGGAGATGAGGAACTTGTTGGGAACTGGAGCAATGGTGACTCTGATTATGTTTTAGCAAGGATACTGATGACATTTTGCCCTGGCCCTAGAGATTTGTGGAACTTTGAACTTGAGAGAGATGATTTAGGGTATATAGTGGAAGAAATTTCTAAGCAGCAAAGCAATCAAGAGGTGACTTGGGTGCTGTTAAAGGCATTCACTTTTATAAAAGGAAGCAGAGCATAAAAATTCAGAAAATTTGCAGTCTGAAAATGTGATAGAAAAGAAAAACCCATTTGTTTTGAGAAGACATTCAAGCAGGCTGCAGAAATTTTCGTAAGTAAGGAGGAGCTGAATGTTAATCCCAAGACAATGGGGAAAATGTCTCCAGGGCATGTCAGAGGTCTTCACAGTAGCCCCTCTCATCACAGTCCTGGAGACCTAGGAGAAAATGGTTTAGTGGGCCAGGCCCAGGGTCCCCATGCTGTGTGCAAGTCTAGGGACTTGGTGCCTCTCTCCCAGCCACTCCAGTTGTGACTAAAAGGGGCCAAGGTATACCACGGGCTGTTGCTTCAGAGGGTGGAAACCTGTAGCCTTGGCAGCTTCTACGTGGTATTTAGCCTGCAGGTACACAGAAGTCAAGAATTGAGGTTTTGGAACCTCTATCTAAATTTCAGAGGATGTATAGAAACGCCTGGATGCCCAAGCAAAAGTTTGCTGCAGAGGTGGGCTCTCATGGAAAACCTCTGCTAGGGCAGTGCAGAAGGGAAATTTGGGGTCAAGTGCCCCCACACAGTGTCTCTACTGGGGCACTGCTTAGTGGATCTGCGAGAAGAAGGCTGTCATCCTCCAGACCCCAGAATGTTAGATCCACCAACAGGCTGCACTGTGTGCCTGGAAAAGCTGCAGACACTCAATGCCAGCCCATGAAAGCAGCCAGGAGTGGGGCTATACCCTGCAAAGCCACAGGGACATAGATACCCAAGACCTTGGGAACCCATCTCTTGCATCAGTGTGACCTGGATGTGAGACATGGAGTCAAAGGAGGTCATTTTGGAGCTTCAAGATTTGACTGCCCTGCTGGATTTTGGACTCGCAAGGGGCCTGTAGCCCCTTTGTTTTGGCCAATTTCTCCCATTTAAGATGGCTGTATTTCGCCGATACCTGTATCCCTGTTGTATCTAGGAAGTAACTAACTTGCTTTGGATTTTACAGGCTGATAGGTGGAAGAGAATTGCCTTATCTTGGATGAGACTTTCAACTGTGGACTTTTGAGTTAATGCCGAAATGAGTTAAGACTTTGCAGGCCTCTTGACAAGGCGTGATTGGTTTTGAAATGTGAGGACATGAGATTTCGGAGGGGCCCGGGGCAGAATGATATGGTTTGCCAGTGTCCCCACCCAGATCTCATCTTGAATTTTGACGTGTTAGGGGAGGGACCCAGTGGAAGGTGATTGAATCATGGAGACAGGTCTTTCCCACGCTGTTCTTGTGATAGTGAGAGAGTCTCATGATATCTGATGGTTATTATAAAGGGGAGTTTTCCTGTACAAACTGTCTTTTTCCTGCTGTCCTCCACTTAAGATGTGACTTGCTCCTCCTTGCCTTCCGCCATGATTGTGAGGCTTCCCCAACCACATGGAACTGTAATTCCAATCAAATCTCTTTCCTTTGTAAATTGCCCAGTCTTGGGTATGTCTTTATCAGCAGCATTAAAACAAACTAATACAGATCCCAACTTGCTAACCTTGATTAACTCTCTCTCTTCCAATCTCTTTTTCTCTCTCTGTCTCTGTCTCTGTCTCTGTCTCTCTTTCTCACCTTTTCTCTCTTTTCTTTATATCCTATTTTGTTGTCTTCAGATATACTTCCTCCTTGCCCTCTGTGCTGTTGCACAATTCCTACCATTAGCTAAGGCTTTGAAAAGCATGTTCTAGGAAAATAACTAGCTTAGACGCAATTTCTACTTTTGACTTCTAATAAAATTAATCCTAAGGCAAAAGGGTAAAGACAAATAAAGAAGGGGTACAAGGGAGTTTAGCTATATTTGTGTATGGTACACTTGAATATATAGATGTATAATTGAGTGGCTGGCCATACAGATATTAAAACAGTATTAATAAATCATTAAATTTTATTACCTCAATCTACTTTTCAGTCATTATCCACTGTATTTTGAGATATGGGGTTGGCAGATATTAAATAAGTAATTCTAGTGGAGTGCAATGGTAGTTATGAAAAGAGAGATGGAAGAACTCTTCACAAGCCTGTGTCCCAGAGTAAATAATGTTTATATGATATAACATAAGGCATATAATTACCTAAGCAAAATTAGAAAAGCAATATGAAGTTTAGGAGTGTCGCAAAGCAAGTTAAATTCCTTAGATCAGTAGTTCTCAAACTTTTTGGTCTCAACACTCCTCACATCTTTAAAAATTGTTGAGAATCACAAAATGTTCTCAATCTTGTTTCTGTGAGTTATATCTGTTGGTATTTACATATTAAACATTAAAAATCAGAAATCTTTTAAATATTTCAATTTGTTTAAAAATAAAATCTCATTGCACATTAAGTAACATATTCTGTGGAAAAATAACTACATTTTGTAAAAAGCAATGAAAAGAGTGGCATTCTATTACATGTTTCCAATCTTTTCGATGTCTGGCTTCACAGAAGACAGGTAGATTCTCAAAGATTCTCAAATTCCCTAGAGAATAAATCAAATACAATATAGATTCTGTATTCAATCTTTGCAATATTACATATCATATAGACTTTAAAAAATTTCAGACTTGTGAGTGAGAGTAAAAAAGGCAAGTAAAATTTTAATACTGCTGTGGAAAAAATTTTGACCATGGGGTCCTTCACAAAACAGTTCAGAGAAGCCCAGGGATCCTAGGGCCATGATTTGAAAAACCCCCCAAAATGGTAGCAAATATGAGGAGGTGGTTAGCATTGCATGATTCCTCTGCAGGTTGCAAGAAATTAAAGACTCACAGCTAAAACATTCCTTTATTCATCCTGGGAAGAATCAGCCTTCCAAAAGAAAACACAGTCTTCCTTCACATTCTTCACAAAATTTCACACTTCCTTCCACCTAGCTTTTACTGTCTTCTCCCTTGAAATAAATCCATGTCTATTACAAGTAGAAGGATTTAAATGCTGCCACACTTATTAAATAGCGTTATATCACTGACACCATTCATTTCTTTGAGCTTGACTAGATTTCCAATCTTGACAGCAAGTCATCATAGAGCATTCACAATCAGTATTGCTACCTAAACTGTGACAGAAAAATTTAAGGATAGTTTAGTAGGAACACTTAAAGAAACGTGTGAGGATTTGATGGGAAGATTAAATGGCTTCTACTGAGATTTGAATAGGTGGTTTTACTAAAAATAATTATTCACAGTGAAATTGTAAAAGATAGTACTTATCTTTAACAGTGTGGAATGAATACAAAGGTATCAGCTTGGTATATCTAGCTTGGGATTTAAAGCAGAACTTACAAAAATTCTGGAAAAACTGGAAACCTTTTAACAAATAACTACTTACCACCAAGACCAGTCTAATTCCAAGAGTTGGAAAAAAAGTCGCCGTTTTATGTAATATATCTATTCCTATAATTTTGTTAATAATGGGGAAATAAATAAAAACTGAATGATTGCAAGTGTTTCAATCTATATCAGTCTCAATTCTCAAATAGAGGTCAGAATTGAGAAATAATCAGGAGCAATTGATAAATAATTTCTTATCCCCATAATTTTTGAAAATAAGAGTTTCAAAGCAACATCCTTGAATGATTGTCATTTATGTCTTCATTCAACGAGCACTGATTCTTATTTGATATCAACTGTTGTTTTAAACGAGAGATAAGATCTCCACTGCATCCTCAGTACCAAGTAAAGATATGTAACAGGTAATTAATAAAATATTTTGTTTGTTTGTTTTTTGTTTTTGTTTTTGAGATGGAGTTTTGCTCTTGTGGCGCAGTCTGGAGTGCAGTGGTGTGATCTCCGTTCACTGCAAATTCCATCCCCTGGGTTCAAGTGATTCTCCTGCCTTTCAGCCTCCTGAGAAGCTGAGATTACAGGTGCCACCATCCCCAGCTAATTTTTGTATTTTTAATAGAGATGGGGTTTCACCATGTTGGCCAGGCTTGAACTCCTGACCTCAGTGATCCATCTGCCTCGGCCTCCCAAAGTGCTGGGATCACAGGTGTGAGCCACCACGCCCGGCCAATAAAATTATTTTTAATGATTGGAGAACAAATCAAATACAACATAGCTCACCCTCTCAAAAAATTCAGGATCTACAAGAAGAAACAAAAGTATGTATACACTTGCATAAATGGTATAAATAAGAGTACATAGAAGCAAAGGAAATAGAGTAGGTAATTCTGTGTTTGAGAAAAGTAGTACAGAAAGATTTAAAAGAAGAGGTGATAAATTTAAAAACCTTGAATATACATGGTTAAAATTATTTTTCCAATTTAACAAGGGGATGTGGAATTAAAATGATGAGAACCAAAGTTATAAAAAATATGTGGCATAAATAGGAAATTTTGACTTTTTAGTGTTGCATATTTGCATAATACAGAAAGTTTAGTGAAGCTGGAAAGTTGAAAAAGGTCAGTTGGGACCAGCTTAAATTCCACTGTGAACTTTGAACAGTATTAAGTAGGTAGTGGGAATCCACTGAAATCTTTTAAGCAAGGAAGTGACAAGATTGGATGTATGTGCTAGAAAGATGACTCAGATAACCTTGAAGGTTGTACGGCAGTTGAGATGAAAAGTAATTGTAGTGGGCATTAATTAGCTTAATTTTGCTCCCAAATGCCTGAAATCCCTATGATTATAATTCAAAGGAAAGCCAGAGAGATATTCTTTCTCTCCATGGTCTGACATCCAGGATGAGAGCCCATGTCCTAGTTTTGAAAATCAGATGTTTTTACCAGAGCAAGTAATATGCAGGTGAATGTTCACAACAGGGCACTAACTATAGTCAGTTTCCAGCAGTGATGGTGGCCTTTTGACAGCAGTGGCAATGGATCCAGCTATCGTATCTCAAATGTGTCTGTAGGATGAATTTGCTTATGATTTCTATGGCTAAGCTTTCCTTGGTTCCTGGTTGTTTGCTGAGATTCTCTTTAATCTTTCCATTTAGTCTGTGAAGTATCCCAGATTTTTTCAATTTATTTTTTTGCCTGTTTGTTTTATTTTGCCAGGATAGTTTTCAATTGCTTGGAACCAAGAACACTTTCTCACTGTTAACAGGTGGGCAATTCATTTAAATAATCAAGCTCAATACTTCAAAACCTCTTAGTTCACTTATTGCTATAGCATGCTTCCAAATGGACTCCATTTCATTGACCTGTTTTAACCTTTTCTCTTACTGTCACTAGAAATAATGTTCCCTATTGTAGCTACTTGAAGTGTGATGTAAGCACCATCAGCATTAGCACCCCCTAGGATATTGAAAATTCAGAATCTCAGGCAATTTATAGCCTCAGAAGTATACTGATATTGGAAGATTATTATCCAATGATTCTCATAAATATATTAAAAACAGGCTAAACCCTACATAGAGACTGTAAGTATGAAATCTTGGGGGGAAAACGATATATTTAAACTTGTGTAACTTGAATGTTTTGGACTGAACATATATACCAGAAAAGAAGGAAGTCTTGAGTAAAAAGGTAAACATCCAGTAATTTCCTCTGAGATGGTGGTAATTTAATAAACATCAACATATTTACCCAAATTAGTTTCCAAGCATGCTTTTAATAAAATGGAATATCAAATTTAAAACTTTTGATGAACAAAGTCCACTTAAAAAACTCAGCTTATGATTAGTCTTTGAAATAATTTTCAAGGGCATAGTTCATACAACACTATAATTATGTATTTATGCACCTCTTTGTCCTAGTAGACATTAAAGGTTTTGGTAGTAGAGGCATTACCTTACTCATATTTTAATACTTTAGCCCAGAATTTTCAGAGATCTAGAAATTGGCCAATCAGTATTAATTGAAGGAAATCTGTAATTTTTCCCTTATTTTTTGCTTTTGTGATAATGTTTTGATAACAATGCATAAAAAAACTGATAATACCCCTGCTTCTCAGCAGCTAAGACGTTCATAATTGTGTATCAGCTACCATCAAACAAGTACAGTGTATGCAAATTGGTGTATTATTTCTGTTTCCGGATTTAGTTTTTCAACCAGAGTTGGTGAGTTCCTCATTCACAGAAAGCCCAATGGTTTCAATGTTCCCTTCAAAATTCATGTTGAAATTTAGTCCCTAATGTGGCAGTACTGAGAAGTAGACCTTTTAGGAGGTGATTGAATCATGATTACTCTGCCTTCATTAATAGATTAATTCATGGATTGATGGGTTCATGGATTAATGGGTCATCAAGGGAGTAACTGGTGGTTTAATAAGAAGAGAAAGAGAGATTTGAGATTGCATGTGACCACTTTGAGCCTCCTTGCCATTTGACATCCTGCACCACCTCGGGACTTTGCTCTGAGTCCTCAACAGTAAGAAGGCTCCCACAAGATATACACCCTCAATGTTACAGCCTCCAGAACTGTAATAAATAAATAATTTTTTGTTATAAATTACCCAGATTCTGGTATTCTGTTATAAGCAACGTAAAATGGACTAGGACACCCAATATGGTTCATACAAAAAATAGTTTTCTAGTTTCCTTTTAAAAGAGTTAAAAACTAGTGGATAAAGTCAGTGTAATAAACTATTTGGTAATGCCTTTATTTTCAAGGATCAGAAGGCTGTATTAGTTTTACCGTAATAGTGATGAATCACTCTGAATTCTTATTTTATAAAACAAGGGTTACATATATATTAATGGGTTTATATGTTATGGGGAACACATATGATATCTTACTATATATGTAGAAACCTAATTTAACTAGCAACATAATCAAATGTTCACTAACATGGCATTGTAAATAGGGTTTTTATTGTATTAATGTTTTTATTTACATTTATAGATATTCCAACATTTTACAATGTGATTTATTTTATTTTCATTGTAATAAATCTTTTTGCCAACAATCAGATATTATGTACAGTTTATGTTTTGATTTATGAAGAATGATTTAATTTAGAAACATATAAAAGGTTAGGGCTTGGAGCTCATTAATCCTGAATATGAGCATTCGGACAAACTGTCTCAAAAATTAGTTTTCGAAGAACCTAAACCATACAATATATACTAAGACTTTTTTGTACATTTTGTATCTATGATAGGAAGGATGAAGTTTGCCTTGAAAAGCTGGCAATTTATATTGTGGAAAAATACATGGTAGGCAAAATGCTATAAGAATAATGCGCTGTTTTGCCTTTTCGGCAATATATTTAAAAGTGAGTGCTGTCATTGTATTATATATCAGTGCATTAGGCAGACTGATTCTCTGCATGAAGATGTTTAATTTAGGATGCAGATGGCACTTACCTTGTACAGTTTTCAGTGGGAGCACAACATTGCCTTATCGGCAAACTCATTTGGACAAGAAGATGTTTGTAGGGTAAAGTTTCTTTCACTTACATTCTAATAGAATGCTATGCTTTAAATCCATATTGACTTTGTTAACAGTGAAAAAGTATTAAATAACTTATGAGCTTGCTTGCATAAGTTAAGTCGTTAACCTTTTTTCCAGAAAGTAAATTTACAATTAAAAATGACTCACGTATTTTTTGTTTCTGAGAACATCCAAGAGAAGTTGCAAAGATCCACACCAAAAACAGAAAGAATTGTATAAGCTCATGTTCCTACAGATATTACTAGAGCATCTGTGGTATATTGGAAATTATACTGGTTCTGCCATCTCACAAGCCTTTGCTGATAATCTCTTTGTGTCACTTTCTAATTTTAGCAAACAATACAATCTCTCTAAAGTTTTGATTGTTCAGTAAATACAATGGAATTAATAATACTTATTTTGTAGGATTATCCTGCCGGTCATGTGTATAACATCCTCCATGTTTTGGATGCTAATTTAAAAAGCTTGCAAGAGACTCAATTTATCTTGTATATTCCAGTGCAGTTTTTATTAAGGGTAATTGGTTTTGGAATTATGTTTATTCTAAGAAAATATTAGTAAATAAATAAATAGAGCGTATTTTTTAATCATACAATTTCTCCCATCATGACATTTTAATCTCTGAATGATAGCACTTTGTTTTATTGCAGTTTATTTCCAGGTCTGCCTCTCTCTCTAGATTATAAGCATAATGACTGAAGGTTAATAAATAATTTTATTGTTATGTCATAAGTTCTTGACATAAGATAGTGTTTCAGTTAATATTATTACCTTTAAAGAAAATAGTTTTTTTTTTTTTACTTTTATCATTAAGGTTTAGCAAAATTTTAAGACACAAGAAAAGAAAAAGAAAAACAAAAATTTCTGAAAAAAACTGAATTGCTAATTGTTTTAATTGCTAAAAGTTTCCTCAGAATTTTCCACTTAAATGCTGTATTTAGAAAATGAAAAGTGTTATTGAAAGGAAGTACAAGCACTAGCACACAAGAGGGATTTATTGCTTCAGTTGAAATTTTTGCAAGTTCAGTATGAGAAAAGAAAAAATCCATTTTTTCGTTATTATGTATAAATCTTATCAGTTAGGGATATGAGTAGGAAACTGTATTTTCAAAAAGAGATTGCAGACTTGTAAGTTAGAAATATAGATAGAAAAGAAAGTGATGATAATTTAGTATGAGATTTTGTGGATTAGAGAAAGTTTATTGTGTACAAAATGCCCTAAGTAGCTGATATATATTCAGCGAAATTACATTGCCTCCTAATATGGTTTGGATCTGTGTCTCCACCCAAATTTCATTTTCAGTTATAGTCCTCAATGTTGTAGGAAAGGCCTGGTGATAGGTGATCGGATCATGAGGGAGGATTTCTCATGATTGGTTTAGTACCATCCCCTTGGTACTATCCTTGCAATAGTGCATGAGTTATTGGGAAATCTGGTCATTTAAATGTGTTTGTCACCTCCTCCATCTCTCTCTTGCTCCTCCTCTGCTCATGTAACATGCCTATTCCCTCTTAACCTTCTGCCATGATTGTAAGTTTCCTGAGGCCTCCGCAGAAGATAAGCAGATGCTAGCATCATGTTCTGTGTACAGCCTGCAAAACCATGAGCCAATTAAACCTCTTTATAGATTATCCAGTCTCAGGGTGATATGGTTTGGCTGTGTCCCCACCCAAATCTCATCTTGAATTGTAGCTCCCATAATCCCCGTATGTCATGGGAGGGACCCAGTGGGAGGAATTGACTCATGGAGGTGGGTTTTCCCCTGCTGTTCTCGTGATAGTGAGTAAGTCTCACAAGATCCGGTGGCTTTATAAAAAGCAGCTCGTCTGCACACAGTCTCTTGCCTGCCACCATGTAAGATGTGCCTTTGCTCCTCCTTTGTCTTTCACCATGATTGTGAAGCCTCCCCAGTCATGTGGAACGGTGAGTCCATTAAGCCTCTTTTTCTTTACAAATTATCCAGTCTCAGGTATTTCTTCATAGCAGTATGAAAAGGGATGGATGCAGAGGTAATTATACAATACAAGAATGGATCTTCCCTGGAATACACCTTCCCTGGGTGAAGTTAAGAAAGGACTACAGAATTCTAGGTGGTCTAGGTAGGACCACCTCTCATTTAGTGTTCAGAACTTCAGCATTGAAGCTGTAGTGTGGTCCCAGAGCTAGGAGGGAGCATCAGGAATGCTAGTACCTTGAATAAGATCATCAATTTCCTAGATGTTATACCACATAAGAAGTTAAACAACTGTCTCAGAATTCTGCATACTTTTAACAAGGTCCACACCACTCCTTCCCTAAAACAATCTCAACCAATTATCTCTGAAACTATCTGTAATAACAATATTTAATCCTTTGATCACTATGTCAATTCCATCAAAATATCCTGGATTACCAATTTGTTCTATATAACCTCTGTTATCTATTCTCCAAAGGTGCTGACCCCATCTATCACAGTTTTTGTAATCCTAACATTCATTTAATGTACTTTCTGGAACTCTTGAAATCTTCAGCTTTCCAACTCAATATCTTTTTCTGTATCTTCTTATTCTAACACAAATTGAGTGGCTCCTTTTGCACCAAGCTTCATATCATGAGGCTTGGGTGACATAGGTAGGTACATTTCTTGCATTTCACTATCATTTCCAGGATTTTCTCCTGCATTTCACCCTAAAAATCTAAAAGTTTTCAGCAAATTAAGCCACCCAATTCTACCTTGTGATCCTCCAAAGACTCTTCAACTACAACTTCTGATTCCTTGAAGATGTTAAATCCTGGCTCACTGCCACTCTGTGTAATCACTCCTGTCATAATTTTCAGTAATTCAAATATCCATGTGGATTATATCTCCAATAATTTAACATTTCAGTAACTTGATCTCTTTGCCTTCAATGATCTCATCTACCTCCCTTCCTAAGCAATGCATTCCTATGTTCATCCTACGTAACTACCTTAATCTCATTCTTACTGTAAATTCAGTTTCAAACCCCTTAATCTCTAACCACAGATTCTTAATAGCTCACTGTTTTAAATACTTCAACTCCAATAATATTTTCACACCACAAATCCTAATTCACTGCCTTTCAAACCTCTGATCTCTTACTTCCCTCATTTTTAGCTTGAAGCAAAATTAATTATTATAATTACTTCCTTTCACATTTTAGTTCCCTTGGTCCTTTTTTGCTATTTCTTATTCACTCATAAAAACCATAACTTTAAAAAAACATAATCATGCTGACTCTTACCACTTTGAAATCATAACCGCTAACCTCAAGTTGATCTTTAATAATGTCAGCAATCTTTGTATTTTTAAGTAACTATAAATATATTTAATTCTATTTTTTAATGTCATTTTACTATCTGACCTCAATAGCAGCAGGTTGTACAGCATGATTGACTTTTCTGTCTTTTATGAAATGATTTACTTCAATTTGGCTAAGAAAATCAAGTGAAATTATTATTCTTTAGAATTTTAAGATATATGACCTTTCTTTTTTAATTTCAATTTTTATTTTAGATACAAGGGGTACACGTGAAGATTTATTACATGGGAATATTGCATGATATTGAGGTTTGTTGTACTAATCCTGTCACCATGGTAGTGAGTGTTGTTTGAATAGGTAGCTTTTTAATCCAAGCCCCCTGCTTCCACCCTCCAATAGCCCACAGTGTCTGTTGTTCCCATATTTATGTCTATAATGTGCTCAATGCTTAGCTCCCACTTATAAATGAGAACATGTACTATTTGGTTGGTTTTCTGCTCCTACATTAATTTCCTTAGAATTATGACCTCCAGCACTATCCATGTTGCTGCAAAGACATGATTTCATTCTTTTTATATGGCTGTGAAGTTTTCCGTGGTGTATATGTACCACATTTTCTTTATCCACTCTATCATCAATGGCCAACTAGGTTGATTCCATGTCTTTGCTATTGTGACTAGCACAGCAATGAAAATAGGAGTTCATGTGTTTTTGCTAGAATGATTTATTTCCTTTTGGGTATATACCCAGTAATGGGATTGCTGGGTTGAATGGTTGTTCTAAGTTATTTGAGGAAGCTCCAAATTGGTTTCTACAGTGGTTGGGCTAATTCACCACCTACCAATGTATATAAGCATTCCCTTTTCTTGGCAGCTTCTTCCATCTGTTGTTTCTGACTGTTGTGAGATGGTATCTCATTGTGGTTTTGATATATATATTTCCCTGATTATTGGTGATGATGACCATTTTTTTCATATGTTTGTTGGTCACTTGTATGGTTTCTTTTGAGAAGTGTCTGTTCATGTCATTTGCCCATCTTTTAATGAGCTTATTTGTTTTTTTGCTTGTTGATTTAAGCTCCTTATAGATATTGGATGTTGGATCTTTGTTGGATGCATACTTTGTAAATATCTTCTCCCATCTGTAGGGTATCTGTTTGTTCAGTTGATAGTTTCTTTATTATGCAGAAGCTCTTTTGTTTAATTAGGTTTCACTTGCCAATTTTATTTTTTCTTGAAATTGCTTTTGGGGACTCAGCCAAAAATAATTTTCCAAGGCCAATGTCGAGAAGATTATTTCCTAGGATTTCTTCTAGGATTTTTGTAATTTGAGGTCTCACATTTAAATCTTTAATACCTTATGCATTAATATTTTGCATATGTTGAAAGTTAGGGATCCTGCTTCATTCTTCTACATGTCGCTAGCCAGTTATCCCAGTATCATTTATTGAATAGGAAGCCACTTCCACTCTGCTTGTTTTTGTCAGCTTTGTCAAAGATCAGATAGTTGTATGTGTGTGGCTTTATTTCTGAATTTTCTATTCTGTTTTATTGGTCTATATGTCTGTTTTTGTACTAGTATCCAGCTGTTTTGATTACTATGGCTTTATAGTATAATTGGAAGTCAAGTAATGTGATGCCTCCAGCTTTATTCTTTTTGCTTAGAATTGCTTTGACTATTTGAGCACTTCTTTGGTTCCATTAGAATTTTAGAATAGTTTTTTTTTAATTCTGTGAAGACAATGTTCATAATTTGATAGAAATAGCATTGAATTTGTAAATTGCTTTTGGCAGTTTGATCATTTCTACAATATTTATTCCTCCAATCCATGAGCATGGAATGTTTTTGCACTTATGTGGCATGTCTCTGATTGCTTTCAGCAGTAGCTTGTTAACTCTCCTTGTAAAGATCTTTCACCTCCTTGGTTAGCTGTATCCCTATTTAGTTCATTTTCTTTGTGACTATCATAAGTATGTTTTTTATTTGTTTGTTTGTTTGTTTGTTTTTGAGACGGAGTCTTGCTCTGTCACCCCAGCTGGAGGGCAGTGGCACAATCTCGGCTCACTACAGCCTCTGCCCCCTGTATTCCAGCGATTCTCATGCCTCAGCCTCCCAAAGTTGGAATTATCGGCGCATGCCACCACGCCCGGCTAATTTTTGTATTTTTAGCAGAGACAGGGTTTTGCCATGTTGGCCAGGCTGGTCTCGAACTCCTGACCTCAGGTGATCAGCCTGCCTCAGCCTCCCAAAGTGCTAGGATTACAGGTGGGAGCCACTGCGCCCAGCCGGGATTGTGTTATTGATTCCACTCTCAGTCTGGATGTTGTTGGTGTATAGAAATGCTACTAACTTTTGTGCATTGATTTTGTATCCTGAGACATTTCTAAAGTCACTTGTGAATTCTAGGACTCTTTTGGCAGAGTGTTTAGGATTTTATAAGTATAGAATCATGTTAGCAGTGAAGAAAGTTTGACTGCTTCTTTTCCTATACGGTTGTCTTTTGTTTCTTTCTCTTGTCTGATTGCTGTGGCTAGGACTTCCAGTACTACATTGAGTAGGAGTGGTGAGAGTGGACATTCTTGTCTTACTCCAGTTCTCAAGAGGAGTGGTTCAAGCTTTTGCCCATTCAGCATGATGTTGGCTGTGGGTTTGTCATAGATAGCTCTTATTATTTTGAGGTTCCTTCATTGCATAGTGTCTTGAGGGTTTTTATCATGAAAGAATGTTGAATTTTATTAAAAGCTTTTCTGTGTCTATTGAGATGATCATATGGTTTTTGGTTTTTATTCTGTTTATATCGTAAATTACACTTATTGATTTGCATGTTTAGCCAGTGTTGCATCCCAGGAATAAAACCTACTCTACGGTGGTGTATTAACTTTTTGATGTGCTGCTAGATTTGATGTGCCAGTATTTCATTAAGAATTTTTGTACCTATGTTCATGAAGAGTATTGGTTGTAAGTTTTCCTCATTTTGTTGTGTCTCTGCCAGGATTTGTTATCAGGCTGATGCTAGCTTTTTAGAACAAGTTAGGGAGAAGCCCCTCCTCCTTCCATTTTTTGGAGAAGTTTGAGTAAGATTGGTATCAGTTCTTTATATATCTTGTAGAATTTGGCTGCAAATCTATCTAGTCCTGGGCTTTTTTTTTTTTTTTAGGTTGGTAGTTTCTTCACCACTGATTCAATTTCAGAAGCTGACATTGGTCTATTCAGGTTTTAATCTTTTCCTGATTCAATCTTGGGAGTTTGTGTGCTTCCAGAAATTTTTACATTTTCTCTAGATTTTCTAACTTGTATCCATAGAGTTGTTCATAGCAGTCTCTGAGGATCTACTATATTTCTGTAGGATCAGTTGCAACATCATCTTGTCATTTCTGATTGTGCTTATTTGTATTTTCTCTTTTTCTTTGTTACTCTAGCTAGAGGTATATCAATCTTATTTATTATTAAAAAAAAAACAACAACTCCTGGTTTTATTTGTATTTTGTATTCATTTGTGCATCTCATTTTCATTAACATCTTACCTAATTTTAGTTATTTCTTTTCTTATGCTAGCTTTGAGGTTGGTTTGTTCTTCCTTTAAGTGCAATGCCAGATTGTTCATTTGAAACCTTCTAACTTCTTGATAAAGGCATTTAGAGCTATGTAATTTCTTCTTACCATTGCTTTGACTGCATTTGAGAGATTTTGGTTGTGTTCCTGTTTTCATTGACATCAAAGAATTATTTTTATTTCTAACTTAATTTTGATATTTGGCCAGGAGATACTCAGGGGTAAGTTGTTTAATTTTAATGTATGTGTATAATTTTGAGGGATGTCCTTGGTATTCATTTCTGTTTTGATTGCACTGTAGTCCAAGAGTGTGCTTGGTATGATTTCTCTTTTTTAAAAATTTATTGAGGCTTGCTTTATGACCAAGTATGTGGTCAGTCTTAGAATATGTTCCCTGTGGAGATAAGAAGAATGTATATTCCATGGTTGTTGGGTAGAGTGTTCTGTAGATGTCTACCATGTCCAGTTGGTCAAGAGTTGAATTTAAGTTTAAAGTTTCTTTCTTAGTTTTTTGCCTCCATGATCTGTCTAACACTGTCAGTTGAGTGCTGAAGTCTCCCACTATTAATGCATGGTTGTCCAGGTCTTTTTATAGGACAAGAAAAAGATGTTTTATCAATCTGGGTGCTCTAATGTTGAGTGAGTATATATTTAGGGTAGTAAGGCTTCTTGTTGGATTGTATCTTTTATCATTGTGTAATTCCCTTCATTATCCTTAGTTTTTATTGGTTTAAAGTCTGTTTTATCTGATATAAGAATAGAGATGCCTGCTCTTTTCCTTTTCTGTTTGTATGGTAAATCTTACTCCACCCTTTTACTTTGAGCCCCTGGGTGTCATTACATTTGGGTCTCTTGAAGACAACAGATGGTTGGGTCTTGTTCTTTTATCCCTTAAAGTCACTCTGTCTTTTAAGTGGGGACATTTAGTCCATTTACATTCAAGGTTAGTATTGATATGCGTGATTTTTATCCTTCGATTGTATTATTAGCTGGTTGTTATGCAGACTTGATTGCATAATTGCTTTATAGTGCCTGTAGCCTATGTGCTTAGGTGTGTGCTTTTGTGTTAGCATGTGTCATTCATTTGAATTCATGTTGAGTGCTCCCTTATGAACCACTTGGAAGCCAGGTCTAATTGAAATGAATTGTCAGAGAAGGATTTTATTTCTCCTTCACTTATGAAGCTTAGTGTGGCAGGGTATGAATTTCTTGGTTGGAATTTCTTTTCTTTATGGACACAGGAAATAGGCCCCCAACCTCCTCTGGTTTGTAAGGTTTCTGCTAAGAGGGCTGCTGCTAGGCTGATAGGGTTCCCTGTGTAGGTTACCTGCCCCTTCTCTCTAGCTGCCTTGTTTTTCTTTTTCTTTGGCATAGACCTTGGTTAATCTGAAGACTATGTGTCTTGGGGATGGTTATCTTGTATAGTACCTGGCTGGGGTTCTCTGTATTTCTCAGATTTTCATGTAATCCTCTTCAGTGAGATTAGAGAAATTTTCATGCACGATACTCTCAAGTATACTTTCCAAGCTGTTTATTCTGTCTTCTCTCTCTCTGGAATGCTGATGAGTTTTAGATTTGGTCTCTTTACATAATCCCATATTTCTGGGAGTTTTTGTTCTTTTTTCTTAATTCTTTTTTCCTTACTTTTGTCTGACTGAGCTAATTCAAAGAACCGGTGTTTGAACTCTGAGATTCTTTCCTCAGTTTAGTCTGTTCTTCTGTTAATACTTCCAACTGTATTATGAAATTCTTGTAATGAATTCTTCAGCTCAAGAAGCTGAGCTTGAGTCTTTGTTAAAATGGGAATTATGTCTTTCATCTCTTGAATCATTTTACTGTATTTCTTGATTCCTTGGATTGAGTTTCAACTTTCTCTTAGATCATGATGAGGTTCCTAGTGATTCAGATTCTGAATTCCATGTCTGTCATTTCAGATAATTTAGTCTTGTTAAGAACTATTGCTGGGGAGTTAGTGGCTTGTTTGGAGGCATAGGGGCATCTGGCTTTTTGAATTGTCACAGTTCTTGTGCTGATTCTTTCATCTGAGAGGGCTGACATTCCTTTTATTGAGGAATAAATCAACTATAGTCTATTGACCTCATTTCTGGAAGTTTTCAGATGACGAAGCTCTGTACAGTCTTTGTTGTAGAATTCTTGCTCTTGGTTTTGCAGGAGAAGAGTTAGTAAAGTGATTTCTGGTTTTGTAGTTGGGCTGTGATCCAGCAGATGGTGCTTGAGAGCAATGGGCAGTAGATAGGGTTTGCTTTTGTTGTCGTTAGGCCTCTTGGGCCACAGGGCTCTGTTGGGGAGAGGTCTGACAGGAAAATAAGCTACATCTTTATTGGAGTAACCCTGGAGGGAAGTATGGCTAGGCTCCACACCGACTTCTGAACCTGTGCAATGCAGCCTTCTCAGTTTTCTGAGAGTGTGGGCTCCTCCCCCTTTCAAGTGCCAAGCACAGATCCCATTTTGGCACTCCTAAGCTGCAGGCCACAGTCCTGGGGTGCGAGGACATGCTGGCTGCTTCTTCTTCTGAATGCTTGTGGTTGGGTTCCTGGTACAGTGTGGGATCTGAAGCGTTCCCAGGCTGCCAGGATTCACTCAGGTGAAACAAAGCACCTAGGCTGGGCAGCAGAGGCTACACTGGGTATGCATTCTTATGGAGTGGCCAGGCAAGGACCATGGGAGGGGCTGGTGAATAGACAGGTCTGCAGGACAGATGTGCCTCAGTCCTGTGAGGAAGCTGGTCCTGCTTTCTCCCTGGTTGTTAGCTGGGGCCAGGACCTCTCGGTTGGAGGGAGGCAGGGAGCCCTCGTGGGTGGGCACTCATGGCCAGGCTCTGCCAGAACTCACCTGTGCTCAAAGAATCTCAGCTCTCTGCCTACTGCAGTTCTATCTTCATCTAATATCTTCATCTAATATCCATGGATATCCCCTTGTCAGCTCACATGTCTGTGGGGATGTGGGATCTCCTGCAGCTAGGATACCAGAGGTCCCTGGTGAGAGTGGGCAGTTCCCCAGTCATTTAACTCACCACTTCCCCAAGCACCATCCAGTCACCCCATATAGGGTCCTCTGCTTCCTCCCTTTTTAGCCTTAGCAACTGCATCTTTTCTCCATCAATATTTTGCATGTTCTCTCTGAAAATCTGTTAAAATTTTGTTGGTGTAGTTACAATCACGGTCTTTCTGTAGAAAAAGGTTCCCAGCTGCATCTAGTTGGCCATCTTGGAGAAAGTCCCAACGCCAACAATCTTACTGCATTTGCCTATTTCAGTCCCACTTCCACTCTCTTAGATTTCAATTTTATGAGTTCTTTAGTCATATTAAACCGCAATTCCTCCTACTCAAAACTCAAACTTCTTTGATGACCTAGTATCTTTTGAAGCTTGAAATGTACATTTGAACAGCTCTTTCCTAAGCTCAAATCCTTGTTTGCTCATCTACTTAAATCTATGGTCACTCTTGAAGTATACCCTTATTATAGATAAACTGTCCTTGATGTTAACTAAAGCACATGTGTACTAGATCTATGTGTACTAGATCCATGTGTACTAGATGCCATCTTCTGATGTATTTTTAAAGAATATTTCACCAGCAATTCTCCCACTTAATTTGAATCACCAGTTTTCACTCCCAGTTGGATCATTTTTATTAGAATATAAACATATCCTGTATTATCCATTAAAAAATATAAAATGTTCTTGATTCTATAGTTTTCTCTAACCTACTACCCTATTTCTCAGCGTGCATATACAGAAAAATTGGTTGTCCTGCTTTTTTCCATCATTCTTTTGTAAAGCTTTAAATTTAGAAGTTACTAAATTTAACATAAATAAAATCATTAAACTAATACGTATCTTAAATAATTTTAGCACAAACCAGCTTATAACTACTATACAAGTCAGGAAATAGAACCTTGCCTGACTTTCAGAAGCCTTTCATAATACTCCCTCAATGACAAACGCTTCTTTCTATCCTAATTGCTATTTTCACTCTAATAGTAACACATTTTTACATTTCTGCCACAGTTTATTTTTTTTAATCATCTTCATATTAGGTTTGTCCTCACATTCTATGTAAATGTTCTTTTGAAATTTACCAATGACCTACATGTTGCTAAACTGAATGAATCCTCCTGTAAGTAACTAGATCAGTATTTGACTATTAATATATATATATTATTTATTTTTCATGAATATCACACACTTCTTTTCCTCCGTACTCTACTGATTCTCCTTTTTTTTTTATTCTCATTTTACTGGCATTTTTATTATGGTGGTAAAAATGTCCAACATTGCTAATGTTGCTTTTGCTTGAGTCCTCTCATTCTTAGGTAGTCTAGCTAAAGATTTGTCAATTTTGTTAATTAATTTTTTCAAAAAACAACCTTTACATTTATTGATTTTGTTCTGTTTTTATATTATCTATTTTATTTCTGCTCTAATCTTTATTATTTCCTTCTTGCTGCTAATGTTGCTAAATTATATAAAGTTTTGTATACTGTACTTTTGTGTTTGTCTCAAGATGTTGTCTAAGTCTCTAGTAATTTATTGGTAGTTAAACCACATACTGTTTAAAAGTATGTTGTTTAGCTGGCTGGGCACAGAGGCTCATGCTGGTAATCCCAGCACTTGGTGGGCCAAGGTGGGCAGATCACTTGAGCTCAGGAGTTCCAGACCAGCCTGGACAACATAGTGAAACTCCATCTCTACTAAAAATACAAAAATTAGACGGCCATGGTGGCCTGCATCTGTGGTCCCAGCTCCTCCTTAGTAGGAGGCTGAGGTTGAAGCCTGGGAGATAGCGGTTACAGTGGGCCAAAATTGTGCCACTGCACTCCAGCCTGTTGACAGAGTGAGACCTTCTCTCTCGCTCTCTTTCTCTCTCTCTCTCACACACACACACACACGTATGTTGTTTAATATTTACGTTTGTTAATTTTCCAGTTTTCTCCTGGTATTAATTTCTAATTTCATTCCATTGTGCTTGGAAAAGATATTTAATATGATTTCAATCATCTTAAATTTGTAAGACTGGTTTTGTGACCTAACGTGATCTTTCCTGGAGAAATTTTAATATCAGTTTGAGGAAAAAACAATGAATTCTGCTGCTGTTTGGTGGAAGTTCTGGATATGTCTATTAGGTTCAGTTGGTCTATAGTGTTATTCAAATGCTCTCTTTATTTTCTGGTGGTTCTATCCATAATTAAAGTAGGATAACAAAATTTCAAACTCTTTTTGTATTTCTACCTATTTCTCACTTCAGTTCTGCCAATATTTGCTTTTATATTTTGGTGTCTGAATATATACATGTAATATGTGCATGTGTATGTGTGTGTGCACGTGTATGTGTGCATAATATCTTTATAATTATATCTTCCTGGTGAATTTTTTTTTATCATTAATGTCCTTCTTTGTCTTTTGTGAAAATTTTTGATTTTTCAACTATTTTTTTCCGATGTAAGTTGTCAAGTCTGTCCCGCAGACCCTGGCCGAGTGACAGATGAAAGGAGTACTTAGACACAGGTATCCAGTGAAAGGATGGGCTAGGGGACTACCAGCACCAGGGGCCGAAGACAGTTAGCAATCTCGATAAGCCAGAGCTGCTTATATTTATTCAGCACAGATTTAATGACAAAGGCCTGGACCTAACACAACTTGTAGATAATTAACATTGTTGTCCCCCCTTGCAGGGAGCAGTCTTGTGCGTGGATGATCAAAGGTTGGTTTCCGGAAAATAAAATAAATAAACTTATCTATATAAATTCCCCTGCATTCCCTTGCACCTACTTTTCGCCCTCTACCTCAGGGTAAGAGAATTAGCTGCCTTCAGCCTTTATTCTCTCCTTAAACTTTGCAAAACCTCCCGGCCTTCCAAGAAGGTTTGTGTCTTTCCCTGTAACTTTTCTTACAAATCTTCCACCACCCTGATCGATCTCCTACAATAAGTATGATCTTTCCTGCTTTCCTTTTGTTAGCATTTGCATGGAATGTCTTTTTTAATCTAGTCACTTTCAGATCCTTTATGTCTTTAAATTTAAAAGGAGTCTCTTACAGACCACATAGAGTTGGGTCTTGTTTTATATCCACTCAGTCACTATGACTTTTGATTGGGGAGTTTGTTTATATTTAAAGTAATTATTAATAGCAAATGTCTTGCTGTTTTGTTAATTAATTTTATCTATCTGATAATTTTTTGCCCATCTTTTCCTCTCCTACTGTTTCCTTTGTGTTTCATTCATATTTTTTTTCTTTCTGGTAATATGTTTTGATTTTTCTTTAATTTTCTTTGGTATATAGTGAGCTGTGTTCACACTACTGTACTTCAACCTGGGCAATGGAGTGAGACTCTGCCTCAAAATATATATATATATGGTATATATATAATGATATATATAAAATATATATGGTATATAAATAATGGTATATATAATATATATGGTATATATGCACTATATATACACACTATATATACTATATATACACACTATATATAGTGTGTATATATATACCATATATATTTTATATATACCATTATATATACCATATATATTTTATATATACCATTATATATACCATATATATTTTATATATACCATTATATATACCATATATATTTTATATATACCATTATATATACCATATATATTTTATATATACCATTATATATACCATATAAATTTTATATATACCATTATATATATACCATATATATATATTTTATATATACCGTTATATATATACCATATATATTTTTTTTGAGGCAGGGTCTCACTCCATTGCTCAAGTTGAAGTACAGTGGTGTGAACACAGCTCACTGCAGCCTCCTGGGCTCAAGTGATCCTCCTGTCTCAGCTTCCCAAGTAGCATTGTAGCTGGGACTTACAGGTATGCGCCACCACATCCAGCTGATTTTTGTACTTTTTGTAGCTCTCTATGTTGCTCAGGCTGGTCTTGAACTCCTGGGCTCAAGCAATCTTCCTGCCTTGTTCTCCCAACTTCTGGGATTACAGGTATGTGCCACCATGCCCAGCTGTGTATATCTTTTGCAGGTTTTTTTTTTTTCCTGTGGTTACCATGACACTTTCATAAAACAGCAATCTATTTTACACCGATGTCAACTTAGCTTTAATCGCATACAAATATTGTACTCAATTACTTCCACAGTCCACTATTTATATTATTGATGTCACAAATTATATCTTTTTATATTATTTATCCATTTATATATTATACAGTTTAAACTATTTTTAGTCTTTTTGCTTTTTAAATTCTATACCAAAATTCAAAATGATTTACACACTACCATTACAATATTACAGTATACTTTATTTGTCTACATATTTACCTTTATCAGAAAGCTTATAGGTACTCTTATACTTACCTGTGCCTTCATGTTGCTATCTACTGTCCTTTCTTTTTGACTTGAAAGGTGACTTTTAGCTAATTGTAAGCCAGATATGTGGTAATAAATTCTCCCAGCTTTTTTTTTATCTGGGAGGGTTTTTATTTCTCCTTCATTTTTGAAGGACAGTTTTTCCAGATATAATATTCTTGCTTGGCTGATTTTTTTCTCTTTTCAATGTAAATGAAATTTCATAATTCCACTTCATTCTGTCCTGCAAGATTTTTACTGACAATTTTGCTGATTGAGATTTTACGAACAAGAGTTCCTTTGTAGATGATGATTCTCTCCTGTTTTGCTACTTTCAAAATACTGTCTTTGAATTTTGACAGTTTGATTATAATATGGCTCAGTGTAGTTCATTCTATTTAGCATCTACTGGTCTTGAATCTGGATGTCCGTTTTCTTTCCCAGATTTGGGAAATGTGTGGCCACTATTTCTGTAAATATGCTTTCTATCCTTTTATCTTTCTCTTTATTTTCTGGGATGCTATAATGTGCACATTGCTATGCTTCATGATGTCCCATTCTTCTTCATTCATTTTTCTTTTTGCTTCTCTGACTGGATAATTTTAAATAACCTGTCTTTGAATTTGCCATTTCTTTCTTCTGTTAAGTCTACTGCTGAAATTTCACTAAATTTCAATTCAGCTTTTATATTATTCCAAGCTAAAATCTGTTTGGTTCTTTTACATTTTTAATGTTTTCTATTTGTTGAAATTTTAATTTTATTCATATATCATTTTCCTAAGCCAATTGAGCATCTTATGAAAATAAATTTGAATTATTTGTTAGGTAACTTGTAGACCTCCATTTCTTTATAGACATTTGCTGGAGATTTAGTTTGTTCCTCTGATTGTGCCATGATTTCCTGTTTCTACGTGTCTTATAACTTTATGTTGTTATCTCCACATTTGAATAAAACAGCAACCTCTCCTACCTAGACTTTACAGCCTAGCTTCATACAGGAAAATATCTTTGAAAATCAGCCTGGGTATAGATTATGGAAATGTCTCAACTATTTTCTGGGGATACATCTTCTCAGGTTTGTGCATGTGAATGCCCAACTACAGAGGTTTCCTTTACTGGTTTCTCTTTTCAGGAGCTCATAAGCTATTGTGTTCTCAGGTTTTTATTTGCAGCAGTATTACAGGTTCTCTGGAGCAGCAACGGCTACTTCTTTTTTGTCCTCAGCAACTCCCAAGCATGTAGAGTATATTAGGTGCCATTAGCACTCCAAGACAGGCCAGATAGCAACAAATTCCTTTGATGCCCCTGGAAAAGCTAAAACACTGGATGCATGTTCCAACTCTCCCCCCACCACTCTCCACCCATGGAGAAACTGGAATTCTTTGGCTTCCCACTCACTCAGTGCTGTATCAGGAGGAGGGGCTCTCACAGATGCACGCCTATATTCAAAACTGTGGCTTTTTTTTCTTTCTCAGCAGCCTCTAGCTTCAGACAATACAGAAATCCATCACTTGTTTATTCCTCTGAAAAGTCAGAATGTTGGAAGTACAGTCAAGTCTTTTCCTTCCCAGGGAGAAGGCTGGAGTTGGAAATTTCTTCCCTATTGTACCTTGTTGTTCCATGGGAAGCAGCTCTATGGAGTGGGCCCCACAAATTTCCTGCCAGCTTTGATGCAGCTGTTTTTCTGTTTGCCTGGGATAAAGGAACTTATTAATTGGTTTATGGATTTCTCACAAAGGAGGTTGGTCTTTGTATTATTGTTAATTATTAGGCGTCTCACGTCTCACTCACAGAAAAGAGGTTTCTGTTCTGCCATCTGCTTAACGTCATACTCTCATTGACATTTTTTACTTTGGTATGATCCAAAATCCAGTCATTGGGCATTTTACTTTCTTCATTCACACTTACTCTCTTAGTAATCTCAAACATTTCATAATTTAAATTTTATGTATTAATTGATACCTTATAAATGTATATCTCGATGAACACTAGTCATATATTTTCAATTACCTATTGACCATTCTAGAGATAGATGAATAATAAGTACTTTAAACTTAGCATACTCAATACTGAAATTTTGTATCCCTGATAGTAAAACCTTGAATCTTCTGTAGTTTTATTTACTTTCATAAGCAATGTTTTATTCTTCTCTTTATTCATCCAGCATGCTTGGAGTCATCTAAAATTCCTTAATTTCTCTCAAATCCAACATCCAGTCTGTCAGAAAATCCTGTTGAAAATATAAAGGTAATATAAATATTTTTAGAATCTAGCTATAGCTTTTTGAATTGTTTGCTTGCATGTTCCATTTCCTTTCCTCACATTAATATTCCATACAACAGCTAGAGTTATCTATTTAAAATATATCAAATAGTGTCATCACTCTGCTCAAAACTACTGAATCCTTAAAATAGCCTACAAGGATTCTGAAGATTTTTCACCTCTCTCCTACTTCTGACTTTACTGCTCTAACAACATCTCTAATTACTATTCTCTTACTAACTACTGGCCAGAATATAACCTTCTAGCTGTTTTTCAGATATATCATGTGTACTCCCAGCTAATGGACTTTACAATTATTGTTCCCTTGACCTAAAATGTTCTTCCGCCTCATTGACTGTCTTCATTTAACAAATTGCTCAAGTGTCAATGAAGATGAAGTCTTCACTGACCACTATATTTTATGGAAGTCCCCATTTTAGAGAGTTCCTTACCTTCCTATTTTTTTTTTCAAATCACTTTTTGGCATCTATTTTTATAATTTAATTAACCTTATTGATAACTTACCTAATAAAATATACCCGTATTATGTTGTGAGTCCTATGAGTTTTGACAAATATACACACCTATATGCATCAGCAAAATCAAGATACAGAATGTTTCAATAACATAAAATGTCCCCTTATGCCTCACTGCAGTCAAAAGCCCCCAAATTCTTGGCCCTCAGCAACCACTCATCTGATATTTGCATTTCTAGGTTTTCATATAAAGGGAATCATATAGTCTACAAAGTTTTCTTTCTGTTTTCTTTGGCTAAATATAAGGTTTTTATATTTATTAGTGTTGTGTGTAATAATTGGGTTTAAAGTGTTAATTAGCCTTTCAATATATGGATATATGTATATATCATAATTTTACTTATTTTGCCCTTGATGGACATTTGCTTTAAGTTGAATGTGGGGATATTATGAATGAAGCTGCTACAAGTATCTAGGTACAAATTTTTTTAAATATGTTTGCTTTTGATAATTAGGGTGGAATTTCTGTGTCTCATGGTAAATTAACTTTTTAAAAAGCAGCAAAATGTTTTCTAAAGTGGTTGTACCATTTTTTATTCCCCATTGCAACATATTAATATCCCAGTTGCCCCAAGTCCCTATCAACAATTGATTTTGCCAGACTCTTTTGTTTTAGCCTCTTTAGTGGATGTGTATGATATCTCTGTGGTTTTGATTTGCGTTTCTCTAATAGCTAAAAATATTGAGCATGTTTGACATGTTAAATCTGATTACTTATCTTCTTTCATGAGTTGCCTATCCAAATATTTACCCACTTTGTAGTTTTCTGCTATTTTCTTATCATTGAGATATTGGAGACTTTTATCATCTTAATAAAAGTCAGATATATATTTTCTTCAAGTTTATGTCTTTTTCATTTTCATAATAGTGTCTATTAATTAGTCGAAGTTTAAACAATTTTTAAAAAATTTTTATGACTTGTGCCTTTTGAGTCCCATTTAGGAATGGGACTAAATGGGCCCATTTAGTTGGCCTATGCAAAGGTCACAATTTTTTTCCCTTGAGTTTTTTTATTTTTCTGAGAATTTTGTAATTTGGGGTTTTTACATTTTTTTCTTTAATGCTTTTTTGTTGTTGTTGCTGTTGTTGAGACATGGTGTCACTCTGTCACTCTGGTTGGAGTGCAGTCACGCAATCATGGCTCACTACAACTGCTGCTTCCTGGGCTCAAGTGATCTTACCACCTCAGCCTCCCAAGTAGCTGGGACTACAAGTGCATGACACTATATGTGGCTAATTTTTGTAAGTTTTGTAGAGACAGGCTTTCACTATGTTGCCCAGGCTAGTCTCAAACCCCTGAGCTCTAGCCATCCTCCTGCCTCAGCTTCCCGAAGCGCTGGGATTACAGGCATGAGCCACAATAGGCTGCATTTTTATTTTGACAACATATGTGTATTCAGTTACTCCAGGACTATTTGTTAAAAAGACAATCATTTCTCAATTAAGTTAGTTTGATTCCTTTGGTGAAATAAAATTGGCCACTTATGTTGTGAGTTTATTTCTGTACTCTCTAATCTCTTTCACTGACGTATATGACTATCTATTTGCCTATATCATATTATCTTGACCACTCCAGATGAGTACTAAATCCTGAAATCAGCTAGTGGAAAAATGATAGTGTTCTTTGTCTTTTTTTTTTTTTTTTTTTTTTTGAGATGATGGAGTCTCACTTTGTTGCTCAGCCGGGAGTGCACTGGCGCGATCTCTGCTCATGGCAACCTTCGCCTCCTGAGTTCAAGATATTCTCCTTCAACCTCTGGAGTAGCTGGGATTACAGGCATGTGCTACCATGCCTGGCTAATTTTGTATTTCAATAGAGACAAGATTTCACCATGTTGGCCAGGCTGGTCTCAAACTCCTGACCTCAGGTGATCCGCCTGCCTCAGCCTCCCAAAGTGCTGGGATCACAAGCGTGATCCACTGCATCTGGCCATTTATCTTTTCAAACAATAATGTTGGTGATTCCTGGTCCTTTGCATTTCCATTTATGGTAGGTAGATACTAAGATGCTCTGCTATGATCTTCACCTCCTGGGATTCATAGCCCTGCGAAAAACACACACTCTAGGCTGGGCGCAGTGGCTCACTCTTGTAATCCCATCACTTTGGGAGGCCGAGGCGGGCAGATCACGAAGTCAGGAGATCGAGACCATCCTGGCTAACACAGTCACAGTGAAACCCCATCTCTACTAAAAATACAAAAACTTAGCTGGGTGTGGTGGCGCACGCCTATAATAACAGCTACTCAGGAGGCTGAGGAGGGAGAATGGCATGAACCTGGGAGGCGGAACTTGCAGTGAGCAGAGATTGCGCCACTGCCCTCCAGCCTGGGTGACAGAGCGAGACTATGTTTAAAAAAAAACAAAACAAACAAAAAAAAAAACCACACGCACTCTAATTGAAATGAAGATGTTATAATCATTAATTACAAAAGAATGAATAGTCTTGCTAGCAACTTCTTTTTCTTGCACATTTTTATGAAACAAGTTGTCTTGTGAGGGAGGCTCTGTGGCAGGGAATTGAGGATGGCCTTTAGCCAACAACCAGCTAGGAACTGAGGCACTTGTTTCAATAGCCCACAAAGGAAATGAATTCTACCAACAACCTCATAAGTAATACTAAAAATACATCTTTTCCTTGGTGAATATTCAGATGAGATGGCAGCCCTGGCTGGCACCTTGATTGAATCCAGAGATATGCTGAGTCAGAGGAAAAGCTAAGCAGTAACCTTTATTCCTGACACACAATTTATGAGAAAATAAATGTGCAATGTTTTAAGCTGGTAAGTTTGTGGTAATTTCTTATACAGCAATAGATGACAAATATAGCATGTAAGTTTTAGAGACAAGTTAACAATTTTTTTCTTTATTAGTCTTGCTAGCGGTCTATCAATTTTGTTGATCCTTTCAAAAAACCAGCTCCTGGATTCATTAATTTTTTGAAGGGTTTTTTGTGTCTCTATTCCCTTCAGTTCTGCTCTGATTTTAGTTATTTCTTGCCTTCTGCTAGCTTTTGAATGTGTTTGCTCTTGCTTTTCTAGTTCTTTTAATTGTGATGTTAGGGTGTCAATTTTGGATCTTTCCTGCTTTCTCTTGTGGGCATTTAGTGCTATAAATTTCCCTCTACACACTGCTTTGAATGCATCCCAGAGATTCTGGTATGTTGTGTCTTTGTTCTCGTTGGTTTCAAAGAACATCTTTATTTCTGCCTTCATTTCATTATGTACCCAGTAGTCATTCAGGAGCAGGTTGTTCAGTTTCCATGTAGTTGAGCGGTTTTGAGTGAGATTCTTAATCCTGAGTTCTAGTTTGATTGCACTGTGGTCTGAGAGACAGTTTGTTATAATTCCTGTTCTTTTACATTTGCTGAGGAGTGCTTTACTTCCAACTATGTGGTCAATTTTGGAATAGGTGTGGTGTGGTGCTGAAAAAAATGTATATTCTGTTGATTTGGGGTGGAGAGTTCTGTAGATGTCTATTAGGTCCACTTGGTGCAGAGCTGAGTTCAATTCCTGGGTATCCTCGTTAACTTTCTGTCTCGTTGATCTGTCTAATGTTGACAGTGGGGTGTTAAAGTCTCCCATTATTATTGTGTGGGAGTCTAAGTCTCTTTGTAGGTCACTCAGGACTTGCTTTATGAATCTGGGTGCTCCTGTATTGGGTGCATATATATTTAGGATAGTTAGCTCTTCTTGTTGAATTGATCCCTTTACCATTATGTAATGGCCTTCTTTGTCTCTTTTGATCTTTGTTGGTTTAAAGTCTGTTTTATCAGAGACTAGGATTGCAACCCCTGCCTTTTTTTGTTTTCCATTTGCTTGGTAGATCTTCCTCCATCCTTTTATTTTGAGCCTATGTGTGTCTCTGCACGTGAGATGGGTTTCCTGAATACAGCACACTGATGGGTCTTGACTCTTTATCCAATTTGCCAGTCTGTGTCTTTTAACTGGAGCATTTAGTCCATTTACATTTAAAGTTAATATTGTTATGTGTGAATTTGATCCTGTCATTATGATGTTAGCTGGTTATTTTGCTCGTTAGTTGATGCAGTTTCTTCCTAATCTCGATGGTCTTTACATTTTGGCATGATTTTGCAGCGGCTGGTACCGGTTGTGCCTTTCCATGTTTAGTGCTTCCTTCAGGAGCTCTTTTAGGGCAGGCCTGGTGGTGACAAAATCTCTCAGCATTTGCTTGTCTGTAAAGTATTTTATTTCTCCTTCACTTACAAAGCTTAGTTTGGCTGGATATGAAATTCTGGGTTGAAAATTATTTTATTCAAAAGAACTTATTTCATTAAAAGGATTGCTCTTTATCTTTAAATCAATGTGGAAAGAATGGTAACACTAAAATGTTTAGTTGTCCAATCCAGTAACACGGTGGGGTTTCCCATTTATTTGAAACTTCTTTAATTTCTCAAAGCCATATTTTATACTTTTCAGAATATAGGCTTTGCACACATTGAGTCAAATATTTAGGTAAGTCTTTACCTGTTTTGATGCTATTTCAAATGACAAATCTAAACTTTCTCTTCCCATTAATCATTGCTGATGTATAAAAATACAATAGATTTTTTTTACTCATCTTGTATAATATTGTATTACAAAATTCATTTATCAGTAACAATTTTTTGAATAGATATTTTTGTTTTTTAATCACATAATTATGTCAACAAAAAATACAAAGTTTTACTTTTATCTACAGAGTATTTATCTTATTATACACAAGCTTCACAATATTTATCTTATTTTAAATGTGCACCTTTAACCTATCACAATTTAAACAAGTTTACATAGGTCTTTGTTATAGACTAAATGTTTATGTCTCTCCAAAATGCACCTGTTGAAATCCTAACCACTTGGTGTCTCTCCCAAAATTCATTTGTTGAAATCCTAACCACTAAGGTTAGGAAGGTAGGGCCTTGGTAAGTATTTAGGTCCTGGAGATGGAGCCCTAATGAGTGGAATAGTGCCCTTATGAAAGACACTAAGGGAATTCCCTTAACCCTTCTTCCATGTGAGGACACAGTGAAAAGAGAGTTGTTTATGAACCAGCAAGAAGGCTCTCATTGGACACTAATCTGCCAGCACCTTGATCCTGGATTTATGAATGTTCAGAACAGTGAAAAATAAATTTATGTTGTTTCTAAGTTACCCAGACTATGATATCCTTCCTATAGTAGCCTGAACTGATTAAGACAAAAATTGGTTCCAAGAAATGAGGTATTACCATAACAAATACCTAAAGATGTGGAAGAATATTCAGAACTGTATAATGGGTAGAGGCTGAAAGAGTTTTGAAGTACATGTTAGACAAAGCCAATATTTCTGTGAAGGGACTTTTAAAGGTGATTCTGATAAGAGTTCAGAAAGAAAAGAAAAGAACACGGCTGGACACAAAGCATCTTCTTAAACAATACTTAAATCATGATAAACCAAATGTTGGTAGAAATATGGATGGTAGAACCTATTCTGATGAAGTCTCTTATGAATATTAGGAACACTGACCTAGTCTGGTAGCCTGCCTTAACAAAGCACCATAAACAGAGTAGCTTATGAGCAACAGAAATTTGTTTCTCACAGGTCTGAAGGCTGGAAAGCCCAAGATCAAGGCTCTGGGAAATATAGGTTCTGGTGAAGGCCTTTTTTCTGGTTAATAGATGGTGCATTCTCATTGCATCCCATAGTGGGAGGGGTCAATGATCTCCCTTGGGCCTATTTTATAAGTGCACTAATCCCATTCATGAGGTTTCTACCTTTCTCACATAAAAAATACATCATTCCATCCCAATAGCCCTAAAAGTTTTAACCAATTCCAGCATCAACTTAAACGTCTAAAGTCCCATCTCATTTAAATATCTAATTCAGATATGAGTGAGATTCAAAGTATGTTTTATCCTAAAGCAAATTGCTCTCGAGCTGTGAATCTGTAAAATGAAACTTCATGTGCTTCCAAAATTCAGTGGGGGGACAGGCTTATGATAGACATTGCCATTCTCAAACAGAAAAATAGGGATGTGAGGGTGATCTGGGTAGCTGGGCGTGTTTCCCCTTTCTTCTTCACTGCTCCATGTGCTCAGTTGATGAGAATGGCCTCCCCAATAGAGGAGGACTTTCTTCAGTCAAGAGCATATGAGTAACTGTGCTCCCCTGCTAGAACCTCCAAACAAGCTCTCAAAAGGGAGAAATAGGAAAAAAGAAAGGAGAAAGTAGTGACAGTTTCTGAGCAAGTCTAAAACCAATCTGTGGCTCAATGCTCTATTTTCTAGGGCTACTGGAAATGCTGTCCTGCCTTCCAGAACCACTAAGGTGTGGGTACAACTCCTACAGCCTTTCCGTGCATGGATTGGGCCACAAGGCTCCAGGTGTCCCTGCACTCACATTCTAGCTCACACAGATTGGGCATGTGCCTGCTGCCCTTCCTGGCTGGAAGTGGATACAGGTGGCTCTACCAGTCTAGGGTCTCAGTTGTGACACTCCCTGCATGACTCCATTAAGCATTGTTCTGTGGGGTTCTGTGTTAGGGCCCCAAGCCTAGCCATGGCTGTCTGTGGCATCATTTGAAATCTAGGTGAAGGAAGCCATGCCCTCACAGCTACGCTAGATACAGTACACACAGCATCTGGGCCTATAGGAGCCATATCTGAGACAGCTGACAAGTACAGCAAAAGGGTGATATGAGGAGGTACCAGGCAGAAATCTTAACATATCCTCATCTTAGAACTTTTGGACCTCTTGGTGTGTGATATGGTTTGCCTCTGTCTCCACTGAAATCTCGTCTTGAATTGTAGCTCTCATAATTCCCATGTGTTGTTGGAGGGATCCCATGGGAGATAATTGAATCATGGGGGTGGTTCCTCCCATACTGTTCTCATGGTAGTGAATAAGTATCATGAAATCTGATGGTTTTATAAGGGAAAACCCCTTGTGCTTGGCTCTCATTATCTCTTGCCTGCGGCTATGTGAGACCTGCCTTTCGCCCTGCGCCACGATTGTGACGCCTTCCCAGCCACGTGGAACTGTGAGTCTATTAAACCTCTTTTTTCTTTGTAAGTTACTCAGTCTCAGATATGCCTTTATCAGCAGTGGGAAAATGGACTAATGCAGTGTGAAATCAATGCATTTGGCATGTGAGAAGGACATGAATTTTTGAAGGCCTGGGGTGGAATATTATGTTCCGAGTGCTTGTGTCTCCCCAAAATGTATATGCTGAAGTCCTAACATCTAAGGTGATGGAATTAGGTGGTGAAGCCTCTGGGAGGTAATTCAGCCATGAGAGGGGACTTCACCAATGGGATTAGTACCCTTATGAGTGTACCCCTTCTCCCATGTGAGGACATAGCAAAAAGACAGTCATTTCTGAACCAAAAAGCAGGCCCCATCCAGACACTAAATCTGTTGGTATCTTGATCTTGAAATTCCTAGTCTTCAGAACTATGAGAAATAAATTTTTGTTGTTTGTAAACCACCCAGTCTATGGTATTCTGTTATAGCAGCCTGAATAGACTAAGACAATCTTGGACAATTAAGAGTAGTATCTTTCAACATCCTCCCTCCTATCCTTTGTGCTATTTGTGTCACACATTTAAATATATATATAAAATAAACTAAGCTGGCATTAAAATAGATTTATAATAAATTTTTTATTAGTGTTCATTTAGAAGAATAATTGTTTTCTTTAGTAGAAAATGTATTTTCTCTATATCCATATATTTACCTTCTTTTGGTGGTCCTTTTCTATTTGTCTAGATTCAAATTTTCACCTGGTATCCTGATTAAAGAATGTGCTTTAAGTTTTCTCATAGTATAAGTTACTGGTAATGGTTTTCTCTTCCATTTGTTTTTCTGAAAATGTCTTTATTTTACATTAATGTCTGAACACCATCTTCTCTAGTTGTAAAATTCTAGATTGACAAACTTTTTCTATTTTCATTTTTTAAAATGCCCCATTTTCTGCTTGCATAGTTTGTCATGATAACTATGCTATTTTTTCCTATTTGTCTGTACATAAAATATCCTTTATTTGTTTTGCCATTAAATTTTTCTGTTTTTACCTTGTTTTCATCAATTGAGTATAATCTGCCTAGGACTAGTGTCTTTTCTTTATGCTTTCAGAGGTTTGCTGAACTGTTTAAATCTGGGAATTTATAGTTTTCAACAAACAAAAAAATAAGCTATTATGAAACAATATTGTCCCATGTTTTCACTAAAGTTCTGGGAGTGTGTGTATGTGTGTGTGTGTTTTCTCAATCTTTTTTTCAATGTGGATAGTTCTTATAGCTTTGACTTTAGCTATTATGATCCTTATATTCAGCAATATTTTATATTTGTTATTAAGCCAACTCAGTGAATTCTTTTTACATATTGTACTTTTTTACTTTTAGAAATATCATTTGGGATTTTAAAAACATCTCTTATTTTTTGTAAGAGTTTCCCACTCTTAATTGTTGAAACGCAAACTTCTTTCAACCCTGTGTTCTCTCTGGGAACTTTTATCTCACATATCCCCAGTTATTTTCTCCCTATCCTTATGATGTTTCTACCTATACATGTATTGCCTAGAATTCAGTAACAGAGAGGGAGGCATGTAACAGTTAGAGGGAGGCCCCTGTGCAGAATTCTGCAGCTTTTTCTCCATATTACTCTATTCTTCTAGGTAGTCTGTCTTACAAAGTGAAACCACCTCCACTTCCCTGAACTTAGAGCTCTGTCTTGTCACCTTAGCCAGACCAACAAGCTCTGCGTGGAAACCTAAACCTTTACTGAGATTTGTAAAATGTTTCCAGGTAGAAAGTCATTTTATTTATTTATTTATTTTAAATTGATTTATTTTTTCTCTGAATAATCACAGTCACATCTTTCTTGGTTTCTATATTTTCTTAAAAGTATTTACATGAAAAGGATAAATCCATTTCCACTTACTTCATTATTGTTATAAATAGAAGTCTCTGCCATACCCTATTTTCCCTATTTTATCATTTGTTTATTATAGTCTGATTTTCCTAAAACGCCATAGGGCAGAGATTTTTGTCTTCTTTTTTCTTCACTGTATTTTTACTACCTCAAGAGTTATCTGGCACACAGGCACTGAATAAGTATGTGTTGAATGAATGCTTGTAAATACACATAAAGGAACTGCCTGCTGCACAACATCAATATGAATGTTATTTATATAATGTACAGGAACAATTATGGACCCAAAGAGAAATGTTGGTTATATCATTTTCTCAATCATTATTAATGTTCTTAAATAAATTATATTATCATATGCTTAGTTTGAGTAGTTGGTGTCTGTAGGAAAGAACAAAATCCACATTTGAAATATTATGATTTCATAAGAGTAGAAGATATACACTCAAAGTAAATTTGAGGTGGATCTACACAGATGTAATATTTATCTAAAAAATCCAAATAGACTTCTTAGACCCAGAGTCAATAATGGACTAAATTAAACTCTACATATAGATGTCCTCAAGTAATAGATGTGATTCTCTGGGTTTCACACAATAATGTTTGTCTTTACTTATCCTTTATCCATAGTATTTATCTGATACCCACAGGCTTGCCAGCCATCTCACCTAACCAGCCCGTGTTTTGATCTAGAAATTCAACTCATATTTATGTTTTAGAGTGGTGATAACCCCAGGCCTAAACTAAAAGCTACTCTATTCCTTCACTTGCCTATTAACTTCAACACTCTGTAAGGCATTCGATGGCAAAATTTAAGTACATTTATCATCAAAATCTGAGGGTAAAGAACTTCCATTTCTGGCCACAAAGAAATGGCAGGAGCAGAATTTACCCTCCCATATTAACTGCTATAAAATCAGTCACAATATGCAAGACAGTTTTTAGACACAAGAAAAGAGGCATTTCAGGACAATGACACCTAAAAGAAGGAAAGCAGATGAGGTGGATGATTGTCCTACTTAGTATGTAGTAATAATTTTCAAGATGCAATAGGGAGAAGAGAAACTAAAATAGAAATCAGCAGTCCTGCTTCAGTGAGGAGACAGTGATCAAAGCTCTCAGAGGACAATGGTTAGACTTTAGTGGAAAAATACAACAAAGGAAGAAGCTGTGTAAGGAGAGAGCTCTGGAGATATGCAGAAGGGTTCCTTTAAGTCTTTTGCTTAGAATTTATCAGCTTGTGTGAGGAAAATACCTGTAGCCAGAGAAAGAACAATCAGAAAGGAGAAGGAGGAGCACTTGTTGGAGCATTTTAAAGCCAAAAAAAAAAAGAAAGAAAAAAAAGTCATGCTCCTACCACTACAATAGAAAGACCTCCTGATCCATAGGAAATTGCTTAGAATCTTTAGGAAGGAATTGGTTTAGAAGTGAGATTACTAGGTCTACTACTAGGGCCATCGAAAAAATAAAACTTAAGAGCAAGCCCTAAAGGAACAAACTAATTCTTAGAATATAAAATATGTCCCAAAATAAAGGCAAAATATTTTTTTAAAAATCAGTAGCAAATTGTAAAATTTATAATATTTTACATTCAATAAAAATACTAGCATGTAGAAATATAAAAAATGTGACATGTAACTAGGAAAGATATACATGTTCAAAATGAAAGATATGAACATGAAGAGAGAAATGGAAGATGAAAAGAAAACTCAAATGGAACTTCCAGTAATGAAATATACATTATCTATAATTTAAAAGACACTGTATGGAATGAATTGCAGGTAATTCACTGGAGAAGTAAAGGCCACTGAACTTGAATACACAGTAATAGAATTCCAACATGAAGCATAAAGAAGAGAAAGAAAAAATAAACAGACCATTAATGATTTGTAGAAAATATTAGCAATATGGGAAAGTTTTACAACCTACAGTCATATTCCTTAATAAATCAAGGTAGGCCATTCTTTTCTCCTGGACTGGTCAATATTGTTATAACAGGATTTGACTTACCAAATCTGTGAGTCTATATGCTCTATTTTATGATGAACAACTCCATCAGAAATGGTTGGCATGCCATTCAGAATACATAAAAGAATAGCCATAACAATGATGTCTACTTAACTCTACTTCAAGAATTTCTGAGTGAAGTTGCAATGCCAGAACTAGTAATTTTATTTTTTATTTAACTTCCATAAGGAATACCAATTGCTTCAAAATTAAGCAATAAGCTTTTAAAGGGGCACTTTTTCAACTGGTGAAATGTATTGAATTTTGGCAGCTTTAATTTTACTTCTTTGTGCAGTAGTTACTATTCTAGTACTTTTTTTCAGTGCATTTCTGTGTCATTCTTAAAATCATTTTCCCATATTACCTTTGAAAATATTGAGGCATTCTAAACAGTGTCTAACACAAAAGATATGCATCCCTGATGTACAGTAACTCTTCGCACTCTATTATCTAGCTGACATTCTAACTGAGCCTTTTATAGTCTCTGTAAGAATAAGCTTTCTCCAGATCCCATATAAGATGTGTCTAGGACTCCTATTATATTATTAAAAATCAAATATTAATTGTTCTGAATTCACATTGAATTTTCACAAATCTTTTATGTAACCTCATAATCTAACATACCAAACTTTTATTAAAGATAAAAGTATTTTATATAACAATAAATAGACCCTTCTCTATTCTTTAATCTCATGCATTTTGTTGCTAAATCTTTCATTGCTAGATGTATGTATACTTTTGCCAATATCTAAAACTTCTGCCTTTCCATTGATGTCATGTCACACTCTTCACAAGTCTATTCTCACTGTTAAAGAATAAAACCATTCAGTTTGTTAATATGTTGTGTTATATTTCGATTTTTCAAATTGAATACACATTTTCAAAAATTCTGTATTGCTAATCAGAATTTTATAACTAAATTTGAATTTACTGTTTTCACACAGTTATAAAGAAATGCCTTACAATCTTTCTCAGAATGTTTCATTATAATAACAATAATAGTTTATAAGAAGGAATAAAGAAGTCAAGCACACAGAAAACTTTTTAACCTATTAGTCTCTCCCATTCTCTTTCAAAACTCATGAAATAACTGGCTTGAATGGCAGTATAATTGCTTATAATTGCATAATAAACTTCATTTGTTATATTTTTTGGCTCTAACTTTTCCTTTAGTAAAGTGTGATTTCCTTCATCTCTTGAGACTATTTTTAAAACATAAACTTCAATTACCTGTTTTTTTAAAGAACAATAAAAAATGTATTGATGCAGTTATAAATCTTGCTATACCAAAGTTTTAATCAGCGCTCTCCAGAGAAACAGAACCAATAGGAGATACAAACACACACACCAACCCATAAAAAGAGAGAAAGAAAGAGGAGAGAGAGTGAGATGATAAGGATTCAGTTTAAGTGATTATGGGGGCTGAGAAGGCCCACTATCTGCTGTCTGTAAGCTGCAGACCGGGGAAAGTCTATTGTGTAGTTCCAGTTCAAGTTCAAAGACCTGAGAGCATGGAGAACCAATGATGTAAGTTCTAGCTCAAGGGTAGGAAAAGACCAATGTCCCACACTAAAAACATTCAGTAGAGAGAGCAAATTGTCCCCTATCCCACATTTTGTTCTATTCAGACCCTCAGCCAATTGAATGATTCTCCTTTATGCTGGGGAGAGCAATCTTCACTCAGTCTACTAATTCAAATACTAATCTCATCCAGAAAACACCCTCAGAGACACATTCAGTGTAATGTTTAATCAAATGTCTGGGTAAAGTTGTCACCTAAAATTAACCATCACAGAACCCCTTGAAAAGATAGCATTAATAACCATTCATTGGATCCTTGATGGTGATGGCACAGGGATGAGACTAGAAGAAGACTGAAGATATTATAATCACATATTATCTTATTGATGTATTTTGTAGGATATCTAATGTGGATTTTAGTTTTAGCTCTCTTTATTGTCATGTGGTATTGAGCAAGGTAAAATTTAACAGATTTTAGGCAAAGTGGCCAATAAGATGTGACTGCCTAATTCACATAACTTTTATAAATATCAAATTAGATTAGTGATCGCATCATGGAACTGCTGAAATATATTTTATTATATTGTTTTTACTTGATAGTCAAATACTTATATGTTCATTAAAATGAGAACATGGTTATGATTATTCATCGCCCTACAACTAAACAACATTCAATAAATTTTAGACATTAAAAATTATTCAGTTCAACCAAACTTTTGATAAATTGTATAACCTCATCTTGTTACCTGAGCCACCACACAACCTCATTAAAATACTGTGCAACAGTTTCTGTGTTAACACACTCCCAAATAACCCCCTTGAGCAACAAAAGGAGAAGCTTGAACTCACTAAAATTAAAGAGGGTATAATTAGGCAATGGGTAACCTATAAGCAGAGGAATATTCAGGCCTAGGCTGGCTTCTGATTAATTATACAAGTAATTTTCCAGCATACCTCCTACTAGAGCTGTCTAATCATGCCTGCTAGTAAGGGATATTATCAAAACAACACATCTCTATTACGTATTAGGCCATGATGCATTATTAGGACAGTTAAGACCACAGGATCATTATCTCATTGTGAAGAATAGTTCTATAATGACTGAGTTTGGTGCTCTTGTAAAAACTGTAGAAGGCAGTGGTTTAAGAAACCAAAAAAGTTTAAAAAGTCTACAAATTTTTAGCTATTTAAAGAAATTATAGCTAATGAATATTTAATTATCCAGGTGTTATAAATAAAGTTTTGGTGCCGCAAAAGAAATAGCACTCGAATATAAAATTGTCTTTTTTAATTCTCAGCAAGGCAAGTTACTTCTATAGAAGGGTGCGCCCTTACAGATGGAGCAATGGTGAGCACACACTTGGACAAGGGAGGGGTTCTCATCCCTGACGCCCGTGGCGCCTGCTGCTGTGTCGTTCCCCTGTTGGCTAGGGTTAGACTGCACAGGCTAAACTAATTCCGACTAATTTAAAGAGAGTGATGGGGTGAGTGGTTTGGTGGGAAAAATGGTTATGACAGAGCAGATAATCGGAATGACTCAGGGTGGAGCAGGTAATGAGAATGAGTCAGGGTGGAGCAGCTAATCAGAATTAGTCAGGGTGGAGCAGGTAATGGGAATGAGTCATGGTGGAGCAGGTAATGGGAATAAGTCAGGGTGGAGCAGGTAATGGGAATGAGTCAGGGTGGAGCAGGTAAAGGGAATGAGTCAGGGTGGAGCAGGTAATGGGAATGAGTCAGGGTGGAGCAGGTGATTGAAATGAGTCAGGGTGGAGCAGGTGATTGAAATGAGTCAGAGTGGAGCAGGTAATGGGAATGAGTCAGGGTGGAGCAGGTAATGGGAATGAGTCAGGGTGGAGCAGGTAAAGGGAATGAGTCAGGGTGGAGCAGGTAATGGGAATGAGTCAGGGTGGAGCAGGTGATTGAAATGAGTCAGGGTGGAGCAGGTGATTGAAATGAGTCAGGGTGGAGCAGGTGATTGAAATGAGTCAGGGTGGAGCAGGTAATCGAAAAAGGTTGCTTTATGAGGAAGTTAAGTTTTTTTTGTTTTGTTTTGTTTTGTTTTGAGACAGAGTCTTGCTCTGTTGCCCAGGCTGGGGTGCAGTGGTGCAATCTCACTCACTGCAAGCTCCACCTCCCTGGTTCAGGAAGTTAAGTTTAAAAGTAGAAGGCAAAGAATTGAACATACTGACATACTGATTCTTTGAAAAGAAATTTAGAACTCATATCTAACACAGATAATTATTTTTCCATTTATTTCCAGCTTTGAAATTATGTAGAAATATTTTGACACTTCAAATATTTCACATTCTTGAATGTGGTTGATTGAAATCTGCTCTCTCAGGAAGACCTGTTATTTCTTTTTCTGGATCTTTTTCTTCACTGCACGAAAAGCCCCCAGCTTGTGGAAATGAAACAATGCCCTATCCTAGCCCATTAGTGAATACTTGACTCAGAACAGACTGAGAATGAATTATCTGGACAAGATGGGTGACAAAATATTCAAATAGACACAATAAACAAAATACTTTAACAAACAGAATAAGCCTGGCTAGAGAAATCAGAGACTCAGAATAGGATACTTTACTATTTGGAGCATGTTATTCATAGAGTATTCTACAAAACAAAAACAAAAAACTAAGTTCTTCAAAATATTCATATTTGTTCTGCTAATAAAGAGTTCCTGGTTAAACCTTGGAAGACACTGGATTTAATAACATTAACTAAATTTTCTTTATGCAAATACCTTTAATATAATGAGACTTTAATTTCTAAAGAGTAAGATCTGATATTAAAAGTTCTCCCTGATTATTTACTGCTAAACTATTTACCGTCTGTAGAATGTCAGTATTCTAGAAAACACAGTTTAAAAATGGGTAGAACAAAGATGAAAATGTCCAAGGTACGTTCATTGTACCAGAACACTACACTTCATTAGCTCTAAGAACTTCAGCAACACTTTTTCTCATAAAATGACTTCAACCCTTTCTCCATCAAAACACATACACACACACACACAATACACACACATACACACCCATATGCCTCACCATTTCAACTGAAGCTAAAATTGACTCTCCAGGAATATATTTTTTCAATCATTCCACCTTGTGGCATATATCTCAGCACTCATGGATTCCTAAGTTTTCAATAATTATTATTTTTTCATTACTCCTCTTAATTGTAATTAACTTTAAACTCTAGGGCCGGAATATGGCTTATGTCTTTAATAGCTTAAAACTTCACACCTAGTGGATTGGAATTAAAGTTTGAATGGCACAAGGAAAAGTGGACAAAATTAATATGATTAGTTTTTGAGGAGAGATACAGGATACGACGGAAATAACATTTGTTCAGGAAGTGAGACTTAATATAAGCTTTCTAGCATATAGCTGTGTGAACTGAGTAATGTAGTTAAACCCATAGAACATCGGTTATATCTTCTGATATTTATAAAAGGAATGTTAGATTAGGATTTTGGAGCTGAAAGGAATTTGGAAATTTTATTATTCCTGGTCTAATACTTTGTTTCCTCCTTTACCCCCATCCATCCCTATACAAAAACATAATTCCTGCCGAGGATCTACCTAACTTCATATAAACTGTAATGGGTGGAGAATTACTTAATCCAGAGTAGCTCAAAATTGTGATGCCTTACACAATCTTTAAATCCATTTTCACCTCTGAAATTCCATGATATATTAATTTGATTGTGTGGATAGATTATTGCACTTTGAGCAATGAAAAAATTGGAACCAATATCAAATTCAGTTAATGGAGATAGATATTTGGCAGTCACCACTCCAGATGGCCTGCCGCTGCCATCACGCAGCTGCAGCAGGGATGCCCGCTATGGCTGCATGTTCCATGGAGTCTGCAGGAGCCCCCTCCCTTCCGTGTTGGGAAGGGAGCTCCCTGGGTGCTGCTGTAGCTGCCCAAACTAGGGCTGTAGACCTGGATCTCCAGCTCCATGGAGCAGGCAGGGACCCTGCCCTCCTCGGTGGGGCTGCAACCATCCAAGTTATGGCTGCGGATCGGAGCCTCCCCGTGCCTTTGGGGTGTCGCAGGAGCGGGAGCAGGCAGGATCCCTGCCCTCCCGTTTGCAGCTGCAGCCGCCCAATCCACAGCGCAGACCCAAGCCTCCTGCTCCACAGAGCAGGCAGGAGCCCTGTCTTGGGCACAGCTGCAGCCATCCAAACCGCCGCTGAAGACTCAGGCATCCCTGCACTCTTGGGGGCCTGCGAAGGCCCCCCGACCCTCACAGGCTCAGAAGTACCTTATCCTGCTGCCTGGCTTCTCCCTGCTGTCAGTGCCTGCTCTGATCTGGGAGCGGGGTTGAGGCCGAGCCCAGGTGATGCACAGTCCAGCTAGGTGTGAGTAAGCTCAGGGCAGCACTGACACGCCAATCCCCGTAAACCTCAGTCCTCTCCAGAATTTGGGCCCAAGGAACATGAGAGGGGAAGCTGAAGGAGTCTGAGGGAGGCTAGACGCTGGCCTGCAAGTGCTCCTTGGTTCAAGCAGGCTGGGTGTCATGGATGGCAGTGAGAGGCAGACAGGCTCCTGGGCAGAAGGGGGCGGGTTCCCAGGAAAGCCCCACCTTCAGGCCAGGGAGGGCCAGAAGGCTGGGGGCTGGACTGCCAGTCAGGGGTCCCCAGCGGGATCTTTTGCCCTTTCCAGGCCCTCCCATGGCTGCCCATGCACACAGTTCCTCCCCTCTGAGGTCTATAAAAGCCCTGAGCTCAGCCACAGCAGTGCAGAAGAGGGAGAGATGATGGGAGGAGCAGTTGCAGAGAGGAGTTACCCTCTCTGCTGATAGCAGTAAATGACAGAACGACCAGCAGTAGAGAGGAACCACCCTCTCAGCTGAGAGCTTCAGAGACCTTCAGAGATGTTGGGACTACCAGCTGCAGAGAGTAGCCACCCTTTCCAGGCCTCCTCTCTGCTAACTGCAGAGAGGATGGGAGGACCTGCTTGCAGAGAGTAGCCACCCACTCCAGGGCCTCTACTCTGCTGAGAGCTGAACACTCGATGGGATGACTTGCCTGCACAGAGGACCTACCCCTGCGGGTCTCCTCTGAACTGTTCTAACACTCAATAAACTCCTGTTCATCTTGCTCACTCTCCACTTGTCTGTGTACCTCATTCTTCCTGGATGCAGGACAAGAACTCAGGCAAAGGAGCCACCGGCCACAGAGGTTTTCAGCCAGAAAAGTAACACCCCAAAGATCCTGTAACAAAAGCTAAAATAATACAAGCACCATAAGAATACAGACATAAGAATGCTGGAAAATGCTCACCTGGTCAACAAGTGCTGATCACAAAAGTGCTTTAAATATCATTACTATATATAATTTTATTAAGCAAATAAAAGAGTTGCGCTCTAAAGGGATTTTCGTATTTCTTTTTTTTTTCTTTTTTTTTTTCTTTCCCAGCAAGAAGACAGTAAGGAAAAACAAAGAGCTCACTCTTGATTCAATGATCTGGTGAAAAATGTTGTAGTTAATTCTCATTCTCCAACCTCCAATAGCAAGAGCAGAGTGGCACTATAAGAAGACTACACACTGTATACAGAATTGGAATCTTGATTAATCATCCTGTTTATTCTAATGATGTATACAGATATGAGTCAACATGTGAATTTTCCTATAACATAAATAAAAGAAATCACATCATAGCTTGTGATGAAAATAGATAGGAACGTAAGGGCCTGACTGTAAAGGAGGTACCTTCTTAAGGTGGTTTACCTGAATACAACATATAGGGTGCTTTTAAATAATTTTAAACAATGAGTGATATGATTATATATTTCTAAATGTTAGAAAATATACCCACCCAGGCAGCAGTTTGAAAAATATGAGGGAAACCAGAAGAGAGACTAGAGAAATTGACTGTAGAATAGCAGCAGCAGGGCAAATGTTCAAGACCATTAGGAACATGATGGGTCAGTGTCGATGAGGGTCTAAATAGAGTGGTGATGGCAGTAGTAATGAAGTCATGCCACTTAAACTTTTGCTAACACTCACACTCTAGCCTGCCATCTCCCTCTTTGCAGTAACTGTATGTGCTCTCACGGTGCTCCTAAAAGCTGAGTGGTTTAGCCTGCATATGGCTAGTTAGGTCTGCAACAATTTTCCTCAGTATATTTAGTTTGGAATTTTAAATTCTCATTATCGTATATGCCCAGTCCCCACACCATGGATGCTTTAATACCGGCATGGCAGAAAGCCACACTTTTAAAGGTTAAGGCTCTTCCTACATGACCCCCACTGGAGTTTGGCTGGTAAGAGGCAATAGAAATCTGCTTAACTCTCAATTGCTTATGTTTAATTGTATGAGCAAATCCATTTCTTGAAGGATGAGTCTTGAGTGCCAGCAAGATTCACATACATTTGAGGGAAACATTTAGTCCCAGAATATCCCATGTTAATACTTTAAAAGTTAACACCGATTTTATGTAGCATAATTTGATGTGGTGAAGAATATCAAATGAGGAGAATATTTTAACAGTATAACATTGAAAATATAATGGGCCCACATTCCTTCAGCAGATGAGAGGAGGCTTGTAAAATTATACTTCTAAGAAAACAAACACAATGTTTCATTCCTGCTATTATCAGCCTCCCTTCATTTTACTTCTCTTGCTTCTCTAACCCCAGAGCATTCTGAGAGATTTCAAAACAAAAAGAAACAATGCTTAAAATAGTTGGGCAGTTCTGGGATCCATCCAAATATGATGATTAATTAATATAAAAGAGCCATAGCGGCCAGGCGCGGTGGCTCATGCCTGTAATCCCAGCACTTTGGGAGGCCCAGGCGAGCAGATCAGGAGGTCAGGAAATCGAGACCATCCTGGCTAACATGGTGAAACCCTGTCTGTACTAAAAAAATACAAAAAAATTAGCCGGGCGTGGTGGCGGGCGCCTGTAGTCCCAGCTACTCAGGAGGCTGAGGCAGGAGAATGGCGTGAACCCGGGAGGCGGAGCTTGCAGTGAGTGGAGAATGCGCCACTGCACTCCGGCCTGGGCGACAGAGCAAGACTCTGTCTCAAAAAAAAAAAAAAGCCATAGTTCCAAGGCTTAAGTGGCATGTTTAACATTCCAGTGGGGAAACTGATATGCTAATAAAGATTTAGGAACAGTGTTTTTTGTTTGCTTAAGATATCACAGTGCCTATGACTTTATTATCCATGTAACAGAGGTTTTCTTTAGTGGAAAAAGTAGAATTGAGACTATGGTTACATCCTGCAATGTTGAAAGTTTCTTCTTTTACTTTTACTTTTATTTAAACCAAATAATCAGGCCGGATAGTATGTTTGAGAGTTAAAATGGTGGAATAGCTAGATTATTTTAACCAGATAGAAAATCTTACTAATCAAAATACAGTGACTTTTAAAAGAAACCATCCATTCTTTTGGCGATGAGTTAAATAGCATATTGAGAAGAAATGTGGATTTTTTTTTTCCCATTTGTGGCACTTAAGATTGTATGGTATAATGTGGTTTACATTTTTTAAGGGTCATGCAGGACCTAAGTGTCCTTAAATTTTTTCTAATAAAATTTACTTCTGTTTGGCCAGGCGCAGCGGCTCATACCTGTAATCCCAGCATTTTGGGAGGCAGAGGTGGGTAGATCACCTGAGGTCAGGAGTTTGAGACCAGCCTGGCCAACACGGTGAAACCTTGTCTCTACTGAAAATACAGAAAATTAGCCGGGCGTGGTGGCAGGCGCCTGTAATCCCAGCTACTTGGGAGGCTGAGACAGCAGAATAGCTTGAATCCAGGAGGTTGAGGTTGCAGTGAGCCAAGATTGCGCCATTGCACTCCAGCCTGGGCAACAAGAGCAAAACTCTGTCTCCAAAAAAAAAAAAAAAAAAAAAAATTATTTCTGTTTTATACTTCACATGTCAGGTAAAAATAATAATGATTTGCAAATGTTAAAACACAAATGTATATGACCTACTAACCAAAATAAAAGCATTAGAAAAAGAAACTATTCTCAGCATGATGAAATAGACCAGTGTTTTATATGTTTCATAGTCAAGATATATGAGTAATTAATTATGTCATTACATCATTATGTCTTAGGTTACTTTGTTTCTACATGGACTATGAACAGTTTATTTACCCAGAAATTGTGGTAGTTTATTTGCCAATAATCTAACTTCTAGGAACATAGACAATATTATGCATATTTATTGTATAATAAAGCATTTGCCTGGTCTTTGTCCTGGGTTCCTGGGACACAGTTTCTAAATCTTTGAAACTTCCCAAGTGGTAAAGTGCCTTTGTTATTCATGATGAGTCCCTGCGATCATACCTGAGTTTATGCTAATGATATGACTCATAGTCGGCCCCTAGATAGTTTAAGGATAGGGCTGGCCATGTGGGAAAGAGCAATCACATGATTAGAGGGTTAGAGCTTTGAGCCACTTAATATCAGTCTGACCTCTGAGGAGGAAAGGGAGACTAAATATTGAGTTCAACACCATAGTCAGCAATTCAACCAATCATGTCTATGTTATAAAATCTCATAAAACCTTGAAACTTCTAGTTGGGTTGAGCTTCCTGGTTGCTGATACATACTGATAGTCTGGGAAGGTAACACATCTTGCAGAGATGGATACTTTGAATTTGGGACTCTGCCAGACTTCATCCTATGCCTCTCTTCATTTGACTGCTCCTGACTTCTATCCTTTGCAACATGTAATTGTAAGTAGAGCACTTTCCCACATTCTGTGACTCATTCTAGTGAATTACTAAACCTGAAAGTAGTGGGAATTGCCAAATTTATAACCTGTTAATGAGAAGTATGGTCACATTTGGAACCCCTAGAACTTGTAGTTGGTAGCTGAAGTGAGGGGACTCAGTCTTAGGGAGGACTTAGCCATTAACCTGGGAATTCTGTTCTAATTCTGGGTTGTTAGTGTCAGTGCTGCTATACAATGTCCTACCACAGCTAAGGAGGAAACTGTCTGAAATCTATGTAAAGCCCATGTCCGGCCAGCATCAATATATGATGGAGCAGAGCAGGAAACAACCAAACAAAAAAAGAAATCCTCTACTAATGGCCCTATTGACAGTAGGAACCTTAGAATCTCAATGCCAAAAGGTAGCATAAGAGATGACTTGCTGGATTTCTATATAAGCATGACATCAATACTCTGTCACCTTTAACAGGCTATAGATGCCCTGATTCAAACTGCACATATAACACTGGAAATATATGTATAGCTGCATCAAGCTGTAGTCCAGAAATGTTTATCTCCATGTCACAGTTAGTAACAATTAGCCTTGGTAAATGGAGTCTTTAATAGGTTGCAAGTATTCTGGGCCTGTACTCAATCCAAGATGAAAGAAATCAAGACATTGCCAGGTGCAGTGGCTCAGGCCTGTAATCTTAGCACTTTGGGAGGTCAAGGTGGAAGGATTGCTAGGGGTCAAGAGTTTGAGACCAGCCTAGGCGGCATAACAAGACCCCATCTCTACAACACCAGCAAAAAATTATCCAGGCTTGGTGACTCACACCTGTTGTCCCAGCTACTCAGGAGTGGAGGTGGGAGGATCACTTGAGCTGGCGGGGGAGGGGGGGGTCAAATCTGCAGTGAGCTGAGATCACACCACCGCACTCCAGCCTGGGTGATAGAGTAAGACCTTATCTCAAAACAAAACAAAACAAAGAATAGAAAGAGAAAACAAAGAAATCAAGACAAATCAGAAGTATGTGATGGGTTTTCAGAGATGAGGCCTTACAGAGATAATTAGGGAAAGATAAAGTCATGAGGGTAGGGCTCTTACAATGGGATTAGTGCCTACCTTTGTAAATTTGGACTGTTATAACAAGGATAACATAGACTGGTTGCTTAAATTACAGAAATTTATTTCTCAGTTCTGGAGGATAGAAAGTCTGAGGTCAGGGTGTCAGCATGGTCAGGTTATGGTGAAGGCACTGCTTCTGGTTTGTATATGGCTGTCTTCCTGATATTTCGTCATATGGTAGAATGAGAGAAATAGTCAAGTTAACTCATATCTCCTCTAAAAGGATACTACTCCCATCATGCATGTTCTACTCTTGTGACCTAAATACTTTCCATAGGACCCATCTTCAAATACCATCACAGTAGAGATTAGGGTTTCAACATATAAATTTCAAATGGACATGATCATTGAGTCTATAGCATTTGTCCCTGGCCCTCCATAATTAATGTCCTTCCCACACAACAAATCCATTAATTCCATTCCAACAGCCCCAAAGTCTTAACTCAATCCAGCCTCTACTTTAAAGTCTAGTCTCCTCTAAATCTCATCTAAATCAGACATGGATGAGACTGTATGTATGATTCATCCTGGTGCAAAATTTCTCTCCAGTTGTGAATCTATGAAACTAAACATGTTGTGTGCTGCCAAGTACAATTGTTCTACAGGCATAAGATAGACATTCTCATGCTCAGGGGAGAAATAGGAAAGAAGAGAGGGATGAGGGGTCCAAAGTATCTCCAAAACTTAGCAAGGCAAATCTTTAACAAGGCAACTTCCTTCCCATTAAGCACGTGGAAAACAAAAACAATCCTCTTTGTTGAGATGTTGTTCAGTCTGGGCCCACCAATGAGGCGACATCACCTCAATGGTTCTGTGGGGTGCAGCCCACACCACTGCTCCCTTCCAGGTCCCCACCCACACTCTGGCTCCAGTATTCTCTTATGGCAGTCCAAGCAGACTAATACATTAGATTAAGAAAAGTTTTCCCATTTCTTCTTAGACATGAACCTTGAGATTAGGTAGGAGAAAGAGGTTTTATAATGATTCAGACACTTTAAAAACATTCTATACCCTCTATTGTCTATGGCATCTAGCAAATGTCCCATATTCTCCATAATAAATCAGATTGTTTTGATTAAAGATAAGTAAAAATGCCAACAGATAAGATGCACATCAGCATCTCTGATGAAGTGATGCTTGAACTAAAATGTGAAAGACAAGAGGGAAGCATACTGAAATCAGAGGGAACCGCAGGTGCAGAGGCCCTGGAACAAATGGGAGTATGTCATCCAGAACACATAGGCCGTATTAAGGAGATTTGATTTCATCCTTTGAACTATAACAAGCCCCCAAAAGGTTTGATGCAAGGAGATGACTTGATCAGATTTGTGTCTTGAGAAGATCAATCTGGTGATCTTCTTCAGTGTAGAGAAAGCGGGAGTCAAGAGAGAACTTAGATGTAGAAAGATAAGGTTACCATATGTTCCAGCTTGTCCAGAATAGCCTCAGCACAAGCCCGTTGCCCTAGAGTAATTATTAATAGCGAACTTGTAGCAGAAGCTCAGACTTCAATGTTTTCTTTGCTCTAGATGACTGCCAACTTCCAGGTGTGCGTCTTTGCATCACTATGCCTGAAGGCTTTTTTTCTAAAAGTACTGAAGATCACTGTATGCTACAAGGATGGGAGGCCAGAAGCGCTAAGAAAAAACAACCCCTCCATATTAGCCCTCAAACAATAACTGACAGACATTAATAAACTAGTACTCAAACAATTATATTATCCTGAAAAACAATCTGTACATTTTCCCAGTGTGATTACGTGACCTCAGTCACCACAGGTAGTGTTTTAGAGACATCTTCTCATCCTTGCATTTGCTTTTCATGCCTATATTCATTTTTTTTTGAATAGCTGACATTAGCTACTTAAAATTGAGCCCTTATCTCAGAATCTGCATCTTAGGAAATCCAAAATCAAACAATTCAAATTAAAAGTGATTAGAAAGTGATTTCTAGGAGAAGTTTCTGGAACTGAATCACTAACCAGAAAGAAGTAAATGGAATGGTAATGATCTCTGGCTTTTTATAGCATAATAGTTACTAGGAATCTCACTTGTGAAATAAGAACTGCAATGTAGAAAAAGCCAAGAAAATATTTGTAAAACCATGACTCGCCAAGCCCTGGAGACGTTAAGTTAGAAGCCATAACGGAGAGATTAGTGCCACCTCAGAGCCTTAAAGGATGCAGGATTGGTGGTCACCTTTCTATTTAATTCACCTGTCTGGCCCTTTCAAAACATGACTGAATGATGGCCTTTTATGGGGACTGTCATAAACTTAACTGTCAGCCTCATTCGGAGCTGCTATATTGAGTATATTTAATGTACCATAATTGATCTTCAAAATAGATAATAATAGACAATAACAATTTATGACAGGAATTGATGAGAACACATTCACCAGATCAATAGCTTCATAGCGAGCACCAGAAGCTATTGATCTGGCAAATGTGGTATTTTCAATCCTTATTATGAGGAATAATTTGAAGCAATTCACAAAGAATAGACACTGGGAAACAGTCATGAGACAAACGATGCATTTATGGTCTTGTTCCAAAGCTATATTATACTTGTATTATTCTTCACACAGGACTTTGATTAGACATTCTACAGAACAATAAGCTGGTCTCACTATATTGATAATATTCTATGAATTAAGCATGGAGAACAAAAAGTAGATCATACTCTAGGTGCTCTAGTGAGGCACATATGCACCAGATTGTAGAAGATAAAACCTAAAAAGCTTCAGATTCCTGCCACATGGGTAAAACTTTTAAGGCTCTATTAGAGTGAAAAATTCTGACACACCTCTCCCAGACAAAGAACACATATTCTACCTCACACTTTGGATCCTTTCATGTTGCAGAGGCAGTACATCATTTGAAAATAATGCTCTAGCTAATTTATCAGTTGAGTCAGAGGATTGCTAATTGTGATGAAGGGCCATATCAAGAAAGGTCACTGCAGCAGTACACAGACCTGCTACTTATGTAATATCATCCAAATGATCCTATGTTGCTAGGGGCATTTGTAGTCAATAACATAAGCATGTAGAATATTTGTCAAGTCCCAATATTGAAGGCTGCAATAGAGATTCTAGTGTTCTAGAGGCATGGCGTATCTTCTGTAGCAAGAAACTGTTCATAAGTTGAAAAATTTCTCTTATCATGCTCTTAGCCTTAGCAGAGAATGAATGCCTAACCACGGGAATCAAATTACTTTGCATTCAGAGTGCTCATGAATTGGGTATTGTCAGACCCAACAGTAGAAATCCATCATATGATGGGGATTATTCATTCAGTAGAAGGTGCAAGTAAGACTATAGGGCACATGTAATTTACATAAAACCATGACCCAGCTTATAATAAGTAGGCTCAATGCATTGATCATAGCTAAAAATGTTTATCATATTTTATCCTCATATTTTCAAATGGCTTTGGAAGGTAGGTAAAATGTTTACAGTGGCCACAGTTTTAAGTGGTCTTCAATTTATGTAAAGACATGTTGTCTTGAGCAATGAAAAGTGATTAGCTGGTTGTTTGAGGGCCTGGAAAGAACAAAGTTAAATGACTGGAAGGAAAGAAACGAATCTAGGGACTTATCTGTGAGAATGCCAGGAAGCATGAGGATCATTCATTCATTCCTGCAATCATGGCTATTACATGCACTGTGTAAAAACTGGAATGGCCAAGAGTAAAGATTGGCCTCTGCTGAAAGAGTTCTACTGCCCAACTTGTTCAGTGTCTTTTGTGGGCTTACCCTTTCAGCAGAAGGAGGAAGGCTATGCATGAGCCTAACATCATTGGCTCCTTCTCATTCAGGCTCATCTAGTTAATGAGATTGCATGATTGACTTTTTAGTAACAAAACCCAACACTAAACTTTTGTATGCTATCCTCCCTTAAAGAAACCACCCATCCACATAGTAAAGTTCATTTTATTAAATCCTTCCATCCTGGAGGAGGCAACAATTCATCTATACACTGTTTCACCCTAGCTCTCTATGCTAGGGAACAAAAAGTAGTTTACCATGATGGAATCCCACATGACAATGGAAAAGCACTTCATAAATAAGGAGATATGATCATGGGCAAATGACCATGGTATCCACTGATCCTACCACATACTCCACAATCTAGGAATGCCTATCCTGATAGAATGTTGAGATTATCTTTTAAAAGCACAGCTAATGTATATTCTTAGAAGTGATACCCTGTATGCGGGGTTGGGGTGGTACTCTGAACCAATGAACATTATATGATGCTTCATGCTGATAGGTGTTTGTTTATAACTTGGCATAAAAACCAAGAAATGAAAGGAGTGACCTGTCTCAACATTACTCTCAATAATCCACTTAAAAATGTTGTCCTTTTTGTCTTGACAAATTTAGGCTTTGTTGAAACAGAGGTTTTTGTTCCCAGGAGAAGCACACTTTTACCTTTAGATAGTAAGAGTTCCCTTAAACATAAAGTTATAACTTGGTTTGGTTATGTTGGATTTATATGCCAGTGCATTAGCAGGCAAAGAAAAGAGTAACTATACTGGCAAGGATGATTTACTCTGATTATCATTAAGTCTTGAGATTGCAACTATATAATAAGGTGGGTGGAATATATCTGGAACCAGGTGATTGACTGTGGCATTGCCTGGTGCTTTAATATCCAGTAATAACTGTAAAGGAACAATTACAGTAATTGTGATTCATTGGTGTTAATCTGGGGTTCAGAACCTCAGAAATAAACCTCAGGTGAAAGAACATTAGAATGGATGGAAGAAGACAGAGACAATGAAAACCAGTTGTGTTCCTGGGACCAACTGTGTCATCTTGTCCTACTAGTCTGACTTGTCCCACTATTCCTCTGTTGTAACTCTTTTTGTTTTATTTTAGTTTTTTTTTCAAATATCATGAGTAAGCAGTGACAGATGGAGTGAGCTTCATGAAGGGAGAAAATGAATCTGAGCATTGCAAAGGGTGATTGTAGCAGTCACTGACAGTCCCTTGTATATGTCCCTTAGACATTATTGCTTTGCTGTAATAAAAATCACTTCCAGCTGTCAATATCTGCATCTTGGCCCAAGAGTGGTTTCTTTTAGAACCATGGAAGTCAGTTCTTTTTATATTCCAGAAGTACCAAGAAATAAACATGTCTCAAGAACAGTCCTTAACCAATGATTGTAGGAGATGGTGCTTAAATACTCCAATTTCCTGTCCTTTTAAGTGGGATTGCTGAGTGTTTTTCACCATTTCACGCATTTCCCTACAGAATTATGTTTTGTTTGTTCTCTGTGATACTTGGTTTAGTAATTCACCCTTTATTGGCGTACTCTCTTTACGTGTATAACTTCTCTACTTTTCTGCTGGTATCTGCTGCATCCTCCAAATAAACTATTTGCTGTGATTTTTTTTGTTTGTTTGTTTGACTGAAATAAAGATTATGTAATTTTCTTATGAGTATAATGTGGACACAATAGTTTTGTTAGGAAACACTGGAAGAAGATAAAATTGAAAATTTTCAATTTCATTTTGTATAAGAATTTTTGAGTTTCTTGCATATACCAAATAGTATACACAAACATACACACACACACACACGTGTGTATATATATGTATATACATACTCTCATATATATATATGAGTACCAAGTGCAGACAAAAGTTCTTGACTGGAGATATGCATTTGTGAGTCATAGATTTAGATATAGTAATTGAAGATTTGAATGATGTCTTCTAGAGAGAGTATAAAGTGGAAAAAGGAGAAGATCTAAAATAGATTTCTAGGGATTTTGACATTGAATAGCTATGTAGAAGAGGATGGAGATACAAAATAAACATAGACAAAGTAGTCAAAATGTGGGGAGAAAAACAAAGAGTGTTAAAAGTAAGAGTGTTTTAATAGGGAATGTCAACCATTCTGCTGAGATAGCTAGTAAAATAAGAGATGGAAAATATCTACTGATGTTTAGAAATAAGACTTCTAAGAATCATTGATGTTTGCAAACACTGAAATTTATGGTAATTTTTGAAATAGTAGTTGCAGTGGAGAACGGGAACTGGAATTCAAATTGCAGTAGTTTGGCAAGTGAGTAATGGTTTCGGAAATGGAGGCTGTGAATATTGTAAACTCAGGAGCTGGCCTATAAGTGAGAAAGGAAAAGTAAGGAAGCTGGTATTGAAGAGGAAGGAAAAATTGGGTGATTTTTTGTTTTTTAAACACCTACCCAGGACATGTTCCTTTCCTAATCTGATTTCTTTAGAATTTATTACTGATGTTAGTTATTAGCATTGCCATCATTCTAAACATCTTGAAATAGGTTGTGTTTTTTATTTTCCTTTATTTTTTACTCCTATATGGAATGATTCATTGACTTGATAATTTTCACATACATTTTTTATTGAATATGTTTATGCCTCCTCCTATCCTTTACTTATCTCTTAATATGATTCTTCATCATCATTTTTCTTCTTCATCAGTGCTGCCAAAGTATAACTACTGAATTATAGACATGGATATCAACTCAATAAAACGCCTTTGATAATTACTCAAATTATTTAAATGGTATTTAGTGGCTCCATCCCACTTAATGCATTCTTATCTTATCCCCTCCCATAAATGCTATCAATTTAGCACTTCCATACCTTTCCTTATGCCATAATCTTTATATAGTACTCTCTTTCTATTACCCATAGAGTTTCAGGTTTTGCGCATCCTCAAGCTTATATAATTTAGGGTCCATTTTTACCATTAAATATTACAAAGTTTAAATATAAATTTGGTTATAAATCTAGGTATTTATTTCAAAAGACAAACCTGTTACAAATTTTAAAGGGTGACAAACAGTATAAACATCACAAACTCCAAAATAACTACATTTTTATTAATGAATTGCTTGACTTTTTTGTATTTACTTGACTTAGATACATACACATTGATCATCTCTTTGAATGACAATGATTTTGTAATATTATTTTCTTTAGAGAAATTACAGTTAAATCAATCTTTCATTTAGCATGACTGGCAGGATATTTTTATTATTAAAAGATTAGATGCATAAATATGCTGTACCACATATTGATTTTTTTTTTGCATAACACTGCTGAAAGTTTGATCCTTTGAACAGAAGCACTCTGAAAAAATTTATTTTTTGAATCCCATTAAAAACAGTGTGGAAAAACTGAAGGTTTGCCTTTTTATCATCGTATATACCACATTATCAACTGGATTTCTGACAGGATATAAGGTCCATTCTGACTGTGTATTGAGGCAAACTCTTATCTTCCACTTACAGTTTTCCATGTCTGTTTGATATTTAGAAGAAATTTGCACAGAATACCTTCTTGCTCCTTATACTATTTTTCTACACTAACCACATACTTGTAATGCTCAGTGCTTGAAAAGTGTGAATAAAGATACATCTAATGATCCTCCACTTTCAGGTCATAATACCACGTATATCATCTATACATTAAAGGCAGAAAGAGGTATTCCAGGAATACATTTCTATATTAGTTCAGTTATTAATAAATTGACACAGAAGTGGTTAGGAAACACACAATTATATCATTAAACCCCAAATAAATGTATTCCCCATTCAACTTGCTCTTAGCCAGATTCCGAAAATATTCTTGTTCACTGGAACACTAATAAAATAAGAATTGCAACAAAGGGAAGTCAGTGTATAACGAGAAAATAATCTTCACAGCAGTTTAAAACTGCATTATAGAAAGATCACCTTGTGATCATATTGTTTTGCGAAACACCCTCCACCCAGGGTTTTGGAAGATTCAGTGCAAGCAAAAGGATTGATGCTTAAACTTAAGCTTTATTCATTTCATAGTAAACATCTGTCTCATATGATACATATGTACTAAACATGCATGATCTGATTTTTCACAGCACCCGCAAATTACAGGTTGGCTGTCACTTTTTCTTTGAAGATGTAATCTCTCCTGAACTGAACTATCATGGCAATTTATTTTCACTTCTCTGAATGATACTTCTCTCTCCTCTTTTTGCCTTGTCTTGTCTTCTCTCCTTCCCTCCTTCTGTATACTTTTCTCTTTCTATATATGTCATCAAGTTATTGGCTAGAGTTATGAATACACACACACACACGCACACACACACACACACACATACCCTATAGTCTTTGTAATGACATGGCCTCTGCAGAACAGATTTATTTAAATTGCCCACAATAAATATAGCATTTAATGTCAACTTCAGCAGCTGTCCAGTGAAATATTTGCAACAGTATCAAATAAATAAGAATATTAAATTTGAACATGATGACAAAAAGGGTCAAAGAAACAAGTCAAAGTAATAATTTCAAAGAAGACTAGTAAGAAAAATGCATTGGTACAAGAAACTGCACCCTGGTTTGCCTCAGGAAGAAAAATCCATAGACTGCTGTATAGGATTAACACAGTGTGATGGTTATTATTAGGTGTCAACTTGATTGGATTGAAGGATGCCTAGATAGCTGGTAAAGTATTGTTCTGAGTGTGTCCATGAGGGTAAGGGTGTTGCTAGAGGAGATTAACATTTGAGTCAGTGAACTGGAAGAGGAAGACCCACCCTCAATGTTTGTGGGCACCATCCAACCGACTACCAGTGCGGCTAGAACAGAGCAGGTGGAAGAAGCTGGCTTCCTGAGTCTTCTGGCCTTTATATTTCCCCTGTGCTGGTTACTTCCTGCCCTTAGACATCAGACTCCAGGTTCTTCGGCCTTTGGACTCTTGGACTTACACCAGTGGTTTGTCGGGGGCTCTCAGGCCTTCGGCTACAGCCCTAAGGCTGCACTGTTGGTTTCCCTATTTTTGAGGCTTTATTCTCAGACTGAGCCACTACTGGCTTCTTTCTTTCTCAGCTTGCAGATGGCCTATCGTGGGATTTTGCCTTGTGATCGTGTGAGCCAATTCTCCTTAATAAACTCCCTTTCATATATACATCTATCCTATTAGTTCTGTCCCTCTGGAGAACCCTAATACACACAGTGAGTAATTCCTTAGCTTTACTACACTCTCTGATCACAATTCCTGAGTTCAGGTCCAGAATCTACCTGAGAGTGAAGGAAGCAGGAAAGGTATTTGTACCCTAAAACTATCAGGCCAAATCTGCAGCAAGCGTATGTCTCTTCGGAGACATATGTTTTCAACTAAAGCTGAACTGTCAAAACAAAAACTGGGTACCCAAAAGCTGCTCAGGCAAGAAAAATAATGTAAATACAGTAGAAAACCAATTTCATCAGTTAATATAGGCTAAGTTATGATACAGTAAAAGTTACCACAAAAATCTCAGTCAGTCATAGCAACGAATATATTTCTCTTTAACAACGTATGTCTATCTTGGGTTGACTGTGGCTTTGTTTTATGTCATAGCCACTGTGGGACCCAGGCTGATGACCAGCTGCTTCACAGTACATTGCTACTCATCAGGACAGAGGGGAAAGAGACATGTCAGCTCATGAACTTCTGCCCCAAAGTGACACATGTCTCTTCTACCTATATTTCATCAGTCAAAGCAAGTCTTAAGGCCACTTCAAAGTTCAACAGGGCATCATCTTCTCACACCAAGAGGCACTACATGGACAGGAACTGGAACTTTTGGTAACAAGTAATATAATCTACCGTGCTAATAAACTGTGTTTTATCCATGCCATATTTTGCCATGACCCGTGATCCCTCTTTCAGAAATATTGTGTTTAGAAACATTCAAACACTTTCTATTTAGAAAAAAAAAATCCATTAAGATACCAATAGATTGATCCCAACAGAAAGGTCAACAATATTTGAGTGGCAATTTAAAGCTTTCAAAGCACTTTCAACTAAATATCTCATTTGTTCTTTCAAAGTACTCTATGAATATTTGAACTCTGAACTTTGATCTTAAATTTACCTGTTCTTTTTATTAATCCATATTGTACTTATTTCCAAATGAAAAAAAATTACACGTGTAGGTATTTTATCTCCTTTTAGTCTTTCATGATTTGAATTTGATCATACTAAACTGGGCTTACTAAAAATTACTATTAAAATTTTTATGGATTTTTTAATTCATCTGTATTTCCTTTGTGTTCTATGTTATATCCTTTTATTTTCACACCATCTCCTGTGACAACTCTTGTTCTTGTTAATAACCCATTGTCATTAGCAAATCCTACATATTACCTTTCCTGCTGCTCTCTTAATTTTCTTAAAGCAGGTCATTGCTATTTCATAATTATTCTGCTTTCTTAAATAATTCTGAATCTCATTTCCCAAAGTCATTCTCTTCATAGACTTCATATAGGAAATTTAGGTAGGTATAATTATGGATTGTAAAAGCCTGAAGAAACCCTAGAGTTTATGGACTCATTTAAAAGATGACAAAACAGACCCAGAGAGATAGTGACTTGATTGTAATATAAAAAATAATCAGGTATATTAATAGTACTATAACTGAGGTCTTTCCATTTCTGATGCAGTAGTCTGTCTCATGTTCTGCCTTTCCTTTGCTTCATGAATTAGCATACCATTCTTGATCTTGAGCTTTATTACTTTGGTCTAGTCTTTATTTTCCTGTCAAATCTACTCTTCACTCTGTGCTGGCCTTGTTCTCTGCGTACAGGCTGTCCTCTACCTGGCCCTCTGGCTTCTGGCTGGGCTCACCCCATGGCAAGCACCAGCGATAGTTGGGACTCTGGAAAGAATGAGAGATCTGTGTTTGTGTTCTTATGGCTTCTTGCAGCTAGGCTATGGTTGGTCCATGGCTATACTTTTTTCTCATCTGTGAGGGATACTCCTGTCCCAGCTTGTTGGGTTCCGGTAACCATCTCTTACCCATATCCCTTACAGGCCTAGGGTTAGTGATGTCTTCCTGCATTGCTAATTAGATTTTTATAGCCTCCATGTCAAATTTTGTTCTTCGTAACAAGTTATGTAACAACCTTCTGGGTTTGCTTAGGCCTGTCCACACCTTTGTAAATAGTCTTTTCATTAAATTTTTAAATTGTCACCTTTGAGTATATATCTGTTTCCTGTCCAAATCCTGACTGATACAAGGTATATTGCTCTGATTTCAGCAAAGGGGCTACAGTAAAAATTATTTGTCTGTCAATAGAAGGGCTTTGTAGAAAGAAATGGGTTCTTTTTGTCGTTACTTGGTTATCTCTAAATGTAAGCTGTTGAAGGTTGGGTTCTCCGAATGCAGACATGAAGACAAAGTTTGAGGCTCAAGATATTTATTAAGGATTGAGGTATGTGAAAGGAAGGGGAAGGAGGTATAGTTGGTTATCAGGAAGTCATAAAAGGCTTGGACTGCCTACAGAAGCTTACAGTCAATATTGCCTGTTAGGGTTGTTTGGCATTGGGCTACACTAGCCGAGCCTTTATAGGCACCATCCTCAGTCAGCAGATGCCAGCTGCCCTAGAAAGGGAATGATCAGACAGAAATCAAGCAGACCCTGAGGAAGTGCTGGGAGGAGGCTTGTCTGGACATTCCACACTCCACAGTTGGAAAGTACACTATTTCATAAAGGTTATCTGGGTGGTACATCTCTCTATCTACCACACAAGTTGTCACACTTCTGTTTAGATGTATATCATTATTTGTATTTGTAGAATGACTGGATGTAATATAAAACACCCAGTCAAATTTGAATTTCAGATAAACAACAATTAAATTTTAGTATAATTATATCCCATGCAGTATTTAGGAACTACTTATAAAAAACAATGATTTGTTGTTTACTTGAAATTCAAATTTAATACTTTGTTTTGATTTGTTAGATTTTGTTTCTAAATCAGGAAATTCTAATATTTCTCATCTATTAATAAAAGAAGTTTCACAGAGTATTTAAACAGTTCAGCCTCTGAGACTGGACCTCACTGATTCAAAGATTGTTTTTTCACTTAGCACCACTTTAACCTTAGGGAGGTTATTAAATTCCCGTGTGCTTTAGTTGTTTTATCTTCAAAATGGCGAATATAGGAGAGCTTTATTTATAAACTGTTTTGAGGATTACATAAGTTATTAAAAGTAGAACATTGAAAAATTAATAACACATATAGTAAGTGTTTAATAAACATTAGCAATTGCAATTATTGTTTTTATTACATCCCATCTTTTTTACTAATGCAATACATCTTTGCAGAGTGTTGTAGCATAGCTGACTAAGGTATAGTCTCTATTCCCTAAAATACTATATTCTAGTAGGGCAATCATATATCAGTTCAAAATAATACAAACACCTTACAAATAATGCTATGAAAAAAAGTATTGTGGTTAATGTAGCATGGAATTGGTAATTAAGGAATTGAACAGTAATGTGGTTTCATAGAGATTATGAAATTTAAGCTGGACCTGGAGGAAGACTATGATTTTGACTCATGAAGGTGAAGCTGAAACACTTGAAAAGAAGAATCAACTAAATTTTGATCTGAAATGTAAGCTAGATAGCATTCCACGTGAATTTTCTACAAATATACAAGAAGAGAGAGAAGATGGAGGCAAGAAATACAGTCAAAAATCAACATGGACCAAGAAATTCTTAAAATATATGAGAAGAAGTGAGTTATATTACAGCATGCAGATGGACTAAAAACAGGTTAGAAGATACTTCATACTTCCCTTTTTTCTTATTGTCAAAATATTATCTTATCTCTTTTAGAAGGTTTATAGAGATACTTTTTAATTCTTGGCCCATCTGTTCTAACATTTTGCTTGTGGTGAAAGTGGTAAGCCAATATTTGTTTTTCTTTAGAGATGGCTGCGCTCCTCAAGGGTACTGTTAATTTGGCATTGGACCTCCTATTCCCGGAGGTTATCAGTTATTTCATCAATGTTTCCAGTGTCTCAGGGATGCCCACACATCTGATGACTCATTAAACGAACTCAGCAATCTTAGCATGTGGCTATACTCACAGCTGAGATTTATTAGAGACAGAATAAGAACCAACAAAGAGAAATAAACAGTGTCTGGAGGAATCCACGTGCAGATTTCCTATGCTCTCTCCTTTCCATAAGGGGTCGCAGAGAGTATGCCCCCCCTCTATCACCAAAAATGCAGTCACATCTTCATGACATTTCTACCCAGGTAATCTTGTTTGAGACATAATTTAGGATTTTTAGTGGAGGCTGGTCACACAGCCATTCTCAGTCTAGCAACAAACATGCCAGACTCCCAGAAGAAGAGCATGTTTTCACCACAAAGCACATTGTTTGTATAAACAACCTAGACTTAAGAGACACAATCTTATCATTTTGAGAATGTTTCAGAAGTCAAGTTTCCAGACACCAGACAAGGGCCAAACTTGTAAGGGAGCTCTTTTAAAATTACAGCCTCCAACCTGCTATTATCACGTCTATGAACAGTCAGTATGTGAGCAAGGCCAGACCTCAGTCCAACCCCTGTGAGTTCAGGGTGGATTGAGCCCTGAGATGGAGGAAGCTGATATGAGAGTATTCCTCATTCTAAAATAATTCTTCAGATTATGACCTCATTTATTTTACCCCAATAATAGGGTGAGAATACTTCCTGAATGGTTGCAGAAGCAACAACCAGAAGTTACGGAGGGTGGTGGAAGAACAAGGGCAGAACGCTACAGTTTCTGCCCCGCTAAAGTTTTCTCCTTGTAGTAGGTCTTGCTCCCTGTACCACCCCCTCACACAGCAGTTTTAAAAGAGCCACCCATCACCCAAGGATTTCTTACAGTTTTTTTCCTGTCCTTGATGTTTTATGTTTTCCCTTTGCAATTTATCTGGGATTTCTCTCTAGTTTCTCTTAAAGCTGAAATCCAGCAGTCTTGCTACTTCAGCATCCTGGTAGGAACTAGATAGACTGTCATTTTAAAAAAGTTTCCTTATTTTATTTTAAAATCTCATATATCCTTATTGAAGTTCTCTTGAGAGGTACAGATCCAGAAAAAAAGAAAGAAAGAAAGAAAAAGAAACCAAAACTCATGTGTAACTTTACAGTAGGAAATAGTTAGTAGCTTGTGGTAGGTCTTGACAGTAAGTTTCTGTTTTTCTTCCTATGTGCCTTTTGTTTGAAGTGTAACACTAACATCAGGTTTAGCCCACACTTGGTCTATTACTAAGTGATGGAATATCTGAAGACATCTGGTGAGTTGCCTAGCAATTCCTAATTGGAATCTCTTTATCTATGTGGTGGAAGAAACCTCTGGGGAATAATATCAACGAGGACCCTTTGGGGGATTCAGACACTGCGGTTATGTGTAGAAAACTGGTGGGACTATTCAAGAGAAGTCTGTTAACAGGGAAAATAATTAGCTTTTTAGGAGAAAATAAATTTTAAAGTAAGAGAACGAGGTATAAAACTATTAACTTGATACCACTGTCTTAATCATTAAGGAGTAATTCTGGACAGAATATGGAATTGGTCTGTAGGATTTACATTTCTACTCAGTCCCCATTGGACTCATTTCTGAGACCTATGAAGGGTAGGGATAGACTACATTAAATATCTTCCTAAAATACTGAATGAGCTTGTTCATTGAACTATGAAATATATTAATGTACAAACACTGCCTAGCATCACTGTAACAAGAAATAATGGTTCTTTGTTCCTCTCTTTCCGATGTCCTTAGTCACAGGCCACCTTAGAGCTTTGCCATTGAGAAACTCAGACACCACAGAAACCAGGTCCTTCTACTGTGCAATGGTGGCAATCATGAGTAAATGCTGTGCCTGGTGAAACAAGAGACATAAGTGCCAAGGGTAGCAACCACAGATAGAATGCAGTTTATGTATGCTGGGGATTGTCACAGCCTGCAATCCAGCAGCAGTATTTGTTGGCCAAATGAAACAGTGTAAAAATAAACATGAAACTTTTTACCTAGAATTTAATGAAGGGACTAACTTACCCCTTGGAAAAGTAGGAGTGGAGCATCAAAACCTTGCAGGCATGAACTTGTTTGTGAGTTCAATGAAAGATAGCCTCTGGTCTCCAAAAAATTCCCTAGGGTTACTACTGCTGGAATATCCACAGGCTGCTGATGCTTGTGAAATATGAATTGCAAAATTTATAAACCTATGTGGTGACTATGATATCCCTAATTTAATCTCAATATTAGAAAACATGGTTTAACAAAATATTTATGACATGTGGCAGAAAACGATTTTTTCTGATAACATAATATTGAAAATTCTGGAACCTTTAATATTTCATTTGTTTGTTGAATAAAAGTTGAATTTGAATTGTTTATTATAGTCCATTTGGTGAGTTTATGTTGATAGCAAAGTAAAATATTTAAAATCATTATGCTAGGGGTTCCTTTGACATATGCTGCCCAGACAACAAGTGCAATATCCCTCATTTTTTCTATGAGATGTCTGAAACCTAGAAAAGTGTCTCTGGTAGAATTGGGACCATGGCTCAGTTTGATTCCCAACCCACTAGAAATCCTTGCATATTGCCGTACTTCATGGGAGATGCCTCATTTTGTCACATCAGGGCAGCAGTGTTATTATCCATTCTCAACTAATGTGCGATATTGGGTCTGCTGATCTGTACTCAGGCAAACACTTTTATCCCCACTTGAAGAACTGTTGCTTATACATGAACCAGCTATTTTGCTTAAAGACAAATCTGCAACACATTTCTTTGCTTTCCTGTCCTTTTATTTTGTTTCTTTTTCTCTTCTTTTTTTCTGGCTTTCATTTTTTGGTCAATTTATAGTTATTTTTAATAATGTTATAGCATGATTGAGTTCAAGCAAACATATCTTCAGTGCCTCAGAAATAAAGGAAATTTAAAAGGTCTGAAGTAACATCTGGGTAACTGAAAGAGAAATAAAAGTAGCAGCAAAGTAGAAACAAAAAAAATTCCTATTTTTATAGGACCTCTAACTTTGCAGAAATGTTTTTATTTTGTATGTTTGTATTTAAATGAAGAATATACCCTACTATAACAGTCAGTTTTTAAAGAAAGATAAATAATTATAAATGATATGGAGACAGTGAGAGAGTTAGGTGCAAGGCAAAAGGGACAGAGATTTGGAAGGAGGAAGGTGATATGTATTTCCAAACAAAAATACTGATAAAATTCTGAAAAGCTAAAAAAGCTAGACTTGTTGATTTGATAGACACCTGCATTTCCTTACTTGCTTGATTTGTGTTATAAGTTTATCCAACTTTTTAGGTAAAGTTGGGTCATTCTTTGTGGCTAGGTTATTTGAAGACAAGAAATGGATCCAATTCTTTAGATTTTATCTGCATTCACCCAGTAAACGTGATCATCTATGCTATAAGAGAATAAAGAAAGGGCATCCGAAAGGTGGATGCCTGTAAAGTCAGTCTTGCTTCATTATAAATTAAAAACCAGAGCAAAGGTTGGGATGGGTACTACTGAATTGAAAATATCTAGTCAGAAAGGGATCTTACTACTTTCATGGCCCTTGTCATATGATTCATTGGAGGATCCTAGTAATCTTCTGTCTATTGGCAATTGTAGGACTTAACGTAGATTTTAATTTTTCATTACATAATTTTCAATCTTTTTCTACTTCAAACATGCAGATGCAATTTTTGTAGATCTTGTTTTCCCCATAGTAGGGGATCTCCTAGTTTCTCCCAGTTCTTTTTCAGCTGCATTTGTGTCTTTGACCTTCAACTTACATGCAAAACAGTTAGGTTTGTAGTCACACCTCTACTTAGACATCTGGGTTGAAATCTCTAAGAAGAGCTACTTTCTAAGAGGACAGTGAAAATCCCTTAAGTTAGAAGGTTTATATTTTATTACCGAACAAATTAATTTCTGCTTTTTAATTCTATGTATTTCTTACAATTAAATACTCAGAGCTACGAATATTTCATACTAAATGAGAAGATAATTTTATCTTTCTGGTATTAATTAGTTGGCTAAAAATATATTTGGCTTGGGGAAAAAACAGACACAAAGGAATTTTTGTGAGATATTTTTAGGATAGGTTTGTGTATGGAATATAAAAATGTTTTTACAAAATTACTTCTAAATTTTCTTATTTAATCCCAAAATTAATAAAAGAAAGAAAAAACAATTTAGTCATGGGAATCAATAATTAACATAATATTGGAAAATAGAAAGCAGTTTTTTTAGGTTTAAGGCTTAATAGAAATTATATATATTTATGGTATACAACATGTTTTGATATTTGTATACATTGTGTAATAAATAAAGCTAATAAACATACTCATTACCTCTCATATTTTTCATTTCTTTGGAGGTGAGAATATTTAAGATCTATTTTCTGAGCAATTTTCAATTATACAATAAATTTTAATAACTATAGTTACCATGCTGTACAAGTGATTTCCAAAAATTGTTTCTCCTAATTAAAAATGTGTAAGCTGTGACTAACATCTCTCCATCTTCACACCCCTGCTCAGCCCCTGATAACTACCATTTTCTTCTCTACTTCCATGAGTTCAGCTTTTTAAAATTCCGCATATAAACGACAGGATTGCAGTGTTTGTCTTTCCATGCCTGGCCTCTTTCACTTAGCATAATGTCTTCCAGGTTCATCCTTGCTGTCACAAATCACAAGATTGAATCCTTTTTAAGGCTGAATTGTATTCCATTTTATGTATACATATATGTGTATATATCTCTCTCTGTGTATGTGCATATTATATATGTATGTGTGTGTGTATACATTGCATTTTCTTATTCATTCATCTATCGATGGACTCTTAGCTCGATTCTGTATCTTGGCTATTGTGAGTAACGCTGCAATGAGCAGGGAATGCAAATATCTCTGGCAAACTGATTGCCATTTCTTTTGGATATATAACCAGAAATGGGACTGCTGAATTGTATGCTATTTCTATTTTTAGTATTTTGAGAAATTTACATACTGTTTTCCAAAATGGTTGCACCAATTTACATTTCTACCAGTCGTGTACAAGCCTTTCTTTTTCTCCATATCCTCACCAATACTTATTTTTTGTTTTTTGGATAATAGGCATTCTAAAAGGTATGGGGTGATATTTCATGTGGTTTTAATTTATATTTCCCTGATGATATAAATATAAAAATGTTAAACATTTTTTTTCATATACCTGTTGGCCATTTTTGTCTTATATTTGGGGAAATGTCTATTCAGGTTCTTTGCCCATTTTTTAATCAGGTTACTTGTTTTCTTGGTATTGACTTATTTGAGTTCCTTATATATTTTGGACATTAACCTCCTGTCAGATGTATGGTTTGAGAATAGTTTATCACATTCTGGAGGTTGTTTCATCACCCTGTTGATTGTTTTCTTTGCTGTGCCGCTTTTTGTTTGATGTAATCTTACTTGTCTCCTTTTATTTCATTACCCGTGCCTTTGGGGTCACATTCAGAAAAAACTTTGCCCAGATCAATGTCAAGGCGATTTTCTCTGTGTTTTCTTCTAGTAGTTTTCTAGTTTCAGGCCTTACATTTAAATCTATTTTGAGTTGATTTTTACATATGATGTGAGATGAGGTTCTAATTTTATTTTTCTACCTATGGATATCCAGTTTTCCCAACATTATTTATTTAAAAGACTGTCCTTTCCATATTATGTATTCTGGCACATTTGTTCAGCAGTTGACTGTAAATGTTTGAATTTATTTCTGGGCTCTCTCTTCTGTATATTTAGTCTATATGTCTGTTTCTATGCCAATACTGTGCTGGGTTTTGTTTCTCAGAAAAATTATCTTATTTGTATCTTAAGTTAACAAATAAAAATTCTATATATTTATGGTTTACAACATATTTTGAAAGATATATAAATATACGTACATTGTAGAATGAATAAATTAAGTTAATTAACATGCTTTACTACACGTATCATTTTTTATGTTTAACACTTAAAATCTATGCTCTGAGCGCATTTTAAGTATACAACACAATGTTTTTAACAGTAGCCACCACACTGTATAACAGATCTCTTGAACTTGAATATCGTGTTGTTTTGATAACTATACTTTTTTTTTCTTTTTTTAAGAAGCGATCTTGCCATGTGGCCCAGACTGATCTCAAACTCCTGGCTCAAGCAATTGCCTGCCTCGGCCTCCCAGAGTGCTAGGATTAGAGTTGTGGGCCCCTGTGCCTGGCTGATAACTATACTTTTGTAATACATTTTGAAATCAGGTAATGTCATGTCTCCGGCTTTGTTTGTTTTGCCCAAGACTACTTTGGCGTGGTTTTTGTTTTTTTGTTTTGTTTTGTTTTTGAGGTTCCATACAAATTTTAGGATTTTTTTTCATTCTTGCAAAAAATGTTCAGTGTTAATATATAGAAACACAACTAAGTTTTGTATGTTGATTTTATATTACGCAACTTTAATGAATTTGTTTATTATTTTTAACAGTATTTTTGGTGAACTCTTTAGCATTTTTTCTATAAAATATCATGTCATCTGTAAACTTTTGATTTGGATGTATTTTATTTATTTTTCTTCCCTAGTTGTCCCAGCCAGAACTTCTAGTACTGTATTTAAGGGACATATTGAAAATGAGTATCCTTGTTTTGTTTCTGATCTTAGAGAAAAAGCCTTCAACTTTTCACCATTGATTATGATATTAGCTGTGGGCTTGGTATGTATGGCCTTAATTATGTTGAGTAACATTTCTTCTATACCTAATTTGTTGAGGGTTTTTATCATTAAAGGATATTGACTTTTTTCAAATGCCTCATCTTTATCTAATGAGATGATCATATAGTTTTGTCTTTCATTCTGCTAATGTCGTATATCACTTGTATTAATATGCATATGTTGAACCAACTTATATCCCATGGATAAATCCCACTTGATCATGGTGAATAATCATTTAACTGTGCCTTTTAATCAGTTTGCTGGTATTTGCCAAGGACTTTCACATTATTGTCCATCAGGAATATTGGACTGTAATTTTCTTTCCTTGTCTTGTCCTTTTCTGGCTCTGCTATAAGGGTAACACTGGCCTTGTAAAATGAATTTAGAAGTTATTTCCTCTTCTTCTTCAGTTTTTGAAAGAGTTTGAGGCCGGGAGCGGTGGCTCACACCTGTATTCCCAGCACTTTGGGAGGCCGAGGTGGGTGGATCACGAGGTCAGGAGATCGAGACCATCCTGGCTAACATGGTGAAACCATGTCTCTACTGAAAATACAAAAAATTAGCCGGGCGTGGTGGCAGACGCCTGTAGTCCCAGCTACTCCAGGCTGAGGCAGGAGAATGGCGTGAGCCCGGGAGGCGGAGCCTGCAGTGAGCCGAGATGGCGCCACTGCACTCTAGCCTGGGCGACAGAGCGAGACTCCATCTCAAAAAAAAAAAAAAAAAAAAAAAAGAGTTTGAGAAGGATGTTATTAGTTATTTCTTGTTTTTGTTTGTTTGTTTGAGACAGTGTCTCACTCTGTCACTCAGGCTGGTGTGCAGTGGTGTGATCTTGGCTCACCGCAACCTCCGCTTACCAGGCTCAAGCAATTCTCCTGCCTCAGCCTCCTGAGTAGCTGGGATTACAGGCGGGTGCCACTACCTGACCAGCTAATTTTTGTATTTTTAGTAGAGATGGGTTTCACCAGGTTGGCCAGGCTGGTCTTGAACTCCTGACCTCAAATGATCCACCCACCTTGGCCTCCCAAAATGCTGGGAATACAGGCGTGAGCCACCGCACCTGGCCGGTTATTTCTTAAATGTCTGGTAGAAATGAGTCATGAAGCCATTGGGTCTTGGGCTTTGCTTTGATGGGAGCTTTTTCTAATTAGTTACCCAATTACGTTACTCATTGTCAGTCTGTTTAGATTTTGTATTTCTTCATGATTCAGTCTTGATAGATTACATGTTTCTAGGAATTTATCCATTTCTTCTAGGTTATCAATTTGTTGGCATATAACTGTTCATAGTAGTTTCTTATAGTTCTTTGTATTTCTTTGATATTTGTAAAGTTTCCTCTTTCATTTATTGTTTATTTGAATCTTCTATTTTCTTATTTAGTCTGACTAAAGTTTCTTTTTAAAAACTCAACTCTTAGTTTGATCTCTTCTATCGCTTTTCTAGACCCTATTTCATTTATTTCTGCTCTTGTATCTGTTATCTTCTTTCTTCTGCTAGTTGTAGGTTTAGTTTGTTTTTCTTTCTCTAGTTTGAGGTATAATATTTGGATTTTATTTCAGTTCTTTCTTTTTTTATGAATGCAGACTTTTGTAACTATAAAATTCTCTCTTAGAACTGCTTTTCTTGCACATCATAAGTTCTGGTATGTTGTTTCCATTTTTGTGTGCCATTTAATATTTGTAAATTTTCCTTTTAATCTTTTCTTGGACTCATTGCCTGTTCAGGAGCATGGGGTTTACTTTACATATATTGTGAATTTTCCAAAAAACTTTCTGTTTTTTTATTTCTAGTTTTTTACCATTGTGATCAAAATATTTACTTGATATTATTTCAGCCCTCTTAAATTTCAAAAATAGAAGTGTGTCTTCCCCTTTCAAACAGGGCTTGTAAAAATAAAAATAAAAATAAATTTGATTACTTTGGGGGATACCTGTTAACTAAGGCATTGTATCTATGCCTGAGAATTCTCTAGCTTTTTATCCCCACCAAGACAATCATTGTAGTCCTGCTCCTTGGATATATGTGTGGCCAAGGGGAAGAATATTTAGGTAGGGGCATATTGCAAAATCTTTCAAATTATATCACATTGACTACCATTATTCTTCCTTTAGGTGAGGGTTTGTCTATAAATAGAAAAATCCACATGATATGGTTTGGCTATTTCCCCACCCAAATCTCATCTTAAATTGTAGTTCCCATGATCTTCATGTGTCATGGGAGGGACCCAGTGAGAAGTAATTGAATCATGGGGGTGGTTACCCCATGCTACCATTCTCATCTCATGGGATCTGATGGTTCCACAAGGGGCTTTTCCCCCCTTTTGCTTGGAATTTATCTCCCCTGCTGCCATGCAAAGAAGGACATGTTTGCTTCCCCTTCTGCCATGGTAAGTTTCCTGAGGCTTCCCCAGCCATGCAAAACTGTGAATCAATTAATCCTCTTTTCCCTTTAAATTACCCAATCTTGGGTATGTCTTTATTAGCAGCATGAGAATGAACTAATACAGTAAATTGTTAGCAGAGGTGGGGTGCTGCAATAAAGATACCTGAAGATGAAGAAGTAACTTTGGAACTGGGTAGCAGGCAGAGGTTGGAACAGTTTGGAGGGCTCAAAAGAAGACAGGAAAATGTGGGAAAGTTTGGAACTCACTAGAGACTTGGAGGACTCAGAAGACAGGAAGATGTGATAAAATTTGGAACATCCTAGAGAACTGTTGAATGGAAAATGCTGATAGTGATAATGGACAATGAAGTCCAGGCTTAGGTGGTCTCAGATGGAGATAAGGAACTTGTTGGGAATGGAGTAAAGGTCACTCTTGCTATGCAAAGATACTGGTGGCACTTTGCTCCTGCCCTAGAGATCTGTGGAACCTTGAACTTGAGGAAGATGATTTAGGGTATCTGGCAGGAGAAATTTCTAAATGGCCAAGTGTTTAAGAGAAGAGCATAAAAGTTTGAAAAGTTTGGAAAATTTGCAGCGTGATGATGCAATAGAAAAAAACCCATTTTATGGGAGAAATTCAAGCTGGCTGCATAAATTTGCATAATTAGTACGGAACCAAATGTCAATTACCAAGAGAATGGGAAAAATGTCTGCAGGGCATAACAGTGACCTTCACAGCAGGCTCTCCCATCACAGATCTGGAAACCTAGGAGAAAAAATGGTTTTGTGGGCCCAGCCCAGGGACCCCCTGCTCTCTGCAGCCTCGGGGACATGATGCCCCTGAGTCCCAGCGGCTTCAGCTCCAGCTGTGGCTAAAGGGGCCAAGGTACAACCTGGGCCATTATTTAAGAGGGTGCAAGCCCCAAGCCTTTGCAGCTTCCGTGTAGTATTGTGCGTGCAGTGCACAGAAGTCAAGAATTGAGGTCTGGGAACCTTCATCTAGATTTCAGAGGTTGTAAGGAAACACCTGGATGCCCAGATAGAAGTTTGCTGCAGGGGTGGAGGCCTCATGGAGAACCTCTGCTAGGACAGTGTGGAAGGGAAATGTGGGGTCATAGCCTTCACACAGAGTCCCCACTTTGCACTGCCTAGTGGAGCTGTGAGAAAAGGGTCACCATCCTCCAGACCCCAGAATGATAGATCCACTGACACCTTGCACCATGCACCTGGAAAAGCTGCAGGCACTCAGTACCAGCCCATCAAAGCAGCTGGCAGGGGGGCTGTATTCTGCAAAGCCACAGTGGTGGAGGAGCCCAAGGCCATGGAAGCCCACTTCTTCTATCAGCATGACCTGGATGTGAGACATGGAGTCAAAGGAGATCATTTTGGAAATTTAAAGTTTAATGAATGCCCTATTGGATTTCAGACTTACATGGGGCCTGTAGCCCCTTTGTTTTGGCCAATTTCTCCCATTTGGAAAGGATGTATTTATCCAATGCCTGTACTCGCATTATATCTAGGAAATAACTAACTTGCTTTTGATTTTACAGGCTCATAGGCAGGAGGGAGGGACCTGCCTTGTCTCAAATGAGACTTCTGACTTGAACTTTTGGGTTATTGCTGGAATTAGTTAAGACTTTTGGGGACTGTTGGAAGGACATGATTGTGTTTTGAAATGTGAAGACATAAGATTTGGGAGGGGCCAGTTTGGAATGATGTGGTTTGGCTGTGTCCTCACCCAAATCTCATCTTGAATCATAGTTCCCATAATCCCCATGTGTCATGGGAGGGACCCAGTGGGAGGTAATTGAATCATGAGGGTAGCTAACCCCATGCTGCTGCTCTTGTGACAATGAGTTCTCATGAGATGTGATGGTTTTATAAGGGACTTTTCCCCCTTTTACTTGGCACTTCTCTCTCCTCCCACCACGTGAAGAACGGAGTGTTTGCTTCCCCTTCCACCATGATTGTAAGTTTCCTGAGGCCTCCCTAGTCATGTGAAACTGTGAGTCAATTAAACCTCTTTTCTTTAGAAATTACACAGTCTCGGGTGTGTCTTTATTAGCAGTGTGAAAATGGACTAATATACCACTGTTTACAGTTTGTTTCCTATTCCCCAAAGAAAACATGGATACCATTGTAATAGTAGTATAAATATGTGGATACCATGCTGATCCAAAAATAAACCAAATTCTTCAGTGCGAGCTCTCACTGGAGCTCCATTATTTTCATTCTGGTGATGTGACTTCTTCATATTAGAGAAATAGATTTTTACATTTCTCCCATTGGGGGATCATCATCATATCAAACACTCAAATATTTAATTCAACAAATGTTTTCATCAAATAAACCCCATTAGTTCAGATAGCCTTTGTATTTTTTTCATTTCACTGTGATGCTATTTTTCTGGTCAGGGAAAAAAAGAATTTCCTGATTTGGCAGTATTCTCTGTGGAATCAATTGGGCTGCATAGGCAGCTACCTGGCTGTGAAATGTCAGGCTGATTCAAATATCATATTAAGTGATGTTAAATGTTTTCTGGGTATGGGACTGAACATCATCTTTATGGAAGCTGAATTTTGACTGAAAGGGTCACATAGGCAAGCAAGTGTTCATGAGTTTTAAAATAGGAGCATGTATTAGAAGTTCACTGGGATTTAATATTTGCACAGCCGGGATGAGCATGAAACATGAAGAAAGGAGAGTATATCGTTTGTAGGTCCTATTTCTCCTGATCCCAAATCTTTGGTAATTATTCATTCTACTCTTAAATAATGGACATTAACATCAATATGGGCCAAGGTCAATATTAAATGGTGATTAAAAAGTTATAGACACTCCATGCCCTCCAGGCAGCACGAGATAATTGGGAAGGGCAGTTATGCAGCAAGACAATTCAAGTGCAAGTTGCAAAGTGCTCTAACAGAGACATGTGTGAGGTGCTAAAGCAGTAGAAATGAGGTGCACTTTCTACTCTCTGTGGGAACAGAGTAAATCAGGGACTCTCACAGAGAAGATGGTATTTGAGCACCTGCCTTTACAATCAATCACTTCATAATTTTATTCATATACATACACATATATCAATAATGTGTGTATATACTATATAGATATATGTGTGTGTGTGTATATATATATATATATATATATATATATATATATATATATATATAATCTGTATCCTGTATCCTGCTCAAAGTATTATGTGTGTGTGTGTGTATATATATATATTTTTTCTTCAGTAGGACACAGACTAGGCACAATATATTGTAACATCTTGGCAGCAAATTATCACAGTCTATGGCCATCAAATGTCAAAAGCCATCAGAAATAACAGAATTAACATAAAAATAGTAAAAAAAAAACCTAGATTTTGCAACTTGTAGTTGGTCCTTTCAGCAAAGCTGAGAAAAAAAGTTCAACACAAAAAAATGCAGTTTTTGTCACCAAAGAAAGATTTGTCTACTCTCCTTTTTTTTTGTGGCTGTGACATTTTCAGGCTGATTCAAGGCACCATGGTTGACATCACTTCTACTAATAAAAATGTAGTTGTTGTTTAGTACTAGATATTCTTAGATTTAGTGGTGAGAGACGTTTTGTATAAACATCCTTTATTTATCTGAGCATTATCTGGTAGTCACTATGGACTTAGTCGGAAGAACAATGAACTAAGAAGCAGGAAACCTTGAGTATATTATTGTGACCTTTGAGCCACCAGGTAATATCCCTAAATCTCAATTTTCTTATCAATTAATTCTGAATGACTTTTGCAAATAAATTTACACGGCTATGTTACAATGAAATGAGATAATAATTATTAATGTAAAATTGAAAATGTGCAAGTACTAGGCACAGTGCAGTGTAGATTGAAGATTGGACACTCTTCATGAAAAGGCTAAAACTGTGACACCACATAATTCAAATATATAAAATTATAGACATTTTGAATAAGGTAAAAATAATTTGTTTTACCAAATTTTAAAAAAGCTGGAATAGCTTTTATACTCTCAATAAGAATTATTTAGAAAAATACACATATGCCAAGCATTTTAAATACCTATTTTAATTTACTATTATGATGCCATAAGGATATAGGCATTGTTTACATTTTTGATGAAAATGCCATAAGTTTGAGAGTTTAACTACCTTATAGTGTGATTGGGAGTCATAGAGAGAAGATAGCCATATTCTGAATCCAGTGTTTTCCAATAAAGGAGAGAGAGGACAAGATCAGACTCACCTGGGAACCATTTTGAATTTGGGCTTCTAATTTGATAAATTATTAGAAGTGCCAACACTGGGAAATCAGGTGAATTTAGTTTGATTTTTTTTTCCCCAGCTCTTTAGAAAATAGACACAATTATTCTTCTCTAACTGGGCTGCTCATGTTAAAAAGATAAGAGTAAAACATGTAGCTTCCTTATTACCAAGCAGCAATTTTTGGGGCAGTGATAAGCCAAAACGAAAATATTTCTTATGGATACTTCTTAGATATTTTCCACACTGTAAATGCAACATTCATGCAAGGTTTACTTGGGTCTTGAATGTGGACTTTAAAAATAGAGGAGGATTTATACTATAAAGTAAAAGTCACCTATAATCTACCCACATTAAAATTTCTATCAAGATAGAAGTGAGAATTGCCACTTTCCAAAACTCCAGTGCCAGCTTCCTGGGGGAAATCATGGAGAATCATTTGATATGTACTTTTTGAATGACCCCTTTAATTCAAGATTTTATAAATTCAGCAAGAAATTTATCAGAGGTTGAACCTATACTGTGGAGCAAGAACTATCAGCCCACTACTATTACTGAATTTAGGCACGTATATGTTTTTAGCTAGGACAGTACAGGTGGGCTGAGGTAATAAATACACAAAATGTCGTTGGCTTAACATATTTTTATATTTATTTATTTATTTATTTATTTTTGAGACAGAGTCTCACTCTGTTGCCCAGGCTGGAGTGCAGTGGCGCAATCTCTGCTCACTGCAAGCTCCGCCTCCCGGGTTCACGCCCATTCTCCTGCCTCAGCCTCCAGAGTAGCTGGGACCACAGGCACCTGCCACCACGCCCAGCTAATTTTTGGTATTTTTAGTAGAGACGGGGTTTCACCGTGTTAGCCAGGATGGTCTCAATCTCCTGACCTCGTGATCCGCCCGCCTCGGCCTCCCAAAGTACTGGGATTACAGGCATAAGCCACCATGCCCGGCCGGCTTAACATATTTTTAAATGTTTACTTTTGACTGAGGAACCTTGTGCTGCATGTTCAGGCTACTGTCCAGGGACGCCCTGCTGTCTATGTGTTGGACCAGATTCCCCATGGCCCTGTCATATCAACACTATGCCCTACCATCTTCACAGCAGGGTAAGAAGTGGAAAGGCAAATATTTGCCCTTAAAACTTTCCACCTGAATGTGACACATGCCACTTTTATTTGAATCTTATTGGCCTAAGAATGATATGAAGCCACACTTAACCTCAGAAGAGACTATAAGTAGCATCCTACAGAATACCTCGAAAAAGAGGAAAAAGAAGATATTGGTAAATGGTTGTAATGCTCACAATATCTGTTACATTTGACAAGCAAATTTTATATGAGACACAGTGGTAATACAGCTTAATAGTCTTCAGGTGAAATCAAAGTAACCGCTCTCTTGTGTTTGATTCTGAATTCTATCATTCATGCATTGCCCAGGGGCTGTTGTTTCTTTTTCTGTGACTGGCTTTATTTCTTCTTTTACTGTAGCAGATACCTTTTTAATTTTCATGATCTGTCACAAATTGTTAGTCTTCAGTTATGTACTTGATACCTAATATTTAAGAACCGTGTCACAATTATCTCATGAAGGGAATATTCAGTTATGTAGTAGAGCTGGCTTTCTGGATCTTGAGAATTGAGAACTTCCTAACATGTTTAGTGACATGCCAGTAGCTTGATAGAAGCCATAGTGAAAGTTTTTATACCATGAATATCAACAAAGGCTACAACACAGGTTTGTTTGCTGCCTGTTTGTTTCATTTTCCCAGAGAGCTGGATGTTTAATACATACCAACACATCGCTGAGATTATTTCTTCCTCCCACGTATTCTGCAATATGTGGAGGAGAAGGCAGAAAGAGTTTTTATCTACATGTGTAATACAAAGAACTAGGAATGGCAAAATTTTTCATAAGACTATGGGCCAAGAGTGAAGTCAGAAAAGTATGTCCAAATTATTTAAAGGGGCAAATAGAGCCATGGGAGATCCAGAAGGAATGGGGAAGAGGACCAGCGAATTTTTATGAATTCTTTCTAGTATGTGCTTGCCCTAGCCAGATAGAGCTTCTTAAAGAGATCCCATAGTAAGTAAAAGAAAAAAATACTGTTATTCAAAGAAGCAGGGTTTTGAAGAAATATCAGGTATTTTCATTCCATTTATTGGTTAACTTCTGCACTTAAAACAGATCCCATGCTGGATTTAGAAAATAGATTCTATGACCTTGTATTATAGATTTTATCTTCGTGTGATATAATCTGCTTACATATATACCCTACTAGACTGAGTTTTAAGGAGTGTCAAGATTGTGTTCTAGAGCAGTGGTCCCCAACCTTTTTGGCACTAGGGACAGGTTTTGTGGAAGACAATTTTTCCACAGACCAAGGGGCAGTAGGGATGGTTTCAGGATGATTCAAGAGCATTACATTTATTGTGCACTTCATTTCTATTATTATTAAATTGTAATATATAATAATAGAAATAAAGTGTACAATAAATGAGTTGTATAACTATTTCATTATTGTAATACAACTCACCATGATGTAGAATCAGTGAGAACTTTGAACTTGTTTTCCTGGAATTAGAAGTTCCCATCTGGGAGTGATGGGAGAGAGTGGCAGATCATCAGGCATTAGATTCTCATAAGAAGCAGGCAACCTAGATCCCTCCCATGTGCAGTTCACAATAGGGTTTGCTCTCCTATGAGAATCTAATCCTGCTGCTAATCTGACAGGAGGCAGAGCTCAGACAGTAATTCAAGTGATGAGGAGCAGCTGTAAATACAGAGGAAGCTTTACTTCCTCACTGCTACTCTCCTGCCGTGCAACCTGGTTCCCAACAGGCCATCGTCCAGTACCACATCAACCAGTACCACATCATCCAGTACCACATCATCCAGTACCAGTCTGTGGCATGGGGGTTTGGGGAGCCCTGTTCTAGAGAGCTGTCTATACCCTCTTCTTGGCATGGAATATTTAGCATAGAAAAAAACCTAGTAAATATGTTAAATTGACCTAAATTTAAAACTCTGATACAATTGTAGCATGTCAGAATGTATTTCCACTTACCTAGTTTGCTTCAAATATCCTGTAGGTATTGCTGGATGAAAACACACATACGTTTTAGAAAGATAAGTATTTTTCTGGAAGGCATGGGGATACAAGAGTCTTGTTTAAACATGATCCTGTGATCTCTGTTAGGAATATAACCTTGACCTCTAGTGACTCTGTTGATGGGACTTAGTTGGATTCAGATTATGAAATCCAGTTAAAAAATAAAAGGTAACTCTGCAGAGTAATGTGTATGTTCTTATGAAAAAAATCACAGAATTTTATACTAATAGGAACATCAGAGTTTCTACAAGGTTATTGCACAAAGAAATACAAACTGTCCATTATCAAATGATAAGAAATCTCATCTAAACTCCATAGGCTCAGGCCTACGCCTTTTAAAGAGTGCATAGTAAGAAATATTCTACACTCAACACATTTATCTTACATAACTTTTTATTATACAGTAAGCAAGTTTATGATGATCACAGAAGCACCTACAAATTTTTCCTAGATAAAAGCATGATTTTGTGAGAGAAAAGAAAAAATACAATTTTGTCCTCCTTTTATTTTAACCCATATAATTGTATTAAATTGCCTTTCATAAAGAAGACAAATATTCCCACTATGAATATATATATTTATGCCATAAGTCAGTATGTATTTCTATTATATAAAACCCCAAATTCATGGTCAAAGCTCATTTTAAGAAACAGAAGCAATTTGGACAGCATTTCAGATAGTAATCACATTGTCTTTAATGTTCATTGTCTTTTATCTTATAGAGAGTGTTGTTTGTATTTCAAAGCAAGCCACATTACCTAAATTTGAAGTGAATATATTTTGTTTACTTTTTTCAGAATATCACAAAATACAAACAATGAATTACACATCTCTCACACTGTAGAGGATACCAAAAGGTAGGGATACACTGAGGCCTTCAAGTCTTTCACTAAAGGACACAGACTCAAAAAAAAAAAAAATGAACCAAAGTAATTTGTATTTCTGTGTTCAAGAACTTTTTATCTAGGTAAAGGAATATAAGAGAGAAGGGAATTAAAAAAAAAATTGGAAGTGAACTGAAAAAAAGTCACCTTAAACACAAAGCCTAAAATTTCCTTTTTCTTATGAATATTTCAACAGGTAATATGTTAAAATGGGTCAGAAAGTAGCTTCAAGGACAAGTTCAAATTAAGCTAAGGTTTTTATCTCAAATTCAATTTCACTAATTATTTTAATAATTGAAGATGTTATCTAAAGCAAGTTGTAAATCAGCTAATTATTTGCTCTGTTTATGTTTTCTATCAAATTATACATTTCAATTGCTATAATAAATTTTTCCTTTAGGAACATACAGGTGTAATGTCTATATAAAACTAACCAGGAACAAAATCAATATCAGTATCAAATAAAACAGGTGTACATATAAACTAGTTAAATGAGGGAAACAAAAAAGACAGTTTATAGGGATTTTTATCACATATATACTTTGATGGTCTTAGGAAAATAAAAGTATGGAAAACTGACTTTACTTACTTAAATAATTGCTATATTTGGGTTTTCAGATTCATGACTATTTTTAGAGACCCTAGATTTGACTCTTCTCTTTGTTCTACATCTTTGGTCTTCTATCTTAAGTGTTTATCCACCTTTTCCTTTCTTTTTCCTATATACCATCATTTTTTTTTTTCCATCAAAAATGTCAAGCCCAGGTGACCTACCCACTGTTATCCAATGTTTTAACATTGTAGTCATGGCCACACTCATTAGAGATTAAACAAGGAAAACACTGGGAGAGTCAGTATCAGAGAGAGGCAGAGGGGCCAGGTCACCAGAAAAAGGGAAGTGGAAAGCATATTTATAGGTACAGTATTGTCAAAGGCATCAGAGAAAGTATGACAGAGGCTGGAACAAACACTGTAATGTACTGATAAGCACAAGCCCTTGACATCTGCTACTTCTATTTAAGTGTGAAACACAATGCATTTACATATTGATATCCTGGGAATAGAGAGACTAATTAAAGAACATTACCCTGACATTACAAAGTGAGGGAAAGAAAGACAGGGGATATAAAGTAGATTCATTTTATTTCACAGAGTTGGTGTTAAGACCTTTGAATCCTTCATTGCTGAGAAATATTAGAAATGGGCTCATGTTGGATAAGGGCCTTGTATCACTGAAACAAATTTTGTCTTTCAAAAAAATATCTTTGAGCACTTAATGTTTCTTAAATGTTAAGAAGCACACAGCACCTGCCCACCAAGATTTTTCAATCTTATGGAAGAGGACTGGCAGGTACATAGATAATTTTCATATAGCAAATTACAATACTGTCAGAACACAGAGCAGAGACAACTCATATAGTCTAAGTGGAGAGAGAGTGACTGCCAAAACATGGGAACCTTCATGGTAGTATTTTTATTATCAATTTAAATTCTCTAAGATAATTTCCTTCTGGATATTTTCTTCAAATAATCCCATACAAGAGATCCTCCCTGTCTCCAATGTGGAAGGGAAATCCCCTGAAGTTTAAACTCAGAAATGATAAGAAAAAACTAGACACATACCCAGATCTGATTAACTCAATCCAACAAGACAAAGAAAAAACAATTTAAAAAATGAACAAAACCTCAAGAAGAGTGGGATTCTGTTAAATGACCAAACCTAAGAACAACTGATATTTCTGAGGAAGAAGAGACATCTAAAAGTTTGAAAAACATATTTGAGGGAATAATTGAGGAAAACTCCCTTGACCTTGCTAGAGATCTAGACATCCAAATACAAGAAGCTCAAAGAACATGTGGGAAATTTATCACCAAAAGATCATCACCTAGGCACATAGTCATCAGGTTATCTAAAGTCAAGATGACGGAAATAAGAGCTGTGAGGCAGAAGCATCAGGTAACCTATAAAGGAAAACCTATCAGATTAACAGCAGATTTCTCAGCAGAAACCTTACAAGCTAGAAGCAATTTGGGCCCTATCTTTAGCTTCCTTAAACAAAACAATTATTAGCCAAGAATTGTCAGGCCTCTGAGCCAAAGCTAAGCCATCATAACCCTTGTGACCTGCACGTATATATCCAGATGGCCTGGAGCAACTGAAGAACCACAAAAGAAATGAAACAGCCAATTTCTGCCTTAACTGATGACATCCACCATCGTGATTTGTTTCTGCCCCACCGTAACTAATCAATTGACCTTGGGACATTGCTCCCCTGGACAATGAGTCTCATGATCTCCCCACCCTGCACCTTGTGACCCCCAACCCCACCTGTAAGAGATAACCACCTTTAACTGTAACTTTCCACTACCTAACCAAATCCTGTAAAACTGCCCCATCCCTATCACCCTTTGCTGACTCTCTTTTTGGACTCAGCCCACTTGCACCCAAGTGAAAACAAAGAGCCTTGTTACTCACTGAAAGCCTGCTTAGGTGGTCTCTTCACACAGATGCATGAAACGAGAATTTTGTATACAGTGACACTAAGCTTCGTGAATGAAGGAAAGATACAGTCTTTTCCAGACAAACAAATGCTGAGAGAATACACCACTACCAAGCCAGCACTACAAGAATTGCTAACAGGAGCTCTAAATCTTGAAACAAATCCTCAAAATACACCAAAATTTAAACTTCTTAAATCATAAATCTCACAGGATCTGTAAAACAAAAACACAATGAAAAAAAAAGAAACCACAAGGTATTCAGCAACAAATAGCATGATAAATAGAAGAGTACCTCACATCTCAATACTAATGTTGAATGTAAATGGCCTAAATACTTCGTTTAAAAGATACAGAATGGCAAAATGAATAAGAATTCACCAACCAAGTATCTGTTGTCTTCAAGAGACTCACCTGACACATACTCACATAAACTTAAGGTAAAGGGGTAGAAAACATTATTCCATGCAAATGAACACCTAAAGCAAGCAGAAGTAGCTATTCTTATATCAGACAAAAAAGCCTTTAAGCAGGAACAGTTAAAAAAGACAAAGAGGGACATTATATCATGATAAATGACTTGTCCAACAGGAAAATATCCTAAATATATATGCACCTAACACTGGAGATCTCAAATTTATAAAATAAAATAATTACTACTAAATCTTAGAAATGAGATAGACAGCAACACAATAATAGTGGGAGACTTTAATACTGCACTGACAGCACTAGACAGGTCATCAAGACAGAAAGTCAAAAAAGAAATAATGGATTTAAACTATACCTTAGAACAAATGGGCTTAACAGATATTTTACAGAACACTCTACCCAACAACTGCAGAATATACATTCTATTCATCAGCACATAGAATGTTCTCCAAGATAGACCATATGATAGGCCACAAAACAAGTCTCAATAAATTTAAGAAAATTGGAATTATATCAAGTACTCTCTCAGACCACAGTAGAATAATATTGGAAATCAACTCAAAGCTAAGGAAATTAAATAACCTGCTCCTGAATTATCTTCTGGTCAACAATGAAATCAAGATGGAAATTAAAAAATTATTTGAACTGAATGGTAATAGTGACACAACCTATCAAAATCTCTGGAATACAGCAAAGGCAGTACCAAGAGGAAAGTTCATAGCCTTAAATGTCTACATCAAAAAGTCTGAAAGAGCACAAATGGACAATCTAAGGTGATACCTCAAGGTACTAGAGAAACAAGAACAAACCAAACCCAAACCCAGCAGGAGAAATGAAATAACAAAAGATCAGACCAAACTAAGTGAAATTGGAACAAACAAACAAAAAAATACAAAAGATAAATGAAACAAAAAGCTGGTTCTTTGAAAAGATAAATCAAGTGGATAGACCATTAGTGAGATTAACCAAGAAAAGAAAAGATCCAAATAAGCTCAATTAGAAACACAATGGGAGATATTATAACCATACCACAGGAATTTAAAAAAATAATCATCCAAGGCTAATATGGACACCTTTATGCACATAAACTAGAAAACCTAGAGGAGATGGAGAAATTCCTGGAAATCTACAACCCTCCTAGATTAAACCAGGAAGGAATAGAAACTCTGAACAGACTAATAACAAGCAATGAGATTGAAATAATAATTTAAAAATTGCCAAAAAATATAAAAAGTCCAGAACCAGATGGATTCACAGCTGAATTCTTTCAGACATTCAAAGAAGAAATAGTACCACTGGATAGAGAAAGAGGGAATCCTCCCTAAATCATTCTATTAAACCAGTATCACCCTAACACCAAAACCAGGAAAGGATACAACAACAACAAAAAACTACAGACCAACATTCCTGATAAACATAGATGCAAAAATCCTTAACAAAATACTAGCTAACCAAATCCAACAACATATCAAAAAGATAATCCACCATGATCAAGTGGGTTTCATACCAGGGATTCAGGGATGATTTAACATATGCAAGTCAATAACTGTGATACACTACATAAACAGAATTAAAAACAAATCACAACAGTTTGATTTCCTCTTTACTGATTTGAATGCCATGTATTTATTTCTCTTGTCTGATGGCTCTGGTTAGAACTTCTAGTACTATGTTGAATAAAAATGGCGACAGTGGGCATCCTTGTCTTGTTCTTGTTCTGAGGGGGAGTGCTTTCAACTTTTCCCTGTTAAGTATAATGTTGGCTGTGGGTTTGTCCTAGATGGCTTTTATTACCTTAAGGTACGTCCCTTCTATGTCAATTTTGCTGAGGGTTTTAATCATAAAGGGATGCTGCATTTTGTCAATTTTTTTCTGTGTCTATCGAGTTTATCATGTGACAATAAACCCACAGCCAACACTATACTTAACAGGGAAAAGTTGAAAGCATTCCCCCTCAGAACAGGAACAAGACAAGGGATGCGCACATGTTGCCACTTCTATTCAACATAGTACTAGAAGTCCTAACCAGAACCATCAGACAAGAAAAAGAAATAAATGGCATTCAAATCAGTAAAGAGGAAGTCAAACTGTCACTGTTTGCTGATGATATAATCGCATACCTAGAAAACCCCAGAGACTCCTCTAAAAAGCTCCTAGAACTGATAAATTCAGCAGTTTCAGGATACAGAATTAATGTACACAAATTAGTAGCCCTGCTATACACAAACAGCAACCAAGGTGAGAATCAAATCAATAACTCAACCCCTTTTACAATAGGTGCAAAATTTGGGAATATACTCAACCAAGGAGGTGAAATACCTCTGCAAGGAAAACTACAAAACACTGCTGAAAGAAATCATAGCCAACACAAACAAATGGAAACATATCCCATGCACATGGGTCGGTAGAATTAATATTGTGAAAATGACCATATTGTCAAAAGCAATCTACAAATTCAATGCAATTCTCATCAAAATACCACCGTAATTCTTCAGAGACCTAGAAAAAACAATCTTAAAATTCATATAGAACCAAAAAAGAGTCCACATAGCCAAAGCAAGACTTAGCAAAAAGAACAAATCTGGAGGCATCATATTACTTGACTTCAAAGTGTACTATAAGGCCATCCATGGTACTAGTATAAACAGCATGGTACTGGTATAAAAATAGGCACATGGACCAATGGAACAGAATAGGGAACCAGAAATAAATCCAAATACTTACAGACAATTGATCCTTGACAGAGCAAACAAAAACGTAAAGTGGGGAAAAGACACCCTATTCAACAAATTATGCTGGGATAATTGACAAGCCACATGTAGAAGAATGAAACTGGATCCTCATCTCTCACCTCATACAAAAATCAACTCAAGATGAATCAAAGACAACTCTAAGGCCTGGAACCATAAAAATTCTAGAAGATAACTTTGGAAAAACTCTTCAAGACATTGGCTTAAGTGAAGACTTCATGACCAAGACCAAGAACCCAAAAGCAAATACAATAAAAACAAAAATAAATAGATGGGACTTAATTAAACTAAAAAACTTCTGCACAGTAGAAGAAACAATCAGCAGAGTAAACAGACAACCCATGCAGTGGAAGAAACTCTTTGCAATCTAAACATTTGACAAAGGACTAATGTTTAGAATCTATAAGGAACTCCAACAAATCAGCAAAACAAAAACAATCCCATCAAAAATTGGGCTAAGGACATGAATAAACAATTCTCAAAAGAAGATATACAAATGGCCAACAAACATATGAAAAAATGTTCAACATCGCTAATAACCAGGGAAATGCAAATCAAAACCACAATGTGATAGCACCTCACTCCTGCAAGAATGGCTATAAAAAAAAAATAGATGTTGGTGTACATGTGGTGAAAAGGGAACACTTTTACACTGCTGATGGGAATGTAAACCAGTACAACCCTATTGAAAACAGTGTGGAGATTTTGTAAAGTACTAAAAATAGAGCTACCATTTGATCCAGCAATTCCACTGCTAGGTATCTACCCAGAAGGAAAGAAGTCATTATATAAAAAAGATACTTGGACATGCATGTTTATAGCAGCACAATTCTCCATTGCCAAAATATGGAACCCGCCCAAATGCCCATCAATCTATGAGTGAGTAAAGAAATTTTATATATATATATACCAATATAATATATATTATATTATAGAATTATATGTGTGTTTGTACATATATATACACATATATGTATATGTATATATATATATTCCATGTATATATATGTGTGTGTATATATGTATATACATGGAATACACACACACACACACACACACACACACACGTGGAATAAGGTAATGGCAACCTGGGTGGAATCGGAGACCATTCTTCTAAGTGAAGTAACTCTGAATGGAAAACCAAACATTATATGTTCTCACTCATAAGTGGGAGCTCAGCTGTGAGAATGCAAAGACATAAAAGTGGACTTTGGGGACTTGGGGAAAGTGGGAGAGGGGGGTGAAGGATAAAAGACAACACATGGGGTATAGTGTACTTTGCTCAGATAATGGGTACAACAAAATCTCAGAAATCACCACTAAAGAACTTATTTATGTAATCAAACATCACCTGTTCCCCAAAAGCCTATTGAAATAAAAAATTAAATAATATGATTAACTGATAGACACCCCTGGGTTTGAAACCACATTACCTAAATTTGAAAGGAATATATTTTGTTTCCTTTTTTCAGAATATCACAAAATACAAACAATGAATTACACATCTCACATTGTAGAGGAGACCAAAAGGTAGAGATACACTGAGGTATCATGTAATGACCTTGAAAGTTAAATCTCTGAACCTCACTTTGTCTCACTTTTCTTCCCCTGAAAATGGGAATGATAGTGCCTACAATACTGGATTGGTAAGATAGTAGAAAGGCAATAAATATAATAAATAGTTTTATTCCATGGCACATAGTGGAAATTCAGTTCATTGAAGTATTTCTGAAGTATACTAAATATATTGAAGTATTTGGATTATTATCCAAATGATAAGTTTATTATATAATATTCAGTACACAAGTATTCCTGAATAAGTTTATTATAAAAATGATTAGGAAATCATAATTCTATAGCTCAGAGTTGATTGACACCACATGAGGCACTGAGCTCAGAAGAGTCCCTTGAGTGTTGCCCCCTTAATTAAAGGAGGACCTCAGTGTCATCCTCAAATTTGTCTGAGGATTCAGTGGCATTTGAAAAGGGTAATTGTGTTTTACTAGCTGAACTTCAATTTTAGTTACTATAATTTTACCGAGAGCACAGAAATACAAAGCCGTCTTTATAAAAGCTACTGAACCTTCAGGCACAAACAATACCTCATCTGGAGAAAATCACCTGCACCTTCTCTCCACAGATATGACCAGATAGGCTATCTTCCCCTTCAGTTAACTAGCTTTAGGTTCTTCCAGAAGCATGTCCCACCAAAAGGGAATGCCTTCCTTTTGTTAATGGAATTTAAAATAATATCAGATCCTAAGAGGGTGGGAAAAACGGCACCATGCCCTTTCCAGATTTCCTTTATCTTGAGAGTAGTAGATATTTTGCCTATAGCGACAAAATCACTTAGTATAATATTATATTAAGGTTAAATTGTTAATTGCTTTTTTCTTATTAGAAAATGGTACTTGCTTTGGGATAGGAACTATAAAATAAAATCAAGACATATTTTTATTAGGAAGTGTGATTTAGATGTTTTCTTGTTAATGCATTCAAGTGTTCTCACTGTGTCAGCAGAGCTTAGAAATAAATCTTCTTTATGTCCTATATTTTCTGTGGAACCTCACTTAATTCAACATAGCTGTATTATATGCTAGGCATTGAACTCTTAGTGGTAATTATCCAACTTGATAACTTTGCACTAGATCAGTGGTGGGCTAGTTAATACATTGTAAAATACATTGCACTAGATCAGGTGGTGGGCTAGTTAATACATTGTAAAACATAAATGGTTTCTGTCCTAGGCTCAAACCTGCTAGAAGACAGAGAACCTGGAATTATTCAAAATCTGCATGAGACAAGGCAACCATAAGTTTCCAGAGCTAAGTTGAACACAACAAATAATTTTAGTTGGGAAAAAACACAAATTTTTATTATTAATCATAGCATTGGCCCCCAACCCAAAGGCAGACAACTTTGGTAGCTAGGTATACCATTATTTCTAAATGTTACTTAATAAAGTCTAAATAACATTAGGTCTTGTAAATGTCAGGGCCTACCTTTGTCCCCACACTACCACCTGTCTGAGTGGTAGTCTTGCAAACCCACACAAACACATACACCCCATTATCAGAGAGAGAGAAAACATGGTTCACTTGTCACCGACTTCACAGTTTGCAGCTGTAGCTGCAGTGATCCCAAGTACAACTGAGAGAAAGAACAAAACAGCCACAGGGAGAATTTTAGCCCTTCCTACACTGACATAGTAAAAGCAAGAGCCCTTTGTGATATTTTAATGTAGTGATGGCACCTACTAGCTATTGGTCCAAATGATGCTATGAAATTAGATTGATAACATTTTTCCTTTGTGGTTACAGCAATTTGCTGTTGTTGCCTAAATAAATTACCTCAAATTTCATGGCATAAACAGCATAAATTTATAATCTTACAATTTCTACAGGATCTAGAGAATAATCCATTTTCTGCACATTTGAGTTGTGGCAAGATTGAGTTCCTGGCAGTTGTAGGCCTGAGATTTTTGTGTCCTTGCTGGCTGTCAACCAAGGGCCACTCCCAGCTTTAAGAGGCCACACACATTCCTTGTCTCATGATGGCTTCCTCCATCTTTGATTATACTTAGTACAGATCTAGCACCTTTCACATTAAATCTCTCCTCCTCCTTCTGTCTCATATCTCTGAACCAGCAGGAAAGGTGCTCTACTTTTAAAAACACATGTAATTCAATTGGGTCTACCTGGATAATACGGGATCGCTATTTTAAGGCCAAATGATTAGCAACTTCAATTCCATCTGCAAACTGAATTTTCCTTTACCATGTAAAATAACATGTTCACAGTTTCTAGGATTAGGATATGAGCATTATTGGAGGGACATTATACTTCTTACTATAGGAGTGAAGATGAGGATATATGAGGTTGGGCATGGGGATTGAGAAAGAAGAAAATAAACATAGAGAGGGACCTTTAATTATTTGCCTGGATTCCTTCTATGCCAGGTGCTAGTTTTTCAAATGTATGAAAGTTGCTTAAATTTCTTAGCCCCATTTTCTGTTCTTCATATCAAAATACTTAATATCTATCATAACAAAGGCTTTTGGGGATCAGTCAGGTGTGGGGGTCAAAGGTATCAAGAGAAGAGTTCATCTGTGGTTGACTGAGAGAGAATTTCTCACCCAAAATAATTTAGATTCCAAAATTTTAAAACATTCTTCTCAACAAATGAAGAATATCTTTGAGACACATGAACTAAAGCTATCATTTGGAGATATTTTACGCCCCTCATAAGATTGCTATGAGGCCTAAGTGAAATAAATTTATGTAAGATGAAAACATATGATAGGCACTCCACAGATTTTAGTTTGCTTCTTTCCTAAATGTTCTGCCCCAACAATATTTACTAGGTTTTGGAATGTGCAAATTAAAAGAGAAAAAGTAAAAAGATCATTTTATTCATTTTTTCATAAATTATTATTCATATCATGCTATTCTCTTACCACCTGGGTTCATTTTTACTTGATTCTAAACCTATCCATCCAAATATTTGGACTTTAAAATCCCTCTACTCTCTCATAAGACCCATCAATCACATTCAATCACATCTATATTCATCCATAAAACATAAACATGAAAAAATGGCCAGTATTCAAAATAGCCTTTTATAGAAATCATTTTATTATTCCTTTTGTGAGCTAGTTTTCGAATGTCTTTCTAATCCTCTTTTCTTATTAGTATCACTGTAGTTGCTAATGCCATATCATTTTGACAACATTGCTTATTCATTTCATCCTTATTTTCTAATGATTTATAAAAGGATTTGAAATTCTGGATAGGCATGTCTAATAAGCACTATTTTTCTCATGTAGCTTTATGAGCTAAAGCCTCCATAAAATCTTTCAGATGTTAAGGAGCATTGCTATATATGTTATTAACAGCACATTTAGATATTCTTAGAAGTATATTACATCCAGAATCTACAAGGAACTCAAACAAATCAGCAAAAACAAAACAAACAATCCCATCAAAAAGTGGACTAAGGACATGTATAGACAATTCTCAAAAGAAGATATACAAATGACCAACAAACATGAAAAAATGCTCAACATCACTATTGATCAGGGAAATTCAAATCAAAACCACAATGTGATACCACCTCACTCCTGCAAGAATGGCCATAATAAAGAAAAAAATTAAAAAATAATATATGTTGGCAGGGATGTGGTGGAAAAGGAACAATTTTACACTGTTGGTGGGAATGTAAACTAGTATAACTACTATAGAAAGCAGTAGGGAGTTTCCTTAAAGAACCAAAAGTATAACTACCATTTGATCCAGCAATTCTACTGGAAAAGAAGTCATTATATGACAAAGATACTTACACATGTATGTTTATAGCAGCACAATTCATAATTACAAAAATATGGAATCCAGCCCAAATGCCCATCAATCTATGAGTGGGTAAAGAAATTATATATATATAACCATGGAATACTATATACTATTCAGGCATAAAAAGGATCAAAATAATGGCCGTCAAAGCAACCTGGATGGAATTGGAGACCATTATTCTAAGTGAAGTAACTCCGGAATGGAAAACCAGTTCTTACTCACAAGTTGGAGCTAAGCTATGAGGATGCAAAGACATGAGAATGATACAATGGACTTTGGGGATTTGGGAGAAAGGATTGGGGGGTGAAGAATAAAAGACTACACATTGGGTACAGTGTACACTGCTCAGGTGATGGGTACACCAAAATCTCAGAAATCACCACTAAAAATCTTCATATGTAAGTTGGGATGAATGACACATAGGCACTAATGGATATAAAAATGAATAAAGTTTATTATTCACACAATAAACATCTAAATAATTACTGAGGAGAAGGGCTGAAGTTTGGTCTGGAGTGAAACAAGAAGATCAAGGGAGAAGGATGATTCTGATTTTAATTGTAGTTAGGAGGTGTGGCTAGGGGGAATGTTCACTCGTAGGCCGGGATATGTGTGCTTTTAACTTCCACCAGCACCGAGGGGGGAAGTCTGCAGCTTTCTTACCAGCTTATCCAGTTGTTAAGTAAAAGGGAAAGGGGAAGCGTGGATCTTGCAAATAGTTAAAGATCAAACATCAAAACTGGAGTCTTTGTCTTTATCATAGTACATAAGTCTAATTCTGAGGGTTTTTTAAAAATAAGGTTAATGATCTCATTGATAGACACTTTGACAGAAACAAGGAAAAAATATTTCAGCAACCCATCTAAACAGTGTTCATCTACACTTTAATGCTGCATTTTACCCAACATGCTAATGAAGCTGTGGACCATAATATCAAGGCATTTGTCCATACTTTTGTTTCCAAGAAGCAAATACTACTGTTTGTTAAATGTTACGTAACAGAAGTATTGGTGCTACAATAAGAGTTAGAGAGGGTACACTACACTCTGAAAAAGAATCTGCTAAAACAAGACAAACAGCATCTATATTACAAATCAGATTTCCTTTTATGCTGTGCGGTATTCACATTTGATTTTATAATTCAAATTTAGGAACACATTTTTAACCTTTGTTTCCACACCTGAGAGGTTTGCTAATGTGTAATTCCACTGAGAAAATACACACTGATTCTATGTGCTCTTAAAGTGTCATTAACATACAGTATACACAACCTGTTCAACTCCTCTCTGAACTGTACTATAAATAAATGCAGAGCAGTTATTGTAATTATAGAGTAAATATAACAAATTGACATAATTATAATTAAATCCAGGAAAAGTGGTGAGCACTTTGAAATGTACAAAATTAATTCAAGACCCTTATTTGTGGTTAAAATTTCTCTCTCCTTGGAGAAGCAAAATATTAACTGATAACTTAGAGGTATAAAAATCAAAGGCTACAAAGCTACTTTCCTGTATAGGGCAAGAAAAATGAACTCTAAGCCAAACTTGAGCTCTGTAAGTGTTCACCCAGTTTACATGAAAATGAACTTAAAATGCCTCTTTCATGCCTACTTCAAGAGATTTGAAAGAAATGTTCAGATAAAACAAGCAAGGATGAAAACATGCATTCACATACAATTTTGCCGCATTAATGAGTTTCTAGTGAAATTATGATTGGGCCTAGGTTATCCAGAAAATTGTCTCAATTCTCTAACTCACTTTGCAAATTAAGAAAGACATATATGACCTTGTTTTTCCAATTTTTTTTCCCAAATAGTCTTGCCTAAAAGTTTTCTTGTAATTAATGTAGGGAAAAAAAAAAAAACTACCTCACTCTGACATTTTCCTTCTCTTCTTAGAGACTGCTTTTTTCACACCCAACTTTTCTTTGCTTTGATGTTACAGGAGTGAGAAACTTGTAAAAGAAATCCTTGGTGAGCATTTGCTATCTATTTTGCAGTTGCACACAGGACCTTCTTTCAACTATGTTCATTAGTATGAAGAAGATGAGTACTGACCACTCATCCTTGCAAAAGAATGTACTTTAAGATTAATATAAAGAATGTATCATGAATAGCACCTGCAAATTGTCTATTATTACAAAATTCTGTTCAGTAAATGAATGTCAGTGATTAAAAAATATCTTGTGCAAATAGTTTCAAATGTAGATTTTTAAAACAAAGAATAGAAAAGGAAGAAATGAGCAAACAAAGGAAAGAAGATGATGGCAAAAAAAGTTAATAATGAGGAGAGACGTATGTAGATATGGAGTAACTTAAATGTGTATTTCCAATAGATAACAATAAGAATTGAACATAGATAAATGACAACTACAATGAGTTTCATTGCACAATTTTTATGCATCATTAAATATGAAGAATAAAAGATGAGTACAAAGTCTAAAGACAAATCTGAGTCTATCAAGAATGACAGATGAGGAATAGGGGCACAGAGGACAAATTTCACTGCATTGGCAAGGTCTGATATTGTGAAGTGATTGGACTTCATATGACATGGAGAATTAAGAGAATTAAAATAAATTTGGAAAAGTGTTCAAAGAAACATTATCGGCCATTTCATTATGGTGAAGATGTTTCTTGTATTTTTATTCATTATTCAATCAAAATAAACTGTTAATAAGGTCAATAGCACAAAAATGAATGATGTAAAACAGGAATAAAAATATTCATCTATATACTCCTCATATTCTCTTTCTTAATTGATGTACTTACTCTGATGTGAGAGACACTACAGATATAAGCAACAACAGCAACAACAACATTTGAATGGAAGAAATCTCCTGAGCCTTGACTTCAGGGAATTTTCACTAGCTCAAATTGTTAAACTGTAGACTTCCCATCTGTTAGTGTCTCTGTAGGTGATTTCTCAGAAGTATCAGAAGATCCTCAACATTCAGAGTATACTCATAGCGTTAATATTTGAAGCCAATTTGGCAGCTCAGAGACCAAAGTTATTTCTGACAATGTACTGCTACAATATCACTTGGTTTCTTCCTTGGCCTCAGAGTCTATTGTTGTCTTGTTATGCACAAGTCGAAATAAAGGGTCGTTCCATAATTTTTTAAGTTTACTTTCCATTTAAAAAGTAAAGTTTTTCAGTAGGCCCATAACCCTGAATTGTCATGATTACCTAAAGACTTTATATTTAAGGTACACACCTGTGGAGCAATTTTTTTTAAAAAACATATTGGTTTGTAATATGCTATCATAGCAAATCCCAGTGTAGACATCTCTGACATAGCAAGTTTAACTGGACAGGGTTGGCTGAGAATATCCTTTTAAGGGCCATTATGTGTGTTTATAGTAATGCTGTCTCATATTGCCAACACTGTTTTATCTACATTTCAGGGCCAGAGAGTTGTATTCTGCAAACTCTTCATATCAGAGAGTCATGAGAATTTGTAAAATGTATGAGAATGCTATATATTATTCCAAGAAAGAACTTACACATACCGTAAGTATGAGGGCAGATGAAAAGGTATCTGAGATAAGCCTTTATTTTATTCCTTAAAGGTGTGGAAAAACTCAGGCACAATATTTAAGATACTACAATTAACCTTCAATTTTGATATAGAGTCTAGTGCCTTTATTGGCTGAGAATGGTGCTGATTTAACTAAGTAATCTATTAACTCCTAGAGAACTGAAAGAAGTGAAGAACTATGAGCATAGAAGGTAAGAAAATAGATTAGGAAAGAAGGTAAAGGAGAGAATGAAGAGAGTAAAAAAGAAGAAAACAAACAAATTAAAAGTACCTACTTTAAAGAGTACTTTAGCAATTCAATCAAGTTTTTGATACATTCTTACAATAACCGTAGGAAGTCAGAATTATTATGATGTTTTACTACAGTTGAAAAATTAGATTTAGAGAGGCTAAATGTTTTACTTTTCTCCTAGTGACATAAATTATGAACTGTAGAAAAGAGCCCAACTCTTAGATTTTTCTCCCCAAACACACGGGCTGGTCCACTTTACCCAATGGTAGATCACAAAATCCCATGATGGGTAACAGTGAAGAACCAGTGACTGCCTCAGGTTTCCATTTGGGGTCCTCATGAAGCAGAATGTCTCTTCATCTTTTGGGAGATCAACAACTCATGTTGTGGGGAAAAGAAAGAGAGATCAGATTGTTACTATGTCTGTGTAGAAAGAAGTAGACATAGGAGACTCCATTTTGTTCTGTACTAAGACAAATTCTTCTGCCTTGAGATGCTGTTAATCTATAACCTTACCCCCAACCCCGTGCTCTCTGAAACACGTGCTGTGTCAACTCAGGGTTAAATGGATTAAGGGCTGTGCAAGATGTGCTTTGTTAAACAGATGCTTGAAGGCAGCATGCTCCTTAAGAGTCATCACCACTCCCTAATCTCAAGTACCCAGAGACACAATACACTGTGGAAGGCCACAAGGACCTCTGCCTAGGAAAGCCAGGTATTGTCCAAGGTTTCTCCCCATGTGATAGTCTGAAATATGGCCTCGTGGGAAGGGGAAGACCTGACCGTCCCCCAGCCCGACACCCGTAAAGGGTCTGTGCTGAGGAGGATTAGTATAAGAGGAAGGCATGCCTCTTTGCAGTTGAGACAAGAGGAAGGCATCTGTCTCCTGCCCATCCCTGGGCAATGGAATGTCCAGTATAAAACTCGATTGTATGTTCCATCTACTGAGATAGGGGAAAACCGCCTTAGGGCTGGAGGTGGGACATGCGGGCAACAATACTGCTCTGTAAGGCATTGAGATGTTTATGTGTATGCATATCTAAAGCACAGCACTTGATTCTTTACCTTGTCTATGATGCAGAGACCTTTGTTCAGGTGTCTATCTGCTGACCTTCTCTCCACTATTATCCTATGACCCTGCCACATCCCCCTCTCTGAGAAACACCCAAAAATGATCAATAAATACTAAGGGAACTCAGAGGCTGGCGGGATCCTCAATATGCTGAACGCTGGTTCCCTGGGTCCCCTTATTTCTTTCTCTATACTTTGTCTCTGTGTCTTTTTCTTTTCCAAGTCTCTGGTTCCACCCAACGAGAAACACCCACAGGTGTGGAGGGGCAACCCACCCCTTCACATGTAACCAACCAGAGAAGTAATAAAAGAGAAAAATATATGTTACAGAAGTTTCTGTGTAGCATTCAGCATACTTACCATTTTCTATCATCAATTATCTTACAGTAAGTTTTTACTCTGTTTTGAGTTTAAAACTAAAGTTTTGTGTTATATAAGTGGTTAATAGCTAATACATATGACTCATTAAATAACATAAAATGAACTGGAACCTCAAGCTGTGTGGCTGATCCTTTCCACTTGAAAACTTTTCATATTCAAAAGAAAAAAATCTCAATTTTGGCAATTTTATCTATTATTCTTAATGTTAAAGTTGCTTAAAATAATTTTCAAAGACCAAAAATATTATGATAAAAACATTTTATTGAAATTATTTATATTCCTTACCTCTTTCTTTTAATTTTGAATGCAACCTATTAGAAAAAAATGTAAACTTGCCAGGTGCGGTGGCTCACGCCTGTAATCCCAGCACTTTGGAAGCCAAGACGGGCGGATCACGAGGTCAGGAAATCGAGACCATCCTGGCTAACATGGTGAAACCCTGTCTCTACTAAAAATACAAAAAATTAGCCCGGTGGGGTGGCGGGCACCTGTAGTCCCAGCTACTCGGGAGGCTGAGGCAGGAGAATGGCGTGAACCCGGGAGGTGGAGCTTGCAGCAGTGAGCGGAGATCGCACCACTGCACTCCAGCCTGGGGGACAGAGCAAGACTCTGTCTCAAAAAAAAAAAAAATAAAGTAAGCTTGTCCCTATAAACCACATAACCTACTTAATTGCCCTTATACTCCTAGACTTAGATCATATCATTTAACCTGCAGGTAATTGGAAAAGTGATGATTTGAAAGAAATAATCAAGAAAGGATCTCAGAGTCAGGTTTCATGTTGTAGAAGAAGGCAACGGTGAATGATTTTTCTACATCATGCTGCTCTCTTCCTAGATCCATAGGAAGATAAATTATCCCTCCCAGTACAGAGGCAGAATAAAAGTAAAAACAAAAAGTGAGTTGTGAAATCATCATCTGAGGATACAGAAGGTTAGAGTAGTAAACCAAAACAAACTGCAAGACCTATCAAACATTCAGTTATGGAGGAATGAAGGATAACATGCAAAGGAAAACACAAAGGGAAAAAAGAAAGGAAACAAAAGTAAAAATAGCATCATGGAGACTGACCACCATGCAATGGAGTCAGAAGAGAAACAACAGCAAAATACACACAGCATTGCAATGCAAGTGGCAGCATGTGCAAACAAATGAGAGAAAATTACCAGAGAAAGAGAAGATGACAAAAAGGCACAAAAGAAACAGTAGAGAGTAGTCATTTCTTTTTTTTTGAAAACCACATAGCCCTAGTAGGAACTAAAAGTATTATTAAAATATGGTAATTCATAAACTCTCTTGCATAAGCCTAGGAAGATTCCAGAGAATAATGAAAAAGAATCTAGAAAAACACTAAGGCAGTGAAAGCATGAAAATACTCTAGCTACTGTAAATTTAAAAATATGCACAATTTCATTATGAAAAAAAATTGATAGTTCAAACTTAGTCTCTATTTTCATGTAATTTGTTTTTAGTGAATCCCAATTATAATTGATTATTGCAATGCAATAATAATTTTTAAAAAACCTAAAAACAAAAGCAAAAAAAACACACCACATTCTGAAGGAAAAACAAACACTGCACAAATAAAATCAGAAAAATAATCAAATATTGGATAGCCTAGAAACAAAGTTATCTGCAAATATCTTAGAATCTAAATAAAAACTTACTCTTCATACTTTCAATTTCTTTTATCACCCTAAGAAGAAGAGACAGTATACAAAAAAACAAAAACAAAAACAAAAACAAACCCGCTTTTTTTTTTTTTTTTTTTTGCTTTGGTTCAAGAAACCAAAGAGAAGTAAGTAATTATGAAAAAAAAAAAAAAATCTAGAGCCATAAAGACCTACTGACTTCCAGTCATTGGACACAGATGGAGAGTCACTGATTGAGTCCTCCTGAGCCCCTCTCTACCATAGGCAGCAGGGTACATAACTGATACTTTAGCAAGGGTCTATTACTCCACGATGATAATAGTATTTCAAGGAGGCAACACAGATGTAATGACAAGACTCGAGGGCATTGAAGTAAGAAAATGAGAGCTTACATCTGGTTTTTCCACAAGCTAGCTGTAAGACCTAGGGCAATTCCTTTAATCTCTGTGATTCTCCATTTCTTGGAGAATATACAACAGTTGTTATTTTTATAAACGTTGAAGATATATTTATAAAGCATGTGTATATAAAAACAAAACCAATATTATTTCTCTTAAACTAAATGTCTAAGGCCACTTTATTGGGGAGGTATAAAATGGTACTCTAGAACTAAACATCAATTGAATGCTGCAGTTTTTAGAAAGTCAACAGTAAAATACCTTAAAAATGGTAATTTAGTTGTCTTTTGCTTTTTAAACTCGCATATCAACCTATTTTCTCTATATTTTCCATAATGTTCAAATGTGAAATAAATGGAAAATATTATAAAACCCACCAATTTTAATGCACCAATCATTTCACATCTCATTTTTTATATCAGTTTATGTAACCATTTAGAGCTAGGGTTCTCATCTCAGATTGAATTATTATCAAGGACAACTGAATTTTTTGAAGAAAAAAACCACTGCAGAAATAGAATAAGAAAATTAATTAAAATTGGGTAGGCTAGAAACAATGAAAGTTATCTGTAAATATTTTAGAATCTAAATAAAAAACATACTCTTCCTACTTTCAATTTATTTTATCACACTAAGAGGAGACAGTATACAAAAAAGAGAAAAGACACAGGGTAGAATTATATGCAGTCTATACATGAGATACATCTATTATCTGACAGCTTTTTATAGAAAAAAAGATAAAGTTAAAATCAACTATTAGTGGTGAAATAAGATAATGGTGAAATTTTCCTCTCAGGTAGTAGTCATAAATAACATGCATTTTCACAACATTTGATTTTCTAAGTCACTGTTATTTTGAAAATTATTGAACATAAAACCCTCTAAAAAATTGTGATTGAAACCTCTTGTATATCCTCGAAGGAAGATCATTTACTCATTAATTCAACTAATGATTATTTAGCATTCACCATGTGCCAGGTGCTGTTCTAAGTGCTAGAGATTCAAAGGAAAAGTAAATTGGCCTTCTTATGAAACTTTCCTTCCAGTAGGTAGAGAGGATATAATAGAGGTGGGATGGGACTGATATAGTCTGAAGCATGCAGCCTGGTTTTCTGGAGAAATGACATATAAGCACGTGGCAACAACTTGAGATAGGATAAAACACTTTGTTCAAGGGACTGCAAATAGAAAAAGCCACCTGTGGCTGAAGAATGGAGTAGGAAGTGGGAAGTGATGCAAAGTATGATTAAAAAGTGAGACATCACACTTGTAATCCCAGCACTTTGGGAGGCCAAGGCAGGCAGATCACTTGAGACCAGGAGTTCGAGACCAGCCTAGCAACATGGCGAAACCCTGTCTCTACTAAAAACACAAAAATTAGCCAGGCATGGTGGTACATGCCTGTAATCCCAAGCTACTCAGGGGGCTGAGGCACAAGAATTGCTTAAACCCAGGAGGCACAGGTTGCAGTGAGCTGAGATTGTGTCATTGCACTGCAGCCTGGGCAACACAGTGAGACTCTGTCTCTCTCCAAAAAAAAAAAAAAAAAAAAAAAAAAAGGATGAGAGACAGACAGGTCAATTCCTAAGCAGTTTTGCTGGCCATGGATTGTGATCTTTATTCTACAGACTCCAATGAAGCAGATGTGTGTGGTGAGTATATGTTGGGAATTTATTTAGTCAGTTTGCATTTGTAATTGATTCATGTTGAAGCACTAAGAATGGATGGAATTGGTGGAAAGAAAACATGGAGATAATGTTTAGGAAATGAGGACCACCAAAGAATGCACTTTTTTACTAAAAACCAAAGAGCATTTTCAAGCTTCATTTTTCTCCAAAACTGGAAACTAATCTGTGCATTGAAAAACAACAACAAATCTTTTTCTCTCTGTATCTTACTTTGATGTAATGGTTTTGAAGAAATTTGTCTGTAATTAATCTTTAATTAATATGATCATAAAATTCTCTCACCCTCACCCCATGACTTTAAATTACACTTAAGATTCCAAATTCATACCAAGACTTACTAGGCCTCATTAATGTTGCCCAGGACTTCTTCTCTAACACCTTCTCTTACTACATATGCTGTCGCAATGTTCTCATGTATTCTCCAAACACTCCGCACATTTTTGTCTGAAGGATTTGCAGTAATCATGATTCTGCCTGGATGCTCTTTCACCAGCTGTAACAACGATATTTCCCTCAGCTCAGGAATCTACATGGGTTTATTCCATGTATGATGTGTCTGTTGTCAATCAAAAATTAGTAAGTAAAATTTTCTGAGAATTTTTAAATTTACTTAAAAGGCAAGAAAATTAAGTACCTTATGTTACATAATTATAAATTGTTAAAAATGGAAACTATAATGCTCTTAGCTAAAAAGAAGCTTTAAGAAATTATGGGTATTACTGAACTACTTTATTCCATATTGTGAAGGACTGATAGAGGATTAAAAAGTGTATATACTCTCGTTTATTTTTTAGACAGTAAATGTAAAGGGAGGATTTCATCTGGAAATTATGACAGAATAAAATTTCTTGTTCCCTATAATTGCATCCTACTGATTACATAATACTGCTTACAAAGAACCTTTTCCCAGTTTCTCATCTGTGAAGTATATTACATAATCAGATATATAGTAATGGAAAAAACAAAGTAGCTAAGCCTATTATTTTCTTGTTATATTTTTTGTTGTCATGTTGTCCTTGCAAACACACATTACTTAATTCAGATCAAGGTGGTAAATTGGATGGGGATGTGCCCGTATATCCACGTTCAGACGTCTCCCCAGTCTGAAGCAGAATGCTTGGAAGAGAGCAATGGAAAGTAAGCAAATGTAGAAAAAGAGGATAGACAAAGGAGCAGGCCAGATAGAGATGTTATATTTAAATATCTATCAAAGTTAGAAAATCAGGGTGGTATCGTGGAGTCCCTAGCGGTCTAGTATATCACGTCACTAAGGATATTTCAACTGAAGAAAACGTAACATGTACATACATACACAAAAGTATGTAATGAAAAGGCAATAGTGAGAATGACATTTTTAATTAAAAAAAAAAAACTCTGCCAGTTCTGCGTATCTTTCATGTAATTAGGAAGAACACATTTTAGCATAGATATGTAAATTACATTAATGGTATCAAAAAGCATTTATTATACTTTGTTTAGAAATCAGAGCTGTCATTCCACTGAGTCAAAAGAGTTTACAGACACATCCTGTTTTACCAGTTGCAAAAGTCACCTGAAGTACAAGAGGAGAGGTTTTTCTGGAAAATGTGAATTTATTTGAAACTGATTTTCTAATTATCTTAATGATTATATTTTATTCTGATTGCTTCTGAAAAAAAGCACACCCTCTTTATACTCTCCTGCAAGCCTTTATACACTCCTGCAAGTCTTTATACTCTCCTGCAATCAAATACATTTAAAAAATAAAGTAAGATCTATTAGCATGGCATGGTGATACAGAGGTGTAGTACCAGTGACTCAGGAAGCTGAGGCAGGAAGATAGCTTGAGTCCAGGAATTTGAGGCTGCATTGAGCTATGATCATGCTGCTGTACCCCAGCCTGGGTGACAGAGTGAAAGCTGTCTCTAAATAAATAAATAAATGAAATAAAGGAAAATTAAAATATATTTTTCAAAACTGTGTAAGTTTACCTGTGTGTATGATTATTCTCTAATTGTTTTTCACTTTTTGTGAATCTCAAGGAAAAACATTTTTGTGCTGTGAATATATTTTTCAACATTTCAACCTATAGTGCTCAACTGTGACTTTTACATGCACAATTCAATGCTTTAAAAACTGAAGTCTTATGCCTACATGCCTACTCTCAGGTGAGATGTTCTAATGTGCACATCTGAGACAGATAATTAAGATAGTTGGATTATCCATTAGAACTTTAGTTTGTTAGATGCATGTGGTTATTGACTAAAGCTATAACTTCATAATGAAAAATATCAGCCATGTTTTCAGCACAGATGGTTGTGGAAATTGATATTTTAACATGGTAATAAGTTCAATACCCTGCATGTTGCAGATTTCTACATTTTTCCCTCAAAGTGTATGCTTATATCCAATGGAGGAGTTCTTTAAACATGAATAATTTTAAATTGATTAAAAGTATGTGTAATTCATTCAATCTATCCTTCTAAAGTTCACCAGTGACATTCTTGAAAACAACTAGTCCACTGTAGGGATTGTGCTAAGTGATGAGAAAACCAGGATAAATAAAAGAGAGCTCATTTATGAATAAAAGACCATAAAACCATGGGGTTTAAAATCTAATAAAACAAAGAAGGATATAAACAAATGAGAGCAGTTAAGTGTTACATATTGTATATAATATTTATATATATTATGTTAAATAATATATAGTGTATATATAGTGTTTTATACATACTTACATATATTCACATATATGTGTATATAATATATTGTATATAGTATTAATATATAGTCTATTATATGATATAGTGTATATATACATATATATATACACATATATAAATATAGCATTTGAGAAAGAGAGAGAGGCAGAGACAGACACACTGAGATGATAGAAATATAAAATAATTTTTATTTTAAGGAATTGGCTTATGCAGTTGTGGGAGCTGACAAATTTGAAATCTGTAGGATGGGCCAGCAATCTAGACATTCAGGTAAAAATAGAAGTGATATTTCTGTTCAAATTCTACTGGGCAGGCCAGCTGACCATAATCTTAGGTAGAGTTTCTATGTTGCAATCTTGAAGTAGAATTGTTTCTATTTTGGTAAGCCTATATCTTTGCTCTTAATTCCCTTACCTGATTATATGAGGCCCATTCATATTATGGAGGGTATGAATAATATGCTTTCCTCAAAGTCTACTGATTTAAAGATTAATCACATCCTAAAATATATATTCACAGCAACATCTAGACGCTATTTGACCAAACAACTAACCTAACCTAGCATAGCAGAACAAGTGAACAAGTTGACACGTAAAATTAACCATTACATTGATTCCTTGTAAATTTGAGAGACTCCACATCTCCTTAAACCATGCATAAATCTCTAAATAAAGAAAATGACAAACTCTTCCCTCTGCCTAACATGATACAACTATCCTGAATACAACCAAACATACTAACCCTTTATGCAGAAGAAAATGCAACATCCTTAACTGATGCTCACTCTTCCTGGTATCCAGTAACACAAATATTATGATGTAAGTTAATGATGCTTAAATAATATGGTGTGAAGTCAATATATCTTATGTTATGTAATAAGGAGATTCAATAGCTAGAATGCTTGTGTCTTCCCAAAATTCATATGTTGAAATTTAATCCCCAGTGTGATCGTATTGCAGGGAGGTTCTTCTGGAGTTGATAGCTTATGAGGGTAGAGCCCTCATGGATCATTTTAGTGCCCTTATAAAAGTCTCACAGAGCTCTCTTGACTCATTATGCCAAGTAAGGACACTATGACTCAGAAACTGGGCCTTTATTAGACAGTGAATCTACTGGTGCCTTGATCTTGAACTTCTCAGTCTCCAGAACTGTGAGAAATAAATTTCTGTTGTTTTTAAGCCAATCAGTGTATGGTATCTTTGTTATAGAAGTTCAAATGGACCAGCACGAGGAAAAGAGAAGGGAGAAAACATAATGTTCTCTCTTTGTATCTATTTATCTATCTTTGTGTGCCTACACAAATATATTCATGACAAGATAAGAAAGACATATAACAATTACATTCCTCATTTCTTCAGCTGGTCACGTGGTTGTAACTGATATCTTTAACTACTTTCTTCCACTATCCATTTCATATTCCCTTTGCCCTCAGCAAGCACCTTAGCTGGTCATGGTTCTTTGTCTGTTGGATTAACCCAAATCTCCATTCCTGAAGGGTTTGGACCATTAGTATTCTTGTCTGAAGTGGGTTATTGAAGTTTCACATTGACTTCAATCACAGAGGATGGTAGTACTAAGGGGCTACCTAAAGGATCACCTGCATTCTATACATACTCTTATTTACCTCTATTTTGTACTAGCATTCAAATTTCCCATTGGTAATCAGGATCAATTACCCCAGCCAAGAAAGTAACTCCCCATTTTTTTCTGTTGATTCAGAAGCATAAGGAACTAAAAGTAGATGGGTGCCAGTCTTACTTCCAATTCAGTAGAACTGCTCTGGTATCTCCTGGTGGAATCATATATCCTTTTGGAGCTAACACCGTTAGAAAAGCAGAGAAAAGGATGCAAGGACAGGAAGTAAAATTATACTAATTGTTAACAGGATACATAGTGAGTGATAACTCTCCCATTTCTACCCCTTGATTCCTGACTACGGAAGAAACAGCATCGTATAGTGGACACAACCGTTGCTAAATAATATCGACCATGACAAAATATAGATGTCATAATAAATGGTGAAATACTAATGTTATTCTATACAAGATATAAGTAAGAAGCAGATGCCTGTTGCCTCCATTATTATCCTACAGTTTGTGCATTATGGAAAATGCAGTCAAAATTAGAAACAAATACAGGTCCAGGCTGGGAAAGAGAAGACAGTATAGTAGAAGTGGAGACCATGGCATTTGGGCCACTTTTTCATGTAACTTACTTGTGCTTCCAGGGCCAGCTCCAGCTCAACATCATATACACCACTTCCATTTGATGAAGGAGTGCTGCTTTGTACACCCAACTTCACTCAGGCATAAATGCCCCTGAACTTCTGTTGAATTTCCCACCCTCTGACATTCAAATGTTTTATCAATAAACCTAGAGTAGTTGCCACTTTTTTCTTAGTAGGTCCAATCAGTATATCATCAATGCAATGAACCAGTGTGATGACTTGTGGAAGGGAAAGGTTATCAAGATTCCTAGGAACTAGACTATGTCCTACGGCAATAGAGTTGAGATACCTATGAGGTAGGACTGCTAAGGTATACAGCTGGCCTTGCCAGCCAGTGCAAACTGTTTCTGTTGCTTTTATTAACAGATAGGAAAGAAAAAGCATTTTTCAGATCAATAGCTGCATATGATGTACTAAGAGATGAGTTAATTTACTTGAGCCAGGTAACCACATCTGGTACAGCAGCTACAATTGGAGTCACCATTTGACTAAGCATACAATAATCTACAGGCATTCCCAGGATCTGTTTTCAGCACAGACCAAATAAGTGTGTGGAATGGAAATGTGTTTGAATCACCACTCAGGTACACTTTAAATCTTTGATGGTATCAATAATTTCTGCAGTTCTTCCAGGAATGTAGTGTTGACTTTTGTTTACTATTTTCCTAGGTAGAGGCAGTTTTAGTGGTTTTCACTGTGCCTTTCTTATCTTTCTAGATCAAGTAACCAACATTCTTCCAATTGCTGCATGTATCTATTCCAAATATGTATTCTAGAACTGGGGAAATACCACAAAATGAGATTGGGGACCCACTTGGCCCATTGTGAGATAAGACTGAGCTAAAACTCCATTGATCTCCTGGCTTCCATATAAGCCCTTATGGTAGACCACAATGGCATTTTGGGGTTCCTGGAAGTACTGGCAATTCAGAGCCATTGTCCAGTAATCTGAAAAAGTTTGATTATTCTTTTTTCCAATGTATAAGTCATTCTGGTAAATAGCCATAGGCCCTTTGGGGAGCCTGAGAGAAAGAGTAACAGTGTCATTTTTTGTTAGCAAAGTACTGTCCTTCCTCAAGAAGAACTTTTTATTCAAAAGGCATCCGTTGTATTCAAAGGGCTCTGGGGTCTCTAAACTGGATCAAGCCTGGGAATTTGCTGAGGGGCCTGACTCTCTGTTTTTGTGTCTTTCATTTTCCCTCTTATAAACTGAGAGGTCTGTTGTGATTATGTTGTCCATTTCTCATCACCGGATGTTGGATGTGTGGAGGGAAGATAACTTGACTTTGAAAAGGAAGAGGCCAGGTGCAGTGACTCACGCCTGTAATCCCAGCGCTTTGGGAGGCCAAGACAGGCAGATCACTTGAGCTTAGTGTTTGAGACCAGCCTGAGCAACATGGGGAAACCCCATCTCTACAAAGAAAATACAAAAATTAGCCAGAAGTGGTGGCGTTCGGCTGTGGCCCCAACTACTCAAGAAAAAGAAAATGAGGAAATGTACCTGAGATGTTTCTTCAGAAGTATGTCTTAGGAGCATCATCAATACCTAATGATGAGATCCTGTATTATAAGCTAATGCTCTAATGAATTACATATTTTGAAGGAGGACTTGAGTATGTATTTTATCTTTAAGAAGGATATGGATTGTTGTGGCAAGAGGGTGGACTGTGATAGTTTCTTACAACGGATTCCTTCCCTCCCTGTACCAATATCCACATCTAAGAATAGAGTTTATTTTCACTTCTAAATATAGGCTGACTCTGACTGCTTTGGACAATAGAATGTCACAGAAATCAAATACTGGGATTTCTGATTCTAAGCTTTTCTTCCTTTTGGAATCAGGCACTCATAATGCGAGCTCAAGCCATATGGATCAGCCACATGAAGAATATACTAGATTTTTTATCTGCTAAATTTCCAGGGACTCCATTTTAAAATAGCCAATGTCAAAGTTCTGTGTGAGTATGACTATTCCGATTATCGTTTGCTTCCACTATCCATTACAGTAACCATGATCATCTTGTCTTTGGTGAATAATTTCTGCCACTTGGTCCCACTACCCTAGCATTCTGTCATCTCTGTTTCATTTAGGGATCCCAGTTCAATGGTAAAACTTACCACTGGAATCTTTGACCTACAAGGAAGGGTTGCAACAGAGATCTTCAAGGATGGTGAGGTTCCCCTCAGAAATTTATTTCTTATAGTTTTGATAAAAAGTTTGTATTATGTGTTAAAAGTACGTGTGTGTGGATATGTTCCTTTATAGTATACCAATGACTTTCTAGCATTTCAACTTCGCTTAGTGTAGGCCATGTTTTAGTCCATGTTTCAGTCTGCCAACTAAGGCAACTTTTAGAGCCCTTCCTAGTCATTTGAGCTAAAACATTAAATACAGAATTGCAGCTTAGTGAGGCCATATCAATAAATTAGGTCTGATCCAATGTTATATCCCTTTTACCTTGATTCCTCACCCTTAAGTTCCATGCCCACACATATGCTCTAGGTTTCTGTATATTTAAATGAGGAAAATCATGCCATTCTCGTGTGTATTGCATCACCTTGTGGGGTCACACTGTTTACCTTACCCTTGGGGTTTGCTGGTACTCCAGTCTAATTTTAGATCTAGAATAAAAGGAGGATGGCAGGGGTGGGTACTAAGAAAAATAAAAAGTAGCTTTCAAGGCTACATTGGGGGAGATCATTACAAATTCATCAAGCTAAGTAGAGTTAATTTCCTGAGATAAAAATAGGGCCATTTGTACCTGCATTAAAATCTGAACAGAATTTAAAGGTTCAATTTCCCAATTTCAATGGCATCTTTCCTTATGCCTCCCCTCAAAAAGTTCATAGGTTGAAATTCTACCTCCCACCATATAAATATACAGGGAAGAGGAGCTATCTTTGAACCAGGAAATGAACTCTTACCAGACGGTGAATCTGGTAGTGTCTTGATCTTGGACTTCCCAGTTTGAGAGCTGTGAGACACAGATTTCTCTTGTTTATAAGACACTCAGTTTATGGTATTTTGTAGTAGCAAGTAAAACTGACTAAGACATGTCCCCATTCCAATTTTTAGTATCCTTCTCATGGGTCACAATACTTTGTACCTTACCCCCTGGAGCCGGCTGGTACTTGAGTTGAATGATAGGTCTAGAAGTAAAGAGAGATTTTGAAGGTAGGTCCTGAGGAGAATCAGCAGGACTTGCAACTCAGGGAGGCCATTACAGGTTTTTTAGGTCAAAGGGGGCTAACCTTTTCCCTTTTTGAAACCTTTTCCCTCTTTGAAGAGGGACTTTTCAAAGACAAAATTCAGTCAATGGTGAATAGGAATTTTGAAACTCAGGCAGGGTGGAAGCTGCTTCTACTGGCCAAAAGCCTCAGCAGAATTTGGAGGTCTAAAGACTTCCAGATTTAGAATTTTTAGAGGTTATTTTCACTGGAGTCTACCCATGTGTCTCTATTCTGATTTTCAGTATCCCATTCTTCCTCAGTCAATGCCTAACTTTGAAAAGGTGACTTTGCATGTTTGAAGTTCTAATTTGCATTGTAATTAAGTCACTTGCAAAACGTGACCTTGGGTTTAGTTTTCAGAAATCTTGACCTTGTAGTTACAGGAAATAGGAATTATTTTCAGAGCAATCATAGAAGTTTTCATGTCTTTCATGCAGATCTTGAGCTGCTAACTTAAGATCCTAAGCTTATAAATTCATTTTCCTAAGTTCTTTAGCACAGTTAGAAACACTCAAGTAATTCCATTATGTGTTCATTTTAATTCAAATGTTCTAAGGTGGAAAATATTTTGTCCCCCAAAGTTTTGCCTTCTATAGGTGCTTTAGTTATCTAAAGGTGATCATTTGAATACGTCGTTTGCCATATCATGCTATGATTTACCAGTTTCTCCTCTACCACTAGAAACAGAATCATTTGCTTTTAAATCAAATCAGATTAAAGAGTCAATTCTAGAACTTACAGAACCAACACAAACATACACACTCACACCTGTGTGTGCACATATACATTTTATAAAACATTTCATATTTTATGTATTTAGGGATTTGTTAAAGGCAATTAGCTTACATACTTGTGACAGCTGATTTAAGGGTCTGTAAGGCTGTTCCCTCTGCCTCTGATGCCGAAGCTTGAAGTTCATAGGGAAGGCAGTCAGAAAGGGAATATCACAAGCAGGCTGGAACACACACGCATGAGGTGGAAATCCATGAGAATAGACTAAAGCTTGTGTTAACTCCTATTGCCTTCCACCTTGGCAATAAGGTTACCATGAATAAATTGAGCCCTTTATTACAAAGATGAAAAATATACACCTGGCCAGGAGTCAAAGAAGCTAAAAAGGAACCATAGGAAGGTAGAGAAATGGCCTGTCCAGCTGCCATTCCCTCCAACAAGAAAGGTCAGGGTGTCACACAACATGCATGCTACACAGTGAGTGCTGCTTCCTTTCCAACTTACAAGTCTTGCAGGAATCTCATTTGTGGCTCACCCTGACCATAAAAAATAAGAAAAGGAACTCTGGGGAATGTAGTTTAGTTTAGCCATGTTGACATATTACTAAACCATCATCTTTATCATGGTTTATTATGCTTTTAATAAAATTCAAAATTTTTGTAACACTTTCTTTCAGAGTTCTGCAATTGTATACACAAGTCAGGTTGACTGTAGTATTTTACATGAGAACATGTTTGTGTGTGCATGCGCATGAACGTGTTTACATTATTTTTATCAAGTTTTGCTATTAAAATGATGTTAAATTTATAAAATGAACTAGAATGGTTATCATCTTTTTTCTATGATCTTGGCTATCTGCAATAAGATATAAGATTCTGAGGCTGGGCCCAGTGGCTCACGCCTATAATCTTAATACTTTGGGAGGCCGAGGCAGGCGGAGCATGAGGTCAGGAGATCAAGACCATCCTGCCTAACATGGTGAAACCCCGTCTCTACTAAAAATACAAAAAATCAGCTGGATGTGGTGGCAGGTGTCTGTAGTCCCAGCTACTCAGGAGGCTGAGGCAGGAGAATCGCTTGAACCCAGGAGGCAGAGGTTGCAGTGAGCCGAGATCGTGCCACTGCACTCCAGCCTGGCTTACAGAGTAAGACTCCGTCTCAAAAAAAAAAAAAAATGTGGTTTCTTATCTACAGGATAGATTAAACTCAGCTATAAAACCATCTGGATTTGTATTCTTATCAAATAATAGATTTTTTAACAAAAATTTGTATTTATTTTGTGATTATTGGTCTCTTTTTTTTTTTTTTTCTTTTTTGAGATGAAGTCTCACTCTGTCTTCAGGCTGGGGTGCAGTGGGGTTTCACCATGTTGGCCAGGATAGTCTCGATCTCTTGACCTTGTGCTTGGCCCACCTCGACCTCCCAAAGAGCTGAGATTACAGGTGTGAGCCACCGCGCCCAGCAGGTCTCCTTTTTATGCAAATTTAGATGTGCAATATAATGACTACATTGTCATCTTGTCATGTTGCTATAAAATTGTAGGTTATATTAAGTAAAAACTCTAGTGCTAAAAGGCAGCCACCTCTGGAGTGAAGACTAAGATGAAAGCGAACAGTTATTAAGTCCTTACAATGTGCTAGATATTATTTAAATTATTTGCATACATTTTCTCTTTTTATCTGTGTGGTGGAGAGAATCTGTGCAATAGGTGTTATTGGCTCCATTTTAAAGTTGAAGAACATGAGACCCATAAAGATTAAGGCATTTGCCCCAAGACTATCAGTCAATGTGTGTGGTGCAAGGATTCAAATCCAGCCAAGCAAAGACCAGACACTAAACAGTGTTAATATGCTTCTTTGAAAAACTGCATGAAAAAACCCTGAGTTAAAGTAACTATTTGACTTAGAAACAACCAAGTTGAGAGAGAGTTTGCTTGGTTTTGTTTGTTTTGTTTTTGTTTTGGCTTTTCAGATGAAAATTCAGTTTCTTGTGTGGCCTTGTTGCTTTTTGCCTGTGTGTTCCAACTTTCCCACATAAAAGTGATGCATTTTTTAAAAATATAACTAAGCTTTGTGAGGTCCTGTTACTTGAGCCAAAATACTCGACTAAAAAAGAGTGTATTATTTTCAACCTAGTTAGTTATACTGTAAATTAAAGACTTGGCGAACTAACTAAACACCCAGTAAATATTCCATAAATTCAAACTGTGGATCTTTAGGTTGGAAAGTATGTATTATCCATCTTTGTATTTGTCTCTAAAATTCTGTGCCTTAGCCACAGTTGGTGTTCACTAAATCTATTGCATGTTGAAATCTCTTATGTTGAACTACATAAAACTGTCTTGGTATTTAATCACTGTGTATTACTATATCTTTTTTTTCATTTTCCTATTGATTCTTTATATACCAACCACATTTATCATTTCTACAAGGCTGTTTCCAAAATCTAACTCCAAGGTTCATATACAAATGTTTTCCTTATAAATATTTTGTATATATTATACATTTGGTTTTCTCCAAGTGTGCCACCTTCTATAGACATCGTCTTATTGTCAGCCTTGTAGGCACTGGTGCAATTATAATCTTCCATGATTAATGTCTTAGCTGTTTTACAGACTTTTGTTATCTGCATACATACTTCTAAATCTATGTTTCATGCTGCTTCAGACAAAGTAGCTTCTTATCATTTATGTTCTTTCCATTTCTATCTTTTCCTATATTCCAAACAATCTTTTTGGTCTTTAGAGCATATATTTCATCTCTCTTTAAATGATTCTGTATATCGTTTCCTCCTATCTGACAAAGTCTAGCCTTCTCCTAAAAACAACCTCCTGATTTTTAATAGGGTTCTAACCTACTTCATTCTAGCTTGCTACTTTGGTTATATTAATCTCTATTTTGTGGCCTTGAAAACATAGCTTTATTCCATCTGTTTAAAAAATATATACTATTCCAAGAAAGCAAATAAACAAATAATAGCTATACTTTTTCTCACTGCTCGGGTTTTGTTTTGATGCCGATGTTATTATTGTTTTTGTTATTTAGGAAATGTTAGTCCTCAGTTCTCTAATGCTATCTTTCTTCCCCTTACTTTGATTGTTGAAATAGCAGTCAAGTTTTGGATTCACCCTTTCTATACTCATGGCATGTTATTTACCAAGTTACCAAAGCACAGTACATGCATGCATACGTGTTATTTCACTGTATCCTTGATTTTTAACAAGGATTTTATAACTAAACATCTACACTTAGATACGTGTAACTGGCACAATTATGGAGTCCCAGAAAAATTTTAAAAATCAAAAATGTCTTACTTCTAATTTTACTTACTGCTCTTTTTTTTCCTTACTGGCCCTTGATAGCTTTCTAAACACAGAGAGAATAAATACAATAAATTGCCAGAGTGAAAAGTTAATATTTTGATATTAAAAATTCATATGATAGTAGGTTCAATTCTGTCTCCTGCCAACTCAAAATATGCCATTTCAAGTTGGAGGAAGGGGAGGAAGATAGAGTGTTTGGGTGTATTGCAGATTATTGATGTTAAAAAATCCAAAATGGAAAAATCTCAGATGTACCTCCAGTTATTAGTGGTCATATAAAATTAAAGTATATAATATAATTTATTTTTAGCATTATGTCAGTTATTTCTGTTTCTATCAGGTTGTATTTTGGTTTTCTGATCCCCTGCCTATAACTTCTAACAGAAGTGCAGTGTGTAAAATTGTCTGTGAGTTTGTGATTCTAGTTTTCTTATTACACTCTATTTTCAGTATCATCTCTATCTACCTTTTGTTTCCGTTTCCCTTACTTTCATTTTAAACATACAGCTTATTTCTTGCTCTTCGCACCCTCTTCTTGATCATTGTTATTTATGACTTCACTATCTTACTCCTATCTAAACTATGAACACAATGATAGTAATTTTTCTTCTATACATTTCATTTTGCAAAATGTATATATAATTTTTTTTATAAACTACAATTGTGGCAAAACGTTTACATGGATACATGATTCTCTAGTTTCAGAAATGGCCTTTGTTATTGTTTTTCTTTAACCATTACCAGAGTCCACTGAAATCTAGCCACTTATGGAATGTTACTAGTATATATAGTGTGTGGAGAGGAAATTACATGTTTTTAAATATATGGGCAATGAGGTTCCAGAGATATCTAAGAAGCCAATTTAATATTCCTGATTTCTCTATTATTGTTTCTAACATTTTTGTTTGTTGATTTTTTCACATTATTTCCATTTAATTGTTGTTTAGTTACTTGAAAGATACATGATAATAGAGATTAAGTGCATATCCATATTTATTTTCAACATATAAAATGTTTCAAGGCAGGAGTTATGTAATGTAAATGAGATAAAATATAGATACTCTCAATAAATACTTGTGGATCTACTTGACAATCTTTGTTTACAAGGCTATTCTTATAATAGACTTTGGAAACTCCGAAAGGTAGGAGGGTGAGAGAAGAGTGAGGAATGAAATACTATGTATTGGGTACAATGCACACTATTGGGGTGATGGGTACACTAAAAGCCGCTTCACCATCACACAATATATCCATGTAGCACAACAACACTTGTACCTCCTAAACCTATCAAAATAAAAAAATGTTGAAAATTTAAGAAGGCTATTCTTAATATAGAAACCAGTATAATTTTTATATCAAATTTAAAGACATAAAGAAGACTTTGCATATTTTATCAATGTATTAATTATAACCTTAGGTATACTTCTTTATTTTCATGGAAAGACATTAAACTATTAATATGTTTTTAAAAGAAGCTACATACTAAAGCATGGCTGTAAGCTCAAATAACCTCAAATATATACCCAGAAAACTTGATCGTGAGTATAATGTGGTATAGTTTTCAAACTATACGAAACTGACGATTGAGTATTTGAAGATGATTGGTTCTCATTATATTAAAGGAAAACAAAAGGAAGAGATAGAAAACTCCATTTTTGAACATGGCCTTTCATGCTGTTTCCACTAGAAACTATCTTTTGAAACATTCCAAAGGACTTTAAAATATGTTCTATCAGTGTCAGTTGCGAAGGCATGCTATCATTATCTCTATCTGCAAAAAAGCAGATTGTCCCTATGCCTCTATCCCCAGCCACCTCACTGCATGCCCATGCTGTGAATTAAAACACTGAAATTTTCCTTGAAAATGGTTGTCTCTATTGATCAGGTTCTCACTTAAATTAGGAAAAGATAGAATATAGCAATGAATTACAACAATGTGTGGAGTGTTAGCATATATCAAAATCTATGCTGTGGTTAGAGAGGAAGAAAAAAATTTTGATTGAAAGAAGAAAAATTATGATATAAACTGAGGGAGCAATTACTATTACTACCTCATATACAATCCCCAATTTGTTCCCTGGAATTATTTAGAGATCACTTTTCTTAAATATCAAGGTATACAGTTTGAGAAACACTGATTTCAATCAAGTGGCTTAGTCAACATAGGTCAAATTACTTTAATTATGTGGTTGTTATTGGTACATCAGTCAATTCTGTTTAAACTATGTGTGCACAAAAATAAAACAAAAGTTCACAGTTCAGCTTACACCAAAAGAAAAACATTTAGAGTACTGTTATGCAAATTCAATTATTTAAGGATCTTTAATACTGTAAAAAAAATTACATGAAGAATTTATCTGTTCATATTTAAGAGCCCAAATTTGGTGAAAAATACTTTAAAATTCTACAAGACTTGGAAATGTCAAAAATCTCCTAAAATTTTTTGTCTTCTAAGCATGAATTAATTAGATATATATACAAATAATTTATCCTTAGATTGCCAATACATTCAAACATAAAAGTGAGAAATAAATTAATGAATACATTCATTGTATAGATTGATGTTAGAAATTAAAATAAAGATGTGGATGTTTTCTAACCTCAAAAGTTATTTTTATTTTCCTGGAAGTGGTTTAGAATGTTAACATATAGAGAAAATATAGTAGTGCTTTAAAATCACTTATATTCTTACTATGTGTTCATTAAAAGTAAAGTACAATTCAAATTGCATACTTCCACTGTATATATCATTTAGCATCAAGTAATAAGTGTACTAAATGTCTATCACACACGTATTGTACACATATTGCAAATACATTTAATTTTTATTTTATTTATAATTATAGATTACATTACTGCATGATAATATGCATTTGTCTGGATAAACATATATAATTATTAAGATTTATAGTTCTGCCCGGTAAAGGGACAGATGACATACACTATCATTTTGTAATGTGTAATTCAATTGCTGGCACGCTAGGACTTTGAACGTAAGGCTTAAAATGTAAATTTCAATTCTGTACTCTGTCAGTAACTAACAAATGCTGAATTATTTCCTTCCTTAGACATACGCCATTGGAATCCATTTAAAGTGCTTAATGATGTATTAATAAACCATGATTTTCCAGCAGAGTTTCTCAACTCTCTTTACTGGCGCCAGCTCTTGTGCTGCCAATCAAATTAGAATGCTATGGTTTCTTAGTAAATAAAGGTTAATTGGACATATAAAGGGAAACTGAACATCAGAAATATCCATACTCACATTACGCTTCTCTAAAAGTTAGGTTATTAGATTTCAACTTATTATATAAGCAGCTAAAATATATTTCTCATTTTGAACACAAAGAGCTATCTTCTTATAATTTCAGAAAACTCAAACATACAAGGCTTATTGCTTTCATCTTTGTTAAGTTTTCTAACTGATAATTTAGCAGAAGGAAAAAGAAACTTATATAGAATCATTTGTGTTTCATAAACTTTCCTGTAAATGCTTTTTCAAAACTATCTTCTCCAATCTCAAAACTCTTATTCTTCATAAATATGCAAAAAATATTTACACATACATATCATTATTTCCTCTAAATAGTTTCTATTTCCATTCTTACTTCCTGATCTGTTAGTTAGCCTCAGATATGGCCTGCTTTTGATTAGTTCTATAGTCTAGTATTGAATTCAGATGTGAACCATGTGTTTGAACATATGAACTGTGTACTTGAAAAGTTCTAATAGAACTGCATAAAAAAACGTACGAAGTGGATATTGACTTTCACCAGCCACGTACTTTTAGAAATTTAAATTTACCTAGTGAGAAAAATCAGAGTATGCTTGCTAAGGATTAAAAATTCAGAGAACAGTTGAGGATTAAATGTTCAGAAAAACTACTCCAGATACAGTACACTTATTAATGCTGGATAAAATATAAAGATATATATTTAAAGCATGCCTGATGTAGCTAGAAATTTAGAGAATGCTTTAGAAATCAGAAAAGAAAAAGAAAGTAGAGCCAATGATTGCAAGTTTAGAGGCCCGCTTTCAATGAGTTAGGCATGCTAGCATCTAAGTCAAGCCATAGAACAAAGCTCGTGAGAGGCCACTAACCCCAACCATACCCCATTATCCCATATTCATATTCTACATCCCCAAAGAAAGAATTCTTAGTAGATGACCTGAAAGAATAACAAAACTCTCAGGAGAGTAAGAATTTGGGAATTTAACCCAGTCTCATCATTGTCTCTGAATTCTAAACACAAATCTTCAATAACCCTACATTTGTACAACCTTCCCTCAAAATCCCCAAATTTTAAACTTGAAAATGCCTTTGAAGAAGAGTGCGAGTTGTTATTATCCCTTGCAATAATTAAGCACAATCACTCGGGAGAAGCGCATGCAATTCATCTCTGTAGGAAATAATTTCAAACCCAGGCCTCAAAGTTTTCCCACAAATGTCCAAGGAAGGTAGGCTCACCATTGAAAATTACTAAACTATGAGAAAAACCAATCACCATGAGGAAATATGAGATAAACATCTAAAAATGTATAATTAGGCCCAAAGCAAATTTAGCTGTTAAAAGATCAGATGTAAAATATAAAATAATATTTTTAAAGAAATATAAAATATACTGAAACAATGACAGGCAAGAGACTATCAATACCAATAAGCCAGATGTGAAAAAGTACAAATGAGAAATTCTAAAAAAATTTAACTAAAATTTTGTATATTCTAAATATTGTATATTGTAACCAACAAAAAAGACAGTCCGAAGAAATGATAATAAACACTTATATAGGTAACTATGTGGAGACACTTTTAATGCAGATTATACATATTGACTTATTTAATCCTCACAGCAGCATTATCAGTTAGATATTCTTGCAATCCTTATTTTATAGGTGATACATTAAGCAGGGAGATTTTTTTTTTAATGTGCCTAAATCCCACATATAGTGAATGGCACAGCCAGAATTTGAATGCAGTTTAGTTCCAGAATCCATAGTTTGCAACTACATTGTAATAGGAATTTCACAGAAAAGAAAATACTAATGTTCAGTAAACAAATAAAATGATGCTTAGCCTCAATAACAATCAGAGAAATGTAAATTGAAGTATGGGATACCATATCATAACTTCCATTTAAGAAAATATAAAAAGTCTGACAATATTGAAGATTTGCAAAATGTACAGCTTTGGAGACTCTTATATTGCCTAGGGGTGTACAAATTTATACACCCACTACAGAAAAATGTTTGATATTATCTATTAAGTTCAGCATGTGTGCATCTTTATAAATTCCAAAAATATTTTTGTTTGATTTTAGATATATATTTTAAAATTTAAAAGCACAGTCAAGCAAGATGACAATTAGGGATTTCTTTGAACCGTTAATTGGCATTAATATCATGGGGAAGATTCTATCTCATATAATGTGATAGCCAAATTCCATCTCACTTTACTTTGGACTGTAACACAACATGATTTCTTAGCAAACATGTTGTTCTTCCATTAAATTGAACCTATGTATTCCAAATATTTCATTTAACATGAATGAGAATCTCTATCGGTACTAATGTAGAATGAATATCAATAAAGATGGAAATTCTGATCTTAAGAATGTACCCTGGTGAAGTTAAAATGAATGTTTTACCCACCATTGTGTTGATTACAGATTAAGCATAAAATATATATACATATATATAATCATATGTAAAGTGATATATATTTTGTTAATTTCAATTTTTATTATAGATATGGGGTTACATGATCAGGTTTATCACATGGCTATATTGCACTGAGCTAGTAAGCATAGTATCCAATAAATAGTTTTTCAACCCACACTCCCTCCCTCCCTTCCTCTGTAGAAATCTGCAGTGTCTATTGTTCCTATGTTTATGTCCACATGTGCTCAATGTTTAGCTCCCACTTTTAAGTATTTGGTTTTCTGTTCCTGCCTTAATTTGCTTAGGATCATGGCCTCCAGCTCCTATAGATTCTGAATGTTAGACTTTTGTTGGATGCATGAATTGTGAATATCTTCTTTCATTCTGCAGATTATCTGTTTACTCTATCAGTAGTATCTTTGGCTGTGCTGAAGCTCTTTAGTTTAATTAGGTTCTGCTTGTAATTTTTGTTTTTGTTGCACTTCCTTTTGGGGACATAGCCAAACATTCTTTGACAAAGCCAAAGTTGAGAAGGGCATTAACTAGTTTTTCTTCTGTGATGTTTATGGTTTGAGGTCTTACATTTAAATCTTTACTTTATATCGAGTTAATTTTTGTATACGGTGAAAGGTGAGGGTCTAGTTTCATCCTTCTGCATATGGCTAGCCAGTTATTCCAGCACCATTTATTGAATAGGGAGTCCTTTCCCCATTCCTTGTTTTTGTCAGCTTCATCCAAGACCAAGTGGTTGTATGTGGGTTTATTTCTGGGTTCACTATTCTCTTCCACTGGTGTCTATATCTGTTTTTATGCCAGTACCATGTTGTTTTGGTTACTGCAGCTCTGTAGTATAATTTAAAGTCAGGTAATGTGATTTCTTCAGTTTTGTATTTTGCTCAGGATGGCTTTTGCTATTCTGGAACATTTTTGGTTACATATAAATTTTATTTTTTTTTCCCTTTTTGCAAATTATGTAATTGGTATTTTGATAGAAATAGTGTTTAACCTGTAGATTGCTTTGGGTAGTATTGATTTTTTTTTTTTTTTTTTTTTTTGACAGTTGGCAGAGCTAGCTGAGGTTTTATTTTGTAAAAAAACAAAAAACCAATTGAATTGTTATGTAGCTGGAGGCATGGGCAAGGGGGGTACCCCAGGCAGGAACTCCCCCAACGGGTGGGCTGAAGTCCAGGGCTGAGCCTTAGGTGGGTCTTCTCTTCCCTGTGCTCCCCTACACAGCAGCCTCCCTCCCGGGCTCTGGGGCAGCCAGCCGCAGGAGGGATAGTCTGGGAGGGGCTGCCATTGCTGTTCACTTGGGGAGGACGTCAGAGGACTCAGACACCAGCTTCCCATCGAGGGTCTCCATCTTCTTCACAACCATGGCCCTGGTGGAGCTGGTGCGGTTGAAGGAGATGAAGCCCGCCCAAGAGTCAAAGCTGGAGCCCAGGACGTAGCTGAGGCCGGGGCTTGTGAGGCCCCCATAGGTCGAGCTCAGCCCATCTGCCTAGCCGCTGGTGGTCTTCGTATGGGTACTTATGTTCTGCATCCCACACTCCAGCCAGCTCTCCTTGCCCTCCAGCAGCTTCCTGTAGGAGGCGATCTGGACGTCCAGGGCCAGCCTGAAGTTTATCAGCTCCTGGTACTCCTGCAGCTGCCTCGCTGCGTCCTGCTTGGCCTGCTACACGGCGGCCTCCAGCTCGGACAGCTTGGTGTTGGCATTGTTAAGGGCCAGCTCCCCATGCTGCTCGAAATCTGCCGTGGCAGCCTCCGGGGAAGCCCTCTGGCCTTTGAGGCCCTCAGTCTCAGCCTGGAGCCCGCTGATGTTCCTGTTCATCTTGGAGATCTCAGTCTTTGTATGCTGCAGGTCATCCCTGTGCTTCTCTGCCAGCATCTGCAGATCCTCATACTTGATCTGGTGCATGCTCTCAGCCTCAGCCCGGCTGCAGTTGGCAAGCTCCTCGTACTGCCCCTTGACTTCAGCAATGATGCCGTCCATGTCTGGGGGAGGCTGTTGTCAATGGATAGCACCACCGATGTGTCTGAGATCTGAGACTGCAGCTCCCAGATCTCCTCTTCAGACAGCTGCCTGAGGAAGCTGATCTCATCAGTCAGCCGTTCCAGGTGAGACTCTATCTCCACTTTGTTCGTGTAAGCTTCATCCACATCCTTCTCGATGAGGACAAATTCATTCTCCATCTTTGTAAGCTTATTGATCTCATCCTGGTACTTGTTCTTGAAGTCCTCCACCAGCCCCTGCATGTTGCCAAGCCCTGCCTTCAGCTTCAGCTTCTCCTGGCCCAGTCTCCAACTGCTGCCGAAGGTTGATGTAGCTGTTGAACATGTTGTCCATGTTGCTCCGAGGCATCTTCTGTGCTGCAGGCTCCACTTAGTCTCCAGCATCTTGTTCTGCTGCTCCTTGTTGATGAAGGAGGCAAACTTGTTGTTGAGGGTCTTGATCTGCTTCTTCTCCTGGGTGCGCATGGCCTGGATGTTGGGGTCCACCTCCAGGTTAAGAGGGCTCAGCAGGCTCTGGTTGACGGTGACAGTGGTGATGCTTCCCATACCACAGGACCTGCCATAGCCTCTGCCCAGGCCACCCGGGAAGCTGCTGCTGACCACTCGGGAGAAGCTCGAGGAGCTGATGCAGGCACCGGACTCACTCTTGTAGGAGCAGCTGCTGAAGGCCCGGGGGCCGGAGGTGGACACCTTGTAGGACTTCTGGGTCACCCTCATGGACATGGTGGAGGCAGGAGTGGAGGCAGGCAGGCTGAACCAGGCATAGATTCCAGAAGGAGAGGAGAAGCTGCTTCTTGGTCAGTACTGTCATTTTAATAATATTGATTCTTCTAATCAATGAACATAGAAGATTTTCTGATTATTTGTGTTGTATCTGCGTTTTACAGTTCTCCTTGTAGAGCTCTTTTATCTCCTTGGTTAGATGTATTCCTAGGTATTTCTTTTTTTTTCTAGTTATTGCAAATAAAATTTTATTCTTCATTTGGCTTTGAGAATTGACATTAGTGGTGCATAGAAATTCTACTAATTTTTGTACATTGATTTAGTGTCCTGAAGCTGTACTAAAACTGTTGATCAGTCCTAGGAGCCTTTTGGCAGGGTCTTTGGGGTTTTATAGGTACAGAATCATTTTATCAGCAAAGAGAGACAGTTTGACTTCTTATTTGGATGCCTTGCATTTTTTTTTTCTTGCTTGATTACTCTGGCTAGGAATTACAGTGCTATGTTGAATAGAATTGGTGTGAGTAGGCATCCTTGTTCCATTTCTTAAGGAGAATGGTTCCAGCTTTTGCACATTCAGTGTGATGTTGGTGATGGGTTTGTTACAGATGACTGTTACTGTCTGGCTTTTATTATTTTGAGGTGTGTTCCTTCAATTCCTAGTTTGTTGAGGGTTTTTATCATGAAGAGATGTTAGATTTTATAAAAATACTTTTCTGTGTCTATTGAGATGATCATATGGCTTTTGCTTTTAATTCTGTTTATGTAGTGAATCAAATTTATTGACTTGCTTTATGGTGAATGAGACTTGCATCCCAGGAATAAAGCCTACTTGATTCTGGTGTATTAACTTTCTGATGTGCTGCTGGATTTACATCCATTGTTTTGTTGTGTTTGCTAGTGTTTTGTTTATGATTTTTGCATTTATGTTTATAAGTGATGCTGGCCTGAAGTTTTTTTGTTTTTGTTGGTGTATCTTTGCCAGATTTTAGCATCAGGATGTTGCTGGTTTTGTAGAATGAGTTAGGGAGAAGTCTCCTCTCCAGTTTTTTTGGAATGAGTTCAGTAGGACTGATACCAATTCTTCCTTGTACATCTGGTAGAACTTAACTATGAATCCATCTGGTACTAGGCTTTTTTTGGTTGGTAAGTTTTTAAATACTAATCCAATTTCAGATCTTGTTACTGGTCTGTTCAGGTTTTCACTTTATTCCTGGTTCAATCTTGGGAGATTGTGTTTCTAGGACTTTATCCATTTACTCTAGATTTTCTAATTTGTGTGCATAGAGGTGTTTATAATGGTCTCTAAGAATCTTTTGTCTTTCTGTGAGATCAGTTGTAATGTCATCTTTGTCATTTCTATTGTGCCTATTTGGATTTCTTTTTCTTTGTTAATCTAGCTAGTGGTCTATCAGTCTTGTTTATTCTTCAAACCAACTCTTTATTTTTATTCAGAAAACCAACTCTTGGTTTCATTGGGCTTTTATATAGACTTTTTGCATCTCAGTTTCACTCAGTTCTGTTCTGATTTTAGTTAATTTTTTTTCTTCTTCTAGCGGGAGTTTGTTCTTTTTTTTCTGGTTCCTTTAGGTGCAAAGTTAGATTGTTAATTTGAGATATTTCTAACTTCTTGAAGAAGGTGTTTAGCACTATAAAATTTCCTCTTAACTGCTTTGGCTGCATCTCTAAGATGTTTGTTTGTTGAGTTACTATTTTTATTAATGACAAAAAATTTTTAAATGTCTGCCTTCAATGTTCACACAAGAATTATTCAGGAGCAAGTTGTTTAACTTCCATGTATTTGTGTGGTTTTGAGAGATCTGCTTAATATTGATTTCTATTTTTATTTCACTGTGGTTCGAAAGTGAGCTTTATATGATTTTATTTTTTTGAATTTATTGAGATTTGCTTTATGAGAGAGCATGTGGTTGATCTTAGCATATGTTCTATGTGCAGATGAGAGAAATGTATGTTATGTGATTTTTGGGTGGAGTGTTCTGTAGATGTCTATTAGGTCTAATTGATGAAGTATTGAGCTTAGGTCCAGAGTTTAGTTTTCTGCCTTGGTGGTCTATATAATGCTGTCAGTGGGTTGTTGAAATCTCCCACTGTTATTGTGTGGTTTTCTCAGTCTTTTTTTAGGCCATGAGGAACTCGTTTTGTGAATATGAGTGCTCCAATGTTGGGTGCATTCATATTTAGGATAGTTAAGTCTTCTTGTTGGATTGTACATTTTATCGTTATGAGATACCATTCTTTGTCCTTAATTTTTATTAGATTAATATCTGTTTTATCTAGTATAAAAATAGTGACTCCTGCTCTTTTTTTGCTTTCCATTTGCATGGTATGTCTTTTTTCATCCTTTTACTTCGAGCCTGTGGGTATCGTTACATTTGAGATGGATCTCTTGAAGATAGCAGATGATTAGAACTTGTCTTTTTTATATAGTATGCCACTCTATAACTTTTAATTGGGGGGATTTAGCCCATTTACAATCAGGGTTAGTATTAATATGTGAGATTTTTCTCCTATCATCATGTTGTTAGCTCTTTTTTATGCAGGCTTGGCTGTGTGATTGCTTCATAGTACCCGTGGGCTATGTCCTTAAGTGTGTTTTTGTGGTAGCAGGAATCATTTTTCTTTCCCTTCTTACTTTTTTGTTGTTGTTGTTATTGAGACAGAATCTCACTCTGTCACCTAGGCTGGCGTGATCGCGGCTCACGGCAACTTCCGCCTCCTGGGTTCAAGCGATTTTCCTGCCTCAGCCTCCTGAGTAGCTGGGATTACAGGTGCACACAACCATGCCTGGGTAATTTTTGTATTTTTAGTAGAGACGGGGTTTCACCATGTTGGTCAGGTTGGTCTCAAACTCCTGACTTCATGATCCGCCGGCCTCGGCCTCCCAAAGTGCTGGAACTACAGGCATGAGCCATCGCGCCTGGCCAGGAGTCATTTTTCTATTCCACGTTTAGCATACCCTTAAGGACCTATTGTAAGGCTGGTCTGGTCAAAACAAATTCAGCATTTGATGATCTGAGACAGATTTTATTTCTTCTTTACTCTGAAGCTTATTTTGGCAGGATATAAAATCTTTGTTGGAATTTCTTTTCTTTAGGCATGCCGAAAATAGGTCCCCATGGCCGGGCGTTGGTGGCTCACGCCTGTAATCCCAGCACTTTGGAGGCTGAGGCGGGCGGATCACGAGGTCAGGAGATTAAGACCATCCTGGCTAACATGGTGAAACCCTGTCTCTACTAAAAAATACAAAAAATTAGCCAGGCCTGGTGGCAGGCGCCTGTAGTCCCAGCTACTCGGGAGGCTGAGGCAGGAGAATGGCGTGAACCCAGGAGGCAGAGCTTGCAGTGAGGCTAGATTGTGCCAGTGCACTCCAGCCTGGGCGACAGAGCGAGACTCCGTCAAAAACAACAACAACAAAAAAAAAACACAAGAAAATAGGTCCCCAATCTCTCTGGCTTGTAAGGTTTCTGCTACAGGTCTGCTGCTACCCTGATGGAGTTCCCTGTCCCTTCTCTCTTGCTGCCTTTAAGATTTTTCTTTTGCATTGACCTTGATGAAACTAATGACTTAGTGCCTTGGGGATGGTCATCTTGTAGAGTATCTAGCAGGGTTTTCCTGTATTTTTGTTTTGTTTTTTTGGATTTGCATGTCAATCTCTCTAGCAAGATTAGGAAAATTTCTGTGGACTATACCCTCAAACATATTTTCCAAGTTGTTATGTTCTTTCTTTTTCTCTCAGGAAAGCCAGTGAGTGATAGATTTGGTCTATTTACATAATCCTGTATTTCTCAGATGTTTTGTTCATTTAAGAAAAAAATCCTTTTTCTATAATTTTGACTGACTGACTTGATTCAAAGAACCAGTCTTTGAGCTCTGAAATTCATTCCTCAGCTTGCTCTACTCTGTTAATACTTCTGACTGTATCATGAAATTCTTGTAGTGAAATTTTCAGTTCTAGAAGTTTAGTTTGGCTTATTCTTCATATGGTTATGTTGTCTTTTAGCTCTCAAAACATTGCACTGGATTTCTTGGATTGGGTTTCCACTTTCTTCTGAATATTACTGAGCTTCCTTGCCACCCAGATTCTGAATTATATGTCATTTCAGTTATTTCAGACTGGTTATGAACCATTGTTGGGAAGCTAGTGGACTCATTTGCAGGTATGGGGACACCAGCTTCTTGAATTACCAGAGTTCTTACACAGATTCTTTCTCTTCTTAGAGTGCTAGTGCTCTTTTAACTCTGGTGTAAGTTGAGTATAGTCAGTTGACTTTATTTCTGGATGTTTTTGGCAGGCTGAGGCTCTGGGTAGAGTCTTAATTTGTGGCCACATTTTTGCCTTTGGTTTCACAGTAGGGTATATTAGCAACGTATTTTTATTGTTGTAGTTTGGGCGTTGATTCACTAGATGGTGCTTAAAAGTCATTGCTTGTAATTAGGCTTTTACTCAGCTGGATGGCTTTTTTATATTTCCTGGTGTTTGCAGCCCTATTCTGTGGTGTGTTGTGGAGAGAGGTGACCCTCTCATGAGGTTGACTCTTGGGCCTTGGGGGTGTCCCTGTATTTGTTCGTTTTTATGCTGCTGATACAGACATATTCGACACTGGGTAATTATAAAGGAAAAGAGGTTTAATGGACTCACAGTTCTATGTGGCTGGGGAGGCCTAACAATCATGACAGAAGGCAAAAGGCGCATCTTATATCTCAGCAGGCAAAAGAGAATGAGAGGCAAGCAAAAGGGGAAACCCCTTATGAAACCGTCAGCTCTCTTGAGACTTATTCATCACCACAAGCACAATGTGGGGGAAACTGCCCCCATGGTTCAATTATCTCCCACTGGGTCCCTCCCACAACATGTGGGAATTATGGGAGCTACAATTCAAGATGAGATTTGGGTAGGGACACAGCCAGAATGTATCAGCCCCATTTGATCACTAGCACTACACCTGCATTTCTTTTCTTAGGTGTTCCAAGCCATGGGGTTCCTGTGGGCAGAGGCCACAGCAGGGAGATAGACCATACTTTTTCCAGGCCAGCCCTGTGGAAGGAGGCACACCCTACTCCCATGGCTCCCCATGAGCGCATGTGACTCACCCCTCTCAGTTCTCTGAGAGAGTGGGCTCCTCTCCTGCTTGAGTACTGCCCAGGGATCTCTGCTCAGCACTCACAAGATACACACTGCTGCCCTGGGATAATCTCAGGCATTTTGTCCGCTCCCCAGCTTGGGGGCAGCAGGGGCAAGGATTGTGGTAGCAGCAATGGCAGAGAACCTGTCAGTTGCCTCTGGTGGCTCCATCCCAGAGAAATATAGAGCCATGGTCAATTGGAGTGATTAGCTGCATCTCCTCTCTTTGAGAGCAGTATGCACTAGCTGCAATTGCTTCCTTGATGAATCCCTATGTGGCTGTTTGGATGATCCACTAGAAGAACTAGTGTTTGCTCACTATTCTGTCTCTTCTGTGAGAGCAGTGTATACCAGCTGCTTCTAGTCAACCATCGTGGTGCTTCTCAAATAATATTTTTGAAAATAAAAGTATATGGGTAATTTTGTCAAGAAGTGAAAAAAGAAAACATATATAAACATTGTTCACAAACAGCGATCTTGAGATTTACAAACATTCAAAATGAAAATTTCTGAAAATGTAATTTATATTGAATTTAGGTTTCCACGTTAAACGGAAACATTTGTGGTTACTTCTTTATCTCATTAGTAAAAATTTTATTTCTGTAAGAATTAAGTCTAATACGACTGAGAAAAATTAAATTATACATTATTTTACCCAAAAGATAAATATTATGTGTACTCTATGACTCAGTAATTCTATTTCTAACATATCTTGAGAAATTCTTTCACTTGTGTGCTAATAAATCTCTATAAGAATATTTGTAGCATTGTTGTTTGTATTTGTTAAAAACTGGAAACAATCAAAATATCAATCAATGGTGAGAGTAAATGAGAAACAATGGAATAGCATAGAACAATAAAAATGAGTGAATTCCATAAATCAATATGAATATTTCCTCCCAATTTAAGATGAGGTATAATTCCATTTATATACATTTAAAAATCAGGCTACATTTAAAAGTACTATTTAGGAATATGTATATTTTGCAAAACTGTGGTAAGAGAAAAAGCATGAAACTGATGTATACAAACTCAGAAAAGTACAAACATTTTCAGGTAGGGGAGATAATGTAATCAGGATGGTACACTAAGAAGAATTTTAAAATGTTTATTTCTTTTTTATTTTATGAGCTTAGATATTTCACAAGTAAATAAAATTTTTATTTTGAAAACATGATTAGATATATTATTTGGTATATATATTATATTGTTGTTATATCTGTTAAGTATAATATATAAGCACTCCTCTGTATATCTGCTATATTTATAAATTTTTAAAGGGAAGAAAAATATATTAAAGAATTTTTCTTATGAAGCTTTATCACTAAATAGCTGCAAGTTATTTAGATACTTGTGTATATTTCTTTTATTTACAAAATAAATGCACTAGAATTGAGTAATTTATTTATTAATTCTTTTTTTGTTGTTATAAGTATTAGGCATTTTCTATATTCCAAGCAATATGCTACCTTAAAGGCATGTAAAGATACAAGCTATGGCCTTTGCCATTAAACAGGCATTCTAGCACAGCAGCTGATGATGGCTCCTAGTTCTAAATTTATTTGCAGATAACAGTCAGTTGAATTCATTCCCCTCATCATGACAAAGGAAAGAATTTGGCAGGGACTCTGAGCTGGGTCTTTAACCTGGCAGACATTCACAGAAAGTTAAAGTGGATAGATAGAAGGAGATGACATATATGCAGAGGGAGTAAAAAGAACAAAAGTTTCTGGTTTGACATCACTGACATAAAATAAGGTAATAATCATACATATGAAATCATATTCTCACCTTGGGTAACAATAACATAATGATGTTTGGACTCGTAAGCATCATATTCTCTTTCAATGTATATACAAATTTTCAAAGCTTTAATAGGAAATGCAAGCACACTGAGAATGTATAAACTGGTAATGCTAAGGTTGAGTTGGTAGTTTATGATATTGCAGGGAAACAAAATCTATGTCTAATGTTCATGATTGCATTTGGACTTGCAAACTCTGTATTGTTTCTATTAGAGAGGTAAACTGCTTTGAATGCTTTATGGAGAACTTTAGAATTTATTCTCAAGTGATAAATTTTGCTTTTCTATTCTAAATTTTGAAATAAAAATTGTTTACCAGGTTTCTAAATTGAGTTCCCGAATTTTACACAAGTTTATAATGTATGTATCAGAAATCTTCTAGCAGAATAAAAAAATCAATCTAACTGAAACATAAATAGATGTGGATGTTGCCAACATTTGTTTGAAAATTTACATGCCAACTTTTGGTAAACTGAATTTAGTGATCCATTTTCAGAGTTTGAAAGGGATGCTTTGCTCCATAGAAGTATGGCTAAGCAACTTTACAATAAAAACTATCTGTGCTTCTGAACAGGCTTGGTTTAGGTTTGAAGGAAAGAAAACAGACACACACACACACACACACATACACACACATACAAAAATATGATTTGTGTTTTGAAATATTAAAACACTTAAAATATTAAGTTTAGGTCTGACCTTTCTATTTTTCCCCTTTCTCCCCAGTGCTCTAGGTGTGCCTTTAGTTATGGAAGCTAAAATTAACTGACATATTTTCCTTTAGTTTGGCCCCATATGTGTCTACTGAGTTGGCTTATGTCTGAGCTAATTGACAAGAGTGGCAATGTAAATGTTATGCAAATTAATCCCCTCTGGGACTCCTGTTTCTAAGTCCAATTGATGCCTATGCAAACACAGTACTTTGTAATATTTCAAGTCATTTAATTTTGCGGTTTATGTAGACATTCAGTGTTATTGACAATAATACAGAGGCCTGCTATGCTATTTATCTCTGACATTCTTTGCTTTAAACACATCACCATGGCTGATAAGTTTGAAGCACCTGAAATGAAAGCAGATAATGTTGTGATGATAAAATTAAGTCAAGGAAAATTTAAAGCTGTGCTAATAGAATTTCCCAACACACACACACACTCTCTCACACACACAAATACACACACACACACATCAAGATATGTAAAAATGTTCTCTGAAGGTATAACATAATCAGAAATAGAAATTCCCAGTGTCCATGACTGTTCAGATTCAAATGTTTATTTTTAAAATGTGACTATATTCAAGTTGGTTTATTTACATATTATATATTTTACCTCCCTATGATTTAGCCTTTGCAAGTACCTTAATGAAAATTTAGGACTCATCAATCTATTTCCAGAAGAATGCTTTGAAGATGTTAATGATCACTTGTTTTACTTCACAGGCTCTTATTTAAGATGATTGTCACATGTTGCCATTTCACATTGGAAGGCATTTTGTAAGGTTAATTTACAAGATGTCTCTTTCTCATTATTTTCATCTTTATTTGTCATATATAGTAAAATGAATCCATTTTAAGTATAGTGTTTATTGAGTTTTGACATATATAGGCATACCTGTGTAAATATCATAATAAAAAATATTCTATAATACAATAAAGTTCCCTCATACTGCTTTGCAGTCAATCTCCCAATATATCCTTACCCTCAGTCAAGCATTGACTTTCCTTCTGTCCATATAAATTATTTTTGCCTATTCTAGAATTTCATATGAATGGAACTATACAAATTTTAATCTAGGGGCTCTTTCATATTGGCTTTATTTTTTCACTAAACATGTTTTGAGATTCGACACTGGTTTATTTATCAGCAGTTTGTCCAATCTAGTTAATTTTTAAATTTCAGATATTGTATTTTTTATCCTTAGCAATTCTATTTTTATGCCTTTCATTAATCTTGTTATTATGCTTATATTTTTCTTTACATTTTAAAGAATATATGTAATGGCATATTTAAAGTTCTTGATTGCTCATTCCATCATCTCTTTCATTTCTAACACTTCAGATTAAATGTTTATTTTTTCCCCGAGTTATGGGAGATATTTTTGTGCTTTTTCACACACTGATTAATTTTTGATTGTATGATTGACATTGTGATTATTGCATTGCCTTGTGTTCTGATTATGTTGTCTTTCTTTAAACAGTGTTCTGTTTGATAGGCAGTAAATATACTATTGAATTGGATTTTCCTTTCACAGCTTAATTTTAATCTTTGGGAACATCTCAGTAACCTTTACTCCAGGGCTAGTTTAGCTGTACTACCAAGATGGAGTTACCCAACATCAGTAATTTTCACATTGTACCTAAATATCTCTTTGTTGTAGGAGGCTGTTTTGTGCATTGCATTTACTGATATTTAGTGACATCTCTATCCTCTATCCATAAGTTGCCAGTAGTACACCCTATAATTGTGAAAACCAAAATTGTCTCTAACATCCCTAAAGGGCAATATTACCTCTAATTGAAAATCTCTGTACTCGGAGGTTTCTACTAAATGTATCACACATTCAATGAAAACTCTACTCTGACCAGTTCAAAAGTGTGAACTCTCAAGATTTTTTATCTCTCATTTCTCCAGTAGTTTGTCTTTCTTCTAGAACTGTTTCTTGCCAATCCTTGTAATATTCTACCTTGTAAGTGTGCGGTTTAGTATTTGGCCAAAACACTTAAGGAAATTCATATACATGTTTCTGGAGCTCTTTTTCTACATAGCTCATTTATCTCTCACCATCTGTTCCAAAAATCCCCGTCACATCAATCTCCCCAAACTCTAAAGTCTTTTTCCTCAACCCTATGTGACTAGTATACCATTCATGTGATTCTCTGTTGACTGCAGGTAGAAAGCCAGAGAGATCATAGAGTTAACCTCTCTTATTTTTCTCCTGTAAGGATCATAGTCCTATACTGCATGTTGTACAATTTCTGAAAGAGTGGTTTTACATAGTTTGTTCCATTTTCTCTTGTTTGTATCAGGAGATCAAGTTCAGTTAGAGTTATCTTTTGATGGCCAGAGTAGAAACAGACTAGCAAAAACTCTAGACTGCTGGGTAATGTTTGAGCACACTTCTACCCTCATGAGTTGAGTTGAATCTTCACCTATAAACAAATGTGTTTGTTCCCAAACATGTTTATGCAGCAGGTATTTGTTAATGTAACCTCAGATTTTAATTATATAAAGTATTATAAAAATTGGTTTTTATGAAATCCAAGTTACATGTTTTTGAAGTTTAGATAAAAATAAGTATTAGTGACTAAAAGAAATATTATTGTTTCATTATAGGCAAAATAATTGTCAAAGAATGGGAAAATGTAAAGAGACTAGATGACTTTAAGTCATGTTTCCTTACAAATAGCTTCTATACCAAATTTAAAATTATAATTAACGACATTTTACTGTTTTTTATTCTATAAACACTAAGTGAAACTGCAGTTAGATTTCTAAAAGAAAAACTTTTTCCTATATTAAAATGTCTAAAAGAAACCATATATTTACAAATTATAATTAAAATAATGTTATTGTCAAAGACCAGCAGAGCAAGATGGCCAAACAGAACCCAGCAATTGTTCCCCGCACAGGAACACCAAACTGTACAAGTATCAATACAAGAAAGCACCTTCTTAAGAAGCATAAATCAGGTAAGCAATCACAGTACTTGGTTTTGGCATCATGTCATGAAAAGAGGCACTTAAGAAGGTTGAAAAGACAGTCTTTAATTGTCTACACCACCACTCCCCATCTCCTGGGAGTACAGCATGGCTTATAATGAGAATCTCTGTGTGTGAGGTAGAGCAAAGTGCCTGTGGGACTTTGCATTGGAACGAAGTGCTGCTCTGTCACAGTGGAAAGTAATGCCAGGCAGAATTCAGCCAGTGGCCATGGAGGGAGCATCATGACCAGTTCTAGCCAGAGGGACATTGTCCATCCCAGTGGTCAGAACCTGAGTTCCAGCTAGCCCCACCACCATGGGCTATAGTGCTCTGGGGCCTTAAACTTTAAAGACAACCCAGGCCACAGGGACTGTAATTTCTGAGCAAGTCTTGGTGCTGTCTTGAGCTCAGAGCCAGTGAACTTGGGGTGCATGTGACCCAGTGAAACACCAGCTGGGAAGGCAAAAGAGTGCTTGCATTACCCCTTCACTAACCCAAGGCAGTGCAGCTTATAGCTCTGGGAGAGACTCCTTCTTCTACTTGAGAAGATGAGAGGGGAGAATAAAGAGAACTTTGTCATCCACCTTAGATACTGACTCAGCCACAGTAAAATAAAGCGCCAAGCAGAGTCTTAAAGTCCCCATTCCAGGCCATAGCTCCAAGATGACATGTTTAGACCCACGTTGGCCAGAAGGAAACCCGTTGCCCTGAAGGGAAGTAGTCCTGGCAGAATTCATGACCTGCTGACTAAAGAGACCTTGGGCTTTGAATAAACATCAGCAGTAGCCAGGCAGCAGCCACCATGGGACTTAGGAAAGACCCAACACTATATTGGCTTCAAGTATGACCCAGCACATTTCCAGCTATGGTAGCCATGGGGAGACACTGTTTCTGCTTGAGTAAAGGAGATGGAAGAGTAAAAAGGACTTTGTCTTGCAACTTTGGTACCAGCTCAGTCACAGAAAAAAGAAAAAAAAAAAGCACCCAGCAGATTCTCAAAGTTCTCAATCCTAGACATTAGCTCCTGGTTGGCATGTCTAGACCAGTACTGGGCCAGAAGGGTACCCACTCCCTCAAAAAGAGAGACCAAGTCCTGACAGGATTCATCACCACTGACTGAAGTGCCTTAGGGGCTTGAATAAACATCAGTGATAGCCAGGAAATAGTTGTCATAGGCCTTAGGCAAGACCCAGTATTCTCCTGGCTTCAGATGTGATCCAGCACAGTCCAAGAGGTGGTGACCATGGGAGTGGTTGCTACACCCCTCCACCAACTCCAGGCAGCTCAGCATGGACAGAGAGATTCTATTTCTTTAGGGGGAAAGTAAGGGAAGAGAACAAGAGACTCTGCCTGGTAATCTAGAGAATGCTTCTAGATCTTACCCAAGATAACCAAGGTGGTACCTTGGTCTGCCAGAGTCACAGTGTTACTAGGCTTGTGTGGCCCCTAATGCACATACAGCTGTAGTTACCAAAGACTTATATCACAACACTCAATTTCCTTTGAATATGTGGAAAGCCTTCTCAAGAAGGATAGGTACAAACAAGCCAAGACTGCAAAGATTACAATAGATACCTAACTCTTCAATGCCCAGTCACCAACAAACATCCACAAGTATTAAGACCATTAAGGAAAACATGACATCATCAAACAAACTAAATAAGCCACCAGGGACCAACTCTGGAGTGACAGAGATATGTTACCTTCCAGACAGATAATTCAAAATAACTGCTTAGAAAAACCTCAGTGAAATTTAAAGTAACATAGAGATGGAATTCAGAATCTATCAATTAAATTTAACAAGGAGATTGAAATAATTAAAACCAATCAAGTAGAAATTCTGGAGATAGAAACTTTAATGAACAAACTGAATAATGTATCATAGTCTCTCAACAGCAGCGTTCATCAAACTGACGAAAGAATTCATGAACTTGAAGACAAGCTATGTGGAAATACACAGAGGAGTTAAAAGAAAAAAGAATGAAAATGAAGAAGCATATCTACCAGATGTGGAAAATAGCTTCAAAAGGGCAAATCTAAGGGTTATTAGCCTTAAAGAGGAGGTAGAGAGAGAGATTAGGGTAGAAAATATATTAAAAAGGATAATAACAGAATTTTCCAAACTTAAAGAGAGATTTCAATATTCAAGTATAAGAAAGCAATAGAACAACAAGTAGATTTAACCCAATAAGACTACTTCAAACGTTTGATAATCAGACTCCTAAAGCTCAATGGTAAAAAAAAGGATCCTAAACCAGCAAAAGAAAATAAAAGTAAAAAAAAGAAATAAACATGTAAAGGAGCTTCAACATATCTGGCAGCAAATTTCTTCAGGGAAGCCTTACAGGCCAGGAGACAGTGGCATAGCATGACATATTTAAAGTCCTGAAGAAAAAATATTTCATCCTAGGATGTTATATCCAGTGAAAATATCCTTCGAACATGAAGAAAAAATAAAGACTTTTTCAGACGAACAAAAACTGAAGAATTTCATGAATACCAGACCTACCTTATGAGAAATGAAAAAGAGAGTTCTTCAAGCTGAAAGAAAAGAATGTTAATAAGAGATAAGAAATCATCTGAAGGCAGACAACTCACTAGTTACAGTAAGTACACAGACAAATACAGATTATTGCACAGTATAATTGTGGTGTGTGAACTCTGCATATCTTGAGTAGGAAGACTAAAAGATAAACTTACCAAAAGTAATAACTACAACTTTTATGGTAATAAACTGTATAATAAATAGAAACAAGAAAAAGTCAAGAGTTGGGAGGAAGAAGTTAAAGTGTAGAATTTCTGTCAGTTTTCTCTTTGCTTGTTTGTTTGTACAATCCACATTAAGCTATTATCAGTTTAAAATAATGGGTTATAGGATGTTGTTTGCAAACCTCATGGTAATTTCAAATCAAAAAACCTACAACAGATGTAAAAAAAATAGAAAGCAAAAATTGAAACATACCAGAATTTTTAAAGAAATTTTTAAATTTTTAAATTTTAAATTTCTTTAAAAATTTCTTTAAACAAATGAAAATGGAAACCTAGACCTACAGCAAAAGCAGTACTAAGAGGAATGTTTATAGTCATAAGTGCCTACATCAAAAAAGTAGAAAAATTACAAATAAACAACTTACCAATGAATCTTAAAGAGAAAAACAAAGCAAACCCAAAATTAGAAGAAAAGAAACAAAGATCAGCACAGAAATAAATGAAATTAAAATAAGAAAACAATACAAAAGATCAATAAAACAAAAGTAGGTTATTTGAAAAGACAGACAAAATAACAGACAACAAAATCAACAAATTAGCCAGGCTAAGAAAGACAGAAGTCCTAAATAAATGGAATCAGAGATATAAAAGGAGACATTGCAATGGATACCACAGAAATTTAAAGGATCATTAGAGACTAATATGAGCCACTATATGAGAATAAACTAGAAATGCTAGAAGAAATAGATAAATTCCTAGATACATACAACCAACAAAGATTGAACAATGAAGAAATCCAAAAGCTGAATAGACCAATAACAAGTAATGTAATCAAAGCTGCAACAAAGTATCTCCCAGCAGAGAAAAGCCTGCGACTTGATGGCTTCATTGCTCAGTTTACCAAGCATTTAAAGAGGAACTAATACCAATCCTACTCAAACTATTTCAAAAACCAGAGAAGGAGGAAATACTTTCAAACTCATTCTACAAGGCCAGTGTTACCCTGATATCAAAACCAAAGATACATAAAAAAAAAAAAAAGAAAACTACAGGCTAATATCTCTGATGAATGTTGTTAACTCCTCTGCCAAAAACACTAGCAAACCAAATTCAGCAACACATTAAAAATATTATTCATCATGACCAAGTGGTATTTATCCCAGAGATGTAAGGATGGTTCAACATATGTAAATCAATCAATATGATACATCATATACACAGAATAAAGAATAAAACCATACACATTTCAATTGATGAGAATAAAGCATTTGATAAAATTAAACATTCCTTCATGATAAAAACTCTAATAAAACTGGGTATAGAAGGAACATACCTCAACACAATAAAAGTCATATATGAGAGATCCACAGCGAGTATCATACTGAATGGGGAAAAGTTGAAAGCCTTTTCTCTAAAATCTGGAATAAGACAAGGATGCCCCCTTTCACTACTGTTCAAACTAATACTGAAAGTCCTAGCTAGAACAGTCAGAGAAGAGTAAGAGGGCATCCAAATTGGAAAGTGTATTAAGTTGTTCTTGAGTTGCTGCAAAGGAATACCTGAGAGTGGGCAATCTACAAAGAAAATAGGTTTAATGGGCTCATGGTTCTGCAGGCTGTATACGCTTGGCACAAACATCTGTTTGTCTTCTGTTAAGGGCCTCCTCAGAAAACTTAGAATTATGGTGGAAGGCAGACAGGAGCTGGTCCATCACATTACTAGACTGGGAGCAAGACAACAAGCAGGGGGAGGTTTCTGACTTTTTAACAACCAGATCTCACATGAAATAACTGAGCAAGAACTCATTTATTACCAAGTGGATGGTGCTAAACTATTTATGAGTAATCCACCCTCATAATCAAATCACCTCTAAATAGGCCCCACTTCCAACATTGGTAATTACATTTCAACATGATATTTGGAGAGGAAAGACATCTATACTGTCCTTTCTAAACTTCAGAAGGGAAGAAGTCAAATTATCCTTGTTTGCAGATGATATTAGCTTATATTTGGAAACACCAAAAGACTCCACCAAAAACCTATTCATCTGATACAAGAATTCAGTATAGTTGCAGGCTACAAAATCAACATACAAAAATCAGTAGAATTTCTACATGATAACAGTGAACAATCTGGAAAAAAATCCAGACAGTAATCTTATTTATAATAGCTACAAATAAAATTAAATACCTAAGAATAAACTTAACCAATGAAGTGAAAGGCCTCCACAATGAAAACAATGTCACTGATACAAGAAATCAAAGAGGACAGAAAAAAAAAATGAAGGAAAGCTATCCCATGTTCATGGATTGTTAAAATGTCCATAGTACCCAAAACAATCTACAGATTCAATGCAATCTCTATCAAAATACCAATGGCACTGCTCTCAGAAAAAGAAAAAAAAGTTTATATGGAACCACAAAAGACCCAGAGTAGTCAAAGTATTACTGAGCAAAAAACCACAAGACAAAACTGGAGGAGTTACATTACCTGACTTCAAATTATACTACAAAGTTATAGTAACCAAAACAGCATGGTCCTGGCACAAAAACAGACACATAGACCAGTGGAGCAGAATAGAGGATCCAGAAATAAATCAGTACATCTACAGTGAACTCATTTTCAACAAAGTTTGTAGTAATTTACATTCAGTAAAGGACAGTCTCTTCAATAAATGGTGCTCAGCAAACTGGATATCCATAAGCAGAAGAATGAAACTAGAACCCTGTCTCTCATGATATACCAAAATTAAATCAAATCAAATGGATTAAAGACTTCAATATAAGATCTCAAACAATAAAACAACTAAAAGAAAACACTGGGGAAATGCTTCAAGACATTGGTTTGGCAAAGATTTATTGACTAATACCTCAAAGCAAAGGCAACTAAAGCAAAAGTGTACAAATAGGATCACATCAAGCTTAAAATCTTCTACACAGCAAAAATAAATAAATAAAGCAAAGAGACAGCCTAGAGAATGGGAGAAAATATTTGTAAACTACCTGTCTGATAAAGAATTAATAACCAAAATATATAAGGAGCTCAAGCAATTCAATAGAAAAAATCTAATAAACTGAATACAAAATGGACACAAAATCAAAATAGATATTTCTCAAAAGACATACAAATGGTAAATTGGAATATCTCAACATCATTGATTAACAGAGAAATACAATTAAAACTACAATCAGATATCACTTCACTCCAGTTAAAATGGTTTTTATCCAAAACACAGGCAATAATGGATGCTGGTGAGGATATGGAGAAAAGAGAACCCTCCTTCACTGTTGGTGGGAATATAAATGAGTACAGACACTATGGCCAGAATATGGAGGTTCTTCAAACAACTAAAAATAGAACTACCATGAGATCCAACAATCTCCTTATTAAATATATATCCAAAAGAAAGGGAATTAGTGTATTAAAGAGATATCTGCATTCATGTTTGTTGCAACATAATTTTCAATAGCCAAGATTTGAAACCAACCTAAGCGTCCATCAATAGACCCATGGATAAAGAAAATGTAGTACATATACACAATTGGGTACTATTCTGACACAAAAAATAATGAGATCCTGTGATTTGCAACAACATGGATGAAACTGGAGGACATTGAAATAAGTTGGGCACAAAAAGACAAATTTCACATGTTCTCCTTCATTTGTGGGAGCTAAAAATTAAACTCATGGAGAGAGAAAATAGAATGATGGTTATCAGAGACAGGGAAGGGGAATGGGAGGGGGTGGAAAATGGGGATGGTTAATGGGCACAAACATACAGTAAGATACAATGAATAAGATCTAATATCTTATAGCACAACAAGGTGACTACAGTCAGTAGTAATGTGCTATACATTTTAGAATAACTGGAATAACTGAGGGAGTACAATTGGAATGTTTGTAAAACAAAGTAATGGTGAATTATTGAGGTGAGAGGTACTTCATTACCTTGATGTGATATTATGCATTATATGTCTGTATCAAAATATTAAATATTTTCATGTATATAATAGAAATACACACATACTATGTACCTATAAAAAATAAGAATTAAATTACATAGTTATTTTAAATATTCAAAATTTTAATGAATTCTGATTTAAGTAACTATTTTGATTATATAGCAAACTATTTTCCTTTATGATGTTGAGATGAGTTATATTTCACATTTTTAAGATTAACAAAATAATTGACAATTAATATTTATTGAGGAGTTGTTGGGTACCTAGCAAATTACTAAGACCTGAAGATTGAATGGTCAGCAATGTTTGGCTTATGTTCTAGTGACATTGATAGACAATAAACAAGGTAAATAATTATAATATATATGTATGTTTGTCTTATAAGTGAGCCAGAAATATCCTGTCTGTATTAGTCCCTAGGTTGTTAATTTTTTCCCTGCAGGCTGAGACTCATTAGCTCAAAATGGCTACTGGCACCAAACTAAAATGTTTATAGATCTACATATTTTAAAAATAGCCCAAACAACAATTTTTTAACCAGGTAGAGACCACTTGCTTCACACATGCAGGAAATCACACCCAGCACTTATGGATAAGATAGAGTCCTAAAGGTATTAGGCCTCAAGCTGCTATAGAGTGCTCTGATCCAGTTATTCCCTTCTAGTGCTACTGAACTTCATCTAGACAAATGATTCCCCTCTCTGGATAACACTTTTCTCTTTCAGGAGTTCCCTTGCTTTCCTCCCTTTCTGAGTAGTGACTCCAGCTCTGGAGCCTGAATAGATTCCTGTGTGGGGGATTTTCCCTCTCATGCAACCCTCTCTAACAGCAACTCAAATAAATTTTGTTGTTGGTTAATGCCGCTTGAGGTCATATATTTTTCTTCAATCAGCCTTAAATATTTCAAACCCCCAGGAATTGTAGATACTGGAGATTATTGACAAGAAAATATGTAAGGAGGTAGAATATAAAATAAGAGAATTTATCTATTTTAAATATAATAACAAGTCACATTATCACTGAGGACCTGTCTGTTGAGTAAGGCCATAAAAATTTGTGTGAGTTGGTCACACATGGTATCTATTTATTTATTGTCTCTATTTCTCATTAAAATTAATGCTTAATGGAAATGTATACTACATATTTTGTTCACTATTAATATCCATTACTTAAACAGCACATAGAAACTCATAGATAATTAATAAATATATGACCAACGAAATAGTCTTCCAAAGGCTAAGATTACTTATCTTCCAAAACCTACCAGAAAAAAAAAAAACACATCAATTTTCAAGCAATCCTACAAACTTCAACCCATTCTTTTGACATGGGGCTCAGTTCTTTATATGTTATAGTGTTGTACAGGGTGGGGTAAGGATTTACACCTTTTCCCTTCCACTTGCTTGCTGTGTAATTTTGAGAATGATTGTGAATCTTTCTAAAGCTTACATTCTTAACCTTGAAACAAGATGATAATGGAGCAGCCCTATATCATTTTGCTAAGAATAAAATTACATAAGGCAGGTAAAGCATTTAAAATAAGCTCAGAAACTCAGCAAGTGTTCAATTAACATTAGCTAAATCCATCAAACAATAATTGAACCAGCATTAATTAAGTGTCTTCCATCTGACAAACAATATGCTTGGTGTGAGTACCATACAGCTGATAAAACTCATACACTTTTGTAAAGAAACTCACAGATCATAATTGACGGTGGACATAACAAAAATATAAATTCAATCAAGATATGGGGAATGCTGCAATGGTCATTGCAAAAACTAGTACAAGAACACAGAAAATAGCAAAAACATGCCAAATGGTAAAGACCATTGATGCTATGAAGAAACTGCATAATTAATGGGCAAAATAACCAGCTAACATTATAATGACAGGATCAAATTCAAACATGACAATATTAACCTTAAATGTAAATGGGCTAAATGCCCCAATTGAAAGACGCAGACTGGCAAGTTGGATAAAGATTCAAGACCCATTGGTGTTGTATTCAGGAGACGCATCTCACAAGCAAAGATGCACAAAGGCTCAACATAAAGGGATGGAGGAAGATCTGCTAAGCAAATAGAAAGCAAAAAAAAAAAGCAGGGGTTGCAATCCTAGTCTCTGATAAAACAGACTTTAAACCAACAAAAACAAAAGAGACAATGAAGGGTATTACATAATGGTAAAGGGATCAATGCAACAAGAAGAGCTAACTATCCTAAATATACATGCACCCAATACAGGAGCACCCAGATTCGTAAAGCAAGTCATTAGAGACCTACAAAGAGACTTGGACTCCCACACAAAAATAATGGGAGATTTTAACACCCCACTGTCAATATTAAGACAGATCAATGAGACAGAAGGTTAACAAGGATATCTAGGACTTGAACTCAGCTTTGGACCAAGTGGACCTAATAGACATCTACAGAACTCTACACCCCAAATCAACAGAATATACATTCTTCTCAGCACCACATCACACTTATTCCAAAATTGACCACATAGTTGGAAGTAAAACACTCCTCAGCAAATGTAAAAGAACAGAAATCACAACCGTCTCTCAGACCACAATGCAATGAAATTAGAACTCAGGATTAATAAACTCAACTAAAAAATGCACAATTACATGGAAACTGAACAACGTGCTCCTCAATGACTACTAGGTAAACAACGAAATGAAGGCAGAAATAAAGATGTTCTTTGAAACCAATGGGAACAAAGCCACAACATATCAGAATCTCTGGGACAAATTTAAAGCAGTGTGTAGAGGGCAATTTATAACACTAAATGCCCACAAGAGAAAGCAGAAAAGATGTAAAATTGACACCCTAACATCACAGTTGAAAGAACTAGAGAAGAAAGAGCAAGCAAATTCAAAAGCTAGCAGAAGGCAAGAAATAACTAAGATCAGAGCAGAACTGAAGGAGATAATGACACAAAAAACCCTTCAAAAAATCAACGAATACAGGAGCCAGTTTTTTGAAAAGATCAACAAAATAGACCACTAGCAAGACTAATAAAGAAGAAAAGAGAGAAGAATCAAATAGATACATTAAAAAATGATAAAGGAGATATCACCACCGATCCCAAAGAAATACAAACTACCATCAGAGAATACTATAAACACCTCTACACAAATAAACTAGAAAATCTAGAGGAAATGGATAAGTTCCTGGAAACATATACACTCCCAAGAGTAAACCAGGAGAAGTTGACTCTCTGAATAGATCAATAACAGGTTCTGAAATTGAGGCAATAATTAATAGCCCACCAACCAAAAAAAAGTCAAAGACCAGATGGATTCACAGCTGAATTCTACCAGAGGTACAAACAGGAGCTGGTACCATTCCTTATGAAATTATTTCAATCAATAGAAAAAGAGGGAATCCTCCCTAACTCATTTTAGGAGGCTAGCATCATCCTAAAACCAAAGCCTGGTAGCAACACAACAAAAAAAGAGAATTTTAGGCCAATATCCCTCATGAACATCAATGTGAAAATCCTCAATAAAATACTGGCAAACCTAATCCAGCAGCACATCAAAGAGCTTATCCACCACGGCTTCATCCCTGGGATGCAAGACTGGTTCAACGTACATAAATCAATAAATGTAATCCAGCACATGAACAGAAACAACGACAAAAACCACATGATTATCTCAATAGATGCAGAAAAGGTCTTTGAAACAATTCAACAGCCCTTCATGCTAAAAACTCTCAATAAACTAGGTATTGATGGAACATATCTCAAAATAATAAGAGCTATTTATGACAAACCCACAGCCAATATCATACTGAATGAGCAAAAACTGGAAGCATTCCCTTTGAAAACTGGCACAAGACAAGGATGCCCTCTCTCACCACTCCTATTCAACATAGTGTTGAAAGTTCTGGCTAAGGCAATTAGGCAAGAGAAAGAAATAAAGAGTATTCAATTAGGAAAAGATGAAGTCAAATTGTCTCTATTTGCAGATGACATGATTGTATATTTAGAAAACCCATCGTCTCAGCCCAAAATCTCCTTAAGCTGATAAGCAACTTCAGCAAAGGCTCAGGATACATAATCAATGTGAAAAAAATCACAAGCATTCCTACACACCAATAACAGACAAACGGAGAGCCACATCATGAGTGAACTCCCACTCACAATTGCGTCAAAGAGAACAAAATACCTAGAAATCTAACTTACAAGGGATGTGAAGGACCTCTTCTAAGAGAACTACAAATCACTGCTCAACTAAATAAAAGAGGACACAAACAAATGGAAGAACATTCCATGCTCATGGATAGGAAGAGTCAATATCGTGAAAATGGCCATACTGCCCAAGGTAATTTATAGATTTAATGCTATCCCCATCAAGCTACCACTGACTTTCTTCACAGAATTGGAAAAAAACTACTTTGAAGTTCATATGGAACCAAAAGAGAGCCTGCATAGCCAAGAGAATCCTAAGCAAAAAGAACAAAGCTGGAGGCATCATGCTACCTGAATTTAAACTATACTGCAAGGCTACAGTAACCAAAACAGCATGGTGCTGGTACCAAAACAGAGATATAGACCAATGGAACAGAACAGAGGCCTCAGAAATAACACCACACATCTACAACCATCTGATCTTTGATGAACCTGACAAAAACAAGTAATGGGGAAACGATTCCCTATTTAATAAATGGTGCTGGGAAAACTGGGTAGCCATATGTAGAAAGCTGAAACTGGATCCCTTCTTTATACTTTATACCAAAAATTAACTCAAGATGGATTAAAGACTTTAATGTAAGACCTAACACCATAAAAACCATAGAAGAAAACCTAGGCAATACCATTCAGGACATAGTCATGGGCAAAGACTTCATAACTAAAACACCAAAAACAATGGCAACAATAGCCAAAATAGACAAATGGGATCTAATTAAACTAAATAGCTTCTGCACAGCAAAAGAAACTATCATCAGACAACCTACAGAATGGGAGAAAATCTGCGCAATCTACCCATCTGACAAAGGGCTAATATCCAGAATCTACAGAGAACTTAAACAAATTCACAAGAAAAAAACAAACAGCCCCATCAAAAAGTGGGCAAAGTATATGAATAGACACCTCTCAATTTATGCAGCAAACAGACATATGAAAAAATGCTCATCATCACTGGTCATCAGAGAAATGCAAATCAAAACCACAATGAGATACCATCTCATGCCAGTTAGAATGGTGATCACTAAAAAGTCAGGAAACAACAGATGCTGGAGAGGATGTGGAGAAAAAGGAGCACTTTTACACGGTTGGTGGGAGTGTTAATTAGTTCAACTGTTGTGGAAGAGAGTTTGGCGATTCCTCAAGGATCTAGAACTAGAAATACCATTTGACCCAGCGAGCCTATTACTGGGTATATACCCAAAAGATTATAAACCTTGCTACTATAAAGACACATGCACATGTATGTTTATTGCGGGACTATTCACAATAGCAAAGACTTGGAACCAACCCAAATGTCTATCAATGATAGACTGGATTAAGAAAATGTGGCACATATACACTATGGAATACTACGCAGCCATAAAAAAGGATGAGCTCATGTCCTTTGCAGGAATATGGATGAAGCTGGAAACCATCATTCTAAACAAATAATCACAAGGACAGAAAACCAAACACTGCATGTTCTCACTCATAGATGGCAGTTGAACAACGAGAACACATGGACACAGTGGGGGGAACATCACACACCGGGACCTGTTGGGGGGATGGGGGCTGGGGGAGGGATAGCATTAGGAGAAATACCTAATGTAAATGACAAATTGATGGGTGCAGCAAACCAACATGGCACATGTATACCTATGTAACAAACTTCCACATTGTGGACATGTACCCTAGAACTTAAAGTATAATTTAAAAAAAGAAAAAAAAAGAACACAGAAAATAGGAAAATGTGGCATACACACAGCTTCATAAGTTTTCTGAGAAAACTTTTTCCTAAATCAATTTACTGCTTGCCTAAATTTTTAAGTATTATTTTTCTGAGTTAATCATCATGTTTACATTGTCCACTCTTAAACTGTTAATTATTTTTGGTTTTACATTTTAGTCTTTAATCCATCTGTAGTTAATTTTTTGTATATGGTGTAAGAAAGAGGTACAGTTCCAATTTTCTGCATATGGCTAGACAATTATCCCAGAACCATTTATTGAAAAGAGAATCCTTTCCACATTGCTTGCTTTTAACAGACTTGTTGAAGATCAGATACTTGCAGGTGTGTAGTCTTATTTCTGGGTTCTCTGTCTGCTCCATTGGTCTATGTGTCTGTTCTTGTATGATTGTCATGCTCTTTTGGTTACTGCAGGCCTGTAGTATAGTTCGAAGTCTGGTAGCATGATGACTTCAGCTTTGTTCTTTTTGCTTAGGATTGTGTTGACTATTCAAGTTCTTTTGGGGTTCCATATGAATTTTAAAATAGATTTCTATAGTGCTGTGAAGAATGTCAATGGTAGTTTTTAATGGAAATAGCATTGAATCTATAAATTGCTTTAGGCCATATGACAATTTTTTAATGATGATGATTCTTCCTATCCATGAGAATGAATGTTTCTTGATATATTTGTGTCATCTCTGATATCTTGGAGCAGTGTTTTGTAGTTCTCCTTGTAGACATATTTCACCTCCCTTGTTAGCTGTATTCCTAGGTATTTTATTCTCTTTATGGCAATTGGGAAAGGAAGTTTGTTCATGATTTGGCTCTCAGCTTGACTGTTGGTATATAGGAATGCTACAGATTTTAAATGTAAACCCTAAAACTATAAAAACCCTGGAAGACAACCTAGGCAATACCATTCGGGACATAGGCACAAGGAAAGATTTTACAATGAAGATGCCAAAAGCAGTTGCAACAAAAGCAAAGATTGACAAACGGGATCTAATTAAACTAAAGAGCTTCTGAATATCAAAAGAAGCTATCAACAGAGTAAACAGACCATGTACAGAATGGGAGAATATTTTGCAAACTATACATGTGACAAAGGTGTAATATCCAGCATATATATGGAACTTAAACAAATTTATAAGAAAAAACAGCCCAATTAAAAAGCGGGCAAAGGACATGAACAGACACTTCTCAAAAGAAGCCATACATGCAACCAACAATCATATTTTTTAAAAAAGCTCAGCATCACTGATCATTAGAGAAAAGAAATCAAACCCACAATGGGATACCATCTCACACCAGTCACAATGGCTATTATTAAAATGTCAAAAATAACATGCTGTCAAGGTTGTGTAGAAAAAGGAATGCTTACTCACTGTTGGTAGGGGTACGTATTCGTTCACCCATTGTGGAAGACAGTGTGACAATTTCTCAAAGACCTAAAGACAAAAATAACATTTGACCTGGCAATCCTATTACTGGGTATATACCTTCCAAAATATAAATCATTCTATTATAAAGATAAATGCATGAGTATATTCATTGAAACACTATTCACAATAGCAAAAATATGAAATCAATCTAAATGTCCATCAGTGATAGACTGGATGAAGAAAATTTGGTACATATACACCATCATGTCCTTTGCAGGGACATGGATGGAGCTGGAGGTGATCATCCTTGGCAAACTAAGGCAGGAAGAGAAAACCAAAGATCACATGCTCTCACTTATAAGTGGGAGCTAAATGATGAGAACACATGGACACATAGAAGGGAACAACACACACTGGGGCCTACTGGAGGTGGAGGGTGGGAGGAGGGAGAGTGTCATGAAAAATAACTAATGAGTACTAGGCTTAATACATGGCAATGAAATAATCTGTACAATGAACCCCCATGACAAAGGTTTACCTATGTAACAAACCAGCATATGTGCCCCTGAACTTAAAAGTTTTTCTAAGTAATTACAGGAGATTTAAACAAATTTTTAAAAAATAAATTGTTAATCATGTCAAAATGTTAACATTTGAATATTAACTATATCAAACAATTGATTCTTTAGAGTCATTCTTAATGCCTCTCTTTCTTTACAAAACATATCTATATCATATCAGGAAATTATTTCGGCCCTACTTTCATTTCATGTTTACAATATGGAACCTTACACCATCTTGACTTCTATCACCCTCTTCTGAACCACCATCATCTCACATATTACTGCAATGGATTTTCAACCAGATTCCCTAATTCTAACCTTATATTTTTGTCATACGTGTTACTTCTGCTTGTAATGCTCTTTCCCCATGACTCGCTTATTCCACTTCACCATCTCTAGAGGGCAATCCTAACCATTCACTTAAAATTCCAGTCTTCTCCTTTTACACCTTGGGCATCTCATATCTCCTTATCCTGACCTCTTTCTCTATTACACTTACCACTCTACCATGCTATATATTATATTAATGTATTATGTTTATTGCTTATTTTATGCTACCTACTATAATAAAATCTCTGTAATCCCAGAGATTTCTTTTTCTTTATTTTTTACGGCTATATCACAAGTCATAGCATGACATGTTGATGCTGTTTGTGTGTGTGAGTGTGTGTGTGTATACACACACATATGAATGGCTGACTGACTAGCTGAAACAAAGAGCCAGTCTACACTTTATCCATAGTAGAAACAAAATAAGTATCTGTTAAAATAAATGAGGCTTTAAAAAAGTAACCCCTGTGGGAACAAAGAATTTTGTGGAGTTGAGATCTGTACATTACTAAGACAGAACTTTCTAAGCAATTTCTTAATTTATTCCCAACACTGGTACATCAAAATTGTTTCAGGAATTACACATATATAAAAACTTTCTACATTATATATAAAATCTGGTACTACCCCAAACAAACAGATCTTTTGCCAAATTATACAGTGTTTTCATCAAAATATTGAGGCCAGCCTCAGTTACTGAAAGTCCAGAAAGTGGTTAGCAAACTAGACCATCACCTGTTTTTGTAAATAAAGTTTTATTGAACAAAGCCAAACTCATTTATTTACGTTGTCAATGACTGCTTTCATGCTACATTGCAGAGGTGAGTAGTTGCTACAGAGATTGTATAAAATGAGCCTAAAATACTTATCACATTGCATTTGAGAAAATGTTTGCTGATTCTTGGTAGGATATATTGGCAATAACAAGAAAACAAGCTCTGGATCATCTTGGGTAAAATAATAAATAGCATTGTAAGAATTTCCCTTTTGTTTATTAATATTTCTTTTGAATGTCCTATACATAGGCAATGGGATATTTTACCCCATATTAAATTTTGTCGGCTTTGGTAAAGTACAGTTTACATAAAATAAAATTAATCAATTTTAAATGTACAATTTGATGAGTTTTGACAAATATATACAATTGACTAATTAATGCCACAATGATGATATGGTAAATTTTTATCACTCACCGCTAAGTTTCCATATGGAAATTTATAGAAAATTCTGTCCCTGCAGTTTCTAGTTCCCGACAACTTCTCATGCACTTTCTGTAATAATAGATTTGTATTTTTTTAATGTTATACAAATGAAATCATAAAGTATGTAGTCTTTTGTGACTAGATTCTGTCACTTAGCATAAAGCTTTTGAGATTAATCCATGTGGTTGTCTCAATCAGTGGCTCATTCCTTTGTATTGTTTACAGTACTCCTTTATATGGTTATATCACAATTTTCTTATGCATTCACCAGTTGATAGACATTTGGGTTATTTCTAGTTTCAGCTATTATGAATAAATCTGCAGTGAATATTTGCATAAAATTACTTGTGTCAATGTATCTCTTGGGCTTGAGAATGGAATTGCTAGGAAATATGGTATATTTAATTCTAAAAGAAACTACCAAACTGTCTTCCAAAGTCACTGTTCCATTTTGCATTCCCACAGCAAAATATGAAAGGTTCTAGCTGTATAGCATCCTCCAAAACACTAGAAGTATCAGTCTTTTTAATTTTAGGCATTACTGTAGTGGTGTACAGGTGTCTTATTGTGCTTAAAATTTGCATTTTCCCAAGGATTAATAATGTCTATCATTATCATTCACGACTCATTTATCTTTTTTGGTGAAGCTCTATTCAAAATTTTGGGCTATTTTTTTAAGCAAGGTTGCTTGTCTTTGTATTATTAAATTGTCATGGTTATATATGCTGGGTACTAATTCCTTAGAGGGCATATGTTTGGCAAACAAATATCTCTCAGTCTATAGTTATCTTTTGATTTTCTTAATCACATTAGTTGAAGAGGAAATGTTTTTAATTTGGAAAAGTTCAAGTTACCAAATTTTCCTTTATAACTTATGTCTTTCGTGTCCTATTAAAAAAAAGCATTAACTAAACCAAGATCATTAAGATTTTCTATGGTATTTTTTTCTAGAGGTTTTATATCTCTAGCATTTATATTTCAGTCTATTCTGCAGCTCAGGTTATTGTGTATGAGATGAAGTATCTGTCAAGGTTCCCTCTATTGCATAGAAATGTCTGTTTTACCAGCACCACGTTTTGACACAATTATCATTTCCCAACTAAATTACCTTGACACCTATTTTGAAATTCAATTGGCCATATATGTATTGGTCTATTTTAAATATTTTATTTTGTTATTTCTATCTATGTCTACCTTTATGCCAATGCCTTACTCTTTTGATTAGTTCAGCTTAAGAGTAATTCACGAATCAGGTAGGCTCACAACTCTAATACTGTAATTTTTCAAAAAAAAATTGGCTATTTTGCATTTTGATATAAATTTGAGAATTAACCTGATAATTCCTACAAAAGAATATGCTGGGAATTCCTACAAAAGAATATGCTGGGAATTTGTTTGGGATTGTGTTGAATCTAAAGAACAATTTGGGAAAAGTTGATAACAATATTGAGTATTTTGATCCTTAAGCATGGTTTACCTCCCCATTTATTTATAAATTCTTTAATTTCTCTCAGCAGTGTTGCATTGTTTTCAGGATTATTAATTTATTCAGGATGCAGATCTTGCACATAGTTTAAGATTTTCCTAAGTATTTCATATTTTTGGTGCTACTATAATTTATAAAATTTCATATTGCCAAATTTCATGTTGATACAGAAATAAAATTGATTTTCTAAAGTTGATCTTATATCCTGAAACATTTCTAAACTCACTTCTTTCTTCTAGTATTTTTATTTTCTGTAAATTGTTTAAGATTGTCTATATAAATGACCATGTTGACTGTGAATAAGTACGACTTTAGTAATTTGCTTCCAATACGTACGTGTCCTTTCTTTTTTGCCTTATTGTACTTGCTAAAGTCTCCAGTAAAAAAAACTGAAAAAATTCTTGAGAGTTGAAATCCTTGATGGCAGAAAATTGTGATATAACTACATAATGGAGCATTAGAAACAATAGAAAGGAATGAACTACTGATAGAGGCAAACTTAATGAGATGCATTGATTCTTTATTTAGTTTGATGTTACCAGTAGGTTTTTTGTAGGTGCTGTTTATCATGTTGAGAATATTTCCTTGTATTTTCAGTGTACTGGGAGTTTTTCCACGAACATGTGTTGAATTTAGTCATACGTTTGGTCTGCATGTATTGTGATGATCATGTGATTTTTCTTTAAAGATGTTATTACGCAAAATATTTTCAAAAAGAAAATCAGTTTTGCATTACTGGGATAAAACTAACTTGACATTATACATTATTAATTTTAGATATTGCTGGATTAGAGGAATATAAATCATTCTACCATAAAGACACATGCAAGCAAATTCTTATTATAGCACTATTCACAATTGCTAAGACATGGAATCAACCTACATGCCAATCAATGACAGACTGAATAAAGAAAATCTGGTTCATATACACCATAGAATACTATGCAGCCATAAAAGAGAACGATCTCACGTCTTTTGCAGGTACATCAATGGAGCTGTAGGCCATTATCCTTAGCAAACTAATGCAGGAACAGAAAAGCAAATACTGCATATTCTCACTTAATTTTAGTCATTTGTGGAGTAGTGTACAGGTGTCATATTGTGCCCATAATTTGAATTTTCCCAATAATTAATAATGTCTGTCATTATCATTTGCAAACCATTTATCTTTTTTGGTGAAACTATGTTCAAATCTTTGGACAATTTTTTTTTTAAACAAGGTTGCTTGTCTCTATATTATTAAATTGTAATGCTTTATATCTAGGTACTAGCTAGGGAACTTAATGATAAGAAACTATTAATACAAAGAAGGGAATAACAGATCTTGGGGTCTACTTGAAGGGGAGGTGGGAAGAGGGAGTGGAGTAGAAAAAATAGCTATTGGATATTGGGCTTAAAACCTGAGTGATAAAATAATAAGTACAACAAACCCTCATGACACATGTTTACCTATGTAACAAGCCTTCACATGTACCCTAAAATCTAAAATAAAATTATTTTTAAAAATAGAAATTGCTGGATTTTATTTGCTAGTATTTAATTAATTTTTTAAAAAATCTATGTTTATGTGAGTTATTGGTCTGTTGTTTACTTTTAATATCGTTGTCTTATTTTGGTATCAGAGTAATGGTCCATTAGAGTGATTTGCTTTGATTGACTTTCTCTTCTAGTATAGAATTTTTACTTTTTTACTTACATATTTGTGTAGTGTATATATATATGTGTGTTATAATTATTATAATTCATTAGTTAGGTCATCTGCTCTTGAGGGTTTCATTGCCTTTAAACTATGAATTAAATTTCTTTAATAGATTCAAGATTATTTATAGGATCACCTTAACCAGATTTGTTGGATTTATTGAAAGAAAGATGTTTGTGATTCTTCTTTATTATCCATTTAACACCTATAGTATATTTTAGTATATGTGTACAAAAGTCACCTCTAATTGTCACCAAATAGACTGGTAATTTTTGTTTTCTTTTTCCTGATAATTTGGGTTTGACAATATAAACATATTTATTTCTTTATTATCTTTGGTTCTCATTGATTTCTTACTCTTGTTTTCTATATTCTCTTATATTAATTTTAACTCATTTATTAGTTCCTTCACTCTGATTAATTTGGTTATGTGTTGGTCTTCTTTCTTTGTTTCTTAGGGTGGTAGTGAAGATCATTGATAGGAAAACTTTTCATATTTCTAATAATTTTTTGATGCTATAAAATTTCCTAAAAGTACCATTTTGCCTCCACCCAGCAAATAATGATGTGCTGCATTTTCATATTCTTTAAGCAAGTAATATTTTTTGCTTTGTTTTCTGATTTCTTTGACCCATGAGTTATTACAGCTTTTTTTAATATTTTCAAATATTTGGGGAAGGGATATTCAAGATATCTCTGTTTTTACTTGTAGTGTACTTTTGTTGGGGACCAAAACATATTAATATAGATCAGTTTCAAATAGTCTATATTAATTAAGAATTGTTTTATGGTCTTCAACATTATTCATTTTACTAATTGTTCATGTGCACTAGAAAAAATATGTCTTTTGCTAAAGCTGTATGAAGTATTTTATAAATATCATTTAAATGAAGATGATTGCTAGGGCTATAAAATATTTCCATATCTATATTAATGTCTTGTCAATTTATCATATTAGGTATTGAGATACAGGTTTTGAAATATTTAGCTACAATTGTGGATTTCCTATTCCTCTTTATATTTCTATGAGTTTTCTTGTACATAGATGTTCTGTTATACACTTAAGATTGTTATATCCTCTAGACAAATTGACCCCTTTATAAATGTTTTTCCCTGGCATTTTTCCTTTCTTTAAAAACAACTTTTAAAAATAACTTTTCATGATATTAATATATCCACTCCAGCTTATTTTTTATAGCATTTGTGTGTTATATTTCTATCTTTTTACTATAAATCCACCTGTGTTTTTATATTTTAGGTGTGTTTCTGATGGATAGCAGAACAGTTGGGCGTTGCTTGTTCATCCAATTTGGCAAACTCTGCCTTTTGTTTAGCTTTTTAGTACATTTGCATCTAACATTATTATTTATATAATTGGATTTAAATCTACCATTTTGCTATTTGTTTTCAATTGGTACCATTAAATTTTTTTTCTTTGTCTACCTTCTTTTAGATTGAGTAAATTTTAGAATCTACTTTCACCTTCAATATTGGTTTATAAGCTGTACTTCGTGGTTTCTTTTATAAATGGTTGCTTTAAGATTTAAAATATATGTTTTTTACTCACTATAGTCAAACAATATTATAGCACTTTGTGTACAATATAAAACCTCTATAACATATGCTTTCATTCCCCCCGCCCCACAGCATTTATGTCATTGCTGCTATTTTAATTCCACCTATTTAAAAAAACGTGTAACATGTCATTATCTCTTCTTTAAAATTATCTTCGAAATTGATTTTTTAAATGAGATAAAAATGTATTTTATATTTACCCATAGACTTACTTTTTCTTGTCCTCACCAATTTTTGGTACAAATTTAAATATCCATCTGTTATGATCATTCTGCTTGAAAGACTTCATTAATGATTATTATATTTCTCTTACACTTTTTGTTGATCATATAAGCTTTTGTTTTTCTGAGAGAAAAACAAGTTATTTCTACTTCAATTTTAAAAAATATATTTGCTACTTCACTTTAAAAATTTTTTGTATTACATGGATTTACAGATATTTAATTATAATGTATGTTGATGTGATTTTCTTCATATTTCCTCTGCTCAATATTTCTTGAATATCTTAGAACTTCGCGTTTAAAGTGTTTTTAAAATATTTTCATGACATATCTTATTTTGTTTCTGCTTATCTTTTTCTCTTATATGAGACTCCAATTATACATACATTAAGTTGATTGAAAATGCCCTATAGCACAACGAAGCTCTCTTCTGTTCCCAGTGTTTTTCTCCTTTTTTAAAAAGTTTATTTTGGATATATTCTATTGCTGTATGTTCAAGTTCAATAAATTGTCTCGTGTGGTTTCTAATCTGCTGTTCATTTTCTATTTTCCAGTTTAAATCTGTGTTTTTCACCTTTAGAAATTTCTTTTTTTTTTTTTTTTTTTTTTTTTTTTTTTTTTTTTTTTGAGATGGAGTCTCGCTCTGTCGCCCAGGCTGGAGTGCAGTGGCGCGATCTCGGCTCAAAGCAAGCTCCGCCTCCCAGGTTCGAGCCATTCTCCTGCCTCAGCCTCCAGAGTAGCTGGGACTACAGGCGCCCGCTACCACGCCTGGCTAATTTTTTTTGTATTTTTAGTAGAGACAGGGTTTCACCGTGTTAGCCAGGATGGTCTGGATCTCCTGACCTCGTGATCCGCCCGTCTTGGCCTCCCAAAGTGCTGAGATTACAGGCGTGAACCACCGCACCCGGCCTAGAAATTTCATATAGTTTTTAAAAAATATTCTATACTTCTTATCCTCAATCCATGCATTTCTTTACATCCCTAAAAATATGAAAACTATTTACAATAGCAGTTTTAATGTTTTAGTCTGTTGATTTCATTATCTCTCTTATTTATGTGTGTTTCTATTGATTGGTTTGTCTCCTGGCTGTGCATTTTTTGTTTTTATCATTTTTAATTTGATATCAAATATGTTACCTTATTGGTTACTGCACTCTATTTTACATCTTTAGTGTAGTTTTTTTTTTTTTTTTTCTGTCGTATAGTTAAGTCTCTTAAATTTAATTTGATCCCCTTGAGACTTTAAGTTTTCTTAGCAGGGGTTCTGGAACACCTTTACTTTAGGATTAATTTTATTTTATCACTACAGCAAAACCCTTTTGCGGTGAAACCATTCTTAGGACTCTCTCTTATGTCCTATGTTCTTTCTCATCAGTCTGACAAGAAAACCAACTATTCCTTGCACTGTGTAAGCTCCAGTTTGTTTTTCCTTCTGTTACTTTCTGGTGGTACTTGCCTAATCTTGGTAGCCTCTTCACTCATATACACTCATATACACAAATCAGTACTCAGTCAAGAATTCAAGGAACCGGCTGGGCACGGTGACTCATGCTTGTAATCCCAGCACTTTTGGAGGCTGAGGCGGGCAGATCATGAGGTCAGGAGATCAAGACCATCCTGGCTAACACGGTGAAACCCCATCTCTACTAAAAATACAAAAAATTTGGCAGGCATGGTGGTTGGCGCCTGTAGTCCCAGCTACTCGGGAGGCTGAGGCAGGAGAATGGCTCGAACCCGGGAGGCGGAGCTTGCAGTGAGCTGAGATTGCGCCACTGCACTCCAGCCTGGGCAACAGAGCGAGACTCCGTCTCAAAAAAAAAAAGAAAAAAAAAAGAAAAAAAAAGAATTCAAGGAATCATTCTGAATACCAATGCTCTCTTTTGGTGCTGATCCCAATCTTCAGTATTCTACCATGAAAATTTTAGCCACATTCATATCAAACTTTAAACCTGCCTCAATGACAGAGCAAACCCACAGGCTTTGGCTATCTGCAAATCACTATTTTATTTTGTTATTGTTTTCCTAGTTTTTATTTTATCATGGTTGAAGGTGAGAGTTCCCCAATAGATCTTTACATGAAATCAAGCTATCATGAGAATTAAATAAGGTAATATAATGTATTACAGTATTGTATTAATTCACCTTCTACTTCTATAAGCCCACTTAATTTCCTGTTATATTTTTGAAAGTCAAACTACATATGATATGACTTATCTGAATAAATAAATACTACATTAGTGGAAGTGCTAACCAATGACTGATACCTGTTCTTAATTTTCCTGCAAACTTTGAACCCATGAGACAGATCTACTTTATCCTATGCATTAACTTTCTTAGATATTTATTGCTATGACAAAAAAAAACACAATATTCCTAATATGTGTATGGGAGTCAATCTCTTTTTAATTTTTTTGATGAAAGCATTTTAATCCATATTTCCATAAATAGTAACAATCAAATCATGTGTCCTGAAAATATTTCCACATAAATTACTGCTCTCTCTGGAGCAGTAAAATAACTGCTAGCAAGGTGAAGCCCCCTCATAATACCAATTATGGTTTCCATATTGACAAATTTAAGCTCAGGAATTAAGTGTTACGCCTTTAGCAACCAGTTACTATGGGGACATCTGGTGATTTCATATTTAACAGCTGGCTTCCACACCTCCAAATATATATTTAAGCAACTGGAACAGAAAGAAGAAAATGAGGGAATCTCTTTTTTAGGAAGATATCTAGATTATATTCATGAACACTACTTAGCCCACAGAAAAAGACAGGAACAAGTTCTACGTAGAGATGATACTCCCACCCCCCAGCAGAATCTCACTTTTTATCCAGTTCTTCAAGCTGGATTTAAAAATATAAGTTAGCTAACTAAAGCGAACAAAAAAAAAAGTAATAATAAAGCAAAATGAAAAATAGAAGTCCAGAAGTCCAGAAAGACAGAGAGAAAATGAGGTTTGGTGTCTAAATTTCATCAGCTATATGACCCAAAGGGAGTGTCTGAAACTTTCTGAGCTTCCCCATCTCATGTATCAAAGGATACATAGGAAAAGAAAAAATACAAGGTGTATATTTGTGAATGTTGTTGCTTCCATAGAGTGCATCTTTTAAATTATATTGTCAGTTTTTACAAAATTCTTTAACCACTGACTTCTGTGGATCTACATTTAGAAAGAATCTGAAGCAATTATTTGTATTTTCCTTTCAGTGATATAAATTCAAAGAGAATAAGATGACACAAGACATTTCAGAGATTCCTAAGTCTGAATTCAGCTTTTATTTAATGAGTCTTTTATACATATTTGGTAGAAATTTTAATTCCAAAAGGTGTTATAGAGCACTGCTAGCACCTCCATATAATTTTTTAACCTATTTTTTTATGGCATGGTTCTGTTTTTGTCTATCAGTCAGAGCACTGTCACCTTCATCTGGAGAAGAAAGTTTCACAAGGTCATCAACAAGGTCAACAGAAATAGCCATCTCTTAAAGATCCAATCAGGCTTGCAATAGGATCAGGATGACTGTTTGTTTATCCATTTAACCTTTAATTTAGTTTTCAAACTGTTATTTTGAGTTTATCACCTATTTCATAGTTGTATAATATGGTTCAAAAGATCTGATATTTTTATACAAATTTTTGAAACCTAAAAGTATTGTTGTATCTGTGCAATCTATCAGTGACTCTGAAATAGGGGGAAAAACTCTTTCTCTAGGTTAACGTGAATATATCCATTTCAGTGGTCTTATATTGCACTGATTTTATATTATGCAGTTACAGTATGGAGTTCATGCATGAATCCCACTATACTAATGTTAATAGTTGTTCAAGTTGTTCAAGACACATCTTGAATTGTGTTGGATGAGTAAATATCTTGAAAGTAATTAGTCAAAAATTTAGGACACGTATACTTCCTGCATTCTGCATATTGTTTCGAAACAGACTTTTGAATTATCCATCTATCATAATAGTGAGAGAGAGGATGAAAGTCATATAGTTATATGATATGTTTTATAATAACAGGTTTTATATATAATATATATACGTATATACAAAAAACTTTTATATATACACATATATAGAGATAATAGAAGTTTTGTTTTTTATTGTTAATCTTTGTTTTTTACTCATGCTAAGAAAAAAACTGGTTTGGCTTTTTCCAATGTAGTAATGAGATAACAAAAAATAATGGGTTACATTTTGTTTTCTCTATGGAAAATTTTGGATATTTGAATAAAAGTGTATTAACTGTGTGTATTAAGGATGAACTTTAATACATGCCAATACAAGCCTCAAATGATTATTTCCAGCCTGCCCAATGTTTGTGGTGTTGATTTGCCAGAAATGTAATATGTATGTGGCCATGTTATAATGTTTTGTAAGAGGCAATTTGGCTCAAACCTAAATTTTAATTAGGATTATATTCTACAACCCTCCATAGAGTTAGCATAAGTTAACTACAGAACTGTTAGTAGGATGCTTAAAGATATTCTATACTTTTCCATTGTCTTTGGCAAGGTGTTATTATTTGTTCTGGGGTTTTTTTTGTTGTTGTTCCCCTAACAGATCTGCTATTTGACTTAAAGATATCTCTAGGAGACACAAATTGCTTAAATAAAAACTAAGAATTTTAACGAATATCATTTCTGAATAAGAATGTTCAGATCACAGAATTACAGAACCTCAAAACTGGAACAAAGTGTTCCCAAAAATATCTGACCAAATTCCCTGCTTTTAAAGATGACTAGCCATGCTTAATGGAGTTGTGATTTGACCAAGATCTCATAACAAGTTAGTCTTATTTATATGACAGACCACATTGTTATAAAGTAGCTGTTATATCAAAAAATGAGCTTCTTTCTTATAATTATTAATTAGGCTGAAAAATGTACCTGGAAAACAGAGCTACTTAGGGCTAATTTTCTACAGACCTATTATTATTGGTTGGTGGTAGTATTATTATTATGGTCATCGTCATATTATTATTATTCTGGGTATCTAAACACTTAGCTAACACTAGACATTAGGAAAGAGATCCATAAAGTGAGTCACAGAGCTAGGAATTCTAGGTTTAATATCTCCTTTGCCACTAACAAGCTCTCTTTGTCTGTTTGTGCTGCTGCAGCAGAATTTCTGAATCTGACTAATTTATAAAGAACAGAAATTTATTTTCTCACATTTCCGGATGCTGAGAAGTTCAAGATCAAGGTGTCAGCAAGTTCGGTTATCTGGTGAGGGCTGCTTTCTTGCAATATCCTCTGGAGGTGAGGAAAACTGTGTCTTCACATGGTAGAAGGTGGAATGGCAAGCTAACCAAAAGCTATAATGATGCCGCTTTTCAAGGGCCTTAATTCCATTCATGTGGGAGAAGCCCTCATGGACTAATCATCTCTTAAATGCCCTACCTGCTAATTCTATCACAATGACAACACCTGAATTTTGGATGGGACCGGTTCAAACCATAGCACAAGCTATGTGACCCAGGCAAATACTTGAACTGTCCTTTCATCAGAATAAGGAGTAATACAAGGTTTATAATCTTTCATTCTTTTTGTACTCTAGGTTTCTATGATTCTAACATTGCTTTCTATTTTTTTTCAACTACAGATGGTCCTTATGAAGTGGTTACGCCTGTCATAATTCGAAAATACTTTAAGTCAAGAATTCTGTTAATACCCCAATAAAACAATAATAATGTCAAAAAATTAACATTTCAATAATTGTAAGTTGAGAACTGTCTCTATACAGATATTCCATCATTATAAGTATTTATAACCTAATATAATGTCAGCTCTTCTAAAGCCTTAGTAATTTAGCAATATTTTTATGCTAAAAATAGAAATGTTTGTAATTCATCAAGTAATGAATAGAAAAATTTATCTTAACTAGTGATACCTGGGAAAGTAATCTTAATCAAACAGTGCAACATCAGACCAAATCAGATACTTCACCACTGTAATCATGAGTTCATTTATTTCAGCTGTGGTGAGTGGGTTTTGGCTATGGGCAGAGCATGTTTTATGTTTATGAGCATTGAGTAGTTTCAGCTACTTAACGTGCATTAAGGGGCCTTTTGTCAGGAATAAGCTGTGATTTAAGAGCCATCACTCAGTCTTCAGACTTTCTAACTCTCCAAAGAGATGTATCAGTGAGAGGCCGTCAAGATGGTTTCTTCTATTTCCTGATGATCACAGTTTCTTAAACGAAAATAAAATAGATCTTGACCCATGATGGATTTCATTGGTCTCAACAGCCTCCTATTCTCAAACTGCCCAGTAGGATTCATAGGATCAGCCAATAAAATTACCCATATAGAGGGCACTGTCTGAAGATTACAATAGATAACGAACAGAAGGAAAAAAAGTAAAGATTTAGAAAAACCGAGAGAAGAGAAGTTAACTTTTAATCAGTCTTCTGGGGTCCTGGTTTGCTTCTTCCTTTCTGTTTCTGACAAATAACTTATGTTTGGGTAGAACATATAGGCTTATTGTTTGAGTTTCAGAAAACAGAGTACTGATAAGCTTTCCTACCTTCTGTTAACTGTTTTGAGAAGGACGGAAAGACAAATATCTGCTAGCATGATATTGGCCCTAGAAAGTGAGCTCTAATCAGAAAACAAGATAGTGCCAGTGTGCATGCTATTCAGGAAATTAAGCATTTCATTTACCCATGACTGATTTTAGCATCTGGTTTTCAAAAAACAATGAATGGATTTTTTTTAAATTTCAAAAATAAATCATCTCTAGGATATGAACTTTCAGGGGGAAATTTATTAGCCACTGAAAATAGATTCCCCCCAAAATAAGGAAGCTCATCTATAAGAATTAAAATATAAATGTCTAACAAATAAAAGCAGTCTTTTGAGAATAAACTTTGAAAATGTTCATAACCCAAGTGTGAAGTTAGATATTAGCATTATAATAAAACATCACATGAAAATGATTGTATTTGTAAATAATTATTTCCATTAAGAAATTAGATGAAGGACTTGGGATCAAAGTCAGCTAAAATAAATACAGATTTTATTGATGCAGAACTTGTATTTGAGTTCTAAATTATCTATTAATCACATAATAGATCCCTTCTTTTGTCCGGGCAAATGTCTGCACCAATACTCCAGGGACATCTTCGGATTCTATTGAAGGAAGAATTAGATAAAAGCTACTGCATTCAGCCTCTCGGCTCCTCTTAAATCAGTAAGTAGCCAGCTGTTCCACTGCAACTGATTCTGTACTTCGAGTCGACTCACGACATCTATCAAAACAGTGTTTACATTTTCTTAATAATGTTAACTTAAGCATTTTATTGCCATGCTCTGCAAAGTGTCTGAGTGCACTAAAGAAATCTGCTCATGAGAAAGGCGGTTAAGCAATAGGCAGAGTACATAAAAAGCCTCACATTCTCTAGAGGTTAGCTGCATGACACCTGGAATGACACAAAGCCTCTGTTGCCTTTGTCCAGAGCCAACTGGGAATCCCCTGGGGTCAAGAAAATGCTGGTGAAAGCAAAAGCCCTCCACTGCAAACATCTACAGCCGTGTTGTCTGTGCAGATTTAAACAGAGGAGGACTGCAGAATTGCTTAGAATCCCGATAAAGAGATGAGATGCAGATTGTTCTTTCTGCATTTTTAAAAATGCACATAGTGAAACAAGGCATCATTCCTTCTTATTCAGGACTTTGAAGAGCAAATGCCAAAAAGCAGAAGCTTTGTTACTAATCCACTCTTGAGTCACCCAACCAAAAATTATATTTAAGCCATTGCCTTGACAGTTAAAATATAGAGCTTATTTTCTCTCCCTGCTCGCAAAATTGAGAGACTGAAAATCAGATTTGAAAAAGAGAATCCATCAGTCCCTTTTTCTCATGCCCAGTAATAACAATAATAATAATAACTATTACTATTTAAGCTCAGACTAAGACCTATAAAATTATCCACATTCAAAATTTCTTATAAAGTACAGAAAATAAATGCATTTTGGAGATAGACCATCAACCTTATGTTCTATGTAAAAAATTTGGAAATCTGCCTATTTGCGGTTTTCTTGAGCTTTATCTTAAAACCAATTTCTTCCTTTAAGCTGACGAAATGACAAATTGTAGTCTCACTTTAGTATCACAAGTGTTTTCACTATATGTCCTTAACAAGAATTAGATACTTTGGGGTGGGGTTCGAGGGAAAGCATGATTTCTCTCCAGGTAAAAAAATGATACTTTATTATTATTATTATCAAACAGAATGGGAGTAAGAAATGGAAAAAGGATATAGTAAGATACGTGGTATATAATATTGTAGTACATTTCTAGGTCAATTGGAAAGATGAATTCATTTATTTATGATATTTATATAGAACTACTTGATTCAGTAGCTTTATCCAAAAAACAGATTTCTATGTGCTAACTCAGAAATTGCAGTGAGTTACCTGCAACCCAGTCTTTGATTACTGACACACTCATACTAAGTGGTACAATCACATAGGGTCAAATGATAACACAGTTAGAATAGTAAAGAAATATAGAAAGCCATGGAATATTTGGATAAATAAGAAACTTCAGATCCCATTAGCTTAAATTCAGAATTAAAGTCAATGTCAGCTCAGAAGTGTACACTTCTCCTATTTCTCTTTGGTCATACTTATCTAAAAACAAAACAATAGAAAAACTACAGTAAGTTTTGTAGTATGTAATTTTAAAAAGGCTTCCTTATAAACCAAATAACTTACTTTCACTTCAATGTTGATGGACAATATAAATGAGAACTGATCAAATAAGCATATTTAACTTTTTTTAAAAAAATATACACACTACAAGTTGCATATGTTATTGTGTATGTGTGTATGTAAAGTAATATGATAGACTGTATGGTATATAGTGTGATTCTGTAATTTTAATGGTCATTCAGACATGGTTTAGACATTTAGGAAAAATCAAATTATATTCTCAAGGATTATTTTTCTTAATTTTTTTTCTTAAAAGATGAGATACAGATTGTTGTTGTTTAAATGTGAATAAAATGTATTACATATCCATCAAATTCCTTTTGGGGTCACCAGTAAATATACTTTATTATATAATGCACACAATTTCTTGCATCTAAGGTATATTTTGGAAGATCAATTTCTAGTCACAGACACCACACACCTTCTAACTAGAGCACTGCAGTGAACACTGTCACTATCACCATCAACTCCATTTATCAGCACTTCAAATATAACTTTGCAATTGATCTGTTTAATGGGACTGTATTCCCATTAATCAATTCATATTTTCTCTGAGTCCAAGACTAAGAAATCTACATGGTACTATCTTAGGGCAGGGTATCATCAGATTTGGGTAGGAATAGATGGTTGTCATAAAGGAAGAAGAAAATACCTGGCCTCTGCCTGGACCTCTACCTTAATGAAATCACCAATGAGTCTTTCACCTAACCTGAACGATCCCTGAAGTCCTCTGTCAAATGCGCTGTAAAACTATGTCTCATATTTCATAATCTAATTTATTTTGGGGTTATTGAGATATAATAGAAAGATTTTTTTCTTATTTAAGTTATTCTTTGGACAATTTAAGTGCTCTGAACCGGCAGAAGGGTTCTAGAAAGCACCCTCCATGTTTTATTTGTTTAAAGATTTTCATGAAAAAGGAATGGTTCTCTAAATGATATTCTAGTATTCTATCCTGACTGTGTTTCAGTAGTCCTTGATCCCGACATTTTACCACCTCTATGACAACCTATAAAAGACAGGTATCTGAGAGCCCCAAGGCAGAATTCCTGAACCATTTTCTGTCTTCTCACTTTAGGCCAATTAAACATAACAGAGTGAGGATTTCCGAGATAAACCCACAAGTTCAATTTCTATATTTCTGCTCTAATCACCTCAATAATTGACTTTTTTTGAAAAGAACAATTTGTTCATTATTATATATCACAAAAATTACTGAATGCCACAAAAATTAGAGTATTATAAAAGGCAAAGATTTTATTTATTTTCATGCTAAGATCTTGGCCTACCTTGAGCATGCCAATGTAATACAATACTGCTTGTATTAGTCCTTTCTCACTCTGCTAATAAGGACATACCCGAGACTGGGTAATTTATAAAGGAAAGATGTTTAATTGACTCACAGTTCGGCATGGCTGGGGAGGGCTCAGGAAACTCACAATCATGGGGGAAGGGAAAGCAAACATGCCCATCTTCACAGGGCAGCAGCAAGAAGTGCTGAACAAAGAGGGAAAAGCCCCATATGAAACCATCAGATCTTGTGAGAACTCACTCACTATCATGAGAATGGCATGGAGGTAACCGCCTGCATAATTCAATTACCTCCCACCAATTCAATCCCTCCCATGACCTGTGGGGATTATGAGAACTACAATTCAAGATGAGATTTTGGCGGGGAGACAGCAAAACCATATCATTCTGCCCCGGGCCCCAACAAAATATAATGTCTTTACATTTCAAAACACAATTATGCCCTTCCAACAGTCCCCCAAAGTTTAAACAAATTCCAGCATTAACCCAAAGTCCAAGTCCAAAGTCTCACCTGAGACAAGGCAAGTCCCTTCCACCTAAAAACCTGTAAAATCAAAAGCACATTAGGTACTTACTAGACACAATAAGTACAGGCATTGAGTATATACATCCTTTCACAATGGGAGAAATGGGCCAAAACAAAGGGGCCACAGGCCTCATTCAAGTCTGAAATCCAACAGGGCAGTCATTAAACTTGGAAGTTTCAAAATGATCATCTTTGGCTCAATAGTTCAAATCCAGGTCACACTGATGCAAGAGGTGGGCTCCTTATGGCCTTGGGCAGCTCCATCCCCGTGGCTTTGCAGGGTATATACCCCTTCCCAGCTGCTTTCACAGGCTGGCAATGAGTTTCTGTGGCATTTCCAGGCACATGGTGCAAGCTGTTTTGGGATCTACCATTCCAATGTCTGGAGAATGGTGGCCCTCTTCTCACAGCTGCAGTAGACAGTGCCCTAGTGGGGACTCTGTGTGCGGGCTCCAACCCAACATTGCCCTTTTGCACTACCCTAGCAGAGGTTCTTCATGAGGACTCCGCCCCTGCAGCAAACTTCTGAACTTCTGCCTGGACGTCTAGACATTCCTATACATCCTCTGAAATCTAGGCAGAGGTTCCCCAGCCTCAATTCTTGACATCTGTGCACCCACAGGCCCAACACTATGTGTAAGCCACCAAGGCTTGGGGCTTGCACCCTCTGAAACAATGGCCTAAACTGTATGTTGACCCCTTTTCGCCACTTCTCCAGACTTCACAAAGCAGTAATGCCCTGGGCCAGGCCCACAAAACCATTTTTTCCTCCTAGGCCTCAAGGCCTGTGATAAGAGGGCTGCTGTGAAGACTTCTGACATGTCCTGGAGACATGTTCCCCATTGTCTTGGTGATTAACATTTGGCTCTTCATTACTCATGCAAATTTCTGGAGCCAGTTTGAATTCCTCTTCAGAAAATGGGATTTTCTTTTCTATTGCATCTTCAGCCTACAAATTTTCTGAACTTTTATGCTCTGTTTTCCTTTTAAACATAAGTTCCAATTCCAAACCACATCTTTGTGAATGAATAAAGCTGAATGCTTTTAAGAGTGCCCAAGTCACATTTTGAACACTTTGCTGCTTAGAAATTTCTTCCACTAGATACCCTAAATAATCACTCTCAAGTTCAAAGTTCCATAGATCTCTATGGCAGGGACAAAAATCCACCATGCTCTTGCTAAAGCACAGCATGAGTCACCTTTGCTTCAGTTCCCAACAAATTTCTCATCTCTATCTGAGCCCACCTCAATTTGGCCTTCATTGTCCATATCACTATCAGAATTTTGGTCAAAACCACTCAACAAGTCTCTAGGAAGTTCCAAATTTTCCCACATTTTCCTGTCTTCTTCTGAGTCCTCTAAACTGCTTCAACCTCTGACTGTCACCCAGTACCAAAGTTGCTTCCACATTTTCAGGTATCCTTATAGCAGCACCCCACTCTACCAGTATCAATTTACTGTGTTAGTCCATTCTTGTGCTGGTATAACTAACTGCCTGAGACTGGGTAATTTATAAAGAAAGAAGCTTTAATTGACTCACAGTTCAGTATGGCTGGAGAGGCCTCAGGAAACTTACAATCATGGCAGAAGGGGAAGCAAACTCATTTTTCTACACATGGCAGCAGCCAGGAAAAGTGACCAGCAAAAGGGGGAAGAGCCCCTTAATAAAACCATCAGATCTTGTGAGAACTCACTATCCCAAGAACAGCATGGAGGTAACTGCCCCCACGATTCAATTACCTCTCACCAGGTCCCTCCCACGACATGGGGGGATTATGGGAACTACAATTCAATATGATATTTCAGTTGGGACACAATAAAACTATATCACTGATATATAATCTATTTTTAAATACAATATTTAGTAGCAGACCACACCAAGAGGATCCTAGTTCTGGCAAATTTATGCTCATGTGAATGTTTCATAACTCTGACCAAATTAGAAGAGGAGTGACTTGCAATTATTATGTCTTCAGAGACAGGAATGCACTAATTCAAGGCCATACTCTATTTGTTGAAAATGTTAACTAATCACCAGTTTAGACCACTGACATTTAACCAAACATTAATTAGCACTGGATATTCAGACTATCACTTCCTAATGCTTTGAATTTTCCTCATAATATATGTGAGTTTTTCTATAGATATCCTAAGTATGGGATTATATTAAAGTTCTCCATAGAAATAAAATTAATAGGAGATAGATGGATAGATAGATAGATGATAGATAGATAGATACATAGACAGATACATAGATAGACAGATACTGAGGCTGAAGTCATAAGTCAATCTGGAGGCAGAATTGCTTCTTCCTCAGTGGACATAAATCATTTTTTAATGTCTTAAATTGATTTAAAGAGGCCCACTCACATTATAGAGTGTAATCTACTTTAGTCAAAACCTATTGATTTAAATTTTAATCAAATGTAAAACAAAACAAAAAGATCTTCACATCAATATCTAGATTGGTGTGTGACTAACATCTGGATATCATGGGTACCATGGCCTACCCACTTTGACTAATATAATTAACAATAAAAGGGATGTAGTAGAGGTAATCACCCAAAGATTACCTAACAGGAAAATTTTGTGGATTTTAAGCTCAGCCTATGGTATGGTTTGGCTGTGTCCCCACCGAAATCTCATCTTGAATTATAGTTCCCATAATCCCCACATGCCATTGGAGGGACCAGGTGGAGATAATTGAATCATGGGGGTGGTTTCCTCCATTCTGTTCTCATGATAGTGAGTTAGTTCTACCGACATCTGACGGTTTTGTTAAGCAGCTTCCCCATTTACTGGGCAGTAATTCTCCTTCCTGCTGCCATGCGAAGAAGGATGCGTTTGCTTCCCCTCCCGCCATGATTGTAAGTTTCCTGAGGCCTCTCCAGCCATACTGAACTGTGAGTCAATTAAAGCTTCTTTCTTTATAAATTACCCAGTCTCAGGCAGTTAGTTATACCAGCACAAGAATGGACTAACACAGTAAATTGATACTGGTAGAGTGGGGTGCTGCTATAAGGATACCTGAAAATGTGGAAGCAACTTTGGTACTGGGTGACAGTCAGAGGTTGAAGCAGTTTAGAGGACTCAGAAGAAGACAGGAAAATGCGGGAAAATTTGGAACTTCCTAGAGACTTGTTGAGTGGTTTTGATCAAAATTCTGATAGTGATATGGACAATGAAGTCCAAATTGAGGTGGGCTCAGATAGAGATGAGAAATTTGTTGGGAACTGAAGCAAAGGTGACTCATGCTGTGCTTTAGCAAGAGCATGGTGGATTTTTGTCCCTGCCATAGAGATCTATGGAACTTTGAACTTTACAGAGATAATTTAGGGTATCTGGGAGAATAAATTTCTAAGTTGCAATGCATTCAAGAGGAAGAGGCATAAATTTGGAAAATTTGCAGCCTGATTATGTGATAGAAAAGAAAACCCCATTTTCTGCAGAGAAATTCATGCTGGATGCATAAATTTGCCTAAGAAAGGAGGAGGTGAATGCTAATAATGAAGACAATGGAGAAATCTTATCCAAAGCATGTCGAAGACTTTCATGGCTGTTCCTCCCATCACAGGCTCAGAAGTTTAGTAGGCAAAGATGGTTTCCTTGGCTAAGTTCAGGGCCTCCCTGCTGTGTGAAGACTTGGGACTACCTCCCAGATGGTCCAACCACGCTAAAAGTGACCAAGGAACATCTTAGTTCATTGCTTCAAAGGGTACAAGCCCCAAGCCTTGGCAGGTTCCACGTGGTATTGGTCCTGTGCATGAATAGAAGACAATTATTTGAGGTTTGGGAGCCTCTTCGTAGATTTCAGAGGAGCATGGAAATGCCTGGATGTCTAGGCAGAAATTTGCTGCAGAGACAGAGCCCTCAGGGAGAACCTCTCCTAGGGAAGTGCAGAAGGGAAATATGGGGTCAGAGCCCCCATACAGAGTTTCCATTGAGGCGCACTGCCTAGTGGAACTATGAGAAGAGGACCACCAGGCTCCAGACCCCAGAATAGGAGATTCTTCAACAGCTTGCACCGTGCATTTAGTCAAAAGAGACTATTCTGGAACTTTTAGGTTCGATGACTACCTTATGGGATTTCAGACTTACATGAGGCCTATAGCCCCTTTGTTTTGGCCAATTTTTCCCATTTGGAATGGGTGTATTTACCCAGTGCCTTTATCCAGTGCCTGAAAAAGAACAAGATGGGGGAAACCACAATGCATTGTATCTTGGAAATAACTAACTTGCTTTTGATTTTATAGGCTCATAGCTAGACGGGACCTGTCTCAGATGAGACTTTGGATTTAGACTTTATAGTTAATGCTGGAATGAATTAAGACTTTAGAAGACTGTTGGAAAGACAGTGTTCCGGATTGTGAGAAATTGCAATTTGGGAGGGCTGGGGTGGAAAGGTATGATTTTGCTGTGTCCCCATCCAAATATCATCTTGAATTGTAGTTCCCATAATTTCCAGATGTCATGGCAGGGACCAAGTAGAGGTAATTGGGTCACGGAGGCAGTTTCCCCCATCTTGTTCTCATGATAGTGAATTAGTTCTCACACGATCTGATGGTTTTCTAACAGCCTCCTTCTTTGCTGGGGACTCATTCTTCTTCCTGCTGCCATATGAAGAGGGACATGTTTTCTTCCCCTTCCATCATGATTGTAAGTTTCCTGAGGCCTCCCCAGCACTGTGGAACTGTGAGTCAGTTAAACTTTTTCTTCATAAATTACTCAGTTTCCGACAGTTCTTTATAGCAGCATGAAAACAGACTAATACAGCCTATCACATAACTGCAGCAGATACCTGCCCAGCAATATCGATGAACTCTCCAGGGCCACCAAGAAATGTTCTTGGTGATAACATCTTCTTATATAGGGGTTGCATATATATTTAGAAATTGTGTTATATTCAAGAGCTTTGAGTATGCCATTTTGTTAACCTAGCCTGTTCAACATATTGAATGTAACCATCAGGAAGAATTTTTGGAGGTCCAGCTTCAAAGAAAATTCCTGTGACACCCATGTCAAAATTAATGAGACTCCCCCACCCAAAACCGAGGACAACTGCTCTTTCCTTACATCAACACAATTGGAACTGCACGAACCTTTATATAATCTCCAAAGATAGGGACACAAAAACATTTTAATGACAATTATACTATTACACATTTCATTTACTTTCTATCATATTTTATTTTCTGTTCAAACAGAGGAGATAATGCCATTTCCATTGTATGTATGATCTATTGTCTTCAATGTACTTGCTTTCTAAATATGATCCTTAGTTTGTTTTCACGTTTTGAAGAAAGATGCTTAAGAACTTTCAGTTATACATTTATATGTCCTTCCTTTGTTGTGGGTAAATGGTAGGTATCAACTGAACACTTGAAAACTCCTATTACTTAACATAACAATGGTAAGTTTTAAATTATTTGGGCCAATTACTGGCCCAAATAATTTGCCATAGCATAGTTATCTTATGATTACTAGTGAATATTATACTCTATTGCTTCACTTCATCATGCATGTCTCTGCTACTGATGTCACCAAACATAGCAATTGGGTAGTAAATGGTGGACTTGTGGACTTCCTGGCATGAGTCACAGAGTATCTTCTGGAGGATCAAGGACCAGTGCAAGAAATATACCAGCTGCTACCAGGAAGATGAGGGAAAAGGAAGTTATATTGTCTTGCCTTTTTCAAACATTAAAACGTAAACCAGGGTCCTTTACCTCTGAGTTTAATTGAACTGCAGTTTCAGTTTTTCATACACATTTGCATATCACATTTATCTTTGAACCAAATAATGTGGGAACAGCAAACCTAGACTAATGCAACAGTCATTATCTAGTCTACTTTAGGAGGTTCAGCACTTATTAGATATATTTTCTACAAGTAAAGCAGGCCAAAATAGTTTAGAATCCTCTTTTCACTTAAAGATAAATAGCACTAATACCATTTGACCCAGCAATCCCATTACTGGGTATATACCCAAAGGATTATAAATCATGCTACTATAAAGACACATGCACACATATGTGTATGGTGGCACTATTCACAATAGCAAAGACTTGGAACCAACCCAAATGCCCATCAATGATAGACTGGATTAAGAAAATGTGGCACATATACACCATGGAATACTACGAAGCCATAAAAATGGATGAGTTCATGTCCTTTGTAGGGACATGGATGAAGCTGGAAATCATCATTCTGAGCAAAGTATCACAAGGACAGAAAACCAAACACCGCATGTTCTCACTCATAAGTGGGAATTGAACAATGAGAATACTTGGACACAGGGCGGGGAACATCATACACTGGGGCCTGTCATGGGGTGGGGAGCTGGGGGAGGGATAGCATTAGGAGAAATACCTAATGTAAATGACGAGTTAATAAGTACAGCAAACCAACACGGCACATGTATACATATGTAACAAACCTGCACGTTTTGCACGTGTACTGTAGAACTTAAAGTACAACAATTAAAAAAAGATAAATAGCACTATAGAGAAGTACATGGAAGGATATGATAAATTATATATATTGAGAGCAGGAACCTTAACAGAAGTGTTAGAAAGATTTCCACCAAAAGATTGATAAAATACAAAAATAGAAACATTTATAAATAATGGCTTAGTTCTTTGGAAATACTTCTTCTATTTATTATTTATAGGGATTAACTCATTCCTTGACAATGCTTTATAAATGTGGGATTATAATAGCCTGCTATGGAATGAACTCTAGGGCATTATAGGATAGCTCTAAAAGCAGTTTTAAAGATGTACTAAATAGTTTAACAATTTTCCTTTAATGTATTTTAATTGACCATAGAAAATTTCTGCAAAATCTGCATGCCGTGTATATTCTATTCAATCAGCTCAGTATTTTATGTAAATGAATTAAAATAACCAGTTATTTGAATTTTGTAGTTAGAAGTGAATATGTAATAGGAATTATATTGTTTCTTAAAGAGTAAATTATTTCTTAGGAGTTTTTTTGTTATTTAACATGTGGCACATTTTACCTTTTTGGCTTGCAGTATATGCACTTTCATTAAGACTAATTTTTAACTTCTTGTGTATTGTATTTTAAGAAGCATGCAGATTTCAGTCCACTGGACAATATAGAAGAAATAATTCTCTGACTACAAGATTCTGATAAATTGAGGACCCATTTATATTCAACTTAAATATACATGAGTTCATATACATAAGCCTATGTGGATGAGTGTGTTTATGAAACACATTTCTAACTTCTCATTTATACTATCTATAAACTTTCTATTTGAAGTTGGTGAATTGTCTATAGCAGCTAAAATGTAGAATACCCACTGGGTCAGGTTAGTGTGGAGAAATGAAATGATTAGCGCAAACAATACTGAACAGTAAAATATAGTGTGATTAATAGATAAAGGACAGAAATGGGATATTGTTATCTCCTGAGTTCTTATTATATATCAAGCTTTATACTAAGCACAAAAACAGTATCATCTCCTTTCAAACAAAGTGAGGCAAATACTAGTTACTCTAATTTTGCTGATGAAGAAATGGGTGTACAAAGTGTTGTCATGCTTAATAGCAAATCAGCTTCATTATGACTCCAGATTGCATGCTACACATTAGCATGCTGCGGTCACCAAGAGTTGGATGCACAGGAACCTGCATGGAGGGTGGGGTTTGCTCCCTTAAGGCAAGGAAAAAAAACAATATTATTGCATCAGATGGGTTTCTACATTATACTTTTTTGACATAAACAAATGAGAAAACAGAATTAAGCAGGGGACTTGGTAACAAGTACAAAATAAATGTTCCATTATAGAGGTAGAAATGGAGCAGGAGTAACCAAATGGTTGACTTGAAACAGCAGCATCAGTTGTGAAGAGTTCTTTAAACCCCCACTGCTCACTAAGGATGGACTTGTTTGCCTGATGTAGGCAGGAGTAATGTGGTTTCACATGCAGGGAAAAGTATATCTTTAAAGCAAAAGCTTGCTTTACCTATGTAACATGGTTAATGTGAGAATCAAATATAATAATACAAATTAGAATAATAATTAGTAATTAAAAGGTGTTTTATCTTTATTCCTGAAGCTAATGTTGTTATAGTTATCAATAGTCTATAATATGCCTTTTTCAGTTTGCTTATAATAATCCTTTAGATGGTGGTTTTGGCATGATGCTGTGCTTTGCAAGTCTTATTTTTTAGTGACTGGTAAATGCTGACCTATTGTTTTCTAAATCATCAGACACAGCCAGTATATTATATTTTAATTCTCAAACTCTGCAGGTAGCAGTGGTTGCTGTTCTGTTGCACTTGAGTTTCTGTAGAGCAGTCATAATATAATCAACACTTTCCTCAATGATATTTAAGAGGACACAGAATGTGTGGGTGCTGCCAAGGAATCATAGATATTTGAAGTACAAAAGATTAAAAATAATTTTAAAAAATGTTCTTTAACAGAAATTCCAATATCTTATACAGTAAAGAGAATTAATAAAGCATACATTGCAAAATGGTGTGTGTGGGGAAGGAGTGGTTATTAGCTGATGAAATATTTGTCAGGATGGCCTGGGTTATGCTGCAGTCAAAAACAGCCTCAACATTTTAGTGCCTTTTGATATACCTGTATCTACATAATTATTCAATATTGTCAGAAATCCCCCTCTTTATATCTCTATAGAACTAGAACATGCTATGCTGACTTTATTCTGTGGATGGTGGGAAAAATATATCCTAGATTTCAGAAGATCTCAGCCTATAGACCCAAAAGGAGAGAGGCAGAAAAAATCTTGGTCCCTTATTCGTTCCTAAGAAAGACTCTCCTTGGCTCTACGTCAGTCACATATATTTCTGGTCCAATTGCCAGGGGATGAAAGAGCCATAATTTGTTAGCCAAACTTAATACCTATGTGTGATAGTTACTTTTGTGTGTTTACTAGGCTGAGCTATGATGCCCAGATGTTTGTTTAAACATACTTCTGGATGTTTCTGTGAGGTTGTTTATTTAGATGAGATTAACATTGAAATGTTTAGATCCACATATAAGTAATATGATGCAGTATTTTTCTTTCTGTGGCTTATATGTTCTCTATATGCTGATTTCACTTAGCACAATTTCCTCCAGGCTCATCCATGTTGTGATATGTGACAAGATCTTCTTTTACAGGGCTGAATATTTCACTGTATGTACATACATATATGTGTATATATATATGCCACAGTTTATTCACTTGTCGGTCAGCAGACACTTAGTTTGCTTCCATAAATTGGCTATTGTGAATAATGTTGAAATGGACATTGAGAGTGTAGATATCTTTAGGTAGTGGTTATTTAATTTGAGTATTTTCTCAGAAGACAGGTTCTTGGGTCATATGGTACTTCTATTTTTAATTTCTTCAGAAACCCCCATACTATTGTCTATGATGGCTGTACCAATCTATATTTACACTAACAGTGTAAAAGAGTTTCCTTTTCTCCACCATCCTCACCAACATTTTTATAAATTTTTGACTTTTTAATTATAGCCATCCTAATGGGCATGAAGTGGTATCTCATAAGAGTTTCAATTTGCATTTCTGTGATGACTAATGATGCTGAGCACCTTATCACATACCTATTGTGCATGTTTATGTCTTCTCTGGATACATATCTATTCAGTTTTTTTGCCCATTTAAAAAATCAGTTTGTTTGTTTTTCCACCATTGAATTGTATGAGTTATTTATAAATTTTGGATATTAACTCCTCATATGTAGGTTCACAAACATCCTTTTCCCAACCTGTAGGGTGTCATTTCTTTCTTTTTTTTTTTTTTTTTTTTTTTTTTTTTGAGATGGAGTCTTGCTCTCTCACCCAGGCTGGAGTGCAGTGGCATGATCTTGACTCACTGCAACCTCCACCTCCTGGGTTCAAGCAATTTTCCTGCCTCAGCCTCCTGAGTACCAGGGATTACAGGTGGGTGCCACCACACCTGACTAATTCTTGTATTTTTAGTAGAGATGGTGTTTCACCATGTTGACCAAGCTGATCTTGAACTCCTGATCTCAAGATCTGCCCACCTCGGCCTCCCAAAGTGCTGGGATTACAGGCATGAGCCACTGCACCAGGCCCATTTTATTTCGTTGACTGTTTCCTTTGCTATGCAGAAGCTTTTTAGATTGACATAGTCTCATTTATTAATTTTTGCTTTCGTGGCCAGAGCTTTGGTGTAATATTCAATAAATTGTTGCGATGGCTAATGTCCAGTCATTCTCCTCTATGTTCTCTTCTAGGGGTTGTGTTGTTTCTTGTCATATATTTAGGTCTTTTATTCATTTTCAGTAGATTTCTGTGTATATCATTAGATAAGGGTGCAATTTCATTCATTTGCATGTGAAAACTCCAGTTTTCCAAGTACCATTTATTGAAGAGATTTTTGTTTCCCCATTGTGTTCTCTTGGTGCTCTTATCAAAACTGAGTTGACTGTATGTGTTTGGATTTATTTCTGAGTTCTCTAATCTGTATCACTGGTCTATGTAAATGTAGACTCTAAAAAATTAATGTACAGTGATAGAGAATAAAACTGATCATCAGGAGTGGGGTCAGGTGGCAGGTATGGAGATATGTATGTCAGAGGATACGAAGTAGCATATATGTAGGATGAAGAAGTCTAGAGATCTAATGTATTCTCTGAGGGATGTAGGTAATAAACCTGTACTGTAATGTATTTGGGATTTATGCTAAATGATTAGATTTTAGCTGCTTTTACTTCAAAAACAAATCAAAAAAGTGTACTATGAGCTGATGAATCTGTGGATTTGCTTTACTATAGTAACCTTTTTACTATTTATATGTATCATGTAACATCATTTGTACCTTAAATATACCCAATAAGATTCATTAAAAAATAAAATATCTTGGTCATGAAACATAAAATATGGCTGAAGAACTACTCCAAAAAAGAGGAGACCCTAAGATATATCATACAGAAATTAAACTTGTAAATCTAGATTGGATTCTGGACTGGGATAACAAATATAGCTATAAATTAGGACATCGTTGGGACAACCGGTGAAATATAAATGTAGACTGTGGGTTAGATAGTAGAATTATACCCAAGTCTTCTAGGTTTTTATAACTGTACTGGGTTTATGTAAGAGAGGGTCTTTTTTCTAAAAAAAAAAAATACACTGACATATTTAGGATAAAAAAAGAGAGATTAACATTTTTATATATTTTTCATTTTTCCTTTTTATTTCGATAGTTTTTAAAGTACAAGTGGTTTTTGGTTACATAAACAAATTGTATAGTGGTGAATTCTGAAATTTTAGTGCACCCATTACCTGAGCAGTGTACCCTGTTCCCAATTCGTGTTCTTTTATCCCTCACCCCCATCCACCCTCCCCTCCTGAGTCCCCAGAGTCCACTATATCACTCTGCATGTCTTTGCGTCCTCATAGCTTAGTTCCCACTTAGAAGTGAGAACATAAGATTTTTGGTTTTATGTTCCTAAGTTACTTCACTTAGACTAATGTCCTCTATCTCCATCCAAGTTGCTGCAAAATATATTATTTTGCTTATCTTTACGGCTGAGTAGAGTTCCATGGTATATATATACTTCATTTTCTTTATCTACTCTTTGGTTAATAGACACTTAGGTTGGTTCCACACCTTTGCAATTGTGAACTGTGCTGCTACAAACATGAATGTGCATGTGTCTTTCCATGTAATAACCTATATTTGTTTGGGTAGATATCCAGTAGTGGGGATGCTGGATCAAATGGTAGAGCAACTTTTAGTTCTTTAAGAAATCTCCATACTGTTTTCCATAAAGGTTGTAGTAATTTACATTCCTACCAGCAGTGAAAAAGTGTTCCCTTTTCATCACATCCAAGCCAACATCTATTGTTTGTTGAATTTTTAATTATGGCCATTTTTGCAAAAGTAAGATAATATCTCACTGTGGTTTTAATTTGCATTTCGCTGATGATTAGTGAAGTTGAGCTTTTTTAAATACGTTTGTTGGCTATTTGTATATATTTTTCTGAGAAATATCTATTCATATCTTTTGTCCACTTTTTTTATGGGATTTTTTTTTTCCTTCCTGATTTGTTTGAGTTTCTTGTGGATTTTGGATACTAGTCGTTTGTTGGATGCAAATATTTTCTCCCACTCTGTGGATTGTCTGTTTACTCTGCTGATTATTTATTTTGCTGTGCATAAGGTTATTAGTTTAATTAGGTATATTTTATTTATTTGTTGTTTTGTTGCTTTTACTTTTGGAGTCTTAGTCATAAATTCTTTGCTGAAGCCAATTTCCAGAAAAATTTTTTCAATGTTATTTTTAGAATGCTTATGGTTTCAGGTCTTGGATTTAAGTTCTTGATCCGACTTGAGTTGATTTTTGTGTAAGGTGAGAGATAAGGATCCAGTTTCATTCTTCTACATTTGGCTTGCCAGTTTTCCCAGTACCATTTGTTGACTAGGGTGTCCTTTCCCCACTCTGATTTTGTTTGCTCTGTCGAAAATCAGTTGGCACTTAAGTATTTGGCTTTATTTCTGGGTTCTCTATTCTGTTCCATTGGTTTATGTGCCTACTTTTATACCAGTGCCATGCATTTTTGGTAACTACAGCCTTGCAGTATAATTTGAAGCCCAGTTATGTGATACCCCCAGATTTATTATTTTCATTCAGTATTGCTTTTTCACTCAGTATTTTGTTATGTGGGCTCTTTGTTGGTTTCATGTGAATTTTAGAATTGCTTTTATAGTTCTGTGAAAAATGATGATGGTATATTGATGGAATTACATTGAATCTGTAGGTTGCTTTACGCAATATGGTCATTTTCACAATACAAGATCTTCCCATCCATGAGCATGGGATGTGTCACCTTTACTTTGTGTCATTTTTTATTTGATTCAGCAGTGTTTTGTATGTTTCCTTGGAGAGATCTTTCACCTCCTTGTTTAAGTATATTCTTAGGGAATTTTTTTCTTTTTGTACCTATTGTAAAGGGGATTAAGTTCTTTATCTGATTCTGCATTTGGTCATTGTTGATGTATAGCAGTGCTACTGATTTGTGTACATTAATTTTGTACCTGAGACCTTATTGATTTTGTTTATCAGATCAATGAGTCATTTGGATGAGTTTTTAGGGTTTTCTAGGTATATGATTATATTATTGGCAAACAGCTCTAGTTCGACTTCCTTCCTTCCAACTTGAATGCCCTTTACTTCTCTCTCTTCCCTGATTGCTCTGACTAGGAATTCAAGTACTATATTGAATAGAAGTGCTGAAAGTGGGCGTCCTTGGCTTATTCTAGTTTTTAACTTTTCCCAGCTTTCAACATTTCCCCACTCAGTATAATGTCAGCTGTGGGTGTGTCATATATGGCTTTTATTATTTTGAGGTAAGTCCCTTCTATGCCTTGTTTATTGAAGGTTTTTATCATAAAAGGATACTGGATTTTATTGAATGCTTTTTCTGTATCTATTGACATGATCATATAGTTTTTAATTCTGTTATTCAATATATCACATTTATTGACTTGTATATGTTAAACCATTCCTACATCCCTGGGATAAAAGGCACTTCATCATAATGTATTATCTTTTTGATGTACTATTGGATTTTGTTAGCTAGTATTTTGTTGGGGATTTTTTAATGTATGCTCATCAGGAATATTAATCTGTACTCTTTTAAGGTACTTTCCTTTTTTGATATTAGGTTAATACAGGCTTCATAGAATCCTTTAAAAAAGAGTCCCTCTTTCTCAATCTTTAGGAATAGTTTCAGTAGGATTGGTACTAAGTCTTTGACTGTCTGGTAGAATTCAGATGTGAATCTATCTGGTCCTCGGCTTTTTTATTTTCGCTGGCAATTTTTTGATGACTGATTCAATCTTGCTGCTGTTACTGATCTATTCATGGTTTCTATTTCTTTCCAATTTAATCTAGGAGGGTTGTTTGTTTCCAGGAATTTATCCATTTCCTCTATATATTCTAGTTTGTACACATAAAGTTGTGTGTAGCAGTCTCAAATAATCTTTCGTATTTCTGTTGTATCAGTTGTAATGCCTCCAGGTTCAATTATAATTGAGCTTATTTGGATCTTTTTTCTTGGTTAATATCACTAATGATCTATCCATTTTGTTCATCTTTTCAAAAGCTCAGCTTTTTGTTTCATTTATCTTTTGTAATGTTTTTGGTTTTAATTTCATTTCATTCTGCCCTGATCTTTGTTATTTTCTTTCTTCGCTGGCTTTGGTTTTAGTTTGTCCTGGTTTCTCTAGTTCTTGAGATGTGACATTAGGTTGTCAATTTGTGCTCTTTAACTTTTTGATGTAGTCATTAAATACTGTAAACGTTCTTTTCACACTGCTTTTGCTATATCCCAGAAATTTCAATAATTTGTTTCACTATTATCATTTATATCAAATATTTTTTTAAATTTCCATCTTGATTTGTTAACCCAAAAATTATTTAGAAGCAGATTAGTTAATTTCCATGCATTAATATAGTTTTGAGAATTCCTTCGGGAGTTGATTTATAATTTTATTCCATTGTGGTCTGAGAAGATATTTGATAGTATTTTGATTATCTTAAATTTATTGAGACTTTTTTGTGGCCTGTCATATGGTCTGTCTTGGAGCATATTCCATGTAATGATGAGAAGAAATATATTCTGCAGTTGTTGGGTAGAATATTCTGTAAGTATCTGTTAAGCTTGTTTGTTCTAGAATACAATGTAAGTCAATTTCTTCTTTCTTGACTTTATGTCTCAATAATCAGTCTATTGCTGTCAGTGAAGTACTGACATTCCCCATTATTACTGTATTCTTGTCTATCTCAATTCTAGGTCTAGTAGTGACTGTTTTATGAATCTGGTAGCTCCAGTGCTAGGTGCATATATATTAGAATTGCAATATCTTCTTGTTGGATTGATCTTTTTTTCATTATGTAGTGACCTTTTTCTTTTTTACTATTGTTGCTTTAAAGTCTGTTTTGTCTGATATAAGAATAGCTACTGCTGTTCACTTTTGGTTTCTATTTGTGTGGAATATCTTTTTCCACGCCTTTCCCTTGACTTTATATGAATACTTACAAGTTAGGTGAATCTCTTGAAGACAGAAGATACTTGGTTTATGAGTCTTTTATCCATTCTTTTTTATCCATATCTTTTTTATCCATATCTTTTAAGTGGAACATTTAGGCCATTTATATTAATTGTTAATACTGAGATGTGAGATAATGCTTTATTCACCATGTTAGTTGTTACTTAGGTACCCTTTTTCTTTCATTGCGTTATTATTATATAGGCCCTGTGAGTTTCAAGCTTTCAAGAGGTGCTATTTGGGTGCATATCAAGCTTTTGTTTCAAGAATCATAACTCTTTTTAGCATTTCTTGTATTGTTGGTTTGGTAGTGGCAAATTCCCTCAGGATTTGTCTAAAAATGACTTTTTTTCCCCTTCATTTATAAGACTTAGTTTTGCTAGATACAAAATTTTTGGCTGACAGTTACTCTGTGTAAGGAGGTTAGAGATAGGACCCCAATCCCTTCTAGCTTGTAATGTTTTACTGAGGAGTCTGCTGTTAGTATGACAGATTTTTCTTTATAAGTTACCTGATGCTTTTGTCTCTTAGAATTCTTTTCTTCATGTTGACTTTACATGGGCTGATGACTGTGTGACTTACGAATATCTTTTTGCCATGAATTTCCCAAGAGTTCTTTGAGCTTCTTGTATTTAGGTATGTAAATCTCTAGTAAGGCCAGGGAAGTTTTCCTCTGCTATTCCCTCAAACAAGTTTTCCAAAGTTTCAGCCTTCTCTTCTCCCTCAGGAATACCAAGTATTCATAGATTTGGCCATTTTACATATTCCTTATTTCTTGGAGATTTTGTTCATCTCTTTGATGCTTTATCCTTTATCTTTGAATCAGTTTATTTGAAAGCCTTGTCTCTAAACTCTGAAATTATTTTATTTACTTGTTTAGTATATTGTTGAAACTTTCCACTGCATTTTGTATTTCCCTAAGTGTGTCTTTCATTTTCAGAAGTTCTGCTGGCTTTTCTTTATATCTTCCTCTCTAGAAAAATTTTTAATTCATATCCTGAGTTGGTTTTGAAATTTATTTATGTTGGTTTTCACCTTTTTCTGGTATCTGCTTGAATAGCTTAATCAACATTCTAAATTCTTCATTTGTTGTTTCAAAGATTTCAGTTTGGTTTGGAGTCATTGCTGGGAGTCTAGTGTGATCTTTCAGGGGTGTTATAGAACCATATTTTTTCATATTATCAAAATTACTTTTCTGGTTCCTTCTCATTTGCATTGACTATTTATTCTAATTGTTCTTGAATTTATTTTTGATTTGACTGGGTTTGGTTTAATTTCTTTTTTTCCCCTTAAGGATGTGACTTTAATATTTATACTTTGTTACAGCCTAATTTGATTCCTGGTGCTTTTAGGGGTGAAGACTCTGTGAGTTTCTTGGTTATGGAGAGTCTCTGTATGATGGCTTCATCAGATAATGGCTGTAGTTGCTATGTACTTGTTGTGTGGGCAAATTCACTGTCTCTTATGGGGATGGAATGACAGAGGTCTCTTGAAGCTTATCCCATTCCCTTGTGGTGTATGCTTTTTTATTTATTCAGTTTTTCCCCAGTATTTTCTTTACTGAGTTTGTGGTTCAGGCTTCAGGCCAGTAAGAGAGGTATCCCTGGGTAAGAACCTGTTGTAGCTAAAGCAAGTGGGTAAATGCAATACCCAATGATGGGCAGAGGTCCCAGCCTTGATGAAGGTAGCTACAGGAGCTCCCAATTAGACACACTGAGGTCTTTTCAGGGGGAAGAATGAGATCCACCTTAGCTCCCCTGTCAGGTCAGCAGAAGAGCTATCTACATCCAAGACTCACTCCTGTCCCAGTTGGCTATCCAGATCAAACAGGCACCTCTCTTCTTCTGTAGGAATGTTGATGTTCCCAGCAGAGAGGAATTGTGTGTCCACCTCTCATGCAAACCTGAACCTGTGGTGTGCTCCTCTTATAGGGATGCAGTCAACCTGAAAGGTTCTAGAAAGGCTGTATGTAGGTGCACCTATGCCAAGATCCCATGAAGAAGCCCAAGCCATGTCTGCAGTGGTGGACAAAGGGGGAATGTAGACCCCTTCTCCAAAACCCAAAACCCTTCATAAGCACCAAGGCTGCATGACGGTTGGGGTAGAGCTTCAGACTTTCTCTGCTGAGCCCAGCATTGTAATTGTATCTCTCCTGAAATAAACTTCCCATCAGTGGAAAAATCTGGAACTCAATGTCTGCCATCTGGATTCTTTTGTCCTATAGGGTATTCCATTGAGGTGGAGCTCTCCCCCTTCCCTAGGAGTAGGAGTTCCAGAGAGCCAGATTACCATGATTGCTATTGCTCTTCTGAGCTGAGCCACCCTGTGGGGCTGCCACAATCCAGGCTGGTGCTGGAGAATGTCTGCAAGGCAGGCAGTGATGTGATCTGTCCTCAAGTCTCCCAGCAGTGGGTACCAGCACTAGCTGTGATGGGGGTGGGAGGGGAGTGACATAGACTTTGTGAGATTCCTAGCTTATAGATAGCCTTAGTGTGTTAGATTTCTTAAATGCTGGTTATAATAATAGTGAACTGGTTATGTGGACAGACTCAGGACCTCCTTGTTAGCTAGGGTGTTGCAGACAATAATTTAGCTAAGGTAACACACTGGTTTTCTTCTTGCCAGGAACAGTGTTATTCTACCTAAAGATGCTGTAATGAACTGTGTTGGTTGGCCCCTGGCCACGGTGTGACGCTTGTAAAACAGCACCAGCTACAGCAGTAGCAATGGAATCTGAGCTTTCCCTATGTTGCCCAGGGAAAGTATTTTGGTTTTTCAGATGATTGACAGGACCATAAAACTCCCAAAACTTTCTGTCCTTCATGCTGAGCTCCAAGGACAGGTGGAGGGGCACAGACAGCTAGGTAGGGGCTGGGTCAAGCAGGTCTGAGCTCTGACTCACCATGTGTGGGGCAAGCCATGGACCTTGTGGGGTTGGGTGTGCAATTCTCAGGCTGCTGTTTTGGTGTTCCAGAGGGGAGTGTAACTGTCTCTGCTGCACAGAAAAGTTTGCACAGGAAGTGGGGAGTAATAAGCGGCAGTAAGCCTCACCCAGATCCCACACAGTTGGCAAGGCAGATCTTGCTCTCACAGTGCTCCGCTAGCAGCACTGGGCTAAGTTCCAGGCAGCTTGTGCTCAGAACTCAAACTTACCCCAGGCCATGAGCTTTCTCTGTGGAGACAGCAGCTGCCCCCATGCCCCTGGATGCAGTGCACTTCCTGCTCACCCCTCAGGTTCTAGCCAAGAGAGTTCATCCCCACTTGATATTATATTGTGAAATTCAGTTGGGAACTTCTTTCAAACTGTGACCATTTTCTGAGCTAGTTGGCTGATTTCCCCAAGGTCCTCTGTGAGATATAATTGGAAATGGCTTTCCTTGGCTCACGCTGGAGACTGCGAATGCCCAAAAGGCATTTCCCACCACTGCTTCTACTTTTATATTTCTCACTGCTCCTTAAATCAGTTTCAACCCTAGGTAGAGTTAAGGCCTTGCCTTATGACCTAGATTTTCAGGTTTCCTGGTCAGAATGTGTATCCTGGAGGCAGTCTCTCCCCCTCTTACTCTCTGGGACTTACAGTTTGTCACCTGTCTCACAGTGTGGGCTGCAGCCTGTCACTTCTTTCAATGAGGCTGTGTGTTTTTCTGGTTTTCTATTAAGTTCCTATGTTGCTTCTTGGAAAAAAGTTCACAGTGTGAATTTCTACACACTATTTGGTCCTTCCAAGCAACGTCCATTCTGGCAGATATGGCAGATATGGCCGATTCTGGCAGATATTATTTCCAATAAAACGTTTGTTTTATTGGACAATAAAAACAAAAACTAAAACAACAAAATGAGATTAACATTTAAATTGGTGGACTTTAAGTAGATCAGATAATCCTCCATAATGTGAATGGGATTCATATAACTAGTTGAAGGCCTTAGCAAATCAGATTGGCCTACCCTGAGCAAGAACAAATTCTGCCAACAGGCAGCCTTTGGATTTGAACTGCAACATCAGTTCTTTCTTGCTAGCCTATCTGTCAGATTTTGGACTTTGAAGCCTTCATAATCACATGAGCTAATTCCATAAATGAAAATCTCTACACACACACACACACACACACACACACACACACACACACAATTAATTCTGTTTCTCAGGAAAACTCTAATACAAGAACAGTTTCCAGAAGAAAAGGGAAATGAGCACACAGTAGAAATTAATAATAGCTGTCCACTGTATAATTCTTATTTAAGTTACCAGGCTGCTACAGTTTCAAGCACATTAAGAGATCATATATATTTAAAGTAAACTATAACTTTCAATACAGAAAGATATTATATGTATTAAATAAAAATTTTAAAATTTCTACCAGCAAAACAAGAGAAAAAGAAAACTACAATTTCCCTGCCTAACAATTACTGATTATACCACTTGGTAAATTTTCTTCTAGATTCTTTTATATATAGCTGTATTCACACTTAAGGTATATACTTAGGGTATTTGTCACAGGGAGGCTGAATACTGTGCTATAATTTATCTTTACTTCAGGACCCAAGTTAATGGAGCAGCCATTATCTGAAATATTGCCAGTCAAGGTGTTAGAGGGAAACAAGCCCTGTAGGGTCTCACACCAGCAACAAAATGTTCTGGCCAAACATTACAAGAGTCATTTTCATTCACGATTAATTGACCATAACTGGTCATAGAGTTATACCCAAACAGAAAAATCCTGGAAGTTTGTTTGGATAAGAGGAAGCCAGAAATGCTTATTGAATAATGCTAAAGACTACCACAGTTCTCAATGCATAGCGATTTATAATTATTAATCCCAGGTCTGACTGAAATATTCAAGGAGTAGGAACCTAAAATGGTTGTTTCTTGGTATTCTCTACCCTTTAGAAATCAGAATATGTGACTCATTCATGATTCCATTCCTATCTCAGCTTCTCTGAGCAGGTTGGAGTCATATAATCTGGCATTTATCTGAATTAGCATAAGAATGGCATCATTTGTAAATTTATATTACATTACTAAGGACTGGACTTTACATATGATTTATATGGTATATAAATACCTCTAAGAAAACCACTACCTCTAAGAAAACCAATGTGATAAGTTGTAGTTATCTGTTTTTCACAATTAGAGGTAGATAAATTAGAAAAGGAGAGGAATGGATTGAGCAAGAAAAACAAACACTTCAGAGAAACTGGGAAATGAATGGAAAAAAAAAGCACAGCTATTCTGCTTTGAAACTTATATGAAACTAATTCTAAATTGGTGAGATGGAGAGAAGGAAACGAGAATGATCTTCTCTCTCTGAATAAAAATCACGCTTACTTTTTGTAAGTTGTTTCCTAAGTCTCTAATTAGAAACCCTTCCATTTTTCTTACATGGGTCAAAAACCCATAAAGCTATAAGTTTCCAGTGTTCATTGGATTCTCGCCATTCCAGAAAGATAGCCTTTTAGGAGCATTCATTCATTAATTTTATTTCTGCTGTAGGGAAGAAAAGGTATGATTTCTTTCTTCACCTACCATAAGGGTCATGGCCAACATTCCTATAACAAAAGACAGTTTAACAAGAGAAAAACCATGCCAAATTTATTTAATCAAAGTTTTTCCTGACATGGGAGCCTTCAGAAATGAAGACCCAAAGACCTGGAAAACTGTCTATTTTTATGCTTAAATTCAATGAAGAACAGACAGCTGTGTAGAAATATGACTGAAAAAAAAAGAGTATGATCAAATGGTAATAGACTGAGAGGAAAAACCTAGCAAGGTCTGTATATTCAGATTCTTCCTGGCCTCTTTGCATAGCATCATTTTTCCCCCTGAGTTTTGGGCAGGCCCCCTCTGAAATAAGGGTTTCAAGGGAGAAGGAAAGGGGAGAGAGCAACCTTTCCAAGTTCTATGGCTTTCTTTGGGGGACAAAAGTTCTAGCTTCTATGACCTGACTTGGGGAAGAGGAATTCAGTTCTCTATGACTCACCTCAGAGGAAGACAATGTGGGGCAAGAGGCAGGAGGATGGGTGAAGGTCAGGACCTTCCTACTGAGGCTTTTCCAAATTCTGTCATTTCAAAGTACTCAGCATGCCAAGGTATCAAACTTTTGGGTATCATTTTCCAAGTCCCAACACTGTCCATCATGGACAGTTAAAATTCTCACAAGGCCATGAATATTATTTGAAGAGTTTCCAACTTCTTTGTAGTTATTCTAGAGCTAGGAAGGGTATTTTAGTTACTTTTGATAAGAAATATTTTGAGAGGATTTTATCAGTTAGTTGTTAGTGCTTTAAAAATCATCCCAAATTGAGTGACTTGAAACAGCAATTTATCATTTCTCATGAGTCTGTGTAGTTACTCTCTGTTAGCTTATCAGAGTTAGTTCAGCTGAACCACTTTGAAGATCTAAATTTGATTCATTTGTGTGTCCTGGGCTAGCTGGGAATGGCCCCATGTGTCTTTCAGCCTCCTGGGATAAGTTGGCTAACTCAAGCATGACAGAGGCATACTAGAAAACAGGCTAAATTGTGCAAGTATTTTCAAAGACATTCCTTGAATTACACCTTTTAACATCCTTTTGTTCAAAGCAAGCCATGTGACTACAGATTTTGACCTGCCCTCTGTGGGATAGCACTAGTTATGTGACTAACGGTATGGATACAGGGAGAATTAAGAATTGAGGCTATTAATATAATCTACCAGAGTGGCAACTTATTTATAAATTTAAATTTAATTTTTTTAAAAAGTCTGTAAGTATCAAAGAGCTTTTGGTGCAGTAGAGCTTCTCAGGGACTCTTCATCTTGCTCATGTTATGTAATTCTCGTTATCACCATCAGAGTGTCCATATTTTAATGAGATACTATGTTCTCAACATTGTTCTATGCCCTTAATTATAGCAACTTATATAGATTTTCCAACCTTTAGCAGTAAGTAACCAAAAGTAAACATATTTACAAGGCTTTCACATTTCAATTCAGTTGCTTCATTTACACCACTTCTTTTACTCACTGAATAGTTATTTATTAAAGCCTACATTTTACATGAGCTTATGCATTCTCACCTCCCAAATCTCATTTTTATCACAACATTGCTAAGAGAGTATTTAGGAACCAATGAATCAAACACTTGGATTTTCCTCTACATCTGTGTTTTACTGCTATGGAGTTAGATATTGCCAAAGTGTAAAGTCATGCTTATAGTCTTAGCATTTTCCAGACATGTAGATTTGAGAGCTAGACTCCAAACATTATATACATTGTAGGTTTACCCATATTAGGAAGGTAATGATGATTCCAATCTGGAATCCTAGTACTAATAGTGAAGTGAAGACACTTTACACTAATATTTAGAAAAACAGTAAACATAGAAACCAAATAATTCCCCTTTGTTTAAATTTATTATTCTTTAAGTTCTGGGATACATGTGCAGAATGTGCAGGTTTGTTACACAGGTATACATGTGCTATGGTGGCTTGCTGCACTCATCAACCCGTCATCTGCATTAGGTATTTCTCCTAATGCTATCCCTCCCCTAAACCCTTAACCCCTGACAGGCCCCAGTGTGTGATGTTCCCCTCCCTGTGTCCATGTGTTCTCATTGTTCTACTCCCACTTATGAGTGAGAACCTGCGGTGTTTGGTTTTCTGTTCTTGTGTTAGTTTGCTGAGAATGACAGATAATTCCACTTTTAAGGATCCGTGACACATAATACTGCCACAGCAATAGTTTGTGAGTAATCTGATTGGATCTTTATCACCAGTATTTTCCACTTCATATCTATCTGTCTTATGTCCATAAACATAGAGATATATTCATAGTACTTCACTGCTTAGAGATGTTTGATAGCTTCCTATTTTTGAAGTATAAATTTGAAAGATGTGTCATTTTAGACTCATCATTATCTGACCTTACTTTATTTTCTACTGTTTTATTTCAAACATCAAGCTTTCAGATAAAGAAACTTTGAATACATATCAAAATAGTTAATATTTTTTTCTACCTGATACTTCTGATGATTCTGCGAATACCCTACCTACATTTGTTGGTGACTCCAATGTCTAGCTCAATTTAGAAAGCACTCATAAAATGTCCATCATGGCCTTTGTAGGAGATAGTTATTCTTGCCCCATGCCCAGTAACATTTGATGTGTTATCCTCCCTTTCACATTCAACATTCTATAATAGCAATTTATCCGTATATCTATACCTATCTCTTCATCTATCATTGCTCTACTGATACTGAGTACCTGCCTGCTCTACTTGTTAACTATCACTATACTTTCAGGAACTCACAGGACGTAGTTTTTAAAATACTGAGGTCCATCATCGTCATTTTTGTTTATTCACTCAAACAGTGTTTACTATGTGCTCATTATTGAAATGCTTAGAAGTACAAACGTTGATACCAGAATGCTTGGGTGTGAACCATACCTTTCCCATTTATGGCCTTTGTAACCTTGGACGTATCTCTTAATCTTTCTGTGTCTTAGATTACCTATCCTAAATTGGAGGTAATAGTAATATTTAGCTCATAAAGGTGTGTCAAAAATTTGATACCTATAAAGAGCTTAGAACATCATAAGCTGGGACAGAAATAATACTATGAGCCCATCAAACACGTTCCATTTCTTTTCTGCTCACAAAGCTAAAGAACATTTTCAGTTGCCCTTATAGTTAGATTGGGGCCACAGTCAGTGTTCTAGCAAATGAATATAGATAAGATGTGTTTCCCATTTTCAGTTCTGGCCTATAAAAAATCTTTCACATGTAAACATTATTTTATCTTTCTGTTCCATGGACTGTTAGATATGATGTTTTGAAAATAGCAATGCTACAAAGTAAAATGACCCAGTACCCTGACTGACAGCATGGGTTAGTATCTTCCCCTAGCCCAATCTACATTAAACTGTGGTAAGAGAAATAAATCTTTATCGCGTTATGCCCCTGAGATTTGCATGTGTGTTTTTTTTTTATTTTAATACCACCCTCTAATACATAATTTTACTAAACCTAGTTGCTAAAATTCTATGCCAGTCACTACAATAGAAACTGAAGTTATATAGACCACAACCTCTGTCTCTCAAAGAGTTTACAAAATTGTTAGTGAGAAAGATAAATAAGTTGGTAATTGCATTTTGGGATAATTATATACATCACCTGATTGGGAAAACCCTTCCCAATGAACCCAAGCCAGAGTGATGATTTGAACTCAGGTTTCTTGCTCTAAATCCAGGGTTCTTTTGGTTGCATCATGTCAACTTTGCCTTTCTTTGATAAATGCTGAATGATAATGGTAACATAGTGTCATGCAGATTTAAATAATTGACTTAACATGACTTATAATATGTTAACTTGTTCATACTCTGAAAGCAAAAACTTTGGTCTAGAAAATGGAAATACCTTTTTTATTGTTCCCATATTAATACAAACCTCCAGGTTACTTGAATTTTCTTTTTTAAAATATTAAGTAATATCTTATGAACCTCATAGTCCCCCCCTTAATAACCTAATCCAAAGGCCTCTTTCAAAGGTCCTCATTCATCTTTAGCTTTTTGCCTCTTGTGTTCTTGAAGGTTTTTGTCAGAAATATTTTACTTTTCTCAAATCTCTTTTCTAGCAGAAATTTCATATGTGTGCCTCTTAAGTCAGAGCTTCAATCTATTGGATCTTCTAAAAATATAGACGCATAGGTTCAATTTCAGGTAAATTGAATCGTAATATTCAGGGCAGGTCTTTGAATGTGTAGTTGTTAAAAGTTCCATAAAACAGGAGTATTTTGACATTTAGCTGCAATGGGAGAATGTCTGTTTTTCATATGGGATTCTGCAAAATGTTGTTCAAATTCCTCTTGCATTATATGTTGTTTTCTCTCTCTTTCCTTTCTTTTTAAAAAGAAAATCTCTATAGCTGGTTTTATTCTTGTATTTATAAAGCATTTGGTGACTCTCTGAAGAGTCCCAAGGTCTAAATGTGAACACCTATTTTTTTGTGCCTGTCCCTTTGAAGGACAAATATAACATGCCTCAACTTTAAATGTCTGTTACTATCATGGAAAACTTAAAGTTTTATCTTTGCCCATCATCTATGATGCCGGATATGACAGAATAAGATAGTGAAGGAGAATTGAGCAAGGAGGAGAGAGTAAGAGCACTGTAAGCAATGGGAAAACAGAAAGGAGAAAGAAATAGAGTAATGTAGATAGCCCACATTAATAAATGCATGCCTGCTTTGCTGGATTATATATAAAGTCAGTGCTATAGTACATTTTTATGTATATGAAGAAAGAGTGTTAAAAACAGATCTACACTAGTAAGGCCAATTGATTAATTAATTTTCAACAAAAGAAGCAAAGTATGTATACATGGGTGTATATTTTATACATTGAGTTAAAATGCAATACTATTTTAACTTGTTGCTCAAGCGTACCTGCTTATGTCAGTGGGAGGTGTGTTTTTTTCGTTGTTGTTGTTGTTTTGTTTTTTTACTTGGCTTCTGTGTCCCTTTGTCATACTTCCATCATTGTAAAATTTATTTTGTTTTGCTTCATTTTTTTTAAAACTTACTCTCTTACACTACAAAATGCTCCAGGCTCACCTTGAATACTCTCCTCCCCAGTTGGGGTATGAGCCATTTCTCCAAATGAGCATTATTTTTTGTTTGTTTGTTTTATTCCTTTTGTAACAGATAATTTTATTAGACCTGGGCATTAGGTATGCTCATTGCTACTGGGATGTAATTGCTACTTATTGTCTTTTTTACATCATAAATACCTAGCAAGATTATATACAGCATGTACATTTTATAATCGATTTAATATATTGAATACATTTTAGCTAATCAATCAAATAAGAATATCATCTGTTGAATAATTTTCAGAACTATGCTCTGAAGGCTTATCATTTGAATGTACCCTATTTATCCATTTACACGTTGCTGGGCCTTTAGAATTTATCAAAACTTATATTGTCAAAAGATGAAGAATTTAGCCTCCTTATATTTCTTCCCAATTTCCTCCCAAAATTCACATTTAAGTTAGCATATTTTGTTTTTTTAATATCCAGATAATTTATTTTATGTTATACAACATTTTAAAATAATTATTTCTGATATATTTAGAAAACTGTTATATCTGGGACACATTTGGAAAAAATATGTTTGTGTACTTTCTGAGCTTTGGAAATATGGGTGTTATTTTATTGCCTTTAGATGAGAAAGATGAATTGGCTCTATATAGCAATCTGATGTCACAACATTTTCCTTCAAATACCAGCAGAAATTGTTTTGTTGGCTTAATGTTCTCAACATTGTACAGCAGAAGTCTCAGGTTATACTAATAAATTAAATGATGAAAGTAATCTTTTTCTACTGGATATTTGAAAAACTTTTCCTTAAATTCATATATAACATAAATATATGAATTATTACACATAATTCATTTATATATGTATAAGTGCCAGATGAATTGTTGAAATGATCCAATTAATATATATACATATATTATATAGAGATATAGATAATATAGATCATGTTCACATTCATCCAATTCATATTCATCCATATTGGATCCAATTCATATATATCATATGGATCATTTTTTATATATATATATATATATATGAATTGGATCATTTCAACAATTAGGCTGGTACTTAATGTGATATTTTAATGTGAAAACTAATTTACATTTTTCTTTTCAGAAACTTGTGTCCTATTTTTTAAGTAATTACTCAAATTTGATTTTCTTCTCTCATTTGTGACATCACTCATTTTAATATTAAATTCCCATTTTCCATTTTCTGTCTCTTCTCCTTTATCCATTTAATCTTCTTCATTTATTCCTATTTATTTAAGGCTAATTTCTCAAGATTGTTCTCCATATTGTAGGTTTAATACTGTGTGTTGTCAATTATGCTTATCAATACTGTACTTTAGATTAAATGTTTAGTATTGAATACACATCTCTTCAAGTTCCCATTTCACCTCTGCTTATTTAATAATCTGTTCTCTATTAATATCAGCACATTGTATTTTCATGTCATCATTTATTCAATCCTAGAGTCTATTTAATGTTATAACACAAAGGAGATACTTCTAAAAATTTACCAACATTAAATATTTTTCTCAAAATGTTTTCCTTCTGCATCTCAAGCACAACCCCCACTTTATCATATATTAATAAGGTAAAGCATAAAGCTTGTCATTATTCACATGGTTTGATGATTTTCAAATTGAATATTTATGAATATGATGTGGGAGTACTGATAAACTGCAAATCATTGGCCTCACTTGACCTATTGAAAAAATATTTTCTGGGATTGCAAGAGATTGTAGTGATTTTCACAACTATGTTCTCCTTTTCTTGTAAAGGAATACACATTCTAACCCATTGCTACATGGCTTATGGTACATTCTGTGGGTGTCTTGCTTTAAGCAATGGAATATAAGTTGATGTAACACCAAGGCCAAGTTTCAAATAAAATTTTGTGGGTCCCATCTATCTCTTGATGCTGCCCTCTGTCAAGAGATCCATATGTCCCACAATGTCCCAGTGGCTGTTCCTTCACCTAATGTCCAACACATGTAAAGCAAAGTTCCAGCAATCCTGAGCACTATACAGAAGTTTGTTTTTGTAAGGCACTGAGATTGCAGTATGGGGGTATTATCACAACAAAGCTGACAAACGTGGGAAAAGAGAGGCTAGGGAATTGTGCATTTGACAAGCTTCCAAAGTAAGGCTGCTGCAGGTGGTATATGGAGCACATGCTGAAAAGCATCAGCCTAGAGACTGGCAAAAGTATCGCTATTTCACTGCTATTTTATTTATTTGTTTTTTTTGCTTTAGACCAAAACCACATTTGCAATTTCTAGCAGTCATTCATCTAGCATAGCTCTGCTCAATAGAGTAAGATTGCCTGCTCGCCATTCCTGATCTTTGGTTTGTGAAGAGGGCACATTTTCCAGACAATTTGAAGCAGTCTACCATTTTTCTCTTGCTGAAAACAATCCAATAAAACCGCACCCCCAGAGGGCTTTGTTCTGCCCATTTTCTGTCACTGAATCCACATCTCAGGATGTAGCACTCTATTGCTTTCCCACTCCTCCTTCCGGTAACACTGCTGAGGAATTTATTTGATAAGTGATGCAGACAAAAAGAAATACCAAATGGGGGAATAGAAAAATGAAGTCATTCTTATTGCCTTCCTGCCACATAAAGCAGATCCAGTGTGGTATGAAGTATGGCTACCCCCGCTCAGATCAGCAAGTTATCCATACCTCTGATGCAGAGAAACATATTGAGTATAGACTCAATATTAAATTAAATCTACTGATTTCATGCTTTTGTCCTGATATTCCATACCAGCATTTTTTGGTTATTAGAAATCCTCTTAAGGTCTGATACATTTTTTAAATCAATTTTTTGAATTCCTTTTGCTGCTATAACTTTCCTTCTCTTTCTGTGTGTTCAGTGGAAGTCTGGTGAAAGCACCGGCTAGCTACCTTCTTAACCTGAAAATCCAAAATAATCTGGTTTAGAAGATTTTAAAAAGTCACAGTTGCTAAATAACAACTAACATCGGTTTGGGGGGAAGAGAGATGAACAATCTTGAGTTGAGAATATGAAGTAAACAAACAGTGGGGTAGCAGGCAGTACTGTTATAATGTTGGTCATGTGAAGCTCGGCAGGGTATCCTAGACCCTGCAGGAAGCTGCAGTCAAGATTACTATATGCGCTGCAAGTAGAAACAAGTCTATTGTGACTAAGAAACTTGTTTTAAAAGATTCAAAGTCAGTTTTAAAAAGAAAACACAAGTAATTCACTGTATTTATGATGCTTATCAAAGGCAACTAGAAAAAGTGTTGGCATAAATAATCATTTTAAAACTCAAACAGTACAAATTTCCAAACTGCAGCCTGCCTGGATATGAAGACTGTCTTATAATAATTCTTACTACTATTGTCTTGACAACTTTCATCTTAGGAGGAAAAAATTATTCTGAAATTAATTCCTTACAATGCCCCTGGCCAAGAGAGGAGATAAATTTCCCCACTCACTTCTTGCATACAGGGAAATTGAGGCATTTGAATTATGTGGAATAGATACATTATTAGCATTTTTATTATCATAATTTTAGGGGTGAAGGCATATGGCATTTTATGGGTTTCCTTGGCACATACATTTCGAGTGTTCTAAATTAACACAATAATATTCTCCTCTTGAAACAAATTCATTCCCCCTTCTAAGAGAACAGCAAACAAACATGTATCTCTTTGTTAGAAATACCTCCAGGCTCAAATTGAGAAAATGCCTGTCCCTGAGTGATCACAGCCAATAAGGCAAAGATTTCACATACAAACTGATGTTGCTCTTCTAGGGGGATGTATTAACTCAGACAACAGTGATGAATGTGAGATTTTTTTTTTTTTAAGGAAAATCATAAAAATTTCATTCACACGTAAATTATTTTTCTTGTTATCTGACCCAAGTAAAAGAGATCTAGGGCAAATAATCCAGTTGGAAAGCCTTCCCCAAGTAAAAGAGATCTAGGGCAAATAATCCAGTTGGAAAGCCTTCCCCAACATTTTCCACAGCTAGCAGATTTAACTTCTGCCTACAGCATAAAGGGTAAGGACAGAATTTGTTCCCTTTAAGGAGCTTTGGAGGTGTTACACCCTTTAGAGCTCAATGAAAAGAAGAATGCAAGTTGTGGATTTTCCAGTGAGTAAAGCATATAGTTGGGCAACAATTCAGGACACATTTTATGCCTTATGAACTGGGTTGAACCATTTTCAGCCGTATATACTGTGCATTTATGTTTTTCAGAACATTTAAATAGTTCTAATGAACACTTGAATATATCTAGTGGCTCATTAAACAATGTTAAATGAGATAGTTTTTTAAAGGATAAGAGTTGTTAACTGCAACATGGTAGTGATCACTTTACATAAATTGCTAACCTTATAAAAGCACATGGATATAATTTTATCATTTCCAAATTTAAAAACCAATAATTAAATTGCCTATACCAACCTCTCGTACACTGTCCCCTAAAGGTGGCAGGTACCCTGCCATAAGCATTGCTATAAAAATATAGATAAAATTTAAAGAGACCAAAATTATAGATGAAAAAATATAATAAACCAATACAGGGCCAGAGTTAGATTTGTGGATCACTGTCTGTGGTTAATAAAACAGTGGTTTGAATGTTGGAGAATATAAAATTTTAGTTGATTTTTCAGAAAGCTTGAAAACCTTTAGTTATTATAAGAAAATTTATAAAATTAACAAAACATGACCTTTTTAATTGGTGAGACCTAATGTTCACCAACCCAGGAACTCTGGTAAGCAGCAAAGCAACATAAATTTTGTCTGTATCGAGCATGCTATTCTCATGAGAAAAATGGCAGAAGGCCTTTGAAACTGACTGGTGGGATCTCATCTCACCAGAATTTTGATCCTTGACAAGAGAAGATAGATAGACCATGGCTGACTCACATTTTCAAAGTAAAAGCTAAACACATGAGAACATGTACTTAATCTCAGAAAATTGGTAGAGGATTAGAAGTCCTAGCGGCATTACAGTGTTTTAAATATCAGAGGTATAGATGACTATGGTAAATACATAACTCCAAGTCCACTTTAGAAAACTGAGCTAACCAAACGGAACTATACAATATAAAGTTTATGACTACCAGAAAGGGGAAAGAATGTAGGGAAGAGAATTTTTTTTCCAGATTATATAAATTTTCAATATTTTTTCAGAAATTACTTTTGACAAAGTTAGTGAAATAATATTCCTAATCTAAAAATTGGGCTGGGGAATTAGAACTGAAGAATACTATAATTATAATGCAGACCACATCATGATGATTTCTATGGCATATGAACCACTCATTACTGCAGTGGTGGACAATTGGATCTTAAATAGGTATTTGGTACGCAAAGCTGGTGGCTATACATTTTGGTGCCAAAAAAGAGATATAGGACTTCTGTGCTTAGAGTGAAACTGTATGAAAGAGTATATCATTATTCCAGAGTTGCCAGCTGCTGCTTTGTGATACCTTCTCCTTTTAAATTTGCCTTTCATATAGTTTCAATCATCACCATCTTCTACCTGCCTCACACATGTGGTACTTGTCCGGTAATTTTAGACAGGACAAAATATTCTTCTGGCCATAAACAGTGAACAACAAGAACAACAAAAATTAACTTTTGCCTGGGGCAAGTGTTGATTCAGTATTAGGGACAATTTTTCCACAGATTCCTGAAATATTATGAACTAGTCTCCTCATAATTACACTGTTTTCTTTTTCCCATGTTCACTGTTTCTTGGTGCTGATCACGATCCCAAAAGATATAGTCCTAAATGCCATAATCCTAGATGTTGAAATTTTGAAAGATGAAAATCCCTAAAGTCTAATATCCCAAACTTCTCAAATCCCCAAAATCATAATCTGAAAAGATTTAAATCCTGAATGCCAAATTTTGAGGAAGGGATTAGTATGTTTTCCATTGTACGCAGGATAGTTGCTTCATGTTAGGAGGAATTATTACCTGGTTATTGTCTTTATTTGGAAATTAGGTATGGTTTAAGGAGATGCATATAAGTGCCAAATTAACAAGAGGTAAACTTGTGACCTTAATGTAAGTGTCAGCTTGAGTGGATTAGGGAAGGAATACTTATAAACCAAGGGAAGTATTATTTTGGGTGGTCGATGAGGGTGTTTCCAGAAGAGACTAGTGTTTGGGTCCTAGTGGACTAGATAGAGATTTATTCCAATGTTGGTGGACACCATTTAATTTTCTGCAGGCCCAGAAAGAAGAAATGTGGGGTGCAAATTGTTCTCTCTCTGAGAGTTGGGACAGAATTTTCTCCTGCTGCCTTGGACATCCGAATTTTGACTCCACCAAAGTACAGTATCACAAGGTTGACCTGAAGTGGAAGCACTGTGTGTATACCTAAATATCTTGAAAGTTTCTCAATAAATGAAAAGGTGTCTTTTTTGTCTATTTGCATTTGTGAAAGATAAAATTTCTTGAGATTTTGGTTCTATGGGCAATTGCACATGTGGTCGTGACCCACTGGAGTTTTCTATGCATCTTGTTAAAAGATGTAGGTTATCTGTCATAGTATTTCAGATGACTGCAGTTATAAAGCTGGGTGCACATAATTACCAACCTTCGTGATTATGCATTTATATATTTTGCTTTTAAGTTTCATCAGCTCATAGCTACTATACCTCTAGAAATGTCTTTACTAAACCTGAATGTTTAAGCTTGCAAAAATATATATGTTATGGCACCTATTTTATTGTGTAGAGTGGCCTATGAAGTGTCCTGTCCTGTTTTGAGTCTTAAATAAATCCGTTTTAAATATGTACAGAAACATCTTCTAAACAATTTTTGAAAATCATTTTTTCCAGAATTATATTTTCAGAAATTTGATCTTTCAAGATTTCAACACTTAAAATTACAATGATTGGAATTGTGATATGGGATTATGCCTCAAACTTACTGTTTCTGTAGTCTCCTAAAGTTCATAATGCTTTAGTTTTTACTTCTCTGTCCCTAGAATCGTAATTTGAATATGTAAGCTTTTGTGACTGATATCCACAGCCAAATCTGTGTTGTTCACCTGCATCACTCTGTCTATACAGATCCCACTAGCCTAATGTGAAGCAAAATAATGTTTTGCCTCCACCGTTCTGATGTTTCTGAGTCATTGGACAGCTAGAGGCAATGTTGGGCAATAGGAGTAAAGAATTAATAGCAAAATCACTTGGAACTTTGAAATGCTAAATTCTTGTAGTAAAGTAATTTTAGGCAAGTGATACAATCTCAAAATATCAGTTTCTTTATCTATAAAATTGGAAACCAAAAGTGTCTACCTCATAGATTTGCCATAAGGGTTGAGTGAAATATGACACAGAATTCAGTAAGTACATCCATTCTTATCTCAGCTACCAATTTCATTTTGAGCTGCATTCCTAGATGAGAAAAGGAAATACAGGTAGTTCTCTTGACAAATTCTCATTTTCTTGATGATGGTAAAGATCTCTAATTTACCTAAAAGCCTTTCTGACACTCCCAAGTGTTGCCTCAGAATCTAGCAACAGTATTTTAGGTAGAGAGCTGCAATTAATCAGAGAGACTAGGAGCCGATACCTGTTTACTACCTGATAATAAACTTTGCTTAAACTTGTGTCGTGCTGTAACTACAGATCTCTCTTTGAGCTACTGTACTTCTCACTGTATAATGTAACTGATCTGGCCTCTTTCTTAGCATCATAATAATAATCAGATCTGACTGGTTTAAAGCAATACACAATTCTAGATTGTAGATTCTAAATCTTAAAATTGATATGAATTCAGATTTGCCATAAATTTATATGAGCATTTTTCAGCAATCACTTTGCTCAATGTTCTGTTTTTATTCTTTAAATAATGGCTTTGTTGATATATAATGTATGTAACATAAAATATGATTTTTAAAGTGTAAAATTCAGTGGCCCTTAGTAGAGTCACAGAGCTATAAAGCCATAATGACTAATTTCAGAATATTTCACCACGCTCAAAAAGCCCCATACCAATTGCAGTTATTTCCCATTACCCGTTTACCCAGCCATGGCAATAACAGACATACTATTCTGGACATTTTATATAAATTAAATCATAAATATGTATATACTATTCTGGATATTTTATATAAATTAAATCATAAATATGTGAATCAAAAATAAATGGCTTCATTCACTTAGCATTAATGTTTTCAAGGTTCATCCAAATTATAGTATGTATCAGTATTTCATTCCTTTATATTACTGAATTATATTCCATTGAATAGATATACCAGCTTTTGTGTCTCTCTTCACCATTTGAAGGACATTTCTGTTGTTACTGTTGTATAATGAGGAGGAATGCTGCTACAAACATTCATATACACATTTTGTGTGGAAATGATTTCCACACAAATATACATGTTTGTGTGGAAATGTTTCAATATTCTTTGAAACATTTCAAAGAACGTTGACATTTTGAAGAAGTGCTAAGTTGTATTCAAGACTGCTTCACCACTTTATATTTCCACCAGCAATGTATTCAAGTTCCAATTTTTTCATACACTTGCAGTTATGCTCTTTTTGTTAGGACCATCCTGATAGATGTACATTTATATTACATTGTTAGTTTGATTTGCATTTTCCCAAAGAATAATGATGTTAAATATCTTCTCATGTACTATTTGTTATTTGTGCACCTTCTTTAGAAAAATCTGTATTCAAATCATTTGCATATTTTAAAATCTTTGTGTTGTTTAGTTATAAAAATACATAATTTGCATGCTAGGCACTATCAGATATATTATTTATAAATATTTTTTGCCATTATATGGATTATCTTTTCACTTTTTAATGGTATTATTTGAAACACAAAATATTTTAATTAAGAAATCTAACCTATCCATTTTTTGTCATTTATGCTTTTGGTGTCATATCTAATAAATCATTACCTAATCAAAGGTAAGAAAAATTTACTGTTGTGTTTTCCTCTGAGATTTTTAGTTTTAGCTTTTCAATTTAGCTGATTAGTTCATTTTGAGTGAATTTTTGTACATGGTTTGAGTTAGAGATCCGATTTTATTTTTTTGTATGTGGATACACACTTTTCCCAGTATCATATATTGAAATACTATTTCCCATTTAATTATCTTGGCACACTTGTCAAAAATCAATTGCCCATAAATACCTGGATTTATTTTTGTACTTTCATTCCTCTTCCATTGATCTATTTATTCATCTGTCTTAATGTCAATACCTCTGCCTTCATCACTATAGCTTTATAGTCAGTTTTGTAACGGCCTGGTGTGAGTCTTCCACCTCTGATCTGTTTGTTCTTCATTTTCAAGATTCCTTTGAGTTTTCTGGATCCTTTAGTTATCAATATGAATTTTCAAACAAACTTGTTAATTTTTTTGGAAAAGAGCAGCTTAGATTTTGATAGCTTTCATGGTTCTGATTTATCATCTTAAAACTGATGAGAGGCAAGAATATATTTTTCCCTTGCTCAATGGTAACATTATAAAACCTATGTATGATACAAATATGATTTGTCTTCATATGCTTTCAGATAAAATATTTTTAAATGTTATATATGTATAAAATAACAGCCCAATTAGTAAACATAATCAGTGGGTAATAAGCAAATGTTATCATGATATCCAAGAATATTTTACTTCACTGAAATTCCAAAACATTTTTAAAAAATCAAATTGCACTTTAGAAGCTAAGAGAATTGATCCATTATTCTACTATAAAATACCATGATTCTGGTTTCATGTACTTTGGGTAATGTCTGCACATCTCAGCACCTGGATTTAGAATGGTGGCAAAATCATGATAGCATCTTAATGTACAGTCTTCCATAAACTGGAGTCAGGGAAAGAAAGGCCTTCTCGTGTCATTCCTAATCTTTTTGAGATTCGTGAAATTAAGAAAATTGTCCGGACAACTTTCTGGGGTTAATCATCAGATCCCTGAGGAAAGTTTCTGCTGTGGTTGTGATGCTCTAAAGCAATAAGCTAGGAAATAATTGGGAAGAGGGCAGACAACTTTGTCCTTGATTCATCTGATCTAAATTCTATAGTTTTCATTTTCATTATTCCTTTTCCCCTCAAAAAAACTTCATTTTTTGATTACACTTTTGTAGATTTTCTTATTTTGCTTTGATAAATTGGATTCCAGGTAAGGCCTATCTTTAGCAGGGTTTATAGTTATAGACATGGGGATTAACATTCTTCTCTGTGGAGTACTTTTTTCAGAACATCACTGCTTTGTGATATGAAGAAGATCTTTATCACTCTGGGGTCTAGGGTAGGGCATTATATCTGTAGTGTCATAGGGACACTTCTTTCCCAAGTAATATCTGGGCTGGAATTCTGTCTGAGCCTTAAAAATTATCGTATATGGTTTATATTTATTTACTATAAGGCCATCACAGATAATAAAATTGATCCAGAGATTTGGAGGGAATGAAAGTCATCTTCACATGGCTGATTTCTGCTCTTATATATGATACATTTCATATATAGCAAATGACTAAGTTTTAAACCATGAATATTTATTTCAGAGATGAAATTACTGGAAATTTCATACCTTCCTGAGGTGACATGATCACGTATCATGACGCGTTACCTAGGAGTTGTACTCTGCTTCTAACCCCACCCAGTACTAACCACGGCCCATTAACTTTCAGTCCTGTGAAGTAATGTAGCTTCATAAGCCTCTAGGGCAATTGTATTCTTAGGATCTTCTATACTTTGATAGCAAGAGCCAGAAACTTAGGAAACAAGGGTAGTTCAGATTCAAACCCTCTTAATATCATAATTTTCCATATCAATGTTACCCTTATGCCAATAGCAAGCAGAAGTGACCTTGTGCACGTATACATCCTAATTACTTTGCATTGACAATTTTTATATTAGTAAGGAAATTCTACAGTTTCTTATACTTTACATCATGCAATCCCTGTCAGTAGAGTGAAGATGAAGAGCATAGAAAGGATGAATTTCTTATTCTCCTTTACTTCAAGTCTTTTCCTCAACATGCACTTGAATATCACTGCTTTAGGACTTCAGCAGAGGCGCTGAATTTCCATGTCTTCCCTGCAGCACACTGCACCTCATGCCAAGGCATAAACATATTCTAAATGGCCATTATACTGTGAGGGGAATTTAAAGAAATAAAGTGGTTTAGTTACCTGTTTTATCTGACCAAGAATGCTTTACCATTGTTTTATGGGTAACAAATTTGAGATTCACTGATACTGAATTATAGACCTACGGTCAAAATTTTAATTAGTGGTGAAAGTGATAATGAATATTCACTATACTACATTGCTTTTAATATCAATTTACTTTTATATTTTATTAAGCATCAAACAATGATCAGAGTCAAATATCTCTTTGATAGGAATGAACTCTGCATTTGCTGAAGGCAAATTGTAACTATATCTAATGAAGGAGCAAGGAGTTCAGGAGCTACAAACTCCATTGTGAGGGTCAGCTTCAAGATAGAAATATAACATAATCTGCTACATTATGCCAGGTACCTAGGAACCCATGTAGTCATGGAACCATAATGATAGTAAGTTAAGCAAGATGGTATTCATGTGAAGAGACCCTTCCTAAGGCTCAAAGTACACAAATACTCAGTGTGACAACTATTTTGATAGCTACAGCAATGCCACCAAGGGAGTGAAATCTGTTCTAGCAGCAAGCAAAGCAACACATTAACAGCTTCCAGAAGAGGAAAATAACTCAACCTGAACCTATGCAATGCTGCCAGAGTACATGAGCTGGATCAGTTATTAGCCACCTGTCAATGAGGAGGGAAATTCAGTTGTTTTAATTTCTCTCTTTGAAGTTTCAATGAGAGCCTATCCTTTAATGCACTTGTTCTATCCTCAGATACCCTTAGCGGTCATTGTCAAGACTTGAAACATACAAATCATCTGAAAATAGTATAAAATATAGATGTGTGTACTACATGTACATGTGGACATGGTATTACAGACTGGGCTGAATGAATACAATTCTACCAAAATTCTCAATGTTCAGGGAATTTTCTGAACACTGTTATCTTTTGACAAGCTTTTCTTGCAAAAGTACCAAGTCAAACAAGCAAACAAAACACAAAAGCTTACAGGTTTTAAATTTCAGTTAATTAACGTTTCACTTTAAATCCAAATGTAGCCACATTTTTAAAAGTTTTTATTTATACTTTATCTTATTCCATTAAAAATTTATGGCAATTGATAGGAAATCCACTCAATAAAATAGAAAAATAAGAGAAAAACATTTAGGATAATATAAATTAGAATAGGCGGTATGTTGGGGGAGGGAATGGTGTCAAAGTCATATAGATGATCAGGTTATGCTGTTCAGAGTTTTTATATTCAGATAGTTTGTTTTTGAGCTTCCTGGGTGCTAAAGTAAAACATATATCATTGATTTGTTACATACTGTTCATTATTCATGAGTTTGAATAGTGATAATAATAGATTGTCATAGTCTTTAACTGGAGTGGATCCCATTTAAAACCACCATACCATGTTCCCTAAAAAAGACCTATCAAACTAGAAATTTTTTAACCTGTTATAAGTTATATCTAGCAATCATTATATACAAGGGTGAAATGCTAGAAGAATTCTTTTCAGGGATCAAACAAGGATACCCTCTACAACTTCTATTCATCAGTATTGTTGGGTGTCCCAGCCAGGGCAATAAGACAAGTAAAAGTAATGAGATAAACTGGAAAGTGAAAGCAAATCTCATTATTTGTAAGAAATATTACTTAGAATATGAAAGACAGACAACTGAAAAGCTATCAGAACCAGTGTTGAAAAAGGAAACAGTACAAGATTAATATACAAACGTATAGCAATATTTTATGGGAAAAAATGGATATTGTTTATAATAGCAATTAAAAGTTACCTAGGAAAAACCTAACAAGAAATATGCTAGGGTCTTATGTCCTTTTTTTGAAAGATAGTTAAGAAAACTTGAATAATGGAGAAGAATATCATGGCCATGAATGCGAAGGTTAAGTTGTAAAGAATTAATTTCAATCCTGTTTTAAAACTCTCAAGAGGACTTACCTTAGAACTAGTCAAACTGATTCTAAAATTCATGTGAAAGTGTAAATTCAAAAGTAGCCACTACTTAAAATGGTACACATTAGTTAGATATGCCTCCATACTATGCTTAGGAACTTATACAGACATACCTTAGAGATATTGTGGGTTTGGTTTCAGACCATGGCAATAAAGCAAATATCACAATAATCACAATAAAGCAAATCACACACACACACACGCACACACAAACACACAGAGACATTCTACTGTGATGCTTTCTTTTTTTTTTTTTTTTTTTTTTAAGATGGAGTCTCACTCTGCCTCCCAGGCTGGAGTGCAGTGGCACGATCTTGGCTCACTGCAACCTCCTCCTCCTGGATTCAAGCGATTCTCCTACCTCAGCCTCCTGGGATAACAGGCACACACTACCACATTGAGCTAATTTTTGTATTTTTACTAGTGACGGGGTTTCGCCATATTGGTCTCAAACTCTTGACCAGGAGGTCTCCAACCCTTGACTTCAAGTGATCCGCCCACCTTGGCCTCCTAAAATGCTGGGATTACAGGCATGAACCACTGCCCCAGCCTTTATTGTATTTTCTTTTTTGTGTGTGAGACGGAGTCTTGCTCTGTCGCCAAGGCTGGAGTGCAGTGGCGCGATCTTGGCTCACTGCAAGCTCCGCCTCCTGGGTTCAGGCCATTCTCCTGCCTCAGCCTCCGGAGTAGCTGGAACTACAGGCACCCGCCACCACGCCCGGCTAATTTTTTTTTGTATTTTTAGTACAGACGGGGTTTCACCATGTTCGCCAGGATGGTCTCGATTTCCTGACCTCGTGATCCGCCTGCCTCGGCCTCCCAAAGTGCTGGGATTACAGGTGTGAGCCACTGCGCCCGGCCTCTTTATTGTATTTTTAATTCAAACACAGGCTATAATTCACTGCCTGATTTTATTTAAATAGTTTATTACAAAGTACTACTACTGTATATTCTCATTGTAGAAAATTTAAGAGAGCAAAATAAAAAGTAACACCAATTATCCTTCATAATTTCATCCTTCATAGATTAAAAATTGTTCTCTTTCAGATTTTTTCTTACTTACACAAACACATACATTTATATTACAATCATACAGTACATACTATTATATTTTATTTAAAATTTTGTAATGTTAATTATTCTCAAGTGGCATACATCTTAAATTTATAATAGTAAAAGTATAATAATATAATAGGAAAGCATAGAGTCATAAACTCAGATGCATGGACTCTGGACACAGGTTTCCTGAGTTTCAATCTGGTTTCACTATTTAATAGCTCTGCAGTAGTGGGAAAATGTCTTAATCATCCCATGCTTCAATTCTCTCATCTGTAAACTGAAGATGGAGACAATACAGCAACTAACAGTGTTGTTATGAAGATTACATAAGTTAATACTTCTAATATGCTAGAAAAAAAGTCATTTTGTAAGTATTATTTTAAATATAATATACTATATTAATAAATAATAATTCATGCATATAACCCCTTTAGTTTGATATTTCAGTTGATTTTAATTTTCTTTTATTTCTTAATTTTTCTTCCATGTAATACGTAATTCTGCAATAAACATTCTTCTAGCTATTCATCAAAATTATAATTATTTCCTTAGAAAAAATTTTCATGTATGAAATTATGATGAAAGTATGTGTACCTTTTAAAGACTTTTGATATATAAGCCAAATGACGTTTTAGAAGCCCTATACTAATACATTGTAGAGAATATCAATATATTATATATAATATATATATATATATGCATTAACATTGTAGGAGGAGTAACTTGAACCTTTCTAACATAGATGCAAGTTTGTGCATATGTGTTTATGTGTGTAAATAAAATATATATGGGAGAGTATATAGGTGTATTTTAATGTTTGTCTGTTTAAAGGGCCATAAATGCAAACAAATGGCTTCTCATTATTTATATTAGCTGTACTTTAAATTTCTGAAGAGTAAGCATTCTAACTATTGAGTGTACGAACTATGAAAAACACATATATTAACTTTTTTAAACACTTTTGTGAACCTAGAAATAGATAATAGCAATGCTGATTCATTAAAAAAATTGGGGTTAAAAATTCTAGGAAGGAGAATGCTTTCATTTTATTTCAAGTATGAAGGACGTAGTTTATTTATGAGTATAGTAGGGCTCTTAAATGTGTTTGCAGACTAAATTTACTCCAACTGGATTGTTTAAAAAACTGTAGACTGAGAATTCAGTTTAAAAATAATTCCACAGTTAAAGTACTTCCAAGAACCCAGCAGAAGCGTGAATTACCGTTGAATTTCTCTAAGAAATTTGAGATGTAGTTCTGTTAAAACAGAACTACCATTTGATTCAGCAACCCATTACTGGATATATACCCAAAGGAAAAGAAATTGTTCTGCCAAAATACACATGCACTTATCTGTTCATTGCAGCATTATTCACAATAGCAAAGACTTGGGATCAACCTAGGTGCTCATCAATGTGAGACTGGATAAGCAAATGTAGTATATATACTCCACAGAATACTTCGTAGCCATGAAAATAAATGAAATCATGTTCTTGCAGCAACACTTAGGATATCTTTCTCCCAAGTGAATTAATGTAGGAACAGAAAACCAAATACCACATTTTCTCACTTATAAGTGGGAGCTAAACACTGAGTACACATGGACATAAATATGGGAACAATAGACACTGGGAACTACTAGAGACAGCAGAGAAGGACAGGGGCAAGGGCTGAAACTACCTATTGGGTACAATGCTTGCTACCTGGGTGATGGGATCATTCATACCTCAACCCTCAGCATCATACAGTATACCCATGTAAAAAGCCTACACACAAACCCCTGAATCTAAAATAAAAGTGCAAAGTATATTTAAAACATCTCTGAATGAAAGGTTGAACAATTTCAACAGATAAATCTTTAAGAATATGACTCCTAGCAAAAAACAAACAAAATAAAAATCTCTCTCTCTCGATGTCTGTCTCTACACACACATACACAAACGCATACAAGCATGCAAGCGCCTGCATGTGCACATGTGTGTGCACACACATACGCACATATATATACACAAAAGGCACCAGAGTTTAGCTAAATAGCAACTGACCTGAATCTTAACTAAACCAGAAATGCTGGGTATATATCCTTGGATTTCCTTCTTGTTTCCCACTTCTTAGTAATGAATCAATTTATAAAATATTTTAAAATTCTTAAGACTCAGTAATAGGAGGAAAAACAACACAATAAAATTGGATAAAATGTGAAAAATACTTCACAAAAGAAGATATAAGAATGGCAAGTAAACATTAGTCATAAAAAATACAAATTAAAATTACAATGAAATAGAATGGCTAAAATGAAAATGACATCATGGGATGCTGGCAAGGATGGGAAGAAAACTCTCAGTCATCTCTTCTCAGGATTTCTAGTGGTACAACCCTTTAAAAAAAAAGTTTTGCTGTTTATTATAAATTAAGTCATACACCTACAATTACCACTCTTAGGTCTTTTGCCAAAAGCATATGCCCATAAAAGATGTGTACATGACGGCCGGGCGCGGTGGCTCAAGCCGGTAATCCCAGCACTTTGGGAGGCCAAGGCAGGCAGATCATGAGGTCAGAAGATTGAGACCATCCTGGCTAACACGGTGAAACCCCGTCTCTACTAAAAACACAAAAAATTAGCCAGACATGGTGGCAGCCATCTGTAGTCCCAGCTACTCAGGAGGCTGCGGCAGGAGAATGGCGTGAACCTGGGAGGCAAAGCCTGCAGTGAGCTGAGATCGTGCCACTGCACTCCAGCCTGGGCAACAGAGTGAGACTCCATCTCAACAACAACAACAACAACAAAAAAAAAAAGCTGTGTACATGAATGTTCATAGAAGCTTTAATTATAAAATACAACCAAAATATTCAACAACCTATGTATAGATAAACAAATTATACTATAGCCACGCAACAGAATACTCAGCATTAAAAAATGAATGAATTATTTATGTGTGCAATAAAATTAATAATTTTCAGAATTATTATACTGAATGAAAGAAGCCAACGATCCAAGCTGTACAATTCCATTTACACAAAACTACAGAAAAATATGAACTAATTCTCTGACAGAAAGAAAAACAGTAGCTGCCTGTGGATGGTAAGCAGTGAGACAGATGGATTACAAAGTGGCAAAATGAAATATGAAGATGAAGGAAAATTCAATGTCTTGATTGTGGCGATAATTCATTGAGTGTGTACTTACCAAGTTGTATATGTTAGCTATGTTCAGTTTACTGTATATCAATCTTAACTCTATTCATTAATTTAAAAAACCTACAATTTCTCATTCCATTCATGACATCTCCCTTTGCTTTCCCATGTCTCAATCCTCAGTCTAAATTTGGTCAGATTCCAGAATTAGAGATAATGGGAATGTACTGTGTTCTTTCACTTTTTTTATTACCGTATATTTCTCACTCTATGTGAGGATAATGGTTACATGAACATGAAAGATAACAGGAAAGGGGCAATAGAGCAAAGATTTCTTTCCATAGCTAGTGTTTGTTGCACTTATTTTTTCACTGAATGCCCTCTGTAATGGAAGTCATCCGAATGTTTGTTTTCTCCTGTGAAATACTTCTGGGAGTTCTTGAGAGACTGCGTTCCGTAGACCACAGCATTTTCATATTTTTTAACAAGGCCTGGGGCTTTCTTGTGACATGTTTATAATTTCTGTTTTGGAGAAGTCTTCTGCTCCATCTAGTAATTTTCTTGGGTAGCAAATATGTGAAGACAGCTTTTACCATGTGTTTTTTCTTTGTGGTGTTAATATGGTCCACAGGGAAATGTACTCACTTCTACTCTACCAAACTCTGTATATAGAGGATATTCTCACTGTAAACTTTTATGAGTTTCTCCTCCCAACTTCTAGACTTCATGTTTCTCCAAACTCCTGAAAACATTTGCAAACTCTGCCAAAAATACTGTCACCACACTCATGTGGGTACCATAGCACAGGTTTCCTAGTGTGTAGGGGCTGCAGGTGGAATATCAGAAGGATTGTTAAAGCACCCAGGCAGTCACCTTGCTATAACATGTTGCGGCACTCATCATCCACTCTTCTTGGCTTTGATATTTCAAATCAGATTCTAAGGCAACAGGAAAAGATCTCCGTGTGTATGCATCACATACATGTGAACTTCCCTACCATTTTTAAGAATGTGAGGAAGGAAATAGGTTGCAGAAGCTTTGTCTGCTACTTTGATCCATCACTTCTCCTTCTCCAATGATATGATCTTTAATTATTTTAATTATAAAATAAATAGGAGGGATTATCTGAATTATTTCTCTGTACAAGACATTTTCTGGAGAAGTCTTCAACAGTGGATAAATCTGCTGTTCTGACGGAAAGTGTGAAATCTTTTTAGACAATTTCAGTGATAAGCACGTTACTTAAATGTGCAGCAGAAACAGGTCAAGAATTCTCTTTGTATCCGCTAAAATTTATGATGAACAAGAGTTAAGAGAAATAAAAAGTCAGACAATCAGACTAGCATGACATATCCAAAATGTCCTGTTAAAAATACTACAAAAACCCAAAAGATAATGACTTCTGATGTATAGCTTTAGACAATAGTTCAATTTACCACTTGCTGTCACAGAATATACATTAAATAAAAACATATATGACAAATTAAATTATAATTTTCTCTAGCAAACGTAAATCACAATGCCAACACAGAAAATCTAGTAAGATAATCAAATAAATAGCCTACACATCAAAATATATTAACACATTGCAATAAAAATAAACCCAAGGTGTACATCTTACACTACATGAAACTACGTGTTACTTCCTGCACTAAATAAAAGTATTAAAAGAATTGCATTTATAGGTTTTAATTATCAGTAGAAGAAATAGTGAAATGAATAACATGCTTCCCTTAAGAAATTACTTTTGATAATTTTTCAATAAATGTAAAGTTTAAAAGTGAAAGCTGAATTGTTTGATTAATAATTTCTATTACTATTTAATAACTTGATAAAAAATACTAAATGCCTATAGTTTCTTAAATAACATACTGAAACTTAAAAAGATAAAAGTTACTTGTAAGAAAGATATACAAATCAAAGCCTTTTTTAAAAAATGTTTTAAAAAGAATTCTATTGAGATAACAAATTGTATCATATTTCTCATACAAAATATAATATCTTAGCTGATTTTTGTTCTCACGTTCCAGTACCTCTTCACTATATTTTATTTCCATCTAATAAGCATATTATTTAACTTGTGGCATATGTGGAGCTAATCCACGACTGGGCAAAAAAGTAACCAAGCATTTTTCTCAACCCCTGTGAAGCTTGCAATCTAGGGAAGACAAGTCAATAAATAATTGAAATACACTGAGATAAACAAGATGAGGAAATAGAAACTTAATTATTACGTTGGTGCAAAGGTCATAGCACTTTCTGCCTTTTTTTTTTTTTTTTTTTAGGTGGAGTTTTACTCTTTTTGCCCAGGCTGCAGTACAATGGCATGATCTCAGCTCACCGCAACCTCCACCTCCTGGGTTCAAGTGATTCTCCTGCCTCAGCCTCCCAGGTAGTTGGGATTACAGGCATGTGCTACCATGCCCAGCTAATTTTGTATTTTTAGTAAACACGGGGTTTCTCCATGTTAGTCAGGCTGGTCTTGAACTCCTGACCTCAGGTGATCCACCTGTCTCGGCTTCCCAAAGTGCTGGGATTACAGGCGTGAACCACCATGCCTGGCCATTTTTTTCTCTAATATATAAAGTAATTTGCTCAATGAAGCACAGCAAATAAGTAGCAGATGTGGATTTTTGAATACATGACTGCCAGACACCAAAATCCTTGTTATCAAGGATGGCTGACATATTGAAGAAATATGATTAAAATATGAAATTATAAACAATTGATATAACATTTAAGGTAACAAAAATATGATAAGATCTAAATGTGTTAAACAAATATTATTGACTATTATTTTAGAATAGACTTGTTTATTGTTCAATACAAAAGATGATTATGTCTGTTTTTTTCTAACATTATTTAAATATTTCAAAGGTACCATTATCTCATAGGTTGGAATAAATACATTTATACCCCTTAACATCATGTATATAATCAAAATTAATCTAATTAGTGATATTATACTTTTTGTTCTTCACATTTTACTTCTAAACAAACATTCTGACCTGTGTACTGAGAAATATGAAGTAATAAAGGATCACTATCATATGTTGTGATATCAAAAAATAAAATATTTTAAGCTACATAATCTAATTGCACCCCAATTACAAATGCATTTTGAAAGATTAGAAAATTTTAAAACTTAAAAACAGTCTTAGTGACACAAACATGTTTGTAAATCATCCAACCAACATACCTCTAAAATGTCAAAAATATTTAGGAGGTAAAAGGAAACTTAGAATGCAAGAGAATTTGGTGACAGCTTCATGAGTAAATATTTGTAAATACTTCTGTCAATCAGTCAGTGTTAAAGTACATATTTCTTTCGACACATAAAATTAAGATGAAGGAAGACCTTAGATCATGCTTACTAAATGTGCGTATACAATAAGTACAGAAGTTTCATTGACTATTGAGATTATTGTTGTATATTTGAAATTTAGTGAAATGAATCAATGAATCACCCACTTTTAGCAAATGACAACATTCTTCTTAGATTGAAATTATTTTTAGTACATACTTGCTTACCATATGGTTTTCGGTAATAAATTATTTAGAAATATACATATCACTTGCACAAATATTATCATTGTAATCACCTAGGCATTATAGATGGTTATGTGGCGCTCGCACAAAAAGATAATTAGTAACCATTAGCTCTAAAGTGACATTCAGCATACTCTGAAGTTTTAAATTCTTCATCTATACACAAAGGACTCATTATATTAGTATATTAATATTGTGATGTCAATCATTAATATTCATTAAATATATTATTTACTGGTTAACAAATTTCTCCCTGAAAATCATATTTATTTTACTTTTTAAAATTACAACACATTTGCTTATGTTTTTAAAAAATTGTTTATATTTGTAAATATAGTTGATTCTCATTATTCACAGTAGCTACATTCTAGAAATTCATCATGAACACTGAATTAGCAAATACTGAATCATTGCCCCTAGGAGAAATAAATATAGGATTAAGCTCCTGTGAGCCTTTGATCACAACATTGACATCAACTAACCAATACATAACTGCTTTTTGGTGTGTTTCTGTTTAAATATGTATTTTAAATATATACCATTGATTCATTAACATTGAAAATGATCAGTAACACTGTAACTCATGCCTGAACGTAGTTTATCTAACACATGTACTTTCCTCATTAGGCATATCACAGCTTTCTTAGGCTTAAGGACACTAAACAGCACTTTAGTTTGGGGGGCATTTTAAATAGCAAGATCACCAACAAAGAACACAGAAATGCAAAGAAAAAAAAGTAGCACTAAATATACCATCTAAAGGACACTTGTTTACAGTATGAGAGCTAAAACCAGAAGGCAGAGCATTGCTTGTTTCACCTTATCTGGGAACATGCCTGTCTGACAACAATTTCTTTTTCTATTGTACCTGTGCACATTCTGTGAATTACCAAAAGCCACCTCAAGTGTTGATTTTGGGGTTACAAAAAATTTTAGTACATAGGCAAATCTGCAAATATGGAATTCACAAATAATGAGTATCTACAGTATACTATCTGTCATGTGAGCTTTCCTCCTTCCTTTTTTGAAGAGTTTTCTTTAGACTTGAGATGAGTGACACATAATTATATGATTAATTATAGTATTTTTAGGAGCCCCTCCCCTAGGCCCTAGGCCCTTCTTTTTTTTTTTTTTTTTTTTTTTTTAGAAAAAGGAGTTGCTAGTAAGACTATTCATTCTTTTGTAATTAATGATTATAACATCTCTATTTCAATTAGAGTGTTTTTGTTTTGTTTTTTTCTGAGATGGTGTCTCGCTCTGTTGCCCAGGCTGGAGTGCAGTGGCACAATCTCAGCTCACTGCAAGCTCTGCCTCCCAGGTTCACGCCATTCTCCTTCCTCAGCCTCCCGAGTAGCTGGGACTACAAGTGCCTGCCACCATGCCTGACTAATTTTTTGTATTTTTAGTAGAGACAGGGTTTCACTGTGTTAGGAAGAATGGTCTTGATCTCCTGACCTCATGATCCGCCCACCTCGGCCTCCCAAAGTGCTGGGATTACAGGTGTGAGCCACTGTGCCCAGCCTCCCCTAGGCCCTTCTTTATAGAAAAATCTGAAGCAAATATATTCTGCTGAAGATATTTCTTAATTTGATTCAGATTTTCCCTGGTTTTGAGAATAAAAATATTGGCAAATATGTTAGAAACTAATAAGACACGAATGTATATAAATATGCAAAAACAGAACCAGTAATCACCTCATCTGCAGTATTATGGTGTTTTGGCTGATGCCTATCCCCTTCAGTCAGAGACAATTCATATAGCTTTCAATATAGCTACGGCATGTTATTAAAAAAAAGTGTTTATCACTCCAATAAGTAAGTATACCCATACTTTCCCTCCAAGAATGCATATCTTCATTAAATGCAATCTTTTATAAACTGATAATGTAGTAATAAAAATATACAAAAAATTGGAATGAAAATCAGCAATTTTCTTTTAGAATGAAGAAAATCAAAATAAAAATGAATAGTTTACTGAATTTTAAAGTTGCATAGAGAAAGAGTAGAAAAAGAGAAACCAAAGAATCAAGATACAGAAGGCTGAAAGTTTTATTATCCTATGTGCATGACATTCTGGAAAGGCAAAACTATAGTGACAGAAATTAGAACCATTGACACAAACCCCTGACAGTGGTTGCCAGAGGTGGTGGATGGGGGAGTGATTAGTTACAAAGAAACACAAAGGAAGTTTTGGGCTTGATATAAATGAAAACAATGGTGTACTGAACAGTATTAAGATTAAGGACTTCTGTTCATCACATGAAACCACTAAAAATATAATGCAGTCCACAGAGTGGGAGAAGGTATTACAATACCTTCTTCTAACAGAGGAGTCATATTCAGGCCGCCTAAAGAGCTCTGCTCAATAGCAAAAATGCTAAATACTTGAACAGTTTTTAAGTATAGCATAGCATATCCAAATGACCAATAAGCATATGGAAAGGTTCTAAATTGTATCAGTCATTAAGAAAATGCAAGTTAAATTGCATGAAAGCAACCACTAAAATTTTTTAATAAAATTTTAAAAATCATGGAAAATACCAAATGTTGGCAAGGATTTGAGCTACTGGAACTCTCTACTGTTTTACGGAAAGTTCAACCACTTTGTAAAACTATTTGGTGGTATCCACCAAAGTTGAATATATGCATACTCTATATTCCTACAATTCTACTCCTAGGTATATATCAGAATATATTCTATGTATATATTTACCATATAAATAATGTTCATCAACAGGCATTTCATCAACAGACACATATCAGAATGGTCATGGCACTACCAAGAGTAATACTCTAAAACTAGAAAATACTCAAGTGATCTTCAATAGTTGATTGGATACATAAATGATGCTGTTTATGTGATGATGGAATTCTACATAGCAATGAAAAGGAATTAACTACAACTATATGCAATATGATGTTTGAATTTTACAAGTATATTACTGAATGAAAGAAATTAGAACAAAAAGAGTACATCCTATAGGATTCCAAACAAACTTTTGTTTCCAGATGCAAGAGAAATAAAAATTACCCTTGTTGGAGTGGTGTTTAAAAGGGGTTACAAGGTATACTTCTAGAATTCCGGTAATGCTACATTTCATTATCTAATGGGTTCTTTATCTAGATTTTTTTTTTCATTTCTGGTGAAAATTTCTCAAGCTGTTTAATATGATTTCTATATATATCTGACTATATATTGTATTTCAATAAAAAGTTAAGAAAAATCGATTACTTATAGACAAATGGATATGTTCTGATAAACTTTAAAACTTTTAATATATTTGCTTTTTTTGTTTCTCCAAAATTAACTCAGACTTTTATCAAGCTTTTTTTCTATTTAAAGGCTTGGTTTTTACATAGTTGTTCGCAAGGTCCTGACTGCTCTGGTGTTGACGTATCTCTGGCTGTTTTGGCTCTCAGAAGGTCTTTTCTTTTGTTTTTGCTATTTCAAATGTCCTTGTCTTCTGGGTGCCCTTGTATTAAGGTGGAATGAACAGTCAGTATTTCCTCTTCAGTCTTCAATACTTTATCAAGCTTACTTAAACCTAAGACTGTTTTATGTGTGATTTAAGCTAATGCCCTTATTAAAAACTATGTTCCATTTGCTAACAAGCAAAAAGATTGCCAACTCACAAGTACAAGTTTTCTAAAAAATTACATACCTTATATAGCTTAATCTCATGTTTGTTTCCAGTTAATTATGAGCCTCCCTATGATATGATGGCTGTGACACTAATCCTGTTCTAAATCCCTCAACAGGAGAGCCTCTGAAACTTGTGGAAACTCCCCATCCCTACCTCAACTTTACCTTACTAATTTTGCAAACAGCTGAAAATTACTACTTAATGAAGTTTTCTTATGATCTGTATTTTCACTGGGGATTTCACAGTCTTGTGTTTCAGAGACTATTTTTCAATAGATCAGCCTACTTTTATTTACTTTTGTTTTTGTCATACAGTAAACATAAATTAAAACATGCTTTATAAATATTTGATGCTAACAATAAATATTACTTGATCTGTCATTAAGAAAGCCAATTTCACACAAAATAGAGAAGGTAGTAATGTGCTTTTCTAGGTGTTAATTTATTTCCCATGCTGTGGATACTCACACCTGGGGCTTCTGGAGTTTTTACCTTATCACCTTACTATTTATCCCAGTAAAGTTTTTGCAAGGAGATGTACAATGTGGTGTGAGAAACTGATAATAGCTTCCCATTTCTTCTACACTAATGGTTTCCAAATGTTAGTTACATAAATTATACTGGGTTTAAAAGATTGTTTAAAAATGGATATCTCTATACCTCATTACTGGAGATATTTGCTCAGCAGCATTAAAGAGCAAATGTCACTTCTCTGAATCATTCCCTTATTTCCAAAGCAAAATTTTGGAGCACTTCCTGCTAGTGTTTATGCTGAAATTTGTACTAACTCTTCTGTGGCTTTTATGTTATTTTGTGTTTTCATCATTTGTCAACACGAGCCAGCTAGCATAACTATAAAACTTGTAGGGTAGGAAATAACCCTGAGAAAGTCACCCAACATGCATTTCAAGTTTAATAATGAATTCAATAGCTCATTTTTAAAGAAAATTATTATTTAGTTATGTATGTTATCGGAATTGGACTAGGTGCTGGGTTTAAATAAACTACTAGAACTCTGTCCCTGCCCTCTAGAACATAAAACTACTATTATAACTACAATTACTACCACCATTACATTACTACACTACTACTACTGCTATACTACTACTAATAGTAATGACCAAAAACAACACCACATCAGCAATAAGAAAAAGCATTTATGGAGTCATTATTATATGACTATTACTGTGAGCACTTTGATCAGCACAGCAACTTGAGTTGGGAGCTACTAACCTTAATTTCCTCTTTAATAGAAGAGTGAATTAAGGCCAAGAAAGATTAACCATTTCTGGTTCCTCTAGTCATCTATTAGAGTATAATAAATACAATAAATTAAACATGGTAACTCAGCTAACTAATAGACATGACTAATTCACATAATTAGTAAAAGTTATGTGAGTGTCAGCCAAAAAACTATCAATATTACCTAATGGTGAGGGCAATAGGGATGGATCAAGAAAAGCTTTCCAAAGGATGTGACTTAAAGAAAGTGCAACTAGTTATTTTCCAGATGGAGAAGAGTTTAGGTGGTAATAGGGGGAGGAGGGTATTGCATAGTGTAGAAAGAAAAAAACTTATTAAGCCAAGGTGCTTAGGTAGAACCACATTTCATATGAAATTTGGGGAGCATGAGAATGAGAGAATGTGTACTCATACAGGATTTGAAGGGAACTCGAAAGGGTGGTTTCAATAAAATGATGATGCAGATGATACTCACAACGGTTTATTTTCTGAAAATAAGATATGTTGGTTCAGGGTTATAGTTTATAAATAGCTTTGGATAAAATATCTGTAAATCAATGGAGATTAAAAATGAACAGATATAATATTTTTCTCACATATTTAATCCTTCGGTGACACAAAGTTCTCCATATTTAACAGAAAGAAAACCTTTAAAACTTTTAATAGAGATGTAATAAAAATTTTGTATCTAATCAATTTTGACCGAGCATAGTAACTTCGGCACCTAGAACATACTCTCTAAATCCATAATTGAACACATGATGTTTTAGTGCAGTAGGACTATGACTTTAATGCAGGACAGGCGAGTTCCAAAATTGGGGCTTAGCCCCAGAGAGCTCTTGGCTTCACCCAGGGAAGAATTCAAGGGCAAGCTGATGGTGTTAGATAGCAATCTTGTATTGAACAGTGCTGCTCCTTGTGAAACAGGCTAACTCATAGACAGTGGACCCAGAGTCCAAAACTTATGGGCTGTTAACAACTGTATTTATACCCACTTATACGTACTTTCAATTACATGCAAATTAAGAGGCAAATTGAGGAGTGGGTTATTTAGCACTTTCAAGGAAAAGGGCAATAATTTATGGGTCATTGCCACAGAAAGGGATAATAACTTCCTGGTCATTGCCACAGCATTTTTAAGCTGTCATAGTGCTGGTGGGAGTCTTTTATGCTAATGAGAAATGCAAGCAACTAGGAATTACTTTCATCACCATCTGCTTGTTCCTGCCAGGATGTTTGTTTGTTTGTTTGTTTGTTTGTTTTAACTTCATCCTGTCAGGACCAGGAAATAAGCCTTGCTGGTCTCCTACCTCAGTTTTGTCTGGGTTATATAACAGACCTAACAATTAGGAGTGTGAGGACAAAAAATGAAATTTTATTTACTGTTACTATTATTTTGTTTTTAAAAAATTTAAAGAGAAAACATCTTTAGTTCAGAAAAAATAACTACAAGAAATAGTCTCCTTATTCATAAAAATATTTTATTCAGTTGTTAAATATCTTTAAAATATATCTGCAAAAAAATGTACTAACTTCTGTCATCTATTCCACAGCTGTTTTCTGCCAGTTGAAGGTCTATGAATGTAACAGTTCAAATTAAAATTGCTAATCCTAGATTTAAGGAAAAAAGACACTAGGAAAGAGCTTTCACATTTTAACTGGCACATAAGACTAAGAACAACTTATTCTGTCAAATAACAAAGCACCTTGCACATTTTTTTTCTTGTGGATGAATGAAAATGTTTCAGTGAGTGTTTAAAATCTTCTCATTTGCAACTAAAAGAAATGACTAAACATATCAGCATACAAGTATCTTGATAAAGAAATTTTCTTTGGAAACCTTTAACAATGGAAGAAGAGGAATGAATTTAATTAGAACTCAAGCCGAATGACCATCATACACAAAAGTGATCTAATGAGAATGTGTTAATATCCATCTTTGTTAAAAGATAAGTTTGACACTTAAGTATACAAAAGTTAAAAAAAAATCTTATAGGTAACTAAACTGCAGATCACCTGGGTCCCATATGGGCATGAATATAGGTGCTAAATTCAGTGCACCTAGCAAGAGGCATTGCTTTATTACACTTCAGTAATTATTAGCAATGGTATTCTGATGAAATTAAGATCTACTTATTTACAAACATATGAGTTTTTAATGGTATAGAGACTCCTTTGGAAATAGCTATTTCCTAAATTTATGCCTTTTTCTAAATGAAAAATTTAGAATTTTTCTAAATGAAAAATTTAACCAATTTAAAAAATTTGGTTTAGCATACCAATTGCTTAGCCTCTTCATCTTCTAGTATCTTCGTCTTCTCTATAACTTCATTTGTTTCTTGATTCTTGTTATTACCTAATATTGCTTTTTCTTTTCTTTGATATAATAACTTGAAGCCCCTATTCTTTAGCCTCACCTTCCCATTCACCAACAGGTTGCATTAGTCATCCAGGGATTTCTGGAACTTACTTCCTGAACTTCTTTACTTCTTTCCACAAACCTTTACTCTCTTCCCTTCCTGCTCACCCACACTCCATTAAAAACATTCTCAGGGCTTGTGTAACACTGTACTAGCTTAAGAACACTGGAGAAAATCTCAAAATTTCTCAGATTTATACAACTATGAAGTAATATTTTCCATCTCAATTCTGCCAATAATTGTGTTCTTCCATAGTTCTCCCTCTCCTGTTCTCTAGAGTGGCAAAACTGACTCTTTGGCTTCTGTGAGGTGTTTATTCCAAGTAAATCATAAATGCTTTTGATAATCTTCTAAATAAAATTAATATTTTCTTCTTTCCTGTTCTACTTCACTTACTAAGCTATATTTATTGTTGAGGTTTAAGTTTAAGCATCACTTTCTTTGTGCAGCCATTCCTGACTCTCTAATTAGTATTAGGTTAGTATTTCTTCCACGTTATCCTTCACCCATTATACCTCTTTTCATGCTGTACTTCGTTTTCTGACTTAATTGTACCTCTTCCTCAATATACTGCTATCAACATAGGAAGAATAAATGTCTTTCTTAAACTTAAAAATAATATATATTTTTCCAAAGTGCTATGATCTGAATGTGTCCCTCAATATTCATGAGTTGAACACTGCATCCACCATGAGACAGTGTTGGAAGGTAAGGCCTGATGAGAAGTGTATAGGTCATGAGAGTTTCACCCTCATGTATCAATTAAAGCTGCTGTAAAAAGGGGCACACTGGAATAGATTCTCTCTCTCTTCTGTTCTTCTGCCATGCAGGGACACAAAGTTTATCTTTTTTTGCCCTTCCACCTTCTGCCACATGAGGACACAGTAAGAAGCATCCACGCCGGATACCAGTGCCATGATCTTGAACTTTCCAGCCTCCAGAACTGAGAGAGAGTGCATTTCTTTTCTTTATAAATTATCCAGTCTTAAGTATTTTTGTTATAGTAGCACAAAATAAACTGAGACACAAAATAGTATATGAATATGGTTAAAATATCTATTAATAAAGGGTTTATTATATAACAGTTAAATTCACCCTGCCTCAAAATTCCCAACACCCAATCTTACTCCCCAGAGGAAAATTACATTGAATTATTTCAACGGTTTATGTTTTCTAAGAGATGACCTCATAGCTGCGTATAATATGCTTATGTCATTGTTTCTTGAGATTTTTTAAGACATTAGAAATTGTTTTTTTAGAATAATAGATCAAAATTTAGCTTGACTCAACCCATCTTTTCATTTTCCTTACATTTATATTTAACATCATATTTAAACTTCTGTAATTTTTTAAAAAGTGCTTTGGCTCACCAAACATTTTTTGATCTCATAGACCATAAAAATAACTTTTAAAATACTCCCTCATACCCTTGTAAATTAGAAACTGAAAGCTTTAACTATATGTTTAAATGGTCGCAAAGGTCATACTCTAAAGCATATTATAAATATTTAATTTTTAAAATTAAAAATATTTCATCCTTTCAAAAAATGTAATTTTTAAAATTTCATGTGTTTTTTCTTTATTTTCTTTCTTCAACTTTTATTTTAAGTTCTGGGATACACGTGCAGGATATGCAGGTTTGTTACATAGGTAAGTGTGTGCCATGGTAGTTTGCTGCACAGGTCAACCCATTTCCTAGGTATTAAGCCCAGTATTTATCAGCTATTCTTCCTGATGCTCTCCCTCCCACCACCACCTCAGCTGGCTCCAACGTGTCTTTTTCCCCATCATGTGTCCATGTGTTGGCATTGTTCAGCTCCCGCTTACAAGTAAGAACATGTGGTGTTTCGTTTTCTGTTCCTGAATTAGTTTGCTGAGGATAATGGCTTCCAGCTTCATCCATGTCCCTGCAGAGGACATGATCTCATTCCTTTTTTTTTGTCTTTGACGCCTAACTTTGTAACATGTGTAAGTCTTCCTCTTATGCTCTTCCATTCTACCGCCAAAGTTTCAAAAGTTTGTTAACTATTCTTTAAATTTCTTTTAATTGATAAGCTATACATTTCCTTCCACATCCATAATTAAGTCTGTAATTTGTACCAAGATATAAAATAGGACTTTTTTCTTTTACACTGAAGGAACTAATAAATACCATGGAAAGGACCATTTAAAAGATGACTATGTTTCCCTTCTTACTCTTAGCCTATCACCTTTTCTAACTAGTCTGTATGATCAGGATACTAGAGTATATAGAAAAATAATCAAACTTTATAGCTGTTTTAGCATCCTATTATGGAGTTCTAGGGTCTCCTTTAGCCACAAACTGAGTATTTCTACTCAATAATGTGCTGGTAAACTGTTTCTCAAAAAACAAAAAAACAAAACAAAACAAAAACCTGATATTTTGAGTATTTGCAAATTTTTGTGGCAGATTTTTCAAGTTACTAACTTAATATCACAGAATGTGAAATTAGAGAGAGATGCAGTGACTCTACTCATTGTAGGCTAATTAAATAAGTCTCCAGGACACCATCAGGCACACTTTTAAAACACAGAGGCTTGAGGAACCCACAAAGAAGGGATGCTGGCCTTTAAGGAAAGCAGTGGGCTGCTTTCCTGTAGCAGCAGAAAAAGAGCAGGCCAGGCGTGGTGGCTCTAATCCCAGCATTTTGGGAGGCAGAGGCGGTAGGATTACTTGAGGGCAGGAGTTTGAGACTGGTCTGGCCAACATGGTGAAACCCAGTTTCTACTAAAAATACAAAAATTCCCGGGAGGCGGAGCTTGCAATGAGCCGAGATCGCGCCACTGCACTCCAACCTGGGGGACAGAGCGAGACTCAGTCAAAAAAAAAAAAAAAAAAACTAACCAGGCGTGGTGGCATGCGGCTGTAGTCCCAGCTACTCTGCCGGACGGGGTTTGGGGGTGTGGTGAGGCACAAGAATTGCTTGAGCCAGGGAGGTGGAGGTTGCAGTGAACCGATATTGTGCTACTGCACTCCAGCCTGGACTACAGAGTGACATTCCTCTAAAAAAAAAATAAAGAAAGAAAGTGAGAAAAAGAGAGAGAGAGAAAGAGCAAACCTATCTGAAAGTATTCTTAGAAGAATTTGGCATTTATCCTTTTTAATTAGAGGTACACATGAACAAAGAGGCTGCTGCCTGCCTGGATCATTCTGGCTATACGTTCAGGACAAATCGAGTGGAGAGTAATGATGTAGCCCACAGTAGTTATATCTGTATTGGTCATGTGTTTCATCAGTTCCAAATGGAGCCAGAGAAGGTTCCATTTGCTTTGATATAATCTAACCAAGAGGTTTGCCTACAAAGTTTAGGGGACCTCAGGAATCAGAGGCTATTGGCTATGGAGGCTGAGGGAAGTATGGAGAGAATCATGTCCGGATGAGAAAGCAGTGCATTATCTAAGTTCAGCTTCTGAAGAACTCGTATCTGTGAGATTTGAAAAGAGCTGGCATTAAGGCAATTCTAACATTTCAGTAATCATAAAGAAGTACACTATGAGGACACTTCTAAGAAGCTGGCTTACAGCTTCACTAACCAACTTTGCCAAATGGTCACAGCACAGCTGACCACAAGGAAAACCATTAAATGTAGTCCTGATTCTGTACAACAATGTGCCTCACTAAAGCTTTGAAGGATGTGGAATATTATGTGATATCTGAAGTCTATAATATACGCTGATTTTAGTAGCTAATTATGTGCAGGATTTTCAATTAAGATGTTTTCCTCCATTGCTACCTTTCTTCCATAAATAGTTAAATGTATAGTCAGTCTACCATCTTGGATCAGAAGCCTTTTAAAATAAGTTAAAACTAGCATTTTATAAATGCAGAGCAGTGGGAGAAAAAATATTAACATGTACTTCGGTTCAAGAATATGAAGACCAATACTAATAATATATTTTATTTAATTAAATTCCACAATAATTGCATAAGTTACAAGAACCATCCATCCATATAGTGCTTATATTTGAGTCACTGGATTTTGGAATCTCAATTGCCTAATATTTACTGCAGGCATCTGTAAAAAGTTGTGTGATTACTGCAATCACAGCATCCATAATATTCTCTAGTAAATTGTAAGGGCTCATAATACATTTGCTTAATGAATAAATAAATGAATGACTAGAATCTAAAATTAGTGGCCAATAATAGGCACTAAATAAATATTAATTCATTTTTATATTTCTTTTAGCAAAGTGAAATAGTCATTTTATATGCATTTAAAACACGGGATAGCCATCTATTTTCTGAACAATATGGGTATTAAATTACACATGTATTTATTAAAATGTAATATCTATTTAAGTAAATGTAAATGTTCTGTTGACTGACCACTAAAATATTCTTAAAATCTATTATTTTCAATATTTTCTTCTCTAATATTCTTATAACAATGAATAACAAATTTTAAAATCATAAACTACCACATTACCTGATATTTATACAGATATAACTCATCATAATGGATGCAGTTTTCAGGTCAATTAGCCAAAAGCAATGACAAAAATCAATTAAAACAATAAACCACAGTATAGGAATTATAATGTTTTCAATAAAGTTTAAATCATTCTTAGATAGATATGTGTCATGCACAACATTGATGTTGGAAAGATTTCACCATGATATCCTGACTCATTTCACTTCAAAGATTACCTGTGGCTGGTCAACAGAAAACAGTGCTAAATCACTATTAGATACATTATTTAACGTAAATGTCTGGTAGGCCAGAATCAGAAAGCATTTGTGTTTTCAAAATAAAAATAGAGTGCTTCATTTTCTAACTGAATACATAGATGGAGTGTCAACAGATCAATGCCCAAATGCTAAAATTTAATGCAAAATATTGTGCATACTTTAAGGCATGACTAATGATACAGCCATATCAAGCTTATTAGTATGGTCTCAAAATTAGCTAAATCTGACTTTTGTAAAAATCAGCTTTATTATGGTGTAATTTACATACAGTATAATTCATTGACTTTAAGTGTAGAAGTCAATGACTTGACAAATGTATATATTTATGTAACTACCTTAAAAAGTGAGATGTAGAAACCTTTTGTATCACCCCCAAAGTTCCTGCACCCCATTGTGCAATTAATCCCTTCCTCAAACCACTGGTCTCTGAAACTGCAGCTCTGATTTCTGTCACAATTTTTACGTCTTCCAAAATTATTTTATAAATGGAATAATAAAATATGTGTTTCTTTGTGTCTGTTCTTTTTCCTGTTAGCAAAATGTTTTAGAGAGTCATGCATGTTTTTGCATGATTGTGAATCTATTTTTATTACTTAGTAATAATGGTGTATTCCATTGTCTGTATATACCTCACTTTGTTTATTTTTTCAGAATTGATGACATTTTAATTGTTGCCAGTTTTTAGCTATTGGAAATAAAGATATGAACATTTGTGTCTAATTCTTTGTGTGGATATATGTTTTTAATTTTTCTATGTATACATCTAAAAGTGAGAATCCTGGGTCATATAGTAGGTGTGTGTTCAACTTCTTGTGAAACAACTAAACTGTTTCCCAAAGTATTGCATTCCCACTAGTAACATGCAAAAGTCATAGTTGCTTCACTTTTTTGCCAATATCTATCTTGTTAATTCTTTCAATTTTAGGCTTTGCAGTAGTTGTGTAGTCATATCTCACTGATGTTTTGATTTGCATTTTCCTAAAACAAATGATGTTAAGCATCTTTTCATATATTTATTAGCCCTTCTTTGGCGACATGGCTCTTCAGGTCTTTTGTGCAGTTTTTAATATGGTTGATTGTTTTATTATTGCATCATAGGAAATTATGTTTAATACTGTAGGCAAGTTCTTTATTAGATATATATTTTGCAAATATTGTCTTTCAGTCTATATAGCTTGTGTTTTTATTTTCTTTATAGTGTCTTCTGATGAGCATGTACTTTTAATTTTGTCAAATGTCAATATAGATTGTTTTTTGTAAAAGATTCGTACTTTTTGTGTCCTAAGAATTTTTGCCTAAACCAATGTTACACAATTTTTTTCCTATTTTTTCTACAACTTTTATAGATTTAGTTCTTGTGTTTAGGTCTATCTTTATTTCAAGATAATTTCTGCCTATGATATGAAATAAAAGTTGGGATTCAGTTTTTCCATATAACAATTCAATGGCTTTAGCAACAGTTGTTATAATTATTACCCCTTTTATTAAACTACTTGGGCACCTTGATGAAAATCAGTTGGCTGTGGATCTGTTTCTGAACTTTATATTTTGCTCAGTTGATTTGTATTATCTATCCTTATGCCAACACCATTCTCTTTTGATTACTGTAGTTTTAGAATAAGTCCTGAAATCAGGTATGTTAAGTCCCCTAACTTTGTTTCTCTTTTTCAAAAATTGTTTTGGCTATTCTAGGTTATTCACATTTCCAAATAAATTTAATAATCGGATTGTCAGCTGTTATAAAATATTTAATTTCTAGAAAATTGCCAATTTTAAAAATAAGCTCCAGCACTTATTAGCTCTGCTACTTTGGATTGTTAGGTAGTCTATCAAATATATCTATTTATTTCTACTTACTAAAACAGAAATAATGATACCACATTCATAAAAGACTTATTGAAATAATGTTACAATGGTGATAGCGACCCAGTTTGTTTGAAACATATTAGGTATTCCTGAAATGTCTGTTCCGCTCAATGTAATTTTCCCTTCTCCAAAACATAAACAGTTTAGATTCCTGTGCATCAATAATTACTGGATTTTAAATGTTTGACACTTACAAGGATAAATTTAGGTGCAAATCTAAGTTCTTGAATTTCACTGAGTTGATTCCACTAACAACTTTTTACAGATGCAGTAAAGTTTAGGCAATTGAGATTCCAAAATCCGGTGACTCAAATATAAGCACCATATGGATGGATGGTTCTTGTAACATATGCAATTACTGTGGAATTTAATTGAATGAAATATATTATTAGTATTGGTCTTCATATTCTTGAATTGAAGTACATGTTAATATGTTTTCTCCCACTGCTCTTCATTTATAAAATGCTAGTTTTAACTTATTTTAAAAGGCAATATCAAAAATCTATGTTGGAAGCTCCCGGTTAATGACCCAATTGGAAACCTTGAGCGTAACCTGCAACACTGAGCATTAAGTTTTACACACTCCTGAAAACCTTTGCATACTTGCCAAAATCTTAACAACTTCAATGCATTTCCATTCTGATCCTAAGAACCTTCTTGCTTTGCTACTTCCGTGCTTTAAACATTTAGCTTTATCTGGTTTTGCTTGTATGGATAAAAAAAATATAATGGTGTGAAAAAAGTAGACAAATTCTGTTAGTAAAATCTAATAATATTTGCTAATTTACTTTGTATTATATGTTGGGATTCCTTAGGGTGCATACATATTCAATTACTTTCTTTGCCTCCAGACTCTCAGTATTATCACATTCACCTAATTGTCTTGACTACCCGTGATGTTGATCACTGATAAATAAATTACTCCAGATCTCTGTGACTCAAACTAATATTTCTGAATTTCAATTATATATATTTTCTGGATGTCTTCAAGCAACTCAAAATGAACATGTTCAAGAAAATTATCTCCTCTCCTAATCTATATTTGGTATTAATTTTCTTTACATTTAATTGACTTTTTTATTAATAATACAGCACAAATTCAATGTAGATAGTATTAGAATAACAAAAACGATAACAATATAAATCACCACTGATTTAATCATAAAGCAGGAATCATTTTATTAGCCATACCATTTATTCACATATATTTATTTATATGTTTATGTGTCTTAAAATTACATGAAACTGAGGTAAAAACACACAGGATAAGAAAAGGATTGCATTAATTATACTCCCAAAATTCATAGTGTATCTCCATCATTAACTTCTCCATTCATGGTTTGTTTATTTACTTATTTTTATTCCCATGCTCCTACCCCTGTCTCATCCTGTCTCTCAGATAACAATTCTAATATAGCCCAGGCATTTATCATATTTAAATGTCTGTTAGAAAAATGTATGCCAATGTTTTAGGGCTATGTATTTTTAATTTACATTAAACATGTTTAATGCATCATTGTCTCTCTCTTCTTAATTAAAAAAAAAGTTAAGTGTATTTTTTAAGATCTACCCATGTTGCTAGTTTTAAAGCTATTCCATTTTTTATTGTTGTATGAGAACACATGGTCCACATTCATCGTATTTTGCCTACATAAATATGTTACGGAGACTGAGAGTATTCAAACATTTGAACACAGGTAATGAGTCAATGAATAGCCTAGAACATGTCTCCTCACATACTGTACAAAGATTTCCCTGGGATATACACTTAGGACTGGAATTGCTGGATCACAGGGTATGTTTGACTTAATTTGAATAATTAGTACCAAAATGCCTTCTGAATGGATACCTCAGCCTACATTTTCTTGTAGAGAGCATGAGGATTTTTATACTCCTACTTTTCTGCTTTTGTGTCACTTTATGTCACTTTATACTTTTTCCTAATAGGTGTAGGTTAAATTTATTTAATTTAATGTGAATTAATTTGATTACAAATGTTTACCTATGTCTCAATTAATGCCTTTAAATCATACATTTCTGTAGTTGCTATTACATCAGGACTTAATCCTGATATTATTTTCCTTTTATTGTTGCCTCCTTTTGTTTCCTTTCTCTCTTGATTTTTCTTAAATAGACTGAGATTAATTCTGCTTGTCTAAAAGTTCTATTTCTTTTTCTGTGTTGGTACTATGCTATCTAAGAGTCGTCCTCACACATACATTATGAGTCTTGGGGACAAATCTGCTGAATGGTCATTTCTGATATTATATTATAATATTACAGTAACTTGAACAATTTTCTGTATATAAATGATAAGGTCAACATCTATTAAATAAAACATTAAAATGTTATTCAATGGCCCCTTGGTTTTGTGTATATATATATATATGTGTGTGTGTGTATATATATATACATATATAGATGTTTATGTATATTTATGTATAAAGTTTTTTCTGTCTTATTTATGTCCTGTTGCTCTCTGCAGGAGAGACTCACACTGATCTTCCAAATCATTTTTTTATTTTTCTTTATCCATTCTACTATTTTATCTTTATCTATTGGGTTACCTTTTTTAAAACTATATTTTTGATATTTAACATAGCCACTTAATGTTATCTTATTTTTTCAAATAGCTAATATCCTTTATCTTTCTAAATGCATTCATCATTGTTTTAAGTTCTTGGTTTATCTGTTCCAACGCTTTTGCTGTAGATTTCATAGGTAGTTCAGCTGTTTTATTTTGAGTTGGAATCTTCACTTGTTATTGTGTTCCCCTAGGCTTTTAAACGCCTCTCTGGAAATGAGTACTAGGGAATGGTCAAGGCTAGGCTCTAGTCTGCATTAGTCTTTGGAAAGAGCCCAAGTTTTGACAGCTATAGACCACATAGAGCCATATGGATGGTTCACATTTCTTTTCACTCAACAAGGCACTTTTCTAGCCAGGTACTGTTGCTAAGTCCTTGTCTTATATTAAATCAAGTAGTGTTTCCACCTTTAGAAAATCTAGATAAGGACCCTACTATAGCTATTGCTTCTGTTCTTTAAATTTCATGGAATTTTCATACCACTTAAAATTATTCTTTATAATAAACTACCTTTACTTATTTGGTATGAGGTAGTCTTATCACTAATACAGCCAAAGTAAAACTATGTCTGATATAATTCTAGGCAAAAATACAAGCCTTCTGGAAAAAGAATTTCTATTTAAGAGCAGATTAAGTCATTGGGACTGTTTGGAGCTTTATTTAATCTGGTGAAGCTAAAGGTTCATACTAGAAGCATTATTCACTGCCTGACAAATTTTGATACTAATAATGTAGTTCAATCAGAAGGCCAGCTTCTTCTTCTGCTTAACAAGAAAAACTACTAGCAATGAGAAATTAAGTGAGCCAGTAAGTGTTGTACATTTGCTTTAAGTACTAAAACATCACTGGCCTGTTTTTTCTAAGAAGTCACATCTTTTCATTCTACTTTGGAATATTGTGCTGGCTAATTTTATTTTATAAACATTTTATGTTTTTAATATCTGTTTTTAAATAAACATTTTATTTAGGAAAAAAACAAAGGAGGGATGTTATTCTGTGAAATACCTTCAGTTGTCTAACCTGCATTTCTAATGATTCAATGTTGAATTTGTAAAAACTTTTCCTCAGTTACAAAAGTTTTTTTTTTTTTTGTCTAGCACATCAATATAATCATTATTCCTTTTTCTACTCATTGCTGAGACAAGAAAAACACTAGCTTTATGATGAACAGAGAAGGATCTATCAGGCCCCAGTCACTTTTCATGAACTAAGGACTGATGTCAGTGACTGTCAGATACAAGTGATTTTCTCCATAAATCTCCTTTTCCGTGCAAAAGTGAATCATTGTTCCCTAACACTGTACTGGCTTTTGTTCAGGTTTTCTGTTATACAAAATTTAATGAGAACAGCCACCAAAAAACATCAAGAACTAAGTATGTGTCAGAGAGAAATCCTCAAGTTTGCTGAGATACTCTAATTACCTGTGCTTTCTTTTTGATATCAACCCTTTAAAAAAAAAAGATGAAAAAATTCTGTCTCCTGAAGATCCAATATTATGGTCACTAGTGTGCGTGTATGTGTGTGTGTGTGTGTAATACATTATGTATACAATTACAGGTTCAGTCTAATAATATGACTTAGATTTAAATTTAACTTTAAGAGACCTCATGGTAGAATATATTTCCTACCCTGGCCAGGCCCCAGTTATAAGACCCTCACTTATTTCTTGTATTTCCTCTGCAACAAACATCTCTGGCTTTACTGCTCCTGTTTTCTCTTGCCAGGGTCAAGCACCTTGAGGCAGACAGCTGGGCCTCCTTGATGGAAGATTCCCACCTCTATAATTCACCTAGACCTCTCTAATTCACGCCCACCCATCATTTGCCAGAGGTACAGCTTTACAATTGTTCGAACATACCACAAGATATATCTGTTTGCTTTGCCCTTTGGGTACACTAATCTTTTTTTCTGAAACTGTGTGCTTATTGGAGGAGAGGTTATTGTTTCTAGTCGGGGGTGTGAAAAGGTAATGAGAATGTACTTAATTTATGATCGCTGTTTCCATTTGGCTCATCTGTGTTTGTGTGTACTTTCCAGATATTTCCCAAAGGAGCACTTAATTCATCTAAAATATTTCACATATAAATCCACACTTATGTGGTAACTTCACTGACACATGGTATAAACTCATTTCTTTCTATTTGCCACTTTGACTCAATAAGCTCTGGAACGGAAAGTTCCCCTGATCAAATGGAAGAAACAGGAACCCTAATAGAAGGAATATAGGTCCCTTTTCTACTACAATTCCCACATTCTCTCCAAATGAAACCTATAAAACACTTGTAGTTTTATTTTTGCAAAATAATGGAGGGTAAGCTGTTGGATAGAAGAAAGAACTAGTTTAAAGGCTTGCTGATGTTGGAGATTTTGAGTTCTTTATTCTTCATGTTAAAAGCCTTTGGAAGAGCAAAAGATTATATCCGTGTCGGAATTTTACTATGGTGGAGATCAAATGCCACTGATTCATGCTCATTAGGGCTGCTTCTCCCTCACCTGGATGGCTTAAAGAAGTCTTTATGAGAGCTCAGTGAGGATTAACTTCATACACAAGAATAATAAGAAAAAAATCTGTATGGTTGGTCTTAATTTGTGAGAGAATGAGATCATTTCGTTATTATGCTCTAGGAACCTTTAAAAATTTTAAATACATTATAGCCACAAATATACGTATTAAATCCTTTAAAATCTATGAAAGATTGGGTTACTACAATGGCACTTTTATTTTATACTCAGTAAGAGAAAACCTGGTGTTAGTTTTCTTAAGAGTAAAAATAGAAAGCTTACAACTGATTTCCCTTTGTTGAATTTAGCTAATCAAAGAGATTGCATACTATAGTAGGTTGTGTGTGTGTGTGTGTGCATGTGTGTGTGTGTTTGTGTGTTATAATCCATAATTTTAATTAAGAAGACAGGAAGCATCTACTCTATTTCTATCAACATAGAACATATTATAAATGTACATACAAACATACTTTCTAATAGTGATTTATCTTTATCTTATTGCCATTTACTATCAAAATGACTTTAAAAAGCCTTTAAAACAAATGACCTCACTATATCATGGGAGGACTTGGGGACCAGAAAATGGAAGGGCACATTTAGAGTTATAGTGTCAATTAGTGTTTGTTTTCCTATCCCCAAACTTTACACTCTCCAGGACACCCCATAACCTCTTTTAAAGCTACTTACTATTATGAAGAATTAATGTGACCAAATATTGGCTAATAACTTCATTGTGCTATGCCTATATTTAATATCAAATCCATATTTATAGATGAAAAATCTCTAATACAGAAAAAGAACAATGTTCCTCTATGCTATGTAGTAACTCACTATTCTGTTTTTATAACATTTTGTTGAGTTCATAAATTAATATTTTTTTAGGATTTACTATATACTAGAATACCATACTAGTATTAAAATGAGAGCAAAAATAAGATAGCAATTGTAATTAAAGTAATTATATTTCTATTATTTCACTTATCATAATGAGTAATATTTATGTTTTGCATATCTGTCTCCTCTAAACTTTTCCCAACAGCATTCTAATATTGAAAAATACAGATTGTCTTGTGAATATAACTAATTAATAAACCAAATATTTTCTTTCAATTACAATAGAGCCTAATTAGAATATCATAAATTAAAATATGTATAATTGATTCAACTCATTATCAAGATCTTGTGACCAGACATTTTAATGAAAACTTTTAATTTTCTTTCTTTAATTAATACATGGGAATCTCCTCTCTCTGCCCTAATACAATATAAACACCAAAAATATCTCTGGTGTTCAATTCTGTCTCCTCTCTCAAGAGTAATGCATTTGAAGAAGTTAAAAAAATATGCCTCAACCAGAATCCCTTAGTTCTGAGGGCTTCACCCAAGCCAAACTCACAGGATAGAAATATAAAGGAGATGAGATATGACCCAGTAGAAATTGAGACACATTAAGTCCTGCCCTATCTCCTACATTATTGTCAACTACTAAAGAATTTTTCACTTCTTTTACTTTGCATTTTTCTAGAATCTGGTGATCATAATCTAAAAGGGAATTTCTACCACTCCTTTGAGAAGTGTATGTAACCTGTCTTTTACACTGAAGGATATGGTTTCAGGAAAGGAACAGCTAATCTTTATAGATTTTGCTCAGTCATGATTGACTATGGTTAGAGTTTGTCTAAGGCCTTCATTTGCAAGCAAGGTTAGTCTAATCCCTCTATGGCCTGGCAGATGATCAGCTTCTGTGTTTCATGGATGCTTGAAGAAATGGATATGCTATCAATATTGGATGTCTTATTCTATAGATGTTGATTAGATCAATGTTATTTTTGTTCCTCAGATATTCTATATGCTTGATGAATTATTGTCTGCTTTTTTGATCAGTTATTGAGAGAGGTGTGTTAAAGTTTCCTCTAGGAGTAAGTATATGTCTCTCCTCTTAATTCTGTCTGTGTTTTCATTATATATTCTAAAGGTATATTATTGCATGCAAAGAGATTCTTCATTGTTAGATATTCTATTTTCATCATAATGTAAGGCCTTCTATATCTCTTGAAACTTTTCTTCCTTAAAGTCTATTTTTTTCTGTTATCAGTATAAATGTACCAGATTTTGTGTGTTTGCAGAGATACAAGGAGGAATAGGGATACTGTTTGCAGTGTGTATCTCTTCCACACATTTAGTTGCAAAATTGCTATGCATTTTTCTATGCACTTACTTGTAATATGTTTCTTACAAGTAGGATATTGTTTTATTCACCATGTGTGATAATCTTTCTTTTTTATCTAGAATTCAAATACATTTTATGTAAATAATGACATACAGATCTATTTTTTGTTGTCTATTATTCCTGTTTTATGTACCCTTTCTCTACTTCCTTCTCTTCTTTCACACCGCTCAGATATATCTTACTTATTCCATTTTCCTTTTGCCTTAAAATTATTCACTTTTAAATAATTTTTAGTGGTTACCCTAGAAATGAAAACAAGGCCCTACACTTTGCATACTCTAACACAAAGCATTGTGCAGCAAGGTAAGCATTTAGATAGTTATTTAACAAACATTATGCCAGAGTAATAATAAAACAATACAAATAGTTATTAGCCAAGCATGACAGTGGAGAGTTTAGTCTACTGGGAAGCTGTATGCACAGAGGAAGTGTGCAAAAAATCAATGGAAACTTTCTTAAGATTAAAGGAATTTCAATATGTCTTAGACATTTATATATGGGTTAGCCAAGCAAATCGAGTATATGAGGATGAGAAGAATGGGAGGTTAATTAGAAGCAGAAGAAGCACTTGCATAAAGGGAAACCATTGTATAGTGAATATGGGTATAAACTAAAATTAAAATTCTAAGCCCCTTAACAGACTGAATGGACCTTCTCTTGGCCAAAGAGAACCCAGAGTAACCTTGAAAACTGAGTTCTCAGCCATGACATGAGGGGATCAGATACACCTTGATATACATCCTCCCTTGCCAACCATAATTAGGCTTTCTTCCCTATGGGCTTAACAGAAACAAGCCATTTCAAAAGACTCTGCCACTGATATCAACAAACCATCTACATTTTCTGTCCCTCCTTTTTTGCCTGATAAGTAATCACCAACCATGGAGTGGTTCTGGCTTGTCTATGGAGAACTATGAACATGCAGTAAGAGATTTTGTGTCCACAGCTTCATCTTTTGATGTCAGAGGGCCACAAACTACACACTCAGATCATGCTAACGTGGTCATTTTTTTGTACATGAATTCCATAAGGGAGCATGAATCTCAATTGCCCACGGGTATATTTCTCCTTTCATAAACATCCAGGACTCCTCGATAGCTTATTAAATATTTGGTCGCCACACTCAGCATAAATTCCTTTTCTCTGTTTCCCTCCCTCAAAATATATGTTTCCAGTTTCTGGCTGGAGGCAGTGCCTCCCAACCTGTCTGAATGGACACTCTGAAGGCTGCAGCACTTTATGAGAAAAAAGGCTCTCCTTTCCAAATGTATGAAACTCACCATTCTTCAGTTGACTTAGGGAACTGCGAAGTAAAGGTAGGAATTGTCAGGCCTCTGAGCCCAAGCCAAGCCATCGCATCCCCTGTGACTTGCACATATATGCCCAGATGGCCTGAAGTAACTGAAGAATCACAAAAGAAGTGAATATGCCCTACCCCACCTTAACTGATGACATTCCACCACAAAAGAAGTGTAAATGGCCAGTCCTTGCCTTAAGTGATGACATTACCTTGTGAAAGTCCTTTTCCTGGCTCATCCTGGCTCAAAAAGCACCCCCATTGAGCACCTTGCGACTCCCACTCCTGCCCGCCACAGAACAAACCCCCTTTGACTGTAATTTTCCTTTACCTACCCAAATCCTATAAAATGGCCCCACCCTTATCTCCCTTCGCTGACTCTCTTTTCGGACTCAGCCTACCTGCACGCAGGTGAAATAAACAGCCATGTTTCTCACACAAAGCCTGTTTGTCTCTTCACATGGACGCACATGAAATTTGGTGCCATGACTCCTCGGATCGGGGGACCTCCCTTGGGAGATCAATCCCCTGTCCTCCTGCTCTTTCCTCCATGAGAAAGATCCACCTACGACCTCAGGTCCTCAGACCAACCAGCCCAAGAAACATCTCACCAATTTCAAATCCGGTAAGCGGCCTCTTTTTACTCTCTTCTCCAACCTCCCTCACTATCCCTCAACCTCTTTCTCCTTTCAATCTTGGCACCACACTTCAATCTCTCTCTTCTCTTAATTTCAATTCCTTTCATTTTCTGGTAGAGACAAAGGAGACACGTTTTATCCCTGGACCCAAAACTCCGGCACTGGTCACGAACTGGGAAGGCAGCCTTCCCTTGGTGTTTAATCATTGCAGGGACGCCTCTCTGATTATACACTCACGTTTCAAGGGTGTTGGACCATGCAGGGACACCTGCCTTGGTCCTTCACCCTTAGTGGCAAGTCCCGCTTTCCTGGGGCAGGGGCAAGTACCCCTCAACCCCTTCTCCTTCACCCTTAGTGGCAAGTCCCACTTTCCTGGGGCAGGGGCAAGTACCCCTCAACCCCTTCTCCTTCACCCTTAGTGGCAAGTCCCACTTTCCTGGGGCAGGGGCAAGTACCCCTCAACCCCTTCTCCTTCACCCTTAGCAGCAAGTCCTGCTTTTTTACAGGGCAAGAACACCCAATCCCTTATTTCCATGCCCCAACCTCTTATCTGTGTGCCCCAATCCCTTATTTCCACACCCCGACCTCTTATATCTCTGTGCCCCAATCCCTTATTTCCACACCCCAACCTCTTATCTCTGCACCCCAACCCCTTTTCCAACTTTTCTGGAAGGTAAGAACCCCCAAACCCCTTCCCTCCATTTCTCTACTCTCTTTTCTCTAGGCTTGCTTCCTTCACTATGGGCAACATTCCACCCTCCATTCCTCCTTCTACTCCCTTGGCCTGTGTTCTCAAAAACTTAAAACCTCTTCAACTCACACCTGACCTAAAACCTAAATGCCTTATTTTCTTCTGCAATGCCGCTTGACCCCAATACAAACTCGACAGTAGTTCCAAATAGCCAGAAAATGGCACTTTCAATTTTTCCATCGTGCAAGATCTAAATAATTCTTGTCGTAAAATAGGCAAACGGTCTGAGGTGCCTGACATCCAAGCATTCTTTTACACATCAATCCCTTCCTACTCTCTGTGCCCAGTGCAACTCGTCCCAAATCTTCTTTCTTTCCCTCCCGCCTGTCCCCTCAGTACCAACCCCAAGCTTCGCTGAGTCTTTCTAATCTTCCTTTTCTACAGACCCATCTGACCTCTCCCTTCCTCCCCAGGCTGCTCCTCGCCAGGCCGAGCTAGGTCCCAATTCTTCCTCAACCTCCACTGCTCCACCCTATAATCTTTTTATCACCTCCCCTCCTCACACCTGGTCCGGCTTACAGTTTCGTTCCGTGACTAGCCCTCCCGCACCTGCCCAGTAATTTACTCTTAAAAAGCCAAAGGCATAGTCAAGGTTAATGCTCCTTTTTCTTTATCCCAAATCAGATAGCGTTTAGGCTTTTTCATCAAATATAAAAATCCAGCCCAGTTCATGGCTTGTTTGGCAGCAACCCTGAGACGCTTTACAGCCCTAGACCCTAAAAAGTCAAAAGGCCGTCTTATTCTCAAAATAAATTTTATTACCCAATCTGCTCCCGACATTAAATAAAACTCCAAAAATTGGAATCTGGCCCTCAAACCCCACAACAGGACTTAACTAACGTCACCTTCAAGGTGTACAATAACAGAAAAAAGTTGCAATTCCTTGCCTCCACTGTGAGACAAACCCCAGCCACATCTCCAGCACACAAGAACTTCCAAACGCCTGAACCGCAGCAGCCAGGCATTCCTCCAGAACCTCCTCCCCCAGGAGCTTGCTACATGTGCTGGAAATCTGGCCACTAGGCCAAGGAATGCCCACAGCCCAGGATTCCTCCTAAGCCACGTCCCATCTCTGTGGGACCCCAATGAAATTCGGACTGTTCAACTCACCTGGCAGCCACTCCCAGAGCTCCTGGAACTCTGGCCCAAGGCTCTCTGGCTGATTCCTTCCCGGATCTTCTTGGCTTAGCGGCTGAAGACTGACACTGCCCGATCACCTTGGACGCCCCCTAGACCATCACGGATGCCCAGCTTCGGGTAACTCTCACAGTGGAAGGTAAGCCCGTCCCCTTCTTAATCAATACAGAGGCTACCCACTCCACATTATCTTCTTTTCAAGGGGCTGTTTCCCTTGCCTCCATAACTGTTGTGGATATTGACGGCCAGGCTTCTAAACCTCTTAAAACTCCCCAACTCTGGTGCCAACTTAGACAATACTCTTTTAAGCACTCCTTTTTAGTTATCCCCATTAACTAAATTATCTGCTTCCCTGACTATTCCTGGACTACAGCTATATCTCACTGCCGCCCTTCTTCCCAATCCAAAGCCTCCTTTGCATCCTCCTCTTGTATCCCCCCACCTTAACCCACAAGTATAAGATACCTGTACTCCCTCCTTGGCGACCGATCATGCACCGCTTACCATCTCATTAAAACCTAATCACGCTTACCCCACTCAATGCCAATATCCCATCCCGCAGCACGCTTTAAAAAGATTAAAGCCTGTTATCACTCGCCTGCTACAGCCTGGCCTTTTAAAGCCTATAAACTCTCCTTACAATTCCCCCATTTTACCTGTCCTAAAACCAGACAAGCCTTACAAGTTAGTTCAGGATCTGCGCCTTACCAACCAAATTGTTTTGCCTATCCACCCCGTGGTGCCAAACCCATATACTCTCCTATCCTCAATACCTGCCTCTACAACCCATTATTCTGTTCTGGATCTCAAACATGCTTTCTTTACTATTCCTTTGCACCCTTAGTCCCAGCGTCTCTTCGCTTTCACTTGGACTGACCCTGACACCCATCAAGCTCAGCAAATTACCTAGGCTGTACTGCCGCAAAGCTTCACAGACAGCCCCCATTACTTCAATCAAGCCCAAATTTCTTCCTCATCTGTTACCCATCTTGGCATAATTCTCATAAAAACACAAGTGCTCTCCCTGCCAATCGTGTCCAACTGATCTCTCAAACCCAAGCACCTTCTACAAAACAACAACTCCTTTTCTTCCTAGGCATGGTTAGCGCAGTCAGAATTCTTACACAAGAGCCAGGACCACACCCTGTAGGCTTTCTGTCCAAACAACTTGACCTTATTGTTTTAGCCTAGCCCTCATATCTGTATGCAGCGGCTGCCACTGCTTTAATACTTTTAGAGGCCCTCAAAATCACAAACTATGCTCAACTCACTCTCTACAGTTCTCTTAACTTCCAAAATCTATTTTCTTCCTCATACCTGACGCATATACTTTCTGCTCCCCAGCTCCTTCAGCTGTACTCACTCTTTTTTAAGTCCCACAATTACCGTTGTTCCTGGCTCAGACTTCAATCCGGCCTCCCACATTATTCCAGATACCACACCTGACCCCACATGACTGTATCTCTCTGATCCACCTGACATTAACCCCATTTCCCCAAATTTCCTTCATTCCTGTTCCTCACCCTGATCACGCTTGATTTATTGATGGCGGTTCCTCCAGGCCTAATCGCCACACACAGCAAAGGCAGGTTATACTATAGTACAAGCCACTAGCCTGCCTCTTAGAACCTCTCATTTCCTTTCCATCGTGGAAATCTATCCTCAAGGAAATAACTTCTCAGTGTTCCATCTGCTATTCTACTACTCCTCAGGGATTATTCAGGCCCCCTCCCTTCCCTACACATCAAGCTCGAGGATTTGCCCCCACCCAGGACTGGCAAATTAGCTTTACTCAACATGCCCCGAGTCAGATAACTAAAATACCTTAGTCTAGGTAGATACTTTCACTGGATAGGTAGAGGCCTTTCCTACAGGGTCTGAGAAGGCCACCGCAGTCATTTCTTCCGTTCTGTCAGACATAATTCCTCAGTTTAACCTTCCCACCTCAATACAGTCTGATAACAGACGAGCCTTTATTAGTCAAATCAGCCAAGCAGTTTTTCAGGCTCTTAGTATTCAGTGAAACCTTTATATCCCTTACGGTCCTCCATCTTCAAGAAAAGTAGAACAGACTAAAGGTCTTTTAAAAACACACCTCACCAAGCTCAGCCACCAAAAAGGACTGGACAATACTTTTACCACTTTCCCTTCTCAGAATTCAGGCCTGTCCTTGGAATGCTACAGGGTACAGCCCATTTGAGCTCCTGTATAGACGCTCCTTTTTATTAGGCCCCAGTCTCATTCCATACACCAGACCAACTTAGACTGTGCCCCCAAAAAAACTTGTCATCCCTACTATCTTCTGTCTAGTCATACTCCTATTCACCGTTCTCAACTACTTATACATGCCCTGCTCTTGTTTACACTGCCGGTTTACACCATTTTTCCAAGCCGTCACAGCTGATATCTCCTGGTGCTATCCCCAAACTGCCACGCTTAACTCTTGAAGTAAATAAATAATCTTTGTTGGCAGGACTATGCTGAATCTCCTTAGGCACTCTCTAATCAGATATCTTGAGTCGTCCCAATTCTTAGACCTTTTATACCTGTTTTTCTCCTTCTGTTATTCCATTTAGTTTCTCAATTCATCCAAAACCATATCCAGGCCATCACCAATCATTCTATACGACAAATGTTTCTTCTAACATCCCCACAATATCACCCCTTACCACAAGACCTCCCTTCAGCTTAATCTCTCCCACTCTAGGTTCCCACACCATCCCTAATCCCGCATGAAGCAGCCCTGAGAAACATCGCCCATTCTCTCTCCATATCACCCCCCAAAAATTTTTGCCGCCCCAACACTTCAACACCATTTTGTTCTATTTTTCTTATTAATATAAGAAGGCAGGAATGTCAGGCCTCTGATCCCAAGCCAAGCCATCGCATCCCCTGTGACTTGCACGTATATACCCAGATGGCCTGAAGTAACTGAAGAATTACAAAAGAAGTAAATATGCCCTCCCCCACCTTAACTGATGACATTCCACCACAAAAGAAGTGTAAATGGCTGGTCCTTGACTTAACTGATGACATTACCTTGTGAAAGTCCTTTTCCTGGCTCATTCTGGCTCAAAAAGCACCCCCACTGAGCACCTTGCGAACCCCACTCCTTCCCACCAGAGAACAAACCCCCTTTGACTGTAATTTTCCTTTACCTACCCAAATCCTATAAAATGGCCCCACCCTTATCTCCATTCACTGACTTTCTTTTCGGACTCAGCCCACCTGCACCCAGGTGATTAAAAGCTTTATTGCTCACACAAAGCCTGTTTGGTGGTCTCTTCACACGGACGCGCATGAAAGGAATAATATGGAGCACAGACCAAACATGAATCTTGTAATCATTTCCCATTCTCTGGGGTATGTGAATATGTTGTTGGGAAGCTATTAATGTGATTTAGACAGAGAAGTGACAGGCAAACTGAGGTATTACAATATATGAAGTTTTGAGTCTTCAGAATGTATGTTAGTAGTTAAAATAATTTCACTAGAGATTATCCTCGGGCTGTGTGCATGTCAGAATTTGAGGAGAAAATTCCACATGTTAATAAGTGAGATGAAGTAGAACCCATAAGGAAGTAAAGATGAATGGCCTTAGTGGTGTGAGAGGTAGCAAAGTGTGCTATGAAAAGCAAGAAACAGGAGTTTTTCCAAACAGATACCATGATCAACAATATTAAATACTGCAGAGGTGCCCACCAGGATCCTAAGCTGAAAAATATGCACTGAGTTGGATAAGTATGGTGTCGTTGAGGACCTGAATAAATGACATTTCAGATTTTGCAGAAATGAGTTGGTGGTAAGGGAGTGACTATAGTAACAGTGATCAAAGGTTTGAGTTATTCCAGATAGATATAACAGGGAGGAGTTGAACAAAATTGAGATTGAGTTTAATAAAGAACATGACACATCCAGAGAAATGTAGAGAAGAGTGGTAAGTGCCATGGTAATCAACTTGCCAGCCTTCTGTGAAGTGGGATTACGGAATGCGTTTTAACAAAGAACATAGACAGCAGAGTCAGAGAGACCTGTACCACACCTGAGAGATTTTGAGCCTCAATTGGCTCTCTGTAATACATATGAGCCTGTTTTTTGACACCTGAAAAAAAACTGTATTAAAGTACTTAGAATAGTGCTGAGAAGAGATGGCTTAGATAAGTTTCTTTACCATCTTTGGCAGCACAATTAGCAATCTTGAATCACAAAAGGATCAATGTTTGCAGGTTAAATGGGATCTCTGAATGAGAATGTCACAGATATACACACTGGCCACATGACTTTAATAATGTTTCTTATTTTTGCTCACAGCTTGTACTTAACTTCTAACAATGGGACTTCTGCTTGGCCTTGAAAGTGAGACTCAACTTTGTTCCAAAGTTCCATTCTTTGTGTCAATATCTTGTAGCTCCACACATGCATTTTGATCTTTGCAATCTACAGGCCCCAGGATTCCTAGGATGCCCTGCATTCATTCCCAAAAGATTATACAAGCTCTATTTCAATTAGCATGACCAAATCCTCTTCTTTAAGATCTAGTTCAGTCTCTACTTCCTGAAAGCCTTTTCTGATCGCATTTAATAATTTTTTTTAGCACTCATCCCTAACTATATCGCTTCTTGAATAACCCATATTTGGGTGACCTCTCTTGAAGCATGTATCATGTTTTAATTTAATTCTCAATTTAAGTTTTGGTGTGTTACATGTTATCTATCCAACTTGAATATGTGTTCCTTGTGGAGTTTTGTTATTTTGTATCCATACAAAAAAGCTGGTAATGACATCATACTTAAGATAATACTTTAATAGATATCTTTGAATACTGAATTATCTGTTAAATACTGTATGGTTACTCCAAGCAAAGAATGCATGTATGTTGCTAGTAAATTATTTGAGAATGTTCAGCTGTCCTTATAATGTGCATGAGAACAACTTATATCTCAGTCAAATTCTCTCCATGGAAACAGAAGCTTATTTCATAGAGAATACCACTGATTTCTGTGGTAGGTAAAGCAAAGCTTGATATTCAGAGTGTTTTTGTTTTTGTTTTTGTTTTTTTAACTGGACCTTCACACACAAGCAAACACAAGAGTCCTGTTTAAATAGATTACAAGTGTAAAGTTATTTAGGAATCAGTTATGTTAAGGATCCACTTTAGAAACATATTTTACCCAAAAAGAAGATTACCACCGTAATTCAACTTTACCTTTAAAAGAGCATTCTTCATTTAAACCTAGGACAGCAGACCATCAGTTATCCACTCAGCGAAATTGTCTAACCAGTGATTTGCATGATTCATGGAGTAAAATGAGAGGATAATTTTGAGGGAGCAAAACACTTAGCATAAAACAGGCGTCAAGGTACTCAAAATTATTAGTACATAGAAATGTCCTGTTCTGCAATGTTCAAATACCTGAATATTAGGCTTTCCATGACAATATCTCATTACAATACATTTTCTAAATTTTACAAGTTTTGACATGCTTATAAATTATCCCCAACTTAGAATCTACATGTACAGGCACCTGTAAAAGTAATATCAACCTTCTGCTGTGCACAGCATAGTCACATACACTTTTATTTCCTTTCTCTAAGACACAGCGTAGCCTTAACTGTCAGGCCTCTGAGCCCAGGCCAAGCCATCACATCCCCTGTGACTTGCACATATATGCCCAGATGGCCTGAAGTAACTGAAGAATCACAAAAGAAGTGAATATGCCCTGCCCCACCTTAACTGATGACATTCCACCACAAAAGAAGTGTAAATGGCCGGTCCTTGCCTTAAGTGATGACGTTACCTTGTGAAAGTCCTTTTCCTGGCTCATCCTGGCTCAAAAAGCACCCCATTGAGCACCTTGCGACCCCCACTCCTCCCCGCCACAGAACAAACCCCCTTTGACTGTCATTTTCCTTTACCTACCCAAATCCTATAAAACGGCCCCACCCTTATTTCCCTTCGCGGACTCTCTTTTTGGACTCAGCCCGCCTGCACCCAGGTGAAATAAACAGCCATGTTGCTCACACAAAGCCTGTTTGGTGGTCTCTTCACACGGACGTGCATGAAATTTGGTGCCGTGACTCGGAGTGGGGGACCTCCCTTGGGAGATCAATCCCCTGTCCTCCTGCTCTTTGCTCCGTGAGAAAGATCCACCTACGACCTCAGGTCCTCAGACCAACCAGCCCAAGAAACATCTCACCAATTTCAAATCCGGTAAGCGGCCTCTTTTTACTCTCTTCTCCAACCTCCCTCACTATCCCTCAACCTCTTTCTCCTTTCAATCTTGGCACCACACTTCAATCTCTCCCTTCTCTTAATTTCAATTCCTTTCATTTTCTGGTAGAGACAAAAGAGACATGTTTTATCTGTGAACCCAAAACTCCAGCGCAGGTCACGGACTGGGAAGGCAGCATTCCCTTGGTGTTTAATCATTGCAGGGACGCCTCTCTGATTATACACTCACATTTCAAGGGTGTCAGACCACGCAGGGATGCCTGCCTTGGTCCTTCACCCTTAGCAGCAAGTCCCGCTTTCCTGGGGCAGGGCAAGTACCCCTCAACCCCTTCTCCTTCACCCTTAGCGGCAAGTCCCGTTTTCCTAGGGGGCAAGAACCCCCCAATTGCTTATTTCGGCAACCCAACCTCTTATCTCTGTGCCCCCATCACTTATTTCTGCACCCTGACCTATTATCTCTGTGCCCCCATCCCTTATTTCTGTGCCCCAACCCCTTCTCTGCTTTTCTGGAGGGCAAGAACCCTCTGCCCTTTCTCCCTGTCTCTACTCTTTTCTCTGGGCTTGCCTCCTTCACTATGGGTAAGCTTCCACCTTCCATTCCTCCTCCTTCTCCCTTAGCCTGTGTTCTCAAAAACTTAAAACCTCTTCAACTCACACCTGACCTAAAACCTAAGTGCCTTATTTTCTTCTGCAATGCCGCTTGACCCCAATACAAACTCAACAGTAGTTCCAAATAGCCAGAAAATAGCACTTTCAATTTTTCCATCCTACAAGATCTAAATAATTCTTGTCATAAAATGGGCAAATGGTCTGAGGTGCCTGACGTCCAGGCATTCTTTTTACACATCAGTCCCTTCCTAGTCTCTGTGCCCAGTGCAACTCATCCCAAATCTTCCTTCTTTCCCTCCCGCCTGTCCCCTCAGTACCAACCCCAAGCGTCACTGAGTCTTTCTAATCTCCCTTTTCTACAGACCCATCTGACCTCTCCCCTCCTCGAAGGGCTTAGCTAGGTCCCAATTCTTCCTCAGCCTCCACTGCTCCACCCTATAATCTTTTTATCGCCTCCCCTCCTCACACCTGCTCCGGCTTGCAGTTTCATTCCGTGACTAGCCCTCCCGCACCTGCCCAGCAATTTATTCTTAAAAAGGTGGCTAGAGCTAAAGGCATAGTCAAGGTTAATGCTCCTTTTTCTTTATCCCAAATCAGATAGCGTTTAGGCTTTTTCATCAAATATAAAAATCCAGCCCAGTTCATGGCTCGTTTGGCAGCAACCCTGAGACGCTTTACAGCCCTAGACCCTAAAAGGTCAAAAGGCCAACTTATTCTCAATATACATTTTATTACCCAATCTGCTCCCGACATTAAATAAAACTCCAAAAATTGGAATCTGGCCCTAAAACCCCACAACAGGACTTAATGAACCTCACCTTCAAGGTGTGTAATAACAGAAAAAAGTTGCAATTCCTTGCCTCCACTGTGAGACAAACCCCAGCCACATCTCCAGCACACAAGAACTTCCAAACGTCTGAACTGTAGCAGCCAGGCATTCCTCCAGAACCTCCTCCTCCAGGATCCTGCTACACATGACGGAAATCTGGCCACTGGGCCAAGGAACGCCCGCAGCAGCCCGGGATTCCTCCTAAGCCGCGTCCCATCTGTGTGTGACCCCACTGAAAATCGGACTGTTTAACTCACCTGGCAGCCACTCCCAGAGCTCCTGGAACTCTGGCCCAAGGCTCTCTGACGGATTCCTTCTTGGCTTACCGGCTGAAGACTGACGCTGCCTGATCACCTCAGAAGCCCCGTAGACCATCTCGGACGCCAAGCTTTAGGTAACTCACAGTGGAGGGTAAGTCCGTCCCCTTCTTAATCAATACAGAGGCTACCCACTCCACATTACCTTCTTTTCAAGGGTCTGTTTCCCTTGCCTCCATAACTGTTGTGGGTATTGACGGCCAGGCTTCTAAACCTCTTAAAACTCCCCAACTCTGGTGCCAACTTAGACAATACTCTTTTAAGCACTCCTTTTTAGTTATCCCCACCTGCCCAGTTCTCTTACTAGGCTGAGACACTTTAACTAAATTATCTGCTTCCCTGACTATTCCTGGACTACAGCTATATCTCATTGCCACCCTTCTTCCCAATCCAAAGCCTCCTTTGCGTCCTCCTCTTGTATCCCCCCACCTTAACCCACAAGTATAAGATACCTCTACTCCCTCCTTGGCAACTGATCACGCACCCCTTACCATCTGATTAAAACCTAATCACCCTTACCCCACTCAATGCCAATATCCCATCCCACAGCACACTTTAAAAAGATTAAAGCCTGTTATCACTCGCCTGCTACAGCATGGCCTTTTAAAGCCTATAAACTCTCCTTACAATTCCCCCATTTTACCTGTCCTAAAACCAGACAAGCCTTACAAGTTAGTTCAGGATCTGCTCCTTATCAACCAAATTGTTTTGCCTATCCACCCCGTGGTGCCAAACCCGTATACTCTCCTATCCTCAATACCTGCCTCTACTACCCATTAGTCTGTTCTAGATCTCAAACATGCTTTCTTTACTATTCCTTTGCACCCTTCATCCCAGCCTCTCTTTGCTTTCACTTACACTGACCCTGACACCCATTAGGCTCAGCAAATTACCTGGGCTGTACTGCCGCAAGGCTTCACAGACAGCCCCCATTACTTCAGTCAAGCCCAAATTTCATCCTCATCTGTTACCTATCTCGGCATAATTCTCATAAAAACACACGTGCTTTCCCTGCTGATCGTGTCGGATTAATCTCCCAAACCTCAATCCCTTACAAAACAACAACTTCTTTCCTTCCTAGGCATGGTCAGTGCAGTCAGAATTCTTACACAAGAGCCAGGACCGCACCCTGTAGCCTTTCTGTCCAAACAACTGGACCTTACTGTTTTAGCCTAGCCCTCATGTCTGCGTGCAGAGGCTGCCGCTGCTTTAATAATTTTAGAGGCCCTCAAAATAAGTAGAGGCCTTTCCTACAGGGTCTGAGAAGGCCACTGCAGTCATTTCTTCCTTTCTGTCAGACATAATTCCTCAGTTTAGCCTTCCCACCTCAATACAGTCTGATAACAGGCGAGCCTTTATTAGTCAAATCAGCCAAGCAGTTTTTCAGGCTCTTAGTATTCAGTGAAACCTTTATATCCCTTATGGTCCTCCATCTTCAAGAAAAGTAGAATGGACTAAAGGTCTTTTAAAAACACACCTCACCAAGCTCAGCCACCAAAAAGGACTGGACAATACTTTTACCACTTTCCCTTCTCAGAATTCAGGCCTGTCCTCGGAATGCTACAGGATACAGCCCATTTGAGCTCCTGTATAGACGCTCCTTTTTATTAGGCCCCAGTCTCATTCCATACACCAGACCAACTTAGACTGTGCCCCCCAAAAAACTTGTCATCCCTACTATCTTCTGTCTAGTCATACTCCTATTCACCGTTCTCAACTACTCATACATGCCCTGCTCTTGTTTACACTGCTGGTTTACACCATTTTTCCAAGCCGTCACAGCTGATATCTCCTGGTGCTATCCCCAAACTGCCACTCTTAACTCTTGAAGTAAATAAATAATCTTTGCTGGCAGGACTATGCTGAATCTCCTTAGGCACTCTCTAATCAGATATCCTGAGTTGTCCCAATTCTTAGACCTTTTATACCTGTTTTTCTCCTTCTGTTATTCCATTTAGTTTCTCAATTCATCCAAAACCATATCCAGGCCATCACCAATCATTCTATATGACAAATGTTTCTTATAACATCCCCACAATATCACCTCTTACCACAAGACCTCCCTTCAGCTAAGTTCCCATGCTGCCCGTTATCCCGCTTGAAGCAACCCTGAGAAGCATTGCCCATTCTCTCTCCATACCACCCCCCCAAAATTTTCACCGTGCCAACACTTCAACACCATTTTGTTTTATTTTTCTTATTAATATAAGAAGGCAGGAATGTCAGGCCTCTCAGCCCAAGCCAAGCCATCGCATCCCCTGTGACTTGCATGTATACACCCAGATGGCCTGAAGTAACTGAAGAATCACAAAAGAAGTGAATATGCCCTGCCCCACCTTAACTGATGACATTCCACCACAAAAGAAGTGTAAATGGCCGGTCCTTGCCTTAAGTGATGACATTACCTTGTGAAAGTCCTTTTCCTGGCTCATCCTGGCTCAAAAAGCACCCCCATTAAGCACCTTGCGACCCCCACTCCTCCCCTCCACAGAACAAACCCCCTTTGACTGTCATTTTCCTTTACCTACCCAAATCCTATAAAACGGCCCCACCCCTATCTCCCTTCGCTGACTCTCTTTATGGACTCAGCCCGCCTGCACCCAGGTGAAATAAACAGCCATGTTGCTCACACAAAGCCTGTTTGGTGGTCTCTTCACACGGACGCACATGAAATTAACCACCATTACAATTTTGGTGACTTCCTTCCAAATTCTTATCCAGTTCACCTAGCTGAAGTTCATTTTTAAATATTTTAAAGAGATTAGAAAGAAAAGGGTTCTAAGTAAGAAAACCCCAGATTTATGACTATTTTTGCGAAAAATACAGTGGTTTGAATGAGAAATATCATAATTTGGATAATGCCACCTGGAATAGAACATATTTTTCCACTTTGTGTCATGAAAATATATTTGAAAGTATGAGAAAGGTTTTGATCCCCAATGTCTTATGGCATTCTAAATTCGTATGCAATGTTATAATATTAAATATATTTTAGCATTAAAATATATTATTAATATCTAGTTTTGAATATCTTTCTCTAGACAACGTGATTATATGTAATGGTAAAATTAATATATAGTTAATATTTTCCTAGGTTTTGGCACTGCAGGAGTTTACTGGTATTTTAAATATTATAATATTTTTGCTATTGTTTTGCCAGTTCTGCTGATGAATTGCTATTTTATTTGTGAAAGAACATATGTTTGAAAGAAGATAAATCTATGTCCATTAGTCATGCTAAAATAGAGTTTATTTGTAGCAGAGGATAGAGGATTCCACTCATTGCAATAAACTTTTATTGCTTAATTTGGTTCCATGCCCTCATTCTAGACATTGTGAATATGGAAATGAACTAGAGATTGTTATTTCTTCATAAACTGATTAAGAATACAGTAATGTAAACAAAGAACTATAATGTATTATGATGAGTGTTATGATGGAGATATACTTAAAGTAGCAGTGGAATACAGGTGATGGGGATTATAATTCTGAGTAGGAAATTAAAAACAGAAAGGGGACCCACAAAGAAAAGCAACATCTCAGTTGAGTTTAGAAAAAGTAAATGTTTCCCAGGAAGAAACAATGCATCATTTCTATATGAGAAAAATTTTAATCTCTTGCCCTAACTTTCACAGAGCCATGTAACTTTTATACCTTACAACTTAAGTTCTTACTATAGAACCTTTCTCCATTTCTATTCAGCTGAAAAAAAATTCTATGAGAAATAGCCAACCAATGATTTTTATTTTGCATAGAATAAATATATCAAGAAACCATTCTAAGAAAGTCTCTACTATTCTGGGAGATTTTGATCTATGTTATACAGTAACCACAACAAATAGGTAAAGCACAGAATTGATTAAAAATATGAAGTCAGCCAGTTGTGGTGGCTCACACCTGTAATACCAGCACTTTGGGAGGCTGAGGCAGGCAGATCACCTGAGGTCAGGAGTTCAAAAGCAGCCTGGCCAACATGGTGAAACCCCATCTCTACTAAAAATACAAAAATTTTCCCAGCGCAGTGATGTGTGCATATAATCCCAGCTACTCAGGAGGCTGACACAGAAGAATCACTTGAACCCGGGAGGCGGAGGTTGTAATGAGTGGAGATCGCGCCATTGCACTCCAGCCTGGGTGACAGAGTGAGACTCCATCTCAAAAAAAAAAAAAAAAATACTAAGCCACTTAATTTTTGCATGAGGTATAAGTAAGGGGTCCAGTTTCAATTTTCTGCATATGGCTACCCAGTTCTCCCAGCACCATTTATTAAATAGGGAATCCTCACCACATTGCTTGCATTGCTTGTTTTCGTCAGGTTTGTAGAAGATTGGATGGTTGTAGGTGTGCAGTCTTATTTTTGAGTTCTCTATTCTGTTCCATTGGTTTATGTGTCTGTTTTGGTATCAGTGCCATGCTGTTTTGGTTACTGTAGCCTTGTAGTATAATTTGAAGTCAGGTAGCCCAGAACTTAAAATCAATGAAAAAATAAAAAATTTAAATAAGAAAATACTAAGGCAGGGTTATCATTGAATTTTCTCTCACCTAGTATTAAATGCAGCCAATCTCCTCAAACTTCTAATACATGCTTCTCTATCTGAATAATAAAATAGAGAAAAATCAAACAATAATGTTCACAAATTCCTATCACCCCAACAATTTACCAATCTGCAACTGTGCTTTCTCTCTCATCATCATAGATGGTACAGCCACTGTCCCTATTTGAGGCCAACCCATGCCAAGTGTACTAAATCCCTTCTACTCTTGCTTACACTGAAGCACTCTTACTACATTCTTTGCCTCTTCTATTGCATATTCATTATTTATTTTTCTAACAACTATTTTATCAGAAAACAAAATTGTTGTCACTTCTTCAATCTTAATAATAATAAATCTCTTATAACTTCATAGAACTCATCAATTGCTGGTTATATACTCTCATCAAAATGAAATTCCTCAAAAGTGTAGTCTATATTTGTTGACTTCAATTTCACTCCTGTTACTTTTGTAAATTAGGGTCTAATTAATATAAAATAAAATGTTCATTTTTAAAGTGTAGAATTTGATGAGTTTTGACAATCACATACACCTATGTAATAACCATCTGCAACAAGAGCTAGAACAATTCCATTACCCTGGAAGTTTCTCTCAACTCCCAATGAAGTCAATCTCCTTGCCCCAGGCAAAAATGATGTGAAACACTATGCATCTGAGAACAGTAAGAATTCTTACACTAAAATATGGAATCAGGAATTAATTAGATTCTAAAAAGCCAAGTATATCTAGGTAAATCACTAGACTCTAGTGCACATGAGAGGATTTGTGAAGGAATATCCACATTTAGATATTTGAGATAAAATAAATAAGAGCAGCTCATTGATAGGTAAATTATTGATCTGAAGATGAATTTTTAAATTCAAGCAAAAACCCAATACTTCGAGTGAGGTAAAAGTAGAAAAACTGAAGTGAGCATGAGGTTAAGTTTGTAGTAAATCTTACAGACACTGCTTCTTTGTCTTTTTATTCTCATTAGTAGCCTATGCTTTGTCTCCACAGGTGTACCATCACCTGTCCTTAAAGGTGCACTTCTCTGAATTTTATTAAAGGCAATTAAATGCAGTTTCTGGAGAGAAGATGTAAGAATTTCTGAAAGCAGGTTCAAATCAAAAGCAAACAACTTTGTTCTTCAATTAAAATTAGAATCTTTTCTAATTAAATTTTCCTTTCTGTAGGCATGCATGGATATTCATCATTCATATGCAAAAACGTACTTTTAGATGACAGTATGTTCTCCTTACAAAGTAGAAAAAGGTCATAAATCTCTAGCACAAATCAAAATTCAGATGTCTTCTCTCTGATTGATTTATTATTGCATATTAGAGTCCTTGGGCACATTTGAAACTACATAAGCTATGTGACATACAAGACAATTGTTTTTAATTTCTGCAGTTGTACTTTAATACTTAAAATCAATTAGCTATTCCAGAGCACTTGCCTTTCTGTTTTATGGGCCGTTACATACAATACTAATGTCATTTGCTTTAACTGCGAGCCCGGGTTTTCCTTTGCCCATTACATGTCATATTCTGATATCTAGGGGTGGGCTGAAGTTAATATTTCTGTAGACCAATTATAATTTTTTAATATGTATACATTTTAACTAATATAGTTGATGGAAAGGATAGACTTGACAACAAATGGTGCTGGAATAATTGAATATACATATTCGGAAAAAAAGAACCAGAAAAAAAAACTATCTTACCATATACCACTTAGAAAAATTAATTATAAAACTGATGTATGCACTTGTGTCTATGGATTCCAAAATAATATAAAATAAAATAAAATTGATCTAAATGTTAAAGTGTAAGATTTATTTAAAACTCTATGGCAATATATTTGAAGTTCTCAATAATCTGGATAATATCCTATATATTTTCCAAATTAATGCAAAAAGGCATTGAAAAATTGTCGAATGATAATCCAGGGAGACACAGAGAAAAAGGAATTTAGTCATGAGTCCCACAGTGCCAAACAAACAAAAACTCCAGCAACACAGATTTTGGCCTCACATAATTGGAACCAGTATTGCTGTGTGAGACAAGAGTAGAGTCATGAACTTGGGCCTCCAAGACATTTATTTTACCTCTTGCCTCTACTCCTGCCTGGATCTCAGCTGCATTGCATCCCGCTTGCTTCCAATGTCCTGGAAGTGTGGCTTCCTTGTAGATCTGTTTCTTTATAGCATCAGCATCAAAGAATAAACATCTTTCAGAGCATTCCTTTAAGGAAATCACAGAGTCTTATGTAACAAAATTGGGCAACAAACCCATATGGAAACCAAAACCTGGAACCAGCAGTATGCTTCTGGTCTTATGATCTTCCCAGTCTATACAATTTGCTGATTTCTATGCTCAGGAAGAAGAAAATTCTTTCATCAGAAGAATGATTAAATCACACACTGTAATTTTTCCAGTGGCTTACATAATTTTAATAAGTAATTTATTTAAAATAACCAAGATATTTGTCTTTCCTCTGTGCTTCCTAGTAACTGAACCCTTTCTGTACTTTATGCATCTTAGTGATAGACAAACCACAAATTTTACCAAGCTAAAGAAAACATTGCCAGAAATACAGATGGTTGTAAAAGGTAAACACATCCAGTGTTTCTAAAGTAGTAAGGGAGATTTTTTTTTAACTGAAAGAAGTCTGCTACATGATTTTAAAAAAATTGTTATTGGATTTCAATCCAAACCCTGGTTCTCTTTCTAGAGATTCACGAACTGCCCAGTGATCTTTAAGTACATTTTATGATAACATATTTCAATACTTACAAAGCAAATTTATATTGCTTGCAATGACATACTTTCACTGATACTGCATATATTTTCTCTAAACTGGTTCAACTCTTATATAGTTTAAATATATATTTATATATACATGCATATATCAAATACATAAATTAATATTTGAAAATATGAAACGTAAATTAAAACTCACAAGTTCTAAACAAATGTATATTATGCACACATGCACATAAAAGTATAACTGATAAGGATAATTATTATCATATATGTCAATTTATGGCATAATAAATGTCAATTTAAATACTTGTAAATGGATCCTACTAGTTATTACAAAATGAATATGCTTTGACTAAGTAGAGTTTATTCTGCAAACACTGGTTGATAATAGAAAATATATTAATTTATTTCAACAAATTTATAGATTTATAGCTAACAAGTAAAGAACACCATAGCATTATAAATATATTTGTGAAAACAGATTTAAAACATAAGAATATCTAATAAGGTGAGGGGAAAGCCCAAAGAGAAATATATAATAAAAGGCATGTTTTAATGTAATAAAAAAATCTTCTGTCTCAATAAAGATCCATCATATATTTAATGGGAAAATACTAAAATTATCCTTAATGTTAATGAAAAATCAAGGCTATCTATAAGTACTATTTTCAATTCATATTCCTCTGAATTGGAGCCAACATGATAATCCAAGAAATGGGACATCTATAACAGAAATAAATTATTATCAGTAGTAGTAGAAGACTTCATTAAACTTTTTTGAAAATTCAAAAGAAACACTTAACATTTCTGACTTAATCAGAAAATTAAGTGGTTAGTTAAATTATATTAAAATCAATAACAATTTTGAAGTACAATATGAATGACAGACTTCTGGTAGATGATGGATTCAGTTGAAAAGGATGGGCTGTTTGTTTTTTCCAAGTTTTAGAAATTCCCTATGAAATACATAGAACATATTTTATAATTAACTGATAAAATTGTACACAAAATAAAGGACCTACAAGACGCTAGAAACTGAGAAACAAATTGAAATAAGAATAGGTAGGGAGATCTGATGCTTTGCTACACCAAACTAAATTCAGACTATACTTATCCCAGAGGGCTATGGGCTGAGAGATGTTTAAGCATTAAGCGTGGCACCAAAGCCAGGGACATTAGACTTCTTTACCTTTTCCACAGCTGAGAATAAAATAAACTTTATCCAGAAGCCTTGAACAGCAGCAAGGAACCTTAACCTTCACAGTGGATTTTGAGTAGAGGACAAACAAAACAAAACAAAACAAAACAAAAACATCACAAAACAAAACAAATCCTTGTCCACACAAAGAAAACAAACTGCAGAAAAAATGTTTAAACAACCTGTTTGAAAAGAAATCCATAACTTCTAAAATTATACAAAAAAGCCCAGAGGTATTAAATATCTGGTGACTTTTGAAGTAATATGTACATACTTTCACAATTTTAGACATACAAGACTCACTTGGAAAGTGTCAACTCCACCCACAATTAAAGAAAAATAAATACATAAAAACATGCATGGACCAAATAACCACAAAAAGAGTCAGTTAAGAGAAGAAATGGGATATTCAGCAATCTCAAACCATAAAACAATAAAACATTATGAAACACATTCTTAAACTGAAAGAAGGACAAAATTAAAGAGTTTGAATTAAGAAAAAGTAAAGTTAAAAATGATCCAAGTAGGACTTCTCACTGATAAAAAAGAGATGTGCTGAAATAAAATATTTAATGAATGAGATAAGAAGTACAAATAAAAAAAGTGCGACAAAGTCAAATGAACACATAGAAATTACATGGGAAAAGTGCATATTCTAGAAGGACAAATAAATGTTAAATTAACAGCATACTTCCAATCAACAACAACAGATGAACAAAAACACCAAATGAATAAGAAAAATGACTCTCAGTCTTGGTTTCTAAACTCATTTCAATTACCATTGAAGAACAAAAGTAAAATTAATACAGTCATGCTTTGCTTAAAGATGGAGATACATTCTGAGAAACATGTCATTAGGCAATTTTGTCATTTTTTGAACATTATAGAATATATTTAAACAAACCTAGACGGTATAGCCTACTAAAAACCTAGGCTATATGGTATAGCCTATTGCCTCTAAGTTACAAAAGTGTACAGCATGTTTCTGTACTGAATCCTGCAGGCAATTGTAACACAATGATATTTGTGTATCTAACCACAGGAAAGGTAATGTGTTGCATGATGAAATTATGACAGTTACAAAGTGTAACTTTGACAGAAATTTTTTCTGTCCATTGTAATCTTATGGAACCACCATTTTATGTGGAATCCCTCATTGACCAAAGCATGTAACTGTATTCTCAAACACTGAGTGACTTTATAATTCACACATCTTCATTACAAGAATAATTTAAAGTACTTTAGTAAGAAGGAAAACAAATTCAAAAGAAAATAGTGGAATACAAGATGCAATAATAAAAAAAGAGATCAAATATTGATAGATTTAATTACCATTTTCTAGTAAGTCATAACAATACTGAATCTATGTATACCTAATTATATACTATTAATGTATGTAAAAATTGACAGAATTGCAAAAAGAAATTGACAAGTCTATAGTTATATTTGACAAATGATAAAAATCACCTAGATTGTAATAGCTCAAATGTCCAAAGTTTTTTTTAAGAATATATGATTTTTAAAATATTATAATCTTAATTCAGTGGACAAATACAGGAAGCTGAGCCCAACAAATAATGATTAAGAATATGGGCTCTGGGGTGTGACTTTTGGGATGCAATCTCAAATTCTGCCTGTAACTAGATGACTGATCTTGAACAAGACACCACAATTTCCTCATGTATAAAACAGTAGTGATATATTTACCTCATAAGGTTATTGAGGAATTAAATGTGTTAATACAATCAAATGTGTTTAATAACAGAATCTGATGCACAATAACTCTTCAACAAATATCAGCTATTATTTTATTTACAGATTTATAATTTTGTCCAAATATATTACATATAGCATATATAATTTTCCATAATTATCACATGATAGTTATAGAAGTTTAATTTTTATTATTTCAAGTAACAAAAAGTATACAAATTTGAAAAAAATTCTTGCAATAAATTCAGCTTAATAGGATATTCATTACTATTGTACTTAAATCTACTAGTTTAAACAAAACCATTGATTATGCTAGAAGGCAACTGGTATCTTGCAGTATCCCAAGACTGCAATAACTATAAGCCAGGAATGTTTAGATCAGGGACTAAAAGCTGCCAGGATTCTAAGAATTATTTTCTCACCATTTTGTTGAGTCTGCAACATTATTTTTCTTTTCTACTCTCTGTGCTTCTTTGCCTTATTCTTTTCTCTCTACTGGCTGGATCTGCAGCTTCTCCCCCATATGCATTCTTGCCCCTTAACTCTTAAATTTAAGTCAGTTTAGTTCTAGCTACTAAAGGAAACTAACAGCAACTGAGTTCAGATTGCACATTCCTAAGAAAAAGAATGTCATAGTCGGCCGGGTTCGGTGGCTCATGCCTGTAATCCAAGCACTTTCGGAGGCTGAGGCAGGCGGATGATTTGAAGTCAGAATTTCAAGATCAGCCTGACCAACATGGTGAAACCCTGTCTCTACTAAAAATGCAGAAAAATAGCTGGGCATGGTGGCACACACCTGTAATTTCAGCTACTTGGAAGACTGAGGCAGGAGAATCGCTTGAACCCGGGAGGTAGAGGTTGCAATGAGCCAAGATGGTGCCACTGCACTCCAGCCTGGGAGACGGAGCAAGACTGTCTCAAAAAAGAAAAAGAGAGAATGTAATAGTCTAAATATGGGTCAGGTTATCTACTGCAATCAACTACTGCAAGGTTGGAATTAGAAATTACACACAATCAAAGGTACATTCTAGGAGATGTTGTAGCTTAGGAAGAAATCATAGGAGCCATTGTAGCCTAAGAAGAAATCAAAAAACTGTCTGCTATAATCAGTACCTTGCCTACCCAATCTTAAAAGATTTACCATAGTGTTTTGGTTTGCAGGACCATAAAATAATTCAGTAAAAAATTTGCTTGTGAGAACCAATGCTGTTTTAGAAAAATCACAGCTGTAAAAACAATTGAATCCAGTGTCTAATACTTACCCTTGCCAATAAATCCTGCAAAATAGTAAAAAAGGTTTTTGTTTGTTTTTTCTTTTGAAAGTCATGGTGATGTACTCTTTAAATATTAAGATAACATAAAGTTAAATTTAATTATTCCCATGTTCTTAAGTATGTTCTCCAAGTTTAAAACCTATCATTATTTCAGTTCTGATCATCTAGATTTAAGACCTACAACATCTATTTATGCACCTTCCTATTCTTCAACATCTATTTATACATGTTCATATATAAATATACACATGCACAACATTTACAAATTCAGTGTACATTAGACTGAATCATGCTAACTTGGATTTCAAGGTCCCAGCTACTCACTATCATCCCAGCTACTCATTATAGCATATATACCCCACCTACAACTTAAATGTCTTACCCAGGAAGATATCCTGATTTTCAAGGATGCATATGTCAATATGACCCCGTTTTAATTTTCTTCATATGTCAATATCTGGTGGTTGGTTATGGAAAAAAACTTTTTAAAAATGGATTTTGCAGTGTCTCAGGCACTGACTTAAATGTTTTACATAGCACATTCAAATTGTATTATAATTACGTGAGATAGATTTTCCATTATCTCTGTGTTAGATGAGAAAACTGATAGTCATTAAGTAATTATCCCAATGTCACACATCTAGCAATAACCATTGCTAGTGTTCAAAGGCAAGCACTGTTGCTTCAAAATGTGCTTTTAACTATTCTATCTCTGTATGTATGTGTGTGTGCAAGTGTTCACACATGTGCAAATCTGGAGGGAGACTGAAAGAGAGAGGTAAAAAAAAGAGACATTGTTATATGGGGTGGAATAAGAGAGGAAAAAAAAGCATGAGGGAGGAGAAGGGAAAGAGGAGAGAAGGAAAAAAAGATAAAATGTTTTATATTATTGGAACATTAAAAACTAAAATATTTGCTAGGTGATAAGTACCACCCGATAGAGACCATGTAGAATTTTCAGTATTTTTTATAAAAGGTAATATACTGTGATGAATTCTTTGACTTTTAAAATGAAAATTTCCAAATTGTTCTTTAAAAGAATTTCATGAAGTGCAATTATATACATATTAGTAAATCTGTAAATATTAACAATGTCATTAGCTCTAAATTTATAAAAGGAAACATTGCTTACCCAAATTTCCATATTATTATATATTCTCAATTCCAGGTTTTAAAACAATTTTATCTAAAAGAACTTATTAGGTCTTTATCTCTATTTGGTTATTTTTAGAGACATGATATTGAATTAATTAGAACAAAGGGTTATGATTATAATCTGAGAGTGATATTAAAATGTATTGCTTATCAATGGCTTTTAAATTTTTTCAATCTATTACAATGTTAATGTTTAACTTAAACTAGAGGAATTTATATATATAATTATATATAATATAATATATAATAATATATAACATTTAATAATTTAGATATATTATTTCATACTGATATATCTATATAATTTAGTGCTGAAATATATAACTATATATATACTAAATTTAATCAGTACTAAATAAATAATGCTGTTTAGTACTCATTAAATCAACATGACTGGGTTATAACAATTTTTTAATAAAAAAGATTCATTTTAACATATTTGTTATTGAGAAGTATATTATCATTCAGTTATGATATTTTAGGATATAAATTATAATCACAATTCAGACAATTTTATATGTTGGATTGTTCTTGGTAAATTACATCCAATATTTTCATTATCTCTATTTACATCAAAATATTATAGTTATAGACAATTAATTTGAGTTCATCTACTACAAGAATTGGGTTTCCTTTTCTCTATCAAGAAAACATTTTAGCATCTTACATGTATATAAAAATAAACAATTTTAATTTAACTTTGTACAAGGCTATATATTGTGCATCTTGACTTTGCCCAAAGCCATGCACATTTGGCCACGCCAGTATTTAAGTAGCAGTTTACAGAAGGAATTCAGAAAATACTACTGGCAGTATGGTTGTTTTCTACAAACAACAAATGAAGTGTGAATTTGTAAAGAATTGTGTCTTCCAAAGGAGAAGTAAAACTGTAAATGATGCAAATTGGCAGGATTATAGAATATAATGATTCCAAAGAATATTCTGAGTTATAATTGGAAATCATATTGAAGGAAACAGGTTACTCTATATCATGTGTTGCTAAGTATTGAATATACAGCTTGTGAAGGAATTGAACTATGCCAGAGCAAATTAAAGAACATATTGTAATATTATGCTCATTCAATAACCATTATTATACCTTAAACTTGCAGGGGTCCCCAACACCCAGACTGCAGATCAGTACCTGTCTGTGGCCTGTTAGGAACCCAGCAGCACAGTAGGAGGTGAGCAGCCAGCAAGTGTACATTACCCCCTGACCTCTGCCTCCTGTCAGATTAGTGGTGGCATTAGATGTTCACAGGAATGCAAACCTTATTGTGAACCACACATGTGAGGGATATAGGTTGTGTTCTCCTTATGAGAGTCTAATGCCTGATGATCTGAAACCATTGGTTTCATCCAAACCATTCCACCCACAGTGGAAAAAAAATTGTATTCTATGGAACTGGTCCCTGGTCCAAAAATGTTGGGGACCACTACCTTAAAATATATGATGTGCTGAGGAGTAACATTTTCTAGTATTTTAAAATTCTTAAGATATAAAGGGTCTCTGAGACCATGGGTTATTTGGTTTTCTGATTGTACTAGATTTAAGAACATTGTGGTATGTCTAGATATGAGAAAATCCAAACAATTTATAACTTTAGTATTCTAGTAACCTATAGAATGTATGGCAATTAAAACAAAAATAGAAATAAACATAAGGCTTCAGCTGTTTAGAAAATGACAGATCAGAAGTAGGTTAGGGGTGAGAATAACTCTTTTAAGAGGCTGGAAGCATGAAGTTTCCATAACTAAACATATTCACAAAAACCAGAAAAAGATTATGCTTCATTTCTACTTCCAAAAGAAGTCTGCTGCACTGGAAAGACTCCTAAATTTACAAAAAAAAGTGTTTTTTAGTGTCTCATAATGACTGAGTAGATCAAAATATCCTTTCCAAAGCAAAAAGTAGATATTTGTCATGGATATGCAAAAATCAGAATGAATGGCCTTAAACCTCCTCGGCTAACAGAATAATCTGAAACAAAGAAAACTACCAAGTTTTGAGAGCACGGAAAATGGGCAAAAAAAGGCATCAACATTCAGGTAAGACACCTAAGGAACAAATAAACAATCTCCGGGAAAGTCTGCCTGAAAGTGATTTTCATGATTGCTGAGGTGGAGACTTGTTTAACAGAGAGTTGTTGACATGATCCCCTCAATCCAGCCCTCCACCCTGGCCTTGGATTTTAAGTTCAGCTTTGGAATATCTTTTCTTTATGTGGTGGTTCATTCAACAGAAATGGCTTTCCTCTGCAGGGTCTTCATCAGGTATAGATTACTCTCATGCTCTATGTCAAAAAGTCATGAAAGAAACTGAAAGAAGTATGATGAAAATGACAGGCACTAAAACATAAAGTGCAATAAAGCAAGGAGAAACAGAGCTGCTGTCTCCTGTGTTTGGAACTGCAAAGATAAATGAAAAGAAGCTTAGAGTTCACGTTTTTAGTCTTTGTATTTTTAATCATACGCTACTTTGTTCACTGAAATTTATTTGAGTAATATTTTGCTATACTTAAAAGATAGTGAAGTCAAAATTTCTCAGCCCATACTGAAATGATTTCAGATTATATATCCTTAGAATGTTGACCAAACTCATGACTATAGTCTCCATGACTGAAATTAGGCTACTTCAATCAGTCTATATTCTAAATAAAGAAAAGCAGAAGTTACTGGTGAGAAAAGGGATTAACAGAGAATATGCATTTTTCATTTTTTATATGGGAAAAAACTTAGTAGTGTTATATAATTATGAGCTACTTTGAACACTTGCAGTAACAATCATGCAAATTATGATATTTAATTTTTGGAGTAAACTAAAAAATAAAAATTGAAATATATATTTTATATTGGTTTTAATTTATCTTTTAAAAGTTAAAACAAATATATATTTTACTACAACTTCAATTGTTTTTACAGAAATTATTTTATTATTTTGTCTAGATTCATGAGCATCAGAGACTTAATATTTTTATGTTTGCTCTTTTTGTCATTAGTTAAAAACAAAAATGATGTGTGCCTTTTATGCAGTAGATACTGCTTTAAGTCCTCTGTGGATGTTGTATGACTCAATTATTTCAAAAATCATTAGAGGATCTGGAGAGCCACTATCAATGCCCTGAACCTCCACCTGCTTCATCATAGTTTCTTGATTTATTGTATCTATGAATTACTAGTAGAACTGGATATTGGGTAAGATTCCTAATTCTTTTAGGTGATTTGAGAATCTGAATCCTTTGTGAGTGCTAACCACCATAAGCAATGTTTCTATGAACATTCTGCTGCATTCTCACACATGTGTGAGATAGTCTCTGGTATATGCACTGTTAATGCTACCTCTGTATACTTCAGCCTTTACCTTTTCTATCCGTGGGGATCCAACTATCACACACAAGCTGCTGTATCCTTTTGCCAAATAATTTCTCTGTCTTTTGAAGCATGCTCTGCCTCTTGGCAAGTCAGACGTTCTGGCAATTAATGATCAGAACTCAATGACTGATGAAACTTGGTATATAAATAATGCCTCTTGCTGCACACTCACCCCACCTCAGGTGGGATAACCCTAGTGTGTACCGCCTCTCAGAGTTTACCAAAGTGTGATAATGCTTTAATTGCCTACAGTGGTAACTTGCTTTATAATCCACCCTTTACTGGCTTACTTTTCTTCTTTTTCTCAGTTTCTCATTGCGTTTCTGATGTTTCCTGAAATGAATTCTCAAATAGGTTACTACCACTCTTATTCTTGATTCAGAGTTTGCATCTAGAGGAAATTAAAGTAAGAAAGATCCAGGAGTCCACGTCAGTGTTGTAGATTTCACAGACGTTCAATTTTACAAGCAAGAGCAAAATGGTTTCTGAAAATATTTGTACTAATTTTACACTCTCAATATCAGTTCATACTGTTTCCATTGATTCACATCCTCCACCAAAATTTCTTAATTTCTGTCAACATAGTTTGTGAAAAATAGTGTTTCATTATGGATTTAATTTGCCCTATTGTATTATTGATTAGGGCAAAGATCTTTCCATGTCTTTAAATGCTAATCCTGTTTTCTCATCAGAACAAATGCTTGTTCATGACTTTTGCCTAGTTTGTGCTAGGCTGCTTGTCTTATTCTTATGTATAATTATAAATTCTTAATATTTAATAGATTAAATCCTGATTGCTTTAAATATGTTACCAATATCTTCTACCTTTTTTATTTATTCAAATTTTCTTTTTGTTGCAGTTTGATAAACTCAGTTCTTAATTTTAATATAGTCAGTTCTATTAATATTTTTTCTCACGGTTAGCACATTTTGCTTTAGATTAAGAAGTCCCTTTCTATCCTGAAGTAATAAATGTATTTTCTTACATTCTGTTCTAAAAGGCTTAATGTGTTACCTTTAAATTTTTTTATTTAACCCATTAGAAATTGATTTCTCTGCATAGTGTGAGATACAAACCCAATTTCTTTATTTTCTCATGAGATGACTCTTTTCCTGGTACCATTTGTAATATTTTTTCATTTGTTCTTTCTTCTATCAAAATATCTTTCCTCTGGTCAAGGGTCAGCAAACATTTTTTAAGAACCAGATAATAAATATTTTTGGTATTCCACTATGGTTCTCTACCATAAATTATTCTGTGTTTATGTTTTACAACCCTTAGACAAAAATTAAAAAACAGCAACAAAAACATTAGCTCCCAGTCTACACAAAAGAATGCCACAGGGTCAATTTGGCCTTCTGATCTATGTAGTCATAAATTTTGATATCTCATTTCCTCACTTTTTGCCTTTTTTAAGTCTTTGGCCAAATGTTATGTTTAAGATTTTCATCAGCGATCTATTTATAGATGTATTGCTTCTCTCCCTAATTGTTATGTATTGTTCCTCTCAAATCTATTTTTCACTGTGTAGCTTACCACCTTACTGTATTATACATGGCTTTGGTTTTGTTTTGCTTTGCTTTTTTTTGTTCTCCCTCCAACCCCCACATGCCCTGGAATGCAATCAACACACGAATGGAGTTTTTGTCTGTTTTGTTCATGACTGGCTCTGTGATCTAAATAAATATAAGGCATATATTATATATCCATTAAGAGTTGTATGGATGAATGAATAATTACACTTTATAGTTTTGGAAGGCTTATAAATCTCCTGGAAATTTTTCTTTTAAAGCACCACACTTCTAGAGCCAGGCACCACAGCTTGTTCCTATAATCCCACCTACTCAAGAGGCAGAGGCAGGAGGATGACTTGCAGCCAGGAGTTCAAGACCAGCCTGAAAAACATAGTGAGACTTCATCTCTAAAAAGTAAATAAATAAATAAATTTTAAAAACTCACCATGTTTTCTATTTATTTATTTATTTTATTATACTTTAAGTTCTGGGATACATGTGCAGAATGGGAAGGTTTGTTACATAGGTATACACATGCCATGGTGGTTTGCTGCACCCATCAACCCGTCATCTACATTAGGTATTTCTCCTAATGCTATCCCTCTCCTAGCCCCCAACCCCCCGACAGGCCCCAGTGTGTGACGTTCCCCTCCCTGTGTCCATGTGTTCTCATTGTTCAGCTCCCACTTATGAGTGAGAACATGTGGGGTTTGGTTTTTCTGTTCCTGTGTTAGTTTGCAGAGGATGATGGCTTTCGGTTACATCCGTGTTCCTGCAAAGGACATGATCTCATTCTTTTTTATGGCTACATAGTATTCCATGGTGTATATGTGTGACATTTTGTTTATCCAGTCTATCATTGGTGGGCATTTGGGTTAGTTCCAAGTCTTTGCTATTGTGAACAGTGCTGCAATAAACATAGGTATGCATGTGTCTTTATAGTAGAATGATTTATAATCCTTTGGGTATATATCCAGTAATGGGATTCTTGGGTCAAATGGTATTTCTGGTTCTAGATCCTTGAGGAATCGCCATACTGTCTTCCACAATGGTTGAACTAATTTACACTCCCACCAACAGTATAAAAGCATTCCTATTTCTCCACATCCTCTCCAGCACCTGTTGTTTCCTGACTTTTTAATGATTGCCATTCTAACTGGTGTGAGATGGTATCTCATTGTGGTTTTGATTTGCATTTCTCTGATAGCCAGTGATGGTGAGCATTTTTTCATATGTTTTTTGGCTACATAAATGTCTTCTTTTGAGAAGTGTCTGTTCATGTCCTTCGCCCACTTTTTGATGAGGTTGTTTGTTTTTTCTTGTAAATTTGTTTAAATTCCTTGTAGATTATTGATATTAACCATTTGTCAGATGGGTAGATTGCAAACATTTTCTCCCATTCTGTAGGTTTCCTGTTCTTTCTGATGATAGTTTTTTTTTTTTTTTTGCTGTGCAGAAGCTCTTTAGTTTAATTAGATCCCATTTGTCAATTTTGGCTTTTGTTTGCCATTGCTTTTGGTGTTTTAGTCATGAATTCTTCGCCCATGCCTATGTCCTGAATGGTATTGCCTAGGTTTCTTCTAGGGTTTTTATGGTTTTAGGTCTTACATTTAATTCTTTAATCCATCTTGAGTTGATTTTTGTATAAGGTATAAGGAAGGGGTCCAGTTTCAGTTTTCTGCACATGGCTAGCCAGTTTTCCCAACACCATTTATTAAATAGGGAATCCTTTCCCCATTGCTTGATTTTGTCAGGTTTGTCAAATGTTAGATATTTGTAGATGTGTGGTGTTATTTCTGAGGCCTCTGTTCTGTTCCACTGAGATATATATATACATATATATCTTATTATTTTGAGATACTTTCCATCAATACCTAGTTTATTGAGAGTTTTTAGTATGAATGGGTGTTCAATTTTATCGAAGGCCTCTTTTGGTACCAGTACAATGCTGTTTTGGTTACTGTAGCCATGGAGTATAGTTTGAAGTCAGGTAGCATGATGCCTCCAGTTTTGTTCTTTTGGCTTAGGATTGTCTTGGCTATGAGGTCTCTTTTTTGGTTCCATATGAAATTTAAGGTGGTTTTTTTCTAATTCTGTGAAGAAAGTCAATGGTAGCTTGATGGGGATAGCATTGAATCTATAAATTACTTTGGGCAGTATGGCCATTTTCACCATATTGATTCTTCCTATCCATGAGCATGGAATGTTCTTCCATTTGTTTGTGTCCTCTCTTATTTCCTTGAGCAGTGGTTTGTAGTTCTCCTTGAAGAGGTCCTTCACATCCTTTTTAAGTTGTATTCCTAGGTATTTTATTCTCTTTGTAGCAATTGTGAATGGGAGTTCACTCATGATTTGGCTCTCTGTTTGTCTATTATTGGTGTATAAGAATGCTTGTGATTTTTGCACATTGATTTTGTATCCTGAGATTGTGCTGAAGTTGCTTATCAGCCTAAGGAGATTTGGGGCTGAGATGATGGGGTTTTCTAAATATACAATCATGTCATCTGCAAACAGAGACAATTTGACTTACTCTCTTCCTATTCGCATATCCTTTATTTCTTTCTCTTTCCTTATTGCCAGGGCCAGAACTCCCAATACTATCTTGATTAGGAGAGGTGAGAGAGGGCATCCTTGTCTTGTGCTAGTTTTCAAAGGGAATGCTTCCAGTTTTTGTCCATTCAGTATGATATTGGCTGTGGGTTTTTCATAAATAGCTCTTATTATTTTACGTTCTACCAATACCTAGTTTATTGAGAGTTTTTAGCATGAATGGGTGTTCAATTTTATTGAAGACCTTTTATGCATCTATTGAGATAATCATGTGTTTTTTGTCATTGGTTCTGTTTATGTGATGGCTTATGTTTATTGATTTGTGTGTGTTGAACCAGGCTTACATCCCAGGGATGAAGCTGACGTGATCATGGTGAATAAGCTTTTTGATATGCTGCTGGATTTGGTTTGCCAGTATTTTATTGAGGATACTCGCATCGATGTTCTTCAAGGAGATTGGCCTGAAATTCTCTTTTTTTGTTGTGTCTCTGCCAGGCTTTGGTATCAGGATGAGGCTGGCCTTATAAAATGAGTTAGGGAGGAGTCCTTCTTTTTTTATTGTTTGGAATAGTTTCAGAAGGCATGGTACCAGCTCCTGTTTCTTCCTCTGGTAGAATTTGGCTGTGAATCTGTCTCATCCTGGGCTTTTTTTTGGTTGATAGGCTATTAATTACTGCCTTAATTTCAGAAATTGTTATTGGTCTATTCAGGGATTTGACTTTTTCCTGGTTTAGCCTTGGGAGGGTGTATGTGTCCAGGAATTTCTTCATTTCTTCTAGGCTCAAAATAAAGGGATAGAGGACTATTTACTAAGCAAACGGAAAGCAAAAAAATAATCAGGGGTTGCAATCCTAGTCTTCAATGAAACAGACTTTAAACCAACAAAGATAAAAACAAACAAACAAACAAGGGCTTTACATAATGGTAAAGGGATCAATGCAACAAGAAGAGCTAACTATCCCAAATATATATTCACCCAATACAGGAGCACCAAGATTCATAAAGCAAGTTCTTAGAGACCTACACAGAGACTTAGACTCCCACACACTAATAGTGGGAGACTTTAACACCCCACTGTCAATATTAGACAGATCAACAAGACAGAAAATTAACAAGGATATTCAGAACTCGAACCCAGCTCTGCACCAAGCAGACCTAATAGACGTCTACAGAATGCCCCACCCCAAATCAACAGAATATACATTCTTCTCAGCAACACATGGCATGTATTCTAAAACTGACCACATAATTGGAAGTAAGACACTTCTCAGCAAATGCAAAAGAACAGAAATCATAACAAACAGACTCTCAGACCACAGTGCAATCAAATTAGAATTCAGGATTAAGAAACTCACTCAAAACTGCACTACATGGAAACTGAACAACCTGCTCTTGAATCACTACTGGGTAAATAATGAAGTTAAGGCAGAAATAAGTAAGTTCTTTGAAACCAATGAGAACAAAGACACAATGTACCAGAATCTCTGGGACACAGCTAAAGCAATGTTTAGAGAGAAATTTATAGCACTAAATGCCCACAGGAGAAAATGGGAAAGATCTAACATTGACACCCTAACATCACAATTAAAAGAACTAGGTAAGCAAGAGCAAACAAATTCAAAGCTAGCAGAAGACAGGAAATAACTAAGATCAGAACAGAAATGAAGGAGATAGAGATAGGAAAAACCCTTCAAAAAATCAATGAATCCAGGAGCTTGTTTTTTGAAAAGATTAACAGAACTAGATAGACCACTAACCAGACTAATAAAGAAGAAAAGAGAGAAGAATCAAATAGACACAATAAAAAATGATAAAGGGGATATCACCACTGATCCCACAGAAATACAAACTACCATCACAGAATACTATAAACACCTCTATGCTTTCTATTTTTTTCTTTTCCATTACTTGAATAATATATTTATTTATTTTGCCTTAATTATAATTCCTATATTTGAAATCTTAGGAAAAATGATGCTGCTGACTTTTTTCTGTTAATTTTCATTCATTATTCTTTGTTTATTTGTGGTTGTCTAAGTTTGAGTGAGCATGCAGGAATATTCAAAACATAGGACATTTTTATCATGAGTACACATTTCTTCTCATCTTTATCATAAGGAATATGTAAGTTTGTGTTGGAAACTTCATTTCTCCAGAGGAATTGTGTTTGTATCTATCAAGCTACTGGGCCAATGTTAACCAATATTAAAATAAATCTTGACCTGAATTTTCCACACAAGATAAATAATGTGATTTTGGACTACAAACCCATATAATGGAACTTTTTTTTTGTTGTTGCATGCATTGTTACTTTATGTTCTGCAAATTGTCTTTGCAATATTGGGGTCTTTCAGAATGTAAATCTCTTGTTTATTGTCTTCTCATGACAGCATGTTTCTTCTTGAGTTTGATACCATTTTATTAGGAGCTCATGTTTTGTGAAACTCAATCTTGGAGAATCTTGAGAGACCTGGAATGAGAATTCTACTCTTCAGAAAGTATTTGTAACCGCTTTTGGCAGGCAACAGAGTGGTCCTACTGACTTTGAAATACTTTAGTCAATTTCTCAACTTGATGTTTCTCACGCTGCTTAAGTAATGCAAAATAAAATCATATTCCAGTGTGAGCACAGGCTTAAGGCTTCAAATTCCCAAGGTAAACAATTAGTTTTATTATTCCACCTAGAAATGGCATACAGAGCCTGGTTTCCTCAATAGTTCCCTTGGTTTCCAGCCACAGTTTTGCTTGTTTTGTTTTGTTTTGTTGTTTACTACTTTAAGGATATAGCTGTTCAGTGTGTTCCAAATTTTGGCTTATATATTAAGTTAAGCTTCCTTCCTTTGAATAAACTCAAGGCCTCTTCTACTATTGTCCAGGGCACAAATGTTAATTCCCTGGGCTCTATGTTCCCTGATGTGCTCTAGGGAAACCCCAGCTTCATTTTTTTAACCACTCTGGTGTTATTCTGATACTCTTTTTTATTATCTCTGGGAATTTTCTTATTTTCTTCCAAGCCCAGCCATATATGAATTTTAATTTTATGATTTATTTTTATCTGCATATTAAAAATGAAAAGTTCTTTCAGAATGTCTAGACTGCCATGGTATTATAAGAGGAAGAATCCCCTTGTTCTTTTGCCAGTCTTCCTAAAAGAGCCCTTTAGCTTAATCTTTAAGACATAAAAATTTGTTCTTCAGTGGAGTTTATTCTCTTCTTCAGCTTATCCATTTAGTTCCTTTCGACCCTGTATTTTATTTCAAGATTTTATACTTGCTTTTCTTTTATTATAGATATCATTTATTTTTTGACTTTAGTATCCTCCCAATGAAGTCTAAGTTAATTAAACTAAAGTCAGAGTATTTTTGTATTTACTACATTTATTATTATTTTTAAAAATTATTGGTTCATCTGTTTCTGTCTTTAGTGCTCCACTTGCATCATATTGTTTTTCAACAAATACTCATGTGGATTCACATTTCTTTAATTAAAACAGTCTTTTTAACAGCCTATAAACATGTGCTCTCAAAAACAGTCTATGAATAAATACCTGTAGTCCTTAAACTATTACGCCATTAAGACATTGGGAGTAGAGATGATTGTTCATCTGCACAGAAGGTTCTAATCTCCTTGGAGGAGTCACTTTCAGCTAGGGCAGTGGACTCATCCTCTGATTCAAGCACTTCGCCTTAGTCCAGGGGTAAGGACATTATAAGAAAAGAAGGAGGCTTCTTATATTGTTTTTCTGAATCCAATTGCCCAATGAGTCATTCTTATCTCTGTATCCCTTCTGCCTCATTGAATGCATAGCCAGATTTGCATTTTGTTTGTTTGTTGTTTGCTTTGTCAAGTTGTTAGTTCCTCTGAGGTTTTCTACATCATATGGTTTCTAACTTTCAGCAATTCCACAAACTATTTTGTCAATGGGTGAGAATTTTCTGCTTTTCTAGAAATTGTTATATTGTTGCAGGAGACTTGTGAGCTGTGCAAGAGTAAATGTATATCCTTCTTTCTTTTCCCTGACCTAAAATTACTATTCTTTTGAATGTGTCTTTGACCTGTATTCATCTTATCTACATACTATACTGGATTGCAAGATTGAAAATGTGCACTCCAGTATATCTCAAATGTGCAAAGATAATATAGCTTCTTTTTTATCTATAATTAATCTGATCTTTTTATGAAGTTACATTCGACTAAGAAGTAATAGAATAATTTTGTAAAAAATTAAAACAGGGTGCCTCAAAATAAAAGTATAAATTAAATGTAAAAAAGGTGTCTTTCACTTTGAGTGTTCTCTTATGGGTGAGTTTTTAGTTCTCCTACTTCCACTCCCCCTTCTCTTTTTAAGGTTGATGAAGAATTGGGTGTGGGCATAAGAGCAGTAGAGCAAGGAGCATCTGGTGTCCTTTCATCCATACAAGCATCTTTGCCATCTCTGGACTGGTGACAGGACAGTGTGATATGTCATAACTGGACTTTGGTAATCCCATGCTCACATCCACATTTGGGGTATGTCACTCTCAGCATTTACTTTCAGTTGTAAATTGGTGAATAACATAATGTGTTTAATGTAACCACCATCCTCTACTGGCCCATCCGTTCTCTAATTACCTATCTGTCCCTTCCCCTGGGCATGTGACTACCTCTAGATCCCTTGCAGCATACAGCAAGGAGAGAGCCAGCAGCATACCACAGCTTCATTTATGGACATTTCTCTATGTTATTGCCATTTTATAAGCACTCATGATACATGTGGCCAGCCTCCATCACAATCTCTTTTCAGGTCCCCAAACCAAAAGATGACTTTTGTTTATCATTCATAGATAGATAGATAGTGAGACAGACAGATAGATAGATAGATAGATAGATAGATAGATAGATAGATAGATAGATAGATAGATCATAAATCTTTCTTAATTTCAGGTTTCTTCTCAGCCTAGATAGCATGCTTTCCCATTCTGGGACCCACAGAGTAGAAATCAGAGAATGTATTTAGAGCTTCTTGCTTCCCCCGTCTAGTGCATTCTCACCTTAAAATTCACAGAGGAGCAAGGAAAAGGCTCCCCTCTATTCCCTGTAGATGCTACTTCCTCTACATCCTATTCTGAGTTGTCTCTAGGGTTGATTTTTTGTTACTGAATGGTGAAATTGATTCATTTTTGCTTTTATCACTGACCAATTATGGATTAAATGTTCTCCAAAATAGAAATGTTACTTTTAAATTCCAAAATATGATTCTGTTAGATGAAGTTTAAAAAAGTTTAGTAAAAGCTCACTAGATTCCAAAAGTACATTATTCCCAAAAGCACTGTTGGAAAAGTAGAAGAAAGTAGGTAACAATGTCATTCTTTGTGTCCTTTGAATGGGGTTTCCAGATAAATGAAATAAAAATTATAGGATCTTCTCAATTAAAACATAAAGATTTTTCTCTCAATTATTTCTCATGTTTTAAAATGTTAATTTGTAAACTATTTCGATTATTTTCAAAGATAATTTGGCTCATGAAACAGAAAAGGATTCCTTGTTCTAACTTCCTAATCTGGTTCTGCTAATATCTATCTGTATAATATTTTCCTCGTTTCCTTTCTTCTCCTTGATTTAGTTTTTTCACCTTTAATTAGAAGAGCTTGTAACTAAATGGTTTATAAGTTCCTTTAAATCTTGAAAATACTATCATTCAGCCAATCACTTGAATTCCCATAGTATGTTGAATAAGAAAACTTTGAGAAGGTTTATTAAAAAGAAAAGCAGGGTTTAAGCCAGGGTTAAATGAAAGCAGAGAACCATCCACCTTTCCAGCCTTGCCTTTCATTGCCTTCTGAATAGCTCTCTTCCTTTTCAATCGTCCCCTCTGACCAGCCCAAACTTTTCAACAGCCTTGACCAGAGTTACCTATTATATCTTTCATTGGATGCTCTCATTTGCATTTTCTAAAATGGCCCCAAAAGAATGTGTCAAAAAGTATATTTAATATTACACTAAAATGCCTTATCAGGCACATTAGAAAATTGATACTAATGGCACTTCTTCTCCAGAGAGCTGGAACGGTGTTAATGATCCAGCACTTGTCACCATTTTGGCGAAGTCTAAAATTGTTTCTAAAGGGCTTTTTTTAAAACAAAATCTGTTCTTAGGATTTTTCACAAGATTCTGTATTGCTTTTTAATGTGTCGTATTTTCTCTATTTTGTAAAATGTTCATCATGCAACAGTATATTAAAAAAGGAGAATGGCTTGTCAGAAAGTTAATTTGTCTTAAGTGCCAACACCTGAACTGATTTTTTTTAAAAAATTGAGTCATATCACATAATAAATCCTGAAAATAGCTGTTGAGTTATAATGTCATACAAAGTCCCTGTGCCCTAATAAGGTGTCTGCTTTGTGAAATCATACACTGGTGAATTAGGAACCTAATGTGGGAAGTGAAAAAAAAAAAAGTGGCCTTTTGCAGCTTGCATTTGCTATCAATTATGCTTGCATAAATCTGCTGGCATTTTAGAATATGATCCATCAGGTCAGCACTTGTCAGGTGAGTAAACTGCTCCCATAGTGCAAATTAGACTTTCAGAAGCAAGTCTTCGCTTCCAGTCCATTGGGGCATTATTTTGCACATTGAAGTGGCAATTTATTAAAATAGTACCCCTGTGGTCTGAATGAAAGAATATGCCTCCTTAACTTCATAGGCTATTTTCTTGGACTGGAGGGAATATATGATAAAACTCTGCTCATTCCAGCTTTTTCTACTGCATATATCAAGTTATCATTAAAAAAATAACAATAATTATTGTCCATAAATTGTGACCAATTATGCAAACTCTTTGCCTGGTAATTATTTTAAGGTCCTTTAAATTATTTAGTGTACAGTTAATTAGGATAATAAGTCAATACTGAGTAATTAACTTTTTAAAGAGAGGATTCAGGAAATCAAGAAAAATTTGGATTAATGTTAGATTACAGTGGCATCATTCTAATTGAATAATACTAAATCATTTATCAATTTCATTTTAAATATGATGTACATCGTCATCATTAATACATGTTATTGAAAGAAGTCTTGTAAGTTGAAATACATTTTCTAATTACATTATAATAAAAAATTAACTTTTTGACAAAGTGTTCAGTGTCTATTATTTTAGATTGAATAAGATTGGCCATATTTAATTGGTTAACATGATATAAATTTACAGTATATATTCACAACGTACAAAGGTTTATATAAATCATTCAAGCAGATCAATATCACCTGAAATATTATTTAAAATGGGGAAAATACTTGAATGGATATAAAGTGAATTTAGAGAGTGAATTCTGTATATTGTTGAAGGTAAATAAATCATTAGAGAAAATAAAAAGCACATTGTCTCTTGCTCTCTAGGAGAGAATGAGAGGAGATAGATACATACATAGGCATACACAAAGATCACAGTGAGAAGAAAGGAAAAAATTGCCTCATTTTTCCTAAAAACCAACTAGTGTTTTGTTGTTGTGGTTGTTGTTTTCAAGTAGGTTTAAAGATAACAGATACCACACTGGTGCACTTGTTACAGTTTTGCTTTGAAGATTATTTAAATTTCATTGGGGAGGGGGAAAAGCAAAATGAACTAAATGTAGAAAATTAATAAATATGTGTCTGCTACAAAAGACACTACTTTCTACAAAATAAATGCTGTTATTTGAACCCGGATCTGTGACACCATACTACTTGCTTTTTTAATCATCATAATGAATTAGGTGTGAGAGGGAGGGTAATTACACAGAATCATGAGCTTATTGAATAGTCAACATAGAAGTGTTTTAGGAATCATTAGATTCAATCTTCTTATTTTACATTTGAGATAACCAAGCCTGAAAGTGACTCAGTAGAAGACTCATAAGTTTCAGAGGGAAGACTGATACAAGTCACCTAAAGGCCAGTCTAGTGTTGTTTTTAATACATCTCTCTGAGTCATAAGCTCCAATTGCAGAAATGTTTGGAGACAAAAGATTACAGAAAATCTTTATAAATATGTTATCATGTATAAATGTATATACCTATTGCTACTTATTTAACATATTCTTTAGACTGTCCTCACTTACAAAATAAGTGCCTTAACCAATTGATAATTTGGTGTGTATATTAAGATTGCCAAAATAATCAGAGACAAGGTATTGTTATTAGTGTCCAATTATGATCTATGATGTAATGAATTATTCTTTGATTTATTGATTTCAATGTGTTTTTCCAGCCATGGTAGAATTTAGGCTTATTCCAAGAAGTCCTTGAATACTTGTATGCATATGTGTTTTCTCAAAGAAGGGGCATTGAGTCTATAAGTACTGTCGAGTCTCTGTATAGACAGTAAAATTTCTGTCATGAGTAAAGAGTATGAATTATGTTAACATATATACACATATACATGTAAACACACTTGCATGTACACATGTACACATACCCATGTATATACATGTTTGTACACACATGCATACTCTTGAAATAATTAAGAATTACTAATATTATTTACTGTCACATGCTATCCTATAAAACAGGATAATCTGTTGCTTTAGGTTTTTTGTTTGCTTGTTTGCTTTTTGTTTTTTGTTTGTTTGTTTTGTTTTGTTTTTTTGAGACAGAGTCTCACTCTATCGCCTAGGCTGGAGTGCAGTGGCATGATCTTGGCTTACTGCAACCTCTGCCTTCCGGATTCAAGCGATTCTCCTGCCTCAGCCTCCTGAGTAGCTGGGATTACAGGTGCGCAGCATCACGACCAGCCAATTTTTTTGTATTTTTAGTAGAGACAGGGTTTCACCCCATGTTGGTCAGGCTGGTCTCGAACTCCTGACCTCATGATGTGCCCCCCTTGGCCTCCCAAAGTGCTGGGATTACAGGCATGAGCCACCATACCCGACCCATTGTTGCTTTAGTTTTAATAACTCTGTCTTATTCTACTTCTCAATGCCCTTTATACATTGTATCTTTTTCATGAATTATTGATTTCTGGCTTTAATCTTAATTATCTTTAAAAATAATTTAAAAGATAATGGTTATTTATCCCAGGTATTCAAGGCTGGTTCAATACTCAAAAATCGGTTAACATAATCTATCATATCAACAGGCTAAAGAAGAAAAAACACATGAACATATCAATAGATGCAGAAATTTTTTTTTTCAAAAGTCAATACCAGTCATGATTCATTATAAAAACTTTCAGCAAATTAAGAATAGAGGATAATGTTCACAACTTGATAAAGAACATCTACAAAAAAACCTATAGCTAATATCATACTTAATGGTGACAAACTCAAAGTATTCCCACTAAGATCAGGAACATGTCAAGAATCTTCCCTTTCACCACTGCTTTTCAATATCATAATGACATAATGACTAATACAATAAGATAAAAAAAGAAATAGAAGATATACCGATTTTTAAGGAATAAATAAAAGTGCCTTTGTTCACAGATGACATTATTTTCTGTATAGAAAAGTGGAAAGAATCAACAAAAAGCTAGTGGAACTAATAAGCAATTATAGCAAAGTTGGAGGATACAGATCAATACACAAATGTCAATTGCTTTCTTATATACCAATAATGAACAAGTGGAATTTGAAATTACCATTTATGTGAGCACCCCAAAATGAAATACTTAGATGTAAATCTAACAAAATATGTAGAAGATCTTTATCAAGAAAATGATAAAACTCTGGTGAAAGATATTAAAGAAGAACTAAATAATTGGGGAGATATTCCATTCTCACAGATAGGAAATTTCGATATTTTCAAGATGTTTATCCCTTCCAATATGACCTATATACTCAATATAACCATGATTAAATTTAAAACAATAAAATGTTTCTAAAGTTTACATAGAGAGACAAAAGAGCTGAAATAGACAATCCAATATTGAAGGAGAAGAACAAAGCTAGAGGACTGACACTCTCCACTTCAAGACTTACTATAAACATACAGTAATAAACACTGTATGGTACTGGAGAAAATAGAGACAAATAGATCAATGGAACATAATAGAGATCCCAGACATAGACCAAAATAAATATAGTCAATTGATCTTTGAAAAAAACAGTAAAGGCAATGCAATGAAGCAAAGATAGTCTTAAGAATGGTGCTGAAAAAATTAGACATTCACGCAAAGAAAATGAATCTAGACAGACCTTATACCATTCAAAAAGTTAAGTCAAAACAGATCATAGACTACTGTATGTAAATGTAAAACTATCAAACTTCTAGAAGATGACACAGGAGAAAAACTAAGTGAGCAGTACTGATTTGCTTTCCAACCAGAAATGAATGACAGTATCTGTTGCTTCACATCCTCAGAAGCACAATCCATGAAATGCACAATCCATGAAAAGAAGGCATAATCACCTAGAGCTCCTTAAAATTAAGAAAAATCTTCTCTTCAAAAGACAATACCAAGAGAAAAAGAAGACAAGCAGCAGTCTAGGAGACATTATTTGCAAAAGGCATATCTGATAAAGAAATCTTATTCAAAATACACAAAGAACTCCTAAAACTCAACAATAAGACCATTAACAAACTGATTAAAAAATGAGAAAAAGACCCAAGCAGACACAGACACCTCACTAGGGACGTACAAGTAGCAAGTAAGCAGTGAAAAGATTTGGGGCATCATATGTTATTTAAAAATTGCAAATTAAAACACCAGTGAGATATTGTTACATACAAAATAGAATGGCCAAAATCTAAAACACTGACAATACAAAATGCTATAAGGATGTGGAGAAACATGAACTCTCATTAAACAGTAATGGGAAAGCATATTGGCACTGCTATTTTGGAAGAGTGTTTGGCAGTTTCGTATAAAACTATACATATTCTTATCACACAACTCAACAACTGTGGCCTTGCACAGTTGTGTTGTGTTGTGTGTGTTATGTTTGCACATAGACATGTGGAGCAGCTTTATTTATAATTGCCAAAACATTAAAGCAACCAAGACACCCTTTGGTAGCTAAATGAATAAATAAACTGTGGTATATCCAGGCAATGGAATGTTATTCAATACTAAAATGAAGTTAGCTATGAAGCATTGAATAGACATGAAAGAAACTTAAATGCATGTTACTGAGAGAAAGTACACTCTGGAAAGGCTACACTCTGGAAAGTACACTCTGGAAAGGCATACACTCTGGAAAGGCTACAAACTGCGTGATTTCAGCTGCAAGACCTTATTAAAAACACAGTTACGGAGATAATAAAAAGATCAGGGGTTGACAGAAAGGAGTGGAGAGAGAGGGATAAATAAGGAGAGAACAGAGTATTTCTAAGGCAGTGAAAAATATTCCATATCAGACTATGTAGTAGATATATGTCATTACAGGTATATGCTCTTTTATCGTGATTCACTTTATTGTGCTTTGCAGATATCATGTACTGTGCAGATTTATGGTTTGTGGCAACCCTGTGTTGAACAAATCTGTAGGCAACATTTTTCCAACAGCATGTACTGTGTCACATTTTGGTAATTGTTTCAATATTTCAAACATTTTTATTATTATCATATCTGTGATAGTGATTTATGATCAGTGATCTATGTTGTTACTATTAAGATTGTTTTGGGGTGCCATGAACTGTGGCCATATAAGATGGTGAACTAATTCAATAAATATTGACCGGGCACAGTGGCTCACGCCTGTAATCCCAGCACTTTGTGGGGCTGAGGTGGGCAGATCACTTGAGATCAGGAGCTAAAGGCCAGCCTGGCCAACATGATGAAATCCTGTCTCTACTAAAAAGACAAAAATTAGCTGAACGTGGTGGTAGGCACCTGTAATCCCAGCTACTCAGGAGGCTGAGCCAGGAGAATTGCTTGAACTGAGGAGGCAGAGGTTGCAGTGAGCTGAGACTGTGCCACTGCACTCTTGCCCGGGAGACAGAGCGAGACTCTGTCTCAAAGTAAATAAATAAATAAATAAATAAATAAATAAATAAATAAATAAATATTGTATGTGTTCCAACACTGATGAATGATTTCCTTTATCTCTTCCTCTCTGCAGGACTTCCTTTTCCCTTAGAAACAACAATATTGTAATTAGGTCAGTTAATAACATTACAATGGTCTCTAAATATTCAAGTGAAAGGAAAAGTTTATGTCTTTCACTTTAAATCAAAACCTAGAAATGATTAAACATAGTGAAAAAATATGTCAAAAACAAAGATAGGCCAAAAGCTAGACCTCTTGTACCCAAGAGTTAGCCAAGTTGCAAATGGAAATGAAAAGTTATTGAAAGAAATTTGAAGTGCTACTTCAGTGAACACACAAATGATAAGAAAGTGAAATAGAGTTATTCCTCACAAGGAGAAAGTCTTAGAGGTCTGGAGAGAAGATCAAACCAGTCACAACAGTCCCTTAAGCCAAAGTTTAATTCAGAGCAAGGCTCTAACTCTCTTTAATTCTGTGAAGGCTGATAGAGGTGGGAAGCTGCAGAACAAAACTTTGAAGCTAGCAGATGTTGTTGGTTCATGAGGTTTAAGGAAAGAAGTCATCTTCATGATATAAAAGTGTAAGGTGAAGCAGCAGAGTCTGATGGTGATGCTGCAGTAAAAATCCAGAAGATCTAGCCAATATCATTGATGAAAGTGGTTACATTAAATAACAAATGTTCAGTGTAGACAAACAGGCTTCTATTGAAAGAATATACCATCTAGGACTTTCATAGCTAGAAAGAAGAAGTCAATGCCTGGCTTCAAAGCTCCAAAGGACAGGCTGACTCTTTTGTTAGGAACTAATGCAGCTGATGACTTTAAGTTGAAGCCAATGCTTATTTATCTTTCTGGAAATCCTAGGGCCCCTAAAAATTATGCTAATTCTACTCTCCTTTTGCTCTATAAATTAAACAACAAAGACTGGATGACAGCACATCTGTTTACAGTATGGTTTACTAAATATTTTAAGGCCACTGTTGAGACTACTGCTCACAAAGAAAAGATTCCTTTAAAATTATTACTGATCATTGACAATGCACCTGTTAATACAAAAGCACTGATGGAGATGAACAAGGAAATTCATGTTGTTTTCATGCCTACTAATACAGCATCTATTCTGCAGGCCATGGATCAAGGAGTAACTTTGACCATCAAGTCTTATTTAAGACATACACTTTATAGTTATGGTTGCCATAGGTTGTAATTCCTCTGAATAATCTGAGCTAAGTAAATAGAAAACCTTACGGAAAAGATTCACAATTCCAGAGGTCATTAAGAACATTTATGATTCAGGGAGAGAAGTCAAAGTATTAACATTAACAGGAGTTTGAAGAAGCTGATACCAACCCTCATAAATGACTCTGAAGGATTTAAGACTTCAGTGAAGGAAGTAACTGCAGCTATGTTAGAAATAGAAAGATAACTAGAATTAAAAGTGGAGGCTGAAGTTGTGATTGAATTGCTGCAATCTCATGATAAACCATGAACAGAAGTGCTTCTTACAGGAGAGCAAAGAAAGTAATTTAATGAGATGGAGTCCACTCCTGGTGAATGTGTTGTGAACATTGTTGATATGACAACAAACAGTATAGATGTAGAATATTACATAAACATAGTTGATAAAGCTTTGAAAGGCTTTGAAAGAATTGACTTCAATTCTGAAAGAAATTCTACTGTGGGTGAAATGCTATCAAACAGCATCAAATGCTACAGAGAAATCTTTCATGAAAGGAAGAATATATTGATGTGGCAAGTTTCATTGTCGTATTTTAAGGAACTATCAGAGCCACCCCAAGCTTCAGCAGCCACCACACTGACTAGTCAGCAGCCATGAACCTCAAGACAAGACCTTCCACTAGTACAAAGCAGCTTGCTAAAATATCAGATGATTGTTAGCATTTTTTACAATAAAGTAATTTTAATTAGGGTATGAGCATTTTTTAGACATAATGCTATTGCACACTAAATAGACAGGAGTATAATGTAGACATAATTTTATATGCACTGGGAAACCAAAAGTTTCCTGTGACTCGCTTTGATGCAACTCCAATTGGTGTTGTACCTCATAATCTATGGCTGATAATGATGTATCATTGTAGGTTTATCAGATGTAACAAATATACCACTTTAGTGCAGAATTTTGATGATATACATGGGCAGTTATGCATCTGTCAGAACAGGGGTTATCTGGGAACCGTACTTTCCATTCAATTTTGCTATGACTCTAAACTGCCCCCCAAAATTAAGTTTATCAGTTTAAAAATAGTGGTTTTAATAGGAAGAATTTTAGGTTAGGAGGTAGAATATTTGAATCCTAATTTATATCGCCCAATTTTTTTACCACAAGAAATAACCTTTTTAAACTTAATTTTTTACATCTGAAATTACTTACAGCAATACCAGACTCTTCTTCCTGGCACCTTGTCATGCTCACATTTATAGCATGTTCCAAGTGGTGATAAGGCAATTCCAAATCTGCAACTAGACTGTATGTTCCTCAAAATCAAGTACTATTTTTTTCATTGTTTTCTGGCTAACCAGAGTATCTGGCTTATAGTTACAATCAAATATTAATTGATCAGGTCTGAATAACTGAATATTGTTTCAAAAAATATAAGAGAGTTTACTCACAAACACTCCTCCATTTTTTCCTAAAAATTATTTTAAATAATATACTTTTTCAAGGAAGAGATAATCTATTACACAATTTTCTCTTCTGATCTAAATTTATCTCATGGATATGGTAATAGGTATAGTTTAAATTTTTTTATTAGTAACTGAGTTTTTATACTGCTAGCATTCCTGTCCCTAGATAATTCCAAGTATTTAATATAAAAATACAACTATTAACAATATGTCTATCTTTTCAAAAATTTTCTTTTAATTAAAATACCTGTTATTAACACCATTTTACTACAGAAATCTGCCAAGAAGTTAGATAAATATCTAAATAGATCTAGATAATTATATATATAGTTATATAGAGAGCAATATATCTATCTATAATCTATCTATCTATCTATCTATCTATCTATCTATCTATCTATCTATCTAAAATAATGAACTACAGTCACACATCCTAAATTTGAAGCCAGGTTCTGTGACCTCTACCTTGAATTTTGTTTTAGGGATGGGACTCTGGACATATCTAGATAGAAAATATGTACTGCCCATGTTTCCTTCTCTGAACTTTCAGTCTTAGGGATGCAGTATGTTAACTTATGAAATCAAAAATAACTTTGTTATTAAAATTTTAAATGTAAAATTTGCGGGTAAAGTTATTTTTCTTCCTCATATAGCAAAAGTTGTGCCAATACAAATTTTTTTTTAGTTTACATTATCCTTGCACACACCTCTCAGTTCCTGTGACACCTGTACATTGATTTCATATGCTATAAGTAGAAATAAATTTTAATATCTAATTCCTACCCTTTGTTTCAATTCAGTATTTGTAGTTAAGTATTCAGGAAGCAGCTGTGTCCCTTGATAATTCCATGCACTAAATACAAAGAGAATAGACAAAATTTAACATGATTGTTGTATTCAAGAATTCATGACATTTACATGTGTCACAAATATTGTATTTTAAAATCTCTATGCTAACAGAAGTCTTATGTCCTAATGCATTTGCCTTTCTAATACATAAGTAATTTAAAATTCAGTGCTGCCTCAAGAGTGTGGAAGCTCACTCACTTTCTCCAATACCCCTCCCAAACACATTTACTTCACTGAATATGCTAAACTGGACCTTAAATTTGCTGCCTATGTGCATGAGAATGAAAACCAGATGTCCATTGATAATGGTATTGCTGATGCTGACACTTTGTTAAACGAAAATTCTTGCAGTGTTGCTGAAGAAGCAGAAAATTTAACGTTTCTTCTTTGAATGAGTTTTACCTTTTTGTCTGGAAATTCTGTATGGCTGAGTAGACCCACAGAGAGGTAAGCATTCCAGGACTCAGAAAGACTATAAATAGTTGCCTAACAGTAACACAGTAATTATTCTAACATGGGGTTATATAAAGTCCAGTGCTCTAAGTTGACCACAAAGCAAAAGCTAGAAAAACAAGTTAGACTCACTTTAAAAAGAGCATTAATCAGTCCATACCGTATATTTTTTATCATTAGATTAGATTTTATTTTTCAAAAAAGTTAACTCACACATTCAAATGCTTTACAAACACTCTGAAATATATTGTGTAGTGAACCATTCTGACCTTTTTAAAATTCTTCATCTCAGTTGGCCAGTCATTTCAGTCTTTACAACAGGTTACTGTACTTTTTAATAGGAAGAGAAGGAAATGGTCAGCTCTTTCAAAATCTTGCTTAGAATACTGAAAAGGTCAACAAACTACAGCGGGGGAATATAAAAATGAGACAATTGAAATCTGATACCTCATTTTTATGACGAAGATTTTTGCAAGTATTGAAAATGTCACAACATGAAGTCAATTTTTAGGAATAGACCAGGACACAGCACATCATCACCCTACCATTAGCCTGTGGTCTCAACTTTGTGATTAAAAAACATACAGCTTTTCTTTTCTTTTGTTATTTTTATCAAAGATATATTCAGTGAGAATGCAGAACAGTGAAGAACAAGATTCAGTGGTTCTCAACCTCATTGATTTTGCCCCCTCAGGGGATGTTTGGCATCTGTTAAAGTCTGGAGATATTTTTGATTGTCACAACTTGGGGCAGGGGGTTGCTTCTGGCATATAAGAGGCCAGAGATGCTGCTAAACATCTTACAATACATGACAGCCCCCTATAACAAATATTTAATCAGGCCCAAAATGTCAATAGTGCTGTGATTGAGAAAATTTGTGCTAGAAGAATGTAAAATTTAGGATTTTTTAAAATCAAATTACATTTCCCTTCAACATAAAAGCTTTCATTATATTAAATCTGTATCAACAAAGTCCTTTTTATACAAAGAGTGCACAATAGATGTCTAAGCCTTAAGAAGAGATAAACAAAACAAAGCAAAACAAAATGTCTATTGCTGCTGGTGGTAGTTTTATATAAAAATAGAAAATGTGTATAATCAAAAATAGACATTTAGACCGCACAAACCTTAAATTATAAATTACTTTTTGAAACGGCATTTGTAAAACTACTGCTTTTCCTTTTAAATCTATGAGGTAAAATTTTTAGTAATTAATATATTGGGCAAGAAGACAAAATATCAGGTACCATTAATTTAAGTTGAAAATGTAATAAAGTAAGAAAGTAAAGGAACTAGAAACAACACATATAAAGCACTACTACATGTCTATTTAGTGCTATTACAGGCTATTTAGTTTTATAACACCTCCAATCTATTGTCTTACTTCCCCTAAATCCAACTTCTTGAAAGGGAAGACCAATCATACTATCTCTTGACTCAAATCTTTCAGAACCTCTACATTGCATAGGGCAGGGAAGGTTTTTTATAAAGACCCAGATATTAAATATTTTAAGTATTGCAAGCTATGTAATATCTGCTACCAATACTCAACTCTGTGGCTGTAGTGTAAAAGCAGATGCAGACGATATGTAAACAAATGGTATGACTGTGTTCCGATAAACCTTTCTTTGAGAAAACAAGAGAGGCTGAATTTGGCACAAGGATGATAATGTGATATAACCCTAAAGTTAAAGTTCAAAATCTTTTCTATGACATACATTTGGCCTTTTTCAATTCTTCCATTTCATCTCAAAGTTTATCCATACTCTGCTGTATCTCATGCTCCAGGAATACAAATTATTAACAGTTCTTTGAACAAGCATATCAGGTTGGTTCATGCTTTGTGACCTGACATTGCTTCATCAACCTGGTAATGGTTTCCCGGTGTTTGGTAAAAACCTATTCCAAGTGAACACTCATATGAAACGTCACTCTTTCCCATCCCTCACTCCCTGTCCCTTCCTTCTAGGCTTGGTCTCCCACTGCTGTGCCTCAGTGTACCCTCTGTGGACTGCTACTATCCAATTTTAAATAAATAACTGAAATTTATTTACATACCCTTCCATGCTAGATATGAACAAGTGGCATAACTAACAAGAACACAACACCTTGCCTGAACATCATAGACATATAATAATTGCTTTTTCGGCAAAGTAAATTTCAGTCCAATTTAAATGTGAAAATAATTTTCTGCCAAGATAGGCTCTACTGAGTTTTGTAATATGTAACCATATATAAAATATGGCACTGCTTAAGGTGTAGCCTAAAAATAATACATATAAGTCATGATTAGTCACAACATAAGCATTTTTAGCTTTAAGATAATCAAAGTGGAATTTAAAATATAGAACCATGGAGAACACAGCAAATGAAACACAATTTAGGAAACTTAAATAAGAAAAAGTGGTAAAATAAAACACAGATGAGATTACAGTTTAAGGAAGAGGAGGAAAACAACAAAAATATCCATCAGTCTGTGACATTATCAAGGCTCCAGGTATAGAATTTATGTATTAATATTTATACTTAAACTTAATTACTTATACTTAATTACTTTACACTTATACTTTATACTTAAACTTTTAATGGTAAAGGCTGCAATTACTTTTGCACCAAAGTAATAGCGATTCTTTCCCATTGTAATCACAATGCCTTTGTCTAATTACCAATTCACAAGCCAGTCTTTTCATCTTAGCAGTAACTAGCACTGATGTAGCCACAAGTGCATTCTAAGTCTCTTATGAAAGAATGGATGATTTTGAGTATAACTTACCTTACAATTCTGTGAATTTTGAAATTCCATTTTTAGTACACTGTTTCTGCAACAGATTCTCGAGAAGTGATCTTTCAGTTCTCAAATTAAAGCAGTCCCTAAGGTGGAAGTCCTATTCCCTCATTATTTTGTCAGCGATCTACTTTCTGATTTCTTGGCTTTTGTTGTGAATTGAAACACATAAATATTGGTACTGTTTTAAGTGGTTTATAGAAGAACTATGATTTTCCTATGCCTCGCTTCAAACTATTTAGGAAACAAATTTAAAGGCTATTCAGGGAAGGGCTTGAAATTGATGAAGACAGTAGAGTGACTGAAGAAAGAAGTGTGTTGGAGGTAAATATATAACTCTTGGGAAAGTGAGAAATAAAACACTAGTCAGCCAAATGTTTAAAAGTGTAAGCCCTCACTAGAAATGAGAAGCCATTTAGTGATGTGTTCAGATTTGGTGTAACTCAGAAATGGAAGGAAGTTAGAGAAAAGACAACTTGGGTAGAGCGCATGAGAAACTTCCTGACAGTGAAAACTGCTGGAATATGGAATTACCCCTCAAGGGAAGTGGTAGAAGTCACATCACTTGAATGGTTGAAATCAAGAGAGACAAAACACCACTGAAAGTTATTTATTTGTTGATTCTGCATAGCAATTGTTAAAGTCCCTAAGGGAAGTGTTCTATCAAAAAGATGAGATTTCTGAGGCTCTCTTCAGTTGTTCTGAGTTTCTGTTTTCCAAACTTTATCTACAAATAACAAAAGAACAATGTGTTTTATATTCTATTTCCAAATAGTTATATTTTTAAAATAACAGAATGTTATTCTCAACAAAACATACTTGAGTATTCTATAGATGGTGTATTCTTTATTTTGTCCCATTTTAAGTGAAAAAAAAGAAATTTGCCATCACGGTTCCTAAGGACTGTATCCTCATTTCCATACATGATTGTATACATTAAAATCACTTTATATTTTTCAGGTTTAGTTTATGCCTTCATAATATGGTGATCTACAGTGATATAATTTTTATAAGGGTTGGATGAACCATAAAACAGTATAAAATATAATTTGGTAAAGGCTAATTACATAGTGTAGATTATACTGTTTTCATCTTCACAGTTGAGATTACAACCTTGTTCTAAATTGATTATATATTTAAGTTTCTTTTTTCTTGAAGTGATGATGACTTGTGCTAATATAGCACACTCTCATAGTTATTCTTGTGTCTTAGCCATTGTAACAGAGGAAGGCAATGACAATAAAACAGTGAAGTTCATCTGGAACTGAATCATAGCTTTAGTGGCTATAATAGAAGAGCTTCCTAACTGATTTGAGTAGCTGTCTATGTATGTGCATATATGTGTGTGAGTTTACACATACATGTTCACAAATAACTAAATCTCACAAACAATTTGGACCATTATTGGCCAGTTTTCTCAATTTAATTATGAGGACACTTCAAAGTTGGACAGAAAAGCTCAAATCTATTTAAAGATTGTTCTAAACATTACCTACTTACCACGTTCTACCTGAAGCAGCAATGAATCTTCAGCAGAGATAGGATGGGCTGTTTCTCAAACAGAATGGCAGAAAAGAAATGCCTAAGTTCATACATATTATTGAGTGCCTCATAATGCAACTATAAAATTCTGCAAACCTATTTGGGGTAATTCTAAAGCGAGAGCCAAGTGCAGACCAACAGAAACTGTGATAACAATATCATTTGGCTAATGTGCTGTTTATGTATACAAAATGCTTTGCAAATGGTAAAGGGAAAATCACCAGCAGAATAGTTTCTAAAAGCATCTTAGTTTTCTAAAGCCATACTTATCTAAAATTGTAACAAAGAACAGCAGGAGGTGTGTGACAATGAAGCCAGTACAAAGTGAACGAAGTTTCAGCCAAATGTCAAAATATAACGAAAGAATTTCTGAGGCAAAAGAAAAAAATGTATTGGGAAATGGGAATACAGTAGTTTTATAGAGATTTGGAACTTTAAATTATTCAAAACTGGTACAATCGAAACTAAAACATGTGCATGTGTACCATCTGCTTGCCTCCAAAGAGGAGTCTTTGGAGAATTAATTTCAGCTGCCAGAGTTGGAGGAAAGGAAACTGGTCTCCAGTTTATCCAAATCATTACTTGAAAACAGGAACTCAAGAACAGAGAAGAGACTTGGGCCGTCTGGCTCTGTCTCCATGGAGAGATATTCCTTAGAGATTTCAGCAGCTGCAGAAAAATATAGGTTGAGAGAAATGAGGTACAGCCTGCAAAGTCAAATTAAGGCTAAGAGAAGTGTTTTTGCTCCAAAACATGTTTTAAGAGTAGTTACTAATACTTGAATAGAGATTTAAACTCTCACAAATATTTTGTCTTGAAGTAAACAAACTAAGTTTTCCAGTAACGCTAAATCATGCTTTGTTAAGTTATGCTTAGGCCACACATCTTTTCTTCCTGCTCTACTAACAAGAAAGTAGAACCTGGTATTTGCTGCCTAATTTGTAAAATGAAGGATCAATGCTCCAGGGAGTTATTAAGTCCCTATGTCTAGTGAATCTTTATTTAATAGTATGAGGACTTTCACTTGTGAAACTAAAGGACATGTTTACATATTTAGTCTTTGCTTTTAGAATAAACCATAAACAAATAGTTATTGTGTTTCTACAAGTAAAATAATATAAAGAAGCATAAGTCATAGTCTGCGATTTTAATAACTCTAAATTTAAATAATTAGAATTAAACATACATGTTTAAAAACTTAACCATATAAGAAGTCAATAGCAATTCAAAAAATGTTGAAAGACAGCATATGACTAATTACTAGTCAAAAGCTACATATTATAGGGATTGCACATTCAAAGAAAGATGAAATCATCTGTGGGTTAAAGTAGATATAAAAGACTTTCTAGGTATCAAATTTGAACTGAGTGGACGAAGAGGCTAGCAATAGTGAAAATAAGCTGTGAAAAATCCAAGAATGGCACAGGTATTAGCTTTACTCACTAAAGAATATCATGGATAAATTAAGTGATGGATGGAATGATAGGTGTATGGATGGATGAAAAATGATAGATAGATAGATGGATAGATAGATAGATAGATAGATAGATAGATAGATAGATGATAGACTGTTTTTCAAGTACAACAGCTCCACTAGGTGAGACATATACATGATGAATAAAATTTATCTTCGAGAGTCTAGATTATTCACATTTTTGTGAACCACATTATTATTGGTAAATAACAAAAGCAAATACACGCACATTGATATAAAAAGTCTTTCTGAAGTACAGAATTGAAAAATAAATTATCTTACAAAGAGTATATTTACTAAGATACCAGTTCAAGTAAATTGGGATATTAAACATTAAATTATCCATAAAACTATACCTAATTTGAGTAACAGAAACTGACAGGATATACATTTGAGTGCATGAAAACTAGCTTATCAGCCCAGTAAATAATATAATAATTATATAAATATTTTTAAATTTCCTTCCAAATGGGAAATTTAATTTTGGGAAAATAGAATAAAAGACTGTTTGCTAGTAAACATGATGCTCACATACTAATGTTCATATATTGAGCAACAAATGTGCTTTAGGCACTATAGAATATCCCCACTATATGTTATCTAATTTTGCAACTGTACTATACGTTACATATATTTACCCTATTTTTACATGAGATAATTAGGCTTAGAAGGATTAAATAACTAGTTCAACATCGGGCAACTGGGAAGTAGGAAAGCCAAAACTACAACTCAGGTTTGTCGAGTGCTAGTCTTACCTGGCTGATCTTACTTGTATACCGGCACAAGATGAGATGATGATAAGGAAGCATGCTCGGGTGAATGAACTTCTACATGATAGAACTCTGCTCCTCCTGTAATGTCATGAGCTTTGCTTAAGTAAAAACAATAATGACATACAAAAAAATGAAGCATTAATGAACATGGCACTGCAAAGAACAGGTCTACAAAAGGAGAATCATGTCTCTATTAATGTAGTAAAGTCTGTGTGTAAAAAGGAAACATATTAATACTACTCATTCTGATTCACCTGGCTAAATATGATGAGAATAAATGCTTAGCAATATTTTCCAGTTTTTTGTTTTGTTTTGTTTTTTTGAGACGAAGTCTCGTTTTGTCTCCCAGGCTGGAAAGCAGTGGTGCAATATCGGCTCACTGCAACCTCTGCTTCCCGGGTTCAAGCGATTTTCCTGCCTCAGCCTTCCAGGTACCTGGGACTACAAGCGCCCGCCACCATGCTTGGCTAATTTTTGTCTTTTTAGTAGAGATGGGGTTTCACTATGTTGGCAAGGCTGGTCTCGAACTCCTGATCTCAAGTGATCTAACTGCCTCGGCCTCCCAAAATGCTGGGATTACACGTGTGAGTCACCACATCCAGCCCTATTTTCCAGTATTTTAACAGTAGTACACCATAAATCATTAACAAACCAACTCTCAATTGTAGAAGAGCTTCTCAGAAATTCAAAAGACAGTTAACTAATATCAAACCTATAATCTAATAGTCTAATAAAAGAAATATTCTATCCTCTGACAAAGAAATAAAAGCAAACATTTTAAGAATGAGAGGAATCAAAAGCATAGCAATCATGGAATCTCATTCTCATGATAATGAAAGGTGATGTGGTCTAGGGGCTTTATGTATAAGGTCCCTTAAAAACCATCTACTTTGGTTCATTTATTTACAGGTAAGAAAATTAAAAGCTAAAGAATCATAGACACGCAGACCCTCCAATTTTATAATTGTGATTTCTCAACATATATTTAAGCTATATTGTTCTTGTGTAAGATCACCAAAAATGATTTAGAGACATTAGTTTCAGGCGATTTTAGCTGTTTTTTTAAATTAGAAAACTCTTCAATATACATAGCTGAAATTGGCCCACTAATTGTTTCCTTGTAAAGTTACACAATTTGAAGGTTTGTGTGTATGTGTGCCCGTGACTTTTTAAAGTTAGATGCTGTATCAATGACAACCAACGCACTAGAAACTAACATGCCACACCAGCTGTCTACATAGTTGGATTCTGTAACAACAACGTGAAGATTCAATGTTCATAAGAGTTAGGATAGCTAGAGCTATCTTAAAAATCGTCATAGTACTTAAAATGATTGTAAAAAAAAATCAGTCTTTACATGTCATTTTATGTATCCTCAAAACTAAATTATGTGAATAATATAAAACACAATAAAAAGTAATTGTGTAAGAAGGAAATTTGATTTTGTGCCCAGCCTGTAGCTACCCACCTTTTACATCCCACAATTACCAAGTATTTTTTTTTTGATGGCACAAACCAGCTTTCCCATTGGTGAATGTCCAATTTCTACCACCTGTTTGTGAAAATCACATCATAGAACTTTAAACCTGGCAAAAGTTTTGTGATCATAATATAGACTTGATTTAAAAGAAAATTAGTTGGCTATAGGTAGAAAATCAAATGGGACAACAACCTCTTAAAATATGGCAACTCACCTCTGGTTTTGTTCTATTAAAATGATAGTTATCTCCGTAGAAGTCACCACAATGGAAAATCAGAAACAATAGGTTTGAATCATCTTAAGGCTCTGAGAAGCCTTCAGAATAATTTTGTTCATTCCAAGTCAAGTAAAAAGTGCCTTTGATTTTCTTAAGCTCCGGTTTTATGGAAATATTAACATGTAACATTTGCCTTCCTTACAGTCATTAGATAAATGCCAATGCATTTTCAGCTGAAATAGAGCCAAGTTGTCCTAGTTAGTTATGTTGAAGAGAAACAGAAATTAATCAGTCTACTATTAGGGCACAGCTGTTTTTTGAAATGTTTCTTTGATTTTCAAGAGTTTATGTTTTTAAAGAGTTGTTATTAATCACAGTGGTGAGCCTGGAAGTTGAGAGAAAAGCACAGTTTAAGCAAGCTGGTATTCACAGAACAACAAAACAGTTTATTCCTTCTGGTTAAAACCCTCGAGCATGTCCTATCTCATCCCCAGAAGTATCAAACCGAGGTATTATATTACAATGGAGTATAAACCTAGAGGAACCAGAATACACTGAGGGAATTCAAAGTTTGATGTTGCCTTCTATAGTTCAGAACCTGCAGGAAAGAATTCTACACTTCCAAGTCGTTATTACAATAAGAAAATTCATTGACAGAACATAATGGCATAGTAATAGTCTTCAAACCAACAGTAACTACCTTTTTATAAGCACTGTGTTTAACTTAATAACCCTTTTAGTTCAAAGGCAAAGGTTTGTGTCATCCTTAACTGACAAACACTTACATTGTCTCTTGCTGAGCAGCTGAGAGCAGGTTAATGCACTGTCACAATAGCAAATTTTTTTAACTTTTTTTTTTCTCAAATGGTTGAGGACTGCATCTGCATCAGTGTCAAGACACATGGTATAATTTGAGGGTTCTGGGCCATGAATGCATATCAAGCTGTTAGACCCTTGATATTTGCTTAAACAGTGCGGGTACTAGAAGCAGAAAAGATGCCCTAGTTTCAGTGCCAATGCATCACTTCATCCCCGCAAGCTGCCTTTTGTAATTGTCAGTTCAATATCAGTAGCAGGGTCAGAAACTGTAAAGAGTTCATTACAGATTTCCTTCCTTCTAATAACCTAAGAGTGCAAAAAGGCATGCCTAAAATGTATTAATTTTTCCACTGTTTAATCTCCCATTTTAAACTAGATCACCCTCAGTTTTTCAAAAGCTACACCTATGTCTTTAATATTTATAATTTAACATTCAAGACTACTTCTTATACATTCATACAATAGAGAGTTTTTTAAAGTTTCATAGTAAGTGACAAAAGGTATAAAAGGAATTAGGTATTGACCAAAGGAAATGAAAACTGCTAATCTTCAAGTAGGGGGTATAAAAATATAGTATTTTTACATTTTATGATTCCACCAAAAAATAACTATGCACTTTTTTTTTTTTTTCGAGATGGAGTTTCACTCTTGTTGCCCAGTCTGGAGCGCAATGGCATGATCTCAGCTCACTGCAACCTCTGTCTCCCGGGTTCAAGGGATTCTCCTGCCTCCGCCTTCCCGAGTAGCTGGGATTACAGGAATGCAACACCACGCCACGGCTAATTTTTGTATTTTTAGTGGAGATGGGGTTTCTCCATGTTGGTGAGGCTGGTCTTGAATTCCCGACCTCAGGTGATCTGCCTGCCTCAGCCTCCCAAAGCGCTGGGATTACAGGCGTGAGTCACCGTGGCTGGCCCTACACTTTTATCTTTTTAAGTAAACAAATCTTTGTCCATTTCTGGCTATGGACACTGACAACTAGAAGTAAAGACAAAATATTTTTTGAGCACAAAGAACCCATAAGATTCACTAATGTAACAAACATTTCTTAATACCATGTGTCCTGCACTGTGCCAAGTATGCATTGTTTTATTCACATCTCACAATAAGCCAATACAGTTTTAGCACACATATTACGGATGAATAAACTGAGGCTTACAAGTTAGGTTTCTGATTGCCAGAGGTCTAGTAAGTATCAGAGCCAGAATGTGAACACAACTGAACTTTATGCAGTGCCCATGTTGTTAATTAACCAATATTAATTCGTAACAAAGACATGTGGCTATACTAGGTATCAGCTCACACAATTTCTTAGACCAGACTCAAACTGATTGTGAGGTCTTAGTAAAATCACTTCGTAGTGATTTCAGAATTCATATATGTAAAATAATGAGGTCGTTTGCGTTATTTCCGGAACCCCTCAATTCAAATTCCTAGCTTATGCTATCATAAACTAAAGCAAGCTTGTAAGGTCTGATTCACTCGTTTTCCTTTCATTCAAAACTATGATTTATGCAATGTCCTGTTTTAAACTATAGAGAACTGTACTCCAAAGTAATGTATTTCCAGGGCCTACTCAGTGCAATTTGAACACTTCATAAGAAGTCACATAAGTAAATATTTCTGGGTCAGCAGCAATGGTTGCAAATCAAATAAGCTGCTGAGGCCGATAAAATTCTAAGTGTAAGCATCCAAATGCCAGTTAACAGCTGACTAAGCAAGAATCTCTGGGACTATACTAAAGAATTTAGAAAAAGAATTTTGCTATATGAAAGTGCTTGTGTCTTTTCTTCCTCATTAGCAAAAAAAGTGCTCATTCTCATAGCTAGGTAATACTATTCACATAAAATGAGATACATTTATGTGTGTGTGCATAATGTACATACATAGTATCATATCCAAATATATGTATTTAATATTTAGGCTCACTGTTCCTGGAAAGAAAGGAAGAAACAAGGCAGGATATTGAAAATATTAAATTATTTTTCTCATTTTATATTAATATTCCATAAGTTTTCCAAATACTTAGAAATACAGGTTAAAGCTTGCATTTAAAACTCAAATTTTTATGTAGCATTTTAAAATGAGAAGACGTAATTTCCACATTGTACAATAAATACATAAGGAAAAGTCTATGCATTTCAAAATTTTGAGAATCAATTTCAATTTTATGCTGATACTTCTTTCAGTAATCATATGCTGATTGATAAATGTTAATATTTAAAAATTTCCATTAATTTTCATTTATTTTTAGACAAGTTTAACTCATCTTCCCCTTTTTACCTATTTTATGAATCACAATTTAAAAGAATAAAGTATTATTTTCATTTACTGAATATATTTTATGCACTACCAGCCCATAGATTATTTTTCAAAAGAAAGTAACATTGAGGATAAAAGGAGAAACAAAGGAGGAAGACAAGAAGTAAATCTGTTTCCAAAAGAAAAATGCAACTGTGAATATGTGTCAGTTCCTCTAAAATAGGAGTCATAGGTGCTATTTTCTAATTGTTTTGAAGTAAGGCCTTGAAAACATCCTGGCTGCTGCTGTTCTTAGAAATGCTGAGGGATACCTGGCCCTTATGGTCTGTTTGAAGAAAAGTTATGAAACTCCAACAGAAAGAGGAAGGATATATACTAATTATTTCATCATGCAATAACTGGAATGTTCTGGTAAGACCTTAGGGACTGCATTAGGTAATGGCTGTAAGTAAAGAATGGATCTATGGGTTCATTTTAAAATGAAAATGGTACTACCTATTGTACAAGACATGTTAGGAAGCATAAAAGAGTTAATATATAAGAAAGCCAGCGTGGTGCCAGGAAAATTACGAGTGCTAAATGAAAGAAAGTTGTTATGAATAATGGAGGTAAAATCGAAGACATAAAGGAGCAAACATGATGGTGGAAACAGAATTTTTAATAAAAACTGGGAGCTTAATTGTGAAGTAAGAAAAGACACCATCTTTGCCTGGAGGAATTGACAATTTATTAAATAAGTTATTATCCTGAGTGAAAAGATAAATGACAATGCTGAGTATGGGGGAAATATTGGAGAGATCCCTCACCCAGTTTGAAGAATCAGGAAACACTCTCTAGAAAATAAAGTCTAATCTGAAATGGAAAACAATCTCTATTACATACCAGCTGTATACACTTTGGCAAATTGATTAACTACTCTGATTTGAACATTTCAAAGTCCAATGAAACTGGATTACTCTGGATACTTCATATAAATGGAATAATACAGTATTTTTTTCCTTTAGAGACTAATGTACTTCACTTAGCATAATGTCTACAAGGTCTATCTCTGTTGTACCATGTTTCCAAATTGTATTTCTTTTTAAGGCCAAATAATATTTCATTGTATGTATATACCACATTTTGTTCATCCATTCATCCATCCATTGAAACTTAGGTTGCTTCTATAAACATGTGTCTGCAAATATCTCATCGAGTCCTTGCTTTAAATTATTTGGGGCATATAATGTGAGGTAGAATTTCTGGATTATATAGTAATTTTGTTTCTAATTTTTTGAAGAACTGCCATACTGTTTTCTGTAGAGGCTGAAACATTTTATATTCCCATGAAGGTTACAATTTCTCCATATTCTAACCAACTTCTTTTTCTCCACATCCTCATTCACTAATTTATGTATTCATTTAAACATCCATCTTAATGATGTGAAGTATCTCACGGTTATGATTTGCATTTCCCTAATGATTAGTGATGTTGAACACTTGATTCTTGACAATTTGAATGTCTTTTCTGGAGAAAGCTATTCAAGCTTTTGAATTTTCTAATGGGGCTATTTGGTTTTTGGTTTTTGAGCTGTATGAGTTTTTTATACATCCTGGATATTAACCTCTTATCTGATATATGATTTGCAAATAGTTTATCTTATTCTGTGGATTGCCTTTTCACTCTGTTGATAATATCATTTGATACACAAATTTTAAATTTTGATAAGTGTATTTTTTTCTTTTGTTGCATGTGATTTTGTTGTCATATTCAAGATATCATTGCCAAATGTAATGCCATGAAATTTTTTTCTTGTATTTTCTTTGAAGAGTTTCACAATTATATCTATTATGTTTAGGACTTTGATCTATTTTTTAAGTTAATTTTCATATATAGTATATGGTAAGGGTACACCTTTTTTATTTGTATGCAGACATCCAGTTTTCCAAACACCATTTGTTTAAAATTCTGCTTTTACTCCACTGAATGGACTGGGAACCCTTGTGAAAAATCATTTGACCATATATATGAGGGTTTATTTATGATCTCTCTATTCTATTTGGTCTACCTGTCTGTTTTTATCCCATTATTGAATTATTTTATTTATTGTGGATTTACAGTAATTTGTGAAATAAGAAAGTATAAGACATCCAACTTTGTTCTTCTTTTAAGATTGTTTTGGATGTTCTGTATATTTGAGATGCCATACAAATTTTAGAATTGATTTTTCTATTTCTACATAAAACATTGTAGAAATTTTGATAATGATTTCATTTTGTAGATCACTCTTAATAGTCTTAAAATCTTAAATATGTCTGATCCACGAACATGTCCTGTTTTTCGATTTGTTGGTAACATCTTTTTGTTTTTAACAATGTTTTGTAGTTTTTAGTAAAAAAAAAAAATGTGGTTTTCTTCATTAAGTTTATTTTTAAGTATTTTATTATTTTAAATACTATTATAATAAAATTGTTTCCTCAATTTCCTTTTCAGGCTGTTTATTGTTATTATATAAAAACACAACTGATTTCTACTTGTCAACTTCGTATGCTGCAATTTCCTGAATTTGTTTATTTGTTCTAAAAACGTGTTTGTGGAATTGTCAGAGTTGTCTGGTTATAAAATTCTGTCTTGTGAGCTGTATACAAAGGTAATTTTACTTCTTCCTTTCCAATGTAGATGCCTTTTATTTATTTTACTTTTCTAATTGCTCTGTAGGATTTCTACTTTGAAGGTAACTAGTAGGGGTAAAAGTGAGCATTCTTGTCTTATTCCTGATGTTACAGGAAAAGTTTTCATTCTTTTATTACTAAAAATGATGCTATCTGTGGGTTTTTTATATATGACCTTTATTTTGTTGAGATAGTTTTATTCTATTCCTATTATTCTATTCCTATTGTGTATTTCTTTCCTATTGTGTATTTCTTTCAGTCTCTGAACATATTCAAGACAGATGTTTTAAAGTCTTTGTCTAGTAAGTCCAATGCCTATATTTCATCAAGAATGACCACTAGTGATTTGATTATTTCTTTAAATGTACATTTTTTTCCTGTGTCTTTTTTTATGCTGGTGACCTTTTGTTGAAAATTGGACCTTTAAAAATCAGCCACCTGTCCAAATCTTTGCAGTCTGTCTCTGTTCAGGGTAAGATCTTCACTCCGAACCTTAGAATCATTCTTGTGCAAAGGCTTATAGTCTTCTCAGGTCTTTTCTGGGCATGTTTCCCCTAGGCCTGTGTGTGTACTTCTTTCTGTTTTCCCTACATAGATGGTTGTTTTAAAGTCTCTTTATTTCTTAGAGTCTAATCCCTATTTCTTCTTGTGGTCTTAACTGTTCTAGTGTATTCTTCCACCGGTGATCTCTTGCTCCAGGTATCTGTAGTCTGTAGTTCCTTTGTAGTTTTCAAGGGCTACAGGTAAAGACATAGCCCATAATCCGAGATGTGCCAGGTTTGGCTGTCTAATGCCCAATAGACCAATTCCTCACGCAGCCAATAGGCAGGCTTGAATGTCACTAATTAGTTCTTTCTGCTTTTCTATGGTTCTCAGAAAGGAACTAGGGACTGAAACAACACTTCCTTCAAACCACATCATGCTTCACAAGGGAGGAAGTGGGGCCAGGGTTTGTAAAATGCCACCCAATTTCCTTTTAAATGTGAATTTTTCATAATTGGACATTCATTTGGTTGCTATAGATCTGTGACTGATTTCCAGAGCTTCTGTAAGTTACTTTAGCCAGTCTCTAGTAATATTTTAATGTTCTGTGGAGGAACAAGGGCCTGGAGCTTCCTAGTTCTCCAACTCACTGATGTTACTCCCCTAGTAAGTAGTTTTACCCATTTATATTATGATGGGAATCTTGATTTCTTTATAGTATATTTTATTTTCGTTAATTAATGTATTGAATATATGTGTGTACACATTAAATGTGAATATAGAATAGTGGAGTAGTAAGGGAAAGTTCTGCCTTGAGAGGAATTAGTGGCAGCAAAGACAGACAACTTTGCTAAGGATCTTCATAATAAGAAAAAGTAGAAAATTGATACAATAACTGATTGGAGATATAGGTTATTTTTCTTTTAAGTTGAGAGAATTATATTGTTTATGAATCCTAATGAAAATCACCGCCTAGAGAGGGAAAGCCTGATTATATTCTAGAGGGGGTGAGGGAGGATGCCAGAATGATATTCTTGAAGAAGCAAAGGATAGTATTCACTAGATAATTGGAAGCGTTGGCTTCTGACATGAGTGTGAAGAATTCATCCAGTGCAACTGGAGGGAAAGCATAGTATGTGAGCAGAAATGCAAAAGTGTCTGTGTATGTAATTATTGAAGTTTGTAGAAGTACTCTTATGGGTGTTTCTATTTTTTAGTCCAATTTGAAGGCAATGAATTTCAGTAAGAGTGAGAATAAAAATAAGAGGATGGATGTCTATAAAGGAAACAAAAGGCAATTGATTTTTTTCTGGGAAAGGGAGAAAGGATGGAACAAGGAAATGTAGTACACCTGCCTGGCAGAATTAAGGGCCTGATAGTTGTTTGTGGTCCTAAACTTAAGGTGAAACAACTCAATATGATTGTTTTTCTCCAGCAACATTCACCTACTGGGGTACAGTGACTGAGCCATTATAGGATGAGTTTTAACCAGATTTAAGGTTTGGTCAAAAGAATGTGAGGAGATAAAAAACAAGCAAGAGACTTAAAAGCATATAGGCAGAGAGTAATGTGTTCATAAAAACATATTCACAAATGTATCTTTTTGAATCTCCAAATATTTAATAAATTACTATAGAGCACTAACTATGTACTAGGCAGTATTTCAGTCACTTGGAAAACAGTAAAAACAAAGACCACTGTGCTTATGAAGCTTATGTTCTAATGGAGGGAGATGGTGTATGCATAAAAATATATAATACATTACAATATATTAATATTATGTTAACAGATGAGAAGTGCTATTGGAAACAAAGTAGAAGAATAAAAGCTGGATCCAATATACTAGTTTGGAGGATGCAAAATTATTTAGAGCAGTCAGCGTTTACCTCATCAGAAAAATATGACCTGAACAACAATTTGAAAGTTAGCATTGCAAATATCTGGAGGAAGAGCATTCTAAAAATGTGACTGCTAGAGAAAAGGTCTAAGATTGGAAGTGAGCCTGACTGTTTCACGGGACAGCAAGGAAGGTAATATGTCTGGGGTGCAGTGAGAATGCGGGAGCATAGCAAGAGATTAAGTCAAATAAGTAAAGGGTCTGGGGGAAGAAAATCACACTTGCCATTTCAAGAACTTTGGCTCTTCATTTACATGAAATGAGTAGTCGTCACCTAGTTTTGAGGAGAGAAATGATATGATTTCTCCTCACTGTTAACAGGATCACTTTGACTACTGTATACGGAACAAACTCTGTAAGGCAAGGATGAGGCAGGGAAATTTCTATATTGGTCAGCATTAACTAGCTTATGCTGAGATAGCCAAGCTCCAAAATCTCAGTGCTTATATAACAAAAATGTATTGCTCATTTAAGTTAGCTGTTTGCTGGGATTAGCTATGGCTCAGTACCCTGGGTCTCCTTCATTTTCAAATTCAGGATAAAAGGGCAGCTCATATCTTGAGCATATCATTCTTATAGTAAAAGAAAGAAAATAAATGGAGGCACTACACAAATTGCTCTTTAAGATGATCCCAGGAAATACTACCTGGCTTATCCATGAATTTTATTAGCCAACTCTTCTCCTTCGTCGAGTGGCACCGCAAGCAGGATTGGCTGCATTATTTGAGAAGCCCAATGCAAAATTAAAATACATTATCGCTTGTTCAAAAACCATTAGGAATTTCAAGGTGGTAATAACAGAGTATTAAACCAAGTGAAGGTCACACACTCATGAAGCTGGCCCTGAATACAAGTCAAATTGAAATCAACAACTGAATAATACTCTCACACGAAAGATCAGTGAATATATGAATGTATTAGAAACAATAATGCAGTCTACCACAATTTAATAGCTGATATATTCTGGGTAATTGGTAATGGTAGCTCAAACGAGGTAATAACAGTGGAGGTGGAAATATGTGGTTGGTTTCTGCAAATATTTTGAGAGTAATGCCTGATATAATGGAAAGAGAGGTATTAAAATTGACTCCAGATTTTTTTTTAATAACTGGGAGAAGAGGGGTGTCAGTAACTGAGATGGGAAGACTATAGTTGGAGTGTTGAAAAATCAGGAGTTTGGATTTGAACATGATAAGTTCAAGGAATGCACTAGATGCATCAGTTCAACTAGAGATGTCAAGAAAAGAGTGGGATATACACATCTGGAGGCTGTAAAAGAGATCTGTGCTAGAGAAATACATCTGGGGGTTAATGGCCTATAACTGATATTTAAATTCACTATGCTAAAGAAGACCACCATAATAGTGAGTATAGATAGAAAAGAGAAGAAGAGCAAGTGGTAAGCCCTGAAAATAGTCTTATATTCAAGAGGCAGAAAAATGAGAACAGACTGCAAAGAAAATTTCCTGAAAGCCATCAATGAAATAGGAATAAAAATGTAGTGAATGTGGTACAATGAAAGGCGTGCAGAGAAAATGCATCAGAGAATCAACCGTGCCCATTCTGTTAATAAGTGTAGTAGGAAGAGAACTGAGAACTGACAATTGAATTTAGCCATGTGGATGTCATCTGTGACTCTAACAAGAACAGTTTATTTGTGTTGGTAGGGTCAAAAACCAGATTGCAATGAATCTAAGAAAGGAGAGGAATTAGACACTGTAAGTAGAGACAATTCTTTTAAGAACTTGTGTTTTTAAGAAGAAAATCTGGCATCTTTCCCTTAGCCTTAGACGTTGTGACAAGCTTAGTACAGCACATATCATGAAAAGGTTTTTCATTTCTAAAACTTTTACATTCCAAGACAGACATGAAAAACAGAGATATTGAAAATATTTCATACTGAGAAAAGCCATAAAAATATAAACAATTTAGGCATTTTTCTAATTAAAAAATGAAAATCTGGTCTATTAATCAAAAACTAACCCAAATATCATAACAAAGGAAATGTTCATTACCAATTTTGAACAGTAAACCTGGCTTTTAAAAAATTCCTGTGAGTCAATTCTTCTGAAATGTTCGGCTTTCTTACACATGCTTTACTAAAGCTAATACATAGTTGTCGGAGTTTTTTCTATTTTTTTTAAGCTTCATGGCAGAACAAAACATACGAAAATAGAGGGAAGTGAGATAAAGAGAATTATTTTTTTCCTTTTTTTTAAAAAAATGGGAGAAATAAACACATTTGTATGCTTATGAAGATGAGAGGGAAAATAAATGATATAAGAGAAAGAAGAAAATAATAGATAAGAGAACAAAGGAAGGAATTGGTTTTAGTTAGGACTACAGAAAATTCATCTATGACATTAGTTCTCAACAAGAAAGAGCATCTACCCTCCCTTGCCAAAAATAGTTGGCAATGTCCGGAGACATGTTTGATGGTCACAACTGGGAGGGAGTTTCTACTGGCATTGAGTATAAAGGTCAGGGATGGACATCCTCCAGCTCCCACAACAAAGAATTATCTAGCCCAAAATATCAGTTTTTCCAAAGTTGAGAACCCTGGACTATGGTAAGAGAAGGGCAGGCTGGTAGTCAGTTCTATGGGGGGATGAGAGTCTAATGAATTCATATCTCAATGCAATGAAAACTAAGGTTATTGGCTGAAAAGAGACAAGGAGCAGGGAGGCAGAGTGTTAAATATAACTAAACTGATGAATTTTCATTATTAAACAAATGTAAGGAAGTTAGATAAGGGTACAGGATAATTGAGAGAGTATGCACACGAGTGAGTATAATGATTAACTGCAGAATAATCTGGGCAAGGAAGGAAGTAGGGACATCGAGGGAGTGGGAAACAATGAAAATGTGTTGTGGTTAATGGATTGGAGGTTATTAGATTGGATCAGGTGCTAGCTAAAAGTGAATGGCATGAATAATGTGGTCCTCTGACAGGGAATGCATTAAGTTAAGATTATGGAAGTATTGCAGTTCCACCTGATAGGGTGGAAGATAAGATCTCTGATGCGGAGAGTTTAAGAATTTAAAGGCCGATATGTTAAAAGATAATTGCAGATATAGTGAAATTGCTATGAATTCAGATATGTGTAATATTAGAAAAAGTGATTATGAAAAATAGAGCATTATTGAGAACAGAGGGCAAAGGGAACTGGGGTTGATAGAGGACATCTGATATGGGAGGTAGTGGGTCATATAATATGATGATATGAGACACAAATATGGAGGGTGTTATGGAAGGAGGATAGTCCAAAAGCAGAAATGAGGCTCAAAGGTATCTTCTTCCTTCCAGCCTAGGAGTAAAAGGCTTGAGGAGAGAAAAAAGCTACCAGTTTAGAGGATGCAAAAAACACTTTGTACTTACTGCAGAGTCAACTTTTCTCAAGAGCAAAACAGTAATGGGAATTTCCAGAAATAGTTCAAGAATAGCAGATTTTACTGATAATAAACTGCATTTGTGAATACAGAGTGGAAGAATTTTATGAACTTTGGAAGGATGAGAAAGAGTAAGAAATTGGGGATGGTTGGTGAGCTGGGAATGTGGGATTTAAGATTTTTTGACAAATAATAATTGTATACATTTATGGGGTACAATGTAATGTTTTAATATGTGTATACAATGTGGGATGATTGAATCGAGGTAATCAACATATCGATCACCTTGCCTACCCATCATTATTCCTAGTGAAACATGTGAAATTTACTTTTAGTTATTTTGAAATAAACGATGCATCATCCTTGACTTTTTTGTAGCAGATACAAGCAACAATAAAGGACATAATGTGATTAATCCTGAAGGGTCCAAAGGGGAGAGTCATGCCTGAGTATTGGGGTCTGGGAAGGGGTAGGTTTCTGGAGCTCCTCCATTATTCCTAAGGAATAGGGAAGAAGGCCTGCGAGAGGTATGATTATAGTTCCCATGTTCTGATTTCCTGTTGGCCCACACAGGGAGAGAGGTGATTTGTTTCTCAATGTATGTGATCTTTGCTGGTCCCAGTCAATGGACTTAATAACTGCTGGGGAGACTTTAACTAAAATACCTTTATCTAACTCCCTTTTGTTGAATAAACAAACAAATTCTTTTTGTATTGCTAAATCAAGGACAAAAAGACACGTAAGAAAATGGATACGGGATATATGCATATGTGGTTAGAGCTTGGAAAGTGGAACCATTTCTGTAGCTGGATTATAAATATGGATTTGTATCTAGCTTCAACTCTTGCTAGTTGTGTGGCTTGGAGTGTACTATATCAGTTTTCTATAAATTATCAGTAAAATGGGAGTAAAAATATAACATACCATACCCGAAATTTTTGAAGACCCAGTAGGATATCAAAATCTTCTTAGCACAGAACCAGACACATGCCAAGCATTCTGTAATGTAGGTCACATGCATTAACTTTTATGTATTAATTTAGAAAAGAGAAAATGTCCAATAAATTTAAGGTTTTCAACCTCATTGCAAGTTATTATAATAACACATTTTTAAACCTATAACGTTGATGAAAAATTTCAAAAAACTTTGAGAATATCCAGTTTTTAGTGAATGTATGGTGAAATAGGCTCTCTCATTTATTATTGGTGATAGTAAGATTTGGCATTGCCTTTTCAGAATATAATTTGCCAGCATTCATTAACATTCAAAATGTATATATTCTTGAATGCAAAATTTAAGAATGTGACCAATGAAAATGTAAGCAAGAAAATGTCAGGATTTATACATAAGAGTGTTTATCTTTGCAAATACCCATAAGAAAAATAACAATTACTTTCTTTCAAGGTGGATAAAAGCTTTCTCTTTAGAGCACTTGGCTGGCAGCTAGAAGCAGCAGGGGAGAGCACCACTGGATTTTCAGCCACCATGGCAGTGAAAGGGAGCCATTTTAGAGTAATAGGCCACAGGTTGGGTGCTGGCAACACCATCAGCAACACTGGAGGGAAGTCCAGCCCAAAGTAGCCTCATTGAAACCTCGTGCCATAGATCCAGGTAAGAGAGTACAGTATAGTGTTTAATACCAAGGACTGCCTGGATTTAAGTCCCTGTGCTGCCACTTTCTGCTACTAACTGTCCTCAAATGGTTTATTATTATTCCCATGTTAACAATAAAATACATTAGGAAAATTATTAACAATAAAATACATTACCAATCAACAGAGTAATTTAAATACTTACCAGCTATAGAGTAATAGGCCAAATATTTTATATTATCCAATCTACACAAAAACCATATGAGGTAACTATCATTGTCTACATTGGATAAATGAGGAAACTCTGATTAAGCAAGGTCAGTCAGTGAATTGTCCAAAGTCAAACACTTAATGAGCTAGTAGCCAAGGTTCAGACCCTATTCAGCCTCACCCACAGATTGAATCATCCACAATCCTATGATTTCTTTGCTCAGTCTGCGGATACTAAGCATTTTATAAGGCCATTCTGTTACTGTGCTCATTGAAATTTTGTAGACAGAAAACACAAAGATTGGTATATCTTGAAAATTCTTAGCTATAGGAGAATCAGTCTTGATTTAAAAAGTAATACACGGCATTACTACAGTATAATACACAAACAACATGAAAAAAATCACTGTCACCTGGTAGAAAGGCATGATCTTTTGGAAAACAGCATCAGTAATAAGATGCTGGGGACCAATTAAATGGTCAAGATTCCTAATATTAGAAGGACTAAGCTTGTCCCTATTTCATGGATCACTAATCCATATCAGACAGGTTTAATTAGAGAGGAAGAGTCAAATGACTTCCAGTTGCCTTTCTACATCATTTTAAGTACTTTTAAATGTCCAGACCGTAATAAAATCATGTTTAAACCAAAGCTATATCCATTCTCATGTGCCCTTTACTTATTTCCTAGGGAATTATGAGTAATCTAATTAGCTATTCCTGAGGTGTCAGATCAATATCACACACACATTTAAGCCTGCACTTCTAAATTCTCAGTATAATTAGCTGCTCAGATTATACATTATTAAACTTAATTTTCACTGATTGTCTTTTTAAGATTAAGGTATTAAATATCATATTTAAATATCGTATTTAAATATAGTAGTTTAATACTGCTTGGTAGCAAACATTTCAAAAGCTATGTAGTACATTTATATTTACCTAAGGAACATGTAAGTCAGCTAGATAAACATCTAGATATAAGAAAAAAATGGTTTCACTGATTGGATTCCTAAAAAGAATTGTGGTTACAATATACATTCAAAATGCTGATGTCATTCTACCAAAAAAAAGTATACAGAATTTAAAATCTGTGCTCACTTTATTTATCCTCTTCTTCCTCCCCAAGTTTCTTAAACATCAAGTATGTTGATGTTTTAAAACTTCTATTAAGATCTCATTAATCCTTGACTGAGAAAATGTGTGTGTCAGTTTATTTTTAATACAGTTTATAAAATTCTGGATTTACAGTAAGCTGCTAAGTTTAGGTAACTAGAAAAATATTTTAATTCATCTACTTTTGCCTCAGTAATTTGTAATAACTATCAACTATTGTTTGGGCATTATATTGCCATAAAATGTACCTAAGATTGGATTGGAAGTCATGTTCTACTCTTAGTATTTATGTTCATGTATAGTTTGACTAATAATTATTCAATTGCTCTTTGTTCTACTTAAGGAACATCAAATGCCAGTTTGTTGGTTCTGATCTGAAGATATAATTATATTAATTATTTTCCATATTTTATTCTATTTTAATGAAAGAATGGGGAGCAGGGCAGATGGTGAGAAATGAGGATGAAAGAAAGAATGAAATACTTCTTTCTGAATATAATTTTAAAAAGAAAAACAAGCCTTCTATTTTGTTACTATATGCCACATATCATATCATATTAAACTCTGGGAATCAAATAAGTAAAATACATTGTTCCAAAGGAAATCTAATCCAGAAGGAAGAATAGCATACATGAACTATATAAATGAACATTTTAAGAAGTTTATATATAGAATAAGTATTTTCTATTTGTGTTGTTGTCATTGTTTTATATTTAGTTCTCTTACCTTTAACAAGACAAAAATTCTTGTAAAACTTGTCTGTGTATGCATTAGCAATGGAAGTGGATAGAATATAAATATTTTGATGGGAGGACTAGAAAGTAAAATTGAATATATGACTTTATATAATTCTACAAAGAGATATGGAGATAGATAATGGGTTGCTAAATACATATTAAATTAGACCTTCATAGCCCACCTAATATTTAGAATATGCTGGATTTTTTAAAATATGAGGTTTCTGAAAAAACTGTCTACTCCCTGTATTACATTACTGGATTATTTTTGAAGTCCCAAATATACCTGAGAAGTTTGTGGTAGTCTCCTCTTATAAAAGGAAATGAATATTTATTTATTTTTCCATTAATATGATGACGATTGGATTACAGTTTATTTATTTGTGCTTGTTTTTGAAAAGAAAGTTATTTTCATGCCAATTTTTATGTCATATAAGAGATGAATAAAAGCAATTCCTCACTCCATCCCTATTGTATTTGAAATCTGTAATATCAGAAATCCAGTGTAATATCTTAACCAATCAAGCTAAATATGCCAGGAGACTTTCTCATATGCTGTGCTGATGAAGCAAGTGTATTAAATTTATTCAACCACAAACAGCACTTCGATTATCATGCACCTTAACTGCTTCATACGTGTTGACCATAAGAAGAATAAAAAATACAGAATGAAGTGTGATTAGTTCTTGATGAATTGAAATTCCTTTAATTCACATTGAATGGAAAAAATTTGTATTAATAATTAGAATTAAGCTTTCAGTCTTTTCTTTTTGACAGTAGTGTTCAGTAAATGTACCTGAAGTAAGATATCATTCTTACAGTTATCCAAAATGCAGCATATGGAAAAGTGGGTGCTTGTTTTATTGAGGGGAGTGTGAATTGTATACCAGAAAAACTCATAAATAACTATGTCAATTATGTTTCTTTTTTGAAAACTGTGTCTACAGTTGCATACTTAGTATTTGTCAGTGAGTTAAGTGTAGGGATATATAGAAAGTGAAAAATTATAAGATTTTAAAATTATTTTGAAGCTGAAGTTTAACAAAGGATTGCTTAAAAAAAACTTAGTTAAAAGGGGAAAAAACATATAATTCACTGGATAAGACATGATTATACTATGCATAAGCCATTGTCAGTGTATGGAAAAATATGGGGAAGTTTTAAAAGGCCCGATAATTATAGCATCACTTTGTTTTGGCAGCCCTGTGTTACTCATTTTCTGGTTTCTTAGACAGATGCAGAATTCTATAGTGTTGGAATTGAATGTCAAGAAAAAAAGTTCTGTCAGTGCTCATATACCATATACAGATTTTTTTTACAGATGAATTATTACTTCTTCATGTTTTGCCTCTGTGGCTTGACAGTTATTTCACACATACTTTTTGTGAGTAGCTGTAAATGATGAAGCATGGAAATTTCACAGAACTCACTAAGGAGTGTGAAATCAAGTTTGAGATGTTGAATATTGTTAATTTATTTGTACTATTGGTACAGGTAGGATAACACAATTAGGATGAAGGCATATGTCAAGCAAGGGGAGGTGGTGAAAACAGAATCTATCAGGCTTTTATTGAGCCTCATCTATCTGCTATTTTCATATCTACATGACTTTTCTGGAATAAATGAAACACATAAACAAAAGTGAGCAATACAACTAACAACATATTCCTACAGGAAGTTTACAATCCAATTAAAAGGCATTGATTTTAAGTATATCTATGGAAACTCTAATGTCAACTAATGGGAAAGGAATCATCTGAGTAAAATTTCAACTCTTCTACCGCCAAGAACTGGCTGAGTCACTTAAACTTCTTGGTTTGAATCAGTTGGTACTATTGAAAAATGACTTCCTCTCTCTGAAATATTGTTAATGTATATTAATTATGTTAATGCTAATTATGGAATATTATACTATAATGATATAATTTTCTCTGCAAACTTAAACAAAGATACTTCTCCATTAAGTCAATTTTCCAACTGTGGTTTTTACGGGTTTGAAGTACCACTATGACTGCAGAACAGGAACCTTATATTTTGCAAACTTTGTATCTTTTCTATTAAAAAAAAACTCTCACAGAATGTCCAGAGTATAAGGAACATATGTTAAATATTATTTTCCATTTCCCATTGTATTTGTTTCCATGAATATTTTTTCTAAAACATATTATTTACAGCCATGTGCAGTGGCTAACGCCTGTAATCCCAGCATTTGGGAGGCCGGGGTGGGTGGATCACAAGGTCGGGAGTTCGAGACCAGCCTGGCCAACATAGTGAAACCTCGTATCTACTAAAAATACAAAAAATTAGCCGGGCATGGTGATGGGCACCTGTAATCCCAGCTATTCGACTGAGGCAGGAGAATCGCTTGAACCCAGGAGGCAGAGGTTGCAGTGAACTGAGATCGCGCCATTGCACTCCAGCCTGGACCACAGTGCAAGACTCTGTCTCAAAAAAAAAAAAAAACTTACTTCAAATACAATTTATTGTTAACAGTTTCCTAGTTCCTAGTTTATAGGGGAATGTGAAGAACAGTTAGATAATTTGATGTAATGTCTTGTTTCCTGAATAGATAAGTTTTTTTCTTTTGTTGTTTGTAAATTAATGAAGCCAGGAGTGGCAGCTCATGCCTGTAATCGCAGTGCTTTCGGAGGCCAAGGCGAGAGGATCACTTGAGCCCTGGAGTTCAACACCAGCCTGGGCAACAGAGTGAGACTCTCCCTCAACGGCAAATTAAAAAATTAGCCACCCCTGGTGGTGCACATGTGTGGTCTCAGCTACCTGGGAGGCTGAGGCAAAGGATCACTTGAGCCAGGGAAGTCGAGGCTTCAGTGACTCACGATTCACACCACTTCACTCCAGCTTTGGTGACAGAGTGAGACCCTGTCTCAAAAACACATATACCAAAAAATTATGGGATACGAATGCAATTCGATTACATGCATAGATTGTGTAGTTTCCTTTCTGCTTTTCAAAAAGCTATCATGTTTTAGAAAAGCTTACTACATAAGCATAAAAACAAAAATGCGATAGGAAAAATATGATGCCTGAAAACATTCCAGTGATTGGAATCTAAAGATAGAAAAGTAAGAACTTGTCTTAATAACATTCAAAAACATTCAAAATTTATTTTCATAATGCTGTTGTCCAATTCTTCAGCTTCTCTTTATGACAGCTATACAAGTTCAGAATCACTAATATCAGAAAAACAAACTATGTTATTATTGTGAGGAATGTAAAGATCATCTAATACAAACCTTTATTTTACAGACAAAGAAAAGGAAGCAACTATGAAGCAAATGATTTACGCAAAGTCAACTAGTGAGTTCAAAACATAAAATGAACTTATTATGTATGGTTAGGAAAGGGCCTTAAGGGGATTCAAATCTTCAAATCTTTCATGTCTAAAAATATTGGCTGCCTTGGGATATGCCTTACCACTTAAGAAAGCAGAAGACTTGTTAATTTTATTCTTTTTTTAATTAAATATTGAATATATACTAAAACATTATAACATATGTAACATATAAGTAAGATCAATAAAATACACATCCAGGCCAGGCACGTTGGGAGGCCAAGGTGGGCGTATCACCTGAGGTCAGGAGTTCCAACCAGCCTGACCTACATGGCGAAATCCCATCTCTACTAAAAATACAAACATTAGCCGGGTGTGGTGGTGGGCGCCTGTAATCCCAACCACTCGGGAGGCTGAGGCAGGAGAATCACTTGAACCTGGGAGGGGGAGGTTGCAGTGAGCCGAGATTGCGGAAAAAAAAAAAAATACACATCCATTTACCCACCACCAAGTTCATAGTACTTCCCGATGTTTACTTCTTGTGCTATCTTTTCTTTCTATTCTGCCTGCTCGTTTGAAGATCTATCAATTCAAATGGTCCAAAAGTTGTAAACATGTCAGAATAAAGTTGCCCCTCAGTATACGCAGACGGGGACTAGTTCCAGGGCCATGGCATTCCATGAATATTGTATTTTTGATCCCTGTTAAGGGTTGAAAAAAATCTGCATGTAAGTGGACTCATGCAGCTCAAACCTGTGTTGTTCAATGGTCAAATGTGTGCGATGGAGGTGGTTTTCCCCCAGAAACTCTATAATTTACTCCTTAACCATCAAAAATGCATTATTTCTTGAAATATTCCACTAATCATGTTTAACACAAAAAGCCAAATTAATTGCAAAATAAAAAAATCTGATTCTTTTTTCATAAAATATCTCTTATTTTATGTCATTAAAGTTTTAAAACAATTACATGTGAATAAATCCTGATTCAAGATACATAGAATAAAAACTCTGATATAAACAAAGGGCATAGTGAATCACTAATGTAATATATCAACAACACTTATTTATGTATGAACTCTTTTTCTAAGTTTCAGAAAATGGCCAAAAATCCATTCATATATTTTGATTGTTCTTTATTAAAAATCCAGTTGCTATCTTTACAAATAAATATAGAGGGGAAAATTATGAGCAATCACGAGCTTCAAAATCTATGTACTTAGAAAAAAATCCTCAGCAGTGCGATCTGGCAAAAGTATATTGTCCAGGTCAGCAGTTTTTCCCATAAAAATGAACGATTATGCAATACCTATCACAGCATGGTCAGTTATATTTCAGTGTTAGGTGAGATGGTATTTATTTTCAGTCCATTCCATCAGCATAATAATTTGAATGATCCTGTTCTCCCGTTTTGTTCTCACTTGAACTGAATTTGAGATGATCTGTAGCTTTACCTAGGGCAATGGACAAAAAATAAGTGCCCCTTTATAATAGCGTCTTTGGATATATATAAAGTGCAGTCCGTGTACCCAAAGCAGCATGACTTAGGAACTTGGTAGTAAAGCAAATTCTCAGACTAACCTCACATTTTCAGAATAATAAACTTTATGGGTGGATTACAGCAATCTAAGTTTTAACAAGTTCTCCATGTGATCCAGTTGCACACTGATAGGAATTAATGATAACGAACACGATAATAACTTAGAAGTTGCCCATGAAATGAAATTTGAAAACTGACAGTGTAGAAGTCCATCAGTAAAACATACTTTGGGCAGACCCTTGAAATCGCATCTTCAAAAATGCATGTATCCTTGAAAATGGTAGTGATCTAAACTTCTGTTATCCTCCTCTTTTATTATTAGTAAAGTGGCATACAACTCTTGCCTACTTTAACCCAGGGTCCACTAGTACATTATTCCCCTTTATGCTAGGCTTTGAAGGATTGCCAATGATCAATTCATCACCAGATCAGTAGTTCACTTCTCCAGTCTCATAATCCTTTACCTGCCTATGTTAGTTTGAAGTCAAAGTCCATAATATTAAACACTACAAAATGCTGCTATTCATTTTTAAAATTCATTTATCTATTTAATTTACAAATAAATAAAAGTGATATGTATTTATAATGCACAATATGTTGTTTTGAAATACATATACATTGCAGAATGGCTAAACCAAGATAATTAACATGCATTACTTTACATATTACCAGTTTTTATGATGAGGACACTTAGTATCTACTCAGCAATTTTCAAGGATGCAATAGATTTTTTATTAAACTATAGCACTGTGTTGCGCAATAGATCTCTTGAACTTATTTTTCCTAACTAAAATTTTATATCCTTTGACCAAAATCTCTTTAATCCCCCTCCCCTCCCTCCAGCCCCTGCTAGCCACCATTCTACTCTCTACTATGAGTAAAATGTTTTAAAATTCCACATATAAGTGAGATCATGAGTTTTGTAATCTTTTTATGCCTGGCTAAGTTCATGTAGCATAATATAAATGAAATAATATATAGTAAAGTGATCATTTAGCACATATTAAATATAAGACCTGAAACAGTAAAACTTCTAGAAGAAAACATAAAGAAAAAGTTCTATAGCATTGATTTGGGTAATAATTTTTTGGATATGAACCCACTAAAGCACAAGCAGCAAAAACAAAGATAGACAAGGTAGACTACATCAAACTAAAAAGGTTCTGGATAGCCAAGGAAACAATTAGCAGAGTGAAGAGACAACCTACATTATGGGAGAAAATATTTGCAAACTATATATCTAATAAGGGGTTAATGTCAAAAATATATAAGGAATTGAAACAACTCAATTGTAAGAAAATAAATAGCCTGATTAAAAGATGGGCAAAGAACCTGAATAGATATTTCTCGAAAGAAGACACACAAGGAGCCAACAGTTATATTTTTAACATGCGCATGATTACCAATCATCAAAGACATGCAAATTAAAATCACAAGGAGATATCACTTTGCACCTGTTAGAATGGCTATTACTAAAAAGAAAAAAGATAACAAAGGTTGAAGAGAATGTGGAAAACAGAGAATGCTTGCACTCTATTGGTGAGAATGCAAATTAGTACAAACATTATAAAAAAAGTTTCAAAAAAAAGTAAAAATTAACCTATTGTATGATCCAGAAATCTCACTTCTAGATATTTATCCAAAGGAGATAAAATCAACATGTTGAAGACATACCTGCACTCCCATGTTCATTGCTGCATTATTCTCAAGAGCCAAGATACAGCCATCAACAGATGAATGGAGTAAAAAATGAGGTCTGTATGCACAATGGAATACTATTAAGCCTTAAAAAAGAAGGAAATCTTGTTATTTGCAACAATATGGATGAACCTGGAGGACATTGTGTGAAGTGAAATATGCCATTCATTTTTAAGTGTCTCTTGGAACTGTTGATTATAACTACCTTAGAACATTCTGCTAACTTAACTCTGTGATGCTACTCTGTACTGATTTCTTCTCCTTTCTTTACAGTCTGATGATATTTTTCTAATTTATAAACAGATTTTTTAACTGTTAATCTTTAGCTTTCTCCTTTAATTGATATATATAATTGCGTGGTGTATGTGTGTATGTGTGTACATATGTGTGTGTGTGTGTGTGTGTACAGTTAGGATTGTAACTAATGCCCTCTTTTAAATCCCTTTTCCTGGATTTCCTGTTTTCCCTGGAGGGCCAATAGGCCACATTATAAATAAAAGAAAGTTTCTTAAGCTGTGGTATGCATACACTAGGAAATGTATAATGTGATTTTAGGTGTCATACGAATAAGTTAAAGTCATAGCTTTCTAAATTTTATTTACTATACATATAAAGATAATAGTCAATTTTGAGTTGGAGTGATGAACTAGCAGGGAGAGAAGAAAATTCTCCCAGAATGACACAGGTAAAGAAATAAATGATGTTTAGTTGATTTGAATGATTAGATTAACCCTTTTTTCTCCCATTTATTCTTTGAAAAGTGATATCTTTCAACTAAGTATATCATCATTTTAAGCCTTGTTTTTGGTAGCTAACACCTATTAAGTTATATATAAGCATGTATTAATATTTAATTTTATTGTATTAACACATTTTAAAATGTTTTTTTATTAGATTTTTCTACGGAATACCTACCTCAGACCAGATTTCATAGCATCAGCGTGAACAGAAAATAAAGATTAGAACAAAAGTCTACTAGTCAAAAATACACACGGCCCAGCAGAAGAAGACAGTGTTACTGCTATAAGGAAGAGGAAGGCTTCTAGATCTCCGTAATGAGACAAACAATACCAAAGAAAGATGGTAAAGGGAAGAGAAAGGCCATTGAGATCAGCTAACTTATTTTTACATGTCGTACCTACAATGGACTTACAACTTACTAAGTAAGGCATGTCATATATACTCACATCACACACACACACACACACACACACACACACGCACCTCCCCCCCCCCCAAAAAAAAAAAAAAAACTCGCAATGTCAAAAGATTCCAAGCTTATCTTATAAAAATGTGTATTCATGGTCCAGGCTTCTTCCTGAACGAAAGCCCTTTATACTAGCCCAGTGATCTCTAACTTCTATTCATGGCTGAGCATAGCAGCCCTGCGTCTCTGGCAGGGCAGCCAGCCAAAATGCAAATTACCCTAACTGTGAAGGGAGGAGTAATCACAAGTGTCTAGCACTTCCAACTCAGGTAGAAAAGGACAGTTAGGCATGCCCTTGACCACAGCATTAAGCACTGGCACAACTTGGTAATGGAGAAAATGAGTGAAATAACTTACCTAAGCTAGAGAAGTGGATTGCAGGGTCAGAACGTTACCGTCCCAGTGATAGAAGTAGAGGAGGGAAATAGGACTAAAGGGACCCAATGAGGACCTTTCACATTTACCTAGTGTGTAAATAAAGGTCTTAAAAGAGCCCCTGGTAAATCCAATTGCTTCTTTTCTGACTCTGTACCACAGTTACTATTCCGTCTGAATTGATAAGACAGAATCTATTAGAGCTTCAAGCATTTCAGTAAAAGAAATAGAAAGAATAATTAAGTTGTTACTTGATAAATAAAGGAAAAGATTTCAAGTGACATTAGATTGCAGAATGTCTTCCAAGGGAAGCTCAGGAGCTATTTATTTTTGTGGCAAGTTCAAATACATACGTATGTGTGTGTATCATATATATATGTAATGTATACACACATATATATACTAGGTTGATGCAAAAGTGATTATGGGTTTTGCCATTACTTTTAATGGTAAAAACACAATTACTTTTGCACAAACCTATATAACACATTATTATAAACACATATGTCATGGAGGTCTGTTATAGTAGAGACCTAAGAGTAATAATATTAGATATTCAAAAATAATTGACATAAATTCACCTGGACAGAAAACTTTGGCTCTTGCACAACTCAACCCTGATAGAAATTTGGCATTTTGCTCTCAAAGTAAAACTATCTAAAATAGGCATCAATTTATTTTCTATGAAATTTAATTTAATCCTACTTGTTTCTTTCCAAAAATAACTACTTATATTGTTTTCTTAAATCTAGCAAAATATTTGCCTAGAGTTAATTAATCAAGAATACAGTATTTTATAAGCTTTTTACATAATATATTAAATCCACACAACTTCAAATATATGGTATATGGTGTGGTGCCCTAAGTCTTCTAAATGTGGCTTATTTTGTGATATTGTCAACCTTAGAACATCAAAGAATGAAATAGTGTCTGGACAGGGTAACATCAAAAACAATCTCCTAACCTGTGTGCTATCTGGTGACAGCAATTAGTGGAATTAGGAGATGATGAAAGAATGTATTATAATATTGGGGTTTGCTTTTCATATGTATTAGATGAGGTCATTACCTGACTGTCGTGGCTGGGTGAATGTGGGTGGTCAGTAAATCCTTCCAAGTTTCTGAGAATAAAGTTATTCTCTTTATTCTAGTAAATTTTTCCAGGAACTTAAGAAGGCATGGAAAATGGGATGATGGGTTTTGTCTCTGATAACAAATATCTTTACACAATCATGCAATACTTCAGAGATGAACTCAGGGACTATGCAGCCATCCAGTGAGCCCCCTCGTTGGCCATTCAGCATCTTTCTCCTGTTATATTTGTCAATAGGTTGATGAAGAGCTCAAAATATCTTGGTAACTGTAGTGGTTTAGGTTTCTTAGATAGAGGACCCAGCCTGGGATCCTGAGGCATTGCTGAGACTAAGTGCATTTTAGCAAAGACATGAACATAGCACAGAAGTAAAACTGATTTCCTATTAATATTTCACTTCATTCAAAAATGTATTTTATATAGTCTCATTAACAAGTGAAGCTATTGCTTCTGTGAAAATGCAATATCATTTAGAACATTTTATTATTTTGTATGCTTCAAGCACACTTCATACTACTAGAAGTCTCCTCTTCCCACTCAAGTAGGGAATTTAATTTGTGGAGGTATTTCATGCATCTTAATGGGAGTCTTTTTTAAAATCTCTTCTACCACAAAAATATTAAGCTTTGAGGAAATACTGTTTGTTCATATGTATACACATACACACACACATATGCACATGCATACATATATATACACACAATGAAGCAACCCAATATATTAGAAGAATAAAACTCTAGATAAAACTTATTAACAGAAAAGTACGTTTCAGTCCAGAATTGTATTTTTAACTGGGTAGTAATGGAAAAGACAACTGAAAACTAAAGAAACTTTATTTGCTTTGAGGACCCAGAAAGAGCTACACTAGCAGCCGACTTAAAGAAAAAAAACAGTATAAGCATTTTCAACCCATTACAAACAGAAACAGGTGCATTACCAACCCCTCAGAGATGGAGCTGATAATGAAAATGTTGCAGACCTTTAAGTGGAGCATCTCTGCCAGACAAGGTTATAATAGTGAACTTACATTAAGGAAAAAAGCATTCAGTATTTATGATTTGCAATTTTAACTTGTGTTTAAAGTGGTACAGGAGAATTCATGAGGGATTTAGTGTTCTAGGAAATCTATTCGGTCAGTACTGTAAGATTTTATGACCTTTCATTAAGACTTGAAAGTTTGACTGTGCAGATACTGCATTGAATGCAAATCATGCTATTTTGTGCTGCCAGTTCTCTGAACATTTCTAATGCAACAGTTGAAAGAGGCAGTTAGAGAAACCTTATATTTTAAACTGGCTGCCATCAGAGCCTATAAATACAATATTCATCAAAGGAACTTCAGAAGACAAAGCTTGAAATAAAAAACCCCGGGAATTATTTATTCTTTTAAAATTTATACTCTGTGGAAACCAAGAGAACCATACTGAAAATGCCCAGTATGTAATTTAACATCAGAAAATTTTCTCTAGTGAAGAATATTTTAAATTTTTGAAAATCATTGTTACATTCAACCAAATTCATACATGAAACCATAACTTATTTTCTACAATCATTCTCCTAATGTGTATCACAAATTTTATGGGAGTCATCAACATCAAATAACATTTAAGTTCAAATAAATCTCCCTGAATAAATAAAGTAATCAAGGAGCTTTCACATAGGTTTCTCATTTAATCTTCACAATAATCCCACAATAATCTGTATTATTACATCTGTTGAGGGAATGGATGGTAAAACTAAAGTTCAAAGATGCAGTAATTTGAACAACATTCTCTAGTCTGTGAACTCCAAAGGTAGTATTTTTTTCTACTATCCAATGCTATTATTTATAAGCAAATACGCCCCTAGTTGTATTTTAGTAGTTTTGAAGACATCGTTTTCATATTATTCAAAATTTTTCTTGCTTTTCTGTGGAACCTGAGCAAGCTTTGCAAAATTAAACAGCCAAGATAATTAATCTGTATCCATTGAACAAAATCAATTTAACCCAAGAAGGGTGAGATATATTTTCATATAATTGTCACATTCCAAGAAGCATCTTTAAGACACCAAACAAAACAAAATACCAATCTAGTCTGTTAAAGTCAGAGAAAAATGGTTATACTTGGGGAAATGGAGACCGGAAGAGGCTCTGGGCTCTGGGTTCATACTAGAATTTTGGTTCTGGTTCTAGGTGTGTTTTCTATCACTGTGAAAATGTAGCTATATATTTTCTCCAGTGTTAGACTGCCTCACTTATGTTGGCATATTTATGGCTTCTGGAACCCTGTCTTTTGTCTTAAATGCTAGTTACTTTATGTCCTATGACTGTCATCTCCTATATCTGGTAACTGCAAATTATTTTATTTAGAATGTCAGTAACTAATCATGACTTTAGACCAAGATTCTGACATGTTTCTCAGACGATGTTCGATAAGAAGAGACATAAGAAGCCAGATAAAGACTAAAATATTGTAATAGCTTTATTATTAGTGAAGTTGGAATGGGGAAATCAGTATAGACAACAAACACAACTTAAACTTTCTATTTTTTTCTGCAGCTACCCACTTTCTTTTCACACAAAACAGAACTTGGTTCCCACACGTAAGGGAAGTTGGGACTGTAGAGTCTCTTCGGGAACGATGTGGTACCCACTGCCAGCCAGCTTCTAAGCTTGCCAGGTCAGAAAATAAAATGACAAGAAGGAAGCAATCTTTCAGATTGTTTTGACAGGCAGATTCTGGGCTGAGACACAACTATGTTTACTCTGTGGGGGTAAAGAGCTCACTGTCTGTCTATTCATCAATGTGGCAGGAAATATACAGAAGATTGAGTCAATTGAGCTAAATTTGCACCATTTTTTATATTTTTAAATATATATATACCCAATGTTACCAATTTTATAACTAACTCTTCTCTAGAGGACAGATAGTAGAGCAGAATACAGAGATTCATTGAGTAAACTAAAATATCCTTTAACAGAAATATAAGGAATGAAGCACTGCCATCCTTTCCTTAAAACCTTGTTTATCATTTAGTTCCCGTTACTCTATAACTAAAGTTTTCACATCATTTGATATAGACTTCTATATTCTGTATTTTTTAACGAGGGGATACATTCATATAAATTTTACATAATCTTATAAGTGTCTTATTGTTCCTATTGTGTTGTTAAATGCCTATGAAACTATAGGCAAATTATCAATGAGTATTATACAAGCAGCTTAATTCTCCATTTTGGGAGAATAGATCAATCCAATGGAAAACTCTATTCTTATTTTCAGACTTAATCGAGTTCTTCACATATTGCTTTGCCCCAGCATGTATTAAGTACTTTATCTTATTCAGAAATCATCTCTAGACAGAAATTAGCATTTAGAAACTAGGAAGACATCTCTCTCAGCAGAGTAAGGGACAACCCTTTATTGTAATGTTGAATGCTTCTTTCAGAGCAAAATAATATATGTCCATCAGAGCCTATTGAAAAGAAATTATTTAAATTCCTTGAGAAATAAACTCTGTGGAATGAGTTTCAGTTGTATCTCTCTAATACATCTTAATAGAAAGCATTTTAAATCTCATTTCTTCATCATGTATATTTTCATCAGTGTCTTTTATGTGCCAGGAAAATGAAGAAAAATGTATACAGTCACCCTTCAGTATTCACAGGGTATTGCTTCAAATACCAAAATCCACAGATGCTCAAGTCTTATAAAATGGCATAGTATTTGCATATAACTTATGCATAACCTCCAGTATATTTTAAATCATCTCTATATTACTTATACCTAATACGATGTAAAATCTATATAAGGACCTCTTCAAGGAAAACTACAAACCACTCTTCAAGGAAATAAGAGAGAACACAAACAAATGGAAAAACATTCCATGCTCATGGAAAGGAAGAATCAATATCGTAAAAATGGGTACTGCCCAAAGTAATATATAGATTCAATGGTATCCCTATCAAGCTACCACTGACTTTCTTCACAGAATTAGAAAAAAAAAACTACTTTAAATTTCATATGTAACCAAAAAAGAGCTCATATAGCCAAGACAACCCTAAGCAAAAAGAACAAAGCTGGAGGCATCACGCTGCCTGACTTCAAACTATACTACAAGGCTACAGTAACCAAAACAGCATGGTCCTGGTACCAATACAGACATATAGACCAATGGAACAGAACAGATGCCTCAGAAATAACGCCACACATCTACAACAATCTAATCTTTGACAAACCTGACAAAAATAAGCAATGGGGAAAGAATCCCCTGTTTAATACATGGTGTTGGGAAAATTGGCTAGCCATATGCAGAAAACTGAAACTGGACCCTTTCCTTATACCTTATACAAAAATTAACTCAAGATAGATTAAAGGCTTAAACATAAGACCTAAAACCATAAAAACCCTAGAAGAAAACCTAGGCAATGACATTCAGAACATAGGCATGGGCAAAGACTTCATGACTAAAACACCAAAAGCAGTGGCAACAAAAGCCAAAATTGACAAATGGGATCTACTTAAGCTAAAGAGCTTCTGCACAGCAGAAAGAAACTATCATCAGAGTGAACAGGCAACCTACAGAATGGGAGAAAATTTTTGCAATCTATCCACCTGACAAAGGGCTAATATTCAGAATCTACAAGGAACTTAAACAAATTTACAAGAAAGAAAAGAAAACCCCATCAAAAAGTGGGCGAATGATATGAACACACACTTCTCAAAAGAAAACATTTATGCAGCCAAAAAACATGAAAAAAATCTCATCATCACTGGTCATTAGAGAAACACAAATCAAAACTACAATAAGATACCATCTCACACCAGTTAGAATGGTGATCATTAAAAAGACAGGAAACAACAAAAGACAGATGCTGGAAAGGTTGTGGAGAAATAGGAACGCTTTTACACTGTTGGTGGGAGTGTAAATTAGTTCAACCATTGTGGAAGACGGTGTGGTGATTCCTCAAGAATCTAGAACCAGAAATACCATTTGACCCAGCAATCCCATTACCCAAAGGATTATAAATCATTCTACTATAAAGACACATGCACACGTATGTTTATTGCAGCACTATTCATAGTAGCAAAGACTTGGAAGCAACCCAAATGCCCATCAATTATAGACTGGATTAAGAAAATGTGGCACATATACACCATGGAATACTATGCAGCCACAGAAGGGGATGAGTTCATGTCCTTTTCAGGGACAGGCATGAAGCTGGAAACCATCATTCTCAGCAAACTAACACCGGAACAGAAAACCAGACACCACATGTTCTCACTCGTAAGTGGGAGCTGTACAATGAGAACACATGGACACAGGGAGGGAAACATCACACACCATAGCCTGTCGGCGGAGTTTGGGGCTAGGGGAGGGATAGCATTAAGAGAAAAACCTAATGTAGATGATGGGTTGATGAGTGCAGCTATGGTGGTTTCACCATAGCACGTGTATACCTATGTAACAAACCTGCACGTTCTGCACATGTATCCCAGAACTTAAAGTATAATTTTAAAAAAGAAAGATAAAAAAATGCATCAGCATACTGTTCAAGTATGCTGAATTCTGTATTTTTTTCCTTTTAATCAAATTCATCTTTTCTGTCAGTTGGACTTTCAGGGACTTTTAGTGACTTCTGGGAAATACTAGTGCTAAGACAGAGTTACAGTATTACAACAAGCTTCAGGAAACATTAAAAGTAAAAATATTTTTAAAAATTCATTAAAAGCTATTTAAATAGTTGTTGTACTGTATTGTTTTAAGAGTAATGACGAGAAACAATAGTCCGTACATGTTTAGTACAGGAGCAACCATCCATTTTTTAAATATATTTTTGACCCATTGTTGGTTGAATCCACAGATGCAGAAGCCAGAGCCTTGGAAAAACATATATACTATAGGTGAAAAAGATATAAAACACAAAATTGCAGCACACACTATCACTGCAGCAGTAAAGATTTGTGCAAGGTGTAGAATCCTAACAGTGTAAGCACCTACAACTTCCTGGAGAAATCCAAAAAAGCTTCAAAGAGCCTATTTTAGTACAGACAAAGGATTAAGAGGTATTTTACTCTGCAAATGTTGGGAGACAACCAGATGGGTAGGGAAAACATTAACAGAAAAATAGATGGTACCTACATAGTTATATGCTTATATATTCAAATCTCCATTGCATACACATTTATTCCTTCGATGAAGACTTATTCAGTGCCTGTAATATGCCAGAATTTCTAGGTTCTGAGAATACTTTCAGAAAATACAGACAATGTCCTTGCCCTCCAGGTGCACTCTAAAGGTGGAGAAAAAAATAAATAAGTAAACGTTAAAACTCTACTATTACTTCAGGTAATGATCAGTGTATAATGATAAATCATAATAACTGAGTAGAGTGGGGCAATAAAAGAGGGAGAGGTTATGTTAGAACAACTCACTGAAGAGACTTTTATGAGAAAAGAGAAATTAGCAGTAACTGCTAGGTCTTAGCTTGAGAACTGGGTGATATGCTATCACTTACAGAACCTTTAAAAAGGATCAAGGGTGTGTGTGTGTGTATGTGTGTGTGTGTGTGTGTGTGTGTATGGATGGATGAGAAAATATAGAGTTTTATCCTGAACATGCTAAATCTTCTATACATCAGTCTGATCAGTCTGTTTCTTTATGTGAATTTTTGAGTAATCAATTTGTAGATGGTATTAAATCCATAGGACTAGGGGAGATCACCAAATTTTTTAATACAGATATAAAGGGGAACAGGAATAAGACTGAGCATGGAGACTCTCCACTATTGAGGTGTTGAGGAGTGCCCATCCAGGAAAGTACACTGAAGGTGGGTAGCAAGGTAGGAAAAACATTTCAAGATGGTAGTATTCTAAAGGGAAGTTGAAAAAAGTGTCTCTTGAAAAATGAATGATTGACAATGAAAATGCTGAAGAGAGGTTAACTAATGGTTAACTAATATCAGAAATTATTATCTGTTGGGTTTTTCAAGATGAAATTGGCAGATTTGAGCAGAAGATTTGACCAAAGTGATTTATTTATTAGCATTTTATTGGAGTGGCTAAAGGAAAAAGTAAAGTGAAGAAGTAGAACTTGAGTTTTGGCAAATCTTTAAAAAATGTTTTAATGGTGGGGGAGATGTAGAAACAGATTATTGTAAGAACAATAGTCTCCATCTTAAGGATGGAGACAGTAATAAGACCTGGTGTGTCTAGGGCAGCCAAAAAGTCTTCATCACAGACAATGAGAAAGGCTGATGTGAGAGGTTGAAGTAAATAAAAACAATAAGGCAAGAAAAATGAGGTAAGAAGTCACAGTCAGGTATGGCCAGCAGCAGAGATTGAAGTTTTAGTTTGAAAAGAAGTGTTTGAAATCAGGGAGAAAGTTACCAGGGAGTGTCTTTTTTGCCCCACCAATGTATTACCTGTATCTGCCAAATAGTAGATATAAATACCTTTTTGTTGAATGCATGAATGATGAAGTGCACATATTCTGAAAGTAGGAGATTAATGACAGATATTTTAGTAGTATTGGGAAGGTAAGGCAGGATTCCAAGTACTGGCATTCAAGAGGAACTTCAAATGAAACCCCCAAAAGCACACTGATGACAAGTGTCCATTTTTTTGCAATTAAGATAGTCAGTGTTTCTATAAGTAGCAAGTGAATAGACTGCACGTTTTGGGGGCTTTTAATTTATTTTTCTTTCTTTCATTTTTTTTTTTTTGACCAGAAAACCTGTTGTCCAAAATGAAAGTAAAATTTTATGAAGACTATTGGATATGTAAAAGCGATGAAATTTGAGTAGTTCTCTCCTGTGAAGGAAGAGGTCTACAGGGAGCCCTGCCGACGAGTACTTCCCTCTTGCCTACTGAAAATAGTCCCTGACAGGGTCCCAAAACAACACTGAAAATATTTTAAAGCTTTTAAATTATAATGTAATGAAACCATACTTTATGTACAACCTTTCTGAAACACGTATTTCACATCTAGCGGAGCATACTATTTATCTGAGAGAAAATACATTATTAGATATCATAGATCAAGGAAAAGACAAATTTTGAATTTTCATGAATTGTTGATAAAGACCATCTTACTCCAACTTCCACTAAGCAGAGTAAGAATTGTAAAGGATATATTCAATAGATATTAAACATGGCATTTGTAACCAGCTCTGACTCATCTCTTTACCTAATGAAATCTCTCATTGTTCTGAACATATGTGCCCCTTTCTCTGTTCCTTTCTAATAGCGCTTTTCATTTTCTATGTTATATTACTGTTATGTTTGTACTTTTCACACTTTTCTCCCTTTATGAGTGCTGTCTTCTTAAGAGAAGGGACTATAATCCACAGAATAGACTCAATTAGTAATTATTGATTGAATTAGCACACTTTCTAAGCAAGAAGTGTTGGTACAGAGAAACTCCTGATTATGTTATGAATGGAAATTTTCTATGTACCAGATGCTAAGATTATGGACTTTTTATTTAATTAAAAGTATTTTATGTCATATAGTATTATGCGAAATTGGGAGAATATTTATACTCTTTTGATAGCTACAAATATTTTATTAGAAAATTTGAGTGTTTAATAATTGTATAAAATTTGAAAGATCGAAAGCAAAATAAAAAAATTAATCAATGACTCACTAAATTCAAGAATACATGAAGCTTCTTATCAATTTTCTTTAATATAAGTGCAAAAATGTTCTTCATTACAAAGCTAATTGTGTACCATCTTTTCTGCCATCAGTTGTTCACAGTTCATGTTGAAACCATTGAAATATAACAAATTTAGTCTGGTAGGATGGCTCGTAATTACATTTTTAATAAAATGATATTTGTTAGGTAACAGCAGACATTCTTGTTTAGTTTCTGTTATCACAGAAAAAAACTTTTCACTACTTTAACATAAATATGGCTTTGCTATAATTTTAATACCCTTGCTATAATTGTGAATAAAAGAAAGTTCCCTCAGAATTTCCATAGAAAGAAGTTTTCTGAGGGTGTTTATTATGAATTGGTTTATAACTTTGTTTCATATTTTTCTAAACCAATGGAAATAATCAATTTTTTTCTCCTTTATGATGTAAATGTGTATTGCATTGATTGATATTTAACATAGAACCTGCCTTAAATCCGTGTAATAATTTCAATTTTTCTGTGATGTACTATTATTTTTATACATTCCAGATTAATTCTGTTGACTTTGACTTTTTAAAAAGGTTTTACATCTATGTTTATAAGTACGAACAACCTACAATTTTCCATTCTCCTAAAATTCTTGTTAGGTTATTGTTATCAAGGTTATACCTAGCTCACAGAGTATGTTTGGGGATACATTTTTTTTTTGTTCTTTACTCTAGAAGACTTTGTATAATTTGTCTTCCTTAAATATTGGTATAATTCACTGGTATAGACATCCAGGTATAGAGTTTTCTTTTTTTTTTATTTTTTATTATACTTTAAGTTTTAGGGTACATGTGCACATTGTGCAGGTTAGTTACATATATATACATGTGCTATGCTGGTGAGCTGCACCCACTAACTCGTCATCTAGCATTAGGTATATCTCCCAATGCTATCCCTCCCCCCTCCCCCACCTCACAACAGTCCCCAGAGTGTGATATTCCCCTTCCTGTGTCCATGTGATCTTATTGTTCAATTCCCACCTATGAGTGACAATATGCGGTGTTTGGTTTTTTGTTCTTGCTATAGTTTACTGAGAATGATGATTTTCAGTTTCATCCATGTCCCCACAAAGGACATGAACTCATCATTTTTTATGGCTGCATACTATTCCATGGTGTATATGTGCCACATTTTCTTAATCCAGTCTGTCATTGTTGGACATTTGGGTTGGTTCCAAGTCTTTGCTATTGTGAATAATGCCGCAATAAACATACGTGTGCATGTGTCTTTATAGCAGCATGATTTATAGTCCTTCGGGTATATACCCAGTAATGGGATGGCTGGGTCAAATGGTATTTCTAATTCTAGATCCCTGAGGAATTGCCACACTGACTTCCACAATGGTTGAACTAGTTTACAGTCCCACCAACAGTGTAAAAGTGTTCCTATTTCTCCACATCCTCTCCAGCACCTGTTGTTTCCTGACTTTTTAATGATTGCCATTCTAACTGGTGTGAGATGATATCTCATTGTGGTTTTGATTTGCATTTCTCTGATGGCCAGTGATGGTGAGCATTTTTTCATGGGTTTTTTGGCTGCACAAATGTCTTCTTTTGAGAAGTGTTTGTTCATGTCCTTTGCCCACTTTTTGATGGGGTTGTTTGTTTTTTTCTTGTAAATTTGTTTGAGTTCATTGTAGATTCTGGATATTAGCCCTTTGTCAGATGAGTAGGTTGCGAAAATTTTCTCCCATTTTCTGGGTTGCCTGTTCACTCTGATGGTAGTTTCTTTTGCTGTGCAGAAGCTCTTGAGTTTAATTAGATCCCATTTGTCAATTTTGGCTTTTGTTGCTGTTGCTTTTGGTGTTTTAGACATGAAGTCCTTGCCCATGCCTATTTCTTGAATGGTAATGCCTAGGTTTTCTTCTAGGGTTTTTATGGTTTTAGGTCTAACGTTTAAGTCTTTAATCCATCTTGAATTGATTTTTGTATAAGGTGTAAGGAAGGGATCCAGTTTCGCTTTCTACATATGGCTAGCCAGTTTTCCCAGCACCATTTATTAAATAGGGAATCCTTTCCCCATTGCTTGTTTTTCTCAGGTTTGTCAAAGATCAGATAGCTGTAGATATGCGGCGTTATTTCTGAGGGCTCTGTTCTGTTCCATTGATCTATATCTCTGTTTTGGTACCAGTACCATGCTGTATTGGTTACTGTAGCCTTGTAGTATAGTTTGAAGTCAGGTAGTGTGATGCCTCCAGCTTTGTTCTTTTGACTTAGGATTGACTTGGCGATGCAGGCTCTTTTTTGGTTCTATATGAACTTTAAAGTAGCTTTTTCCAATTCTGTGAAGAAAGGCATTGGTAGTTTGATGGGGATGGCATTGAATCTGTAAATTACCTTGGGCAGTACGGCCATTTTCACGATATTGATTCTTCCTACCCATGAGCATGGAATGTTCTTCCATTTCTTTGTATCCTCTTTTATTTCCTTGAGCAGTGGTTTGTAGTTCTCCTTGAAGAGGTCCTTCACATCTCTTGTAAGTTGGATTCCTAGGTATTTTATTCTTTTTGAAGCAACTGTGAATGGGAGTTCACTCATGATTTGGCTCTCTGTCTGTTGTTGGTGTATAAGAATGCTTGTGATTTTTGTACATTGATTTTGTATCCTGAGACTTTGCTGAAGTTGCTTATAAGCTGAAGGAGATTTTGGGCTGAGACAATGGGGTTTTCTAGATATACAATCATGTCATCTGCAAACGGGGACAATTTGATTTCCTCTTTTCCTAATTGAATACCCTTTATTTCCTTCTCCTGCCTAATTGCCCTGACCAGAACTTCCAACACTATGTTGAATAGGAGTGGTGAGAGATGGCATCCCTGTCTTGTGCCAGTTTTCAAAGGGAATGCTTCCAGTTTTTGCCCATTCAGTATGATATTGGCTGTGGGTTTGTCATAGATAGCTCTTATTATTTTGAAATACATCCCATCAATACCTAATTTATTGAGAGTTTTTAGCATGAAGGGTTGTTGAATTTTGTCAAAGGCTTTTTCTGCATCTATTGAGATAATCATGTGGTTTTTGTCTTTGGCTCTGTTTATATGCTGGATTACATTTATTGATTTGCATATATTGAACCAGCCTTGCATCCCAGGGATAAAGCCCACTTGATCATGGTGGATAAGCTTTTTGATGTGCTGCTGGATTCGTTTTGCCAGTATTTTATTGAGGATTTTTGCACCAATGTTCATCAAGGATATTGGTCTAATATTCTCTTTTTTGGTTGTGTCTCTGCCCAGCTTTGGTATCAGAATGATGCTGGCCTCATAAAATGAGTTAGGGAGGATTCCCTCTTTTTCTATTGATTGGAATAGTTTCAGAAGGAATGGTACCAGTTCCTCTTTGTACCTCTGGTAGAATTCGGCTGTGAATCCATCTGGTCCTGGACTCTTTTTGGTTGGTAAACTATTGATTATTGCCACAATTTCAGATCCTGTTATTGGTCTATTCAGAGATTCAATTTCTTCCTGGTTTAGTCTTGGGAGAGTGTATGTGTCAAGGAATTTATCCATTTCTTCTAGATTTTCTAGTTTATTTGCGTAGAGGTGTTTGTAGTATTCTCTGATGGTAGTTTGTATTTCTGTGGGATCGGTGGTGATATCCCCTTTATCATTTTTTATTGCGTCTATTTGATTCTTCTCTCTTTTTTTCTTTATTAGTCTTGCTAGCGGTCTATCAATTTTGTTGATCCTTTCAAACAACCAGCTCCTGGATTCATTAATTTTTTGAAGGGTTTTTTGTGTCTCTATTTCCTTCAGTTCTGCTCTGATTTTAGTTATTTCTTGCCTTCTGCTAGCTTTTGAATGTGTTTGCTCTTGCTTTTCTAGTTCTTTTAATTGTGATGTTAGGTTGTCAATTTTGGATCTTTCCTGCTTTCTCCTGTGGGCATTTAGTGCTATAAATTTCCCTCTACACTGCTTTGAATGCGTCCCAGAGATTCTGGTATGTTCTGTCTTTGTTCTCGTTGGTTTCAAAGAACATCTTTATTTCTGCCTTCATTTCATTATGTACCCAGTAGTCATTCAGGAGCAGGTTGTTCACTTTCCATGAAGTTGAGCGGTTTTGAGTGAGATTCTTAATCCTGAGTTCTAGTTTGATTGCACTGTGGTCTGAGAGATAGTTTGTTATAATCTCTGTTCTTTTACATTTGCTGAGGAGAGCTTTACTTCCAAGTATGTGGTCAATTTTGGAATAGGTGTGGTGTGGTGCTGAAAAAAAGGTATATTCTGTTGATTTGGGGTGGAGAGTTCTGTAGATGTCTATTAGGTCCGCTTGGTGCAGAGCTGAGTTCAATTCCTGGGTATCCTAGTTGACTTTCTGTCTCGTTGATCTGTCTAATGTTGACAGTGGGGTGTTAAAGTCTCCCATTATTAATGTGTGGGAGTCTAAGTCTCTTTGTAGGTCACTCAGGACTTGCTTTATGAATCTGGGTGCTCCTGTATTGGATGCATATATATTTAGGATAGTTAGCTCTTCTTGTTGAATTGATCCCTTTACCATTATGTAATGGCCTTGTCTCTTTTGATCTTTGTTGGTTTAAAGTCTGTTTTATCAGAGACTAGGATTGCAACCCCTGCCTTTTTTTGTTTTCCATTTGCTTGGTAGATCTTCCTCCATCCTTTTATTTTGAGCCTATGTGTGTCTCTGCACGTGAGATGGGTTTCCTGAATACAGCACACTGATGGGTCTTGACTCTTTATCCAATTTGCCAGTCTGTGTCTTTTAATTGGAGCATTTAGTCCATTTACATTTAAAGTTAATATTGTTATGTGTGAATTTGATCCTGTCATTATGATGTTAGCTGGTTATTTTGCTCGTTAGTTGATGCAGTTTCTTCCTAGTCTCGATGGTCTTTACATTTTGGCATGATTTTGCAGCGGCTGGTACGGGTTGTTCCTTTCCATGTTTAGCACTTCCTTCCGGAGCTCTTTTAGGGCAGGCCTGGTGGTGACAAAATCTCTCAGCATTTGCTTGTCTGTAAAGTATTTTATTTCTCCTTCGCTTACGAAGCTTAGTTTGGCTGGATATGAAATTCTGGGTTGAAAATTCTTTTCTTTAAGAATGTTGGCCAGGCGCTGTGGCTCACACCTGTAATCCCAGCACTTTGGGAGGCCGAGGCGGGCGGATCACGAGGTCAGGAGATCGAGACCATCCCGGCTAAAACGGTGAAACCCCGTCTCTACTAAAAATACAAAAAATTAGCCAGGCGTAGTGGCGGGTGCCTGTAGTCCCAGCTACTTGGGAGGCTGAGGCAGGAGAATGGCGTGAACCTGGGAGGCGGAGCTTGCAGTGAGCCGAGATCCCGCCTGGGCGACACTCCAGCCTGGGCGACAGAGCGAGACTCCGTCTCAAAAAAAAAAAAAAAGAATGTTGAATATTGGTCCCCACTCTCTTCTGGCTTGTAGGGTTTCTGCTGAGAGATATGCTGTTAGTCTGATGGTCTTCCCTTTGAGGGTAACCTGACCTTTCTCTCTGGCTGCCCTTAACATTTTTTCCTTCATTTCAACTGTAGTGAATCTGACAATTATGTGTCTTGGAGTTGCTCTTCTCGAGGAGTATCTTTGTGGCGTTCTCTGTATTTCCTGAATCTGAACGTTGGCCTGCCTTGCTAGATTGGGGAAGTTCTCCTGGCTAATATCCTGCAGAGTGTTTTCCAACTTGGTTCCATTCTCCCCATCACTTTCAGGTACACCAATCAGAGGTAGATTTGGTCTTTTCACATAGTCCCATATTTTTTGGAGGCTTTGCTCATTTCTTTTTATTCTTTTTTCTCTAAACTTCCCATCTCGCTTCATTTCATTCATTTCATCTTCCATTGCTGATACCCTTTCTTCCAGTTGATCGCATCAGCTCCTGAGGCTTCTGCATTCTTCACGTAGTTCTCAAGCTTTGGTTTTCAGCTCCATCAGCTCCTTTAAGCACTTCTCTGTATTGGTTATTCTAGTTATACATTCTTCTAAATTTTTTTCAAAGTTTTCAACTTCTTTGCCTTTGGTTTGAATGTCCTCCCATAGCTCAGAGTAATTTGATCGTCTGAAGCCTTCTTCTCTTAGCTCGTCAAAGTCATTCTCCATCCAGCTTTGTTCTGTTGCTGGTGAGGAACTGCGTTCCTTTGGAGGAGGAGAGGCACTCTGCTTTTTAGAGTTTCCAGTTTTTCTGTTCTGTTTTTTCCCTATCTTTGTGGTTTTATCTACTTTTGGTCTTTGATGATGGTGATGTACAGATGGGTTTTTGGTGTGGATGTTCTTTCTGTTTGTTAGTTTTCCTTCTAACAGACAGGACCCTCAGCTGCAGGTCTGTTGGAATACCCTGCCGTGTGAGATGTCAGTGTGCCCCTGCTAGGGGGTGCCTCCCAGTTAGGCTGCTCGGGGGTCAGGGGTCAGGGAACCACTTGAGGAGGCAGTCTGCCCGTTCTCAGATCTCCAGCTGTGTGCTGGGAGAACCACTGCTGTCTTCAAAGCTGTCAGACAGGGACATTTAAGTCTGCAGAGGTTACTGCTGTCTTTTTGTTTGTCTGTGCCCTGCCCCCAGAGGTGGAGCCTACAGAGGCAGGCAGGCCTCCTTGAGCTGTGGTGGGCTCCACCCAGTTGGAGCTTCCTGGCTGCTTTGTTTACCTTAGCAAGCCTGGGCAATGGCGGGCGCCCCTCCCCCAGCCTCGCTGCCGCCTTGCAGTTTGATCTCAGACTGCTGTGCTAGCAATCAGCAAGACTCCGTGGGCGTAGGACCCTCCAAGCCAGGTGCGATATAATGTCGTGGTGCGCCGTTTTTTAAGCTGGTTGGAAAAGCGCAGTATTCGCGTGGGAGTGACCCGATTTTCCAGGTGCGTCCGTCACCCCTTTCTTTGACTAGGAAAGGGAACTCCCTGACCCCTTGCACTTCCCAAGTGAGGCAATGCCTCGCCCTGCTTCGGCTCGCGCACGGTGCGCGCACCCACTGACCTGTGCCCACTGTCTGGCACTTCCTAGTGAGATGAACCCGGTACCTCAGATTGAAATGCAGAAATCACCCGTCTTCTGCGTCGCTCACGCTGGGAGCTGTAGACCGGAGCTGTTCCTATTCGGCCATCTTGGCTCCTCCCTCAGGTATAGAGTTTTCTTAATGAAAATATTTTGATTGTAGATTCAAAGTTGGTTCTTTGGAACAAAGACTAATAAAATTGATTAATTGCTGGCAAGACCCCAGTGGTCTCTTTTTATTAGTTTTGCTTCTTTTATTACTCATTTATATTGCCTTGACTCTTCATGTGACTGCATTTTTGTTGTTTGTTTGCTTATTTGCTAGTCATTATAAATGCAAAATCATGTTAAAAAATAGTTCGTCAGCTAAGATTATGTTGTCTTTCTCAAAAACTGGTTTGTTTGTGATGCTTATTGGTATTTGGAATCAAGAATAACTTAAATACAGTATCAGGGACTAAGATGACTGAAAGCCAAGTTGCTGTCTTTCTTAAGGGTTATTTTTAGTATTGCATTAATATTATTTTGTTTGTTCCCAAATATATTCAAAAATACAATCTTTATGTATATATATAGCTTTTCCAGTTTTTCTCAGTGGGACATTTGGTCTGCTGTTACTGGAAGTAAAGGACTGTTTTACTTCCAGTAAAACAGTAAAGGATGTATGTACCTATGTTATATAAAACATATATAGTATAGACAGAAAGTATAAATTAATATATATATAAATTATCATAAATGTGTACAGTTTTAGCAAGGGTTTCAAGATTTTTAAAAATGATTTCTAGATTTTTTGGTACTAAACTATCTTTTTTTCCACAGAGGTGGAACTCAATTGTTTTATCACCTTCCAAAATATTCATTATTTAAATAAGATTTTTTATGGTAAGATAACGAATAAAAATACCTTATTACTAAAAAAGGGCAATTTGTGCTTTCATATAATAGGATGCATTTATCCTAATTTCTTTAAAGCTCTTCAATTGAAATGCAACTAATTTTAACCTAAGTGGAGAACTTTTGACAAGCTGTACATCATTGAGGTAGTGAATGGTGTGAAAATAATAATGGTAATTTTCAATAATGACAGTTTTAGAATCATTCACACTTTATTAAAAACCATCATAATTCCAATACCTGCCAGGAACTATCCAAACAAAATATTCTCAATGCCTTGTGTATTGCCTAAGATAATATATATTTTCCCTAAAATTGTTTCATTTTGGAAATGGACTAATAAATTAGTAATACCTGCTTAAAAAGTTTTTGCCACATTTGTCAGGAAATATTGCCTATTATGTATATACATATATGTATAAGATAAAAATCATTGACTTTCCTAAAAAAATCCACAGACTTCTTAGAACTTATATTTTTATACGTTACCTAAAAATATCATATACATATTAGACAGTGAAAGGAAGAATGTCACTCTCGTAGAAACATAGATAAAAAAAAGTCCTGGAATATTCTATTTTAACTATAGCTAAAGTTGTATGCTCTAAGAAATTTGAATTATAGTATTTGAGAAATAAGAATTTATTTTTCCCAGAAATTGAGTCTCTTAAAATGAATTTCCAAATGACAGGGATGTTTTACAGTATAAACTTCAACGTGAAGTGGTAATGCAAAGTAGATAGTGGGAGGAGGGGGGACAATATGGGCCTACAAGACATTTCTGCCAAAGTACCAGAGTATTAATATCCTAAATTATTGTGGCAGCTTCCACTAGTGCCCAAAAGAACCGAGATCTCTGATAAATTCATTGACTTCAGATTGGGAACATGCTCATTGTTTTTAAAATCAGTTAAAGATTTTTCATAATTTTGTAAATACACCCTTACTCTAAGATCAGTATTCTGCATACAAATGGGTTAAAACTTAAGAAGCACAACATTTCTCAAACTGTTTCATGGAGTTGTAAACTATGCATATCAGTTTTTAGTATGAACTAATAATATGGGCTATTAAAAGTTACTGCTAGAAAGATGCCAGTTATTTGATCAAAATATCTTGATCAAATTATTTGATTTTTGATATTTTGATCAATATATTTGATTATTTGATCAGTTATTTGAACAAATAAATATTTGTCAATTATTTGATCAAAAGTGTTGGAAAATGTTAGAATTTATGAACATATTTCCTTACAATGCTAATCTGTATTCTGAATCTCCAATGATACAGCGTTTCACTTTCCCCAAGTGTTTATCTTTTCCTTCCCCTGAAATTTTAATTAATGGAAAATGTTTCAATCATATTGGCAACCACCACCCCAGACTTATTACAGGCCTACTTCTTCAGTATCAAAAGATAGATGTCTATATTGAAAGAGGTTTGGATTAGGCTTCCTTGTTTTTTCCTGTATATTTATTGAAAGTAATACTTGGAAAGCAACTAAAATACCCTGCCAGCATTGACTCAGCATTTCATTTGCCAAAAGTGGATGAATTAATTTTGAGATATTAACTCTGTTGGGAATCTTTTGCAGAAGACTTGACAAGTGAGCTGCTGCCAGCTCACAGGAGGATTTTCCTTTTTTTCTCTCTCTCTTTCAGATTTGAGATTGTTTCTCTTGTTTTGCTTTGTTATTTCCTCCCCTCTTTGATTGTACATAGATACAGAGTCCTTTGTAGAGACATATTTGAGGAGCTGTGGAGAAAAGCAGGGAGACAAGAGATGAGAGGAGAGTGTGGCCCTAACAAATAACGGTTAAAAAAAAATACACACTCACTCTCACACACACACGTCTCCTGAAAAATGCAGGGAAATGCAATTTTCTGCTTAATAATAGCACTCACCATTTTAACATAACTCTTGAATGTATCTATCATTTCTTACAACTTTTATCATTTTCCATGTTTTTTTTTATTTTTGTGAGTACATATAAGATGTATGTATTTACCAGGTACATGAGATATATTAATATAGTCACATGATGAGTAGTAATCACACCAGAGTCAAAGGGGTATCCATCCCCTCAAGCATTTATCCTTTCTTTGTGTTACAAATATTCCAGTTATACTTTTTGAGTTATTTTAAAATATACAGTAAATTATTATTGACTGTACTCACCCTGTTGTGCTAACAAATACTAGATCTTATTTATTGTATCTAAATATATTTTTATACCCATTAACCAACCCCATTTCCCCCAACCCCCCTTCTATACACACACACACACACACACACACACACACACACACACACAAACACACACACACAAACACACTAACCTTTCCAGTCTCTGGTAACCATCATTCTGTTCTCTATGTCCACAAGTTCAATTGTTTTAATTTTTAGCTCTGACAAGTGAGAACATGTGAAGTTTGTCTTCCTGTACCTGTCTTATTTCACTTAACATAATGACCTCCTATTCCATCCATGTTGTTCCAAATAACAGAATCTCATTTTTATGGCTGAAGAGTACTCTGTTGTGCAAACATTCCACGTTTTCTTTATCCATTCACCTTTTGAAGGATATTTAGGTTGCTTCCAAATCTTGGCTATTGTGAGTAGCACTGTGGTAAACACAAGAGTGCAGGTATCTCTTCAATATACTGATTTGCTTTCTTTTGGGTATATACCTAGCAGTGGGAATCTAGATCATATGGTAGTTCTATTTTTAGTGTTTTTGAGGAACCTCCATACTGTTCTCCATAGTGGCTATACTAATTTACATTTCCATCAACAGCGTATGAGGGTTCCCTTTTCTCCACATCCTTGCCAACATTCATTATTGCCTGTCTTTTGGATATAAGCCATTTTAACTAGAGTGAGCAGATACCTCACTGTAGTTTTTATTTGCATTTCTCTGATGATCAATGATGTGGGGCACTTTTTCATATGCCTGTTTGCCATTTGTATGTCTTCTTTTGAGAAATGTTTATTCAAATCTTTTGCACATTTTAAAAGCAGATGACTGAATTTTTCCCTGTTAAGTTGTTTGAGCTCTTTACATATTCTGGTTATTAATCTCTTAGTAGATGGATGGTTTGTATATTCCATCTATTTAATTGACAAGTAGGTTTCAGGAACAATCTGCTGGACATTGAGCTAGGTGACAAGTCTATAGCAGAGAACTATTATGCTTATAATCTGCTGGGGAAATCCTATGTAAAACAAATAACTAACAAATAGTAAATACATAGTTGAAAAAACAAGAAGTCCAGACACAGAATAGTAGGCTGTGTCTAGTTTAGACTCAGGACATAGGGAAGATGTCTTAAGAAATGAAATTTGAGATGACATTTGAAGGATAAGCTGGAGTTTTAGGGCTAGGAGAGAGTGAAGAATGCAAATTTCAAACCAGAGAACATAGCATATGCACAGGCCCATGTCCACACAAAGCTTGATGCATTTGGGAAACAGAAGTAAAGTTTCATTATTTATTGATAATCACAGAATATAAAGAATTTTAAAGAAGTCACATTCTGGATTTACTTATATGCATGCTGAAGGCTTTAGTGTAACACTATTTGCAACTAAAAATCTATCAAAGATAAATGATTGGACAATGGATGTATAGGATAATGTATAAAAGAATGGATGTATCAGAAAGAAGGTATAGCAAAAAAGTTAACTGAAAAATTTAAGCAGTGGTGTATGGGTTTCCACTGTATAATCCTTTCTGTACATTTGAAAATTGTATGAGATGTTAAAAAAGAACTTGTATAACGCATGTGGTTGAGGGAATTTAAGGCAAGAATGCACTGGGTTAGAACTCTGACTGGTGAACTCCAAGATGCTTTAGTGTCTCATTATTCCTTGAATAAAAACATCAAGACTTTAGTTTAAAAAAATGTAGTTATCTACATCAGGGCTGCAGAACTACTGGACATAGAGCTTTTAAGTTTGAAAATATTGTACAAATTGGCAATGCATATTCCATTTTCTGAAGAACTTATGAATTAGTCATTTCAGCTACCCATTAGTCCCAGATCAGTCCAAGAATTGTTCAGTGATTATGTTCAATTGCTGAGGGAGTAAATCAGTGAAATTGAAGGATTTTGTTCAATCCAGCTTATTTTGACAGAAATAATTTAGACCATAAAATATTTCTACATTCTGCTACTAAGTATAGTTTACAAGGAAATCAGTGTGATTTTAAATAAATAAAAGGGGGATAGCATTTTTATTATCATCACTTTTAGGCCTTGGGCTGGCTGGAAACTTTACCTTCATTATTTATAAATATTTTAATGAGTTTAATATTATTATCTATGATGTCACAGGTTAGCTTTAATCATGCTTAAGGACGGAAGCAGAGAGTGATCATTGCATAATATTCACCTGTGGGCATCTTTAACAACATACCTTACCTCGTATACAAGCACCTCGCAGATGGCGTATACTTTCCCACATCCTTTTTTTTTTTTCAATTAATAGTAAATATTTTGTGCCTTTAAGGATTCTTGGTCAGGCACAGTGGCTCAAGCCTGTAATCCCAGCACTTTGGAAGGCTGAGGTGGGTGGATAACTTGAGTTCAGGAGTTCGAGACCAGCCAGGTCAACCTGGTGAAACCCCATCGCTATTAAAAATATAAAAGTTAGCCTGTAGTCCCAGCTACTTGGAGACTGAGGCAGGAGAGTCACTTGAACCAGAGAGGCAGAGATTGCAGTGAGCTGAGATAATGCCACTGTGCTCCAGCCTGGGTGACACAGCAAGACTCTCCCTCTCTCTCTCTCTCTCTCTATATATGTATATATACATGATTCTGCAGGTGATTTTTACTTTTAAGTATTGACTCATTTTATATCTTTTTCACATCTAAAATAATAACAAATAATTTGCAAGGTTGTGAAGATAAAATACAACGTATGCAAAGCTTATGACATATTAATTCATTTATTAATTCAACAAATATCTGATTGTCTAAAATGTGTCTGGCACTGTGTTAATTTTTGTGGGAATAGATATGAATAAAATATTGCCCCTATCTGCCAGGAATTGATAATTTTGTCTGAAGACAGATAAGAAGCAGATAAAATGTGATAAATATAAATATGTCTAGGGTGTGATATGTAGAAGCATGCCCAGGCTGACATATACACACACAGGGAAGAGAGAGAAATAGATTGTAGAGGCTAATGCTTTCCAAAGCTCAGATTACTTTCAAACTTTCATTCTCTAGAATGATTACTTCTCGATTTTTTTTTGGAAAACAGCTATTCCTCTATTCCATGTGGTTTGGATTCATCTGTTAGTCATGGTATATCATCATCACTGTTTCCTTTGTTGGAGCAACATGTCACAGACCCTGCCAATCAGAGACTGTTATTACTATGTACAGAGATTGTTAAGGATTACACAAGCAATTCAAACCACACTATCTTTCTGAAAATTGTATGAGGTAAATATTAGACTTTAATGGTCATCAGTGTTGAACCCTGAAGATTAATGGGAGGGAGGGTACTTTGATGAGAGTAATCTGAGAAAGGGAAATAATTCTATAATAGTTAGATTTTGCTTTGTGACAAACTACTCCAAAATTTGGTAGCTTAAAAGAATAAACATTTTGCTCAGAATTTTGCAGGTGAACAATTTGTGCGGTTTTCAGCTGAATGCTTTTTCTGATTTCAGCTTACCTTCACTAATCTTGGCTACATTCACTAATGCGTCGTTGGTCACCTGTGGACTGGCTTAGGCTAATTCCTTTATGACATCTGCCTTTGAGAAAGCTGAAGCATCTGTGGCCTCTCTCCATATGATCACTCATACTTCAACAAGCTAGCCCAGACTTGCTCACGTAATGCTTGCTGAGTTCCAAGATCAAGAATATTAGAATACAAAGCTTCTTATGGCCCATGTTCAGTACTCACAAATGTTTTGTTGCAGTCTACTTGTGAAAGCGAATCACAAGACCAACACAGATACAACGGAAGGGGAAACACACCATTCTTCTTGATGAGAAGGGCTGCAAATAAACTCACTCACTTTTACAGTTTTTGACACTCAGAACTTAGTGTGATTACGACATAATTTAAAAAGGGAAAAATAATCAGAGATGACTGTGTAGTTATACAAAGTCATTATGGGTTTTGTTTGCCTTTAAGAATGTTTCACTTTATCAACAGGATGGCACCAAGAGATTAGTAATATTGTATGCTTTCATTAAATAATAATTGTGTTATTTTTGTTTTATTTATCCTATGATCAGAAGATCATCATTTAAACATTAAAATTTGGTATGGGTAGTTCAGGAGCTGATGATAGCATTTTTAATGTTTGATTCAACAAGCTAAATGTCGTGATTAAGGGGTCTATAGTGCCAGAGTTGGTAATAAATTATACAGATGTATAACAGTAATAAAATCTGAATTAGAAGTCTGCCATTCTGGTAGAAGGCCTAAGATGCAAGTCTAATAAAAGGTGCTAAATACCACTGGAAGTGTACTAGGATCGAGAAAACCAAATACAGGGAAAATGCAGTATATTGTTGGAAGACATACAATAAGGGATCCCTTGGGGTTATACAACACTCTCAAGTAATGCTCTAGATCTACCTTTCCGAAGAAGGTAAATGTATTCCATTGTATTAATAAATTTGCAGGAACCTAATTGTTCAAGGCCTTTATTAATCAGCTTGGGCTTTCATAACAAAGTATCATAGACTGGGTTGCTTAAACAACAGAAATTTGTTTTCTCAGTTCTGGAGAAATTGAGTATCCAAGATCAGGGCCCTAGCACCATTGGGTTCTGTTGAGATCTCTCGTCCTGACTTGCATTTGGGAACTTCTTGCTGTGTCGTCACGTGGCAAAGAAAGAAAGAGAGACAGACAGAGACCCGAGAGAGGCAAGAGAGAGCTCTCTTGTGTCTCTTCTTATAAGGACACTAATCCTTCAGGACCAGGGCTCTGCCCTACCCTTATGACTTCATTTCAACTTAGTTACTTCCTTAGGGGCCCTATTGCTGAATACAGTCACACTGGGGATTAGGATATCCACATATGAAATTGGGGAGGACACAGTTCAGTTTACAGCAAGCTCAGTAAAGAAAAGAAAATGTTCTACTACCAGTGGCCCTTCTTCTTTTCTCTTTCCTCATGCAATGCTCATGAAGAAATATAGGATGGACAAATACATAAGAAATGACATCAAATTATTAGCTGGCACGAAGTCCATCTTTCTTTGTTGGGTCTTATGCAAACAGCTCATTCTTTAAGATACCTATTTATAATTAGGGTTGTCAGTATGTGTTTTTCTCCAATCCTGTAAACAAAAATTTTTACTACTTTTAGTCACTCTGAGAAGCCCAGAAGTTTATCAGAAGTAAAAATATATTTAACTATGAATAATGACTCCAGTATATATTATATATTTGAAATTATTAAAGCATTTGTTTTGACTTAGGCCATTTATCAAGTGCAACAGGAAAATAATTACATGTTCAGATTTTCTTAAAGAAAAGAAAAACATGATAGTAACTTTGCAAATTTAAATTTGTTTTTGTGCATTAGTCATTTATGAAGATTGATATATCATAATGAAACACATATCAACTTATAATCAACTAAAATATAATTTTATATTGCAACGTGAACCATGAGGATTGAACACATCTTAATGAAAAAGACTTTACATATTCCCTGTAATAAATAAATGACACACTGGAATTGATTATTGTTTACTGCCCGGGGAGAATCTTCAAGACAGAAAAATGTAATATTCTTACAACAGATTTATCAGATCATAATCCAATTGTACTCAATTTTGAGTTGAAGAATAAACCTTCACAAAGTGATGGGTCAATAAATAATATTTTAATTGTCCAGAAGAATTTTAAGCAATTAAAATTAATATTGAATGATGTTTCTTTTAAAATGCTGTAAAATCTATCTATCTTTTATATATCTAGCAATACTTTATAGGAAAGCAAAGAATATGAGGTTGTACAATAAAGATACATAATGATATGGTTTTTATAGAAAAGTTCAGAAAGGGAAAATGAAGCTCAAATACTCCAAGTAGAAAAAGAGCATAGTAAATGCAATTCATATATATGGAATAATTACTGAATTACTGAAGACAAATATAAAACGAACATTTTCTTTCAAAAACAAATAACATTTTACTAAAGATTCACAGTGTCTTAACAGTAAATAAAACAACCAACTTCAAGGCTAATAAAAAGATGAAACTCCTCAAATCCCAAATCCCAGGAATATATGAAGAAATATCAGATGCATTAATTCAATATCTCTAATTGTACATAAGCCTATGCAAAGAAAGGTTAAAACTCCAGCAGATGAGGAAATTTAACCATAATTTTCAAGCTTTACTATGGCAAAGTTAAATCATTTAAAAATTAGGAATTTTATTTTTGACATCAGTAAAAGAAAAGAGCATAGATCCTGATTCACTCCGTATTCATTTTCACTCAAATTTATGAATAACATCTCTACTGAAGTCAGTTTTGTCAAAAGAACATATGCCCTCTTCAGTTATACATATGTATTTTAGAAAAAGAGCCTATTGTCTCTATCTTTCTCCATGTACACACACACACACATACACAATGAAACAAAATGGAATAAAGAGAAAATACGTATTTCTCAAGTCTATGAGTTATACACATTCTAATTACATGGATATTTTTATGCTCTGTCTTCACTTGACTCTCTCAAAACAGAAGAAACAAACACAATGAAGTCCTTTAACTGCCATCTCTCCTCAAATGAAAAACTGTAGCACCTTGCAAAGGCTTTTAATTAAATAAACAGAAATGAAGCTAAGTTAAATTGATAGAACACTCTCTTGGATCAGGGGTACCATATATTCTAACTTTAACATTTTGCTATTTTAGCTGTGTGATTCATAGGAAAACAAACTGAGGGACATAAATTTAAAAAATAACAGAATACAATCTAAACATGCACACGTGAAAAAGTACTATCAAGAGTGTACACTTTCATATAATTACTACTATCTTATGGAAGATCAGAATAGAATTAATGGTTGTTACACATTCTTCATGAATTTTTTGGCAATCAAATGGTTTGCATAACATCAGGCTAAAACACTATGTTCCAAAATTGGGCTTGTTAACATATCTCCTTCTTTGTATACCTTCAAAATATACCATTCAATCTTTATATTATGTGAAAGGTACTCTCTGTGTCTGTGCAATACAGTGGCTCTATTTGTAATCTGATTCCATAAACTCCTTTAGGTTTGATGATACACTTTTTTAGCATAGTGAAGATTCTTGAGGTTCTATCTTTATTTTCTACTTAGTCTGTGACAGAGGCTAGAGGATGTTATAATTTAAATAAATTTACCTGAAAGTGTGTCAGAAGTTATTAACAGATATTTGGCATGTATGTAGTAGCCCAGATGGTTGGCATGTATGTAGTAGCCCTGCAAGTTTTATAAGCTCATCATGTCAGCCTGACCACTACATTAAATTGCCAAGATATACTGTGAGATATTTGGCAATTTCTTTAGTTATTTTGTATGAATGTGACAACAAATCATCCTCATAAATGATATAATATTTCTACAGGACTGAAACACAGGATGACATTTTTCAGGACATTTAAATAACATTTAAGAATCCACATTTTAGTGAATACCCATATTTCAGGGGTTTGTCAAGATAAATAATTCAGCTGTTGTGAAAATCATGAACAACTTCTTTGAATATGTTGCACATGTGCTAGAAATAATAAATGCATCAAAATGTATTCCTTTGGCTTAGAGCTGCTGACTTACTTGATATTATCAGTAACAATTATCTACATTTAAAGAAAGTTAGATATGATTAAATGCAATTATAGAATCAAGAAAATACATTAACTGTATGATACAACCTCTCTATAGTGAAATTCTATTACTGGAATAACTCACCACTTTGAAGTGAGCTGACATATATTTGTGTAGCTAAGGCATGTAATGTATTTATTCGTTTAGGAGGCATAAGATCTAGAGCATGCAAGACATCCCCTTGGGTTCTGTAGTGTTTTAAAATAAATGAATATTCCATGACCCCAAAAGCCTATATTCCATTTGCAGATAGGCACAAATAAGTGTAACTATTATGTAACTCCATTTGTAACATGTAATATCCCTGTAGCGTATGTTGAATTTGACAGTTCGAAGGAGAGACAGCGAATTCTCTTGGAAGTATTGAGGAAAGTTTTAACAAAGAACATGACTTTTGAACTGAGAATACAGAGAAAGAATTTGATTAGCAAAATTAGTTGTTATCAGGAAACCCAATACGAAAAAAACACTGAGATTGAGAATTTATTTCAGAGAGTGTGATAATAGCAAGATACATTTAATAAAATATAGGGTGTGTATGAAATGTTAGCTGGAAGTAATGCTGGGGAAGTAAGTTAAGGCCAATGAGATTAGGCATTATTCAGCCGATAGTTGCGAGATGCTACAGACTTATCATCTTCAAAATATATTCAGTAGCAACTGGATTGCAGTTCTTCAATTAAGCTACCTATATTAGGGTAAATTTAGTAATTTCTCAAACACACTTTCTTGCTTATCATTGACCTAAATCATTATATTTAGTTGATATTATTATTTGTGCTGTATTTTCTACTTGTCCATTGAGAAACTACCAACAGACATCTCTCAACTGACAACTTTTCTGCCTTTGACCATTGTTCATCCAACTTTTCTAAAATATAGTTCCTCATGGCACCGTTATCTTCTTAGTTGCAAAAAAAATAGAAAATTGGGCATTCTTTTTCTTTTTTCTTTCTTTCTTTTTCTTTTTCTTACTTTTTTTTTTTTTTTTTTTTCTAATTCCAGGCTGGAGTGCAGTGGTGCTATCTCGGCTCACTGCAACCTCTGCCTTCCGGGTTCAAGCGATTCTCCTGCCTCAGCCTCCCGAGTAGCTGGGACTACAGGCACATGCCACCACGCCCGGCTAATTTTTTTGTATTTTTATTAGAGACGGGGTTCACCATATTGGTCAGGTTGGTCTCAAAGTCTTGACCTCGTGATCCGCCCGCATCAGCCTCCCAAAGTGCTGGGATTACAGGCATGAGCCACTGCAACTGGCCTGGGCGTCATTTTTTATTCCCCTTTATATTAGTTATTCTACTGAATTAAAAAATACTTCAAAGCTTGGAAGATTAAAATATAGTAAATAATATTCTAGAGCTGTGTGGTGCTGCCTCAGGGTGCTTCATGAAGTTGCAGTGGAACTATTAGCTGAGACCTCAGCCATCTGATTGCTTGAATGAGGTTGGAGAAGCTGTGCCCAAGATGGCTTATGCATATTGTTGGCATGGGCCTCTCCACAGGGCTTCTCAGCACATATAGCTAGTTTCTCCAAGAGGAAATGATCCAAAAGAGAGAGATTGTATACCCCAAAAGGAAGATGCAATATCTTTTATATTTAATCTCAAAAGGGACATACCATCAATTCCTCTGTATTCTATTTGTCACAGAGAACAAATCTAGTCCAACATTACAGGAAACTATACAAAGCTATAAAATCCAGGAGACCGGGAATCACTGGAGGCTATCTTGGAAGCTGACCACCACACTCGTTCTCTTTTATTTCATCTGCCCAAGTCCTAGCAATGGTGAAGTTACTCTCTGATTTCCACTACTACTTTTTTCAGTTTAGACCTTCTCTTCTGAATTGTTAAATTAAAATATGTTTGGCCTAAATCTGTTTTGGAATATAGCAAACTATAACCTAACTAATTTAATATGCAAACAAATTGTAACCACACTTGAGAATATGTTCTTATAATAAGTAACCAAGTCTCAACCAATCATAGCAACTGAGCTTTCAGTCAATTACAGGCTGCAAACTGTTCAAACACGCCCAAATAAGACAAACACTGAACTGCAATCAATTAAGGTATTTCTGAATGTCACTTTGTTTTTCTGTCTATAAATACTGTGTGCTCACATTGCTGGGTGGAACTCTGAAACTTTATCTATTTAGGGTGTTGCCCAATTTATGAATTTTTTCTTGGTCAAGTAAACTCTGCTAAATTTAATTTGTCTAAAGTGTTTCTTCTTTTCTTTTTTTTTTTTTTCTTTTTTGAGACAGAGTCTCACTCTGTCCCCTCAACTAGGGTGCAGTGGAGTGATCTCAGCTCACTGCAACCACTGCCTACAGGGTTCAAGCGATTCTCCTGTCTCAGCCTCTAGAGTAGCTGGGATTACAGGTGTGTGCCACCACGCCCGGCTAATTTTTGTATTTTTAGTAGAGAAGGGGTTTCATCATGTTGGCCAGGCTGGTCCAGAACTCCCGACCTCAGGTGATCCACCTACCTCGGCCTCCCAAAGTGCTGGGATTACAGGCTTGAGCCACAGCACCACGCCTTAAGTATTTCTTTTAATTAACTTATTTTTTTGGCACTTAGGTCTTGCACCTCTGACCTCTTCCTTTTCCAATCAGTTCCCCTTTTCATCTGCTATAATGAACTTTCATATTATCTTTCTGGTCATTCAAATCTCTTGCTTAAAACCATTTAAGAGCTTGCCATTAAGTAGAGAAGAATGTTCACATTGCTTAGTAAGACACAAAGGTCTTCAAAGATTTAGATTCTGCTTGAATTCTTGCCTCATTTCCTGCCACAGGTAACTTCAATTCCAACTTCCCTTCAATATATCTGCAATATAAAATTACTTGCATTTCCCTGATCATAAAAATGCTTTAATCATGGTTCTGAGTGTTTACAAGTGTTGTCCTTCTTGTTACAACGTCCTTTCCATTTGTTTTTTTTTCCTGCCTGGAACCCTCTTAGTCATTCTTCACTTACTTGAAGCCTCTGCTAAGCTCCAGCAATAATTTAATCAACTTCTCCTATATCCCATGACTTTTACTGAAATCATCATATTGTATTGATGATTTCCCCAAGCTGTGTGTCCTGTCTTTAGAATGCCAAGCATGTGTTTATAGCTCAAGTATTGATCTGCTCAGGTCCCAGGCCACTTGTCCCTGGGTGGCCAGCAGCCTTGTCTCTTCTAAGTGCTGCTACAAAAATGGATCATTGGTTCCCACTAAAGGGGTATTAAATGATCTAGGAATTTACTTAACTTAATATTTAGAAATGAGTCTACTCTCTGATCTGTGTTGTAATAATTTGTAAAATTAATTCTAATTGAGGCTCAAACAAAATTGTGATGTTCTTTATAACTATTTTACATTATTTATTTTCTTCATTTTCTTGTAAACTCACTTATTTTAAAATGATACAATTTTTGAACAAAGTCTTAAAGTATAACTAATCTATTTGTTGCACCTAAAATAAATTTTTTAATTAAAATAAACTTAAAATGAGGCCTACAAAGAAAACAAGGTAACATCAAGATTATAATCTGTTTCTGAGTGAATTTTACCCTTTGTTTAGTTTCTTTTTAAAATATAAGCATATTTTTATACTATCTTAATAACAACTCACCTTTCTTTGCTTAGCAATCAAATGAGTCTAGATTTTACTATGTGGAAATTATATTTATATGTGAGTAAATTGTTCTTGATGTTTTCATTATAGTAAAAAATACTGTTCCATCATTTTCATATTATGCTAATCAAGGATGTGTATTACCATGATACATTATGTTTTCAGTAACAAGTTTGTGAAAGAAAACATATTGCACACTGCTTATAGTCCCTCTTTTTCACTAATTATTCAAAGGGTATTTTCTTTATTGAGCATCAAGCTTAATTACTTAATTATATGATAGACCAGAATGGCTTTCAAGAAGCCATCCCATTCTAAGAAGTGCATAATATGTTATAAAAAATGCCCTACTTATGTAATTAACTGATAAAATGGATTGGCTCCAAAGAACATACATAATACAGATGTTTAAAAAAATGTAATCACAGAACCGCACTATTTTCCATATTGGCCAAGTGTATAATCAGTTTCTTGTTTTACTTTTAAATTTACTTGGAAAGGGCTGGAAACTAGGACATATAAAACTAACAAAAATTTTTAAACAACACATGTATAAAGTCTTGGCATAACTTACACAATGAGACAAAGGTCACCATGAATGTTGTTGTTAAGTGAAACGACACTTAGAATGGAACGTGTACCCCTCACACATTTGTTCTAATTGAAATTAATAAATATTTACTACAGGCCCCACAGCAAATATGGCACTATAGTACCTTTCACAAAGGTAATAAGGTTTTGGTTGCCTGGATTTCTTACTGTCACAAATGGCTGGTTGATTTAACATAGGCCAGGGACTCTCACGGTGATCCTTATGAAGTTGTGTCATCTCTCAAGATTTTAGTTTTTTACATCTGGAAAATGAGATGATCACTCTAATAGTCTCTGGAATTTTTTCTGTTCTACATTTTTTTTCCTGTCATTTTTTGCTGGAAAAGGGAAAGCAGGTTGTGACAAAACAACAAGCAGCTTGACAAGTACTTGAAAGACAACTAGGAGACCATTATTCTTTGGGAGGTATACGTGTATAACCTTTCTATTTATTGATCAATCATTCAAACATATGATAAAACATTTCTGCAGATGGGACAAAAAAAAGCAACAAGTGAAATAGTATTCAAATAGAATGTAAAACAGTGGCAGCAAGTTTGCTGCAGAAAGGAAATAAAAGTACTAACATTGATGTTTTTAAAAAACATAACACTTATTTTTAGGCCAGTTTCTCTTCTTGTGCATCCTTCTCAATAATACTCTACTTTTTTATTATTACAACTTCTGGTATTGAAAATTTCACAGATTGACAACTATAGTTTTATAACTTAAGTATGCTTCTAGTTAGAGTGCCTTTCAAAAACAGACATTTAAGGAATCACAGGGGAGGGTATATCATTGAAGTATGGTTGATTAGGTAATTCTTTCAGTGTCCTTCTAATTATACATTGATGGATAGCAATGCTCCCGGAGATCTTCCTATTTTTAGAAACTCCTAAGACCAATGAGGCTGGTAGAAGATAGAAAAGTGATGTTTCTAATCATCTTCCCTGACTGAACATGGTCTACGTAGATAAAATGATGTGAAAAGTGTACTCTACTTTTGAATTATTTAAAATAAGTAAGACAGAAAAATAGCCCACTAATAAGCAAATAAAATATCTGTTTTGAGAGGGACCTGAAGAGAACTGATTGATCTTTGCATTGTGCTCTTATGTTTATAACAGATTTTATTCAGACTACACTAAGTTATAAAGGTATGATGTAAAAACAGACATCACATTAGAGAATACAAATTCACAATTCCAGAGATGAAACAGGAGCAATTATCTTGTTGGACTTCATGGAAAATAGACCTAGAAAGTCATTTAGGGCCCAGGAAACTCTAGAGATAAGACTTATCTTTCTGTTTCAGTAGGTGCAGTTCATTGTTCCTTAGGATGGTCTCCAAAAGAAAACTGTTCCCTTTTTGTGCCAGTTTCCTAACAATTAGACTTTCTCAATATTTCTCAGATTGAATTTCCAAAAAGAACTTTATTGATCTGATTAATTATTAATGTCCTACTCACTTAATCTTCAATTTCTCACCCTGCCTCTATATTCATTTCTTCAGTCATCGAATATCAAACTCTTACATAACTTGGTTTTCTAAGCCCCGGAGATAAAGTGTTAGGTTAGAAAAGCATGATCTCTGCTGTCATTGAGATTATTCCTTAGATATGAGGGAACAACAACCAGAATAAACAATACAAAATAATAATTATTAATCAATTAACAGGTAGTGGCAAGGGCTAGGATGTGTTGGAGAGACAGCTTAGTTACTTTTAATTGGTTGGTCAATGGACTCCAAAGGAGCTAAAACAGTGAAGAGGCAGGAGCGTGGTGGGAGGTAAGGTTATAGATGTAACCAGGTTCCAGATGTAAAGTTGGCCATAAGTTCTTCTGGGAAAATATTATCCTACTTTAATGCTTCCTCATCTCTTCAATAACATTTTCATTCTTATTCATTCACTGAAAACTGCTTGTTGAATGACTATCAGGCATTGCTTTAGGTTTTGTGGATACAGCCTTAAAGAAAAAAAAAAGAAAACAGACAAAGATCCCTGCCCTTATGGAATTTATATTCCAGTAGTTGAATAGAGACCATAACCAGTAAGTAAGCAAGTAAGCAAAATAAATAATTTTTTATCCAATTTTCCCTAAATTCTAACTCTTGGACTACTTATTTTTTACCTCTATAGAGTGTAAGCTCCTCAAGGTCATGGATCATATTTTAGCTATATATTTTTCTATAGGCTGCTGCACATGTCTTGTATAGGGTGGCAGAGAATAGAATACTGGGAGAAGCACCAGAGTTGGATACATAATGCCTTCCGTATGGTCATGACTCTACTCCAGTTGGCTATTTGGCCTAGAACCAGCTATTTGTCCTAGAACCGATTCAGAAATTAATATCTCTGAATTTTACTTTTCTCATTTCTAAAGCAGAGATAATAATGTATTTGCGTTTAAGTTATATAATGTTTCTGTGAAAATCAAATATGCTTCAAGTTTCCTTGTAAACTAAATAATACATATTTTATTACAATAAATGCTTATTGAAATGCATTGTATTCATAAAATTGTATTCACTATGGTGAAATCTCTTATTTTTTTAAGAATCATTTTGAATGTGATGTTAGTTTCAGTTCGGTGCTTATTAAATGAAAGAGCAGTCTAATTGTTCTCTCCACTTTCTATTCCATACAACCCTAGTGAAATCTACTTGTATCATGTTTCATAAGATCAGACAAAATAAAATGTTAAGAACAGAAGTTTCAAGAGTAGAAAATTACTTTTTATGCCTTTTGGGAGGATGTCTAAATGAGAAAATGTACTTCCATTTAAAAATGGATGGATCTTTTTTTTCTCTGTAAGAGGATGATAACTCCAAACTGAGTGAAGTAAGGGTCAGAGTTTTCTGGAAATTGAATACTACTGGCTGATAGTGAGCCATCAGAATGAAGGGCATAGACATTCCCTTTTGGTGGTGGTCTATTGTGGAAGGGCTATTGGAAATTATATCTAAGTTCCTCAGAAGCAATATTATAATAATTTTTAATAAAGCTAGGCAGGAATGTCAAGCAATATCATATGTATGAATACCAGCTAATATTTAAATAAAAGTTATTCAGAAGTAAAAACTTGAAAAATATGACAGTGTCTTTAGGAATTAGAACACACAACTTAACAATTAGATAAATTACTACTTTTAAAATAAAAACTACCAAGGGAAAGCACAATTATTTTGAGTAAAAAGCTCCGCTTCTAAAACAAAGATTTAAAATAAATTAAGAAAAACTTATGACTAAATGATCAGAATAATCATAAGGAATCATTAAAGGGTGTATTTTTGTTCTTTCATAATGTTTTATTTTAGACATTGGTCTTTCTTACATGGAAAAAAAAGTTCTTACTGATGATTGACAAGAATTTCAATGCCAGCAAGCAAATGCCAATAGGAAAAACTCAGGAATAAATTACATAATAGACAGCTTAATGTAAGAGTAATGTTATTTCCAATCTTTCCTCAAGTTTCACTAATAATGTTTTTGGAATACTTCAATGCATATGTTTTTTCAAATCACTGAAAGTTGAACGTAGTGCCTTAGAAATTATTATTCATAAAAGTCATCATATTGAATCATTTTACCTCTTTCCCTGACATTGAAGCCATGTAATAAATAAGAAGCATAAGAAGATGTAAGAATAAGAATAAAATAATTCAATCAGGGTTAGCATGCACTGTACTTGAGGACTCATTTATTTATTTATGTCTTGTGGGAAATGGAACACTGAAATGTGACATTTTTTCATTTAAAAAATGGGAGCCTAGCTGTACAGATATTATACTTTTTTAATAAGTATAACTTTATCTTCATTATCTAGTATGTGTCAAATCCCAAATACATCTTAGTTGCATACCACATCCATGTTTTAAAGCTTATTCTGTAATTTTATAATTGCATTTCCTCTGCTATTTTTTTCACTCTGATTTCCTCATGCATCATATTTAATAATCATGTCTCTCTCTCTCTCTCTTCTTGTGTGTGTGTGTGTGTGTGTGTGTGTGTGTGTAGATTTTATATATGTATCCACACATATATATTTATTGTGTGGTGTAAGTATAATAATGATTCTGCCTTGAGGACATGTTGTAAATAGCTGTCCAAAAATATTATTTCTTTATAAACATGATAATTGTTGGAGTTCTGGAAAAGTTTAAATCCTTGCAGCCTGAATGGAAAAACTATTCCATTCCCTCTATATGTAAATATTCCATTTATTCTAATAACTATAGATTTTCTATACATAATTAATTTTTGTTACTTCTATTCAGATTATTAGAAAATTTTACAATGTGTACTATGTATTGAAATGGAATGCCTTGCTTATTTTTCTGAGAAAATAGAAATGGCCAGTATCAAATAATTAAAAAGGAATAAGCATCAGTAAAATCAGGGTTATGAGTATATAACTTTGGCATTAGTTATTTTTTAAAGTAATATTTCACTGTACACACATTTTATGTTATTCACTATGGCACATCCTGACCAGAAAGGTAATGTGACCCACAAGACTTTATATTACTAGAAGCTTTGAATGTATACCACAATTTGAATTTGAATTCAAAATATGTAGTATCTAGATCACCCTGGACAAACTGCTTGAACTGGGATAATTATATCTAACTTATAATACTGTCATGATGATTTAAAAAAAAGTATTCAGAAAGAGCTCAGTACAGTGTCCATCACAAAAGCACTCAATAGCAGCGCTACTTTTAACATTCTTATTTAGAGATGCATTTTGCCTTCCAGAAGCTTACAGCTTGGGCAATCAACCATACCTGCGCTGTATGATACAGACTAGAAGGGAAGTGAGCAAAGGTTCAATAAAAGCCTGTAGGAGACAAATCACCACACCATCTCAGAGCTGTGAGACTCTAATAAGAGAATGAGCATGCCCCTAGATTTTCAACACTGTGCTCCCAATCACTGCAGAATGGTTTACTCTCAGCTTATTTGATGTTATTTGGCTACACAGACTACAAAGTGGTCATTTTAAACAAACTCATGTAAGTTTTTTTGAAACTATACCATGGAATATTTAAAATAAAAACTAGATTAGTATGAAGTATATCATTATTTTTTAAATATTTATATTTCTCAGTGGATATTTTGCCATGTAATTATAAAGAAGGGAAATGCATTTGAAACCCTCATTATTTGCCAGAATCCCTTAGTACAGTATGGAATACTACAAGAATCTCCTATTTCGCAGCTAGCCCATTGTATTAGTTAAGGCTCTCTAGAAGGACAGAACTAATAGGATATATGTATATAGGAATGGGAGTTTATTAAGGAGAATTCACTCACACGATCACAAGGTGAAGTCCCACAATAGGCCATCTGCAAGTTGAGGAGCAAGGAAACCAGTCCCCAAACCTCAAAAGTAGGGAAGCAGACAGTGCAGCCTTCAGTCTGTGGCCAAAGGCTCGAGAGCCCCTGGAAAACCACTGGTATAAGCCCAAGAGTCCAAAAGCTGAAGAACTCGGACTCTGACATTCACTGGCAGGAAGCATTCAGCATGGGAGAAAGATGAAAGCCAGAAGAGTCACCAAGTCAGCTTCTTCCACCTTCTTCTACCTGCTTTTTCTAGCCATGCTGGCAGCTGATGGGATGGTGCCCATCCACATTATGGGTGATTCTTCCCAAGGGTGGGTCTTCCTCTCCCAATCCACTGACTCAAATGTCAATCTCTTCTGGCAACACTCAAGTACATCGAGAAACAATACTTTGCATCCTTCAATCCAACCAAGTTGACACTTAACCCCCACAAGTCCACCTGTTTTCAACTTGAACACACACACATATCCTGAAGTCATAGACAATCTCCAAAAAAAGACAGACAATAAGGTCATAATTCCACCTAATAAAATACATCCATCATTCATACAACTGTAAGCACACCAATCCTTAACCTAAATGTTGTTACTATTACATAAAGCGAACAACACTTAAATGCTAATGAGAAGTCAATAAATCTTATGTCTCATGATAACACAAAAATAAAGGAAATAAAATGAAGATATTTTCTTAGTATATCCATGCACAAACATGTTCTTAACAAAATAAAGAGGAAATATTCATTTCCTCCTTACTTTCCTCATTTCTGCATCTGGTCATGTGGTAATAGCTGGAACTGATGAATACCTTCTTCTCCTACCCATTTCATATTCCCTTTACCTTCAGCAAGCACCTCAGTGGGTCATGATTTTTACCTAGTATAGCGACCCAAACTTCATTCCTGAAGGGTCTGGGCCATTTGTAATCCTGCCCTTCTTAGCTTGTTGATTTAGAGGTAGGAGGAGCCCAAAGTGGCCAGTTGGCAATCTTAAATTCCAGTTTAACCGAATAATTGCTGTGTCTCCTAGTGGCAGCATTCCTCCCTCTGGAACTAAGACCCCTAGGCCAACAGACCATAATGTCGTGGGAACAGGAGGCAAAATTTTGCTAGTGGGTCACTAGGGGCGGTGGTGAGTGGTGACACTTCCGCTCCCATGATCCTGCATAATACACTATACTAATAGTTTGGTTTGTTGTTGTTTAGCCCAACTTTTGATATAGATCTTAGATCCATTGATCTTGCAATGTATAAATGTGAAATTTTTTCTCTTTATCAGTCCCAGGCAAGATTTTATTATGTGTTACTTATAAAACTTAGCTTGCTATTTTCAAATTGGTTTTGACATAAAAGTTGAGAAATAAGAGAAAACACCATGTCAAGAATAGTGCCGATGCCTTTCTCAGGTTGGCAGTCACCCTTGACACCCTACTGCTGACAGGAGGGCTTTTTCAGACAGATGGGTCCCCAGGGACACTTAGCAAAGTAGCAATAAGAAACACATTATGGATATCTTCTACTTTCTGAAGAAGGCAAAAATTCTGAAAAGCTTAAGGAGAAAAAAGAGTATGCAGAAATGAAATGAAAATAACTGACATTGTCTAGCCAACTTAGGAAAATTATAGGTTAGTCAAATAGATAATCATTTACTGCCCAAATTTCTGAATCTTTGTGATCAAGAGTCAGAAAATGCCTTCTGAGGCTACCTATAGTCAGGCTCAACCATATATCTTCATGGGAGAGGGAATTACCTAGCCTGTAGGTTCAACTTTCATAAACATTTTTATACAAGTAAAAAATCAGTTTAAGATAAATGTCTAATAATTTACTTAAGAGCAAGATTGCCAAAAAACAAAACAAAGCAGGATATTCAGAAATATCTGAATTTTAGATAAGCAATAAATACTTTTGTACTACACGTATTTCCCAAATACTGCATGGGATATACCTATGTAAAATATGCATGAGGTCTATTAATCGTAAGATACTAAAAATGTATCTTTTGTTAATCTGAAATTCAAATTTTATTAAGTGACTTAGGTTTTTATTTGTGAACTTGGCAATCTTATTTAGCAGTCAATGTTTTAGAGGAAATTAAGAGGTATGGGAAAGTAAGAGATATTTTTCCCTCTGCTTGGTAATTATTTAGTTTGTTAGTGCTGCTGTAACAAAATAATTTGTAATTAATAGAAATTATTTATACATTTGATATAATTTGTAATTTATAAACAATAGAAATTTATTTTCTCATAGTTCTGGAGCCTGGGAAGCCCAAAATCACAGTGGCATTAGATGTGAAGTCTCATGAGGGCCTGCTCTTGTTGACAGCTGTTGTGAAATCTTGATTCTTGTCTTCTCAGTTTAAGATACTTTAAACAAGAGACATGCAGCAAAGAAGATGAAGCTTAGATAAATTTATTGCAAAGGAGAAAGAATATTCTGAAAGTTAGGTGAAGACAGTATAGAGAGTATACCCTGAGAGAGGATTCAGGGCAGGTTGCTCTATGGATAAGACAACAAAGACTGGCACTAAGGAGACTCCCTTTATGGGAGTCTTACATGATTATTCATAAGGGGGTGGGAGCAGGTGTTACTAGAAACCATGTTTTGGTTGGTCCTCTGGGTGCACATGCATAGTAGCTATACATGCTTGTTCATACCTTGGATATCTCATTACCACCTTAAATGTCCACAAATAGTGTGTTTTTCACTATTATAATGAGCAAAGGGTCAGTCTAAGGACAGGTAAAATCAAAATGCACATGTTCTCTATAGGGGAATTTTCCTACTGGAGATGCTTTGCTTGAATGAACTTGACGACAATGCATATGATGGGGCATATTGTGTTAGTGCAGTCGCCACAGTTGTTGCATCCTGAGGACGTGGTTACTTCCTTGGCTACCTATCCTGCATCACTTTCTGTCTCAAAGATGGCACCTGAACACTGTGTCCTCGCGTGGCAGAAGGGATGGAAGGGGAAAAGACAAAAAGGAGCAAGAAGCTCCCTTACACTTTATCTATAAAGTCATTAATCCCATTCATGTGAATAGACCTCTCATGACCTAATCACCTTCTAAAAAGCCCCACCTTCTAACACCAATTCCTTGGTGATTAGTTTTTGCCATATGAATTTTGGACAGATTTGTGCATTCAGTAATGGTAGGGGATGAGAAGAGAACTGGTAGCACCTATGTGTGCCCATGTTATTATAAAATAATGCCTAGAAGAGCTACACTCCTCTCTTTTAGTAAGTGATTTTAATGAATTACCAGTCTGTCAGGCTTTAGTAGAATAATAATTTTCATCCAGTGAAACTGAAATTAATGCTCATTACAATTTTGAACACCAACTTTATACGGGTAATATGTTAGGTGCTTTAAGTCATTTACTATTTTATATATTTGACCCATGGCTATGTGAAGTAGATTCTTTGTGATCATTTATAGGTTAAATAAACTAAGACTCAGAATGCTTCTGTAATTTGTCCAAACAAACAAAGCTAATGAACCAGTTATTGTTGATGATGAGGAAGATTATACTATTAACATTGATTTACTATTATGTTTTAGGAAACATATGTACACGCCCTGAGATTAACTATTTTACATGCATTATCTCAATATCCACAGTAGCCCTATGCACTGAGTGTAAATATTATTATACCAATTTTATAGATGATGAAATTGAGGCTTTAAATGGTTAAGTATGTTACTTTCCCCATGGTCAGACAACTAGTAAGTTTTGGAATCCGTATTAGTTACCAGGCCTCTTTTAATCTAAATGTCAACCATAATTGCATAGGCTCAGTAATTTCTAAAACACTGGAGCGTTGTTTAAAAGCACAAGTTCCTGGCCAAGCGTGGTGGCTCACGCCTGTAATCCCAGCACTTTGGAAGGCCTAGGCGGGTGGATCACGAGGTCAGGAGATCGAGACCATCCTGGCTAACACGGTGAAACCCCGTCTCTACTAAAAATACAAAAAATTAGCTGGGCGTGGTGGTGGGCACCTGTGGTCCCAGCTACTTGGGAGGCTGAGGCAGGAGAATGGCGTGAACCCGGGAGGCAGAGCTTGCAGTGAGCCGAGATGGCGCCACTGCACTCCAGCCTGGGCGACAGAGCAAGATTCCATCTCAAAAAAAAAAAAAAACAGAGATTCCTACTGATTCAGGATCTCTGAGATGGTGGCCTGGATGTCTCCATATTAAATGTATCTATCATTTTCCCAGTTGATTCTTATAGTGACAAGTCATGGACATGCAAAAGCCCCATTGTTTCAGATTGACTGAGAGCTCTACCTCGGATTGTGTTCGACAAACTGGATAAAATTTACTGGAATGGATAGCACAATGGGTAATGCTGTGTTTTATTCTTTTTTTTTTTTTCTTTAACTACCATCTCAAGTCTTTTGGATTACCTCACTCTTCTGGCATCACAGAATGACAGATGAACTTCTCTAACTTGTGTTCAGTGATTTTCGCCTTAAAGCATATATTTTAAAGAAAATGCATTTTTTATTCCTAAATTATTAGTTTTTGTTATTTTCCAGGATAATACCCCTAAGTCAGAATAAAATAATATTTCAAAGCCTGCATATTGTTATCATCAATGTCATTGCTTATGGGATACACATTTGAAATAAGTACAAGTCACATAGAATTAGAGAGAAATCAGTTAAACACCAAAAAAACACAGGGAAATAGGATTGAGATGTTGAAGTGTTTTGTGATGGTAAGAGAGAGAAAAAAATAGAATTTAGGATTTCTAAATAAGAATAGAAAAATGTAATGGGCCCACTTAACCCAAAGGAGCCTAAAAACCATTAAGCCATATCTGGTGAAGGCACATATATAATGATTTGTAGAATCATTGATAATTCAAGGAGATGAACATCTCCAGCATTTCATGAATTTCTAAAAGAGAAAGCTGGAGCAATGATTGTTGGAGGATTAAGAAAACTGTTAATGAATTTTAAAGACTGAGCTCTAGATAATTTAAAACAGAGACACAGAAGTCTTTGCACTTTTCTTTCATTCTAATTCAAGGAAGTGAATTGCATGACTTGTGATAAGAAATATAATCAAGAATAGATTAACTGTCCTAATACAAATTCTACAAAAACATGTTTGAGAAGGAATTGGTATGTCAATTATTCCTATTTTAACTTAATATGTTTTACCCTCCTTACAACCCTTAGACATGGCCAGCTATATTATGTGATCTTGTATGTTCAGTTAGACATCACTGGATTTCCAATATATTATCTGGTTAGAAAACAAAAAAATATGGTGTTCTTTCTCTGGCTGTTGAATGAGAAAGTATATGAAAAGGTAGTCAGTCAGAAGTGACATATAAGAAAAGACACATTGGGTATAAATGATTGATGTTAATAGTCCAATATTAGTGCACAGGCTCATAAACTGCTCCCCAGTGGTACCCAGTGATGAAATTTGTTCCCTTTGTAATGTCAGAACGCTCAGAATTTTTTTTTAATTTCTATGAGATGTGTCTTCCCCTTAAAAACAATCCCATCCTCTTTTATTTCAATTAGTTTGGATTTCTCTTTCTGAAATTTAATAAATTATAATTCAAAGAATAATCTACTAGTATTTTCCTCTCTTTCTCTCTTCCTCATACCATCTGTGATTGGGAAAGCAAAGAGAGAATGAAGTTTTCATTTAGTGACAAGTTGAAATGAATGCTAACGCATGTGTAATCTCTGAAGAAAAAAGAGTCAGAAATTATCACTACCTTCCCCATAGGTCTGTCTCTTGTTAATTACATTAAACAGATTTTTAATGCTGCAATTTAAGTTACATGCAACAAGGGAGTTTAAATTTTTTTGAGTGTTTTATGATTTCTTTATGCAGCCTTTTGTCATGACTATTATATGAACTTAAAACATTTTGTTTGTAAAATTATATTTATTGTAACTCTTAAAATCCTGCTTTATTTTTGTTTTTTTCTTACTCCAGACCTTACCTTTGTCAGAATGAATTTCGGAATATCAAGTTAAATAGAATTTAAAGCATATTAAGTAATTGCTAGCATGCACAAGAACCATTATAGCTCACATTGCACCTTGACATCAAGATGAAAATAAAACTGCTTTGCTTGTTGCCAGTATAGGAAATGGCATTTATAGACATTTTGAAGAAACAGCTGCAATTTACCAAAAATGACTTGTTTATTAATACTGTAATAATTTACATTCACTGACTTCACTGAATCCAACTTATTCAATATAAAATGAGATGGCATTTTGGGGTATCGGAAATATAAAGTCAAGCCTGAAGTAAGCCAGAAATTATGGTTGCCCTGTATGTGTATAAGGGGTCCCATTAAACATATAATACTGGAAGTTGAGTCTTATATTTCTGTTAGTAGAGAATTATAGGTGAATATGCAATTATTCATATATGTAGGGAATTTTGGAGGTTGAAAAATAAGGACTGCCTGGGTATTGCCCTTCACTTATTAGTCCTATGTTTCCCTAGAGCTCCCTTTTTTGTAAAACAAAGATAATCAGTAGTTACTGTATAGGATTGTTGTGAATATTAAATGAGATAAGACAAATATGTGCCATATTGCCTGATATTAAAATGACCTAAAAAGCAAATATAATCTAATTTAAAACTCAAGTATAGTTAGAAAATAGAACACTGTATACAAAATTAGTTAGTATCCTTGATCAAGGAAAAGCTGTTTATAGTAAAGATAGAGTAAAATGCTTCAACCCCACAAAATTATAAGATTTTTTACCCATTCAAATACTTACTGTAAGTACTTATGTAAACATAATTATGGATAAAATCTCATCTCTTATGCTCCTTACAATTTGCAGTAAATAATTTAACTTTATGTAAGTTTCATAAAAGATAGAAATAAACCTGTTCCTGAGGCCTTATAGACACTGACACATGTTAGTTTCAGAATAGGCAGAGAGAAGATGGAGCAATTAAATGGTCTCCCAAGCCTTAACCACAAGAATCAAGTAAGGAATGAGACCTTCGGACTTGACCAGGAACAGTGACAAAAACAGAGCCAGAGTCGAGCAGCGAGGGTAGAAGTGGAGGACAGGAAAGGAGAAAAGAGCCCAGTTAAAAGGTGTTGCAACCACTATCAGAATAACTCTAAAACACAATCCAATGGGAAATTAAGATTTGTTTTGCATCATCCTATTGATTCTGATTTATGTGCATCATCTGTTTAAACTCTTTGGGCCATGAATAGTACATTTGAGTTATGTGAACATTCTGAATATAGTTACTAAGATACAACTTTTGGGGAGGCAGGTACTACCGATGGGCTCAAGGTTATTTAATCACTTTTCTACCTCACAGGCTGTGAACTTATAGTTTTCAAACTCCAGGAAAATGCAGCTTTAATATAGTCACAAATCTGTGGCTCAGGGAGGTAACAATAATGGTGTATAACATAAGGCTTTTATTTGTTTGTACGTGCATTTATGTGTGCGTGTTTGAATAGGAATACTTACTTTCCTTTTTAAGATCATCAGATGACAGAAAATGAGTACCAAAATCTAAATTCAGTTTTTAGAAATACAGTTTAATATTTTAAAAATTAAATTTATTACAATTTTATTTTCTTACAAATTAAAATTGAATTTCTGAAGTAATTGTCTTCAATATATTCATAGGCTTACAACATATATAAAATATATTGATTAAATATAATCAATATTATAATAGTGAGTAAATTTAAAGACTACAAAAAATCAAAGAAAGGCAGAAAGACAGACAAAAAATATCTGTAATACTCATCAGGAATTATTGGAAAGGTTTCAAAAACTGTTGGTATGATCATAATATGGTGTGGATTATACAAATGTTATTATTGTGTGTGATAATAAGTGTTAAGAGTATATGATCCATGTTATTCATATAGGATACAAAGATATATAAGAACTCTGCAAATGTGTCATTTTTAGGTTTGACATAGGTCCCAGTCTGCCTGAGAGATCCCTTCTTTGAGCAAGTTGTTTCATTGTAATTATTAATGGCATTATCTTTTACTTTTAAATTGTTCTGATTGAGTTGACTAATTATATGTTCACCATCTGTCACATGGGATCTGGTAACTGGGTTTCAGCGAAGCCAAATTAGCTTCAAAATTAAAAGAATCTCCCATTCCATTCCAATCCCAACTACTAGAACTTCTGAAGATAAACTGGTCGAAAAGACAGGAGCCATTGCTTCCAGGTGTTGTTTTCCAACTACATTGTGCTGAATGACCTACAGTGAGCTGGCTTGGGGTTCAGTGCTGGCCTGGAAGGGATCCATATAACTGTCACTATGCAACAGGTCCACATGGGTTTTTCTTCCTAATCCTTCTCACTAGTAAGTTACAAAGAGAACTTTGGGGACCTGCTTTGTTTGTATTTATTGACCATTTAAAAATGAGTTATTGTTTAGAAGACATTACTCTTGTTAGATTTTATTGTTTGGAGAGTTCCAGAACACTTTTAAACCACTTTTAGAAGAATAAAGCAAAATGCAGTTCAGTGGTCATAAATTCAACCAGACAGGCAATGTAGTGAGAAGGTAAAGAAAGAAAGATTCAGTTGTGAAATGAAAATGTACATTTAAGCTGCAGGTAACTTCTGGATAGAATTGCTAGGATAAAACATTTTTTCCTTCCTTCCTTCCTTCCTTCCTTGCTTCTTCTTTCCTTCCTTCCTTCCTTCCTTCCTTCCTTCCTTCCTTCCTTCCTTCCTTCCTTCCTTCCTTCCTTCCTTCCTTCCTTCCTCCTTTCCTTCCTTCCTCCTCTCTCTCTCTCTTTCTCCTTTCAGTGGGTATGTTGGGGACAAGAATATTTAGATCATTTTTACATGATCACTGGAAACTAACATGATTTTTATTCTCCAGGACAATGAAATTTTATTACAGGCACAAATTTATCCCCCTAGCATAATATCTTCAACCAAGTGGACATGTTGCATTTAATTCATCCTTCTGAGCTCAGCAAGGTGAATGCAATCCCCAAGGTCCCAGGAACTGAAAGAAGGGTTACTCTCATTTTTACTCTTCCTGATGTAGAAGGGAAAGAGAATGTAGTACATTGCAAAGTTTGCTTTGATTTTCAAAGTTTGATTCCTCAGAATTGTAGCTATAAGGCTGAACTTTGGAGCTGCCAAACAGACTGGGGCTAGAGAACTAATTACATCATTTTATCCTTATGAAACTATAAATGAGTAATTTGGTCAGTGACAGCTCAGAAGCTTTCCATTAAAAATAAGTATTTGTTTATGCATTTATTAAAAAAGATTGGCATCTGCTGTGTGCTGAGTACCATAACACTGAATATGAATTGAACACAATGAACATGATTTCTACTCTGATGGTGCTTACATATAGTCTAGTGGAATTTAATGATGCTATCATCAAGAAAATAGTAGCTATCCATGGGCTTATTTTAAGAATTAAGTGAGATAATTTATGTAAAGCTCTTATCCTAGTGCCTGAAATAATGTCAAAAGTTATTACTTGTTGTATCGCTAAATATTAAGTGAACGATTGAGTTAAAAACAGCTGTAGCAGGTAGAGCTATATAATTCATACACTTACTATCCATTCTCTATCAGTAGCTTTACTCCAATGCAGGACTGATTTCCCTGGAATTTGGGGGATAATTACCTACTGTGTTACTGTCTCTTATGAATTAAGGCAGTATGGTAAATTCCATGAAAGACTACCATCTACTGTCAAGAGCTGACACCTTGTTTTTGGGTATCTCATTTTGTATTTTCTCTCTTATCTGTTATGAACTAGTCTTTTAGGCTGGGCACGGTGGCTCACGCCTGTAATCCCAGCACTTTGGGAGGCCGAGGCGGGTGGATCACGAGGTCAGGAGATGGAGACCATCCTGGCTTACACGGTGAAACCCCGTCTCTACTAAAAATACAAAAAAATTAGCCGGGTGTGGTGGCGGGCGCCTGTAGTCCCAGCTACTCGGGAGGCTGAGGCAGGAGAATGGCATGAACCCGGGAGGCGGAGCTTGCAGTGAGCTGAGATTGCGCCACTGCACTCCAGCCTGGGCGACAGAGCAAGAAATAATCTTTTAAAATTTTTTTAAATGTAGAAAATCAACACATGTGGCCTACAGGTAACCATATTAGATCAAAACAAAGTTGTAGCCAAAAAAAAAGGACATGCATTTCACCAGGTCCTTCTATTTTCCCATTTATTGGCACCTCATACAGTGTAACTCCCAAATAAGAGTGTCTTTTTTGCTAGCATCATGTTCTATTTGTACACACATGACATACATAGATATTTGTAAAGACTATTTTAAATAAGTATAGTTAAATGATTTTTATTTTAAAAAATAAATTACATTAAAAATAAATTAAAAATAAAAAAATTGTTTCAAAATTCAACATGATAGTATTCCTATAGAATGATCTACTCTTCTGAAGATGTATTGATGAAAAATTGTAAGTAGGCTTTCATTCCACACTTTTGAGTTTTGATATTAAAATGCATAACTTATTATCTTAAATGAGACTATGTGAAAGTACTTATTCTTCATTGATAACATCTTCAGTCTGCAACAGCAAAAGACAAATGGTTAATACAGAAAACTTTGGAGAAAGATAAAAATCAAGTCTTTTTTTTTTTTTTTTTTTTGATGGAGTCTCCCTCTGTCGCTCAGGCTGGAGTGCAGTAGCCTGATCTTGGCTCACTGCAAACTCCGCCTCATGGATTCACACCATTCTTCTGCCTCAGCCTCCCAAGTAGCTGGGATTACAGGCGCCCGCCACCATGCCTGGCTAATTTTTTGTATTTTTAGTAGAGATGGGGTTTCACCTTGTTAGTCAGGATGGTCTCAATCTCCTGACCTCATGATCCACCCTCCTCGGCCTCCCAAAGTGCTGGGATTACAGGCGTGAGCCACCACGCTCAGCCAAAAATCAAGTCTCTTGATGCCACACTGAATTAAAAAAAAAAGCCCACTTTCAGGAAATAATTTTAAAACAGTAGTTCGTAATATTGTAATGTATATACACAACATATACAGTAGCTAGTATATACATGTGTTTATATGTATTGCAATGTTGGAATGCGTAATATATGTATATAAGGATACAAATCAGATAACAGAAATAATGATCTAGAAGAAAATATTATGCAGTCAAGTTTTGAGTTGTTACTTGGGATTCAAGCGTGAAATCTATGTTTCAACCTTAGCTTTTCTCTAAATTATTTTGACTCTTGAATCTTACTTTCATCATATACAAAGCCATCAGGTTGGAATATTTATATAATTCTAAGAGTGAATAGTGTGTATAGCCCCCTCTTTGGGAATTAATTCTCTGAGGGTCACATGTTCATGCACATCTTCTGAGCAGAAGGCGTTGACAAATTTGTTCAAAGATGTTTGCCTTAATGACCTTGGAAACATAAAGATAGTGACTTCTGGAGATATTTTGAGCTGTTTCTCTGGTGGCTTTTTAAAGTAAAAAAGCTAGAGGCATCTCTGTCTTCTTTCAGAGACATTCCAGGGTAGGACAGTATTTCTTACTCAAGAGGAGAGGAGGTTTTGCCAGAATCCCTTATGTAAGAGTGGGATATCAAAATCTCAGAGTCCGTTAGAAGTGGCAGATCCACTGTATGTGCCCCATCTACCTGGGCCTGCCTATGTATGTGTCAGGCCCATGGGAGTTGGAGGACACAGCAACCTGATGGGACTGTGAAGTTCATGCTGCCTATTATGCCATGAGTAATAAATTGTCAAAAATCATTAATGTTAATTGTCTCCTTATTGGCCAAATCTATGGAAGTGAAACAAATCAGTCTAGCAGCTGCCCCAGCTGTTGCTGTTTAGGAACTGCTTGATCACTTGATACTCTAAAGGCTTCAGGGAGCAAATGCATTTTGAAAAATGGCCTCCTGTGATTTGGGCATGCCTTTATATATCACCCATATTTTTGAGATATTGCCCTTAAGTAGCCATGATTTCTGATGAGAAAACAAACTGTACATACCTCAGTGCTAACTGGAGCACAAAGAAATAAAAGAAAATTAAAAAATAAGAAATATGATTAATTTAAAGATATAGACTAACAATACAACTGTTTGAATAAAATGCAATAAATTTAGGCATTAACATATGAGGAATTGGATCTAGAAGGTTTTAATGAGGGGTAAACCATTATCTGATCAGATCTAAGTATCATGAGTGGAAATCTAGTATCCTTTCCAAATTAAAATTTAAACATTTACTGTAAGTATTGCATTTAAGTCTTAACTCTATGAGGTAAATACCATAGTATTCACTTGTAGATATAGGAAAATTGAGACAGGGAGAGGTTAAATAAGGCACAGTGAGTATTTAGTACCTAAGGTATGTTTCTTGGTGCTGTATCTATACTTTTCCACTTTGCTATAGAATGTTCTCTGTCTGCCAGTACCATGGAAAGAATGGACCAGAAGCAGGCAGAACACAGCTTCACTAGTCCAGAGGATATATGATAGGAACATACAGTTGTTTACTAATGGAATTAAGACAAAGTGTTTAGCATAACTTTTAGATTTAGGGGCTGAATGGTTTCTAGTTCTGTCATTCTAAGATTTCAAAACTATTATCAATTTTGAGGGAAAAAAAGTCAAGACTCAAAAGCAAATAGGATACCCTTTATGGCAAAATGATGGCTAATAAGCGTTACTGTTGTTATAGTTATGAGCTCATAAAATGGCATGGTAATTCATCCTAGCACTCTTTCTAAATCTTAAACTAGCTTGTTAAACTGGTTTTCACACCCAAAAATTTTTTTAAAAATGCTATCAGTATCTGAGTGTTTTGTCTATTTTTCATAGTCAGCAATGTTATTCAACTAGATGAGCTTTAGAAAGACCAATTTTATAAATTTAGTTTTTAAAGTCCAGAAATTACATTTATGGATGCTTATTACATTCTAGTGACTTCAAAAGCATTATCTAACTTAATTCTCAAAACGTTCTAGACAGACAGATACCATTATTCCTGTTTCACAGTTAAAGATAATTTGTCAAGGTAATCTAAATAGAAAGCACTAAAGTTGGCATTCACATCTATTTAGTCTGCTTCCAGAATAGGCACATTTTGGCATGAAATGACATTGTCCAAGAAGAAGATCAAATAAATTTATAAAGCAAATAAACTGGTAGATCTTCAACATTTTGGGTTATATATAAATATACCACTTCTCAACTATTTTACTAAATCAGAGGTCTCAGTTTAGCCTGGTCTCAAGGAAGGAAATTCTGCAAGTTTGCAATGGTAATGAAGGGCATTTCTTTCAGACACAAACACACAGCAGCTAATGAAATTCAGATAATCTTATATGACCATAATAAAAATACTTCTGTGCCATACTTTTGTGTTCCGGTTGGTATGCTTCTTGAATAATACATATGGCCTGCAGTCAAAACCAGAACAAAATAGCATGTTGCGATAGTTTTTTTTTTTTAATTTTATTTTGCAGGACTTTTAAAAAAGACAAGAAGATAACAATAAACAGAAACCATGTAGAGAATCTCCATGTCAAAGGAAATCCATAAATCTTATTAAACTGGAAAATAATTTCAAAGTAAACATAACTGAATAACATATGACTTAGAAGCAACAGCTTGTTGGCCAACTATAGAAAATCATCAGGTTCATTTCAGTGTGTAGCTTGTGTTCCTACCGCAGAAAAAAGCGTGAACCAGATGGAATGTAACTATCAGTTAGGCCTGCAGGGTTTATATCCTGCTAAACTACTACTGCATTTTTTTTCTCCTTCCCCTTAGTGGATATCCAATATTTGAAATTTCAAGTATTCCAATTTCTTAAAATAGCCCTAGTATTTTAAAGTCAAAACTAAAGTAAGACTCTAAAAAATCTCAACCATGTCAATGATTTTTCAGTTTTATTATATGAAACTATTATGTATTTACTAACAGAAATAGAATAAGTTAGTTTATAAGCATGTAGTCAATATTGCACTTAGGGTAAACAAATGAACAAAACAAAAAAGTATCTAGATTGAACATGACTTCAGAGCTAACAAATACAACTAGATCTCATGAAGATATGAGATCAATATAGGGGCTTCTTGATATCAGAACAAATAAAATAAAATCAAGAAATAGCATTACAATTAATGTCTTAAATCAACATAAAAGAAAATAATTCAGCTAAGAAAATAGAAGAGCAAAGCAATGATCCCAATGGAATTCTTGTACCTGTAGGATGCTAAGCCAGTGACATTTTCTATCCAGAGGCAGCTTGAGTATTATTGCAAACTAAGCCAGAGGAAGAGCCACCCCACTGAGACTACAGAAAAGCAGGATCAATATTTTCTCTATTGAATAGTTTCAAATAACAGAAAGATTCCCAGAACACAGTTCATCCTCACCTCTAAAAATGAAATTAGAAACCCATTACAAAACCCAATTTGTCCATAATATCTCATTTATAGAACATAGCTGTGCTTTACTTTTCATGAGCAATGAATGGTCCAACTCTTTAAGACAGTATTGATGAGTGCTGGAAGGCAAACCACCTCTGCTTATAACATGTGCTTTACCAAAGGAAAGATAACATGCCTGCAGCTCTGCAGAATTGTGCTATTGTCATATATGTAGAAGTCGCCTGCTCTTAAAGAAAACGTGATGATTTACACTTAAAACACTGGGGCTTATCCTGTAAAATTGTGTGGTACTTAGCACATCTTACTGTCTCAAGGGTCCCTATAATGATGGTTCAGCTTAATGATTCACTGGTAGATCTCACAGGACTTAGAAGCTCTTATACTCACAGATATGGTTTATTGCAGTAAAAGGATACAGATCAAAATCAGCAAAGGAGATAGGCTCAAGGTCCAGGGGGAATCAGGTGCAAGTGTCCAGGTGTTCTCTCCCAGTGGAGTTGCATAGGATGTGCTTAATTGTCCCAGCAGTGATGTGGGACAACACATGTGAAGTAATGCCAATAGGGAAAGCTCACTCAAGCCTTGTTGTTCAGATATTTTTATTGAAGATTAGTCACATAGACATGCAGCACCCAAATCACTTAATTATTCAGATGCTAGCCCTCCAGCCCCAAAACTCACCCCTTATACAAGCAAAAATAAGCCTTCACCGTAAATCACATTATTAGGATAACTGCTACAGCAGAGTGACCCAAGGGATCAAACATTAAAAAAAAAAAGTTCCTGTAATGGCAGAATATTCCAAAGGCTCAGAGGTTATATCTCAGAAGCATGCCAGAGGCCAATCCTGAAGATAGGTCTTTCTTCAGAATGTGTAGGATTTAAGCAACCCAGGTCTGCTGAGTAGATTTTCCTGTTCACTTATACTCTATTACCATTGATTTCTTTGCAGTATATAAATATAATAATAATAAAATTTATTTATTCAACTTATATTGAAATTTAATGTTCTGATGACACGTAAAAATTCCAAACACATGTCCAGCTATTATTGTTACCAGGCTCATTATTATTGATTAGTCAATAAAAGCCAAATGAGTATGACTTCCTTACAGCATATAGAAAATACTTTACTGATATTAAACAATCATATATGAAAATAAATGGAGAAAATTCTGCTTGAGAATGAGCATTATTTGTACTATATATTGTCCAATTATAGAAGTATCAACCTGGTATTATGTTTTCTAATATTCCCAATAAACCCTATTGACATTGACCATATTTTACAATAGGGTATATTTTATGTGCATATATGGTGAGAGGCACACTGCATATGAAAATTATATGCAAAAATGATACTCACCATATTTTAAGTAATCTCTTTCTCAAAAGAGATAATGATTATAACTAGTATGTAAGCTTCATTTACCTCAGTGAAATACTGTGGTATTAGAGACACATCTCATTTTGTTTTTCTATTCTCAGTCTCCAGTACAGCCCTTGCCAAAAATGGCAAATACCGATAATGTGTTTTATTCAATTTGTAGGTGTGAATCTTTACATTGGGTGTTTTGTATATATTAGGTATTGAATAAATTCTTGGAAATTGTAGTGGACAGCTCTCAATAGAGGCTGTCTGCATTATTAGGAAGCTTTCCCTACATTTTGCTGGTTCACTTATGGTGAAATTAACGGTACACAATCCCACTATTGCATTGCCCAGCTGCCATTGCACCAAAGGGGAACACTCATTATATAGTTTTTGCTAATCAGACATACCTACATGAAGCTTAAATTTGGAATTAAGTTACATGGAGAAAGAGGCTACACTGTGAGACATTTATTTTGATAGTGTGAAATATGGTAGAGGGAGTGGGGTTCAAGAATTATCAGCCACATCAACAGCTTCCATATTCAGCAGCTTGCTGATTGTGGCAAAGGTGGAACAGTTGTGAGGCTAGCAGCTCTCAAGAGGCTTTCCTGATATTGGTGCTGCCTAATGGTAGAAGCAACTTTGTCAGGCTAGTTTGGAGTTATGGTAGTCATTCCTGGAAATGCTCCTGGAGTCTTTTTCTTTAGTCCTTCTGAAAATGTGATGAACAAGATAGTTTGACAATCTTTTTTTTCTTTTTTCTTTTTTTTTTTTTCAGACAGAGTCTCACTCTGTTGCCCAGGCTGGAGTGCAGTGACACAATCCTGGCTCGCTGCTGCAACCTCCACCTCCCAAGTTCAAGCGATCCTCCTACCTAAGCCTCCCAAGTAGCTGGGATTATAAGCACGTGCCACCATGCCCAGCTAATTTTTGTATTTTTAGTAGAGACAGAGTTTCACCTTGTTGGCCAGGCTGGTCTTGAACTCCTGGTCTCAAGTGATCTGCCTGCCTCGGCATCTCAAAGTGCTGGGATTACAGGTATGAGCCACCACATCCAGCCAACAATCTCTTTCTAAATAAACTAATTAAATTGAACATTCTGTTTCAAAAATAAAATGACAGAAGAGAAGAGTAGTATAGCTAAGAACTCTCCGGTAGTGGCATCATTGGGATACTATAACAAGTTCCAATTCTGCCACGAACTCTTATTTTTTGGGCAAGCTTTGACCCGTGTGACTCACCTTTCTCATCTCTAATAAATATTAACTTTCATAAAGCATTTTTCCTGAGATAATGCATGTTAAGCCTTTACTACATAGAATGACAAGAACCATGGCTACTGTTGCTGCTACTAATGCCACATCACCCAATCATCCAATTTCTTCATTATGTGCCATAAACATGAGGTAAGCATTTAGGCTTGGAAAGGTAAAAGTTGTTCTTCAAGCATTAGTTATAAATTACCCAATGTCTAATTAGAAAATATACTTGAAGTTGTTTGAATTTTGTAGGCAATATAAACAGATTTATTTTTCTTCTTCAGGCTCTATCCTGTGTGTCTCATTATTTTGAGGCAATCATGCTACTTACCATTTTTTAACAAATGATTGTTCTTGATTACGTTACTGGCATTTTGCAGCACTCACCTCAGTAAATCCAGTCTGGGGTGCATTCAATATCACTTACATATTCTCCTCCCCTCAAATTGCAAAATTGATCATCAACTCTTTGAATTTGTTTGTCAGTAAGATTTTCTCAAATATCTAAGGATGTAAAGAAAATTTACTAAATAATCTTTTTCCCAGCTGACTTAAAATATACATTGTTGATGAAGAGTATACTAACAGGTAAGAATCAGAAACACATATGTTTGTATGCATACCAGTGTATGTGTACAGTACACAAAACCACAGTTATTTAAGTGAGATGAGGGGGCAAATGGTACTGAACTAAATTATTTCTAAAGTCTGTTCCAATGCTGCTAGTCTAAAAGTCCATGAATCTGTGGAACAGGAAAATGGATAAAGTTAATTAGGAACAGTTTCCTGGTGAGCTTTGGGTTGGATATAAAGCAAAGAAGAGAGGCAGTAAGGCCAGCCAGCTGGAAAGGAAAGGGGCTACATATGGTGGCACATCAAAATAAGCATTTACATATTAAGCCCAGCCTGTGCTTCTTGAAGTCGTAGTATGCAAAGGCAGAGTTGTTCCTCTCCTAATAAAATATAAATATTAAGTAAGTTATTTTTGCTGCTCTAGTAAGTACTTTTATCATGCTCAGGAAAAGTTGCTTACTACTCATCACTCCCTTGCTTTGCTGACATTTCAGGGTGAATGCAATCATTTCATGGTTCACTCCTGGTTGCTTCACCCTGGCAGTGAACATTTGCACATTAACCGATGACAACGCATGCTGTTCCTCTCCAACTTTGTATATTTCACACTGGGAAATGCTATTGTATTATCATTTTCATTCATGCTACGCTAATAAGCATGTGAAGTATCAGCCGTGGTGTATACTTTTTTTTAATTGTTGTTCCAGAATTCTATTTCAGACTATTAAGCTAGCCTGTATAGACAGGAAAGTTTTCTTATGATAAGGAAAGTTGAATCAGACCCTTTCAAGAGCCTTTCATAGATGTGCTTAATATATGTGACTTCTTAATTGTGCAGCATTTGTTTATAGTACTTGCTATAAATGTTTAAATAACTTACCTGTAAATGGCAATGGTACTTCACTGAAAAAGAGATAAAAAGGCAGGATATTTGCTTTAAGAGAGTTCAGTTAAGCAGACTAATACAAATAAAAGCATATTTTCCCGTCTCTTCAGATGTATCATCACAAATTTATTCAAGTAACATAATTTGCAAGTTTTTTTAACTAATGGAAATAAACAGTCCTAAAAAGCCATTAACAAATTATAGACCAAATTAAGAGAGGAGAAAAAAATCTCTTGAGAATTAGTAAATTAGTAAAAATCAATAAATATAATGATAATCTTATTTGGCCTATACTTTTGCCAAAGCAACTATAAATTCTCATATTTCCACACATTATACAAGTGGTATATCCACCTGGAAAAATATAAAATTTAAACACAAATCAAAATGTTTACAAATGGTTGATGCAACACTGAGTGTAGGGGAGTGAATTTTATATTACTCCAATGATTTCTCTTTCCCCAAGCTTTCTCTGTCCATTTTAGAGAATTGCAAGAACTTGGATCTAGAATAAGTCTTAGCATTTAGATAGCCATATTTCAGAGGTTACAAAATTGATAATTTAAGGGACTTATTCAACACTACAACTAGAAGTTGTAAACTAAATAGGAGCAAAATCTCAAAGCCATTCAAGACATTTTTTATGGTGTAATTTTGGCTCCCAGGGTGAAACTACTCAAATTGCTATATTGTCCAGGAAAAAAAAAATTTACTCATAATTTTTCTTGAATAGGTTTTCTTTCTCTTATACAGTAAAAAAAAAAAAAAGTGCTGTTTATTTGCAAACTACACTATAGTTCTTAGTTACTGAATTGTTGATTTTTGTGTCTTATCATTATAAGCTGTGGTAAATCAAGATATAATTTGATCATAGAAGAGTTTGCTCTATGTAGTTTGCCAAGGACTATTAATCCTTGGCAAATTATTATAGCCATATTATTCCTTCCAGCCAAAAACACTGGGTCCTGTTTGAAAACAAATGTAGGTTGACACCTTAAGAACATAAAGCCAAAGTAAACAACTTAATCTAAATTTCTGTTGAGTTGGTAGCTTTATTAGCCATTAAAGTATAACAATATTACCACAAAATTAGAGACATAAAACAATATACATGAATTCTCTCACAGCTTCTGTGAATGAGGAGTCTGAGTATCCTCTGCTTTCAGGATCTCACAAAACTATTATCAGTTATCAGTCAGGGTTATGGTCCCTTCCGAGGCTCAAGTGAAGAATAGTTCATTTACATCCTTGCATAGTTGTTGGCGGCATTCAATTCTTTGTGGACTTGGACTGAGGGGCTCAGTTTCTTGCTGTCTGTCAGCGAGAGACGAAGGCTGCCCTCAGTTCTTGCTACATGGACCTTCCCAACATGGCTGCTTGCTTCCTAAAGCCAGGAAAGGAATGTGTCTCCTTGCAATGCTGGTGTTACAATGTAAGGTAACATAATTACCTTACAAATACAAATACATATTATGTATATGTAATTACATACACCAGTTTTACCTTTACCATATTCTATTGTTAGAAGCAAGTCACTGGTCCTGTCCACACTCAATGGATGGGAGTTTCATAAAGTAGCAGATGAATAATGCAACCAGAGAGATGAAAATTCTGATAAAGAATAAAAAGGAAATGCTAGAGATAAAAAATATAGTAACACAAATGACGAGTGCCTCTGATAGGCCTATCAGGAGACTGTACACCACTAAGAAAAGAATCTCTGAGCTTGAAGTTATGCCAGTGAAAATATCCAAAACTAAAAACCAAAGTGAAATAAGACTGAAAATAAAGCACCTAAAAATATCCAAGTATCACTGGACAACTGGAGATGGTATAACATACATGTAATAGAATACCAGAGAAGAAGAAATAAATGAACATTATTTCAAGTAATAATATCTGAAAAATGTTCTGCTTAATGTCAGACAAAACCACAGACCCAGAAAGTTTAGAGAACACCAAATAGTATAGATGACCAAACAACAAACAAACAAAACCACATAGGTATACAGTATTCAAACTGCAGAAAATCAAAAACATAGAAAAAAATCTTGAAAGTAGCCTGAGGAAAAAAACATCTTACCAATGGAGGAGTAAAGATAAGAATTATATTCACTTCTCCCCACATATCATGCAAGCAAGAAGAGAATGAGTGGAATATTTAAAATATTAAAAGAATAACAAAAACACCATCCTAGAATATTGTACCCTGTAAAATGAAGGAAAAATTCAGAATTTCTTTAAACAAAAATTGAGGGAATTTATTGCCAGTATAACTGCCTTGAAGAAATGTTAAAAGGAGTTCTTCAGGGAGAAGGAAAATGATATGAGTGAGAAACCATATCAACATAAAGGGAGCAAGGCCAACAGAAAATAAGTAAGTGAGGGTAAAATAAAACAGAAGATTGGACAGTTGTCTCAAACTCACAAGGAATATTCACCAAGAAAGCCCACATTCTGGGCCATAAAGCACATGGTGATAAATTGAAAAGAATAGAAATCACACAATGACTGCTCTCAGACCAGAATAAAATGTAACTGGAAATCAACAACAAAATGATAGCTAGAAACTCCCAAAATACTTGGAGATTAAACAAAGCACTTTTAAATAATATATAGTCAAAGAAGAAATATCAAGATGAATTTTTAAAAATTATGTTGAACTAAATATAAATGAAAATACAATGTATCAAAATATTAAAGTGTAGTATGCAGTAAAAGCAGTGCTTAGAAGAAAGTGTATATCATTGAATGTGTATATTAAAAAAGAAAAACTCTAAATCCAGTCATCTGAATTTCTACCTTAGGTAAATAGAAAAAGAAGATCAAATTATCTCCAAAATAAACTGATGAAAATAAATAATAAAAATTAGAGCAGAAATTAATAAAATTGAAACAGGAAATCAATAGAGAAAAATCAACAAAACCAAATCTATTTCTTTGAAAAGATCAATAAAATGGATAAGCCTCAAGCCACGCTAAGAAAAGAAGAAAAAAGGTGTAAATTGCAGTCATGTATCACATAACAATGTTTTGGTCAAAGATGAACCACATATACAATGATGATTCCATAAGATTATATCATATTTTTGTATCTTTTCTATGTTTAGATACACAAATACTTAACATTGTATTACAATTGCCTACAATATTCAGTACAGTAACATGATGTACAGGTTTGCAGCCTGGGAGCAATAGCCCATACAGCTAGGTGTATAGTAGGCTATACTGTCTAAGTCTGTGTAGGTAGTGTATGATATCCATACAATGATGAAATTGCCTAATGATTAATTTCTAAGAATACATTTCAGTTATTAAGCAATGCATGACTGTATAAGGCACCACACTCTGGCCTCTGTTACCTCTGACTTTATCTCATCTCACCCTCAACTAAGTCACCTAGTATTAGAAATTCTTGAAATTAATGTGATTATGGCAAGATTGCAAGATATAAGTTTAACATAAAAAGTCAATCACTTTCTTACATACTAGCAATGAACAACGAGCATTTGAATTTAAAAATAATTTGCCATCTTTATTAGCAGTACCAAAAATCAGGTACTAATGTATTAACATAACAAAATATGTGCAAGATCTATATGAATTGTAACAACACATTGTACCACATAAAATTTATATAGAATTATTACTTGTTAATTTAGAATAAAATGAAATTTTAAAAAGAAAAATATGAATTTTATACATTACACGTATGCTAAAAAGTGAATGTGTAAAATATGTTAATAAGCCTTGTGCTCACGGGTCTTTTGCTCAGCTGGGAAAAAGAATGTTTAGTTTCATTAAATGCATAACCAACGTTTACTATGATTAAAACATTAAATCACACAGAAAAAATCTATATAAGGAAAACTACAAAACTATAATAAATATATCAAATAAGTAAATAAAGGCACGGATATTTTATGTTCTTGGATATAAAGACTCAATGTTGCCAAGATGTCAGTTCTTACAAACTTGGCATATAGATTCAATGCAATCCCAATCAAAATCCCAGTGTTATTTTGTGGACATCAACAAACTAATTTTAAAATGTATATGGAAAGCAAAAAATCAAGAATAACCAACTTAATATTGAAGGAAAAGGCAGAGGACTGACATTATTCAAATTCAAGACTTACTATAAGCTCCAGGAGTAAAGACAATAATATATATGTTTCAAAGATAATATTTTCAACAAACGGTGTTAGAACAACACATTTAAAAAAAAATGAATCCAGATAAAGAACTTACAGCCTTCATGAAAACTAACTCAAAATAGATCACAGACCTAAATGTCTCTCACCCACTGCTGGTGGAAATGAAAAATAGTATAGCCACTTTGGCAGTTCCTTACCAAACTAAAGATACTCTGATGATATGATCCAGCAATCATGCTCTTTAGTAACCAAATACATTGAAAACATGTCTACACCAAAACCTGCACATGAATGTTGGTAGTAATTATTCAAAATTTCCCAAACTTGGAAGCAACCACGATGTCCTTCAGGAGGTGAATGAATAAATAAACTGCAGTACATCAGACAATGAATCTGATGGTTAATTTCATGTATTAATTTGACTAGATCATATGGTGCCCCAGATATTTGGTTAAAAATTCTTTCTGGGTGTGTCTGTGAGGGTGTTTCTGAATAAAATTAGCATTAAATTTGTGGACTATATAAAGCACATTAACATCGCCAATGTGAATGGGCATCATTCAATCCATTGAGGGTGTGAATAAAATTTAAAAAGCACAGAAAGGGAGAATTTCCACTCTCTATGCCTGCCTGATGGTGCTGGTACATTTGTCTCCTCCTACCCTTGGACTGGAACTTACACCATCAGTGCTCCCAGTCCTCAGGCCTTCAGACTCAGACTGTAACTGATACCAGCACTTCTGCTGGTTCTTAAGCCTTTGAATTCAGACTGACACTATACTACAGGATCTCTTGTGTCTCCAACTATAGATAATGGGACTTCTCAGTATATATTTAAAATCTCAGTATATATATACATACAGATATAGATATATAGATACAGTGGTTTTGGAACCAAAGGTGGCTTTAGCGTAACAAAATATTGAAAACGAGCTTTTTGAATTGATATTTGGGGTTTCCATAAACCCCAATATTCCATATTGGCTTCCTTTTCTGATTAAAGTTGAGATGCTATAATTATATTTCCAGTTGCAAAGAGGGCACTAATAGTTCATGGATATGAACTATTATATACAATATGGCAATAGAAATATGCCAAATCTCTATTTGATATTCCTAAGCAACTATGTACAAAAAGCCAGAAGCTAGAAAATGGTATATGATATTTTGAACATTTCTTTAAAAATCATGAATTTAATGAGATAGATCATTTTGTTGCTACTTATATGGCTGGACAAAGTGTCAAAGAAAAGAGTGAGCTCAGGGATACAAATTTCCAACTCAAGCACCACATAAATAACCTGAAAACTTCTATCATTGCTTTTAAACAGAGCCTTATCTCCTATAGACTTAGGGCTGAGTAGCTGAAAATCAAACACAAAATCTCATCTTCTAAGTGGTTAAATTACAATACAAGTTGAACTCACAGACTCACAAGATGTGTATTTTAACATGAGAGTACTTATTGAGCAAAAAAAAATGCTATCCTATAATTGCCACAGAGATGTGTTGGAAGACCTTGATGAAGCTGGAAACATTGAGCCCTAAATTCTGGTGAATCTTCTTTGTCAGTGTTAAAGAAGTCTTCTTTGTCAGTATAGGATTCTTTATATCAGTGGCTCTCCTCGTTCTCAGGCCTCTGGATTCAGGTTGAAATTATACCATGAGTTTTCCTGGGATTCTGGCTCGTACTGGTGGCAGATAATGGGACTTCTCAGCCTCCAGCTTCCATAACAACATTAATCATCTACGTATAATTGAGAGAGAAATAGAGACAGACAGAGAGAGAGAGAGAGAGAGGGAAAGGATTTGTAAATTGCAGAATATAATTGGTTCTGTTTCTCTGAAAGACAACAATTAATACAACGGAATATTATTAGGCATTAAAAAAATGAGCTATTAAGCCATGAAAAAACATAAAGGAAATGCAAATGTGTATTATTAAGTGAATATTAAGTTTTAAAAAAGCCGATCTGAAAAGACTACATACTGCATGATTCCAACTATATGAAATCTGGAAAAGTCTAAACTATGAATGTAATAAAAAAATAAGTGGTTGCCAAGGATTGGAGGGGGAGATAGATGAATAAGCAGAGCAAAGGGTATTTTTAGGGTAGTGAAACTATTCTGTACAATACTACAGTGGTGGATACATATCATTGTACATTTGTCAAACCCATAGGGTGTACAACATCAAGAGTAAACTCTAATATATGCTATGGGCTTTGAGTGATAATGATTTATAGATGTAGGCTCATTGTTTGTAACAAATGTATCACTCTGATGCAGGATGTCAACAGTGTACTTCCTCCTTCCAACCCATACACACAATAGTGAGGTTGAGACATGAAAAGTCTCTGTACTTTCTGGTCAATTTTGCTGTGAACTTAACATTACTCAAAAAATTAAGCTTTTTTTTTTTCACAGTGTTTTGACTGCACATCCATAATGAGATATATTCCAAGGACCTAAAGCACTGCAATAAATATTTGTAAATAGATTCAGTAATCACATTCTTGGTGGTAGGTTTGGGATAGTGATTCTAAAGCTAAGTGTGTATTTGTGGATGAAGGAAATGAATATTTCTCCATGCTAATGCAGTAATTGGGATGACCATTGTAACAGAAAGAAGATAAAATGTACAGTAAAATTTGTAAGGTTAAATAGAAGCATACGGTTCTGAATTTGAATATGAAGTATCAGTTTAAACCTATTTTATCTTTTAAAAAATATGTATTTTCTAACTCTGTCTGCTAAAAGGACCTATAAACAGTAACCAACTAATAGCAATGAGTAACTCTAGAACCCAAATTTCAGTCTATCAATACTACTTCCCCATAAATGGTTTGTTAGTATGATGGCTAGTTTTATGTATCAACTTGGCTAGTTTTATGTGTCAACTTGACTAGGCTGTAGTATCCAGTTTTTTAATTCAGTATTAATCTAGGTGTGCTGTAAATGTATTTTATAAATGTCATTAGCATACGCAAAAATTTGACTTAGTAGAGAAGACTATTCTGTCCTAAATAATCTGAGTACGCCTCACCCAGTCAGTTGTAAGGGCTTAATAGTAAAACTGAGAGGAAGAGGAAATTCTACCACTAGACTTCAGTATGAGCTCCTATCCAAGAGTTTCTGGCCTGCTGAGCTGCCCGTTGGTTCTTAGACTTGTCTAGTGAGTTCCCATAATCCTGTAAGTCAATTTCTTGCAAAAAGAAAAATCTCATATTTCACCACTTCAAAATTTAATGTGGCTAAGAGGAAATTTAAAATCAGCATGTGATTTACATTTGTGACTTACATTTTAACTCTCCCAGGTAATATTGATCTTTAGGCTCCTGTACCTCTTAGTTTTTTTCTGCAAGTTATTTGTTTGAAAAATTAGGTTGCTTGTCCTATATTTTACTGACTTGTTAAGAGTTACACAGCCTACATTTTACATATCATATTCTCAAGATTCAGCATATATTTTCCTATATATTTTATCTTCATTGGTGATTAGGGCTATAGACTTGGTCATATCCAGGCTTGATTTTGTTTGGCCATGAATATTTTATAGCTGTACTTCAATCAGAATTTGCATGATGTTGTGCTGCCTATGTCTTCATGATATTAGTAGCCATTGATGATAATTGCTTAGATACATTATTTTACTAGTGCTGCAAAATGGTGATATGATGACATAACTTTATAAGCCCTTTTTCATTTATTAGCTTGAATACTTTTAAAATGAGTAATAACTACCCATCAATTACATGAAGGTGCATTTCCCCAGTTTGTGGAAATTATATTCCAATGATATCTTTTGGCGAAACCTGAATGATTCTCATAACGGCTAAAGAAAATGACCCTATCAATGAAACTGCTTCCCCACATGTTACAAAAATATTAAGGGCAGATTTCAAATGTCACTGACAAAGAATTCCTGGCAATAGATTACAGTACATAAGAAACACACCCTGTAGAATCTCTACGGTTTGATTTAGTCCTACCAAAACCACTTGCAGATTCAATTATGCAGCACGCGGATACAGTACCAGGAAGAGCAGTCCTGAGAGATAATCTCATTCACATCCCATTAAAGCAATGAAGAAGGCTCTTGAGGAGCAACTAACATTTCAAGAGCTAGGGTCTGGGGCCCAAGGCGTGCATATGATTAAACCAACCCAGCTAGAAGCAATTATCTACAGATTACCTCAGGCATCCTCTGAGGATGAGTTGTTTCTGAGAGGACACAGTGTCATTCAATCTGAATTCAGTAATTACAACAATTCATTTGGAAGATAGAAATTTACCCTCTGCTTTACAGATTAAAGAAAACGAGCTTGCAAATGCCACCACTTCAAAAATATTCCAAGTCTCATCTATCATTTCTTTTTTAGAGACTTTCCAAACTTCAAAAGTACCCTAAGTCTGAAATATGCATACTGCTTAGATATATGAAGGCTTATAACTTTTGATCTAGAAACAACTTGTATGAACTGAACACAATTTAGGTATTTGGCACAGAAGAATGGGACTGTACAGAAGAAGGAGGGAGTATGTATTTATTTTTATTTTATTTTATTTCATTTATATTTTTTGAGATGGAGTTTCACTCTTGTCACCCAGACTGGAGTGCAATGGCATGATTTCGGCCCACTGCAACTTCTGCCTCCCAGGTTCAAGTGATTCTCCTGCCTCAGCTTCCCAAGTAGCTGGGATTACAGGCACCCACCGCCACACCTGGCTAATTTTTGTATTTTCAGTAGAGACGGGTTTCACTGTGTTGGCCAGGCTGCTCTTGAACTCCTGACCTCAGGTGATCCGCCTGCCTCTGCCCCACAAAGTGTGGGGATTACAGGCATGAGCCACTGTGCCCAGCCCTCATGAATTTATTAGATAGGCACTTATAGGTCCCTTTATATATGTCAGACAGTATGCTATAAAATAATAATAGAGAAGTAATAGAAAAACTCAGATTTGTAGTTACACTTAGATAAGAATGGTTCAGTGCCATAAATGCAATAAAAGCAGCGAACCTCTGTTAGTTTACTTGGCTACTATAGCAAAATACCATAAATTGGGTGGCTTATGAACAACAGAAATTTATTTCTTACAGTTCTGGAGACTGGGACATCCAAGGTCAATGTGCTGGCAGATTCAATGTCTGGTAAGTTCCCATTTTTCTGGATCATAGATGGCTGCTTTTTCTCAGTGTCTTCACAAGGTGGAAAAGATGAACAGACTCTTTTTGGCCTCTCGCTCTTATAAGGGCACCGATTGGATTCGTGAGGGCTCTGCCCTCATGACATAATCACCTCTGAAAAGTCCCACCTCATAATAACATTACCTTGAAGGTTACATTTCAAAATAAGAATTTTGGGGTAACAGAAGCATTCAAATCATAGCAGAACCTAACTCAGCCTGGGGCATGCTTGGGAAAACCATTCCAGGAGTGGCAACAATTGAGTTGATTATTGAGGATGATTAAGCATTAGTTCCAGAATATAGAGAGTTATTGAAAAGAAGGAGCATGTGTGAAACATTCTTACCTATGAAGTAGAATTTGTTTTGTTTTTGGCAGGGAGTTTTCATGTTATGTCTGTATGCCTTGGGTATATGGTAGAATTCTATGAGAAGTTAAGTTGGCAAAGGCCAGATTACAAAATAATTTAGGCATCAAGCATTGAAAAAGAAGTTAGAAGGTATCAAAATAAAATACAATCTCACTTACCACTACATTTAGTGGTGAAAGTCCACCCCTCTTTATCCTCCTCACATAATTGGTCATTAAATACTCCCTTAGTCATTTCTCTGTGGCCACAGAGACCTAGTCTTGAATAGTTAAGTAGCAGAAAGCTTGTTTCAATGTTGGTGACCTGACTGTACTCCAGGACTCTACTGTATGTGATCCTGTCTTGCCACTTGATGTTAATTATAGCCTGTAGCCCATGCAAATAAAACTGAGATTAAAACATGTGATTTGAATTACTTGGGCCAAATCTCACAATTTGAGGCTGTCACTGCTACCACTTCTCTATAAAGTATGAGCTTTGCTTCAATCTGAATTTTTAAACCTACCTTTAAAAATGCTGATCACAACAAAGAGCACTGCAGTTTGGCATATTTATCGGGAACACTGGAGTTCTTTGCTCATCTTCATTGAGCAAGCCATAGTAAGCAGAAGGAAAGGAAGTAAGGAAAGAAGGGAGGAAGGAAGGAAAGAAGGAAGGGAGGAGGGAAGGGAGGGAGGGAAGGGAGGGAGGGAGGAGGGTACCAAATTAACAGAATACATGTCAACATATCAATTAGTGTTTCTTCCCTGAGCAATGGCTGTACATTGACCCTGATTCTTTAGATAAGATTCTGCACATCAAACCATTGGATAAACTATAAACAATTGTGCAAGTATTAATTATTGAAATTTTTTAAAAAAAATTTCTTAATATTCTGCAATCTCCCACTTTACATAAATTTACCTCCAACTTAAATACCTCGGAAAATACATATTCTTGTCAACTGGCAATACTCTCTGTAAACCACTCCTGAAGGCAAAGAACACTCAACACTAAAACAGAGAATGAGTTATGATTAATAACAAGTTACCATAATAGTGGGGTAATCTGCTAAAACAAAATCTTATTTGCTTCTGTTATATATGTGTCCGCATGTGTGTGTACATTTTTATGTATATGTCTATGTGTGTGTACATGTGTTTCTTTATGGTGAGCCATGTGCCATAAAATCACTAATCTTGGTTTTGGAAATTTGACTTCTCTACCCACATGAGTTTCTTAAAATGTTCATAATTGGACGGATATTATGGAAACTGTATAGGTAGCACTTCAGGGATGTCCCGCTAACTCTTTAGCCTAAGGATATCATTATATTATAATTCTTTCTCCCTGAATCTCATAGTATCTTCATTCTCCCACATTCATGGAGATAAAATGTCAGGCTTTGCTCTTTCGTGGATCAGTCATGACCTTCTGTGGAAGCCTATACCATCCATTCCTTTGTAATTACTAGTTTAATCTCTAAACAACATGGATTCTGAGTAGAAATTCACCATTTCTTAATACAATATTCAGAATTTCTAAATTTCCCTAAGTCTTGCATACAAAGTGAGGGAAAAAATTATGTCCCATAGACAGTAACTTTTTTTCTGTCACCTTTCAGACAGAAAGGGGCAGAAAGCTTGCTTGAGAATCAAGTTTCTAACTCTGGTTTTGTTATCACCCAGGAAATCACTTAATTATATTGGGCTATAAATTTCTGATTTTTTCAATTATAAATTTATAATGCATAATTTTTGAAAATGCTTTTGGCTCAAAACTTATGTTAACTCTATGACTATGATATAATTGGACTGTCTACATCACTCAAATTTAATTTTTAACTTTTATTAAGTGAACATAAGTCCCTAGAAAAGGTTCTCTTATACAAGTTAACTTTAATAAATCCAAACTCAAACATTTACCAGCTGGATAAAAATTGATATGTGTAACACTGGAATACATAGAAATTTCAGCCTCATCTTCCAGCCTGGGCAGCCGAGATTGCAACACTGCACTCCAGCCTGGGTGACAGAGGGAGACTCTGTCTCAAAAAAAAAAAAAAAAAAAAAAAGAAAGAAAGAAAGAAAGAAAATTAAAGCTCAGTACAACGACTACAAAATGACACAGCTGAAAGAATGACTCTGTAGTTTTCTAAAAGGAAGTCTCTACTCCTTAGTGAATAATTTTTCACTTAAGTAAAACCAAGAATTCTGACCTTTTCCCTCTCCTCTCTAGTAACACTTCTCTTCCAGTTCTACTGTCAAGATAAAAGCCTTTCCCCCCAACTATGATATGTTAAGGCTTTTAAGAAAGTGTGGACAAGAAAGTCAATTATGGGTTTAAGCTTTGATAATATACTCTAAGTTTTCACAGAAAACTAAGTGATTTGCTCCCTTTTCCACCTCACTTACTCTGTTTGGATGCATACTGCAAGAGAAAATTCACTTTTCAACTAGTTGCACTTATAAAAAGACCCTGGGAAAAATCCCACATGCTCTGAGCCAGCTGCAGAGAGGCCGCAGTGGTTCCTTAATGACTGCAGCCTAAGGATGCAGGAACGGGGCCACTAATCCGACTTCAGATGAGCACAGCACTTTTGTGAGACTATGGAAATAGGAGGTTAGACACTATACCTGGGCCATTCAGCAACCTTGTATCTTCAGGAAAAGCTGCAGAGACCTGCTGATCCTGGAAACAGCTTCAGGTACTTCTATCATGAGGAGTGGTCCAGCATGCCTACAGAGGTTGTCCAACCCTAAAAATTTACTCTGATAGAAAAATAATATTTTTTCCAACCCATTGGAAAGTAGAATTGTCAATGTATTCATTTGCCTGCTTTTTTAAAAAGGATCATCTAACCATAAAACAACCTATAAATAAATATTGTTCTTTCTTTGTAGTGAGGTGATTAGAAATGATTATTTCACACATATGCTAGATTTATAGCCTATTAAATAAAACTTATATATGTCATATTCAACTTTATTTTCTCTTATTTTAAATTATATTTTGCTAAATATGTTAGCATAATTTTATTGTCTGAAGGTAAAACAATCATCTGAAGAACGTCTTCGTGTTGTAGACCTGTGTGCATGGTGTTTCTGTTCTTCATATCAACTGACTGGATTGCTGCCACCTCGTTAGCCAGCTCTCAATCAAGCAAAGAAAGCACATGAATTGAGAGATTGCTGCATATGGCAGACTGTACTGAGTAATCTTTAGGGAATACTTTCTGCCAATTTGGGGTTCTAAATCTGTTTTATGTTCACATTAGTGTCCTCAACTAAGAATAGAATTCCAGCTTCATTCAAGTCACAGTAAGGCTTGTTTTCCTGTTGGAATTTGGATGTATTCCTGAAAGTGCATGCATAGAACAGTAAACCAATCACTGAAGAATGAACTATCAGTCTGAAATGCCTAACACAACAATCGTTTAGTCAGTAATAGGAAACAATTTTGCTTTACATTTGAAAGTCTGGCTTTAACTTATGACTTTGTCAATATGTACTAAAGGCCACAGAAAAAGAGCTATGATTAATCTGCTATCAACCTAACTCTGGGCAGTTGTGTGTTTTGTTCTGTTGAGTTCCTGCATATGCATAACAATAATATTGCCTAGATTCAAAAGAAAGCATAGGAAAGTCCATTTCCTGAATAAAGTACACTAGCCCAGCAGGAAAATCATGTGAGAAAGGTTTGAATGCAAAGGTTATCAGTTTATTACAGCAACCCCAGAGCAGTGCTTGTAGTAAAGAAGCTTTTTAGTTCTTTATAGCTTGTCCTTTCAACAAATACTACTGTGCATTTTTCTGGGCAACACAATATGCCACTTGCTAAAGAAGCCACAGGTGAGTAATACATAGATTCTTTTCCCAAGGAAATTATGATCTATTAAGATGGATAAACAACTAAATATAAGAGAAGAAGCAACGAATTACTCTTACCCCTCTAGTAAATTATAGAGACACCTTAAGATCAGGAATCAGGGGATGCCATCCCTCATCTCTCATCATCACAGATTGTGTTCCTCAGAATTAGACCCTAATATAAGCTTTGGATGCAGGTAGTTAATTTACTTAAGAAGTGATATTAGACAACACTGGTAGGGGAATGAGGAAATGAAACATGGGAGGGAAGGAAGTCAATATTGGCAGCTTTTATTGGCAGGTTATTGTCAGGGCAACCTGCACAAATGCTGGAAGACAGCCTAGAAAGCCTTCAGGGTTACCCATTCACTGAGTGCAGAGGACTGGCTTTTTATTCACCAATGTCCCTCTCATATTGGATGAGGGCTATTGCATGCTGCACTAATTCCTAGATGCTTTCAACTTGTCCCAAGCATGGACCAAACACTTTCTGTGGCCATAAAGAGATCTAGGGTTTCCACTGGGAAGCTGCAAACACATTAGTGGATAGTGAGTGGTAAAGGAGTACCTGTGAGATGGCAACTTTATCTGTTCACTCCCTTTGCTGTAGCTCATAGCATACTTTCAAACACATTGCGAGCATTTGGAGACAAAGTAAGGACAGGGCTTGGCTTTAGCTCACCCCAGCTAGAGCATTCCCACGGATCACAAAACCCACACCACTACCTCACTGATGTCATACCCGTTAATAGTCACACAAAGAAAATAGCCAATCTATATCATTCTTTTGTGTTCCCGTAATGTTTAGTCATGACGTTTACTTAAAGAATTTCAAAAACTGGCCTTAGGAGATCCAAAATCGATTCAAGGTTCCAGAGTGTCCCACCTTGGGAAGGAATGCTGAACAATTTATTCACAGCCTTGTTGCTGCTAACCAGACCACCAGGTGGCTCATTGCTCAAGAGAACCACCACAACCACTTACTGACCTGCATCCCCTACTCTTCATGTGCTTTGACCAGCCCAGCCTGCATATCTTACCCCTGATGTGAATTCCCATACTTTGCAGATATAAAAATCCCTACTGACTCTTTTTGGGGAGCCAGCCAGAGAACCCTTGCACCTCTGCTGTCTCCCTTGCATTTGAGTACAAGCCACAAATAAAAGCCTTATCTGGGAAATCAGCCTGGCCCCGTATTAATTGCCATTACATGGGGAGCCTAAGAGCCTGTGGTCTGTAACGTTTAGATGACACCAAATTATCCAAGAAATATTGTAAGGTCTATCCTCTATTGCATTTTCTGTTTCTGCACAAATGAATAGCGTATTTTCTTTCTCTCTAATTTCTACCCCTATTTATATATTACTTGTTATTATATGAATAAAATATTATAATGGCTTCCCAACTGGTTTCCCTGCCTCCAGTCTGCACTTACTCCAATCCATCACATATATTTTTATCAGATTATCATATTTTGTCTTCATTTATTTAATATCTTCAGCAGTTCTTCCCTGTGCATAAGAGCATGCCAGGATTTCTAATGTCCATAAAGGCTGCATTTTGCATTCTATAGAATACTTTTATTTATATTATTGTGTTTACTCTTCCTAGCCATCTTGTGAATATGAATTATTACCTGATTTTTGAGATAATCCTTAAAAAGTTTATGATTTTTCTCCATGGAATTTAAGTGAATTCCTTTTACATTTCCTTAAGGTAAGAACTTGGAATTTGAGCCCAGTAGTATTGTTGTCTTCCATTTGTACCCCATTTATTCATTCTTTGTTTTTCTGCCCTGCTATATTCCTAACAAAGCTTACTCACAGCTCTTGCTTGGAATTGGCCTAGCAGACACTAGCAAGAGATCAGCATGTTTCATAGGTTTGTAAACACAGAAAACCACTGGAAGCCATGCATCATTTCAGTAGTGAATCTTCTCATGCATCGGTTTGGTACCTCATTATGTGGAGGGTAAATAAAATCAGTCTTCTACATTAAACACACACACATATACACAGTGCCCACTAATATATAAAATTAGACTCTATCTCAATATTGGCTTGTCTCTATCTCAAAATGAAACCAATATTTTAACATGAGGTGAAAGACCATATTAACTTGCCGAGAAAGGGAGCAAGAATTTGTCTGCTTTACTGCTCTTATCTGACAACCATCTCCAGCCTGTCAGAGAATTTGGAAAAGCCCACAGTTAAGTTGGGAATTAAAGTATTTCTTTGACAAGAGCACTGCTATGAGTGCCATCTCCCTAGGGGCTTGGGGTGGGATGACTGTCTTCTGACCTTAATTTTGGTGAGAGTCATTTCAAAGAGATAACTCAACTAGGTTGATTGTATTCCCAGCAGTCTAGTGACATACTGGATGAGGGTCAGACTTGCAAGTGAGAATTTTAAAAGGGCAAAAGGCTGTAGCTAAACTACCTGCTGTGCAGCTAAATGAAAAGCAGGGTATAATTGAAAATAACTGCACTCCTACTGATGGCAGATCAAATGGGGCACATGTTCTATGTGCATAGGAGAAATTTGGCCAGAGTTGGTTTAGATCCTGCAAAGAGGTTCAAAAGACGGGGCAAATGGACTTCAGCTGAAAGAGGTGAGAAGAGTATTGCCAAATGACCAGGAGATGTGAAAGCAATCTTGATTGATGGGCTAGTGGAAATATACTTGTATATGTCAAGGAATGTAGAGACCAGAAATCCTCGTGATGAAGGAATTTTCTAAGGAACCCACAAAAATATCTCTAAAAAAGGGTCAGCTTTAAACCTCTGCCACATCCAGAGGAAACCAATGCCATATTGGTTCAGGTAAGTTATACATAGAGAACCCATTCATTTGTCTACTGCAGGCAGTCATTCCAAAAGAAAGAGATTTCTTTCTTTCTTTCTTTCTTTCTCTTTCTTTCTTTCTTTTTCTTTCTTTCTTTCTTTTTCTTTCTTTCTGTCTTTCTCTTTCTTTCTATCTACCTTTCTTTCTTTCTCTCTTTCCTTCCTTCTGTTAGTTATCTTTTTATTTAAGAGTTTTATACATTAAATATGTTAATTATTTGCATATTTTATATGTTCCAAATATGAAATCCTGGGCTTTACAGACAAGAACCTGGGTGACAAGTAGGACTCAAACTATTAGTGGTAAAATAATCAATATTGGGAGAGAACTCTTCAAAAACCAGGTCTTACCATATAATGGGCCCTTTTAAGGACTCTATATTTATACCATAAAAGCAACCAATTATATTGGTCATAGTTGGAAATTTTTTTAATTCATCCAACCAATATTCATTGAGCACCCACCATATTCTAGGTACTGTTTCATTTATTATTTTTTATTTCCATAGGGTTTTGGGGAGCAGGTGGTGTTTGGTTACATGAATAAATTATCTAGTGGTGATTTCTAAGATGTTGGTGCACCTGTCACTTGAGCAGCATACACTGTACCCAATTTGTATTCTTTTATCCCTCACTCCCCTCCCAGCCTTTCCCTGGAGTCCCTAAAGTCCATTGTATGATTCTTATGCCTTTGCATACTCATAGCTTAGCTCACACTTATGACTGAGAACATACAATGTTTGGTTTTCCATTTCTGAGTTACTTCACTTAGAATAATGATCTCCAACTCCATCCAGATTGCTGTGAATACCATTATTTTGTTCCTTTTTATGGCTAAGTAGTACTCCATGGTATATATATATATACCACAATTTATTTTTCCACTCATTGATTGACGGGCATTTAGGCTGGTTCCATACTTTCACAATTACAAAATGTACCACTAAAACAGGCGTGTACAAGTATCTTTTGTGTATAATGACTTCTTTTCTTCTGGGTAGATATGCAGTAGTGGGATTGCTAGATCAAATGGTAGTTCTACTTTTAGTTCTTTAAGGAATCTCCACATTGTTCACCTTTAACCGCAGTGGTTGTACTAGTTTACATTCTCACCAACAGTGTAAAAGTGTTCCCTTTACACCACATCCCCACCAATATCTATTATTTTTTGATTATGGCCATTCCTGGAGGACTGAGATGGTATCACATTGTGGTTTTCATTTGCATTTCCCTAATCATTAGTGATGTCGAGAATTTTTTCATACATTTGCTGGCCATTTGTATATCTTCTTTTGAGAATTGTCTATTAATATCCTTAGCCCACTTTTTGATGGGATTGTTTATTTTTTTCTTCTTAATTTATTTGAGTTCCTTGTAGATTCTGGATATTAGTCTTTTGTCAGATGTATAGAATGTGAAGATTTTCTCCCACTCTGTGGGCTGTCTGTTTACTGTGTTGATTGTTTCTTTTGCTGTGCAGAAACTTTTTAGTTTGATTAAGTCCCATCTATTTATCTTTGTTTTTGTTGCATTTGCTTTGGGGTTCTTGGTCATGAAGTCTTTGCCTAAGCCAATGTCTAGAAGAGTTTTTATGATGTTATCTTCTAGAATTTTTATAGTTTCAGGTCTTAGATTTAAGTCCTTGATCTATCTTGAGTTGGTTTTTGTAAGGTGAGAGATGAGGATACAGTTTCATTCTTCTACATGTGGCCTGCCAATTATCCCAACACCGTTTGTTGAATAGGGTGTCCTTTCCTCATTTTATGGTTTTGTTTCTTTTGCTGAAGATCAGTTTTCTGTAAGTATTTGGCCTTATTTTTGCATTCTCTATTCTGTTCCATTGGTCTATTTGCCTATTTTTATACTAGTACCATGCTGCTTTGGTGACTATAGCTTATAATATTTTGTAGTCAGGTAATGTGGTGCCTCCAGATTGATTATTTTTGCTTAGTCTTGCTTTGGCTATGCGGGCCCTTTTTTGGTTCCATATAAATTTTACAATGTTTTTTCTACTTCTGTGAAGAAAGATAATGGTATTTTGATGGGAATTCCATTGAATTTCCAGATTTCTTTTGGCCGTATGGTCATTTTCACAATATTGATTCTACCCATCCATGAGCATGGGATCTGTTTCCATTTGTTTGTGTTGTCTACAATTTATTTCAGTAGTGTTTTATAGTTTTCCTTGTAAAAAATCTTTCACCTCTTTGGTTAGGTATACTCTTAAGTATTATGTATTTTTTTGCAGCTATTGTAAAGAAAGGTTGAATTCTTGATTTGATTCTCAGCTTGGTCACTGTTGGTGTATAGCAGAGCTACTGACTTATATACATTGCTTTTTTTAATCCTGAAACGTTGATGAATTCATTGATCAGTTCTAGGAGCTTTTCAGAGGTGTCTTTAGGGTTTTCTAGGTATATGATCATATCATCAGCAAACAGCGAGAGTTTGGCTTCCTCTTTACCGAGGAGTTCCAGCACTCCGTTGAATAGAAGTGGTGAGAGTGGGCATCCTTGTCTTGTTTCAGTTCTCAGGGGAGATGCTTTCAACTTTTTCCCATTCAATATTATGTTGGTTGTGGGTTTGTCAGAGATGGCTTTTATTACATTAAGTTATGTTCCTTCTATACTGATTTTGCTGAGGGTTTTGTCATAAAGGGATGTCGGATTTTGTCAAATGCTTTTTCTGTGTCTATTGTAATAATCATGTCATTTTTGCAAGGTTTAGAGGCTTTATTATTGTTGTTGTTATAATATACTATACAGAATAATTACAAACCCAATGTTCTTTTTTGATGAGAATAGTTTGGAAGAAATTTTATTTTCTAAGAGTGACCCAAAAATATCAGAGATCAAGTTCGAGTGGCCAGTTTGAAGACATTTATGCCCTTATGTCCATGAAACACATGCACATTTGACATCAGTAGATTCCTGAGAGTAATGACACTTTGTGTATTGAAATAAATTTCCTAAATATATTTGATCTCTAAACAAGAAAAAGAAACTAGACTGAAATATTGTGCTTACTGACACTTAATTGGATTTGATGTAAAAATGAAATGAAATACCTTTTAAAGTTTCTTTCTTTTTAAAAATATGTCAAGAGTAAGAAAACCTCATTTTTGTAGACAGAGTTCATCCCCCCTGACCCCCCGCAATTTATATGGTAAAAAGATGACAATATTAGTAGGTGGGTCCTTTGAGAAGTAATTTAGGTCATGAGGGTAGAAATCTCATGAATGGAATTAGTGTCCTTATAAAGAGAGATACTAGAGAGCTCTCTGGCCTTATTTTTCCATCATGTGAGACTATAAAGAGAAATCCATAGTTTAAATCCTGGAAGTTGGTCCTCACCAGAATCCAACCATGCTGGCACCCTAATCTCTGACATCCACCCTCCAAAACTATGAGAAATAAATTTCTGTTGTTTTTAAGCCATGTAGTCTATAGTATTTTGTTATAACAGCCCACATTGACTAAGATACTCATTAAATTAATGGAATTAATTTAAATCTGTATACCAGATGATGGCACTTTTTTATTTGACCATTAACACTTAAACTACAGAGAAAAATGATATGACACTATTGAAGATAAATTTGGTTTCAGAATGTTAAAGCAAACTCTCTTCTAATGGATTCAGGTTTAACAAAATAATTCATAATATATACAAAAAAATAAATCAAAAATTTAATCATATGATGCCTCCAAACAAGGGCTGAAAACCTCTGACATTAAACACCAAACTTTAAGGGTCAAGACAAAACCAAAATGAGTGAATGAATGAATGCCCTGGGCAAATGTAGTGGGCAGTGAGAGGGGAAGCCTAGAGTATACATTTTCCCAAGGACAACATATAACTTATCATTTATATGTAGAGAAAGCCTTCTCTAAATAAAACTGTAAAAAGAAAGTTAAAACAAAGCAAAAATGAAGAAAGAATAATCATTGATTAAAATTGCAGATAAAGGAACAGAATAAAAAAATAAGAAATACTGCTATAATGAATCATAGTTTAAATATTCACTTACAGGAGGATGCAATTTTAATAAATTTTCCCAAGCAAGAATTTTGTACATTACAGAAAAAATCCAAATACATTGTACCCTGCCCACATAATTTAAGAAACTTTCTTACCACCAGCAAAAGCATGGTAAAGCCACCATTCTCCTTTTCCTGCCCTCAGAATCATTTCTATAGATTACATTTTCTTGGATACGTTTTGCAATCAGTCTTAAATATGTTACTGTCCTTGACTTTATCAGTGTCTGCTTACTATTGTAATTTTTGTCTCTTTTGGATATGCAATCTGTAGATATTCCTTCCAAATATTCTTTTTAAATATAGCCATGATAGAAGCAACAATACACAGGAGAACTCTATGAGAGCTCATTATGAAACAAAGTGAGGCATATTCAAATACACAAGAAAAAGCAGATGAGATATGAGAATTCATCTGATCATAACTTGTTTTTGTCACTAACAAGATATTTGTCACATGACTGCACTATCTGTTATGAATTAGAATAATAAAAGAGATATGCCATACAGTGAGAAGCAATTCTCCTTATGGTAAACTATTCCCATCATCTTCTAATGACAAGGAGAATACCATTAGGGATGAATTGCCTGGGTCACTTTCTAAAAGATTTCAATATTGAGTAGAGTGAGTTAAGAAAAATCAAGGTTCTTCTACCAACTTCATGTTTGAATTAGTGTACTAGTATCCTCAAGTTTCTCATGCTCCTCTCTTGAAATTATTTTTCAAATTACAACGAGAGTGATTTTATAAAAACATAGATTTTTTAAATTTACTGTAATTGATGTTATACACACACATATATATGTATATTTATGGTGTACAATATGATGTTTCAATATGTAGGCATTGTGGAATAACAAAGTCAAGTGTACTAGGCCATTCTGGCATTTCTATAAAGAAATACCTGAGACTGGGTAATTTGTAAAAAAAAAAGAGGTTTAATTGGCTCACAGTTCTTCAGGATGTACAGGGAACATGGTTACAGCATATGCTTGGCTTCTGGGGAGACCTCTGGAAACTTACAATTATGGCAGAAGGCAAGGAAGAGCAGGCACATCACATGGCCAGATGTGGAACAAGAGACAGAGGGGGTGATGCCACACACTTTTAAACGACCAGATCTCAGGAGAACTCATTCACTATCACAAGAACAGCACCAAGTAGATTGTGCTAAGTCATTCATGAGAAAGCTGTCCCCATGATCCCATCACCTTCCACCAGGCCCCACCTCCAACATTGGGGATTACAGTTTAACATGAGATTTGTATGGGGACACAGATCCAAGTCATATCATCAAACTATTTAACATATGCATTATCTCAAACATTTACCATTTTCTTGTATGTGCTGAGAATACTTAAAATCTATTTTGTTAGCAATTTTCAATTATGAAATATATTGTTATTATCTATTGTTACTATGATGTATAAAGCACAGATTTTCATATGGCCCTCCTTTGCTAAAATAGCTCCAGTGTTTCTCATTATTTCTAGGAAACAAAACTCTTACATTTAAAAAAAATGTAAAGGACAAATTTCTCAGTATGAACAGAAGACCTGTCCAGCCTATTTCCTGTTCAAATCTTTAACCTCATGACACATCATGCCCTGGGGTTCATTCTGTCCCAGCCACAGTGTCAACTTTCAGGGACCCCTACTGAGCTCAATTGCTCCTGTGACACAGAGCTTTGCAAATTGAATTTCCTCTCTCTTGAAATCTTTTGCCTTCTTGTATTATTTAGCTTATGCCTATTCCTCCTTGTATTTATGTTTGTCTTTGCCATGAGAATGTTTTCTTGGACAAAATCCTCAGTTAAAATCAGCCTATCATACAATCCCTTAGCAATATTCATGTCTTTTTCAGACCCCTATCATAGATTCAATTTTAAAATATGGCTATTTTTACTTAATGTTTATCTCCTGACCTGCCCAAGAGGGTAAGCTCCACAAATACAGAGAGGGAAGAAATCTGTATTTGTTCAACATTGTATCACAACTACTCAACTGTCTAAAAATAAAAATTCAAAGGAAAATAATATTAACTAAAAGTTCAAACGTGTTTGGGGACTATTGGGAGGAGGGACAAGTTGACATATATCAGTATGATATGTGTTTTATGCCTTTAGCTGAGCCTACTAAATTGTTTGAAACCAAGACTTATGCACATGAAAGATTAATTAACCATTAATGAGTAAATAGCACAGTAATAACATACAGAAGTTTTTTAAAGTTAAAAGTGTTAATATGTATGTGCTCACTTTAGGATAGTCAATAGACAAACATCTAAAGTTTAGAGACACTTGTTTTTCCAAGATCATATAGCATCATGAAAGTAATTTGAGAATAGCAAAACAATAAATATGCTCTATGACACCAAAACTAGATTTATAGTGTTCCTGAAAATTAAAAATATTGGAAACTGAAAACATAGTGTATTAGTTTGTTTTCACACTGGTTTAAACATACTACCTGAGAATGGGTAATTTATAAACAAAAGAGGTTTAATTGATTCATAATTCCACATGGCTGGGGAGGCCTCAAGAAACTTACAATCATGGCAAAAGGGGAAGCAAGGTATGTCTTACATGGCGGGAGGAGAGAGCACGCACAGGGGAAACTGCCACTTTTAAACCATCAGACCTGGTGAGAACTCCCTCACTATCATGAGAATAATATGGGGGAAACCTTCCCCATTATCTAATCACTTCCAACAAACTCCCTCCCTCAACATGTGGAAATTGCACTTCGCGATAAGATTTGGGTGGGGACACGAACCAAACCATATCCCATAGGTGGGCTTGTTTATCAAAGTGTTCCCTTCATCTAGTACATAGTCAAATTAAACTTGTTTTTAATTTAATTGTGTTTATGTTGAGGGTTATGAGGACTTTAAGTAGAGAGTGACAAAATACGCATTTTAAAACACTCTGGAAAAAGTGTGGAAGGCAGTTTAAAAGAAGACAAGATTTGAGAATTAGAAGGCTGTATGATTTTTTTAAATAAATAAACTTTAATTTTAGAGCAGTTTTAGATTTACAGAAACTTGAACAGAAAACACAAGAGTTCCCAGTATTCCCTCTGTCTCCTTGCCCTCAGTTTCCTGTATTATTACCGTCTTGCAGTTGCGTGGCACATTTGTTATAACTGCCTAGCCAATATTGATATATTATTATTAGCCAGTCAGTAGTTTTTATTTTATTTTATTTTACTTTAAGTTCTGGGATACATGTGCAGAATGTGCAGGTTTGTTACATAGATATACATGTGCCATGGTGGTTTGTTGCACACATTAACCCATCATCTACATTAGGTATTTCTCCTAATGCTATCCCTCCCCTTGCCCTCCAACCCCTGACAGGCCCTGGTGTGTGATGTTTCTCTCCCTTTGTGCATATGTTTTCATGGTTCAACTCCCACTTATGAGTGAGAACATGTGATGTTTGGTTTTCTATTTCTGTGTTAGTTTGCAGAGGATCATGGCTTTCGGTTTCATCCATATCCCTGCAAAGGACATGATCTCATTCTTTTTTATGGCTGCATAGTATTCCCTAGTTTATATGTACCACATTTTCTTTATCCAGTCTATCATTGATGGGCATTTGGGTGGGTTCCATGTCTTTGCTATTGTAAATAGTTCCACAATTAACATACGTGTGCATGTATCTTTATAGTAGAATGATTTATATTCCTATAAGTGTATACCCAGTAATGGGATTGCTGGGTCAAATGGTATTTCTGGTTCTAGATCCTTGAGGAATTGCCACACTGTCTTCCACAATGGTTGAATTAATTTACATTCCCACCAACAGTGAAAAAGCATTCCTATTTATCCACAGCTTCACCAGCATCTGTTGTTTCCTGACTTTTTAATAATCACCATTCTGACTGGCATGAGATGATCTCTCATTGTGGTTTTGATTTGCATTTCTCTAATGATCAGTGATGTTGAGCTTTTTTTCATATGTTCGTTGGCTGCATAAATGTCTTCTTTTGAGAAGTGTCTGTTCATATCCTTTGCCCACTTTTTGATGGGTTTGTTTCCTTTTCCTGTAAATTTGTTTAAGTTCCTTGTTGATTCTGGATATTAGACCATTGCCAGATGGGTAGGTTGCTAAACTTTTCTCCCATCCTATAGGTTTCTTGTTCACTCTGTTTCTAGTTTTCTTTTGCTGTGCAGAAGCTCTTTAGTTTAATTAGATCCCATTTGTCAATTTTGGCTTTTGTTGCAATTGCTTTTGGTGTTTTTTAATGAAGTCTTTGCCATGCCTATGTCCTGAATGCCATTGCCTAGGTTTTCCTCTAGAGTTTTTATGGTTTTGGGTTTTACTTTTAAGTCTTTAATATATCTTGAGTTAATTTTTGTATAGGGTGTAAGGAAGGGGTTGTGTTTCAGTTTTTTGCATATGACTAGCCAGTATTCCCAGCACCATTTATTAAATAGGGAATTCTTTTCTCATTACCTGTTTTTGTCAGGATATGTGGTGTTATTTCTGCTGTCTCTTTTTTGTTTCATTAGTCTATATAACCGTTTTAGTACAAGTACCATGCTGTTGTGGTTACTGTAGCTTTGTAATATAGTTTGAAGTCAGGTAGCATGATGCCTCCAGCTTTGTTCTTTTTGCTTAGGATTGTCTTGGCTGTACAGGCTCACTTTTGGTTCCATATGAAATTTAAAGTAGATTTTTCTAATTCTGTGAAGAATGTCAAGGGTAGTTTGATGGGAATAGGATTGAATCTATAAATTACTTGGGCAGTACAGCCATTTTCACAATACTGATTCTTCCTAACCATGAGCATGGGATGTTTTTCCATTTATGTGTGGGTCTTCTCTTATTTCCTTGAGCAGTGATTTGCAGTTCTTCTTTAAGAGGTCCTTCACGTCCCTTGTTAGTTGTATTCCTAGGTAGTTTATTCTCTTTGTAGCAATTGTGAATGATTGTTCATTCATGATTTGGCTCTCTGCTTGTTTATTGTTGATGTATTTGAATGCTTGTGACTTTTACACACTAATTATATATCCTGAGACTTTGATGAAGTTGCTAATTAGCTTAAGGAGTTTTTGAGCTGAGATGATAGGGTTTTCTAAACATACAATCATCTCATCTGCAAACAGAGACAATTTGACTTCCTCTCTTCCTATTTAAATACCCTTTATTTCTTTCTCTTGCCTTATAGCCCTGGCCAGAACTTCCAATACTATGTTGAATAGGGGTGGTGAGAGAGGGCATCCTTGTCTTGTTCTGGTTTTCAATGGGAATGCTTCCAGCTTTTGCCCATTCAGTATGATATTATCTATGGGTTTGTCATAAATCCAATATCCATCAACTGGATATTGGTGGATAAGCTTTTTGATGTGCTGCTGGATTTGGTTTGCCAGTATTTTATTGAAGATTTTTGCATCGATGTTCATCAGGGATATTGGCCCAATGTTTTCTTTTTTTGTGGTATCTATGCCCGGTTTTGGTATCGGGATGATGCTGGTCTTATAATATGAGTTAGGGAGGAGTCCTTCCTTTTCAATTGTTTGGAATAGTTTCAGAAGAAATGGTACCAGCTCCTCTTTGTATCTCTGGTAGAATTCAGCTGTGAATCCATCTGGTCCTGGGCTTTATTTTGGTTGGTAGGCTATTAATTACAGCCTCAAATTCAGAACTTGTTATTGGTCTATTCAGGGATTCAGATTCTTCCTGGTTTAGTCTTGGGAGAGTGTATGTGTCCAGAAATTCATCCATTTCTTCTAGATTTTCTGGTTAATTTGCATAGAGGTGTTTATAGTATTCTGCAATGGTAGTTTGTATTTCCGTTGGGTCAGTGGTGCTATCCCCTTTATCATTTTCTATTGTGTCTATTTGATTCTTCTCTCTTTTCTTCTTTATTAGTCTAGGTAGCCATCTATCTAGTTTGTTAATTTTTTCAAAAAACAGCTCCTGGATTTATTGATTTTTTGAAGGTATTTTGGTCTCTATCTTCTTCAGTTCTGCTCTGATCTTAATTATTTCTTTGTCTTTGCTAGCTTTTGGACGTGTTTGCTCTTGCTTCTCTAGTTCTTTTAATTGTGATGCTAGTGTGTAGATTTGAAGTCTTTCCAGATTTCTGATGTGGGCATTTATTGCTATAAATGTCCCTCTTAACACTGCTTTAGCTGTGTTCCAGAGATTCTGGTATGCTGTCTCTTTGTTCTCATTGGCTTCAAAGAGCTTCTTGATTTGTGCCTTAATTTTATGATTCACCCAGTAGTCATTCAGGAGCAGGTTGTTCAGTTTCCATGTAGTTGTGTGGTTTTGAGTGAGTTTCTTAATCCTGAGTTATAATTTGATTGCACTGTGGTCTGAGAGACTGTTTGTTATTATTTCAATTCTTTTGCATATGCTGAGGAATCTTTTATTTCCAATTATGTGGTCAATTTTAGAATAAGTGCAATATGGCACTGAAAATAATGTATATTCTGTTGATTTGGAGTGGAGAGTTCTGTGGATGTCTATTAGGTCAACTTGCTCCAGAGCTGAGTTTAAGTCCTGAATATCCTTTTTAATTTTCTGCCTCATTGCGCTAATATTGACAGTGGAGTGTTAAAGTCTCCCACTGTTACTGGGTGGGTGCCTAAGTCTCTTTGTAGGTCTCTAAGAATTTGTTTTATAAATCTCAGTGCTCCTGTATTGGGTGCATATACATTTAGGATTCTTAGCTCTTCTTGTTGCATTGATCCCTTTACCAATTATATAATGCCCTTCATTGTCTTTTTTGATTTTTGTTGGTTTTATCAGAGAGTAGGATTACAACCCCTGTTTTTTTTTGTTTTGTTTTATTTTGTTTGTTTGTTTGTTTGTTTTTGCTTTCTATCTGTTTGGTAAATTTTCCCGCATCCCTTTATTTTGAGCATATGTGTGTCTTTGCAAGTGAGATGGGTCTCCTGAATACAGCACACACATGGGTCTTGACTCTTTATCCAATTTGTCAGTCTGTGTCTTTTAATTGGCACATCTAGCCCATTTACATTTAAAGTTAATATTGTTATGTGTAAATTTGATCCTGTCATCATGATGTTAGCTGGTTATTTTGCAAACTACTTGATGCAGTTTCTTCATAATGTCATTGGTCATTATATTTTGGTGTGGCTGGTACCAGTTTTTATTTTCCATATTTAGTGTTTCCTTGAGGAGCTCTTGCAGGCAGGCCTGTTGGTGATGAAATCTCTTACCATTTGCTTGTCTGGAAAGAATTTTATTTCTCCTTCACTTATGAAGCTTAGTTTGGCTGGATATGAAATTCTGGGTTGAAAACTCTTTTCTTTAAGAATATTGAATATTGGCCTCCAGTCTCTTCTGGCTTGTAGGGTTTCTGCTGTGAGATCCGCTATTAGCCTGATGGGCTTCCCTTTGTAAATGACCTTATCTTTCTCTCTGGTCGCCCTTAAAGTTTCTTCCTTCATTTCAACCTTGGAGAATCTGATGATTTATGTGTCTTGGGGTTGCTGTTATCATGCAGTATCTTAGTGGTGTTCTCTGTATTTCCTGAATTTGAATGTTGGCCTGTCTTGCTAGGTTGGGGATTTTTTTTCCTGGATAATATCCTGAAGTGTGTTTTCCAACTTGATTCCATTCTCCCCATCTCTTTCAGATACTCCAATGAATTGTAGGTTTGGTCTTTATACATAGTCCAATAGTTCTGGAAGGTTTTGTTCATTCCTTTTCATTCTTTTTTCTCTAATCTTGTCTACATGCCTTATTTCAGCAAGATGGTCTTCAGACTCTGATATCCTTTCTTCTACTTGATTGATTCAGCTCTTGATACTTGTATATGATTCACAAAGTTCTCATGCTGTGATTTTCAGCTCCATCAGGTCATTTATGTCCCTCTCTAAACTGGTTATTCTAGTTAGCAGCTCCTCTAACCTTTCATCAAGGTTCTTAGCTTGTTTGCATTGGGTTAGAACATGATCCTTTAGCTCAGCATACTTTGTTACTACCCATCTTCTCAAGCCTACTTCTGTCAATCCATTCATCTCATTCTCTGTTCAGTTTTGCACCCTTGCTGGAGAGGGTGTTGCAATCATTTGGAGGAGAAGACGCATTCTGGCTTTTGGTATTTTCAGCATTTTTGTGCTGGTTTTTCCTCATCTTCATGGATTTATCTACCTTTGATCTTTGAGGCTGATGACCTTTGGACATAGTTTTTGTAGAGGGGAGGGTGGTCTTTTTCGTTGATGTTGTTGTTGCTTTCTGTTGTTAGTTTTTCTTCTAACAGTCATGACTCTCTTCTGCAAGCCTGCTGCAGTTTGCCAAAGGTCCACTCCAGACCCTGTTTGCCTGGGTATCACCAGTGGAGGCTGCAGAATAGCAAAGATTGCTGCCAGCTCCTTCCTCAGGAAGCTTCTTCCCAGGGGCACTGGCCTGATGCCAGCCAGAGCTTTCCTGTATGAGGTGTCTGTCGGCCCCTGCTGGGAGGTCTCTGCCAGTCAGAAGGCCTAGGGTTCAGGGACCTGCTTGAGGAGGCAGTCTGTCCCTTGGCAGAGCTGGTGTATTGTTCTGGGAGAATCCCCCTTGTCAGGATCACCCACTCTCTTCAGAGCCTGCAGGCAGGAAAGATTAAGTCTGCTGAACCTGAGACCACAGCCACCTCTCCCCCAGGTGCTCTGTTCCTGGGAGAGGAGAGTTTGGTCTGGAAGCCCCTGACTGGAGCTGCTGGATTTGCTGCCGAGATGCCCTGCCCAGTGAGAAGGAATCTAGAGAAGCAGTCTGGCCATAGCTGTTTTGCTGCACTGTGGTGAATTCCTCCCAGTATAAACCTCCCAGTCTCCTTAGCGCTATCAGGGGAAAACTGCCTACTATAGCCACAGTAAAGGCAGTTGCCCCTCCCCCACCAAACTCGATTGTCGCAGACTGACTCCAGACTGCTGTGCTGGCAGTGAGAATTTCAAGCCAGTGGTTCTTAGCTTGCTGGGCTCCATGGGAGTGGGACCTGCTGAGCAAGATCACTAGGCTCCCTGGCTTCAGCCTCCTTTCCAGGGGAGTGGAAGGTTCTCCTGTCTCACTGGAGTTCCAGGCACCACTGGAGTATGAAAAAACTCTTGCAGCTCAGTGCCTGCCCAAACAGCCACCCAGTTTTGTGCTTGAAACCCAGGGTTCTGGTGGTGTAGGCTCAGGAGGGAATCTGCTGATCTGCGGATTTTCATTAGGTTCACTCCTTGTGTTGTACATTCTATGGGTTTTTCTAGATGTATAATGTCATGTATCCTTCTTTACAATATCATACATAATAGCTTTACTGCCTTAAAAGTACCTGTGCTTCACCTATTTATCCTTTTTCTTCTTCCTACTCTCAAATCCATTGCAACCACTAGTGTTCTTCTTATCTAAGTTATCCATTTAATAAATTTACAGAAGACCATTATGTTCTGGTAATATCATAAGTGATGGGGATGCAACACTAAACTAGGTAGGAGGGAAACAAGAGGAAAAAAATGCCCAGTAAATACAATATTTCACAGATTTTAAAAAATAAAATTGGGAAATGGGATAAAAAAAATACGCAAGAGAGGATGTACTTTTGATTGGGTAATTAGGAGAGCCTCTCTGAGGATGTGTCATTTTTGAGGTAAGCCTGAGTGATAACAAGGAGCTTCTTCTACAAAGTACTTAGGAAAGTGCATTCCAGACAAAGAAAACACAAATACAACAGCTCTCATGTAGAAAATGCTTGGTTTGTTTGAGTGTCAGAAAGATGCTTTCATGAAAAGGCAAAGAAATATTTATTACCACAGTACCAATAAGCACTCTTAGCAAACAAATGTAGTTTCTACCATATTTTTCTGCTAAAAGGAACCAAACCTCTCTAAATAAATGTATGTTCCCCTGGCTGGGGCTGCACACACCTGAACATCTTGTCAAATCAGAAGCAAAGAAGCTATCAAAGAATACCATGAATGTGTCAATGTGTCAAAAGGACTCAGAAATGTGGAGAGGCACACACTAAAGAAGAGGCAATGGGAATATCAATAAAATAATTATCAGGTGGATAGAAAATATGCAAATTTTTTAAATGTGTGAGTCTGTAAATGATACTGGAAGAAATTGACATTTGGAAGATTCTAGGAAATCTATTGTTTTGAAAATAATCAAGTGAAAGAAATAAGCATTAAAAATAAAAGCAACTAGAGTGTAGTAAATCTTGGAGAGATTGGAAGAAATAGGTCAGAAGTTAGGGAGGAGCCAGATCATATAAACTCCCATAAGGCATAGTAAGAAGTTTGTGTGTTATTCTAATTGCACTGGAAAGTCACTGAGTGTTTGGGCTGGTTAATGACATGATTAGGAGAAAAGCAAAAAAAGAAAAAGAGAGAAACAGTAATAATTCTTATTATTAATGATTAAAAGGAGAAACTATAAAGGAAAATGAGAGTTCATTTTCTGAAGAGGGAGCTGGGTGATCATATTTTGTAAAGAAAAGAAAGAGTGTGTGTGAATGTCTGTCATTGGAAAATTAAATTTGATGAGAAAAATGTAGCATGATGTTGTCCAATATTGAATGCCCATTTATGGCTTTGTATTACACATTTATTTTATTTTATTATTATTATACTTTAAGTTTTAGGGTACATGTGCACAACGTGCAGGTTTGTTACATATGTATACATGTGCCGTGTTGGTGTGCTGCACCCATTAACTCGTCATTTAGCATTAGGTATATCTCCTAATGCTATCCCTCCCCCCTCCCCCCACCCCACAACAGGCTCTGGTGTGTGATGTTCCCCTTCCCGTGTCCATGTGTTCTCATTGTTCAATTCCCACCTATGAGTGAGAATATGCGGTGTTTGGCTTTTTGTCCTTGAGATAGTTTGCTGAGAATGATGGTTTCCAGCTTCATCCATGTCCATACAAAGGACATGAACTCATCATTTTTTATGGCTGCATACTATTCCATGGTGTATATGTGCCACATCTTCTTAATTCAGTCTATCATTGTTGGACATTTGGGTTGGTTCCAAGTCTTTGCTATTGTGAATAGTGCCACAATAAACATAAGTGTGCATATGTCTTTATAGCATCATGATTTATAATCTTTTGGGTATATACCCAGTAATGGGATGGCTGGGTCAAATGGTATTTCTAGTTTTAGATCCCTGAGGAATTGCCACACCGACTTCCACAATGGCTGAACTAGTTTACAGTCCCACCAACAGTGTAAAAGTGTTCCTATTTCTCCACATCCTCTCCAGCACCTTTTGTTTCCTGACTTTTTAATGATCGCCATTCTAACTGGTGTGAGATGGTATCTCATTGTGGTTTTGATTTGCATTTCTCTGATGGCCAGTGATGATGAGCATTTTTTCATGTGTTTTTTGGCTGCATAAATGTCTTCTTTTGAGAAGTGTCTGTTCATATCCTTCGCCCACTTTTTGATGGGGTTGTTTGTTTTTTTCTTGTAAATTTGTTTGAGTTCATTGTAGACTCTGGATGTTAGCCCTTTGTCAGATGAGTAGGTTGCAAAAATTTTCTCCCATTCTGTAGGTTGCCTGTTCACTCTGATGGTAGTTTCCTTTGCTGTGCAGAAGCTCTTTAGTTTATTAGATCCTATTTGTCAATTTTGTCTTTTGTTGCCATTGCTTTTGGTGTTTTAGACATGAAGTCCTTGCCCATGCCTATGTCCTGAATGGTATTGCCTAGTATTACACATTTTAAATGACACAAGTCAAGATGATTGTATTATTCATTCAGCATCTCAGATACAGGTGCAGACTAAACTAATACTTAGAATTAATTTAGACTTGATGCTTCCAGGTGAATATGACAAGGAGAAGGGAGCTGCGAATTTAAGAGATTTGCAAATGTGTGATTATAGAGCTGAATTATTAATTCTAAATGGGTAAGGCAGAGGAGAAGACATGAGTGAAAATCGTAAATGGATTGTAGGTCTTGAAAAAATGTTGGAGTGAGACTATTTGAGTAAATGAGTGATAATAAAATAATTTGGTGATTAAAAGTAGAGTAGAATGCTGAAAATGTAGATTTAACAGACATTGCCATTTTTATGATAAAAAGTAAGAAGTGAGCATGGGAATGCATGCAGGAGTGGAGTAGAGAAAAAGTCACTGATGTTAAGTATTTCAAAAATCTGAGGGGGCAGGGAAGGGATGACTCATATGCTATGTCACCATAGATGTTGAAATAGCCAAGGATGATAACAATAAATAGTAGAGGAGGCAGAACAGTTGGATTTATAATGGCTGCAGTTTGGCTAGACAGGTGTAAGAGATGTTGATAGAAGCAAGGAAAATAAAGTTCTAGATAGTAATAAAGTTCTACATGAGTTGATTGGAGGCTGGTTCTTTGGCAAACAGGGAAAGATTATTAACAGGAAACATATGAGGTTAAACCACTTAATCTAATTCAGTCTGAAGTCTCTCACATACAGATCAAGAGCATTGGGAGAAACTGTTGACTAAGACTTCAGATGATAATGGTCTTTGTTTCTAGTAAGTGTCAAGGATATATTATGTATTCACAGATCTATGCCCAGGACATTTACGCATTTGGCCAACTACTTTTCTGCACTTTTTAGTCAGGTATGACTCTTGAACAATGATGAATAATAAAGAAAAATATAGTAATTAAATAAAACTGTTCATTCCGGTATATTTAGGGCAATTTAATCTTACCAGTTTCCTAAATTTTGAGACAGTTTACTATATGGTTGAGATTCATTGAGAATGAAGGACATCAGCCACAGAAATGGATTGAATTTTATCATAAATTAAATTAATTGATTTTGGAATGTTAAATAAGCCTTGTATTACACTGGATCATTATATACTATTCATATATTAGCAAATTAAATTATATACCATTTTGTTTAGAATATTTGCACCTATGCTCATAAAGGATATTTGTCTGGGGTTTTCTTGCAATGGTTGTCTGGTTTTGTAGTCATGGTAATATTGACTTCATGGAATATATTGAAAGTGTTTCTTCCTCTTTTAGCTTCTGGAAGAGATTGAATAGAATTGCTATTATTTATTTTATACATTCTTGGTACAAATCAGCAGTGAACACATCTGAATCTAGAAATTTTTTCTGAGTAGGTTTTTAACTATAAATTCAAATTATTTTGAAGATTGAGCTATTAAGTTTATGTATTTCTTCTTGAATAATTTTGTTAGTTTGTGTCATTCAAAGAATTAATCAATTTTATCTAACTTGTCGAAATAAAGTTGTTTATAACATTCCCTTATACTCCATTTAATATTTGTAGAATTTGTTTAATGATACTAATCTTCTTCCTGATATTAAGAATTGGTGTCCTTTCTTTCTTCCTGATCAGTCTGACTAAAAATTTATCAATTTTATTGCACTTCTCAAATAACTAGCTCTTAATTTTATTAGTTTTTCTTAATTTTCCTCTGTTTCCTACTTCTCAGATGCTTGTTTTGATCTTTTTTTTTCTGCTTATTTTGGGTTTTGACTACTCTTATTGTCTTAGTTTCTTAGAATGAAAGGCAAGGTCACTGACTTAAATCTCTTTCTAATATTGATATTTAGTGCTATAACTCTACCCTTATGTACTGTGCTACCTGCCGCTCACAAATTCTTTTGTTATTTTTTTTGCTTTCATTTAGTTAAAAATATTTTCTAACATCCCTTTTGAGTTTTTCTTTGACCCATGTGTTATTTAGAAGTGTGTTTGGTTTTCAAGTATTATGGACATTTGAAAAATTATCCTCTTTTTTATTTTTAATTTAAATTTGCCAGGATTTAAATCAATTTTATATCACTGTAATCCTTTTTATTGACATTTTATGACCCAGAGTATGGTCTATTTTGGAAAACAATTTGTGTACACTTGTAATGAATGTGTTTTCTCATGCTGGGAATAGTATTCTGTGATGCTAATTAGGTCGAGATTGTGGAAACTGTTGTTTAAATTTTCTATTTTTTTCTGATTTGGGGTTTAAGTATTCTATCGATTTTTTGAGAGAGAAATGTTGAAATCACCAACTGTATCATAGGATAGGTCAGTTTCTTGTACTTCTATCAGTTTCAGCTTCACATATTTTGAGACTCTGTTAGGGGCATTCATGTGTAGGATTGTTATTCTTCTTGATGAAGTAACCCTTTAGCTTTATAAAATGACCTTCTTTATTCATTACATTAATTTTGTATGACCATTTTAACAAATTAGCAAAATACTTATTGGCTTAATGCAACCCCAATTTTTTTAATCTGTTTCAGAAATCTGACCTATACCTCCCTGGGCTAAAATTAAGGTGGTAGAACTCTCTTTCTAGTGGCTCCAGGGGGGAATCTGTTTCCGTTCCTTATCCAACTTCTAGAGGCAACCCACATTCCTTGGCTATGGCCATCTTCCACCATTTTCAAAGTCAGCAACATTTCATCTCTCTTGCCATTCTTCCATAGTGACTTTTCCCTCTTGCTACAGCTAGATAAGTTTTCTTGCTACACCTAGGTAAGTTATCTGTCTTTAAGGACACATTTGACATACCCAGATTAGCCAGTATAATCTCTCCATCTCAAGGTCATTAACTTAATCACATCTACAAAGTCTCTTTTACCATGTGAGATAACATTTTCACAATGTTCTACTATTAGGTTATAAACACATTGTGGACGGGGGCATTACTTTGCCTACCACACACTAGGCAGTATTTACTGCTCTGAAATCTAATCTTCTTAATATTAGTATAGGCATTCTAACTTTCTTTTGATTAGTATAAACATGATATTTCTTTTTTCATTCATTTACTTTCAATTTAGTTTTGTATTTATATTTAAACTTTGAATTCCCTTTTAATTAAGGTGTTTAGAACATTTACATTTAATATAATTATCTGTATTTGGTTATGTTTAAATCTATCTGGCTCTTTGTTTTATATATGTGCCTTCTATTCTTTGTTCCCCTTTTCCTCTTTTTCTGCTTTCTTTGGAATTGAATTTTAAGTTTACTTCATTTGACTTTTTGCTTATTTGTTAAAACTCATTTTATAATTTAAGTAGTTGTTTCATGCTTTATAATATACATCTTTAACTTATCGCCACCTAGCTTCAAGTGCTATTATACAACTTTACATAATGTAGAATACTTAACAATAGTTTACTTATTTTTATTTTCTTCCAGTTTTTATAAGATACACAATTATACTTCTACATATTTGAAACTCCACACTGTATCATCATTATTATCTTTTTAAACTATCAGTGTTTTGTAGGAAAGGTTATATAAAAAAAAGCCTGGTATATTTACTGATGTAATTGCCATTTCAGTTGCTCTTTATTTTTGGGGGTAGATTCACATTTTCATTTGGTGTCATTTTCCTTCCACTTGAAAGATTTCTGTTAGCATTTCTTGTCATGCAAGTCTGTTAGTGATGAATTATCTTTAAAAGTTTTTACTTTACCTTTAATTTTGCAAGATATTTTCCTCAGCTTAAAAGCCTAGGTTGTTAATTTTTATTTTTCAATACATTAAAGTTTCCTTGTTTCCAGAAAAAAATGTGCTGGTAATCTAACTCTGACTGTTTTCCCTGTGTTCATAATGTGTCCCTTGTCTCTGGATGCTTAAGATATTTTCTTTATCCGTAGTTTTGAGTAATTTAATTGTAATGTACCTTGGTGTAGTTTATTTCTTTGTGTGTGTGTGCTTGGGATTTATTGTATACGTAGGTTTATAATTCTCATCAAATTTGGAAAAGTGGTCTTTACTAAAGTTTTTATTGTTCTTTTCTCCTGTATTTATTTTTATATGATTTCTATTGCTATGTCTTTAATTATTCTTTTTTCTGTATTGTCTTATGTTCCATTAATTCCATCCAGTATATTTTTGATCTCAGACATTTCAGTTTTCATTCCTGGAAGTACAATTCGTATCATTTTTACATATTCCATTTCTCTACTTACTGTTTGACTACATGTAATTGAATGCACCAACTGTTTTAACAACTTTATTTTCTAATTCTAACATCCACTTCAGGTCTAGGTGAGTTTCAAATGTTGATTTTCAACTCATTCTATATTCTGCTTTTTTGCATACTTTGGAATTTTGATTGGATACCAGATATTGTGAATTTTACCTTTTTCTGTGCTGGATATTTTAGTACTTCTATAAATTATATTTTGGTACTTCTATAATTATTCTAGAGCTTCATTCAAAGATGCATTTTATTTATTTAGAAACCATTTATTCTTTTCAAATGTTGCTTTTAAGCTTTGTTAGGCAGGGCAGCACAGTGTTAAGACTAGGTTTTAGGCTGTTTTGTGTAGCTATAACAGAATACTACAGACCACATAATTTGGATCATTTAAAAAGAAAAGAAATTTATTTCTTAATTCTGGAGGCTTGGAAGTCCAAGATCTGGGGACTCACACCTGGTAGAGAACTTCTTGCTGTCTCATGCTCCCTGATAATGACATTAATCTAAAGGCAGACCCTTTATAACTTATTCAGCTCTTGAAGGTCTCATTTCTCACACAGTTGCATTAGAGATTAGTTTCTGACACATGAACTTTAGGGGACACATTCAAACGATAGCACTGATGAATTACTCTCAACTACCGAGAAAAGACTCTTCTGAATTATCTACCCAATACTCTGTGAATTACAAAGTTGTTCCATCTGGCTGGTGGGAACACCCACTATTCTGAGTTCACTGTGAGCATTCAGTGCTGTTCTCGCTAATCCTTTGAGTGACACTTTTTCTGATTACTTTCTTCTCATGTATACAGTGATTAGTATTCTGTTGAATACATAAGCAGGACCCTCTGCAGACCTCTGGGGTACTTTATCTGTGCATCTTCTTGTCTCTTATGCTCTGTCTTGCAAACTCTAGCCAACCTTGGTGTCCCCAGACTCTCAGCAATGTCTTATCAACTATGGGAGTCATCTGGGCTTTGCCTAGATTTCTTATCCCTGTCTCTTGTCCTTAAAACTCTCCTAGCTGAGAAAATGTAGAGCTAACTTCTACTTTTTTCCATCTCTCAGGGACCACAATAATACATTGCTTAATATCTAATGTCTTGAAAATACTATTTCACATTATGATATGTATTATATTATTTCATATATGAAATTGGGGCTCTCAGAGTGTAAATCCTGTCCCAGTTACTTTTTCTTGTCCAGAAATGGAAGTCTCATTAACTTGCTTTTGTTTTTAATGAATATTCTCCAGTGGACTCCCTTCCAATTTCTCCTCACATTTGGGAAATTTGTAGTGAGCTTGGAAAATAAGGAAGAAGGATTGTGCTTATACTTTTTGAAAAATCTATTCTACATCAAATAAGAAAATTATAGAAGAGACATTGTTAATTTAAATGGCGACATAAAGAGAATGATGCTTTGTCTATAGCACACCTAAGTAGGGGCAGTTTTTCTGAGGGAACCTCTCATCCTTCAGGGTTGATGGGTCAATATAGTGCATCCTATTGCATATTGTTAATGAAAATCATTCTCTACTCTTTTTAAAATATTTCCTGTACTTCTGAAGTTTTTATCAAATAAGTTACTTATTTCTCCCCTTCTCTTTGTAATTATCTGTGAAATTCAGTGCACTTCACTCACTGGAAACTCAAGCACCTTTCCACCTTGATTCATGTCATTATGCTATAAACATCTACCTGGACAAGTCATGCAACAGTACATTATAGTAATTCCCAGACCTCTCTATCTTCCTCAACCTTCACTCTAGCTCAGGATCTTGGTGATACTCTTGATCTTATCAGTGTCAGAGTTGGTAATGGCTCCAAAATCATAAGCATCCCAATTCTTAATTTCAAGTTTTGGTCCAAATATATATATATATATATGGTTTTTGTTTGTTTGTTTGTTTGTTTGTTTTTCTTTTTCAACTTCCACCTATTTTCATGTGTCTCTTTTTTTTCTGTTAATATTCTACAATTTATTATAATAATCAATCCCTTACAATTTCCTAATTTCTACTGACTGTCTTTCCTATAGGGAAGAATTGGAATACATCATTCTAGATGAACTCATTATTTAGTTTCTCTACACCTGATTTCATGAAGCTGAACATGGATGTAGAAAATTATACACAAGAAAATAGAGGTCAATATAAATTTATAATTACACACTCAATGAGTGTGTGTTACCCAGCAATCCTTAACATTGCTTTAGTAATTATTTTCTTGAATATTCCATATTTTAATCTGTTTTAAACCTCTTAACTCCTCAAATCATCTACAGTTCTTCTTTAGTCTCCCTATTTTCAACTCTTCAATTTCTTTAATACTATTTGTAGAAATAATATAAGCAAATATCTATTTATTTGCTACCATGACAGTGTTGTTTGCATACACTGTCTTCAAATTTTCACATCCCTTTAAGCACTTCAGACATACTCCAGCCTGACTTGCACTCTCTACTTCATTAAAATGCTCATTTGAGATGACACATCAGCTCTCTTTTCAAATCAGACATTTCTAATTCCCTGTTTCTCTCAACACCTCAAGAACAGTAAGCTCCTGTGACAACTCTCCCCTTACGTTGCTCTCATATACTCCTGGATTTTTACTTCCACCTCTCTGGCTTGTTTTTCTGAGACCGTTTCCTTTTTTTCTCATTTTTCATGTATGATATACACAAAATGTTGAATTTCCATATAGTTTTTCTTGTTATCTCTACCATCTTTACATAGATAATCTTCAAGAACACACTTTGTCATATTTTTATTTTTTTTAATTTTTATTTTAGGTTTGGGGGTACATGTAGTAGTTTGTTACATAGATAAACACGTGTCCCAGGGATTTGTTGAACATAGTATTACACCATCCTGGTATTAAAACCAGTACTCAATAGTTATATTTTCTGTTCTTCTCCCTCCTCCTACCCTCCTGCCTCAAGTAGACCCCAGTGTCTGTTGTTTCCTTCTTTGTGTTCATAAGCTCTTATCATTTAGCTCCCACTTATAAGTGAAAATACGCAATATTTGATTTTCTGTTTCTGTTTCAGTTTGCTAAGGATGATAACCTCCAGCTCCATCCATGTTCCCACCAAAGACATGATCTCATTCTTTTTTATGGCTGCATAATGTTCCATTGTGTGTATGTACCACATTTTATTTATTCAGTCTGTCATTGATGGGCATTTAGGTTGATGCCATGCCTTTGCTATTGTGAACAATGCTTCAGTGAACATTTGTGTGCATGTGTCTTTATTTTAGAATGCTTTATAGTCCTCTGGCTCTATATCCAGTAATGGGATTGCTGGATAAATTGTACTTCTGCTTTTAGCTCTTTGAGGAATCACCATACTTCTTTTCACAATGGTTGAAGTAATTTACACTCCCACCAGTGTGTTCAAGGGTTCATTTTTCTCTGCAACCTTACCAGCATCTGTCATTTTTGACTTTTTGATAATAATCATTCTGACTATTGTGAGATGGTATCTTACTGTGGTTTTGATTTGCCTTTCTCTAATGATCTGTGATAGCGAGCTTTTTTTCATATGCTTGTTGGCCGCATGTATGCCTTCTTTTGAAAAGTGTCTGTTCATATCCTTTCCCCACTTTTTGATGGAGTTGTCTGTTTTTCCTATAAATTTGTTTAAGTTCCTTACATGATGAAGGATATTAGACCTTTGTCAAATGTGCAGTTTGCAAACATTTTCTCCCATTCTGTAGGTTGTCTATTTACTCTGTTGATAGTTTCTTTAGTTGTGCAGAAGCTCTTAAGTTTACTTAGATATCACTTGTCAACTTTTGTTTTATGATTGCTTTTGGTGTTTTTGTCATGAAATCTTTGCTCGTTCCTATATCCAGGATGGTATCCTAGGTTATCTTCTGAGGTTTTTATGGTTTGGGGTTTTACATTTAAGTCTTTAATACAACTTGAGTTGATTTTTGTATATGATATAAGAAAGGGGTCCAGCTTCAATCTTCTGCATATGGCTACCCAGCACCATTTATTGAATAGGTAGTCTTTTCCCCACTGCTTGTTTTTGTTAGCTCAGATGGTCATATATGTGTGGCCCTATTTCTGGGCTCTCTATTCTGCCACATTGGTCTATGTGCCTGTTTTTGTGCAAGTACCATGTTGTTTTGGTCACTGAAGCCTTGTACTATAGTATGAAGTTGAGTAACATGAGTATTCTTATACTACTCATAAACTATCTTGTCCCAATACACACACAGTGATTTTAACAATAATTTATAGAAATTCAGCAATTTTTGATTCTCTGACCCTCATTCTCTCACTTAACTTTATAGCCAACCCATTTCTAAATTTTATAGATTCTACATTAAAACCTGTCTCTACCCACTTGTTTTACAGTGAGGTGGTACTGCATTATAATTAAGAGCATGAACTGTGAAATCAGGGTTCCTAAATGCCTGTTCTAACCTATCACTAGGTGTGTGATCTTAACAAGTGAAAACTTTTCTAAGCTATATCTCCTTACCATATGAGTTATAATAACTCACATGTAAATTGTCTAACATGATGTTTGACACATCATAAGTTCTCAGTGAAGGCTGACTACTATAATTGTTGTTATTGTTTTTGTCATTATTGTCATTATCATTTTATGTTCAGTGATACAACTCTATTTCATGTCATTATCTGTTTTTGCTTCATTCTCTACTGTGTCACTCAACTGGTTTTTAGTCTATTTTTGCCCCTTTCCTAACCATTATCTAGCCACTAAATGGAATGATCTTTTAAGACATAGATTGGAATCACATTAATCTACTAATTGAAAATTCCCAATGATATCACTTTGCACTTAGATTGGATTAGAAAAAAAAAACAAAAAACACTTACCATGTTCTATGATGCCAAATATGATCTGTCCCCTGATCACCATTCAAAATGACTGCTACTCTTCATCACTCCTCATACTCCCGCAACTGAAAGGGTTTTCTTCTCCTAAATCATGCCAAGATTTTTCTTACCACCCTCCTCCCTCTGCCCCATGCCATTTACTCTTCTGAATATGCATCCCATCTTTAATTGATTGTTTTCAATTTGGTTGTTTTCTTTCAAACTTCAGGTAACAGCTTAAATGACACTTCCTCAGAGATCTCTTTCCTGACCAAACTGCAAAATTTCTTCCATTCATTATTAAAGCAGACAAAACATGGCTTAAGAATGACTCTGTGTTTCTATATTTGAGTCATTGTGGATGAACTGTAACCTAGCTTAATAGTCAGACAAAATAGGAAATCTAACTTAATAATATGCACCTGTAACACTGGCTGTGTGTTGGCCAAACCCAGTGGCCATACTTCAACCACTCATAGACTGCTGAATGTTCAAACCGCCTTCAAATAAGGCAAATGCCAAGCTGTAACCAATCTCACTGTTTCTGTACCTCACTTCTGATTCCTGTACATCACTTTATCTTTTTTGTCTATAAATTTGTTCTGACCATGAGGCACCCCTGGAGTCTCTGTGAATCTTCTGTGATTCTGGGGTCTGCCTGATTTGCGAATCATTCATTGTTCAATTAAACTCTTTTAAATTTAATTAGGCTAAAGTTCTTATTTTATCAGATTATGTCAGAAATGGAATCCGAAGTGGAGCTTCTAGTGACCCCCAGGAGCTCTGAGTGAACATTCAAGTTACCTGCAGGACCCACGTGTGTCAATTGATCTCTCAGAGTAGCTGGGGATTGTGGGTAAGCTCCCTCTCAGATTTTGGAGCTCCACAGATTTGTGTTTTGAGTTCTCCGAGTTTCTTTGAGCAAATTTCTGATCCAAACTGGGTTTGGCATTCTGACAGAAACTGGACTGGGTCCAGGAATGGATTTGATTCGGGAATTAACTGTTTGGGATCTCATTAGAGGCCTCTTACATCTGACTTGTTCAGAAAGGAACTGGTAGTAAGCAGTAATATTGCAGGGGTTATAAAATTTGGCTTTTGAAAATTCATGGGATTTTTGTGTTATACCCCTTTGTATTATTTTTCTTGCGTGCTAAGGTAGGAAAAAGTCATTGGCTAAGTTAATCAAGAGAACCTGAGAGTAAAGCCAATATTTTAGATAAAAATGGGATCCTTAATTTCTGGAAAACTGAGTTCCTTCTGGCTTATACATTAGGCCTGGGAGGCAGCAAAGTCTTAGAGAAACAGCAAAATATTACTAAAAATAACTTACAGTGGAATGTTCAGAATGAACAACAATGTACTGAAGTACATTTTAAAAATGAGGGCTCTTGGTAAAGTCCCTTTTGGCCAAGATTGGGTTTGACACTACAGCATGTCAACTGCTATTCTTTTTGGAGTAGTCTACCTTGCACTCTTTACTAATGGCTGTAGGTGACAGATTGTGGGATATGGGGAGCTTTTTCCTCCCTAGAAGGGGAAACTTGAGAGATGATGGGATTGCTGGAAAAGATCCCTTTGCTACTGAGAAGCAGCTGCCTGAACTTTTCAGTGTTGCTGCAATGAGTGGGTCTTTCTCTGGCCTCCCTGATCATTTTGCCTTCCCCATCCTGTCACAGGCAATGCTTTTCTCTCTCTCCTTTCCCTTTCTTATCTTTTCTATTACTCAAGGTGACCATCTTGCCCAGAGACCACATGTTGAAACTCCTGGTTGGAGATTGGATTAACGATGATGGGGCCCAACCAGGGGCAAGCTTGAGCCTTGCCAGTTTGATATTGGGTGCTAATCAGAGTGGCTAATGTCTATGTTCTGTGGCCAGAACAAAAAAGGATAATTTTTCCTTTTGATGCAACTTGGCCCCACCATGATAGTGCAGCAAGCTGAGTCACCAGGGCCGCTCAGGGAAAGTGAACCTAGAAGCCTGGCATGCTGGCAAAAGGGTAAGAATTTCTTACCAGTCAGATTTCTGGCTTCTCTCTCTCTGTGCAAATGGTCAAATGAATGGTAAAAATCACTGTTTATCTCCATTTTGTTTTATGTCCTTGGGAGCTTGACCTTGTAAATAAAAGGCAGTACTTTCTCTTGGTCTCTGCATTCTAGGGAAAAGGAATTTGGAGGTTTATGTCAGAGTTAGCTCTAAACATTATCTTGAGTAGTTAAAAGCCTTTGCAAGCTCAAAGTTAACTACTCTGGATACCTTTCAGGAAGAGTAGTGGAGAATGCCTATGCTGTAACTCAGTAGCTAAGGTTTTGCCTTTCACACTGGCAGTCCAGGTTGAATTCCCTGCTTAGGAAGTAAGTCCTTTTTGGTTTAATATCTGCGGAACTTTTCTAGTCTATTCTCCTCCATGGACTATCTGAAATTTTCCTTTCTCTGAGCACCTGGGAGGTTACCTTTGGTAAAGTTCAAAAGCCAGAAATATCAGCTGTTTGGTCTGGCTAAATTCAGGTAATAAAAAATTTCAAAAGCACTTTATTAAAGAGTGCTATGGTTAAAAGTCAGCTTACTTAAAAGTGGATATTCAAGCTCTGATAGCCTAGACTTCTTAGGAAAAACAGGAGGCCCAACAAATCCCTTTCCTGGTCCTGTTCTTCCAAGGACTCCACCCTAAAGCCAATAACCAATTAAGAAACTTAAAAAATGGGAAATGAAAAATCTTACAACTACTGCAGTAATATTCTGTCTTTCTGTCTGTGTAAATATATATGTGTTGTATTTAACGTTTATATAAAAGAGCTCTAATTAATTGGTTTAAACACAAATAAGCACTTAAATCAAATATTTTGAAAGCAATATAAAAAGTGTAATGCCTTTTGGTTCATGTGAATTTAGTAATCTTTGGGAAATAAAAACAGCTTTGAAGATTATTGATAAAATAAAGACATTTTGTCTAAATTATGCAGGACAAATATGAGGTTTGCTAAATGCTTTAAGGTCATAAACTGCTTTGACTTTTAAAAATTGTTCAATTTATTTTGGAGACATTAAATTCTAAATAAGGTCTGAGTATATATGGAATTAGCCATGCCCCCTAGCTATGAAAAGAAGGTTATAAAGAAGAAAGATTTTATGTAAGAAAGGTTGTTGTATGGTAAATCTTTGTACTAAAGTAAAATGACTGGTTGTTTAAAAAGAAAGATGTTTAGGGCACGTCAGAAAGTCTAAACATGTCATACATGGTCTGTGTAAGTCACGAAAGAATTTATGAAAAGAAATTTAAGCCAGAAATGTTGTACAATTTAAAGATGATTCAATGTTCATCAAGGATATTGGTCTAAAATTCTCTTTTTTGGTTGTGTCTCTGCCCGTCTTTGGTATCAGGATGATGCTGGCCTCATAAAATGAGTTAGGGAGGATTCCTTCTTTTTCTATTGATTGGACTAATTTCAGAGGAATGGTACCAGTTCCTCCTTGTAACTCTGGTAGAATTCGGCTGTGAATCCATCTGGTCCTGGACTCTTTTTGGTTGGTAAGCTATTGATTGTTAATACAGGCAAACCAAATCCAGCAGCATATCAAAAAGCTTATCCACCATGATCGAGTGGGCTTCATCCCTGGGATGCAAGGCTGGTTCAATATATGCAAATCAATAAATGTAATCCAGCATATAAACAGAACCAAAGACAAAAACCACATGATTATCTCAATAGATGCAGAAAAGGCCTTTGACAAAATTCAACAGCCCTTCATGCTAAAAACTCTCAATAAATTAGGTATTGATGGGATGTATCTCAAAATAATAAGAGCTATCTATGACAAACACACAGCCAATATCACACTGAATGGGCAAAAACTGGAAGCATTCCCTTTGAAAACTGGCACAAGAGAAGGATGCCCTCTCTCACCACTCCTATTCAACATAGTGCTGGAAGTTCTGGCCAGGGCAATTAGGCAGGAGAAGGAAATAAAGGGTATTCAATTAGGAAAAGAGGAAGTCAAATTGTCCCTGTTTGCAGATGACATGATTGTATATCTAGAGAACCCCATCATCTCAGCCCAAAATCTCCTTAAGCTGATAAGCAACTTCAGCAAAGTCTCAGGATACAAAATCAATGTACGAAAATCACAAGCATTCTTATACACCAACAACAGACAAACAGAGAGCCAAATCATGAGTGAACTCCCATTCACAATTGCTTCAAAGAGAATAAAATACCTAGGAATCCAACTTACAAGGGACGTGAAGGACCTCTTCAAGGAGAACTACAAACCACTGCTCAAGGAAATAAAAGAGGACACAAACAAATGGAAGAACATTCCATGCTCATGGGTAGGAAGAATCAATATCATGAAAATGGCCATACTGCCCAAGGTAATTTATAGATTCAATGCCATCCCCATCAAGCTACCAATGCCTTTCTTCACAGAATTGGAAAAAACTACTTTAAAGTTCATATGGCACCAAAAAAGAGCCCGCATTGCCAAGTCAATCCTAAGCCAAAAGAACAAAGCTGGAGGCATCACCCTACCTGACTTCAAACTATACTACAAGGCTACAGTAACCAAAACAGTATGGTATTGGTACCAAAACAAAGATATACATTAATAGAACAGAAGAGAGCCCTCAGAAGTAACGCTGCATATCTACAACTATCTGATCTTTGACAAACCTGAGAAAAACAAGCAATGGGGAAAGGATTCCCTATTTAATAAATAGTGCTGGGAAAACTGGCTAGCCATATGTAGAAAGCTGAAACTGGATCCCTTCCTTACATCTTATACAAAAATTAATTCAAGTTGGATTAAAGACTTAAACCTTAGACCTAAAACCATAAAAACCCTAGAAGAAAACCTAGGCATTACCATTCAGGACATAGGCATGGGCAAGGACTTCATGTCTAAAACACCAAAAGCAACAGCAACAAAAGCCAAAATTGACAAATGGGATCTAATTAAACTCAAGAGCTTCTGCACAGCAAAAGAAACTACCATCAGAGTGAACAGGCAACCCAGAAAATGGGAGAAAATTTTTGCAACCTACTCATCTGACAAAGGGCTAATATCCAGAATCTACAATGAACTCAAACAAATTTATAAGAAAAAAACAAACAACCCCATCAAAAAGTGGGCAAAGGACATGAACAGACACTTCTCAAAAGAAGACATTTATGCAGCCAAAAAAACACATGAAAAAATGCTCACCATCACTGGCCATCAGAGAAATGCAAATCAAAACCACAATGAGATATCATCTCACACCAGTTAGAATGGCAATCATTAAAAAGTCAGGAAACAACAGGTGCTGGAGAGGATGTGGAGAAATAGGAACACTTTTACACTGTTGGTGGGACTGTAAACTAGTTCAACCATTGTGGAAGTCAGTGTGGCAATTCCTCAGTGATCTAGAACTAGAAATATCATTTGACCCAGCCATCCCATTACTGGGTATATACCCAAAAGACTATAAATCATGTTGCTATAAAGACACATGCACACGTATGTTTATTGCAGCACTATTCACAATAGCAAAGACTTGGAACCAACCCAAATGTCCAACAATGATAGACTGGATTAAGAAAATGTGGCACATATACACCATGGAATAGTATGCAGCCATAAAAAATGATGAGTTCATGTCCTTTGTAGGGACATGGATGGAATTGGAAATCATCATTCTCAGTAAACTATCGCAAGAACAAAAACCCAAACACCGCATATTCTCACTCATAGGTGGGAATTGAACAATGAGAACACATGGACACAGGAAGGGGAACATCACACTCTGGGGACTGTTGTGGGGTGGTGGAGTGGTGAGGGATAGCTTTAGGAGGTATACCTAATGCTAAATGATGAGTTAATGGGTGCAGCACACCAGCATGGCACATGTATACATATGTAACTAACCTGCACATTGTGCACATGTACCCTAAACCTGAAGTGTAATAATAATAAAATAAAATAAAATAAAATAAGAAAAATTTAAAGATGATTAGACCTCCTAAATGCTTCATAAAATGTCACTATGACTCATAACTGTACAGCCTGCTTGCTTTACACCTATGTAAGGCCTGGGACATGTGGAGTTAGAGACTGGAAAGAGTCAGGCTTTATCTGCATTTCTGTCTGGGTCCTAGGCTTCACACCTTCTACGTAATTAAAATCCTTTATTTACCAAGAATTTCACCAAAAGTAAAAGTAAATACCAACATTTTACCAAAAGAGTAAACATTGTAATATGTAATTGAGACTAATGAAAAAATAAGTTTTCATACAAGGTGTGCAAGGAGAATAAAATGTGTTTTTTAAGAGATTATAAGAAGGAATGGAAATGTAAACTTTTGCTAGGTTAGAGGGTGAAAGGATTGCTTTAAATTTTAAAAAAGGTAAAGGTGTGAACAAGTTGTGGAAGGTTTATAAAAAATTAATTGTAAAAACTTCGATGTGTGGACATATTGGCTAAAATTAAAATGGCATTATTCAGTTTTTTTCCATAAATTGGACATTGGAATAAAAGCACAACAGAGTTTTATCAGAACATTGTTCTGCTCTGAGAAAAAAAAGTAAAGGATTATAAAAGGTTTACAAAAATCTTAAATTATAGTCAAACTAAAAAAATAGATTTATAAAATGTTATTTAAAAACTAGCTTTAACATCAACAATATACTACTGGAAACATGAAATTTGTTTTTCTCTTTTAAAGAAGACTTTTATGTAATATTAAAAGATAATGAAAGGTTTTTGTTTACCTTTTTAGTAAACTACAAAAAAAGGGGGTGGGGAGGAAAGAAAGGAGACAGAGTCAGTAGGCCTCATGCTATCTTCATTGAGTCTTCTTTGGAAAGCTAAAAGACTCCTATCTATCAGAATAATGTTTTTTCCTTTAAAATTTTTTTGAGTTATCATTTTGGCTAAATGAATTACTTATGGTAAGCTAAGATTATATTTTGTAATATCCAATGTTTTAAACTTTGGTATTTAACAAACTTTTCAAAATCAAGCTCTAGATTATCATGCAAAACCAGCCAACATTAAAATTGTTTAAATATGCAATTTGAATGAACTCCATGGTCTAAGTTAAATTACCTCTGATAACCTATTAGTTATCATTGCTTTGCACCTAAATTGGAGAAACAACTAGTATTCAAGAGGACTTAAGTCCAGTGTTAAGCATGGACTCATGAAGAACCAGGACAGCCACCTTGTCCTTCCTGATTCCTTAAAGCTTTTATTATTAAGGTTCTGCATTCCATGACTCATCATGGAAAAGAAAAATTAATCCAAATTGAATATATTGATGTAGTGAGTTATAAATTACAGAAATAGTTTAAAATAAGTTTTTGGTTCCATATTCCTGGAATGATAATCAAAGTTTGAGGTACATTTGGCTACCTCATGGGCCATTTAAACATTTATAAAGGGATTTCATTCAATTGTCATTTTCAATGCATGTTTTCTGGTTGTATAAAAGCTTTCCCATTCAAGAGGCCTGATGTTATAAGAGCAGATTATTATGCTACAGTGAATTTTCACCAGGAAAAGAACTTTTTTTATGGTTCACTGAGTACAATTCCTTCACAATCTAGAACCCAGAGTTTGGATCTTCTGAGAACATCAGAGAAAGACTGTCCTTGCCATTTACACTACAGCAAAACTTTGGAGTCTTGAACCTTGGGTTCATAATCTCACAACTGAGAAGGGTCTCTCCACACTCCTGGAACTGTACACCCATTGGTACCCTTAAAGTAAAACTAACCAGGAAAGTTTTTCCCCAGAAGAAGATGGCATCCTTAATGTTAACAGCTTTTCCCAACATCATGGATCAAAACTTCTACTATCACTAGACTCTTATCTTTAAATATTTTTTCCTTATTTATGCCTCTGTGAACAGTAGAAATAAAAAGAGAATCTACTATGTGCACTTATAATGTATACTTTTATTTATGAAGGATTTTGCAGCCAGCCTTATACATGAATAACCTTACACTTCAACAGATAAAAGATGAAGGCCCAATGTAGGTGAGAAACATTAGTGGTACATACATTGCCTTATAATCAGTCAAAACTCCTCTTAACCCACAACCTGGAATAAAGAGAACATTGCCAGGAGGCCTTCAGTCTTCTAGAAGGACATCATTTGTTAGGTCCTTTTTCCATGGTTTAGAATAAAAGAGGCAATAATTAGAAATATCTCCCTCATAATAGGTTCTACAGCAAATTGTACTTTAAAGGCTATTATCGCACAACAGACTTTAAATTCTCTTGTGAAAGTTATGCTAAATAATAGAATTGACTAAACAGAGAAGCACCTGTGCAGTTGCTGACATTTGTGGCCTATGGAGAAATCTATAAAATGTAAATTATAAAAATTCAGTTGTAGGGGATTAATGAAAAGACCACTTAGTCAAGTGAGTAGACTCTTCATCTAGCTCATTCTTTAATCTATCTAATTTTAAGTAGTTTGGTTTGTGGGGTCCCTGAGTAAGGAGAATACTCCAAACTCTTGGCATTATCCTCCCAATAGTCATAATGGTCTTCCTGGTACACTGTATTCTCTCAAAGATTTTAAATGTTCACATGCAGCCATCTCTAGAACATCAAATGGTCTCTCTTCAACTGGAATGACAAAAGCAGAAAGAAATGTGTGACCATGAGGACACTGTGACCTATGAATGACATGCTGAGACCAGAAACCCAAAACGATGGTAACTGAGAATGGTGCTAAGGCTCTAAGTTTTTATTACTTTCTCACCTAAGTGAGAACCTGGCCAAAAGGGGGGACTTTTTTAAAAACAAAATTACAAGAGGCCATTATTTTGGATTGAACTCATGTACTAGGTCCTAACAAACCAAACCAAACTAAAATGGAGTCACTCATGCTAAATGTGACATAATCAAACTAAGGCTTTAAGAAAACACATAAGTACTAGAACAGATCAGGTTTTGTTTTTCTCCTGTAAAAAGGATGGTCCAGCATAAGGAGGTACCCCCTATTCAGTCCTTATTCTCTTTGCAAAACTCACTGTTCTACTGCTTCCCAGTGAATTTCAAAACCATATTGGTACATTTATGACAGCGACAGTGGCATCAATGCCTAAGGTTTTGGGCAATCTCTCAAAATTGAGAAAATGACCACAAGGGGGGAATTGTTAAAGTGAAGTAAATATGGCCTGTGAAGGACTCCATACTTCTATACTTGAATCCTTGTAGATGAACTGTAACCTAGCTTAATAGTCAGACAAAATTGAAAACCTAACTTAATAGTATGCACCTGTAACAATGGCTGAGTGTTGGCCAATTCCATCTGCCATACTTCAACTACTCATAGACTGCTGAATGTTCAAACTGCATGCAAATAAGGCAAACACTGAGCTATAACCAATCTCACTGTTTCTGTACCTCACTTCTGATTCCTGTGCTTCACTTGATCTTTTTTGTCTATAAATTTGTTCTAACCACAAGGCACTCCTGGAATCTCTGTGAACCTTCTGTGATTCTGGTGTCTGCCTGATTCACAAATCATTCATTGCTCAATTAAACTCATTTAAATTTAATTTGGCTGAAGTTTTTTTATGACTATCAAAAAATTTATTCTGTTCCTCCCTGGCACACATTATACTTTCTAATTGTATACTGAACTGTGTTTTACTTTTATATTGCTTATTTTGCACATAACTCCATGAAGGCAGGGTCCGTGACTATTTTATTAATCACTATGTACCCAGAGACTTGTATAAAGCATAGCAAATAATCAAAGCCTAATAAAATATTTGTTTAATAAAAAACGGAAAAGTGGAGGCAAAGCAAGATGGCCACATAGAACCCTCCAATGGCCATAGCCCCAAGAGGAATACAAATTGAACAACTATCTACACAAGAAAGCACCTTCGTAAGAATCAAAAATCAGGCAAGCTATCACAGTACTTGCTTTTAACATCATAAAAAGGAAAGAGGCACTGAAGAAGGTAGGAAAGACAGTCTTGAATTGCCAATACCATCCCTCCCCCATCTCCCAGCAGCACAGTATGGCATGGAGAGAGAAGCTGTGTACTTGGGGAAGGGGGAAGAAAGTGATTGTGGGAATCAGTGCTGCACTGCTACAGAAAGCAACATGGGAAGAATTCAGCCAGAGCCTATGGAGGGAAGATTAAGACCAGCCCTAGCCAGAGGCAAATTATCCGTGTCAGGAGTCAAAACCTGAGTTCCAGCAAGCCATACCACCACAGGTTAAAATGCTCTGTGGTCTTACATAACTTGAAAGGCAGTCCAGGCCACAAAGACTGCAATTCCTGAGCAAGTCCTGGTGCTTTGCTGGGTTCAAAGCCAGTTGACTTGGGGTGCACATTATCCAATGAGACACCAGCTGGGGCAGCCAAAGGAATATTTTCATTACTCCTTTCCCAACCCCAGGCAGTGCAGCTTGAAGATCCAAGAGGGATATCTTCTTTCTACTTGAGGAGAGAAAAGGGGAGAGTAAGGGTACTTTGTCTTGCACCTTTGATATCAGTTCAACCACAGTAGGATACAGCACTAGGCAAAGTTCTGCAGCCCCATTCAAGGCCCCAGCTCCTAGATGACATTTCTAGACCCACACTGGGCCAGAAGAGAACCTACTGCCTTGAAGAAAACAACTCAATCCTGCTGACTAAAGAGCCCTTGGGCTTTGAATAAACATTAGCATTACCCAAGCAGTACTGACTGTGGGCTTTAGGTGAGACTCAGTGACATGCTTGCTTTAGTTGTGACCCAGAACATTCCCAGTTGTTGCAGTCATGGGGAGAGACCCCCGCATGAGGAAAGGAAAGGGAAGATTAAGGGAATTTTCTCTTGCAGCTTGGGTACCAACTTGGCCATAGTGGGTCAGAGCACCAAGCAGGCTATTGGGGTTCCTGATTCTATGCCTTGGCTCCTTGATGCCATTTCTGGACCTGATCTGGGCCAGAGAGGAGCCTACTGCCCCAACAGGAGAGACAGACCTGGCAGCATTCACCACAAGGTGATTAAAGAGCTTTTGGGGCTTAAGTGAACATTGGTGGTAGCCAGGCAGTATTTGCCATGAGCCTGAGTGGTGGTAGCTGCAGGGAGAGACTCCTTTTGCTCAATAAAAGGAGAGGGAAGAGTTGGAAGGACTTTGTCTTGCAGCTTTGGTGTCAGTTCACCTGCAGTAGAATAGAGCACCAAGTAGATTCTCAAACTTTCTGAATCCCAAACCTGGCTCCTGGATGGCATTTCTGGACATGCTCTGGGTCTGAAGTGAGCAGAGGGGGGTAACTTGCCACCCTGAACGTAAGAACACAAGCCTGGATGGACTTCCACTTGATGACTGAAGAGCCCTTAGGCTTTGGTGAACATTGGTGATAGCCAGGCAATGGTTGCTGCAAACTTTGGGCAAGACCCATTGATGTGCTGAGTTTGGGTCTAACCCACCACAATCCCATTGCTGGTGGCCACAGGGGTGCTTGTGTCACCTCTCCCTCAACTCCAGGCAGCTCAACATAGAGCGAGAGACTCCAATTCTTTGGGGAGAGGAAAAGGAAGATAACAAGAATCTTTGACTGGTAATCCAAAAAATTGTCCTGGATTTTACCAAGGACTACAAAAATCGTACCCTGATGAGTCTGCAAGAGTCACAGTGCTACTGTGTTGGGGTGTCTCCTAATACAGACATGGCTGCTGTAACCAAAGACTTAGATAATAGCACTAAATTTCCTTTGAATACATGGAAAGCCTTCCCCCAAAAAATAGGCACCAACAAGCCCAGACTGTGGAGACTACAATAAATACCTAACTCTTCAATGCCCAAATTGATGAACATCTACAAGCATCAAGATCATACAGGAAAACATGACTTCACCAAACAAACTGAATAAGGCACCAGTGATGAATTCCACAGTGAGAGATATATGACCTTTCAAACAGATAATTCAAAATAGCTATTTTGAGGAAGCTCAACAAAATTTAAGATAACACAGAGAAGAAATTCAGAATCCTACTAGATAAATTTAACAAAGAGATTGAAATAATTTTTTAAAATCAAGGCAAAATTCTGGAGCTGAAAATTCAATTGACATTCTGAAGAACGCATCAGTCTTTCAGTAGCAGAACTGATCAAGGAGCAGAAAGAATTACTGATCCTGAATATAGGCTATTTGAAAATACACAGTCAAAGGACATAAAGAAAAAAATCAATAAAAAAGAATAAAACACACCTGCAAGATCTAGAACATAGCCTCAACTAGGCAAATCTAAGAGTTACTGACCTCTAAGAAGAAGTAGAGAGAGAGATCAGAGTAGAAAGATTATTCAAAGATATAATAACAAAGAATTTTCCAAACCCAGAGAAAGATATCCATATTCAAGTACAAAAAGGTTATAGAACACCAAGCAGATTTAACACAAATAGCACTACCTCAAGGTATTAAATCAAATTCCCAAAGTCAATAATAAAGAAAGGATCCTAAAAGCACCAAGACAAAAAAACAACATACTAAGGAGCTTCAAGCAAGAGTGGTATGACATATTTAAAGTGTTGAAGGAAAAACCTTTTACCCAAGAAGAGTTTGTCCAGTGAAAGTATTGTTTAAGCATGAAGGAGAAATAAAGACCTTCCCAGACAAACAAAAGCGGAAGGATTTCAGCAACACCAGACCTCTCCTACAATAAATACTAAAGGAAGTTCTGCAATCTGAAAGAAATAGACATGAATGAGTGTATTAGTCAGGGTTCTCTACAGGGACAAAACCAATAGGCTAGATGTATATATAAAGAGGAGTTTATTAAGGAATACTGACTCACACAGTTACAAGATGAAGTTCCACAATAGGTTGTCTGAAAGCTGGGGAGCACAGAAGCCAGTCAACTCCTAAAACCTCAAAAGTAGGGAAGCCGACAGTGTAGCCTTCAGTCTGGGTCCAAAGGCATAAGAGCCCCTGGAAAACCACTGGGGTAAGTCTGAGTCCAGGGGCTGAAGAACTTGGAGTCTGATGTTCTAGGGCAGGAAGCATCCAGCACAAGAGAAAGATGAAGGTTGGGAGACTCAGCAAGTCTGCTCTTTCTATCTTCTTCTGTTTGCTTTATTCTAGCTATGCTGGCAGCTGATTAGATTGTGTCCACCCAGATTGAGGTTGGATCTGCCTCTCCCAGTCCACTGATTCAAATGTTAATCTCCTTTGGCAACACTCTCACAGACACACCCAGGAACAATACTTTGTATCCTTCAATCCAATCAAGTTGACACTCAATAACAACCACCACAGTGAGCAAAAGAAGACATCCAAAGGAACAAAACTCACTGGCAATAATAAGTACATAGACAAATATAAGGTATTATAACACTCTAATTGTTGTGTGTGAACTACTTATCTCTGGACTAAAAGGAAAAAAAATGAAACTATCAAAAATAACAAAACAATTTTAAAGACACAGACATAATAAGATATAAATAGAAACAACAAATGGTTAAAAAGTATGGCAGATAAACTGTAGAATCTCTATTAGTTTTCTCTTTGCTTGTTAGTTTAGTTCATTTGTTTTGCAGTCAGTGTTAAGTTGTTTTCAGTTTGCAATCATGGGTTATGAAATGTTACTTTCACACATCATGGTAACCTCAAATCAAAAAACCTTAAACAGATACACAAAAAGAAAAAGCAAAAAATAAAACATACCACCAGAGAAAATCATCTTCACCAAATGGTAGACAGAAAGGTAGGAAGGAAGAATGGAAGGAAGTGAAAAAAAGGAAGAAAAAGGAGAAGATCACATAACAACCAGAAGAGAAGTTATAAAATGGCAAAAGTAAGTCTTTACTTATCAATAATAATATTTACTGTAAATGGACTAAATTCTCCAATCAAAAGACATAGAGTGGCTGAATGGATTAAAAAAAAAAAAAGACCCAATAATCTGCTGCCTACAAGAAACACATTTTGCCTATAAAGGCACAGAAAATAAAGGGATGAAAAAAGAAATTCCATTCAAATAGAAACTAAAAAAGAGCAAGAGTAGCTATACTTAAATCAGACAAAATATATTTCAAAACAAAAACTATAAAAAGAGACAAATAAGATCATTATATAATGATAAATATGTCAATTCAGCAAAAGGATAAAACAATTGTAAATACATATGCACCCAACACTGGAGTACCCAGATATAAAAACAAATATTATTAGAGCCAAAGAGAGATAGATCACAATACAATAATAGCTGGAGACTTCAACATCCCACTTTCAGCATCAGAAAGAACATCCAGGCAGAAAATCAACAAGGAAACATCAGACTTAATCTCATTATAGACCCAATGGAACTAATAGATATTTACAGAACATTTTATCTAATGGCTGTAGAATACACATTCTTCTCCTTAGCACATGGGTCATTCTCAAGGATAGAGCATATGTTAGTACATAAAACAAATGTTTAAAAATTTGAAAAGTGAAATCCTGTCAAGTACCTTCTCTGACCACAATGGAATAAAATTAGAAAACAATAACAAGAGGAATTTTGGAAACTATGCAAATGCATGGAAATTATACAATATGCTCCTTAATGACAAGTGGGTCAATGAATAAATTAAGAAATAAATTTTTAAAATCTTTGAAATAAATGAAAATGGAAAGACAACATACCAAAACCTACGGAATACAGCAAAAGCACTACTAAGAAGAAACTTTATAGCAATATACAACTACATCAAAAAAGCAGAAAAACTTCAAATAAATGACTGAAAAATTCATCTTAGCCAGAATAACAAGAGAAAATGAAAACCCAAATTAATAGAAGATCAGAGCAAAGATAAATAAAATTGAAATGTTAAAAACAATACAAAAGATCAACAATATGAAAAATCGATTTTTGGGAAAGGTAAACAAAATTGACAATCCTTTAGTCAGATTAAATAAAAAAGAAGAACAAATAAATAAAATCAGAGATGAAAAGGGAGACATTGAAACTGATACCACAGAAATTCAAAGGATCAGTAGACACTACTATGAGCCACTGTATTGCCAATACATTGGAAAACCTAGAAGAAATGGACAAATGCCTGGAAACATACAGCATAGCAAGACTGATCCATGAAGAATTCCAAAACCTGAATAGATTAATAACAAGTAATGTGATTGAAGCCATAATAAAAAGTCTTCCAGCAAAGAAAAAGTCAGGACCCAATGGCTTTACTGCTGAATTATACCAAGCACTTAAATAAAAATAGAATCCTACCCAAACCCTTCCAATAAATAGAGTAGGAGGAAATACTTCCAATCTCATTCTATGAGACCAACATTATCCTGATAAAAATCAGACAAAGACATATCAAAAAAGAAAACTAATAGTCTCATATCCCTGATGAACATTGATGCAAAAATCTTCAACAAAATACTAGCAAACCAAACCCAACAATACATTAAGATGTTTCATCATGACTAAGTGGGATTTATCCCAGGGATGCAAGGATGATTCAAGACATGCAAATAACGATGAGTACATAGAAATGTGCTCAACAGTATTGATCTTCAGAAAAATGCAAATCAAAACTACAATTAGAAATCATCTCACCCCAGTTAAAATGGCTTCGATCCAAAGGATAGATAATAATGAATGCTGGCAAGAATGTGGAGAAAAGGGAACCTTTGTATACTGTTTTGGGGTATGTAAATTAGTACAGCCACTATGGAAATGGTGAACAGTATGGGGTTTCCTCAAAAAACTAATAGTAGAACTGCCATATGATCCAGCAATTTCACTGCTAGGTATATACCCAAAAGAAAGGAAACCAGTATATCCAAGAGTTATCTGCACTCCCATGTTTACTGTAGTACTATTCCCAATAGCCAAGATTTGGAACCAACCTTTGTGTCCATCAACAGATTAATAGATAAAGAAAATGTACAAAATACAAAATGGAGTGCTATTCAGCCATAACAAGAATAAGATTTTGTCATTTGTAATAGCATGGATGGAACTGGAAGACATTATATTAAATGACATAAGCCAGGCATAGAAAGACAAATTTATCATGTTATTACTCATTTGTAGCAGCTAAAATTAAAACCATTGAATTCATGGAGATAGAAAGTAGAGTGATTGTTATCAGAGACTGGGAAGATTACTGGGGAGAGACAGGGAGAGAAATGAGAATGGTTAATGAGTATAAAAATATAGTTAGATACAATGAATAAGATCCACTACTTGATAGCACAATAGAGTGACTACAGTCAACTATAATTTACTGTACATTTAAAAATAACTAAAAGCATATAATTGGATTGTTTGCAATACAAATAAATGATAAATGCTTGAGGTGATGGATATTCCATTTACCCTGATATGATTATTACATTTTATATACTTGTGTCAAAATATGTCATGTATCCCATAAATATATACACCTATTATGTACCCATGAAAATTAAACATTAAAAATTTTAATAAGGTAAAATGAAGTAAAAGCATTGACATAATTAACTGAAAGAGTATAGATTTTGATTAAGCATTAATGAAGAAAATTAAGCACTGCATATTTTCAAAGCTTCTATAAAATACTATTGTTAGTTAACATGCATTAAATGTCTACCACCTGCCAGGAAATATGTAGATTAACATACGTTTCTCACAACAAACCTGTACAGTAAACACAATTATATATGTTTTTCCTGTGGAAAAAAATAAGTTTCAGTTAGTTAAAGCAACGTGCCAAATTTAACAACCTGTAAACAACAGTCTCTTAATCTATGCAGTTCTAGGACCTACCTATTACACAAGAGTTTGACTGTTAATGTAGATTAGATATTATGTATTCAAAGCTGTTAATTTCTCTGATGAGAAATTGAGGTCCAGAGAGATGAGTGCCTTACAGAATGCCATATGATTAGCAAATAACAGGCAAGGTCTCTGGACTTTCTATCCAAAGTGTGTTTATCTCCTCTATGTTGAAACACAAATAGCAGTTAAAACAATAGTCAATCATATCAGAAAATCTTAATAACTTATCTTATTCAAGCAGGAGGTCTACAAATAATTTACACTATTGTTAAAGAGTTTTCTTCCTTCCTTAGAAGGATTATGCTTCTTCACTGTTTTAGGTACTTAAAAGGTGTTATATTACCCTTTGTAATTTGATACTTTTGAAGTACAAATATAATATAAAGGCATTTTGCAAGAAATATGTGTTCTAATTAATGATTACTCTCTGTGTCCTTCAAACTTTTCTCATCAAATTCTTTTATCGTGTAGGAAAATACATTATTAAATACATATTTTTAGATATGCAGGCTTTGCTTCATTTGTAAATCTAAAAAAAACTATTCTTAAAGTAGAATGAAAGAAGCAAGACTAAATTATCACTGAAAGCTATCTAGCCAGTTTTCACACGATAAAAATATTCTATCTCCCTAGCATATTTACATTGTTCTGAAAAGTTTACTGTTATTATATCTACAATAACTGGCATATTGTATGTGTTAGCAAAGGGATTTTGAAAAAAAAGCTTCAGGAAGCCCAATAACAGCAAAAACAATGTCAACAATAACAATAGTAAAAATATATCACTTATTAAGGAAGTACTTTGTGGCTAGCAGTGTGCTCTGATCATCTTTTTCCATGCTCCATCTCATTTAATTTTCACAGTAAGCTAATACTTAAACAAAAGTACCTTTATTATCCCATTTCATTGATAATAAAATTGGACTTCAGAGACTTTAATTAATGCCTACAACTTCCCAGGTGGTAATGAAAAACCCAGTATTCTGACCTAAATCTTCTGACTCCAAAGTCCATGAACTTACCTAACAATAAAATTTGAATATTAACGTGAAGTCTTTGCAAAGGGAAACATTTTTTGAAAATTGTAAAATATGCTTCAGGGATTCCCTAAATGTTTCTTGAAGGGTTGAGGATCATTGACCTATATAAATAGCTTCTTAGGTATTTTTAAATAAGAACAAAATAGCTTATGTAATTTCCTTCTAAATTTAATAAACACCACTTTGCATATTCTGAGTCAAATATTTATCTCAACTTATTTGAGCTGTGGATGAATGGTTGTCAAAGTGGGTTGGAAGGAAACGGTATTCCAGAGAGAAAGGGAGTCATGGAGAGAGGAGAAACAAGGCTGCTTTTGTTAAATTGAAAGTAATTCAGTGTGATTAAAGTGTAGGTGGTGGTATCTCGCTCACCTGATAACCTTTGCTAAAACTTGCTGCCCAGGCTGGAGTGCAATGGTGCGATCTCGGCTCACTGCAACCTCTGCCTCCCAGGTTCAAGTGATTCTCCTCCCTCAGCCTCCCGAGTAGCTGGAATTACAGGTGCCTGCCACCACAGCCGACTAATTTTTTTATATTTTTAGTAGAGACGGGGTTTCATCATGTTGGCCAAGCTGGTCTCAAACTCCTGACCTTAGGTGAATCACCCACCTCAGACTCCCGAAGTGCTGGGATTACATGTGTGAGCCACTGCACCCAGTCGTGAAGTAATTCTTACCTTGAAATAATAAATCTTACACTATATGGTTGACATGAGAATTAGGTATTTCAAATGTCCTATTATTTAAGCAGGAACTTAATAAATAATGGTTATATGATTGAAAGAAAGGGTGGATGTGAGGACATAGTAAGACGTGAGCCCACAGGTGGGCACGAGGGAAATAGTAAAATGACAAGGGAAATTCTGACATACGATAATTTTAAAATTAATTCTAAATATTATTCTTATTTTTAAAAAACAAGATTAAACCACATGAAAGAATTTGTGGTTAAAAAGAAATGTATGATTACATTTGTGCCTTAGAGCACTATTATGTCACTGTGGCAACAGATTTAAGACAGATCTCATGATTCAGGGAGACAATACAATCATGGAAACAACGTGTGCGACTGCTTTAGTAATTCAAACATGAAATTATTACAGCTAAAAAAAGTCAAAGTTTTAGAGATAGAAAGGAAGAGAGGACCGCAGTTGATATTTAGGATGTAAAATAATAGGTTATGGTAACTAATTGGATGTGGATATGAAAAGAAAGTAACATCCAACAAATCCAGGTTCCTGGTTTGGATGTCATTTAACTGTCCTTTAGATAATGAAGCTGGAAAAAAGAGAAAAAAGCTGTTTCTCCCATGAAAGGATTATAAAATTCAGGGAAAAAGGTGATGAGGATAGAAAGCTTTTCCTTATCTATAATAAAATGTCAAACGCTTTTATTTTGGAAAGAAAGATTTGTGATCAAGAAACAAAATACATAATTTCACATTGGTGTTTTTCTATATATAATAAATGAAAGGACAAGGGACACCAATGATGTAACTCTAAATGGGATAAGAATAAAATCACACCGATTTTATTTATATAAAACTTGTTTACCTAAATCTTATATTTTTCTCCTGGAAGCTAAGGAAGTGGAGAGTTAAAAACAGAAATTTATTATAGTGATTAAAGGTGCATGGTTTTGCTTTACCTTTATAATTTGGGAAACACCTGTAATTCTTTGAACTACATCACGACACAGGTAACCGACTCTGCTAAATACACAGTAAGTCAATCCCTTCATTTGTTGCATAAAATATTCATGAATTTTAATCTCTATTCATAAATACGTTTTTTCCTAGAACAATAGAAATGCAGTTAATTCCAAAAATTAAAGTGAAAAATTCTGGGCCCCATTATTACAGTATGTTCACTCTGAAGGAAAATAGCCTTAATATTCAGGGTCCTAGGAACTCTGATAGTCTGCAGGATTTGAGAACTTATGATTTCTCACTTAGTTTTTCATTAAGAATAATGAATTGGAGTATTTATCAAGACGTTTGGTAAAAGTTGTCATTTTTTCACTATTCTATCAATTAAAAATTCAATTGTAAATAACAGAAATAAAAGTTGTAATTTTTCATTATTCTATCAATTAAAAATTTTAATTGTGGCTGGGTACGGTGGCTCACGCCTATAATCCAAGCACTTTGGGAGGCCAAGGCAGGCAGATCACGGGGTCAGGAGATCGAGACCACCCTGGCTAACATGGTAAAACCTCGTCTCTACTAAAAATGCAAAAAATTAGCCGGGCGTGGTGGCGGGCGCCTGTAGTCCCAGCTATTCGGGAGGCTGAGGCAGGAGAATGGCGTGAACCCGGGAGGCAGGGCTTTGCAGTGAGCGGAGATTGCACCACTGCACTCCAGTCTGGGCAACAGAGCTAGACTCTGTCTCAAAAAAAAAAAAAAAAATCAATTGTAAATCAGAGAAATTTGAAATCAAATTGTTTAAGGAAAAATTATTTGCATAAGCTCACCTAACTGAACTGTACAGGGTTGGGTGTAATGTTGGGAATGGTCGAATTCAGAATTGGCTTGGCTGTGCTGTTTGTGAGTTGCTGCCATTTTTAAATGCTATGGGTTGCCTCAGGTTACTTCAGGCTTATAGTATCAATAAACCAAATTTATAAAAAGGGTTTGATTTCCTTGTAGAAAATTGATTTTCATTAGGTTTGATTGACTTCACTTGGAAAGATGCCAGTCCCTGAAGTAATGATTATAATAAGAAAGATAGAATGTGCTGATTGGCTTTTCCAAGACACATAATGCAGCTCTGGTGCCTAGAAATGAGGCCAACTCCATCCAAAACACCTGAACGGAGGTTGAAGTAACCATGGTGATTCATAAAGCAAAACAGGACTATTAGTAGATGCAGAAAGTTTTGACGCTGGGCTTCAAAATTATTAAATACCCACTACCAAATAAGCAGCTTGGAAATGCTCCAGGCACAAGGCAAGGACAAAACAAGTTTACTAAATCAGTGAATTTTGGAGGATTCTCTAGGATTCTATCCCCACTGAATTTCTTGAGCTGTTACAATGCACAAGCAAAGAAAATACAAACATAAAGAATTTGTATGAATAGATAATTTATTTCAGTTGATATATAGGTGGCCAATAAACATAAGAAAGAGTTCAACTGTATAAACTGTCAAATGAAACATAACATTTTCATTTATCAAATTGGCAGTTTTAAAAAGATATTGCTAATTGTTGAGGCTGGAGTAAAAAGGGCTTCATATATAGCTTGAAAAAATAAAATCACTGTAATATTTCTGCTGAGCAGCTATCAATGTAAGTCAAGAGTCTCAATATTATATAATGGCTAAAACATGGAAACAATCTAAATTTCAAACAATAGTTACATTTCTAATGATAAATTGCAGTGATGTTTAATACTACAGAATTCTACCAATGTGTTTTTAGGATTAGACCAATATATGGTGAAACGCATATAATATAATGTAAAGCTAAATAGCAGTGAGGATTTTGCAATATGTTTTCTATATGCACTTACATTAATATGTTTTAATAAATATATATATAATGCGTGCATGAATGCATACATATACACACAAGAAATACACAAAATATTAATTATGGTTATCTTTAAGTCATCGATGAATCAACAATTTTTTATATCATACCTTATATTTCAAATGTTCTTCAAAAAATATAATTCTGACCTCTAATTACACTGTAGAGCTATAGTAACCCAAACAGCATGGTACTGGCATGAAAACAGACACATAGACCAACAGAACAAATAAGGAACTTAGACACAAATCCATACTTCAAGAGTGAATTTATTTTTGACACAAGTGCTAAGAATGTACACTGAAGAAACTACAGTCTCTTCAATAAATGGTGCTGGGAAAACTGGATATCCACATGCAGAAAATGAAACTAGATCCCTAGATCTCTCACCATACATAAATGTGAAATCAAAATGGGTTAAAGACTTAAATCTGAGACCTGAAATTATGAAACTTCTAAAAGAAAAATTAGAGAAATTCTTCAGGACATTGGTCTAGGCAAAGATTCTTGAATAATACCCCAAAAGCATAGACAATTAAAGAAAAAAATGGATAAATGGAATCACATCGAGTTAAAAATGTTCTGTACAGTAAAATAAACAGTCAACGAATTGAAGAGATAAGCCACAGAATGGGAGAAAATATTTGCAAACTATCCATCTGAATACGTAATAAGCTCAAACTTTACAGGAAGACAACTAATAATCCGATTTAAAAATGGGCAAAAGACCTGAATAGATATTTCTCAAAGAAGACATGCAAATGGCAAACAGATATATAAAAAGGTGCTCAACATTACTGATCGTCAGAAAAATGCAAACCGAAACTACAAAGAGCTATCATCTCAGGCCAGTTAAAATGGGTTTGAGCCAAAAGATATGTAATAATGAATGTTGGCGAGGGTGTGGATAAAAGGGAACCCTAGGACACTGTTGGTGGAAATGTAAATTAGTACACCCACAATAGAAAACAGTATGGAGATTTCTCATGAAACTAAAAATAGAACTGCCATGTGATCCAGCAATCCCATTGCTAGGCATAAACTCAAAATAAAGGAAACCAGTATATTAAAGAGATATCTGCCATTCCCATGGTTACTTTAGCACTATTCAAAATAGCCAAGATTTGAACCAAATTAAGTGCCTTCGACGAATGGATAAACAAAATGGTGTATTTATACACAACGGAGTGCTACTCAGCCATAAAAAGAAAAAGATCCTGTCATTTGCAACAACAGATGGAACTGGAGGACATCATATTAAGTGAAATAAACCTGGCACAGAAAGATAAACTTCTCATGCTCTCACTCATTTGTGGGAGTTAAAAATGAAAACAATTAAACTCATGGAGATAGAGAGTAGAAGGATGGTTACCAGAGTCTGGGAAGGGTAGTAGGGAGAGGGAAGTAAGGGTTATAGTTAATAAATGCAAAAATATAGTTAGATACAATTAATAAAATCTACTATTTGATAGCACAGCATGGTGACTATAGTCGACAAAAATTTACTGTACATTTAGGAATAACTAAAAGTACAATTGAAATGTTTGTAACACAAAGAAATGAATGCTCTTGGAGATAGATACTTTATTTACCCTGATGTAATAATTATTATGAATTATATGTCTGTATCCAAATATCCCAAATATCTCATTTTCCCCAAAATATGTACACCCACTGTGTACCCATAAAAATAAAAAATAAAAAAGTTCACTTTTATAACTGAACAATTTATAATCTTTTCCCTTGCCCACTAATGTTAGCAACTTAATATATAGACAATTGGCATCTCTTCTCTATGTCACTATAATTATCTTCAGACTATTAATAGACTTCTCCCTGACTCCCTGGCACATATATATATATATATATATATATATATATATATATATATATATATGTGTGTGTGTGTGTGTGTGTGTGTGTGTATGTGTGTGTGTGTGTTTGCATGTATACATACATGTATGTGTGTATATATGTGTGTGTATATATATGTGTGTGTGTGTGTGTGTGTGTGTGTGTGTGTGTGTGTATTCTCCCAAGTTTTGCCAGAGTTATTTTCCTAAAACATATCTGGTAATACTTCCAAATACTTCCATATTTTAAAATCTTCATTAGTTTTCTGACAGGATCACTAATCTCTGTAATATTGTACAAAAGGTCCTTTAGAGTCTTCCTTTAGTGACCTATCCAGTTGCATATCCTGTTCTTGTCCATGTATGTACTCATAACTATGGTGCCAGTGCTTGTGCAAGACCCAACTTGCTTGGAAAATTATGCCATCCTTCATAACTCTGGATATTGGCTTATACCATTCTAGACACTAAAATGTCTTTTAACCCCTTCCCAGCTTACAAAACCTTAATAAAATATTTTCCACTCTAGGATACTTTCCCCCAATTCTCTGCCCCCTGGCAGACTTGGTCTTTCTTCTGTAATTTCTATGGAATTGCAGGTACTATAATCCTTATCCTGTATCCCACATGCACAACAGAGCAAAACACTATTAAATATTTGAGAGTGAATGATTAAAAGAGTACCTATAGTTTGAATGAAGTCACAAAATGCTTTGGGGACTCAAAGGAATTATATTATTAATTCCTTCTGAGAACTTAAACTACCATTAGATTACAGTACTTCTTAGGTACATCACCATTTGTTTCTTTTACTTTTGGCTTGTGCAACATCTATTCTCTCAGTTCTTTACCTTCCTTTCTGTTGATTCCTATTTAGTGTTCTTCTATGTATTCCACACTTGCATTTGCAGACACATCCCAAAATCTACTTGTATTCTTCTTTACCCATCTTTTGCTCTGAAAGAATAATACAGTCCACAGTTTATTAGTAAACTCATATCATGATGGTTTACTAATTCCATTTTGACTCCAGATCCATATTTAACATTTTTCTGACAAATATGTATTAATTCAGAAGGTAAAACTCTCTTTGCCCACTGCTGAACTTATCATCATTATTCTTTTTGGTATGACCATCACCTTATTTAGCAATAAAGTATATCAATATCACAAATATTTTTCCCTAAATCTTTATTCCATACCAATAATTTTAATTTTCATTGATATCACCCCCATATTTTCATGTTTTGCACATCCTTTCAAATCCCTTTGTCTAGTGCCTAATTCAAGTCTTATTTCTCTAAATGATACTATTAAAATATAACTGTCTTGCTCTTGTTTACTACATTTTTTTAAAAAAACACATTTATATATATGATTTTATCTACAGAAAGATGAATTTTATGCTAATGGTTATGCAACATGGGTTTGAATCTGATAATCCTCATTTTGTTTTTTTTTCCCAATCCATTTATAGTGACTTTGGGACATACTTAACTTCTCTAAGTTTCCTTTTTGCCAACTTTCAAATGCAGTAAATAAAACTTATCTCTTAGTTTGTAGAGAGGATTTAATTAAATGAGATCTTAGATGTAAAGGCTTAATATTTTGCATCAAATATATAAAGGCATTTCTGTATGCATTGTGAAACTGATAAATGATGGGGAATTTGAAGAGGAAATACTCCTATTTCTCTCCCATGTTCAGGATCAATTCTTAAATTGTAAACACTTTAGTAGAAATATCATTATTATTATTATTATTTAGCTGATATTGTAAATTGTGGCTTATATCAGTGGTCAAGTGGGATTTCTAATCTTGAATCACAGAATTAAACAAATTCAGACTCTTGGTCACAAGAAATGCTGACTGAGAAAGCCCTCCTCATCAGGGCATAGTGCACTGCTACAGAAGGCATGGCTTGGAAGAGAGGAGAGAAATGTGTGCTCCCAGTAGGTGAGCATCTCCCTTCTGGGAAAGCATAGAGAGAACTGTAATTGGGCTACATTTGCCTAGTTTATTTGTAAACTCATCAATCAGATCAGGTATTTCCCATGAGAGAAGTGAGTGAATGAGAAAAGGGAAGATACTGTAGTAGAGCTGCATCCACATAAATGAAAACACTTGGACGGGGAGAGAAAGTTCCTCTATAAGGATGACAAAGCCATTAGTATATGCTAGACCTAACAGACACCTATTTAATGGTAACTAATTTTAATACCATACACTTATCTTCCAAAAATAAGTTTTATATTACCATCAAACATTTCCAGATATCCCCAATAGCCTTAGAGGAAAAAAATTAAAACATAAAGATGCCCTCATATATTCAATTTCTTCTAGGCTAAACTCTTCTTACTTTTTCCCACACATACTCTGTCACTCCAAAGTATTTTCTAGAAATCCATATTTTATGGCCTTTTCTTACATTATTTCTTCAGCCTAAAATATTCTTTGCTCTTCAGATCCTAAGTTAAATACCAATTCTTTTTTCCTCTTGTCCACCTTATGAGCCTACACTTTTACACAGCATTTACTCCATTCCTTAGGATATTAATTATTCAGCAAATCTCCACTATCTACTAGATTTTTACATTGCTCAAGGATTCTAAATTCTAAATTCTAAATTCCATATGTACTTCCATTCCCATCCCATCAACCAGATCTCATCACAATATATAGCATATAGGAAATGCTTAATATCTGTTCAATGAACATGAATTAGTTCACCTGTATTTCTATTTCCAGACAATGTATTAAAATTATTAAACAGGACTGATCCTAGTGCTTGCTATATTATATATTGCTAATTCATCTGGGATTCAAAAATGAAAGATTGGCAACTATTTTGCACTCCAACAAATAGTATTAGAATTTTAAAATCAGCTATCTTTGCTCTGTTATGACAATTCCCATGACTTTGACCTATAAAAGGAGTGTTGAGACAACTGCAGTTCAGAAAGTCAAAGGGTAGATTTTTATGAATTTGTAGCTCCTTCCCCAGAGAAATGCTGTAGAACTTTTATTAGCTCTATTCCCTCAAGCCTCAAGGAGTTAATAAAATCTGAATTCCTTATTCTCTCTATGGAATAATATTATCATAGACTTAACAGCCACTATAAATGAGAGCCTAGATAATGTACTGTATTTAGAAGTTACTTCTAAAAGTAATAGAAACCACCTGGCCATCCACTCCCTCATTCAGTTATGGCAGCCAGATTTATGAGCTTGTAGGCACAAGATTGCCTACATCTTGTGAGTAATTAGGGTTGGGGTGGGAGAGGACATGAGGAAACATACTTTAATTAATGGGGTACTTTGATCAGACACTGCTTCTTTAATCTTTGCAGTAGGCTTAAAATATAGGCAACTGTGAATCCCTCACAGGAACATTCCCTGAATGGGATGATGCAAATGTACTTAATTGTCTCTCATCCTTGGCCAAGCCCATTTTTTCAAAAAGAGAGGGTTAAAATTTTGTCTTCTGTTGGGACAAGTTTAAAATTGATGAATTCATAATGCATTGTGAATTTCTCAGTTTATAAACTGTTGGGAGCAGGCTCCCCAAAATCTGGCCATAAACTGGCCATAAACAAAATCTCTGCAGCACTGTAACATGTTCATAATGGCCCTAATGCCCATGCTGGAAAGTTGTGGGTTTACGGGAATGAGGGCAAGAAACACCTGGCCTGCCCAGGGTGGAAAACTGCTTAAAGGCATTCTTAAGCCACAAACAATAGCATGAGCAATCTGTGCCTTAAGGACATGCTCTTGCTGCAGTTAACTAGCACAACCTATTCCTTTAATTCGGCCCATCCCTTTGTTTCCCATAAGGGATATTTTTAGTTAATTTAATATCTATAGAAACAATGCTAATGACTGGCTCACTGTTAATAAATATGTGGGTAAATCTCTTTTCAGGGCTCTCAGCTCTGAAGGCTGTGAGACCCCTGATTTCCCACTTCACATCTCTGTATTTCTGTGTGTGTGTCTTTAATTCTTCTTGCGCCACCGGGTTAGGGTCTCCCCAACCGAGCTGGTCTTGGCAATCAACAATTGCATGCATGTAGCTTTCGCTGTCTTTGTTTTGTTTCTTATGCTATAGTACAGACTGAATGATAAAACTATTATTTGTAATTGATTTGTCAGTAAGAAAACCTTTTCACCTGGTATAAATTTTACATGGTAAAATTTTACTCTACTTTACTTGGTAAAATTTTTGCTATTATATTGTAAAAATCAGTTATTATATTGTGGCAGGGCTTTATTGAATTAAACTATTTGGGTCACCCCCTACAGAAAGAGAAATGTCTTCCCAACCCAAAATTTAATTCAGATGTCAAGACTGATGATGAGATACACACACCTCAAGAGGAAATGGAAAGGTTTATTGCTCCCATAATGAGCTTTTCTGGGAGAACAAGGCAAATCTCAAGCAAGTCCAAAGATGACTCGAGAAACAAGGAAAGAAAACTGGCTTGGGGTTTCTATGGTCAGGGATTGCAGCTGGGATGACGGTTCCTACATGGTTTGACCTTCCTGTCCAAATGAAGGAAGAAGCAAGCAGGCTTTCTCATCAGCTTGTCTAGATGTGGGGCAGAATGTGAAGAGGGAGAGGTGGAGCATAAATGGTATCAACAGTTTAACATTAAAAATGCAGTCAGTCTACAAGAGAGCCCCATCTTACATATTGGGACATTTTCAATAAAGCTCCAACAGATAACTAGCTCAATATCACAAAATTATTGTCAGAACCAGAACCCATATTAGCAGGTGATTTCAAAGGATTCATTTTTTCCACCATACCCACAACTACCTTCCTCAGAAGAAAGGGACTCAATTACAAATTAATATGAGTTATTTGTATATTTCCATTTGAAAATATTTCCTAAGACTTGCTCTGATTGGAATGGATCTAATGAACTATTGCAATGTATGTCCATTTCCTAACACAGAAACAATGTGTAAGATCAGAACCTGTTTTTGGAAAACATGGTCCCCTAAATGACAGGATTTTTTGAGATATGATAGTAAGACTCTAATAATCTAATTCCTTTCCTTGCCTGATTAAGTTCCACAGTTTTTATCAGCTGTGTTGCATGTTGTAACAAGGGGGCAAAACATATTTGTCAGGTCAATTTCACTTGTTCAGGAACAACAGGGATTCAAGATAGGGTCCACCTGGGTTCCAATGCCGATTGTTAGTTTACTTGCCTACTTCTCACTCCTGTTGCTTCGGTCCTCATTCTGGTACTTGCCTGTCTAAAATACTTAGCCCTTATCTCATTCCTGCTTTTTCTTTACTATATAATCCAAAATTGATGCTGGAGCACTGAATGCTTCTAGGTCTCTGCTTTTCTCCCACATGCTATCACAGATTATAGCATGGTATACCTAGTCTTCATTTTAGATCCTAGTTAGGGCATCAAAGGAACCACTATAGAGTTTCTCTTGCCTGAAATAGTGTTCATGGGAGCGAACAGAGAGAACACCCACTTCTTGATGCCAGGCTCTCCCCTCCCCAAAGCTTGCCTGACTACTTCGCAGGAGGCTTTCTTATCTGCCCTAAAAACCCATAATTCATTTATTTCATTTATTTTTTACTTAAAAATTTTTTAGATGTTTCTTGGTATCTTTTAAATAACTCATTTTTTTAATTTTCATTTTTAAATTTTTGATATGGTTTGGCTGTGTCCCCACCCAAATCTCATCTTGAATTCCCACGTGAGTACGTCTCATGAGATCTGATGGTTATCATAAGGGGGAGTTTGCCTGCACAGGCTCTCTGCTTGCTGCCATCCGTGTAAGATGTGACTTGCTCCTCCTTGCCTTCTGCCATTATTGGCTTTCCAAGCCATGTAGAACTCTAAGTCCAATTAGACCTCTCTCTCTTATACATAGCCCTAGCTAGGGTATGTCTTTATCAGCAGCGTGAAAACAGGCTAATACAATTTTTTACCAGCACCTATTTTGTTAGTAACTTTTGTCTTTCATGTCTGCTAATTGATTTCCTTCTTGTCACATAGAATTTAAAATATTGTTTCTTGAGTTTTCAGAGTTCTGAAAGCTGAACCACTTAGAAAAGTTTTAAGAATCTGAAAACCAGCCAATTATAAAATTTCTGTTTTCTAGTATCTCGTAACCTGGATTGGTTCTCTCTGATTCACTGTCAACTTACCCAGTAGTGTCTCATAACTAATAAGCACTATTCTTACTGTCTTGCTTTAATTTTAGAAAGTACATTGAGTATGTCCAATTCTACAAATCTTCTCATTTGATAGAAAAACTAAATCCATTTTTAGTCTGTATCGGTGATGGAAAATTTTCCAATTCTCTTTCTGTCCCAGGCCTCTCCTCAATGATAAAATGAATTCTGTTGTTATTATGGGGTTTAGATGCCCGAATGGAATCTATACGTTGTAATCTTGACCAACATAGTGGAAGACAGACAACCAAATATATATTTTTCCACTAAGTAGTGGTTCTTTGAAGGTCCATCTATATGACTCTTAGGAGTTAAGGGCCAAGAATCCACCCATGTCAAACAGCACGTTGTTATTTTACTTATCTTCCTAAAAGGCAATGTTGGTTTAATGATATCCGAGTAAGTTCCATTTTAATCTCCCCAAATTTACCAAAAAGTTGACTTCAGAGCCATGAGGAAATCTACATTTTTCCTTGAAGAGAGGACTTTCTCCCAACCATCATGATTCAAAATATAACACTATAATATAACACTAGGGTTTTTGTAATATGATTGGTCCCACACCAGGTTACTTAAGGGTGTATATCTGCTGCTTGAACCATAAAGACCTCAGCAGGGCCATGGTGCCCAGCTAAGGAGATGACCCTCAGAACCCAAACATCCCAGAGAGTGTCTGAGAACCTATCAAGAAAGACAGTCCCATCACATACACACAGTAGCAAACAATTAGCTTAAAAGTAGCTTAGAGATGGGAGGTAGTGCCCATCTCTAAAGTTATCCTGCTGCCATCCAAGAGTGCCTTGTATGTAAGTCTCTTGACTCCCTCCTAGTTTGAGAGATAGTTTATTCTTATGATTCTCAGTTTTTCCCTTTACAGATTTGTGTTTATATCTGCACATTAATTTGAGGTAATCCTATACCAATTAATATGGACAGCAGAAACTGCTTGCCTAGTCGATGAATTTCTAATATAACCTAGTACCAGGACCTTTGAATCCTGGCAGGTCCTTAAGGGACTCAGGACTCTTGTGTCTTAAAAGCCACATCTCTATAAGTGAGGCAGTCTGCCTAGTAAAGAACACAGGATTTGTAATATCTCTGGATTCTAATTCTGGTCCTGACATTTGTAAACTATATGATATTGGACATGTTATTTTACCTTTTTTAAAGTCAGTTTCATCATCTATAAAAAGGGAACAATAATTTCTACCTCATCAAGATAATGTAAATATTTGCGTGAATAAGGAATACCTCATCTATAGTGGCACCAATAACCTGTAGCTATTATTAGTAAAAGTAAAATATTTGGCCTCATGGTCCATCATTGGAAAGGAATGTTCTATCCCTTTGGGTTTTTTTTTCCATAGAAAGAAGCTAATAAAATACCCCTATGTGTTCTGTTCCAGAGTTGCATGTCAATGACACTGATTCTCAGTTGACATTTAACAAACTATTGCTAAAACTTAGCAATAATTTTAACATCCCTAGTCGATGCTCCTATTCTTTCCTTCTTTTGTAGTGTCTGAACACCTCAGTCTTTATAGTCTCTTAATTAAAAGTATGATCACTTTTTAAATTGTGTGTGCTCTCAACTTTCCTTTCTTCTAACTGAATGTAGTTCTGTGCCTTTACTTATGGTTGGCTACTATTCGTTGACCTTTATAGGTTGTATATGTTCACTAGGTTCTTTGAGCTCATCTGCTTTCAGGATCAGGCTCCATCAGTTCAGTCTTTCTTTCCACTGCCCTTCCCCTCGTTTCGTTTTCACTAATTTCTTGTTAGTGTACTAGCTTGTACAACTCTACACTAAGAATCGTGATGTTCATTTTACCCCTTATCCTAATGTCCATTATCTATCTCTTTTATCTTCATTAAGCCATGAGTGTGTGCCGTTCAGAAATACTTCATGAAAAAAATTGAGTGAAAAATAGTTCTATATGAAATAAAGTTTTAATATTATTGAACCTCAATTTCCTCTATCAAAGACAGAAAAAAAGTCATTTTTAAGTTAAAGTATTTTAAATACGTTTTAAACTATATACATATAACGATATTTTAAAAAATATTAACACTGATCCAAAACAAAGGCAAAAAAACAAGCATTTAAAAAAAGGGGAATTAACTTTTGCTTTCTATGCATTACCTCTTCTTTTCTTCTTTAGCTGAACTAAAAAAATAATGATAATAAAAGCAATTGTGTTGCCAAAAGTTGTTGCGAATGTGAATGTGGTAAAAGATTTGAGGAGTAGAAATTGCATAAACCTTATTCCTTGGAAAACAGTAGTGATTCATTCAATCTGTGCAAAGGGATGTTCTAACCAAAGTATTTCATTTTGTGCTTTATATTTTATGATGGAAAGAGTAGATGAGAATCTGCTTGAATACCAGATGTTTCTTGTTATGCAACTGTTTCCATTTTCAACTGCCCTGCACATATAAATGTTTAAGAAAAGTAGATTTTACCTGAAGTTTAGATCTTGTCTTCCTTTTTTAATTTCAATTTGGACCTCTAAGTGTATAGGCTTATTATTGATTGTGAGTACCTTAGATGATGATAGTGATGATTATCATCATGGTCATATTTATAACATTAAAGGCTCCTTTCATATTTGAAGTTACCTTTCAATGTAATGAAATGAAATCAAAAGTTGTTCCTGTAGGAGATGAACATAATAATGTGACTACTGTATGCACCTCCAAAGTTTCACTCTAATAAATTATAGCTCTGTTCCACCTGACTTAGAGATTATAGAAATAAATTCGAAGGATAGTAATAATCCAGGATCTATGTGGGAAAAAATGATATATCTCGTCTTTCCTGAAAAAAGAAAAGATTCAATTAGCTAAAGTTATGTAAAACTTATTTATCATCTCAGTCTTTAGAATACTTCTGAAAACATCTATTAAATACCTCAAGGACCAAGAAATTCATTATACATGGGTACCAATTCAGAATACAATATGCTAAACACCTGCTATCTTGTTGTCAACAATAAATGATTACAAACTACTATGTTAACATTTAGAACCTGTTAAAATAGGCCATTGTGAATACAAGTAAACAATGTCAATAGGAGTAAAATTGGTTTAAAAAGATGCTAATATTTTACTTTGGAGTGACATTAGCTACCAAAAATATATACACAAATCAAAACTGTTTAAAATAATTTTTATGTGATCTTAGGAGAATATCAACCTGAAAAATAGTAATATCATCTTAGATTTCACACGTGAAACATGTAGAATTAATATGCATGCATAATTTTTGCATAACATATTTAATTATGAATATAGAAGTAAAGAATAACTCATAATTTTCTGGGAAAATAAAAAAAATAATATTTAACAGAACTCTAGCTACTGAAGTATTATTTGAAAGAGTTTTAAGATCATTGTTGTGTGAGAGGAATATATGATTTTTTGAGTTTTTTTTATAGTCTGCACAAATACAATTGAAAAAGTAATCATAAGTATTTTGGTATTGCAAGGACTCTGTAGCTGAGCTATCTAATTAAAAATAAAAATCACTTATTTTGTTTTAACCTTTTAACGAAAATTATTTTCTCATAAAAGAATCAAAGTATGTTTAATACTTCCTTGGATTTTTAAAGAGGTAATGAGCAGTAAATTCACCAATTATTCATACATATTACCAAATGTCATTTGCTGATGAGCAGCAAACTATGAAGGAAAGATATCATCTAATAAAGGGAGAGATTTTGGTCCGATTTCATACTCCATGAGTTCTCATTCTTCAATGAAATGCTTGAATAATTTTATGCACAGCATTGCAAATAAAGGTAGAAAATTCTTCAAGTTTGTTTGACTTTGGGCTTAATTGAAATGCCTCTTCCACAATCATGTGTGCTAATTCAACCAGCAAACTTGATGTGTTTTTAAATGATACAAAGCTAGATAGTATATCACATTTTGCAAATGATACATCCTGATGTTAAGAAAAATCTGTGTTGCTCTTACCAATCCACTGACTTGAGTTTCTGTAAATCTCTTTTATCTGCACCAATAATTACCGTACTTCAGCAAGGCAGTTTTAATTAAATGTCATCCTTTAAAATCAAGAAACACTTACAAGGTCAAGTAGGTCTAGGATAAAACTAAAGTGTGCTCTCAAATCATGGATTACTTGATATTCTGCTATAAAGAAAAATTGTAAATGGGGCATACATAATTCTCCTCATACAATTTTAATGAGATTTTGACCAGTTCAGAATTGTTTTCTCTGTATAATTTTGCAATTGTTCATTGAAGGATAATGCTTTCTTACATTAGAATATGAAAAATACTTCTACGGGAAAGCATTTCATGCAATAAGTGTTATGTTTTATATATTTTATGAAAATAATTTTATGAGTATAAACTTTTTTGTGAAAAGAAGTGAAAGAACTACCCAGTTTACAATTCTTTAGCTGTATTGCAGAAGTTCAAAGATAATGCTGTTAACTTTTTCATTGTATTCATGTGTGTGTATAATTAAATACATTAGGTATATAATATATGCTGTACTATTTCTAAGCCAGTAAGGGGATGAACTAGATTATATATATTGATTTCAATTGTTTGAGAAAAAAATATTCAGTCTCTAAATACTAGCTTTTCATACCATAAACCACACCTCCATTTTGTATACAATTACATTTTTTTAGTATCTACTACATATATACTGAAGGGAAGGCAAAAAGAAGTAAGCAAATAATTATCAGGAATAGTAAAAAAAACTTCATATAGGACCTGAAGTTTTAAGAAACTGTAATAATAATATTTATTAATTATGTTAATGCAAAAGCTACCTTATATGATAAATGGACAAAGTGAAAAAAAGAAAATAAACCTGTCCCAGATTGTGCAACTTGTTAGTGGCAACACTGACATTTGAACCCAATGCTAAAAGGGGTCTATAATGTATAATCTTATCTTTTAGACTCTTCAGCCTCTGATAGATGAAATTTTACAGTTTGGACAAGAGAGGATTTGACAGACAGCCCAGTAAAACAGGACTATCGGAGCCAAGACTGAGGAATATAATAGCATTGTGTGTTTGGGCAGACAAAACTTTCTCTTATATGCAGTCCTGTCCAGTTCCCCTGCTTCATCTCAAGCTTTGTATTAAGAAACATGAAGAGCTTATGTGCATACTTTCTCATCTCTGTATCTTTGCATGTGCTATCACATCCATTTGGAACCCCTCCCAAAACTTCCAAAATGGGAAAAAGCTTCCTGTTTCCTTTAAAATTCAACTCAATGACCACCCCAACTTTAAGTCTATCTTCCTTTTCTCCTCTGTCCTTTTATAGTCCCCTAGTATAGCATGTTATTTAATTTTACATGTTTTTAACTTATCTTTTTATTTGTCAGTAGTGTCTCACACAACTACTAGTACATGGCAAATAATTAAAATTCTATTGAATTAATTAAACTTGCATATGGATCTTGTCTTTTTATGGTTTTCCTCTCAACCTTTTATGTTATTCCTGATACATATTAGAAATTCAGCCTTCTAAAGACTAAATTGATGAGTTAATAGGCTATACAATATTACATACTTGACATGTGCCCATGACTTTGCATCTGCTAGGCCTGAGCTTAAATACCATTTCTGCCATTTAGTTGTCATTTAATTAGTCCAGATGTCCAGTATTCTTGAACCTTCATTTCTTCATCTATAGACCAGGGAATATGTACTCAGGAGGCCGAGGTTGGAGGATCACTCGAGTCCAGTAATTCAAGGCCAGCCTGAACAACATGGCAAGATCCCATCTACAACAACAACAAACAAACAAACAAGAAACAAAAGACAAGGAAACATAAAAACTACACTCAACTTCCCATGTGATGACCATCAATACGGAGTGAAATAATATATATAACAAGATCACGACTAACCCAAAGGATAGTCAATGTTCTATTGAACAATGTTCTACTGAATACAGTACTTATTGTAATTGGTGTTAATGTTGTTATTATCATAACTATTCTTATTTTTATTCCTTAAATATATTTCAACCTGACCCTTCAACAATATTTTAGATAGGATATTGAATTAGAACATTTATAAACTAATGAATAGAGATAAAATAGGAGATGTGGAGTTGCAAGTTTTGAGTGCTTCAAAGGAAAAAAAAGACATTTTCAAAAACATAAAATTTTTAAAGGAGAGTGCAGAAAATTATATGTTGACCAAATTTTGACAAGTTTCATATGGCTACCAGGCTGCCTATGGATATTCATTTTATAGAGACTGCTGAATTGTTCCACAGTTCTGGAAAAAAACCATTGAAATTTCCATATAATTATGTATACTGCCTTTGAGATACTGGGGGACTTCCTAAAGAGACATAAAATAGGGGACTAAAATCATTTGAACCAATTACAGACTGAACATGAGTTATATTAGTGCAAAGTAAGACATTCTTATAAATGTTAAAGACTTTAAAACAGTTTTAACAATATCTCAAGGTTGCTCATATCTATTCTAGCCATGTAAAACTCCAAATTCAGGACTTTCTTAAGTCAAAGCAATCAATAATATGCTTTAGTTAATCACAGGTGAACTACTAAATTATGTTACTGGAAATGAAAATCAATTCAAATTAAACCTTTTGTGAAACTTCAACACAATTCAGGTCAATGTTTTGGGCTACTTCTCTAGTTGCATTTAGTATCATTTGTTCAGGGATATCTTATAGTAAGTTAAAGGTCTATTTCTCAAAGTGCAAAAATTGCATTGCTTTAATAAACTCAGCCAATTCTCATTTTGGAAAACAAATATTCAGTAAAATCAAACAAAGTGTTTTGGACATCAGCTTTAATAAAAATTGTGCATTGTCAATTATATTTGCAAATCCAAAAATAGCATTGCTCATGCTCAAAATATTCAAATTCACAAAGCAAACTAAAACTGCATATTCATTTTCTTGACTTTTACAATTAGCTATATTTAAAAATATTGATAACTATGCATAAGGACATTTTGGCAAGCCCATCTAAAATCCACAAATATACTTGAATTTGATTCAGCATCTGATCATATTTGACTCAAATATGATTCAACTTTTTTTTACATTGGGAATTTTAATGTCTAAGGAGTATTTTTATTAAGTTTTCTTCAGTAAGAAACTCTTCCCTTCTTGTTTAGAGAACACAGGTAGTGATTTTCCTAATCATATATCTGAATCTCTGCTGAGCCTTCTCCCAGCTTTTCTCCAAAAATTACTTTGCCACTGTATAGTATGTATTTTTAATAAAGAAATTATTATAAAAACATTCTACTATTATTTGATTCACTATTTCATTTATTCATTCCAACATCTATTAAGATTTTACAATGTGCAAATCAGACTTTCCACTCATTAGGAATATATTATTTTTACAAAGATCAATTGCTTTGTAAATATTAATATAGCAGGGTTTATTATATAAGAACTGCATTAAAAAGTACAGTGAAGGCCGGGCGCGGTGGCTCACGCTTGTATTCCCAGCACTTTGGGAGGCTCAGGCAGGCGGATCACGAGATCAGGAGATTGAGACCATCCTGGCTAACACAGTGAAACCCCGTGTCTGCTAAAAATACAAAAAATTAGCTGGGCTGGTGGCGGGCACCTGTACTCCCAGCTACTCAGGAGGCTGAGGCAGGAGAATGGCGTGAACCTGGGAGGCAGAGTTTGCAGTGAGTCGAGATGGCGCCACTGTACTCCAGCCTGGGTGATAGAGCGAGACTCTATCTCAAAAAAATAAAAAAAATAAAAATAAAAATACAGTGAAAGCCATTAGAAATTCTTGGAAGAAATAATTTTTAATCATGAGAGCTACAATTTCATAAAAACAGTGGCCTTTTAGCAAGAGCCCAAAAGATAACTGTGGTACCATAGATAGAGCCAGAGGGATGGAACTCTAGACCATAGGAATGACATCAGCCAAAGAAGCGATCTAGGAGAATGCAAAGCACATTTGAGGAACATTATACAGACAAGAGACTTCATTCATGGGAGAAGTGTGACACTAATGCTCAGATGATTGTTAACAATGTTTAGCAATAAAGCACATTTTAATTGAGTTATGTACATTGTTTTTTAGACATACTATTGCACACAATAAACTATAATATAGTGTAAACATAACTTTTATATGCACTAGGAAATCACAAAATTTCTGACTCATTTTATTGTGATATTCATTTTACAGTAGTGATGTGGATCCAGATCTGCAATATCTCTGAGGAATTCCTGCATTGAATTTGATAGTTTTATGAGCAGGGATATGATAAAACAATAATTAGTTTAGAGAAAGGAAATCTGGAAGTGGCATGGACAAGGGACAATGGGTCAGTGGAGGAGGATTCTAGGAGCCTTGCCTGCCGTCTTCCTGGCTCCTATTTAGAAAGGAATTGATACAGTACATGTACAACTAAGGACCTGGTCAGGTTTTGGGGGCTGATAGCAGTCAGAATAAAAATGAAAAAATATAAATGACAGAGATAGTGAAAAGAATACATCAAAATAACTTAGACATTGAAAGAACTTAAACAAGTAAAGTAGTCAAGGCCAGGGAAATCTCTGCTAAAAATTGCTTAAGAAATATGAACAAATATGTTGCCTTTCTGAAAAGTATTTTTTCTCTTCAAGTTTTTTTTGGGTATAGACCTGATGCAGGCACAGCGAATGAGGTTAAATATATAGCTTGTTTATTCTTTTTTTCCTTCATATATTGCAGATTGAAAATGGTCACAAATTCTTTATACTCAGCCCCTTGTGATACAGTCTATTTTTCCTTGCCTTGAATCTGGGTTGACTTATGACTATTTTGATCAATGGAATATGGCTAAAGTAAAGCTATACAGATCTAGACCTAAAATTCAAAGAGACTGGTAGCCTTTGCTGTGGTTTCTAGGATCCCTGAACCATCCTATAAAAACTCCAACTAGCCCACTGGGGAGGGCTTGAGTCTACATGGAGATGGAAGCAGCCCAGTTTAGCCCAGCCCAGTTATCAGATGAATATCACTAACTGGATCATAAGAATCACCCAGCTGAGTTCTGTGTAAATTCCTGACCAACAGAAATGCAGTTGTTGCTTTAAGCCACTAAGCGCTGTATAAATTGTTAAATAGAAACAGATGACTGGAATAATCTACTTCCCAATATTTCTTGTAGGAGAGATTGTCCTACTTTCCATAGTTTCACATAAAATGAGTTCATGGATTCATTTATTGAACAATAAATATTAATATGTAGTGAGACACTATATATGTATGAAGCATTGTAATAGATGCTCAGAATATGCAAATGAAAAAGATACAGCCTCTGCTCTCTAGAGGTCACAGTCCTGTAAAAAAGTAAGAGAGATTAGTAAAATAAACCAATAGGATACTTTTTACTATATCAGAAGTTTTCAGGGATTAGCCATGTGTAAAGGGGAAATAGGGGAAATGTAAGAAAAATTAAAAGAAAGAAAAATAAATTGACCTAATGATTTTTAAAAAGCTCATTGTTTAAATAAGCATGCAAGCCATAAATAAGACTTTCAAAAGGAAACTTCCATATACATTTAAGGTCATAAGCAAATGAAAATTTTCAGTCCTGTAGAAAAAAGAAAACGATAATTTAGAATTTGAAATACTGGAATCTTTCGTCAAATTCTAGTGGTCACCCAATATCACCTTGGATAGTTCATGTATTGGTTTTATATCAATTATTCTAGAAGAAAGACTTTTTTATGTTGAGAGAATCTTTATTCTTAGTTTAATTTTTTGATGACCAAAAGGAAAAAAAAATGTTTGCTATAGAGGTAATGGCTATCCTACATAATTTGGTACTAATAGTCTTCCTTCTTCCTGTTACGTTTTGGAGCAGCAGACTCGTGGTGAAATAATCCTTCTGCTTTATTTTTAATTTTTTACTAAATCTAAATCTCCTCATTAATATTCCTGGTTCACTTATTAGTCCTCCATAGTTCCTTCCTACATGTTGGCAGAAAAAGTTTCTATTAGACTTCACCTCAGTTTCCCTTCTCCATTTTGCTTATTTTCCAAAAACTGGTCCGATTTCCAGGCTCAGTTCTTCCCCCGTAGAGAGACCATTTATAGCCAATTCTGAAAAACTTAAGCACCAAGAGCCTCACAAGGGGCTTATTTTTGAGTAGCCCTTCTAAGATAATTGGTCTTTGAGCACAAATGGCCAGTAGCTGCCATTTGGACCCCATCTTTTTTTTCTGATCTTCTTCACTGTTAATCTAACCAAGATATAGCCAATGCTGAGCAACAGATATTACAATTTACTGAAGGCCACCTCCCTCCTGCCAAGACTCACAAGGCAATGGTATTAGGAAATGGGGCCTGTTGGGAGGTAATTAGGTCATAAGGGTACAGCCCTCATGAATGGGGTTAATGCTCTTATAAAAGAGATCTCAGAGAGTTGCCAGTCCTTTCCACAGGCTGTGAGGATGCAGCAAAAAGATTGCCTTCTAGGAATTAGGAAACAATCCCTCACCAGATACCACATCTGTCAGTGCCTTGATCTTGGACTTCTCAGCCCCTAGAACTGTCAGAAATGGATTTCTGTTGTTTGTAAGCCACTTAGTCTATGGTATTTTATTATAGCCAACTTAATGAACTGACATCATAACACTGTGTAGGCAAGTAGATGGGCAGGGAACAGCTATATGGACAAATAAGAAAGCACACAAGAGCTCTAATGACTTGTCAAGCATATTTGTCTTTGCTTAACCAAATTTAAGTCACAATTGGCTAGCTTAAATAAACTTGAAAAGTGCAATAAAAAGGACAAAAAAGACCTTCTTTCAGAAACTGGGCACTAAGCCACCCCTTTTTTTTGAGATGTATATTGTTATCAAGCAGTAAGATACATTTCTCACACTCTTGTCACCAGTTTTTTTTCTTTATATTCAGATATCCTATCATTAAATTATTACTAACTACCTCACAGTAAAACCATGTTTGCCACAGTAAGTACCATATTTGCCTCTTGGATTTTATTTAGTTTAAATGCACTGTTCTTTCTATGTTTTGTTCAAAGTGGATGTCAGAGTTAAGTGTAACTTTTAGTTTCAATCTACCTTACTGAAATTTTATAATGCCTTCTTTTCCATCCTGTGTTAAATCTCAGGATTGTGTTAAGTAGAGAAGCCCCATAAAAACATCCTGTAAGTAAAATGGAAAATAAGAAAATATCAAAAATACAGAAGTTTGACTTGTACTTATCACTATTAGGTAAGCAAATAACTGCATCAACCCCTAAGCCACTCAGTTACATTCTTTGCCCTAAATGGCTTCTAGCAGTGAAATCAACATTTCAAGCATAGTTTTCAGCAGTGTTGTCAGACATTTCTCAAGGTCTGAACCCTACACCATGGATGGAAGTTAAGTCTGGTAGGAAATATTTTTTTTTTCTTTCTCTCTGCTAATGAAGACATTTTCAAACAAAGATTTAACATGATTTTCTAGGTGGTAAAAATCTGATGTGTTTCTCTGCTTTTAAATTAAGGTAGTAATTTGGCAGTCACAAAAGTAATCTTGGCCATGTATCTAAAAACATAAAACCAAAACACTTGTAGCTGCCAGGTGTCTAATTTTCTGCTTGTCACACTCATGTGTATGAACTGAGAAGTCAGGCTGTTTTGTACAACGTCTGAAAGCCCAGTTCATACTTCAGCTAAAATAAAATTTTACATGGCCCACTCAGCCTTCTGTACTTATAGCTGCTTTCATATTATATTAAAAAAAAAGCACCCTTACCCAGAAGGATATAAAATTTATCAACTTTTAACTGGGGAATGCAAATTATTTGAAAGTAGAGCTTTCCTTATAGGCTTTATCTGTCAATGAATGGATCAGGTGACCAGTGTAATAATGATTTAATGAAATCATTCATATAAAAATTAATAAAATGTGCTTATTTTTCACCAATTCAGTTAGTAATTTGACTAAATCCCTAGCTGAATAGATCAAAATAGTGAACATACTGTGTGTAAATAGGCAGCATGCTCTCTGTCATCTCTGAAGGGAAATGATTTGATTTAAAGGGCACACAGTCTGCCTCCCATTCCAGCCTAACAGGCACACTGACAAAACAGTTGGCAGAAACTAAGGCCAGGTCCTCTGCTGGGAATTCTATATATGTTATCTTGTTAAATGCTCATTATAAGCCTGTGAAGTAATGTTAAAGAAAAACAAATATTTATGACACTTATTAAAGAGGATACAGAGGACTTTTATCTCAGTAGATATGGGGACCACTGCAATAGAGTCTCTAGGTAGAGGAGAGAGATTGGGATCAATTTTAACTCCAACAAGAACAAGTGGGGATTTACAGCTAAGGAGCAGGTTTGGGGGGTGGGGGCGGTCACAGGATGAATATTTACTAAGAGAAAATATCAGAGGTAAGGGAGATTCTTGCTAGGCCAACTGAACAGAATTCTTGCTGAAGGGAAGCCAGGGTGAGAAGATATTGAGTCTAGAGGATAAGGAATTTGATCAGGTATAGAAGGTGGTCAAATACAAAGAAAGGGGAATTTTTTTTTTCTAACTTGACTAAGCAGGATTCTTGCTCAAACTGAATTCTACAAGGACAATAATGAAAGACCAAGGTCAGGCCTAGTCCAACAGAGGGTTCAGAGAAGATAAAGTTAGGTCAAAGGCTGTGCTCATGCCTATAATCCCAGCACTTTGGGAGGCCAAGGTGGGAGAATCCCTTGAGGAGGACTTGAGTTTGAGATCCCGGTCTACAAAAAGCGTAAAAATTAGCTGGGCATGGTGGCACACACCCATAGTCCTAGTTACTCAGGACACTGAGGTGAGAAGATTGCTTGAGCCCAGGAGTTTGAGGTTACAGTGAACTATGATCGCACCACTGCACTCTAGCCTGGGCAATAGAGCGAGACTCAGTCTCTAAAAACAATTTTTTTAAAAAAAGTTAGATCAAGGGGAGACAGTCTTTGTCAGCAGATATTTTAAAATTTAATAACATAGATAAGGAATGTGATGCTCTTTAAAAATAGTGTGTTTATAACTATTAATTGATTTAATTCAATTTCCAAGCCTTCTTTGTTCTTCAGCACTACCATGATTTGTTAACCTGAGAATAGGATGAAAACTTTCGTATTATTTAAAGAAGAATGCTGAAAGTTTCTAACAAAAAGGAGTATAAAATATAAAACTCACTAAACAAACAATTCATTTTGAGTAAGTAATTTTAAAATTGAGCAAATGGTAATCCCAAGGCCTTAAAAGTACAGGAATATTTTATTCATCAGGCAAGAGGAAAGTAAGCAAATCAAAAAGTACCTGCTTATTATCGCCTCAATTCTACTAAAAGTTTGAGCAGACCCTGATTTACTAACATTTGCAGAGCTCTGAACAAAGAAGGGCAAATCAGATTAATAATTAATTCACATTTGACAAAAATCATTAGGCTGCAGAGCTGTTCCTATGAATTGCAGATCCCATCTGACATTCACCATATTATTGCTCATACCAATGTAGATATGGGCAAATTAGCTGTGAGTTGCTGAAAACCGGTTAGCTGAAATACAGATCAATGCTGTTATTATAAAGACAAAACTAGCACACAAAAATGCGTTCCTCCCACTGTCTAACATCATCCATATTGATGTTTTCTGTCAATACATAATAATACACTGTCACACTTGATGGGACAGGGGGAACAGATTACATAGAAATTGCACTGGAATATGTTTTTGTACATTGTTTCTCTGGAACAGTATAATCAAAATGATTATTGATTCAGGAACTTTGACTGCTTGTCCCAACATGATGCATGAGGTATGGCAGGAGAAGTTACGTATTTTTATTCATTTTACAGTTGTGTTTAAAAGTGTTGGTTTAAAGAAAAAAAAAATCTGTAACTTACTCTTTATCTTCTTCCCTTGCTTCCACTTGCACAAGGCAAAACCCATGGAGTGGTTCATGATTTTTCATGCTCTCTCTGCAAATACATTTCTCTCCTCAACAGTTCGAAATGAGCTTTTCTTCGTCAATTTTTTACCATCTTAGATAGTGTTGCCATCATTTTTCACTGGCTTCCAGGTTGCTGTAGTATTCTCCTTCCTCGTTTCCATGCGGTCCAAGTGGAGTTAGTTGATATTACTCTTCTGATCAAAATTTGCTGTGGTTTCCCATATCACTGAATGAAATCAAGGTCTCCTTAAGACTCGCAGTTGCTCCTAAAGCTCAATGCTTCCTTACCCCTCGGATCTCTCATCACCCAATCTGCCCTGTTCCCTTTCTGACCCCATCTCCTGCTACTCTCCCTTATCCCTTGCACTGCTCAACAGCCATAGAGTCCAATTTGTTATTGTCAGAACCTTTTGGAGACGCATCTGACTTTCAGCCTTTTTATTTGTACCTTCCACCACCTAGATAGGTCACTTTCTCAGTGAGTCTTTCTTTGATACCACTCTATTCATAACTGTACCTTAATTCCTTTTTTCTCTTTTCTGCTATGTATTTCCTTTGAAATTATAATTAAAAATATGCTGCACATTTTACATATATTTTCTTCTTCATGAATCATTTAAATATAAGCTTTATCAAGGCACTGATTTTCTGTGCGTGTAGTGTTGATAGCATTTTTTTTTTCACTATTAGTGTCTTTGGCATCTGGAATAGTTCTTGGCACATGGTAGCTTTTCAATAAAATATTTCCTCAATGAATAAATGAATTATTCAATCAAGAAAAACATACTTCAGAGTCCTAATAATTTAAAATACTAAATATCTTCCAAAAGTAGGTGTTTATAGACAAAAATTCTAATTTTTATCTTATCAAAGCAGTAAACTCCATTTTATATTAGCCATTAAACAAATAACTACTGCGACGAATATTTTACTAATATTTTTCTATTTACCAAAGCAAATCACTGTTAATAGACCTCACTGAAATGGTGAAGGGTGTCATTATTCTGAATTGTTTATTCACAGATTTAGTCACCATTTAATATAACTGAATGGAAATATAAAGTGTCTAAAACTTACTGCTAAAAGTCTGAGAGCCATATCCAATTGAAAATCAATGTGAAATACGGAGAAAACATTTTTAACATTACATGGGTAAACATTTGGAACAATTCAATGTATACACAGATCTCTAGAAGCAAGTCTATCAGTAAGTTGAAGTATCCCTGGTCTTAACCCATTTGCCTCATTTATAGAAGATGGCACCTCCCCAATTTAGATTGCTTCATTCTTCCCCAAAGATATGCTTTAGGAGTAGCCTGGCATTATGACTCCTAGATAATTTAACAATAATAATTATTTTCTTAGAGATGAAAAAGATTATAGAGCTGGTAGAGTCAAAATCAATCAAAATACAACTGGAGGAAAACAGGCCCAAAACCTTATGCTCAGGATCAAACAGATCATTAATGGATGACCCAGACCAAAAGCCATGTCATCTGATTTGAGTCTTTGCTTTGATTATACTTGTATATTAGCATTAATTATATTACTTTATTCAATATAATACAAACATGAGAAAATGGGATACAAGACTTTTTGTTCTTTTAAGAATAAGTACCTCAGCCTGTAATCCCAGCACTTTGGGAGGCTGAGGCAGACGGATCACAATGTCAAGAGATCGAGACAATCCTGGCCACCGGCCACCATAGTTAAACCCCTTCTCTACTAAAAATACAAAAATTAGCCAGGTGTGGTGGTGTGCACCTATAGTCCCAGCTACTCAGGAGGCTGAGACAGGAGAATTGCTTGAACCAGGGAGGCAGAGGTTGCAGTGAGCTGAGATCGCACCACTGCACTCCAGGCTGGTGACAGAGCTAGATCCCGTTTCAAAAAAACAAACATAAATTTAAAAAAAAAGTACCTTAGATTACAAAATAAATAGTTGTACATTGCTACAATTTTAGAAATTGGAAATGCACAAATAATAGATTTACCTACAGCCCCACAACCCATGTGTAATGCTCTTCTCATTTAATATATTTAACATTCTTTATTTTATCCATTGAGATGATGCACATATTATTTGTTCATCCTTTCAATTTAATAATATATTTTAAATTGCATATTGTAAGTTGTTTTTTATTATAATTTTATAGTATCACACAGAAAAAAATCATGTGATATACCTTTGATATTTTCAATATGTATCCTCAGTTTTGAAGGTATTTCCAATTTCAAACTTACAGTGATTCAAATAAATCATTAGAATTGGAAGTATTACCACATTTCCTCCATACCTATGATGACAACCTCACTGCTAGACATATAGAAGTTACCTGACACAATGTTCATTGAATAGATAGTTTTCGTCTTTGCTGAATGAGGATTCATTACAATTACATTATTGCAGACTTTAATTAGCTAATAGAATTAATGATCTTAATATGTAAATAAAGAAATACAATTGAAGTTAATTGTCAACTGGATGTTCCTCATTTTTATACTAATTTATATTTAATGATGGAGATCATAATGTTTGGGCACATTTTCTGTTATTAGTTCTTCAATTTTGTCTTTGTCATATGGCAGAACTGGTTTTTTGCAATTACTTTCTTAATGACTTCCAACTAATTCCTTAACAATAGCTATATTTAAGTGATTGAAATATGAAATGAGCATGTTGAAGCATAGCCACTTGTTTCACTGCAGATGTTTTAAGAGTTCCAATCATAGATAATTACTATAATTAATAGAATTTTTTGATGCAACAATGACTTTTTTCACAGTTTTTACATGTTATTTTATCTCTGGTTTTCTTTCTATAGAAGCCTGGAATTTAAGTATATTATAAGTTTTAGTCAAATGGGTTTTTTGTTTTTAATCAAAATACAGCAAGTGTCCAGATGGTTGGGCTAAAGAAAAGTCTCTATGGATGTTCCATTTATGTTCTTAACCAGTAGATTTAACAAAAATTCAACAGCCAAGCTTTCTGAATTGTGATATTAACATATTTTCTTTCTTTAAAATAAATTCACCAGAACCAATATCAAGCTGCTTCTACTTTAGGATGCAAAACACTGTATTTTCTAAAACCTTCCTTTAAAAATTATATTAAAAATATAATACATTAAAATATTAACAATTATTTGTTCTATGTGATGTAATTATAGCTTTTTTCTGTTTTTACTTTTGGTTTATTTTCAATTTATTTCTTAAATAAGTATGTGACTTTTACATGTATTCTATATTATGTTTTTATTTGTGTTCATTTTCTTTATGTGCCTCTCAATTTAGTTTCCAACTCTTTAAGAAATATTAAAAAATCATCAATTTATTTTATTAGGCCAGGTGCTAAATAATAGCTTTATTATTAATACAATTACATTTATTCATCATAATATATTTACATTATAGATATTATTATAATGTTCAAATAGTGAGCTTGTATTTTCTTTTCTGATCCTTCTGATTCCAAAGCCTATGTTCTTTTGAATTTGACAAAACAACTTCCCAGGAGCTGTTCAAACATGATTTTTTATGATAGCCATGGAGGGTATATTTTAAATGATCCCAAGCAGAATTACTCCTACTCTGTGTGTTGTTACTGTGAACGGTCTGATATTTTATCTTACTTACAAGCTAACAAATTAGTCTGTCATATTTTCATAGATGCTAGTAGAAGACACAAGACTCCTAGGTGAGAGACAAAGGCCTGTATCACTCACTGCACAAAAGGCGGGATACACACTGGCATATTTGCTTGACTTCCTCTCACCCCACCTGAATGACATGGATGGGCACAGATGGATACCTGCTGCACAGGCTCTCAGGCAGCCCTGGGCTTAGGGAACCAGAATCTTCATAATGGTCAACAAGCATGTTTTTCTTTCACTCCACTGGGAAACAACACTATCTTCATCTTCCAAAGCTGTTATACTTACAAACAACATTGGAAAGATAGTCCTTAACAAAGAGCAATTAGTGCCTAACTTGCTAGATGCACCAAAAAGATAAAAACAAACATGGAAAATTGTCTCTTAATAATATCCATCCTTAGTTTCAACACTCATTTGACTTTTGATGAAGTTTTCCATGATTATATCAATCTGTTGACCACTCTAATCTGACCAACAAAAGCTGGGACCATAACTATTCATTTTTTCTCATACAGTAACTAAGTTTAAAACAAATAGGACTATAATCAGCAAGATGAGGTTAATCTGCAGCATTGATCTCAGCCATGGCCTAGGGACCCAGCATAAGCCCGCTAATCAAATCTCATAATCCAGCAAGGTCTACTTGCAAATGCCAGGTGGCTGTCTCTCTATATTGAAATTACCTCTTGGTCTAAGGAGTTAATTCACATGTAACAGGATATGTTAATGAATGTGTGACTCCGCTTTGGCTTACAAGGAGGAAATCCAGGGCAATTCTATTATCCCTAACAACCCTTGTTCAGTGAGTAGAGTCAGGCGTGAATTATTTCCATGGCTCAAGTGGTGTCATTATTCACTTCAGTGAAAATCAGGAACACATTTTGTACCATCTTTTTATTCATTTGAAAAAAAATATGACCACAGGGCCTGCAAAAATGTTGAGTCTATTATGCCTCTAGGAGATCTCCACAGTCATCCAGGATTACATGATATATTGTTGTTGTGTTCTTAAACCCTTGAAGGTCTCTTATGACCACCCCTATAGTGAAAGTTACTGTGTTTTGGCAAGAAAATGCCTGACTTCCACATAAGAAGTATAATCTGAGGAGTACACATGGTGTCTCTGGCAAGAAAGTATTGTTTAAAATTGTGAGGTCCCTGCGGGTGTGACTTACATCAGTCTGGGGATGCATTTGACTAGCTGGTTGTCCTTAGGCATCATAGTTACTTCAGATAATTGAGTTAACTTCTTGTTTGTATGAAGTGTCTTAGGTCAGTCTGTACAACCTGTCCTGTTTTTCCATGTCACAAGCCAAGTAATTCCTCTGCCTCCTGAAATTACTAGCTATAGGAGTGGGAGAAGAAGACATCTGTAGGAGCTGTGGCATGTTTTGCCTGAAGGTACAAGAACTGGGACCACCGCCTAATCTTTTCTATTGACTCTTCAGTAATGTTCAGGGGAATGGCAATTAGGGCATGGTAAGAGGCATCTAGCAGGGGATGGTACACTATATCAGAGGACCTCAAGACCACCCCTGGGTTCAATGATTCACTATAATGACTCATAGAACTAAAAGAAAAGAAAAGAAACTTGTTATACTCAATGTTATTATTTTATTACAGTGAAAAGATAACAGTCAAAATCAGCAATGGGAAAAGGCTCATGGTGCAAGGTACAAAGGAAACAGGGCCAAGTTTTCAGATGTCCCCTCCCAGTAGAGTTTCATGAGGATGATCTTAATTCTTCCAACAACATTGTCTAATGTTGGAAGTGTTGCCAACCCATGCCCTGCAGTAAAGGGATATTATTGGAGATCAGTCACACAGGCATGCAGTGCTGTGCAACTAACCTCAGATACTCATCACCTCCAGAGAAGAAAGAGTCCTTCACTGTAAATCACAATGTTAGGACAACCTCAACTGATTAGGGCATACAAAAGCATTTCTATCAAGCAGAGTATTCCAAGGGCTTAGCAGTTATCGCTCAGGATCCTGCCAAAGGATCCTCTTGGACAGAGGCCTTTCTTTGGAATGTGTAAGGTTTTGAGCCATCCAGGCCTTCTAAGTTAACCCTTTCTTGACCAGAAACCTAGCTACATTTAAGATGCTTTCAATAGTTTTGGAGAGCTACACAGTGTTTTATTTCATAAGGAAGGTTCATAGAGAAGTTTTGAAAGGCAAACATTATAAATGTCTCTTCCCCCAACCCCAACAGCTTCCGGGATCTGAGATGCTCCCTCCTCAGGTTCCTAAGTTGTTATTTCTCCTCCATTACCAAAATCTAGGCACAGCTCTTTATAATAGTTATGACTATACTATATTTTTCAATCAGCCCTTCCTTACACTCAAAATTTACATTTGAATTGATCACATACAAGAGGAAAACAATTTTATAAAATTACAGAAATATATTATATTCCTGACTTTGCTCCATGTGGGTAACTTTGGTGAGCAGTGTACTCAACTAAGTGATTATTAGCCTTATGGCAAAGGACTATGTCAACCCAACTAAAAACTCCAGAAGCCTAAGTCAGAATTAAGCTTATCTCTCCTAGGACACATCTTGGATGGGCTGCCACAGTAAAACTGCATCCATCAGGCAAACCTGGATTTGCCATTAGAAGAAAGAATGAACCATCATACTCAGGAATGGTCAGGACAGAATCCTGAATTTTTAAAATAGGTCCATTTACCACTCCTTTTTATTTTATCATAACCCATGGATCAGCCAAGAGAAAATGATCTTTTTATGGAGGCATACACATTCAATGAGCAAACTTCCTTACAAAGGTGTATGGACCTGGAATACTAAGTGAGCTGGACTCAGCCAACTTTGGCAAGACTCACAAATCTGGTATGCAATGGTTGCCCCTGCATCAGAAACAGAATCTTTTACTATTTCCCTAGTCTATAATTGTGAAGATATTTCCATGTTCTGTATGATGATGGATCCAGGCAACAATGGTGGCATTCTAGGTGTTGCAGTTTCCATCAGCAGCTTGATTTCAGTTAGTCTCATCAGGGAATGGACACTTACCATGAGCAACTGCATGAGTCATTCAGATAGTTTACCTGTTTTTAATCTGCTAGTTTGTAGTTTTCTAAATTTAAAACAAAACAGGTTGCAAGAAATATCCCAGGAATAAGTAAAACAAACAAACTCCATCAAGAGAAGCACCAGCCAGAGTTATTAAAAATTACTTGAGTTCTACCCACTGAGTGAAGTTACCACATACCTTTTCAGTTTTGAACAGCAAGTGCTGAGTTACAGCTACAGTAACTTAGTACATGTAATCAGTTTTCAGCTTAGCTAATGCATCAGTGAACCAGCTCCAAACATTTAAGGAGACTTCTGTGAATTGGTTTTACTGAAATGGCACTGTTGCTTCAGATGGCAGAATGGTTTAACGTTGTCCCTCAAAGACCTAACCATTACTTTTTCATGTAATGCTGTCATGCTACTGGAGGCCTGTTTATTCCTGAACTTCCATTTGACATGAGAAGTATTTTTGTCCTGTCTCATCTTGTTAGTCATTGAATTTCAGTTGGCCCACCCTAAATGGAGAACATCAGGTCACAGACTCATAAGACCCCTGTAAGTTAGGGATTCTGCTTTCTTTAATTATTAGCCATATAATATAGTATTATAATTACTGCTTTATTAGCGTTCTCCTTCAGTTCTACTTCAGTAGAAGTAGAACTACTACTTCTACTTCAGTTCTACTTAAGTAGAACACTAATAGGTACTTTTCAGTTGGTGTATACCTTGTAGCCATGTTTAAGCAGTATGAAATTAATGAGTGCTTCCAGATTTGCCTCACTTTGTCATAGGTTCCAATCAGCAAAATCATCCATCACAGAGTCCTATATCTCAAAGCTCATTTGGGATGTGATGTGCTGATATTATTAGTACTATTCTCCATGCAACCTTTCCAGATCAGGATAATCCCCTCTGGGATTTTGAGCATTCATAGTAAAATTATGCAAACCAAAGCCAAATATTCATTTAGCAGTGGAAGTCACAGCAATATTACATTAAGTTGGATGAAAGTTGGCTGTACTGACAACATCATATTTGCTTTCTTCCTGTACTGCGAAATTTGTCCAAATCCTATCAGTTGAATTCAGGTACCTCTGCTCCACAAGATGGGGATGTGTGTGCCTACATCAAACAGAGCCATACATGTTTGAGTGTCTCACCCCCCCCAAATTCCCCAGCTTATTCAGATGGATGTGTATGGCTGTCAGCCCTACTGGGGAAACAGGGATTTTGGCAAAACCCTTGATCTTTTTTCTTCAAGGGGCTAACTTTGGACTAGAGGGAAGAGATAAATTAGGGGGCAAAGGAGAAACGATTACTCCACATCGGTGAGCAAAGCTTTGCATTCACTTTCAATTTTGAGTAATTGCTTATTTGAGGATCAACAGAATGAACTTCTAATATTTTCAAAACACTATTTCAGCTTTGGAGTTCACTTGACCCAGCAGCTACAGCTACGTTGTTTCTGACTAGGCTGTACTATTTATGCCTCATTGTCAGGACACCCTTTCTTCCTCTGCAATCATGGATAAAAGTGAGCAAAAAAGTAGTCACCATTTGGACACGTTGTTCTGATACTACTTCTTTCTTTTTTTGTGATATAGACACTTTTACTTTCAAATATTTTCTATCTTGTGATTTAAAGTTTAACTTTAAACTTAAACTTGCATACTAAGTTTTATGTTAGTTTATATGATTGTGAATAAAGATAGTTTTACCTCCCAATATGGATAGCTTTTTGATTTTTGAGGCGGATAAGGGTTAGGGGATACATTATTTTACTGGCAAGAACTACCAGTGCCTTGATGAATAAAGGTAGTGAGGGTAGGCATTACTGTCCTGTTCCTGATCTTAAGGGGAAAGCATTCAGTCTTTCACCATTTACCATGATGTTAACTATGGGTTTTTCATGTTTTAGCTGGTTGATGGCGTTCCCTTCTCTTCCTAACTTCTAGAATCTTCTGATCCGTAGTCAGACATGTTATCCATTGAGCCACTGGGCCCCACTCATCTTCCTAAATTCTTGTGAGTTTTTATCATGACAAGATAATGGATTTTGATAATTTTTTTCTTTTGAGATGATTATGTTGTTTTTCCTTTCTTCTTTCTCCTAGGATTGGCAAACACAAATCATGTTCCAAGTTCTGCCTTCCACCTGTGAGTAAATACTTTTGTAAACAAATATTTACCGGAACACAGACGTGCCCATTTACTTACTCAACATAGCTGAATAATTTCTAACAGCTGTCACATGGACTGTAAAGTCTAAAATATTTACTATTTGGCTTATTATAGAAAAACATTTACCAAACATGATTTATTATATTAATATGATGAAGTCATTAATTAGTTTTCAGTTAATTAAACGTCCATCCCTGAGAAATATCACAGTGTTATAGTGTACAATCTTTTTAACAATTAATTGATATTTTGCTGATATTATATCAAGAATTTTTCTTTTCTTTATTTTTAGTGTTTGTATTTTTTTTAGACAGGGCCTCACATTCTCACAGAGGCTGGAGTGCAGTGGTGCCATTGTAGCTAACTGCAGACAACATCCTGGGCTTAAGCAAATCTCCCACCTCAGCCTCTCAAGTATTTGGGACCACAGGCACACACCACCATGCCTGATTTGTTTTTTTAATGTTTTTGTAGAATAGGATCTTTCTATGTTGGCTAGGCTGGTCTCAAACTCTCGGCCTCAAGCTATCTTCTCACCTCTGTCTTAAAAGTGTTGCAATTACTGGCATGAGGTGCCACCCTAGTCCTTGTTAAGAATTTTTGTGTATTTTTTATGATGCGTACTTATCTTTAGTTTCATTTTCTGTCATGTCTTTTGTCTAGATTTGGTCTCAGAATAATACTGACCTCCTAAAATAAGTTGGAAAGTAGTCCCCCCTCTTCAAAACTTTTGAAGACCAGTTGTGTATTGTTTATTCTTTAAATATTTTATAAAATTTACACATGAAACTACCTGAACCTGGGCTTATTTGAAGGGGACTATTTCTAATTACAAGTTTAATTTTGTTACTTATTTTATGGGTCTAACAGATTTTGTGCTTTGTGTTGAGTCATTTTGGTAGTTGGTACCTTCATAGGAATGTGTCTATTTTATCTAGGTTGTCCAATTTATTGTCATAAAGTTGTTAAGTATATCCACCTTTATCCTTTTCAGTTGTGCAGGGTTGGTAGTGATGTCTCTAGCTTTATTTCTCCTTTTGGTAATTTGTGTTGTCAATCTTTTCTTCTTAGTCAGTCTAGCTAAGGTTTGTGAGTTTTGTTAACATATTCCAAGAACAATTTTTTTGTTTCATTAATTTTATATATTGTATTTTCTTAATTTCATGGATATCTGCTCTAATCTCTATTATTTCCTGTCTTCACCTTGCTCTGGTTTTACATTCTTTAATTATTCACCTCATAATATAGTATTGTAATTATTGCTTTAATCAGTCATATATTTTAAAGAAGTTAAGAGAAGAAATAAACAAATACATATGTATTGCCTTTTGTTAATCAACAAAATATATTTAACACTTCTGAGATAGTGTTAAATATAATCGACATATATTTAACACTTCTGAGATTTTTTTATTTATTTCTGTGGGTTCAAATTACTATCTAATATCAATTCCTTTTAGTCTCATGGATTTTAGTATTCAAAGGAAGGTCTGCTATGAACAAACTATCTTAGCCTTTGTTTATTTCTAAGTATCCTTACCTTGCCTTCATTTTTAAAGAAGAGTTTTGCTAGAGAGAGAATTCCTTGTTTTCAAAGTGGGTTTGTTTTGCTTTTAGAACTTTGAATATGTCATTTCACTGTTTTGTGTGCTCCATTGTTTCAGATGGTAATCCAATGTATAAGCAATGGACTGTTTTATTCTTGGTGCTTTCAAGACCTGATGCTTTGTTTTGAACAGGTTGATACATCTAGGTATGTTTCTCTGTGTATTTATTCTACCAAGGATTTAGGGTCTATTTTTTATATTCAAAAGTATACAGAAATGTCTTCATTAATTTGGAAATTTGTCAGCTATTTTTTTTCAAATTTTTTGTCTCTTTCTCTTCCTTTGATTTTTTCTTTATACATATATTGATATACTTTATGGTGTTTTACTGATTTCTAAGGCTTTGCTCGTTTTTCTTTAATTTATTTATCTTCTGTGTTTTTTTTCTTCAGTTGAATAGTTTGTATTGATCTACCTTCAAACTCACTAATTATTCTGCCACCTCAAATCTGCTGCTGAGTTCTTCTGAATTTTCTAAATTTCAATTGCATTTTTTTTAAACTCCATAATTTCCATTTGGTCCTCTTCAAATAATTTATCTGTCCTTATTTTGTTTTGTGTTTGTTGATTCATTGTTATTACACTATTAACTCTTTAGGCATGATTTTCTTCTATTTTTAAACTTATTTTTCATAGCTTTTCTGAAGTCTTTATTTGATAAAATAAATATCTACTGACTGTTTCTCCCTCCTTAACTGTCCTGTATCTTTGGATGTCTCAATTTTTTTATAGACAGCATATCATAGCAACTCTGAATTCTATTTTTCTCCTTATAAATTGATGTTTTGTTTTTACCTTTTTATAAATTTGCTAGGATTGTTTGTTGGTTGGTTGTATTTTTTGTTTGTTTGTTTTAGGGTTCAGATTTACCTGAGCTAAATCTATGAAATCTGTCTCCTCCATAGTTTGTACTCCCTAATATCCATGTTAAGTTTTTGTTTGTCTGTCCATGTTTTGTTCTGTTTTTAATTCTTGCTAAATGTAAGTCAAATTTTCTAGCAGTCACTTCTGTGTCTGTATAATTAGGTGGCAAGCTAATGATTTGAGAGAAATTGTGCTCAAGAGCCTTGAGCCAGTAAGGCTTTTGGTATATCTATTTGTATTTAGAGATATACATTCAAACCTCAGGGTATTTTTTTCCAATCTGATATCTCTTTTACTTTCCACTGGTTCTTTTCAAGTATCCTTCATGACTGCACACAGAGTTGAGTTAAGAGTATATGGAGAGCTTGGGCCCTGTATAGTTTCCACCTTGCATGTCTGAAACAAGCATGTCTATGCCTCAACAATGACCACAACCTCAAGCAAGTAGAACCACTATTCCTCCCCGCTTCCAAACCACAAAGGTTGTCTATTTCATCAACAATGCCATTTCCTAAGAGAATTCTTTATCACTCCAAATAGAACTGTGAGGAGTAGCCACAGGCATGAACACTACAAATTCACACTGTCACTACCCAAAGTGAAGCAGTTCTAAAGCAGAAGAGCTTCTCAAAAATCGCCTTTGGTCAATTAAAAGAGCATAAAAATAGATGTTTTCATTAACTGTATTCCATTTTATCATTGCTTTTTGGAAGGGAAAATTTGCCAATCTCCTCATTTGTCCATAGCCAGAAGTCCTGCCTCTTTCTTCTTTACAACATTTCTAAAATTATTTGGTTAATAAGAAAGATCAAGTTAGTTTAGGGTGAACATGCTTGTTTCTTGGATGAGAAAGTTTTCTTTCTTTTCTCTTTCCTTTTTCCTGAAATTTACTAAAGTGACAGCTTTTAGAGTGGCACTATAAAGGGAAGTCAGTTACCATTTTCTTTTGGTACCTATTAGTACTCAAATGAAATGCTCTAGATTTACACTTTTTTTCTCCAATTCTATTGACAAGAATATGAAAAAATCTATTACTACAGAGAACATTCACCCTACTAGACAGAAATTTTAGGACTTCTTTGTTTTATCTCTATTTTTTTTTAATCTCTGGATACCTGTTTAGAAATAGAGGTTCAATGAAAGTTAATCTGATCTTATCATAAAGAGCCTTTGTTCTTTGAAGCAAATTAAAGAAAATTAATTTATTTTAAATGTTCTTTGGATGAGAATGGAAGGAGACAAAGTGTTTTTTTTTTTTTTTAGTGAAGTTTAGGAATAAAGATATTTTTTAAAAAGGTCTTTCTAAGTCACATATACTGTTTAAAGGGGGTCAATGATATGAAACAGGTTTCACTCAGGGAGAATAATATGAAAAACTGATAGTACAATATTGTAAAATACTTCATCAAATATACAGTGTTCAGTAAGAGTGTTAAACATAGTTTAAATATAATTTGAAATAAAAATTTTCTTGTTATAGGCAGTTTTTGCTTTCATTATTTTCGGTTATCATTCTTAGAATAAAAAAATACATGTATGCCATAGAAATTCTCATTGATTTGACATTATAACATCTGTAGTCAAGTCTTGGTTGTGCAATTTGAGGCAAATAATTAAATTTCTCTGAGTTTCATTTTACTTATGTGACATAAGGAATAGGAAATACCTCTCTTGTAGAAATGTTATAAAAAATAGAAAATAGCCGGGCGTGGTGGCTCACGCCTGTAATCCCAGCACTTTGGGAGGCTGAGGCGGGCAGATTAGCTGAGATCAGGAGTTCAACACCAGCCTGGCCAAGATGGTGAAAGCCGTGTTTACTAAAAATACAAAAAATTAGCTGGGCATGGTGGCAGATGCCTGTAATCCCAGGTACTCAGTGGGCTGAGGCAGTAGACTCACTTGAACCCAGGAGGCGGAGGTTGCAGTAAGCCAAGATTGAGCCATTGCACTTCAGCACAGGCAACAAGAGTGAAACTCTGTCAAAAAAAAAAAATAGATGATACAGTACAGAATACAAAACAAATATAACAAAAACTGTTTCTTCCCACCACCACATGGAGAGATGAGCAAGGGAGTAGCTATTTCCTGGAAAGTCTAAAACTTATTTAAGTCTTGGAAAGAAGCCCTTCAAAACTAGCCCTAAAGTCATTATATCGTTTCCTACTGAATATTTGGATCCAATGGGGGCTGAGTTTCCCAGATCAGTTGGTAAGGGTCTTTTGTGGCATGAAAAGGAGACGGTTTGGAAAATAGGAAGAAGAATAGGTGGAATCAGAAAAGCTTGTGGTATAATCTCTGATTACATTACACTTATAGGTGGCTGAGACTATTTTGGTCTTGATTCCAGAAAATCCTTTAGCTTAGAATTGAGTGAAGATAAGCACAAAGAACTGTGCTATGATTTGAATATGTCTCCCAAATTTCATGTGCTGAACACTTAATCCCCAAATTCATATGTTGATTGGAGGTAGGGTCTTCAGGGGGTAATTAGGATTTGATAAGATCATTAGAGTGGGGCTTCATAAAAAGAGAAAGAGAGACCTGAGGTGACAGGCTTGTTCTTGCCCTCGCACCATGTGATGCCCTCTGCTATGTTATGATGTAGTAAGGAGGTCCTCACCAGTTGCTGGCACTATGCTCTTGGGAATCCCAGCCCACAGAACTGTGAACTAAATAACTTATTTTCTTCATAAATTATCCAGTCTGTGGTATTCTGCTATCACAATAGAAAATAGACTAAGAAAATTGGTATAGAGAGGTGGAGTTTTTGCTATAACAAATAGCCTGAAAATGTGGAAGTGGCTTTGAAACTGGCTAATGGGTAAAGGCTGGAGCAATTTGGAGGAACAGACTAGAAAATGACTGTATTTCCACAAACTAAGCATTATGGGCAATTCTGGTAATGGCTCAACAAGAAGACTAAGGGAATTCTGCAACTTCTTTGAAATGACTTATGTGGTTGTGTCTCAAAGAACATGGCTGACATGTGCTCATGCCCAAGGGCTTTATAGAATGCAGAATTTCAGGGCAATAAACCAGGTTATATGGCAGAAGGAAATATCTAAGCAGCAAAGCATTCAGACTACTGCATGGCCACTTTTAAAGACTTACAGTAAGATGAGAAACAAAACAGAGCATGAAAATTTGCAAGATTCACAGCCTGGCCATGTGGTAGAGAAAGAAAACATTTTTCAGCAGAAGAAACCAAGAATATGGTCCAGTGACAGTTTTCTAAGAAGATTAGTACTGACAAAAAGAATCAAGACAGTGGGAGAAATACCCTGCAGTCATTTCAGAGATCTTTAAAACTGCCTTTTTATCATGAGTCCAGAACTCTAAAAGGGCAGAATGATTTTGGAAAATGGGTCTCTGCCCAGAGCTTCCTTGGTTCTCTGCTCCTTGCATTTCAGTGTAGTGCTCCTCAGCTACCACAGCTGTGGCTGAAGGAGCCCCAAGTGTGGCTCCAGTCTTCACTCAGAAAAGTACAATCATAAAAGTTGGCAGCATCTATCTGGTGATCATTCTGCAGGTATGCAGAATGCAAGAGGAGTCATGGCCTAGATTTCAACACCTAGATTTCAAAGGGTGTTGCAAACAGCCTGGGGGACAAAGTAGAGATTTGTTGCAGACATAGAGCCACCACAGAGTACCTGCTACAGCAATGCTGAGAAGAAATGTGGGGTCACCAAAAGCAAATGCAACAAAAACAAAAATAAATAAATGGGACCTAATTAAACTAAAAAGCTTCTGCACAGCAAAAGAAATAAAATCAACAGAGTAAATAGACAACCCACAGAATAGGAGAAAATATTTTTCCAAATTACAAAACCAACAAATAACTACTATCCAGAATATACAAGGAATTCAAACAAATCAGCAGGAAAAAAAACAAATAATCCCATCAAAAAGTGAGCAAAGGACAAAAATAAACATTTCTCAAAAGAAGAGATACAATAAAGGCCAAGAAGCATATGAAAGAAGAGGCCAAGAAGCATATGAAAAAATGCTCAACATCACTAATCATCAGTGAAATGCAAATTAAAACCACAATGAGATCACCTTGCTTCTGCAAGAATGGCCATTATTAAAAAGCCAGCAAACAATAGGCATGGGTGTGGATGTGGAGTAAAAGGAACGCTTGTTCACTACTGGTAGGAATGTGAATTAGTACTACCCCTACGGAAAACAGTATGGAGATTCCTTAAAGAACTAAAAGTAAATCTACCATTCGATCTAGCAATCCCACTACTGGGTATCTACCCAAAATAAAGTAAGTTGTTATATCAGTAAGACACTGGTGCACGTATGGTTATAGCGGCACAATTCACAACTGCAACAATGTGGAACCAACTTATGTGCCCATCAACTAAAGTTGATTAAAAAAATGTAATATATATATACACACACATACCATGGACTATGACTCACCCATTAAAAAGAATGAAATGATGTCTTTTGCAGAAACTTGGATGGAGCTGGAGACCATTATTCTAAGTCAAGTGACACAGGAGTGGTAAACCAAAAACCATATGTTCTCACTTATAAGTGGGAACTAAGTTATGTATACGCAAAGGCATACAGACTGATATAATGGACATTAAAGACTCAGGATAGGGAGGGTGGCAGGGAGGCTCAGGGTAAAAAATTACACATTAGGTATAATGTACACTACTTGGGTGACGTGCACTAAAATCTCAAAATTCAACACTATATAATTCATCCATGTCAAAAAATCCACTTGTACCCCCAAAGCTATTGAAATAAAAAATGTAAACAAAAAAGAAATGTGGGGTCAGAGCTGCCACAGAGAGTGCCCACCAGGCAATGCCTAGTAGATCACTATTGGGACTCCAGAACTGCACAGCCACCAGTGTGCCGTTGCAGACTGGGAGAACTGAAGTGTGGGTTGAGCTGAGTAAAGCCATGTGTCAGGCTGCCCAAAGCCTTGGGAACACAACTTTCACCTCCATGTATCTGAGAGGTGGCACACAGAGCGAAAGATTATTCTTTAGTTTTTCAACTTAATTTGTGCTCCTTGTTGGGTTTTGAACTTACTTGGGATCAGTTGCCCCTTTCTTCTAGCCTCCTTCCCTCTTTTGAAATGGAAATGTCTATCCTATGCCTGCCCCATCATTGTATTTTGTAAAGTACTTAACTTGTTTTGATTTCACAGGTTCATAGCTGAAGAAAATTTGCCTCAGGATTAATCATGCCTTAAGCACACCCATATCTGATTTAGATGAAACTCTGGACTTTGGGCTTTTGAGTTGGTGCTGGATCGAGTTAAGACTGGAGTTGTTGGGATGGATTAATGTATTTTGCACATGAAAGGAGATGAATTTTGGGGGCCAAGTGTAGAATGCTATGGTTTGAATGTGTCCCCCAAACTTTATGTGTTGGAAACTTAATCTCTAAATTAATATGTTGACTGGAATTTCAGTCTTTGAGAGGTAATTAGAATTAGATAAAGTCATTGGGATGGGACACTCATGATGCGACTTGGGGCTTTATAAAAAGAAGAAGAGACCTAAGGTGACAAACACACTTTTTCTTCTTAATATGTGATACCCTTTTGCCATGCTATGGTGCAGTAAGAAGACTTTCACCAGGTGCTGGTGCCATGTTCTTGGACTTCTCAGTCTCCCAAACCATAAGCCAAGTAAGTTTATTTATAAGTTATCCAGTCTGTGGTATTCTTTTATAGTAACAGAAAACAGACTAAGGCAGAATACTACAGCATGTAGTGTGCATGACTGTGGCAGCAACTCTAATGGCATACCCAGATGCGAAGTGCTGAAACCTTACTATCCTTGGCAAAATTTCTAAACTAGTTTCCATTGTCAGAGCTTCTACATGAGTTAAAGACAGTCAATAACTTCCTTCCTCACCCACAAATCTAAGGATGCACATATTGTACCATAGTCTCCCACAGTCCATTTGCTGGCATTTTTCAATAATTTTACCATGACACTTGACTTTGAAGAAGTGGACTTTTTTATCAGTGAATGTATATTTTTGGTTAGGGTTCACAAGAAACATGTTGGATAGACTTTGGAGAAGAAGAATCTTTTCACAAACCACCGATAAGACTCAGAATAAAATAAAGCCTGGTCAGCATTTTGCTACAAGTCAGTTCCCTGTTCAAGCACCCAGAGCCTCACCTCTAAAATAAGATGTGAAAATTATGCCCCTGCATTTGCATATGGCTGTACAACTGGGTATCGACATAATAGGATCTTCAATTCAAATATCTTTTCCATGATTTTTATCCAGCACCCTTGATTGAGCTCTTATGATATTAAATCTTTCTATCCTGATATCTAAAATTTTCTGAAGCATGTTTTCAGATGATATTCTTATGGTGTATATGTACTATCAATTCCTGCTGAGAATTAAAATTTTATGTAATATAGTTTTCAAGATTATTTCATTTTTGTAATAAATTTATGAGGTACGCCATGCCAGTACTATTATTACTAAATGAAAGGTGAGCAGCGGCACAAACACAAAAAAGTATTCTAGCTATAAAATAAAATAATTTCATGAAAACAATGGGGATAGAACGTTGTTTTATAATGCTCCTTATAATGCTGGTGATTGGAAACTGATCTAACACTTGTAAACCAACTGTTTTGCATTTCTTTGGATAACAGGACTTAAGAGGAAAAAAATAATAAAAGTTAAAATTTCTCAACATATATAAAAATGAACAGTGTTTTCATAGGTTTTTCTCTTTAATTACATTTCCTCTGGGCATACATGCATAATTTTTCAGTAGACATTAGGGATTTTAAAATGGTTTGTAGCCCACATCCTTGAGGGAGAAAACACAAAACGAAACTTATTCTCCAAGCTAGGTGTAATTTGCTAGCATTGCATATTCAGGTTACTTATGGTGGAATGATGTGGCATATTATTTGCCTCTTATACTCTGTTTTCTGAATACTTACTTACTAAGGAATAACACACTAGTTGAAGTCCATTTTAAACGCATGTACAGTGTAAAGTATTTAAATAAGAGACTGAATTTATAAAAGGCAAGATACCCTAGTGTAGAATAAGTGGCACCGTTCTGAAGTGAAATTTTTATTTTTTATTTTTATTTATTTATTTCTTTTGAGACCCAGTCTTGCTCTGTCGCCCAGGCTGGAGTGCAGTGGTGCGATCTCGGCTCACTACAAGCTCCGCCTCCCGGGTTCACGCCATTCTCCTGCCTCAGCCTCCCGAGTAGCTGGGACCCGAGTAGCTGGGACCACAGGCGCCCGCCACCACACCCGGCACATTTTTTTTTATTTTTTATTTTTAGTAGAGACGGAGTTTCGCCGTGTTAGCCAGGATGGTCTCTATCTCCTGATCTCGTGATCCGCCCGTCTCGGCCTCCCAAAGTGCTGGGATTACAGGCGTGAACCACCGCACCCGGCCTTGAAGTCAAATTTTTAATAAAGAAATTACTCAAATATATATTTTACTTATGCGATGTGTTTCTAATAAGATATTTTAGGAGAATTTAGAAAGCTTTAAATAGGAAGATGACTAGATTTTCATTCTATGTAACTCAGTGGTAATCTGACCCAATACTCTTCATTTTCAGCCTGCAACATCCGACAGCTTCAGTTATTGTGAGTAATTGTAACCAAGGCAACATGACAGGGAATAATTAATGACTGGAACTTATCTTCAAAATATGAAGAACATTCCCAATAATAAATATTGGAATAATAACAATACCTCATACCTCTCTCTACCTTCAACGCTCTTGAAACATCTCCACAAATTAATAATAGTGATTTTGCATACAGGAGGATATGATTGACATGCATATAATATTAAAAAGAGAATTAATTATAGTAAAATTGACATATTATTAAATTTATATCAAAAGCTTTCCTAAATCTCTACAAATATATAACAGCAGATGTTCTCCCTCTTTCTATCTCTTTCATGCCCATCTAAGTTGAAAGTTGTGTGAAGGTATTCCATATAAATAAGATATTCGAGAGGAAGTAGATTTAGCAGTCAGATTATCTTGGCTACAAATCATATACTAGCCTTCTGACCTTGGGAATTCATGACATTCATTAATCTTTTTCGCTCTCAGTTTCTTTTAATAGGAAAGTAAGGTTGATGTTAAAAACATCAACATATTAATGTAGTTGTTGAGAAAATTATATGAAAGTGTGTAAGTAAAGTGTGTATCTTAGTACCTTCCAACCAAAGAATAAACATTCAATAGATTAGTTTGTAGGCCCATTAACACATAAATGTGTCATATATGGGGCATTCTTCTAGATTCTGTGATATAGCAGCCCCTGATGCAAAAGGAAGTTAATTTTGAATGCGGCCTCTCCTGATGGGAGAGGGTGGGAGCCCAGAATTAACAACTGACTTGTCTCACCAACTCAGAGTGAGCAATTATAGCCACTAATTTTTTACTTTGTTTTTATTCTATATTTTTTATTTTCAATTTGATGCATAGGGCTTTGTTATTTCTCTGTGTGTGTGTGTGTGTGCGTGTGTGTGTGTGTGTGTGTGTGTAAAACAGAACCCAGATTAATTCTTGCTTTTTTTTGTTTTCAAATCTATCACTACCCTCATATTTGATGAATGTTGCTTTCCTTAGATGAGTTGGGTTTTGATTTTTCTTTATTTTAATTGAATTTTTTAAATATTTAGTTAACTGTTGGTTCACGTGCAGTTGTAGGAAATAATACAGAGAGATATTCCATGCCCTTTACCCAGTTTTCTTCTAGTGGTAACATCTTTCAAATTTGTAGGACAATATCACAACCAGGATATTGACGTTGATACAGTCAAGGTACGTTTCCTCCCCACAAGGAAGCTTCACTGTGTTCTTACATAGCTGCCTCTACTCCCCGACAACTTCATAACCCTAAACCCCTGACAACCACTAATCTTCCATTTTGTAATTTTGTCAATTCAAGAATATTACATAAATGGAACCATACAGTATATAACCTTTGGAGATTGGCTTTGTTGTTGTTGTTGTTTTAACTCAAGATACTACCCTGGAAATTCATTCAGGTTGTTGTGTTTATAAGTTTATTCTTTTTTTAATCACCAAGTAGTATTTCTTGACATGGGTGTACCATGATTTGTTTAGACACACACTTGGTGAAGGACATCTGGGTTGTTGCCAGATTTTGGCTATCATGATTAAAACAGCTATATAAACATTTGTGCACAGGTTTTCATGTGAGAATAAGTTTGCATACCTCTAGGTAAATATCCGGGAGTGCAATTGCTGGGTTGTATGCTAGTTGTATGTTTAGTTCTGAAGAAACTGCTGAACTGTTTTTTGAAAGTGGTTGTACCATTTTACATTCATATCAGCAATGTATGAGTGATCCAGTTTTTCTACTTCCTTGCCCAGCATTTGGTGTCATCAATGTTTTTCATTTTAGCTGTTCTTATAGGTGTACAGCAGTATCTTACTGCAGTTTTAATTTGCATTTTCCTAAAGAGTAGCAGTGTTGAACATCTTTTTCTGCCTTTTTTAAATTTGAAGGATGAGTTACTATTTTTTTGCTTAATAATAAAGCTATTGATGTTCTACACTTTCTATGATTTTATAGAATGACTTTATTTTTACATTTTTCTAAATATACTATAATAGTAATTTTCATTCTTTCCTTGATCTTATAGTTTGTTTTTGTTGTTGCTTTGTTTACCAGAACTATTAACACTCATTTTTTTAAGAACGATTTTCTTTATAGTCATATTGTCAAACAGGAATTGAAAAATGTCATGTTATGCTATTATAAAACTTTGTTAAAAAATTGCATACACACCCAAAATCTGTCAAAACTTGATGCATTCTAAGTTAGCTCATATTTTCCATTTTTTTCTTTTTTTATTATACTTTAAGTAACAATCATTTTTTTTAGAACTACTCCTTCTCATGCAGTTTATTCTTATCTGAACTTGACTAAATTAAGTGATACCTAGAGAGTTGGTAAAGCATTATTTCTGGATGTGTTTGTGAGGATGTTTCAGCAGAAGATTGGTGTGTGAGTTGGTGGACTGAATGGCCAAGTTCCACTCTTAATATAGGAGGGCATGGAGAGAACAAAAAGTCAGGAGAAAGGCAAATTTGTTTTAGCTGATCCTGAAACTTTCAGGCTTGATCAGCCATGCTGCTGGGTTCCAGGTTCTTCTGCTTGCTGACAGCCTATCAGGGGCCTTCTCAGCCTCCATAACCATGTGAGCCAATTCACCTAATAAGTCCCATCTCATCTATCTATCTATCTATCTATCTATCTATCTATCTATCTATCTATAATTTATCCTTTATGTTGGTTCTGTCTCTCTGGAGAACTCTGACAAACACAAACACAAAAAGAGAAAACTGCATATAGGATGACAACCCAAGGAAATGTCTTATTTGGATAGTTAATACAGAGTACAATCTACAACCAAAATCGTCCCACTGTTCTTCGATTTGATAAGGTAGATGAGACATACCTAGAAGAAATAACAAAGGAAAACATCAGAGAAAAGAAATTTTTTTCAGGATCATTCAAATAATTTTTTATGTTATGCTAAAAACATTTTAATGTTAACTACTATGCCATGGGATAAGGGTGGAGGGACTTGGGGCATTAACTTTTCATTCTGGAATTTTTTGTTTTTTAATATTGGAGTTCACTGGTTGGTTTTAAACTATATCTTGGGTGACAAAATATATAAGTATTTTGCCTATTTAATTGACTTCTTTGCATATAAATCAAAATATTTACTTTGAATGCACAGTTGACTCCTGAGCAACGCAAGAGTTAAGAGTGCCAACCCGCTTGCAGTAAGAAGTCCACTTATAACTTTTCGCTTTCAAAAAATGTCGCTACTAATAGCCTACTATTAACCAGAAACCTTACTGATAACATGTATGACTGATTAAAGACTATTTAGTATGTCATATATATAATACCCTGTATACTTACAATAAAGTAAGCTAGAGAAATGAAAATATTATTAAGAAAATCATAAGGGAGGGAAAATACATATACATCCTCATGATCTTAACATGAGTAAACTGAAGAGGAGGAGGAAGTGGAGGGATTGTTCTTGCTGCCTGAAGGGTGACCAAGGTGGAAAAGATGGAGAGAGTGAAAGGAGAGGCAGACAAATTTGGTGTAATTTTCCTCTGAAATATGTCTGAATTATCCTTAATTCCATCATTTGCTTTACTTTCAGTGCCCACATCATAAAAGAGTCCACATTATAGTAAAAAAAAAATCAAGAGTAATTTTGGGTTATCAGAATCCTTCTGGCAAATTATCTAATATCAATCTGTTTTCCAGCATTACTTCTTCTACAGCTCTTTCTTCATCATCTGACACTGGTTCAGAAGGACTCATCTCCACTAAATCATCTTTTGTTAATTGCTCTGCTGTGGTATCTGTTAGGTCTTGAATTTTTCCAAGATCCCTATCTCAAAATGCTTCACTTGTCTCCCTTTTTGCCATATTCACCATCTCTTTCATGATTTTCCTTATTGGCTTTATCACAAATCTTGTGAAGTTATGCACAGCTTCTGGAAACAATTTTCTCTGGCAGGAATTTATTATTTGGAGCTTAATGCCTTTCACAGCATTTTTTGTAACATCAATGACGTCCATGGTGTAATTCCGCCAAACTTTCATGGTACTCTCTCCATTGGGGTTCTCTTCCATAACATTGACAATTCTTTCAATTAAGGTCATGTGTAATAACCCTTAAAGGTCTTTATGATCAGGTCTCAAGACCCTGATCCAGAGGCCAACTTAGAGACATTGTGTTTTGGGGCAAGTAGACCACTTTGAACTCATGAGGTTCTGGGTTACCAGGGTCATTGTCCAATAACAAAAGGACTTTAAAAGCCGGTTCCTTACTAGCAAGCTTCTTCTTGACTTCAGGGACAAAGCATCATTTGAATCAACCCAGAAAAATAATTTTCGTTGTCCAGATCTCCCATTGTACAACTAAAAAACTGGCAGCTGGTGTTTGTCTTTTCCCTACAAAGCTCCAAGTTTTGCAGCTTTATAGATAAGACCAATCCTGATTATAAACCCAATTTCATTTGCACAAAACAGTAGAGTTAGCCTATCTCTTCCTGCCTACAATTCTGGTGCTTGCTTCTATTTCTTACTAATAAATATCCTTCACAGCATATTTTTCCAGAATAGGGCACATTTGTCTTCATTAAAAACCTTTTTATACAGATTTTCTTTCTCCTTAATGATTTTCTTTATGGTATGTGAGAAATTGTTTTCATACTTTTGGCCTGCAGAAGCCTCTTCTGTATTCTTAAAATTTTTTAACCTAACCTCTTTCTAAAATTATCAAACCATCCTTTACTGCCATTAAATTCTCCAGCACTAGATCTTTCATCTTTGTTTTGCTTTCAGTTGTCATATAATGATTTTGCTTTTTCTCAAATCTATTAGAATTGTTAGGTATGACTTTCTTATAGCAATTTTGCACTCATGTGAAAGCTGTATTTTCCACTATGAAATGAAAGGCATTTTGCAAAAAGTGCAAGGTTATCATGCCTGCTGGCATAAGCTACAATGATGATTTCACAAATTTTCTTTTTTTTAAAAAAATGGTCTTTAGGCTTGGTATGTTTTAACCTGAAATGGTGAAAAACCTCAGCTGCAGACCTCACTCTGTGGTACATATCAAGGAATTGAATTTTTTCTTGTAATGTCATGATTTTTCTCTGTTTCTTGGGGGTACATCCAGCATCACAAGTGGCACTTCATATGGGTCTCATCCTGTTATTGGCAATTTACCATATTGCACTAAACACAATAAAAAATATGTGAGAAACTTGAGGGATCACTTTTACTGTGATATGCATTTTACTAAAGAGAGGAACTATGAACATGAAGAGAATTACCTTCACAAAATGTTTTAACCAGATTCAACACTTGAACTCACCACAATAGCAATAGAAGGTGGCTACAAATTTAGTATAATAGCATAGTATGTATTAAAGCTACTTTTATGCAGTTATGATTTAACAGTGCATCTTTACATCTCTTTGGACTGAAATAACACCATGTATGGTCTGTAAGTGTTTGTGTGCATAAGTTTTTATAAATTTTAACTATAATAGATTTATGTATATTTAATCATGGTAAATAATGTTACAGACTAGTATATAAACATTTTATGTATTCAGCACATAACTATTTTTTTTCAATATTTCTAGGCTACACAGTTCATCTGAAAATTTTTTAAAATTGTTACAAATCTCCAAAACAAGTTTCCAATATATTTACTGAAAAAAAAAATCCACACATAAGTGGATCCATGTAGCCCAAACCTGTGTTGTTCAAGGGTCAAATGTACTGTGGTGTTTTAGATCATCTTAAGTTCCCTTGCTCTATCTTAAAAGTACACAGATCATTTGAACAACAAAATCAGGGATTTGAAGAGAAGTTACTTTTTCTTACTTGTATATTCTTGTGTTGTGACACATAAGCAATCATGAGGTTGAAGCAGGTGGGAGTGGTTAGAAAAAATAGCTTTAGATAGTTGTTAATGTAATCGTAACAAGAAATGGTGCTTAGATGACAATGCTGCTTAATACCAAGATTCTATATTTGCATTTTGACTTTAAAAGTATCTGTAGAGACTCAGCACAGCGGCTCACGCCTGTAATCCCAGCACTTTGGGAGGCCGAGGCAGGTGGATCACGAGGTCAAGAGATCGAGACCATCCTGGCCAACATGGTGAAATCCAGTCTCTACTAAAAATCCAAAAAAAAAAAAAAAATAGCCGGGTGTGGTGGCATGCACCTGTAGTCCCAGCTACTCAGGAGGCTGAGGCCGGAGAATCACTTGAACCCGGGAAACAGAGGTTGCAGTGAACCGAGATTGCGCCACTGCATTACAGCTGGGGGGCAGAGCAAGACACCGTCAAAAAAATAAAAATCTATAGAATAGCTTCCTTCCTATGTGTGTTTGTGCACACACACCCATGCACACATGCACATATGTTATACATGAGTATTAGTATTGGCATTAGTAATAGAGTTCCATCTAGTGTTTACAGATATTCTAAATCATAGGTAAATTTGTGTTTTCTTATTTAATTAAAAAATCATTTCAGGATAAACGTTATTAATTAAACATATTTACTTACCCATTCAGCCCTATTAAAACAGAAAAGTGAAACATTTTAAAGGATTATCAAATCATGATAAAAATCTTGCTATTGCTATTATAAAATAGAATAGGTTTATAAATGCTCAGGTAATTATAACTAATATGTACAATTAATGCATAATTAATATTATAAAACTACGATTTTATTAACAGGAGAAACTAAATTATTTGCTTATTATTTAGTGTTCAGAAATCTCTACATTTTTGCAGTGTTGCTCAACTTCAATTTGTCTATGAAATTCTCAAAGTTTCCACTGAAGTTAATTACAATGGCATTCAAAATGCTAAACACAAAATGCCTACAAGCTATGAAGTGTTATATAATTTTAAAACCAGGTTACTCACACAATATACAATTAGTTTTACTAACCCTTTTGGTTTTGAGAGATCTTATTGTGCAGCAATAAAGTTTTGGTGGTAAAAATGAGTCCCAGTGTAATGGATCATAATAATAATTGTGTTCAGCTAAAATATTGAAAACCCTAAGCAATAGAACTGCAGTCTGCTCATGTGTTAACAGTTCTCTAAATATCTGGAAAATATGATTTCCTTTTCATGCCAATTTCTATATAAATTTCATTGATTCCCTCATTCAACAGTGTTCATTAGCCCCCCAGAACTGTTCCAAATTCTCTATATATGTACAATGGGAGAAACTGTTAATCATTTCCCTATATCCATTATTCGTATTTTCTTTTTAAGGAGTGAAATACATCACCGCTTTCCCTGCTCCCGCCGCCATTAAAATTGTGTTTGGCATCTGACCACCAAGATACAGATATTTCCTAGACTGTTTTGCAGCTAGGTACTTAGGTAAGTACTGCCCTGAGATTGAATTTAAACCAACGTATGTAAGCATAAATATTGTGTCCAAATTGTGTACAACTTCTTGGTCATCCCTTTAAAACTAAACCTGTTTTCCCAGCACTGCCTCTTTTTCCATTCTGCAGATAGTAATGAAGATAGGGGCCACCATTCCCTGTGAAAATCAAGTGGGAAAGTCCTGAGTCCTTTAATGACTTTACAGAGGACAGAATAAACTCCTATCATATTCATGCAATTGTGCCTATGGGTCTCCTGTCTTGTTGTTAGAATGGATTTATTTGAACACTAACGAATATTGATAAGTATAAAAGAAAAATAAAATATAGTCTTTGGCCTAAAGGATACTCTAATCTGATGAACCAGCCAAAAAAATGGGCAACTGTATATAATGCAGAATCTCTATCATGATAGATGTCTGCAGAAAAGATGTGGTCACCGAAGAAATTCTGCCATGAGAAATTAAATAAGGCTTCAGATAAGTAGTGGCATTTAAATTGATCTTGAAATAGTGGTTTAAGATCATTACATGAAGAAACGGAATAACAGGTAGAAAAGATTCTACAGATAAAAAGAACACCATCAACAAAGGCATGGGGGAAGGAGTGCAGAGTAAATGAGGCATTTGGTGGATAGAAAGAAAATGATGGGTCAGCGAAGGGAGTAAGTGGCTGATAAGATCCTGGAAAAAGAACTATGATAGGTTGGATTATCTTGTGAATAGAGCTTTAATGTCATAAAGAGAATTTGTACTTTACCTGACAGAAAATGAACTTTTAGCAAACAGGTGAAATGAACATGCAATCTATGAAATCATCTAGGGTTGATATATTCTACATGGTATCAGCCATGGTCAAAAGGAGTGCTTCTTGATTTTTTATTATATGTGATTTTCCTTTATCATGAGAAATATTCTGTGGTGTGGAAAGAGCTTCCTTCTTTCAAAATAAAATGTAAGCAGCCACTCAGCTCTGAAGGGACAACACAAAGAGATAACAGACACCCTTCTTCTCTCTTATAATAGATGTAATTAATCTACCATTTACATTTTAAATAGTAGGAAATATGGACAGTAATTGGAGAACTTTTGAGCTAATATTTCTCCTGCATTCATCCCCAGCAGTCAGTGCAGCTGAAATATTTGAAAAATCAAACGCAGCATTGCCTTTCATAATTTCAGGGTCACCAGCAATTGATATTTTGAATATATTTGCATATGATTTGCTTCATCTGTATAAACAGCAACAACAACAACAACAAACACAAGATAGAAGCAACTGGTAAAATAATCCTAAAAAGTACCAATCACTATGTAGTTTCAGCCACACAAAAGACATACTGTGTTATAATGTTGAGGAAATTGTTGCTATATCATTTTCTCCACTGAACTACCTAAATGTTAAAAGAGGACTGTTTCTACTACTTCCTCTTTTTTTCACGTTTTTCACATCATAATCATGTACTACCATTAAATGTCAACTGAGATAGCATCCTGAGTCCTAGGTTTTGTGGGTTAGCTAGGCTCCTCTAAATTTGAAAACTGAGTCTGCAGCCAGAGGGAATTTAATAATATATGGAATTAATGATTGTCAATCAATGAGAAACTGAAATAAATCAGGGAATAAGCTCGATGGTATAATACAAGTTAGTCAAATCAATGAGTTTTCATAGTTGGAAATTTAATTGACTATTAAGCCAACTTTTTCAAAACTGTCTCAGTATCAAAGATAATATCAAGCACAGCAAAGCTGTACATGAAGGCCAGACTGCAATCTCAGACACAGTAATTGGCAAATAGTGCAAGGCAGCTGTCTATGCATTCTTGATATGTTTCTGCTTCTTTGTGGTATAACTTTACAATTGTTGAAAGAACTAACAGCCCTATAGGTCACAGAGTTTTTGAAAGTAGGTCTCCATCTCCTCAGACAAAGCTTCTGAAAATATAGAGATACTTTTGGGAGTAGATATGAATATTTTGCCTAAGATTTAACATTCTAAAAGCACTCAGATATTTTTGTTCTCACTTAGAAACAATTTAATGTTACAGATGCAAGCTTTATTTAAGCAGAGAATTACAAAAGGTCCAACATTTTTTCTCATTCTCTAGAGGATATTTCTAGTGCATAATTTAGAAATGGATATATTATTCATATTTGGGATATAAATTCAGAAACATGATTTCAAAAATTTTTTTGGATTAAGGGAAATTAGTCTGTTAGAAATAACAGATACTAATAAAAACATTTGTTAAACATGAATAAAGTCAATTAGCTATCCTGAATGGGATCCTCATAGAGAATAATTTCATTTCATTTCAAGAAGCAAGATCAACACTTTTGGCTCAATATGAACATAGTTGTATCCATATGTCTACAACTTCCCAATTTTCCAATTTTATACTAAGACTGAGTAAATATTTACAATAATACAACTCATATGCTGTTTTGTGAGGAAAAAGTATAATATAATATTTACATAATAATGTCAGAATAATAACATTTCTAAGGTTACCAAATGTTGGACTTTTTACACAAAGGCAAGATACCCAATATTCAAATTACATTCAAGTATAGTATTTCCTGTAACAGATAATCAACATCCCTCTCTCATCCCAAAACTCTTGAAGAGTTTGAATGTCCAGTCATGGGGGGAAGCTCTACAAAGTCAGCTGTGAGCATAGCCGGTTTCTATGTGGAGATATAAGGGGAACTGGCCCCATTTCATTGCATAAATATGGGAATTCTCATGGTTAAATTGATTTATTTATGGCTGCATAAGCTGATTCGGTCTGTTAAAGGTGTCTGTTACCAAGACTGTGTGGTTAACTACACGAATAGAAATAAAGATGGAGAAAAACACGATGCAATTTTTTAAAGGAAGCAGAAAGGATATTAAAATGTTTAACATACATACTTGTTATGCACTTAAAGAAATAGAAACTCTAATTGGAAGGCTACAGGAGACATATGGGAATTTTACAGGATTGCATTAAAGACCCCAGCACAAGGATAGAATAGAATATAGGACTATGCAGTGGGAAAATTAGCAGCAGCCTTATCCAAAACTGGATTCTAAATACAATAATATATACCCTGTTGATGTTCTATTAATAATGACAATAACCTTTGCATTAGATTTTACTCTCCAGGAAGCATTTTCCTTCAACTTATTCAAGTAACAGAAAAGGCCTACATGTATTATAATTATTTCCATTTGTAATTGGTAGAGGATGAAACTGACTTCCAGAACTTCTAATTTAATTGAATAAAGTTGCTTGATGTATTAGTTTTCTACTGTTGCATAACAAATTACCACAGACTTATTGGCATAAGACAACATCTATTTATTAACTCTAAGTTGTGTAGGTCAGAGCCTGGCATGATATGGGTGGATAACCTGCTTCTGATATCAAGGTATTTGCTGGTATGTGTCTTAACTGTAAGGCTCTGATGGAGAATCCACTTCTAAGCTTATTTAAATTGTTGACAGAATTCAGTTCTTTGCAGTTGTCACCTGAGGTCTTTGTTTTCTTGCTAGCTGTCAGCTCAGGGCAGCTCTCAACTCCTAGAGCTGCTACATTTATTGGCATATAGACTCCTCCATTTTTGAAGTTAACAATTACATGGCTGAATGCCTCTCGTGCTTCAAATATCTGTGATTTCCTCTGTTGCCACCAGCCAGATAAAACTCTTTGCTTTTAATGGGCTCACTCGATTGGGTCAGGCCTACAAAGTAAATCTTTGTATCTTAAGGTTCAGTTCTATTAGTACTTTAATAACCTCAGCAAAATTTCTTTACAGTAGTGCTTAGATGAGTGTCTGAATTAATAACTAGGGGATGGGAATCTAGCAGGTGCCATCTTTAGATATCTTCCCATCACATTTGGTTTATGAGGAGTCAAGCCAGAATCATAATTCAGGGATTTTTTATTAAAAATTCAAAAACTCTTTCAACCACAGTTAATTTGTTAACTTATAATAAATTGGTTAATCTTTAGCTACCTTATCTGTATATTACTCTCACATCATTCATAAGTTACTAGGGCATTCAAGAAGATGTCTCAAGCTGACTTGTTTTGAGAGCACAGAAAATACTCAAAAGGCAACAGACCCAGGGAAGAATGCCAGTTACTTGATTAGTGGAAGCAGAGAAAAGACAAGACCTAGTAAACCTTTGCCTGTTGTTCCATAATAGAGAGGCCTTTATAATCACTCCCTCTTCCCACCTCTCTATCCATTGACTCTCTTGTAATTTATAGCACTTCTATTAGGAAAGAAGCACATTTTAGAATGGAAGCCCCTTAAGGAGGAAAGCTTTTATCTTTGGATCTTTAGTGCCTTGCATAAGTTCTGGCACATATTAAATGCTATCAGACAACTTGCACATAGGTGATTCTTACATAGGTTGAGCTGAGTCATATTATTGAATTAATTAGGAATGAAAAAGGGTGTCATTGCAAAATAAATACCTTGAAAATAATTTCTAAAATAGACAAAAAGTGAAATCAACCCTTGAAAAAAAATGATGCTAACTGTAGTACCTGATACTCATGGGAATATAAGTGGATGTGAATATGTGTTTAATTCATATAAGTGGATATAAATAAATATTTAATTCCTCCAGTGGGTGTTTGTTTATAGATTCAGTTATCTTTAATCAAAATACAGACACTTGGGTTTATCTGATTGGCAGAAGTGCTGCTGGGTAATGGCATTTTCTCTTTGAGTCTGTATGGGTCAGGAATCCCAGCAAAAGGACAGGAAAGGAGATAGGCATTCCATGCTAACTAAGGTATGCAAAACATAAAACTTTTTTTCATAAACCTTAATTTATATGTCAAATACTAACTTCTGGGAGAACTCAGTCATTTGCATTATTTATTGGGCATTTCAGTTAAAAACAATCCCATTCAGGATTTCTCTCCTGTCCATATTGTTTACTCAGGATGTGGCATTTGGGCCAATGAAGGCTCATGGCAATGGATAGGGTGTCTGGCATTAATCTGGTCTTTGAGGATAGTTACTCTGTATTGGTGAGTTCACTGCTGACAAACCTCTTCTAACTGATGCTTCTCAGCCTCCTCTGTTACGATGTAAACATCCTCACACTGGGGCTCCTGAATGTCCCATGACCTATCTTTCTGTCATCTAACTTTGGCATGGAACCCAGTAAAGCTTCTTTGAAGTTATTCTGCCTACATATATCTGGGTCTAATATTGCCTTTCCAAAACTTATCCTTTTATCCATATTTGAAGAGTTTTGGAAGGGAAGTCTTGGAAGACTTGGAAGCAGTTTCAAAACAAATGATATCTAAGCGAATTCTCCTTTACACAAATTATTTAGCATTTGACTTTAATTTAATCTAGTTTTTTGTTTTTTTTTTTAACATTAAGAGCCAAGTATTAGACCTCATTCTGTTCTGTTCCTTAATATCTTCATCCCAGTCCTCCAGCCCCATCTTGGAGTAGAGTTTGGGCAACTTTTTTAAGCTCTCCTTACTCTCAATTTGAGGTGAATGCCAGCTTCAAGTCTAAACAGTCTTTTCAGTAGCAGGATTGATGCAGGACTAATTTATTAAATCCTAGCTCTCCAGAGTGGTACATTGTGATTGTCTGCTGAGGGATCATCTCTGCATTTAAACTTATTGGGTCAGTGCCTATTTGCATGTGAACTGACTGGTGCTAAGCATCTCTGGTTAGTTCTGTTCTCAGTATTGTACAAGTGTTCAGTCTAACAAAGCTAACATGAAAATAGGCACAGGGACATTTGTGTAAAGACCTCTTCCTAACCATCAAGTTGGTTCTTAGTTAAACTTCTTTGTCCATAGTATCTCTAGGCTGCAATAGTTTAACTGGGCAATAGACCAAAAAATGCCTTACAGCTAAGCCATGCTGGTGATTGTCTGTGGCTTCATTCCCTCCCAGACAAAATCCTAGTATGTCTCAAAATAATTCACCTTTTATGAACCGAATATAAACAGATGTATTAATTTTAAGTAATAGATTTTGTTTTTGTTGTAATTATATGTGACCTAAAACATGAACCCAAATCCCATTTTTCACTGAAAATTTTGTTCAGACGTTCACTTATCTTTTTGAAAACTAGGCTTGAAATTATAAATACCACTGCACCTAAATCTAATTATGTTATTTGGCTTAAGATATTCTAAAGAGGACAAAACTGTGTTTACTATCTTCTTATATGACTAAGCCCTTTGAAGGAAATAGCTGTAATATTTATGTACATCTCTGGATGGACTGATGTGGGGAAATTTTTCTTATAAAAACCCATATTCATGCATATTACTATTAAAGTATTCCAGTCAATCACTGCAACCTGGTTACCTTCACATAAATTAAAATTACTTCTGTGAACCTACATGTTCTTATATCTTTGGGCTTAGGTCAAGGCTCTTTTCTTTGCGAAATTTTCTCTGATCCTCACAGAAAGGGGTGACTTTGGGAGAGTTGGTTTGTGGATAAGTGAAAATCACTTTTTTCTCCTGCAGGATAATATAGTTTGTGGGTTATACATTTATTATGGAGCTTATTCTTTTTAATACTACATTATTAATTTTCTCCTTGAGTAAAGAAACTGTTTATCTAGTTCAAATTGTTATCTTTCGTTTCAGTACATAGCAGAGAATTTGCCCATAGCAGACGCTTCTGGAGGTTGAGTTTAATGTATTGATGAATTATAATTTCTGAAATTTTTGCATTAAAAATTTTGTCAGTGGTCTTTTACTATTCCTATCCTGATATAAAAATAAAAAGGCCTACTTGCCTGGAATCAATCTAGAAAATTAACTGTCTAAGAAAATCATTTGGAAGCTGCAACTAGTCAAAGATAACTAGTTATTTTTCAAGAATAGCCCCTTTAAGTTAGATATATAAAATCTCATTGCATAGGTTTGCTGAGCAATGACACTCAAGCCATCAACAGAAACCCAGGGATCACTTTCATTGAATTCAATTCTCATGATCTTAGATCATATTCCATTAACTTGACTTGAGTCAAATCAATTGAATTGCCATAGACATTACTACTAAATTCTGCATTTCTCCATCTTAGGTCAAAATATTTGTTAGCTCTGCCAGTGGCTAAAAGCACTTAAGCAGAAACAAAAATAGACTGAAGAATAGGGGTTGGGGTTGACATAAGATCTGTTGTCAATCCTACCCTGCTTATATGTGTGTTAAAATATGTCTGACCTATTTTCTTCTGTAAAAAGTCATTAAGGACAATATTTATTCCAGCAGGTATCAGGTAGAGTTTGAGCAAGTACTTGAAGCTTTCTTTCCATATCTCTCAGAATGCACTTGATTTATAATGGGCCTCTCATTTGGATCATCCATCACTCTGAAACTAAAGCTGCCATTCAATATTTGGCAGTTAGGGTGCCAAATTAGAAGATTTTTATATGTCCAAATCGGGATAGAATGGAGCTGCCAAAATTGTACTCACTTGTGACCTAAATATCCAAGAAAGGAAAAGCCAATGCCATTAAAAAGTGTGTCATCTCCTCTCTATGATTCAGTAATGAAAACCTGTCAGTTGCATTCTGTTTAATCATTGGAAGTGGTGTGCACTGTATCTGTGAAGTCTAAATGGAAAAAGTTGCCACTGCAATTGCCAGCTTCCTCCTACCAATAAATCAATGTAGAAGAGGAGGGGAGAAAGAAGGCCATCCGACAGCTCTCCATCAGAACGCCAATCATAAATTAGTACCTACAGAGAACATATCATATGAGACTGTCTTTTCAGGGACTCAGAGTTAAATAATGAACAGAGACACTTTAATTCAAAAAGGTTGCAATTCCAGAGATATCAGAGATGCATTTAATTAAAGCAAAGGGAACCACACAGTGAAAAAGTTCATCCTGTCTCTGAAAGGAGAGCTGTCTACCTGCTCTTGATTTTTGACACTTGGAATGGTTAAGATGCTGATGAGTTTTATAACTGCAACTAGAACAGACCCTGACTTCTTTCACTGATAGTATTTCTTAAGACTCTCCCCATAATGTAAGGCAAATTTATTGTTTTCTCGTGTTTTGAAGGAAAGCACCATTGTGTAAAATATGATTTTCAACTTGACAGCAGCATGCCCAAGTGATTTAGGTGATATTGGATTATTGCATAGGTTCGCTGCATAAACCTAGAAAAAGAATGCTGGTTTTGACAGCAGGAGAAGGCACGTTTCCTTCCTAAATCATTAAGTTAGAAATATACTTGTTCAAAACATATGTTGTATTCTATGTTTCTTGGATTTGGCATATAAATTTTAAAAGAGTTGATAAAAGACCAAGTAAGTTCATATTTTAAAGAGAAGAAGAACTACATATAATTAAAATCCAAATTATATTAAATTACTATTAACCTGATAAATACATTAAAATTATATATGAAGTTACTGACTTTGTAATAGTGTAACAAAAATATCAGTTGCTTTTCTCTCTTCTCCCATAATACCTGCAAAGTTTAGAGTATCTTCTACCTTGTGGCCTTTATTATCTTTCAGTAAAGTGTGCTGTAATTTACTTATTTGTTTTGAAAAATAAAAATGGTACTAAAAATAGGTAGTACACTATCTCTAAATTTTGCAAATGTCTTCCCTGAGAATTAGATTTTTATTCTCAAAAGGCTCAATTTATATCATGCCATGATTATGATTATCACAGGCATTTCCTAACATTTTAGTAACCTGTTCTAGAAAGACATGCAAATAGTATCTTAAAATAATCAAAAGAGAGCAAGAAGAGACCTGAGAACAAATTAGGTTCAAATTCTACCAAGTATTGCAATAGTCCTCAGAAAGCCTTGATGATATTGATTGGGCCTCTGCTTGAACATTTCCAACAAAAAGGTATGCATTATCTCAAAAGGATGCTATTTTACCCCTGGATAATTATAGTCATTAAAAACATTTCACTTTATATTGAGTGAAATACAAATAAAAATAGTAAAATTTTGCCTGTCTTTTGATGTGTCAGTTAGGGGCTCTGGGGTCCATGTTTTTACCCCCATTCTATACTTCATTCCTGTTGAAATCAACCCCAGAGCCAAATAATTATCTCAGCTATCTCAGGTGGTTTAACCATGGTCAGTAAAGCAGGACTGTTATCTCATTTAATTTGAAAGGAAAACTTACATTCAAATATTAACATTTGCATATTTTGTATATCAGATTGTTTTCTAAAAAGAGGTGTCACCCTCAAATGGGTAATTTAGGAGAGTTTAGTAAAGAAACTGTTAAAAAGTGTGGGCAAAATTACAGATGACCAACAATTGGTGAAGCGCCCTGGGGCTTGCAGCAAAAGAGATCTTGCCTCCTCTAGGCCTGAAGGGGAAAGAGGAAGGAGAAATGACTGTCACCCAGTGATCACAGTTGTAGTTTCTCGATAATGTAGCTTGACAGGAGCTGTGGCTTTGGTAAAGACCAAAATGGCCCAGCTGGAGGGAACTAAAGACTAAATGCCCTGTTTGTACTATCTTTCTGTCTTTTGATCTCCTGTTGATGGCTTTTATTAGAAACACAACCACAAGCCAGAAGCAAAAATGCTCACTGATGCAGTCCGTTCATATCAGCCTCCCTGGCCACAGAGCAAGGTAGAGAGAGGTGAAGAGTGGAAAAAAAAAGTGCAAATGAAATATTAGCATACTATGTACTGGAAACTATGATACATTGTTATAATTGCTTCATGGACTATGTAAAAAGGTGAACATGTATCACCAAACATAAACAAAAAGCGTGCCTATTTTAGCAGTTACAAGGAAAAAAAATCTATGGGCTGGAAGAGGTGTGTGTGTCTACTGACACTGTGGGCATTATTTCATTGTTTTATGAATAATTCAAAGTTTTACATTTCTTTAAACCAACTTAGTTTCAATGCATTGTTGCAACATTATTTTAATCCCCCATCCCTACACTAATTAATACACACACACACACACACACACCCCTAAGTGCATACGTATATGTAACTAATCTCAGCAATGAAAAGAACTTAAGTCCTCCCTGTCTTTCATGACAACCTGTTCTACTTTGTTTTAATCCTAAACAAAATAATCCTAGCCTTTTGTTTACAAGCTCAGTATTGAAGCTTTCCTTCTTCACTTATCATATTGCTGTTGTTCCTTCTCTAATCTTCTTACACCAGTTCACCAATGACTAGAATTCTAGCTTAAATTCTAGGTCCTAAATTTTTGCGTTTGTAACAATAACTCCCCTTGTAATTAGGATCTCTAGCTCCTAACACAAATTTGTCAAACCAGATATTGTTATTTGTGCCAGTAATTCAGTAACTAGGCTATTGTCTTACTTTTCATCTCCTAAGGAGCATGTTTTCTGAAAGGCAACACAATTTATGCCCCTGAAAAATCACAGGATCTATGTGGCCATTTCCTCAATATCTTAGTACAGGACCTGGCATTATTTTGGATATATAGTAAACATTTTAGATATATCTTCTGATAGCAAATGAAATGCTGCCACATAATGCAATGTCTGCTCATTAGTTCCCTAAATTGCCCCCAATTACTTGCCACTAGCACAGTGCTAATTGTAGAGCTATTCTTATTTTATTATCTGATATGGTTTAGCTGTGTCCCCACCCAAATCTCAGCTTTAATAGTGTCTCCCAGGATTCCCATGTGTTGTGGGAGGGACTCATGGGGAGGTAGTTGAATCATGGGGGCCATTTTTTCAGGTGCTGTTCTCTTGAGAGTGAATGGGTTTCACAAGATCTGATGGGTTTATCAGGGGTTTCCGCTTTTGCTTCTTCCTCATCTTTTTCTCTTGCCACCACCATGTAAGAAGTGCGTTTCACCTCCTGCCATGATTCTGAGGGCTCCCCAGCCATGTGGAACTGTAAGTCCAATTAAACCTCTTTTTGTTCCCAGTTTTGGGTATATCTGTATCAGCAGCTTGAAAACAAACTAATATATTTTTATTGGGGATATATGACTCAACTTGAACAATGGACATTGATGTTTCTGCCTCACTTGGGCATTTCAATGAGTCCATTCTCTCAAATTCTGACCTACATTTAGATGTGCTTTTTCATGAAGATATCCTCAGAATAAGAATCTCCAAGCCTGAAAACTTTTTGTCAAGCTCCCAGTTTCACCCAATTATGCTACTTCTGCCTACATTTCTTTGGCTTGGTCTTTCTCAGCCCAAAACTGTCCCACTACCCACCTAATTATTTCAAATCCCATTGAAATGTGTTGATTGTTTCAATTAAATATTTAACATCTAAGATATTTAAAACATGTCTCTAAGCCTTATGAAATAACAATAAAATGAACAGCACAAATACTTTTGAAGTTTCCTTTGTTCATTTCTATGATTCTATTCTCCTTTCCCCACCAACTCTACAACCACTATCCTGAATTTTGTGATTCTCATTTTCATTTCCATGGTCTATTCACAAACACACACACACACACACACACACACACACACACAGCCTATATTTTGAACTCTATATAAATGGAATCATACTTTTTACAAACTTCAACAACTTCCTCTTAATGGTAAACATCTTCTTCATTATGTTTATCTATGTAGAGGAATGCAGCTATAATTTATTTATTTTCATTGGTATATAGCAAAATGCATCATAACATTGAATCTGCTCTTCTTTCCATTAGCTTTGTATCTGCATTTTTTCTAGTCTTCATGCTTGTTATGGATAAAAGGATTGCCTAAGTTAAGGCAAGTTGAGGCTGTTACACACTTCAGTTCTGTGTGAGTGAAGAGAATCTAAATCTAAATGAAGCTTAACATAATCAATGGTTAACTTGATCAGATGCGAAACAAATCATAACCACTGACATGCTCTGAAGTCAATTTTCCCCATGCAATTAAAAATGCCTGGCAGAGATAAGACAATAGATTTCAGAATCAAATTGCCAGGGTTCTAGCTATAATTTTGAAAGTCACGCAGTTTCTCTCTCTCTTTCTCAATATGCTTGTTTATAACACTAAAGCAGTTTATCCTCAAAAAATGTGTATGAGGATTAGACAAAATACTCTGTGTGGAATATGTAGAATATATTCTATGTGGAATGTATGAAAATACTCTATGTGAACTATAAATAGGGTAACTTTATCATGAAAATAATATATATTTCAAGTGCCCTAGAGAGGTTCTGGCAAAGTGTTAGGATTTTTGCAAAATCTGAAAATAAGTAAGTGGGTTATTTAGAGTTAAGGAAGACCTATCACTTTTTCACGTATTCTTCTCATTCATTATACTTTCCCTTTTCTATGATACCATTGGAGTGATATCTACTATATGGGAAATTTTGCTAAGGGAATTTGGGTTAGAACAATAATTTGTCTGGATTTCATGGGATATACTCTTGTGATTAGAAGTCATTTTCTTTATGGTTAGATATAGTTAGTCAAGGAATTCATGGTAGATATGTAAGCCATGTAAGCTTCCAGAAAAATTCTTGCTACTGCTCACTCTGCAAACTAACCCAGAATTTTGACCTCTAGAAGAGGGGCCAGAGGTTGACTCATAATATGAGAAAGTGTCCTCTGGCCCATGGCAACAGAAGTATGTGTATAGTGAAGAAAAAACAAAGTTAGGAAACCAAAAGCAAACCAGTAAGCAATTCTTTTAATAACATGTAAAATGTTAAGCAAAAAATTTACTTTTCCTAAACACCAAGTGAAAATAGATTTTTTTCTTCTGTCAGAAATATTTGATAAAGCAAGATATACAATTATAAGTGAAATATAAAATAAAACAATGTTTGCATGTGTTGTTATATAAATTCAGTAGAAATTACTGTAGCAATAAGAAGTGAATTAAAATAATTTTCAGGTCATTCCAAAGTCAGCAATTCATTAAGCAAAAGATTTTACTACAAATAATATATAGGCTTGACTAATTTAAGAGTCCAATTAATTAATGAAGATTTTTTTCATAGCAGAAAAGTTGTTTTTTTTTTATGAATTCAACACAAAATACTGATATAAGCCACTGCAGTAAGGAAATAGAAATGACAAATTATTTAATAGGTATTGTTGATTCAAAGAATATTGAAGATGAGTAACTGCACAAAAATACCTAAACTACTCTGAAATCTTACAATAATATATGAAAGAAATTTTGTGAAAGTTTTTCCAAAGTTGACAACAATCCAAAAATTTACATGGCATTACCAAAGATGAATTATTAGGCTGAGAGAATCTTTTCTAAACTATCATTAAATAAAACCAGTCATCCTAATGGAAAGATGGAATTACCTTTCTCTTCTCCCTTTGAGAAAAAAAATGACAAAATAATTGTCATATGAAGAAATAATCAAAGAACATAAAACCAAAAAAAGTAGATTTTAGAGCTATTGTAATAAAATGTATTACTTTTCTGGAATCGTCCATGTTTTAGATTTGTTAGATTTTTGAAATTATGTAACTGGAAATGATTTATATTCTTATTCCAAGTAAATATTCATATTCATACTTAATTTTGTATTTCTCATTTTGTATTTTATTTTTACCTACAGAAGTTTTTCTAAGTTATTTAAACTTCTCACCACACAAAATCTGGATTTGTATCTGTCACGTAGTAATTGCTTGATAAATGTGAGTATTCATAGCTATTATATATATAAGGTATTATATTATATATATATACACACATATATATATATATACATATGTATGGACATGCAAATATATAGATGATCTCACATTTTTATGTATTTAGAGATATTAATGAAAAAATGTACATTTCTGTAAGTATCCATTTTTAATTAATGTAGCCTCTACTTAAGTTCTAGAGGCATAGATGATGTGTTTGAACTCTCTATCTTTTCACTCTGTGAAAAATTTCTATGCCTTTTTTATGTGAAAAGACATAGAGTTAAAAACATTATCATACACTTAAAAAAATTAAGTTTTTAGCAGATACTTTAATCAGGAATCACAATATTTAAAAACCAGAAACACAAACAAGAAAATACACATTTAAAATATGAATGCATTTGTGAATACATAGTATCACTGTTTACAACTGAAATCTAACATGTTTGCCAAACTATCAAGGCATTCCACAAGCTTCTGAGTTATGCGTGGAGACAAAGTTTATATTTGAACTCTATCACCTAGAATTTGACTCGATAATATAAGAAGAAAAAGTATTTTTACCTCATTGTGTTGAACACATTGTCTTGAAAAGAACTGGTATCAATTTTTGAAGCTTCAAGAATAAAGCATAAAGTAAAAATACAGCTTGTCAAAAAAAACATAGTGTAGCTGTTTGTGATACTGATATGAAATAAGAATTTCATGTTATTAAAGCAGATGACAGTTCAATCTAGTGAAAACAATGGCATTTGAAAAGTATTAGATCTATGTATATAAAATAAGCTTATATTAATATGCACACAGCATGAGTATATACACAAGTTAACATTTCAAGAGTTAACATTCTTGGCATTATTCACAATTGAAATTATAAAAGGCATTTTTGTGGTGGTTTTACAAATATTTTTAAATGACTATGTCACAGTTATGTCATGTTGTTTTATATATTGCAAAGATAGTCATTTGGCACAGCATGAAACAGTGTTATTGCTGGGTCTACTACAATATGGTATCATTTGTTCAAAGTCCTTCATATAAGTGGTGTTTTAGAAGAAAGAGTCATAAACTTCAGATTTAAAAGGCTTGACTCTGAACCCTAATTCTGCTCTTCAAAGCTGCGTGACTTTAAGCAACAGGACTAACTTCTCTGTACCACTTTCCCTGCTATAAAATGGTCAATAATATTTGTCTTTCAGATTTATTGTGAGGGTTAAAGCAAATATGATGGCACATTACTGGCCACATACTGGCACATTACTGGCCACATACTGTCACATTTGGTGGAATTTCAGGTCCACTACTTCTTTTCCCTCCCACACAAGCTCATGGGAGGAGAAAACTATCAGAAAATAAGGCAATAATAGTGATCTTTGAGATGCACAATTGGTTTACAATGTTAAATTATAGGTTATTTTTCCAGAGTAGGAACAGAAATACTAAAATCTCTTTCAAATGCTTTGGAGCTTTGAGGAATCTTGGAGAAAATTACCAATGACATTGTGTCTGTTAATAATGTAATTAAGCATGTCACTGACAAACCGTAAACACATATGTTCAATCTTCGATAACTAGTATAAGGACAAGAAGTGTGCTATAGAGTCTGTATTTTTTCTGCAATGAGTTCACTATACATATACTTTAAAGAACTTCTGCAATAGTAGATACCTGGCAGGTAATTCGGGATCCTTGTGTTTCCCATACATCAACATGACATTGCTGAGAGTTTAACGTTTCTCTTTTTCTATGCCTGGGACATAGAAACATGGTCAGCACTGAATTGCAGAAAACAGTTCAAATTAAACAGCACCAATCATGTCCCTGGCATATATAGTGAACACTGTATATGATATTTCCATGATTCTTACAAAAATTCTGTGAGGTATCAATTTTCCATTTTGGGTGAAGAAAGTAAAGTACAAAAAATAAGTAACATGCATGAAGTTATACAATTAATAATAGAGAGAAATGGGAAGTAAACATGAGTATACATGGATCCAAAAGGCAGAGGGAAAGATTATCCAGAAAAAGCATTTCAATAATTTACTCAAAACCATATAGTTATTAGTTTTAAAAAAAGATGGCTACTGAAATGTCCTTTGTAAGATGCCAGGAATTAGTTGTATGTAACCATAAATTCTGCAATCATATATTAAATGCATATGATGTACAAGTCACATGTCCCTCTACATTGAATTATCTACATTATTAGTGGTTAAATGCAGACAATAGGTAACCATAATAGTAATTATAATGAGGAATGAAATCTGCTAAAACAGACAAAAATGGATTTCTATGAAAATGCAGATGAAGAGCCAAGTAAATATTTCTAAGGAAATACAGTAAGGCTTCCCAGAAGAAGCAACATTTATATCAAATCTTAAAGATATAAAGCACATATAAATATGCTTTATTTTAAAGGATAGATAATATAAAGCATATATGGTTTTGCTTTTTAAAAAATATTTTGTAGAGAAAAAATATTTTTTAAAAAGCAAAACTGAAGTTTTCTGCTAAAGATTAGAGAAAGGCAAGTGCAGAGATTTAGAGGTAGTTTAATTAAAATATTACATTGGTTATGGCCACATGAAAAGATGTTGGCATTAATCTCAGCATAAAACTTATGTAAGATGGGATAAAATTGTTAAAATAAAAACATGAATTTTAGGCCACTAGAAAATCAACCCGAGCAGGCAACAATTTTATAACTGTTTATTCATAGAACATTGCCGCATCAGATCAGAGAGTGAGTTTGTGATCTTCTTGCCCAAGGATACTCTTACCCCTTAGAAAATAGGTGACAAAAACCTACAGTTTTAGTGGTAGAGGTAGGGGACTTAGTTCAGAGAGGAGAAGAACAGCTAGAAATTTAAAGGGACAATTTTGGAAGAAAAAAGGCACAGATAGGCTGAGTTAAGAAACTCCCCACACATTTCTCTCTGCTAAAATATATATGCCACCAGAAGATCCTAGAGAGCCTGAAAAAATTAAAACACTAGCGATATTTTTGAATTTTTAACAACTTTAAAAGTTTCCCTCAACCTAAACACAAGTCATGCAGTAAAGAATAAGCTTTACTGGATTCTAATATCTAACTATAATCTCCACTCAAACAAAGCATTGACTTACTGATAAACTGAGAACAAGAGATATTTCCAGAGAACCACACTAAACTATGCATCCCATGATGGAGATACTGTTCACAGTTTGAGTTGAGACAAGCTGATTCCCTTCTAAAGCAAAAAATAAACAAACTTCTGAAGAACAAAACAAAATCAAGAGTTGCTACAATGTATTATCTACAATGCTCAAATTTAATGACTAGTAGTTTTATGACTAGTAATTTTACCAAGAAATTACTAGACAATAAAAAAATTGATACATATGCAAGGGTTTTAAAAAGTCAATCAAAATTGATTCCAACTCAGAGTTAGCAGAAAAATACTTTGAAGCAGCTTTTATTAACACTTCAAAGAACTAACGGTAAATATACAAAAAATAATCACGTTAGGAATCTCAATATAAAAAGACAAACAGAAGTTGTGGATATAAAAGTGATGTCAGCAAGATGGCCAAATAGAGGAGTCACCCAGCATTACTAACTTCAAAAAAATACAACTAGAAACGATTCAAAAACAAGAATACCAGCCTAAATACACCAGAACTTTAAAGAGATGCCTAATTGAGAGAAGTTACAACCAGTAAAAAAAAAAAATCATTTCAGTCTGTGCCAACCCCTCCTGTAACCTGGCATAATGCCATTCACAGATAATTTTCTTAGACTTATGGTTGCCAAGGTGAGAGGAGGAAATTAGAGTAGATGTTCCATCTCCCTGCTTGTTTAGGAATCTTCATGGGAAGGTCACTCTCATACCATCCCACAGGAGCCACTGGGAATGCAAGGAGGTCTAGACTACCTGGGATGAATTGGGGACAAAGAGAAGGATGCTGATCACAGTGACTGGTATGCAGATCTTGGTGGTTACTCAACACTTCAATCAGCAGGGAAACCATGTTGAAAATACTAGCTGATATCAAGGCACTTCAGGGGCACAATTTAAATGGAGGCCCAAACTCCTAGCTAGATTTTTCACAAATCTCAGAAGCTCTGGTGGAGCCTTCCCTTGGTTTGGAAACAAAATTGTGGAATTAAGTTCCAGTGCCTGCTTAACGCTTCTCCAGACTGGGAAAAATAGCGGGGAAGCAATATAGTTCAGGACAGTAATTAAGCTCTGGTGCTCACTTTAAGTCTTCCCTGGACAAAGATATGATGACAAGACAATGATTTAGCTCCAGTGCAGTGATTTAGTTCTGGTGATCACTGTAAGTTTTTTCCAGAATGGAAAACAGTAAAGGCCACTATTTATGCTCTGATACTGGAAAGTAAACGTCTAACATCACCAAAGAACACTTGCAAAAACTGAAAGAGTTGGCTGTCTCCACAAATGGGCTGTCATCAATGTAAAAATGTAAGAATTGTGAAAAGTCAGGGAAATATGACACCACCAAAGGAAACAACAAACACCACCAAGAGCTCCAGTAATGAACTCAGAAGAACTGAAGATCTGTGAAATTTCTAACAGTGAAATCAGAATCATCCTCTGAAGGAAGATCAGAGAATCATTTTTAAAAATGGATGAAAAAGTAAATAAAATTTGAAAGTCAATTCAGGATGAAAATGAGAAATTCAACAGAGAAATAAATTAAAAACAAATCCCAAAGAAAATCTTAGAAATAAGTAATACAACAGCTTAAATAAAAGCCTCATTAGAAAGCTTCAACAGGAGACTTGATCAAACAGGAATTAATTAGCAAGCTTATAGACAAAACATGTAAAATTATCTAATCAGAGGAGAAAAAAAGAATTAAAAACAATGACAAAGGCATACAAAATTTATGGGACACCATCAAGTAAACTAATTTCCATGTAATTGGAATTCCTTAAGAAGATTAAAATAGAAAAATCTTAAAAAGCATATTTAAGGAAATAACGAACATATTTTAATCTAGAAAAAGAAGAGGAAGACAAGATCATCCACGTATAAGGATCTCAGAAATCACCAATTACTTTCAACACAAAGAAGAATTACCCAAGTTATATCATAATCAAATTAGCAAATCCAAACACTAAAAAATAAAAAATTCAGTGCAGCAGGAGAAAAGAAACATAACACAAGAAGTGGAGTCATTATATGCCTTTCAACAGATTACTTAGCAGAAGACTTGCAGACCAGAGGAGAGTAAGATGCTGTATTCAAACTACTGAAGGAAAATAAAACCTGCTTACCAAGAATACTGTAGCCCAGCAAAGCTGTTATTTAAATGTGAAGGACAGATACTTTTCCAGATAAACAAAAGCTGAAGGAATTGATCAAACAAGATATATCATACAATAAATTTAAAGGGACTTCTTCAATCTAAAAAAAAAAGGATGCTACCAGGTAACACACAAAAAATCTGAAGGTATAAAACTCACTAGTAAAATAAGAAAGCAGAGATATTCATAATATTCTAATACTGTAATTTTGGTAAGTAAAACACATATTAGACTGTAAAGACCAAAAGCAAAACCATTGAAAACAACATAACTACAATAATTTGTTAAGAGGTAGGCAACATAAAAAAAGTAAAATGAAGCATCAAAAGTCAAAATATAGGGCTGTAGTATTAAAAGTGTAGGATTTGCTTTTGATACTTTTCTTTGAGATCAAAGTTGTTGATAGTTTCAAATAACCTGTTATAAGATATTCTTTGTAAGCCACATGGTAACCACAAAAAAAATCTGTAATAGATAAAGTAAACATAAATAGCATGGAATCAAACATATTGCTAGAGAAAATCACTTAACCTTAACCACAAAGGAGGATAATAATAGAGAAAAAAATGAATTAAGAATCTACCAAAAAATTCCCACAGAAAACAAATTACAAGATGGCAATAGTAAACTCTTATCTATCAATAAGAACCTTGAATAGAAGTGGATGATATTAACCAATTAAAAGTTATAGAGTGGCTGAAAGGATTAAAAAAATAAGACCCAACAGGTTGCTGTCTTCAAGAATATCACTCCATCTATAAAGACATGCAAAGCCAAAAAAATGTAGGGATGGCAAAAGCTATTCAATGCAAATGGAAAGGGAAAAAGAGCAGGAGTGGCTCTACTTATATCAGCTAAAATAGACTTTAAATCAAGAAAGGTGAAATCACAAACTACTTCAGCCATCGTGGAAAACGGTTTGGCGATTTCTCAAATAATTTAAAACAGAACTAATATTTGATCAAAAAATGTCACTACTGGGTATATAACCCCCCAAAATAATTCATTATATCAAAGAGACACACACACACGGCATATGTGTTCATTGCAGTGCTCTTCACAATAGCAAAGAAGTGAGATAAACCAAGATGCCCATCAACAGTGGACTGGATAAGGAAAATGAGTTACATATACACCATAAAATACTAGGCAGCCACTAAAACAAACAAACAAACAACAACAATAAGAAACAAAAATCATGTCCCTTGCAGCAACATGGATATAGATGGAGATTGTTCTCAGCTTTTTTGGTTGGTTGGCCATTTATAACTGATTCCATTTTGAAGCTTGTTATTGGTTTGTTTAAGGAATCCATTTCTTCCTGGCTCAGTCTTGAGAGGGGGTTTGTGTCCAGAAATTTATTCATTTTTCTAGAATTTCCAGTTTACGTGCATAGAAGTGTTCATAATATTCCCTGATAGTTATTTATATTTCTGTGAGGTCAGTGGTAGTATCCTTTGCTGTTTCTAATTGTGTTTATTTTCTTTTATTCTTTATTAGTCTAGTTAACAGTCTATTTCATTAATCTTTTCAAAAAACGAACTCCTGGATCCATTGATCTTTTGAATGGTATTTTGTTTTCCAGTCTCCTTCAGTTCAGCTCTGATTTTGATTATTTCTTGTCTTCTGCTAGGTATGTGTTCTTTTATTTGTGATGTTAGGTTTTTAAATTGAGATATTTCTACTTTTTTTTTTTTTTTTTTTGAGATGGAGTCTCGCTGTGCCACCCAGGCTGGAGTTCAGTGGTACAATCTCAGCTCACTGCAACTTCTGTCTCCTGGGTTCAAGTGATTCTCGTGCCTCAGCCTCCTGAGCAGCTGAGATTACAGGTGCCTGCCACCATGCCTGGCTAATTTTTGTATTTTTAGTAGAGACAGGGTTTCACCATGTTGGCCAGCCTGGTTTCGAACTCATGACCTCAGGTGATCCACCCGCCTCAGCCTCCCAAATTGCTGGGATTAATATACAATTATGTTATTCCTGAGTATAATCACCCTATTGTGCTATCAAATAGTAGGTCTTATTCATTCTTTCTATTTTTTTGCACCCGTTAACTATCCCTTTGTCCCTCCCAACAAACCATTACCCTTCCCAGCCTCTTATAACCATCCTTCTACTCTCTATGATCATAAGTTTAATTGATTTTATTTTTAGATCCCACAAATATATGAGATCATTCAATGTTTGTCTTTTTGTGTTTGGTTTATTTCACTTAACATAATGATCTCCAGTTCCATCCACGTTGTTGCTAATGACTGGATCTCATTTTTTTTTTATCGCTGAATAGTACTCCATTGTGTATATGAACCACATTTCCTTTGGTCATTCATCTGTCAATGGACACTTAGGTTGTTTCTAAATCTTCTCTATTGTTAACAGTGCTGCAACATACATAGGAGTGTATCCATCTCTTTGATAAACTGATTTTTTAAAATTATTTGGGATATATACCCAGTAGTGGGATTGGTAGATCATATGATAGTTTAAGTTTTAATTTTTTGAGGAACCTCTGAACTGTTCTCCATCACTATGGAGAACTAGTTGTACTAGTTTATATTCCCATTAACAGTGTAGAAGAATTCTCTTTTCCCCACATCCTCACCAGCATTTGTTAATGCCCGTCTTTTGGATAAAATCATTTTAACTAGGGTGAGAGGATAACTCACTGTAGTTTTGATTTGCATTTCTCTCATTATCCATGATGTTGAGCACCTTTTCATATGCCTGTTTGGCTTTTGTATGTCTTCTTTTGAGAAATATCTATGTAAACCTTTTGACAATGTTTTTATCAGATTATTAGATTTTTTTTTCCAATAGAGTTGTTTGAGCTTCTTATACATCTTCTTGTTATTAACCCGTTGTCAGAGGGTAGTTGTAGTTTGCAAATATTTTCTCCCATTTTGTGGGTTGTCTCTCCACTTTGTTGATTGTATCCTCTGTTGTGCAAAAGTGTCTTAACTAGATGTGATCCCATTTGTCCATGTTTGCTTTTGTTGCCTGTGCTTGTGCAGTATTACCCCAAAAACCCCTTTTGCCCAGACCAATATCATGAATATTTTCCCAATGTTTTCTGGTGGTAGTTTCATACTTTGAGGTCTTAGAATTAAGTCTCAGGAGCTCTTGTAAGACATATCTGGGGGTAATGAATTCCCTCAGTATTTGCTTACCTAAAATATATCTTATTTCTCCTTCATTTATGCAGCTTAGTTCGTCCAGACATGAAATTTTGGGTTGGAATTTCTTTTTAATAAGAATGTTGAATATTGGCCCCAATCTTTTCTGGCTTGTAGGGTTTCTGCTGAGGGACTTGCTGTTAGTCAGGTGGGCTTCCCTTTGTAGGTGACCTGACCTTTCTTTCTAGCTGCCTTTAACATTTTTTCTTTCATTGCGACATTGAAGAATCTGATGTATGTGTCTTGGGATTGATCTTCTTATGAACTGTCTTACTGGTGTTCTCTGAATTTCCTGAATTTGAATGTTGGCCTCTCTAGCTAGTTTGGGGACGTTCTCATGAATGATATTCTAAAATATGTTTTCCAAGTTGCTTACAATCTCCCTATCTCTTTCAGGTACATCAGTGAGTCATAGATTTGTTCTCTACGTAATCCCATATTTATCAGAGGTTTTGTTCACTCATTTTCATTACTTTTTTCTGTATGCTTGTCTGATGTCTTATTGCAGTAAGCCAGTCTTCAAGCTCTGAGATTCTTTCCTTCATGTGGTGTATTCTGCTGTTAATAATTGTGATTGTATTATGAAACTCTTGTAGTTTGTTCTTCAGTTCTATCAGGTTGGTTGCATTATTTTCTATGCTGGCTATTTTGTCTGTCAGCTCCTGCATTGTTTTATTGTGATTTTTAGCGTCCTTGGATTGGCTTTCAACATACTCCTGCATCTCAATGATCTTTGTTCCTAACCATATTCTGAATTCTAATTCTGTCATTTCAGCCATCTCAGCCTGGTTCAGAGCCCTTGCTGGAGAGGTGATGCAGTTTTTTGCAGGAAGGAAGGCATTCTGGCTTTTTGAGTTGTCAGGGTTCTTGTGGTCATTCTTTCTCATCTTAGTGGGCTTGTGTTCCTTCCATCTTTACAGTTGCTGACCTTTGCTATATATATATATATATATATATATATATATCTCCTATTTGATGACCTCACAGGTTTGATTGTGGTATAAGGTGGATTTAGTCAAATGGCTTTGTTTCTGGAACTGCGTGGTCTAACTCTGGGACTTGTATTGTGCCTCGACTTTGTTCTCTGGCTTCTCAAGGTTAGGAATCCACGGTACTAGGGGCGCTGATGTGCTCCTGAACTACTGGTCACTACACTCCAATGGATGGTCTCAGCCAAAGCATTTATAGTGTGGTGACAGCGGGACTCCTCCTCATTTGCATGTGCCAGCAGCAGCCTTTGCGCATGGCAGGGTGCGTGCTCCTTGGCTGTGGCAGGGTGCTAGCGGGGGCTGGGGGGCCCTGTCTCCACAGAGGCATTCACCACAGCAGAAGCAATGTGGCTTTAGGGGAGATGGCGGGTGGGGGCCCCTCCTGGGAACTGCGTGCATGGTCATGCTGGTGATGGTTTTGGCACCAGGCGGGCCACTGAAGGGTGCAGGCCTGTGTGCTTTTTCTGTGTGCCACAGGCAGGGGTGGTTACTCAAGGCAGGGGAAGGTCCGCTGTTCTCTGTGCATAGTTTCACTCCCATGGCTGGGAGGGGCACTGGCAGGAACGGAACAGGGCTGGCTGGCTCTGTGCCTGCCAAAGCTCTGAGTGTGATGGTGTGGTGCTGGGGCGGGTAAGTGGACTACACTCCCACTGCAGCAGTGGCAAGGCAGAGTGCTCACACACGTGCGCTGGCAGGGCAAAGAAAGCAAAACCCACTCCTGTGCACATGCCCCGGCAAAGCTATATGATAGCTGCCGTGGGCTGGGGGAAGCTGCTGTGTAGGGAGGGAGTGGGTGGGCTGGTGCATGGCTGTGAGGGCCGCTTGCTGAAGCTCTCTGCTGGTCAGGCATGGTCCCCTGGCACAGAAGCTATGATGCAGGCCCCCAGGGCACCCGAGGCTGCTCTGCAAGCAGGTAACCAGGCTGGGGCCACCGGAGAGGCCAGCAGACCAAGGGGTCCTCAGGTCAGACTGGCCCCATCTGATGGGCAAGACTGCCCTCCAGAGTTCAGTTGCAATAGCTCCTCTAGAGCTAAAGTTTCTTAAGGGAAGCCAGGGGAGCCCAGGGGAATCACCATCCCTGGCTGTGGTCCACTACAGAGGCTCTGGCTCCAAACCCGCTGGGCTCCACATCAGCTGCCTTGCTGCCCCTTCCATTCCTCTAAGTAATATTCCCTTCCAACTCTATGTCCCTGGTGGCAAAGGGGTCTCCTCCTTCCTGAATTCCAGAGGCCTGTAGAGAGAGCAGGTAGCTCCTTGCCAGTTCTCCTTGCTAGAATTCATCCATTCTTTTAGACTCATTGGGATATTTATGACTTAATCTTATATTTAGAAAAACCTAAAGATTCCACCAAAGTCTGGTAGAAATAATTTTTTAGGCCGGGAGAGATGGCTCACGCCTGTAGTCCCAGCACTCTGGGAGGCCGAGGCGGGCGGATCATGAGGTCAGGAGTTCCAGAGCAGCCTAACCAAATGGGGTGAAACCGTGTCTCTACTAAAAATACAAAAATTAGCCGGGCGTGGTGGTGCACGCCTGTAGTCCCAGCTACTCAGGAGGCTGAGGCAGGAGATTCGCTTGAACCCGGGAGTCGGAGATCACGGAGCGCAGATCGCACCATTGCACTCCAGCCTGGGTGACAGAACTAGACTCTGTCTCAGAATAATAATAATGATAGTAATAATAATAATAATTTTTAAAAAGTAAACTTTCCGATTATAAAATCAACTTACAAAATCAGTAACATTTGTATACACCAACAGCAATTAATCTGAAAAAAATTCAAGAAAGAAATTCAATTTACAAATACCTGCAAAGATAACTAAAAAAACTACCTAGGAATAAATGTAATAAAAGAAGTGAAAATCTATACAATAAAACTATTAAATACTGATAAAAAATGAAAAGAACACAAAAAAAGGAGAGCTATCCCATGTTCATGGTTTGGAAGAATTAATATTGTTAATAAGTTTCATACTACCCAAAGTGGGCTACAGATCGAATGCAATACCTATGAAAATGCCAGTGACAAGCTTCACAGAAATAGAAAAGCAATACTAAAATTTATATGAAGTCACAGAGTACCCTGAATAGCCTAGGAATTTTCAGCAAAAATAACAAAACTAGAGGCATCACATTATCTGATTTCAAGGTATACTACAAACTATAGTAACCAAAGCAGCATGATACTTGCAAAAAAGCAGACACATAACCCAATTGAACTGAACAGAGAACACAGAAATAAATTCACACACTTACAACCAACTAATATTTGACAACAGCGCCAAGAACATACACTGGGGAAAGAATAGCCTCTTCAATAAATGGCGCTAAAAAAGCTGGATAACCACATGTAGAAGAATGAAACGACTCTTATCTCTTACCACATACAAAAATCACATCAAAACTTATGTAAGCCTTAAATGTAAGACCTGGAATTATGAAAATAGTAGAATAAAACATTGGAAATGTAGAAGAAATATTGGAAATGGAATGGAATAATGGAAATATTGGAAGTAGTATAAGAAAATTGGAAATGGTTCAGGACATTGATTTACACAAGGATATTTTGAGTAAGGCAACAAAAATCAAACAACAGACAAATAGAATTTCATCATGCCAAAATATTTCTGAACTTCATCAGAAACTTCTGAATTTCATCATGCCAAAAATATTCTGAATAACAAAGAAACAGTGAATGGAATAAAGATACAGCCTACAGAATGAAAGAAAAGATTTATTTGACAATAGATTAATGACCAAAATGTATTTTAAAAAATCAAACAACTCAACAGAAAAAAACCCCACATAATCTGTTTTAAAAAATGGACAGAGTATCTGAATAGATATTTATCAAAAGAAGACATGCAAATGGCTAACAGGCACTTGAAAGAATTCTTAACATAATTAACCATCAGCAAAATGCAAATCTATACTACAAAACTATAAAATCAACAAATCAAAATCACAATGAGATATCAAAGGATAGTAAAGATATCAAATGAGATAGTAAAATGACTATTATCAAAAAGACAAAAAAAACCAGATGCTTATGAGTTTATGGAGAAAGGAGAACTCAGATACACAGTTGGTGGAAATGAAAATTAATACAGCCACTATAGAAAGAAGTGTGGAGTTTTCATTAAAAAATTAAAAATATACCTGCCATGTTGAACCAGAACTCACGCTGCCATATATATGTATATATCTCAAATGCGTGTGTATATATACACAAATGTGTGTGTATATATACAATTGTGTGTGTGTATATATATACACACACAAATATTTATATCTCAAGTGTATATATATATATATACACACACAAATAAAAAATCAGTATGTTAAACAGATATCTGCATTTTGATGTTTATAGTAACACTTTTCACAATAACAAAGACATGAAATTAACATAAGTGCCCATTAACAGAAAAATGAATAAAGTGAATATATTATACATGGAATATAATTCAACCACAAAAAAGAATGAAATTCTGTCATTTGCAGCAACATGGATGGAACTGGGAGTCATCATGTTAAGTGAAATAAGCCAGGCATAAAATGACAAATTTCACATGTTATCATTGATATGTAGGAGCTAAAGAGTTGATTTCATGGAAGTAGAGAATATAATGATGATTACCAGAGGCTGGGAAAGTTTTAGGGAGGAGAGGGATGAAAAGAGGTTGGTTAATGAGTAAAAAACAGAATTAGATAGAGGTAATAAATTTTAGTGTTCAGTAGCACAGTAGGATGACTATAGCTAACAATAATTTATTGTATATTTCAAAATAGCTAGAAGAATTGAAGTGTTCACATCACAAAGAAATAACAAATGTTGGAGGCAGTGAATATCTCAATTACCCTGATTTGATCATTACATATTTTATACATGCATCAATATAACACATGTAACTCATAAATACATATACTCATTGTGTATCAACATTTTTTTAAATTCTGAGATAAAAATATACAATAATTGAAATGAAAATTTCACTAAATGACTCAAAAGCAGAATTGATAAGGCAAAATAAATGAGTAATTGATTAAAATAGATCAGTAGATATTCATTTCAAATTATAAAAAGAAAAAGAATTGACTTAAAATTAAGTCATAGATGTGTGGGAAAATATCAGATATTTTAGCACACATTTTATAGCTTTCCAGAAAAAGATGGGGCAGGCAGAAGGCAGAAAATCATTTGAAAAGAAGTTTAATTAAAAATACAAACCGAAAACCATACTGATCCCAAGAAACTTATCCAACCTGAAATATGATAAACACACCAAAAACAAGAAGAAGAAAAAAAACCACAGAGCTAGACATACTAACATAAAAATGAAAAGCTTGGTCAAAGGAAAAGAAAAATTAAACCTCAGTTGCAGGAAACAATGATATGATTAACAGTTAACTTCTTATCAGAAATGACAGAAGCCAGAAAACCTTGCAATGACTTATTCAGGTTGCTAAAAAGTGAGGAAACAAACAAAAACATAAAAGCTGTCAGTAAAAAATCCCATATTTAGCAGAACTCTTTTTTTACAAGTAGTAATGGAATAAAGACACTTCAAATAAAAAAAATACTGATATAATTCATTGGTGGTATAATTCTACTTAATAAAAAACTAAATGAACTTCAGTGTGAAAAAGATCACATTAGATGGTAATTCATATATAGAGGAAGAAACTAAAAGTACTGGAAATGGCAAATATGGGGGTACAATTTTTAAAACATGTATTATTCATATATACCTATATTCATATATGAATATAGGTATATATATATATAGGTATACATATGTATATATATATAGGTATAGGTATACATATGTATATATATATAGGTATAGGTATACATATATAGGTGTACATATAGGTGTATATATATATATATACTCATATATCTATTATATATATAATTCTTTTATGTTTAAAACACATGTAATTACCTTAGTGGGCATTGAATTATTTTACCAAACTGATTCAAAAAACAACAGAAAAATGTAAATGTCTGTATATCAAGTAAAATATTTCATTACTAATTAAAAACCTTCCCTGAAAGAAAAGTCTAGGCCTGGTGACTTCATTGTTGAATTTTATAAAACTATGATGAAAGTACTAATGTCAAACCTGGACACCCTTTTTTACAAAATAGAGGAGAAAAGATTACTTTCTGACTAATTTTGTTAGGTCAGTACCACTTTGTCACCAAAGGCAGAAAAAGACATCACACAACAATAGAACAAGCAAAAAATAACAAAATAACTATGAAACAATATCACAGACTCTCAAAGATGTGAAAATCTGTAACAAAATGTCAGTAAATCTAACTCAGCAAGAATTAAAGTATTACCAAGTATATGCAAGCTTGGTTTAAAATCTGAAAAGCAATATAATACACTATGTAAACTGAATAAATTAAATATTAGATAATATCAATAGACACAAAAACGTTTGACAAATTCACGTATTTAGCATGGAAACTCTTAAAAACAATAGAAATCACCCTCTTCATCCTGACAAAGGACATATTAAAAACCTAAGCTGTCATTTTACTTAATGGTAAGACTGATGCCCTCTACTGTCTTCCCTTCTGAAAAAGCAAAGTTGTCTGCTTACACCAATTCCACTTAACAATATTGGACATTCTAGACAGTGTAATAAGAACAGATAAAAAAAATATTCACTCATATTTGAGTAGAGGATGTAGAACATAATCATGCATATAGCTATGGAAATTAATACATGATTTTAACAAGATCAATATAAACATCAGTGTTATTTCTATCAGCAACAACAATCTGAAAATTAAATTAGAAAATTAAATTGATTTTATTGAAAATAGCTTCAGAAAAAATGGAAATAATAATAAGTTTAAGAAAATATATTCAAGACTTGCACACTAAAAATCATAAAATATAGCTGAGATCATTACAGAAGACTTAAATAAATGGAGCAATACACCATGATCATGAATTTGAAGACTCAATATAGATAAAATGTCAGATTTCCCAAAGTGATGTAGAGATTTGACACAATACCAGTAAAATTCCTGGCATTGTTTTGTGGAAATTAACACAATTATTCTAAAATGTATATTTAAACTCTTTAAATTCCTTTTTATTTTACATACATTTTTAAATAATTTAATATATTTCTTTTATGCAAAAATCATAAAAACAATTTAAAAATGAGATTTTAGAAGAAATAACTGTCACTTACAAAAAGATATAAGATAATGAAAAAGCAGCCACAGAATGGTTTAAAATATTTGCAAAGCATACATCTAACAATATATTGCATCCAGTATAAAGAAAGAATGCTTACAACTTAACAATAAGAAAAATGGCTCAATAAATAATGGTCAAATATTTAAAGAAACACTTCCCAAAAGAAGATATATGAATGACCAACACACATAAAAAAGAGGTCTACATCATCAATCATTAGGAAAATGGCAACTATAACCACAATGAGATTTTATTACACATTCCCTAAAATAACTAAAAATGAAGAAAACTGATAATACCATGAATATGTAGAGAAACTAGAATCTTCATATATTGGCTGGTGGGAATGCAAAATGGTACAGGCACTTTAAAAGTGATTTATAACTTCTTAAAAAGGTACACCACTGACCAAGCACCTCCCATTTTAGTTACCTGCTAAGAAAAATGAAAACAGATGTCAAACACAGATGTGTATTTGAATGTCTTAAAAGTATTATCTAACATAGCTATAAACTGTAAACCATTCAAATATCCTTCATCTGGCTAATGAGTAAAGAAAATGTAGTATACCTATACATTGGAATGCTATTCAGCAATAATAAGAAATCAACTACTGATACAAATAGCATCCACCATGAATGAATCTCAAAAATAGCACACCAAGTGAATGAAGCCATACACAAGAGTACATACCGTATGATTATATGAAATCCTAGAAAAAGGGGAAACAGTAAAAGAAAGTTAGCAGTCAATGGGTGTTGGGGGATTGGAGCACAGATGTAATGCAAAGGAGCATGAGAAATTTCTTTGAGGTGATGGAGGTGTACTAAAACTTGATTGTGATGGTTCTCATATTATTCCATTCATTTACCAGAAATAATTAAATCCTGCACTTAAAATATGTGAATTTTATTTATAGAAATTTTATACATAAAGATATAAAAAATCAGAAAAAATATCATGGATGAACTTTTTATTCCTTAAAATGTCTAACGTTTGACCATTTAAGTATGGTGCTAGCTCAAGGTTTTTCTCAGATGCCTCTTATTAGAGATGCCCATTTTGTCTATTTTGCTGAGTATTCCTATTCTATATACTGAATTGTGTTAAATGATTATTTTGCATAAATTGAAAAGTTTACAAGAAAAGTTGATTTTTTTTTCTATTTTTAATGTGATGAATTGCATTCATGATTTGAGTAGGAATCAACCCACAGAGTCATGATGTATACATATTTATTTTTTGCTGGTTACAACTCGTTAATATTTTGTGATAAGATTTATACATCTTTTCATTTGGGCTATTAGTCTTTAATTTGAGAGATCTTTTGGCATCATGATTATCTCAGCTTTTTAAAATCAGAAGAAAAGTGTTAGCTTCTCCATTATCTGGAAGTTTTTATTGAATTGATATTCTTGCATCCTAAAATGCTTAGTAGAATGCCTTCTCAAAATCAGCAGGATCTCTAGTCTTCCTGTGAAAATATTTTAATAACATTTAATTCCTTTTTAATAGATTACACATGTAGTTTTTTTTTGTCAGTTTCACTAATTTGTATTTTCCAAAGAATCGCCTTTGTATAATTGTCAAACCTATTGGCATTGAGTTATTTATATTTCTTTATCATTTTTTATATCCATAGGAACTTTAGTGATATTCTGTTTTTTATTCTAGTTATTGGTAGTTTGTGTTTTGTCTTTTTTGTCTTAATCTTGCTGATGATAAGATTTGTCAGCATTATTAATTTTTTTACATAATCAACTGTAGGCTTTGTTATTTCTCTCTACTTTTTCTATGTTGTTGATTTCTGATCTTATCCTTAATGTATGCATTCTTCTACTTAATTTGTATTTAATTTCCCCTTTTTTTCTTAGCTTCTCAAATGGAATTGTAGATTACTAATTTTTGACCTTTTTATTTTTAAATTATATAGATTTGAAATTATGAATTTCTTTTTAAACCCTGCTTTAGATACATCACACAAATTTTGATACTTTGTTTTACCGTTTTTAGAAATGTTTTCTATTTTCTCTTGTGAATTCTTATTTGACTCAGGAGTTATTTAGAAGTATGTTGTTTACTGCCCACTGGGGCAGCACATATACTAAAACTGCACTGATACAGAGAGCATTAGCATGACCCCTGTGAAATGATGGCATACAAATTCATGAAACATTTCAAATTTTTCACAATAAAATGATATAGGAGCTTAAGGATGAAATAGCCGGTATAAAAAAAAGAACCTAATAGATCTGACAGAGCTGAATAACACAATGCAAGAATTTCACAGTGTAATCACAAGTATTAACAGCAGAATAGACCAAGCAAAGGAAATAATCTCAGAACATGAATAATGGCAGTCTGAAATAAGACAGTCAGACAAAAATAAAGGAAACTAATAATAAGGAATGAATAAAACCTCTGAGAAATATGGGATTATGTAAAGAGGCCAAATCTATGTGAATCACTGGCATTGCTGAAAAGGAGGGGAAGAAAGCAAACAACTTGGAGAACATATTTCAATGTTTTGTGTATGATATCAGTTATCAATACAGGAAATCCAGGATATAGGATATTGTCCATGAAAATTTATCAAACCTTGCTAGAGAAGCCAACAGTCAAATTCAAGAAATGCAGAGAACGCCTACAAGATTCTACACAAGAAGATTCTTTGTAAGACACATAATCATCAGAAATTCCAAAGTCAAAATGAAAGAAAGTGAAAGGCAGATAGAAAGGGTAGGCCACCTACAAGGGGAAGCCCATCAGGCTAATAGTGGACCTCTCAGGTGAAACCCGGGAAGCCAGAAAAGATTGAGGACCTATATTCAACATTCTTAAAGAAAAAAATCTTCAACAAAGAATTTCATATCCAACCAAACTAAGATTTCTATGCAAAGGGGAAATAAGATTCTTTTCAGATCAGCAAATGTTGAGAGAGTTTGTTATGACCAGACCTGCCTTACAAGAGATCTTGAAAGAAGAAGTAAATATAGAAAGATCACTACCAGCTAATACAAAAGCACAGTTAATTATACATACTAGTGACACTACAATGCAACCGTGCAAACAAGCCAGCATAACTTAAAAGGCATAGCGTGGCAAGCGGGATGAAAAATCAAGAACTTTTGTTATTGTGTCTTCAGGGGACCCATCTCACATGTAATGACACCCAGAGGCTCAAAATAAAAGGATGGAGGAAAATCTACCAAGCAAATGGGAAACAGAAAAACACAGGGATTGCAATCTTAATGTCAGACAAAACAGATATTAAACCAATAAAGATTAAAAAAAAAAGACAAACAAGGGCATTACATAATGGTAAAAGGTTCAATTCAACAAGAAGACCTAACTATCCTAAATATGTATGCACCCAACACAGGAGCACCCAGAGTGATAAAACAAGTTCTTAGATAACCTGCAAAGAGACACAGATTGTCACACAATAATAGTGCAAGACTCCAACACTTCACTGACAGTATTAGACAGATAGTAGGGGCAGAAAATAAAGATATTCAGGAACTGAAGTCAACATTGGACCAAATGGATCGGGCAGACCTCTACAGAACTTTCTACTGCAAACCAACAGACTATACATTCTTCTCATTGCCATATGGCACATGCTTTAAAATTGGTCACATAATTGGACATAAAACTATCCTCAGCAAATGCAAAAAAAAGCCCTGAAATCATACCAAACACACTCTCAAACCACAGCACAATAAAAATAAAAGTCAAAGCTAAGAACAGTGCTCAAAACCATGCGATTACATGGAAATTAAACAACATACTCTTGAATGACTTTTGGGTAAATAATGAAGTTAAAGAAGAAATCAAGAGGTTCTTTGAAACTAATGAGAACAAAGATATAGCATATCAGAATCTCTGTGACACAGAGCTAAGGCAGCGTTAAGAGGAAAATTCATAGCATTAAATACCTGCTTCATAAAGTTAGAAAGATCTCACATTAACAACGTAACATCACAATGGAAAGAATTAGAGAAGAACAAATCAAGCCTAAAGCTAACAGAAGACAAAAAATAACCCAAATCAGAGCTGAACTGAAGTAAATTGAGACATTAAAAAACCATTTAAAAGATCAACAAATATAGAAGTTTTTTTTTTTTTGAAAAAAAAAAATAAAATAGGCTGCTAAACAGATGAATGATGAAGAATAGAGAGAAAATGCAAATAAACACAGTTAGAAATGATGCAGGGGATGTTACCATTGAACTCCCAGAAATACAAACAACCATCAGAAACTACTATGAACACCTACCTCTATGCACACAAACTAGAAAACCTATAAGAGATTGATAAATTCCTGGACACATATGACCTCCCAAGACTGAACCAGGGGGGAACTGATTCCCTGAACAGACCAACAATGAGCTCTGAAATTGAATCAGTAATAACCTACCAACCAAAACAAGCCCAGGACCTGATGGCTTCACAGGCTAATTCTACGAGATGTACAAAGAAGAGCTGGTACCATTCCTACAGACACTATTCCAAAAAATTGAGGAGAGATTCCTCCCCAATTCATTTCGCAAGGCTGGCATCATCCTGGTACCAAAACCTGGCAGAGATATAAGAAGAAAAGACAATTTCACACCAGTATCCTTGAAGAACATGGATTCAAAAATCTTCAACAAACTACTTGATAAGTGAATCCGGCAACACTAAAAAATTAATCTACCACAATTAAGTAGGCTTCATCTCCAGGATGCAAGGTTGATTAAAAATATGCAAATCAATAAATGTGATTCATCACATAAACAAAACTAAAGACAAAAACCACACGATTCTCTCAATAAATGCAGGAAAGACTTCTGATCAAATTTAAAACCAATTCATGTTAAAAACTCTCAATAAACTAGGTATTGAAGGACCATACCTCAAAATAATAAGATCCATCTATGACAAACCCACAGCCAACATCTTACCGAATGGGCAAAAGCTGAACACATTCACCTTGAAAACTGGCACAAGACAAGGATGCCCTCTCTCACTACTCCTATTCAACATAATATTGGAAGTCCTAGCCAGAGCAATCAGGCAATAAAAAAAATAAAGGGCATCCAAATAGAAAGGAAGTCAAACTATCTCTGTTTGCAGACATGATTCTATATCTAGAAAACCCCATAGTCTTAACCTCAAAAGTTCCTTCAGCTGATAAAAATCTTCAGCAAAGTTTCAGGATACAAAAATCAGTGTATGAAAATCATTAGAATTTGTATACATCAACAACAGCCAAGCTGAGAGCCAAATCAGCAACACAATCCCATTACAATTGCCACAAAAAGAATAAAATAGAATACAGTTAACCAGGGAGGTGAAAGATCTCTACAGTGAGAATTACAAAATACTGCTCAAAGAAATTAGGGAAGACACAAGCAAATGGAAAAACATCCCATGCTCATGGATAGAATCAATATGATTAAAATGGCCATATTGACTAAAGCAATTTACAGATTCAGTGTGACTCTATCAAACTACCAATGGTATTCTTCACAGAACTAAATAAAATAATAAAAAATAAAATAAACTATTTTAAAATTCACATGGAACCAAAAAAGAGCCAGAATAACCAAAGCATTCCTAATCAAAAAGAACAAAGCTGGAGGCATCATGCTACCTGACTTCACGCTATACTACAGAGATACAGTAACCAATACAGCATAGTACTGGTACAAAAACAGACACCTAGATCAATGGAACAGAATAAAGAGTGCAGAAATAGGACCATGTATCTATGACCATCTGATCTTCGACGGAGCTGACAAAAACAAGCAATGGGGAGAAAACTCCCAATTCAATAAATGTTGTTGGGATAATTGGCTAGCCATATGCTGAAGATTGAAGCTGGACCTGTTCCTTACACCATATACAAAAATCAAGTCAAGATGGTGTAAAGACTCAAATGTAAAACCCAAAACTATAAAATCCTGAAAGACAGCCAAGGTAATACCTTCCTGGACATAGCAACGGGCAAAGATTTTATGACAAAAAATACCAAAAGCAATCACAACAAAAGCAAAAAAATTGACAAATGAGATCTAATTAAACTTCTAATTAGAGCTTCTGCACAGCAAAAGGAATTATCAACAGAATAAACAGACAACCTACAGAATGGGATAAAATTTTTGCAAATACCTAAAAAAGGTCTAATATTCAACATCTATAAGGAACCAAAACAAATTTACAAGAGAAAAACAAACAACCCCATTAAAAAGTGGGCAAAGTACATGCACAGACACTTCTCAAAAGAAGACATACATGCAGCCAACAAGCATATGGAAAAAAAGCTCAATATCACTGATGATTAGAGAAATGCAAATCAAAACCACAATGATATACCATCTCATACCACTCAGAATGGCTATTACTAAAAAATTGAAAAAATAACAGATACCTGAAAGATTTTGGAGAAAAGGGAACATTTTCACTCTCACTGTTGGTGAGAGTGTAAATTAGTTCAACCATTGTAGAAAGCAGTATGATTATTCCTTAAAGACCTAAAAGCAGAACTACCATTTCACCCAGCAATCCCATTACTGGGTATATACTCAGAAGAATATAAATAATTCTACCATAAAGACAAACACACGAATGTTTGCTGCAGCATGAGTAACAATAGCAAGACATGGAATCAACGTAAATCCCTATCAATAGTAGAGTGAATGAAGAAAATGTGGTATGTATTCACTATGAAATGCTACGCAGCCATAAAAAAAAAAAAAAAGATCATGTCTTTCGTGGAAACATGGATGGAGCTGGAGGCTATTTTCCTTAGCAAACTAATACAGAAACTGAAAACCAAATACCACATGTTCTCTCTTATAAGTGGGTGCTAAAGGATGATAACTCATCAACACAGAGAAGGAAATAACAGACACTGGGATCTACTTGCGAGGAGGAAGGGGAGCAGAAAAAATAACTATTGGATACTAGGCTTAATACCTGGGTGATCAAATAATCTCTGTACAACAAACCCCTGTGACATGAGTTTACTATATAACAAACGTTCACATGTACCCCCAAACCTAAATAAAAATTTAAAAAAAAAAACAAAAACAAAAACAAAAAACAAAAAAATGTATTTTTTAAATTTCCAGATATTTGGGGATTTTCTAGATATCTCAATTACTTGATTTTTAATTAATTCCATGGTGCTCAAAACATATTCTATAACGTTGGTTTTTTTTTTTTTTTTTTTTTTTTTTTTTTTTTTTGTAATAGCTATTCCAAATGAGGTGAGGTGGTAACTCGCTGTGGTTTTGATTTGCATTTCCACAATGATTCGGGATGTTGAGTATTTTTCATGCACATATTAGCCATTTGTATGTCTTCTTTTGAGAAATGTCTAATCATATATTTTGCTCATTTTTAAATCAAATATCTGTTGTTTGGCTATTGATTTTTTTGAGTTCCTTACATATTCTGAATACTAACGCATTGTCAGATTCAGTTTGTGCATATTTTCTTTCATTTTGTAGGTAGTCTCTTCGCTCTGTTGATTGTTTTCTTTGCTCTGCAGAAGCTTTTTCGTTTGATGTAATCTCACTTGTCTATTTTTACTTTGATTGTGTTTTTGAGGTCTTATTCAAAAAATCTTTGCCCAAATCAATGTCATGAAGCATTCACCCTACATTTTCTTCTAATAGTTTTAATATTTTGAGTCTTACATTTAAGTCTTTAATCCATTGAAATGCTGATGAGGATGTGAAGAAAGGGGAAATCTTATACATTGCTGGCAGGAATGTAAATTAGTACAGCCATTATGGATAACAGTAGGGAAGTTCCTTTAAAAAGTAAAATAACATGGGACTACCATATGATCCAACAATACTACTACTGGGTATATATCAAAGAAAATAAAATCAATATGCCAAAGAAATATCTCCACTCTCAGGTTTACTGCAGCGCTATTCACAACAGCTTAGACATGGAATCAACACCTAAGTGTTCATCAATAGATGAATGGATTTTTAAAATGTGGCACATATACACAATGGAATACTATTCAGCCATAAAAAGAAATGAAAACCTGTCATTTGTGACAACATGGATGAAACTTATAGACAATGTTAAGTGAATTAAGCCAAGCACAGAAGGACAAATACTGCATGATCTCACTCCTACTGGAAATTTTTAAAAAATTGATTTTTAGAAGGAGAATAGTAATTGCTACAGGCAGGGGAGGTGAGGGAGAAAGGACTGTTAAAGGGACGGGTTAGTCAACAGGCATACAGTTATAGTAAGATAGGAGAAATAAGTTCTTGTTCTATTGCACAGCAGGATGACGGCAGTTAACAATAATGTATCATATATTGCCAAATGGCTGAAAGCGAGGATTTGGCACGTCCTCACCACAAAGAAAGGACATGTGTTTGAGGTGATGAATATGCTAACTTCCCTGATTTGATTATTACAATAGGTATCAAAGCATCACACTGTACCCCATAAATATATGCAATTATCATGTCAATTTAAAACAAAACTTTAAACATTTATTTTGAAATATATTGAGACTTACTGAGTGTTATATATTGAGGCTAAACATATAAACTATCTCAGTTTTGATTTTATGTAAGACAATACATATACAAAATGTACATTCTTTATCTGTTGGTTTCTTTAATTGAAATATTATTACTTGAACCTCATTAATGAAGGACATCTTCATGGGATACAGAATTTTTGGCTGACTTTTAATTTTTTTTGCCATTTAATGATGAGGTTTTCTTGTCTTCTGATTTCTACTGTATCTGTTAAAAAATTCAGCCATCAATTCTTATAGTTGTGCCATTGTACATAATGATTCATACTTTCTTTTTATTTTTCTGGCTTCTTTATCTGTTATACATGGCTCTCTTTTCTCTAGGACTGTGCCCTGCATTCTCAGCTGCCTCAGCATTCCCTAACTCCTCTATTCATTTGAGGGCTCCTACCTCCTGGACTGTTCAGGAAAAGGCCCTGCAGAAAAAAAAAAAAAAGTGAGGAAAATACTACACACTTCCTTTCTATGTTTGCTTTCTTTCACAATCCTGTGCTGCCCCGTATCCAATGCCTGAAGCTCATTGTTCATAAATATATTCTTCAGTTTTATAATTGTGAGTAAGGTAGGGTAACTCCAATACCAATTATTCCTTTGTGCATATGAAAATCACACTTTAATGGGGAAATAGATAGTAAACAAGATAATTAATTTTAAAACTTCTATGTTAGGTGCTAAAGACTAAGAAGAAAATAAATCAGAAGCATGGATAAGGAAGGTTGTGTAGGTATGGTGGGGGAGCAAAGAACATCATAAAAGAAGCATTTGATACTTTTGAAAAATCATGCAATGAAAGATTCACTGTGAAAATGTTCTTAGAAGAAAGTTAAGAGAGCCATGCAGATATTGGCAGGAAGGGCCTTCTAAGACAGAGGAGTAGCCAGTACAAAAGGGTATGTGGCAGGAATACATATGGCATGTTGGTAGGAAAGTGAGGTGGCCATTGAGACTAGACCTAAATGAAGGAGAGAGTGCTAGGAAATGAATTTACAGGTATAAGTGAGGATCAGATTGGGTAACATTTCCATCACTTGCAAGAATCTATTGCTTTCTTTGAGCATAATAGGAAGCCAGCAGAGGGCCTTGAGCACAGATATTTTACTATCTCTGGCTTTTATGTGACACAAAAAGTCCTTGGGAACCAGATTTAGGTCTCTGAAACAAACTTGAGTCCTGTGAATGTGGTGGAGTTGCAAAGCCTTTGTGTTTGGAGGAAACTTACCTGACTGGTTGTATACCACAAGGTTGTCTTGATGTACTATGCCTCGCTAATCTCAGAGCAGTTTGGGCCTGCCACTGGACATCTCTGGACCTCAATCAAGGAATATTCTGTACAATCATTGGCCAGCTGCCTAAGCTAAATTGTGCCAGTTAGCTTTTACCTTAGTAAAATAACTTCTACATTCTCAGGTATGAGAATATTTTCCATAGGGGGGATTCCACAGTTATTTAGTTTTTTAATTTAAAGGACAGTGACTGTGCTGTGATCTTGAGTGAAGAGTTTATTCACAAATCACTCAATGAAAGCACATCAGTTTGATTGCTTGGATTATAAAGTACACCTCTATTCCAAGTGGCTTAAACAATAAAGGGGAATCATTGGCTCCTGTAACTTGAAGTTACAGTGGTTCAGTAATGTCATCAAGGACTCAATTTCTTTCAGACTCTCTGTTGTGCCATACAAAAATCTGGCTTCACGCTACATCTGGCTTCCCTGTAAGTGCTAATATGGCTGCCAGCAGTTGGGCAACATGGTACATTCCCATCCAGCAGCACAGAGGACATCAAATAAATATCTGACTTTCCTACTAATTGAAACACTGTGAACAGGTCCCTGTGTTCAGGGGAGTGTCATGTTATGACTGGTCAAGACTTAAGCTACGTGAAATATTGTGGAAAGAGAGATAGGATAGCCCTTATTGATTTAAACAACAGGGAGCCTACCTTTTGTGACAGAAGTGAAACTAATATCACCCTAATCAAAGCTGATACAGCATGGGAAAGAATGGAATGGGTGCTGAAAAGAAGATGAAAATAAAGAAATAAAATTCACCAGTGCCAGGATGTCTTCATTCGGTCTACTCATATCTAGAAAGCAGACTCAGCAGACTCCAGTTTTCATCCTCACAAGTGGCAGACAGGATGAAGATCACTAGCATCTGAGTCCTCCTTGGAATGAATGGGCTCTACCACTGTTGTGGAGCTGTCAGTTATGATGGTATAGGATTGAGCTATATTAGGAGAAAGTAGAGATAAAGTAAAACAGAGTATTTTAGAGCTGCTAAAAGTTCTGATTATGGCCACAGAACAGAAAAACAGGTTTCAACAGGTGAATTTTCAAAGCAGTTTGGAAAAGAAGGCAACCTCCATTAATCACTGGATATCTCTGATTGCTTTTGAAGACCTCTCATTTTAAAAACATTAATATTCATCCAAGAATATGAGAGCACAATTGTTAAGTTGTAGCTTAGGATTTTTCTTTTGGAGATAGAAGTATATCTTGCAAGTGTGATTACAGTTGGCTACAAAATTTGCTTAAGCACAAAGAGAATAGAAAATGAATATATCAATAATATTTTGTAACAATAAAAAGAAAAATAGTAATGGTAAATGCTCACATTTAACCGAGTACTTGCTGTGTAGTAGCAAAGAAATTTACATGTGTTTACATATTTGATCCCATAATTCTATGAAGCAACTGAGATATAGAGAACTTAAACACCTTACTTAGACTCCGGGCCAGCAAGCAAAAAGCATAGCTGAGAGATGCTCGCAGGCACTCTGACTTTAACACTCATCCTCATAAGTATTCATCTCTGTCTAGGAAGTCATGTAAGATCTTTTTCATTAGTTGTTACAAAATGTATACGTAAACTGATGAGATTTGACTGAAAATATGTTTCTATATTCATCATCTTTTTTGATCCTTCCTGTAACCCCGAAAACTTAGATTTTATAGGATTGGCACAAAATATGGGAGGCTGAACACAGCTAATTAACATAGATCACATATACTGGGGTTCTGGAAAAGATCCACATACTGAGTTTATTTCACAGGAATCTAGGCCCCAAGCTATAATAGCATAATTTAATTACATACCGTCTTCAGAGATATCTCCCCAAATTTACAAATGAGTTGCACATTTACTGAAACCAAAAGAATGGGAAGAAAATGTAAGATAAGCTAGAATAGGGTGGGAGTAGAATGAGAAGCAAATTCAGGAAGCTGAAAAAAGATATTAAAATAATCACTAAAAGAAGGATATAGGCTTGAATAAGGTATAGAGTTGAGTACAGAGTCAGAAGAATAGAAAGAACCATGGGAAAGAGCATAAAATGCTAGGTCGAACATGTATGTGGATAGACATTCTTGAAGTACTAAAAAGAAAGGAAGGCTGACCTTTGCTGACTGTAATTGTTCTATGTGTTCATAATGGAACATCCATTTAAGAATACAGATAATAAGCAGGCAACTTCAATAACCCAAAACAATATTTATCTTTTCTATGGATTTTTCCAAACCAACAATATGTAAGTGCCAATTCATTATTTGTTTCCTTTAATTTATTTACTTCCCACCCATTAAGTTTCCAGTTCTGCACTGGTGTTCTGTTATTGTTTACTCCTTCAATCAAAAGCTCCTGAGTGTTTAGAGTGTGTTCAGTTCTGTGCTTAGACTCTGGTTCTAGAGATGACAAAAACACAATTCTTGGCTAACAATCCCTTAAAGGAGACAAGCATGTTAATCATGAGATCACAATTTAATGAGTGCCATGAATGTAACACAGAAACTGATTCCTGATTTACTGACTGGAAACATTTGATACATAAGTATTTAAAATTAACATGAGATGAGATTAAAAAGAGCATCTGCTCAGAAATCAGGTATCCACACAAAAGAAAGAAAGAAAAAAAAAAGATTGCAAGAAAGGAACCCAGCAGAGGAGAGCAGCCTCAAGAATAACTGACTGCAGACATAAACAACCACAGGGCCTGAACCAGTTTTCTTATCATTGCCACAAAGAGAGAATAATAACAATAAAGACAAATGGCAGGGTCACCAACTCAGATATGAAAATTGCCAATAAAAACCAATACATCAGACATATTAGAAAAGAAACTTTGCTTTGAGAATGAATCATAGACCCTTGTGATCACTGAAGCCTGTAATATAGCTCTAGAATATTTCAGCTACTTATTATTCCATCCTATCAGATTTAGAAAAACGACAGGCTGAATGCTCAGCCTGTCTAAGCTATTTCAGAAATTAATTCCAAATATTAAACCAAAGAGAACTGCTGCAAAATGTAAGGAGCATACAAGCTTGCTAAGCCTGAATGGTGATAATAAAACTTGCACGGGTGCTACAGTGTTCTAATCAATGTCTAATTGACTCACTAATTAAAAAATTCTGTCATATAGTTTTTCTATAGCTAAAAAGCCTACTAAAATCTGGGAATTTATTTTTGAGCTAGAGTTTATAGTCAGACATTTGTTACAAGTCAAAAAGTTCAACAGCTACTTTAAAAATATATTTATATTTTAGATGGGTTCTCATTGACTGGTAGTCAGCCAGCTGCCAAATTTTTAGGTATTCTTTTTCTAATATAAGTCCATATTAATTCTCAACTAACATAGCACAGCTACTTGACCAATATAGTAGGCAGAAAAATAATGAAGGATATGGATACTTTCCCAAGTAAACTAATGAAAAATACTAAGCCTTATTGTATCTTGAATAGGTGATAAGCAATGTTATTCTGATATTTAAAAAACTGTATAGAAATACGTGCACACACATATGTATAAATAAATATATACTCACACAATTTTTTTCTTGGAAAGCAGGCCTTCTCCAGTTGCAAGCCCAGTATATTGAAGCAAATCATATAAATCAGCTAATCTTCTTGATTTTATAAAGAAACATGTTTAAATCATCCCAAATGCATGGGAATTTATCTTATTTTATAATAACATATATCTAAAATGTTTTCCTTTTAGTTACTTCCATTTTACAACACACACACACACACACACACCCTTGATATTTGCCTATGTACACTAAGTAAAATAGTGTCCCTATTTGCCGAGTAGTAGTAAACAGAAGAATTGATCGCTACGACAGAGCCTTCCATTGCCCACAAGAAAGCTGCTCCATGAGCTTAACATGATCCCGCCCACCTGCTACCCTTATTTAATCTAGAAATAGACACTTTACTGAATCTGAGTCAGTTGCAATTTCTCCCGATGAATACAGATTTGAGAGTAAGAAATATTATGTTGAGTCACAGCCAAATTGCATTAATGGCTTTTCTCTTGAGTGAAAGTTAAAATTCTATAGAAACCTTGAAAGATACTGTGTGATTGATTTTCCAACTCCTTTTTGGATTATGGTGATAGGTTTTAAACAGGTATCTTTCTAATAAATTCCCTTTTTCTCTTTATGTTACCAAAACACTGTAACCAAATAAATTCAAATCAAACAGCTGGGTTTCTGGTTTGTTCCATTATTTTGCTGTAGGCACACACCACCTACCTTATTCTTACTAAAGTTCCACCTGTTATTAAACAAAAATCAAACAACTTATCCTTTCTGCACATAAAGAGGATGGCACATCTCTGTCCTCCAACCATACAAAAAGTTTCTTCTCTGGGCTAAATAATGATAGTTCCTTTTTAAAAATTAATTATTTACTTACCCCCAAGTTTACTATTTACTTTAGAAGTTCCATTTTAGTTGAATCTTGCTTATCTGTCAATACCAAGAGCTTTAGATGCCTAATATGAGAAAGAATAAAGAAAGAGAAAGAAAGATGAAAGAAAAAGAAAGAAAGAAAGAAAAAGAAAGAAAGAAAGAAAAAGAAAGAAAGAAAGAGAGAGAGGAAGGAAGGAAGGAAGGAAGGAAGGAAGGAAGGAAGGAAGGAAGGAAGGAAGGAAGGAAGGAAGGAAATATCCCCTGTTGGATATAGTGCATATCACTATATCCAATCCCAGTACATACAAGAGGCGTAGCAAATTGTCAAAGGGCTTTCATGAATTCTGTGACATCTCCTACTAGCAAACTTTCCTTTTATTAATTGACTTCAAAATAACAGCCATTGATAGTTATTAAATATAAAACAAAAAAGCAAATTTAGCTTCTGAACAGACTCCAGAAAAGATAACTTAAGAGGAAGTATGTAATTGTTGTATTTGGCTGCTTAGATTCCCCTGCAGGTCAGAAGAACCTGTGCTCCCATCTGCGAGGAGTGCTCCTGGAAGATAATGCTCAACTATATGTTTCAGGAAATCTCAGAAAATTGCCCTTAGTTGAAGAGCCCTGCATTGCTCAAGGTCATACCTCCTTCCTGAAGAAGCCTACATCCAATGCCTGGTTGATATAAAAGTATGGACACCCGGGCTCCTCCCAGCAACAAAAGGCCACTGAAGGGCCATCTATTAACAGCTCCAGAGCTCCCATGTAATTGGTTGAAACCTTGTTGAGACTGATGCCTGCAAGAGTTTCTCTCACCTCCCAGTCCTATCTCTATCTCTTTCTTCTACAGGTGCTGACTCCAACTGCACTTCCTAATAAACTCCTAGCATTTTAATCTCTTTCTCAGAGTTGGCTTTCACAGAATCCAACCTGCAACACATACCTAGAAGAAAAAGATTAATTGAGAAAAACATGGCCAGGCACCGGTGGCTCATGCCTGTAATCCCCACACTTTGGGAGGCCAAGGCAGGAAGATCACCTGAAGTCAGGAGTTCAAGACCAGCCTGGTCAACATGTTGAAACCCCATCTCCACTAAGAATACAAAAAATTAGCCAGGTGTGGTGGCACGTGCCTATAATTCCAGCTACTTGTGAGGCTGAGGCTGGAGAATTGCTTGAACCCAGGAGGCAGAGGTTGCAGTGAGCCAAGAAAAGCATATATACATTTAAGTAAACAAAAACATAATAATACATAAATTGTAGCTACTTGATTCTATTAGCTTTTCAATTTATGATGTGCATCATACTAAATATTTTTCCTGTTAACACTAAATGCTTTACATATTAATACTAAACACCTTAATTGCATTACTTCTGAGCTTTTGTATGTGCATTATACTGGACCATTTAGTTGCATTACCTTACTTAACCCACATAGCAACCTTATACGTAGGCATCATTATTTATCAGGTTTACAGATGAAGAAAATTAATGCTTAGGAAGTTGAAACAACTTGTTCAAGATCAAATAGCCAGTAAGTGGCAGAATCAAGAGTAAAACCAATTAAGTTTAATTGCAAACCCACTTATTTCACCACTTCTATAGGTACTATCCCAGATCTCAAATCAGAAGCAGAATCTACAATTCTGCTTTTTTCTTTTTTTTTTTTTTCTTGGAAAGCAGGCTTTCTCCAATTGCAAGCCCAGAATCTACAATTTTCCTTCTGATTTGAGAAATGAACCTATAACATGGATACTTCCTGTGCTACATTCCTTTCTTAAGTTGTTGGCTGAAAGTCCAGAGTTGATTAGAACAATTCTGGTCACACATCTGACCAGTGGCAGAAGATACTTGCTAATAAGTTTTCATATGCTAGTCTATTATTTGGGTTCTTGAGCACTTTGCTTGTTTGATGAAGAAAAGATTTTGCAATACACAGTTCAATGTGTTGAATTATGAGTGGTCACTCTTCAGAGAGTTAAAGTTTTAGAGACAGAGAATATTATTGGTTGAAGACATATAAATAAATGATTAATGTTGGGAGAATACATTGATCAAGTTAATCACAAGTGAAAAGAGACAAAATTTTCTCCTTAACATTTTCAGATACCACTCAAGCTAATTTTGAAAAGTTCTCAGAAAATATGCATAAGGTTTGTATGTCTGAGCAATGTAATCAAGATTTAATCAATAAAAATAAGCTTAGACTCAGATCATTTTTCATGTTTCTTTGATGTATCTTTTCCAATTAAAAGACAACTAACTTATAATGTGTACCACTAATACAGAAAGACAGAGTGAACAATATTTCATTTTCTTTGTCTCAGTGCTTTTGGTTTATTTGAAACAAATATATCTATCTAAACATTATGGGTTTCCATTTAATATGTAAAACTTTACTATTAGCTATAGCAAGTACTTGAAAGAATAGAAAAAAAATTATAACTATAAAAGAGTTAATTAAGCAACATTTGTTTTGTTAGATAGTACAATTTCTCAATTGTAGAGTACAGTTTATTTGAATAAAGTCAATATACATCTCAACCAAAATAAAAAATAAAACCAGCATTGCAAATTATATTTTTAGAGACACAATCATACAATATTGCTTAAATAATAAAATATTGAGATACGAAGTATTTTCACATTGAGCCGTTCCTTTAGAGCACCTGGATAACAGATTTCATGCCTTCTTAAAGAATTCTAGCAATTAGAATAGAAGATATATTTTGTTTCGTTCATTTAGAAGGAAATGATATTTCATTTCAGGTTATCAATGTAGAGAAACTGTATTTGCAATATAATAAAATATATCATCTATCAAGCAGAATCATCAAGCCATACAAGCCATGAAGTTGGAGTAAATCTGTCTTCTGAAATAGAAAAAGAAATATAGAACTATTCTTATATATTACCTATTTATATTGGCACATGTGCAATGTAGAGAAGGTATTGTTAATTCTGGGCTTTTCTACATATTTCAGTGCACTTTCATCTTAGTTCACCCTGTCAAAAGATCTGAAACTATGGTCACTGAATCTACAGAAATATACTGAGTTAACCATTTTTATTCAACTGAAAGAAATGCATAGAAATTAGGTTGCCTTGGATATGCAATCTAGGTCAATACACTGGAATAAGTTTTGTACTTGAAGCTTGCTAGCAATCTATAAATGGAAGCATTTATCTAGATGTCCAATTGACATATGCACAGGGTTTGGGCATCCCAATATTTTTAAAAAATGTGATTCACTGTATTAACCAAATAGAGGAAGAGGTTAAATAAGTCCCCTAAAAATTCATAGCTAACAGACATCATGATGAAGTTTCAAATCTCATGTACTTTCCAAAAGAAGGTATTTGTGTTTGAGGTTTTTACTTTGTGTTAAAAGAGTTATTTTTGATTGTAAGAAAATTCAGATTATAGGAGGGAGGCACAAGTGTATTGAATTTTTCTGAGAATTTGATGATTTTATTTGAAAAATTATAGCATAGAAAATCATTTGGGCTCTATTTCCAGGTGCCCTTCAATAAAATAAAATAAAAACAAGAACCTGGAGATGTGGAAGTAAGGTATAGACAAAGGATGAAGATGACTTCCACAAGTTTAAAGGGATTTGTTAGTGGGGTAATCTTAGTAGGCCAGGTAAACACATGCTGTAATGGATACAAAATGTCCACTAAATCAATGAAAGCCATTGACCAAAATATTATATAGCTAATGTATTGATTTCTTTTGTGTAATAATTATAAAGTGCCTTATATGCATTATCACATTTAAAACACTGAAAACATTCTTAGGAGGTGTTTATTGTCCTACTATTATCGTTATAGATGAGGTAAATTACACTAAAAGAGATTAAATGTAACAGGACACAAAATAGGTAAACATTTACATTGCCCTCTTCTGTTTTCTAAGGAAGATGGTTTCCTTGCTTCTTTAACATATCTCATGAGGTGCTTGACTCAGCTTTGCTCTGCTGAGTGCTGAGGCGAAGTCTGAGGAAGAGAATTTGGGAAGCCAAAAGAACGATAAGTTGCTATACATGAGATCAGAGAAACATAGATGAATGGGAAAGAGGGAATGCAGAGGGTTGGAAAGAATAGTGTTGCAATCCTTTGAAAAAGAGATCCATTGAGGGAAACTGAGAGAGGTGTGAGAATACCCATCAACGTGTGAGTAACCATAAAGGGTGGAAGTTTTGACAAAAGGGTAGTCATACTCCAACAGGATTTTTAGGATGTTTTGTGATAGAATATATCTATCAGTGTCTCCCAAATATTACAGGAAAGGGTTGTCATTTTCTTCAATTCTTTGCTGTAAGTTAGGATTATCATTTATACATTAACTTGATGAGATTTTATTTAAAGAGAATTCAGTAGTCTCAAAAGGTAAATTCATTGTCAATTTTATCAGGAAATTATCCAAATTCACACAACTAGTAAGTAGTAAAGCTAGAATTCCATCCCATCTATCTAACTTCCAGCCTCTGCCATTAATCACCTCCTTTTATTGCTTTTGTCTCCCAAGCATTTCTCTTTCCTCTGGAGAAAAATATCTGCTTTCTTTAAAATAAATGTTCCATCCATGCAGCTAAGCAGCTAAGGACACGAACAGCCACTGATACAGGCCAACTCATCAGTAGATTATTGAGGTATTAAAATATATTAAATTATTACATTATTATTTATTTATTTTTAGAGACAGGATCTCACTCTGTCACCCAGGCTAGAGTTTAGGGGTCTAATTATAGCACACTGCAGCCTCAACCTCCTGGGCTCAAGCAATTGTACTGCCTCAGCCTTCCAAGTAGCTGGGACTACAGGCCCATGAAACCACACCTGGCTTTTTTTTTTTTTTTTTTTTTTTTTTGAGATGGGGGGGTCTCCTTATGTTGCCCAGGCTGATCTTGAACTCCTGGCCTCAAGCAATCCTCTTGTCTGGCCTCCCAAAGCCTTGGTATTACAGACATAACCCACCATGCCTGGCCTTAGTCATTAAATTATATGCTACTTAAAACATCACTTCTTGTGGCATTGCTACATCCAACCAGTTATTTGAAATTACAAATTTTAAATTACAGTCTTATTAGCTGGGACAAGACTTTTGGTATAGAAGATTGGGATTCCTCCCTCTGCCCCCAAGGGAAAAAACTTTCAAATCTGGGTAAACAAAATATATAATAAAAAGTAACTATACTTTCTAGGTGAAAATAGATAGATGTCAAATGAATAAATGTTGAAAATCTATACCAGCGGAGGCAAAGGTACTTTAGAAAACCATTAGAGAATCAATATACATGAGCACAGTTTTAAAGAATAATCAGGATTTTTCCATACGAAAGGGTAGTTTTACAATATTAGAGGGATAGAGACAAATATATAAAGAGAAAGACACTTGTAAAAATTGCAACATTTTTGAAGACTAATGATAAATTCAATTCTATTTCTCTGTTGATAAACTCCTTTGTGTTTGAACTGTAGGTTTTAGCTAAGGTTATTTTACTTAGCTTTCTTGCTTCCTTATAAATGTTGCTGACATTTGGAATAACTGTGGCTACTTATTCAAAGAATCTGTGTCCACCAGGATATATGGAGCTTCAGCTAAATCCAAAATGCTAAAGCATGTTTATTTTCATTTATTTTTAATCAAATAAAACAACTAATAAATAAATAAATAATCTTAGGTAAGGATTACTAGTAATTTAACAATTTTGTGAAACTTTTTCTGGAGTTTTAACCTTTCCAACATTTTGCTATCTTGTATTCAACCTTATGACTCAGACGAAGATTTGTTTCATCAGAAATTTGTTTAATCTTCTTTATGTGAATGCAAACCTGAGTTTTGAAGTCATATCAGCATTCTCAGACCATATTTTCTCTTGATTGCTCTGCCTGGGTTTGCTAGAGTATTAAGTTTCTCAAACTAAAATAATTTGACATGTTTTCTTCTAAAATCAATTTTCTTTAGAAATAAGCCCCTTGAAGTTCCTATTAGTAACAGTGATTCTTTCTATGTTAGTCTGTGCATGCCTGCCCTAACAGCCAGGGAATACAAGATGGCTGCTTTTGCATTGTTTAGTCCACCAAAATAGCTGTTTATGATCATGCTGTATGTTCATACTTAACAGCTCTTCTCAATCCATTTAGCTATTTCTACACGTATTTCAAAAAGAACCCTGCTTTTCATAAAATCTTTTGAACTTTCTTCTTTCAAAAATATGTAGTGCAACACTAGAAACATGTAATATTCCCCCACCTATATCAAATGGTTTCTAGCACATTTTCTTGAAAAGGCAGATATCCAATAAATTTGTGTTGATTTATTACTCTTTTCAGTTGAACAATGTTTGTAATAACTAATGTCTACAGTTCTTTGAGAGCAAAAGGGAAAATTGTGCCTCTATGGTTTTCTTAGGAATCATTCTCTTCAGTCAGATCACGATTTGAGTTTGAACTAACCAGAGAGTAGCAGAAGGAACGTTTTCTCATTTCCATGTCCAGAAAGATATATTCCTGCTACCCTCCTGAAGTCAGAGGATGAAATCATAGTCAATACATCTTTGCAGATAAACTATTAGGTACATTTTTCTTTGTCTATAGAAATCAATGGAACACAGAAAACTACAGCTTGCTATCCCCTCAACCCCTTGGAAAAAAAAAAGTTGGGTAGAGGGTGTTTTTGAGTGTATGTGTGTTTCAAGCTTCATTTGGGTCCATTTGTTTTTTGCTACCACCGGTATATTAAGTAGCATTTGTATAAATCAAAATCATATGAGGGTATGAGATTATCAGGGGCAACAAACTTTCAGTCTTTGGAAAATCCATCACATTGTTCTCAGTGAAGAATCAAACTGTATAGCTAAGGAGCATAGATATACTGAAATGTAGCCCACTTTGAAGAGAAGGAAGGGAAACTAAGCTCTACTTCCTGGGGAAAAAAAAAGAGTATCTGTCTATATTATGTGGGATTTTTCTCCAAAGATTTCTTTCTACTCTCTTATTGATTTAATCTTTTATTTATATTAATATGTATTCATGAATATTAATTTTTTACTTTGGATTATAATTCAATAGTATGTTATTTGTGTATTCTGTTGCTAAATTGTTCTACCATGTCCTTGTGGGAGCTCTCTCAGGTTGGAGCTTTGTGTCCCTTTGACATGCCCTCATCTTTTTGTTTCTTGAACACTTTCTTGCTTTCTGGTATTACAAGATGCTCAAGACTCATTGTTCAATTTTCTCACCACAGACCTAGGATTGACTTTACTTTTAATTTCTGAAAATAATTTAGTAGACCTCTAGGCTCCATCTCCTCAAGAAGCTGTGGTGTCCTATTATCTTGAGGTCACCAAGATAATTTCTCACTGAATCTTAAGAGTCACACCATATATGCACCATTCTAAGCCTGACTCAAAGTTCTCATAACTGTAATATCATTTTATTATATCTAATTTCCTCCCAGTTCAAATGTCTGTTGTCTCATGAGAACCTTTTCTATCAGTCAGGATCTTGGAATGAAACATACATCATGCTCAATCTTGTCATTTGAAGAGATTTTGATAGTGGAGTTATTTATAAAGTACATACAGGGTTTAGTAAGGTATAATGCAGTGCTCTAGACCTAGTAAAAATAGGAAGCTATTATTCTAAGCCTTTAAGGCCACTGGAGGGAATGATCACCAAAACCTGGAGAAAATAGCTGTAGGTGGAAAGGTTCTGAAGAAGAATGCAGCAAGCTCAATAAAGCCAACCCATTCTTTTGACCACTGTCTCCTTCCACTTTCAGATTTCATACTAGGACCTTTCATTGGCTGAACAAAGACAAAGACAGAAATCAAGGAAGGTCAAAGAAGCAGTCAGTTTTCTGGCACCCAAAGTTGTTGGAGAAGGGTACAGAGTCGGTAAATAAGTCATATGACAGACAGGCAGTATTTTCTTATTTTAATAACAAGTTTAAAAATCCCACTTCTTGTACTTACCTTCTGTCTGACGTCATCAGTATTTTAAAATGCCAACTGGGATCAAGTTCAACACTGCATTACTGAAGAATCCAGATTATCTACATTTCAAGTGCCAAATGAAAGAAAGAACCCAGAAAATAAAACAATATGATGATAACAGTAAAATTTTTTAAAATGAAATTTATGGTCTAAATCCTGATCATTAATGGTTATTTCATATTGAAGCAATGAGGCCTGTTCTTCATTCTGAACATAGGGTAAAGGTGAAATCTTTTCACATATTTATTTATTTAGCCAATTTATACATATAGTGAATTTTAATTATAACTTAATAGTATGCCTCCTTATTATGCATATAATTGGGCCTATCTGAATTTTCTTTGGAATTGTGCCTCCAATTTACCATATTTTTTTAGGCAACTCTATTTTAATTACTAGTTGAATATGATGGGTAAATTTTATTGTTCTCTCTTTTGATTTTGAAAAAAAGAGGGAAACCTTAACTTCTCAGATTTCTGAGAAAAATAGAGCTCATGAAAACACACACACAATCACACACATGTCTTCAATATCTTTGCAAAGATACTGGAAAGGGGAAAAGTTCTGTTTCCTTCTTTCATGAGTATCATAAATTTCAGTAAAAGAGAAAATTTGAGCATTTCCCAAGGTAATCATCTTTCTGCCAGCCATCATACTATTACTTCGTAAAATCTTTGCCATCCCACTCTATTTTCTACCTTCTCATTCTTAAAATTTCCAAAGCTTCACCAAATCCTCATTCTCTGTTGATGGCCTACCCCCATGGTTCAATAAGAAAACAAGCACTATTTTGCTAATATATCTGGGCGGATACAAAATACAAAATAATATTATGCCACCATACCAGACTGGAATCATAGCTTTGTTTACCTGTGTACTTAATTTTAAAGATAGAAAATAGTGGAACATAATTGTTTGCTAAAGATCACACTTGAATAGAAAAGAGATGGTAAAAGAAGAAACTTGATTCTATCAAGATTAGTTTTTAAAAGAATGATAAACATTCCATCCATTGCAATAGTTAAAACCATAAAGAGTGTGCAGATGTAGACTAAGGTACTTTTATGTATTTAGGGTTTTACATTAATGATTTACCTCCTAATGACCTCTAGGTGACCACAGTCAATGGTTACATCTGTATTATTATCTTACTCAACTTCAAGCATCTTTGACCAACTTGGTTTCTCCCAACTTCTTTATTCTTCTTTACTTGTGTTCTTTACGTGCCTTTCCTTATACCAGTCTCCTGATCAGGGAGGATATTTAGAAAGAGTGGAAAAGTGAGGGAATGGACAAGAGATACAGTTTCCCTACCAAATCTACCTAAATTAGGAATCCATGTCCTAAACTAACAGTATTATTTCTTCACAGAGCATTTTATTTCTCTCATAACTTTTTTCAAGTTCACATGTATTTATTAGTTATTGTCTGTGTGTTCAACTAAATTTTATCAAGAGGGTCCAAGAATAGTGTTCAAAGCTATATTCAAGTATACAATACAGTGTCTGGCAAGAGTGGATGCTCAACCAATAATTCTAAAGTAAATCAATGAATGTAACATGGTTCAGGCCAAGGAATGAAAATAAACCAGAAGAAATGGATGGGTAGAACAGGAGCAGGTATAGTAAGTTAAACTTGAAAAAAACAGTTAACTTACAAGTTAAACATGAAAAAACCAGTTAAATCCATGATAAGAAGAGAGGGTCAGACAAGTCTCATTAAACTCTCCTCTCTTTGGAATTCAGACACAACTAACCAGCATTAACATTAAAAAAGATATCTTATAACAGACAAAACAAACTCTTTGTAGCAGTAAGATATCAAATTCCAACCTGCCTCTAGTATAACATCATATGACAGAGACCAAGCCCTGAAAGAAAATGAAGTATTTTACCCAAGATATATTTTATGACATATTTTGATATGGCCTCACAAAGCTGTCTCTTGTAGGGAAAATCTACATTCTGTAGAAAAATCAGATTCGTTTTCCTGGTTTTTTCCTCGTCCAGGAGAGATTTAATTAAGAGTCTGGAGCACCTTTTAGAGTCTGATAAGAGACATTTATCATTTATTCTATCTAATGCCTGCTACCTGGAGGCTTCATCTACACAACAAGACCCCTGGCTTCCACAAGCCCCCTTATCTTAACAATAAACATTTCTTTCTGCTAACTTCACTCCTTCAGGTAGAGTTTAACCCTTTCAACCAATTATAATTCAGGAAATCTTTAAATCCATCTATAAGGTGGAAGCCCCCCACATCACTACTTTGAGATGTCCTGCCTTTATGGGATGAACCAATGTATATCTTACATACATTCATTTATGTCTCTGCCTGTAACTTCTGTCCCCCTAAAATGTTTAAAAAAAAATGTAACCCAACTGCCTTGGGCACATGTTCTCAGGGTCTCCTGGGGCTATATCATGGGTCATGGATCTTACATTTATCTCAGAATAAATATCTTCAAATATTTTACAGAATGTGACTCTTTTGTTGACATAAGTTACATTCCCTGAAGATCTAAAATTGTCACCACATAGGAACTCTTTCATTTAGCTTATATAAATCAGGCAAAGTCTAGAAATCATAACCAGGTGAAAATTATACAATTGCACTGCTCTACCTTTGTTAGCTAATACTGACTTTACCTCTTTTTTTTTTCCTTTTATCATTTTGCTGTTTCTCACACTCTACCCTGGTTCTGTGCTTAATTACTCATTCTTGGACATTCATAAGAGCTCATTCTTTCTACATTTTTCATCTGATATTGTTACAGTGGGTAGAGCAGGAAAGGGATCCCCAGCCCCCAACCAGAAATGTCAACTGACCATCAGGTGATGATCAGGTGGTTGTTACATTGTTTCTCAAAATAATAATCAGTCACAGCCAGTGCCAGGGAAAGGCAATCTCCCAATAGATAGAATAAAACTGAAAGTGGTAATCAGCAGCTTCCCAATAAGACTTCAAGAATTAGGCAAGTAGGGCCAAGCACGAACATTAAAAAGGCAAAATGGCAGACTGGTATATGGCTTTCTAGGGCTATTCAACTGCTAAGGGAAGAATGCCTCAAGTAAGCATGCGTACAACTCCAATAAACACACTGTGCATGCTTGCATGCTCCCCTCCCAGGTGCTCGCAGTCCTCTGTGCATGTGGACAGCTCACCCCAAGAGAAGAATCAGGGAAGAAGGGACAGAAGGCTCAGAAGTATGCCAACTTCTAAAATCCTAAGTTGAAGATCATACCATGCACTTGATCTCTTAAGTCACCTGTTTGGCCCTCTTCCAAGTGTACTTTATTTTCTTTAATTCTGGCACTAAAGCTTTGTAATAAACTTTCACTTCTGCTCTAAAACTTGCCTTGGTCTCCTCTGCCTTATGCCCCTTAGCCAAGTTCTTTCTTCTGAGGAGGCAAGAACTGAGGTTGCTTGTAGCCCTATATGGATTCACCAGCAGTAACATACTTTGGTGCCACATGACTCATATATGTTCCACTGCTAACACACTTTGGTCCACATGACTCTGATACGTTCCCTAAGTGGTAAGACATGTCCACATCTCACCTTCTTTGTGACCAGAGGCATTAAACCCCTTTATGTGGTTTTCTTCTCACCTTTCACTCTCCTGCTTACTAACCAACTCTCAGAAAGATTCTTCTTGGCCAAAAGTAGCTCTGCTCACCCAGGCTGATCTTTCAGCTCACCCTGACAGGTGGCTCATAGGGGGTGGGAAGGACCTTGGGGTCTGCACCTAGTAGAACTGAGGTATTTAATGGCCCTCCTGACAGGAGACTCATGAGGGTGGTAGGACTAAAGCCTAACACCCTGCAATGTCTGGGGTTTCTTCTGCTTTTTCAACTAAAATCAGCTCTTTCCCAAGAACTTGCACTGCCTATTATTCTGTTTTTTTCTGTATGTGTTCTGAAATGGCCTTGCATACCTGCCAAATTGTCTGCCTCAGGGGTAAGTCTGCCTCTTCTCTGGCTGCACTTTGCATTCCACATGACTTCTTAAACATACACTCGTTAAACATACACTACCTGTTATTCAGGCTCTTGCTGCATTTGCTGGGCTGCAAAGACACGGGCTGTCTTGATGATACCCTCTGAGATTTATACTTGCTTTTACCTTACCAGCTTGGATACCTCTAACCCTCCCACTATCTGCTGACACATTTCCAGGACAGACACTAACTGGAATCCTGACTTTGCCAGCTTCTTATGACTTACCTACACTTTTTTTTTTCCTTATCATGCTCTAGGGTTAAGATTTTCATAGGCTTTTGAAGCTGTTTTTCTGCCTGCATAATGCCTCACCCTGTGGCCCTTTATGGACCTCACCTGCTTGCTTTTTTGAGTTAATACCACATTTGGAGGAGGGGAAATTCTCTTTGCCATTTGCAACTTTTTATCCCCACATCCTATAGAGGTTACTATTCTATGTCAAGAGTGCAAAGGAATGCTCACTTAAATCTCAGGGCTGCTGTTTTTGTGAGCATATGAAGGCTTTACATGAGTATTCCTCTAGCTTCCTCCCACTTCCTCCCGCAGCCTGAATTTCTCTAATCACTTCCACACCTTCTCAACATGCATCAACACCTTCAAGGTCATATTTTAAGGGAGGGAATTCCAAGCCTATTGTGACAGTTAGCTGAAAAACAGGCTTCTCATCTACTACTACTTTTCATCTTTAAAGAACATGGGAAATGGGAATCTAAGAAAAAAGATAATCAGTTTGTTGCTAAAATGCTCTGAGCAAGAGTCACTATAAGGACCTGGAGAAAAGGACATAGGCCAACCCAAGCCTTCAGGTGCAAGAGATACATAGGACAGAGAAGATGGCTGATCTTAGGCTAACATATTACCATTATAACAGAGATGAACGCAAGGTTAAGGGTACACGGTAAGACTGGTTCATTCCAGCACCATAAGGATGAACAGGGGCTCACTTCACTATGTTATCTCCTCTGATCCCAAGTGGGTAATTGTGACAAGATGAGACCAAGGTTAAGGGTACATAGTAAGACTGGTTAATTCCAGAACCCTAAGGACAAATGGGGAATGCCCTATTCAGGATAATAGAAAAGTAAGAGGTGATGTCTTCTTTTTTCTTTTTATGTTTTCTCCTCTGTCCTCTCTTTGCATATGCAAAAACAAGTCTTCATGCCACAGGACATGCCACTTGGATGCATCCCCTCAAAACCAAAAAGTTTGAATCTTCCAAACCTTAAACACACACACACACACACACACACACACACACACACACACACACACACAAACTAGCTTTCCTTTGTAAAGCTGTTTGACATAAAAATAAACTGAGAGTAAATTACAAAAGTCAGCCATGGAACCCAATGCCCCTGTACAGGAGTGTACAGGAGGTCCTCATATTAGTCTTCTGTTTTTTGTTGTTGTTGTTGTTGTTGTTTTATAACTGAGAGTAGAATAAGGAGGACAGAGCACAGAGGTAATAAAAAGGAGAAATGCTGGGACAAGAGGCAGGCTCAATTATTGGCTGTTTTATAAACCCTCCAACCCCCTCTTCAGGTTGCCATGAGAATACCCTCTCAGGTAACTGCCTTTGGTGTGGGAAGTCAGGCCACTAGAAGGCAAACTGCCCCAATGGTGTAAATGGGAAAAACCCTGGATGGCTCACCCCCTCTGCCACAAGCTAGGCCACTGGAAACAAGACTGCCCTGAGTGCCAAAGAACCCCCAGGACAAAATCTCAACGTCTATTATTCTTGAGTTGAAGGGGCTCTCTGTTCTGGCTGGCTTCCAAATCAGACATCATAATCAACAGGACAAGGGAAACTTTGGAGGTGTCAAATAAAATTATAAATTTCCCTTTGGGGTTCAGGAGCTGCCTACTCTATGCTTATCTTCTTCTCTGAGCAACTCTCCTACAAATCCTGTTGGGTAATAGGGAAAAATGCCACCTCCTCCCTCCAAAAGAAAAGATTCACACCTCCTTGGTGCAAAAATATACTTTTCCAAGATGGGTGCTTGCTTAATATTTACCCAACCTTTAAATTCATCTTTTTCTTGAATAGCTCTATTTCTCCTGGAAAAGCTACCTAAAACTTTAACCAATAAGTTGAACCTTGACACTCCTGCCTCAGGGGTTTAGAAATAGTCCACACTTACCCAGAGAAGCTTCAGCAAAAATTTAACAGAGCAACCTCTTAAGAAGGGATAATTTCTATAGTACGTAGACAATTTGTACAGTATTTCTACAGCATCTTTATCTGCTCCTCTTTCACAGGAGTCACAGAGCAATATGTTGTATAATCCATAACTTGTAAACAAGGAAAATTACTTTTGACTAATTCAAAGGTTGTAAAGTATAGGTATTTCTGGGACAGAAAGTTATAAAGAAAAAAGATTTTTTGTATAAGAAAAGAATCTTGTATGATAAATTCTTGTCCTAAAGTAAAATGACTCATTGTTTAAAAAGAAAGATGTTTAGGACAAGTCAGAAAGTCCAAGCATGTCATAATTGCTCTGTGTAAGTTGTAAAAAAAACTCATGAAAGGGAATTTATAAAAGAAATGTTATACAATTTTAAATGTTATTAAGCCTACTAAATGCTTCATAAACTGTTATTATGATTTTAACTGTACAACTTCCCTGCTTTAAAGCTAGGTAAACCCTGGAGACATACAGAGTTATCCATGCCTTCTAGCTATGCTGGAATATGTCAGATCTTATCTGCACTTTTGTCTGGTGTCTTGGCTCCACACATAGTACATAATTAAAATAACTTAGTTACAGGCTTTTCACTAAAATAATAGTTGCTAAGAGTTAACAGTGTAACATGTACGTGGGACTACTGGAACAATAGTTTTACATGCAAGGCATGTAAGGAAACTAGAATGATATGCTTTCAGTAAAAAACTATAAGAAGGCATGAGATTGTGGATTTTTTTTGCCTGGTTTAGAGGGTTAAAAGATTGTTTTAGAAGGTGGTTTTTTAATCCACTATAGGAATCTAACAGGTGCTCTTAAATGCAGGTTTCTGATAACTTTAGAGATTCTGACATTAGAATAGAGAAAAAAATCTTTCAGGACTTTCATGGAGAGCTAAAATGTTCATGAATATCAAGCAGAACAGTAGTTAACTGCCTGGACTGTACTAATTGAAGATGAAAATAATCCTTTTATGACTTTTTATTTAGAATGTCATTAATCCTTTGTTATTAAAAGCTGGGAAAACTTTACTTTTTAGCACCTGCAGGCTTGGGTTGGCCTATGTCCTTTTCTCCAGGTCCTTATAATGACTCTTGCTCAGAGCATTTTAGCAACAAACTGATTATCTTCTTTCTTAGATTCCCATTTCCCGTATTCTTTAAAGATGAAAAGTAGTAGTAGATGAGAAGCCTGTTTTTCAGCTAACTGTCACAATAGGCTTGGACTTCCCTGCCTTAAAATATGACCTTGAAGGTGTTGATGCATGTTGAAAAGGTGTGGAAGTGATTTTATAACTTTTAAAAATTGTGTAAAGTATACTTCTATATATAAACAAAATTTGTAGCATATTTTTCTCTATTGGCTTTTCCCCAAATTTGGAAACTATATGTGAGTATTCTTAAATTATGTCAATACAATTATTTGCATAAGTACAATAAGAATCTGTTTTGTTTTGCAACAAGAAATGATTGGGGAAACTGGTTATTTTAACAAGGCTTTGACTGGAATGGCAAGCTTTCCTTGAAGGTAACCAATTTGGCTTATAGAGCCAATAAAAGCCCTTTGGGAACTGGCCTCATACCTTATCCACACAGATCCTGTACAAGGTTCCTTACTGTGGTAAGTAAAAAATATTACTTTCTGACAGGCCCAGGAGCCCCAAGGTATTTTGGAACCTCAGGAGGAGAGAAATTTACCCAATGCATACAGATATTTGATGGCACAAACTCATTCACAGGCTCAAGGCTTAAAAAAGTCTTATCTGAGATTCCTTATGGAACAAAGTTCCATCAAAGCCAATTTAAAAAGGAGCCTATTTGACAAGTAATTATTCTTGCTGTGCTTTATGCAATAATCAGGCCAAATATAATAAGACTAAAGTTTATTTTGCAAACAAATCAGTCCTATAATGATTTGTTTTTAACAAAAATCAAGAATAGAGAGATAAAAATATTTTTCAAGAACTATGGTATACCTGTCATTAGATTTTAGTGTCATCAGTGGTTTTGAGTTTTTGTCTGCAATTTAGACTATCCCTGTTTATTCCTGTGAACCAATAAGTAATCTCTGGCTGCAGCTCAGTAAAAAACAAAGGGATGGGTAATGTAAAAATCTGGATCAAAATTCTAATTCTGGGCACATATTGAATTTGGCTAGGAACACCATAAGCCCGAGTCTTAGCAGGCATTACTGTGACCACCAGCTATGTGAGCATGTCAGCAGCCTTGGGATTTTTTAAAGCTTTCCTCACTCCTATTTTGTTTTGACATTCTTCTAAATCTGATAACCTGATTTGTCTCCTCTAGTCTTGAAGCCATCAAGCTCCAATTGATCCTCACTGAGGAATACTGTCCTCTAAATATTAAGAATCAGCTTTCTACAGGGGACCCTCAGACTGCCCAACTGTGGGACATGAGAAAGGCAAGATCTTGTCATGGTCTCCCTTGGACCTGGCTGGATACCACTTTCAGCAAGTCATGGAGCCAATTCTTCCCTGACAGCTAGCAAGAGGCCAAGACCCACAGAACCACCACCACCACTTCTCTATCAGCAGGAAGCAATTGCAGAAACCTGACTTTCATTCACTTTCCCCCAAATATTGTGGTATTGGACTCTTGAGTGGGGAAATATTACAGTAGGTAGCTAGTTAGACATAAAGAGAGCAGGAAAAGTATTTCCCCATCCCCAGTCAAGAATGTCAGACAAACCATTAAGTGATGGTCAGTTGGTTGTTACACTGTTTCTCAAAATAATAATTGGTCACAGGTGTCACCAGGGAAAGGCAGTCTTCTAATAGATAGTATAAATCTGAAGCTGGTGATTAGTAGCTACCTGATAAGACCTCAGGAGTTAGGCAAGTGGACTCAAGCATGCACATTAAGAGGCAAAATGGCAGCATTTAACTGGTATATGACTGTATTAGTTCCTTTTCATGCTGCTGATAAAGACATACCAAAGACTGGGCAACTTACAAAAGAAAGAGTTTTAATAGACTTTACAGTTCCAAATGGTTGGGGAGGCCTCACAATCATGCAGAAGGCAAGGAGGAGCAAGCTACTTCTTACATGGATAGCATCAGGCAAAAAAAAAGAGAGCTTGTGCAAAGGAACTCCTCTTCATAAAACCACCAGATCTTGTGAGACTTATTAACTATCATGAGAACAGCATGGGAAAGATTCACCCCTTCCCACAACACATGGGAATTATGGGAGCTGCAATTCAAGATGAGATTTGAGTGAGAACACAGCCAAACCATATCATTCCAGCACTGTCCCCTCCCAAATTTCACATCCTCACATTTCAAAGCCAATCATTCCTTCCCAACAGTCCTCCAGTCTTATTTCAGAATTAACTCAAAAGTCCACAGTCCAAAGTCTCATCTGAGACATGGCAAGTCCCTTCTGCCTATGAGCCAGTAAAATCAAAAGCAAACTAGTTACTTCCTAGATACAATGGGAATATAGGAATTGGGTAAATAAACCTATTCCAAATAGGAGAAATTGGCCAAAACAAAGGGGCCACAGGCTCCATGCAAGTCCAAAATCCATCAGGGCAGTCAAATCTTAAAGCTCCAAAATGAGGCCTAGAAGGGAAAAATGGTTTCATGAGACAGGCACAGGGGTCTCCTATGTTGTGTAGCCTAGGGACTTGGTGCCTTGTGTCCCAGCCACTCTAGCCTTGGCTGAAAGGGACCAACATAGAGCTCAGGCTATGGTTTAAGGTGGGACAAGCCCAAAGCCTTGGCAGCTTCCACATGGTGTTGAGTCTGCTAGTGCAGAGAAGTCAAGAATTGAGGTTTGGGAACCTCTGCCTAGATTTCAAAAGATGTATGGAAATGCCTGGATGTCCAAGAAGAAGTTTGCTGAAGGGGCTGGGCCCTCATGGAGAACCTCTGCTAGGGCAGTGCAGAAAAGAAATGTAGGGATGTAGGACCCACAGAGAGTCCCTGTTGGGGTGCCACCTAATGGAGCTGTGAGAAGAGGGCCACCATACTCCAGACCCCAGAATGTTAGATTCACCAACAGCTTGCAGCATATGCCTGGAAAACCCAGAGACATTCAATACCTTCCCATGAAAGCAGTGGGGAAGGAGGCTGTACTGTGCAAAGCCACAGGGACAGAGCTGCCCAAGACATGGGAACCCACCTATGACCTAGATGTGAAGCAGGGAATCAAAGAAGATCATTTTGGAGCTTTAAGATTTGACTGCCTTGCTGGAGTTTGGACCTGCATGGGGCCTGTAGCCCCTTTGTTTTGGCCCATTTCTCCAATTTTGAATGGCTGCATTTACCCAATTCCTGTACCCCCACTGTATCTAGAAAGTAACTAATCTGCTTTTTATTTTACAGGCTCATAGGTAGAAGGGACTTGCCTTGTTTTGGATAAGACTTTGCACTCGGAACTTCTGAATTAATGCTGAAATGTGTTAAGACTTTGGGGGATTGTTGGGAAGGCATGATTGGCTTCGAAATGTGAGGACAAGGTCGTGAGATTTGGCAGGGGCCACTGGTGTAATGATATAATTTGGCTGTGTCCCCCTCCCAAATCTCATCTTGAATTCCCACCTGTTGTGTGAGGGACCTGGTGGAAGGTAAATCAATCAGGGTGGCAAGTCTTTCCCATGCTATTCTCATGATAGTGAATAAGTCTCACAAGATCTGATGGTTTTAAAAAGAAGAGTTATCTGCACAAGTTCTCTCTCTCTTTGCCTGCCGCCATCCATGTAAGATGTGACTTGCTCTTCCTTGCTTTCCACCACGATTGTGAGGCATCCCCGGCCACATGGAACTGTAAGTCCAATTAAACATTTTTCTTTTGTAAATTGCCCAGTCTTGAGTATGACCTTATCAGTAGCATGAAAATGGACTAATACAACATGTGTATAACTCCCCAAGGGAAAAATCAGGGACAGACACAAGACTCCAAAATTATGCTAACATATAAAACCCTACATCAAAGTTCAAATCATGCACTTGCTTTCACAGGTCACCTGCTTGGCCTTCCTGCAAGAGTGCTTTATTTCTTTTTCCTTCTCCAAAGCTTTTTAATGAACCATATTAGCCCATGTTTGCATTGCTATAAAGAACTACCTGAGACTGGGTAATTTATAAAGAAAATGGTTTAATTGGCTCATGGTTCTACAGGTGCACGGTTTTTGGGAGACCTCAGAAACATTGCAATTATGGCAGAAGAGGAAGCAGGTATGACTTATGTGGCTAGAGCAGGAAGAAAAGAGTGAAGGGGAAGGTGTCACACACTGTTAAACAAGCAGGTCTCATGAGAACTCATTCACTATCACGAAAACAGCCAAGGGGAAATCTGCCCCCATAATCCAATCGCCTACTAGCAGGCCAATCCTCCAACACTGGGGATTACAATTTGACATGAGATTTGCATGGGGACACAAATCCAAACCATATTATTAACTGTATTAGTCTGTTCTTATGCTGCTAATAAGGATATACCTGAGGCCAGGCGCCGTGGCTCACGCCCGTAATCCCAGCACTTTGGGAGGCCAGGGCAGGCAGATCATGAGGTTAGGAGATCAAGACCATCCTGGCTAACACGGTGAAACCCTGTCTCTACTAAAAATACAAAAAAATTAGCCAGGCGTGGTGGTGGGTGCCTGTAGTCTCAGGTACTCAGGAGGCTGAGGCAGGAGAATGGTGTGAACCCAGGAGGCGGAGCTTGCAGTGAGCTGAGATCACGCCACTGTACTCCAGCCTGAGTGACAGAGTGAGACTCTGTCTCAAAAAAAAAAAAAAAAAAAAAAAGATATACCTGCAACAGGGTAATTTATAAAGGAAAAAGTTTTAATTGACTCACAGTTCAGCAAGGGGAACAGGGGAGACTTCAGGAAATGTAATTATGACAGAAGGGAAAGCAAACACTCCCTTCTTCACATGGTGGCAGCAAGGAGAAGTTGAGAGCAAAAGGGGGAAAAGCCTCTTATGGAACCATCCAATCTCGTGAGAACTCATTCACTGTCACGAGAACAGCAGCATGAGGGTAACCACCCCCGTGATTCAATTACCTTCCATGGGTCCCTCCCATGACACATGGGGATTATGGGAACTACAATTCAAGATGAAATTTGGGTGGCGACACAGCCCAACCATGTCATAAGCTTTCACTCCTGCTTTAAAACTTGCCTTGGTCTCTCCTTCTGCCTTATGTCCCTTAGTTGAATTCTTTCTTCTGAGGAGGCAAAAATTGAGGTTGCTGCTTACTCATACACATTTGCTGCTGGTAACAATATGTCTTATATTTTGAACACTAAAACATGTTCCTAAATAAAAATTTGCATATGTAACTCATGCTTTTAATGAAACCTTCGATTGTTCACCAAGATATATGGAATAAATATAAATACTGACATTCAAAACCCTCCATAATATGGTTTTGGCCCAGTTCCACTTCACTTCTCTTTCCACAAATTCTTGACATGTTACACCCTTGCTGAATATGTACTGTTCCCTGGTAATACCCTGCAATTTCCAACCTGCATACCACTGTTCAAATTTTATTTCTGGAAGAAATCCCTTTCTACTCAAATCCTTCTATCAGTGTCTTTCCACATTGTCAGTTCCAGCTTAAATACCAAAGGCACAAATCTCTCTGGTGGTATCAGCTCCTTTAAACCTTAAGGCCTCCCCCTGATCCACACAACATTATTTTCTCTGAAACTCAGGCACATGGTCTTTGCATTAACTAAGCTGCTTACCTTGAACTACCTCATGTTCTGCTTTAAATCAGTTCCTGATTGGCAGAGCTTCTGACTTTGTGTTCCATCTTGCCCTTTGGGTCTGGTATTTGATACTGCTCCTCTGGATTTGACTTTTTGTTGTTCTCTGCAGCCACCTTTCAGAATCTTTTTCAAAGCTATACTACTTGATACTCTCCTGCATCAATATTCCAATCAGCCTATCCATCTCTATGACCTTATACAACAGGGAAACAACTCTTGATTCTTAGTCCATGAACCATTCTCAAGATCTATAACCTTAGTCATCTTTGAATTGCTAAAACACACAGTCTCTGACAAAATCAATAGTTATAGAATGAATGGATGCATGAATTAATGAATCTCTCTGTTTAATTTAATCATCTCCTTGTTTGTTTCTTCATTTTATCTTGATTTGCCCATCCTGACAACACTTCACCAGTGTCTGACTTTTTCCCTACAAATTTGTGCTGGTAACTGTACCTTCCTGACTACATCATAAGCCTCTGGACAGGGAACAAGAAAGGAGACAGGAGGCATGTGAATTGTTTTCTTCTCAGCTTGGCACAATGCACTGTGACAAAGAACATTGAAAGAACATTGTGAAAGAACAATTTATTGAATTTCAATTTGGAAATTTGTACATAATACCACATAGAAAACTAAATTTGCATGATATGAATAGACTTGCCCTATGGATAGAACAGTTTATCCAATAATGGTTTTAACTGAAAGTAAAACAAAGCTATTGGCATTATGTATTTAATAGGTGATTTTGATTTTCATTTAGATCATATGCTGCCTTTAACATCCTGGGCCAAGACTACCCAGCACGTCATCTGGGCTGTCCCTGCTTCTGCTCATCTCCTGCTACTATCGCTTTGCCACACAACAGCACAGATAAATATACTTTCAGTAACTATTATAGAAAGCATCACATCCTTTCTCTGCTCATGTCCCTCCATTGGTTTCCCAGCTGTCTCAGAAACAACATCCGAACTTCTTACCTGGCATCATATCCCAACAAGATCCACCTAACTAGCTATTCTCCAGTCATACAGGCTTTCACATTGTTGCTTGTATCTATTAATCTCCATATTTTAAGTTCTCTTCTGAAAGTCTCTTGGCACTCTCTCTCTCCAGAATTCTTTCTCTCCAGAATCCTCTTGGTTCATAGCCTCCCTTGATTCAGGTTTTTGCTTTCATTCTACCTCATTAAGGGGCCATTTCTCTATCTTCTATCTTTAATAGAATAGCCTTCTGACCACTCTGTCTAAAGTACCACTCCAGAATTCCACCTCCTCACTGTTACTCTGTTTATTTTTCTTCACAGCAAATATCACCAGCTGATGATAAATATTTGTTTACTTTTTATTATCTGTCTGCCCCTACTAAAATTTAAGCTTGATAAGCAGAAATTTAATTTTGCTTCATGTTATTTCCTCAGAGACTAAAAGACTTCCTACACTCTTTGGGCTAATGGTTTTCCTAGAAACTGTCTATTGTGGAAAGGTTAAGCATTTTCACTGCACATTCAGAAATATAATAGGTAACAAATATTTGTCAAATGTAAGAATAAATTAAAAATTAATGCAAGTTTAATACAGTAGTCAAGGATCATGTCATCATGAGAGTGTGTGCTTATTAATGTCTGTAACATTGTCATGCCAGTTCATCCATATCTGTGCTCATGTTTCAAAGTCAATTATTTATGTCCATGTGGAGTTAATGTTGAGCCATGCTATCTAACATGGCATACTATCACAATATTATTAAGAATTTAAAATGTGCCTAATACAAATGCAGATGTGCTGTAAGTGTAAAATGCACAACAAATTTTGAAGATTTATTATAGAAAATAAACCAAAATATTTTATTAATAATCTTTTAATTGATTATACACAAAAATACCATTATTTTGAATATATCAGATCAAATAAACTGTATCATAAAATTAAATTTACTTTTTTATTTTAACCTTTCTTAATGTATGTATTGGAAAATTTTAAATGACATATGTGGCTCACGTTATATTTCCATTGGACAGTGCTTTGTACAAATGAAACTTTGCACAAAGTCAAACTCCTAAAATCAAAATTGCTTGCTAGGTACTAGAGAGCACAGTTGCATTAAAGTTGATAAATATATTAGATTTTATGAAACCATGTTTGATTCTACTAATTATCTGACATGTTTATCAGACAAGAAAAACTGTTTAAACTTCTCTTGTTTCTATATTTTTTTCCATGTTTTCATTTGTTTGCCTTTGCTGCTTAAAAAATTGAAAATCAAATTTAACTGTCAGTCCTGAGTTTCTGATGTCATCATTTCCCTCTTTCTGTGGTTTCTAATTATTTTCTCATATCTTTAAAAATACTTTATGTATATAGTCCTACCATCTGTGCATCTAAGGATATAAGGAAATAAATAGAAATTATAACTCATTACTAATTAATTTCAAAACTTATAATCAATGTTACTATATGTCATCTATTATACATTTCATATGCTATATATATTTAATAAGTTTATCTCATTTAATTATGACAACAACCATTCTGAAATACTCAGAGAATAAACTGAAGCTTTGGTATGTTCAATATATTTCTGCAAACTTGTGATAAGTTATAGATTGGATAAATGGTAAATCACTATCCTTAACAGAGTCAGCTTTGTCATTACAATGTAGCAATAGGCTGATTCAACTTCTCTGTCTGGCTACATTCAAGGATTCGCCAAAATCCAAACTTTCAACACCAACATCAAAACTATATCAAAGGGCTACATGTACTCCCATGTTTATTGTAGCGCTATTCACAATAGCAAAGATATGGAATCAACTTCAGTGTCTATCATCAGATGAATGAATTAAGAAACTGGTATATATATATATATACACACACACACACACACGATGGAATACTATCCAGCTATAAAACAGAATAAAATTGGCTGGGCGTGGTGGCTCACACCTCTAATCCCAGCACTTTGGGAGGCTGAGGCTGGCGGATCACAAGGTCAGGAGATCGAAATCATCCTGGCCAACATGGTGAAACCTCATCTCTACTAAAATACCAAAAAAAAAAAAAAATTAGCTGGGCATGGTGGCATGCACCTGTAGTCCCAGCTACTCGGGAGGCTGAGGCAGGGGAATCGCTTGAACCCGGGAGGCGGAGGTTGCACTGAGCCGAGATCATGCCACTGCACTCCAGCCTGGTGACAGAGCGAGATTCCATCTCAAAAAGTAAAATAAAAGAAAATAATGTTGTTTGAAGCAACATAGGTAGAACTGGGGGTCATTATGCTAAGTGAGATAAGCTAGGCACAGAAAGATAAATGTCACATTTTCTCACTCATATGTGGGAGCCAGAAAAGTTGAGCACATTGAAGGTAGGGAGTGGAATCATAGATACCAGAAACTAGGAACAGCATACAGGGATTAAAGATAAAGAGAGATTGTTAGATAGGTACAAACATATAGTTAGATAGAAGGAATAGCAGAGTATGGTGATTATAGTTAAAAATGTATAGTATTTTTCAAAATAGCTACAAGAGAGGACTTAAAATGTATTCAATATGTAGAAATAATAAATAATAAGTACTCAGATGGTGGATACTCTAAATACTCTGACTTGATCATTACACATTCTATGCATGTAACAATATTTCACCTATACTTCATAAATATGTACAAATATAACGTATCAAAAATTTTTTTAAATCAGGTTGTTACACTTTAAGAGACTTCTATTGTTATTTAATTTGCTAATAACTATAAGAAGTATTTTCATGTGTTTACTGTAAGGAGCTTCTGCACCAGAGATTTTTCTTAACTCAGCAGAAGAAGTTTAAAATAATTCCCTATTCACTGGTTGTATCACCTCAATTACCGTCTACACGTAAAATCTGCAAAGGAAAGCACAAAGTTCCGTGGCATCTTGACATTCTCAAGCAAAGGTACATTTGAGGTCCTAAGTATTGGTATTATATGGCATTTGAACAATCAGAGGTGATACACTTTGAAATTTCCTCTTAAAGCAAAACCAAGTCCTGATAATAGAGTGAGTTTACCAGGCTGTTTTACCGATTAGTATTACATGTCAATGTTAACTGAGCCCCCCACCCCAAAGGAGATGAACAACGCTTCATATGTATATTACACCTTTCACACAGAAGACCTTCAAATGTCTTCCTGGTTTTATCTACAGATTGCTCACCCACCACTGATATGCAAGCACCTGTGGGGTTGAATATGACAGCAGCTCCACAGCACAACAGCATTCAGGAAGGGAGCTGGAAAAATAACTTCTCAAGTGAGAGTGGCATGAACAATTTTATGTAGGCAGAAGTTAATTGCACCATTGGAATTTAGACAAGATGTGTGTGTTTGTATTCCTCTTTTTACTGGTTCCTGAGTTTGGCTAGATTAGGTCAAAAACCTTTCATGCAGGGGTGGTGACTTCTTCTGGGCTCCATATGTAGCCTCTATTTGCTTAGACAAGGTAAATGCTAATGAAATAATATGCAAATAAAATGCATCCTGTGATCTTGTCCTTATAATGCTGGCCAGGGTCTGGGCATTGCATTATCAGTAAATGCTATGCTTGTCCTTTGTTCCAGAATTGATCACTTGTTTGAAAATTATCATTTTGCTGTTAATAAAGGGCCTGTCACAGCCTCCTCAGGTTTCCTTAGCAGCCATCCAAAGAGGTCCATGCCAGAGGCAAAACTGCTTTGTAAATAATCATCCCTTCATTCAATGGGTGCAGATGAAAGCCAACTCGTAGTCATTTTAAATAACGTGTTTGCACAGTTAACCTCCCTCCTGCTGTAAAAAGGTTACATATTTTCCACTGTAATTTTGGATTTCTTTTTATTCCTTCCCTTTCTTTCTCATGGAAAAAATAGTTTTTGATGAAGCCCAAAAGAAAAGAGAGCTCAATTATTGATCAGTGTTGCTGATTGCAGAATAGAGAAGTACATTTCATAGATTGCATTTGAGGTGTTTTTAATTGATTGATTCATTATTTTTTCAAACACAAAGGAGAATTCTGAGAAAGTTCTTTTTGAAGCCAGGGAAGTCGTGAGAAGCTGTTTTCAACTATTCTGTTGTAGACTAGTTGAAAAGCACAGTGGAAATGTTTTCTTTCAAACTATGTATTTGTTTTTAGCTTTTCCTAAAAATGTTTTTAAACACATGCTAAGGCCCCTTTACCGAATTAATTTATTACAAAGAGCAACGTACAACTCCAAAGCAGAGGTTTGAATGCTGAACTTTAATATTTATAGAGGGCAAAACTACACACACATGTTCTTACACACAAATGCATATTTACACATATACATAGACTAACAAGCAGCCTTGAAACATGTTCTACCTGAATTTGCTTAAGAAGATTGTTTCTTATATTTCCAAATTGATATGAATTGTACTACCTTTATAATTTTCCCTATTTCAGTGAATATCAACAGAGGCAAAGGAAAAGTTAAAATATTTGGCTTTACTTACAAGTTTACATTGTGCTTGATCATAAATAATTCATATGTGTACAAGTATGTGTATTTGTTGTGGTTGTATATGTATCTGACATTAAAATATCCATTTATATTTATTTCTATAATTGGTTTTGTTGCTGCAGCTTAGACTCGGAGTTCTTGGCTCTTGGGTAAATAGAAATTAACACCAGGCCAAATGGAAATTTTTCTTAGGCAAGGTTTAATAGGCTTGCAGCTCGAGAAAAGCAAGGGAGTAGCTCTCTCAAGGGCTTGGCTCTTGTCATTTTAAGGGAGCTGAGGTGAGAAATGGTGTGACATGTAGACACGTAGAGGTGGGGAACGTTTAGCACCTACTTAATTTGATAACATGTTTCTTCAAGCCTGTGTGATTCATTAGTATGCTAAATCTCCACCCCTGGGTCTGTGATTTCTAGTATTATAATGAAATTATAATGAGGGAAAAACTCAGTGAAAAGTTAGCACTGGAGTCCATCTTGTCTTTAGCTAGCTAGATCTGCTCAGGTTTTTAATCAGGAATGCCACATTCCCGCTTCAGCAATCTTGGAAGAAGTAACTTAAGAAGATTAATAGATAGTTCGATTTTTCCTTTTATGGTTGGGAATTCATCTTGGTCAGCTATGTTGGAAGGGGGCAGCTTTCTGCTACATGAATTGGGTCAACTTGTTAAGGGAGGCAAGAAGGTGGGGGAGGAAATATGCCCAGACATGTGAAGACCACTAGGATCTCAATCACCATGTCTCTTGTCTACCAGGACTGAATCTCTTCCCTGTACTGTCTCAGTTTTGCCCATAGGCCCTCAATTGTCTTTTCCATCTATATTTTCTTCTTCAGTTTCACTGAGATCACTCAGATCATTTTGCATACACACACACACGTACATAAAACAGTATGTCTCTAAAAGTCTTAAGACAGATTTACAGAGTTAACTTCAGAAGCAGATGCTACAAATTTTTTTAAAATACATATTTTGAAAGTTTAACCATTTGAAATTCTTTACATCATTTCGTTTTGTAAATTCTTAATAATCAACTTTTAATTTAAATTTCTATTTCAGTTTGCCATTTTCAATCAGATAGATGGAAACAAAATGTCAAATATATGTTATATATGTATACATTGTAGTTACTGTCTACTTCTTCTCCTTAACACCTTCTGTCCAGATTGATTTTCCTCTGCACAACTCCCATCACATTGATATGGGGTGGAATTTTAATTCGGGGCTATCATGTGTAGTACATACATTAATTTTTCCCTTTTGTAAATGTTTTGTTTTTCTAAAATGAAAGGCCTGTTTGCTTCTTTTTTTTGTTTTAGATAATGTAGACCAAAAATAAAATTCTAAGCCCCCTAACCAACTGAATGGACCACTCCTTTTAGCCTAGGGCTTTCCACAGTTAACCTGAAATCTAGTTCAGGCCATGATAGGAAGGAAAGGTCAGAAATGCCTCATTATACCCTCCTCCCACTGAAATTTATGCACAACTGACCAGTATTAACATTAACATTAAAACAGAGAAGACCAAGAAACAGACTCTTTGTAGCAATAAGAAACCAAATTCCAACCTGACTCTAGCATAGCATCACATGACATATAGCAGGCCCTGAATAAAATGGAATTATTTTATCCCAAAATATATTTTTGACATATTTTGAAGTAGCCTTGTAAAGCTGTCTCTTGTGGGTAAAATCTACATTCTGTACAGAATCCCCTTCCCTTTCCAGGTGTTTTCCCTGAGCCAGGAGATAATTAATAAGAGTCTGGCACCTTTTTTATGTCTGATAAGAAACATTTACAATCTATTGTCTCTGAAGCCTGCTTTCTGGAGGCTTCATCTGCATAATAAGAACCTGGGTCTCCACAATCCCCAGTCTTAACTCAGATATTCTCTTCTATTGATTCTATGTCTTCAAATAATAACTATTTCAACCAATTACTAATTAGAAAATCTTTGAATCCACCTATGACCTGGAACGCCCTGCCCCCTTGCTTCCAGTTGTCCCACTTTCTGGATGGAACCAATGTACACCTTATGGGTACTGATTGATATCTTATGTCTTCTAAAATGTATAAAACCAAGCTGTAGCCCAAGCACCTTGGCAACATATTCTTAGGACCTCCTGGGGTTGTGTCAGAGGTCACTGGTCATCATATTTGGCTCAGAATTAATCTCTTCAAATATTATACAGAGTGTGACTCTTTTTGCGGACAATAACAAATTTTTAAAGATATTTTATTATATTTAACTCACATGTATCTTACACGTCTTTTGTATTTTTTAAGTAATTTTCTATTATCATTATTATTATTATTATTATTATTATTATTATTGAGACAAGGTCTCAGTCTGTTGGCCAGGCTGAATGCAGTGGTGCAATCATGGCTCACTGCAACCTTGCCTTCCCAGGCTCAAGTGATTGTTGTGCCTCAGCCTCCCGAGTAGCTGGGATTCTACAGGCATGCACCACCATACCCAGCTAATTTTTGATATTTTTGCAGAGATGAGGTCTCACTATGTTGCCCAGGCTGATGATCTTGAACTTTGGGCTCAAGCAATCCTCACACTTTGGCCTCTCAAAGTGCTAGGATTACAGGAGTGAAGACCATGCCTGGCAGAGTACAGTTTTCAAAAGCTTTATTGTGGGATTTCTCTGTGGCTAAGCTTCTGAGGTATTTTAAGCCAAGAATATTATGGGACTGCTGTTTTGGTGTTTTTTGATAGTTATAAAAGCTAGACTCAGTTATTTTTCTTCAATATGTTAAAAAGTCTACTCCTTTGTTTCTTGTATCTAAATATTGCTCTTGACGCATCTGCTGTTAAATACTAATTATTTTGTAAGTTATATCCTCTTTTTCTCTAAAAATGCTAAGAATTTTTTCTGTTTTTTAAATAGTTCTCTGGGCATCCTTTCAGTCTGATGTATTTCATCTTCTTTTCATTCTGATAAGTTTATCTCTATTATTTCTTTAAAGAATTAATTCTTTACATTTTAACATTTTCCCTTCATTGGGACACCTGATGGTGCTTTCTACCTTTCATATCTTTCAACTTTTAAAATTATTTACTTACTTCTTTATTCCTCCCTGCTTTCTTCTTGGAGAATTACTCAAATTGATCTTAAAATTCATGAATTCATTATGTTATTTTTCCAAAATATTTTCATTTTTTAAATGTAAACTTGTATGTTTTCATACTTAAATTGTATAATTGATCTCTTTTATTACTTGTTTTTCTTTAATAACTTTCCTTGACTCTTTGCATGTGTATTATGCTTATTCAAAAACCATTGTCCACATTTGACTGTCTGGTGCATCTGATGATATTCCTTTTCTTATTTATTAGGATTTTTTGAAGTGGATGGTTTCCTCAGATATTTGTCATCTTTATCTCTGAAGAGATCAAGAGATTTTAGGTCCTAAGTGACTCTCTGACTTCCTACCATTTCTTCTGATTTTAGCTCCATCTTTATCCTCTTTTCAAAAGTATCTTGTGCAGATAGATTTTTCATCTTTTAGGGCATCTCCAGTATAAATCAGGCTTGCCTCTCAACTTTCCACTCTGCTAGCTTAAGATGGAGTGTTCTTGGTTTGGCTAAGTGATTTATAACCACCCATCTGCTTTCCAACATACAAAATTTTGTTGCCATGGTCTCTTTTCCTATTTTTTTCTGATAGCGTATGTTTAATTTATTTCTTTAAAAAAATCCTCATTTTAATAGGTGTTTGGGATGTAGCAGAGATGAATTACTGGTTCAGTCTACTATCGTTATTCAGAATTCTCTGTTTGGCCTTCAGATACCTTTCTTCTAGTTCCCATTCATGAAGTTTTCTTTGTCTTTCCATTGGAAGGATGATTACATTATCTCCTGGGGATGTTTAATATTTGTATTTGAAAGTTATTACAATGTCTTCTGTCATAGGTCTTATATCCCCTAGTCAAATGTATTATTATTTATCTCTGTGCCTTTAAACAAAATTTAATTAGTGCACATTGCTTTATTAATACAAATTTACTTGTCAGTCCTAAAGAGACCATGATAAACTAATGTTATTTACACTTTTACCTCTAGCGCCAGTTGGATATTTTCAACAACAACAACAAAATGAAGGAAATAGCAACTACCTTCTTATGCTCTCTACTCTCTGGCCTTTATGCTTACCAACATCACTGTGTTTGCAAAAATCATTGGTTCTATTGTTAGAGAGATATTGCATATCTAGGCCCTTGCTTATCATGAAAAAATTCACAAATTCATCCTGCAATGCAGGGACATAATCTTTCTGTTGTGTGCACAGATATGACTGTGATTATATCATAGTGGTAATAGTGATGTCTATCAAACAAAGAAATGTGTTTTTCTATATAGAAAAATAATCCACCTAGAAATAAAGCTACTCTTTCTTCAGTGCGATAGCTAATTCCCATTCTGTATAATGATATTTGTGCACATTGACCTACAGCAGAGAAATCCTCTCAAATATGAGTGCCTGTCAGGCTTATGTCTCTATTAGGTTAACTTGGTGTCCTCTTTTGCTATATATTTGGTCATTTTGCAAGCCTAATTTCCTTTGCTTTATCTCAGGATAAGAAATAGTGACTTCTCTAGTAAGAAAGATATGGAAACCAAGAGTGACTTGGAAAAAAATTAAATATAGGAGGGTTTTAAAAGTGTTATTCACAAGCCTTCTGTCCCTATGGCATTCATTAATGGCAGTTGCTGCATTTAATACTGACAGTTATTAATGCTATTATTTAAAAGTTGTAATCACAAGCAATAAACTTCAAATTTATCTCTTATCAGACATTAAAAGCAACTGCCCAATGTTAAGCAGTAAAATCCTACTTAAGGTAACCAGAGCTGTTGGAGGAATCAGGCTAATATCTAAGCAAGTTTTCTTTGAAAAGATGCCCATTGATAGGCATAATGGTCTTTTACGCAAACATTTAGCTTAAAATTTGGTAAAATTTGTTTTAGATTTTTGTTTAGATCTGTTTTATAAATCACATCATTATATATCCTTTAAGGGCAAATACTGTATGTTCGGTACGCTTGTATCCTCAAAGAGCTAGCAGGCTATCTTACATGGCATGGCTGTGGTTTATTAATGAGAATACTGCACATGATGGGGGTGATACAGCCTTCAGAAAACAGCATGGAGCACCAGTGTCTACACTGATGATAACTACAATAGCTGTGATTCCACACTCATGTATTCCAACAAATATTGTTGGGTTACTGATGATGGAAAACAAATCACTAAATTTCTCAAACCCTTACATCTAGGAATCTAAATGCAAATTCAGTTTCCTCTCAAATGTGAGTGCCTGTCAGGCTTATGTCTCTATTAGGTTAACCTGGTGTCCTCTTTTGCTATATATTTGGTCTTTTTGCAAACCTAATTTCCTTTGCTTTAACTCAGGATAAGAAATAGTGACTTCTCTAGTAAAGAAAGATATGGAAACCAAGAGTGACTTGGAAAACACTTGTATAAGATTTGGAAATGAGGAGTTAGATGGGGTTGCTCCTCGTTACTTTGGCTTGTGCTGTTTGAAAGAAGATTGGTAGAGACCTGGAGTTTTTCTGGAATGTCCAATGATTCATTTCATAACAGCTGAAGGGTAGTAATGTCTTCAGGTCCTTCAATTGCTGTAACTGTCCTTTGATCTTGTGACTTATCTGATGCAGTATTGGCTTCCTGACTCCACACCTTCCTGGCTGCATAGTGTGAGTAGCAACCTTGATGTATTAGTTTGAGTTGTGGCTCTGCAAGATTTGAGCATGCTCTCCCAATCCTTCATGAAATTTTGTAAGCACCTAATCTCTTGTATTAAATATGCTCCTGCTTATAATATTTCTATTGCTTTTTATTACCTGCTACTGATCCCTGACTGTTACAACAGCTAATGCTTTCTAAATGGTTACTATGAGGCAGACGTTACAAAAAGTAAATTATGTAGATTATCTCTGAAATTATTAATATTTTGTAGTTGAGAAAACTGAGGTCCATAGGCCATATTTGCTAGTGGAGGGAAGAACCATGACTGGAACCAAGGCTCAGTCAGGAACAGGCCTCTTATGAGACTCATTGCAAAAAGTGCTGTAAGTAATTGATTATTAATCATTGGTTATTAAGATAACTAAACTTTTGAGTAATATACTTAAAAATGTAAAAATGAGTGATTTATTGGATTAGAACATTTCAGAGGCCATTGGTCTGTCAGGCTGACTTATATGCTTTCTTGAAAGGAAGGCAAATGGATGGAATTACAGCTATAGAAATGTGCATAACCCACAGTCTATCTCAGTTATGCCACAACCATTAGGAACATAAGATTTATGTGGATTTTATTTGACATGTATGTTCCATTTAAAAGTGTAAGAATTGATGTTTGATATAAGTGCTTACATATCGACTCGTGCACAAGCAGTACAGTATCTTCAATTCATTTTATAATTAATTATGTGATGAACAACAGAATCAGTTTTGTGCAAGTGTGCATGTGTGTACATGTGTGTTTGTGTGTGTATGCGTGTGCGTGTGTATTGTGTGGGGATAAATATATATGTGTTCCCCAGAAATATAAACTGAGATAGCATTTGTAACTAAAAATATAATGTCATTTTGGTAACACGCACTCAGATACTAGAATGTTCCCAAGAAAAATTTAGAAATGGAAACCTAATAAAATTTAATGCCAGAAAGCCTCTGAGAAAGCTATTTGAAGGAATAAACATATGATTTTAAGTGACACGGTTTGAGACTAATAAGATTTATTAATAATCACCTAAATAATATAAAAATAATAAATTAGTTAAGATAATAACTAATATTAATGATAGCAAAATAATTCAAAGTCTTAAGGACATGAGACCATAAAAGTTACCTTCTTATTCACATACGAGAACAATGCAAGCATTTTTGGTGAGAATCTCTCCAAATCCATGACTCAAGAAGCCTGGGTGTGTTTGCTGGTTGGTTGGTTTGTGAGCAAGATCTAAAGGTGGCATTCATTATTTCCTTCATCACATTCATTGCAACTTAATATGTTCATAACTAACCAAAAGAGAGTCTGGCATACATGTTAAAGTTCTATGTCCAGGAATGAACTCAGCTCATATTCTCTGGCACATAATCCTAAACATTATGTGGAAAATAAATCAATGTTGCTTCTCAGAAATGTCCTGAAAGAGTGAACACAGTAATACAGTTGTTTCATTGTTAAATATCCAAATAGAGACAGCAAAATTATAATTCACCTGAAGCATAAAAAATATATCAAAAATAGCCTTTCACATAAATAAGTTGATGAGAGTTGTATTTCTTTCCATGATTTTCTGTGTTCCAAAAGCTTGGTAGTTCTGTCAATGCAATTCCCAAACTATGAAGCAGTTTAATTCTGCAAAATGTACTAGGCTTACTAGTTATTCTTAGACAAAAGTTGTTTGAGCAATAGTTAGAACTTTTCTTCAGGAAAAGATTCTCCTGTGGCACACCTCAAACGAATTACTTTCAGAACCCTAGCACTTACATTTGGAAAATCACTTCAGATGATTATGTGCACACATCTTAACCACATCTTAACAACCCCTCCCTTCTCCTCAAGAAACACCATAGTTGTTATAATATCAACCATTTTGAAACTTCTAATATCCCAGCTTATTTTTTTCAGGAAAGATAAACACAAGTAGATATTTATCTAGTGACCACTACAGTTTGGAAAATGAATAACACTTTCCAAAAAATAAATTTCAAAATATCAGCAAGTTGAGTACCTACCACATATCTCTTACTATTCTCTTATACTAAGAAATATATAAAATGAGGTGCTGTATTTTGCCCTTGATGCTTGTAATCTCTCTGCAAAGACATTTCTGAAACCATTATAGAAAAAGACTGTGCCAGAGAAAATGTGTGGTCACTGAATATTACTTCAGTGCTCTATAATTCCTAACCTCCCTTGCAGTGAGATTGACATTCTATGATTGGTACTTCCCAATGAAACATGAACTGAAGTAATTAAAGGCAGTTTAGGAGCCCCTGTGGCTCTTCTTTGTCTCTCTCTTCCCTTGGGACCAAATACCTTAAATGGCTTTACTGAAAGACGTGGCAGAGGGGTGTTCAATACAATGAGACGGTAGCTTAAGCATATAATACATATGTGTGTGCATGAGTGTAGGATTCTTCACTGAGAATCCCCACTGAGATTTTGGGATTCATCTTTTTGGATGACAATATTGATTATGTTGATTAATTAAAAAGCCTCATATAATCATGTGCTAACTTGTGTGGGACAGAAACAAGTAACTTACATTTAAAACACAGATTAATTTATTAATGCAACAAACTTGTTGAATGGGTTCTGTGTGCCACGATTTTTCTGAAACTAGTGATACCAAAAAAGTAATATGTAATGCTATCCTCAAGGACAGATGGAGACATAAGCAAAATGAGTTGAAATAAAATGTTAAAGGTGTTTTATTGAAATGTATTCAGCATACAATGGGGCCCTAAGTAGGTAGTATTCATTTCAGCCTGGGATTGTTTGAATTGTCCCCTAGTACAGAAAAATAATCTCTTAAATTTTTAAAAAAACATTTTTTTCACCAAAACATTAATTGCCTTTGTGGTTTAATTTCATCCAATATTTTGAATAAGTGTTAATGACTTTCAACTTAACTGATGCTATTTTTATTGTCCTCCGCTAATTTGTGTCTGTTTGGCCAGGTGAAACCAGCAGAATCAGTATCTAATAGAACTACCGTTTGTACAGGAATACATTTAGAATTGGAGCATAGGCAGAATAACCACATTGATGACATTCTTACCTAGCATGGACTCTCCTGTTAATGGAGCTTCTATTTCTAATTTTATTATATGCATTTGAAAAGCATAAAAGGAGAACATTTTGCAAAATGAAAGAAAAAGACACCTAATTTAAGTGTGCTGGGGGTGGATCCAATTTTCATTTTGAATAGAATATTGCTTCAGTAATTATCTTACTATTTAAGAACAAGAATAATTAGTGTAGTAATCTCTAGTCTTATAGTACTCACAGTGCAGAGGTGAAAACATTATAATCTCGAGTAAATTATAGAGGTTTAATTATAAAGTTTACATGTAGATGAGACAGCCAAGTATAAGGGGGTCACTGGAGAATGTCCAACCAGCCTGTGTACTTGGAGAATGGGGTGGAGCCATGAAAGTTTGCACCCTTTGTCGGGGGAGGGTTGGGGAGGGAGAGCCTGGCCTCTCCTGATCCAGTGTAGTATCTGGGATTCAAGCTATGAGGTGGGAAAACCAACTAGCAGGACTCTTGCTTTGCTGAGAGTTCCTGTTTCCCTTTTTTTTCCTTTTCCCCCAATAAATTCCATTTTTCTCACCCTTCAAAGTGTCTGTGAGACTAATCTTTCATGGCCATGTGACAAGGACCCCATCCTTAGGTGAACTGAGAAAGTCCTAAAACATAGAGATGTATGTACATGTAAGTGACATTTTTGTAGCACATAAGTATATATGTATATGAAATAAGTAGATACATATTTGTTTTCTATTTTTTTCTGAAGGGAAAGGGTAACTTGTGGCAAAGAAATATTACTTTCGTATTTGAGGAAATCTATCAAGTATAAAGAAACTCTGAAATGACAATATTCCCAAGTCATCTTAACATTATCTAATTTCATAGAAAAAGCTTTTTCATGTGTTCTATAATTTAACATCTAATATTATAAAGTTGAATTAAACTTACCGAGGAATTTATCTGTTTTTATAAATATATAATTTCTATTAATATCTATGTACAGGAAAATGACTAAATTTGTCCCAGGAATTTTGCCATTATAGGAATATTTTATATTTAGACAAAAAATGATATTTTCACACATCAGAATAATTTGTTTCAATTCACCAAATACATATACATATATAACCAGTTCTCTTTTTCCCTAGTCATGGTGGGCACTGGATATACATCTAGTAATGGAAAAAGACATTTTCCCATTTTCTTTGGGAGCATAAAATATTGGTGATGATTGAGGAATATAACAAACTGGACTTTTTTTTGTTACATCATTTTTACAAATCCACTTGAAGATGAAAAACAGGTTATTGTAAATAAGTTTCTAAGTTCTCAGAATTCAGAAACTTAGAAAATGACACAACAAAACACCATATATACATTACCAACTGACAAAACACCTCTCTTTTCTCTCTCTCTACTTCATAGGAATTTTTTTCTCTATTGCTTCAGCCAAGCTGTATCTGAGATATTTCCTATAAAAATAACAAAGATGTAGCTATCAACATGTACAAAAAGAACTTATAAATTGAACAAAATATTATATGTTTTAGCTTATCAGTTTTCAAAATAATATCTTTTTTGTTTGGTACAAAAAATGCATAATCAGTTCCAATGGATTATTTCAATAAAGTTTTATGTCACCTACTCTATGGCAGATGCAACTGGGAATACAGCAATGAATAGGGACTACCCTAAAGAGAAGCAAAATTTTTAGCTTATATAATGAATACTGTGATACTGATTACAGTATTCAATATGCATCCAGTTTCTTTTTGTTCCTTTTCTAAGTCATTTGATTTGGAATTTTACAAAGATAACTGAACATAACATTAAAATCATAAAACTAAATTTATTAATTTATTCATTTGTTCAATAGATATGTATTGGGGCTTCTGTATATCAATGTATCAAGAATTAGCTATACAAAGATTTAAAAATACAACATATTCTACAATTCTATGGAACTGACATCAAAAGGAAAGATAAGCTTTAAATAAATCACTACACAATTAAATTGTAAATAGTCACAAAGGCTAAGTTACTTTACCATTGAGTAAGCCAGGAATTCAATATGTTTATACAACATTGGGTGACATAAAAACACAATATGGTTTTTTTTTTTTTTTTTTGAGATGGTGTCTCACTCCGTCGCTCAGGCTGGAGTGCAGTGGCGTGATCTCAGCTCACTGCAACCTCCGCCTCCCAGGTTCAAGCGATTCTCCTGCCTCAGCCTCCCAAGTAACTGTGACTATAGGCGCCCACCACCATGCCCAGCTAATTTTTGTATTTTTAGTAGAGACAGGGTTTCACCATGTTGGCCAAGATGGTCTTGATCTCTTGACCTCCTGATCTGCCCACGTCGGTCTCACAAAGTGATGGGATTACAGGCATGAGCCACGACACCCAGCCATGATTTAATCATCATATCCTATTAGGCAAATAGATATTTTCCTCATTATTCATATGAATTGACTAGTGCTTAGGGAGGCTATGTAGCTGAGCTGGAAACAATGTGGTAAGCATCAGAACAGGTATTCAAACTCACAGCTGTCTGAGTCCAAATGTCCATCTTAATTATTATGCAATAGTAAAACGTAAAAGGCATTTTCAATTTTCAGAGAAACTCCATAGGCATAACCTCATATTTGATTGGAAAATTGTTATTCAAACTCATAACTCTCTGAATTCTGCCAAAAATTTCACTGATGTTCACTATTAATCTGGTGAGTAGGTGAGAGCACATGTGTGTGCAACAATATGACATCCAGGCTCTATGCAGCCAGAATCTACAGGTCAAAGTGCAAGAGGCTATCTTTCTACTTTATCAGATCAGATGCACCATTAGCCTACCCCAAGAGAGTAGCACATTTCTACAGAAATGTGTTTGCCATATTATCAGCCATGCTACATTAAACATTGAAATAAAAGGAATTTTACTCCTACTTTTTACTTCTTATTTGTTCCAAGAGATAATAGCAACTAGAGTATCAGCTTTGAAAATGTGTGTTGGGAGTCATATTACATAACCCAATCTAAAACAATGATCTTCAATAATTACGAAAGATTAATCTTCTTTAGTAAAAATAATCTATGTATAACAACTTGGATTTATCAGTATGCTCTGGTTTGAGGTTTTTAAAAATATAACACACAAGAAAAAATTCAAAGTAAATGAAAACTTAAAAACCATTAGATAAAGCAAAATTGTTTTTTATTTGTGGTAATGACACAATGAACTACTTTTTGATACCTCAAACATATCAATATCAGTCTTTTATGGCATAACATCCATTACTCTAAATCCTATGCAATTTTATGCTACAGAATATATAGAATGAAACCTGGACCTTGAAGTCAGAGAGAGATGAGTTCAAATCAAAATCTGCCATGTACTACCAGTACAATTTTGACAAGTATTATAGACTGAATTGCATTCCCTCAAAATTTGTATGTTGAAGCCTTAGCTGCTAGTCTTATAGAGGGTGACTGTATTTGGAGATAGGGCCTTCAAAGAGTCACTTAATGTAAATGAGGTCACAGAATAGAACCCTAATCCAATAGGACTTGTGTCTTTCTAAGAAGAAGCCAGGGGTTGTGGCTAATGCCTGTAATCCCAACACTTTAGGAGACTGAGGGAGGAAGATTTCTTGAGCCCAGGAGTTTGAGACCAGCCTAGACAACATGGAGAGACTTCATCTCTACAAAAATAATAAATTAGCCAGGCATAGTGGCATGTGCCTGTAGTCCCAGCTACTTGGGAAGCTGAGGTGGGAGGATTGTTTGAGCCCGGGAGGTAAGGGCTACAGTAAGCCATGAATCATGCCACTGCACTCTAGCCTGGGAGACAGAGCAACAGCTTATCGTAAAAGAAGAAGAAGAAGAGGATATACCAGGGATGTTCACTCATTGAGAGAAGGTCATAGGAGGACATAGAGAAAAGGCAGCCACCTGCAGTCTAAGAAGAGGGACCTCAAAAGCAAGGAAACCTACTGTCACCTTGATTTTGGACTTCCAGCCTCTAGAACTGAGAAAATAAATTTCTGTTGTTTATGAGACACAGTCTGTGGTATTTTGTTACAGCCCTAGCAAACTAACACAGCAAGTAACTTAAACACTTCATATATCAGTTTTCTTATTCGTAATGTGAAAATAACAGTTCCAACTTTCAGAGTTTTTATTAGAAGGAAAATACTATATGTAAATTCCCTGCCACCCACATCTGAACATATAAATGTAAGTATTTCACAACGTCATATTCTGTATAAAATACCAAGCAATGTCAACTCAAGTTTGGAATCATTTAACTTTTTCTCCTTATTGTCTATTTTCTGTGAATTGAATCATAACATGCCAATTTATTAACATAATAGAGAATGGCCTTAAAATACTTACAAAGGCTTTCTATGAATTCTACCATTTCATTGACTTGTCACAGCAAACAACAAGTTTGCCATTTCAAACCATAGTTCTGAATGTGTATCTGTGGTGTGGCAAGTAAGGAACTAATTAAGTATGAAATTACCTTGTATATCTAAAGCTATGTCTGCTCACCTTTAGGCATTTTGGGAATCCACCTAATGAGATATGAGTTTTGCTCCACAGGACAATCACAAAGCTCATTAATGCTCATTAAAACATAAGTAGTATTCAATGGATTCCGCAAAATCTCACTGTATTTTAATGAACATCTGAATTATGCAATGGAGCAAAACCCTGTCAAGGAGAAATTCTTGTTAGTGCAAAAGGAAAGTGCAGGCCAATACAGATAGTAAATACTGTAAGTTTAACTACATGTAGACACATCTGTGACAAATAGAAAACATATTTCCAGAAGTTCATCTCTTAACAATTAAAAATAAATCTGTCTAGGTTGATTTGACAAGCATCTGAAATACTAGAGAGAAGTATTAATGCAATCGCTAGATTATTTGTCAATAAGAATGTTTTGAGTTGTTATTCACACATTGGATTTAAGAAAGTTGAAAATCTTCTGTTTTATAACTCATTTTGAAAACATTGTAGGTAAATGATGAATAATTATTAACTGAGTAGATAAGTGACTTTAATATTAAAGTCTATATATTCATTTACATACGTATAGTTTTTTCTGCACAAATATTTGAATGTCCACTGTGTGTTAGACACATACTAGCACTGAAAGTAAGAGTGATCAAAATAGAATCTTAATGTCACAAAGCTTATATTCCTAAGAGAGAAAGAGATGATAAATAAACATGTAAATATGGAACTAGTTAATAAGAAATATAGAAAACATAAAAACCTGGTAAGTGTATACATAGTAGAGAGAGAAGAACAAGCACTGTTACAGATAGGGTGGATGGAAAAGGTCTCTAAGAAGTTGTTATTTGAGCAGAAACAGGAATGAAGAGTAAGCCTTGGGCATATGTGAGGGATGAGCTTTAGGGACAGAAGTAACTGCAAGTATAAATGCCTAGAGGCAATAACAGACTTAGAGAAATACTCGTAAGGCCAGTGTGCCTGAAATGCAGCAAGCCATGAAGAAAGTCACAGGCGGTGAAATTAGAGCCATAATCAGGAAGAGCAGCACCAATTTTCAGGCTTCCAAAAGAATCTAGATTTTATCTAAGTGTGATGGGATCATTCGAGAACTTTGAGTAAAAGAGTAACTTGATTTTACTTCTATTCTAAAAGACTCTCTCTGATTTCTACTTGGAGAAAAGGTCATAGTAGTTTGGACAAGGGTGACAGTGAAGCCATTGAAATGAGGATGACAGGAGACTTGGCAGAATTGAATGATGGATTGAATATGGTGTGTGATAGAAAGGAAAGGGCCAGAGGATGACTTGAAGGGTTTTAGTCTAATATATTTATTGGCCAAATAAATGTTTGACATTTTTCAAATAAGAGCTTTTATTTTTTTGTTTCAAATAAATTGATATTAAAATGAAATAGGCCAAGTACAGTGGCTCACACCTATAATCCCAGCACTTTGGGAGGCTGAGGTGGGAGGATCACTTGAGCTCAAGAGTTGAAGGCTAACCTGGGAAACATAGTGGGACCCTGTCTCTACAAAAAAATTTAAAAATTAGCTGGGCTTGCTGGCACCTGCCTGTGGTCCCAGCTGTTCCTGAGGCCAAACTGGGAGGATTGCTTGAGCCCAGGAGTTCGAGGCTGCAGTGAGCCATGATCACAACACTGCACTCCAGCCTAGTGATAGCGTGAGACCTTGTCTCAAAAACAAAAATAGAAAGACAAAACTCACAAAATAAATATAAAACAGAAATAAATAAATATTACCTCAAGAACATAAATTATAAATGAAGCAGTTCTCATGAACCAGTGCCAGGACCAATTCTGCTCTCACTCAGGATGTTCTGACTTAAGGAACCATTCTATTTCCAAGATTTAAGAACCATATCAATCCTCACATCTCCCAAATGTATGAGGAGACTTCAAGAAGTTCTTGGCAAATAGAATTAAAAAATGTAAATAAATAATATAAACTTTCTCAACATAAGCTCCATCAGGCTTAAGACAGCTAAGTGATGATACAAGCCATTCGGTTCATCCTTAAAAACCCAAGGTTCCTGAGAATTTAACCATGTCAATGCAATCTTTTCATATTATTGAATGAAGAAAATTGAGTACTCTTTAAAGATTTTTTAAGATTAGGAAACAAAAAGAAGTCAGTGAGGGCCAAACCAGGACAGTAAGGTGGATGCCTGGTGATTTTCTATCAAAATATTAACAAAATTGTCCTTGTTTGATGAGAGAAATGAGTATGAGCATTGTTGTGGTAAAGAAGGACTCTCTGGTAAAGCTTTTCCAGGCACTTTTCTTTTGGAGTGTTAGTTAACTTTCTCAAAACAGTCTCACAATAAGTAGATGTTATCTTTCTTTTGTCCTCCAGAAACACAAAAAGCAAAATGCTATGAGCATCCCCCAAAAAACTGTTGACATGACCTTTGCTTTTGCTTTGACTGGACCACTTCCACCTCTTGATAGCCATTGCTTTGATTGTGCTTTGTCTTCAGGATTGCCTGGCAAATCCGTGTTTCATCTTCTGTTACAAATTTTTGGAGAAATGGTTCAGGATCTTGATCCCCCATGTTTAAAATTTCCATTGAAAGCCCTGCTCTTGTCTGCAGCTGAACTGGGTGTAATGATTTTGGTACCCATTAAGTGGAAAGTTTGCTTGACTTTATTTTTTCAGCCAGAACAGTGTAAGCTGAACAAACTGAGATGTCTATGGTGTTGGTTATTGTTTGTGCTATTAATCATCATTCCTCTTCAGTGAGGTCATGAAAAAGATGAATTTTTTCCTTGTAAATTGATGTGGATGGCCTGCTGCTGTGGGCTTCATATTCAATATTGTCTAGTCCTTTCTTAAAATGAGTTATCCACTTGTATTGTTTCAGGTTGCTTTAAGGCATTTTCTGCATAAACTTTTCATAAAGCATCAGTGATTTCACCATTCTTCTACCCAAGCTTCACTACAAATTTCATGTTTGTCTTGCTTCAATTTTAGCAGAATTCATGTTGCTCTAATAGGGGCTCCTTTAAAACTGATATCTTATGCTTTTGAGTGCCTCAAACTAGATCTTATTCAGACATGTTATGACAAGTTATTACAAGTTAATCGTGATGCAAAAAAATTGGAACTTCATTCATACTTTTTCCATAATGCACATTTCCATGAACTATGACCCCTCATATGATTTCTTTTCTGAGCTTCAGAATGTGAGTCTTCTTGAAGTTGTCTTAGATATCTTAAAATTATAATGACCAAAGGCAAATTCTTAATATTCTACCACAAATGTGCTCTCCTGAGACTTTATTAATAAAAGTCACTTTCATCCTCCTAGTACTACTACATTAGAAGTCCTTCTTGGTATCTTTCTTCCACATCACTGAGTTCTGTTGATCCTATTTCTAAAATATATCCCAAATGGAACCATTTTTTTCTCTCTCTGTCTGCTTACACTAGCTTTCTCAAAGCCATCATCACCCCATCTGTAAATTACTTTTCTCCCTGCTCCACACTAGCCCTCTGAATAACTTCTCCCTACAGTAATTGGAGCAGTCTATTAAATTTTGATCAACATAGTTTTGATATGGAAGATGAAGTTTCATATATTAGTAACAAATGGTAGTAAAAAATATTCTTCTGCACTTCTGATGCTTCTTCCTATGAAAGGTCATCAATTAATGCAACTCTAGGATTCTCTTCACTGCCTTTGGGAGTGAAATATATTTGAGAAGTTTTGTAAATTTTGAGTAATATCCATCTATGTGCAGCCAAAATCTGTGTTTCTGGAGAGTCAATGTACCTATAGAAATCACAGTTCTCTTTTGCTCTTCCATGCCTTACATCATATGTGGACAGATCATTCCACCTGCTCTAATTCTGTGTGTCCTGGACTGGGTAGAATTCAGTATTAGCAAGCTCATTTGTTTAGTCAACCTAAAGTTATATCTTCAATTTGACCTCTAATGGTAATTAAGTGTTGTTTTAGCTTACATGCTTTTTAACTTGTTCACAACCTCAGTCAGGAAGAGGACTTCTACAGGCAATAAAATCATTATTTATTTTACTTTGTAGCACATTCCTTGTACTAAGATGATCTTGAGGAGTTCATCACATAAAGCCTTTGATATGCCCATAGATGGTAGCATTGACAAACAACATGAGGAAGAGAAAAGCAAATCTAGATGCAGAATAAATGTCTATTTCATTTAGAACAAATTACTGCCCCTCACCTACGATGCAAAGGATCCCATGTAATCAGTTTGCTAGAATATTCTATAGTGGTTAATTTGAGCTATAATGCTAATTTGGGGAATATTCTTAGCAAATTAAGAATTCAGAAAGATAACTCAGGTCATCTGTGTGGAGTAACATGCCATTTTTTTAAGCCTACCATAGTCTATATTCCTGCCCCATGACCATTTTGATGATATATGCATTAGTCAAGCACGAGGCCCTTAGAGGAAGAACCACAACTGAAATTAACAGTAAGTCATCCTCTATGTATAAGACTATCACCAACAGTGGCAATTTTTACATGGGAAATAATAATATTCAGGTCTTGGTCTATTCAGAGTAATCTATCCAGAAACTACCTACCCCAAATTATTTCACCAAATGTGCTCCATTCTGACAGATATTAAACATTGACTATGAATCCACATAAATTCTAAGTTAAAGCCTCTTCTCTTTTTAGCAAAGTGCCTACAATTGGGAAAATATACAGGTATCTTCAGGGATAATAACGTGAAAGCAAGGGAATGTCTCATTTCTCTGGTAAACAAGATTTTACTTGTATTCACTGTGAGCAGGTCTATGCAAACATACCCAAAATCCAAGGAAGCTGAGAGGCCAGAGAAAAAGGCTAACAAATCCAGGTCTTTCTAAAGAAACATTTATAGGGGCTTTCTTTAGCCTCCACACTAGTTTTACTTCTCAAACAATTGCTTATAAACTTCTCATGTTATTTGTCCTACATGAGACTTAGTCATTTGGAACTCCATTCTATGAAGTAATCGAGTATCCTTCTAATTTATTTATTTTTTAACCAAAGTTATGCAAAATCTGCTGCTGTTTGTACTAAAAAAATTGACATGGCAACAAAAGGTACCCCAAATAGGGTATTCATGAATTTAATTGAGATATTAGAATCTTTTGAAGACTTCATCTTTATAAATCGTGTCCACTGAATAATAAAATTTTGTTAAGCTTGCTTGCCTTTGTGTCAGACAGTCAGGTAGCATTAAGGTTAGAATTAGCAAATCTAGGATCTTAGAAATAGCTTTTGGTAATTCTCTGGATATTGTCTAACACAAGTAATGACAGTGAAGATATAATGAAGAAGTTAAAATTTATTAAAGGCACAATTATATGTCTGTCTAAGCACTTTAATTCATTATTTAAATGTTTGTGACAACCCAACATAATTGGTACCAATCATTATTCTCAATGTACAGATGATAAAACTAAGACTTGTAGAGATTAAGTAACTTGTCCAAAGTGGTAGTTGTCTTTTAGCAGTATCATTACTATTTCTTTTAATATCAATACGTCCTAAAGCCAGTTTATAATTTATTTCCAAATCTAATGCATTCCCTGTGTTGGTCACTTATATCACACTTCTGTTATTAAGAATGTCATTCTGTATTTAGAGAACTAGTAGAGTATAGTAGTTAAAAGCATATCATAGACACCTTATTACCTTTTTTGAAATACAAGCTCCGACATTTTTGACCTGTGTATCCATTACTTCACATCTCTGACCTCAGTTTTCTTATCTCCTAACTGGAATAACAATAATATCTATCTTATAATGTTGTTGTGAGGATAAAATTGATTAGTGTATGTAAATAAAGTCAGCTTTGCAAGTAAAATTTTATAAATATCGGTTTTGTAATTGCTGTTTATTATTATTAACAGTATTAACTGTGACAAGAAGTATAGCTAAGACATAAATAAGACTGGTTTCTACTTCAAGTAACTTCCATTCTTATGGAGGAAACAGACAGGAAAATATGTCATTACTAAGTATTATTGTACTTAGTAATATACATATTAGAGGCATATCCAATAATATTGAATAATGAAAGAATGGCAGCAGGTGTGGAGGAGAAGAACTAAAGCTACACTTGAGGTTCACACAATACTTATTAGGAGATATAATACCTGAGTGACTTCTTCTAAGAACACATATATTTAGCCAGGTAAAATTTAGTTTAGGATGCTGATAAAAGCAGAGAGGGTAACATTTGCAAAGGCACGGTGATAAGAGAGTAAAATGTACATGGAGAAAATGCAAGTCCTTAAAAAGGCTTGAAAATACATTATGAGGGAGATGAGATGAGAATTCAGGTCAGAGATAAGCTGAAGTGTTATCATTAAAAAGTCACATTGAGAAAGGGAAACTATTTCCTAAATGCTAGCTGTCCAAGGGATTGGGGGTGGGGATTGTATTAAAAGATTTTAAGTAGAAGACTGGCATGATGCACTAAAATTACTTTGAAAAAAGATCATACTGAAAACAATATAAATAATGGATTGAGGGGAGAGGATGTGGTACAAAATTTAGAAAAACAGATGCTATTTAGGAGTCTTTCGATGCCAAAAAATAAAATAAGAAAATAAATAAAATTATGTAATCTTTAAGAAATTAACAGTGGGAATGGAAATAAGAGCCAGATTCAGGTGAAACTAAGGAATTCGATCTAATCAAATTTCATGGTCAAACTGGTAAGGGAAAAAGAAGTGGCAAGGATGATTTATAAATTCATGTTTATGCTACAGGATGGATTTTAATTTTATTTATAGAGATAGAAACATAGAAAGAATAGAAAGATCCGGGGGGAGATATATAGGAGTTTTATATATATATATATATATACACACACACATATATATGTGTGTATATATATACACACACACACACACACACACACACACACACATATATATGTATATATAAAACATTTGGGCCAAGTGCGGTGGCTCACACCTGTAATCCCAGTACTTGGCGAAACAGAGGTGAGTGGATCACCTGAGGTCAGGAGTTCAAACCAGCCTGACCAACATGGTGAAACCCCATCTCTACTAAAAAATACAAAAATTAGCCTGACTTGATGGCATGCACCTGTAATTCCAGCTACTCTGGAGGCTGAGGCAGAAGAATCTCTTGAACCCCGGAGGCAGAAGGTGCAGTGAACCAAGATCGCACCACTGCACTCCAGCCTGGGCAACAGAGTGAGACTCTGTCTCAAAAAAGAAAAGAAAGGAGAGGAGAGGAGAGGAGAGGAGAGGAGAGGGTAGGGGAGCGGAGGGGAGGGGAGGGGAGGGGAGGGGAGAAGAAAAATCTAACATCATATATGTGTATATCAAGATGTCCAATAGAAATATTGGGATAAGTCTATGGGTCTGCAATTCAGAAGGAATATTTGGCCTGGAAATCCATTTGGTAGCTAACAGCCCATAGGTGGTAGCTGAAACTATGGAACACATAGAATTTCCTCAGTGGGACTCTGAGGAGTAGGAAGAGGGCCAAGGACAGGACTTTGGGAAGTGTGAATGAAAAAGCAGGCAGAAGTTAAGGGAGCCAATATAGGACACAAAAGGAAAGCAACAGAAATGGGAAATGAAGAAAATGTGGAACAAAGGAAAGAAAAAGAGACATTTTTAATAATAAAGCAATTAAGCAATATGAAATATTTAGTAACTAAATTGTCATTGGTGAATCTATGGAGCATATTTTCAATGGAGTGTTATAGGTGGAAGATGGGTAGTAGAAGTAGACAGAAAATATAAAAAATAGAGGAAGAGATTGTAAATTGTGCATGGCATTTTAAGAGGTTAGACCATTAAGCATAGAAGAAGATAGGGGAGGTATATAGAAGGAAATAGGAGAACTGACAATGGAAAAAAAGCCTAGAGATAGGGTAATATCTAGAAAGATATATAAAGTGGACATAGAGATTTTTCTGTATTTGTCACTTCATTTTTAAATTATTTGCACTTCACTGAAGTATAGCTGATAAATTAAAAATTATATATTAAGTAAAATAAGCCAGACACAGAAAGACAAACATTGCATGATGTAAGTTTTATGTGAAATCTAAAAATGTTGAACTCAGAAACAGAGAGTAAAATGGTGGCTTCCAGAAACTAGGGCATGGGAACATGGAAAGCTGTTGGTCAAAGGGCACATAGTTTCAGTTAGGCTGAATGAATGAGTTCTGGAGATCTAATGTACGGCACGGGGACTGTAGTTAATAATAGTGTATTGTATAATTGAAATTTTCTATAAGAGTAGACTTGGTGTGTTTATTACTTCAAATGAGGAAATAGGTTGTATATTGAAGAGAAAACAAAAATAGACAGGTAGAGTTTAAGGATTCAGTTGTCAGAGAAAATAATTGATGGATCCAAGTCCCTGAGATAGAGGAAGGGTTGAGATGCGGAATACTGGTGGAAGTATTTTGTTTATGCGGAAGAAACAATGTTTCCACCAAAATGGAGGAAAAATACTAAGAATGAGCGTGTATATAGATAATTTATAGCCTCTTGATGTTGATAATATCGCAGGTACAAAAGCGAATTTTGATGAGATTTCAGAAAGTCAGGAATGCATAATTGGAAGTGTCTGTATGTTATGTGTACAGGAATATACCAAAGCCTAAAATGAAATAATGCATGTATCCAAATGACTAAAAAATCTACAGTTAATTTATTATGAAAAAAATGTGTGAAGAAATTTTGAGTGGTCTATAAAAAGTGAATACATTAATAAGTTACATTAGCATAGATGACTCATGTTCAAAAGATCTTTTTTATGGAAGAGATACTTATCATATTGCTCACTGACTGTATAATAGAATTTAAATAAATTAGGCCTCAGCTGTTATCTTCATTTCACAAAAAAAGCATGATATTATAGCAGAAAGGGGCAAATTATATTTCAATAACTGGGAGTTCTTAATATGACCAAAATTATGTAAATTCTACCAACCATCAATTTTCTAGGAATTTTAGTTTTCATGCTAATTCACAAAAATCAAGCACAATGTATTTGCAGCTGGCTCAATTCTCCACTAATCTTTCACAAGGGGAGTTAGTTAAGAAATGTACTTGAACTACAGAAAAATATGGCTCATTGAACCAGGTAGTGCCATATTGACACAGTCCCTTTAAGAAAAGATAAATATATTTGGCAAATTTCAGGACTATCTTAGAAAAACAAGCTCCTTGGCATCTTATGTTATGATTTATATGATCAGTAGGACAGTACTGCATTTAAGAGAGACAATGTGCCATGTTACATACTAGAAAGAACATGGTCTCTGCATGCCTAGGGTTTCAATGGCAGTGATGCCACTTGTGACTTTGTGCATTTACCATCTCTGAGTCTCGTTGACCTTGTTGACAAAAATGTTAATGATAGTGCATATCATCAGGAATTTAGTGAAACTTTTCAGATATGTTTGTTTCATTTTTTTTTGTTTTGTATTGTTTTGTCTTGTTTTTTGGACAAGTTCTTGCTGTACCCTGTCTGGAGTGCAGTGGCATAATTATGGCTTCCTGGAGACTCAAATTCTTGGGCACAAGCCATACTCCTGCCTCTGCCTCCAGAGTAGCTGGGACTACAGGCATGTGCCATTATGCCTGGCTATTTTTTAATTTTTTGTAGAGATGAGGTATTCCTATATTGTCCAGGCTGGTCTCAAATTTGTGGGCTCAAGTAATCCTCCTGCCTTGACCTCCCAAAGTGCTGGGATTATAGGCATGAGCCACCTCTTCCAGCCTCTTATTTTTTTAGATGGTAGAAATTTGTATATTATGTTTGAATGATTAGAGAAGAGAGATTAGAGAATGGAAAATTTAAGATTAAAGAGAGAAAATGTGCATTTCAGTGTAAAATCTATATCTTAGTCTGCTATAATGAAATACCGTAAACTGGGTAACTTATAAAGACCATAAATGTATTTCTCAAAGTTTTGGAGGCTGGAAAGTCCAAGAACAAGACACTAGTACATTGAGTGAGGAACAGCTTTCTCATAGATGGTGCCTACTTGCTGTGTTCTCACATGGTGGAAGGGGCAAGGCATCTCACTGGGGTCCCTTTAATAAAGGCATTCATCCCATTCATGAGGGCTCCTCCCTCATGACATAATTACACCCCAAAGGCCCTATCCCCTGAAATCGTTACACTGGAGATTAGGATTCCAAAATATGAATTTTTGGAGCATACAAACATTTAGACCATAGTAATCTATGAGAAGACAGGAAGAGATTAGATATCTAGAGTAAAGATAAGATAATACTCAAAGAAGAAATGATGTGTAAAACATCCCAGGTGTATGTTGACCAAATAATGATATATTCTATTAAAAAAAGGCTATCAAAACAACAGTGGCAATGTACATGAATTCATTAGGGTCTCTAAATGCCTACGAATATGCTATTTTTATTCCCAATAATTGATTTACTTCTTCTTTTCCTTTACCATATTTGTCACTTTCAGCATTTGTCAGTAGTAGTGAAATTACTACCACATTTTCTCCCACATACATGTTGTTTTAATAAATATATAGCCCATAAAATGCCTTGTTATTTTTCTAGCTATAATTCAAATATTCATGCACATTCTCTTTATTCTGATGTATCCAAAGAACAAATGTATGACATGATACATCTGACTCTAATCAGCCCAGCATCCTGACCTAACCTGCTGAGCCTCCACTGTGGACTTCACAAAATCAGATACAGTCTTCTTATGAAAATGGAGGCTAAGAACCAATTCCACTCAGAGGTGAATTTGGTTTGGGCATACAATCTTACCAGTTTTCTGTTTCTGACCTAGCAGCAGCAAGTAGTGTTTCTGAAAAGAAGCATAAAACAATAATTAATATTTTAGCATTTAGAGAATCACCAATAAAAACCAATAAAAATGTTTAAAAATAATTTTTATACAAATAAAAATTAATATTTTAACATTAAGAGAATCACCAATATACAAGGTATTGAAATAAAAGGAAAGCCACAAGAAACAGAACAAAGCAAACAAAATACATAGGATATTAAATAGAATGCAAAATAAATTAAAACTGAAAATCAGAAACCTTTAACACACACACAATTAAAAGATTATATTAAACCCATATTTGTAAATTCTAGATTATCAAATGACACTGACTTTCTTGAGAAACTGGAGAAGCTCTTTATATGCATCCATATTACCACCTAGCTAGATCAGCTTTTAAATATCTTAATCATCCTTACAGCTATGATAGAATCATTGGGCATTTTCATACACAGCTGGAGTGTTGGTATAAACGGGTATGATGTTTCTAGATGGTATTCTGAAGTATCTATCAAGCTTATAGAAATCACTTTTTCAAAATATAATAATTCCATGGAGATAATTAAAATTTTTAAAAAGTTTGGCTGTATGTTTCTGAGAGTATCACTTAACAAAATGAATATTAGAAGTAACTTAAATGTCCCAAATAATACACTGGCTAACTAAATAGTAGAATACTTATTCAATGAACACTTATTTAAAAAATCGTTTAAAATGTAGCACTAAATCTTTTCATTTGGCATGAAAACTTTTCAAACTATACAGTTAATTAAAAATGACAAATGTCCAATATCTGTAAATAAATGTATGATATTTTCAATAAAGGAAATATATAGGTACAAATACATTTGTTACATCTATAACAAATAATAATAGCAAAAGCTAATGATAATAGCAATAGCTATGTTTTCTTATTTTTGTCTTCACAGAAAACACTGCTAGTTGTCATTTTATTATTCAGATAATGAAAGTGAGCCTTAGCTTGGTAAATAAATTGACCATAAGTCATAGAGTTTATAAGTTGTTGAGCCAGGTTTTAAATTTGGATTTCTATGACTGTAAACTACAACTGTATGTTACTTCTGTAAATTCACCAACCTTTTAATAGTGAATACCTTTGAAGTTTATTGACATTTTATTTTTGTTTTGCTTGTTAGTGTTGTCTAACTTTTTATCAGATATATAATACTTCTGAAGAATAAAAAAAATTAAAAGCCAACAATAAGTACATTGGTGATCAGTAAGTTAAGAACCAAAGAATCAGTGATTTTACAATATGTAAATTGTATGGTGATCAATGATGTAAGATAGAGATATATTTAGGTGTGTGTGTCTGTGTGTGTCTATGTGTGCATGCACACACATGCACACAGAAATGCACCATCCCTGTCTATTTTAATGAAAAGCAGTCAGTGGAATTTAAGCTAGAGAAATAAACCAGTCCTTGAGTTTATTACCTTTATCCTTCAACAATTCTTTGTTTGGTCTCATAATAAGGGTTTAATTTTCATTTAGAGTCATACTTAAAAGAATGGCCAAATAATTATTTTGCCTTAAACTTAACATGTGATTTTAGTCTTCTGTCTGCTTATAAAAGAGCAAAATGGGAAGGAAACACCATTTCAAAGAGTCTGAAGAATTTAAAAATGTGTGACTTCCTCTGGCCTTCATTGCAAATTAATTTTTTATGTATATTTTTAATTTGATAGACTGACATTTTTCTCATCTTGACTACATGGATCAGTAACTCCCACTACTTAGCCAAGAGGTTAATGAGAAATTGATAGTAATAACCAAAAATATACCAAGAGGATTTGTCCTGTTTCTCCACCCAAAATAATAATTTGGAGCATCTATCAAGCACTTTCTTGAAAGAGAATAAGCTATGCAAAATGCCAGTGTGTCAAGAAAATGATTTATAACTAATGACAGACAGCTATCGAGATTGCTTTGTTAGACACTTCCACTGTATGTTACCTATTGCCGAATATACCATAGAATTACAGGTTTCTCTCTCTTAAATGTGCACTTAACCAGGTACTTTTTATTGATGGGACAAAAAATTAATCTTCTGTCTTATTTTGTATGGCTAATTATCCAAATAAGAATGTTATGACTTAAAGTCGTGGCACGCACACAAACACACATACATACACACATATACATACACAGATACCTACATACATACAGTGTACACACTTAAACATGTATAATATGCATAATATGTGGTATGTTACATATTGCCATATTTAATAAAATCAATATGAAAGTGTTGTTTCATATTATGTAATATTCTTCAGTGCTAAAAAAATACTATGGATCCATGAAAAGACATGAAACTCATATGCATATAACTAAGTGAAAGAAGCCAATCTGAAAAGGCAGCATGCTCTATGATTCCAAATATATGACATTCTTGAAAATAAAAAATCTAGAGACAGTAAAACGATCAGGGGATGCCAATAGTTGGGGGAAGGGAGGGATGAACGAAGAGCACAGAGGATTTCAAGGGCAGTGAAGCTACTTTACATGACACCATAATGTAGGTACTTGTTATACACTTATCAAAGCCCATACACTGCACAACATCAAGTGCGAATCCCACCATAAACTATGGACTTTGGATGATAATGATGTGTCAATGTAGGTTCATCAATTGTACAAATGTATCACTCTGGTGCACGATGTTGGTACTGGGAAGGCTACCTACATGTGGGAATAGGGAATACATGGGATGTTTATGTACTTTCTGCTCAATTTTACTGTGAACCTAAAGTGGCTCTAAAAAAGCAAGTCTATTAAAATAAAAAGTATCACATATACAACTTGAATTTATCTGTCTCAGAGGACACCTTGGTAGAAGACAGCATGTGATTTTTTTTAAGAGACAGGGTCTTGCTATGTTGCCCAGGCTAGAGTGAGAAGTGGCTGTTCACTTGGTTTGCACAGTCATGGTGTACTATAGCCTCAAAGTCCTGGGCTCAAATCATTTCTTCTGCTCAGCCTCCTGAGTGGCTAAGAAAAAGGCATGGTGCATCCAGTGAAATATTTGATTTTATTTCCCAGAGAATTTCTTCTAATATGAAACTTAAAGCTTGGAATATTAGTTACAGGTCTTGAAGCTCCCTAAAAAATTCCAACATATTTCATCACCACTGTCAAGCTTCCAAAATACTGCTGCAAAAAACCTAGACACTGCCACCTTTATGACAAACTGATAATGAATATGTCTAAAATCCAGCCATATTAGCTCCACCACTAGACCTATTTTAGGATAGTTTGCAATTTTGCATTTTCATAATATGTTAAACTGATTGATTTCCAGGAAAATTGCTTTTATTAGAAATTTAAACTTATTTTTTTGGTGATATTTCTATTCTAGGGAGCGTAACTTTCTCAGTGAGAATTTGCTTTCTAGGGAATATTAGGGACACCCCCATCACTTGCTTTGTTTCTATTTTTTAGAATACATTTGAAAACAGGTAATGAAGACACTGCCTCACAGTTTAGTGTGTTGATATACACAACCCTTCCTAAGGTGCAAATGCATGTAGTGGGTCACTTTCATTAGAGTGCCAAAGACTCGCAGCAGCTGGACATTCCTTTTTTCTACCACTCAGAAAACACTCTCAAGACATCTTTGCTAATGCTGACAATTCTGCTTTGTGTATTGAGATTCTAAAGTGTGCTAATTACCCTGGCTAGAATTCAAAATCTGATCTACTTTGCCAGGAATAAGACAGTAGTCCCTAGGATGCATGGAAGGAAAAAGCTAGCCTTCAGCTTGTTAAGCCACCATGAAGGCCACTTCATCATAGGAGTCTTTATGTCCCTAGAAGCCAAGAAAGATTTATAGAACTGCTTACAAATTAAAAGAGATGCTGAATACGCAAGAGCAGTGGCTTCAACTCACTGCGAACAGTGTCGGGAGAATTAGTTGTTTACCAGACTGGGAAGCTGCAAATGCAATTGAGCACAATATGAAATACAATAATCTGTAATGCCTGCAGTGACCACATACCCACATACCTACAAGGCTAAAATTGACTTTTTGACCTTAGAAATATATAAATATGCGTGTGTGTGTGTGTGTGTGTGTGTGTGTGTATGTACATATATATGCATGCCTTTGCTTAATACTTCTCAAACATTCAAAGCAATAATGATAATCTTGGTTCCCTCACCAATTTTTGAAAAAAATCGATAACTTTCCAATTGTGAGCATTTCTAAATTGCTAGGTTTTTAAGTGGAAATTCCATATGCCAAAAAAGAAAAAAAAATGCTCCATGGTACTGGCTCAATTATTTTGCAAATCTTTTATTAAGTGGAAGAAAACATTTGGATCTTTTTTCTGTTCCCTTGTGAAGTGATTAACCAAGTTAATTTGCAAAGTTAAAAGTGTTCTTTTTGTATTGCTTCTCCTGTATCAATAGCCAAAGCCTTGCTGCAATTGTTAAAAGTTTGAATTTTTAATAAATCTTGCTGCAGGTCTTCATTCACTATAATTCATGTTAACAAGATTCAATGAATATTGCAAATGATCATTTTTCTTGTTATTCAAAAGCTACTCACTAATTTGGCAAAAGGTTTGCCCACATCTGATTTACTTAATACCCGAGTAAAATTAGATAAAATGAAGAGAATTATATATTAGCAAAATGTTTAATTTAGGTCCATGAGGCTGCTGATTCAGGCTTTCCAATAGAGCTGGCTGCTAAGGCTTGGCCCAGAGACAGCAAACGCTCCATTCTCTTTCCTGGTCTTTTCATCAGGTTCCAGGATAAACTCCCTCTGCTTTCACTCAGAGCTTTGACCTCCCTCACCAAGTTTTTCAACATTTTTTTAACCTTCTGGGCCATTTTCACCACATTACAAATTGATTATAAACAGCCTCAAGTAATAACATAGGAAATGGTTGTTGGGTGCCTAATATTTTTTCATTACTGAGTCATACGGACTTTGTCAGAGTTTCAGGGGCGGGGGAAGTAGCAAAAATGTGTACTTCATTCTCAAAAACATAAAATTTGACAGGAGATAAAATATATCAAGAAACAATGACAATACAACAAAAGATGTATTCCATTAAATGCTAAATTATATCATGTCATTTGAGAGGTCTAACAATTCTAAGGAAATGTTTTTGTCACAGGATCCTTGGGGTGTCACTTTGCCAGCCAGAAACCTCTGTGGCGAGCGGGTTTTGCTCAGGCCTGCTGGGCCTGTTCCACCTACACGCCTGGCAGGCTGCACTCGGCTCGCACTACCATGCTGAACCCCACACCTGCCAAGGGCGAGACAGGTGCGGAATGGCAAGGGGTATGTAGGCGAGTGAACATGGGGTCCGGCCACTGCGCATAGCCAGTGGCTACTGCGGCGGGGCAGGCAGCTCTAGGCACCAGCACAGGTGCTGGCTCAGGTGCCGGCTCCATGCGAGGCTGTAGCTGGACCAGATGTACCGCAGGTGATTTCCACCGTGGACACCTACGTCTGGAGGAGAGAAACATGGTGGTACCCAGAAGCTTGGAGATGCCAGGAACTGCAGAGCCCGAAAAAAGAGTGTCACAGCCCCAGCTCAGGGAGCCCCTAGGTCTCGGCTTCCTGAAGGGCTGCAGCTCTTCCCTCCTTCTTGTCGCCGGCAACGTGGCAAGCGGGGATGGGGTTTCAGCCCTGTTTGTGTTACAGCTCTTTCAGTCCCGCCATTTGGCAGGTCCCAAGTTCTTGTCTTGCACCCAGGAAGAATGAGGTATGTGAACAACTGGAGGGTGAGCAAGGCAGAGAGGAGCTTCATTGAATGACAGAACAGCTCTCAGGAGACCTAAAGCTGGTAGCTCCTTTCCACAGGCAGGTCGTCCCAACGAGCGTCTGGCTCTTAGTGGAGAAGAGACCTAAGTGGGTAGCTACTTTCCATAGGCAGGTCATCCTGAGTCGTCCAGGAGACCCGAATTGGGTAACTCCTTTCCCACAGCTGGTCATCCCCACGTCTGTCTGTGAGTCTGGGTGAGTCCAGAGTTTTTACAGGCTTCATAACGGAAGAAGTGCATTCTGATTGGTCCATGGGCAGCCATGAGGCAGTTCCAGAAAAAGCATCGTAAGTTGCGGACTCCACCCAGTACTGACAGACTGTCCCCAAGCTTCCGGCCGTTTATGGCTTGAAGGTGGGGTTCAGGACGTCCATGGCTTGAAAGTGGGGCTTCACTGGGGACCCACCCCTTTCCACCCAGAAGCCTGTCTGCCTCCTGCCACTATCCATCATGTCATCCAGGGTTCCCAGGCTGTTCATGCCAAGGGGCACCTGCAGGCCTGTACCAAGCTGGCCTCAACTCCCCTCAGCCTCCCCTCCCATGCTCATCAGTGCCCAAAGTCCAGAGGGCACCAAGGTGACAAGGGGCTGGCATGTCAGCACCAGCCCGAGCGCATGCACACCCAGCTGGGTTGGGACAGCACTCAGGCTCGGCCTCAACTTTGCTCTGAAATTGGAGCAGGCACCAGGAGTTGGGAGAGTCCAGGCCGGGGAGCAGGCACTTCTGAGCCTGCAGGGGTAGGGGTGGGGGGCTCTTCCCCAGACCCGGAGAGTACAGAGATGCCTTGGTTCACAGCTGCAGCTGGGCAGCTGCAACTGTGCCCAGAAGGGCGGGGCTCCTCCCCACCAACTTGGAAGGGGGTGGGGTTCCCACCTGTTTCCAGCTCCTGTGGGCTCCGCAGAGTGCACAGCCCAGGTTGTGCCTCCCCCACTGCAGTGGTGTCTTCTCAGCAGCCAATCCATACGGCCGTGGATGCCATCACTTTGTGGTATACCTACAGCCTTAGGTAGAAATTGATTTAGAACATTATTTATTTATGTCAGTACTTACGGATTTAAATATTCTCTCTTGAATATCTTCTAATAATAATTAATTTGTTCTCAAATTACTCTAAAACAATAAATAAACATGGCAGTTTTCAGTGACTTGAGTTTCTAGAAAGTATGTGTTAGGCATAGTGAGGAAAAATAATGAAATTCTTCCTGTGTTGAAAATTTCACAAAATTTAAAAACTTAGGATGAAGCAAATATTCTATTGTTTTCCTTTTCTAGGAATGTTTTCCATAGATTTAAGTATAATCCACGTGATTCTTTGTGGCTGTCATTTTTCCTCCTTTTAAATAGAAATCTCTACAGTGGTTTTCATATGCCTGTCCCGCCACTGAAAGTTAGATGTGTGGGTAACACTTAACCCATCTCTTTAATTTCATAGGTCTAAAGATTATAAGGAACATATGTGGGGAGCTGTACTTAAAGAACTACACTAAGTGAGTTTCATCTACACATGAATTTGATTTAGATGATGAGAGTCCAGGCACTGAGCTGATGCTATAATGGATGATACTTTGGGGAACTTGGGAAAGGCAGAATATATTTACATGTGGGAGGGAATGAATCACTGAAAAACCAGGGGACATCTCATGGTACACAGCTTATAAAAAGACTCCCAATGATCCCTACTTCCTTATATAGAAGACTGCTTGTGTGTGATCTTCTCTTCTTAAATGTTGACTGGCTCTGGGGAATATAATATAACAAAAATGACAGGATATCATATCCAAGCTTAGTTTGCAACAGTACCATGACGTGTGTGTGTGTGTATCTATGCCTGTGTCCATCTCTGTCCCTCCTGTCTCTCTCTCTCTTGACCCTCACTGTAGAGAAAGCATACTTTAATTTTGTGAGCTTTTCTTTGGAGAGGTCTACAAGGTGCAGAACTGATATATCCAAGCAACATCTAGGGAGAACCTGAAGCCTACTAACAACTATATGAGTGATGTTGGAAGTATATCCTCCCCAAGGAGAACCTTAAAATGACTGCAGCCTCATTTGACACCTTTATTAAAGGCTTATGAGAGATCCTCAGCCAAAGATATTCAATTAAGCTGCTCGGTCAAAGATGCTAATTTCTGGAATCACTTTACAGAATAATTTTTTCTTCTTTACTCTGCCTTGCAAATTCAAGCTTTCTTCTGTTTCTTTGAGCTGTTATCTGAGACTCCTTAATTCAGTGATTCTTCAGTGCAGAACTTACGTTCTTCTCCCTGGTGTCTGAAAATTACTCAAGTCAGTAAACCAGGGAAATTTTAGGGTTCACTTCAGTTGTTTTCCTTCTGTCAGCAACTGGAAATTTGTGTTGCTCTTGCCTAATTTCCGAAACCAGTGTGGCAAATACTGTCTTAGTTCCGGCTACTATAACAAAGTACCGTAGACTGAGTGGCTTAGAAACTACAGAATTTTATATTTCTTACAGTTCTGGAGGCTAGAATGTGTGCCAGTATGGTCAAGTTCTGGTGAGGGCCCTTTTCCAGGTTGCAGATTGCTGTCCTTTCTTTGTATCCTCAACTTGCAGAAAAAGAGCAAGAGAGGTCTCTGAAGTTCTTTTGATAAGGGCATTAGTTCCATTCAGGAGGGCTCCACTCTCATCATCGATATACCTCCCAAAGGCCCCACCTCCTAATATTATTACATTGTCTGTTAGGAATTTAAATTTTAAGAGGACACAACAATTTAGCCCATAAAAATATATTGTCTCTTTCTTTTCTTTCCTCATTTTTTTTTTCTTTCTTCCTCTCTCTTTCTCTCTCTCCCCCTGGGGAAGCAAATCTAGTATACCACATATTCATGCTTGAAACATTCAACAAGTTTTAATTTTATTTATTTTTTAATTCCAAAAAGTTTTATTTCATTTTTCAATAGTGCTACTACCTTCAAGACTATCTCTTGTCCCTTTAAACACAGCAAAGATAGTTGTTTTCATGTCTCTAGTCAATAATAAAACACTTACAGGTCTATTTGTACAGTTTGTTGATTTTGTTTATTTTTGTTGTTGTTGTTTTATTTTGTTTTGTTTAGATGGAGTTTTCACTCTTGTTTCCCTGGCTGGAGTGCAATGGTGCGACCTCGGCTAATTGCAACCTCCACTGCCCCAGTTCAAGTGATTCTCCTCCCTCAGCCTCCTAAATAGCTGGCATTGCAGCCATGCACCACAACACCTGGCTAATTTTGTATTTTTAGTAGAGACGAGGTTTCTCCATGTTGGTCAGGCTGGTCTCGAACTCCTGACCTCAGGTGATCCACCCACCTCGGCCTCCCAAAGTGCTAGGATTACAGGCATGAGCCACCATGTCCAGCCAATTTTGTTAGGTCTTAATCTTGTAGTTCAGTTTTCTTTTCCTTACAGCTATCTTTGACTATGTGCTGGATATTATACTTTAGTAGCTATATATAGCTACTAATACAAATATAACTACAAGTACAAATTATTTATTTCAGAACTATATTGGACATATTTAAGAGAGAATTGTGTTTTTCTAGTTCGGGCAACAGGCCCATGATTGAACAAGATTACCTTAAAACAAATTCAAAGACTGAAATTCCCTGGATGATCTCTACTGGATTAGAATCAGGCAATATACACAGGAGATTAACACCAGACAGTAATTTCACACGGGCTTTTTTTCTTCTGACTTACTCTGATCCTGTGAGAGCAGCCATTTGGTATCTCATTTTTATGGGCATGGTCTGCTGTGAGAACTTGCCCCTTGATCCACCTGATTTGAGTTGTTTCTTTTTTTTATATATAATTAAAGCTTCAAGGACTGTCAATATAAAGGTGCTAATTTCTCTTAAGCGTAGATCACTGACAAGTTTGTTATCTCTCTGTTTTATTTTTCCTTTTACTTGGCCTCTAACAATTGTTTCCTGTTTTGTCACCCTTTATAAAATTAGAAGTGTTTTATTAAAATTTTCATTCATTATTTTTAGATTTTATTTTTCAGCATGAGTGTTGATTTGCATAACCTAGCCTACTGGTATGAACAATATGAAACAATTGAACATTTGCATGCCTTGATATTCCCATTTGTAAAATGGAGATAAAGTTTCACACACTTATTAATTAAATCAATTGAAATAATACATAAAATTATTGAGAAAATATAAAGCATTTTTCTAATATTTTTAAATCTTTTAATTTTTTCATTAACTAAACATCATATAGGGTATTTATGGGTCTAGCAATAAGCTATCCATTGGGACTGTAAGATAACTGAAACACAGACCAGATTCCTGGAAGAATTTGTTTTGCAGTATGAGAAGTAAACAACATGGATCAGAAATAACTTTATAATGCAATAAATAATCTGATTTTTATAAATATATAGATATTCTAATAAATTATGTACAATAAAGATGAGCGTAACAATTCTTATAGAAGTCAGAAATAGCCTTTAAAGGGTATGGTAATTGGGCTCAGTTTGGAAGTTTGAGTGATATTTCATTGGTCAGGAAAAAAGGGAGAAGTACATGGCTGGAGGAAAAGCTCTTTGGTGCAAAGCCATGAAGTCTGGAATGGAAGTGGCATATTGAGTAAAGATATAAAACATCAGTGAGAAGAAGGATCTTAAAAAGAAATAGCAAAAAATATAAGTAGGATAATCTGGAATCAGATTATGGAAGGTTTTGTATACATATTTCAGCTACTTGAACTTAAGCCTTCTGCCATGAAGAGATAATAAAAGTTTTAATGAAATGAAGTAACAAAACGAAATTGTGTACATGAAAGCTATATTTGCTAGAAAATGAAAGGCATAGTGGGAAAGCTAGAAATGACAAAGTGGGAAGTCCATTTAGAGTTGATTAAAAGCTACATATTCCAATTTATATGTGGTCACTGTTTAGGTAAAAGATTAAAAGATTCTGAACTTAGGCAACAGCTGGGCAGTTAGGAGAGGAAAAATAGATTAAAAAGACATTTGGGAGGTAGAACAGTCAGAATTTGATTAATCAGTTTGAATGGTAATGAAATAGGAGAAAAGCACATTTGGATAGGTAAGTATCATATGAGAGAATTTTCACTAGAACGCTCCGGGAGTTTGTATAACATATAAGTCTATAGGTGACAAGTAACCTTAATGCATACATTAGTAAAATCTATAGGGTAGAAAAGTTCACTCAGAGAGATTTGTAGAGTTAGGAAAGGAAAGGTGAAAATACGGAATTTGGGAACTGTGAATAGTTAAGAGGCAAGAAGAAAGAAAAAACAGGCGAAATGTTGAGATAGTCTAGGCAGAATCTTAAGGAGAATTCAGCATGGAGTGCAGACCCAAAGAAAGAAAGGAGATTTCAGAAGGAGTGGACAAGCTACATTAAAAGTTGCAGAGGAGTTAAAATAGAACAAGTTGATCTTTAGAACCAGCAATTTTTGCAACAATATCAGAGTTGGTGTTAGAGTGAAGTTGATTTCATAGAAAAAGGAAGGAAAATGTATAGATAGCAAGTATAGATTTCTCTTTTTAAAAGTTTTCAAATTAATGAGTGAGTGTCTAGATGAAAGGGTGATTTTTAGAATATGAGTGACTTCAGCATGCTTTTGCATTTGAGGATAAGTCGTTAATGAAAGATTCTGCATATAAAAGTGAAGGGATATAATTGAAGAAAGAAAGTGGTGAAAAGCAAGAAAAATGTTTCCACTGTCAGGTTCATGAAATGGTTTTGTATTTCCAAGTCTGCACTCCTATATTCAGGAGGGATTCCTAGCTCATACTGTGGTAAATATTATTGGCATTAGAAGTAGACATAAAATTGACTGTACAATTAAAAGATAGTGCCTTGGTTGTGGTACAATAATATAAAGAGTCAGACCTCCCATACATGTGGTTAATTGAGGTAAACTCCCAATTAGTCATTAGGCAAACTTCCCTGTGTGAATAAAGAAAAAAGTAGGGCAATGGTCCTGCTGTCATGGGATTTACATTTAGTGTCTTTTAATCACAGAGCAAATAACTTTAAAATTTTCCGAAGTTAGGTGCACTGAAATACGTTTCTATATTTTATTGTGTTTATGTTCACTTTTTAGTAGTTAATATACTTGTCTCCTATAATATTTAAAAAGCCTAAAAGTTATTACATATCTTACTCCCATCCTTGTTTTCCATCCACCCATTTCTCTTCTTGGAGGCATTCAGTGTTATTAGTTTTACTTGTACTTTACTTATACACGCTCACAAAAGAAAATGCTTACAAAGGCACAAGCACACACACACCCCACAGATTGTCATACAGTTAACCCTTGGACAATGCAGGAGTTAGAGGTGCCAACTCCATGTGAAGTAGAAAAGCTGCATGTAACTTTTGACTCGCTCAAAACTACTAGCAGCTTACTGTTGACCAAAAGCCTTATTGACAACATAAACAGTTGATTAACACGTTTTGTACATTATATGTGTTATATACTGTATTCTTAATATAAAGTATGGTAGAGAAAAGAAAATGTTATTAAGAAAATCATAAGGAAGAGAAAATTGACTTACTATTCATTAAGTGGAAGTAGATCATTATAAACGTCTTCATCCTTATCATCTTGACATTGAGTAGGTTAAGGAAGAGGTGGAGAAAAAGAAGGGGTGGGTTTGGTTTCAGGGGTCTCAAAGGTGGAAGAAGTTGAAGAGATGAAAGGGGAAGCAGAAGAGGTAGACACAGCCAGTGTAATTTTATGGAAATACTGTAATTTCTCTCTTTTTATTTATCTAGAAATGTTTTTATATGGTACCAATCCCTCTTTCACTATTTGCTTTAGTTTCAATATCCATATCATGGAAGGGTACATGTCATAAAAGAAGACGAAAGCAGTCTGGAATAATGAGAACACTTCTGCCTGAATGTATTGTGTCAATTTCTTTTCTGGTATTGCTTCTTCTACCGTTTCTTCCTTATCATCTGGCTCAGGCTTGGAAGCATTCATCTCCATCAAGTTGTGTCTTCTGTCTGTTCCTCTGGTGTGGTATCTATTAGCTCTGAACTGCTTCAAAATCTGTCTTGAACTCATTCAACCACTCTGCACCCACCTTTTTGCCATATCCACAATTTATTTGTAAATCCTGTGAAGCCTTGCACAACATCTAGACACAGTTTTCTCCAGCAGGAATATATTGTTACAGGCTTGATAGCTTCCACACCAACAACAATGGAATCTTCAATGGTGTAATTCCTCCAAATGTTCATGAGGTTTTTTCTCTATCAAAGTTCTCTTCCATAGTGTTGAGACATTATTTCCATAGATTATCATGTGTAAGGAGCTTTTCACTTCCTCATGATCCCATGATATAGAAGTTGAATTAGGATGTCATGTTTGGGAGCAAGCAGACCACTTTAACACCTGTGGTGCTGCACTCATGAGGTTCTAGGTGGCCAAGGGCATTGTCCAGTATCAAAAGAACTTTAAAAGGTAGTCCCTTACTGACAGTGTACTTCCTGACTTCAGGGACAAAGCATCATTAAAACCAATTCAGAAAAACAGTTGTCGTTGTCCAGGCCTTCTTGTTATGCAGCCAGAGACTGGCAGCTGGTGTTTATCTTTTCCTTTCAAGTCTCAGAGAATTAGCAGCTTTATAGATAAGGGCAGTCCTGATCATAAACCTGACTGCATTTGCACAAAGCAGTAAGAGTCATCCTATCCCTTCGTACCTTAAATCCCAGTGCTCACTTCTATTCCTTACTAAGAAATGTCCTTTGTTGCATGTTTTTTTCCCCCAGAATAGGGCATTTTTGTCTGCATTCAAATTTTGCTCAGGCAGATATCCTTTCTCCTCAATGATTTTCATAATTGTGTCTGGGAACTTGTCTGCTGGTTCTTGACGAACAGAAGCTTCTTTTCCTGTTATGTTAACATTTTTTTAAGCCAAACTTCTTTCTAAAACTATCAAACCATCCTTTGCTGGCTTTAAATTCTCCACCTTTAAAAACTTCACCTTCATTTTGCTTTAAGTTGTCATATAATGACATCATTTTTCACTAATAATATTAGAGTCTATAGGTAGGCCTTTCTTATAGCAATCCTGTACCCTTATAAAAGCTACATATACAATATAAAATTAAAAGTTATTTCACAAAAAGTGCAAGGTTTTTGTACCTGCTGGCATAGCTGCAGTGACAGTCATGAATTTCCTTTTCTTTGTTTACAACAATGCTTAGTCTGGGTCCCATTTCTCTTGAAACGGCAGGCAGCAGAAATTTATTCAGTTGAGCCAGCTATAGACCTCAATCTACAGCACAGATCAAATCATTCAAATTTTTTCTTGTAATGTCATGATTTTTTCTTCTTCCTGGTAACACCTCCAGCATCACTAGTTTCATTTTGTATGTGTTCTATGGTGTTATTCCAGGTTTATGGTACTGCACAAAGCATGATGAAAAATAAGCCCGAACTGCAAGAGGTCACTTTTTACTAACATACACAATTTACTGAAGAGCAGAACTGTGCACTGGGAGATGATTACCTTCACATGGTGTTTTAAGTGGACACTCACAACACTTGAGCTCACCACAATAGCAAGAAGAGGGGACTACAAAATTATTATAGTAGCACAGTATTTACTGCAATTAATTGCCTACTGCTATTATTTAATACTGAATGTCCCTTTCACTGCAAATGCCACCATGTACAGTCTGTCAGTGTACACAAACATTTTGATAAATTTTTAAAAATTGATTTGGGTATATTTTACGGTAGTAAATAATAAAATTGGCTGGTATCTACATACATTTTATGGATTCATGACATACCTTTTTCTCAATTTTTTGATGATTCTAGGTTACATGGCTCATTTCTTGAATTTTTCAAAATTGTCCCAAATGCCCAAAATTTTTCCAAAATATTTATTTAAAAAAATTATTGGCTGGGCACAGCGGCTCAAGCCTGTAATCCCAGCACTTTGGGAGGCCGAGGCAGGCGGATCACAAGGTCAGGAGAGCGAGACCATCCTGGCTAACACGGTGAAACCCGTCTCTACTAAAAATATGGCGGGCACCTGTAGTCCCAGCTACTCGGGAGGCTGAGGCAGGAGAATAGCATGAAACTGAGAGGCGGAGCTTGCAGTGAGCCGAGATTGCGCCATTGCACTCCAGCCTGGGGGACAGAGAGAGACTCCATCTCAAAAAAAAAATCTTACATAGGTGGACCTGCACAATTCAAATCCTTGTTGTTCAAGAGTCAACTGTATTATAAATACATGCTTAAGTGTCTTGCAATCTCATTTAACATCATATTCAATAGAATATTGCATGTAAGCATGCAGCTATCTTTTCAAACTTTTTATTTTCTGTTTCTTAATATTTCTTTCAATCAGTATGACAATAATAATTTCAACATAGACTTTTAGGCTATCTCTAGTCTTAAGCTAATGTAAAAACTGCTGCAAATTATGGTGCATATGTCATTTTACTGACTAATCCTTTGATTTTTCCATTATTTTCAATTTTATTTTGCTTGCTTCTCTCATCTTGCTTTGCTATACTTTTTTTTTTTAGCTCTATCCATTTCATTTTTCATTAATATAATGCAGGGTGGGTGAATTTTATTCCTCCTTCTTCCTTATGCTTGCTAACTCTTGCTTCATTTTCTCCTCTCACCTTACTCTACCTTTAAGAGCTCCTTACAACTGCTTTATTTTCCTATTAATAAGGACATTTAATGTGTTTCTTTTTTTCTTAATTTTTGGCAAAATGTTGGACCACAATTGCATCACCTCTATGGAAACAGCTTTCTTTTTTTCTCCTTTGCGGGTTGTTTTTTTTCTTTTCCACAGTCATTGATATTGTTTTGCAGTATACATCTTGTACTGATTACTTTTTGATTAACCATCTTTGAATACACGAAGTTTTTCTTCCCCCAGCTATTTGCTGTGTAGTGCTCAGGGCCATAATTCAGGAAGTTAAAACTTTTTTTTTGGATGACCAAGAGTTGTGTAGATGAGTTCTTTCCTATTTTATGTCTCTTTATGTAATATTTATTCAATTTGACCACCAGCACTGAATGTCTCTTTGGTTTTAAGGGCAGAGTGCTTCCTGAAAACATAGCTACTTTTATAGATCTCATCCAGCCCTTCTTTCCCTAAATCTCTGAACTAAACGAGGTCTAGCTCCTGCTTTCAGCTTTTATACCCATTTTTTTCATTTTTCATAAAGTAAAATTTTGTATTGTACCTTCAGGGATTGCTCCTCAAATTGAAATGATTATTCTCTGTACTCCTCTGAGCTCTTTCAAATATCTGAGCATTTGGTATTTTGAAGGCAATATTTTGAGATAGCTGTCTCTTCTTCCCTCCGTTAATCTTGGGACATCATTTTACCTTCAATCCTAATCAAAAACATTATGCCAATTTTTTTCATGGATAGTATCTCGATAATATCTTGCAATATTTTTACTTATAGTTTAGAAGATAAGAAGCTAAGCCTGAAAAAAATAATCACTCAATTTTTGGTCAGACAATTCAGAAGTAACTAAGCCAAACATTCAAACCAGGTATGTCTGACTTCAAACACCATTCTTTTTTACCATAGACAATACTGCTACAGAAAACGTTTTTCATAAAAATACAGTTAACGATGGATATTGAGGTGTAATCCAAACTATGATACTATTTATCAGTTAGAAACAAAACATAAATAGATAATAAGTATTATAATATTGTTATATTTGTACTACGAAAACATTTACTATTTTCTAACATTATAAGTTGAGGGATGTACTTTGCGACTTAAAGGCTTTAATATTCATGGATTGATTTTGCCACCCACAGCCACAGCCCCAGTTACCATTACAAAAGAAAACTCTTTAAAGTGATTTTATGGCTAATTATCAACTGGCCACATTCTTAATCACATAGGTGGAAAAATAAGCACCCTACCTTAAACTCGATATAGAAAAAAGTATTACATAGCACATTACAGCAATAAATAAAACTTCCTCTAAATCTTGATAAATAAATGCTCCACTTAGCAAAGTACTTGGATTAAGCTGTCTTTCAAACAATAGTGTCTTTCTCATTAGGTTACTGAGTATCAGTGTTACCTGTTTACAAAACAATGCAATGCACAATTTGATTTGAAGTCTACCTTACCTTAATTTAGAATAAAAACACACTTTTCCTCCTATTCATTTACATCTTCAAGTTAGTCTTTGGTGTTGTTGTTGTTTAATAAGGATTTTTTTAGAGGCCTAAAAGGAAATGCTTTCCATTTTAGAAAAATGCCTGGAGTTGCCTGGCTGCATGTGTGATAAAGCACTATATAAATCTAAGTTGTTGTTGTTGTTAATGGGATCTGTTCTCACAAAACATCATTGTATGAGTGGCTTTTATGCTGAGGCTGCCTACAGGAGGGAGGGAAGTGGAGATTTTACTCCTGCTTTAAAAGGAAATAATCAGTCTGCAGGTGGCTGCATAGTGGGATAAGCAAATGGACTAAGTGTAGCACATGGTTTTCCGCACAGAATAACACCAAACAAGAATGAACCAGATAAAGATCTTTTGTACAAGCAGTGTTCTAAAGAAAAGCTTTGAGCTCCTAACTCCTCATGTTTATGCAGGAAAATCATGGTATGCTTAAAATTAGATTTTTCTCCACAGGAACTTCTTACTATAATGTAGAACTGAAGCAGTATATAATTTTAACACTTCTATGCCTCCAAATCATCTTAACCAATTCTGAATCAGTGTTAGGATGTTATCGGCCAAAATGAATCCATGGTCTTTGATCTGCACTGTCTACCCTAAAATCAGAGTCAATTCTTTTTTTTTTTCCCCAAAGAATTTGTCCAAGGTTCAGAGATAATATATACTTTCATTTAGCTCTAAATAGGAAATGAGTTCTTAAAAGAAGAAAGTAGGCTTAAAGCAGTGTTGAATTATTCCAAAGAAATGCATTATTTCAGGTTTTTCATAACCTTTTATTCAGCTCAACATTATTGTGCAGTTGAAAATATTTGGCTCACCCCATGGAATTTGGAAAATATGTTGCTTCAAGTCTGTAGTACAATGAAATCAGGATAATTTCAACTCAGTCTGATTATCAAAGGTAAGTACTTTCTTGAAAAACACTGCCAGATACCACAGCTTGCTGAGGGAAAAATGAGAGATGCCAAAATTCATTTCAAAATACCCCATGCATGTGTTTAGAAAAGAGTTTTAGCAACAACAAAGGTGTTCACTATTATAAGATGTTCAGCCGCTTACCTCTAGCTTCAGAGAGTCTATTCCCTGTTCTTGTCACCTAACTCTAATGTTGGGAGGCAGCTGAGTGGCCTCCAGGATAACCATATTGCAGGACAAAAGAAAGGAGATGAGATGGAAGAGTTCCAGCTTCAGCCCTGCGGAGCCTGTGAGCTGGTGCCAAAGATAACAGAGTAGCATCAAAGGCTGTATGGGACAGCTGTACTGGCAGGGAGCTACAAAGGCAAAAGAGAGAGAGAAAGGCAGGAGAGAGAGACAGAGAGAGAGAGAGACAAACAGAGAAAGACAAAGACAGAAACAGAGAGACATTGAGACAGAGACAGAAAGATACAGAGAGGAAGATCTTAAAATATGTATATTTTAGTATTATGAGTTCTAAAGGATGCGGGAGAAATGGGATGAAGAGATGAAAGACAACAGGAAAATAGAGAAGATGGATAGAGGAAGAAAGGAGGGAAAGTAAAGAGAACAAAGGAGGAAGAGAGAGAGAAGTAAAAACAAAGAAGGGAGGGAGGGTGAGAACCCTGTGGCATAGCGACAGAAAGCAAGGCTGCTGGACTAATTTAAAGGTCTAAGAACAACGAAATGATCATTAGGAAGCTGGTCATATATTTAGGTTCCTTCTCAAACAACTGGGAGGACAACAATCAGTTCTTTTGTCAGAATTTCCTTCAGGGTTTTTTTGTTAAATATGTCAACCACCAAAACCACAATTGCAAAAATAAAAGAGAATCCCGTGCTGAAAATAAATCACTTCTAACTTCGTTAGGGAGTTTAACAGTAGGTTAGGGAAATGAGGGAGGTGGTGTGTGTGTGTATGTGTGTGTGTGTGTGTGTGTGTGTGCGCGCGCGCGCGCGCGCGCGTGCGCTGCAAGTTGCTGACAATATATTATGGAAACGATAAATTATGAAAGATTAGGCTAGCTAATGAAAAACTAACAAGTAGAATATTTGATCTACAGCAGAGATTCTCAACCAGGGGCATTTTTTCTCTCTCCAGAGACATTTGGCAATGTCTGGAGACATTTTGATTGTCATGACCGCAGAGTGCAACTGGCAGTTAGTGGACACAGGCCAAGGATATTGCTAAACATCCTACAATGCAGAGGATAGCACAACAAAGAATTACACAGCCCAAAATGTCAATAGGACAGAGGAGGTTGGGAAACCTTGATGTACAGTTAGAGAGACATATGTTTAGATTTGGATTAAACACTTTGCTAGTTGTGTGACCCTGGACAAGTTATTTCAGTTCTTTGTGTCTCAGTTTCTTCATTGATAAAATGGAGATAACATTATTTCTTCAGCGTGGTGTCAACCTTATCCCTGTGTCTGGCACTAGACTGGTATGCCACAGCTATTATTATTTTTTCCTTCTTTCCATAATCTAAGTGTGGGATGAAGTAAAATAAAATAATAGCAATTAATGGATAAAATATGCCCCAACTTCTTTTTTCTAGTATGTATGAGAAGGTTAGAAACAATGCCAGTTTTCATAGTACATAAAGATGTCATAAATTCTTGCCAAAACAAACAAGTAAATAATAGAAAGGAAGCTCTATGAAATTTAAATGGGGGGCCTTTTCTTAACTGAATATGTTAATAAAATATAACATTTTTATGGCTTTAACATTTATACTCTTGTATTCGATGCCTTTTCTCTTCACCTAAACCCTAGGCTGTGTTCTCATCTACAGGCACAGTTTCTCTTTTCCATGATGTATCACACATGTAATTGCCCTGTTTAGGACTGTAATTCCTGCTGTGCTGTAAGCTTGTGGAAATAAACTGAGACTACCCAAAAGAGAATGAGCAAATGCTATTTATTCACTACTTGCTACGGCAAGGAAGTAAGCCAGCATTACTTACATTTGGCACAGACTCAATGCCAGGCAGAGGAGTGGGAAAGCTTTACAGTAGGAAAAAAAAAGGAAGGATTCAGGTATGCTTTGACTGGGGATGTTGGCATAGGGAGGCTGGAAATGGATTAACTAAAAGTAGAGCGTTCTATGTCATTGGTTAAATGAGATCTATTTGGTTTTCTCTGGTTAGTCCTAAGGTGGAAGTAGCAACAAAAATTGAGAAAGCTGTCAGCTATTGATCTGATCAAATACTGACTGTTTGAGGCTGAAGACTACAGAAGAGGTGATTTGGCTTCTTGAGCTGGTTGCTGAAGGTGTGAGTCAGAATTCTAGTTTAATATATGGTCCAGCTGCTGTCCATTTGACTATTTAGCTGTTCAAGTTCCTGGAAAAGGGATATCATGTTTACCTTACTCTATTTCCAAAGCTGAGTTGAGCAAGTTAAAAGTAACAGTGACTAAAAGCATGCAAAGAAATGCCCAGTAGTGAGTAAACGACTTGTATTCTAGATTATGTTCCTTTCTTTTAGTACTCATTTTAGAGATCTCCAGTAGAATAGGTGGTAGTTAAAATAGAAGAATCACATAAAAGCAGGCCTTCTGATTTCCAAATAAATCACATGGATCTAGGAAAAATGCATACATTTTATTCAGCAAAGATTTATTGAACACCATATATGTATCTAATCCTCTGCCTGTAAGGAGTTCAGATTTTATTGAGGGACATAGACTCATAAAAAGATAATTATAGATGTATGCTCCTGGCCATGACAGAGTAACAGTCTAGATTTATTCTCTTGCCTCAATTAATTAAAAAACAGGACAAAATATATAAACTTGTTTTCAATCATTGAAGAGTAGCATCTCACCAGAGTGACCTTAATAGAAGAAAAATAGAGTAAGCGTAGCAATTGCCCCAGCTTGCAGCTTGGACAGTTCAGGTAGACCTTAGAGCGCAGAGGACCCTAAACAGGGCCCAGTCATCTCCCTAAATTGATGAGAAAGAGTTTATTCGGAGGGATCTCTCAAGTCTCTAGCTGAGTAATGGTCAATACAGATGTGTAAGAAAACCACCTGAGGCTATGAAAAGAAACACACAGGAAAGGGCAGGTAGGATAATGATCAGAGTTGACACAGGGGTTTGGGAACAGTGTGTTCTCACCAACCAGGGTAGAAAGACGTTAAAACTCATGCAAAATTGAATAGAGTATTCAGAAAGGTCCGCTTTGTAGACAGGACAAAAAGCATGTACCACCAAAGGAAAATAAAGTGAGTATATTGAACCTCATAAAAATTTAAAATGTCTTCTCTTCATATGATATTGTCAAGAAAATGAAGAGGCAAGCCAGAGACAGGAAGAAAATGTTTGCAAAACAAATATTCTAAAAAGGACCTGTATCTAGAATATATAAGGATTTTTTACAGTACAATAATACTAATAATCTCCCTCCAAATAATGTGTACACTTTAGCAAAGAAGATATATGGATAGCAAATGAGTACATATCATATAGAGATGCTGAACTTCCATTGTCATTAGAAAAAATGCAAACTAAAACCACAACAACATACCACTACCCATTTATTAAAATGTCTAAAATGAAAATGGCTGCTCATCGAATTGTTAGCAAGAATATAGAGATTGAAATTCTCATACATTGTTGGTGAGAATGTAAAATGGTACAAGTGTTTTGGAAAACAGATTAGCATGTTCTTAAAAAGTGAAACATATACCTACAAAAGGATTCAGCCATTCCATAACCTTGAGAGGAAAATGAAAGCAAATGTCCACACAAAGACTTGTATGCAAATGTTGATTACAGTTTTATTTGCACACCAACTTCCATCAACAGGTGATTGGATAAACAATTTGTGGTCTTTCCATGCAATATAAATTCTACTCAGCCATTGAAAGGAACTATCACTGTTCTATGTACCAACATGGATGAAACTTAAAATAATTGCAGTGACAAAGTCAAACAAAAAAGGAATTATGTTCTATGTTTTCATTTATATTACATGTTTAAAAATACAAAATCATCTATTGTGACAGAAAGCAGATTGGTGCTTGCCTGGGGATGAGGTAGGGGAGGGAGAGGAAGGGATGGATTATGCCAGGGCAGGAGGACATTTTACAGAATGATGAATATGTTCATTATCTTGGTTGTAGTCATGGTTTCATATGATGTGTTTGTGTGTGTGTGTGTGTTTGTCAAGACTCACCAAATTTTACAAATTAAATATGTACAGTTTATTATACATCAATTATGCTTCGATAAAAGCTGTAAAAACGGATCAGTTTATTCCTGATCAACAATGTTCAGGTACATTTCTTTTCTTCTTTATGGACAACCTTATTTCTTAGTTTTATCAAATTAGTTTTATACTACGCTTTAGTCACCTTTTTTCTTCTTATAACATTAGGTATTCTTGTTCACTCAGCTTAATAAAATCAGCAAGCTTAATATATTCCCTATTTCAACAATTAGAGAATATATAACCAAATTTACAGCAAGTTTTTAGGTGTTTCAAATATTTCTGCATGGAGTTGGGTAGGCAGCTGATTGGTTTACCTTGGAGAACAGATACTTTTCGGAGGTAAGAATAAATTTCTAAAAAGAAAAAATAAGCCTGACAAGATATAAATTTAAAATTTTTTATAAAATTAAATTTGAGATTCAGAAATACGTTTTTGAAGATGTTGAATACAGATAGTGACTTCATGAAGTAAATAATTTTAGTATGGTTTGGGATTGGGTTTATGGTGTGGAGAATTTTTAACATAACCAATAATTTCAGTTGCACATATTAGGTATACATATAATAAGGCCAAATTTATAAATTAGTAAAATAAACAGGATTACAATATTTCAAGTAAAATGATATTTTTAAAGCATTAGTCACTTTTTAATTAACCACTATAAGCAATAGATATTGATTTATAAATGAATACCTTTTCATTTCTGAAAGCAATATCTGCATGTTTTATTAAAAGTAGCAGGTATTTTTATAAATCAAAAATTAATTTATAACTCTATTTATCTGTTAAATGTAAAACTGAGCAAATTACTCAGATCATGAAAACAAAAAACTTTGCCAAATTGTCACACAGACATTTCAAGCAATAGTGTTTGGTTAGTCTTCACTCTCCCAGTTAACTGTTGTTATCCCCAAATTTTGTGTGTAGACGCTGTTTTACAATTGGTAGGAGCCACTGTATAACTATATCTTTGGCCTTATTATGCTAGTTCCTCCATTTGCTTTGGATGCTATAACGTTTTATTTGCTATGTCTGAATTAATAGCTCTGTTCCAATAACAAACTAAAATGTTCTCCAGGCAACTTCAATATTCTAAGGAAAACATGGTCCAAGCAATCTATTTTCTGACACTCTTTTACACTTACCCATCCACAGTGATGGAAAAAGTGACATAGTATAGATCTGCAAGTGACAGATTCCCAGCCAGGTTTGTTTCCCCAGCCCTAAACTCACTTAGCAACTCAGACAAAAGAATTTGCTGATGATGTCCTCTACATATACACACAGCCCAACTTAAACACGTTCTCTGAAAATCAAAATGACACAAATGTCCTAAGAATCTATATGCAGTTAGAGAACTCTTGCAAAACAGCAAGAAATAAAGGGTAACACTCCTAAATCATATTCTTTGATAGTTCAGCTTCTCTGACCTAAATGACTCTTACTTCTTCAGTCTGTTGTAACCCATGTACTGAAACACATCCACAAAATCAGAAAGATGGCAGAAAAAGACATGAAATGAAATTCAAAACAGAAGATAATCAGTGAATTGGTAAGAATCAAATTAGGCAATTCTGAAACATGTATATGATGGAAGATTGTAAAACAGTGATAAGAGAGTCAGTGGAAAATAACTGATTAAAGTATACAAGTTAATATTTTCAGAATAATTTACTTAGCAATGTTATACAAATCTCTCAACTAGAAAAGACAAAGCATCTTCATAATCTAATTATTTCAAAAATTCTGTTAGCATAATAATCCAGTGCCATCCTTGGCATGGTATTGCTATTGAGTGCTTCAGTTGCCATCATGGCAAAATCATTTAGAGAAAGTAGCTGTTCATTTATATAAAAAAACTGTTTAGAGTATCACATATAAATAAAATATTTTGATTGAATAAAAATGGTTGCTATAATATGTTAGTATAAAATAATCCCAAGGAAAACACTTTTAAGTAATTAATTACTTGATATTTACAATGGAATAAAGCACATTAAGAACCTTATGATAAGGAATTAAAACACAAAATACCAAACAAAGGAAAACTTCAGTGACATTTTAAACATTTCTGATATTTCAGCTTAGCGCTAAAGTTAATAATATGCTAAATGTGCAGTGTCTTACACATGGTATATTCTCAATACATCTCCATTTGAATAAATGGAAGAAGAAAGTGTCCATATGAATCCTATAAGTCTTAAAATTATATTTATTCTATTGCTCTCATTGCTATTGAGTTTCAGAATGCATTGTGCTATGAATCGTATTTCCATATAATCCAGTAGAAATTGAGTTTTACTGCTTATATTTTAAATAATTAAACATATTAAAATATTGACATAGATAAGTTTTACAACGAAATGTCTGTAAGGAATAAGGAATATAATCAATGTATTACAGATTTAAAGTGTTTTGGTTGAGGTCACTAGAGTCCAACCCTGAGCTAAATCTATTTTATTAACTAACGGCAAAATATTGATTTAAACTCCAAGAAAAGCTGAAGGGATAAGAGTTACGTAATGCTGAGATCAATTTAGTTACTCGCAAATCACATGGTACCAAAAAGAATATTTTTAAAGAAACCTGAGAGATAAAGAATTTTAATAAAAGATGAATTGTCTTAATTAACTTCAAAGAAGTGTGGTAAGCAAAACTTCTATCACATATTCTCTGTCCAAAAGAGAGATAATTATGAGAACAAACTATTTGTTAAACAATATTTTGGGTAATTTATATTTATTAACTCTGAATTCTTACAACATCCCTATGCATTTGCATATTTTGTAGGGGGAAAAATATAGCAAAAAACAAGCCTTTCGTGTTCATCCTGTAGGCAATCTCACTGTAGATTCTTTGCAACTACTCTACACTGCCCCTAGGTTGTTCAAATTTATGGGAGTTTGGTGCCAGGAGGAACACCAAGGTCTAAGCTCTCATATTTTTGGCAGATTTTTTTTGTCATACATTTTTCACTTTCCAATGGGCAAAAACTATAAGACATTTTTGGCAATGCAATTCCTGTATATTACCTCTATATTTCAATATTTTTATGATGTATGATTCGAGGCATTTTAAAAAGCATTATTAAATGGTATTACTCTAATTCAGTTTGAGGCACAGTGATATTTTTCATAGCATCTCTGGGAAACATCATGTGCTTATTAGAAGGGAAATATTCTGACATCAATACCTTTAGGCAGTTTGGTTGAAAGAGAAATGCATTTGAATATGATTCTCATAATATAGACAATCATAGCTGCATTTCAAGTTCAGAAAGAGGGAACAGCTTTACTCCTAAATAAAAACAGATATTATGTCAGAAGGTTTTAAAATCCATGCTCTTCAAAAGCTATAATATTCAGAAGCCTAGAAAAATAATCTGATATAATCCAAATAAACACCCCTGTCTGTCACATAACCTTTAATTATGATATGGCAACTGTAATTTCACCTAATTAGAAAAGGTGAACCCAATTTTGAATTGCAAATTATATCTTTTATGAAAGCTTTTATGAAATTAAGCCATCCTTAGACTGACAGACTCAGTCAGTATGGTTTGAGGTGCCCTATGATGTGACATTTTTGATAAATCAGTGAGCCATCCCAAAACGCTTCTAGATGGAACCAGTCACTGGTTTTGATGCTAGTAGGTACAGCTTTCCAATTAAGACTTGCGGTATAATGTATGAGGGTTGGCACTCTAACCCCCTCCAATCTCCCTGAACTCCTGTTTTCTCATTTGTAAATGGGGATAAAAATACCAACATTTTAATGAAATTATAAGAGCTAAACAAGAATCATAGGAAAATACTCTGATAGGCACTCAAATCATTTTAACTGAATTTAGTTGCAATTAATTTAGGATTGTATGCTTTTGATGATACACAATTCTACTTAGAGTAAGGGAAATCTTTATTAAGAGTAAAAGCCTAGACTATTTTTTAGTTTTACAATTAGTTTTACAGAAATTAAACTTTCACTTTCACTGGTTGATTATGTAATTTTACTCAATAAAAATAAATTGAACAAAAAGGATTAGAAGTTTTAAATCCCTAAGATTTTTAAAATGACTAGCCTAATGAATTTTGGTTGAACAAAATATTATTTAAAATGTAGATGTGAATAAAAATTCCAATGTTCTATTGAGAGTAGCAACTAACAGACATTTTTGTGAACGAATTTATTATGAAATTACACAGATTAGAGGAAAAGTTTTAAGATCCTTTATACTAAAGGCACAGTCCAGGCTTCAGATTTCAGTCATTTCAAACCTTATCAAAAACTAACATTGTCCTAAAATTGAAATTATTCATTTAAAAATAGGCATCCTAATCAAACCTTCAAAGTGTCTGAATGACAACAAGAAAAAAGATCATTGTATTAAAAGAGCAAACACAAAAATATATATTGAATTTTTTTCTCTAAAGTTTAAAAACACAACCCAAAAGAGTTTTTTGTGTTTACTAGTCTATAGATAATTTCAAAAAGTTATTAATGCAAAGCTTCTTAGATTTTAATATGCCTAAATAACATTGAGAAGTGAACCTTACTACTAGGTCTTATCTTAATAATGTATTATTTTATAGTTCTGTTATCTGGTGAAAATAAATGAAACAAAACACCAGCATGACAGCAAGCACAGATATTCTATTGCTAAGTTTTCTACCAGTGCTCCCAGAGAATAGAAGGTAGACCTGAAGAAAAAACACTTTTAGTAAAGGTGAGAGTCTTTCAGCAGAATTTAGAGTGTTATTTTTCAAATATAATTTCAAGAGAATTTGTATAAACTTCTCCCCACTATTGAGAATGGCATTCTGCAGAAAATTCATCAGCATATATTGTGCAAGGAGAATTATGGGCAGTAAAATGTTCAAAGAGTGTTACAACTTTTAATTTTCGATTTCACATGAGTTTGGACAATGGCTGGAAGAAAAAAATATATACAGTTCATTCAGTCTATAGTAAAGATAGAAAGGTTTAAAGGTTGAAACTTGAGGAACTAGCAAAAGATCTTGTGAACTTTAAAAATATATGTAGAATATTCCATAAAGTGATGAAACCGTTCTTGACAGGAATAGCACAAGCACTCGTCTCACAACTCCTGGATAAAGATTGAGCTATGTTCTTTAGGCAAGGAGTTGTAATATACATGGGAACATGTTTCAATAATGACTATCATGTATGAATTGGTACTGTTCATTCTAAATATTTATCATTAAACTTAAGCACTAAGCAAAGTCAGTCATTTTTAAGATTTTATTAACTACAGAATGAGGGTTTATATAAGATCCACTAGAATATAGACAAATGAAAATGTTTTACAATAGGTCAAAACGGAAGCAAAATTTCACCTTCCCATGTTAATCCAAGGTCAAGAATAGGTGAAAACATTAAACTTCACCTAACTTATAAATTCCCATTAAAATAATTCTCATTAAAAGTAAAAAGAAGTTGGTTTGACAGTTTTAATCATTAATAAATTAACCAAACACTTTAGTATCATGTTAATATATAGCAACAACTACTCAAATATTAATAGGTTTTGAGCTGACAACCTTGGAGTATTTCATTTTTGCTAATAATGGTAAATAGTATTTTTGTGCTATTGTAAAGAACTGGCAGGTAGGAATCATATCTTTGTACATATTAAAATATCAATAATTAGGTTTCTGTTTTTATTTAGTCACTACTTCATTTTAGTCCACTGAGCTGAAATTACTTGCATAGGGGTTACCGAGGTCTGACAGCTATGTTGGGGAGCACCTACAGTCAAGAAAAAGAACCTAATAGAACTTTCTTGTGAGGGCTGCCAATGAATTTTTTTCTGAGGATGATACGCTTTCTTTCTCTTTTCCTTTTTTTTTTTTGTTTTTGAGACCGAGTCTCATTCTGTTGCCAGCCTGGGCTGGAGTACAATGGCGCGATCTTGGCTCACTGCAATCTCTGCCTCCCGGGTTCAAGAGATTCTCCTGCCTCAGCCTCCAGAGTAGCTGGGATTACAGGTGTCTGCCACCATGTCCGGCTAATTTTTGTATTTTTAGTAGACACGAGGTTTCACCATGTTGGCCAGGCTGGTCTCGAACTCTGACCTCAGGTGATCCACCCGCCTTGGCTTCCCAAAGTGCTAGGATTACAGGTCTGAGCCATCGCGCCTGGCCAATACACTTTCTATATAATGTACTCTTTTCTCATTTTTTTTTTTTTTGCTGTGAGTACGCTGCACATTTTCTTTCACATAAAATGAATCACGCATTCATGAAAGCCAAAAACAGGTGCACCTTTCTATCCTACAGCTAACTTACAGTTTTTAATTACTTTGCAACCCTTGAACATATTCTTTTTTGGAAATATGTGACTGGATCTTTCTGACATTAACAACTGGCAGGAAAATAAATTCAGGTTTTTCTTTATTCCCTGTATTTGCCTATATTAAACAAGGAAATAAAGCAAGTAAAATAATGTGAAAAGCAGAAGCACACTCACAAAGATTTACCATATCTCTGATGGCTTATTACTTTATATTAAACCATAAAGACCTTAGGAAAATGTATTTTATGTGTCTTTTAGTGCAATCACATTCATTGCCAAAATTAATGCTCTTGCACCAGACTGCCTGGGTTCAAATCTTGCCTCTATTATTTATTATCTGTGTCTACTGGAGCAAATTACTTCCTTTCTTTGATCCTTTAGACTTCTGAGTTTATAACATGGGAATAATAATATCTATCTAGTAGAGTTTTGTGATGTGTACATGAATACAAAAATATTGTTAGATCTGTTTCTGATACATAGCATATTTTCAATAAATATGAACAACTATTATTATGTGACTTGGATCTCTCAAACAGATTGGAAGCTACTTTATGACAGTGGTAAGGAATATATCTATTACTAGTCTGGTACTCTTGGTATCTCCCAAAGACACTAAATATTTCATGACAACAATGGTATTGGCAACAGTAACGACATTGTTACTTGGTCATACATATATTAATAATAATCATCTTAAATATAAATAGAAGTGTTAGTCAAACTTTGAAGCCTTGAATGACATGATTAATGCATTTAGTTGGGGAAAATGAACAGTGAATGCACACAAAATGAAATGATAAGAAGTGAAAAAATAAGGAAACAGAAATGAGAAAGATATTTAAAAAGGGAAAGAAAGACCAATAGTAGAAAATGGCTGGTATTTTTCTCATTGATGCCTCCCCAGCTCAGAATAACCAAGAATAAATACAAATTATCCAGTCAGACACACAGGAATGAATTATAAATAGTACAGTGATATTCATCCTGAAATATCTGTTTCCTGAAAGAAGTAGTTGCATTTGACTCTTATTACATATAAGTTCATGACTTTGAAAAAAAGCTAACTGTTTTTCTATAGTTGTGTTTGTTGTGTTAACATTAATTTTTAAAAACCTTCTTAGGGAACAGTGGGTCAAATACTAAAGAAATTTGAAAGCTCTATCTTTAATTTGTCCCATTCATCTTTAAGTAATTTTAAGAAGTCTCAACCTAGTAATTTTTTGTTTGAATAAATCCATGGTGGAAATAGATGAACTGTTTTCATGCCTAAAGTATTCAATATCATTACCATTCAAAATATTTTTGAGCGCCTACCATATCAGAGCCATATTAGAAGTGAGAGTGGTATAAAGAGACATGATACAGTCCTATCAATAAGGGGATAATACAGATTGTACCTGGAATGTAATAAATAACACAGATCAGCAAATGCTAGGTATGAATGATAAAAACTGAACTTTTTATAAGAGTTCTACAAGCAGAGTAGAAGCAATACTGTTGTTACTGCTGAAAGTTTTCTTTAGAAAGGCTTTTCAACAAGTATATACCTTTCATCAAGTATATTTGTTTCTGTCACAACAGTATTACCAGTCTACAAATGGGAAGTGATGGAATCAAATGATTATGAGAAGTAAACTATAAATGTTTATGATTTCTGCTCTGCTCAGGTGATGAATCAGCACAGTAATATTTTCAGCCCTGAGTTTTAGCCCAGGTTTTGCAGCTAAGCTAAAGCAGTTTCCAATACAATTTTATAGCAATATAGAATTTCTTTCAAATAACAGTGACTATCCTCCAAAGTTAATCTAAAATGTTCAGCCAGTTTACCTCTTGTTGAGACAAAAGCAGTTGCATACACTTTTGAGGATATAGGCTTCAATACTGTTCCTTAATGAAAGTGAAATTATCCAGGAACATCTAACGTGATGTGACATGGTTGATATGAGTATATTTAGGAGACATATGAAGAAAACGAGGGGGTTACGATCTCTAGAAAGAAAGAAAATATGTGTCTCAAGCTATATATTTGCCATATAAAACAATCCCACACTTAGATTTCAAGCAAAATATTACACAATACCAGAGTAGGAAATACAAATGTTATAATGCTACCTTTATATTTTCTAAAATCCCAAATTGCTAAGAAAAACAATGAATACCAAAGATTTTGCAATAATCTTACAAATATAAGCAAATCATGGTCATCACCAGGAAATTAGATGCAATCAAACGATATGTCAATTGTGGTTCTTTTTTCTCATCATGACTTAGTCCTCAAATCAAATTTCATGAATAACTCGGGAGTCTGATTTAATACAATCATGAATTCTAACATTGAGGACATTAAAGTATGTCTGTTGTCTAGCCCGTGCTTTACCCAGACTAATAAAACAAGGGTGCTTAGCCATCTTTACTCATACTTTCTTGTTGTTTTTCAGTAGACTGCTTTATGTGCCATATTAGAAACAAAAGCTTGAAAAATGTCAAACCATTTCTTTCCTTGCATGGAAGTAGAAACATCAGATATATTTGAACTAAATAAAATAGTTTCATTTTGCTTAGACTTCCTTTGGTAACTAATTCAACTATAAATAGATTAAAAGTAACATAAAAATTTGAATAAAGTAGAAATAAATATATAGTTATTACATTAACTAGGGTGCAGGTAGAATACAAAAACCATCCCAGTGAATGTAAGAAATATAATTTAATACAAATAATTATTAACTAGAGATTGAAGAATTCAGAAGACAAATTGGGAACAACACCACGGGGTCAGTGAGGTAACATCTGCAGGGAGCAGCACTAGCCATGGAAGAGTTCTAAATTACTAGAACTTAGTGACTTGGAGCAGGGCTTCTCTGGAGCTGAAATTCAGACCTCTGACTGGCGTTGCTAAGATCAGAGGAGGTGCCCTATGGGTCTGGCATACGGACCTATGAGAAGCATACATCAGTCAGCTGGTTCTGGTGTCTCTGACAGGCTTCAAATCTGGTTTAGTAAGTACTGGGGAAAACGTAGTGTGGAATCAACTGTCACTGTAAAGAAATGTTGGCGGGTGTTATTGACAGGACCAGAAAGCAAGTAGGAAGCATATAATGACAGCAAAGCCTTCTTCCTGCTGCTGTATAGTTTCTTTCTAGTGCCCTCTATTGGCAGATCCTGATAGGAAGATAACCTGTTAAAACAGAAATGAGGTTTACTGAGTCTCAGATTCAGAACCATATGAAAGCTTTTAAAAGGATGACCTTGAAGCTGAAAAGCAGAGGATATTGTGACCAAATTTATGCCAATATTCAACAACTTAGATGAAATGGGAAAATTCATCGAATGACACAAACTACCACAATTCACTTAAAATAAAACACACACACACATAACAGATAATCTGAGAGCCGATTATGAAATGAAGGAATTGAATTTGTAGCCTAAAATGTTTTCAAAAAGAAAATTCCAGAGCCATATAACTTTACTGGTGGATTTACCAAACATTTAAAGAATAAATGATACCACTTCTACATAATCTCTTCCAGAAAATTAAACATAAGGAAATTTCTTCTCAGCACATTCTAGAAGGTCACCATCACCTTTATACCAAAATAAGGAAAAGACTTTACATGAAAATTTCAGGATAATATCTATCATGAACATAGACAAAAATGTTCTTAACAAAGTGTTAGCAAATCAAATTCAACAAAGATAAGATAAAAACAGATAAAATAGGCCGGGTGTGGTGGCTCACGCCTGTAATCCCAGCACTTTGGGAAGCCAAGGCAGGCAGATCACCTGAAGTCAGGAGTTTGAAACCAGCCTGGCCAACATGGCAAAACCCTGTCTCTCCTAAATATAGAAAAATTAGCCAGGCGTGGTGGCGGGCACCTGTAATCCCAGCTACTTGGGAAGCTGAAGCAGGAGAATCGCTTGAACCCTGGATGTGGAGGTTGCAGTGAGCTGAGATCGCACCACTGCACTCTAGCCTGGGCACGAAGAGTGAGACTCTGTCTCAAAAAAAAAAAAAAGAAAAGATAAAATATGATGACTAAGTGGGTATTAGCTCAGGAATGCAAGCAGATTTAACATTCAGAAGCAAATTAATTTAATTCACTTTATTTACCAACTGAAAAGGAATACCCACAAGATAATCTCAATAGGCAGAGATTGAAAATCTAACATTCATTCCCATTCAAAACTCTCAGCAAATCAGGAACAGCAGGGAACTTTCTTTGCCCAGTGAAGGACATCTACAAAACCCATATAGCTAACATCATATTAATTCATGGGAAACTTAATATGGGAGAATTATTTACTGCTAAAATTAGGAAGAAGGCAAAGATGTCCACTCTTACCAATTATTTTTACATTGGGCTGGAGGTTCTAGCCAGTGCCATAAGCAAAGAAAAAGGAAATAAAAGTTACCCAGTTTGAAAGGAAGAAGCAAAATATTGTTTTTCACAGATGACATTTTTCTATGTAGAAAATTAAATGAGTTATATGAAAATAAAAGCCATGGGAACTAATATGTGAGTTTACCAAGTTTGACAGATACAAGATAAATATATACATAAGTGAATTTCATTTCTATGTACTAACAATGAAAAAATTCAAATTAGAATTAAGAAAGTCGTATATTATGTTAAAAATATGAAATAGGCATAAATAAGATAGAATAAATGAAAAACTTATACATTGAAAATTACAGAACATGGCTGAGAGAAATGAAAGAACACCTAAATAAATGGAGAAATATAGCTTGTTCATTGGTTGGGAGAACTCAATATGGTTAAGGCGTCAATTCTCAAATTGATCCATAGCTTCAATGCCACCCTAATTAATGTTCTCACACACCTTTTTGTAGAAGTTGATAAGCTGATTCTAAAATTAATATAGTAGTATAAAGAATAGCCAAAACAACTTCAGAAAGAACAAAGTTGGAAGACCAAGAAAGTTTAATTTGAAGACTTATTTTAAAACCACAATTACCCAGAATATGAGATTGACATAAAAATCAACAAATAAATCAAGGGGACAAAATAGAGATCTAAAAATAAACCAACTCATACATTGACAACTGATTTTTGACAAAAGGGCAAAAGTAATTCAATGAAAAAATAAGAGTTGTTTCATTCAGTGGATATTAATATTTAAAAAAAAATTAACTAACTTTGATACATTGCTCTTACCACCAAGAAAAAAAAAAATCAAAATAGGTCATGGACCTAAATGTAAAACCCCAAATTATAAAACTTCAATAAGCAAACAGAGGAAAAGTTGTTTTGATTTTTATGTAGGCAAAAATTTCATGGCTACATCACCAAAATATGATATTTGAAAGAAATGTCTGAAAAATTGGACTATATAAAATTGTAACATTTTGATCTTCTGAAGACACTGTTTAGAAAATGAAAAAGCCCAAAGACTGATAAATAATGTTTGCAAATTACATATCTGATAATGGACTTTTATCCAAAATATATAAAGAACTGTTAAAGTTTAATTATAAGCAAACTGATTATAGGAATGGAAAAAAATATTTGACTGGAGACTTCATCAAAGAGACTTCTTGTACAGGAGAAACCATTTTGATTTTTGGAGAAAAATAAATACAGAAAGGTGGATACCTGACATTAAAACACTGCAAGTCTCCAAAGAAAATGTGTAAGAAAAATATGAGTTGTGCAAAACAGGTCAAATGAAAAGTACTTTTTCAATCATGCAGTAAAAATGCTAAAATATTTTTACTAAATTGAAAAATCACCATGGCATATACACTATATTAGTTCAGAGAGTTTTTTTCCAGTTTGCAAGCCATTAGAGTATATCTTATTTATACATGTTGAACTGTACATGAACTTTCCAAAGTCATTGTTACACTGAGCTCATAGTTCTCTTTCAGGAAAAGATAAAATGTCCTAATTTTCCTCTCAAGTTTTCCGAAAGAATTCCATGAAGTGTCAAGATAACCTCATCTGTAAGTGTATTGTTGATTTTGGGTGCTCTACGTTTTCTCAATATTTCTGCTTATCTCTAGATCTGAATCACATGGAGGCAGATTTACTATTTCCATCTAAAATTCTAGAATCCTCCCCTCTTAACAGTGGCTGTTTTATGTTGTTCAGTATAGTTTTTCTAGCCACAACACCTATGTCTGCAAAATAATTGATTACCAACAAATACAAGTTTATTGGATGAATAAATCCTCTTCCATTTACATCTCGCAATTTTATTTTCATCTATACATTTTGCAGTAGGAATTCAATTTGACCAATAGTTGTATTCCAAAAGATTTTTCTGTACTTTACTATTGAAAGCTGGAGTTTCTACTAGAAATAGATCAGGATCTAAGAACTAACAACTTGACTCCATGGGTCTTAGAAGTTATGTTAGCTCTTTTAGGCTGAAAAGTAGGTATCTATCCAAAGACAATCACTAGAATAGTATGAAGCTATGACAACAGTGAGTCAAAAGTTTGAATCAAATCTTTTGTATGATTTGGATTTTTTAAATAATTTTTTCTATGTATTTTGACCTTTGTTTTCACTTTACAAATACCTAAGAATTTGGAAAATACTAGCTTACCAAAGAGAGAGAACACTAAGATTAGAGTGAATCCCAATGGATTAGCTGTCAGCTTTTGTACCTGAAGGAGTATTTTCTAATGAACAAGAGCAGGGTGATATGCATATGTGATTTAAAAACCTTTCTTATCAAAGCCCCAGGACCCCACAGATTCTAAGCTCTTATAACTACTGAGATGAAATATTAGGGGGAGTGGCTCTGTATCTATTCAATCATAAAGCACCCACACCACCAAATGATTTCAGGATTGGAAACTATTACATGACACAGTTGGTCTTCTTGTCTTTTCTCCCCCAGGCATCTTCTTTTACACTATCTCTAGATAGCTTTCAGAAAACAATATAATTTCATCACATTTTATCAAGTTTTACAAATTTCACCATATTTTAGGGATATAATAGATATACAAATAAAAGGTACATATTTAGGTTATATATTTAAGTTTTGAAACATGTATATTGCCAGAAAACCATCAGCACAATCAAAATTGTGAACAAATACATAACTCCCAAATGTTACTTCTTGGCCCTTTGTAATTCCAACCTTGTCCCTCCCTGCTTCCCAGGCAACTATTGATTTGCTTTCTGTCACTGTAAATTAGTTTCCGTATGTGCATGTATGTTATATAAATATTACATATTTAGTTGCATTTTATATAAATGTCATTATAGAGTATTTACTCTTTTTAATCTGGCTTCTTTCAGTTATGACAACTAATAGAGATTCATATAAGTGAATTTATCAATGGTTCATTTATTTTTATTGTTCAGTAGATTCCATTATATTCATATGCCCAAAGTTTTTTTATTTATTAACCTGTTGACTTTTTCTTTTCTAAATTCTGGCTAACACAAAGAAAGCTGCTATAAATTTTGTATACAAGCATTTGTTAAAACATAATGTTTCTTTTCTTAAAAGTTAAATACCTAGGATTAGAATGGCTATATTATACAGCAGGTTTACATTTAACTATTTAAGAAACTGCCACACTGTTTTTTGTATCATTATATGAATAACACTTTGTATAAATAATTGTACAATGTATATTCCTACCAGGAATATTTGAGAGATCCAGTTCCTCTAGATATTCGTCAATAAGCATAGTCAGTCATTGTTTTTCTCCATTCTTCTTCTTTTTTTTTTTTTTGAGACGGAGTCTTGCTTCTTCACCCAGGCTGGAGTGCAATGGCGTGGTCTCGGCTCACTGCAACTTCTGCCTCCCGGGCTCAAGCAAGTCGGCCTCAGCCTCCCCAGTAGCTGGAATTATAGGCACGTGCCACCACACCCAGCTAATTTTTGTATTTTTAGTAGAGACGGGGTTTCACCATGTTGGTCAGGCTGGCCTCGAACTCCTGACGTCAAGTGATCCACCCGCCTTGGCTTCTCAAAGTGTTGGGATTACAGGCCAGGCGTAAGCCACCGTGCCCGGCGGTTTTCTCTATTCTAACAGGTATGTCGTGAAGTCTAAGTGTGAATTCAATTTGAATTGTCTTAATGATTAGTGATCTTGAGCATTTTTTCCTGGGCTTATTTAAATATATATTCATTAGACTTAAATTTGCAATCCCATACCTATTGACACAAATTTTATTTTATTTCTCACATTAAGATAGAGCCAGATTACCTGAATTATAGGTTTTTTCTCATGCTTTGGCAATAATGCACATAAAAAGAAAGAAATCAATATGAACACAAGCGCTGTGTTCCTTTTTCCATTCTCATTCCTTTTCTTTCCCCAAGCCCATTATGTACATGCTTGGACATACACGTCTTCAATCAGTCTGTAACCAGACTGTCACTTTGAAAGCTCAACTTCTCTCTCCTGCTTTGCAGTGCTATTCACACCCTGCCTAAGTCAATCATAGGAAATCTTGCCATCTGCAACGCAGTAGACCTTATATCTGTCAAAAGAATGAGAAAAAAAAGAAACAGGACTGCACATCTCAGGAAAGACTCAAGTTAAGGTCAAACTCATTCAAAATCACTTGCACTGTCTTTTTATTATACTCCTTTTTGAACATGCAAAGCCAAATGGGTCCAAGAGGGAGAAAAGCTTCCTGTTCACTCCCAAACTGCAACATATTCAGAAGTGGACAAAAATACTTTGCTTTAAAAATTATGCGCTTATAGGAAAAAATTGCAGATAAGAGGAACAATACCTTCATCCCTGTAAAATGAAAACACTTTAAAAAATAGTGCTCAATATCATATATGCATATATATGTAACATATATATGTATACATAGGTATATACTGAAACAATTACTGACAAAGGCAGACATCTGGTAGTGTTGTTTATCTAAAAAAGCATTTAAAAGATTAGTTGCATTTATCAGTAGAGAATTTAAATTAACATTTTATAAAGTGTGCATTTTAGGGATTCACAAAGAATAAAAGTTTTGAAATTTTGATAAAACAACAAACAGTCATTGCTGTTTTTTAAAAAATAAAGTATTATTGAAATTAATGTTTCATTAATCTCCAGTTTTATTGTTTTAAAATGACTTCTTTAAAAGATAGAGTCTAGCTGAATCAAACAGGTCTACAGACTATGCCCTCCAATTCTATTAATAAACAATTTATTATTTTCTGTTAAATATTCTTGTCTCTGTTGTAAATGATACAGAATTTTTATTTGTAAGTCTCACAGGAAAAGTCCATACTACAAGTTTTGCCATCTATATTTGCAATTCCATGTAATATTCTGCAATGTATAAAGTATTATATAACAGACACCATGATACGATTGCCTTTATGCACTTAGCACTTTAAGTAGGTCACTATTCCAGGACAAAACAATTTGAATACAGTTAAGTTAGTATAATAATAATTTTTTATAAATTGAATTGCTTGATCCTATAATCTGTTAGTTTCTAACCTTTTGGGAGGACGATGCACTGCACTGAATATCTGACTACTTGCTCTGGTTCATCTTCACAAGAAAAACCTATGTATCACTGTATTATATACATTGAATGTTAACATAATTTCAGGATATTCATAGAATGAACATAGAGTGCTGAATCTGTGGAATCCAGGTTAACCAGCTCCAAGACTGCACCATCCAGGTGTGTCAGGTAGGCATTGCATAAGGACACCCAGATGTAGTGGTGAAGTCTGTGTGTGTGCGGGGGGGAGGGGGGAAGAGGGGTGATGTAATACAATACCAATGCAATTGCAAGTTATAAATTCTTTGTAAAACCCAAATTTATTCTTTGTAATATTCTACTATTTCTTATTTATCTGACAATGTATTTGTATATTTTTACCCTAGATATACAGTTCTCCACATCTTAAATAAACCTAGACAAATAAGAATTTTCAACCTACGTATTCAACATATTTACTTACCAAATTCAAAAACATTGAAATTATCCTTTTGCATTCCTCTCCTTGTTTACGAATTATTGTAATTAGGACGGATTACATTTATTCATTTCTACATGAACAAATTTTACCCAGTTTCATGTGACTAGGTCCATGAGATACTAGGAAACGGAAATAGAATATAAAAGTAATTACAACTGGGAAAGTTTTGCTTTCATGCTACAGAATATAATTGTCCAGAAATGTAATTTTCTTGCTATTAATAATCGAGAAAACTCCAGTACAACACACAATTTCATGAACAAACTTTTAATCTTTTTTTTAAATGTGACTTATTACTGGGATTTAAAAAATCTCAGTGAATCAGTTTGCCCCCAAATAGTAAATAAAATATCAAATATATGTCAGAAATAAAATGGAAAACAGATTTTAAAAGTTAAAAATAAAGAGCAGAGCACAATTAAAAGGAAATGATAACTGGGATATATAAAAAGTTATTAGAATTAGCATCTACGGCAATAACATTAGTACATCCCCTATTTCCAAAAAGACATCATGGTGCAAAATCTTAGGTAAGATAACAATATAGGAAGGAAGAGCATTTCTCTGTTTCTTCTTGTCTTTTTACTGCCATCATCCTCCCAACTGCAAGTAGCTTTAAAGCTCTATCCTCAATCTTCTATTCTATTTATAAATCACTTTTTAATAGCTATCTGTTGATTTTTCTACCCAGTATCTACTCACTGTATGTTTCTACATATCATCTTAAATATTCTCTGATAAAATATTTCTTCCCCATTCTATCTCTCTAATTGCTCAGAGTAGGACTCTATTTCTAGCTTCAGAAATAGAGCATGTGACCTATGCTCACTCTGGCCACATTTAGTCATTTGGGATAGGCACACAAAACAGTCTGGGCCACTAACGCACTATGGACTTTTATTTATATATTTTTAAATGTAAACATTTAATTTAAAACTAATAATTCACCAATGAATTAATCTCCAATAAGTCTATATTTGGTAAACGTACTTTTTTGTGGTTATAACGTGTGGCTTTTAATATATTCACAGGGCTGTACAACTCTCACCACAATCAATTTTAGAACATTTTCATTACCCCCCAAAGAAACCTCATGCCCTTAACCCATCACCCCTCAACCCCCAGTTGCTCAAGCTCTACACAGTCAATAATCTATTTTCAGTCTTTGTAGATTTGTCTGTTCTGGACGTGTTATATACATAAATAAAGTTTTATTGGAACACATCCACACTCATTTACATATTGTCTATAGCAGCTTTTGCACTACAACAACAGAGTTGAATTGTTGTGACAGAAACCATATGCCTCACAAAGCTTATGTACTTTTAAATTATCTTTTTTGAATATTATGCCCCAAATACACTAACTTATTTTAATCATGTATTTCTTTAAAATAAATCGAAAGGCAAGGGAAAGTTATAAATTGGACTGAATACATAATCCTTTTGTAGTGGATTGATTACAGTCATTTTGCCAATTTGTTCATGCCTCCCTGTATCCTCATTGACTCTGGGGTTGGTCATGTAAATTGCTTCAGCCAAAAAAAATTAGTTTAAGACAGCAGAATTTTATTCTTTTATAAGTTCTGAAGGTCAGGCATATACAATCATTTTTATTTTTCTGGAATCAAGGTTTTGCCAGGGCTGCCACCTCTTCCTGAGGCTCTAAGGGAAATATTGTTCCTTGATTCTTCTAGGTTCTGGCGGCGTCCTGCATTCCTTGACTTATGGCAGTATAATTCCAGTCTCTGCCTTGTCGTCATATCGCTTTCTCCTCTTCTCTGTGAAATCTCCTTCTGCCTCTCTTATTAAGAATTTACAATTTCACTAAGGGCTTATTTGGATAATCTATAGTAACCTCTTATCTAAAGATTTTTAACTTAATCATATGTGCAAAGTCTTTGTCACATAATGTAATATTCACAGGCCTCAGGGGTTAAGATGTGAATAGATTTGAGGGTACATTCCTCAGCCTACCACAGCATTAATATTTCATTAACATCAGAAGGAAGTGTTTCAAATATTTACTATTTTATATTGTACTTGCCCTATTTTTTTAAAATACTCCATTTTAATAATTAGATTCTATTTCCAGTTGGAAAAATGTTTTCTCTGAATGAATATTGAATTTTATTAAATAATTTATCCATATTTGGTTAGATGATTTTTTTTCTCTTTTAATCTATTTTTGTTGTGAATAACATTGATTGATTTTCAAATGTTAAATGACCTTAGCATTCCTGGAATAAATAACAGTGAGTTTTGATGTATTTTATTTTATATATTTTTACATTTGATTTGCTAATATTTTATATAGGAGTTTTGAATTTTAAGGGAGAGAATTGTTTCTAATTTTTCTTTCTTATAATGCCTGTAGATATTTGATATCAAGGTTTTGCTGTTTATATTTAAAAGATTAAGAAGTGTTTCTACTTCATATCTTTTAGGAAAAATATAATATTTATATAATTTTTCTAAAGTATTTGTAAGATTTCTTGTGTAAACCAATATGAATTTTCTCTGTAAATAGGTACTTATGGGTGCTTAATACCAATAATAAACAAAGACTTAAAAATATTCAACTTTCTGTTACTTTTTGTGTCTGCTTTGGTAAATCAAACTTTTCAGAAGATGCATTATTTTTATCCAAAATGTCAAGTTTATTAATACAGATTTGTTATATGTAACATATGTAATTCCATAATCATTGGATTATCTTCTCAATTCCATATAATGTAATCTATGCTTTTTTCTCCCTTTTTATTTTTTTCTTAGCAAGTAACCAACTTAGATATATTCAAAAGCATATTTTCTCTTTACTTGATGTCTGCTTTTATATTTATTATTTGGGTACTTATATTTTGTTTGGATTAGTTGGCATTTATTTTTCTTATTTTATGGACATACATTATTGGCAACAACAACATAATAGTTGTAATAGAATACGTGTGATGCTTTGATACATGGATGCAATGTATAATGATCAAATCAGGGTAAGTGGTATATCCATCATCTCAAACATTGATCATTTCTTTGTTTTGGGAACATTCCAAACCTCTTGTAGCTATTTTGAAATATACTGTAAATTCATGTTAATTATACTTGCTCTACTGTGCTGTTCAACACTAAAACATATTCCTTCTAACTGGATTTTTGTACTCATTAATAAACCTCTCTTATCCTCCCTCCCTCATACTCTTCCCAGTATCTGGTAGCCACAATTCCACTCACTACCTCCTTTGTCCAATGACTTCAAACATTTCCCTCTATGTTTATCTTCTAATGTATACAATTAAAGCAAAACATTTTCCTCAAAGCACTGTTTTAGCTACACCCAACAAGTCTGATGTAGTATTATGATTATCATTCAGTTCAAAATATTTTCTAATGTTCACTGTAAATTGTCACCCGTGTGTTGTTTTACATTTTTGATTTTTACTTATTTTATATTTGGAAGATTAATTCATTTACATCAATTGTAATTACACACAGTGGTTGGTTTATGTCTACAGTTTTGTTATTTTTAACTGAAAAACCTGTTCTAAAACCTTATTCTTTCATTTGTTACATACTTTCATATTTTTCAAATATTTTGCTTCATTTTTTCCTCTTTCTAATATATTATTTATACATTCTATCACTTTTAATAGTTACAGTAGAGATAACAGCTTGAATCTGTAATGTATTGCAACTTAGTAAAATTAGTATTTGTCAGTTTTCAAAAACGATTAAACCTGAATTTAATTTTCTGTCTGCTCTTTGCTTTATATTTGACATATATTTTAAAATCTTCCTTTTACATATTTAAACTCCACAAGAAATTATTATTATAACTCAGTGCAGTCAATATGCATTTATAATTGCCTGCATTTTAATCCACTCCTTTAATCTTCAGGTTTATTTGAAGTTTATGTTTCCTTGAGGAATTATTATGTTATTGTACTTTAATATTTCTTCAATTCAGGTATGTTAAGCAAGAACTTCACATTATGTTTTTCTGACTGTAATTTAATCTGCTTTTTAAATTCTTTTTTGTATACAGACTTGTATTTTGGCAGTTCTCCCTTTTCCTCCTCATTTTAAGGATACCACCCCATTGTTTAGTGCCTTTCATAGTTTCCATTGAAATGTTAGCTATTAGTGTTTTGCTGTTACAGAAATAGAATTTATTCTTTTTTTCTCCGGCTACTTTTGGGATGCTATTTTTGTAGTTGGGCTTCAGCAATTTGGCTATGAGGTACAGAAACATATCTGTCTATAATTTACATTGTATTTATCCTGCGTGTGTTTTATTGAACTTTAATAGTGGATTAATGTCTTTCAACCACTTTTGGATTTTATCTAACAATTTTCAGATGTCAGTTTCTTCCTTCTCATCTTTAAATCTGGTCCTTCAATTACACATATTTAGAATCTTTCAATGTCTCTTCCATATGCCCCTTTTCTTTTTTATGATTTTTTTTAAAAACAGGATTTTGCTCTGTAGCCCAGGATGGAGTGCAGTGCCATGTTGACTGCTCACTACAGCCTCAAACTTGTGGGCTCAAGCGATACTACCACCTCAGTGTTTTCAATAGCTAGGACTACAGTCACATGCCACTACATTCAGCTAATATTTTATTTTATTTTTATTTTTGTAGAGATGGGATCTCACTGTGCTGCCCAGGCTACTCTTTAACTCCTGTCCTTAAGTGTTCTTCCCACCTCAGCCTTCCAAAGTGCTAGGATTACAGGTGTGAGCCACTGTGCCCGACTTTCTTTTTTTATTCTTTTAATCTGTGTTTCAGCTTAAAATTTGTGGCAATTATACAAAACATAACTACCTTCAATAATGAGAATCAACTGTGTGTGTGTGTTTCCAACCTTCCTCTCAGTCCTAACCTCTCACCTTAAGTACACTTCTACATGCTCTGCTATATTGAAGGCATTCTTATTTCAATGATGTATTATCACTATAAGTAAAAATTATTTCTTAATTATTTTCTACCTATTATTTCTGACCAAAAATGCTTAATTTTGAAATATTCTATTTATCTCCTATTGTTAGATATTTCACAAAATTAGGTTGATTATTTATTCACAATAACTCTTTACCATTGGCCTTATATTGTTTCATCATTGAATGACAAGTTTATATTTTTAGCCCCTTAAAATATTCTGTCCATGTCCCTGTGTTTTGTTGCTAGGAAACGCTTCTCTGAAACATTCTGCACTGACCTCCTCAACCTGTGGGAACAATATTGATAAGGAGAGACCTAAAGCCCAGGGCAGGCCAAATGAGATACTAGTATAAACCATCAATACAGTGCTTAGTCAGAGCAAATTTTAATCTATTGGTGAGGAGTCAGTGAAGCAGGATTCTATAACACCTCTGATGACTAAATGAATTACTTAAATAAGAATTTCTATCTCTGGATTTTGGAACTAAAATATAAAATAAATTAGGCTGTGTTGTATAATTTCATTGGGTAAAGATATATGGCTTATAGATAAATCTTAATCAATAAATATTGACGCATAAAACAGGACGCTGTTTTTTTGTGACATATTTTTTTCCATTCCAATAAATGCTGCTCTCTGTTACTGAAATAAACCTCTAAGTATTGGTTCCCTGTTAAAGAATTCATAAAGTTCCTTCATTTTTCTTTCATCATGTGTTATAACTTGAATTCACATTTTTAAAGTTTATATTCTAATCTTCTACAATATTTGTAATTTAAAGTTAGCTCAACCACTTTATTTCTTCTTACTCAAAAACTATAATCAGAAGTCCTTTTGCATCCTCTCTGAATATCCACACAAATACAACTAAGAAGATACTGGAGGGGAAGAAAGTTGAACCCAAACTAACAATAACACAATTGAAATTTCCAATGATAAAAAAGACAATGAAATTGTTGGGACAAAAACCATCAGTGGCCTACCAAAACTGTATCTCCATAAATAGAGAGACTTCAGTCACTTGAATGAGTAGAATAATATGGCACATAACCCCCTAAGTCTGCCCGTAATGTCAGATTAGAGACCCAGGCCTTATACCTAACAGAAAACTCTCTTGCACAGATAAGAGATTATACTTTTTAAAATTGCCAGTATACTTCTTCTATCCTCCTCCTACTACTTAATAACTATAGATCCCAGAAAGAAAAAAAAAAGAAGAAGAAGAAAGAGATAGGCAAGGGATACACTATACTCCTCAGAGGTAAATTGTTATACGTAGGCAGACAGAAGAACTCGGATTGTAAAGAGGATTGTAATTATTATTGCACTTCACTTGGTGGGTGTTAAAGAGCCAAGAGAGCTAGGAAATAGAAAGATTAATACTAGTAGATAACATAGATTAGACCTGTACCATTATTATGATCTAAAATAGATTATTTATATAAACACAGACAAACTGTTTATAATTTGAGAAGACAAAATCTTCTCAGACCTGCAAGAAATCAGACACTAAGCTGCTAAATTATGCTGCTTGGAAAGCAATTGCAAAGAACATACTACAGCCCACTAAGAAATTAATCAAAACTAATGTCTTTGTAATCCAGTTGTCTAATACTAAGTCATTTATTCATCCATGCAAAAACCAGGTATTTATTGGGCAAGATTTGGTAAGTATACATCAATGTTATAAACAGGCTTGCTGATACCCTGGATAATAGAGACAGGAGAGAAATAATCCTAAAACAAATGTACAAACATACATTATAAAAATTATCGAGTGTTGAACAGTAAAAACAATGAAATCTAGACTTATAGTAGAGAAATAAATAAAAGAATAATGATAGCTAAATATATAATAAATGCAACAAAAATATGCATCTAAAATTTTATATTTTTAACAAATGCTGAGAAATAGGAGGGATATTTGAGTGTAGGAGATTGTGCTACTTTCTTTCTTTTAGAAAGTGACTATAGTGAGGTGATTTTATTATAGTCCTTTACTGACATTGAAACTGCACTACTGTATTAATATATTGTCTTTCTTTCTACTACTGTGGATGAATTTTCCAGTTACATGTCTACTAAAGTGTACTCCTTTACTTTCTCACTAGATTCAATCCATCTCGGCAGTTCGGCAGTTGTCCCTCTTCCCTTCTGCATCTCTTTCATGTATCATCTTTCTTTCTCTTCCCCTCCTCTCATGTATCATCAATTTTACTCCTGCTACTAGTCTATTCCAAACAACAAACATGTTGCAATAGGTCATATTATAAATAAATAAATACTTCCTTGGTGTATGTTTTTTCCCTAAATAATCACTATATAAAATGAGAATTTATGAATAGTTATCAGGGGCTAATGGTTGTGATAAGTTGTAATTAAAAGTCAACAGCCTAAGGGAGTGTTTTAAGATGAAGAAATTATTCTGTATCCTGATAATGATGGTACATTACACAAATCTATGCCCATGTTAAAATTCAGAGAATGTACACCAAAAAGTCTGTATTACTATATATTTATGTGAAAGGAAAATAAAATGAATAATTCAATCAACAATGGTACTTCATTAATTATGAATTATGATGCACTAGATAACAAATAATGCAAAAATAAAGGAAATTTTATTAATAGTAAAATAAATGAACAAAAACTTAGATGTGTTTGGAAAATTTGACATGTGTCTTTTATTCATTGACAGAAAAGCTGAGGTGTTTAGATCATTTATATTTAATATGATTATTAATATGCTTGAGCTAAATCTATTTTGTTATCTGTTTTTGATTTCTTCTGTTTCTTGTTCCTTTTTTGATATTTTTCTGCCTACTTTTGAATTAGTGATTATTTTATGAATCCATTATAGCTTTGTTGGCTTATAAGGTATTGTGTTTTGTTTTGTTTTTTATTCTTTTGAGATTGCTTTAAGGTTAGCATTATAATTTTTAAATTCATCAATGTATATCTTAATGATATTAAACTATGTTACATATTGTGTGAAAGCCTTGGAACAGTATAATTTCTTCCCTGCTGGATTTAGTGCTACTGTTGTCATACATTTTACTTCCACCCATATTATAAACTTCTTGAGGTGTTGTTATTATTTTTATGCTCAACATTACCTTTTAAACTGCATTAAGTCATAAGAATAACCTTTATATTTACAAATGGCATTACCATTTCATAAGCTCTTTATTCTTCTGTGTAGAAATATGTTTCCATTTTGTATTGCTGTGATTCTGCTTGAGAAACTTTCATTAACATTTCTTGTATTGCATGACTTTGGGTAGTGAGTTTCAGCTAACTGTGTGTCTGAAAAAATTATATTTCTCCTTTATTTTTGAGGTGATGCTTTTTACCTGATTTAGTATTCTAAGTTGAGAGATCTTTTTTCTTTCAGTATTTTAAAGATGTTATTTCACTCTCTTCTCACTTGTCTTGTTCCCTAAAGAGAAAAGTGATCTTATCCTTATCTTTGTTTCCGCATACATAATGTGCCTTTTCCCTGACTTCTTTATAACTAGTTTTAAGCAATGTAATTACAATGTCTTTTGTAGTTTTTGTGTGTGTGTATGTGTTTCTAGTATTTAGATTTATTTATTGATTTACTTATTTAATTTCTTGGGTCTGCGAGTTTATGGTTTCCTTCCAAATTGAAATGTCTTCAATTATTATTTCTTCAAATATTTTCAATTTCTCTTCTTTTTCCTATTCTTTGAGGACTTGTTGGTGAAAAAAGCCAAACTCTGTAAAATATTTGAAGAGGTTTATTCTGAGCCTCATATTTGAGTGATCTTGGCCCCTGACACAACCTGAGGAGGTCCTGAGAGCATATGCCTCAAGTCGCTGGATTATAGCATGCTTTTACACCTTTTAGGGAGACAGAAGTTATGGGCAAAGACATATATCAATAGATGTAAAGTATACATCGGTTCAGCCAAAAAAGGTGGGACATCTCAAAGTGGGGGTGGAGGGCTTCCAGGTCATTGGTGGATTCAAAGATTTTCTGACTGGCAATTGGTAGAAAAAAATTAATCTATGCCTGAAGGTTGAAATCAGCATAAAGAAATGCTTGAGTTAAGATAAGCAGGGTTGTATAATTCAAGGTTCTTGTTATGTAGATCAAACCTCTTAGTAAGAACAGGCTTCAGAGAAAATAGAAAACAAATGTCTCTTACCAGATCTTAAAAGGTGACAGACCCTTAGCTAAATAGATTAGGAAAAGACCTGGGAAGGGAAGGGGATTCTCTACAGAATGCAAATTTCCCTACAAGAGAAGACTTTGCAGGGCCATTCATATACATGTCAATACATATTTTGTATGACATGTCATATGTCATATACATATTTTGGGATGCAATACTTTGATTTCTTTAGGGTTTATTATCTGTCATGTCATGCTATACCAGTGTCAAGTTGGAATTTGGTATTCTATTTCTACAGAAAGTCTTATGATCTCTCTATTAATGTTAATGCTGGTCAGTTGTGCCTAAATTCCAAAGGGAAGAGGTTATAATAAGGCATATCTGACCTCCCTTCTTGTCATAGCCTGAACTAGTTTTTCTGGTTTTCTTTGGGTACCCCTTGGCCAAGAGGGTGTGGTCCATTCATTTTTTTGGGAGCTTAGAATTTAGTTGTTCACTTACAGCCTCAGATTCCACATTTATTAAGTGTGTTGGAATTGCTTCCCAGTTCACTGATTACCTGTTAACTTTTTGCAGTCTTTTTTCTCTGTATTGTTTCAATCATTTCTATTGTTACATCTTTAAGTACACAAATCTTTTCTTCTGCACTGTTGAATACATTTTGATAATGCCCTTTACTGTGGTTTTCATATCAGACATTAAAGATTTTATCTCTGAAATTTCCATGTGGGTTTTTGTTCTATAAATTTCCTGCCTCTTGCTTTTACACTTTTATTTTTTCTTTTTTTGGTGAGACAAAATAACATAGAGTTATTTCATTTTATATATTTTTGCCAACTTTTGAGGCTCTTTAAACCAACTCCCCATGAACTGTGAGGTTTTCCAAGTTTCTTTGATGGGAACAGGCACGATTCCAGCCATGTGTGTACTGAAGACACAATTTCCTCTAATACTTTCAAGTGATTATTTCCTTAGCCTTGATAGTTTCTTCACATGCATCAATTGGTCGGTACTCAACTGAATATTCAAGGGGAATCCTTAACAGATCCCTAGAGTATTATTCTATGCAGCTCTCTCCTCTCTGGTACTCTGGCCCTGAAATTCTAACAGCTTTGGCTTCTGTGAATTTCAAATCCATTTCCTCAACTCAAGGAGATTACTTGGTTCCTACTGGGTTACTTTTCTCTCCATTGCAGCTGCAAAGCTTCTCTCCAGGCATGAAGTTTTGTCAATGTTGTGGCTTTGTCTGTTTTTTCGTGTGTCTCAGAGACTACTATACTTAACTGGCTGGTAAACAACATGTTGAGTGCCATTTTTTCCTACATTTTGTCTGTTTTTTTTTTTTTAATTGTTTAAAATGAGATGGTAAAACCAGTCCTTTTACTCCATCTCAACTTGAAGCAAATTATATATACTTTCAAGAAATAAAGCTATACATATGTATTTTTATCCTGTACTATGATATCAATTTTATTTAAAATGTGTATTTGCTTTTGTGCGTGTATAATTTTAACATTAACAGTGCTTATTTATCTGCGGATACTGGATGATGCTTACTTCTTTGCTTGTTTTCAATGTTTAGAATTTTCTACAATGAATGTCTACCATTTTTGTAATTTAAAAACAATTACATGATGTTTTACTCAAAATTAGAGTTATGAAGCTGTTTACACCTTTGTTTGTAGTTTCTTTTGTCAATGTTACGAATGTTAGGTCAAGAAAAATGCAGAGTTCTAAAATCAATTTAAGGGTTAGGTTTTCTTGGTATGTCTTATGATAAAAGAACTGCCAGCTCATTAGAAACATTGCTAAACAGGTAGGTTTGAGATAAGTAAATTGATCAATTAACCTTCTGTTGTTATCGTTTCTTCTCCAGATTCATTGTTGCAGAATGATGTTTAAATATCCATGTGTATATTAAAATATGACTGGTGTGGTTAGCAAACTAAAAATCAATCCAAATAAACAGTAGCAGGAAGGATGATCTTCTTAGCTGATAATTAATATAAATGATGCACATCAGCTTCCTAATTATCTTATTTTTTAAATTTTACTATTAGTTATGATTTCTAAATATTTCAACACAGTGTAAGTTTCCATGATACAAAATGGTCAGTATGACCTGCTTTCAAAATAAGAGAGATATTAATCCTTTTTCTTACAGTTTATCAAGAGAGGCTCAGGAATATAATTTGGTTAGTGTCAATGAAACCTGGTGGTATCAGTGCCTTGTTGCCTGTTTTTTAATGTATATATTTTTTCATTTACTCATATATTCATCTTTAAAAATGCAATTCTTAAAGTTAGTCTATATTGAAACTATTCAAGGAAATGAGTATAAATACATAGATAAGAACACTAATTCATGGCCTAGAAAGGGGAGAGAAAAATACTAGGTAATTAAAAAGCAATGTTTGCATGCAACTATTCCTTTTCAAACTACTATGGGAGAGTATATGTCATTTTCATTAATAAATAATCCATATTTGCACAGAATTGGCTAGGTATTCCACAGTTCTAAAAGGCAAATGCTTTGTGTACTGTGATTTACCTGATAAGGTAGGATTGTCAATCTGACCTTAGGAAACATTGCAAACTCATTGACAGGTTTTCCTTCTGAGGCTTATTTGAGACTCACACCAAAGAAGTAAAGTGGAACACTGGGACAATACTTCAGACAATTAAGATTGTTATTTCATTACCCAGACAATTGCCTTAATTCTGTAGTCTATTTTTTATGTGTGGGTATCTTTTTACTAGTGTAGGAGTTTTGTGTGAGTGCATGCATGTTATGTTTTAAATAATTCTGCTAATATGGAGATACACACTTTGTAAAGCCTGTCAAGGGATTCTTCAATAGTATGGGAAGGGGGATTAGTCTTGTATTCCATTTAAAATCCTTGTATTGTCATCACTATGACATACTTGATGTTGATGTTCAGGTCTTCCAATCTTTAATTAAAAATAAATATATATTATTTTTTGTTTCTATTTTCTACTTAAATAAATTTTGAACAGAGTAAGTTACTAGAAAAAATAATGGTGTTTACATACTGAAACCCTTAAATGTCTACCATTATGTTAATTTTCATTTCTCATTTCAGAGTTATAATATATACACTTGGACATGCAAAGCTTATATATGTAAAATATTCCAAACTATGTAAATAAACAAAAAAGTTTGCATTATTAAATTAAAGATTATAAACGAGAGTACTTCTTGTAAGGAATAATTCTCCCCTGAATCATGCATGAAATAAAAATCAATGAAACAATGTGAGACAACTATACAAGTCTTCTTTAATGGATTGTGCCTTAATAAATACCACATTCATTAAAAACCTTCATTCAAATATATTATCTACACTTTCACCATGTCACTTTACTCTGATTAGAAAATTTCGCTTTACTGAAGCATGAAAAATGAATGTGAAAGGAATGGAATGCCAAAATATTAGTTATTTTCCACACACTAACATGTTTTAAATTCTACTTTAGATCATAAATGAATTAGAGAAATATTTTTATAGATTTGCATTTTTCTAGAAATGTTCCAAATTTTGATTTTGCTTTATTCTAAGTAAATGTAAATAACAACTCTATAGTAATATACATAATATTAGATAATATCATCAATCATATAAGTATAAATAACATATTATACATATATAAATCTCTCCCTTAATGAAAAATTACTTTTCCTTTTGAGAAGCTAAAAATAACCACATTATTTATTTCTAAATATATATATATAAAGAGAGAAGAAAACCCATATATATACATTCATATATATATAAAGTTTCTTTATTTAGTTCTTAAGAGGAATAAACATATCTGATTTAGAAAAAATGAGAGAAAATTATTATTTTTCGTTATGATTACTTTCTCTATTGCTTTTTCATTAAATCAATTTCTATGTGCTGGCTTCCAATCCTTTACAATAATTTTTTAAAGAAGATGATACACATAACAGCATTTGCAAATTTCTGAAATACCCGTTCAATTTAGTATATTTCATCTTAGCAATAAAGGGATTGTCTTGTTAAATGAAAAACAAAGTAAAATAAATTTTAAAATAATCTAAACAAGTTATAATATTACTAAATATCTAGATTATAATATAATGGGTTTTTATCAATTGGTTAAGTAATTTTTCTAGTAAAATATTTTTTAAAAAACAAGAAAAGATGACTAAAGAAAAAAATTACAAAGAAACATCATACCTAAGATCAGTACTCATCTGATATAAATTCAGATTTTGTTTAGTTTTTTTAATTTAAAGATTACTCTAAAAAGAATAAAAATTCAAATGCCTACAAGAAGTAAATGACAAACATAAAAGATTAAGCTAGACATATAAGAAATATAATAGGGTTATTATACGTTATAATACTTAATATAATGGAATATATTAAGTAGTGTGGAGAAAATTTGCTGGTGGCCTGGATATAGGGTGTGATTAAAAGAGAGGAGTCATAAAGGTCTGCAAGACTTAGGTCTGAACAAATAATTAAATAGAGTAAATATACAATGAGACAGAAAACACAGAATAGATTTGGGGACAGAGAGAAATCAAGTTTGATTGGGGATATGTTAAATTTGAGATGCCTATAAAAGCTTCAAGTTGAGAGGTTGAGTAGACAGGATAATTCATGTCTCAGTGAAGTGAAGTGGTTAGGACTAAATCAACTTCGAGATGTGATTTAAAGTCATAAGATTGGATAAGATCACCTGAAGAGTTTATATTGTTAGACAAAAGATTTAAAAACTGAGCCCAGAGGCATTCAGATCTTTAAACATTTTCCTGATGAGGGGGAAACAGCAAAGTAGTCTCAAAAGGCCAATGAAGGAAAGAGCAAAAAGAGAAATAGCAACAAAATGTGTTTAATCCAACTGATGAGTCTCAAAAGATAATGACTCAGAATTATTCATTACCTTTAGCATTTGGGGAGTCACTGGAAAACTTGACAGGGTTGTTTTACTGAAGTGGCTTGGTTAGAAAATAAAACCTGATTGAAGTGAATGCAACAAATAATGAGTAAATAGGAACTAAACAACATAATTATAGAAACTTATTGAGGTCACTTTTCTGTAAGAGGGCTTAACACTGGAGGAAGATATGAAATCCAGAGAGAGTTTTTAAAATGCGTAAAGTATGAGTTGTCTGACATTTTTGTAAATGGTTAGGAATAATCAAATGGGAAGAAAAATTGCTAAGGTGAAAATGTGGCAGAAAATCCCATGAGTGAGGGAAAAGAGGTGGATGCAGAACAGACAAGAGTGTGAACATGCCCCCACCCACCCGTAACTGGGGAAGGTGGAGTATGGGGTTATAGATGCATGTAAGTCTGTAGAATTTGTGGTGGGAGAAATATAAGCATATCTTTGCTTGCTTCTATTTTCGTAAAGAAAGAAGAAGAAGGGTATTCATCAGACCCTGAGGAAGAAAGGGGGATAGAGGGGTCCTAAACAGCTAGGGAAAGATTAAAATAGCTGCTTCAGAGACTTCAGGATAGATTTGGCTAGCAAACTAGTAGGATTGCTGGGCAGCATTGAAGGATATTTATAGTGTCCAGTCATCAATTTGAAGATATCTCAGGAAGCATGACTGTGTGTGTGTGTGTGTGTGTAAATTATTTTTACTTTTATTTATTTAGCTATTTATTTAATTGTCCGAATTGTATTTATTATGTACATCATGATGTTTTGAAATATATATACATTATAAGACGGTTAAATCTAGCTAATTAACAAATGTGTTATCTCACATAATTATCATTTTTGTGTTAAGAAGACTTAACATTTGTTCTTAGCATTTTTCAAGAATATAGGCTGTATGTGGTGGCTCACGCCTATAATCCTGACACTTTGGGAGGCCGAGGAAGGGCAAATCACCTGAGCCCAGGAGTTCAAGACCATCCTAGCTGACTTAGTGAGACCCCCATCTCTACAAAAAATTTAAAAAGAAATTAGCTGTGCGTGGTGGTACCGGCATGTGGTCCCAGCTACTCTACAGGCTGAGGTGGGTGGATCCCATGGGCCAGGAGGTCAAGGCTGCAATACAGCCATGATTCCTCCACTGCACTCCAGCCTGGGCAACAGAGGGAGACCTTGCCTCAAAACAGAAACAAAAACAGAAACAAAACAAAACAAAAAACACAATATATCATCATTAATAATAATCTCTTTATGCAGAATTTTAGGCTCATTAGGGCAGGAGTAGAGTTTGTGTAGACTTGGGTTGGAATTTGGCCAGTCCAGAATGTTTGCGTAAAGTAGATAACAGCAGGTCAGTTGAGGACATATGAAAGAGAAGCACTCTTGTAATGGAAAACAATATTTAAGCCTGATAAGAAAAGAGGGAAGCACGATGAGGCTCATGGACAGGGAAAAACTGGGGGCTCCAAAAGTTGAAGACTGGACAGATAAATGTATTTTAGAACAAAAAAAGGAATACTTTTGTTATAACTTCTAAAAATAATAAAGATCTTTTTATCAACTGTATTGAGATTTAATTTACATCACAACAAATTCATTATTTTAAAGTATACAGTCCAGTGATTTTTTAGGATAGATTTGTGCAACCATCACCATTGTCTAATTTTAGAACATTTTCATCACCTCAAAAGAAACCCTGTGGGTATTAACAGTCATTCTCCACTCATTCTCTCCTCATTCCCTGACAAAGATGAATCTAATTTCTGTCTCTATGGAGCTTTTTATTCTGCATATTTTATACAAATAAATACAATATATGGCCTTCATGGTTCATCTGTTACAGTACATATTAATACTTCACTCCTTTTTATGGATCAATAATATTCCATAGTATGAATATACCACTATTTCTTTTTGCATTTATCACTTTTGCATATACCACTATTTCTTTTTGCATTTTTTAAAAGAGCAAAAGCTTGTGCTTCAAATGATCCCTTCAAGAAACAAAAAGATAACTCACAGGGATAAATTTAACAAATTAACAAGAGAAGTGTAAGATTTGTATACAGTACCTAAAAAACATCACTAAAAGAAATTAAGAAAGACCTAAATGGAAGATTTATTTTTATAGGAGACATTTGCAAATCATATATTTAATAATAGACTTTTAACTACAATATATTATGAACGTATGCAACTCAACAATGAAAAGACAAAATTTTAAATGGGAAAAGTTTTGAATAGACATTTTCCAATAATGCTATAGAAATGGCCAATAATATATGAAAAGATGCTTCACACATTAATTGTTAGGGAAAAACAAATAAAAAGCATATTTAGAAACCATTTCATACTCACTAGGATGGCGATAATAAAAAAAGATGGACAATAACAAATGTTGGCAAGGTTGTGGAGAAATTAGAAACATCATAGATTGCTGGTGGAAAATCCAAAATATTTCATCCACTTTGCAATTTGCAAAGCAGTTTAGCAATTCTTCACAATATTAACATAAAGTTACTATATGACCCTGCAATTTCACTTCTAGTTATTTACACAAGATAATTGAAAACACATATACATAAAAATGTATTAATATATATTTATAACAGCATTATTTATAATAGTCAAAAACGAAACCAATATAAAAGAAAAGCAGAAACAACTCAAAGGTCCTTCAACTGATAAATGCAAAAAGAGATAGTGGTATATTCATACTATGGAATATTACTGATCCACAAAAAGGAGCGAAGTATTAATATGTACTATAATATAGATGAACCATGAAGACATGACCGCGCCCGGCCGAGTCTTAAGATTTTAACCCCTACATTTACATCTGTGTGTATTTTGAGTTAAATTTTGTGTATGATTTGAAATTGGGGGTTTAATTCATTCATTTACATGAGGATATACAGTTGTCCCAGGACTATTTATTGAAAAGGATATTAAATGGGCCGGGCACGGTGGCTCATGCCTATAATCCCAACATTTTGGGTGGCCGAGGCAGATGGATCAGCTGAGGTCAGTAGTTCGAGACCAGCCTGGCCAACATGGTGAAACCCCGTCGCTACTAAAAATATAAAAAAATTAACCAGGTGTGGTGGTGGGCGCCTGTAATCCCAGCTACTTGGGAGGCTGAGGCAGGAGAATTGCTTGAACCCAGGAGATGAAGGTTGCAGTGAGCTGACACAGTACCACTGTACTCCAGCTTGGGCAACAGAGTGAGACTCTTTCAGAAAATAAATAAATAAATAAATAAATAAATAAATAAATTAAAGAAAAGAAAAGGATATTAACTTCCCATTGAATTCTCTTAACATCTGTGCTAAAATCAGTTGGCCATAAGTGTAAAATTGGTTATTCATGGACTCTCAATTCTAACTGCATTATTCTGTGTGTCTACTCTTATGGCAATACGACAGACACTGTCTTGATTACTATAGCTTTATAGTGAGTTTTAAAGTGCAAATCCCCTAAATTGGTTCTTCAAGATAGTTTTGGCAATTATGGGCCCAGCCTCTTGCATTTCCACATGAATTTAAAGATCGTTTTGTCAATTTCTGTAAAAAGGAATCTTAGATTTAGACAGGGATTACACTTAATCTGTGGATCAACTTGGTATCACCATTTTAATAATAATAAGTTTTCTGATCCAAGTATATAAAATGTTCTTCCATATATTTAGGTCTTTCTTAATTTGTAATGATATTTTGTAGCTTCAGTATACTAATTGTTCACTCCTCTTTTTAATTTGTCAAATTTATTCCTGAGAATTTTATTCCTTTTGATATTATTGTAAATGAAATTGTTTTAATTTCACTTCTGAATTATTCATTGCTAGTATATATGAATACAATTTTAAAAAAATATTGACTTTGTGTCCTGCAACCTTGCTAAACTCATTTTTAAATTCCAGTTGGTGTGTGTGTATGTATGTGTATCCATGCCTGTATGCGTGTAGTGTGTGTGTGTGTGTGTGTATGCACGTGTTCCTTAGGATTTTGTATCTACAAGATCATGTCATCTGTGAATACGGATAATTTTAATCTTTCCTTGCCTGTTTGTTTGGATGTCTTTTCTTTCCTTTCGCCAAAATGACATGGATCAAACCTCAGATACACTACTGAAAAGGAGGTAGAAAAAGCAGACATCCTTGTTTTCTTTCTAATATTAAAGGAAAAGGATTTAGTTTTTCACCACAAAGTATGATGTTAGCTGTAGGGTGTGTGTTGATAGCCTCTATCAAGTTGAGAATACATCTCTCCATTCCTGCTTTGTTGAGTGCTTTTAAAATAAAACGATCTTGGATTTTTTCTAATGATTTTTCTGCAGCTATTAAGATTATCATGTGATTTTTGTTCATTATGCTGTTAATATGGTATATTAAATGATGGATTTTCATATGTTAATCCAATTTTGCATTGCTGGGATGAATCCCAATTTATTATGTCATATGATTATTTATAGATGTTGCTGGGATAGTTTTGCTGGGCCGTTTGCTGAGGATTTTGTATCTGTATTTATAAGAAATATTGATCTGTGGTTTTCTGGTGATGTGTTTGACAAGTTTTGGTATCAATAGGTGAAAATGAATGAATAGATTTAAATTCATAGAACAAGTTTGAAAGTATTAGCTCCTCTTCTACTTTCTAAAGTAATTTGTGAAGGATTGGTATTAATTATCCTGAAATGTTTGATATAATTCATTAGTGAAGCACTCTGGAGCTAGTATGTTTTTAAAATTATTGTTATCATTACTAATTCAACTTCTTTACTTGTTACAAGTCTATTTAGATTTTCTATTTCTTTTTTGAGACATCTTTGGGAGTTTTTGTTTTTCTAGGAACTTATCCATGTCATCTAGGTTATACAATCTATTGGCATGGAATTATCATATTATTCCTTATTTTTCTTTTTACTTTTTTAGTGATGTTCCCTCTTTCTCTCCTAACATTAATAATATAGGTTTTCTCTCTCTCCTTATTTCTTGGTCAATCTAGTTAAAGGTTTGTCAATTTTGTTGATATTGTAGGGAAAAAATCAACATTTAATTATTTTTCTATTATTTAATTCATTTATTTTCACCTAATCTTTATTATTATCTGTTTTACACTTGATTTTTTTATTTTGTTTATGCATCTGTTTTCTTAAGGTGGAAGAATAGATCATTGAATTGAGATATTTCTTCCTTTTCAACATAGGTGGTTAAAGGTTTAAATTTTCTATTAAGCACTGTCTTTGCTACATACCACAGTGCTAGTGTTGTCTTTTTGCTTTCATTCATCTTATTGCATTCTGTACTGTCCCTTGTGATTTCTTCAACATATTGCTCAGTGAAACATGTACTGTGAAATTTTTACATATTTGTGAATATCCCCAATTATCTTAACTATATTGATTTCTAAGTTTATTCGATTGTAGTCAGAGAACATTTTTCATATTATTTCAACCTTCTTACAGTTATTGGGATTTGTTGTATATAACCTAACACAAGTCTGTCTTGGAGAATGTTCCATGTGCATTCAAGAAGAATGTATATTATGCTGTGCCTAGGTTTATTGTTTTATAATTATCTGTTAGATGACATGGATATATAATATTTTTCAAGTCTTATACTTGTTTGTTAATCTTTTGCCTGCCTAGTTGTCTTAGCCATTATTGAACATGAAGTATCGAAATCTCCAATTGTCATTGTTAATTTGTATATCTCTCCCTTCTATTCTGTCTGTATTTGCTTCATGTATTTTGGGTCTCTTTTGTTAGTTGAATATATATTTATATTTGTTATTATAAAATGCCATTCATTGTTTAAAGTAATAATTTGCCTTAAATTTTATTTTGTCTGATATAACCACTCCAGCTCTCATTTAGTTATTATTTGCAGAGTATCTTATTCTATTATTTTACTTTTAGTCTGTTTGTATATTTCAATGTAGAGTGTGTCTTTCAGACAGCATACAGTTTGATTATGATTTTTTGAATCCATTCTGTTAATCTTTCCCATTTTATTGGACTGCTTACTCCCTTTACTTTTAATATAATTACTGATATTGTGGAGTTGTCTCTGATATTTGACATTTTTATATGTCTTATATTGTTTTTGCTCCTCTATTTCTCCAGTGAAGACTACTTTGGTGTAAAATAAATATTTTCTAGTTACCACTTTAATTTTTCTGTTATTTCATTTTTTAATAAATGTTTTGATAGTTGTTACTCTAGGGATTAAATAAACACATTAACTGCAAACAATCTACTTCATATTTACACCATATTAATTTCAACAGATTACAAAAGTTTACTTCAATATGTTTCTATTTACTCACCCTTTCTGGGTCATTTTTGTCATACAGATTAGACATTATAAATAATAATCAACAGAGTTTCATAATCATTTTTATGCAGTTGTCTTTAATCATATAGAAGAAGAATAGAATTACAACTAAAGTTCATTTATTTTGTCTTTTATACATATCTATATATTTACTTTTACTAGGGCTCTTTATTCCTGTGTGTGGATTTGGGTTATCATCTAATGTCACATCATTCCAGTCTAAAGGATTCCTTTTTGTATATATTTTAGTTTAAGTTTGCTAGTGTTGAATTCTCTGTTTTATCTCATAAAGTCTTAATTTCCACTTTTTTTGAAGAATAGTTTTATTGGATACGTAATTCTTGGTTAGCAGTCTTTAATTTTTCAGCACTTTGAATATGCCATTCTATGAGCTTCTTGTCTCCATTGCTTCTGATGAGAAAACGTATTGTTAGTCTTGTTAAAGACATTTATTAAGTGACAAGTGACATTTCTCTTGCTGCCTTTAAGATTTTTGATTTTGTTTTTGGCTTTTGGTAGTTTGATTATGATGTATGTGGGTATATATCTCTTTAAGTTTATACTTCTTGGAATTTCTTGAGCTTCTTGAATGTAAAGGTTAAGGTTTCTCATCAAATTTTGTCCATTGTTTCTCTAAATACTTATTCTTCCCCTTTGCCTTTCTTCTCTCCTTTTAAGTCTCCCATTATGTATGTGTACATTTTTGTTGGCATACTTGAGGCTATCCCACAGGGTTCTGAGGCTCTGTTCATTCGTTCATTTTTATGTATTCCTTTTTTTTGTATGTTTAGCCAACTGGATAATATTCATTATCTCTTTAATATAACAGTTTTATATATTTGTCTAGTACAAATACCACACATGCTTGAAAAGAGCTTCTACAATTATAGATTACAAAATATTTGCTCATAATTCCGATAAAACTTTTACATTTTATTTTTACTTTAAGTATTTGGTTCATTTAAAATTTATTGGTATATGAAATGAGGAAAGGATAAAGCTTTATCTTGTTTCTAAGAAAATAGTCATGTTTCCATTATGGATCTGTCATTAAATAACCCAATTCCCTCTTTTCTTTTTAGTGAACAAATGAAATTTTAATTTAATAGCTAAGCATTTGATATCTACATATGATATATAATTACACAATGAAGAATCCATTAACTCGAGACTTTATGAAAGCCTCAACTGGATGTGATAAAATACAGTCAATAACCTAGGTAATAATAGTGACATTATTTTTAAACACAATATTACTTGAGTATATAATAATGCCATATGCATAATATTCATTATTTCTAACCCTAGTAACATTTTTTTTTGAGACGGAGTTTCGCTCTTGTTGCCCAAGCTGGAGTGCAGTGGCGTGATCTCGGCTCACTGCAACCTCCACCTCCTGGGTTCAAGTAATTCTTCTGCCTCAGCCTCCCAAGTAGCTGGGGTTACAGGCACGCAACACAACGTCTGGCTAATTTTTTTTTGTATTTTTAGTAGAGATGGGGTTTCACCATGTCGGTCAGGCTGGTCTCGAACTCCTAACCTCAGGTGATCCGCCCGCCTCGGCCTCCCAAAGTGCTGGGATTACAGGCGTGAGCCACCGCACCCGGCCTAACCCTAGTAACATTTTTTAAATTTTCAAATTAATTACTACAGTTCTTCGATTCGTTTTGTTTGTTTGTTTGTTTTTTGACAGAGTTGTACTCTGTCATCCAGGCTAGAGTATAGTGTTGTGATCATGGCTGACTGCAGCCTCATCCCCCCAGGCTCAGCTGACCCTCCCACTTTAGCTTCCTGAGTAGCTGGAAATACAGGCAATACACCACCATGCCCAGATAATTTTTGTATTTTTTTTGTAGAGATGGGGTTTTGTCATGTTGCCCAGGCTGGTCTCAGACTCCTGGGCCCAAGCGATCCTCCTGCCTTGGCCTCCCAAAATGTTGGGATTACAGGTGTGAGCTACCTCACCCCAGTAATTACTATAATTCCAATTTTTACTTTATAAAATCAGTGTTACAGAAACCACTAGCTCTCTCTTCTTTATAGGCAAATGGGCTATATTCAAGTTTTTCTTAAAGGTAAGTGTGACCATGTGACTTCATGCTATTCTATCTAGAATGTGAGTGGAATTATGGATCACTTTCATGTATGTCCCAGAAAATCTTCCAGGAGTACCCTTCTACTCTTAACCTTTGCATCCTATTGAAATGGTGTTGATTATTATGACCCTGAAAACCACATCGTTAAGATGGCAGTGACATTAGCCTCAGACTCTTTGTACAATGTCTAGTAGAAAAATATTCCCCCACCACCATGCCCTGCAACTGTTGAGAGTCACTTAGCAAGAATTACACTTCTATTTTATGTTGGCATTACATTTGAGGTTATTTTGAAGTGGTAAAGTAAAATGCTGATGTAAAAATAATGCAAACTATGTGGTCTTGTCTTAATGATTAAGAAGCAGTGCCGGGCCTGGTGGCTTACGCCTGTAATCCCAGCACTTTGGGAGGCCGAGGCGGGTGGATCACGAGGTCAGGAGATAGAGACCATCCTGGCTAACACGGTGAAACCCCGTCTCTACTAAAAATACAAAAAAATTAGCCGGGTGTGGTGACGGGCACCTGTAGTCCCAGCTACTCGGGAGGCTGAGGCAAGAGAATGGCATGAACCGGGGAGGCAGAGCTTGCAGTGAGCCGAGATTCCGCCATTGCACTCCAGCTTGGGTGACAGAGCGACTCCGTCTCAAAAAAAAAAAAAAAAAAGGAAGCAGCCAGTAAGAGAAAAAATACTAAAATACTACAGGTTAGAAATCTGAAGACCCACCTTATACAATGACAAAATATATTACAAAATTTCCAACAGGAAAAACATAAAAGTCAGTGCATGTTACCAACAGCTCTAGGAAAAATAATTGGAAAAAGAAAACTATTAGTGAGTGTAGATAGCTTTGCTGCTTTTGGCATGGTAATATGATATAGAGATGAGCTCAAGAAAATATTGACACATTGGCAAAGCGAAGAATAAGTCTCTCAAAAGGCTGGCAAAAACAACTAATGATGGACCCTAAAAAGTAGAAGATAAGGTTGAAAAAGGCTTTGAGCAACAAAGTTCTATTAAGGCTTCTTAAATCCCATTTAGGTCTGTAGTAAATATCAGATACAGGGTTTATCTTCTCACTTAAGACTATTTCTGTCTACATGATCTACTTGTGGTTGCCATTAAGTAGTGAGAGCAAGAAAGTAATAGGGGCAACAAACATTAAAAATAAAGCAGGCTTGAAAAGTGTGTTCAGGAGGCAAGTCTGGGTGAGTTACCAGTACCTGAAACTGACTACTAGGAAATAGATTATTATCTATCATGAGTTTTAAGGTATATTATATTGCCAAAGAAACAAGAAGTCTGACCCCCAAAAATGTCTTTAATTGTTTAAGCTATAAATAAACCTTGGGCTTCCAAGTTTGCACCAGCAGGAACCAGGGTGTAAAAGCTGTACTATTCCCTAAGCAAATTACATTCTCAACACTCACCACTGATGTGGACATGAGGACTAATAAACAAGAAATAACTACTCAGAGGACAATGTTGGAGCCACTGAGAACATTAACATTTCTCTTTGAGACAATATTCATGCTCTAATAAAATAATTTCCTTCATTACCAGAGTAAGATTCTTTATAACACCTGTCCTACAAAATACTATCATTCTTTTCCTCATTTTTACAATTTCAGTGTTTTCCCATCCTCACCTTTCCTGTTTATTTCTGCATGGATATCTTTTCCCCAATCCACTGCTGTATATTGAGTTTAAAGGTATAGAAGACTTGTCTTTTCAGTTTAGAAATATTGAGACCAGAAGGAGCCATCAAACCCTGACCTAACAGTAAGGATTATGCATCAAACAGAGATTCTGCACATTGGGCTGCATATTGTTTTCTGCTTCCCTCAAAGTCTGCTGTGGCCATTTGAATGATATAAAGCCAAGGAGATGTAAGCAAAAGTGTTATGTGTCACTTACTGGCCTAGCCCATACAAGGTTCCTCATATGCTTGTTTTCGTTGCTGGCTGAGATACTGATGCCCAGAGCAACCTTGAAGTCAAGCATTGAATGTAAAGAAGTTGAAATATCCTACTGACTGCATGCAGTAACCTCCCTGCCTACCTGGTATAGCCCTGAGATGTTATGTTTGTGACAATTAACTTTCTATTTCTTTCTTCCCTTGCATTTTATATTTGTTTGTAATAGTAGTATAGACTACCAAATATCTTAGACTTCAACTACTTTAAACAGCTCCAAATATAAAACCATTTGTCTCCAAAAGCCAAAATATTTTACTATATTACAGTTTGATTAAAGAAAGAAAAAAATAAAATTAAAAAAACTTGTATATTTTACTATATATTAACTTCAACACAAATATCTACCATATCAAGAAGGACTGTAGGACTTTCACATTAATGTCTAGACTTTTTTCATTATTTTGCAGACTATAGGAAGACAACGTAATTTTTTTCTTTTACTTTAAATGGTAATTTACTTTAATAGATCTCCAAACTACTTTATTATTGTTTAGACAGTTTTATATTATAAGCTAAATTCCACAGGATTGGAGAATATTTATGTGTGTGTGTGTGTGTTTTTGTTTACATTCTAATTCTCCTATTTGATAAAGAACTATAATATGATATGTCTTTAAATGGTTAGTTTTGGGCATGCTATTATCTTGGCTACAATTCTTTCTCTTTGTAATATCCAAGCTAAGCTATTCCACTGGTCTGTTAAATGACATTTATGACTTTGAAAGATTTCTTATTCCTAATAGCATGTGCCTTGATAACCATCATGAATATTCCTTTATCCATGGCCTTATATTGTGAGGGAACAGTAATTAAAATTATAAAATCATAGGAGAAAGTTCCAAAAGATATATCCAAGTTGACTTTTTTTAACCACTCTTCAACTCATCTAAGCATCCTAAGTCTGTGAAGCCTTTCAAGACAGAAGATGAATTTTTAAATCAATAACAACCTATAATGATTTTTTCTTTTGCATTTTTATTCTATTTCCCATACACAAGAAGAGATGTAAGCTGCCCTTCATAAAATAATCCTGCATATAAATGAAGAAACTATGTATTATAGTTAAGAAATTTCACCATGTGAAAGAAATGCCTAAAGTGAGCAAAAAAGTATAGAAAAGTGAAAACATGAACTCTTCTGTGGCATACATATTTACTTTCTTTGTGGTCTATTACTTTTTGTTCCCTTTTTTACCAATCCTTTTCTTCTGTAATTGTGCAGAGTAAGACTGACAAATATTGGCTGAGAATATTGCCAGGTAGATAAATATCCTAATATCTGCCTATTAGGAGGCACAGAATCACAGAGAGAAAATGGCTTTTTAATGGCACAATGCAATATAAACCCAACACATTGGAAGTTAAAACTGATGGCCTCTCACTTCCTTGGATAATATCATTGTTCAGAAATTTCTCCTCAAAAGAACTAGTTGCCACCAGAAGAAATATTTTAATGCAATCAAGTAAGCCACATATATAATATATATTAAAAATTCATAAAATTCATAGTGTACTCTTATCACATAAGATATTAAGATATTTATCACAATGAATTCTACAGGCTTCAGCAAAGGCCTATTTTTATATGCATTAGAAATATGATCTTTAATCACATTCAAAGTATTTTACGGCAAAATAAACTTCAGTTATGTGACTATGACACAAATTAACTTTTTTGCATTTCATCCATATGTCTGAGTTCTTTCTAGATGCCTCAATTCCAAGAAGATATTTACAAAATGCCTTAAATACTGATTAAGCTGAATTTGTTAAAGGTTATCTCCTCCACACACTAATCTCACTAGATTATTAATGAACCTGATTTCTTTTAAACCTAGTTAATAAATTGCACCATAGTTGTGTTCTAAATGTTGATTTTTACATAAATTTCACTTGTTATTAATTTTAAACACTTTCTCCAAAGCAGTACTTTAGGGTACAAAATTAGATTTATAAAGGTAAGTTGTTTCTTGAAAACTATAAGCCATTGAAAGGAAAATAATAAAACTAACTGATGTTCTACACCCTTCTCCCATAAATTCATCAAGAAGCATCAAAAATTCCCTAGATGATTTTGAAGTTATTGAACATCATTAGGAAATGAAAGAGTGAGTGTTCTTTTATGTGGTATTTAATTTAAATGGGAGACCACGTTTCTGATTTAATCGAATCAGTATTTCCTTCTGATTGCACCATTGTGGTAGAAAACTAAATTAGGGTAGAATTAAACTTTTGAAATTAATGTTTTCAGCAGAAACAGTAAGAGAGCATTGGAAAGAATGAAAGGAATAATGGGGTAAAGAAGCATGGAAGAAATAAAAAGTAAGGAAGTGAAAAAGAAGGGAAGAATCAGAGGAAGGTTCAAGATGAATAGTTATTGTGCATGTTCTTTGCTGTAGATACAACAGTTAATGCTCTTATATGAGCAATCTCAGTTAATCTTAGAGCAGCAACCTGAAGAAGGCAGGTGTTTACAAGCCTGTTCTATAAATGGCTATATTGGGGCGAACTGTAATAGAATAAAAGCCCTTTTATGCAAAAAAAAACTCAAAGTTTTTACTGTTGATAGAAGTCAGTTTAGTCTGAGAATCATGAAAATACAGTAGAAACAATATGTGCATGCATTAAACACTTAATTTAACGGAAAATATTGTACTACATTCATTATTGGAAAAAAAGGCTTTTTGGCATGGGTTGCTGATTTCCTCAAGATCTGTCTCACAGAGACAACTAGAACACAGTGTTATGATTTCTAGGTTTTGTTCATTTGTTTGTTTGCTAAAATGAAGTGAGAAATTAAAGATGTTTGTGAAGCACTCCAAATTCAGAATCCTAGGTTTTTATTTATCTCAAATCTTTTGAATTCTTTGGTTATACTAGTTCACAATCAATTTTTAGAGATGCTTTTATAATGTCTTCCAAAACATTAATTTTAATACAAATAGAATAACTATTTTTTCACAGTAATAACAAACCAGTTTATACAAAGTTTAATTAAATTATCCAATTACATGGTTTTATGATATATGGGAAAGAAGATCCTTGGTCTTTATATGGCTAAATTTGTGATATTTTAGAGAGAAGTATAATGTTGGAGTATTCAGTATGCAAGAGGCAACAGTAAATGGAGAGAAAGATGGTAGAAGTTGGCTATGAGCATTTCGATTGTAATAATAGCTATTATTATTCACTTAATGAGTGTTAAGTCCTGTACACATACTGTCTCTGCCACAACCCTCTGGGATAGGTTTTATTACACACACTTAAAAGATGTAGAGACCGAGTCAAAATATTCTTTCCAGATTGTTATCAACGAGCATAGAATGCATAGTTAATTGCTCAAAGACATGAGGATAGAAGCTCATTTCAGTCTGATTCTAAAGCTCTTAACTACTACCAGTAAGCAAGGAAAATGAGGTGATTTTCAACATTTCAGGCATGCTCAGTGTAATGACCATGAAATCCTCCTCTCAGATTCCCCACTGCAGGAAGTGTAAGTGATTGCTGGTCCAATCTGCAGTGCTCTGAAATCCATCTCATTTGAACCAAAGCCATGGTTTTTAAGGGCTCCAACAAGCCAACAAGACTGAGGAGGACACTGAAGATACTAAGGCAGGATTATTGCTGGGAGACGAAGGACTCCACTAAAGAATCTAAGAGAAGATTTTGACTATGCTTTAGCTCCCCATCAGGCTTCTTCAAACATTCTTAGAACTGCATTTCAATCTAGAACCTTTCTTCCTTCCCTCTTTCCCTTCCTCCTGCCTTCCTCACTTCTCTTTTGCCTTCTTGCCTTCCTCCTCTCCTTCACAGGGGTCAAATGTTCATTGCAGGCTCATGGTTTTCACAGGCTCCACCAACTCTCCTCCCTTTTCTCTCTAGTGTTTTTTTTTTTCCAATAAATCTTTTGCATAGCAATTCCTTCCCGGATACTGTTTGTTGGAGAATTCAGACTAATAGATTAGAGAACCCTTATAACTGCGAAGAAATAGTAGAAGGTTGCTGCATGGATATTCCAAGGTACCTACTTATGAAGGAAAACAGTGTTTCATTGTTTGGCATGGCCTTCTTTAGGAAGGCCACCTCTAATATACTCATATATGTTAATTCATCTAAAGACTAGCATACAATATACATATGCTTTGATTTTGATTCTGAGTAAGTCCTTAGTTACATCTATCAAATTAGTCTAGCTGATTTTAATGTATCTTGTATTTTTCAATCCTACTCTTTAAAGTTGAATGACATATTCTGGGCTTATTTTACAAGTTGGATGTACTGTACAAGGTTACAGTAAGCCGAGATCATGCCATTGCACTCCAGCCTGGGCAACAATTAGATAAAATGGGCAAGAATTAGATAAAATGATTGATAGATGAGATGTTCCTTGAAAGTATTTTAAAACAATCATATAAATATTAGTTCACCTGAATTCCTTTATTACTTGAAGAAGCATTCAATACCTGGAGTCTTCATTAAAATGTAAATACATATACTTACCAGTAGTAAAAGTATTATTGGAGGAAAATGAATGCTCTCTTAAGTGGTGAAAGAGGTAAAGAATAAAAAGGTAGTAAAAGTCCCTTATATACAGCTCTAAGTTTTGTAAATTATTCTCCAAAGCACAAAATACATCTTGTCTTAAATATACATATTGGGAGAGGCTGGGTGCAGTGGCTCATGCCTGTAATCCCAGCAACTTTGGGAGGCTGAGGCAGGTGGATCACCTGAGGTCGGGAGTTCAAGACCAGCCTGACCAACATTAAGTAACTCCGTCTCTACTAAAAATACAAAATTAGCCAGGCGTCGTGGAGGGCACCTGCAATCCCAGCTACTCAGGAGGCTGAGGCAGGAGAATCACTTGAACCCAGGAGGCGGAGGTTGCAGTAAGCCGAGATAATGCCATTGCACTCCAGCCTGGGCAACAAGAGTGAAACTCCGTCTCAAAAAAATTTTTATATATATACACACATATATATGTACTGGGGGGAAATGGGGGAGGGGTAGCATGGTGTGGAAGACCAGGAGTTGTGAAGCTACATATTTTGGTGAAAGGGCCTGATTTGCCTATGAAGCTATGGGACTCTCAGCACCCTGATTTCCTCATATAAAAATTTGAAATAATAAAATTACTTCGAAGTTTTGTTATAATACTTAAATAATTCACATATCTAAATTATTAACATGATGCTTATCATATTGTAGGTGCTTCATAATGTTATTTCCAGTTTCTTGCTCAGGTTAGTGAATAAAGAAAAAGAACTGCATCTCAGTTACACAGACAATAATAAAGATGATGATAGCTGATACTTAATATCCATCTTCTGCATGCTCTAAGAGAAATGCTTTATAAATACCATTTTACTTACTAAAAAAATTGTATAGGATTAGCATTATTTGCTTGATTTTACAGATGAAAAATCTGAGTGTCATAAAAATGAAGTTCAGGGTCAATCAGCAAATAAGCAGGGAAACAATTGCAACTTGGTGTTTCTGGCTTTTGACACCTATATTTATAATCCTAACAATATAATTTTTATAGAAGACTGAGGTATGCTTAGGAGAAGGTATGGATGATGCCATAGCCCTGCTATTACTAGAAGTCCTGGAAAAAGCGAGTAATAACGTGGCATGCTCTCTCTCTATGGGAGCACTCATAAACTGCCCTGCAGCTACCACAAAACCAAGGAGATTGTCCTCCCTACAGGAACAGAGTCAATAAAAGGTTTCCTTTCTGTCACCAAATCCACAGTCATCTTACATTTGGCCTTCGAGGAAGTGATGTATAATTTTAGTTCACGCCTGTACCCTAGGTCTTCATAATATTATCTCTCTACTTGTTCATAGTGAAAACTGTCAAAGAATCAAAATTTCGTCTTTAGAGCTAAAGCAGATAGCCTGGAGGCAAGACATTATGCAATATTTATATCCAGGTGTGTTTAGTTACTCAACAAGTGCAAAGGGTAGGTCGCCTAAAAGTGAGAAGAGAAATTTTAACTCAGAAGAAAAAAAAAAAGAGAGAGAGAAATCTGACTCGCAGAAGCTAACGTTAAGCTTGTCTTAGTCTAATTTTATTTGTGTTTACCTGAAACTGTGCCCCTACCTGGAGATCAGAGAGATTGGTAAAATAATTTTCATTTAATACTCCTTTCACCAACAAAGCTAGAGCCATTATTTACTTATATACTTCTGAAACAACACAGGGATTTTTTTTTGAGGTTTTGCCTGTTGTGATGGTGGTGGTGGTGGTTATATTTATAAAGAATAGTTAAAATATAGTATCTTGATTTTTATTATCATTATTTTTAAACAGGGTGATGATATGGCAACTAATATGTATGTCTTCATATTAAATTGTGGCATGAAGTGCTTTTTAATTTTCTATATCATTTCGTGTTTGTAACAACATTTACATAAGTATTATTCTTATAACACAGACAAAAATTAAAGGTAGGAGAAGTAAAGGAATTTTGACAAGAAATTAGCAGACAGAACTAAGGCCAGCTTTTTTTTTTCTTTTTTTTTAACAATAAAGGCCATGTACTTTCCACTAAACTACACTAGATTTAGGCTTTAGAATGTCATGCTGTTGTTGTTTTTCTGTTTGCAAATACTCCAAAGACACAAAGAATTTGAAGTTAATTTCATATGTGCCGTGTTTTGCTTTGTTTATTGGAAAGTCCATAGTAGCGTTTTTCAAATTATACGTTGAAATCCCTTAACACATTATGAAATCTATTTAGCAGTTGAAGACCATTTTTTGAGATTAATAGAGCTTAAATTATGTACTAATAAGACTTTTGATTTTCCAGTGTTGCATAACAAGCTACTTTAAAATTTAGTGATTAAAAAATTCATTAGTGTTTTATTGATTTTGTGAGTCCAGAATCTTCAGACAGAAAGCCTTGGGGAACAATTATTTCTGCTTCAAGTAATCTGGGGCTGGGGTGCCTCATACGGCGGATGAATGACTGGGGTTTAGAGTAGCTGGGAACTGGTCAGGTCTCTCTCTCTCTCTCTCTCTCTCTCTCTCTCTGCCTCACTTCCCTCTCTCTCCTTTACTCTCTTTCATCTTCTCTCTCTCTCTCTCTCTCTTTCTTCCTCCCTGCTCACATGGACTCTTATATATAGTCAGCTTGGGCTTCCTCACAGTTTGGTGGCCTTGGGAAATGTGGCAGCCAAGGACACCAAGGGCAAATGTTCCAAGAACCATGAAACAGAAAAAGCTAGTCTCTCAAGGCCTGGGCCAGAAAAATGGCATCATATCACTTCAACAATATTCTATTGTTCAGAGCAGACACAGACCAACCAAGATTCACAGAGAGAAGATATAGAGCTTATGTCTCTAGGAATGGAATTCTAGGAAGAATGTCTAAAAAATATGAAGCTCTGCCAAAAAATTAAAAGCACTGTTTCATAAAACTTTTGTTTCTCTTACACAAATATGAGTATATACTTGTTTAAGTTATAAAATATATACTTTGGGTGAGAAAAGTTCAAAATGTTGTGAAAGCTACTATAGTTCCATGTGCACATTAATTGAATTTGGTGGTCATATTCAATTTTACTTTATTCCCAAAATACACAACTTTATTTGTGTATTTACTCTATTCAATTCTTATTCATTGTATAAAATAAAGCAAATATTTAATGTGCCCAATGTTGTATATAGTATCCAGTTTCTACGTTAAAATTTCTAGATATGAAATAAGGCAATAATTGCCATTCTGAGCACATTTATTTCATAATATTTTCAAATTCCATATTCATTCCAAATATTATCTGTAATCATGAGTTTGAGAGGAATAAAATATTGCTGTTTGTATTTTTTCTAACTAATTTGAAAAGTAATGGATAAATAACTAGAGCATGACAACAAAATGATATGCATAAAATAATCAATGATGTCATTTGTGAAACAATTATTCTAATAAGTATTATAACTTATTTGTAGATCCTTCTGATATAGATACTAATTATATACAATTTATGAAGAATTATAATCTGAAGAAGTTAATGCTCAGACCTCACAGCTGATTGGTAGACTTGAAATCCAACACAACTATTTGTAACGCCGATAACATATTCATAAACACTACGCCATTCTGTTTCCTGAAGCTTTTCTGAATTTCAGATCAGCAAAATAATTCTTTATACCATCTTTCTATTTGATCATAAAGATAAAGCATATAAAATGTTGTAGATGCTACTAAACCATTGGCTGGATTTATCAAATTCTTAAGTGTGTTAATAAGGCATTATCAGGTTGTTTACAATGCTCTTAGAGGAATAAAAGAAAATATCCTAAAAATAAGAGGACATCACAATGATTGTTTAATCATCTTTCTTCAGATTAAAAAAGTCTCAGAAATTAAATCTTACCAGTATTATTTTAAATATTCAGAAAGAAAAATGCCATGAATCAAAGTAATCCATTATTTCAGCCAATTGTATTAGAAATGCACTTCTTCTATCTACTTTTATTTACTTTATTTCCATAGTTTGTATTTTAACTCTAAGCTTAGTTGGGGCAGGGGGAAAGTAATAATCAATCTCTAAATAATGCTCTTTCATATATTATTAATAAGTTTTTATTACTGGGGAATGATTTTTACCAAGATATGTTAGGGGCCACTTAAAAGGTATTAAATGTTTAGAGTAAAAAAGTAAAAATGAATAAAACATATAAACAAACAGATGCATGAAAAAATATTTTAACAAATAGTTAATGTCAGTATTCTTCATGGCATTTTATATAAACTGGAAGCTTATGGAACCAGACACTGTGACAGTAACTTGGAACAATCTATAGGTGGGACATACATAAATTAGATGAAAGGTAGCTAAGTTATTGACAAGGGTTTGAAGTATATTAGTTGCCCTGCCTTTTAAATTATGTTTATCCTTCCATTAGTTTTCTACCACTGTGTAATAAATTATCACAAAAATAGTGGCCTAAAACAACACATATTTATGATCTCACAGTTTTCATAGGTCAGGTGTGTAGTACAGGTTATCTGGGTCCTCTGTTAAGGTCATGTCAGACTGAAATGGAGGTGTCAGCCAGGGTTGCAATTCTCATTTCAGGCTCAGGGTCCTCTTCCAAACTCACTAAATTCATCTTGGCACAATGCATCTTCTCACAGCTGTATTCTTGCTACCTGTTGGTCAATGATCATACTTAGATATTATCAGCCACCCACATTTTCTTGCCACCTGGCTCCCATAGGCAGTCTGTAGCATAGCTACTGTGTTCTTCTAGATTAGCTAGAGTGAGTCTTTTTGCCAGTCTCTACTCTACTATGGGTGAAGTCATATATTTGTAATGTAATCACAACAGTGACTATCTCATCATATTCACAGGTTCTATCCTTACAGAAGGGTGGCCGGTTATACAATGTATCTACGTAGAGGAGGAGAGTGGAAACCTGGAAATATTAGAAATCTCTCTATTCCAACTATTTTACTATATGATATATAAATGAAAAATAAACATTTACCAATTATTGTGCTAGACTTTAACATTTATATATCTGTTTATAGTATGAATGTGTCATTTGATAGTCATCGTGGGTGTAAAGTCAAATAAAATATATTTCATATTTTCCTAAAGCATTACACTCTTGTGATGAAGAAGGATAACTAAATCAGCAACTATCCTGGCAGATGTTATGGTTGAGGTAAAGGTGCATTGAGATCACAAAGGAAGGTAATATAATTCAGAGAGGAGGTCAGGAAGTCATTGTAAATTAATATTTGAATTAAGTTTTAAAGGATATGAGGAACTTGCAGAATGAATAAATGAAATAGAAGCATTCCAAGGAGAGGAAAAATTGTGTAAGGAGAAAAACAAGAAATAATATATGACATATTTAAGGAGTATGAACAGTTTGATATACATTGAGGTAAGGGTGCCTATAATGTGAATGTAGCCTTAGCCATAATCTCAACATTAATAAGATCTATATTAATTTAATTACAGCTACAATGAACTATATTGAGTTAATTAGAGCTGGATCACTGATGTCAGAGTGAATTATGTTTTAACTAACATTGGTGGCTGAATTCAACATCTTATGCAGCAGTAGACAACTTTGATAGTTCCAAGAACAATTTTTTAAAATGTATGTAAAGCTTATTCATAAGGCATAAGGTAGTTTCTCCTCCAAACATTTATTATAATAATTCTTGTACTATATGGTAATCTTTTGAAAAGAATAAAAATTTCAAATATTATCATAATAGGTGAAAGAACTAACAAATGTAGGTTGCATATATATGATGTTATAGACACCTAATATTAATTATGATGTGTAACATTCAGACTAAAGTGTTAGATCCAGAAAGAGGGAAACAAATAAATGAATGAATGAGTGAATGAATGAATAAAATATGAGCACCCTCTCCTATGTAGTGATCAGGAAACTGCCATTATCTCCAAAAGGATACATAATTTTAAATATTTTACATCATCATAAAGACGTTCCTTTTGTCATTTTTGTTTTCCCAATTAATTCACATTTATCTAACTTTCAATGTTTTTTAATCTTCTAAAATGACAGTTTAAATCTAGATAAAGTCTTAATCAAAGTCAAAATCAGAAAAGTCTTAAACAAGTGTTTATGATATTATCAAGACAAAATATAGGAGTGTCTCTTCTTTGTTCCATAGCTAAGGCAAGACAGTATATCACTATGGCTAAAAGCAGGAATGCTGGAGGCAGGCTGATTGGGTTTGGATTCCTCCTCTGTTTCTTAGTGGCTGTGTGGCCATGAGATAATTACTTAATATCTCTGTTAACTGAAAATAATAATACTATCTAACTCTTAAGGTGGCTGTAAGTAATAAATTAGTTAATATATGCAAAATGCTTAGAACTCTGCAGAGCTCAGAAAGTTTTCGCTGTTTTTTGTCAAGGAAACCAGGGTTGTATTGAGATGAACTGAAGGAAAACACAGGAGCTGGGAGCTGTTATTGAATTGGGTGGAAGTTCCCCTCTCAACCCCTGTTAAGTTTTCCAGAGTCAGATTTAGTGCAGAACATGGCTGTTCTCCAGAGAACAGAAGTGTCAACAGCTGTCTGTAGTCAATAGCTAAATATTCTATGCTGCCATTGTGGTATACCAGGGCCCTAAGGTGACATGGCCACTGAAGGGCTGGGTCTTGAAACTAGTAACCCAGTGAATATTGGGAAAGGGTTCCAATTGTTTAAAATATCATTTATCAAAATAGCTTCAGTATATTCATTTGCCGTGTGTGTGTGTAGTTTAGCAATAAATTTTATGTGATGTTATAATCAACCAGCCAACTCAAATTAGCAGTAAAGAAGAGAAAAATCATAAGAGGTAAAAGAACAATTGATGTAAATCATGACATCTCTTTCACATCAGGTTAAATTCATAATCCATAGTTTAGAATCCCCTTTGGCCAGTGACAATGACAAACCTCTTCATCAGAGCTTTTAACCCTACTTTTGATCAGTGCTCTAAAGCCTGCTAAGGATGAACAATTGCTTCACAAACACTGTTGCCCTGAGAGGCATTTTTTAGCCTGTCTCTCTAATGGAAATATATAGTAACTTAAGAAAGGGAAGAGTGCTAGGAAGTGCATGAAATGCACTTGGCAGTGAAATGTGGCCTTGACCATCACGGGTTGCCCTGCCTCCAAAAAGCTGCCCTTTGTTTTACAAGCTTATAGTAGGGGACTATCCAATGCTTTCTCAATGACAGACAATATTTCACAAGACTGTGACACCTTTTCTGGCCTCTGCATACATCTCCCAAAGCAATTAAAATTTTTGAAATAGTAGCTTTAAAAAAAAGCAAATAAATAGTTTAAAAAACCAATGAAGAGGATTAGTGTGAGCCATATCCTCTTTTTTCATATTTACACTCAGAATTTAATGGCACTTGACTCTGAAATCATTCCAGTAAAGCGGAAAATTAATATTTTAATATGTCTACCACTTCAGCAAGTAGAAATAAGTAAAGTGGAATAAGTAGTAGAGAATAAAATGTTTTAGTATTAACTATATTTATGAATATTTATCACCCCTACCCATCAAATATCTGCCTTTCAGCATGCCCATTCACTTCTATATACAGTAAATCACTGGGGAACACACACTACCAATTGTTTCACATTTTATAGAAAAGAGGATGACAATTTCCTTTTAATATTCTTTTGATTAGATTTTGTCATAATTTTTTACTAAGTGAATCCAAAAGACTGAAACATAGCTAATAAAAAAACCATTATCCAAGAGTTTTTTCATGGAACGACATAATTTCTTATCAGTTTTTCTTCATCTAGAGGGGAAATGACAGAGAAACAGGAAGAAAGAAAAAGAGCATAAAATGACTGCTGTCTATAATACTGTCTGGAAATCTGTTTTGCTTTAGGGTCAAGCGTTGTAAATATTTGACCCATATGACTGTGTTGTGTTCATTCTGTGTATTCATTTGTTTATTTTTATGAGTAACAGTCTGTCCAAGTGATGCTTTAAAACAAATAAGCCATTAAAATTAGTGAAAACAAACAAATTATTGCTATTAAATGAATCTTTGGAGTATACAAATGGAATTAGATTTTTTAAACCATGTATACAATTATTATTATAGCATCATATCATTATTATCATTATATCTTTTTATCTGATTTTATAGACTACTTTATTCTACATTTTAGTATCTTTCAAAAATGTATTCCAAATGTCCCCACTACCGCTTCCCATTTATATATACACATACTGACACTTACATGCACTTACATGTAGTTGAACACCTCCCCCTCCAACACACACACGTTTGTAGGTAAAGCAAAACTATCTGTATAATTCATCTTTAAAACACAAGGTACCAAAATTGCTATATTTAGCTTAATTCCAGAACTTTACTTTTTTTTGAAAATGGGTAAATGTTTCATTTACTTTGAAGACAGGAAAATGGGTCCAAGAGACTACTATAGATAGGAAATAAACATTCTTCAACGTGCCCAAATACGAAGATAATATTTTACCGAAATTATTGCTTATAAAAACAGAGTTATTTTACATCCTTAAAATATTTTCTTATCAAAGGACACCCTCTCAATTACTGTATTCTGAACAGCAATGTTTTTTGGGGGAAGACACAACAGCCTGAAATTATCTCAACTAGTGGTAGTTTGAATTTCATATAAGTAATAGAATTTTAAAAAGAAGAAAATTTTAACAGAGATTTAACAGTTATTTATAGGGGAATTAATTCACTGTTGTAAGTTTGAGGCATTTTAATAATGAAGCCTTTTAAAGATCAACTTAGAAATGGATAACAGAAGCAGTGAATGACATTGAAAAACCATAAATATAGATACTTGGAACAAAAAAAAAAAATGAAAGAAAAGAAATTGCCCTTATGCTATGTGAATGATATTCTGTGACTTGGGATAAAATTCCTGTTGGTTCAAAAAATGTTGTATCTTACTTATTTAGATGGTAATAAAAATGAAGCTGGGAGTTATCTGACTCAATACATGCTTCTAGGGTAATGAGGAAAGTGATGCTAAAAGTGCATGTGATAGTTTAAAAAGTTACTTGGTGAATTGTAGGACTGATAGAAGTAACTTTTAAAAACTAATTTTTTAATATATTTAATGTTAAGTGCTTATGTAAGTAAGTTAAATACTATCAATAGATACTTACATTGCTAATGGTATTTATTGAGTATATTACTGTTTATATATTCTTGCTAGAATAAATGTATTTGTGGTTGGTTAGTTTCAATTAGAAAATCAGGTTATTTATGAACACATAAAGTGTTTTAAAACATACATAATTAAACTTGAAATAAATTAAAATATGTAATAATATTATCCTGAAATTCTTCTAATATTTTTACTTTAGGCAGATGCCTGGTTTCCAAAAGTACGATCCTTCCAGAGCACTATCACTATTTGAGATTGATAACCTTTTCATGCTGTATAAAATAGGAAAATAGAAATTTCATTCAACCCAACATCTTCTACAAATGAGTGTATGGCGCTCTCCAAATACAAAGGAATAATTCTAGGATAATAAATTTGGGGTAAGAAACAGTCCAAGTGTGATTCTTTTTTCTTCCCTCAGTTATCATTTATACTAAAGTGTATAAAAGGTATTCTTCTGTGATCTCCAGGGCATACATATGGGCTAAGGATGACAAGTATACTGTGTAAAAGCATTTTCTGACCGCAGTGGTTCCATATACTTATGAAATACTACAGAGGTTCATAAGATCTGAAAGCTTTCAAATGTGAACTTTCTTCTAACATTTTGGTAGCCAGTAAACTAGGATATCAAAAAATACTCTTAGAACATAACAATTTTCTCTCTGACTTAGGCTGTTGGAGGACACATAGTGGAAAGGACACATAGAGAGACGTGAATTTGAATCTTGTCGTATCCATTGTCACTTTCAGTGTAACACTGGGCAAGTTACTTAACTCATTTTACGAAGTAATCCAATAACACCAACCACACATAGTTGTGATGGGAACTTCAATTAGTCAACGAGTATTTATTAAATACCTAATATGTGTCAGCTACTGTGCAAGGTGCAAGGAGAAAACAGCTATTATATATATTTTTTAAAAAAAAAAGAAGAAGAAGGGAGGAGAAAAGAAAAGGAGCTTCCGCACCCACCCATGGAGAGTTTATAGTATATGAGGGAGGAAAAATTATAAACAATTGATAGTATTGCATCAGTCTGTTTTCAGACTGCTATATAGAACTGTCTGAGACTAGGTAACTTTTAAAGGAAAGAGGTTTAATTGACTCACAGTTCTGCATGGCTGGAAGTCCTCAGGAAACATACAATCATAGTGGAAGAAGAAGGAGAAGCAAGTACCTTCTTCACAAGGTGGCAGGAGAGAGAGAGCATGCAGGGGAAACTGCCACTTTTAAAACCATCAGATCTCGTGAGAACTCCTTCCCTATCACAAGAACATCATAGGAGCAATTGCCCCCATGATATAATTACTTCCTATCAGGTCTCCCCCTCAACACGTGGGGATTATAATTCGAGATGAGATTTGAGTGGGGACACAGAGCCAAACCATATCAAGTATTAAATAAGATAATAGGAAAGACACATTATTAGAGAATGTCCCTACATCTTTAAGAGCATTCTTTAGGGAATAGTCTTAGTTCACCAAAAGGGGAAACTTAGGCAAGGACTTAGTGTATTTGAGACACAATCCCAAGGGGGTACATTTGAGGAATAGAGACAGCAAAATGACAAAAGCCATTGAAAAGTATACATTAATGATCCAGATACTTCTATGAGTTACTGCTGCTCAGTCCCACTGGGAATTCTCTGAGAAACCATGAAGATCCTGACATACAATCATCATACACAATAATCTTTTAGGAAATGAAATAACTTATCCACTGACTACCACTCCTCAGTTGTCTCTAAGCATTTGAACTTCCCTCTACTTACAGGTTACACCCAGCTTGTGGCTGAGCAACTTCTCTGATATCCTCTGGTAGAAAAGAGTTAAAAGTGTCTGAAATTGACATTTTTCAAAGCGCAAGAAACTGTCTATCACAGCCTTAGGAAATTCAAGTGGGCAAAAGGATATATGTGATTTTAACAGCTTCTGCTTCAAGACATTGTTGAGATATTTTATCTACCAAAATTGAGTGTTACACTTTTTCTCCTATAGCTCTAATCATCAAACACATCTTATTTTTTTATATAGTTCACTTTGATCTTATACCCAACAAAGAAAATGTCTAAGAAGTGTGTTAGTTGTAATTTCCAATTAAGTTGAACACATAGTAAAGTCTAGAGACAATATGCACCTTTAATTTCTCATTCAGAGCTCCTGTTCAGTCCTGAACTAGCAATACCAATTCTACAAAAACAAGACGCTCATCCAGCTTTATGTTTTTTCAGCTGTTATTATCCATTTGGCTCCATGGAGTTCTGCTTTACCCAATCCTGTTGTCTAGCAAAATGACTACATAGAGCAATAGCTTTACTATCTTCAGTGATTGTTTCTGATGACAAGCAAGGAGGTCATTGGAGTGTTTCTAAGGTACTGCTAATCATTCAATGAAACAGGCAGAAGATATCAAAAATGCCAACCTAATAACAAACATTTACAGAGTCCTACAGCTTGACAATGTGAAAAAAGACAGCAGAGTTGGAGTCAGATATATCAGGTTTTAAGTTCTTACTTCACCTTTCCATGAATGTTTGACTTTAGGATTTTGAGTAACCTCTTGGACCCCCAGAAAATCTCACTGGAAAAAGAGTGATACATTAACTATCTTACAGTAATATGATGAAGCGTAGTGAAACAACATATGTAAAATGTTATTTACAGTGGCAAGTACTTGAGATACATTCAGTAATGAAGGCTATCATCATTGTTAATGGCAGGAATTTTCAAGTGAGTCATTATGTTTACATGCCACAAACTATAAAGATGATATTGACAAATATTATTGAAAATTATATAACAGGTAGATGATAAAACTATTATAATGTTCCTTAAAGACAAATATAATGACTTTTCCAATTTCTTTCCTGCTGCACACTACATTTCTTCAGTTTATTATGTGTTTAGTCCTTAGGGTTTGGAGAAGGGAAATAATTTAGCACTACATAATAGGGAACTTATATTAAAAAGAGGGTGCATATCTAAATTTCAGCAATTATGGGTATGCTGAATATATCAGCAAATGTGTGTACTAAAGCTACCTAAGGAAAATATAGTTTACTGAACAACTACTACTATTGCTTATTATGGCTTTATACTATTAATAAAACTTTTAATAATAAGTATAATATGGTAGATTTAATAGCAGTACTTTGAACTTTTGATGTGTATTTTATGTTACTTTGAACTTTGATTCTTTAAATAATATTTCTGAATGTATATATGAGTCTGACTAAGAAGAGACAAAACAATAAGAAATAATATCTACTTCAACCTCTTTCCAAGGGAAATAATCATTTAATTGTTTGAACCAATGTTTCTCTTTGCTTCAGTGCACTTAGAACTCTCGGGTTCCTTTTCAAATACGTGTGCACTCCCCTTGAAATAAACCAGTAATAACTTATGTTCTTTTGTTATCCTTCATAAGTTATAATGATTTTGGTCATTAATATTTCCTGTTTAAATAAGCAGTATTTCCAAAACCATTCCTTACTTCCCTTCTATATCCACACCCAAGTATATTGGAAGTAGCACTTTGTTTCTTAAAAATTAGTTATAGTTCTTCATGTTGATTCATGGACAATGACTGTCGGAAAGCATTGCTTCCCTATTTGTTTTTCAAGACATCAAGTTTACTTATAACAAATTAGTTAAGATGTTTTGGAGGCTTTCCAATTGCCCACCATTTGATAAAGGTCATCATTCACTAGTGTAATAGTTCCAGAAAATTGGTACCTTACTTATAATGGGCATTTTTCTTGTACAAAATCTTGCAGGTTACACACAAGACCTGCGTAAGTAGGAAAGAGGAAAATGATTGATGATTAATAAAAACATTACCTACAGGCTGACAGCACCAGAGACTAAGGATTTACACTAAATTGGAGTGAAAAATGCCTTACCACTACAAAAGGACAGCAAGTACCTGACCTCAAATGGCAAACAGAAAAAGAGCTCTATGTTTTTGAAAATAAAAATGTAAATAAATACTATTCTATCATTTATATATTAAGCACTAATTATCTAAAATATAATCTGTTGCATATTGTGGGGACGCTGATGATGAATAAGAAAAGAATCTTACCACACTAAACTTGTCTTACAAGAGAAATCACAAATATATATGTATTCTTTAATAGATTTTGTTAAAAGGTAAAAAGTTCCTCATCTTTTCTGACATGTATATCAACTAGATTTATCATTCATTCATCTATGTAATTGAAAAAATATGAACATTTGTAATTTCTTATAAGCTTCTATTTTTACTACCAGGTAATCAATGAATATACATATAAATGTGTTAGAAGAGGACGTTCCTTGCCATGTGTATTAGTCCATTTTCATCTTACTGATAAAGACATATACAAGACTGGGCAATTTACAAAAAAAAAAGAGGTTTGTTAGACTTACAGTTCCACATGACTGGGGAGGCCTCACAATCATGGTGGAAGGCAGGAGGAGCAAGACACATCTTACATTAATGGAAGCAGGCAAAGAGAGCTTTTGCAGGGAAAATCCCATTTTTAAAACCATCAGATTTCATGACAATCATTCATTATCACAAGAACAGCACAGTAAAGACCGGCCCCCATAATTCAATCATCTCCACCAGGTTCCTCCCATGACACGTGTGAATTGTGGGAGTTACAATTCAAGATGAGATTTGGGTGGGGACACAATCAAACAATATCATTCTGCCCAGGCCCTTCCCAAATCTCATGTCCTTACATTTAAAAACCATTCATGCCTTCCCAACAATTCCCCAAAGTCTTAACTAATTTCAGCATTAACTTAAAGGTCCACAATCCAACACCTCATCTGAGACAAGGCAAGTTCTTTCTGCCCATGAGCCTGTAAAATCAAAAGCAAGTTAGTTACTTCATAAATACAATTGGGGTACAGGCATTGTGTAAATACAGCCATTTAAAATTGGAGAAACTGGCCAAAACAAAGGGGCTACATGCCCCAATGCAAGCTTGAAATCCAGCAGGGCAGTCAAACTTTAAAGCTCCAAAATGATTTTCTTTCACTTCATGTCTCATATCTAGGTCATGCTGATGCAACAGGTGGGTTCCCATGGTCTTGGGCAGCTCCACCCCTGTGGCTTTGCAGGGTACAGTCTCCCTCTGACTGCTTTCCAGGCTGGCATTGAGTGCTTGTGGCTTTTCCAGGCACATGGTGCAAGCTGTCAGTGGATCTACCATTCTGGGGTCTGGAGGATGGTGGCTCTCTTCTCACAGCTACAGTAGGTGATGGCACAGTGGGGACTCTGTGTGGGAGCTCGGACCCCATATTTCCCTTCTGCACTGCCCTAGCAGACGTTCTCTATCAGAGCCCTGCCCCTGCAGCAAACTTCCACCTGGGCATCCAGGTGTTTCCATACATCTTCTGAAATCTAGGCGGAGTTTCCCAAACCCCAATTCTTGACTTCTGTGTACCCACAGGCTCAACACCACGTGGAAACTGTCAAGGCTTGGGTTTGCACCCTCTCCAGCCATGGCCCAAGCTCTACATTGGCCCCTTTCAGCCCCAACTGGAGTGGCTGGGATGCAGGGCACCAGGTCCCTAGGCTGCACACAGCACAGGGACCCTGGACCTGGCCCATGAAACCACTTTTTCCTTCTAGGCCTCCAAGCCTGTGATGGGAGGGGCTGCCTCAAAGACCTCTGACATGCCCTGGAGACATTTTTCCCATTGTCTTGGGGATTAATATTCAGCGGCTTGTTACTTATGCACATTTCTGCAGCCTGCTCACCTGAATTTCTCCTCAGAAAATGGGATTTTCTTTTCTATCCATTGTCAGGCTGCAAATTTTCCAAACTTTTATGCTCTGCTTCCCTTACACAACTAAATGCCTTTAACACTACCCAAGTCACCTGTTGTATGCTTTGCTGCTTAGAAATTTCTTCTGCCAGATACCCTAAATCATCTCTCTCAAGTTCAAAGTTCCACAAATCTCTAGGGCAGGGGCAAAATACTGCCAGTCTCTTTGCTAAAGCATAACAAGAGTCACCTTTGCTCCAGTTCCCAAGTTTCTCATCTACGTCTGAGACCACCTCAGCCTGGACCTTATTGTCTATATCACTATCAGCATTTTTGTCAAAGCCATTCAACAAGTCTCTAGGAAGTTACAAACTTTCCCACATTTTCCTGTCTTCTTCTGAGCCCTCCAAACTATTCCAATCTCTGCCTGTTAGCCAGTTCCAAAGTTGCTTCCACATTTTCAGGTATGTTTTCAGCAGCACCTCACTCTACTGGTACCGATTTACTGTATTTGTCCATTTTCACGTTGCTGATAAAGACATACCTGAGACTGGGCAATTTATAAAAGAAAGAGGTTTAATGGTCTTACAGTAACACATGGCTTATGAGGCCTCAAAGTTATGTCAGAAGGCAAGGAGGAGTAACTCATATCTTACATGGATGGCAGCAGGCAAAAAGAGCTTGTGCAGGGAAATGTTATCTCATTCTTTTAGTTATCTCATTTTAATAGTTCTACATAATTTACTATATTTCACCTCCCACATATTTTATGATGTCTATTTACTAGATTAGAATATGTCTGATCTAGTAAATGGATAGTGGAGCTCTCCTGTTATCTTTGTGATATCTTTATTTGCTCATTCAAATCCATCAATTTATCCTGCATACACTTGTTAATAATGTTATTTAGGGCATACTTGTACCTTGTGCTACATATTATCATTAATTAAATTTTTCATTATAAAGTGATTTATTTTTCATACATAATTTTTGTATGTTCATAACTTTTAATTCTTGGTGTCAAGAATATAGTGGTAAACACAATGATAAAAATCTCTGTCTTTATGGAATCCAAGTACTAGGGAAAAGAATTATAAATCATAAACAAGCAATTAATGGCTAAAAATTCATACATTATTTTTAATATAAAATATTAAGTGATAATCCCAAATTGACATATATTATATACTGTCAGGTATTCATAAGTGCTTTGAACAAGAAAAGTAGCAAAGTGAGAGGATTTGAAAGTGACTGGATTGGGAGTGTGTGGGATTATTTTACATAGAGTTATTGGTCAGGAAAGGCCTTTCTAAGAAAGCTTATTTGAATAGAAAACAGAGTGAAATAAAATAATGAGCCATGAAAATTTTTAGGGCAAAAATGTTTCAGACCAAATGACAGCTGGTTCAGAGGATTTGAGTTGGACATGTGCTTAATATGTTGAAGAAACAATAAGGAGATACTTAAGGCAAAGTATGTCAGAGACTAATACTTAGGATTTTATTCTTTAAATGTAATGGAAATCTTCTAGAGGGTTTTGGGCAGAGAAATGATATAACCTCATTTATTCCTGAAAAGGTTCATTTTCTATTGCAGCAGGGAAAAGAACACAGAAAGACAGTTGAGAAAGCTGTTGCCAAACTGCAGGGCAAGATGATAGTGGCTTAGCTATTCCTGGGGCTTGTTTTGTTTCTAGATAAAGGAAGCTCTTAAAATGCGAGACTCGTGACATTTATTTTCCTAGTGCCTAGAAGAGGACATGGTATAAAATAGGCACTCAACAGAATACCTTATGAGTCAATAAAACAATAGAGACTTGACTAGAGTTTTCACCTACAAAGGAAAGCTGAAGACTACAATTTTCTTGAAGTACATTTTGTTATCAATTGTAAAACATGTCAGTACCTCAATACAATAAATGGACATTAAGGTACTGAGTATAGGTGGCTAATCTCCTTAAAAAAATTCACACAATGCAGCACATGAACATTTTAACATGTGAAGGTCTTTTCTCTGATGCACTTTAATATGTCACTTAATATTAAGAGTGATAACCAAAGATGAAAGTATTACTGATGCAGGACAAAAACATGCCATATTTTAAGTCAGTCCCTTTTCATAAGGGTCTTATTGTACCACAGCAAATTTCAAAGAGACCAAGACAGAAGATGATTCTAATGCCATCTCTAGCTGGTTGCCTTTTGACAAAATCTTGAGTGTTCTTATAGGAAGGAAACAATATTTGGTTTGTGCTAGCTAACTCAGAGGGTTATGATGAGAAACCAATATGGTGAAGTATCTGAAGGCAATTTGATAACTTTAATGTACCACAAAGTTAGAAACTATTACTATGCCAACTAATTATCTAAATTTAGTTAATGTGGTACATGTGACAGTGACTTGATTTTCCTGGTACTTTCCATTACTGCTTTATTGCCCTACATATAAGAATATCAAATTTGTTTTCAATCCTACTCACTTTATTTTTATAATTAGTGGCTCCCACCGACCACACATCATCTGGAGAGCTCATTAAAACTCAGATTACTGGACCTCACTCTTAGAGTTTGTGAATCAGTACTTCTGGTTAAGGTCTCATAATTTTCATTTTTAACAAATTCCCAGGTAATGCTGATGCTACTCTTCTGGGAGCTACATTTTGATAACTACTGCTTCTGGGGATAGTGACCATTTAACAGAGTTAATAAAAATGTTTATTTTTTGGTTTGAACTGAAGTATCTCTCAATAAATCTGTACACAGAAATTTTTTGGACTGTATATGATAGCTTCTCACTGACCAAGAAAATAAATGCTTCAAATGAAAACAAGTATTAAGGTAATAACACACAAATTTGAACATTTTGTGGACCAGCATACTCCAATGTGGAAACTTCCTTGCATGAGATAATAGACATGAATCTAAATTCCAAGTGGCAGGGGCAAACCCATCTCTTACTAGAGTTGAAAGTTGAAATTACATATCTATTGTTCATTATATTAAAATCACTGAGGTGTAAAATTATAGGTGCAATATCAAGCACCATGTATTATTGCTTTATTCAGAAAAGTCAAAATCTTTTAAGTATAACTATATTTTTGATAATAACTTTTTCTCTGTCTTAGTTATGTTCAAGGAATAAACTCATCAATAATTTGGAGAGCGGTTGAAGAATTTGTTGGGAATATAAGAAATATTCCACCAAAATGCTTTTGGGGAAGTTTTTCAGCAGTCATAAAGACAAAAGAACCTATAGTGTGACATATGGACAATCTTTTATAGTCCATCCTCTCTGGTTAAAAAAAATCAATGTCATTTAGTGGAATACAATTAAGGTTCAAGAACCAGATTCCATTTCCAAACCCTTTATTTAAATGGTGTATTCCTTACTCTCCTTCTTTCATGGTGTATTATATTGCTATAAGTTAGTGTCAATGACTGCCTTATCCTTTGTACAGAAGCATGGTACAATCCTTCTCTGGCTTCAAATGGGTTTTTACATATTTTCGGAGAGCAAAAAAAACTATACTCCAAACCTCTCCCTGAGTCAGAGCCATCCATGGAGAAAGAGGAAAGTTACCCATCTAAGAATGAAAGAGGAGGGGTGTGAGGTAGAAAAAAAAATTTCATTTTTTCTGTTACACAAACACATTTCTAAAGCTATTGTCTCTACTAAATATGAGTGCTACACATTCCAAAGAAAGTTTGGACCTCCCCAGTACCCAGACATTTATTTGTGTTTCCTGAGTTTATTCAATTTTTCATTATGTCACAATTAACTTGACAATTTACTAAGTCCAAGGCCTTAAAAATGAATCAGGAAAATACAAAGTAGGAGGGCAAGATATGGAAAACTACATTTTGTTCCAAAGAAATGGAAATTCTGTTCCCAAAGAGAGGGAAGAATAGAGCTAAATGATGGTATGAAGAGATCTACTTCTTCTATGTTTGTTTATCTGTGGGGGTGTGGTTGTTTAGCTGTTACCTTGAATCTGGGCCGGAAGATATATTAATACCCAAGATAATTCTGATAGAATGCTGTCACTCATTTTAACACATGCATCTATTTTCCTTTCTGGAGTATTCATGTGTCTGGACACCTAAAACCATTGGCATTTCACAATCCCCAAGATGAGTCTTTAGCAAACTTGCTAGAAGGAATGTTGAGGAAAATAATATCAGATGTTATAAAGAAACTTAATGGTATTCTCTCCTTCTAGATATTCTGCATAACAATGAAAAACAATTTGCATATGCTAGAGTGTCTTTCTTTAGTGGTAATTCACTTCAGTGGAGTTGTCATATTAACTTGGTCCTCCTCTGAGAGTCCTTCTCCTCAACTGACAACATTAGTGTTTCCATTCTGAGTATGTCAATTTCATCGGTTCAGTTTCAGTTTGTGGTCACAGGTATGCATAACACCCAGGTGCCAAAAGTTGGGGAAGATTCTAGTGAAGCTTAAAAACTGCAACCCAGTGGAGACTAGAATGACTAATCTTAGTGCTAATCAGAATTAGTTTTCTACAGGTGACAAACCACATTCCAGCATATGTCAGAGGATTGGTGGCTGTTTTCAAATGCCTCACAGAATTATGCTTTTGAATTCATTTATAAAGATGTGCTTATATGCAATAAAAACATAAGTTTTACAGTTTAAAACTAAGCTAACTCCCTTATTAAATCCTTCATCTTCTATCTCCTATTGTTTAAAGAAACAATCAACAAACATAGTACATTCATTAAAGCAGCCTCTTTTTAAAGTGTTTTGAGAATGTGTATGCACAGAAAGATTCAGGAAAAAAAAATATACCAATAGCACAACCTCTCCCACACAGGAATAAATAGGTCCAATTGCTAATTGCTGCAGAAAGTATTGATATAATGTATAATTTCAAATGCTTATTCTAGCATTGAAAAATCTATATATATTTCCATTAGAAAACAGGGACTTTTATTGAGCCAATTCCTCCTTGGCAAATCTCAAGCTTGCAAACTGAAACTCTTGGCAACTAGCCATGTTTCTTTTTTCTTCTCTCAGAGAAAGAACAGGCTTCAGAAATTGTACTAGTGTTCCTTCTTCTTTGGAATTATAAGAGCTTGGCCATATTATTCCAAAAATATAATTTTCACAAGTTACAGCAATGAAGAACATTGAAGCACAGAATGTACAAGATACTCTTTTTTTTTCTGTCCTGAAATATTATGTATATTCTACTTCATAATAATTCTATTGGAGGGTAGAAATTCAGTTTCTCAGGACCTCAAATGAACAAAAGCTGTTATAATTTGTTGTCATTATTGTCTCAATTGTCTCAATTTTAAGTATAGATAATCAGACCATATTACTTCCTCAAAGAATCGACCAGGCTGTGTGTCTGGATATTAATAATAGAAAACATGTTTGCCCACCAAAATGCAGGGATGGGGTGAGAAATGCAGTGTGTGTGTGTGTCTGTGTGTGTGCGTGTGTGTGTGTGTGTGTGCACACTGGATGATAGGGGTCCTCTCCTATTCAGACTTCAGAAATAAATGAAAGAAAGAAGTCTGCATTGTGGTGGAAGCTGAGAAGACAGGAAAAATGATATTTAATTATTGCTTGACACAATTTCAAGATATTTAACAGTATCTTGAAAATTTAAAAAAATGAAAACTATTTTTTATGAATGTCTTTGAGTTTTGATTCTTACACTCATTCTTTTACATAAAAACTAATTAATGAATTTAGGATCTAAAAAGAAACAAGTATTACTGTTGCTATCTCATGTTTTGTAACAAATGTCTGCAAAAGAGTAGCTTATGATATAAATCATTTATTTTGCCCAATTCAAGGGAATGACTGGCTCAGCAGTTCTCGCTCTGGTTCTTGCATATGGTTATCCTGAAGCTTCTTCATGTCCGGTACCTGGATTAGTAAGTTTTCAACAGGGAGCAGCTAGGCCTCCTCCGCCATCTTTCGCTCTATGTGGACTTTAAATAAGGTGGCTTCATGGTTCCTTGTGTGATTTTCTTAAAAACAATCACACAATGCAGCACATGAACATTTTAACACGTAAAGGTCTTTTCTCTGATTTCTTTTCTCTGATTCCTGGACTTCTTCCATAGTGATTGATGGTCTGAGAGTCAGTGTTCAAAGGCTGACCAGGAAAACCTACCTGGTCTTTGCTAACATAGTCTCAGAAACCATGCAGTGTCATTTCTGCCACATTCTATTCATCTTGGTGGTCCCAAAGGCTAGCCTGTGGAGGGGACACTGACTTTTGATAGGAGATGTTTACAAGAATTTACAGATATGTTTTAAAACCACTATGGTAGTTCCTTCTAACTTCTGGTCAGAATTACCCAGAACATCTATTTAAATATAACTGTAACCTGATAGCCCAAATACAGTCAATTAGAATTCCCAAGCACCTTAGCTTAGATTTTTTTTCTTACATTACTAAAATGTCAAAAAAATTTCCCATGTCTATGTTTTCATTGTTGTTAATTATGTCATGCTCTAAATTACTTCTCAGTTGAGTATTGTCTATACAGGCCATATGAAACAACTAGTTAAGATTTTTTAATTGCTTAAGGTACTGACCTGGGTAATTGAGACTTTGAGATGTAATTTTTTTACATAAAGATTATAGCTAACACATTTGTCCAATTCTTTTCCAAGCACTTTAAATTAATTCATTGTATTTTTCCCAAATCACTGTTAAATAGTTATTGTTATTATCCTCAGGTTACAAATAAGAAAACTGAGGCCCAGAGAGGGTAAATGCCTGTCAAAGATCACACATTTAGTAAATGGAAGAGCTGAGATTCAAAACCAAGCAGAGGGCTCTAGTGACCATAACTGTCACCTCCTGGTCAGTAAAATCAGCTCCTTTATAGGCCAGAACGCAATTCATTCTCAACTATAAAGTAACATGAAAATTAAATAGATTCCTATGATAATGAAAAGTAATAACTTAGACCCAGGGATTTCTAGGTGATCTCCGGGTGTCACAGAGGTCTGTTCACTTTGTTCAGGACTATTTAGCTTGTGCTACAGACAGATGGCAGGCCTCTCTGTCAATCCGTTTATGTTTGTATGTATAAATGTATGTATCTGTCTGTCTATGTAGAGATTGAACTCTCTGAGAAGAAGACTCTGAGATAGAGGTTAGGGTATAGAAAGTTTATTAGGGCCAGGTGCAGCAGCTCACGCTTTTAATGCCAGCAATTTGGGAGGCTGAGGTGAGCGGAACACTTGAGGTCAGGAGTTCAAGACCAGCATGGCCAAAATGGTGAAACACTGTCTCTACAAAAAGTACAAAAATTAGCTGGGTGTAGTGGCACACGCCTGTAATCCCAGCTACTGGAGGGGCTGAGGCAGGAGAATCGCTTTAACTCGGGAGACTGAGGTTGCAGTGAGCTGAGATTGCGCCATTGCACTCCAGCCTGGGCAACAAGAGTGAAACTCCGTCTCAAAAAAGAAAAAAAAAAAAAAAAAAAAGGGAAAGCATATTAGGAAGTGCTGTAAGGATTTACAACTATAGAGCAATAAAATGGCAGGATTGATCAACAGAAGAAGGTGTATACTGAGACAGTCGTAGCAAAAATGCCAACTAACTCCAGAGGGAACTCTGAAGCTAGGATGCTGCTTCACTGTACTGGGTTATGGCAAAGGGATCAGGTTTTATAACTCCGTATCAACTAGCTATTGGATGCAGGCTACTCTCAAAGAGAAGGCATGGCCTTAGGCAAGGCAACTTTCTTCAGCTAAGGGCACTGTCAGGACAGGACTGGTATGAGAGTCTTCATATGTCAGTCACACTCCCAGCAGCTGATAGAAGAGGCTCTCCAGTGCCGAAAGGGAGACACACACGCATGTACGCACGCAGTATATGTATATTTATTTGTAAATTGCATGTATGTGCTTCTTTGATTTGCAAATTAAATATTTCTAAAGTTAACTTTTATTTTTAAAATAAGAAATACATATAGAAGTCCAAATATATTTATTGCATCTCATTATTTTCTTGATCCCCCCCATTTTTGAAATGTTTCCAGGTAAAAACAATTATTTTCACACAGTTTATTCTCTATTTATTTGCATATGCTTCACTTTGATATAAAGAAATTTTGAGGTGGATTACATAGATATTCAAGAACATCAGGAATTTTCTAAAAATTTAAATAAAAAAATCAGGACACAGGGAACAAAAAAATTAAAAAGGGATGAAAACAGTGGCAAAGCTAATATATTCATATTTTTTAAAAGGCTATGAGATGCTGTACACCTTCAAGATATGAGGTGCAAATTTGGTGCTGGGCTTCTGAGCAACAGTAATAAAAGAAAATAAGATCCATTACAGGGGCCAATGTCTATGAGATTAAAAATATACCCAATGCTCATGGGAATTGTAAATTTTCCTGGTACTGATACCTTAGAGAAATTTAACCTTTGGCTCTTCATACAATTTACTTTTTTCAACAAAAATTGATGCTTATATAAAAAGCCCTATACATAATCAAGTAGAGACTTGAATGTCTTCAAATTATTGAATATAACTAGAAAGACTACATAGCATAATGAGGGCAGTAGCAATCACTGCAGGCTGAAATAATAAAAAGAGAATTCATGTAGGAGTTAGCATTAAAACTAAGCCTTGAAGCATGATTTAGAGAAGTGACAAGCAGTTATTGTTTAGGAAGATACTCCAGCCAAAGAAGCTAACATGCATAAATGTATGAAAATAAAAGAGAAAAGGCAAATCATACTCATAAAATTAATTAAATTATATGCCATTTCCAGATATCTTGGATGCAGCAACTTAAGATTGGTGAGTACTTAAAATGAGTATTAAAGCACTAGCAAAATAAATCAGTTGAAAACATTGTTTAGGCATAGAATTACTATGACTAAACTATTTTTATTAAGTTATTTCCAAGCCAAAATGCAATATTTCAAAATGTAGCAGAAAAATAATTTTAACTTTGGTATTATGAAGACAGTGCTCTTTTTAAAATTTGCACCATAAATTGGAAAGGAAGATTAACCATTACATGGTGGTATCATATAGGCAGTATGGCTTTACAGTTGCAGAGAAGTGGATCACTCATTTATGGAATAGAAATTTTTCCTGATAAAAATATTTTTTTAAATTATAATTCAGATTGAAAATTGCTTCATAGATGTTTTGTTCAGTTTTACTACAGAGGATTTATTTCCTTTTTTGTATATAACCTTCCATTGAATACTTCAATTTTATTGAAATTTATTTTTTAAAATACCTAAGGATTGTCTTTAAAAAATCTCTATTAGTTGATCAAAATAACTGTTAGGAACAAAATGAAGCTACTTCTATTTGTGTTGGAAATTTTAATAATGAGGCAAAATAATATTATTGAAATATATCTACTATATAAAACATTTTTCCTATAGAAAAAATGTAGTTATAAGGATTTGAAAAATTAAGTTATTGGAATTTTACTCTACAACTGCTAGATAGATGAAAATTTGAAAAATAACAGAATGCCTTCTTCCTCCCTTTCCCATTTTTTGACCCCTGGCAACTACTGATCTGTGTCCATCTCTATCATTTTATCATTTCAAGAATGTTACATGAGTAAAATCATACACTATGTAAAAAAAAGAAAAAGAAAAAAAAAGAAAAATAACAGAATGGAAATTGTAATAAAATATGTTTCCACCCCACAAATACTGAAGTAAGATGTTATAACTTTGGGGCAGATTTGGGGCAGATATGACTAAGCAAAGTGAAATTTGTATGTATATAAATAGTAACTTGCATGTAGAACCCAATATTTAGTGCCCTGCAGGAGTGAACATGTACAGTTAATGGAATTCCTTTCAACAATGCTAATTATAGAAAACATTTATATTATCCTGCAATTAAGTAGTAGGTCATGAAATATACAGATGTTTTTCTTTTTTGATCTTGAGTATAATGTAGATTACTCTGCGGCCAATTTAAACTCTGTACTACTTCTAAAACAAATAACTGTTCCCCTAAATCTAAATCTAAGTCCTTTAAGAACTAAAATACATATATTTAGAGTAGATTTCTTGTAGATAAGATAGACATTTCCCACTGCAAATGCCAGTAAACCTTCCTAAAAATTATCTTAATACACTGTTCTCAGTAAAACAGGCTGTCATAGAAGCCACTAAAATCTTTTTTTTCATGCAGTCACTCACTATGATGTTCCCTGCTTGTATTCACTTCACCTCTCAACTCTTCTTATTCAAGAACCCTTTTCCCCTGCAATTATATTAAAACTCAGGTTCTAGACAAATGATCCTCCCTGCCAACATAACCCTCTGAAATCACAGTCCTTATCTCTTTGTCACAGCTCCTCACAAAAGGAGGAATACGTGCCTGGAATTGTGCTAAATACAATTCTCTTCTTGTTACAGTTTAAGAGAGTCCAGAATAAACATTCTGATTTCTAATATTATAGCCTTATAAACATTATTGTTAATTTTATTGGATGAATATATGAAAGTGTCCATTGAATTATCAGGTGACTATTCAGTGTTCCTTTATTTATGAAGTTAAATATTTGCTTATAGTAAACTATGATTAGTGTAAAGTATAATATTTTATAGCCTTTATTATAAAGTTCAGTGGATTTTACTCTATAAATGCACATTTTTTCCAAACATTGGAATATAACAATATAGGGTATATTAAATCCATAACGCTTATATTTTAAAAAGTCATGCCCTCTTCTGAAAACAGAAAGTTTACGTTCCCTCTATTTGTATTTTTAAAATGTGCTATTTTGCTTTCCTAATATAAATTATATTCTAGCATATGCATTCCTCCTCATCATCGGCCCCTCTTATGTTCTAAGTCCCCCAGTCAAGTATGGACTGCAGAAGAGATCTATAATTGTATGTGCATCTTTCTTCCATATTCCATTTTATAACATACAAACCACCCGTAAACATGTTATTTCATTTGTTCTGGAGCAATAATCTATGTCTCCAAGGAATTAAGTGGCACTTGCCTAAAGTGACAAAAGGCAAATAGCGAGGTCAGAATTGCAATGCCTAAAGTTGTTCACTTTCCATCATACCTTTTATGTTTAATGTTTGCAAAGGCTTTCTGTCTCTCTCAGCGCAGTATGAAAACATCTATCATAGTATGGCACCAACAAATACCTTTGGTTGCTTCTCTTTTTTAGTTTAAATTTTGGGAAAGCAAGGTTTTTAAGAATTTCAGTGAAAATTGTCTATACTCATGCATTATGACAGTATTGTATTTGTTAGTACATTAAATATGCATAACGTAATTGGATATTTTTGTAGGTTTTCCCATCTAGTTAGATAATGTAATTTATAAAGTATTCCATGTGTTTATTTGTTGATTTTTTTAAATCCCCATATTCTCAAATTTATATTGTATGTTTTACCAGCCTACAAAGTCATTTAATTTAACCTAAATATTTACCTTTTCAGACAATAATGCAACACACAATGGTATCAGCATCTACATTTGAATATCATATCTCAGTTTACTGTCAAAACCCAGCATCACTTAAGTCATGTAACATTGAAAAGTTCACAGAATTGAGCCACTAGCCAGATATTTTCCCCTTTGATAATTGCTATTCCTTTACTATGCTACTTTACAATAGGATACTTTATCGAGGTACCTACTTTGGTTACACCAACAACTACAATGTTCTAAAATAAGTTCTTTTCAATGTAGTATAGTGGTAATGGCAAGCTCGAACTTAAGGTAACAGAACTTTCAAATTTTACCTCTCCAGATGTTTATATTGACATTTTTTTGGACTTATTTTTTTCCACAAGAAAATATGTATATTGAAGAAAACAACTTTTGAGAGCAGTATTTCATTTTCATAACCCTTACAACATTAACAGGTCAGGTTTTGAGAGTTGCTGCAGGCTACTTTAACTATTGTCAAACTCTTTGACATTAACGTATATTGTTTCACGTTATTTGGCATGTAAGGATAATGGGTCCAAATGCATTTCCACTTCTTAGTGAAAACATACACAATTCTCTGCTATTTCAAAATTAATGTTAGGAATAATTTTATTTTTTACCATGATGCCTGTTTTACTAAATTTTTCATGATTCACTACTTTCACATGCTGATCTAATTTCTTACAGAAAATAATTTTGTAGTTATCACATGAGTATCCCATGAGCCTTTGACCAAACAAGGAAGAATGCTCTCAATTATGCTATTTCAACATTTCCTCAATATTTTACCAGCACATTTTGATGTATGTTCAGTTAAAAGAGTCAGAGCAAGCTCATTTCCCGGAATATAATTCTCATACACAAAGGTATACATTGGTTAAAGGCATTAAGAAATACATTGACTAGATTCTCCAGCCCCTCTAATAATTGGTAAATTAAGGAGAATGTATATGTGATGCCCAAATGCAGAAGTCAGCTAAGAAAATCTAAAGGGGAGCTTGTATTTCTAAAGATTATACATGGTCTTTACTTACCCTTGTGGCCTACATTAGTAAATTTGCACATAATCTTGTTTCCTAGTAGCTGCCCCCACAGCAAAGAAAGAAATCACACAGGGTAAGTTTCCCCCAGAGACACAAAGAAGCCAATAATCCTGCTAACATTTGCTCCTGTATAAAAGGCCAAGCCTGCACTCTAGTCAGGTAGCTACCCAACATTTCCCTGCTGTATTTCCTCAATGAGGAAACAGGATACATGTTTCCACTCACAGGACTTGAGGAAGCAGTTGTAAGAAATGTGGTATCCAAATGGAGAAGAAAAGCAATATTATAGTCCATCATTATGATAAGATATTCTAGTAAAATCAAACTACTCTCTATAAATATGCAAGAAAAAAAAGGCAGTCTTTGTGTAATAGGAGGTGGGGTGGAAATTTTCCTTTTGCCTAAATCACGAAAACTGCATCAAAGAGATGCAAAGTACCTGCTTTCTAATAAAACATTGAAACAGTTGGAGACTTAGGGAGGAGTCAAAGCTGCAGTTTAAGCCCAAGACCATCAGTCTGAAGACCCAGAAAAATTCAATGTTTCAGTTCAAATTTGAAGGCCATCTGTTGCAGACTTCCCTCTTGCTGAATGTTAGTCTTTTGTTCTATTCAGGCCTTCAACTGATTGGATGAGGCTCACCTACATTATAGAAATAATCTGCTTTACTCAAATTCAACTAATTTAAATGTTAGTCTCACTCGAACACACCCTCACAGAAACATTCAGAATAATGTCTGACCATATATCTGGGAGCCATGACCCAGCCACACTGAAATATAAAATTAACAATCACAATATCTTACCATGATGCTGATTCCCTGTGGCTAACTTTTCCTCATTTAAATATCAAGTGGAGGAAGCAGTGACATTGATGATGATGACTTGATATGAATGTCTGAATTTTCTGTCAGTCAAGGGAAACTAGAAGTAGTTCTATGTGAGCCACTTGGCTGGCACCGCCATGTGAAGTTGTCCTGCTAGGTAAAATACTCTGCCACAGGCAGAGAGCTAGACTGCCAAGAATGCCTGAGCCAGCTTTCCCAAATCAGGGAACTATATATACAGTGAGGAGAACAGCAGCTCCAGGAGAACTTACTCATGTGCCCAGTTCATTAGAACACTTACCACACAGAGGATCTCTGTGGTGGCCAAAAAAGCTGTTGCAATTAACCAACAAAGAAATCTACAAAACTGGTTAATGAAGAGGCATTGGTAATTTTTCCTCTCCTATCAATGTGCTCTAGCACACACTGCAGGACACAGAATTTACAGAAAACAAAGGGAGGAGGTATCTCAATGACAAACATGTCTCTTTCCTTCTTTCTTTCACCTATGACTGTGGAGGGATGAGGAACAATAATTTCAGATAGCAAAGGAAGGATAAAAACTTTGAGCTGAAGATAGGGTTGAAATTTAGAACCACATCGATTTGTTCTAATTGAAAGTGATGGCAAGTATTAAAACCTGCTGAATATATTTTCAGGGATAATAAAATGTATTGCAGGATATGGCTAAAAGCAATGACTAGAGTAGAACATAATATCATGTTTATACCTTACTAATTTGGACCCATTAATAAACATATATACCTATAGGTAGAGAGGCAGTGCTATGTTAGCTATCTGTGGTAGCTAAAGCCCCCCCACCTCAGCAGGCATTTCATCCCTATTATTCTGGGGACAGCAATCTGTTTCTTTGGAGAATTTCTCTAAATCCATATGATCCTTCTGAAACTATCAATCATAGTGCCCCTCATCTCAGCCATAGACCCGAGCATTTGGCCTAGGTTATGTCAATCATAGTTCCACTGGATCATACATAGCAAATGGCCAAGAGGGAGATATATGACCTGAGCCTGAGCTACTAGAATCCTATCTTGAACTTTTATGAATAAATTTTGAAGGGTGTATCAGGGTCTAGTCAAAAGAAGGAAACTGCCAGTTATTGAACAGGATTATTTTATATAAAAATATTGTTAAAGTAACTGAAAGGATCAAAAGAGAGCTGTAAGGTATTACAGAGGTAGCAACTATAGAAAGAAGCTATCACCCTTATAGCTAAAGGAACAAAGGGAAGAGGCTAAAACAATTAAAATGTAGAAACTTAGAGGATGGGTCCCAAGAGTTGAAACATGGACTACAGACAGTGCTCTACTTGCCTTGGATTTTCTTACAACTTTTCAACTTTACTATGGATTTATTGAGCTATTAAAATGCATTTTTGACTTAACGATATTTTCAACTTACCATGTGTTTATAAGGGTATAACCTCATTGTAAGTTGAGAAGCATCTGTACTGAAGAAGAGGAGCTGCTCTGTTAGTGCTGGTATCTCTGAGTATGGAGGAGCAGTCTTTGGGTCTGGGACCCAGACCTGTAAAGAGAGGACACAGGCAGGTGTTGTTGGTAGCTCTGAGAGGCAAGTAATGAGGCTAAATATGTCAGTGTGGAAGAAACTGCAAACTGAATTCAGCTGCTGCTGTGGGAAAGCCCTGCTACTGCTGGGAATTGTTGTTGGGGTAATACCCACAGGAACAGGAAGCAGTCTAGAAGTACACAGGGAACAAACAGAAAAGAACAAGTCTTCCTTCTTCCCTTTCCAGCCTTGCTCTCTCCCTCTAGTGCCCAAGATTGGCAGAGCTTCACAGGGAGCCAGCTGACAAAGCAAAAACATAGCTTGCAGAGTCTCAGCACCAGAATTGCAAAGCTGAATGAAGAAGAGTGGGTTCAAGCTGCTGGGAGACAAGAACTATAGAAGTGGTGTGGAGACATATGTCTTCCTTTTAGGTTATGAGATGAGATGAATCTGACTATGCAGTAAGAAAAAGATATTTCTTAGCATGTCTCAATTATCCATATCAAGAGAGGAGCAGGCTCATACAAGCCACTTAGTTCTAGAGGCTCTTCTTGACCAGTAATCTCCTATTTTTAATATAATTGACTAGATGTGTATGACTCTCTTTCCTTATAAATATGTAGAGTGGGACCAGGCACGGTGGCTCATGCCTGTAATCCTAGCACTTTGGGAGGCCGAGGCGGGTGGACTGCCTGAGCTCAGGAGTTTGAGACCAGCCTGAGCAACACGGTGAAACCCCGTCTCTACTAAAAATACAAACAATTAGCCGGGTGTGGCGGCATGTGCCTGTAATCCTAACTACTTGGGAGGCTGAGACAGGAGAATTGCTTGAACCCGGGAGGTGGAGGTGGCAGTGAGCCGAGATCACGCCATTGCACTCCAGCCTGGGCAATAGAGCAGGACTCCGCTTCAAAAAAAAAAAAAAAAAAAAAAAAAAAAAAAAAAATATATATATATATATATATATATATATATATATATATATACATACATACACACACACATATATATATGTAGAGTGACTCAGGAGGGTGTGACCTTTCTACTAGAGTCTATCTTTACCATCAGATATACTTGGCCTAAGCACAATTCTCTGTGGAATAACACAGGCTCAGGGAATTGGGTATGCTTCATTTATAATTTTTTTCCAAAAACCTCTATTTTAAATTTGTATCATATGACATTAGCAAAGTATGTGCTAGTGTCATCTCTACAGGACAGTTAAAAGCTGTACAGGCATATGCCCAGGATATTGACAGTCATGTCCTGCTACATTAAGGAAATTCATCTACAGTAAGAGTCTAAAAGAGGAAAGCAAGGAGAAAGATTATCGACTGAATGCTGTATCCTCCCAAATGTATATGTTGAAACCCTATACTCCAATGTGATGGCATTAGGAAGTGGGGCCTTTGAGAGGTAATTAGGTTTAGATGAAGTGATGAGAATAAAGCCACCATAATGTTAGCATTCTTATAAGCTTCCTCTCTCCATCATGTGAGGATCCAGTAAGAAGTTGACTATCTGAAAACCAGGAAGAGGGCCCTCATCAGACACTGAGTCAGCTGGCATCTTAATCTTGGACTTCTTAGCCTTCAGAACTGTAAGAAATAAATGTATGTTTTTAAGCCACCTAGTGCATGTTATTTTGTTATAGCAACCAGAGTTAAGACAAGAGGCAAAGTATAAAGGAGAAATAATGGCAAAGAAAAAAAGTCTTAAAAACCTAATTTGACTATTGTCTGTGGCCTGCATATAAGACAGTTCTTTACTGAACTCCATATGTGATGTGAGCCTATACATACCTTTATTTGCTAAATTAGTTTGAGTGGATGTCTGCAAATAATCATGAGTAATACATGGGATTTAAAGCTTAAGACACATTTTTATAAAGGTACTTCCAAAACAATAATGATGCAATTTGTAAAATGGTTTACTGAACAAATGAGGATGAATCTCAAATATTATTTTTCCTAACCATATGGCTTATTGGACAATAAATGAAGATCAAGGACACAATAATCCTTCATTTTACGTAGCCATGTTCCATGTTATAACAACAGTCCGAAGTGCCGATAGATTTAATTATTGGATTTGAAGGGAGACAACGAGTGACAAACCACTTCAACTTCATTTAACATTTAAAACAGCAATTTTCATAGATAAATTGCCATGGAATAGGACAAACTTTTATTTAATGAACTGAGGTTTATATTCAGTGGTGAAACTCACAAAACTTGGAATCTGACCAATTCCTGAATTTCCACGATGCCAGTCCCACTCAGGGAGCAAAGCATTGCTGTTTTGAAGGAAGAAAAAAAATTTGGTTGCAGAGCCAGGGACCAAGTCTTCAGAACTTCACATTCACTTTCCAGCCTTTCAGAAAATAGTCTAGAAATCATGCCTTGTGTAGTTGAAAGTGAACGCTCCTTTGAAAGAAATACAAGCTGTGCACTGTCATCTAGTGCCCATCCAGATCTTACCTGCATGAGGTGAGGCTCATGATATTGCCCAAGCAACTGCAAATGTCGCCCTAAAATAACCAACACATCAGCTGGTGCTTCTTCTTCTTTCAGATAATGGCCTCTTCTAACTTGAGTTGCATTCCCAGAAAAATCACAAATCAGTCCAAAAATCCCCCTTGTAACTGTAGACAACCATCTGAGATTTCCTGGGGAAATATACAAATTATTACCCATATAAATTGTTGCCAATTGTTACCAATATCCTCAACTTCAACTAAGTTCTAAAAACCACATAGGTTTTTAAGAATAATTCTATAATAATTTGTGTTGCTATTTTCCACAATTTACAATTTCAAACCTTTATGTCTCCCAAATTTCCAGCGTCCTCCATTGCTGTAAATCTCAGCTATTGGGTTGCCTCATACTTTAGAAAAAAAATAGAAGCCAAAAAACAGGAACTGGTCAATCTTGCCAAAAGCAAATACATCAATGTATTGCAGCTACAACTATCTTCTCCTATTTCCATTTCCATTATAATGATGAATTTATCTCTTTCTTAACAATAGCTGTTTCTCCATAAGCACTGAAAGGCATGATTACATACCACCTTTCTTATAAAATTAAACAAACGAAAAATGCAAAACAGTAAAAAACTTTAAAAAAAAACTTAAAAGCAATAACCTTCTTCAATTATGTTCCTATCTCTCTACTTCATTTATTCTGGAGACAAACATCTAAATAGAATTCTTTAAATGCACTATGTCATTTTGTCTAATTTCTTACCTGCCATGTAATCAACTTTCCAATGTTTCAAATTGTTTTTCTTAGAAATAAAACTTTAAAGCCCAAATTGAAAGCCATTTGTATACTTTTCCCAATTTCATTCTTTCTCCACCATTCTCAGAGGCAACCATTATCCTGATATTTTGTGAATTATTTCCTGTTCATAATTTTTATATTTTTACTACATACCCACTGTATATACAAGCATATGATTTTTCATTTTTATATTATACATTTTCTTCATGTATTATATATTATACATAATTAATATAATTTAATTTAACTCTCACTATATGAGTACATGTGAATATATATTCATGTTTATATATATATCTCACTATATGAGTATATATGTATATATATTTATTCATGTTTATATATGTATATATATCTCACTATGAGTATATATATGTGTACATATATATTCATGTTTATATATGTATATATATCTCACTATATGAGTATCTATATATATATTAGTTTTATCCATGTTGGGGAGTCCCAGGACTACTCAGGTTACATTGATTCCATACATCCTCAGCTGGAATCATGACTTTTAAGTACTACATATATTCTAAAAATTCACAAATTTACCTTTCATTTCTGACATTTCCCTGAATTCCACAACAGTGTACACAATTGCCTGCTTGACATCTCCCTTTGGATGTGCAATAAGCTTCTCAAGCTCAAATGCAATTCTGAAGTTCCAACGACCCTTTAAATCTCCTCTTTTCTCTATTTCCTATCTTTGTAAATGGTAATTCCATTCTTTCATTCATTCAAGTCAAACATCTTAGAATCATGGTGGTAGTTTTCCTTTGAGTACTTTGTTGTTTTTTATTAATTACACTCATTTTCAATAGACTCTGTAGGGGTCTCTGTGATCTCATGACATAATTTTCTATCTGTTTTCTCCACTTCCATTAATGCCCAACTGCAAATCTTTTATCAACAAAGTCATTTTTTAAAAATATGTTCAATCATGCCACTTCCCTGCTTCTCACTACATCTGGGCCATGCCTCTCCAGCCTATCTGTGACCTTCTCTATGCTCAAGTCACAACAGCTTCTTCTATCATTCTCTAGACACAGAGACTTGACACAGATTTCCAGAGCAACAATAACTGCTCTTCCCTGCACCACCACTTGATTCTAGGAATTCTAATTGTCTATCTTCATATATCACCTTAAATACTTAATTGATATTACCTTAAATCTACTGATGAGTTTCTGACCCATATTTTCCTTTACTTTGCTCTTTGGAGATAACTATTGTCTTTTTTTTTTTTTTTTTTTTTGAGACAGAGTATCGCTCTTTCGCCAGGCTGGAATGCAGTGGAGTGATCTCGGCTCACTGCAACCTCTGCTTCCTAGGTTCCAGCCATTCTCCTGCCTCAGCCTCCAGAGTAGCTGGGACTACAGGCGCGCGCCACCACGCCCAGCTAATTTTTGTATTTTCAGTAGAGACAGGGTTTCACCATGTCAGCCAGGATGGTCTCAATCTCTTGACCTTGTGATCTGCCTGCCTTGGGCTCCCAAAGTGCTGGGATTACAGGCCTGGCCCAATAATTGTCTTAAATTATGTTATTTGTCATTTCTATTTCTTAAGATTCCCACTTTTAGTTTTGTTTACTTTTGATTTAAGTCAATCTATTATTAAGATGCATCGTATAGTTTGTAGTTATATCTCATTCATTTTAAATTCTGGTAAACTTTCAGCTTGCCAATTTATAACAGTTTACTTGTATTTTTTAAGATAAGTTTTAGAGTTGTTTCCAGATTTTTGTTCTTGAAAACCATGAAGATACATATAAAGATGTTTCAGTCTACATGTGTGGTAGACAAAATTTTGGCTTTTGTAATTTGCTCCTTGGCGATACTTTCATAAATATATTACATGGCTAAAGGGCTTTGCAGTTGTAATTAAGGTTACCAATCAAATGACCTTAAATTAGAAAGATTATGCTATGTGGATGGGCTATGTGGACTATGTGGATGGGTTTAATATAATCAGAAGCACCATCAGAAGCAGGGATTTTTCTCATTCTGATAGCAGAAGAGGAAGTCAGAGATTTGAAGCACAAGAAAAATCCAGTGTGTACTTGTTGGCTTAAAGATGAAGTGGCAAGAAAACAGGGACTTTAGTCATACAACTCCAAGTAACTGAATTCTGAGAACAACCTGAATGAAATTGGAAGTTGAGTCTTAACCAGAGCATCTAGATAAAAGCCAAGGAGAGCAAATAATTTAATTTTGGTCCTGGGAGGACCCGAGTGGAGGACCCAGCAGAGCCACCTTGTACCTGGACCTCTGACTCACAAACCTGTGATATAATAAACGAGGGTTTTAAGTCACTAAATTTGTTGTAATATGTTTAAAAAGCAATAGAAAACTAATACAACACATCTAAGTGTTTCTCTTGAAGTGTAGTGGCTCTTTGGGTCCAGAGGGTACATCTGTGATTTTCACTAGTGAATTTCCAGTTTCCAGTGTATCTCCTGCTTCAGTTTGAACATTTCATATGTACTCGTGGACTAAATGAGTGAACACAAAACTGAAGTTTATAAAGTCTTGAAACTACAGAGCAGAATTGGGTACGCAATAGGAGGATAAATCAGATAAAAAGTAATTTAAAAAATTGATTGCATTATAATAAGAAACAGATAGTTAATATTTGTGAAAATATAACATATCAAATAACAACTGTAAGTTATGTATTATCTTCAGTGCTCACTTTATATATACAAACCTGATTGCAAGAGCAGTTTATTAGAATTCAAAATATTTTCACAAGGAAATGATATTATAAGGGGACAATGAATTCTCAATATCACTTAAAAGCACCAAATTAACACATAGCTTAATTATGTCTATAAACAATAGATGACAGAAATAATGATCAAGTCATAATAATAGTAAAAGAGAAATAATGAGAAATCATAATAATAGTAAAAGCACATATCAGCCAATGGCAGAAGTGTGGTTGGAAAGTAAAGGTGAAAAAAAGATAAATGGCTATATTTGATACAAGTGAAAATGATGGTAGCTTCATATGGCAAAATGCTACAATAAAACAATAGACTTGTCACAATATGTTGTGTGGTTTAGATGAAGTGGCCAAGAGATTAGAGTCGAGGGCACCAATAACGCCTTTGCATTTCATTCAACCATCGTTGAAATAAGAGTAAATCTGACTTGTGACAGTTCCAACAGATACATCTCAATGATTATTTGCCTAATGCTTAATGATTAATTAGATTAAAACAATGAAAGAAGAGAGATGTTAAGGTTTTTATGAATATTCATTAGGCAGTGAGGATACAATGAAGACTTGGAAAAATTCTTCATCTTAAACTTATAATTAAAGAAAAAAAAAAAGATCATTCCCTATTCTGTTCCATACAAAGTAATCTACACAGCTTGATTTGTGCAAGAATAGTTTCACTGATTGTCTAAACGTGTCTTTAGAATTTTCCCATTATCTCCTCATTTTATAGTCTGCAAAATTTTCATCTGTTCTACATCCTTGCAGATCAGGTTCAATTTTTTTGTAGTAAGTGTAATTTTCTATGCTAATATACAATTATTTTCACAAACTGATCATACACCATTCTTTTTGTCTTCCTTTGGTTAGGCAGCCCATATTTCAATCTGGTGGTGGCTGAGTAGTTTTTGTTGACAAGACCACACTTCTTGCTACATGAACAATGGAGGCAGGATCTAAATCCAAATTTCCTTAAGGCTACTTTATTTGGTTAAGCTAACACTGAATTGTTGGCTAAGCTATAATTAAGCTAAGACTTAACTACTTAATTATTTTGTTTCAGCATGCTTTGTAGTACTATAAAAATGCTTTATTTATTTTCTCTTTATTTGCTTTATATATCCTATTTTGCATATAAGGTTTTATTTTGTAAACCACCTTTTCTGCATCATTAATCCAATGCAATATCACTGGAATGTAGCATTGCATATTTACATTTAAGAAGCTAAAACTTTATATTGTGCATACTTACATCACAATTAAAAATAATCTCAAATTCTATTTCTGAATTTATTCTACATTATATAACCATTTGTTTTCTTAAATATTAATCACAGTTTAACATACTATGTTATTTTCAATAAAATGTGGGTTTCAAATATATAGAAAAATGCAGCAGAAATTATGCATGTTTTTAAAATGTATATGAAGTTTTTGGGGGCAAAGGGTTATTTGTTCAAAACACAATTCTGAAAATTACTTTAAAAGCAATCAATTTCCTATATTATGGTTCATTAATTACTAATAACATTTGTCACACTTAAATGAAAATCTAAAACAAAACTTTGCATGGTTAAAAAAATAAGAAGGTTTTATATATGGAAAATTACTTAATGACATTTAAATCCGTTTAATTTTATATAATATATAAATGTTTGTGATACATCCACAAAACCTAACTGAGCCTGTGCTTTATAAATATTTGTTGAATGAATATATGGGTGAATGTATTAACAAATCCAACTTACAGAAAATGGTCATTACTTAAGGGCAGTGCATACTTAGATCTGATAATTATAATGCAATTATAAATTATTGCAATAAGCATATGTTGATTATGTTGATAATCTTTAGAATAGTGCATATGCAAGCAAGCATTGGTTTTTGAGGCCATAACTATGTCTCTTTTCCTAGAGAAAAGTTTGGTGAACAATCCCTATAAAAGCACTTGTTTAATCAGTTTAACGCTATTAGAATTGAAAGAATACAAAGCAATGAATTTGAAACATTACTTAATCTGCCTTTTCTTTCCCTCTTGTGCAGTGGTTCAATAAAACCTGAAAGAAGTTATCTTGAAAGAGTAGATTAAACCAAATATCTACTATATTGGTAATCCTAGTAATTGGGACTATATATTAAAAAAGAAAAGTTGCTGCTATAAAAACATGTTTGAATTGTTAGAATCCCAAAAGTATTTACAATAGCATCCTCAAAAGAAGAGTAGTAGGGAAATTTCTCTAGATGTTACTCAACTTCAAGAAGTCTTTTAAAATGATATTCATCTGAAAAACGAAAGCTAACTTCAAACTGTACTAGAAGCAACATGCTGAAAAATCAATTAGAAATGCATTCTAGAAATAAGGTAAGAGGTAATAGAATGAAATTTCTAGAAATTATCCTAGGTAGGTACTCATAACTTTGAGATTGGCACACATTCCTTAAACAGGATACAAAAGATCATTGATTATAAAAGAAAAACTGACAGATTAGATTTTATCAGATTTGAAAACTTTCATTTATTAAAATATACTTTTAAGAGATTCAAAAGGCAAGCTTCCAAAAAGGAGACAATATCTGTCATACAAATATCCAGTAAAGGATCCTTATTCAATAAATCTTACGAATAAATGATAAAACCAATTAACTTTCTTAAAAAATGAAAAACTTGAGTAGGCTTTTCACACATGAAAACAAGATAATCCTAGTGGCCAACAAGCATAGGAAACAGTGCTCAATGTAATAAAATATTAAGAAAATGTAAATTAAAACCACAATGAGATACTGGTATATAGTCACCTAAATGAATACAACTTAATAAAATTCACAATACCAATTGGGGGCACATGAATGGATCGACAGCACTTTCATTCACTTGTGATGGTGATGGAAATTGTACAGTCAGTATGTAAAACCGTTATCAGCAGCTTCTATACCTAAATACATGCATATATTATGACCAAGCAATTCAATTCCTGCTTAGGCACCACATAGAAATTCATATATATATATATATATATATAAAAACATAGACATGTACAGAATGATCATTAAGAATAATTCACAATAATCCCCCTCAATAATAAAACAGGAAATAAACATATTACACAATATATTTATATAATGAACTATTATACAGCAATGAAATAGAGAAGAGTACTATTTCTAGCAACAGTACATATCAATCTCATAGATTCATGCTGAGCAGAAGAATCTCAAACACAAAATAGTACGTCCTATATAATTTCATGGTAAATGTCAAAATCAATTGAAATGAATCGAGTTGATAGAAGTCGTAATAGCGACTACCTTTAAGGTATATGATGACTGAGGAAGAGGCACAGGAGAGGCTTTTGTGGTATAGATTATTTTCTATGCCATGCTCTTGGCACTGTTACCTGGTGTGCTCGCGTTATTAAAAAAATTACCAATTTGTAAACTTAATATTTATAACATTATTAGAAATATTTTGTACTTCGACAGACAGCTTATCTATGATCACTTCTATTAAATGGATAAAACTACTTCTTAGACTAGACCATTGATGCAACATTCAACTTGCTAATTAGTGTCCACATATCTGGTTATACTAACTAAAATTGTTACTGTATTTTAAAGTCATTACAGTTCATAAATCAGATAATTTGGACATCTTACCATCTTAATTTTGTCTCTTGGGTTATAATATTGCAAGATTTATACTTCAAGTTACTCAATTCCCTTTCAATTTTTTGTAAAGAAATCAAGTTTTAATGGAGGTTTAATTAACGTGCTCTTGATTTAGATATTTATGAGTTATTTGGATTTGTAATATAAAGAAAAGTTCTATTAATTACCAAACCATTCTTTTGCACTTACTTATATAAGTTTATATTTTAAACTGATATGCCTTTTCATACCTTTAATAACAATAATACATTTATTGGTTATTTACGATGGGCCATGCACCATAAGTTAAATATTTTATCCAGTTAACTCATTTAAAACCCATGGGATTCTATGAGGTGGCATTATTATTTTGCTTTATATACAATAAGGAAACTATGATGTAAAGAAAAACCATGCCCAAGATTATAACATTTGCCAGGTGCTAGCACTTGGGTTCAAAGCAAGCTGTCCCTGCAGAAAGTCACATGCCTAACCATTTAGCTTAATGCTAAGGAACTAGTCCTTAGAGGTATCTGCCCTACTTAATTCTAGAGATGGTAACAGTTAAAGATCAATTGTAGCATCTTGATGCTGTCTTTACATAGCTTTCTCCTTATTTACTTAAGTGGTCTCAATTTGTTTCTTATGCATTTAAGTGTTCAATTATGCTAATGCTGTTCCCCAGGGATTTGCTCTTTCCTCTCTCTGCTCTTTGTTTATGTGATCCCAGAGGCTTCCCTCATTGAAGAATGAGTCAAATTTTTCTCCCTGATGAATTAATCGTACTAAGTTTTCTTGGGCTGTATTCTCTGATATTGCTTTTTATTATGACAGAGATTCATGTATGAGTATTCCACTATTTTTGAAATTTTAACAGCTCTTTTCTACAGAGTTCTTATTACTTGATACAACTAGATGCAGAGAAGTACTGCCAAGTGTTGTTGACATATACTGATGGTTTCACTTTGTTTCTACAGATGTTGCTATAATGCTCAACCTAGTTATCTCTTTGGAGCAACAGATATCGTCAGTTTTTAGAAAACTGTATTACCATTTAAGAAGTATTTTGTTTCTAAGGTCTCAGAATAAGATTTATGCATTGTTTGTTTCCTGTAGTTTAGGCTGATGATGATTGACTGGATTATGAAACAGATTTTAAATGTTGACTGTATTACACACTGCAGAGTTAGTGTCAGCCTTGGGTGTTTTGATTGCTTGCTTGTTTACATATCAGATATGTGCCATGTACTCAGTGATGGTACCACTCTCTACCTTTTATATGAGTGTAGTGCTAAGACTAGCAATAGAGAGAACATAGAGAGAACAAAGAAGCATGTTTTGTTTTGTTTGGAGTAGACACAGAATACCATTTATTGCAAAAAGTAAAACAATTACATATTTTGTTATCTTTCAAACATTTTATCTTACCCCTACTGCCATCCTACTTTAATTGTCAAAAATGTTGGTATGTCTTTTAAAACTGGAGGCAATTAGATTCTTACTATAAAAAAAACTATTTTATGTCAATTAAAAATAAAATAAAACTTTAAAAAATTATTCTGTAAGTCTTCTATCTTATAAGTTTCTCATTTTTCCTGTGCCTCTATACCTAGAATATAACATCCTCAAAGATAGAAACTATACAATTTTTTTTCATGATTTTTAGTTTATTCTAATTTCTAATTCTGTCAGGTGGCAGATAATGTTAGTAATAGCATTCCTTAATTAACCTGGCAATTGCATAATACACCCTTGGGTGATGCCTTCTATAGTGAACACAATGGCAGCTGTATGTATATCTGCAGCTACTTCCTTTCACCATGCCTTCAAGCCCTTTGATTTCTCATTTACCTGAATATTGGAGTGTCACATACTTCAAGCAATGAACCAGCAGATAAATCTACACTGCAGAGTGAGGGGCCCAACCACTAACTGAATCACAATTATGGGGAATGGGGAATAATTAGCAACAGAACTCTGGGCAGTAAAGCAAACGGTTTGCATTAAAGCTGTCTCTTGGCAGGTGAACAGGTCTTAGCCTCTGGTTTAGGGTTATGAATAGTAAAGGTGGGTAAGGGATGGGAAGAACTCTTCAATTGAAGTGAGTTGCTTATTAAGAACCGTACTGATTGCTAATCCCAGTTTTGTAAGCTAGTTCTGATGGCAATTAGAAATAAACTACTTCATTCTTAACTGTAGGCAACTTTATTATTTTGCATAAAGAGCAAAAGAACATTATTTCAATTTATAAAAGAAAAAGACTGAGGAAGCAGGCCAATAATACAGTCAATATGTAAGCAAAGGAAACATGTTTGGAAGAGTAAAGGCCTGAAAGGGGCAGGAAAAATCAGAAGCTCAGTTACCAGAATAGGGTATGAGTTGAGAGTCAGATCACAATAAGGCTATGCTGATATTCCCTAAGTATTAGCTATAGCTCCTCAAATAGCTCGCAAATAATAGTCAGAACTGACACCACAAAGGGGCAGGACCAGGCCTGCATACTAAGGCCATGTGATTTCAGCTCTGGAGAAATCGATTCAGAGACTGGAAAAATAGACAGGGCTGAAAGATGGGAAAAAGGACTAGTTTTATTTTTTTCCAAAGGACATTTTATTTCCCAAAGTTGTATCAATTCCAAGAAGAAAATCTTGGACTTAGAGAAAAATAAAGTTTAGAAGTTGTCCACAGATTTATTTTATCATTGATATCAACCCCATTATTTAGCTAGATGAAAGGTTGCTGTACTGTTTCTTGCCCATTGACTTATGTATCTGGGACTGATTTTAATATCAGGGTGAATTCAAGTCAATGCTTTACAACCAATATCTTTAACATCTTCTGATCATTTTTGCTTTTCATTCTGAAATCCAATGGTGCATTTTATTCATAAATTCTTCATCACTAGAAATTTTCTAGAATAAGGAGTGATGGTAATCCCAAACTTACATAACGTGGCATTGCAAATTTTGTCATATTACCTGGGACTAGATCCTCTATGTTTCAAGGATTTTGCTGTGAAGCTATACTTATGGGACATTCTCTACATAATTTGATTTTACCACTTTCAACATTTTGAACGCTTTCTTAATCTAACACTTTCTTAATCTAACAAACAGTACAATATTTGAGATGCTAACTTCATAAAAATCTTCAGGTTTCCTGTATGAAGGACTGGTACAATTAATAATTTTGCTTAATTTATAGCATTTAATTATATCAATGAATATAATCTAATTCTTGCTTTATTATTTCTATTCATTATGTAATCATTGACAATAATTTAACAAGTGTAATGTTTCATATTCCTCTTATAAGTTTAATTACCTGACAGATCTGCACTTCCCAATTTCACTAAATTAAACAAACAAGAATGTGACCTTCTGCAGCAGTGTCAAAACCGTAGGTGTTGAAGAGCAACACTCTTAAGTTCATTGTCACATTCAATTAATTTCTGAATTATACCAAATTGATTGAAAAATAATAGAAATTTAATAAATAATTTTACCCTTGTTAACAAAAATATATTCTGAAGTACACTTACTAAATACATATTGTTTTACATATCAGCAGTTTATAATTGAGTTCATCAGCAGAAATTTGATACATGCCACAAATGTAAACTTTATTAAGAATGGCGAATATTACATTAAAAAGTTTTACATGGAATTAATAAATACTTGGTAATTCTAAATCAGGGAATGCACCAAATTTAAATAATTGTGTGATTCTGAATAAATATTAAATTTGTATCTATCAAAACAGTGCCTTTTATTGCAGTAATTTAAATAATTGGAATTGCCTCGAGAGTATTTTAATCAACCTCTGGTATACATTATTGCCATGTCAGAAAGATGTGTTTAAAGTAGCTACAAACAAAGTTTATACTCATGGTCTGGCTGCCTAGCACTAGTGTAGTCAAATAAGGGTAAACAAAATGTACGTGTGTTCCTGGGAAGAGACCTCTTTAAATGCTTCTCTAATGAAAGAGGTTCTAACTATAAGGCTTGAGAAGAAATGAGCTGCATATCTAAAAGTCATTTACTTTTGCCTTTTGTATACCTCATTCAAATGATCTCTTGTTTTATAGACATAATCATAGATAGTTTGTCAATTGGTATATCCTCACTGCAGTCTAGTTACCAACTGTGGACAATTCGGTTTTTCAATGAATGTGAGTTTCTCATTAATAGTGATGCTGATTGCTAACCCTAGTTTTGTAAGCTAGTTCTGATAGCAATTAGAAATAAACTACTTCGTGCCTTAACTATAGGCAATCAGAACACTGAAAAATTCTGACTGATGAAATCAGTTTATTGACTGATTAGTCTGAATATAATTCAAGGATTTACATTTACAACAGCACAGGTTGCAGTAACCATAGTCCTAGTGAAGTAATAGTGTAACTGGTTTATATTTTGTATAGTACACACATAAGTAAACAAAATTCTTCAAATAAAATGCTCCTGAGACATATAGTTCTAATTCTCAAAAAGATAGAAATGTACATTACTACATTACTTTGGTTTCCACAAGTGTATGGCAAATGCACCTGATAGCAATAAGTTAAGCATACTCTGAGAATAACACTATGGTCTAAAAAGAATGTGTGTTCAGAGTTCTGAGCTAAGAAATCTGCGAGTGGCCAACCTGGAGACTTATTCCTTATCTGTGAGGAAGGAACCCTGGTCCATTACGTGGAATGCAGGCCACACAGGGGATCAATACCCTTTCTTTTGGATTAAATGAAGCTTGTCAGGTGGAGGTTGCTAGGGGGAGGGTGCTATGTGAAAATGCTATATAAACTGCATGCTTTTTACAAGCAATTGTGGTTCTTCTGTCCAGCCTGCCACCACTGGATCATCAATAAACCCAATTTTATTATTTTTTTTTTTTCTGGCTCTGGGTCTCTTCATCTTCTGGGACACCGTGCCATCCCTAATGAAGTCAACAGGGATCACCACAACAACTAGCATGCCAGCCAAAGGTAGAGAAAACACTATAAGTGGTGAAACAATGGGATCCATGAGATCAGAGAAGAGGAAATCCACGGAGGAAATCTTGGGCAGGCCATCCATGTTTAGGTGGAGCATGATAGCCACTGTCCTTGATGGATGGGGCCTACCATGTGAGTTCAAGGATGCCCTGAAAATGCTGAAGGGTCCAGAAGAGCCATTGCAGGGGTAGGATCTAAGTGAAAGTTGGATGTCCGAGCTGTGGCAACCATGGTTGGATGGCCACTTCTGACTGCACACTGAGCAGCCACTGAGGCTGAGCTCACAGCATAGGTGAGAGTCCCTCAGTGACAGGATGAACTGTGACTAGAAAGAGATGCCTGATTAGCCCAGGTTGAAACATTGGAGACTTTACTGTCTCACCTGTGGGCATAGGATGACAAAATAGAGACCCTGGTTTGTTAGGTAACCCTTTGAAGGGTTGCTGACTCCCATGCCAATGGGTTAGGGCTATCATGACTGAATCGTCTTGGGATCCTAAGTCTTGAGACCCAATGGAGAGCCCTAGTGGGGACGAGAATGAGGAAAGGGATGAAACCTAGAGGTTCCCATCCTCTCTTCCCATCCCATAGTCGCTTCTATGATGGGAGTAGCCCTGCAAAGCATACCCCCACCTAAAAGATGACGGCACTCCACAATGTGGGACTATACTGCTGTGGAATTGGTAGAGCTGGGAAATAGGTTCAGGCAGAAGGGGAGATAGTCAATTGCAGAGTGGTTTCTCCATCTGTGGGACATGGGAGCAGAGGGTATAATACCCTCCAGACTCAAGATGAGTAAAATGTTACAAATCACCCAGCCCTGAGGCAGCACCCTTATGATGTTAATAATTAGGATTGGGCCATCCCCTTCCTTAGCTGGATGATTGCAGGCTACAATGCAGCCTGGCCAAAAGAGGAAGACATTCCCATGTCTGATGCTGTATTACAGTAATAATGAAAGATGAATGACGACGAAAGATGCTGTCTTACGGTAAGCCCTCAGCCAGTGGTGTATCACAGTAGTGTGTATCCTGAGCCCCTTGATAAGACAGCCAATGTCTCAGGTGGCCCAAGCGGCTTCCAACTTAGGGGAAACAGAGAAGCTGCATAAGCAAGAGATGTGTACTGCTGGAATGAAAGACAAGGGAGCCAAAGGAAAGGATATGGCCAAAAGGCCCATTAGTGTCACCTGCTGACAAATATCGTGCAACCTGGTAGTGGCAGGGACACCTAGGGTGGAAATAAATAAACAACCTAATGCTTTTCTAGTTGGATTGTGGCAGAAGCTCAAGCCAGAACAGTGCTTCACTAAGGAGCCTCAGGTTCACTACACACTGCCCCTTCTTCAGAGGGATGGCAGATGCCAACCCCTTTAGACTAGGATGTAGGCTAAGACCTGGGAATCTCCTTAAGAGCAATGGTGGTCAGGGTGTCCAGGGACCAGAGGCCACATGTAGAACTAACTGTATATTAGTTACCTAAGAATAAACAAACTGTGCATGCCCTAGTAGACACTGCAGCCTAATGCACTCTCATATATGATAATATTCATCTGTTCCGAAGGCCTATAACAGCAATAGATGGTTTTAGAAAGGGGGCCATGGAAGTCAGATGGGTTGAACCAGTAGTACTAGTTGGGAGACTGCCACCAAAACTCAATGTAGTATACATTGCTCCCATCCCAGAATGCATCTTGGGAAAGGATATCTTATCAGGCTTGACCCTCCAAACAACTACTGAGAAACTCTCTAAGAGTTAGGGTGGTGAAGCAAGTGGTGAAGTGATGAGGGGAACTCAAAACGGACACCAACGGTGCAGTTGCCAGCCCTTCAGGGAGTAGCAGTGGGGTGTGGGCATGATGAAATCACAGGAACTTTTAAGGAGTTAGGTAGGCATTATAAGGTCAATGCACAGCCCATACAACAGCCCTGTAAAGTCAGTGTGGAAGCCTGATGGGACATGGAGAATGACAGTAGGTTAGTGGGAATTAAATAAAGTGGTACACCAATGTATGCAGCTGTTAGCAATATCACCTCCCTTCTGATGAGGGTAGAAGCAGTGCTTGGCACACACCATTTTGTTATCAATTTAGCTAAAGCCTTCTTCAGCATCCTTAATGCCCTAAAGAGTCAAGACTAATTTGCATTCACCTGGGAAGGAGAAAAACGAACCATTATCATCTTGCCCTGGGGATATTTGCATAGCCCCGCCATCTGCAATGGCCCAGTAGCTGCAGACCTCAGTGGTTGGACTGCCCTGAAGTGGGCACAGGTTTTCCATTACATTGATGACATCATGCTAACTTCTGAGTCTTTTTCCAGCTTACAAACTGCAACCCCCAGTTTTCTGTGTCACTTGGCAAAAGAGTATGGGCAGTCAATGCAAAGTCCAGAGTCCAGGTTTATCAGTTAAATGCTCGGGTGTCATCTTTTCGGGTAAGACTAGTCACTCAGTCTGTGTTTATAGATAAGATGCAGGCCTATTCATGTCCTACCATACTGAAGTAGTTGTAGACCTTCTTAGCCCTTATAGAGCATTGTCAACCTTTTATTTCCATCTGGCCCAACTCCTTAGGACCTCATACAACTTAGTCAAGAAGAGGGCTATGATGGTTAATACAGTGTCAACTTGATTGGATTGGAGGATGCAAAATATTGTTCCTGGGTGTGTCTGTGAGGGTGTTGCCAAAGGAGATTAACATTTGAGTCAGTGGACTGGGAGAGCCAGACCCACCCTCAATGTGGGTGGGCACCATGTAATCAACTGCCAACATGGATAGAATAAAGCAGACTTGCTGAGTCTTCTGGCCTTCACCTTTCTCCCTTGCTGGATGCTTCCTGCCCTGAAACATCAGACTCCAAGTTCCTCAGCTTTTGCACTCTTGGAATACCAGTGGTTTACCAGGGGCTCTTGGGCCTTTGGCCACAGACTGAAGGCTGCACTGTTAGCTTCCCTACTTTTGAGGTTTGGGGACCTGGAATGATCCACCAATGGCTTCTTTGTTCCTTAACTTGCAGACAGCCTATCATCAGACTTTACCTTATGATCATGTGAGTCAATTGTCCTTAATAAACTCCCTTTCATATATACATATATCCCACTAGTTCTGTCCCTCTAGAGAACCCTGACTAATACTAGGGCCCACAGGGATTGGTCTACAAAAGAGAATGAAGCCTTTTAACAAGATAAAGACACAGTGAAATAAATACAAGTCTTGGGAGTTCTACGGCAGTGACAGCCTTGTTAACTGGCCAGTTACCCTGAGGGGCTTGGGTAGGGCCTATGGAAGAGGCAAGGACATCAAAGTGTGCCTCTAGGATTCTGATCCCAATTATGGGAGGAGCTGAAGTTAGATATAGTGTCATAAAACAACAATTCTGTGCTACCCAGTATACCTTTCAAGTGGAGGACATTACAAAGGGGGCCCTGGTGCACCTGGTACCCCATAGCAGGTTGGCTAAAGGATACCTTTCAGAAACCAAAGTCTGGGAAACAGACACAGACTGTGGCCAAATGGCATGCATACCTGCAAGACAGGAGCATGTTAACTAATAGCCTCTTGAGCACAGAGCTTGTTTTGGTACTTGGTCCTGTCCCCTGTGTGACAACTAACTGAAGGGCAGTCTTTGATTAAAACCACTGAACATCGACAGATTTCCTCCTTTGTACAGCAGGTGGGGTGGGGGTAAACAGGGCCCAGTTCCTGACCAGGCCTGGTATGCAGATGGCTCATCATGAAGCAGTCCTTGCTCTTGGACAGCCATGGTCACCTACCTGTCCACTGATAGGATCTGGCTTGATACAGGTAAAGGACATAGTAGCCAATGGGCTGAGCTGGAAGTGGCCTGGATGGTCTTCTTCTATGAGCCAGACCCAATAGTCCTATGTATTGATAGTTGGGCCATCTTTAAAGGACTCATGATGTGGCTACTACAACGGGAAGCAAAGGATTGGACAACAGCGGGCCACCCACTTTGAGGCACTGACATATGGAAGGACATGCATTCAGGGGATGCATACAATGGTGTGCCTTATGGATACCCACACTGCATCTACACCACCTGGAAATCAACAGGCAGATGAAGTAGCCTGTGTTCATCTCCTTGTGGAAGCTGCCATAGAAGATGTAGCTCACTGGCTGCATATAAAGACAGGACATCAGGGACAATGTACCCTTTAGGCTATAGCAAATAATCAGGGCCTGCCACTATGATATAAAGACATAGTGCACATCTGTTAGCAATGTCCTGCCTGTGTGCAGGAACTCCCCAGGCCCTTGCAGCATGATACTGGACAGAATGCCAGGGGCCGGGGCCCAGTGAAATGTTGGCAGGTAGGCAACACATGACAATTGCCTCTATCTGATGGCTGCCACTATGATTTGACTTGTGCAGACGCATGCACGGGGCAACTGCAGGCATATTCCGGCAAGCATGCTGCCCAGAAATCCACAAAAGGACTAGAGCTGCTGTGCACAGCCTGCAGTGTCCACACTGATATCAACAGTGACCAGTACAGGAATAGGCAGAGGTCCTGGATATCCACTGGCATTTCCACCTGCCATACAACCCTACATCAGCGGGGCTAATTGAACAGATGAATGGACTGTTGAAGCAACAGCTCTGGCAGGAGACACACTCTCTGGCTCTGCAGACATGCTGCTTACCAGCAGCCATCCACACCCTGAATAAACAAGTTCTCTTATCAACCCAGCACATATACTCTTCTAATGCAAGGGTCTGATACCACCATAAGGATCCAGGTAGAAAGTATAAGGGACAGTACACCTTTACCCTAAGCTGGTACTTTCGGTAACCTGCTATTGCCCTTGCCACAGGACCTACCCACTGGGGAGCAAAATAGTATGTGGCCCTGGAAATGGCAAATCGGCCCGCGATAGTTCAGCTTTTCTGCTCCATGGGAGGAAGGGCCTAGAAAACCATGTAAAGGTCACACCTATTTTACACCCTACTCTCCCTTGTACTTTTAAAATAATGAATTCTTGTCCTCCCTTGTGCAAAGAGACAATCATCTTATAATGGAACTTTTTAACTACCCCATTGTCTTACTCTGGCCTTTTGTAATGCATCATGGCTGGGGAGGGGAGGTAATCTATTTGGTATTATAAATCAGACACCAGGACACTACCAGGGGTGGTGCTCTCTCAGAATGTCCATAAATGGTGTGCAGCAAACCTCTTCGTCAACTGGGTGCAGATGGTGGTCTCTCTCCAGAATAAAACAGCCCGTTGGGTCTGTGAGGAGCTGCCTCTCTCTTCCACTATGGGCCTGCCATGGCACATCCAAGCAGCTAACCTGAGTATCTGAAGCCTCTTCCATATGTGGTATAATGACCCTCACTTGTTTCTCTTTAGCAACAACAGCACCTCATGCAGTGAATTCCCCACCATTAAGGAGATGAGACCACATATTTTCCACATAGATTGGGAGAAAATTAATGTTATCCCCACTGTGTGGTAGGCTGTATATGATGAGCTAGGGTAAATGATGGCACTGCAGACACAGGTAGTGAGTTGTGCACCCTTGTTTGCAAAATTGTATGGCTTTGGACACCTTAAGTGCTGCCCAGAGTGAAACCTGTGCATTAATTAAAACTGAAAGTTGTGTATATATCCCTGATTACTTTCACAACATAACCCAGGCCACGCAGGCCTTAGGTACCCATATTTCTGTTATAGAATCTCTGTCTTACAATCCTATAACCATGTGGTTTACTCAACTCCAAAGCTCTTAGAGAAACTTTGCATGCAGTATGATTGTTATTAAGTGTATTATTTGTTTTTGTTGTTGTAGTTTGTATTATTGCTGTGGCATCTAGAAACAATGCTCCTGTACATACCTGACTCCAGGGGAAATCATGGAAGAATGTTGTGATGACAGTGTGAGGCCCAGTCAAGGGTATGTTAGCGGGGGACTGTTTGGCAGATGCACCTGACAGCAATAACTTAAGCATAACCTGAGAATGACCCTGTGTGACAGACACACCTGACAGCAATAACTTAAGCATCCCTCAACAATGACTCTATGGTCTAAAAAGAATATGTGTTCAGAATTCTGAGCTAAGGAATCTGGGAGTGGACAATCCAGATTCATTTCTTATCCATGAGGAATGAACTCGGGCCCATCCTGTGGAGCTCAGGCCATACAGGGGATGGAGGAACTTTGATTTCGATAAAATAAAGGTTGCTAGGTGGAGGGCACTGAGTGAAAATGCTATATATACTTCATGCCTTTTATAAGCAGTTGCAGTTCTCCTTCCAGCCCTCTGCCAATGGACCACCCTCATGTAAGTTCCCTCAATCCACTCTATGTCTTGTTCCTAGGCTCCAGGTCTCTTCTCCAGCCTCTTGGACAAAGTACTATCCCTATTGAAGTCAGTAGGGATCTGGCACAACAAGCCATATCTGTGAGCCTGAAACAGAGATGTTAGTATTCAGGAAAGCTACTAGAACTTACAGTCTGTGAATTATGCCACAACTCTAGGTTGCCTAAGGCAGTCACCTGGGTCACCTTAATGGTGAGAGTCACTTTGGCCTCTAGAGAATTCTCAAGGTTAGTTTTCAGAAACATGCAGAAAGAGAGAGAATATTAAAAGAAGAAGCAATCACTGTTTGAGCCGGTGACTCCCAAACTTTAATGAGCATAATAATCATGTGGAGGATTTTAAATAAACATTTTTTAATTCCACCCCCAAGAGTTTCTTTTTCAGTAGGGCTGGAATAAGGCCCAATAGTTTGCATTTCTAACAAGTACTCAGGTGATGTTATGCTGCTATGTAAAGACCACATTTTGGAAAACACTGGTTTAAGCAGATCAAGCTTCATTCTGTTTCAGAACTTAGAGTGTAAAAGGGGAAACAAAAATGTAAAGAAATCAACAATTCATAACCCATGAACAAATAAAAGGCAGATATAAGACAACATTTGGGCTGGATATACCTGGATAAAGTTAATACTAAGCTAATTATTCTTTATTATCAATGATTTTCCTGGGATAATCTATTTTCAAATGGTGATGTGCAGTTACATACAATGCTACAAATTGAGTAGTGATTACATTTATAAAAATCATCCCCTTAACTATCTGGAGTCTTTTGCCTTTTCCTATAAATTTCAAGATTTTAAAAATTCTATTTCAGTGAAGAATGTCACTGGTATTTTAATAGGAATTGCATTGAATCTGTAGGTCACTTTGGGTAATTTGGACATTTTAACAATATTAGCTCTTCCAGTGCATGACATGGGCTATCTTTTCATTTATCTGTATCCTCTTCAACTTTTTCCATCAATGTTTTATAGGATTTGTCATAGAGATCTTGCACCTCCTTGGCTAAGTTTATCCCAGGGTATTTTATTATTTTTTGTAGTTATTATAAATGGAATTATTTTCTTGATTCTTTTTCAGGTAGTTCACTATCGATGTATACAAATGCTATTGATTTTTGTATGTTGATTTTGTATCCTGCAGCTTTACCAAATTTATTAGTTCTAATGGAGTTTTTGGTGAATTCTTTAGAGTTTTCTCTGTATATGATTACGTCATCTGCAAATAGGGATAATCTTGAGAAAAAAGAACATAGTTGGAAGTATAATACCACCTGACTTCAAAATATACTACAGAGCCATAGTAACCAAAACAGCATAGTACTGGCATCAAAACAAACACATAGACCAATGGAACAGAAGAGAGAATGCAGAAATGAGTCCATGCATTTACAACCAACTGATTTTTGACAAAAATGCCAAGAACACACATGGGAGAAAGAACAGTGTGCAATAAATGGTGTTGGGAAAACTGGATATCCACATGCAGAAGAATCAGACTAAAGTCCCATGTCTCATCATATACAAAAATCAATACTAAATGAATGAAAGAATTACATGTAAGACCCAAAACTATGAAACAACTAGGAGAAAACATAGGGAAATGGCTCATGAAATTGGATTGGGCAAGGATTTCTTGAATAGCACCTTAAGAGCACAAGCAACAGAAACAAAAATATACAAATAGGAGTACATTACATTAAAAAGCTTCTGCAAAGCAAAGAAAACAGTAAGTGAAGACACAAAAAATAGGAGAAAGAATTTGCAAACTATGCATCTGACAAGTGGTTAACATTCAGAATATATAAGGAATTCAAACAACTCACTTCTTAAAAGAAGACACACAAATGGTCGACAGATACATGAAAAAATACTCGATATCAAAAATCATCATAGAAATTCACATGAAAACCAAAACAATATATCACCCCTCTCCAGTTAGAATGGTTGTTATCAAAAAGACAAAAAATAACAAATGCTGGTGAGGATATGGAGAAAAGGAAATTCTTATACACTGCTGGTAGGAATATAAATTAGTGCAGCAATTTTGGAAAACAGTACGATAATTCCTCAAAAAATTGAAAATAGAACTACCACATAACCTAGAAATCTCATTACTTCGTATATATCCAAGGAAAATAAAATGAGTATGTTAAAGAGACATGTCCACATCCATGGTTATTGCAGCAGTATTCAAAGTAGCCAAACTAAGGAATCAACCTCAATGCCCATCTAATGATGAATAAACAAAGAACATATGGTACATATATGCAATGAGTACTATTCAGCCATAAAAAAGAATGAAGTCCTGTCATTTGTGGCAATGTAGATGAAAGTGTAGGGCATTATATTAAGTGAAATAAGCCAGGCACAGAAAGACAATATACTGCATGATCTCACTCATATGTGGAATCATAAAAGTTGATATCATAGAAGCAGAGAGTAGAATAGTCATTGCTAGAGGCTGGGCAGGGGAAGAGAAAGGGGGAGGCCAGGAGAAATTGGTCAAAAGGTATGAAAGTACAGTTACACAAGGCAAATCCGTTTTGGTGTTCTATTACACGATAAGGTGACCATAGTAAATAGTAATATAGTGTGTATTTCAAGGCAACTAGAAGAAATGGATTTGAATGTTATTTTCACAAATAAATGATGAATATTTAAAGTGATGGACATAGTAATAACCCCAATTTGATCATTATACAATGTATACATGCATTGAAACATCATATTGTACCCTATAAATATGTATAGTTATGTGCCCATTATGAATAAAATTAAATAAAAACTGAAACTAGAAGTAACTTTTTAAAGTCAACCCTATTTTGAAGTGATATTTTTGACAGGCAACTTTCTACCAAATTGTCTATATAAGTTACAATTCTTTTTTAATAAAAATATCTCTTATTAACTTTTTAAATTAGGGTAATTTTGAGCAAAGGAAAAAATATGCAATTTTTGTAACATGACCATATGGGCTTAATCCTTCTCAAAATATCTATTTAGAATCAGCAGGATTTTTAACTGCATGATGGTAATTATTTCATTGATTTGACAGAGGTTCCCACAGCTACATACCTTGTCCCTGTGTTGACTTCTCAACAATCACAGTGAGCTATTGAACACCTGTCGGGAAGGAAAATGTGTAATGAATTGTGGGAAATAGCATGAATAAAATGCCCTAAAATCTAAAACCTCAATGCCTTACAATGTGTTTTAAGTTTCTCTCCTCTTTTATATTTCTCCATCTCTCCTCATCTCTCTCAATATCCTACCCTCTCCTTTCACACAAAAAGATTAACAGATACTGCAATCCCAAAATTACACCTGATAAGTTGCACTAGATATTTCTCCAATTCTCCACCTTTTCCATTTCCCTCCTATTTCCTTATCCTGTTTTCATCTTTGCCTTTCGTAGTGACCAACAGCTGGCTTTGGCAGGTGTAGTGGCTTATCTTACTTTCATAATTGGGGCAGTCAATCAAAACAGGCAATTAAAACTGTAGTTTGATATGTATCCGTATGCATCAATATTTAATGTATTTCCCAAGGGACAGCTGAATCTAAAGGTGATGGGAGTATGTGAAAAAATATATAACATATACAGGATGAGTATTGCTTATCTAAAATGCCTGAAATCAGAAGTATTTCGGATTTAAAATATTTTTGGATTTGGGGATATTTGCATTTATATTTTAAAATATCTTGGGGATAAGTCTAAACACAAAATTTATATTTTTCATATCCTTCTTACACATATAGCCTGAAGGTAATTTTTATATTTCATAATTTTGTGCATAAAGCAAATTTTGACTGCAATTTACAATCTGTCACATGGATCAAGGGTAGAATTTTCCAGCTGTGGTGTCATGTCAGCTCTCAAAAACTCTCAGATTTTGGAGCTCTTCAGGTCTCAGATTTTTGCATTAGGGATGCTAAACTCATATAGGCATACCTTAGAGATAGGAGTTTGTTTCAAGACCACCACAATAAAGCAAGTCTCCCAATTTTTTGGTTTCCCAGTGCAAATGAAAGTTATGTTTACACTACACTGTAGTCTATTAAGCGTGCAATAGCATTGTTGTTAAAAAATATTGTTCATGCCTTAACACTTTATTGCTAAAAAAAAAAAAGCTAACCTTCATCTAAGCATTCAACAAATCTTAATATTTTGCTGGTGGAGGATCTTGCCTTCATGTTGATGGCTGCTAACTCATGGTGGTTACTGAAGGGTGAAGTGATGTAAACTTCTTAAAATAAGGCAGCAATGAAGTTTGCTGCATCTATTGACTCTGCCTTTCATAAAAGATTTCTCTGTAGCATGAAATGGTATTTGATACCATATTATCCACAGTAGAACTTCCTTCAAAATTGGAGTTAATACTCTCAAACCCTGACTCTGTTTGTCATTTAAGCTTTTGTAATAAATTTCTACATTCTTTGTTGTCATTTCAACACTTTTCACAGCATCTTCACCAGCAGTAGATTCCATCACTGCTTTCTTTGTGCATCCATAAAAAGCAACTACTCATCCCTTCAAGTTTTATCACTAGATCATAGAAATTCAGTCACATCTTCAGTCTCCACTTCTAATTCTAGTTATCTTGCTATTTCTACCATATCTGCAGTGATAAGGTTTGGCTGTGTCCACACCCAAATCTCATCTTGAATTGTAGTTCCCATAATCCCCACATGTGATGGGAGGGAGCCAAGGGGAGGCAATTCAATCATGGGGACAGTTACCACATGCTGTTCTCATGATATCGCACTCATAATAGTGAGTCTTCACAAGATCTGATGCTTTTATAAGGGGCCTTTCCCCCTTTACTCAGCATTTCTCCCCTTTTGCTCTGCACTTCCCCTTCCTGGCGCCTTATGAAGGAGGTGCCTTACTTCCCTTTTGCCTTCCACCATGATTGTAAGTTTCCTGAGGCCTCCCCAGCCATGCTCAACTGTGAGTCAATTAAACTTCTTTCCTCTATAAATTACCCAGTCTAGGGTATGTCTTTATTAGCAGCATGAGAATGGACTAACACATGCAGTGACTTCCTCTATTGCAATCTTGAAACTCTCAAAGTCATCCATGTGGTTTGAAATGACTTTTTTCCAAATTCCTGTTCATGTTGATATTTTATTTTATTTTATTTTTATTATTATACTTTAAGTTTTAGGGTACATGTGCACAATGTGCAGGTTAGTTACATATGTATACATGTGAAAATGCTGGTGCGCTGCACCCACTAACTCGTCATCTAGCACTTTTACACTGTTGGTGGGACTGTAAACTAGTTCAACCGTTGTGGAAGTCAGTATGGCGATTCCTCAGGGATCTAGAACTAGAAATACCATTTGACCCAGCCATCCCATTACTGGGTATATACCCAAAGGACTATAAATCATGCTGCTATAAAGACACATGCACACGTATGTTTATTGCGGCACTATTCACAACAGCAAAGACTTGAAACCAACCCAAATGTCCAACAATGATAGACTGGATTAAGAAAATGTGGCACATATACACCATGGAATACTATGCAGCCACAAAAAATGATGAGTTCATGTCCTTTGTAGGGACATGGATGAAATTGGAAATCATCATTCTCAGTAAACGATCGCAAGAACAAAAACCCAAACACTGCATATTCTCACTCATAGGTGGGAATTGAACAATGAGAACACATGGACACAGGAAGGGGAACATCACACTCTGGGGACTGTTGTGGGGTGGGGGGAGGGGGGAGGGATAGCACTGGGAGATATACCTAATGCATGTTGATATTTTAACCTTCTCCCATGAATCACAAGTGTTCTTAATGGCATCTAAAATCGGGAATTGTTTCCAGAAAGTTTTTATTTTACTTTGGCCAGATACATTAGAAGAATCATTATCTATGGCAGGTATAGCATTACAAATATATTTTTTAAATAATATGACTTCAAAGTTGAAAGTACTCCTTCATCCATGGAGAAGGATGTTGTGTTAGCAACCATGAAAGCAACATTCCTCTTCTTGTGTATTTCCATTAGAGCTCTTCAGTGACTAAGTGCATTGTCACTGAGCCATAATATTTTGAAAGGAATCTTTTTTTCCTGAGCAGTAGATCTCAACACTAGGTTTAAAATACTCAGTTAGCCATGCTGCAGTCAGATGTGTTGTAATCCAGGCTTTGTTTTCCTATTTATAGAACACAGGCAAAGTATATTTAGCGTAATTCTTAAGGGCCCTTGGATTTTTAAAATGGTATCTGAGCACTGGCTTCAAGTTAAAGTAACAATCTATATTAGCCCCTAACAAGTGAGTAAGTCTATCCTTTGAAGCTTTCAAGCCAGACATTGATTTCTCTCTACCTGAGAAGGTCCTAGGTGGCATCTTCTTCCAACAGAAGACTGTTTCTCCTACACTGAAAATCTGTTGTTTAGTGAGGCCACCTTTATTAATTAGCTAGACCTTCTGGATAATTTGCTGTGGCTTCTACATCATCACTTACTGCTTCACCTTGCCCTTATTATTATGGAGATGATTTATTTCCTTAAATCTCATCAGCCAACCTCTGCTAGCTTCCAACTTTTCTTCTGCAGCTTCTTCTCCTTTTTCAGCCTTCATAGAATTGAAGAGGGTTAGGTCTTTGCTCTGGATTAAGGGAATATTTTGTCTGGTTTGACCTTTTATCTAGACCATTAACACTTGTCAGCAATAAGGCTGTTTTGCTTTCTTATCATTTGTGTGTTTATTGGAATGGCATTACTAATTTCCTTCAATAATTTTTTCTTTGCATCCATGACTTGACTAACTGTTTAGTTCAAAAGGCCTAGAATTAGGCTTTTCTTGGCTTTCTACCTGTCTTCCTCACTTAGTTTAATCATTTCTAGCTTTTGATTTAAAGTGAGGGTCGTTCAGCTCTTCCTTTCAGCTGAACACTTAGAGACCATTTTTGTGTTATTAATTTCAATATTGTTGTGCCTCAGAATAGGGAGGCCCAGGGAGAGAGATAGGAAAAAGGCTTTAGGTGAACTAATCAGAACACACACAATATTTATTCATTAGATTCACTCTCTTATATGGCTATGTTTCATGGTTCTCCAAAACAATTAAAATAGTAACATCAAATATCACTTATCACAGATCACCATCATAGATGTAATAATAATTCACAAGTTTGGAATATTAGGATAATTAACAAAATGTGATGCAGGGACACAAAATGAGCACATGCTTTTGCAAAATGGCATTGATAGGTTTGCTCAATGCAGGGTTGCCTAAAAACCTTCAATTAGTAAAAAGTCCACTATTTGCAAAGTGCAATAACATGAGGTATGCCTAGGCAGTCACAGGTAGCCAATGATAGCGACAGACATGGATTCCAGGGAAGGTAAAGTAAATATGAGAGAGGTTTGATAATTAATTGATTAAAATTGATCAATAATTTAATAGAGAGCATTTAGAGAAATGAGAATTATTATTGTTATTGTTGTTCTTTTTACTGTTATTTTTGAAAGAATATAATTGTAAGTCAAGAAAATGCATATTATCTATAGTGCTCACTGTAATTGAGTTATTTCTCCATGAAATCAGGTAGTTTTAAAGGACAATTAAAATCTTTAGTAGTTTGAGAAGATTTATCCATGGTAAAATATGGAAAACAAACTTTAACATATGATCTCAACAGAGGCAGGCATAAGAATTATTATATAATTACTTTGGATTTGCATATTACAGATGCAGAATGATGGCTTACCAAATATGGCAGGGTCAAGTAGAAAAAATGTAAAAAAATCACAACATAGAGTTAATGTTCTTAATACATAAAGAGTACTTAAAAATCACAGAATGATTCTTTTAACAATAAGTAAAGAATGCAAGCAGAAAATTTTTAAAAGGTATTGCTCAAAAATATAAAGAAATTTAGACTCACTTTCAACTAAAGATATATAAAATGAAATGAGAAACCATTTTATTTTTACAATCAAAATGTCAATAGGACAATTTTAAAGAAAGATTTAATTCCAGTCCCAGTCATTTTGTACAAAACATATAGCTTCCCTTACTTCTTGTATAATGAGGAAATTAATGATATTTTCCAGCTTAATCAGTTTTGTATAAGCACTCTCATACATTAGAAGTAGAAAGAAAAACTCATATGAAATTTCAGTAGGAAAACTTAACAACTTGTTCAACAAACTATAAAATATAAACTTCTTTTTGGAATAATTTTCCTCCATCCACACTGTCCTCCTAAAAAAATCCTGTAAAAATTGCTATGCGTGGATGTTCACCATAATTTTATTTATAATAATATGATTAACTAAAATATGGAATGTCCACATTGTGAAATATGTTCACTATACTTGATATATGTATTACTGTATTTGAAATGTCCAGTAAAGGAATAAAGTAATTTATAAAGCTAACATAGATATATATTTATTGACATGGAAATAGAAGCGCAGTATATTCTATTGCGAGAATAATATCCAAAGCAATATACACATTGTTCCCTATTTTATTAAAAAGTTATGTTAGAAAATACATTTGAAGACATTACACGTAAGTTTTTCTATATCTATTTGGTGTGAATTTTCAATGGTTTTGTGAATAACTAGAACAAGTACTTTTTTTTACTTAAAAAGAAAGAATCTTCCCAGTCATTTCTATAACATTGGAATCTTTTTTTCCCAAGATCAAAACAAAAAACTTATGATTACATCTTCAATTCACCCAGACCAATAGCATCCACTTAAAACAACTAGTTTGGAATTTGTGTGTACAGCAGTGGTTGTGTTACCATGTTACCTGCTACCTTTGTTAAGAGATGAGTTTATCTATGGTGTTGAGATTTCTTATCGTTAGAGATATGCAGGTTAATATTACTGGAATTAATCATTCTTAATAGAGACTTTAAAATAGGTGAGAAAAAGGTTGACCCAGCATTGATTTCCTTTAAGGTTTATAATATTTCCATCTGCTTGAGATTATTTTCATCAAGTTTGTGGAAAATTTACTGAAAAATAAATCTTAACACAGTACCAGCTTATAAACTATCACATTTTTGTCTAGAATAAAATATTATTTTATATTAACATTTCACAATGACCTTTTAGCAGTCTTATTATGGACAGCTCTAAAGCTAAGCTGTCATGTTAATGTAAGTATTGTTGGCAAATCATTTAAAAACAGTGTTATTTACAAGGTTTGTGCTAGAGCATTTCCTATACATTAGATGACTTTCAAAATGATAAGTTGCATTGTTAATAGTTAATAATAGAAGTTAGCAGTAAATATTTCTCTTCTTAGACCCACTTTTCACTGAAAAAGAGATTTCTACATAGCTTGCTCCAAAATGGGATTGAAATATACATATCTGGTCCATTCATCTACACTCATTTACCCGCTTCTTCCCAAGAGAAGAAGAATGGCTGATCTGATCTTACTATCCATTGGGTCATGTATCTAATGGACACAGCTAGGGTTCTATATTATCCTGTTGTCATTGCTACTTTGTGTATTACTGTCTGCCCATGAGTCATTGAGATAAGCCAAATACTTGGGCTTTTAATAATTGTTCTTAATCTGCTTAGGGCCCAAGAGAACATATGAGCATACAGATTTCAAGGTTTTGACTAGGGAAGGAGAAGAAAACTTGATTCCAGTCTTGCTTTTAGCCACGATCTCTACTTTTGGATGTTGCTGGTTAGGTCACCCTCCTCTTTTCTCTGTGATGTCATTATCTATCACTCTTTTCACCTCTCTCATTCCTTGCTGTGCCACAAACATGCAAAAGCTATTTCCTTTGTCTGGAAATTCCTTACCAAGGTATTCATATTCTGCCCTTCTCGGTTCTGACGATATCAAGTTATCGAAGGTTAATAGGTGACATGGTAACACAACCACTGCTCCACACACAAACTCCAAACAAATCATTTTAACTGGATTCTATTGTTCTGGGTGTAATGAAGATGCAATCATATTTTTTGACCACTCTATCGAAGAGTTACCTCCGTGCCCCTCAAGCTCTAGTCTCCTCAACCTGATTTATTAATTTTCCATAGAGCTTACCACAATCATACTTTTTAAAATAATTAAGTCAACCACAATTGAATTGTTTGATAAATGAAAAAAATGAATGGGATTAATTTTAAAAAATGGGATATTGACTAGTCATTAATACAGAAGGCAGATGGGTTCATGTTTGCTCTCTGGCTTATTTCTGTGCTTTATTCATAGGTTCCTGAAGCCTGAAACCATAATCCACCAGCATTACCTCATTTGAAATTGGCTCTAGATTCAGCATTATAAAAATGCTTATTACGGTTATGGATTTCAGGTACCACAGTCATAAGGGAAGGATAGATTTTATGAATAAATATAAAGAGGATAAATTTCTTTACTTAGAAAGGGAACATAGCATCTTATTGAAATTAGGTGGAGAGAAAAAATATACATTTAATGGAACTTTGCAAAAAATAGTGCAAAAGTAAGAACTTAAATTCATAATCCAGGAATTATTGAATCTAAAAATAAATAAATAAATTTTGCTCAAAATTCAGTAAAAAATACTTCAAAGAACAGATTTTTTAGAAAGTAAAATAAAATGAAGAAAGATATGTTCATTGAACTGGGATAAGACAAGCCCACACTTGATAAAAAAAATTTTAATATATGAAAGGAAAAGTAAGTATACCTACACGTAACTCATGTTATCATTTGAACTAGACAAATGGAAAGTTGACACTATCCCAAATTGACGGAAAAAAAATGATGATGGGCACAGTCTCAGAGTTATCTTGAATAAATCTTACAAAGCAGTCAAATGTCAAGAAAATATTGAGAGATGCCCCTCAACAGAGGAACAGAGTAATTTTAATCCCTGTTTTCATGACTGGAATGACTGCTCCTGGGAGTTACTAAAAACTTTTGGATTTGAGAAGTGTCCTCAGCATGGAATATTTCAATCATTTGTAGGTGAATTGAAGGCTACAGATGTATTATAAACAAAAAGCATTATTTCACATGCCCTGAGGTAACATTGTTGGGAAATATTTGAAGTCTAGACTCAAAGGAATATACACCGAAAATGACACATACACCATGAAGAACAAAAAACAGACTGCAGGCTTGACTTACGAGCTGCGTTCCCAATAGAGATTCCTTCTGTAGAGTATTACCCTACATAAGGAAAATGGGACTGAGACAATTCCCATACACGATAGGTGCATTTGCATTCAGAAGTCATAATCTTCATATGTTTTTCCACATAGCCCTCCATAAATATAATTCAAGGGAGGATGCTAAGGCACATATGTCTGTTCCAAAAGGCAAAGTAGAAAAGAAAACAAAGAATTACACCTTTATTGAGCAAATAAATTTTACTCTATATTAAGTGGAGAAGAAATGAGGCCAACTTACAAAACAAGTAAAATATTGTGAAAGCACAGCTGAGTTGGCTTGAAAAGAGTGGAAATGGCAATTGAAAATGAGAGGCTCATCTCTGAATTTCGAAGAAGTTGGGAGTATCTTAAATGCCATGCACTGAAAGAGGAGGTTGTATGCATACATAAAAAGCTTACCAGAAATAATGAAATAATTTTGTAAAACCAAAAATCATGATTATAGATTTTTCCCAATGGGCATAAATTAAAAGAAGTTTTCCATAGACACTCCACAAGCTGAACAGCGTCCTGGTGGCACTAAAATATTTCCTTTCATGTATTCTTTCTCTCTTTTCCCATATAATTCCAGCTAACTACTCCTGGAATATAACAGCAATATTGATCTAGCTAGGGTCTTTAATTTGTTTGGGGAATGTAATTGGATTTGAGAGAATAGATACAGAAGTTAAAATTTTTCTCACATCGTCTAAATGTTTAGATGGAGAACTTGTCATGATGTTCTTACGTTGTATCCTTTTTCTAAAAATTAGAAAATATTAGCACTTTATGGTTGAAGTAACTCAAATATACAAATTGCTAAGGAAGCCCCATTTATTTTATTGGAAGAAGTGAGGATGGAACTTTTGTGCAGGAAGGAACTATGAGGAGGATAAACAGGAGCTACTCATATTTATTCAGCCATTTATTCTATCAGAAATTATGTTCAAGACTAACAGGGAAGAATAGTACATGTTCTCAAAGCACATAACATGATTTGTAACTATAATCTGTAGCTCCAGGACAAGGTCAGATTTTCATTTCATTGTAGTAAAAAACCTCTTTACTGATTTTCCAACAAAGGAATTATCAATGGACAAGAACCCCATAAGAATCTAATAGAGAAAGTGTTACTTTGTCACATCAATATACATTGATTGACATCTACCAAAATTGTTGTTAGCGTAGAAGAAACAGCAGCCAAGAGAGATGTATACATTTTCTATAGCTGCTAAAACCAATTACCACAAACTTAGTATCTGAAAACAAATCAATTTGATTATCTCACAGTTTTGTATTTCCTTAGTCTAAAATGAATCTCACTGGAATAAAATCTAGGTGTTGGAAGGGATAGGTTATTTTCTGGATACTGCAGACAAAAAAAAAAAAAAAGAAAAGAAAAAAAATATACTATCCAGCCCTTCCAGCTTCTAGCAGCTACCTGCATTCTTTGGGTCATGTTCCCTTCCACCATCTTCAAAGCTGAAATTGCCTGTCCAGTCTTGCTCACCTCACATCACTCTGACACATTCCATAGTCACATTTCCCTCTGACTGTCTTCCACTCTTGTGATTAAATTAGACCCTCCTGGATAATACAAGATTATCTCCCTAAAGTCAGTTAACTGGTGACCTTAATTCTATATGTAACCTTAACTCTATTTTGCCAGGCAACATAACATAATCATAGGTTCCATGGATTAGGACATAGACATCTTTGAGTAATGGGAAGTTTCATTGTTCTGCCTACCATGAGAGGACTTCTACATATTAGGTGGATTTGTATGCCTACAGGCAAGACCAAGTAGGAATGTTTATTCCTGTTCAAAAAGATTCATTAAGAGAGTGAGACAGGATCTCGCCTTGTCTCCCAGGCTGAGTGTAGTGGCACAATTATGGCTCACTGCAGCCTCAAACTCCTGGGCTCAAGCAATCCTCCCATCTCAGCCTCCTGAGTAGCTGGGACTTCAGGCACGTGCCACCACACCTGGCTAAGTTTTTTGTTTTTTTGTTTTTGAGACAGGGTCTTGTTATGTTGCCCAGGCTGGTTTCAAACTCTTAGACTCAAACAATCCTCCTACCTCAGCCTCCCAAAGTGCCGGGATTAAAGGGGTGAGCCACCACACCTGGCCAGTTTAAAATATACTCTTAAACTTTGTGTCACTATCCCACAATATAGTTTCATAAAACAGCCAAAACCGGCAAATAGATAATAATGCTACAGAAACAAAGTACAGTGTTTCTAAAAAAGGCAAAGATGCTAAAAATTCTGGAGTATTTAAGTGGGAAGATTTTATTTGATTCGTGGGATCAGCATTATTAAGAAGGGTTGTAAAGGGGTACTTCTAAGTAATTTGTTTTTAAGTGTCATTTTTGACTAGTTCATTCAATTAAGAATTGAGAGTCAGCATACTTGAGTAGAAAGGGCAAAGAATTTAGTGTTTTGAGGAACCTCGAGAATTGAAATTCCAGATGTTCTAGTCTTCTCTTATTTCTACAAGTCTTAATCTCTCCAAGCCTAAATTTACTTTCTGTAAAGTAAGGAATATAGATCTAATCCATGGAAATGTCTGTAAAATTAAATTACAGATTAGTATCTAAAGCATCTAGCACACTTCTTACCATAAAATAAATTCCCACTGAATAGTAACTATTATTTTAAGCTACTATCTAAACCCCATTGTATAAAAATTTTATTTATTAGACATATACTTTGAAAATATCAGGCCTTCCATAGACGCTAATATCTTCTGCTCTAGTTTCATTAGATTACATATGCCTGTCATTTTCACTGAGAATATTCTGAAATCAGAATAGGATTTTATGCATATGAATTTAGGCATAAACTCCCACAAAATATCTGATTCTTTTGAGAAGTATATTGATTGAAGGTTATATTGTGTTTATATTCTCAAGATGCAAGTATTTACAGTAACAGTAGAACTATTACAGTATTGTGACTTTGAAGTATTTAACCAGTACAATAATGTTAAATATATTAGATGATTATGTGTCTAGGAAGTTATGATAGCATGTAAAAATAAAATTATTTAAAATAGGAGAGAGGCCAGGTGCAGTGGCTGACACCTCTAATCCCAGCACTTTGGGAGGCCGAGGTGGGCAGATCACTTGAGGTCAGGAGTTCAAGACCAGCCTGGCCAACACGGTGAAACCCCCCATCTACCAAAAAAAATACAATTAGCCAGGCATGGTGGTGCGCACCTGTAGTTCCAGATACTCGGGAAGCTGAGGTGGGAGAATCGCTTAAACCCAGGAGGCAGAGGCTGCAGTGAGCTGAGATTGCACCACTGTACTCCAGTCTGGGTGACAGAGTGAGACCCTGCGTCAATAAAATAAAATAAGAGAGAGTGGAAATAAATTGTAACATAACTAGAAGTGGCAAGGCAGACATATGCCAATTTTTCAGCAGGATAGTTGTCTTTGAATCTAGTGCTTCTTGTAGTGTCTGGGACATCCTAGATGTTTAAAACAAAATACGTTATTGGAATTGAAGTCAGAGTTTTCATCATGTTCATTGTATCTTTTTATACTGCAATTGGCATTAATTGGTCTTAGTAAATGGTTGTGGGAGTTGTGACTAACCTGAGATAAATGTGAGACTTATCTTTAACTTTTTTTTCAGTCTGATTTTTTTTTTTTACTCCTGTTCATAGTTTGCCAGTTTCTGATTTATTATTACCTTTTTAAACCATTGTTTTTCAATATATGCCTTTCATTAATATACCTGAAATCTTAATATGAAATCAGACTAGTCACCAAAACAAATAAACATTCAGGCCAAAATTCATTCAGATCCAGCCTAGCTTCCACATCATCTGTGCTACATAAGAGCATTGCAAAAGTAATACGATTTTATGCTTTTGTGTGTCTTGTGTGTTCAAATAAAAGGATGAGTTTTATAGGGGCAGTAGTAGTTTGTTTGTCACGGATACAAAGGGAGCAGGAAATATGTTTTAGTGGCATGCCCAGCACCTTGAATTAGGCTATATTATTACCTCCATGACACCTATTGCTCTTTCTGACACACTCATGCATAAAGTATGTAGATTTCTCTCAGCTCTTCAGAATCCAAACAGACTGCAAGAGCAAATTATCCTTTCATGCAATGTACGGTAGTTTCTATAAATTATGGACATTTTCTAATCACGTTTTTTTTTTGAGTCATGTTTTTTCCTCGGTTGCTTCTGACTAGAGAGCTTCACAATAACTTTCTCTCTCTCTCATCCACTTTGTTGTTTTTCCATTTATCTTCCTATGCAACTTCTAACCATGTGGTGCCTAATTTGTAGAAAAGGACAAACAGGTGGCCTGTTTGAGCTGTGGCCTTGAAGTCAGGTTCAGTGAGAAAGGGGACAGGCCAACTGACTTCTATGGAAAGAGAGCTGCATTAGAGGAAAGTGGCTCAAGCAAGTAATCTATCTGTAAAGTAGTCATGGTCAGGTATCTAAAAAGTTGTTTGCATGAAGAAACTATGTGGTTAGTAGTGTGTAAGATAAAATGAACATAAACAAGTATCATCAAGGTGAAACATGTTTCAAAGCACCTAAGTCTTTGAGTTGGTATTCATTCAATCATTCATTTCACAAATGTTTATTTAATGTCTACTATATGCCAGTCACTGTTCTCATATCTGAGGATATCACAGGAAGTTATGCAAAACAAAAGCACCTGCGTCAATGAAGCCTTTATTCCAGTGAAAGAAGCAGAAAATAAACAGTAACATCTGAAGAAATATAAAACAGGATAAGAGGAAAGAATTTGTGGCTACCATTATAAATAGAGTAGTCAGGGAAGTTCACTACCTCTCATACATAACTGAGAAAAAAGGTATAAATCTAGTCTTCTTTACTTTCCAATAAATATTGATACAATTTTTAAGAAATCTTTTTCTTTTCTTTCTTTCTTTCTTTTTTTTTTTTTGAGAGAGAGTCTCACTCTTTTGCCAGGCTGGAGTGCAGTGGCACGACCTTGGCTCACTGCAACCTCCGCCTCCTGAGTTCAAGCGATTCTCCTCTCTGCCTCCTGGGTTCAAGTGATTCTCCTGCCTCAGCCTCCTGAGCAGCTGGGACTACAGGCACCCACCACCACGCCCAGCTAATTTTTGTATTTTTAGTAGAGACGGGGTTTCACCAGGTTGGCCAGGATGGTCTCGATCTCTTGACCTGGTGATCTGCCTGCCTCGGCCTCCCAAAGTGCTGCGATTACAGGTGTGAGCCACTGCGCCTGGCCAAGAAATCTTAAGGATATTTGGGAACTTGATAATGCCACCCCCTCAATTAGCTTACTTAAGACAATCAGCTCTCCTCATTAGGTTGTGTAGATAATCTGGTAGAAAGTATTCTATGCTCCCAGTGGTTTGTAGAGTGTGCATTTCAGCATCTGCTTAACAATGAAGACTGGAAGAGACAGCAATTCCTAGGAGGATAGAGGTAGAAAAATTATTTTTGTTTTGTTTTGCTTTGTTTTTTTTTTGTTTTTTAAAACCCTCAGGAAAAATTGAGATGGATTTTAAACCAAGGAAATAACCTCGTCTTTTGTAGCATCTTCATCCCTCATGTCCTGTTGCATACTCCCTACCTTGGCCTTTCAGAAACCCTATCATAGGCAGAAGAAACCCCAATCAGTGAATCAGACCTGCAGTCCTCTAGGTTTTCAGTGTTTTAGAAATGTGGGATTGAGGATAAAGAACATTTTTGTTAGGTATATCAGGCCAGGATGTGATTCTATAGTTCCAAGTTGGTATTTGGAACCCATTTTCCAATAGTGATGTTATTATGCAAGCTACTTAGGGCTTGTGGTAATACTATTTATCCACCATTTTAGTTATTTTCATAATCTTCTATTTAATCTTATATGGTCATATACATACATAATTGTATATATCATGCACATATATTTTATTTATACTTTCTTTGAGTCTCCAAAAATTAAAAAAAAATGTAGTGGAGGCTAACTTGGAAAACAGCCTAAAACCACAACACACATTTTTTATACAGCAAAAAAAGTTCCATATTCCAAACAAATAATAACAATGCGTTCAGAGAATCCACCTGTTTGTTTAGTTGGAAACAGCTTTATAGTAGAGCTTCCGAATAAAATTACACTAAGCTCTATATAAAGAACATTGGTAGACATAATTACCCATAACATTCACACAAATACAACACTGTTCTGTACAGAATGAAGAAACCAAAAAATGACTAATTTCCTCCCAATAAGTTCAAATGATACACTACCATGTGGTTGCTCCCTTACTGTTTTTCCTTCCAAAATGTCTTTAAAGCTGTAGTATCAGGAATAAAATATCTCATAAAAAATTTAATAACATGAGTTATTTTGTAGAAAGAAAATTAATTCACATATATTACTAAATGAAAGTCCCAAATGGTAAAGCTCTTTCTGGAAAAGGTTATTTGTAATGACCAAATTCGTCACTGTTTGGAAACTTGTAAAGGTCACAATAGAAGGTTTTCACTTGTTTTAAATAAAATTCTATATTTTAGAAATAAATATGCTTTTCTTCCATTTCATAGAAATATCAACACTGTTTGCACTATAATTTACTTTTTGAGCCTCTGACATTTACCCAGCTGACTGTCTTTGGAGAACAATCTCTTGTCTGAGAAGCACTCTAGGTAAGAAAACTGTCAATTACAAATTACTGTTTGATGCATTGCAAAGTGCAGGAACTCTTCAAATCTAAATAATGACCTTGTTAAATACTTTTGTGTCTACTACCTCTAACTTACACCTTAAACAGAGTTTTTATGTAAATACAGAGCAATTTGACTAAAAAAAAAAAGATTATCAAAGAAGAGGAGTGCCTCAATGAAAATAATTATGCTATAAAGCTAGTAATGGAGTATTTCTAAGTTCATAAAATGTTAAATTAGATTTGAAATACTGTGAAAGTCTCAATATTATAGGCTTATCCTGTTATCTTGAGGGAAATATATTTTATTCATAAAATAAGTAATTGAAATCTTGACTTTTATATATGTATATATAATTTGAATTAATTGTAAAATTTACATGTTTAATGACGTAAGGTGAATGGATATATAATTTATTAATGTCCATATTTTATATTTATTCTGAACACATCTTAATACCTATACTACATCAACAAGATACATTCTTCAAAATTAAAGTAAATATTTTCTAAGAGTAATTTATAGTGATTTAAAAGAGAAAAAAGGAAGCCAATGCAACATAAACTGATTATCAAAGATAAATGTTTCTCTCTTGTAATTGACATTATAAATTGTATACTTACAAATGTATGGTAAAACACGTGAATCCACTTTGTGTCTTTAGTATCATGTGCATTTACTAAATTTTACTGTAGCATAAACTTGTACCTTCAGTATATTTATCAAAAATATTATAAATGTATAATTGAAATAATAACTTTTGCTAAAAAGAATTTCATCTTTCAGTAAAATTTAATGTCAGTTCTGGGATGAATGATATGTAAATACTTTATATTCAGACAGCAATCCTCTCCAGAGGAAAACAAAAATGAAATTCTCCTTATTATGGCTAACGCTTAGTTTAAAATTTGCTTGGATTTAAACAAATAAGAATTTACATTTTAAACATGTACTTTTTAAGACTTATTTCCATGTTTTAAGATAAAGGAAAATATTGTTGAATTATATTTTCAGTTTATAGAGCTGATACATATAGAGAGAGATACATGTATACACAGCATATACATATATATCATTAGAGCTGATATACATGTATGTATGTGTGTTTATATATATACACACATACAAAATATGTGTATTTGTGCACTCACAGTGAGCGTTCAAATGTTTGTCTCTTGATTTGTCATTTTTCTGTATCTAGTGAAAGCACTATGACCAGTTTTTTTAATAGTCAAATAGATCTAATAGACGTTCCACCTCAACTTTATGATAATCTGCAAACACACATGTGTTATTTTGGGTCATACTTCAAAAATGATTTTACATGCCGGGCATGGTGGCTCACGCCTGTAATCCCAGAACTTTGGAAGGCCGAGGTGGGCGGATCACCTGAGGTCAGGAGTTTGAGACCAGTCCGGCCAGCATGGTGAAACTGCGTCTCTACTAACAATACAAAAATTAGCCGGGTATGATGGTGCGCACTTGTAATCCTAGCTACTGGGGAGCCTGAGGCAGGAGAATCCTTTGAACCCAGGAGGCGGAGGCTGCAGTGAGCTGAGATCCAACCATTGCATTCCAGCCTAGGCACCAGAGTGAGACTCAGTCTCAAAAAAAAAAAAAATTATAATAATTTTACAAATCAGGATTGGTTTGCATAATGAATGCAGACATTCATTTATACCTTCATTAGTGCACTCATTCAAAAATACTAGGTCAATTGCTAAACAGAGTTACAATTCCAAATAAGCCAGCAGTTCTCTCTTCCAGGACATCATAATCTCATTAAGGCAAACAAGTAAATAAGAAATTTAAATACAATGTAAGAAATGACATAATGAAGGCAAAGTAATGGGGGCACATCAGAGAGGCAGTGGAGGGGTTTAAGAGATGCTTCCTAGAGTATCCAAATTCTAAACTAGATTGTAAGGGATTAGCAGGAATTGGATAATAAAATGGTATCTACAAGTGACATTAATACTTTTGCAATGAGAACGAAGTTTAAATACAAAGAAGTACGTCATTTGTGGTTTCACAATTCCCTTATTTCATTATTACCAAAGTTTTATCTGAACAGTTTTATGGACTTTAGAAAAATATTTTACATATTTAGACTGGCAGTGATTTCTGCAGATTCTGTCTTGGCTTGTTGGTTTCTCTATGAGCAAATGAAACTTTAAGCAGCTCATTTTGTGTTTGTTTTCCTAATTTCATTTAAAGAATTCTCAAGTATTAAAAATATTATGATAATTCAGATTATGATTTAAATAACATAAATCCTCAAAATTAAGACTTTGTTTTTTAAAGCACATTATATTGTGGTGCTATTGCTAGTTATAAGTTAAACATCAGACTTTTTCTTTCTCTAGGCCTAAGTCTATGTATTGCGTACTATTGTGGAGCACATGATTATCTGTTAGACATCCACAACGTGTTCGAATGTTACGATCAGAAGTATGACTTCTGTCATCTGTTCGTTCTTCCTTGTTATTTTCCTTAACTTTGCTAGCATAGAGGGCATCCTTATTAGAATGTTCATTAAACAGAGGTTTCAGCACTGCCTGTGTTAATAAAATCATCAAGCATTCCTTTATAGGCATGACAGGGAGACTGCTCATCTATCATGAGTATTTCATTAAGTGCTACAGAGCCAAGAGCTCCAGGAATAATGCCAGATTTTTTTTTAAAATAGAATTTCAGTATGTTGGAGTTTCTCTCATTTTAAGATCTGTACAATTTGTAGACTTACTCACCTGTGTATTCTCACAGTACCCCCTGACACACAGGATACAAACACCTTGATTAGGGTTCTTCTGAGCTTTGAATGAATAACTCAGAAAAATGTTCTCAATAACCTGTCCTTGTCACCCAAAAATGGACAAAGAGAAAAAAAATCTTCAAAGTTCCAATTAAAACTCGCTCTGCAAAGGACTTCACAAAAGAGTTCATCTTTCTATTACAATTTTATTTTTTGGCAAGTCATCACATGTATTTTTGTAAAACATATCAACAAAAGAAGGTTAGTGTTGACCAGTTTCATGAAAATCCATTTCTTAAGTAATATCAGGAAACCCATTCAAACATCTATATGCACACTTAGATGAACAATCTAATGGTAGAGTTACCTCAGTCTAATTGTGGTATAAAAATACTGTTTTGAAACAGATACAGAAAACTGCACATATCTGTTATTTAGAAATCAATGCGATCAAATATATATATATATACACACACATATATACATATATATGTATACATATATACACACACACACACACACACACACACACATATATATATATATATGTATATATTTGAGACGGAGTCTAGCTCTGTCACCCAGGCTGGAATGCAGTGGCACGATCTTGGCTCACTGCAAGCTCCGCCTCCCGGGTTTAAGCGATTCTCCTGCCTCAGCCTCCTGAGTAGCTGGGATTACAGGCGCATGCCACCATGCCCAGCTGCTTTTTGCATTTTTACTACAGACAGGGTTTCACCATGTGGGTCAGGCTGGTCTCGAACTCTTGACCTTGTGATCTGCCTGCCTCAGCCTCCCAAAGTGCTGGGATTACAGGCATGAGCCACCGCACCTGGCCAAATCTATATTCTTTGAGAGAATGCTTTTGGGCTGCAGTGAATCAAATGTTTCCTTCTCCAGCCTTAGGACAGAAAATTGGCCATAATGAATCCTAGGTAATGTCCTCAGTGCTTTCCCCATTAGGTTTAGATGGAATAGCAAGATCGCTGCTTCTTGACAACCATACATTGCACACTGTTTCGGATAGCACCCTATGGTCCTAGAGACAAATATTCAACCTAGGGTTATCCTGATAGAAAGCTGGTGTCTAAGTGGTAATCCTTCCATTGAAAGAGCAGTTGCCATCATACTCTGGGACAAAAGGTTTGTCTTCGAAATTATTAAGAGATGTAGCAAGTATCTATGACTTGTTGTTTGAAAGTTTGAATGTTCTAGGCTTGGAAGTTTGCCAAGAGCAAGTGTTTCATTTTCTTTTGGAGCCAGTCATTAGCCTGGGCAGCATAAAGTTATGTTTCTCCTTACCCAACACCAACCTGAGTCTCCATCCCTAATCTTAAAATTCTTTATCAAGTTTCCAAGTTAAAAATCAGAAATGCTTTTGTGTCAGTCTTTAACATTTAAACTGTCAGGTTAGGAAGAAGAGATCAACAACGTGGCTGGGTAGGGCCTTATCTTTGAAACCAAAGCTGCCAATAAACAAAACACTTAAAATGCGATATTTCATAGGAATTAATGTTAGATAAAGAAAGGGAGGAGCTGAATTTCAATTTTTGTCCATGAAGTTAAAGTGAAGCTATAAAACAGTCACAAATTTAGATTGCATGCATTTAATCACATGTGGTAATAAATTGTAATAGTTTTTCATTCTGCCCACCATTTTGTGATTATGGTGCTTCGCTTTCTTTTTAGGCAGTTTTCAAAATTGAGATTTCTTTATTATTTCAATTAGCAACTAAGTGTTAAGCATCTACTATTTGTTTGTTTATGGATGATCCACTCCTCAAATATGGGGGCTATGTGTCTTTAGCATTTGTGTTCACAGATGCGAGCTAAAGGACTGGCACATAAAACTGAACAGGTAATTATTTGACAAATGAATGCAGTATGCTAGAGGAGAAAAGATACTAAAGAAGATGTAGTCCTCAAAGAATATATACACTTTTGCCCTGAGACAGACACATAAATAGATACTTACAGTTATATTCTATGACTGAGGTCTACTGCCAAGTGCTCTACGGTCCTAAAAAAAACTGGAACTTATTCTGGGTGCGGTGGCTCACGCCTATAATCCCAGCACTTTGGGAGGCCCAGGTGGGCAGATCACTTGAGGTCAGGAGTTCGAGGCAAGCCTGGCCAACATGGTGAAACCCCGTGTCTACTAAAAATACAAAAATTAGCCGGGTGTGATGGCACACACCTGTAGTTCCAGCTACTCAGGAGGCTGAGGCAGAGAATGGTTTGAGCCCGGGAGGCAGAGGTTGCAGTGAACTGAGATCGTGCCATTGCACTCAGCCTGGGTGATAGAGTGGGACTCTGTCTCAAAAAACAAACAAAAATCCAAACAAACAAATAAAAATCTGGAACTCAGAAACCAGCATCCTGGAGTAGGTGATATTTGAACTAAATAACATTCATTTGAGTTTAGAAAATGTTTTGAAAATAAGCAGAAATCAGATCAAGAAAAAGAGAGGCTTAACCATGGAGTGAAAACAGATGTATGAACAACCAGGAAAAGAAAACAACATAGAGCATTTGGAAATGGTATGCGGTTGTATGTGGCTAGAGAAAGAGGCTGTATGTATTTATGTAAATGATTTTAACTAATGCTAGAGTGATAGGCAAGATCTATCTAGATCTTGAAGTGCTGTCATTTTTAATTGAAGGGAATTGACTTCTTCCTGAATGCCAGGGAAAAATCAAAGAACTTTAACAAAGAAAAAGACACAATTTTTTTTGCACTTAGGAAGACTACTCTGGCTTCAGGGAGGCATGGAGCTTTGATAATGGCCAGGCAGGAGACAGCAAGAACAGTCAGGAGACTAAATGTTACTTTATAATTACACAAAGAGTAATGTGCTTTCTCTCATTATCCATTTTTAATTGTTTAACATAATTTCATTGATGTTTGCATTAAAATATTTATTTCAAAATCAACCTACAATTTTTAAAAAGAATTTTCCATAACTCCATCCTGTGATAATAATTTTCTTTTCAATTAATGGGAATTGACACTCATTTTTGTTTAATAAGACAATTTTAAGTTTTAAAATTTTAATTAGAAATAGTGATTTATATACAGTACAATTTGGGTATTAGCTAGCCTGGACCAGATAAAATTTATTACCTTAACCTGAGCACTGCCATACTTTTGAATTTTCTTCCAAAGCAAATGTAAACAGTGCTTCTCTCAAATTTCTCCCATCAATGACTTTAATTAGTGATTAGTGGTTATTGCTTGTGGTTTCTGTATCCCCTCTATTAATGAAAAGTCACAAACTAATGATTGCCTTAAAATGTGCTAAAATGAATCATCCTTAAAAAATAACTTTTCTTGTTACTACTCTATGCATGCTGCTCTCAAAAACAAGATGTGGGGTAAGCTGGGAAAAATAAATAATGCTATATTGAGTTTTTATGACCATTTTTCTTTCTGGGAAGTGAAAAAAATATATTCATCAAAACTGCACTCCAAAAGGGTGACAGCATTAGCTTTTCCATCCCAAAAACTTAGAGTTTAATATAATGTAAATGTAAGTGATTAGTCAATTCAGGTCAGTCTAAAAGGGACAACAAAGTGACATTTCAATTTAAACAGAAACTACTATAGCCAACCTTAATCAGGTTTTCTAATAAATGAGTTGAGGAAGAATATTTCATATTTCTTAATCCAAAAATACCAATTGTCATGACTCTGTTCAAATGCCACATGACACAATATGAAAATAATCATGAACTGAATTGAATATAAATGTGTTATTCTAAATTGCAGATTCTACACTATTTTTGTTTTCTTTCAAACATTATTCAATCATTCAAAAATGTACATTACTTAATAAAATTCAACAACCATTCACAGAACTCTTACTATAGTTAAAATGTTATATTTTGATAAGTGGCATAGACTGAAAGAGGAATTCATCATGCATAAAGTCATTCATTCACCAAACTTATTGAGCTACTGTTCTGCATTAGACTCTGTAGTAGAGATTGGGGATGTATTTCCAAGAAAAGAAAGACCTTGTATCTGACCTTAGGAAGGAACAGAGATATTAATCAAATAATCTCACTAACAAAGACAAATTGACAACTGTACTCCGTAGTATGAAGGAGAGATATACCATACATATGTGAAGGGATTGTCTAGTCAAAAAGATTAGGGCAATCTTCCTTGGGGAAGCTATACTTGAATTGACATCTGAAGGATGAGTTGCACTTAACAAGTTACTGGGGAAAGGGAGAGCAGCTGAGAAAGGAAATAGCATATGTAAATTCATTGTTTAGGATAAATAGGAGGAATCCTAGTGACTACTATGAATTAAAAAGATCTGGGTGATTGGGATGGAAGGTGCTTAGGGTAGGAAGATTCCAATGGGAACCTGTTGAAGAATTTTTAGCAGGAGTGAGAGAATTTGAGGAGAGAGCTTCAAAAGACAATCTAGAATTTCTTTTGAAAATGTCTCCTAGTTACTGTGCAAAAAATAGATGGGTAAAACTCAGAGCAGTATGTCCAGTTATGAGGAAAAGTGTGAGGTAGAGATGAGCATAGGTGTTGATTAGTCCCTGGGTATGGTTGAGATTACCTAGGAAAAGGAAATGAAGTCAGAGGGGAGAAGACTTTGGATTGAGTCTTAAGGAACTCCAAATTTATTGGCTACATTAAGGAAGGTGAGCTTACCAAACACAAGGAAGGCGTAGCCAGAGGGTAAGGAGAAAACTAACAGTAAGTCATGTCAAGAAAACGGAGGAGGAAAAGTGTTTAGGAAGACAGTGGTTAACTATATTAAATGCTACAGAGATTTGAAACAAAATAAGTACTTTTTAAAATACATGTAAGGCTTATTAACATGAAGTCGTTGGTAACATTGGTGAAATTATTTCATGGGATTATGATGATGAAATCCATGTTAGCATGGGTCAAACAGTAAGTAGGAGCAAAGGAAATCGAGACTGCGGAATAGGCCACTACCTAATTGTCTGGCTGTAAAAGGAAGAAGAGAGATGAGACTAACTGGAGAGGAAGGAAAGGGAGAATAAAGTTTGCATTTGGGTTTTTGTTTTTTGTTTGTTTAACTATATGAATTTGGCTATTTTTAGGATCTCTGGGAAGATGAGAAAGAGAAGTGGAATATACAACAGAAAGAAAGCATAAGCTTATCTGAGAAGGATAAAGAGCCTATGAGTACAGGCATAGATGGAATCCACAGAGAGGTTGGGAGATTTTCTTGAGACGGAGCATGGAGAGCAACAGCACTAGTAGAATGGGATTTATGGATATGCAGGAATAATCTGGAAGATTCCATCTGGTGGCTTCTACTTTTATTTTCATAGAGTAGAAGATGAGGCACAGGTCAGATGGATTTTTGATTCATCCAAGGTTGGGTTTGAAATAAAGACAAAGCTCTAGGAGGCAAAAACAATGTTAAGAGTGTCACAAAGTCCAAACTAGTGGAGAGATAATATAGCTGAAAATATTGAGAGAAAGTAGAATGGTCAGTAAAAGGAATAAAGGCAATGATTACCTTGCAGAATAATTGTATTGATAGTATTTGATTAGGTACTCTGAATGGAGAGATGTAGTACATAGCCGATATTTATCAACAAAACATTGTCCTAGGACATAAAGCAATACTTCTAGAGTTCAAAGAAGGGAAAAAGAAGTTTGCAAAAAATGTCACTGCAGCCCTTAGGGAGTTGAAGTTCTGGATATATAATACTTAAATTGGTGGCAAGGGTGCTTAAAGTAGGGGATAGAATGTGCTGTTGGACAGGAGGAGAATTCCAGGTAAGATAAGCCCAAGAATGAAGAAACAGTGACAGACTTCCCTGTAGTATGATAATCAGCTCAGGTTAGCTGAAGCAGAGGGCATATGAAGGGAGAAGTAAGATGACCTTTGGAAAAGTAGTATGGGATGCAGATTGGGTAGGGCTTTCAAGAAAGGTAGAGAGTAAATGTAAATACATTTCATTTTTAAAGTTTCCATAGTGAAAAGCAAAGTCAGCAGAGATTTCCGAAGAAGATGTGAACAACAAGTAAATTAAAAACTAGAATGTATTTGGCCAGATATTTTCTGGATTAAAAAAGGCCAAATGTTGGTCTGCCAACAAAAGAATGATCAAGTGCTACAAGAAAAAATATTAACACAGCTACACTTTGCTTCATTAAACACTGATTATCATTGACAAGTTAACCAAAATATTGGTCTTTTCCAATTGGCATGTCGTATACATTTCTGAAGCCAAAATCAGAAAATTGATCTTTAATGCAAAACCAGATATATAAGAGGCATCTGCTAATTTTAATAAGTTCTGGCACAAGGCTTCAAATAAGGGGCAGGTTTTGAAATAGAAAACTGAGGTTTTCATAGTAAATTTACCATGGATACTATCAAAGCCCTTGATGGAACCAGTGATTCTATTTCTCTTTTTCACGTTCAGAGGATGCTGTAAATAAGGAAATTGAGAAGAGGCTGACAGTAATTAAAGGTCTTCCAGATTTTGTCCTTAATCTGGATGTAAAGAAAGAGAAAGAGATTCAAGTTGGAAGTCAAATCAGGACTTTAGTATTTCTGTTTTCCACGCAAAACTGCTTCTGGGGAAAGAAATTGAAACTAAAATGAGTCCTTGATAATCTTGAATTGACCATTTGTTGCAGGTTAGAGAAAATGAATTGGCAGAATAAATGCAAGCCATGTTTTTGTTCCTATCTACCAAGAAAGAATAGACCTGCCTTTATTTCAGGCAGGTTTGGGAAGACTTTGAAAGTCATTCCTCTGCTCATATCATGTGATAATGAAAAGTGAATTGATCTACATTCCATTCTCTTTCATTTGAAATAGTTTCCCTTTAAATAGGCATTTAAACATGACCATGCTATAATATCTTCACAATGGGATTCATTTTCTTTTTATGATCAATGTGTTATTTATGTAGATTTACAATATACACAAAAAAAGAAATGTAACTTTTGTAAAATTTTTAGAATACATGATAAAATTTATCTTTGAATAGTCTTTGAATAAAATATCTACTTAATAAATTCAAATACATGAGATTATTTGGATTGCCAAACTTATTTAAGAGAAGTATCTTCTTGCTTGCCATTTAGAATAATCGTTTACTTATAAACAGAAAAAGTGCTCAGTTCAAATGATTCTTCTGCCTGCACTGAAGTAGTTTGAAGTATTTTAAATTAGTGAATCTTTATTAACCATTGGCTTATATTACAATAGATCCTTAAGAAGATATCCACTCTGTCGAATGTATTTTTGAAATTTAAATCTCTTTAAAATGTTCTAGAGTTTACAAACTTCATGAATTCATTTTTGCTGTACTTTCAAATTAAATGATTTGATTCAGTTTTGCTATATCCTATGTAAGAAAAAATGTTTATGCACTAAAATTGCTTTAATTTTCTGCTATTCTTTTGAAATTGCATATAAAATGACAGCATTGAAATGATCATTTCACATAAAGTAACAGGGACAATATTAACTTCATAATTATACAAACAAAGCCAATTAACAAAATGCTTGAAATTATTTTATTGCTTTGAACAACACACAAATTTAATAGATTGAAAATCAAAGTTATAGTTTAATAAAGGAAGCCATTTAGATGTCAACACTAGCTTAATTCTGATGCCTCCAGGTCTGAGCAGTCAGTCCATCATACAAAGTCAAGGAACCTCTGAAAACCCACATGGCTGACAGTGGCCTCAAGTAACAGGAAAAGTATAGAAACTTGACAGGCAACCTGCTGCCCTGAGTTGCCAGCAGAAAACATGCAAAGTCATTTTATTTTACAGCACTATCAAACTTCTGAATGTGTCCTCATGATGACCAGTTATTTCTGACAACTTTGAGAAGAAAAACTGTAAAATCTCATTAACAATTTTACAAATATATAAGTATTCAGAAAATGATTAACAATCTCAACTTGTTTACCCACTGGGCATGTGTATGTTTGAGTAGGCCAAAGAATTATGTTCACATCTTCAACATATGGAAGTTCCTTTCAGAATAGAGCAATTACTGCACTACACTTCTCAAAAGCCTGCTTTGGGCAACAAAGATAGCATTAGTTGATAGAGAAAGAGGCATTAAAAACAAACATACTGAGATTTCCTTGAAAATTTATTTAATTTAAAACAAAATGTAGGAAGAAATTATCTACTTTGCATTTTATATATTCTAAAAAATCAGTCACTTAAAATGTCATAAACATAAGTTCTTTAAAATATTTATCAATTATTTTCCACCTTTTATTTCTTTTCTTGGCTTCTATGAGATGAATTGCTTGGTAAAACCCAGTACTGATTTGAATACCACAGAAAATCTTTTCTGATTAGCAAAAGGAAGCTGAAGTAGGGAAAAGACTTGCTTCAGAAAATTATGGAAGGGCCGGGTATGATGGCTCATGCCTGTATTCCCAGCAATTTGGGAGGCCAAGACTGGAGAATTGTTTGAAGCCAGGAGTTCAAGACTAACCTGGTCAACCTAACGAGACCCCCCCATCTCTACAAAAATTTTAAAAAATATTTAAATATTAGTTAGGCATGGTGACACATGCCTATATCCTAGCTGCTTGGGAGGCTGAGGCAGGAAGATTGCTTGAGCCCAGGAGTTTGAGATTGCAGTGAGCTATGATCATGCCGTTTCACTTCAGCCTGGGTGAGAGAATGAGACCCCATATCAAAAGAAAAAAAAAAAACAGGAAAAGAATAAAAATTATGGAAGAAACATTTCTGTATATAATACTGAGAGGTTAACATCATAAGTACACACACATATAAATATTCATCACATGCATAACACAAGCTTTATGTTATATATGTATATATTCTTAATACATCTTAGAAGAAAGATATACGTATAGACATTTATTATATTATATGGCGTGGTATTTCAAAATATACATTTATTCTGTGCCATGATTAGGATTTTGTACTTTTCAACATGAGGCCTTACTTGACCAATCAGAGAACTAAAAACCAAAAACAAGACTCATAGAGCTCTTGGTTATTATAAAGATTGATACAGATATATTGAAGGGGTGTATTTGAGAGCATTGGAGGAGAGAAATTTTCTTTTGGTTATTTTGCTATGTAGTGTTCACTTCTGTAGAATGCTGCTGAGAGGTTAAGATGGAGATGACAAAAATCCTTCAAAATGCAACCATGGAGACCGTTGATAATTTTGAGGCAAATATTAATATATTAGGTGGTATGGTGTGGTGGCAGCTCAAGTAGAGAGATTTAGAGGGTGATGGTGGAGAGGGATAAATGATAATTTTTATTTTGAATTGGGGAGCTATTACTGTGTTTTAATCATGAAATGATATAATGGAGATGAAGATATTAATGACATTAGATATTGATATTATACTTGCAGAATGGAAGCCTCTTTGAAGAAAGTGTGGGAGGGGCAAATCTAGACCACAGGTGAAGAAAATGGGATACAACAACCAGGAGAGGATGAAAATATGAGATGAAAAATATGGTAAGCTTATAGGTGGAGAGTCAAGAAAGCTATTTTGTATTTGATGATTTGTATTTTCTAAATATCATATGGAGGCATTAGCTTACAAATGATAGGAAAAGATTATAAGTGTCTGAGGAAGGAAGGTGGATAATTGCTGCCTTCATAGCTGCCTACAAAAGGGGAAAAAGTATCACAGTTGACATAATTACAGCCTGGGTCCCTTCCTACCTCTCCAATCTCAACTTAACATCAATCTCTCTCCGGGCCACAAAGCTTCAGCCATGCTCATTTTATTTCAGTACATTCTTTCCATCTATGTACAGGACATATTTTTACCCAATTTGGGGTTTTAGAAGACAAATCTTTTCCATAAAATATTTTTCTATCCAACCACCACAATTTAGATCTCAGCAAAAATGTTTCCTCATGAGGGAAGCATCACAGGGTGTGTATAAAGTCCCCTCTCAGGATTTTCTATATATCATTAGTCTATTTTATTATTTTTCTAATAATATGCCTGACAGTAGTGCTCAATATACATTTGTTCAGTCAAGAAACAGCACTTAGAGCTATCTGATATTTTCCTAATGCTTATTTCTTTACTCAGTTTTTGTCTGTCCTTCTCTTCAACCCCCTGAAATTATAAGCCACATAAAAGCAAGGTCTGTTTTAGATTTTTCACTCATAAATCTAGCACCTAGAACAGCTCTTGTACATAGAACATTACCAACACACATCTGTTGGATGAAATATTAAAACATAAAAGAATGCAAGTTCATTTTACAATAATTTTGTTAAATTTAAAGGAATAACAGTCATCTTAAAGTGATCATGTGATTTTCTCCAAGAAGATGTAGCTCAGGTGTGTTGATTATTCAGGGTTAGAAAACTGATAAGTGAGACAGAGGTAGGGAGTCAAGTAAGTTCATGGTGTTTGTGATGGACCAATTATAATGACTGGGATATAGAAGTTCAAGACAGAAGGGGCTAGTAGAAGGTGAAATTCAAGTATGGCTAATGAATAGGTAAGGTCAATATAATCATATCATTTTGTTGTTAAAGGTAATTAAACATATGAGCTAAAAGAACAGAAAAGCATGGTTGGAGAGGAAAATATTTGAAATAAAAAACCCAGAAGTGGCACAGTTTCTGGTAACGACAGGTCTGATTATAGCTTGTATCATAGGAAGTGAATGGCTGAAAACGAGTGACAGAAATGTTTACTGGAGGTAAAGAAGTAAAGGAGCCAAGAGTACAGGAAGTTACATGTTTCACTTCCATGAATATTGAACTCATGAAAATGAAGTCAGGAGTAATGATGCAAAGACTGATTTCTACATTGAATTTTTCAGTTAATAAGAAGAATAAGAGATCAGGAGGTAAGAACAAGGAGGAAGTTGTAGTGGGTGACAGAATTGAATGACATCAGCTTAAAAAGAATAGGATTTTCTGTGTTTATTTTGATTTTTATGTTTGCAAACTTTAAAGGAGGAGAGAATAATTCGGAAGTTGCAACTTCGAGCAAGGAGGACAAATTGCTTGTCTCTTTGACTTGATGTACAGGAGTTAGAAAATTAGAACAAAAACAAAACAAAGAGACCTCCACAGACAGGACATCAGTAGAAATGGCAAGAAGGAGTCCATTGAAGAGAATACTCAAGGAGAGGTGCTGGAGGTAAGGTTGCTGTGGTACAGCATAGCGTGAGAATTGTGGTTTGAGGACTATCTCCACACATCCTTTGGTGGAGGTAAACTAATTTGTTTTACTGACGAAAGCATTGAAAATGACACAGAAACTCAATTCCTATCAGTGTTCATAGTGGCCTCAAATCTAGCATTACAAGTCATCAAAGGTGAATAATTGGCATTGCTGAGTCAAACGCTGGTTACTTTGTTCTTGTTTGCTACCTATCTATATCCCACTCAACAGGGAGAATATTAATATTAGGTACAAAGCCAGGCCTCAATAAACATTTGTTCAATAAACAAATATGATTTACTATTGCCTATTTCTTGATTACTTATTCCTTTACTTGTTAATTCCACTGGTTGGGGTCAGAAATCACCACAACTAGTCTCAAAATATATTTCTTCAGCAATTTTCACATGCCAATAACTCCTTTTTATATAACAGATGTGTTTTTTGCTGTTGCATATCTGTGCCTAATTTTACTAAAATTGCTATCCATCATCAATTCTAGAAGCCCATGGCATCTTGTGACATTTGGAGATCAATTGCTAGTAGAGACAATTATGAAAAGCTTTGCTTTAATGGACCTGTAATTGGTATTGGTATTTTCTACTTTTATAATTTGCCCAGAATAATCAAATAATTGTTTTCAGTCACAATACATAGAAACATGTATACCTGTTTTCAGAAAATTGTTTAAATATTTCTCTGTAAAGAATAGTTTTTAAGGTTTTGAAAATTTGAAATTTGAGAACTATTTACTTTTCTGAGTACCAATGGGAAAAAGTCTACTGAGCTTCTTTCTAATGCTTTCTCTAATATTAAAAGTCTTCTGTATTATAAAAACAAGCTTTAAAAAATGATACTCCACATTATTAGACACTTTTCTTGTGTAGCTGAGAAAACTAGCCTAGTAGAGCTTTGGGTTCACAGATTCTTTAAATTACATTTGTTGTAGAAGGGTAGATTACATTCAAAGTATAATTGTTTATAGACTTTTTTGTGATATGATATCCTTGTTTCTGTTAAAAATCAAACTTTAAAAAATATATTTAAAGAGTATGCACACTTACCGTATGCAAACTTTCTGTTGCTATGATTTAGAAGCAATAAGTACAGTGGAACAAACAGAAGTTGTGAGGTTTTAATGTTGAGTACATCACTCCACTCTTTTTTTTAAATGAGTTTTCATTGCCAGGCACTACCCAAAGAGTACAGTAACACAGTGCAGGAAAATGGAGAAATAGTTTCCGTCTTTGAGGAATTTACAGTTTATTAAGGGATACAAGCAAGCAAGCAAGCAAGCAAGAAAGAAAGAAAGAAAGAGAGAGGGAGAGAGAGGGAGGGAGGGAGGGAGGAAGGGAGGAAGGAAGGAAGGAAGGAAGTAAGGAAGGAAGGAAGGAAGGAAGGATAGAAGATTTTGGTGTGATAAATCATAGGGTTGTTGCTTGTTTGGGTTACAGACACAACACAAGTTGCTCAGTTAAATTTTAATTGCACATAAACAAGCAGTTATTTTACTGTAAGTGTGTCTCAAATATTGTATGAGAAATATATAAATATGCCAAATCAGGCAATCCTAGCACATGTAGGAAAGGGATCCAAGCTAAACTTCTTACATAAGGGAGCCTTCACTAAGGACATAATATCTAGTTGAACAGGAGGTTAGCCAAGTGATAATTGAGGAATGTAGGTAAAGGGAACAGTACATTAAAATATAATATCATGCTGTGATCTGCATGTTTGTCCCTCCAAACCCCAAATTCATATACTGAAATCCTAACCTCAAGGAGATGGGGCCTTTAGGAAGTGGTTAGGTCATGAGGGCTCCACCCTTATGAATGAAATTAGTGCCCTTATAAAAGAATCCCCAAAGAGACCCCTCACCACTTCCACCATGTGAACATACAAGAAGGTGCAATTTCTGATGCAGAAAGTGGGCCCTCACCAGACACCATATCTGCCAGTGCCCTGATCTTGAACTTTATAACTTCTAGAACTATGAGAAATAGATTTTTGAAATTTATAACTTCTTAGTATGTTATTAAAGCAGTCGAAATGAACTAAGGCAGACCAGAAGGTAAAAAAAAAAAGGTAGAATGCATTTGGAGGACGACAATATGTGCAGTAGGTATATCAGGAGAGGGGCAAAACAGGATATTGGAGTTATCCTGAGGCTCAGCCATGTGTGGAGTCATAACTATGGTGAGGACATTTTAATTTATCCAAATGTTATTTTTTTTCTGATTTGTTGCTTGTGTTATTACTTGGGTTACAGTTCAGAGTGTAGGTTTAATTTGAGAGGGTCAAAACTTGAAAAAGTTTTGGAGACAATATAAAAAATATACCTGAGAAATAGTGATTGTGTAAACAGGAGAGGTGGCAGCAGGGACAGAATAGTGCAAATTCAGGATCTAGTTAAGGCTTAATATCAATAGAATTTTGTAATAGGAAGTGGTTAGGTCATGAGGGCTCCACCCTTATGAATGAAATTCAGATGGACGTAATAAAGGAGAGGGAAGATTCAAGGATAACACCTGAATTTATATAGGATAGGCAAGTTTGAAATTTTCTTAGCCAGGCAATATGCAGTTGATTCTTAAACAATACAAAGGTTAGGGGTGCAAACCTCCCCTTACAGTTGAAAATTCATGCATAACTTTTGACTCCCCCAAAATTTAACCTACTGTTAATCAAAAGCCTTACAGTAAACATGAACAGTAATGAACACATTTTGTATATGTTATATGTGTTTTATACCATATTCTTAAAGTAAGAAAAAGAAAATATTGTGAAGAAAATCATAAGGAAGATAAAATCTATTTACTCTTCATTAAGCGGAAGTAGATCTTCAGAAAGGTCTTCATCCTTGTCTTCATGTTGAGTAGGATGAGGAGGAGAAAGAAGAGGAGGTGTTGGTCTTGCCATCTCAAGGGTGGCAGAGGCAGAAGAAGTGATGGAAGCAGAAGGGGAGGGAGAAGAGGGAGACGTACTTAGTAAAGCTTTTATTGAAAAAAAGCCACATGTAAGTGGACCTGTGCAGTTGAAATTCATGTTGTTTAGGATCAACTATAGTGTGAAAAATATGCTGGAAGCAGTGGAAGTGTGATGAGGAGAGGTTTATAGAGTATGAGGAACATAAGCAACATCCAAGAGCAAATTTTTAGCAGGGAGTTAGTTACACGTCAGTGAAGCCCAGAAGAAAGAGCTAGGCTTTAGCAATAGATTGGGAGTATTGGTTGTTCATAGATAAATGTTTCTCAAAGTGTTATTCCTGAAGACTGAAGACATGCATCAAAATGACCGTGGGTTCCTGTTAAAATTCCTGGACCCCAACTAAAATCACTACATTTAACTTTATCACAAACACCCAGATGGTTCTTGCACATACTGAAGTTTGATTATTCCTGATAGAGACGATAGATGAAGGGTTGTACCTGGATAGCAGGGACAGTATAGTGTGACAAACATACAGAGTTCAGATGATGTGGAGTACTACCAAAAGACATTGAGTCCCCAGGGAAACTTAGAAGAAGCTACCAATGAAATCCCACCCCCCAAAAAACAAACAAACAAACAAACAGATAAGGATGGTATCAGGGAAACTAAGGTTATAGGGTTTCAGATTTACATGTTTGTGTCTTTACGATGTTGTAGACTATATGATTCAGCGACTGATTGTTTAAGCCCTATATCTCCAGTACCTAACACATAAGATGTATTCCTCAATTTTTGGTTTAATGAATAAATGTAAATGTTTAATCCATGATAATTGCAAACTGTGCAATTTGCCATAAATGATATTATTTCAACTAGAATTTATTTTGAGGAAGAGGATACATTTTAAAAATAACTATAAACCTTTCAATCAAATATCTGAGGTAAATATTTTCCACTTTACATTTTGTTCACACATAAGTATTATCCAAGAAAAAGTTGTTATTTTATATATACATATTTAGACTTAGATTCTGATAGCATTTGGACTGGCTAAAATTGTCGTATGTTCTCACTAAAATGGGACTATTTAGATTTTATTCAATACAATAAGAAATTATTTAATAAGATGCTAATACTACACTTGCACAATGATTTATCTCCACTTTTTTATTTCCTCTGTGTTATAAATCTCTACATTGGAGATAAGTGTAGCAGCATTTCAGGTATGCGTTAGATGAGTTGGCATACATAACCCAAGGCTCTATATTTTAAAACACTTACAGGATTCAATTTTTAAAGGATTAAAAAAAAAGATGAAAGAAAAAGGCATAAAATAGCTCTACATATTATATCTGTCAGTATATTAATATACCTAGCTTTTCAGCATCCCCCATTTCAATTTTGATTTGGTGACTCAGTGCTGTTTAATTCACCACTTCCATTTTTAAATTCCCTCTTGCTTTTCCATTGCCCAGTGAAAGTTTAATTTGTATTTATCCCCATTTTTTAGCACATAAAATTGTAGCCTATAACAATGACGTAAGTATAAGGAGGCTATAAAATTATTGCAATAAATATCCTGGATATTGTAAGAAAAGACCTCCTGTCACGAGAAGGAATATTCATGTAACTCAAACTTCCCTATATATTAGAATTGTAGTCAAAAGAAATGACTTCCCCCGCCCTCAGGTGAAAAGTCTGAATCTGCATTTAAATGGAAAGAATAATTCTAAATCAGATTTCAGCTACTGGAATCAACAAAAAAGGAATCAGGTGTAGGCTGAAAGTCTCCTTAATGTTACATTGAACCATATATACCTGAAAATTTAGATCTACTTAAGTATATCATATTAATTTGCTCAATGCAATTTCTAGTTCATCAGTAATTCAGTCTTACACACTCCTAAGAATACAGTGCTTAAAAATAGTCATTCTAATCTCATTTTATACACTTATTTTAGATTTCAGTATATGAAGAAAAGTGTCTTTTAAAGTAACCTTATGTATGAATCTTGATTTCATGTGTAATTTTTCATAACACTGTAAAATCTTCTAGAAACCTGTAAAATAATAATAAAAAAACTCATGTGAAGAGCCTTATATAATAAGATGCCATTTATGTTTATGCTATCAACATGCTTACTTCTAACTCAAACCAGCTATCAATCAATTTAGAAATTATCCCTAACTCATGAAACTTCTAAAAATATGTAAGCTCCATGAAAGTTGGGCTACTTTCTGTTTTTTTACCACCTTAAATCTTGTCCCAATAAGAGAATTCAGCATACCATAAGCACTCTGTATGGTGGGATAAATGAATCAATTAAATTGCTCAGCATTTTTTCAGAAAATTCCCAAAAAATCTAGCTCAGAATGTTCCCAGAATTCAAAATTTTAAAATTAACATTGACTCTAGTAAATCATCATGTTTCAGAATTTAGAAGTAGAAAGGACCTTAAAAAATAGTTGATTGGCTGTGTGTCTTTCTCCCACAGAAGAACTGGAAGCGTTTTCCTAGCAGAGGCTACATTTTGTTGAACTCCATATTTTCCACTTCTTGTACAACTTGCTGAGCACATAGCATACTGCTCAGTATTTCTTGATTGAATCACATCTGACATTAGTGACCGCCTCTTCTGGGGTCTCACTTTTATAATAATATCCATGATTACACATTCACAATCTTTGAACATGCTGTCCCTTCTCCCTGGAATACCTGCCCAACTGTTCTTCACTTGGTTAATGCCTAATCAAGCCACATTAACACTGCATCCTTTGGGAGAGAGCATCTTTAAATGCCATTCTCTATTTTTACAGCGTAGACTTGCGAGGAAGAAGATGCCCATCTAGCTTCTATATTTTCTAGCCCCACTTGCATCTGTGAGGCACTGTGGTTTGTTCGGACAGATAGTAGCCCAACTTTCATGGAGCTTAGATACTTCTAGAAGTTTTATGAGTTGAGGATAATTTCTAATAGATTAATAGATGGTCTGAGTTAGAAGTAAGCATGTTGATAGCATAAATAGGTATGTCATTTCTCAGAGGAAATCCAGAGGCTGGATTCAGAGGAGTTGAGCTTTTAGGACATAGCCTGGCCATAAGACAGAAGGAGCTTGGATTTCATCTGAGTATGATCCACCAGTCAGAAAATTCTAATTCTATTTTATGTGTTCAAACGATAAATGTTTATTGTGTAAAGTCATTATGTATTTTGCTGTTGTCATTACAGAAGCTAGTGTTACCTTAACGGATACACATCCTATCTTAGGAACATCTTCTAAGTCCCTCATATCAAAGGAGATTTAAGTACGTGAAACAAACAAACTCCTGACCAAAGTGTTAATCTAGAAGGACATTGTGCAATTGTGCATAACTAGAATAATATCAATTGGAAGGAAATTTCCTCTCGGGGGAGTACTATATGTAAGTGGAAGGAATTCTTCTTAAGAGCTGCTTTGTGTTGGGGCAAAGGGAGACTACAGACATTGTGCACAAGTAGTAAAGGTTTTTAAAGTGCTGTAAGAACAGTCTGATTAATCGAATTTTCCTGTTTTGTTGGGAAATGCAGATTTGGGGCCTAACTGAATTGCTCAACAATTGCAAAACAGTGCAAAACAATGCTCCCCTAAGCAGCCCTTTCCAAACTAACCCTGTGTAGCACTGAGTCTTGATGCAGATTACATACCGAGTAAATATTTTACAATCATGTTGGAATGTGTGCCAAACGTTAGGCCTGCCAAAGCATTCTTTCGTCTAAGTTTGGCCTCGGTTCAGACATTCTATATGCTACATATATCATAATACTATCATATGTATAGATATGTGCATCTTCTGTGTGAAAACAAACTTATAATCAGCATATAGCATAGTTATGGAACACTATGTGTCCTGAAATATTTGTTCATTGATTAATGAAACAATGGGGATCATCTGTTCTACTATCATAAAGGTATATACATTCTCATGATTTTGGAGTCTCCCAGCCCATATTTTTTCGATTATCACAACAGTCATCATATTACATATCTGAAAAGGCCTATATAAGCATCAAAATTATTTTTGTATATGAATTTAGAACACACATTCTTCTACAATCTAGAGAGTAACTATGGTTCATGTTAGTGTCATCACGACACTAAATGATATCTATCTATCATCTATTTATCTATCTATCTATCTATCTATCTATCTATCTATCTATCTATTACCTATATAGCTGTCTAGCTATTTAGAGACAGGGTCTTGCTATGTTGCCCAGGCAGGACTGCAATTCCTGGGCTCAAGAGATCCTCCCACCTCAGCATCAAATGTAGCTGGGACTACAGCTGTGCAACATTGCGCCCAGCTTACTATATGTTAGTTAATTAATAAAAAGGGACCCGAGTACACATGTTCATAACTAAAGAAATAAAGCAAAGAAAGGATACAAATTGGAAACAGAGTAAATAGAAAGTGTTATTTACTTAAAGAAGTAGACTGCAGTGGGAATGTCATATAAGGCTTAATTATACGGTCTTTATAGCAGTGGGTAGACATTTTATGGTGCCCTGGCTCTTGTTCTCTGTAGCCTTTAGAAAATTGTGTACTTCCTCAGTTTATTCAATTTAAAATAAGAATAATAGTACTTGCCTCCTAGTGCTTAATGAGATTAAAATGAGATAATTTAAGTTCTTAGCATACTGCATGCTACCCTATAAATTATCAATACGTTGTATCCATAATTAATCTCATTTACTGAAGACAATTTATGGACTTCCTATTAAACTCTATGTTTAAACAATTTATGTATTTGAAATATGTATATAAAACCCTTAGTCTTTTCTTCATAGTTATCATATATGAATATATGTGTATACATATATAAATGAACATGATATAAGTTTATAAAATGGATTTGTCTTGACCCTCACAATATATAAACTCATTTCCATAAACTTGCAAGATGCTTTCAAATTTCTGTTCTGGAGAAAATGAGAAATTAAGATAGCACATCTGTTATAGTGACCTATGCTAAAATAGATGGGCTACAGACTAGATTCCTAGCTCCACTTTTGCCACCAAGTGCTAACTATATTTGAGCAAGTTATTTAACCCTCCTAAGCCAGTCTGCTCCTCTAAAAATGGCAAAAAAATAACTCCTCAAAATCTGGCTTAAAGCAAACACTGATATGAATGTTTTTAAAGTGTTTTCTGAATGTAAAATGTCACATAATCCTCAGCCATCAAGAACAGCCTCAAATTTAAGGGCGTATGTTTCTAATTGCTATCTGCTACCATGATTATCAGAAAAAGCAAGTTGATTGATTAATTGATTGATTGATCACTTTGTTACATTAATCTAGAAGTGGGAAAAATATAATTTTGTATCTCACCTGAAAGACATCTACATCAAATCCTTTTCCACTTTACAGTGCAAAAGTGTGCTTATGTTAAAGTGCCTCATTTACAGGAAAAAAAATAACTCCCTGCCAAAAAAAGAGCAATGTAACATAATTACTCTTGGCTTGGAAGCCTACTATTAGTTTATTCAATGACATTCCCAAATAGGGCTGGGAGAATTTGACATGAAACATTTTTGTTAGAAAAAAAACATCTTTCAGTTTTATGTGTAATATAGACACAGAACAAAAATGAATGGTGGAAATAAGCCTTTATTTAACAGTGACTACTTGCCACATAAATTCCTTAGATTTCAAGCCTTTGATTCTATTTTGGGTTACAAGTGAATGGTACACAATATAAAAACATTTTGCAAAATAAAATCAGAAACTGGCAGATTATATAGCCAGTTACTGACACATTTCTATGCGGCAACAGAATAGTGCCTCATTTAAGGGAGGAACAGGTGAGACTTGTAAGGCTCAGGATCTGGAAATGACCCAACATCTAGAGTGTAGTATAAGATGACAATAAGCTACTGAAGAATATGGTGACAATTCTCAAAGGTAGAAAAATAATAAATGCAGCAACATGAAGTTCTTATAGCATTCCTGGTAAGCACATTGGACTGTTAACATAGAGGTCTGTGGTTCAAGTACGTAAAGGGACAATACCTCTTTATGGAAGCAGTACACCCTACTTAAGTTTTTAGATTTGGAGGTCACAGAGCCATTGATTTAAATCTGGTTTTTTGACTTGCTAATTATGACTTTGGGCAATTAACTTTTCCAAGTCTCATTTCCTCATATGTAAAAAGAAAATAATAATAGCACCTAACTCTCGAGTTATGGAAATTAAATGATTGCATGATAAAATCTTCTCACATGGATGGTATATATAAATATTCAATGCATCATGTTCGTTGATATTATTGTTGGTTTCAGGGTAGATGTGCACAGGGCACAGCTCAGTGGTTGCTAATAAGAGCAAATTATGAGGTACAATGTTACCCCAAAGGAATCCCACAATAACATGTTAAGAACTGGCAAGTACAAAAGAGAACTCTTTGTCTTATCATACAAAGGACTTAAATTTGAGGGAACCCAGCAAAAGGCCAACTTATGAGAAATGGAGTCACATGTTTATAGTATGAGCAATTGCAAAATTGATTTAGAAACATGGGATTCTGGTAGTATAAGAGGTGCCAGCCAAATCTTTATTTCATTACCTTCATTGTACAGATGAAGAAATAATATGGTACAGAATTAGTAATTGACTTATCCAAAATTATACAGTAAGTATTAGAATCAGGTTTTCAAACAAATTCAAGAAGAATATTTATTTTTATTACTCTGCTATGCTGGTCATTGCAATACAAAAGCAAATGTAAGGGAGCTCAGTGATGGAAATTATAAGGATGTCATGCATAAAGCCAATAGCACATGTTTAACATGGGAACGAATGTGGCTATACAGAAATTCTTTCTTGAATTGGAAGACACTTAAGAATTTTAGGGCCCAGCACAGTGGCTCACGCCTATAATCCCAGCACTTTGGGAGGCCGAGGCAGGCAGATGACCTGAGGTCAGGAGTTCGAGACCAGCCTGACCAACATGGAGAAAACCTGTCTCTACTAAAAATACAAAATTAGCCAGGCATGGTGGCGCATGCCTGTAATCCCAGCTACTCGGGAGGCTAAGGTGGGAGAATCACTTGAATCCGGGAGGCTTAGGTTGTGGTGAGCCAAGATTGCACCATTGCACTCCTGCCTGGGCAAAAAGAGCAAAATTCCATCTCAAAAAAAACAAAAAAAAAAAAAAAAAAAGAGAGAGAATTTTACTTATCTGTAAGCTCAAAATAATACAATGAGTGATCAAATATTTAACCTGAAAATGATAAAAAATAAAAACTAACTCAACTAGTAGTATTACATTTGCAGCAAAGTTGTTATTGCCAATTGTCATGTTATCATTATCACTATTATCATCATCATCATCCAGTAGCTGATAGCATTAATAGAAGTATATTGCCCAAAAAAGGGAGGGGATATGTTAGCACTACTAGCCTTTATTCTCCATTTTCATAGTCATATTTAAAAGATAAAATTGAAAAATCATATGATGTCTAAAAGCCAGTTACCATAAAAGTGTGTCACATATTGCTTAGAGAAGACATTGTGAACATAATTTTTGAAGAGTTGTCATAATGAACAAGAATTTATCCTATTCTGTATTACTTCAGGAAGGAAATCTAGGACTAAAGGGCAAAAGCTAACAAAACAATGGATTGGAATCAACCTAAATAAGAATGTTCTTTTAACAAAGAATTTCAGAAAACTATTAATAATAATTAAAAAGTCATTAGCTGTGAGAATACTTTGATTTCAGTTATTTAAGTTGACAACAAACTATCACCTGGCATGCTAGAGATAGAATTTAGGGGATTAGGGGAGAATGACATAAGATTCAGAGAGATCTCAATTTGTTGCCTATTTCTAATTTTGAAGTGTCATTCCTTAATTTAATTAAGCAACCTTATTTCCTCCACCTAAATCTCTGATATTATGAAAGCATAAAATAGTTCAATTTTGTGTCATCAAATTTAAATGAACATGACTAGAAAATATAATACATACAATACATATAATAAATTGGTAATACAATGGTATTATTTTCCTTGCTTAGAGAAATGCTTTGAAGGTGTTAACCAAGGGCTTTACAGCAGCTGAGAGAAAAACTGGTGTCTCAGTTGCTCATTCTGTCAGCCACAAACACTGTCTTGAACTTGTGCTCAGGAAGTCACGTTCTCTGGATTATCTCATACCTTACTACTCCTCCATCTTACGTCCTTTGATGGACTCTTCCCTTTTTTTTGAATTATAAATTTTGCAGTGCCCAGAATTTAGTACTCTTTTGGTCTATTTACACTTATTCCCTAGTTGATCTTCTCCGTTCATAGTTTTAACACTGTTCTCATCTACATACTGATGGCCCCAATGTATCCCCAGTTCCTCCCTTTCCCCTGAGTTTATTTGGTAGCTACATATGGATTTCCAAGAAGCATTTTGAACATAGCACTTCCAAAACAAAGCTCTTGATTTCCTTCAAACCCCACCCCGTTTTGTTTCCCCCATTCTAAAATGGCTCCACTATTATTCAGCTTCTTTGTCTCAAAATTCAGGAATCATCCTTTGTTCATCTTTATAATTACATAAAATCTATTCATAAGCCCTGTGACTCTAGCTCCAAGTCACATCCTTTCTACAAGCACACCAAAGGAACTCTATCATCATCCTAGTCAAGTCACTGTCACCTCTCATGTTGATTATCGCAGCAGATTCCTATTCCTTGCTTTCACTCATACCACCAATTTCCAACTTAACACACAGAAGCAAGAATAATCTACTAAACACTTAAATCATATTATGTCAATATTCTACTCAAAAAATCCTATGGCCTCCCATAACCTCTCATGACTAAAAAGCAAAATCCAAACTCTTTATCATGCTCTACAGACCCCATGTCATCTAGGTCCTGCCTATTTCTCTGACTTCATCTTACAAGACTCTCCATCTTATTCTGCTCTAGCCACACTGGCCTTTATCCTGTTCTCCAGGCTTGCAAGACTATCTATTCCGTTAGATCTTCAAAAGGCTTACTCCTTTCCTTCATTCAGACCTTTGCTCAAAGTCACCATGTCAGAGAAGACACTTCTACTGAATCTTCAAAATAACACATCATTCCCAAACCCCACTCTGAAGCCCTCTATCAACTTACACTTTTTTATTTTCCTTATAGGACTTATTATTATCCAAAGTATATTTAGTTATTAATTGCTTGTTTTCTACATTTTTTACTAGAACATTGGAAGATAAGCTCCATTAGAACAGCTAGACTTTTTGTTTGTTGGCGTTATTTGTTTGTTTTAAACACTATTATACATTTTTTACATGTATAAAGAGTTTTTAATGAGATAATAACCTTATGATACATTAAATAAAAAATTAGAATACAAAGATATACTTTCAATATGACCATTACTGTATTCAATATGTACCTAGAAAAGAGACAGAAAAATATACTGAAATGTTTGTGATTCTATTAGTCAGGGCTAACTACATGCTTAATAAACAACCTCTGAGTCTCTGTGGCTTAACACTAAAGGTTAATTTCTTGTTCATGTCACAGTACAGTGCAAGGTTGGAAGGTGGCTCTTCATGTAATTATCTGAGGACCCAGACTCCTTCCTTCTTTTATTTATTTATTTATTTATTTTTTATTATATTTTAAGTTCTAGGGTACATGTGCACAATGTGCAGGTTTGTTACATATGTATACATGTGCCATGCTGGTGTGCTGCACCCATTAACTCGTCATTTACATTTGGTATATCTCCTAATGCTATCCCTCCCCCATCCCCACACCCCACGACAGGCCCCTGTGTGTGATGTTCCCCTTCCTTTGTCCAAGTGTTCTCATTGTTCAATTCCCACCTATGAGTGAGAACATGCGGTGTTTGGTTTTTTGTCCTTGGGATAGTTTGTTGAGAATAATGGTTTCCAGCTTCATCCATGTCCCTACAAAGGACATGAATGCATAATTTTTTATGGCTGCATAGTACTCCATGGAGTATATGTGCCACATTTTCTTAATCCAGTCTATTGTTGATGGACATTTGCGTTGGTTCCAAGTCTTTGCTATTGTGAATAGTGCCACAATAAACATGCGTGTGCATGTGTCTTTATAGCAGCATGATTTATAATCCTTTGGGTTATATACCCAGTAATGGGATGGCTGGGTCAAATGGTATTTCTAGTTCTAGATCCTTGAGGAATCACCACACTGTCTTCCACAATGGTTGAACTAGTTTACCGTCCCACCAACAGTGTAAAAGTGTTCCTATTTCTCCACATCCTCTCCAGCACCTGTTGTTTCCTGACTTATTATACTTCTTTAGGTTAAAACAAGTACTTGGAACGTGATAAGAATAAATAAAGGAATTAAAAAGTAATAAGAAATTTGATGTTATATAAACTCATACTGGATACTACAAAGAGATTTTATCTTAATGAAAAATTGGGATAAAGTGTTGTCTTCTCCTATAATAAAGTTCTATAGCCTAATTTGAAGAATGACATTACAGTGTGATAATTTGAAAATATACCTTTCTGACAATTAGAGAAAATGAAGGGCACCCTTGCTGACATTCAGACCATGATATACCTGACAGAACAGGAGCAATACTCAGAATATGACAAGGTCACTCTGCAACCACAAAAAGGTTTAAATACCCCCTTTCACTAACTTAAATGATTGATTGCTAGTTTCCTTTGTTGTTGTTGTTTTTGTTGTTGTTGTTGTTGTTGTTTATGAGACAGGATGTCACTCTGTTACCCAGGCTAGAGTGCAGTGTTGTGATCATAGCTCACAGCAGTCTCAACATCCCGGGCTCAAGCAATCCTCCCACCTCAGTCTCCCAGGTAGCTAGGATTTCAGGTATGTGCCACCATGCCTGTCTAATTTTTTTAATTTTTTTTTTAGAGATAGGTTCTCACTATGCTGTCCAGGCTGTTGCTAGTTTCCTTTAAATCTTCCCACCCCTCTGGGCATAAGTTTTTAACTTTTAAAAATATACTTAACTTTTTAAACTTTTTTTAGGTTCACAGTACAATTGAGCAGAAGGTACAGATTTATCACATACTCCCTGCCCTCACAAATGCATAGCCTCCTCCATTATCAACATCCCTCATCAGAGCTGTACATTTGTTCAAACTGATGAACTTACACTGACACATCATAACCACCCAAAGTCCATAGTTTACATTAGGGTTCACTATTAGTTTGGACAAATGCATGATGACATATATTTCACCATTAGTATAGTATTATGCAGAGTATTTTCACTGCCCTAAAAATAATCTGTGCTCTGCCTATTCATCCCCCTCACCCCCCTAATTACTAGCAACAGCTGATATTTTTTATGTCTCCAGCGTTCTGCCTTTTCTAGAATATAGTTGGAATATATAGTTCTGATATAGTTGGAATCACAGAGTATATAGCCTTTTTAGGTTGGCTTGTTTCACTTAGTAATATACCCTTAAGTTTCTTCCACTTTTTTTATGATATAGTGAGTTCATTTCTTTGTAGTGCTAAATAGTATTCCATTACCTGGATGTACTGCAGCTTATTTATCTATTCACCTACTGAAGGGAATCTTGGTTGCTTCAGATGTAAGTTCTTAAGATGCCAAGCCACTGTATTACACACACTTTTTGACATCATCAAATTCAGAACTGATTCTTGCTTCCTTAAGCTTTAGAATCTTCCAGTCCACGCTCAAAGCTTCGAGGCCATTCCTATAACTCTGAGAGACTCCTGATGTTCCTCTGCGGTTCATTCTTTCTTGATGCATCTAATTTTGCTTGATTATGAGTATGTTCCTGGTAGTCAGTGGCTGGTAGGCATCAACAGAAGTGAAAATTCCACCAAAATTCAGCTAAAACATCTATTGCTGCAGAACAAGTCCTCTAACTCAGTAATAGTGTGCACATGTGACACTGCCTAAAAATCCACCTGTTCAAGGCCAAATATTCTGAGACAAAAGATAAATTTGTGTTGAATCTGATCTCTAAATATTTCATTCAGTCCAGTAATTTTAAATTTATGTTTGATGTCTAGGCTTTTGACTTTTTAACCACATTATATGTTTTACCTTATAAAATTTGACTTTTGGCATTTCTTCTATCATCTGTTTGTACAGTTTCTTGAGTCTTGTTTGTCTATAAAAGGAAGTCAACAATGAGAAGACAGACATATGGCCTGTAAGCTCATATTAGAGCCAGCTCCAAGTTCAGAAGATCTCATTAGACTGGTGCACTGTAAACAAACAGCCCTTGAGCCACTTTCAAAACCTTATAAGAGCTTTCTTCTATTTTGCCTATGCCTCCATTAGTATTACTGTGACTTCTATTTTACTAATTTATGCATACCTGTCACTAAATAAGGTAATTTCACTTTGGAGAAAGTTTCAAATTGTAATGGAAAATTTTTGGAACTTTTAAATATGAACAGGAATATACATTTGAGAGGAACCTCAAAACATACAAAAATAAAATTCTGACTGTTAAATTGTCTGCATTTCTTAACTGGTATGCGAAAGCTTTCAAATACCATCTGAACTGCATTTGTGCTTCCCTAAAAGACTCCCTAGAGACGGAAGAGAAAAGAGGTAAATTCAGTTCTACTTTCCTACTTGTATCACACCTTTCTCTTACTTCCTTCTTCCCCCATAAATTTAATTCATCCTCCATGGACTTCTTAGTCATTCTTTCCCCTTTCTCCTGAAACATTCATTAAAATTTAAAGCTTCCTATGAAGAAGATTCCTAGTCCACGAACTTAAAACCCTAATCATATATATATCCCTGTGGCATTGTTAAGAACTTCACAGATCCCAGGACAGAAAGGAAAAAAAGGTTCACTGAAACATTCAGATTTGTCTTGGATACATATACTTAAGGCCTCCCTGACCTCTATCGATTAATGCATTTTTAGGTGGGGCCAGGAGATGCAAAACTTGCTTGGAAAAGCCTAATTGCAGCGTTCTGAGGAGGACTTAAAATGTAATGCAATAAACCTTAATGAAATGGAATATGTTAGGGTACAGAAGTAGGGACAATCTATTTTAAAGAATATACCTCAGGTCTTGCCCAGTAAATTGCATATTGGTTCACTCTTGCAAACAGCAAAATTGTAAAACCACAGAACTCAGAAATAGACTAATACATGCCTTTCGATAATATGCAGCATTAGGCCCCAATGCTGGCATTTCCACTACCCTCTCCAACATTTTTGTAGGTGGCCTAAAACCAGATATTGTAGATTTTGTATGTAAACAAAATTTTGGATGGCAGATCACTCTACAATACAAACTTCAGCCTTTTGCTGAATGCACTGAAAATAATTTAGATAGAAAAATACAACCCGCAAACTAAACTTACAGATTTCAAAATAAAGCAGCTGAATGTAGAATTCCCACAACCTTAAGAAACAATAAAAGTCTCATGTTCAACAAGACCTTTGCTGGTTTTGCAAGCAAAAAGGTAACTGAAATATTAATTGCTTCATCTTAATAAAAAGGAGAAAAGAACTAAATAAAAGTTTCTAAACGTTATGAAAGGGACTCCAAGGGAGACTGTAGCACACAATTTCCAATGATTCTATTAAACCATAAAAGAGAACCATCTCTAATAATAGAGAGGCAGAAGCAAAACTTTCTAAATAGCATGGGTACTATTCTGTCCTACCACTATTTTTGTGACTTTCTTAGGAATCTTCAGACTACTGGAGTGTTAGCATTTTCAAATACTCCTCAGACTGTCCCCATCACTCAGCATATAACAATACCTCTCAACCTTCCCATGAGCCAACATTCATTCTTCCTTTGTGATAACATCCAAACAAATTTATTATTGAGAGATTCCTTTGTGGTAGCTTTCAAATCAAGCGTCTTCTAGATGGACTGTTTTCTGAAATACCTGAAATCTGTTGTATGTGACCCATGCACCATACACTAATAGTTCAAGGGGATGTTTATTTTTTCATTCTTGGATACTTAACCCAATCACAACTTGAGGGACTGCTTGAGGATACTGGTATCTTCTAAGCCAAGGAATATACTGGTATCTTGAAATTATTAGGCGCTGATCCCATCTAAGTAATAAATGATTTATCTCATCCTCTACCCAGTCCTGCCCAATATCCTTTGAAGGTTAAGACAAAAGAAGGTCTGGATTTACTGTGGTATGTTCAGCAAAAAGTTATCCTTCTATTCCTTCTACTAGCTTTTGTAACACAACTGTATTGCTCATAGAAAAAATAATCTAGTATGCATAGATACATGTTTGTGCAAGATTTTAGTATTATAAACAAAATTGTGATCCACTATTTTTCAGTGGTCTCAAAATCAAATATTAGTTTGCTCTGAGTACTGCCTAAATCCATCTACTTTGCTGTTGTGTACTTGTGCTATGTCCTTTTATTGTTCCTCTAGATTTGAACAGTCACTATCTGTTTGCCCTGTCATAGAAAAATCAACACATGCCATGTCTATTATACATCAATTATTTACAGAAGCCCCCTTCTACTTATCTTAATCAAGACCTAAAGAGTATAAAATTTCATCGTGACATCCTTCTTTTACAATATATAGATGATCTTCATTTAAACCCCAAAAGACAAAGATCTAAGATCATTTCCATCTATTTGTCAAAAGCATTAATCCAGAAGAGGCATAAAGCCTCTAAGGAGAAATTGCCATTCTACCAGTGAAAGTTTCTTTATCACATGATATATTCTAAGAAAGGAAATCTCTAATCTCTGACAGAATACACATATCTGGAATTTTTCTAGATCAACTCCAAAAGGCAAATCTAGAAATTTTTATGACTAGCTGGATATTACAGGTACTGTGTGCAATTTTTTTTTCTGAGTTTGCATATCATTTGTATAATTAATTCTTGAATCTTCTCTAGGGAAAAAAAAACATTAAAGTGTCTTTGGTAAGTTAAATTATGCCGATGGTCAACCACTACCAACTTTAGGATTGGCTAATTATTACGTATCCTTTTCCTTTTCACCATTAATACACTAGTCAGACACTGGATGGACACTGACAAAGCATATTTTCCTTAACCAAAAACTAGAGTAGCAGCTATATTAGATTTAGTTCTCGGGTCCCTATATAATTTGTTGGCTTTCCTTGCTGTGCAGACTGCCATTAGCAGAAAATAAGAAATTCTCAGTTAATTGGTTTACCTCCTATGAAATTTTGTTGCCTTCCCTTTTTATGTATCACTATGCAGTGTTATTATTCTTAACACAGCAATTCTCCTTCCTCTATCTAAGGAGGCATTTTTACTATACTTTAGGTAACTATCAAAGTCTTTTCTAAGCTTTTGAAAAATTCTTATAAACACCTTGGTGTAATTTTATTTGTTGATGCTACATACTTGAAAACAGATTCGGAATACATCAAACATGCTATGGTGGCTCATATCTATTAATTCAGCCCAAATGACTGAGTTGACCATTGTCACATGGGTTCACCACCCATTGTTAAAACAATTATAAGCACACCATTACCCTACTCTCTCACTACACCCAGGAGAAATCCTAAGCTTTAAAAGTTAGATCATTTTAAATTAGAAAACTAAAGTTTGGCTCAACATCCCCACACTCATTTTACCCACTCATTAATATTTTTATTCAGTTGAGAAATATTTCCTGAGCATCTACTTTATCATTGTTGAAAGCTTCAGAATATCTATGAAGGGGGACTTAGGTCTAAAGGACTATTTTTAAGTCCTTTGCTTGGCAAGAAGACTAGTCTTACATAGGCGCTCTGTTTATTTGGGGTGGCTCAAAGTGCATAAGAGCAACCATGGAGAAGATTATGGACGTATTAAATTTTACCTCCCTTTCACTCATCTTTTCCAACACTACATGCAGTACTGAACTAGGTTTAAAAAGGTGAATGCAACAGAAATATTCCAGGCCCATGTGGAGTTTTCTGTAGTGTTTTCAAGGCCCCTGGTTAGTTGCCACACCTGGAGACTTCCAAGATTTCCCTAATTCCCTTACCTGATATTGTCACCAAAGGGCTAGTCAATATGTAATCTTCAACCAATCTCTTAGCCTTACTTAATACACCATGCCCTATCACCAGGGTCTGTGTATAGCCACATTTATTTTTCCTTAAACTGCTCAGGATAAATTCTAGGAAAAATGCCAAGATTTGATGATCTCTTGCTGCTATCCCTGGAAATATGTTCCCTATAACACCCTGGCTGCTTTCCACCAAGCCTTTCCTAGGCTGAGAACCTACATTTCATGAAGATATGTTTATAAATGAAAATCTTCTACTACTCTGTAGACTTGTTACTGATTTTTAAACTTAATTTTAGCTAACAAGAAATATTACTCACTGTATGTTAGAAGCCAACTGCAGGAAAGTAATTAGAAAGTCGTTTTGACTTTAAAAAGTAGTACATTATTTTACAAATTCTAAATAAAATGGAATGAAGGAGCTTTTTATGACTCAAACAGTAGTTTAGAAAACTCTGCATGTGCTTAAATAATAGTTTACAAGTGTTTGATTTAAATCAGTGACAGAATCCAAACGAAGCCTTCATTTGAAACTGAGAGGTGAGATCTGAGGCCTAAAATATTTATTTATAAAATACATCTTAAAAATCATCTGATGAAAGGAGCTGAAGAACATCGTGAACTAAGCCTACAGTTGGATATATGACATCACAGAAACATAGTAGGAACTTATAAAAAGTAACTTAGTCATGTGGTAGGTGTAGTTTTAAAGGATCCCTATTAATTCTACTAGATAATAATGGGAAACATCTATTTATTTCAGCTACAAATCTATATAATCAGGAAACAGTTGTGGCTACATTTTGTTTTAGCCTGGCAGAGCACCTCTACCAAGTATCCCACACCATAGGAATATTTTTCCTGTCATTTACTGAGGGATTAAATTGCTAATCAGCTCAAATATGATCTCCATTCACCACCCAAAATGTTACTAAAATCATTATTGTAAGCACACATGTAGGAATTTAATGTTTTCCTTCGAAGGTTAAAACAAAAGAAGGTCTGGATGTTTCCCATTAAAAAAATGGAGGGACTTCAGTTATCTCAGAATATAAGACAGTAGAGACTATCAGTTTATTCTTTAGTCTTCTGGGACAGTCAGGCAAAATGTAAAGGGAATGAGGGATAGGAAAATTCTGTTTAATTGTGGTTTGGGAGTTCAATATGTAAAGTTATATGCCAAAGTGAGTAAAAGCATTTTAAACCAGTATAGTGTTTGATAGGAGTAAAATGCCTTATTTTTCCTACTTTTTCTGAGAGATCACTGAGCTGGATTTTCATAGTTTTTTTTCTAGTTCAGAATAAAATTCATATGTAAATCATTCTGATTAAAAAAAAACAAAAACAAAGAGATTAGAAAAGACCCATTTTTGCACCAGGGCATAGGATAACTCTGAGTATTTATACTTGATTCTATTTCTTCTCTTTTATTTCAAAACTAGGGAGTAGCTGCATTGGTATTTAGTCATCCAATTATATTGGACAAATAGTTTCGAGGAAATAGTTTAAAAAGTTCGTCATGTATAAATACATTTTCACCTACAGATATATTTACACAAATGCATATTTACAATTAATGATCCTCACTCTGCACATGACTAAATTCCACAGTTGCCTACAGTGTCTGCTTTCTCATTTACATACATATCTATATTCAATAATAAATCCATAAGAACCAATTTATAAACAATTTTTCTAGTAGATGCTACATATTTTTTTTAATGTATGCTGGACTATTATTGCCTTTCATTTGAGAAGGAAGGTTCCTTTTACCCTAGGAAAATGGGCTTCTTTAGGCTGAACATTATCATTATTTTCTATTCATTTAGATTTAACTGAAAGGGACTTTACACAAACACATGCCTGTTTGCTCCTAAAGATCACTGTCATATTATAATTCTAAAGAAATCTTCCCTCCCTGATGGATTAGTCCAGATGTGTCCCAAACCTGTCACAAACCAGAAAAGGTTAAAGATCACATAATTTCTTTGTTGGACCCTCTGTCAAGTCATGTTTACTGTCACCAAAAGGTTAGGCTAGAGAAGAAAAAATCAGGTTGATGAATGGTGCAGAATGCATGTCAATGAAATGAAAGAGATGGTGTGCACCTGTTTTCACCAGTGATAAGCCACCCAGATTTTGCCCTGTCACTTTTAGTGTTCAAAAGCACATTGCATTTAGATTTGGATCCTGAACACACTTAAGGCACTGGGACCACAGAAACAACTCATTAACATGTATCCTACCAGTTATTTGCAGATGTGGATTTTTTTTTTTGCTGAGGTCTATCTCACTTCACTAGATATTACCATCTCCAAACCTTTTTAAATGAACAGCCATAATTATGTTAGGCTCTGTTGTAAGAAAATGGTAGTATGAGGAAAAAGTAAAAAACAGAAACAATGAAATTTATTTTATTATTATTTACATATATAATAAATGTGCTCTAATATACAGATTTTCAAATACAGACCAAAATAGCTTTTCATCTCCTTATAACTTGGTTAAGAATTTTTGCAAAACAATGGAAAAAATACCCACGATATGCAAACACTTCTTTTGCACAGTCATAACTGTACAGCGAAATGATGAATTTTAAACTACAGGCCTCCAACTAAGCTCAGCCTATTCTTGCATGATAGAAGAGTAACAAGTTTATGATGCTGGTAATCTTCACAGTCTTAAAAAAATCTTACACTGTCTCAAAATAGTTGCAGGTAAATTGGGCCAGAGATAAAGTCTACTTTTTTCAAAATTTTAGAAGTGATTTGAATTCTGTCTGAATGACTAACCAGTACAACAATTAATAGTATAGTGTAGCAAAGTGCACTTCTTTCTTTCTGCCTTCTAAAGACATGTGGTTTCCTTTTATGTGTCTGTTCTGAAGGGCATTTTGTTTTTTCTCTTTACGCTCTTCCTGGAATTTCAAAGACTCTCCTTATGTCAAATATCATTGTATAGATAACACTCGGTTTCATTTACTTAAGCTTTGACCTTTCTCTTGAATTCACTAGACTGTATACTTTTCAAAAAGGTGTTGTATTTACCAAAGTACAGTACCTTTCACAGTTCCAGAGATAAGATGACCTCTGAGTGGGTGACAAATTTTGAGCCAGTGTTATGTTAAGAATTAAATGCAAATTGAAAAAGAAGGCATAGATATGATGAAAATTTCATCCAGGAACTGGGGATGGTTAGAACAGAGCAGGAATTTGGGCTGTCTGGGTATAGTGAGCAGGATTTCTAGTTATATATCAGCAGTCAGGAGAAGGATAGAGGAGGAACAGGGCCTTTCAAAGTTACTGCCGACAGGAGTGGAATGGGATTATCTCACGTCACCCAATCTTAGGACACGGAAAGCATAGATAATTTGTTGGATTGTGAGAAAACCGGATTTAATACTGAATGTGCACTTTCTTTCTTGTAGGCGAGGAGTGGTACTACGAAAATATTTAAGTGACTTACAATGTTTAAAAATACTACCAAGTATTATAGTGAAGTTTTAATACAGTATATTTGACTTGAATGCCAATTTAATTTCTTGCCACATGTAAGTTGTCCTCAAATTATAGTTGCCAGACCAGTAGCAGCAACATCACTTAGGAAATTGTGAGACATACAAATTGTCAGGCCTCACCACAGACCTGATCAGAAAGTCTAGGAGTACAACCTAGGAATCTATTTATTTAACAAGCTAATCTGGTGAATCTGATGCATGCTAAGGTCTAAACTGACTGCTATATACCATGCTGCAGCAAATATTCATTGACAGCCTCAAGATACTGAGGGTACAGAGATAAATAAAACAGGGGCTCTGCCCTCATACTGCAACATATGGGGATTCAAAGGAAGAAAATGCAAAATAATACTTTTAACAATTTCTTCCATTACAGAGTGGTTATGAAAGAGACAGAAGACAGGGAAATTCTGGGCAGAAGAGGGTGGGTCTGCAGCAAGGGCCCCACCCTCAGGCCTGGAACCTCGGCCCAAAGTGAGAACATACATTCCTATTTTCCCATTCAAATGTTGCCTTTTCCAAAACCACCCATGGCCTACCCTGAACCCCAAACCTGTGCCCATAAAAACCCAGGCTCTGCTGCCAGAGGGAGGAGAAGAAGAGGAGCACATGGACATTAAAGACTACAATTCGATGTCGCAGAGAAGCAGCTTGACTTCACAGGGATGGCTTAATGGCATAGCTTCAGAAAATTACCTCACAGCTCTGTTCCCTTTCCAGCTTCCCTTCCCTCTCACTCTGAAAGCCACTTTATTTGGCAATAAAAGCCCCTGCATTTACCATCTCCAGTTTGTTTGTGTGACCTCATTCTTCCTAGACACCAGATAAGAACTTGGGTGCAGGTGCAAAAGGCTGTCACGCTAACCTTCCATTGAGCTGTCAACACTTAAGCCACCTGCAGATGGCAAAGCTAAAAGAGCACTGACTGTAACATTGCTTCTGGGGCTTCAGGGATCACAGGCACCCCCCTAGATGCTGCTGTGGGGCCAGTATACAATTTGTTCCTGCCAGTGCCCAAAAGCGATCACCTGGGCTTCTGCGTCTGCTCCTCCTGTGAGGGGTTGAGTGCAGCAGGTTTGAGTGAGTGTAGTTCGCCCCTGCCAGTGTCCATACACTCCAGGTCCTGCCCGTGAAGGGGTCAGGGAAAATTTCTGGCTTCAGGTATTATGTACCAATCCTATTTGGAAAGTAATCCTATTGTTCCATTTGATAGATGAGGAAATATTTAATAGATGAGGAAGTGCTGTGACAAAATAAAAGTTACCCAAATTTATATAACTGGCTAATACTAGGAATCAGAATTTTTCCTCTTTGTTTCATACTAGAATGGGCTTAGGTAGTGATATGGTTTGGCTGTGTCCCCACCCAAATCTCATCTTGAATTGTAATTCCCACAATTCCCACATGTCATGGGAGGAACCCGGTGGGAGGTGATTAAATTATGGGGGCATGTCTTTCCTGCACTGTTCTTGTGATAGTGAATGGGCCTCATGAGATCCAATGGTTTTAAAAATGGGAGTTTCCCTGCACAAGCTCTCTTTGCCTGCTGCCCTCCACATAAGATATGATTTGCTTCTCCTTGCCTTCCACCATGATTTTGAGGCTTCCCAGGCCATGTGGAACTGTAAGTTCAATAAACCTCTTTCTTTTGTAAATTGTCCAGTTTTGGGTATGTCTTTATCAGCAACATGAAAATGGACTAACACAGTAAATTGGTACCAGCAGAGGGGTGCACTGCTGAAAAGATACGCAAAAATGTGGAAGTGACTTTGGAACTACGTAACAGGAAGATGTTGGAAAAATTTGGAGGGCTCAGAAGAAAATGTGGGAAAGTTGGGAATTTCCTAGAGACTGGTTGAATGGCTTTGACAAAAATGCTGATAATGATATGAACAATAAGGTCCAGGCTGAAGTAGTCACAGATGGAGATGAGGAACTTGATGGGAACTGGACCAAACTGGACTCTTGTTATGTTTTATCAAAGAGACTGGTGGCATTTTGCCCCTGCCCTAGAGATCTCTGGAACTTTGAACTTGAGAGAGGCGATATAGGGTATCTAGTGGAAGAAATTTCTAAGCAGCAAAGCATTCAAGAGGTGGCTTGGGTGCTGTTAAAGGCATTCAGTTTTATAAGGGGGGAGAGCATAAACATTTGGAAAATTTGCAGACTGACAATGTGACAGAAAAGAAAATCCCATTTTCTCAGGAGAAATTCAAGCCCACTGCAGAAATTAGCAGAAGCAGTGAGGAGCTAAATGTTAATCCCCAAGACAATGCAGAAAATGTCTCCAGGCCATGTCAGAGGTCTTCAAGGCAGCCCTTCCCATCACAAGCCCAGAGGCCTAGGAGGAAAAAGTGTTTTGTTGGCTGGGTCCACGGTACCTGTGCTATGTGCAGCCTAGGGATTTAGTGCCCTGTGTCCCAGCCACTCCAGCCATGGCTGAAAGGGTCCAACATAGAGCTCAGGCTGTGGCATCAGAGGGGGTAAGCCCTAAACTTTGGCAGCTTCCATGTGGTGTTGAGCCTGTGGGTGCACGGAAGTCAAGAATTGAGGTTTGGGAACCTACACCTAGATTTCAGAGGATGTATGGAAATACGTGGATGTCCAGGCAGAAGTTTGCTGCAGGGGTGGGCTCTCATGGAGGATCTCTGCTAGGGCAGTGCGGAAGGGAAATGTGGGGTCAGAGCTCCCACACAGAGTCCCTACTGGGGTATACCCTAGTGGAGCTTTGAGAAGAAGGCCATCATCCTCCAGACCCCAGAATGGCAAATCCACTGACAGCTTGCACTGTGCACCTGGAAGAGCCCCAGACACTCAACCGCAGCCCGTGAAATCAGCAGAGAGGGAGGCTGTCCCCTGCAGAGCCTCAGGGGAGGAACTGCCCAAGACCATGGGAACCCGCCTCTTGCATCAGTGTGATCCAGATGTGAGAAATGTAGTGAAAGGAGATCATTTTGGAGCCTCAGGATTTGACTGTCCTTCTGGATTTTGAACTTGAATGGGGCCTGTAGCCACTTTGTATTTACCCAATTCCTGTACCCCCATTGTATCTAGGAAGTAACTAACTTGTTTTAGATTTTACAGGATCATAAGTGGAAGGGACTTGCCCTGTTTCAGATGAGGCATTGGACTGTGGACTTTTGAGTTAATGGTGCAATGAGTTAAGAATTTGGGGGACTGTTGGGAAGGCATGATTGATTTTGAAATGTGAGGACATGAGATTTGGGAGGGGCCAAGGGTGGAATGATGTGGTTTGGCTCTGTGTCCCCACACAAATCTCATCTTGAATTGTAATTCCCATAATTTTCACATGTCATGGGAGGAGCTCAGTGGGAGGTGATTGAATTATGGGGGCTGGTCTTTCCTGTGCTGTTCTCATGATAGTGAATGAGTCTCATGAAATCTAATACTTGTAAAAACAGATGTTTCCCTGAACAAGCTCTGTTTGCCTGCTGTCATCCATGTAAGATGTGACTTGCTCCTCCTTGCCTTCCACCATGATTGTGAGGCCTCCCAGGCCATGTTGAAGTATAAGTCCAATAAACCTCTTTCTTTTGTAAATTGCCCAGTTTCACGTGTGTCTTTATCAGCAATGTGAAAACAGGCTAATACAGGTAGACTCTCTCTTCAGTTCAGGGCACAACTCTAAGCATCTTCATTATAGGTGATAACTTAAGACCATGCAGCAATAAAGATAGCATATATTTTATTGTGTTTTTCACTCCCTCACCCTCCTTCTTTGATTGTGAGGCAATCTTTAGGCAAAGAATGATAAAATAGAAACTTCAGCTGAATTAAATTTAAAGGAGTTTAATTGATCAATGAATGATTTGTGAATTGGGCAGCCCCCTGAATCACAGGAAATTCTCAGAGATTCCATTGCAGCCACATAGCAGAAGAAGATTTATAGACAAAAAAGAGAAATGACATACAGAAATTGGAAGTGAGGTGTAGAACAGCTGGATTGGTTACACCTCAGCACCTGCATTATTTGAACCTAGTCTGAACACTCAGCAATTGATGAGTGGTTGAAGTATGGCCACTGGGATGGGCCAACACTCAGTTATTGTTACAGGTCCACACTCCTAAGTTAAGTTTTCAGTTTTTTCTGCCTAATAAGCTAGTTTATGGTTCATCCACAAGGACTCAAATATAGAAGTATGGAGTCCTTCTCAGGCCATATTTAGTGTGCTTTAACAGGACCCATGTATGTCAGCACATGACATTGTCTTTTTTTTTTTTTTTTTACATTATTATTTTTCTTTTTTTTCTTCAATCCCTGGCAGCAGGAAGTCATTTTTTTACGTTATTAAATATCCTCAAAGAATGATAGCTCAAGGTGAAACTATTTAATTACTTTATGGTGAATATAATATGAGCTCCTTAATAAACTATAACTCATGATTTAGATTAGACATAATATATTCATTCTGTAATATCATAGTACTATAGCTACAGAAGAGATTTTTTATATTTTAGCCAAATTTCCAAATTTACACATTTGAGCTTATACATTCCTCTCCTTCCAAAGTCTTATTACAAATGGTACATCATTTATTATCAGTGTGAAAATATATAGTTGTTACAATAAATAATGCTTTTCTGGAATAAACTAATTCAAAGGGAAACTGTGTTATATACTCTTAAGATGCAGGGTACCACTCCTAGAGAAGAGCCTCTTCTTCAGAATAGTCATTCCATAAAAGCTATTGCACTCACAGATATCACCCATCTTAAAAAATAACAATTTCGAGAGAAGTAAATCAAGCCATTTTAGCCTTCAGAGTTATACCAGAATTAGCATTAAGATAATTACTGGGGACTATAGAGAAAACCTGCTGCTTCTCTTTTCTCTTAAGCCTACAATATACAATAAGCTCCATGAAATATTGTGGCTTAAAAAAAATGACCATGGGCTTTGGAGACATACAGCCCTGGGATCAAATCCTGATCCTACCATTTACTAGCTGGATAAACTTAAGCAAGTTACTCAGCTTCTGTGAGTTTCATTGTCCGCCCTTGTCAAATAGAAATATTGCAAATTGTGAAGATTCATTGAGGTAACCCATGTATAATGCCTGCCTATAAACCTCATAATTCCTATTAACTCTCCCTATTTCCATGGTTTCAACTTTATACAGAGATGATATAAGACCTCTGGAGAGTGACTTTGCAAAATCTACAGTCAGATCTGGAGTCAAATGTCTGCATCTGAATCCTGGGTTCAAGTTCCATTGACCCTGAGGGCTGTGTGATTCTGTCTCACCTCCTAGGACTGCAGGAGGGTTAAAGAAGATTATGCAGAATTAAGGTGTTCAGTACAAAACTGGTACATACAAACACTAATTCAATTATTATTATTATTATTATTATTATTATTATTATTGCTACTGTTATTGCATTCCTCCAGGCTGGGTGGAAATGTTCCACCCATCATGGGCCTTAGGGAAATAGCTACAGTTGTTCTGTTGTTAGGCACAGTGCAGCCTCATTCACAATGTTGATTCTCAGAAGTTATCTATAATAGTCATTGGTAGTGAAAATAGCTGCACCAGTTAAGAGTATTATTTTCACCTGAAACTTATTTGGAAATCTTTCAATCTCTCATTCTCAGAACTCACAGTTTAAAAAGATAGATTATTCCAAGTCATTAGGTATTTGGTCTGAATTCATTAAAAAACATGGTTTGCCAAGTTACCACTAGTATAGGCAGCATGTCTTTCTTTCCTTCTTTCTTTCCCTTCCTCCCTTCTTTCCTTCCTTTCTACTTCCCTCCTTTAGTCACACATCCATTTAACAACCATTCATTTATTTAACCACCACTTTCACATGGGCTCTGATATCAGATGGCCAAAGTGTGAATCCTGGCACCAACTCGATTAATTTTGTGACCCTACATAAGTGGCTTACCCTCCCTAAGCCTCAAGTTCTCTTCTACCAACCTTAGGTATTAGTTGCATCTACCTCCGAGAATTGTTTTAAGAACTAAGTAAGATAATGAAAATCCCCTGGCATAGTGCCTGGTTCATAGAGCGCTCAGAACATTCTAGCTATTTAGCTATTAAAAGCATTATTTTTATTTTTAAACAATTTTATGATTTCTTCCCTTCATCCTCCTTCTATCACTACTACCTCCACAACTACTCTCCAGCATTCTACCAAATGCTGGATCTGCACTGTCAGAAAAACAAAAACAAACCAAGCAAACAAAAAATCATGATCCCTGTCCTTATGAAACTCACATTTTGCAGGTAAACATATAATGTATAAATAAACAACATTTTAAATATATTGTTATTATTATTGATAATTCATTGAAGGAAAAACATTTTGGGGGGAATGATTAACAATAACTGGAGGGGGCCAATTTACGATGTTTGGAAAGAACTTCTGTGCCTTTTGTGGATGTGTCATTTGAGTCAAGATCTGAAGAAAAGCTACACATGTGAAAAACAGAAGAGCCGAGATGTGTGAGACTGTGCAAGAAAATTTAGGGAGTGGAATGAGAGATGGAGTGTTAGGTCTTAGACTGTGCAGGCTTCCTAGGTAGGGAAGAAAGTTAGATTTCATTTGAAGCATTTATTTGAAGCATTTGCCCTTATTCTTAAAAGGATTGCGTGTCTGCTGTTGATGTTATAAATTTTTTTCTTCTTTTTTTTAGTCTTTAAGCTTATTGAAGTGTTTATAGGGCATTCTGCTGTGCTGAACATGTACAAGATATGATACCTGCCATAAGAAAAGAAAGATAAATACACCAAACATCAAATAAACAATGTTAAAATCTTCAAATTATGCATCAGTTAAGATTTTAATTTACTAAAGCTGTTTCCTTAATTCCGTAGGCTTTGTTCACAGATGGCAATATTTAAATCATAGAGTTAACATAAAGTGATAAAAGAAAAAGATCTTGGTGTGTGATGTATCCAGTAAACCAGAACTGTGCAAACTCGCCAATTAAATTTGACAACTTCTTAAAACATTTAATCCCACAGATGCAATATGACAATCCCAAAGTGGGAATAGTACATGAAATACCGCATCCTGCTCATTCACTTAGCTGTTATTTCTTAAGGCTGCACAATCAGAATTGCATTTAAGGGGTAGACAGCGAAAAATTCAGTTACTATACAGACACCAGACGCAAAACCTTGTCTTTGTCACTTAGAGGATGCAAATGGAAATCTTTGGATCTTAAACATTTCCAACTGGACTGTTTTTGTTTATTCTTGCCATTTTCTTGTTAATGTGAAAATATGACAGCAGTAAGTTTCCATTCTCTTCTAAATTATTTTTTTCTGGAAAAACTTTCCAAAAATAAAGGAAAACACATAATTATGTTTTGCTGTTACTGGATAATCATCTCTGTATTTTAAAAGCTCTTTAATTTAGCCCTACGGTTTAAATCACACTTTCTAAAAGCAGTGGTTTTACATTCTCTTCAGGTAGACATGTTGTTCAGTGCACTGATTAATTGGGTAAGCCTGATCCCTTATATTTAGAGCCCACTTGTAAGTGGAAGTGAGAAATGAATTGTGCCAAGAGCCTTCAGTTCTATATTTATTAATATAGTAGATTACACAGATCATGAAAACAATCTTCTAATTTATAAGAGTCAATCTAATATCTTGTTAAACAAGAGTTATTATTATTGAGCTTAAAATATTGAAGTGTGTTATACCAAAGGGCCACTTTCCACATTGAAGAATACTGCCGTGAACACTAGCATTTTAACCACATGCTAATGGGCTCTCAGCAGCCTGATAAGTTATTGATTATCTCAGCTGGCATAATTCGTATCAGAAGAAGACAGTGTAGTTAACTGGAATGTAAGTCCTTCCCTTTTGCAACTTGAAACAGACTCACATCTCATCAGTCACTTTAGTCAGGACCACGGAAATAGACAGAAGGCTTTGTTCACAGGTGGATGGGCCCTTTCTGAAAGGAGCAGTGCTGAGCCCCATTAAATTCTGGCCCAGAAAATTTCACCTCCTATTGTACTTATTAATCTAAACAGTAACTGAAATGCCAGATGGAGAAGCAGTTCAAAGCCGCTTGCTATTGTTCTCTTGCTAATGTGAATGGTAAAATTATACTGAAATTTCTATTTTGCTCATTTTTACCAAGACAGAACTGAAATGGAAAAGGATGAAGAGTATATGTGATAATAAAAGGCTATGTTTTTTTAAAAGAAAACATTCCCGCAGTAACAGCCAGCCATATTATTTTAAAGCATTTCTATAGAAAAGATTTTCCCATTGTGAATAATATTTAAACACATGCAAAAAATAATTTTACAAATAATTTTCCCCATACAAAGTTGTGATCAGTGTGGTCTGTTATGTTCACTGGAAATTGGAATGCTTGCAATCTGTGCTTCAGCTGACACCTTTCTCCTCACATTACTGCTTTTTATAATGGGAAGAGAAATGTATGTTGGAAATCATAAAGAAGTAATAAAATAGCTTTTAAATAAATAAATATATTGTTGTGATAAAAATGTAGGCATTGTACATTGGCAAGATTTCATGACACATTGCTATGCCTATTCATTTGTGGAAATGTTTGAAATTGCTCAAAAGGGCTTAGTTTCATGTTTTGGAGGAATGGTGAAGTTGAGTGTGACAGTTTGCTAAAAAAGGAATAGTAAGAGGAAAAAAAAGTATGTTCTCTTGGTGAACAGCTCACCTTTAAAAGGCCTCTTCAAGACATATTTAAATTATGTAATATTTTGCCAGAGAGAGGATCAAATCTCAGTTGCAGCCACCTATGCTACCTAGTGTAAAAGTCTCACCTGATGTGGCTCATTAATATGAGCCTAGAGGGGCTTGCTGAATTGTTTTATCAGGAACTTTTTTTTCTTTTGTCTGCCTAACTAGGATAGTAGCCACAGAAATTCTCATGGAATACAAAAATTGTTAAAGTGGTAGCATGTCTGAAATAATGAGCCCCTTAAACCAATATAGTATGATGGTTAAGAGTTTGGGGTTGGCAGTCAGAATGCCTGTGCTTTAATACTAGCAGCGTGGCATCAGGCAAGGAAATTCAGCTCCATAACCCTCAGTTGGTTCAACAATAAAAAGGGGTAATTAAGGCATATATGTGATGCCAGTTGTTTTAATAAGTAAAAGGAGATAATGCATGTCAAGTGTTTAACAAGGTTTTTAGCATTGATTAAACACACAATTATATTAATATTACTTAGTTCAAATTTCTTAGTTAACAGTGCTCAAGACAAAGTACTTACACTTAATCACAATTAGCCATATAAATAAAACCATATAACTAATAGCAATGTCAAGATTACAAACAAATCTCTTTGAACTAGGTTGCATTTTACACTGTATTATCTAGCAAATGTGAAATCAAGGTCTTACTTACATGAGTATACGGTAAAATTTCATTGCACTTAAATATTTATTTGGCTATATATTATATATGTATAATATATGAATATATTTATTCAATTATCTGTGACTGGCTAGGTCAGTCTACATAGCCCATTACTTCTATTAATATAACCTTGCTGTAGGTCATCATTAACATTGCTCTTTCTCCTGACCACCGGCTTTACTCTTAACCCAGATTTTCCCATTAGTTGCAAAAATAATATAATACAGTGTCTCTATCCTCAACTATATTCTGATTCATGTGAAGATTCATTCCCTCCACCCTCCAGCCAACTTGGTAGTAGTGTTATGTTCATATGCCAATATCTCATTTTTTTTACTAATAAAACTATCGATTCTGTTTACAAAGCTTTGCTCCAAAGACTTCAGCACAGGATGTGAAATTTTGTTATCATCTGCCAGTCAATTTACATCATTAGTAATTAATGTACTATGGTCTTTAGCCAAAATCAAACTGATGGACAAACATAAAAAATTTAGCTTCTTTAACATAGCTAGAAAATGATGGAATTAGTGGATTCAGCTGATATTGCTATTCTAACAGCATTTGAACTTTACAACCTGTAACCATTCCTTTTTCATAGATTAGGAAAACAAAATTTAGAGTAAATTAATTGTCCAAAGTCCTAAATATAGTAATGGGAAGATTCAGTCCTAAGACTTTTAAAAGTTTTATGACTCAAGTTCAACACGTCCAGGTCCTTACAAGTTCCTAGAGTACTTGTTCATTATATTGGATTACTAAGCTATTGATTTCAACACTGTTTCACTTTTACAAATTGATGGATGTCATGTCAGTGGAACCTGAAAGACACTGCGTAAAATTTACAGTAATAGGTTTAGCACAAATTCTATTTTGATACTGTTTAGCTTTATTATTCAGTGCCTATATTCACACTTTTTTTAATTCACTGGCATGGACACATAATTCCAATTAAAAATGTATACTCTTCCTCTAGATTCTGTCCTCACAAATATAAAATCTCTGTACCTATGCATAAGAGTGATAAAATGTATGTTCCTGCTTTTTGCTTGTTTGTATTCCTGAATGCTAGACAGTATGGCTATATTTTGCAAAAATGTTCAAGTTAAGCAATATTTATTGGTAACCTAGTTTCCTGGAATAAATTATTAATTTATTTGGTATTTTCTATTAAAAGGAACAAAAGGAAGAACAATAGGAGATAAGTTGAAATTTTGAATTGTTATGAAAGCGTCTTCAGATCAACAGTTTTTAAAATAGCAGGAAATTCAGAAATAATGTATTTTAATTCAATAAAATCTGCATGTGCCAACAAGAACTTGAGATCTTCAGTCAATAAGAACTAAGTTTAAATACTATCTATAGGAATTTGAGCAAATCTTGTTATCCTGAAGCTTTCTAATTTGTAACAAAGATGTAACAAAAGTAGATATTCCATTGTACTCTGACTCTCATTTTCTCTACTGTCTTCTCTGTGGCAGTAAGGTAACCTAGGACTTCATCACTTAGTGGCTGTGGCTTTGGACAAATTACATTCTCTTCTTGGACTCATTGTTCTCAAAAAGTTATTGTTATAATTAATTAAAATAAGGTAAATAAAGCCCCTAATGCCGTGGCCAGCAAACCAGGGCTCTCAGGCCAAATCCATCCTGGTACATATTTTTGTAAACACAGTTTTATTGGAACATGACATACTTTTGTGCCACAATGGCAGAGTTGAATAGTTGGGACAGATCTTGTGGCTCACCAAATCTACAATATTTACTCTAAACATTTAGAGAAAGATTGTCAACTACTGCCTTAATGTATTCCTAGCATGTTTCTTCCTTTACTTTTTTGTTTCTTTCTTCCTCACTCCCTCGCTGCCTACCTTCTTGCCTCCTTCCCTCACTCGCCTCCTTCCTTCCTCCATTTCTCTTTTTTTTCTCTCATTCCTCTGTTCCATTCTTCTTTTTTTCCTTCCTTTCCTCCTCCTTCCCTCCCTCCCTTCCTTTCTTCCTCCCTTCTTTCCCCCTTCTGGAAAAATGTATTGTCTACTATGTAAGTCAAGCTCTAAGCTAAACTCTGAGAATATCACAGTAAGATCCAATGGCTATAACATAGTGGTGGACGTAGACAAGTAAAAGACAACTAAAATACGGCAAGTGCTATGAAAAGACAATTAATAGATGGGTGTCCTAATCAGGTTTTGGGGATTCAGGGAAGGCTTTCTGAAGGAAAAGATCTGTAAGGAGAAATCTGGAAAATGAGTGGAAATTAGGTAGGTAAGAAGTGTAGAAGGAGAGAAATGTTCCAGCAATGGGGATAACATTTGCAAAAGCATGATAATCACAAAGAACACTGTGGTTTTCAGACATTCAAACAGTTGACGGTGTTGGGAGGTTTGTGCAGAAGAGTGCAGAGAGGTAAGGCTGGACAGTTGAGCAAGAACTATACCATGCAGGGCAATGTAAGCCACGGTCCAGAGGATTGAATTTACTATACCACAAGTAATGCAAATGGAATCAGAGGGAGGAATTTGCTTGCATAGAAGTAACATATCCAAACCAGTCATTTAAAAAGTTTATCTGGCTGCAGTTTTAGAAAGTGGATTTGCATATATGTTGTTTTCATGAAGACAAGTAAGATGACTTGAAATACTCTGAAAAAATAAACAAATCTAAGTGTAGGTATCTGGTTCGAATTAGGGATAAGTTTAGGTGTGTTTGTTCGTTTGTTTTAGGAATTTGATGACATTGCCCAAAAGATCCAGGGATTAGTAAATCCTGCATTTCTAAGGCAAGTATCTATAGAAGAAACAATGTCCAAATAGAAAAAAAAATACTGTATTCCCATTGTTGTTTACAAAGCTCTCATAAACCCAGGGTATATAATTCTTTATTCTCATATATATTTTTTCAACACATATTTACTGAATACTTACTAGGCTTCAGGAACCATTCTAAGGATTGGGTAGATAGCAATGAATAAAACATTGAGCGTCCTTTCATGAAAATTATGTTGTCATAGAGATGTAGCCATAAATAAATAAATAAATAAGCATTGTGAGCTCTGATATATACTATGCAGAAAAATAAACAGGTACAGGATAGAACAAACATAATGGGAGGTTACCTGTTTTAGAAAGGGGAATCAGGAAAGAATTCTTAATTAAATGACATTTTAACTGATACCTAAAACAGTAAATGTGGCATCCATGGAAAGGGACAGCATTTTAGGCAGAGTAAATGCTGTAAGTGTGAAGGTTCAAATGAAGGAATGTACCGGGCATAATAAAGAATTAAAAGTTATTAATGTCACTGGAGTAAAGTGATTAAGAGAAATAATTCAATGAGAAGCAGGATAGATGGGTATGACAGACACATTAAGGGGCAACTGGAATTGGTATCATGCTTGAGGGCAATGTAAACCTATTGAATCACTTGAAGCAGGCATGCAAATGATTAAGATTTATAGTTTGATTGTTTTCACAAAAATATCTTGGACAGATTTTATTAGATTTATTTCTAAGTATCTAATATTCAACAGCTATTATGAATTACTTTTTGAAGATATTTATTTTGATTGTTACTTGTGTAAAGAAATGCAAGTGATTTTTATATTAGTTTCCAATATTGTTCCAGGCTCTCTCAATTATCTCATTAATTGTAATAATTTGTACACGAATACTCTTTTCCTTCCTGTTTTCTCCTTCCTTCCTTCTTCCCTTCCTTCCTTCCTTCCTTCCTTCCTTCCTTCCTTCCTTCCTTCCTCCCTCCCTCCTTTCTTTTATTTTCTTTTCCATTTTTTTTTCAAGACAGTGATTCTCTCTGTTGCCCAGACTGGAGTTCAGTGGCACAATCATTGCTCACTACAGCCTCCAACACCTACCCTCAAGAGATCCTACTGCCTCAGCCTCCCAAGTAGCTGGGATTACAGGTGACTGCCACCATGCCCAGTTAATTTGTTTTTCTCAATTTTTTTGTAGAGATGGGGTCTTGCTAGGTTGCCAGAGCTGGTCTCAAACTCTTGGGTTCAAGCAATCCTCCCATCTCTGCCTCCCAAAGGGCTGGAATTACAGGCGTGAGCCACCACCATGCCTGGACCCTGTATATTAATTTTGTATGTTCACAATCGTATTATCTGCACATAATGACAATTTAGTTTCTTCATTTCTAATCCTTTTAACATTCTCTTACATTATTTTATGAGATAGGTAAAAGGATAAATTTGTACTGTTCTCTATTTTAAAGAAAAGGTATTCTGTATTTCCACACTGAGATGTTTGTTGTTGTAGGCTTTCTATAGTCACCTTTTATTAGACTAATAAATTTTTTTATATTCTAATCCTTATTCCTAGTTGATAGTAATTGGATTATTTGTATTTTACATTTCTTCTTGTGTCAATTTTGGTAGACTTATTGCAATAACATTTATTTCAATTAAAATATCAATTTAAATAAAATTAGAAAGGTGTTTCTAATTTATTGGCATAAATTTATACATAGTTTTCTTTTTATTTTGTATTATTTGTGGAGTATTTACCTTTGTAACTTCAAATATTGATTATTTGTTCATTTTCCCTTTATTATTATTGGTCTTGCCATAAGTTTATCAACTCTTTATCTTTTCAAATCTAACTATTTGCTGCTGAATCACTTTACTACATATTTTTGTATTTGATAAGTTTCCCTCTTAAACTTATTATTTTATGAATAATGTTATTACTTTATTACATTATTTTTGGAGGATCATGTTGCTTTTTCTTCTTTTATTATTACTTTAGAAAATTAATGCTTATCTCATTAAGTTTTCAGGCTTATTTTTTAATAATTTCATTCAAGGCTAAAAATTCTCTTGAATACAGTTTAAAAATGTATTCACATATCTTTATTATAACTAAGTATACAGTATTTTCTAATTCTCTTTATGATTGCTTTAATGCTCCATGAGTTATTGAGAATTTCATCTCAAAATAAAAATTCCCAAATACATGAAAATATTTTAGTTATGTTTTAATATTTATATATCAAAAATGTAATAATATCCGAGAATATGTATAATTTAAATCCTTTGAAATTATTTGAGATTATCTTTTGTTCCAATATATAATCCTTTTTAAATGATCTATATGGACTTTAACTAATGGGAATTCTTCACTTGTGGAGTACATTATTTCAAATATATCCTTCAATTCAAGCCTGTATAATACTATTAAAATATTACATATTTATAGTTTTAAATTTTTTTATGGTTATAAATTTAGATTAAAAAGCATAGAATTATGCATTTTATCCCTCAAATTTCCTATTTGTAAATATGCTTTCACTATAATATTCTTTTTTTAGTATTAAAATAGATACGACAGCTCTTTTTTGCTATTTCAGTTTCATATTACTTTTATCTTGTTTTGTTTTCAACTTTTCTGTATCTTTAGGTTTTAAGTGTGATTGCTCCTAACAGCTTATAATTTGATTGGGATGTGTGTGTGTGTGTGTGTGTGTGTGTGTGTGTGTGTATGTGTTGTGTATTTATGTTTAAATCCAGTCATATAAACTTGTCTTTTAATTGGAAAATTTTGCACAATTAGATTTACTGTAACAACTGATATATTCAGATTTAGTATATCTTTTCATGCTTCATATTTTTCCCATCTTCTCATGTTTTACTTTCTCTTCTTTCTTGATGTTTTTTGTTGTTACATTTATCCCCCTGGGAGGATGTCTTCCCTATATTAGAATGTAAATTATAAAACTGCATTTTTAACTTTTAGAAATTACATTATACCTTTCTTGTTTAAGTGATTACTAGCCTTTTCAGACAAAAACTTTACTTATTTGAGGCAGAGGGATCACTTGAGCCCAGGAGTTCGAGACCAGCCTGGCCAACATGGTGAAACCCCATCTCTACTAAAAGTTAAAAAAAATTAGCCAGGTGTGGTGGCGCACACCTGTAATCCGAGCTACGCAGGAGGCTGAAGCAGGAGAATTGCTTGAACCTAGGAGGCGGAGGTTGCAGTGAGCCAAGATTGCACCACTGCACTCCAGCCTGGGCTACAGAACTAGACCCCATCTAAAACAAAAACAAAAACAAAAACACCTTTACTTATTCTTTCTTAACCCCTCCATTCATTTGGCACTGAGTAACTGCACAAATTCAAGACAACCTTGTAGTAGTTGGGATCATGGGGCTGAGTTTCCTCCAGTGGAGTGTGAGTTGAAATCATGTGTAACTTTTCTAGCCCAAGGCTGGTAATTAGATTTGATGCTATATATCTTTCTTGTTGTGCTATCTGGTTCAGATTATAACTTCTCAGAAGATGAACAATCCTCAAAAAAATGAAAGAAAGATCTGAGTCCCTGAAGCAGCTGGTAGATGAAATCCTCACATACTAGGAAAATCCCTCCTTTGACTTTTATGTTATTGAGAAATAAACTTTTATATGATTTCAGTCATTATCTGTTTTTAGTTTATTTGTTACAAACATTAGTGTTATACCTACTAATATAAAAATTGAATTTTGAACTTAGTTATTGCCATAACACAAATATAATGTTTGTGGCATTGGTTTAGTGGTCCAGTGGAAGACAATGAGAAAACAGATATAGCTGATTGGGACACTGAATATCTCTTTTATTTTTTAGCAAAACATTTGGAACATAAATTGGAATTGCTTCAAAGACAAAGTGCCTCAAAGCTTCAGGAAAAAAGCCAAAATGTTAGCATATATTGATTGTTATTTCCTGTGTATAGCAAGATTTTGAAGGAAGGAGAGTAGGTTGGGGGGAAATATTGGCAAGTGTGCAAGCAGAAATAAAAGCAAATATACGATGTACTGATTTTTCCATTTATTCTCCCTATGTCTCTTACTTATTTTCTTTTCACTTTTAGGAGTAACATGATGTGATTTCATTTGTTAATGAATCTCATTCTTACTAATACATGGAGAGTGGATTGGAGGCCAGAGTGGAAGTAGAGACCAGTTGAAAAGGTATTGCAATAATAAAGATTAGACAGGATGACCATTTGGAATAAGGGGAAACAGAAGGAAGTAAATTCATTGATTTGATATATATTAAGGGAGTGTATGCTACAGTGTAAGGCCTATAGGCAAACTGAAAATGGGAAAAATAGAAAGGGTGAAGGGATTATTGCCAAGATTCACAGAAACTACTGGATGATTGATGGTCCCATTTTCTGAGAAGGAAAGATAGGGCAGTGCAAAGTATTGAGGAAGAAAATTCAGAGTTCAGTTTTAGTTTCCATGGGTCATGTGAAGCTGGGAACAGGTTTAGATGACTGGGACTGTAAACTAGTCTCTGTTGAAATATATTCATTCTGAATATAAATAATGGTTGGGATTTAGTATATTTTGTGAGGTGGGAAGAGGGGAAAGTCTGCAAAACACGTAAAGTCTGGTATTTAGGAAAGGATAACAGGAGCATGTAGTGCTATGAAAACAGAGGAATCAAGAGTTTTAGGAGGAATAAACAACATTTATAAATAAATAGCATAAAAGGGGGAGATTAAAACTTAAATCATTTTGATACTCTGAATATAACAAACACTATGTAGTGCCCCCAGGTTTTAGCAGTAAGTAGAATCATAATGATTTTAACAAACACAACTTTAATGAGGAGTTGGGGGTTATCATCAGATTTTTAGTGATTTTTTGATCTTGAAGAATAATGTAAACATAAAGAGATTCAAAAAATGCTAGTTCTCTTTGATTTATTTTTTCTTCTCCTAGGCAGTAATAATGTTTGGAGTTGGTCGGAGAAGACCCTTTCCCATTCTCTTTTGCTCCAGACCTTCCCAAAACGCAACCACTCAAGTTTTACAGGTGAGAGCAAAATATTGAAAGGGAAATTGCACCTGGCTAAGTTTTTCTTGAAACTTGAGTAAGTCTTAATAAAATTATAATTTAAAAATCTCATAACAGATTGAAATTTATTTAAAATACTATACTTTAATCACAAAATTGTATTCCTTCCCTTGATATCACTTGTAAAATTATTTTGATTCACTTTAGAAATTGCATGAGTTAGATTTATGTATCTGTTTATTTCTTTCCCACACAAACACAAAAACAACCCAGCTGTGATTACATATTACTGACTGTTTATAAGTTGCAAATCTGCTCCTTAAAAATTTTTGGCATTTTTCTGTAAACTTAAAAACTTATCTAAGAAATAACATATTAAAAAATTTCTTGACATAACTCCAGGAAGGCAAGTATACACAGAATTTTTATTTTTACAGAAGATATTTTGTATTTTATATATACATATATATATACAGTCTGTACTAGGGTGGGTTGAGGACATAAAATTTAAAGTCAGTACAAAATATAGATACAACTGTAAAGCCTTTATAGAAGTTAATAGCTCAAACCACCTTATGATATTCCATGAACAATTTTCTTTGGGATAAATTTTTTAAACCATCATGCTTTCTTATAGGCACTTAACATCTACGTGACAAATCATACATCTTCCTTTATGCTTCATCTGACTCTGTATAATTTAGTCTTATGATGCAGCTCTTACTGTAGATGTTTTTCAGGAAGTGATTTATAAGGTTGAACTAGCTCAAATTAACACTTCTTATCAATTTAATGGCATTTTTAATGTTTTAATAATTTATGTTTTCTTTAACTGCTTAAGTACATATAGCCCAAAATATATGTTCTTTTCTTTTTAAATATGAATAACAATTACCCATTTCAATGAGTTCCTTCCCTGGAAGGTATATAATGTGTTTTTTTTATCCTTTAACCCTACCAATACCCAGGTCATTTTGTAGCTTTTCTTATTAACACAGCATTTCAGCTACAGAAGATGAAAAGTGGGGAGATATACTCCTTCAGTACAGAGTATATAATTTATTTTTACCTATAGAAAAAGTCTCTGATTTATTTTCAAATAACTCGTAACATTTGTCTTCCCAGTTATCTGACTATTTAACAAATTTGAATGTGACATTTACATGGTGACCTCAAACCTTTTATGCTTTGTTTCATTCACTTATTTTTTTTCTATTGCTATGCACACTTTGTTACCATTCACTGAAAATCTTAGACCACTTAGACATATTGACTAATTACTCTTTCTTGGCATCTATTAATTCTTTATATGCTGACAGATGCTCCTAAACTGGTATTTTTAACGATCATTTTGTGAATTCCAAAAAATATACAGGTTATATGATCTCTTTTGTTAGTTTTTATGACTTTTCTTGTGGGTTATAGGTATATCTTAAGGCATTAATAATCAAATGTCCTTTCAGAACTCCTTATCATTTTGACCACCTTGAAAACTAAAAATATTGACAAATCTTATTCAAAACTTCTTTCTTATCACTTACTACCTTTACCTTCTTTGTCTTCTAACCCTCTAATCACTTTGTTTCAGTTTTCTTCTGCTTTGTTTTCCCCCCCAAAAATAGTAGAAGCATTAATGTAAATTCTGTCTTATCCCCTTTCTTCCTCCAGCAATGCAAATATTAGATAGTAACCACTTCAAGCTTCAAAGCTTACAAAGTAAATTATAAAATCTGGATCCTTCTCAAAAAACAAAGGTCAAGTTGTGTAATTAATTATAATTTGGTGTGGGAGGCTTCAGAGGACTTTTCTTAACTGTAGGGTAAAATCTATCCTAAATTTTAGAATATAGGAACAAGAATCATATATGGACATTTATACATTCTTTATAAAATTTTTGCACAGTAATTTTTTTTATTATACTTTAAATTTTAGGGTACATGTGCACAATGTGCAGGTTTAGTTACATATGTATACATGTGCCATGTTGGTGTGCTGCACCCATCAACTCGTCATTTAACATTAGGTATATCTCCTAATGCTATTCCTCGCCGCTCCCCGCACCCCACAACAGGCCCCGTTGTGTGATGTTCCCCTTCCTGTGTCCATGTGTTCTCATTGTTCAATTCCCACCTATGAGTGAGAACATGCGGTGTTTGTTTTTTTGTCCTTGGGATAGTTTGCTGAGAATGATGGTTTCCAGCTTCATCCATGTCCCTACAAAGGACATGAACTCATAATTTTTTATGGCTGCATAGTATTCCATGGTGTATATGTGCCACATTTTCTTAATCCAGTCTATCATTGTTGGACATTTGGGTTGGTTCCAAGTCTTTGCTATTGTGAATAGTTTGCACAGTAATTTTTTAAAACAAATTCTGATGTTTTATTCAGAAACACTAAAAGAAGCAAGAAAATGCTTCCTAATTGAAGCTGAATTTCTTCATTTGTGGGCACAACAATGACTAATCATTGGAACTTTACTTTAAAAGTGAAAAGTTAATTAAGTGGAAGTACACGTCTTCTTTTGAGTAAGAATAGATAAATATCAACAATTTCTAATTCCTTAAATTTCTCATGTAGAATAAACTACAATTGTTAACAATTTCTCAGCAATTTCTTTACTTAAATGCTATTTTTCCATTGCACCTTATAAGAATTCTTCTTGGTAAATTGTAGACCACAAGCATTCCACTTATCTATTATGCAAAACACAGTTGTATTTATTAAAGCCATTCATTATAGATTTATTACCACTGGCCTCTATTTGTCTAGACAGTTAAATACTCCTGCGTTCTTCTCCTTCATTTTGCAAGAACTCATTACATTTATTTTATTTGTTTGGCACATGATCTCACTTTTGGTTTTCGCTTCCAGGTTCTGCCCTTTTATTACCCAATCTAGCTAAAAGAGAAGGAAGACTGACAACTTTCATTTAACTGTCAGGTCCTTTTGGAGTCCACTAGCTGCAGTAAAATGACTCTACATTGTACTTAACGAACCATGAAGAGAGTGAGACAAATAAAAAAGTTTTCATGCCCTTTAGAGCAAGAGGCTGGTCTCATCTGCTATTAAAGCTGATTAACAGCCTATACAACAACTGCCAGACATGGGGAAAAAGGTGAAATGGCAATGTAACTGAGCTACTCACCTCCCATAATGAAGCATCTGTTCAAAAATACAGAGTGTTTTCTCCTTCTAAGGAACTCATAAGGCAAAGGTGAACCAAGTAGTAAAGTAGACTCAATTAAACAATATGTGTTCTAATGGTAATAAGAGGAAAAGTAGGTTAGAAATAAACAGGAAAATGACAGGAGCTATTTCAGCAATTTAAATATTGTTCATTAGTGAGAATGAAAAGAAGTACGCAGCCTACCTACTGTTACAACAATTAGGTTCCATCCAATTTGGTAAGAATAATATTAAGCAGTAGATGAATTTTCTGTTTGGTTTGTAAACATAATAAAATTTCTGTATCATTTCTACATATTACTGGAATTTGACCCCTTACTTAGGAATTGTTTCTCCTCTCTATGTTTGGACACATTGGCTATTAGTTTAAGGAAACAGAAAAAAATAACTAGCATGAAAGCAGTTAGGATGGTCATGCTTTATTAACACAGATACATTCTTTTTCCCAGGAAGAATTTAGAATTTAAACATCTCAGATTATTTTAATTTTTCATGATTTTATTTCCCCCCCACCATATTTTTTTTTTTTTTTTTAGACAGAGTTTCACTCTGTCACCCAGCCTGGAGTGCAGTGGCATGATCTCAGCTCATTGCAACTTCCGCCCCCCTGGGTTCAAGCGATTCTCCTGCCTCAGCCTTCCGAGTAGCTAGGATTACAGGCACGCACCACCACGCCCTTCTAATATTTGTGTTTTTAGTGCAGAGGGGGTTTCACCATGTTGGCCAGGCTGGTCTGGAACTCCTGACCTCAATGATCCGCCTGCCTCAGCCTCCCAAAGTGCTGGGATTACAGGCTTGAGCCACAGCACCTGGCCTTTATTTCTTTTATCTTAAAGCTAAAATAAAGAGTTAGTTTAGTAATTTTCTTTCATAATAAATGAAATAATATATGTTCAGTCTATGTCTATGTATGTTTAAAATAAAACAGTAACCAATAACCAGTAACTCTACAGTATCCACAGCTATATAAAAATGGCCATGGTAGTTTACTTAAAATTTTAAGTAAAATTTTATTTAAATTTTACTATTTGTAGGTTTGATTCTCTGGAATATTAAAGGAAGTTTTCAGAAGTTATCTATTAAAATGCTGCTGCTTTCAGCAGGAGATGTAGCTTGTTAAGTGATCACAAAACATGGTTACTTTATAGAAATTAAATTTCAGAAAAGTATGAGAGACATTACTTAGAAAAAAAGAGGTAGGAAACAGAAGGAGGATGAAAACAGGGCACCACTGGCTTGGCACTGGAAGGTTGGATGGATTTCTGCCCATAATTGACCTCTTTGCTGACTGCCTGATTCAAGGGACAATCTACACAACCTAGAACCAGATTCAGTGACTTCATGTGAAGGGATTGGTTTACAGCCTGAAGTGCTTCAGGATAGACCAACTCTCAGTGGAAGTGCTACAAATAGGGCTGCCAGGATGTCAGGCCTTCCTAACAACAGGGAATTGATCTTAAAAATTGTGCTCTATCTGTGAAAACTGGGACAATAAATGGGAGAACCAATTGGTAAATAGGAAGGTAGCAAAGGCTGATTTAAAAACAAATTTATTTTTTTTTTTTAATGTATGTCATAGTTTTTCATAGGGCTCACTCTGTGGATTCATGTGTACTTTTCCTGTGGAGTTTTACTAATAAGATTTCCTTAAGAGAATTTTAAAGCACATTGAATTCCTTCAAAATGGTAAGGATTTTATAATCAAAAGAGAATGCAGGGCATATAAATGTTAACAATAATTTGTTATTAGGTTGAGTTAATACATTTTAATCAAATCTTTCAACGTTTTTATTTTTCTCTTTACAAAGAAAGTGTCTGTAAAGCATTTGCCTTTAGTTGTCAAAACAAATGAAAAACATTGCTGTTATTTTGCCTATAAGGAAACATCAATGCTTGTGGTTGCATGTATCGCTCCATTTATGTTGTAAGTTTTTTTTGTTTGTTTGTTTGTCTTATTTTGGGGACAGAGTCTCACTCTGTCACCCAGGCTAGAGGGCAGTAGTGCAATCTTGGCTCACTGCAACCTCTGCCTCTGGTGTTCAAATGATTCTCGTGCCTCAGCTTCCAAAGTAGCTGGGATTACAAGCGTGCACCACCACGCCTGGATAATTTGTGTATTTTCAGTAGAGACGAGGTTTCACCACATTGGCCAGGCTGGTGTATTGTAAGTTTATATTAAGGAACATTTCCTTGGAGGATAAGAAAAGACTATCACTTAAAAAAATGAAAATGGAAAGGTATTTTGTAGGTTTGTATAGCACATGCTTGACCTATTAAATATGTATATAGAGATTTTGTGAGTTCTATTGTTTATGACAGAAATATATCATGCCATAAAAGTTAAGTCTATGGTGCCTTAATGAAAGGAGATTCGACCCCAAATTTTCATGTTCATCTAAAAATACAGTGCATTTAAAATATCTTGTCAGCTTTGGGTTTGAATAACAAAAAAATCTGTTTTATTGGCCTCTAGCTATATAAATATAGTCAACGTTATTTGCCCTTTAAAATTCTTAACAAGAAAACCATTCATCTAATTTATACTGAAGCATTCTACAATATGCTTAGTATATAATCATCTGCTAGCACCACAATAAATAGCTACTATGTATTCAACAGAAGTTGTTATTAATCATCAGCTTCTTATAATGGCTATGCTTATGTCTTTCTAACAGCTCCACTCTGTCAATGAAGTTATTGTGGATTGAGCTAAGAATTTCATTAAGTGCCTACTTTTTTTAGAAGAAACAATTTTGTGAAGAACATGTAGACATATGCATACAGCCAATGTATAATTGCCTTATTATTTCATTGCCATAATTCTATTTTAGAGCTGGCTTCAGATATCCATCTTTAAAATTAACCACTTTAGAATAGGCTTGAGATTCACTCTTTTAAAGTGCATCAAAATATCATGTAAAATAGGAAAAGCTTTATCAGAATATGAATTCTTTCTTAATTTGAGTCTCAGTCTTTCTCCCTTTCAGTGGTGGCCAAGAAGCCATTTGAATGGAAGGTTGTGAATGGTAACCAAGTCATTGTTACCCAGTGAATTAATTGACTCAATTGACATAAATTAAAAAAAATTAATGCCTTGTGTATATTGATCGAGTAAATTTGGACAAGTAAAAATAATTTTAATCCATTGATTTAAGACATACATTTGGTAAATATAGAAATGACACTTCTTCTTTAACTTTTATTTTACATTGGGGGGTACATGTACTTGTTTGGTACATGGGTATTACATACGTAATGGTGGGGATTGGGTTTCTAGTACACCATCACCCAAATATTGGACATTGTATCTAGTAAGTAATTTTTCAACCTGCACCCCACTCAACCACCCCCATTTTGGAGTCTGCAGTGATTATTACTTTCATCTACATGTCCATGTGCACCCAAGTATGCATATACATAGATGAAGATCAACTCTATATCTATATACACACATACATGTGCATACATATTTCTATATTTCTATATATGTGTATACATATATACATACATATTTATATATATATATGAAAGCACACAAGAAAGTTTCTATGCAATTCCCAAATTTAAAAAATAAATACAATGTTATTAGAGTTTGAAAACATAATAAGGTCAGTGAGGTATAGAAACATTAGGAATGGTGCATGAGATAGATGGCAATGAATTAATTAAAAGCATTTAGATAGCTGAAAACAAAAGGTCTGGCCAGGACCAGAGATTCAAATGTAGGAATCTTGATGTGAAGTAGTGCTGTAAGAGACAATAAGGTGATTGGCTAAGCTTGTCTGCTTAGGGTGTTGAAGAGGGCACCCTCTTCAACAAGTGGTGCTGGGAAAACTGGATAGCTGTATGCAGAATAATAAATGTAGATCTCTATCTCTCATCAGATACAGAAATTGACTTAAAATAGATTTAGGACTTAAATGTAAGACCAAACTTATAAAACTACTCAAAGAAAACATTGGGGAAATGCTTTAGGACATTGGTCTGGGCAAAAATTTGATTGGGTAAAACTCCAAATGCACAGGCAACCAATATAAAAATAGACAAACAGTATTATATCAAGGAAAAAACCTTCTGTACAGCAAAGGAAAAAATCAAAAGTAAAAAGGTAACCTGTTGAAAGAGAGAAAATATTTGCAGACTATCCATTCAAAAGATGATTAATAATCAGAATAGATAAGAAACTCAAACAACTCAACAGCAAAAAAACTAATAATCCCATTAAAAAGTGAGCAAAGAATCTAAATAGACATTCCTCAAAAGAAGACATATAAATGGCAAACTGGTATATGAAAAAATGCTCAACATCACTAATCACAAGGGAAATGCAAATAAAAAGCACCATGAGATAGCATTCACCACAGTTAAAGTGCAGGCTTACACTGTGAAGTTGTAAGAAACACGGCACAAATGGAAAGAAGATGATACCATCAGAGAGAGAGAGAGGAAGGGAGAGGAGGGGAGAGGGAGGGAGGAAGGGAAGAATAAAGGACAAACTCTCTATTCGTTTCTTTATAGCCTTATTTAAAAAATAACCCGCAAGATTAAAAAAAAGAAAGAAAATAGAGAGGCATTACTAAACAAAATATCTGAATTCTATTTCACTTCTAGTAATACATGATTTAAGTTATTTTCCTATTTATCCAATGACTTCCATATCACTGTTTCTGTTTTTCTTCCCTAATAATCTGAAGGGTTTTTTTTTTCAAAGCCTGATTCTTTATGCTCTTTCTTTTTAAATGTGCATGGTTTTCCTAAGACATTCCAATAATTCTAATTCTTTAAATATTTATTTGTATTCTCTTTCACTCAATTTTTAAAAATGAATCTGTAATTCCACATCTGCATTCATGTTCTAGTCTAAATGCCTATTCAATCAGTGTTTTCACTGGATAGACTATTCCTATGCTGATAGAGTGTCATTGCCTCCAATTTATAAGGCACAAAATGAAACTTTGTTAGATTTTCCCAAACCCCGTTCAATAACCCAACTGATATATGTTAGTCACTATTTTGACATTTTATTTTTCTTTCCTACTGTATTACATGAATCATGTTTTCCTATACAATCTATCACCAATAAATACCGTCTTAGTCTAGCCCTGTCCAACATTAGTCCTATACCCACAACCATGCACTCACACCACTGATATGATATGAAAATATGACACTTTATTGAAATGTTTCAATCAAATTTCTTATCAAAGAAGAAAATCTGGAAAGAAAATAAAATAGCAATACATTTCAAGGTAAATGTTTTATATTAATAGATAGTTTGATTACAAATTGTAATAAAGTGAACATCTTTGAAGAACTCAAAGGCCCTCCTAATAGACAATATTACATTTATAAAAACTGCCAGTTAAAGACATTTTTTAAAACAATTTTTATTGATGCATAAAAATTTATTTATGAGGTGCATGTGATATTTTGAAACATGAATACCATGTGTAATAATCCAATCACAGTATTTAGGATTCCATCACTTCAAACATTTATTACTTCTTAGTGTTGGGAAGATTTCAAACCTTCTCCACTTACTATTTTGAAACATACAATATATTGTTGATAACTATAGTGCCTCTACTGTGCTATTGAACACTAGAAATTATTCCTTCTATCTAACTGTATGTGTGTAGCCATTGACAAACCTCACTTCACCTTCCTACCCTCAGCAGTCTCAGCCTCTGTTAAGTATCATTCTATTCTCTACCTCCTTGGGATCAATTTTTCTATCTTTCACATATGAGTGAGAACATACTATATTTTCTTTCTGTGCTTGGCTTATTTCACTTAACATAATGACTTCTAGTTCCATCCATGTTGCTGCAAATGGTAAAATTTCATTCTTTATTATGTCTGAGTAATATTCCATTGTGTATATCTACCACATTTTAGTTATCCATTCATGCATAGACAGACTCTTAGTTGATTCCATACCTTAGCTATTGTGAATACACTGATTTGATTTCCTTTCGATAAACATACAGTAGTGAGATTGCTGGATCATATGATAATTATATTTTTAGTTTTTAGAGAAACGTACATACCGTTTTCCATAAAGGCTCTACTAATTTACATTCCTACCAACCGTATACAAGAGCTATCCTTTTTCTATATCATTGCCAGCATTTATTTTTGTCTTTTTGATAATAGACATTTTAACTGGGGTAAAATTACATCTATTTGTGGTTTTGACTTGCATTTCCCTGTTACTGATATTGAACTTTTTTTCCATATACTTATTGGCCATTTGTATGCCTTCTTTTGAGAAATGTCTACTCATATTATTTGCTCACTTTAAAATTATTATTTTGTTTTTGTTGAGTTGTTTAACTTCCTTCTATATTCTGAACTTTAGTCCCTTGTCAGATGAATAGTTTGTAAATGTTTTCTCCCATCCTACAAGTTTTATCATGACTCTGTTCTTTCCTTTGCTGTGAAGAAACTTTTTATACATTTTAAAATGGCCTCGTTTGTCTATTTCTGTTTCTGTTGCCTGTGATTTTGAGGCCTTAGCCATAAATCTCTAGCCTAATGTTTTGAGGTATTTACCCTATGACATCGTCTTGTAATTTTATAGTTCTGGATTTTACATTTCAGTGTTTAATCCATTTTTAGTTGATTTTTGTATCCAGTGAGAGGTAGGGAACTGTTTTCATCCCTCTGCATGTGGATATCCAGGTTTCCCAGTACTATTTCTTAAACAGGGTGTCCTATTCCAAATTTAAGCTCTATGCACATTTGTTGAAAATCAATTGGGTTTAAATACATGGATTTATTTCTGGGTTATCTGTAAACCAGTGGAACACTGCACTAGTTTTTGTGTTTGTTTTTATTACAATACCATGCTGTTTTGGTTACTATATCTTTATAGTACATTTTGAAGTTTGGTTTTGTCATGCTCCAACTTTGTTCTTTTTCCTGAGTGTTACTTTGGCTACCTGGGTTTTTTGGGGGGTTCATAGGAGTTTCAGGATAGTTATTTATTTATTTCTGTGATGAATGTCATTGAAATTTTGATAGAGTTGCATTGAATCTATAGATTGCTTTGGGTTGTATGGTCATTTTAATGATATTAATTATTTCAGTCCATAAGCAAGAAATATCTTTCTATTTATTTGTGTCCTTTAATTTCTTTCATCAGGGTTTTGTAGATTTCCTTGAAGAGGGCTTTCACCTCCTTGACTAAATTTGTTACTAGGTATTTTATATGTTTTGCAGTTATTGTAAATGACATTGCTTTCTTGATTTCTCTCTCAGCTAGTTTGTTATTGGTATAGAAGCATTAGATTATTTTGTATATTGATTTTGTATCCTGCAATTTTACTTTTAAGTTTCAAGATTTTTTTGTGGTGTAGTCTACGTTTTTCTCAAATATGATGTCACTTGCAAGAAGGATAATTTTACTTTCTCTCTTCCAATATGATATTTTTCATTTTTTTCTCTTGCCTGATGGCTCTGGCTAGGACTTCTACTACTATGTTGAATATGAATGGTAAAAGTTGGCATCTTAGTCATGTTTCACTTTTTAGTTTTTTCTCATTCAGTATAATGTTAGCTGTGTGTTTGTCATATATGGTCCTTATAATGCTGAGATATGTTTGTTCTATGCCTAATTTGTTGAGAGTTTTATCATGAAGAGTTGTTTAATTTTATTAAGTGGGTTTTGCATCTATTGAGATAATTATATGGTTTTTGTTCTTCCTTTTGTTGATATATCTCATTTATTGACTTGCACTATGTCAAACTATATTTTAGTTCCTGTGATAAATCTTATGGGATCATAATGTAGTATATTTTTGATGTGTTCTTGGATTAAAATTTGCTAGTATTTTGTTGAGGATTTTTGCATCTATGTTCGTCAGGGATATTGGTCTGTAGATTTTTGTTGTTGTTGCTGTGTCCTTGTCTGGTTTTGGCATCAGAGTAATGCAGTCTTGTAGCATGAATTTGGAAGTATTACCTTCTCCTTAATTTTTTGAGAAAGTTTGAGACAAATTATGTTAATCATATTTTAAATCTTGGTAGTATTCAGCGGTAAAGACATCTGGGCTTTTTCTCTGTTGGGAAAATTTTTATTATTCACTCAATATCATTACTCATTCCCATTATCATTTTTGGTCTCTTCTATTTTTCTATTTCTTTCTTGTTTAGAAAGATAATTAATAAACTGCCAAATTGACTGATTAAGAAAAAAAGAAGACTCAAATGAAATCAAAATAAAAAAGGAGATATTAAAACTGATTCCTCAAAGGTACTTTTTCTAAATATTCAAATTATATTTCTTTCTGGCTTAGAAAGAAATAAAAAACCTGAAGAGATAATGAATGATAATGGTAGGTTGTACGTGTACAGGAATTTATCCATTTCCTTTATGTTTTCCAGTTTGTTAGTACATAATTTTTCATAATAGTCTCTGATGATCCACTGTCATTTTGATGAACCTTTTTTCATTTTAATTTCATTTATTTGAGTCTTTTTTCTTAGTCAATTTAGCAGTTTATCAATTTTGTTTATCTTTTCAAAAAAAGAATTTTTCATTTCATTGATACTTTGTATTGTTTTTACACTCTTTATTTCATTTAGTTCTGCTCTGCTATTTATTACTTCTTTACTTCTGCTAATTTGGGGTTCTCTTTTTCTTTGCATTTCTAGTTCCCAGAAGTGCTTCATTATGTAGTTTACTTGAAATGTTACTGCTTTTTTGACATACGCCTTTATTGCTACAAACTTCCCTGTTACTACTGCTTTTGTTGTATATCATATGTTTTGATACATTATGTTTTCATTTTTATTTGTTTTTAGAAACCTTTTTATTTTCTTAATGTCAGCATTGACACAGTAGTCATTCAGGAGCATGTTATTTAATTTTCATATATTCATACAGTTTTCAAAGTTTGTTACTGATTTCAAGGTTTATTCCATTGTCATTCAAGAAGACACTTGATGTAATTTTGACTTTTAAAAAAATGTGTCAAAACTTGTTTTGTAGGGTAATTTTGGAGAATGTCCCATGTATCCAAGAATGTGTTTTCTGCAGCTGCTGCATAAAATGTGTTGTAAGTATTCTTGAGTCCATTTTGTTCTAAAGTTCAGTTTAGATCCAAAGTATTTTGTTGATATTCTGCCTAGTTAACCTGTTTATTGCTAAGAGCAGGGCATTGAGGTCCCTAATATGACTGTGTAAAAGTATATAAATCCCTTTTGATCTAATAATATTTGTTTTATATATCTGGGTAATCCATTGTTGGATGCATACATTTAGAATTGTTATATTCTCCTGCTGAATTTATCCCTTTATCATTATTTAATGAATTTATTTGTCTCTTCTCACTCTTTTTGACTCAAATCCTGTTTTATGTGCTGCAACTCTAGCTACTTTTACTCACTTTTGGTTTCTATTTCGTGGAATATTATTTTCCATTTCTTTATTTTCAGTCTACTTGTGTCTTTTACAAGTGAAGTGAGTTTCTTATAGCATATATCTGGGTCTTCTTTTTTAATCATTTCAGCCAATCTATATCTTCTAATTGGTGAATTTAATCCATTTATACTGAAAGATATTATTGATGGGTGAGTACCTATTCTTGTCATTTTGTTAATTGTTTCTAGTTGTTTTGCGTATTCTTAGTTAATTTATTTATCTCTTGTATATCATTAGAGATTGGTGGTTTTCTGTAGTAGTAACATTTGAGTTCTTTCACTTTCTCATTTCTGTGTCTTCTCCATCAGTGTGTTTCATGGTTATGTTTACATAATGATACATTTTTTTCATTCATTACTAGATGTAGGAGTCCCCTAAACATTTATTGTAGGGCTGATCTATTGGTGATGCCTTCCTTCATTTTTTTACTTACCTTTGAAAGACTTTATTTCTTTTTCATATTTGAAGGATAGCTTTGCTGGGTAAAGTATTCTTGGCTGACACAGTTTATGTTTCTTTCAGCAATTTGAATATATCACGACATTCTCTCCTGTCCTGTATACTTTCTGTTGAGAAATCTGCTGTTAGTCTGATGGAGCTTCCCTTGCATGTGACCTGACACTTTTCTCTTGCTCTTATTAGAATTCTCCCTTTGTCTTTGACTTTTGACAATTTGACTATAATATACCTTAAAGAAGACCTTTTTGGGGTGAATTTATTTGGTGTTCTGTGAGCTTCCTGTATCTGGATTTCTGTATTTACTCCAATATTGAAGACGTTTTCAGTTATTATTTTGTTTGATTGATTTTCTGTTCCTTTGCCAATCTCTTTTCCTTCTCTGATACCCCAAATTTCAATATTTGGTCACCTTATGTTGTCTCATATGTCACACAGGTTCTACTCTTTCTTTTTTAGCTTTTTGTTTGTTGATTGGTTGGTTTTATCTGACAAGGTTATTTCAAAACACTTGTTTAAAGTTCAAAAATTTTTTCTTCTGCTTATTTAGTCTGTGATTGAAGCCCTTGATTGTATTTTTTTCACTCATTGAATTTTTCATTTCCAGGATTTCTGTTTGGTTCTTTTTTAGAATATCCATTTTGCTAGTGAATTTCTTACTCAAATCATGAATGGCTTTTCTCATTTCTTTTATATTTTTCTATGTTCTCTTATATTTCACTATTCTTAATATTACTAATTTGAATTCCATTTCAAACATTTCACAGATTTATTTCCCATTGGAATCTGTTGCTGAATAATTATTTTGTTCTCCTGAAGGTGTCATATTTCCTTGCTTTTTTATGTTTGTTGTGTTTTTGAGATATCAGCACATCTGGTTTAACAGTCATTTCTTCCAGTTCTATGGATTGGCTTTCATAGGGTAAGATGTTTTCCTATAGATGTATCTATATTATTGTTTTGGTAGGGTGCTTTCACTTTGCTTCTCAGTGAATGAGGTAGTGTTGTATGCATATGCATACAGTGTAGTGTAGCAGTGTTACAATTTCTTCAGCTGTAATCAGTGTTAGTGTTGTCTGTGAGTTCTTCAGTGGCTTAGGGTGTGGTTGTTAGTGGAGGCTATGATGAGGCTTTGCTGGGGATGGGGACGCCAGGTGGGCCAATCCTCAGGTCCCAGTGGTGGTGGCAGTGGACTGAGTGTGTTGGCTCTTGGGCCCCTGGACATCATACAAACAAACCAGTGGTAGCAGGTCCAGGCAGGTTAATCCTTGGGCCTCCAGACAGCTTGCTCAGATGCTGGCACTGGCAGTAGTGAGCCAGGTAGGTGGACAGATCCTCAGGCCTCTGGATGGAGTATGTCATATCAGTGATGGCAGTAGCAGTGGTGAGCTAACCTTTGGTCTCCCAGGTGACATGCATGGGCACCAGTGGTAATAACAGCAAGCTGTACAGCCTGGTACCCAGGCCCCCATGCAGGGTGTGTGCATATGGGTGGGTGCTGGCTGCGTTGGTTGTAGCATGCTGGGCAAGCCCATCATGGAAATTTGTCCCTGGAAGCAAGCAAGTCCCTGGAAGGCATGCATGAGTGTTAGCAGTGGTGGCTGATGTTGGTCATTCCCTAGGTCCCTGGAAGATGAATGTGGGTACTAGCAGAGGGGGAAGAAGCAGGGCAGAGCTGTCATCAGGCTCTTTTTTTATTTGTTTGTTTTTGAGATGGAGTCTCACTCTGTCACACAGGCTGAAGTGTGGTGGTGCAATCTCAGCTCACTGCAACCTCTGCCTCCTGGGTTCAAGCTATACTATTGCCTCAGCCTCCCAAGGAGCTGGGATTACAGGCACCCACTACCACGCCCAACTTTTGTATTTTTAGTAGAGATGTGGTTTCGCCATGTTGGCCAGGGTGGCCTCGAACTCCTGACCTCAGGTGATCCACCCACTTCGGCCTTCCAAAATGCTGGGATTACAGGTGTGAGCCATCGTGCCTGGCCTCATCAGGCTCCTTGATGGTTCACGGGTGCAGGCCTCAACAGACAGCACGGGTCAATACTCAGGCCCCTGGTAATGTATGCAGGCAACATCACACAGGGAAGTCCCATAACTGGTGTGTTATAACTAGTAGCAGCAGGCAGGGAGAGTAAATTCCCAGGCTACTAGATGACATGTACAAAGACTGGTAGGGGCAGTGCCAAGTGGGGTGTGTGTTTCCTCAGACTCCTGTACGGTGCAATTGACCACTGGTGATGAATGGGTTTGCCTGCACGGGTCCACAATGACAACCAGAACAGGTCAGTCACCAGACTCTCAGACATTATGCACAGTCCCTGGAGAGAGGGGTAGTGGGTGGGGCAGGCCTGTCCTCAGGCCCCTGATGGTGCACATGAACACAGGCTGTGGTGGGTAGAGTGGGTGGATCCCCTACCCCCTGGACTACATATGCAGGCACTTCTGGAGGTGGTGATAGTCCACCTGATGGTGTGTGTGAGCACCAACTGTAGCAAGTGGGTGGATTGATCCCCAGACCCCTAGGTGGCATGGTGGCAGTAATGGCAGTGGGCATGGAAGACATGTCTTTAGGCCTAGAAGGGCACCTGGGTGGACTAGTCCCCAGGCCTTAGGAGGGTTGCCGTCAGTGCCAGTGGCCCCAGGAAGGTAGCTCTCAGGCTCTGAAGACAATATGCTTCAGTTCCCTTTGTCCCAGGGACAGGCTCCCCAGTTCACTTCATTAACCATTTCCTGGGATGTAGGACACTACATAGATTGCAGTGCTGGGGACCTGGCAGCACTGCTAGGTCCAGCTGTTGTCATAATGTTGCAGCCTTCTAGGTGGACATAAGGGGATGTTAGTGAGTCTCCAGGGATTTGGAGATGCAGAGGCTGTTAGGCCCAAGGGCAGGATGTAGTCCGGTGGCGGCTGTGCTCTCAAAATATCACAATGCTGCAGCTGTTTTTGGTCTCAGTTGGTGTTTGGAACCTAGTGCAGACTCCCTCTCTGGACCAATATCATCATGTGAACTCTGTACAGCTCCCAGTACTAGTCTCAGGGCCCATGAGAGCCAAGGGGCTCTCCCATGGCTAGGATTGCAGCACAGTAGGAATGTGGAACACTGGTGACTTCTCACTTACATTCTTCCCACACTAGGTAGTTTCTCCTGTCTCTGACCAATTCCAGCTGGGCTGGTTGCTTTGCTTCTGCCCCCTTCTGTGCCTTAGAGGTACTTTGCCACTTCCCTGCTGAATTATTGTGTTCTCTCTTAGATAATCTATTCGGTGTATGATTATCTATTTGCTGTTTTGCTCCTTTTTTCGGGAGGAGGCAAGTGCCAGGTGCCTCTAATCAGCCATCTTGAAGCCCCCTCCTACTGTCACAGTTTGAGACATTCTAAATTTGCAACAAATTGAATAAAACTTTTTTTTACTTTTTAGAAAAATATTTGATACCCTTTAAATTATAGTATTAGCACATTTGACATATAATTCAGTTTCCTAAACAATGGATCATAGTCAATATTATAAAATATTCCAAAATATCAAAGCATCAAAGCACCTCAAAAAAAAATCTGAGGTGTAATAGGCATCCAAATTTTGCTTGTGTCACCTTCATTCCTTCTTGCATGTAGCATTAGAAAACTACACATTTTTAACAGCAATTCTTGAATTTTGGTCTCTGATATTGTTTGGTTCTGTGTCCCCACTCAAATCTCATTTGTGGCTCCCATAATTCCCATGTGTTGTTGGAGGGACCTGGTGGGAGATGATTGAATCATGGCGTTGTGTCTTCCCTGTGTTGTTCTCGTGATAGTGAATGGGTCTCAGGAGATCTGGTGGTTTTAAAAACGGAAGTTTCCCTGGACAAACTCTCTCTTTGCCTGCTGCCATCCACGTAAGATGTGACTGGCTTTTCCTTGCTTTCCATCATGATTGCGAGGCCTCCCCAGCCATGTGGAACAGTAAGTCCAATAAACTCTTTATTTTGTAAATTGCCCAGTCTCGGGTATGTTTTTATCAGCAGCATGAAATGGACTAATACAGTCTTATTTTCCATATGTATAATTGCTTCTCCTATTATATTCAAAATTCTCAAAGTTTTCAATCAAAATTAAGACCCCTGCTTAGGAAAAAAACCATTGTGTATTAATAGCTCTTATAAAAGCAGGAGAAGTTTTAAAACATTGATTTATATCTAAAAGAAAAAACAAAATTTGATAAATTTTTATCTTCCCTGTTGTGTTTTTTTCTGTCAAAAAGTCTATCGAAATGGTACCCTTATTGAAAGAACATTACTGTTTGTGACTATGCAAGCACTTTGGAGATTATTAAGAATTATCCATCTACTTTGAATGTGAAAATATCCTGAATTTGCTATAATCAAGCACTGTGGGAACTAAATATGGTGCAAGTCACAGAAAACACTAAAGACAAAATTATGGCATATTAACCATTTTTCTTAAGAGGGTCAAATATGTAGTAACAAGGTTCCTTTTTTTCCCCAAAGATAAAATAGTAGAGTAGATGAAAAGAAAATAATAACCCTAATAGGTTTTAGTAATGTGAATCTTTGCCAAAAGAACAAAGACAAGATTGGACAATAAAGGGCTGAATTGAAATCAGTCCCCAAATTTTTGTAAGTGGCATGGTTCCATTCTCATGGCCATTCAGACAACCCTCATATTTTTGTACCTCAGAAAAAAAATATGTGTTTTTAAATGAGGAGTCCTCATTTTCTATTAAATTGTGTAAGTTCTCTCAGAATAACAGTGCTTAATGCACATATTACTGCACTATCAATTATTTAGCCTTTAAAACTTACTGTAACTGTTTAAATGTATCTTACTTTACAGCATAAGAAACTGTATGAGAAAAGTGAGTTATTACACAAACTAACATAGCAATGAGTGAGTTTCAGGCCCAAAGAAATCTGCAAACCTCTTAGCCAGATGTGCGTAGTGAGTAAATCGTATTATATTTTCATCAAAGGACTGGGAAATTTTTAACAGTGAACAGAACGTTGGCTGTTTATACTGCTCATTAGGAAACAATGGCTAATGCCCCAGCCAGAAGAATATCCAGTTGATCAATATGACTTAGTATAATGTGGGAATAAAGTGTCAAACCATGCATGTCATTTTAGCTAGAGGGATATTCCACAATCTAATGAAACAAGGCTATAAACATCAAACTAGGACTTAGAAACATTTCTATTATAAAATAATTAAAAATTTAAATTAAATGTATGTTATAAAAACTCAAGGACACAAGAAAATGATTACAGAATGTAGCTTTCTTTTAACTTATTTCTATTTTAACATTTTACAAACTTACAAATAGGCAAAGCTTACTGAGATTATTTAGATCACGTAACAAGAGACCCTTAAAGAGTGTTCATTATTTATTTCCAAATAAAAGGCTACAGTAGTAATCTACAGGTGAATGAAGTTAGATTAATATTTAAATGTTTTCTTAACATATCCCATAGCCTTATTCCAATATTGCCCTTGGTGAATATGCTTTGCACATGATTAACTGCCTGAAAAGTAAAAGAAGGACAAAAAATACAAAGAAATCCCTTGCCAAAACACACTGTTGTATTGATCTCTATGACTCCTCTTATGCCTATCTTTGAATAAGCATTACTATAATCAGTATCACATACAATTTTGTGTTTAGTTTTCATTTTCTGATTATAGACTTCCTCTTTTACTATTTACTTATAGATATTTAACACTTTAAACATAATATACTATTTTAACAATATACCAAGAATTATTAATGGTCCAGGAAGTTTTTCTTCAATCTTTTTTATCTCTCTTATGACACATAAACATATTGCTATTTTTAAAAACATTTTACTTCCTTCATAGCTCTCTCAGATATGCCTTGTTCTATTCATCCAAATCCCCATAGCCCCCACTGCCTCTAATTGGGGCTTACCACTATCTCTCACCTAGACTATTACAAGAGTTCTTTATTTGAATTTTTTTAATATCCAATTTAGGTCAGCCTCTCAAGTCTATCCCTTGCACAGCTACTAGAGGGAAGTGCCTATTTCATAACATCTAAAATGCCATAGATTACAAATCACCCCATTAATTATGAAGCACCAATAACATGAAATACAAGCTGCCAACTAAACTACCATACAATCTATTCTAATCATCTAGAATGTTTATTTATACTTACTGAGATATTTTAACTTAGTTAATACGTTACACATATTTTATCATAGTTCACTCTTGCGTATAAAAATTCATTAAAAACAATTGCTTACATACTTTCTATATCATCTTCATATTTACAGTACAACTCTTCTGAGTCCTTTTTTAGCTAATACTTTTTTTTTTTTTTTTGCTTTTTTTTTGAGATGGAGTCTCGCTCGGTCGCCCAGCCTGGAGTGCAGTGGCGCGATCTCGGCTCACTGCAAGCTCCGCCTGCCGGGTTCACGCCATTCTCCTGTCTCAGCCTCCCGAGTAGCTGGGACTACAGGCGCCACCACCACACCCGGCTAATTTTTTTGTATTTTTAGTAGAGACGGGGTTTCACCGTGTTAGCCAGGATGGTCTCGATCTCCTGACCTCGTGATTCGCCCGCCTCGGCCTTCGAAAGTGTTGGGATTACAGGCGTGAGTCACTGCGCCCGGCCTCAGCTCATACTTTTAAATTGATATTTTTCAATTCAATGTTGTCCTCTGTGACATCAAGAGCATTGACACTGCAACATTTAAATCTTTAGCTCTTAATTTAGTTGTTTATATGTCAATTTTAAAATGGGTGGGGAGGTACATAGTTTTTAAAAAACCTTCTGGGGTATAACTCAACAAATGTTGTCCAAATACACATTGCTCCAAATCCAGAGAGTGAGCCTGGATTATTTGAGTGAGATAGTTCTTGCCAATCCCATTTCCTGAACAGGATTTCTTTCTCATTTTCCCAGGCCACTGCTGGAAATCCTGTCACATGTGAATATAAATTTCGGTTGTCTGTAGGTTAGTTGGGAAAATACAGTATCTTTCCTTCCTGCAAAGCATGATTACATCCAAGATCTAGTGTAAAAATAAACTTTTATAATGTAACCCATATATAAGCATGAGACTAGTTGTGTGTTCCATGAAAGCCTCCATAATGAGGATTGTCCTGCTTTGTAGAATTTCATATCTCCATTTTGAGAAAACAAATACCACGTGTCCAATCAATTATTAATAGAAATTATACTATAAGTCAAGATGTAATTTATTTTAGTTAAAGTGACTATATTAAATAATTTTTTATTTCATGTATTTAGCAAGTTAAGAATGTTATCTCCAGTCTATTAAGTTTAAGCTCTATTATACATGACAGTCAATTTTTTTCTTCCTATTCTATTTTGTTAATTAAATTGGTAAATGAAAGTAGTTTGTAGAGATTATTTTAATTGGTATGTTTTAATATCAAACATATGCTTTATAAGTGAATAAACAAATACAGGTGACTCGTGTCATAATAAATTATTTATTTATTTATTTATTTATTTATTTGGCCGGGCGCAGTGGCTCAAGCCTGTAATCCCAGCACTTTGGGAGGCCGAGGCGGGCGGATCACGAGGTCAGGAGATCGAGACCATCCTGGCCAAAATGGTGAAACCCCGTCTCTACTAAAAATACAAAAAAATTAGCCGGGCGTGGTGGCGGGCTCCTGTAGTCCCAGCTACTCGGGAGGCTGTGGCAGGAGAATGGCGTGAACCCAGGAGGCAGAGCTTGCAGTGAGCCGAGATCGCGCCACTGCACTCCAGTCTAGGCGTCAGAGTGAGACTCCGTCTCAAAAAATAAAAATAAATAAAATAAAATAAAATAAATTATTAGTTAAATATAGCTTCCATAATTATACAAAAACAGTATTGGTATAAGTTACAAAACTAGAGAAGTTGGACAGTTCTGTCTAGAAAGAAAAGATTATTTCAGTTCTCCATGTATTTAACTTTTTATTTTTCATACCAATAATGATGAAACCAGCTTATAAAACTATAAGCTGTTTTGCCCAGTTTTTATCATGAGTGTTTACTTTAAAAGGTTGACTTTGGCTTTGATGTCTAATAGCATGCATCTAATTATATTTGAAATAAATTTCTTCTTATTAGCTAATGTAGTTAAAATTAGTAAAAATATGTTTATAACTATCACCATTTGGGAATTGTCAAGACAGTATTTACTGAAAGGCTCTGAAATTCCTTATTGAAATAAAAGATAAAAAATTGTTTTTCATTACAAATGCCTTGCTGGTTCTTTTCCTGGCATAGCCCTGGAAAGGAATTAGAATTATTTAAGCATTTTGAGTAAGTGTTTGACATTTTCATACTTGGTGGAGATTTATCTGACATAAATATACAAAATAAGTTAAATGGAAGAGAATCTGGAATCATAAAAATAAATATAAGCATATTCAGGATAAAGTTAGTGTCAGAAATAATGAGGATCTAAAAACTAGAGTCCAAACAGCAAAATTATATATTATATATAAATTACATATAATTATATACAATATAATAATATATATATATAAAAATACATTGGTAAGTGAAAATATAAATATAAATTCAAATTACCATATTTGAATAGAAAGTAAAACTAGAAGATTAATATTTGATTTTGGTTATTGGTACGTTACAAAAGTAGAGAAGTTGAAGATAGTTCTGTTTAAAAAAATGATCACTTCAATTGTCTACATATTTAACTTTTTATTTTTCAATTGTATAACATCCATGATTTAAATTCACAAATGCTTATGTGCTAAGTGCTAGAAATTCAAAATTAATGATACCCAACTAAAAATTCTCAATAGATAAGAAAATTGTTGTAGAAATATAATAGACTTGAAGGTATGAGATCTGAAAATAAAAAGAAATCTAGGCTAGTCAAATGATAAACAAACAAAGATAATAGGAAAGTTTCAATAAAACACTGAAGTGCAGAAGACAAATAGTAAGACTAGAAATAGAAAGAAGATAAGTGCTTTGACAAAGTAAAGGCTCCACAACTTAAAGTTAGTGTAATCACTCTGTACATGAATAAATAAATTAAATGAGATAATAAAGAAATGGCATTGAGTCTCAAACTAGGTAGTTCACTAAAGTATTCAGAACAGTGGCCAGAAAACAGATTCTTAGAAATTATTCGTTACTTTTACAGAGGTTAATTACAGAAAAGTGAGAAAGAAAATGTCAAGTCAGATGTTATCACCTATTTTAAAAAATCTTAAAATACTCAAATAAAAATTGTTTCTGTTATTAGTGGCATTGCCAAAGACTCAAATGGTTTATAGGAAACTTGCACAAGCATAAACGTATTTCGTAGTGTGTCATAAGACTGTGGAATAGCTTAGTTTAACATAAAGAATAAAACAGCAACTTATAATATTAAATCAGATAACTGCTATGGTTTTATAATCTCAGTAATAATAAAAATATGGAGAGAGAGAAATCAGTCATCAAATCCAAGATTCATCTTGAAGTGTTTCTGTACTATGGCATTAGTGCTAAGATCTTGGCTTTGTGGCCAAATTATCTGGCTTTGACATTTTGGACAAGTTATTTAATCTCTTTGTGCTTTAATTTTTTCTTCTATTAAGTAAAGATAATAATGGCAATTTTCTTACAAAGTTGTGCATAATGTATGAATTCATATATATAAGCACATGGAAAAGTACATGGCCTATAGTAGAGTTTTCCAAAAGAATGAAAGCTTTAACTATTGCCTGTTGTGCATACTACATGTTGCCTGTTGTGCATACTGCATGTTTCCTAATGTACATTTTAAGTTAGTATTTTCGATTCTGATTCTAATGGTATTAATGTTCAAAGTATAAGTAATAAATGTTCACACATAGTCCTTCCAATTTAGAGCTTATACAAAAAACATTAGTTTGCAATTCCTCCTCCACAACTCCACCCACAATGACTCAATAGTCTAAATATGCTCATTATTTTTCCCCCCATTAGGACAAAGTTTCTCCCTGGATCATGGAAATTCCGTTTTCTCTCCCACATCTTTTCTATCAAATTCCATTTTCAGAATACTTAAAAAGAAATCCAGTTGAGCTATATTAATAACTTAAGCGGTTATGTTGCATTAAGACTTGAAAGTTATATGGAAGTTTCTTTATTTTCTATCATTTGGAAAGAAAAAGTCATCAATCATTATTCCTGTTTTATCAATTTAAAAAGAAAAAACATCAGGAGAAAACAAGCAATCACCCTATATATAAACTGGGTTAAATGATAAGTTATTTGACAGATGTCAACAGGTTAAAATTTAAAAAGAGTGTGTTAGTCTTCTTCAAAGTCGTGTTTTGCCATTTATAACTGATAGGCATGACATATCAAATGGACACATATCAAACGCCCTTTCTTATCACAAAAAAATATATTTCATCCCAAATAGTCAGAAACTGGCAACATGAATAGCTTGATATAATTTACATATTTTCACACTGTGTTACTCTTGGTCATTTATCATATTCTACCGTATATGTTTCCTGTTTATCTCTTAATGTTAGCTCATAAAATTATGGTTTATGTATGTAGGTTATGACAATATCTTCACTCTGCCAAAGTTAGGTAAATATTTGTTGAATGAAGCAAGTAATAGCATGCTTACATTCATGCAGACTGATAGTTTACACACTAAAGTGTGTGTTCCTTGAAGGTAGGAAACACATATTTTATTTCTGTATCCTTGGCAACTCACAGGCTGTTTGAAGCACAACAGGTGTGCAATAAATACTTTTTGCAGAATAATTAAGTACTTTAATGAGAACAAAACACAGAATCTTTTGAAAGTGGTCATGGAAGATAAAGTTTAACAGATAGATGGGTAAAATTTGGAGAGATATTTTAAATGCCAAAGGATTATAAATTTAAAATTTTAGATTTTAATTAATATTGCAGTTATGGCATCTAATGGATATATCAAGAAACAACCTTTATGAATTTTACTTGCTCAGTTAAAATGAGGAAAAGAATAACACATTTGCCAACTGGTAAGTTATTTGTAACCTGACATCATAACTGAGCTTTCAGCAGAGCATTCCATCATTCTATCGACTCAACTAATTTGGGGTCACAGAGAATGTGTTAAGACTAGTGAATACCCTTGGCATGTGTGTCTTGATCAACTGCCTTTCCTGTAGTGTGTCTTCTAATCAGATAGGATAGATGTGAGATGAAATAGTAACACACGAGAGATAATTTAAATCTATGAATGTTGGTGTTGATAGATGTGCTTCAAGTTCTTATAAAAATACAACATACAACTCCAACTGTGGCAAAAAGGGTTGAAAATAATCAACCCTATTCAGGTGGCTGCCTAGACTCCTAGGAATAATGAAATATTGAAAACTCATTAATCTCTGCTTTTGGCAGATTAGGCATTCAGATTAGCTTTGCTAAGAGAAAGACTACATTGTCAAGTGTATGCAGTCTCCACCATGGTCATTTTGTTCATGGACTCATTTAAAAAGCCATATGGAGGTGGAGCAAGATAGTGGAATAGAAGGCTATGCTGATCATCCTCCACCCCCAGCCAGGACACCAAGTTAACAATCGTCTACACAGAAAAAACAAAAAACAAAACAAACAAACAAACAAAAAAAACACTTTCATAAGAACCAATATTCAGGTGAGCACTCATAGTACCTGGTTTCAACTTCACATCCCTGAAAGAGGTACTAAAGAGATAGAAAAAACAGTCTAGAATCTCCAATGCACTCCCAGCAACAGTGATGTGGTGTTGAAAGCATCTCTGGGCCCTGGGGGAAGGAGAACACAGCAGTTGGGAGGCACTGAACTCAGTACTGGCCTGTGAGAGCAGAAAGGAAAGCTGGAGCAAACTCAGCTGATGCCTGCCCACAGATGGAGCATTTAAGCCAGTCATAGCAGAGGGGAATCACTGATCCAGTGGTCCAAACTTGAGGGTCTGCAAACCTCACCACAGAGGGCTAAAGTTCTCTGTGTTTCTGAGTAAACTTGAAAGATTGTCCAGGTCAGAATGACTGCAACTCTTAGGTGAGTCCTAGTGCTGAACTAGGTCAAGAGACAGTGGACTTGTGGGACATATGACATACTGAAACACCAGCTGGGGCAGCTAAGGGAGTGCTGGCAACATCCCTCCTCTAACCCCAGGTGGTCCAAATGAGACCCCTTCCTTCTGCTTTGGAAGATGAGAGGGAAGAGTGAAGAGGACTTTGTCTTGCATCTTGGATACAAGCTCAGCCCCAGCAGGATAGGGGACCAGACAGACTTGTGAGGCCCTTGTTCCATGCCCTGGCTCTCAGATGACATTTCTAAACACACCTGGGGCCAGAAGGGAACCTAACCTGCTGCCTTGAAGGAAAGAACCTAGTCTTGGCAGCATTTATCACCGGCTAACCAAAGAGCCCTTGGGCCCTGTACAAAAAGCAGCAATACTCAGTTACTATGTGGAGAACTTTGGTGAGCCTATGAGACTTGCTGGCTTCAGGTGAGACTCAGCACATTTTTAGCTGTGGTGGCTATGGGGCAAAACTTCTTTAGCTTGAGAAAATCAGAAAGAAAAGTAAAGGGACCTTTGTCTTGCACCTTAGATATCAGCATAGTCACAGGGGGGCAGAGCACCAAGCAAGCTCTTGGAGAATCTGTCTCCAAGACTTGACTCTTGAATGACATTTATCTACCTGCCCTGGGCCAAACAAGAGCCCACTGCCTTAAAGGGTGAGTCCCAGGCCAGGCAGCATTCACCACAAGCTAACTTAGGAGATCTTGGGCCTAAGGGAACATTGGCTGGTAACTACTGAGTGAGGCTCTTTTGCCTTTGGAAAGGGGAGGCAAGAGTGGGAAGGACTGTGTCATGTGGTTTGGGTGCCAGCATATCTGCAATACAATAGAACACCAGGTAGACATCTAAGGTTTTTAACTGTAGTCTCTGACTCCTAAAAAGCACCTCTGGATTCTCCAGGGCCTGGGAGGCCTCACTTCCATGGAGGAAAGGAGACAAGTCTGGCTTGCTTTTCCGCCTGATCATTGTAGAGCTCCAGGGCTTTCAGCAAACATAGGCAGTAGCCTGGGAGTGGTTACAGCAGGCCTTGGGGGAGACCCAGTGCTATGCTGGCTTCAGATCTGACCCAGTGCAGTCATAGTAGTTGTGGCAAAAGGGGTGATTGTGTCACTTCACCTCCAGCTTTAGGTGACTCAGAACAGAGAGAAAGGCTCTGGGAGAAAGTAAGGGAGGAGTACAGGAATCTCTGTCTGGTAATCCAGAAAATTCTCCTGAATCTTGTTAAGACCATCAAGGCAGATACCTCATAACTCTGCAAGAACCACAGTGTTACTGGGTTTGTGGTGGCCCCTAAAGTGGCTACAGCTTTGATCACAACAGTCAAGTCCTTTCAAATATCTGGAAAGCCTTCCCAAATAGGACAGCTACAAATTAGCTCAGACAGTGAAGACTACCATAAGTATCTAACTCTTCAATACCGAGACCCTGAAGAACATCTACTAGCATCAACGCCATCCAGGAAAACATGATCTCACCAAATGAACTAAGTAAGAAACCAGGGACCAGTCCTGCAGAAACAGATATGTGACCTTTCAGACAGAATTCATAATAGCTGTGTGGAGGAAACTCAAATAAATTCAAGATAACACAGAGAAGAAATTCAGGATTCTATCAGATAAATTTAACAAAGAGATTGAAATGATTAAAAGAATCAAGCAGAAATTCTGGAGCTGATAAATGCAATTGGCATACTGAAGAACGTATCAGTGTTCTTTAATAGCAGAATGGATCAAGCAGAAGAAAGAATTAGTGAGCTTGAAGCAGGCTATTTAAAAATACACAATCAGAGAAGACAAAATAAAAAAGAATAAAAACAATGAATCATGCCTACAGGATCTAGAAAATGACTCAAAAAGGCAAATCTAAGATTTATTTTCCTTTAGGAGGAAGTTGCAAAAGAGATGGGGGTAGAAATGTTATTCAAAGGAATAATAACAGACACTTTTCCAAACCTAGAGAAAAATATCAGTATCTAAGTACAAGAAGGTTCTAGAACACCAAGTAGATTTAATTCAAAGAAGACTACATTAAGGTGTTTAATAAGCAGACTCCCAAAGATCAAGGATAAAGAACAGATTCTAAAAGCAGCAGGAGAAAAGAAACAAATAATGTAAAATGCAGCTCTAATATATCTGGCAGCAGACTTTTCAGTGGCAACCTTATAGTCCAGGACCATAAAATTTCAATTGATGCTGAAAAAGCATTTGACAAAATTCAACATACATGATAAAATTCATGATAAAAACCATCAAAAAACTAGAGATAGAAGGAACATGGCTAATCATAATAAAAGCCATATATGACAGACCCACAGCTAGTATCATACTGAATGGGGAAAAACTGAAAGTCTTTCCTCTAATATCTGTAACATGACAAGGATGCCCACTGTCAACACTGTTATTCAACATTGTACTGGAAATCCTAGCTAGAACAGTCATACAAGAGACAGATATAAAGGCTATCCAAATTGGAAAGGAAGAAGTCAAATTGTCAATTTTTTTGCAGATAGTATGATCTTATATTTTGAAAAACCTAAATACTCTAGAAGAAAACTATTAGAACTGATAAACATATTCAGTAAAGTTTCAGGATACAAAATCAACATACACAAATCAGTAGCATTTCTATATGCTAACAGTGAAGAATGTAAAAAAGAAATTTAAAAAATCCCATTTACAATAGCCATACATAAAATTAAATACCTAGAAATTAACCAAATAAATGAGAGATCACTATAATGAAAACCATAAAACACTAATGAATGAAGTTGAAGAAGACAAAAAATGAAAAATTATTCTATGTTCATGGATTGGAAGAAACATTATTGTTAAAATGCCCATATGACCCAAAGTAATCTACAGATTCAGTGCAATCCCTATAAAAATACCAATGACATTCTTAACAGAAATATAAAAAAAAAATTCTAAAATTTGTATGGCACCACAAATTACCCAGAATAGCCAAAGCTGTCCTAAGCAAAAAGAACAAAACTGGAGAAATCACGTTACCTGATTTCAAATTATACTACAGGGAAACAAACCAAAACAGCATGGTACTGGCAAAAAAACAGACACATAAACCAATGGAACAGAACAGAGAATCCAGAAACAGATCTACACACCCACAGTGAACCCAATTTTGACAAAGGTGCCAAGAACATACACTGAGGAAAAGACAGTCCCTTCAATAAACTGTGCTGGGAAAACTGGATATCCATTTGCAGAGGAATGAAACTAGATACCTATTTCTTACCATATACAAAAATAAAATCAAAATGGCTCAAAGATTTGATTCTAGACTTCAAAGTATGAAACTACTACAAGAAAACATTGGGAGAAATCTCCAGGACATTGGTCTGGGCAAAAATTTCTTTAGCAATATGCAACAAGCACAGGCAAAGCAAAAATAGACAAAGGGATAACATCAAGTTAAAAAGCTTCTGCACAGCAAAGCATACAATCAACAATGTGAAAAGACAACTCACAGAATGGGAGAAAATATTTGCAAACTATCCATCTGACAAGGGATTTATAACCAGAATACATAAGGAGCTCAAACAACTCAATAGGAAAAAAAAAAATCTAATAATCTGATCAAAAAATGGGCAAAAGATTTGATTAGACATGTCTCAAAAAAGACATACAAATGGCAAAAGAGCATATGAAAAGGTGCTCAATATCGTTGATCATCATCATCAGAAAAATGCAAATAAAAACTACAATTATATATCATTCACCCCGGTTAAAATGGCTTATATTCAAAAGACAGGCAATAACAAATGCTGGCGAAGACACAGAGAAAAGGGAACCCTTGTATACTGCTGCTGGGAATATAAATTAGTACAACCACTATGGAGAACAGTTTGGAGGTTCCTCTAAAAATTGAGCTACCACATGATCCAGCAATCTATGGCTGGGTATATACCTAAAAGAAAGGAAATCAGTACATTGAAGAGATATCTACATTCCTATTTTAGTTGCAGCACTGTTTACAGTAGCTAAGATATGGAAGCAACCTAAATATCCATTACAAGATGAATGGATAAAGAAAATGTGGTACATATACACAATGGAGTACTATTTAGCCATAAAAAGAATGAGATCCAGTCATTTGCAACAACAGGGATGGAACTGGATATCATTATGTTAAGTGAAATACGCAGGCACAGAAAGATGAACATCACACGTTTTCACTTATTTGTGGGATCTAAAAATTAACACAATTGAATTCATGAACATAGAGAGCAGAAGGATGTGACCAGAGGCTGGGAAGAATAGTGGTAGGATGGAGGGGAGGTGGGGATGATTAATGGGTCAAAAAAATAGAAGAATGAATAAGACCTACTATTTGATAGCACAACAGGGTGACTATAGTCAATAACAACTTGATTGTATATTTTAAAATAAAGAGTGTGACTGGATTGTTGATAACTGAAAGAATAAATGCTTGAAGGGATACATAGCCCATTTTCCATGATGTGCTTATTGCGCATTGCATGCCTATATCAAAGTATCTCATGTACCCTGTAAGTATACACACCTAATATGCACCCACAAAAATTAAAAATTAAAATTAAAAAAAGCAATATGACTAGGGGAAAAGATATACTGTTATCCACAGGATGGCTCATCTTGTTTACCAGATTTTTGATACTTTGCACCAAAGTGGACTTTCTCCTAGTGGGAATTTAGGTAGGATATAAATATCTTCACACTCTATCCATTCTAAAATGTATGTCTGTATTCCTATTTCCAAGAAATCCTTGGAGAATATTCTTCTCTTTTTTTCCAATATAATCAGAAACTTAGATAGCAGCCAATTCATTAGCTGCCCCTAATCAATCACTGTAGATGCATTAATCACTTCCATAGGAAGTGAACTATCAAAAGGATTTTTCTTTACCACTGTTTTCAAGGGTTTTTATGGAGCACAGATGTATGCAGTAGCAGTCTACTTCCAGCCAGTATCAGTATATCTTGGAAATGTAACAGTAAACCAGCCTCAAATTTTTTGTTACTCCATTAACTGATCATGGGAAACTCCCCATGAGGTCATATCAGTAGCTGAGGGAGAGGCAGTGAAGCAGCAGGAGCAAGTACCATGGGACTCTGAGCCATCTGTTCATACAGTTTATTTGTGCCTTCCCAAACCTATGTGGCCAAGCCTAATAATATATACCATTTTCATTTCACAATGGAATGCTGCTATGCACATCCAATTTTATGGTTCAGTGGATTAGATCACCCACAATAATTCATGATGTACAATACAAGTTGCATAGCTGTGGTGTCCCATGGACAGGTGTTCATTCTACAAACTCCCAATAACAAGGCAGGGCTGCATTTCAAATAGAGAATAGTTATTGGTAGAAGAAGACACGGCTTTATTTCAGAACCTTAAAAATCTGTGCTGTTATTTTATGATGGCTCTCCAGAAGTTCTATGCAACTTCTCTGTTAATCACAATCCTTCCAATACCATTGGATCTACTAGGCCATAAAGCACAAGTGGCTGACAATATGAACATTAGCTCAGAATTGAAGCTGAATCTTTTTTTTTCTTTCAGTGCTGAGCCTTGTAGGTAAACCAGCAAATAAATCAAAACAGGTAGGTAAACCAGCAAATGAATCAAAGCAGCATTTTCAAATGTGATTATTATTCGAAATGCAAGGCACAAAAAGCTTGTGTCTCTTTCTGTCAGGGATGCAAGGTACAGCAACGTATTTCATGCTTTAAAGTAAATTTTCCTACATACCCTCATTGAATCACTGAAATAATACTGTTCACAGCTAAATTTTAACCTTTATAAGAATGTGTTGAAAGATGCTTAAACACTTCATAACATATATGATATTAATCACTTGAATTCAGTTTGAAACCTCATCCATGGGGCAGAATCCTAGTGCCCCCAGAGTTCTTACTATTTCCCATTTACTAGGTCATATCAGTATACTGTTATCCATGTAATGAGTGAGCATGATGCTGTGTAAGATATCCAGGTGATCAGCATCTCTCTAGACTATGTTATGACAGAGAATGGTACCTTTGACATAGCGTTAAGGCAAGACACTTTTCCTGTCATTCAGGCAAATTTCTTTTGATTATTCTCATAAGGATGGGAAGAAAAGCATTTTTCTCTGAGTCAATAACTGGTTAATGGACACAAAGGTCCTTGTTTATCTGCTACTATAAAGACATCGTATCTAGAACTGGAGCTGTGATTGGCATTACCATCAGACTGCATTTGAGATAACAGTCCTTATTCATAACATACCTGGCTTATTCATGGGTCAAATATAGAGAAAAAAATAGGACAGGGATCATCACATCTGCATTTTTCATTCTCTAATTTTGGTACTTAAATCTGTTATTTTCTCCAAGGAATGCATTATTGACATCTTAGAAAATAGAAAGGAAGACAGAGACTATTTCAGAGACTTCTACTTGACCTTTCATAACATAAAATCCCCACACTGGTTGGGGAAACCCATGTGGCTTTCTGCCAGTTATTACCACCGTAAATGCTAAAAGTGGAATCATAACCATAGGATTGGTCTGTAGCACACTGAACCACAATAAGACTGACTTGAATCACAGTTCCATTGATCACTTGACTTAAGTGCTCAAACCGAAGTGGTTTTCCAGATCTCTGGAGATTAATATGAATTTGAGAGTCAATATCTTATAAGTCCTGGAAGTCCTGATTACTACCCTTTGCCCAGTGTATAGTCACTCTGGGACATGACCACAGGTCCCTCTGGGGAGGGCTAGAGAGAAGAGTTATGGGATTTACCTGAGGCCAATATAAGTGGGAATGTGGTTTTTTTTTTTTTTTTTGGTATCTGAATTTCATAGATATTGACAGATATAGAGACATAGAAATATAGATATGTAAATATATGTAGCTTGATGTTGAAAAATTATGAACAGATAATAATGATATCAGTTTACCCCACATCTGTTTGTCACTCTCTTCCCATGTTGTTTGTTTGCAAAGTGTAAATCTCATCATTACGGAGTGAAATCTATCAAGCTCCCTTTTCTGGTTTACCTGCTGTAGGATGTGTTTTAGTGATTTGGGTTTTGGAAATCATATGTCCCTGTTTATGACATTGATTCTGGCTGAATTACACAGGGAAAGAGATACACAATGGGATATCCCCTTTTCTCATGCTGATTGTGGCAGTAAGAGCATATCCTGAAACTGGCAGCTGGTGTGGCAGTTCCTAATTCAGCAGTGTCTGAACTATGGCAGAAATTATGTACTTCTGTTACTAGGAGCCGTGGCAGTTCTGTGGCAGCCTACTGACTTAGTGCTTCCTGATTGTGTTAATTGCTGTCGCCCCTTTGGAGGACTTGTACTACAGTATGGAGAGCTAACAGTCATCCTAGGAATCTCAGTCTAGAGTTTGTTTGTTTCTTCAGTCATCTCAAGGGTACAGTGACTTATCTATATATCCCTAAATAATTTCCTTTCAGCTTAAATTAGAGCTGATGCTGCTGACTAGAAGTGAGAACACTAAACCACAAATTAGTTGTTTTTCTATCTCTCCGTACTCATTTGTCTAGGGGCTGAATGTGACACGACAGTGATTTTACTTGCCACATGATCTAAAGCCATGTTAGACTGCATTAACGTTTGCACATTGTATTTGAATTGGTTATCATAACTTTGTGAAACACTTTTAGGAGAGCATTAATAAAATGAAGGATTCCTTGAAACAACTACCACATTGAACTCAAGACACAGTGTTTGAAGAAAATTTGGGAAAGTAAATATATTTAGCCTAAGTAGAATTAGGATGGATTTGAGCATTGTTATGAAATTCTTGAAGAACTGTTATGTGGAATACATGCACCTCATATTTCATGCTCTGATGAACAAAGAATAATCTTTGGAATTCAGTAAGGTAAGAATCCAGTAGGCTATGAGTCAATAAAGGACAGGTATATTTTAAAATTCCTTTTCTATCTAATCATAGTGGTTTTTGTAAGACTTCAATATAATAGGCCTTCAAAAATATGCTAATTGAATTAATAAGGGGGTAGATATTGAATTTAACATAAAAAAACCTTGCAATAATTTTAATGGCTGATTGAGACAGCCCTTACCAGAGAATTGTTCCTGTCAAAGCACAGTTTCAAGAAGAGACATAATGATTATTTACTAGGGATATTAGAGAGTAGATGCCAATACTTGATAAGAGGTGTATTAGATGAGGAATATGCACCTAGAAACCAGAAAGCCAACTCCTTGACTCCCCACTCCAGCACTGCAGAGGACGGCTGAAATGAAATGAAGAAAAGCTTTGTAATGAACACACCCTACATCTCATCGCTTTGGTATCCTATCCAGACTATGAGTAGCTATGATTAACTTTCCTCATCTGTTTCAATCTTTCTACTGATGTATATGTCCTACAATCTCATACAACTTCACATTTATTCTCTAAATCTGTCACAGAATCCTTTTCCATTTATTTGACTAAAATGAAATAATTTTCTATAAAAGCAAAACTTATTAATGCTTAACACCATCTACTCAGTTTCCCAAATGAGAATTCTAGGAATCCTTAACTCCTTCACATCCTTTACACACACATTAATCACAAAGTCCCTCCTAAATATATCCATATGCCACTCATATCTCTCTAAATATCTAAAAACACCACTAGTTCAATTAACCATCATTTCGCATCTAAATTGTAGGGAAAAAACATTAAAGGGATTTCTTTATAACTAGTATTGCCTTAAATCCGGGAAAATCTCTTTAAATTGTAAATCATTTGGCCACTCCACTCCTTCAGAAATCATTCAGTATCTACTTAAACCTGCAAATTTGACATTGTGAATATTTTGATTCCATTGTTTTACTGGTAAGGAAGTTTTAAAACAAATACTTTTAAAATATTTTTATTGAGGTATAGTTGATATACAATAAACTGCACATATTTAATGTGTATAATTTGGTAAGTTTGACATATGTGTATGCCTGTGAAACCATCTCAAAAATCAACATGTATTCAACATATATATCCAATAATTTCTTGATATGGCTCTTTAGAATCCTAAACTACACTAGATCTCTGCTGTCACCATTCACCCTACACCATGGCATGACAACCATAGATTTATTTTATGCCATTCTAGATTAGTTTTAATTCTCTCAAATTTTACATGAATGGGATTATACAGTTGTGCTACTTTCATAAAACAAATATTTTGGAATGCATATATACTATTGTGTATAATAATGTTTTATTCCTTTTTACTTCTGGGTGATAGTCCATTGTACGAATTTACTTTAATTTTTCCATTCCTCTGTTGTTGGCCATTTGAGTTGTTACATATTTAGGTATTACAAATAAAATTGCTATCAATATTCACGTACAAGCCTTGATATGGGCATATGCTTTCAATTATCTTGGATAAATACTTCAGAATGAAATAGCTTGATTTTATGTTGACAGTATACTTAACTTTATAAGAAACTGCTCCATTTTTTAAAGTGGTAGTATTATTTTCATTCTCAATGGCAGTGTATGAGAATTTCAGTTCCTCCACATCCTCACCATCATTTCATGTGGTGATTAATTTGAAATAATTCTTGAAATTGTGTGTACTTAATCCTTCTCTAAAGAGCTTTTTATAAAGTTCTTTTGCCTATCCAAAATTTGCTGAATATCTGTGTACAATTTATAATTTATTTGTCAATTTCCAGGAATAAAAACCTGTTGGAATTTTTATTAGGATTGGTATTTTTTATTTCAAATTCTGATTGTTCACTGTTAATATACAGACACAATTTATTTCTTCCAACAATCTTTCTAACCTCACTCATTAGTCTTATTAGTTTTGGCAGACTTTTGTACATTTTGTTGGATGCCTTACACATATTTTGTTGTTTGCAATGAAGCTACTTTTACTTCTTTTCCATTAGATAACTGTTATATATTTTTCTTGCCTTACTACATTGGCTAGAATATATGGTTCCATGCTGAATAGAAACTTCAAGAACAGTCTTTTCTTATTCTTGACATTATAATAAAACACATATCATTTCACTATAAAGTATAAATTTAGCTGTAGATTTGTAGATTGAAAAAGTTCACTGCTTGTATTAGTCCATTCTCATGCTGCTAATAAAGGCATACCGAAGTCTGGGTAATTTATAAAGGAAGGTTTATAAAGGTTTAATTGACTAATAGTTCAGCATGGCTGGGGGTTTCAGGAAACTTACAATCATGGTGGAAGGGGAAGCAAACATGTCCTCTTCACGTGGCGGCAGCAAGGAGAAGTGCCAAGCAAAAGGGGTAAAAGCCCCTTATAAATCCATCAGATCACATGAGAACTCACTATCACAAGAACAGTATGGGAGGAACCACCCCCAGGATTCAATTTTCTCCACCTGGTCCCACCCTTAATATATGGAGATTATTACAATTCAAGGTGAGATGTGGGTGGGAACACAGAGACAAACCATATCAACACTATAACTCATTTGTTGAAATATTTTGCAGAAATGGATGTTGGATTCTCTCAAATGCTTTTTATGCATCTATTGAGAGATAATATGCTTTATTTACAGTTCGGTCAACATGACAAATTATATTTTAAATAATGGCTTTTTAGAATATAATGCACATAACATCCACCAACTTAAATAATGCAATTCAATGATATTTAGAAATACTGTATATTCTGTTGATTTGGGGTGGAGAGTTCTGTAGATGTCTATTAGGTCCACTTGGTCCAGAGCTGAGTTCAAGTCCTGAATATCCTTGTTAATTTTCTGTCTCATTGACCTGTCTAATATTGACAGTGGGGTGTTAATGTCTCTCACTATTATTGTGTGGGAGTCTAAGTCTCTTTGTAGGTCTCTAAAAACTTGATTTATGAATCTGGGTGTTCCTGTATTGGGTGCATATATATTTAAGATAGTTAGCTCTTTTTATTGCATTGATACTTTTACCATTATGTAATGACCTTGTCTTTTTTTATCTTTGTTGGTTTAAAGTCTGTTTTATCAGAACTAGGATTGCAACCCCTGCTTTTTTGTTGTTGTTGTTGTTTTGCTTTCCATTTGCTTGGTAAATATTCCTCCATTTCTTAATTTTAAGCCTATGTGTATCTCTGCACGAGAGATGTGTCTCCTGAATACAGCACACCCATGGGTCTTGACACTTTATCCAATTTGCCAGTCTGTGTCTTTTAATTGAGGCATTTAGCCCCTTTACATTTAAGATTTATATTGTTATGTGTGAATTTGATCCTGTCATTATGATGCTAGCTGGTTATTTTGCCCATTAGTTGAGACAGTTTCTTCAGAGTGTCAATGGTCTTTACAATTTGGTATGTTTTTGCAGTGGTTGGTACCAGTTATTCCTTTCCATGTTTAGTCTTTCCTTCAGGAGCTCTTGTAAGGCAAGCCTGGTGGTAATAAAATCTCTCAACATGTGATTGTCTGTAAAGGAGTTTATTTCTCCTTCACTTATGAAGCTTAGTTTGGCTGGATATAAAATTCTGGGTTGAAAATTCTTTTGTCTAAGAACGTTGAGGCCAGGCACGGTGGCTCATGCCTGTAATCCCAGCAATTTGGGAGGCCAAGGCAGGTGGATCACCTGAGGTCAGGAGTTCGAGATCAGCCTGACCAACATGCAGAAACTCCGTCTCTACTAAAAATACAAACAATTAGCTGGGCGTGGTGGTGCGTGCCTGTAATCCCAGCTACTCAGGAGGCTGAGGCAGAAGAATTGCTTGAACCTGGGAGGCGGAGGTTGCAGTGAGCTGAGATCACCCTACTGCACTCCAGCCTGGGCAACGAGAGCGAAACTCCATCTCGAAAAAAAAAAAAAAAAGAATGTTGAATATTGGCTTGGCCCTGACCACATAATTGGAATTGAAACTCCTCAGCAAATGCAAAAGAACAGAAATCATAACAAACAGTCTCTCAGACCACAGTGCAAACAAATTAGAAGTCAGGATTAAGAAAGTAACTCAAAACCATACAACTACATGGAAACTGAACAACCTGCTCCTGAATGACTACTGGGTACATAACGAAATGAAGGCAGAAATAAAGATGTTCTTTGAAACCAATGAGAAGAAAGACACAATGTACCAGGACCTCTGGGACATGACTAAAGCAGTGTTAACAGGGAAATTTATAGCACTAAATGCCCGCAGGAGAAAGCAGGAAAAATCTAAAATTGACACCCTAATATCACAATTAAAAGAACTAGAGAAGCAAGGGCAAACACATTCAAAAGCTAGCAGAAGACAAGAAATAACTAAGGTCAGAGCAGAACTGAAGGAGATAGACACACAAAAAACCCTTCAAAAATCAATGAATCCAGGAGATGGTTTTTTGAAAAGATCAACAAAATAGATAGACTGCTAGCCAGACTAATAAAGAAGAAGAGAGAGAGGAATCAAATAGACATAGTAAGAAATGATAAAGGGGATATTATCATTGACTCCACAGAAATACAAACTACCATCAGAGAATACTATAAACACCTCTATGTAAACAAACTAGAAAATCTAGAAGAAATGGATAAATTCCTGAACACATACACTCCCCCAAGAATAAACCAAAAAGAAGTCGAATCCCTGAATAGACCAATAAGTTCTGAATTTGAGGCAGTAACTAATAGTCTACCAACCAAAAAAAGCCCAGGACCAGATGGATTCACAGCTGAATTCTACCAGAGATACAAAAAGCAGCTGGGACCATTCTTTCTGAAACTATTCTAAACTATTCCAAACAACAGAAAAAGAGGGACTCCCCACTAACTGATTTTATGAGGCCAGCATTATCCTGATACCAAAACCTGGCAGAGACACAACAAAAAAAGAAAATTTAAGGCCAGTATCCTTGATAAACACTGATGCAAAAATCCTCAATAAAATACTGGCAAACTGAATCCAGCAGCACATCAAAAACCTTATCCACCATGATCAAGTTGGCTTCATCCCTGGGATGCAAGGCTGGTTAAACATAGGTAAATCAATAAATGTAATCCATCCCATAAACAGAAACAATGACAAAAACCACATGATTATCTCAATAAATGCAGAAAAGGCCTTCGATAAAATTCCACACCCCTTCATGCTAAAACCCATCAATAAACTAGGTGTTGATAGAACGTATCTCCAAATAATAAGAGCTATTTATGACAAACACACAGCCAATATTATACTGAATGGGCAAAAGCTGGAAGCATTCCCTTTGAAAACTGGCACAAGCCGAGGATGCCCTCTCTCACCACTCCTATTCAACATAGTATTGGAAGTTCTGGCCAGGACAATCAGGCAAGAGAAAGAAATAAAGTTTATTCAAATAGGAAGAGAGGAAGTCAAATTGTCTCTGTTTGCAGATGACATGATTGTATATTTAGAAAACCCCATTGTCTCAGCCCCAAATCTCCTTAAGCTGATAAGCAAATTCAGCAAAGTCTCAGGATACAAAATCAATGTGCAAAAATCACAAGCATTCCTGTACACCAATAATAGACATACAGAAAGCCAAATCATCAGTGACCTACCATTCACAATTGCTACAAAGAGAATTAAATACCTAGGAATACAACTTACAAGGGATTTGAAGGACCTCTTCAAGGAGAACTACAAACCACTGCTCCAGGAAATAAGAGAGGACACAAACAAAGGGAAAAACATTCCATGCTCATGGATAGGAAGAATCAGTATCGTGAAAATGGCCATAATGCCCAAAATAATTTATAGATTCAATGCTATCCCCATCAAGCTACCACTGACTTTCTTCATAGAATTAGAAAAAACTACTTTAAATTTCATACGGTACCAAAAAAGAACCTGTATAGCCAAGACAATCCTAAGCAAAAAGAACAAAGCTGGAGGCATCATGCTACCTGACTTCAAACTATACTACAAGTCTACAGTAACCAAAACAGCATGGTACTGGTACCAAAACATATATATAGACCAATGGAAAAGAACAGAAGCCACAGAAAAAATGCCACACATCTACAACCATTTGGTCTTTGACAAACCTGACAAAAACAAGCAATGGAAAAAGCATTCCCTATTTAATACATGGTGTTGGGAAAACTGGCTAGCCATATGCAGAAAATTGAAACTGGACCCCTTCCTTACACCTTATACAAAAATTAACTCAAGCTGGATTAAAGACTTAAATGTCAGACCTAAAACCATAAAAACCCTAGAAGAAAACCTTGGCAATACCATTCAGGTCATAGGCATGGGCAAAGACTTCATGACTGAAACACCAAAACCAATGGTAACAAAAGCAAAAATTGACAATTGTCATCTAATCAAACTAAAGAGCTTCTGCACAGCAAAATAAACTATCATCAGAGTGAAGGCAACCTACAGAATGGGAGAAAATTTTGTACTCTATCTATCTGACAAAGGGCTAATATCCAGAATCTACCAAGAACTTAAACAAATTTACAAGAAAAATACAAAAAATCCCATCAAAAAGTGGGCGAAGGATATGAAGAGACACTTCTCAAAAGAAGACATTTTATGAACAGACACTTCTCAAAAGAAGACATTTATGCGGCCAACAAACATATGAAAAACAGCTCTTCATCACTGGCCATTAGAGAAAAGCAAATGTAAACCACAATGAGATACCATCTCATGCCAGGTAGAATGGCAATCATTAAAAAGTCATGAAACAACAGATGCTGGAGAGGATGTGGAGAAATAGGAACACTTTTACACTGTTGATGGGAGTGTAAATTAGTTCAACCATTGTGGAAGACACTCTGGTGATTCCTCAAGGATCTAGATCCAGAAATACCATTTGACCCAGGAATCCCATTACTGGGTATATACCCAAAGGATTATAAATCATTGTCCTATAAAGACACTTGCACACATATGTTTATTGTGGCACTGTTCACAATAGCAAAGACTTGGAACCAACCCAAATGCCCATCAATGATAGACTGGATAAAGAAAATGTGGCACATATACACTATGGAATATTATGCAACCATAAAAAAGGATGAGTTCATGTCCTTTTCAGGGACATGGATGAAGCTGGAGACCATCATTCTCAGCAAACTAACACAAGAACAGAAAACCAAACACTGCATGTTCTCACTCATAAGTGGGAGTTGAACAATGAGAACACATGGACACAGGGAGGGGAATATCACACACAGGGGCCTGTTGGGGGGTTGGGGGCTAGCAGAGGGATAGCATTAGGAGAAATACCTAATGTAGATGACAGGTTGATGGGTGCACCAAACCACCATGGCACGTGTATACCTATGTAACAAACCTGTATGTTCTGCACGTGTATCCCAGAACTTAAAGTATTATAAAAGAAAAAATAATAATAAATAAGAAAAAAAAGAAATACTCTATTCATTTGCAATTACTCCCCCATTTGTTAAAATCCCATGAGCACCAGCCAATCAGTAATCTACTTTTATCTGTATAGATTTACCTGTTCTGGACCTTCAATATAAATATAAATGTACAATATGTGGTCTTTCATAACTGACTTCTTTCATTCAGCCTAATGTACTTTTCTTTTGACTTTAGGTTCAGAGGTCCATGTGCAAGTTTGTTATATAGGCAAGTTGCATGTCACAGGGATTTGGTGTACAGATTATTTCACCACCCAGGTAGCAAGCATAGCAACTGATGGATAGGTTTTTGATCCTCACCCTCCTTCTTCCTTCTACCCTCAAGTAGGCTCCAGTGTCTGTTGTTACCTTCTTTGTGTTTATATGTACTTGATGTTTAGCTCCCACTTATAAGTGAGAACATGTGGCATTTGGCTTTCTGTTCTTGTTTTAGTTCACTTAGGATAATGGCTTCCATCTCCATCCATGTAGCTGCAAATGACATGAGCGTGTTCTTTTTATGGCTGCATAGTATTTCATGGTGAATATGTATCACATTTTCTTTACCTAGTCTAACATTAATAGGCATTCAGGTTAATTCCATGTCTTGCTATTATGAATAGTGCTGTGATGACCAAAGTTGTGCATCTGTCTTTACAGTAGAAGGATTTATATTCCTTTGGGTATATACCCAATAAAGGAAATGATGGGTCGAATGATAATCCTGCTTTGAGTTCTTTGAGAAATTGCCAAACTGCTTTAAACAATGGTTAAACTAATTTACACTCCTACCAACAGTATAAAAGCATCCCCCTTTCTCCACAACCTCACCAGTATCTGGTTTTTTTGACATTTTAATAGCCATTCTGACTTGTGTGACATGGTATCTCATTGTGGTTTTGATTTGCATTTCTCTAATGATCAGTGATGTTGAGCATTTTCATGTGCTTTTTGGCCACGTGTATGTCTTCTTTTGAAAAGTGTTCATGTCCTTTGCCCACTTTTTAATGAGGTTGTTTGTTTTTTGCAAGTTGATTTTTTTAAGTTCCATATAGATTCTGGATATTGTCCTTTGTCAGATGCATAGCTCGCAAATATTTTCTCTTATTCTGCAAGTCGACTGCTTACTCGGTTGATAGCTTTTTTTTTTTTTTGCTATGCAGAAGCTCTTTAGTTTAATTAGGTCCCAATTGTCAACTTTTATTTTTGTTTTAATTGCTTTTGGTGTCTTCATCATGAATTATTTGCCAGATCCTATGTCCAGAATGGTATTTCCTAAGTTAATTTCCAGAGTTTTTATAGTTTTCAGTTTTACATTTAAGTCTTTAATTCATCTTCAATTAATTTTTCTATATGGTGTACGGAAGGGGTCCAGTTTCAATCTTCTGTATATAGCTAGCCAGTTATCCCAGCACCATTTATTGAATAGGGACTCCTTTCCCTATTGCTTATTTTTGTCTACTTTGCTGAAGATCAGATGGTTGTAGATACATCCGTGACAAAACCACAGCCAAGATCATACTAAATTGGCTAAAACTGGAAGTATTTCCCTTGAAAACCAGAACAAGGCAAGGATGCCCTCTCTCACCACTCCTATTCAACATACTAATGGAAGTCCTGCCCAGAGAAATCAGGGAAGAGAAAGTAATAAAAGGCATCCAGATAGGAAGAGAGAAATTCAAACTATCCCTGTTTGCAGATGATATGATTCTATACCTAGAAAACCCAATTGTCTCTGCCCAAAAGCTCCTTGATCTGATAAACAACTTCAGCAAAGTTGCAGGATAAATAATCAATGTACAAAAATCAGTAGCATTCTTATACATCAACAATATCCAAGCTGAGAGCCAAATCAAGAATGCAATCCCATTCACAATGGCCACAAAAAGAATAAGATAATAGGAATACAGCTAACCAGAAAGATGAAAGATCTCTACAACAAGAATTACAAAAAACTTCTCAAAAGAAATCAGAGATGACACAATCAAACGGAAAAATATTCCATGCTCATGGATAGGAAGAATCAATATAGTTAAAATGGCCATACTGCCCAAAGCAATTTACAGATACATTGCTATTCCTATCAATCTACCAATAACGTTCTTCACAGAATTAGAAAAAAAAAAACTTTAAAATTTGTATGGAACCAAAAACAAGCCTGAATAGCAACAACCCTAAGCAGAACAACCCTAAGAAAAAGGAACAAAGCTGGAGGTATCATTTTTCCCATCTTCAAACTATACTACACGGCTAAAATAATCCCAAAACTTAGTACTAGTACAAACACAGGCACATAAACCAATGAATCAGAATACAGAGCTCAGCCTAATGTTTCAAGATTCATTCTTGATGTAGCATGTTATCAGTATTTTAATCCTTTTTATAGCTGAACATTATTGCATTGTAAAAATTTACCACATTTTATCTATTAGCCAACTGATAGATATTTGGATTATTTGCAAATTTTGGCTATCATAAAGCTTATATCCATATTTGTCCACACATTTTTGTGTTGATATATTTTCATTTATCTTCCACTAGTAGTGAAATTACTATATTAAATGGTTACTGTATGTTTAACTTTTGGAGGAACAGCTATACTATTTTCCAAAGGAACTGCACCATTTTACATTTCCACAAATTGTGTATGAGGGATTTAATTTTTCCACATCTACATTAACACTTATTATTGTCTGCTCTTTTTGAATGAAGTAATCCCAGTTTGTCTTAAGTGGTATCTCATAGTGCTTTTGATTTGCATTTCCCTGATAGCTAATGATGTTGAGATTTTTTTTTTAATGTGGATTTTGGCTATTTTTAAATCTACTTTGAAAAAACATTTATTTAGATTCTTTACTCATTTTTGATTGTGCTATTTCTATTTTTATTATTGAGTTTTAAGATATTGTATATATTTCAAATACAATTCCCTTATATGATATATAGGTTACTAATGTTTCTCCAAGTTTCATAGGATATCTTCTCACTTTCTTGATCATTTATTTTGAAGCACAAAAGTTTGAATTTTAAGGAAGCCCAATTTACATATTTTTCCTTTTATCATCTCTTTTTTTGGTGTCACATCTAAGAAGGCTTTGTCTAATGCAACGTCACATATGTAGTATTTACTCCTGTATCTACATATACAATTTTTCAACTTCTAGCTCTTACATTTAGGTCAGTTATCTCTCGTGTGTGTGTGTGTGTGTGTGTGTGTGTGTGTGTGTGTTTGGTTTTTTGGGGTTTTTTTTGTTTTTTTTTTTTGAGATGGAGTCTTGCTCTGTAGCCCAGGCTGGAGTACAGTGGCATGATCTCAGCTCACTGCAACCTCTGCGTCCTGGGATCAAGTGATTCTCCTGCCTCAGCTTCCTGAGTAGCTGGGACTATAGGCGCCTGCCAGCATGCCCGGCTAATTTTTGTATTTTTAGTAGAGACAGGGTTTCATCATATTGGCCAGGCTGGTCTCGAACTCCTGACCTTGTGATCTACCTGTCTCGGCCTCCCAAAGTGCTGGGATTAGAGGGGTGAGCCACCGCGCCTGGCCCAGTTATCTCTTTTGAATATTTCTTTGTATGTGCTAGAAATAAGAAGTCCAATTTCACTGTTTTCAAATGGGCATGCAGTTGTCCTATCATTTATTGAAAAGAGCATTCTTTCCTAGTGCATTGTCTTGGTTCCCTAGTTGAAAACCAATTTACTAAAAATACATAAACTTTATTTTATTCTGTACTCTCAATTCTCTTCCATTAATCTGTATGTCTATTCTTTTGCCAGTATTGAATTATTTTGACTACTGTAACTTTGTAGTGTGTTTTGAAATTGGAAATCATGAGTGCTCTAAAATCACTTCTTTTCCAAATTATTTGGGCTAGTCTGGATCACTTGAATTTGGTATAAATTTTATGATCATGTTATGAATTTCTTCAAAAGAGCAAGACGAGATTTTATAGGATTTTATTGAATCTACACGTCAACCTGGGGAATATTAACCTTGTTAATAGTAAGTCTTCTGATCTACGGACATGGAATGTCTATTTATTTAGGTTTTCTTTAATTTACTTGAACAATGTTTTATAGTTTTCAAAGTGTAAGCTTTGTACTTCCATAATTGAACTTATACCTAGGTATTTTATTATTTTTAGGTCATTATAAATACAATTTTTTCATGGTTTGAATTTTTTTATTTTCTGAAATGAAACCATTGTACATTGTACAAACTGTATCTACTAATGGAATAAATAAGCGAAAAAAATATACTGCTGTACAACATACCAAAAAAAAATCTTGAGGGGGGAAAAAAAATTAGGTAACGGTGAAAAAAAGGTCTTTATGCCTCTAACCAGGTCCTCAGCGATAATGAACATTCCAAACCTGATGCCTTTTAATGGGAGGTCACCACGCTAGTGGAATCCGTCCACAGCCTTCCAGGTTGTGGGTGTAAGTGCCAGCACTTAGGGAATGTCTAGCCGCAGCTTCCCTGACTTCAAGTTTTGGGGGGAACTAGGTTTGTCCTGGGAGCCCTTGAGGTCAAGGGGCCTGATGTCCGAGGAAGGCTTTTGCTCGGGATCCCCCGCCCCTGGCTCGAAGCTGAAAGGTCTTAGATTCTGTGGTGGGGGGAGGGAGAGGGGTCCCTGATTTGCTCTTAATTAATATATGGACTCCTCAGAACTTAAACCTTTTCCTAAGCTTTCTTTACTGCACTGGAATTCTGACTCCCTATGAGTTGTGTATTACTGGGGGGGTGGGGGTTGCGGGTTTTGTTGTTTTGGGGAGCTAATTGGTGCATATTCAGGTACCAAGTTTGACATGTGGGTTTTTCTCCTGACCATCACGGGAAATGTCTGCCGGATTCCATTTTCTAAGAGTTTCTGAGGGTGAGGCTCTTAATTTTTTTTTAAGGGATCCTGTCTATTTCCTGCACTCCAAGAAGAATCAAAATGTTTCTGAATTTCAAACACCTCATGAAAAATGTCTCCTGAAAAAAGGAAAAAAAAAAACAACAACTTTGAAAATCTTAATGTTGAAACTTAGCAATGCCGAAAGGTTTCTGTCTTAAAAAAAACAAACAAAAAAAAAAACACAAAAAACAAACAAACAAACAAACAAAACCTGTGCTTATCAATTTTGCCCCTTAGGCAGTCAGTTTTTTGACAACTGTGTCCTGCGTCCTGGCACAGAACCTACTGGATGCGGTTCTTCTCCACCCGTCTCAAGGCGGGGTTACCTCCAGATTCCATAGAATTAGAGTCACGTTTTTCTTTGCAGCGAAACTCCATCTTGGTGAGAGATGAATTTGGATATTTATTTCCTTTTCTTTTTTTGGGAAACTAGAGTCTACAACCAAGACAGCTCAAGGAGAATGAAACACACACATCCACGGAAACAGAGAGGCGTAGGTGGCCCTGCGGCTTCTGTGGTCAGGCTAGGGGAGTTGGCGCAGGTGGGGACTAAGACGATGTCCACCGTCCCAAGGCTGTCACTGGTCTTTCTCTGAAGTGCCTGAAGGTAGGAATGGGCCGGCAGTCGGGACCAACTGGGCCCCGCCATGGCCACGCCAGGCAAAGCGCCAGTGGCCCTGCACTCCACGCTGGCTAAGAAGGCCTTCCACACAGAATGACAAGATTGTAAAAATCCGATGTGCTTCCTTCCCTGGCGCAGTAGCTCCTCCGAGTCGCTGCCCGCCACCCACCCTACAACCCTCGCCCTCACCCACAACAATTATTTTCTTAATTTCATTTTTGGATTGTTTATTTCTAATGCATAGAAATAAGATTTTTTTTTTTTTTTTTTTTTTTTGGAAATCAAGCCTGAATCCTGTAACTGCTGAATTCATTTATTATAAGTTCTATTATTAATTAGTGGATTCCTTTGGCTTCTCTACCCACATACAAGATTATGGCCATTTCACAGAGATAGTTTTGCTCCGTCGTTGCAACCTGCCTTTTACTTCTTTTTCTCGCATAATGGTCCTGGCTGGAACATCTAGTATGATGTTGAATTAAAGTGGTGAGGGCAGATAAACTTGTCTTATTCCTGATTTTAGAGGAGAAGCATTCAGTCTTTAAGAAAGTCATTAAGTATTATGTTAAGTGTAGGGTTTTAATAGATTCCCTTCATCAAATTGAGGAAGACTACTTCTATTCCTAATCTATTGAGTGTTTTTATTATGAAAGGATATTAGGTTGTGTTAAATACTTTCTCTCCGTAAAAATGATCAAGTATTTTCTTAGTCATTTACATTGACTTTCAGATGCTGAACCAGTTTTGCAATCCTGGGATAAATCCTATTTGGCTATGATGTATAAATCCCTCACATATATTGCCAAGTTTAGTATCTAGCTTTTGCTGAGAATTATTATGCTTATACTCATAAGTTATGGGTCTGTAGTTTCCTTGTGATATTTTTCTCTTGCTTTGTTATTGGGTGACTAATATAATTAGTTTTGAAGTGTTCTTTCCCTTTTATTATTTTTAGGATTAATGTCTAAATTACTGGTATAAATTCTTCTTTAAATATTAAACTCCACTATTGAAGTCATCTGAGCCTGGAGTCTTCTTGGAAAGTTTTTAAAATTACTAATTCTAGCCTTGTGATAGTTGTAGGTCTCTTTAGATCTTTAGTTTTTTTTTTTTTGTAAGTTTTGAGTCATTTTGGGGAGTCCGTGTGTTTTAGGAATTTCTCCATTTTCTCTAAGCTATCTTAATTCATTGGCATACTATTTCTTATTGTATTTTCTTATACATATTTTTATCTCAATAAGGTTATATTAGTAATGTCCCCTTTTTCATTCTTGATATTGGTGATTTCAGTATTGTCTATTTTTTCCCCAGGTCATTCAGGCAAAAGATTTGTTCCCCCCTCCTTTTTTTTTGGTATTTCCAGAGAAAACGACCAATTTTTAGTTTCATTGATGTTCTCCATTTGAATTTTTTTGTTTCATTAATTTTCACTCTAATCTTTATCATTTCCTATTTCTACTTGCTTTGGTTAGTTTACTCTTATTTTGATAGTATGTTAGGGTGGCAGGTGAATCTTTCTGTTAAATTTTAACGTATGTGTTTACAGCCATAAATTATCCACAAGGTACTGGCTTTTGTTGCAACCTGTAAGTTTTGGTATGTTGTGTCTTCTTTTTCTTTCATCTGAAAATATTTTCTAAATATTCCTTGTGATTTATGTTTTTGGCCCATTGGCTATTATTGTTTTTAAATTTTTCATATATTTGCAAATTTCCAAAATTGTTTCTGTTTTTGATTTGTAAATTTATTGCATTATGATTACAGAACATACTTCTGGAGATTTAATCCTTTTAGATATGATTTGGCTTGTTGTTTTGCCTATAATATAGACTATATTGAATAATGTTCCATGTTCACTTTCAAATAATGTGTCCTGCTGCTCTGTATTGGATTGTTTTATAAATAATATCCTTTATTTTTATATATGTTAAATACATACAGAGAAGAAAAAAGAACCAGTACATAATTAGAAGGTATATTATATTAACATTTATCATGTCTAGTTCTTCTCATTTGTTCCTGTGGATTTGAATTATCACCAGGTGTCACTGCCTTATGGTAACTGAGGTTTACTCTTAATCCATCTTTCTGTGGTATTTTGTCAAATACCTTACATTTCTATATTATAGGTACAATATAATTACATACACATTGTTTCATTTGGCTGCTTACTAAGTCACATCAGAGAAGAAAGAAAAATAAGTTGGCATTTATTCTGATTATTATAATTACAAAATTACCTGTATCAGTGCTCTCTGTTTTTTATATGGATTCAAATTATAGTTGGAAGTCACTTGCTTACAGTCTGAAGAATCCCTTTTAGTATTTTCTATAAAGTAAACAGGCTATCAATAATTCTTTCAGTTTTTGTTTATCTGCAAAGTTATTTATTTCACCTTAAGTTTTGAAATACAGTCTTGCTGAATATAAGATTCTCTTCTGATGGACTTAAGAGGCAGAATAGAAAAAAGTTTTTAAAATGGATTCTTGACTGACTTTTTTTTTTCTTTCAAAACTTTGAATGTAAGTCAATGAGTGCCAATATGTACTCATTTTTTTAAACTTATTCATTAGGAAACATTTATAAATGTGTAAGACAGAAAGAGCTATCAAGAGAACCCAAAAACATGACGGGAGAATGAGGAATGGAGGAAGGAAGGGGAAAGAGAGAAATAGAATCAGAGAGAGAGATCGCAAAAGAAAATATCTATTTGCTACTGAGTATTGACTGCTAAACTAACTACTGATAGAACTCTTACCTTTGGTCTCAGAGTACCTGAGGAAGCACATGTAGCTTTAGTTTAAAATTGTACAATGTTCTCCACTAGTTTAAAGATGAGATTCAAGTCTTGTATATGCCTTAAAAAGATATGTATTATATAGTCCCTTTTTCTCCTTCAGACTGTGCTCTGCTTCGCTTCTCCTCCGTAAAGAGTACATTTGAGTTTCCCTAATGAAATACCATTTTTCACACAATTCTTCACTTTGAACATTCTTAGAATATTCTGTTGATGTTTTGATGTTTTCTATTTACCCCACTGCTCACAGCTTTAAAAAAAATTATTTGGAAAACTGCCCTTACCACTCTCTACACACAAAACTGATTTATATGTCCCCAGTATATATCACCACAATTGTTGCATCCTGTGAGTTGTTGAATTTTCCTTATGATATTAAGAACTGTATTAGTCAATTTATACTGCTATAAATAAATACCTGAGACTGGGTAATTTACAAAGAAAAGAGGTTTAATAGGCTCACAGTCCCACAGGCTGAACAGAAAATGTAGTAGCCCATTTTCACACTGCTAATAAAGACATACCCAAGACTGGGCAATTTACAACAGAAAGAGGTTTAATTGGACTTACAGTTCCTCATGGCTAGGGAAGCCTCACCATCATGGCGGAAGGCAAGGAGGAGCAAGTCAGGTCTTACACTTATGGAGGCAGGCAAAGAGAGAGTGAGAGCCAAGAAAAAGGAGTTTCTAACTATAAAACCATCAGATCATGTGAGACTTATTCATTACCATGAGAACAGTATGGGGGAAACCACTGCCATGATTCAATGATCTCCACCAGGTCCCTCCCACAACAATGGGAATTATGGGAGACACAGTTCAAGATGAGATTTGGGTGGGGACACAGAGCCAAACCCTATCAAGAAGCATGGTAGCATCTGCTTCTGGGGAACCTCAGGGAACTTTTACTCATGGCAGAAGGCAAAGCACAAGTAGGCATCTTACATGGCAGGAGCAGGACCAAGAGGCAGGGAGGTGCTACACACTTTTAAACAACCATATCTCATGATAACTCTATCACAAGAGCAACACTGGGGGATGCTGTTAAACCATACGAAACTGCCCCATGATCTAGTCACCTCCCACCAGTCCCCACCTCCAACACTGGGGATTACAATTAAACATGAGATTGGGGCAGGGACACAGATTCAGACTATATCAAGCACCATATAATATTGTGTGCTACCTAGTTATTAGTTGGTTTCATTTCCTATACTGCGGAATCTAAAAGGGGAGAGCTTTCCTTATCTTCATCCTTGAACAGTAATTGGCCCAGAACAGTCCTTAAAAATACTTATTTATTCATTTAAATTTGCTTCTTCTTATCATATTCATATCACACTTTATGATATTCTGATTCTAAGACTCAACAAATATCTCAATATTTGCATTGTTATAATCATATAGCATCATCACTCAATTCATATCCTAATTAAATTAGGTAAAATAAAGTGAAGGTTTACCCACAGAAAGTCTATCTTTCAAAAAAGACACCTAACTGGTTAAAGGAAAGAAATAGGTCTTATTATTTTATTTAGTTTGTCTTCTCCAGACAGCAAGGTGATCTATTAGAATACAAAGTAAGGATTTTAATGAAACAGGCATTTCCCAAGGAGTCTCCTTTTTGGCATATATTTATAGGGTTAATCAGTGTTCCATAAAACTACATGTTTCTAAGGCTTCACCATTGCTTTCCCCCAAGAGGTTTGTAACACTAATGAGTATTGATGACATCAATATATGATTCACAAAGAAGTTGGTAATTTAAGCTCTAAATCTAGAGAGAATAAGCCAATGTAATTAGAATAAAAGAAAATTAACTTCCCAATGTCTCTGTAGTTTTAAGTGTGGTGTTGTTTGCTTCTGAATAAGCCTCATTTTTATACATCCATAATTCTCTGTTGCAATTATTCAGAAAGTAATGAAAGTGTAAAGGCAATCTTATGAATGGAGGGTTAGAGAATCAGAAAGTACTGTGTGTCTTCAGGTGTATATAATATATTCATCTGCACTTAATTGCAATATTACAAACATATTTAACTCAAGTTCCCAAACCTCAAAGACCTCATGCTATCTCCAATATTCTCAATTAAAAATGTCCCTTAAGAGATCATCTGTATTTTGTTTTTTAAGGCCAACAGGCTGATGGCATGGTTTGTTTTAAATTTGTGGGCATGTGGTATTTTCTACCATCTGAAAATTATAAATATAGCCTTAATAAACTAAAAGTAAAGTCTTAATAAAGAAAAGTCCAGGCACCAGCCAACATATAAATCTTATTTTGGGGGAGAGGATATATAAAGAGGGTGAGTGAGTATTGATTGAGCTTTCTTGGTACCCCTGAAGCCACTTCTCAGAATAGTTATGTCTCTAACACACATAAAACTGGCTTTTCTGAAATGAGCACCATGCATGGTGACTTCTCAATATTGAACTTCAGGTTTATCTGTTTTGGTCAAAATGGCTGAGTTCTGACATCTGGAAAATAACAACAGTATTGCTAGATCCTGGATACTCACAAACTATGTTTATTATGATATTTCTGGCAACACACTGCATGCATATTCATGGCTTTGAAATGCTTCCTATTTCTATAGATTCATTCGTCATTTGCAGGTGTGATTATGGATTCATGAATGCAGCTAATCACTTCTAATATGTACAGTAATCCTGCCACTGAATTGAAATTTTCCTTGATTTTTTGATGAAGCTACGGCCCTGAAAGAAGCTCACTGAATTCTATAATCCAGAATAGTCTTCAGGAATAGTTAGAGCTGTACATAAAAGCCGGTTTATTTTGAGTTTACTCCTGATTACACTTGATAAGGACTTTAGGAGACTCTTACTTGTACTCTCACTGCCCCACTATAGTCCAGCCACCATGTGTCATGTGTGAGTGCCCACAGCAACATTCTAACATCTCCTATATGTTAGGAAAAGAAGATGTGACCATAAGCCCACAGTTTAAAATTGATATCCTGTTCATTTGAGAAAGAATAGAATGTTTTATCTTCCCAGGTTAAATAAAATTGTTAACTGTTTTCATAAACTGAAAACAAAGCCACTGCAGCCTCTGTGTAAAATCATGATCTCAACTGATGTTCCATCAATTTCTCAATTTTAACAAGAAAAAAAATTAGAAATTTACCTTTCTTCTCATTTGTGACCTCAACATGTTGCACAATAGAATTCTTGAAATATTTGAAACGTTCGGAAAGAAAAGTACCCCAACAGCATAGAAATAGGTCTTCCAATGTAAAAAGAAAATGAGAGAATTTTCTATGATTTTGTGACTTTCTGACACTGCAGTGGATGCAGGATTTTAGAGACCTTGCTTCTCTGGTTAGGTGCTGGGCTGAACCTGAACCACACTGCTGTCAAAGGAATCTCAGCCACCTCAGACTCTCAGCTCATTAAAAGTGACTTGAGGGAAGAGACATCAACCTGCATAATTAAATGTCTCTACTCATGGCTTCCCCCAGGTGCAGTTTCCAGTCATCTCACCTGCTTTCCTGGGTAACTCAACTTAGATTCTCATGCTGGCTCCTTTTTTGACAAGTCCCTTGACCAAACCACACTTGCCCATGCTTTTTCCCTATAACTATGTCTCTTAGATTCCTGCATTCACTCAGTTCTTTGTACTTCTGTCTAATTTCAGTCTTACTAGATCCCATATCATGCCAGACATGACACTTCCAATATAAAATCCTGGATAGAGATGATAGGAAGGTGATATGCATAAATTTATTGCTTTTCCCCCTCTATATTCCCATGGGTTGTGACACAATTGTTGATTTCATCATTTCGAGTATTGATTCTCTTATTTTTTTCTAAAGTTTGTATACATAGAAAAGTCGAAATATTTTTGCTGCTTTTGTTTTTGTTGGTTTGTTTTTGTTATTTTATTTAGAGGAAGTAAACTGGAATTACAAAGGTTAGTAGCTGCCTCACAGCCACACACCTAGTAAATGATGGAGCCAAGATTTGACTCCAGAGATTGGATATTAAATCACTTTACACTCAATAATTTTTGTTTAACTAAGTTCAACTGTGCTAGTCAAAGGATGTCAGTCACTAAGAAACAGACTGGATGCTACTCACAAAGCATAGTCAGTAAGCAGGGAGTCAGCATAGCCAAATTCTTTCAGCAAGTAGTCAGGTCCCAGTCACCAGGTAGTAATCACAAATCAGAATCACTGCTCTTGGGATTGGGTGCTGGAATATTGAAGATGACTCCTATTCAGTAGGAATGATGCATCAAGAATATTAGTAAAATGACTCAAATACAAATACATAAGGTGAATTTTAAGTTTCCTAAATACCAATGAAGTAAAGGCTACACTAGTAACAAGGACTACTTTGTGATGCGTCCTGCAGGTTTGGAACAGATCTCCCTGAGGTCTTTGTCTCAGATTAGGATTTGCCATATAAATTTGTCAGAATGAGACTGTTTTTGGTGGGGACAGAAGGGTTGAAATTTTTATTAACAATAATTCATAGACTGTATGGAGATTTACTATAAGTCATACCAGACCTGCTATGGCTCCTTTGAGGCAACAACAATGGCAATAGCAGTCTCTAATTCACCTTTATATCATTCAGTACTTTGTTCATGAATAGTTTGGAATGATTCTAAGCTTGACTAAATCCCTGAAAGTCTGTGGTTCTAAACTACTTGGCACATTTACATTTTACATCACAGGCTGTCCTTTTTTCCTTTTTTTTTTTTTTTTTTGTTAGTTTTTGAGAACTGAGAATCCTATAATGTTTATTATTATAATGACCAAGTTACAGAATACAGATGAAGAAACTTAGCTCCATCTCATACCTTTACTAAACGCAGATTTCCCTTTCAGCTAAGAATGTGGACTTCCAAGACAGTTGGCTTAGGTGCAAATCACTCCTCCACATTAGTGGCCATTAATATAATTTTGGGAAAGTTGTTTAAGCTTTGTGTCTTTATAAAAGTTTCCACAATTGTAGACTAGGAGGTATTAAAAGTATCTATTTCATGGGGTTGCTTTGGGGATTAAATGGGTAGATATTATGAGGTACTAAGTGCCTAGCACAGAGGAGGAGCTCAGTATGTATTATCTATTATAACAATAGTCACAAAAATAAATATCAACTTGCTTATTTCTCTCCATTTTTGCATGCAAAGATATGACATGTATAAAAGTTATATAAATGGAGGATAAAATAAAAAGGATTGTATATTTTCCAAAGAGAAAGTAACTTGTATCTCCTATAATCATTCATAACTCTCATAGTTTATTAGGACTGAATATGATAAAAACACATTGAAATGCAAATATTGTATCCATTAAGGAAGCAGATGAGGACTTAGTTAACTTTCTCATCTATATAAAGGATGAAACAGTCACTGGGTTAAATACCTTTCTTCGGTTTGTTACTATAAACCTTTAGAAGAACCTCCACTAAAATGGCACTGTGGACAATATAGAACTTTCACAGGATTTTATGGTTTTCAGTGTAGGGGAAAATGACCATTTAATACATAGCCATATCTTCCCAAACAAAAGAAAAATAAGGTCACCATCCAAGTACTGGAACTCAGAGTACTTTCTTAATAAAAAATGTATAAAAAACTACATGTGCTTCCCATTTCTCATCCACATTTTCCAAAGACTAATTGTGCAAATCAAGTAAAATAATAATGTCCAAAATGTTTGTGGATAATTTATTCTATTCTTATAATCTTAAAAAGTTTTGACTAACTTTGTCGCTTCTTTCCGCAAACAAATAAATAAATGCCAGGTTCTAGGGAAGATTAACAAAAACAAAAAACAACAAATAAGTGCATAGCAATATAAAGAAATGAGAAAATGAGCCAGGAAAAACCCAAATTTCAAATTTACATTATACAACCAATTTATAAAACAGGAAATTTATATATATGCATAAAACTAAAAATCTTTTATTCAACTCTTTAAAAAAATATCTGGAACCCTTCCTACATGTCTCTTTTGGTTAGGCAGATAATGGCTCCCAAACCCTGTGGAGCCTGTGAATAATTTACCCTACATGACAACAGGGAGTTTGCAGATGTAGCTAATTTAAGGCTCTTGTGATTACTCTCGATAATCTGGGTGAGCTCAAAATAATTGCAGGAGTCCTTATAGGAAGCAGGAGAGTAAGAGTCAGACAAGGGGGTGTGACAGTGGAGGCAAAGGTCAGAATGATGTAACTACTGAAATGAGGCCAGGAGCAAAGGAATGCAAGCATCCTCTAGAAGCTGGGAAAATCGATTATCTCTTATCATTTCCAGAATAAAACACAGTTCTGCTGACACCTTGACCTTAGCCCAGTGTGACTTCAGGACTCTGTTATTATAAGAAAATAAATGTGTGTTTTCTAAGCTACCAAGTCAGTGGTAATATGTTCCAGCTTTAAGAGAAAAGTAATATGTTATTTGTTGGCATGATTCATGTTTATTGGGACCAGATGATTTGAAGGGACAAGACGTACACGTGTAGGATGATGAGGTAAACTGAATATCATGAGGTAAACTGAATATTTAGGTTTTCTTTTTCTTTTTCTTTTTCTTTTTTTTTCAAATTGCAGGGTGCAAACAAAACATGTCTGCGGTGGTCAACAGAAAGGCAAATTATTCCTGGATGGAATCGATAAAATTTGGAGGTAGATAAAAATGCAATGCAGATATAAAAACTGAGTCCCTGCTGTATTGGCGAGTTCTGTAGAATTAATGTTAACGTTATAAAATTAGTTCCAAAATTTAATAAAAGCCTGAACTTATGATGTTAAAGATTAGTCACTGATCATACTGTTAATATTTTAACAAAAAATTCTAATAATTGAATATTTCTCTTTTGTACCAATAAGTATGTAATCTGTTGTCATTGCCTATTTGTGTTACTTTAGCCACATATTGTAATTAAATATGCTAGAAATAATCTTCACCATAATATTAATACTATTTCTCCTAATCCTCAATCCAAATGACAACTTAAAACTTTCCCTTTATTTCAAGTAAGATCGTAAACAAATTTCCAAAACTTCTATTTACTTACCAGTATCTCAGGAAGAGTCCCTTCAAGTCAAGTAGGATGGTTTATTGAACACAAAATCTCTTTGAACAAATGAATCTTTAACTTGTAGTGAAAGTGAAACACACACATACGTATTTGGCAGCAAATTGATTCACAGTCAGATGAGATCAATGAGGATGCTTGACAAATTAAATTGGATCATCAATTTGAGTCATTGCATGATTTTTTTAACAGATAGATTTGCTCAGTTTATGGCTTGTTGACCTGCAGATAGTATGCCATGAGAGTCCAGTGATAAAAATGATGGTTTGGGCAATGAAGGCATATTTGATGAATGAGAAAAAAAGGGAAAAATAAGTCTACCTATGTACAAGAGGAAAATATACAGAAATTAGAGGTGTATATTTATGACTGCTCAGATACTGGCTATAAGTTGAGGCTTAAGCTGTTATCTAAAAAGCCTTTTGAACTGATACCTAACACATTTTCCATGACTGTTAGTTACCATTAGATCAGAGTGACAGAAAATCTGTCTACTTGCCACTCTCTCCTTTCCAGAGAACTGAACTAGGAACTTTGCATGCTTTGATGAGTTACTTCACTTTCTTATGTCTCTATCATGGAACTGTAATTTGAGATATATTTTCAGTTTTCAGGCCACTGTATAAGTGTCAGAAACTGAGAGAAAGTTGAAAATTTCCTACTCATTTCCTCTATCTTTGGATGAAGATAAAAATAATTTGTTTCACACTCCTTGAAGATGCATGTGATAGTATCTAACTATGATACAGATGTGGGTCAAACAGGGATACTTCCATGCCCACCGGCTCTGGAAGTAAGTTTAGTCTTTACCCACTCTCTGACAGGAAATCTGAAGGCATATTAATTTGTATTTATTATGTATCTCTTGTAGCTTGACCTATTCAGTTATTTTTGCCACCTCAAGTGTTAGTGGACATTTAAAAACACCTAAAATCATGGATCTGAGACACAAAAAAATAACAAATGAGTTTTATAATCCTAAACCTTCTTTTCATCCGGTTTTTCAGGTTTCACTGATAAACTGTGTTTATACAGCCCATTAGGTTTGTCCCTGAGCACTTCAAAAAAGGTATTAAATTAGTAAATACTGTTATTTAGTAATGTAGGCACTATCATTGTGGATCAGAAATTCAAGCTGTTAAAATGTAAAATATCTGGAGTTTTTGTATAAATTGACCTGTGCATTCCAGATCTCCATGCTCCAAATCTTCATACAGTTTATGTAACTAATCAATAGGATGACTTGGTTTTTTTTTAATGACTCTTCATGTACAATTGTAGATTTTTAATTTCAAAATTTTATAAATATTTAACATATGTGAAGAAAGTCCCTTACACTAAACCACTGTGGTCTTGATATTTTATATTTTAATATCCTGAAGTGTTATGACCAACATAATAGACATAAAGTTAATAATTTATTTTCGCAATATTCATCGTGTTTTTATTTACTCTAATATACTCATGAAAAAAATGGTAGGAAAATGTATCCCTTTCCTGTAGATATATAAAGGATATAATTTTACACATAAGCACAAGAGACCAAAATAAGGATTCAAGTTCAAGATTCTCTGAATTCATTACATTGTTGAGGTAAACACGTTGATGTAGCTCATTAAAAAGAAAGAAGAGTGGATCATTAAAATCCTTCCAAAATTTACCCATTTATAGACAAATCCATCTGTACTGACAGTCATTCAGCTACGTGTTTTTCCATAAACATGTGTAAATGTAGCAAGATTTAAATTGTTTCTCTACAATGAAAACACAATTTGGTTCTAGTTTCCTGATTGTATATTATACTCTTTCTGAAAATTTGTGTTTGATCCTTTGGGTGGTAATTGGCATTCATCTCTCATATGCTGTTTTATCATGTGCTTTTCTCCTTGTACATTGAATTTGGCTATGAAAATATAATATTCTTAAAATCAAATATGTATACTTTGGGGATGATAAATTTGAAGGCATATTAATTTGTATTTAATATGTATCTCTTGTAGCTTGACCTAATCAGTTATTTTTGCCACCTCAAGAGTTAGCACAAGATGCTTCCCAAAATTTGACAAAAGTGAAGACAGTATGGTTATTACGGGTATTTAAAGAAGAATATAATGACATAAAGGAGGTGCTCTCTAAAGCTCAAGAAAAGAAATAAAATGTGGGTATTATGATTTGCCCAGAAGACTATTTTCTCCTTGCCCAGGTGGCAAACCTCAGCAATGTGAATCCTCCAGATTTTGCAAGTAGATTAAGATCAGTGAGTTGAAAAACAAAACATATATATATGTGTGAGTGTGTGTGTGTGTGTGTGTGTGTGTGTATATATCTGACTGCTTTGAAGACAGAAACCTATAAAATCCAATAGTAAACTATTGTAAATAAAAAGTCTAATTATAAAAAATAAAAATTATAAATATATTTTGAAATGAAATAAAATTTTTAAAAGCCTGTACTGCTCTAATGTATGTAAAAATGAGAAAACAGTGGACAATATTAACTGGTTAAATAGTGAAGACACAATGGTAGCAAAAATATAAATTATGATGGGGAACTGCTAAATTGACAGTCATAGATTGCCAGCAATCTAGAAAACAGTTATAAAGCAAAATATGAGTGAAACTTAAACTGCATATATAGAAAAGTTTGTGGGTAATTAAAATTAAAAGTGTCCCTCTCTTCCATAAACTAACAACTTCATATTATATTTTACAGTTGAATTATGCTATACAGGAGTTCCTGTAATAAACTATAAGATTCTAAAAGAAAATTCTGATTATAACATCTTTGTATATTATTTCAAGCACCCAGACTATTGCCTTTCAGAGCAAGAGACATAAGAAAAAATTATTGGTTGAATGGATGAATGAAAGAATGAAGTCACATATAAATAGTTTCAGCCACTCTTGATTCTCTAAATCAAGAAGTTTACATAAAACACTACTCTCTAGTTCACAACTATCTTGTAAACAGATTTTCAAATTATAGATGATGGAACTGGAATGGCTAAAATCATGAATTATAACCAGTTAGATAACATAATGACTAAGAGTATGGGCTCTTGAGACAGGCAAACTTAATTTGAATTCACCACCTGAAAGTTGTAGAAATTAATTAAGATAATATCCTCTCTGATTTTCAGTTTTCTGTTGGTAAAATAAAAATAAATATGATAAAAATAATTTCAAGGCCACTATAAGAATGAAATGTGAATTATTAAGTCAAATATTTAGCACAGTGCCTAGCATAGAGACATAATAGTATTATTGTTTTCATGCCTATTTTAAAATTACATTCCAAAACTATTCCAGAAAAATAATTTATGACCTCTAAAGCATATAAATATGTTTTAGAAAACAGTAACACAAGATAACAATAAACTAGTAAAGTTAGTCAATCTAAATATACATTGAAAGCCTACCATGTAACAAGGACAATGTGGCATGTCAATATGAACACAACTAAAACTTCACACATGATTGGTACAAAAATTTATAGTTTTACATTTCTCTTCCCTGAAGTTCTTCAAAATGCAAACAAAGGAGCCCAAAATAAATAAAACTTTATCTTCTTTGTAATTAGACAAAGATCCCACAGAGTCCAAAGAAGCTCTTCTAGATATAATGCAACTTGGATGAAGTAATACAAGAAAAAATCATATAGTACCTAGCAAGAACACTCAATGAGATCTCACCTATTCTTACTTTTAAAATGTTAAAAGTCACTATGAATATATGAATTCATAGAATAAAAAAATTGTACTGAAATATATAATAAAAATTACTAAATATGCATCATGCTTGCAAATCGAAGTTAATGCAAGGTGCCTTTCTAAGAATTTGACAGAATCATTAGATAAAATAAATGACATTGTAGATTTGGACCACAATTTATTATCTATTGAACATTGTCCAGGATTGATCAAGTGCTGGGAATAATTTACAAAATTACTCACTGTTAAGCCTGTTTTTTTTTTTACTATAATGAGTGATATGGAGAAAATAAATGCAAAAAAATAGAAATAATCTGATAATAAGAAATTATTTAAAAACTCTTTTTTAAAATTATACTTAAATTCTGGGATACATGTGCATAATGTGCAGGTTTGTTACATAGGTATACACGTGCCATGGTGGTTTGCTGCACCCATCAACCTGTCATCTCCATTAAGTATTTCTCCTAATGCTATCCCTCCCCTAGCCCCCCATCCCCTGACACACCCCGGTGTGTGATGTTCCCCTCCCTGTGTCCATGTGTTCCCATTGTTCTACTCCCATTTATGGATGAGAATATGCGGTGTTTGGTTTTCTGTTCCTGTGTTAGTTTGCTGAGAATGATGGTCTCCAGCTTCATCCATGTCCCTGAAAAGGACATGACCTCATCTTTTTTTATGTTTGCATAGTATTGTGGTGTTTATGTGCCACATTTTCTTTATCCAGTCTATCATTGATGGGCATTTGGGTTGGTTCCAAGTCTTTGCTATTGTGAATAGTGCTGCAATAAACATACATGTGCATGTGTCTTTATAGTAGAATGATTTATACTCCTTTGGGTACATACCCAGTAATGGGATTCCTGGGTCAAATGGTTATTTCTGGTTCTAGATCCTTGAGGAATCACCACACTGTCTTCCACAGTGGTTGAACTAATTTACACTCCTAACAACAGCATAAAAGTGTTCCTATTTCTCCACATCCTCTCTAGCATCTCTTGTTTCCTGACTTTTTTTTTTTTTTTTTTGAGATAGAGTGTTGTTCCTGTTGTCCAGGCTGGAGTGCAATGGCATGATATCGGCTCACTGCAACCGCTACCTCCCAGGCTCAAGCGATTCTCCTGCCTTAGCCTCCTGAGTAGCTGGGATTACAGGCATGCGCCACCATGCCCAGCTAATTTTGTATTTTTAGTAGAGACAGGGTTTCTTCATGTAGGTCAGGCTGGTCTCAAACTCCCGACCTCAGGTGATCCACCCGCCTCGGCCTCCCAAAATGCTGGGACTACAGGCATGAGCCACCGTGCCTGGCCTGTTTCCTGAGTTTTTAATGATTGTCATTCTAACTGTCATGAGGTGGTATCTCATTGTGGTTTTGATTTGCATTTCTTTAATGGCCAGTGATGATGAGCTTTTTTTCATGTTTTTTGGCCACATGTCTTTTTTTGAGAAGTGTCTGTTCATATCCTTCACCCACTTTTATATGGGTTTTTTTTTCTTGTAAATTTATTTAAATTCCTTGTAGACTCTGGATATTAGCATTTTTTCAGATGGATAGATTGCAAAAATTTTCTCCATAGGCAACCTACAAAAATTCTTTTTATAATGCTTTAGACAAATATATTTTTTAATTATATATTATGTTTAAAAGTATGACAGTAACAATATTAAACATTAAACTTTTAAAAGGCAAGTAAAATTACATAAACATCAAAACATTACATTTGTATTTACAAATACTGTTTTAAAATAAAAATATAAACAAAAATAGTCTAGAAAAAGAAACTTATAACTAGATAAAATTGATTTAGGCACCAATTAATATAAATCTATACAATAATGAAATAAAAAAACCATTTATATAAATGGGACTGAGAGCAGGGTTTTTGACAAGAATGATAATATGGACAAATTTCAATAAAGGCTATTGTTAGAAACATAAAATATGCAATATCCAAAATATCTACCATTCGGAATGGGAAATGATATATGGCCACAGATATGCAATAAATAAAAAGATAATACTATAGAAAATAGAATTCCAGTTCCAGCCATAACAGAGTAGATAGCACTAATCTTGCCAACTAAAACCATAACCCTTGATAAAAAATATGTATGAAAACGTTTTGAAGGTCATAGAGATCATCCAGTGCAGACAGGCTTGAGGAGTTAGAAACTGAGAGAAAGGGAACTTACATGGTGAGATTTAGTCACCTCTGCTTTTTCCTTAGAGCCATTTTTTAACTTGCAGTGCAGCAGATTAACTAGCATTCTTATACAACTGGAGACCTGAAAATCGAAGTCTGGGATAACTAAACTTGTGGAGTCCTGAGGATCTTGGAAAGGGAATAAAAATACATACACACGAAAAAAGAAGTCTGATATTTTGAGTACAGCTTCCCACTATGTCATTGCCCAGCTTCTAAACTGTGTATTCATAGGAATGAGCTCTATGAAATTCAATAAATCTTGGCTGGAAGGAGACTAAAAAGTTGAGTGGGGATGAGAGTAGCCCCCTGACACAAGGGCAGAGAGGCTGAATTCAAATCACTATAAGATGAAGGAAAACACATTACATTTTTTAGTCAAGAAACCAAAAGAAGCATACATTCAAGAAGTAAGGGCTATACCCTAAGAACAATAAGTATGTCACTGGGGTAACAGAACTCAAGAATAACTCTAAGAAACCCTAAAACCAGGACTTACTAAGAAAACCCATCAGTGTTCTGTCTGCCTGCCAACAGAGAAGTTAACCCTGTTTGCAGGAACATAATAGCAGAATTTACTAAACAAAATTTAAGACATGCTAAAAATAGTATCTATTAAATAAGCTCCCGAACTCCACCAAGAAAAAGATAAAACAAAGAGACTACCAATGATTCATTCATTTATTGAAGATATCAGATATGAACTTAATAATTATGATTACTATGTTTGAGAACTTTAAAAAAATGACAAACTAGATGAAGAGATGGAAAATGTCAATAGAAACTGGAATTTATAAAAATTGTGTTTATATTCCAGATCTACACGATATCTGAAATTAGGAATTTATTAGACAGATCTAACAGCAGACTTAACAGTGGAAAAACCAGTGAATCCAAATTCAGGGTGAAGGAAAACACAACTAAAGCAACAAGAGGAAAACCTATGGGAGAAAAAGTAACAACATAATGAGAAACATGGTCAAAGGAATAAGTACATGTAATTGAAAATGGTGGAAGGAAATGAAAAGGAGATTGCAGAAAAATAATCAGAATACACAAAGCTGAAAATTTTCTACAGGTAATTAAGACCGCTTACACAATGAAGAACCTTAATGAACTCCATACCAAGATAAAAAAAAATCACACCAAGGCCCATCATAGTCAAAATGCAAAGATCTCATAGAGAAAGAGAAAAAAGTCTTAATAGTAGTCAGAGGATGTATGACATTGCTCCTTCAAAAATAAATTAGATTGTGGATAACTTTTCAATGCAGACTGTGAGAGCTGGAAAATAATGGAGCAACATCTTTAAAGTGTGGAAGAAACAACAACTTCCAAACTGATTTCTGTAAATAACTAAAATACCCTTAAAAAAGATAAAATACATATAAAAAAATGAAATTGACAAATTCATAACCATCAGAAAAAACACCTGAAAAGTACTACATATGCAATCAAAAATATATTTCATAGGCTTAACAGCAGATTGAGTATAAAAGAGGAAAGGTTAACAAACTTTAAATCAGGTCCAAAGAAATTTGAAAAGCTCAATATAACTAAAATAGTAAAGAATTTAAATTAGTAATTAAAAATCAGTAATTGAGAATTTTCTATTGGCAAAATACAGGGTCTGTAGGTTAATTTTAACAGAAACTGAAAGCAGAAATATTATTAGTCTTTCTCTCTCTCTCTTTTTTTTTTTTTGCAGAAAACTGAGGAGGAATGAACATTTTCCAATGTGTTATTTGAGGTCAATATTACCTTGATACCGAAACCATACAAACACATCCCTGAGGTAAATTATGTATCAATATTCCCAATGAATACAAATGCAGAATGGCTATTATTAAAAAGTCAAAACATTAACAGTTGCTGGCAAGGTTGCAGAGAAAAGGGAACATTTATAAAATGGTTGGTGGGAGAGTAATGAATTCAACCATTGTGGAAAGCTGTGTGGCATTTCCTCAAGGAGCTAAAAGCAGAACTACCATTTGACCCAGCAATCCCATTACTGGGTATGTACCCACAGGAATACAAATTATTCTACCGTAAAGACACAGGCATGCAAATGTTCACTGCAGCATTATTCACAATAGCAAAGACATGGAATCAACTTAAATGCCCATCAATGAAAGATTGAGTAAAAAAAAAAAAAAATGTGACACATATATACCATAGAATACTATGCATCCACAAAAAAGAACAAGATTGTGTCTTTTTCAGGAACATGGATGGACCTGGAGGCTATCATCCTTAGCAAACTAAAGGAGGAACAGAAAACCAAATACCACATGTTCTTACAAGTGGGAGCTAAATTATGAGAAATTATGAACACAAAGAAGGAAACAACAGACACTGGCGTCTTTTTGACGGCTGAGGTTGGGCGGAGGGAGAGGAGCAAAACAGATAACTATCGGGTACAGGACTTAATCCTGAGTGATGAAATAATCTGTACAATAAACCTCCTTGACATGAGTTGACGTGTGTAACAAACTTCATGTACCACCGAACCTAAAATAAAATAATTATTTTAGAAAACAAAAATTCTCAACAAAATATAAACAAAATCTAGCAAAACCAAAAAGAATGATAAAGCATGACCAAGCAGGAGTATCATAGAAATGCAACATGGAATTAATAGCTTAAAATTGGTTAATGTGAAACATCATATTAATAAATTAAAGGACAAGAGCCATAAGATCTTTTTGACAGATGCAGAAAATTGCTTCATGATATCCACCATCCAGTTTTATTTGCTTTAAAAAAAAAAGCTTAAAAACTCCAAATAAAATAGAACTTCTTCAACCTAATAAAGGGTATCTATGAAAACCCCCAAAATTAGCTTTCTGCTTACTGTTGAGAGACTGTATGTTTTCCCCTTAATTGGGAAGAATATAAGCATGTGTCTCATAACATCTATTCAGCACTGCATTGAGGATTCTAGTTAGTGCAATCAGAGAAGACATAGAAATAAAAGCATCAAACTGAAAATAAAGAATAAAAAGAATAAAACTGTAATATTCACACATGACATAATGCTGTATAAATCAAAGAAATACACAAACTACTAGAACTAGTAAACAAATTCAGCGAAGTCATAGGATATAAGATAATTAAACAATATTAGTTGTAGTTCTACATATACCAATAAAATAGGTAGGAACACATTTAAGAAAAAAGTCAAAATTCATGCTTTGAAAATGAATATTGTCCGGAGAAATTCTAAATGATTTAAGTGGATGGAAAGATATTCCATGATTATGGATAGGGACAAATATTTTTAAGATGATACTTCCCAGCTTGATCTATAGATTCAATACAAACTCTATCAAACTCCCAACTGGCTCCTTTGAATAAATCTTTTGAAAAAATTGACAAGCTATTCTAAAATTTATATGGAAATGGAAATCATCTAAAATGCCAAAACATTATTGACTAGAAGAATAAAGCTGGAGGACATATCCTTCATAATTTCAAAACTTAACTACAGAGATAATAGTGAAGAAAGGGAGGTGCCGTGGTTAATGCCTGTAATCCCAGCACTTTGGGAGGCTAATGCGGGAGAACTCCTTGAGGCCAGGAGTTTGAAACCAGCCTGGGAAACATAGCAAGACTCCATCTCTACAAGAAAATAAAAATAAATAAATAAATAAATAAATAAATAAATAAATAAGAGCTGGGTGTGGTGATGTGCACCTGTAGTCCTTACTCCTCAGGATGCTGAGGTGAAGGATCATTTGGTCAATCCTGGCAAATTGAGATCAGTAATTCCAAGTTGTACTTAAGTAGGGTTATACCACTGCTCTCCAGCCTGGACATCAGAAGGAGACCCTGTCTCTAAAAAATAAGAAAAATTTAAACCAAAAAAAAAATGAGAGAGAGAGGGACTAACAAAGGGTAGTTTTTGAGTACAAGGGAATATAATTAGGACATCAGAAATCCATATGTCAGAATATGAATTTACACTTTTACCTCACACCACATAGAAAAATTAACCTAAAATGGATCATAGATTTAAATATAAAAGCAAAATTAAAAAGTTAGAAGGAAACATGACAGTACATATTTGTGACTTTGTATTAGGCAATGATTTCTTAGATATGACTTTTAAAGCCAAAGAGGTAAACAAAAATGTAATAAATTGTTTATCAAAATTCAAAATGTTCATGCTTCAAAAAAGACCACTAAGAAGATGAAAAGACAAACCCCAGGCTGAAATAAAATATTTGTAAATCATATTTCCAGAATATGTGACTCTTACAACTTAATAAATAAACGCTCAAAAGACTACATAAATATTTTACCAAATAAGTACACATATATCTAATAAAAGCATATCAAAATGTAAATAGAATGGTGGTTACCAGAGTCTGGGAAGGGTAGTTGGGTGGGAGAGATTGATTAATAAGTACAAAAACATAGTTAGATAGAAGAAAGTAGTTCTAATGTTTGGTAGCACAATAGGGTGACTATAGTTAACAAATAGTTTATTGTATATTTCAAAATAGCTAGGAAAGTAGATTAAAAATATCCCCAAAACAAAGAAATCATAAATGTTTGCAGTGCTGTATATACTATTACCCGATTTGATCATTACACATTGTTTGCTTTTATCAAAATATCACATGCACCACATAAATATGTATAATTATTATGTACCCATAAAAATAAAAAAAAATGACTAATGTCAATTTGTCATTATGAAAATGCATATAAAATCCATAGTGCAATATCATTGAAAACACAGTAGAAGGATTATAATAGAAAAGACAGGATATAAAAAGTATTATTAAGAATGTGAAGGAAGAAGAGCCCTAACTCATTGTTGATGGATATAGAAAATAGTGCAGCCACTTGGAGAAACAGGTTGACAATTTCTTATAAAGCCACACATAAATTTATTGCATAATCTAACGTATTTGTCTCCTATTACTACTGTAACCAATTGCCACAAATTTAGTGTCTTAAAACAATACAAATTTATTATCTTACAGTTCTAGAGGTCAGAAGTCTTAAATGTCTTATATATCTAATGGGGAGTGACTGCAAATGGGTGATAAAAATGTTATGAAATTGGAGTGTGGTATTCCTTGCACAACTCTGTAAATTTACTAAAAATATTTCATTGTCCATGAAATCAAGTAGATCCTATGTGAATTATACCTCAATAAAGCTAATTAATATTTTTATACCAAGTCCATAAGAATATTAGTGAATTAATGAAACAACAGGATAGTACATAGAGTCCATTATGGTCTGTATACTGTTTTTGTAAACCTAGAAAAATTCAAGCATATTTCAAATATTTAAAAATTTTTTAAAGCAATACTAAAGTAAATATTTCTATTGTTTTGGAATGTGTGATTATTTTCTGAAAACAGGACAAAATGTTTTCAACTAGGAAAACATTAGTGGTTTAAATATTTAAAATTCCTCTGTGGCTGTGGCACTAAAAATAAATTTAAACAAATGAATAATACAGTATTAATTACAACCTGCTTCACATGTCTTTGTCTACCCAGTACCTGTGTATTTACCTAGCTTCTCCCTTGCAACTAGTCCTATGGGTGTGATTTGGGTTTCATTTTGCAATTGAACTGAAGGAAGAACTCAAGCTCCCAGTTTAATGCAGAGTGGTATCAGGGACAGTATGGTTCTGGATTGAGCTGTGGGGTGGCTACTTGCCAATCCAGCAAGTGGGTTTCAGATTACACAATAGGAGCATGTAAGGCAGTCCAGAGTTTGGTAGCATGCTTCTTGGAGTCATTCACAGATCAGACTGCATTATGTTCCTCAGCCCTGGCACAGGTTATATAAACCACATAGGACCCCACACCCAGCTTTTCTTCCTTTATCTAGTATTGATTCTCTCTTCTGCTATTGAATTCCAAGTTATCTACTAGGAAAACATAATGTATAATTCACATGACAGAAAGTTACTATTTTTAATGTATAAAGAAATTGTATAAATCAATGAGGAAAATACAAATGCTCCAGTTGAAAAGAGGCAATTTACTTAAAAACATATACTTATAATGGTTTAGCATATGAGATGCTCAATCACACTAAAAAAATAAATTAAATCAATAATTTATTTTCATATTTTTACCTTTTAAACTGGTAACATTAAAAAGAGGGATACTATTCATTATGAGAAAGGTGTGAAGAAACAAGCAATATTTTATACTGTTGGTGTATTAGTCCGTTTTCACGCTGTTGATAAAGACATACCTGAGAATGGGCAATTTATAAACGAAAAAGATTTATTGGACTTACGGTTCCACATGGCTGGGGAGGCCTCACAATAATGGCAGAAGGCATAGAGGAGCAAGTCACATCTTACACGGATGGCAGCAGGCAAAAAGAGAGCTTATTATGGAGGAACTCCCATTTTTCAAACAGTCAGATCTCCTGAGACCTATTCACTATCAGGAGAACAGCATAGGAAAGACCCACCCCCATAATTCAATCATCTCCCCTGGGGTCCCTCCCACAACACATGGGAATTATGAGAGCTACAAAATGATATTGGGTGGGGACACAGTGCCAAACCATATTAGCTGGTAACTTAGATACTAATTTGTGAATAATGTGGCAATATTTTAGAAACTTTCAAGTAATATGCAGTTTGACCCATACATTTCCTTTTTAGAAACTTGTCTAAATACTTTACTTTCTGGTCTATGGATCCTTGGGTACTCCACAAACCCTGGTAGACACTCAATAAATAGTTGTTGACCCTTTTTGCTAAAAGATGTATTTATACAAGGCTCAGTACAACATTGTTGAAAAAAAAAAACCGTTGGGAATAATCAAAATATATACCAATAAGATATTAAATTTTTATAATATACTGAAATACTATATAATAATTAAAAAGAATTAGGTATGTCTACTGTATGTATGAACATTTGTTGGTATAATATAATCTTATTTTTTGTGAAATTCAGAAGATATAAAATAAACTAATAGTAAAAAAAAATTTTACCATTTCATAATTTAAATGTAATATAAAGGAGTAAACACAAACACGCTCATATAACATCAAACCCTCTCCACAAAGAAAAAGTAAATAAATACACAGGAATAAGACTAATTGTGATGAATGTATTTTTAGAATTTGTGACAGACAATTTCTTTGCCTAAAATCGTGTTTTTGAAAGCAGTAAAAGGTGCAGGTTCTAGCAAGAGGACAACACTGATAGATGTTTCTGAATTCTTCTTCCTCCCTGCTTTTTCTCCCTTCTCTGGAGTGAGACCATTCATTACCTGCAAAACTTTAAAAAGGGCCACTATTGATCCATTTGATACCGTCTTGCCAATTAGAAAAATGCTGGCTACACTCCCTTCTTCTTGGGCACATGATTTAGAGGAGCATGAGCTGGTTTTCAGCTCCTACTCACTCACTCAGTCATTGTTCTTATGGGAGGATAACTACAAAACCATAGATGATGTTCCTGATCATGCATTCATTCAAAGAGTTCAGGAGACAACCAAGTTCTGTCAGTTATCTTGGGGAGATTTCCCTGGCATGCTCATATATGATTCTAAAAAGGCCTATCTCTGGTGACTTGTGAACACCTGAAGGCAAGCCACTGGTTCAATTGCTGTCAGTATCTCTAGCTTACCACCATTCCACAAGTATAGAAACAATTCTGCTTGCCATCAATCACTAAAGGCCTGCCTTGCAAGCCGAGGCTACATGATATTTTAATAATTTAAAATTAAATTAAAAAACAAAAAAGAAAATCAGTATAGATAATTAGTGGATTAGTCTGTCAAGTGCAATGCCAAAATGTGACAAAAGAAAGAAAAAATTAAACTAATAAAGAGAAAAATGAGAAATTTGGAGAATAGCTTCAGAAAATTTGGACATTCTAGAATGAGATAAAGCAACAGAAGAAGAACAACTAAACAAATAACAGAAAATTACTTATCTTTACAGTCAGAAGAAAGGCTGCAGTGTTTAACTTGAAAAGGCTCATTGAAATTCAAGTGAGAATATTTTTTAAAAAATACAACAAAGCCAGGTGTAGTACCTGTAATCCAAGCTACTGAAACGGCTGAGGCAGGAGGATTGCCTGAGCCCAGGAGTTGGAGACAAGCCTAGGCAACATAATGAGACCTTGTCAAAAATAGATATATATATATATTTGTACAGAAATAAGATGATCAAATAACATCTACTAGTTTATCACAATTGTTCTAGTAGTAATCACAGTCAACTAAGAGAAAAGGATTTGGTGTTCAAGAGTCCTACAGCCAGACAAAATATCATTTCCCCATCAAAAAGAAATATATCACTAAGAAAATTTTAGATTGCCATAGCATATTAGATAGATTTTTTAATGAAATAAAAATGGAATAAGAACATTGTTTCAAAAAATGCAGAGTACTCAACCATCTATACCTGTGTGCATATGTACATGAGGCTGTGTGTGTGTGTGTGTGTGTGTGTGTGAGTGATTGTGTGTAAATAAACAGGACAAGTATTTGGGAACAATTTTTGACTCTCTGTACTATCTGATCACTTTGGGATGGGGTCAGTCACCTTAGTAGCAGTAAGGGACAGAGAAAGAATTCCAAGTAGCAAACAGCCACATGCTAAAACAGCAAGCTATGTTAAAAAAAAATCTACTACTCTCAGTCCCTGAGTTTCCTTACATATGGCTGAGTCCACTAGTAGTTTTTCATTTACACTGACATGAACCATACTATGTCAAAAAATAGTTCAGGAACAGCCAAGAAGTTCCCAAGATCACAGACTTCAAAAACCCCTGTTACAACCCTAAAGCATTGCCTGAAACTTTATCTTTGCCTGAAGCTTTATGCTTTGCCTGAAGTTCTCTCAAACTTCTCATTGGAATTATTCTAAAGCAGCTAACCACCGATTGAGCACACGTACAGCCTGTTTTAACTTTTTGCATGGACCTTTGTTTAATAGACCATCACTGACTTGAGGAAGAGCCTGCAGCCAAGGCCACAGACAGTGGGATCTGCACTTGCAGTTTCTGTTTCATTTGGTTGAACTCTGTTTTTTTACCCATCACTTGGGCAGGTGAAAGTTATAAACCAACTGTGGTATCTTCCCCAGTAACCGTCTGTTTCTCCTAAGTCTCATTATTTCTAATAAAGAAACCTGTTTTTTTGTCTCCATAAGAAAAACAGCTTTCCTTCTGATTGTGATTTCCTTATCAAAAATGTTTTCCAACTATTTAGAAACCATAGATATATATGGAGATATATGGAGAACAATACTAGCTAAAATTAAATTTTAAACTGTTTCAAGAAACCAAGAATTTAGAAGCATGGGAAGGTAAGCAGAGACAGTGCCACATGTTCATATCATTTCATTTTTGCAAATACAGTATTTCACAGATGTCACTGCATTAGGTGGGGCCATGTGACTAATTCAGGATACTGCAATGTGAGTGAAAGTAAGGCATATGAACACAGTCTTTGAAGATTCAGCTGCCTTCTTCTTCCATAACAACTGAAGGTTCCATATATTGAGATGATAGAATCAAAAGATCCAAACACCAGAGATCACTGAATTCCGACAGAGGAAACTTCTTTTCAGAGCTGATACAGGTCCTGCAGACTTTCCGTGTGTGTGTGTGTGTGTGTGTGTGTGTGTGTGTGAGATTGCGTGTAAATAAATAGGACAAGTATTTAGAAACAATTTCTGACTCTCTCTACTAACTACTAACCATACCCACTTTGGGATGGGCTCAGTCACTTTGATGGCTGTAAGGAACAGAGAAAGAATTATCTGCATAAGACTTTGCATAAGTGAAAAATAAACTCTCATATACTAAATAACTGTGGTGGATTTTTCCCTTCTAGCATGTCCTAGTTTATCCTGAATAGCATGTGACAAAAGATAGGGGAAATTGATTGTTAATGCTTTCTAAACTTTTATCTTGGATTGTGATCAAAGCTATGCCATTTGCTTTTATTAATATAATAAAGAAAACAATATATTAAATTTTGATTTTTCAGAATGAAAGATAAGTACTACCATATTGAAAAGCATAGTAGAACATAATTAGCAAGCAAAAAAGAAGAATGATACAAGTATACTAAAGCCAGAAAAATAATAAAAAGGAAAAAGAAAACAATAGCAAAGTAAAATAAACAGCTAACATGAAATAAAATGCAAGTAATAAAAACAATTATATCATTTATTGTATGCAATGTGAGCAGGCTGGATTTCCCAATTAGAGATGGATAATTGTTGGGATGGGTTAAAAACAAAATGTACACATATGTTGTGTACAAAAAATATAATGATAAAAGTAAGTTGGAAATAAGAGATGGGGAATAGATTCCTAGACAACTATGAACAACATAAAACAGTCTTGGAAATATTAGAGTGCAAGGAAATCTATGAAAAATGGAAATATTACAGTGCAGGGAAATCTATGAAAAAAGCATTTAATAAGGGGAAGAGACACAATACATAATGATCCCAAAAGTATAAATTTTTGAGAAAATGTAATAGACCTAAACCTTTATACATTGAACAAGATAGCAAATAACTATATAAAGAAAACCTCCCAAAGGTATTTTTTTCTAAGTTTAGTTATTTTTATGTAATTTCAACTTATATTTTAGATATAGAGGGTACATGTACAGGTTTGTTACATAGGAATGTTACATGATGCTGAGGTTTGAGGTACAGATCCCACCACCCACGTAATGAGCGTAATATCCAACAAGTAGTTTTTCAACCTACCCCAACTCCCTCCACTCTCTAGTAGTCAGTAGTACCTATTCTTCCCATATTTAGGTTCATGTGTTAGCTCCCACTTGTAAGTGAGAACATGTGGTATTTGATTTTCTGCTCCTACATTAATTTGCTTAGGATTATGGTCTCCAGCTACGTCCATGTTGCTGCGAAGGACATGATTCATTCTTTCTTATGGCTGCATAGTATTCCACAGTGCATATGTACCACATTTTCTTTATCCAATCTACCATTGATGGGCACCTGGGTTGATTCCATGTCTTTGCTGTTGTGAATAGCAGTGGGATGAGCATCTAAGTGGATGTATCTTCTTGGCAGAATGATTTAATTTCCTTTAAGTGTATGCCCAGTAATGGGATTGCTGGGTCATATGGTAGTTCTGTTTTAAATTCTTTGAGAAATCTTCAAACTGCTTTCCAAAGTGGCTGAACTAATTTACATTCCCAACAACAGTATATAAGTATTTCCTTTTCCCCATTTTTCCTGCAGCCTAGCCAGCATCTGTTTCTTTCTTTCTTGTTTTTTTTTTTTTTTTTGACTTTTTAGTAATAGCCATTCTGTGACCAGCTGGATATGAAGACAAGACCCATTGGTGCACTGTATTCAAGAGACACATCATATTTGCAAAGATGCACATAAACTCAAAATAAAGGGATGGAGGAAAAATTACCAAGCAAATGGAAAGCAGGAAAAAAGCAGGGGTTGCAATCCTAGTTTCTGACAAAACAGACTTTAAACAAACAAAGGTCAAAAAAGACAAGAAGGGCATTACATAATGTGAAAGGGTTCAATTCAACAAGAAGAGCTAACTATCCTAAATATATATGCACACAATATAGGAACATCCAGATTCATAAAACAAATTCTTAGAGACCTACAAAGAGACTTAGACCTCCACACAATAATAGTGGGAGACTTTAATACCCCACTGTCAGTATTAGACAGATCATCAAGACAGAAAATTAACAAAGATATTCAGGACTTGAACTCATCCCTAAATCAAGTGGACATATTATTTTGAGATACACCCCATCAATAACTAATTTACTGAGAGTGTTTAGCATGAAGGGCTGTTGAATTTTGTCAAAGGCCTTTTCTGCATCTATTGAGATAATCATGTGGTTTTTGTCTTTGGTTCTGTTTATATGCTGGATTATGTTTATTGATTTGTGTATGTTGAACCAGCCTTGCATCCCAGGGATGAAGCCCACTTGATCATGGTGGATAAGCTTTTTGATGTGCTGCTGGATTCGGTTTGCCAGTATTTTATTGAGGATTTTTGCATCGATGTTCATCAGGGGTATTGGTCTAAAATTCTCTTTTTTTGTTGTGTCTCTGCCAGGCTTTGGTATCAGGATGATGCTGGCCTCATAAAATGAGTTAAAGAGGATTCCCTCTTTTTCTATTGATTGGAATAGTTTCAGAAGGAATGGTACCAGCTCCTCCTTTTACCTCTGGTAGAATTCGGCTGTGAATCCGTCTGGTCCTGGACTGTTTTTGGTTGGTAAGCTATTAATTATTGCCTCAATTTCAGAGCCTGTTATTGGTCTATTAAGAGATTCAACTTCTTCCTGGTTTAGTCTTGGGAGGGTGTAAGTGTTGAGGAATTTATCCATTTCTTCTAGATTTTCTAGTTTATTTGCATAGAGGTGTTTGTAGTAATCTCTGATGGTAGTTTGTATTTCTGTGGGATCGGTGGTGATATTCCCTTTATCATTTATTATGGCATCTATTTGATTCTTCTCTCTTTTCTTCTTTATTAGTCTTGCTAGCAGTCTCTCAATTTTGTTGATCTTTCCAAAAAACCAGCTCCTGGATTCATTGATTTTTTGAAGGCTTTTTTGTGTCTCTATCTCCTTCAGTTCTGCTCTGATCTTAGTTATTTCTTGCCTTCTGCTAGCTTTTGAATGTGTTTGCTCCTGCTTCTCTAGTTCTTTTAATTGTGATGTTAGGGTGCCAATTTTAGATCTTTCCTGCTTTCTCTTGTGGGCACTTAGTGCTATTAATTTCCCTCTACACACTGCTTTGAATGTGTCCCAGAGATTCTGGTATGTTGTGTCTTTGCTCTCATTGTTTTCAAAGAACATCTTTATTTCTGCCTTCATTTCGTTATGTACCCAGTAGTTATTCAGGAGCAGGTTGTTCAATTTCCATGTAGTTGAGCGGTTTTGAGTGAGTTTCTTAATCCTGAGTTCTAGTTTGATTGCACTGTGGTCTGAGAGACAGTTTGTTATAATTTCTGTTCTTTTACATTTGCTGAGGAGAGCTTTACTTCCAACTATGTGGTCAATTTTGGAATAAGTGCAATGTGGTGCTAAGAAGAATGTATATTCTGTTGATTTGGCGTGGAGAGTTCTGTAGATGTCTATTAGGTCCACTTGGTGCAGAGCTGAGTTCAGTTCCTAGATATCCTTGTTAACTTTCTGTCTCGTTGATCTGTCTAATGTTGACAGTGGGGTGTTAAAGTCTCCCATTATTATGGAGTGGGAGTCTAAGTCTCTTTGTAGGTCTCTAAGGACTTGCTTTATGAATCTGGGTGATCCTGTGTTGGGTGCATATATATTTAGGATAGTTAGCTCTTCTTGTCGAATTGATCCCTTTACCATTATGTAATGGCCTTCTTTGTCTCTTTTGATCTTTGTTGGTTTAAAGTCTGTTTTATCAGAGACTAGGATTGCAACCCCTCCCTTTTTTTGTTTTCCATTTGCTTGGTAGATCTTCCTTCATCCCGTTATTTTGAGCCTATGTGTGTCTGTGCATGTGAGATGGGTTTCCTGAATACAGCACACTGATGGGTCTTGACTCTTTATCCAATTTGCCAGTCTGTGTCTTTTAATTGGAGCATTTAGCCCATTTACGTTTAAGGCTAATATGACAAACCCACAGTCAATATCATACTGAATGGGCAAAAACTGGAAGCATTCCCTTTCAAAACTGGCATAAGACAGGGATGTCCTCTCTCACCACTCCTATTCAACATAGTGTTGGAAGTTCTGGCCAGGGCAATCAGGCAGGAGAAAGAAATAAAGGGTATTCAATTAGGAAAAGAGGAAGTCAAATTGACTCTGTTTGCAGATGACATGATTGTACATCTAGAAAACCCCATCGTCTCAGCCCAAAATCTCCTTAAGCTGATAAGCAACTTCAGCAAAGTTTCAGGATACAAAATCAATGGGCAAAAATCACAAACATTCTTATAAACCAATAACAGACAAATGGAGAGCCAAATCATGAGTGAACTCCCATTCACAATTGCTTCAAAGAGAATAAAACACCTAGGAATACAACTTACAAGGGATGTGAAGGACCTCTTCAAGGAGAACTACAAACCACTGCTCAATGAAATAAAAGAGGATACAAACAAATGGAAGAACATTCCATGCTCATGGATAGGAAGAATTAATATCGTGAAAATGGCCATACTGGCCAAGGTAATTTATAGATTCAGTGTCATCCCCATCAAGCTACCAATGACTTTCTTCACAGAATTGGAAAAATCTACTTTAAAGTTCATATGGAACCAAAAAAGAGCCCGCATTGCCAAGTCAATCCTAAGCCAAAAGAACGAAGCTGGAGGCATCACGTTACTTGACTTCAAACTATACTATAAGGCTACAGTAACCAAAACAGCATGGTACTGGTACCAAAACAGAGATATAGACCAATGGAACAGAACAGAGCCCTCAGAAATAATACCACACATCTACAACTATCTGATCTTTGACAAACCTGACAAAAACAAGAAATGGGGAAGGATTCCCTATTTAACAAATGGTGCTGGGAAAACTGGCTAGCCATATGTGGAAAGCTGAAACTGGATCCCTTCCTTACACCTTATACAAAAATTAATTCAAGATGGATTAAAGACTTACATGTTAGACCTAAAACCATAAAAACCCTAGAAGAAAACCTAGGCACTACCATTCAGGACATAGGCATGGGCAAGGACTTCATGTCTAAAACACCAAAAGCAATGGCAACAAAAGACAAAATTGACAAATGGGATCTAATTAAACTAAAGAGCTTCTGCACAGCAAAAGAAACTACCATCAGAGTGATCAGGCAACCTACAGAATGGGAGAAAATTTTTGCAATCTACTCATCTGACAAAGGGCTAATATCCAGAATCTACAATGAACTCAAACAAATGTATAAGAAAAAAACAACCCCATCAACAAGTGGGCAAAGGATATGAACAGACACTTCTCAAAAGAAGACATTTATGCAGCCAAAAGACACATGAAAAAATGCTCATCATCACTGGCCATCAGAGAAATGCAAATCAAAACCACAATGAGATACCATCTCACACCAGTTAGAATGGTGATCATTAAAAAGTCAGGAAACAATAGGTGCTGGAGAGGATGTGGAGAAATAGGAACACTTTTACACTGTTGGTGGGACTGTAAACTAGTTCAACCATTGTGGAAGACAGTGTGGTGATTCCTCAGGGATCTAGAACTAGAAATACCATTTGACCCAGCCATCCCATTACTGGGTATATACCCAAAGGATTATAAGTCATGCTGCTATAAAGACACATGCACGCATATGTTTATTGCAGCACTATTCACAATAGCAAAGACTTGGAACCAACCCAAATGTCCATCAATGATAGACTGGATTAAGAAAATGTGGCACATATACACCATGGAATACTATGCAGCCATAAAAAATGATGAGTTCATGTCCTTTGTAGGGACATGGATGAAGCTGCAAACCATCATTCTCAGTAAACTATCACAAGGACAAAAAACCAAACACTGCATGTTCTCACTCACAGGTGGGAATTGAACAGTGAGAACACTTGGACACAGGAAAGGGAACATCACACACTGGGGCCTATTGTGGGCTGGGGGTAGGGGTGAGGGATAGCATTAGGAGATATACCTAATGCAAATGATGAGTTAATGGGTGCAGCACACCAACATGGCACATGCATACATATGTAACAAACCTGTACATTGTGCACATGTACCCTAGAACTTAAAGATAATAAAAAATAAATAAATAAATAAATAAATAAATAAATAAATGAAGTAGACGTGATAGATATCTACAGATGTCTCCATGCAAAAACCACAGAATATACTTTTTTTTTTCCGGTGCCACATGGCACTTAACACTAAAATCAATCACATAATTAGAAGTAAAGTACTTCTCAGCAAATGCAAAAGAACTGGAATCATAACAGTCTCTCAGACCACAGAGCAATCAAATTAAAACTCAAAAAAGCCCACTGAAAACTATAAAACTACATGGAAATTGAACAACCTGCTCCTAAATGACTCTTTGGTACATATGGAAATTAAGGCACAAATCAAGAAGTTCTTTGAAACTAATAAGAACAAAGAGACAACGTATCAGAATCTCTGGGATGTAGCTAAAGCAGTGTTAAGATAGAAATTTGTAGCACTAAATGTCCTCATCAAAAAGCTAGGAAGATCTCAAAACAACATCCCAACATCACAAGTAAAACAACTAAAGAACTAAGGGCAAACAAACTCTAGAGCTAGCAGAAGACAAGAAATAACCAAGCTCACAGTGGAACTGAAGGAGATAGAGAAACCCTTTGAAAAATCAACAAATCCAAGAGCTGCTTTTTTTTTTTTGAAAAAAAAAATCAATAGAATAGATGACTAGCAAGATTAATAAGCAACAAAAGAGAGAAGATTCAAATAACACAATCAGAAAAGATAAGGGGGATACCACCACCAATCCCACAGAAATACAAAACAAATCAGAGAATACTATAAACACATCTATACAAATAAGCTGGAAAATCTAGAAGAAATGGATAAATTCCTGGACACATACACCCTCCCAAGACTGAACCAGAAAGAAGTTGAATCTCTGAATACACCAAAAACAAGCTCTGAAATTAAGGAAGTAATAAATAGCCTGCCAACCAAAAAAAAAAAAAAAAAAAAAAAAAAAAAAGCCCAGATCTACATGGATTTACAGCTGAATTCTACCAGAAGTAAAAAGAGGAGCTGGTACCATTTCTTCTGAAACTATTCCAAAAAATTGAAAAGGAGGGAATCCTCCCTAACTCATTTTATGAGGCCAGCACTCATCCTGATACCAAAACCTGGGAGAGATACAACAAACAAAGAAAGATTTAGGCTAATATATCTGATGAACATCGATGCAAAAATCCACAATAAAATACTGGCAAACCAAATCCAGCAGCACATAAAAAAACTTACCCACCACAATCAAATCGGCTTCATCCCTAGGATGCAGGGCTGGTTCAACATATGCAAATCAATAAACGTAATTCATTACATAAACAGAACTAAAGACAAAAAAACCATGACTATCTCAATAGACACATAAAAGGCCTTCAACGATATTCAGCATCCCTTCATGTTAAAAACTCTCAATAAACTAGATACTGAAGGAATGTACCTCAAAATAATAAAAGCCATTTACGACAAACACACAGTCAATATCATACTGAATGGGCAAAAGCTGGAAGCATTCCCCTTGAAAACTGGCACAAGACAAGGATGCCGTCTCTCCCCACTCTTATTGAACATAGCATTGGAAGTTCTGGCCAGACCAATTAGGCAAGAGAGAGAAATAAAGCATATTAATAGGAAGAGAGGAAGTCAAAGTGTCTTTGTTTGCAGATGACATAATCCTACATCTAGAAAAACACATAATTTCAGCCCAAAAGCTTCTTAAGATGATAGACAACTTTAACAAAGTCTCAGATACAAAATCAATGTGTAGAAATCACAAGCATTCCTATACAACAACAACACACAAACAAAAACCCAAATTATGAATGAACTCCCATTCACAAATGCCACAAAGAGAATAAAATACCTAGAAATACAACTAACAAGGGAAGTGAAGGACCTCTTCAGGGAGAACTCCAAACTACTAAAGGAAATCAGAAAAACATTCCATGCTCATGGATAGGAAGAATTAGTATCATGAAAATGGCTGTACTGCCCAAAACAATTTATATATTCAATGCTATTCTCATTAAACTACTATTGACATTCTTCACAGAATTAGAAAAAACTGTTTTAAAATTCATATGAACCAAAAAATAGCTCTCATAGCCAGATAATCCTAAGCAAAAAGAAAAGCTGGAGGCTTCACACTACCCAACTTCAAACTATATTACAAGGCCACAGTAACAAAAACAGCATGGTACTGGTACAAAAACAGGCACATAGACCAATGGAACAGAATAGAGAACTCAGAAATAAAATGGCACATCTACAACCATCTGATATTTGACAAAGCCAACAAAAACAAGCAATGGAGAAAGGATCCCCTATTTAAAAATAAAATTTAATAAATGGTGCTGGGAGAGCTGGCTAACCATATGCAGAAAATTAAAACTGGATCCATTCCTTACACCTTATACAAAGCTTAACTCAAATGGATTAAAGACTTAAATGTAAAACCCAAAACTATAAAAACCCTAGAAGAAAATATAGGCAATACAATTCATGACATAGGCATGGGCAAAGACTTTATGATGAAATCGCCAAAAGCAATTGTAACAAAATCAAAAATTGACAAAAGGGATCTAATTAAACTAAAGAGCTTCTGCACAGCAAATGAAGCTATCATCAGAGCCAACAGACAACCTAGAGAATAAGAGAGAATTTTTGCAATCTATCCATCTGACAAAAAGCTAATATCCAGAATCTATAAGAAACTTAAGCAAATTTACAAGAAACAACCCCATTAAAATGTGGGCAATGGATATGAACAGACACTACTCAAAAAAAGACATACATGGAGCCAACAAACATATACAAAATAGCTCAACATCCATGATCATTTGAAAAATGCAAATCAAAATCATAATAAGATACCATCTCATGACAGTCAGATGGTGATTATTAAAAAATCAAGAAACAACAAATGCTGGCAAGGTTCCAGAGAAATTGGAATGCTTTTACGCTGTTGGTGGGAATGTAAGTTAGTTCAACCATTGTGGAAGACAGTGTGGCGATTCGTCAAAGATTTAGAACCAGAAATACCATTTGACCCAGCAATGCCATTACTGGGTATATACCCAAAGGAATACAAATATAAATCATTCTATTATAACAATACATGCACACATATGCTCATTGTAGCACTATTCACAATAGCAAAGACATGGAATCAACCAAAATGCCCATCAATGATAGACTGGATAAAGAAAATGTGGCACATATACACCACAGAATACTATACATTCATAAAAACGAATGAGATCATGTCCTTTGCAGGGACATGGATGAAGCTGGAAGCCATTATTCTCAGAAAACTAACACAGGGACAGAAAACCAAAAACTGCACGTTCTCAGTTACAAGTGGGAGCTGAACAATGAGAACACATGGACACAGGAAGGGGAACAACACTTACTGGGGCCTATCGGGGGGTGGGGTAGGGACAGCATTAGGGAAAAGAGCTAATGCATACTGGGCTTTACACCTAAGTGATGGGTTGACAGGTGCAGCAAACCACCATGGCACACGTTTAGTTATGTAATAAACCTGCACATCCTGCACATGTACCCTGGAACTTAAAAAAGATAAAATAAAATAATTATAACAATAGCCATTCTGACTAGAGTGAGATGGTACTGCATTGTGATTTTGATTTACATTTCTCTGGTGATTTGTGATGATTAGCACTTTTTCATATGTTTGTTGGCTGCTTGTATGTTTTCTTTTAAGAAGTATCTGTTCATGTCCTATGTCCATTTTTAATGCAGTTGTTTTTTGCTTGCTGATTTGTTTAAGTTCCCCATTCATTCTGGATATTAGGCATTTGTGGGATGCATAGTTAATGAATATATTCTTCCATTCCATAGGCTGTCTGCTTGCTTTGTTAGTATTTTATTTTGCTGTATAGAAGCTTTTGAGTTTAATTAGGTCCCACTTCTTTATTTTTGCTTTTGTTCCAATTGCTTTTAGGGACTTAGCCAAAAATTCTTTGCCAAGCTGATGTCAAAAGGAGTATTTCCTAGGTTGTGTTTCAGAATTTTTATAGCTTGCGGTCTTATATTTAAATGTTTCATATATTTTGAGTTAATTTTGATATTTGGTGAAAGGTAGGATTCCAGCTTCAATTTTCTGCATATGGCTAGCCAGTCATTCCAGCACCGTTTATTGAATAGGTAGTCCATTTACCATTGCTTGTTTTGATTGGCTTTGTCAAAGATGAGATGGTTGTGGGTGTGCAGTTTTATTTCTGAGTCCTCTATTTTGTTCCATTAGTCTATGTATCTGTTTTTTTGTTTTGTTTGTTTTTTGAGACAGAGTCTTGCCCTGTCACCAGGCTGGAGTGCAGTGGTGTGATCTCAGCTCACAGCACCCTCCACCTCCCAGGTTCAAGCAATTCTCCTACCTTAGCCTCCCGAGTAGCTGGGACTACAGGCGTGCACCACCACTCCAAGCTAATTTTTGTATTTTTAGTAGAGACAGGGTTTCACCATGTTGGCCAGGATGGTCTCGATCTCTTGACCTTGTGATCCACCCACCTCGGCCTCCCAAAGTGCTGGGATTACATGCATGAGCCACAACACCTGGCCCCTATGTGTCTGCTTTTGTGCCCGTACTATGCTGTCTGGGTTACTGTGGCTTTGTAGGATAGTTTGAAGTTCAGTGGTATGATGCCTCTGGCTTTATTCTTCTTGCTTAGGATTGCTTTGCCTAAAGTAAATTTATTTCTGAAAAGTAATTATAACTGGAAGAGTTCACCATGTCTCCTTCTGAATTTTATAAATCTTGTTTACCAAAATATAACACCTATAGGGGATTTGAATGTTCTTATCACTATGAAGAAGCTTAAATATTTTCATAAATGGAATAATGTTTGTATCCATGAAATAATTTATTATGTGCATGGAATAATAAATGTTTATATCCATAAGCAATAAATCATTTTTCAGGTGTGGCAGCCCATGCCTGTAGTCCCAGCTACTTGGGAGGGTGGGGTGGGAGGATCACTTGAGCCCAGGAGTTTGAGTTCAGCCTCAGCAACAAAGCGAGACCCCATCCCTAAATAAATAGACAAATAATCTACTTGACTTAATAAACAATATTTTTAAAATACAGACCTCATAGGCTATACTCTTTGATAACACATAAAATTGCAATGAATTATTAAAATGTGACCCAAAAAGTTCAACTTCAAAAAATCATTCTCCTATTAAACCTTGTTTAATGAGAACAAAATAAAATTATAACAATTAGAAAGTTACTAAAAACATACAGTTTGAAGAAAAAGCTGTAAGATTTAGAGTAGTACTCAAAATAGAATACAAACTTTAAATGTTTTCTTTATTCAAATAAAAGACAAAGATAATAGCCATATTAGTCTGTTTTCATGCTGCTGATAAAGACTTACTCAAGACTGGGAAGAAAAAGAAGTTTAACTGGACTTAAAGGTCCACACAGCTGGGGAGGCCTCAGAATCATGGCAGAGGGTGAAAGGCATTTCTTACATGGTGGCAGCAAGAGAAAATGAGGAAGAATCAAAAGCAGAAACCCCTGATAAAACCATCAGATCTTGTTAGACTTATTCAATATCACAAGAATAGCATGGGAAAACCGGCACCCATGATTCAATTACTTCCCCCTAGGTCCCTCCCACAACATATGGGAATTCTGGGAGATACAATTCTAGTTGAGATTTGGGTGGGGACACAGTGAAACTACATCAATAGCTAACATGTACCACATATTTACTGTGTTAGGTATTGATCTAAGAACTTATAAATATTATTAACTCATCACAAACCTGAAGTAAATACTATTATTATTCCCATTGTACAGATAAAGAAATTGAAGCAGAGATAAGTTGAAAAACCTATCCACTATTACAGAGTTATCAAATGGCAAAACCAGCATTCAAACTCAGGTGGTCCTGCTCTGGAGTCCACATTCGTAAATATTATGCTGCAGTAAATATTAATCTTGAGAACTAGGTGATATGGTTTGGCTGTGTCCCACTCAAATCTCATCTTGAATTGTAGTTCCCATAATCCCCACATATCATGGGAGTAACCTGATGGGAGGAAACTGAATCATAGGGCAGTTATTTCTATGCTGTCCTCATAATAGTGAGTTTTCACTATATCTGCTGGTTTTATAAGGGGCTTTCCCCCCTCCCTTTGCTCTGCATTTCTCTTTCCGGCCATTATGAGAGGAAGGACATGTTTGCTTCCCCTTCTGCCATGATTGTAAGTTTCCTGAGGCCTCTTGAGCCATGCTGAACTGTGAATTAATTAAACCTTTTTTCCTTATATATTACCCAGTCTCTGGTATGTCTTTATTAGCAGCATGGGAATGGACTAATACAGCAAAATGCTACTGCAGAGAGTGGGGCATTGCTGTAGATTCAGGAAATGTGGAAGCAGCTTTGGAACTGGATAAAAAGCAGAAGCTGGAACAGTTTGGAAGGTTCAGAAGACAGAAAAATGTGGAAAAGCTTGGAACTTCCTAGAGACTTGGAGGGCTCCGAAGACAGGAAGATGCTGGAAAGTTTAGAACTTCCTAGAGACTTGTTGAATGGGTTTGACCAAAATGGTGATAGCGATACAAACAATGAAGTCCAGGCTGAGGTGGTCTCAGATGGAGATGAAGAACTTATTGGGAACTGGAGTAAATGTCACTCTTGCTATGTTTTAGCAAAGAGACTGGCAGCATTTTGTCCCTGCCCTAGAGATCTGTGGAACTTTGAACTTGAGAGAGATAATTTAGGGTATCTGGCAGAAGACATTTCTAAGTAGCATAGCACTCAAGAGGAAGCAGAGCAAAAAAGATGCAGCCTGATGATGTGATAGAAAAGAAAACCCCATTTTCTGGGGAGAAATTCAAGCTGACTTCAGAAATTTGCACAAGTAATGAGGAGCCAAATGTTAATCATCAAGAAAATGGGGAAAATATTCTCCAGAGCATGTCAGAGACCTTCATGGCAGCCCCTCCCATCAAAGGCCTGGAGACTTAGGAGGGAACAATGGTTTCCTGGGCCAGGCCCAGGGCCATCCTGCCCTATGCAGCATCAGGACATGGTGCCCTGCCTCCCAGCTGCTTAAGCTCTAGCCATGGCTAAAAAGGGCCAATGTACAGCTCAGGCCGTTGATTCAAAGGGTGCAAGTCTCAAGGCTTACATGTGGTGTTGGACCTGTAGGTGCATAAAAGTAAAAAATTGAGGTTTGAGAGAATGTCCAGCTAGATTTCAGAGGATGTATGGATGCCCACTCAGAAGTTTGCTTCAGGGGTGGGGCCCTCCTGGGGAACCTCTGCGAGGGCAGTGCAGAAGGGAAATGTGGGGTTGGAGCCCCAACACATAGTCTTCAGTGGGGTACTGGCTAGTGGAGCTATGAGAAGATGGCCGCTGTCCTCCAGACCTGAGAATGACAGACCCACCCACATGTTGTACTGTGCATCTGGAAAAGCCACAGATACTCAACACCAGCCCATGAAAGCAGCCTTGGGGTGGGGCGGGGCTATACCCTGCAAAGGGCCTATACTCACAGGGTGGAGCTGCCCAATGCTGTGGGAGCCCACTCATTCGTGTGCCCTGGATGTAAGACATGGAGTCAAAGGAGATCATTTAGAACTTTAAGGTTTAATGACTGCCCTATTTGATTTTGAACTTGCATGCGGCCTGTAGTCCCTTTGTTTTGGCCAGTTTCTCCCATTTCAAATGGGTGTATTTACCCAATGCCTGTACCCCCATTGTATCCAGGATGTAACTAACTTGCTTTTTATTTTACAGGCTCATAGGCAGAAGGAACTTGATTGTTTCAGATGAGACTTTGGACCTGGACTTTTGATTTAATGCTGGGATGAGTTAAGATTTTGGGAGAGCTGCTGGAAGGGTATGATTGTGTTTTTGTTGTGAGGACATGAGATTTCGGAGAGGCAGGGGTGGAATGACATGGTATGGCTGTGTCCCCACCCTAATTGCATCTTGAATTATAGTTACTATAATCCCCACGTGTCGTGGGAGGGGCCTGGTGGGAGGCAATTGAATCATGGGGGTGGTCACCTTCATGCAGTTCTCATGATAGTGAATGACTTCTGATAAGATCTGATGGTTTTATAAGGAGCTTCCCCACCTACCCATTCGTTCTTCTCCTTCCTACCATCATGCAAAGAAGGAAGTGTTTGCTTCCCCTTCTGCCATGATTGTAAGTTTCCTGAGGCCTCCCTAGCCATGTGGAACTGTGAGTCAATTAAACCTCTTATCCAGTCTCAGGTACGTCTTTATTAGCAGCATCAGAATGGACTAATATGCCAGGGGAGGGAAAGTGGAGGTGAATTAGAAACAGAACAAAAGAATCTAGGGGAAGGTAAATAATAAATTTCAAAACTGAAATTCATAAATGAGAAAAAAAATAATAGAAAAGCTCAGCAAAACAAAGGTAGTTTTTTTGGCAAGTATAATGAAATAAATAAACTGTTATAAGCCTGATACACAACCAGATTTTACAAGATCCTACCTGCTCGTCAATTAATTGTATTTCTAGGCATTAATGCTAACTGGAAACTGGACAATCCTGGCAGATATGTGGTCTGTCAGGAGTCTCCATAATTAAAAATTTTGGAAACAATCTAAATACATGTCTAGTGGTTGGGGATGATTAAAATAGTGATGTCATAGCCATACAATGAAACATGTCACATATATCTACAATTATTACAAGGGGAAAATATCCACACATTTTTTGGTAAGTTGACAGGGTACCAATGTCTTGAAAAATATGATTATTTCAGGACCGGGTGCCATGTCTCATGCCTGCAATCCCAGCACTTTGGGAGGCCAAGGGAGGTAGATCACCTGAGGTCAAGAGTTTGAGACCAGCCTGGCCAACATGGTGAAATCCCCGTCTCTACTAAAGCTACAAAAATTAGCCAGGTGTGGTGGGTGCCTATAACCCCAGCTACTTGGGAGGCTGAGGCAGGAGACTTGCTTGAAATGGGGAGGCTGAGGTTACAGTGAGCCAAGATTGCACCACTGCACTCTAGCCTGGGTGACAAGGGCGAGAGATTCTGTCTCAAAAATAATAATAATAATAATAATAATAATAATATGGCCAGGCATAGTGGCTCACTGCCTGTAATCCCAGCACTTTGGGAGGCCGAGGTGGGCAGATCACTAGGTCAGGAGAATGAGACCATCCTGTCTAACACTGTGAAACCCTGTCTCTACTAAAAATACAAAAAATTAGCCGGATGTGGTGGCATGTACCTGTAGTCCCAGCTACTAGGGAGGCTGAGGCAGAAAAATCGCCTGAACCTGGGAAGTGGAGGTTGCAGTGAGCCGAGATCACGCCACTACATTACAACCTGGGTGACAGAGCAAGACTCCATCTCAAAAAATAATAACAATAAATAATAATAATAATAAATATGGTTATTTCATAAATGCTATATACATACAGGAAAATATTTAAAAGTATTTAGATAATATAATTTAGTAATCATTTTTGCTATCTTCTTTTTAATTCATTTTAGGATTTGAAATACCTTTGAGTGTTAATATTACTTTTACAGTACAAAAAACACTTTTTATTTGTGAAATAGAAAATAAGATGAAATCTTGTGCTCACAAATGGGCACAGGGGTCCCAATGTTCAAAGTTATATACTCATCACTCAGTCTCAGGAAACATAAAGAAAAAGCAAAATTTGGATTAAAAATCATTGGATGAGACATTAGGCATAACTTTTTGCTTAATAGCTATTTTAGTTCATTATCTGATTATAACAAATGCAAAACGAAGACAGATGCATTGTTCTTTGCAGAATAACAATTAGGAGCTTTCCAATAATTCAGCTTGGCCTACCAAGCAGAGCTCAGGAAGTAATTTAACTTTTGATGCACTCAGGACTTTCTCCATGAGATAAGTGTTACCATTTTTAAATATTTTATATTAATATATAGGCATATTTTGTAAAAATAAAATTTTTGTTTGATTATATTTTAAACCAATTTATGCTTTCAAGAAGATGCATTGTCAAGATATTCTGATGAGTTTGCATTCATAGAAACAGTTGACTGATGGACAAAGCTAATTAGAATTTACTTATCTCCTGTATACGTTAACTGCATTTCTGCAGTCATTGTGAAGGTAAGAGGCATGGTTTTTGCTTTCCTAATGCCAGGATATCCTTGATTCAAAATGGCCCCTACCTATTTGAAAGTGTATTCTTAAAACATTTCACTGGCCCCTACCTATTTGAAAGTGTACTCTTAAAACATTTCACATTTATCAAATAATATTTAAACTATTTTGACCTATTCTTACTAAATGTGACAACAAAAAATATCTCTGAAAGAATGTAGCAATAATCATAAGATAAAAATCTGGTTATCGTTTTAATGTTAATCCAATTTAAATGTATTGAGGGCCTATAAAATACCTACCTATGCTTGTTCTAAGTGTTGAGAATACAAAAGGGAATAAAATACAGTCCCTCAAACACCCTAATGAAAACCTGAGAAGAACAATAATGTGATAATTATTATAATAAGAAGTTATAATAATTTTTGTAGAAATGTATTTCTAATATAAAATTCAAATAAAGAGAAGTTATTTATTAAGTAAATATATTTAAGCACCTACTATGATTTAGGTCATATTATTTAAGGATCTACTATGACTGAAGTACTGCCAAACAAATAATATAATGCATCTGCTGTCAAAGAAAACCAGTTAGCCTGGCATAGAGTGCAAGTTCAGATTCAGTAGTTGGCTTCTATCAGGCTTGGTGTCCAATAATTTTCAGTGGTGATTTACCTCTTGTAGTCAAATGCTCAGGTTAATTGTTATATCTCACAAATAATTTTATTTTATAAACCCAGAAAATGGCATCTGTCTTTAATATATTTTAAGTAATTCATAAATACATTTTTTAAAAACACAGAAAAAAAATCCATCTTCTTGGTTTTATAAAAATACTTTCTACTCTATATCACATAAGGATTGGTGGAAGTATTTGGAAAATAAGTATAATGTAGTATTCATTAATGTGGGCAGAATGACCTTTCCCCAAGATATCCATTATCTGTGAAAACCTTGTTATATGACAAAGGGGAATCAAGGTGACCAATAGAGAAATTACCCTTGATCCTTCAAATGGGCTAATGTTATCATAGAAGTCCTTAAAAGTAGAAGAAAGAGGCAGAATGTATGTAGGAAAAGGAAATGTGAGGACTATAAGAAAGAAGGGAAGGAAGGAAGGAGGTGAGAGAGAAGAGGACAGGGTGAGTTAGCGTAGATTATAAAAGCTTTTGTTTTAGAATATCCCCATCTTCCACGAAAGATTTATTAAGAAATCATTTTCAGTTCCAGCAGAGTACCTGAAGTATGGCCAGTAAAATGATATATTGGGAAGCTACCCCTCCACCAATCCATTTGGATGAATAATGGCTACAGCAACAGAAAGGCAAAGGATACATGGAGCTGTATAAAGGGGATTCTAAATGTAGAAGAAAATGGAAAGAAAATGTAAGTTTTAAAGTCACTTTTACAAAATAAGAGTACTCCTTCTTTATTTGAATTAGGCCAGTTGCAAGGGTTTAGACACATGTTTTAAGTCAAATTTTTGTCCCAGTTTTATTTATAGCAATACATTCTAAGCTAAGTAAGGTAAAATATTTAGACAGAAGACAGCTTTCTATTTCTTATATTTTTCCTAAACTTAGTTTATATTCTGCATTCCAACTTTTATTCTTTTCTCCTTTTTAAGCACTTTTTGAAGCTGTGCTCACTCTTGCTCTGACTTTATATCATTTTTAGCCCATGCTTAGGGATTGATATCAGCAGTTAACAATCCATCTCATGAATGTCAGAAACATGAGAGTTAGGTTAAAAAAAAATCAGCCTGTTGAAGTTGTTGTCATGTATTTGCCAAAATTTGAATATTACCAGAGAGCAAAGTTTTCTGAACTTTAAGCCTATTGATATTTAGTTATGTCTAACATATTCCCAATTGCTTTGTGATATTATTTGTAAAGCATTTGTAAGGTCATTAAAAAAATATCTCAGTCATAAAAGCACTTTTTGGACTTACATGAAAAAGTTTTTAAGGAAGGAAAACTTTGCAAAATAACACTACCAAGAAATACAAAAGAATATTTTATATATTGCAATACATTCAAATATTGTACTTGATGTCTTTCTTATATATATGTAAATAATTTTAAATTAAAACAAATGGAATATGGAACATTATGGAATGATTATTTGGAAATGATGGTCATGTGTACATTTCTAAGGAAATCTTTATTTTACTTTTACTACCTTATTTGATTGTTGCATATATTGTCCAAAAATAACTGAATTCACAATGATTTATTCTATAAAATTGTTTGGAATCTGATTATAATAATTAAGTGGCATTTAATTAAAACACTCCTTCTAAGTGGGTTTTTGCTGCTTCACATTAACTGGCTCATTTAGATTATCACATATTGTTTCCATTCATGAGATCATGCATAATGGGAATAGTCTTGGCTTCTGAATTTTAATAAGTTCTGTACAGCTGTTCACTGAACACTAAGTAGCTGATGAACAAACATTAGCTAAAGTGGTTTATGAATCAAATACTGAACTACATTTTTGAATTACTCTTTTCTAAATTTTTATCAACTCTAAGCACTAAAGTTAACTGCTTATATTCAACAGTAGTTCAGCTTAAACATATTTAAATTAAAATCTCTTTGAAGACTTGATAATTAATTTTTCATTTCATGACCTTTTTTTCCATTAAATCTCTTTCCACATAGCCTGAAACTCTCCAAATACTCAGTGCATTGTTATTCCAATAAGATAAATGTTTCACAATCTTACTATTTCTTTTTTTTTCTAGTTTTATTATTTATTTATTTATTTTTTATTATTATACTTTAAGTTTTAGGGTACATGTGCACAATGTCAAAAGAAGACATTTATGCAGCCAAAAGACACATGAAAAAATGCTCATCATCACTGGCCATCAGAGAAATGCAAATCAAAACCACAATGAGATACCATCTCACACCAGTTAGAATGGCAATCATCAAAAAGTCAGGAAACAGGTGCTGGAGAGGATGTGGAGAAACAGGAACACTTTTACACTGTTGGTGGGACTGTAAACTAGTTCAACCATTGTGGAAGTCAGTGTGGCGATTCCTCAGGGATCTAGAACTAGAAATACCATTTGACCCAGCCTTCCCATTACTGGGTATATACCCAAAGGAGTATAAATCATGCTGCAATAAAGACACATGCACACGTATGTTTATTGTGGCACTATTCGCAATAGCAAAGACTTGGAACTATTTCTATAATATCATCTATCTCTAAAGTTAGAAAACAATATAGATACACTTTTGACTAATCTGCTACTGATTTCTCTATTATTGTGTATATTCAATATGCAAATAGGTTAACAGCAATAAAATATCTGCTCTATTATTTAGATGACAGAAAACTCCTCCCCTCCCTTCCGCTCCCCTCCCCTCCTCTCCCCTCCCCTCTCCTCTCCTCCCCTCTTTTTTTGAGATGGATTCTTGCTTTGTCGCACAGGCTGGAGTGCAATGGCATGATCTAGGTTCACTGCAACCTCTGCCTCCCAGGTTCAAGTGATTCTCCTGCCTTAGCCTCCCGAGTAGCTGGGATTACAGGCGCTGGCCACCTCGCCCCCCTAAATTTTGTATTTTTAGTAGAGACAGGGTTTCACCAGGTTGGCCAGGCTGGTCTCGAATTCCTGGCCACATCTTACTCTTAATCAAACATCAGTTTCTGCATGACATTTGTAACTGTTGACCAAATATCACTTATCTTTCTTTGTTTAGAGTTTGTCCCAAAATGTAGAATTCCTGCAAGCTAGTCTTGACTCTCTATGTTCCACAACACCAAATTAATCAGCCTATACCTCAATTTTACACCTTAACACAGATGAAAGAGAGGACCAATTAAGTGAAGACCCACCAATGACATCAGAAAGAGAAGCAGATAACAAATAGCCTATCATTTTCTCAATGCCTAGAGCAGAAGATAATTCATCTGCCCATCAAAGCCTTCTTTGGCATAGAGTTAAGAGAAAAAGGAACGGGAAATAGAGAATAATAGCCAGGGCTTCATTAATGGCAAAGTAAAGAAAGAAAAAGAGAGAGAAGGACAATATGAGATTATTTTATAGGGTCAAAATCATGTTTGTAAGCACTCTGACAGCCTCATGGGATCATCTAAAAATAAGGCCATACCCAAATATTCTAGACCTACTAACCAGGAATAGTAGTCTCATCCATGATGTGCTACTATTGCAGAATATGATTAATATAAAGCAACATTGACTTCTCTCTCCATAGGCAGTAGATGTGGAAAATTTGGTTACAGTTTTTCCTTATCTTAGAGCCCATTATTTTATGTATTTTATTTTCCCTTTCTGTATTAAATACAGCTTTACTCACTTTTAAAACCGGGGTTGAACCACAGACAACTTGATGTCAACTTATAACTTGGCTACCTGAGAAAATACCAATAAACAAGAGCAAATATTCATTTTTATTAATAAAAATCTCCAGTACTTAAACAATAAATTAGAATTTTAACACATTTGCTTTTCCTGTAGTAGAAATGTGTATATATTTAGAGTTCAATATAAATCTATGTCAGTACATTCTAATTCACCAAATTTGGCCTAGAAGTGAAAGGAATAGTATATTTCTTTTCACTTAAGTTAGCAACTTCAGAAAAATTCTGAACAACAAAGTTTGAAAAATGTTTTCATCAATGGACACTTTTATACAAACACATGTTCAAACATACATACACTAAATAACTCAGACATAAGTTAGCAAACCAGAGTTTTTACTAAGTCATGATAATTTAAAAATAGATTCTTATTCTATTACCTTATCTATAAACAAATCAATTAGAATGTGTGTATGTGATGGATAAATAAATGTACAGGCCAAAAATGTCTTTGAGACTAGAGATTTGGCCTGACAATTGGAAGAAACAGAGTTTTTGTTTACTAAAATTTATAATCATGCAAAAGAAACAACTTTGAGCAAATTTGGTTGTCATGGTGGTTGCTAGATATGAGGAATCAGGAATTCAGTTCATATAAGATATTTCCTTTGCACATTCAAATGGAGATATGGAAGATGTTTTAATATAGATCTGAAATTCAGATAAAAGGTCCAAATTGGTAGTATACGTTTTAGATTCCACCTATGCCAGAGTGCAGTGGCATGATCTCAGCTCACCACAACCTCCACCTGCCGGGTTCAAGCGATTCTCCTGTCTCAGCCTCCTCAGTAGCTGGGACTGCAAGCACACCACTACACCTGGCTAATTTTTTGTATCTTTTTAGTAGAGACGGGGTTTCACCATGTTGGCCAGGCTGGTCTCAGACTCCTGACCTCAGGTGATCCACCCATTTCAGCCTCCCAAAATGCTGGGATTACAGGCGTAAGCCACCGTGCCCAGCTGCATTCTGACCTTTTAAAACTAAAGAAGAGGAAAAAGAAGGATTTAAGGAGATTGCCATGGATTGCTCTTTTGTTGGAAGGAAAACATAACCCTGTGGCAGGATTATATCTCAAAGTATTAATGTGTTTTTTGTATACATTCTTTCTCTTCAGCTCTCTCACTTTTATTCCAAGGGACAATTCATGTTCCCAACTCAGACTGAAGTAAAAAAATGGTAAAAATAGTTTGCAATGAGAGACAAAGATTCTATCTATAGATGTATAATTGTAAGGTTTAATTTTCATCTTTGTAAAACTAGGTAAGATAGTACCTGGGAAGTAAAAGAAAGAGAGCCTTTTCACACAGAATGCTCAAAAACAAAGTGAAAGAGATAGTCAGAATAGTTATTGAGGACACCGAAAGGCCTGTCCCTTCCTACTTCAATATCACTGAATGCGGGGGTTGGGTCAAGACGGCAGACTAGAAGAAAGCTCATGTGTGCTGCTCTCAGGGAGAGGAAACAAAAAGGCTAGTGAACACTGACTGTGAATGACAATCATCTGAGAAACAAGGTCAGGATAAATCAAAGCAGGAGGGAGACACTGAGAGCACAGAGGAGTGAAGCTGGGCACCAGCCTGACTGTGATCAGCGCAGTGCCAGGAGTATGTCTCCAACCTGGGAAAGGGTAAGTGACTCACAGCCCCCTGGGTGATTCATACTCTAAACAGGTACCTGTGCAAGACTGGAAATGGGTGAATACCCCTGGCCCTCCCATACCTCCAACCTCACTTCTAGAATGAGGCAGAGAGCCCCTCAAACATTTTGCAGAGGCAAATCCCCTCAAGTCCAAGGTGACTTCTATAAGTCTTGGCCCCTGGAGCAGACCAACACCAGCACCATACCCCCAACAGAGTCTGCAGTTGCAGTGCCTGGGGGCAGTAAGATTTTCCCCTCCCTGGAAAAGGCTCAATGTGGCTTCTGGTCTAGCAGGACAACTTCTCTCTGAACTCAGCCAGTGGCCACAGCCCCCTGCTGTCTGGGGAAGGAAAGTACCCAAACAGCAGGATGGGCAACCCCACCCACCCCCACCACTAGTAACCATTGAGCTTCTTGTCATTCTGGGAAGCATCCAGATGGCAGAGCAGACAACTCAACCTAACCCCACCACTGGTAGCTTCCAGCCAAATGAGCCAATTTTGCCTGAATTTGCAAAGGGTGCTGTATTAGTCAGGGTTCTCTAAAGGGACAGAACTACTAGGATAGATGAATATATGAAGGGGAGTTTATTAGGAGAATTGATTCACACAGTCACAAGGTGAAGTCCCACAACAGGCCATCTGCAAGCTGAGGAGCCAGGAAGCCAGTCCAAGTCCCAAAACCTCAAAAGTAGAAAAGCGGATAGTGTAGCCTTCACTCTGCAGCCAAAGGCCTGAAAGTCCCTGGTGAATCACTGGTATAAGTCCAAGAGTCCAAAAGCTGAAGTACTTGGAGTCTGATGTTTAAGGGCAGAAAGCATCCAGCCAGGGAGAAATGTGGAGGCCGGAAGACTCAAACAGTCTAGTCTTTCCACATTCCTCTGCCTGCTTTTATCCTAGCCACGCTGGCAGCTGATTAGATGGTGCCCATCCAGATTGAGGGTGGGTCTGCCTTTCCCCATCTACTGACTCAAATGTTCATTTCCTTTGGCAACACTTTCATATACATACTCAGGAACAATATCCAATCAAGTTGACACTCAATATTAACCAATACAGGTATAGCCTCCTCTTGCCCTGGAAACACATAGATGGCAGGGTGGGCTACTCTAGCTATCCTTGCCACCTGTAGCCAAATGGTCCACACATGCTAGATCTTCAAACTCAGTGGTCTCACTTCTGCTGGAACTCTGTGAGCAGGCACAACTCTGTTTTCTCCTGGGAAGCACTGGGAGAGCAGATTTGGGCTGACACAGTAAGAATACAGCCTGGTTGCCAACTGTGGTCCCTGCATGAAGGAGCCCCATGCACCAGAACACCCAACCAAAGAGGGACTCCTTCAAGACCCAGAAGCAGAATAGAATTCAAGCCAGTCAACTGAACCTACCTTAAACCACAATCAAGCCCACAAGGGCATCTAAGAAGATAAAAGCAAAAACAAACAAACAAACAAACAAACAAACAAACAAAAAACACCTATTCAAAAACAGCAATTTGAAAGACTGAAGGAACATCAGCCCATACAGAAAAGAAAGAACGAGCACAAGAACTCTGGCAACTCAAAAAGCCAGAGTGTCTTCTGACCTCTGGAAGATCATATTAGTTCTCTAGCAATGGTTCTAAACTAGGCTAAAATGGCTGAAATGTCAGAAATAGAATTCAGACTATGAATAAGAATGAAGATCATCAACCATCAAGAGAAACTCAAAATCCAACCCAAGGAATCTAAGGAATACAATGAAATGATATAGGAGATAAGAAACAAAATGGCCATTTTAAGAAAGTACCAAACTGATCCAATAGAGGTGAGAAACTCACTTCAAGAATTTCCTAATACAATCAGAATTATTACCAGTTGAATCGACCAAACTGAGGAAAGAATCTCAAAGCTTGAAGACCAGTTCTCCAAACTAACTCAGACAAAAATAAAGAAAAAAACAATAAAGAAGAATGAAAAAACTCTGAGAAATATGAGATTACATAAAGAGATCAAATCTGTGATTTACTGACATCCCTGAAAGAAGAGAGAAAGCAAGCAAGTTGGAGGACATATTTGAGGTTACCATCCATGAAAATTTCCCCAACCTCACTATAGAGGCAAACATTCAAATTTAGGAAATGCAGGGAACCCCTGCAAGATACTATACAAGATAACCATCCCCAAGACACACAGTTATCAGATTCTTCTAGGTTGAAATGAAAGTAAAAGTGTAAGTGAAAGAAAAAAGGCAGCTAGAGAGAAGAGGCAGGTCACCTACAAAGGGAACCTCAACAGGGTAACAGTGGATCTTTCAGGAGAAACTTTATAAACAGAAGAAATTGAGGACCTATATTCAGCATTCTTAAAGCAAAGAAATTCCAACCAAGAATATCATATCTAGCCAAACCACGCTTCATAAATGAAGGAGAAATAAGATCCTTTTCAGATAAGCAAATGCTAAGGGAATTTGTTAATACCACCCAAGAGGTCCTTAAGGGAGTGCTAAATATGGAAAGGAAAGAGCATTACTGGCCACCACAAAAACAGACTTAAGTACATAAGCCATTGACAGTATAAAGAAACCACAAAATCAAATCTGCATAATAACCAGCTAACAACATGTTGACAGGATCAAATCTACACAAATCAATATTAACCTTGAATGTAAACAGGCTACATGCTCCAATTTAAAGGCACAGTATGGCAAGTTGGATAAAGAAGGAAGACCCAACTGTATGCTGCATAAAAAAGACCCATCTTACATGTAATGACAACTTCAAGCTCAAAGTAAAGAGATGGAGAAAAATCTACCAAGCAAATGAATAAGAGAAAAATGCAGGAGTTGCTATCCTAATTTCAGACAAAACAGACTTTAAACCAACAAAGATCAAAAAAAACAAAGAATATCATTATATAATGTCAAAGGTTCCAACTCAACAAGAAAACCTAACTATCCAAAATATATATGCACTTAATCCAGGGGCACCCATGTTCATAAAGCAAGTTCTAAGAGACCTACAAAGAGACTTAGATAATGACACAATAATGGTGGGACACTTCAACCCCCTACTGACAGTACTGGACAGATCATCATGGCAGAAAACTAACTAAAATATATGAGACCTAAATGCAACATTTGACCAAATGGGCCTAACAGACATCTACAGAACTTTCTACCTTAAAATTACAGAACATACATTCTTCTCATCGGCACATGGCACATAATCTAAAATTGACCACACAATGAGCAACAAAATAATCCTCAGGAAATTCATAAAAGCCAAAATCATACTAAACACATTCTCAGACCACAGCACCTTAAAGATAGAAATCAATAATAAGAAAATTGTTCAAAACCATACTTTACATGGAAATTAAGCAACCTGCTCCTGAATGACTTTTGGGTAAACAATGAAATTAAGGCAGAAATCAAGAAATTCTTTCAAGCTAATGAGAACAAAGATATACAACTTACCAGAATATGTGGGACACAGCTACAGCTGTGTCAAAAGGGTAGTTTACAGCACTAAACACCTACATCAAAAAGTTAGAAAGATTGCAAATTAACAATCTAATATCACACCCAGGGGAACTAGAGAAACAACAGCAAACCAACCTCAAAGGTAGTAAGAAAATAAGAAATAGCCAAAATCAGAGTTGAACTGGAGGAAATTGAGAAGTGAAAAACCATACAAAAGATCAATGGATTGTGTGGTTGAGTCTTTGAAAAAGAATAAATAAGATTCATAGAATGCTAGCTAGCTAGAAGAATAAATTAAAAAATAGAGAAGATCCAAATAAACACAATCAGAAATGACAAAAGGGACATTACCATGAGCCACACAGAAAAACCAAAACAACAATAACAACAACAAAACCCCTCAGAAACTACTGCAAACACCTCTATGCACACAAATTAGAAAACCTGGAAGAAATGATTCAATTACTGGGAAAATACAATCTCCCAAGATTGAACCAGGAAAAAATTGAATCCAAGAAAAGACCAACAATGAGCTCCAAAGTGAATCACTAATAAAAAGCCTACCAACCAGAAAAATCCCAGGACCAAACAGATTATTAGCCAAATTTTATCAGATGTAAAGAAATAAAACAGCTGGTACTACTTTTACTGAAACTATTCTGAAAAATTAAGGAGGAGGGACTTCCTAACCCATTCTATGAGGTCAGTTCATTTGTGGACCAATTCTTTCATTCACCGGGTATTATGTATTTATTTTATGTTATTATTATCATCAAACCTTTGTCCTTCAAAATGTTTTTTTTAAAAAGTAGAAAATGAATTTGCCACCTTGAATCCATGCAGTTCTGCTAAACTTTGGATAGAAAAGATTACACACCCCTTTATATTTGAAGAACTGGAAAGGTGATCAGAAGTATGCAATAATTTAATAGAAAAAAAGAGTTTCTTCCTAAACAATATTGATACATAAGAAATAAATAACCACAATCTACACTACTGACAAATGAGAGTAAAGTAAAACTTCCAGTTTTCTAACAATTTGTGTTTGTGCACTCCATGCCAAGCACTGCTTAGTCACTAAATTAAGTGGCTATATAAAGTTCCTTTAGAATCATTTTAAAACCAATACTTATCACTAATGAGAGACATTAGAATTATCATTATCAAAATTAATATAATAATCTAACCAAATACCATATTATCCAATTAAATAATTTTATGCATTTCATCAATTCAACTCTGCAATTAAAAGCATAAGAATAGAGTATAATTATTATTTCCTAGGAAAAAGTAGTTGTGGCTGTGACTATAGTCTTTTAGAAAAAAAAAGTGGATCTTCTATTTACCCTTTGATTGTATGTGTTTTTTACTGGTTTTATGAAATATTCTCAATTTTTTATAAGGTACATGTTGAAAGCTGCTTTCATGCCACCTCATAAAACACATAAGAATTAATTTCTGTTATCAAAATATCACAATTCATGCATGTAAGCAATTTGTTATATATTATCTGAGATGAAAATTCAATCATAAAATCATATATGTTGTTACAGCTTATACTTTGGAGGGAGGAACAGGAGTGGTTAAGAGATGAAAGGAGGCAAACCTATTAGTGACGAAACCAGAAACCAGATATTGGTCTAACCAGGATTGTGCAACTCATTTCCTGCCACCTTGCTTGTGTAATCTGGCTGGCAAAGCCACAGCAATTTCTTACTCTCCCAGGATGGCCTGTTAAAAGGACAAATAGTGCACACAGCCTCTTTGAAGGCTCCCCTAAAATTGAATGAATTGAATTGAACTATGCTAATTATATAGACTTGGGGCCAGCTAGGAAACACACTTCATTTTACTTTTTCTCCCTCTTGCCTTGTCTTATTCATCTTTTTCCTTATTCTTCATTTCTGGAGGTGCGTATGCAGATAAGATGTTTATACAGAGGCTGTCACCAAACTGTGTTTTCTAGGGATTCCTGGTTAGCTCAGGTTTCCAGTTAAATATATATATATTTTTATTTATTTTTTTAATGAACCCAGGAGAGGGATCCGGAAATTCAACAGGTACTTTAAGTCACTGTTATACAAAAGTCAGAGCAGGGTTAAAGAAAAAAAAAAAAAAAGTAATACAGTCTTTGGAACAACACAGATAACACAATGTTTGAAATCACATCAAAATGACTGTGCAAAACACACTTTTGCTCTCCTCAGTACTACTACTCTGTTTTAGCTTTGTTCCTACTTACTCTATTATTAGATGGCTTTTATAGCTACAACAGCTTTCTAGCTAAATTTATAATAGTTTAATGCTTGGCACTGAAAGTGCAGTCTGTGAGCAGCATCACTGATATCACCTGCGATCTTGTTAGAAATGCAGAATTTCTGGTCCCTCTTCAGACCTGCTGAATTTGCTCTGCATTTTATCAAGACCGCCAGATGATTTCCATATATAATGAAGTAAAAAAAACCACTATTTTAGATAAAGGTGGTTAACTTTGAGATGTGCACAAAGATAAAATTAAATCTGTTAAATAGTCCCTTGGTAAATAAATCCTGATTATTATCTCTAAGGAGCAAACTGCACGGTTGAGAAAGGAAAAGAAGGGGTTGGGAGGGGAAAGAAACTAACAAACACTGAAGATTTACACTAGGTCATGTAATTTACATGAAGGGTTTACTACTGTTATCACATTTAATGTTATCACCAAAAAAAATAAAAAATAAAAAAACCCATGGAGCAGTATGACAACCCTCATTTCACTGATGAGTAAACTGAGGTTAAAAAACATATCAGTGATCATAAGCCTAATGAATTTTGGCCAAGTATTTCTTTCCCCTAGAATTATGCACTTTCTACTAATAAGTTTATGGCATTTGAGTTATAAATAGTTCATGAGAAATCTGACTATAATAATTAAATATATGTGGCACAGATTTTAACTTACAAGAATGATTAGAAGATAGTACCATCATTCTGTATTGGCCTAATGAAAAGAAAAAGACTCATGGAGGGTTGAACTAGCAAGTTGTGGAAGATTTGAATGATGAAAAAAGAAAGGTAAAAACATGAATATTAGCTCTATGTGTAGTACTGTGCTAACATTTTTACATTCTTTATCTGAATCTTATACTAACCCCATTTAATTGCAAAATGTTTTCCAATTTAGAGATGAAAAATCAGAGATTAAAAAATTCTAAAAAAAAAAGACCAAATTCATAGTACAAAGCTATCTTATTCTCACCATACCACTGAAGGTTAAAACAGATGTTTGTTATAAGGTCAGAGGAGGGACTCAATTTTTAGCTTTATTTTAGACTGTCATAATTTTCAAAGATAATCTGAAACAACATTTATTAGTTTTATTGATATTACATCAAGGCATTTGCTTTAAAAAAAAGTCAATTTTCTGATAAATTTCAGTGTCCTACTTACTCATGTCTTCATTGAATTATAACTGATACGTCTAAATATTTTATTTCCCTTTCAATAATCTTTTTGTCCTTTCAGCGATAGGAAAAAGAAATAAAAACACCAAAAGACCAAAAATTCAACCTTGCAAAATAATACGTAACTTATCCCCTAAGTGTAAAACTATAAAACCACAAGCTTCATAATACAGGAAAAATATGAATATCTAAATCCTCCTCAGGGGTATATCAACATTACTATAATGTTGAATTTTTTTCCATTATGTCAAAGGGTATCACACTGGTCTTTAGTAGAGAATCATTTTCTAGCTGTTTAAAAATACCAAGCAACTAGTAATCCAATAAAACACAAATCAGCAGGTCTACTTGATGTCACATATAACTCCAAGAGAGACCATTTCAATGAGTCTACAAGCTACATCTCTAAGTAATATGAATGTTTCATTGTATTATTCAGTACTTTGCAGAGGCTCATTAAATGTTTACTGAAAGGAATTTAATTGGGAATAAAGCCAGAAGTCTGTTGATAAATGTGAATCTGTAGATGCTATATGAAGTTCTACATAATTAATCTGTACTCTGCACTCTCCTTCATTTTTATAGCACCAAAAATGAAACTATTGATATATGCTACCTTTGAGAAGTAGTATAAAGGATGCCTAAAAAAGAAGTTAAAAGGATGGTGATGGTAATATATATAATCTTTTCATTAAATTTTAATACATAGCTCTTATAAACAGAATATAATGCTTTTATATTCATAGAGAGAGATTATATTTTTATAATATCTAGTTCAGGTTCTCAGGTATATGCTTATTCATATGTTTGTTTGCTAATTAATTTATATATTCACTCATTCATGCATTTACTTAAAATCTCTAATGTTGATTTTCTTTGATGAAAATGCAGAATATAGTACTTGTCTCACAGTGTTTTTTTAAATATTCAATGAGATAATCAATAATAGGTATCTATACACTATCTTACAAATGTGATATACTACTATTATTACTAAATTAAATACTTTTATTAAAATATAGTCTGAGCAAGACTCTGTGATGAAGAAAACAGTGAATAAAACATGTTACCAACTCTTCCATTATTTACATCCAGGTAAGAAAATTAAGAAATATATCCACAAAATATAAACAAAGACTGTGATGATAAATTCCAGAGAAAAGTTCTATGAAAGGGCAGATATTTCTGAAGACAGAAGTCCTTCGTTCCACAGAATACATGACAGGTGCTTTAAAATTTTCTTTGGTCAGCTTTGTCACTGGCTCATAAGGCAGCCCATTCTATTTTTGAAGTTTAAATATTAGAAATCATGTTATTCCATGTGAAAACTGACTTCAGTACTTTTCAAAATATTTTCTATTATATTCCTAATCCTTATCAGGTGAATTTTGAGCAAACACAAATCAAGTGGGGGAAAATGTAAAAGAATTTTCTTCAGTACTTTTTTTTTAACACAAAAGTAAATAGTAAGTGAACTATTGTATACAGAATGTTGTTGTTTTATTTCTGCTGACTTCAAAATAAAATAGCATAGCCAAAAGGATAAATAACAGGCTGACCTGGCCACATCTTCCCAATACATTATTAAACTGCACTATATTTCCTTTGGGAATAAATTACCCTGCTACTTCCTGTACATTTTTTATATCAATAGAGGTCTGAATTTCACTTGAGCCACAGGAAAGAGCTGAAATAAAATTTGACAAAGCTGGATTCAACTAATGAGAGGTAAGGGAGCTTAGAGTTTTGCCATGAACTCTGGCTTTCATTATAGCATTTTGGGAAGTGGAATGTCTCAAGGAGAGGGATTAAATGGCATGGGAGAGGGTGAACATGATTGGATTTCACATTTGAAGAGATATATTAAAAATATGCTGTCAAAATCTGACATCTGCCTTCAGTTTTTCAGTTATAGGCAATATTGTTTCCCAAATAAGGCTATTTTAAAGGTATTTATTCACTTTATTTTTTCAATTTGAGCAAAATAATTGAGCTTGCCATTGACATTATTTGTTAATAGAAACAAGAGACATGAATGTGATATTTGCCTTAGAATACACATTTTCATATTCTGCTGTTGTGATGTCACATTTTACCTGTCTACATTTGGTGTTGCTTATTACTGCAGGCAGCAAGAGACGTGCACATGTCAAACTGCCTCTAGCTAGCAAATACATTTCTGGGAGACATAATGTTTTAAACAAGAAACACAGGCACATGTCTATAAGCCTGTCAACAACAAATAAGGTATTCATATTTTACCTCTGGCATGAGAAGTTGAAAGGGAAGTCTTTACTATTAGCATTCCTCTGCATATATTAAACATAATAATTATTAATAAAGCAGTTATTACTATTATGAAAACAACATTAACAAAGACCTGAGTTAAATGCAAGTTGTCAATAGAATTAAATGTAAATTTTCATCTCCATTTTTGGTCAATGAGTGTTTTAGTACATATATTACATGTAGTTAATATGTATTTTTTTATTATAGGAGTATATTGTTATGAGAAAATGATTCACAATCTCAGAAAATTTTACTTGTTGCATTTCCTTAATCACAGGTTATGCTTCTGAAAGTCAAACCTAAAAAAGAAAATGAGAATTAAGACAAAAAACTATCAAAGATTATTTTTTCACAGTAAGACTTAAACCTAACAATAACATTTTAATTACATGCAAAATACAAATTTATTTAAAACTTTTAATAAACAATGAGTTTATTGTGAAGTGTGAATAACAGTTGCCTTATCTTACAGTTACTTTATCTAATCTGAGTTTTTGTACGGAATAAGATAATTATCCAATTTCATTATCTTGCATGTGGATATACAGTTTTGCAAATACCATTTGTTGAAAATGTTATCTTTTCCCTATTGTTTCCTTAGTGTCTTTTTTGAAGATCAGTTGACTGTCTATGTGTGGATTGATTTATCATCTCTCTACTCTGTTCCATTAGTCTATACGTTTGTTTTCATGTCAGTCCATACTATTTTGATTACTATGACTTTATAACATATTTCAAATCCAGGAAATATGATGCCTTTACCTTTTTTCTTCTTTCTCTAAATTACTTTTACTATTTTGGTCTTCTGTGATTCCATATAAGTTTTAGAATTTTTTCTACTTCTGCAATTTTGATAGGAATTGCATTGAATCTGTAGATCATTTGGGTAGTACGTACATTTGAACAATATTAAGTCTTCCAATCTATGAACATGAAATGTCTTTCCACGTGTTTGTGTCTTAGTTTTTCTCCTTAATTATTTTCAGTTTTCAGTATACAAGTATACCTCCTTAGTTGTTTACTTTTAAGTATTTTATTCTTTTTGGTGCTATTACAAATGCTATAGTTTTTCTAATTCTCTTTTCAAATACTTCTTTGTTGGTGTATAGAAATACAATTGATTTTGCATCTTGCAACATTACTGAATTTGTATTAGTCCTAACAGTTTTTTATGTAGTCTGTAAGCTATTCTACATATTAGATCATGCCATTTGAAAATAAGAACAATAATTCTTCTTTCATTCTAATTTGGAAGCATTTTTTTTACCCTTCCCTGAGTATTCTGGCTGCGACTTCAAGTACAATGTTAAGGGACAAGAGTGGACATCATTACTTTGTTCCCATTGTAGAAAAAAAACTTTCAGCATTTTACTATTCAGTATGATGTTAGCTCTGGTATTGTTATATATACATCCCTTATGTTAAGGTACATTCCATCTGTTGCTAGATTGTTGAATTATGTCAAATCCTTTATCTTCATCATTAAGATAATCATGTGATTTTAAACCTTTATTCTGTTAATGTGGCTTATCACATTGATTTTCCTATGTTTAATCATCCATGCATCCCATTAGTCATGGGGTATAATTGATACTGTCAATGTGCTGTTAGATTTCGTTGAAGTATTTTGTTGAAGTTTTTTTAGATCCATATTCATCACGGATGTTGTCCTATGGTTTTCTTTTCTTGTAGTGTCTTTCTGGCTTTGTTATCAAGGTAATTCAGGCCTTACAAAATGAGTTTGGAAAGGTTTTATTCTCTTAAATTTTTTGGAAGATAGTGAGAAGGGATGTCATTAATTCTTCCTTAAGTCCTTGGTAGTATTTACCAGTGAATATATTTAGTTCTGGCTTTTGTTTTGGGAAGTTTTTGATTACTGATTCAATTAACATATTAGCTGTAGGCAAGACTTTTTATTTCTTCATGATTTACTCTTGGTAGATTGTATATATCTAGGAAGTCATCCATTTCATCAAGGTTACTTAGATTGTTCGCAAATACTTGTTTATAGCAGTGGCTTATGATCCTTTTTAATTCTATGGTATCAGTTTAATGCCTCCTCTTTCTTTTCTGATTTTCTTTATGAATCACCTCTGTTGTTCCTAATCTAGCAAAGGCTTTGTCAGTTTGATCACTGAAAAAAACCAACTCTTAAATTTCGTTGATTTTTTTCTATTGTATTTTATTTTCTATTTCATTTATTTATTTCTTTCCTTCTACTAATTTGGGCTCAGTTCATTTTCCTTTTTGTGTTTTCTTGAGGTATAAAGTTTGGTAGTTTGAGGGTTTTGTTTTGTTTTGAGACAGAGTCTCGCTCTGTCATCCAGGCTGGAATGCAGTGGCGCAATCTTGGCTCACTGCAACCTCCGCCTCCCAGGTTCAAGCGATTCTCCTGCCTCAGTCTCCTGAGTAGCTGGGATTACAGGCGCCCACCACCACGCCCAGCTAATTTTTTGTATTTTTAGTAGAGATGAGGTTTCACCATGTTGGTCAGGATGGTCTCGAACTCCTGACCTCAGGTGATCCACCCGCCTCGGCCTCCCAAACTACTGGGATTACAGGTGTGAGCCACCGCGACCGGCTGAGATTTTTTTTTTTAAATGTAGTGTTTATTTCTATGAACCTCTCTCTTAGTCTTGCTTTTGCTGCATCCAATAAATATTATAATGTCATGTTTGTCTATTTGTCTCAAGATATTTTATAATTTCTCTTTAAACTTGATCTTTGACGTCATAGTGGTTTAAGAGTGTGTTATTATTATCCATATATTTGTGATTTTTCCAGTTGTCTGTTAACTATTGATTTGTAGTTTTATTCCATTATAACCAGAAAAGATCATCTTATTCTTTTAAGACTTGGTTTGTGACCTAACCTATGATCTATCGTGGAGGTAGATCCATGTGTGTTTGAGAAAAATGTGAATTCTGCCACTGTTTAACACAATATTTTGTACATGACTATTAGGTTCAGTTGGTCTAGAGTGTTATTTAAATCCTCTATTTCCTTACTGATCTCCTATCTTTATGTTCTGTACATTATTGAAAATAGGGGAATGAAATCTCCTACTATTATTGCATTACTATGTTTTTTTCCTTCAAATCTTTCAACATTTGTTTTATATATTTAAGGACTCTCATGTTGAATGCACATATATCTACAACCATTATCTCTTTCTGGTTGATTGAATAGTTTGTTATCATAAAATATCTGTCCTTTTATTTTGTGGCAGTTTTTGACTAAAAGTCTATTTGTCTAATATTTAAGTATAGCTACTGCTCTTTTCTGGTTACCATTTGCATGGAATATCTTTTAACTTCACTTCACTTTCAGCCTATGTTTGTACTTAAATCTAAAGTGAATTTCTAGTAAACAGCATATTTTTCAGTCTTGAAAATTTATTCAGCTACCCCATATTTTTTATTAGGAAGATTTAATCCATTTACATTTACATTATATTATTATTTGCAAAAGATTTAGTATTGCCATTTTTAGTGGCATCAGGTTAGTCTTGCAGTTCTTCTGTCTTTTCCTCTCTCGATGTCTTTCTTTATATTGTTTTGATTATTTTTCTATTAATATGCTTTCACGTATCCCTCTTTTTCATTTATGAAATTTTATGGGTATTTTATTGTGGTTTTCTTGGGACTTACATAAAATATCTTACAGTTACAATAGCTTATTTAAGCTGATAATAACTTAAGTTCAATCACATGCAAAATACTTTAATTTCTCTTCCCAACACACAGATTTTATGTTATTTTTGTCAAAATTTATATCTATTCATATTGTGAAAATTTAACATATTCCTAATACTTTTAACTTTTATATCATAAAGTGACTTAGCCACCATCATTACAGTAATAGTGTGGCTCTTTAGGGTCTTTTGTTTCAACCTGAAGAACTCTCTTTAGTATTTCTTACACATAGGTCCCGTAGAGATATAGCCTTTTGCTTGAGAAAATATCTCACTTTCATTTTTGAAGAAGAGTTTTGCTAGTGGTAGTATTCTTGGTTGGCTTTTATTTTCTTTCAGCACTTTGAATCTATCATCCCACTCCCTTCTGGTCTGCAAGACTATGGTGAAAACAAACCACTGATGGTCTTACGAAAGTTGCCTTGTGTGTTACAAATCACTTTTTACCTGTTGTTTTCAAAATTATTTGTCTTTGAATTTTGATGATTTGATTATAATATGCCTGGGTGTGTATTTGGAGAGATATAGCGTATGTGGTGTCCTTTGTGCTTCTTGAATCTGTATGTCCATTTTCTTACCCAGGTTTGGGAAGCTTTTAGCTATTATTTCTTTGAATAAGCTTTCTACTACCTTCTTTTTCTTTACATTTTCTGGGACCCTTATATGCATATATGAGTATGCTTGATGGTGTCCCATAATTCTCATAAAGTTTCTTCACTCTGTTTTATAATTTTCTTTGTCTTTTTGCTCCTCTCACTCAATTATCTCTAGTCAACAGACTTTGGGTCTGTGATCCTTTCTTATACTTTAGTCTGCTATTCAACACTCTAGCGAATTTTTAAATTCAGTTATTACGTCCTTCAGCCTCACAATTTCTAATCGGTACTTCTTAATGTTTTCTATTTCTTTGTTAAAATGCTCTGATTATTCATGCATTATTCTCTTTACCTGGGTGAGCATCTTTATAAGAGTTATTTTAATTCTGTGTCAGATGAATCATACAACTCCATTTATTAAGGCCACTTCTGAATTTTGTTTCATTTATTGAAATATCTTTGCCAGATTCTTCATTTTCCTTGACTCTTTGTGTTTGAGTCTCTGCATTGGAAAAATCACGTACCTCTTCCATTCTTCACATCTTGGCCTTGTACAGGAAAAAAATCTGTACAAATCAGTCCAGTCAGAGATTCTGGGGCCTCTTCCAACTCTTTCTCAATCTAGAGAAAGTCAGGTAGCTGTGTTTTTGTCTACTCACTCTGTACTGAGCCAGGAGATGGCAAATGGGGGAACTATGCAATCCACCAACCCCAGTTGCCACTTTCTCCCACAGCTTGCAAAATAATGCCTGACTCATCAGAGCACCAGGATTGGTGAGACAGGTGCTAGATTGTTAAACATCTTTAGAGAATCTGGGGTACTGGAAGCATGGATCAACTATTTCTCTTTCCAGGGGCAAGCTGAAAGCCAAAATTTTTCATTGGCTCATTTTATACCAAGCAGTGAATAAAGTCTCTGGCATCCATCAGCCCAAGATGCTGCCTTTATTTTCTCATGGATGGATAGACTATGCCAGACCCATCAAAGGTTAAAGAATGACTAGTCTGTAGTCATTTTTCTGGAGGAGGACCCTCAAAAAGTATGGGTGTTGGACATGTGAACCAACCCTATCTTTCCCCTGGGTAAATCTGGGATCTAGTGGGGGTGCTTCTTGATTATACAGTACTAGGCCAAGTACAGGATCTCTGACAAGAAGGTGCCTTAAAATATCCTGTCTGCTTCCATGATTCCAATTTTTCATTCTCCCAGGATGCAAGGGCCTTTTTAATTAGGTTCTGATTTTAAAAAAATAAAATGTGTCCATGAAATGCCATTGAATCAATCTGTGTGTTTTGCAGATTTGTAATGGGAAGGGGGATATAGGACTTCCTTCTCCTCCATCTTGCTTATGTCACTCTCTCAGCTAACATCTTATTTAATGGTGAAAGACTAAATTTGTTCCAGCACAAATTAGTAAAAATACAAGAAATGTCTGTACAACATTGTATTTGAACTCACATCCAGTGCAATAAGAGAAAGAATAAATGAAGTATTAAGATTAAAATGGAAGAGATAAAACTGTCTCTATATATGGAAAACACAACCATCTATGTAGAAAATCTAATGGACTCTTTTTTAAAAAAGTATTCTACTACAACTAACAGCTTAATAAGGTACCAACATAAGAGATCAACAAAATGTTAACTACATGTTTACACACTAACACATTTCAGTCAGATAATACAATTTAAAAACATTACTATTTAATGTAGTGACATAAATATGAAATACAAAGATATAAAAAAGACAAAAACTGAAAGACCCATAGAGTAAAAACTACACAATATTGTTCAGAAAATTTAATGCTGCTATGTTTTGAAAGTATGTCTCCTCCAAAAATCATGCCCAAACTTAATCCCCATTCTGGTAGTATAAAAAGGTGGGCGTTTGGGGAAGTAAATAAGTCATGAGGACTCTAATCAATGGATTTGTGCCTTATAAAAAGATTGGAGAGAAGCACTTAAATTATTTTTCTCTCCAGCCTTCAGTTATGTGAGGACACACTATTCATACCCTCCGGAGGATGCAGGAACAAGACGCCATCTTGAAAACAGAAAGTGGGGCCCTCAACAAACACTGAACCTGGAGGAATCTTGATCATGAACTTCTCAATCTCCAGAACTATATTTTTGTTCTGGGAGAAATATATTTATGTTCTTTATAAATTAGTCTGTAGTATTTTGTTATGTCAGCAGAAACAGACTAAGACAACCTTATAGAGAGATACAGTTGGCTTAAAGGTCAGAATATTGAATATTTTTAAGATGTCAATTTTCTTCAAATTGATCTATAGATTTAACGCAATTCCAATCTAAAATGCAGCAGGCATCACTTTGTAGAAAGTTAAAACTATTCCTAAAATGCATATCAAAATACAAAGTATAATTTTGGAAAGGCAAAATGAATACTTCCTATTTCAGGTCTTCCTATGAAGATACTGTAAGCAAGAATGTGTGGTGTCTCATTGGGTATGACAATTAAATCAAAAGAAGAATATGAAGAGTTAAGAAATTGACCTAAACACATATAGACAGTTGATACTTGACAAAGGTGCTGGCAATTCAACAGAGAATTGATAGTCATTTCAACAATTGGATACTTACACAAAAAGTAACATACATACCACATCATACAAAAATATATGAAATAGAACACCAACTTTAGTATAAAATTGAAAACTTGGAGAATTATTGAATAAGTATAGAAGAACATTTATGATTTCAAGTTATAGAGGATTTTAAAAATATGACAAATCATAATCCATAAAATGCAAAAAAAATAACTTTGACATCATCAAATTAAAAACTTCTGCTCTTTAAAAATAATGTTAGGAGAATGAAAAGAGCAGTCACAGACTGGGAAAATATTTATAACTAAAATAATAATACATTACTTTTATCTAGAATATATAGTACCACAAAATCCAATAATAAAACAAACAAACCCATTTTTAAAAAGTGACTGCAAGATGTAAACAGGTACCTCAACAACAATAAAAACAGAAAGATACAAAGGTAGATAATAACTGAGCTCAGAAAGAGTCATGCAACTTGATTAGTTTGTTGTTGTTGTTGTTTGTTTCTTTGTTTTTTAGAGACAGGGTTTCACTCTTGCCCAGGCTGTAGTACAATAGTGTGATTATAGCTCACCACAACCTTGAACTCCTAGGCTCAAGTAATCCTTCCACCTTCCGACTCCTGAATAGCTAGGGCTACAGGTGCACAGCACCATACCTAGCTAATCTTTTATTTTTTACTTTTTGCACAGATGGTGTCTTGCTATGTTCCCCAGACTGGTCTAGAACTCTTTGCCTCAAGCAATCCTCCCACCTTGCCCTCCCAAAGTGCTGGGATTACAGGAGTGAGCCACCATGCCCAGCCTGGGTATTTGTTAAATAAAATAAACACAGTGAAACATTACTACATACATATTAGAATAGCTAAAATTAAAAAAAAAAATAGGCTGACCATACTACATGTGCATGAGGAAACAGAAGAACTAGAACCCCAAAGTGACTGGGAATCAGCTTGGCATTTTTGTAAGTAAATAAATGTGAAAACCATGTAACTACTATATGACCCATTCATTCTTCTCCTAGCTGTTGCTCAAGATAAATAAGAGATATGTTCTTACAATTGACATATATGACTGTTAATAGCTGCTTACTAAAAAGAAGTGGTAACAACCCAAATGCCAACAAGTGAGGGGATAAACAAGTCATATAATGCAATACTACTCAGCAATAAAAGTAATAAAAAATTAATAAATGTAATGAACTATTGATACAACATGGATAAACCTTAATATAATTATTTCAAGTAAAAGAAAATAGACAAAATGTACAAATTTTATTTAGATAAAATTCTAAGTAATCTGTAGTGTCAAGAAAGCAGATTAGTGTATGCTTGGGGATGGGAGGAGAAGGAGAGAGAGATGGTACAGCAGAAGGAAATTTGGAAGTGATAGGTATGTTCATTTTTTAGATGTAGTTCTGGACTCATAGTTATATGCCTGTATAAAAAATTATTAAATTTTATACTTGAAATATATGCATTTTATTGTATGCCACTTATTCCTCAATAAACTTATAAAATATATTCACAAGTTATTTTAAGTATATTCATCACCATGTACTTCAGAATTGTTTTAAGATCATCATTATAAACAAGTATAACATATTCCAGATTTATATATTCTCTATACATATATATTTATATAAGATAAAGAAGCTTGGCATTTTGAAGTTTACAAATTCTCAATAAAAATCTCTAAGACTTTGAAACTATATATTTTAAGGCACCCGACACATAGTGAAAATGGGCCTAGAAAAGTCCATTATCCTGCTGGGATAGTTCTTCTATAGATTATAATTTAAATTAGAAATTACATGTTCTAGTTCCTCAAGGATCTAGAACCAGAGATACCATTTGACTCAGCAATCCCATTACTGGGTATTTACCCAAAGGATTATAAATCATTCTACTATAAAGACCCATGCACACATATGTTTATTGCAGCACTATTCACAATAGCAAAGACTTGGAACCAACCCAAATGTCCATCAATAATAGACTGGATAAAGAAAATGTGGCACATATACATCATGAAATATTATGAAGCAATAAAAAAGAATGAGTTCATGTCCTTTTCAGGCACATGGATGAAGCTGGAAACCACCATTCTCAGCAAACTAACACAGAAATAGAAAAGCAAACACCACATGTTCTCACTCATAATTGGGAATTGAACAATGAGAACACATGGACACAGGGAGGGGAACATCACACACCGGGGCCTGTCGGGGGGAGGGGGGCAAGGGGAGGCAGAGCTTTGGACAAATACCTAATGCATGCAGGGCTTAAAATCTAGATAATGGGTTGATGGGTGCAGCAAAGCACCATGCACATGTACAACTATGTAACAAACCTGCATGTTCTGCACATGTATCCCAAACTTAAAGTATAATAAAAGAAATAAAGAAAGAAAAAAGACTGAGTTAAAACAAACACAATTCTCAATCCAAAGTACCAGGACTTTGGAACTACAAATTAGAGGGTACCTGTGATATAGATGAAATGAGTAGTGGCAACCAGAGTTATCTAGAGAGACTCCACTGAGCTCTGCATGAAATCACCTGCATTTGCAAGAATAATGCTATAAAATCTTGTGCAATGGTGAAAGGAGCACGTGGAGAAATTTCATTAGTTTAGATTTTACAGATTATAGTAGAATAGAGATGTAGAGGTTACCTCATATAAGGAAGTTTTACTTGTAAAGCTACATGAAAGAGGGAATTTGAGAAAGTGTTTCAGCAGAAAAATTTGATAAGTACACTTTGCCATTCAGGATGCAGCAGTGGCTCTGCAGCACGAATATCAGCCGGTTGAACTTCTCAGCTTGTCTTTCCCTCAACAGAGAGCATCTAATGCACCCTATCTAGGGACTCTATAACACAATAAGTCACTCTTCTCCTTTACACTTTTTGGCCTCTATGCCTACCGTATTCCCATCTACTATCTTCTACTATGATTTCCTCTTTTTCTCTCTGCTTCATATTCAATCTCCCCAGGAGATACAATCTAAATGGATCAGTAGGTAATTCTCTAGTTTGAGACAACACTATTGGGCAATGATCTTGTTTCAAGCTAGCATAGAAATGTCTTTGCTATGGTGCATATCCCCAGTACAATACATCATGCCATGGTAGCCCAATCAGATGACAGAAAGCCTGGCCACTTGTGGAAGGGACCCTGACCTGGTCACTTCCATCATAAGAGGAATTGAGCATGCCAAGACCTTAGTGTTTCCTAAAATCTACTTTAGTGTCCCAGGAAAGTGAGAGCAAATAGTTAGACTTCTAATAAGCCTTTCTGATAGAGTAAATATGGTTTCTGAAATGGGATAATGGATTTACATGTGAAACTCTTAAATAATGCAAATGTTTATTACATTAGTCTGCTAAGGGAGAAGGACTCTGAGCAGATATAACACCTGAAAGGGTAGTTTTGATATGTGGAAATAGATAAAAATAGAACACATAAGCCAAAGAAAAAGGCCCAAGAAAAGGAACTATTTTTTAGTATACCTTAGAGCCAAAGCATATGCTTTCATAATGACAACCAGTGCCTTTTGGCCTTTCTAATGTGTTCATAATTTTGCTTAAGCAGCAAGTGCTAGTAGACAGTAATATAAATTTCATTTTATTTACTCAATATTCAGGAAATTGTTTTCATTCTTTAAAAATTAAAATAATGAGGCAATATTAACAAAAAAGTACTCTCATGCAAACTAATGATACTGGTTTTTAAGTAAGCACTTTCTAAAGTAGTTAGATATTTAGTTGATTTAGACATAAAAGATGAAGTTTTGTTGTCATTATCATTATCAGTAATATAAATGAATTAATGTAATTGAAAAATGACCACATGTCAACTCATCACAATAAATACATTTTAAACACTTAAATTGGCATAGTACTTATGATACAGTTGCATAACAAAGCTATCAAATAGAAGCCATAGCAAAACTTTTTGTTTCTTGTAAGATGTGGCTTCAGCTGCAAGGTGACTCTAATTTAAAGGAATCTTTAATTATTCATATTTCTGAGAAATGTATACACTCTCTACCCTTTTGCCCTCAATAACAACAGCTCCTACAGGCAATATGTTTTCTAGTACTCTTATTACTTTATCCGTTAGCAGTTTGTTAAAAAACTGACAGTGCCAAAGCCAGTAATGAAGTTAGCTGGTAAATCACAATGCTGTACATCTTATTGACATTGAGCACAGATGTCTTAATAATTGGCTTCAGATCAGTGCAAAGGAGTGAAGTGATTTCACAGAAGATTGTTCTTGCATATTATGTCTGAAAACTGACGGGAAATACAAATATTGCAAATGAAAAATTTGTTTGGAGCATCCTCTCTTCCCAGCCTTGCTCCAGGGCTTTATTCATCCAAGGAGGAATAAAGCAAAGTTCCTGATTTCTAAGAACTTGTAATATATGAAAACTTAAGTAACTTCCAATAACTATTAAATATAATAAACATTTCACAAACTTGTCCTATTATTAATATGAACTATGCAGACAATAATTGCATTAAATGCTCTATACGTGATGATTTCACATTAAGGAATGTCAAATTGTGAATTACATTAAGTTTAAGATCAGATTAGATTAGCTAATGTACAGAATGTTTTGAGGTTTGGGTTTTAAATAGACATTGAATTAGAGATAATTTTATACTCCTCAGAGTGCAAATATAAATATTTACATTCCTAAGTATTGCTATGCTCTAATTATGGTGAAGAAAATCAATTAACAAGAAAGAGCTTCCAAATCCTAGGGTAGAGTTAGCTGTGACCACCAGACATAGCTGTGATGGACACAAGAAATGTGACACAAAGAAACATGCTAAGAGGACTATGATAGGACTGAAGCCTTGGCAAGAAGCAGTGATAGAGTTGTACAACTTGTTTATTTGGATAAGACTCTAAGACAGTACACCTTTTCTATGACATTCAATTGTAAAAACAAACTGCTGGAATAGAACATTAGCCATCAAGTCATGTCCCAAAAATGGCCATTAATGAGCTGCTCCTTTCTAGCCACACCCGTCACGAGGGAGAATGTCTGGATGATGAGTGATTTTCCTGAGAGGAGGTTGTATCACTTGCTTTCCTTCATTGTTTTCCCCATTATACCATACCTAATGAAACTCTCCTTTTTTAAGTGCCTCCTATTGGGTGATAAAATTGGTCTGTTGTGCATCAAGAGAAGGAGAGGAGAGGACAAATACGTGGTAGGAATGTTTACTTATTGTTTCCCCCTAATTTTTTCCATTGTTCTCAATCAGGGTGATTTGGAAATGTAGGGGAAGTTTTGGTTATCACCGGCTTGCAATGACCAGGGGACACAGACACTAAATGCCCTGAAATATGTATGAGAGCTATGCAGAGTAAAGAATTTGCCCAGTGAAAGGGCTAATAGAGACCCTATTTAGAAGCACAACATATTTAGAAAGCGATTGGAGGAGAAAACCAGCACTCAGGTTTAGTAAATATTTGGGGAAATAGATTTGTCTAATATCAATAAGCCAGCTGTACTTTGTGCCTTTTGGAATTCTAGTAAACAAAATGTTAATTAGAAAAAATAAAAATTGTCATAAACTCTATTAAAGATTACTATGTCTTCCTAATGCTATCCCAACACCAGCAAATTATCCTAGTAAAAATTATTCAATAAAGATAATTGTGAAGATTTTTATTATCTCTAATCAAGAGATAAAATTCCAGGGAAATGGCTATAAGTATTATTTGCAATTATTAAATCATGATCAAAGATGCTCAGTTATCTTACTTATTTATTTATTTTTATTACTACTCCTTATGGAGCAGAGCTAACTCATAGGCAGTACACTCAGAGTCAGCCTATATAATTCAAAGCATGCAACTCCATGTGTTTACATGTTTCTTGCAAAGGAGAGAGATTGATAGACATATAATCATGGAAATTTATCCAATGTGATATAAAAATCACTCTTTACAATTTGAAAAGAGAGAACAAATTTTTGTGACATCAGTGAAATAACATAATACCTTCTCCTTCTTTGTTGTTGGTGGGGAGAACGGGGTGTGTGTGTTTTTTCCTCCCTATACAGTTCCAGTATCTTTAACATAAGGTTAAGAATACGATTTAGGAGCCCTACTACTTGTGTTTAAATTCCACCTATACTACTTACTTATGGACTGAATTTGAGTGAGTTATTTAGCCCCTTTTTACCTTTATTTCCTCATCTTTAAATTGAAATATAAATGCTGGATACTTCAGTATTTAGCACTAGGCCTAAAATTTATTTTTATTAGGGATTATTTTTAAATTAAAAAAAAACTATGGCCATTTTGTTTGAGAAAATTTTCCCACCCATGTTATTTATTTTTCATGCAGCTAAAAACAAGGGGGGAAAAGCCCCATAGAGAAAATCTCACTAAATACAGAGTATTAATAAAATAGTGTACATCAAAAAGAGTATGTAATAGCAGTTTTCTTGTGGCCCACCTTAGAAAATCATTTCTTTAATTGCCCCATAACCACCATGAAAATTACAACATCCTTATGATGCTCTGCCTCGGGATTTACTCCCAATGACGTTGCCCTGGCAATGATGAAGTATTGTGTTCTTTAGATGTTAGATTAGTGTCTCTTCTTTGTTGACCAGGAAGCCAGAAAACACATAGCAATTAAAAAGATGTACAGTCTAATATATTCCAATAAAAGATGATTACTCACATCCACCAATGGGTATTCACAAATTACCTACTAACCCTTTCAAAAATACGCCTGATTTTGTATTATCACCATTGATTTTGAAAGCTGTGCAAAATATTGTTAGACACAGAAGAGGTTTTTTTGCATTTTTTTGTTTTTCTTTTCTTTTTCTGAATAAGCTATTGGTTATTTTTCTTTTAAAATTCTAATACTTAATTGAGGATCTGAAACAGTTTTATCATATTTTGGTGATAATTGTATTTCACAATAGGTAGAAAAATCAATTGAAGAAAGATTTAATATTAACTAAATTTTGACTATCAGGATAGAATTGGCAATAAGAAGAAAATAAAAGAAGCAGACATTTTCAGGGAAAGGGCCCTTGTAATTTCTGTCCTTTTAAAACCACAGAAATTATCTACTCTAGATTGCTACTGACTAGACTGATTATAGTTTTTCAACTAAGGAGTTAGAATGGAGTAGAAACAGAAAAGGGACAATAGGAATAAGAGGCAAGCACGACTCTGGATTATAACTATTAAAATATTCTCGGCTGGGCGTGGTGGCTCATGCCTGTAATCCCAGCATTTTGGGAGGTCAAGGCGGGCAGATCACGAGGTCAGGAGATCAAGACCACCCTGGCGAACATGGTGAAACACTGTCTCTACTTAAAAAATACAAAAATTAGCTGGATGTGGTGGCACGCGTCTGTAATCCTAGCTACTCAGGAGGCTGAGGCAGGAGAATCGCTTGAATCAGGGAGTCAAAAGTTGCAGTGAGCCAAGATCGCGCCACTGCACTCCAGCTTGGGCAACAAAAGCAAAACTCCATCTCAAAAAACATATATATATATATATATATACACATACACACACACACACACACACACACACACACACACACACACAGAGAGAGAGAGAGAGAGAGAGAGAGATGTAGATATATAGATGTGTGTGTATATATATATATATATATATATATATATATATTCTCCTGATAATTATGTGGTCAAATTGGAACCTTTGTTGCTTTTTTTTTTTTTTTGTATCAAGCATATTCCTCTCCCAAACTTCATAAACCACCACTATGTTACTCAAGCTAGAAACCTAACTTATCATGCTGGATTTCTTCCTTTTCCTTATTTCTGACATCAAGTCATCCTAAAATTCTGTCATTTGTATCTCAAAAATATATCTTGTATCCATTCCCTTATCCCCATTTCCACACACATCACCCTAGATAAGCAAGCATCAAATCTCACCTAGAGAAGTCCTTCACAATTTCTAGTAAGCATACAAATTACCTGGGGATCTTGTTAAAGTGTACATTCTACTTTAGTAGGTCTGAAGAAAGACCAGAGACTCATCTTTTCTTACAGGCTTCCAGATGACATTGATCCTGCCATTCCATGGATCACCCATTTAATGGAAGGTCTAGATTACCTCAAGTGTATCTGTATTGCAGGGTCCAATTTCATCCTCCTGCAGTCTACTCTCCACCAAGTAGTTAGAGTGATTTTTAGAAAATAAAAAGCAGATATTTTAAATATCTGAAAATAAAGCTATATTTTAACTCGAGAGAACCAAACTATTATCAGTAGGCAAGAAAGGAACTTTCATAGAGCACAGGGTGGTGGTTTTTACTTTCGCAAAGTAGAATTTGCAACAGGATTTTAAATGGGAATTTTACCTCAATTCACAGAGGAATCAAAACTAAGGACAGATTGCAAATATCCCAAACAATCATAGAAATCATCTAGAAATGTCCCTACAAGATTTTACCAATCTTTCCAATATTCTTGTTCATCCCCTAATGAACATATGTAAGAGAAAGCTAGTGGTTAATGGGAATACATAGGAATACAGAACATGTCCTGGCTTTTCTCCTCCTTTCTGCATGGAGTAAGATGGGGAATATTTCATTCCCTGGTGACATGAGGGTGACCCAAGAGAATCACGCATAGAAATTGGGAGTGCCTCTGAGAAGGAAAGACAGTCTTCACCCTCTATTTCCCTTAGGGCAATTGGAGTGTAGAACAGTGAGAAAATTTCTGGGAAGGCTAGCTTGCATTTTCTAGAGTTTGCAATATTAATAATCACAGAAAATTATGCCTGCTTCTCAGCTGGAGAAGTCAGAAGCAAAATATTTCATCCTGCAAGCCTTAATACCACCGTTTGGCAGAAAAAGAATGGCTTATTTTCCCATGAACTCGGAAGACAGCTGAACTTAAGTCATTTTAAAAACACCCCAACTTTCTTCTCAACCTTCCTACCTTCCCCTACCCACAGCCTAGTACCTAGAGGAACCAGAAGCAATTTATTAATGAATGGAGGAGAACAGAAAGACCAAGGTGATGCAAGAGTAGAAAAAACAGAGCATGCTGCCTGTTTTCTATTGCTTCATAGCAAATGGACACAAACTTAACAGCCTACAGTCACACCTATTTATTAGCCTATAGTACTGTTGGTCAAAACTCTGACATGGAATAGCTTAGTTCTTTAACTAGGGTACCACAGGGCTATAATCTGGGTGTCTGATGACTGAGTCCTCATCTGGAAGCTCTAGGAAAAAAATCATTCTCATGGTCAGCTAAATCTTCTTGTTGGCAGAATACAATTTCTTGTGCTTAGATGACCAAGACCTCTGTTTCTGGCTGGCTGTTGACTGGTGGTTGCTCCTAACTCCTGGAGGCCACTCTGAAGCCCTTTTCATATGTACCCCTCCATCTACAAGTCATCAGTGGCACATTGAATCCCCTTAAAGCTTTGAAACTCTGATTTTCTTTTCTGCAACTAGCCAACTAAAACTCTTTTTAGAAAGTGGTTCAAGAGATTAAGTCAAATCCACTGAGATAATCTCTCAGTCTTAAAATCTACCAAGCTGGGACTTCATTTAAATCAACAAAATCTCTTCACAACAGCACCTAGATTAATGTTTTAATGAATGACATGGTCGAGAAACCTTGACAGGCCATCTTAGTATTCTGCCTACCATACTCCACTTTTTACTGTAGGACCTCAGATAGCCTCAAACAGCCTACACCATCCTAGCAATGAGGTGGAAAGAGGAATCAACTGGGAGTTGAAATGATTTTTTATATTATTTTATGTTTTAAATATTTGAAAATAAAGCTATATTTTAAGTCAAGTGAACCAAACTATTATCAGTGGGCAAAAAAATAACTTTCATAGAGTACAGGGTGGTTTTTTACATTCAATGGCTTCTTATTGCACCTTAAATGATATGGTCCCAATACAGCCTTCCATTCAGTTCTCAAAGAAGCCCAGCTCTTTTATTTCTCATAGAGTTACCCAGGTGGTTGCTTCTGACTAGAACATCAATAGCCTCAACCTCAAACTCAGCCAATAAGCAGCCACATGGCAGACATCTTTTCCTATATTTTATCTCAGCCTAAGAGCTTTTCTGACCACACTTCCTAATTAGGTACTGCCTTATTATATTCTATCATTGCATCATCTTGATTCCCTTAATAACATGTATCACCATTTGTAATGATTATTTTTTAGTTTACTCATTTATTATCTGTCACAGCTAGGTTTCAAACTCCGAAAGTACAGGGACTATATCTGCTTGACCTCTGCTGTGTTTGATGTCTTCCACAGAAGCTAATACAGAGTACGTGTCAATAACTGTGTTTTCCATAACAATATATTAGAATTAGAAAATATACATATCAATCAAATGGTGAGGGAATGAGATCTCTAAAGAGGATATAAAGTCACAAAATGTTGAACACTGGGTCAAATGTGGTCAAAAGACTTGTGTTTGAACAAAGAATGTCTTTTATAAACCTAAAACTGTTCTTTTTGAGATTGAATTTGAATTTGACCACTCTAGTTTTTCATCACTCCATATTATTTTTATACAGTCTCTACACACTTATATGCCCTACTTCACAATCAAAATTTTGAAAACACAATACTACATGTACAGTGTGAAAAAAAGGAGGCCAGGTTAAAAATTTACATAAATGTCTATATATTTTCTTAATTACTCATGTCCAGTCTTTCTCCCTGACTTTCTTCATCCCAACACACTCTGCTCTTTTAAGAACCACAAACCTAAACTCATAATACTTTGACATCTTATGACACTTAAGAGGTAATACGTTGGCCGGGCGTGGTGACTCACGCCTATAATCCCAGCACTTTGGGAGGCCGAGGCAGGTGGATCACAAGGTCAGGAGATTGAGACCATCCTGGCTAACACGGTGAAAACCCGTCTCTACTAAAAAACAAAAAAAAATTAGTCGGGCGTGGTGGTGGGCGCCTGTAGTCCCAGCTACTCCAGAGGCTGAGGCAGGAGAATGGCGTGAACCTGGGAGGCGGAACTTGCAGTGAGCCGAGATCCTGCCACTGCACTCCAGCCTGGGCAACAGAACAAGACTCCATCACAAAAAAAAAAAAAAAAAAAAAAAAGAGGTAATAAGTTATTCTATAATTACTTGAGTATGTGTCTTTGTCTTCATTACTACTAAAGTTTTTGATAGCAGGAATTCAGACTTTTTTAAATCTTCCACTTTTTCTAACATACAGTTAACGTTCAAATAAGTATGTCCTGAATAAAATAAAATATATAAATAAGTGTTTGTACTCATGAACGCAAAACTATAAAAAAAATTCAATGCTCAGACAGCTTTCTAAAGATGATCAAACTTAGATTTAGAAATATGAGTACAAGACCTTATTTCTGAAAGTACCTTGCTTCTTTCATTACTGTTCAAACATACTTATACTTTGCATAGATTTATGAAGACACTTGCATCTTTATGCCATGCACAGATTTCTCCCATCATTATTTTTATATGCCCACCAGATGAATTTTTGTCATAAAAATGTTGTCCTAGAAAGTGTCATACAGTAATGATGGGATACTTTCTTCTCTAAAACAACTATCAATCAATGCTACATGTTTTGAAGGAGAAAGATCAGGGGTTTTCTTTATGTTTCCCTCTCCCCACAACTCTATCCATGGTTAGACAGTTGAAATGAAACTTGTAAAGGCTGGAAAATTCTTTTTCCTGGTGGTCAAGACTTACCAATTTATAGAAAAAATGATTTCTTACAAAACGAAACCAGTTAGAAAGTACTGGACTCATAGCCTTTCTTTCATATTCCCCTGCAGGATTAGTATACTTATATACCATATAAATTTATCACAATTTATTATGTTTTCTTAGTCCCACTGCTACTGAAGGAAATTATACACAATATAAAAATACTTAGCCTCAGTTTCTACAATATTGAAAGGTCACAGACAGACTTCATTTCCGCCTAATCTCTATCACGTCACCATTATTTCAGAATTTTCAGGGCATTTCCTTCTCTTTGAAGGGGAAAGACACTTGTGAGAAGGAATAAAATGTCATAATTTTTCAGTGTCTTTCACAGAGTTCTTCATTGTGTCCTTTTACTCCTACTTAAACTTTCCCTTCTTCATCAAGATCATTCAGAGTTCTGGCTATTTTGCTCTTAACAAATGGCTGTGCTTCAACCTTCCATAAATTGCCTTCCACCTGCCTTGAATCCTTGTATTTTTCCAACAAGCAAAATGGAATACAGAGATAAAAAAATTACAGTTATTATTGATGTGCCCATTAATACATGTTCATTTTTATAGAGAAATCTGTATATTTTAGTGATATTTGCATCTCTTTCATCTTGCCTCTTTCTAGATTATAGGTTAAAACATATTGGGCAATATTATATTATTCTCTTCATGTAAAAAAATGAACATTTGCCTTGGCTGTCTTCCTTTATCAGTAAATAATGCCCAAAATAAATTAATGAATATATAAAAAGTAATCACTGAGAAAAAAACATTTTTAATGTTCCTAAACTTTATGACATGTATTCATGAGAAGATCTTTAATAAAGTTCCTTGACTGTTTCTGTCATTTTAGGTGTGGGTGACATAAATAGTCTTGTGAGGGCTAATTACTAACCTTATATGGACTAAATGCTTTATCTCAGAGCTGTAAATGGAAAATAGCCCAATAAAAGTTATCCCATAAATCTGAGGACTCCAATAAGTCCCATGTCAAACTTTATACATGTACATATGCCTTTCATTTGCTTAGTTCATCCCTATGTACCAGAAGACAGCTCAAGGACATGACTAAGATTAACTATAAATTTTCCTTCAAGGATCAAATTTATATTTATACCGGGGGGAATTCATAAACCTTTTCAGGTAAGTGCATAATTCCAATCCAGATTCAGTGTAAAATGTTTTGCTTGAAACATGCTGATTCTTGTAGCAAATAAAATATCCATTTATTATGCATAGAAAATAAAGACAATAGTAACCCTAATATCAGAGTGACAATAGAAATAGAAGGTAGTTGAATTATGTTTTATTTTCTAAAACTTCCTTTATTTTGATATTTACATTTCCCAGTTTAGAATGGAATAGTTTTTCCTAAATTAGGAACTGACAGCTTAATTATATGTGATTGATATGCTTTCTTTGGAGGAGTCACTACTGGAATATAAACAGCTATCCTTTTTATTTGTTTTTATCATATTCAATATACACAAATATAGAATAGAGATAGTTTTGTTGGATTCAGTAATGCTCATTGGAAAAATCCTAGCATAGACAAAATTCTATTTAGCAAGTATTAAATTATCCTACTCTGCATTGTGAGGTTAGTACTCATATGGTATATAATTCACCCAAAATTTCTATGCAGATGTAGATATGACAAATTCTGTTTTAATGAGAAATCCTTTACACCATATTCATAGCCATATCTCCATTTAATACTCAATATAAGCAGCATGGAAAAACTGCCCTTTTCTCCATCTTGGCTAAATCTCACAACATTGTCTGTGAAGACATTCAGTGTTTTAAAGAACTGTACTTTTAATCTGTGCAATGTTAAATGCTCTTCATAAAATACCACTATTTCCAGACTATTGTAACTTTCGCATCAGTAGCAGAGCCTAATGGGAGTAACATTGCCTTTGGAATAAGACTGACCTGGTTTGAATCTTTACTTTGTGATTTAATAAACAGGAAAACTTTCCAATATTTTGTAATCTGTATGAGTTTCACATTGTTTCTCTGTAAAATGTCAGCAACTATTTCATTAATACAAACCTTGCAGATTTTATCATGATGATTAGATGAAGTAATGGTGGGTGTAAAGTGTCTAACTGCATTCCTTGTGAATTGTACATACTCAGTCAATGAGGCTGTTAACGTTGTTATAACTATGGAAAGATTTACACTGAACACTTCTTGATTATTTTCCTAAGTAATGAATTTATCTTTTCTTTTAAAGGAATCCTAATCATTTCCAAAAAAGGTAAAGAAAAAAGAATAAAGGGGAAACAGTTAATGATAGAGTCAGTCATACATGAATACAGAGCAAACAAGATGAAAAAGACTGGGAAGAAGATAACATTATAGAGACATCTTCAAAATTCAGATTCAGGAGGATATACCTGGTAAACAGCTATATCACTTAGCTTTCTTAGTTTCAAGTAAAAATGCTCTATTCAACGCACCTTAAGACAAAAAATAAAATAAAAGAATGTACTGACTCCTTAACTCACATGTCAAAAATGTAGAGCTAGCTAAACAAATATTGAAACAACGTTCTCAAGATTATGTCTGTGCATCACTCTGTTTTGTGTTTTCTATGTTAAGTACCTTATCAGAGAGATCTTTCATTGTAAACAAACAATACATTTGAAAAGTCCAGCTTTCCACAGTTTTTACTATCTTAGAAAAGTACCTTTCCTTTTCAGGACCTAAACTTCCTGTTGACAAAAAGATGTTAATGAGCACAGCTTGGATCATATGTACAAAATGAACTTTCATTCACTATAGTCAAGGAAATAGCAATTTGCTAGTCCACAAAGTCCATGATGTATCACAAGACTATGTCTATGAGAGGCAGTTTCCTTTATTGAAGTGCCAATAAATTTTGGTGAAACAGGAATAGAGCATTTCCCAAAGAAAGTAGATATGGGGCAAAAAAGTAGACCCAATTATTACCTTCATGTTGCCTACAGTCCAAAGTAGAAAAATATACTAATTACATATTTTAAATCAGTATACTGAGTGTTACAAATAAGAGATGTGCTTATGAAATTCTTTCATAGGGAGAGATGAACTAGTCAGAATGGTCAGGGAAGGCTACTTAAAAGTAGGAAAGCAAGCTGATATAAGAAGTTTCCACAGGCACTACGAGAAGAGGGTAAGGAATACGATTCCAAGAACATTAACACTTGTGCAAGGTTTTGTAATGGGTGAGAGCAGGGCAAAGATGAGGCTGTATTACATTTGCCTGAAAGAAACTAAAGAAAGCCTAAATAGATGGAAAGTCATCTCTTGTTCATTGACTGGAAGATTTAATATCACTAAGTTAGTAAAAATACTACCCAAATTTATCTACACATTCAACACCATTCTTATTAAAATTCCAACTACCATTTTATTGCAGAAAAGGAAAATCTGATCTTAAAATTCCATGGAAATACAAGGTGCCAAAAATGGGCAAAAATTACGAAAAAGAGCAAAGTTGGTGGACACATACTTTCCAATTTCAAAGCTTAACGCACAGCTACAGTAATCAAGATAGCGTGGTAATGGCTTAGGGACAGAAATTTAGATCAAAGTTATAAAAGTGAAAATCTAGACATAAACATATATGTCTAAGGTCAGTTTATTTTCAACAAGGTTACAGGGAAAGAATAATTTTTCAATAAATATTGCAAGAACATCAGGATATTGACATGTATAAGAGTTAAATTAGACTCCCTCTTCATAGTATTCACAAAGACTTAACTCAAAATGGATCGAAGACCTAAATGTAAGAGCTAAAACTATAAAACTCTTGCAAAGAAACATAGGTGTAAAACTTCATGACCTGAACTAGGCAAAATTTTCTCAGATATTACAGACAAAGCACAAGCAACAAAAGAAAAAATAAATTGGACTTTATAAATATTAAAAACCACTGTTCATCAAAAGGCATTATTAGAGTAAAAAGGCAATATGGGGAATGGGAGAAAATATTTGAAAATCACAAATGTAATCATTCACTGTTTAGAATATAATAAGGACTCTTTTTTTTGTTGTTTGTTTGTTTGTTTGTTTTTATTATACTTTAAGTTTTAGGGTACATGTGCACATTGTGCAGGTTAGTTACATATGTATACATGTGCCATGCTGGTAACATTGTAAGTTAGCTATTGCTATCATTATTTTAATACCATGAAATCTGAGGCATAGAGAATTTAAGTTTACTGTCCAAAGTCATCAGCAAGAAAGTGTCAGAGTCAGAATTCAAAACCAACTTTGCCTAGCTCCAAAGTCAATATTATAACCCAAATCCTTTATATCTAGACCATTAAAGTAATGGTGCCCTGACTTTTCTGTATTTGATAGGAATCCAGGAGATAATGGGTAAAAGAAAAGTAAGTGATTCTACCACCAGTATTTGAAAATAAAAATGCGTTCATATACTCACTTTTTCCTCAATTACTACTGTATAATGCCATTTTGTGACATGTTTTCCAATTTCAAATTTGTACCAACAGTCATTTGAATTTGATTTTGCTTATCATTCTTAGTTTCTCTTAAGCTTGTGCTTCTATCACTGAATTATTCTTGTTTTGTTTTGTTATGCCTCCTTGCTTCCTTTTTTTAAAACAAAAATTTATTTTAGGTTTGGGGGGTATATGTCAAGGTTTGTTACATAGATAAAAATGTGTCACGGGGGTTTATTGTACATAACATTACATCACCCAGGTATTCAGCCCAGTACCCAATTATTTTTTCTGCCCCCGCCCTCCATCCTCCTGCCCTCCCCAGTGAAGTAGACCCCAGTGTCTTTTTTTTCCTTCTTTGCGTTCAAAAGTTTTTATCACTTAGATCCCACTTACAAGTGAGAACATGCTGCATTTGCTTTTGTTCCTGCATTCATTTGCTAAGGATGATGGCCTCTAGCTCCATTCATGTTCTCACAAAAGACATGAGCTCATTCTTTTTTATGGCTGCGTAATATTCCATTGTGTATATGTACCACATTTTCTTTATCCAGTCTGTCATTGATGGACATTTAGGTTGATTCCATGCCTTTGCTACTACGAACAGTGCTGCAGTGAACATTCACATGCATGTATCTTTGTGATAGAATGCTTTATATTCCTTTGGGTATATACCCAGTAATGGGATTGCTGGGTCAAATGGTAGTTCTGCATTTAGATCTTTGAGGAATTGCCATACTGCTTTCCACAATGGTTGAACTAATTTAAACTCCCACCAACAGTGTATAAGGGTTCCCTTTTCTCTGCAATCTCACCAGAATCTGTTTTTTGTTTTGACTTTTTCATAATAGCCTTTCAGACTGGTGTGAGATGGTATCTCACTGCGGTTTTGATTTGCATTTCTTTAATGATCAGTGATACGGAGCTTTTGTCTAATTGCTTGCTAGCCTCATGTATGTCTTCTTTTGAGAAGTGTCTGTTCACGTCTTTTGCCCACTTTTTAACAGGGTTCTTTTTTTTCTTGTAAATTTGTTTAAGTTCCTTATTGATGCTGAATATTAGAACTCTGTCAGGTGCATAGTTTGCAAAAATTTTCTCCCATTCTGCAGATTGCCTGTTTACTTGGTCTATAGTTTCTTTTGCCATGCAGAAGCTCTTAAGTTTAATTAGGTATCATTCCTTTCTTCCTTTTTATAGCAATTTTTAAACCTATTTGAGCAAAGGAAATAGAATAGGTTTGCAATTTTATTTTATTTAATCATAAAAAAGGTAGATAATATAAGATGTATTAAAGATTTAAATGTAAGACCTCAAACTAAGAATTCTAGGAAAAAACAAAGGAAATATCATTCTGGGCACTCCTTGGGAAAGAATTTATGCTAAGTCCTCAAAAGTAACTGCAACAAAATGAAAAATAGACAAGAGGGATGTACTTAAACTAAAGAGCTTCTACACAGCAAAAGAAACTCTCAACAGAGCAAGCAGACAACTACAGAATGGGAAAATATATTCACAAACTATGCATCTGATAAAAGTCAAATACCCAGAATCTGTAAGAAACTTAGACATTTAGGCTGGGCATGGTAGCTCACATCTGTAATCCCAAAACTTTGGGAGGCTAAGGTGGGCAGATCACCTGAGGTCAGCAGTTTAAGACCAGCCTGGCCAACATGGTGAAACCCTGTCTCTACTAAAAATACAAAAAAAATTAGCCAGGCGTGGTGGTGGCTGCGTATAATCCCAGCTACTCCAGAGGCTGAGGTAGGAGAATCGCTTGAACCCAGGAAGCCGAGGTTGCAGTGAGCCGAGGTCATGTCACTGCACTCCAGCCTGGACAACAAGAGTGGAACTCTGTCTCAAAAAAAAAAAAAAAAAAAAGTAAACTTAAACAATTCAACAATCACAAAAGTAACTCTATTAAAAAGTGGGCAAAAGACATGAACACACACTTCTTAACAGAAAAAAATACAAGCAGCTAATAATCACACAAAAAAATGCTCAACATCATTAATCACCAGAGAAATGCAAATCAAAACCACAATCAGATACTATCTCATACCAGTCAGAATGGCTATTACTAAAAAGTCAAAAAATAACAGATGCTGGCAAGGCTGAAAAGAAAAGGGAATTCTTATCCATTGTTAGTGGGAATGCAAAGTAGCTCAGCCACTGGAGAAAGCAGTTTGGAGATATCTCAGAAAACTTAAAACAGAACTGTCATTCGACTCAGCATTCCCACTACTATATATATATATATATATACTCAAAAGAAAACAAATCATTCTACCAAAAAGACACACATACTCATATGTTCATTACAGCACTATTCCTAAGAACAAAGACATGGAATCAATCTACGTGCTCATCAACAGTAGATTGAATAAATAACATGTGGTGCATATACACCATGGAATACTACACAGTAGTATAGGAAATAATGAAATCATGTCCTTTGCAGCAACATGAATGCAGCTGCAGACCATTATCCTAAGCAAATTAATGCAGGAACAGAAAACCAAATACCACATGTTCTTACTCATAAGTGTAAGCTAAGCATTGGATACACATGGACATAAAGATGGAATGACAGACATTGGGGACTACCAGAGTAGGGAGAGAGGGAGAGAGGCAAGAGCTAAAAAACTACCTAGTAGGTACTATGCTCACTAACTGGGTAATGACATCATTCATACCCCAAATTTTAGCATCACACAATATACTCATGTAACAAATCAGCACATGTACCTCTGAAACTAAAATAAAAGTTGAAATTATAAAGAAAGTGGTAAATTAGAATATTGTTTAAAATTGATTTACTTATTAAAAATTAAAATTTACAAAATTAAATAATGTATTTAGCAGATATTAATTGAATGTCTACTTTTGCCAGGTTTTGCTGAATATTAGAGATGCAATAATAAAAAAAAAAGTTCCTGTCCTAAGGGCAAAATAGGCAATAAACAAATAAATCTATAGTTCTATTAGGGAATGAGCAACATTATTAAAAAAAAAATCATGCTACAACCCTATAGTGGGTTGGGTCCAAAGGATGATTAGGCCAGCTTCATACCAATTTGGTTTACTTATATCTAGGCCCTCTTGGTCAGTCTGGCCTACTCTGTCATAATCATTGCGGTGTTCACTAAGGACGCCCTACTGTTTTTCTCTGCCATCTCAACTTCTGTGGGAACGCAACTGAGAGTGAACTCAAGTTCTTTTCCACAAGGCTGCGGGGCCATATGCATATCAAGGGATATATGTCTGGGTATAATTCTTATTATTCTGCATCATCTAATGAGAGCTAAGAAGTTTTCTGAAGGTTGTATGGCATTTAGGAAGCAGTATTTCCCAGGGTATATAGACTATGTTACAGCTAAGGAGATATTCAATTCTGACACTGCACAAAAGGAAGGGCTGTAAGGACTTGACCTTATGTGCAATGACAAGGCAACTCAGAAGATGCATGAGTAGGATCTGTGGCTTAGAACAAAACAAAACTAAGCAATCCCAGACTAACCAATCACATAATCCATGCTATCTGGAAAAACAAAAAACAACAACAACAAAAAAACAGTTTATTTCCAGTTAAAACAATAATTCCCAATCTTTACTACCAATTTTCACACTGATTGCTCTGTTTTCTTGGCATCATTTCTAAAAGAGATAACCCATGAAAGCACAATTTTGTAGCAATGGTTATATAGTGCATCCAATATAGGTACTTTTCCCTTACATTTCTTGAATCGACTCAATACTTAACTATGTTAGAAAGACATTTTAATCAAATTGTTGCCAAAAAGCATTCTCTTGTGTGGGCTTTTCATGAATACACTATTTAAAATATCAATTATTTACTGTACTTTCCATTACCTTGCTGTATTTTTCTTCATAGTACTTTAATTATTTGAAATTATATTTCTTTTCCAGTCATCTGTTTATTGTCACTCTTCCCCTCTAAAATTCAAGTTGCATCTGCTTTATCTTATTCACCACTGCATACCCTAGTAGCTAGCATACTGGCTAGCACTATAAGTGACTAAATGAATCTTTATTATTAAAATATAGCAAAAAATCTGGTTACAAATATTGAAGTTATTTTGTTTAAAAAAGATATGAAACTGATTAATCATTAATTTGAGTATAAATGAAAAATCACAACAAATACACTGTCATACTACACTGTCTTTCTGTTAATAACTCCTATTATTCCCTTAGTGGGAACTGGCAAAGAGTGGGAATTGTGTTGGTCTCCATCTGTTTTCTTTTTTTCTCCTTGGTCATACGTTCCTCATTAAAATGTCTCTTTCCCCATGTGTCAATCCAAATTCCCATCATCTTGCTGATATTTTCAATCTTGCATTTTATTATTGGCCAATATATTTAAAGCACACGGATATCCTGATTTATAAGAAGTTTGTTGATTTTTTCCTTGTTTCACACATCTGTCACTCTAAAAATATGGAAAAAGTGACTCTCATGATGTGTATTTTCCTGATACTTTGTGCAAACATATATATGTTTGCATAACATATGATACATATGAACATATATAAACTTACCCAAAGCTGCTTCCAACAACATTCCCACCACATCGATATTAAGAGTATGTGTTTGGCTGAAACCCCGTCTCTACTAAAAATACAAAAAATTAGCCCGGCGTGGTGGCGGGCGCCTGTAGTCCCAGCAACTTGGGAGGCTGAGGCAGGAGAATGGCGTGAACCTGGGAGGTGGAGCTTGCAGTGAGCCAAGATCGCGCCACTGCACTCCAACCTGGGAGACAGAGTGAGACTCCGTCTCAAAAAAAAAAAAAAAAAAAAAAAAAAGAGTATGTGTTTGGAGCCAGATTAGCACTTACCAATTGATAAACACATATTCTCTCTGCACGTTATTTTCCTCTTCACTAAAAGGATGATGAAGGCTCCCACCTCACAGAGAGGTGAGATCCTCAGTTGTCTTGAGGGTAAAGTCAGTTAATGAAAATAAAATTTGTATAATGCTGATAGACATGCAGTAAAATGTTAATGCTGGGGGACAACTCAACAAAGATCTCTTGTTTCTACACATCTGTGAGCAGAAACACAGTTTTCTTCCAGACTGCTGTTTCTCAAGAATATTTGTAGAGTGAACAGGCTTGGAAGATATATTCTCCCTCCTGAAAAAGGGGCAGATTTCTTTACTGTCTATAAAATAAAGACAATGTCTCCATGTAGAGCAAAGCTTTAGCAGGCTTGCTGGAAGCTCATTATAAAGATTGGGTTCCCTTAGATTGGGGTTGTTGAGTTGCAATGCAAATACACTGTGAATGCAGATATAATCTGGCCCTTTCTGTTTTCTCGTGGGAATTGGGGCTTGGAGAATAGGTGCAAGGAAATATTGGTATTCTGGGTACTACGAATGCTGTGAGTAGTAAACTCTTTTCTGTATCTGACCCATAAGTACCGTGCCTTCCAGCACTCATGAAAATAATGAAAATATGGCAATATACCTTTTAAGCTGGCAAGTAAGTCTCTTCATAGTCCTTGATAGCAATATTATTAATATTATGTTTTTTCCTAGGTTGTATATAATTTCTAACTTTGAGCAAGAAAATTGATTTTGAGATGACAACCTGGATAGTTTATCCATTCATCATAAAACATCTCCCTTTCACTTTTTAAATCCCTGCACCCCTGCTACCACTCACTAAAAAAAATAGCCCTGGTTGGAGAACCTACTCCTAAAAGCAGTTACATCCTAGCTTCTGTTGTTTCCCAATTTCCTACAAGCTACATATCAAACACCTTACTTACAGTCTATTTTCTAACCCTGTAAATTGAATTACTTTCAATTTATCAGGAATTTGTAGTCTTCTAGGAGACTTTTTTCTTTCTTTTTTTTTTTCACTTTATAATCTCTGTTGCTTTAAATTTCTGCTTTACAATCTTTCATTCTCAAACCAGGTGGTTCTTTACTCAAAATACTTTACCTTCAGGTGTTTGAAATATTCAGCAAAGCAAAATATAGCTAAGGGCTGCACGTTTCTGTTCACTACCTGAGTGATGGTGCATGAACAAAGTCAGCAATGTTAATATTCCAGGATGTCTTATAATGTAACTTTTGTTTCTCCATTTGATTTTACTCAGTTCCTGATTTCTAGTGAAAAAATATCAAAACATTTTGCAAAAATGTTTCAAATTTAAGCGATTCAGTAATTTTCTTATCAGTATGTTACCCTTCACAACAGCATTTATAAGACTATCTCTTATGGTGTTTCTAGTACAATAAACCATAATAAGGATTACCACATCCTATGGCTTCAGCAGCAGTTTATTGAGCTGTTTAGTAAACATAACTCAGCATGTTTAAGGTTTTTGACGTTACTAAAACCAGTGTTTTAAAATCACTAGTTAATTTTAAGTTATGTATTAATATTATGCTAATGATAGAAATTAATGTAAAATTATAACAGCCCATTTTGTTACTCTTATTATTACTATTGCATTTATTTTTGTTGGGTTTGAATTTAAAAACAAATTTAGGATCAGAATCATATCATTTGTAAAGACAGGGTTGCCCCAGTATTACTTAGTGTTGATCTGAGAACAAAAGTGAAAGACTTCACAAATTTGTGTATCTCCCCACTAACATCACTGACATTTTACACAAATAGAAATCCCATATCTTATAAAAACACAAGCAAAACACACATGTACACATACACACATACACACCACAAACACCATGACAACTGACTTAGAAGTAACAAAAAAGAAGAAATATGTCCGAAGATTTAGAGAGTATATAATGTTCAATTCTGTTTCATGGACAAAATATATAATACCCGGCATATTATTATAGAAACCAGGGCAATCTGATAAGCTTTCTAGGGTAGTTATTCAGCCAAATGGGTCCTTTGGGGAATTCAGAGGTGATTATTGCTGCCAAAGCTTCTTCACTTAAGAGTTAATTGCTCAAGGTCTTTAGTTCTCACTTGGTTTTATTGCAATATATAACATACTATCCAGGAGCCTATATTCTACATCCCAGGTTTATAAACCTACAACTGGGGTTAGGATGCTGTTCTCCCTCATTAGAATTGGAGGACTCTCCATCATTCCTCTTCATTCTCTGGGTCCACTGCCTTTACAAACATTTTTGGTTAGCAATGCAGATATTTGTAAACGTATTTTCAGACAATTAAACTTAACATTTTGAGCTAACATTCTTCTCTAAAATGCTCTCATAGATTTTACATAAGTAATTAGAAAAAATACACATACATACACACAAATGCAAAATCTACATATATGTGTTAGTAGATATAGTAACCAACACAAATAACTGTTTCACTTTATAATTCTCACATAAAACAATTTAGCATCACAAACAATAATTTTTCAGAGTTTTGGAATGAGAGATGAATTTATTAGAGAGTATTTTGGGTAGAAAATACATGGAGATTCGGAGGACATCCAAAACGTAAGGATTTTTCCCTTCAGTTCCCTTTACCCTGTCACTTCTCTCTACCAAACTGAAAATATATATCAATAATTATTTATAAAACCAGAATTTTTCATTTAAATGATCTACTTTAATATTCATAACAACCTTATGAATTATGTAATTCTTACACATGAGGAAGTTAAGTCTCAATGAGCTGTTACAATTTAAACAATGATTTTGAGGCAGAAGCAGGATTCCATTAGTCTATTGTATCTCACTTTAGAAGGCATATCAATGGTCAAATATTGGGAAATATTATTATTACAATATATTACATGCAGTGTTTCCTAGAAAGAACTTTTATTTTTTCTTTCTAAACTAATAACAAAAGGTGAAGTCATGTTACAGAGGGTGAGAATGGAAAAAGCAGAAATAAGGTTTCAAAGATTTTGGATATCTTCAATTTAAATGATTTTTAAAAATATGTCAGTATTTCCTGTCATTTAAAAATTTTATTTCATATTTGGATAAGTGTTGGCTCTGGATTTAAATACCCTAAGCATCTGCCATAGCTTCTCCCATACTACCTGTGTGACCTGAGACTAGTTACTTAAAATCCTTTAATCTGACTGGCTTCATATTTGTAACATGGAACTAAGAGTTGTTCTGTCTTCATTGAATCGTGCAGAGAATTAAATGAGATGATGTGTGTGCATTGTTGGCACAGTGTTCTTCACAAAGTAAATACTCAATACATCCTTCCTACTGATATTTTTCTACATTTTATTCATCCATATTTTTCTATTATTTTATTCTTCCATCATTATTATTATGAATGCAAGTGAAAGATTATTTCAATCAGCATTCTGTGACAGGTATATACTTTGCTTTAACTAGACTTCGGCCAGTCTCGCCCTTTCTGGGGTTTAGAATTCAGACTTCTAGACTGAATTCTCTCTTGTGGTTCTTGAATGCTTTTATCTTCTAGTGTGAGGAATCATGTGTGAGTCCTAGTATCTAAATCTATAACTCAGTAACATCAGTAAATTTTTATGAGTGAGTAACAGTTTAGTAGTGCATATGGTAAAAAAAATTGCCTTATACTCTTCTTGTTTTATTTATCTTCTTAAGGATACTTTTTCATTCCATTTAAAATACATGCTAATTATAGAAAAATTGCAAAATTACCTGTAGAAGTATAAGATAAAAGAAACAACCTGTATTCAAACTACTCAGAGATAAAGATTATTAGCATTAGGTTTTAATTTCTTCTAGGCTTCTTGCTTTACATTGTATATAATTCTGTATTCTAAGTATAAAGTACATGCTTATTGCTTTCTTTTTAAAATTTACCTAGCATTTACTTAAATTCAAAGTCCTAAGTGCTTAAATATACATTACAAACACTGAGTCCTAACCTATTACTTTAACAATTTTTATTATGGGACATAATAAAAGTGCATAAAACATATGCACAGCTTAAACAAAAATTATAAATATAACATTCATTTAATAACTACTACCCAAGTAAAAAAGTAGAATATGGTTCACATCCCAGAAACTTCACTAAATACCTTTCCCTCATCAAATTCTTCTCACTTCTCTTCTCCCAGAGATACCATTATCTTGACTTTTGTGCTAGCAACTTCCTTGCTTTTCCCTCATATTTTTATTTCCTTATGGATGTACAATAAGTCCAGTGCCAAGAATAGTGAATAATCAGAGATTTTACCTTATTTGTAATCTAAGTTAGAATGCCATAATTTCATGGATGCTAACACAAAACACAAGACTTCTGAGTCAGAGACAAAGGATAATTTATTAATCACAGCAATAACAATAGCCAGAGAATTAACATTGGTACAAGTTTCCTAAGTTCCTTTTTCCACAGGGGCACTCAAAGAGGGCCGGATGACATCCACACCTTCAGTGAGGTGCATTACAGGAGAGGAACACTGGGTTTAAATAATCTAAATTTGCTGTAATGGGCAGCAAGTATGCCTGATTTTTGTCCCAGAAGACATTATCATGAATATATGGGAAATCAAACAAACCTGCCTTTTGTTAGGTGGTGGTGGCAGAATGGAGACAGTATCTCTAGCTTTCATGTCTATTTGCTATGCAAAAATTCTTGAAAAGGTATTCCGAAACAAAGGAAGTCAGTGCCTCTGTTTAAAAGTCATGAAGAAAAACATGAAAAACCTGTAGTCAGTAGTCATCTAACAAGACAGCACCCTTGTTGAAAAGTCAGGTCTTTTCCTGATTATGTGGAAGTGTGTGTCCCTGGAATACATCAAGCATCCTTATATGTCTGCATAACTTTCTGAAGAGCATTTTTTCTATTGGTTTATCTAACTCAAAGTATTACATGTTATCTTAACTCTTATATCTTTTTAATAAAAATTCTCTAACTCAAAGCATTACCACATATGTTAATTACTATATTTTAAGTCTTCATATATGTTCTGGCAAATCCACACTTCTTGTTACTCTACTAGAATTTCTTGGCTACTATTAACTTTAAACTTCTACAAATTTCCTCCTGAAAGTCTTGCACATTAATTGCCTGAATTATTAATAAGTGTATCTTATTGTGCTACTACTGTAAATAGTACATTTTCATTTAATTTTTGGTTTATGTCTACTTGATAGGGATAAAATTTATATATATAATATATGTTTTATATTAAATGTTCTTTTATTCCAGCAACCTTATTCCTCATCAATTCTTATTAGTGCTACCATTTATCCTTAAATACTTTTATATTACAATAATTTTTAAATTGTGTTGTTATTCAGTTATAGTAATTTTAATTTTGCTCATTTCTTGCTTCACTGCTCTGGCTAGAAGTCTGAGTTATGTGAAATAAAATTTATAGTAGACAGTGTTCTTTTTTTTTCTTTATTTCAGCAGAAATTATGTCAACATTTGATAATTAGGTGTATTATTTACTATAGATTTTCTGAAATCATTATAAGATTAATAAACTATCTCCTATTTGTTAGCCTGATAAATCTTTTTAAAAATTATAAGTAGATTTTGGATTTTATAAAATGCTTTGGAATTATTATAAATGAGTATAAAATTTTAACTCTAGTCAGTATGGTGAATTAATTGAGTGATTCAAGTTGAAGGAATATTGCATTCCTGATGTGAAAAAAATGTGGTCATAAGATTTATTTTTTACATTTTTGGGGTTTAAATTTCCAATATTTTGAGTAGTATCTTTTTATTTGTACAAATTTTGGGAGCTCATGTGTGATTTTGTTACATGCATAGATTGCACAGTGGTCAAGTGAGTGCTTTCAGTTTTCTATCACCCATTTAATGTACATTTTACCCATTAACTAATTTCTCATCATCCACCTATCTATGACCTCTTCATCCTTCTGAGTCTCCATTGTCTATGACTCCTCCTTTTATATCCATGTGTACACATTTTTAGCACCGACTTAAGAGTGAAAACAATTTTCTGTGACTGGCTTGTTCCACAAGATTTTTTGTCTTTAATTTTGTTTGCATGACATATTACATTTATTAATTTAATTGTGTATGTTGAACCATTCTTGCATCCCTCATATAAAACTCATTTGATCATGGTATATTGTCTTTTTTATTTTTTGTGTAGGCAACTCTTAAAAAAAACTTTTATTTTAGGTTCAGAGGTACATGTGCATGTTTGTTATGTGGGTAAACTTGTGTCATGAGGGTTTGTCCATACAATCAAACATAAAACAATCCTCAGCAAATGCAAAAGAACTGAAATCATATTAAACACATTCTTAGACCACAGCACCATAAATATGGAAATGAAGATTTTAAAAATCACTGAAAACCATGCTATTTTATGGAAATTAAACAATATGCTCCTGAATCACTTTTCGGTAAGTAGTAAAATTAATCCAGAAATCAAGAAGTTCTTTGAAACTAATAAGAACGAAGATACAACATACTAGAATCACTGGGATACAACAAAGGCAGCATTAAGAGGAAAATTTATGGCAGTAAAAACCCACATCAGAAAGTTAGAAAGATCTCAAATTAACAAGCTAACATCACAACCAAAAAGTTCGAGAAGCAAAAAGAAATCAACCCCAAAGTTAGCAGAAAGGAAATAAACAAAATCAGAGCTGAACTGAAGGAAATTAAGACATGAAAACCATTCAAAACATCAACAAATCCAGGAATTTGTTTTCTGAAAAAATTAACAAGATAGGCCACTAGCTAGACAAATAAAGATGAAAAGAGAGAAGATTCGAATAAACACAATTAGAAATGACAAAAGGGATATAACCACTGACCACAAAAATAAAAACAACCATCAGAAACTACCACAAACACCTCTGTGCACAAAAACTAAAAAAAAAAAAAAAAAAACAAAAACAACTAGAAGACCCAGATAAATTTCTGGAAAAATACACCCTCACAAGACTGAACTAGGAAGAAATTGATTCTGGGACCAGACCGGCAAGGAGCTCCATCAGTAATAAATAGTAATAAAAGCCCAGGACCAGACAAAAACACAGTGGAATTCTACCAAATGTACACAGAAGAGCTGGCGCCATTCCTACTGAAACTATTCTGAAAAGTAAGGAGGAGGGCCTCCTTCCCAACTTACTCTATGAGGCCAGCATCATCCTGATACCAATGTGGCAGAGATACATCAAAAAAACAAAACAAAACAAAACAAAAAAAACCAGGAAACTTCAGACCAATATCCTTGACGAACCTTGATGCAAAAATCCTCAACAAAATATTGGCAAATGAAACCCAGCAGCACATCAAAAAGCTAATCCATCATGATAAGTAGTCTTCATCCCCAGGGTGCAAGTTTGGTTCAACATAAACAACACAATAAATGTGATTTATCACATAAACAGAACCAAATACAAAACCACATGATTCTGTCAATAGACACAGAAAAGGCTTTCAATAAAATTCAACATCCCTTCATGTTAAAAACACTCAATAAAGTATGTATTGAAGGAACATAACTCAAAATAATAAGAACCATCTATAACAAACCCACAGCCAACATCATACCGAATGGGCAAAAGCTAGAAGCAATCTTCTTAAAAACCAGCAAAAGACAAGGATGCCCTCTCTCACCACTCCTACTCAACATAGTATTGGAAGTCGTGGCCAGAGCTATCAGGCAAGAGTAAAAAATAATGGAAATCAAAATAGGAAGAGAGAAAGCCAAATTATCCCTCTTTGTAGATGACATAATTCTATATCTAGAAAACTCCATAGTATCGGCCCAAAAGCTTTTTCAGCTGATAAACAACTTCCAGCAAAGTTTCAGGACACATCAATGTACAAAAATCACTAGCATTCCTATACACCAACAGCCAAGCTGAGAGCCAAATCAGGAATGCAATCCCATTCATAATTGCTGCCAAAAGAATAAAATGTCTAGGAATACAGCTAACAAGGGAGGTGAAAGATCTCTACGGTGAGAATTGCAAAACACTGCTGAAAGAAATCAGAGATTACACAAACAAATGGAAAAACATTCCATGCTCATGGATAAGAATAAATATTAAAATGGCCATATTGTCCAAAGTAATTCACAGATTCAATGCTATTCCTATCAAACTACCAATGATATTCTTCACCGATCTAGAGAAAAACATTTTAAAATTCATATGAAACCAAAAAAGAGCCCCAATAGCCCAAGCAGTCTTAAATAGAAAAAAGCTTAAGATATCATGTTACCCAATTTAAAACTATATTATCTTTTTAATGTGCTGTTAAATTTGGTTTGCTAGTATTTTGTTGAGGATTTTTGCATATATGTTAATCAGGTTTATTAGTCTGTAGTTTTCTTTTTTGATGTGTCCTTCACTGATTTTGGTATCAGAATGATACTGGCCTCACAGAATTAGTTAGGGAGAATGTCCTCTTCTTTGGTTTTTTTAGAACTGTTTCAGGAGGATTGGTATTCATTCTTCCTTGTACACTGAAATAATTTGGCTGTGAATACATAAGTTCTTGGTCTTTTCTTTGTTGGGAGATTTTTTTTTTAATTGCAGGTTCAATCTTTTGAGTCATTATTCATCTGCTCATGTTTTCCATTTCTTTCTGGTTCAACCTTGGTTGGTGGTATGTTTCCAGGGATTTATCCATCTTTTGTAGGTTTTCAAGTTTGTGGGTGTACAGTTGTGCACAATAGTTTTTTTGTTTTTATTTCTGTGGCATCCATTGTAATGTCTACTTTTTTTATTTTTGGTTTTTAGGTGGGTCTTCCTTCTTTTCTTGGTTAGACTAGCTAACAGCTTATTATTTTTTTTTATATTTCTGAGGAGCCAATATTTCATTTCATTAACCCTTTGCATTCTCTATTTCATATAGTTCTCCTCTCTGATTTCTGTTCTTTTCTTCTGCAAATTTTGTTTGATTTGTTCTTGCTTTTCTAGTTCCTTGTAATGAAGTGCATCATTACATTGTTAATTTGTAATCTTTCTACTTTTTTGATGTAGGCATTTAACACTATAAACTTCTCACTTAGTATTGCTTTTGTTATATCCTACAGTTTTGATGTATTGTTTCCATTTTCATTTATTTTCAAAATTTTATTTCCATCTTAATTTCTTTGTTGACTCAATGCTCATTCAGGAGCATGTTATTTTATTTCCATGTACTTGCATATTTTCCAGTTTCTTCTGGTATTAATTTCCAGTTTTATTCCACTGTGGTCTGAGAAGATATTTGACATGATTTTGTTATTTTTTTTAGTCTATTGAGACGTGTTTTGTGTCCTAACATATGGTCCATCTTGTAGAATGTTCCATGTGCTGAAGACAAGGTATATAATGTTCTGCAAATATATCTTAGGTCCATTTGGTCTAAAGTCCAATTTAAGTTCAATTTTTTTGGTTGATTTTCTGTCTATATAATCTGTCTAATGCTGTAAGTAGGGTGTTAAATTCCCCTTTGTCTATCTCACTCTTTAGTAATATTTATAAATCTGAGTCCCACAATCTTGGATGCATATATATTTAGAATCATTAATATCCTCTTATTGAATTTATCCTTTTATCATTATATAATGGCTTTTTTGGTCTTTTTTCACTTTTTTTGAGTTAAAGTTTGTATTATCTGATAGAAGTACAGCTACTCCTACTCACTTTTGGTTTCTGTGTGTATCAAATATCTTTTTCCACCCCTTTTTCTTAAATTTCTCTTTCTATATTTTACAAGTAAGGTGAGTTTCTTAAATGCAGCATATAGTTGGATTATGTTTTGTAATCCATCCAGGCAGTCTATATCTTTTAAGTAGGGCATTTAATCAATTGACATTCAGGATTAGCATTTATATGTGAGATTTTGCTTCTGTCATATTGTTAACTGTTTTCCAGCTGTTTTATAAAATCTTTGTTTCTTTTTCTGTATTTGTCATTGTGGTTTGGTAAAATTTGATAGTGGTGCCATTTGATTCCTTTCACTTCCTCCTTTGTGTGATTGCTTTACCAAATAGTTTTATACTTTCATATTTTCTCATAATAGTAAATTTTTCCTTTTGTGTACAAGTTTAAGACTCCACTGAGGCCAGGCTCGGTGGCTCATGCCTGTAATTCCACCACTTTGGGAGGCCAAGGCAGGTGGGTCACTTGCAGTCAGGAGTTTGAGACCAGCCTGGCCAACATGGTGAAACCCCATCTCTACTAAAAATACAAAAATTAGCTGGGCGTGATGGCAGGCACCTGTAATCCCAGATACTTGGGACGCTGAGGGAGGAGAATCGCTTGAACCCAGGAGACGGAGATTGCAGTGAGCCGAGATCGTGCCATTGCACTCCAGCCTGGGCGACAAGAGTGAAACTCTGTCTCAAAAAATAATAAATAAATAAATAAATAAAAAGACTCCATAGAGAACTTCTTTTATGGTGACAATTTTTTTCAGTAATTTCTTGTCTAGGAAAGACATTATTTCATTTGTGAAGCTTAATCTTACCAGATATAAAATTATTGGCTGGCATTTTTTTTTTCCTTTTCAGTGCTTTGAATATATCATCACATTCTCTTCTTGTCTTCAAGTTCTGCTGAGAGTTCCACTGTTAGTCAGATAGGACTTTCTTTTCAAGTGACTGAACATGTTTCTGTTTTTTAAATTTGCTCTTTAGAAAGTCTAATTACAATGGGTCTTAGCACAGTCCTATTTGTATTTTATTTTCATGGCATCACTTAGCCTCCTCTATCTGGATGTCTAAATCTTTTGCTAGACTTAAAAAGGTTTTCATCTATTAGCTTGTTAAATAGGTTTGCTAAAGTTTTTTATTTCTTTGCCCTTGGAGATACTGATAATTCATACATTTAGTTGCATTATGTTGTCCCAAATGTCTCAAATGCTTTGTACATTTTCATTCTTTGTTATTTATTTTTGTCTAACTTTATTATTTCAGAGGTCTGTATTCAAATTGTGTAATTCTTTATTCTGTGGTGCATTATTCAACCTTTCCAATATATTTTGTGTTTCCCACAATGAATTATTAAGTTCCATAATTCTCTGTGTATTTTTAAATCTATCTCTTTAGTGAATTTCTCATTCATACATTGAATCATTTTTGTAATTTCTTTGAACTGGTTTTAGATTCCACACATTTCTCATTGAGCTTATTTAAAATCAATATTTTGAATTATTTATCTGGAATTTTGAGAAGATCCTTTTGGTTAAGATCTGTTCCTGGAGAATTATTGTGCTCTTTGAGGGTGTCATATCATCTTATTTTTTCACATTTCCTGTGTCTTTACTTTTCTGTACGTCTGGTATTTAGTCAAAACTACATTCAAAACTTCTTCCTAGTTTTAAATTTAGTTTTGTTTTCGGGGGGCACTTTTGCATTGTTTCTTGAAGATATGACTATCATGTTATGACTACGAAGCCCTGTTGGCTTTGCTTCTGTGAATGCAGTAATGGAGTCTCTGTATGACTTTTTTAAAAGCTATATACAGCATGATATCTGTGGTTTCCTCAGTGTGTTAGGGTGTGGTTACTGGTAGAGGCTCTGGTGAAGCTGTGCTGAGGACTGAAATGCCAGATGGATCTGTCTTCAGGTTTTAGTAGTGGCAGCATGTGTATTATTGTGCCCTGGGCCAGTGTACACTGGCACGTGTGTTGCTGGTTCCAGGCAAGCCAATTATTGGGTCTTTGGGTAGCTTTCTTGGATGTTGTTTGTAGTAGTGTGTACCAGGTTGGTGAGAAAGCTCCCAAGCCTTTGGGCAGCAAATGTGGCATGGTGATGGCAGTAGAAGGATGAGAGGCTTTTCTGGTTCCTAAGTACTATGCACTTGTATTGGCAGTGGTTGCAATGAGCTGTGTAGGCTAACTTACAGACCAGCAGGTGGCATTTGCAGGTAGTAGGCACTGAGGAGGTAATGGTAGGGTGCTAATTCCCAAGCTCAGGCCTTTGGGAGGAGTGTTTGTGTGAACCAGGTAACAGACTGGGTTGTACGCCCCTCAGGACCCTGGATCCTGCATTGTGTCTTGGGGTATGAGGTGAATCTGCTTACAGCCTACTGGGCAATCCTGCACCCAGGTCCCCCAATGGCAAGTGCAGGCACCAGCCATGAGGGGTGGGGGTGGGAAATGCTCAGGCTCCTAGCAGAATTATTGGGTGACTGGCAACAACCACTGTGCTGAGATCTTGCCATTGGGAGGGTAGGATTGGCCCAAAGGGCCACAGGATTGGCCAGTGTAGGGGCCTTGCATCCTTCTCATGCCCTTGTCCTGGAGGGTCTCACTCCCCAGTCTGACTTCCACAGGTGATCCAGCTCTTCCGTGAGACCCAGCAGCTTATGCCCACAACTCAGCCCCAGACGATAGGACCTCTTGCCAAGCTCAAGACCAAGCCTCCATGGCAACTCTCATCCCATTCAAGTCACAGGTGCACTACCTGCTTTCAGGGCCAGTAGCTACAGTCCACACCATGTTCACTTCTCAGTCCTGGTTGAAGGATCACACCCCACACCCATGGCTCAGTTCTGCAAGCAGCAGCCTGAGTTTTCCCAATGCTTAGGGCTTGTGCTGTTGGCTTCCAGGACCATAGTCTATTAAAAGCTAGGATGAAGAATGGCATCTTGCTGTAGCAACTTAGGTTTCAGAAAAGGCATGGGATCCATGGCATCTTCCTTCTCTGGAGCAGTTCCTACTCATAGTCTCTTGGCCACTTCCTAAATTAGATTCAGGATTTGGGAGGTCAAGGTTCTCTCTGGTAGCCTGGATTGTATAATTCCCTATTGGAAAAGTGGACTGCAGAGAAACTCTGACTCACCTTCTCCCACATTGGGGAGCCACTTTTAGTTCCCAGCCAGTACTGGCCAGGCAAGTCTATGGTTTTCTTTCTCCTTCCTACCTTTTCATCTTTCTTGTCTATTTTCTGTTGAACTATGTCCCCTCTTGGATAATGCATTCAAAGTATGATTGTGCACACACTATATTGGTTCTTCTAAGTAGATGGGGTGTGTCTGAAATGCTTCTAGTCAGCCATCTTGAAAAAAAAAACTTGAGTAGTATTTTTTATTATATATTAATTAGTGTGAATGGGCTTTGTTTTCCTTTCAAATTATTTTTTTGAATTTTGTAGCAAAGTTACAGTAAGCTAATAACATTAACTGGAGTATTGTTTCTTTCTATCTGAAAAAGTTTCCATGAATTTTAAAATATCTATTCCCTTAATTATTGGTAGAATGAATCAAAGATGAAGTCTAATTCTGGAATTTTATTTATGTACTTTTAAAACATTACTTCAATGTCTTTTATTATTAGGATAACTCAAGTTTCTGTTTCTTTTTGTTTCAGTCTGGTAACTTTTTGTTTATTTGTTTAGTTGTTTATGGATTAACTTGGTGTCTAAGAAGAGAGTCTCAATGTAAATTCCCTTGTTTAAATCTGAGTTTTGCCATTTATTAGTTGTATGATATTGGTCAACATATTTAACTGTTCTATGATCAGTAAATCTAAAATATATTCTCTCTTACATTGCTGGTAGGAATGTATACTGTACAAAACACTTAATCAAACTCTCTTTATAGCTTGCTAAAACTCAACTAAAATTACACACATGTATATATATGCTATTTTATCTCTCTCTCTCTCTCTCTCTATATATATATATATATATATGCTTTACTTAATGATAGGGATTGATTCTGAGGAATGTGTCATTAGGAAATTTATCCTTGTGTGAACATCATAGAATGTACTTACACAAACCTAGATAGTGCAGCCTACTACATATCCAGGCTATATGGTATAATCAATTGCTCCTAGGCTACAACCTCATACAGCATGATACTCTACTAAATACTGTAGGTAACTAACACAATGGTAAATAATTTTGTATGTAAGTATACAAAAGGTAATGCTACATCACTAGGCCATGGAATTTCTTAGATCCACTGCAAGCTTATGTGGCCACCTGTGCATATGTGGTCTACTGTTGATGAAAATGTTCTTATGTGGTGCACAGTCAGAACGTGTATATGTATATATATATTCAGAAGAATGTTCATAAGAGTTTTATTTATGATTGAATAATAGTTAAATCATTCTAAGTATAACTACTATTGAAGTAAGTTAAAAAGTGCAGAATATTTATAAAATAGAACAGTAAAGAGCAAAAGAAAACAACACATTAGTAATAAATACAGAATGGATGCATCTGTATGCATCCAATAAATATGAATCCATCCAATAAATATGAATGGATCATAGTGAGAAGTTAGATACAAAAGTAAAAATCATTACTTTATTTATCTTATTTCCAAACAACCCAAATTAACTTCTGATGATAGTTGTCAGACTAGTGATTACCCTTTAAAGGAGATACTGACTGGAAAGGGACACAAGAAAACATTCTGGAATGTTAAAAGCATTCTAATTTCTTTTTTTTTTTTTTTGAGACGGAGTCTCGCTCTGTCGCCCAGGCTGGAGGGCATTGGCACTATCTTGACTCACTGCAAGCTCCGCCTCCCGGGTTCACACCATTCTCCTGCCTCAGCAGCATTCTAAATTTTAATCTGCACAGTGTTTATGTGAGTACTGACATAAGTAAAAAAAACAAATTAGCTGTACACATTAAATTTGTGAACTTGCCATTTGTAAAATGTACCTCAAAAATAGATAATTGACAGGAGGTAGATGATTAGATAAAGTCTATAGAAATTGTATTTTGAAAACAAAATACTTTAATCAATAAAATTACAACATCCCTAATCTATCCTCTCTCCTGCCCTGTCCAATACATAGCCACTCGCCATGTGTGGCTATTTAATTAGTTAAAAATTATAGAAAAATAAAAATTTAGATCTTCAGTTGCTATAGCCACATTTTAAGTGTTCAATAACCACATGGATGTGGACAGCATTTTTGGCAACACAGTTTATAGTATGTTTTTATTATTAGAGAGAGCTCTATATAAATATTTGCCCTCAGCCTTTGCAATCATTGATATTCCGAAGAAAGCAAAATACATGAATATTTAGTAAAAGATATATTAAAATATAATAATGAATACTAACTTCCTTTTTTCAAAAAAAAAAAATTGACACAGGTTCTCACTCTGTTGCCCAGGCTGGAGTGCAGTGGTGTGATCATGGCTCGCTGCAGCCTTGAACTCCTAGGCTCAAGCAATCCTCCTGTCTCAGCCTCCTAAGTAGTTGGAACCACAGATGAAGGCCAACACCCCCAGCTAATTTTTGTACTTTTTGTAGAGACAGGGTTTCGCAGTGTTGCCCAGACTGGTCTCAAATTCTTAGGCTCAAGTGTTCCACCTGCCTCGGACTCCCAAAGTGCTGGGAATACAGGCCTGAGCCACCATGCCCAGCCAAATACTAATTTCTTAATACTAGTATGCTGTATTCACAAAAATAATCTTTAGTATTGTTTTTATAAAACTATGTCATTTTATTCTGTTTTCTTGAGGAGTATTTATTTGCTCATGTCACTTGTGATGGTTAATACTGTCAACTTGATTGAAGGATGCAAAGTATTGATCTTGGGTGTGTCTGTGATGGTGTTGCCAAAGGAGATTAACATTTGAGTCAGTGGACTGGGGAAGGCAGACCCACCGTTAATTGGGTGAGCACCATCTAATCAGCTGCCAGCAAATATAAAGCAGGCAGAAAAACATGAAAAGGCGAGACTGACCTAGCCTACATCTCAGCCTACATCTTTCTTCTGTACTGGATGCTTTCTGCCCTGGAACATCGGACTCCACGTTCTTCAGTTTTCAGACTCGGACTGGTTCCCCTTGCTCCTCAAGACAGCCTATTGTGGGACCTTGTGAACATGTAAGTTAATACTTAATAAACTCCCCTTTATACATATATATCTATCTATCCTATTAGTTCTGTCCCTCTAGAGAACCCTGCCTAATACAGATTTTGGCACCAGGAGTGGTTCTAGAGGAACAGAATATTAAGGATGGAGTTCTTTCACTGGTTTTGGGGTTGCTGGAGTTGGCTGCTTAATATGATTAGACCCCAAAATGCTAAGGACTCTACTTCTAATAGTATGGAGAACACTGATAGACCTTGGCATGAGCTATGAAAAATAAATACATTTGACACTCCTGATTCACCACTTCTGAGAGGCAAGAAGTTTAGTCACGCTATACATAATACCTTTAATCATACGTGGAGAACCAAGGAGCATAATGAAGCTGGTTCGTTGCTTCTAAATTCAGAGGACAAAGTGATGATGAACTCACTGGCTTCAAAAGCAGATACTGAGCCTCAAATCAGCTAAGATTACCCTGTGTGAGAGTCTTATCTCCTCTAGAGAAAGAGCTGAAATTGTGGAAAGACAGAAACACAAGCTCTTACCATGCGAGTGGCTGACCTACAACGAAAGGTGCATGCACAGCCTCGCCAGGTGTCTACTGTAAAACTGGGGGCATTGATTGGAAAAGAATGGGACCCTGCAACCCAGAATGGGAATGTGTGGGAGGACCCTGATGAAGCTGGGGACACTGAGTTTGTAAACTTTGATGAACTTTTTGGCCAGAAGGAACAGCTTCCCCATACCCAGTAGTGGCAACATCCCCTCCCTGACCCACACTGCCATAGCCTTTCCACTTTCATCTGAGGAGATAAACCCTGTGCTGCCTGAGGCAACAGAGATGGCCTCCCCTGAGGCGGTTGTCAGGCAAGAAAATGTTGATTCTCCCCATTAAGCCACCCCCAACACCCCTGTTTGCGTTTACACCTATGACTAGACTAAAGTCCTGGCGGGCCCCTGGAGGTGAGTTTGAAAGTGCGACCCATGAGGAGGTGTGCTACACTCAAAAAGAACTGTTTGAGTTCTCTATATAAAGAGCAATCTGGAGAAGAGGCATGGGAATGGATATTAAGGGTATGGGATAATGGTGGAAGGAACATAGAGTTCAATCAGGCTGAATTTATTGATTTGGGCCCACTAAGTAGGAAATCTGCATTTAAAGTTGAAGTTCAAGAGCTAAAAAAGGTTTTTAGTTTATTTGCTTGGTTAGCTGAAATATGTATGAAAAGATGGCCCACCCTGAGTGAGCTGGAAATGCCTGATCTCCCTTGGTTTAATGTAGAGGAAGGAATCCAAAGGCTTAGGGAGATTGGGATATTGGAGTGGATTAATCCCTTTAGACCTACTCATCCCAGCTGGGAGGGGTCCAGATTTACCCTTCACTAACGCCTTGTGAAATAGATGTGTAAGGGCAGCACCTGTATCTTTACAGAGCCCTGTAATTGCTCTAATCTGTATGTCGGATCTAACAGTGGGAACCACAGTCACTCGACCACAAAATTTAAATGCAATGGGAATAACTGAATCCCAAGGCGGCAGGGGCCAAGTGGTGGCACTGAACTGTCAAAGGCAAGGTGGGCATAGCTATCATAATTGACAGCAGAGACAAAGCAACAATCAGAATAGTCTGACTAGCGTAGAGCTCTGGCATTGGCTAATTAATCACGGTGTTACTAGAAGTGAAATTGACAAGAAGCCTACTGCATTCCTACTTAATTTATATAAAGAGAAAACTTCTAGGTCGAATGGACAAAAGACTAATTTGAATTATAAAAACAGAGAATCACAGCCTCTCAATCAATTTCCAGACTTGAACCAGTTTACAGACCCAGAACCGCTTGAATGAAGGGGAGACAGGGTACCCTTGAGGAAGGACCCCACTACATTACCGACAATTTATACAGTGAATCTTTCTCCCATCCTTTCCCAAGGATACCTCTGGCCTTTTATCAGGGTAACTGTGCACTGAGAAAGGCAAATGATCAGACATTTCAAGGACTACTGCACACTGGTTCTGAGCTGAGATTGATTCCAAGGGATCCAAAACATCATTGTGGTCTTCCAGTTAAAATAGTAGCTTGTGAAGGTCAGGTAATTAAGGGAGTTTTAGCTCAGGTCCAACTTACAGTGGGTCCAGTGGATCCCCAGATTCATCCTGTGGTCACTTCCCCAGTGCCAGAATACATAATTGGCATAGACATACTTAGCAGCTGGCAAAACCTCCACATTAGCTATCACTGGTAGGGTGAAGGCCATTACGGTGGGAAAAGCCAAATGGAAGCCATTAGAGCTGCCTCTACCTAGAAAAATAGTAAATAAAAAACAATATCACATCCCCAGAGGGATTGGGGAGATTAGTGCCACCATCAAGGACTTGAGGACACAGGGGTGGTGATTCCTACCATGTCCCCTTTCAAATCTCCTATGTGGCCTGTGCAGAAGACAGACAGATCCTGGATAATGAGAGTGGATTATCATAAGCTTAACTAGGTGGTGACTCCAATTTCAGCGCTGTACCAAATTTGGATTCACTGCTTGAGGAAATTAACACATTTCCTGGTACCTCATATGTAGTCATTGACTTGGCAAAGGCCTTTATCTCCATTCCTGTGCATAAGGTCCACCTGAAGCTATCTGCCTTTAGCTGGCAAGGCCAGCAATATAACTTTACTAGCCTACCTCAGAGGTATGTCAACTCTCTGGCTTTGTGTCATAATCTTATTCGGAGAGACCTTGATTGTTTTTCGCTTCCACAAGATATCACACTGGTCCATTACATTGAAGACATTATGCTGATTGGATCCAGTGAGCAAGAAGTAGCAAACACACTCGACTTATTGGTGAGACAATTACGTACCAGAAGATGGGAAATAAATCCGACTAAAATTCAGGGACCCTATACCTCAGTAAAATTTCTAGGGGTCCAGTGGTGTGAGGCTTGTTGAGATATTCCTTCTAAGGTGAAGGATAAGTTGCTGCATTTGCCCCCTCCTACAACCAAGGAAGGGACACAACAGCTAGTGGGCCTATTTGGATTTTGTAGGTAACACATTCCTCATTTGGGTGTGTTACTCTGTCCCGTTCATCAAGTGACCCAAAAGGCTGCCAGTTTTGAGTGGGCTCCAGAACAGAAGGCTCTGCAATAGGTCCAGGCTGCTGTGCAACCTGCTCTACCACTTGGGCCATATGACCTGGCAGATCCAATGGTGCTTGAGGTGTCAGGGCAGGTAGGGATGCTGTTTGGAGCCTTGGCAGGCCACTATAGGTGAATCACAGTGGAGGCCTCTAGGATTTAAGAGCAAGGTCCTGCCATCTTCTGCAGATAATTACTCTCCTTTTGAGATGGCTCTTGTCCTCTTACTGGGCTTTGGTAGAAACTGAATGTTTGACTATGGGTCATGAAGTCACCATGCAACCTGAATTATCTATCATGAACTGGGTGCTTTCTGACCCATCTAGCCATAAAGTGGGTCATGCACAGCAGCATTCCATCATCAAATGGAAGTGGTATATATGTGATCAGGCTTGAGCAGGTCCTGAAGGCACAAGTAAGTTACATGAGAAAGTGGCTCAAATGCCCATGGTCTCCATTCCTGCCACCCTGCCTTCTCTCCCCCAGTCTGCACTGATGGCCACATGGGGAGTTCCCTATAATCAGCTGACAGGGGAAGAGAAGACTAGGGCCTCGTTCATGATGGTTCTGCATGATATGCAGGCACCACCCGAAAGTGGACAGCTGCAGCACTATAGCACCTTTCTGGGACATCCCTGAAGAACAGCAGTGAAGGAAAATCTTCCCAGTGGGCAGAATTTCGAGCAGCGCACCTGGTTGTGCAGTTTACATGGAAGGAGAAATGGCCAGATGTGTGATTATATACTGATTTATGGGCTGGAGCCAATGGTTTGGCTGGATGGTCAGGAACTTGGAAGAAGCATGATTGGAAAATTGGTGACAAAGAAATCTGGGGAAGAGGTATGTGGATGGACTTCTCTGAGTGATCAAAAACCATGAAGATATTTGTATCCCGTGTGAGTACTCACCAATGGGTGACCTCAGCAGAGGAGGATTTTAATAATCAAGTGGATAGGATGACCCATTCTGTGGATACCACTCAGCCTGTTTCCCCAGCCACCCCTGTCATTGCCCAATGGGACCATGAACAAAGTGGCCATGGTGGCAGGGATGGAGGTTATGCATGGGCTCAGCAACATGGACTTCCACTTACCAAGGCTGACCTGGCTACAGCCACTGCTGAGTGCCCAATTTGCCAGCAGCAGAGACAACTGAGCCCTAGATATGGCACCATTCCTAAGGATGATTAGCCAGCTACCTGGTGGCAGGTTGATTATATTGGAACTCTTCCATTATGGAAAGGGCAGAGGTTTGTCCTAACTGGAATAGACACTTACTCCGGATATGGGTTTGCCTATCCTGCACACAATGCTTCTACCAAGACTACCATCCGTGGACTCACAGAGTGCCTTATCCATCGTCATGGTATTCCACACAGCATTGCCTCTGACCAAGGCACTCACTTTACAGCTAAAGAAGTGCGGCAGTGGGCTCATGCTCACGGAATTCACAGGTCTTACCATCTTTCCCATTATCTTGATGCTGCTGGATTGATAGAATGGTGGAATGGCCTTTTGGAGTCACAATTACAATGCCAACTAGGTGACATACTTTGCAGGGCTGGGACAAAGATCTCCAAAAGGCCACGTATGCTCTGAATCAGCGTCCAATATATGGTACAGTTTCTCCCATAGCCAGGATTCACAAGTCCAGCAATCAAGGTGTTGAAGTGGAAGTGGCACCCCTCACCATCACTCCAGTGATCGACTAGCAAATTTTTTGCTTCCTGTTCTCACGACATTATGTTCTGCTTGCCTAGAGGTCTTAGCTCCAGAAGGAGGAACACTGCCATCAGGAGACACAACAATGATTCCATTAAACTGGAGGTTAAGATTGCCACCTGGACATTTAGGGCTCCTCCTACTTTTAAGTCAACAGGCTAAGAAGAGAGCTACAGAGTTGGCTGGGGTGACTGACACAGACTATCAAGATGAAATTAGTCTATTACTCCATTACAGAGGTAAGAAAGAGTATGCATGGAATATAAGAGATCCATTAGGGCATGTCTTAGTATTACCATGCCTTGTGATTAAGGTCAATGGGAAACAAATGCCCAATCCAGGAAGGAATACAAATGGTCCAGACCTCTCAGGAATGATGGTTTGGGTCACTCCACCAGGAAAAACAAAACAAAACAAAACAAAACAAAAAAAAAAAAACATGACCTGCTGAAGTGCTTGCTGAAGGCAAAGGGGATAAAGAATGGGTAGTAAAAGAAGGTAGTTATGAATACCAGCTACAAGCACATGACCAGCCGCAGAAATGAGTACTATAACTGTCATGAGTATTTTCTCCTTCTTTTGTTAAAAACATGTTGGTGCATGCATATACTTATACTAAGAAAATATCTTCATTTTATTTCCTTTTTGTTTATCATGTGACATAAGATTTATTGACTTCATATTGGCATTTAAGTATTGTTAACTTTATGTGATAGTATTTGGGCTGAGGACTGGTGAGTTTCCAGTTGTATGAAGCATAGTCGTATTATGTTAGGCATAATTATGACCTTATGATTGTCTTTATTTGAAGATTATGTATGATCTCAGGAGATGTGTATGGGTTCAAATTGACAAGGGGTGGACTTGTGATGGTTAATACTGTCAACTTGATTGAAGGATGCAACATATTGATCCTGGGTATGTCTGTGAGGGTGCTGCCAAAGGAAATTAACATTTGAGTCAGTGAACTGAGGAAGGCAGACCCACGCTTAATTGGGTAGGCACCATCTAATCAGCTGCCAGTGAATATAAGGCAGGCAGAAAAATGTGAAAAGGTGAGACTGGCCTAGCCTCCCAGCCTACATCTTTCTCCCATGCTGGATGCTTCCTGCCCTCGAACATTGGACCCCAAGTTCATCAGTTTTGAGACTCGGATTGGCTCTCCTTGCTCCTGAAGCTTGCAGACAGCCTATTGTGGGACATTGTGATCATGTAAGTTAATACTTAATAAACATATATATATATATGAGGACATATATATATATATATACGAGGACATATATATATATATATGAGGACATATATATATGAGGACATATATATGAGGACATATATATGAGGACATATATATATGAGGACATATATATGAGGACATATATATGAGGATATATATATATGAGGACATATATATGAGGATATATATATATGAGGACATATATATATGAGGATATATATATATGAGGACATATATATATGAGGATATATATATGAGGATATATATATATATATATGGAGATATATATATATATATATATCCTCTTAGTTCTGTCCCTCTAGAGAACCTTGACTAATACATAACTGATACAGTCTCAGTTTTAACATATAACATCTTAAATGTAAATTCATATTTTACAACTTTTTAAAAACTTTCCTTAATATCGTTCAGGATAATTCTCTTACTTCTCTTTTCATATAATCCTGCTTTGTTTTGTTTACATACATCCCAGCATATTCTTTCTTTAGGAAACTCTGACTCTGTTTTTTATAAGCATTGATTACTACCACTTTTTTTTGAGGAATGCCTAGAGTATCCAAAAATCTTCTTCTCGAGAAGAAGATGTTATAGTTGTTTTTGTTTGTCTGCATGTATGTTGTTATTTTAAATTTATATGGTAGCTTTAGGACTACTAGTCAATCTCCTCAGAATTACAGAACAAGAGTTGATTTGCAAAGACAACTACCAATTCAATTCAACTTTATTTCCTGAGATTCCTACGATACCACTTCGATCTACAGAAGCATTTCAGTGCTTAATTTACTAAGTCCATACAATTTACAGAAACTACATTTCCCAGAAATAAGTTCTATAATAATCTTCTTTCTGTTCATATTACTTCAAACATCAAAGCTCTAATTTTGGAGACAATAAATGGAATATATTGTAAACAATTTATAATATTCTATTTATTTTTCTTTCATCCTTCCCCACTCCCAGAAATCACTTTCTTAGAATGGATATGGAAATTAGGATTGAGGTCGAAGAGAGGCAGAAATTCGGAAGATAAGTAGAGTATTTTTATAACTGTCATAAAATGAAACGTGTGTATTTTAACATTTTAGTCAGCCTTTATAAAATTAGGCAATAATACTTTGGATGGGAAAGGGTAACAATGTATAAGTCCTGTTAAACATCAAAAAGTATAACAAAACCATAATTAATAGAACCAGGTGACTGACACTGGCACAGTGTTAGAAATGGAAAAGTAGACCTTTCTTGTATAAAAATTAGTGCTTGATAAATAATAATTTACAGGTCAGAGAATAAAGAAAAAGCAATTTACTCTTGCATCAACTCATAAACCAAAATAATTTCTTCATAGATTTATATATTGACAGATCCAAAATCAAATTTGCATAAAGTATAACATAATTTTTTTTGTTTTGTTTTTGTTTTTTTTGAGACTGAGTCTCTCTCTGTCGCCCAGGCTGGAGTGCAGTGGCGCGATTTCGGCTCACTGCAAGCTCCCTCTCCCGGGTTCACGCCATTCTCCTGCCTCAGCCTCCTGAGTAGCTGGGACTACAGGCACCTGCCACCATGCCCGGTTAATTTTTTTTTTTGTATTTTTTAGTAGAGACGGGCTTTCACCGTGTTAGCCAGGATGGTCTCGATCTCCTGACCTTGTGATCCACCTGCCTCGGCCTCCCAAAGTGCTGGGATTACAGGCGTGAGCCACCGCGCCCGGCCATAAATTTTAATTCATAATTATTGCATGTACTGAAGACAGATAATCAAATGTGTTACTTTTATATTAAGTGTTCATTTACTGGAAGGGGTTTATGGTTAAAATGATGAATCTCTCAAAATTAAGCATAGGCTCAAAAAAAGCCCAATGAAACTCCCAATAAGCTATCTGGTAGATGTTGACAAACAGATTTTCAAGTTTATGTGGAAAAAAAAAGATGTGGAAGAATCAACACAATACTGACGAAAAGGAACAACACTGGAGGACTTACACTGTGATTTCATGACTTACTACAAAGTTAGAGTGCAGTACTGGTGAAAAAAAGGAAACAGACGTTGTTACAAAATAGAGTTCCAGAAATTGGCCATCACAAATATAGGCGAACTGATCTTTGACAAACGGACGAAGGAAAAGCAATAGATTTAAAAAAAAGTCTTTTCAACAAATGGTGATGAAGTTGTCAGAAATCCATTAGCAAGAAAGAGAGGAAGAAAGAGAAAGAAAGGAGAAGGAGCAGAATGAGGGAAAAGGAAGGAGGAGAAGAGGACGAGGAGGAGGAGGAGGAGAAGTAAGAGAAGAAATAAGACACAAACTTTACACCTTCCTCAAAAAGTAACTCAAAATGGATCATAGGCCTATATATAAATATATGAAATGAAAAACCATAAAAATTTTGTAAGTTAACATGGGAGAAAATCTAGATGACTTTGGGTTTGGTATGAGTGTTTTAGTACAACACCAAAAGTATGATCCATGCTAGAAAAAGTTAATTAGGTTACACTTCATTAAACACTTCTGTTTGCAAAATACCCTATAAAGATAATTAAAATATAAGCCACACACTGGGTGAAAACATTTGCAAACTCAAATATAATAATATATTTATTATATAATTATATAAGAAAAAATTGTATTCAAATGATACAAAAATCACTTTGCACTCAGCAATAAGAAAACAACCCAATTAAAAAATTGGCAAAATGGTCTAAACATGAACTGCACCAAAGAAAATAAACAAATGAAAAATAAGCATATGAAATGACGCTCAACACTATTTGTAATCTGTGAATTGGAAATCAAAATAACAACGAAATACCTATTTAGATTTATTAGAATGGCTAAAATGTAAATACCAAATGTTGGTGAGGATGCCAAACTACAGAAACTCTAGTTCATTTATGGTGGGAATGCAAAATGGTACACCTACTTTGGAAGAAAGTTTGACAGTTATTTATAATTTACACATGGTCTTAAAATATAAATCAGCAATCTAGCTCCTAGGTATTTACCAAAATGAATTGAAACTTTATGTCCACAGAAAAACCTGCAAACAAATGTTTATAATAGCTTTATTCAAAATAACTTAAAAGCAACCAAGATGTCCTTCAATAATGAATGAACAAACTGTGCTGCATCAATATAAAATATTATTCTACAAAATATTTAAGCTGTCAAGCCACAGTAAGACATGTGTGAACCCTGAATTCATACATACAGCACTGTATGAATTTAGCACAATTATAGCAGACTTTAGCACATTGCTACATGAAAGAAGTCATATGAAAAAGCCACATATTGTATGATTCCAATTAAATAACATATTGGAAAGAGCAAAACTATAGACACTAAACAGATCAGTGGTTTCCAGGAGTTTGGAAGGGGGCACAATAGATGAAAAACAGGAAATGCAGAGTAGTAAAATTATTTTCTATGACACTGTAATGGATATATGGCATTGCACATTGATCAAAACACTAATTTTCAGCACAAAAAGTGAGTCTCGATGTATGCAATTTATTTTAAAAACATCTAAGCTAGGAGGTCTAAGGACTCTAGAAATGAAAGAAAATGGTGAAAAGAGGATGTACTATTTCAAATGTATGAAAAAACTTCACTGAAGTTACTTGGTGAAACAAGTATTTCAATGTATGAAAAAACTTCACTGAAGTTACTTGGGGAAACAAGTATTGACCTAAGTAACTTTGGAAACAAGTGAAGTTTTAAGACTAAGGACAAGAAAATGGCACATAAGCCCTGTATTCTAGTTGATGAAGTAGTTTCCCATGGAGATATAGGCTACTAATTCTGATACTGCTATGCATGTAAATTAGAACTTACATGACTGGAATGGCAGATACTGGGATCTAACTATCTCACTAATTGGAATGGAAATTTAAAGATAAGAAAGACAACAACAGTAACAACAACAAAAGTTTCTATGAAGAAATGCCTGCTCTAGGACTGAAACAGGAAATGTAAAAGATGAGCCTGTAGTCCTGAAGCATCTTACAGTGCTAAAAAGTAAGAGAGGTTTCAAAAGCACAAAAACAGAAACCCTTGAGTGATGGGGTTATGTCAAAAGGATCCCCTGAAAGAGTTCCCAATGGCCAAAGCTCAAAGAATTTTAGCAATAAGACAAAATGATATTGGATTATAACCCAAAGTATAAAATAAATATCAATGTACCCAAAATAACATAATGATTAAATAAGAAAATAAATGAGAGATGAATTAAATCTTTAATGCAGAAGGACTTCAAATGTTTTATGTAAATATTTCACCCACAAAGAAAGGGAGCATAATTCCCTATTCTTTATGTGTGGGTTGCACCAAGTTTAAAAGATTACATATATCTATATCTATATCTATATCTATATATAAAACATTATACTGGAGAGTCCTGAGAAGTAGCACTTTTGTCAGGTGATCAAGGTCAACATCAGCAGTGATAAATCATTTTGATAGTAGGCACCCTTGACACAATGTGATAAAAATGATAGTTTATCTCTGAGGTTTTTTTCGAAAAACCCATAATCCCAGTCTAACTATAAAACAGACATCAGACAAAACTCACCTGAGGGACATTCTACAAAATACTAGCTCAGTACTTCTTAAAACTGGCAAGGTCATCAAGAACAAGGAAATCTGAAAAACTATCACAGCCAAGATGAGTCTAAGGAAATGACAACTAAAGGTGATATAGTATCCTAGATGGAGTCCTGAAACAGAAAAAGTACACTGGATAAAAACTAAGAAAATCAGAATTAAGTGTAGACTTTATTTGCAGATAGCATATTAATAGTGGTTCTTTAATTGTAACAAATGTACTATACTAATATAAGGGGTTAACCTAAAGAAAACTATTATCTTCTCAATAGTTGTGTAATTCTAAGTTGTTAATGTAAAGTCTAATAAAAAAGATTTACAGTATTAACATGTAATGTGCTCTAAGAATCCTTGAAGAAAAATGTGAGACAGAAAAGAAAATCAATATATATCTATAAGTATGTGTATGTATTATGCAATTTCCAAAAGATGAATCATCAATAATCTTATGAATAAATTTTAGCAGAATTAGTAATAAAAAATAATGAGACTACTGTGAACAATGAAAAACCACAAATTGGATAACCTAGAAGAAATGGATAATTTCCCATAAACATACAACCTACCAAGACTGAATCACGAAAAAAATAAAAAAGCTGAACCAACCTGAAAATCAGTTAGGATCCCAACAAAAATCATGTTAAAAACAAACAGAACTGATGGTTTCACGGATGAATTCTACCAGGCATTTAGAAGTGAATTAATGCCAATAGTTCTCAAATTCTTCCAAAAATTTGAAGAGGTGGGGACACTTCCAAACTTATTTTACCCAGCCAGCATTACTCTCATACTAGAGCCAGATAAGGACACTCAAAGAAAAGAAAATTACAGGTCAATATCTCAGAAGAATATACATGCAAACATCTTAAAAAAAAATACTAGCAAACAGAATTCAACAGCACATTAAAAGAATGATACATCATGACCAAGTGAGATTTATATGTGGGATGCAAGGATGGTTTAACATCTACAAATCAGCAAATGTGACATGCTGCATTAACAGAATGAAGAATAAAAAACACAGGAAAATCTCAGCAGAACAGAAAAATATTTGACAACATTTAGTATCCTTTTATAATTAAACAACAACAACAACAAAAAAACCTCTCAATGAATTAGGTAAGGAAGGAATGTATCTCATTATAATAAAGGCAGAATATAACAAGCACACAGCTAACATAACACTCAATGGTAAAAAGTCAAAAGTGTTTTCTCTGAGATCAGATACAAAACAGGAATGCTACCCTCAATACTTCTATTCTACACAGTACTGGAAGCCCTAGTCAGGGAAATTGAGCAAGAAAAACAAAACATATCCAAATTGGAAAATAAAAAGTAAAATTGTCTTTCTTAGCAGATTACATAGTCTTATACATTGAAGTCCCTAAGCACACCACCAAAAAACTGTTAGAATTAATAAATGCATTTAGTAAATTTGCAAAATGCTAAGTAAACATAGAAAAATCACCTGTATTTCCATACCCTAACAATAACTATCCAAAAAGAATTAAGAAAGCAATCCCATTCATAATAGCATCCGAAAGAATAAAATAACAATAAATTTAATTAAGGAAGTGAAAGATCTCTATACTGTAAACTGTAAAGCACTGATAAAAGAAATGAAAGAAGATCTAAATAAATGAGAAGATATCCCATTTTCAAGGTTTGGAAGTGTTAATATTGCTAAAATGTCCATTCTACCCAAAGCTATCTACAGATTCAATCCCTATCAAAATCTCAATGGCATTATTTGCAGAAATAGAAAGAAATCTTAAAATTCATATTGGAACCACACGAGACTAAGACTATCCAAATCAATCTTTAGAAAGGAAAACAAAGCTAGAAGCATCATACTTCCTGATGACAAACTATAACAAAAATACAGTAATCAAAACAGTATGGTACTGGCATAAAAACAGATAAACAGACCAATGGAAGAGAATAGAGTCCAGAAAGACGCTCACGGATATATGGTCAAATAATCTTTTTCAAGGTTGGTAAGAATACAAAATGGAGAAAGGATAATTTCATAACAGTGTTGAGAGAACTTGATATTCACATGTAAATGAATAAAGCAGTACCATTAAACTCTGCACAAAAATTCTCATATAATTCAATAAATAGATGATAGAAAATAGATACATACATACACACATACACAGGTACATAGATAGATAACATAATTTAAAAATTGGGCATGTGATCTGAATAGATACTTTTTCAAAGATAAGACACTGAAATGACCAAAAGGTATATGAACAGTTGCTCAGCTTCACTGAAAGGTGGTCAACATTACTAATTATCAGGGAAATGCAAATCAAAACCACAATGAAATATCACTTCATACCTGTTAGGATGGCTATTATCAAAAGGACAAGAGACAACATGGGTTGGCAATGGCATGGAGAAAAAAGAATCCTTGTACATCACTGGTAGAAATGTAAATTAATATAGCTATTTTGAAAAACAATACAGTGGTTTCTCAAATAATAGAACAATCATATGATCCAGCAATCCCACTTCTGGGTATATATCTATAAGAAATAAAATCAGTATCTCAAAGAGATAATTGCACCCCCTATCTTCATTGTAGAATTATTCACAATTGCCAAAACATAGAAACAACCTTAGTGATCAACAGATACATGAAAAAAGAAATTGTGGTATGTATACATAATGAAATACTATTCAGCATTAAAAAGGGGAAATCTTGTTATTTGTGACAACACTGATGGCCCTAGAGGACATTATGCTATTATGCTAAATGAAATAATCCAGACAGAGAAAGACAAATATATGATCTCACGTATATGTAGAGTCTAAAAATGTTGAATTCATAGAAGTAGGGAGTAAAATGGTTTTCAGAAACTGGGAGTGGGGTAATTGGGGAGATGTTGGTCATGAGTTATAAGAGGAACATGTTCTGAGGATCTAATGTAGCTCATAGTAACTATAATTAATAATACGGTATTGAATACTTTAAAATTAATAAGATAGATATTCAGTGTTCTCATCATAAAAAATATTTAAAATGGTAACTATGTGAGATGATCAATGTTTAATTAGCTTAATTGTAATAATAATTTCACTATATATATGAAATAATCATGTTTGCACCTTAAATCTATACAATTTCTATTTGTCAATTACACCTCAATAGAGCCAAAACATAAGAATTAACAAGCAAAGAAATATTAATTAAAACAAAAATAAGAAACTATGCTTTGATTATCAAATTGGAAAAAAATAATAACTCAAATAAGGGGAAAGTAAATTGAAATAACTTTTTATGCGAACAGCAGGCAATATAACGTTTATCATTCAGACTTGTATCATTGGACCCAGTTCAAACTTATATATTAATTATTTTCTGTCTAAAAATTTAGCACTATATTTTCTCATCAGTTGTTTTAAAATGATAACAAACAAAAGAACCTCATTGTTCCAATAAGAGGATATAGGTTAAATAAATTATGGCTATACAGTTGCACATAGCTATATAATGAAACATTATTTTGAAATTAAACACAATGTTTCAAAGTTTATTAATGACTTGAAAAGTCGACTAAATTAAAAAAAGAAATTAAAATATTTAAAACTGGCCAGGCGCGGAGTCTCACACCTGTAATCCCAGCACTTTGGGAGGCCGAGGCAGGCGGATCACCTGAGGTCAGGAGTTTGAGACCAGCCTGGCCAACACAGCCAAAATCTGTCTCTACTAAAAAAAAAAAAATACACATACACACACAAAAAAACTAGCTGGGCGTGGTGGTGGGCATCTGTAATCCCAGCTTCTTTGGAGGCTGAGGCAGAAGAATTGCTTGAACTCAGGAAGAGGAGGTTGCAGTGAACCTAGATCGCGCCATTGCACTCCAGCCTGCTGGGCAACAAAGCGAGACCCCATCTCAAAAACAAAAAAAGAAAAAAGAAAAAAAATTAAAAACTATACTTGTAAATCCAAAACGTATTCATTTTAACACATACCTGTAGGAGCCAACCCCCAATATGGCACTCAGAATAAACTTGACTCCTGTTATTCACATATTTGTGTACTGCCCTTCCATGTTGTCTCACAGATACAACCATTTGTATACGGTAGATTTATGGCACATGATTTCCAGGGCTAGGTCATAAAAATACCCACTTCTAGTTCTCATAGATTGCTTGCTGAGGGAATAGTCATAAAGATAGGTGACTACTCAGCTAACCAACCAAAGAGGCCCTTATGGAAAAGAACTGAGGCTTCCCACCAACAGCCAGTACCAACCTGACAGCCACATGATTGACTACCTAGGCAATGATTTTTCCCACCTCAGGAAAGCCTTTAAATGACTAAAATTCCAGTCAACATCTGATGGTAAACTCATTAGAGAGTTTAATCAAAAATATCCAGCCAAGCCACTTTCAAATCCCTGACCCACAGAAACCAAACAAGTATAAATGTCTATTTTTACTTTACACACTTGATAACTAATAAACACAAACATGCCTAGAGAAAACACTGAAAGGATATAGACTAAAATGTCATCAGATGATAAGTGAATTATAGGAGTTTTTCCTGGCTTTTATTTTACTATGATGACATTTTTATGATTAAAATGATTTTTTAAAAGATCGTTAAAAATGAGAACTCACTAAGTAGCGAGGTTGCTATCTATCTTTCTGGTTAATATAGATGTAAATTTCTAAGATCCATGGTTTTCAAAGGGAAACAGATGTGTCATCATTTTTTTTTAAATGTCTTATTTCAGGAGACAGAACCCAGGAATTTCGTTGTTTATTTTTAATTCAGACTTATATATCTTATAATTTTAGAGGTACCTTTCAGAGGTTCATATCAGATTGTCAGCTTTAGGTTTCAGTGTGGCAAACATTTAACTGTTACTGAATCATCATTAGCATTTTTGTTTGACCATGGCATGTTGATGCCATGTTGAATCATAATCATTTTAATTTTTTATTTTTTTTTGAGACAGAGTCTTGCTCCGTCGCCCAGGCTGGAGTGCAGTGGCGCCACCTCGGCTCACTGCAAGCTCCGCCCCCTGGGTTCACGCCATTCTCCTGCTTCAGCCTCCCGGGTAGCTGGAACTACAGGCGCCCACCACCACGCCCGGCTAATTTTTTGTATTTTTAGTAGAGACGGTGTTTCACCTTGTTAGCCAGGATGGTCTTGATCTCCTGACCCTGTGATCCGCCTGCCTCAGCCTCCCAAAGTGCTGGGATTACAGGCGTGGGCCACTGTGCCTGGCCTTATTTAAATTTTTTAAATGTCCATTCTCGCACTGCCATAAAGAAACACCTGAGACTGGGTAATTTATACAGAAAAGAGGTTTAATTGGCTCATGGTTATGCAGATTGTACAGGAGGCATGATGCTGGCATCTGGTGGGCTTATGGGGCGGCCTCAGGAAACTTACAATCATGGTGGAAGGTGAAGGTGAAGCAGGTACATCACATGCCCAGAGAAGGAGCAAGAAAGAGAGGGGGGAGGCACTTGGGTGCTATACACTTTTAAATGTCCACATCACATCTCATGAAAAGTCACTCACAATCATGAGGAGAGTACCAAGTGGGATGGTGCTAAACCATTCATGAGAAGACCACCCCAGTGGTCCAATCAATTCCATCGGGCCCCAACCCCAACACTGGAGATTACATTTCAATATGAGATTTGGGCAAGACACACATTCAAACAGTATCAAAAAATATGTGAAACATCTAAAAATTAAGGAAATTCTCATTTGTTATGGAACAGTTGGAAAATACTGAATACCACAAGTTAAAAAGTAAAAAAAAAAAAATCTAACCCCATCACTGAAAGATAAGATTTACTATTATTTTGGAATACCAAAGATATGCTACGTATATAAGACATAGATATATAAATGGTGGTGGTGACAATGATGAAGAGAGAGGAGGAGGAGGAGAAGAGGGAAAGAGAAAAAAAAGGGAAGATAGATGGACAGATAGAAAGATTTATAATTTCCCTTTACTTCTAAGAAAACTGGCTTTGTACATCTAAGTTTTCCTTTGATTTCTGGATTAGGGAATGTTGTGTGTATGTGTGTTCTAAGATAGAACTTTGTAGGAACAGATCTAATGATATCATATGTAACAGCACGGAACTGAAAATGCTGGAGGAGGAAGAGTTGAAAAGAATAACCCAATGCCCACATAATACCCCACCTTTTTCTTTTTCTTCTTCTTTTTTTTTTTTTTTGCAATTTTATAACTTTATTTGATGTATTTGACAATCAGTGATTAGTTTTTATCCACATTGACTGTCTGTAGATTTTTGAAAGTGGTAACAGGTACATAGGTAACCAAAGTATAGAGCTTATTTGGTGAATCTTCATTCTCATTACATTTTATGGACAACTGCACACAGATTCGGTGTGAGACATTCCTTATTCCTCGGGCCCAGACAAGGCACACATCTGGAGTTCTCATCTCCTTCATGGCAAATTTCCAAATCTCTTTGAGTGCTTGAGGGGCATGCTTCTTGAAGCCCATTCCATAGATGTGCTTGTGAATGTTGATGGTGTATTCTCAGGTCACCACCTCGTTGATGGCAGAATGGCCCTTTTTTCTTCCTGCCACCCTTCTTTGTGGGAGCCATTCTGCCGGGTCCAAGTTGGAAAGGAAGAAATACCCTACCTTTTTCTTTTAAATCTTTCACTAGTTGTTTTCTGTAATTTTAGCCAAATCTTAGCTCACACAGAAATTACAGAGACAGAATTGTGGAGAGGATGAAAATGCAGGATTGAAAGATTACCTTATTTCAGATTCCAGTTATACACTTGGCATTCTTGCGACCTGAAGTTATTGACCCAATCTGTGCCCCAGTTTCTTCCTCCTGTGCCATGGGGCTAACTACAGTACCTACCTAATAGGGTTGTGTGTGAGGATTAAATTATGTAATATTAGAAGTGAGAGGCTATCATTAAGTTTATTACAATATTATATATATAAAACTATTCATGGTTTTTCATGTTTTAAAAATGTATATGGTACATTATGAATTACAAAATTGAACATGGCCTTAAATTTTTCATTTTTTTCTCTTTTGATATTTTATATTATGTATACTTTAATGTAATCCCCCATCCTGAGATCAGTAAAATATTACCCTCTCCCATTTTCCTGGCCGACTTTAGTTTCCTCTAGAGCATGATATCAGATGAGGGTCTAATGCTAATTTTCTCCAAGTAGTTAACACATTTTCTCATTACTACTTTTTAAAAAACCTTTCCTTTTCTTATTTACTTGTTGTGTCAAATTTATCATACACATTTAATACTTATTATACATCACATTTTTTTCCCTCAGGTATCTGGATATTTCTTCATGTTTTTCCTCCATATCACTTATCCAATTTGCTGAAATGTCAATACTACTTGTATGTTTTTATGTTTTAATATTTAGAATATGAATTTTAATTCTACTATTGCATTTGGTTTTTCTTTAACTTTTATTTTTGTCTTGTACCCTTTTCATTTTTGAATGATTCACTTTTTTTTGCTTCTGCAGTATTTTATTAATGTATGTTCCATGTGAACTTTTGTTTTATATTGTCTCCCTCACATATTTATCCAAAGAGAAATATCTTTCTAGACTAGTATTTGTTGACTGTCTTTGGCTAGCACTACCAAATAGTTTTAATGAAAATATTGGCCAGTAAACGTTATCATATCACATAATGGCAGCTTATAAATACAGGAATCAGTTTATGGTTTCAGTTAGAATATTCAAGGCTATATACTATAACCTATGTACAAAACTACCATATAGCTCTTTTCAGTTAAAAATACGGATTAACTGCATCAATCCCCTCATTTCCTTTTCCACCATTCCTTTCATTCTAGTCTGTCTTTCATATTGTGGCCATATTACATTTCTAAAACACAAAGGTGATCATGATATTCCCAGACTTACAATATGTAAGTTACAATTTATTCAGAAAACATTTATGAATTTTCCCAATCTTTCCCAAACTAATTTTTTTGTGCATTAGTGTGTATCACTTATTTCAGCACTCATTATGTAGTCAAGCCTAACAAAGCTGCCTAGAAAGGCTCATATTCCTAGGCTCATTTTTTATCATGCTGTTTTTTTTTTTTTTTTTTTTTCTGAGACGGAGTCTTGCTCTGTCACCCAGGCTTTAGTGCAGTGCCATGATCTCGGCTCACTGCAAGCTCTGTCTCCCGGGTTCACACCATTCTCCTGCCTCAGCCTCCCGAGTAGCTGGGACTATAGGCACCCGCCACCATGCCCGGCTAATTTTTTTGTATTTTTAGTAGAGACGGGGTTTCACTGTGTTAGCCAGAATGGTCTTGATCTGATCTCGTGATCTGCCCGCCACAGCCTCCCAAAGTGCTGGGAATACAGGTGTGAGCCACCGCGCCTGGCCTGTTTCTTCTTTTTAGAAGACCTCCTTATGCTCTTCTTACTGATATATTCTACATATTCTTTAACACAGAGCTCAAATGTTTTCTCTAATGTGAAGACTGTTAATTGCAAATTCCTCTGTGTGCCATAGCACTTCATTTCTGTCACCATTGCAGTAAACTCCTACAAAAAGACAAGAATGAATGAGGCAGTTACACTTTCTAAGTCAGCCTGGGTCAAAACTGGAACAGCTGCCAAAGGCATACTGCACAGAAACTGGAGTGGGAGTGTAGTCTTTACAGAATTATTCTCAATGGGCAGTCACTGTTTATGTTCAATTCTTTGTATGTATGGGGCACCTCCTCTAAATATAAACATATCACCATCTTAAAGGTAAAAAAATCTGAACCAAAGAACTAAAGAGTATAACTTTATATACTATTTTATTTAGGGGTATGAGTGTGTCTGTATGTGTGTGCCTATTTTAGCTCCGTGAAAATAGGTTCCTTATCTTATTAATCTCTATTTCTGAAGTCTTGTAGAGTGCTTAAGCATGCATATTACATGACGAATATTTAGGTTGACTTATTACTATTATTATTATTATTATTATTTGACATGGAGTCTCACTCTGTCGCACAGTGGTGCAATCTCTGCTCACCGCAACCTCCACTTCCCAGATTCAAGTGATTCTCCTGCCTGAGCCTCCCAAGCAGCTGAGATTACAGGCGCCCCCTACCGCGTCTGGCTAATTTTTGTATTTTTAGTAGTGATGGGGTTTCACCAAGTTGGCCAGACTCGTCTCAAACTCCTGACTTCCAATGATCCACCCACCTTGGCCTCCCAAAGTGCTGGGATTACCGGCATGAGCCACTACACCCAGCCGGTTCACTAATTCTTTAATTCTTTCAACAAATATTTCTTGAGCTTCTGCTATATGTAGGTATGATGACAGATCCTGGGGATAAAACAGCAAGCAAAAACAGAGATTTCATGGAGGATGGACTAGTATTAACTATATTTTGTCTACCCCAAATTTCTATGTTGAACCCCTCACCGGCAAAGTGACTGTATTTGCAGATAGGAACAATAAAGAGGTAAGGTTAAACTGAATCATAAAAGTAGGTATCCAATTCAATATAACAGGTGTCCTTATAAGAGCAAAAAAGAAACCAGGGATACCTTCACAGAGGAAAGACCATGTGCAGACACAGTGAGAAAGTGGCCATCTGAAAGCCGAAGGAAGAGGCCTCAGGAGAAACCAAACCTGTAAGCACATTGATCTTGGACTTCCAGCTGACAAAATTATGAAAAAATAAATTTCTGTTGTTTAAATCCCTAGTCTGTAGTACTTTGTTACAGCAGTGTTAGCAAACTAACACATGAACCACTATGAAGAGGTTGCTAAGTAGGAGAGAAACCAGATCCTGTAGTCAACAAACTATGTTAAGGATTTGGGGTATTCTTCACAGTATAATATGAAGCCATAGAAAAGTTTTAGAGGGGAAACATGAAAATATTGTGGTCTGAAAATATTACACTGGAAGACTAAGTGGTAGGTAAGCAAGAAGAACTGTTAAGACCAGTGCAGTTATATAGTTAAAAAAATTTCAATTAATTTTAGCCTACAAATGGCAAAGAACAAACAGGGCTTTATTAAGTACTTATTTTTCTGAAGAAAAAAACAGACTCAGGGCTTAACATACACTCAATAAAAACAGTTTTAAACAATACTTAGAATACTAATTTTGAGATATAGTAAGGGTCTTACTGATGAAAAATCAAATAATGATGAAGGTATTATCCTTAGCTAGAAAAAGGGAAAAATAATAGGGTTTTGATATGGTTTGGCTCTGTGTTCCCACCCAAATCTCATCTTGTAGCTCCTGTAATTCCCACATGTTGTGGGAGGAACCCAGTGGGAGATGATTGAGTTATGGGGGCAGGTCTTTCCCGTGCTCTTTTTGTGATAGTAAATGGGTCTCACAAGATCTGATGGTTTTAAAACATGGGAGTTGCGCTAACAAGCTCTCTTTTTGCCCCGTTACCATCCAAGTAAGATGTGACTTGCTTCTCCTTGCCTTCCACCACTATTGTGAGGCTTTCCCAGCAACATGGAACTAAGTCCAATTAAACCTCTTTCTTTTGTAAATTGCCCAGGGGTATGTCTTTATCAGCAGAGTGAGAATAAACTAACACAGGCTTAGAATATTGTTAAAACAAAAAAGTTGATTAAACTGCTTTATAATATAATCCTTTACATTAGAGTTATGTAATTACAGGTAAATATATTTAAATAAACATGTTACCTCTATTTTCCAAAATAAAATGTAATATACAAATAAATACTATTACATAAAATGAGTTAATAAAATAATTTTTTGGCACATAAGTTCTCAGTGAATGTTTGGGGCGGATCTGATTTTTTTTTTTTACACATTTTATCTGTTTTGCCTTAAATCGTGACTTGGCGTATGTATTTAGTTCTCTTAATCTCTTCTAAAACTTGACAGTGTGTCCCAGGTCACAAGATAATTTAGAAAAATCCTGAATCCTCTAGAACAAACTATTTTTGAAATAAATTCATGTTTGAGGTGGAATCATAATAAATATAAATAACAATCATTTGAGAAATTATTATATTAAATATTAATCCGTTATTACTTTCATGCTGCTGCTTTCATTCTACAGTGAAAATTGTATGGAACATCAGAAAATCGGTCATAATGAAATAAGCTGAGTTCACTTTTGAAAAGCCATTTGATCCCACACTGAAAAATAACACCACCATTATACATGAATAATCAAGATAAGTGAGTCATTTGGGAATGCCGAAGTTAGTTTCTGAATGTTGATATGGCCAACAGAAAAAAACATTTGGAAAAAATAAGCTAATAAAAATATTTAAAATTTGCTATTGTCTCGCCACAATCCTCTCCTTTCTCAGAGGAGACAGGAATAAAATCATTAAGAGTTTCTGATAGCATCTGGATTTGCTCTTTGAGTAATGGAAAATTAGATCACCCATAAATGATCACAGATAAACCTTACCTTATAAATCCAATTAAAACTGACAGATCCATGTAAATGCAACTCCTAGATTACAATGATTGCAAAAGAGCATAATTTTGTTTGTTCTAAGACCTAACCATTTACATGCCTCATGTAGAAATTGTAGGGGCTGGGCAAATATTCTTTAGACTGCAGACTTGTCCCAATTATAGAATACTGGAACATGTTCCATTCAAGTATTTTTTAAACCTAATGCCAGTGTCTTAAATATATTTTAATACATGTAAAAATGTGTGGGGCGGTGTGTACGTGTGTGTGTGCATGCACACCTGCAGAAGCATTTGTATGCTAATGCCAGGAAATAATATGTACCAGTATACAATAAAAATATTTACTTTTCTACCAAAATTACATCTAAACATTCTAATTAATCTTTTATATTTAGTTTGATACTTTGTTATTATTTATCCATGAGTGCAAATCCCTAACTTGTGGTCCAAATACATTTCACCCATAATCTCTAGGAAAAAAAAAAACTGAATTTAGGTGTCATGCTTAATTATATCTTATTTTATCAATAATAATAATAACAAGAAAACTGAACCAATTGTTGGGCTAGCTCATCCAATCATATCCAGAGGAATTGAGAGATGGAGAGTAAGCACTGAGTACACAAAATTAAATCTCCTCTTATGATAAGGACTGAGATGTCCCATGATCAAGAAGCAGTATTTCATACAATTAAACCACTAAATATACATATTCCATCCAATTATTCAGAAAGGAGCTTTAGAGATTACATATTATTTCCATCCCTTTATCTTGCAAGAGCTAAAATAGAATCCAAAGAAACAGATTTGTCTTTGGTTTTTTACCATTTACTGGCTAAAACTTGACAAGAATTGAGGTCTCGTGCTATTTATTTCAACTTTCTTTCCAGTTTTGACTATTATTTAACCTAAAATTGCTAGTTTAAACTTCAACTACATTCATGAAAAATTTTACTTTTCATTAATTTCTAACCATGAGGTCTTTCCACTAAAGGTGGCCATCTTCACAATTTACGTATATTGCCACAAAGTTTTTCTGATCGACACAGACAATCATCAGTGGTGACAGAAACATAAAAATACATAGATTGATAGACAGCCTGGGTGTTTTTAAATCCTTAGTCAGAGTTCTGTGATTAAGTGAACACACACAAAATTTTCATCCTTTAATTGTTATGTTTCCTTTGTAGACATCACTTACATTGTATTATATAATGATAATGAACAAGCTCAGCTGAAGTAACAGTCTCAGATAGAGAGATGAAAGCCTGGGTTGAGCATACTAGAAAAAAATAAATTTATAATTTAAATACTATTAAAGAGGGGTATGAATTTGGAAGGATGGATTAGATGTATGCTTCCTTATTCTTTCCACTAAGTACACTACAAACACTGAAATAATATATAAAACACATGTAGGATGACTTTGAAAGGTAGAAGACAGACTGGTTAGGAACCTGAGGACCTGAGAAAATATAACGGTGAGTTCCTGGGGTTTCCTTTTTGCCTCATGTATTCCAGACTAGGTGCTAAAGAAGCTGGTAACTTAGAAACTGCAACAGTATAGATTTAAAAGTCCAAAACAAAAGGATGCTCTAACAAATACTAATAAAGGGACAACCTAGAAAGATAAAAAGCTTTTAGACAATAATTGATCTACTTCAGTCAAATACCACAAAAAATATTAGCAGCCCCACCCCATCCCTGGAAAGATACCAGAGGAAGACTGCTAAAACAGATGATTTAAATAACTTCTGGAGTCTCATAATACCCAAATATCCAGTTTTCAATAAAAATTATTTACTATATTAAGAACCAAAAACATTTCTACTTGCAAAAAAGATTAAAAGATGGATGCCAACATCAAAATTACACAGATATTAGAATTATCAAACAAGGATTTTACAGCAGGTATTATAAAAAGGCTTTAAAAAACAATAAATAAATTTGTTCAAAAGAAATGAAAAAAATATTGTGGACAAAGAGACTCAGCAAAGAAAAAGAGTCTTAGCTAAAAAATGAAAGATGCAAAAAAAAAAAAAAGAAATTTTAGAACAGAAAAATAACCATAATTTAGAATGCAATGAATGGGCTCAACAGTAGACAGAATAAACAAACAGTAAATCTGAAGACAGAAGAACAGAAATTACCTAGGGTGAACCACAAAGAGAAAGTAGACTAAAATAAAATAAATCCTCAGGGACATGTGAGACTATAACAAAAGATCTAACATTTGTGTCATCAGAGTTTCAAAAACAAAGAAAATGAGGGTGCAATTGAAACAGTATTTGAAAAAATGACAAACAATATCCAAAAATTTACTATAAGACATAAATCTACAGATTCAAGAAGTTTAGGCTGGGCGTGGTGGCTCACACCTGTAATCCCAGCACTCAGGGAGGCAGACGTAGGTGAATCACCAGAGGTCAGGAGTTCGAGACCAGCCTGACCAACAAGGAGAAACCCCGTCTCTACTAAAAATACAAAATTAGCTGGGCATGGTGGCACATGCCTGTATTCCCAGCTACTTGGGAGGCTGAGGAAGAAGAATCGCTTGAATCCGGGAGGTGAGAGGTTGCGGTGAGCCGAGATCGCAGCACCATTGCACTCCAGCCCGGGCAACAAGAGCAAAACTCCATCTCAAAAAAAAAAAAAAAAAAAAAGTTTAGCAAACCCAGAACAGGTTGAACCTAAAGAAATTCATAGTAGAGAAAAACCAGTAAAACTTTTGAACACTCAAGACAGAAAAAAAATAATAGAAAGTAGCACATGAGAAATGAAACAATCTACAGGGGAAAATCTTTTGAATGTCAAGAGTTATCAGAAACTATAAAGTTCAAAAAGATGTTGCATGTTTTTCAAGCACTAAAAGCAAAGAACTGTCAACTAAAGATACTGTATTGAGCAAAAATACAGTTCAGGAATTAAAAAAAAATCAAGGAATTCTCAGAGAAACATAGAAACTTTATTTCAGTGAGTAAAGAACAAAGAAGACAGAAAGAGTAAAGGTATAGGTAAATAGAATAAACTATCCTAGACTTGAGTGTGCTAAATTATTTTTTACGGTTGAAGGAAAATGTATAATGCTGTCTGATGTGATTCTCAGTGTATGCAGAAGAAATGCTGAAACCAATTATAAAATTGGGAAGCAAAAGAGATACAAAGGGTAGTGATATTTCTACACTTAGCTCATAAGGTAAGGTGTTGACACTAGTAGACTGTGACAAGTTGGTGCATATAACACCTAGAATAACCACTAAAAATCCTATACAAAGAGATACACTAAAAAATGCTAAAATAAATCAAAATACAATTATTAAAAATGTTCAAATAACCCACTGGAAGGCAGGAAAACAGAAAACAGAGAAGAAAAATAAAACAAGGAGAACAAACAGAAAACAAAAAATTAAAATGGTAGAATTAATCTCCAACACATCAATAAGTAAATGAAATTTGCCAATTAAACAATGTACATTTGATAGAGTAGATTGAAAATATCACCCAGGTGTATGAGGGCTACAAAAAACTCACTTCAAATTTAATAATATAGGTAGGTTGAGAAATTATTAAAAAAACAGAGAAATATATACCATTGCAAACAGGAATCAAATGAAAGCAGATGAGGCTCCAATCACATTAGATATCTTACACTTCAGAGAAAATTGCTAGGGGCTGAAAATACCATTACTTAAGGAGAAAGGAGTCAATCTATTAGGAAAGTATAGCAATCCCAAATGTACATCACCAAACCACAGAGCTGCAACATGTGTGAACCAAACCTGATAGAATTAAAAGGGAAAATAGATGGATCTAAAATCATAGTTAGAAACTACAACATTCCTCTGATAAAAATTGATAGAACAACTAAAAAATGGCTGAGTCAGTATTCCACAATCAGTCAATGTAATCCTTCATAGTAACAGACTACAAAATAAAAAAAATCACAATATCAACTGATGCAGAAAAAGCATTTAAGAAAATTTAACACCATTCGTGATCTTCAAAACAAAGTTTTCAGAAAACTAAGAATACAGGAGAAGTTACTCAATTTTATAAAGAACACTTACAAAACAACAACCACCACCACCACAACAACAAAACCTCCACAGCTAATACCATAATTAATGATGAAAGATGGAATGCTTTTCCTTGAAGATCAGGAAAAAAAAAGCAAGGGTGGCTATACTCACTACAGCTATCCAACATAGTACCAGAAGTTCTAGCCATACAATAAAGCCATATAAATTTTAAAAAAAAGAAATGAGGAAATAAAAGATGTATCAACTGAATAGGAAAAAATAAAACTGAATACTAATCTTACGCATATATGAAACAATGATATATGTCAAAAATCTCAAGAAATATAAAAGTTAACATAGAATAAATGATTTTAGTTAAGACAATTCAAGAGTAACATATAACAAGCTATTCTATTTCCATATATTAGGAATGGTTAAAAAATTGAAATAGGTATAAATCTTATAAAACTTAAACGTGTATGTTGAAAACTATACAATGTTGTTTCAAGAAATTAAAGAAGTCCAAAGTAAATAGGAAACGTGCCATGCTCATGGATTGAAAGTCTCAATAAATATTATCCCAATTATCCCAAAATTGATATATATTTTGAACAAAATTCCTATCAAAATCCTAGCAATATTTTAGACATACACAAACTTATTCTAACTGTATGTATATAGAGATACAAAGGAACTTGAAGATCTAAAATAATTTTGATTAAAGAGTAAAGTGGGAGGAACTATACTGCCTCATTTGAAGACTTATATATAGTTAAAATAACCAGGAATGGTGGAGGGATAGACACATAGATTAATTGAACAGAATAGAGAACCTAGAAATAGCCCTACATAACTAACTTTTGACAAAGATGCAAAAGCAATTCAATGGAGGAAATATGGCCATTTCAAAAGAAATGGTGCTAAAATGGTGTTGGAGCAATTGAATATCCATAGTCAAAATAAATAAATAAAAAGCAACTTTACCTGAACTTCATATCTTGTAAAAAATTTGACTCAAAATGAATCATAGATTTAAACAGAAAACTATAAAAACCTTTAGAAAAAAAAATCATAGAAAATCTTCAGAAACTAGTGCCTAGTGAAACTTTTTAGATATGATACCAAAAGCATAATTCATAAAAGGAAAAAAAAGTAAACTAGACTTCACTGAAATTTAAAACCTCTGCTTTATGAAAGATATTGTTAAGAAGATGAAAAGAAAAGTTACAGACTGGATGAATATATTTACAACCACATATCTGAAAGAGGACTCAGAGCTATAATATATATCAAAAAAAATTTCAAAACTGAACAGTAAGAAAAAATAACAATCCAATTAGAAAATGGCAAAACAAAGAGACACTTCACTGACAAGGATACATGGATTATAAAAAAGCACAGAAAAAAGATGTTCAACATTACTAGTCATTAGGGAAATGCAAATGAAAATCACAATTAAGAACCACTACAAACCTATTAGAAGAGATAAAATAAAAACTAGTTACAATAGGAAAAGCTGCGAGGATGTGGAGAAGCCAGATTTCTCATGCATTGCTGTTGGGATGTAACATGGTACACCCATGGCAAAATAGCTTGGCAGTTTTTTTAAAAAAAAAGTAAACATGCATTTATCATACAATATCACAATCATACCTCGGTGTATCTATTCCAGACAAATAAAAACAGGTACACACAAAAACCTATACATTGTTGTTCATAGCAGCTTTATTTGTAGGTGCCCCAAACTGGAAATATCAAAATGTCCTAAATAGGTACATGGTTAAACAAACTATCATACATCCATTCCATGGACCACTCAACAATAAAAAGAGAAAAAAATCTAAAATATATTGATATAAGAAATAACCTACATGGATCTCAAGGGCAATATGCTGAGTGAATAAAAGCCAACTTCAAAATGTTATATACTATATGATTTCATTTATTTAACATTATCAAAATGACAAAATAATAGTGATGAAGAACAAATTAGTGGTTGTTCGAATCCTAGAGGTGACTGAAAGGCTGCTTTTTTTTTTTCTTTTGAGAGACAGACTGGTATTGATAAGATTATAAGGCCAATTCAAAAATAAAACCTGAACTCAGAAAACTTGCTGGGCAAGAGTCCTAGATTTGAACCAACAATATTTCTCAACAGTTCGTGAGCATTACACTCAGTTCATAGGATTCAACTGGCTCTAGCAGACGTTGATTCTAAGTAGGAATGCTTCAACATTGTAATCTGTCCTAATTCCAGACTGGTTTTCCCCACAGTATAGTTTTCATATAGTTTCAAATAGCAAAATTTTTCAAGGTCTATGATGAAAACAAATACAAACAATATTATCAACAGCAACAAAAGCAAGACTTTTCTACAGTTTTTGCTCTCATGATTTAAGAAAAAAAGGCTTATTAATGTTCTGCATGTGGTTCTATCTAAATAAAAGACAATTTATAGTATAACCATGATCTGAAATTTTATCAAAGAGTTGAGGTGACAAAAAATACAGTACAGGGACACCCAAGGCTTGGTATCTTAAAAAACCTTTAAGCTGAGATGAGGTAGACACACCCATCATGCATACTGGTGAACTGGAACTAAACCAATGTGAAGGTTGATTTTATCTGCCAACTTGACTAGGCTATGCTACTCAGATTTTTGGTCAAATACCAGTGTAGATGTTGCTATGCAGAATACTTACTAGACGAGAGTAACATTTAAATCTGTAGACATTGAGTAAAGTAGATTACCCTCCATAATGTGGGTGGGGCTCATTTAATCAGTAGACGATCTTAACTGAAAAAAAGATTGTGGTCTCCTGAGGAAGAGAGAATTCTAACCCTGGACTGCCTTCAGACACCAGCTGTAAAATCAACTTTACCCTGGGTCTCTAGTCTCCCAGCCCACCCTGCTGATTTCGGACTTTTGGACTTGTCAGCTTCTACAGCTATATGAGAGAATTCTTTAAAACAATCTCTCTCTCTCTCTCTCTCTCTCTGTGTGTGTGTGTGTGTGTGTGTGTGTGTGCGTGTATGTGTATATATATAATGGATATAATATACAAAATGTACGTATACATATATATGCGCACAGACATACTTCCTTTCTATTGGTTGTTTCTGTGGCAAACTCTGACTGATACAGTCAGTGTTCTCAAAAACTTGCAGCTCAGCATTGTGTAATCTAGGAGAAGTTTTCAGTACTGATATCCAAGAATGTTTATAGCATCACTGTCTTTAATAGACAAGTAACATAAAACATATCTTCCAAAAATATAATGAATAAATATATAATTCTATAGATATACTATGAAATGCTACATGGATTCAAGAAATGAAGGAACAACAGCTGCACAACAGCACAGAGGAATTCTAACATATGATGTTAAGCAAAAGAAGCCAGAAACAAAAAAGTGTATGTTATAATTACATGTTGTATGATGTATTGTGGCTTTGTATGAGTACATATAAAAGCCAGTCATTCTTTCAGAGGGATTCAAAGCTAAATAGTAAAAATATAAGGAAAATGAGGAAATGATGATGGTGAAATAATTACAGTGGTTACTTTTAAGGAAGAAAATGGGGGTTATAATTTTAAAAAGGCTTGCAGAAGGCATTTGGAGTGTTGGTAATTTTCTGTTTCTTAATCACTGTGGAATGAAATGGATGTTAACTTTAAAATAGTGCTTCACTAATCTGTACCTTCACATTCTATGCACTTTTCTAAAAGTATATTGTTAAAAATGTGTATTTCAGAACAAAAAAAATTAAATGTCATAAACATGGGTGACTGTTATAAATTTGGAAAGGTATTTGATATAGTCCTTTAAAATTATTCCACTTCAAACCCGGCTGACTTTTTCTCATCTTAAGAAAAACCAATGATTTACTTACCCATGAATATCATAACTTACAACAAGAGCAATAAAAATCTCAATAGTTGCTAGAAGTGAACATGGAGTGAAGTGGCAATAGTTTTCTTTCTCCTTAGGGCTATGTTTTAAAGCTATGTTTTCACAATCTTGTGTTAAGAAAACTATATTAACAGTAAAAATTATCACAAATTAAAAATTACAAATTCTAGTCAAGATGTCTTCATAAGTTTACACAGTGAGGTACTTCCCATTTATACAGGCACACACATATACACAGACACACATATATCAATTATAGAAAAAAATATAAAATGCTAAAGGGACAAAATTAACAAGTCATAGTAGAGTCTGAAAATATACAAGATAAACACCTCTGCAATAAAAATCAGAACCTTTTAGGAAATTAAATAAATTACATAATAAAATAAAACAGAATAATTCTTTTGGAGGGTAAGATCTTACATTCATATGTATACATGTGCCATGCTGGTACGCTGCACCCACTAACTCGTCATCTAGCATTAGGTATATCTCCCAATGCTATACATATGTAACTAACCTGCACAATGTGCACATGTACCCTAAAACTTAAAGTATAATAATAATAAAAAAGAAAATTAAAATAAAATGCCACCTTCTCAATCCTGAAAAAAAAAAGATCTTACATTCATCATAGTTCAGTATAAAGTATAAAATTTGATGTTTATTTTTGAACAGAGGTGTTTGAGTTTCTTAGAAATATGTGAGAAAAAATCTTAAATAATAATTATTGGTTTTCCTGGAACCCACTGTAAATTATATAATGAAATATAGTTAAAGCTGTACTTGTTTTCTTACAAGTAGAAAGGTAGAAACTTCAGTTATTTGAAAATGATTTCTACCCATATCTATTGTAACACTGTTCTTTCTTGTTTAAGTACTTAGGTGAAATTTTCAGGGCCATTCTATGGAAATGGCTTGAAGAGCTCTGAAAGTAGAGTAGGTATCTCCGCACTCCTCCAAACATACAAACACACATATACGCTTCTAACTTCTTTGCTTACCCCCAATGCTGATGGTGAATAGATAAGATGCTAAATAAATTATAACTGAATAAATATATGATATTTAAATAGAATGACCCAATAGGCAAATAACTTTTTGCTTTTTTCTTCTTCTTTATGCAATAGCCATTTCCAGAGTGAATAATATGTAGCTGTCACAATATAAAGAAGGCAAATATTTACATGGGTTATTGCCCAAAATAAGCTCACCATTTACTTACACTTTTATTTTGGAAAAAACAACATAAAATGACAATTTCCTTTCAAAGAACTATTAGTTCAATACTTGCTTAAATAAAAGACCCCCTCTCGCCTACTTTACAATAACATTTATAACCAAACTATACATTACAACAATATAGAAGACCTTTGTTAGTGTATAATTGTAATGTTATTTGAGCAAGTCTCCTACAATTTAGGAAGAAATCCTAGAAAGTATTTTGTTGCCGTCAGCCATTAAATTCATTGCATCTGTGGTAACCTGGGCTACTCAACCACATGGCAAGTAAATGTAGAGATTGAACTGATGAGAAGGAGCTCTTTTTGTAGCTATAGAATCCAAATGAGATACTTTTGACAAAAAAATCTGCTTTATTATTTTATTTGAAAAACACAAGATGGTATATATTTTAGAAATATAACTTACAATGAAGTGGTTCTCAACTTGGAGTAATCCCCTTTCCAATCCACAGGACATTTAACAATGCCTGGAGAAATTCTGGGTATCACAACTATTGGCATCTACTGGATAGAGGCCAGGGATGCTGATAAACATTTTCCAAGGCACACAGAAGTCCCCATGCTCCACACACACACACACACACACACACACACACACAAATTACCTGCACCAAAATGTCAAAAGGGCCTAGATTGAGAAACACTTCTGTAGTGGAAGATTCCCCTCCACCAACAAATTTCTGGAACTCTATATTTCTCACCCTGACCTGAAATTCATCAGTATACGTCAGTTTTAGTTGGCAAGGTACTCCAAGCTTAAGGCAGCTTAATTCAAATAGAGAATCAATTATGGACCAAGTTAGAGCGCTATTATTCAGAGGTACAGTTTATAAGGGCTTCCTGACTGCCTCCTTCAGGAAATACAAAGTGATCTCATTAGCTCTTTCCATTAGGTCCTGGGACCCGTCTTGGCTAAAACTTCTCATGCTCACACAGTAATAACATGGTCTGTCGTGGGGTGGGGGAGGGGGGAGGGGGGAGGGATAGCATTAGGAGATATACCTAATGTAAATAATGAGTTAATGGGTGCAGCACACCAACATGGCACATGTATACATATGTAACAAACCTGCGCGTTGTGCACATGTACCCTAGATCTCAAAGTATTAAAACAAAATAACATGAAAGATGAAGCTGGCTTTACTCATTCACTACTAATAAACAAATGTAAACTTCTATTTTTTTCCATTCTAACAATCACAGTTACACTGTTGAATAAAAATCGAGTTTATTAAAGTAAGCAATCTTAAGAAGCTTCCTTATATAACATTACTCTTTCCAACATCCTTAGGGATTCAAAATACAGGTCATAGGGCATGAAAGGCAGGAGTGGAATCAATCTAGATAATGAAATAATCTGCAATCATAATCAGGCTCCACCTTTCTCCTTTTATACTAACTCCCTACTGATTATTACATTTCTTGAAATACTAGAAGTTGAGCTTTTAAAGCGAAAAAAGGTACATCATTATAAAGAAATAATAATTAATTCCAATGTCACTTCCTTAAAATTCTAACCAAAGGAGTAACCCATTATACCCACTCCACTATTTGCCTCTAAAATGTTCTAAACAATGCTATTACTAATTCTTCTATTTCAAAAAATTCTACTAAGGAACTATTTGCTATTTAAGCTTTTTTTTCTCATTTGGTTGTTGTTTGGTTTTGTTTCGATTTTCCCTCAAAAAGAGCCAAGACAATCCGAATTTAAGTCTCTGTTTGTAAGAATTCCAGGACTTCAAAAGCAAATATTAGAAACCACGTAAAAGCCTGTCAGATGTTTTGCCCTTAGAAAGGTTTAGGGAATAGGAAGTCATAAAAGCTTTTAAATTCATTTTCTTTAGTCAGAAGACTAGAAGTATAAGGGTCTGGAGAGGCTGCCCTACCTGACATTCTTGCACTTGCTGTAAATAATAGTGACGTACCTGTAAATACTTTCCCCCATAATCCAGACATCTATACACTAAGTTCAGTCATTGCTTTCTTTAGATGGGTTCTCCAAGAGTTAAGTGTGATCTGTGAATGGTAGTTGAGATAAAAAACTAGAAATAAGGAAAGGAAACTGTCTTTAAAAGAAGTGGCTCCAGTTTCCGTTTACAAGCCTGAAGGGTTGTTGTACATATTAAAACTGCAGCATAGCTCCATCCCTGGTCAAAGAAAACCCTCCTCCTACCACCCCCAACCCACCCCCGTGGACACTGAAGATGTCAGATCTCTGGGAAACAGCAGTCAGAAAAGGATGCTTTTCATAGCTTGTACTAGAAAACACTGGCACCCCCATCCCTGCTTAAAATAGCACTAAACTGAGTCACAATGCAGGAAGCTATACCTTCTGTGTCTCTTCAATAGAATCTAGCTCGTTTCTACTGAAATGCTAAATAATACTGCATAGCTTTGCCCATGTATGTGACATGTCAAGTCTTCTAATCCCCCGTTTGCCCTAGATAATTTTACGCTTTATCCATCAGCGTGCCACGCAAGATAGAAAAATGCAGTTAACAAGATGACAGTGTTACTTAGGTATTTGGCATCGATATTAGTGAGAGTCTGTCATTTCACAATTATTTCCCTAGCATACCAGACGGTAAAGAAAATGTTTTCATTCATCCGCAAATGACTAACATTTTATTGATGTTTCAAAATGCGGTTGAAACTATTGCACTCTCAGTTTCCGAGTCGGTTTTGAGAGTTAAGGCAGAATACTAACATCAGTGACTCCTGACGCAAATGTCTCCGTTAGCTGCCCAGCCTTGGAGTGCCAGTTCAGCAGGGAGGTGTTGCTAGTTAAGGATTCGTCTGTAAGCCAGTCTGGGTGGTCACAGGTGATGGGAACCCTTCCCTTTCCCCATATATCCCCGTGCATGGCGATAAAAATCACTCTGAACACTGCTACCACCAAGCAAAACGACTCCCTGCCTGCCTCGTAAAGAGCTCAGTCTGCGGAGGCAGCCGGATGCTGACCCCTGCAGAGAGTCTTGCTTCGGTGCGCTTTGCCAAATGACCCTGCTAGCATTATGGAAAACGAGTTACGGACGTGTGAGGTTTTGCTTCATTTCCTCCAAAAGAAGAACTGGGATCTGGCAAAGAATATCTTCTTCAAACACTGCTAAAGGGGGATGGGGTGGAGGAAGGGAAAAAGTGTGTGAGGGGGAGGGAGCTTATTTTTTAATTACTTATTTTCCATTTTCACTTCCCCGCTCTGCTTCCCAAACTCCTCGCTGAACAAGATTGATTGGTGTAACTGCTAACGACTCAGCCTCGGTTCTCGCATTGATTTGCAAATGGCCCGGAAAAGCTTAAGGATCTTGAATCTGGAAATGAGTTCAAGAAGGAAAGAAGAAAAAAGAGTAGGGGTGGCCCCACGCCTAGTATCTCCTTCTGCCTTGGGCCAGGGCAGGGCTGAAAACAGCCCGGCGAGCTGCGGAGGGGCTGCTGCGTGGGGAAGCGGAGGTTACCGCTCTGCACCGCGGAGGAGCAAGCCTGTTAACGCGGTGTGGAGGCTGTTAAGAAATACAACCCTGCGACTCGTTAAACCCCTTAACTCTGCCCTGCCTTGACTCGGATGCGCCGATTATTCGGCCTGATAGGCTCAAATGGGTTAAACTGCCTCTTACATAACTGGACCGCCTGGGCTCTACACAATTAAAACACTTGATTGCAGTCTTTTCCCGACTCTACATCCCAGCATGACCCGCCCCGTCCCTCCCAGCGCGCCTGCGTGCCGCGCGTGCACAGGCCCCCGCGCGCACGACACGCTCTCTATCACACACACACTCCATGTTGACCATAAACAATCCCCTACTCACACACACAACTTAGTGTCAACACCCACAGATAAAAGAGGGGCGTCCTGCAATCCATACGGGCCGACCGCCACAAACACGCAAGCTGCTCTGCCGCAAGGCCTTGCACCTCCTCGTGTCCCCGCAAAAAAGCAGCGCCCCGCCACCGTCCCTACCTATTCCCGAGAAAACGCAGAGAGAACTAGTTGGCTGCTCGCTAACTGCAGCGTAGCCACCCAGGCAAGATTAGAAGAAAATAAACAAAAAAACAACTCACAGTCGCCGGCGTCATGATGGCGCCGACCACAACTTGGAGGACTTCAAACTTACGGTGCCTCGAGAGGTAAAACGCACCGGTGAGGGAAGGCAAAGCGCCCCTCAGCTCTCTTCACCCCAGCCCTGACACGGAGACTTTTCTAGCAAAGAATCCCTCTAGCGCTTACGACAGTAAGGAGAGCCTTCATTCTAAGGTGCCTCTCTTTCCCCCTTAGTTTGCATAATTGTGATACAGTTCCTCCTATTTTTTTTTTCGTTGTCTTGCTTTTCTTTTTTTTTTCTTGCTATCTTTTTTCTTTCTTTTTTTATTATTTTTTTAATCCCCCTCCCTTCTCCATCCCCAGTCCCCTGGCGGGGTTGCTAAGGAAACGGCCGCTTGGCAACGCGCGCGAGCCCGGGAGCCGGCGGCCGGCGCAGCGCTCCGCGCTGCTTCTGCTGCTGCTGTTGCTGTTGCTGCTGCTGCTGCTGGGATTGCAGCCGCCGCCGCCGCCGCTCGCCCTGCCTCCTCCCCCGCCGCCGCGCCTCCTCCCTCACTCGCCGGCGCGCTCGCCTCCTCGCTAGATGGTGTGCGAGCCGCCCGAGAATTAGACACACTCCGGACGCGGCCAAAAGCAACCGAGAGGAGGTGTAGTGTGGTGCCAGGGGGAGGGAGGGGAGGGAGGGAGGGAAAGCGAAGAGGAGGAGGGGAGGCAAAAACACCGAAAAACAAAAAGAGAGAAACAACACCCAACAACTGGGGTGGGGGGAAGAAAGAAAGAAAAGAAACCCACCCACCCACCAAAAAAAAAAAAAAAAAAAAAAAAAAAAAAAAATCCTGTGGCGCGCCGCCTGGTTCCCGGGAAGACTCGCCAGCACCAGGGGGTGGGGGAGTGCGAGCTGAAAGCTGCTGGAGAGTGAGCAGCCCTAGCAGGGATGGACATGATGCTGTTGGTGCAGGGTGCTTGTTGCTCGAACCAGTGGCTGGCGGCGGTGCTCCTCAGCCTGTGCTGCCTGCTACCCTCCTGCCTCCCGGCTGGACAGAGTGTGGACTTCCCCTGGGCGGCCGTGGACAACATGATGGTCAGAAAAGGGGACACGGCGGTGCTTAGGTAGGAAGAACGGCGTGCTTTTCGTACTTGTTTCGGTCTATCTTTCTGTCTCTCTTTGAACCCTCTTTGCCTTCTTTATAACACAAGCAATAATGCTGGTGGTGCTCATCATGGAAAGACCACATCCCAAGAATTCCAGGTGCAGATTCTTCCCGGAGCCCCGGCCCGTTTATGCTGGGGCAGGTAGCAAGCTGGACTCGTGATGCTAAAGCACTTTGCCGGAACGCCAAGTAGCCTGGGGATGAGTGAACTGTCAGGTTTAGAAGGAGGGGCAGGTGCCACTTTGAAACTCAATGCACAAGGTCTCTGTTTTACTGTCATGGGGTACTCCTGGAGAGTCTGACAAGTTTATCAGGTTTGTTTCTATTTTACTCCAGCATAAGCGACTCTTTCAAACTGCTGTTCTCTGCTCCCATTTATTTTCCCTCTCACTTGGACACTTAGGCTCGATTTCTTGCTCTTTATCTTTCTTTCCTTTTACCGCTTTCTGTTTTCTTTCTTTTCTCCTTCCTCATTCTCTTATACCATTTTCCCCACCTCCTTGTAACTCTTTTTCCCTCCAATATCTCTTTTCATACCTTTTCTATTTTCTGTTTTTTCCCTCCTTTTTAAAATTTCTTCTCATATTTTCTCATTTTTATCTCCACGACTCTAATTTCTGTTCCTCACATTTAATCCCCTTTCCTCCTCTCTTTTACCCTTTTTTCTTTTTGTCTATTTTTTTTATTCCTCCTTAATGTCCCTATCCTGTGCCCTGTCTTCCCTCTTTTGACTCCCATTTCTCATCCCTCTCCCCATACCGTTTCCCACCCCTGTGGCACACACAGGCATGGTCACTGTTCCCCTCCAGTACCATTTACTCACCCTCATAAATCTTATTTCCATAAACATACTAACTCACATACTCTCACATCCTCACATGCACTGGCACTTCCATGCTGTAAGAACCACTTCCACATTCAGATTGTCTCTCACTGTTTTTAAAAGGCATACTCTCCTTCTCTGTTCCACATTGTCACTCACACATGTGTACACACTGCCTGTCTCACTCGCTGCTCTCACTCTGTCTCTGCTTCTCTCTTTTTCTCTTTCTGTGTCTTTCTATCCCCTTTTTATTCCTACCTTCCTCCCTCCATCAGTCTTCACTTTTACTTATTTTTCTCATTTTCCCTTCTTTCCTCTGAGCTTGAGCTCTGAGGTGGTTTGTCATTAATAAACATCCATACCCTGATTTTACCCCTAAGCAACACTGCAGAGTGGGAGTCTGGGAATATTTTATTTCCTATGAAAATATAAATGGATGATCAGCAAAGCTTAGATCTAAACAAAGCTAAACGCCCTATTCCTTCATTTCTTTCCCATCACCCTCCCTTCTCCCCCTGCCACCCCACCTCACATTTCCCTGAAAGATCTTCTTTTTCTCCACTGGGTGGTAGTTGGCTTGTAAGTCTGGCTTGCACAACATCAGTGTACATGACATGTCTAAGGTGAAAGAGAGTGGGAAATGTTTCTGTTTGAAACATGCAACATATTTAAATTTAATGATGTGGGTGTGGTATATGACTTACACCTTTTGGAACATGCCTATGAGTTCAAATTTGGAATACTATCGTATTTTTTAATATACACTAATACATATGTTTTTAATAATTTCTGTTTTGAATAACAAATGCCACTATATACAAAAGTAACTAATATCTTTGATATTACACAGTAAAAAAAAACTTTTCATTGTTGGTAACAGTGATAAATTCTTTGTCACAGAGAGGATATAAATTAAGCCTGTATTTTCTCTTTATGTTAAGTTTGTTTTAGAAGTTTGAACAACAGTGGTAAGGGCAAGACACTATCTTCAGAGATTGCAAACACATATCATGGGAGCTGCAATATGTATTTTTGTAGCAAGCAACATATTGCTTATTTGTAGTGAGCATTACCATTTCCACCCTAAAGGGTTTAGGAGACTGCTTTTCTTTCAATAATGTATCCTGGCATTTGGTTTCCCAAACAAACAACAATTTAATAAATACTATGGTTAGTGAAGATAGCTGGACCCACATTCTGCTTCCAGGAGACCCATGTTTAGTTCACTCATTGCTTCCAACAGTGGAGCTTCCCTAATATGTGGGGACCATATATTTCCAGTGTTGTTGGTTTGGTGCAGTCCTTGTTTACTTTGTGTGCTCTGTACCTCATCCATTTTGATGCTATATCCCGCATTTTGTGATACTGAGGGAACTTGACTTTCAAACTTCTTAAAGAGAACAGAGTCTCTGTGTCTTCTCAATAATGTTTCTAACAAATTAGATTTTAGTTTTTAAATTTTTTTATCATATGAAATAGAAATTTGAACTGCATTACTTTTACTCAAAGCAATTTGCTTACAGTAATTCTGAAATTCTCTAAGAATTATCCAGTTGTTGAACTTCTTACATTGTCTGTAGGTTTTAAACTAATTTAACGTATCCATTTATAAGAAATTCTCTCTCCATTAGAAAATGTTAAATATTGTCAGTTATTTTTTTCTTGACTCTTCTCTACAGCTGGTAATTTCCTCTGATCATAGACCATTACAGATAGAGCTTAAGGACTAATTGAGTATAGGCAACTCAGGTGATGCATCGTTTTTTAATCAAGAGTAATGTTACAGTTATATTTTGTTTTTTCTTTGTATACTTAAAACCATATCTGTTGTTATTCTCTAACTCACTAGAAAACAAAACAAAATTCTACCCTTCAAACATATGCCCTTGTCCCATCAAAATACATGAATGAAGTGCTCAAGAGAACACTTAACCAAATTACATATCATTCATCAAGCTTAGCCCAATATATTCTATTTTTAATGTAACATATTCCTCACAGTGTCTTTAATAAAAAACAAATAGTGGCATAACAGTTATCAAATAATTTTAAGTGCTAAAGGCCATAAAGTGCAAACATGCCAGTCAGTGACTCTGTTGCTTGTGGTTACACTAATAAAACAGAAGTTTAAAGGTCAAATGATACATTTCTGTCTCCTAAGTGCCAGAATATCTGTTTTTGAGAAGAGGATCATGAAAAACAAAACTTTCCTTAAGTGGAGTTATAATACCCAAGGGAAATTCATTCTGTTATCTAACTGTATCTATCATTTTGTAAATCATCTTTTCTGTTTAGCTTAAATACAGGATTTATGATGACATTCCACTTAATAATTTTAATATTTTTATCATTTTAACTTTGTCTTTTAGGGTTAGTGAAGCCATATATATGAAGTGTAAAGATGTTTCTTACTTTTAATAATGTTATTCTGTGCTAAATTTCTGAATGATTCACTTGAATTATTTGGACCTTCTTGATAAAGTATTTAATGATACAGATATTCAATATAGTAATGTTTGATATTTCCCTTTCTTAAGCTTTGTATTTAAAAAATATATGATGTCTAAAATACATTGTAATTTGCTATAAACACAAACTGTTGCCATTAACTTATTAAATATAGACTTTAATTGCTACTACATTTAATATATACAGTATTTTATTCTTAACAGAACTTGTTAATCTTGTATGGAGACATTTACTTTTTTTCCATGTTTTGAGTTGCATTTTGTGAACATGGAAGATCTGAGTTAATGTGTCATGGGCTGATCTAGTAGAGAACAGGAAGTGCTAGAACCACATTGGTTATGCTTCAGTACCCAGTGTTTCTAGAACTGGAGAATTCAGGGGAATATAACTCTGCTCTAGAACAATACATAAATTTCAGGAGACTTAAAAAAATCATTTTGCAGTCACTTTAATATGAACCAGTTGCTTTATTCTTACCTTATTAACAAATACTGTTATGTAAACATATCAAAAATGTTTAATACCCCTTGGAAACAATACTACGAACATTCTCATTTACATTCTCCCAGTGCCTGCACATTTTTAAAACACGGTTATTTTTAAGCTAATTTTTTCAATCTGTTTCTTATTCAGCCCTTCTCTATGAAGTTTGTACTTTTTTAGCCGCCTTTCTGATATGAATTCAAAATATGCTATTATCTGCTTGTCATGCTTTAATCGAAGAAAGGAAGAAAGATTCTTTCCTTAATTGTGATATCTTCTTTTACTTTAGCAGAGTTAAACACAACTCTTGTCATTTTAATGCAATAGATTTGAATGGAAGTTATGTGATATCCTACTATGATACTCTAATACGGAAGAAGCCTTTTGCTTAGGGCGTATTTCTACACTATTGGAAACTGCAAAACTTTTACAAGTAAATTTATGAATGAATATGACAAGTATTTATTATTGCTTATCCTATTTGTTCACAACATTTGCCTTTTTATTAGACTACATTAACTAGTTATGATTTGAAATGCATGCTGTTAGTTACAATAAAATAAATGATTTCTGTATGAGAATACAGAATTACCAATAGCAGTAAAAATCAATTATGGTGTACTTTTGGAATAATATTCAAGACTCACATTTTCTGTTGAGTTATTCCTACACATTGATGCATTATACCTTCCAAATACACAGTTCAACTTTACCGATATTTTCAATTTAGGACATTAAGGCACTATTTTAAAACCTATATGTTTATTAAATAGTATTATGAAGAAATAGTTTTAAAATCCTGAGTTTTTTCTCTTTTTAAAAAGAGCAGGGATAATGAATTATCAGAATGGTCAATCTGGAAAAATATGTTCTAGGATATGTAATAAATGCTAAATGTTACCTATATTGATTTGCAGAACTGTTCTATTGGCAAGATATATTACTTGATACATTAGTACACAACTATTAATAAAAGTATAATGTTTTTAATTTTCTAGATGAATGTATTTTGCCCGATCTTTTTAGTTCAGAAGAATTCAAAAGCCCATGTAGTTGTATAGATCTTTGAACACAAGCGTGTTAATGCACTACTTGTTTTAAATAGATAGACTTTGCAATTAAATCACTCCGTGGAATAAGTTAATACTGCAATACCTGACTTCTAAAGAATTTACAGAAATGTTCACATCATGGTCTGTGTCAGTTCTAGGCCTGATTGGCCAGACCCATACTTTGTCCATCTGCTATTCTGTGTTATGGGGGTGGAGGGGGGTCTGCGGGTGGAGGCTGGAGCTAATCCCTCAAGCTACATTTCCCAGTCTTCCTTGCCAAGTATCTTCAGGCTGTCGTTAGCCAATGGAAAGTAGTCTTTGGTGAAGGGACAACATCATGAATTGAGGGGCTAGGGCATTTCTCCCTTCTTTCATTGTTTTGGGCAGTGTATATCACTGTATTCATCTCCCACTGGAACCTTTTTTGTTCCAACTTCCAACTGATAACTAGCTCCTGTGTTTCTCTTTACTGCTTTATCCCTTTATTCCTTCAACCTAGGAGTAGTAGTGGCTTCCTGATGTTACTAACCACTGGGTTATCTTACCACCTTCTATTTGGCTTCCCAGGTATTCCATCTCCTTTAAAATACATTTCCTGCATTAAATTCTCCCATTTTAAATATCCAAAACGGTTTAAGTGTTGTTTGTAGAACCTTGATAGATGCATAGTGAAAAGTGGTAGTTTTTGTGATTTAATTATATTTGATTGAGTGACTGCTTTGCCAGTGGCACCATAAGTGTTGCTCGCCAGCACTGGATGTAATAGTTTTTTAAGGAAACACGCATAGAAGTTAAACCATAAGAATATTGAGGCATATTACAAAGAAAAAAGAAGAGGCTTTATAATCCATACACAGATTATGTTAATAAACCAAATGAATAAATGGAATATTGAATTCATATATCATTTAATAATTTCAGTAGGAAAATATATAACGTTCTTATGTGTGGAAAATAAATTGATGAACATTTATTGATGAGATTCAATAACAGTGTTATATTTTTGACTGAGCCAAAAATAACTATGATTAAACCCTGCTTGTAGATGTGTGATCAGAATGCTAAGACAATTCATACAGTGTTGCCTATTGAATTTAATAAAAATTAAAGATCTTTCTTTATATAGAGTAACATCTGAGGTGATAATGAAAGTTTCTAGTTTTTATGAAGTATGTGACCATAACAATATCCCTAATTGAACCATTTGACTGTTGTAGGAATTAGTCTCTCAAACCAGTGGAATCTTTTGATTAAAAATCAGATCATTTTTCTACCATATCTTGTTTCAAAATTGCAGAAATTAGAACAGTATAGACATCACATGACTTACACTTTTCTTTTCTTTTCTTTTTCTGAGATGGAGTCTCACTCTGTCCCCCAAGCTGGAGCGAAGTGGCACAATCATAGCTCAGTGCAGCCTCTAGATCCTTGGGCTCAAGTGATCCTCTTGCCTTAGCCCTCTGAGTAGCTGGGACTACAGGTGTGTGCTAACATACCTGGCTAATTTATTTTTATTTTTAGAGATGGTGTCTTACTGTGTTGCCCAGACTGGTCTCAAACTCCTGGCCTCAAGCCATCCTTATGCCTCAAGCTCTCAAGTAGCCAGAGTTATAGATAAAAGCCACCTCTCCCTCTTAACTGTATATCAGATGATGTGGTGACCTTCTCGTTTACTTCTGTAAAACAATTTCTAAAAGACACTTATGTTTGTGTCTGGCTCATATATAAATAAGCGATTGTCATTGAGTCCTACTATTGGTACATTTTTCTGTAATTATTCAGGAGAAATGATAATTTAAGACTGTCGTTAAATGACTCTCTCAGGGATGCTCTAGAGAGGATTTCTGAATTTGGAAGGAAGTTAAATTTCTTGATATCATTCATTACATTTCTCTGGAAGCTTGCTGATAGATTAAAGATTGTCATTGGCACTTTCTGTGCATATAAAAAAATAAAATTTATTGTTTTTTTTCCCTAGGAGTATCCTATTACCTGTCTTTTTGCTTTTCTAAAGGAAATGTTAAATTGGTTCACATTTTATTTTGTCAGGTATTTTATGTGTTTCAGATTAACCAGTAGAAACAAAAATTACCGTATGACTAGAGACTAAAATCTCAGATTTTTCTACAGTCATAATCATTATCAAATTGAGTTTTAATTACTCTGCTGTATCTATTACAGAAAAAAATGTGGTATAACTTTTAAGATCATTATGAATAAATAATAGAAATTTTTTGATATTTTGTGAAGATGTATTTTCTGTTTTTCTTTGTCATTTTAATTTCAATTAGAAAAACACATGGGTGGCATCGTACGTGCGGGAAATAAAGATCTGGCTTTCTGTTCCCAAGTCTTTCGGTATCAGGAGGTCACTGGTGCTAACAAATTTCTGCTCAGTTGGTTCCAAGAGCTCCAAAGCTGGTCTGATTTCCTTCTCAGGCTCCTTGGTTTCCACAGTCGTACTAACTATGGCAATGTACTTCCCTTGTGCTGCTACATCGTGCGCAAAGGAGATCATGCAGACGTAGATATCTGACTTTCGATTGACTTGGTTCTGTGGAATAATGATCTGGCAGGAGTTGGCATCATTGGTGTTCTTGATGGGGTGGCTGAGGATGCAAATAACTCTGATCACCTGGCCCACTTTTTCTACCCGATCTTTTACACAGCTGGGGTCACAGATGAACTGCTTACAGCAAGCAATTTCTCCTTCCGATTTTACTCCAATTACTTTTCCATTCTGCACAATGATTTCTTCAATGGGTTTTTTCAGCATATAGGTACCTCCATAAATAGCACTTAGCCTTGCAAATCCTTGGGGCAGTTCTCCAAGGCCATAGAGTGGTTAAAGGTATGGGCTTTCGCCATATCTTGCCAAAGACTCACTGTAAAGTTTAATTGGATCAGTTTTAAACAAACATTGGGATACCGATACAGACAACTTGAGACAGTTTATCTTTTAATCAGTGTAGCTATGTGCTTCTGCTGCTCAAGAGCTGGATCCATACAGTTGTGTGCCATCTGTCCTCTTGAGGTTCAGGAGATTCTAAATTGAATAGTCCACGGTTTGGGATGGCATCCAGAAGTTTTCCCTATGACTTTATATTTTGTGTTATGTCAAATGTTATGGCAGGGCCCAAATAGCCTAGCCACAAGTTTGGTTTATGTGGGCATAAAATTCTAACCAAACTCCAGACAATAGGGAGTCATTTGGAGAAAGCCTGTATGTGGTGTTTTAACCTAATAAAGTTGATGAGAGAAAAGGGGAGAGGAATCGAACATAAAGCGGGTAAAGTGTAGCACATCTTTTGTATCTCAGGCATGGCTTCTTCAGTGGACCAAGCTGCAATGCAGTATTGACTTGACAGAGCCTCTACTTCTGTCTCAAAATGGCTCCAAATGATTTCTATACTGCAAAATAAAGCCAAATTCTGGAAACTAAAAAAAAAAAAAAAGAACAACACGTGGGTTTGTAGTGGTAAAATGCTCATTCAGCTATCCCTAGGGCCTTAGCACAGAAGCTTTCATGTATCAGGCCAATATCTACTAATTTTTGAATTAATGAATCAATGGAAGGGTAAGTGAAGAAATGAATGTATTTAAGTGTTTTTTTTTTTAAATCCATATATCAACAGTCCCTGCCTTAAATAATTCCTGCAGTCTTAGTGGTTTAAGAGATATACATTGGAAATATTATTTAAATTATTTAAATTACAGGACACAGTCTACTTTGAAGAAAATGTACTTTTTGCTAAAGGTATTATTAAATAAAATGTACTAAAATATAAGGCATTTTACATAATAAAGGTAAAGTATTCTTTGATTAACTTCTATTTTGTGTGTACTTGCGTGTGTGTGTGTATGTGCTATGTTAAGATTTCAAGGGTATTCTTACTGTCGGTTTAAGCAGAAAAGTTTGAAGTGCAATGACCTAGTTGTTGTAAGATTTTGAAATGTGGTTATAATTTTAAGAAGATCCCAGATTTTAAATTATATGGGAAGGCTTTTGCCCTTGACAATTATAATCAACAGATAACAGGAACAGTTCAAAATAGCAAAATGTCTATTGTGACCTCCTAACATTTATTTCTGTTTCTACCTCGACTTATGGAGCCTTCTCTTCCTTTCTCCTAAAGCTTTAATTAAACAAAATCAATAAGGATATAGAGGTAGAAAGAATTTGCTGTTAATATGGATGAATAACTCAATTGTAAAAAGTAGCTACATGCCCCAAACCAGAGCATAACTTTTGTATCATTTTAACCATCTCCTAGAGGTAGGTCAGCAGTACTTTATAAACCACAGTGTATTGATACTAGCTGATAGAATTTTAATGTGGTCATATGGCTTTGATTTATAATGTTGAGGATGTTATCTATTGGTGTAGTGGTTTCTAAGCCATATCAGGTTCTGAATTCTGACAGAGGACCTTTGATGCTCTTATAAGCATTCAGCTGGCATGGGAATTGGTCTCTTAATCACTTTCTCTAAGAAAAGGAGAATAGAGGAAAGGAGGAATTTGGCAGTGTTGCCAGAATTAAATGTTGCTCTTTTGAATAAAAGCCAATATATTGTACTTTCCAAATAGCTGGTAATTTACTCAATTTAGGGAAGATGCTTATAACCCTTTTCAGTCCAGAACAAAGTTGTTCTTTACTGAATTTTTCTAAGTCATTTGGACATAGGTCCAGTGCTCATGCTCATGCTGTTGATAGAGTTTGTGTGTGTATTAGCGTATGTTTAAAGCTGTGGCTACTGCCATAAAATATGTAAAGGTTTTAGATAACTTAAAGGGCCATGGAAAATATGTGTTCCATTGTCTTCAGAAACCCCTTTCTTTTCATGCAACTAAGTTAAATTTAGAGGTATTAATGAATTTAAGAGATATTGTGAATATAAGAGCTATAATCAGAAGATATTTTATGTATTTTCTCTAATAACATTTATCCTGTTATATAAGGGTATCTAATAAACAGATCATAAAGTTTTTCTAATTTAATAAATAGAATATTTCTTACAGTAGAATATATTTAGATACATAATATTTGATTTGAAAGTATTTTCAAATTAATATATTTGGTCATTGATCAGTTGAATAGAAAATGACATGTAGACTACTTAGTTAGTGCTTGGTAGGTTATTAGCGTTCAAAACCTGAATGTTGAGTGAAAGAATCAGAGTAGAGATGGGGAGGAAGGGAAGAGGAAGAAAGGGAGGGAGGAAAGCATTTTAAGCTGTATTAGTGACTTCTCATCAAATTACCTTAAACTTTAGATCACTTGGGATGACATAGAATTAAGCCCAGAAATTTCATTATTTAGAACTATAATAAGAGAAAATATATTTAGTTTCTTATAATTTATTACATAACTGAAAAATTCTAAACCCATAATTTTCTGTATTAGTCTGTTTTCATACTGCTGGTAAAGACATACACGAGACTGGGAAGAAAAAGAGGTTTAATTGGACTTACAGTTCCACATGGCTGGTGAAGCCTCAGAATCATGGCAGGAGGCAAAAAGCACTTCTTACATGGTGGCAGGAAGAGAAAATGAGGAAGAAGCAAAAGCAGAAGGCCCTGATAAACCCGTCAGATGTTGTGATACTTATTCATTATCATGAGAATAGCATGGGAAAGACCGCCTCTCATGATTCAGTTACTTCCCCTAGGTCCCTCCCACAACACGTGGGAATTCTGGGACAACACGTGGGAATTCTGGGATATACAACTCCAGTTGAAATTTGGGTGGATGCACAGCCAAACCATATAACCTTTCCATGATGAAGTGATATACACTGTACGTATTGAAGTTTGAAAATTATATTTTTCATCCAAGTGTATATCTTCCTTCTTAGTTACTAGTCTATATTTATTTTAGAACATAGATAGCAGCTTTATACCTTGGCCTGCAATTGGGTCAGGGGCCATTTTTTGGAATAAGTTCACAGAAGGATATTATATATACAGTAAGTGCTCATTTAATGTTGTTGATAAGTTTTTAGAAACTCTGACTTAAGCAAAATGATGTATAATGAAAATAACCTTTCTTCCCTCCTCAGCATTATAAGGAAGCAACATGGAACAAAATGATGTTATTCAATCACCTGTTGTACATTGTTTCACTTAAAGTTGCAGCTTCCAAGAACCTATTCACATCGTTGAGGGATTATAATACATCTTTGAAAAATCTTCTGCATCTCTTTCTTGAGCTTATGTTACTTATTTTTGTTCAACAATTATTAATTCTAGACGTGAAGTTGCTTTTGCTTATTTGCAAAGTTTATCATCTATCATGATTGCTTAGTTTTATTGAAATTGTTCATGCTTTGAGGCATCCAGAATGGAAGTAACCAGAGCTTGAGTTCCTGCTTCTCTACTTACTGGCTATGTGACCTTGAACAAAAGCCTTGTCTCCACAACAGAAGTACACGGATTAAATGAGACATTACATGTAAAATGCTAACAGTACATAACATATAGTAAGTACTAAAAGTACATTAACTAATAATTTTATGCTGCTTTTTTTCTGCTAATCTCACTTTGAAATTTATTGGCACTTGGCTTCACATTTGGAAGTAGAAACACACTAAAACGTGTTTTAGCTGTTGGGGTGCAGACCCAGAGCACTCAAAAGAAATGGAATCACAAATTTTATGCTCAGCAGACTGATGGTGATTTGATTCACTTACTTGAAGTGAGAGATCACTATAATTGGGTGGTCACATGAAACATTGAGGACATAAGTGAGAAATGGAAAGAAACAGAAGAGAGGAAGTAAGACTAATTAGAAATATGTAATGACAGTGAAAGAGTCAGAGGATGAAGATGAACATTTGTGGCAGTTTAGAATGGAAGATACGACAGCTGGTGATAATATTGGAATAGTTGATAAGAGGACTAGCATTAAAAACTTAGCAAACTCTGGATTCTGGATAGTGTAGCAAATAATTATTGAGGATTAGATATGTTCTTATGGTTCCTTGGAGCATCTGTAGGTTATGCTGAAGGCAATGCAGTTCAGAAGCAGTAGGTATGGGCAAGAACTTTCCCTATACATTGCCATTGTTGCCTAGGCAATATACTGAATAAAAGCTCGGAATTATGTATGAATGCTTGTCCTAATTCTGCATATTTGCAAAATGCATAGCATAGTGTTTTATAGTCATGATGATGGAGCCATCATCAAGATCATGATTCAGATTGAATCCACAGTCCCAGAACATCTACCATATATGACATACATTCACAGCTGTGTACAATAAGCTATTTCTTTCCCACTCTTATAGCCAAGTAGTTTGGCAAGGGAAGGTAACTTGACCCAGGTGGAACAGTTAGGCAGTGGCTGAGCCACAATTACAATCCAAGTCCTTTATCCCAAGCCCAGTGCCTTTCTCATTATCTTGTAACTCTTACTAAAAGAGATCAAAACAATTGATAGATTTATTGGCTATTCATTTATTACGCATTTACTCGGCACCAACTGCCTTTTAGCTTCTAAGTCTACAGTGATTAAAAACATCGAGAAAGTATGTTCTATAGTTGAAGAAACGTGAAATTGTTTAAATGAGATTACATATTTGGCATATTAAATGTACATGCTATATATTATATATGCATATATATTAAAAGGTCACATGCATTTACTAGATAGGAAAATTTTGAATTTTTAAAACTACTATAGATATTCTGAAAAAAACCTCTCATCCATAAATGATTCCATCCCTAATGATTACAAGCTATTGATAACAGAAAAAAATAAACAGCTATTGAACATCACTTAGAGTTAGGTATAATGTATTGGTCACTGCAATGAATCCTCACAACAAACTATACTTTTTCTACTTTACAAATGGGGAAACAACCTCATAGAAGCTGAGTAATTTTCCGAACTTTATTACAGCTATTAATGCATAACCATGATTTGATCCTAGGCCTGTGTGTCTCCAAAGCTCAGACTCATTTCCTTTCAAAAGCCGCAATATGTCCTGAAGCTTTTTTGTGCACTCTAGTCCTTAAAAGAAATGAAAATCAGTAGTTCCTTGTTATAGTATTCCAAGTCCCTAGTTTAATCATCTGAATGCCCATCCTGATATAACCCTGAACAGCTGAATCACCTTGATTCACTCCTTTGAAAGGGGTTAGGCAGCCAATAATTTTAAGCACCATTATTTCCCAAGATAGGAAGATCCAAAGATTCAGAGACCTATAAAAGTTCCTTGTACTCCAATTTCAATAACATGTCAGTAGTAAGTTATAGAGTCTTAAGTTTAATTGCCATCAATGAATAAAATCAAACATATTAGATATGTTGCCTTTTTCTGCTAGCTGGTAGAAGTAGTTTATATAGTTTATAGCCTAATTGAGTGAAAACTTGTTTGTATCCAATAGCACATAATTTAAGAATCTTTTAAAATGTGCTTATATATCCGTCTTCTAGAGACTTTGCATGTGTACCCAAGAGAAGTGTAAATTTTATGATGGCTGTGGCTGCTTTACATATCCAAAGCTTTTCCAGTGCAGTACTATTTTTCTCTCATATTGTTAAAAAAGGCTTTCAAACCTTTATAACCCATTTCTAGCTCCTTCTTCGCGTTCTTAAACCCTTCCATTTTATATTGTTCTATCAATTTTATATTAGTCTGTTATCTCATTTGGCTATACATAAGAATGTAACAGACATAGTCAACAGCATTGATTTATATTATTTAAAATTATTAATCCTGTATATTTGTATAGAATATGTTTACTAAATTCTAGAATCCTTGAATTGATTTTTAATTTTTCTTTCTTTGTAAATTTATATTTTTCCATTCATTGTACAGTTTTTCCTATAGGTAATCTGTTATTTCAGGAGTTCATTCACCCAATTTCAGCATTTATGCATTGAGTCCCTGTAGTATGCTATCCACTTTCTGTGAGTTTAAGATCCAATGATGATAAGAGATAAGTTCCCATCTATTGAATTTACATTGTAATTCAGTCTATATTCTTAAACACTGTTGTGTGTTACAAAAAACTTACGTGCGGATTTCTGCTTCACTAACTCTTAGCTCAGCGGCCACAGCAAGTTATTTGGTTTTTCTGAGACTCAGTTTTCTTGTCTGTAAAATGGAAATACTGAGAGCTACTCCCATACTTATTGTGAACACTATAATAATATACGTGAATGTGCCAAAAGCAGTGTCAGACACAGTTCATGTTCTTTCATTATCAGTTTTCTTTCTTATGCTGCCTTCCTCCTCTTCCTTTAATATAGCTATAATTTATGGCCAGAAAAATTTAGTTAAAGAATTTGTTACATGTTATATTGTATTTGGTGTATTCTGTTTGCTCCCTAATAACGTCTCAGGTTCACCTCTTTTAAATTCAAGACAGCTTTCTGATACCGTGAAGAGTAGAGTATGTCTGAAGACATGGCGACCTCACACATATTGTTTCTACTTCTTGGACTTATTTTTTTTTCCATCTGGGATGCTTTTCTTTCATACTGTTTTCTCTGTAATACTTTTATACATGGATTTTCCTCTAAATTTATCATCAGTTTTTGACATATTCTGAAAGTCTATGAAGGTTTATTTTCTTCATCATTTCTTCTGTTAGCATCATAATCTTCTTACCATCATTATGTGTTTCTCCTACTATACTACGCTTTTTTCAATAGACTTGTGTTTTCCTTTTTTCTTGGTTGAAATATGTGTAAGGGACATCTGATGCTTTATTTTACCAACAAAGCAAACGATATTTTTAATTCTTTTGCAAATAATTCTTCATTGAAATAGCACTTTCATGCTTCTGTGATTTTATTTTATCAATTATTTTAACATGCCTATGCACAATGGAATGGATGACACTTCTCTCTAGCAATTTCAATAATTGGTGAGTTGATTTTCTGAATATTCTTGTGGCATTCAAAAATTATCTTAATATTTGATACATATAACTATTTTCTTACAGACAATATCTGGACTTTTCCGTATTATCTAGCTTTAAGTAGGGCACAATGTATATAATTTTAGTATGGGGAAATCCCTAAAATGAAAATTCTTGATAATATTCTTTTTTCACATTAAAATTCCTGTTCACCTTTCTTCTCCTATATAAGAATATATTATTCTTGCTATTTCAAATTTCTCATAAAACCCTTTAATAGCCTCATCATTTTTCTACTTAAAATTACATATGCATTGTATGTAAGATGGGGTCCTTGCAAATAGTGGCATATTTCTATGAATTATTTTAAAAATTGGGTCAGGAAACTGATTCCGATTGGTTACCTCACTGTAAAATGGGTTAATGATAATGCCTAACCTATAGGTTCTAAGAATTAAAAAAGGTAAACGTTGGAAGCTCCTCAACATCATGCCTGGTACAAAATAAACAAATGTTGCCAGTAAGATTTTTAGAAATATTAACAATAAACCTTCATCGATATTATAAGGAATTAGCTGATAGCAATCAACATCAAAGTTTTCTGATAACATGATTACTTCTTTACCCTCCGGTATGCTTTAGGGACTTATTAATTATTCTTTATTTCAGATAGGACTTTTTGCTATTGCCCTGTCTTGTGTGGGACATTTTCCTCCTCATCAATTGATTTTCAAAAAAAAGGGTTTTAATAATTTTCAAGTTCTATTTATTCTCTGAATTTAGCTCAATGGTGTTTTTTTCTCATTTCCAAATTGGTGTGTGTGTGTGTGTGTGTGTGTGTGTGTGTGTGTGTGTTTATCTGTCTATATATATATACACACACACTTGGTACATTTTTTAGATTTTTATGTATGTATATACATACACACATTTGTGAATGTATTTACCTAGTGAATTTATTTACCTTGCATTTAATACAGGATTTGATAAAATGTGTTTGGTCAATATAAAGAAGTTCCTTTCTTGTATTTTAGTTAATTATATACATATTTTATAAAAGACTTCTACCCAGCCATAGACCTGGTGCTGTTACCTTAATTGCCTTTGTATCTCTTAAGGCCTTGAACAGGCTTGGTGTGTAGAAATGAGTAAGTGAATCTATAAAAAACTTGTTTCTCTCAGTAGAATCCTTTACTGAGGATTAGTACTACTATTAGTACTGAGGATTAAACTACTGTTTAGTTTGACAGTGTATGTACTTATGGTACATATGCATTTTTAATTTATTAAGTTATTAAAATTTGTTATTAGTTAACATAGTTTACATAGATCCATTTGGAATATATGTTGAGGTAAATATGTATTGGCATCTCCTTCTTAGAGTTCATTACAATGTTATGTCAATTACTCACCAGAAGTTTTGTGAGGCCAAGGGCACACTTTTCTGTAAATATAACTGCCATACTCCCAGAAAATGTTAATATCAATAACATTATGATGATGTAATAACATGGATGGGAAATATTCTCACAAACGATGATCTTAGGAGTTTAGTAAGGTGCTATATTTTAAAAATTTAATGCTATCTCAAAGTAAGATTATTTTTGGAATTTTACTTAATAAAATCACTTCAATTCTAGAGTACATACTGTAGTATTTTTTTGAATAGGGGAGTATAAAATAGGACATCACAAGTGAGGAAGAAGAATTAAGTCCTATCTAGTAGGACTAATCAAATAAACTTCAGAGTTGGAAAATTATTTTGAATATTCTGTTATGATAATGATGACAGTCCTATGATTTGTATAACCTATTAAGAAAATTATTTTTAAAATTTATAAAAATAGGAAGCTCATTGAAGATTTTTCAAATATCTTTTAAGTTCTTAGCAGGTATGCTTAATAGTGCATGCCTTAGAGATTTAAGAAACAAATAATTCTTAGTTTGGTTTTAAAGGTAAAAACTTTTAGTTTCTGGTGCCTACAGGGTATATTACCATTTAGTGGGGAATTCAATAAATAGTTTATTGATTGCATATATTTCATTTTCTTGAAAGCTTAAAATACACTTAACAATTGACTTGTTATTCTGTAGTATATTAGTTACATACTTTAGGCTCAAATTAATTCTTAGTTATTTAATTAAATTGGGTGTTTACATTTCAGTTATTTTTCTTGGAGAAAAAATGTAAAAGAGGAAGTTTGATGTACTCAAAGATTAATAGAAATATTGAAACTGATTGACCTTACTATCACAAAATTAATTAAAATTAAAGGCTAACAAAACTATCTTCCTAATGAAAGAGTCAATCTATTATAAATTTTGAATGATTTTCATTTGGCATCATCAGATAGGTTGGTGGTTAAACAGGCAAACAGCTATCATCAGTTATGCATAATTAAAACAAAAAGATTGTCCAAGAGTTTAGTGTAAGTGTAGGCTAGAGAAAAAAAATCTGCTACGTAAGGTATACAGAAATTAGTAGTGTGATATAGTTATTCAACTTTGATTAATTAGAAAATGTTAAATTATTTGCAACCATTGAACTATCTTATGAAGAAATGACAGTTAAATAAATAACCGGAAATTTATTCAGTACAGTAATTTATAATAATTATAAATTTATTATATTAACATAATCTTCAAAATGACATAAATAAAATAATTTATTGTTAATGTGTTTTCCATCTGTAGAAAACTTAAACTTTGGTACATTATTTTAGATTTCTCTTTATGTTCAAAAAGGTAGTTTTCTACGAAGAAATAAAACATTATCATTTTAAATGATGATTATTACTGAGAAAGTCTATGCATTATTAAACGTTTTGTACGAGTTAGTAGGGGCTGTATTTTCTGTCATTAAAAGTAATTCATTTAAATATCATAAAATATTTAAAAAGTTTTTAAGAACTAAAATACTACTCTAAAATTATTTAGTTTCCATATATATGTTATTTTAATTTGGATAACAAATAATAGAAGACATTGTAGCATAAGATATCAACAAAGAAATATGACTTTATTGTTCAAAATATAATCATTTATAGTGACTAATTTCTATATTTAAAACTTAAATATAGAATATCTAGCTATTTAATGCGACTAAATAATCCCATTAAAATAGCATCAAGATATAATTGTAAATATTTATTACAAATTTTAAATTTAAATTTAAACATATTTCTTTCATATCTTTGAAATAATATTTGTATCTTAAAATGTTGTATTGTTTATATATTATCTTAAATATCACAACAGCCTTATGAGGGAAGGAGAACAAGTGTTAAAATTCCAGTTTTACAAATGAATAAACACAGGCTTAGATGGTGAAAGACCTCTTTTTTGTTATGAATAATAAATGTCTTGTAAACATCAAAGCTTGGATTGGAACTCAATCTGATTTCTTATTCTGTATACTTGTCTCCATATTAATGATTACACAGATATAAACTACTCAGAGTTACAGATTTTATTTCATTTTCAGTGGACTCCAGAACAGCTTTTGATTTTATTTTAGCCTCCATATTGAATATGCCTGTCATAGTTAGTGATACCTCTAATTTCCAGAGAACACCGTTTCCCCTTTTGTGCTCCATTCCCCATCATATTTTACTCTTTCCAGTGAATATATGTATTACATAAATGATGGAAACATCTAAGGGGAAATGAATCTACATAGGGATAAGAAAATCAGGGAAAGTATGATATATTGAAAATTAATCTTTTCCCACCACATACCATCAACATCTTTTTTCATTGTCATTTTTAATTTTTTTTGTTTGTTTATCACTTCACTTAATTTGGGACATAAGAGGTAAGAGAGAGTTTTTTTGTGTGTGTGTGCCAAAAGATATGCCTACATAGCAGTAATTCAAGAAAGTTAGAACAGCAACTATTCAAGTATAGATAACTTTAGATTCTAAAAATTCTCTTTGTTTTGTTTGGACTGACTACATTCATCACAACTTTTAAGAAGCAATTTTAAGGTCGCTTTTATTAAGCGTATATTTAACTATAACAGCAGATTTTATTCACTCCAGAGAACTAAAACATCCAACTTGCATAGGTAATTTCAAAGAATGACGAAATAGAGCTCTTTGATCACTCTTGATGAACATTTTTCCAAATGATGTTTCTTGGGGACTGCTAATGGGAATGCTTATCCATCTACATGATGTTAATAAAAATATTTAAGAAATCTCCCTCAGCTGACTTATATATGATCAGCACTCTTTTAAAAAAATCTGATGCCTACAGCATGTAAGTAAACTTCTCTTTAATATGACTATAAACTTGTTAATTGCCTTTTGAGATTAGCAGAGTCTGTTTAATATGAATGTGTTGAGAAAGACTTTTGTTTCTACAAAGTTGAATTCTTTGAAAATACTAGATAAAGGTAATTTTTAAAAATAACTATTTTTAATAATATTTAAGTATATGTAGATGGGGTAACTAAAAAATTTGGAGGAAAATAATTAAAACCTAGATGACTTCTACACTCAGAATGCTTCACAAATGTCTTTAAATAGTCATTCCTCTTTGAAGAACAAGAAACTGAAAATATGGTAATCTTAGTGGAAGCTGTATGTGATAGAAGAAATACAGTGTGGAATTTTAGTCCCTTAGTTACTTGCTAACAAAAGATGCTGACCTGACGTTTTAAGACTGGTACATAAATATACACTTACATATTTTAAGTAAAAATAAAATATTTATGGTATGCACATAATAAATTACTTTTTGGTTAACTGACCAACATGATCTTCAGATTTTTTTTATAAGAGATTGCTTTAAAAAGCATTATATGCTGTTGCGAATAATTTTAGAAGACAAATATCTTCAAATAATGTACCACTAATTAAGCATATATGTACCTTTATTGCACATTCATGGAGATACATTTAAATGATAATTTGATATTTATAAACCTCTTTGCTTTTTGAGTGAAGGAGATAATAATGATTTATTCATTGATACAACTAATAGTGCTTGAGCATTTAGTATATGAGAGTAGTCTATTAGATGACTGAGATCCACTAGAAAAAACAAAAACGAAAAATCTCTTGTCCTCAAAAGCTTATTATATACGTCAGGTAAACAAGTGGAAACAGGAAAAACAGACAACAACAGAAGAAAATAGTTTTTAATAAGGACAAAAGTAATGAACCCTGTGTATTCTTCTCCCATTGTGTTCCAATTAGATTTCTTTTGTCACTATAAAGGAAACCAGTGCTATTTGAGCTTTCACTTCAGGAGAAGGCTTCCAGAACTCAGGCAGGGCACAGCTTCATCTCCCAATGCACTCCCTTTATAGAAATCATAATTTCTACATATATTATTCCACTTCACTTTCCAAACCTTATGTAAGTAAGGGAAATACCATTCTGGCTTTGTTGGCCACTCACGTTTCCGAGTAAAAGGTTCCTTCTCAGCAAGCAGGCCCTGCCACCCAGTTATCCAATCTAGGATAGCTTCCCAGTGAAATGCTAAGATGCCCATTTTCCCCCACGTGATATGCTCTTTCATGATACTGTATTTATTGTCTTTCTTCCCTTCTTTTTAAAACAAATAGATTTAGGGGGTGCAAGTGCAATTTTGTTACATAGAGATACTGTGTAATGGCAAAGTCTAGGCATTTAGTGTATACATCACCCAAATAAAGTACATTGTACCTAATAGGTAATTTTTTATCCCTCACCTGGTCCTACCCTTACACCTTTTGGGATCTCCAATGTCTATCATTCCACTCTGTATGTTCATGTTACACATTGTTTAACTGTCACTTCTAAGTGAGAACATGTGGTATTTAACTTTCTGTTTCTGAATTATTTCACCTAGGATAATGGCCTCCAGTTTCATCCATGTTGTAAAGACTTGATTTCATTCTTTCTGTGGCTGAGTAGTATCCCACTACCTCTGTGTAAGAACAGGGACCTTGCATGCTTTATGCCAAGCGTTGCCAAAGTGGTGCCGGACACCACAATTTGTGCTCAATGAAATTTTGTTCATGGAAAAAAAAGTTTTATAAACATTTTTTTAATTACAAGGCCTTTCAGTATTTAATATGACAATGTTAAATATCCATTTTGGCAAATCTATAGTGTTAACAAATATATAGTTTTAATAAAACTATTTTGGATTTTTTTCTGAGAAGTATTTCTTTAAACCAGTGTTCTGCATAATGAAGTTTGAGAAACATGCTTATACATTTATTAGAAGATTTGCCTATTAAATTTCTATTTTAAAATGTGACAGAATTGAAAATATTTATAATACATTATGTTAGGTGTTAAAACCACACTGTTGGTCTCCAAATTGGTTATGAACTTAAGTGACAATAAATGTAAATATGTGAAAGGGTAGTGAAAAAGCTATACATTTTTATGGTCTCATCATTTATAGTACCAACTTAATGTCAGGTTATTCTGTGGCCATCTGTTTAGGCTCATATTCTGACTTGTTTACTTCTGCTATTACTGTAAAACATGATTTTTTCCTCCTAGAACAAAAATGTTAAAATGATTTTTTATAACATGCTCATTTGTGATCCTTCTAAAATTCAACTAACTGTATAATATAAACAAAAGCCATAACTATATCTAGAATATTTCAGAAATATCTATATTAATATGGACAGACATTTTATGTTTACATTTCTGCTTATTTTGTTAATCTTCAACAATTGTTTATATTTTGCTCCTAGACTAATTTTTGTAATTCGTTCACTTTTCAGAAAGAAATGTAATTATGCAATCTGCATGTAAATGTCAGCTTTTAAGAATTTGGTTTCCTTATGTAGGATGAAATACTGAATCAAGTGTGAATTTGTATTGAATTTCAACTGGGATTCATTTAAAATATTATATTCCAATTTGAGCAACTATTTAGAAAATTTGTATTTCATTCATAGCCCATTTTACTGGGGCAAGTTAGTCAGTTTGAAAAGTATCTGACAGAGTAATAGTGGAACATACTTATGTGTAGTGTCATCTCTAGAGTTAACTGCTTCATTTTAAATCACAATCTTGCTACCACCTTTCGGACAAAGTGCTTAACCCTATGTGCCAATAGTGCATATTTTATAGAATGGTTTGAGGACTTATTTTTATAAAATGTGTGTATTCTAAAAACAGTGCCTGACTCATAGTAAGCGCTTAGTAAGCACGAGTAAATTATTTTATGTTGTTTACAAATATAGATTGTATAATTTAATGAATGAGAAGAAAGTTTCTGTTCAGAAATATCCTTTGTAAAAATTGGGCTTATCAATAGAGAATAAAATCCTGATTTTGGCTGAAACCAAGGATGGAGGATGTCTTTATACTATATAAAAACCCTTTGCGGGAAGCTAAAATTTTTAAGTTCACAGATTTCAAAGTCAGAGTAATCTAGATTCTTTCACTTTCTAATGTGACTTTAGGCAACTTTACCTCTCAAAGCCATGGTTCAAAATGATAAAATGAGAATGACTCCATACTTCTTAGGGTTACTCTAAGGAGCAGAAAGGAAATTTGTATAAAGCACTTAGTGCAGTGCACAGTACATAGTAAATGATTAAGTTTTTGTTACTGTTTTAAAGTTATATTTCAGCTGATTATTTTAGAAATCACTTTAAATGAGAAAAATAAACACAACAAAAATCATCTGATAAAAATTGGAGTAATTACTACTGAAATAGAGGAATAAGAATAGTAAAAGAAAAGGTGAGCATTAACAAAAGATAAACTCTACCTGCATAGCGATTTTGCCTGCGATAGAACCATATACAAGAATAGTTTTATGTGTACCTCATTATTGTCAAAGAACAATTATTCGTCTTCCCCATGTTCATACTCTTGTAAGGATCTATTAACTAGACATGATACCCTTTAGAAGGATATAATGAGATGTATTTTCTCCATGTATAAGCTCCCTTTCCATAATAGCTTTGATTCATTGAGAACATGCACTGCATTGCTGTGGAATATAATACACTAGTAAAACTTTTTTCTCTAATTACAGATGGAAAAAACTTTCCCTCTGATTTTGAGATGTAGCTTTTAAATACTAAAAACCACTATCATAATTTAGATGATGGCTTGATAACCAAAAAAATATTTCTTCAGATGTCACAAAGAGTCGTTATTGTGTACAGGAGAAAGGGAGTTTGAAGAACATATAATAAATATCAATGTATAGAAGGAGAAGAGGAGTAAAACAGCATATAAAGGAGATTATCCACCTTAGATGGCACCTAGACTCATACTCGATTTATCCTTATCCGTTAACCATCTCTTCAGGAAGCTTGTTGTGTGCTTGGCACCTAGCACAGTGCCTGAATTAATGTCGACTGAATTGAATTGAGTTACAATCTATAGCTCCTTGTTTTTAATGTAATTTTCTAATATTGATACTATATACTTGGTAACTACTGACATATCCTACACTGCAAACTTTAGCCTGATAGTACCAGGTCATAAAACATTTTGTTTGGTCTTGTCATAGTTCAGATCACATGATGCAAACAGAAGAACAAAAATAATTTTAAAATGTGTAAGAGTAAAAGGCTTGGAAGTCAGCAGAAAACCATATTTTATATTGAGGTGCCTTTTTAAAGACCTTCCATACTTTTTTCTTCCTGTTCTTAATGAATTGCTTAATGAAGGTATGTGGAGAATTATAAATTAAAAGATGACCAACGTCATGTAGCTATTTAGTAAGCAAACTAAAAGAAGATTTTATTGGCTCCTATATATTGTTCCTTTCATGAAAATAAAAAAGCAATTGGTGAATTTTAGTTTGTAAAAATACATTAGTATATTTATAGGTAGATTTATAGAAAATTTATAAATAGATTAGTTTTCAATTGTAAGCTATTTCTCAGTACTCATTATCATTTTGAATTTTTAAGGTAGAGTTTCAAAACAGTTGAGGGCTTACATTCTGTATATATGCATTACATTCATTACAAACATATATAATAATTTAGTTATTTAATTGCCCCGTGGAATCCAGTGTCTAGCTAATTTTATTTTCTAAATGTCAATAGCTTATTTATGTATAATGTATTTCTTCTTTTCTTCTTTGTCTCTGCTCTATTTTCTACAGCTTTTTTCACTCTAAGTCAGCGATAATTAAACATTTGGGGGACATATTTATTCTCAATAACCTTAATGAAACAATGCCCTTCTAGGGTTTACTGAATGATCACTCACACACACGACAATCATGTACCTCTAAAAGCCCATTCCATGGTTTCTGAATTTCAGGGCTATTGATATTTCTAGCCATATAATTCTTAGTTGTGGGATCTGTCCTGTGTGTTGATGATGTTTAGCAGTATCCTTAGCCTCTATCCACTTGGTATCAGTAGCACCTACCACCTCCTTGAGTTTTGAAAACCAAAAAAGAAATCTAGGTATTGTCAAATGTCCCCAGGTAGACAAAATCACCCTGAGTTGAGAACTACTGAGTCATAGCCCAGTGGCCCTTGATTCATGGAACACAAATTAAGAATACCGGCATGAATGGAGATTAGGGAAGGATTGATAATATTAGGGAATATCTGTGATCCTTTTGGCAATAGATCTATTGCCATCCTCAACTTAGGACACTTCACACTTCTTATCTCATCTTTGCCATAAAACAATGACTAAAATAAACTTTTTCCAAGTTAGAGAAGTTTAGATGCATTTATTTTTCACAGAATGTTCAGAGATTTATCTGGGGGAAGAGATTCTTAAGTATGTAATATTTGGATTTTCATTCTTTATGAATTTAAGATATCTGATCTTCACAGGGTTTGATTCCAAGGGAAGAATGATCAGGTAAGTAATTGATGTAGCCTCAGATTATGGTTAACATTTCTCAGGACTGGGAAGATAAAATAGGTCACAAAAGAGACGTGTACCGCCAAAGCAGTGAATAAAAAGTAAATACTCCGGTAGAGGTGGTCATTAAGTTACCTTCTCCTTTTGCCCCTTCACTTTATTCATGTTGGAGAAAATTACTAATTATAAAAAGGAAATAAATATAAGTAGATCTTTAAATATATGGAGGAGGGGCATTTGAGACAGAGGACACACATATCAACATGTTACGTATGTATATTTCTATAAAAATCAGTGATGACAATAATAAGCTACCATTTTTTAAGTGCTTCCTATTTGCTAAGAAGAGTGTAAATCAACTCACACATTTTTTTCTCCCTCAGTTCTCATCTAACCTTGTTAGATAAGAAATGTTATGTGCTATTCTTTTTTTTTTTTTTTTTTTTTTTGAGACAGAGTCTCGCTCTGTCGCCCAGGCTGGAGTGCAGTGGCGGGATCTCGGCTCACTGCAAGCTCCGCCTCCCGGGTTCACGCCATTCTCCTGCCTCAGCCTCCCAAGTAGCTGGGACTACAGGCGCCCGCCACTACGCCCGGCTAATATTTTGTATTTTTAGTAGAGACGGGGTTTCACCGTTTTAGCCGGGATGGTCTCAATCTCCTGACCTCGTGATCCGCCCGCCTCGGCCTCCCAAAGTGCTGGGATTACAGGCGTGAGCCACCGCGCCCGGCCTATGTGCTATTCTTAACAGTTTGGCCAAAGAAAATGCAGATTAAGAAGTCAAACCACAGATCTTAATTTGAGTTTAAATGAGTGTTTGTGTTACTTCTAGAAACTATTCTGTTAACCATGCCGTTACATGGATTTTATATGCACATTCCAAGTTAAACCACAGATCTTAATTTTGGTTTAAATTAGTATTTGTGTTACTTTAGAAGCTATTCTGTTTACCATGTCATTACATGGATTTTATATGCACATTCCATTTTTATTTCTCATTTAATAAAGATTCAAATTTATATAGTTAAGCTGTATTCTCTAATAAGGTAAACAAAATTTGATAACAGCAAATAGCACTAACATTTTTGTTTATGCACAGATTATATATTCTAGTTTTTACATATATTTTAGCTCATTAATTTTCTTCTCCTTCTCTGAACTGCAATAATGAATTACATGTTAGGAAACAAATTAAGTTTGATATATATAAAGTAATGAACTTACATGGTTAGGGTGATTATAATTCATAATTCAATTTTAATTTCAAATGTGTATTTTCTACCACCTCATCAATTTAAACTAGATAAACTTGATACACAAATAAACAAAAAGCACAATCTTGTTTTCTTCTGTTGAGAGTTGGGTAGAGGAAAACGATCTGGCCAGCTGGTGCATAGATACAATTTTCAATAAATGGCAGTGAAAACAGACTTGTTTGGAATCTCCAGCTGGATGAGCATTGTGTCAACACTTTTGTGATATTTCTTGATGATATCCTGTTAGTCTGAAGAGCACTTAGCAGATATTAATTATCATCTGGTGAACTCTCTTCAGTTGAAAAGGTGAAAATCTATTCAGTATGTGCAATGCATGCTCAGTTGTCAACCTAAACTGCAAGCTACTAAGACTTAATTTTTGGCAATCATGTAGGTGTAAAGGAAACAGATGCTGTGTATTGTTCTATAAAGTATATGTTACCAGGCAATTGGATTCCAATTTTTAATATTTTTATTAATGAGTGCATTAAATAATTTAGCTCTATTTGTTGCTGATCCTTTTATTGTACAATTACCATATAAAACATGACATACAAACTTCTAGATTGGGACTTCAATATCATTTTAAGCTATTATTTAATTTGGAGCAAATGTAATGTTTTCTACATTTCCATGTAAGCTTTAGTGGTTTAAAATTAAGATGTATTGGCTGGCCATAGTGGCTCATGCCTGTAATCCCAGCACTTTGGGAGGCCAAGGCGTGTGGATCACGAGGTCAGGAGATAGAGACCATCCTGGCCAACATGGTGAAACCCCGTCTCTACTAAAATACAAAAGAATTGCTGGGTGTGGTGGTGCATGCCTGTAGTCCCAGCTACCCAGGGAGGCTGAGGCTGGGAATTGCTTGAACCCGGGAGGGCGGAGGTTGCAGTGAGCTGAGATCATGCCACTGCACTCCAGCCTGGGCAAACAGAGCAAGACTCCATCTCAAAAAAAAAAAAAAAAAAAGAAGTATTTTTGATAAACCATAGTAGGCATTCTTAAATAAGTAAATCTTAAGTACCACACAAGGGTCAGAGTATATCAACACCCAGGATGAATGAAGATACTGTTGTGCTTTCTTGCATTCTGAATATACATTCATTCAGTAAATATCTATTCAACAACTACTATATACCAGTTGTGTCAACTATCATTTAGTGTTGCTTGGCATAAAATAATAGGTGTTCATGAATTCTGAATTAAGATTTGTGCTATTTATTATTTTTATTTCAACTATTTGTAAGTAAAATAAAATACTCTGCAGTAAATGAAAGTCTACTAGTAATGGTGTGCATAATAGATTAACACACAAAGAGAGCATTTAACTTATCTGTACTTCCTAGTAAAAAATGTCCCTGTTCACAGGTTCATTTTTCATAATACATCAACTTCATTTCAGGGCATGCTAATAGTGATGAACCATAAATAGAATTGACAGACTGACTTAATGAAATATTGTCTGAGCATTTGAGAAAATAGAAAATCTAATGTGGATAATGGGTGGAAAACACATAAAGAACAAATATATTGAAATGTAGATAGACATATATAAATTTTTAATACATCTATTGAGCTGGGTGTGTAAATATTCTAAGGGGGTATATAAAGAAATAAGAACAGCTGTAAGGTTTCTGGAAAAAAAATCAGCTATAAATAATATGAAAGAGACAAGTTTTTAAACAAAGAATGGATATAACTTATCTTGGAAGTATATGGAAAGAAAAGCATTTCATGTAAAATGTCAACGTTGTCCTGGCTATTGAAAAATATTGAACCATATAATAAATAAAATGCTTTTTTTTTTTTTTTTTTTAGACAGAGTCTCGCTGTGTTGCCCAGGCTGGAGTGCAGTGGCGCTATCTCAGCTCACTTCAAGCTCCTCCTCCTGGGTTCACACCATTCTCCTGCCTCAGCCTCCTGAGTAGCTGGGACTACAGACACCCACCACCACACCCAGCTAATTTTTTGTATTTTTAGTAGAGATGGGGTTTCATCGTGTTAGTCAGGATGGTCACGATATCCTGACCTCGTGATCCGCCCGCCTCGGCCTCCTAAAGTGCTGGGATCACAGGCGTGAGCCACCACGCCTGGCCTAATATGCTTTTTCTTAATGTGTACATGAAGTGGGAGCGATGGTGTCATTTTTGAAAGCACAACGATCTTCCAGAACTTTAACTTGACTTCAAAGGCAGCAAAGCTTCTCCTTCATTTATTGCATCTAGGCTGCAAGCATTTTTAGAGCATCTTCTAAATACATACAGTTCTACTAGGACAAATTGTAGCAGCCATAAATACACCTACGAAAGATATTAGTGTACTACATAATAAGCACATTACAAAGACAATACATAATACTTCAGACAAGTAGTACATGTGATATAGAAACAGAGAAGTGTGAAATTTGAATTGGGTCTTGGGTTATGTATAGAATTTGGGTTAGGAGGTAATGTAGGCCATTCTAGTTACTGTTAGAGGATGTCATCCAGCTCTGCTTTGGAAAATGTATTCATTGACCTGGGGAAAATCATTTGTAATCACTTCACATTTTATTTTATTACCTGTAAGTTGGTGGGATTTAAAAAATTATATGACTTATTAAGTTAATCTTGCGTTTCAGCTTCAGTTAGTGTCTATTTACTGATTATCTTTTCCTCCAACAACACATCCAAGATCCAATTTCAGTTCCTTGAAATCTCCATTTCAATATCATTGATGCACTATTGCTAATCTCTTCTAATATCTTGTAATTCAAATAATATTTTTATTGATTTCAATTAAATGCATCCATCATTGGATTAGTTTTTCCTATACTTTATTTCTTATACCTATTTGATTAGCATTGCCTTGGAAATGTCTTGTAGATTCCTCATTTTCATTTCTATTGGTAACAGTATTCCAGCATTTATCACTTTCTGCATGAACACTTACTTATTCCTAGCTTATTTTCCTGTTTCTTTCTTCATACTCTCTTTTTCTGCAGTTGAATGGAAAAGACCCATAATTGGCTATGTTCCAAGATATAGCAGAAATAATAATATATTGAAGCAATGATGAGTGTTGATTTATTATTTAATCCCTCTTCAGGCTTATTGCCACTCCATAAAAGTATTGTGATTCTGTGATTTGATCTGAAATTCACTGTCTGACTTCCCTGCCTGAGCTTCTGGGCATCTAGCCTAATGAGATGGAAAGATTTCCTAGAGAGTCCCAAAAGCATCTTAATGTGAACTTTTCAATTCTTCAACTATTTCCAAAAGAGAGAGAATGAAAATAGAACTATTAGAGATTCTTTGTTGACAATAGGAAGAGATGACAAATGAGGCAATGGAACATTATGTTGTCCAGTATCTTAAAAAAACCCTCTGTCCATCAAATCAGTGCAAATTCTGAAGCCATGTTATCAAATAATTTGAACAATTTCAACATCTTCAGGTCTAAAAGAGCCAATGCACCCAACTAAAGGAAGTCTTCTCAGTGTCTATACTTATCAAACTATTTCTTGAGGCAAAAGATCCTTTAAATGAAAACAGCAGCAGCACCAACAAAACAACCTGCAAATTTATATCTCTCTTAGTAAGCAACATCAATTCATTTTTCCTTCGCAATGTAATTGCTTTCTAAACTTCGAAAATTTCACCTTGCCCTGTTCAGAGGTGTGAACAGAATGATATGGAGATATATACTATTAGATCCATAAATTTATATGTTAAATAGTATAAATCATATACTGCTTTCAGAGAGTCTGTACCCCCAAATGGACATGGGTCCTAATGAATTTGGAATGCCCAAGAAACACTACATTGAAACTATCTTCTCTCTCTCTTACTCTCTCCGTCTCTCTCTCCCTCATGTAAACGTGCGCATACAAATATTCCTCACCTTCTTTGCAAATGTTTCTAAAGTTAATATATGTACTATAGAGTCCACTCAAGTAATATAACTTAGTTGTAGAGGAAGAGATATCAACAACTGTGTTACAGATATGTACTAGAATATTGAGATGTGAGTTTATCAAACCAAATTTGTGGTTTTAGGACTTGATATGCTATAGTTTGAAATATTTTTGAGCTTTGGGAGGAATTTAACATTAAGTCCACAGAGGCATAAAATATTATTTCTTGAATAAACTCCCTGACTTCCCTAGACAAACCTTTAAGAAGTAAGGCTGAAGGCTGGGCGCAATGGCTCATGCCTGTAATCCTAGCACTTTGGGAGGCTGAGGTGGGTGGATCACGTTAGGTCAGACGTTTGAGACCAGCCTGACCCACATGGAGAAATCCTGTCTCTACTCAAAATACAAAATTAGCCGAGCATGGTGGCACATGCCTATAATCCCAGCTACATCGCCCCATTGCACTCCAGCCTGGAAAACAAGAGCAAAACTCTGTCTAAAAAAAGAAAAAAAAAGTTAGGTTGCATACATTTTCATGTAAAAAATTCACAAATGGATGCTTTAGGAAGATTCAAATAAAATAAATAAAATCTGATTAATGAAGAAATGTACTCTTATATAGTCAATTACTTGTAACCAAGATGCTATGATAGCCATACATTAAAAAGTAATGTGCTGAAAGTTTTCTAAAGAAAACTGTCTTCTCTGATCAGTGGTTTTTCTGAGGGAGTAAACAAGTAAGTTTGGCCAAAATGTGCCCTGTAGAACAAATAAAAATTGCCTTGAAGAAATATCATAAGAAAAATATTTTATTATAAAGGTATAATGAAATCAAACAAAATAATGTGTACAATCAGTCCTTTGTGGGTTCCTCATTGGCAAATTCAACCATGGATCCAAAATATCTGGAAAAAAAACAATGATTATGTATGTACTGAGTATGTACAGACTTTTTTCCTTGCCATTATTCCCTAAACAATACAGTATAACAATGATTGACATAGCATTTACATTGGATTAGGTATTATAAGAAATCTAGAGATGAAGTACATGGAAGGATGAGGGTAGGTTATATGCGAATATTATGCCGTTTTATATAAGAGACTTGAGCATCAGATTTTGCTATCTCCAGGAGTTTCTGAAACTAACCCCGTATGGATACCGAGGGATGACATAATTTGTGTTTGTCCTTTATGTGGTTTTGAGTAAGTCTGTTTCTGAAATACTTTGTAATTATTATCTATTAATGTTTATACTAATTTAATTTTTGTAATGGATATGATTCGTTGGAAAAATATCTACATAATACATTAAGCATATTTTGTTTAAAGTAGTTACTTCAAAAATCAGTGTAAAACTACTAAAGAAAAATACATGGTGGATTAACTATATTATATGATATCTTTAAGGTGCACTACAGCCTAGAAAGCTGTACTATGTCATAGTCTACTTTTTATCATACACAGTCACAAGAGAATTTCTAGTAAACAGGAGTCAGTTTCAATATCCCATTACTCTCCCCACACATTTTCTATTTTGCCAAAGGATCTTCACATAGGCATAAGAAATCCTCTGGTGAATTCGACTGGGGGTTCCCTACAAGAAAAGAATTCATGAGTTCATAAATTTTTCAGTCCCTTCAGTTTATCTGGAGAGTTATGGATAGCATGCTGGGCAGTAGTACATAGAGCAGATCATCTTGAAAAATAATGCCATCTCCATAATGGGGAGGTTGCTATTTCCCAGTGGGGGTGAGCTGTTTAGGCTGTATAGATACAGCCCTATTGCGGATTGCTGCTGGCAGGGAAAATCACATTCTTCTTGGTTTCCATATTGCTTTGAATATATTTCAGTGGCTGAGATTTTAATTATGTCAAAAAGAGCACATGTAATCACCCTTAAGATATTGATAAAAATGGACAAAGAAAAGAATTTCACGGTTAACTATCATTTTCTTATTAAAGCCCCTTTAATGTATGAAGATATTACAGGATTCTGGGATTTTTAAACAATATGCTATGCCATGTATGCTCTATTCTTAGCCACAGTGGCAAATGAAAGTAGATTGACTTAATTGTTTTTCATATTTCTTTTAAATTCCATTATTTACTATTTGAAGGCAATAACTATTTCATTGTTTGTTCCTAGTTAAACAAATTAGCAGCTGCATTTACAAACAGTCATTTTTTTCCTAACATATTATATCATAATATGCTTGTATATGTTAAGCTTAAAATAGTTTTCTCTGACTAGGTAGGGAAAACAGTAATGCTAGAAAGGTAAGGGTAGTATATTAGTCAGAGTTCCCCAGGGGAAGAGAATCAATTGAAGATGTGGGTGGGGCTTGGGGGGTGCTGTTGGGAAGGGAGAGAAGAAGTGAGAACAATTTAAGGAATTGTCTTATGATACTGTGGGACTAGAGACTCAGGCTGGGTTTGTATGTTGCAGTATTGAGAAGGATTTCTTCTTCTTTGGGAAAACTCAATAATTGCTCTGATAGTCTTCAATTGATGGAACTGTGGAAGAGGCCAATGTGACCTACCCACATTATACTTTACGCACATTTTATTGATTTAAATGTTAATCACATCCTAAAAGTATCTTCACAGCAAAATCTAGACTGCCTAGCCAAGTTAAAACATAAAACTAGCCATTCCATATAGTGAAAGGGAGGTTTTTGTCATTACTGGTACAAATACAGAGCTATCAAATGTTGCTTGAAGATCTGAGGCATTTGTAACAAAAATGAGTCATGTGCAAAATAATAGTTGCTTTATATTCGTTGAGAAAGATATCAGAATAACTTCCTTCCAGGCAATATGTGTATTATTCCCTTTTCTTTCCCTGTTCTTCTTTGCCGGGAACTGCATCTCTCCTCCCTCTTTCTCCTTTCAAAAACTCAATCCAGTTTAAATTTCATAACAAATGTCAAGTTTTATTTAATATTCTATTCTCACATTCATCTCCCTTTTTGTGAAATCCTTTAGTACCTATAATCTTGGCCACATGGATAAGTATTTAATTGTCACTTGCTTTGTTTCTTATCTTGCCTTTCATGTGTTAGCATCTAAATTTCTTTGGGTCAGAAGCTTGACTTCATATTTCCTCTCTAGCCCATATATATAGTTCCTTGCTCATGTTAAGCTCATAATTAGCTACCAGGAAATATTTGTGGAATTACTTATTTCACATCATATTTTTACATATCTACTGAGGCTGATGAGACAAATCATAAGAAGAATAAACATATTTTAGCCCATCTGTGCTGCTATAACAAAAATACCGTGAACTGGGTAGGTTTTAAATAGCAGAAATTTATTTCTAACAGTTTTAGAAGCTGAGAAGTTCACTATCAAGGTTCCAGCAGATCAGAGTGTCTAGTGATGATACATTTTCTCATTCATAATTGATACCTTCTAGCTGTGTTCTCACATGGTGGAAGGGACAAAGGGTTTCTCATGGGCCTTTTTTTTATAAAGGCACTGATGTCATTCATGAGGGCTCTGCTCCCATGACATAATTACCTCCCAATGGTTCAACTTCCTGATACCCTCACATAGGTGATGGGTTTCAACATATGAATTTTGGGGGACACAATCATTAAGACCCTAGCAATATGTCATATTTAATTTGAAGATGTAAAAATGAATAATGGAGTAGCAATCAAGTCTAACTTTACAGATAATATGGTTAAAATTATAGAATACAATAATGCATTTAAACTCTTGTAGGGTTATGTAATAATAATAAGTGGTTCATGCCTGTTATCCCAGCACTTTGGGAGGTCAAGGCGGGTGGATCACCTGAGGTCAGAAGTTCAAGACCAGCCTGGCCAACATGGCGAAACCATGTTTCTACTAAAAATAGAAAAATTAGCCAGGTGTGTTGGTGCTCACCTGTAGTCCCAGCTACTAGGGAGGCTGAGAACCCAGGAAGCAGACGTTGCAGTGGGCCAAGATTGCACCACTATACTGCAGCCTGGCAACAGAGCGAGACTCTGTCTAAAATAATAATAATAATAATAATAATAATAATAATAATAATAAATAAAAATAGAAGTCTCAGGCTGGGCGTGGTGGCTCACGCCTGTAATCCCAGCACTTTGAGAGGCTGAGATGGGTGGATCACCTGAGGTCAGGAGATCGGGACCAGCCTGGCCAACATGGCGAAACCCCATCTATCTTAAAAATACAAATATTAGCCAGGCGTGGTGACAAGCGCCAATAATCCTAGCTACTCGGGAGGCTGAGGGAGGAGAATTGCTTGAACCCGGAAGGCGGAGGTTGCAGTGTGCTGAGATCATGCCACTGCACACTAGCCTAGGGGACAGAGTGAGACTCCATGTCAAAAAATAAATGAAATACAAGTCTTAGATGAGAAAGTCAAAGACTGAGTATCTATTGGTTAATTAGTTCTCTTATTGAGATATAGTTTGTATGTTTGTTCCTGCCCAAATCTCATACTGAATTATAATCCTCAGTGCTGGAAGTGGGGCTGGTGAGAGGTGTTTGGGTCATGCAGGCGGATCCCTCATGGCTTGGTGCTGTCTTCACAGCAGTGAGCAACTTCTCACAAAAGCTAGTCATTTAAGTCTGTGGTACCTCTCCCTGCCGACGCACACTCTCGCTCCTGCTTTCACCACGTGATGCACCTGCTACTTTTTGCCTTCCACCATGATTGTAAGCTTCCCGATGCCTCCCCAGAATCCAAGCGGATGTTGGCACCATGCTTCTTAAAAAGCCTGCAGAACTGTGAGCCGATTAAGCCCCTCCTCTTTATAAATTACTCAGTCTCAGGTATTTCTTTCTAGCAACACAAGAATGGCCTAATACAGAAAATTGGTACTGTAGGTGGGACAATAATGTAAAGATACCTGAAAACGTGGAATGGGCAGAGGTTGGAAGAGTTTGGAGGGCTCAGAAGAAGACAGGAAGAAGGGAAAATATGGAACTTCTTAGAGACTTGTTACATGGTTATGACCAAAATGCTGATAGAAATATGGACATGAAGACCAAGATGGTGAGGTCTCAGAAATGAGGAAGTTATTGGGAACTGGAGTAAAGGTCATGTGTGTTAGCCTTAGCAAAGAACTTGGCTGCACTGTGCCCCTGCCCTAGAGATCTGTGGATGTTTGAAGGTCAGAGTGATGATTTAAAGTATCTGGTGAAAGAAATTTCTAGCAGTAAAGGGTTTGAGATGTGACTTGGCTGCTTCCAACAACCTATGCTCAAATGCAGGAGCAAACAAGTGACTTAAATTTGGATTTTGTATTTAAACAGAAAGCAAAGCATAAACGTTTGGAAAATTAGCAGCCTGGCCACGTGTCAAGGAAAGAAAAAGCTTTCTTTTTCTTTAAAGAAATTTAAACTGGCTTTGGAGCAACCACCTTCAGAGATATTCACATAACCAAAAGGGAGCAAGGTGTGAATACCAAAGAGAATGGGGAAAGGCCTCAAAGGCATTTTAGAGACCTTAATGACAGCCCCTCTCATCACAGGCCCAGAGGCCTAGGAAGACAGAATGGTTTTGTAGGCCAGCCCCAGGGTCCTTCTGCCCTATGCAGCCTTGAGACACTGCTCCCTACATCCTGGCTATTCCCATTCTATCCACGGCTCACAGAAGCCCAGGTACAGCTCGGGCTGCTACTTTGGAGAATGCAAGACATAAGCCTTGGCGGCTTCCAAGTGATGTTAACCCTGTATGTGTGCAGAATGTAAGAATTAAGAACACTTGGCAGCCTCTGCCTAGATTTCAGAGGATATATGAGAAAGCCTGTTTGTCCAGAAAGAAGCCTTTGTAAGGGCAGAGCCCTCATAGATGGCTGCGTACTAGGGCAGTGCCAAGGGGAAATGGGAGGTTGGAGCTCCCACACAGAGTCCCCAGTGGGCCACTACCTAGTGGAGCTGTAGGAATGGGACTGCTGCCCTCCCAATTGCAGAATTGTAGAGCCATCAGCAGCTTGCAAGACTTATTGCAATAAGATACTCTTAAGTCATTTGGAAATGTATTCCTATATAAAAAAGGCAATGGCAAATAGATGTTAAAAGTTCTGAAGTGAAAGATGATCAACATATTTCTTAAGGTGGTCAAAGTTTACAGAGAAGAAAATGCTTAAGCTGATTTTTAAATGGGCTATCTTTAGGCAGGCTAAAGGACAAGGAATTCTAAAGTGGATGCATGGCATGGAGGCATAAAAACTAGCATGATTTGGAGTGAATTAAATTTGCTACATTATTGTTAGAGCACAGTGCATAGAGGAGGCAAATCAGGAGGTAAGGATTGAAAACTAGACACGATGTTATCATAAAAGGATGTTTAAGATTCATTTATACAATACAATGGGAATACAATATAAATGGCGATAATTTGGATTTTATTTTGTTGGCTGGCTGTAAATTGTTTCAACCATCTAGTCAGGAAAGTGATGGAAAGAGAGAGAAAAAGACTGGAAGTAAAATTATTAGTTTAGGTTATTGCAAGCAGGCAATGAACAGATAAAATGCCTTTTGTTTTTTTGAATGGGATGAAAACTTTCTGCAGTAAGGTAACTGTAATTCAACTCATTCTAACAATGGAACTCAAAAAATTCAAGAGAAGACAAATACTGGTAAGAATATTAGTAGAGTATTAAATAATTAATATTTAGATATTTTTTAAATGTTGTATTTAATTCACATGGCCTATTGAATTATCTGCACTTAGGAGTTAGTTGTCACATACAGTTTTATGTCATTAAATTTTTGAAACTTTTGTTAAGAGTACTAGATTGCAAAACAATTTTTGAAGCATGTATTAGAAGTGTGAAATATGTAGTTGGTTTTGGATTAATGGAATATTTACTTAGTAATTTCATTGAAATAAATCATTATTATATTTCATTACTGTTTATGGAAAGAATTTTATGCAAAGTTGAAATGTTTCTCTCATTTAAATACATTTCTCTTATGTTTAAAATTAGTGTTTGAATCTTCTAAATGAATAGCCAAACATTTTTATTTTCTTACAGCCAAAAATATTATTCTTCTATATTAGTTTGAAATGATGTGATTTAAAAGTTGATGCCTAGTTGAGAATTTGCAAAATATATCTGAATTATTAAAACATGAGTTGATGCCATAGTATCTTAACGTGTACTGCATGCTTTCAGGAATCACTAATTGTGCCCTGACCATGCCACTGACTCAGAAGTTGAATAGAATATGCAAGTGGAAGAAACTCTTCCTGAGGGTACTTAGACTACTTCAATAGAAATAGTATTATAAATCTTTTGGACCTATACATTTCTTTAATTGATATTAGTTGACATACTGAATAAATTATTTAAAATTTAGTCTAATAATGTCTCAACCAATTACATTTTGTTGGGCTAAATGATCAGTCCAGCATGGAAATGCTCACAACATGTAGCCAGTCCTCATTCTTTGTAGGTTTCATATTGGTGAAGTCACTATAATTTTTTGTGATCACCCAAATCTGTATCTCTGACAATTTCATGGAAATATAAAGAGCAGCAAAAATTTTACGTTGACCAATACGGTTGTCCTGTCTTAGGTCAAAAAAGGCAATGCTCTCTCTTCTTGTTTCAACTCTCGTACTATAAATACATGCTCTTTACGGTCTAACTAGTGCTATGTTTTTGTATTTTTGTGCTTTTCGTCGGTGATTTCACTATTTACAATGGCCCCAAACATTATACAGAAGCACTATGTGGTGTTCCTCAGAACAAAAAGGCTTTGATGTATCTTAACAGAGAAAATGCATGTGTTAGATAAGCTTTAGGCCTGAGTTGTAGTGCTGTTGACCATTACTTTCAATGTTAATGAACAATTCGATATATTAAATAAGATATCTTTAAATAGAAAGACATATAGAATAATGTTATATATTTATTGATTGACAAATATGTGACCAGAGACTCATAGGAGCCTAACAGGAGATACAGGACTCTAACTCTATATGTCCCCCGGGGAACAATGGTGTAGTATTCACTGATGCAGTGTTGCAGTGACTTCATAGAGCATAACTACCACAAATAATAAGAATTGACTGTATTTACAATTACCAAATGGGAGTCTTGGTAATACGAAATAAAAGATGCATAAACAATATGTATATATGTGTGTGTTTACATACATATATACATGTTTTTCAACATTTGCATACACTTACATATATGTGTATATGTGTATGTAAACATACATATGTATGTACATATTGAAAAACATGTATGAGTTAATATTGTTGGGTAGAAATATCCTGAATTATGTACCATCCTGTATAGATAGGAAAGATTTACAAAATCTAACAGATCTAACATTTCTTAATTTCTTCGATAGTTGACCTTAAATAAGTTATTTAAGAGACGAAAATTCCAAAAGGTGTATATCTTACAATTAATAAATAAAAAGCTAAGGCATTAATAGCAGCCTAGATCCAGTAATACTTTTTTATGATGGAATATATGAAATCACATGTATACTGAAAGATGTTCTCTACCATATATCGTCAAAACAGAACAAAAGAAGAATGCTGAATAAAATAAATAAATAATGAGGCAGAATTAACTGTGGATCAGGAACTAAATACGGTGTACTAGAAAATCAGATTAAGATGCTATACTTAGATAAACCTGAAAGGATAAATCTAGCTTTCTCTATAAATCACCTATTAACCTAAAACAAAAATAATTTAATTTTCATGTTTAAATTTAAGACCTTGATCAAGTATATTCTAATAGCAGATTGCTATGTATCAAAACCTCATGCCATAAAGAAATTAATATACTTATTTTTAGAAATAATTTGAAGTGTCATAAAACAGGCACTATAGGTAATGCATATGAGGCTCTTAATGCATATAATCAGGTAATGAGAGTTAATAATTATAGTTGATATAATCCAGCAAATGTATTCACATCACAGACTTTGGTTTTATAATTTGTTATAATTGTAATCAATTTGTAGTTTTTGTTTTTTCACTCATTATAGGGAAAAAACTTTATTAATGAACTTAAATATACTCAATATCAAGACTGGTTGGACAGGAGCACAGAAATGTGACTGTGACAGACTCTGCTGCAAAGTCCAGTGGTAAAAACAGACATATAAATCATTCTTTTTATTTCCAACTTTTATTTTAGATTCAAGGGGTACATGTGCAGATTTGTCACATGGGTAAATTGCGTGTCACAGGGGATAAACCATTCTTAAAATTCCTGATTATGTACTATTTAATCCTCAAAACAAACCTATGAGATAGATAACGATTTTTGCTTCTCATTTATACAGAAGAGGAAATTGAAGATTATTTATCCTCCTACCTAAGAGGCTTATCCTTCTAAGGAACTGAAGTAGCCCTTTTAAGTTTAGTATTTGTATGAACACATTCAGTGATTTTAATTGAGATGAGAAGTGTACCTTCATGGTGTACAAATAATTATTTAAAAGAGTTGTATGACTTACCCTCATTAATACAATTGAATTATTAAATATTTACTCTAAATATTATGAAGACCATAATTAAAAAGATTTAGAACATGTTATTAAAATATTTTAAGTTAAATAAATAATACAGAAATGATAGCAGATTTTATTTACTTTTTATTATTCTGTCTTCAATGAATGTATCTGTTATAAAGACATAATATGAGTACAATTAATATTACTTTTATTAAACATATTACATGATTTCCAAATATGAAATTAATAAAAAGCAAGTTTTTCCCTCTTCTCTGCACCTATAACACTATGCTATAGTGCAGGGCCGACTCAACAATGAGACAACTCAAATCTCAGCTTTCTCATTTATTAATTAGTGACTTTGCATAATATGATTAAGCCATCTGTACTTTGATTTACTCATCAGACAAATGAAAATTATAATAAAGTAGTACATAGCTTTGTGGTGGGATTAAATTAAAGAACACATGTAAAGAACTAAGTCTCTGGCACATAAGTGCCTGATAAATGTTAGCAATTATTATTAATATAAGTATACTTTATATATAATATCATGAGTAAATTATTGGTTTATAGTAACAGAATTTGTTAAACCCCTCAGATGTTCACTAAACCTCTGTTAAATGAATAAATGAATGAAAGCTCTTATCTAGCATAGGGACCTAAAATCAGTCAAGAGATATTTATTGAGTCGCTATGCATAACTGAGGCCTGAAAATAGCTCAGTGAACAGGGTAGATATGGTCTCTGCCATTTAAATATGAGTACTAAAATTCTATTAATGAAAATAAAATGAAATATACACAGACACACACATATACATGCAAAAATTACATTTATGTGACTTAATAAATTTTTTATAGCTTAATTTTTTCTCATTACAGGTCAAATTTTTAGCATCCCAACTCATTATACTGCCAAATCAAAGTGTAGAAGTTGTTTTCAGAGCAATGATATTCAAGAGGATAATAATTTAATTTGTAATTCACTTTGAAAAATATGAATGCAACATAACAAGAATAATAATTTAGCATCAAGGATATTCTATGATAATGACACCATAATTTCACCATTAATGTATTTGTCATCACCTCCTTATTAATAGTTTGTGTTAGAAAAACACATAATTATTGTTTCCATCCTTCTTTGTCTTTTGGGAAAGGAAAGCAGATACAGGTTTCAAACTGTAGGGTATGGTAAACACTCATTCACCCATTTCACAGATCGTTTAAGTAATTTTCACTAGATAGACTTATCTTGCAGGTTTAGAAGTTATTATACTGGCTATTCATTAGTTAATTCAACAGTTATATACAAGTATTAATATAAAATCTAAAATTATGTTACATCTGTGTTGTTACTTTTTTTTCCAGTTTATGATGAAAGTGATTTGTAATTTGGGTGATTTCTAGGTAACTGCTCAGAAAAAAAAAAGAAGTTGAAGGAATATATACCTGGAATATATAATATCACTGCACTTCTTCATGTGATCATGCAACTATTGTTTGCTGATTGTCTAACCAAAGGATGGTTTCAGGGTCTTTCGCAACACAACACCTAGGCAGACTCTAGCCATTAGTCACAGTTACTGTGTAAGAATAAAAGGATTTGTGGACTCTGTTGCATACTTTTTACAAAACATGAGTAGTTAGTTTATGGTACTAACATTACCATTTTCTTTTGACCATTAGAGGTCATTGACCATTTTCTTTTGACCTCTAATGGTCAAAAGAAAAAAACAAAGCCCTTTCTAAAGTTCTCACAGAGAATTAACTAATTAAAACCATGTTAGCAACTATAGTGGACAGGGAATATCAGGTATCCACAAATCTGGACCCTTCTGAATATTTGCTATTTAAATTTAATGAATTCACTTAATCTCTGGGACTGCTTTTTTGTCTCTCAAAACAAATAAGAGAAGTTCTTATTTCCAAAGCTGTATTCATAATGATTCCTTAAATGTAGCAATAAATTATTATCTAACTTCCAAATAAAACTACAAGGAGACTTCAGAAATACCATTGAAAAATGACATTAGCGATAAAAATTAAAATACAAACTTGTCAACATAAGCTCCATCAAGTTAAACCACTTTTGTAAACAATGATACCAGCCATTTAGTCCATCTCTAAAGAACTGAGCATCCTGGGACTTTAATCCTGTCAATGCAGTTTTTTTATCTAATTTTATTTTTACATTATTAACTGAAGAAAAGCAGGTGTCTTTTAAAGACTGTTTAAAGTTAGGAAACAATAAGAAATCAGAAGGAGGCTAATCAGTACTATAAGATTAATACCTACAGATTTATCATCAAAACTCACACAGTTGCCCTTGTTTAATGAGAATAATGATCAGGAGCATGGTCATGTTGGAAAAGAACTCTCTGGTGAAGCCATCCCAGGAGTTTTTCTACAAAAGCTTTGGCTAACTTTCTCAAAACCAAACAGATGTTACCATTTTTTGGCCCTTTGAAATATCAACAGGCAAAACACTTGAGCATCTCAAAACACTGTTGTCATGATCATTGCTCTTGACTGGTCCAGTTTGCTTTGATTGGGCCACTTCCACCTCTTGGTAGCCATTGTTTTGATTGTGCTTTGTCTTTAGGGTCATACTGGTGTAGCCAAGTTTTATCTCCTGTTACAATTCTTTGAAGAAATGCTTGGGATCTTGTTTAAAATTTTCATTGAGATCTCTGCTCTTGTCTGTAGCTGATCTGGATGCAGTAGTTTTGGCACCCATTAAATGGGAAGTTTGCTTATTTAACTTTTCAGTCAAAACTCTGAAAGCTGAACCATTTGAGATGTCTAAGGTGTTAGCTATTGTTTATGCTGTTAATCTTTGGTCCTCTTTAATTAGGGCACAAACTAGATACTTTCTTTTCATTGCAAATTGATGTGGATGGTCTGCTGTTATGGACTTCATCTTCAACATTGTCTCATCCCTTCTTAACCCAAGTTGTTTATCTGTAAACTGCTGATTTCTTTGGATAATTTTGCCCATAAACATTTTTTAAGCATTAGCGATGTCACCATTATTCCACTCAATTTTAATGTTTGTTCTTGCTTCAAGTTTAGCAGAATTCATGTTGCCATGAGAGGGGCTCTTTTCAAGGTGAAGTCTTAACCTTCTTACTGCCTCACACTAGACCTTGTTCAGAGTATGATTACTTTGGTGCAAAAATTTTGGGGGTTTTGTGTAGTTTTTTCATAATACACATTTTCCATGACCTTTTTGAGGACACTTTGTACCATTTCATAGAATATTTCTCATATTAAAATCAATTTTTAAATAAAATCATCGGAGTTCAATTTTCATTTCAATTCTTTTAATACAGTATTTATGTGCAGAAGGAGTCAGATTTTTCTCATTCAATTTTTTTTGGAAGTTTTACTGAATGAAAAGTAAATTCTAATTCCTTTCTAGTATTCCTTCTAGAAGGCACAAAATGATGGAAAGCTGTTAGGCAATTTTCAGGTAAATACTATCCTTAATTTAAATGGTTTATCCTGTAATATATTTTTTATCGTTATATTGAGAAACTTTGCAATTTTCTTGAAATGAAAATTTTGTAGTTTCACTTCAAATTGCATTTTTAGATTTCAGTTTCAGAATATTATGTCACTACCCCAAACAATAAATATTCTGTGAGCAACAAAACTAAGTAGCATTAAACAAATGATTAATAAATCATTCTGTTGAAATACTTAAAACACTGTTTATATTATTTTTATGTATTCAAACAAAACAAGTAAAATACAAACAAAATCAGCACAGTGGTTGTTTGAAGAAATAATTTTAGGAAAAATATCAACTAAACAGAATTTGATGATTAATTGAAGATTATGTCTTGTTTTCCTGACGCAGAGAGTTGATTGCCTTTATTTGCAGTTTGATATACTTAGGGATAAAGCATCTTTGATCATGAAAAAATACAAAAATTTCAGAAGTCTATTCTCCTTATATCAAAACTGTAGTTTCTGTTTCAAAAAGTGGCTGGTTGACATTGGCATCTTTGAATTTATTGTTTTTATTTTTTTCTTATTTGAAAAATGGGACAATTATTCTTGAATGGACCACTTCTTTGACCCAAAAGTCATGTGAAGTAAGATATCTCTCAATAGTTTGGAAGACCATGAGTGTAGAATGTGACACCCATGAAAAATGCTCAGGAAGGAAAAATACAATGAAGACTCTCAGAAAAAGCATCTTATTGTGATGTGTCTTTTATTCCATAAGTATGATCCCCGGTTCCCTGGTATGAGGCACATTGAAAGTTCTTCTGTGCCACAGCTTTGATATTGTCCAATTTTGGTACTTTAAATTCCTCTTCTATGCCTTCTTTGCATTTTCTGTAGTTTTGGGAAACCAAGTATCTTTCTGAACTGCACTAGCATGAAGCTTTTTAGGAAGAGTGGGAGGAGAAGCCCATGAGTGATTATTCCAGTTGAAATACAATAGGGTTATATAATAGAATTGCACAAAGGAAAGAGGACAGTAGGATCCAAGGATTTCTATCACAAGTCACCTTGCTAGATTTCCAGTGCCAGGTTGAAGGTGCCTCAGGAGGATGGTACTCACATTTCTGAGTCAAGTACTGCATTCAGTCAAGGAGGTTTGAATTAATGACTATTAGAGCAGTGGGCTGTCATTAAGGTCCCTGAAACCTAATGGCCTTGTAGGGACTGTGTCTTTTAAAAAAAATGTCATAAGCCTAACACATTGAAGGTAATAAGTAAATATTTCCTGAATCAATTCGATATACATGTTTTATATAGTTTACAGAATACACTGTAAAATTAAGGAAGATTTTAAACTTTACATGTATTTTAATTATTACCATTATTCAATCATATTTTATTTATTTATATTCCTATCTCTCCTTCTAGAAACTGAGATTCTTCAGGGCAGGGCTTGGTATTGTTAACACTCATCACAGTGCCAAGGGAATCATTATTGTTTGATAAAGGAGGAAAGAGGAAGATACAAGAAAATCCCCATAGTGTTCTTACTGGATGGGTTGTATAGTAAAGGTAGGGATTTTATATTTGTCATAGAAATTGATGAAAGTTAATCAATTACAGATTATCAGACATTTAAATCACATAAAAACTTATGTAGTAAGACAAGAAATGAAATATGGTTTTCAAGGTGGGAGGGAAAGAAAGAAGTAGGGAGAACAATATTTAGTGAAAACCCACTATGCACCTCCTGCTGTATTGCAACTTTGCTAAGTTATCTCATTTAATGTTCACAAAAACCCTGCATAAGGCTGTTATTAACTCAATTGTACATATGCATTATTTGTGATGTAACTTGTCTAAGGCCATGTGACTAGTTTATGTCAAAACTAAAATGAGAGCACAGTTCTGTAGGCCTCCAAAATTTTTCTATACCACCCAGCTTCCCTAATAAAATATTCTGCAAAGAAAGGGTCTAATAAAAGAAAATCACAGACATTTTGTTATCCAACTTTTAGTTATTGGAAACTGAGTTACAGATGCCTCTCATTTTATAATGCTCTGGAATATGTGCACATCAAATTTATTTCATCCAGTTGACATTTAATTTTTGATATTTAATTGGCTATGATCTGAATATTTGTGTCCTGTCCAAAATTCTTATGTTGAAATCTTAAGCCTGAAGGTGACGGTAGTAGAAGGTGGAGCATTTTGGGAGAAGTAATGGCCTACGAACTAGGAAACAAACCCCCAACCAAACAACAAATCTGTTGGTGCCTTTATGTTGGACTTCTCAGGCTCCAGAACTGTGAGAAATAAGTGTTTTTATAAGCTACCCAGTTTATGGTGTTTGAGGTTTTGTATTATTGACTAAGACAATTAGTTTTGATTTAAAATATATGATTCTCTGGTTTAAGAATCCTATCAGGTTCCTGCTAATCTATAAATGAACTTCAAATGTAGTAGGGTACTCCACTATTTTAAGAAAGTAAATTATTAAATTACACTTGCTTTGTATGATTTGTAATTCTGGGATATACCTCTAATAGGCCTCTAGTAAACCTATATGGTGATAGGAACTTTTCTCTACTTTAACCTTTAGAATTTGTGAACATATTTTTAAAAATTCTTGAAAGATAATATGTTAAATAATAAATAAAATTCCGATAATTAAGGCAGACATTTTTCACTTTTTAATTAAACTCAAGAATGTATTTTTTATTTGAAAAATCAGCATAGTATTGAAAATGTTTTCTAACTATCCTCAATAATACAAAATGGAATTAACGCAAAATATTTTAACCCTGGTTTAGAATCCTAGCACACACAGTCACTTGACTCTTAACAGCTCTATCTGCCTAACAGAAATCTCTATAGATTATTTTATATATCTAAACTAAAATTTTACTGTAAACTACAGGAAAAATGAATTATATCATCAAAAACAGCCAAGACAACTAAAGTGATTTGTTCAGACATTCAAGTATTTCAATAAAAGAGACCCCAAATATAAAGGTGTTAATGCCCTTTATTCCAGTTATTCCTCTTTTACAGAATGGAAAGTACCTTTACAATAAGAAATAGCCCACAACTAGTAGGCAATACTGAAATGATAAAAATAATAATTTACACATGATTGAGTCACAAAGGAGGACCAACTATTGTTTATTTCCAATGATGAACTAGACATTAGTACAGGCACTTCAAAATTGTTTCGATTCAAAGTTTTCACATTTGGCTTTTTGCATTTTTTTCTTCTTCTTCTTTTTTTTATTATACTTTAAGTTCTGGGATACATGTGCAGAACGCGCAGGTTTGTTACACAGGTGTACAAGTGCCATGTGGTTTGCTGCACCTATCAACTTGTTATCTACATTAGGTATTTCTCCTAAAGGTATCCCTCCTCTATCTCCCCACCCCTCAAAAGTCCCCAGTGTGTGATGTTCCCCTCCCTGTGTCCATGTGTTCTCATTGTTCAAATCCCACTAATGAGTGAGAATATGTGGTGTTTGGTTTTCTGTTCCTATGTTAGTTTGCTGAGAAGGATGGTTTCCAGCTTCATCCATGTTCCTGCAAATGGCATGAACTCATCCTTTTTATGGCTGCATAGTATTCCATGGTGTATATGTGCCACATTTTCTTTACCCAGTCTATCATTGATGGGCATTTGGGTTGGTTCCATGTCTTTGCTATTGTGAACAGTGCTGCAATAAACATACATTTGCATGTGCCTTTATAGTAGAATGATTTATAATCCTTTGGGCTTTTTGAGTTTTACTACCTCACTTTAAAAAATTCACTTTCATAAATACATTTTGCTTAAGATTATGTTGGTTTACATTCTCTTAAAATCGTATGCCTTGCTAACAACCCTAATTTTTTGATAATTCTCCAAATTCTTAACTGTTTCAAATGTTACATCTCAACACACAATTTAAATCATGTTACTTCCTGCACAAGACCCTAGAATGGCTTCCTATTAACAATAAAATTAGTAGTGGACACTTTAGAACTCACTTTTTTCACTTTTCCCATTGTTCTTTATTAAGTCAATTCTATTTTCAATAAGTACTTTTCCTTACTATTTTAAATAACATGTTTCCTCCTTCCAGATTTTACTCATTTTTGTTTCTTCTTACTGAAAATTTTAGAATTGTTTTACACATTGTTTATATTTCCTATTTTACAAAATACTTTTACAAGTATGATTTAATTTCATATCCCCTTGCTACCCTCAAGTTCATCCTGTATTCTACTTACCTGGATTTGAGAATGCAAATCTTTCCGCCCTTTTCCCCATTCGAAAACTATCAGTGAATTTCCATTGCCTGATTTCTTACTGTGAAGTTTCAAAGTTCTACCACAATTTCCCTCAAAATGCCCCTCCAGGTTAATCTTCACCCACCACTCTTCACAAGCGCTCTGTGTTGTAACCACATTATATGTTATTCTATCCCAAGGACGTCTGTGCTTTCCTGACGCTTGCACGTTAACTCACAATCTTCTGTCTTCTGAAATTTGCGGTGATACCTTTCTCCCACTATTTATTTTCCATGTTCTTTCATATTCAACATGTTGTTTTAGGCCAAGAGGAAACTCACCCTCCTTTATAAAACTTTTCCTGCATAGTATCTCCCATGGTGTATATATAACATATTTTCTTTATCCAGTCTGTCATTATTGGGCAGGTTAATTCCATGTCTTTGCTAATTTAAATAGTGTTGCAGTGAACATACACATACATGTGTCTTCATAATAGACTGAATTATATTCCTTTGGGTATATACCCAGTAATGGGATTTCTGATTTTAAGTATCTGAGGAATTGCCACTCTGTCTTCCACAATGGTTGAACTAATTTAAACTCCCACTAATAGTGTATAAGTTTTCCTTTTTCTATACAACCTGACCAGCATCTATTTTTTTGACTTTTTAGTAATAACCATTCTGATGGGTGTGAGATGGTATCTCATTGTGGTTTTGGTTTGCATTTCTCTAATGATCGGTAATATTGATCTTTTATTAATATGATAGTTGGCCAGATGTGTGTCTTATTTTGAAAAGTATCTGTTCATGTCCTTTGCCTTTGCCCAGTTTTTAGTGGGGTTGTTTGTTTTTTTCTTGTCAATTTGTTTAAGTTCCTTATAGATACTGGATATTAGACCTTTGTCAGATGCATAGCTTGCAAAAATTTTCTCCCATCTGTAAGTTGGCGGTTCACTTTGTTGATAGTTTTCTTTGCTGTAAAGAAGCTCCTTGGTTTAATTAGGTCCCAGATCCCATTTCTAAATTTTTGATATTGTTGCAATTGCTTTTGGCATCTGCTCATGAAATTTTTGCCAGTTCACGTGTCCAGAATGGAATACTATATAGCCATAAAAAAGAACAAGACTATATCCTTTGCAGGAACATGGATGGAGCCAGAGACCATTATCTTTAGCAAACTAACACAGGAACAGAAAACCAAATACCCCATGTTCTCGCTTACTAGTGGGAGCTAAATGATGAGAATACATGAACGCATGGAGGAGAACAACACACACTGGTGTCTATCAGAGTGTGGAGGTTGAAAGGTGAGAGAGGATCAGGAAAAATAACTAATGGGTACTAGGCTTAATACCTGGGTAAGCGAATACTTTGTATAACAAACCCCCATGACACAAGTTTACCTATGCAACAAACCTGCACATGTACCCCTGAACTTAAAATAAAAGATAATTTTTTTTAAGGTAAAAAAATAACAGCTTTTGGGGAAGCTGTGGCTACAGAGAAAAGGGAAAGCTTATACACAGTTGGTGGGAATGTAAATTAGTTCAGCCACTTTGGCAGGCAGTTTGGAGATTTCTCAAACCACTAAAACCAGAAATACCATTTAGCCCAGCAATACTATTACTGGGTATATACCCAAAGGGAACTAAATCATTCTACCAAAAAGACACTCACATTTATATGGTCATTGAAGTGCTATTTACAATAGCAAAGACACAAAATCAACCTAGGTGCTCATCAATAATGGATTGGATATAGAAAATGTGGTATGTATACATCCTAGAATACTATGTAGCCATGAAAAGAATGAAATCTTGTCCTTCGCAGCAACATACTTGCAGCTGGAGGCCATTATCCTAAATGAACTAAAGCAGAAACAGAAAACTAAATACCACATTTTTTTACTTATAAGCATGAGGTAAGTGTTGGGTACACATAGCATAAAGACAGGAACAATAGACACTGGGGACTCCAGAAGGATGGAGGGAGAGAAGGACAGGGCTGAAAAACTTCCTATTGTGTACTATGCTCACTACCTGATTGACAGTATCATTCACACCCAAAACCTCAGTGTTATGCAATATAACCTTGAAACAAACCTGCATATGCACCCTGTTAATCTAAAATAAAAGTTGTAATTATAAAATTTAAAAAATTAATAAAGTTTCCCTGGTAAGGGCAGCCATAGTGGATTGCTACTCCCTACTCAAGACTGTCTTAGCTTTTATGTATTGTTCTTAACAGGAACCACACCTTGATATATAGGTGTGTATGTGTGTTTTCTTATTGTGTGTTTTCATTTCCTTGGGTATAGAAGCTGTATTACCTTTCTCTGTATTTCAGTGTATTTACATTTTTCTGTATGTAGTCAGATTATAAGTGCTTGCTAAAATTGAGTGAAAAAATAGGACAGAGGTATCTTTACCCAATAACTGTCTGGATTGTGAGATGAAAATACAGCTCTCTAGCCAGTTGGCTATTTTTCAAGACTTTACTGTGTACATCTTTCCGTTTACTTTCATCTTCCTACCGTTTTAGATGTCTCATGTCCTTCTGTTGTTTTCTCTAGAGGACAAAAAAGAGGCTCTGAGGAGGTTACATAATTAACTCAAACTTATGTGGTAACAATAAAATTCTTGGAAATACAAGGATGGCTAATGACCTATATTGTTTTAATCACCTATTTTCTCTATAATTATCCTCTGCCCAAGGCAACAGAATGGAGTGCATTTTACCCGTCCTTCCAGATAAACAAAAAAACACTTGATAAAAGTGAAAAAAAGGGCCCTATGATACAATTAAAATGATTGCTATTACACTAAAAGAAAAAAAATATTGCTTAACCTGTCACAACATAGTTTTTTTAGCATTGTTTATCAAGGCCAGACTATAGCAAGTTATGTCCATGGTAATAGTTGCTAACTTGGCTCATTCTGCTACCTGAGGATATTTTTCTATCTAACCTCTTTAAGGAAGGAGAATATACTAACTTAAATGGATTAAAATGTAGCATATACTTGGTTTGTATGCTTGATTGTAAATTAACTTACCAGTCAAAGCTGCTGCTGCTTTTTTTTTTTTGACAGAATCTGGCTCTGTCACCCAGGCTGGAGTCAGTGGTGTGATCTCAGCTCACTGCAACCTCCGCCTCCCGGGTTCAAGTGATTCTCCTGCCTTAGCCTTCCGAGTAGCTGGGATTACAGGCACGCACCACCACGCCCAGATAATTTTTTTTGTATTTTTGGTAGAGATGGGGTTTCACCATATCGGCCAAGCTGGTCTCGAATTCCTGACCTTGTGATCCGCCCGCCTCAGCCTCCCAAAGTGCTGGGATTACATTTGTGAGCTACTGTGCCCGGCCCCAAAGCTTCTTAAAATAAAGATTCCAAGGCTACTCTAAGAAATCCTAATTCAGTAGCTGTGAGTTGAATTTTTAAAAATGTCCCCATATGAGCTAAATGCAGGCAATTTGTAAACCAATATGTTGTATATTTCCTCTGCATCTATATGAGTAAGACTGTATATTGGCGAATTTTCTGAAGACCTTACCAAATTTATGCTAAAAGCAAAACCAAAATCTTACTTTCTTTGTGAAGCTCTACCCTATTCATTTCTTCATTTCTTCTATTTGCCATTTTTCCCAAAAGTAAAATTAACTAATTATGTAAGCACCATCTACACTCGGAAAATCATGTGATAATGTAACATGGCTCCTGTTTTCAAGTTATTTGCAGTATAGAGAACCTCACAAATTAATGAACAAAATTATTATAAAGGTGTATATTCTGGAATGGATCATTACAAAGTCATTGGGGAAAAATAATGATAAATTAATCACATGTCAACGTGGGTTAGATAAATCATGACATCAATAATTATAAGAAAATTAATATCAAACACATAATACTATAGTTGTAAGTACACTTCTTACATTAACTTATCTAATATTCAGAGCAATTCTGAGATAGGTACTATCATTGTCCCCATGTAAATATGAGGAATCTGATACAAAACAATGTCACTTACTTGTCCCAGATCATGGTTCTTGAATGGTGGAGTAAGGTTCATATCCAGGCATTCTTGATTCAGAGTTTGTCCTCTTAATCAAAATAATTAATAGAGGAGGCAACTTTTAAAAGGTTGTAAAGAGGAGGAAAAATCATTTCACAGAATGAAAAAAGACAAATGGAGAGGCAAGTGTTGTGGCAAAGAAGCTATGGAAGCTGTTGACAGCAATCTTCAGGAGTCAGTCTGAAGGAGTTGATGTGAAACGAGTAAAAGTACAGTGACAATCTATCACTTTCTTCCATCTGCCTACTTTCTCATGTTGCTTCTCTAGCCAACAACTTTCATGCATTCATTTATCATGCACTTGCCATGTTAATCTAGGCAGGACATGAATCATTGATGTGGACACTCCTGGACACCTTTGGAGTCCTTCCATGACCTTTAGAAATCACATAAAAGTTTTTAGAAATACTGATGATTGTTAGAAAAGTGCACATCTTTTTTGAAGAGCTTAGTAATATATATTTGTGAATGACTCAGTGTTGACTTAAAATGCCATGTTGAATCATGAATGGCAGGATGTAGTTCCAGAATCAGTATTATTTCATATAATTTATTATTTGGGAGGCTAAAACAAGAGCGTGCTTATTAAGTTTTGGTTGACAGGATGTTGGACATGGTTGGTAGAATTTTGGATATAATAGGATTAGAATTCAAATTAACTTTGACAAATCAGAGAAATATTCAGATTTATATTAGCTGCATAAGACCAATTCAGAGTGTACTTTGGTTATAAGAGAAATTAAAAGATGGAAAGTTGCTGGCTAAGTGCAGTATTTGAGAAGGACATTTGAGATCCAAGGACTAGCTAAAGGGCATAGTGCTTTCTTTATATTCATTCAGCAAAGTCTAGTTTTCTGTTTGTAATGAGGAACAGCATAATTTGATTTACATTTTGGAGGACTTGTGAAATGAATTTGAAACCTGTCCAGGTTTATCTTATATCAGTAAATCAGTTTCTAGCAACAAAGCTGTAAAAATAACTTTATAGATTCCATTTGTACTAATCAGCACAACTTTTTCAAAAGTTAGATATTAGTTGAAAATAATTTTATAATCAATTATTATATTAGACCAAAGATAATTTTTCTATCTAACCTTCTTTTTAAGGAAGGAGAATGTACTAACTTAAGTGGATTAAAATGTAGCATGTACTTGGTGAATTTAGAATTTGTGAGGGAGATAGGTAACTCCATTCTGAAGGAGCAGCATTTAACTTTTGGCATGAACTTTGGACTGCTTGCTTGCTAGAATTACATTGGCAGATGATTCATGTGATATTTCCAGCAGTAGAATCTGCAAAGTATCCTACCCAATGTGGTTGCCTAAACAGTTAAATCCTGTGCAATCAGAGAACTCCCACTGAACCAGTGATTATCTGTATGATATATTCTAATGTACTGAGCAACTGTGTAAAGATCATGTGGATTGATTGTTCATTTTACTAACTTCTTAAAGGGATTGAGTGGAAAAATTATACATTGCACTGTTCATTGTACTAACTCTGCTTTTTGATAAAAGCAGAATGTGGAATTTAGAAATGTAATTTTAATTACTTGTTGGAACAGATTTTCTTATTAGGAGAGAACACCTTTGAAATCAGAGAGTGAATCTAATTCTCTAAAAAAGTTTAATTTTACAGACTTTTGGAAATATATTGGAAACTTTGTTCATTAGATCTCTTTATAAATCAACTTACCAAAAAAAGAAAACAGAATAGAAAGATATATTGATTACCATAAGCATGACACTCAAGGACTTAACAATTATTTTAAGTATATTTTCCAGATTATAATCTGGAAAATTATATATTATATATATTGCCAAGACTTGAATGCTGTTTTTGCAATAAAAATTTAAAACATAATGTATAAATATTTAAATTAGATTAACTTTAGAAAATTTTGAATTTTATTATATAATTATTATTTAAAAATTTAAATGATAGAATGTGCTATTGATACCTAAAATATCATTTAAAATCAAAATATTATATTTTATTACATTCTATCTTAAATATTATATTATATTTTAATATAATATAATTTGTACTTATCTGTGTGTAATTACATTACTGTAAACCAAAAATGTCAATTAGAGGTAATATATGGATTCCAGGATCAACCTAATCATTGTAGTAGAATGTGATGTTACTATTTGTGTCAAGACTCCATAGACTTGTTTACAAATGGAGTTGGGAAACTAATTTTAGTAATGGTTTCTAATACTGTAAAATTGATGATTTAGTAACCTACATATAACGGAATGCCAGCTCCAACATTTTTTCATCCAATTTGGAATTTAATTTTACTGAATGCCTGCATTGTGACTTGTGAGAGAGAGAGGCATGGAACAGGATGGATTAAAGCTAAATAATACTCAGACCCTTCTTTGACATTTTTAAAAATTCTGGTAGTAGAGATGGTTATTAGTAACATAGTGATAGCAGTATTCCTAGGAAAATGAATTTTTGTCATGATTCTCTTGCTCTATTTTCCATTGCTCTAATTCTGACCTCCCTCCTTAAGAAGCTAAATTGTAAGAAGCAAAACTTTGTATTAAAATGCCACAGAATTAGACTATTTAACTTTCATTTTCCTCAAAGAAGTACAGCTGAATGAAAACATGAGCACATTACCATTCAAAAGTCCCTGGTCATCTTTTGGTCTATAGATGTATCCATACTTCCTTTTGATGTATCAGAGAGCTCCAGGCCACTTAGTATATCTTACTTAGGTCATAATAAAAGCTACCATTCTTTGTGCCAAAATCTGTACTGATTAGGGTTCTCCATAGAAACAGAACCAATAGGAGATATATGTGAAGAGATTTATTATGAGGAAATTGACTCATTCAGTTATTGGGCCTGAGAAGTCCCACAATCCACCTTCTGTTAGCTGGAAACACAGGAAAGCTAGTGGTGTGATTGCAGTTTGAGGCTGAAGGTGTGAAAACCAGGGGAGATAATGGTGTAACTCTCAGTCCAAGGCAGAAAAAGACTGATGATCCAGCTCAAGCAGGTATGCGGGAAGCAAAAGGAACTCATTGCTCCTTCCTCCAACTTTTGTTCTCTTAAGGCCCTCAAACAGATGGGCTGATGCCCACCCATGTTGGGAATGTCAAACTGTTTTTCCGAGTCCACCAATTTAAATGCATACCTTGTCCAGAAACACTCTCACAAACACACCCAGAAATAATGCTTTATCTGGGCACCCTGTGGCAAAGTCAAGTTGACACAGAAAATTCACCATTACATGGAGGCTCAGCGGGAGGCTTTCCTAATAGTAGCCTGTATTTAAAGATCTCTCTGTGTGCAAGGCATCTTTCTAAGGGCATTTCATATATTAACTCATTAATACCAATAACGTTATTAGTCAGGTGCTATTATTGCTTTATTATGATGAGGAAACTGAGCAGAGAAGGTAAGTAACTTGCCCAGGGAAACACCATAATAGAAGAAGGCAGTGTTCTATTTCAGGCAGTCTGGCTCCAGTGTTTGAAATATTACTCACTTGCGCTCTGGGTAACACTAGCTGAAATTCCAGAACCGCATTCTGTGAAATTCAAAGCTGTCTCTAATACTTTATGAATTGCCAATCATGCTTTTTTTATGGTCATCTTGACTCCTTTGCAAACATGCAATCACTTATGTATACCATATCAAACCAGTGTCTTTTCGTTGGTTTTCAGAAGGGAAAAACCCTGCTTTACAAAAAAGTTTCTATATATGGTAAAGGAAGAGTCTAAGCTTAGTAAAAGCCAAACACTTCCAATGAAATATAAACATTCCCATTCTCAGATTTTTTAAACTCTCTTACTCCTGGTAATATTCAGCCCTGTTCCTCCTCACCGTCTGCTGTTTTTTATCATCCTGATTTTCTCAGTTCTTCCCTCTTTGAGGCAAAATGGTTCCCCCTGCTTCTCTTGCAAAGCAGTTTTTCTTCATGGATCATTCTTGCTTTTAGATCACATCTTTTGTCTCAGTCCACCTACTCTTAAAGTATTTTCCCAGGCAAGCACTTCCCACCCTAGAGGACTCTAGGAATAGCAGCCAGGATGATACAATTTTAAACTCCTTTCCCTACCGCCTATTTGATGCTCATTATTTATGAGGCATTATGTTTCATAACATTACTTTTAATTCTCATGACTTTCCCATGAGGTAGATTTTTATCATTACCATTTTAGAGATGAGGAAACTGAGTTCCAAGAAAATTAACTCATTTTTTGTGGATTCAAAGACATTAAATGCAAGAGAGCACATCCCAGCTCTGATTCCAAAGTCCATATTTTTCCAATGGCACTTTCTCATTTAGATTGTGGATATTCTTAAATTCATTATTTAAACATAGTATTTGATGATTAAATGTTTTGCATGTATATAGGTTCCATTTTGTTCTGAAAGAGATCAGCTTGGTAGCTATGCTGTGAAAATGGAATGGATGGTCATTTTTCCTACTCTAATATGACAATAATTGAACTATCACATTTCTTAGTACCATTTTTAAAGTTGCAGAATAGAAGTGTAATGGAAAGAAGAATGTTTTGCTTTGTTTCCTATGAAGCTCAGAAAAATAAAAGTAAATATACGTATAAAAATAATTTGTTTTCTGAATCACTTTTCTGAGTTTCAAAAAAGCATTATGGATGGGAATACCATTTTTATCAATGAATAATATTTGAGGAACATACTGGGAATATACTGGTAAATATTTACTTCTGATAGCTGTAAGTGATGGTTATCACCAATGGCCGAATCAAATTTTTAATGTAACTTGCAAATTTTGAATGTACATATTTATACATGAAGTCAAATGTAAGTTCTCCTTGGACAGTTAGGAATTGAAGGCTATAATATTTGCCATTGAGAAGATAATTATTTTCTCAATATTCTCTAGAAATTTGATAAAGTCAATACCCTGTGACACTGATGATTCAGAAAGTAGGTATATGTCCTCTATAAGGTACTGGCTTTGAAAACAAAGATGGCACACATATGTCATTTGTAAAACGTAACTTTTGAATAAGATTTCTAATTGATCTCACACTCATATAGGCATTGATTCTTGATATTCTTACATTTTAAAAGACCTGTGTTATTAAAGTAACATTGTGTAATATGATTATGACTTCCCTTTTCTATAAATAAATTTCCTCTTTAACAATAAGAAATCCAGACTGTGTAATTTTATTTTAGCAATATAGGTAATACATGTTTCCAAAAAGTTTAGATCTTGATTAAGCCAGTAGATTTTTTGAAGATAATGTTATTATTTCACTTCCACCCTAACAATATATATGGCTATTTCGATTACAGTGCATTTAAACCATAAATTTATTTATTTCTGAACTTCATCTTCTGAAGTTTTTTGTCTACGACATACTTTTTCCTGCTAAGTTACCTCCTAATAACTTATATTTACATAGTAATGTACCCCATTAGTCTTCAAAAACATTATCTTCAAAAATAATAAAAAATCAATTCACTTTCATCAAAAGTGACAGATTTGTACCAAACGTAATTGTGATTCTTGTGAATAATAGTAGTCTTACCTAAAGTAGTTTAATTTGATTTCTCTTTCTGTCTTACATGAAGCTAATTTAGAAATGATCACTTCCAAAAATAAATAAAAATTATTTATCAGGATAGATTATCTATTAAAATTTAGTTCAGGTATCAGTTAAAAATGTACTAAATGCCCATTAATGATGTTGAATATATGCCTAATATACATATTCATGAATAGGATCTATTTAGAATAGTCTCAGTTATTTAAATATATATTTTTCTTAGTATTAGCCCTATATTAATGGCACAATTATGAATGCTAGAAGAATTTTGGTAAGTATTTATAAAGTCAATACTTCATAAAATCATTATTCCTTTTAAATACATTGAAAAATAATTTTTATGTAAAATATGAATATTAAGATATTTTATAATACAAAACTCATATTTAAAGAAAATAAAAGTTTGTTTTATATTTTAGTTTTTGACAATAACTAACTTTATTATAAAAGATATACCATGATCTTACCTCATTTAATTCAAATCTGATGAGAAATGAAGGATATTGTTATGTGGGTAATAATTTACAGATACTCAAATCAGGAGGACTTGTATTCAAATAAAATTGTCATTTTTTTACTCACTAGGATAAGTTACTTCTCTGATTCTCTGGGCTATATGATATAGATTCTGGTCTGAAGGCCTCAGCTACATGTGTTGGAAAAAAAACATGGGCATTCACTGATTCCATTAATGTCTGTTAGATTCCTGAGGTCTAATGAAGACAGAAGGAGCAAAAAGACTCAGATTTGCAATCAGTTCTCCCTTGGTGTTCAGATGTCTTCATTCACTTCCTTATTCAAGACTATTAGGAAAGTCCAAAATACATTGAAATGCATAGTTTGTAAAGCCATTGAAATAACTATAACCTATAACATAATTCATGATGTTAATTAAATTAATAATTATAAGAATTATGCGTATCTTTGCATAATGCAGTTTGCTTAACTAATCTTGTATTACACTAGCTTAAACCTAGAAACAAACTGACTATAGATCAGGCAAAAAAATTCAAGTATATTTTGAATAAACTAGTGAGTTTCTCAGTTTTACTCCAAAATTGGAGGTAGTATTGTTTTGTGGCTAATAACATGACGTCATTTAAAAAAAAAAGTTAAAGAAAAGCTACTTTTTAAAATCCAGACTCTGCAATACTCTACCTGAGTAACCTTGGGTAAGATGCAAGTTAGTTATTTAAGCTTGGCCATGCATTCCGACATGCAAGCTTACAATGAATAAGAATCATAATAGCACCCACCTCATGGGGAAGTTATGAGAATTACATAAAATATTGCGTGTAAACAGCAAATAATTTAGTGCATTTGCATTTGTGTGTCTTGTGCATGGAACTCTTTTCCCACAAATATGCAAGGCCCTTCATCAGAAAGAATTTTCCTAACCCCATTTTTAATAGCATCCTTCACTTTCCTATCTCCCCTCATCACATCTCAAATAATATGGTCATGCATTAGAAAAAAAAAAAAAGTCAAAGAATCTGACAGCTTTCCTAAACAGTTTTCTTACAGGTCATCCTTACTGACATAGTTCTCAAGATAAATTTTAATAAAGAGGAATCTTCTTTTTAGAACTTAGACAGTAAATGTTGAATGTCATACATCAATGAAAGCCTGAGTTCTTGGGGGACAGGCACTTCTGTAGTCATTTTGGTATACTTCAGAATACAATAGTTTTCTAATCTTCAAAAATATTTTTAATTAAAGCAATTGTCATGCAACTGTGATGTTGTCACTTATCAGCATAATGAATTTAAACTGAAGGCCACTCTTACTGTGAAGATGAGTTGATAAGCTGGAGGGACTGCATTGGTAATAATTAGTCAGAAAAGTGCAGTGGTGCAAATCAATATATTGGTGCTGAGACTTTCCTTGGGGAATCTAAACCGTAACAAAGCTGTCAAGCTGCTGGGAGATGGGGATGTTGCTGATTTGTGTTGCTAATTTATTCTCGATATTTTAAATATAAATACTGAATACATAAAAATCCAAAGAAGATATTTGACTTAATAAATAGTATTTAAGCGTTATTTGATCACCGAATCATGATCTTTTTTGAGAGGAGACGAGGAAGGATTATCAGAATTATTGTAATTTATTTTGGTCAGTGTTTAGCAAATAGCATCACTTGCTATTTAGTGTTATAACTTGTATAGAGTAATTTTATTTCAACTTTTTGCATTTATAAGGAGAGACAATATAAAATAGGCAGGACATTCTCTTGACTAGTGGAATTATAGTCACGGCCACTTAAACAGCATACTTCAAGAATGCTTCATGTAGAAGAGAACTGTCTCACTCATCATAGATTTTTAGGTTATCAAGTATAATAACATTATCCAAAGAGTCCATTTATGGTAGGATTTTCAAAAGTCTTTGTCCTGTATTATGCTCTAAGCTTTTCTGCAAATCAGACACAGAATTTTGTGCAAAGCACAATTTTGGGGGCTCAGTTTGCTTATATTAAGCGATTGGAATTTGGTTCCAGTTATATTGCTGCCTACCAAATTACTCCAAATTTTGTTGAGTTAATGCAAAAATGCTCATGGAATCTGTAGGTCATAAATGTGGAACTGGTAAAACAGGATGACTTGTGTTTTGCTCCATGTTTTCTGGGAAGTCATCGGAGGGTAATGCAAATGATGGTTAGGGGCTAGAATTATTTGCCCACTGCTCAATAAAGTAGTCACTATTTATCTTTAAATATACATTAATTAAAATGAAATACAATTAATAATTGAATCATTCAGTCACATTAGCCATATTTTAAATGTCCAGTAGGCACAACATAGTGGCTCCCAGGTAGACAGTTTAGATATAGAGAACATTTCCAACATCATAGGGAGCTCTTTAAACTGTACTAATCTAGAGACATCTTCACTCACATGTCTGACACCTGGGTTGGGAATGACTCAAGTCTGGAACAACTGGGATTGTTGATGTAAGTGTGTAGATGCAACATTCCCATTATGGTTTCTTAGAGCATGGAAGCTGAATTCTAGGAAGATTTTCAAGAGCATGCATTCCAAGAGAACCAGGCAGAAACTGTTTGACCTTTTTGCCTCAGCTTCTGAAGTCACGTAGGATTATCTCAGCATACCTTATTGGACACATAGTGAACCTAACCACCATTAACATACCTGTCCAGATTTCAGGTGTAAGGATAGAGAACCTCACTACCTCTAGAAGCTTGCTGAGTTTCCTTAAAACAATGATTTTACATTGTTGGTCAGGAAGTTTATACATCCCCATGTCTTTATGATTGGTTACTGGTTACTGATGTTTTATTTTATTTCTTCAATGATTTCATGTTACTCTGATTGTTTTTAATCTTTGTGACTAGCTGTTGGTGTCCATGCATCTGAAGAAGTAGAGATTTATTCTAGTCTTTGCAGACTGGCTTGTTTGGGAAAGCCCTTCACAGAGATTTTGAGTAGGCTGGCTAATGTGGTCCATGAGCGTGCTTGCAGCTAGAGTCCTCATGCAAGCTGGCCTTTTGCAGGTGCCCACTGGGGTAGACCTGTTTTTTAGGTTTGCAGGGGTGGGCCTGAAGCCTGGGTTTGCAAGTATGAGCCTGCAGCCTGTATCCACAGGGGCTGGCCTGAAGCCTATTTCCATAGGGGCTGACATGGTGCTAAGGAAGGCTTTTGATCTGCAAGGGTCATCCAGGTGCTGGGATGGACCTGTTCTCTGTGTCTACAGGGGCCAGCCTGTAGGTTGGGTTCACAGGTACTGGCCTGATGACTACCAGCCCAGTGTCAGGGTCAGTCTGGAGACTGGGGCCACTGGGTCCACCCTTGCTCCTCGGTGGGCCTAGGGACTGAGTCTTGGGGGTGGGCCTAGAACATATATCTGTGGGTCTTGGCTTTATGTTGGAGCAGCCTGAAGCTTGAGGCTGGTTGTGCCATGTTAGACCCTACCTCTAAGTGGGAGAAATATCAAAGATCCTGTGGCTATGATTTAAAAACACCACAGACTAAATCTTGTATCATAATTGGTGCTTTAGAAAACTATTTATAGACGTGATGGAAAAGGACTGAATGATCCAATAAAGAAGACTTGGTGTAAAAAAAATTAATAGGACTTCAGGATTTTTTGAGGATTTTAGTCAACTAATGTTTAAGGCTACTTTCTGGGGTGGTATTGTATGTCATGTTTACCAATTGTATTTCATCATGGCACATTTTATTAAATTATCACTTCTTCATATCCGATAATATTAAAGTTCCACAGAAAAAAATTAGGAAATGCTGGACTGAGTTTCCTTTAATTTCTAAAATTCTGTGATTTTGTTATTGCTCATGCTTCCCGAAGAAGTCTATTTAATACATAAACTTTTATATTATTTGAATTAAAATTAATTGACAATCATCCGAGATTTAGATAAATACAATAATTTATTCTACTTGATTGAACAGTGTCTCCCCAATATTCACATTCACCTGAAACTGGTGAATGGGACCTCATTTGGAAATAGGAGCTTTCCAGTAATCAAATTATGATAAGGTTGTCCTGGATTAAAGTGTACAGTAATATCAATGATTAGAATCCTTAAAAGAGAAATTTGGACATAGGAATATAGAGGATACATAGAGGAAAGAAGGCCATATGATGATAAGAGACCGAGTTATAGCTGTAGGCCAAGGAATGCCAACTATAGGAAGATATGAGAATGGCGTAGAACAGATTATTTCTTGGAGGCTTAAGAAAGAACCAACCATGCTGACATCTTTATTTCACATTTCTAACTTCCAGAAGTCTGAGAGTATAAATTTGTCATGTTTTAAGCCACCTAGATTATGGTAATTTTATATGTCAGCTCTAGCAAACAAATGCATTGCTCTTTGTTATTAAAAAAAAAAAAAAAAACTTTAGGTAGGTAGAAGTAACTTTTTGTCAAAATCTAAAAGATAATTATAAGAAAAATTCTTTTTACAATGAAGTGCTATAACAAATTAAGCTTATTCTTTAGTTTTAGTGTGTTCTTTCAGTGCTCAGAGTATTTTACTTTTACAGTTTAAATAGTAGTTCATTTCCAAACTAGCTCCTACAAAGTCCTAAATAATTGGCCCATTTAATTTATTATTTAATATCCCTTATATTCTGAATATCTTAATTCTGTTACAGGAATGTTGAAAAATTTGAAATTATATAGAAATTCAGTTAGTAAGTACTATATCACAAATTTGGTTATAATTCAGGCCAATTCATATTACCGATATGCATAGAATTTTCCCATTCTTTCTTTGGTACAGTACCACAAATAATTAGAAAAGCAATGTTATAAGTAATCTACTGATTTTGGTCAATTAATGGAGAAAAATACATTTACTTTGTGCCAGAAAGGAAGAGGGAAGAGAAGAGGAGAGGACAGGGAGGGGAGGGGAGGGGACAATTCATATGGTCCCCGGTAACTACTGAGATTCTGATTCTTCAGTAAAACTTAGTTTTACATTCCTGCCTTTGGATTCTGAGAGATATCCCTGTGTTTTACACACACACATAAAAAGGGGGAGAGAGAGAGAGAGAATTTTATTTAATTCAGCTGGGTAGAGTAGGGAATTTTTTTATCTTAAAAATTATTTTTCACAAAATTATTGTATTCATTTTTTTCTGAGATTTAATTGGTAATTGTAACTATAGAGAGTTGTTACATGTTTTAAAATAATGTGAGTTTATTAGTAAAATCAATCAGTAGGCAGTTAAAGTGACTATTAATATTAACATGGGAAATAGTTTCCAAGATGAATCTATGTGCACAACAGGGATTCAGTAAGTATATATTCAGTGAAATTTTGGACAGTAGGTAGATCTTACCTGAAGAAATAGTAAAAATAGTGTATCTGTAGAGCAAGGAACTGTAGGTAACAACCATTAATATTATTTTCTATTTGTACAACCAAAATAAATAACTTGTTGCAAACTATATACATAATAGATGCAATCTTCACTATGTGAAAAGTGATTGTTAGCTGGTTTGTAAACTTTAAAATTGAAGATAGTTATGTCCATGCACTATTTTCAGCATTAACCTAATCATAACAACAGTCAAATTTGGGATTGATAATATTGTGGCTATATGTAAGATCCTTTTAATTTAATTATAAACATATCTATTGATTGTACATGTATGGTGTTTGGAGGTAATAGTGCTGTGTAATAAATCAAATCATGTATTAGTTATAGACAGACAACTTTCTAAAATTTTAATATGTTTGAATATATATCATAAGCTAGTATTTTTCCCATGGCAGACATGGATATAACTCAGAGTGGAATTGCTTAAATTAATTTCAAACTAAAAATAAAATAGTTCTAAAATGCCAAGCTTGCCTTGGCACTGTAAAGAAAATACTCATTATATATAACATTATTGTTACATATGAGTAATTACATAACAATTTCAAAACATTGCATAATGTGACCATTATGATAAATATCAATTTTAATTAATACTCTAAGAACATACAAAAATGGCAAGCCCTTTACCATCACTGTTTATTATTGATGGCAACAAGTCAAAGCTAGATATATTTTATTTGCTTTGAGATGATTTTTTGGTTATGATTTTATAGCCAGCAATGCTTGTTATGCATCCATCAACAAAAAGTTGTTAACCACCTACTGCCAAAGAAAAATCAAAATGTCACCATCAAGGCCATCATGGTGTAAGAAAACAGACCTATACTCAGGCAACTTCAGTTCAGTATGATGGATACTGTATTAGAAAAAGTATCTGGGCGCTTTGTATGAGGAAGGACATGTCATTGTGTGGAGAAGATGAAGCTTCACTGAGGAGAGAGTGCCCTGGTCAGTCCTAACATTTGTTCTTGTGTGCATTTGTGAATTCAGTGGTCATTACAACTAGATTTCCTCTCTGCAAACAGCAACCTTTTCTTTTTGTGGTAGATTGTGGAAGTTTTTGGGGGCTTTACACATGCATTTCAAGACTGCAACAAATAGGGCTCTCTTTATATTTTAAATTCTTTTAACTGTCACATCCTCCCCTTATCTTACCCACTACTAAGCTTCTTCTTTCACACTTGTCTTTTTAATATTTTTCTTTTCATTCTCTTAATCCTTCAAAAGTCAGAGGAGAATCAGTACTCTGTGTTGTGATGAGTCTGGCATCTCGATCTCTGTTATATCGTCTCATAGGAAAAAAAAACAACTCCCTATAACTCAAGAAACATATATTCATTGATTCTATTTGAATTTATATGTTAATTCAGTTTTTGCTTACTACACACATTTTGTACATTTAAGAAAGATACATTATTTTTATTTACCATAAAATAGTACGGTGTAGAAAACATTTGATGGTCAACATATACCATAAACACAATAGTGAGTTGTTCATAAAATAATTTTATTGAGCTTATTTTATATTTTGAGAATCTTACTTTTTTTTCTTACTTGACTTCAATAAAAAGTAGTTACGTCATAACCTACAAGTAAAGATTTTATAAAATCCTCGTTGGAACTTAATTTTAGACCCAATATATTATACATATGTATAGATCTGGCTAATGACAATTTATGTCTTCCAAATAAGAACAAATTCATGACAATAGCCTCAAATGTGTCACAATAGGTCATCCTAGTGAACTTATGGAATTTAAGTAGTTTTAGTAAAAACAGGATTCTCAGATTTCCCTTTTTATTTTAAAGGTAAAGAAAAATTTTAAAGGAAACATTGGCAGCAGTAATATTACTGCATATTAACCTAATTATAACAGGAAAAATCCAAAGTTTTACTGTATAAAGAATTTCTTCAATTAAAATATTATTAATTAAAACTATAAATTACTCAGCTAAATGATAACATGCCCAACTACATATTATCTTGTCTATTATAATACCATCTTTCTTAGTTGGAGATATAGAAGACTAAACTGGCCTAAGAGAAAACTTTTCTTATTATATGTACTTTGGTAGCTAACACTTTATAAAATCAAGTTTGTGCTTATTTTTTGCAAGTTTATCAAATCATAAAAGTTTTATAACTACTTTATCTTATCCACAAGTCATTTACTTCCACTGTTAGGGCTGTTTCACTGTTTTGCACAAAGACAAATCATTATTTAAATGTAACCAAATTGATACTTTTCTACCTCAGTCTCAATATGTTACACAAGATACATGATTATTTCTGATGTAACCTTAATTATATAGAATATATGATTATTTCACATTTTGTGGTAACTGTTTATTGGCACTTAATATCTAATACAGTTATTGCCAAGTAATGCTGTTTTTTCCCATTGCTACCAAGTATTAATATTTTTGCCAGAAGAAATCATATTGGCATTAACCTTATCTCAGAAAGTCCTTACTTATTATTAAATTGATTTTATTGCTTAAAAAAAGCCACTCAAGATTAAAAGGTTGATTTGTTTAACATTGATATATTATAAAAGGCTCTGAAAAGACTACAACTATTTTTGTTGAAAAAGTTCAATTTTAAATGTGAAATTTTTTTATTATGCCTTGGGTTTAAAATGTTTATTTTCATAATTGAAACATCATAATCTGATATTTCACCTAACAATTTATTCTGTTGTTATAAACAAAGGGCTGTATTAATTTTTGCCATACGCTTACTATAACTCAATTCCATGGTGCCTAAAAAGATTGTTCTCAACAATGGCTTTCAGAAAAATACAAGCTAAGTAAATTCAAGATTTTAAAATTGGGGATACTATTGTTTAATCTGGATACTAATATAATTTATAGAAGATATAGTTGAAACCTTACAGATAAAGAGGCTTAATAAAAGTGTTTTAACAAAGCTGCATTAGAAAAATCAATTGTAAATATAAATATTAAATATATAAATACTGAATAAATTAAGTATATAAAGAATGACAAGAACTATCTAAAGGAAAGTCTGGTTAATATTTTTATAGCACTTTAAATCAGTTTAAGGTATATATATGATAGATTCTATAATCATCATCATAATAATAACTAACTTTTATTATGTTCTAGACACTATTATAAATACCCTAAATGTATTACCTTTCATTTAACCCTCTCAATAATCACATTAATTTATTATTCAGAAGTGCTTTAGAAATTCTGTGACTCACTGGCATAGTGATCAAAGAATATTCTGAAATTTCAGAAATGTAAAAATTGTTTTGAACTTTATTTTAACTTTATGTTTTCAAAGTTAATAATTTATATGTGGTAAATCCTAATTGGCCACAATATTTGATAATTAGATAAAACTATTCAAGTTACTTTGTCATTATTATCTATTTGGAAATAATAATTACATCTTTAAAAATGATTATTCATAAATGAAAATATATTTTATATTTCCACTAGCTACATATATATATATGTGTGTATATAGATATACATATATATATATATGTATATATATATATATATGTATATATATATAACTTCCAAGTTCTAGGATATATATGTGCAGAACCTGCAGGTTTGTTACATAGGTATACATGTGTCACGGTGGTTTGCTGAACCTGTCAACCCATCATCTAGGTTTTAAGCCCCACATGCATTAGGTATTTGTCCTAATGCTCTCCCTCCCCTTGCCTGCCACCCCTGACATACCCCGGTGGGTGATGTTACCTTCCTGTGTCCAAGCATTCTCGTTGTACGACTTCCAATTATGAGTGAGAACATGCAGTGTTTGCTTTTCTGTTCCTGTGTTAGTTTGCTGAGAATGATGGCTTCCAGCTTCATCCATGTCCCTGCAAACGACATGAACTCATCCTTTTTTATAACTGCATAGTATTCAGTGGTGTATATGTGCCACATTTCCTAATCCCATCTATCATTGATGGGCATTTGGGTTGGTTCCAAGTCTTTGCTATTGTCAACAGTGCTGCAATAAACATACGTGTGCATGGGTCTTTATAGTACAATGATTTATAATACTTAGGGTATATACCCAGTAATGAGATTGCTTGGTCAAATAGTATTTCTGGTTATAGATCCTTGAGGAATCACCACACTGTCTTCTACAACGGTTGAACTAATTTACAGTCCCACCAAGAGTGTAAAAGTGTTCCTATTTCTCCACAGCCTCACCAACATCTGTTATTTCCTGACTTTTTAATAATGGCCATTCTGATTGGTGTGAGATGGTATCTCATTGTGGTTTTGATTTGTATTTCTCAAATGACCAGTGATGATGAGCTTTTTTCACATTTGTTGGCCACATAAATATCTTCTTTTGAGAAGTGTCTATTCATATCCTTTGCCCACTTTTTGATCGGGTTGTTTGTTTTTTTCTTTTAAATTTAAATTCCTTGTAGATTCTGGATACTAGACCTTTGTCTGATGGTTAGATTGCAAAAATTTTCTCCCAATCTGTAGGTTGCCTGTCCACTCTGATAATAATTTCTGTTACTGTGCAGAAGCTCTTTAGTTTAATTAGATACCATTTTTCAATTTTGGCTTTTGTTGCCATTGCTTTTGGTGTTTTAGTTATGAAGTCTTTGCCCGTGCCTATGTCCTGAATGGTATTTCCTAGGTTTTCTTCTAGGATTTTTATGGTTTGGGGTTTTACATTTAAGTCTCTAATCCATCTTGAGTTAATTTTTGTATGAGGTCTAAGGAAGGGGTCCAGTTTCTATTTTCTGCATATGGCTAGCCAGTTTTCCCAGCACCATTTATTAAATAGGGAATCCTTTCCCCATTACTTGTTTTTGTCAGGTTTGTTGAAGATCAATTGGTGGTAAATGTGTGGTGTTATTTCTGAGGTCTCTGTTCAGTTTCATTGGTCTCTGTATCTGTTTTGGTACGAGTACCATGCTGTTTTGGTTACTGTAACATTGTAGTTTGAATTCAGGTAGCATGATGCCTCCAGTTTTGTTCTTTTTGCTTAGGATTGTATTGGCTATACAGACTCTTTTTTGGTTCCATATGAAATTTACATTAGTATTTTTTTTTTTTTCGCTAATTCTGAGAAGAAATTCAATGGTAGCTTGATGGGAATAGCATTGAATCTATAAATTACTTTGGGCAGTATGGCCATTTACATGATATTGATTCTTCCTATAAGCATGGAATGTTTTGCTGTTTGTTTGTGTCCTCTCTTATTTCCTTCAGCAGTGGCTTGTAGTACTCCTTGAAGAGGTCCTTCATGTGCCTTGTAAGTTGTATTCCTAGGTATTTTATTCTCTTTGTAGCAATTGTGAATGGGAGTTCCCTCATGATTTGGCTCTCTGTCTATTATTGGTGTATAGGAATGCTTGTGATTTTTGCACATCAATTTTGTATCCTGAGACTTTGCTGAAGTTGCTTATCAGCTTAAGGAGTTTTTGTGCTGAGACAATGGGGTTTTTCTAAATATACAATCATGTTATCTGCAAGCAGAGATAATTTGACTTCCTCTCTTCCTATTTGAATACCTTTATTTCATTCTCTTGCCTGATTGCCCTGGCCAGAACTTCCAGTAATACGTTGAATAGGAGTGGTGAGAGAGGGCATCCTTGTCTTGTGCCGGTTTTCAAAAGGAATCCTTCCAGCTTTTGCCCATTCAGTATGATATTGGCTGTGTGTGTGTCATAAATAGCTCTTAGTATTTTGAGATACATTCCATCAATATATAGTTTATTGAGAGTTTTTATCATGAAGGGGTGTTGAATTTTATTGAAGGCTTTTTCCGAATCTACTGAGATAATAATTTTGTTTTTGTCATTGTTTCTGTTCATGTGATGGATTATGTTTATTGATTTGCGTATGTTGAACCAGCCTTGCCTCCCACGGATGAAGCTGACTTGATTGTGGTGGATCAGCTTTTTGATGTGCCGCTAGATTCATTTTGCCAGTGTTTTATTGAGGATTTTCTCATCGATGTTCATCAGGGATATTGGCCTGAAATTTTCTTTTTTTGTTGTGTCTCTGCCAGGATTTGGTATCAGGATGATGCTGGCCTCATAAAATGAATTAGGGAGAAGTTCCTCTTTTTCTATTGTTGGGATAGTTTCGGAAGGAATGCTACCAGCTCCTCTTTGTCCCTCTGGTAGAATTCAGCTGTGAATCTGTCTGGTCTTGGGCTTTTTTTGGTTGGTAGTCTATTAATTACAGCCTCAATTTCAGAACTTGTATTCAGGGATTTAACTTTACCTGGTTTAGTCTTGGGAGGGTAACTAGCAATATTTTGGGACTTCTGGGTTGACCACATTTTGTTTGAAACATTTTACTTTTTATATCCCCTTTCTCCTCATAATATAATATAGCTGACACTTTCTGGTAGAAAGTTTATTTAACAGGTCGTAATCACTGAAGATATGATTGAAAGTAGAAGTGTTTCTTTTATAAATTACCTGGATGAATGTTTTCATAATATCTAATATGAAACTTTTTATTGAAGATTTTTTAAACTGCATAATTTATCACTATGTCAAATCCATGTGGAATTTGTTGAGAAGAACAAAAAGTAAAACAAAAAAAATCTTCTAAGCATATGGAAAGACTGAGTCCATTTTGCAAAAGTTTTACAAAAATCAACAGGACAAAAATATATCTGGCTGTAAAACACTGAATTAATCCTCATTCGTATCTGCGGATTACACCTTGCATTCATAATATGCCCACCTTGTCTTCTGCTCCTATATCAATATGAAAATTAATAACTTTAGAATTTTATATGTCCTTGAGTTCTTCAGCAGAGTAATCTGAAAGATGCAATATTTATTCTTTTTCATCAGAAAAATAATGCTTATTTTATGCTTATTTTCATGCCTTTAACTATGCCTTTCATGTCAAATACCCTCCCTCCACTGCTTCTCACCCCTACTCCATAACCTTCCTGAGTACCTACCGCAAATGGCTTGTCTTGCTTACATAGTCTTCTCTGACTGCTCTCTCATAGTACTTCATCTTTATCATACACTTGACACATAGGGTGATCTCCTGTTTAAAGACTACTTTTTTTTTGCATTTTTACATCAACTTATTTATTTCTGTTGAAATGTTGCTGGCTTATGAAGTGCAGTATTTTATATTTCTTTTTATCTAGCTCATGGCAAGTTCTGTTTCCCAATCCTATTGAATAAGCAGAAAAAATTTTAGAATAGCTGTTTGATCTTTTCTAAATTCCTACTGTTATCTTCCACATAGTTTCCATGTGGTTACTATTTGGATTATTACTTCTTTATTGCTTTTTACCACATGGTTAGACAGAATAGTTTATGAACAATTAAATTATCAAAATGTAAGTGACATCTAAAGGTGAATATAAGCAGTGCTCTGGATTATAAGAATATCCTCAGAAATTGTACATTTGTGTTTTTATAGGTAATCTTGGCTTTGATTGTTGTTGGGCTTTTGATAAATTTGGTGTCCTGCTGCCCACCACCAACCTTGGCTTCCTGAGACAAGTTCCAGCCAATGTTTTAATTTGGTCCTGTCCATTTCAGGATAACGCTTAACCAATGAGCCATCTGCCACCCTGGATATAAGAAAGACAGAAAAAATGATTACAAAGCATAACATGACAAAGGAGAATATGACCTTTTCAGTATTATATAGGCAAAAAGATCATTTAATAAAGTTAATTGATTGTAATTTTACAACATCAATTGATAAAGTTTAACACAATTTATCTTGTTTTTCTGCAAAATTCTAAACCTGATTCTTTTAGTTTACTTAAATCCTAACGTTGAGTGAATCAAAACAGCATAAACATCTTTGCCAATATAATCACAAGGTGATTGGCAGGAATCAGAACACATCTATCATGAGCATATTCCTTTAGGAGTAGGCATTTCATCTGATAACTCTGTTTTTGTATTCTACACTTACATATTTTATATTAAAAACATTTTCCAAAATCTGGTTCATTTACCACTTTGCATTGCAGATGAGTCTTAGAAAAAAGCCTTTGTAAAGGAGGCAGTGAGGAACTAAGAGATATTTTTATAAGGCAGAGTCTATGGTTTATCTCTTCCTAGAGTGACTGTTTTATAGAGTGAGGTACAGTGGCAGTTCTCAGGCATTTTTTGTGTCTTCACCTTTACATTCTTAAAAAAAAATTTAGAACATCAAACAGATTCTATTTATGTAGTTAGGTCTATCAATATTTATCTTACTGGAAATTAGAATGGAGAACTTTAAAACATTTATTATTAGTTCATTTATAAATGACAAACCCATTACATATTAATGTATAATAAAAATAATATATATATTTAAAATAAAATGAATGCCATTGTCCTACATTTTTTGCATATCTACTTAATGAATGAATTAATAGAAGACAGCTGGCTTGTATTCTGACTCTGCATTCAACCTGTGACTATATATTTGGTTAGATACGGAAAGAAAATCTTGGCTCACCATATATAACTGATAACTCTGTTTTTGTATTCTACAGTTACATATTTTATATTAAAAACATTTTCCAAAATCTGGTTCATTTACCACTTTGCATTGCAGATGGGTCTTAGAAAAAAGCCTTTATAAAGGCTTTATAAAGGCTCCTTTTTAAAGGAGGCATGTAAATGAGTGGGATAGGTGTTCAGAGTGCTAGATTTTTTTGTTGTTGTTGTTCATTTAAGGTATTACCATGATATGGTACATAATTTTAGTAGATTTACCCAACAAATATATTGGAAGGAAGAGAGAAAGCAAGAGACTGATTAGAATCCTATTGATGGAGTCTGAAAAATGGCACTGATGAAAGAGGATGAGCATGTCAATAGCTTTTTCAGAAAATTGTGAATATTCTTTTTAAAACAGCTTTGTGGAGGTATAATTGATGTACAAAAAACTGTGCATGTTTATTGTATATAATTTCATGAGTTTGGAGATACACATATACCCTTGATACCATTACCACCATCAAGGTAATAAACACATCCACGATTCTTCTTTTGTACTACACCAAAACTTGACAACTGGTGATGTCTAAATGGTTAATTACAGTATGGAATCTCAAACTGTATCAGTGAACCTTGTTTTTTACTCTGTTATATTAAAATACGTTGGTTTATATTGCACTTTGAATACATCTTTCACCATGTATGATTTGAATTAGAAAATACTGGTTCACTGGTTATGCAAATATTCCACAACTCCATTAACAATATCATAAAAGATTCACATTTCTTAGTATCACCACACATATTCTCTAAAAATACTATGAGAACTAGAAAGCTTTCAAGTTCACAGCGGCAGAATCAAGATGTCAGAAATTCAAATCTTCAACTTTGCAACAAAAATTGTCATGAAGTCTGAGTGATTTATTTTCAAGCAAATGTCTGCCAAATGCCTGCCTCTGTTTAACTTTGATTTTTTCCATCAGTTATTCCTTAAAGTAATAATGGTTTTCCATGAAAAATGTGGCTCATTCTGCTTGCGTTTCAATCACCCAAGTGTTTTATTTGAGACAACAACTGTACTTAGAAATGCAACAGAAGTGTTTTATGTGTTTGTTTTATTTCAACACCTAGAATATTAAAAATATGTGTACTCAAGGCTTTCAGTAGTCTTTTCAACTCAGTGATGTCGCACTATGCCACTGAGTTGGTTTTTGCTGAAATTCCTGACGTTTTATCCACCACTGCTTCTGCAATGTCAGTGCAAATGCCATAATAGTAAAAAAGACAAGATCTCAAACTATTTATGAAAATAGTTTTTATTTATGGAGTAAATGAAATTCAGAGACCCCTAGATGTCACACCATGGAGCACAGTTGGAGAACTGCAAAACTAAAGAAAATAAACTTTGTTACTGTAATTTCAAGAATATCTTCCAAAGCCTAGTTTATTCCTTTATCATCCGCATTTTATTTTATACAAGTGAATAATGAGTCTAAAAAATCAAATGCAATTCAATAAATATGAAATGTCTGTAGTTTAATTAGCATAGGAAAATATCCTGAAATAATAGTTGTTATTATTGTATTTATAGCTATAATTACTATTTAGTGTGTGTGTCTGTCACATAGATCTAGCTGCTATAAAATTCATTGATTCCTTATGACCACCTATAAAGTTAGTACCATAGTTGTCCGTTTGTTACAGATAAACTGTGGTAGATTAAGATACATGCGTGTATCTCCAGAGTCTATGAATTCAATATTTACTTTGAAAGACAATGTTAAAAGAAGTAAATATTTAGCCATATTTTTAAGATTTTTAAATGTACACATATAATTATCATAGAAATGTCATATCGGTAGTACAAAAATAAAAATTGTCGAAATTTAGAAAATATTTCTTACATTATGGCTGAAGTGGTCAAGGGAATCTTCACTGAATGAGTGGGATAGGTGTTCAGAGTTCTAGAATTTTTTTTCTTGTTTAAGGTATTTCCATGATATGGGACATAATTTTAGTAGATTTATCCAAGAAATGTATTGGAAGGAAGAGAGAAATCAAGAGACCAATTAGAATCATATTGCTGGAGTCTGAAAAATGGCACTGATATTAGAAATATAATTTGGTGAATCAAGGAGATATGACAAAGATCTGAAAGATATGATAAATATTTGGGAGATAAAGAGTCAAATATATTTTCAGGTTTTGAGTACAGGTTCATAGAAACATTTGTATCTGTTATAAATGAGATCATATACTATTTTTCTAATTCACAATTTTTGTACATTGTCTCGATGGAATGCTAGATAATTATTAGTAAAATTAAAAGAGTTTAATAATAAGAAAAAAAATCTAAATCTCTTGGTGTTGAAAAGGAGTATCTCCACATACTTGCCTGAAAGTGTCCAGTTACTTCAAAATAATTACATCTGTTTTTTGTTTGGCTTTGTATCTTCACAAGATAAATGCAAAGGTAAAATTTGCAAAAACTCTAGAAAAGAAGAGACAAGCAAGAAACTTACAATATTTTTTTCTATTTTTTTAACTGATGAATCACCCATTCTTTTAAAAATTCTTGCAATACATTTCCTTATAGATGTAACTTGACTGTTTGATTTCTGTCTGTAATCAAAAGTACCAAATTATTTCCTAGAGTCATTGAATGTAAAATGTCTAGCACTTTGTTAAGATGTTTAAACAAAGTAGCCTAAATAAACTCTTTAAATCATTGCAGCATTATCAAAAGGAAATAATAATAATATATTTGTATTTGAAATAAAGTTGCCTTTAGGAAACTAGTGTAGACCGTAGAGAAAAATGTTTCCTCAGTGCTAACGTGAGCCTTGTTTTTATAGGTGTGCTTTAATTATAATCTACTTTATTGTAATATACCGATCATGTCTAAATCACTATATTTTTGACTTAAAGAAGCCTTATTAGAGATGCCAGTATAGATATTTAAGTTCTTCTACATAAAAAAAAAATTATACGGGAAGAAAAACTATCTGCAGATTTCTTTGGAGAGCCAAAAATATGTAACTCTGGTTTATTAGTTGAGTGAATAAATCTAATGTGCAGTAAAACTGAGTCCCATTTCTATTCAGAGAGTTAATAACAGAATATTTTCATAATTTGACAGAAATGCATTGGCATAAAACTAATGGTATAGTTGCTCTGATTTATCTGTACTTTGGCATTTAAATTGCATAAACTGATTTTTGAAATTTATATCACTGTTTCATAGTTTTCCACATTATTTAATCACATGAAGACACACACACATGCATGCAGGCACAATGCACACACATGTATATGTATATTCATTCTATTCTATTACTGCTAGCCATACATTCTTTAATGTGTACTATATGCCCAGATGACAGGATCTCTCTTTTACAAATGAGGAAAAACCGATCAACTTTTTTTTTCTAGAATATGCAGAATTATTCTTACAATCATGTGGAATGGAATTGTGTCAGTTTACTTATAGTTCACTTTCTTTTGATTGCCTTGTTAAATCGTCACCTTTATCAGTATAATCAAAATTATTGAAAAATTTTTATGAAGCAGACTGTTCAAATTGCTCTTTTTTGTACTATAAATTGTTAGAACATTTGTCTAAAATGTGAGTATGTGTAAATTATTGAGTAAAAGCTAACTAGTTGTACTTGCTAATAAATGCGTTTTTTAATCTCATGAATTTTAATTGGCATTTATTCAAATAAGTATTTATCTAAAAATGACCATAGCCAGATACTGAGCACGATGATACATTAAATCCAGTATGTCTCAACGTTTTTCCAACAAACAACTTTCCCAAACAAAAGATTAATCTTTTGTTAGACTCCATGTATCTGTAATGTTTGTTAAATAAGTGTAAAATAGTATACATAGGATATGAACAGTAATGAATTCTTACTAGCTATAGTTTAACAATGATTTGCTTTCAGGAAAACTTGTTTGCTACTTCTTATTGTTTTATCCACAAAGGCTCCTCTAAATTTTAATTCTCCAAGTTCCCAAATTTTTCTCCATTCTTTCTATATATAAAAAGAAGACTTTCATTTTTTATTTTAATTAGAAGTTCAAAGTGAGAGCACATACATTGCCCTAAACTTCTTTACTGTATGTTTGATCTTTGCCCTAGCCCCTTTCTTCTGTTTATCTGGTGTTAAATTCTTTGAGTATGCACTTAATCCTATGAAGTAAGATAAGATTTTCCTTATCTGATATTTGCTTCTTGAAATAATTGTTTCCATATCTACTTTACGATAAACATGTTTGAGGTACATATATATTGACTTTTGTTTTTTTTTAACTTTTCTTTTTTCACAAACTTACATCTTTCTTTGTAGCCTGTTATATCAGAATAGTATTTTTCATTCAGTGCTTTTTTTTTTTTTCATCCTAAACATGTTCTTCAAACACTTATTTCCAATTCCTCATGGGCCTGCCACTTGTTAGGAATAACTTATGTCTCTAATATTTATACTTTCAAAAAGTACCCCTTCTTATGTAAATTTGTCTTCTCTGTTAGTCTTTGTGATTAATTCTACTGGTTCTCTTACTTTTCATACCACTGCAATCTCTTTGATATTTGTACTGTTTGTTTTTTCTGCTCCCTCCCTATAATAAAATTAGGTATATCCTCAAATACCCATCTTTAGCCTTCTTTAGGACTTTCTGAAATTTTAGCTATTTTAGAGTTCACCTTTATGTTGATGTTTAGCAAATCTACATCTCTAGCCATAGTCTTTCATGGGTGAAAATGAAATGCAACTTGAGGTCATAAAATGAAACATGACTTGTTTCCTTCTGCATTTGTTTAATGGTCTTGACTATGAGAACCCAGCCTTTTTGGTCTCTAATTTATTAGTCATCCCTATTTTCTGAAAAAAATCACCTTATAGAGTGAGAACAAAGTACAATGTCAAGGTTAGCTCATTGGAAGAAGTGGCCATTAAATAAGATCAAGATTGTAAATGTAGAAAAATAGCAAGTTGTATAAATAGCAGCATCAAATTATGAAGCACTTTAACATCCTGTGCAAAATTAATATCACTGAATACTTACAATGAACTTTAGGGCATGGTATTTCTTGGATATTCAAGTTTGCTATTAGTTCAGGTATTTTCATAAATGTTAAAGTTATTTGTGTTTTCTTCTCACAGTAAGCCACATTTTCAAAAATATATTTGTGCCAAGGCTCAAATATAATCATCTGGTAATAATGTGTATTTGATGTTTTTAAAAATAGCATTTCCCATACACATTCACACAATTTCCTGACCTTCCTCTTCCAAATAATTAATCATGCCATCTGTACTCACATCATATTTAACCAAATTTCTAATATAATATTTAGCACATTACATTATATTAGAGTTAGCTGTATATCTCTTTGCTTTCTCCACCAAACCATGTACCCCAGATAGTAGATATCTTATTCATTTCTGTATCCTCAGCCACTTGCTACATGTTTGACACATACTAGATATTCTCTAAGTAATTATCTGTATTTTCTTTTTTTTTTTTGAGACAGAGTCCTGCTCTTTCGCCCAAGCTGAAGTGTGGTGGTGTAATCTTGGCTCATTGCAGCCTCGACCTCCCTGGCCCAAGCACTCCTCCCAACTTGGCCTCCTGAGTAGCCAGGCCTACCAGGCTTGCACCACCATGCCTGACTAATTTTTGTATTTTTTTTTTTTTTTTTTTTTTTTTTTTGTAGAAATGGGGTTTTGCCATTTGCCCGGGCTGGTCTTGAGCTCCTGGGCTCAATCCACTCACGCACACTCCTCGGCCTCCCAGTGTGCTAGGATTATAGGCATGAGCCATCATGTCCAGTGGAAGTATTTTTTTTTAGTTAACAAAAATTATCTATTACCTGTTAAACCTGAGTGTAAAGTTTAAGTTGATTAAAAAAAAAAAAAATGTAGCAAGGCATTGTGAGTGGAAAAAATCTTAGAAGACTATAACAAGTTTCATGTTCTAATTCCAGTCTAATATAAATATAGGTAGGCTTGAATATGCAGTTTTATTCTGCTTGGTCCATGTTACTTGGTAATCTAGAGATTACCAAGGCAATCTCTAGATAAAGGCCTGAGAATCAGTCCCTTACTCCTCTGACTCTTAGAGTCTTGCTGTGTCAACCCAATTTGGTTTTTCCATACTTTAAGCTTCAAGTAGTGGCCATAGAGTTAAGAGACTCTCTGATATTAATATGTGGGTTGGGTAAGAATGGAGGAGTAACAGGAAGTCAGAAGAACCTAGTCACTACAAGTTGACCCTGGATAATATAAAACCACTTTTAAATTCCATATTAGCAATTTAATCAAGGTGCTTTTTTCCCGAAATAAGATGATTTTTTTTGTTTTGTTTCCAATTGTAATCCTGTGACAGGAGATCCTACATTTGCAATGTAATACAGTTTTTCATACCTCTAAGCACTTAGTTTTGATTCCATCAGTAAAGTTTCATGTTTGCTTTTTGTTTTATATCATATTCCACAGGGCATATGATTTTATTTTTTAAGCATTGTTGTGTGCCCTTCCATATCTAACAATGTGATTTAGATTTGCCATGACAAGTTGTGGAAGGGAGACTGGAAATAATTTCAGTGTTGCTTACGATTCAGAATTGGAGGCTTTAACCTATTAACATATTTAATTACAAAACATTTTATTCTCATTTGGAAATTAAACATAAGGTCTTAATTGTTCTGTATAATGGATTTGAAGTAAACATGAGTATCCATGTATATTATTTATATTTAAGGCTCATTAACACTGCCTTGATTATTTTAATAGAGTTTTTTTTGTGTGTCCTTATAACCCAAACTATAATAATACTTGAAGGAAGTCAGCATGTAATTTGTCTGGATATTTGAAAAACAGACTGCATTGTTTTCACATGCTGTGAATGAGAGCAAAGCACCAACAGTATTTCTCCCTCAAAGCTCAGCATTCTTGACTTTTCAAACATCACTGCTTGGGGAACTGAGAAACACAGAAGTTCTACTGATACGATGACTATTGACTGAAATGGCTGTATTTGTTAGCATTTATTGGCTGATGGCTTACCTCTCTAAAAATTCTTTTACTCCTAAAATCAATTTTAATCTTATTTGGATTGCACAGGTTGGAGAGGGAAAAAATGGTGAGGAAGGAGGAAATGGATATTTTTTTCTCATTAATTAGGGAGTTTAGTAGATCTAAAGATGATTACAAGGAACCAATTGAATAATCTTTGTGATTATAGTCAAGAAATGTATTATGTAGTCACCCATTTAATTCAGGCTATCACAAAGTTGTCACGGTGTAACTTTGTTTGATGCAATTTCAAGTTCCTAGCATTTTGGTTCTTGTTGAAACATTTCACTCTAGAAGCTTACCTTGGAAATATTGTGGGCATGGTTCTAGATCACCACAATAAAGCAAATATCGCAATACTGCTAGTGACATTTTGGTTTCTCAGTGCCCACAAAACTTGTGTTTATACTACACTGAAGTCTATTAAGTGTACAATAGCATTATGTCTAGAAAAAGCTCACAACTTAATTTAAAAATACTTGAATATTTATTAATTGCTTTATTGCTAAAAAGATGCTAACAATCCTCTGAGCCTTCAATAAGTCATAATCGTTTTTCTGTTGGAGGGTCTTGCCTTGATGTTAATGGCTGCTGATTGAAAAAGGTTAGTGGTTACTTAATATAGAAATGGCTGGGGAAATTTCTTCAAATAAGAGGATAATGAAGTTTGACACATTAATTGATTCTCACCAAATATTTTTCCACAGCATGTGATGGTGTTTGATAGCATTTTACCCACACTAGCATTTCTTCACCATTGGAGTCATTTTTCTCAAACTGTGCCACTGTTGTATCAACTAAGTTTTATGTAAATATTCTAAAACCTTTATTGTAATTGCAATAATGTTCACACATCATCACCAGGAGTAGATTCCATCTCAAGAAACCACTATCTTTGCTCATCTATAAGAAGCAACTTATCATTCATTCAAGTTTTATTATAAGATTGCAGCAATTCAGTCATACCTTCAGCCTCCACTTCTATTTCTAGTTATCTTGTGATTTCCACCACTTCTGCATTTACTTCCTCCAGTGGAGATTTGAACTGCTCAAAGTCACCCATAAGAGTTGGAGACAACTTCTTCCAAACTCCTGTTCACACTGATATTTTGACTTCCCCCAATGAATTACAAATGTCCTTAATTACAGCTGAAATGGTGAATATTTTCCAGAAAGTTTTCAATTTCCTTTACTCAGATCCATCAGTGGAATCACTGTCTATGACATCTATAGCCTTGCAAAATGTATTTCTTAAATTATAAGATTTGAATGTCAAAATCACTCTTTCATCTATGGGATGCAGAGTGGATGCTGTGTTAGTAGGCAAGTAAACAATATTAATCTCTTTGTACATCTCCATCAGAACTCTGGGGTGACTAAGTGTATTGTCATTGAGCAGTAATATTTAAAACGATTTTTTTTTCTGAGAAGTAGTCTCAACTGTGGGCTTAAATATTCAGTAAACCATACTGTAAACAGATGTGCTTTCGTCCAGGCTTTGTTCTATTTATAGGACACAAGCAGAGTTGATTGAGCATAATTCTTAAAGGCTCTAAAATTTTCAGAATGATAAATGAGCATTGGCTTCAACTTAATGTCACCAGCTGCATTAGCCACCAAGCTAACAGAGTCACCCTGTCCTTTGAAGCTTTGTTGCCTGGCATTGACTTCTCTTCTTTAGCTATGAAAGTTCTAGATAGCATTCTTCACCTCTCCTAGCCTTCACTGAATTGAAGAGATAAGCCCTTGCTCTGGATTAAGCTTTGGTTTAAGGGAATGCTGTGGTTGGCTTAACCTTCTATCCAGACCACTAAAACACTCTTTATATCCATAATAAAGCTATTGCACTTTATCACTTGTGTTCAGTGAGCTAGCATTTTTAATTTTCTTCAGGAATTTATCCTTTCTATTACAACTTGGCTATTTTGCTCAAGAGATCTAGTCTTTAGAGTCTCAGTTTTGGACATGTCTTCCTCATTAAGGTTAATCATTTCTAGCTTTTGATTTGAAGTGAGAGGTATGTGATCATTTCTTTTACTTTAACACTCAGAGGCTGTTTTTGGGTTATTAACTGGCCTAATTTTAATATTGTTGTGTCTCAGGGAGTAGGGAAGACTGAGGGGAAAGATAGGTATGGAGGAATGGCTGATAAGTGGAGCAGGCAGAACATACACATCATTTATCGATTAAGTTTTCTGTCATATATGAGCATGGTTCATGATTCTCTAGAAGTTACAATAGTAACATAAAATATCACTAATTACAGATTACTGTAACAGATATAATGATAATTAAAATGTTTGACTTACCGCAGGAATTACCAAAATGGGTAATTTTGGTAATCCAGGTAACTCATGACCCAGAGACATGAAGTAAGTACGTGATGTTGGAAAAATGGTACCAAAAGACTTATTCAAAGCAAGGATGCCACAAAACTTCAATTTGTGAAAAATGCAATATCTGCAAAGCATAACAAAGAAAAGTACAATAAAATTCTGTGTGCTTGTATAAATATTTGGTAGGATCAAGGCAGAGTCATATTAAGGTTGGTTGATCTAGTTATTAGGACCATTCCAATTTTATATTCTCATACCTTTTTACTAAAATTACATGTTTCATTAAGATAAATTTAATCAACTTTTAGACATGAAATAGGACATCTGTTTGGTAAAATCACATACCCTGAATTTCACTGATTCTAAGACACTTCCACCCCCCCCACCACATTTTAACATCTTTGAAATTATAATACATCCTAAAATTCGTGTGATTTTAACCTTTGTGGTTTGTAAGCAAGAGAAACAACACAGTTGTCCTTGCATGTGTCTGTACAAACTTCGTCCAAGCTGTCCATATTTTTCTCATTTTACTTGAGTTACGTGCATTGTTAAGAGTACAAGCATGTAATTTACTTGCCATTAAAATATCTTGAACTATTATACACTAATATGTGATATAAAAGTGAAATTATGAATATTATGCTCTCAGAAACTCTGAGACAAATAAAATACTGATATTTTGTATCACTATAGTTTTATGTAAATATGATGTAAAATAAAATAAATATAAAATAAAATAAAATATAAAAAAATTATTTTTTATATTATACTAGTGAAGCAAATATTTAATATTGGATGAATTAATATACTTTATTTCAAAGCTATAACCAAGTACTTTATAAGACCTAACAAAGGAAGATACTTTTAAATGAAATGTGTTGTTTTGTTGCTAAAATGTATGTAATACAATTATCTGTCATTTCCACACAATGTAAAATGAAGGCATTAGAAATTTTCCAATCCTTTGGAGTAAATGAGAGAGATTTTCAAGTGAGTAGAGTCTACATTACCCATTCATATATCAAATACAACTTTTGTTAAATCATTTTATAATAGTATATAAGGAGAATGTTTATCACTAATAGTACATGATTTTTGTCACTTATCATATATAAAGGTGCATCTTTCAGTTAAAGACAACTTATTATTAGTAAAGTATATAATCTAGCAAATACATATAAGTGCTAAAATAAAATACACTCTTTCTGAACACATTCTTTATTGAAAAGTTAGGTTGAAAACGTGTCATAACTCAAAGTAGCACTCAATCTTACATTGGAGTGGAAATCCTTAGCTACTTCTAATTTCTAAATATTTGGAGTGAGACTATTGCTTATTAAAATTCCAATTGTATTTTTAAGGAAAATCTACATGTCATATTTAGACACTTTTCTTTTCTTTTCTACTTTTACTTTAGGTTTGGGGGTACATGTACAGGTTTTTTACACGGGTACATTTCATATCCCTGAGGCTTGGTGTATTAATGATCCCTTCACAAAGATAGTGAGCATAGTGCTCAATACGTAGCCTTCCCTGCTCAATGAGTCTACAATATCTATTGTTGCCATCTTTGTGTCCATGTGTATTCAATGTTTAGCTCCCACCTGTAAGTGAGAACATGCAATCTTTAGTTTCCTGTTCCTGCCCTAGTTTGCTTGGATAATGGCTCCCAGCAACATCCATGGAGCTTCAGAGGACATGATTTCATTCTTTTTTATGGCTACATAGTATTTCATGGTGTATATGTAATAAATTTTCTTTATCGAGCCCACTGCTGATGGGCACCTAGGTTGATTCTATGACTTTGATATTGTGAATAGCACTGTGATGCACATAGTGCATGTGACTTTTTGGTGGAACAATTTATTTTCCTTTGCATAAATACCCAATAGTAGGATTGCTAGGTCAAATTATAGTTCTAAGTTCTTTGAGAAACTTCCACATTGTTTTCTACAGTGACTGAACTAATTTACATTCCTACCAGCACTGTATAAGCATTCTATTTTCTTGGCACCTCACCTGCCTCTGTCACTTTTTGATGTTTTGATTATAACCATTCTGACTGGTGTGAGATGGTGTCTCATTGTGGTTTTGATTTGCACTTCTCTAATGATTAGCAATGATGAGCATTTTTTCATATATTTGTTGGCTCCATGTATGTGTTTCTGAGAAGTGCCTGTTCATGTCCTTTGCCCATTTTTTAATGGGGTTGTTTTTTGTGTGCTGTTTTATTTAAGTTCCTCATAGATTTTTGGTATTAGACATTTGTTAGATGTGTAGTTTCTGTTTTAATGAACATTTTATGTTTAAAAAGTGGATTGAAAATAGTAAAAAATGCAGTAGGTCTCTGAGCTAGAAATTAAATTTAAAAATGCATATTGCAATTTCATAGATTTGTTTTTAAGGTAGGGACATTTATAGATTATGTAATCCACTTCTATGATTTCATGGATGCACAAAAAGAGGTCCAGAGAGATTGACTTATTTAATGTCAATCACCCAGTTTGTTGGGATAAGAATTGTGTTCTCATAGCTGGTTAAATGGGATAGGAAACCTGCGAATTTGAAGTGTCTCTAATTGCACAGTCCCTGTAACTACAATCTCAATTTCTCCACTTATTAGCTTTGTGCTCTTTTAAGGTTACTTAAGCTCTTTGTCCTCAATGCCCATATTTTTAAAATAGGGATATTTATATTGTCTACCTTCTAGAGATGTTGTGATAATTAAACAAGTTGATAGATAAGCATATAAATAGTACCTGGCACAGCAATGTGCATGGCACCCCCCCCAGAGTAGCGCAGTATACATGTTATGCAGCCCCTTTACAGTATACATGTTATGCAGCCCCCAAGATACATATTATGTAGTCTCTCTCTCTCTCTCTCTCTCTCTCTCTCTCTCTGTCTGTCTATCTAGATAGATCTCCAATGTACTAAATACTATATGATATTCTGGATTGGATCCTTGAAGGGCAAAAGGACATTAGTGGCAAAACAGGTGACATCCAGATAAATTCTGAGGCTTAGTTAATAGTAATGCACCAACGTTGTTTTCATAATTTTTAAAAATGTACTGTGGTGATATATGATGTTAACATTAGGGGAGACTGGGTAAGGAATATAAGAGGAACTTAAACATAGAACAAAATATCACAATCAATTTTTAAATATATTCAATTGATATTTGTCAATTAAAGAAATAAAGTAAAAATAAGGAAAACTTATTTTAAGATAAATATTTGAGGCAATCTTTAATTCATATCACATTCTTGTTTAAGTGTAAGATGTCATTCTCTGTTACTCTTGCTGACCCGCAATTTCTCCACATTTATCAGATTATTTTCTCTACTGGAATGATGTGTAATTTCTTCTAGTTGTTATTATAATCAAAGAGAGCATACAATTTAAAAAGATCAAAGAAGAGTATTATAAATCAGAAAAAAACAGTATCAGGACAATCAAATTCAGCATTCTCCTTGTATCAGGAATAGATATGGCTGTACGTTAAAAAAGAAAACAACTAAATAACAGTTGTTAAAATAACATAGAAATTTTTTTTTCCACACATTACCTTCCAGAGGTTAGTAATCCAGGGCTAGTATGGTTTTCCTATCACAAAGTCAGGCTCCTTCCACCTTGTTGCTAGGACAATGTGCATCTTCCCTATCCTCAAAGTTGTCTCATGGCTTAAGTCTTTTCAGTTCCCATATTACATCTCATGTCAGCTACTAGGAATAGGAAAGAGAACTGGAAAAGGCAAAGTCATATAGTCTTCTTGTAAAATGCTTGCCAGACAAACGGTCTTTTTCCTTTCCACTACCTCCAGTCTTTTGGCCAGAATTTAGTTATATGTACGCTCCTAGCTATCAAGGAGGCTAGAAATATGGTATTTATTTTGGGCAACCGTCTAAAAAGTGAAGGTACCTTTTCAGTTCCACAGGAAGAAAACTACTTGGGGAAATACCAGCAGCCTCCGCCTATTCTCCCACCAATTATAGATCTTTCAGCAACCAGGAGAGAGCAATGGAACATTATATTCTCCAAGACAAAAGCCTTTTTCTCTCTGAAAAACTGACAGAGTTGTGCAATACAGTGGCCTTGACACATACAACAAAAAATGCAAAGGAAAATACTGAATTAAAATTTAATTGGGTTCATCCGAAAAATCTAAACTGACTGTTTCTTAACCCAGGGCTAATGAAAGTCTTATTTTGTTTTTAAATCATAGAATCTTACCAAATGTAGAAGTGGCTTGCTCCATTTTTTTGGCAATATATTTTAATTTATTCCTTTGCTAGGGTCTTCTATTTTTAGGTCTGTAGGTTGGGAATCTAAATGCTTTCGCTGGTTGTAATATTATATGAAAGAGAATTTATTTTGCAGATGAAAATGGAGAAACGTTTCAGCATTTGGAAATATATATTGTCAAGCATTGGACTGTTGGTTGTGCCTGTGCTAGTGAATAAAGTGGCATGTTTATAATTCTATGTTGTTAATCAATTTATGAATGATTGCCTTTTAAAAACTCATTTTTAAATATTTGATCTCTAGTGTACAATAATCTAGTTCATTTATTATAGAGATAGCTCATTGGCTATCAAGTTACGTGATAGACTAAAACAGTTATTTTTGCAAAGTTCAAAATATAAAATATAATATATTGAAGTCTAAAGGCAAAATGACAAAAGTAGTGCTTCTGTTAATAAACCTATATTTGCAACCATTCTGCTTTGCAAAATTAAGACTGAATAAATGAGAGGCATCTAAGCAGTGTTCCGATACTCATTTTTAAATACTAAAGAATATGATTTTCTAATAGTTGGTCACTGTAGTGATTAAAATTAACTTTTAGGACTTATTTATTTGTATTTTGCCATCTATCACTTTGGGGGTAGGAACAATAAAACATTGACTTCTAGTGGAACATAAAAATCCATGATACATAACTCTTTGTGTATTCTTCAATTTCCTGTGGCTCAGGTAACATCACAAAAATTTTCAGATAATTTTATTTTGGAATATTCTACTGAAATAGAAATCAGAGGCTAGATAATTTTGGACAACCTGATTAGTTGTCCAAAATTATATGATAAGTTGTCCTAAATCTACTTGCCACTGTAACATGGCACACAGGAAAATTAGAAAATGGTTATTAAAATTTTAATTTCATTCTCAATTATTAAAATGACTTTTTGTGGCACTATGCCTTATTATCTCAATTTGCCAGAAATCCTTTTATTGTAGTTACATGTAAGTCATTTTTTCTCTTGTAGTGATTTTTTTTTTTTTTTAATGGAGTCTCTCTTTGCACTCCAAGGCTGAAGTGCAGTGGCATGATCTTGGCTCACTACAATCTCAGCCACCCCGGTTCAAGTGATCATCCTTGATCACTTGTAACTGGGATTACAGGCATGTGCCACTACGCCTCGCTAATTTTGTTATTTTTAGTAGAGATGGAGTTTCACCATATTGACTAGGCTGGTCTTGAACTCCTGACCTCAGGTGATCTGCCTGCCTCGGACTCCCAAAGTGCTGGGATTATAGGCATGGGCCACTGTGCCCAGCCAGCGATTATTTTTCTAAGTATAAAATTGCATTTTTTCCTATAATGTTCTAATAGGTGCATATTTTAGTAAGCGTTTTAGCATGAGTTAAGACAAAAGCAAATAAAAAATGAAGTTGAAACCTAAAACAAATTCATGTTGAAAATCTCTTATCTGAAATGCTTGGCACAGAAATGTTTTTTATTTAGAGTTTTTTCAGATTTTGAAATTTTTGCAATATACAGGTTGAGCATCCCTAATTTAAAAATCCCAAATCCAAAATGTTCCAGTGAGCATTTTCTTTGAGCATCATGTTGGTGCTCAAAAAGTTTTGAAAGTTGGAACATTTCAGATTTTGGCTTTTCAGATTTGGGATGTTCAACTTATTTAGCATTATTAGGAATCTCCTTTTTACTTCTCCACAATACGCTCCTTTCATTGTCATAAAACAAATTTTTTTAAAGATTGTGCATAGATTCTAGTAATACCTAACTCATTCAAAGGAAGAAAAAAGAAGGGAGTGAGTGAACCTGAGGGAGGAAGGCACTAATTTACCTAGTTAATGCAGAAAATGCCTTTGGGTTGAGTCTACAAAACTGCTCTCAGTTTTCCCCAAACTTACATCAGTACCATCACAATAACAACAAGAAAAATTGCAGCTTGGTGTTAATTTTTAGTACACTATATATAACACCTTATAATGTAATGGCCACACAAGGCATGCAGTATCTTACAAGGTGTATATAAAAGGTATCAATCATTCCTAAATCTGTCTGTACTTTCAGGAATTTTACATTGGATATGGTCCCTGGATATGATATAGAGTAATAAAGCTATATGGCTGTTAAGCCAAAAAAAAAAAATCTTAACTTCCTGACCATATCCAGTAGGGCTTTGCAGAAACATACAAATAAATATTTTGTGTTTTTTTATATGTCTATGAAAATACATCATGTTTATGTCTAAGAAAAAAATCTTGGTGTATCATTGTCAAATTGCTATTTTTTTTAAATGAAGACATTACATTATGTAATAAGAAAAAAATCTGAATTATTACATTTCGGAAGAATAATTTCAATTAAAATTAACGTGGACTTTTAAAAGAATTTTATGCTTGGCAACAAAAATGTAGAAGCAGTTTAGGCCCACCACTTTATAGGAAAACAATTAATTTGAACTATGTACGGCCCATTAAGAATGCATTGGTAGAGTCATGAGTGGTAAAACCTGAAACTATTAGGAAAGTAATAAACAACACTAAGAGCAGTAGCTCTTTATCCTCAAGTGATAACTCTAGCTTTTCTAATGTACTTTTGTTGTGGTTGTTTAAAAATATTATAATAATGAACGTCCTTCAGTTAGGTTATTGGCTTGTTTCAATGGCTAAGCATGGATATTGAATGTAGAGCTATGTGACAATCTTTGATAAATCCTTGTGCCTCATTGTCATGATGCATAATGGTAAGATTGACAGAAAGATGCCAACAAACACATGCATGAGGGAGAAGCCTTCTTTCATGTTCAAGATACAACATGCTGTGCACATACTGTGCTTGGGCTGTATGCATATGTAAGTCACCGTGCATGGCAGATGACACAGTAGGCATCATCCCCATTTGAAACCCATCTTGCATGGCCTTTCAAGATGTGCAGAAGAGCTGAGGCCAATGAAAACATCTGATACAACATGAATGTCCAATTAGAAACTCTGAAAAGCTACTTTTGCCTTTCATGTGACATGTGGTCATGAATTAAGAATCTTTAGATGAATAGACAGAAGGAAGACAAATATAAAATCCCCTTTGTGAAAAGCAAATTCAATTTCCCAAAATCCTTTCTAGATCTTCACATTTATTAGATGCTTTCATGGTATCATCATCTCCAGTGTGCTGTGGAAAACAGTGTTTACTGTGAGGTTAAGGAGCTTCCTGGTTATTTTCAGTTTTTACTATCCCCCAGAAGGTAAAATGTTTAAGCCTATTTCTGAGTGAAATAATTGATCTTCATGTTTTTGAGAGAAACAGCTAGGGAATCTTGGCAACTTTCCTGAGCATGTTTGCTGTGGACTTTCACTCTAACAGCGGTTACTTCCTGATAAAAATGTTCTTACTTTTGAGACTCAAAGTTTGATGGAAAATAAAATATTTATATAATACACCATGATACTACTAAAAATAAAAACTTCTCATTTGTTTCAGCCTCCTGAATAGTACCTTATACAAAGTATACTTGCAAAAATATTAGCTCCCTTTTCCCTTTATCATTCTGAGAGAGATATTATATAATATATATTATCAGGGTCACTGTTTTCACATACACAGAGAAGTAAGACAAACATTTGGTCAAATATTAATGCCATTTATTGTGTTCAAATCCTTTCTGTAAATTCAATTGTTTAATTTTCATGTGACTTTTGTAGATTTGCCAACTATATGCTCTTTAAATTTTAATAATTCTAAAAAATTTACCTTCAGTATTTTTAAAATTTTGTATAAAGTTGTTGCTCATTGAATGACAGCAATGATCTGATACCTTAGATCAAGATCATTAATAATTTGCATATCATCCCTATATTTTATCTCTAACTGTGTGTATATACTATGAATGTGAAACCTTGGGGTTAATCTATAGGGCTAAGTCCTACAAAATTAAAATGGTGTATGGGAGGCAGGCTTTCAGGGTTATAATTTGATCTGGGATACACCTTAATATGATTAAAAATGAACACTTTAAAAATATTCTTTTTATATTTTTAAAAATATACATGTAATGCCTACAGATTGTATGTATCTGTATAAAAGTATACAGAAAATAATAGCATATAATTAAAAATGAATATATAATATGAAAAATATATATATTTCTTATACTGAGTTAGAAAATTAAATAATATCTGTGGCCTTAAAATATATTTTGATCTTTTAAGGATCCTTTGTTTCTAATTCTTTGTTCCAAGTCATCCCAGCAAGATGGATGCTTAAGGGAGTGATGGTGTTGATATCAGGAGCTAACATTCACTCTAATCTTGTTTTATAATTAGCTTTATAATGCACGACCACAAATTTGGCAGATTCATATAGTCCCTAAATTTTCCATTTTGAATCACTATCATATCAATTATATTAAAGAGATATTCCTGATTGTGTGCTTGTTTTACTGATACTTTATGCACATTATATTAGTACTGATTAATAGATTTTTTTCTGGACTAGAACTTTCTTGATCATTCTGTATGAAATTATTGCAAAGATAGAAAAGGAAACACTTGTTTTGCTTTTCAATTATAAAGCATCAGTGTTACCTTGGTGACATCGACAAAACAATAGCTGTACACATTCAATCATCTGCAAAATCTGACAAATATTAATTATATTGATTTTTCTATTGTCTTATGGAGGTAGTGCTCCTTTTATCCAAGGAGCAGAAAAGTTAATTATATACTTAAAACCCAAATTAGTGAGTGGTTCCATCATTTACTAGTATTTCTCTCCTTTGTCCTGGTATTCAAAAATCAGAGCTCAAAATTAAATGCTGCTTTCTTTTAAAGTGTGTTAAATATTATTGGTGTACTGAATAAGAAAAAGAAACAAATAAGACATGATCAGGCCATCAATAACCTAATTGCTTATAAGTATTACACATAGAAAAAGAAACTGTAAAAAGCAGGATCTCAAAAAGAGGGGAACCATCCTACCATTTAATGATATTTATAAATATCTGGATATGATAAACTCTATAATCCATAAACTATAACCTGGTAGGTAAAATAACATCTAGAAGAAGCCCACCATTCTAATCTGGCAATATGCAATTTGATATAATAGTGGTAATACATGGAATATTGGAAGCTTAATTAGTATTTCAGTTACCTAAGTGAAATATTATTCTTACTGAATCATTGCTAAAAATACATCTCATAAAGTCATGTGCATATGCCCTCCTAGACTGTAATTTAGATTTTTAATATTTATACTTTGCAATTAGCACTATCATTACCTTTTATTTGGGAAGGTATGTGGAATCAGTACTCTTAAAATTTTAAGAAAAAATCCATATTTTCTGATGTTGTTCCTAGAGTATATTATACAGTGATGTATTTTACTATCTGCCAAAACTGCTCTTTTTTACAGCAGAAGATAAATTGTTCTTTATCTCTGAGCAGTGCCTTTTTGCCATAGCCAGTGGGATTCAATACCACTGATTCTTTTTACAATCTTGGTTTAGAAAATTAAAGAAACTCAAGTAGCACTGCTGCAATTCATTCATGGCTAATACATCTTGTCGCACATGACTGAGGACAAGTGCCCTCCAGATTAAATTTTGCTGCTCAGCACCCTGCATTTTCATAAAATATAGTCCTTACATAGCTCTATGAATATCCCAAGCATGTGGTTTAATTTAAACCAACATGCTTGAGTCACCCATTTAAATAAAATGTTTATAATGTTCCAAAACTATTTTATAAATGTACTTTCTTCAAATAAAACAAGTAAAGACTATAATTTTATATGAGATAAAACAGTATTGATACTCAGTGATAAGTAGAGATCTTCGGGGAGAATTGCCTGGGTTACCTTAGGGAACAGACATTTGCTTCTGAGTATTGATTTGTGAGAGGAAGATGGCACTGCCAACTGGTGCTAAAAGTCCCTGCAAGTGTTGGATCAATCCACCCTGTTTCCCTCTACCCCATGGCCTAGGCAAGATAGATACAGTTGATATGAATGGCCTTACAAAAGGTTACCTTCTCCTGTGATGCTCTTTTTAGGTTGCCTGCTGCCTCATTTGTAATCACAGTTTAAAGGTGGACTTTGATATGCATTGTGAAAAATTTATCATAAAATAAATGTATGAATTTGGTAAGGGTAAATGAGAGAAAAAGGGATTCTAGAATGAATTAAAACAGTCTCTATCAGGGAGTTATTTATAATGAAGTATACACATACCCTATGGATGTTTATTATCATAAGAAACATATCCTGAAGTCTAAGAAAAGATTTTAGATTATTATGGGATTAACAAAAACCAGTTGAAGTAAGCATCTGATGCTACAAATTTCTCTTCTCTCTCTGTCTGTCTCTCATTCTCCCTTTGTGTGTATGTGTGTGTATTATGATCTCAGCATAAACTATCAGGTATTGCCTCATAATGATAAAGATTTACTTTTGGAACTATTCATGGAACTTTTAACCACATAGAAACGATGTTGAGATCAAAAGGAACCTAAAACTTTAGGGAGAAAGAATCAATCCACACTCTCATGATATGTACATATTTAATAATACTCTATGAATCAGTTGGAAGAGCAATGTGATCTCTAGTTATCTGGAGAATGTTACTAGAACATTATGCATTCAGTATCCTGTAGGTATGATGGGAGTTTTAGGGATCACATCAAATGATCTGTAGGCTTAGGGATTAATCAATACTGAATCATTATATAAACCTTTACTATAAGTAAAACTTTTACCAACATAAAAAAAAACTATAAAATTAAGCCACTGTTTACACATGGTTCAGAGTGTCAAAAACCAGCAAAATGACAAAAAATAAGTAGCAGAATCCATGTGAAATAAAAACTAAAGAGTAAACACAGACTAGTTAATGGGTTGAAGTTCTTTCAACATTACATAGTATATATGTTATGTCAATATTGTAAGTTAATTTTTGCATACATATCAAAAATTATTTAGTTATGTTCCCTAATGAGAGTGGCAGGTCATTTATTTCCAAAGAGCAGTTTAGTGGCCCTAGTTTTCTTATACATAATCATTAGCTATTCAGGTACATTATCAAATGTATACTTTCTTGCCTCTATAAAAAGTTTAATCAAAATGTTAATGTCATAGACATAGAAATTTGATATATTAATAAATAGAAACAAAATTAAATTGAAGTATATGTTTAGGAATACCATTTCTTTGTTGACAGAAAGTAAAATTGTGTGATTATCTGTGTGCATTATGGATTGATAAACAACTATTCCAATAAAAATGGAACATTAAAATTAAATATCTCCATTCCATATAGATACCTAAAGCCATGTTTGCTCAGTTCTATGTAATTCATCGCTAATTATCAGTAAGCGTTTTTCATGCATTTTACAATTATCAAGGGATTTCATGTAAATTAGATCCTAGATGCTCACAAATACCTGTATACAATTATTATGCTAAATATTTTCTATAGAAGTAAACATATATACACACAAGTAAGTGTCTGTACACACACATACAAATACAAATAACTGATAATTGAAGGGGTTAAATTAACTTTCTTCAGAAAATATGTGCAGCATTTGGTACAGTTTTGACATGTATGGATGGATGTATTCTGACTACTTATCAAGTTGTGATTAATATAGCTATATATGACAAATGGAATTAAAATTTTTCATTCATGTGTACGTGGCTAGTATGCCAATATTTTTCCCTGTTACTAAAATATTTTAACTATTAAATTTAGAGATTCTAGGTCGATGACTTCTTAGTGCTATTAATTAAAGAAATAAGTAAATGAGGATTGGGAAAAGAGAGTAGGAAAAGTAGGAAAGAAATGAAAGGATATTCACGGTACATTTTACCACTTGACACTAATGATCAAGGTCCAGTCATTAGGTCACACAGCCCTACATTTGAATTTCTTCTATTTCTTTTATCATCTGTGTTCTTCAGCAAATGACTTGAAGATAACAATCTTGTATCATGAACAATATAATACCAGTTGTCTTATTGTGTGCCTGGTTATTACTATATCTACTTGCTTTGTAGAAAGAAATGTATAAAACAGAAATATCTCTCAAGCAATGTAACCTCTTAACCTCTATCTTCTTATGCAGGGGATAATTTATGGTTTCATTAGCCAATCATTAAACAAACAACATTTCTAAGGGCCTACTTTGGACTCCCATAGTACTAGTCACTCAAGATATAGATACGAATAAAATGCATCCAAGCATTTAAGAGTTCCTTATCAAGGACGAAAGACATATATACAGTGAGGAGAGACAACACAATTTTGGGAGCTCAGAACAGAGGTACCACAGCATGGAAAGTCAAGAAGATGTTTTCAAACATTTGACATCTACTCAGCTGAGCTGGGTTTGAAAGATACATTGAAATTTTCTAGCTTCTTGTGGGAAAGAGTATAAGATTAATATGAGTAAACTTGAAGAAGTGAGAAGAAGTCTGAAATTCCAAGTACATCAGTTGTACTTCATAGTAAATTAGGTTTCACAGAGAGGTAAGAAAATAATTGCTACATTGTTTGGCTTTTGGGAGAGAACATTCCAAGAATGAGTACATAGCTCAAAAACGTAATTACATATTTAAAAGGAAAATAAAATAAGAGATTTTTATTATGTGCCAAAAGTGCAATTTATCATTTGAATAGGGAGACTGTCTTCCTGCAGTGAAAAAATGAGACAGTGGGCATCAAGCTGGCTGTTGACAAACTATTGAAAGTGAATGTGCAAATGCGTTACTTTTACAAAATACAATATACTTTCACATTAGATGATAAGAAAAAGATTCTTCCTAATGGGCATATATTTATGGATATAAGAATAGATATTGAAGAAAGAGTAAAGGTTAAGAATTAATCCCTTTCTTGTTTTGTTTTTATCTGCAATCCAGAGCTGGCTATAAGTCATTCAAAATTGAAGTGACCTTCCTAACTTGATGGCCTTACTATTGTTTAAATAAGATCATAATAATTGTTTAATTCTTATTAGAACAGTAGTAGTGTAGAACTCAGGGAATTGTTTTTAAATCTAAATTTAATAACACTGTGAAGCAGATAAGGAGATGATTCCATTTAATATGTCAGCTAACAATTGTCTCCTGAGATTTTTGTGTACCAATTGCAAACAGTATACAATTTACAAATATCTCCTAGGATGAGTAATAATAATTGTAAAGGACTCTTCTTGTTTAAGCAGAAGGTTATAAGCACTATCTGAGATATACAACAGAAGTCAGTGTTGATTTTAAATCAAACATTGTGAAGAAAACACATTTTTAAAAGTATAGGCTCTAAAAGAATATGTATAATTATTTCCAATTAATAAGCTGTTGCAAAGAATTAAACAGTGCCATTTCTACAAGTGTGAATTAACCTGCAGGCACCTAAAGTATTAAATACACAGAATGCGAAGATTGAAAAGAAGTGTCATTGGTAGGCACATTAAAGGAAAAATTTATGTTCATAAATTCTAGGTAAAATCCCAACCTTCTTGATCTCTACAAGTTTATAATTTACTGATAAAACTGAGCCTTTTGAAAGGTTCATCTTTCAAAAATATTCTGGCTTTGAAATTTAATTATGATATTTTCAAGCACAGCTACAACTAGAGAATGGCACAGAGTTGCTAGGTTGAGTCCCTTTATATTCATCTCATGAGAGTAAAGAGATCAGCATTTAACATCAGTTTAACATTCCTTTAGCTTAAGGAACCAAAACTATTCTAATCCTTAGAATGATTTGAATATGGGTGAGAGTATTAAACTCTTCCTTATGCATTGATTAAATTCTCCGGAGTAGAGTGGTGAGAAGGATCATTACATGAATCATACATGTAAGTTAAGAAAGTGTATCATAGTAATTAAGATTGTGTGCTAGAGCCAGACATGCCTGAATTTGAATAGTGGCTCTACTACCACTGAATTTCTTTAAGTCTCAGTTACGTATCCTTCAAAAAAGGATAAAAACAGTGCCTAACCTAACGGGGTTGTGGTGAAGATCAATAAAGATCATGCATCAATATAGGACTCTTCTTGGCCTGTGGTCCAGGACATGATAGCTGCTATTATTATTATTATTAATGTTATACCTAAAAAAATATACCAGGTTTGGATTGTCTGTTTCAACATGGCATGTTTAGAAAGAAATATTTTTAAGGTTTAGAGTAGTTTGTTTGTTTGTTTTGGTCCTGGGCATTCAATACAAAAGAAAAAGAAAGTAGAGCAACTCAAAGTCTTATAGGCTGAGCCCAGGAAAACAGCAAAATAGATTAGTTTGAATTTTCAGTGATCTGTTATGAGTAGCATTCAAAGATGCTCTGATGCTAAATTCTTGGTTTAATTGATCAAATAAATTAAGAATTGAGATTAAACATTTAATACTAAACATATTTTGAATACTGTGTTAGGATATTTCCTATGTTGTTTCAATAAATATTTTCTAGGAAAAAAGTCTAATACAAATTAAACAGAAATGTGGCGAAAAAAATATGAAGTTTACTGATAAACTTTTGAAGTTTAAGAAATTTTGATATTAAAGGCTGAGCTTTATAGAGGGAAGAAATATCAACTGGTAACTTGCTAAGAATGAAGATAAACCCTAAATAAAGAAAAGTCTCTTCCAGCTAAAGAGAAAAGCACTAGAAAGCATAGCATCCCTTCTCTGATAAAAGGAGAAAGTACATTATCAGCCCATTTTGAGATTGGCCACCTAAAATGTTGACATCCTAAAAGATTGTCTTTGAAGCAAAGGAAAAAAAGAAAATTGACCAAGGTGTTTTCCCCCTTTTGAAGAGAAAAATTAGCAAGCATTTGACTTTCAAGGGAGAGAAAAGTAACAATATGGATATCACTTCCCTCTAGTGGTGAATGAAGATCCCACAAAGCATACCATGGAGTATCCTGTCAGAAGACTGATGATAATCTTTTGCAGAAAAATTACAGTTTTCAGAGTTCTTCTAAATGTTTTACCTCATTGAATTCTCAAAGTACTCTATGAGAATTTATCATTCCTGTTTTAAAAGAAGCAGTAGATTCTTAACACAGAACGCAATGAAATTCTAACATTAATACATTGAGAATTGGGAAGCCTCAGATTGAGACCAGATTTTAATAGTGATTAGCTTTCTGATTTTATTGAGCTTATATAATGAGGTAGAATAGTCTGGATAGTATCTTAAGGCCTATTAGAATTATGAAGTTATGTCAGCTTTTCTGTTTTATATCTAGTAAGTAGTTAAACTGAGACTTTAGCATTGGTACCATATCATCTGGCCCAGTCCTCTTTTCTCCTGGGGCTGCCCCTCTTGAATGGCTTATGGTATGCATTACTTTAGTCATGACTTAATGCAATGTCCAAGATGCATCATAATTAAAGATATAAACTCTCTAATGAGATCCACTTAGATTGAGTAGGGAAGAAAACAGAATGAGTGGGAAGTAGACTATGGATATTAAGAAATTATGAACAGAGTAAAACTTGTAGAAAACTTGATTATAGTTAATGTTTTACAAATCATGTTGGAAGTTGGCAAATGGCATGTTAAATTTCAGCTGACTGGGACAAATCAACAGGTGGCAAATGATGTAAACTTTGTTACATGATATTTTCCAAGTTACATATGAACAAGAGTGGCTACTACTAGAGAGAAAGATCTATTTCCTTTACAAATTTGAGGGTTGACAAATTACAGAATGAGTAATAGCTAACTACTTTGATGATCTTGAAAGCTGAAACTAGTGTTTACTAGATTTTTAAATCTGGAAACTCATTTTATAATATTTTCTATATTTCACAGTAAATTACATCTAAAGAATAAAGACATGCAATGCCAAAATAGAGCATTTGTATTTTCCCCTATATGGGTGAATATAGTATTTGTGTAGCCTTTAAGTTGACCAGTGATACAAAGGTTTTATATACCATCTTATTTGCATTGGGTGCGGGACAACTTAACATAAATGTGGATGTTTGGCACCTCTACATTTGTTATAGACCTGAGCAACATCTTAAACATCCAAACAGTAACTTGAGAACAATTTCCACAAGACACTGCTTTTCAACTCAGGTTCTGATGTAATAAAATATTAGATGTATTTTAATGTTTTTCATCTAGTCGCTCCCCCATGTTGGTGACCTCAAGTAGTAAATATAATTTTAATGGTAGAAAACCCTATTTAATGCATGGTAACATCTCAATGAATTCCATTTCCATTTGTGTAGCTTTTTTCTCAGCATTATCGCTCAGCCATTCTACAGCTCTCCTGGGAAAAGGCAGCCCTTATTGTTTCTCAATTTTCAGACTCTGCACAAGGAATTGCTAAGTTTATGAAGTCAGTCACAAGAGGTGTATTCATATTTAATGGATTGTTTGGAGAGTTCAGCTCTTGGATTATGTCATATTTTGTTGAACTATTATGCACAGTCTTCACTTTACTCACAGTTCTTTAGAGCAAAGGGAAATATAACTAACAGAAAGACTGCATAATTTAATTGCTCTTATTCTAAACACTATTCAAATTATGGTCTCTTCTTTAATAATTGCATATATAAGATTAATCTAGTTACAAAATAATAATGATAATAATAATAGCAATAATTGAGGAAGAAGAAGGAAGAGTGAGGGATTAGAAGAAAGAAGAAAAGCATGTATGGATAACCTGCCATGTTCCAGGTGCCAGGCCAATTGCTTTATGCTCATTGTCTCTCATCTTTACAGCATGAAAATAGTGTTGTTTATCCTGGCTTTAAAAATAAGATGTTTGAGGTTTATAGAGTTTTTGTAACTTACTAGTGATAATTAAACTATTAATAATAGCTAACATTTGTTGAGAATGTCCTATATGCTATATCTGAGCTAAAACACTTTTTCATGTTCTCTCATTTAATCCTTAGAATAACCCTATAAGGTAAGCATTGTTTTTATCCACCTGTAGAGGTTAGGAAACTACCACATAGAAAGTGTAAATAATTGCCAGGATTGACAAACTAATAAGTAATTCAGCAGGAATTCAGAGCTGGAACTTGGATTCAGTAGGTAGTACTATGACCGGATGGTTCATAAGTATCAACCAAACATTTCAGGATACGTGCTGAAGTTAGCCTGATAAAACTATAATATTATGGACCTAAAATTTTGAGTGAATTGTACACAACTAACATGTTTTTTATCTAATCATCTTCTTCTGTCATTCTTAGTGTATTGCATGAAGCTTACTAACCCTCTGCTCATTTACTCTGGCCCCAACCACTTACTGTTCTCTCATGTGTGATTTCCTTTTCAGAGCTATAATTCATTATACTCTCTCTTAGTTCATGGAGCTTATTCTTTGTTTTTTCCTGTGAAAAGCTCTTGCACATTTTTCCTTTGATTCTGCCAACTTTCTCTCTAGCTACCTTATTTGGTACCTCCTTTGCGAAATGTCTTTCTGCTGCCTACTTGCAAATATCTTCTGCGTTCTGCAGTCTGAACACCCTCTTTGTTGCCAGTAATGTTGCTGTTGTTGCTACTGACTTCACTGAGCACAGAGAAGAATCACTATGCTAAACTTACTCTCTGTTTCTTTTATTCTTGCATATGGCATATAAAACTCTGACTTTCCCTCAAAGCTCCTTCTAACAACAGTCCCCAAACTTCCCTTTCCCATAAAGTCTGGGATTCTGCAGAGAAGGTACATTTATCTGTCAAGACAACTAAGAAAAACTATGATGTGCCCTTGGAAACATCTTATATACGGCTGTTCAATTACAGTTCTACAATAAGTTAAACTTGTTGGATTTGCCTTTAACATGTCATTTATATTCAAGCAGCTTTGTCTATATTCATGCTAATCTTTCTGTTTGGAATGCTCTCTTCCAACCTGCTTTCCCATCAGTATTTTCCATTAAAAAAATATTACTCATACTTGAAGGCCAATCTCAAATGTCAGCTCATTTGTGAAATCTTTTATAGCTCCTCCAGCAGAAGAAATAACATCCTCTCAAGTTCTTATACATTTTGTAGACCTCTGGATTACAGGATTTAGCAAATTGTACTGAAGGTAATACAAACAACAATTACCAATACTAAATATTGAGCTCTTCAAGTTAGGGAAGTTTTTCTTATGTATAGTAATATCCTCAACACCTGGCATTAGATAGTCACAGTTGATGATCAGCAGACTTTTAAATCATTTGTTTATAGTGTTTCAGTTTAGATTTTCCAAGAAGCAGTTATCAATATAGAATTTGATTACAGTATTTATAGGGGAAACAAGAAAGATGAAAGGGATGGAGCAGAACAGACAGGAAGAGACTTTAGGCACTTATACTCATCTGATGTCTGTGGAAGGAGAGACAGAGGAAGGAGGATTGAAGAAAACCTTCAAAATGCAGTATAGTTCTTAGGCAGTCTTTGCCTGGCTGATAGGAAGTTCTTGAGCAAAGATCAGAAGAAACCCCAAACAATAAGAAATGTCTCAGTTCTAGTACCCCTATGCTCAATCACTTAAAGAAGCCTGGGAAAGTCCGGCCTTGGCAAAGATACTGTGTTGGATGTGAAAGTGCACAACTGGAGGCTGACAGTCAGCTATGCTCCCTGAAGTAGGGTCTCTTAAAGAGAGGTTTCAGTGGTCCACTTTTCCCAGCACCATGCAGTGCTTTAATAAGCATACTTCTCTTTTCAGTCTCATTAAGTCAATGTACTGGAGGAGAGGGGCTTACCATTAAAATCATTATGCCAGTAATACTGAATAAGGAGACAAGAGATCTAGATTTTAGTCTTAGTTTTGGTACTTAGATGAATGACTTCTTCATGTCACCCTTGCATGTGTGAATTTCATTCTGTATGATATTATGTGAAACTTTTTTGTTTTCATTTTAAGGAAAATATGAAGTGTCACAAATAGAACTTGCTAAAAAGCAAACCTGTGGGATGGGTCTTTTATTAACTATATATGTATATATGTACACACACACATATACACATACAAACATATATATATATATATATATACACACGCACACACAGATACTCATATATATCAGTCAATACAATTATAAAATTTTAATTTCATCATATATAACACAATTATAATTATATAATTGTTATTTCAAAATGTCTTTCAATTTAGACCTTATAAAGCCAGGTTTAAGAACTGTGTAGTACACTTATTATTTATTTGGGTATATACTTCCTTGGGAAGTTGCTTCATTAGGAATGCATTTTTTTACTAAAAGACCCAAAATGGAAATATAAATTATAACCTGAACATTTTATTTGTATGTATTTATTTTATTTTGAGACAGAGTCTTGCTCTGTCACTCAGCCTGGAATGCAGTGGCATGATCTTGGCTCACTGCAACCTCCACCCCCCGGGTTCAAATGATTCCCCTGGCTCAGCCTCCCAAGTAACTGACTAACAGGCATGTGCCTCCATGGCCAGCTAATTTTTGTATTTTCAGTAGAGACAGGGTTTCACCATGTTGGTCAGGCTGGTTTTGAGCTCCTGGCCTCAAGTGACCCGCCTGCCTCGGTCTCCCAAAGTGCTGGGATTACAGGCAAAAGCCATTGTGCCCAGCTAACCTGAACATTTTAAAAAGACAAATTGTGTATATTTAAGGTATACAACAGGATATTATGGGATACATATAGATAGTAATAAGCTTACTATACTAAAGCAAGTTAATATATCCATTATGTCACACAATTACCCATTTTTTGTATTTGCTTTTGTAGCAATGACAGCAAAACCTCTATTAAATTAGTATGAATTCCACATACAGTGAAATTTTATTACCTCTGGTCCGCATATTGTACATTACATCTCTAGACTTGTTCATTCTACACATCTGCTACTTTGTATCCTCTGAGATACACCTCTCCATTTTATTTTCTCCCCTCTGTCCTTCTCCCAACCTCTGGTAACTGCTGTTTCATTCTCTTTGTATATTTGAATTTTTTAAGACTCCACATATAAGTGATATCATGCTCTATTTTTCCCTCAGTGTTTGGCTTATTTCCCTTAGCATAATGTCCTCTGGGTTCATCCATCTTGTGACAAATGGCAAGATCTCTTTCTTTTACACATTCTTTACCCATTCATCTATCCACAGACGCCTAGGTTGCTTCCCTCTCTAGGCTATTGTGAATTATGCTGGAATGAACATGTTAATGCAGTTATCTTTATGAGATGGTGATTTCATTTTGGGGAGTAGGGTGGGTATATGCCTCAAAGTGAGATTTCTGCATCATATGGTGGTTCTATGTTTGCTTGTTTATTTTTAGAACATTCCATAGTGTTTTTCATAATGGCTATACCAGTCTACATTCCCACCCCAAGAGTATACGTATTCCCTCTTCTCCACACACTCACTAGGTGTGAGCAGCTATAGCATGGACAAAGAAAGTGCAAGAGTGACACCAAGAGATGACTTCCAGATGATGTAGAGGGACAATTGAAGAGAATAAAGACCATCCAGGTTGTCCTCTCTAGCAGCATTCTGCCCAACCTTATCTTGTGCTTCAGGGTTATTATCTGAAGTACAGTTGAAGATAAAGAGCAAAACAGCTGCCCCATGTTGTTGCAACTGTTAATCAAACTGAAACCCTGCTCAGAAGCCCATGGACATTCAATGTCAAATAAACTCATCTAAAATATCAGTCATTCTAAAACCTTAAAGGCCAATGCCTATGGTTCTAGTGTGTTCTTTACCACTGTCCTTCCTCCTCTTCATTTATTGCTTCGTCTCAAGAACACTACAGTCAACACCATCATTTCGCCGGTTGATACCACTGAAGGTATTCCCATCAGACATGGTGCACCATCAGCACCACAGTCACCATTTTGCTCAAAGAAACAGCTGTGAGGAGGAAGCTATAGAAAAAAAAATCCCAAACTAACTGCTGCAAGGATCCAGAGGAGGAAGTCAGAATCTGTAACAGAAAACAAAGCAGAGCCTCCCTGAGACAGTTTTAAACCCTAGGGCTCTTATAACATTTTGTTAGTGGCCATTCTAATGGGGTTGAGGTGGTATCTCATAGTAGTTTTGATTAGTATTTCCGTCATGATTAATGATGAGCACTTTTTCATATATCTTTTGGCCATATTTACGTCTTATTCGGAGAAATGTCTGTTCGGGAAATTTGCTCATTTTTTAATTGGGTGATTTTTTTCACTATTGAATTGTATGAGTTCTTCATAAATTTTGAATATTAACCCCTTATCAGATATATTGTTTATAAATAGCTTTTCCCAATCCATACCTCTGTTTCATTTTGTTGATTGTTTCCTTTACTATGCAGAAGATTTTTAGTTTTTGTAATTCTATTTATTTATTTTTGCTTTTGTGGCCTGAGATTTTGGTATTTTTTTTTTTAAATATCACTTCCATGGCCAATGCCCAGAAGTTTTTCCCATGCATTCTCTTTTATGAATGTTATAGTTTTTGGTTTTATGTTTGGGTCTTTTATCCGTTTTGAATTGATATTTGTGCATGATATAAGAGTACAGTTTCATTCACTTTATATCCTTTTTGTGCCTTTCTCAATAATTAGTTAACTATCTAGGTTTAGATTTGTTTCTTGACTCTTCATTCTTTTCCACTGGACTGTTTCTATTTTGTGCCAGTAAAATACTGTTTTGAATACTATGTCTTTGTAATATAATTTTAAATCAGTAAGTGTGATGCCTCCAACTTTTTCTTTCTTCTTGGAATTGTTTTGGCTACTTGGAGTCTTTTACGGTTCTATGCAAATTTTAGGATTTTTTTCTATTTCTGTTATAAATGCCATTGGGATTTTGATGGGTATTCCATTGAATCTGCAGATATTTTGCATAGTATTGACATTTTAACAACACTAATTTTTTGATACATTGGCAAGGGATATCTTTCCATTTATATATTTCTTCTTCTATGTCTTTCATCAATGTTTTATAGTTTTCAGTGTGCAGGTATTTCACTTCCTTGGTTAAATTTATTCCTAGGGTTTTTTTTAAGCTATTGTTAATAGGACTGTTTTCTTGATTTATTTTACAGTTAGGTCATTATTTATGTATAAAAATGCTACTTATTTTTGTCTATTGGTTTTGTACACTGCAACCTCATCTTATGATTGAAAAAATTAGAATAAAATGCCTAGTACTTTATGCCAAGTTAGTCAATATGCTTATAGATATTTATTAAACTTTCCTTTGCAAAACACAGTTCTTAGAATTCTAAAAGTGCAAATGCAAATAACTAAATAATTACTTAATACTTACTGGACACATACAGTGTGCTAGGCACTGTTCTGAGCATTTCACCTGAGCTAATGAATTTCTCCTTACCACCCTGCATCAGTTAATTATTGCCACAAGAATACTATGTAACAAATAACTGCAGAATCTCAATAACATTCAAAACAGCATGGTATTGGAACAAAACCAGACACATAAAGCAATGGAACAGGTGAGAGAACCCAGAAATAAAGCTGCACACCTACAACCATCTGATTTTCAACAAAGGTGACAAAAAAAAGCAATGGGGAAAGGACACCCTATTCAATAAATGCTGCTGGGATAACTGACTAAGCCATATGCAGGATTGAAAGGGAACTCCTACCTTTCACTGTATACAAAAATCAACTCAAGATGGATTAAAGATTTAAATGTAAAACCTCTCACTATAAATACCTTAGAAGAAAATCTAGGAAATACCATTCTGGACATCAGCTCAGGCAGAGACGTCATGATGAAGACAAAAGCAATTATGAAAAAACCTCTAAAATTGGGAAGTGTCAACAGAGAAAACAGACAACCTATAGAATGGGAGAAGATATTTACAAACTATGCATCTGACAAATGTCTAATATCCAGAATCTATAAGCAACTCAAACAAATTAACAAGCAGAACCAACCCCATTAAAAAAATGAGCAAAGGGCATGAACAGACATTTCTCAAAAGAAGACATACACACAGCCAACAAGTATATGAAGAAAAGCTCAATATCAGTAAGTATTAGGGAAATGCAAATGAAAACCAAAATGAGATACCATCTCACACCAGTCAGAAAGGCTACTATTAAATTAAAAAAAACAAAACAAAACAAACAAACAAAAAAAAACAGACGCTGGCAAGGTTGCAGAAAAGGGAACGCTTATACACTGCTGGTGGGAATGTAAGTTAGTTAGTCATGTTTAATTGAAATAATTATTAGAGCTAGGGATTCTCCTAACCAAAGGAGAAAAAGAAATGTCATAGAATTCCTAGATACAGTCTAAGCATTAAGAGCTGTAAAAGGCCTCTCAAGTCTCTGTGAGTCATTGGTGTCCTAATTTAGCCTAGTTTTTTATGTGAGCTGTCAAGCAGAATAGGTAGAGGGCAAGGGAATTGCTGTGACAGTGTGCCACTAAGAACAGAGTTAATTGGAATTCCGCAAGCCAATGAATGTGTGACATTCAGAGAAGAAGTGGACCAATAAATGTAGTATACTCTGTTTAGGGACTGACTGTAAAACTCACAGAATACAACTGGCTATTGGTCACAAATTCAACATATATGATTTTTTATAATTAACTGTCAATAAAATAATAGGGAATGCAATGGTCATTATTTCAATTAAACATGACAGATTGTTCCTTTGAGTATAAACCCATCCTGCTAAAAAAAAAGAACAAAAACAAAATAAGGAAAAATATGCAATTTAATATCTTTGACTGCCAGTTTTACTGTTTAAAATGAATTCTTTGTAGTCTGTTAAATAAACACTCCTTTTAAAGACATCTGAGAACTAGGTTAATATTGTCCTCTATTTGTAAGCCCTTGAGATTCTAGACACATATGACTTTTTCAAAACCCATATTTAGGATCTAAAAAGCAGCCAGCTGTGCTTCATCTCTGAGTCATTCTGCTCTTCTCAATGGAGACCTTATTGGCCCTTCCTTGTGCTGTCTGTGTTGGAGGTGTTCCCTAGTCATTGTAAAAATAACCTGTGAGTGTATTGAAATTTTTAGAAGGCTTGAACAACAGCAAAAAAAAAAAAACAAAAACAAAATATGTGTTCTATAATTACGTTTAAATGGCATTTTGAAATTTTCAGAAGGCTTGAACAATAGTAACAAAAAGATGTATTCTACAATTACATTTAAATGGTGGTGTTGTTTTTCTAAAAGGTCAGAATATTAATGTTTTATGTAAGAAAATTAAAAAATAGGCAGTATGAATAAGTTTTTTAGAGGAACTTTGATATATGTTGTTGAAGACTAAAATTACGTGTATTAATTTCCATAAAAAGAAGATAATTCAAAACATGGAATTGTATATGTACAATGATGTTCAATGTACTATTAGTTATAATAAATTATTAGAAAAATGAAATAAATGTTCAGTAATAGGAAAATGGTTAAACTGTGATACACATTAAACCACTCATATGTGATTCTCAGTTGGAGCCACTGCATTCTGGTAAATTTAGCTAGAAACTAGGCATTTTGCATGATTCTTCCCACTTCCTTACTCATCACATCATATCACCTGTGCCTGGCTTTGAATCCTTACTCTGTCGGTTGCTAAAAATATACCATGAGTAAAGTTGCATACCTTCTTCTTGCCTCAGTTTCTTCATTTGTGAAATAGTAGTAACAGTGGTATCTATCTTATTTGGTTAACCAAGATCATATAACTACTACAACACTTAGATCGATTTCTGACAAATAATAGGTCCACAATGAATATTAGATTTTCACTATTGTGAAGATGATGATATAATTATTTCTTTAGTCATTCCATTTTATGTGAAAATGTTCATTGAATTCATCTTGAGTCTATGGCCATACAACCCTGAACGCGCTCGATCTCATCTGAATTTATCTTGAAACTGACTCCTTACTATTCCCAGATTTTGATTCCTTTTCCACTGAAATCCAGCTCCTATTTTGTAGCCACTAATATAAGCTATCTACATCTGGCCATTTCATTTCCCTAATTAAAACCGGGCATTGATCTCCCCTGGCATATATACCTTATCGAGGCATAGAGGCTTCCCATGATTTGTTCCTGCTTACAAATGCAAGCTCATTTCTCACCACTCTACCTTCCATTTTGTATCCTAGCCATCCCACAGTGGTTTTGTTTGTTTGTTTGTTTGTTTCCCCTCATACAATTCCAGGCTGTTTTCATTAAGCCACTTTCATTATCCAAGTCTCCTGTACCTGAGAATACTCATCCAGTGCTAACATTGATTAACTTTTATTCATCCATGAACAATTAGATCAGTGAGTGTGACATCCTTCTGGAGCTAGATTTAGTCCTTCTCTGGACCCTCATAATAATGTGTGTCTATATTTCATCGACTACCTTGCATTTTAATTATCCATTTTGGTATTCTTCTCCATTAGAGTTTGAATATATTGATGGCAAAGTCTTAAGATTGTGTATCTCTGGCTCCTGGTAAAACATTAGCACAGTGATTGGTCTATGAATGCTTTGAACAAATAAATGTTAAATTAATATAATTGTAAACATTTTAAAACTCTTACAAAAAGTTATATAGTCACAGAGAAAAGTTTGTGACATCCTCTGAGGTAAGAAAAATCAACATACAAAATTTTGCATAAAATTCTACATACCATTGCTAGAACTGTGCAAAAAATATCATAGGAAAAAAGATGACTGACTTATGGAAATGTGTTGTATTAACTTTCCTATTAATTTCCAAAAAAACTTTATAATTCAGTACTAGTGCAATTTGTATTGCTTTCTGAGAAAGTCTTCATAAAAGAGTCATTCAGTTCTGAATTTTAGCTGTCTTCTAAGGCTTGCAAAGTATCTTACAGTGTTTATAAGTCTTCACTTCCCTGACATTATGCAGATTTAAAAGCTACATACTTACATTCAAACCACTGACATAAAATAGTTTTATTTATAATGTCCATGCCTCAATGCAAGGCTAGTTTAAGCTGTGGAGTTTGTGGAATATGCCAGTTTTAAAAACATAAGAAACCGTTTGTGGAAAAGCAGCTGTGATTCCAAATTTTGCTGTCTGGTTCTGTAATACTTCTAAAATTATTATTAATAATTTTCTTACAGATGGAGAATATTGGTACTTGTGTTCACATGTGTTTTTTTTTTAATTTACCCCTAGTTTAAACACATGCTTGAAACATACACCTAATTTTATTTTCCAACATAAATCATCACTTTTACCTCAGCCCTTTGACTAATGGAACTGTTTCCTAGACACCTCAATGCAATCGTGATGCCATTGTAGTCATTGCACTAGTAGCAATTTTAGATTTTTTTAAAGAGGAAGGGCGAACATTTTGCATTTAAGTGACTTTTGAAAACCACATGTGAAAGCCCAATTAGACTCTTAAATTTATCACTATCATAAGTAGAGGAAAAATCAGGATTGATAGAACATTAATTGGAATCTGGAGACCAGTGATAACTTCTAGATATGACTTACCTTCTCTGTAGGTTAATTTTGGATGATAGCTTCTGGAAAATTTGTAAGCATAACCTGAATCCACTTATAAACTATCTTCATCTGTTGTTGATGGGTAGATGAGCATCCACAGCTAATAATCTAATGATCTGTTATATTTAAAAGAACTTTATAATTTGCAAGATAATTTAAAATGCACCATATCTGTGTCTAATCTACACAGTTTTGGTTGATTGAAAATATCGGGGGAAGGGGGGAGGGATAGCATTAGGAGATACAGCTAATGCTAAATGACGAGTTAATGGGTGCAGCACACCAGCATGGCACATGTATACATATGTAACTAACCTGCTCATTGTGCACATGTACCCTAAAACTTAAAGTATAATAATAATAAAATAAAATAAAATAAAAAGAAAATATCATACACATTATAGATAAAATGACTAAGTCTCAGAGAGTTTAAACAACTTGTCAAAGCTGAGTGAACACTTGACTTCTAATTCTGTGTTTTTTGTTTTTGTTTTTACTATCCTTCGTTGCCTCCCTTAGATTGTGATAATACAATGTTATAGAGGCATAAAGCCGAAAATTTTTTTTAAATTTTTTTTAATTTTATAAGAAATAACTTCCTGCTCTTTTGGCCCATTAACATTAGGATGCAAGCTTATAACATTATTTGGAAAGAGTAATGTGGGATCTTTGTTCTAATTCAAATCCAGACATGAGGCTTGCTAAGTGACTTGATGAATATCAGTGAATCACTCAGGTCTCAGTTAACTTACGTGTAAAACAGAATTTAAAAATGCCTAAAGTAGCAAAACTCTGGAGACAGTAAAAGGATCAATGTTTACTCAGAGTTGGAGGGGAGAAAGAAATGAATAGACAGCACACAGAGGAATTTTAAAGCAATTTCCCTGCTCTATAATACTATAATGGTGGATACATGTCATTATACATTTATCCAAACATATAGAATCTCCAACTCCAAGAGAAAGCCCTAATATAAATTATGAACTTTGGGTGATAACCGTAGGTCAATGTAGGTTCATTCATTGTAGCAAATGCACCACTCTGGTGGGGAATATTGATAGTAAAAGAGACTGTGCATGTATAGGGGAAAGCGGCATATGGGACTTCTGTACTTTCCACTCAGTTTGGCTGTGAACCTAAAACTTCTCTAAAAAACAGTCTACGTTAAGAAAGTTGCAAGATAATGAAATTTACATCTTCATACCAGTAAATTTAAAAGCATAAATAAAATTGACAGTTTTTTTAAAAAAAACAAACGATTGGGATGTCCATGTTAGAAGATTGTTGTGAAACAAAATGAGAAAATGAGAAAGTAGTTTGATTATTATAAGCATTCCAGGAAGTTACAACTTTATTAGCATTGCCACTATCATTATTATTATTATTATTATTGAGATAAGAGTCTCACTCTGTAGCCCAGGCTAGAGTGCAGTGGCATGATCTTGGCTCACTGCAATCTCCACCTCCCGGGTTCAAGCAATTCTCCTGCCTCAACCTCCTGAGTAGCTGGGATGACAGGTGCCTGCCACCACGTCCAGCTAATTTTTTGTATTTTTTAGTAGAGACAGGGTTTCACCATGTTGGCCAGGCTTGTCTCGAACTCCTCACCTCAGGTGATCTGCCTGCCCTGGCCTCCAAAAGTTATGGGATTACATGTGTGAGCCACCATGTCGGTCTTCATATTATTTTCATCTATCCTTTATTATTTAGTAGAGCAGGAATAACAATGAAAAGATGTAAGGAGATGTGTAATCAAGATCTGGAGATTAGGCCATTAGAAATTAGATAGCTTAAAAAGTGAGGAGGGAAAGTCTAGTTCATTACTGTAGACTTTTTCTTTAAAAAATTAACTTTTCAAACGCTTATTCTAAAGAACATGTTTATGATTGTTTCATTCGAGGTGATAATCCAACATTAAATTGCACTGCATTAAAATAAATTTAATCCCTGGAACATGTGAATATGAATATATTAATTTTCCTAGCAAAAGCAGCAGATGAAAATAAGATTGCTAACAATTTGACCTTCAGGCTGGTGTGGTGGCTCATGCCTGTAATCCTAGCACTTTAGAAGGCCCAGGCTAGCAGATTGCTTGAACTCAGGAGTTTGAGACCATTCTGGGCAACATGGCAAAACCCTGTCTCTATAAAAAATTCAAAAAATTAGCCAGGTGTGCTGGCACACACCTGTAGTCCCAGCTACTTGTGAGACTGAGGTGAGAGGATTGCTTGAGTGCAGGAGGTCCAGGCTGCAGTGAGCCAAGACCATGCCACTACACTCCAGCCTGGGTGACAAAATGAGACCCTGTCTCAATAAAAAATAAATAAATAAAATAAAAATGAAAAAACTTGACCTTGGGATGGTCCGTGAATTCTCCTGGATTATTCAGGTGGGCACAAGGTAATCACAAGGGAAGAGAGACATAGAAGAGAAAGAACCAGAGAGAACCAGAGAGATGGCAATATGGAAAGACGTGGTTCAACATGTCTGGCTTTAAAAGGGGAGGAAGGGTCATGAGCCAAATAAGGTGGGCAGCCTCTAAAAGCTGAAAAACACAAGGAAACAGATTCCGTCTCAGAGCCTCCAGAAGGAATGCAAATCTGCGAACACCTTGATTTTAGCCCAGTGAGACCCATTTCAGACTTGTGACTTCATAACTGCAATGTTTGTGTTGTTTTAAGCCACTGAATTTGTGGTAAATTGTTAACAGCAACAACAGGAAACGATTACAATATGTTTCACTTGACAAGGAAAGAATACCATTTTTTTGAAATCCATTTTTTATGATGAAAAATGGATTTTTAAACCTATTGTGAAGTGTTTTAGGGACTATTAGAGCTGCTTGCATTTAATGATGGGCCCTTTATTTATGGAGAAGACAATCATGTCCTCATTATTAATATTATATTTATGAATTATATTTGGATATGAAGTTTTTAAAAGTGTCTTTTAAGGTTGCATGTTGGTATGGTCATGCTATCTCCTGTTTTTTGAAGAAGAGTACATTGTGGCAAATGGAAGTAGCTGCCAACAATGGTGTTTGGTTCTAATGACAAAATTATTGAAATAATGTAGAAAAGGAACTAGTAGAAATATTTTATTATACCTGCCTAAGGTGGAAGAAATTCTATTTCGGGCTCTTTTATTGAAAAAGCAATCATATTGGTTTTATTAAAAAATGAAAATACTGCATCATTAATATTCTATAATTTTACATCTTGGACCTCTCCATCCTTCCACCTACTGCTGATTCATAATATCAAAATGTTTAGTTCCAAGCCACTACTTTTTTCCTTCAATTTCCTGTTTAGACAACTTTACTTTAAAATTAATGGCCTGACAAGGAAGGTCTCCAGTTGACTTTCTAGAAGAGTCATTTGACATTACAAAACTTTAATTATAGAAAATACTGGGTTCCCAAACATAACAACTGTTTAATGACCTGAGAAAAAAATGTTTAGTTGTTGAAGGAATAGTTTAAGATTTTTATATCCATTTAAAACATTATTTGGTGTTTCCTCATAAAACTTCACAAAACAATAATGTTTCAATAACTGTTCTTAGAAATATATTGATTTTTCTCTTGATTAAAGAGGGGGAATGAAGTTGATTCTGAATAGTTTACTCAAAATTCAAGCATTAAAGTTTTTATACATAACTTATTTTTCACATAGGTCAGATATTGCTAATATTTATCGAGTAAATTTTGACAATATACTATTTATGGCAAAAAAGACAAAGCATTGGAAGGAAATCATTTAAAGTAACAGCAGACAAAGAACTCACAGCGAAAAATAACTTGACTAAACTTCAAAAGCCCTTAGAATCTCAGCCGAAGGTTCTTGTATGTAAACATGTAGCTATCGGTGATATTTCTACTTGAGAGCAGCTTCTGAACTTTTCTTTTCTCCATGTTTCTTTGATAGAATCCCAATAGGTGCCAGAAAGGGCAAAGGGATACTTTTATGTGCTCTTACACCATGAGCGTCTGTAGATTTTTGATGTTCCATGTATGCACACAAATTTAGAGAGATATAGCATTCTAATATCTTTATATTGAGATTGATGTAACTCTAGTAATATTTATAGCTACTGTTAGATTGTTTGTATTGGATGGCTGTTTGTTCTTTTAATTTTTGATTCTTCCACATCAAATTAGCTCAGAGAAAAATTCCTTCCTGCTCTGGAAAGGGGAGGGAAAAACAGCCATTCTGAAATACACCCAGAGCGTTGTGTTCTTCTTAACAAGGCCTACCCTCATAGCCTATTTTGGCAGAGCCTACCATGTGGGGTTTTATTCAAGACCAAAGGGAAAAGGAAATACCAATAGCCTGCTGTAACCTTTCTGTCTCATCTAACAGTGGGGAAAAGAGGGCACTGAGAAGCATTTATGAAGGTCAAAGCCCAGGAGCACAGACTAACTAAAACATTGAGAACAAAGCATAAGGCTATCCCACACCTTACACTCAAATTAGTAGGGGTCTTGTATAATAACAGGTTAATGGAATTTAAAGGACTGCACATCTAAGACTTTATTTAGGAAGAAGTCCTTAAGGAAACCCAAAAACAACAGTGAATACAAAAACAAGGACCACAGAAGAAATGTTAGCCTCTGATATCTACAGTTACATCAAACTGTAAACATGTCACATAAGCAAACTTGGTTGTTTCAGCTACAATTGTAAACAAATGAATTTGCTCTGTTGCTCATTGAAAATCAACATAGGACTTGCAAGGACAAACATTTGAAAGATTACCTCTTTTTCTGGCTTAGCATCACCCCAAAAGCTTCTGAATTTCAAGAATGATAAAGCTTACATTTAGCTGCTCATTCCAGATTCCATTTTGAATACCTATCATGTGCCAGACACTAGTATTACTGCAGACAATACAACACAAATCCCTGTCCATAGGGAGCTTTTACATTCCAGCTGAGGGAGACAAACAATGGACAAATAAGAAGAACTTACAGTGTGTTAAATGATAATAATTGCTATAAAAATAAATCAGGGAAAACAATAAGAATGAGTTGGCAAAACTTCAAATATTATCATTGAAAAAGTGATATTTAAGGAAAGGCCTGAAATATAGATTCATGTCAATTAAAAACTAACTGATATAAAAGAAGCATTTATTCCTTCATTCAAAAAATATTTGAGTGCAGGTATGAGCCCTGAGCGCTGTGGAGGAACACAGAACTATCTAAAACAGGAGAAAGATTTCTGAACACTTAGGAAATATACTTAGAATTTTATAAAAGATGTTTTAAAGAGGTACACATTTTCTATAGGCATCTAATTGAAATAATATATAGTACTGAGTGTAAGGAAATCTAGATTTAAATTTCCTGATTTACTGTAAACTCCCAAAACTGGTATTAATGATCACATACTTTTATTATTTCTTTCAATATGGTGGTTTCAAGCGATATCTTACTCATTTTCCACAGAACATTAGTGTGTTAAGTCTTTCATTTGTCTTTCTACTCACCTCCCATTTGTCAGTGAACCTTTAACTGACATTTATTAAAGTTCACTAAATTTGGAAAAGATTCTCAAGCATTAGGAAGTGTCAGACATAATTTTGTGTTAAAAACAGTGGGTCAGAAGGAAAGGCTCATCAGTATAGATCCATTTAATGGAGAGTTTGGCATAAATTCTGTATCACATAAAAACCTTTTCAGAAAAAGCACTATTTGCATAAAGAGAACCATTGGAGAATTTATACTTCATTAACCTGTTGAATCTTGTAAAAGTTCAGAAGCCGAAATAATATTCAAAACCATAAAGAAGAATTCAGTGGAGACAATATACTTAATTCCTAAATTATAAGATTATACACTAAGTTCAGCCTGAGGCAAAATATCTTATAATAGACAATTAACTTAAAATCAGAATTGAAATGCTATAGAGCAATATAGCCACTATTAAATTAATATATAGTGTAATAAATTGTTTATTAAGCTTTTAAAGTCCAGTAGGTTGATATCTAATAGAATGTGCTGAAAGTTACATCTTGCTGATTTTTCACAAAAAGATAGCTAAAAGACATAAAAATATGATTTTGAAAGATCTGATTTACATCTGATGCTTTCCTAATACAGACATTGTAAGAATTTTGTTCAACAACATTTAATATCCTTTGCTGATAATGAGCTATTGAATATGTATGGATATCTGACTCCTTGAATTTTCCAACTAATTATCATGATTTTTTGTATGGAGAAAATAATTAATACATTTTTCTTATGATATTAAATTTAAAAATTGTTATATCTTCTTTCTTATGGTTGTCTCCCATCATTTTCTGGTTCACGCTAATTATTTTAGCTACTATGCATTTGATAAAGTTTCCAAAACCTTCACCAAATTTGCAGTTACTTTTTGTACGCACATTCTAGTTTCTTAGTTTTTGTTTGTTTGTTTTCTCTCTTTTGAAGACAGGGTCTCTCTCTGTCTCCTAGGCTGGAGTGCAGTGGGGTGATCTCAGCTCACTGCAGCCTCTGCCTCTTGAACTCAAGTGATCCTCCCACCTCAGCCTCCTGAGTAGCTAGGACTACAGGCGCAAGCCACCACACCTGGCGAATTAATTTTTTATTTTTTAATTTTTGCAGAGACAGGTTTTTGCCTTGTTGCCCAGGCTTGTCTCGAACACCTGGGCTCAAGCGATCTGCCTGCCTTGGCTTCCCAAAGTGCTGGGATTACAGACACGAGCCACTGCTCCCAGCCTGTCAGTGCTCTATAGACTGAAGTTACTTTCATGGCTATTACATGGTAGAGTGGGATGTTTTTTTCCTTTGGCCTGAAAAAGATATTCCCACTAATTCCACTTAAAAATGTTAACTTGAAGAAAACCCACCAGAAAATCTTCATTTTCTTAACTTTCAAAATTGTTCCTGTGTACATACCTGTGTGTGTGGGTTTAGGCAAAAGAGGAATAGGAAGAAAGAAAGAGGACATGGAAGGGGGAGTGAAAAAAAAAGGACTGGCTCTCCTCTAACAAGTTTCTCTTAAAATTTTAATATAAACACCTGGCCAGGTTTTGTGGTTCATGCCTATAATCCCAGCACTTTGGGAGGCTGAGGCTGGTGGATCACCTGAGGTCAGACCAGCCTGGTCAGCATGGAGAAACCCCATCTCACTAAAAATACAAAAATTAACTGGGTGTGGCAGCACATGCCTGTAGTCCCAGCAACTTGGTAGACTGAGACAGGAGAATCACTTGAACCCTTGAACCTGGGAGGTGGAGGTTGCAGTTAGCCGAGATCACGCCACTGCACTCCAGCCTGGGTGACAGAGTGAGATGCTTGTCTCAGAAAAAAAAAAAAAAATAATAATAATAATATAACTACCTTATTAATCATGACATTATTTGTCTATTTCTGGTACAGACTTTTTGTAAAATTTTTACAAAGTCTCATTTGTAATTTGGAATAATTAATGCTTTAGAGATGAGTTTTATAAACTAATAAATGTAGAATGACACATTAGTTGAAGAAAGCGATTGATCCAAAACTCAGAATAACATGTAATCCTTAACATTTTACAGAAGGATATTAAGTGAACATCTCTCAGGGCCTGTCTAAATTTAGTTTCACAAAGAAAGCTCAACTAAAAACAGCTATAGCTTCAGGGAAAAAAGAAAAGACAGTTTTGTTAAACTGTTTTTGTTGTTGTTGAAAATACTCAAGAAATCTCAAATCAGAGGACAGTTCTACAGTGACAATAAGAAATAATAGAAATAAAAATACCATTTTGCTTTATCCCATTTATTTAGATTAATGTAGTCATTTTATTTGTACAAGTACTCATATGTTATATAACACTATATATGATTTCTTTGTTTTACTAATAAAAACAATGGTATTTTATTAAGTTTATAAAAGTTATATTTACTTAGAAAATATGATAATATTGTGAGAATTATTAAATTCTCACTTATAATTCAGTTATTTAAATTTGTGTTTTCTGAGTTTTAAAATCTCTATCTTATACATAAATAGGAGTATGTTAAAGAATGTGTTTACATTCTATGAGTTTTTTCTTATTCTTTATACTCTAAAGAGGTAAGCTTAAGGAAATCATGGACAAAGGAAATGGCTGGAAGGTGGCTTTGATTTTAATACAGGTTGTGTAGTGAAACATTATTGTTTACCCTGACAAAATGTTTTTTTCTTATTTTTGGAACAGCATCTTGTTTTAAGATTTTGCATCTCATCTGAAACTAAGGATACTGTCTGAGTGGCAGTGGCCATTCTTTTATAAAATTTTATCTCTGTACCTTCAGGGATTGGCCTAGGTGTTAGCTTCAGGCTCAGGCTAGGCAAATCATTTCACTTGACCACTACTGGCCATAAAGATTAATTCAGGAGTCTGTCACTTCAATCAAGCCATTTAAGTATTCTCTGGAATATTATTTTATACTTTGTTTTTGTTTTTAAGTGGTAAATTATAATTGTGTATATATATATACACAAATACTACATGTATGCATAGGATACACTATGATATTATGATATATGTATAAATTTAAAATAATGCAGTCAAGCTAATTAACACATCCATCCGTCTTCCCCAGATCCTGGCCTCTGGTAACCATAATAATACTCTCTGCTTTTATGAGAACAACTCTTATAAGTTCAACATAAGTGAGATCATGCAGTATTTGTCCTCTCTTGCCTGCCTTAATTCACTTAACATAATGTCCTCCAGGAAATGACAGAATTTCCTTCTTCTTTAAGGCTGAATGGTATGCCAGTGTGCATATTACCACATTTTCTTTATCCATTTGTCTGCTGGTAGACACTGAGGTTGAGTCCATATCTTGGCTATTGTGAATAGCGCAGCAATGAACATGAGAGTGCAGACATCTTCTTTTTGAAATACTGATTTCATTTTCTTTGGATATATACTCAGCAGTAGGATTGCTGGATCAGATGGTAGTTCTGTTTTTAGTTTCTGAGGAACCTCCATACAGTTTTTCATGTTGGCTAATTTACATGTCTACCAACAGTGTACAAGGGTTCTCTTTTCTTCACATCCTCACCAACACTTATCTTTCATCTTTTTGATAATAGCTATTTTGACAGGTATGAGGCGATATTTTTTTTAACCTGAAACTTGGCAGTAAAAGTCTCTTTTATTTTTGGTAGCAAAATTAAAGTTGTGCGCTCAAAGATTCCCTGGCTGTATGTTTTGGGAAAAAAGGTATATATTTTGAGATTTCTTGTTTGAAAGATAAAGGCACATAGATAAAAGGAGATAAATAGAGAAAGAGGTGCCCGGTCTCTAATTCCAGTCTATTCTACCTATACATTGCCCTTTCCTATTATATAAACTCTTATTGCCTAACGTAGTTCAAGTTGAATTTCTGACACTGCAATCCAAAGAGTTCTAAGACAGACAAATAAAAATATAACATATTCATTCATGCCTAATCAAAAACCAATGTGAGAGAGGAGAAGATAGATACTTAGAAATTATTCATAGTCCTCCTTTCCTTTTTGCTACCTATCTCCTAAACTAGTAGCACTTAAAGTTTAAGAATAGTGGAAAGCATACTTTCCAGATCAGAGAAGATATTTTACTCAACTACCATAGTTTGATGGATAGTTTTATAAGTATTTAGATGCCGAGAATGGACACCATGCCTTGCTACAAAATCGATTTCAAATTTCAATAAGCTAGTTGGTAAGAAGGGGCACTTGATGGATTGAATGAGAAGGGAGAAGGAAAGAGTATGGCAATGGAAGAAACAAAGAATAGGAAATGCTTCTTTTCCTGCTGCAAGCACAAATAACACCTAAAGGAAACACTATTTGTAATGCTTCATCCTCTCCAGAATTCCCTGGATATGCTGTTGGATTAATGATCTAGGAAACTAGGTGTCATAGCTTCAGTAGAATCATCAGATCTAAAACTGCTGATAGCAACTTGTGCATATCCTCTTTCTGGCTTATCTTTATGAAATAATTTTATTAGTTAATGTTGACATCTTTGTTTAAAATGTTGTTTGACCAACTATTTTGCTTCTTACTAAACAGTGTATCTTCTGTATATCAAAATATGGTTCACCGCTAAGCTATGTTCTGAACATTTGTGACCACTGTAATTAAAATTTCTAATGCTATATTTCATGTAACAGAGAAAGCTGTTGTTGATGTTATGCTCTTCTCCTCTCCAATATTCTTTCACTAATTGTAATTTTCTACACAGATATTGTTCTGATAAATCACAATTGTTTAATATAATACCAATGATAATAGATCCAACATAATGAACTATGTCAAGGCTCATACCTTCTGCTGCAGCAGCCCCAAGGAGAAAAAAAGGAAATGGTCATGAAAAAAAAATTATCAAGGGTCATATTTTAAAGGATACTCTAAAGGGTATTTGTAAGACTTGAAAGCAAACATTTGATTTGGAAGTTAGCTATGGTGATACTTAGCATACAAAAATGACATTTTAAAAATATTCCTCTGCCCCATCTTATTTTTCAGAGTTATACCCATTAATCTAACCACTGCATTATTTAAAAATCCCAAATATATACACTTTATTTGGTTCCTCCACCTTAATTTTCTTTCTATAATGATAAAGGAAGCAAGAAAAAAAAGTGAAGACAACAAAACAAAAACAGAGAGCTGTGAATGTAAATATTCAAGACACTGATGGTCTAGAAAATTAAGTGTTAGGTCCTCTACAGAAGAAGTGTAAAAATTCTGAAAGCAAAGAAAATATTTAAGGAGTACAAATTGTTAGATTTTTACTTTAATTTGAAAACACTTGTATTAGTAAAATGACAAATGTTTGGAAGTTGAAAATAAAGATTGGATATTATTTGAAGTGCAGATACACAGCATAAAGTGAAAATTTGGGGAATATTAAAGCTGATTCAGAGGTTTGTGTGACAGTGCTTGAGACTGGTTGACCTTAAGGTTGAAGAGCAGGTAGAGACTTGCTAAACAGATAGCAATACCTGGTCTTAGACTATATTCCTGCTTCTATCACAAAATAAATAAATAAATAAAAATTTAAAAAAAAAACAGTTTTCAAGTCAATGGGTTACATTCTAAACATAAGCTACCTTCTTTTAAGAAAGACTAGGGCCTTTTCAACGGTCGTTAAAGGTTCAGAGCAGTTGTTCACAACAAGGTAAACTGTAGCTTGAAGGAAATAATAATTTCCTCCCAAAGCTGAAGGAACTTTTGTTTCCATAGTCTGCATACTTTTCTCAGTGACCTGAAAACTTACTGATGGAAGCCTCCTTTCCCATCCAACCTTCTTGTTTCTGCTTTTACTTTACTTTAAAAAAAAAAAATACTTGTCTGAAGATGTATGCAAGCTAAAATTAGTTTATACTTCCTGTATTCTGGGAACATTCAGTTTCATGGTATCTCTTAATTTCAAGTGTAATTTTACTTACAATAAAATACTCATTTTCTTTGATACCATTCTTATTTTGTATTTTATAATTATTTTCAGTTACTAATGGAAAATATGACCTATGTGCCATAATTTAATATTATATTTCTACTTTCTAATGTTAAGAACTTAAACATATCTAAATCTATATCTATCTATCTATCTATCTATCTATCTATCTATTAGATATCTGTCTATGTAATCTAGCTATCTGGGCATATATTATTTGCCTTGACATTGTTTCAGAAAAGGACAAAATTAATGTTTAGAAGTTTTGACCTGGCTTCTATATGGAGGCACCTTCAGATAATTTAATTAAATTAGATAACATGTACTAAATCTATACTGAGCCTAGTTTAACAACTAAATTGTTCTAAAACTACATTCTCATGTCTCCATTTGCTTTACTTGTTCTTCAGATTTATAGCTTGACTACATTTACTAGTTAATCCTTTCTAATTATATGTTTGTGTTTATCATGTAGCGCATGGTAGAAAGAAAGCAAGTAAAAGAAAAAGCAAAAAATAACATCAGTAATACTTTAAATGCATACAGTAGTTAATAAAAAGATTTTATTGTTAACTTCACGTCATAGGTTAGCAGAATAGACTCTGGAGGTATAGGTTTGGATTTGTATTTTATCACTTACTAAATTGATGACCTTATTTACGTTATATATTACTTATTGTAAAAGAAATGTAATCTGGAAAACTAAATAGCATAATTAAATTCGGGATGGCAGCAGGATAGAATACTGTTAAATAACTGCACTGCAACAATTTAGTGAATCTCACAAGATCTTTATAATCCCTTTTCCAAGAAAAACTGCCATTTAATAAATGTTATACATGATTTTATTTAATAAATAAAAACTGAAGGAAAGATAACCTAAATCTATTTTTTTAAACACCAGCAATCTGTAACATCCCTAGAAAATTGTCTAGAACACAGCATTCCTACCTTATAACGAAACTGTATCTCTTGCAAGCAACAAGAAATTTCTGTTTATAATTTTCTAATTCCTAGGGCTCAGAACATTGCTTATTATAGAGATATGCAAAAAAGTATTTGTTGTTTAATGAACAGTCACTTAAATACTGCTATCCTCTGCAGTCTGCATGAAATCACATAATAAGACCATGATTGTTCTTATGTCCAAGTCAATACTTCATTGGTCTAACTGCATCAGCTTGTCTGCAGGGGATTTCTGGAGGTTTGGGGGCTTGTTTCATGTATTTTCAATAACCAATTTATCACTTGTTGTTCTACTCTGGAACCCTGTTTTCTTGGCTATGTTGTGTTTGCTATATGTGTGACACAAAGATGTCACTGCTTTACTAAGCATGGCAGTTTTAATGATGACTGTCACTCTGAACTTAGGGCAATGGTGTAAGTCTTCCTGTTTTATTTTGCTTTGTTTGTTTTTCTTTTGTTTGTTTGTTTGTTTGTTTGTTTGGCTTCCTCTGTAGCCTAGGCTGGAGTGCAGTGGCACGATCTCGGCTGGCTTACTGCAACCTCTGCCTCCCGGGTTCAAGCAATTCTGCCTCAGCCTCCCAAGTAGCTGGGATTACAGGCACCTATCACCACACCCAGCTAATTTATTTTTTATTTTTATTTTTTTTTAGTAGAGGCAGGGTTTCACTGTGTTGGCCAGGCTGGTTTCGAACTCCTGACCTCAGGTGATCCACCCGCCTCGGCCTCTCAAAGTGCTGAGATTAAAGGCGTGAGCCACTGCACCTGGCCTTTTTGTTGTTTTTATGTCATTTTCTTGTGCACTTAATTAATACATAGTTTAGTTAAACTGAATTAAATTATCTAAAACTGGTTAAGGTAATTACCTTTTCCATAACTTCTAACAGCACAACCACACCCAATCTGTAACTTTTAGCATTGGTTGAATGAAAAATTTAGAATAATGCATGGCCAGGCATGGTGGCTCATGCCTGTAATCCCAGCACTTTGGGAGGCAGAGGCAAGTGGATCACTTGAGGTCAGTTGTTAAGAGATCAGCTTGGCCAACACAGTGAAAACCCATCTCCATTAAAATACAAAACAAAACAAAACAAAAATTAGCCAGGCATGCTGGCATACTTGTAGTCCCAGCTACTTGGGAGGCTGAGGCAGGAGGATCGCTTGAACCCAGGAAGCAAAGGTTGCAGTGAGCCAAGATCTGCCACTGCACACCAGCCTGGGTGACAGAGCAAGACTACATCTCAAAAAAAAAAAAAAAAAAAAAGAAAGAAAGAAAGAAAAAATAAATAATTAATAATAACAACAGAAAAACTCACAAAACACAGATAGGTAAAATACCTGGCTTACATCTAGGGTAGGGTTTCACAACATTTGTCCTCTTGATATTTTGGAGGATAGTCTTTGAATAATCCTACCCGTACATTGTAGGATGTATAACAGCATCTCTGGTCTCCACTCACTACATCACTGTAACACTCTTCTAATTATGGCAATCAACGATGCCTCCAGACAAATGCCCCCTGGGGGGCAAAATCTCCATGGTTGAAATACACCATGGAGATTTTGAACTCACCTAGGGTAAAATGTACCAGCTAACTTCTAACACCAGAAATACTCCAAGCCACCACAAACCTAAATCTAGATGCACACTTCTACAAAGGATATTAAAGAGGTTCATCTCGCACCTGTCCACCACCTGGTATCTTCTTCAGTGCCCCAGGAATGGCCTTTTTCCATACAGCTAGGGTATGCTTGTGCTCTTTAAAACCAGTTTCTTTACAAATCTGTCCTAGATTATGATGAAGGAACTCTCAGAGCTGCGTTCTCTTTGGCAGTAATTATTTCCTTTCAAGTTCTGGAGTTCCTGAAACAACTGCTCAAAGTGATAACATACAACTCAGTAAATATGTAATTAAAGAATCCACCTAATTGCCCCTATTAAACACAGAAGTTCTGGGTTATTTCACAGAATTCAATCAGCCAGGAAACATGGATAGATCCTTGCTATGTAATAACTTAAATAATAGTTTTTTATTTATATATCCCTAAGAACCAAAGGATTGACAACAAAAATTAAAATCCAAATCTTAGCCCTTGAAGGCAGAACCTACTTGTACATTTTTATAAGGCATTTTTCTACCTTCAGGTAATCTTAAATTCTAGCCTCAAAAGGAATGCCCTGTTACATAAAGTAGTAATTTTTAGCATTCTGATAAAGCTCCATTTATATAAAAGCCTTACTGATGATCTTTCCAGAAAAACGATGCAAATATAATCCCCTTTGTTAGTATTTTCAGGAGCGAGAATCATGATAGAATCTATGTATATAGTATTGGAAATTAGAATTATTATAAAGTTCCAAATTTGGATTTCAATACTTGAACTATTTGACTTATTTCTGCTGCTCCTTTGGTCTTTCTGTAATTGAAAATTGACTTTTTAGTTAAAAATATTTTTATGTTTAGTCACATAAACAATACAATTCCTGAAATATAATATCCTTTTAAAGTTGTAATTCTAATAGTTGCATATTGTATTTGTAAGGAGAAGAAGAACTAATGAAACTATTGAGATATTTTTAGTTTTCTTAATGTTTAATTTGCCTTCCCACCTGGGCACTTTAGGGAATTTGAAAGTATTTTGATATAATATTCCAGTGAGAAAAGTCATCACCAAATGGTCTGTCCTTTTTGTGCTAATATTGTTCACGCATCAACTCCTGTTTCTTCTGAGATGGTAGCAGCTGTTTGAGTTGGAAAAAGGAATGAAACCTTGATAGTTTCACACTCAGTTCTGCTGTATAATGAACTAAGCTAGCTTCTGAATATCCAGCTTATATTTTAGAGGAAAGTGAGATATTGCTTGCAGAAACTTTGGTTATTTGCTAAAAACCCAATAGTTATCAAAAGTATGCAGACACATTTTCAAAAATATATATGGAATGAACCAATTTATAAAATCTATTTAATTTAACTTTGGCTACAAATTATTTTTGTATCAAAGAGTCAAGAAACTGTTATAATACACCTTAATTTTAGATCAGTTTATAATATGTATAGTTTGTGTGTTTGTTTTTATTTAAAAGCTAAATTAACTAAAAGATACAAAATGTGAACCCTAAAGTGTTCTTCTATACATAAGATTTGTGCATTTATCATCGATATCTTTTTACATCTTATTTAAATATGAGTAATCGTATCCCCCAAAAGTTCTTAGAAAATAATCGCAGCAGCAAGTAAATTATATTCAAATAAAATATATGGTATCAGACACAAAGAAAGTTGGAATACTTAATGTCTAAGCAAAGCTTTGCATTCTTCTATGTTCTTTAAGTTCATGGAAACCAAATATTTTAATTTGTGTAGAATAGGTATGTGACACTGCTTGCTATATGTAATATTTAAAGTTAGCTAGTGATTTTCCTCTTTACTGAAGTATAATACTTTATACTTGGAGTTGTCCTTGAAGACCACAGGGAGGTTTTACATTGTGCAGAATCTAGTGACCCATTTACTCACTAATGTGAATCCAATGTTGTACCTATGTTCTGCTGTGCCTGTTTTACCTCTGAGTGATATTCAGGGTCTTGTGTTTAATCAACCAAGACTTACGTGGTTTGGCCTATTGTTTTCTCACAGGTGACAGTTTCTACTAACTTACGAGGATAGAGGTTACGGAACGGCAAGGAGACTATTGCAAAGACTCTTCTTACTCTTAAATACTCTGCTTCTCTGGCAGAAATAAAAGTTTACAGCTGAAAATATAACCTGCATAGATTTTAAAACCGAAGTATCAAAATCAGCATAGCAGTGGACATCTACAAGCACAGAAGAAAATGCTCATGTCTAAACTTTAGTAGATATGTAGGATCTAGTACACAAATTTCACATTATTGAGGCAAAGTACTCACCATCAGCAGTCTCAGCAGATGTTTTATTCAGCCTCGCAAGGATCAAAGAACTGTGTTTGATTTCATTTTAGATTCAGTTTAACATGTTGAATTAGATCTTAGGTCTGATCTTTATCAACTGAATTCTTCTTACAAAATGTTAATGATTTAAAAGATGAGCAATATCTCCATTTCAATTATAGTCATCATATTTTTAAAGTCCACCAGAGTAATGGCCTTGGATCACTAGATCAACTAAGATATGCTTTAGATCATAAGTTTTATTATTCATTTTCACATGATAGCTCAGTTTATTGTACAAATTGTCTTTCAATCTGATATATGGTGACCTAGAAAAAGGGCTTTATTTTCATGTCTATATAGATAACTCTGTGCCAGTTCTGTCTGACTTAAAATTGCATCCAAAATTTAAGAAGCAAATGCATCTGGCACAGACAGAGGAGAAGGAAAGTAAGAACAGAAAATGCCAGGGATCATTGAGTGATCTGTTGAGTGGAGCTGGTTGGGCCACTGTGTGGTCTGTTGAGTGGAGTTGGTTGGGCCACTGTGTCACATGAAAAGTGTAAGACTATTTGAGGCAGTGACCCCTTCCACTGCATCAGTAGCAAAGTGGACCCTGCTACCTGTGAGCCTGCCATAGGGCAGCTGGGCAAGAGCTACACCAGCACTTGAGAGCTACACTAAAAGGAACAATTCCATAGAATATCCTACTTTCTGTATTAGGTCACTGAAGAGACATTACAGCTTGCCAATATTACAGAATATTATATTCATAGAATATTCCTCAGGATGTCTTTTGACCCAAAGCCTACATTTCAGACAAGTTACCTGCCCATCTTTCACAAGTGACAGCGTACCACTATCTCAAGTGGCAGAGAATGCCTGGCTCTCACGTAGAGCTTCTCACATATGCTGCTGGAGGAAATTTCAAAATTACTGATCCCTTCCATGGCTAATCTCAGCATGCTTTTTCCCATATAGACCTGTATTATAGCTTTAGGGAGTCCCTGGCTCTATCTTCCAGTACTTCCATGAATTGGATGGTGAAAATGGGAGAGATTTGCTCAAGCAAATAATCCCTGATGTTTGCACTGACAACAGCTACCACCTGTCCTCTTAGACAGGGTCTCATAGTGTGTAGTTTTATTCTTAAGTAGGTATGCAGCAGTAATTTTGTCTATCAGGTTGACTTGTGTTCTTGGCCTGTACAAGGAATGGAAAAGGCTTCAAAGGGAATTAGATAACCTGTATGTCAGTTTAATGACTCGCAGTCCTCACATGATGAAGTGGTATTGCCTTGGATTCATAGTGAGCAGTGGCTATGGGTATGGCCCCAGTAGGTTTTCTTTGTCTTTATTTGGAAATGATATACTCATACCAGATAGGATGTTTAATCTAGCCTGGCTCAGATTTAAGAGATAACCTCTTCATATTAAAAACAATGCTTTTATAATCATGCACCAGCTGTAAGTGTGAAGACAGCCTTACAAGGGGCACAATGGTTAAACTCCCAGTCTTACATACATATCTGTCTATAAGAAATATATGTGAGAGTTACAAAATGCAGAATCTGGAACCCACTGTCATAAAAGCAAGTCATCAAAATGCTGAAATTAGGGATGAATTAACATTTATACTAAATGTATCTTTTATCATAATGTCTATCACTGATGTATGAATAAAAATACTTTTATATTTTGGAAGTGAATTGAAGCATTTGTATTAATCTCCAATACAATATAAAACACACAAACAAACAGGGCTGGACATGGTGGCTCACGCTTGTAATCCCAACACTTTGGGAGGCCAAAGCAGGAGGATCACTTGAGGCCAGGGGTTTGAGGCCGGCCTGAGCAACATAGTGAGACCCTATCTCTACAAAAACAAAACGAAACAAAAACATAGCCAGACAAGGTGGCATATGCCTATAGTCCCAGCTACTCAGGAAGCTGAGGTAGGAGGATTGCTTGAGCTGAGGAGGTGGAGGCTCTTATGAGCTAGGATTGTACCACTGCCTTCCAGCCTGGATAACGGAGAGACACTGTCTCAAAAACACACAAACAGACAACAACAACAACAACAACAACAAAACACATACAAGCAAGCCCTGTTTTATTAATATATAGAATAGAATGAGTAATCTGGAAGGTAGGAAATTTCACATGAATTGAGATTTAGATAATTTCTTTCTTATATTTAAAAAGCAGACAGTAATACAAAAAATTTTGTGTTCAAATTAAACAAGAAAAACATTTATCAATTTATTTATGTATTTGTGTGAAACTTTTCCCCTTCCATGTATTTTAGTCTATCAATTCTGCTTTACATTGGGCAGAAATTATGAAATGAAAGCAGGACCATCACAGAAACACTGTAGTTCCTTGGTTTGAGGAATGAAAAAAGACTATGGTAGCAACAGCAATGACAAAAAATAGCAATACAGATGTAACTTTGCATTTATTGAAGAAATATTTTGTATGCATAGCATCTGCCATAGATAGTACAATTCTGTCAACAAAAGTCAATCTCTCACTTAGAAAAATAATATTTTGCTTAACAGTGAAGTTCATTTGAAGTGTAAAACTAATAGAAATTAGATGATTCTTTCTACTGCTTTCAAAAATGTGGTTTGTGTTCTTGTTCAAGACATATTTTGAGACATTTTTTTGAAACCTTGTGAAATGGAGCTGGTAGCCTTGTTGACTCCCAAGCCCCAAAATAGTGCTGAGAGCTGAAGAGTGATTTTATATTTCAGTAGTTGAAGATTTACAACAGGAATCCAAAGGATTATTCATAATAGTACATAAAAAGCATAAAAATGATTATTCAAACAGATAGAGTCAGAACACGTTACATCTGTGAAAATTTCTAAAATATTTTACTCCTATGCTATTGCATACACATATAATATAGTACCGTTCTTCCAGAAGAATCATGTTAACTTCTTGTAAGAGGTTGTAGGCCTTTTTCAAATGTTATGGCTTAGATCATTTTCTTGTATGTGAAACTGTTGAAGTATCAAAAGCACACTTCAACTACTTTCCAGTATTGTTGCAGACCACCCTGTTTCTTGGATAAGTCAAATGTGACATTTCATTGAGACCTGCTTCCTTACTTTTTCTCCATATTTCCTGTCAATTTAATGTTTGTTGTATCATGTTAATAGCTACTCACTATTGGACAACTGTGTGTTAGACACCAATGTCACATTGCCTTTATGATCACATTCAGTGTCTGTGAAGTACTTGTCGTCATCCCCATTTTGCAGGTAAGGAAACCTAGGCTTATTTTAGATAGGAAATTTGTCTGAGGTCTATTCTCTGAAATTCAATATATCATTCTGCCTGTAAAGATCTTGAAAGCCTAAATTGGCTTTATTAATATTGGAATAGATTCTGCATGGTTCAGTAAATGTTAAAAATATTTTATATCATAGGACAATGAAGATACATATTTTATTTTCAATTAATAACCTGAGAAGTGAAAATGCCCAAATATCTTATAAATCAAATATAATTAATGCATCTTTTTTTGAGAATTTGGGTCATGATTAAATTACTAGGTATAAAGAGATATCATCCTTGCCAAAATGTTAATTATTTCAAAATTGAAATCTGATTGTTCTTAGGATAATTGACAAAGCCACTAGGTTATATGATTTGGCTACTCATGACATTGCTTTCCTTAACTTGTGATTTGGACATATTATGAAGGATGGGATTCTTCCTCTAAAGTTAATAGTTAATTTTTCATTGTCCTTTAACTGCTAACATTTGAAGTGAACAGTTTTATTACTAAAGAGAGATGCTTTTGGAACCACTAGTGGGATAAAAGTCGTAGTGGTTTTATCAATGATGAAAAGGTTAGAACAATTAGAAAGTACTCAAGGCGTAATTGAGATGTATGAACTTCTGGTACACCGTGAAACTGTTTTAAATGGTTGCAAAAAAAGTAGAATCAGAATTATAAAAAGAAAACTAAATACAGAGTTCATTTAAGGATTGCTATTTTCTACCATGTATTTTTTTCACTAGGGGACAAGAATTTGCAGAGTTTTTCTATAATATGTATCATTGTATATATTGTAATTTATATTTACTATTGTATTCAAACAATAAGTTTACTCATAGACTTGCCTCTAATGATAGTCTCATCTTTTATCTACCCTGTTCAAATGTGACTTCTGACCTTCATCCTGAAGGATAATGTATTAATGTATTGATGTACTCAGTGACCTGTAGACATTTAGTAACTTCCAAAGCAACAAGGCTCAGATTTGCCCTGTAAGTCATGTGTAAAGAATATTAACCTAAAGGTATGTACGATCTTAAGATGTAATAAGAATATGTCATTATAAAGTGCTTTATAAACTTTGAATGCACATGTTCATATTCTGAGTGAAGTAAAATTTTTTCCATGAAGTGTACAGTCTCTAACACTTTGTTAATGTTTGAACCAGCTAAAAATATTTCCTATTTGGTGAGTTCGTACTTGCATTGGGCATTCCTAGAATCGTTCTCATTCAAAGGATTTTTTTAATGCTTTTGCTCTAGAAATTTATGTAGCCCATTGTGACATGAAGGAAAGTGAGAGCTTTCCGAGTTACACTGATAACAGAAATTTATTTTGGAAGAGGTTCTGAGAACACTGGCTCAACAACAATTAGCCATTCATGGACCAGAGACCAGAATAATATAAAACAAAAAATGAAAATTTGGGGAGGGGTCTTGATTTGAATGTCTAGTGAATTCGGTTGAAATACATTCCTGACATCTCAGGAACTTCACCTCATCCCTTAAAATGTTCACTTCTGTGTCTTAATTGTCTCCCTCTTCATTGCATCAAACCTATTGGCGTGTATACATGCTCATCTCTTGCCAAAAGTAAACACAACCAAATTCACAAAACAATTGTCTCTCAGGCCCAAATCTATCCAGGTTACATCTCCCCACGCATCTGCAATGAGATACTCACATTTGCTGTCTCCACTCATTCAACACTCTTTTATTTGTCAATTTTTTTATAAGATGACATATACTTCAATCACTACCCAGAAACTTATTTCACCGAGAGTACCATCTGCTTTCTACTATACTAATCAATGAGCAACTTTCAGCCCTTAGTTTGTTTAAATTATAAGAATTTCATACCTCAAGACCACCTTTCTTCTTGGAATTCCTTTATTCTTGTTTCCATGCTACCGTGAGTTAGTAGATTTTATTCCATTCTTCTGCCTTTTTCTTCTTAGTCTACTTCAGTATCTTTTCCACTTATCTTTTAAAAGCTATTATTCATCCAGGTTCTGTTTTTAGGTCTGATTTTCTTCTCACTCTAAATGAGTCTATGAATAATTTCTTTCATATGAGTGGTTTCAATCACTATTTATACACTAATATAGAGAGACAGATAGATAATAGATACATATTATTTAACTCTATCATGTATCATCACCACCACTTATCTAAATTCTGACTTTCAGTTCTATATATTTAACTGCTTTTTTGAAATCTTCATCCAGAATCACAATATAAATTTGTATATATTCAAACATATGATAATAATAATATTTCTCCAAATTTTAGTTTTTAACTTGGGTCTTTGTATTTAAAAAATACTGCTATCATGATACAGTTTGGAAACAATATATCTGTGTTATTTTAGACTTTGCATTCTAAATAGTGTGTGCTTTTGTATTTGTGTGTGCCTTTTCTCCTTTTTCCTGATAAATCTCACTATAGTTTTATTCCACTGAATTAGTCTTTTCAAGAAGCCATCTGTGGGCATAATTGATCATCTCTATCATGTCTTTGTTTCCTATTTCATTAATTATTTCTTTGCAGCTTTGCTTTGTTTTCTTACTTCTTAAGTTGGATGCCTTTTTGTTCTTTAATTTTTTAATTGAACTTTTATTTTAGATACAGAGGGTACATGTGCAGGTTTGGTACATGGGAACAATGCATGATGCTGAGGTTTAGGGTATGGATCCTATTACCAAGGTAGTGAATATAGTACCGAATATGTAGTTTTTCAAACCACACCTCCCTTTCTCTCAGTAATCTCCAGTGTCTATTGTTTCCATATTGATGTTCATGTGTGCCTGATGTTTAGCTCACACTTACAAGTAAGAACACATGGTATTTAGTTTTCTGTCCCTGCGTTAATTTACTTAGGATTTGACCCCTGACTGCATCCATGTTTCTGCAAAGGACATAATTTCATTCTTTTTTTATGAAAATATTTTTATGGTTGTATTCCATGGTGTAAATGTATCACATTTTCTTTATCCATTCTACCATTGATGGGCACCTGGGTTGATTCCACATCTTTGCTATTTGAATAGAACAGCTATGAACATATAAGTACATGCTTATTTTTGGTAGAATGATTTTCCTTTGGGTATATAATTCCGAGTAGGATTGCTGGGTCAAATGGTAGCTCTGTTTTAAGTTCTTTGATAAATCTTCAGATTGCTTTCCACAGTGGTGGACAAATTTACATTTGCAACAACAGTCTATAAGCATTCCTTTTTCTGTGCAGCTTTATCAACAACAACTCTTGTTTTTTGACTTTTTATTAATAGCCATTCTGACTGGTGTGAGAAGATATCTCACTGTGGTTTTGATTTGTATTTCTTCCAGTATATTTACTTAAAGCAATAAATGCCTCTTCAAATATCACTTTCACTAAGTTCATTAGCATTCTATGTGTAGTATTTTTGTTATTTAATTACAAGTGTTTGAAAAACCCCATTATGGTTTCTTCTTTAACGAAATATTGTTAATTACTATTTTAATTTTTGAATGTATAATTATTTTAATATTCCTTTCATTTGTTTACTTTTTAATTTAATTAGATTATGGTCAAAGAATATGATTTTTACTATTTCTTTAGATCCATTTTATGCTTAAGTTCTAATATGTAATCATTTTAAAATTGCTTCATATAAGCTTGCGTAGGATGTGTAATCCTTGTCTGTTGTATGCAGTATTCCATATGTGTTCATCAAATCTATTCTATTAATTGTTCTACAAAAATTCTGTATCTATTATTTTAATAGAGCATCCATATTAAGAGAAACAAATCCAAATATTCTACTTTAATATTACTATGTCAAATTCACCTTGTTCTGTTAATTTTATGTATACAATTTTGGCTATTCTATTAGGTGTCTACATCTTTGGGATTACTATATATTATGAATGAATTGATCCTTTTATTATATAAAGACACTCATGATGTGGAAACATTTATAAAATTTTTATGATTTGCTTGATTTTTGTCTTTTGAAGAAATCAATTTTTTTCTTAGATCATAGAAGTATTTTTATATTCTCAGAGAAAATGGCAATTTTGTTTGTCTTTTACAATTATTATATTTCCCGTTGACTTCTCTTATTGCATTGACTGAAACTTCCAGTAAATTTTGCATAGTAATAATGAGAGTAAAGTGTCCTTATTCTTTTAAAGTGTTTACCATTAACTTTAAAGGGTTTTTAATATTTTATTATTGATTATCATGTATATGTGTGTATGTATGTGGGGGTGTCGCTATACATAATTTGCATCCTATTGTATTATCATTTCTTGTTTATCTGTCCAAAAACCTATTGAGTGTAAATTCCTTAAAGGGAAATCTGCTTTAAAAAATCAAAAACAAAAAACATTATATCTCCGTTGCTTAGTATAATGCCTAAAATTAGTATAATGCCTAAAATATATTATGTAGATTAAATAAGTATATTTAATAATTTAAGTATTTATTAAACTAAATTATATTTATTAAATTTAAAATGAGTAAATCAATAAATATGTACTGCCAGAAGCAAACATTTATGCATTAAAGAATAAATAAGGAGAAAACCATTGTGCAAACCTTTTGTTCTTCATTTCGTTTCTTGTTTGTTTCTCTATATTGTAAGAAATTCCTCCTCGAAATTTGTTAAAATTATTATTCTATGAGGACGATGTTTGGTGGGTCAGTTAGATGGCTTTGGCTGTTATTTTTCTCTTTTTTCATTTTTCCTTTCTGTTGTTTATTTGTTTATTTTTTAATAACAATTGCTAAAGGAGTCCAAGGAGTTGTTGTTGGGCCATTACCTAAAACAAGCAAGCAAAAGGCAAGATGAGTCAGGAAGATTGTGATTATGTAAGCTTTGTGTTGTTATTATAATATTTTTGTTTTTCAAGTTGTAGAATGACATTGCAAAAAATATGTGAATAAGTAAAATTACCATTTTTTGGCTTTGTAAAATGCTGGAATCTCATATTATAGACTGTAATATAAATGTGCATATTTTAAAAACCTAAAATTCACCAGCAAATCTTCACTGTTGACAGCTTTCTGGTCAGTGTGGCTACAGAAGTCCAGGCTTTTCCATAAATTAAAATCAGTTATACTCTAGATCCATTCATTTTACAAAGTGGCTGCTAGTCAAATACCATAAAAAAAAGTCACTGTTCAAAATTTAAGATTTGAAACAGACACTGTATTTTCATGTATCATCTTTAATATTTGCTAAGATCCCAGGTAAACTCATTTAGTTTGGTTTGACAACCATCAAAGAGTCATCAGAAATATCTTCCTCAAATTCATTTCAGTTTATTTTTTCAATGGTTGTATTTACTTATTGTAGAAGCAACAATTTCTATAGTAGCCCCTTAACCTTTACACCTTCAAGAGGAAATCTCAACCAGATTTTCTCTTTTATTATATATTCCTTTTTAAAAGAAGTGATAAATGACTCTACTTTCCAAGTCAATATGTGACAGTTACAAATTCATAGTATATTTGTAGTTTGAAAGACTGTGCTTCATGACAGGTGGCAGGATTGGTGGTGATTCAAATTAATACTAAAGAATAATAAATGAATGGCAGAGAAAGTCTGCAAAATCTTTGTCTTAAGACACTCAGTTTTGGAAATTTAATGCCCATAAAATGAATTGCTACTAGGCAAATTAGGAAGGGATTCGGAATAGTGATATGTGAAGACAACAACATGAAGATATGTGTGACAGGCTTTTTCAACATAAGTCTGATATTCAAGTTATAAACTGGTCTCATCTTAAACTTACTATATAAGGATACTTGTCCTTGGTGTTTTTTTTTCTTTCTTTTTTCTTTCTTTCTTTCTTTTTTTTTTTTTTTTTTTTTTGACAGAGTTTTGTTCTTGTTGCCCAGGCTGGAGTGCAATGGCAACATCTCGGCTCACCACAACCTCCGCCTCCCAGGTTCAAGCGATTCTTCTGCCTCACCTCCTGAGTAGCTGGCGTTACAGTCATGTGCCACTATGCCCGGCTAATTTTGTATTTTTAGTAGTGGTGGGGTTTCTCCACGTTGGTCAGTCTGGTCTCGAACTCCCGACTTCAGGTGATCTGCCCACCTCAGCCTCCCAAAGTTCTGGGATTACAAGCATGAGCCACTGCACCCGGCCTACTTGGTGGATTTAATATACTAACTTTATAGATTGAATTAATTGATTGTGCTTCATGGTTCCTTGAGAAATGTATGTGTTAAAATAGACTATATCTCAATGTCTATTTTAAATTTAGTGTATAATAGCATATGACATAGAACGGAAGATTTTAAGAAGCTTCTTCGTCTGCTTTACAATTTCAGAAATCTCAATGCAGATTCTTTTTATGAACTGATATGATTTGGCTGTGTCCCCACCCAAATCTAAACTTGAATTATATCTCCCAGAATTCCCACATGTAGTGGGAGGGACCCAGGGGGAGGTAGTTGAATCATGGGGACTGTTCTTTCCCATACTATTCTCGTGATAGTGAATAAGTCTCACGATATCTGATGGGTTTATCAGGGGTTTCCGCTTTTGCTTCTTCCTCACTTTTTTTCTTGCTGCCCCCCATGTAAGAAGTGTCTTTCGCATCCTGCCATGATTCTGAGGCCTCCCCAGCCATGTGGAAATGTAAGTCCAATTAAATATCTTTTTGTTCCCAGTTATTGGTATGTCTTTATCAGCAGCATGAAAGTGAACTAATAGAGTAAATTGGTACCAGTAAAGTTGCAGGGGGGTTGCTGAAAAGATAACTGAAACTGTGGAAGTGACTTTGGAACTGGATAACAGGCAGAGGCTGGAACAGTTTGGAGGGCTCAGAAGAAGACAGGAAAATTTGGGAAACTTTGGAACCTCCTACAAACTTGTTGAATGGCTTTGCAAAAATGCTGAAGGCGATATAAACAATAAGGTCCAGCCTGAGGTGGTCTCAGATGGAGCTGAGGAACTTGTTGGGAACCGGAGCAAAGGTGATTGTTGTTATGTTTTATCAAAGAGACTGGCGGCATTTTGCCCCTGCCTTAGAGATTTGTGGAAACTTTAACTTGAGAGAGATGATTTAGGGTATCTGGCGGAAGAAATTTCTAAGGAGCAAAGCATTTGAAAGGTGACTTGGGTGCTGTTAAAAGCTTTCCATTTTAAAAGGGAAACAGAGCATAAAATTTCAGAAAATTTGCAGCCTGATGATGCAGTAGAAAAGAAAAACCCATTTTTTTTTGAGGGGAAATTCAAGCCAGCTGCAGAAACTTGCATAAGTAACAAGGAGCCTAATGTTAGTCCCCAACACCATGGGGAAAATGTCTCTAGGCTATATCAGAAAACTTCACGACCTAGAGACTTAGACCCCTAGGTCCCAGCCACTCGAGCCATCACTGAAAGGGGCCAATGTAGAGCTCAGGCTGTTGCTTCAGAGGGTGGAAGCCACAAGCCTTCGCAGCTTCTATGTGGTGTTGAGCCTGCGGGTGCACAGGTCAAGAATTGGAGGTTTGGGAACCTCCGTCTAGATTTCAAAGGATGTATGGAAATGCCTGGATGCCCAGGCAAAAGTTTGCTGCAGGGGCGGGGTCCTCGTGGAGCATCTCTGCTAGGACAGTGCAGAAGGGAAATGTGGAGTCTGAGCCCCTACACAGAGTCTCTACTGTGGTACAGCCTAGTGGAGCTGTGAGAAGAGGGTCACCATCCTCCAAACCCCAGAATGGTAGATCTACCAACAGCTTGCACCATGCACCTGGAAAAGCCACAGACACTCAATGCCAGCCCATGAAAGCAACCAGGAGGGAGGCTGTACCCTGCTAAGCCACAGGCGTGGAGCCACCCAAGACCATGGGAACCCACCTCTTGCATCAGTGTGACCTGGATGTGAGACCTGGAGTCAAAGGAAATCATTTTAGAGCTTTAAAATTTGACTGCCCCGCTGGATTTCAGACTTGTGTGGGCCCTGTAACCCATTTGTTTTGGCCAATTTCTCCCATTTGGAACTGCTATATTTACCCAATACCTGCAACCCCATTGTATTTAGGAAGTAAGTACCTTGCTTTTGATTTTTACAGGCTCAGGAGGAAGGGACTTGTCTTGTCTCAGTCAGACTTTGGACTGTGGACATTTAGATTAATGCTGAAATACTAAGACTTTAGGGGAATGTTGGAAGGCATGATTGGTTTTGAAATATGAGAACATGAGATTTGGAGGGGCCAGGGGTGAAATGATATGGTTTGCCTGTGTCCCCACCTAAATATCAACTTGCATGGTATGTCCCAGAATTCCCATGTGTCCTGGGAGGGACCTAGGTGTAGGTAGTTGAATCATGGGGGCTGGCCTTTTCCTTGCTATTCTTGTGATAGTGAATAAGTCTTACGAAATCTGATGGGTTTATCAGGGGTTCCATTTTTGCTTTTTCCTCATTTTTCTCTTGTTGCTGCCATGTAAGAAGTGCCTTTCACTGCCTGCCATGATTCTGAGGTCTCTCCAGCCATGTGGAACTGTAAGTCCAATTAAATCTCATTTTGTTCCCAGTTTCGGGTATGTCTTTATAAGCAGCATGAAAACGAACTAATAAATGAACACATATACATCTAAATTTTTACTTTTAAAATAAAATTTTTATTGCCTTATATGACTTATGCCCGATACATACAAACACAAAGACGCACATATGTGCATACACAACAAATACACATTGTGCTGTTTCCTTATAGTAAAAGAGATGGGCTAAGTCAGACACAACCAAAATTCATTTATTATAAGTGTATGTAGGTCAATGAAGAGAATATAGTCCCTATGATTTTGAAAGCAATTGTACATCAAGACATAGTAGGAAATGCAACCTTCCCCAAAATTTCACTATAGATTCTACTTATTAATGTAGCCACTTAATTATGTGATTACCTGTAAATGGCATTTGCTGTGTGCACTTAGGCAACCTACTGAGGTGTTAAAACAGCAAATTAAATCAGCTTTACAGATACAATAGAGGTTGAGTAACGCTTATTCAACATACTTAAGACCTGAAATGTATCTGAATTTGATTCTTTTCAGATTTTTGTATATTTGCATATATGTAAAGAGATATCTTGGGGATGGAACCCAAGTCTAAACACAAAATTTATTTATGTTTCATGTATATCTTATAAATATGGCCTGGAGATAATTTTACACAATATTAAAAAAAAACTTGTGCATGAAACAAAGTTTGTATATATGGGACCATTGCAAAGTGAAGGTGTCATCATCCAGCCACCCATGTGTGCAATCTGTGGTTGGTTGGCATCACCATCATTTCTAACTCTAAATTTACAAGCTACGGAGAAGAAATCATTTTCTTACACTTACTCATATAGAGTACTTACCAGTAAAAAAAGTATGACATGGCATTAATAGAGTGAAAAATAATGTGTTCAGGGTAATGGAGCAGCACAGCAGCATCACCAGAATACCTGCATCGCTCTTAAACAACAACAGACGATGGCAGGCTTTCTGGCTCCACTTAAGATGTTGTGTTTAATTAAAAAGTTATTGTACACTTGTGGCATTATTTCAGTGCATTTGGGGCATTTCAGATTTTAACTTTTGAATTGAAGAGGCTCAACCTGTGTTGCTATTGACACAGTGAAAGAACGTGCTTTTGCCCAAAAATATAGTATAGTGAAAACATAGTATTGTGAAGACATCTCACTCCCCCTGCCCCACCACCACAACAGCCAAAAGAAAAGAGGAGAGAAATACACAGCATGTGAAAACAGAGGAAACTCTGAGAATGCTGCTCAATAATGTCCTTTAACTTTTAAAGAAAAACTATAAGGTATGTAATTCATATCCAAAACAATAGGTCACAGCAGATGGAGTTCTTCCATATGGATGGAGTTAGTAAAAAGAAGCCCTAATTGGAGTGTCAATCACCAAGAAAAAAATATTTTAAGAAAATCAGTAGAATGACATGTTAGTAGTATTGCTTTATGATAATTCTGAGTAAAGAAAATAAGGAAAAATAATGAAGGTAGAGATAAAGATTGGAGTGGAATCATTCAGAGAAACAGTGTCAAAACAATTATCCTAGGATATCAACTGTCTTGTGAGATGTGTCTTATACAACTAAATGCCGCTTACCTATGGAGGGGCAAAAATGCAATCTCTACCCCCTAGTCCAACCATACTTAACACCAAAACAACCCATTTCATCGAGTGGACAAAAACAATGTAGAAAAGCAAGATGCATGCACATTCACTTGTCAACTTTAAGTTTGCACATGATTGCTTCAGTGCCCTAAACAAAATTCTGTTTCACACCATCTTGCAAACTCTATTTTCTGCTATTACATTTAGTGTTCACAAGTAACAAAAATGCTGTTCAACAACTCAATTCACTTGAAGTAAACTCTAAATGATTAATGTACTTGGAATAAAAATAAAACTACATGGGAATACTTTAATGAAGTCAGAAGAACACACACAATAGAAATGATAGTTGACTCTGAGGATGCATTTTTTGAGCATATCTTTCTACTTACTATTCAGATAATTGACATGTATTAGTGTTATCTTATCCCAGATATTTAAGGAGGTCTTATAGTATGTAATTTCACTGAATTTTTTTCCCTTTGAGGGCCAGGTAGACATTTTTTTAAAACCTCACTCTTTATAAAACTCCAGATTCATTATTATTAAGGAAATACTTCAGATGTCTTCCAAACAGTTCCTTGTTAAATCTGACAACTGCATGACTGACATGCTTTTAACAAGGGTTTCTGTTGCAAGTACATAGGTAAGGTATCCAGAATATGGAAGGACAATGCAAGCCCTGGAGACTGAGTTGCATATCTATATTTGGATGAAAGACCAAGATCAAATCTCCTCTTGTAATTTTCTAAAGGGAGAGATATTGCAAGGAAATCAGAGAAAAATCTTTATGTTGGTTTTAAGATACATGGGGGTACAGTCAGGGAAGCAAGAAGATATTTCAAAAGAAGACAGATTTCTCCCTTTGAAGTATGGAGTTCCACTAGACCCTGTTCCACACTACACTTCCTTCTTTCTTGTCTCTGAAATTTGGACATTCATTAGAGAAGTGAGATTGTGTCTTTGGGAAAAGTGTTCAAAATCTAAACAGCTTAGCTATAAATGGTGGACATTTAAGGAACATCAATGGTGAAACTCTACAATGTTGTTTTGCTTCTTCACACGTAAAATATATGTCTCTCTAATCATGAATGTATGCTCCATGCACATATTAATTATATGTCCTGAATTAAATTCATATCCCATAGCATTTACAGTTTATGTGCATATATGTAGTTTGTTATCTGTTTTTAACAGTGTTTCTTATAGTTTTATGATTGCATCCTCTTTACATTAGTAGAATACACCTCAAAGGCAAATAGCATTGGAAAATTATGATAATATTAGATAATTATGTTTTTTCACTCACTATTATATCCCCTTATGTATACCCATAGTCTAGTACAAACCTGGCTAATCAATAACTATCTGTTTAGAAAGTGAATGAACGAATGATTGGGAGTGCCTGCAAGACCTATATGTTTTAAGTAATTTAGAATGAACATAAAGATCTTGTATGTTTCTGGAACATTCTACTCAAAATTGGTGATATACTTGTTTTCTGGAATCTTATTCAATTAAGCAGTAATTTTCCTTTTTTAAAAAAAAAATCTTACCTCACAGCATTTGAGGGATATAATACTTCTTCATCAATAATATAATTGATGCAAAAGAGGAAAAGGCATTGAGACCATCTCAGGTCTTTCTTACAAATCTCTCCCCAGTTGAAAATACTGAATGGATGAATATATATATATATATATATATATATTATATATATCATATATATAATATATATATATGAATATATGATATATATGATATATTTAGAACCATCTTCTTTGTTATCAGTACATTTTCCTGAATTGAAGACACAGCTCAATTTAAAATATGAGATAATAAAAGGCCCATATTCAATAAAATGTGTATATAGATCAAAATTTTTCTATTTAATAATTATTTAAATTATACTCACTATTGAGTGGAAAGTATCTGTTTTAGATGACATCCTTAAGTGCATCAGAAAAAGTAGATATTTAATCATGAGATGCACCAACTGCAAAAAAGTTAATCAGAAAAATAATGAATTAATATAATTTTTGCAAATTACACACATTTAAAAATCTAAAATTATTTATATTTTATTAGGAATTTCCATTGAGTTCAGAGTCTTTTAATGTTTAGCCACATTGATTCCTTATTTCCCACTCATGATATTTCTTTCAGGATTAAAGGACATCAGTTTATGTATCTTTATCCTCTCCTCACTCTCTCATTCACTCTTTGCCTTAGGTGCATCATGACTGTCTTGATTTGTGAACATGGAAGGAATATTTGGGCATGACTGGCTCAGGCCAATCTTGGGGAAATCTAGTTGTAAAACTTTATCATATTCTGGGGTTCGGACTTAGTAAAAATAATTGCTGGCATATATAAACAAAGTTCTTCTTAATCAACTTTAAAGATTTCTCTTTGACTTATTTTTTAAGTAATTTAGAATGGGAGCAGGAGAGACAGAAATAATAATTTTTGAGCCTCTCGGCTTCCAACATTTTTACTGCCAAAACAGAGAAATAATTTATTTTAAAAGAGAGAAAGAAGATTTTGTTTTGAGTTTTTTCATCAGAACAGTATTGCTCACAAATTTTAGCAAATTGACTTCAATCAGCTTTCTACAGATTTTCATTAAACTTTTATAGAAATTTCTCCTTTGGTTTCAAGGAATGACCTTACACATCCCTTCATGCTGTAGCAAAATGTACCTTCCAAAGCAAATATATAATCAGAATAATGCAATTAATTTGAATGTATTAGATACATTCTAATAGGTGCCCTTGAGTCCTGTCTTTCTTTCTAGGGATCATCATGATTTCAAGAAAAGGAATAGGGTTTCATGTAGGATCACTGGACCTGAAACAAACAAACAAACAAAAAAACAAAAACTAAATTCTGCCTCAGTATTCGAGCCACTGATGCTGTTAGAATTCAATGAGATTGTATATGTAAGGTAGCCTGGAAGATAATAGATATTATCAAATTGGTTATTTTGCTTAAATGAGACAAGATATATGAGGGTATGTTTATACTACATAGTGATATTATGTTCTATCACTATCTGTCTATCTATCTATCTATCTATCTATCTATCTATCTATCTATCATCTATCTAGGTATCAGATTATTGTGGCTAGTAATTGGCTTATCTTGTTGCCTAACTTAAGTGGCCTTGGTCATGAGAAAATCTGTCTTTTTTGATGAAATATAGGACAAATGTTTTGGTAGCATGAAATTCATTATAACTTAAAATTATATTCAATAGCTGAAAATTGGTTTACTTATGTGAAAGATCAATCTCACATTTTTTATGTCCATGTATCTTTATTTGCATGTGTCTCAGATAATCTTTCAGAATTGCGTTTTGCTTAGTAGAAATGAAAAAAATCACACTCTGACATAGTAGAACCTCCTTAACGAAGCATTAAATTATAAAATCTAAGTACCAATTACCTCCTTGGTCAGGAGGGCATGGAGTTGGAGTCTAGTGAGGTAGAATGAATGATGAAGTACGGGCCTTCTCCAGCTTCTGCAGTCTGATTCTCTGATACGGAGATGCTTTGTTAAAGGGATAGTTACTCTATTGGTTTATTTATGATGATTGCCTGGGTACAGTGTTCATGCAGCTACTTCATTCTTTTTCTTTATTAGCTGCTGACTTTTTTATTATCATGCTTTTCCTTTTTGCTATAAATTGTTAATTATTACCTTCATGACACTGGGTAAAACTTCTATTAACTGTCATTGTTTGACTGGCAGTTATGGAGATTTACTTTTGCTAAACCCCTACCATACTAGACAGTCATAAACTACAAGGCACAGTGCATTAGAGAAAAGACTTTCTGCTTTTGTCCTTCAGCCCAATGTAATTTGTATGTTTCCAGCTTTATAAAGAACCTGTTTATTGAGGTCCTGTATATTTTATCATAGAGGTGTATTTACCTGTTTACCATCATTTAAACAAAGAATTCCATCAATCAAATCCTAAAGAAATACATTGCCTTAATCAGACTGTCACTCTTTGACCAACATTACTGTCACTGATTTGTTAAAATGAACTTTAATAAGAGGTACCAATAAATTGAGTGGTGCTCCCATTTGATTGCATAGTATTTTAAGAAGATGATAACTCATTCAAATTACAGTAACCAACTTCCAAATATAGTTCAGGATAATATACACTATAAGGTTGGATGTTTGATTCTATTTATGGAATGTATGATTTTGGTATTTTTTATTCTAGTTCCCTGGTATAAATTCATACCATGTCATGACTGGAAAATCTGGACAAAATATAGCATTTGTATTTTTTATAATTTCTTAGAAATGACATATGCATACATTTTGCCTCTTTACAAAGTGTTCTTATATCTCCACAGGATGGGTCCATGTGTTTCCCCTTGCATCTTTGGTGTTTATGGCCTATATTATAATAATGCTAAACCACTCATGGCTCCCTAAGTCCACCATATTACACACTGAGTCTCTTCTTAAAATGCCTCTTTCCTTTCCCTTTTCTCATATACCATTCTTAATCTACTATGCTCCCCAACACTTTGTACATTTTTCGGTTTTAGGATTTACTACATTATATCATATCATGTTAGTGTACACAATGTCAGGGTTTACATCTCTAATCTTTACATTCATATCATTCAGCAAATTATCTAACACATATTAGGTAATGCTATATAAATTTTCTAGAAAAAATGAGTAACTTTAACTCCCTTTTCATATCTAAATATAAATTCCTTTTGGAAAGTAATCCTGAATGAGTGAATGAGTAAATAGGTGAAAAAGTTCTTCCTTAATTAAATATAATAATTATGAATAATATATCAAGTCCAATTATTAATGTCTAAAAATTACATACGTATAATTTTGAGTATATTCTTCACTAACATTTAACAAAATATATTTTAGTTTACATGAAAGAAAATATTTTATTTCGATTGAAAAACAACTGACTAAAGAAAAAATTTTTATATTGCTCATACTACTTTGCATGGTTTGAATATTTGTCCCCTCCAAAACTCATGTTGACATTTATTTGTCACTGTGACAGCGTTAAGAAGTGAGACCCTTAAGAGGTGATTAGGTCATCTGGGCTTCATCTTCATGGGTGTGATCACTGCCATTATAAAAAGGAGACTTTGGACCCTTCTTGCTCTTTCTTGCCCTTTCTTGCCCTCTTGTTGTCTGCCATGTGATGACTCAGCAGGAAGGCTCTCACCAGATGCCAGCATCTTGATATTGGACTTCCTAGCCTCCAGAACTGTGAGCCAGTAAATTTATTTTCATTGTAAATTACCTGTTCTTAGATATTCTGTTATACCGTCAAAAATAAACTAACACATAATCCTTTAAAAAACAACTGTAACAACAACAACAACAACAACAACAACAAAAACAGTTATCTTAAGTCCTGAAGAGCAGGTCAGAAAAGAAATTAAGGCTAGGAAATTGATAGAGTGACATAAGGATTCAGAAATTAATTCCAGCCTCTTCAACCAGTTTCTCTGTGTGTATCATGTTGATAGTTTCATGAGAACTAGAGGTGTTCTCTCAAAATGACCTGACCATTTAATCTTTTATGATTGGATATGGAATTGTAGTGTGATTATTCTAGGCACGAGCAAGCAAAGATGGAGTGGTAAACTCATCTAATGGCTGGATCCCAAATACCAAAGAAAGTGGAGTAGCTGCTGCTTCTCCCAGTTCACACCTGGCTGTTGTCAAAAGAGGAAGAAAAAACAGAGAAGAAATAGCACAATTGAGATAACTTGCAATATATTACATATAATACAACCATGAATCCATCCATCATACAATCAAGATAGTAAACATATCCATCATCCTCAAATGCTTCCCTAGGCTCCCTGTTAATTTCACTCTTTCATCCCTCCCTGCTACAATTGCATGTTTCCAGTTAAACACTGATCGACTTTTTATTGATAGATTGGTTTTCATTTTCTAGAATTTTACATAAATGATTTTTTACAGTATGTGCTTTGTTAGATATAGGGATATTCAGGTTGTCTGCCTATGAGTGTGCTTTCATATTTTGTTTCTTTAAAAGAGTTAATTCATTTCATCAAACTTGTTAAATTTGTTGGCATAAATTTGTTCTTAATATTCCCTAGTTATACATTTAAAATCTATAGAATCTGAGTAATATTACTACATATTTCTTGATAATGATCAAATATTTTTATTTTTTTCTGATCAGTATGATTAAAAGTTTAACAGTTGCATTAATTTTCTTGCATCACTAACTTTTGTTTGTTGTTTTTTCTATTATCTATTTTATTGATTTCTATGCTGATCTGTATTATTTCCTATCTTCTGTTTAATTCGAGTTTCTTTTTTTTTTTTTCGCTTTTTCTGGTTTCTTAAGGGGGAGGTTGAAGTCATTTGGTTCAGACCCTTTCTAAAAAATTACTAATCTAGGCCATTAATGCTATAAAATTTCCCTAAATACTGCTCTAGCCACATTGGAAACATTTGTAATTCACCTTTGATTTTTTTTTTTGACTCATGAGCTATTTAGATATGTGTTTCCAATATTTAGGAATTTTTCAAATATCTTTCTTTATTTGAATGGTTATTTAATTTTATTGTGGAATGAGAACATACTTTCTATGACTTGAATTTATTCTAATTTATTGAGACATTTTTATGACCCAGAATATGGTGTATCTTTATACATAATTCATGTGTACTTGAAAGAATGTACAGCATGCTGTTGTTTGGTAGGGTATTCTATAAATGTGAAATTATATAAAGTTGGTTGAGTTAGAGTTTTTCATATGCTTGCTGATATTTTATCTAATTGAAAGATGGATATTTAAATCTCCAACTATAATTGTGAATTTTCCTCTTTATGCTTGCAGTTTTAGCAGTTTTTGCTTCATGTATTTTGAACATTTGTTCCTAAGTGAAACAGTTTAAGATTGAATTGCTGTGTAATCTTAATTGGCCACTTTATAGTTATGAAATCACCTTTTTTATCTCAGTTTTTCTTTGCTCTGAAATAACCTTTTTTCTATTATTAATACAGTCATTCCAACTTTCTTTTGATTAGTATTCATAGCATATATTTTATTATTCTTTTACTTTTAACTTATTTATGTCTTTCTATTTAAAGTATATTTCTTCTTGGCAGCACATATTTGGCCTTGCTTTTCAAATCAAATTTGACAATCTTTGCCTCTGAATCAAGGTATTTAGAACACTTGTATTTAGTGTGATTACTCATATAATTACATTTAGGTTTATCACCCTGCTTTGTAGTTTTCATTTGTCCTCTTTGTTGTTTATTTCCCTTTTCCTTTTTTTCTGCCTTCTTTTTGACTATTGGAGTGGTTTTTTATTGTTACATTTTAATTGTTTTTTAAAAAAATAATTAGTTGTATGAACTAAAATAAAATGTGCATTGTAAAAGTCATAACATATGTATAAGAAAAATCTTACATATACTCCATCATGTTACCCTTTCTACTCCTCCTTATTCCTTTATGTATATCTGTATTTCCATTTGTTATAATATTCCTTATGCCTGAAGTACTTTTTTTTCAGCATATCTTGGAGTGTGATGAGTCTGCCAGTGGTGAATTCTTTCAGCCTTTCTGTGTCTGAAGAACTCTTAATTTTGTCTTTGTTTTTAAGATATATTTTAAATGGTTATAGAACTCTAGGTTGACTTTTCTGTCAGTATTTTAAAGATCTTGCTCCACTGTCTTCTGCCTTACATAGTTTTGACAAGAAATCTGCTGTCATTTATAACACAAGTGGTCTTCTGTATGCAATGTGCTGTTTTTCTCTGGCTTTTAAAAAAGTTTCTCTATCACTAGTTTTGAGAAATATGTTTATAATGTACCTGAGCACCGTATTCTTTTTTATTTTTTTATTATAGTTTAAGTTCTGGGGTACATGTGCAGGTTTGTTACATAGGTCTACATGTGCCATGTTGGTTTGCTGCACTCATCAACTTGTCATTTACATTAGATATTTCTCCTAATGCTATCCCTCCCCCAGCCCCCACCCCCAGTCTGTGATGTTCCCCTCCCTGTGTACATGTGTTCTTATTGTTCAACTCCCACTTATGAGTGACAACATGCAGTGTTTGGTTTTCTCTTCTTGTGTTACTTTGCTGAGAATGATGGTTTCCAGTTTCATTCATGTCCCTGCAGAGGACACAAACTCATCCTTTTTTATGGCTGCATAGTATTCCATGGTGTATGTGTGCCACATTTTCTTTATCTAGTCTATCACTGGTTGGAATTTGGGTTGATTCCAAGACTTTTCTATTGTGAACAGTGCTGCAATAAACATACTGTGCATGTGTCTTTACAGTGGAATGATTTATAATCCTTTGGGTATATACCCAGTAATGGGATTGCTGGGTCAAATGGTATTTCTTGTTCTAGATCCTTGGGGAGTAGCCACACTGTCTTCCACAATGGTTGAACTAATTTACACTCCCATAATGAGTGTAAAAGTGTTCCTGTTTCTTCACATCCTCTCCAGCATCTGTTGTTTCCTGACTTTTTAATGATCGCCATTCTAATTGGTGTGAGATGGTATCTCATTGTGGTTTTGATTTGCATTTATCTGATGACCAGTGATGATGAGCATTTTTTCATAAGTTTGTTGGCTGCATAAATGTCTTCTTCTGAGAAGTGTCTGTTAATATCCTTCGTCCACTTTTTGATGGGGTTGTTTGTTTTTTTTCTTGTATTGTTTCAGTTCTTTGTAGATTCTGGATATTAGCCCTTTGTCAGATGGATAGATTTCAAAAATTTTCTCCCATTCTGTAGGTTGCCTATTAACTCTGCTGATAGTTTCTTTTGCTGTGCAGAAGCTCTTTAGTTTAATTAGATCCCATTTGTCTATTTTGGCTTTTGTTGCCATTGCTTTTGGTATTTTAGTCATGAAGTCTTTGCCCATCTTGTGCTTGGATTTTTTTTTTTTTGCCTTTTTTTTTGGACAAATTGAGTAATTTTTTTTTTTATTGTTTCAGTTCATTTTTTTTGCTGGCTAAGACCTGTGGAGTAATAGCTTTATAAAGTCTGGCCATTTTTACTCATTATTTCTGGAAGTCATTTTTTTTTGTTCTCTCACTCCTGTTTTGGAGATCCTACTTAAAATTTTATTAGGGCTGTTGAAGTTGTTCCCAAGCTCATTTATACTTTTTCATTATTTTAAATTATTTCTTCTCTGTATATTTCATTTTGGGTGGTTTCTATTACTGTGTCTTCAAGACATTGATCCTTTTTACTTAAAACTGCAATCGACTGCTAATCTTATTTTGTGCATTTTTCAGCTTTTACATTCTAATATAATAATTGTATATCCTCTATATCTTTTCACTTATTGGACATCTGAAATACAACAATAATAACTGCTTAATACATGTGCTTTCTCATCCTAACATTTTATTTCAGAGTCAATTTTGATTGATATATTTTCCTTCATTACGGTTTTTATTGCTTTTTTTTCTATGTAATGTGTTTATTGAATGAATGTTAGACAGTGTGAATTTTATGTTGTTGTTTGCCTGACATTTTTAATCCTATAACATTTTTGTGCTTTCTTATTAGAAGTACTTTAGTTACTTGGAAATTGTTTCATCATTTACCATCTTTTAAAGTCTGTTGGGCACATTAGAGCAATGTTCAATCTTGGGCAAATTATTCTCCAACACTAAGGCAAATCTATTGTGAACATTATATGTGTAGGTGCCTTGTGAATTATGAGATTTCAAGTCTAGCTACTAAAAGTAGTCACTCTATTGCATGTAGATGTGATACCAGGTATTAAGCTTTTTAATTTTGTTCAGATAGTTATTTTCTCTTCCTTGGTTAGTTGCCTGAAATTCCTGGACTGATCAGTACTTTGCTGAATACTTTAGGAGACCCTGTTGCAAATATTGGGGTCCTTTCTCTGTGAAATTCCGTTGTCTCTGATCCTCTCTTGGAAACTGCATCATAATCCCAGTCTCACAGTTCTTTCTTCTCAATAAAGGAAGTTTGCTGAGCTCTGTCTGGGTTTGCTTTTCCTGTGCTGCAGCCTGGAAACTCTCCAAGGCAATAATTGATGCATTCATAGATCTAACTCATTTGTTTTCCATCTCCCAGAGATCACTGTCCTTCAGTCCCTAAATCTCATGTGTCTGGAAGAAAGTTATTTCTTTTTTTTTTTTTTTTTGGTTTTGTTTTTTTTTTTGTTTTTTGTTTTTTGTTTTTTTTTTTTTTGAGACGGAGTCTCGCTCTGTCACCCAGGCTGGAATGCAGTGGCGAGATCTCGGCTCACTGCAAGCTCCGCCTCCCGGGTTCACACCTTTCTCCTGCCTCAGCCTCCCGAGTAGCTGGGACTACAGGAGCCCGCCACCACGCCTGGCTAATTTTTTGTATTTTTAGTACAGACGGGGTTTCACCGTGTTAGCCGGGATGGTCTCGATCTCCTGACCTCGTGATCCTCCCATCTCGGCCTCCCAAAGTGCTGGGATTACAGGCCTGAGCCACCACGCCCGGCCGAAAGTTATTTCTTACATACTGTCTGATTGTTTTGGTTACTTTATAAATTCAATCTCGGGCCAGGCGCAGTGGCTCACGCCTGTAATCCCAGCACTTTGGGAGGCCGAGGTAGGCAGTTTACCAGAGGTCGGGAGTTCAAGACTAGCCTGACCAACATGGAGAAACCCCGTCTCTACTAAAAATACAAAATTAGCTGGGTGTTATGGAACATGCCTGTGATCTCAGCTACTCGGGAGGCTGAGGCAGGAGAATCGCTTGAACCCAGGAGGCGGAGGTTGTGGTCAGCTGAGAACGTGCCATTGCACTCCATCCTGGGCAACAAGAGCGAAACTCCATCTCAAAAAATAAATGAATAAATAATAAATAAATAAATTAAATATCTTTTACTTCATCTTGGCCTGAGGGAAATCCTCATTTATTGTTTTGAGTAGTTAAAAAAAAAAAAAAAAGGAAACCTCTAATCTTATCTAGATCTTATATAAAATAAAAACTAGAATAAATGTTGGTTTAGGCATGAAATTGCCATTGTATATATAATGTCAATGTTATATATTGAGTCTGAATAAATTTTTCATATTTCCCCAAAAAATAGCCAGGTGCGGTGGCTCACGCTTGTAATCCCAGCACTTTGGGAGGCCGAGGCGGGTGGAATATGAGGTCAGGAGATCGAGACCATCCTGGCTAACACGGTGAAACCCTGTCTCTACTAAAAATACAAAACATTAGCGGGCGTGGTGGCGGGCGCCTGTAGTCCCAGCTACTCAGGAGGCTAAGGCAGGAGAATGGCGTGAACCCGGGAGGTGGAGCTTGCAGTGAGCCAAGATCGTGACACACTCCAGCCTGGGCAACAGAGCAAGACTCCATCTCAAAAAAAAAAAAAGAAAAAAAAAACGTATTTCCCCCCAAAATAATCATCATCATTGACACTGATGTGGTTGCATGGTTTTCAGTAATACTTAAATACATCTTTCAATAAAAAGAAAGAGGAATAGGTGATGAATTAACAAGCATTTAAATGCAATTGATAAATTTTGATGGCAAAAATTATTTAGTACTTAAAGTGCTAAATACCATCTTAATTTTTTTTCCTGTATGATATTTCAATAGATCTTATATAACAAAGTTATGGTTTTATGAAACACATGATTTTTCATCAAATTTAAAAATTAAAACATTCTTTGTGCAGAATTTGGAAATATGCAAACATTGAATAGTACTGTAAAACTCGATTATTAAAATATTCATATGAAATTTACTTTTATAATTTATTTTATTTAAATGGGATAATATATGACTGAAATATAATATATAATTAATTATTTTTTCTATATTAACTACAAAAGTTTAAGCTGATGACATTCTTTTTTTGCTACTTATGTGCTAATGAATCTCTGCTAAAATATTTTCAGTTTTTACCTAAAAATATTTGTTTCATATTCCTTTGCCTTATAAAAAGTTGACTTATTTAAACATTGATTTTAGTTCAAATATGAGGGAATTTCAACCACAATGTCACTTTTTTAATTAACAAGTTACTATTGAGTATCAAAGCTTATATAGTACATTTGAGCAATTTTGATAACATAGATCTGAGTGAAGTGTTTCCATTGCTTAATACAAACCAAAATTATATTTTACTACATAGAACAAAATAGTTTTTCCTATTTTTTCCCTTTCCTTACCTTCATAAAAGAGAATTTCTTACAGAAAACACATATTTCCCATTGCATTACATATTTTCTCATTAAATGGGCAGTAGTGTGTTAAAAATATATTCTGCATGTACAAAGTAAATTTAGCAATTCACCAATGCATATCAAAAGATTTTGTTTCTAGGCAACAAATTAGGTTGTAGGAACTCTACATTTAAATTTAATCGAATTTATGGTAATTTTTTTCTACATATATTACATCAGTACCAAAGCAGATAATTTGCAGATATGGATTGATTTACAGGTATAGATTGATTAGTAACAGTGGTTATAAGTCTTTATTCTTAAATGAGTATTGTTATGACAAAATGATTGTCACATTTTAAAGGAGTGGTAGCTAACCATTGTAGAAGCCAGAATTGTTTCAATGTCTTATTATTTTTTCAGAAAAAAAGAAGCTAAAAGAGAAATTAGCTAGCCTATCTCTTTGCTTCAAAGATAAATAGCATCTCAAGAATAACTTGAAGAAAACAACACAACTGTTTAATATGGAAAAAAAATCATTCAACTCTACTCCACTCTTGATTAGTCATAACTTTACTAATATATCTTTAAAATCCTCTAGTCTTTGCATTATGCACTTTAGATTCCATTTTCAGTTTTAAAATAATCCTATTTTAATTTTACATTCACCATAAATTACTTATATGGAAGATCACAATTGGCTTAACATACCATGTATCTTATTTTTATGCTTGATTATTATAAAATCAGAGAGAAGTAGGTATTGCTCTTCTCACTTATTGTGGTTACAAGTCACCCTACGGTAATAGTGAAGTGCACAAATAGCAGTATCATATTTATTAAAGAAATGTCATTTCAAAAAATTACCATCACATCTTCACCATCACATTCTTCATTCAAACCCAAGTTTTTTGTTTGTTTATTTTGTTTGTTTGTTTTCATGAATGGCTTTAAGGCTTAGCTGCAAAAACTCCATAAGGATTCAACTTTCAACATGCTTATTTTTAGGGATTTTTCCAAGGCTCAGGCTCCTCCTGAACTTGTTAGAAGATATCCTTGCCTGCTCCCTTTTTTCTGACCTCAGGTTTTCTTCTTCTAAACTGGGCTACTTCATGACACTATGGGCAGAATGACCTATGCAATCAAATTTAATTCTCTATGGACAGTAAATAAATTTGAATTTCTAACTTCATAGTAACGTTATCAAGATATTGTGGAAATCACATTAGTTTACCGTTCCAGTTGTGTCCTATTTATGTGCATGTATACTGGGAATAAAATACATTTTTAAAATTTATTTTATTTTATTTTATTGTTTTGAGACAGAGTCTTGCTCTCTCACCGAGGCTGGAGTACAGTGGTGGAATCTAGGCTCACTGTACCCTCCACCTCCCAAGTTAAAGCGATTCTCCTGCCTCAGGACCCCAAGTAGGTGGCTCTATAGGCATGTGCTACCACGCCTGGCTAATTTTTTTGTATTTTTAGTAGAGACAGGGTTTCACCATGTTGGCCAGGCTGGTCTCAAACTCATGGCCTCAGGTGATCCTCCCATCTCAGCCTCCCAAAGTGCTGGGATTACAGGTGTGAGCCACCACGCTCAGCCAATACTGGGAGTAAAATACCCTTAAGGATAACTAATATTGTATATATTGGTTCACTAATGTAGACATAACCTGTAAATGCATATGTAGTACATTCCTAGGTTTATCACCTAATTTACATTTAACATTATAAGGTTATCTTGAAAAATCTATTTATTAGATGTATTTTTACGCTTGATTTAAACAGTCTTCTCTGAGAATAACAGACTACTGAAAATTATCTTGTTATCGTATTTGGACTTCCTAAAAATGTTGTGCTAGTTCCACAGTTACATAATTTTCAAGCTGTCCCCAAATCCACAAGTGCTTTGTTTGAGAATAAGATATTTGTGAGAATATTATGCCCTTGTTTCTCTTTGTTTAGAAACCCCTAATCTCATCTTTGCTGGAATTTAATTGTTTCTTTACCTTAATTTGTACATTGTTTGTTGTATTCTACCTTGATGTATGTGTGCATATCTTGTTCTCCTATTATAATATTATAAGATCCTTTAGAAAATCATTTTTTCTTGACTTATTTCTAAAATATCAAAATACCTGACACAACTTAATAAGTATGTAATGCATAGTTGTTGGATATGTATTTTCAGATATATTAAAAGTTAGGTACCTGCAGCGGGTGGTTTCTAGATGTTAAATTATACAAAGTTAATCTTATCCATAAGCTTGATCAAGAAAAAGGGAAATATTTTAACAAGTTGGTCAGGAGACTTAGAAGACAGAACTTAAAATGTAAAAGTATTTGCCAATTAAGTGGATATAAATATGACCTTACAACATGAGCAATAGAAATTTTGTGCTATAACAACTGGATCCCTGTAGATACATGTTTCTCTATTAAGCAATTTCCCTATCATTTCTCTCTTTTTCCTAATTCTATTCCTCATCCGTTAATCCTTCCCTCCATTTTTCTTTCCTTCTTTTCTTCCTCCTTTCATCCAAAAAATATTTTTAAAGTTTGTACTCATTAACAGGAATGATTATAGATAATATAGAGATAGCATAAATATTCATGCCCTCATGGAGCTTATATTCTATTGCGGATATGAGGCATGAATTTAGGGATATTTTGCGTTGGCTGAGGAGGTCAGAATGGCTAGAATAAGCAGGAAATTAATAGGAGATGAGGTCTCAGAGGTAATGGAGACTGAGGAGCATGACTTAAATGTTCTGATTGTCCAAGCACGTGACTGGAGTCACCCTAAAAGCAGTAGCGAGGGAGTTTCTGCAAGGGACTGCCCCAAATTGTCTGGAGATGGGCCAGTTTTGATTCCAAAAAAGCACTAAACGCCAGGTTCATCAGTTTAAAGCATTTATTAGGGAAACTTGACATCATACAGAGGGCTTCAGCTTCCTCATGACAGACGTAAGAAAAGTGACGTTGTACTCCAGTATATCTGGAAGGAAAGGGTTGTTACTTAAAAGAACGGAAGTTATAAAAGGTTTAATGATTTTGTCTCAGGGCAGGGGCTCATTTATACTTGTTTAGCAACCTGGTTGATATTTCAGTGTTTCGGGCAAAAAACCTAAACAACTTTATCTGTGCCTGAGAATGTTCAAGGCCCTGGGTTGGGTTCAAGCCTGTAGTTAAAAACATGCAGCTCGCTGGATCACTGAATGGTTAGGCTATTATGTGTGTTTTCTCAGGCAGGACAAAGAAAAAAGCGTAAGTAATTGGAGGACCATACATTGGGCTATCTGTCCACCATAGTAAGGAGGGGAATTTGACTCAAAGTGAAAATATGAAGCATTAAGAGACTTAGCAGAGGAGTGACAGTATCTGGGTTATTTATTAACAGTAATATTTTGGAACCTGGGTTAAGAAGTGTATCTAGGGGGTGAAACTCTCAAAGCAAGGGTACTGAATAGCAGTGTATTACTTTAATCTGGGCAAAGGCAATGGTGAATTAGTACAGGTTATTAACAGTCCAGATAGTGAAAAGTGGTTGTATTTTGAATTTATTTTGAAGGCAGATGTGACAATATTTTCTTAAATTGAATAGAGTATGAGAACAAAAGCAGTGAGGGATGACCCAAAGCTATTTCTTCTGAGCAACTTTGAATGGCATAGAAATGTCATTAACTACCTATTTCCATTCCTTTTCATTCATTCATTTAGACCTTGTCATTTGGAATTAACCCCAAATACATAAATTAGACCCCTAAACATCTCCCTACTTGCCTTCCTTGCAACATTTTATTACTTTTATCTGTTTGTCTTCTTGGAAACTCTTTTCTCCCTAAACTTCAATATTACTGTTTGTAGCTTGTTCGCCCAAAAACTCTTTTCTTCATATTTTGTTCTACTCTCCACTTGTGGTCCCACTCCCACTAGCTCTGGTATATAAGAAGCAATTAACAAAGCTGTATATCTATTAATAAATAAGGCAATTGTAACTTTTGTATTAACTAGATGTAGTTTCTTTTATTTTGCTCTAGGTTATATATTGCCATTAGCATGATTAAATATAGAAAAGTAAATACGTTTTGGTCAAGGAACTAAATTTTAGATTAATCAATAACATAAATGTGACTTTGGAAACAGATTTATTAATGAAGTTTAACAATAGTATCTAAAAGGACTGAATATGCTTATATTACTCAGGGTTCTGTAGAGTAACAGAAACAGTAACATATATGTGCATATATATAAATACCTTTATTATAAGGAGTTGTCTCACACTATTAAGGGGGCTGAAAAGTTCCACAATCTGACATCTGTGAGCCGGAAACCTAGGAAAGCCAGTGGTGTAGTTCAAGTCCTCATCCACAGGCCTGAAAACAAGGTGAACCACTCTGTCTCAAGTCCAAAAGCCAGAGAACCTGGAGCACTTGGTGGTGTAAGTCTGAATCTGAAGTCATGAGGTCTCAGCTCAAGCAGTCAGGCAGATTGAACCAGTCCTCCCTTCCTTCTCTTTTTTGTTCCATTTAGGCTATTAACATTTTGAATGATACCCACTCATATTGAGGAGGGATATCTGTGTACCAATTTAAATGTTAATCTAATTGAGAAACACCATCACGGGCATACCCAGAAATAATGTTTACCGAAAATATTTGGGCAATGTTAACCAAATATTGGGCACCCAAATATTTGGGCACCCCTTGGTTCGGTGAAGTTGACACGTTACATTAACCATTATAATAGTGAATTTAGAGTAATATTAATAAAATTAATATAATACATTTATGACTCTTTGTAAAATAATGTTATTTAAACATACATAGAATTTCCAAACCTATTCCAGTTTTAGCTTAGTCATTTTTATATAACTACCATATTTATTCATAACTCTGGAAATCTTATTTCACATAACTTGTGAATATTATCTATTATTGTGTTTCAATTTCAAATTATTACTGTTAGATAGCACTTCTGTTTATTATACTTCACACTCTGAGGACAGCAATTCAATTTTTCAGATGTACAAGTTTCATGATTTATTGCTGCACTTTAATACTTTCTGTCTTGCTTTCCCAAATGTTCCACACCTGCTCTTTGCCAATATATGCTATCTTTAAAGGGATTTAACACCATTGCAAATCTTTAATGGAATGCATTATCATGATCCAAAGTGATTATACTGTATAATACAATCTTAGTTTTTTTATATTTTTACACTCCTGAATTGTTAAAAGCCTGTATCTTGTAGCAAATGGGAAATATTTCATGCTTTACTTACTGTGGTCATCAAAGGCAATATGATTTTTATCCAGATAATTTTAAGGTCAGATTAAATAATTCTTTAAGAATTTGCTAAGAGTGTGTAAGATCATTATTTTCATTTTAGAGACTTAGTTATATTAGTTTTATTCATTTTACTGATAGACTGTGTATTCTCATATCTTCTTTCTTCCTACAATATTATTCTAACATATAAACATTTATTTTCTTTTTTGTTTGTTTTGTTTTTTCCACAACCAATTAGAAATAATGTTTACTTCTGTCTTCTCTTTCATACTTTGAAAAAGATGACAAAAGATTATGAACAAATAGTTGTATATGAAGATACTGGCTTCCCCTTTTAGAATTAGAACCATTGTGAGTCCATTTATATCTGATTGTGATGAACTATGTGTCTTCCAGAGTCTTTTTATCAAAGATGTAGATGCGCTGAAGACAGTCAACTACTACTTGTTGATCTATTTATTTTGTAAATAAAACACATATGTTTAAGGTGTCAGGCTTTATTGAGAATTACTTAATAAATTAGGCTTTTATACCACCTTTAGATGCTTTTAATTTTTAGCATGTCATTATATGAAAGCTTTTTTAAAGTTTATAGAGGTGATAAATAATATTATATAACAAATTGCAATTCTCCCTTTTTTTTTTTTTTTTTTTTTTTTTTTGAGACAGAGCCTTGCTCTGTCGCCCAGGCTGGAGTGCAGTGTTGTGATCTCGGCTCACTGCAACCTCCGCCTCCCGGGTTCACGCCATTCTCCTGCCTCAGCCTCCTGGGTAGCTGGGACTACAGGCGCCCGCCACCACCCCTGGCTAATTTTTTGTTTTTTTAGTAGAGACAGGGTTTCACCGTGTTAGCCAGGATGGTCTCAATCTCCTGACGTCGTGATCTTCCCGCCTCGGCCTCCCAAAGTACCGGGATTACGGGCGGATTACAGGCGTGAGCCACCGCGCCTGGCCGCAATTCTCACTTTTTAAAGTGCCATTGTTTATACATTATTGCTGTCAGTATTCACCAAGATGGTGCTATTACCTGTTGTGGGGCAATTTTCCTTGTCATTTCTACATATCTTGGAACAGCTTTTGTCCTTATATTTTCAAGAATGTTCTAAAGCAGACAGCCTTGGAGGAGAGACAGATAGTGACTCCCTCCAGGGAAAAAGTCGGATTTGTGTGCAGACCAGTATAATCAAAATAAAGTCTCTCTTTGGGGCAAATGTTGAGCAGAAATACCTTTTATAAGATGGTGTTTTCTAAGTTGTGGGATCCTCAGTTATGAGACAAACCTACAACAGCATCCTCTGGGCCTTTTGGGATCATCTTATTCGTTCTTGGGTTAGAAGGAGAACTTATGAGGACATGAAGCTCATGCAATGAATAATAAAGTTCTCTGTGTCTGACTCAAGAGTCTTGTGTCTACTGTCAGTCTTTATGAAAATGTGACAGGCTGACATGATAGCTTTCAAGAAGGATAAAAATCTCTGACCCTTCAGAATTCTTGACACTACCAACATTTTATGGAGGAAATGGCTCAGGGATGGTGAAAAACTGTCCCAAAGCCTTAGTAACCAAGAAGGTAGAACTTGAAATCTGGTTTTACGTTTGTGTCATAGTATGGTGCTGCTTCTACTGAGTGTGCTTTCTGCCAAAAAATATTAAATTTACCTCCTGGAAGTAATTGAAACCAAATGTAGTTAGAAATTTTTGTTTTAGTAGTAAATACTTAATCAGAAATAAATAATACGTATCCATCTAGATTCCATTACATCTTCGATATAGCAAACTAAAAACTTTTTAAGAAAGTTATTACAATTGTTCATATTTTTGTAAATTTTGTTTTGTAATTGTAGTTTAATGCAAAAAGATGTTCTTGGAGTTTGCAAAGGTCAGGGAATAATATAGAAATAGTAATAGAAAAATTGCCATTTCCAACACTGTCTCTTCATAAAATGCGTTCTCTCTCCCTCTCTCCGTTCCTCTCTCTTTCTCTGTCTTTCACACACACACACACACACACACACACACACACACACACACACATACTTTTCTCTAATGACTCATAAGGGAATCACGTCACATGGTAAACTATCCCTAACAGTCTTGGTAGATTTTTAAAAGAATTTAGTGTTATTGCTATTCGCAAACCAGAATTATTTATTTTGTTGGGAAAGCAGTCTCTGAGGGACACCAGAATGTAATAAAAATTCTAGACTGAGAGTCTGGACACCTGGCTTCTGTTCTTTCCTGTGTCACTAGCCATATGACCACTGTAAAATCTCTTAAGCTTATTGTTTCTTACTTTGTTCTGGTGGGAAAAAGAATATTAATTACTTTCAATAATTTAAGAGGGTCTGTCCAATTCAAAAATCTATTTTTTTATTTTATGTGAGAAATACAAAAATGTTCAAAATTAACATAGTCTTTATTATCCTACCTCATTACTTCATACTTTGAATACAATAAGCGTGAGCTGCTATATTTGGTCCATTTAATACACTATCTGTGCTCTGTGTATATCCCTTTATAGTAATAATATTTCCTTATTATCTTTATGATGAAAGTTCCATTGTATTTTAAAGCTGACATTTCATAATAATGTGATTTACAAATTACTTACAAATAATAAGCCTATGCAATTCAGTATATAGCTTATGGACTAATTTTTTTTTATTTGGCCACGTTTTCTATTGCATTTTATAACTTTGTACATAGCGTGGCATACTATAAGTAATGATAGAGTGTTATGAATATTTCATTATTCTGTTATTGCTATTTTAGAGTATGTGAATCATTTTAAAATCAAAATATTTTTAATTTCAAAAGGCAGAAGTAACTGAAATACATGTGCCCATGTAGCCTTTTATTTGATACGTTCAATTTTTCTCAGTAAGATTGAAGCTTTTTATATTTCTTGCACAGTAATATTTGTGTATTTTTCTTAGATAGATACGAACTTTGAATGAGGTGTGATCACAAGTGTTATTCTAGCAATACCATTTTCATAAAATTTTTAATAACTTTCATGTTTTCCTAGATGTCACTCTTTACAACCTAATTCTTTACTGAAGTTGTTTTTGAGTGACGTACAGTGATGACAAAAGACTTAAGAACTAAGTAAGTTAGAGTAACTTTTGACTTTTATATACGCCATAAAATTTTTATCATCATTAGTAAATATTTTTGTTAAGAAAAAATACTACTCACTTTAAAATTCAATGTGTATGTTATCAAATGAGAAATTATAGTCTTTTAAAATCATATAGGTGACTTTGTAATTTCAAATGAAGTTATTTTACCAATATTTTTAATGGTGAAAATGCTGGCCTGAAATTAATTTGACAGTCATCCTCAGTTTTTTATTAGCAATTCTTCTATAAAATCCAAACTCTACCAATGAAAAGTATCCAATGCCGAACAGCCAACACCTGCAATTTCCACCACTAGCATACATAAGATAGTTATTAACCTAACATAGTGTGGATGATAGAATTAGGTCCCTGCTAATTTTTTATCTTTATACAGGTATCCCAGATTAATTTTAGTTCAAATAATCCCAAATTTGTGAGCCATTTGGTCTTTGCTTTCCAGTAATATATGCCTAAAATTACGGGGTCCCGGGAACCTTTCCTTATTTGCCATATCGCTCGAGTGTTTGTTGCTGTCATTGTTTGGCTGTTCTGTTGCCTTGTATATTTTTTCTGCCCTAGTCTTAATATCTTAGGTTTTGCTCTGGGCTGATCTTTTTTTCAGTTCTCTTTAACTCTAGGGATTTTTCCAAAATCTTTGTGGGTAAGCAGGGCCATAATAGTAGGAGAAGTCTACCTAGGGAATTTACCTTGACTCTGAAGTTAGCATAGAAGGCACACTGTATTTACTTAAATATATGTTTGCTTAGGACTGGAGAGGGTCATGGAGATGATAGGAGAGCTGAAAACCTCCTTGGTGATGGCTTGGAAATACTCTTATTTTCTTACTTTCTTAGTCCTAATCATCAAGAAAACTCAAGGCAAGAGATGAGCAAGCCAGCAGCTTCTGAGGTTGAAGGAAGAAATATGTTTTCAATCCCTTTCAATTCTTGAAACATTACCTCTCAGATTATACAAACTATATAAATGATAGATTTCTAATTTCAAAACGGTGATTTATACATAACTCTAAAAGAACATTATTGCTTAAAGTGGCTGAAGCAGCACCAGTGCTAACTGAAACAGAATCATCCCCCAGGCCAACAGTTGTACTTCACTTCTCTAATTTTACATTTGCAGTTCATACCAAATAAATCAATTTTCCCTTTTGCTTTTATAGGTGTTCAGTGCTCAGAAACTTGAATACAGACATTGTAATAAAGAAGCTATTGAATTCCATCTTTTAAATCAATTATATAAAATAATATGTTACCTCATCCTTTTTGATAATGATTTGTTCATACTTAAGACTAATTTTTTTAAGCTGAGATACAAATGAGGTAAAGCTTCTTTACCTATGACATGTCCTCCCACAGAGCTTTTCTATTGTCTAAAACCTGTGAGAAGCTATTATATTTTTAAAATTTTATGTTTCTTGGTAACTTTTTGAAAACTTATTATCTAGTATTGAATTCTTCATCCATTTGCCATAAAGGCAAATGTTTTATTTGCCTTTATCTCCATATGAATGACCACCTGTAGTTGCAATTTCTCATCATTATGATCCTGGAACATTTTTAAAGCAATTTTAGTTATACGGTTTTAAACAAAAGGTATTTCTCAGCATGCTCATGTGCTCCTACAGGGATTTTTTTTTTCTTTCTACATGTTATATACAGTTGCATGAATTATACTAATACAATGTCAAGATTATCTACTATACATTTAAACTGATATGGAAATGATTTTATTCATAAGTAACTTTTCATTTATAATGGTCAAATTTGGTTTTTAAACCATCATTTCATTATAGCCAAATATGCATGAAAATGAACACAGACAGAAACAATTAAAATAGAAGATCTGAGGGTCTATGATTCTAAATAAATTCTTATTCGCTTAAGAAACTTCACATGGAGATTGACTAGTGCTCCCTAAATAAAATTTCTGGCATGAAACAGATTTAATAACATGGAAAACAATGAACAAATATTTTAAAAGGGTATTCCAGGAATGTTACATGTTCTCAATATATCCCATTATTTAGACATATTCAAAATATGTCTAGAACCTACATGGTGCCGTTATGGAATATAGAGTTGTTTTATTTTGTCTTTTGAAAATACTGTGTTCCAGTTTAATCGTGATCTAACACTGCTGCTAGACCTCACTGTTTTATGTTAGGGTGGTGGTGGAATTACAGAGAACTGCATTCCAAAGTGATAAATATTTGTTTTTTGTACACTTAGATAGTATTAAAAATGTTAGTATTCTTTAAAAATTGCTACCATGGGAGTTAACCACTCCACCCTGCATAGTTTCACTCCATTTTATGACATGCTGATATTTTCTATAAACAGCTCATTGTGCAATCCCTAAGAACTGCTGTTGAATCCCTTATTTATGTAATAAATATACAAATAATATATGATTAATATACACACATACATAACATAATCAAATAGATGCATATATACACATATATCACATACATTTTCTATATAATTCTCATAAATGTACCCAGGGTCACAAGTTTATGTATGTGAAAAAGCATAAAGTTACTAAATGGATTGGGAATAAAATTCACAAGTTTTTTTTGCCAAATATGAAATCGCGTATTTGTACATGTTCTTGCAAAGGCCATTTCTTTACAAATAGGGTCCTGGGGGATTGTTAACACTCGATGAAGCTTCCTGTTTATTCACTCACTCTGGGATTTCCCATTTGCCAACACAACAAATGGATTGTGTTATAAATGAGAACAGCTTGTTGAGAGCTGTGGTTTAATGTTTTCTGGAAATAGATGAAGACAGCATGTTCTAATTTATCTGTAGCAAAATCCAGTTAGGAACTTATTGAGTATGGGAGTTTTGGTGTTTTTGATTTGAACAAGCATAGAAAATATGTTCTTGCAGTATATCATTGATAATTACAAATTCTTCCTAAAGTTGTAATTATGCATATTTTAGGGTAAATCTCTTTTTAGGGAAACAATCGGTATTTAGTTTGGTATCTGGGTAAACAGTATTTACATAAAATATTATAAAGTTATTTGCATATGAACCTTAAAATTATCTGCATTGCCCCACAAAAGGAGCTAAAGTTGTAATTTTTTAATTGATATGTTGTCATATAAATTTAAAAAAAGATGATCAGTAATGGAGGTGCTAACACAATGAGACGCAATTCACCTCAGAAAGTTACAACAAATGTTTGCACTTTTATGTATATCGACTCTATTTAAACATTGAATTTTGGTGTGTACAGAGGTGATTTTTCTTTCACAGTGTAGTCATTTTCTTACAGTTCTTACAGATCAATTGATAGACTCATCATATTTTTATACATCTATCCTGATGAATTTTAAATAGATTTCTAGTAAATAACAGTTTTTCTGTAACAAGGAGAGAGGGTAAAAGAGGGTCTATTCTACTTTGTCTGCTGACATGTTTTTCTTTCTGTACCTTTACACTCTTGCCTATATCACAATCCCGAGACATTTACTTCTTAAGAGATGTTGACTAATGACATTAGGGAAAGCTTAGTTACAGTTTTATTTCTATCTTCTCATAGATAGAAAAGTAAAACCTATGCTTAGGTATGATACATTTGTTATAGCTGTATTATATATCTAAAGTAGAAGTTCGAATATCCCATGGCAAACTTACGTACTTATAGTATTGTCTTCTTGGAAGTATGGACTCAGAATTCTATGCAATTAATTTTTAAAATGTTCAGTGATATTAAAAAGTAACATTGGAGGTTTAAATATTTGATAGGTGACAAAAAGATTGACTTTGGCTTTGGGGTGTGTATGCAGCAGGTAAGGGTTGTTTGCACATGTCATTGTAAAAGATGTAACACAATAAAATAGTAAAATTTGCGGTAAAGTATTTTATACAAAAAGTACAAAAAAGAACTGTAAGAAAATGACTACACTGTGAAAGAAAAATAACCTCTGTACACCCCAAAATTCAATGTTTAAATAGAGTCAATCTACATAAAAGTGCAAACATTTGTTGTAAATTTCCACAGTGAATTGTGTCTTACTGAGTGTTGGCACCTTCATTACTGATCCTTTTTTTTAAACAAAATTTTATATGACAACATTGTATGTGAAAGCAAGTTATTTTAAATAATGCAGCTTCAGAATGATATATCATTCACTAAAAATTGCAAACCATAAGCAAAACAATGAATGAATTTATAATAGACCTCAATTTCATCTTTTAAAAATAGTGTTTGTTAAATGAGCATCTCACTCATAGGTGGGAATTGAACAATGAGATCACATAGACACAGGAAGGGGAATATCACACTCTGGGGACTGTTGTGGGGTGGAGGTAGTGGGGAGGGATAGCATTGGGAGATACACCTAATGCTAGATGACGAGTTAGTGGGTGCAGCGCACCAGCATGGCACATGTATACATATGTAACTAACCTGCACAATGTGCACATGTACCCTAAAACTTAAAGTATGATAAAAAAAAGAAAGAAAAAAAAAGAAGTGTTAAATTGTGCAGATATATAAAACATTAATAGGATGGATATTTGTATTTGGTGGCTAATTTCATCCTTAATTGCTGAGTTTATTTACAGAATACATGGTACCATTGCAGTTTTCTTTTTTAGCTATACTCTTCAATAATTCATAAATTTTAAAAATATTCTATTTCAGCAGCAAATAATTCTTTCTATTATAAAATATATTTTGTAGATTGACCCTCTCCTTTTTACAATGCAGTCAAATAATTTTTGGATTTGAGGAAAACATGTTTAACTCTTTATCTAATATGCTTTTTACCATCACATATTTATGAAAAATTTTTCAAATTCTCACATTTCCCAAAGGTTCACTGACATAGACTCTGTGTGTTTGTTATCAATACTATTCTGAAAATAGGTTAGCTATGAGATAACCTAAAGGATTACTTGATTAAAATTATGTAAAACCCAAAAGGTTCTGACCTTGCCAGTTTATGCCTCAAGATTTCATATTCATTTGAGTCATTTTTCGTAATTAATCATTTATACATCATTTATTTTAAACTCACTATAAGACCCAGTTAAAGGAAGCTTGTCTCTTCCAGCATAACCAGACATTTCAGAAGATGTGAGTGTAACCAAGTGTCTATTGTCTACAAATTCCCTATGAGAAGCCTTCTTTGAAGATATTCTAGGACTTTTCAACCTCAACACTATTGACATTTTGGGCTGAATAATTACTTGTTTTGGGAGGCTGTCCTGGTCATTGTGGGACATTTAACAGTATCCACTACATGCCAAGAACAACCCCCTGCCAGCTGTGGCAACTAAAAATATCTCTAGACATGTCCAAATGCCTCATGTGGGGAGAGTGGGGATTAAATCATCCCCATTTGAGAAGTACTAAGATCATCTGATATACACGACAATATGAATACTACCTTTTGACATATTTCTGCCAATATGATAACCTATGCAGTATTGTGTATCATACAAGTAATGTGGCTTTCTTCTACCTCAGGATGCTTTTTTATTCTTATGCCCCCCTCATTTTTTTAATACTAAGGCATTATAGCCTCTTAAAATAAATGTGTGCTAAATATAATATCATGCTAATTTCCAGTTTTGTCTCATACAGACCATATACTACTCAATTAGAAACAAAAGAAAAAGCAGTGTGTTCTAGTGGAAGCATCACTAATTCCTCAGTTTGCTATTCAGCTCGCTCACTGTGTGACATTAGGAAAGCCCTTAACTTCTCTTATCATCAACTATTAGCATATGAATTTATATATTAATGCTCACTTTCTTCCAGAGGATTAAACATTGTCAAACTGCAAACACCTAGCTTAATGTCTGACATAGTAGTAATGCAAGAAATGTTACTGTAAATCATATCTAAAGTACGAAACATGATGAAGAAAATAATTAGAATAAGTAAAGTAACAGTTAATATTTTTATCTTGGAAAAGGTTGGATATCTAAATATACTATATATAATAAAATCAATTCTATCTGGTATATAATATCTGCATTAAAATTTTTCACCAATAACCAGAAAAATGCAAGTTTTTTTAATATTGTGGGGAATGGAAATTTAAGATAATTGCTTAAGAAATAAAATATTTCTTGTTAACATCTACATTTATTTAAAATTTGGTTGAAAATAGTGCCCGAAATAGAACATAGAAAATATAGAAAATAAACAATAGAAAATTGTTTATTTATAGAAGTTATTTATATACACATAAATACATTCCAGTCAGGGTTCGGCTAAAGTAATAGAAACCACTATAACAATTTTAAGCAGAAATTGAATTAATTTAGGAAACTGGGTACTTAAAAGTACTGGAAGGGCCAGAGAATCAGACTCTGGGAAAACCCTCCAGTAATGACTCCTAGAGCAATATTGCAGAATGACCAATGTACAACAATCAGAAAGCCAAGGAAACAGGATACAGCTTTACTGACTGTCTTCCAGGATCACACCACCTTAGCTGTTGCCCTAATTATTGCCACTTGAGCCACAACACACCCGCTGGATCCTCACAACCCAAATGAATAAAGTATGGCCCACCATCTGTCCTCCCATTTAACTCAGTTTCTCAGTCACTGCTGGAGTCTTTGCTGTAAGAAATATGGGATTTAAAAAACCCTCCACATCTGCACAGTACAAAATAGTACAAAAAGGAAATTGAAGAAAGACTGAGGAAACCAGTCTTCCAGATGTGCTACAGCTTGTAGGTGCCAGAGTTGGGGTTTGGCCACAAGTAATGTTATTCCAGGACCAGTGTTTTATAGCACACCTAATAAGGGGTATTTCAAAGACTATGCTATATCTCCTTAATCAAGTCCACATATTATTATGCACTAGCCACACAGCTCAGTGTTATAGTGGGACACAAATCTTGGGGCACACATAAGAATAATCTCTTGTCCCCAAAAATTATATCTAGCTTTGAGAAGTAGAAGGAACACAGTAGTTTCTTGCCCAAAGAGAATTCCAGCAGTGTTTGATGACTTCCTTCCATTTCATCCCCAGCAAAGTGATGCAGATGACTTTCTAGAGTGAGTAGCTGCAGTGTTTAGATAGTCCTCTCTAATCACAGAATTTCTTTGCCATACTTTTCACCACTTCTCTTAAATAACATTTGGCTGCAGTTTCTAGAGCAGGTGGCACTTGAGGATCAAAAATACCTTGAGGCAAGTGAACATCCCTCTGCTTACAGTCTGGCCTATATAAAGAATGTTAAACTAGCAGGTGTCCACCCCCAGACGCATTCTGCCTACAAACCAAAAAGAGATATTTATTTTCCATTGCGGAATAAATGTCTGGCTCTGGGGGACTGGTAAACAGAGGAAGATTCCTGAAATATTAGCAATGCTAGGGCCATAGTGTGTGTAAGTGGACAGGTTGTCCCAAATTCCATGGTATTACTGTAGCATATTTGTCCAGGCACCACTGGATTTATTCCCCCTCCCCAGAGAACATAGTTAGATATCTCATTCTAGATGTTTTATATGTGCCTAGAATGCTGGCAGATTAAAGCACAGAAATTGGTGTGAGTGTTGCTAAATTCTGGTTTACCTTATAGCTGTATTCTCAAACAGACAATTCACTGCTGTGTTCAGAACACTGCTGGTATGAATAATAGAGGAACTAATGCAGCCAGTGAGGCTTGTGCTTAAGGATCACTGAGGACAAACAAACAAACAAACAAACAAAAATGCATAAACATCTCTAGTTTAAATAAAAGTAACAGATTTAATTAGACAAATAACTAAGACCATAAATAATATATTGCGGGAGTGTGCATTAAAGTATATGAGAAGAATGGACCATTGTTGCTCCACTGTATTTTAACATGTATTAGTAAAACTCATCAATTAGATATGATAGAGATGAAGCCAAGAAAACAGAGGGAAGAACTAGATTAAGCTTAAAATGGCTTGCAGTGCCATCACTTTTTTCTGAGCCAAAGCTCACAGAAAACTACTTAAACTTTCATTTGAGCTTTTAGATCAGCAATAATAAGCTCAGATAAGACACATTCTCAGAGGTGTGTGGCACTAAGCTATTAATGAACTATTTTGATGTCATATAATAAAACATTTCAATTAATATTCTTGTTATCAAAATCAGTGAAAAACCTATAAAAATTCATATAGATGTGAATATTGGAGGGCATTTTAGTGTTAGCAAATTGTTTCTAAAGAAATAGATGAAAATAAATAATGTAAACACTTTTACAGACTATTTCATTTGAAATAAAACTTTAAGTGTTAAATGCTACTTATTTATATAATAGAAATGTGTTTTTAAGTTTTAAGTTACCTGTAAGTCAGAATAAATATTACACATAAAGCAAATTAAAACTACTTTTTAAGGGGGAGAGGGTGGAAATCATACTGGGATATTTTATTTTCATGAAGTAGGGATTAAATTAACTGTAATTAACTTAAAACCACGACTATTTTCATTCAACTAATTGATTATCTTCTATAGATAGAACAATGCACTAATGATTAGTTCAATCATGAAGTCCGCATATGACTAAGGAAATCCAGAGTGCTAAATGTAAGTTTGCAGATTGGGTGTTACTGTTCACAATTCAAAGGGATCTCTGCTTCACAAAGCAATTCTTTTAAAATGCCATCTCTAATGCATTTGCTACTTTACAGATCATAGTTACTTTTCAAGGAGATTGAATGGATTCATTTTAACTTAAAGTTTATGGCTTAACTTTCTAAGTATCTTTTAATATGCACAAAGTTAAAAAGATTTAAGTACAGAATGCTAGTATATAAAAAGTAAAAGTCTTATATCATGACTCAACTGATTGTACTCCCCAGAGTGGAACTTTTACTGTATCTCTTTTAAGAATGAAAATCTCTGTTGTCCTTCTATTGAACCTCCACACTGATAATAATACAGTAATGCTGTCTAGGGTGATCTCCTTGCTGACATAATATTCACCTTTTGTTTTAAAGAGGCTAATTAACATTTGCATAAATGTTTTAAATTTAGGCTACACATAAAAGTACACCTAATGTTGAAATGTGACCCAGATACTCTTAAGTCAACTCCTATTTCTGGTTCAACCCAAATTGCTTTCTTCATTTCATGGGCCTACATTAAAGTTATCAGAAGTGCTTTGGCACCCACCCCACCATAAGGATGGCACCACAGAAGAGGTAAGATAAAAGACTTAACACCCTCAACACTCATACTCCAAATTTGAAATTCCCTTCCCTTTAATGGGTGTCCCATGCTTGATTTTAGGTTAGTCAGTGTATTGTCACCAGGGTACTTCCCGTATACCCACTAAATACCTGGAGAGCTCTCCAGCCAAGTCAATTAAAAACACGACCTTTCCCCACTTTTCCATACACACTTTAAAGGTATAGCTCCCATTTCAGACTCTTTTGTCAGGCTCAAAGTACTCATGTCTGTTCTGTCCAGCAGCTAATGCTAATATCAGATTTTCTGGCATAAGTAATGTCTTCTGAATCACTGGCACTAGTGTTCCAATGGCCTTAACAAGATTACAGAGCCCCATTGCTGAGGCCAGGCTGAAACGCTGAATAGGACTTTCTACACAATTGTAGGGATTAAAAAGAGAGATATAACACTAATAAACTTAAAACTTGCTATTGAACACCAGTATAAAAGCTAATGCCAGCCACATTTTCTTAGATCTGTTCAGAATGCCTCCATGCCTAACTTTTGGTCTGGTTTATAGATCTGGAGAAATAGGTTTCTCAACCCAGTGCATTATGACATTATTTTATATGCTAAATGAAAAAATATATATATAAAAGACCACAATTAACGCATTTTTCACAGCTTCTTAGGCACTTGCATTCCTGAGAATATTCTTTGCCTCACACTGACATAAATAAAAGGCTTACTCAGGAAGTTTAACAGAGCAAAACTCTGAACCAAAGTTTCAGTATCTATCTTTCCCAAAACAAAATCAGCTTCCAGGTTTAGAAAGCCAGATTTTTCAAGATTCAATGGATCCCATTTTGACATAAAAAGCAATAGTGACAAATATAACACGGTGTCTTGTTACAATACTCAACTTTGTTCAAAAAGACAAACTTTTTATGAGTACACTAACTTCTTTTTACTTTCAATTAATTGCAAGTTCAGTAAAATAAAGCATAACTCCTATGTGAGCAGTTTGCTCCAAAGGAATGTGTGCTTTGTTCTTGAGGATGGAAGGAAATGGAATCAATTAGATAAAAGGGTGCTCTCAAATCTGTCTTGCTTTCTTTAAAACCAAAAATAAATAGGGTTTCCGGAATGTGTTCCAACACCATTTGAAATATTACAAGGAAGTGAAAAGCTTCTTCCAAGCAAAGCATCTATTTTTGCTTATGTAGTTATTTCAAGTCCTAATTTTAATTCTCAGTGTATGGGTCAGATTTCTTCAGAGAAACAGAAACAAATATCTTTATCTCTCAGATAGATAGATGACAAAAAGTAAGAGAAACGGAGCTCTATCTAGATCTATTATCTATCTATCTATTTATCTATCTGTCATTATCATCTATCCTATCTATCAAATGAGAGAGATAACGATTTATTTTAAGGAATTGGCTCATGTGATTGTGGAGGCTTGGTCAGTCCAATATCTACAGGATAGGCAATTTGAGTCCAAAGGTGGTCTACTGGCAGAATTTCTTCTTGCTTGGGCTGGGCAGAGGTGTGGGGTGATGGGGAGGGAGATCAGTCTTTGTTCTATTAAGGCCTTTAACCCATTGAATGAGGTTGACCATATTATGGAGGGTAATATGCTTTACTTAAAGTCTCCTGATTTAAATGTTAATCTCATCTAAAAAAAAATACCCTCAGAGAAACATCCAATATCACGTTTGACCAAATATACAGGTACCATAGCCCGGCTAAGTTAACACATACAATTAACCATCACACTCAATACGTTGATCAATTTTGAAAACACTCAAGTACCTGTATTTCAAATTTGTAAGCTATATGGTTTTATGATTAGTAGATGATAACATAACATTACACAAGTGTTTATACATAGAAAAGTAGAGGATGTGGTTTCAATAGGCTCTATGGCAAAAGTATAAGAAACAGCAACAGTGCCCTGATTGATAAAGCAGTCTGTGTGATGCTGTCACGTCACACACAAGAGTTAAATTAAGTCCTAAGTGTTGTGTTAGGTGGCAATAACTGAGAAACTGACAGCCTGACAGTATTTGTAGAAAATGAAGTCACCTAACTGTTAGGACAAATTCTACAGAAAATCCAGGATTAAGGAGAGAAAGATCACAGTTTGAATCTGCTTAGAAAGAGTAATTTGAAATACTGTACTAAAGTAGGTACAATTCCTCAGCCTTACCCATCCTTCACCACACTTTCCTTGTGCTCTTATCTGCTTTTCTATTTACTTTCCATTTTCCTCTTCCTGACAGTGCTTCTGATATTCTTCCTTTTCTAAACACACACACACACATACACACAAACACATATTTCTAAACATATATATTTCTAAGTGTATTTATATTTCTAAATATATATATTTTTTTTCTAAACACATATTTTTTTTTTGTATAAAAGCTTACTCACTTCTAACTGCCATTCTCCAAGGATAACAGCTATAATACAATCTCAGGTGTGCAATAAATACACTTTCTTTACTTTCTCTACTGTATTTGCTTTTCTGATTTTGAGTCTCCATTCACCTGGGTTGTCAATAAAGCCAGTTTTTCTTCTGGCTTTCCCCAACTCCAAAGCTGATTCACAGTTTTAGAGTCTCATGTAGCACCAAGACTTAGGCCTTTGGTCCACATAGCTTGCTAGTCCGTTCATAAATTCATAATACTGGTCATCATGAAAAACCCTTGGGTCTAGTGCTCACTGTGCTTCTATGTGTCAGGTTGGACTCTTAACTCTGTACCTATCTTGAGTATGCAATACTGATTTCTCAGGTTGCTGGAGAATAAATAAATTTAAATCCAAAACACTAAATTGTGGAAGTCGGAGACTTCTTGCCAAAAAGAAGTAGTAAAAAAATAGCTGACAGGTGAACATGGAGGTGGTGTTAAAAAGGAGGAATTTGAGGGGAAGGAAAAATAAAAAGCAATGCTTGAAAAAAGTCGGGGAAAAGATTTTGCAAAACACCAAATTCCTCCCCCAAAACCCATGTCAGGGGAGCGCCCAGAGAAGCACAACCTGTACTATGGCCAATGGCAGTAGTGAGGGAGGTGGAGTGGAGAAAGGATGATGATTTTTAATAGAAACATTGTTGAAGCCTACTGGTAACCTTCAGATCACTCTTTCTTCATTTTTTTTTCTTTCCCCCTCCCTCCAGTCTAGGGAAATTATCTTTTTAGTCTGCAAAAAGTATTTCCTTTAGGGCTTGTGACCAAGATCCATGGTTTATTGAATCAGTCAACATAGATTTGGCTATCTGCTTCAATACAAGGAGGAAGAAACCTAACAATCACAAATGTATCATAATATTAGTCAAGCCATACAAATAATACATTGTTTCAGAACAATTTGAGATCAGAAAACATGGTGGGAAGAAGAAAAAGTAGGATATTATAAAATAAAATGTGAAAACAATGGATATATTATGGAAAAAATAAATTTTGGAAAAAATGAAATAAGTTATAATGAAGAATAGTATAAACGAAGAACTCTGATTATTACTACTTTACATTTTCAGATAATTATGTAGAGAAAAATAAGCCAAAGGGGTAGATTTTTTTTTTAAACGTAAAAGTGTACAACTCTGAGCCATCAATATTCTAAATTAAAAAAAAAAAGTGAAGAAAATTAGGTCTATTTTGCTAATGCTTACGTTGGAGAATGAAAATGGAGAAATTAAATAGGTTTCTTTATGTTATGAATAGACCATGGAATGTGGAATAAAACATAAATGAATTTAAAATTTCACTCAGCTTCTTAGGCACTCTGTGGCCTTCTTCATATTAACAATTCTGTCCCATTTTTTGTCTGTGAACTAATCTCCCTTCACAGAATTACTATAAGAACTTAATGATCGTCACCTAAGTGGAAACAACTTAGCACATGGTAAGGTGCTCAGGAAACATCTGTTACCTTCTTGTTAATTATCTCCTATGTAGGAGGACAAGGATGTATGTACATGCAAATTCCTGCCACAAATATTTCAGGAAATTGGACAATCATCTTTGCCATTCTCTCCATTTCCTCTTTTCATGACACCCAGAAGCTCAGTTGCAAAGTCGGTAAATCTCTTACTCATATCAAGAAAGGGTTTTCATGGAACAAAACGTTTCCATGACTGCAAACTATGAGAATTTCAAAATTCTCATTTCGAAAAGGAAAGAAATTAATATTCATTATTAATCATTTGTCATAAGTGTTTTTTATCTTAGTCACCATTAAACTCTGATATCTTTGTGAATCCATGTTGTATCTTATCATCTTTAAATGTCATACTATGTCTAACACTGTGCCTAATACTTATTAAAATTTAAAATGAATTGATTTAATAAGCAGCACTTTATGCATGTTGGTATAATTGTATTAATGAATCTTTTTTTCATGATATTCAGATACTTTTCTGTTGTGCTTTGAGAAGAGAAAAACAAAATGAAGCCAAATGGTTAATTTTTCTAAACCCAGAATGAGATGCTAAAATAAAATATTAAAATTATAATAGCTAATACTCTTTATCTCTAGCTGCTTTTTATTGGCTACCTGACTTAATCCTCACAGCATTTCAGTGGCATGGGCACTAGTGTTACCTCCACTGTAGAGAGGAGAAGACTAAAGCTTAGAAAGGTTTAATAGCCAACCCCAAATCATGGAACACATGTTCAGTATCCACGAGAACCTGAGAAATGAGAAATCTGCATGTGTGTGTGTGTGTATATATATACGTGTGTGTGTGTGTGTGTGTGTGTGTATATATATATATGTGTATGTATATATCTAAAAATTTAGTGTAATTACCTTTTTCTCCTTCTCCATAAGACAAAACTAAAGCCAGGAAACCAAGTAATGCATGAAGTAGGATATAATAACTATTTCATACATTCTTTTTTTCAATTTGTTTTCATGTTCCCAAAGAAAACACCTGTATTTTTTGACTGACTGTATCTTGATTATGAATGTAAGTTTCTATTTGTAAATAATAAATTGTCGGAATTTATATGTGGAAAATCACAAATCTTATATTTACATGTAAAAATGACCAGAAAAAGTGAAAATTGGGTAAAAAGTCGTGAAAACAAGGTGTGCAGGATTCTTTACATTTTTCAAGTGTGTCTTATTTCTAAGTATGTTCGTTCAGAGGTTAAACAATACCCTCCTAAATTTCAAAATTAATGGAATTACTTACTTTGAAGTAATTAAGGGTTAATTACATAGCTCTTTTAGAGAAAGTTTTTTCGGGTTTATAGTATTTTTAATTTATGAATAAACTGAAGTTTTTAAAAATAATAATTCAGCGTTGAAAAGTGGCTAATGCTGGAAAATCATTTTATCCCTTAGAGAGCAGATAATTACCATGGCTACCATAAAATAAACAGGCAAACCTAAGAAAGACTCTTTCTTACTTTTCTATCAGTTTAATACTTTGTTTTTACTTAAACCTATCAAGTTGTCAAGTGCATTCACTTTAGTGACTATACATCTATAATTAAAAGAATTATTCCCAACAGTCATAGTCAGTCATGTAGCTACAATCTTGTATATCACAGGAAACAAGATACTTGTGTGTTGTATATAATTTTTATACACACAATTCTTTTTTTTTTTTTTTTTTTTTATTATACTCTAAGTTTTAGGGTACATGTGCACATTGTGCAAGTTAGTTACATATGCATTGCTGGTGGAAATTACGTGCGTATAATACTTCCTTTTTGTCTCCACACTGGTCTGAAAACTAATCTCCTGATGTTTTACAGTTGCATGATCCCTCATGTCTCCCCAGCCAGGACAAGTTCTAAAAGTTTTCATTTTTAAATCTTTGCTTTCCTATCAGGATAAATAATGGAAATTCTACACTGTGGATTCCTAAATAGGAACAGCTGTGCTTTCTTTCTGTTATCTACATGCTTGATGGGGGGAACAAACTGAGTAAGAAGGTTTAATAATTTTATTTTAAGAATCTCCAATGATATATGCAGCCTTTTAAATATGTAAACCAGCCCCAATTTTTCCCATTGTTCAATTTTTTGTTCCTTTTTAAAACATAACAATAAATTCATTGTTCTTTGTCAGTGCAAATGTTGGGTGGATTATTTAAAGCCAGTTAGGAGCTGATCACTGAAGTATGTGAGTTTTAATTTTCTCCTAGTTGTCTTGATCTTAAGAAGGAATTAAAGAAAATCTCAAGTGTCTGCCTTCATACTAAGAACACATGAAATTTCTGAAGCAAATAGAAAGATGAAGAAATAATAATATATGTTCATACTTTTGGAATATGAAAAGGATCTGCAGGAGAACAATTATTATAACATTTGTCTCAAAAGATACCATAGAATCAGTTGGAAGTTAATAAGTCTCTGTAGACATTTTTTAGGAAAAATTTTTAACAATACTCATCTCAGTAGGTTTTGAAAGAAAAAGTTTAAGGTATGAGTCCGTTGTACTTATCACATGTTTAGAATTAGGTGAAGTAGTTTTTATTTATGACTCTTCTTTCTCTTCCTCTGAACCATTAGCCTCAATCTTCTTTGGAATAAAAAGAACTCTCAGATAAAACGGAGAGAAGTAATAGCAAATAATATATTTTTTCTTTATATTCTTGGAGCTGTATTTTAATATTTAACACAGTTTTAAAGTTTAATATCACCTCTACTTTTCTATAAGCTTGATATTCTAGGCTTGCTACTGTCATATTGAGAAATTTGTCTACATAACTAGATCATTAAATAATTTTATACTTTGTTTAGCTGAAAATGTGTTTATGTGGAAATGAGATTAAGGTAATAGAATTACACCTGTTTTCTACACTTGATAACCTTGTGTGATAATGTCACTTGCTTACCCGGGAAGTTATTGACTCACTGCAGCCAGGAGAAGACTTTAATATTAGAATCTATTAAGTAGCGTTGTGTTTTAAGTAGGAGGAAGTAAAAGTCTAAAGTTAAAAAAAAAAGTTAGAAATTGTTTACCTGTGACAAACTTGGATTAAAATTAATACCTAACTTAGAGGGGTTTAAAGTATTATAGAAAAGAGCAACATGGGCAGAATTAGGAGGCTCGGTTCATTGTTCTTCTTGCATCCAGTTCTGGGGCTTTGAATACCTCTCCAGATTCCTAAGGAGGTCAAGATATCTGATTCCTAAGGTCTATTATAATCTCCCGTAAATTATGCTTTCTTTAGCTAATAATTCTTTATATATTCATGAATTCTGTAAAGCAACTTCTCTAAATTATCATCTATTTCTTCTGCTAAACAAGTCATATGCCATTGCAATGATATATTTATTTTATTAATATAAATAGAAATGAATTATGATGAGTCATTTTGATATATTCTGAGAGTCTAGGGTTATGTTATAAACTATAAATAGTTTATTTTTATCTACCTACAAACCAATTAATCATATTGCATATATGTCATATTTGCCAGTGTAATGGTATGATTCTGAAAGTACTCTAGTGACCCTGAGGCAAAATGTGAAAAATTACAACTATAGGAAATGTCTTATGGAAGATGACTCTAATGGACTTAGGAGAGAATACTAAGAGTTAATGACATTGAAATAATCACCTAAATAATGAACACCATATTTGGTGGTAAAAATCAGAAAATCTGAATCTTTTTGTCATAAAATATCCCATCTTATGGATTTATGAGTACCTGAGGGCACAGTGCAAGGTGACTTTTAAAAATATTATTTGTAATGACCCATTCAGTTACTTTACTTACCCATTAAGATGTTCTAGAAAATGCTCAGCTGCAAATTTCACATATTTTATCCTGGAAGCTTTTATTTTTACTGAAGATTATACTCTTTAGAAAACCTGGCTGCACTTAAAAAAATTATTAGACATAGAGTTTGGCAAACATAACCACAGATTTCAGGAAATAGAATAGAATAAAGGCTTAGCCAAATGTTTTTTTTTAGCTTTGAAGAAAAGTGACCATGTAGAATGGCACAGACTTAAGTGGTTATATGTATATACCCATGTATATGTGTTTATTTGTACATATATATTCATTTACATATATATGCATATATATGTACATCCACCACACATGGTGGATGTACGTATGGTGTACATATATACACATACATATATATGTACATATATACACTTAAGTCTGTGTCATTCTACATAGTCATTTTTCTAATATATATAAGATTCTGTTGATAAAATAATTTATTTAAATAAACACATTAGCTTTTGAGAAGAAAGATTCGTTTTAGAGTTTTTATGGATAACAAAACATTTTTTAATCCAAAGCACAATAGATGTGACATCTTTTTGCCTAAAAAAAATCTAAAATTAGCTTTTCTTTGAAATGAAATTAGAAATCCAGCCAAAAGAAACATAACAAACTTGGGTTTAAGTAGGTTAAAGTGTTTAGCATATTTTAAAATTTAATGTAAAAAGTTTCTGAAAAAAAATTTATGTATCTATCATACTTTTCCCAGGCTAATTTTTTTTTCATGTTGTTCAATACAATGTTTTTTCCAAAGTAAGACCTTATACTCCAGTAGTTAGATAGACTCCACGGTATAAATAGGACTTACCATGAAGTTTGTGTATTAGAACATTCTATTCATAAGTATGGTTTCAGAAGGGTTCAGTGTGATAATTTTACATAATGAAATTTATAATATTCTCAATGTAAGTTCATTTCCCTCCTCTGTTATCATTTCAATGTAGTCTTTCAATCAGTTGATTCATTGTAACCTACTTTTAAGATTACGTGTGATTATTTCTCACCCTAAAGATATTTCATTTAAATCATTGTATACAGACCTAATAACAAGGGAAATTTTCTCATCTGAAAAATTGGTTTCTCAAAGATGTTATATAAATCAAGCCCAAACCCTTTACAATTCTAAATTTTCTTGGATTTGTATTAAGTAGCTAAATGTCTTTTACCTGAATTCATGACATGAAACAGGAAATTGTCATATATCTATATCTGTATCTATATCTATATTTAAATGACGTTTTGTCTTTGATATAGAGGGAACACTGAAAATTTTGATGGTACTTCACTCACAATTGTGTCTAAAAGATTTATCCAAACTTTGGAATTAGTAAATTAATCTTTAATTTACCATTGCTCTGGGTCAGCCAATTTTGCTTTGTTGAAATGTTTGATGGACTTCTTATTCTAGATGTATTGTCTTCCTTAGTCAAATTTCTATTATTAGTTTTTCATTCAAGGCAATAGGAATAAATTTGTAATCTGTCATTTTTAAGGCATAATCCAATCATCCTAGAAATTAAAATCTTATAATTTAAGTTCATTTTTTTTTCTCCCAGCCTTTTTATTTCATAGTTGGGATTGAAAATTGATATCTGAAATTTAGTATGAGTAACTTAAGCTAAGAGAGCTAGCAATATCTACTGAAGTTTTTCCTACTTAATGAGGCATGCCTATGAACAAAGAACTTTGGGGAAGTGGACAGTGAAATTTTCATTTTGCATGTCCCTGGGTCACTGCTTTTTCAAGTTGAATTTGAGGGTTCTAACATCTCAGCTTTTCCCTGTGCCATAGTGTAAGAGGAAAAGTAGGAAAAATTAACTGTAAGACTTCAAATATACCAGTGAGACCAAGCTCCCAATCCTTTTGTCTAGTAACTTTTTTGATACAGCTTACAAGTAATGAGTCTTTTTGACTCTGTGTTAGTGTTACTATTCTTAAATGTTCTTTAACTTTGCCATTATTATTTTCTTGTACTTACCTTCACATTTCTTTATGTTTCCTTCAACTGAATGCAATAACTTTAGAAAAGTTATCTAATTGTTTCTCCTCCTCAAAAATTAAGTTTAGATCTTACTTATTCTAGGGCAAAGTCATATTTATCTTAGTTATATCTAGGTTTTCACTGCCATCTGGCATCTCTTATGAATGTTGTATTTTGTTTTCCATTAAATGTTTCCAAAAATCTTCTGCTCTCAGTAAACTTAACACTGCCCTCTATTCTGTTATGAAAAGCAACTTTCTTTACTAAGTTAGTTAAAGACCTTTCATATAAACTTGCTTAGTATTTCCCTTTCTTGACTATGAAACAATGGTCTCCATCTTTCCTCCTTCCTTTCCCTACCCATTCCTTTGATGCTCGTCTGTCAGCATTACTTGTGTGATTGCATCTCTCTCTCTCTCCATGTTTGAAACTATCGTCAGGTTTTCCACATCCTAAGGAAGACTTCAGCAAACATTGCTGATCCCTAACATTGTTTTTGTTTTTCTGTCAGTTTTTTTCTTCATTTCAAAATCTTTCTATTTATTTATTTATTTATTTATTTACTGTGGAGAGATGAGGTATCGCTTTGTTTCCCAGACTTTTCTCAAACTCCTGGGCCCAAGCAATCCTCCTGCCTCGGCCCCCCACCAAAGTGCAGGAATTGCAGGCTTGAGCCAGCACACTCAAACACTGAGCCCTCAAGACATTTTTAATAAATAATCTATGCATTTTGACAAGGTTTTCTCATTACTCACTTCCTAGAGTCAGACTATTGCCTTTTACTTCTACTGAAGTGTGAAGGAAGAAACATCTCTTAAAAATTCATGTATATCTGCATCAAACAATCTAGTTTTTATTCTCAAAGTGGATTAGTTGAAGGGTTTAATGATGGGAATGATGTAAAATCAGATACATGTTTTAGAAAGATGATTCTGGCTGTAGTATAGAGAATAGTTTGGAGGCAGGAAAGATTGAATTTATTGTCTTTAACTATTGTGATGAAAACTAAAGACAGATCAGACAGATAGAGATACACAGTTTTGTCTCGTTATTGTGAATTTACAGAAAAAAGTCTTCCAACAAACTTTCCTTTATGCCATTTCTGCTGTGAATGGGGTCTGGCTCCATTTCTTTTTAAAAACATACTAGGTTATATCTTAGCACAAAAAAAGTGCCACGTGAACAGACTGTACTCTGATAAGTCCAGTCATTTTTCTTTCTACTTTTAGAGTTACATTCTTACAAAGAGTAGTTGTGTTTGTTTACAAATGACAATTTAATTGTTTTTATAATTAGAAAATTTAATATTGTGCTAAGCAATGAGATACAAAGGCAAAAAAGTATTGTTGTTTTATAAAACTAAATCGGACAATTTAAAAAACAAATTCAAGGCTCCTACAAGAGTCTATCAAATTAATTGTGGATGTGATAATTGTTGAAAAGACTGGACAGAAAAATATATTGGTTCCTGCTGTTGTGTAGCATATTACTACAATTACATTTTCTTTTAAAATAAAAACTAGTTATTATCTTAAAGTTATGGAGATCAGAGGTTCAAAATCAGGCTCAAAGGGCTAAAATTAAGGTGTCAAAGGACCATATTCCTTCAGGAAGCTCAAGGATAAAATTTTCTCCTTGCCTTTTTCAACTGCTGAAGGCTTTCCATGTTTTTTGGCTCACAGCTCTCTTCCATCCTAAAATCCAGCAATCACGTCATTTGGGCCTCTGCTTCCGCGGTCACATCTCCTTCTATGAATGACTCTGACCTTACTACTTTTATCTTATAAAAACTTTTATGATTACATTGGGCCCAACCAGATAATCCAAGCTTATCTCCCAGTATCACAACCCTTAACTTAATCACATCTACAGAGTTACTTTTGCCATGTAAGGTAACAATTGGAAAGTTCTAGGGATTAGGACATAGACATCTTTGGGAGGGGCTTTCAGCATACCAAGGGGATAAAAACAAAATCTGTAAGCATTCTGCACTCAAAACTTTATGTTCTCCATGGAAAAAAACAAATCCAAAAGCACATAATGAATGTGGTTTATAGGAAGGAAGGAACCAAATTTCAATTCTTGGAGCACAGTCAGAAGCCTCAAAGTCATTGGTTATATACCAAAACATATGGATTTTATAAATTAAAATCAAATATATTACTTTGTAATCCTTCAGATCTTCTAAAAATTTTGTCTGTATAGCATCATTCCTTGTTGACCTATAATAATCTACTCGATCCAGAGACAGTGAACGATCATTAAAATACGTCCCTAAGAGTTTTCCTACTTCTTTATCACTCCTGTCAACACCCCACTTCCCTACTAGGGATGGATCAGACTCTGCTTGTTGAAGGGCGGCAGGAAAAGTGGGAGAAAGAGAAAATATAAACCTGAGAAATAGAGAGAAACTAACCACTCTCTCCTCTCATATCTTATTGTAAATATTCCAGCCTGAAACAGGTCTGAGTCCAGGGAAAACGTAGCTTAACACAAAATTAAATCCAGATCCTTAGTTAATATTTTAGACATGATTATTATTTCTTAGTGAATTGAGAGGGTGACATAATGACTGCCTATTTTCTGTGAATAAGCAGAGAAGTCAAGAAGCATACTGCATATTTCATCCAGTAGCAGGGGAAGATTTTCCTTACTAAATAAAGTTAGAAGGAATTGGTGGGAGACAGAATGTAAAGTTGTATCTTCATCACATCCTGAATTGCTTTTTATTAAATCATTAATTATGCTCTGTCAACATACCATATTCTAAAAAGAGGGTTGGTCCCATCAAACAAAAGAAGGATTTATATTTCATTTTAAAATGTTCTTCATTAACAGTCTTTACTCAAATAGCCTCAGTGGAGCATAGTACCATATAAGGAACAAGCATATGGAATCTTAAGACTGTAATGGCCAAATGTCCATGATCAGTAGAGTTAATTAAACAACTTTATTTCACCTGTAGCAAATACAAAACACATGGTATGATGTTGTATACTTATAGAAAAGTACTTTTAAAGGGAAGACAAAAGATAAATAAAAATAAAAACAGAGTGACAAATGATAAACATTGCACAATAGAACAAAAACATGGTAATTCGCATAAGGGTGGTTGCTTATGATATGTATCTTTATTCCCCTTATCTATTGACTTTGTTTTGATCAAAAGCAATTGCCATTCCGCTAACCTAGCAAAACTTTTAAAAATCGTTTCATGTGCTACTTTACTGCTGAAGTTGCTTGCCTCTTAAATATTTCTAGCATTTATTGAGAGATACTTGGATTCATTTGAATTTCTGTATTATTCCTTCAGCAATAAAATGAGCAATAATTAAGTAAAAATAACTTTATAAGTGAATATAAATGTATCATGATACTAAATATGAATGTAAAAATGTGTATGTGTACATGCACATAATATTTTATTTGTTTGTTACCTTAATAAGATGTGACACTTTAGTTTGCTTTCGTAAGTATGCAGATAGCAAAAACCTTACTTTAAAAGCTTTTCAGTTACACCATCATTAGCAAAAAGTTACAAAGCCAGCATGATTACCGACCTAGGCTGTTTTTAGTATCTTCCCAGTATGAGTAGTTCATTGAATTTAAATGCTATTTTCTCCCATTTTATAGGCACATGGTCAGAGTTATAGCATATGTTATTTCCTGTTGCTAAATTTCTTGTAAAATAGCAAAACTACAGTATTTATGCTAAATTGGCACTTTTTTTAATGTAGCATTTTAATGTTGAAGGTCACACTTATAAAGACCATGGAGCTTTCTTATTATTGGACTTCTGAAATTTTTAAAGTATAATTGAATTATGGGGGGGTTGGATAAAATACCAGCTATATCATTTAATTTATCATGCAACATATACTAAATTTTTTCATCATACAAATAAAACATTTTATAAGTATACTTCTTTCCTAAATCTACTATAGCGTTCTTTGTAAGGCAGGCTTGATTGAGAGTTGTTGAGAAACTTAAATGTGTCTTTAGTTTTCTTTAGAGTAAGACATCTCTTCTAGCGATCAAATACTGCTTATTAGAGTTGCAGAGTCAGCATAACAATTCAGGTGGGAGCCTTAGGATTAGATAAGAGATCATGAGAAAATAGATGGGCAGATGGATAGACAGATATTAAAACATATGTAAAGAACTAACATGTATTTAAAGCAGCAATATAATGTTGTTATACCTCATTAAACCAAGTAGTATAAAAACAGAATGAAAACCTGCTATAAAACTGGTAGCAATTTCTAATTTGACTTCTAGCATTCATTTTAATGGATCTCTGTATTAGGAGGTCCTTGAACCTGGTTGTTTACAAATGGCCCTAGAGTAAGCAGTGCCAGTTCTTTGCTGTGTTTGAAGCCAGCATTTGCTGTTTCTGAAACAATCTGAGACAAAGGTCTCAGTTATGTGATTCTTCATTCTGAATTAACCCTATCTCTTACTCTTTTGGCCATTTAAAAAAAAAAGTCTACAGTCTTCTGAGTTTCTGAAAATAAATTTAAAAAAAGAAGTCTCCTAAAAACTTTCCTGAAATCTTGGTGAATTCAAACTGTATGAGATTATTTTATTTGGTGCAAAATTGCACCCTGAAATAGGAATACATACCTAGTAATTTGGTTTTATTTTAATTTGCCAAACTTCATTTGGCACAGTTTTTACATTCCACATTTACCATTGAACAATATTTTAAAAGCATTCCTTTGCATTCTTCATGTTAAGTATATTATGGTCTCTGTTGAGCGAATTTTTGCAGCTCAATAGTTCTTTTCCTACTGGGTAATTATTCAGTATATTTGTTTATTACTTAACTAGTTTTCACTGTGATGAATCTTAGGTTTTTATTTTGTTACTGATTTTGTTAGAAAACTACACAGATGACTTCTACTGAATTCTTGCTCATAAAGATGTTTTATAAGAGACAAAGAAAAAGACACAGTCAAACTTATATGCTGTGCTTCAAATGGTTGTGGACTGCAATACGTCCCCTGTGAAAATTCCTGTGTCCAAGCCCTAACTCCCAGTGTAATGGTAAATGGAGATGGGGCTTTTGACAGATAAGTAGGGTTAGATGAGGTCATGTGCGAGGCTCTGGTCTGATGGGATTATTGTCCTTACAAAAGAGGAAGAGACACTGGAGCTCACTTGCACATGAAGAAAAGGCCATGTGAGGACACAGAGAGAAGGCAGCCATCTGCAAGCCAGGAATAGAGCCCTCACCAGAGACCTAATTTGCCAGCATCTTGATCATGTACTTCCAGCCTCCAGAACTGTGAGAAAATGCATTTCTGTTGTTAAGCCACCCAATCTGTGGATTTTGTTATGGAAGCCCGAGCAAACTAATACAGGTATACAGTAGGCACATAATTGATAAGATTTAACTCTTAGCTTGTTTGGCCCTCAGAAGACGAGGTTCCCTATCATATGAGACACTCATCAAATAATTGCTAAATAATAAACAAATAATTTAGAACTGTTTTATGTGCATGTGATGAAAACTATGCCACATTACTTCCATAAAACTGGAACAATTGAATGAATTGCAGTTACATTAATGTGGTCACTGTTAGTCCAGATTATGTACTAAAACATCTATGTTCTAGAGTAGAATCAAAACTTTGAACTTTCTAATACACTGAATAAATACATTGTTAACAAAGTCTTTTGCTGGTTCATTTTTATTAGTTGAGGTACATGAGTTGATAGTCTTGGGTGTTTGCAATAGTAAAAACGGAGGAAGCACTGAAATCAGAGAAAATCAATTTTAAGCAAAAACAAGGACATGCATGTATGTGGTTTTCTCAGCAGGGGCTAGTATAGAAAGTTTATGTTATATTTCTAAAACTTTCCATGGGGACGTTTTAAAATTAAGTATTGATTTGTTTTTTAGTTATAATCTTGGATCCTTTGGTGGTAGCTACAATTCTATGTCTGTCTTTTTATTCTTCAGAAACAGAAAATCAATCAGACAGAATTTACAAGTGCATTTTAAAAAGTTACTTTAGTCCTTAAAAGAATCAAATTACTTTATTTTTGACATTATGTTATTTAAATTCCAATCTTCTATGTTGGCAATGCCAAAATCACTATTTCTGTTTTGTTTATATTTCAGTTGTCATGCAATGGTTAAATATAAGAATGTTTGCCACTTAAGATTGGATTCTACATATGTATGTGTATGTGTGTGTGTGTATATATATATATATGGAGAGAGAGAGAGTATATATAATGTATACATTGAAATTTTTATTTTTTAAGGTTATATCAACTAAAAGTACTTTATGTACCATTTGCAGATGAAAATAATAAATTTATGTAGAACATGTTTAAAATAAAATCTATTTTATTATTTAAAAAACAATTTAGATGCTAACTACATCAGAAAGAATTAAATTGGTGAGAAAATCAAAGTTATAATGTATATGAAATGGCAAATTACTGTGCAAAATAAATATTAGACCTGTGAGGAGAAAAGTTTTCACCAAGTCTACTTACCAGGACCAGAGCGAGTGATAAGTCATTTACTCTGTACTACTAAAGAAGAAAATTTATGAGTATAAAAGTGTTTTACTCATTTAAAAATGCTTTTATATTACCAAGTTAGAAAATAAGCAGGCCAAATGCTAGAATACCATGTGTATTTTTGCATTTTCCATTTAAGAAGAAAAATCAGAAGCTCAAAACTATTATAATGACTAAGTAATGAAGAGTACATATTTTTTTAAGCATCTCACTTATATTTAAGAAATAAAATACACTAAAATATACAATGAATGTAAGCTAGGATAGGAAAAGCAATTGTATTCTTTGAAATAAAATCATCTTCACTCTTAGACATAACCAAGGAATTTTAAAATCTGAGTGATAACACGGAATTTTTAAAATGCTATGAAAATTTATTATTCAAAATAGCCCTATATTGGAAATTTTCCTATGAAACTTTAAAACATAAATTTTTAAATAAAATTAGAGATACTCTCTAATAATTATGAATTTTCTTATTCAGAATAAATGTTAATAAAATTTGATTATATAATTAATAACAATTTAAATGAATTATTAAAAGTCGAGTTGAATATAATTATAATATTCTAAATTCCAAATTTTACATTGCTGCGAATTTTAGTATAAAATCTGTTAATAAGCTTAATCATACTCAAAAGTTTATTTTAGTTTTATTTTTTATTTAGTTTTGTATGTTTTTGAGGGAAATGCCACTTCATCCAGAAAAGCTGAAGTTTAACACAGATGTAAACTTTTGAGAAAATTTTTATAGTCCAAAAAACAGTAATATTTACTTGCAGTTTACCTGTTATTAGATGTTATTAACTATAGACTTCCTACGGCTGCTAGAAAAATTTGCTGATCAAGTAAAGCTAAGATTTAGTTCAGTAAGGAAAAACACTAAGTTCAGAGATTCTTTGTAGATACTCAAAATAGGAAAATGAGAAAGAGTATTTAGAGATTTTACTGTCTGTGGTGGGTGATTTTAACGTAGGTCTTGCAAAGTAGGTAATTGGTTGGGACAGGGCAGAGTTATGACATAATAGTTTTGTATGGGCGAGCAGAGAGTGACAGGGTCTTGAAATGATTCTTGATAAGCAATGTGTTTTATCTCCAAGGAACAAGCATTTCCTAGAGCCAGCATCTATGATTTTTAAAAAACAGCCTTCGTGTTTGGCAGAAGGACAGAAAAATAGGCCTGCACCCTGTATTATTTAACATAATGGTGGGAGAATATGACTGTTTCCAGTATTGTTTCCTACAGACAAAGGAATTATGTTGTTTCCGTTTTAAATTTTTTTTTCCAGTCATTCTTCAGCCTAAAGTGGACAATAAACTATTATGATCTGGGGACATGATCAGTCCAGGTCTATACAGTTGTTTGATTTGTCATGGTCATAGGTAGATTTTCTAAGGATGTTCGCTCTCCTCCCACTGCTTCTTGTTCTTTTTCCTGTTAAAAGATCAATTATTCCATCATTTTATAGGACAGGGGCTATGCAGCTGTGTTTAAACCTCTGGAGGTCACTCTTGACCCTACAACACAGACAAATATTAAGAGAAGAATTATGATCAGAGGTTTTAAGCCAGGAGCCAGATTTGCTTCAGTGTAAAGAAAGGGAACAGATTTCATTTCCAATGCAAAGGGCACACAGAAAGAGATATGGGGGTATCAACCAAATTACTTAAACTTTCTTGATTTCTTTGATCATTTTCAAACATTTTAATGATCCCAGAGATCTCTGTAATGTGTAAGTACAACATTCTTCCCCTAAGAATGAGTCAACACGTGAGGCCAATATTATATGTAAAGCAGCTTGTCTAATTTCAAGAAACTCTCAGCCAAGGCATTGTCAGTTCTTAGAGAAATTGTATGATTTCCCTGGTTTTCTCTGAACCACAGCATGTAATATTCTTCCCACTCTATGAATCTTTTGCGAAGCATGAAATGGGAAGGCATGGGGGCAGAAGAAAACAGTCTAAAATTTTGCTTAGTGGTTAACGTTTTTGAACTTAAGGCCCAGATTATATTTTTTTCTATTAATCCATTTTAGATCTCTTTTTCTAAAAAGGAAATTTTGGGGGGTAAAGTTGACCCTGGGTAATATTATGAAGTACAAATCAGAGTCCTGTGCCATAGAGGAAAATAGTGAGGCAGGACGTGGAAAGCCTGGCAGTCTTTCCTAGGCAATTTACATTATCAAATAATCTGGATAGATTGACAACAATAGTTAATACTTTATGTGTGTATCAGATATGTTGTAGCCACTTTTCATATATTACTCAACTAATCTTCACAACAACCTTAAAAGATAGGTATTGTTACAGTCCATGCCTTACTGAGACACAGTGAGATTAAACAAGTTAAAATATTGATTAGCTAGTAGATGGTGGTGGCAGTGGGTTTCAAACCCAGCCTCTGGAGCCTTTACTTTTAATCATTATAAAATACCACTTCTCAAAAGTCAGTAAGACTTTAAGAGAAAATAAAAAGTAAAACTAAGTAAACTGTGTAAGACTTTATAAAATTTTATTTTGCCTGCAAATTTAAACTTGAAAGTGCAAAATATTTATCTAGTTACATGGACTTTTAAAAGATATAACTACAGCTGGGTGCGGTGGCTCACACCTGTAATCCCAGCACTTTGGGAGGCCGAGGCAGGCAGACCACAAGTTCAGAAGATCGAGATCATCCTGGCTAACATGGTGAAACTCTGTCTCTACTTAAAACAAAACAAAACAAAACAAAAAATACAAAAAAATAGCCGGGCGTTGTGGCGGGCGCCAGCAGTCCCAGCTACTCGGGAGGCTGAGGCAGGAGAATGGTGTGAACCCGGGAGGTGGAGCTGCAGTGAGCCAAAATCGCACCACTGCACTCCAGCCTGGACGACAGTGTGAGACTCCATCTCAAAAAAATAAAATAAAATAAAATAAAATAAAAGTAAAAGATACAACTACAAGAAAATCTGGATTTTTATTTTATATGAATGAGTTATTTTTTGAAATGTCAAGCTATAAAAATGTATGAAAGTGTAATTAATAGTTATTCAGTGACTATGATTTTCTGATCTATATACAAAAGTATATTTTAATAAGAAATTTTATATTAGATTACATTTGTTTTGCCTTCATTTAGTGTAAAAACCAAACAAAGATAAAATTTGACAGTTAACTTCAGAAGATCACACCAAATTTCACTGAATTATCCTATTAGTTTAACTTCTTATTCATTATTGAGATTCTTATGTAATAAAATAATAAATAATCACTTACTTTACTATCTTCTCTGCGCAAATTTTGGTTTATGCAAATTCTAAGGGCTTCATAAACCAAAGAATTGAATAAATGAAGCATTTTCCTTTTAAAAAACATTTAAAATGACATGAAGTTCATGTTCACCTTGAAACATCAAACACCACTTCTAGTTATTTGGTGTATTTTCAATTTTAATTGGAAAATTGATCATCTAAAGATTTTTATTTGAAGTATAAAAAAATGTGTCCACAGAGAGAAGAAAAGTACTACAAACTGGGTTTGAGGCCTCGTAAAGTCTTAGCAAGATACTTTATCATACTTTAAGAATCATACCCTTTGGATCAAAGCTTAAAAAAAAGGAAATATTTAATCCACTATTTTGAAAATTGACTGTGGGAGTGAGGAAGGCAGAGATTAAAAGTGGAAAGGAAAAGAGAAAGGAAAATACTTTTCTTGGCTAGCTTGGAGGGAAAGAAGAGCCATTCCAATTTCATCATAATTCACCCTCGTAGGTATTCCTAACCTGAGATTGGCTTGGGTTAAGGCTTGCTATCAAAATGCCAGTAGTTTTGAAGTTAGTGGATTCCAAAATTTTAGTTTATCAAATACTTACATGGGAAATAATTGAAATAATAGAGAATTACATAAAATATCTAATAGTTTCTTTTTAAGTTTAAAAAAATATATATATGTATATGTAGATGACATGGGGAAGGAGAGGTTTCGACTTTCAAAAATGTAAGCAGTGTGGGAAACTTGGCATTTAAAATAGAATATAACATGATCCAAACAGAGACTTTTATAACAAGGAGTAGAGGACAGGGGATTCATAATTAATATAAGGCATTCAAGAGAAATATATCACACTAATCAATTAGTATATAGAAGTGTTTCCACATAGTCTGCTTGATTCTTATAATTAAAGAATTATACTCTTGAAAGCAATGTAAATTTGTCCAAAAGAATTATCAAATAAGAAATTATTGATAAAGTAAGGAAAATATGACTGTACTCTCATATTAGGCAGCAGGTAATATGTATCCTTTTAGATTTTCAAAGTAATATTCATGTTTGAGTGCAAAATAAACATGAACTATTACTAAACTATTTGAAATGCAGTATTTTAATCAAAAGTCACCACTAATGTATGTATATATCCTAAAATGTGAATTTTAATGGATATTTATATAGACAATATAAGAAGCCAAGGTTAAAAAATTAGGCATATCATCATATTTCATCTTCCTGTTTAGGCGGTAAGATTTCATTATTTTTAAGTTGTAAGTTTTAGCTTTCAAGCATCTTCACTTGTAGAATAATTTCTCTTGTGTACTGTAGTGGTGGGGAGAATAGTGGAATTTGCTATATTAAAAAGGAAAATCACCAGTTGAAATTATATTACCTTCTCATATAACCTTTTAGGAGTTTTGATGCACTTGCTATTTATGAATTGGAATGTTTAAGGTGTATACATCCAACATTTTGTTTGTTGGATCAATTTACTCATATTACTTTTGGTCCACTCACTGTAATTAGTGTTAACAAAATACCAGTGAGATCTACAGAGGCAAAAGGAGAACTTTATTTTCTAAAAACAATCTTCAGTTTGGGTAGACAGCAGGTTTCTGTGCAAAACAAAAGTGTGCTCCAAGCAGAGGTTGGGGAGCTAATGAAGATAAAGGCAAAACATAGGACAGTGGTAGGGAGTAAAGAGAAGGGACTTGATTGGGATGATCTTTATACCCCAAATCACCAGTCTCTCTGAATTGGAGGGTTCCAGGTGGACTGTCTGTTGGTGGTAAGTTATGGAATATCCATCTGCAGTTGTTTTTGACGTTGAAAAGACCAGGCACTGTTCTTGGACTTGGTTACAGAAAAACATGTTTTGCAACAGTTTTCAAGAACACAGAGAATAGGGACTTCATTACTGACCTCGTTCAGGGCCTTTGCACAAGTTATTTCCTCTGTAAGCCATACTCTTTCCCACTTTTTCTCTGGCTCCTACTTTTTATTCTTTGAGATCTTAGATTTCTTCATACTCCCCCACCAAACATAAATGTGTTATCTTTCATTTTCTTTTATGACATAGTTCTCTGATAATTTTCTTTATAACCCTTTTCTAATTGTGCAATTAGGAATTCATTTGTGAGCTTATTTTTTAAGTTGGTTTCCCCTACACTTGAGCATCAGGAAAGCATCAGAGCGCCCAACACATACTATTATAAACTATGTAAGGCCATGTCTGATCTTTTACTTCAGTAAGAAGTGACACCACTGATTATTAAATTGTAAAGAAAAGGGATGAAATAAGTCAAAATACTTACTTCTGGATGCCTTATTATTATTGACCATTAAGCAACACATTCTACAAAATGTATTATGCTGTTCAATTCTTTTTAAAAAATGAATTAATCACATCTGTGATTTCCTATCTGTTTTGAAGCTAGACGTTCATCTTCCCAGAAGTGCTAAAATGTTTGCTGGTTGAACAGCATACTAATTAACTAACCTTTTCTATTGCAAAAAGTTTATTAAGAAGTCAGAACATTAAGTTGAGAATATTTACTGACAAGATCTATAAATCCCATCTAATCAAGCTGAAGTGTTAGTAAAATGCTGGCTTATAAGTAAGGCCTAAATGAGACTCACTATTTTTTGAACATATTTCTAGGTTAAAAAAAAGAAGCACATCACCAATATAATACAATATTAGAAAGTTCTCATATCTCATTAGGTTTTGATATGGAAATGTAGTTTGCATTTGGAATAATAAATACCTGACATTACAGGAACATAATGACCACAGAATAATCTTGCCTTTCCACATTTGAAACTATTGATGAGTGTTAATGACTTGCAAATAATTTCTTCCCCAAAACTATGAGAACTCAGAAGCCAATTACATAAGTTTTTTGAGAGAATATTTGTATGTGAAATTGTTAGTTTAATAACTAAAATTTTTTTGCTGTTTATTCTAACATTTGAGCATCTTTTTTTTTTTTTTGAGGCAGAGTCTAGCTCTGGCACCAGACTGGAGTGCAGTGGCACAGTCTTTGCTCACTGCTACCTCTGCCTCCTGGGTTCAAGCAATTCTCCTGCCTCAGCCTACCAGCTAGCAGGGACTACAGGCATGCACCACCATGCTCAGCTAATTTTTATATTTTTATAAGGGACAGAGTTTCACCACATTGGCCAGGATGATCTCGATGTCCTGACCTCGTGATCTGCCTGCTTTGGTATCCCAGAGTGCTGGGATTACAGGTATGAGCCACCGTACCCAGCCTTGAGTCTCTCATTTTTAAGGAACTTTTGTAGTAGGTACAAGGCTTGTAAAATATTCAAAGTAAAATTAGACTCACCAATAATGATAAGAAGTTAAGGAGGTCAGGTACAGTGGCTCACGCTTCTAATCCTAACACTTTGGGAGGCCGAGACAGGCATATAGTTTGAACCCAGAAATTTGAGACCAGCCTGGGCACAATGGTGAAACCTATTCTCTACAAAAAATACAAAAACTTAGCTGGGACTGGTGGTGCACATCTGTAGTCCCAGACACTTGGGAGGCTGAGGTGGTAGGATCACCCAAGCCTGGGGAGGTCGAGGCTGCAGTGAACGAAGATATACTACTGCACTCCAGCCTGGGCAAAAGAGTGAGACCCTGCCTCAAAAGAAAAAGAAAAGGAAGTTAAGGAAATTATACATTGTAGTACAACAATGAAGAACAGCTCATCTCTAATGTATTCATTGTGGATTGAAAATGAGAAAAACATGATTACCTTTGACTCGTGGATTATGTCATTCATGTTAAGTAAAACTTTGCTAGATAAGTGAAAATCACAGGGCAACATGATTTTTAAAGGCATGTTTCCTTCCAGAAAAAAAAGTCAATAAATAGATAAATTTCTGGTTCAGCTAGAAATTTTCCCCAAATGCCTCTCCACCTCCTAGTGTGTTGTTTACAGGAGGTGGAACACATCAACTCAGAAGCATTTTTTCATGTTTGGTAGAGAGAGAACATTGACTAGACTGAAAGTTGCTATTAAACTTTGCCAAGGATTGTAGCAGGTGCAGGATGCCCTCCAGCCTCCTAAGAAAGATGGTTCAGGCTAGTCTCTACCTTTCCTGTCATTTATCTGACACTTCCAGACATACCACCTGCGCCCTAGTTGTATGGAACACAATTTTATTATGCAAAACAGAGAACCCACCCACCCCACCACTACTCACTTACACTGATTCAATGTCTACCTTTTAATCAGTGTTATAGACTGAATGTTTGTGTCTTCCCAAAATTCATATGTTGAATCCCTAACCCTCACTGTGATTGTATTTGGAGATAAGATTATAAAGAAGTAATGTTAAGTGAGGTCAAAAGAATAGGGCCCTGATCCAATGGGATTAGTGTCCTTATAATAAGACACACACACACACACACGTTATGTGAGGGCACAGTGAGATGGCAGCTTCTTATAAGCCAAGAGAAGAGACTTCAGAAAGAAACCTACCTTATTGGCATCTTGATATTGGACTTCTGTGTGTCCAGGGCTGTGAGAAATTAAGTTTCTATTGTTTAAGTCCCATAGTCTAGGGTATTTTGTGGCAACGCAAACAGATCTTAGGTTTCATTATTCTTTATGAATAAGATAAGTAAACTCCCTCTGTAAAGTTTCTGGAGTCCTTTCCACCCTCCATCCAAGCAAAATCAGTTCTCCCTACTCTGCAGTCCTATGGGACTTGAATACAACTATAGTATGATCATGCCTTGTCTATTATGGATAAGTATGTATTCATTCCTGGCTCTCCTATGGGGCTGTGATGTACTTGAAGACGTCAAGCTCATAGTCTCATACAACGGGAGAAGGAAGGGAGGGAGGGAGTTAGGGATGGAGTTAGGGAGGGAGGGAAGGAGGGAAGGAGAGAAGGAAGGGAGGAAGGGAGGGAGGGAGGAAAGGAGGAACGGAGGGAGGGAGGGAGGGAGGGAAACTGAGAGAGAGAAAAAGAGTGGTGGAGGAAGAAAAAAGAATCTGATAAATAAGAAGTCTATAATATCGTCATTGTCACCATCATTGTAGATATATAATGTGCATGACCATGTATGTCTTTACATATCTGAGTGCATATCATTTCAAACACTGAAGAGTGTCATGTTCTCTTACTGGACAGGCAGTAGCTTCATGCTCATCCCCAGTCCCTAGTAAAATGAGTCTAAATGTCTAGAGGGTTGGAAAACTCTGACCGAACCCATCTTTTGCAATTTTGGAGGAGTGGAATTGTCTAATAAATTTGAAAAATCATCATTTATCAGATGCAGGTGATGATATATGTTTTCACAAAAAGCTTCATAGCTGGGGATTGCATCTGCATGTACACTGCAAGCTATTAAGTACCCCCAAAAAGAACCCTGAAATGTTTTCGGAGACATTATGGTATTTTATGGAATATCAGCTTAACAGCACTTTGGAGACTGGCCTAGTCCCTTGTTTTTCCAGATGTGAAAACTAGGTCTAGAGGGCACATGACTTACTCAAAACCCCACAGCTCTCTAGTTTACCCAGGGAGAAAACAAGCAGGCAGGTGTCCCAAATTCATGTGAGTAGGCCTAACGCCTGCCGAGACTGTGCTCGTTTTAATTTTCATGAATCTAGAGTTGTCATTAGGGAAGCTTAGCAAATGTGTTCAGTGAGGAAACTTGCTTCCTGTTTAAAAAAAAAATTATCCAAATTATCAGGTAGATGACCCTGGAGTTATTTTAATTAAAGGCAATGGAGAAAAAAATTAGGCACTTAGATAGGTTTCTTGAACTCATAAAATTAAAGAGCCTTTTCTGTCAATATGTGGGTTAGAGGTAATTCCTGTAAATGTGAATGTAAATTAACTGTGTAAATTCCCATACATATTAATTACAAAAGAAATCTTCGCTACTTTAGTCTTTATTTCTATAGTGGGAGCTCTTTTTTTTTTTTTTTTTAAGAAAAAAAGAATTATTTTATAAACTGAAGTTGGAAAATTTTAGATATTTTTCTGTTTTGATCCTCCCTGGCCCCCATCACCTAGATACAGAATTACTTTTTGGTGGACGTTTTGCCTTAAGTCATTCCATTAATATAATGATTATAATATGCCTAAATGACTCTGTGTGTCAATAGCCCAGGGGAAATGATTAAATCTACAGGAACTTCTGCTCATAGGTATATTTAAGAAATGAATACCCAACTATCTTCTTACTAAGAAAATGTGAACTAGTTATTTGGAGCAATCAGAAATGAGGTCATATTTTTATCTAATTTTTTTGACAAAGACTAAAATCTAACAACAAGCTGTTAGTCATCTGGCAAATCCCTAACTTCCAATCTTTATTTCCATTTTGACCACTTACATGATTAAAAGGCTCATAAAATATAATCATTTTTCTATTTAAGAAATTATATAAATCTCCGTACCACAAATCCCTGAAGTGAGGTGTGACTCAGTATTTCTTATCTCAACAAAATTTAAAATTAATCACTGATTAATTAGTTACATATATTTAATAGTCCATAATTTAATCTTTTGTCTGCAAGGCAAGAAATTATTTAAAGTGCCCCAAGTAGACATAGGCTATAATTAATGAGATGGAATTAAAGAAAGGAAAGAAGACTATCAGGAAAAATAAAAGGTTTATATAGAAGTTATTGATGTTATCATTGATGAGGACAAATGTAAGTACCAAGATATGTGATTTGACCCAGAAATCAAACATATTTCCTAAAAGAATAAATGCTATTATTTTACAAATTTAAAAATTAACTCTTTTTTCTACAGGATGTGTTGCTTCAAATATAATATTGGTGTTACTTTATACGAATTAATCAATCACAGTTATGATCATGCTTGGAAATGACATAAGCTTTGTGGTAATAGGTAATGCTTTTAAAAAATTATTAGCTAAAAATTATTATATGTTTATCATGAGTCAGCCACTGTTCTAAGCATATTGAACGTATTAACTCATTTAGTCTGCCAGCCCTTGTAAGATAGGCACTATTCTTATCCTCATTTTACAGATGGAGATCAGAGAGAGGTGCTAACTCAAACTCGGGTTGTTATAAGTGGTAGCTAGTGGTTCCATCATGGCTCCAGAGGTGGCCATCTCAAGCTTTTTATACAAGTATGGGTCTTGGCAAAACATTGGATGGTCCATTGGATGATCAGCATCCTCTAAGAGCTTGTTAGAAAAGCAGAATCTGTACCCCACCTCTGCCTAATGATTCAACATTTGCAGTTTTGAAGATTTACTACGGGATTGATCAAAGTTTGAGAAGCATGGCTCTGTTAATACTGCTTCTTGGTAAAGCATTCCTTTTAAAACTACATTGTATAGGCCAGACGCTGTGGCTAACACCTGTAATCCCAGCACTTTGGGACACTGAGAAGGGACAATCACTTGAACCCGGATGCGGAGGTTGCAGTGAGCTGAGATTGCACCACTGAACTCCAGTTTGGATGACAGAGTGAGAGTCCATTCCGTCTCAAAAAAAAAAAAAAAAAAAAAAAAAAAGAGAGAGAGAGAACTACATTATACATTGTTTTACAGTCTTATCATTGTATGTTTCCATTTTTTAAAGCAAACAAAATCTCCTTAGGGTCAGTGTCTTTAAAACTGTATATAAATTCGAAGGTACGATTTAGTGTTGAACACATTATACATTATTCTAGTATCCTTGATTTTGCTATTTTAACGGGAAGAATGGTGAGTACCAATTTGAACTCCTATTTGAACTCCTATTTAAGGCAGATCTGGGTTCTCCTGGCTCTACTTCTTACTTGCTGGTTGAACAAAGTTACTTACATTTTCTTTCCTATTGTATAAAATCTGAGGTGAATAAGGCTCTTTATTTCTGAAATGCACCATATGAGCACCTACCCTCTTAATCACTCGTAATGGTCGTCTACTGTGATAGCCCGAATAGTAAATTTTTAAGTTTAGTTTTTATGAAAATCACCTGTAGATCTTCTTGAACCACAGATTATTGCTTCACTCCCCCAAAGTTTCTGATTTCAGTAGGTCTGACACTTTGAGTAAGAGCTGACACTTTGCCTTTCTAACAAGTTGTAGGTGATGTTCTTACTGCTGGTCTAGGGACCACACTAACAGGTTATCTTCCTGCTCTATGATTTCATCTATGATGATTAATAGGAGTAGCTCCAAATTAATTTAATTAGCCATCAAAGAAAGACCCAGGTTACACTAATCTGTTACATAAAACAGTTCTGAGTATAGAAAGTTAGTGAAAAGATTGTCCAAAACTTTTTAGATTTATACCTCACCAGGTGAAAACTTTCTAGGAGTTTGAGAATCCCCTAATATTTTGGAAAGAGATATTCACTGTTTCTTTTCAGTGTGCCATTTTGTTTATTCTGCCATAAAGGGCATTTCTTCCATATTATGCAGTTATGCTCTGGCAGGGTGCAGTGACTCAGACCTAATCTCAGCACTTTGGGAGGCCAAGGCAAGAGGATCTCTTTAGTGCAGGAGTTCAAAACCAGCCTGGGCAACATAGTGAGAGCCTGTCTCTACATTAAAAAAAAAAAAAAAAAAAAAAGCACAGTGGCACACACCTGTTGTCCCAGCTACTTAGGAGGCTGAGGTGGGAGGATCACTGAGTTATGGTATCACAGCGCTCTAGCCTGGGCAACACAGGGGGATCTTGTCTCAGTAAATAAATACATAAAAAAATACATAAATAAAATATAAAAGAACACAAATATGTTCTTATAGAGTTATACTGTTGTTTCTATCACTGTAGTTCTGATGGGTAAATGCCATTCTATTATTTCATGTTTTGAACATAACTCCTGCATCCTGCCTATAGTTTTGCTATACTGAGGTTAAGTAATAATATATATATATATATTTTTTTTTTGAGACAGCATCTCACTCTGTCGCCCAAGCTGGAGTGCAGTGGCGCAATCTTGGCTCACTGCAACCTCCGCCTCCCGGGTTCAAGCGATTCTCCTGCCTCAGCCTCTGGAGTAGCTGGGATTACAGATCCGCGCCACCTTGCCTGGCTAATTGTGTTGTTGTTATTGTTGTATTTTTAGTAGAGACGGGGTTTGACCATGTTGGTCAGGCTGGCCTCAAACTCCTGAACTCATGGTTCCCCACCTCAGCCTCCCAAAGTGCTGGGATTACAGGTGTAAGCCACTGTGCCCGGCCTAGTCATAATATTCTAAGTAATTGTAGAGTTATAGAATTTGGAGAGCCTTAGAATTTATCTATCCTGTTTATGTTTAAGATGAATCTTCCTAAGAACCACACAGCTTATCCAGCACATTGTTGAAGTAAAATGAAATAACTCTAACTCAAATTTTCTAATCTCTAACCATGTGTTTTTTTAATCACTCTATAATTCAGTGTACTGAATGATTTGTTTGTGTTGCCATAAGCCTTTTGCAACTATCTTTACATTAAAAGTTATGACATATGCATTGAAATAAAAGTTTAAATATTTTAGATTGGATGATTAATAAATACTTTAAAAAGTAAAAAATATAATTTTTAAAATGTATCATAATAAATATAACACGACCTTATATCCCAAAATGACTCATGTGATTTTAAATAAATCTATTAACAAATTCAAGATGCAAGAAATATCAGATCAACCGGAACAACACTTATTATAAAGGAAACCAGACACCAAATCAAATAACCAAAGTTATAGCACTGCCTACTCAGCAAAACAAAAATTGCAGCACAAGTGCTGATAGCAGTAAGCCTAACAGGTTATCTGAGTTCATGTGGTAAACAAAGTATTCATTCATGTTGTGAATAAATTTGGGCACTCAATATTCCACACAACGGAGTAATCTAGAAAAGAATCAGGTTCACCTTTACCTTTTTCTTTTGTTCTCTCTCATTTTTAATTTTGTAAAGCACCTTAAGGATACTTAACAGAAATCTCTAAGAAACAAACAACGTGCAAAACAATAGATAGTGTAAAAAATCAGAGCAATGCCATGTACGTCCTTACAAATTCAGGAGAGGCTGGTGTCATACAGTCTGTCTTGTGCTCATCCACAGAAACCATATCACCCTCTTGACAAAGCATATTAATTGATAGTTTTGTCAATAATGAGTCATGATTAGTGTCACTAACGTGTAACTAGTAATTCAAATATGTTCATTATAATATCGAAATTGCTATAAATATCATATGGTTGATAATCATACACTATTTTTGTAGGTGATTTATGATAAATTACTGCTGTTGAAGTTACCAGTGAGGACATTTTGCTCTAGTAAGCTTTCAGTGTTGCAGGTGTAGGCTCTTGATCAGAGGTCCTGTTTCTGGGAATCACTCTTTTTTTTTTTTTTTTTTTTTTGAGACAGAGTCTCACTCTGTCGCCAGGCTGGAGTACAGTGGTGCAATCTCTGCTCACTGTGACCTCCACCTCCCAGGTTCAAGCGATTCTCCTCCCTCAGCCTCCCGAGTAGCTGGGTCTACAGGTGCACACCACCACTCCCAGCTAATTTTTATATTTTTAGTAGAGACAGGGTTTTTCCATGTTGGTCAGGCTGCTCTTGAACTTCCAACCTCAGGTGATCCACCCGCCTCAGCCTCCCAAAGTGCTGGGATTACAGGCATGAGCCACTGCGCCTGGCCGGAATCACATTTCTTAAGAAACATAAATTTTAAGAGCGAAATACTAATATTTATAATTTATTTTAGTTCCTGATTACATTATTTGTAGTATTCAGTAGCATTACATAATAGGGAATATGGAAAGACAGCAGATGCTTTTCCTCAGAGAACTGATTAAAAGAACAAAGAAATAAATGTGCAGAACACACCTAGTTTGACAATTGCAACTGAGGGTAGTAAGAAAAACTTGTTTAAAACATTTTCAAAACAAAAACTACAAACTAAGCAGACTCAATAATTGGCTATGATAACAAATACTCTTTCACATACCAGGGACAACAATATTAACTCTGGAATATTATTTTAAACATTTTCAAGGCTAGTACTACAAATATTGCAGACTTTTTCCTGCAGAACTAAACCTTCCCAGACACTGTTATAACAAATACTAATCTTTGTGTATTTATCTATATATCTGCATATGTATATATATATGCGCATATACCCATAATTATGCATTACATGCATTTCTGTCTAATAAAAACATATTACCTTTATTGAAGCAGTCCTGCTTATACAAAATAATCTGGTGTAATCACTTGGATTTTTTAACCTCTTTGGGCAATCAGCGGGAAGATACCTAAAATGAGCTTTATGAAAACTTGAGCTTTGAAAATGTGCTCAGTTCACAAGTGTCTCACGTTTTCATTTTGTCTGTAAATCTGTCAGACCATTCCCAAAAAGGTCCTAACCTGAATCATTATGTTGCTTTCATTTAATTTAATACTCACTTTTATAATCGTTTCCATCATTCCAATGTGCTGCATTATCACTTTGTAATCTTAGTAGCATGTGACTTTTAACAGATATTTTAGTTCATATACAATCAGTTTTTCTTTTCATTTTTCCATTCAAATAATCCAACATGAGTTTCTCTGAAGGTAGGTGTTATTTCCTGGTCACTAATTTAGAAAATTTTCTTAAATTCTATTAGTCCTTGCAAATACTATTAGAACCACAGTAAACATTTTTGTAAATATTTAATTCCTTTACTCAACACATCAGTATTAAGCAAATATCATGTTCCAGGCAGTAAAAGAGGCTCTGGGGTGCAGCCATGAACAAACTAGACAAAAATCCCAGCCCTCATGGAACTTGCTATCTAATACAGGGATACATAGCAAAAAACAAAAAATAAGTAAAACATAATGTATTTTGATTGGTGATCAATTACAGTTGAAAAATAATTCAGGAAAGAGCATTAAGGGTTCTAGAGAAACGTTTGCAATTTTAGAATTTGAAGTGCAATGTTCAGAGAATGCTGCAACAAGAAGGTAAGATTTAAATAAAACCCTGAGAAGGGAGCCATGCTGATAAGTGGAGAATGTGAATAACTTGTGCATCTGTGCCTAGGGTATGTGATGGAGTCATTTGCTTAAAACATCAGGGGCCTATTTTGTAGAGCTGAAAGTTTAAGTCAGTTCCTTCCACACCCCATAGCTGAAAATGGGGATGGGTAGACCTTTCAAAGGAGTGTTTAAAATATTGCTGTAAAGGCTATGTGCTCTATAATTTCAAATATGTTACTTCCTGTAAAAGAAAAAAAAAGAAAACTATGAAGACGATGAAAAGATCAGTAGGTGCCAGGAGTTAGTAGAGAAGCTGGAGGAACAGGCAGAACACAGGAGGATTCTGAGGACAATGAATCTATTCTGTATTGTGGTATAATGGTGGATGCAGGTTATTGTACATTGTCAAAGCCCACCGAATGCTCACCAAGAATGAACCTCAAGACTATGCTCTTTGGTTGATAATGAAGTCAGTGTAGATTCACAAAGTCTTACAGATATACCACTCTGGGGCAGAACGTTGATAGTGGAGAGGCTATCCATGTAGAGGGAAAATGGGCATATGGGAACCCACTGTACTTTCCACTCCATTTTGCTGTGAACTGAAACTACCCTAAAAAATAAAGTCCATTAAAAAAAATCAAACCTAGGAAAGAACTTCCCTCCAAAATAATGCTAATGAAATGGGAGGGAATGTTTTTGCTGGGAGGCAATTAACAAATGCCACTATTATTAAAATAAAATGGGACAATATTTTTCTTTTTTTTCTATCGAATTCTAACAGTTACTTTTGTATATCTAGTTTTTACATTTATTTTTTAAAGACAAACAGAGAGAGCTGGGCATAGTGGTATGTGCCTGTAGTCCCAACTACTTTTGAAGCTGAAGCAGGATAAACACTTAAGCTCAGGATTTCGAGGTTCTAATGTGCTATGATTTCACCTGTGAACAGCCACTGCATTCCGGCCTGGGAAACATAGCAATAACCTATCTCTAAAAAAATGAAAAAGACTAAAGGAAAGGAAGAAAGAGAAGGAAGGGAGGAGAGAGGGAGGATGGGAGAGAATGAGCGAGGGAGGGAGGGAAGGAGGCAGGCAGGCAGGCAGGAAGGGATGGAAGAAGGTAGTGAGAGAGGAAGACACACATAGATACAATCAGTTTCTAAAGTTTTCTTCCTTATCAGTTAATACTAAATATTTTAATTATAAGTAGACATCACTAGAAAATTCAGCATAATTAATTTGTTTCTATAATATAGAAATATTGATCCAAGATTTTAAAATCATGGGGTATTGATATTTAATTGATTTCAGGTCACCTTTTAAAAAGAAATTCATAGCATACTTTGTGTTTTAGATAAAATAATTGCTACAATGAAGCAACTGACCACTTATAACAATGGTAAGACATACACTCCATAATCCCGTATTCCAATATTGAGGCATACATTTTAATTTTTAGATTGCAGCTTGATTTTGGTTACCATTTCTTTTGTGTTTGAGTGAAGAAAATTAAGCTTGAAATTAATGCAAAAATTGGTTAAGAAAACATTTAATTAAGTGATAGTTTATATGGTACTCTAACAACAAGGCACTAAATAAGAGTAAAGTCTCCCTCAGGATGACCCATTAGTTTTTTTTTTTTTGTTTTTTGTTTTGTTTTGTTTTTTCTAATTGTGGTTTTGTTGTTTTGAAAGCATAAAATTTTGTCATGTATGGTAGCAGTGTTCATTCTTATCAGTGAATAATCCAGGGAAAAGTTTTGCTGAAGAAACAAAATATCAGGATAAAAGATTGAAGATTTCCTTTCTTCCAGTTTTACTTTTTGTGTGTCCTCAGATAATGTAACTTATTTTATCTCTAAGATGGCATTGTTGTTGAAGAAATAACAAATTTCTCTATGTGGAATGTGGATTCTTATATGACCACAAGCAATAAGTAAGCTCTACTACATAAGTTAATATATTCATAAAAATGACATTCGAATTAAAATAACATTATTATTCTTTTTCATTTTAATGTCATCCCTTACTGTCATCTTCTTAAGAATCATCAAATAGTTACTGAATTGTGTGCATAATAATAGCTGTCAATTTCCAAGGGAAAGACTATTAAGGATCTCTTTCCTTTCTTCCCCCACCTGCCACCCTCCATGCTTAATCCAGTCCTTGCTGTTCAAATAAACTCTTAACCTGGAAGAGTGGAGAAGACAAATAGAAACTCATTCTTCTTTTGGTTGGAAAATGGGCTCACACATTTTATTTCCACAATCATAGGATGGAGATCCTGAATATAGTTCTAGGTCAAATTGAGAAATGGACCAAGCTGGTATTTAATATTGTCTTTCACCATGTATACAGCTTGCTACACCCCTTACTAAAATCTCCCAATTCAGATATTCTCTGAGTATGTTTAACCACAGACTAAATAACTTGATACAGTCATTCGCATTAAAGTTTCAGAGACATCTAGTAAGGTCTCTTAAGGAAGTACTTGTCATTGCTAAGAGGTGTCAGGGAGGGATATGATTACCTAACAGTGATATAGTGAAGATGGGAGAAGGCAGTAGGATAGGAATCAAGCGAGCTGCTTTTAGGTTCAAATTTTGCCACTCACTAGCCATGTTAACTAAAACAAAGCACAAAAACTTCTAGGCCTCAGTTTTTTCATCTATAATATACTCCTTCATTTATTCATTCATTCAATTAATATTCACCTCTTGAGTGCTGGGCACTGTGCTTATTTCATAGGATACAATGATGTGCAGAAAAGAACACATTACTTACACTCATGATGCTCATAGTCTAGTAGACAGAGATAGAGATTAATAAATTACACAGAAACATATAACTTTAAAATGTGGCAAGTGCAAAGAAGGAAAATTACAGGGAGCTGTAACTGAAAGTCATCTGTAATTTGGGGTTATATAACTTATGAAGCTTCTTTCAGATGTAAAATTTTGTGGAATAATAACTGTAGAATCTTTGATTCAGAGGGAGAGATATTTATACAGTAAGTGGGAGTGGGAAAACTTTATCAAGCTCCTCTTATTCCATTCTTTAGACAACCCTCATTAGATAGGGCAAGACTTGAGGAGGGCATGTCCTATCCATTTACTCTGTAGTTTTATTTGATTTCTCTAGGATGTACTGAATTTAGAACTTATGATTGCACTACCTTATCTTTAGTTATTTCCTAGTATCTCCTAAATTGAGCCCAAGTCCTGCCTCTGTTTTTCTGACCAGTACAACTGAAAGTATGTAAATGACTAGAACTTATCCACAGTGCATTTTTCCTTCTATATTACAGCCTCACAAAACTTCTAATTGTTTCTCTTATTTTTTTATGTTTCTGTCCTTTTTGGTTTAACCAGTCCCTTAGGCTGAAATACCCTCTCTCAACCAGAGGCACATTCATTCATTCATTCGTTCATTCATTCATTCCAGTCATAGTGCAAGAGCTAGAGCCTACCAAGTCATGTGCTGAGACTTTTAGGAAGCTTTTCTTCGTTCATCCAGGAAAATTTGAGTATACATACAATTTATTTAGCTTTTTTCTGTAAAAGTCTCTGTGATAAGCACTTGCATGCCTTCATCTCATTGAAAGCTTCCAACAACCCTATGAGGTGGTTTCTCTTATAATTTTTATTTCACAAATGAGAAAATTGCAGCCCATAGCTCGTATATGGTCAGAACAGAATACAACTCCAGGTGTATAATACTATAATTTTAACTTAACCAGCATACTTCCTTTCTGCATTTGCATAATATTTGATTTATTATCTCAGTGTAGTGCCTAGTGCATAATTCACTATACTTTTAGAAAATTTAAATATAGCTTCCATATTTAAATATGAAATTCTTATCAACAGGTTCCATATTACATATGTTCTTTTAATATTCATAGTACCTAGAAAAATAGTTTTTGAATGCATAAATTAATACATCTTGTATGTTGTCCAAGAACATAAAAATCATTAAATAATACGATAAATCTGGAAGATATATTTCTGGAATGAGACTTTTGTCTCAGTAAGAAACTATCTGGATGCTTGTACATAAATGCTTAATATATTCAAAATACTATAAGCCTATAAAGATGCAAGATTATTTTCAATATGACATGATATGAAATATTTATTTAAACTTCAAAATCACCCTGATAATAAATTGTAGATTATTAGAGGGATGTATTATATTCATAACATCAAATATCAGTTGTGAAGACCAACAATAATAGCACCAAAATATGAACATCATGGGGATTGCACATTGTCAAAAAAAGGAAGCCCTTTTAATGTTAGGCTGCTAAATAAAGTATTTCAAGGGTTATTGACTCAAATGAGCTAAGTAATGGTTCTTCGTCTGGTGAAAGAAGCCTTAGCAATTACTGAGAGTTATTCATTCAGATAGGCAAATATAATCTCGGATTCTGTTAAGCCGTCTAAAATGTGAAAACCTTTTTCTGGTTCAGTGATCTCCAAATTTTTTAATATAACAAATATATATTAAATGTAATTAAAATGAGTAAAACATTTTTCACTTGAAACTATTATAGAACACTTTTAAATACATAGAAACATCTTTTAGTATTCGAAAGTGAAATGTGAGATTCTCTTCCATATAGTAGAATATTGTGGAGGTATATTTGGTCTTCATTCCTTAATTCCTCTGAATTTAAAAGAAAATTGATTGGCCCAAGTTTTGATCATTTAAAAATAATTCAGAAATGGCACATCTTACCTATATTTGTGTTCATACATATTGATTATAACGACTGGTATTGTTTTACTTGTCATGTTCTTAAGAAAAAATATGGAATTCTCTTCAGTTCATTTTTTCTTTTGTACTAAGATTGTTAAATAGGACTGATTTATTCTAATATCTAATACTGCTTTCTATTTTTAAAAAATTCAGGAAAAAAGTGATTACCAGCTAACATAATATTTTCCTATGGACTTTTGATAACTGGAACAACGACTTAAGTGTTATATTTCTGTTCCCACTGGCATACTAATTAGGTGAGATTTTCTGTAATAAAGAATTAATGTGATGGATAGTTGTTTATGAAGCTTAGATCTGATTATTAAGCAACTATATGTCACTCAGAACTCATGCAGCTATATTCTTAAATAAACTAATGAGTATTAAGAATGCTCAAATTACTTTCACTTTTTAACTTAAATTAGTATTATTTTAGTTATAGAAATTTGGCACTCATTTAATTTGGAGAGATTATGTATATAATATTATATATATATATATATATATATATTCTGTTAAATGTAACCATTGACATATATCTATTAAATTTGCTCATTTGTTTAAAATCTAAATAACCTCATTTATCATTTGATTAAATGGTATATTCAGTAATAGGATTTATATGTTGAAATGGAGATAGTTAAAATATCAATAAATAGGCTGGGCGCAGTGGCTCATGCCTGTAATCCCAGCACTTTGGGAGGCCGAGGTGGACAGGTCACCTGAGGTCAGGAGTTCAAGACTAGCCTGGCCAACATGGTGAAACCCCTCTCTACTAAGAATACAAAAAATTAGCTGGGAAGGGTGGTGGGCACCTGTAATCCCAGCTATTTGGGAGGCTGAGGCAGGAGAATCACTTGAACCCAGGAGGCAGAGATTACAGTGAGCCGAAATCACGCCATTGCACTCCAGCCTGGGCAATAAGAATGAAACTCCATCTCAAAAAAAAAAATAAATAAATATATATATATATATATGAGTGTATATGATAATTAATATACATATATTTATATCACTTTTAATTTGCAATGACAGTTGCTGAATTTTTACATGTAATACATATTCTTCCCACTGGTATCAGTGGAATTTGTAAACACATATCTAACAGCAAAAATAGATTCATAAAAGTTTAGACTTCAAGGTTAGAGTGTTTGTATGTGTGTGTGAACATTTAGTTTATGTGCATGTGCTTTTCAAAAGCCATGTATGAATTTTAATGAAATTTTTTAGCTCAAAGGTAAAAGGTTGAAAGACAGTGTGTTCAGAATGTTTTTAGTCATTTTTGTGGCCTTTTAGTAAGGTGAACTCACTGAGATATTACGGTGCTATAGCTGCTTTTTCTGGTTTGATGTTTACATGCAAATACACTACACTTCACATCTCTGCTGTGTCTGATTTTTTACTATTTGACTTAGATAACTCTTTAGGTTAATTTAGGGAGTAATAAATTAGTACTACTAGTTGATTATGGATGAAAAACCAGGCTGACTGACTAATGGACAACAATATCAGAATTATACTTTCTTGAACCAAGACAATGTTAGTTCCAACCTAATACACAAAGAATATGCATCTTTTCAGCAGGGTAGTCATTCATCGTTCCATATTTCCACTTTGTTCTGATTATTTGAAATTATTTACTATACTACAATTGTACCGAAATACAAATCAATTGATGCTTTATCCTAATTTCTAGGGGTTGTTGACTGTTCTTTTCAGGTAATTTCACTTTTAATTCTTTGTGCTTGATTTGGGAAATTTTCATCCCCTTTTTCTTTTTTTTATTTGAGACAGGGCCTCTCTCTATCACTTGCTGGAGAGCAATAGCAAGTTCAGGGCTTACTGCAGCCTCAACCTCCCAGGATCAAATGTTCCTCCCACCTCAGCCTCCCTAGGACCTGGGACTACAGGCATGCGCCACTGCACCGGCCTATTTATTTATTTATTTATTTATTTATTTATTTATTTATTGTAGAGACAGAGTTTCAGTGTGTTGCCCAGCCTGGTCTCAAACTCTTGGGCACAAGCCATACCCCAACTTCAGCCTCCCGAAGTGCTGGGATTACAGGCATGAACTACTGCACCCAGCAAAAATACAATTTTAAAGTAATTATTCAGTAAGTCAGATTTACCCTGAGATGGCAAAGGTTTGATTTTATTTTCCTTATAACTTCTTTTGGTAGAAGTTTTATGACAAGAAAAAGGGAGCTTCAGTGATGTGGTTCAGTTAACATTGGGTCTAGCTGCAAGTGATAGAAAGTCCCCTCCACCTCTAAAAAACACTGGCTCATTCTATCTTGTTCCACCATCTTCAACACATTGATGACATCCCATTGTTCAACATGAGTGCTCCGGTTGCATACATCACATTCGTGTTCCTTTAACATAAAAATAGATAAATGAGGGCCGGGCACGGTGGCTCATGTCTGTAATCCCAGCACTTTGGGAGGCCGAGGCGGATGGATCACAAAGTCAAAAGATCCAGATCATCCTGGCCAACATGGTAGAAACCTTTTCTCTACTAAAAATACAAAAATTAGACGGGCATGGTGGCGGGCACCTGTAGACCTACCTATTCAGGAGGCTGAGGCAGGAGAATCACTTGAACCCAGGGGGCGGAGGTTGCAGTGAGCCAAGATTGTGCCACTGCACTGCAGCCTAGCAACAGACCGACACTCTGTTTTCCAAAAAAAAAAAAAAAAAAAAAGGATAAATGAGAAAAAAGCACACATTTTCTTGTATTCATTTTTGTAGACATTAAATACCAGTTTTGCTTTCCTCCCATTGACAAACTTTGTTATATAATGTATTAGTCAAGATTCTTCAGAGAAACAGAGCCAATAGCATATGGATACAGTATGTGTGTGTGTGCGCGTGTGCACGCATGTGTGTATATATGTATGTACACACATATACATACACACACATACGCACACACGGACACATATATATGGAGACTGATTATATTATCGTAGAAATTGGCTCACTTGTTATGGAAGATCAAGATATACTGTCAGCCAGCCGGAGAATAGCATCACCAGTGGTGTAATTCAGATCTGAGAATGAGGTTGGTGAGGCAGGGGGGGTGGGGATGGGGGGGAATGTTTCTGTTGTACTCTGTTCAAGCTGTTATGACAAAATGCCATAAATTGGATAGCTTATAAGCAACAGAAATGTATTTATCATAGTTCTGGAGGCTGGGAAGCCCAAGATCAAGGTGTAGGCAAATTTGGTGTCTTGCGAGGGTCTGTTTCCTTGTTCGTAAATGGCTGTATTTGCACTATTATCTTCACATCGTGAAAGAAGCTAACTCTCCAGGGTCTCTTTTATAGAGGCACTAATTCCTATCATGAGGACTCTACCCTTATGACACAATCACCTCCCCAAAGTCCCTAATACTGTCACATTAAGATTCCAACATATGAATTTGGGAGGGACACAAATATTCAGTCCATTGCATATGGCTACATCTAGTTGTAACAAATGCTTCTCTATTTTCTTGATCAGGCTTATAAGAGTATATTAAGGTTATCGATATTTATAAACAGCTTCTGCTTCTGTTTTACTTATATTATTTGGTTTGATTTGTATAACAGTCTTGTTAGCTATTGTTATCCCCATGAAATGTGAAGACATTGGAGTTCATAGAGTTTGAGATTTGCAAAAATCAACAACAACCACCCAGAGAAGTGTTAAGTTCTAAACCAATCCAAGAACTCTTACTCCGATCTTAGTTCTGTAATTTTTTCACCAATTATCAGGAACGGAACTGATGCTCTTGTTCACAGGGCTAAAGGAAACATAAGTTAATATGTAGAGGAGAAATTCTATATTCAACATACCCAGGCACATTTCCACTTTCCAGCATGTTGACAAATGGACTTCCTAAGGCTAAACCAAAATATACTTTTTCATAGCAGCAGGCATAACTTTAGCTTCTGTTGAAAGGACCTGGGTAGTCATCTGTAGCATTCATTCATCCAGATGGTCAGCACCATAAAAACTTGGATGAAAATTAGGATATGCAGATGAGCTGTAGATGCTTCACAGCTTGACACTGCTGAAATATTTTTTAAATTGTGCCTGAGAGCTCAGAATTTTTCTTGTTTTGAAACATAGAAGCCAGTTTACATATTAGTAGTTTTAATTCCAGTATATAGTCTTAATATCTACATTGTGTAATGCTTGAAGGACAATTTTAAGCTGTTTTTAGTAAATTAGAATTTAGAGTAAAAGGACTCTACCTCACTAGACTGACTTGCCTGTTTTCTGTAACACTATGGGTAAGCATGCCTTTAAATAAAACAGAGAAAAAGCCACCTTCTTTCAAGAAATTGTAAAAACTGTACCATCTATTTGCTCCCTGTATATTTTCAAAACTTTAATTACAAAATAACTTGTAAACATAAATATTTACTAAGCTTCTCTATATCTATGTGGTGGTTTGAAATATTGTAATGTTTCCAAAAACATCTAAAATTGTTTAAAATTAATTTATTAGGAAAATTGCTAAGTTATTTTATTCCATGGTTCAAGTGTCATATCAGTTGGGAATAAGATTAATAAAAGCTACAATATTTTAAGCTAAAGGTTGTCTTTATTTATGTCCTTAAAATTGCATTTAGAAATGTCAGATAAAATATGTACTATGTGAACCAGATGCTGAAAACGATTCCCACCTATTTATATTAGAAACATTAAGAGAGGAAAAAGACTTGTTTGAAATCATAACTGAATTTAAAATAAAACATTGTAAGACCAAAAAATGGAGAAATCATCATTTTCTTTGGTTCTACAATATGAGTGATAATTTATGTTTTGCAAATTCAATACTGTATAGAGGCATATTTGAAAATATAGAATGAAGTAAAAATAAAAGCACATTGGGAAAGTTCATGAGGCATTAATAATTTTAATAAAATTATGCTTAATCACAGTTTTTGAATAGGTATTATAGGAGTTTATTGTATCATTCTCAAATAATACTTGTCAAATTCATAACTTTCACTTACGTCGAAAAGTCAACGCTTTTTTAATGACGTAGAAGTAGGAGTATAGCAAAAGTCCTTTTTCAGTGCCATGACCGAGAGGGAAAAATGGTGTAGTGCCGATAAAACCTGGAACAGCAGTGGACAGAGATACACATTTTTTCCTTTCCCAACTGATATATGTGATATATTCGCACATAAAAATGATGATAAAGAATAATATTAATATAAGTATAACTAAACTATATAAATATTTGAGGCACGTGGAATTGTAACAATTATTTTGTAGCAATTCTTATATGGAAAACTATATCCTGAATTATAATCAACTGACCAACAGACGAATATTAGGAGTATCAACATAGTCATTCATACGTTTATCAGACCCTTTCAGTCTGTTTTTTCCTCTATCAGTTTTGGAGCTAATAACATATTTCATCAAATCCAAGATGTCATCTATTATAAGACATATTGTTTTATGTATCACCATGAAAGGAAAACAAAGGGTCCAGTTTAATGACCCTTAATTCTAAATTCAATCCTAATTTCAGAGGTGATAAAATATGAAATAGCGTATCATAGAATTGATGAAAGATTTTATTTTCTTAATATGCTACCTGATATATTTAAGCTTCCATTTTTAATCTCAAAACTTTTGTATTTCTATATTCCTGCATCCAGTATCATTTGTCATTCTGTGATATTATTTTGTCTTTCTTTTGGCTCAGTATCATATAAAATCCTACAGCTATGTCATTATTTTCCATTTTTCTTTCTTATGTCTCTTCTTGTTTTTTATTTTTTTTTGGAAAAAAAATGATTTACTGCAGTAGCCATCTAATGAATCTTAAGGATATCTCTTTCCAAGCTGTAGCTTAAGTAATCTTGAGTCCATCTATCTATTTTTAAAAAAGAAAACTTTGACCATGAGCTGGTTTATTTGAACACTGTATTATTATTGACATAGTTTAAGAAAGTATATATGTAGCATTGAACATGAAATCAATATGTTGTTTGTTAAAAATGTAAATATTATTTTAAATTTATGTATCACATTGTGCATTTCTTGTAATTATAATTACAAAGTCCTTACAGTGTTGCTAAGTTTTCTTAGCTATAAACATCTCCTTATCTCCCCTTAATACTTTAAAATAGATCGTTGCACAGATACATAGAGAGATAATAGAGGAAATAATCACAGAGCACAAGCAAATCAAAATTTAGTGACTATAATTGATGCATTACCTAGATCATTTTTAGGAATGAAACATACTCCTCTAACTCCTAGGAGTTCTGATGAAAGATGGCCCTTAGTGTCAGCCCACAAAGCTGCCTTGCTGAAGGTCAGACACCCATCTGTGAAAGTCTTCATCTATTGATCGATCCTCAGAAGGCACATAAAGGCCTGGTGACCTTGACCCAAATGAGAATAACTATGAAGGCCTATCCTGACTCCATGGCTCCCCATGAAGTTAGCTTAAGGTCTTCTTTGGACTGTATCACTGCTCACATTCTCCCTTGACTCAATCCTGCATCCTTTTCCTCCCTCACATAGGTGTTTAATGCCAGGAGCATTCCCCAATAAATGTCCTATATACAAATCTCTATCTTGAAGTCTGTGTCTAAGGGAACAGATTGGACAGCAGCTAAACCAAAATTTATAAATAAAGTACATAAATGTATTTCTTCATAAAGTAGTACAAGACACAAGATGGTGATTAATTTGTGACTATTATCTGTATGTGGATGGAGAATCTAGGCATATTTCCCCACCAATTATTTAACAATAATTGAATGAGACCGCATTGGCAGATCATGCTATTAGCAACACAAAGGGAGTTCTCTTTCTATAAACCGAAGGACAGGGAGTGCTGAGAATCAAGCTCAGATCGATGCCTTTGCTAGCCAGAAGACTCTCAGCCTTTGTGTTACACAGAGAGCCCAGATCCAGTTCCTTCAGAGGCTAGATCAAACCCATTATTTTTTTCTCAGCTTTTATTCTGAGGGAAAGATTATATTGAAATATAATTGCTTTTATTTCTCTAGGATTTTGTTTGTGAAACTGTTCACCCAGATAATTGATGGCTATAGGAAAAGTATATTAGATCCACTTTTCATGCAGGTCTGTCTGCAAATAAACTTTATTTGTAAATTGCATATTGTGTTGATTTTGAACACTATTTTATTAGCATAAGTATTTTAAGAGCTGTCCCCCGGCATGAGAAAAATATTTCCTATTTAATCACCTATGTTTCTGTGACTATACTAGGTATTAGAAATTCAGTGATGATTAAGACATCTCCAGTACTCACCATATTCAAACATCTGGTGATGGAGATGAATAATGTAGTCTCCTTACAGCACAGTATTTTAAAGGTATACTTGAGGAATGTACAAAAAGCAAAATATAATAGGATTACAAAAGATATAATAAATTCAGACTGTTATATTAGGGATCCTTATAACTAAGGAGATCATATTAGAGCTGGATTGTAAAATAGAAATAGGAATGTGCCATGTGTGGAAGTAGGAAAGTCTATTTCAATACTAAGTAAGAGAGGCTAGAAAACATATAACACATTCATATTAAGAGTTTGCTTTTTGCATAAGTGACTGACAAGAAATAAGACTAACTGAGGAGTTTGGACTTTTTCTAAAATCTATAGGAGCTATTGAAAACTTCTTAAGCAGGAGAGCACAATGTTTACATTTGTTTCAGAAAGCAAAGCTTGTGACACAGAGGAATACTGGGGGAGAGAAGGACTACAGAGTGAAGAAGACACTAATTTTGAGGACAGTGTTTGAAATGCTAACATAGAAAAAAGGTTAGGGTTTCCAACTGAGGAAGTGGTTGTGGAAACAGGAAAAGACCCCTTTGAAAGATATTTCAGTGGTAGACTCAAAAGAAATAGGAGACTTATCAAACATAGTGCAAAAGTGGGATGAGAGAGGGGACATTCCACACTGGCACTAAGGTCTTTTTTGAGTGGATGATAAAGAAGAATATTTTATAAGGGTTCATCACTGGTAGCAGGCATATATTAGCAAACTCTAATGGGGATGGTGACAGGTAAGCCAAAACAACAACTAAATTTTTTGCCTGGATGAACATTGATTTACATTCCTAGATTATTGACATCTAAAATAAGATTATTGAAAGAAAAGTACATATGTACTGACCTAATTTGGGATACTTGTTATTCTACTAATATTGCCATTAAATTGAATATTTTATAGGCTGGAATATATATTCAAATTAATGGCAATATTGGTAGAATTAGTAGAATATACATTAACTTATTTTTAATATTTTCCATTTTTTTCTTGCTGTTCACTGGATGATTTCTTTTGATTTAGCTTTCATTTCATGTATTGTTTCTTCATCTTAGTCTAATAGAATATTCAACATGTCTGACTTTTTTTCTCATTTCAATAAACACTTTTCTAGCAGTTCCATTTGGATTTTTTCAGATATGCCTGTGGTTCTATTTTTCATTTCTTATGTTGCTGATGAGAACTTTGAGAATTGAATCTTCTGTTTAATTTTTAGGTGCTGTTCTCTAGTTGTTAATAAAAACTATGTTCCACTTACTTTTATGGGACTACATAAAAGAAATGCAAACAGAGATTGGGCTTTAGGTCATGGGCTTTTAGAAGTTTCAAGGATGGACATGTTTACATAAAATGAAAAAAACATTCTAAAGGTAGAGATAGCATAAACTTAATACCTTTATTATAAACCAATATAACTTAATTTTTGAAACATCTTAATTTCCTAATATGCTGTCTCCCATGCCATAAAATCAACTAGACTTTTGTTTAATATAGTTAGTAGATAACAAGTATCAAAGAAACACAACCACAATGTAGTTGGATGAGTTTATATGACATGTTATATATTTTCCTTGACTTTATGGTGGAGTCAGGGATTGCCAATACTAATGTTCACATACATGGCGTTAGTCTGGGTTTTAATGTCATGTTGTCATAGAACTTAATTTTTTAAACCTTATATTTTACTGTTTTTATCAAAAAGATGAGTTTAGAATCTATACATTTTTATTACTTCATAAATATAGCTCTCTATTTTTTATCATTTCCAAAACTTCTACTACATGAAGCAATAAAATTGAAACATGGGAAATTATAGTATTAAACATGAAAACTTTTTTCACCAAATTACTATTGATATCTAATATTGACAGGACTTTAAATTAGAATCCTACTACTCCTACGACTCTTTAGGGGAAAAGAGAGAACAAGTACAAGAAAGCCATTAGGAGAGAAATTTCAATTTTGCAAGTGCAAGAAAGAAACATTAAGCTATAATTTAAAAAAGTTATTGAATACCTCCAGAAACCTTGAAGCAAATTTAATTAATGCAGCCAATCTACTTTCCTTTGTAGATTATATTTAAAAGATCAGTAATCTGAGGATCAGCTTTCAGTTTATATAATTCAGTGATATAATATTTTAAATATTAAATACATTTTTATTTTCAATGGTATTAATTTTTTAAAAAAGTCTTAAATGTATGTCTGTAACATGAGGTTCACTATTAATTATCCTGGGTTATAGATTATGGTATAAATAAATCATCACATCACTAAGAACCATGCCTGGTCATGTGAAAAGTTAATACAATTTATTTTGATAGAATCAAAAAACAGATAGATATACTTGAAATTATTCTATAAACTTGGATGTCCATGAAGAAAGAGAATTACACTGTCAAAACTGCCAAGAAACAGGAATTGCATATAATGCCATTCTGAGAAGACTAGATCATTAGTGTGCCACAGGTATTCTTTTATGTATGATTAGTGGAATATTCAAAATTTATTTCTAAAGCTGTTTCAGTGTTAACACAATAGGACTCAATTTTAGATACAAAATGAATTCATCTTAATTGGATACCAATTTCCTTGGCCTATAGAGTGTTATTTCAGTGGGAACTACTGTGAAGGAATACTGAATAGAGAGATAAAAAGACTGTGCATGTGTTCTATGTGTGCATGTGTGTGTGTAAGAGAGAGATAGTGGATATCCATTTCACAGGTATCAAAAGTAGATTTATGACCTCTATATACAATATGATATAAACCACCTACCATCTTAATCAAAATTCATACTTATAATAAGTAAATAGTTTACATACTTTTTTTTTTAACAGAGTCTTGCTGTGTCACCCAAGCTGGAGTGCAGTGGCCCAATCCTGGTACACTGCAACCTCTGCCTTCTGGGCTCAGGTGATCCTCCCACCTCAGCCTCCACAGTAGCTGGGACCACAGGAGTGTGCCTCCATGCCTGGCTATGAGTTTTTTTATTTGTTTGTTTGTTTGTTTTTGTTTTTTGTATTTTTAGTAGAGACGGGGTTTCTCCATGTTGCCCAGGCTGGTCTTGAACTCTTGAGCTCAAACAGTGGCTCCACCTTGGCCTCCCAAAGTGCTGGGATTACACACATGAGCCACCACACCCAGCCATCGTTTACATACTTAAACTGACACAAAAGATATATGCTATAAAGAAATCCTTTTAGGTTGATATTTAATTATTGATTAAAGTCTGAAAGTTTATTAGACAAGAGAGTAACCAGAAAACACAATGATTTCTCTAAGGAAAATAATTATTTTTCCGAGTGTTAATTGACCAACATTTTACTTGTTTAATATATATCCTTAATTTTTTCTTCCTATTAAATGATATAATATTCATGATAAACATGTGTTTTGTTAAATTTAAATGATTACATATTTAGCTGCTACTATATCCTTACATCTAGAAAATTCCTCAAGAATAATTCCAAACTGGCATTTAGAGACAATTTTATCTTCTTGGTAAGACAAAATCACCAATAGTTATTAATTCAGGTAAAGTATTTACATAGCTGGTACTCTATTATATTAAAATCAGTTCTGATTATATAACATTCTATTTACTTCAAGAAGTTTTATTGCCTTATGTGACCTTTTTAAAACACTGAGGTAGAAGCACACATGCTAAAATTCATGAATTATCCATTCCATCATTCTCCTATCTGTCCATCCACCCATCCACATAATGTTACCTAAACAAACTGCATCTGTTTGTACATGCACAAGAGAAAGCCAAACACCGAAGCACTGGGTTTTTGCAGGAGAAAGGTTTATTGAGTCCACTGGCAGGTAGTCAGAGGAAATGGTCATCCAGAGCTAGGGGCTAGATCAGGTTTTATAAGCATATGGTAATGAGGTGTGATCTGATTGGATCTTGCAATGAAGGGATGCCAGCAGGCATGATCTGACTGGATCCTCTCATGGGACAATGCCAGGGCTCAACCAGATTGGATCCTGGATCCTGCCATGTGGTGTCCACTTCTTAGTTCGTTTTCCTGATTCAAGCACTTAGGTTCCACCTGTGATTGAATACTTGGTTCATCTGGGCATGCTTAGATTATGTGACCTTCAACCTGGGGGTCCATAATAACTGAATAACAACTCAACATTGTTACAGATCAGTCTGGAACAGTTACAGTAATGTAGTGTTTTAAACTATAATCAATGAACCTCTAATTTTATTTTGTGAAGCTACTAATAAAAAAGAGATGCTCCTCCCTTTTAGAGCTTATTTTCCTTTGCAGTATGGTGTGAAAGGAGAACTTGGCAATATACATTTCACAACTGAATACCAAAGCCTATAAATAAGATACAAAGGAATAATATTTTGGTACATTCCAGTTGGAAAGCATCCACCAAATATTTTATAATGAATATAACCTTCAGTAATGATAGGAAGTATACATGGTTGAGCCAAATTTAGAAGTGGTCACCAGCTATTTATTCCTATGTCTTAAGAAAAATAAATCAGTTAAACAAGTTTATATAAATGATATACTTTAAGAGCAGTTTTTTTTCCCCCAGTATGTTAAATCTCTTCAAATCCACAAACCTGATATTATTATGCATCACTGACTATCTTTCTTGTTAGAGTGGACAACAAAATTGACAAACTAGAGCACAGATTAGGAAAGTTACTCAGTGTAAAACTACAGTTCAAGCAAGATTTGGATCAAATAAGTTGTCTGTAAATTATGGTACCTTATCTTCAAAGTTTTATAAATTGAATAATTTGTACTTCCTAAAACTGGAGTAGATATCTAGTCAATTATTTTTCTGTAGTTAAAAATGGGTATACTGTTAGAATATGCATTTTATCTTCTGTTTGCTGCTCTAGGTATGACGAGATGCATCTCACTTTTACATAAAATCAAAATTCAGTTCACTCTGTGAACTTTTTACAAACCAGTTTGAGCAGAACACTCATTAAGGGTAATGGAAATTGAACATATACAGACACTGTTACACCACAACAAAATTTAAATCTCTAATGTATAGGATATTACCAAACATGAAAGATTCATGAGCTGAGTTGGAATCTTAAAATTAAAAGGTATATAATTTGGTTTACAAATCAAATCGATCTTTTCCATGTTTATAGTACTTGCTATTTTGTCACCAAATGTTGCTACAACTAGAAAGGTAGATCTTTACCTCTTTAACCACATGCAATACACCTAACATGAAATAAATGTAAGGTACATTTATGCAGATGGATCATACTAGGAACTTATGGCAAAAATTTTATGGCAAAAAAAATGAATGGGCACTGGGAGAACCTAAAACATACACTTTCCTGCTCTGGAAATATTTCATTAGCATTCTGTCTGGCTTTTACATTTCTCAGACCTTCTCTTTCAATCTTTAGTTACCAAATTTTTGACTCGGTCAGTGTCTTTGTCTGATAGGAGCGCCATAACAAAATGCCACAGACTGGGTGTCTTAAACAGCATGACTTTATTTTCTCGTAGTTCTGGAGGCTGGTGGTCTAAGATCAAGGTGCCGGCAGTGGTGGTTTCTCCGGAGGCCTCTTCCTAGCTTGTAGACGGCTGTATTCCCATTATGTCCTCACAGGGCCTTTTCTCTGTGCATGTGCATTCCTGGTGTTTCTCTGTCTTCGTGTAAGGACACCAGGCACACTGGATTACAGCCCAAGCTTATGACCTCATTTAACCTTAATTACCTCCTTAAGGAATCTATCTCCAAATAAAGTCACATTGAGGGTCACGGCTTCCACATTTTTCAGAAGGACACAAATCAGTTCATAACAGTTAATCATTATTTATTATTTCTCTTGTTACTATAAAAGTTAAAATGTGGTCTTAATTTCAGGCCTCTAGAAGTAGGAGACTAATTCTGTATATTTAGACTTTATTTTACACAATTATGATGTTCTCAGAAAATGTGTAAGTTGAAGTGAATGTTAATGAGTAGTGTAGCTTTGTTAAATCCATGGATCTAGGCCACGCTGCCTGGATTTGTATCCCAGCTCCACCACTTATCGGCTGAGAGATCATGGGAAACTAACTCAACCTTCCGATGCCTCAGTCTTCTTATGTGTATAATTGGTATAAATATCTTTAAATGCAATTCATGACATATTGGAAAAACCCCTGGCAACTAGTAAATGCCTTGTAAGTTATTAACTACTTTTATTATTGAGTCTATATTTCTATATATTCTGAGTATTGATAGTTGTACTTGGATTGCTTTCTAAAGGGAAGGGGAATTCTTAAAATTAGTGTTTTTAATTGCAAGTTGGTTAAATGTATGGACTCTTTTCTCAGGCTTTCTTGGTTTGTGTATTTGGCTATATCTCTTCCTGGCTTAATGCCCAATAACACATCATTTAATAACCTCTGGTAGCCTAATTTTGCTTATGGGCAAAATTAGAATTAAAAGCAGGGTCTCATAGTGGTGCTGTGAGCATTATATGCAGTAATGTAAATGAAGCTCTTAGAGCATTGATTAATGCAAAATAAGAATTCTTACCCTTGCTATTTTTAGGTATATAAATGTTAATATGATGATGACCAACCTTCAATTTAACTTTTTTCTAAAGGTACACTTCATACTTAATTTTATTTTGTTTGAAGTCAGTCAACCTTAACAGAACAGTGGGGCAAACTTGTCCCAATTACCATTGCTGGAGTTCAAGTCCTTTCTCCTACTTTTCCACACAGCTCTTAGTAGACATGTGGAGAAGGTGCTCTGTTCCCAGAGAAGCCTTGGCAGATTGATTTTATTTGTTTGTTTGTTTGTCTATTTCAAATTTGGGCAGACAGTTAGCAATGTCAGTTTCACATCTAAATCTGTGAGGGAGAAATGGATCAGTAGCTACCATATTGTGACAAAACAAATCAAAGTTACCCCATTTAGGACCTGACAGTAAATTATGAGGGCAGTAGAGGAAGGATTTCTAAGAATACATAAATTTTAAGAAGAAATTGGGAGATTCAAAAGCAGGTAGATAGACTTGAAGTTAAACATCTTGTAATTTATCCTTAGAAAGTAATAATACAGTGTGCAAAATATACATATGAATAAAGATGTCCAGTAAAAAAATGAAAAGTTGTTTATGGCCTTGTATGATTACACTTATTTGTATTTTTACTTTTACTATGTATGTGTATGAAAAAGTATACCTTTATATATATCCACACCCTTACATATCAAAATAAGAGTTGTTTTCTTGGAATACTTGAAATTTGTTTTACTCAGGAATATTTGATATTTGAATTACAGTTAGATGTGAAAATAATAATAATAAAACAGAACTGGAGTTAACAGTAATTTATAATTGAGACACTGCAACTAAATGTCATGACCCTAGGCCAAGTCACATACACTGTGTTTCTTAAGTTTCCTCATTTAATAAAATAAACCAAAAAATGAAAGTACTTCCTCTATCTCAAGGTTTGCTGTAGGAATCATATGAGATGAAAAATATAAAAACACTTTGCCATGCTGAAAGAACAATTTAAATGTCAGGTATCAAGGTTGGTAGCAATAAGTAAAATAATAATAATGATTCTCATTCTAGATGATTAATGGTTGCAGTGTACATTTTGCTTTTCTGTAGAGCATATCCTTTTGAAACATAAAAAGTCCATTCTGGGAAGAAATTTAAACTAAATGCTTCATAAACTGACAACAAGGACTGTATTTGGACACACTGTTGAAAGAATAGGGCCAGCATAGTGAAAGCCGTTGGTGCTCAGGGCCACTGTGTTCTGATTTGATCCCAGCGGCTGAACCACAGAAGCTTTTGCACAGACACTATCAACATATTGCTTGTTCAGTCAGAATTTATCTTGTTTCAGTTATTGGTGCACTAACAAAGCTGCAGAGGTAAAGGATCCTCAGCTCCTCTACATGCCTGGGGAGAGGATTAGAGGCTTTCTTTTCTTTAGGTAACTGTGTCTGGTTTCAGTATTTGGAGGGCTTATTTTTAATAACTGAAGAGAAAAAGACGAAGTAAAAATGTTCCTTCTGGGAGACTGGAAAGGCAATATGATTTGTGATAAAGGCTCCTTTTTTCTACAAAATAAATGACACAGACCTAATTACCCATCACTTCTCTGCATCCGACTTAAAAGCCCCATTCTTCTGGCCAGTATGATTCTGAGTAAAACAAATGCAAGAAGAAAGTTTTTTTTTTCCTTTTTTTAATAACTTTTACAAATTTCTTTTTGTTCTAATATAGAATAATTTATAAAATGCATCCCTTCAATTGTTTCTTAAACTGAAATTGAAACTGTAAGCCATCCCATCACTGAGCATTATTTTACGGGATGGAAGCTGTCAAAAACTACTTTAAAGCTAACACTTGGCCGACTACATCTTACAGGGGGGTTCTCTGAGTATTAAGTCTTAGAGGAAGCACATAGCCATTGTGATCAAGCACTACAATCTTGGCTTTGTAGCTTGTTACAGCATTGAGGGCTTAATAGTCATGATTAAAAATGTGTATAGTGTATGACTCTCTGGATTCTACTTTTAGGATGGCATGTGAGATAGTTTTGTGACCTGCTAAAAATTTTAATCTTCATATTTAAGTCCACCTGGTCACAAATCATAGAAAACACACCCTAGATGCACAGTGTACTGGAAATAAAAGTGACTTTAGAACAAGTGAGATTCAGGTTCACATTCTGGCAGAGCTAGAATAAGTGACTCATTCTAAAGTCACTGTTATTTCCAGTACACTGTGCATAACTATAGGTGAGTGCAAAAGTAATTGCTGTTTTTGCCGTTACAATGGCAAAAACGCAATTACTTGTGCACCGACCTAATAGGTGTGACTTCACTTTTATTTCCATTACGCCGTACATAACTATAAGTTGGTACACAAGTAATTGTGGTTTTTGCCATTACTTCCAATGGCAAAACCCACCATTTTTCACCAACCTAATAGGTGTGACCTAAGGCAAGTCAATTATATTATCTGAACCCAAGTCCTCATCTTACCTTGCAAGGAAATTTAGAGGATTAGAAAACACATGTGTAAAACAGTGTTTACAAGCTCAGTGCAATGATAGATTATCCAGGAAAAATATTTAATTTCAAAATATATAAATTGATCTTATAAAATGATTTTTACTGCTACAGTTTCAGAAATAAACTGGGACTGAACAGATTTTTTTTCAAAATAAATACTATATCATAATCTATTCGAGACTTCTAAAATCAACGCTTCTTTAAAAATGCAACATATAGAAAGAACTTCCTTCTTTTCCTTTCCTCCCACTAGTTTTAGTGCCATTGATTTATGAAGATTCACTCAATTTATGTACTAACATGTTACCTTCTGAACAGAGAAGACTGAAGCTGAAAAACTCCTTCTGAAAGTGGCTATCCATTTCTTAATTGGTTAATAATGCCATGTGGGCAGTCCCTGGTTTCCTTTGCAAGACAAGCTATCTTGGGAAACACCCACTTCATATTTCACAGGCACAGATCACCACAATCAGCTCAGTCAACAAGTTAGCTCCTGCCCCAGATGCTGGAGTACCAGCTAGTCTGTACTTTCCTTAGATTAGAAAGCTATATGCAAGCAAGAGGCTACTAAACCATGCACAGAGCCCTCAGACTATAGGAAGATACACATGTATTTTGGGAATTCATCATTTTGGTCACCAAGCAGTATATGTATGTCCTCAAAGTTCTTTTTAACCACTTTATTTCATGCTCTAGTTATGTTTATTGAACTCATCGTGCTTCTTCACACTATTCTAGGTGATGGGCATTTAAAGATGAACAAGAAGTCTTTTTCCTCTTCAAAGAGAGATAGATATAAATGCATGTAGTACAAGATATAGCACCTAAGGAATATTGCTAATATTGTGTGTGGTAGGCACCCTTATAAAAGTACATAGTAAATATTATGGCATCTTAGAATGAGGAGTGATTAATTCTGCCTGGAGGATTCTGGAAGGCTTCAAAGAATGGGTGATATTGGAAGGAAGCTTACCAATTGAAGAAAGGTGCTTAGAAACTGGGAAAAACTTCCAAAGGGGAGGAGACAAAATAAACAGAGGTGAGGAGGAAGGAAATTTCATACTTCTTAGGTATAGCCATACACACAGACAGTGGATCTTGTTTAGATTCAGGAACATAAAGCCCATGCCAATTTGGAAAGGATCTTGAATGACATGCTAAGTAACATGGACTTTATTCCTGATGCAATAAAGTGCTGGCTATTTGGAAACTGTCATTAGGGAAAGACAAGGATAAATCCATATGATGGAAAATGATCTCTGGTAGCAATGTGGGAAGAAGTCTGGGGTTGGATTATTGGTGAGGTGGAGACTGCAGGCAGGGAGCCCATTATAAAAATCATAAAATAATCTGAGAAAGGAACACAAAAGGGTGGGCATCGTTCACAATCCAGTGGCATAATGGAGTGACTTTTGCTTCATAGAATACAATTTTATTGACTGTAGGTCATAAAGAATCATGATGAGGCAAGAAAATCTACATCAACAATAGAAATATTTTTAGATACATTACTTGGAGGGGGCTGAAATTTCTGTGAGAATATTTTTTGAAAATTATGTTTTTAAAAGCTATTCCCCCTTCCTTCTTGTTCCAGCTACATGTTGTTTGGTGGATAAAAGTCTGCTTATTCAATCATTTACGTGGTCTTCATTCAATTAATCTATATGGATTATCTGCATGTGTTAGATATTATGCTAAGTGCTGGGTGTTGAATTAGACACAACGTTTGTCTATGGGCATCTCACTGTTAAGTGGATGAAAATGATACTATGTATCAGAAAATGTAATGATTCTGTGTTTGGAAATTGGCATTTCTGGAAAAAAATCCCATTAAATATCTAAAATAAATCTATTTTTAAATGTAATTTTAGGATGCATTCCCTATATATTGGGTGAGATAATTGCACACTGCTGGTAATGAAACAGATGATATTGTGTTAGACCATCAATACAGTCAGATGTTAATTAGGTCACTGTGCTCCTTTGTTTTTGCTAATTTGGACCAGAGAAGACAGTTTTTACATCTATAGTTCAGTTTGAAAACAGAGGTTATTATCTTTTTCTTTTTTATGTTAATCTTTTCTAAGACATAAAACTAGAATTCTGTCTCTAGGTATTAAACATTTCACTGAGGATGAGGAAGTAGTTATGTCATAGATTCTAGCCCTGAGTGAGGAAATCCACAAGTCTCCCTTTATTTCCCATTTTGAGACAGGATATATTCACACAACTAAAACTTGTGCTCAGCAAAAAATACAGTTTTGGAGTAGTTCGAATATTTCAGAATATGTTATGGAAAACGTTATGGTAACTTGCACCTGCTCTGTTGCTGAGGGAAAAAAAAATCTACCTCTAAAAAAACTACCTATCCAGAAAGTAAATCAATTTTTTAAATCCAGTCTTGTCAAAATAGCCCTGCTTAATGACCAGAAGTCTGGAGTTTACAGAATGGAACATAATGGATGACACTAATGTATCCATCTTAGTTAATTACATGGAAACTTTTGGAACTTGAGTAATGTTTATTGTTGGTGTCTGTCTCCTGCTGAGTACTACTCAAATTGAATGTCACAGAATTTTATTCATCCCCAATTTTAAAAGAGCATTCTGTAATCCAGAGCTTATCGTATTAACTCTTCCTCTAAACAAGGGCAGAGATGCAAATAAAGAGGTTATTAAAATTGGCCTTAAAAGACATAGATCTTTCATTAAAAATTTCTAGACAAGCAGAAACACATAAGCTTAACTCAAGGAGATTAACATGGTTAGGTTAGAGGCTAATTGTGTTTTGCATCTGAAATGTAATAAAAGTTTGTACCCTTCGGGGGGAAATACAGCTAAGGTTCATCAATTTTTACCATCTTTAATTCTGAAAACCTTGAAAAACTAATTCAGAGCAATAGTACGGCTAGTTAAGATGATAAATCTCTAATTAAACAAGGAGCTATCTTCTTAAATGAATAATCTGTATCTAGATCTCAGTGTATCTCAGCATATTTAACTGTCTGTGTGTGAGGGAAAAAAATCAAGATAGGTTCATAATCTTGGAGGTAGAAAGCTTGAGTTATTTTGGAAATGCTATTGACATGGGTGTAAATTATTAATATCGTAATTTCCTAAAAGCAATTTTGCCACTTCATGAATATGAACTTTATGAAAATTTTATTATAATTTTTCCAGCCAATTACTTTGTCAGAGGACTGCAAGATGGATTCTTTAAAACCTGAGTTTCCATCTAAATCATGTTAAACTGAAAGGCTTCAGGCACTGTCATGGAGGGGCATTTGGTCTGTGTGTGAAACAAGGATTACAAATCAAGCAGGGATGTTTCCTTTGTTTTCCAAATGTTACTTTTGCTGCCTGTTTTATGTTTGTAATAGTTACTAGTGAAAATATGATTTAAGATTTAACATGCATAATGTATACATTTATTAAAAGTAATTGATTTTATAATTATTAAATCATGTTTATTGAATGAAGATTCATGGATAATATTAATATGCAGGAGACTAAAGCTGAGAATTATGCCTAATATAAGAGCAACACCAACCAAAATAGAGGAAATTACTGTTTTATTTTGTTACTTGTAAATATGATCATTAAACTATTAAAATCTCTTTACTATTTCAAAACTTGTTGTCAGGGTTATCCATGTGTTTATAATTGTATATTGGATAGCTAGTTAAAATCAACAGTGCAAAAAACAAACAGTTTTAAACTTCAAACAATTATTAATCATAAGGCAGAATGAGTAAATAGGATTTCACTTGAAAGGGTGTCTAGATCTGGCAAGTCACAACTTGACACGTCAAGGCAAAGGAACTTTGCACTCCCCACACCCCCCAGAAAGAATAAATGGTCTATGTATCTACAGAAGATATTTTTTAAAAAGAAGGAGGGTCTGCAGCATGAGGGGTGATCAGACCATTGATTGTGGACTTGGATTACACACAGAACTTTGTGGCGTTGGATGCACATAATCCTTAATCCTGGGGCTTAAAACTAGAAAATCAAGGACACTAATATATAAGGCTCAAGTTTTAACTAGATGCTGTACTCTATGCAGCTGCTTTGTTGACACCTTGTCACATTAAATTCAGTAGAAGTTGAAAGTAAGAGAAAAGCAACAAGAAAAATGGAAACAAAAAGAAATCAATGTGTTGCAGTGGATCTGGGGACCAATCTGAAAGACAAGGTTCTAGTTGTATTTCCAATGCGCATTTTCCATTTTGTGATGTTGTAAAAGTAAAGTCTTCATTAGATACCTCTGATGTTTACAATCCCCACAATAGAAATAAAGAGGAAATGAGATGTTCCATTTTTAATATTACACATACAATCATTTTACAGTGTGGAGGTTAATTCCGCTCACAAAAGTGCATGAAAGGAATTAAAGGAAACAATTTGAACATTTTAATTCTTTTCATATATTTCAAGGGGAGGAATTAGGCACCAAAACACAAAACAATTATATGTGTAATTTAAAATGCATATTGATTTTTTTCACAGCGATAAATAGGCAATGGCAGTACAGTGTAAAGCTTACCTTGCATAAATGAAACATTTGCCTACCTAATAACACAAAACTTTAAAGACAGCTGTAGCAGATGCCTAGCTCATCAAGATAATATTGGTATAATGGCATTACCCTGGTAATTGTTATTTGAAAAGTACACATGAAACAAACTAGACACAGCCAAAACTGTGGCTTAAATTTTCCTTCTTCCTCTTCACCATTTTCAAAATGTACTGCTATGTTTATTTAGAGAACACTTAAATTCTTAGAAACCTCTAACAGAATATCAACAACCTCATAGAACCCTTTGACTTGCTGCTAACTGGATAACATGCCAGATATCATAATAACTAATGGGAACATGCTTTCAGTTCTAATATTAGAGATTATTAAGTCAGTCTTTCTTTTGATACTCTGCCAATTTTCTCTACCTTTGAGATTTCAAATACAAAAAAAAAACTTATTAGATACATTTAGAATATTTATTTCATTTCTTTCCAACTTACTTGACTGAGTTATATCATATGCAAAGTTCCATCTCATATTGGTCATGGTGAAGTTTCATGTGAAGGGAAAGCCCAGACCCTGAGCCTCAAAGGCACTGTAATTTGCAGAACTTGAATATGGGTCCTGTTAGGTCAGTGTTCTTCAGATGTTTCCCAACTAAGTCAGTAAATAATCAGGAAAAAAATGTAGGAAAAAATCAGAGGGTGCGCCAGGGACCTAACTGTGATCCCTCAAAGCTCATATCTTGAAGCGCCAAACCCCAATGTGACTATGTTTGCGGATAGGGCTTTTAGGAAGTAATTAAAGTTAAATGAGGTCATAAAGATGAGGTCCTAATCCCATAGGCTGGTGCCATTATAAGAAGAGAAAACAGACACCAGAGCTTTCTGTCTCTGCCATGTGAGAACACAGGAAGAAGGCATCCATCTGCAATCCAAGGAGAGGCCTTACCAGACACCAACCATGCTGGCACATTTATCTTGAATTTCCAGTCTCCAGAACTGTGAGAAAATAAAGTTATATATGTAAACCATTCAATTCATGGTATTTTATTATGACAGTCCAAGCAGACTAATACAGTGTGTGTTGAGGGGCTGGAGGGGCCCCTCGTCTAGAGTTGTGTAGAACTGAGAAAGATGTCTCATGCTCCTTATGTCCTGCCAGCTGTCAGCCATACCTGGTGGGTAGGAAGTTGAGAATAGAAAGTCTCTTTTCTTTTATTTTCTGGCAAACTATAAATTAATTGAATCATAGGGCTATTCCATAGTTGTCACCATGACCTAAAAAAACTGCAACTATGACGATAGGAGCATTTAAATGTATGAGAATCCAGCTACATGGACTTGTACAGACTATTATACATGCCAATCTAAGGTATAGAAAACTAAATAATTGCAAAAAAAAATTAAGTTTGGATTTAAATGCACTCCAATAATGCACAATCCAAATTTTGTAACCAAAAAATTTAACAAGGAGTTTCCTTCCTCAAGTTTGGACTGTTGTAAGTAATTTGTGTAATTAATTATTTTATCCATCTATTTATTCTTCCATTCAATCAATAATAACATTGTGAACCATCAATAATGCCAGGCACTTGGAGAACTAATGAGGCACTGCCACCGCTTTCAAGAACTCTCAGCAGTTGTGGGAAAGAAAGAGCTTCTAAAACAGAGAAAACAGCTGAAATTCATCAAGTACTTTGGGGACACAAAGGACAGAGAAATGGCTTTGCATCAGTGCAGGAAAGTTTGGGAAAGACTGTACCTCATGACCAACAAGTAATGGGGATGGAAGGATCCATGTGTAATATAACTATGTGGAATTACACAAACAGTTCAGAGGCAGAGTTAGTAGATATCAGTGATTAATCGGATGCTTCAGTGGGCAAGCAGAGAAACTATGATATGAATAGACTTCAAAACAAAACTTTCATGTTCTATTAGTTATTACTTAGAACACTGTTGTGTGTAATGAAAAGGAACTAATTCAATAAAAATGAATTACTGGCTACTGTACTACATTTTAAATGTAATTAGAGGACAGATTAGTGAAAATAATATTATAAATGGGCATAAGGAGACATTTGTTTCTTAAAATAGTAACTTAGTGCGAATCTGTTGATATTCATATCCCTTTGATGAGCTTCTAAAGTAAATCACTATAATTTCAGCAAGAACTTTACTTACTAGATAGATTATTCTAATTTCAATTCTCATTACAGAATCTGGAAATACACTAACAGCACTAACTCTGAGAAGTTTAGAAGAAAAAGCTATTCTCTTATAATCCTAACCAAATCCAGCCAGGAATCTCTCTTTGATTCTCTATGCGATCATTAGCAAAGTAACCCTCCTTGTATTGCCAGAAAAAAATGCAATAAATAATGAAAAATAAATTTTTCATTCCTCATTTGTGATGTACAAAATTAAGGTCTCTCTATTCACAAAGCCTCTCTCCTGAACTGGGTGAGACACACCAAGATAAAAAGAAAATTTTGGTTAACTTCTTAAGAGTAGTAAGTTATTAGCTAAAACAAGAACATCAAGTATTATTGAATTTCTTATACGTAATTACACTTTCTGGAACTGTGAGTGATTCAAATTCCACATCATATGTAGTACTTAGATCTCTCAGAGAGCTAACTGATTTACCAATTTGGCAAGAATAATAAGAAATTGAGAAGAGAAATATACACATTCAAAATATTAAATTATAGAATTAATACCAGAATTTTAGGAATAATAAAGTGGAAACCAGAGAGATTGAGTAGTTTACTTAAGGTAACACAGGTAATTATTTTAAGAACTAGTATCTAGAAGCCAGATTTCCAGGTGCCTAATTTTTGTTTGTTTCCTTGTGCTTTTTATCTTGAAAGAGCTAAATAAATGAGTTGTACAGATTATATATATATATAATATATATAATATATTATAGATTACATACAGTATAGTATGACTGTTATTTTGCAAAAGGATTTTGACCAAACTGTGTTTTATATTTTTCCAAATACATCTGAATTGCTCTTCATTTTTCCAAATTGTTATATTTTTGACATAAGCATTTAATGTATTTGTGAATAGGATAGCACTCGTTTTCCAAATAAAATTTTGTCAACAAATACTTTCAGATGCTTCTAAATGTTAAAATCAAGGAATAATCTATGTACCTGCGTGTTCAGGCATATTTCATTTCCCATTATCTTGTTAATGAAGTTAAAACAATTACACTTTATCTCCAAAAGGTCAAAGGAAAGAACACATTTAAATGACAGTAAATTCTAGATCAAGTTAAGCAGCATTGTAAATCACAGTGCAGATAGATACTAAATTAAAAGAAGATTCTTTGTTCAATATAAGGGAGTAATTTTATTGAAATTAGGTTCAGGTTATTAAAACTAACTGTAAATGCCTTGTTCAAAAGGACAGGCCTATGGCATTAAGGACAAAGATGATGTAAACTTAGTCTTTAATGTAAACTTTCAAACTTTGTTAAATATTCTTATACATTAGTGAAGCCTCAAAAGATATTCATAATAGTAGTAGAGATAAAAATATATAGTATTTGGCATCAGTATTGAAAAAATACATAAAAACTTTATTATAAATGAATTATTTTTTAAGGAAAAACATGTGGTCTACGTCACCTATTGAATGTGTTAACTTGCTAATTACTTAATATTTGGAAAAAGCTTTGAAGATGAGACGTGCTATAAGTGTTAATATTATTATTCGAGTACTATAGTCTCCATAAATTGAATGCGCTTGCACATGAAATATCATCCCTTTGATCCCCCAGGATAATTAGCAGTTTCTGCCTTCTTCTAAAATTATAAATCATAACTTCTCAAAGGTTATATTAGAATCACAGACTACTAATGCAGAGAAAGAAATAGATATATTTATTTCTCCCCAATATCCATATATATGTGGATATATGAATATTTGGAAGAAAAATTTTATGTATAAAAAATGTGGTATTTTAATTGTATAGATAAGATAAATGGAAAGTCAGATACTGGATTAAGTCAACAGCAAATTTGTAATGAGATACCATGTGCTTTTGGTGGACACTATCCTGAGATGGCAAAGATTAGAAGACTGATTTTACAAAATAAGTCTGTCATCAAAACAATTAAATACATATCTATTGCTAACCAGAGTACCATAGTATTTGTAGATATAAATTGAATGTGTTTGGTGCAATATTTTAAAATAAAATTTATTTCAAATGTTAGTTTTTTGAAACTATGCACTGTAGCTTATAGACTTGAGATAGGGAAGTAGAATAATAATCAGTTCCAAAGAATCTACAGTCTAACACTGAAGGCTCAGAAAATAGTTCTAAAAAGTCAAAGGAAAGAGAGATAGAAGACAAAGACAGATGGAAAATGCTAAGATACAGCTATAGATGTAAAAATGCACAGAGTCAAATGCAGCAGTCATTTGCTCAGCAACAGAGAACTTCCTAAGGGGCGTCCCTGCATGCTGAAGGATTTCTGGTTTAAGGTGAAAAAGCTCTGATGATTTACTTTTCACTAGGGTGGAAAAGACATTTCCTTTAGAATTTTATTTTTGCCACATGCTCTATTTTTATGCAGGAGATATTTTGCTGTAATTTTCTCTAGCTAATGTACCTATTATTTTAAAATTATTCCCCAGAGCTAATTAAGTCTAGCAGGTTTAGATCCTATCGTCTCACCTTATGGCTTTATTCTCTTCTAATTGCTTGAACAATGCTTTCTGTCACAAGAGACGGCTTCATTCTGAATATTTGGAGTATTAAGTTCAACAAACATCTAGTTGAGGTTCTGATATGTGTGAGTTTTTTTTTTTAATCTTAAAATTAAAATACAAAAAAGTGTTCGTTTTTGAGATACTTAATCTTCTGCAATTGATATTCTGTTGCAAATTCAAAACATGAAACTAGTGTACTATTAGGTAAGTCTCTAAAGGGCAAAAAGGGGTGGAAAACAAGTTCAGTGTCTAAATAATTAAGCATTTCTCATTTTTCTTTAATTTATCTGTATAAGTTAGCTAATTATAGATATAATTTGGCTGAGGATATGTGGCCTTTGAGTTTAATGTTAATTACCTTACTATGGTTCCTTGCAATTAATTTTAAAGAATGGATCAAGTGAATTGTATCTAGAGCCAAGCATGACTAACGTGATGTGAAAAAAATAAAAGGTCATTTTCAAAAGCATCTTTATGCTATATAGATTCTTAATTTAACTGGCAAGAGTATAATTATGATTTTTCCTATATATAGGCTAAGATTCTCATGGAAATATTGTATAAAGTATATTTTTGTAATTTAAAGGTGACAGATTACTTGTTGTTAGGTGAAAAAAAAAAATCCTAAATTATTACATATAATTTGTTGATATATCTTTTACCTTACCCAGTTACCAGTTTTCTTTTACTAAGCAATGAATAAGATGACAATGTCTTTCCACATTGCTGGGAGCCCTACAAACACAGGCTCCTAAAAAAAAATCAAAACAAAGAAAAGGGTATGTTTATTTGCATTTATTCATTCCTGAAACTTTTGTGAGCACCTACTGTTTGCATGACACTGTACTAATTAATATGTGTCCTGACTACAAATTTGAATATATGATTCCTGTCCTGAATAATATGATAATCTAGTGACATGAAAAAAGAAAACTGTAATAAAACTTGATAAGCATTAATATAGTAATAGAAACAGAGAGTAGTAGGAATGCAAAGTGAAGCAGTGTTGACTCAGGCTTGGAAAATCAAAGCAAGCTTTCCTAAGAGGTGAGATGCCTGGTTCTTAATTAGTACAGTCACCAAATCCATTGAGAATCTAATGGAATCAAGGGAGGTCCCTGCACTGGACAAATGCAAATATAAACAGAAATGAAAAATTGTTCATAAAGTCTATGTAATAAATTAGCATGCATTTTATTCATATGCTGAGTTAAACTTTTATAAAATGTTTCACTATTTTTATGCAAAAGTTAATAGCTCAATTCAAAAAACAAGTAAAAAGAGCAAGAATCAAATTTGTACAAATTAAAGTAAGTGAAACTTTGACTTTGTTCAAAATTAATTTATTTGATAAGACACCTGCTTGAATATGAATTTAAATTTGTGCATTTTTGTGAAATGTGGTTATGTATACATCACCTGTGACATCAATTGAAGTTGTCCTGTTTTTGATTGGAAATATGCAAATCTTGACAATAATACGAAGTGGAATTAGGGCTTCTTTTGTCAGCTCTGTCCATGAGAGGTTAACTATTTTCTAAAACACCAGAATTCTCCAAGATTCTTCATTTAAATTCATGTGAGCAATTTTTGCAGTCAGATTTGGCCAGGACTGCTTCACTAGTGTTTTCTATGTCAATATCAGAATTATGCAGCCTGTGTTCAATTTTAAAGCCAAATCAGCAAAAGCAATAATCAAGAGTTCTGTTGGATTCCAGGGCCCAAAGGCATTTTTCTGGAATAATTTGACAAGGCTTTGTCACTATCAACCCTGACGAAGCACTTTCTATAGCATTTGAAAGTTCATATAGTTGTCCACCTGCTAATTTCTCTCCCCAATTATTAATAGCAACTTGGATAAAATAGTTCTTAGTTTATCATCATTCTCAAGAACAGTGTCACAGGGTTCTATCTGAAATAGAGAAATACCCACCAAGTTAGTCAAGCCACCAGGAAACTCTGTCAGCTTGTTTTGAGGATGAGTTTTCTATCTCTTGAACTTTTTTACTGAAAGTTCAATCAAGATCTTTGGAACTAGTGCTCTGGAAAGTTGACAAACTTCTACATAGGACAAACAAACTTCATATTCTCTTTCTATTCTCTTGGCATACTTCTTAAAAAGGCAGTGATTCAAGACCCTGGCTCTGATAAAGTTGACAACTTTCGGGACAGTAGACAAAAATTCTCTCAGGATTACTGGCAGTGTCTTTATTGCCATTATATGACAGCTTAGAAAATAGTGAGTCACAGTCTTGTGGGGAGCTCCTTTCTTCACCAAAGCAGCAAAACTATGCTGCCAATCCTCACAGGTGCTCCGTCTGTGGACAAATTTACCAACCCTTCCCTTCCAAGCTAAGTTTTTCTTGGCAAATAAACTTTTCACACTTTCAAGGATGTCACTGTCCATTGTAGTTTTCAAACTGGTCCCAGGAAATAAGAAATTTTTTTCGATGCAACAAAATAATATCGCATAATAGAAATGACAACAATTTTGTAGATATAGTCACTGACAATATTTTATTCTGCTCCAAACCATAAGTGAGCTGGATTCATTCCAGGGTTCATGCCATCACGATGATCGTGCCAAAAGAAGTGTTTCTTCTTTTTGCTTCACAATGTATGCTTAAAACAAATATATTTATATTGGAGAAATCCAGATTCAGGTACTAGATTACCATTATCAAGTCGTCATCTCATGATGGTAATCTTGATTGTAATATGTATTTTAGTAATGAACAAATGTAAGGTACCTTATCAAAAATTGTGACCTTTCAGCATAATCTTGGTGTGCATTACACACTAATTATATGTCTCTGAAATTTACATATAAATGGATAAACATCAGCCATTTAGAGAAGGGCTGGGCTTACAATGCATCGGGAACATAACAAGCAAAGGCAAAATGTGGTAAGTGCATGTAGGATTTTAAAGATGGTGGAAAGTTTAGTGGGGTCGAAGTTTAGCTTATTGGGGGAATAGGAAAAAAAGAATTACTTAGGTTCAAATCTGAAGGCTTGATTGGACTGGGGAATATGATTCCAAGATGGCTTACCTATTTGGCAGGCAAATTGGCACTATTAAGAAAACTTCTGTTCTACTCTAAGTGGGCTTCTTTATACAATTGCTAGTGTATCCTCATGACATTAGCTTCTCCCAGAGTAAGCAATCCAGTAGAGCAAGATAGGAGCCTCAATGTCTTTATGGCCTAACCTCAGAAGTCACATGTAGTCATTTCCTTAATATCCTATTATAAACACAGTCAAGTTTATTCAGTGAGATGGGGAACTATACAAGGTTGTGAATGCCAGAAGTCAAAGACTATTGAGAACTATTTTGAAGGCTGGCTACCACATCCAATAATAAACAACTGCTGTCATCACACAAGTAAAATATATAGAAGGGTCAACCATGGATAGGAATAAAAAATAATGATTACCTTTTGCATATTAGTTAGAATTGAAGTAGACAAACACTTTAGAGAATAAAGCAATTCTTTAAGGTATTTTAATAAGTCGGCTAATAGGCCCAGCAATGTACTTTCAGTGAAATTTGCATAGTCACACTAAAAATAATTATTCAAATCTTCGTTTAAAATTGTGCAGGTTACACAATTTTATAATTGCTGTTCCCAATTTGTGATTTAAAAATACATTTAAATGAAATTTATTATTTAACTGCATTATATAAATGCCTTTCAATAACAGTGAGCATATAACTATTGTTTACAAATATTTATTTGTTAAAGATTTTAATTCACTTTCCCAACATATTTTTAACATTAATCATCATTAAATTTAACTTTATATACTATATGTAATTAATTTTTAAATTATGATTTTCTTAAACTTTTTGACCTTTTTTACAATATAAAGATTTCTTTATCTAGAAAAGCAGTGGACTTTAACAGAATCAAACATTGTAACATCATTGACTTTTTAAAATCCCATATAAGCAGCCATTTTTCTACACCACAATGTGAAATACTTCAACTACAAATCAACAAAAGATGTCATAGCAAAATCTGCACCAGATGTAGCAGCACAAAAATACAGGTACTTTACTTCACATTACCCAGAGCCTGATATGCATTACCTTAGCCATTCAAAATAGCTGCTTTGAAAGTTTCCAGCATTTTGCTGTTTAGCCTGATTTATAGAGCGAAATAATAACACCAACAATTTAGCTTTTATTAATGCCCTACAGTATGCCAAAAATTGGGATACAAAGATGAGTAAAAAATGGTGCTTATTCACAAAACGCTCACCTTTTAGTAGGAAAGATTGACATGTTTCTGTTCAGCTTGCTTCCTGGCTTAAGGTTATATGCGTTGACAATGTGTACAATGACAATGGGAAACACAGAGGAATGAGCTTGAGGCTAAATTCTCTGTGCTATAGAGCTGTGTATCCAAATAAAAATTTGTGCAAACAACTTTTGGTGCTACAATTTTATATGCTTAATTTGTTTCATTTTAAGCCATGGGAAAATTCAGTTTCTGATCAATAAGCCATGCTACCACTTGTGGTCATTGAAATATCTCTTTGTACTTACTATTTTCTCTGCCTTGGATAAACATCCTCAGATTCTTTCTAAGGTGCTTCATTTTTATCTTCAGTTTTATGCTTATTTATTAAGTATTTTTAGAGACAGGGACTCACTCTTTTGCCCAGGCTAGAATGCAGTAGTGAATAGCTCACTGAAAGCTTGGACTCCTAGGCTCAATGAATACTCCTGCCTCAGCCTCCTGAAGAGCTGGGACCACAGGCGTATGTCACTACACCTGGCTAATTTTTTGCATTATTATTATTTATTTTTATTTCTTTAGAGACGTCTTGCTGTGTTGCCTAGGCTGGTGTCTTGAACTCCTGGCCTCAAGCTATCCTCTTGACTCAGCCCTTCTAGTTTCTGTTTAAATGTCACTTCCTCAGAGAAATTTTGGTAGCCACTCTAAAGTGGACACCCAAATTTCCTATTTCATTATACTATATATTTCCTTAATACAACTATGCATAACTTTTTGTATATTTCTGATTACTTATCTGGATCCTTCATTAGAATAGAAAATCAGTCCATATGATTTTGGGCCAGTGGTATAAGGATTGTAATAGGAGAATATCTCTAGGATATCCTTTTTTGTTTCAGAACAAAAAAAAATGTCCAGTTAATTGACTTAATTATTCAGAATGTGTCAAAAATATGTTAAAGGCAGAAAAGAACTAAGATCCTTAATGTGTGTTTCTTTTCTTTGAAGATGATATAGGATTAATCACCACAGGTTGAGAAGACTAGAAGAGCATTTTAAAAGTAGTATTATTCCTTATTAGATCCCTAGAGAAATTTTTAGTTTCTATTTGCTAGTAGATGTAAGGCTTGTTCCTGTCCCCACCCACTCACCTCACCCTCACTATTCCACCCGATTTATCAATTATTTAGTGGTTCCCTTTTGGGGAAAAAATGCTGGGTAAATATGTATTAAGAATTTATGAAACTTGAAGGCGCTTACACATTTAAAGGGGTTATAAACCACTTGCAAACCTGTTTAAAGAACAAGATAGAAAAGGGGCAAGCAAGAAGGGATACGATTTGTTTCTAATGATGTACTGTTAAGCAATTTATTTAGTAGAGACTTCAGCTTTCTGAGGTACAAAAATTAAAAAGGAGTTGTGATTGAAACAAACTCTAAAGTTGCTTCCAATTCTAACATTCTGTAAGGTAATGTTAGTTTAACGAAGAAAGAGTTCCATGGGAATTAAGTGCTGTCGTTATCACTTCTAGTAGAGGATAATAAGGAAAAGCTGCAAAAAAGAAAATTTGAGTTTGGGTAGAGTCTTCGGGGATGCATAGGATGGCTAGATTTTGCACAATTAGAGGTAAAAGTGGAAGTTGTGAAATAGAAAGGCTATTGGAGATAGATGAAAGTGCCCAGAGAGGAAAAGCAGAAATGAGTCAAAAGAGTAGTTGGTCCATTTTGGCTGGCTCCTGTTTTACATAAAGCTAGATTCTGGAAGGCCTTGTCTGCCTGGATGAGCAGTTTTTACTTTCTTTCTGTGCAAGTGAAGAATATTTGTATACTTGGTGCTATATGCTTCTATACAGAATATTTCATCTGCTTGAGGAAAGACTTAATGTCTACCAATGTGTAGTAAAAATTAAAAGTCTTGAGTGTTAATTAATAAACCAAATGCTTATTAGGATGTTACTAGTACTAGTAATCTTTGTTAATAACTATAATTTCTTAAGTTTAAAAATTGAATTTCTGGATTTTTCATGGCTTCAGTGCGTAAGAGTAGAGTGATTACTTATAATAGGAGTATTTCTTGTGAATTGAAAATACATACTGATCAAACTCAACCTTTCAAAAAAAACTCTGAAATCTATTTTTGAATCATATATTATTATAAAAGATTCTAAATCTTTTAAAAATTTTAGTGGATTACTTATAATTTATGAAAATCATGTTTACTAGTATCTGATGCATATTAAGCTTACATTAATTTTTATATTAAAATTTGCATATTTTAAAAATTAGCTTATATTATTTAAATACCCTGTATTAAGTACAATTTTAGGAAATAGGATCGTCTAGCATAGTTACTCATTAAAATTGAATGACGTTTCTTTGGATTTTAACTCTATTTCTGCTCTGCTTTTTCATTTTCTTACATGCTGCATGACAGGAGACTCTCAGAAATAAATATTGAAATGGTTTTCTAGGGATTTAACTTTGGATCACTTATTAATATTAAATCTCATCTTTTCCTTGTATGCTTGAAATGCTTACTGAAATGGATGAGCAGATATTTAAAAGGCTAAGAACAGATTGCTGGCACAAAAAAAAAACAAAACAAAACAGCAAAACTAATCTTTTAAATGAACTTGGGAAGAAGCCAGGAAGACAAGAATGCTCAATGTAAGAATCTAAAGGTTTTTTGATACTAAGTATGGAAAGGGTGGTTAATCTTTTCTTTTAATCTGTTTACCATTCTGCGTATTTGAAAATTAAGGACGTTGGAAGAAGATGGATGTTTATAGGTCACACAGATTACTTCCCCAACAGCCTGTGAAATAGCATTCTAATATGTTTGCTTGCAATATTTTTATTTGTTTCTTGTTGTAGACCTTTTGATCATCTTATCTGTGTTAATTTTTTATACATTAAGTTTCTTCTGACAAATTTACGTACTTTGAATTAGTGTTTTCTTTGTCTTATATCTTGCATATTTGAGCTATTTTTATTCTGTTGTAGTAAAACAAACTATATCTAGAACTCAGTGAAAATTCTGTAAAAGTACCTTTCATTACCATTGGAAATAGGTTTACTTTTTAGTGTCCTTAGATTTGTTTGTCTTTAATGGTCAAAATAACTAAAGATTTAAATAACTAAAGATTATTTCATTTGCTGCCAAGTTGAATCTTGTACCTGCTTTTATGTATTCTAACATAGATCTGTTGCTTCAGGTCATTTATCTGGCTATAATCATGAAGCTATAATTTATTTATCATTTTGAAGGGTTGCAGTGCCCTAAACTAAATGTCTTTGAATTGAATAGAGGTCTCATCTCTCTGGAGCCAATTTTATTTTTCTTTGTATACTTTTCCTCAAAAAATATTTTAAAATTATAAACATCTATTATTCTCAATGTGTTCTTTCTTTACTTGGCTTTGTTTTTCTTCATGCTCCTTCAAAAATATTTAATTTTTATCATTTCATCCTATAAGTGTCAAATCCCCTTTTCTAAGGTTTCAATATTTACTCTCTCTCAAACTTTACCTTTTTTTGCATTTTTGCTCTATTATAGGACATTCATATTTGTTAGGACTAAGACTATGTACAAATGAACTTTGAGGTTGAATGACTTGTTTTACAAACAGAAATACAGTTTTTCCTCATTAGTCTTCCTTTTTTGGGATATTTTGAATTTTTCTCTCTCTATTGCCCTGTTAGATGATTATATTTTCCATTAATTACTTTCTTTCTACTCAAGGGTCTTTTTTCAGATTTGAACAGATTTCATTCATTTAGCAAAGGAATTCACAACATCTGACAAAACTGTATTTCCTAACAGTTTTACAAAATCCACCTGGACTCATGTCATTTTAAGATATTCTTTCGAAATTTCTGTAGATAACTCCATATGAAACTACATATTTTTTTCTAATTTTTCCTATGGTAGTCTCTTCAGGATCTTTCATTTTTCATATTGAATTTGATATATTGTTACCAATAAAGAAACATGAAATGTGGATGTATTAGTTTGTTTTCACACTGCTGAAAAGACATACCCAAGACTGGGCAATTTACAAAAGAAAGAAGTTTATTGAATTTACAGTTCCACATGGCTGAGGAGGTCTCACAATCATGGCAGAAGGCAAGGAGGAGCAAGTCACATCTTATATGGATGGCACCAGGCAAAAAGAGAGCTTGTGCAGGGAAACTCTCATTTTTAAAACTGTCAGATCTCATGAGACCCATTCACTATCAGGAGAACAGCACAGGAAACACCCACCCCCATATTTCAATCATCTTCCATTTGGTCTTTCCCACAACACATGGGAATGATGGAAGCTACAAGATGAAGTTTGGGTGGGGACACAGAGCCCAACCATATCTATGGATATTTGGATGCCCTAAAAAGTGCATGAGAATCAGATGCTGACCTATCTAACTTGTTTGTTTCTAGTTTCCAATTGATGATTTGATATAATGCTAAAGATTGTCTCATAATACTTTATGGTCCTAGTATGCACTTTCCAATTCTCATTAGAATATTTTACTTTCAAACACTGAAGAAACTTCGAGTAGCTTTCTTGCTCCAATTATGAAAAGAATCAGAGATTTTAATCTTGCAAAATTCTAATGCAGCTATGTTATGTGGGTGAGGTCAAAATTATATAGACAAGATAGGGCTAGGAATTCCTTGTGAGTATGAAGGATTATGGAGACATAAAAATTAAGTTAGTTCTTGAGCACCATCTTTTATGTCAGAGGGAAAAAGCCCTATAATTCTACAAAATCTGTTTCTGATCCCTGTTCTTAAGTACCACAAGCATGACCTCGGATATGTATTATTATGAAGTAATGCTGAATTTCCTCTATTCTTTCTGGTGGGAAATAAGAAAACCCAGAGGTAAGTAAGTATTAACTCTATTCATAAGCCATTTATCAAAGTAGTAAAAGAAAAATACATCTGATAATTTTCCTTTGCCACCAAACAATGCTATTCTTTATTTATGATTAATCCTTAGCACCAAAGTAAGGTGAACACTTCCCAAGGGAATGTTAGGCATTTGCTTATAGGACAATTTATCATATCAGAGTTTATGTTTTTTCACTGAATGAAAGTATGATTTTATGATACTCTATTTTTGGTTTGTCAGTGCGATACTTTTAATGATTCAGTCCAATCTAATTGTGCTTAGCATTATAAGCTGCTTGAATAAAATCTGGATATATATGAAACTCTGCATTTAGGATATAGTTGCAAAGATAGTGTGTGCCAATTTGCCATTCACATGGCATTCAAATTTTCTATTTATTCAAATAATAATAATAGAATTGTGCAAAGGCCAATATCCCAGAAAAAAATAGTTTCTTCTTTATTGTCTGAGGATATTAGTTTTTCATTTTCTCTTCTTTTTTTTTTTTTTTAACTTAGACCTTTGTGCTAACTTTGTTTTATTGCATTTATCATTGAACTTACAGAATATTGAGGCTTTTTCTTTGGTAGGAATTTCTCAACTTTATCAAATTACTTACCAGTAATCAAGTCTTAATGATATTAAACATTATATTTTGAGTAGTTATTATATGTCAAGCACTGTGTTCAGCACTTTATAAATATTAACTGAAACTCCAAGAATTAAATATTTTTGAGGCTTCAATGATAGAAACAGCATCTGCATACAGATTGGTATGGGGGGGTCTTTACAACACATGATGATAAAGGCTTTTACTTGTTTAAAACATTGTTTTAAGATAGTGTTTTGAATATTGCCTTTTTAATTTTTTTATTTCCATTTTATGTTTTCTGTATCATTGAGAAATAAAAAGCATTTATTCTGACATGTTTTTCTGTTGGATATTGTTAAATAGCAGTCCTGGAAGTCCAACCAAAATATCCAGGAGTATTGTATTGTCCTTGCATGTACTAATACAAAATGGGTTACAGAATAGGGTGAATTCCACAGTACTGTTACAAGTGCTTTTCCCCGCGAATTCAATATGTGACACCTTTAGTCCAAAGTCATTCAGACCAATTTCGATCATGATGGAAAACTCAAAATCTTCAAATAGCATGTGATTTCAGACATATGACAATATGATTCTGAGCAATGTCAACACAGTTATGCTAGCTTTTCATTATGGAATATACAGTTCATTTTAGAGAATGCAGTGTTCTTTTACTTTTAATCCAATGTGATTTTACTTTTTTAAGTGGAGTTAAATTTTTGATATTCATTCTAAAGTCATTTTAAAATTATTTGTGAATAATATATAGGTATAAGAAAATGTTATACATAAGCATTTACCTCAACTGTATCTTCAAATATTTATATTTATATTAATATATTCTTATATGGTATGTACTGCAGAGTGGGTGAGTATATCAGTCAGGACCCAGGTGGGAAAACAAAGGCAATGCTGGTTATTTCAAACAGAAAAGACTTGATAAAGGAAATGATTTACAAAAGTATTAGAAATCTAGAAGAGGAAAAAGGCAAGTAGAGAAAATGTAGAGATTACTAATTCCGTGAGAAGAAGAAAACCTTAAAGACAGTTCAGGTGTGAACTCAGGAAAGCTGGGCCTACTTGGGGACTTTGGAGGAGGAGGCTTCATGGACTAGGCCAGGTTAGGTAATTCATGGGCTATACAGGTAATTTGTGGACTGTACAGCAGATATTTGCTTTTAAGGGTATGTGGCCTGGTATGCTATGCCACTCCCACCCCCTAGCAATAAAGACAAATGCAATGCATGCAGATTAATGTGTATATCACTAAGCATACTTTGAAAACATGCAACTCTGTAGAGTGTAGCACAAAACAGTTTTAGCCCCATCTCTAGCCCCATATCTGTTTAAAACTGCAACAGGGAGCAGAAATATTGGGTTATAGCTAGTTTAGATCCTTTACATTTTCTAAATGGTCTAAGGTAATAAAAGCATCCTGGTAATATTTAGTCAGAAATCATCTATATGTTCACGGCTAATGTGTCCTACTACATCTAGGCATGTGTAATATACAAAATTCCAAATTACATTCCCCTAGCTTTGGGCTCTTTCAAACTTGTAGTCTGTGTGAGGCATGGTGAGGATTGGCAAGTGACTTGCGTTTCTCTATTTCCTTGTCTAGTGCTTATGTGGTTTCTGAACTTTCCAGAGTTGATGGGGAAGAGGGTAGGTTGAAGGGAGATAAAAAGCAAAGAGTATTCTTTTATTTGTGCTATCGTGATCTGACATTGGTGCTCTCTGTGCTTGGCAGATGTTCAAAACTAATACTTTCTTGATTGTTTTTGTTGTACAATTCTGCTTGAAGAGTAATCAGTTGTGTTTCCTTGTATGCAGGAAATGCACTCTCTGGCTAAATTCTTCTGACTTTCCCTCATCCTATAGTTTCTGTGGGTTCTCCATGACCCAACCGGTAGTTTTGTAAGGTGCAGTGCCTCTGAGTCATCCCAGGCTGGCTTTCTATCCATTATGGCCCATCAGTGGTCCAAGTGAAACACTTAAGACCCCTTGCTCTGACAACCGAAGGAAGTGCAGGAAAATTCCAACATGACCACCTTGCCTCCACCTGCTGTTTGAAGAAGAAAATAGATACCATCTCTCTTCTTTCTTTCTCTGGCTGAAGGACCCCACATGTTGTTAATGTTGAAGGTTCTTTTATTTGTCTTGAGGTGGAGATTCACCCCATAGGCTTGCAAGTATTTCTCAAATAGATATATATATATATTTCTGTATTTAATCAAATGTATATTATATATTTGAGAGTCTCAAATATGTATTATATATTTATATATAATATATATTTGAGACTCTCAAATATATATTATATATAAACATGTAATATATATTTGAAACTCAAATATATATTTATATGTAAATATATAAAATTATATTTTATAAAATATATAATATATATAAAATATATATAATGTATATTTTAAATATTACATATATATTTAAGAAATACTTGTAAGCCTATGGGGTGCATCTCTACCTCATGTCATGGGTATATATATATATATGTGTGTGTATATATATATCCATCTAGTCTTTTCAACATAAATCATTTTAACATAACATAAATCATTTCAACAAAAATCATTTTATACCCACAAGTGGGATTTGAGGTACGGAGGGTCACAAAACCATATTTGACTGTTCTCTTGAAAGTACTACCACATAGGTGACTTACCCTGTCTCTTTGTGGGGGTGCAGTTGTTAACCCACTGTTTAGTCCTAAGTCCTTGAGTACACAAACAATTCAAGACAGAAAACTCCCACTTTAATGGAACGTGCAACTTTAGGAGACAAAAAAAAAAAAAAAGCCTACAGAAGAAAAGAGAAGGAATGAATTAGGAATAATATTTTTAAAAGTGTAAAATCCTGAATATTTATAATAAAGACACCAAAATACCAAAGCTATATATTAACCGAGCATTAAACCCCTGTAAAGGAAATTTGTAAATCCCTGTAAAATCTATTGGAAGAGGACCTGAAGAAATGGAAGAGGGAAACAAAGGACAAATGATTAGGACAATAGGACTGGGAATCAATTTATTACAAATAACAGGTATACAAAGAATTGATGGCCAACCCTAAATTGGCATACATATAGCATATTTTTAAATGTTTTATGCTTAATTTAACTTTTAGATTGAATTAGTGGTACTTTGTCTATAGGGAAATTGATATTCTCAAACAAATTTGTCTTTTGTTACAATTCCAATTAAGAACTATTGACATTGGTTACTTACAATGACATATGGATGAACCTAAACAGAAAACAGGTTATTAGGTTGATGTCTGGAGAGGGATAGAGTGCTTCTGATTGGGTCTACCTTAACTCATAGTTTTTGGTGGACAGAGGAATGTTGAAGATTATAAAATTGATGTCCTGGAAATGGTTGCAAGACAATATTTGAATTGGATTTAATTTTTAACCAAATTTAAAGTGCTATTTTTTACAACTTCAATTGTTGTTTTCTTTTATGTTTATCATAATCTGCACATCCTTAGTCACATATTTCATTTCAAGAACCTTGAAATAGTCATTAGGTCTTACTTCTTTCCTGCATACACATACACACACAAACCCAATTCCTTTTCTTTCAGTAAGGTTCCCAGTTGATGGACTTATTCTCTGATTTTTTTTTTTTTTTTTTTTTTTTTTTTTTTTTTGGTCAGTGCTCTTACTGTGCTTGCCAATTTAACTGCCGAGGGTTAGCAGGCTGACAACTTCGTAATAATCAGCATCTATTCCATTTCCATTTTATACTCAAGGTCTATTGTTGCCAATTCATTCAAGAAGGTGTTTTTATTTAAGAGGTGCTTAAGTGCTGGCTTCTGTGCTCTGTGAATGCAGTCCTCATAGGGAATAATACTGTAGAATGGTTCATTCTATGTGACTCCAAGCTACTGTGATGCTCTTGTCTATTTCTATTGCAGATTCAACACAGAATTTTCTTTCCTCTAATGTAACAATTGTTTATCTGGCTTGTATTGTTCTCTAGCACCTTTAAGTTACGATGCGGGATTCGGGGGAAGACTATGACAAAGCTTTGCCATCAAGAAACTCCAAATATATTTGGGGCTTGAGAATTGTAATACATACTAGAGAATCATGTACATAACACATGGCTAAATGTAATGATATGTGGTATAAGTATTTAATTTTTCAGGAAGGATAATTATTGAAGGTTTTGTATATGTCAGTATATTGTTTATTCTCAGCCTCACATTAGACACGTATTTTTTATCACAGCTGTGTACATTTTATACTACACTTTTCCTTCACTTCAGAATATATAGAAAATACGTTTTTGAGTTAAGTGCCTACATCCAGCTTTCTATATCATCAGAAACACTTCTCAAATAGATTGCCAAAATGGTCAATGATTATCAGTGTAAGTTAAACTGAATAAATCTTTAGACCCCTCTGATCATGAAAAATTCCAGATTTCTGCAGCCCTTCTCGCCACATTCTTGGCATGCTATTGGTATTTGCACTTAATACAAGAAACTAGTCCTTGAGTATTTATTATTTGACCTCATATTCATTCCTCTTATCAAGTTCCTGAAGGTTTCTCTTTTATCCTTTATGTTCATCAGGGATTCTGCATAGTAAAAACTCCAACATCTTCTTGATCCCAATATTGAGTTGGTATCGGGAAATACAAATAATTTTGTTGTTTTTTTCTCTCCAACACTTGGAGGGTTCTTACTGTTAAATGCAAAATGGGTAATGCTGGAATATTAGAAACCTGAAGAAATGTAATTATTCATTTTATTACTTTACCAAGAGACTACTGAAATACATGTTCTCCTGCTTACTTGTCTATTGTTACTAGCAGGGTCTTTTCTCTGGACTTCTTTAGTGGCATCTCCACACCTACGAATCTATTCCTTATTGTGCTTACCTGGTAATTTTGAAACACTTATATGCCCACATCATGTACCTGATCAGAAATTTCAATGGCTTCCCAGTGCTTACAGGAAGAAGCTAATGTCCTTAGCACAATATTCACATTCCTTCAGCATCAAATAGACATTATTTTATTATATTGCCCTCTTAATACACGTTGAACTATAATTACATTGCATAATCTGCTGTTTCTCTGAACTTTTCACAATCTCTTCTACCTCCATGCCTTGACTCATTCTGTTCTGTAGGTTTAAAATGGCCATTTCCTACCTGGCTACCTAAAGAGATCCTAGTAATTCTTCAAAATCCAAGTCAGCTTCTACTGCCCTCATTCTTTCCTTCTGCGAAATTTTCTTTTTCATGTACTCACATTTTATTTTGTTTATATTCATATTAGATAATTTATCACAATCTGACTCATATCATTGTTAGATGTGAGGGTTCTCCTTTGCTCAGTAGTGAGCTCTTTGATTACCTGAATGGTGATACCTTAAGAACCTATCAGTGTCTTATACTCAGTACCTTGTACTCAGTGTTGCACTGGAATTCATTTATTTTATTAAAATATGGTGATTCATGGAGCATCCATATTAACATCTTTTCTATCTCTTTCTAATGTTGTTTCTTGGAACACAAAGGTCTTTGTGTGCTTAGCTTCAACTACCATCACTGTGAACTAATGAAGTGATTATTTTAAAAGATTATAAGCTTTTTGAAGACAGAAATGATCTCTTTTATCTTTGTACGCTGATGTTTTTAGAACAGAAATCATTTGCAAATGGAGTTATTATGCAGAAGAGATTTAAAAAATAATATGCTTGAGCTTGCATACTCACTGACAGAACACAGTAAGTATCTCAGCTAAGTAACCTTTCTTACTGAGTAACTTCCTTGACCTTGAAAACTACTTTTTATTGAAACATCATGGCATGGTGGAAGAAATATGAACTTCTTATGAGAATATATCCAGCCCCAATCTCAGCTTAAACATGTTAAACTTTAACTTGTTTTAACAAATATAATCATATTTAGGCATATGTCTTGCCACTGGGTTTTAAATACTACATTGTAGATATTTATCCTTACCAATGCATGTAAAATGACCTAATCGTATGTGCAACTGCAGAACATTCAAAAGCATGGATATAACAGACTTATTTAAAGATTTTTCTAAGGAGGAAGCCACTATAACGTAGTGGCTAACATCTTTGGTTAGATTTAGGCTTTAAACCTTTTAAGCCTTGCTACATCACTTCCAAATTATGTGACACTTTTACTAAGTCCTGATATATGAGACCATAGTATTTAGAAAATGGTTAAGAATCATTAATGCTAGAAAATATGCTTAGCAACAGAAACTTTAGCTCTTTTATGAGTGTAAAGAATACCACCAGCAGGTGGCAGCAACTTTGAGTGATGGTCATAAACACCAAGAATGGTGCTCTGTTAATTACAGGTGGTTCATGGTGCAAATAAAAATAAGCGACCTGGCTAATAGTATATCCTGGAAGTACTTCTACTATTAGAGTTGCATTACATTTTTACATGTTGCATAATATTAAATAAAAATGAAATATTTGTCACACCTAATGGAAATAGATTCAGATGTTTGCAATGATCCAGATTAAGTCAAAACTTGTAAACAGATATTCATGAAATAGTTTATGGCTTAATTCTGAATATAAAATTATTTAATTCTGTTATTTGCTCTCTACATGTTAATGATGAAGGAAAGCATGACAAAAAATGACAACGAAGGCAGTTATAGTTTAACTTGGAAAGGCAGAGTGCTTCCCAAAGAATTTCTACAGCACAATTGGTTAATGATGGATAAAAAGAACTCTGTCTCTAATTTCTAATTGCCCACGTTTATTTCCTGGCTCTATCAGTTATTAATTATGTGGCTTAAGTGCCAGATTTCTTCATTTGTGAAGTAGGAATAACAATAATATTGACTTCATAATGTTGTAAAGATTAAATGAGATGACTATGAATTGTTAGCAGTACCAGGAATATAGTAGGCACTCAATATATTAGTAGGCGATGTAGCAATTATCTTTTGTAACATGGTCTTAAGCTTTATTTTTAATTTTTCTACTAAATATCTATTCCAACATCTCTTTGAAATCTATAGTACAGAGTCAGTCTCACTGTTTCCTAAATTTTATACTTAAAAATCAAAGGAAGAAGAAAATATTTAAGGTGAAAATCCAGATACAAATTTATTTACAACAGTGATAAATGTAGAAGTCATAGGATGTTCTCATAGGTAAGAGCAACATCCCAAGTACAATTATTAACTTTGTTCCATCAAATAGATCTGACAAGTGTCTAAGATACTTATGATTTTCTAGGCTACTAAAAAATATAGGATTTACATCATCCATTTTTAAAAGCTCTTATTTTACTGTTTTTCTCTACCTTGTGCCACACATTTTACACTGATATATATATTTATATCTCACCTTGTTGCAAAAACAAAAAGAAATTAACCATATTGATTATTTGCAGTTATTTTGGCCTATTTACAGTGTCCTTTTTTTCTATATGTAATTCATATATATATGTAAAGTTAAAGATCAGTAAAAACTTCTTAATATATAATAGATGTTTTTCAAATGAATATACATCTTTAATTTTCCATTTGTGTAATTTAATATTGCTTTTTTTTTTTTTTTTGAGATGGAGTCTCGCTCTGTCTCCCAGGCTGGAGTACAATAGCGCAATCTCGGCTCACTGCAACCTCCGCCTCCCAGGTTCAAGAGATTCTTCTGCCTCAGTCTCCCTAGTAGCTGGGATTACAGGCGCGCACCACCATGCCCAGCTAATTTTTGTATTTTTAGTAGAGACAGGGTTTCACCATGTTGGCCTGGCTGGTCTCGAACTCCTGACCTTAGGTGATCTGCCCGCCTCAGCCTCCCAAAGTGCTGGGATTATGGGTGTGAGCCAACGTGCCCAGCCAATATGGCTTTTAATTGTACCTTTGTAGTGTGCACATTTTTTCCTACTATAGCCTAGGAGGGCTTTACACACATGTAAAGCCCCATGGGGTTTTATATTTCAAAGCTAAATTCACATCTATATAAATAAATAAGCTATATGAAATATCTAGGCAATCAGTCTAGGAAAATAGATTGCTGTAAACAATTCTCTTCCAAAGGCATTGCCTCAGTATTCACTGAAATGTACTTATGCTAAATCACAGTGTAATTCTAAAAACTGTGAATTGTAGGCATGGTATTTGAAAGAATCAAATAGTTCTGGTATCTGAGTAAACAAATTTTGAATCACGTGCCTGTACACATTTCAACTATAATGCAATTATTTATGTTCAAAGTTATTTCTAAATGTCTCTATCTGTGATTTGTGAAACTATTACAATACAACGAGTGAGATATGGGAAGAACTCTCCTAACTGAAAGGGGAAATATGAAATGATCTTAATTCTACCTTCTCAAGAGCCATGTGAGCTTTTCCAGAGCATTTTAACTTCTGAGCTTCTATTTACTCATATGTAAAATTGGGGCTGTAAAAAGACCTAAACTCATTGAGTTTTTGTGCAGATTTAATGAAATAATAAGCTGCCAAGCACAAGATCTGCTGCATAGACATCATCAATTCATGATAGGGATTTTCATTTTTATGGAAGGCTTTATGCCATTTAAACATTTTCTTTCTGAGTATGCTTCACCCAAAGGTACCACTGAGATCCCTGCCTCTCCACTTAACCATGTGTGATTATACATTCATACTCACTTCTATGTCATATTCTGTAGAAATAACTCTAGACACAAAGTCTAAAACTTAAGCTTTTGAGTCTGAATGCCATGTTTAGTAGCTGTTTGAATTTAAACAAACATTCAAGCTTTCTGAGCCCTCTGTCTTTATGTTTAAACAAAGGGAAGTGATACTTAAGTCAGTGAAATAATGGAGGATGTAATCCCAATCCGGTTGAAACGGCTCCATTGTCTCAGGTATATGCCCTGGTTCTTTGTCATAGTTGAGAAAGAATTCAGGACACGGACACACAGGAAGAGTGGGTTTAGGAGCAGAAAGTTTAATAGACAAAAAGAAGACAGAGAAAAGGCTTCCGCATGCAGAGAAAGCTGGTAGCCCGAGAGAGGGTCTCCGGTTTGCGGCAGAATGCAATCGATTTCCTACAGAGGTTTGAGGAGGCAGTGATTGATTTACATAGGTCCTAGGGGATGGGTTTGACCAGGTATGCCATTTATATAGCCGAGAAAAGACTGGCCCTCCCACCCTAGTCTTTTATTATGCAAATGTGGCCTCTACCAGGCGTGGCCATAATGCCTGTACATGTGGTTTTCCCTGGAGGCTGCCATGACACCATAAACGTGGTGACAAGGAAGAGAGTGAGAACTGCCATATTGAATGTACCTGGCTTCCAGGTACAGCTGCTGGCATTTACATATAAAAGCTCCTAGTTTGCATATCTATCAGGCTGCTTCCTGTTAGCGAAAAAATGGTTTGGGGCTGCGTTTTATTAAAGGAAAATTCCACCAATAACTTTTACCCTTTCAAGCTGACTAAAAATAATTTCTTAATAACTCCTGTATTATGGTCATGTTGTGAAAATCATTCGTAAACTATCATCACCTACTCTGATTTCTTACTGTTCACTCTGCAATAAGGTTCAGAGAATGCAAAGGCCTTTTGTGACCTATTAATGAGCCTTTTGAGTCAGGGAAGTGGCAGCAATTGTCCACTAATATTTCAATTTCTTATGGACAAAAGATATTTTTTTACCTGCTTTATCTATTTGGCATTCTGTTTACTATATTATCACAAAATAAGGTCCTGTGGATGTAAAATAAATGGAATACCTTTATCAGAAGAGAGAAACCAAGGCATGTAAAGCTTGTGATTTTCCCCGAGTTAGACACCAAATTAATTAGTAGCAAGCAAAGAAGTAAATACTCAACATTCTTCCCTTCCCTTTCCTGCTCATCTAAAAAGATATACAATTTATATTCCACAGTGGGTGATCACACCTGCATGCACAATGGAACCCCTTCTGGTGTTTTCCAAGGGCTAAAGAAATAAAACAGTACTACAGGGAAGTAACACACCTGTGTGGTTTTGGCGAGGACCACTATGTATTGTAACTGGCCAAATATTTACAAATAAGAGGATTCTGAAGATAATTTTATATAAAAAGCAACCAAAAAAAATTCTACACATTTAACTCAAGTTGATTGTGCTACATGGCTGCTGTACTAACAAATAAGAATACAAGAAAACAGTCAGATCCTGTTTCACCTTCCTGAAATACCTGCAGTAACTGAGATATGAATTCTTTAAAAAGAGGACAGAATTTTGTTGGTTTTCTTATATAAAGTAGAAATATTAATATTAAGCAATAACCCATGGCAGGCCAATGTTTCTGGGTAATGATAGCACACCGTAGGGGGTGTTTTACAGTTTGAGTCCGAGTGGCTTTATCCACTTCAGGGACATGAAATAATCCCCCTGAAATGCATTGCCTGGAGTGTTGTATTAATATTATAAAATGAAATTCATAAATACAAAGGAAATCATGTAGATCCATGCTTTTACTAGGCAATATACACCATGGAAAAAAATAACAGTCTAAACATGCAGGTCCTTAAAAGCTGTTTTGTTCATAAACCCAGTTAGATGTCTCATACATTGATGTCACTAAAGTTTGGTGTATTTCTTTAAATTAATTAAGTGCTTAAAATTAAACAGTCTATCATAAGATGGTTGCATATGTTAATATGTTTAAAATGTGCATGAATTTACTTGAAAGTGAAATAGTGTGAAAGCCAATGATTAATGTTTCATACTTTAAGAAACAGCATCGTTTATGGAAATACATAGTATTGGAATAAAATTCTAACCTGTATAAAAGCCTCCTTTTTGACAGTGCTTTAAAAAATCTTTCCATTATTGCAGGGTAATAGCTTGACTGTAATGTCTGCTGTTAAAGGAGCAAGTGCCTGTACAAATATTAATCTTACATTATTACTGCTAAATATTCAGCCGATTTGAATATTAAAATAGCCCAAAGGTTCTTCAATAAAACATATGATTACCAAAATACTGCTGTTCCTTTTATCATGCCAGGCATATCCTATACATATATTAAAAGATTTTATAGTTGCTTAAGTAAATGTATTAATTTATAATAGTGGCAAAGCCTAAAGTTTAATTTTGTGCTTTTAGAAGTGTTCTTGCTATTATATTTGGACTTTTCTAGTAGAAAATTTTGATTCTGTGAGTAACAATTTAATTACTGAAACTTTGTACAGTTTTTTTAATTTCTAGAAACTGATACAATTTTTAAGAATTGCTTCATAAATAGTAATAATAGCTAACACTTATATGGCAATTATTCTGTGCTAGGCTCTGTTCCAAGTACTTTGAAAGAGTGAATCCTTTAATCTTTGTAATAAGCCTATAAGATAGGCTCTATCATTATTCCCATTTTTTAAATGAGGAAACTGGGTCTCAAAGTATTTAACTAAATTGCTGGAGTCTACTCACCTAGGAAGTGACCTCACCAAGATTCTAATCAATATGGTCAGGTTTCTCAGTCTCTGCTGCTATATGCTAAAATGTATTTGATGAAGATGTATGTTAGAGAAGCAAGATGATTTTTTAAAAAGGAGAATATATATATGTATGAATGTAAGAACTGTGCAAATAACATTCTGTAAAAAGATTTTATGTGTGTGAAATGGCTTCTTTATTTTGAGTGTGAATAAACTGAAGGAAACTGATGAAACTCAACTATTAACTTGGGTCCTGATATCCCATTTTAGAACATTATAGTCTAAAAATGACTAATTAATACTGAGAAGAGTAAGAAAAGCTGAAGAATTTGCGTGAAGTCCTTTAACTCTAGCTTTCTGTATACCATTGCAAGATTAGATTATAAGCAGGGACAGCTCAAGTGTAATTTTAAAATCCTCAGGTGTTCCTATTACCTTCCTACTCTGCCCATTATTCTGTGCACTACGTTCTTCTTGGTTCCTGCCCCTCTGTTCCGAAACTTCCTGTCTTCTCCATTTGCACGTCAGTTATTTAGGATGCTTATGATGGGCCATCCCAAATTATCCCTCACAGAATCTAGGTGTTACAGGTTTTAGAGTGATCATACCCAGCTACCTTACAATGCTTGAATCACTTATAAACACATGAGAAGTAAGTCATCTTCCATATGCAGAATGATTATTGTTAATGTAGACAAACAAGTGTTTTTGAGTCAGACCAACCTGAGTTTATTTTCTAGCTCTTCTAATTTTTAGCTCTGTGAGTTTGGGTAAGCGACTTCCTCAATTCTAGTCTGTTTTTGTCATTAAATCTGGAGAAAATAATATTTGCCTCACTAGGCTGTGGAGATTATTTTTTCAAAATGCATGTAAAGTATTTGGCACATCTTGGATATTCCACAAATAAAGCACCCCTTCCTCTTCTTGAATATTCCCAGTGGTACAGAATGTATCACATCATGAGTCAGTTCATTCCACAGAATGCCCCTTATTTTAGGCTCAAACCTTCCTCCCTTCAGACCCTTTCTGCCATTTCCTGGTTCCCCTCTGTGTACATCTGGGCCTATAACTCATGTAACCCCATGCAAGTACTAGAATCTCTCTGGACCTCAGTGTTCAGTATTCTCACCAGTAAATAAAAGGATTTCACATGAGATATTTTTCAACCTCTTCCCATCTATAAAATTCGGTAATGCTTTGTGATGCTCTCAGATTTAAGTATCTCCTATTTTGCTACTCAGTAACTGTGAAGCTAATAATAGCAAGCATGTATTTTTTCTCTCCCTGGCTTGTCAATTGAAAGGGGTCAATTTTAAGAAGATAATTACGATGATGATGTTTAAGATAGGAAATGTGCTTAATTTTCAAACAAAATGTCCAGCAAAATTTTAATATCCAAAATAAGTAAAAGTGGAATGGCACCTGAGTAAAGTGGGGCTGGATATAGAGGAGTCCTGCCTGCTTGGCCTCCTCAGATCCATCTTACATCCACTTCCTCCCTATCTCCAGTGCTCTTGAAGTAGTTCCACAGAAACTGAATTTCATGAAACAATTCTAAAATCACTGCTTTAATCCAAGTAGTGTCTCTTATGGTGAGCCTTCCCATCTCTCCAGCAAGCTGATGTAAGCCACCTCTTCTGCGGCTGCATAAGATTCAGGAAAGGTCCAATTTCAAACCAGCTGCAGGCTGCTATATTTTTCTCTCTTTTTCTTCTCAATGAACAGGGTGTCCTGTTAGTTAATGTGAAAGCCTTCCAGGACAGTCTAACTCCAGTTGCCCCATGGAAGCAACAAAGGAAACACAACATGTAAGATAAACTCTTACGACTTAATTTTAAGAAACTATGCACAAAACATGATTGTTTTAAGAATGCTACGTGAAGAGCATCTTTCCTTCAGTTGTTTTTTTTTCCATGTGTAAGTTCAATTTCTTTTTTCCTAAGAAAGTGTGTAGAATTCTCAGCCAATATTTTTGTATGATCCTTGTAAACAATCAAATATTTCTGTCATCTTTTCCAAGGGTATCCGGCATTAATCCTAATGACTTGAAAATTTCAATGACTGTAACTACATTTGCTTTATCTAATGTTCTCATGTAAGTTCAATTATATGTAGTGTACTTTTTTTTATCTTTCTGCTTTGAAATGAAGTTCTTTTTAGTGTTGATCAATGTGATGACTACATTTCAGAAAGGCCTGCTTGCTTTGTCTTACTTATACAGTTGATAGGATTACTTTATGAATAAAAATAATCACACATATATTATTATAATTTTAAGTGATAAAATTGTGTTTCTTCTAATGAGGCTCTTACATACCAGGTACCCATGTATGGTATTTGATTTTAAATATGCCTACCCATAGACTACTGTCAATATTTCTTAAGCTTCACCCAGTTAATAGTACTTCAGTAGTATCTGTAGTTATTAGCCGGGCATGGTGGTGGGCACCTGTAATCCCAGCTACTCCAGAGGCTGAGGCACGAGAATCATTTAAACCCTGGAGGGATCCTGGGAGGCAGAGGTTGTAGTGAGCCAAGATTGCACCACGGCACTGCAGCTTGGGTGACAGAGCAAGACTCCATCTCAAAAAGAAAAAAAAAAAAAGTATCCCTAGCTGTGACCTTACATGTGATAATTTTACATTCTACATTGTCACTTGTGTCAAGTGAGCACCAGAGAACATTGGTTTGACATATTCTGCAACTACATGAGGGCTGGCTTTATATTTTTTACTACCTGTTTGCAAAGCTGTAAGATTTTTTTTTTCATATTTCACTCCTTTTAAACATTTCTTAACACTTCAATTCTTGTGAGAAAGAAAGAAATTAGTAACAATTTTTAGAGCATGTTTACATTTTTCAGTATTTATATTTTATTCACATAATTTTAATTCATAAACCTACCTCAATTCCCAAATTAGATGGGGCATAAAAACTGAATAGTATTATTATATGTTGGCTTTCTGACATTTCTTTTTTAGAGATTTTTATTCCCTTAATCAGATTATACATAAACATGATTTTCTGCAGGTTGTCGAAGAACTCTTGAAATATAATTTACCCTTAGAATTACTCTATGACATTCAAATGCTTTGTTTTCTTTTTTCATTTTGTCGCATATAACTTTTGGAGCACAATGTAAAAGTTCGAATAATTCTTCAATTCAGCACATTGTTTTCTGTTTAAAAGTCCATGATTTTCAATGAAATATGCTTACATTCTGTAGGAGACAGCATTACTTGTCAATAAACACGTCAAAATGACTCCGTTACAGGCACACAATACTGGATAGATCGTTAATGATCCATTCTATGAGTGTCATACTTAATGATCCAGAGTGGACAGTTCACATAGCTATTTCAGCTGCTGACTAGACAAGCCCCTTGCTTGCTTTTTCTTATACCTTGATCATTATAAAAACAATACTGAGGTTGTCTTTGTTTCTTCCCTTTTCTTTCTTCTATTTCCATTTTTATATTTTTTAGAGATGCAGGTCTCACTATGTTGCCCAGGCTGATCTTGAACTCCTGGGCTCAAGTGATCCTCCCACCTTAGCCTCACAAAGTGCAGGATTACAAGCGCAAGCCACCATGTCCAGCCTTCTTCTACCTCTGAATAAATGCCTTTGTTATTTTGTTCCCTTCTTCTTTGCACTAGTTTAGTCTCCATATTTTCAAATTATATTTTTGTACTCTAAGAATCAATCTTTATATATTAATCTAAATAATTGGTTGATCTGGTATCTTGTTTAACCAGTCATTTGACCCATTATGCTTTTTCCTTTAGCGTTTTAGATATATTCGCACTATCATTCTTAAATTTTCATTTTTACAAGTGCTCAATTCTTTTGCGTATTTTGTGTCGTTCATTCACTAAACAGTATATTGAGCATCAAGCCCTGAGTTAGGGATATAAGACATGGTTCTTACCTTCGAAGAGCTCTTGGTCTAATAAGGGAAATAAACATTGAAACTCTTGCAGTTCTCAAATTGCTATAATAAAAATATGTGTAGGATATGGTGGGAATATGAAACAAAGTGGTAAAGTTTATTTGAAGAAGGTCAGAATAGTTGACAAAGGCAGAATATTTCAGCAGAATCTTGAAGGTTAAGTAGACATATTCCAGATTTAAAAGGATGTGGGAAGTTATACTAGGTAAAGGTATCAGTGTGTACAAGGACAGTGACATGAAATCACTTAGTGCTTTGAACTCAGTGTGATGTGCTGAGGCAACTACAATTTGTGGGTGAAGTGAGCAGAGGTAGGTAGGGGTGAGAAGATAGAGGGTTGTTTTATCTTTATTCTGTAGGCAGAGAGAAATAATAATTGCATACATTAATTACACTCATATAGCAGACCTCCTGGTATGTTAGTAACATACTTTTATGTGTGTTCTATGTATGCCTATCTAAAAATAGATGTTTTGTGTGAAAGCCTTTCATCAGTAGAGTATAAGTATAATTCATACTTTTGAAAAATAAGGTACGTATAGAGGTGAAAGATTAAAGCAAGGATGACACAGAGTCCACTTGAAAGCTGTTGTAATGGCCACTATGAAAGATGATGAGGCATGGATTACTGCTATGCTGGAGTAAGAAGAGGAAGAAACAGGCTGAGGACTATTTAAGCCATTGATTCAATAAGATTCAGTGACTGGAAGTGTAAAATGAGGAAGACTTCAAGATAATTGGTTAGGCTAACTGGGCGGATTTGGGAAGTCAATTTTTAGGATAGAAATTTCACGAGATAAGAATAGGTTGGAGACAGGACCAGTGCTAAAATGTTGAATCTGCGGGAGGTAGGGTATTGTAAGTACAGGTGTTGATGGAAAATCCAGGTGGAAAAATCTAGTACAGTGTTTCTCAAAGCTTAATGTGCATACAGATCACCTGGGGATCCTCTTCACATGCACATTTTTGTACACTAAATATGAGGTTGACCTGAGTTTCTGCAATTATGACAGGCACCCTTGGGATATGGCCATGCTATCTGTCCAGGGATCACCCTTTGAGTAGCAAGGATTTAGAGATAGTCAGATTTAATGCTCAGCAGAAAGATAAGAGCTGGAGATATACATTCACAAGTTCTCAGCATATTTGTGGCAGCTGAAGCCAGACTAATGATTATTTATATAGCTTTAACATTAAAAACAAATTTATTTCCTATAAAGCCAAAATTTGAAAGACTAATAAAAAGTTGCAAATTATGTCGTTCTGGCAGATTTAATATTTTTTATATATTATTTTTTAATTATTATTTATACCTGGTTCTCATTTATCCTATCAACCAGAAACACTCTTATTTGCAGGTTTTCTGTTTTTTGTTTTTTTGTTTTTTTGAGAGAAACTTGTATTTTACATGGAATCTAGTGAGCTAATAGATCTATCATATGAAACCAGTGAAGGCTAAATCCTTTGTAAGTAAGAAAAATCTCATTCTTTTACCAATTAGATGAAACCTTTCTCAAAATGTGCTAAAAACAGATTGGCAAGTGAGGGAGACCAAACATTCAGGCCGGTAGTACTTTAACCCATGAAAAGAACATGAAATGAGAACATAAAACATGAGTCTTGGGCCGGGTGCGGTGGCTCAAGCCTGTAATTCCAGCACTTTGGGAGGCCGAAGCGGGTGGATCACGAGGTCAGGAGATCGAGACCATCCTGGCTAACACAGTGAAACCCTGTCTCTACTAAAAAATGCAAAACATTGGCCAGGCGTGGTGACCGGCACCTGTAGTCCCACCTGCTCTGGACGTTGAGGCGGGAGAATGGCATGAATCTGGCAGGTGGAGCTTGCAGTGAGCCCAGATCGCGCCACTGCACTCCAGCCTGGGCGACAGAGCAAGACTCCGTCTCAAAAAAAACCAAAAAACAAAACAAAACAAAAAAAACATGAGTCTTAAGACTATTATCTTTGGAGTGAGGACATTTGAGAGGCTAGGATAAAAAGCCAGGCTAGCTATGCAAGTTAAGGATTGATGGAGAGGGTAGAAATAATGTATGGAATTCACCAAGTTATTGAAAAAAAAGGAAAAGAGGGTTTCAGGGAGGAGTTTGTAAACAGCATAAACCAAGTCAATGAAAGTAAGATGGGTCCAAAATCATTGCACTTAGCAGTTTTGTAGTTATGCAGTTGGTGGCCATTTCCAGGGCTATTTCAGGAGAGAGAGAGGGTCAGAAGAAGCCAAATCACTGTGGCTTGAAGACTATATTGGAGATAAGGAATTAGAAGGAATGAGGGTTTTTTTTGTTGTTGTTGTTTTAAAGAATGTCATTGTGAACCGTGCAACAGCAAAAGGATCAGTTCACAAAGTCTAATTTTAAGAATTATATTTTAATTTCAATATATTCAACTTTGACGTCAGCTAGTTTAACTCTTTTGTGAGGTGTGGGAGACTCCAACTCCTTTGGAGAAAAAAAAAAAAAGGTAGCTTGGAAGTAGAGACAAGGGTTTTAGTTTTTGATTTGCCATTAATAATCCATTTAATCGAACTAGAAAATGACTGCTAAAGTCACCCAGTCTAAATTTTGTATTTCCATTTCTTCCCTATCTTTCCATTTTTAACAGTAAATCAGTTGAGATGAGAACCACTTCACAGGTAGAGCAGGGATAATACTTTATTTGATCCAATGAGCCATCTGCTTTAATTATGTCATTTTTTTTTTTTTTTTTTTTTTTTTTTTTTTTTGAGACGGAGTCTCGCTCTGTCGCCCAGGCTGGAGTGCAGTGGCGGGATCTCGGCTCACTGCAAGCTCCGCCTCCCGGGTTCACGCCATTCTCCTGCCTCAGCCTCCCAAGTAGCTGGGACTACAGGCGCCCGCCACTACGCCCGGCTAATTTTTTGTATTTTTAGTAGAGACGGGGTTTCACCGTTTTAGCCGGGATGATCTCGATCTCCTGACCTCGTGATCCGCCCGCCTCGGCCTCCCAAAGTGCTGGGATTACAGGCGTGAGCCACCGCTCCCGGCCAATTATGTCATTTCTTAAAAGTAAGGCTGCTTTCTCCAGAACTGCAACGTAGTTTTTGGCAGAAAGTATAAAGACAGACAAAAATTACTCTGTCTCTCATCAGCAATATATTTAAATACTGCTAAATGAAAATCTGAATTCAACAGATGCTTTCAGGTAGACCACAGAAATTAAAACTCTGCTTTATTTTCCCTATTCCATCATGTGCTTGTTTAACTTCTTCAGTAACTTTTTCTATGTTGATGCTACTGCCTGGGCTAGGATTGATTTTAAGCTCAGTTTAAAGAGTATTTTGGTAACCCTTGATTTCCAGGCACTATGTGCCTGAAAACACGGAAGTTGTTCCTTAGATAGTTATTGAATCAATGAATTATTTTATTAATTAATAAATACTTTTAGACTATAAGAGATTAGTACTGAAGTACTTAAAATTGCCCATTTTTATAAACAAGTTTTGCATGGCCAACAGGTATTTTGGAAACACCTATGCTCTAATATGGTAGGAATGTTATATAAGGTCATTTGGCTTCAGAATAAAACTCACTCAGTGTCTATGTAGGCCTTTTCTCGGAAATATTATTTTTTAAATGTTGTGAATAGATTGAATTTGAGCAGCTTCTGGCTTTTTTTGATGGAGTCAATGTAAACGTTATACTATATAAGACGTAAAAACTTAGCTATATCTATATGTTTTGGAGTCTAGACTGAAAAGTATTCCTTAAAAGTTTAATAGACTTCTTTGGTTTTTGGACTATAATTCATTTGTAGAAAATTGAAATTGAATTGTTTCACTATAACTCCCAAGTGGAAAATCATTTCAGGAGGTCTATGAATAGGTACATTTGCACAATCTGATTGGCTACCCAAAAGGCAGAACCAATTATATTATGCTAATGTGCATATTATGCTCAGAAATCTGAATTTACCATTCTAGTACCTCAATGTATATTGTCTTTTTAAAGAGGTAAGCTTATAGCTGTCAAGTTCTGCATAAAGAGGTTTTAAAGATTTGTAATCGTCAGGTTTAGGGAGCTTGAAGCATTCTCACGTTTCACAATAATGACTGAATCTTTCCTTTGACAGTAAATACAAAGCTGACTGCAGTGATAACCTTGATTAAGTATTACGTGGCTGTGGAAACATTCTGGAAAAGGCTTTTTGTATCTTTATGTGAAGTTCATAACAACCTGAGGAAAATCATTTGGAAATTTTCTCATTAAGAGCTTAGCAGAAAAGCATTTTGTTTGCATTGCCTAATAAAATGAAAATAAACTAGTGGATATGTAATTTTTCTAGGGCATGTAGTTTATGGTCTAAAAGGTTGTGGTGCTTTTGTGACACCATTTATCAAGGATTTTTATTTGATTTATTTTATTTTATAGCTCATCATATAATTTAATATGAAGAATTTTCTTTAAAATTGAGTAAACAACAATAAATGCTGTTAATGATCCTGTCTTATATAGGTGCCTTATAAACCCTAGGATGCTCAAAACATCTCTTGCTCAAACTAAGAAAAAAAAACCATGAAAACATATATATTATAGACTTTTCAATTTTAATTTTAGATGGAGAAATAAATAAATTATTTGGTGGAAAAACCTTAATACATAGAATTTTTCTCAAATAATTTCTGGTATGTTAATCAGTGATAAATCAGGTAGCCAGCTGGCTATGTGTGAGAAATCACTGTGGAAATCAAACATTCTAATCTAAGTTTGAACAAGGGTGTTGCCTTGAGTTAAAGAAAATTAGTAAATTTTATATTAGAGCTAAGTTATAAATGGTGATTTTCTTTGGAAATATGATAGCTTATATAATGCTTCTAAAGGTTATTCTTAATATAATGATGGTAAAAGATATACACTCCAGTTGTAAGCTATCAAATAGTTCACTATGCCTCTGTCTATAACTGTGATTATTCTTTTGTTTAAACAGTACAGTGTGTCAAGGCAGGAGAGCATAGCATAATTTGATAGGAGAATATAATAAAATATAATGACATTTACTAGTCCCTTATACTCCTACCATGTTATTTTGTTAGTTCATTAAACGGTTTTCTCTTTCACTTTAATGTTCATTGATCCCCAGTGTATATGAAAGCCTTTACATAGCTCAACTCTTTAATTTGTTATTTCAGTAATTATTGTTCTTGTGTTATTTGTTAAGTTTTTTTTTTACTAAAATGTTTTAAACATGGATTGTAATCTAGTATGGAAGAATTATATTAACTTTAAAAATCCATTGCTTTAATTTACAAGATATTTTCTAATCTCATTAAGGGGGATTTAGCAGCACAACTCTCATTTACACAAAAACAGGCTGGTTGGGCTTTCTATGTGGGAGAATTTGCATCTGAATTTTAAAGCACTAAGCCTTTTTAAAATTCCCCTGATAAATCAGCTTTTAGGATTCATCCAGCAAATAGGTGTGGGGAGAAACTGTAAACACTTAGCTAAGTGGTTACAGATACTTGAGCAATTAAAAATAAGGTAATTTTATTTGTGTAAAGGATTTGGGCTTAATTTGAATCAGAGAACTGTGGAGGGCTGTGCTCGGGGTACGATACCACCACAATCACCACTGCCACAACAATAACACAATCACTTCTTCAAGGGCAAAGACAGGAAAGTAGTTAGGAGTTATGTCTGCTTTCTTTAATAACTTCTGCCACAAAAATGACAATGAGGAGAACACCGGAGTACAGTGAATTGAGGAAAGGAAATACTGTTTAATGAGATGAGTTGGATACATGCAGATTTTATTCATACTTCATCAAGTCTTTATATTATTTCATGGCATTTCAATTCACTGAAATGCAGTGATTTGTAGAAATGAAATAATATTTAATGAATGGAGAAGGACATGTGATATTTTATTCTTACTACTTTGGTTGTTTCTTTTGCTATATGAGTCCTTGTCACCTTTTAAAAATTACAGGAAAATTATAGGATTTTATATACAGCAACCTTGCCAAACAATTATTGAATTTAATTATGAATTTGTAGATTCTTTTGGTGCCTACATGTAGACAATCATATCGTCTGTGAATAGTGGCAACTTGGATACTTACAAGTCTATAGATCTCTAATTTATTTTTCTTGTCAGATTATACTAGCTAAAATTCTTGTAAACTTTTAAAATAAGCGTTGGTAGCAAATACCGGGTCATGTTCAGAAGAAAATACATTTAGCTTTTACTATTGACAATATCTATTGTAGCCTTTTAGTTTATGTCCTTAATCTATAATTTATATATACATGTATTATATATATATGTGTGTGTTTATATATATGAATTATATATATGTGTGTAGATGTGTATTATATCTATCTGTTTATTGGTTTACTATGCTTTTTATAAATAGATATAAATTTTATTGGATGTATTTTCTGCATTCATTGAGATGATTATATACTTCTTATTTAATCCATTACTAAAGTACCATATCACTAAATAGAAACAATGTGTTTAAATGGTATTATTCTCTTTATAAACTTCTGGATTGTTTGCTTTAGGATATTCGTGTATATATATATATATATATATATATATATATATATATATATGAAAATTGTTTATAATTTTCTATTGTCAGCTTCCTGGTCTGGTTTTGATATCCAACTTACAATTCCCCCAAAAAATCAGTACAGAGTCTTTCTCTTATTTCTATTCTTTTTTATTTTTATTTTTCTGAGATGGGGTCTCCCTCTGTCACCCAGGCTGGAGTGCAGTGGCGCCATCTCGGCTCACTGCAAGCTCCGCCTCCCGGGTTCACGCCATTCTCCTGCCTCAGCCTCCCAAGTAGCTGGGACTACAGGCGCCTGCCACCACGCCCAGCTAATTTTTTGTATTTTTAGTAGAGACGGGATTTCACCATGTTAGCCAGGATGGTCTCAATCTCCTGACCTCATGATCCGCCCGCCTCGGCCTCCCAAAGTGCTGGGATTACAGGCGTGAGCCACCGTGCCCAGCCTCTTGTTTCTACGCTTTGAAAAAGTTTTAACTTTGGATTATCAATTCGCCAAGTGACTTATAGAATTTGCCTGTCAAAACCAGACATGTTGTTTTTTAAAGCATGATGTTTTAATAATTATTTATTTAATAGTTACATAGAAATTTTCAATGTTCTCCTTCCACTTTTTGAGTAAGTTTTTTGAGTAAATTTTTCTGACATTGAGCATTTTGCCTAGGTCCTAAAATATGTTGTTATAAAGTTTTTCAAAATATCATTTTACTTTTCTTTTAATTTCTATCACATCTCTAATTATGTTTCTTTTTTCATTCACAATATGGTTTTTATGACTTATCTCCGATTTATTAACTTTGCCAGCTATTTGCTAATATTAATTTTCTTGAGGTTTGGTATGTTATGATCCTCTGTTATACCTGAATTTCAAATGCATTAATTTCTGCTTTTCAAAAGTACTCATTTTACATCCTTTGCATTTATTCTTTCATCATTTTAACTTATAAATTTGGATACTTAGTGCGTGAATATTCAGTCTCTGTTATGATATAATATGATTATAATTTTTCCTAAGTTAAATATATAAATTCTTCAAACTTTGATAGGGTAGTATATCTAATTGTCAATAGTGTTCAGTTCTTTTTTCTCTTAACTGTTGTGATTTCTTTTTAGTCCCACATGGTATTTAGATGTATGTTATTAAATTTCCAAGCAAATGAGGTTTTCAAAATGTAATATTTTATTTTTGATTTCAAATGGATTCGTAGTCAGAATGTGGTCATTATGAAATTTGTCAGGACTTTTAGTATGTGTTAGGTTTTTGTAAATGTTTCAGTGGTTCTTGGAAAAAATGTGTTATTTCCAACTATCAGTAACACAGCTCAATTATGACCATTGAGTTAATCTCATTAATAGCCTATTTTGTTTATGTCCTGCTTTCTTGACTTTTTTCTTTAAATCTGCTTAATCTAACAATTACCAAAAGTGTTGTGTTGACATCTTCCACTATAATTATATATTTGTATGCTAGTATAATAGCTACATCATTTAAATATATTGAAGCTGTATAAAAATCCCTCCAAAATTAAGCATTTTATATCTTTTCTGCAGAATTGAATCTTATATGAATATCTAGTGCTTATCTCTACTTTGGTGGTGGTGGTTGTTGTAGTCGTCTGTTTTGGTATGTTACCTGGTAATTTACCTTGTTATTTCTATATCAGATGGATTTTGTTTAGAATTTGCCTGACATATCTTTTTCTGTTGTTTGACTTTTAACTTCCAGTGTTCGTTCTTGTATTTCAGGTTTTTTTTCTTGTAAATAGCATAAGGCTGATCTGTGTTTTGTTTTATCTAGTCTTGACAATTTTTGTTTGGTCTCTTCACAAGACCCAACCTAGCAAGCATTCCCACTACTCCTTTTTCAGGGAAAATAATTTTTCCTGATTTCCTTACCAAAGGTGCTACTTTTTAGAATCCTGACGTTATGGAAGATAAGTCTTTGGATCTTTCCCCTTTCCTGGGTCCCAGATCTTGTCTGTTGCCTTCAAGATTGGCTTGAGGATTCAAACTAGTGTGCTCCAGATAAGCAAGTGTTCAGGATTTACCTCTCGTGGTTCAGGCATTCTTGTAATATTGGCCTCTGAGGATTTTGTTACCCTTAATTTCCTGCTCGCTAACCCATATATCAAATATTTTTAGGTGATCTATACTGGAACTATCTTTCTCAAAATCGATGATGCTTCATTGCCAGAAGCCAAAGGGAATAATAATAAAGTATGCAGTGTTTAAATCTTATACTCAGAAGTAATTTTAGAAGTAACCCACCCACCTTTTAATTTACGTAGGCCCTCAGTTTCCTCATCTGAAAAACAGGAATTTTAAAATCTGCTTTGCAGCATTAGGTTTTTCACTATAACTAGAATATGTGAAACCCTTGGCTCATAGTTAGCCACATAAGCGCTCCATAAATGCAAATTAATAGTCATAAGGTTTTATTTATATTGAGTATTTAAGTGAAGAATGCCTTTAAAAAGGAAGTACAGATGATGAAACAAACTGTTAATGACACTGGGAATGATTTTAGGTTAAAATGCATAGTTTGAAATTTACAGTGATGCATTGAACAAAATGAAGAAATGTGATATTGTATGGCAAATTAGGCACAGTAATGAAGCTCAACCATTATTCAGCTTTTATAAAAAGAGAAGTGGCAACTTTAAAATTAAGACAAAGCCAATTTTGAAATGCCTTTACTATCTCAAAGTTTCTACTTGGTTGAAATCAATTCATTGATCTGATCAAGGGTTCATTCCTGTCTTTAGTGGTACTTTCATTCTTTAGTTCTTCATAGCTTTTATTACTCTTAAAGAATCTTCAGGTTCATACTGATGAAACCAGGCATATGGTACAGCTGCATTATAATACAGCATTGTCTTCTGTTTTTTTCTGTCACTATTTTCTAGTGTAAACCAAGAAAAGACTCTTTAGACTTCAGAGCATTTTATAATTGTGCAGTGATTATGCAAATATGCTTGTATGCTGTGTCCATATGATTAACACTATATATACATGTGAATGAGAAACAGAACTCTGAATAGACTATTTTACCATACTATTTTAAGTCAGTAAGATCTATCTTCTGTCTCTTCAGTTAGATAAAAATACATAAGCATGTAACTCCTATTTATGAGCACAGGGCCGCCATTCACTCCATTGCTTAAGCCTAATAATCCTAGAATCATCCTTGACTTCTCCCCTTGTTCCTTACATCATGTCCAGCCCATGAAGACATATTCTCTTAACACCAAAATACATATCGAATCATATGTCTTGATTTCCAATGTGACCATCCCCCCAAAGCCCTCATGTTCCTCCACATTTCTTGGTAGGTCTTGCTGCTTTCACTCCTGCTCTTCCATAGCATATTCTCTGAAGAGCAGCCTGAGGGATGTATTTGAAACCGGTGCTAGATCATGTTGCCCTATGCCAACATTTCCCCAATGTCCTCCTATCACACTGCAATGAAAGCACAGAATCCTTGCAGTGGCCCCTGACTGTGCAACTGAAAAAAGTCCTCCTTCTCCTCCCCTCCTGCCCTGAGCTCACTGCAGCCATACTGGCCTTGTGGCTGCTGCTGGAATGCTTGCCCCTAGAATATGCACTTCTTTCTTTCAGCCGCTGCCAGTTTCTTTTCCCTAGGCTTGCTTCATTTTGCTTTGTGGCACTTATTACATGACATTATATTTCATAATTTTATGTCTGTTTGTTCAGTTTGGATGTTTTTTACCCTGGTGTCCCGGCAGAATTACCTGAGAAGTTATTAAAAATTATACACATTAGAATCACCTGAGATGTCATAAAACGTACATAATATTTATGTTCCAAGACCCTGTTTTTGTATATATTTTTCGACAAATTCAGTAAGAATCTCTAGGTACAGTAGGGATAGGGGAATCCTAGGCACTGGTAGTTCTTAAAAGATCTTTAGTCCAAGTTAAAAATACCTGAAAAGCAATGTTTGCTTTGTTTCTTTCTCCACTCAATAGGCTATGAGTTTATTAAAGGCAAGGGCATTATTTATTTTGCTCACTGCTGTATTTCTAGTCCTTAGGAAAATATCTGGCTCATAGTAGTCTTTCAATAAATATTCATTCATAATTTTTAAAATTCCTTAGTCTTTCTCTTGTAGAATATATAAACAAATATGAACCATCGATATTGACCGTATGTAATTCTGTAATCCCTATACCTCTAATTCATTCATCAACCTGTTCACTCATTTAAAAAATATTTTTTCAGTGCCTTCAATGAGCCAGATAAAATCCTAGACTCTTGGAAATCAAGATTGAAATAAATATATAAATATCTGCCCTCATGGAGCTTATATTCTAATAATCCTGGTGGTAAATTTCTCTAGATGAGTATAATTTTGGAAATTAGAAAATGTAAGTTCTTTAAATAATTTTGTATGTATGGTATATCATCTTCAAGAATAGCCACTTAAACTTATTGAGACCAATCTTAAAATTATTTTTAAAGAATCCTTCTCCTTTAATTCAGTTTAACTGAAACTGTTATTTTTGTGCTGATGTATAAAACAACTTTCCAAAGTAGTTTCAGAAAGTTTTTTTTTTCTTAAACTGTGACTAATTAAAAGAAAACCAGTTTTCTGAAAAAAAAAAATAATTGGATTGTAACAGATTTACAAGAAAGACCAACTACATCTGTCTTAAGAAAAGCTCTGATTCTGCAGTATAATGCCAGTTGGACTGATAGCTCTGGGATATCCTGGGCAATCATGTTTGATCATTTAAAGGTTCATTTGAGTTTTGTACAAACACTCAATTTTTTATTTTTTTATCCATTCACTCAACAAATATCTGCGGGTGCAATAAATTACCAGGTATTTTGCCAAGTTCTAAGGTTAGAATACTTGTTCTTTGCTCTTAAGAAGTTTACTTTATAATAGAGGCCTAATTTTGTAAAGAAATAATGTCAAATATGTCAAAAGTAATATAAGACACCTACTGCAAAGAAGCATATGATATTGAATCTAGCGCCTACTCTTAAACTGCCAAAATTTCTCCCTCTTTTGACATTCTGTAACATTCATCTTGTTTTTTGTCAACTGACACAGTCTGCCTTTATTCTAGTTACTTATCTACTCATGTTATATATTCCTTTAAGCTCCCTTTGGTTTACACACACACACACACACACACACACACACATATATGTGTATATATATGTGTGTATTATTTGTATATTATTTGTATATGTATGCACATTACATTACCTACCACATTCACTCCAATACATATATTTTATCAAATTATACAGTAAAAATTAAAATGACTGTGAAGGGTTATAGTCATTCTTATAAATATCTAAAACCAAATGCAATAAATTCAAATGTATAAAATCATGCTCAAAGGTTGCCAAAGAAGCTAAATAAATTCAGATGAATAACTCTGTTTATAATTCAGGTATAATACAAAATGATCCAGAAATTGTAATTAACTGGATTCGACACTGAAATCTCTAGAAAGGCCAAACTGTCTGGGGCAAGTAGTGACTGCTCATTACGTCTGGTAAACCCTGTAACTTCCCTCTGAGATAAGAGCAGTGCAGGGGTTTTTAGAGTGAACCTAAACACCTCAGTTTTTGGAATGTAGGTTTTCATAAGTTGCTGTGCATCTTTTAGTCTTCCAAGTTTGTGTTTTTCCCATACGTGAAAGCAAGATCTCAGCATTTAAGGGTCAAACACCTTCAGTTTGGCCTGGTTACCTTAATCATGCAAGTTTAGGGGAAATTCCAGAAACTTTAAAAACTTTCCAGTCTATTTCCCATCTTTATGACTCTTGGGTGGTTGTCTGGTCCTTTTAATGTTGTGAGGCAGATGAGTGTAGGAGCTAGAGTGTGGATTCCAAAGGCACACATGCCTCAGTTTGAAACCTGGTTCTCCCACTCACAATTGTACCACCTTAAAAGAGTTAACGTCACTAATCCTTAGCTTCTCTGTCTGTGAAATAGGGACACACTCTGTATCTTATGTGGCTTTTTTAATGATTACATTAGAAATTCCTTGTAAAGGATGATAGGTATAAAAATGTCAGGTTCCTCTTACACTTATATTTTTTTAACACATTTCATCAATTATTTTGTATTTAATCTCCTGTTCTCCTTTGGTCAGTTTAGGTTATTGCTTCTCTAAATTGGGATTCAAACCTATCAGTGACTGAACAACAAAAAAAAATTAAGTTAAAAAGGGTGTTTAAATGCAAAAATGTGAGACTGACATGATCTCAGAATGAAGGATAATTTCTTATATTGAAAAAATTAACTTAAAATAGAAGTCACTACACTATTTTTGCTCTTCTCATTTCTCTTTGGATCAGACAAAATGTTAGCCTAGATTTGCGTTCATGTTTAGGACTGATTAGGTATCTTTAGTGGCCTGTTTTTATTCTGATATACTTTGAGATTATTTTGGTCATGGACTTAAGAGCTACTAGTGTTGGGGTGGCCAGACCCAAAACCAGGCCATGAGGGGTTTTAGACCCTGGACCCAGAACATGTTCCAAGACTCTTTTACATTATGGCAGACATGCAAGCCCTGCCTCAGCTTTTCCCAACAACTAGCAAAATACCTAATTTATGTATTTATTTATTTTTATTTATTTATTTTGAGACACGGTCTCACTTTGCTACCCATGCTGGAGTTCAGTAGTGAAAACACAGCTCAGTACAGCCTCAACTTCCTGGGCTGAAGCAATCCTCCTGCCTTGGCCTCCCAAAGTGCTGGGATTATAGGTCTTAGCCATGGTGCCTGGCCTTGAAGAATAATAATGGTCATTTTATTTACGGTAAAAACCTAAAGAGGAAAGTTGTACATAACTTAAAGATTCACTGTTAGTCTCCACAATAATTTTAGTTGAATAGCATAGTTATGGATACTCAGGCCTAAAGAACAATGAAAGATGCATTTTTGTGACCACAAAATTGTATACATCTGTTTTTTTTTTAGAAGAAGTGCCACGCTAATACTTTAAACTTTTTTAAAAAGACAAAGCTGAATAACCAATTTCATTTATGCTTATAAAAACATCACACCAGCAATAAGGCCTTTCATTCAGTATGTTTCTTCTAAGAAATATGCTTATATGACAAATTCAGGGACACTTTTTCTTAACATATTAAATTACATATTTTTAAAAATTGTATTTTCTAGTTTAACTCATTAGTGTGACTGTCAAAAGATTTTTTTCTGAATATCAGTAATAATTGGAAGAAATAAGGTGTTAGCTGTAGTATTATATTGAACACAGTCTTATTTACTTGAGTTACCCAAAATAATTGATCCTTAGAAAAAACTCTGTAATACAATTTCAATGACAACCAAATGCCTGAACCTTGGTGCATTACTTTATGAAAGAATACTTTCTTGTGGCATATTTCAGGGACCTCTTAATTGTCATATTTATCCTCAACTAAGATTTGATAATTATTGTTACATTGAAGACCATCTTTGTTTGTGGATAAATAAATAGTAGGTATTTCTGGTTTAATGAGGAGATATTAGTTAAATGAAGAACCACCTTTAAAAACTCAATGTCCACATTGGTTTAATGATAATATATGTTAATATTGCCTTTCTAGGCTGGAAATAATTATTTGAATGTGTTATTTAACAAAATCTTGGTATATGAATATAATATTGTTATTTTATGGAAATTCATTTTTAAAGGTTTTGTGCATATTTAAATAACTTTTACATGTTATGCTATGTACATGAATATTGGTTGACTAATATAACTTAGCAAACCATTCAAAAACCTGAATTGTAAAGTGAAATTAGTAGTAAAAATAATAATAAAATGACTGGGAAATTTTACATTAAGTATCTAAGAAAGCATTTTTCAAGTGAGTTAAAAACAGAAATTCCTTGTACATGTTATCACTTAATGTCTAAAAATACAGCTGTTGAATTCAACAGTCCTAGATTCAATATCACTTACCACTTATGTGACTTCAGGCAGTTCCTTATGTAAGCTGAGAATTTCTCAAATGAGAAGAGTATGATAATTTCTAAATAATAAGATTATTAATCAAGATAATGTTTGTACTGCAATATCCTAGGCAAAGAATAAGCACTCAATAAACAACACTAGCTAATAATGTTAATAAGTATAACTTTAAAACGTGAGAACTTATATGATAAAGAATTTTGGAAATCTGCATACAAAAAAAGTTGAACAGCTTTTTTTTTCTTTAACCTTCCCCAGAGCTTTTTAAATGCTAATATGCATTATGAATCTTTTGAAATTCTACAATTTCTAGATTAATTAACTAGTTCTCCCCCAACCTCCTTTTTTTTTTTTTTTTTTTTTTTTTATTTTTCACAGAGCATCTCTTGGGACTTGTATTCTTCCCACACACTTTCTTAAATGATTTCTTAGGTAAACACCTACCTATTAATCATACTGCATGCAAAATTCATATTGCTTAGGTTTTCAACTTTTTTTTTTTTAATTAAGTACTAAATGTCAAATGTCAGGGTAGCGAATGTTTGAAAAACTTTGTTCACGAACATGACAGTCAGCTAGCTAACCAGAATAAAGTTTTTTAACTACATCAAAATTGGTATTTCCATTCTAGAAGTGCTCATAAGCATCAGAGCATAATATTCAATTAATACTTTCCAATATTAGTAATTATTTGTTAATAATAGAGGTTTATTTATTTACAGTTGATTTATATTACAAATTATAGTGCTTATGCTTATTTACTGTCATAATTATATTTAGATTTTAATTGTGTGTATGTTTGTAATAAAAGAATTATACAAACTGAAAAGTGGCAAGATGGCTATGAAGAAAACCAGAATATTTTACCCCCTAATATGTTTGAAGTTAGAAGCAGCCTCAAGTTCTCTCTGATCTCTCCCAGAACCCTTGGTCTCTCCCAGAGCACTGGATGAGACTGTTCTCCGAGGTTCCCTTATCTACCTAGAAAGCAGACATGCAAGGAAGAACACAAATGTCATTGTTTTCCCTCCCTGAAATGTCATTATCTATCACAGAACAGAAGAGTGAGGAATGTAACCACATCTGGATGGATTTTTTCCCACAAAATAATGCTGCCTCTGGGGCTCATTCAAATTCCAAAGAGAATTATTTACAAGTTAATTTTTGTCTCTGGGGTCCATTCATGCTCCCTTATTATAATTTATTACCCCTAAAAAGAATTGTCTATATTCCCCATCTCCTCCCTCCCCTGAAGGGTTTATAAGCTTCTATACATTAAATAATCATTCTCCTGTTATTCCATCATGCTATTCATATTAAAATAAATGTTATATGCCATATCTCCTATTAATCTGTTTTTTTTTCCAGTTGGTTTTTCAGCAAACCTTCAGAAGCTAAAGGGAAAGTTTTTTCTAGCCCCTACAACTAGTATCTTGCTCTACAAAAAAAAAAATATATATATATGTGTGTGTGTATATATATATATATGTATGTATATATGTGTGTGTGTGTGTATATATATATATACACACACACATTACTAATGTTAACAAAATATCAATGAGATCTGTGGAGGCAAAAGGAGAACTTTATTTTCTGGAAAAAATATATGCAGATTGGGGACGCACAGTCTTTAGTACAAGTGAACGTGTGCTCTTTGAAGAAAAAAAAGAGGGTCTGGCTTAAACAGGGGAAGTTCTTGCCCAGGTTCTTAACCAGGTCCATTTATGCATATAAAAAATTCAAACTTTTTCTGTTCTCATTGCTCAAAATAGTCAGGACTTGATTGGATGATGTCCAAGCCCCAAACCAAAGTCTCCGTCAGATGTTTCTTTCAAATGGCTGGTAGTGGGGATAGGGAAGATCCAGCCACAATTCACTTTGGCACCAATAACAGAAACTGATTTGGCTCGACCGTAGCAAGGGAGGTCCTGTGACACTTTTATAATATCTTTCTGAGAACACAGAGTGTGTTAACCCTGCCTCACCCAGCTATGGCTGCCTGGTTTTGCTTTAACCTTGAGCCCTTTAGTTAGCCATGGGGGAGTCCATTTTGTCTGTTGGTCTGGGGCGTGCTTTGACACTAATATAGTCATTATAAAAGCAGACTGTTGACAAAGATCATTAGATATTGTGTATAAACTTGAAATTTAAGCCTTGGAATCTCAAATACTGTCTTCACCTTGTGTTATATTTATTCTAACATACTAATATAATATATCAATAATTTCATATACTTATTATAATTGTTCTACCTGTCCACAGTTTTGGAAAATACGCCTTCCACATTGTACCAGAGGAATCCATACAAAGCTAACTTCCCTTTGTCTTCGGTGTAACTCCTGGCTCTTTAACAAAACGTAAGACTCTTCACAGCCTTGCAAACGCCCACTCTCCATCTCCACCTTCAAAGCTTCCATGTACTTCATCACTTAATGCTCTGTCATCACTTAGGATTTGATAGATCCCTGCACACTTTAGGCTATTTTATTCGTTTGCCTTTGTGCCTTTGTGTAGTGTTCTTCTAGGCAGCTACTCCGACTCATTGTTTAAGATTATGCTTAGACATCACCTGTTCTAGAAGCCTTCTTTAACCACTGAATCAGAAGCTGAACTTAGTGTCATTCACCGATGTTTCCTTTTCACACTATTACTTCTGTTACTTGAAGTGAACATGCTGCATTCTAATAATCTGTTTGAGTGCCTTTTTGTTCCCAAAAATGTCAGCTTTTTGAGGGCAAATATTGTGGCTCATTAATTCCTGGCATCCCTTTGGTATCTTGCTTGATCTATGGCGATTACTTGTGACTGACCTCACTAAATGTTGGAAATATTTCCATTAGGTGGTTTAACCTTAAAAATCTTTGAACCCTCCAAGTTTCCCTTGTAATATCTAAGAGTGTTTGATCTGTACATCAGTATTTCTATGTGAATGCTATTATATAACATTGAGAGATTGTCCTTTCAAATCCTAACCTTCCCTTTCCCCAAGATATTAGCTCACCCACTGATTTTCTGAATTATTCTAATACCAACTGCATCTTATTCAGGCACTTGCTGGTAATGAACTTCTTAGACATGCTGAGCCCACTAATATCCTTTGAATTCTTATGTTCTCCCTAAGCCCTCTTTCTGGGTAGAGTCTCAGAATGTTCATCAGCCCCCACAGTGCTCAAATTGATCTTCATTGACATGACCAAAATCATGCAGAGGGTACTATATTAGATAATTGAGAAAAAAACAAGAACTTGAAAGGAATATTTAGTTTTTAATATGTACTAAATTTTTCTCTTGTTACTTTATTCCTTAATCTGAGTCAGTTATTCTTATGGCATCACCTTTCAATTTCCCATTGTTAATTGCACTAAAATTCTATTTATAGAACCTCTTTATAACAAGGGATCTCAGGTTGAAGATAACAGTGAAGGCTAGGTCACGTGTTGTCATGAATTGTCCTGTGTATTGTAATTATCTTTAAATATCTAACTATGGGAATGATGACGTCTTGTGCTTAAAGAAGTCACTTCCATCCACCCAGTCATATTCCAGGCTTCTACCAGCAAACAAATGCTCACATCTTCCTACGCTTATACAATGTGCCCCCTCAGATTTGTAGCCAAAGTCAAGTTTCCCTTGAGTAGCACACAATTCTGCATTCAGGAATATTTTTTTTTCTTTCTACAGTCCTGGAGGGGGTGGGAGAGTGGAGAAAGGGGTTGGGGGGAGGGAGAGGAATATAAATACCCAGGAGAGAATATTGCAATGCTTTAGTTGAGACTGGCAGGTATGAAGAGTTGTATACTGCACATAAGGCAGAGATTTCATTTTTATCCATTTTTGTCACATTTTCTTTAGTGAACAGAAGGAGGAAAAAGAGAGAGTATGACTTTGTACTAATTAGAAAAATAAAGATAAAAATAGACATTTTGAAATTGGACATTTTATGGGCACCATTTGTTCTCTCTTTCCTTTCTGTTTTTATCCAGCACTACTTTTCCTCTGGTTTCTTCCCCTACCTCACCTCATTTTATCAGCTGTCTCGAGCTGCCTCTGACCTATCTCACAGTCATGAGATGTGGCAACCACAGGTGTCAGCAGCTCTTCACAGCTGGTAAAGCCATGCTTTCACTTGATTCCCCCGCCCCGCCCCATTAAAAACAGAAAAAAAGAAAACCAAACACCTGTTTTGACTCTTGTCCCTTCCTTTTCTCCAATAGCAAATTAAACTGACAAGCTGGCTGGACAGTGGCAGAGGGGACTTAGTTTTCAGTCAAATTATTTTTAAATCTCCTTTTTGCCAGTGGTTCCTCTTCCTGTCATTTCTTCCATGTATGTTTTTGACAGCTGGGATTATTTTTATTGCACATTCCAGTCTCTGCTTTTGAATAGCTACATTTTTTTTTTCTACCTCCCAGATTTAACTAGCAGTAGAATGGCTATGTCTGACCCCTGTATTTAGCTATTTCCCCACAGTTACAAATATCTACATTGGATTTCATTCATTCTCTAAGAACATAAATATCCATAATATGCCAATGCTGCCAGATGTTGGGGCCAAAGATATGAATAACACGTGGCTCCTGTTATTGAATAGATCAGTGTATAATACCCAGCTAGACACAAAACAGTTGCCTATGGAGAGATGCCAAGAGACAAAACTGTAAATCCTGAATGGATAATCCTTTAGGTTACACGTAAACTGTCACATATGTCCTGCCCTAATCCTTAGGATGTTCCTTGTACATTTCTAGATGATAGTAGGTAGGGTCTTTGAAGACTGCTTTGTCCAAAGAGTATTTTTTTTTATCTTAAGATCGTACTTTTTATAAATATAAAAAAAACCCTCTGCATTTAAAAGTAGAATGATTTAAAAAAGAAGAAAAACACAAGTTGGGGGAAACTGTGCTAATTTTGGATTTAAATGAAATCAAAATTAGAATATTGCGTAAGTTTCCATATGTTAACCCTCACAAAGACAGGGATAACTTAGAAGAGGAACTGTCCCTGAAGCGTGGAGGGAAAAGGGATGGCTTGGTGAATCCTACTTGCTATAGTTGACAATAAAGGAACCACACGTTTGAGCTCTGATTATTTCTGTTATGGAAGCTAAAGAGAAGAATTTAGCAACAAAATATTAAATTTGTTCATCATCTACTACATGATGATATCATATAAAATATTTTGACAAATATATTATTTCATCCATATTACCATTCTGTAATGGTAATATGCACCATTACATATTAGTAGCCATAACATATTAGATCATAATGTGTAATATGAGATATGATCACTCCCCCTTCTTTCTTTCTTTTCTTTCTTTTTTTTTTTTGACTGATGAGAGGTGGTGGTTAGGGAAGTTTAATGGTAAATTAACTGGTATGGACTAGAACCAGATTTTAATGGAAGCTTTTTGACTTCACTCTTCCCACTAAAGTAATTTCTGAAGGAGTTTTCAAAAATATCAGTGGTGTAATCTAGGAGTATGCAATTAACATGCTATGGGTCATTCTAATGAAAGTGGTCTAAAAGTGACATAATGCCCTTATATTTTGACTTATCTTTTTTTATTATCATCAGTCACCTGTTAGGACAAGTTACACTAAACACTGCATTAATCATGGGACTATTCAAGGTGTTGTACCAATGTAATTACATAGGCCAAGGCTAAACTTTCAGTGAGTTTACAATCACAGGTGTTTATAGAAGTTCAGAATTATAATATTTAAAATGTATGAACAATTAAGTGTGTCAGGCCCTGTAGCAAGCTCTTTACATAGACTATCTCATTTAATTCTTAAAGCAGCCCAATAGATAGGTATTGTTTCTATTGCTGTTTGCAGATGAAAAATTTGAGCTTCATGTAAACAACTTGTCATGTATCCTTAAATTATGTGTAGCACACTTAGAATGTAGAGTCAGAAAAATGTAATGATGTGTACTAGTAGGTCACAAGAGAAAAATAAGTACATTTTATTAGATAGAAAAACCTTTCTTTTTAATGATGGAAAGAGCAGCACCATGGGAGTTAGATGTCTGGATTAGAGCTGCTAGAAGGAAAATTCTAACCTTCTTTGATTAATCTACTTATTAACTATGTGACCTTGGTCACATGATGACTGCTATACTCAATTTCCTATTCTCTAAAATGTGCATAGTAATAATTGACACCCATTAAAAACACCAATGAACACGTATATCCGCATCATCATATCCTCATATTTCCAAAAGTGATATTTGTTCTTGTTAAGTAAAATTGCAGGGAGAAAAAAAAATCTCCAAACACTTATTCAAACAAAAAATGTAATATTTAGACACACAGGATAACTTTTTAAAATTCATATTTTATTATATGTCTTCTAATACTTCTTCATAGTTAAAACTTAGCCGCTCCTTTTTCATATGCCTCATTATTACCCAGCCATAAAATGGCTAACTTGACATATTTTCTTTGAGGAGCAAAGAAAATAAAAAGATGTAGGCCTTAGGCAAAGTATTGTATTAATGTACTTAATGAATAAAGAACTGAAATTATTTGCAAATGACAGAAAATGGCCTATATCTTTAGAGTAAATTGTGAAAAATTAAATTGGGTTTACTCTAGGCTAACAACTTCATACTTCTGTAGTATTTGAGCAGAAGAAATTATAGTAAATGATTTTTTTTAACTAGTTCACTTTTAAATTTAGGATTTATTTTTAATTCTGGCTTTCTCTTTTCTTCGTACTCTTTCCAGTACTTGATTGCTTACATGTGTTTTTTAACTAGTGGCCATAAGACAGTGAGTAATGTGGCATAGCAGTGGCGGAGAAAAGTCAGAAATGACCTTCTTCAGGGGCACCCTGGCTTCCCCTGCTGCCAACCAAGTGAGCTCACACTGAGCTTGACCCAGAAAATTGGTCAGGTTAAAAAAGAAAGGAGAAAATGTCTTCCTTTTTTTTTTTTTTAATTCTTTCATATATGTATTTTTCAGAACTTGTGCTTAAAAAGAGAAGAAAGTTTTAAAAGAATTTAAGCCTAAATTTCCTCTTGGATGTTAATTTCAAAAAAGAACTTCAAACTAGGAGAAAGATAGAAGAAAATTAAAAATGAAATGGTCAAGCTTATTAATATGGCCAAGGACATTTACTAGTGCAAGTGAATGCTTAGCATGTTTGCTTCTGGGAAGAACCCAGGTATTTAAATGACACCTCCTTTTTTTGAAAAAACAAATTGCTGCAGTGTTAATATGTACTCCACTTTTTTATGAAAGGAAGTGATTATTTATTTTAGATGAAAAAGTTTGACTTTTGGAAGGAATGGTATTAGACCTTATTAACAGGAAAGAGATGTGTAAAGAAATATAACCTCATTAAAACATACAAAAACAACCAAAAAAATGCACTATTAATTTTGACCGTGATCTCTCACTTTACACCCTCATCAAAATGTGGTTAACAATGTACTTATTCCCACTGTGCTCTGTGAGAAAGGTAAGGGTGCTGCAGAGAATATTCAGCTCTGGGTCAAAGGGACTTGTTAAGGGCAGTCTAACCTTGTCTTTGCAAGATGCTTCCCGCCCCCCCCAGTTTTTCCTGCAGTAAGTCATGAGAATACATTAGCAGTAGAGATTTACCTTCACATTATTTAGTTTGCTGGTATTCTTATTTTTAGCGGAACTTTTTGGAAACACTTTTATTTTAATGTAATTGTAATATTCTCCCTCATCACATAATTCAGTTAGGTACTTGGCTAATTACTGGGTGCTTAATGTCAAAATGCATAATGGATCTGTAGTGTGGCACCTCTTTTCCTTTCCGAATATCCTAAGCAGCATTATGCTGTGTATTGACCATGAGAAAATGTGAGCAGGACAGTTGGTTTGGTGGCACTGACACTTATAGAGGAAAATAATTCTTCTGATAGAACATATATTACATTTTGTGGTGGAGAATTATGATTATAGCCATTTAAAATGCATGGAATGTTTCTGCTATACCTACGTGGTCCAGAAGGCCTTTTCTATCCTAGGCTTATTTACTCTCAGAACTCCAAATTTACCATGTCATTTTAACACATTCTTGGGGGCTGACAGAGCTGGAAATACTTTCATAGGCTAATGTAAGTGGACACACAGAAGTGCCAAAGTGCATTAGGAAAATAGAAATCTATTCTGCTTCACAGTTGAATTTACCCTTCTCCAGAGACTGAATTTATTTGCATATTTTATTTCAAATATATGTGGGTTACACTGAAAGAGGTTTTAAATTAAATAAATGCCATGATTAAATGACAGACATAACAATGGCAAATCTGGTAGCCCATCATGAATTCTCCTTTTCGTAGGAATTCAAGCCTTTGTTACTTTTTGGTGAAAAAGATACATATTATATAAAAATGAGTAAAATTGTATTAGAAAAGGTTGGCCAGATGAAAAGTATATTTAACATTATTGTATACATTATTAATATGTGAGGATAATTAAAAGATTAATAGAATGAAAATATAGGTGGTTTTATACTGTAGTTGATTTCCAAAATTGATTTTCTTTTTCTAAATATTCTTTCCTGAATCTGTACATGATTGTCTTATGCTAGATATTTTGAAATATTGTAGACACTAGGAAAATTTTACAGGTGATCTTACTATTTAAATAAAAGAAATATGGAAACTTGATTTATGAATAAACAAACATGCATTTATTATTGCCAAGATTTGGAGAGCTAACTCAGCTAAAATGCGCAAAAGCTATTTGGACCAAAATTTTAGAAATACTCTTTTACAAATGTCAAATAAATACAAATCTGGATATGTATAATTATAGAACATGAATGCTTAATTTCAAAATAATTATTAAAAGCTTTGTTATTTTACCGTATTCTTTAAAAATTATAATTTGTCAAGAGAAAGAATATATAGATGGAAGTCATTTCTAATAATGAGTATGTAATCTTTAGGGTTTGTAAGTGTGGCTGAGATTCATACATACATCTTAGTGATTGACTTCTTGAGTTTGTTTATATATAGCGTGGCGTTAAACTATTTTTTATTTGGGCTTGATGGTAGATTGGGGTATTTTGCATTCACTATGCTCTTATTTTGCCTCCCCCACCCTATCCCCGCTTAGTTCTCAGTGTATAATAGTAGAAATATCATAGCCAAAAATAAACATAATAAACAGAGCTTAGGTGCCAAATATGTTATTTTCAACTTTCAATCTTCACTTATGCATGTTTCTATGCCCTTAATTTCAAAATGCCAGGCTAGTGCTTAACCAGGCTCTAACAAAAATGCAAACTGTCAAAGCAAGTACAATAGGAAGTCAGCTGAATGGCATGAAGTTATACCTAATCACCCATAAAGTAGAAGGAGATTAATATAGTGATGTGTAACATGACTACCATAAAATCTATTTGGAGGTGCTCAATAGATAACTTTAAATTGAATTGTAAGATTTCAATTCTTTTGCCTTTGTTTTGCTTCTTACTTTTCAAACATTGTGAGTTTTCAGGCTAATGAAGCCTGAATCTCCAGGATATTGAAATGTATTATGCAGTGGTTCCCTAAATATCATATTCTAAGTCAAAGCATTGTTTTGTGATTTTTCTAAATGTTAAAAACGAAGATAATAGTTATTTTATTTTATTTTTATTTTGCCATACCAAGGATGTTATGGTATATATGTGTGTGACTGTGACCACTGTCTACATAAAAATGTAATGCATAATTTTATTATGTAGACTTTGCTGTTAAAAGTTTGATATTCTAGGCCAGGTACAGTTGTTCATGCCTATAATCCCTGAACTTTGGGAGGCCGAGGTGGGCAGATCACTTGAGGCCAGGAGTCTGAGACCAGCCTGACAAACATGGTGTACTAAAATTACAAAAATTTGCTGCGAGTGGTGGCGCATGCCTGAAATCCCAGATACTCAGGAGGCTGAAGTTTGAACCCGGGAGGCAGGGGTTGCAATGAGCAGAGATCGTGCCACTGCACTCCAGCCTGGACAAGACAGGGAAACTCTCTCAAAACAAAACAAACAAAATTATTTTATTTATTGCTTTCCAGAGAAGAAACACGTTACTGTTTCTCTCTATATATAAATACCTATGCATGTATGTTTAACAAATATATATATATGTACGCATGTGTGTGTGTATATATATATATCAGCCTTTTAATTATATTATGAAAATAAATATATAATTGGACAAAGGGAAGAGAAAAAGAAAGAATAGTGGCTTAAGGCAGTTGTTGATTATGGGAAGTTCAATTGCCCCCATTCTCTCCACACTTCTTTTCTCCTCAACTAATGAGGCATACTGATCTCACAAAATAAAATAAATGTGAGAAAATATATATATCTTTATTTTTCTACTCATTAATCTCTCATTTATTGTCTATCCATTAATCTTTCCTTTTCTCCATAGAAAATGGCTCATGCAAATGAACTATCAATCTGTGGTACTGGGTTAACAGTACAATGCTATCACAAAAATAAATAAATTATTTATAATGTTTCTGAATTAGAGTAAAACATTTTAGTTCCGTTCATTGTAATATCAGGTTTTCTGTACATTGCATTGGCTCTGGGGAAAAGACTGTAGTGCAATTCCTATCAAAGTGCTTTTTCTATGTAAGATTTTATATCGTTTTTATGCCATGCTTATTTACATAAGCTCAACATGATAAGGAAAGTCTATTAGGATAAACAAGTTTAGTTAATATGGTCTAAAAACAAAATTTAATCCTATCTTCTGATAACTTCCTAGATTCCTCCATTTAGAGCTTTTTTTTCTAAGTTCTCCATTTTCTTTCTACCTAAAAGTATCCAAATCTTAGCTTTTTATTTTGTTAATGTCTTTAATTTTACTTGCTATGCCATCCTGCACCTATGTCTTGTGTTTTCCTTTTCCACCAATATTTTCTCCTTGCTTATTTAACTTTTTAATTAAATCCTGCCAAAATCCCTTTAGAGTGGCATTGCATGTTTGTTGGCAGGCTGCAGTGTGCTGTGCTGCTTCAGCTTGAGCTTAGGTACAAAAATGTTGATATTTACAAAGCCGTAAAAGTCAATATTGTACCACCAGAGCAGAACGGCCTCTAGATTGTCAAGCCTAACCTCCGACCCAACACTCAGATAGGGCTTAAAAGCATCAAGGCTTAAAGGAAACCTCAAGCACTGGGACACATACTTTAGGTTATTCCTGAATCAGAGAAAGTTACTAAGGAAGTGAATATCTGAACACAGAATTGAATTTCCTTCCATCTTTTCTTTAAATCACTGTTTTTTGGTTTTAATTTGCTAACCTTGAAAGTGCCCATCTGAATATCTCCTAGTTTTAAGTGCTATGTTGGAGTCACTTTACATGTTAATAACAGTCCCCAAATGTTAATAACCTCCCCAAATGTGTTTATTCATATGCTATCTAAATTGTAACCCATTAGCGGCAATTATTTTTAGTCAGCATAGAAACATGCAACATTTTACATTCGATGTGTCCTTTGCATTGATTTAAGGAATCCATGAGAGATATGTGGTAAATTCCTTGGTGCAATTTGTAAAGAATAATTAATGAATTGCATTTTTGAAAGTTAGTATTGATTTACATTTAAGAGTAAACAATTGATGTGACATTATTGATTAGTAATACGAATAGTAAATTTTTAATATAGTTTCCTCATGTTATATGGTTTTGTTATTTTAACACTCTACCACCTAATTCTTTAAACTCCTGTTGAACATTTTCTCTATAGGCTTTATAATAAAATTCTACCAAACAATTATAATTCTCTTTTACTGTTCTCTAATGGTTATATCTATCACTTCACTGGACATAGGCTATAGATTCTATCATAATTGTGGATGGAACTGTTCCTGCTTAGTTGATATTAGAGTTATCATACTACTTTCTTAGAAAACACTGTTGAATTGTGCTTTAGTCTAGGGACTATTGGAAATTCAATGCGAGAATGAAAAATTAATTAGAAAAGGCACCTTGCTATACTTTAAAATTATTTATTGTGAATTTTTTTTATTTTATAACAAATTTCTCACACCTATGAAACATTCATTAAGATGATAATAATTAATAAAAACAACTTTATTACCAGATTCTCAACTTATTTTCTCCCCTTATTGCATTATAACACAATGTAAAGGCAGGAAGGAAATGAGTTTAAGTCCAGGCCCAAATTAATGTTCTTCCAAAGCCGTTTAAGAATTTTCACATATAATCAAAAAACAAACAGACAAAAACACGGATATTAAACTCTGAGAAGTAGTAGCAAAAAGAACAGCAGATGACTAGAATTTTATTAAAACCCAAAATTTCAAAAGCAAAAATTTGATTTAAGAAAACTGCAAATTCATGTCAACCACTGAGAAAACTTTATAATGAGTTTTCAGGTTGATTTTTTGCAGGGAGACAGGAAAAAATACATGTCTATGGTCTATGTAGTACAAGAGGATAGTTTTCTTGATATGACACTCTTAAGTGAATCAAGAGTATACATGTACTTATTTTAGGGTAGCCTCTAGGAAGATACATTTTTAGCACATTGTATTGGCAATCACTTTTCCATTTTCTTCAAACCCCTTGAAGTTCTAACTTATCACTAGGTTAGGTTACTCTAGCTATTATACTATCTATAAGATTGCATGTGATGTTCGTAATGCCCTCCTTAATTTCAAAGAACTTAACTGGTATCTAGTTGCCCATCTATCATTTATTTTGTTTTCTTCTGCCTTTCTTAGTGCCCATTGTTAATGCTTCTATTTTAATATTTAGCATTTTGTTTCTTTGTAGCAAGGACAAAATATTCACATGCCAGGATCTTATGATTATAGGTCAAATTTGACCCTAAAGAGTGAATGTTAATGTCCATATGAAATTTGGGGAGTTTATTAAAATGCAGATCTGATTCAATGGGTCTAGAATAAAGCCTGATATTCTACATTTCAAGTAAGCCTCAAGGTGATTAATATTTTTGAAATGGCCTGCTTGTCTAAGTGCTACCTGAAGTTCTTTCTCTCATGGCTGAGGAAATCAAGGACATGGACACACCAAGTGTGATGTTAGAGCAGAAGTTTAATAAGGGAAAGAAAGAGAGAAAGCTCTCTGCTGCAGAGAGGGGTCCTGAAAAAATGGTTGCCATTTCACAGTTGAATACAGAAGCTTTTATAAGAAGCCGATGAGGTCTGGGCATCTCATTTGCATAAATCACGAATTTCTGGTAACTGTACCCTGTCCTCCTAGTGCACATGCAGGCCCTTAGCTTGAGTTACTCCATATTGCTTTGTTCCCTTTACTACACATGTGTCGGGGGATGGAGTTTTCCATTGTGGACATGTCTGAGCAAGTCTCCTGGATAGCCTTTCTTATCTATGGGGCTGTGGGCATGTCTCAGGCAAGCTCTCCTTTGCAAGTTCCCTTATCTGTGCCTTCAGGCTGTCCTTTTGTTTGAAAGAACTCATCCAAGGACCCACCCGAACTACCTGCCTGTCAGGTTTTTTCTTTCCTCTTTCATTTTGACTATCTAGATCCTGAGAATATAAAATAAATGACAGTGATAGCGTAAAATAAACAATAGATGCTGCAAAACACTCTCACTTTGAGATGGTTTGATAAATTGCCAATTGGTTCACTGTTAGAAACAATTTAAATGGAAGAACTTTGTAACCTAAGAGTGTAGAAAAAGAATTAATAAACTGCATTTACAAACATGACGTGATGAAAGTGAATGTATTCATTTCCTCTGATATAACAAATATTGACTAAAAATAGAAAAATGTGTTTTAAATTCACAAAGCTAAATATATTATTAAAAATGTAAATAATTCACTTTTCAAATTGTATTTTTGGTAAAGAGTATAGCATTTATATTTTTGAAGTTATTAATGCTTAAACTGCACTACATTTTTTTTTATATTTTGCCTCAACTCTATTTCCTCATTTGTAAAATGAGTATTTTACAGATATTAAATGTGTATTAACACATTTTGTGTGGAATTGGAAATTTACTACTGTGTGGAAACAGTATTAAATGTGATCATATGTGTAATGTGCTTATCAGTCAATAAATGCTAGATTAATAATATTCATTCTAATTATACCCATAACTACCTTTGTCCAAAGTTCAAATTTAAGAAAAATTAAAGGAAGCTTATAGAAAAAACCATCATTCATGATGACTTTTCTGAAATATTCATCACTATGATATGCCAGTTTTCAGAATAAGTTGGAGATTTAAAAGTATAGGATTTGAAGTCTAATTTGAGCCTTGGTTTTAGCATACCTTTCGTAGTGTTATTCTGGGAACCGAACAACATAATGCACATTTAGTTCACAGTACAATGACATACACAAAATAGAGGCTCAAATATGGGTATTACTATTGTAATATGGATATGCATGGCTCAAATATGGATATACTATTATATTCTAAGTCTTCAGAGAAAACAGTCCAATTAAAACGAAGGAAAATAGAAGCAAAATGTTCTGTGACAAAGTAAATAAAGTACTAAACCTAAGGCTGGGTTTTAAGTGCAATGCCTTAAAATCTCAGTAGCATCATTGATAGTATGTAAACAAAGTAAAATGTATGTATGTTTAGTGACTACAAGAGACTCCATGTAAAGTCAAGGCTCCGAGACCGGACAAAAATATGTATGTATATATATATATATATATATATATATATATATATATATATATATATTTGCTTTGCTCAAGATGCAAATACATAAGAATTTTGGGAGTGAGAAGGAATGTACAGTATCTTAAAAATTTTCAGAAGACAGAATTAACAAACCTAAGTGAAAATAGATGCTTGTAAATAGATGAAGAACTTCAGTTCTGATGCATAGATCCATCTGTCATAGTGCTTGCTTATTCTGATATATTTAACTTTCTTAAAACTTCTGGTATTTGTCATCTTCCCAGACAGGAAAAAAATGGGTGGGGAAAGGTAATGTTTCAATTACCTTGAAAAATAATCTCAAGACTGTCTGTGGGAACTAATAGTGGACATTATTAAACATGAAAGGGTTGAGTCAACAAGGCAGGTTATGAAATCCTATTCAAAGTTGAACTCTTTTAAAATAGAAGATATTTTTCCAAGTAATGATGGCCTCATTGAAGCCTGGAGTGGGCATTCTTATATTCCTTTTCAGCCCTATAATTTTGTGATGTCAAAATAATTGAGACTCAGAAAGTACATTTCAGAAATTGACATCTGTCAGTGAGGCAAACCTAAAACCATAGTAAAGCCTGGCATTTGTGTGTTTCATAGATGATGGAGTAGAAGCCAATTCATTCAATCATGTATTCACACATTTAAGAAAACTATATTGATCGTTTAATATGTGCCAGATGACGTGCTAAGATAGATGTCTCACAGATCTTAGAAGAGAATGTTATGTACCTAAATTTATAATCCCAAGTGTGTGTGTATTATATACAGTATCTATAGTATATGTAACTATATATCATATCCCAAGTATGTGTATATGTAGATAAATAATATTCATTTTATATATCAACATTGTATGTAAATATTATATAATACATCCAATATATAGTTGAGATTACACTATTTACTATATACTTATGTATAAAAGAATTAATATATATGAATATATTTATATCTCTATATAAAATGTAAATGCAAGTGTGTATGAATGTAGTGAATGAAAATGTGGAGGTTATGACTTCCTTTAAGCAGTGCTTTGTGATATGAGTAAGAATCTGTGTAGCAAGAGAAGGTAGGTGGGAGTCAGGAACACATTATAAGAAGGAAAAACATGAGGCTTAAAGGTGCATGAGGTATCTTTTATTTGGCCTTAGTGTACTGTGTGTGAGATAAACAATAGCATTATGAAGCTGGAATGAAAAATTAGACTTCTGTTATGAAAGGTCTTGAAGTCTATGCCAGCGATTGTGGAATTTATTTTGTGAGCAGTATATACAGGATACAAGTATATAATAGAATTGTTTTTATTGAAAAAGCCTCCTGCCTGAAATATAGGGAGGAACACAATTAATTAATAAAATACACATTAATTATTGAGCTATATGCCAGGAATCACAAAAATCACTTTACATGCATTATTTGGTTTAATCTTCACAAAACCTTTGAGATAAGTATTATGATTAGCCTCATTTAACAGTTGGGTTCACAGAAATTTAGGGAATTTATGTAAATTGCAAAATCAGGTTGTTGACTTAAAAATCCTAGTGTTTATCCTTTACGTAGAGCCTCTTAGCCTTACCAACCACAATTACAACTCCTGGGAATTTTCTTCTTAGTCAGGGAAAATTAAGAAGTTGTTTCAAAATTGTTAATTTTTACAAAGGATAAATCTATTAGTGTTAATGACTGTTAATGCAAAGCCTAAAAATGTTAATTTTACCTGGTATGACTATAGGTAGAAGGTAGTATGGTGTCAAACCTCATGTACATTTTGGAAATTTATGACTGGCAAAAATGCTGGAGATTATTTAGACTAAATGTAATTTTATAGCTGGAAAGCTGGCTTAGCTCATTGAATATTAGCAATTAGATGAAGAAATAAGTAACTTATGCAAATGGAAAGAAGATGTAACAGAGACATAAACAGGTTATTAAAATATGAATTTGGATGTCAGATTATTTTTTCAGAAAGAAAACATCCAATAAATATTTATTGGAGTCTTAGTTATACAAGGTACTATAATAGATTCTCAGGGAGACACAAAAAATAGTGTTGTTTCTGTCGCCAGGAAGTTCACAGGAGAGTTGAATATTGGACTAAAACACCAAAGAGCTAGACTATAGGGTAGAAAGTTGTAAGCATTATTTGAAAAATGAAAACAATATTTTAGGTGTATTAGATGATGCTTCATGGGGATTGGACATTTGCGTTTAAGTGAAAAATAACATTTGTACTTGGACGTTTTGGGGAAAGGGCATTGCAGTATAATTGGTGCTATGATATGTTTACACTTTGGACTACAACAAGTAGTCTGTTGTGTCTACAATTTAGGAAGAATAATGAGGAGATAGTAGTGGAATTTAAACTTGGGAAAGTAAATTGGAAGTGAAATCATGGAAAGCCTGGAATAGTATCTTAAGAATTGACTTATAGAGACCTAACTAGAATTGGAGAAATTTATGGGTAAAATGAGAACTTCGATTTTAGTCATGTTGAATTTTGAATAATGGCAGGTTATTCAACAGGTAGCTTGATACATACAACTGAAGCTGAGAATAGAAACAAAGCCTTGATATTTAGTTGGGAACACATCAAATAGAGGTGACATTAATACTGTGCAATTATATTATCTAGAAACAGATTGAAAAAAGGAGAAGTAGAGCATAGCTCTCTTAGTGAATTATAGTAGGGAGGTGGAGGGAGCAAACTGGAGGAAATTTCGGGCCATATAGAACCAAAAGGAGGAGTATGTTTCAAAGAGAATCAGGGAAAACAGACATTGGGAAAAGGTCAATTGAGAGATCATTGGTAACTTTAGAAAGCACCTTACTCAGAATGTAAAGGTCAGAGGTAAAAAGTGAAAGGTGTGTACGACAAAGAAAGTTCTCGAAAGCAAAGATCATTTTATTTATGGTTATGTCTTCTGATCCTTTTATAATGCCTGAAACTTTGAAGGCATGAAAGATTACAGATTTCCCCAGGTAAGCATTGATGGGAGCAGGCAAGAAGGAATGGGATCAAGATCATATGTTGAGGAAGTAGCCTTGACAGCGAAGAGAGCTCCCTGAAGGGATAGTTGAGTAAAAAATCAGAAATAGTTTTGAGATGGTGAGAAAGAAAGATTGTGAGAGTATCCAACTTAATGACTTTGATCTTTTCAATGGCATAGAAAGTAAAGTCATATATTAAAAAATGATGGAACTGATTAGGTCCTCAGGGGTTTTAGAAAAGGTTTGAAACATCACTGTGAGGAAATAATAGGCACAAATGAATAGGCAGAAGAAATAGCAAGTGCTTATTTCTAGTAGGGTAGCATATGATCCTAACTTGTCTCAATGAAAATAATTGTGTGACTTCTTATAGCTATACTTGGCTGCAAGTAGGTGAATGTGTATATTTGTTTATTACATAAAGAGATAGAAAGTATGTTTTATCTAAAAAGTATGAGCAAATTGGCTTGATTTTTACATACATCCATATTTTTATAATGTTGTAAATGTTATTTCATATTTATTATACATCCAGTGGTGCAAAAAAATCTACAAGGGGCTACACAGAAAATACTTTTTTCTCCAGGAAGTTTCCAATGTGGTGTGTACTATTACTATTTTTTCAACAAGTTAATGCTTATTCCTCTTTTTGTAATTTCAGAGTTAACAATTGTACGTAAATAGATATCCCTAATTCTGAAGAATATTCGTTCTCTAAAATAATTCCAAATGATTTAAAAAAATTAACAAAACTAGCTACTAGGAAGAGTAAAAGTAATTTTTTAGAATTTCATGAACATCATTAAAAACAAAACTTCAATTAATTTCATTTAGAAAATTGTTCTAGAATATCATGTTTGTGTTGTAATTGGTGACTGATGGAGTGATCAGAGAAAGAAAATGTTGATTGCCTTTGGCATTAAAAAATTAGTTTAGCTTTCTGGCTACAATTATTCATACATGGAAATCGTAAGTTTTATCTTTTCAGCATTTTCTTGAAAATGTTTGAGGCCTGAGTGATGTTGTAAAATAATGAAAGTGAATTGAGATGTATTTAAATTATTGTAGTGATACTTCGGAATAGACAAATTTCAGTTAATCCTTAAGTACAGTGAAGATGAATATGGACAAACATTGAAACTATAAGAATCTCTACCATTCTTCAGACACATGTCTATTTAGCCTGTTGATATTTCTCTGATATATGTGCCTGTATCTGATTTTTTTTTTCCCAAAAACCCTTTCTCTGATAGTGGCTCCCTATACATGTGTAGAATAGCAATGTTATTCATGGTATAATCAAAATACATAGAACCGTTTTTTCATACCTCCTTCATGGGCTATTTCCTGAAGACATGGCACGAAGGGGTTTAAGTTGTCAATTCTCCCATTAATTGAGTTGAGCTAAAGACAAGGGAAGATAACCAAGCGAAGCCTTTAACATCTATGATCACTCTTTCCAACAATGGATAAATGCCAGCTCTCAAATCCTCTGATCTGAGTGTGATTTAACTATTACCACGGAAAATTTTCTGTGTGGGTAAAAGCATTCATGGTACTTGCTTATACATTGAGCTCACGAAAGACATTTGATCTTAAATAGTGTTCTTTCAGAAAATAACTCTTTCAGGAGATTCCGTCAGTAGAAGAGCTTTTTTTTTTTTTTTTTTTTCCTGTAAATTTGGAGATTTAGGTCTCCCTAATGCTTATATTGCATTGCCATACATCCTGGCATACTGATGCCTGGCAGGAAGTTTGATGTTAAGTGCCAGCTGCAGATGCTACTACACAAGTCAAGGTAAGAGTGAAAAAAATTATTCATGAGGCCTTATGTCTCTGGGGAACTCCTAGACTGCCATACAGGAAGTTCACAAAGTAATATCATGGTTCTAGGTCTCGAACACTGAAATAAATACTCAGTCTAAGTTTGCATGATGTGGGCACTTTACTGAATAACTCCCTTTTCTTCCCTCCAAGAGGTATAGACAAAACCATGCGGAAAATAAACAATGACACACCAAACTTGTGTATAATAATACTTGACTGTTCTACTTCATGGTGGGTTTTTAATATATAAGATATTTGGGATTTAAATTTTTGTGATGAGTGTTTTTTTTTTTTGTTTGTTTTGTTTTGTTTTTGAGACAGAGTCTCCCTCTGTCGCCCAGGCTGGAGTGCGGTAGTGCCATCTCGGCTCACTGCAAGCTCCGCCTCCCGGGTTCAGGCCATTCTCCTGCCTCAGCCTCCCGAGTAGCTGGTACTACAGGCGCCCACCACCACGCCCGGCTAATTTTTTGTAATTTTAGTAGAGACAGGGTTTCACCGTGTTAGCCAGGATGGTTTCCATTGCCTGACCTCATGATCCACCCGCCTCGGCCTCCCAAAGTGCTGGGATTACAGGCGTGAGCCACCACACCAGGCCGTTGTGATGAGTTTTATACCTCATATTTAATGTCTTATCACCTTTAGGCTCATAATTCTAAAAGACATGGTTGCATTTCCACAATAGCAAATCAGAAGGCTGCCATTTGGGAAGTAATTGACATTTGGGAAGTAATCTAAAAGGCAGGCCTCATGAATTCATTTTTTTCATACATTCCTTAAACAACAGAGTTGTGCTGGATGTTCTATTAGGTCTTGGGGATAAGAAGGCAGGCTCTGTACTACTTATAGACTTATTAACATTGTAGGTGGTAAGAAGAGTGGAGAAATTATAACAGTTATTCCTGGGGCCCTGGTTGGACATGCCTAAATAAAAAAGAGCTAAGAAATGGTAGAATTTGGAGAGTATCTCCAGGGTTACTCTCTCAAGTAGAAACTGTGGTTAAGATGATCACATTGGAGTTAGTTAAAATTTCAGATCTACCACTTGATAACTGCATGACTTGGAGGGAATTCTTTATTCTTTCTTAGTTTAATTTATTCATCTATACAATAGATACAATAATTCCTGCTTTATAATGTGACTACATAGAAAACTAAGATAATATGTTTAACACATTTTGTGGCACGCCCTGAGCATCTCCTGGATAGCTATTATCATTGTCACTATTATTATTTCTCAGCTATTCTCCAACTTTTATTTTCTTACAGGAAGAGATAATATAATAATTTTAATAAAACAATTCAGTTTTACATAATGTTTCCCTTTTCAGAGATTTGAGCCTTAGAGTTTCCATTATTTTAACGAGTAAATTTTGTCAACTAAATAGATGAGGTATTATTTTCTCAAGTTTAGTTATGCATAGAGAGAGACATGGAGAGTGTAAATGGCTTACCTACACTGCCAGTCGGTGGCTAACTCCAGCTAAAAGTTGGCGCTCTTAAGTCTCCTCTCTGTTCTTTGTCCATTACATCATGTTCACTTGCTTAAAAATTACTTTGCTACCTTCAAAGTTCTTTTAGATATTCAAAGAAAGCTATTAAGGGAATATATACTATTCTGAAATTTTATAACTTGACTTAGCTCCCTGACTAGGGTGTGGAAAGTATTAATCTTCAATTGAGAAGAATATGAATTGTCAAAGTTATCCACTCCAAATTTGGCCATGAAGCAACCTGCTGAGCAATTTGCCTCATAGAATATACTATGTACTATATTTTAAAACTGCCTCAGGAAACCTCTGAAAGCAGATGATGGCTCTCTTTTCGTTTGTTTGGAAATCCGCAATGAGTACATATACTCATTTACTATGTAGCATGATAATAGGACAGGGAAAACCCATATTTCCTTAGTCATCCTTATTTTATATTGGAGACGTCTATCAAGGTTAATTCTTTAAAAGTAATTTAAACTTTACTTTGGTCATTGTTTTTGGTATTCAAAAAACAAACACGCAAACAGATTTTAAAAACTCAGTTTTCTAGCTGCAACTCAGATTTCATTCAGAGCTGCTGTTTAACTGATTTATTATTGAATGGATTTGAGCCACCCATCTTTGTGAACTTCCCAGTACAGAAGGTACTAGCTGTGTGTGGCTACTGAACACTTTTAGTGTAGCTGTTCTGAATTGAACTGTACTATAACTATAAAATTCACGCCAGATTTCAAAGACTGCATATAAAAAGGGTTCCATAATACCTCAATAACTTTATATTGATTACATGTTTAAATAGTAGCTTGGATATATTGAGATAGATAAATTACATGACTAATATTTATTTCACCTTATCTTTTTACTATTTTTTAAGTTGGTCACTAGAAATTTTCAAACTACATGTGTGGCTTACATTCTATTTCAACTGGGTAGTGCCATTCTAGATATGTAATTATGAACATTATAAGAATACCATACAGTACTGAGTCCTTCAAATATTTGACATTTTTAGTGCTGCAATATTTGTAATCTTGTAGCAATGTGTATATAAATTCTTCTTTAATTTTTATACTTATTTTTAATTATCCCTGAAATATTATTGTAATTTAATTTATATGCTAAAAATGAATATGATGTATATGAAATACACAATTTTTAAATAATACTCATAATATTAAAGCTGTTCTTCAAAAATGTCACTTAAATCATCTATATTGGTAGTAGACTATGATGTTATATATTTAATAGTAAACTCATGCCCGGGCACAGCGGCTCACACCTGTAATCCCAGCACTTTGGGAGGCCAAGGAGGGCAGATTGCCTGAGCTCAGGAGTTCGTGACCAGCCTGGGCAACACAGTGAAACCCGTCTCTACTAAAATACAAAAAAAAAATTAGCCAGGTGTGGCAGTATGCACCTGCAGTCCCAGCTATTCGGGAGGCTGAGGCAGGAGAATTGCTTGAACCCAGGAGGCGGAGGTTGCAGTGAGTCGAGATCGTGCCACTGCACTCCAGCCTGGGCCACAGAGCAAGGCTCTGTCTCAAACAAACAAACAAACAAACAAACAAATACTATACTCATTCATTCATTTACTGACATTCCATGACTACCTATAATAGGTTAGGTTGGGGCTGTAAAGCTGGGTAATACTTGTTTGTTGATCTCAATTAATTTGCAACCTAGTGGATTAAGTAGGTAAGCAGATATCAGTTAGAGTATAGAGAAGTGTATTTTGATAGAAGTAATTATAAGTTGTATGAGAGTGCAGAGATCACGAGTCTTTCCAGAGGAATTGAAGCTAAGTTTTAGGACCTCTGTGGACCACACAATGCTCTTCAGATGAAGAAGAGGTAAGAGCATTCCAGGTACAGCATTAGCCAAAATACGGAAGCAGGAAAAGTGATCTGTTTAAAATGTAAATGTGTTTTCTATAGCGTAAACAATAGATGTATTTGCTATTGGTGGGAGGGAGTAGTGGTTGAAAGGGGAGAGAGTAAGTCATAAGAGCTGAGATTGAGCCAGATGATACTAAAATATGTGATTTTAAAAATATGACATCTATTACATAGTATTAAGAAGATTATAGAGGAGGAATATGCAACTTGAGAGCTAACTGTAACAGAGGAGTAGAGGGTAGATTTCAGAGAGAAAAGAGTAGTTGTGAATAAATTAATTAGGAAGTAATTGCAATAGTCCTTGTAAGCATTTATGACCACCTGAGCAAAGAAGTTTTTATTTTGAGAAGTTGAGCAGGGAATAAAGAAAATGATGGCTTCTAGAATACCACTCAGTTTTCTGTTCTGAACTACAGGATATTTATTCAAAGATAGGGAATGTAAGGAAACAAGCAGGATTGATACAAGGAAAGACTGTTCAATTGGACACAGTGAATTTGTGGTATCTGTGAATGTCTTCTAGTCATTAAAAAAAAAATATATATATATATATGTATATGCCTACAGATATAGATTGGGAGAGTCATTATTAAGAAATCATTTTATTAATGTGTTTACGGATTGAGCTTTCTCAGAAAGAAAATGCAGAGTGAAAAGAACAGAGAGCCAAGGACTAAGTAAAGTTTTGATGAAAATTAGGAAGTATTAGAGATGTATCCAGAGAGACTTTGTGTAATATATTTTTTAGAATTACTAATGTAATCTGTCGCTTTGGTAGACTAGGACTATTCTAAGAAACAGATGTTTTATAACTTCCCTCAATTATCATCATTTTACCAGGAGTAAATGATGGAAACCACACTATTATCCAAACTTATGTAAATCAAATATAAAAATATATTACTTGGCATGCATTTCATAGCTATAACCAACAAATTTTCCAGACTATCATAAGTTATATCAACATCAGATATTAAGATTCCTCTTAAAGCTGAATGGGAAGAGAGGATGTGATCTTGGATCTTGGAAAGGGTACCAAAATATGTCACTTTCAATGAAAACTTACAAAAGTCTTTGAATAAAAATAATGTATATAGTACAATAGAAAAGAGCAGTATTTTTGCTTACCAATATTAAATAATAATGTTATTGAAGAATTCATAATTGTTGAGGCGCTTCAGCAAACTTGAAGCGTTCTGGGGAGTCAGGTAGCTGTGACAGATGAAATTCAACTTCTCTACATAAGATCAACAACTTTTGGAAAGCTGACATGCTCTTTGTAGATCAAATTATTGCACATTTGGATTCCATGAGAAAAGCAGTATGATACACAGAGAAGACAAATTTCAGCTGCATTTTCATAGTTGATAATAAAAGTATTTTATACAGAAAGAAAAGTAAACCTTTAATCATAAAATAGCTTAATGACTTCATATCAGATAATGCATCCTTGTTGTACATGGTCCAAGTTTGATTATATCATTTTAAGATGTGTATCAGAGATCAAAAAGATTTAGAGAAAACAGCCAGGATAATTAGAATTACTTTGGGATTTACATATGATGAGTGATTAAAAAAACATTAACTGCAATGGTATATAAATGAGAAAATCTAGGCAAGGAGTTTTGACTGAGAGAGTCACAAATGTGAAAGCTGTGATAGAAAATGACTCTGATGTCTTATTTATTCTGTTTCATATTTTATTTAAAAAAGAAGTTTTTTTAAGAGGTTAGAAATATACTGACCAATTTAATAGAAATAATTAGTTGTGGTATCAGTAATGTACTTACTGGTGCAATTTATGGTCACACATATGCTTTATTTTCCCAAAAGTTACAGAATAAGCATGCTGGAAGGATTTTTTTTTAATGGACTTGGGTCATTTTTAAAGATGGATTAAAATTATTAATGACATTTGCAGTTATGTAAGCTCTAGCCATAAAATGCCATTACTCATTTGTTCTACTTAGGCAACACAAAATGCAGTTGCTGGATTGATCAGATCTGCAGCTGGATCACTTACTGGCTCATTAATTTTTATCATATATTGAGTATTCTGACCTGGTACATCAGCTTTTGAAATAGCCACTTGTCTTCTTTCCCTGGGCAAATAGCTACTGGATGCATTTTTAAAATGTTGATCTAATTTATTTTGTTCTCACTGAGCATCTGTGGGAGTGGAAGGCTGGTAAACAAGTGTTTAGGTTTACATGTACTTTGGGAGTCATATCACCTCTGTGTACACTCCTGCAGGATCAGCTTAGGCAAATTTGTTTAGATGGCAAAACAGGTCTTCAGCATTTCACCTCTTTTCATTCCACTTTCCCTTCTCTTTTAGCACCAACCCGGAGGCATTTAGTTTTTGCTCTTGCTTTCACTTGGTAGTCTCAGTGGAAAAAAACATAAAAATAATTTTGTATGCTTGAGGTGAAACAACTTTGTAATAACATTCTTTTGATTTGCTAGTTTTGTGTATCTCCCTAAGTCTACTTCAGAACATAGAAAGCCTTTTTTTTTTTTTTTTTTTTTTTTTAACATCCAATATGATAGAGCTCATTGCCTTGACATCATGGCATGGATATGTGGTTTTTCCTTGCATTCCAAATAATGGATGTTTAGCTGCGTGGCCATAGCTATTTTATGTTTTATTAAACCATATGTCACTGTGGCAGGTGTTTGTTCTCTGTGATTTCTCTAGTCATGTGGTTCTTTATAATAGACATGTTTTCTGTGTGTCCCACTGTAAAACCTACACATGTATTTAACTGAGTACCTTGTGCCCCTTTAGATTTAGCATCTTCAGTTTTTTTCCCTCCTTCCTTTTTTATGTTTTCCTCACCTGAAAAATTTATGTTTCTATTTTCTGTCTTATTTCTCTCCTTTACTCTTTTTTTTTTTTTTTTTTTTTTTTGAGACGGAGTCTCGCTCTGTCGCCCAGGACGGACTGCGGACTGCAGTGGCGCAATCTCGGCTCACTGCAAGCTCCGCTTCCCGGGTTCACGCCATTCTCCTGCCTCAGCCTCCCAAGTAGCTGGGACTACAGGCGCCCGCCACCGCGCCCGGCTAATTTTTTGTATTTTTAGTAGAGACGGGGTTTCACCTTGTTAGCCAGGATGGTCTCGATCTCCTGACCTCATAATCCACCCGCCTCGGCCTCCCAACCTCCTTTACTCTTCATAGCATCCCCATGATACCTTCTTTTTTCTTCCTCCCTTTTACATGGATGTCTCTGGCCTCTGTTCTTGGCATGATTGGAGGGGAGGACTGATCTTCCTTAGGGTACTTTAGTGACCAAAAAGACAACTGATGCATGGCCTCACTGGCAGGCAGTGTCAACAGAATTGTGACCTCTTCTTGCTGTTAATAGGCACAGTGGCCACAAGAGCCAGGGGACCTGTCTGTACGTGCTCTTCATCTATGGCCTGTGAGGGGTCTTAGGGAACAAGAAACAGACTCTTTCTTCATTAGAGACTTAGAAATGGAAAATAATTTCTTAAGATTTTTTTTAAACAGTCCCCAAAGCATCCTTTTTGAATGAAGGGCTCCTCTTTCAAATTCCGTATGTCAAAGCTGATTGGTTTACACACATCCTTTCAGAGTTAATTGTGTAGAAAAGGAACTAAAAAGAGACTCAGAAAATAAATGGCTTTGATAAAGCAGATTTTATAAAAAAATCCTTTGATTTCTTCAATTCATCATATTATTCCAGAGATTTTCCCCTGGCCAGAAATGAATGTAATTTTCCCCTTTGTGGCACAAATGGGGGTGTTTATTTCCTACTGCTGAATGGTAGCTGAAATGCTGTGGGGAATGCGCTTCTGTGATATCTTCTCCAATATGCTCTAACCCCATGCAATCAAATAAATTGGATCATTGAAGACCACTAGGCGCCTTCATGTTCCAGCAGTAGTGAGTGAGAGGGTCAATGCCCTGCATTCTGTTTCTGCCCCTTTCTTTGTTTGCTCAGCAGTGTACTATTTGGTCGGCGTTATTTAGTCTTATATCTGCACTGTCTCCCCCTTCACCTACCCCTTCCACAGATCAGTACCACGTGAGTGGTTTGTATTTCTCCCTGGTAGCTGTTGCTTCTCTCTATCTCCCGCCTGTCTCTTTATCTCTTTTTTGTGTGTCAGATGTGAAGCTGGCACCAGGCCTTGATTGAAACCCTCGAGTACTTCTTTCACTACTTGCTATTCCTACATCTTGTTACTTTTATCTGGATTCAGTAAGTGAAGGTTATAGAACATACAGGATTAAGCAATTCTGGGAGGGAATTGGACGTTAACTCTTTAGGAATTCTAGTGTGGCTAATAAAGGTATACTGTTGAAAAAGTAGACGGGTTAGGTACTTCCTAAGCAGTGTGATTCCACAGACAGAAAAAAAAAGTTTCTCCCTGGAAATCTCTTGCTCAGAAAACACTCAAAATTCTGCTTTTAGAGTACCAAATTTTTGAGTTAACTGTTTCTGCCTCAAAATACCAATATCAAGGCAGATATTGCAATTTTTCACTTTTGTAGATTATTATACTGACCTGTAGGTTCTACAGTTCCCTGCTGCAAAATTGTCATTTCCTTTTTGCCTTAAGACTTTTGTACTGGGGAAAAGGGACAGAAGAACTGTGAGAAATCTCTGACAGGAGAATTGCTAGAAAGCAGCAAATACACTCATGAGAATGGACTCTGAGAATCTGCAAATCTGACACAGTCCGGTGAAGCCACCTGTGGCTGGTCAGGATATCAGGGAAAGGTCTACCTTATTATGGGTGGCCCAGAGAGACCAGATGCTTGAAAGTTATTTTGAAACACCAACCTGATTTCTACACTACTTTGATTCTATTAACCAACATCATGGGGACCCTCTGCATGTTCTGAGATTTGGAATCCCTTCATGGTATGTATTCTTGGAGGAAGGCAGAAAAAGGGAGAGAGGAGAAGGGGAAAGATGGGAGCAGGACTGAGTGGGATAGCAGAATAGTTGTAGAAGGGGTTGGGAAGAAGCGGAGGATGAAGATCAGTCTGTAGGACCAGACCAGACATGCCAGAAGGACGTCTCAGTGTTACTGAGTTGCAGAGTTCAAAGAAGTAGAAACGAAAACTTAAACATTCACTCAGCCAAGACAAATGTTTCTTTTAAAGTCTCATAATGCACTATTGTGTGGAACATATCTGGTAGATTAATGACCAGCTGTGGTAAAGGCCTGGTGCCCAATTTTAAGCTAGTGATAAATATCCTGGATTTAGAGGATTAAATGTTTTTGTAGCTGAGCTATATTTTATAAAATGATAAAAACAATTACTCTACCACATATAGAATTTTCACACACTGAAACCAAATTTAATTAGCTATGTCTTTCCAGATGAGATTGGGAAACAAATAAATACATATGAGTATTTTCCACTTCATGTATACTCAAGATATTCCTTCCTTTTCCTTTAACGGTATTTTCTTAAATATGTTCTCAGTTAAATGTATTTCAAGTGCTCTCCTTTCCAGTTTCCTTCTCATGAGCAAAGTTATCCTCTTCTCAAATATGAGAAACCCTGGTGGTTGAAGAAAATTATTTCATCAACTAAAATGTGCTTCCAAGTATGGTGAAGCAAAATTTGTCTACCAATTAGAGAATGAATAAACAAGCCTATTAAATATCCTAATTTTCTAGATGTCGGGAAGGGAAGCCACTGATGGAAAATAAATGATATTCTTAACGGATTCAAAGAGATAAAGTACTTTTACTTCTTATCTGTGCATTACTCTATGGTTACCATTTCTAGAAATCATAAAATTGTGTACATATATAATTTAATAGATTTGTCCATACATTTTCAAAGTCATTACATAGAAAACCTAGGACATAAATATATCCTTCCTCTTTCCCCTAGAAACTGTATAAAATATAACATACAATTATGTAGACCCCAGTATGAGGCTTCCCACATTCAAATCCCAATTGAGGGATTTATCGGTGGTACAATCTTGGGCAAGTTGCTTAACCTTTATACACCCCAGTTTTCTCATATCACAACCCTATGAAGATTAAATGAACTATTACACATAAAGTGCTTACCACAGTGATTTGAACATATTTTATTATACAGAGTTACAGGGAAATGTTTTCCTGACTTAAAAGATACAGAGAAGGGAGCGAATTCAAGAAATAGCCAGCGTATCTTCATATTTTTACATTATTTCAAATTTTAACATATGAGACACTTCACACATTGCTATACTTCCGGCTGCTTTTTATTTATGATTATGATTTTGCCTGTGAAGAAGAGATTATTAATTCTTGAAATATAGAATGGGAATTCAAAGCTCACAGAGATTAATGTAGTGTGATGTAGAGGATAAGATCCCATATCCTGGAGACAAATTGCCTGGGTTCAAAATCTGGCTTTACCATTTACAAGCTGGGTAATCGTGGATGATTAACTTCTTTTTGCCTCAAGTTCCTCATCTGAAAAATAGGGATAATAATAGCATTTATTTCCTATGGTTGTTAGGAGAATTTATTTATTTATAATATATGTAAAAGGCTTAAAATTATGCTCGGTTCATTATAAGCATTAGTTATTATTTTATATCATTATTCTTATTAGTAAAATCATGCTTAAGTTTATACAGCTAAAAATAAGTAAAGACAGACCTAGAATTCTGGCCTTGTGACTGGAAATATTTGTATTGGCATTAATGGATCAATAATTTCTCTGAAAAATAATATTAAGATATTTACTGTAGTCTTACTTTATGCCAAGTATTCTTATATTCATTTTACACAAATTTTAAAAATTATTTCTCACTACAACTATATGAGATAAGACTTATTGTTAGGTTTACTTTACACATGATTCAATGAGAGTGAGATTAAATTATTTGCCAAAGGCCCCAAAATTTGAAAACATGTAGCCTAATCCCAGAGTCAGCATAACATACAAATTTTAATTTTATTGTTTTTCTCTATAATTTTTAAGTTTTTCATACTAGACATGTGTTAGTTTTACAAGTGGAAAAATGGACATTAAAAGTTATTTCAAGGCCGGGCACAGTGGTTCATACCTGTAATCCCAGCACTTTGGGGGGCCGAGGTGAGATCACTTGATACCAGGAGTTCGAGACCAGTCTAGGCAACATGGTGAGACCCTGTATCTACAAATCATTTTTTTAATTAAAAAAAAGTTATTTTAACAGAATAAATATTCTGTTGAGCAGTAGGACCTGAAGTAATTGTACACAATAGGTGATGACTAAATTGTGTAGCCAAAAGTTAGGATTATAAGGCTATGGGTGGGCAGGAGGCAGTAAAGAGAAAATGGGAATGAGGGAGAAAAATAATGAATCAAAGGATAGCATAGAGATAACTGAAATGACAAACTTGAACTCCTTTTACTGGGGGCTAGCTTTACATGGTAAAATGGAATGGCATAACATCTTTCAGAGACACATTTTATTAATTTCATAGTTTGATTAATGAAAGTTTTGAGACTCCTTTAGCATTCTGATTCTATGACTGGTAGAACAATTTCATGAATGCTTTAAATCACAATTATTTGAAGAATAGATTATTATTTTTAGTAAAAAATATGTTGAGTAGTTTTTCAAGTTATGAATAGAAAAAATAAGTTAATCAATTACAAATAAAATGGAGTATGATCCTGTGTATTTACTTGCTATTTTGATCAATTGCCACATATTGTTGAATACAGATGCACAGTTGTACATGTATGCATCCCTTTGTCCAATCTCTATTTGTGAGACTCACAGACATTTGTTCTTTATACATCTTTCATTTCTGAGAGTTTAGTTGTTCACAAAGCAGTCTGAACTTATGAAGACTTAGCAGTTGAAAAGGGCTGAAGTGCATTTAATTTGATTGTATCTGCTCAAAGTAAAACTTACTGAAGTTCAAGCCCCTGTGGAGTATGCAAAAATTTTTGGATGATAGTGAATTATGCTTTGCTCTACAAATGCAGGAAGTATCTCCTTCCATTATGTGGTCCATAGGAGTAAATTCTGTCAGAAAAAAAATTCTATTTTATTTGAGTTTGCCCCTAGATAAAAAGCTATTTAATCTGATTTTTCTCTCAGGAAAAGAAATAAGCGCTTTCCATTATTTCATTTTCCAGATAACCCTGTGTAGAAGTACTTATAGCTTCATCAATGTATTGAAGTTAAAATGCTATATTTGACTTATTTATTAAGTTTCATAATAGTAAATAGTTTCAATAATTTGGAGGTTAACTTTGAATCAGCATTTTTCTTAGTTTTTACAAATATCACCCACAACAAACAGGCAAAATAATTTCAACTGCAAAGTGCTCTAAATGACTGACAAATATTTATGACCCATGTTGTTTTCTGTATGACTAAACTATTAAATATAGTTTAAAAAGAACATTTATTATTTTAAATGTATTAAATCCAGGTAGCATGTGCAGCAGTTTTGTTTTATGTATAGGATTCATAAGAACTACAATGATTACATCAACACCCGAGAAAGATATTGTCAGAGAATTCCACATATGTGAAGTAGAATGCACTTATCTTTCCATGTGTACTGATAAAAGGAAACTCACCATTTTCTTCTTTTTGCATGTTTAGCCCTTCAGGTATTTCTCCTCTTCGAAATAGAGTTTTATAAATTATATTTCATTTGTACTTGTTGATATCTTCCTAAATTAATGTTTGTGGCAGGCACTCTCTAATTAAACTAAGTTCAATTAGGTAATTTTGCTTTGTTTTTGCTATCCCTCTATTTGAGTTTCTGAATCCAATTGGAGTTTTACATGTATGCAAACACTGTGCTGTCTGCTCCAAGTTAATCAGTTAACATTTATTGAACCCCTGCTATATGCACTGTAATAAAATAAGCATTGTGGAATTGTTTGAAGGAAATAATATAGTAGCCAGTAACTCTAAGCAATTGGGAAAGCAAATGAAAAAACAAATTCAGACATTTTGAAATCAATAGCTACATCATCTCTTTTATGAAAAGAGTGTTGACAAAAATTAAAGAAGCTGGAATTCTAGGCTGGCTGTATTGTACCATCAAGATGCTGTGTCCACTGTGCTATGCCAAATGATAGTTAGACCAAAGAGAGCTAACCCTTTAGGGACAGGAGATGGTGAGGACTGAGAAATTCTTCTGTGTTATGCTGAAAGTTACTTAGAAGAAAACAAGTTATGTAAAAGCACATGGGTTTAATACTGAACTTAAAAGTTTAAGGTTCAAGATAAGCCCATATTTACATTGGGCCTTGGTTTGGATTTGTAAAGTCTGAAAAAAAGAGAGATTTCCTTTTTTGAAAATTAGGTTTTCATTTACCATTGTATTTCCTTAACTGGCATATCTTGACATTCTTATTCCCTTTTGTAAATTGAAAGAACCGGATAGTAACAATGTCACAAATTACTTGTTTATAGGACATTGCTCATTGGATGCAAAAACAAAAACAAAAAAATGCCAAACAAGACATTAAACATTATTGCAACCTCCACAATGTATACAGTGCTAAACAATATGATTTATGTTTCCAAATAAGAGCCAAATGGTTCTAATCTAGATGTGCATTTGAAATTTTTTAATAGTTCATATCATGAATATAAACTGTAGGGAAAGTTTCATCTTTTTCACTGTTATGCATGAAGCCTCTAACCCTTCTAACCCTTCCAAATCTCACCTTCTAGTTACTGGTAAGGCTGGGGCCATTAGACATAACATTCTTGTTATGGTGCTATATTCTTACACTGAGATTCAAAACCTTGAATCCATAATGACATCTCCTTGTCACTGCCCTTATGCCTTCCACTAAACCTTGTAAAGCCTATCACCTGATAGGTCTCCCATAATCTTTCTCCTCTGTTGTTCTCTGCTGCTTCTTTCATGGTACTTTCATAAATATCTTTTCAATAATCTCATCAAGTTTCACTTCCATCACTTCCACCATTCCCATCCACTATGCACATCTCAAAATATATCTTCAAATACCCAGTCCTGTTCATGATGTTCAAGTTCCTTCAAGTGTTGGAACTCAGCTTTCCACCCAGCACATGAGTAAAGCAGAGCTAGTCTTCCTTAGAAGGAGGCTTCTGCTTTCTGATGGCCTCGTGTAAGACCTTCTAGCGTCCTCCTACTGGGCATTGTATCCTCTGCTTTAATCATGAGATGAACCTAATCAAAATTTTCCTTAGGCAACAAACTCTCTGTAATATTTTCTTTCTACCAACTCTCAAAGAATGAGAGACTCTCATTTATCATAGTATTTCTCAATGTCTACGTAGAATTATAGCTTTCCATGTAATTTTGCTCTCTCTACTATTAGATTCATTTTAGGGAACATTGTCATTCTTACACCTAGTAGCTCTTGGGATACAATGATGAATTTTACAATGTCTTACAGATAAAATATTAAGCATTTGGTTTGTAAGTAGTGAGGTAGATGAGGGCACTCTTGTTACAGATGCACAGAAGAAAGAAACATAACTGGATTTCAGAGTTTGGGAAAACTTTTTTGAAGGGATCACACAAAGATAGACTTGATGATAAAGAATGAAAAGAGGAAGCCAAATAAAGAAGGATGGTGAGAACATTTTAAGGAGAGGGAATAACATGGGAATGCAGGATCACTGAGGCCTGATACTCCAGTAAAGATGGTTTGGTATTAGTAGAACTAAGGCATATAGGGCAGGAAGTGGCACACCACAACCTAGAGAGTTTGAGCTTTGCGCTGATAATATGTGATCATAATACTGCATATTTGTGATACTGAGGTTGAGCCTTGTGATATTATGTTATGGGCTAAGGGGCTTAGACTTCATTTTGTAGATGAGAAGAAGCCATGGAAAGGTGGATCTGGTTACATTAAAGGGACTTTTAAAGCAGATGCATATTTATATCTCAACTTTCCCACATGCTGTGTTCCAGTAGGGATAGGGAGATGTTTCTCATCTGTAAAACGTATAGAGTCATATTTAACCGACTGTAGAAGAATTAAATGAAAATAAATGGTGGCATAACACTCCTGGAATATTAGATATTGCCTTTTTCCCTATTGCCTAGAATAAATCCTGGCACATGGAAAATGTACAATATTTGTTGAATATACCACAATGCAGTGCATAAGAGAATGGATCCAATGTTGCACTGTGTTGCCAAATAATAATGACTTACATTTTAATTTTTTCTTTGTTTTATTTTTAGATTGAATTTTTATTTTTATCAAAGTAATATACATGCATAGTTTAAAAGTCAAAGATTAATACAGGCTTTCCCACTACTATTTCTGGCTCCTCAGAAGTAACCTCTTGTAACTCTTGTGGCTATTTCTGTCTGCACATATCTCCATTTTTCTAAATAGCATGCACGTTCTGTTATTTGGGCAGTTGCATATTGTTATTATGCAGGAACTCTTTTTTATCATTTGCATTTTCTTCATAGTTGCAGTACTCACTTTTACCACTCTGAAATGGTTAACAATATTCTTTGTTTTGTTTTGTTTCACTATCACTATAATGTTTTATCCACTATTGGGCAGGCACCCTTGACATTAGAGTCTTTGATATAATTTCTCTGGTTGCATAAGGTGGAGAATGATCCAAGTTACACACGACTTTAACCATTTGTCTTTTTTTCAGCCCACCCCTCATTCCCACTTTCTAAGTTAGCTGGTGTCTCTGATTTTTTAGCCCTTGTACATTTCAGTGGCTCAGATTGACCTGCTTCTTTTGCTCACCACCTCAGAATAAACTGAGTTTTCATCCTTCTTTTTTGTGAGTAACTAGTCATCCATTAGTTTCCCATCATCAAAAACTTTTCATTTACTCTCATGTCCATATTTATTTCCGTTGTCTTTGTGGGTTGTTCTTTGTCCTTCTTTACTGACATTTTAGTGTACTTGGAGGATGAATTGAAGATGTAAACACAATCAGTCTGGGACTTTAACCCGCATTAGAAAGTTTCAAAATGCTTTTATATTGACCATCTGATTTCCTTCTCACCACAATCTGGAATTTTTTCACAGATGGAAGTGGTATTATTTCTATTTTATAAGTTGTCGAAAGTTTCTTTTTTACTTTTTCTTCTTATTTTTATTTCTAACTTTCATTTTAGGTTCAGGAATACATATGCTGGTTTGTTATGTAGGTAAACTCATGCCGTGGGGGTTCATTGTACAGATTATGTCATCACCCAGGTACTAAGCCTAGTACGCAATAGTTATTTTTTCCGTTCCTCTCCTTCCTCCCACCCTTTACCTTCAAGTAGGCCCCAGGGTCTGTTGTTCCCCTCTTTGTGTCCATGTGTTCTCTTTATTTAGCTCCAACTTATAAGTGAGAACATGCAGTATTTGTTTTCTATTTCTGTGTTAGTTTGCTAAGGATGATGGCCTCCAGCTCCATTCATGTTCCTGCAAAGGACATGGTTTCATTCTTTTTTTTTATCGCTGTTTAGTATTTTATAGTGTATATGTACCATATTTTCTTTATCCAGTCTAGCATTGATGGACATTTAGGTAGATTCCATGTCTTTGCTACTGGGACTAGTGCAATGAACATACATGTGCATATGTCCTTACAGTACAATGACTTATATTCCTTTGGGTTATCCCAGAGTATGTAATGGGATTGGTGGGTTGAATGGCAGTTCTGTTTTTAGCTCTTTGAGGAATCGCCGAACTTCATTCCACAAAGGTTGAACTAATATACACTCCCACCAAGAGTGTATGAGTGTTTCCTTTTCTCTGCAACCTTGCTAGCATGTTATTTTTGATTTTTTAATAATAACCTTTCTGACTGGTGTGAGGTGGTATCTCATTGTGGTTTAGATTTGCATTTCTCTAACGATCAGTGATATTGAACTTTTTTTCATATGCTTGATGCCACATGTATGTCTTCCTTTGAAAAGTGTCTGTTTATGTCCTTTGCCCACTTTTTAATGGGGTTGCTTTTTGAATTGAGTTTGGTAGTTGTTAGGTAGCAATTTCAGGGCCATAATTTGTATTTATTTTCAATGATCTTTCTAGTGTGTCACAAAGTCCAGGGTAGAAAACATGAATACATTGGAACCTCAGAATTAAATAAATATAAGAAATAAAGAGATACACTTTAGCATCATGACATAAAGAAAAGACTTCTTAAATGTCAATAGATCAGTTCACTTCATTCAATTTTTACCCTTAATTCTTGTTCACTCAAAGAGAACAAACACTTTTCATATTTAAACAAGATGATAGTTGTTGCTCAGTCTCATATAATTTTCAGACAGCACTTAACTGATGGGGTTAGCATGGCCTGCATCTCTCCCACCACTATAAAGGCTGAAATAAAAGGCTTTTTTATCTTCAATGCTAGGGCTCACAAAAAAAAGACTCTAGAGAGGCCTTATTCTCTCTTAAACACACCTTTGATAATGCAGCTCTTGCAATTTGAGAAAAACTCATCACCAATAAAATCAGTTTAGATAGCTCACTTGGGCTATTGATAACTTATTCTTCAAACTTGTTCCATCTTACTTGGAATAGCATTAGCAGCAACTGAGGAGACACAGGTTGGAAAGAAATTTATTCTGGCAGAGAGCGAAATTAGGTATTGAATTGTACCTTCCAAGGGTGCTGTTATTTTCTTTCTTTTACTTTTTTTTTTTTGTTTTGCGCTTTAGTCTCTTTGTTGGGGTTCCTTTTTTTTTTTTTTTTGACTTCTACTTTTCTACTATTTTCCTTAGAATGTTGCCCATTATAATTTTTAGAAAGGAAAATATTCTTTTAAAAATTTTCATAATGACAAGACAGTAAAAGTATGCAAGCTGGTGTGTTCTCCAAATTGCATATATATTTTTTGGAAAAGAACAACTTTTATATCTTTTCTGTTACAAAAAATAAAAGTAGGTACAACAAATGAAAATCTTTTAGATTCGGTTTTTACGAAATCTTTAAAGTGGTCATCTAAAAAATCATTGTTGAGATACACTCGTTGACCATTTTTAAGATACCTAGATTTTCTTCAAGCAGAGAATTTATCTGAAAAATAAGAAATAGCATCTTCAATTATTTATAATCTTTTGAAATCCAAGGACAAGCAGGCACTTTCTAGTTTTTTGTTTGTTTTGATTTTGTTTTTGTTTTGTTTTGTTTTGTTTTTTTTGAGATGGAGTCTTGCTCTATCGTCCAGGCTGGAGTGCAGTGGCATGATCTCAGCTCACTGCAACCTCCACCTCCCTGGTTCAAGCAGTTCCCCTGCCTCAGCCTCCCAAGTAGCTTGGATTACAGGTTCACGCCACCATGCCCAGCTAATTTTTTTTGTATTTTTAGTGGAGACAGGGTTTCACCATGTTGGCCAGATTGGTCTCAAACTCCTGACCTCAGACAGTCCACCCGCCTCGGCCTCCCGAAGTCCTGAGATTACAGCCATGAGCCACCACTCCCAGCCACTTTCTAGTTTTATCCTTTATATCTCATATTACCTAGAATTCTGTAACTATTATCTAAAATTTCCATATTGAATGTGCCTTAAAAATCTCCAAGAGATGAAAGAAATATAAACTAAGGCCAAAACTATCATATTAAATGTCTCACTATTTTTAAATTATTTATTTGTGTGAGCTCTGTAATTAAATCCTTTGAAGAATATACTAAAAATACACTGTTTTTTTCTTGTTGACATTTCACTCAAAACATATCTATTACTTTTAGAGTCAGTGAGATTAAAGTGATTGGAAATAAATGTTTCTCTTCGAAAACCTTAGTGCAAAGACAAAAGGAGGTTATAAAAAAATTGCACAATAAAATTTATTTTTATTTCACTTATAAACTCAGAAAGCATTTTTTTAAAGTAACTTTTTTAAAAAAAGCTACCCAAATCCCAAATACAAAAAGATAATTATTATCTGCAGTTGAGATCATGCAAAAAAATTCTGCCAGCTCCTATAGCCGGGAGCCAGTCTCCCTCAATCAGATTCACTTATCAGGTGTTAAAAATAAATGGAATGGAAACCCTGCATCTGAATCCAATGTATTCCAAGTCTGCATATTCACAGGAAATCTTCCAGTAAATCGTAAAATAAAACAATAGCACTGAAATTTCAGAGTAATATCTAAGACACCCACCTCATTACTCTTTTATCTCTTCGTTCACGTACATATTGCATAAGCTGATGGGATCCGCATTGCTTCAGTGATCTACATTTGGATGGAAATTCTTAACTGTATTTCAAGGTTATGATATGACGATGTGAGTTCTTGAAGTGAAGCGAAAACAAAAGGAAAGAAACAAAAAATGTAAACTTGCCTTTTGGGAGTTTTAGATTAATTCATTCTAGATTTTGTGATTATGCATGAGTCTTATGTGTATATTTTTCCATTTTGATAATAAATAAATGTGATTATAGAGACCAACACTAGAACATTAATAGGGTCTCAGTTTGTTAAAAAATCATGTTTATCGCGGATTTATGAAATGTGAAGCATTGGGCTTGATGATAACCACACAACACAGTCTAAAGCTCTGCACTCAGGAGAAATCAGAAATAAGTAGTTTGCTCTCTCCAAATAACTGGTGCTTGAATTCAATGACAGTCTCTTCCCAAAGTGATAGGTGAATTTGACTATATGGTAAAAATGAATCTAATAATTAAAAGTTTTGAGCTGGGAGGGATCTCGGAGATTATCTATTTTATCTAAAGTTTTTGTTTTCTAGAGAATAAAGTCAGCCACAGAGAACCCGCCTTCAGTCGCATGGCGAATAGCTAGCACATCTGCAGCTAGGACTCAGCTCAGTACAGTGAAGAGGGTATGGGATGCAGAGTCAGGCATATTTTTTACTCTACAGATTATGTTTTAAGGAAGATTATGAATGCTAATCTAGCATTGGTTCATGCCTGTGTTGATTTCATTACATAGATCTAGCAGCATCTGTGAAAGTAGTATTAGGCCTCACTTTTAAAATGCTACAGATTTCTACATTTTGCATGAGAAATAGGTCAGAAGAGCATTCCATTGAAGTGGCAGAGCTCCAGTTTGAGTCCATAATTCTCCTCCTATCATGTCCTTCCTAATCTAATTATCTGTACTTCTTTAGGTTGCAGTATTTTTTAATATCCTTAGACATAGCCTTGGTATATTAGAAACACTTTCAGAAGACTGTAAAAGATGGGGAAATAAATATAAGAAGTCAAAGGAAATCAGAAGAAATACACCAGAAAGAAAATAGCCACTATCAATGCCCCACCTGCCTCCCCCACCTACTTCCCATTAAGCATATATTGCTTTTCTAAAATTATGTGGACTATATTCTACCTTACCATAGGAATGCATTTGAAATCCTTTATGTGCTTCTTTGGAAAACTCTGAATTCCTTTTTCACAATAAGTGATTCAACATGCAAAAACAGTTCTTTCTGGAATAACAAACATTGACTGAAGAAAAAAGTTGATATATCTTTTCCTAATGTTACATTTTTCTCACCAGAATTCTATTAGCATGATGTCTTTTCTGTGAGTCCCAAACTGACTCACTGTACATTAGTGTAGGAAATATTAACATAAAGGAATATATATTTATTTTCAGTATTGTGCTATTCTCGAGTTAGTTAAAGCTTCTATTAATTTCAGTGGGAAACTGAATAAAGATAATGTAGCATCATGATTAAGGTATACATCTTTTCAAAGATCACCTGCATTAGTCTGTCATATTTATGGAATAGACAAGAGTTGCTAATCTCTGATACTGAGTAAATGAATTCAGATGTAGGCATTTGCAAAAATAATTAATATACCATTGAATATAAAACAGACTAATTTCAAAATGAAAAGAACTGTTATTTGTATAGGATTCAGAAATATCTTGCCCTTAAATTTTTAAATATTTCTAGCAGATTAGGATATACCACTATTACTTTTATTAATTTTAATGACTATTTCATTAGTGCTGTATTCAAAACTAGTGCCGTTTAATTATAATTTTATGTCAATTTGTAGAATATTTTTATTTTTAATAATGCTATTATCAAAATAGTGTAATAGTCTATCAGAGGCTCAAAGAAAAAACAAATTTAATAATGTGATTTAGAAACTAAACAGAAATTTACTTAATATCCTCAAGTGTAAAAGCATGTTTACTATTTTATTCATTTTGTTTATTTTCATAAGAATACATATTAATGTGAACCTAATCTGATTTGGCTGAAATATTACCAAGATAGGAGACTCTCAAGCTTACTTTGAATCCCTACAGAGATAGTGAGTAATGTAATATGGAAAATCAGCATGTCCAATGAACAGTTGTGAATGTCCTGAAGTAATGTGGCTAATGTGCATGGCCCCATGTCCTTTAGACTGGATTCCTGAGGCAATGGTGTGAGTATCTGCAGTGAGAAGATAAAAAGCACAAGGTGAATGGTGATGATGGCTCTACTAAGTAATCTACTTCCTTGACTGAATTCTGTAAAGAGCTGAATTCCTCTAATAAAATTTCTTTTGCACAATGAATGAATCAAATAGAAATACAGCATGAAAATCAGAATGGACTCCTAAGGTGCTAAAGAAAAGAAAAGAAAAAAGAAAAATAAAGAAAAGAACAAGAGAAATAAATGAAAAAAAGGAAGCATTCTTGTAACAGTGCAGACACAAGAAGCCACAAGCCAAGGCACCAACACTGAAGCCAGGCAGCCTTTTTAGGACATCCTCTTTGGTTCCAATTATCTGTTGTTATATTCTGTGCATATGCTTCCAAATAAAGGTGGAAGTTATTTCATTCACATTTTAGCACAAATTTAGTATCTGGTTTTTATCATCTCCTGTGAGATTCATTTTGCTAAGAGAAAAAAAGAGATGATATAATTTTATTAAATTACATAATCAAATAATTTTCAAAACTTGCTTAAAGATAAATATTTTAATGAAATGTTTTTGTCCCTTCCATTCTGCATGGAGATTAAAAATCCCAATGGTTTCTGGATGAAAATTAAAATCTCTATTAGATTTCTAGAGCTTTTATAACAAATTGACAAAAGCGTGGTGGCTTAAAAGAACAGATATTTATTATTTGATCTCTCACAGCCTGGAGGACAAAAGTCCAAAATCAAGGTGCTGCCAGGACTGTGTTCCATCCCTAGGCTCTTCAGAAGATTCTGTTTCTTTTTTTTTTTTTTTTTCTTTTGAGTTGGAGTCTCGCTCTGTCGCCCAGGCTGGAGTGCAGTGGCGCGATCTCGGCTCACTGCAAGCTCTGCCTCCCGTGTTCACGCCATTCTCCTGCCTCAGCTTCCAGAGTAGCTGGGACTACAGGCGCCCGCCACCACGCCCAGCTAATTTTTTGTGTTTTTAGTAGAGACGGGGTTTCACCGTGTTAGCCAGGATGGTCTCTATTAATTAGTATAATTAAAATATTAACTGAGTGCCTTATGAATTTTACTATAATTTGAGAGAAAATGATCTAATTTATATTTTAAAACTTCGGTATTTCTGAATTTTTCAATATGCATTTATATGTTCACTTACCTCTGCGAGGGAATCTTGTAACAACACTTAAGATGGGACTTCGGGGGTAAACATCATTATTTAAGTCTTACTATTTAAAACCGTGTTTATTGCATCTCAGATTTCCAACCAAAGGGCTACAATAAAACTAACGTATACAATATATCTTAAAGTGAAGAATCAACTGGGGAAGAAATGTTATTACTGCAATCATCCATACTCAGTTCTACCTCATAAATTACCTTTGAGTTCAGCTGTATCAAAATAAATAGAAATTTCATAGCATCCCAAGCATAAATAGGGACTAGTGGAATATATAGTATCCGTGGGGCAGGAAATAAAATCGTAGCTATTTGGTAAGATTTTGAAGTCACCTCTAGAGAGACAAATACTACCAGTCAGTGAAGAGTGACCTTTTTCACACATCAGAGAAGCAACATAAATAAAGTTTAAGATGTAAAAGGGAATAAAAAACACAGCTGAGGTTAAGTATATCTAAGTTCTTCCTAAGGTAATATAAAATGAATTTAACCTGACAGAAGTATTTTTGAAGAAAGGACCCATATATGTAGAAAGATTTATATTATTTTTGTTTTTAGTTTCTACTTTTCATTAATTTTTATTGCCTCCTATGTCCCCCCATCCCACAATATTAAACTGATATGGGAGGTGGGGATAGTGAAATATCCTTAGGTCTTTTACTTTTGGATATAGGTGTCCTAGCATGGTGTCTACTTATAGACCTGCCATTTTTAATTTGAAAAGCTTTGTAATACACCAGTAATAAATGCATTCATATCCACATCTTCCCTAATCACTACAGTGCCTGCACTGCTATTTGGCACTCATTAGCTGAAACTGCCATTCACCTATAATTTATGACTAGCATACAATTATGTGTTATCACTACTCCAAGTGATTACTACACTGCATGTTTCTGAGATAATGGTATGCAACACTCCATGATAAATTGTACTTCAATGGATAGTTCATTTCTGTCATTTACTCTATTATTTTCCTAAAAACAGTCTCAAGAGAATTATATTGAAATGTGAGTACCTTTTGAAATTAAGAATATAGAGCCAACGCTGTTCCTACAGGAGAGGAAAACTGCATTCAGAGAAAGAAGCAGATAACGTTAGCAAATACATTTGAAAATATTATGATAAAAGTGAAATATGGAAATTTAAGAGCAGACTATGAATTTTTCTTTAAAAATACGTGACCATATTTTGATTAACGACTGAAAATAATGTGTGTAGTCATTTGGCCATAAAGGCAAATATTTTAACATCAAATATTGTGGAATGTGGCATGGATATTTGTAAAACTTACAAAGTCATGATCAATTTGGATGTGATGCATTAAAAACCAAAATATTTTTAATTGTTGAAATATGTTCATTTTATTATCTACCTAGTACTTTAACTTACAACAGCACTTACATGAACTGACATTCATTATTTACTTTGTGGTGAGCAAAGCACTGCTCTACATATTTCATGTGTATAATCTCATGTAATTCACGTGACAACCCAATCAATACATGAAATGTTAGTACACCAATTTTACAAAGAAGCAATGAGGCACAGAAAGTTGTGTAGCTTACTCAGAAGCATACCAAGACTACATGAATGAATTCATTTCCTTGGGCTGTCATAACAAAGCATGGACCATAAACTGGCAGCTTAAAAAAAAAGAAAAAGCAAAACAAAAACAAATATTAAATGTTCTCTTGAAGTTCTGGAGACTAGAAATCAGAAATCAGTGTACCGACAGCACCACGCTAACACTGACACCTCTGGGAAAAATACCATTCTTGGTTCTTCCAGGTTCTGGTGGCTTCACACATTCTTTGGTTTGTAGCATCGAATCTCTGCCTTTGTCTTCATGTGTCCTTCTCTGTGTATCTCTGTGCCCTTTCCTTTTCTTATAATGGCATCAGTCATTAAATTTAGGGGCACTCTGAGTTCAGGATGATTTCATGTCAGGATGTTTAACTAATTACATCTGTAAAGACCCTCTTTCCTAATAAGGTAAAATTCTGAGGTTTTGAGTCAAATTAAATTTTGGGAAACACCTTTCCTACCAGTACAATGGTGGAGCTGAATGCTCTCTTCAAACACAAACATACTGTAGAGTCTGTCCCCTTGAATGTGTATGATTGTCCCAGATACAATGATCGGTACATATTTCATTTAATAACCATTCCAACCCTCTGAGTATATGTTCTCTTTTTTACATATAAGAATGCCCAAGGTCATGTGACATAGAGCAGTATTATTTAAGTTAAGTGATTTTTTTTTTCTTTGAGACAGAGTCTCGCTCTGTTGCCCAGGGTGGATTGCAGTGGCACTATCTCGGCTCACTGAAACCTCCAGGTTCAAGTGATTCTACTCCCTCGGCCTCCCAAGGAGGAGCTGGATCTACAGGCACGCACTACCATGCCTGGCTAATTTTTCTATTTTTTAGTAGAGATGGGATTTCACCATGTTGGCCAATCTGGTCTTGAATTCCAGGCCTCCAGTAATCTGTCTGCCTCAACTTCTCAAAGTGCTGGCATTACAGGTGTGAGCCCCTAGTCCCGCCCTTAATTGAGTGACTTTTTTCTAAAACACAAAATATGCATTCTCCTGCTTAAAATTCCCCTGATGCATTATAATTACCTTTAAAATAAAACCCAAATTCCTTGAAGTAACATTTAGGGCCCACCAGGATCTGGCCCTTCCTTGCGTCTCCAGCTCACGTCTCTTTCCCCACCCAATAGGTGTACATTCCCTACCATCCTGGCCTCCAAGCTTTCTCCTATGTTGTTCCCTCTGCTGACAACACTCTTTCTGCCAGGCTATTTCTTCTGCCTGTTCTTCTGGTCTCACCTTGCCACTTCTGCTAGGCTGTTTCTTCTGATATCCCTGAATAGGTTTGGTGAACCTGCTATGGGCTCCCATAATAATCTAAGTAGCACCTAACCTTACAGTCATTTGTGGGAGCAGACATCACAACTTTAAATTTTCAGCTGCAATTTCAATACAGCTATGCAATATATTTCAGTATACACAAGACTATAGTGACTGACACTCAAATATCTATTGAAAGAAAAAAAATGAAGCCAGAATATCTCTAGGCATGAGATAAAGCAAAGGCAGAAAACTGCCTAATAATTCATGACTTGATGTCATCATCTTATTTCCAAAAGGCTTATTCTGACTTTTCAGTGCAATGCTTCTCAAGGAGGAAACACATTTGGGCTTCCCACAAGCAGCTGGGAATCAAATAATATGTCCATAGTTTCACTTACTTCTGTTATTTTCTTCATGAATCTAGAACTTCCTAATCATGTTGTAATAATTAAGACAGAATACTGACTTTTCTTTCCACACCTGCCCCCAATGGTAAGTGTGGAAGCACACTGAGAAAATATGGAGGCAAGTAATAGATCTGCATGGTAGGGCTGTCATGGCAGAAAATGTGATTGACTGGGTTGCTTGGTCAAGGCCTTTGACTGCATGCATCCTGGGGTTGCACAGAACCTAAATTTACCCATATGCTTTTTCTAGAGCTCACTAAACTCACATGATGACAGAAGCAAGGCAATACTGTATAACAGGATTTCAACAGAAGAATCTTAGTTCTTAGAACATGATGGTATATGCACGCTAACTACAATATTAGATGTAGGGGTTAGGCTGGGCATGGTGGCTCATGCCTGTAATCCCAGCACTTTGGGAGGCCGAGGCTGGCAGATCACCTGAGATCAGGTGTTCGAGACCAGCCTGGCCAACATGGTGAAACCCCATCTCTACTAAAAATACAAAAATTAGCTGGGCGTGGTGGCGGGTGCCTGTAATCTCAGCTGCTTGGGAGGCTGAGGCAGGAGAATCGCTTGAACCTGGGAGGTAGAGGTTGCAGTAAGCCAAGATCGCACCATTGCACTCCAGCCTGGGCAACAAGAGCGAAACTCTGTCTCAAAAAAAAAACAAAAACAAAAAAAACATATGAGATGTAGGGGTTGAGCTGCAGCCCTCACAGCATGGCAGCTCTTATTTAAATTCATGCAAATGATTTTACCAGGAAGCCACATTCCCCTATAGTAGAGTGGAACATTTTGAAACATCATGTCTTCTTACAGCAAGCTGGTTTTCCATGAGAAAAGCATTACTGCCTAAAACCAAGGCCTCTTATCAATTTATCTAAAAAAATCACTTGCCATCATGTAGAGTACCTATAGATTTAGTGTACAATTTTACACATAATGAAACCTAGATGTTTCCAATTAGAAAATAATAGATCAGAGTTACAGAGGAGCAAACTACATTTCAGAATAATACCTATAGAATGTTTGATTATCATTTAGCACTTTAATTTGTAAAACCTTTTCTATACAAAATATGTTAAATCTCTCTTCCTCATAGCATTGTTAAGCACAGTAGCACAGTAAATATTATTCCCCCTTTAAAGTAAACTAGGATTTTGTGAATTGAATGTTAGCTTCACAGGATTTTTATGTGTTTTGTTCACGGATGCATCCCCAGTTTCTAGAACCAGTATGCAATAGAAATTCAATAAATATTTTGAAAAAATTAACAAATAGAAAAGAAATGTACTGTAACTTAAACTCACTAACTGACCGCAACAAATCTGATATCCCAAAGTTGTTTTGTAATACTTTGTTTTTCATATCAACTTCAGAATGTTTTGTTTCCCTATTAAATCATCTTTATGCACATTGGCAGGGTACTGTGTCTTGCTGGTTGTGTCTCTCATTGGTTGAGTGGATCCTTTCAGTGTCTCCTCTTTCCAGTGCAATTTGCACATTTTTTTATAATCGTACAGATTTACATTTCTGAAGGGAAAAATTGATAAAGTCCCAGAGACTTTAGAGAGAGTAAATAATACAGTCAGTGATATTCTTGATAGCATATTTTTAAAGATACAACATTATGAGACATTCATATGGCTTCTTGAAGCTGGTCTTCCGTAGTTGTAGCAAGATGTGGTCTGGATATTTTATCAAGTGCTTTATGTGTCTAATCATCACACATTACTATAAAATGTTTTCCCACCTCAGCACCAGAATCTTTGAGTAAAAGAGAAAGTTGATGTCATATAGAGAATACTGCATATTGGCACTGCTCATAAGTCTGTGCAACCACTTCCCCTCCAGTCATGTGGCTTTCAGAAAACAATATAATGTAGCATCAGACATTTGCTATATTTACTCTATGAAGAAAGGTAGTGCTTCCGGATTATTTACATTTGAAATAAAACATGTAAATGAAAGATAAATAATTGGCAGTATTATCCCCTGGATGCATTCACTTATTTTTATTTGTGTGTACGTGTTTCTTGGGAATTCACCAAGCCACAGTTGTTGATTATGTGGAGATATTTTTTATTTGTTATATGTATAATTATAAGGTTAATTTGCTTTGAGATAAAACTCTATAAAAATTATAATCATGTATGTCTCTAGTTACTCAATGTGTTCATATTTTAAATAGATTCCAAAAATCATATGATCATATTCTTTAAAATTCAAGCTTATAATTTGTCTTTCCCCACAAAAGCCTCTGGTGATATAAAATTTATATCCACTGTTGCCTGAGTGTGCCATGGAAGAAAAATGATTGGTGCCTTTGGATGACGGTTGGGCTGAATTGCTCTATTTTCTTTCCCTGACTGCTTACTATGAGGAAGAACACCCAGCATGGACTTTTCCCACCGTCATAATCCATTTATTACAGAGTTGTGGCATTTATTTGAATTTTGCAAGTATAATATCAGTTCTTCATTCATTATTTTTTCATAAGTGCATCTTAGTATAATAATCCCCTGTTCTCTGCTCTCATGTTTTTGTCAGAATCTATTACATCAGTGAAGAAATCTTTGTTTCTTTCTTAGCCTCAAACCCACTCAGAGCTCATTTAGGTTTTCTAAAATGGAAACAAATGTAGCTAATTATTCCTTGACCTGTATTAACAACCCAGCTGGTTGTGCCTAGATTTAGCCTACTGAATATAAAATTATAGTAAAATTGACTTGCACCCTTCTTCTAAGTTGTGAGCATGTTAAATAATATGAAAAATTGTAAAAGCTGCTTATTTTCTTGTCCTTTGGGCATGATCAGCCACTTTTCTAGAGTCTCAAACCGTATGTTACTTTTAACTCCTTTATTTTCTGTTTGCCACAGAGCAGAAAATCAGAGGGGAGAAGTTACCATCTGCATTGGCTGTCATCACCTGCAGGAATTTTGACTTGCCTGCTGATGTGATTGAGGCATGTTGATTTTCAGCATGCTGCAAAAGATGCCTTTGTTTCACTGAAAATTCAGTTTGAGATCTTCTATGCACTTCACTCTTTAAAATACCATTTGATTCTTTCATATAAGTTAGAAACAATTAGAAATTTATCACTTGCAAAAAACACTTAGAAAACCAAGCATAAGACTCACATTTTGAAACCTGCTTTTGAGGAGCTTTGCAGAGGGCAACCATCAGTAGGTATAGAAAAAACAGCGTGTAACTCAAATATGTCCAAGCTGAGAGTAACTCTATCCGGTGTGGTTGAAGGAGCATTGAGGCCTATTCTACTGTTTTGGCATGTATCTGAAATTTCTAACACTTAAAATACTTTTCGATCCATGCACATATTAAAATAAAATTGATGCTTTGGACAGAGCACGTGTGTTAAGTTAATATTTAAAGCTGTAACTTGAATAAGTTTGTCAGATTAACTAGTTGTCATTTGAAGAAGTAGCTGTGCTGTAATTAAACAAGAGGTATCTACATTTAATGAAGTGTTATGAATCTGAGCTGCAGTTATTTTTAAACTAAAAAACCCAGAGGTTTTACTAAAAATTTTGGACTTGTAACATTATGCCTAGAATCTACTAGTAACAAATATTATTTGAATGAATGTGGTGAATTATTGAACTTAGGATAACATAGTTATTAACATTCTACATCAATGTTTAGCACATGGTTATTGAATTAGTGAATGAATCAACAGATGCAATAATATAATTTTTCCTATTTAGGCCACTTTTATCACATGGCACACTCCACAAGTTTGGGAAAATATTGATGCAGTTATAATCTTTTACTGTCTAAACTTACTAAATGATTTTTTTCTTTTTCTACTTTATTATGAGGATCAAATAAAGCTGTTATCTAAGGAGGACATAATGATTAATCTCTTAAAATATTTTTCAGGTGATTTAGATCTGAGTTCATATTCATTTCCTAATTGTAACTTTCTAAATGTTAATTTATTATATTGGATTCTGTTAGGAAAGTTTATATTTTCATAATCACAAGTGAACAATTACATTCTAACCTACAATAAGATATTTAATATTCTAAATTACAAGAGAAAATTGGTAGAGGTGCAAACCAGTTTTTCTTTAGCCCATTTCCATGAATAAATAAAGCACATCAGTTTGATCCTCACCAAACTTCCATTCAAAGCAAAATGCCTAGGTCTAGGAAGATTTAGAATGCATATTGATAGGGCCACTGCATTACACAAATCCAGTAGTATCATTCATGACATAGACTATGAAGCATGCTTAAGTGGCCATATGTGGATGCTAATTTTGTCTAAGCATAGTGTAGTGTTTATAATACATTCAGCTGCAAGTAACAGAAAACTTCGCTAAAGTTATTAGTAATATAGACATGCAGTGTCTTGTTTATGATGAGAAATGAGTGTTTTCAGGTTTTATTCCCTGGTTCACTGATTTTATGCCTGTGTTTTGTGCCTTGGTCCTACCTTTATATTCACAAGTTAGCTGCTTCTGCTTCCAGGATCAAGTCTTCATATGAGAAATTGTAAAAGCGCAAAAGTGGTGATGGCTAGAACATTGCAAAGTAACTATTTGTGTGACCCTCGATTATTTTATCAAAGAAGGAAAATATTTCCCAGAATGCTTCCATTGGGTCTGGGTCAGCTTTTATTGGCCAGAACTTGGATACAAGCCTACTACTAAACCAACAACTAAAAAAGGAATAGTATTACCATGCTAAACTCGAACAATTATTGATTATCATCTGGAAATTCTTAGGTAGAGAACTAACAGTGCCACCTGTACCCAGTGTTTCCTCAAGTTGAACATGAAATCCTCTTTCCCAAACCCATAACCCTTAAACACACTTTAGGGAGTGATTTTTTTTTTTAATGTGATTATATATAAATACAATCAGCAGATGTTCTTTCTTCATTTTAGAAAGTATAAAATAGTGTTCCAGTGGTGTAGCTATGTGTTCATTGATATTACTGCATAACAAAATACTGCAAACATAGTGTTATAAAATAGCAACCATTTCATATTTGTTCATGGATACTCTGGGTCATAAACTCATGCAGAGAACACAGTGAGGTTGGCTTATGTCTGCTTAAAAATGTCTGGGGCCTAAGCTGAGAAGAATCAAAGGGCAAGGGATGTGACTCGAATGGCTGAGGGTTGAAATTACCTGGAGGCCTCTTCATTCATGTGTGTGGCACCTCTACAGGTAGGAATCAAAGCCTCAGCTAGGACTGTGGATTAGGTCATCTACGCATGGCCTCTCCTTGGCGACTGACTGGATTCCAAAAACAAACATCCTGAGAGGAGTAATGGGGAGAGTGAACATCACCAAAGTGGAATTCCTAGGGCCTTCTTGAGCCTACCCTAAGAATTCCTGCCTCGTCATTTCAACCACATTCTAATGGTTACAAGATAATCACTAAGGCCAGCCCAGATTGGAGAAGGGTTTTTAAACTCTGCCTTTCGATGGGGGTGTCAAGGCCATAACGCAGAAGCATCTGTGGCATGGGCGATGTGGTCATTTTGTAAAATACAGTCTGCCACAAGTAGTAAAATGAGGTCAAAGAGAACTGGGATAGAATTGATAATGATAGTATGATTGAGGTTATTTTAAATTTTTTAGCTGTCACTTTTGTAGAACTTTAACTTTCAATTCAAGGTATATTTTGAGGACAGAAAGAACACCACCCCTCATCATTTTGATTTTCTGTGAAACTATATGTAGAATAGAGTCTGATGTAATGTAGAAAAATGATTCCTGAGTACAGCTGTGTTAATCACCCGAGATTTACAATGTATAGTTTTACAGATTTGGACTCGTATTTCTTGCATCACAAATTCTAGTGATAGGTTTCCACAATTAATGTTTATACAACAAATCTACACTGTCAAAAAAATGAGAAAATGATTACTAAATATGCTTAATCAATGGGATTATCTTTGGGAGATTTTAAGAAAAATATGTCTGAGCCTCCAGACCCAATCATAGACATTTTAATAAAGTTTGTTTGCAGTACAATATCTCTTTCACACTCTCTCTGTATATTTAAATAATCACACATATTCATTAAAATATATAAAAATATTCCCATGAGCAAAGGAATGGTGAGAGTGTTACTTAACATGACATTTTAGAAAACAATTTGGGAAAATTAAAGAGGCACATAGCCTTTGAACCAGCAATTCTACCTCTATGAGTTTATACTTTAGCTGTGCCTACATTGTTACATTTAACAGCTATTCATGGCAGCGTTGTATTAGAGGAGAAATACTGGGAAAAGACCAACCAACCTCCACCTAAAAGACGTGAATAGTAACAGTTCTCTGTATTATCTCTATAACATAGAATAACTGCTGATGACCACTTAGAGGTAGTAGGCTCCTTCCTTCTTAGTACAACCTGGCTCTGATTAATGGATCAACTAGGTCTTCTCTTGTAAATAATTTGTGAATGAATCTTCAGGTACTTAAAAAGAAAGGGGAAGTACCTACCTGTAGGCATTACAGAAAAATGTCCAGGTGTATTATAAAGGCAAGCAAGCTGTTTTTTAGTATATTATGTATAGGATTACCCTATTTCTGTTAACAACTTTTAAAAAAAAATAGATATCGATACAGAAAAATACTCTGGCTTACATAATTTCTGAAAAGACATACAAAACATAGAAAACAATTCTGTTGGGGGAGTGGCACTGGGAGATTTAGAACAAAGAGTGAGTATTTCTGTATTTTTTTTATCATAAGCATACATTGTTTTTAAGACAAAAGGTAGGATATTTTTGTTTTTGTTGTTGTTGTTTAAAATGCTGCAAAGGTGAATCCGATGTCCATTCAGGGTTGAGAACAACTGTCTCTTATGTGACTCATCTTTTTTTTTCAGTTGAGATGAAGAACAAAAGATATACTTACAGAAAAAAAAAAAAACTTGGAGAATTTAGACAGAGTAAAGTCTAAGTCCAAATTTTTGAACAGTGTATTTTTTGAGAGAAGTTAACGTGAGACATTTTTTATTCTTCTAAATTAGCATTTGTAAATGCTATAATGAGATATGCTTTAACATATTATTATCTAAGAGATAGGTGTGTCTTAATTTCTAAAGGATTCTTAAGTATATTGAATAGAGCCAACTAGGGCAGATTTTCATTATAATGTAATATCATTATACGAATGATTGCAGGCTAATTCCCCACTTACACAATCTGACCACTGACCATGCTAGATCAAGAGAGTTTAATTTCTTTTGTAAATGTTCATTCCTGCTCATTTTACTTGAGAGCAAGTAAAATGGTAGTTTAATAAGAGAATAAATTATTTTTAAAGGAAGAATATGCAAAAGCAAATGCTGTGGATTTTTCTCACAATAATTATGTACTTCCCTTTACCATCATCCCCTGACATATCTGTGTAAAACCGAAAAGAAATCATGTTTTTTGATTTCTTTCCAATAACCTTTTAAATGATGCCTGCGATTGTTTTGGCCTTTTGTGTTGACAAGTGCACATTGGACTCTTGTCTTCAGGAAAGAGGGTGTAATAATAGATCCTTTTCCTTCTGTCTCATCTGACATTTTGGCATTCATCACTTTTTAAGACTGTGTTGGATTTTTTTTCATGAAAGCATTACTTTATACTTGCCAACAGTCAACTTTGTTGGTCATTTTCCCCATTCACAAGGATTTCTTAAGAATAATACAAATACCACTCTTAATGTAGCCCCCAAACTTGATTATTTCATTAAGCCTTACAAAAACTAACGTCAGATTTATTAGTTTTAAAAGGGAAAACAAATGGAGCTTAGAGAAGTTATGTGGCTTTCTCAACTCATATAACTAGTAAGTGGAAAAATGGAATTTCAAACTAAGTCCATTTGACCCAAAACCTGTGTTCTTAATGAGATGATGTATCTTATTTAAAAATAAAATAGCTCCAGAAGATAGTTGTTAATATTGATATTTTACAGAGGTATAAGATGAAAGATTGAGAAATAAAGTGAGTTGCCCAGGATGACAGAATTAAAAAGTGATAGCTCTGGAATTTGAAGACAGACCTCTTGATTCCCATGACTCTTTTTATTGTGCTTCACCTGTGTTAATGATTTTACACCCATTCTCATTACCACCTGTTCAGTCAATGACTTCCTAAATCTTGATTTTACAGTAGAGAAAACCTGATGTTTTGGGAGGTTACAAACTAGAAATAGTTAAGTGGCAGCACTAGAGGCTGGATCTCACATCTACCAACTCCAAAATTACTTCTCACCTGACTGCTTTTTAGTTAAGCCTTACCCTCTTGGCATTTTACTCAGTCAACAAAATTAGTGTCATCTATAAATGTAGAATTTTACTTTGCAGCCCTGCTTGCAAGCCAGCGATAAATAATGTTCAATAAAACATGTATCAGAGTTGATTCCAGCATCGTACCTCAAGAGACAGGAAAAGGAATTGCTTACTTAGAATCACACACAAACTCTGGGAATGAAAGTAGTTATTAATGGGCACTTTACTTAGCCTTTAGCCCACCCACAGCCAAAGTTTAGTTCAAGTTGGCAACTTAATAGTGAATAATGCTTCTTAGTGAGCCTAAAATATGATCAGGAAATTAGATAGGCAATAAAAGAATATGGTAAAATTCCTGTGAGTGTATTTGTTAAAAGTCTGATACGTAGTTGCTATAATAATTTATTTGTAGAAAAGTTAGAAATTATCAAATTATACAAACCATAGAGTTAATATTATACTAAATGATAACTGAGGAAAATAAGCATAATTTTATTTTGTATTTTGTCATCTAAGGAATTTTGTCTCAGTGGAGACATTTTTGCATTTCTACAAAACTTACAGTTCATTTTAATAAAAGATAATTTTATAAGAGCTGACTGAGTTGAATTTACTACTATGACCTAAGCAATGAAATTAACCAAAATTAGATTTCTGCTTATTTCTAACTCCCAGGAAAGCAGGCCTTAATGACGGAACAAATGTTTTGCCCTGCGGATTAACTCTGAGCCTCCTAATGAGCCACTAATGTTCATGGGAATGCTGGACAGAGTTTCGGATGGATACAAGAAATGAAAAAACCTAATAACAGTAAAATAATTAATTTGAAACTCTGCTCTGGCCATTAAAGATTAAACTTTAATAGAAAATAAAGAAAACTTACATCTTCATTTTATGCTATGATAATTTTCTAGACATTATAGAACCTTTGTAAAATTATATGCAGTTGCTTTTATCAGATTCAAATATGTGTGGCAATAAACCTTCATTTAAAGGCCTGACTTTATTATCAAATACCTTGTTATATCTTGACCATAGAATATAAAACAAGGCACACAAAACTAGGAATTAGGAGAACATTTTTATTCAAGAAGTGAGTTCCAAAGAAGCTTTCCAGGGCAAACACAATTTTTTTCCCCATAGAAAGTGGTCAATAAATGTCAGTGAGATAATTTGATTGAAAGAGGTATGTGAGATATCTTCAATATTTATGTAAACATAAAGATGCCCAATAAGTAGGCTATGTTTGTAAATGTTTTATAGTCCATTTTTTTAAGCTTAAAGAAAAGAGTACCATATGTGAATGCCAATGACATTTTCTTGCACCTTTCAAAGGGAATATATGCTTGCCCTACTTCCTACCTATGAAAGTTTTTAATTTGAGAGCTAAGGGATAAAGGAATGCCTTTGTAAATTTGTTATCATTTATATGATATACAACTTTTGGCACAGTTGGTATAAAAATGTGTGACAGAAATATAAGATATATTGAATATTTCTCTCTTGATAATGCCGTTTCTGTCTTCTTATTTATTTAACAACGTTGTCTGTGGTACATATTGGGAAAAAATGATTTCATATCTTTAAGGGTTTTCAAGTCACAAAACGTCATTGAAAAAATAATAATATAATTAGGAAATTTAACAGGCTTCTTTTCATAAAAATATTTAAAGTAAAATTGGATATGAAAAAATACATAGAAGTTTAGAAGCACCTGGCAACCTGACAAATAAATTATTGGCAATGAAACTACCAGGGAACATAACTGTTAAAGAGGATGATGAAATTGAAGATTAATAAGCTTAATAAACTTAAGTTTATTTTGACCTTAAATATGTAAGACCCCAGAGACACAGAAAATTATACCTAGTATGTCCAGACCTGAATATTGTATTTAGTACAATTTATCATGCATGTTTTTAAAAGAACTAACGTAACCCATTTTTCCAGCAAGGAGATATATAGAGAAAGTGAGTTATTTTAGAATTTTAGTTTTATTGATGTTTGTAATTTATTTGGGTTTGTACCAGAAAAAACAAGGAAATATTGTTTAACTGGGTGGATATTGGTATACCATCTGACAAAACAGTGACAAAATGGAAAGTCATACAGGATGACTGGTCCAGTGTTAAACAAATTTGGTTTTAGATGTGGGTGTTTGTCTCCAAGGATCTGGAATTCAAGGGAGGGATTTTTATATATATAGATTTTAGGTAGATGAATTTGAGAATCATCATGTCATAAGTGATGATGGAAGAGTGAAAGTAAATTAGATCATCCAAGGGGAAAAATCAGTTGTCTTTTGTCATTTGTGTTGCTGCAGTTAATGAGATTATAATGGTGTAAACAAAAAATACTGTGAGATCATATCAGCAAAAGATGACTATGTTTGGGAGAGATTATGGAAGATACCACATAGACGACAACATTAAGATTGAGAAGTTTGGTGTCTTTTTTTTTTTTTTTTTGAGATGAGATGGAGCCTTGCCCAGGCTGGAGTGCAGTGGCACAATCTCGGCTTACTGCAACCTCCCCCTCCCAGGTTCAAGCGATTCTCCTGCCTCAGCCTCCCAAGTAGCTGGGATTACAGGCACCTGCCACCACGCCCAGCTCATTTTTTTTGTATTTTTAATAGAGATGGGGTTTCACTATGTTGGCCAGGCCGGTCTCAAACTCCTGACCTCATCATCCATCCACCTAAGCCTCCCAGTGCTGGGATTACAGGTGTGAGCCACCGTGCCCAGCCTGAAAAGTTTGGTCTTAAAACAAGAATTAGTTCTTGTCAGCTGTAGAGTAAAAACTGCAGGAAGAAGATATTCCAGGAGTTGGTGACCATGAATTTTTTTGAGGCAGAGTAAGTACCTTACTCATCAAAATATTAAAAATAATAAATCAGTATTATAATCAGAGTCAGTCTTGGGAGTAGTATGATTCCCTGGAGTATGAGAAAGTCTCCTCTTCGTCCTTTCCTTTTCTCTTATATTTCATAGTTTTTATCTGGATTCCTTTATGTAGAGACAAAAGTTTTATTTCCAGTTATAAATTAGGCTTAAATAGCAAATGTCTGGTTAAGTTAACATACTGATGCAGATGAATATATATTTTGAAATCTGTTCACTCCTGCTTTGGAGAAAGGGGTTAGAAATTGAAAGATGTGAATACTAAGGGAATAAATGTCCCTAAGGGGGGAAATGTAGAAGAAAGGGAAGGCTACAAGGCATTAAATTTCATCTCTCATTTTGTCATGAAAATGCTATAACTGTACTCAGTGGATGTGGGAAAATAGAAAATGTTTGAAAAGGTCCTTTATGACCTACACAAATTGCACATACTTCAGTGGAAACTCTATTCATGTGGGGTGATAAGAAAGGGAACTTCAAAGAGGTAATTTATAATGGACATTAAAGGATGGTGGAGGTTTTAAATGAAAATACAATGAGGACATTTCAGGCAACTCTGTCATTAAGGCCTCAGTATAATAAAAATTTGAGGGGAAAGAGAAAATAGACCAAGTTACCTACTATGCAAAGGTCATATTGGAAAATTCTAGGAGAAATGGCTGGAAAGCCGAAATAGGTCAGATTATAAAATGTCATTAATTCTAGGATAATGCCTTTGGGCTTAATTCTGTGGGCCATGAGGAATTATGTGAGATGGTACTGAGCAGAAAATTATGTAATCACTAGAATTTCAGGACAATCTGATAAAAGTGGGTAGAATGGTAGTAGATATGTTAAATTGGTTCCAAACCCAATTGACATTTTAATGTGATTACTAAAGAGTGATTATTCAGAAATATTTTGCTCACAAAAAGTTAATCTTTTACAAAGGCCTTAATTGCTATATACCATATTCCTCTCAGCTGCAGAAATATAGGCATTTTCCTCCTATACATTTTCAAAAAATTTATATTTACTGATCATGGGTCACTAATATTGGTTTTTATTTATCCATAAAAATACCAAGTATATATCAATTGGTTCAGTTCATTTTTATATAGAATGACTAGCTCTCTGCCTCAAATTGGCTTGAATAACTTTTAGTGTTCATAAAACTGGATTTTAGAGTTTCACTTTACCTGAATAGAAGCAAATATCTGATAACACCATGCTTACCCTTGAATTTAATTCTAGTGCTGTAGCTACTGGCATTTAGTTTTCTGCTCCGTAGACTAAATCTCTAAATGAGCCAGAATGGACAAAGTGAAACTCTCTGAAGACTTCCACTGGGATATAGTCATGACTTTCACTTTGGCATCTTTTTTGCTCCATGGAATACTAATTCTGGAAGATTAATCTTGGATATCATATTCAGAGACACATAAATTTGGGAATACTTGTGTATTATTTCTGTCTCTTTGAGAGTCCTCAGGGACATTAACATACTAAATGGTCTGAGTATTCCTGCGATGAGGAAATGTGCTCATTTTAATTCATTTATATGCACATGGAAGTAGAATTTGAAGAGATGCTTGTTAACATCCCAGGGAAGTAGTTTCATGGAAACCCCTTTGGGAAATGCTGATTCTGTTTTACAGATAAGGGAACTTAAGTCTACAGACACTATGTCTGGAATAGCAGTTAGTTGGTGGCAGAATAACAATTAGAGTACAGGTCTTCACATTCTATTTTTGAACTCTTTATCCTGGCTGTGTTACCAAAAATCCCACATGTTCTGTAGTTAGACTTTAGACCAAGTGTACTTACATGTCCATTAAAATTCACAGAAGGTAAAATAGAAATATTTCCTGCTGATATGACTGATATGTATTGACAGATAATTTCAGAAATGTGAAATAACTATTAAAATATCAGTTATAAAAACATTGATTTTTGTTTCTCACCTTGACTTTGATGACAAAATTTTACTAATAATGTCTCAGGTTACTTATTTCTTATTATTTTTATTATGTATGGAAAGTGTTCTCTCTCCCCAAAATTACCTGCAACTTTTGCAATAAATGTACTTAAATGAGCAGATTGAAAAGTTAGAATTTAGTTTTGTAAAAGAATACTACTTCATTATTGTTCTCTTGGTTTGATGATTTTTTAAAATTTCCTCTAATAAAGTTGAATATATTTCTAATTTGTGTCATTAATAATCACGGTAGAAGATAATTTATTCAACTATTAATATATTCAACCAGTAATCACTGAGCATTTGGTAAATGTCAGACACTGTGCTAGGCTCTGTGAATATATTGGCATCAAGGAAATCCTCATACTCAAGGTGTCTGTAATCAAGTTGACAGATTGAAGCTATATTTAGTACTGTAATAAATCAGAAAGAATATATCAGTTTGTTGGAATAGCATATGGTTGCCCAAACTAAACAATGTTAGCCTTGCCTTTTAAAAATATTTATTTATGTACTTAAAATATACCTGGTTTACCGGTAAACACAAATGAAAAGAAATTGAATTTATCCATATTAATGATGTCTTCAAAACATCTTCATTTTTAAAACAAAGCAAATGTTTTATATAGACAATGTGTGAACATAAGCCTCCACAAAGAACTACGTTTTGTTTATAAGCCCTTCCTTTTCCTCTACAACAGTACAGTTAACTGAAACAGAATGGTCCGTGAAAACTTAATTTCGTGCTATCGGCCAGAAAAGCACAAGAGGAACTGACAACAAAGATGTGTCTCCTGGTCAGTGTCACTGCTGAATTATAACTGAGGTTTGGATATTTTTAAAGATACCACTTTAATAATTCCCAATGTTAAACTCTTTTGGGAAAAGGAAATGCAAAAATACAAAGTATAAAACTAGTAAAATTTGCTGCTTTAATGCTGAGACAGAAACTGATCTATATGGTAAATCACAAATGGCTGATGCAAACAAGAATTTGAAGGTTATATAAGAAATGAGTGTATAAGAGAAAAGATGCACTGCACTATTTCTTTGTTCTTCAGGGAGCCCTGCTTCACTTTTGGTGGTCGAGGTTGCCTTCGGGGAGTTTGCAGTCTGTCATATCAGAGGATCCAGAACCCTGAGTTCATTGCCATTTATATGTGTAAAGTAGGAAAGGGACAATATTAAAATTCAAGAATTGATCCACTACCACTTAATAGAATTCCTCTCTGCATTAAATTATTTGACTTCCTGTTCTATTCAGGACTGTGCCATTAATATTTTTTGGTAGGCCACATTAGATTGTAGGCTCACACAGAATCTATGGCCTACCAAAATATATTATTTATTTCCTGGACTCATTTAGACAACTCCGTGTAACATACTAGCACAAAAATATTTCCCAGTGGCATATGGATAATTTGAAGGATATCTTAGAATTGTACTTTGTAGTAATCTGTAAAGCATGGTACAAAGGGCCAAGAATTTGGATTCAGTTGGAATTGAGGTTAAATCCGAAATCTACCTGTATGTAATTTGTTGCTTTAAACTATTAATTTTCTAGAGATGTGTGTAAAATTTATTCCTCATGTAAAATTTATCAACATTAACTCTATAAATTACTTTTGCATATTTTATTAATATCTAGGTTATCACCATATACATTTTCATAAAATAAATGATGGCAATGATGATGGTAATTGTTATTTGATCATAGCTGTGTGTGGCTGACAGCCACAAGACTGCAGTACTTTTTATTAGGATTGGTTGTATGATTGTACTTGTATTTTTGGCAATGTGCTTATATGGATTTGTGTTTTTAATTTCTTGATTTCTCCAATTTCCTTTTTGGAAGTCAGAAAAGCATTGATCATTAGAAATAATGATAATTATTCCAACACTTTCCTCATCTTCAAGTTAAAGTTCATTATCTGAGTTTATAACATATTTGAATTATCCTGAACTCTTTTTTTCTGATTCTCCTATCTTGGGAAATATATTGATAACTCTGCAGCCTCCTTTTTTTCAGGTATATGAATGGGATAATAATATATACTTCAGAGGGTTACTATGATAATTTAAATTCCATAGTATATATAGAATCATAGCTTACTATCCAGTTCTTAGGATATGATCAAAAAAGCCTTTCTCCTAAACTTTTTTTTAATAATATACCTTATGTACTCTGAAACATCTTTTTGCCTACTGAAATTATTCTGAAATTCACAGGTTGACATCTAAAATCATCTATCATTTACCTCCAAGCGAATTATGGAACTTTTCATCCCCACTTCTTTCATACACTCTATTGAATCAAATGAGATTTTATGCTAGTCCACAACCTCACTCCTTATTTTGTGTCTCTTTATCTGTGTTTCTCTTGGTGTCCCCTGCTGAGAACTGTTATGTCGACAGCTCTTATTCATCCTCTTTTCTAACGCTAAATGATTCCTGTCTATAAAGAACCATTTCACATTCCTATTTCCCCAGCTAATTTTACAAATTCTAATGCAGTGAAATATGATCTCTTCTTTCTTGAAGTCCTATAAACCATTATGTCTCTTATGGTATAGGCTTACCTGGGAGGTATTGTGGATCAGTTTCCAGACCACTGCGATAAAGTGGATATCTCAATTAAGTCACATTATTTTTTTTAATTTACCAATAAACAAAAGTTGTGTTTACATTATGTTGTCATCTATTAAGTATGCAATAGCATTATGTCTAAAAAAAAGTATATCACTTATTATAAAACACTTTCTTATTAAAAATGCTAATTATCATTTGAGCCTTCAACAAGTCCTTTGTTCTGTTTGTGAAGGGCTTACTGACTGGTCAGAGTGGTGGTTGCAGAAGGATAGGGTGGCTTGGACAATTTATTAAAATATGACAACAATGAAGTTGGCTACATTGATTGACTCTTTCTGACATGAAAGATTTCCTTATTCCATCCAATACTTTTTGATAGCGTCATACCCACAATAGAACTTTCAAAATTGGAGTCAGCCCTCTCAAATCCTGTTGTTGTTTTATCAAATAAGTTTTTGTAATAGTCTAAATCCTCTGTTGTCATTTCAACAATATTCACAGCAGTTACCCCAGGGGTAGATACCATCTCAAGAAACGACTTTCTTTGCTCATCTGTAAAGAGCAGCTCCTCATTTTTCAAGCTTTATCACGAGATTGCATCAATTCAGGCACATCTTCAGGCTCCACTTCTAGTTATAGTTGTCTTACTATTTCCACCGCATCTCCAGTCACTTGATATTTTGACCTCTTCTCATGAATTACGAATATTCTCAATGATATCTGGAATGGAGAATCCTTTCCAGGCGGTTTAACTTAGTTTGCCCATATCCGTCAGAGAAATCACTATCTGTGGAAACAATAGCTTTATAAAATGTATTTCTTAAGTAATAAGGCTTGAAAGTTGAAATTACTCCTTGATCATGAGCTGCAGAATGGATGTTATGGGTGTTGTGTTACTAGGCATCAAAGCAACATTAATCTTCTTGTACATTCTCCATAAGAGCTCTTGAGCAACTAGGTGCATTTTCTGTTAGTAAGCAGTAGTATTTTGAAAAGAACCTTTTTTTTTTTTTTTTCCTGAGCAGTAGGTCTTAACTATGACTTAAAATATTCTGTGCATCAAGCTGTAAAAAATGTGCTGCCATCCAGGATTTGTTGTCCAATTTATAAATCACTGGCAGAGTAGATTTAGCATAATTCTTAAGGTCCCTAGCATTTTGGGTATGGTAAATGAGCATTGGCTTCAACTTAAAGTCATCAGTTACACTAGTCCCCAACAAGAGAGTCAGCCTGTCCTTTGAGTCTTTGAAACCAGGTATTGACTTCTCTTCTCTAGCCGTGAAAGTCCTAGGTGGCACCTTCTTCCAATAAAAGGCAGTTTTATCTGCACTGAAAATCTGATGTTAATGTAGACATCTTCATCAATTATTTTAGCTAAATCTTCTGGATAACTTGCTGCAGCTTCTATATCAGCATTTGCTGCCTCATCTTGCACTTTTATGTTATAGAGACAGCTTCTTTTCTTAAACCTAATGAACCAAGCTGTTCCAGCTTCAAACTTTTCTTCTGTAGCTTCCTCACCTTTCTCAGCCTTCATAGAACTGAAGATAGTTAGAGCCATACTCTGGATTAAGCTTTGGTTTAATAGCCTGTTGTGGCTGGTTTGGTCTTCTATCCAGACCACTAAAATTTTCCTCATATCAGCAAAAAGGCTGTTTAACTTTCTTATCATTCATATGTTCACTGGATTAGCAATTTTAATTTCCTTTAAAAACTTTAGCTTTACATTCACCATTTGGCTAACTGTTTGGGACAAGAAACCTAACTTTTAACCTGTCTTGTCTTTTGACACGCCTTCCTCACTAACCTTAATCATTTCTAGCTTCTGATTTAAATTGAGAGATGTGATGCTCTTCCTTTCACTTGAACATTTAGAGATCGCTGTAGGGTTTTTAATTGGTCTGATTGCAAAATTGTTGTATCTTGGGGAATAGAAAGGCCCAAGGAGAGAGAAAGAGATGGGGAATGACTGGTAGTTGGGGAAGTCAGAGCACAGACAACATTTATTAACTTAGCCGTCTTGTATGGGCATAGTTTGTAATGCCTCCCTAAAAATTATAATGGTAACATCAAAGATAACTGATTATGGACCACCATAAAACATATAATAATAATGAAAAATTTGAAATATTGCAAGATTTACCAAAATATGGCACAGAGACATGAAGTGAGCACATGCTGTTGGAAAAATGACACCAACAGACTTGCTTGACACAGGATTGGCACAAAGCTTAACCTTGTAAAAAGCAGAATATCTATGAAGTGCAATAAAATGAGGTATGCCTGTACTTCTATCATGTCTATCATGGTAATTATTGTGTAAATATTTTGCTTATTCTGTCTTCTAGATTGTAAGTTTATTAAAAGAAGCTATTTTTTATATTTTTAAATTTTCTAGTCTACTTGCATGGCCAGAACTCAAAAAGAAATTGTTGGAGGAATTGAAAGGGGAGTTGACTCAGACGCTATCTCAGAATAACAACCTTTAATTCATTTTGAAGTATTGTTATTTCCTCACAAAATTGATAGCTATATCTCAGTTTCACTTTGTTCTGTCTGTGTAAATACAAAACTCGAGTTTAATTAGTTGTAATAGTTATGATTTGCCTGTTACAGTTGCCTGCCCATTAATAGTTGATTGGGATGACCAATTCATTTCACAAGGGCCACCGAGCATCTGTTAGATAATGATGACTTTCAGCCATTGGTAAAGATGAAAGGCAACTGTTTCTCATTATATGTAAGAGAATTTGGTGTTTGGCTAAATCAAAAGTATACTTTGCCAAAAATGGTTTCCTCTAATTATTGGAGCAGTGTGCATTTCAAAAAAAATTAATCCATTCATTTTCCTAAATGCCAGTTTAAAATCTATTAGCTGTCCTTAAAATCTTATATTTATTTTATAGCCTATTTTTTGTACTAAGTCCATGAAAAATAAAGGAGGCCATTAAATAATTGTACACTGTTGACTTGAAATCCTGAAGACACACATATGATAAATTAATGATTTAGAGAAAACAAAAAGAAAAATGTGATAGTTTCTTTCAAAGGTTCATAATTAGAGAGTCCAAGTAGAGAGACAGAAAAGATGCAAGTGTATATATCGTATGGTATCCATGTAGTCCTTTTGCATCAGAAGCGAGTCAGGAATTAAGGACCTAAGGAGACAAGCACAGCCAGAAACAATAGACCTCTGTGTTTAGTATTGACTACAAAGACAATTGTGAAATATTGGTAACAGAATAAAAGCTAAGGAAAGTGTGGCTGTATTCCTAACATGGCTTTTACAAGGCAGTTTGTGCTTAACTAACTTGCTTGGCTGCTTGAAAATAATGCACTGTGAAAGATAAGAAAAGTGGATATAGTAGGTTTTGATTTTCATAAAAGATTTTGACAGCTTCACGTGAGAGATTAATGGCTAAGGTAGAGAACTATAGAGAAAGCAGTAAGGAGTTCTTTACATAGGAAATCGGTTCAAGAATGAAACAGTATTTGAGGATGAAAATATTTCAAGTAAAATAGAATTTTAGGGAGCAGTACACTTTAGACTTTTAATTTCAAAAAGCACTCAATTTGCATTCTTTTTTCTTTCCTTCTTCTCTAATTTATAATTCCCATGCATTTATTATATTTAATAATGTTACTTATGTGTTATGCTTGCTACAAATTATACTAAAAGTGATTACCAGTGTGTTTATCCACAAAATGCAGGTAAATGTAAGAACAATGAATGACAAATATGTATCTTGCTAAGAAATGAAGGAGTTACTGCCACACAGTAGGAACTCTGAACTACATAAACAGGAATGATATTTCACCAAGACCATGTTTGGATCATGAAATAAAAATGTAAAAAACCCATCTTTGAATTCATAAGAATAATAATTACAATATTATGTTGTTTGAGTCAAATTAAAACCAAATGAGTAAGGTTTCCTCAGTTTAATAAAATATTTGTTAACTTATGTAGATTTTCTTTATACGGCCTCTTTACCCATTCTTTATCTATTTTACCTGGCCTCTTGAGTTTTTCTTACATGTTCCAGAAACATAGGAAAGAAAACGAAACTATATGAGCAGCTTCCATTTGTTTTTCTAAGACAGAAAGCAGTTTGTTCTCCTTTCAGTGTGTCAAGGCTAGAATTTAGTATCACTAAGTTATTTTTAAAGTAAAATGAACAAGAAGATAAAAGGAGACTCTCTAGACAGTGGGCAGTTCCATTTGTTCCAAATTATATATTCAATTTTTGAACCATAGAGGAAATCCAGAGATTGCTGTGTGTGCTTCAATTTAGGATAATTTGAAACAAAAGTTCTAAAGTACAATAGAGTAAGGCTGGTGTTAATGCTGCCTCTCCTACTAAACCTGCCCTGACCTATTCTTACCCTATTCTTTGTTCCAGTAGAATATGTCATCTTTTCTTTTATGCAGCAGTCACACAGTATTTTATTTGGAGTTCTTATAGTATTCAAAAAACTATTTTTTAAGTACCAACTACGTGACAGGTACTGAACTTCTTACTACACTTCACAATGAAAAATAAGCCAGAGTCTTGTACAGTTTAGCAGGACAATAATTGATTAAATGAGTGACTGAACAGTGCAGGGCAATAAAGAATGATGCCTAATATGCTAGGGCAGTGCAAACCTTAGGGAGGGTCCATTACACCTGTCTGAGGCCATTGAATGGAAATGTCAGGGATAGCTTTCCAAAGACATGACATCTAAGGTTAGGTGCTTAGATCTTATCACATGAGACATTTCAGTCCATCTCACAAAATAGCCCTTTCAAGTGCGTATTCATATCCCCATTTTAAAGAAGCAAATGTGAAGGTTGAGAAAAATTTAGTCCCTAAATTCCTCAGGCTAGAAGTCACAGGAAGAGTTATGATTCAATCCTGTGTTAGTCTGAACCCAAAGTACAATATCCTTGAAGAAGCCATATCAGTATTTCCCCCAGATTCCAGTTCACCTGTGTTTAGAGTGATAGTGTATTTTTTTTCCTCTTCAGGTTAACTTTTTAGAGTGACTCAAGGAAGTAATAACTAATATCACAAAATTCTGACCTTGAGAGATGATAGTCATGGGGCTCGAAAAATATGCAGCAATCTAGTAAAGACAACTCCAGCCAGAAAGTCATGGTTGAAATTTACGGTTTTCCTAAATCGCAGTGGATTTTACATCCCTTAGAGGTACTCGCATTTCTGAGCCAGCAAGGCAGTGAGATATGACAGGTCCAGCTGTCCACTAGATGCTGCTGCTGGATGGATCCTCTAGCAAGAGAGGCATCGATATGTGGGGAGATTCTGGCACTTTCTGTAAGAAAGAGCTCAGATGAAATTAATTTAAATTATATATTGGTTTCATATTCAAAGTGTGTCACTTTTTTTACTATACATGTAATAATAAATACTCATTTTCATGTCTTGTCCATTTTCGTACCAAATATCTCCTGTCTCTCTCTCTCTCTCTCTCTCACACACACACACACGCCCCTTTTGAAGCACACATATCCCTTGAAGAAGCAAATATTTAACAATAACAAAGAGTTGATCATAAAGATATATTTTTATATTTCTCAAAATGAAAAGAAACCCTAGACTACAAACACATATTTAAAAATAAATATTTATAATATATGGATATCAGCTTAAGTTTTTCTAAAGTACATAAATATTGACTAAATACAAACGATATTCAAGCCCATAGAATTTAGTAGAATAGGGCACAATTTTTATTTTCAAGAGAGAACATAAATATTTTAATTCGCTGATCCATGGAAATTATAATAAAGTGTGCTACATTCCAGTTGTTGTTTTAACAGAATTTAAGCAACTTTAAATCTACACAAGATAGAACAAAGTGAAAAGATTTTTTAAGCAACTGTATTTTAAAAGTCCGTGTTCTTCAGAAAGATTGTCTTTGGGGCACTATATTCAATGTGTAAACTTATATTATAATAATTCTCACATATATTCAGTTGTCTCCTTTCCCAACCTCTAGGAAGATAGAAAGGGAAGATTAGAAGTGGAGAAATACTACTCAAATATGTTGGTAGCTTACCATTAGAAAAATATACCAAATACAGCATCTTAGACATAAATACACTTAGGTACATGATGACTTTCCAAGGACTGTGCAGGAACAGATAGTTCTAAGAAATTTATTGATCATTAATTTCCATATTTTTTTTTTTTTAAGTGACCAACCTGCTGGAGAATGTCTGTATTTTGACTGGTTCTGGTTCCTACTTCCTGCTTTTACTGTCACCTTTCACAAAACCTGTTGAACATGTAGAATCATACCATGGGCCACGGCCCAAAGTTTAAAACTTGCAGAAAGTAAACAAAGAGGCTATTTAAAATGTTGATGTTAAAACAATATCTAGAGGTTGCTAAATTCTTTTGCAATAGAGGTGGTTTACAACTTGCTTTCTATACATCTACAGGGTGTATAGTATCATCATCAACTGATAAAGCATTAGGAATGATTTTGGGTGAGATTCCTGTAATTGTTTGTTGTATCCCTCTCATCAAGTTGAAGAATTAGTAGTATTGCTTAAATAGGACACCTTCCATTCCCATAGACTTATTTATGAAAACAGATTTTCTCACGGTTTCTGTCCATAAAATCCATTCCAACAAAATCTAGGAAGAATTCATTCTGGACTTTATTTCCTGTAAGTAAAAAGTTTTGCCATTTGAGTAAGAAAGTTTTTCCATGTATCTAGATAAAACCAATTCATTAACACCTCTATTATTAACTATATTAAGTTATATATATGATTTATATATATAATATATATTAACTATATAAAGTTATCCATATATATATACATATACGTGTGTGTGTGTGTGTGTGTGTGTGTGTGTGTGTGTGTGTGTATGAGACAGGATCTGGCTCTGTTGCCCAGGCTGGAGTCCAGTGGTGTGATCTCAGCTCACTGCAACCTCCACCTCCCAGACTCAAGACTCAAGCCATCCTTCCATCTCAACCTCCTAAGTAGCTAGGACTACAGGAGCACACCACCATGTCTAGCTAAGTTATGTAATTTTTGTTGTAGAGATGGGGTTTTGTTATGTTGCCCAGGCTTCTCTTGAACTCCTGAGCTCAAGCTCAGCCTTCCAAAGTGCTGGACAAATATTTATTAAAATGTGGGATACATATATAAATATAAAAGTTGTTCAATCATATACTATTAATAATTATAAAAGTTATTTTATTTTTGAATATTTTTTCACTTAGATTTGTATGTTCACAAGACATATTTTAATGCTAATTTATATACAGCATTTTACAGTAGAAAAGATAGGATATCAATAAAAGGCTTTAAAGAAAAATTAGGATCAAATTATGAGGGATAAGTAGAATAATATCAGTTTAAGGAGAAAAAGCAACGTAGCGTTTATTTTAAAGTAGAGTTTGTTCATCTTGTTTTAAATGGCTGTTAATGAACATCACATCACTCTTAATTCGATTTCTTTGGACATATTTAAAATTGAGAACTTACGGTTTTATTTTAAAATAGCAATATTGATAGTAGTAAGAAATTATAGGTTGGCAAAGACCTTGGATTATGATGAAAATTTTAGGTGGCAATTTTTGAGAGTTCAAAGGTGTACATAATTTACAAAATTGTTATATGAACCATACAAGCAAGAAGAAAAAAAACTGAGGTTGAGACCACCCTGGGCAACATAATAGACCCTGTCTCTACAAAATATAAAAATAAAAATATTTAGCCAGGCATGGTGGCATGCACCTGTAGCCCCAGATATTCGGGAATGTAGGACATGTGGAGAGAGGCTAAGGCGGGTGGATCGCTTGAACCCAGGAGGTCAAGTCTGCATTGAGCTATGATTGCATCACTGCACTCCAGCCTCAGTGACAGAGTGAGACCCTGTCACTCCCACACAAAAAAAAAGAAACGAATAGAATTGGTAACCCTTTACTTACATTAATGGGCTTGGGAAGATCAGTGTGCTTATGCAGTCTCTATATAGAAATTCACAATCATAACCTAGAGTTATGAAGAGCATTAACCTATAAAACATTGTAATAATTATAAAATGTTTACATTTATAATTCACTTTATAACTTTATAAACCTATCTCCCATGCACAGCCTCTTTGATCTTATACCAAAATAGAAGCTACTTAACACAGGTGATATTATCTCAATTTTGCAACTATTAAATTCTTTATAGAAGTTGAATTACTTGCCCAAAACAGTTGCTAGTAAACTAGGAATATGGTTTCTGAATGTAAGTTTTCAGTCCCAGTACAACTTTTATAACTTTTTAAAATATAACACCAAGGCTGTCTTTTTCTACATGTTCTGCTTATAAGATGGGGAAGTATAAAAAAAGAAACTTTTGTGGCAGTTCAAAGGGGAGTAAATGAATGAAGTACTTTTACATATGACAATTAGCTACCTATAAAATTAGTTCTGTGAACCAGCTCTGTGCTCTGACAGTATAGAAAAATAAAGTTTTGCTACATCAAGCCAGACTCTGAATTCTTTATTTTTTTCCTTCTTCTAATTATATTTTATACATAGGGTTTTTTGTTATTGTTATTACTGGCAGTAGTATTGTTTTCAAACAGAAAGTTAACCACAGGGATGTAGGGTAATAATAGTTAACCTGAATTGCATACTTATCATGCACCTCCTTCTGTCCTAAACAAGTTAAACAAACTAATTAATTTAATCCTCATAACAATTTTGTCAAGTAAGTACTTTTACTAACCCCATCTTACAGGTGAGAAAACTAAGGTAAATTAACTTGGCCCAGGTTCCAGGCCTAGTACACAAGAAAGATGACATTTGAACTCAATATTAACTATAATTACACTACACAGTTTGTTAAGGAAAAGTTATAATAAAAAATAAGATCTAGCAAAGACTCAAATTTGAGACTATTTTTAACTTAACATCTTTCAAAAATATAAAGTTTAATTTTTTTACAGGAAGCTGTTTAAAAAAACATTAATTTTTTTCTTCTTGGGTATACTCCTTAATTTATATTTTAAGGCATAGTTCATACTGAATTATGGTTTAGTCCATTTTCTCGAGAAGACAGACAAATATGGGTTAATGGCTACTATAGTAACTGATTGCAAGGCTAGCTTTAATTAGTTGACTGTGTAACCATTTTTTATTCATAAAACAAAATTTGTGTTCAGAATATTTTTTATTAGGAAAAATTGCAATAAGAAAAATCCAGCAGTGCCTGGCAGGATGCTTAAAGATCAACATAAGCAGATGGGTTGGGAAGGTGGGGAACAGAATTCATTTTGCTTTTTAAATGTCTGTATTTGGTGATACTGTAAAGTAGCATAAGTTTATTATTTTTACAAAACATGAATTTAGAACCTTTCCGTATATCCATCCGTGTTATGTTTCTTATTTTATAATCTCTATTTATTAATATATGCAAATAGAATACTTTTAATGACTTCAACACAAAGATGGCTGATGGAAGGGAGACGAGCTGCAATTGCTGATACTGTTCTTACTAGAGAAGTCCATGTCCTTTATTCCCTCAATTTAGGGATAAGGTGTATGTACCTGGCTCCATCCCAAAGAGGATGGAATAGAAAGGCTTGTCTGGAGCCTAGAGCTTTATCTCAGTCATTTCTCTGGATCTGATTGCATTCCCTGTCTTTGATACTGCTATTTTAAACACCTCCTGCATGCATTTTGAATGTAGTTTTCATTATCTTTGTATCTCCTGAGGTGAAAGTCCAACTTCTCCAGGAAGCAGCTGCCAGGGAGACAGTATTGCAGACAGAACTTTCCCCACAGCGGTTCAGAGCACCTGCCAGTTATCAAAAATCTTGAAGCCCTTCCAGATCCCAATATCTCACATTCAATCAAGTCCATGTGGGAGAAAGCAAGCTGATTTAGTTGAATTCAAAAATTAAAAAGTAGAGATGACAAAGAAATTTTCTGCTTAATTCATGTTTAAAGCCATTGGAACAAAGCTAGCCTTAAACCACTCAAATTTGTAACACCTTTTTTTCTTTTTTAGGACTTTTACATTCTTTGCTTCATTTATCAATTTTGTATTCATGCATTCAGTAATCTTAGAGCAGAGATGATAAGACCTATCTACTTCTCAGAATGTTTTTGTGAGTGTTAAATGAGATCATACATTTAAAAAATATTTCCATGCCTCTTAACCCATAGTAATCATTCTGCAAATGAAATTTATTATCGGGATAAGAGGATAGTAATTAGTAACAGACCAAAAATGAAGATATTTTGATATTCAGACTTTGTTAGTTTCTTTAATCATAATGTACAAGATCTCTCTTACTCTATCCATGCTTATTTTACTTCATAAATGCTAATTTATATGTTAAATTATTTACAAATAATGTATTGAAGCACCCTTTACATGTAAAAATTGTTTGGCATGGCCCCTCCTAACACAGACATATATTCTTGCTTGGAAGCTTCTTATTAATGGAAAGAATAAGATAAAGCAATTTGTGGTATTGCAGAAAAACAGTTTAATTATGAGTTAAAATGAGTGATTTTAATGTTTGAAAATGTGACTTAATCATAACCAAATTTGAATGATTTCCCAGGCATTTAAAATGTTATATATACATATATATGTATATATATAAATGGCTCTAAGTTCATATTTTATACACACATGTGTAAATATGTGTATGATACATGTGTATATATGTGTATGATACATGTGTATGTATGTGTGTGTATGTGTGAGTATATACATAAAACAAACTTAACTATACATATATGTATAGTTTGTTTATAAATATACATATATGTATAGTTAAGTTTGTTTTATATATATATACACACACATACACATATGTATAGTTTATAAATATACATATATATGTATGTGTGTATATATATACACATATATATACACACACATATATATACACATATATATGTATGTGTGTATATATATACACATATATATATACACACACATATATATACACATATATACTTATATATATATATAAAACAAACTTAGGGCCAGGCATGGTGACTCATATTTGGGAGGCTGAGGCAGGAGGATTGCTTGAGTCCAGGAGTTCGAGGCTGCAGTGAGCTACGATCGTTCCACTGTACTCAAGCCTGGGTGACAGAGCAAGAATTTGTCTCTTAAAAAATATAGATTTAGGCCGGGCGCGGTGGCTCACGCCTGTAATCCCAGCACTTTGGGAGGCCGAGGCGGGCGGATCACGAGGTCAGGAGATCGAGACCATCCCGGCTAAAACGGTGAAACCCCGTCTCTACTAAAAATACAAAAAAATTAGCCGGGCGTAGTGGCGGGCGCCTGTAGTCCCAGCTACTTGGGAGGCTGAGGCAGGAGAATGGCGTGAACCCGGGAGGCGGAGCTTGCAGTGAGCCGAGATCCCGCCACTGCACTCCAGCCTGGGCGACAGAGCGAGACTCCGTCTCAAAAAAAAAAAAAAAAAAAAAAAAAAAAAAAAAAAATATATATATATATATATATATATATATAGATTTAAAGAATTTTAAGTTGTGCATTAAAGTAAAACTAAACTATATGAATTAATACCATCACTTGATTACATTAAACTTCACAGATTTCAGAGAGGCGTTAAGTATAGTTCTGCATGAAAAAAGTAAGAAAAATTCACAAAGCTTAATTTTCAGTTTTTTTTCCCATCTAATTTACAATGTAAAAATGTTTTAAGATGTTCGAGGATTTGGTCTTATAATCAATAGTGGCTGATAGTTTTCAATCTTGTATCCAAAATATTTTAAAAATAAGCATATTATCCCAAATTGCTAGAGTGAAATACATAGAAAATAGAATTCTTTTTCCAACAAAATAAGAAACCAATGCTACTTGTTTTTTTTTTCTTTTTTGCTATTACACAAGAAGTAAAATATACCCAACTTGGCATAACTCCCATTTTGAAAATAAATGTACATGTTTTATTGATATTACTTTGGTTCTAAGGCCTGAAGATTTAGTGTAATTATTTCATAATAAAGTTTTTCTCATATAATACAAATGTTAATAAGCAAGTCATCTGTTAGTTACTTAACTAACAGATGCATCTCAGTGTCTTCATTGTAAAATGGGTATAATGATAATAATAATAGTTTTTGATATAACCTAACTCAAAGTCTTGTTTTGAGGATTGAATGAAAAATATACATAACATGCTTAAAATGTATCTGGTGCATAGTAATGTTAACATATTACTATTGTATACTGAACGGTATTGAACTGTTACCTGCTGAAGTGCAGTTCTCACTTAGATATCACCAGAACATATTTTAAAATACAATTCTTATCATCTCTAAGGATGAGGACTTCATTAAATAATTGAAGTTCACTGGACAAATTGTTACCATGGATTTCCCACCACCCTTCACTGTCTTCCACCTCTGCCACACCTGCAAAAATAGAAAGATAATAAGAACCATTTCTGTGTCTGAGTAGTTGTAAAAGAGAATTTTAAATATTGTCAATCATAAGATTATATAAAGTGATATTATTATCTAGGAAATATTTATATAACCATACAATTTATGTATACATACATACATATTATCTAGGAATCAACTCTCATGAAAGATATCAAGAAGAGAGTGCCCTAAAAAACAAAGGTAGGGGAGAAAGATGGTAAAATTTCTGTTCTCTTCCATATAATCTCTGCTTCACTTGCCTTACCTCATTTGGTCTTGAAATTGGGATATCAAAACTCTCTTTGTGTGCAAAATCAGCATGGAGATTTTATGGGGTTCTGAACTCTGTTAATATGCTTTTGAAAGTTCTCCTTCTGTCAAATTTAGGACTTTATGATGCAATGAAGAGACAGCAGTAAAGGTAGCTGGTAAGTCTCTTCATAGGAATATTATTTTCACTCAGTTTAGCTTTGAGTCCAAGAGAAAAATGTACTTTTTATTTTTTATTAATTGGTGCCTTTAATAGGAGCTTTCATTAATCAAAATGTCTTGAGAAAGCTGTTCTTTCTCCATACAGCTGAATAAATTCTGCTGTGTGGAATACTGGTAATGGTGCTAATGCTTATGTTTTTGGACTGTGCAACAAAGAATTTGAGATATAAGTAGACAAAATCATTCCTCAGCAGCCACAGGCTTTTTGACTTAACTGAGCTTTAAAAAATAACAAATACCCTAAATATGCTATTTTTCGCTACACTCTCTGATGTCCACCTTTCCAATTTAATCACCACAGGAGTTAGTATCACAGGCATATTCTGTTAGAATTTTCCTAACAGTTTGATCAAATAGCATCTCACCCAATGGGACTTCATACCCCCAAAACAGAGACCTGCCTAATGCGTAGTAACATCCTTTAAGGGGGCCCCTAAAAAGAATTTAGGCAGCAGTGCCATTCTTATTAGAAAAGAATTAAATATTGTTAGCCTGGGTTTATATAATTAAAACCATGAAGCAAAAAGAAATGTTCAAGCTATTTCCTATGTATTTTCCAATAGCCAGATGTTTGGAACTATGTGCACAAAATATCCAGATGACTGACTGAAAATTTAAGTATTTATCATGATATTTGGTATAGTGTCAACAGAGCATATGCTGAAGAGTGTATTTTTGGAACTGTTTTATTCATCTCCTTGCAAAATAGGTAGTCTAGCAGATTTTTAAAGTGAAAGATAAAAACCACTATCAAGGAAAGCTATGCCATACTCGATTAAAGGATATATTTATTATTGAACATTTTTATTCAGATTATTTCATTGTCTATATTTCAAAGGGACCTTAAGATCACTTGCTGCTAAAATGTTCCATTTTGAAGTCCAAAGAAAAAAGATCTGAATTTGTGACCAGAGAACTGTTACTTCATGCTGTCCCATTAATGATCTGACCACCCTCACTTCACTGAACTCCCCCTTACACCCTAATTCCTCCATTCTAAACAGGTAGTCCCCCTGACTTGCTGCTGCCTGACTCTAAAAATACTAGCATAGTCTGTCACTGTGGTTAAGAATGCAAGCCAACTGGCTTTGTTCAATCACAACCTGCCAGTACCTTTGCTTCTTCATCTAAAAAATTAAGATAATAGTAGTATCTGGCTCATAGGGTTATGTGAGGCTTAAATGGTATAATAAATGTAAAATGCCTAGCAAACCTCCTAGCACATACTAAGCAGAATGTCTAATGGTTTAAAAGGGTTTCGGAAGTGTAGAGTCAAATGTTGTAGTTCTTTCTTATTTCAAGTAGCTATGTGTATGAATGATTTTCTTGATCTGCCACCGGCACTCTGCCCACCCCTGCCCCTGACTTGCCTTTTTTTCTGATCACTGAATTCTTAGCTTAGTTCTTCACTTACTGATTTAGATTGCTTAGCACATCCTCTGTATCATTCACCAGTTATTGTCTGTACTACATATATCTGCATTTAATTACATGTAATTATAGTTTACATGGGTGTGACTTTGCTTTTCCAACTATGCCTCACTTTGGGAATTTTGATACACTTTATCATATTATTCCTTTCTCCAAAATTTTCCTAATTTTTACCTTCATTTATCCACTCAACACACGCTTACATTTATTGTTCATTATTTTTAGGCCCTTGGAATATATAGAAGCAACCAAATAGACAAAATTCCTGGATCTTGCTTCTAGTGGAAAGAGACAGACAATAATCAATCAAGTAAATAGATAACATGTATAAAGGGAGTGTGGGAACAGTCGCGCTATTTTTGCTGTTTAATACATTAGGTCATTTAATGAAAACCTAAGGAAGATAGGGAACAAGTTATGTAGAACTTTAGGGGAAAAAAGTTGCAGGGAAGAAATAGCAAATACAAACTAACTGAGGCAAGAGAATGCCTGACTTGTTGGAAGCACAGCTAAAGGACCCCAGCCTAGAGCAGAGTAAAGTGGAAAATAGGAGTGGGAGGTAAAGTCAGAAAAGCATCAGGGGACCAGACTCTATAAGGCTGTGTTGACTACTATCAAAATTATAAATTTTCTTATGAATTAAATAGAAGGCCTGGAGTTGTTGATGATCTGATTTGAACTCTAAAATGTTCATTCTGCTTATTGTGGGAAGAATGGACCTGGCTACAAGGGTCAAGGGCAGAAGCCAGAGACTCTCAGAGAATCTCAATAATCCAATTATAATGACAATTTAATTACTACATTTTTCACTCCCTGTTCTGCATGATGGCTGTTCATGCGCATGCTTTATCATCCTTGCTAAATTATAAATTCTGTTTGGGCCAGGATTCCAACAAATTTATATTTGTAGACACTAGACGTTTTAAACCAAGAAAAAAAAATGTTGGTACCCAAAGAGTACAAAAATAAATTGCTATCATGCTCCTCTACTTGGCTCTCACCCTCCACCCCATTGTACCCTACATAGCTTCCCTCCTTACAAAATTTCTTAATACAGCATACACATGTCAAGCAATATCTCTTTGTATTGCAAAGGAAAAAATAGAATGTAGATGGAGAATGAAAAGGAGGTACAGAGGAAGAAGACATAGTTCTTATTCTCAAGGAATCTTTATAATGACCAAAAAAAAAAAAAAAAAAAACACCTACACATGCATACAGCTGTGTGTGTGTGTATGTGTGTATGTTTGGCCTATTCACATAGTCTATGTAGTCATCTCATACTAGACCTTTAAACTACATGTATTCTCTATATGATTTCATAACATAGCCAAGTCTACGTAGACTTGCTATTCAAAATTTGTAAAATTCCATGTATGGTAATTTGGGTTATTTATGTTCTAACATAATAATGTAGAACATTTGAGAATAATTCTACAAAATTCAGCAAAATTTCCAAAAGGAAAATATTTTTTTTTCTGATTGTCATTCAAGAGTATTACTAATGTGTATCTTAAAAAACTTTGAGTTGGGAACACTGGCTATTACAAAATAGAGTTATTGAAGCCAAGGAGACATAAATGATCCCTTTTTTCATTTTTTTCATCATGAAGAAATTGAATTCCATTCTTCTGTGGCAGCCCATGTCATGCCAGAATTGAGGAACAGTGCTTATGCTAAGACTACTGGTTAATCTCTGCAGTCTTCCCTAATACCCCCCAAATAAAGGTAAAGCTGCTACTGCCTCTGGGGAAATGGAAATGCCCAATAGAGCATTCTAAATCAGACTTTCATGGTAAAACATCCACTAATAATTAATTTTCTGCTTCCTTTATACTAGGACAGGTTAAGCAGTTGGTCACATTCAGTAAATAAGAAATTACTTGCAGTAATTTCTGCAACATTCTAATCATTTTCCCATTTCTGAAACCTATTTTAAAAGTCTTTGATCTGCATTACAGTGGAAAGGATGTTGAATGTGGAAAGAGAAGACTTGATTATGAATTCAACATTGGCACCCACTAATATCGTGGCTTAGGCCAGTCATTTAACCTAAACATCTCCATTTATTTTCTAGTGATCAAGAGCTTTGCAATCTATACCCTGAAAGAGTTGTTATGAACACGCAATAGAAAAACATACGAAGGCCATAGATGCAGTGGTCACACAGAAACACTTGATGAATGCAGATACTAAATGACACACTAGAATTATCACAGTCCTAGCAGTTGATATTTCAGAGTTCTGTCCTGTACCAGCACAAATGTGATCTGTGAAATGGGAAATATGTACCCTCTATCTTCTTTCTGCATATTGTTAAGAATGACAATATGCTGGAATTATTTAATTACATCATTAAAGGGGTTTTATTTTCTTTATTAAATACATAAGGACAAGCTTTTCAATTAACAGTGACCTTTATGACTTCCGTTTTGGTTTCTGTAGATGGCAAAGCTGACTGCAAATTAGATTCTGCAATGTACCTTGTTCCTTACTTTTTCACCCACTGATTAGTTTCATACAGTTGACAGCAGCCCACCCTGTTGCTTTCAGCTTACAATTTTGTAGCAATCTCAAACACTGTGTTCAATCCCCCAAGGTGTTCTGTGGAAATGCTGTCAAACTATTTTTATGTATGTGTGTTTTCGTTCTGTAGCTGTGCTTTGTACTCATTTAAGAAAACCAGTCTTTAATTTGTAACAGAACATTTTCAAGATGAAACAGAATTCCAGGCCTCAGCAAAATCACTGGTATATGACCACAGCCTTCTTCTGTTCTAAAGCTTGATGTGCCTGACTACTATTAAACACAATGCTGTATTTTTGAAACCTGTTACAGAATATGACTAAATAAATGGCTGCAAATTTGACCTTAAAATCCAGTAATTGTCATTACGCTTGTCATCATCATGTGGATCCAGTTTTATTTCTCCAATTCCATCTCTCATGCCTTTTACCATATATCTCATGGTTATTTGTAGTTCCCTGAAATTCCTATTTCTCTCATGTTTACCTGGTGTTGCCCACATATAGCATCTCTGTCTAGAATGCCATATCTTACAATACTTATCTCTTTATCTCAGACATTGCCTATTTCAGAAGGCCTTTATGCCTTCAACGCCCTGAGTCAAGTAACTCTCTTTGATCTCTCATGCATCCTGTGTGTGATTTCATAAAAATATTCTCCTTTCTGTATGGTAATAATTGGTTTGCTCTTGTGTCTTCCTCGCTAGACTAAAACTTGTAGACAGCAACAGACAATACCTGTTTAAATCCATAGATATCTTATAAATGTTTGCTAGCTAAATGAATGCTTTATAAAAAAGTATTGATCAATAAATTGCAAAAACAAGCAACATTATTAATAAAAGTGTTATACTAGCTTTTTTATATCTAATGACTACAGCAATCAGTAAACATAGTTTATAGTTTTATCAGTGAAACATAGTTTACAGTTTCAGTGTACAAGCTTACCACTGTGCAAATGCAAGCTATTTTAAAAGTAAACCCTTATAGGCCGGGCATGGTGGCTCAAGCCTGTAATCCCAGCACTTTGGGAGGTGAAGGCAGGAGGATCGCCTGAGGTCAGGAGTTCAAGACCAGTCTGGCCAACACAGTGAAACCCCCTCTCCAATATAAATACAAAAATTAGCTGGGCACAGTGGCAGGCGCTTGTAATCCCAGCTACTAGGGAGGCTGAGACAGGAGAATTGCTTGAACCCAACAGGTGGAAGTTGCAGTGAGCCAAGATTTTTCCACCGCATTCCAGCCTGGGCGACAGAGTAAGACCCTGCCTCAAATAAAGAAAGAAACAAATAAATAAATAAATAAACCCACCCTTATATGAGTCTATGATTTCTGCATCTGGTACATTATATTCAGTATCAGATTGGGTCAGGTCAGTCTAAATCATGACCTTTACTGCTTCTCATAATTTCAAACAATGAAATAGGCTTTAATGCAGAAAATTGTGTAAACTAATTTAGCTTTATTTAGATGTGTCATCCAGACAGAATGAAAAAGGCTTTTGACTAACTTTCAGTTGAAACACACACACACGAACATGCACACACACACACACACACACACTACACACTTAAAAAAACTGTACACAAGTATTGTTTCACATTTGCATTGGGAATGGAAGATGCATCAGTATGTTCATGTTTCCTGAGTTAATGTCTGATGTTTGCATTTGATGCTGTGCTATTATTCAGCAAAAGAAAAAAACACTCAGAACAAAATAATGTTGTCTCTCATTTTTATTTTGATTAATAGTGTTGTATCTCTTGTAATTTGTAGGTGTTATTTGGAAGATGGAGCTTCAAAGGGTGCCTGGCTGAACCGGTCAAGTATTATTTTTGCGGGAGGTGATAAGTGGTCAGTGGATCCTCGAGTTTCAATTTCAACATTGAATAAAAGGGACTACAGCCTCCAGATACAGAATGTAGATGTGACAGATGATGGCCCATACACGTGTTCTGTTCAGACTCAACATACACCCAGAACAATGCAGGTGCATCTAACTGTGCAAGGTATGTATTTTCAGAACTGCTATATTGTGAAAGACTGTGCTTAGAAATATTTAATATTTAGGTATCAAAATGACTAGGAAGCAGTTAACAATGTTGAAATATTTGTTGTCATTGAAATATTTGTTGAATTATATTGTCATAGTTTTCAGGAATTTACATTCCTAGACATCAGAAAGTCATTAAGAGTCATACAGACAGAATGAAAAAGTCTTTTGACTGGCTTTCAGTTGAAACACACACGCGCACACACATACACACATTTAAAAAAAGGTATGCAAGTATTGTAGTCATTAAGAAGTGTAATGACTATTACAGGCATACAAATCCCTACTTACAAAGATAAAGAAATATCCATTAACACCATATTATGACATTTGTAACTGATTCACCTCATATCTTCCTTTGATTCATCCCTTCAATAAATCTTTGGGAGCCCATGATTGACACATTAAATGTTTGAAACCTACAATAGATACATGAAAATATTAGAACTTTTTGAAATATGCACAGTAACTCTTTAAATGCAATCCTCCAAGCATTCAAATACTCTGTCTCAATCCAACCTCTGTTTACTTTGATTCAAGTCACAATGAAAAGTAGCAGCCTTCTAGGATTTCTTTATTTAAATATAGAGTAATTGAGAAAATATGTACACAATGGTTTATATTTGATTTACTTTCAGTAGATCATGAATTATGCTAGCTAACTTTCAATCTCCAGATACAAACAGAATCATCAAATTATTTTATTTCTCTTCCATATTAAAATGTAAGAGCATAAGTCCCCTAAAATACAAATGGTTTTCAAGAAAAATTTAATTATTATGCTAGGAGAATGGAAAACGTTTATTTTTTACCTTTTACATTATTTCTTTCTGCTTTATAAATTAATCGTGTGTTGGTTGTTTAGAAATATTATGCTCTGTGGAACTAAAACTGAAGTTGCCTTATTTCTAAGTAAAATTAATAACAAATTATGTGATAATGTGGTGCCAGAGCATGCATGTTTTATTCCTAATAGGAAAGTTGAGTGAGAAAGTCAGCTGTACTCTCTTTGAGTTTACCCTTCAATAAGTCAAGGCTTAAAATTAACTTAGGTGCATAGCTTAAGTCTGAAAAAGATTGTTAATCTATAGACTTATTAACTGAGCTTTATTTCCTTATGTAAAGGTAAACTTGAATTCAAACACACCTTCAATTGTTAGTACAGTAAATATTTTAACTTTGTGATGAGGTTAAACTTCTTAAACAATTAACTTTAAGGAGGAAAGTATAAATTGAAAAATAAGTCAATGAATTTCCTCAGTGATTTTTCTTTTTTTTACAGATTATTGTAGGCTGTGATGATGTTCATTATTTAAAAGTGGTATATCAGAATATAATAACATTTTCACAAAAGTTCATCTTTAATCAGAGATTATTCAGGGACTCCAGAGGGTGGGAGTTAATCCACCTTCAGAAACCGACATGAGATTGTAAGACAAAACACATTTCTTATGTTATTCAAGCTTAATCTTGTTCTCTTGTTCAGTTCTCTGCCCTTTGACTTGAGTTTCTAGCTCAAAGACTCTAAAAGATTTTCATTATGTGAAAAAAGAAAGTATACTTGAACAATAATATGTTCGAGTTACTTAAGACACAGACATTTGGCTTGTACATTTTAAACTTGTAGGTTTAAATGATATATTTCTGAAGAATAAATATATTCCATTTTCCTTTTTCCATTCTCTCTTGTTCCATATTAGGTCTATATTTTAAATACCCAGACTATCGGTATTTAAGACCAGCCTAGGTACATGTTTAATTCTCATAGGATTTTTAAAATAACTTTATATTACATAGGTTGTTTAATATTGTTCACGTTTTTAAAACTGCTACATGTCTTACTATAGTACTCTTTTTTGCTGGTCATTAGACGATGGTGAACTTTTGAGCAGTTACGAATGTACTTATTGAATGTTCCTTCAGTTTAATATTTTATTCCTCTAGAAAAAGAAAAATCCATGTTACTGTTTTGAAAGTATAAGATTGGATAAAATTAAAAGCTAATAATTTTACAGTATTTATGAACATAATTACTTATTAGAAGTTGATTGACATGTAGGCGGTTTTCAAATTACATTAATAAAGTTCAGGGAATACATTAATAGGCTTGTCAGTCAATTCAAGTACTAAATAAATGTCATAAAAAGTCAACCCCACTTAAGCTACATTTCTTCTCAATGAACAAAAGTAAACTGATGTGTACACCTCTTCAGTCCCTAAATTTGTGAGATTGTCTGATGCTCAGGGGTATCAGCATAGTTTTGAAGCATATGCTCTTTGCCTAACAATCTGACAATCCTTTATTCACCAAGATAAAGAAGCTTAGCAACTGAGGGAAGACTGTATTAATCACTGATGTCAAACATACATTGGCTGGTAAAAACAAAGCTCATCTTCAATTGTTGCATGTACTCCAGGGAACTATTTTTTTTAAATCATTTTGAAAAGGGATAAAAAGGGGATATATTATCAACACAGACACTATGTTTGAGAAATTTATTAGTGCTATTGATTTCTTAGAGCTATTAATATAAATAAATGGAGCAGTGGAGGAGGGAAAACACTAAAGTAGGAATAGGAAAACCCGCATTCTAATCTGGAATTGTCCTGCATAAACTAGGCAATTATTAAGTCTCTCTGAACTCTGGCTTTCTCATTTCAAAAGAGACATAAGACAAGAAGGTCTTTAAGGTCCACACCAGTCAAAAAAAGACAAATGACAACAACAAAAAAAAACAAAACAAATAAAAAAATAACAAAAATCCCACGTCAATTATTTGCTTTGATTTAATGGGAACAAATATTTAAGTTAAAAAAGAAAAATATTTTATAACTTTTATTGAACACCATGCAAACTAATGTTTACATATAGCTCCTGTTACTACTTACTCCACAAGTACATTTCATTTCTCTTTATATTTTTTCTTTATCCAATGGAGCTGAGCAACCTATGTATTTATGAAATTTGGAGAATGTGATAATTTGGAGCCTGGCTTTAAAAGGGTTGAAACTGACTAATAGACTTAATAATAAAATAATTTTTTTCATTACCTATATATAACATGGTTTTGATAAATCAAATGACCTATTATTCACTGTTTTGAACTATGTGATATATTTACTAAGAACTAATTTCTTTGTTTATAAGTATAAAAGTGTGTGAGGCTGGAGGACTTGTTATGAAGCAAGAGCTCCTTATTACAATACTGTAATGTTGAGAAACATGAAATATAGACACTGCCCATTTGAATATATGTCAGGAATTGTGCTATGGTTAGAATGTGTCCCCCAAAGTTCATGTGTTGGAAAATTAATCTTGAAAGGAACAATGTTTGAGGTGCAGTCAAATAAAAGCTGGTTATTCATTCATGAGAGCTCTCATGAATGGGCTAATGTTGCTGTCATGGGATTGGGTTAGTTGTTGTGAGAGTGGGTTTGTTATAAAAGTGAGTTAGGCCCCCTCTTGCTTTCTTGTTCTTGTCCATCTGTTTTCTGTCATGGGATGATGCAGCACAAACGCTCTTGGAAGATGCTGGTACTATGCTGTTGGACTTCTCAGCCCCCAAAAATATGAGCCAAATAAGTTTCTGTTCATTATAAATTACCCGATCTGGGAAATTCTGTTATAACAACATAAAATGGACTAAGACATGGTTCCTACTTTTAGTTCTCCATGACGTTTAAAGTCTAGATTGTATAGAGCACAAATTAGACACTCATAGATAGCGTGTATTAAATAAACATATGAAATGTTTAGTGTTCAACTCATTCCCTTTCAAGGAAATACACTCTAAGTTTTCTCTGGTCAGAGTAGGAGGAGATTTGACTAGCACATAACTCTATAATCAAAATAACTTCTCAAAGGTATTTAACTTCTCCAGGGTATTGTAATTTCCTTAGGGTACATAACTCACCTAGAGTATTTGTAATAGGTGGGGTGCTACACTTCCCTTATCAAGGGTGGGCTTATTTCTCTAGAACCTGGGAGTGTAGTTAGAAGACAACATTCCGGGCCCTTTTGAGGATAGCCTCAGCTGCAGAGAGCCTCCTTGCTGAAGTCAAGCCCTGCCTAGAGCAGCCAACACCCAATGACTGCTTGAGGCAAGGAGTATAAAGACCTTTTCCTTTTAGCCCAATGTAGGACAGCTTTGATGGGCCATTTTAGGTTCAGAGCTCCTCATGGGCAGCTGAGGCTATTGTCCAGACTCCATTGCAGCTCTACTTCTTACTATATTCAAACCCATCTCCTTCTTCTTCCGTCCCCAGCGGCTGATCACAAGGATATTTCCTAATAAACATCTTGCACTCTAAACTCTGTCTTGTTTGAATTCGTTTCACAAAGATCCTAAAGTATGACAACATCAGATCCATATCTCTTGCTTAGTCATTGTTTTGAGAAAGCCTTTATAAAGTGAAAAGGCATTCAAACATCATTTATTATTAATATTCTATTTTATGTTAAAACGGATTTGAAGTGGCTTATGGAGGAGTATTCAGAACACCAAGATAGATAGGAAGAACAAAATAAACAAGAGAAGAGTAGGATGCAGTCAGAGGTGAGGTTAGATCATAAAATTTGTAATATGATTTTCATATACTTTCAGAGCATGTCAAAAATTTATTTCTAAGATTTCTGAAAGCCAATATATCTAGAGAAACAGAATCAGTTATTCATTTCATAGTTCATAGGTTAAAACTTACTTTTCTCAGTACTCTGATCCTGTTATTCAGAATAAAGTAGCATTTCTGCCATGAGCTATCTCAGAGCATCACGGTGAGGTATAAGGAACATCTCTTTGGTACACATAGCATTCATTCATAAGGCTTTTACTTATAACAGCTTTCAATATAACCTGAAGAGCAGGGAAGTAAAAAAAAAATTTAAAAATAAATTCAATAAGATGCCATTCCAATAACAGGGAGATAGCTTTTTGATTACCACCTTAATCTATGAATAAATTTTAGAACCTATCCTTCTTAGGCAAAACTCCACAAATATTATTTCTCCCAATTAGTCGTTGAATAGGAATTCAAGTGCAGATACTTCAAAGTTATACTTACCAATGATTATCTGGAGAGCAATTACTCTATGTGGCCACAAGTATAAAGCCATATTCTCCAAAGATTAGCACATCTTTGCCTAATGTTAACATCCTTTCAATGAATACTAAGGCCTTGACAAGGTGCACACTGAAAGAGAAGGACACCACACTCTGTTCCAGTTTGAGCTGATGGGAATAAACAGCATCACAGGACATGGGCCTGCTTTTCCCAAAAGACCAAAAGAAGAAAAAAAAAAAAACAGTAATGGTGAAAAAAGCATGAAAAAATACTACATACATTGGACAATTCAAGCCATTGTGCTGCAACAGTGAAAATTTCAAAATTTTCAACAAGTCAAAAAATGAAACCAAAGAAAAATTATCGCCACTAACAAAAATTTTACAGAGCTACAGATGTTGAAACAGTCATTGTCTGGATGCAATAATGGCTCATGACAAGACTCTCATATTGGATCCTAGTCTGTTTTATTCAGGATCTATTTTTACCTGTGGAGGAGATCAAGATTATACATGGGAACCCAATCTTGGACATGCTCTAAAACACAAAGAAATGGACAAAGATTCAAACCTCATGCTGTTAATATTTTTAGCATGGAAACAATAATAAACCATATGAAATAAAAATGGCTTAATAACCCGTTATGTGTCGTTACCCTACCCAAAATATCTTTATCTTTAAGGAATGCACCTTCATACTTACAAAACATAATCTTAGATAAATGAAAAAAGATAACTTGTTAGTGGAGCTACTACCAGTAAAAACTAGGAGTAGGTGTCCCAAAATTGTCCATGTTTTTTTGTACATGATCTATAGCTTCTTTATATCAATAACTAGATAACAAAGCTACATTTCTAAGAACATATATGATAAATACCTGTTATCTGCTTGTAAGAAAATGCTTATTATTTGCTCTCTATAATTTGGCTAAAAGTGATCTCAAATATTTAAGATAAATGTTACATGGATAGGGGTATACATACTCATTCTTATTCCCTTTGCAGGGGATTTCGACCTGTTCTACCATAAATCATTATTTACTTACCCCATTTACATTATAGTGCAGGTCCAATGGAAGACAAATTATACTGAGCTCAGGCAGACTAATCAATACCTGACTACTGATCACAGGGTGAAAGACCAAGTAAGTTCAATTACCGATAACAATAAGACTGTATTAGTCCCTACAAATTTTCCCCACAATGAAGTAGTAACAATGGAACTAGGCCTAAGAACATTGCATTGCATTTTTCTATTTCTATTGATCTGAAATGTCCAGTTTTGCAATTTATGAAGACAGGATCTTATTAGCATTTTGGAAGATATGCCTCATTAGTTAACAGGACGATCATTTTATATATATATAAAACAGTGAGATGCTGTCTCAGGAAAAAAAATATATATAGGTATATATATACACATATGTGTATATATATGTGTATAGATGTGTGTATATATATACACATGTATACATATGTGTATATATACATATATATGTGTATATATAAGTATGTGTGTATATATACATATATATGTGTATATATACATATGTGTGTATATATACATACACATATATACATATGTGTGTATATATACATATATACATATGTGTATATATATATACACATGTGTGTATATATACATATATACGTATATACATATGTGTGTATATATACATATATACATATGTGTGTATATATACATATATACGTATATACATATGTGTGTATATATACATATATACGTATATACATATGTGTGTATATATACATATATACGTATATACATATGTGTGTATATATACATATATACGTATATACATATGTGTGTATATATACATATGTGTGTATATATACATATGTGTATATATACATATGTGTGTATATATACATATATGTACATATGTGTGTGTGTATATATATACGTGTGTGTGTGTGTGTGTGTGTATTTATTTATTTATTTATTTATTTTTTCCTGAGACAGCATCTCACTCTGTGTCCAGGCTGAAGTGTAGTGGCTCAGTCTTGGCCTACTGCAGCCTCAACCTCCCTGGCCTCAGGTGATCCTCCCACCTCAGCCTCTCATGTAACTGGGACTACAGGTGCACACCACTCTGCCTGGCTTTTTTTTTTTTTTTTTTTTTTTTTTTTTTTTTAGAGATTGGGTCTTGCCATGTTGCCCATGCTGGTCTCAAACGCCTGGGCTCAGGCGATCTACCCACCTCGGCCAGCCTCCCAAAGTGCTGGGATTACTGACATGAGCCCCTACGCCTGGCCAGGACTACCATTATATTCCCCAGGTACTTTATCCAGTAGGAAATATTTAATCTGTTGAACTATATGAAGCAGTATTATTGAGGTCTAGAGAGACAATGGTCTGATATCTAAACAATTTAGAATAGTTATGCCTAATTTGGGAAACTTGGGAAAAGTAAGTTTTTCAGGTGTCATTCGTGATCTTAGACTTTAGCAAGATTATTTCCACAAATATACCTTCACAGACAAATTCAGAATCAAGGTTGTTTTCCCAAATGTACCTTCACAGACAAATTCAGATCTAAGATTATTTTCCCAAATATACCTTCACAGACAAATTTAGATCCAAGATTATTTCCCCAAATATACCTTGACAGAAAAACTCAGGTTCACCATCTGTGCTTATGTGGGGTAAGCTTTTTTAGGCAAGGAAATCTTGCATAACAATTAAAAAATTAATGCATTTTTCAGGTGGACATTTTCAGCTTTCTTTTCACACAATCCCTTCTGGCTAGAATTGCTATGGTTACATGGCAGGATATATCAGACCAGATTCTAGGAATTCATTATCTCACTTTTCTGTGAATATATTGACATTCATTAGGTTATGGGTTTAGCTACTATGATTTATAAGATATAAGGTGAATTGAGCTACTTTTAGTAAAATTCTTGTTTGAATACCAGCTTGTCTTCCAGAATACACATTTTTTTGTTCTAAATATTCTAATATTCAGAATTATTGAACATTACTTTTCTACAGTTGGGAATAAAGAAGTAGCAGAAAGAGAAAGTAGATTTCAGTAAATAGTATTTTACTTCCAAAAGATTTTCTATGTAAATATATAGATCATATATTCCTAAGCAAAATTATCACATGAAGTTTTATGTATTGCCTAATGTAAGGTCTGATATTAGAACAATACTTTAGATCAAAACTGTGCCAAAATCCATAATGCACTTCTTACTCTACACAAAGGGAATTACTAAGTTGATAATATTTTCTTTTACATTTTCAATTTGTTGTTACTTGCCAATGAAAGACAAGTAGGGAAGAGCCAAAAAAAAAAATCATATTGATAGCCACCACACATTGTCGGCTTCCATCTGAGTCATCTCTTTTTTTTTTTCCTATAGAAGGAACTTTGTGAGTTCATAGCAGAAAGGAGGAGCACTATTGGAATTTAAATAAGCATCTTTGCTAACTAGGAAATTATACCAGCAAGGAAGATTCTAATTCAGTGTCTTGGATCTACTCATGAGATGAATAATATGTTGAGAGGGTGGTAGAAGAGGGCCAAAAATCAAATAATTATACAGCTTGTGGTCAGTGTTGATGAGGAGAAATGTTGCCCTACTTTATCCTTTTTTTTTTCAAGTTTTCAGCTTGAATTAGAGTGGCAAGTATTCCATAAAAACATATCTGGGAATAGGATATATAAGAAAGAAGAAGAATATTATATATTATTCATTTGGAGACTAAGGCAGTATTTCTGTTTTTGATAACACACAGTCCAAAATTACAATTTGAAAATAATTTAAAGTAATTATCCCTTTCAGCAAGATTTGCTGCTTTTAAAAGTCCCTTTAATGATTAATGGATGTTTCTTACAATTCCTGAAGCACAGAGTTTGATAAGTATGTCAGAGCTCAGCAGACTGATCACATTTTCATGTTCTTGGTAGTAATTCTTAGTTTTGCATGTGAAATCTGTATTGGAAAGTGGTTATATTTGTTGCCTATCTTGGAGTATATTCATTTTCTCTTAAAAAAAACAAAGAAAATAACTGTGTAAGTAATACATGTCAAATCCCAGTGCAATGTACACTATCACTATGAAAATCTCTCTATAAATAAAAGATTACTAACCTCTAGCTGGCACATTTATTTTAAGAAACACTGCAAATAAAACCTATGTCTGGTGAAATAACTTTTCTTCTTGGAGTCGTTTTAATGGGATTTGATCTATGAAATAATTTTTCTTTTTTTTTTTCCCAAATCATGTATATAATTAAGATATCACTATAAAGGCAATTAGGAATTTACTGTTTTCATTAGTTAAATGCCAACTGACAATACTCCTTGTAACCATTATGTAAAGCAAAGATAACATTTTGCAGGAGAAAATTGGAATCTGCTAATATTGTTTACTCTATGATCTGTAGTAGAAAAATAAGGATTAATCATATGTAGCACCAACAAGAAAATGGACACAATTAAAACTGGTGGCAAAGCTTAGTTTGCAGAATTAGAGTGAGGCTATGTTCCAATATCTCTCTTCCCATACTTCGCCACCCATCCCTTCAGCATCTTCTGGTTAGTAATCTAGCAAGAGGTTAGAAGTGGAAAGATTCGGGGAAAAAGGGACCATGCACCTGCACTAAGTTGTCAGTTTTCTAGCCCGCATTTGCAGGTTTGCATTTGGACAAGTGGCCCTTAAACAGTTTGTGGTCATGAACCCATTTGAAAATCTGATGAAATTTGTAGACCCCTTCTCTGGAAAAATACACATACCTTTAGCATACTTCTTTACATGAGCACAGGCTTATGAACACCGTAAATCTATTTGTGGACTCCAAGAAAGATCTCAAGTCAACTTCTTGAGCGTGATGACTAGGTCTTATTTTATTTTATTTTATTTTTTGACTCTCAACCAGGATGGTGTCTGACAAATGTTAGAAACTCAGTAGAGTTTTATTGTTTTTATAAATGCACGTATTTCTTTCTGCCTAGCTTCATGCCAATCGTTTTGCTTAAGCTGTGACTTAGTATGTTGATGCTATCTTTAGGACACATAAGACCGTGAATGCTGACATAATAAGAAAAAAAAAAAGGATTAGTTAGACATTCATGACTTAGATTGCTTATTTTTATTTGAGGCCAAAACCTTCTTATTCTCTATAATTTCCATATTTTCACAAGTGTAGAATAGTGAATGCGTGTTGTAGTAAAAAGTAACAAATAAGACACCAGCATTCTACAAAATATATTCTACCCTAGCAATGTTATTTTGAGGAAAAATATACTTTACATGGGACAGAGTTAGCTACAAAGACTGTAGCCAATCGTTTCTAATGCCAAACCCAAACAAGAGTTTAACATTTAAAAAGAGCCAACAGTTACACAATTAAAATTTTATCTGAGGATTTTGCTCATTCTTTTAGGTTTTGACTTGAACAAATGGGTGGATGGACCCTTTTTTAAATGAAATATTGAAGACTTGAGGAAGGACAGATTTTGCAGCTATTTATTAGTGCAGAATAAAGTGAGATGTGTTGTTATTCACTCTGCTTAGGAGTTGTTCATTTTAAGTGAGCCCATTTTAAAAGAGCAGGCAGGATGACTTCAGTTTATGTCAATAAAGACTTATGAAGTCTCACTTTAATTCAATACCAACTATGTGCAAATAACTTTGCTAAATGTTGCACCTACATTCATTCATTACCCCTTGTGGTAGACCGAATGATACAGTCTCCCAATGTGACTACATCCTCATCTCCAGAACCAATGAATTTGTTAGGTTAAGTGGCAAGGAAAAATGTAATCTGATTTTAAGACAGGGCTAGCCTATAATCCCAGCACTTTGGAAGAACGAAGCAGGAGGATCACTTGAGACCATCCTGGACAACACGGGGAGACCCTATTTCTACAATTTTTTTTTAAATAGCTGCTGTGGTCCCAGCTACTTTGGAGGCTGAGGTGAGAGGATTGCTTGGGCACAAAAGGTGGAGGCTACAGTGAGTGGTGATCGTGCCACTGCACTCCAGCCTGGGTGACAGAACGAGACCCTGCCACAAAAAAAGAAAAAAAAAAAGAAAGTGCCTATTAACTTTGCTTATCCAGTCAGGCCCAGTGAAATCACATGGGACCTTAAAAGTGGAAGAGGAAGGCAAAAGAATGGTCAGAGGGAGCTGACTGCTGATGTAGGCCAGATTGATGTGCTGAAGAAGGACTCAACCTACAATGGCTGGATTTAATGATAGAGGAAGGGGACCCTGAGCCAAGGAATATGGATAGACTTTAGAAGCCAGGAAAGTCAAGGAAATGAAATCTCCTCTAGAAACTCCAGAAGGGACTTCAGCCCTGCCAACACCTCGAGTATAGCTGAGTGAGACATGTCTACCCTAACAGACATGTAAGATACACTTGTGTTGTTTTAAGCCACTAAATTTGTAATAATTTGTTATGGCAGCCAATAGGAAAACTAATACACTCCCCGTGCACATTCACACATATACACACTCTAAAATAAAGGCACCTTTATATCCATCTAGAATAAGTTTCTTAACCTCAGTACTATTGACATTTTGGCCATGTGAGTGTGTGTGTGTGTGTGAGAGAGAGAGAGAGAGTGTGTGTGTGTGTGTATCGCTGTCCAAGTGTAAGGTGCCCTGGCCTCAACATATGGACACTAGCAGCATTCCCTGCTTGTGACACTTAAATGTCTGCTGGGGCGAAAATCACCCCTAGTTGAGAACCACTGATGGAATAGAAGACAAATGCTTTAATTTTCAAATGCATGGCGGGTTGTGAAAAGCTCCATGAAAATATGGATCGTATCTATCTTACTGACCTAACCTGAGTGAGCAGAACAGGGGCTGCATATAAAAGGGGCTGAAATAAATATTTAATGGATGATAGAGTGAAGGAGTGAAGTCTCTTAGAGTATAAACCAGCCAATGACCAGAGAAAATTCTTCTGTATTTTTTCTCTCTGGTCTGTTTCCCCTGTTGACACTAGTAAAGATCAGTATTCTTTTTCTTAAGTAGTTTAGCATGGCATAAGTATTAGATTGACCTCAAGTCACATTCACTTTTAATATTTATAAAGCATATGAACTTGGTCAACTGTCTTCATCTATTTAACACTCACCTCCATCCTCTGAGAAGTAAAAAGTAATCCCCAGCTCTCTGGTTTGCTATAAAAATCTAAAAAACAATTAGATATATATTTCTTGAAGTGTCCAACTCAGAGTAGATATTCAATCTGAGTTATAATCTTTCTTTTTCCAAAGTGCTAATAGTGTACATATAGGTCCTTTCTTCTTTCTCCTTTTGAATTAGGATGCAATTGATATTGCTCTCACTGATTCCAAGTGATCTTTACTAAGAATTTAGACAACAAAGTTAGACTGTAAAATATCAACAAAATTAATTACCCTTCTCATGGAGAAATTCTATGTGAAAAGGATATAACAAATTTATACCAATGTTAAGGTTTTGAACATAATTGAAAATAATCGTATATTTTTTGAAAACTTCTACCTAAAATTAACGGAAAGATATTATGCACTCATTTTTGCCTATTTGATCTCAAAGCTATTCTCTGCACCTCTCTTGCTATGCTCTATGTTGCCCCCACACCAGAAGGTGCATTCCCAGCCTACTATGTTTTTTAGTTTCTGGCAGGGTTCACTCAATGGGAGATACTGGCAAGAGAGTGATTGTAGACTGGAGAAAGAGAGAAATCAGGCTATTTTCCTCTCTCTTATTGTCACAGGCGGTGTCTCCTCCAAAGCCTTTTATTTCCTTGGCTCCAGGTTCAGCTGGACAGCCCATCCTCCTATTGGCACAGCTCACACTGGGAAACCCCATGTCATGGGCCTAGCTGCTATTGAACAGTCCTGACCTGTGGGCTCTGGCAGTGAGACCTGCTTACAAAAGTATTAGCGGCTTCTTCTTGTTACAAATCTCTGAGGTTCTCTCCTTCATGTGCTCTGGCTTCTTAGACTTTCATCACGTATGTAAAAACTTCTCTGTATTAGACCATCCTTTTTTTGAAATACAGTTGACGCTTGAACAACATGAGGGTTAGGGACACTGACCTCCTACACAGTCAAAAATCTGCACATAACCTTTGACTCCCCAAAAACTTTACTAATAGCCTACTATTAACTGGAAGCCTTACCAATAACATACATAGTCAATTAACACATATTTTATGTTATAAAATATGTATGTATATGTATGAACCATGCGATGGTATTCTATATATATATATATATATATATATATATATTCTTGTACTGTATCTATTCTATATATATAATATTCTATATATATTCTTATACTGTATCTATAAGAATATATATGTATTCTATACTGTATTCCTACAATACAGTAAGCTAAAGGGAAGAAAATGTTATTAAGAAAATCACAGAAAAGAGAAAATATATTTAGTATTCATTAAATAAAAGTGGAACATCATAAAGTTCTTTATGCTCATCTTCACATTGAATAGGCTAAAGCAGAGGAGAAAGAAGAGGGGTTGGTCCTGCTGTGTCTGGTGGCAGAGGTGAAAGAAAATCCAAGTGTACATGGACTCTTGAAGTTTAAACCTGCATTGTTCAAAGGTCAAATGTACTTAGATTGGTTTCTACTTTCCTGGCTGTATCCCAACTGGTAAAGATTTTTTCTTAAAATTTCCAGTGGTTTTGAGTTGTAAATATTCGCAAAAGGCAAGTGTTTAAGCTCTATCCTTTATATAGTTAACCATTTTATATAATGATAATTACTGCCTTACATTCTAGGAAAAATATGTCTCATTCCTGAATATCAAAAGCAAATTTAAAAACAAAATTTAAAATTAATTACACATATATTGGGATCTCAGATTTATTAAACTAATTATTAGAAAGTAAGATAAATTGGGGAAAAGCTAAAAGTATGCATAATTATTAAATGCTGGCATTTATGTGAGCCTTGGGCTTCTCTTTATTAGCTTTTGGGTGCGATTATCATTAACATTTCAGTTGCATCCTTAATGAATATTAGAGCTACAAATACACAATGGCATGAGTGAAAATAGGAGTCTTTCATTACCACACAGACTGAAACTTTAAGAAAAATAACTTACAGAGAGGCTGTAGAGCTGTGATTATATATTTACCCTGGGAGCTGTGAGCTGTCTAGAAGTATTCTGAGCTTTGATTTTTACACCTGCACCTGTGCCGGGTGGAGAAACTAGTGAAGAGCAATTTGTGCCTCTTCAGTAAACCAGTTAACTGATTTTGGACACTAACTCTAAAGCAACTTAGCCACATCCTTTGAGCATTTGCTTCGTGCTAAGCATTGTTGTAAGTGTTGGAAAAGAAAGATCTGCAAATAAAAATTAGTCCTTCTTTTCAAGGAAATTACCTATCAGCTGGGGGATACTGACTTGGGGGCAAATGAGTGCACTAAAGTTAGGTAGGGGCTAGGACAGATGTATATATAGGGCACATAAGGCAGGTCTTCTTTTTCTGTAGGATCATACCCAGCTTTTGGGGTGAAGTAGTGGATAGGCTTGAGGTTTAATTACAAGGCATGAAGTGATAGCCATAGTATACTGCTTGAAAGTTACTCTTAGGGTATATAGTAAGTCATTCAGAGCTCAATGAGGAGCTACTTCAAGTCTCAGCAAGTGCTGAATAAGCAATTAGATGTATAAACTCGCATTGTCTTGTTCCATAAAATGGAATAAGAACTGTGGGGAAGGAGTAGGAACAGGACAAGATGAGAGGAATAGCTCAATCAGAGCATTACCATAAGATGGCCTTTAGAAGTAGTACTGACAAAGAGATACTCAAATGTACAGCTCCTCGGAGCTGGAGATGGCTTGGAGGTGGTTTGAGCATGTAGAAGCAATGGGGAAAATGGAGGACTCTGGGGAGCAGTTGTAGGAGGCTATAATTGCTGAGCTCAACTGCTGACTGGAGCCATTCAATACTGAGAGGAGCAGCTGCAGAGAGCTTAAGCAGAGAACCCTGGAGAGCCACAGCTGGAGCTTCCCCAGATTAAGAAGCTGCCAGGGGAAGCAGCAGTTATGAGTGTCATTGCATGGAAAGTTCAAAGTTATCCATTCAGTTCCACCATCTCTGCAGCTGGCAATAACTATTGAAACACAGTCTTAGATATATGAAGAAATGGTGAAATATTGATAAGATTGACAAAATATGTTTGAGATTTTTAAAGACAACTTTCCTCAAACTCGAACCTAGGCTTTCTTGGCTAATGTGGTATTATGTTTGCTTGTTGTTTGTTTATTGAGGAACAATTTTACCCTAACAATAGCTGTTACATTGGCCAAAACAAGGAGACTTGATTTTAAATTAAAGGATTCACTAACCAAAAAATCAACGAGAGTATATGCAAAATTTGGTACTTTTTGATACTTCTCCCCTGGAAAGAGTAACTGTAGTTTTTATCCTGTTCTCAAAGTTCCTGATGCTAAAAAAAAAAAAAAAAGGTTAAGATAGTTTGTATTAGAAAGACAAAAAAGATTAGCTAATAGAGAATTTGGTAACATCTATTATCAACTTATCCACAAAAGATGTTGTTGTATAACAGTGTGATGAATTTAGGTAATCATTACATTGAACATTGTCTAGCATTACTATGAGGCTGTCCTCTTCAAATATTGTTCAGGATAACGAGCCTTGGTATATTGGTGATCCCTTCTGCATCTTTTTGGATCAGCTTGGGTTTGATTATGGAGGAAGACGGAAGCAGCATAATAGATATTTTGTTTGAGTAAAACACAATTATGATGTAAACACTTGAGAAAGAGAATCCAGCTGGAAAATTATTGTGTTAGTCCACCTTTGAGTGAGAGCTGAGAACTACTGTGGATCCTGTAGAAATGGAAGGAAGAATGTAGAGGTGGAGGTATTCATTCAACTTGTGAATGTGAGCACTGTAATTTTAAAATAATAATGCATCTATTTATATTTTTGTTTTGTTGAAATCTCACAGTACTGCAAATTTTTATCAAAATCACTCCATCTGGAAAAATTCTATGTGGATTAAGCCACATGGGAATCAGTTACCCCGGCTTAACAGATATTTCATTGCTGTGGGTTTTAATCGATAAACTTGACCTTCTAACTTTGCTGGTTATACAATCTGTTCTGAGCAAACAATGAAATGATGTGAAGTGAGTCAGGCTTTGAGTATATTAGCAAATTGGGGCCTGAGTGACCAAGAATGAAATGTCAGGATAACAACACAAAGAAGAAAACTCATTTTTTCAGGTTCAACTTACTCGATTTTTTTTTTTTTGGCACAGCATACCATACTCTCATTTAAAAAGAGCATTTTACCCAAAAAGCTATGTGTGTTTTTCAAGGTAACATAAATTTACCCTTGAAGCCTCTGACCTAGTAAAGACTCCTGGAATAGTTACTTTAAGTCTGCTCTGAACAAATAAAAAATTGCTCTCAAAGTTATTTATTTAGCTAATGAAGATACCTTGCAGACCATTTGAACAATTATTTGAAAGCAGAAACCATTGAAGGCTCATCCATCTCTCATGGAGAGTTGCTGGCTTTGCACACCTTGGAGTGTTTTTTTGTTCCCCAACTCCAAAGGAGAAACCGTCCCACTTTCTGAGACTTGACATGTGGTTGGGATTACTGCAAGGCTTTTGGGCTTTTGAGCTCACAGTTCATACACTTGTTTTTGACAGTATGATGTGTTCTTCTTCTTCTTTTTTTTTTTTTTTTTTTTTTTTTTTTTTTTTTTTTTTTGAGACAGAGTCTCGTTCTGTCGCCCAGGCTAGAGTGCAGTGGCGCAATCTCGGCTCACTGCAACCTCTGCCTCCCGGGTTCACGCCATTCTCCTGCCTCAGCCTCCCGAGTAGCTGGGACTACAGGCACCCGCCACCATGCCCGGCTAATTTTTTATATTTCTAGTAGAGACGGGGTTTCACCATGTTAGATAGGATGGTCTCGATCTCCTGACCTTGTGATCCGCCCGCCTCGGCCTCCCAAAGTGCTGGGATTACAGGCCTGAGCCACCACGCCAGGCATGATGTGTTCTTCTTTTAACGTTGCAGTAGAGCACACAGCAGTGAGGTCGTTCTTAAAGGCAACCTAACTCAATTTGTGCTTTTTGAAGAGTGGTTTGCTGTTCAATTTGGCCGCTTCCAAAATATATATGACTTACTTTTTTTTTTTTTTTTTTTAAGACGGAGTCTCGCTCTGTCGCCCAGGCTGGAGTGCAGTGGCGCAATCTGGGCTCACTGCAAGCTCCGCCTCCCGGGTTCACGCCATTCTCCTGCCTCAGCCTCTCCGAGTAGCTGGCGACTACAGGCGCCCGCCACCAGGCCCGGCTAATTTTTTGTATTTTTAGTAGAGACGGGGTTTCACCGTGGTCTCGATTTGCTGACCTCGTGATCCGCCCGCCTCCGCCTCCCAAAGTGCTGGGATTACAAGCATGAGCCACCGCACCCGTCCGACTTACTCTTTACATTTGCATGTAGTTAAAAAAAATTGATATGGCCTTATCAAGATCAAAGAGAAAGAATGTTTTAATCTCTGAACCCTTCAAATTCACAGATATTTCATGTAACATACTGAAGCCTTAAAATATGGAGTTAATCAAATAGAAAGCTATATATTTCAGACACAAATTTGTCTTCTGTTTTATTTCTTCAAGATAAATGAAGAGGTCAGACTTCTAGTACATCACCTTCTGAAAAAATAAGGGTTATTATAAGTAAATATAACAATTTAATTCGGTATGATTCATAGTTTTCCAGCTCTCTCCTTATCCCAGTGCAATATTTAACATTCCAAAGCATCACTATAGCGTGACATTTATGAGTAGCCATTGGCGCCCAGTGCACAGGCTGCTGTGCCAAGTGTGGCCTCAGTCCTCTCTATTACATAAAACAATGAGCATTGACACAGATGGAGCTATAGAGGGCATATACACACACAGGAAACACTGAGAAGAAAATGTGACAGTGACCTCTGCCTTTCTCTTTTTCCCAGACTCCCGTTGTCAGTCAAATAATCAGAAATTGCCCATCACACACAGCCCCATGGACCTCTTTTGCTAAGCTCAGAATAAAAACACTACCTATGGTTGACTAAAAAATGAGGACTTTCACTGGGAATAATCTGTCTAATGATAAGTTAGAGTACTATGCACTTGGAATTGAAAGATCTCTGGTTTTTGTTTTGTTTTGTTTTGTTTTGTCTTTTTTACAGAGTTTCACTCTTGCTGTCCAGGCTGGAGTGCAATGGTGCAATCTCGGCTCACTTCAACCTCCACCTCCCAGGTTCAAGCAATTCTCCTGCCTCTGCCTCCCAAGTAGCTGTGATTACAAGCACACGCCCCTATGCCTGGCTAATTTTTTGTATTTTTTTAGTAGAGACGGTGTTTTACCATGTTGGCCAGGCTGGTCTCAAAGTCCTGACCTCAGGTGATCCACCCGCTTCGGCCTCCCAAAGTGTTGCGATTACAGGCGTGAGCCACAGCACCTGGCCTGGTATTTTGATCTCATGATTCTAAATATATTCTTTACATTTTCAGTGTTTCATGATGAATGGGTATTTTTTAAGGATCTTTATATTATGTAGAACTTTGCTTAAACTTTGCTGTCTGTTGCTTACTATCCTGATGATTAGTAAGGGAGAACATAAAACATTTTGTTTCTGATAAGACTCATCATACTTTTAACTTTATGCTTTATACTTTATTTAACTTTTAAAATTATAATATTAATAGACATTGAAGCATCAGATAGTATAAAATAAACATTTAAATAAATGATACTAGTTTAAGGATATCTCTGTAGGAAGAAGTGTAGTCAGAATGGCAGGGAAACCCCCACTCCCTGCTTCCCCCAGGGCAACAATCCTTCTGCCCCTCTCTTCTCTCTTTTGCCCACCCTTACCCTCTGGGAATACTGAAAATTTTGCTCTTCCCTTAAAGAACCTGATGTGTCACACCTCTGTGTTTTTGTTCTTTCCTAAGCACTCTTCCTTCCCTCTAAGTAGGATTAATCATTTCTTCTCTGAACATCTCTGAACATCCTTTTGGCGGTCCTATCATAGTCTGTTACTTGTTAAAGTATCTGTGTTTCTCGCTCAAAGGTAAACCACATGAGGGCAAGTAATATGCTTATTTATACTTCTCAATATATGATCTCTTAATGAATTAATTTATGTTATTATTACTAATGGAACCATGTTCTGTGGAGAAAATGGCTTCTCCTAAATTACGATATTACACAGGCATACACATTGGAAAGGATGAACGTGCTGGAGTAAGACTTATCTGAACGTGGACCTTGGCTCTGCCACTTAGGAGCTATATTAACCCAAGTTTGAGACCCTTAGTCTATGGGAAGTTTTGTGGAGAATGAAACCCACATTATAGAATTTCCTTCAAAATTAAGAAATGAAATGTGTTAAGAACTGGACACAAAGTCAGTACAATGAATGACACTATTATTATTATATATAATAAATATCTTTTAAGAGGTTTGTGTGTGCATTCATAACCCGATGAAAAGGTCAGTTATTTGTTTTTGCTCCTCAATTTCTCCTTTTATTTATTACTCTAACTTCTTATTCAATAGATGTGTCAAACAACTTTGTTATAAATATTAGCTGCTTATTTCTCCAACTTTCTATTTTTTCTATTCTTTAGTGATGACAGCACAACATAGATAAATGCATATGCCAAGCCATTTTTCAACTTTGTAATGACAAAAAGGCTTCTTATCATATCTAAATATGTTCAAATGCCACTTAGTCACTTTTTAAAATCAGAATTAATGAGATTCTTGCTAACCTTTTTATTTTTATTTTAGTCCAGTCATCTCCTAGCCTGACAAAACATTAAAAAAAAAGGACTTCATGATGTAGCCTCTAACAGTCGTAATGAGAGACTAATTGCAGCCCAAATTGGAAAAAACTTTTGGTTTCAACTAAAGGAAGAGGAAAGACTTAATAGCATCCCAAAAGACTTTATAAACAAAATGATGGCCATTAGCAATAGCAAAAATAAGAACACAAGAGCAAAGAAATCCACTTAGTTAAAATAGGTAATAATAGGCAGTGATTACAGACAAATGATGGCATCATGAGTATCTATATGGAAACACTGAAAAGGGAAACAACATTGTTTCCTAACTTCTTTGATATTATGACACAAGCAAGAAACACAGAGACAGAGACAGAGACAGTGAGAGAGATTACTACATGAGCTGTGGTAGCTCTCAATCCTCCCATCAGGAGGCTACTCAAAAATTATTCTCAAGAAAAAAACATTATCTTTCCATCGGACTGAATACTGTAGTATGTGGATGCTTTGTGTAAACTATGAGATGACTAAACCAACACCCCCACATTTCTCTAGGAAAGAGAGAAGGGGCTTACACCACTTTCTGGTAAATGGGAGTGACAACAGCAAATGATAGCACCAAACTCGAAATCATATGAAAAGTGGGATGATCAAATGAATGGAAATAATTTAAAGTATCTGGTTTTCATTACCTGGGCTTAGACTTATTTCCAGTTAACTTATCCATTCAGAGCACAACTTTGTACCTCATTTAGCTCTTCTGTGAAATGTGGGAAAAAATCCAAAAAGGTTAAGTTTGATCAGGCATTAATGTAACAATCACCTACATTTTGATTGTTGAAGTAAAGGATGGACAAATTCTGTCTATAGAGAAGCTGGCCCCAAGATGAGTCAGACACTGAAGTAAGGAAAATAATGTATTCCTGTCCTCAGGATATAATAATGTATTCCTGTCCTCTGTGTCTTCTCAGAATATAAATGGTGGTAGGTATTGGCTAAGAAAGAGTTAATTCCTGTTCAGGATTGGCGTCTCAGAATCATATCCTAAGTTGACCATAAGCTCTGATCTCAAGGACCAGAAATATCTCACAATCTTCTTATATTGTTCAAATTAGAATGTCTTTGTTTTAAATTTAGCAATTGTTATGTTAATGGAGAGAATGTTGGTATTGTGATCAACTCTTCACAGAGAAGCTTATCACTGAGGGATTAGAGACATACTGGGAAAAATATTGTTTGTCTTGCATACACTAAGGAGTGTACTTAGTTATCACTGTTTTTTTTTTTTTTTCCTTTCCTTCAGAGGAAACACTTTGTGTTACTAGAGTTTGCAACCATGTGTAAATGACTGTAAAATAATAGAATTCAGAAATGGAAGCTCTGTTTCTTTTTCTTTTGTGTCTATGTGCCATCCATTCTTTTGTTATAAAAGATTAGAAATGCTGAACAACTAGAAATAAAATAATCAGAAATTAAATCAGGGTAAAATGAATAGAAAGAAAATTCTAATCAATTTATGAAGGCATATCATTTGGCATTGAGTCTTCTTTCAGTATTAACATATTTCCTCATCCTTCAAAATCGAATTGCTAAGGCTGAGACATCCAAAAACGAGAACATGGGAATGTCACATGCAAAATATGGGTTTAGAAGTGACATTATGCAGGCTTCTTTTCTTGTCTTGTTTGTATTAAGTAAGGGTAGAAATGTAATGTAAAAAAGGATTGCTTCCGGCTGGGCGCAGTGGCTCATGCCTGTAATCCCAGCACTTTGGGAGGCTGAGGTGGGCGAATCATCTGAGGTCAGGAGTTCAAGACCAACCTGGCCAACATGGCGGAACCCCATCACTACTAAAAATAAAAAAATTAGCTGGGCGTGGTGGCAGGCGCCTGTTATCCCAGCTACTTGGAGGCTGAGGCAGGAGACTCACTTGAACCCAGGAGGTGGAGGTTGCAGTGAGCTGAGATCGCGCCACTGCACTCCAGCCTGGGTGACAGAGTGAGACTCCATCTCAGAATTAATTAATTAATTTAATTTAATTAAAAATGATTGCTTCCATATTTTAATAAATATATGAGGCTAGAAATAACATGAATTTAGGATATATTGTGGACCTTTGAACCTACTCAAACAGATAAGAATTTTCTTCCGAGAATTGCACTGAATCACACATGTCCAACAATTTAAAATTAGTGCTAAAAATGTCAGATAAAAGATAAAATTATTTTGCAAAGTTAAGTTGAAATTATTACAAAATGCATGAAAATGTTCAAATAGGAAATTTATATGCATATATACATAAATACATATATACATGTACTATATATATATACACACACATGTACATACATCTATCCATCTATCCATTCATCCTTTCTCACAGTCCATTTATTAACAAATATATTTGAGACAATATGGTAGACTACATTATTCTTATATTGCTTCAAATGTATTCTTTGGAGTAAAAGTTCCAAAAAATGATCTGCAATAAAAGGGACTCAAATTAAGTTTTGAAACTCTGAATACTATACTCCCCTTTAAGACATACAAATCATAAATGCAGACAGGATCCTGTAAGAATGACGTTTATCAGAGTAGCTGTAGTAGACAGAATAATGGTCTTCAAAGATGTCATGTCCTAATTCCTATAACCTGTGAATATGCTACCTTTTGTGGTGAAGGGATTTAAGGTTACGGATGAAATGAAAGTTTCTCATCAGTTGAATTTAAAATAGAGACATGATCCTTTATTAACTAGTTATGCCCAGTGTAATAACGAGGGTTATTATAAGTAGAAGAAAAATATAGAAAAACAGATCAGAGTTATGAGATGTGGGAAGGACTTACTCCCTATTGAAAACTTTGAAGATGGAGGAAGAGACTAGGAGGAAGGTGGGCAGTCTTTAAAAGCTGGAAAAGACAAGAAAGTGCATTCTCTCCTACAGTCCCCACAAAAGAAAGCAGCCCTGCCCACACCTTGGTCTTCGCCCTGTAGGACTACTATTGGACTTTTAACATACATAATTGCAAGATAATGCATTTTTTGTTGTTTTAGGTCACAAAGTATCTGATAATTTGTTACAACAGCCACAGACATATAATATATATGCTATGGCTGTTGTAGTCATTACTACCTGCCAGACACCAGGGTACATTCTTGATACCCATTAATATATTAGTCAACCCAAAAAGCAACAAATTATAAACATTATTCTCATCTGTATTTTATGAAGGAGGAAATGGGGTGTGGTGGTAGACTCTTGTAGGTTAGCAAATTATGCATAATGATACCAATAGAAAGTACCAAAACCAAGGCTCAAGTTAAAGACTAATTACAAAGCTTACCCTTTAAATTTCTTACTGTTCAGTCGATCTTCTATCAAACTTTCTTGACACAACAGCCCTTTCTTTCTTTCTCAATATACCTGTTTATTTTGGGAAACACTAGTGTAGTGGAAAGTAACTACACTTCAGAGACTAAAGATCCTAATTCCAGCTTTGCTGCTAACTACTCACATAACCTTAGTAAAACAATCTTGTATTTCTTGGCCACTATTCTTTCTGGTATTGGTGCTCTCAAAACAGCTCCTGTTCTCATGGGGCTTAGAATCCATGCCTTACCATTATTCATACCTACAGTTAAATGTGTTCTGCATTATTTACAACTCCCTCAGGACCGAAGAATAGGTATATTAATCCTATTTTAGAGAAAATAAAATTAAAATGCAGAGTAGTTGAGTTTCTTGCTGCAGATCAAAAAGATAGTAATAATAGAGCCAGGTTTTAAGTGGATGTCATCTCATTCCTGACCAGAGCTCTTTCCACAGTACTACACTTAATCATATTTTAATAAAAATCATATTATAAAACTCTTACATATTGCTTTATTTTTATACCAACCTAATTAAGCCTCAATACAATTAAAATATTACCATTCAAATACACTTTAATCAAATATACTGAAGAAATGTCATTGACTAATAAATAGTATATTGTCTTAATTTTCTTCTGTATAATGCTTGACAGACTTGTATCTAGACAGTGATTTCAATAAAAAATAGAATTACATTTCTCTCACTAGGGTGGTTCTCAAGCTCTTTTATTTTTTTAAAGTACTACAGGAAATTCTGGTTAAAATCTAAGACTCTAGGCTGGGAGTGGTGGCTCATGTCTGTAATCCTAGAACTTTGAAAAGCTGCGGTAGATGGATCACTTGAGCTCAGGAGTTTGAAACCAGCCTGGGCAACATGGTGAAACCTACCCTCTACAAAAAATAAGATAATTAGCCAGGCTTTGTAGTGTGTGCCCATAGTCTAAGCTACTTGGGAGGCTGAGGTGGGAGAACCACCTGAGCCTGCGAAGCCGAGGCTGCAGTGTGCCAAGATTGTCCCGCTGCACTCCAGCCTGGGCAACAGAGTGAGACTCTGTCTCAAAAACAAAAACAAAAACAAAAACCTAAGGCTCTAGAAGAGTCTCATACATGGCCACTCAACCTACTTTAAAAGCTTAAGATTTTGCCAGATAAACAAATGTAACTTTGAATGGAATTTTACTTATTAATTAACAGTAATGGTAGGCAGAGTTGTAAAACAAAAATAGAATGGATTTTCAAGTCAAATTATCTGGACTTAAATTTACACTCTAGCAGCATCAGCATTATTACCTTTAGTGAACAATATCAAATTGTATAATCAATCAGGGTTAGTTTGCTCCTCTGTAAAATGAGAATAATCACGTCTGTCTTTGAGGGTTGTTGGTACTTATTAGGTATCCAGGTATTTCGTTACCTGCAAATTTTTGAAACCAGTTTGTACCAAGATCCTTCCCAAAGTATTCCAGTTTTTAATTGTCCATATTTTTACAACAGTTGCTTGCTCGCAAGTTTATACACTGGATTCTAAGTCCCTTATCAGTTTAGATGATGCCTTATTCAAAGTTTATCGCCAACATCTAGCATGTGTTCTGGCCTCTAATAGGTGTTCGTTAAATATTTATTGACTGAATGAAAACCTTCACTGAATATTACTTGGCTGACTTTTAATGTCCAAGTATGTGGCATTACTTTTAAAAATCAGTGATAAGGGAATAAAACACACAAAAAGATGTACTGTCTTACTCCATCTGTCAATTTTAGTTTTAATTTCTTGCTTTTCTTCCTGTAAGCTATAATCGTATGATAGACTGGATTGAATCTGTAGCATATTTAAGTAAATCTCTATACTATTTATAGAGTCTATGCATAACTACAATTGATGACTTTGATTACACATGTTTAATATTTCTGATGTAATATTTGCTATCTTTTGTGGTTAATAAATCTTTCAAACATCTCCTCAATATTAATGTATTGATTCGGTCTTCACAATGTTTGTAAATTCTAATTTATTTTCCAAATCTGGCCAAGAGAGGCTTACATTTGGAAGTAACAAGATAAATCTTAGACAGATTCGTGTAAAGTGGAACAAAATAAATATTCAAAAGACTTCTAAAATCACATAAAAACCCCTTTCCAGTTAAAACTGACAATTCATTACTCTTTTAAATTGTGGGTACTTGAGTGAGATGTCAGTTTTGGTTATAAAATTTACTCACTAGTGCCAGCCACTGTTATCAGCCTGTCTTAGCTCAGAACAAAAAGAGCAGGATTGAAGAAATTTCTCTTGAATTTAGAAGTGTTTGCTGAGATTAACCAAACAATAACAAAGCAATCACATTCAACGAACACCGGAAACATTAAAAGGCTATGGTTTAGTCCAGGATTTATCTTTGAAGAAATATAAAATAGAATTTTCAGAATCATGCCTAGTTTTTCCATACTTTTTCTTTTTCAGTCCTATGTTGTCTGATATATGGAATACTTGATGAGAGAAAAACCACCAGCCATTTCAAATGGACTCCTGCTGATATGCCCTGCTACGTGGCAGCAGGAAGCAATGCCTTCTCTTAAAAGTACTCTCTGTAAATAGACAATTGCATCTTTCATCTTTAGGATTGTGCCCACAGAGAACTGAAGCAAATACTTAATTGTTTTGAAAGACTCACAGGCAATCCAAAGGGAGTTCTTCAAGTATCTCAGCAGCTAGAGTCCTTATACTTCAATTAATACTATTGGGAGTTGCATGTTTAAAAACCTGAGTGGTTTCAAATGATTTGTCTTTTGTCAACAATGTTACACTTGACACCATTTAAAAATAATGTGTATTTAAGAAATAAGGGAAAATAAGTCAGCTCATTTTCCTAAATTTAAGAAAAGAAAGAAAATATAGTTTAAAAATTATTTAATATCTATTTTGGTAACAAAAAATAACACGGGAAGTAGTTTAGAATTGAAAGTAATAATGACTGAGATGGTTCTCTGAATTACTAAAAAAACTGTAACACTGTAACAGTTGACTGCATATATTTAAAATAATGTATTTTAGACATTGAAGAGGATTTAGCAATCAATGGTCTAAGTTTACAGGTAAGGACAAGATCCACCAGAAGTTAATGACTTTGGTAACTCATAGAGCAAGTAACAGAAAGAATCAAGTGAATCTAAGTTTACAGTATGTTTTTGTCCCAGTTGGAGGACCTCTCAGAGCCTCCTTTCTTCAACCTTTTGATTTGAGTGGTCTGCCTTCTGACGTTAGATTGGTGCTAAGATCCTGGCTGTGTTCCTGGAACACATGAAGTGTTTAGCTCATGTTGGGTCCCTGCCTTTCCTACTCTTCTGTTTGTCTGGAGTTCTTTAAATGACAGAACATTTGTTAGATTTTGTTCAATGTTTGTATTCAGACATTGCCATAATCCAGATTTGTAATTGTGATTAAACTTTTGGAAATGTTTGCATCAAGTTAGAATGAAAGCTGTGCTGGAGAAGATTCAAAAATGTTGTATAGAACATTCCTCTTTGCTGAGATTAACCAAACAATATTCTTTTTTTTTTTTTTGTAGTGGCATTTCGTTGTGGTTCTATTTTATATCATTTTTATAAACAATTTCAACTTTTATTTTAGACTCATGAGGTACATGTGCAGACTTGTAATAAGGATTTATTGTGTGATGCTGAGGTTTGGGATATGAGCGATCTTGTCAGCCAGGTAGTAAGCATAGTTCCCAACAGTTAGTTTTTCAAACCTTGCTCCCCTCCTTTCTTCCCACCTCTAGTAGACCCCCGTGTCTATTGTTGCCATCTTTATGTCCATGAGTGCCAAATATTTAGCTCCCACTTGTAAGTGAGAACATGTAGTACTTGGTTTTCTGTTCCTGTGTTAATGTGCTTAGGACAATGGCCTCCAGCTGCATCCATGTTGCTGCAAAGGACATGATTTTGTTCTTTTCATGGCTGCATAGTATTCCATGGGGGGTGTATGTACCCTATTTTCTTTATGCAGTCCACCATTGATGGGCACCTAGGTTGATTTCATGTCTTTTCTATGATGAGTAGTGCTGCAATGAACGTACAACTTCATGCATATTTTTGGTACAACAATTTATTTTCTTTGAGATATAAACTCGGTAATAGGATTGCTGGGTGGAATGTAGTTGTGTTTTTTGAGAAATTTCCAAAGTGCTTTCCACAGTTGCTGAACTAATTTACATTTTCACCAACAATATATTAGTGTTTCCTTTCCTCCACAGCCTCACCAGCCTCTGTTGTTTTTTCACTTTTTAGTAATAGCCATCCAGATTGGTGTGAGACAGTATTTCGTTGTGGTTTTGATTTGCATTTCCCAGGGACTATTCCATATAGACTTAACTTTTGTCTTTTTCAAATTATGTCTCTGATAATCTTATGTCTGTTCCAAATAAGTTATTTGATGTTTCCAACAATAGTTATATTCAGTGTTTTTGGCAATTATATTACCTCATTAAGTTGGCATCAATCAGTGCCATGTAGTTTCTAGACAACCACTATGGAAATACAGTAATAGAAACAGAGGCTAGACCTAGAAATTACTTTCATGTCTTTAAACGAGTTATCTCTTGGAAGCATGAGTTTAACCCATGCTAAATTTGAAATGATATTTTCTCTTGTAAACATTGATAATCACTCTTTGCTTATGTTTTTTACAAATGAAACCAAGTATAAAGAGAGGGGAAGAGGACTGACTGTAGCAGAGCTAAGACAAAATAGTTAATTCGTAACATTTTCCCTAGGGTTAATTGGAGTCAACCAGTTGGCTGGTGACAGTAGCAATTAAAGCAAGAAAATCCTGCAGGTAAAAATAAGAGAGAGTCTCCTAAATTCAGCTGATTTCCTCAAGACTATCTTTTCTAATTGTCCCTCAGGCTAGGTTAAGTGCTAGGTATAGCTAAGAGCCAGCAGCTAGTTTTAGCTCCAGAGCCACCTCCTGAAATCTAAGTTAGCAGATGTGAATTATACACTTCACCTCATACTATATTTTATTGATTTTTGTGTGTTTTTATTTTGATGAAGTGAATGAGTTAATAGGACATATGCGTCTAGTGAATGCTGTTAAAAGAAAAACTTTTGACAAATTAAATTTGACAGTTTTTTTTCACTATTTTAAACTCTTTCATTGATCAAAATCATTTATTCACAGATGAAATGACTCTGTACCTAAAAAGAACAAAGCAATCAACTTAACAATTATAAGAGTTAATGAGAAAATTAAATAAGGGGACCAGAAGGAGATTCAGATCTCAACTTTTTTTTTTTTTTTAATCCTTGGCCAGGGAAATTATTCATATTCTCATCTTTATATATTTTTATTTATTTTATTTTTTAAATTGTATTTTATTCTGTTTTATTTCAATAGCGTTTTAGGGGAACAGATGGTGTTTGGTTACATGGATAAGCTCTTGAGTTGGTGATTTCTGAGATTTTGGTGCACCCATTACCCGAGCAGCGTATACGGTACCCAATGTGCAATCTTTTGTCCCTCACTCCCTTTCCCCCTTCTCCCCACCAAGTCCCTAAAGCCCATTATATCAAAGGCATAAAAATGACAGTGTTTATTTGAACAAAGAATGGCTTATGAATTGGGCAGCACCCAGAATTGGAAGAGTTTTAGAGTGCTCCGTTTTAGCAGCATGAGTAGGGGGCTTTATCAGCTGAATCCAGAAGCAAAGTAAAGAAATTGCTCAATTTGCTGCAGCTAGCCATTTGCCTTATTTTGATATAATATGGTGGAAAGTCCCTAATTAGATATTAGGTGGCAGTTTCTGGTTGGCTAAGCTTAAGTTGTATTTTACTGTTTACATCACACTTCACTTTGCTTACATAGGAAACTAAAGCACTGGAATTTTCTCAGCCTTTCTTTTTTTTTTTTTTTTGTAACAACCTCCCAATTAATTTAACAACCTCTAAATTATAAGTGAATTTTAATGTTCCTGTCCTACTGACCTATAGGAATAATGTGTTAAACCTCTTAACACATGTACCTTCATTTCTTTGGAAAGCAGTTTTATCAGTGGACCCTGTTTTAAATGTATCTTATTTCTGCCAGCTTTATATCTTTTCCTAGGTCAGAAAGATTATTCAAAATATTGTTAAATCAAAAGGCTAAGTTTTACTTTATTTGCAACATAAGAATTCTGAAGGACTAAATAATGACCAATGGATCATATATTGCCTAACTTCACTGAATAATCTTCACGATGTTTTATTTTTATTGATTATATTTACATTGTTCTAAGGATTAGATTCTGTAGAAGAGGAAAATTCCAACCACATAATGATTTTCTTGATGTGAATAGAATATAAATGTAAATAAAAACATTTATCTAAAAATATGAGATTAGATAAAAAATGAGATTAGATGAAAAATATGAGATTAGAAAAATATAAAATTAGATTCAAATAAAACACATTTAATTCAAATAAATTACTTTTTAATTTATTTGAAACTTTTTATCAAAAATATTGTGATTAAAAACTAATAAAATATTTCTATGCATAGCTGTTAAAGAAAAAAATTAGCTTATTTTGTGTGTTAAAAACTGATTTGAAAACCTTGATCAAAGAATATTATTATAATTGACACTTCAAGTATTTTTCCAGATATCTCAACCAAAACAGTGGATTGAATGTCTTTATGCTTAAGACAGAGCTACATATTGAGGGGGAAAAATGCCCTGATTAAAGAAGAAAAATCTTTCACATTTTTTGGAGGAACATTCTAAATATATAGAGAATTAAGATGGCTGCTGTAGCATTCATTTGTAGGCAGTATTACGTTTGAATTGGATTAACGTGTCTGTATTGGAAGCTTTGTATGTAGCAAGGGACTCCCATGCAAGCTGCCATCTTGGATATTGAATGTATTAAAATCCACACTGCTGACTGTCAAATCATACAACTTTGATCTTCTGTGAAATGTGTGCATCAATAGTAAAATTGCCAGATGCCATCATTGTTTTGGATTTTGAGTTCTTTCTGGATACCAGATTAAGTGGGTGGATACTAAATAAGCAGAAATTCTAATAAATGTGACCATTCTTTAGTGAGCTTGTTTGAAGAAACAGGCAGTTGTATAAGCAATTGGCTTATGCAAATTCTAGTTTGAATTTGTTCACAGCCACTTTATGAAGACAAACTTTCTCTTTACTTCCTAATAAGAGATTTCTAATTTTGCCAAACCTATATTGGATGACAAATAGAGATAAAACTTGAATGACAGTGTTTAAAAGTTTAAGGAATGTTGCTACGGCATTAAGTGTATATTACTTTATCAGACATTCTGTCTCTACTATGGAAATTATATTATCTTTCATTTAAGAATGATAGTGATGTATAGTATCATAAAGCAAACTGATTATTTTTTGGTGATCTTACTATAAATATCAAATAATTATGTCCACTTGTGCGGAATTGGCACATAATAGTTATTAATAATGGCATTTTATAATTTACAATATAACTTCTCGATTAACAATATAAATTAATTTTATTAAATAATATCTATTTGAAATCCAGTTATTACTAAATATCCGCAAGTCCTCTTTTTCCCTTTATGTTTGGTGATACATACAGTTGCTCTCCTTAGAAATGCTGTCACAACTGCTTTTGTTTCCTGAGGCACTGCTTCACACTGAATTTCATTTTGGCTAGCTAAAAGATGCACTAAAGGATTTTAATATAATATGTAACAGAGTGATTACATGGAGTCCTCACTGTAAGTTCTCATATCATGTAAATAGGGGAAAGAAAGTAATAAATCAATTGTTATTGAATGAAAGAATAAGACTCATGCAAATTAGAAGGCCAAAAATCTGTTTATGCACACTAACGTTAAAGTCAAGTAATAGCATTTATAACATCCATTCATCTGCCTTATTAATAGAAAAATACATCATTTTTTATATATATATATAATAGAGAGAGAATGGGGTTGATATATAAGGAAGATGATATAGATATAGCTGTAGTAATAAGAGGGCTATGTATTAGGGATGTGTGTGTGTGTGTACATATATACATATATATGGAGAGAGAGATGCAACAGACATATGTATATGTATGAAATAAATGTATTTATGAATAGTACAAATGAAGGAAGTATGCAAAGGAAATTTATTTGGACACAGCAAAATCCATAGTTAATCACTGTTGTCACATGATTAAATGTATCACCTTATTCATGGGACTTCTAGGATATTTCTTGATGAAAGATTGAGGTCACACCGGTAGTCTTTCATTTAAAGCTAACAACATCTGACATTATAAATATCTTAGTTAAAATACTATCATTACATACAACTCTTTTGTCAACTTTGGTTAATATTTATAGAATGAAGGGCATAGAAATAGAATTGAAAGTAAAATTTCTGCCTTAATTTTGCTGACAGCAGAAGAACTTTGTGATAGAATTACTTATTGCATAAACATAAAATTTATTTATTTAGTAAAAATGTATTTATTAAATATAATATGAACAGACATAAAATAAATGTTTACATACCATCACAATGACATCAAAAGTCAACAAAGCCAGAACAGGGTACAAAGGTGGGTGAGAGCTTGAGTTATAATAATGGAAGTCTTAGGTAATTTTTGTGATTTTAATTAGGATCTCTGGAGGTTTATGTTTACATATTTTGGATCAAGTTTCTTCCTTTTTATTTGATCTAAAAATCCCTATGATAAAACTGAATTTTATAGATTTAAAACTTTGGGAAATTAATAAAAGAGGGTTAATAGCATTTCAATAAATCATTGGCATATTCTAGTCTCATGTTTTTTTCAATTATAATAACATAGCTAATGAATATATGAAAACATAATTAATAAATGAAGCTCATCCAGTTAAAGTAAAAACTTTTTATAATTTGATTTATAATTTAAGTATACTTTAGAATTAGAAGTGACATCTTGTGCCCATATTGTATTTATTTTCCAAATAAATTTGCTAAAATATTTTAAACATTGTATATTCCTTAGAATTGTTAAAAATAAAAATTTCAAAAATGATTCAACTTGTGGTGACCTTACAAATATGTAATTAGAGCATGAAAAGGAAAAATTAAGTATGTCCTGAAGTTAATGATTTATCATTGCGGCAAAATAATGGGTTAAAAGGTGTTTAATTCAAAGGTGAAATGATAAATTGGGTGAATACTAAATGGCGCCGAAGTCCTGAGTTACAGAAATTGACAATATCTGACCAAGCAGGTCATCACATTGAAGACAGTTACCACAAATACAATGGGTAGAACAGGTTTTAACTCCTCATAAAAATACTTGTGTCTAAATATATTGTAAGTGAAAATGAATTAAAATATAACATTCAAGAAGTAATCTTTATGCAAAATTCCTCAACTTCTGTTAAACTCTATCAGGTTTTTTGGATAATAAAATGCATAAACTGACAAATGCCCTTGTATTAAACAAGCTTTAACGAATACATGTCTTTAGACTAAAAGCACACTAACCACATACTGCGCTCTTATTTTATCATCTAGTGAATAAACAGAGACAGTGGACACTGGGTGATGATCTTGTCATTACTGCTACATCCTTAAATTTATGTGTGCCACTTCACCTACCTCTTTCAATTTCTAAGTCTGTGAAATAGGAATAAGACCTTTTCTTCCTTAATTTCCCCAGACTGCTTGCAATTAATAAGTGAATATTTATGATTTTGTAGAAAAATAATTGCTATTATCATTATGCTTTATTTTTCACTTTTGTGGTGTTATGGTTTAAATCAAATATAAGATGTTTATATCTTGGCCAGGTGTGGTGGCTCACGCCTGTAATCTCAGCATTTTGGGAGGTCGAGGTGGGCAGATCACAAGGTCATGAGTTCAAGACCAGCCTGACCAACATGGTGAAATCCCGTCTCTACTAAAAATACAAAAATTAGCCGGGTATGATGGCACATGCCTGTAATCGCAGCTACTCAGGAGGCTGAGGCAGGAGAATCGCTTGAACCCGGGAGGCAGAGGTTGCAGTGAGCTGAGATCGCACCATTGCACTCCAGCCTGGGTGACAGAGTGAGACTCCGTCTCAAAAAAAAAAAAAAAAAAAAAATTTATATCTCATTTTTAGAAAAATGGTGTTTAGAAAAAAAGCTCATCAGTATCACAATGTCACATTGTGGTTAGGAGGGAACTCTAACCCCAGGGGCCCATTTTAAAGGTTGTTTTATCTTCTCTAAGCCAATTACCTACACCCTAGATCAATGAAATTGATTGTTCATTCAATAATAGTGTTTTCAGCACTTTGAACTATATGTAATGTAAAAGCTAGAGATTCAGCAATATACAAAATAGCCCCAAGAGGCTGCTCTCATGGGGCCTACATTCTAGCGAAGAAAGATGCGTGATAAATAAGAAATGTACCAGATAGTAATAATTGTACGAATGTGCCAGAAATAGTTAATAAATGGTATTTGCTATTATTAGCAGTAGTAGCAATAGTAGTTGCTATGGCAGGCTCTTAGGTTAATAAATATGAAGGCTAGTCCTTATTTTTGGATCGTTTTGTTTCTACTAACTATATAGAATGAAAACCTCATTATCATACTTTAATCATGCATTGATAGAATGTTTTTGACACTTCTATATGGCTGCTTCATTGACACTTCAACAAATCACAGAAATAAGATTAATGTCATCATTAGATGATTTTAAAGTAGAGAAAAATGAGCTTTAAGGTTAGATGGATCTGTGTTCAAATCATTTACTTATATATTGCATGAAGATTAAACAGGAAATATTTTGAAACAGTTTTAACACTGCTTAGTATGATGATGATGGCGATGGTGATGATGTATTTTCTATTACTGTTTTATCTTGTACCTAGGCACATCTGTAGCCTACTAACAGATCTTGTTTCTCTGCTTCAGTCTCTTCCCTTCAATGTATCTTTCCAAGTACAATCAAATTAATATTAATTAAACAAATCTACATTTTCCATGGAATAATTTTGTACATATTTAAAAATGAATTAAGCAAACAAGTGTGTTTTCCATTTCTAGCATCTATCATTGTGGTTACAGTTCAAATCTTATGTTTCCTCTTAAAAGTTATTAAAACATGCAAACATTATTTTCCTACGTTAATTGGAGCCTTGCCCTCATTTTCCAGTACATAGTTGGTTACCCTGCAAGTTAAATAACTCTAATTATTAAGATTCAAAACATTACATGTATCATTGAAGGCAATTAAGATGATTTGAATATTATTAAATGAAAATGAACTATTTCTTTTTTCAAAAAACTAAATAAATATGCTTAGGGATTTTTACATTGTTAAAATTGCCTCAAAAATAATTGGGCAATTCAATATAATAAAGTGAATGCAATAAATAATTTTAATTCATAATAACATTAAGTAATATGCTTATTTGCATGACTAGGATAAAGAATGGATTGTGCAAATACTAAACAGAGACTAATAGGGAAAAGCATTGGTTATTATACTTTTAAACCTGTAGTTCATAAGTTATTACACTTTACTATGGTTGAATTGGCCTAACTCCACTATAGCATCCCTTACAAGAGTTCTTAATCTCCTCGCATTTATCATGTGAGGAAATCCCCATAAAACAGACCAAATAAACTACATAGGACCTTCCTTAAGCAAGGTTTCCCACTCAGTGGTATACTGTATTTTTTGGCTGGAGGTAGAGAAATGGAAACTACTTAAGCAGCTGTGCTTTGGATGAGAGTTTTATTGATTGTATATACTTCAAATGTTTCTCTTCACTAGCCATGTTTTCTTTGTAACTCTTGGCGAATATTCCCAAATACTCCAGTGGAAATGTTAACAAAAGTTCTTAAGGGTGGCTGCAGGGCCAGGGCATTTAGAGTGGACCCTTGACCATTGATACTGACCCTTTGGACACTTGGTGAAGAAAACAATGGTTCATGTTTGATGAGATCTGGATGAGACTAAAGGCAAATATGGAATATATTAAATAAGCCTGCCATGAGAAGAAATAAAATGGTTTCTGATAAAAACAGAGTCATTCCCAACTATAAATAAGAAGACTTTTGATTAAAGAAATTGCAAATGTAATAAAAAATGTTTGTACAAATTAAATGATTTCATATTTAATTAGAATAATAAATATAGGGTTTAATTTCAGTAAATGGGGTTATACGCAGATACTGGAAAACTGAAATGCTACTGTGTAACTTTTTAACCATTTCAAGGATTTGAATTTCTTAGTGTATTTGTGCTTTTAACAGTTTCTTCCTCAGTGATTCTTCCTTTCCATTGTGATAATACCCCAGCTCAGAAAATCTGTCTGGTTCAAATCCCTAACTTTTTCCCCCAACCTTCTTAATCTGGTCTAGTGCCTTCCTATCTGCCTTCCCATCTGCATCTTCCTACTCACTGTCTTTTGGATCATCCTCCATACCCTTCCTCCATACCCTGAAATTCAGAGTTTAGTGCCACTCTAACCATAAACCCACTTCTTTCTCAGCTTCTAAATCTAAGATCTGCGTTCTGGATTCTTATATATCTGTGTAGGGAGCTCAGAAACCAATGAAAAATACATTCAGCATTTTAGCAGGCATCAGTGGAGGGGACAAAGGTTGAATTTCTCACTTTTCTGAAAGAAGTTGCAAAAGTGGATTCTTCCTTAAAAGAATTTTGCTGTTCCCAGAATCTTTTCCATGGAAGTCCTAGGCATACACACACACACACACGCACACACACACATTAGTTGCCATATATATATATATATATATATATATATATATATGCTATATATATATATATGCTATATATATATATTTGCAATATATTATATATATTTGCAAATATATATTTGCAATATATATATATTTGCAATATATATATATTTGCAATATATATATTTGCAATATATTATATATATTTGCTCTTTTTTCTTTTATATATATGTAAAATATATGTATACATATACTTGCTCTGTTTTCTTTTAAATGGATCTCAATTATTGCAAGATAGGTTTTGAACGTCCAAACATTTATTTAAACACAATTATTGCAAGATATGTTTTGAACGTCCAAACGTGTATTTAAACATTAAATGAAAAAAAAACAAAGCAGTTTTTTTGTTTATTTGTTTCTTTTGTTTCTTTGTTTTTTGAGACGGAGTCTCGCTCTGTCGCCCAGGCTGGAGTGCAGTGGCACGATCTCGGCTCACTGCAAGCTCTGGCTCCCGGGTTCACGCCATTCTCCTGCCTCAGCCTCCTGAGTAGCTGGGACTACAGGCATCCGCCACTACGCCCGGCTAATTTTTCTTATTTTTAGTAGAGACGGGGTTTCAATGTGTTAGCCAGGATAGTCTCGATCTCCTGACCTCGTGATCTGCCCGCCTCAGCCTCCCAAAGTGCTGGGATTACAGGCGTGAACCACCGCGCCCGGCCAGCAAAGCAGTTTTTAATGTCTGTAAGCATTTTATGGGATGAGCGTTTCTTAGATATGGATGATAAAAATGTATTAATAAGAAAAAAATAAAAAGACAGCTTTCCCTTTCTGAGAAAGAATGTATTAGCTTCCTCAATGACGGAAATTTTAAATACCTACCAGACTGACTTCAGTAATGTCATTGAATACTTTTAGCCAATTTCAGAAGAAAGATAAACTGTTTACAGACTCGCAGTAATTCCTAGATAATGAGTATTCTTTCATTATTAGCCACAGCACAATAGTAACTGTGATACTGGAGAACTTAAAAATTTGTTCCTTCAGAAAATACTATCCGTAAAGTAAAATTGTCTGTTGGCTTTCTAAAGGAACCAAAACTATAAGCTTAAAATTTCTAAGTTGGAAATAATTTTCTTCTGAATTTATGAAAATCTCATGTCTAAGTCTTTAAAATTCAGTATTGATTAAAATTATTGGATAAATGTTCAGTTATGCCTGCGCTTCTAGATAAGCACTCCTCAAAATTTTTAGAGATCTTGTACCATAAGTGTTGACCAAACTTTGGATAAAAACAAACAACACAAACACACAAACAAAAAAAACCCTTAAATTGTTATGTACTTTTTATGCCTTTATTGTGGAATCATCTTGATTTTTATACCATTAGCAAATTTTCACACTAGGCAGTAAATTCATTCTATATTTTAAAGTATGAGTTAATCTCTTTAAAATTGTGGGTCTACTACGTTTTTCTCTTTCTTTTGTATAAATATGAAATACAAACTTACAATTTCATTTGTCACAAGCCCTGAGGAAGACCTCTCAAACTAGGGTTATAAATATAGAAGTGACTTTAGATATATCAGACTAGTATTTCACACTTCTCCTTTTGCAGGGAAGAAGTGACAACACAGAAGTTGAGGGGCTTTTCAAGGGATAGGTAACTAACTAGCTACACAGCAGGAATCGGAGAACTATCCTTAGATTCTAAATCCAATGTAGAACATTGCTTCTTGTCCTGGTTTATCTGACATTTGTGTTATAATGAGCTTAGTCTTTACAAGATATTCATGTCGGGAAATGGAGAGAATCTGATGTTCTGTCAAATAGACATGTTTTGAAATGGAAAACAGAGACAATAATACTTCGAGTTATAGTATATATATATATATTCTATAACATATATATGTCTATATACTTTAAGCGTGAACAGAGAAGAATACTCAGCAACTACTTTATTAACTGTGAGATTAAAAAAGGAATCAGTGCAGTCTGTATCAGTGCAGATTATACTTGTAACATGGCATCAGAGCACAGTGCTTAAGAATACAGCAGATGGGGTAACCAACTTTGAATCCCAGCTTATTACATTGTCATCTTTAGCCAGTTACTTGGCCTCTCCAAGCTTCATTTTTTCATTTATAAAACAGACATAATAATTTAAATGGAAAATCCAGAAACAGACCCTCATATTTATGGTCAATTGATTTTTGACAAGAGTGGCAAGACTTTCAATGGGGGAAAGATAGCCTTTTCAACAAATGTTGCTGGGAACCACTGGATTTCCAAATGGAAAAATAAATTAAAATCAGACCCCTACATCATGCCATATACAAAAATATTAACTCAAAATGATCAAAAATCTGAAGGTACGAGCTACAACTCTAAAACTGTTACAAGAAAACATAGGAGTATGTCTTCAGGACCTTAGCTTAGGCAATGGTTTTTTAGATTTGACAACAAAAGCACAAGCATCAAAGAAAAAATAGATAAATTAAACTTAACCAAAATTTAATACAACTGTATTTCAAAGGATCCACTTAAGAAAGTGAAATAACACGCAGAATGGGAGAAAATATTTGTATTAATATCTTAGATAAGGCACTAGTATCTAAAAAATACAAAGAAATCTTACAGCTCAACAATAAAATGATGAATAACTCAATTAGAAAGTGGTCAAATAATTTGAATAGAAATTCCCCAAATAAACTATATAAATAGTCAAGCATCACATAAAAATATGTTAAACACATTTGGGAGGCCCAGGCGGGTGGATCACTTGAAGCCAGGAGTTCAAGACCAGCTTGGCCAACATGGTGAAACCCCATCTCTACTAAAAACACAAAAATTAGCCAGGCATGGTGGCATGCACCTGTAATCCCAGCTATTCCAGAGGCTGAGGCAGGAGAATAACTTGAGCTCGGGAGGAGGAGGTTGCAGTGAGCCGAGATTGTGCCACTGCACTTCAGCCTGGGCCACAGAGTCAGACTGTCTCAAAAAAAAAAAAAAAAAAAAAAGTTAAACGTTATCATCGAGACTTAAAAGTTGAAACCACAATGAGATGCCACTTAACATACACTAAGATAGCTATAATAATAAGTGTTGAATAATAAGAGGTGTTAGCAAAAAGGCGGAGAAACTGGTACCTTGATATATAAAATAGTGTAGCTCTTGTGAAAGAAAATGTGGCCAAATTCTCAAAAACACACAGTTACTATATAATTCAGCAGTTTCACTTCTAGGTATACATCCAGTAAAATTGAAAATATATGTTCACACAAAAAGTTGTATATGAATGCTCTTAGCAGCGTTACTGATGACAGCCAGAAAGTGAAAACAATCCAAGTGTTCATCAGTTGATAAAGGGTTAAACAAATGTGATAGAGCCATAGAATGGACTATTATTTGGCCACAAGCAAAAATAATGTACTGATATGTTACAATATAGCTGAATCTTGAAATTATAACACTAAGTGAAAGAAGCCAGGCACCAAGACCACAAATGTTATTATTCCATTTATATGAGATGTCTACAATAAGATAATCTATAAAGATAGAAAAGAAATTAGTGGTAACCAGGGGCAAGAGGAAGGGATGAATGAGGAGTAGGTACTAATGGGAATGGCATTTCTTTTGGGAGTGATGAAAATATGATGCTTACAAAACTGGATTTGCTAAAAACTTTTGAATTGTGCACACAAAATGGTAAATTTTGTGGTGTTTGTATAATATCTCAATAAAAATGAAAAACAACCTACTTAAACGGATGGTTATGAGAATGAAATGAGATAATATTTGAAAAGCTCTGTACCTAGGAAATAGTAAGCACTCACTAAGGTTAGATGATAATGATAATGACAAAAATGACAAAAACTTGGAACAATAGAGGCACATAAGTAGATAATAAAATAGCTCCTAAATTAAAACTTAAAGGTACCTATTACCCTAGTCACTCCTATCCAAGGCTTCCAAAATGTCCTATTGAGGACACATGGTAGTTAACAATAGAATCATGCGATGGGTATGCCTACAGACTGCTTATAGATATTTTCTATAAATGTTAGTAAATTGTGTATAGATTATTTCATAGTATGGATTCTTTCTTTTCCTTCCTTTTAAAAAAAAAAAAATTTGGAGATGGAGTCTCACTGTGTTGCCCAGGCTGAAGTGCAGTGGCTATTCACAGGCATGATTATAGCACACTATATCCTCAAACTCCTGGGCTCAAGCAATCCTCCTGCCTCAGCCTCCCAAGTGGCTTAAACTACAGGCATGAGCCACCACGTGCCCAGCTCTCTCTCACTTTTTTTAAAAATAAAACTTATTGAGAGACTTCAAGTTTTGTTAAAGAAGGATTGACAAGTTAGCGTGTTATGAAGTTAACAAGTTAGCAAGTTAAACCTGTATTTGATAAGTTAGCTAACTTTGGTAATTGGTAGCCTGGAGTCTTGATTGGATTTGTCAAACAGTATTTTAATAGTTACTTAACTTCTTTGGTCTTATTTTCCTTATCTGTCAAATGGGGAAAATAACACATGTATCTCAGTGTTGTTTTAAGAGGAAGTGATATTATCCATGTAAAGTGTTTGTTATAGTGCTTTTTGCCTAGTAACTGCTGAATAAATGGAAATATTGTCATTATGAATTGCTACTCACTTTAGAAGAGTGCTTCAAAGAGCCCCTATTCCTGTTTCAATGTGGTTCCCCTGATTCTTGAACTACTACAGATGTTTTCTTTTGAAATGAATTGTAGTATTCAAGCACATACCAAAAAGTCTTGTGTTCTTGACTTCTCCATTCTTTTTTTTTTTTTCTTTTTTTATTATTATTATTATACTTTAAGTTTTAGGGTACATGTGCACATTGTGCAGGTTAGTTACATATGTATACATGTGCCATGCTGGTGCGCTGCACCCACTAACGTGTCATCTAGCATTAGGTATATCTACCAATGCTATCCCTCCCCCCTCCCCCGACCCCACCACAGTCCCCAGAGTGTGATATTCCCCTTCCTGTGTCCATGTGATCTCATTGTTCAATTCCCACCTATGAGTGAGAATATGCGGTGTTTGGTTTTTTGTTCTTGCGATAGTTTACTGAGAATGATGGTTTCCAATTTCATCCATGTCCCTACAAAGGACATGAACTCATCATTTTTTATGGCTGCATAGTATTCCATGGTGTATATGTGCCACATTTTCTTAATCCAGTCTATCATTGTTGGACATTTGGGTTGGTTCCAAGTCTTTGCTATTGTGAATAATGCCGCAATAAACATACGTGTGCATGTGTCTTTATAGCAGCATGATTTATAGTCATTTGGGTATATACCCAGTAATGGGATGGCTGGGTCAAATGGTATTTCTAGTTCTAGATCCCTGAGGAATCGCCACACTGACTTCCACAATGGTTGAACTAGTTTACAGTCCCACCAACAGTGTAAAAGTGTTCCTATTTCTCCACATCCTCTCCAGCACCTGTTGTTTCCTGACTTTTTAATGATTGCCATTCTAACTGGTGTGAGATGATATCTCATAGTGGTTTTGATTTGCATTTCTCTGATGGCCAGTGATGATGAGCATTTTTTCATGTGTTTTTTGGCTGCATAAATGTCTTCTTTTGAGAAGTGTCTGTTCATGTCCTTCGCCCACTTTTTGATGGGGTTGTTTGTTTTTTTCTTGTAAATTTGTTTGAGTTCATTGTAGATTCTGGATATTAGCCCTTTGTCAGATGAGTAGGTTGCGAAAATTTTCTCCCATTTTGTAGGTTGCCTGTTCACTCTGATGGTAGTTTCTTTTGCTGTGCAGAAGCTCTTTAGTTTAATTAGATCCCATTTGTCAATTTTGGCTTTTGTTGCCATTGCTTTTGGTGTTTTGGACATGAAGTCCTTGCCCACGCCTATGTCCTGAATGGTAATGCCTAGGTTTTCTTCTAGGGTTTTTATGGTTTTAGGTCTAACGTTTAAATCTTTAATCCATCTTGAATTGATTTTTGTATAAGGTGTAAGGAAGGGATCCAGTTTCAGCTTTCTACATATGGCTAGCCAGTTTTCGCAGCACCATTTATTAAATAGGGAATCCTTTCCCCATTGCTTGTTTTTCTCAGGTTTGTCAAAGATCAGATAGTTGTAGATATGCGGCATTATTTCTGAGGGCTCTGTTCTGTTCCATTGATCTATATCTCTGTTTTGGTACCAGTACCATGCTGTTTTGGTTACTGTAGCCTTGTAGTATAGTTTGAAGTCAGGTAGTGTGATGCCTCCAGCTTTGTTCTTTTGGCTTAGGATTGACTTGGCGATGCGGGCTCTTTTTTGGTTCCATATGAACTTTAAAGTAGTTTTTTCCAATTCTGTGAAGAAAGTCATTGGTAGCTTGATGGGGATGGCATTGAATCTGTAAATTACCTTGGGCAGTATGGCCATTTTCACGATATTGATTCTTCCTACCCATGAGCATGGAATGTTCTTCCATTTGTTTGTGTCCTCTTTTATTTCATTGAGCAGTGGTTTGTAGTTCTCCTTGAAGAGGTCCTTCACATCCCTTGTAAGTTGGATTCCTAGGTATTTTATTCTCTTTGAAGCAATTGTGAATGGGAGTTCACTCATGATCTGGCTCTCTGTTTGTCTGTTGTTGGTGTATAAGAATGCTTGTGATTTTTGTACATTGATTTTGTATCCTGAGACTTTGCTGAAGTTGCTTATCAGCTTAAGGAGATTTTGGGCTGAGACGATGGGGTTTTCTAGATAAACAATCATGTCGTCTGCAAACAGGGACAATTTGACTTCCTCTTTTCCTAATTGAATACCCTTTATTTCCTTCTCCTGCCTGATTGCCCTGGCCAGAACTTCCAACACTATGTTGAATAGGAGCGGTGAGAGAGGGCATCCCTGTCTTGTGCCAGTTTTCAAAGGGAATGCTTCCAGTTTTTGCCCATTCAGTATGATATTGGCTGTGGGTTTGTCATAGATAGCTCTTATTATTTTGAAATACGTCCCATCAATACCTAATTTAATGAGAGTTTTTAGCATGAAGGGTTGTTGAATTTTGTCAAAGGCTTTTTCTGCATCTATTGAGATAATCATGTGGTTTTTGTCTTTGGCTCTGTTTATATGCTGGATTACATTTATTGATTTGCGTATATTGAACCAGCCTTGCATCCCAGGGATGAAGCCCACTTGATCATGGTGGATAAGCTTTTTGATGTGCTGCTGGATTCGGTTTGCCAGTATTTTATTGAGGATTTTTGCATCAATGTTCATCAAGGATATTGGTCTAAAATTCTCTTTTTTGGTTGTGTCTCTGCCCGGCTTTGGTATCAGAATGATGCTGGCCTCATAAAATGAGTTAGGGAGGATTCCCTCTTTTTCTATTGATTGGAATAGTTTCAGAAGGAATGGTACCAGTTCCTCCTTGTACCTCTGGTAGAATTCGGCTGTGAATCCATCTGGTCCTGGACTCTTTTTGGTTGGTAAACTATTGATTATTGCCACAATTTCAGAGCCTGTTATTGGTCTATTCAGAGGTTCAACTTCTTCCTGGTTTAGTCTTGGGAGAGTGTATGTGTCGAGGAATGTATCCATTTCTTCTAGATTTTCTAGTTTATTTGCGTAGAGGTGTTTGTAGTATTCTCTGATGGTAGTTTGTATTTCTGTGGGATCGGTGGTGATATCCCCTTTATCATTTTTTATTGTGTCTATTTGATTCTTCTCTCTTTTTTTCTTTATTAGTCTTGCTAGCGGTCTATCAATTTTGTTGATCCTTTCAAAAAACCAGCTCCTGGATTCATTGATTTTTTGAAGGGTTTTTTGTGTCTCTATTTCCTTCAGTTCTGCTCTGATTTTAGTTATTTCTTGCCTTCTGCTAGCTTTTGAATATGTTTGCTCTTGCTTTTCTAGTTCTTTTAATTGTGATGTTAGGGTGTCAATTTTGGATCTTTCCTGCTTTCTCTTGTAGGCATTTAGTGCTATAAATTTCCCTCTACACACTGCTTTGAATGCGTCCCAGAGATTCTGGTGTGTGGTGTCTTTGTTCTCGTTGGTTTCAAAGAACATCTTTATTTCTGCCTTCATTTCGTTATGTACCCAGTAGTCATTCAGGAGCAGGTTGTTCAGTTTCCATGTAGTTGAGCGGCTTTGAGTGAGATTCTTAATCCTGAGTTCTAGTTTGATTGCACTGTGGTCTGAGAGATAGTTTGTTATAATTTCTGTTCTTTTACATTTGCTGAGGAGAGCTTTACTTCCAACTATGTGGTCAATTTTGGAATAGGTGTGGTGTGGTGCTGAAAAAAATGTATATTCTGTTGATTTGGGGTGGAGAGTTCTGTAGATGTCTATTAGGTCCGCTTGGTGCAGAGCTGAGTTCAATTCCTGGGTATCCTTGTTGACTTTCTGTCTCGTTGATCTGTCTAATGTTGACAGTGGGGTGTTAAAGTCTCCCATTATTAATGTGTGGGAGTCTAAGTCTCTTTGTAGGTCACTCAGGACTTGCTTTATGAATCTGGGTGCTCCTGTATTGGGTGCATAAATATTTAGGATAGTTAGCTCCTCTTGTTGAATTGATCCCTTTACCATTATGTAATGGCCTTCTTTGTCTCTTTTGATCTTTGTTGGTTTAAAGTCTGTTTTATCAGAGACTAGGATTGCAACCCCTGCCTTTTTTTGTTTTCCATTGGCTTGGTAGATCTTCCTCCATCCTTTTATTTTGAGCCTATGTGTGTCTCTGCACGTGAGATGGGTTTCCTGAATACAGCACACTGATGGGTCTTGACTCTTTATCCAACTTGCTAGTCTGTGTCTTTTAATTGCAGAATTTAGTCCATTTATATTTAAAGTTAATATTGTTATGTGTGAATTTGATCCTGTCATTATGATGTTAGCTGGTGATTTTGCTCGTTAGTTGATGCAGTTTCTTCCTAGTCTGGATGGTCTTTACATTTTGGCATGATTTTGCAGCGGCTGGTACCGGTTGTTCCTTTCCATGTTTAGCACTTCCTTCAGGAGCTCTTTTAGGGCAGGCCTGGTGGTGACAAAATCTCTCAGCATTTGCTTGTCTATAAAGTATTTTATTTCTCCTTCACTTATGAAGCTTAGTTTGGCTGGATATGAAATTCTGGGTTGAAAATTCTTTTCTTTAAGAATGTTGAATATTGGCCCCCACTCTCTTCTGGCTTGTAGGGTTTCTGCCGAGAGATCCGCTGTTAGTCTGATGGGCTTTCCTTTGAGGGTAACCCGACCTTTCTCTCTGGCTGCCCTTAATATTTTTTCCTTCATTTCAACTTTGGTGAATCTGACAATTATGTGTCTTGGAGTTGCTCTTCTCGAGGAGAATCTTTGTGGCGTTCTCTGTATTTCCTGAATCTGAACGTTGGCCTGCCTTGCTAGATTGGGGAAGTTCTCCTGGATAATATCCTGCAGAGTGTTTTCCAACTTGGTTCCATTCTCCACATCACTTTCAGGTACACCAATCAGACGTAGATTTGGTCTTTTCACATAGTCCCATATTTCTTGGAGGCTTTGCTCATTTCTTTTTATTCTTTTTTCTCTAAACTTCCCTTCTCGCTTCATTTCATTCATTTCATCTTCCATTGCTGATACCCTTTCTTCCAGTTGATCGCATCGGCTCCTGAGGCTTCTGCATTCCTCACGTAGTTCTCGAGCCTTGGTTTTCAGCTCCATCAGCTCCTTTAAGCACTTCTCTGTATTGGTTATTCTAGTTATACATTCTTCTAAATTTTTTTCAAAGTTTTCAACTTCTTTGCCTTTGGTTTGAATGTCCTCCCGTAGCTCAGAGTAATTTGATCGTCTGAAGCCTTCTTCTCTCAGCTCGTCAAAATCATTCTCCATCCAGCTTTGTTCCGTTGCTGGTGAGGAACTGCGTTCCTTTGGAGGAGGAGAGGCGCTCTGCGTTTTAGAGTTTCCAGTTTTTCTGTTCTGTTTTTTCCCCATCTTTGTGGTTTTATCTACTTTTGGTCTTTGATGATGGTGATGTACAGATGGGTTTTCGGTGTAGATGTCCTTTCTGGTTGTTAGTTTTCCTTCTAACAGACAGGACCCTCAGCTGCAGGTCTGTTGGAATACCCTGCCGTGTGAGGTGTCAGTGTGCCCCTGCTGGGGGGTGCCTCCCAGTTAGGCTGCTCGGGGGTCAGGGGTCAGGGACCCACTTGAGGAGGCAGTCTGCCCGTTCTCAGATCTCCAGCTGCGTGCTGGGAGAACCACTGCTCTCTTCAAAGCTGTCAGACAGGGACACTTAAGTCTGCAGAGGTTACTGCTGTCTTTTTGTTTGTCTGTGCCCTGCCCCCAGAGGTGGAGCCTACAGAGGCAGGCAGGCCTCCTTGAGCTGTGGTGGGCTCCACCCAGTTCGAGCTTCCCGGCTGCTTTGTTTACCTAAGCAAGCCTGGGCAATGGCGGGCGCCCCTCCCCCAGCCTCGTTGCCGCCTTGCAGTTTGATCTCAGACTGCTGTGCTAGCAATCAGCGAGATTCCGTGGGCGTAGGACCCTCTCAGCCAGGTGTGGGATATAGTCTCGTGGTGCGCCGTTTTTTAAGCCGGTCTGAAAATCGCAATATTCGGGTGGGAGTGACCCGATTTTCCAGGTGCGTCCGTCACCCCTTTCTTTGACTCGGAAAGGGAACTCCCTGACCCCTTGCGCTTCCCAGGTGAGGCAATGCCTCGCCCTGCTTAGGCTCGCGCACGGTGGGCGCACACACTGGCCTGCGCCCACTGTCTGGCACTCCCTAGTGAGATGAACCCGGTACCTCAGATGGAAATGCAGAAATCACCCGTCTTCTGCGTCGCTCACGCTGGGAGCTGTAGACTGGAGCTGTTCCTATTCAGCCATCTTGGCTCCTCCCCCGACTTCTCCATTCTAAATCAGTTTCTTTTTCTATTCAGAGATAGGTTAGAAGAAAAAAAATAAAATAGAGTCATCTAACCTCTACTATGGGAGAGTGGCAAGTTGAAGAATAAATTATGGAGCCGTTCAGACACAAGCCATTCAGACATGAGCTTTTTATTCTAGAGGTGTGTGTGTGTGTGTGTGTGTGTGTGTGTGTGTGTGTGTGTGTCCTTTCAAAAGTTTGAGCTCCACTGGCTTTCTTTGGTACTACCCATTGCAGCAGGATTGTAGGAATAAAAGACATGCAAGCAGGACTCCAGGTGGGGGTAGGGGAGATTAGCCTGTAGGAATTCCAAATGGAAAAGGTTGTTTCCACCTGATCTTTCAGGAGAATATATATTGCTTATCCTTTAATAACAAAGAGAAAGTATGGAGCAAAAATTGGGGGTGAGAAACATTGCAGTAAAAACAACAACAAAATAGAATAAGTTCCAGTGTCCTATACTACTGTAAAGTGGCTTCAGTTAACAATAATATATAGTTTTAAAAAGCTGGAAGGAGGATATTGAACACTCCCAACAAAAGGAAATGATGAATGTTTGAGATGATGGATATGCTAATTACTCTAATCTGATCACTGCACATTATACGTATTGCAACATCACTCTGTATCCCATGAATATGTACAATTACTATTTATTAAAGAAAAAATAAATTAAAAAATGAAAATTAAGGTTAAAAAATCCTAGTACAAGGAATGAGACTAGATATTTGTCCCTGACTTCATGACTGGGACAGAGAGTAAGAAAGAAAATAAAAATATTCACATTTTGAAAAGTTGTTAAGCTTTTAGATAAATATGTCAATACAGTTGACCCTTGAACAACATAAATTTGAACTGCATGGATCCACTTATACTTGGATTTTCTTCCACCTGTGCCACCGCTAAGACAGCAAGACCAACCCCTCCCCTTCCTCCTCCTCCTCAGCCTACTCAACGTCAAGATGACAAGGATGAAGATTTTTATGATGATCCACTTCCACTTAATGAAGAGTAAATACATTTTCCCTTACTTATAATTTTCTTAATAAAATTTTATTTTTTCTAGCTTACTTTATTGTAAGAATACAGTGTATAATACCTATAACATACAAAATACATTTAAATCAACTGCTTTTTACTGGCAAGGCTTCTAGTCAGCAGTAGGCTATTAATAGTTAAGTTTTGGGGGAGTCAGAAGTTATAAATGAATTTTCAACAGTGCAGTGTTCAGTGCTAACTCCCACATTGCTCAAGGGTCAATTATATTTTGCACCCCAAATGGAATCTTGTTCTTAGCACTAGTCAATACAAAGTAACTAAGTGGTAAGTGTAGTAGACACAATGGCTCCTTTCCTGTGCTCTTCTCCTCCATGTTAGCATCCCTCTCTTCCCTATTGCAGAAAACCAGTAAATGGAATACACGTAAAAAAGGTAATGAACAGTTCTCAACTAGTTTTATATCTTATTTATCTTTACTAAAGATATATATCTCCGTTTAAGGCAACTTGGGGAAAAGGTGAGTGACATAAGAGGTGCAGTGTGCCTCATACCACCTATATTACTGTTTCAGAAGCAGACTGATGGTAAAAAGTAGGGGTGACTGTTCTGCCCCGAATAAATAATTCACCTGGTTAGATATTAAAAACTAAAGTCTAATTTATCTGCCTCACCCTCAATTCCTCCTTCCATCTCTCCCTTCCTTCCTTTGTTTTTTTTTTTTTCCCCCATAAACTAAGAACACACTGGTCATTTAATATATAATCTGAAGTCACAAAGGGTAATATGCTATTACCATTCTCATGGAATACCTAGGTTAAAACTATGGAAGAAGAATGCAATAGAAACTTTAGGTTTTACTATTCTTAAATTAGTCTTTCTATAGCAAACACTAATATTTTCATTTACCATTTTTATTAGGGAACAACTAATAATCATAATTCTCAGGGGAGAACATGTTTAGCAAGTTTTGAATTCAGGAAACTTCACTGGACTAATCTAAGCCCTTTTGTTATAGTTTTCAACACCTTTTGTTCCTTTGTGTATAATTAGCAACTCCTTTGAAAGCTTGCAAATATTAGCGTTCAGCCTTGTCATAAGGACTATTAATGGTTGATAGTCTTTTCCCAGAAGTGCATAAGTGAAAAAGCTGTCGTCTTTTGATATAGAAACTTCATTGCAAGATTTAATTACCTAAGTATAACACTTTTAAACCAAACCTTCTGCCTGCTTATTAAAAGCATTTCTATATATTACTCAATTTATAGTATAAAGATATTTTTGGGAAAACACATTTCATAAATTTCCATACTGATTATTAATACGCCATTTGTTTTGTTATGAAAAATATCCAGGTAAACCTAGAACAGATAACTGTCTAAAGAGAAAGTTATAATACTTTACCAAATATTTGGATAAATCATAATAATGCTGATGTGTATAATCAAGGAAAATTTATTCTCTAAAATATTGAGTACTTCTCTATTCTCTAATGTTTCTGTGCATATTAAATATTTTGTTCAATGTGATTAATCAATGACTTGTCAACCATTTTCCAAGGTTATTATATTGCCTCCTTTCAGCTTTTATGTATACACTTCGTGTTTTTTAATTCACCCAGATCCTCTTACTTACAGTTGCATTGCTAATTTTATGTTTTACTACAGAAGTTTAAAAAACAGCTAACGTGCGAATTTTCCTTATAATAAAAACTCTAAAAAACAAACAAACAAACAAACAAAAAACTAAACAAGTAGATGTCCTGCAAGAAACACTGCTGTGTGAGTCAAGACTTCTGGAGAATTGCAAGCTGGCATTCTGCCCACTTATGCAGGGTTTCTTAATTTGTTCTACTATAAAATAATGTGAGTGTTCTCTCTAGCCATAAGTACCTCAATGGTTTGAAATGCAGAAAGTGTAATTAAATTTGAAGCTGAAAAGGAAGGTACCTTGGAGAGTCCTGGCTCTTATTAGCTTTCAAGCTAGGGACAAACAGATGCCACAGACCATTTGAGGGCTGTTTGTTGGATGATGCTAATTGTTTACTGTGCTTATTATTCTGTGACATCCTTAGAATCACCCAGGTGGGGAGATGTCAGACTAAAGTTACCAATATCTGTGCTAAGAAAAACTCAACACTTCTATAGTTTAAGTCCATTTTGGTCAAAGCAGAAGGATTCAAAGCCATTCTGAGGTTTATGAACAAGATTAAGAAAGCACCTGGCACTGATTTTAGCTTGTAAAAGTGGAACCCTCAGAAATTATTTCAGATTATTTCATACACCTAGAAAAAATATATAGAGAAAGGTGTTTACAAGAAGAAATAAGATCAAAAACAAGTACAGCCTTTGTCCATGTGAATTTAAAGCAACTAGCAGGCAACTGCTTTGATTTATTTGATGCAATTGCCTGTTGATAGGTTTTTTTGTCTCATTCTGAAGAATCATTAAACTACCTTTTTTAGTGTAACTTTTCTTCATGTACTTGATTCATGAAAGTGGCAAGTGTGTCATCTAGTTCTCAATTTCCCGCATGCCAAATACAGGTTTTGGTATACCACAGATGTTTAATGAGAAATTTGTTTCTTACTGGGAATAAAGGTGCATATGATATTTGAGTTTAAGTTAGATGAATTTTAAGACATCCCTTCAATTTTCAAATTCTGTAATTTTAATAATTTGTGCATTTGCTTTTGTTGGTCTATCAAATAATAAAATTAGCAGTTGAGAAGCTTTGTAAACCAATCAAATGAACTAATATTTGAATGATCTACATGTACAGTGATAATTAAGGAATGAATTTAGACTGTGGATGAGTCTGTGTGTATGGATGGGGGTATGGTCTAGTCACAATGAATGATATATGGCTTGCAGAACAATGGAAGTGCCTTGAACAATGTTCATATCCCACCCAAGAAGTGAGGCAAAATATCACTCTTGAAATAAAGGAAAAAAAACAAACACAATTAACTGCTTACAACCCAAGTGGAGGAAACAATAACCAATTAAACACAGTGTTAGGAAAGAGATGGAGTAAGGAGGGAATGAGCTGAACTGCTTTCAGTAGACTTTAAAGGGCACCCTGGAGAAAATGACCAATTTGATTTCATTGATCTGAGAAAAGCATAAAGGTAGGATGGTGTTATGGTTAAGGATACAAAAGAGTCATAATATCTAGGAAAGTAAAAAAAAAATGTTAATAAGGCTGTAGTTAACTCTTCCATTTATTCATATCAGAAATTTTGTCTTGTTTAAATATTTTCGTTTCTAACAACAATGACAATTGGTGTTTTGAATGGTTTTCAAGCTGAGTCAATATTAACTTTAAGAAAATAGCTCCTTTAGACAGAAAACCAAACACCACATGTTCTCACTCATGGGTGGGAATTGAACAATGAGAACACTTGGATACAGGATGGGGAACATCACACACCAGGGCCTGTCGTGGGGTGGGGGGAGGGGGGAGGGATAGCCTTAGGAGAAATACCTAATGTAAATGATGAGTTAATGGGTGCAGCACACCAACACGGCGCATGTATACATATGTAACAAACCTGCACGTTGTGCACATGTACCCTAGAACTTAAAGTATAATAATAAAAAAAGAAAATAGCTCCTTTAATTTCTCATGAAAAAGTATATTTTAGTGTAATAATCTGTAATTATCACTATATTAGACTCTATCTCTTCTCAAATGGTCGAATTTTTGTGTTCAATTATTTATCTGTAACATAACTTCTTGTTGAGCAAAAAAATCAGGGCTTTTATTTTTCTATTTATTTAACAAAGCTTCTAAAATTAGCCAACATGATAGCATATCAAACAACGGTGGAAGTTTGATGTATATAATGATTATATAGTAAATCAGGTATTTCAATCTAGAGGAAATTATTGAAGTCATTTTATTATTGTATATAATGTATAACATTATAGAATTAAGGTGGCAGTTTTATGGTCTGAATGGAATGTAATAGAGGAAATATATTTTATAATGAATAAATCTTATAATAGTGGTATTGATGAGCAAGCTAATGTGTATAATTTACAATCGTTGAAGCAATGCTTTGTTAGAAGAAACTGAGGCCCCAAAAGATTTATACTTTATGGCCAAACAGCAATAAAGTGGAAATTATACTTTGTAAATTTACATATATTGAATTGAGTTAAGTAAAAGTAAATATTGTGGCAATAAACAAATGGTTGCAAAGGATCATTTTAAATACCTACCCCATGCCAGGTATTTTACATATATTTTCTCCCATCTGTACAACCTTCAAAGTAGGTAACATGACTCTCAAATGAAATAGCAGAGCTTCAGAAGGCAAAGGAAATTACTCATAATCACATAGCCAGTAAATGGTAGGAAAAGTATCTGTGTAAACTCCTCCACATATAGACTGAGAACTACTGAAATTAAATCCTTGGGAAGACCTCAACATGCTTTTTTTTTTTTTTTTCTGAAGACGATGAAGATTTTTTAGTAGGTAGTGCTGATAATCTGTTATCACGAGTACTGGGTGGTGAGAAAACAGGGATACTAAAGATAGGTCCCTTTTAAGCCTTATTAAATTTCACAGTGTCTGTTTAATTTTTAAGGAACTAAAAATTTTACACATTGTGTTTGCAAGACAGTCAGCCATGAAAGATTCAGTGTTCTTATGGGAAACATTCTCTTCCTTAAATGAAAAAATAAATTTTCTGTTAACTCTCTTGAAAGGTCTTCTAATTGAGGAAGTCCATTCTTCCCTCAAACCACGTGGGCAGTTCCCATTAATAATAAAGCCCTTAGGGGAAAGATAACTCCCTAAGATGCTATAAAATGCCCAAACAGGATGAAATCTTCTGCCAACGTTTATACTGACTTTGAGTTTTGATATAAGTAACTCACTGGGCCTTCCGCAGGACTGAGGAAAATTTTATCAGCAGTTATACAACTAACTGAATTAAATGGAATGGAGCAAATGTAAAAGTCAACAAATTTAAATTGCACCTTCTAACTACAAAGCAAGTTTCGCGTCTGTTTATTTAGATGACAGTCCATTTTGGTGCCATGCTATAGGATTCAGGAGCCTAGAAATGTGAGATAACAGCACTCTTGAATTTCACAGGAAGGCAACATGTTTGGAAGAGAATATTCCCAAACTGTATTAATATGAAAACATCTGTCAGTTACAGATTAATTTTCTTCACAGATTTTCTACCTTTGGAAACATCTGCAGCTGAAATGTATTTCTCTAAAATGTAGATTACAGAGGTCAACCAGTTTATCAACCATTCTAAGAACTGGCTGCTTTTTACAGTACACAGATGTAGCTGAAATAGCAAGATTAAGTGCATACCCTTAAAACCACAAGCAAAAAGCAGTTGGTTAAAGAGGAAAGACATTCAGAAAGAATATATTATGCCTAAAATAATTCAGTTGGAAACTCACTTGTGGTCTGCCACATGATTACAATAGGGGAAAGTCATGTGATACTCATATTCAGGAAACATTTACAGCAATCTTCTTTCCTATGTACATTTTCATAGTTAAGACTTTTTTCTTCAAATTTAACAGTCAATAATCAAATGAAAACAAATTGAGCAAATGTACCTTGCAGAATCTTTATTTAAAATGGTTTACATATAAATTTTGGCTTAAATACTCTGTATTTTAAAATAGGCACAATAACAGATAAGTTAGGAAAATGTAGATGTAGAAATCTGTGCAAAAGCCTAATTGAGTTGAACCTTGCCAAACAATGAACAATTACAATTTATTTTAAACTGAGATTTCAGACTCTTTAGGGAGCTCGCACACAAGTGTCAAAAGGTTTGGTGATGTTACTGGTACATAAGGAAAAACCTATCAATATTGTTCTTATTAAAAGCTGAATTTGCTACGAAGCAGAGAGTATCCTCTTCTAATTATCATTCTCCTTTTTCTTCTGTTTTCTTTCTGCATCAGACACTTACTGTCTCAGAAAAAAGTCAGTCATAAAACATTTATATATTTAGGGTCCTATGATCTGTGTAATTTCTAGAAGAGTTTCCTTTAAGCTCGAAACATACTGTACTGTAGGAAGGATTTTGACTGAACACAACTTTCTTGAGAATCCTGTGTAGGTAAAAAGTGGGAGGGAGATACCAAGGTAAGATGAGTCAATAAAATAAATTGCTTTTATATAAAAGCATATACACCACCCATCTTTTGCCATTTTGAGTATTTGCCATTATTATTACATTTATTGAATATGTTGCCTATCATTCTCGTGAAACTTCAAAAAGCCAAATTTCACGTCAGAAATCGAGTCTAAATATTAATCAATATTCATGATTAAATATTAACCTCCTATCCCCTGTATATTCCATATTGTGGCTAGTAAATGTGAGCTCTAAAAAAATGCTCATAGCTATAAGCATAGAGCTTTGGTCGAAAGCTCTTACTCTTTTTTGAGGAGTGGCATTTATGGGTAGAAAGAGAAATATGCATACAGTCAGAATTGAAGGCAGTAGGTTATCTTGGTAGGAAGCTGCAAATTCGTATTTTGCCAGATGGTAAAAGAGTACTTTGAAAAGCTTCATTGAAACTGCAAGGTTTTCTATCTATGTTGAAGTGTTTGGAGTTCATTTCAAAGGAGTTAAAAAAAATAAATGTTTCCAAAAAGAAAATTCATCCAGAACCAAAGGTGTCTTAAATTTGAACAGAGAGCAACAAATTAAAAATCCACAAAGAATCTTTGTTCCTGCTAACACTGGCTTTCATATATTCTTAGAGGAATTATTTGGTTAAGTAATTGGGGGCATCAAAATTTTGTCTCTCGAAATATACTTTTTACTGTATAAAAATATTCTTTTAATCCTAAGAGTATAGTAAAATTGTACTTTATGATGCCACCATGCTTCTTTGAAATATGAGTAATAAATCTAATATATAGGAAGGATATAAATAAAATATTTAAATTATAGGCCTCTCTGCAATAAAATTGTTATTTTTTATTGTGAAAAACCTATCCTCAAAACTTTCCACCATGATGCCTGGGGCATTTTGAAATATAAGGCCTTAAATATCTCTCCATTATGAAATCTGAAAGTTTAAAGTTAACATACTTCTGAAAATATTACTGGAAAGGAAATCGATTTTAGATTATTAGCTATCTTGGTAGTTTAAAAATATTTCATGACAAGAAATACTAAGGTTAACATATTGGACTGCTATGAAAAGATATGTCTTACTATAGAACTCATATGAAAGCTTCAATTTCTGAAGTAAGAGTTGGAAATAACTTCTTCATACTGAGGTTTACATTAGCTGGTTTAATGTTTCTAAATTGGGCCATCAGAAGGGTCTTAGTCCTTTTACACTTTGTAAATAGATCTTGAATTTCAAAAAAACTAAGTATCATTTAGTGTTCCATCTGAACATAGAGGAAAAAAATTATTCAGTCCTAAGAAATGTTGTGAATGCCATGTTAAAAACCTGGCATTTCTAAGATTTTTGTGAAATGCTTTAGTGAAGAGCAAGAAAGTTATGTTGTTTTTCATAGAGAAAAAAATTATCTGTAATGTATGGGTGAACTAGAACTTTTTTGCATGTTTAGAGGTCTTAACAAACTCTTGATCAAGGGAGTTCATTGTGTAATTATCATCACATATTTAATCTGCTTTCCACCTAAATTATCAGTAGTAGGGTCAACAGCAAAGTCCACATTTCCAAAAATATGTGGTTGATTTGCCTCCCTAAAAGTAACTGGGCTTGAGCCACTATGCTGGCATGTATTGTTTTCTTGAAGGCAACCTTAGTTTTTAAAAAGTATTATCTTGTTTTAAATAACAAATTATCTGCAGGCCACTAATCCATTTCCTTTTAGTTTTCTTCTTATATTGATGAATAGGGGTGGGGAGTAGCATCTTTTATCCTCAATTTGGTCCTTAGCCTCAATTCTAAGGCACAAACAAAAAGAAATATCTCTCCCTATGCATGATCCTTTACACATTTGTATAATTTTTTTTGATGGCAAATAGATAGGGTTTTCATGCATTATCCTTGTTGCTATTTTTTTTTTTTTTCGAGACAGAGTTTCACTCTTGTTTCCCAGGCTGGAGTGCAATGGCGCGATCTCAGCTCACCACAACCTCTGCCTCCCGGGTTCAAGTGATTCTCCTGCCTCAGCCTTCTGAGTAGCTGAGATTACAGGCATGCACCACCACCCCTGGCTAATTTTATATTTTTAGTAGAGACGGGGTTTCTCTATGTTGGTCAGGCTGGTCCTTGTTGCTATTTTTAAGCTTTCAGCTTTGTGATCTACATCTCATACACTGCAATCTGGGAACAGTTATTTATTTCATCAACCCAGATATATCACTTATTAAAGAAATTTACCGATAGATATTATATAGCTCTATGTTTCTTTTTATTGTCCCCACACTAGTATGGCTAAGACCAAGATGACACATAGGTGCATAACAAATATTTTAAATACTTGTTGACTTTGTAGAGTTGTTAGCTCCTTGATTTGGTTTTTGGTCATGGTAACTGCAACTATTTCATGTCTTCTGAGATACCATGCATATCAGAATGATTTCCAGCTATTTATTATTTTTCATAATGGTGACAAATACATTTAATTAAAACTATATATTTTTATGATGAAAAATAGTTTTTCAAAGTAAAATGAAATAATTTGATTTTGTTGTTACAAACATTATTGCAGAGCAGAAGTTTTCAGTGTCGCTGAACCAGCAATAACAACATTCCTGAGAACTTGTTAACAATGCAAAAATATTGGAGTCCACACCAGACTATAAATAAGACACTCTATGGGTGGGGCCCAGCATTCTGTTTTAACAGGCCCTTCAGGTGATTCTAATTAATGCCAAAGTGTAAGAATCACTGCTGGGAAAGATAATGAAAGCACTTAATTCAGAGATGGATAATCTTTTCTAAAAAATTACATGAGAGAAGCAAATTTATACAGGTATGTTGTAATAAAACTTGCAAAAAAAGGTTAAGGAATATATTGAGCACTGAAATTGGCCAGATTTGATTTGATATTATTTATTGATTTCAGATTACTCAAAGATTTTCCCTCCACTCACCATACAAATATAAAATAGTAAGAGTCGGCATTTTCCAATGTTTGAAATTATTACCAGGAGAGGATGATTTTGAAGTCATTTCTAACTTTAGTTAGGAAGACCAAAGACAATAAATCATTATCCTGATATCACTAAATGAAGTCTAAATGAAGTTCAGGCCATGACAGGCCATGGTATATTTTACTGTAATCCTTAAATTATAATATAAAATTTACAAGATCACCTCCATCAAGGACTAAGCATTCAGACCTTAGAACTGGGGTAGCTCAACAAAATGTTCACATTTTTGAGATATGGACAGCTGCAGTAGAAAATGAACTGAAAGCAATTTTTTATTGTTTTCATCTTATAAAATAATGTGTATTTATTATAAAATGTATAAATAATACAATTAAAACCACAGCTAATTTTACTCTTTGTCTATTCTATTTTTTATCAATGGCAGTATATTTTTGTCCCCCAAAAATTCATACGTTAAAGTCCTAACCTTCAGTACCTCAGGATGTAACTGTATTTTCGAGACACCATCTTTAAAAAGATAATTACGGTTAGATCATGAGAGTGGGTCATAGTCCAGTAAGACTGGTGTTCTTATTAGAGGAGGAAATCAGGTCAGACACAAACACAGAGGGAAGAATATGTGAAGACAGAGGAAGAAGGTGGCTATCTACAAGCCAAGGAGGGAGCCCTCAGAAGAAACCAAACCTGCCCACGCCTTGATCTCAGACTTCCACCCTTCAGAACTATGAAAAAAATAAATTTCTGTTGTTTAAGTCACCCAGTACATGCAACTTTGTTATGGCAACTCTAGCCAACTACTAATAGTCCCTATAGATTATTATAGCTACTCCTTCTTCTAAGGCCATACATGACTAGTTCTGGTTCCCTGGTAGATTTTTCTCCAGATGGAGCTGCCTGCCTTACTCTCAGACCCTTTTTTTGTTTTTTTTTTGTTTTGTTTTGTTTTTGTCGTGCTACCTACCTTTGCTTTGAATGCTCTTTGATCCTTTGCTCCCACTCGCAACCCTCACATTTTACCTCCTAATCTGTACAGTCTTTGTTGCTCAAGTTTTACATTTTATTTCCATCCACACTATTACTGCTATTTTTTTTTTAACTACTGCAAACATCATCCTATAGGTAATACTTTCTCTAAGTATCTTCTAATTCTGACCCAGTCTCCAAAATTCAGGTAGCATGGGAATTCTAAAACAGAGGTCTGATTTATCTCATTCGATCACTCATCCTTCCTAATTTAGAGTTTAGTTTAGAAGCAATGTTTATCCATCAGTGAACATATTATGATTCCAAATGCCCTAATATGGGATCATAATATAAAAAACTTCAGTTTCTTCCACTCCCTGACATGCTACATATATGCTCAGGCAATTCCAATCTATGAGTTTTCCTCTCCAACTGAAAGAATTCACTTAATACTGTTAACACTTAATAGTGGACTAATTTATTTCCTTCCTTCTTTCCTTCCTTCCTTCCTTCCTTCTTTCCTTCCTTCCTTCCTTGCCTCCCTCCCATCCTTCCTTCCTTCCTTCTCCTCTCTCTCTGTCTCCTCTCTCTCTCTCTTCTTTCTTCCTTTCTTTTTCAGACAGGGTCTCACTCTATCGCCCAGGCTAGAGTGTGGTGGCTTCATCATGGCTTACTGCAACCTCAACCTAAGTGATCCTCCTGACTGAGCCCCTAGATTAGCTGGGACTACCAGAGCGTGCAACCATGACCAGATAATTTTTGTATATATTTGTAGTGGAGACAGTGTTTTGCCATGTTGCCTAGGCTTGTCTTGAACTCCTGAGCACAAGTGATCCACCTTCCTGGGCCTCCCAAATTGCCTATGTTTCTTATATTGTTAGCTTAGAATCATGGAATTAGCACATTATAGAACTATACTGGACTTTTCCGAAGAAAAATATTCTATAATATATACAAGAACTATGTGTTTTTTAGAGTTAATATGTTAAAAAATTTAAGACTGCCCTCCCAAAGGAAGTCCGAGCTCCTCGTCTTCATTAGCTTAAAAAATTGACAACCATAGATAGTACCAATTTCAGTGGAGAAGCAGAGTACAGAAGCTGAGTGGAGGAGAGATTAAGACTAAATAAGAAAAATAACGTTTGGAAGTATAACTTTAGGTTTATTTGATGGGAAACAGCTCAGGTTTAAGAACAACCCCATGAAGATTGTATATAATGGTCTATCTTCATCGAGCCTTTCCATTTTTTCCTTCTGACTTTGAATAGAAACAGACAAAGAGACAATACTCAAGCGAAGAGTCATTTTCCAGAGAAGGATCCTAGTTAGCTTGGATATTTGAGTACATTCTTTATTAAAATCTTGAGGCTTAGTGTTTCAAGTAGTTAAGCAGGACCTCTGAAATACAGATGTTTTCAGTCTCTAGGATCTAAAACCAGGACTGAAACATTCCATTGTTCAGGTTGTTTGCTGCACAGGGATGCCTGGCTGAAAGAGTAAGGTAACATCTTAAATCTAGCCCGTATCTGCACATCAAACTGTAATTTCTATCACTGAGCTGCACCTTTTCTAATTCACATGAAGACTTTTTTAACAGTTTCAGCATCCCTGTTAAAGGCAAGGCTTCAACTGCCCTGATTATCAAATGCCACTGCTACTGACAACATGAATCGGCTAAATTCCAAAGACTCAGAATGACCAGATATCTGCTTTTACAGAGAGAAGTAGGATCATTCTGTACCCAAGTTATAAGTTTTAGTTTAAGACATTTGTATTAATCAGAGACCTACTTTCCAGCACAATTAAAGCAAATAAACACTTCAGAGAGAAAATGGACAAATTGGGCCCAGGATTTATTTTTCTTGAAACTCATAAAATTGTATGTACAAGATTGGCATTTTTAAAGGTGTATCATTTTATTTATATTTGCATTTGTGATGTAATATAAGTATACTTTTATAGAAACGAAAAACTTGGCCAGGCACAGTGGCTGAAACTTGTAACCCCAGCACTTTGAAAGGCTGAGATGGGCTGATTGCTTGAGCCTAGGATTTTGAGACCAGCCTGGGCAACATGGCAAAATCCCATCTCTAGAAAAAATTTAAAAATATTAGCCAGGTGTAGTGGTGAACATCTATCGTCCCAGCTACTCAGGAGGCTGAGGGAGGAGGATTGATTGAGCCTGGGATGTTTGAAGCTGCAATGAATCATGATTATGTTACTGCATTCCAGCCTGGGTGATAGAGCAAGACCCTGTCTCAAAAAGAAAAGAAAAAGAAAAAGAAAAACTTGCTGTGGAAACCGAAAAGTTTCCTCAGCAATCAATATCCACAGAACATTGACTTGTGATATCATGATACTAAGTGAAAATCAAGTCTTAGTGTAAACTATCTTTTATTTGAAGATACTTGAACATCTAAGGATGCTAAACACATCTAAGAATCAGGCCTGGCTTCAACCCACTTCAGTGAAAGCAAATTCACATCCTAACTGCTTTTCAGAGCAGGCTAATAATAATGTAAGGCTGGGATATTTAAAAAGCAGGCATTAATAATAGAGAAGAAGATACACCATAAAGTAGAAAACCCAGGTGATGTTGCTTTGTAGGTATGAGAATGAATGGCTGTGGAAGTTTGCAGTTGAAGAAGATAGAGACCCACAAACCTTGCTAGACAGGGAGAGAAAATAAGAAGTTGTGTTGTTGAGTCTGAAGATAATATGTACCATTACTATTTTACAACTAAAAATAAGAATGCATTTTTATTTTATGTCCTACCTTGCAAATTACTCCTAAATACAGTGTTCGATTCTTCTATTTTTCTTCATTAATGATAATGCACTTTCATAGAGTGCTTTGAGATCCTTAGATAAAAGGTACTAAGTGCAAATTAATGTCATCTAAAAGCTGTCTTAATAACTTCATAAGCAAGAGTGGAATGGCTTCCAATTTAATTCTAAATAGGTGTAAATCATTTCACATGAAGAACCAAGTGAATTAATTGCAGAAGAATAGTTCAGCATGCACCAAACCTATTAGGATACTTGAACACAGCTGCAACTCAGAGGATAAACTAGATTAGAATACTGTTTGTAGAAAATAGCAAATCGAAGCACTCTTTCAGGCAATTAACAAAATCAGAGCATCCTTTGAAGCAAATAAGCATGAAAAATGCCTTTCTTACTCTGATTTTTCCAAATGCCTAATTTTGCTACTGTCTTGAGTATCTTGGATTATGTTCAAAGCCCAACACAACAGAGTTTCTGTCATACAGATGAGATTTTGTTTTGATGTGAACTATTCAACCACATCCAAATGCTCATTTTCAACTATAGCAATGATGAATGTGAACTATTACAGTAACACCCACTACAGCTTGACTCACTGGTGGCATTACCCATCATAGTCTACTAACGTTTTTCCATTTATTTGGAAAGAAGGAGAGATGTGAGTAAATCGAGAGGAAAACTAGAAAAAGTTACTAACAACAATAAAGTGTGAATATTCTAGCATATTTGCACATAGATTATTTAGAGTGCACAATGTTTTTATGTGCATTATTTTAATTTTGTATAATAATGCTATGAATTAGGGAAGATGTCATTTTCCTATCTTTTAAAGAGAGGAAAGAATACTTTATATACATTAACTGGTCCAGGGTCATATAACGAGCCAGTTGCAGGTCAGGAACTTAACCTAATATTTTTATTCCAAAACATTTTCACTATCCCATGCCACAATAAAATTTCTCCTTTTAAACATTTTGTTTTGTTAACCAATATTTTAGCTACTTCACACTGCAAAACAAGCCTTAGAGATAATGTTCTTTCATGGACTTTATATATTTAATATATGTATTTATATATTTACATATGTTTTCCAAACCCAAAACTCAAATTACTTTGCAAATATAAATGTTATTCATGTAGATAAATGAACTTTTCTATTAGAATCAAACAAAAACCTCAAAATACTCTATTTGTCTTTTTTTTTTTTTTTTTTTTTGCTACATCTTTAGGGATTCAATTTCAACATACCTCCCAATTTCTACCGTTTTCCAGTTTAGGAATTGAGTGGTAGAGCAAGAAATAGTATGTCTGAGTCATAAAATATAGGTCATTTTGTTTTTGAGTGTGAAACATCGGTTAAGTCTAAGGGTAGTGTGGGTTCCGCTAACTTCCTATGCCATTTTCAGTAGGAAAAATAAACAAGAAATGAAGTAAAAAGAGAGAGAACAACAATGTCCACATGGCAACAAACAAGAAAGAGTGTTTTCAGTAATGTTGGCTACTGTACCATCAAAATCTTAACTTCAATAAATTGTTGCCTACTTCTTTTGGGTTTCACACAAACTGCTCTTCTCAGCAGTATGGCCAGCAGCATATTATTGGAATTTGAAATGAATCCAACCTTTATCTGTCAAAATGTGCTAAACTATATGGTGGTCTTAAGACACTGTTAATTTTCTGTGACTTCAAATAACCAAGTTTTATTTCTTGCTCATGTTGCATGTCCAACGTGGTGAATAGAGGCGCTTTGCTCATGATGGTCACTGAGAGATGCAGGCTGACAGAGAAGCCACATTATGCTTTGCTGGAGGGAAAAGGGAGAGCACTTTAGAAGCTCTCCACCTAAACAGGGAGTGGCACACATCACTTCTGTTCACAACACTTCCTTGCCCATAATACCTCCAGGGCCCCTTGTAACTGGCTTGTCACAGAAATACGCGGTGAACAGAGTTAACGTCTACAACACAATACTACTCCTTTAATTCCTAGAATAGTCTATAGAACCATGTCTTAGAAAACCTAAAACTAAAGACTGGAAGTTAGTTCAGCAAAATGTGTCAAAACCACCTCAGAAAATCATAGTCTACCACTTAGGTGTACTTAGAGGGAAACATCATTGTCTTCCTGCATGTAACACCTCTTCAAAGCAAGTTTTAGACAGTATTTAATCATAATATTATCATAAGGTTAATTTAGAAACTTTTAAGCAATTGAATGGACTATAGTTGTTCACCAATTTTATGACATCTCCTATGTTGTCATCATTTATTTTTATTCCATTGTATTATTTAGCTGGCCAGAGTACTAAATTTTATAGATTGCACAGCCTAAAAGTCCAAGGTTGGTCTGCTGAAAGTATTTGATTCTATGCAAACAATATTAAGAGGAGCTCTGTGAATAATACTTCCCATAATTCTTCTTAGAAAGGATAAATTGATATTTCAGTTAATCTCAAATAGAAATTGATTGTTTGTGTTCAAGTTACTGGAAGCTGCAATTCATGAATGAGCTCTGATAGAAAAAAGGACCCTAGGTAGATAGTACAGAGAGTTAAGTTTCTTCTGAAACAAATAAAAAAACAATATATCTGTGCCTCAATAAAAACTATCTTGTTGACAGTAAAGAAGGTGAAAACAATTTGATTTAAACTTTCAATACCTGTTTCAGAATCAATTTGTCTAGTGCAGATCAGCTTAACTTGTCATGTATTGATATGCCAAGATAAAGCATGCTGTTTAATGAGTAACAACAAATGTACAAGGTGTATAGGATGTATGCAACTGACAGGGCTGCTTAATATACATTTTGAGCTTGCAATGAACATTAAGTGACCACCACAACTGGGATGCCGCATGAAAAAGTGGCTCGAAATGACTCTTTTGTTTACTTTTCTCATGATATTTAAAATGGTGTGATAAGAGGTGACCTGACAAGACAATATTATCCTGAAACATTGTAGTCCACACAAAAAGTCTACTAGAAATGCTATTCTATCGATTTTGAATCTGAAGAACTATTGGAATTTCAGAGATGAGACTTTCCAAAATGACTAGGTCACTTGCTTCTGAGATCACCCCTAGAGCTATGTCTTTTTACATCTCAGCCTAATATGTCACCTGCATTAGTAAGCCTACATAAGTGTTTCTTTACAAGATATATTCTGCACTCCCAAGTCACTGAAACGTTGATGATAAATAGGGAGTTTGATATTCTTAACACACGATGGAGAACAATCTCAAAGACAGAGAAGAACTTCTGCTCGGCTCCCCTTCTTAATGTAATCCTGCAATAGAATTTAACTTCCATTAGGCTTGCTTCTCACAGTTCTCTTATCCCCAGGTATTCGTATGAAAGCTGAGATTCTTACAAAGAAAGTATTCTAGCCTTCAGGGTGAATTTTCAAAACTCTGCTAAGGCAAGGCACATACAAAATCTTGCAGTTTATTGCATTTTGGGTGTATGTTGGCTCTGCAGTGTTTTGAACATTCACCCCTTCAGGTTAGCACATTCATGAAAACAACATCTCATGAGTGTGATATGAACTCAAATTTGAGCACACAGATTTGAATGAATAAAAAGACACTTACAGAGCCAGATAATGGTCACATTCATAGGTCTGTGATTTTTCAACCTAGCCCTAGGCCAACATAATTTCACACAGTGTAACAGAATGAATAATAAAAGTATTACTTAATCTTTAATATATTACAATACCAAATTCTGGAATTAGGAATATGAGTCAGCTATACTTAACTGCACTCCCCACCTGCAAGCTGTAATTGTAGTGCAAGTAAAGTATAAATTTAATACAGGCCAGTTTTTTAATGTCATCCACCAATTTCTAATTTTTAAGATGTTTTTCTTTGAGCAATGGTCATTTTTTCAAACTACTATCTGTTACTTCATCAATATCCAGGAAGAGCCCACTGATCATTTCTATAACTATAAATTGCATACCCTAACGTAATTATGCGTTAATTATTTTAATTCCTTAGATAAAAAATAATAGATATTTCAAAAACTATAGCTTTTTGTAGCAGGTCTTTGTCAATACTACATTCTAATATCTGAAAATGTTTAAAGCAAGTGATTTGGTTTGACTGTCCTAATACTTGCAGGATACTCAATTTATAAACACTTCATAAAAGCTATCCAGGCTGGGCATGGTGGCTCACGCCTGTAATCCTAGCACTTTGGGAGACCGAGGTGGGCAGATCACCTGAGGTCAGGAGTTCAAGACCAGCCTGGCCAACACGGCGAAACCCCGTCTCTACTAAAAATACAAAAATTAGCCAGCTGTGGTGGCCCGCGCCTGTAATCCCAGCTACTTGGGAGGCTGAGGCTGGAAAATCACATGAACCCGGGAGGTGGAGGTTGCAGTGAGCCAAAGTCATGCCACTGCACTCCAGCCTGGGTGACAGAGGGAGACTCTGTCAAAAAAAAAAAAAAAAGAAAGAAAGAAAAGCTATCCAAACATGTTTAAGCAACTCATTACTATATATTAAGACCACTGTTAAATATCACAGATCATCATAAAAATGTTAGTATTTTCCGTATTAAGTGAAAGTGAAAAATAAGAAGTCAAAATAATAATTATTCTTTAGAGCAATTATTTTCTTTTGACTTGAATATATACTCCATATGATTGTTACTATGTTTTAATATTTATCTATACAAATATTGTTTGGGAAAATTTCCAACTTCTACTCTGTTTAGCTACTTTTTCCATAATATGCTATTACCTCAAAATAACAAGCCTTGTGTAGCACTGTTAACCTTATCTAGCAATCAGTATCCATCACATTAAATAAATGTGAGACTAATTGCATTTCCCTTATGGACTATCTGTCTGTTTTCCAGAATTTTGGTAAGGTAATCACTTTTCCCTCCTACATTTTTTATTCAGATTTATTTTTAACCTTATAGCTGTATTTTAGTATTTTTGGCTATTTCACAATTATTCATTTATTTTTTCATCATAGTATAGCTTTAATTTATAGGCTCACTATATTTGTCTATATTTATCAGTTTAGCTCTCTATATAATCAAAGTTTTGAGGACTTGTATTAGTTGACTTAAATAACTCATTTACTTAATTTCATCTAGAATTCCTTCCTCTAATCTATTCATCCATTTAGCAAATATTTACCTAACAACAGATTTAATCCAGGTAGTTGGTATTAAATATTAATCTATGAATAAGTCATGAAAGGATTCTGCCTTCACAGAAAATAAACAGGTAAAAGATGCAGATGAACAAATTATAGTTTTTGGTGTAGTGTAGGAAACACAGAGCATGTTTGAGATCACTCAGGAGGTGTTCCTAACTAGGATTTGGAATTGATGATGTATTCCTAGGAGAAATTGAGGTCATTGTAAATCATGAAGGTTGAAGAGGAAAGAGCCTGATGAAGGGCCTGTTTTCCAGTATGTACATACATATTGGGGGTAAGGCGTATTTGAGGGGAAAGTGGTGAGAGGGAGAAGGTGGGAAGTGGGAAGGGGAGAGAGAGTATTAGGTCAGTGAGAGAGGAAGAGAGTATTAGGTCAGTGAGAGAGGAAAGAAGGAATATAAAGTGCAGACATAAGTGAGAGGAAGGAGTAGAAGTGTGTTTCAGAAATAGGATATAGCTTTCAATACACTAGAAGCAGTTTGATATGATTAAGATATTAGAAAACACCTAGAAAGATAGTTGGTAACAGAAAGTGCATTTTCCATGAAGTAATTAAAGTTAAACTTCAGGGGCCCTTTTTTGTATGAACAGCTTGCAAGTTCCTGGAAGTGACTTTAGCAAAGTATTTATATAATATAAATCCATGTATGTATGTATGTATGTATGTATGTATGTATGTATGTATGTATTCTGTCTATCTATCTATCTATCTATCTATCTATCTTCTATCATCTATCTATTTAATTTAAGGTAAGGTATGTTAACTCATTTGTTTAAGATGGCTATTTCTTTCTATGATTTCCCTTGTGTTAGAAGACATTGGAATGGCCACTTAAAAGGAAATTGATTTGGGAATTCATTTGATTGAGATTTAGTGGGATTTTTAAATGTAATTCATTTGTTTCCATGTATTGTAGTTACTTTCAGTTATTGCCATGAGAATATTTTCCAGGAATATTGTGCTAAGTAATGAGGAGTAGCAGATTTAAAAAACACGCTGGAGAGATTTATATTTCTTGCTGATTAGACATGGTATACTGACATTGACAAAGATTATATAAAACGTGTATGTGCCACTAAAAGGAAGACATTGACCAAAAAGTGTTTAATGGTGTCCTCAATTCAAAGAGCAAAGACTTGATATCAAACAGGTCATATCTGATAGAAAATTAATACAGCTTTTTCCAAAATTGATAATAATCCTAAAATAGTTTCTGGACAAAATCAATGATGAATTGGTGTGCTGTAATATATTTCCAAAACTAACAATAATAAAATTAAATTTGAACAGTGTTGCTAAGAGAAAAGGGAACATAATCTTTATATTCTTTCTATAGAAAATGACATTATGAAGTAACTATCATGTTAAGAGGCAAAGAATACCTAGTTACTTCATAGAAAATAAATATTGTAGAGGTGGTTGAGCCAGTTAATTAATAATAAACATGATACAATATTTTGGATTTTTTACATTTCTGATATTGGTCAAATTTTAAAATTTTGTATATGATTTTGGTCAGGAGTCTATTTCATAGTACGGCAATTCTAATCATAACAGTCTTAGTTGACATATCAGTCTCTCAAACACCAAAAGAGAAGCTTACCCCTTAATCAATTTGACCAAATTTTTAAATATTGTAAGACAACTGTTAAATATCTTTTTAGTATTTATTTCTGTAATGTAAACAACCCCAATTCCTCCATTATTTGCTACACAGCATAATAATGAAACAATTTTGATTAATGCTATCCATTCCAGTAGATTTGAATCCCCTCGTCCCCTCCCTCGACGGAGTCTCACTCTTTCGCCCAGGGTGGCGGTTCAGTGGCATAATGTCGACTCACTGCAACCTCCACCTCCTGGGTTCAAGCAATTCTCCTGCCTTAGCCTCCTGAGTAGCTGGGATTATAGGCACGGGCCACCACACCTGGCTATTTTTTGTATTTTTAGTAGAGATAGAGTTTCACCATGTTGACCAGGCTGGTTTCAAACTCCTGACCTCAAGTCTCAAACTCCTGACCTCAAGTGATCCGCCCACCTCAGCCTCCCAAAGTGCCGGGATTACAGGCGTGAGCCACAGTACCCGGCCAGGATAATGTATCTTTCTTTTCAGTATTTTCCCTTTCAAAGGCACAATAATATTCGTACTTATATGATAATCTTTATGCCTCACAAATGACTTTCTTCTACACTGTTGCATTTAATCACAATAACAAAAAGGAAGTAGGGACATTCCCACTTTTCAGAGATAAAAACTGCAGTTTGGAGAGGTTAGGTAACTTAATAAATTCATAGCTTTTGATGTAGAACCTTTCTTATCTTCTGACACTGCATTCAGAGAGCGTCACATTATACTATCACTTCTTACCACGTTTATTTATAAAACATACAACAGCTGTTAAGATATGCTAGGTTTTCCCTTATAAATATTATTTACTGACCATAAAACCAACTACAAGCTAAACATAAAAGTTACCCTGTCCTCTCAGAATCTATAACTACCAGTAATGTTGATGGAATTACTACACAGTGGCATATTTAAAGGATCAAAATATTGGGAAAAATTTTTGCTGAAACAATTTAATATCACAGTCATTTTAATTAAAATGTGAAAAACTTTGTAAGGTCAGATATTTACGTCATTATTTAAAGTACAGTTTACATTATTCAAAATAGCTATTGCCTTTTATCATTTTTTGAATATTGAAATGCTGAAAGAATTAAATGGTTGGGAAAGTGTCTGGTCTTCATTATTATTTGATTAGCCTATTCTTACTGACATTATAATGGATTAATATGATATGTTATGGAACATTATGTCAAAAACAATTCCAATACTTCCTCTGAAACCAGAATTTCTTTTGCTAAATTGCTAATGGTCTACTTAGGAGATATTTTACTGTTCTTCTTGTGTTTCTTAGTTGTAATTATTCAATTAGAGATTTTTAAATTATTCAAGTAGTTTTTTTGTAACCCAAGAAAGAGTTCTATGGACATTTTACTTGCCTTTTTTCTTTCCTCATTATTATTTCCTTTAAGTAAAGGGAAAGGTGTCTTTTGTTACAGGCTTTTTTTGTGTTTGTTTATATAGTTGAAAGGAAAGGTATTTCAAACCAGAATTGGGAAAATTATAGTATACTTTAAATGTTGGCAGTTTGAAAATAACATAATCAACACAGAAGAACAATGGACTATAATAATGTTATTCATAAGACATGTCTAAGATGTATATGTCTTTGTTTAATACAGGAAACAGAACCCACTCAAGATATTTTAAATACAAATAGATTTTTTTATTAGCAAGGATAGTTCTTTATTGCTATGTGTGAGACACAAATTGGAAACAAGAAAAGCATATGTAAAATATTAATATGATATTCATAGAATGCAATGGCATTCTACTCTTTTTTAATATACTTAAGTTCTGGGATACATGTGCAGAACGTGCAGGTTTGTTAGATAGGTATACATGTTCCATGGTAGTTTGCTGTACCCATCAACCCTTCATCTACATTAAGTATTTCTCCTAATGCTATCCCTCCCCTAGTCCTCCACACCCTGACAGGCCCCAGTGTGTGATGTTCCCCTCCCTGTGTCCATGTGTTCTTATTGTTCAGCTCCCACATTGTTCAGCTCCCACTTATGAGTGAGAACAGGCGGTGTTTGGTTTTCTGTTCCTGCATTAGTTTGCTGAGAATGATGATTTCCAGCCTCATCCATGTCCCTGCAAAGGACATGAACTCATCCTTTTTTATGACTGCGTAGTATTCCATGGTGTATAAGTGCCGCATTTTCTTTATCAAGTCTATCATTGATGGGCATTTTGGTTGGTTCCAAGTCTTTACTGTTGTGAACAGTGCTGCAATATACATACGTGTGCATGTGCCTAACCAAATAGATTTTTATACAGGGAATTAGATGCTTACACAATTGTTAGAAAAGCTCTACTGAAGACCTTCAGGTATGGCTAAGAAAATATTTCAGATATGATCTACTTTATAGCTAAATAAATAAGATGGCAATCAGGAGGCCACTGGGAAGTTCTAATCATTTTATCCTTACTACTGATTTCTGTATTTTATTCAGCATGTGATCTCACCTTGAACTTCTTTTCATTGAAAAACTTGTTAGAAACTGTCCTCTCTAAAAACTGCCTCAATGAACTGTTCTTAGTGTGTACCTCTCTTCTTTCAAAATAGCCTATACATTCCCTTTCTTCTTCATGTGTGCCTAAATCAGAAACCTGAAAGGACAGTTTTTTGTTTCTCATATGATATTCAACTTGCTGTATAAAGCCATGTGCATCTACAGCATTGTATAAATAATGAATAATAATATTTATGTCCTTCAGGGGAATACTGAGAACTTTTCTGCTTTAATTGAGTTCTTCTGTTTGTGTTTTTGATGTTTTATTTACCGTGTGCTTATTGGAAGGATTTTTCTATTTATTGTTGTGGTTCCTGTTCTATTTTGGCCCTGGAAATAGCTCCTGTCTTGTGTTGCCCTTTTCTTTGGAATTTTGTTTAATTTCTGTCAGATGAAGGTGCTTTGAAGGCTGCAGGGCCCTTAATGTCAATAAATTAAGGATATAAAAAATGCCATCTGCCACCTTTTCACCTACTATACAACATTTATCAATGTATCAGGAAAAATTACTTTAGTCACAATTCTTTTACAGAGAAATTTATTTTCTTGTTTTTCTCTGATGACCTTCTAATTTTTAGGTGTAATCAGATTGCAGTGAAGCCAGTAAATTACACATGCTATTATTAAGTTTAAACTCTAGCCACTGCTAGACCATTCATATCATGGGACATTGTCTGTTGAGATTAAGCAGGGAGCAGGACAAACCTTCCTTACAGGGTTCATCAGTGACCAAGAACTGCATGCCTGTGTGCTCCACAGTGGAATAAGCTGTACAGTCTTAACAACTGCAGATCACTTAGCATGAGTGATACCAAGAGGTGGTACCATGAAACCTGTGGACCCAGGCGACCTCTCCCTAAGACGGCCCCCTGACAACCATGTGGGGAATTCACCAATGAGTACTTCCCATCATCTCTAAGGGAGAAAATATAATTTACTGCCACCTAAACAAATTTTCTAGTCACAGAGATGTGACATAGTATATGAATTCTGATGTGTGACTTTGGGCAATTTGCTTACTTTGGTGAGTTTCAGTTTTTTTAAATCTATAAAGCATGAAAAAATACCAACTTAAAATGTTGTGGAAAGATTCAATAAGATAACATGTATAAACTAATTAACACCTAGTGAATGTTAAGAAATGATATTTTAATATTCTATTAATAAGGGACAGTCCTCTTGTTCATTATGTATAATCAACACGTTGGGTGGTTGCCAGACCACTCAAAATTATATTCCCTAAGGCGCTCAGGAACACTAGTACTGTCTATTCCCAAATGAGGAGGAGCCATCTGCTTTTGAAACTTAATAACTGTGTGTAGGAACTGTAATCGAAACAAAGAGAAGTAAGTCCAGTATTAATGCTTCTAATTACTTGTGTATTCACATATTTCTTTTTCTTCATCTTTTATTTAAAGTTCCAGGGTACGTGTTCAGGATATGCAGTTTTGTTACATAGGTAAACATGTGCCATGGTGGTTTGGGGCACAGATCAACCCATCACCTAGGTATTAAGCCCAGCACCCATTAGCTATTCTTCCTGATGTTCTTCCTTCCCACAACTCCCCCAATAGGTCCCAGTGTGTGTTGTTCCCCTTTCTATGTCCATGTGTTCTCATCAGTCATCTCCCACTTATATGAGGACCTGTAGTGTTTCTTCTTCTGTTCCTGCATTAGTTTGCTGATAATAATGGCTTCCAGCTCCATCCATGTCCCTGCAGAGGACATGATCTTGTTCCTTTACGTGGCTGCATAGTATTCCATGGTGTATATGTACCAAATTTTCTTTATCCAGTCTATCATTGATGGGCATTTGGAGTGATTCCATGTCTTTGCTGTTGTGAATAATGCTGCAATGAACATATGCATGCATGTGTCTTTATAACAGAATGGTTCATATTCCTTTGGGTATATATGCAGTCATGAGATGGCTGGAATGAATGGTATTTCTGCTCCTAGGTCCTTGAGGAATCACCATACTCTCTTCTACAATGGTTGAATTAATTTACATTCCCACCAACAGTGTAAAAGCATTCCTTTTTCTTTGCAACCTTGCCAGCATTTGTTGTTTCTTGACTTTTTAATAATCAGCATTCTGACTGGTGTGAGATAGTATCTCATTGTGGTTTTGATATGCATTTTTCTAATGATCAGTGACGTTGACCTTCTTTTCATATGTGTGTTGGCTGCATGAATGTCTTCTTTTGAGAATCGTCTGTTCATGCCTTTGCCCACTTTTTAATGGTGTTGTTTGTTTTTTTGTTATAAATTTGTTTAAGTCCCTTGTAAACTCTGGATATTAGCCCTCAAATGTATTTTTGATGGCATATGATGTACCCAGCATTGCACTAGAAAATATATACTCCTCCTTTAGAGCCAGAGAAATATATCAGTAAATTAATTTTGATGCAATAAAATCTAGAGTAAGAGACAATACACAGAATGGAGAGGAAAGCCACCAACTCCTTAATACAAATGCAGAGCAAAGGAACTTATAGGCAATGCCAAGATTTACCTCAGGAAGCAATTGTGATGTTTTTGTAATATCTAATAGTCCAGAACAGATTTGGGTAAGAGATGTCTAGGGAAACAGGGAGTGAGTGAGGTAGTTATCTTATGATGTTTTTGAAAATGGGCGAGTGATGACATTATTAGAAATGGCAATGGGATGATAACTTGAGAACAGCTTTGTAAGAAAAAGTGTTAGGAGTGTCAGCTATGGGGTCAGAAAACCTAGGTTCACTTCCCTTTTTTGACCCTTTTTAGTTATGTCCTTAATTTCTTTTTGTTCAAATTTCGTCTTCTAATAAACTTGCCAGCATGTTGTGAAGATTAAAGAGTTTGTTTTTAATGATAGGAAGATCTCCCTATAATAAGCATTCAGAAAGATGATTACTATTCACATTGGAAGAAAAGAAAAACAATATGGATTACATATAATTTAGGAAAAATACACAGAAAATGTAAACAAATTCTCTAACACATTAAGAAATATTGTGTCTTCTGTCACACATAATGAAATCATTTCTTCAGATTTTCACTCCTGTGTGTGCAAAAAGTATATAATGTCCTTGAAGAGATGGTGTGATTTTTTTTAAATGTCTCCTGGCAGGGGCCACCTCATCTAAATACATGGTTTTTCTTTTCTTACAGTGAAATCTGTTTCATTCTGTTCTACTGTGTTGAGTAAGACCTCTTAAATGGTTAAAAAGAAAAATGGAAACAGTGATAATTACTCACTAACTTGAATTAATGTGACTGCATTATGCTCCTAATAACTGTAGTTTACTCATGTCTCCCCTGTAATAATCCAAAATTAATTTCATTTTATGCTTGCGAATAATCAGTTTATTTATAAAGGTTAGCCATCTTTCTTAGCACAAGTTATTCCTTTCTCATTACTTACTGAATTGTGCTAATGAACCCAAGGCTGGAGATGCATGCAGATTTATTTCTCATGCATTCTTTGGTGTTGAAGAAGCTGCATGAGAAAGAAATAAGTCTGAAGACAACTGCATTTTGGGTCTAGGAATCTGATTCTAGTCTTAGTTGTTTGCAGTGCATATAGGCATTTCAATATCTCCTAGCCTTGCCCATGGAAGGGACCAAAACTACCCCTAGGGAAAAAGTACAGAAGTACCCTGAACTCTTCCAAAGAGATGTGCAGTCCACCTCTCTTAGATTGTAATAATAGTGTATGGTGTTTCCTGTATGCCAGTCACTCTTCTAAGTGTTTTACATTTAATTCTCATGACAACTCCAGGAGGTAGGTGTCATCATTTTATATGAGTCATTTTATATGAGTCACAAAGAGATGAAGGAACTTGCCCAAGATCATACAGTTATTAGATGTGATGCAAATCCAGGCTGCTAGCTCCAGAGACTGTGATCTGAAACACTATTCTCAATATACAGATCCAATAAAATATTCTGTCATTTACAGGTAATAACTTTTTCCCTATGGTGAGATGAAAATAAGCAGTAGTTAAAAGAGAGTAACTTCTTAGCTTTTAATCGTTAGCAAACTAGTAATTGTCATCTCAATGGCCTCTTCTCACTGTTGGTTACATTGGATACCCAATTATACTATTTTAACTTGATTATGTAGATGTGCTATTCTATAAAAATAAACTCCAATTTTTTCATGCTCATATGTTCACTATTCCCAACCACAGAAATGCTTTATGACTTGGGAAATTGCTTATCCTTTCTGGGTAAGGATTTATTTTTTCATCTGTACATAAGAGAGGAGATGTAATTTAAATCTCCAAAGACTTTTTAACTCTAAAACTTATCCTTCTGTAATTCCTTAAGAATGTGATTTAAGCTTCATGTTGTTTTGCTTTTAGTATTTATCAGCCCCAGCAAACTAAGCTCACTTTTTTTTTGCACAGTAAATTTAAGGTAAGTCTTACTATCTATCATTGTATTTTGTGATAATCTGACTTCTAATATAATGATTTTTCAAACATAATTTTATTAGACTTTGGAGTTGCAGAGTCACTCTAATGAAACACACAATAATTTTGAATTATAATTTCCCAAAACATAAAGTGGTCTAAAAATGACCTCCCACTGTATTTGGACAATATCAACTGATTCACAAGATTTACTGGGCAAAGATTGTGAATAGATTGCTGAAAAACACACTGTAAAGAGATAGTAATAAAAAGTATGGCTCTGCTGTGAAATGATCTCTCCTACCTTGTAAGGTACTTGCAAAGTTATGTTCTCAGAAATGCTATAAAACAAGCAAGCAAGCGTATATTGTCTCTTACAAACTCCCCCTTTGTGAATAGTTGTTTTTTTTTTTTTAAATGATGAGAATTTTGACTGCCCTCTACCAGTCACACAAGAACACATATACCATAAAGCTATGAGCTTCTTGGTGCATTTGTAAGGATAACAGGGTCACGTATCACCTGGATTCGCAGAATTTGGAATGGAATGCTCAGTCATATTGCAAAAATTTGCAGAGCAGTAGGGGTCTGGAAATAGACTGTTGGCAGCTCTTCTTCTTTTATTAATCATTGTGAGTATGGCAGATGGTCCTTGGGTTGTTCTCCAAGAGAAGTTCTCACTCTCTCTGAGGTGCAATGAGAGGTTCTCTAATGCTAATGTCCTCATTCAGGAACAGTTACTTTGATATTTAGATGGATGAATAAAAAGCTTTTACTGAACAATTAAATACAATTTTGTTGAGTGTCATCTGTGTTCCAGGTATGGTTATAGACAGTGGTGATAAAACAGTGAACTAAAACCCTTGTGATAGCGGAGCTGACATCCCCAAATGTGGCAAGAAGCTGACAGGAGGTAAAATAAGTAAAATGCATACTATGTTGGATCTAGGGGCAGCAAATTCAATCTGCAGGCCGAATCTACCCTACTGCTTGCTTTTGTAAACACATTTTTATCGGAACGCAGTCATGTTCTTTCATTTACCTATTTATTGTCTATGGCTGCTTTAGTGCTACAAAACCCAGAGGCAGTTGCAACCAAAACTCTACAGTGTGTGTCTGTCCAGAAAAAGTCTGCAGACTTCTGGGTTAGATGCTAGAAATTAGTATGAATAAAAGTAAATCCAGGAAGTGGAAGAGGAATAGGATGTGTTTTAGAGAGAATGGTCAGAGGACAATTGATTCAAAAAGTAACTTTTGTGTAAAGCACAGAGGTGGTGAGAGAGCAAGCCATGCAGCGTTTAAGGAAAGAACATACTAGACCAACAGAAGAGGAAGTTCCCAGGCTCTGAGACAGGAGCATGCTCAGAATGTTCTGGAAACAGCAGAGAGACCAATGTCCTGGAGCAGAGTGAGGAAGAAAGAGAGAAGTAGGAGGTCAAAGAATGGGGGCAAAAGGTATCAAGAAGTCATACAGGGCCTTGCAGGCCATCAGAAGTTTTTGATTTGTATTCTAAGTGAATTGGGGAGCCATTGGAGGGTGAACACCAAGTGACATAGGACATATGATTTAACAGGATTTTCTTCCACTGCTGATTTGATAACACACCAATGGGGAACAAAGCCAAAATCAGGGAGGAACGACCTTCTAGTAAGAGTTACAGGGAACCAGGCATGAGATAATGGGGACTTGGAAAATAGGAGCAGCATTGGTGGGGAATGCTATATTTAGGTACAATTTTTGGTTTTAAAAAACCACAAAAATAATAATATAGGGCTGATATTCAACTAAATACTGCTTGTATTCAGTTTAGGGCAATTAAATGATATTTTGAAATGCAGTAAAATATTATTTTGTATTTTCATGAAAGTATATTTGTGTTACATAACTTTTCCCCAATAACCATCTGCTGGGAGAGCCATTAGGTATTTAGTAATTAAGATTTAAATGTGTTTTTGTTTGTTCATTTGTTTTCCATAAGGAGCCTGCATTTGATGTCCCATTGAGAACAAGTAGGCAGTCTGAAAAACGGGGAAAATATCAGCTAAGTTCCTTTAGATTCTCTTTACTTTTCTTCAATTATCACTGAGAAATTTGGCAATTTAATATAGGACTCTCCATCACTATCATGAATTAGCAAGGTTCCACTGTAATAATTATTTCCCATTAAAACCCATGAAGTTCAGGTTTTTCTTGATGAGTTCAGAGACGGCTACACAAATGCATTGCTCTGTAGGCAGTCTGTTTAATCTAATGCAAAAACCATAGTGGCTTTTAAAACTTACCTGCAGGAATAGCTGCAAACTGCATTCTAAATGATACAGATCTGAGTTTTAGAAAGGAATGTTTAAAAAGAAGAACAAAAATGAGAACAGCATATTTCACTGTGAGCTTTGGATAAGTGTAGGAGAAGGATGTCTCAATAGTAGCTCTCTAGGCTATAGACCCAAAGGATGAACTAGTCAAAAATGTGTTTGTGTTGCTGCAGAGAGTGACCAGTGATGATAACCGCTTCAATAGAACACCAGGGAAAATATGTTTAGGAAAATGGAAATTAGGGTAGAAGAAAGTGAAAGCCAAATTGCAACACTTGGTGTTAGAGAGTTGAAAAGAAAAGTGAAGCCTGCCAAATTGAATGCCCTGGAGAATATCCCCAGGGAAAGGAAATCATGCAAGATTCTTTAGCTTTGCAAAAAGGAAAGAAGAAAGGCTTTCTATAGCAAGTCTTTCAAAAACAAATCCCATCAGTTAGATTCTCTAGAAATTGTAGGGTTGTATAGAATTTATACAATATTTGAGACAAAAAGAAAATGTATATTTTGTTGAAGCCAAGCTAAATAGAATTAATATATCACAGTCAAAAGATAATAAAAGCACCATATATTTCTGTAGAGCTTTATTACTGATGAAGCATTTTCACATACATTCTCTTACGAATCCAAGGAAGATTGTGGTTCAATTTTTTTTTTTTTTTTTTTTTTTTTTTTTTGAGACAGGATCTCACTTTGTCACCTAGGCTGGAGTGCAGTGGCGTGATCTTGGCTCACTGCAACCTGACTTCCTGGGCTCAAATGATCTTCCCACTTCAGATCCTCAAGTAGCTGGGACTATAGGTGTGTGCCACCAAGCCCAGCTAATTTTTTTTTTTTTTTTTTTTTGTATTTTTTGTAGAGATAGGATTTGACTATATTGCTCAGGTTGGTCTCAAACTCCTGAGCTCAAGCACTCTACCTCCCTTGGCTTCCCAAAGTGCTAGGAATACAGGCATGAGCCACAGTGCCTGGCCTGTTTGTGGTCAGATTTTTCAGATGAGAAAATGGTGGCTCAGGAAAATTACAACAAACAGTTTTGGAACCAAGATTACAGGGTAGTTCTTTTGAGTTCTAACATAGGACTCTTCCCAAAACTCATGTTCTCTTTTACAGCAATGAAGTCTATATTGTATTCAAATGCAATATTAGACTTTTACAGTCTCTCAGAAGTTGAATGGAAAGAATCACTAACCACTGTCATTTTCACTATGATTTCCTGTTTGCAAGTCATCTCAGTGCGATATCATTTGCTCTTTTCATTTTACATACAAGGAAACTAAGTCTGGGACACCTGCCCAAGCTGAAAGGGCCTGCAAATACAGGAATGAGAATGGAAATCCATCTCTTTGAACACCAAAGTCCTTTGCTTCTTCTATTATAACATAAATACGATACATGAAAACATATATATCTTGACTTAACTCATGATAATGTGAACCATATGCCAGCAGATCCTAGTGAGGTTGACACTGTTAAAAAAGAAAATAATTCATATGGCATGAAGGGTTTCCTTTAGATCCTGAATGTTTCATAGAGCAGCTGAAATTTGAGCTCGAACTTGGGGTTTTGTAGAGTATTTTTATGCAACAATTAGCATAATGACAGACAATAAATGTTAACATGGACAAAAGAATAAATGGATGGGTAGACAGATGATATTTGTAATAATGCTGGAATTCTGTTTATCTCACTATTGCTTCACTTCCTGTTCAAAACATTCTCCTACCTATGCCAAGAGCTGTTAGGTGAAAATCCTCTCTGTTTCCATATTGTGAGGTATATTAGACTGTGATTCCTTTAAAGAAGGAATTATATCTTTCTAGTCACTGTATCTGACACACAATAGAGAACACATGTTTGTTAAATGAATGAATAAATAAATAAAATGGGTGAAATTAATGGATAAATAAGTGAATGGTATAACACTTCATCTGCCATCATGTGCTTACTCATAGGATAACTCACTCTTTCATGAAGATTTCCTTTATGGCACCTCCTCAAACGGAGGCTGCTTCTCATAATTTATCAATTCTGTACAGATGGCTCCTTATAAACTTATATTTCCTTATGTATCTATCGACTGGTAGGGCACTTACTTGGATAGATGACTGTCTTATCACTAGACCATCTACTCCTTGAAAATGGACACTATTTTTCACTCATTATTTTGGCCTCCATATTTTGAACATAGACCCTTAATAAATATCTACATTTTTTCCTGCCCCATTCTTAATCTCAGTCAGAAGGGCTCATGGGAATGGGATTAAGAAGTGTTGCCTACATAGCAAATAAAGCATGCTGAGACACATAACTGTAAGAAGGCATTTTTGAGGGCAGGCAGAGGAGTTGTGTGGTATGGCTGTAGATTAGAATGCAATTATATGTATGCTTACTAGAATCACGGTCCATAATTATATATTTAAGTCTGAAATTTCTAACATACTCCAACATAAGGTGCTCAGAATATATTTTTTCTAAATTCAACCTTTCCTAATAGAAATAATTTTACCTTATTGCCACCCAAAGCATCTATTAAAACAATGATTTTTTTTCATGATGACATTAATATTCTCTAAAATGCTTTGAGCACCTTAAAAGAAAAGTGTAATGAAAATTCAACAGAACATTATTAATTTTAAGACTGTTAAGAATGCATAATTCAAAGCTATGGTTACTGTACCGTAAGGATAATTAAGCATAATCAAAATAATAGGCTTATTGTTCTCAATACTTTCCAGGTCTCGGTATGAAACCTCTTTTTCAATTAATTTTTCAACATCTTCCAAATGCCAATATACATGTCCTATAAAGGACTTCCTATTTTTCTTCTAGAAGTTAAATGGCTATGGCAGCCTCCTCCAGAGTTGAGTTGCCTATTTCTGCTTCATAAATCAACTGCTTTTCTCCTAGGATGAGAGGAGACTTCAGATTCATTTATTCCATTTTGTAAGAAAAAAAATTATTAAGGGTCTTCCAAATAATCTCACTGGTGAAAAAAAATGAAGTTTCCTCATAGTTCATCAGGGAAAACCACTTGGCAGGTCAGGGATTTGAGTTTATTGAAAGAAAATAAAACGGGTTGCAGTTCGACCTGACAGACTGCTTATGGGGAAATATACAACAGAGTTAGATTTTTCTAGAAGGACTTTGGGCAATGAAAGTGATTTATAGAACTTCTACATGCCTAAACGTGATACTGTTTGGGGAGTATTTAAGGATAAGAAGTGTAGAGGATCTTAAATTCAAGCATCAAAACTCACAGGTCAACAGAAAGGTGAACTCAGAGACTTATATAGTTGACCTTGTGCTGTTACAGAATGCCCCACAATTGCTTGAGTCTTGGTGTGGATGGACATTGTTTTGATACCTAAGATTATTGATATGGTTTGGCTGTGTCCTCACCCAAATCTCATCTTGAATTCTAGTTCCCATAATCCCCATGTGTCCTGGGACGGACCTGGTGGAAGGTAATTGAATCATGGGGACGGTTACCCCCATGCTTTTCTCGTGATAGTGAGTGAGTTCTCACAAGATCTAATGGTTTTATAAGGGACTTTCCCCCCTTTGCTCAGCGCCGATTCTCTCTCTGTCCTACTGCCTTGTGAAGAAGGTGCCTTCTTCTCCTTTGCCTTCCTCCATGATTGTAACTTTCCTGAGGTCGCCCCCACCACCAGCAGTGTGGAACTGTGGGTCAATTCAACCTCTTTTATTTATAACTTACCCAGTCACGAATATTTCTTCATAGCAGCATCAGAGTGGACTAATACGATTATAATTATCATCACCTTTTGACTGACCAATTGATTTACAGTATTGAGTTCAATCTGTTTTTTTAAAAAATATCTTCTAAATATCAGGTGCTGTATTAGATGTGGGGTACAAAAATGTATTTTCATTTACTCACTAATTTGCTTAAAATTTATTTATTGAGGACCTACTATATTTTAGGCACTGTACTATATTCTGAGAATATATAGAAATTAATATAATTTGGGCCCGAAGTATAAGAGCACATAGTTAGGGGAAGTAATTTGAGAGCTCACAGGGGGAGCAATTTGCAGTCAGTGTTCTAAATGTAGAAATAGAAGTATGTAAAAGGTACCAAAAATATTTTGATGGAAGAGGATTTAAGGAAAGTTTCGAAGAGAACATAGGTTTGCCTGGTTGACAAGGTATAGGGCAAAGCAAAATGAACAAAATGTGTAAAAGTAAATATACATGACATTAAATTAACTTTTTTAATGCAACATGCTTAATAAAAATCAAATCCTCAACAAACAAGAATACAGAATCAACAACATTTCACCTGGAAATTATTCTGCTCTTTGTGCTGAGGGTTTAAAACGACCAGTTTCAACTCAAGCCTAATAATTTGTTTTGCACATTTCATAATTGATCCATTTTGCTCTGAACTAAACACATTCATATTAAAACAGACGTCTAGCAATGCTAATAACCAAAGTGAGAACCGCTTTATAAATGTAATCCTGTCCAAATAACAGCACAACTTTTGAAAATTTTGTAAATAAATGTCAGAAACTTTATGATAACAAAAACTTTATGGCTGCTTTCTTCTACTGTCTCTTGACCCTTTCTGGATCTGTCTATTGTGGACAGAAAGCCTGTAAATTCATAGGCACAGAAGGATGAATTAAAAAGAATCAATATACATTCAGTCAGCCTCAATTTTCTCTAGTGAGAGTATCTAATTTCTGCCTTTTTTTTAACTACTCTGAATGAAGCAAATCCCTAGTGTGCTACATAGCTCATGGCATTTTTCAAGACAAAGGCACGGTTTGGAAGAATTCTGCTCAATTATACTGGACACAATTGTCTTTGTAAAAATATCAACACTAACATATATATTTTAATGGACTTCTAAACATAGCTTATAAATCGCATAATTATTAAGCAATGTCACATTAAATCCTATATGTCATCTCTTTACGTGGAATAACAAGAACACAGTTGTATCTGAAAATTTATTATGCTGTATATTTGAAAATGGCAAATTATTACCTTTTAATTGTAGCAAATTATGAGTAGCATCTGTAAAAATATACCAACATTCTCAAGATTGATAAAAATTATGCATATTCCGTGTAATTTAATTCAATAAACACTGAGGGCATACTCTTTACCAAGCTCTGAAATTACACAAATAGATATAAGAATATAATATTCCAATCCTTTCCCTGAAAATTCACAGTTTATTGTCACTGATTAGAGCCTGCAAATATTTCTGAGGGTCAACATGGATTTTCCCCATGATTCATGACTATTAGAAATTTCTTTAACTTTAAATGTCCAAATTCGTTATACCACACATTGAAATCTCTGTGATCTCTAGACATATTTTGGTTTGTCCTATTTCTATTACAAGCGTTTTCCATTCTTTAGTTTTACCATTCTTTCTCTTTTTTTTCCTCTTTGTCCATTTTTTCCAGTCAGTTAGCAAATTCCTTCTGATTATTCCTTTGGAATAACATTCACATCAGCTTTTTTTTTTTTTCCTGGCCATTTCTGCATTAACTTCAAACCTACTTACCTCTCATCTGTATTACTAAAAACCTTGTGTTCACTTGCCTCCAGTCTTGTCTTTTTCTAATTGAAATCTGCAAATTACAAAGGTGTAATACTCCTGAAAATATCTGTGCAAACCGTTCTCTGTTAAAACAAAACAAAACAAAACAGTTGTGGTCTATTGTCTGGAAATGTTGCACACTCAAGTTCCTAAAAAGGCCAGGTCGGTAATAAAATAAGTAAAGTGAATAGAATAAGACAATCAGGAGTGCTAGAGATTGTGGCATGCGTAGGCTCCAGATAAGATTTAGAAGGCACTTAGGTATAGCTGATTGTTTTCATATTTTTCATATTGAAATATGGGTTTTTTAATGTTTGATGAAAAAATATACTAAATTTTCTAACTTTTAAGACACTGTGTGGCCAAACAAAATATTTGTATCTGCTGTTCTCACACAGTTCTGACAGAATATGAAAAGCAAGCTGCCGGCTTGTCAACTCTGGTCTATAGAGTTAGACCACTTTATGTTGCCTGGATTTTGAGGTCCTGTGACATGTAGTCCCATTGTCTGTCTCCAGTGCAATCTCTTATTATGTAGCATTGACTTTCTGCCTGTTCTTTAAGGGACTATACCTAGTATTTACTCCTTGCAACGATGTATGGAAGTAAGAATCACTTAAAAGATGAAACAGTTTAAATGTTTGTCAGTAGCTACATGGTAAAGGATAGCTTTATAATTCAAATACAGTATTTTCTGGTTCCAAAGTCTGTGCCCTTTATACTTTGCTATGCTATTTCCTGAATACACATGTAAATAGGATATACATCTTCCCAAGAACCTTGTGTAAAAGGAACTATTTTTACCTTCATTTTACAAGTAAGGGAAGTGAATTACATGAGTTGTCTAAACTCAAAAACTGTTAATTAATTAGTAAACTTAGAGTATAAATCCACGGTTTAAATATAGAGTCTGCTATCTTAATAAAACTGTTTACTATACTACATAATTTTTTTTAATGAGCAAACAAAGAAGTAAATAGAATTTACTTTAAAATCCCACTCAAATGCTACAGTTTCTGTAATGATTCTCTTGCCCCTCTTCATGAGAAGTAATCTCTTCCTCCAATCAGCTACCGTGGTATTTTACCCATATTTTTCTTGTCTAACCTTGCATTAAAAATCTCTTTTACTAAACAAGATCAGTGTGTTGCTGATTGTGCAGATCCCTGTGCATAGTTGGAGCTTATAAAATTGTGTTGAATGAAATTAGAAATACATGAATTAAAAAGTGTTATTTCCTAATACAACGATTGTGCTATGCATAACTGTAGTAAAAATAATTTTAAAAATTAAATGAGTTTTAAAAGAAAATTTGCATTTTTAGCACACCTCTTGCTGGCAGTGCTCAAAACTCTTGGTTCAGTATAAGGCATCAAAACTGTTCAGTAAATTATTTAGAAAACATACCTAGGATGTATTTGTAAAATATTAGGAAGAAAAAAATCATCTGGTTAGGAAATAAACCAGGGATCATTTGTGTGGGCGGTAATATCAACATGAAAACCAATTCCCCTGGTAACACATTGCATAAAAACATTTTGTTCAAACCAGGGTATTCTGCTGCGTTGTGTGGTTTCCTGCCAAAATGTTCCTTTGCTGTCATGTAGATAGCCAAAGCTATCTGTTAGGAAAAATCCTTCTCTACTCAAAGAGCCCAACTCAGCACTTTCAAAGGCCCACAGGAAACACACGCTCATCTTGAAACTATCAGAGGTGGATGATTTTGATAAATACAGGTAGTCTGGCACATGGTCCATGAGACTACCCTTTTCTAAATCCTGAATCAGAAGTTACTGTAAACTATATTCCTAGCACACAAAAAAGTCTCAGCCTTGAGTGCTTCAGGATTGGGCTTCTTTTTAAGTATGTTTTAGTGAGGAAATTTCCAAAAACCAGTGTTAGAGTCTTTATAGATAATGGTACCTTAAAATAATAAATAATATTGTATTCCCTAGATACATTATTGCTTAAATATTGGAGCATCTGAATGAGGCAATGCCAAATCTTTTCCACTTAACTGCTCTCTTTCCCAAGTTAACAAGAAAAACAAAAGCATTACAAAATAAAAAGCAAAAGTATGTAGAAATAATTTCTCATCATTCTGCCCAAAATAAATGAGATGAATGAATAACATACAATCACTGATACATACTCATTTACTTAGCAGAAATTTTAATTTGTAAAGCATAAAATGTTCCAAAAGGGCCGTGTAGGAGTTTATTTTGACCTACAATTAAGACATATTCTTGACAAGACAATAGATTTGGCTGGGCGTGGTGGCTCGTGCTGTAATCCAAGCACTTTGGGAGGCTGAGGAGGGAGGATTGCTTGAGCCCAGGAACTCAAGACCAGCTTAGGAAACATAGCAAAACACCATCTCTAACAAAAATATAAATATTTGCCGGGCATGATGGCTCATGCCTACAGTCCCAGCTACTCAGGAGGCTGAGATGGGAGGATTGCTTGAGCCCAAAAGGTGGAGGTTGCAGTGAGTCAAACTCAAACCACTGCACTCCAGTCTGGATGACAGAGCAAAAACTCATCTCAAAACAAACAAACAAACAAACAAACAAACAAACAAAAAAAGACAGTAGATTATAAATGTTCTTAACACACACACACACACACAATGGTATGTAAGTAATGGATATGTCAATTAGTTTGTTTAGACATTCCATAAAGTATACATACAGGCATATTTGGGAGACATTGCCAGTTTGTTTCCAGACCACTGTAATAAAGTAAATATTGCAATAAATTGGTGGCACATTTTCACATTTTTATGGGTTTCCCAGTGCATATAAAAGTTATATTTACACTATATTGTAGAGTATAAGTGTGTAGTACCATTGTATCTAAAAAAATGTACACACCTTAATTAAAAAATACTATATTGCTAAAAATGCTAAGAATCATCCGAGCCTTCATCAGGTTGTAACCTTTTTGCTGGTGGAGGATCTTGCCTCCATGTTGATGGGGGGTGGTTGCTGAAGGTTGGGGTGACTGTGGCAATTTCTTAAAATAAAACAAGCAAGTTTGCCACATAGATTGACCCTTCCTCCTTTCACAACATATTTCTCTATAGTATTCAATGCTATTTGATAGCATTTTGCCAATATAAATTGTTTTAGAATTAGAGTTAATCCCAAATTCTGGTACCATTTTAGCAAATAAATTTATGTAGTACTCTAAATTATTTACTGTGATTTCGTGTTCACAAGATCTACGCCAGGAGTAGATTCCATCTCAAGAAATCATTTTCTTTATTCATCCGTAACAGTAAACTCATCTTTCAAGTTTATCATGAGATTACAGCAATTCAATCACATCTCAGGCTCCACTTCGAATTCCAGTACTTTTACAATTTGCACCACATCTGCAGTTACTTTCTCCACTGAAGTCTTGAACTCCTCAAAGTCATCCTTGAGGGGTGGAATCAACTTCTTCCAAACTCTGGTTAATGTTGATGTTTTGACCTTCTTTCATGAATCATGAATGCCCTTAATGACATCTAAAATGGTGAATATTTTCCAGAAGGTATTCAATTTACTTTACCCAGATCCATCAGAGGAATCACTGTCTGTGGCAGCTATAGCATTATGAAATGTATTTCTTTTCTTTTTTTTTTTTTGAGACAGAGTCTTGCTCTGTCACCCACACTGGAGTGCCGTGGCACAATCTCGGCTCACTGAAACCTCCACCTCTGGATTCAAGCAATTCTCCTGCCTCAGCCGCCTGCGTAGCTGGGATTATAGGCGTGCGCCCCCACACCCGGCTAATTTTTGTATTTTTATTAGAGATGGGGGTTCACCATGTTGGTCAGGCTGGTCTCAAACTCCTAACTAACCACGTGATCCACCCGCCTCGGCCTCCCAAAGTGCTGGGATTACAGGCGTGAGCCACTGCACCTGGCCATGAAATATATTTCTTAAATAGTAAGTCTTGAAAGTTGAACTTACACCTTGATCCATGGGCTACAAAAAGGATGTTTCGTTAGTGGGCCTGAAAGCAACATTAATCTCCTTGTGTATGTCCATCAAAGCACTTAGGTGACCAGGTACATTGTTAAAAAGCAGTGATATTTTTAAAATAATTTTATTTCTGAACAGTAGGCCTCAACAGTGGGCTTAAATATTTAGTAAACCATACTGTAAACAGATGTGCTGTCATCCAGGCTTTGTTGTTTCCTTTATGGAGCACAGGTGGTATAGATTTAGCATAATTCTTAAGGGCCCTTGGATTTTCAGAATGGTAAATGAGCATTGGCTTTAACATAAAGTCACCAGCTGCATTAGCCCCTGACAAGAGAGTCAGCTTCTCCTTTGAAGCACGGAAGCCAGGTTTTGACCTCTCTAGCTATGAATATCCTAGATGACATCTTCCAATATAAGGCTGTTTCATCTACATTTAATATCGGTTGTTTGGTGTAGCCATCTCCATCAACGATGTTATTTAGTTCATGTGGATAATTTGCTGCAGCTTCTACATTAGCACTTGCTGCTGCACCTTGCAATTTTATGTTATGGAAACAGCTTCTTTCCTTGAACCTCATGAACCAACCTCTATTAGCTTCCAACTTTTTTCTCTGTAGCTTCCTCACCTTTCTCAGCATTCATAGAGTTAATGAGGGTTAGGGCCTTTCTGTGGATTAGGCTTTGGCTTAAGGGACTGTTGTGGCTATTCGATCTATCCAGACCACTAAAATTTCTCCATATCAGCAATAAGGCTGTTTTGCTTTCTTATCATTTGTGTATTCATTTCAGTAGCACTTTTAATTTTCTTCAAGAATGTTTCCTTGGCATTTACAGCTTGATTAATTCTTTGGTGCAAGAGGCCTAGGTTTCAGCCTATCTTGGCTTTCCACATGTCTTCCTCGCTAACCTCAATCATTTCTAGTTTCTGATTTAAAGTGATTTAATCTGATTTAATCAATCTAGTTTCTGATTAAAGCATGTGACTCTTCCTTTTACTTTAATACTTAGAGGTCATTGTAGGGTATTAAGTGGCCTAATTTCAATATTTTTGTCTCTGAAGGAATAGGAAAGCCTAAGGAGAAGGAGAGAGACTGGGGAATGGTCAGTCAGTGAAGCAGTCAGAACATATAGAACATTTATTGATTAAGCTTGCCATCTTACATGGGCACTGCTTTTGGTGCCCCAAAACAATTAAAACAATTACAAGAGTAACATCAAAGATCACTGATCACAAATCACTAAAACACGTATAATAATTATGAAAATGCTTAAAACATTATGAGAACTACCAAAATGGGACACAGAGACATGAAATGAGCTCATGCTGTTGAAAAAATGGTGCTGATAGACTCGCTGGACACAGTGTTGCCACAAACCTTCAGTTTGTAACAAATGCATTATCTGTAAAGTGCAATGAAAGGAAGATAATAAAATGAGGTGTGCCTGCATTTCAAAACATTATGTTGTACACAGTAAATATATGCAATTTCTATTTATCATTAAGTAAATATCAATAAACAGTCTGAACAGTTCATCTCAACACAGCAGAGGGGATGAAATGAGGCCTTATTCCCCAGTGTAATAAAATATTCTTGACCTCAGTGCTTCTGACTTGATATCCAAAGCCAACTTGAGTCAAATGGTCTATACTGTGAGATGGGGGGATTTGATTGGAGTGGTATACAGAGTAGTAATGTGAAAAGAAAGAGAAGAATTCATTTTGGAGAGTAAGTACTGTGGGAGAAGAAAACATTGCAATGCTTAAATGTTTAAATATGTGCTATGGTCTGAAAATTTGTGTCCCTAGCAAATTCATGAGTTGAAACCTAATACCAAATGTAACAGTATCAAGAGATGGGTCTTTTAGGAGGTGATTAGGTCATGAGGGTAGAGCCCTCATGGTTTAGATTAGTGCATTTATCAAAGAGGCACAAGGAAGCTTGTTTGCCTCTTCCGCACTGTGAGGATGCAGCAAGAAGGCACTGCCTATAAGGAACAGGCCCTCACCGGGCACAGAGCCTGCTGCCACTTTGATCTTGCATTTCTCAGTCTCCAGAATTGTGATATATTTCTAAGTTACCCATTCTAAGGCTTTTTGTTACAGCAGCCTGAATGGACTAAGACAATATATAGGGTGGTAAAGAAAAGAGAGAACAGCTAGAAAGTAATATGTGTGGAATTTCTGGGTTCTTCAAGGGTATGGGATGAAGTGAAACCAGAGGATGAGAGAGTCAGCTTTACTATTTATTCACATTTTTTCCCCCAGGAAACAATTCCTAGAAAATGTGTCAGCAATCTTTTTACTTCCATAACCTGCATGTGTGTGTGTTTGTGTGTGTGTTTGTGTGTGTGTGTGTGTGTGGGTGGGTGGGTGGGTATTTGTAGTGCTGAAGAACAAAGGAGATAAATCATACAAGTAGTTAAGACCTCTTGTTGAGTTAGATAGATGTGGCTAATCGGACTCCTAGGTACTTGGTATTAGAAAAGGAATCAGATTTAAACACTTCTCTATGAGCAGAATTTTTATTAGGTTGGGGGGGAAACTTGCTTTCCATTCAGCTCAACTTCAGAGGACAGCCCTAGAGTAAGGAAGAGAATAACAACCTTTCTGGCTTCCAGGTTGGCAGGAGAGAGAATAACAGAGGCCCTGGGGTCAGACCACATGATTTAAATCTGGCTCTTGGCTGGGGGTGGTGGCCCATGCCTGTAATCCTAGGGCTTTGGAAGCCTGTGGTGGGAGAATAGCTTAAGCCTAGGAGTTTGAGACCAGCATGGACAACATAGTGAGACCCTCATCTCTTAAAAAAAAAAAAAAAAAAAAAGCCAGGTGCCGTGGCATGCCCTTGTAGTCCTAGCTACATGAAAGACTGAGGTGGGAGGATCCCGTGAGCCCAGGAGTTTGAGGCTGCAGTGAGCTGTGATCGTGCCATTGCACTTCAGCATGAGTGACACAGCAAGAGCCCATCTCTAAATAAATAGATAGATATGTAGGTAGGTAGGTAGGTAGGTAGATAGATAGATAGATAGATCTGGCTCTATTGTCCTTTTTGCTGTGTGAATTGGATCAACTTACTCTCTTTCTACCTCAGTTTTCTCATTTGTTTAAAAGTGGAGATAAGAAGAGTACCTCTTTGTAGGGTTGTGGTGAAAATTGGCTGAATGTTAAGTGTTTAGAATAGGACATGATAGTCAGTGCTCAATAAATATTATTTCTAAGTACTTAGTTTCATTAGTATTACTTAATTTTGGTGATACTTGGTGAAGAAATTGGGGCAGCCTGATTTCCCCTGAGAACAAAAGTCTTCATGGAGTCCATTATGTGGGACTTTGTTTCTTTTTTCTTACCATCTCCTACCCATCTCAAGATCTGATTTTTAAATATAATAATAACTTTAATTACTTATTAAATTGATTATGATTTATGCCTTCTTATTTATGCACAAATTGGTTACTATTTATGCTTTCATATTTATGCACTTATTTATGAAATATATTCTGTGTAGATATATAAAATTCTATAGTTATTTATCAAAAATAAAAACAAAAATTAAGCTACACTCTCTGAGCGCTATGTAGAAATTAACACAGGAAATGTTTCCTTGTGACTGCATACTGTGCAATTAAAATGATGTAAGTCATTATTTATTAAGAACAATTTCTGATTGGTTTGAAAAAGAACCATTGTCTATTATTCCTAACATTAAACCTCTATTTGCCTTGACCTCAGATTAACTCATACTAAGAAAACATTTTAATATATATGTTCAAAACCTGAAATAATTTCTGTCTGCAAATCTGAACTCCTATAGAAGGCACTTTCTTGACTATATCCTGGATAGTCCCCCTGGGCAGGCCTGTCTGTTCAAGGATGTCCACCAGGATGTCTAGGAAGACAAGACAATCTCTGTCCTGGGGTTGGGCCAAGGCCAGTCACCATGTGTTAGTGATCTGACTTCTCTCATTCCTTTAATCTCCAAACTCTTTGCTTCTCTCTTCTACTGAAGTCACCCTGAGCTGTTTGAAAAGGCTGGTGAGAAACTAATTTCTTATCAAGCCTGAGGCGTAGTATCCTGATTTTATGCCATTCCTGCTAGTCTAGATTGAACAATAAAGCAGGAGAACTCAGAGTGGTTTCAATACGTGCAAACGGGTCAAGGACAGCTTCCATGTGAACACTGTTGGCAGGATTGTAGTTTCCTACAAATACTTCCTCTCTTTTCAGCAGCTTCTTCAAAACCTGAAGGATCACCAGTAAGATTTAGGTCATTAAGAATGGCTTTGAAATGCCTTACTGTGGCAAATCAAATGTTATTTTTTCCATTAAAACCATAAGTAAAACTGATTTTGATTCAGTATTATGACCCTCTCTGTTAGGGAACATTAAACACTGTTGTCAGGATCAGGAGGCCCTGATTTGGACACTATGGTGTGATTCAAACACAAGTGTTTACAAAGGAAGGCCCACTTCATAAAATTCTTGCATTCTGCTCTTTTCCCCATTGAGGCATTATGTCTTTGTTAAGGGATGGTTACATCCATAGTTCTCATTAGTTTGATTAATGGTATACCTCTAATAGAGGCTGCTACCTGACATTTGGGGAAAAATACATGGCAGGTAATTTTTAAAAATACAGAACCTGTCCCCTTAACCTAATTTTATTCCCTCTGGTAAGGGTGGCAATTGGATGTGACACTTATCATTGGGATTGGTCTGACATCCTCTCTTTACCTCCCTCTCCAGTTCAATTAAAAGAAGGCTAGCCTGGTTTTCTGGAGAAACTGAAACAAATGTAGGGAGAGAGATATTTCATATCCCTAGCATGCTGTCATGTCCACAAATTTTGAACTTTACATTTCCTGCCAATTAGACATGTTAAGATTTCACTAGAATATTGAATTAATGGAGCGATTCTATTCATAATAGATAATGAATCTCATGCCTTTTTAATTAGAAAAACAATGAGGTATAAAAATAGGTCAATTTCAGATTTTTTAAATGCTAAGCTAGAATTTATTTTCATAAGTCCTTGCTTTGGAGTTCATTTTGGATCTCACTGATGAGACTATTTTCTTCTCATTTCATCTTTAAAACTATTACGAATGTTTTACTACCCCAATTGTTATCAACTGTCTCCTGTGATAACAGAATGTAACTTAAGTTTCAGAATCTATTTTGTTCTGAGATAAAGCCCTTCTAACACTAGGAACAGATAGAGGATACAGACCTGGCCTTTGACAACCCCTTGCTTAGTGGACTTGTCTCAGTCAGCACGTAACTGGGAAAAATCACCTGGTTTGATACCATTTCAGTGCACAGGAGTCAATAGCCTCGACTTCTGTTCTCTTATTGCCTAATGGGAAATGGACTTATTTTAAATTGACCCAGATATACTTCAAGTTGCTTTGTTTTTATTGGCTTGCCTTTCAATTTAATGTTCTGTTTCCATAGCTAAGTCTATTTATCTCCAAAGATCTAGAGAGCCCCTGTTTCTGTGCAATAGGACAAGCCTTTCTCCATCCCCTGCCACAAATAGGATGTTGCTGCAGCCTGGAGACTAATGACAGCCGCTGTCCTTGGGCATGGATGTCCTCTTTAATCAAAGTGAGTTCCCTAATGGGCACTATAACGACATTCATTTGCCATTTGGATGTACCTGATGTGACACTTGAGGCAATGCCATGATTACTTTCCCTTAAAAATGTAAAATAATTTCACAAAATCAAAAAGGCAGAAATATTGCCCAAAGAAGTTAAGTTTTTTAAAAAATAGTGCTATTACCCTGAATATGGGAAAGTGTTATAATCCTCTATCTCCCCAATGATAATAGGGTCCTTTCACTTTTAACTTGGTGACAACATTCTGTATTGGAGAAAAACAGATTCTTTGGTTGCAAAAGATGTTTATAGACTCCATAACAGAGCTTGCTAAGTTAAGATATACGATAATGATGTTAATTTAATGATAACATTGTTAGGCACATCTTAGAAATCAAATGTTTTACTTCCTCGAATTTGAAAGGTGTTTGATAATAGAGGAAATCACTGCCCACTGGAATTAATATTTAGAACTAGAATAATGTTTTCAAGATTTCCTTTCACACAAAATCTGCAACAATGCTGTAACTAAAATGCATGCAAGAAAGTGTTCTATGAAAAATTGGAAGACATGTTTAACAGTATAGATGAAGACATTTCTCCATCTATACTGTTTATTTACTAACTATAATGAAAAATATTTTAAAGATTTAGAGAAATTTCTTAATAGCTCCTTATTTCGTTAAGATCCTAGACTTAAGGAGCTTAAAGAATCTTCAGAACAAACAAAATGTATCTCCAGCTTCCTGGAAACAGACATTGAAAGATAGATGCTGTCCATGATGAGTTTGTATCTTGTCTAAGCATGATGAATCTAAAAATTAAGCTCAATGGATAGGTAGTGGATTTCCCCTTCAAAAGAATCACCAGGGAAGACACTTTCATAACCTTCCCTTTCACTCTATTCCACTGTCTAACAAGCCAGAATAGCCAGGCTTCTAGCTCCCAAAGTGTGACAAAGCCAGATCGTCAAGCAGCATGAAAAGGAAATAAAAGGACAGAATATCATGATCAATGGGAACTTCCCATGTGACTTCTGAGCTAACAAATGTCTATTACCAATCATCTAATAGGCAATGACAATGAGTTGCAAGGCAAAATGAGCACAGTTTTTATTTAGAACTGAATTAAATGCTGCCTCTACTGCTAAGTAGCAGTGTGTGATCAGAGCCTCAGCTTCCTCATCCAAAAATGAAGATACTTACGTTGAAGGAATTTTGAGACAGTTTTAAAAATTCAATCTAGCATATCATCAACACACAATAATTGGGAACTACTGTCAATAGTTACCAACTAGTTGACAATATAAAAAGCACTAAACCAGGTAATCTATGGGAAGAAAATGTATTCTTTTCTTTTAGGACACTATCCTTGCCTTTTAAAGAGACTAAAAGCAAGAATTGTATTTCTACGATATGCTGTGTTAAGAACATTGCATACATTATCCTTATAATGATGCTGTGAAGTAGAGATTTTTCTTTTTATTCTGAAGATGAGGAACTGGAAGGTTTGAGAGGCTACCTAATCTTTCCACCAGTGTGGCTGCAGAATGGGTACTCATAACCACCACATTATACTGACATGACAGTGTATTTGTCCCCAGTGGGGGACAAATATGTACAAACATAACTGAAAAGGCAGGATGCGATTAGACAATTGCGACTAGATAATTGTTGCTATACACAGGATAAATGCTTCTATGCATCGGTCTTTCAAATTTGGGGTTTGACAACATGATGTGCAATGAACTAGTAAATCGAATTTAATTTTTGGTTATACACTTTAAAAAGCTGTTTATTGAATACTGGAATTATAGCAAGTAACTATATTTTCCCATGCCTAGGAGACCTAACGTCATCTGAAAATAAAATAGATTTATATGTAAATTTATATTTGAAAATTATGTTATTATGCAGAAATTGAGAAGACATTCATGTTTTATATTATCCTCTTCTCATAGGATTCTTCATGTGATCTCTTGATCCTTCTATTGGGTGACTGCCTGATGGTCCTGCAGGTTTTATTAGTCAAGGTTCTCCAGAGGAATAGAACTAATAGGATGTGTATATATATAGAGAGAGAGAAAGAGATATACCTTAAGAAATTGGTTCATGTGATTGTGGAGGTTGGCAAGTCCAAAATCTTCAAGGTAGCCTGCTAGGCTGGAGACTCAGGAAAGAACAGTGTTGTAGTTAAAGACCAAAGGCTGCTCGCCATGAGTTCTCTCTTGCATGGAGAGGTTAATCTTTTGTTCTATTCTGGCCTTCAGCTGATTGGATGGGGCCCGCCTATATTATAAAAGGCAATCTACTTTATTTAAAATATTTCCAATTAAATGTTAATTTCATTTCAAAACATTCTCACAGAAACAACTGGAATAATGTTTGACCAAATATTTGGGTACCACGGTCCAGTCAACCTGACTCATAAAATTAATCATGACACAGGTTTTGTTGTGGCACAAAACTATTTATAGCATTCCAAGTTTCCCAGATGTTCATTTATCCACTGGAACTTTTTAGGTTTTGATTACTCTGAGTATCATAACTTTTATATAGTAGAGTGAAGTCTACATTTTTAAAATAAAAATTAAGCTAAGAATATAAAACCATTTATCAGTAGTATAACAATGGAGAAAGAGAATAAAGCTTTTGTTTCCACATCTGATATACCACAGAAACTTATTAATGATGTAGGCAAAGGACACAGACCCTTGAAGGAACCACAATAACTGGGTGTATCTACTTATTAGATATATCTTTTTTTTTCAATTCTAGAGATGAAATAAAAGATAACTTTGGAACACATACAAATACTTACTTTTAACATATCTCTAATGATGTGGTAATTCTGAACACTTTAGAGTGTTTATGGCAGCACAATTCTAAGCATATTTGCAGCTGTTGAACTATATTTTGCTCACTGTTCATAATCCTACAGATGTTTTTGATGTACAATGTTTACTGATTCACTTAAATCAGGTATGATAGGGAAACTCAAACTGATCCCACTTCTATAGTCCTGTAAAGCAAGCACTTCCAGGAATTATATTGACAGAAAAAGAGAAATCCGCTCTGGAGATAATGCATATAATCACATTTGATAAAAATGGAAAAGCCTTATTACATTATTGTTTGGTATCTATTTTACATCGTCACCTGCAGCTATGTTATGTTTCCATTATTCTAATACTAGTAAGAAGAAATCGCCACTAAGAATCTCAAAATAGAGGACTTATTTTGTAAAGCTGTAATTATGTAACTCGAGTTTCAGCATGTCCTTCAAAGAATGACAATGTGAAAGCTCTAAGACTACTGCAAAAGAAGCACTTTGAAGTGAATAGATTTTCTCCAAAAACATAGTAAAATCTTTTCAGAAATAAGGGTGGAGATTGCTTTATGAAGAGTAGTTTAAATGTCCTGGTTAAAATAAAATCCTCTGGAATATTTGCAAATAATATGCCCAACTCTGCAAATGAAGAAGCAGCCTGTTGTATCACAATCAAAATTATATTCCTCTATCTAAGCCACTACTTTTTGCTCTCTTGATTTTATTTTCAATAATTTTAATTTGTATTATTTCTTTAGAAAGCCCTGGTGCCTTTGAAGGATGTGTTGAAATTAATCCTAAGTCTGGTCTCGGCCAGGAGTGGTGACTCACGCCTGTAATCCCAACACTTTGTGACTCTGAGGTGGGTGGATCGCCTGAGGTCCGGAGTTCAAGACCAGCCTGGCCAATATGGCGAAACCCCATCTCTACTAAAAAAAAAAAATACAACAATTAGCTGGATGTGGTGGCTCACCCCTGTAATCCCAGCTACTCGGGAGGCTGAGGCAGGAGAATTACTTGAACCCAGGAGGAGGAGGTTGCAGTGAGCTGAGATCATGCCACTGTACTCCATCCTGGCTGACAGAGTGAGACTCTGTCTTAAAAAAAAAAAAAAAAAAAAAAAGTCTGGTCTCTTTTCAGCCAGCTGTACTTTTTTTTTTTTTCTCAATTATCTTCAAGGATTCTTCATGGGACCCCTTGTTCTTTCTATTGGATGAGTGTCTGATGATCATAGAAGTTTTGCTGAGGCACAGATATGCACACAGCATTTCAACTTTCCCAATGTGGTCAGCTGGCACTCAAATTTTCTAGGTGATGATTACTATAAGAACTTCAAGTTCATTCCTGTTTTAAAAACAGCTTACATTTTCTCAAACTCCATTACAGAATATCAAATCAACTTTATATTAACTATTCAAAATATCTCTTTATTGAAACTGATTTTTAATTTTACTTCAACTTTTATTGGATCTGTTTTTTAATCAAATACTGGCCTTTGCAGTTCCAGATTAAATCTCATTTGATTAATTTCAGGCCATTTATTCTAGGCTTTTTGTACTATTATGTGATGTCTTATTGCTTGATATACTCTCTCATCTGAGAATTTAAATAATGTTATTAACAACCAACTGCATATCATTTATGAAGATGTTTAACAGAGTAGAGTTCAAGACTACTCTGAATGAAACAAAGCACTTCACACTCACTGCCAAAGACTTGCAATATGCCTTTATATTTCCTACTTAGCTGATCAGTAAACTAAATGCAACCTATTAAAACCTAAGAACTTTCTAATGGCATTATCAACACCTTAATGTATCAATGACTTTTACCTTAGTCAAAGCTAGGAGTTCTTTGCTTGGCACGAGTAGTGATTTTCCCTAATCATTTTTAAAATAGATGTTTAAATGCATCTTTCTGTAGAAAGAGATCATTTATAATTTGATAATTAATTCCCAAAAGAGTATATATAGCTCCCAAATTATATAAGGATGTGCTTTCTTACATGGTTATATTTAAAACATATTTTATGCTGCATTTGAGCCATGTGGCAGAGCAGTGCCAGTTTGCCTTTGGCGTCTAACCTCTGGGTTATTTGTATTATCCAATTTTATTTTCTTGAAAAGTGAAATTTTTCTCAAAAGCGTATACTAACGATTTTCTAAATAACTTTTAGGCAAAATACATTATTTAATTATGTACTATGTTTGCATGAAAATAAAACAATAGACCCTAGAAACTGGGATAATAAGATCTTATTTTTTTCAATGTACCTCAAACAATGTGAACAAATGGGATGTTATCAGGGATTATAAAACTTTTAGAAAAATACATTTTGTCAGTCTTAATTAATAGTCTTAGATCTGGCATTAATATAGTTAGAACATCAGGAAGAATACAAATTTATCTTACTTTTAAAATGTACTTTTCATTGATTTTTCCAGGAAAGAAATAAGGGAACTAGATTATATATTTTAGTATTTGTTCTAATTAGGTGAGTACCCAATTGTGAGTGATTAACAATAGCTCAATATCTATTTCATGGACCTTGCTTTACTGCTTTAAATAGATGTTAATTAAGGTTGTGCTAATGGCGGTTTGGGAGGTGGGATTGCTATTGTAAATGGAGGAATATTAAAAGAACATTTCATGTTGAAAACATAAGATTATCTACTCTTTACTTATTATAGGGTAGATAGAGTGCTATGTTCAATCAGGGTCCAGTTATTAAAAGAGTGATGCAGAGAATGTGGAGAGAGTTAACAAGAGGGCAACAAACGTGACTGAATGCTCTGGATAAGACAAAAAATGAATGTATTTAACATCAACAAAATGTATTTTAACGGCAACAAAAAAAGTCTAAAGAGAAATACCATGTCAGTGTTCAAGTTATTTTCACACTAAAAGCACAAGGTCTGGAATGAGAGGGATCTATATTTGAATCCTAGATCCTCCTCTTAACAGCTGCCAACTTGAACCTCTCCTATATGCAAAGTAGGAATAATATCTACTTTGTCAGAGAGTTGTTAGGAACGAGGATGATATAAGTAACATGCCTAGAATAGTGTCAGGCATATAGAGAAGTCCTTTTGGAAATGATAGTCATAATTTCTACTATTTTTATCAGCTACTCTTCAAAAGCAATCTGAAAACAGGGTCACAGGGCTGTCTTGGAATTGCTAATCATGGAGTTACTTGTGAATAGGCTAGTATTTGTCAGAGATGCAAAGTGAGAGGAAGAGGTGACTTGACGGTAAACAGCATTAGATCAGTTAGTTGTTTCACATACTAATAATACAAGGAAGAGTCTGGCAGAATTCAAATTTTGCTGAATACATTGAGGTACAACTTCTGTTCCTGATTTTTTGTTTTCTTCCTCCCTCCCTCCTGTCCTTCCTCTCTTGCTTCCTCCTTCTCTTCCTTCCTTCCTTTCTTAGAAATGTCTTTAAATGTAGTTATGTGCCTCTGAAGGGTATTTAGTCATGAGGTCTGACTTCGCCATATGCTTTTTCTCAGAAGTGTAGTAGCGGGTAAAAATATATGGCAGTTAAGGAATCATGGTTAGGTTTTGTTTATTGTTCTTTATTTAACAATAGCAAGGAGTACTGCATACATAAAATGCTGGCAAAAATATAAGTGTAATTTTGTTTAGAGTGAGTTTTTTTTATAGGAATTATCTTTTCTTTCTGTTTTAAAACTGAAATCGCCGGAGTCCCAATTCTTTCTTAGGTTGTCTTGATATACACAGGAAGAAATAATGTTCCAGCAGGTTTCATTGTTTCCCCAAGCTGTACCTGTGCTAAGAGTAAGAGTACCGACTTCATATATATATATATATATACACATATATATTTTGTTGTTTTTTGTTTTTTTTGTTTTTTTGTTTTTTTTTTGAGCCAGAGCCTTGCTCTCTCGCCCAGGCTGGAGTGCAATGATGCGATCTCGGCTTACTTCAACCTCTGCTTCACAGGTTCAAGCAGCAATTCTGTCTACAGGCACCCGGGACCACTCCCAGCTAATTTTTGTATTTTCAGTAGAGACCAGATTTCACCATATTGGCCAGGCTGGTCTTAAATTCCTGACCTCAGGTGATCCACCCTCCTCAGCCTCCCAAATGCCTCTCATGTGCCTAACATTTTCTTTAAAATAAAGTGTAGATTTAACATGCCTGGATTTTGTCTATTTGGGTTTAACTCCAAAGTCAATAACATGCAGTACATAGTCAGAGATTAGGGGGTAGAGGCAGTATGAGATAATGAGGGAGCCTGATCAGCCACCCTGCAATAGCTTTGCCTTGTTATCTGCTAATCACCAGGGAGGCCAGAATTCCTATGATTTTATGTCTCACTGAAACAAATTAATTACTTAAATATAAAAGACACATATGTGCACACACACACATACTATAGACTAGGCATATATACATATATATAGTGTACAATCTCATTTAATCTTTTTAGTATCTCACTAACTCCATTTCACAGACAAGAAAACTGAGGTACCAAAGTGATAAACCTCCTAGCACAAAGTCACATAGTTCCAAATTGATAGAGTCATAATTCAAAAACAAAATAGTCTAGAGACTGTTTCTTTAACCATGATGCTACTATACCTTCCTTGGTTGCAATAGGGAACTGAAAGATTCAGAAACTGCAAGATTCAAGAAATTTGCAAAAGCAATCCCTTGTGATTACTTCTTGATATACATAGGTTGGGGGACTGACAGGAAATAACTAGAGTCATTTTGTTAATCAATACTAAGCATCCTCTTTTGTTAGAACCATGAAATTGCAAACAAAAAATGAAGGTGAGAGTGAAAGAAAAAGTATAATAAGGAAGTAGAGAGGTTGCAGGACAGTAATAACAAAAAATCTGATTTATTGCCCTTATGCATATCCTAACAATTTTTTATATTATGGTAGATTGCAAAAATGAGTACAATTTTTCTAATGCTCCCTTTGTCCTCAAAACTTTGCAATGTGACTTTGTAGTTCTTCCAGATAAGAGATAGAGTCTGTTTGCCCATTCTGCAAATCTTGGCTGCCCTTGTGACTTGCTTTCACCAATAGAACGTGGCAGAAAAAACATGATGCCAGTTCAGAGTTTTGTTTTGAAGAGAACTGGGGACATTTATTTTTCTCTGTCTTGAAATCTGCCATACTATGAGATAAGTAGAAAAACAGATAGAAACACATAACCCTATTAACCCCATCATTGTAGCTGGCAGCCAGCCAACTGTCAGTCATGTGAGTGAGCCAACAACCAGGCAAAGACCATGGAAAAAAGCCTAGCTGTAATCAGTCCAGCCTGGTCCAGATTGGCAGAACTGCCCAGCTGTTCCATAAACTTGTGAGCAAAAGTGAGTAAGTCACTACATGTTGGGTGTTTTCATATACAGCAACAGATAACTGCTGTGTGTGTGTGTGTGTGTGTGATCTCCTAAAATCTTAAAACGACGGTGTTTGGCAGGCATTATTACCATTTCAAAAATAACAAAACTCTGTTATTGTAACATAGCAAGGCTAGAAGCCAATATTTACTCCCAAGTTGTATAACTTTAAGTCCAGGTCTTTTCCTGTTCAGAAGGGAACAACATAAACAATTGTTAGCTGTATTGGTCACGATTCTCTTGAGAAGCACAATCAGTAGGAATTGGCCCACACAATTATGGAGGCTGAGAATTTCCACAATGTGTTTTCTGAAAGTGGGGGCCCAGGAAAGCCAGTTGTATAAGTCACTCTGATTCTGAAAGTATAATATCCAGTGGAGCCAATGGTATAAAACCCAGTCTGAGGGCAGGAGTAAATGAGATTAAATGTCCCAGCTCAACCATTGAGGGAGGAAAAAAAAATGGTTGGCAGGGGGTGGGGGTGGGTGGTGAATTCCTCCTTCCTCCACCTTTATATCTCTTCAGGTCCTCCATGGATTGGATGGTGCCCACCCACACTGGGGAGGTCAATTTATTTTACTCAGTTCATTGATCTAAATGCTATTCTCATCTGGAAACATCTTTCCAAGACACATCCAGGATAATATTTAATTTGGGGACCCCATGGCCCAGTGAACTTGACAGGTAAAAATAACCATCATACCAGTAAGTGAATAGCTAGATACCAATTTCTTCTTACTCCCAATTCAAATCCTTAAACCATGAATCAAAGCAAGTTTTATGAATCAAATACCAGTATCAATGTAGGTGGCTTCACATCCAATACAATGCAGTTTATTTGGTTAACATTGTGAAAAGGTAGGCCAAAATCCAAGACTGAAGTGAAACTCATTTATTTGTTCAACAAACATTTATTAATTGTCTGCCATATGCTAGGCCCTGTGCTTGGCACTATTATGCAATTAATTTAAAAATAATCCATGATTTCAGAAACAACTCTAAGCTGAATAATTTAGGCAGAGCAAGACAAGTTATTCATAAAGATGCAGACTAATTGGAAACCTAGTTTAAATGCTATGCTTATGCTGCAGTGAGAGTGCGCTGGTTCTAAAGGGAAATGAACATAAAGTTCTGAAAATAATGTCAAAATAATTAAGCACATGAAGAATGGCACTTGGAACCAAATTGCTTCAGCTCACTCTATAGAAAACACAATATAAATTTGGTGCAGCTGGTTTGCAACATCAGGTCTAGTGCAGTCAGAAGCCCGAGTCAAGTGCTGAAAGACTGACCCAGCTTTTGTATTGCTGGAGACAGAATAGGGAATCACACTAAGTACCAGCCTGCTAGAACCACCAACTCAAAATGCATTTGTCATTTGTTTTGTTTGCTTCTCTGCTTCCTTCTCCATTGCTTCCAGCTCATAAAAATACTTTTTTCCCCCCAGAAAGATTCTCTCTGTAGAGAATTCTAGTCTTGACCAACCATGGAGAAATAAATTTTCTCTTCTTTCACAGTATATAATTTTTCCTTTCTAACTCCTGAGAAGAGACCACTGATAGTAGTTAGTGGTATTTCCCTTTAGGAAACAATAGTGTCTAACTCAGAATTTTACAAAATCCTTTTCTATTTTACTATTGCAAAGCAAAGTCCTAACATCTTGTTACTGCCAGGTGCAAAAAGTACCTTTCTCACTTAAAAAATGATGTTCATAATGCATTTGACTTATATTTCTATTATTGTAAGTAAATACATAACAAAAAGTAGCAATTTTATTTTATGATGATCTCAAAAAAAAGTAGCCTATATTGAAGAAAACGTAATTTTTCCTTATTGGTTGAATGAAGTCATAAAAATGTATTCTCTCTGTATCACAACTTTAGATTTATGGATCTATTTTTCATGATGTTTTTCTTTCTATGTATCAGTGCTACTTCAGGACATCACAGATAACTGATTCTTTCCATTTTGAGTTCCCAAATATATAGATAGCTAGATGTTTAATAATACTATCTGTTCTTAACATGTAATTTGTAGTCAACACTACACAGTCAAAGCTAACCATTTCAGTAGAGAAACAAATTCTGTATAAAACAGGCTTCCCTGTTTGAAATTCTCCATGATTCCTTATGTAATCATGGCAATGCACTTTACACCTGAGTTTCAGAAGAGGCCATTCTATTTTGCCTAATTGGGCCTTGACTTTGTGATTTGTTAAAGTTGTTATTTCTCCACTCTGTCCAATGTTAAAGAGGTAGACCAGCTCTTCACTGACTTCTTGTTAATTCCCCTATCCTCAGACCAATTCAACAAATCTTTACTGAGGACCTACCAACTATTGTTATTTGATGTTTTGTTATGGTTTATAGGTGACCTGGATGAGACTTCACAAGGAGAACCTGATGTCTATTTGCTGTTCTAAATTGTACAGACATCAGAGCTGACCCTCACTCTATGGGCCTTTAATTTGGTTTGACACATGAGGTCACATCAGCTAGTGCCTTAGAGGGCTTCTTTTTGTAAGAGTTCATCATTTACCCATATACTCCTGAGCAAGAAAAATCTAGAGACAACCTTCCTTTCAGCTTTGTATCTCTGATGAAGAGCTTTCAGACATATGGCACAAGTGGTGTCTCACTTTGATCGTCTGGTTGTCAGTTCATAGTGCTATGTTGATTCTGTCACCGGTATCACTATTCTTCCAGGCTATCTTTTATTCTTCCCTCTCATTCAAACCTAGTATTCAGTCTGTCATTGAGTCCTGTCATTTCCTCCTTTGAACTGTCTTTCAGCTTCTGCCCTTCTCTCCTTTCCCATTACTCTCTCACTAATCTAGGCTTATGATTATCGCAGGGGTGCTCAGTTGATTTTTCTCACTCGAGTCTCTACCATCTCTAATCCATCTTGCGTACTTACATCAGTCCAGTGTTCCTAAAGTCCTACTTTCATTCTGTTACTCCCCGTTCAAAACCCAGAGTTGTTTCCTCTTACCATATTAAAAAAATGCATTCTAGTCAGTACTCCCTACTTCCTTCAAACCAGGGCTCCCACTCAGCCCACAGTGCTCCATAGACACCACACTTAAAAGCAGTATGCTCATTCTTGCCTCATTGCGTTTTTTTTTTTTCTTTTTGTCTCAGCCCAAAATATCCTTGGTCTTTCCTCTCTATAGAAATCCTCCTACATCCCCAGGGACCAACATGAGTTCGATCCTCCCACTGTCCTCTAGCCAATATTCACATCCTTTGTGTTTTTGTAGCATCCACTAATAGTATGTCACAGCAACTATTGCATTGTGCTGTAATTGTCTGCTTACAGGATTGTGTCTCACACACAATAATGAGCCCTCTGATGACAGAAAACAATTTTTCATGCCCGATCTTATAACCCCATGTGCCCAGAAGTATTTGACTCACAGTAGGTTCTCCATGAAAACATGTCAGGTATAAATTTTTCCCTTTTTAAAATGCTTAACTCTAAACCAGAATAGAAGTTTAACAATACATTGTGTATGTAAAGATGAGGAATATAATGAGTAACATGAATGACCCCAAACTAGGGTAGCTTTTATCCACTCAAACAATCTAACACCTTTATTTGCAATTTTTTTCTCTCTAAAAACTCCCTAGGGGCAGAAACCACATTGTATTCCCACCTTGATCCTTTGATAGTGCCAAACACAGTGATATTGAGTACTTGGTGATTTGAATGAACATGAAATTTCCAGTGTCTGTCCCAGCAACAACTGGCTGTCCTAAAAGACACTGTCCTAAAAGACAGCATACTGTTTTTCTGTTTACATCTTTATTCATAGACCCATCCAGTCAAAGAAGGCTACTATAGTTTCTATTTTCATTAGTTCATGCAATGGACTCATGTTGAAGGCTACATTAAGAAATGTGGGAGCTGGTCTTTAGAAACGTTTTCTAATCTAACAGTTTAACATATTCCAAGAATTCCTATCTCCAAATGGTACACATTTTTTTTTTCCCACAACTATGGTGTGATCTTAAAAGCAGGAAATTTGGCTTATATAATTGTGTCTCCCCATAACACATGGTGTTATGTATTGCGTGTGATAAATACTAATATTTATGGCATGTAATGAATACTAAGTGAATATCTACTGAACGAATGATTGAATTATAACAACTAAAATCTAAACTTTACAAAGTTTACAAAGTGGCTGAGAGAGGGAAATTTCAATGTGGAACAAAGTCGAGTAGTATCCTAATGAAATGGGTATTTTCAGACCTACCTGTTTATTCCCTATCCTCCTTTCTGGCTCTGTTTTTTTCTTTGACTCTTACTAACATTGAACTAACTGCTTTACTTACATATCTGGTATGTAAGTTACAATACAGCAGGGAGTTTTGTTTCTTTTTGTTGTTGTTGGTTTATCACTAGTGTCAAGAATGCAATCAACAAGGTACCATTTGTAGGCCAAGTCTGACGCACGGCCTATTTTTTTTTAATTAAAATTTTATTCAACACAGCCACTCCCATTAATTTACATATTGCCTATGACTGGTTTTTTTGTAACAATAGCAGAATTGAATAGTTGTGACAGATATTATGGTTCACAAAGCTGAAAATATTTACTATTAGCCCCTTTTATAGAAAACACTTTTTCAACTTAGTCCAGAGCAATGCTGAACACCAAGTAGATATTCAGGAAATGTCTGCTATATGAATGAATGAAATAATAAATAAATGAGTCAGATATAAAAGTAACACTGCAGTAACACTTTACCATCCCTGCCCCAGAGATCTTTTGAGGTTTTGAAATGTTTGGAGACCCTGATAAAGATGAAAAGTCCTATTTCTTGATCTATAGGGGCCCCAGAGTCCTGTGGAAGAAAATTTGAATTTAGCCCACAATTGGGGTCCGATTTGTGTAAATCTTTTGTCATGGGCTAGTGTCCCTAAAGAAGATTAGACCAGAGGAAAGGATTAATGAGGTTACTGAAAAAAAATTCCCAGTGAGTAAAGAAATCTGTTAAAGGTAGGCAGACTATACATGCAAACACCTTGGGGGAGGTAGTTATTTTAAGTAATAAAAGGCTGTGCCTAACAGTTCCCTGGCCAAACCACCTTGAGAAGGATTGTGCTGCAATATTTAGGATGGAACTACACATTTCACTGTGGACCATAAGAGTATGCTGTGAAAATCTCTGAAAGAGCTTGTTAAAGGGAACAGCGTTTTTTGATTGTGTTGTTGTATTATATTTTGTTTCTGTTTCGTTTTGTTTACGTTTTTTTGTTTTTTGGGTTTTGTTTTGTTTTGTTTTGTTTTTTGTTTTTCCTAGCTGACTAAAGAGAGAGGAAAGCTTTGATCGTTTCGATTTTGGTAGAAGTGAGCACTAAATTATGGGCTGGACTACAGCGGTCAAGAAACCAAACGGGTGTTCGGGACCTTAGAGTCTAGGCCTGAGGTATTGCAGAGCTGTAGGCAGCAGCTCTGATTATATATCAGAACCCCCTGTTGGAAATAATTGGAGTGTGGTATCTCTGAAAAAGACTGGTTGTCTGCCTCATCAGTTTGATAGGAGCTTATTGCATTGAGATTTGGAGTATTGCTGGGAATGGAACATAATTTTACTTACTGGTTGGTGATGCCAGAGATATGCTGGAACCAATATCTGTTAAATCTCAAAAGAAATGAAGATTTCAGTTTAATTTTTTCATAGGAAAAAAAACTCAAAGGAAAATATGATACAACAAAAAACGTTGAGGATTTAATACTAATTAATTTCAGTTTGATTTCATATAATAGCCAACTCCAGAAAAACTCCTATATCCTGCAAACTCAGGAACTATTAAAAAATCACAAAGTATATTGAAGGTTCCCTGCCAACTTAATTTGGATTCAGACTTTAGATAGTAGCAATAGACTGTGAGAATGAAAAGGAGGGTTAAACTATATGGATGTTACACAATTTCCAAACGTGATAGTGTTTTCCTCTTTTTTCCCTGGGAAATGAACCTGCCCTGAAATACATACACAGGCCCTTGACTCTCTGCCCTCAGCCTTGTCTCATGGCTCAGCCGTCAGTAGTGTTCATTGTGCATTGATTGGGAGGAAAACATAAGCCAAACCTTTTTTTCCTTGAAGGAGCAGAGCTCACACTGCAGGCAGTAAATAATGACACAGAATCAGAACAAACAGCAGCTCCTGTGGAGTGCAGGACAGCAGGTGTACCTTGCTAGAAAGTTAGAAACTCAAGAATTTGGTCTCTGATGGCAATAGGCATAGGTTACTGGGAAAGACAAAACAATGTGGACTTGTATCCCACAGACATGACCCACATACTCATTAGAAGAGTGAAAAGACAGTGAAATTGTGAGGAGCTGTGTGGATTGTATACTGAACATGAAAGAAAGAAAAAGAGAGCGAGACAAAGGAAAAATAAGAAAGGAAAGAGAACCTATATTTTGTCATGGGAGAAAAACAAAAGGTCAAAAACCTATATAGCAACAACAGGGTGTGTTTCTGACTTGCTCCCAGGAACCTAAAATACATGTGCTATTTTCTCTTTATTATATCCTTTTCCTTAATTTTTCCTATTCCTACCCCTGCTTTCCATATGAAAGGATGAAGAGTAGAACTAATTCAGGGATAAAAACAATTTTCAAACATTTATTGAATACTAACATTGAGCAGAGAACTGAACTAAACACTTTGGACATAAAGAAAAACATTCCTTCTCTGAAATCCACAGCTTCATTGCAGAATAAGAGAGGTAAAGAATTACAATACAGAGCAAGAGCAACTAATTATTTATTCAATTCCCATTACCCCAAAATATTCAGTTCCTATCTCTACTATAGCAGTTATTTCACAGTATTATATGGGATAATTCTGTAATTTAAATATCCCTCTGGCTTTAAAAGCAAATGCTGCTCTTCAGTTGATTCTGAGATTTTAGATGTGTTTTAAAGAAATTATTGAATTCTTTCAGAATCTATAAGAAATGAAATACGTATTTACTTAACTGTTCACCTGACGTTTCATTTGGTTCCATTTTCTTTTTTTCCTTCTCTTTTTTACATCTTTATCATTGACATAGGATTTGTATTTTTTATCTGGGTCAATTGGGATAAAGAAAAAAACCTTGAAGATATCATGCTGTTTTTTCATACCTGTCTCTCTCGCGGTATAGTTACATAAAAATTCTGATCCAAGGAGGGAGCATAATTTTAGAAAAAACAAAAAAGCAAAAATTCTGTGTTGCCCATTCTTGTCTTTATCTAGTTAATTTTGGAAACAAATGTTTTAGAAAGCAATTTTGTTATTGTTTTGTTTGTTTGTAATTTCTGTATTTTCTCAGTTGAGAACAATAATAAAAAACATGAGACACTGAGGAAAGGGATTCAGCAAATACTGGTCCTATTCTTCTCTTTTTTTGTATTTTCCATGAAAACAGTGAGTCACAAACTGTAAGGAAAAATCTATGGCATTAGAGATTAAAGAGTGATTATCTACCGAGAGTCAGCTTTTTCATTGATTGAATAGAGTTGTGTGACAAGATTCTTGTTGGTAAGAGTCGTAGACCCTTTAATTTACTTGGCAAATGGAAAGCTAGTCATTCTTTTGAGAATTATCAGCAATCTATCAAATTTTACCCATCAATGGTAAATGAGATTGTTTCTATCTCTTGGTAGTAAAAAGCTTTATATTTTTTTAAAGGAAAGACTTTTTATTTTTCTCTCTGCTCCCTCTTTTTTTTTCATAAAACAGAACACAATAGAATAGAAAAAAAAGCTCCTTTTTTTTCTGCAAAGTCATTGGCTATTTACTGGGAAGCCATACCAAACTGGATTTCATCACAAGTCTCATGTTTTGGGAAACCACTGTGAAAGGAGAAAAGCCAATAGTGGCAACTGCTCTTAGCAAAAGTATAAGCTTAAAAGCAATCGCTTGCTAAAGGCCCTATTATTTAACACTAGTTGTTTTCACCTTTCTTCACTAGAGAAATGTTGACGCTCATCATTAATAAAATGCTATTTGCTTACCACTCCCCAGTTAGTTTAATGAATGTTCTTTTTACCTTTGTCATTATCCCCTGGTCTTACAAATGCATTAAAATGTATTCCATAAAAGGAGTCATTTCATTTTAACATTTTAGAAATGTAATTATGTAGGTAACTAGCTATCCCTGCCCTTGTCAGTAAGTGAAAATTTAACAATTCAAAAACAATTTTTTTCTTGGAATGTGTATTTTAGTACAAATGAATAACAAAAACTTTGTTGTGAGGTTCAAACCAAGTCAGTGCAAACACACTTCTTTACACAGAAAAAAAGGGGAAGAATCTTTCTTCCTTACTTCCATAGGCTCGCATATAATATTAAGGAAATGGAAATCTACTTATATCTCTTTTCAGAAAGTGTGCATCATGTTATTTGCAAATTGTTCAGGTAAAGGAAAAAAGACCCACTTAAGTGGGAAGCAGCAGCTGATTGTAAAACAAAACAAACAAAATGCAAAGCCAGAATGAGTCTTGAGTGACATATATTTTCATTAAAAGAGAGAGAGAAGATTTAGTGAAAGGAATGATTAGCAGGTAGAATCATGGTTATTGTGGTAAGAAAAGTAAACTTTATTGTGATAATCAAAACTCTATCATCATGAAAGTTGCTACTGGAGTAGAGATATATAGATTCATAGTTGAAAAATAGGGAAAGACAGAGCAGAGTGACAGAGAACACACTTGATTGCATATGTTCATTCAATGTATACAGGGAACGGAAAAGAAAACTGAGAATCCAGAAACTAAAATCCAAACAATTTTAGATGAGAACATCAGATGGAAAGAGGGAACTGTGGGAGGAAACCAGAGAGCATCCAGGAGACCTGGCACTGGTAAATCAAACAGCCGATAGAGGCGTATCTTCTATCATGCATCTTCTTTGTGGCGTATGAAAGCTGAGAATGCCAATACCTGGGACAATGAAAATTCTATATGTGAGAGACAGGTAAAACGATGTAAGAAAGGTGTTTTGGGAGACAATCTGAAGTGAATGATAGGCTAAATAATAGTAGTAAAAGGGATACATGTCACAATACTAAAATTAGACGTTCTAACTTGTTTAGCTAGTTCTTTACTATATAATTCTATCTATCTATCTACATACATATTTTCTTCTTTCTAATATACATTGAGTGTTTATTATGAGTTAGGAAGAATGGTAACCATTTTACATGCATAATCACATGTGATCCTTTTCATAAATCTGTAAGTATTGTAATTCCTCTCAATTTATAGATTAAGAAGCTGAGATTTAGAGAGATTCCACACCTTGCACAAAATTCCATAGAGAGGAAGTGCAGACAAGGATTCAATATCTAGTCTTGTTTATTATAAAGTTGATGTTCTTAATTATTTTTATATTGCCCTTTTATGCTATAATAAACATACTAGTAGTATTGAAAACCTGTCAGATACCTGGAGCATAATCCAGTGGTTCCTTTGTGAATCAGAATCATATTTTAAAGAGGCTTATGCTAAATCTTCTGAATGAAAATGTGTAGAAGTGGGACCAAAGCATGCAGAGATTTTAAAAACTACACAGATGAGTTGTAAAATGCCTATTAAAAACAGAGGAGAATAGAACTCAGACTGTTTTCTGAAGGAGATTTAAACCACATCTAATTTCTTTGTGATTTACATATGAAAAGAAGCTCTACCTCATTAGCCATCTAGAAAATGCAAATTGAAACCACAATGAAATACTATTTTACATCCCCCAGAATGACTAAAATCAAAAAGACTGATAATACCAAGTGTTGACAGAGATATGGAACAATTAGAGCTACTGGTGAGTATTTAAAATGGTGCCATCCTTTTGGAGAATAGTTTGGTAGTTTCTTATAAAGTTGAAAACAGCTGTGTTATGACCTAGAAATTCCACACCTAGATATTTACCCAAGATAAATGAAAACATATCCACAAAAACTTGTACATGAATAACAAAAGCAGTCTAATTCACAAAATCAAAAACTAAAAACAACTCAAATATCCATAAATAAGAGAATAGATGGGTAAATTGTTGATTATTCAGGTATTGGACTATTATATAATCAGTAATAACTAAGAATAAATCAACGACACATGCAGTGTGGACAAATCTTACAGACATTCTGGTGGGCAAAAGAAGTTAGATGATTCCATTTGTATGAAGTACAAAATAGCCCAAACTATTTATGGTAACAGAAATCAGAAGTTCTTGCTTCTTCTATGTGTGGAGAGGAACAGAGACTGACTAGAAAGGGGCACTGGAGTGAATGGAAATATTCTATAACTTGTTTTGGATGATGATTACACAATAGTTTACAGTTGTCAAAATTCATTGCTTTGAACACTTAAGGCTGGATTGGTGCATGTAAATTATACTTAGATGTTAAAAAGTATGTACTTTCTGTTGTCACCTCCTTTCTCCATTTGCAAAAGAGAAAAGTGAGGCTCAATATAATGGGTAAGATTATATGGCTCTCACATTATAGAATTTTCTTAAGAATCCAGGTCTTCTGATTTTGAGTCCCATGCCTTTTTCACTCTCCAGTTTTTTTTTTTATGATCTTATCTCTCCTTCACAATGTATTTATATATTTAGCAAAAGAAACAAATGAACTGCCCATATTTTCAATAAAAAAAGTGTTTGAGAAAATTGCAGTGGCTAATGCATCAAAATTAACTAGGTTTTGCCCTATTCTGAACAAATATCTACCATCAACTCTGAAACTCTCTTGGTATCACTAGCCTCACTGTGCAAGAGTAGCCAATTTTTTTTTCTGTGTACCACAATGTATCCTCTGGAAACAAACAGGATAGATGACTTGGCACCTTTCTCAGGATTATATTTTATGTTTAAGGAGTTCCTCCCACACTGGTAAATGTAATGAATAGACTGCATTTCATTTCATTGAATTGCTTCTGTAGACACTCACAAAAGATCAGCTTCTGTGCACTTCAGTCAGACGCACAGTTATGAAAGTGCCATAAAACCTGTGTGATCACCACCTGCATGTAAAAAATGCCAGCAATAACTTACCAACATATTTCCACTGAAAATATGACTTTGACCCAGATGGCAAAATAGGCGGCGTTGGCCGTAAATCTGCAGGCAGTAAATGGGCAGGTGGTAAATCTGCTATCATTGCTACTGTTTTCTCAACACTTTATCTGTACAGGCTTTTCTTAAGGATATAAAAATTCTGGAAATATGGAAAAAGAAACAAAACATGGACTGGAAACTCTGGTGTGAAGCTGTAAGTTTCTTGAAATTTAGGTAACCTGTCCTTAGATTACAGGCTCAGGTCTGAGATGCTATGAAGTAAGAAAAAAGTGTGCTGAGAATAGAGGATAAAATTTATCAAAATTGCCAAGTCAATTTTTATCAGTTTTGGCAGCAAGGATCACCTGGAAATGCAAAGCGTGTTTTCTTTTTTACACAGAAAAGCAAATATTCTCTAAACATTAAAAGTTTATTTACCTCTCAACTTCAATTCCCTATCACAGTTTCTTCTACCCAAAATGAGAGAAAGGATATAACAAGGTTATCATGGATATGGTGGAATGAAGCAAAGTCAACTTTGAAATAATTTGGGATCATATTTAGATCACACCTTATTGAGTGGAGATTTGGTTTTCTCCAGAAGGGAATGGATGTCTCACTATTCATAATCCTGTGAAGAAATGTTTAATTCTGGGCAAAAAAAAAAAAAAAATGATGCAGAAATTGGGACTCTGGAGGAAGCATCTCCATTACTCTATACATTGGGATATTTGAGCCTGATTCCGAAGTATGCATTGTAGAGATCAAGGGCAGCTTCCATGTTTACATAGAGGTACATTAGGAATGCCACCCCTTGATTCCTAGACCTTTGTATTCTTCCTAACAGGGACGCAGCACCATATAAAGGTCTTTGATTGAATGCATGTTCTAGATTTTGGAGGATGGCACTCTCTCCTCTCAGACTATTGCCTGCAATCTGGCATTTCAGCTATGCTTTCAGCAGGCGGTTCTAATACATTATATGGTCAGCAGTCTGGATTTAGTGTGCAATACAACTAGTGGGTCCTGTAGTCATAAGTCCATTCATGTACCTCTTTGGCTGTAAAAGAGGAGCCCTTGTGAATGGGATTCCATGCTAGTGGCCCAAACACGCTGTGAGCCTTTAATAGTGGAACTGGCCAAGGCAGGCCCAAATGGCAGGAAACACAAAGCTCTATATGGAATGAATCTATTCCAGTGAGAATAAACCACTGACCTTTCCAGAATGCAAGGGAAACAATGCAGTCAACCTGCCCTCATGTGTCCAGTCTCCTCAAGCAATGATGCCATAATGAGGGCTCAGGATTAGCTTGTTGGGGGCAGTTGGACACTGAGCAGCAACAGGAGCTAGATCAGCCTTGACAAGTGGGAGCTGATGCCGTTGGACCCATGTGTAGTATTCATATTTGACATCATAGACACTTTGTTTATGTGCTGATTGTTCCAGCACTCATGAAATCAATGATAGCGGCTAGCTGGCAGTAGCTGGCTAGATCATTTTGTCCACTTGGTTGTTAAATGCCTCTTTCATTGCAGGTGTTCTATAGTAGATATCAACATATAATACGTAGATCTTCTCATTTTGTGCAATCCTATAGGTCCATCGATGTGTTTCTACCTCATTCATCCTTGTCTGTGACAGTCTAGCCTTTTGCTTCCAGGCCATTTGCATAGGCCACCTCTTGGCTACTTTCTGTGCCACTTCTCTTTCCACATGAAGTAGAAGACCAGTTGCACTGCCTAAAGCCCTCACTCACTGAAATAATTTTCCCTCACTACTGTCTTTCAAGCATACAGTATAAGTCTATAGTGTAGCTGCTGTCCATTTTTGGCTCACACTCACATACAAAAAAAAACCCTTCTGGAAACCAAATTAAAATCACTTCCCCCTTTATTAGTTGGTCATACCTGACCTCCTATGTGACCTGGTTGTGGGAGGAGTTGCTGGTGCAATAGTGCTGCCATGGGGTTCTGAATTATCTGCTCATGTTGCTTGCTTATGTCTGCCTGTCCCACTCATGCTTCATCTCAAATGTATCTCTTTCTTGTGTAATTTCTGATAATCATCGTTTGGAGCTGCATGGTCAGGTGCTCTGTCTCTACCAGGACATATTTTTCAAAGGGCATACAGTTTTGCTACAAATGTCATGATGTCTACAGGTCCGTAGAGGCCTGTGTTGTGATTTTTTCACTAGGACTTGCCACAGATATCATATGGTATTTTTTCCCATCACTGATAGCTCCAACACTGCAGGCTTCACCAAATTACGTGGTCCAAGTGGTGGGGCTGTTGCACCTTAGCCTGAACCTCTTCAGAGCCCTTTCTACTCTGGTTTCACTCAAATTTTGTTCAACTTTTTTTGTGTGTGTCAACTAGTACATTTCTAAGTATTAAATGAATAGATTACCTTTTAGAATGCAAATACCCGCTAGGACATTGTATTCCCTTCTTTGTGTTAGGAGGTACAAAATGCAGTATTTATTCTTCACTTAGGACTCTTCAAATAGTTTTGGACAGCCTGACCCTTTAAGCTTCACAGGTTCTATTTCACATCCTCTGGAATGCATGTGTTCTTCCAAGGCCTTCAGAATGTTAGCTACCTCTTGCTCATCTGGCATGATCAATATAATATCATTGATGTAATGGATTAATGGGAAGTACTGTGGGTTATCCAGATGGTGCAGATCTCTTTAGACTATATTATAGCAGAGGGCAGAAGAGTTAACATAGCCCTGAGGCAAAACTATAAATTAATATTGTTGTTCAATCCATGTAAATGTGAACTGTTTCTGATTGTCTTTTCTGACTGAGATAGAAAATAATACATTTTCCAGAATAATGGCTTTATACCAAGTTCCTTAGGCCATATTAATCTGCTCTAGCAATATACTACATCTGGCATGACAGATGCAAAAAGGGACTATTTCTGGGTTAAGCTTGTAGTTATCTTTCAGAATCCATCTTGTTTTTCCAGGGTTCAGACTAGTAAATTAAATAATAATGTTATGAGAACAAATACCTCTACATTCGTGAAATCTATAAGGGTGGCACTAATTTCTGACTCCATCTCCCACTCCCAGGATTAAATAGTGATTTTGATTCGCTATCTTTGTTGAAGGATGGAAGGAGCAGGTTCAGGGACATTCACTTGGCCTCATGCTGTGTGATAGCTCTGACCCCAGTGACCAAAGATCCAACTCCCAAGTGTCATTCTTGATTGTACATTTGAGGACAAGAGAGATGACCATTAGTAGATACTCTATAAGATGGACCCTAACCGCAACTTAATTTAATCATGTGTCATATGTCCCCTATATGCCCTACTCTAACAAGGAGACCATGATGATGGGCTCTGGATATCAACTTCAACTTAAATCTTGTGTCCAACAGCCATCAAATTATCTAGATATTTAATTTCCCCAATCAAATGGCCATAATCCCTGTAGGGAAGGACTGGAGGAATCATTATCATGTACACTTACCATATAATTGTGGAGTCCTTACTCCTAGTCAGTGCCACATCTTCACTGAATGGGTTCTTTGTCTGAAAACTGGCTCAGGTCTGGAAACTGGGAAAGGGATCATGAATTTTTATTGCTGTGACTGCCCTCAATCTTCTGGTCATCTAACTTTGAGTTCTTTTGCTGCTAAAATCTGAGTAGTACTCATGTTGGCAGTCTGTTTATTTTGCCCCCACTGGTGTCGTCTTTTATTAACATCTCCATAACCATCTGTGGGTCAGAATTTCTTGTTTATCACTCTGATATAGCTTTCATTACCAAAAAATAAAAGTACAACCCCATTAGATTCTGACAATGACGCATTGCCCCTTTGTTCCTAATATTTTGAAATCTTATTATCCACACTGACATCAGTGGGACACAATCTGTAACAGCCTGTCCCCCTTCTGGTTCTTGCCCAGAGAGCTATCAGGGAATTTTTACTGATGCCGTGTCATTGTTTTAGCACATACATAATGGCCTTGGTGTCTTCTGGCTTCCGTGTGGAGCATACTCATCTACAGGGTCTTTCAACTGTACATTGAATATTCATTCTAGCATTTTCCTGACCCTGTTATCCCTTTCCTCCAGAGCCTACCAGGGCAATTCTAGCATTTCAACTTCACCTTTTCTTTTTTATCCCCCCTTTGACATAGATTTGCATTGATTTATTTCTAGAATAAGATATGCATATGATAGCATCTATTTCTGGAGCATTTTATGGAATTAGTAAAGCATTATACTTCCCAAGATGATTCTCTTTTCTTTTCTATCTCTTTGTTCTTTATTTTCATGTTATAGAAAATGTCCTCAACTTTATCTTTCAATTCTTCCTTTCAATTTTTAGTTTTAGTAAATACTTGCTTAATTTCCAAGAGCTCTTTCTTATTCTATGATCATTCCTTTTTCATAATATACTCTTCTTATTTTACAGATACAAACCCTTCTCGAACCTCTCTAAGGATATTAAATAGAGGATTACTGTTCTATTTGGTCTATAGTGGCATTTATTTTTATGTTACTACTTTTCTTTCTATGCAATCATAGCTGATGCATAACTGGATTCATTTTTCAATGCCACTGATGATAGTCTTTGTTGTCGGACATCTCTTTTCCCATCATCTAATTACTAGGTCTTTTCCAAGAATAGAAAAGCTGACTAGTTCTATGCATATGGTGGGGCTTGTTGCTGGGCAGAATTCTATCACCATGAGAAGATAATAAGCTGTTACTGGCACCAACATCACTTTTTCTGTGTTTCTAGGAGTCATCCTAGTTTCAGAATTGTGCCTCAGCTTTCTTTAGCCCCTCACTAGAACAGATGCTGACTTCTTTGTATAAAATATAAAAGGCCCACTGGCTTCTACATCTAGCTTTCAATTGCCTATACCTAATCTAAATGCTTTGTTCTATAATGCTCTATTGTACAATAGAAATATAATGTGAGCCACATAGGTACTTTCAAATACTTCTAGTAGTAACATGTTAAAATGTAAAGCAAAACAAAACATTTTTTGTTTTGCTCCTATGGATGTCGTGTTTTATTAATATCTCCATAACCATCTGTGGGTCAGGATTCCTTGGCTGTCACTCTGCTGGAGCTTTTATTGTTAAAAAAATTTACCTCCTTGGATTTTATACATAGTTTATTTTTATGTATTTATTATTTATTATTTTTTAGCTTTTGTTTTATTTTAGATTCAGAGTCATATGTGCAGTTTCATTATATAGGTAAAATGCACTTCACAGAAGTTTGGTGTACAGATTATTTTGTCACCCAAGTAATAAGCATGGTACCTAGAGGTAGTTTTTCAGATCATCTCCCTCCTCCCAACCTCCATCCTCAAGTAGGTGCTAATGTCTGTTGTTCCCCTCTTTCTGTCTATGTGTTCTTATCATTTAGCTCCCATTTATAAGTGAGAACATGTGGTATTTGGTTTTCTGTTCCTGCATTAGTTTGCTTAGTTAGATAATGGCCTCCTTGTTGCTGTTGCAAAGACATGAGCTCATTCTTTTTTTAATGGCTGCATAGTATTCCATGGTGTATATGCACCACATTTTGTTGATCCAGTCTACTGTTGATGAACATTCAGGTTGATTCCTTGTCTTTGCAATTGTGAATAGTTCTGTGGTGAACATACTCATGTATACGTCTTTATGGTAGAATGATTTATATTCCTGTGGGTATATACCTAATAATGAGATTGCTGGGTCGAATGGTAATTCTAAGTTCTTTGAGGAATCGCTACACCGTTTTTCACAATTGCTGAACTAATTTACACCCCAATCACCAGTGTATAAGTGTTCCCCTCTTTTTACAGCCTTGCTGGCATCTGTTAATGTTTTGACTTTTTAATAATAGCTATTCTGACTGGTGTGAGATGGTATCTCACTGTGGTTTTGATTTGCATTTCTGTAATGATTAGCGATGTTGAGTATTTTTTCATATGCCTGTTGGCCCCAATACATATAGGTTAAACTAGCTGCATTTCAAAAACACAATAGCAATGCATGCTAGTGGCCACTGTACTTGGCAACATGACTGTAGAACACCAGCAGTGCTTAGCCATAGCCACCCAATCCTGATAAAGTTTTATGTATTATTTTTCATACATTTCAATAACAGCAGCAACATCTGCTGTTTCTATCACTACATCCTCACACTCTACCAGGTTTCCACAGGTGAAAATTTCCTTTGGATGCCACTTTTTGCCAGGTGCAGTCTGTGTTCCTCCTTACTAGTGATCAGTCATCATTGCCTGCAGGTGGGAAATAATCTAGCTCCAAAAACTAAACGCCATCTTCCAGCCTGCTTCCTCGATCTAGTCCTGGTATTGACTGTCCAGATTGGATTTTCTGGAAGCAGATGCTGGGTTTGCATGTAAGATGTTTATTAGGGAATAGCGCCTATGAAAGGAGGCAAGAAGGAAATAAGACTGATAAGAGAAAAATGTTAAGTTGTGATGAACGTCTAACTAAGCTTTTCCAACCTGGTGGGGAAGTACTTGGGCTAAAATGGCCACCAGAATTAGCCCATGTCAGCGAACTGGCAGGCACTTTGTACTACCATCTTGCTTAACCATTGAATGTGGGCTGTTTGAGCCAGGTGGCTGAGAACAAACTTGGAGAAGCTGATAGCTGGAGGCAGTCTGCTCACCACATCCCCTGGAAGCTGCATGAGCAAGTCTTTTCTTTAAAAAGAGTAGGCACAGCACATCTCCATGTCTACACAGAAGCCATTGGTAAACTTCAGATGCAGAAACCGTGCCAGAATGTTAGAGACGGAAACCTGATTGGAGTGGGCTGAGGAGAGAATGCAAACTATTAAAAACTTGGCAAGTTGGCTTGCTGTGGAGGCAAATAAAGGAATGGGAGCTAGGTGAAGAGGGACTGGAGTCAGGATAGTTTTTGTCATTTTTTTTTTTCTAGTAAGAGATAGATAGAGAAAAAAAGGAAGTGACAGTATTGATTAAAAGTAGATAATATTAGGGGGAAAGTTTTTGAGAGGCCATAAGGGATGTAATACAAGCACAGTTTGAAGGGCTGCCCTTTGATAGAACCAGGAATATTTTATTCGTGGTAATATTCAGGAAGGCAGAGAGTGTGGGCACAGATGCAGATTAATTGGTAGATTGGGGAATGGGAACAGGAGCAATTTCCTACTTGACTGTATGAAACAAAGTGATATGGTTTAGCTGTGTTGTCACCCAAATCTCATCTTGAATTGTAGCTCCCATAATCCCCACCTATCCTGGGAGGGACCCAGAGGGAGGTAATTGAATCTTGGGGGTGTGTATTTATCATGCTGTTCTCATGATAGTAAATAAGTTTCATGAGATCTGATGGTTTTATAAAGGGCAGTTCCCCTGCACAAGCTCGCTTGCTTACTGCCACCTAAGACATGCCTTTGCTCCTCCTTCACCTTCTGCCATGATTGTGAGGCCTCCCTAGCCATGTGGCACTGTGAGTCCATTAAGCCCCTTTTTAAAATAAATTACTCAGTCTCAGTTATTTCTTCATAGCAGTATGAAAATGGACTAATACAAAAGGTTTTCTGCTAAGATGGTAAAAGTGCATGTGTGGTGGTGTAAAAGGAGGGGAATCATACAGAAAGTTTGAGGGAAAAGAAGACATGTAATTGTTAAGCATACAAAAGCCAACATAATAATAAAGCAAATTAGGATTTCACATATTGAGTTCTCTTTGAGTTTTCTGGTCATGAATTTGAATTCAGACCAAACAGCAAGTACATAAGCAAATACTTAAATTTTACTGCATCTTCTGCATTTCCTAAATAAGTAAGACAAGGGATATTTGGGATAAAAAACTTAGGGTGTTTGAAAGGAATTGATTTTATTGATGCACCTTGAAATTCAATTTGTGTAAAAAGCAAGTTAAGGACATAAGGGGTGGTTATTTACTGATAGTGGAAAAGTAGCAAAGTTCTATGAAAGAGTAATATGTTAAACCTTTTATCACTTCAACCATGATCCAGTTTATCAGTGATCACTGGCTCACTTAAATGGATAGGGAAAATTATAAGTAAAAAAAGTCGAGGAAGAGGATGTTCGTGATGGATTTTACCAATAGCACATTTGGCTAAAGAATTGTTTCCTCTGTACCTGAAAGGAAGGGAGATACCTACTAATTAGAATCTTAGGACTTAGAATATTGGCAGTCAATGTTATATAGTAAAAAGAACTTTGGGAAGGGTAATACATAATGGTAAAGAGATCAACTCAACAAGAAGAACTAAGTAACCTAAATATATATGCACTCAATACAGCAGCACCCAGGTTCATAAAACAAGTTTTTAGAGACCTAAAAAGAGACTTAGGTTCCCACACAACAATAGTGGGAGACTTTAACACACTATTGCCAATATTAAACAGATAATTGAGACAGAAAATTAACAAGGATATTTAGGACTTGACCTCAGCCCTGGATCAAGTGGACCTGATACAGATCTACAGAACTCTCCACCCAAAAACAACAGAATATACGTTCTTCTTATCAACACATGGCACTTACTCTAAAATCAATCACATAAGTGGAAGTAAAACACTCCTCAGCAAATGCAAAAGAACTGAAATCACAACTAACAGTTTCTCAGACCACAGCACAATCAAATTAGAACTCAGGATTAAGAAACTTACTCAAAACCACACAAATACATGGAAATGGAACAACCTTCTCCTGAATGACTCCTGGGTAAATAATGAAATTAAGGCAGAAATCAATAAGTTCTTTGAAACCAATGAGAGCAAAGAGACAACATACTGGAATATCTGGTATACAGCTAAAGCAGTGTTAAGAGGGAAATTAATAAAACTAACTGCCCACATCAAAAAGCTAGAAAGATCTCAAACTGACACCCTGATGTTACAACTAAAATAACTAGGGAACCAAGAGCAAACAAACTTCAAAGCTAGCAGAAGACAAGAAGTAACCAAGATCAGAGTGGAACTGAAGGAGAAAGTGACACAAAAATCTTTCAAAAATCAATGAAGCCAGGAGCTAGTTTTTTGAAAAAATTAATAAAATAGACTTCTAGCTAGACTAATAAAGAAGAAAAAAGAGAATAATCAAATAGACACAATAAAAAGTGATACAGGGGATATCACCACGGACCCCACAGAAATGCAAACAAACATCAGATAATACTATGAACACTTCTGTGCAAATAAACTAGAAAATCTAGAAGAAATGGATAAATTGCTGGATACATACACCCTCCCAAGGCTGAACCAGAAAGAAATTGAATCCCTGAATAGACCAATAATAAGTTCTGAAATTCAGACAGTAATAAATAGCCTGCCAACCATAAAAAGCCCAGGACCAGAGAGATTTACAGCTGAATTCTACCAGAGTTACAAAGAGGAGCTGGTACCATTTTTTCTGAAACTATTCCAAAAAATTGAAAAGGAGGGACTTCTCTCTAACTCACTTTATGAGGCCAGCATCATCCTGATACCAAAACCTGACAGAGACACACACAAAAAAGAAAACTTCAGACAAATATCCCTGATGAACATTGATGCAAAAATCCTCAATAAAATACTTGCAAACTGAATCCAGCAGCACATCAAAAAGCGTATTCACCGTGATAAAGTCGGCTTCATCCCCAGGACACAAGGCTGTTTCAACACACACAAATCAATAAAGAGAACTAAAGACAAAAACCGCATGATTATCTCAACAGATTCAGGAAAGATCTTTGATAAAATTCAACATCCCTTCAAGTTAAAAACTCTCAATAATCTAGGTATTGATGGAACATTCCTCAAAATATTAAGAGCCATTTATGACAAATCCACAGCCAATATCATACTGAATGGGCAAAAGCTGGAAGCATTCCCCTTGAAAACTGGCACAAGACAAGGATGTCATCTCTCACCACTCCACCACATAGTATTGGAAGTTCTGGCAAGGGCAATCAGGCAAGAGAAAGAAATAAAATGTATTCAAATAGGAAGGGAGGAAGTCAAATGGTCTCTGTTTGCAGATGACATTATGCTACATCTAAAAACCCCATAATCTCAGCCCAGAAGCTTCTTAAGCTGATAAGCAAATTCAGCAAATTTCAGGATACAAAATTAATGTGCAAAAATCACAAGCATCCCTATACACCAATAATAGACAAGCAGAAAGTCAGATCTTGAATGAACTCCCATTCACAATTGCTGCAAAGAGAATGAAATACCTAGCAATACAGCTAATAAGAGAAGTGAAGGACCTCTGCAAGGAGAACTACAAACTACTTCTCAAAGAAATCAGAGAGGACACAAACAAATGGAAGAACATTCCATTCTCATGGATAGGAAGAATCAATATCATGAAAATGGCCATAGTTTCCAAAAGAATTTATAGATTCAATGCTATTTCCATTAAACTACCATTGACATTCTTCACAGAATTAGAAAAAAGCTACTTTAAAATTCTTATGGGACCAAAAAAGAGCCCATATAGGGAAGACAACCGTAAACAAAAAGAAAAAAGCTGGAGGCATCATGCTATTTGACTTCAAATTATCCTATAAGGCTACAGCAACCAAAACAGCGTGGTACTGGCACAAAAACAGACACATAGACCAATGGAACAGAATAGAGTACTCAGAAAGAAGACTGCACATCTACGACCATCTGATCTTCAACAAACCTGACAAAAACAAGCAATGGGGAAAGGATTCTCTATTTAATAAGTGGTGCTGGGAAAACTGGCTAGCCATATACAGAAAATTGAAACTGGACTCCTTCCATACAACTTATAAAAAAATTGACTCAAGATGGATTAAAGACTTAAATATAAAATCCAAATTTGTAAAAATCCTAGAAGTAAATCTAGGCAATACAATTCGGGACATAGGCATGGAGAAAATTTCATTATGAAAACATCAAAAGCAATTGCGACAAAAGCAAAAATTGACGCATTGGATATAATTACACTAAAGAGCTCAGCAAGTGGGATCTAATTAAACTAAAGAGCCCAACAAAAGAAACTATCATCAGAGTGAACAGACAGTCTACAGAATGGGAGAAAATTTTTGCAATCTCTTCATCTGAATAAGATCTAATATCTGGGATCTACAAGGACTTTAAACAAATTTACAAGAAAAAAACACAATAAAAACACAACTCCATTAAAAAGTGAGCAAAGGACTTGAATAGACACTTCTCAAAATAAGACATTGATGCAGCCCACAAACATTGAAAAGAAGTGCAACATCACAGATCATTAGAAAAATGCAAAACAAAACTGCAGTAAGATACCATCTCACACCAGTCAGAATGGTGATTATTAAAAAGTCAAGAAACAACAGCTATTGGCAAGGCTGTGGAGAAATAGGAATGCTTTTACACTGTTGGTGGGAGTGTAAATTAGTTCAACTATTGTGGAAGACAGTGTGGCAATTTCTCAAAGACCTAGAACCAGAAATACCATTTGACCCAGCAATCCCATTACTGGGTACATACCAAGAAGAATATAAATTATTCTATTATAAAGATACATGCACATTTATGCTCATTGCAGCACTATTCATAATAGCAAAGGCATGGAATCAACCCAAATGCCCATTGATGATAGACTGGATAAAGAAAATGTGGTACATATATACCATGGAATACTGTACAGCCATAAAAAGGAATGAATTAATGTCCTTTGCAGGGGCATGGATGGAACTGGAAGCCATTGCCGTCAGCAAACTAACACAAAAACAGAAAACCAAACACTGCATGTTCTCAGTTATAAATGGGAGCTGAACAATGAGAACACATGGACACAGGGAGGGGAACAACACACACTGTGGCCTGTTGGGGGATAGCAGGAGGAAGAGCATCAGTATAAATAGCTAATGCATGTGGGGCTTAATACCTAGGTTATGGGTTGATAGGTGCAGCAAACCACCATGGCACATGTTTACCTATATACTAAACCTGCATGCCATGCACCTGTATCCTATAAGAAAATAAAATAAAATAAAATAAAATAAAATAAAATAAAATAAAATAAAATAAATAAATAGAACTTTGGATATTGAGTCAAAAGACCTGGGTTTGAATCCTGGCTCTATTATTTTCTTTCATTAATTTATTTCTTTATTCAGTAAACATTAAGTTAGCAACTACTATCTACCAGACACTTTTCAAAAGGCTGAGAAGAAATAATAAACAAATTGAAAACTTCTTCTCTAAAACAGGCTTATATTCTAGTTGCTTTACATGTCTAGAGAAGAGAGAAAGAGTACATATAATTATAAGTAAGTAATATAATTACTTACTTATAAGTAAATTATAAGTAAATTAAATATAAGTAAGTAAATAAATTAAATAGTGTAATTTCAAATTATAAGTACTATGAAGAAAATGAAAGGAGTTATGAGATAGCCACTGACTTGGGCCAAGGGTGTACAGCTACTATGTAATAAGGTGGTTAGGAAAGGAGGTGACATTGGATCTGAATAAGGAAGAACCACCTATACAAATGAAGAATTCCAGTCAGAGGGGCAAACAGATAGCTCTTTTATCTCAGATAAGGAACTTGAATTTTCTGTGCCTGAATTCCTTTATTAATAAATTATGATAATATTCCCTCAAGAGTTGCTATAAAAATAAATAATATGTGGCACAATACCCAGGAAATAGTAAGAAATCATTAAAATAGGATTTGCTTTTAATATTTCGTCATGGAGATGGTTACAGTTCCCCGAAGGATTTAGGAGGTAAATATAATCCACCTTTTGTGCAGACTCCTTCAGTTAAAACACCTAAAGTTCTAATGAAGATGTTTCACAGAGCCTACAGCAGAATCTTTTGGCATTATGTCTATTGTTAAAAACCACCAGAATGTCAAGACAAATTTTCAAGAATACCTGTTTTATGGAAAAGCAAATTTGAGAAATATATACCTTAATAAACAAGAATTAACAGATCCATTAGTCCATTCTTGCGCTGCTATAAAGAAATGCTTGAAACTGGGTAATTTATAAAGAAAAGAGGTTTAATTGGCTCACAGTTCCACAGGCTGTACAGGAAGCATGGCTGGGGAGGCCTCAGGAAACTTACCATCATGGTGGAAGGCAAAGAGGAAGCAGGCACATTTTCCATGGCTGGAGCAGGAGGAAGAGAGAGAAGGGAGAGGAGCTACACACTTTTAAACAACCAGATCTCCTGAGTACTCACTGAGTATCATGAGAACAGCAAGGGGGAAATCCACCCTCATGATCCAGTCACCTTCCACCAAGCTTCTCCTCCAACACTGGGGATTATAATTCGACATGAGGTTTGAGCGGAGATAGGAATCCAAACCATATCAATAAATTTGACAAATCTTAAACAATATTGCTCTTTCAGTAAACTCATTAAAAAGCTTTTAATGTGTTTCCATATTGTATATTTGATATGGTATTACAGTATTAATACTCTTTCAGTTCTATTCATGGTTATAATTAGATTATCTGACTGGAAAATTACAAGATTTACTATAAGGTTAGTGGCTCAAATGAATACTGCAGATCCTGGAAGGGAGGCACACCATACTGTCAATTCCATTCTCTGTGTAAAAGAAAAACCATGATTTCAAAAATGTCATTACTGTATAATTAGACACTTTTTTAATAATTTGAAATGAATAGGAAAACAGCCATTAGGTCCTAGAACACAAAGGAAAGCTTAACCAAAGCATAGGTTAAGGGTAGCTTAACCTCTGCCTTACCCCAAAGCTGCTCTGCTGTCTGTCATTGCTAGTTAATCCAGAGTGCAGATTGTGCACCGAAGATTGCTAGCTTGAATAAATGATAATATATTATTTCCTCAAACATGAGCAGCTTATGGTTCATAACCAACTTCATCTGGATCAACCATTGCAGTTCACTGATAATAAAAATCTTTTGAAAATCTTTTAAGAGACAATTACCATTTGTCTGAGATGGTTTTAGTTTCCCTTCATGCAAAACTTTTACGTTTTTTCCTTGACTTGCTTAAAGCAATTTGTCTGTTAGGATCACAGGTTGGTAAGACTTTCAGAAATCATGTATTAAATTTATGTACTTGTAACCAAGTGACACTGGAGTCACTTTAGAATGTTGAGCATGTGAATTACTACGTGTATGTGCGCGCACACATACACACACATACACACACACACATTGGACATGTTAGCTTCATTTTGTCAGGAAGTTATATGTCATATATAATAATACTATGAAGTCAGAGAATAGTTAGTAGAGACATTCTTATTTATTTAATTGTTTACTTTTATTCATTATTGCTATGGATACCTTTGAAAAAGTGAAGGATTTTTAGATTGTGGTTGTTCAATTAGTCCTTTTTGATCATTTGTACTCATTACTTTGCAAAAACTTGAAGGGCATACTTGGTTTACTTTTATTACCCCAATACCTAATACAAAGCCTAAGAAATAGATGACACACAAGAAATAATTTGTGAATAAATGATTATGGCAACTTAGCTTACTGTTGCTTCACCATGTGGGTGGCACTTAAATCACTCTTTGAAAAGCAAGATAAATGACATAGCTAGCTGAATTTCCACGGAAGTAAATTTCTAAAGATGAGACCAAGGCCTATTATATCTGTTTACTTAACTGCCTTGTGTAATGATGATGGGAGGAGTGTGATGATGCAGGTTAATAAAAAACTCAGGGAAGCACCACTTTCCACAAGGGCACACACTCTTTTGCAACACGAATAAATTGGAAACAATGAATGGAGGGATAGCCATTTTTCTTTCCTGTGTATCCATCACTTATCAGTGCCCCCCCGTGCTGCTTTTCACACATGGAGATATGTATGTTTAATAAGCAATAGGTAAAGCTCTTTAAAAGGATGCTTCTCAATCACAATGCAACTAAGGATCTAATCATGTAAATGGAAAAATAAAACCACATACACACACTCCTATTAGGTTTTACTAGCCAGTGATGAATTGGCATATATAGAAAACAAGTTACAGATAGAGAGGTGTTGTTAGTGTCATTTATGTTTGCTTTGAGCTATGTTGGTATGCATTGATTTAGAAGCTTTAGATAGTTTACTCTAAGAGGAGGAAAATCACATATTCCTTTTTGGGTGTCTACCACTGTGAAAAAAAATGTCTCATTTTCTATTGTTCTTTTTTTTTCTGAAATAAGAATATGTAACAAGGAGTTGGGGGAAGATATTATGCAACAAATCCTATTCATTTTCATGTTACTGCTTTCAGAACTAGTATTACCTTGGATTGCAGAGCAGGTGAAGTACATTCTTTTGTTTATTCTAAAATCATGCAGTTACAGTAAAAAGTATAATAAAGGCTCTTTTGAGCTGCATGTGTGGAATATACTTGTAGGCCTGAACCAGCTGTGTGACTGACAGGCTCCCTAACCTCTCTTCTCAGGCTTACTTCATCTGTAAAATAGGGAAAATATTTACCTGGCATAATAACTGTGAGAAATAAATAATATATTTAAATCACATTTAGCACTCAAATATATTTGTTTTCATCTCCACCATCTATACCTATAGGAGGGCGAGGGACTATTTTGAGTTATTTCAAACAGAATGTAAAAAATCCTTAGTAGATACTGAAGAATTTAAAGTGATAGTGAAATTCATAAAGTTTGAAAAATCATGAAACATTTATTTCTTTTGATTGGATTCAGTTCCTCATTTTTAAAGTGATTTCAGAGTGATTTTCCCTCTTAAGAGTTGCAACTTTTTGGTGTTTGGTGGTGGTGATCTTACTGGCATGTTTTGCTTTTTCTTGCAAAAAGTTGTATGATATCATGTGCCATTTTATACATTATGGAACAATAACTTTTCTTATTTTCCTCTCATTTCAGTTATTTATTGTTTGACATAAATAAATGATATTTTAAAATTCTTTTAAAGGATACAATATGTGTATATGTATAAGAATTAGATAGTAGATATTTTCTTGGAGAGTGGAACAAATTATAATATATGACAAATCTCCTTTTTATGCATTTTTATATTTATGAAAACAGAAGTAAATAAAAAAGAATGTGCTTAGAAATCTCAGAGCTTTTTTGGTGATGATACTCACTGTTTCCCTCTCAGTTGCAGATGAGCTTTTGTAGTGTGCAAGTTACTCAGGTAGGAAGTAAGAATAAACTTTCGTAAGAAACTGCTTACTGGATTTGTCCCCTCCAAATTTTAGGTTGAAATGTTGATTTTTAAAAAATTTGAAATGGTTTGTTACCTTAGACTTTGTAAATGCAGAAAAAGCATAAAGTGAGGCTAAATCCAAATAAAATAAAAAATCAGAGCATTGTATGCAGCTAAATTAAGCATGAACAATTTCCATTAACCTCAATTCCTCTTCAAGAGGAATTCATTAAATCATTAGATTTGGAATGTAGTATCACTGTCTACTATTTCTGTTTTTGGCCATTGCAACTTCTATCTGTATACACTTTTGATCAGTCTTTTCACAGGGTGTTTTATTGTTATTTTTTATTGTTCTTTATTTGATTGACTTCTCTTTTATCTATTACATAAAATGTTTAATTTCTCTGTCCATAAATGTTTGAAGTTTGCATTTTAAGTTGTAAGTCTTTTTAGCCATATTTCAGTGCTTTATTGCACAGAAACAATATGAAATGCTTTCTAATTACTCTTACAATGTCCCATACAGTATTTATTTTAAAAATAGATCGACATGGCCAGGTGCGGTGGCTCACACCTGTAATCCCAGCACTTTGGGAGGCCAAGGCTGGCAGATCATGAGGTCAGGAGATTGAGACCATCCTGGCTAACACGGTGAAACCCTGTCTCTACTAAAAATACAAAAAAAAAATTAGCCGGGCATTGTGGCAGGCGCCTGTAGTCCCAGCTACTTGGGAGGCTGAGGCAGGAGAATGGTGTGAACCCGGAAGGTGGAGCTTGCGGTAAGCGGAGATCACGCCACTGCACTCCAGCCTGGGCAAGAGAGTGAGACTCCATCTCAAAAAAAAAAAACAAAAAAAAACAGATCGACATGTTTGCGCAGTACTTAAGTTTGTGTGGTATGCTAGGATGTAGGATGGGGATTAAAACTTATTAGTTCCAAAAGACAATTTCATTTCAGATAAGTCTGAGGCCTTATCTGACACGTACTGGTTTCAACACTTGGGGAGATTAACTACCCACTTTTTAAATTTTTATTAGAATAAGATTATTGCCTTATAGGGCCATTGTGAGTATTTGATGGAATAATGTATACAAATAGCTTACCACAGTTTTGGGAAAATAATAATTTCTTCATTAGTATGAAGTTTTGCCTATATTATAACAATTTCCTGAACCAGTTTATGGCACTGACATCAGGAACCTGTAGGTAAAGAAAGAAAAATACATGCTAGATTTTTTTTTTTACAATAGTGGGTAGGAGGAATTTTCAAAAGGATTTTGAGTTGAAATTATTTCTTACTTTTTATAGACCTACACACTCATTTGATACTTTTTATACTACAGTATTAAAAATCTTTGTTATCATAGGGCTTTACACTTTAACCATTTTAAGCCCTAAATCATAGGGATTCCAACTACAGTATGAAAGACAGAACTTTAAGATGATTGTAAAAATTCACATGGTGCTTAACTTCAGGAGCTAGAATTTTTAATATTTTATAGTATATTTTCTTAAAAAATTTAATATAACTTTAATATATCTTCTTGGCCAGACCAAATCAACAGTTGATTAAAAAGGTATTGGTCAGGGAACTAACCTGTCCAATGGAAAAAGCAAAGGTTTTGTTTATTGTGACATGGTTTTTCATAATATTTTGTATTTTTGTATTTATTGCCCACTGCAATATTCAGATTCTTGAGTTAGATATTACTTAATTTTAGAAATAATAATGGAAATTTCTTGGTAAATTTGTGGCAGATGTTTTGCACACACTGAATTTTAAGAAAGTTAATAGATTGAAATCCTTACTTCATATTGAGATTATTTTCAATCATTTTTATTTGGATAATGAGAACTTAAGCAGTTTGCAAAAGCAAATTTGCCATAGTCATTATTTTTTCATTAACCACTTAATTTCTGTTTGCTTTTCTTCTGCCTATTACTGAGAACATGAATAAAAATTTGCTATTCAAATAAACCAGGTGCACATGCATTTCAATTCTTTGCTATTTTACATTACAGCAGGCAAGTAGTTAAGCATTTAACAAAAGAAATAAGAGAAATTGTAAATATTGTTTGCAAACTGTAATGAGCTTGCAATGAAATATCTAGCTAAATACAACATTCCAATTATCTCTAAAATTATGTTGGTGTGTTACTATCCTTGAAAGTGATATTCAAAAACAGTGCAAAGACATCTCTGTGATATCGGGCGAAATTCAGCCCCGATGTTTCACGTAGGTTCTTATCTATTTTCCCTAAGTGTCGGCTGGTCTGAGAAATAAAGGGAAAGAGTACAAAAGAGAGAAATTTTAAAACTGGGTGTCCGGGGGAGACATCACATGTCGGCAGGTTCCGTGATGCCCCCTGAGCCGTAAAACCAGCAAGTTTTTATTAGTGATTTCAAAAGGGGAGGGAGTGTACAAATAGGATGTAGGTCACAGAGATCACATGCTTCACAAGGTAATAAGATATCACAAGGTAAATGGAGGCAGGGCAAGATCACAGGACCACAGGATGGGGCGAAATTAAAATTGCTAATGAAGTTTTGGGCACGCATTGTCATTAATAACATCTTATCAGCAGACAGGGTTTGAGAGCAGACAACTGGTCTGACCAAAATTTATTATGCGGGAATTTCCTCATCCTAATAAGCCTGGGAGCGCTAAGGGAGACTGGAGCTTATTTCATCCCTACAGCTGCGACTGTAAAAGACAGCCACCCCCAAAGCAGCCATTTTAGAGGCCTACCCTCAGGGATGCATTCTCCTTCTCAGGGATGTTCCTTGCTGAGAAAAAGAATTCAGCGATATTTCTCCCATTTGCTTTTGAAAGAAGAGAAATATGGCTGTGTTCCACCTGGCTCACTGGCAGTCAGAGTTTAAGGTTATCTCTCTTGTTCCCTTATCATTGCTGTTATCCTGTTCTTTTTTCAAGGTGCCCAGATTTCATATTGTTCAAACACACATGCTCTACAAACAATTTGTGCAGTTAATGCAATCATCACAGGGTCCTGAGGCAACATACATCCTCCTCAGTTTACAAAGATGATGGGATTAAGAGATTAAAGTAAAGACAGGCATAGGAAATCACAAGGGTATTGACTGGGGAAGTGATAAGTGTCCATGAAATCTTCACAATTTATGTTCAGAGATTGCAGTAAAGATAGGCATAAGAAATTATAAAAGTATTAATTTGGGGAACTAATAAATGTCCATGAAATCTTCACAATTTATGTTCTTCTGCCATGGCTTCAGCCAGTTCCTCCATTCGGGGTCCCTGACTTCCCACAACACTGTGATTCCACATGTGAACCTAAACTGGCTGGTGTCTACGTATGCAGTCTGTACTTACACTGTGCTATGAGGCCAGCTACTGGACCATGGCCAGCAGATCCCTTAGAACTGCACTGCATGCATGACATCTGTTCTTACTAATTAATTCACCTTGCAACATTCACATTAGTTGGGAAGCTTGGCAACAGGACCTGTTATTGCTGTTTATTATCAACTTTATAAAACATGAAAAAACAAACACAGCCTAAGATAACTGTCATATTCCTAGCAATCATCTCCAAATATTACATAGAATACCAACTTTATATAAATATCAGAAATGAAATGGTAGGGTTGTATACTAGACTCCTGATTCCTCTCCCTGTTATCAACCTTGATTTATTATTTTGTTATTATTCTATTCATATTTAATAAAAATATTTAATGAAAGTATTAAATATTTTATATTTACCATATAGGCCTTAGAAGTACAAATATGAAGGTCATTATTCTTTGACTAGCAGAGAAGAAAATATAAATACATTTCCATTAATTTAACAAATGCTTATTAAACATTTATTATCTGACAGAATCTATTCTAGGCACTGAAGTGAACAATGACCAAGATCAACAAAAATTTCTATTCAAGGAACTTTGGTTTTAGTAAGAAGGGACAAGAAACAAAACATATAAGTAATTTATGTAATACGTCAGAAGGTGGTATGTTCTATGAAGACTTTTTTTTATCAAGGAAGGTAGAAAGGTAAAATTTGTAAACAGAATGTTCAAGGAAATAATTTTTGACAAGGTTATATTTGGACAAATAATTAAAAGAAGTACAAGGAAAAAGCTATGCATATATCTGAAGGGAGAGTCCAGATAAATGAAACCACAAGTTATAGCCCCTGAGCCACGGAAATGTCAGAGAGCAAGGAACCAATGGAGCTGGTAGAAAAATAGTAATAGATTATATTGGAAAAGCAACAGGATGTAGAGAGGAAGGTCACTGTTAGCCATTGGACAGACTATACCCCTGGCTCTGAGTGTGATGGTATATTATTCTGCTTGAGCTACCATAACAGAATACCAAAGACTGAGTGACTTAACTAAAGATAGTTATTTTTATAGGACTTCATGATCAAGATGCTATTAGGGATGGTTTCTGGTGGTATCTTTCTTCCTGACTCATATATAGCCACATTCTGGTTGTGTCCTCACATGGCCATTTTTTGGTGTGTATGCAGAAAGAAAGACAGCTCTGATGTCTCTGCCTCTTACTATAAGGACATCAGTCATATTAGATTAGGGGCCAACCAAGATGACCTCATTTAACGTTAGTTACCTCCTTAAAGGCCCTGTCTACAAACCCTTAAACTGACATTGGAGGTTAGGATTTCAACATATAAATTTGGGGGAACACAATTTGGCCTATAAAATTCTCACCTCTGCCCCATTTCCCCAAATTCATGTCCTCACTTACAATACATTCACCACATGCTAAGAGCACCAAAAGTCTTAACCCATTTTGGCATAAATTTCAAGTCCAAAGTCTCATCTAAATATCATCTAAATAGAATATAGGTGAGTCAAGAGGTATGCCTCTTCCTGAGGCAAAGTTCCTTGCCAGCTATGAACCTGTGAAACAAGACTTGTTATGTGTGTTAAAATTACAACAGTGGATTAGAAATAAGATAAACATTCCCATTCCAAGAGAGAGAAATCAGAAAGAAGAAAGACATGATGAGTCCCAAGCCATTCTAAAACCTATCAAGGCATTTTATTAGATCTTAAGGCTTAAGAATACTCCTCTTTGGCCAGATGCTCTGCTCTCCAGGCCCAATAAGGCAGCAGCATCCCTTCCATAGCCTTAAGCATTATCCTGCCCCCATGACTCTTTAAGGGGCAGTTTGGCTACTGAAATCTAGGAGGTGGCCCCACCCTCTCTGAGAAGTAAATAATCTGCCTTCCTGGGCATGCATGCTCTGGGCCTATGGTGCAAGTGGGAGCTCTGATGATGTCTGAATTACCTTCAAGGTCATACTTTCTTTTTTTGTAGGATAAAGCATGATCACATATGAATAGCTCTATTTTCCTGTGCTGGCCACTGGAGACATAGCTGATTAAATCCATGGGCAATCTCTTTATGGAGTACTTGTTCAGCCATATCTTTGTTGTCCCTTCCAGAACATACTTTCTCATTTTTTTGCAGTATGTATAAACTGATAATTCTCTAAATCTTTAAGTTCTGGTTTTTTTCTGTTAATAATTTCTTCTTCTCTTTATTTCTCTCCTTTCTCATTTTATCTTAAGCAGTAAGGAAAACCCAAGCTGCACCTTCAACACTTAGCTTAGAAATCTTTTCAGCTAAATATCTAAGTTTATTATTTTTAAGCTCTACCTTCCACAGATCACTAGAACACAATTCAGCCAAGTATTTGCCACTTCATAGCATGAACAGTTTTTCTTTCAGTCTCTGATAACATGTTCCTCATTTTCAGCTGAGACCCTACCAGAGCACCTTTAGTGTTCATATTTCTACTAACATTATGGTAACGATATATATGTTCTCTAAAACAATAATAGCTTGCACTACTGTCTTCCTCTTTTCTTTCAGAACCCTCATCAGTATCACCTTTAATGTCCTTATTTCTGCTAACAACAGAATGCAGTACATAACAGATAAGAAACTATTGGAGTGTTTGGGCGAAATGCAATGCAATCTGATTGATTTTATTAGAATTACTATGACTTCTGTGTTGAGAACTGATTGCCTGGGACATGGACAATAGCAGATGAAGTTAGGAGGCTCTAAAGTTAGAGGCAAATAGATTTTCTGATAATATATGTGGAGTGTGAGAATAAGAGGGAAACCAAGGGTGATTTCAAGGATTTTGGTTTGAGCAAATTGGAAAAACTAGTTATGATTAACTGAGATAAGAAAGGCTGGCATGATAGATAGTTTGAGTGGAAATAACAAGAGTTTTCATTAGACATGTTGAGATATGTACTAGACAACCATGTGAAGATACTGAACAGAGAATTGTACATCTAATCTTGAACCCAAGGGAAAGAAATGAGGGAGATCTGTGTCTACAATTCAGGGAAGAGTTCTTGACTTTTTAGTTGGTATTTCAAACCATAAAATGTGATGGACTCACTAAAGCAGTAATGTAGATAAAAGGAGGTCCAACAATCTATGCTTGAGATGCTCTAACATCAGGAGACTAGTGAGATAGGAGGAAAAAACCATCAGAGCTGACTGGCAAAGAGAGGCCAGTAAAGGTTAGTAGAAAACCAGGAGAGTGTGATGTCCAGAAAAGCAGAGAAAATGTTTCAAGGGGAACAAAGTGATCAATTATTCTAAACGTTGAGTAATATACTAAGTAAGATGAGAGCTGAGAACCTGTCACTGGGTTAAGTAATGTGCATCGTTGTAGGGTGGTAGGAAAGAAGGTAGTTGCAGGGAAGTAGTAGTGGTGAAAGTGTAATTAGAAAGAAATCAAGAGAAAATTATATGATGACTACAAACACTATTTTGAGGCATTTTATTGTAAAATGAGGCAGTAAACAGAAAAGATTGCTCAAGAGGTTTTTTGTTGTTTTTCTGTTTCTGTTTATTTTTTCTTAAAGATTGAAGAACTATAACACATGCTATGGGAATGATCTAATTAAGGTAAAACACTGGATGATGTGGGAGAGAATGGGAGGATTAGTGAAATGAAGCCCTCGAGTAGTTAAAGTGAATGGACTTAGTGCTCAAGTGGAGGGATGAGGCTGGATGGGAACACAGTCCTCTCTTAACAAAGAAGGCAAAGCATAAGCACACAGAGGCTACCATGTGGAAAGAAAGCAAATAATTTTGATTGAAAGTGGAATATGAGGACATGAACAGTATGTTACAGGGATAAGGAAAAGGGATAGGGAGAGGGACAAACTAGGATTTTTGAGCACCTACAGTATGTCAGGAATTTTGCAAATAATAAACTTAAGAACTAAAACCATACAAACCCTAGAGGAAAACCTAGGCAATACCATTCAGGACATAGGCATGGGCAAAGACTTCATGATCGAAACACCAATAGCAGTGGCAACAAAAGCCAAAATTGACAAATGGGAGCTAATTAAACTAAAGAGCTTCTGTACAGCAAAAGAAACTATCATGAGAGTGAACAGACAACCTAAAGAATGGGAGAAAAATTTTGCAATCTATCCATCTGACAAAGGGCTAATATCCAGAATCTGCAGAGAACTTAAACAAATTTACAAGAAAAAAACAAACAATCCCATCAAAAAGTGGGCAAAGGATATGAACAGACACTTCTCAAAAGAAGACATTTATGCAGCCAACAAACATATGAAAAAAGCTCATCATCACTGGTCGTTAGAGAAATGCAAATCAAAACCACAATGGGGTACCATCTCATGCCAATTACAATGGCGATCATTAAAAAGTCAGGAAACAGCCGGGTGCAGTGGCTCACACATGTAATCCCAGCACTTTGGGAAGCCAAGGTAGGCAGATCACGAGGACAGGAGATCGAGACCATTCTGGCTAATACGGTGAAACCCCGTCTCTACTAAAAATACAAAAAATTAGCCAGGCATGGTGGCATGCTCCTGTAGTCCCAGCTACTCAGGAGGCTGAGGCAAGAGAATTGCTTGAACCCAGGACGTGGAGGTTGCAGTGAGCCAAGATCGTGCCTCTGCACTCCAGCCTGGGTGACAGAGCCAGACTCCATCTCAAAAAAAAAAAAGTCAGGAGACAACAGATGCTGGAGAGGATGTGGAGAAATAAGAACACTTTTATACTGTTGGTGGGAGTGTAAGTTATTTCAGCCATTGTGGAAGGCAGTGTGGCAATTTCTCAAGGATCTAGAACCAGAAATACCATTTGATCCAGCAATCCCATTACTGGGTATATACCCAAAGGATTATAAATCATTCCACCAAAAAGACACATGCTCACCTATGTTTACTGTAACACTGTTCACACTAGCAAAGACTTGGAACCAACCCAAATGCCCAACAATGTTAGACTGGATAAAGAAAATGTGGCACGTATACACCATGAAATACTATTTAGCCATAAAAAAGAATGAGTTCATGTCCTTTGCAGGAACATGGATGAAGCTGGAAACCATCATTCTCAGCAGACTAATACAGGAACAGAAAACCAAACACCGTGTGGTCTCCCTCATAAGTGGGAGTTGAACAATGAGAATACATGGACACAGGGAGGTGAATATCACACACTGGGGCCTGTCAGGGGGTGGAGTGCTAGGGGAGGGATAGCATTAGTAGAACTACCTAATGTAGATGACGGGTTGATGGGTGCAGCAAACCACCATGGCACATGTATACCTATGTAATAAACCTGCATGTTCTGCACATGTATCCCAGAACTTAGTATAATAAAAAAAAAAAAACACCATTCAATACAAGATCTTTTCCCCTACCCTCAAAAGGCTCAAGGCTCACAGTCTAAAAAGGCAGATAAGTGAGGATATAATTTTAATAATGCAGAGTGATAACTGTCTTAATATAGTACCTTCGGCTACTTATATAAACTGTTTACACCCCAGTCTTTGAATGCATTCATAGGTGCACTCACAAAATAGGGGATTAAAGGGATTATTGGGATAAGGTATCAACACTCTTACTCAGCTCTGTGAGGAGCTAAGGTTTCTCCACGAAATATGTTTCTCTTCAATCCAAGATTTGTCTTATAAAGCTCTACTGTTTTTGTTTTCTGCCTGCATAGCCTTGGAGGAAAAAAAATATTAGGTTTCAGACTCAGATCAGCTCAGTTTGAATCCTAGATCTCCTAGTTAACAATTAAGTGATCTGAGCAAGTTAATGAATTAGCCTTAGTCGCCCCATCAGCAAAATAGGAGTGAAAATGTTTCACATAAATATTGTGAAGATGTAATTCTTTAATATGCATAAATAGTTAGAATAGTTCTTGGTGCACAGTGAAGATATAATTAATGCTAGTTATTATTTATCCTGTTCTTTTATTACATGCAATTGTAATTTTTATTGTCACCTAATGTCTTAGCTTTGTCATCTTTCTTTTTTATATACTTTCTTTGCTTACTCTTTAGTCATTTTTTTATGTTTAACCTCTGTATCTTTTATTTCTCAGTTAAGAGGATATTCACCGTGAACTTTCTCCTGAAGACTTTTTCTGTATTTTTTTCAGTTGCTGTTTGTCTTTAGGCTAAATGTAGGGACTCTCTGCTCCACCGAGTCTGATATTACTCTCTAAATGGTCTGGATCAGTGATACTCTTGAAAAGCCAGTCATAGCTTCAGGGGGCTGGCTTCTCTACAGCACGTTCTCTCACCTGGCTGTGCTCTGTTTATCTTGTATGAGGAGAGAGTATCCAGTCTGGAAGGGTAAGAATATTTGGCTCTTTGTGTCCTTTAATATCTGCCATCTGTTGGCCAATGTTAAAGAATCATAAATGTTTTCAATGGCAAGGAATGATACCTATGACAAAAACATACAGATTTTATAGTTGAGTACTTTCTGCAACTAGATACTATAGTGATGCAGGTTAAACAATATAAACTCTGTTTTTTCTAAAGATATTCGATAAAAATGATCTGCACAAATAGAAAATTTATGACTAAGTTAATGGTGCAGTCTACCTAACCATGGAAGAAGAGTCAGTGCTCAGAGAATGTTATTTAGAAGGAAACAAAGACAACTAAATAAATTAATGTATAATGTATACATTATTCAGAGCCATTCTGAAACTTAAAAAAAGAAAACAGGAAAGACTGCTTAAGCTCTTCAATCCAACAGCATTTAATGTTAGTTCTATAAAGCCTACATTTATCAAATACATAATTTATGTCAGGTAGTGTTCTATTTCTGTACATTTATTATCTTATACATTTTCCTCTAAATCACTTTGATGTATTTTCTCTAATTATCCAAATTTTACAGAAGGAAATAGAGGATCATAAAATTTAAGTCACTTGTTCAATGTTAAACAAATAGTAAGCACCAGAGTTTCAAGGCAGCCTAACTGCAAATTCTGTGGCCTTAGATTTCATATTGGATATTTTCATTTTGAATCTTCTTACCATGACTCAATAGCTTAGATCCTTGTGAGCAAGCAGCATGTTTAATATACTAAATACAAGGTTTAGTGAAAAACAGTATTGGGTTGAGACCCAGTCTTGCCGCTTATGATCAGTTTGGTCTCAGATTTTTCTTCTCTTAGAATTAGGTTAATAATTCCTAATTCATAGCATGACTGTGTGGTACTGCGAGGCACATTACTAAATGAGGTAATGGATATAAAGTATGTAGCACAGTGTTTCACACATATTAAGTATTCGAGAAATATTTCCTGCTCTCCTTTGGCATTCCCGTCTGTCTTTCTGCAAGCAATACTAGCTTGTCTGAAGTCCTTCTCCTCTTTAATGATACAAATCCTGTCTCTCACCATCTGCAAATATTTAATGAGTTTCAATTATGTAAATATGTGCTGTAAAAATGACCAACCCATAGTCCCTACCGTTAAGCCCCTAGTAATCTTTATCAGGCCCCTATATAAAACCTACAACTTTTAAAAAGTCTTTCTGAGCACTCCAGGCCAACTTCCTTCTCTCAACTCCTCCGGAAGTGAATTTGTGTCCCCTTATTTGGTACTAAGCAATTTACTTACTTCTTTTGTGATGTCTTTTTGTACATCTATACCCCTGGCTCTCTAAAGAGATTGTAAAGAAGTATGACTCCTGCCTTAAGGGAGCATAATACCTGTAGATGATAGGCATTTGCAAACTTTCTGATGGATAAAATTAAAAAGGAGTTTTTGCTGCAGAATTCACTTTGAAAAATTATTTCACTTAATTGTATGTCATTCTTCACTGTGACAAAACAAAACAAAACAAAACAAAAAACCTTGGTCACCACAGGCTATGCCGCATCCAGCTCGCTTGAGCCTTTCTTGTAGCTTTTGATCTCACTCCATTTTTCTAGATTATTTGAATTTGATGAAAATGCACAAAATCAAAACCTGTTTCTCGATTATTTTTTCTAAAGAGAGAAATGACTTTGTCTATCACTACCTCCAAAATTACACACACACAAAACCTAGTTGATGATAGTGCTGCACATTAACAGAGTATCTTTTTCTCAAACACACCTGGTACTCTTCCAGCCCAGGTATGTAAATAGGACTCATTTTGCACAGGCTGAAACATGACCCAGGCTCTGTAGTGCCTCCTGAGATGGGAGTGGAAAGTACACACAGAGGGCTTCTGTATGCTTGGAAGGAAAATTGTATGAATATGTGTGGTGGTAGAGAGGTCAGGAGATTGGATGAGAATTCAGGTCAACTGAATGTTAAAAATTAGAATATAGAACTATGTTAATATCCAGTTAGGAGAGCAACATTAGCATCAGCATTGCTGCAAAAGCTAGATTTTAATGACCATAAGGTTGACTAATCTGTGACCTACATGTACACCCAGAAATGCACCACTTCTCTGGGACCAAATGAGGCCTTTGAAATGATCCCCAAAGTTCAGCCTGGTCTAAATTGTAGAAGCTCTGTATTTCACAGTATATTTTAAACAAAACACTGCTCCCTTCCTAAAGGATTGGACTTTTAGTTTCTAAATAATAATTTACAGAATTGACATATATTTTCATAAATGGTATCATAATTTCATACTGCACAATTCTTTCCCAACTGGCTTTTTGCACTCAGCATTTTGTTTTTCAGAATAGTTCATATTGATACACAGGGACCCAGTTAACTCATTTTGTCTGCAGTTGAAGATTATATTATACAACGTAACATTTTATAAACACACGGTCAATTGGGATTTGTTCAGATTTTTGCTTTTGGAAACTGTATAATCTTTCATGTATTTCCTTGTGCATATATGAGATTTTCTCTAGTACAGAGATTCCATGGATAAACAATGAAATGGATCATTTGGGAATTTCTTGAGTATAGATGGCAATTCAAGTTTTTCAGGAGTGGGGCCCATGAATTGATATATTTTGAGAACATCTCAGATGGTCCTAATGTGCATTCAATATTGAGAACCACTGTTTTAGTCCAGGGCAATGCTTCTCAAACTTTAATGTAGATATAAATTATCTACAGATCTTGTTAAGTTGCAGCTTTTTATTTAGTTAATCTGGGAGTATCTGTATTTGTAAAAAGCTCCCAGGTGATTCAGGACTACACTTTCAAATCTCTACAATTTCATTTCTAAGTATTTCCTCTAGGGCATTCAAATACTTAGAAATGAAATTGTAGTGATATATGTGTATCTTCAGTTTTATTTGTTTTCAAATTATTTGCAGATTTATATTGTTTTCAGCAGTGTGTGATTTTTCATTTTCTCATCAACTTGGTATTACCTAATTTTTTAAGTGTCACCAATATTATGAATTTCAAGTTGTGACATTTTAATTTAAATTTTTCTGCCTAAAAGTGAAGGTGCACTTCTTGTCAAGTAATTCAAATAATTGGCCATTAAAGTTTCCCCTTTTTAAAATTGTGCATTCATATTCTTTATCCATTTTTCTATTAGTAGACCTTTTTTAACATTTTGACTTGTTGAAATTATTTATATATTCAGAATACTAATCTTTTGTTTGTTTGTTTAAATTCTCTGGGAATGCTTCCTGCAATGTGGCTTTATTTAAATCAGTTTATGGTATCTCACATATACCAAAGTTTACCTGTTTACATTTAAGATAGTCACATTTACCAATCTTTTTCATCTGGCTTGTGTTTTACATCTTACTCTTTTTCCAACTTCAATGCTATAAAGTAATTCTATATTATTAAAATATTTTAAAATTTTGATTTTAATATTTGGACTTTTAATCTATGCATAACTTATTTATGTACATGGCATGAGGTCCAAATTCATTTGTATTGTTTTTTTTTCCCCACAGGGTAGACAATTGCCTAGCACCATTGATTGAATCTTTCTACACTGATTTGTAATACTCCGCTATCATATTCAAAACCTGTGTGTGTCTGTTCTGTGAGTGCTGTGAGTTTTGTGTGTGCCAGTTTTATTCTAGGCTGTATTTTTTCCCGGCATTTTATAATTAGCATTGAGAATTTGAAAGGATAAGTTATTCTCTTTTATTTTTCTTAGTTAGGATTGTTCTTGGCTACTCTTGGTCCTTTACTCTTCAATATGAGTGATAGGATGAATTTTTTAATTCTGTAAATAAAATGGAATTTAATGTAATTGTATCACATTTATAGATTTAAGGGGGGAAGAGTTAACATATTTTCTGTAATCCAGTTGAATTATCTTATCAATTCCAATAGCATGTATCTTCTCTTGAATATTCTACAAAGACAAGTTATCTATTAGCAATGACTTGTTTGCACCTTTGCTTTGAATACTTATCCTTTTAACTTATTTCTAAATCTTATTGAACTGATTAGGAACTCTACTATAATGTGAAATAGAAAAACTGGGCTTCCTTACCTTGTTTCAGTTTTAATGAAATATGCCTCACATTTCACAATTACAGATAATGAGCATTGTGAATTTTGTTGTATCTTTTTAGTCACATTTTGAAAGAAACTATCCCTAGATTGCAACTTTTTGTTATAAATTATAGTATTTTTATATAATGCTTTTTCTATATCTATTGACATGATTATATATATATACATATCCTTAAATCTGTATTGATGTATTAAATTTATAAGCTGTTAAATAATTTCCTCATTCCTAACATAAGAACACTTGCTTAGGCAAAATTTTTATATATATTACTGGATTCACTTGATGAATCCAATGTTGCAATTAAAAATTTTCTGTGTTTATAAGTGAAATTGCTTTTCTTGTACAGTCATTGCCTATATTTAATGTCACATTATGTCAGTTTCATGAAATGAATTGGCAATATTTTCCTCATTTTATTTTTGTTAAATTTTGTATCTTGAATCTTCTCTTGAGTAGGCTATATAACATGAAAATTAGTTCTTTAAATATTGGTAGATATCTTTTATAAAACTGTGTAGGCCTGTTATTTATTTGTTGCTGATAGACCATCCCAGGCCGGGCGTGGTGGCTCATGCCTGTAATCCCAGCACTTTGGGAGGCCGAGGCGGGCAGATCACAAGGTCGGGAGTTCAAGACCAACCTGGCCAATATCGTGAAACCCCTGTCTCTACTAAAAATACAAATATATATATATATATGGTTTCAGTGAGCCAAGATCGTGCCACTGCACTCCAGCCTGGGCGACAGAGCAAGATTCCATCTAAAAAAAAAAAAAAAAGAACATCCCAATCAATTGTTCCTACAGGCAGCCCATATTCTCTAGAGACTAGTTCTATTCTACTTTTCATTTATGCCATCTTCAATATGTGATTTCCAATTTCTAAGGAAACAGCAAGGAGGATCACTCCTGGGAGGTTTATGTGAGCCAATCCTGGAAAGAGCACACATCACTTCTCCTCACATTCCATTGCTTAAAACTCAAGCATAAGTAACTTTATCTGGGAATCATAATTTAGTTGTCTGCCAAGAAGAGGAAAATGAACTTGGTAATCAATTAGCTGCCTTGCAACACCTAGAAAGAAATAAGATATTTCTCTACTACAAAAGAAAAGTTCTTTTTTCTTCTATAAATTTTGTTTAATGCCCCCTTTCAAAAAGTACCTTATAGTAACAAGCATACAGCTTAGTTCCTGAAGGTACCATTTGAGTGTTACAGCTTCCAGCCTGATGGAAACAGTTTGATATTAAAATCCTAGCACAGTATTGCCAACTCCCTATCAAAAGCACCATGTTATATACATAAAAAACCTTCTCATCAGCTGGTGACTCTGCTGCCATTTGGTACATTTTATTTTTCAATAAAATAACTGACTAGAAAAAATCAACCATAGTCACTGTTGTTTTTGCAATATGTTGGAAAGGCAGGTGGTCATCCTATCTCTGGAAATGAAAAACAATACAGAGATAAATGTGGGAAAAAAAGAGGAAGTGTGGAAGAAAGTGTGTGGGTTTAGCTGTTTGGTGAAACAGGATGAGAAGGGCTCTTACGTTACTCATCAACTGAGAAACATATTTCCATCTATTTATACTAACACATCAATCTGGATGCATACACTGTGACTTCTATAAATGCAAACTCACAAAAATTTGCTTAGGTAGAAACACTTGATAGGATATTCATATCATAGGGGGAGAAACCAACATACAACCAGCCATGGAGTTTTCAAATAGCAAACAGTAGTCTCTTTTTTCCCTCCCACAAAGATATTAATCAAACGTTCTTTCCATTCCAAGAATTAAACAAAAACTTATTTGGGCCTGTGAAACTTCAGGCCCTCAGAAGGAATACACTAGCCATTTACAACATGTTTGTTTTTGCGTCCATTATTTTAGCAATGTTTTAACTCAAAGTCCTCTATAATTTATTCTCATCCTAACATTTTAATCTTGTTTCTACCAAGTTGAGCTGTAAAGCTAAACTGCCTGATCGGCAAATATGTCCTGTATGTTTACTAACTGTTTATTTCCAAATGCTGATCTCACAATTCTCTGTTCATCCTCCCAAGTCCAAATTTGTTCCATTATTCAAAGCCAAGCTCAAATTTCTTCTCATCAAATCTTTTCTGATTCTCCTCTCCACCTGCCCTTCCTCTACCTACTTCCAATTAAAGTTAGTCATTTTCTCACCTAAAGTACCGTGATCTTTTTCTCTGAATCTTTCTTATGACTCTTAGGGTGTTCCACTTTACAGTTACTAATGTTCTCATTTTCTCTCTTAACTACATTCTAGACTTTTTAAGGGCAAGAGCATGCCTTTGATTCCTCTTCATGATCTCAATATCTGATGGGAACACTATGAAATATTCTATTATTATGAAATATTACAGTATTTATGAAATGAATAACTTTAAATGTATCTTATATATAGGTAAAAGTTGGTAGGCAGGCTACTGATAAATATTTTTTTAAAAAAGCCATAATTTATAGCATTTGCCAATTTCCATGCTCTAAACACTGCCACTGTGGCCACGTTCAGATTGATATCACTAAATACAAAGTTGAGGAGAGATATGCAGTAGCAGACCATTTCTACCATATAGATTCAATACATGTAAGTAACCCAAGATAACACACGACAGTAAAATGTAATAAAATATTGAGAAAGTGATACATTTTGAGTTTTTAAAATTTTTGCTTTTAGTATAATTTAACTTTAATATTATTTAATTTTAATAATGAATATGCTTAAAATTCAACTCACAAAATTCCTGAAAATCCAACATTTACCTTCCACAAGTGCACCTGATATTGACATTGTTTGTCAGTGCATACTTTCTATTTATACAGTTTTGTTTAAAAATGCTGTAAGAAAGGGAAAAACTATATGTGAAATGTAAGAAGAAATTCCATTTCTCTCCTCTAATGGGCTTGTTCATTTTATCTACATTTTTGTTGCCTCCCCTCTTATTTTTCTCCTCCTCTTCCCCAGTTGTCTACCAGTCCTATCGCCAGTCCCGAACAACAAATGATTTTTGTTCATCACTTAACCTCCCTCAGATCTCATTTTTCAGTTGCTAATAGCCAGGCCCTTTAATGGCATTTTCCTTGAGTTTACTTCCTCATATACAAAGGTATGTAGTGCAGCAAATACTCAAAGAATGCACAGTTGAAAAATCCTAACAGTATTATTTGACTCAAGCATTCACTCAGTGTAGTAATCCCATTTCTAATCCCACTGGTCTTCCATAGTCTCTGGAAACCATGTGATGACAGGGAGCTTGTATTCTCATAAAATAGTTTTTTATTGTTAGGATACTTCTTGTTTAGGATACTTTATTATAATCACCTGAATTCTACCATACTTTTTTCTACTAGATCAACTGAGAACAAATTCACAAGCAAATGCAAATACTCTTCTCCTTCCTTGCATTTTTTATATTTATGTAAACACTCCTGGTTCCGTCATCAGTGTCCTAACGTAGTACTGCATGTATGCACTTTACTATTCTGTCTGGCGTCTAATGGCAAAATAACATCTGTGTGTTACTAGCATGTTGTAACGACTGAAACTGAACACCTGACCTCCGGTATAGTTTTATCATTAAATGTGTCTCCCAGAGATACATCCAAGTTGCTTAAAATTCAGAAAACAAAACAGCCAAATACAGATTATTATTGAGCACTGCTGACATTCTGCTTCCATATAGACATGAATCTACCACCAATACAAGTTGTAGTGGCATGACCAGTTAGGTCTCTGTCAGGCTATGTGAGCAACTTGTCCACACAACTCTATTTTATTGCTTAAACTGTCAACAATTGTCAAACGGCTCCTGAAATCTACATACACACTCAATATGTTCATAGAATTTTCTTTCTTCGTAAGTAGTTGACCTACTCAAAAGGTAAATTGGGTTATTTTGGCATAGCTAATCCTTGATGTTTATTCCTCTCAACCCTTAAAATCCAAATATTTAGATATAGTTTATACTTTTCCATCCTTCCACTACAGTAGTAGCCGTGAATAAAAGGTTTTAATGATAGTTAGGTGTATGCAAAAATACAGAATAAAAGAGCTAACTTTTACCAGGTAGCATATTTGGATTTTCCACCTTTCAGAAAGAAGAAGGGGTTGGTTTGGCTTATTTTTGGTGGATTTATCAAGTGACGAGACTGGAGTGTTCAAAACAAGAAAGTTCAGCAGGTTGGAGAGGTAGCTCCAGAGCACGAATGCCCAAGGAATTACACTTTTCAGTCTTAACCACATTTTTTAAGTTTTTAAAAACAGAATCTGATAGCATCAAGAAAACAAAAGTAAAAATACATGATATTTTTTATCTGGGATATGAAAATATTTTATACACTTAGTACTTGAGAGAAGCTAAAGCATGTTAGTGTTCCTTATGTAACACCCAAGAGACTAGTTCACTTTCAATATATTAATATTTTAAGCCAAAAGGGAGAAGTGGCAAAGTATTTCTGTTCCTTGGAATGTAGTAATTAATATGAAGGAGAATGACTTTGTAAATGAATGTGTTAAAGACTAAATCTCTAAACAAGGAACATTTAGAACTGACTAAAATATTCCCATTAAACACATTCTGAGCACTTACTGTGTACTAATTATGATCTTGTAAATTACTCAGGGATCAATATAAAATAGTTCTTGCATTCATCTGGCTTCTCCAGAAATATCTACAAAAAGAGACATTTGTTTATGTCTTGAAAGTGAATAAAGGAAATAATTTTAGGTGTGACTAGCTAAGTAGTTCAGTTACAGCCACAGGGATGAATACAGAGTCTGTGATAGGGTCCTCATCTTGTCCAGCCTCCATATGTGTATAACTCGACCTGGAACACATTTGTCTATTTAGACGGCTACAACATATTCCAAAAAATATCTTGGTATCGCCTTTGCCATCCTTCTATCTTTATCTGAGCTGGGTGAATTTTCCTTAAGGTATACATATTTTATGTATATGTTTCTCATATAACTTGATATAATTGTATTTTTAATCTATTTTAATGTTTATTTTCTTCCATAATATATAAGCTACTGGAAAACAACTCTTTTATTACATGTTAAATCAACAGCACCTATGTCAGTCCCTAGTGCATAGCAAATGACAAACATTTTCTAACCAAATGAATAATATATAAATCTGTAAGAGAGAGATCTTTTGAGAGTAGCCTTCCTATAATTAGACTTTCCCCACTGTTACCATATCTCAGTATAAACAAAGGCACATACTGATGTTACAAGACACACACACACACACACACATGCTTGTATTCAATACAGTACGTATCTAACTGTAGATCTAAGGCAATATATAATATTTAATCCTCTTGCTGGAAATCAAGGCGTTAAAGAGAATTAAGAATATCTGAAAATTTGAGTTTTTGTGATTTATATTTAAATATAAGTCCCAGAAGCTAGCCCCAGTATAAAACAATTTCTGTCAAGAGACTGCATTTTTTTCTAATGAATAATTTAAAACACAACTTTTTTTTTCCATGTGAACTGTCTTATATCTTGGCAGTAGGCATAGCATTTCAATAATTTATATACTTTTGAATATAATATAGTTAATGTCACAAAAGCAATTTCTTTGATATTGAATTATAAGAGAATGCACTTAGACCACTGTGACTAATGATCTAGGAGCCAACACATGGCAAGTTATCTTTTAATCCAATCCAATTTCAGAGAGAACTGGCACATGTAACCATAGGACTCTGCTATCTCTTGGCACATAGCTGCATGATAACCTTTGTTTGTAATATTTTTTTAAAAAAATAAAGGTTCTCTTTGAGAAAAGTAGATAAGGTAACATGGACGTTAAAAAATATAGATGATAATTATTTTTTGGAAGCAGAATATTAACATGAATCATGGTTTTATCATTAAGTTTCTGGATGAAACCCATTCTCAGAATGTTTTCTAAGGCAAGACTCTAGGCCTTTCTAAGGCAGTTACTCTGTAAATCTAATCATGGTTAGTTTTTGACAGGTGAGAAACCACACATTAGTGTGATAATGTACAACTTTTATAAGAAAACAAACAACGTAATGTGAAAATGGATTCCTTGTGTCTTTCAAAGCCAAAATAGTCTGAAGGCCTTGCCAAGATGTGAGGCAAAGATGGCAAGATTGTGGCTCTCTAGCTGAATCCAGACCATGAAGAGCTTTCAGCATATGGTGAAGATTTTGTACACACACAAATCTGCAGGCACTCTTTACTTTCATAAACCATGTAGACTTTTATATCAAGAAAATTGTCCAACATGTAATGATGAAGTGTCTTCATGTTTTTCTAATTCCTATAAAGGTGTCATTTGGGTTAGTGCCAGGCTAATTTCACAGATATTTTGAGGAGATTGTAAGCTACAAAAAAAAAATTAATATTTCCAGTCTTAAGTTCTAGCAAGCCTAGACTTTTCTATTTTTAGGATGGAAATTATCAGTGGTAGCTGCTCTCTTTAGACAGGTGCTCTCTACCTGGCCCCATCAATCACAATATGTATGTATACTTTGTCCTGACTCACATTACTCATATATGTTACTTATCCATAACATTAGATATTTTTGTTTTCAACATAAGTAATCAGGGCCTTGGCCATCATGGGAAGTTTTATCATCTATTTCTGGAGGCTTTACTTTGTTCCATTGTCTATTTGATACCAACACCACACTGGCTTTGTAGTAGCTTTATGGTAAGTTGTGAAGTCACATAAGATAAGTTCTCAAATTTTCTTTATTCTTTTAAAAACTGTGCCCAAACGTGGTTGCTTTTAACAACTACAATTATTTGTTTTACTCAGAAGACTGCAATTTGTGCAATTTAGATAGGATATTTGAGGCCTCACTGGGATGACTTAGGCAGTCAGGGCTTAGATGAGCTGAAGTGCTTCCCAAGCTTTCTCTCTCTCTCTTTCTGTTATCACAGTCTCTCCATGTGGCGACCGCATGTGGTGCCTCCACATGTTCTCTCCAGCATGGTAGCCCCGAGGTGGTGACACCACAGTGGGCTAGAACTCCAAGAGTGAGTGTTCTCAGAGAACAGTACCGGAAACAAATATTTTTTGCTTTGTTTTGTTTTGTTTTGTTTTCCCAGTTTGGAAGTCAAATAGCATTATTTCTTCCACAACTCTACTGTATGAAGCAGCCAAGAGCCTACTCCAATTTAATATGAGGTGGGGAAGGGGAGAGATCCTATTTTTAGTGGAAAGAGTATTAAAAAATTTGTGGCCATGTTGATAGAACCACCACACAAACCAACTATCACAAAAGCAGATGGGTGGATGGAAGGAAGAATTGGCCTGGACATGTAGAACTTTGCCCTAAGATGGACCCAAACTCACTCCCTCCAAATAAGTCATTAGTCTCTCAGTATATTACTCACAGTAAATGTTCAACAAATACTAACCCTTGCTGTGGGTAACCTTTTTTAGACATGTTTCCCGTAAGGAAGGCAGAAAGCCACAGTGTCCTATTTTGAATACTTATCCAACTACCTTCTCACTCCCTTTCTAGAGCACAGTGTTGAGAAGGGATCACTATAAATAGTGTTGAGAAGGGCACACTATTTATTTCCAGCCAAGGCTTCAGCACCAATTCCCTGGTGAGCTTATTGGATCATATGGAAATTTCTAGGATCTATATAAACATATGAATAAAAAGACAAAAATAAAATATATCAAACTATTAATAATAATTATTAAATGGTGGCATTATATTAAATTGAATCATATGAAATTGCCAATATCCATTTGTTTTTAACTAAAGGGCAGTTTTAGATATTACAACCTAATATGCTACTTTTTTTTCTTCCTTAATGTTTATGTATTTGTCTACATTCTTTTCAGTGAATGTATATTATCTTCATGATTAGAAAAATAAATATTATTTACAAAGAACAAAGAAACCAGAGTACTTCAAAGAAGGTGTTATTTTTCAAATGGTGCTAAAATGACACATCTCCTCTGCAAATGCATAAAACACCAGAGCAGCTTTTAGATATAAAAATCTGCTAAAACACATTTTGAGAAACCTGAGCCTAACAAGGAATATGTATATTGAACCTGAGCAGGCTTACCTTATAAAACCAGGAGCCAGGTGTTACATTATAACTCTGTGACTCCAAGGGTAGACATTGGGTTCTCTCATGTTTTCAAAAACCCTAAAGCAAGCTTTTAGCTATGGGAAATGTTTGCAAAGAAGGCAGCTGGGTTCTAGTTTGACACAGCTGGGCTGTTTCCTCTGGTTTATAGGGAAAATAGTTCACTGCCAAGGATGAGGCAAGAAAACAGTTCACTTGGGCCATTCCAAAGGGTATTTGTTGGCACATTTCCAAATGGAGCTGGCCACCAGGTTTATGGGAATAGTAACTACACTGAAAGAAGGTACTTGCTTTCCTTAATATAAATTCCTGGAAGGGGAATCATTGGCTCAATGGAATAGAAATTTTTTTAAGTTCTTAAAATATACTGCCAAATTGTTTCCAGGAAAAAAAAAAACCTCATTATTAATTCTTAATAAAATGTTACCATCACTGAAGGTTTTGAAGTTATATAGTTGGTGCCTTAAGAATTATACTTCACTAGGATACCCACATTAGTGTGCTGTAAGGTATTTCAATTGCGGTGTTCTTCCTATCTATTTTGTGACCATTTTCTACTAAGGAAGAGACTGAATTATGCAGGCATTGTAGATTCCCTGTGATATACAGCACGACAATAAGTGTGCTCCAGCCTGCTGGCTGCTGCTGCTGTTGCCTGAGGAAGTAGCTGCTATTAAGGTCCTGATTTTAAGCAGTGTTTTATATCTTTGAATTATCCAAGTAAGTGAAACTGAAGCAAGCCTGAGGTACAGCAGTGATTTGAATTCTGGTGTATAAACACTCATGTGCAGAGGCTAGCTATTGATCCTCTCGCCAAAACAAATCAAAAAAATAAAAATCTTTACAGTCCAAAATATTGAAACTCTTGTGTAACCATGTTGTGTTTTTGTCTTCAAAATAAAATGTTTGTACAGCATGCGAGAAATTTGCCTGCAACCAAAAATGTTAAAATCATTACATAAATGTTAAGCTCTCTAAAACCAGCAGCCTTTTAAAAGCTCATTTTATCACATTTAATTTTCATGTATACTAAACCTACTTCATGTGTGTTTCATGTGTAAGTGTATGTTTTTATTTGCTACTGAAAATCTAACTGGCAAATTGTTATGCCTTTGCATAATCCATGCATTAGAGAGTCCAGAGAAGATGGAGAGAAAGAGAAAATAGAAGAAAGTAATTTCCACTTTAGTTTCTCTATAATTCCATATCCTGTAGGGTTCATTCTTCTCAGAGTCTTACTTTCTTCTCTTCTTGATCACTACCATTTAGAACCAATCCTGAGCTTTTCAAGGGAAAAGAACACGATGGTAAAATGTTGCCTATTGCATCTTTCTACTTCCAGGATGGTGCCCCACTGCACCCACTATGCTGCTCTCAGTGAGTTTGAAAATGGATGCAAGTTAATAAGTCATCATTTCTTGTAGGGTTAGTTACATTTTAACATTAGTCCCTTGAAGGCAAATAAATATTCTGAGGATCTTTAAAAAAAAAAAAGCCTTTCTACTTAGAGTGCAGATTTTAAATATAGGAGAGAGAATTTTAAGGAGAGGTCTTTCTGGTGTTCTGTAAATCAGTGTTTCCAAAATCTGTAGACTTTGGAACTCACTACATACTATTGGTCTAGAATATCCTAAATCAACCTTTCTCCCATCCCAGAATCACGAAAAACTCATCCGGTTATCCCTGATGATTAGCTGGGTGTGGGAAACTACTGTTTTAAACCACCAAATTCTGTTCAAATTCCACCTGTTTCAAAAAGCCTTGTCCAATATCAGCATCCCCTCAATTCTGCCTCCATAAGGAAGAGTTAGTTACAAATCTGTGTTCCCAATACACCTTGGGAATAAGTCTTTGTAGGATTAGTGACTCTGCATTGTGATTAGAAATGTTGTATCTTTCTAACTCTTTAGACATGGACTCCTTAAGATTAGTCACCCTGAGATGGGGCTTAATAAATGTCTATTGGATGGATGGATGGATGGATGGATGGATGGATGGACGGGTGGATGGATGAATTAAAACAGTTCACTGCCTATTTTGCCAGATTTTTATAGGTGACCCCACGAAGGACAGAATAGATTGAGAAAAACTCGTGCATAGGTATCCTAAATGAGAGAAAACAGTAAAGTAAGCAACATAATTCAAAGTTTGAACTGAAGTTCGACAGATAACGTTTTTCTTATACGGATTCTTTACCCCTAAGTTGTTCTGGCATATTTTATCTGTAGGTATTTCATGAATTTGGCAAGTTTGAATTTAAAACTCATGCTTGGTATCTTTTTCCTGTTATCACTATCTCTGAGTGAGGGGATTAGGGGAGAAGCAATAGAAATCTCTGAAATGCCATAAACTGTGACAAGTCAGTCATAGTCTATCAGCTGGAGAAAATAATGTTGCTGGTGAGATGCAGACCATGAAACCATCAAGAACCCACAAGCAAACCAATTTAGAGAAAAAAGCATGAAACAATTTCTTATCTCAGTTTGAGAACAACACCTTTTCCAGGAGGTTTGTTATGTAACGTAGATCTGCTTTCACTTTTTGGGGGCAGGCCAATACTGAAAAGAGGAGTGCCAGCCCAGTGAAAGGAAGGATGTTCTTTTGATATTGCCAGCCATTACCAGATATGGGAGTGCAAAAAAGCCAATTCTCCCAAGATTTATAGTTACGTCTAGCTTGTTGACTCAAGCAGTTTGGAAAAGCTTCAGAAATATAGTTCATCCAAACTAACCCAGACTCCAAGTCTTTGGAGGAAAAAAACAGTAGAAATAATATGCACATACATACTATTAGAGTCAAATTCTCTTGATTTTAAATTTGCAAAGATCCAAAAGTAAAAAAAAAAAAATACTGAGACCAACTCACATGGGACTACCTAAGATGTGACAGACCATTCTGTTAAAAATAAATGTGTATGATTATTGTCCAGTTATTTCTCTGGGTTTGCATGGCAAAAGCTATAGTAGGCAAAGGACTAAGAAAATATTATGCTTCTAAATGAGTTAGAGGAATATTTAATCCCTAAACTCAGAGAATCCATGAAAAAGTCACACAGGACCCTTGAAATTATAATTACATTTTCACCATATTCTCAGAACTTATATTATGTGATTCTTGCAATGGTATAAAATTTTATAGGATCTCTTCACTGAGACATCAAAGAAGTATTAGCTTAGCACCTGAAAGAACAATGAAATATTTATTGAATAACCTGTATGTGTCAGGCCCTCTCTCAGGTTCTGGCAATATGCTGTTGAATAAAGCACACAACTTCCCTACCCTAGGTCTCTACTTAGATTCTATGAAGAGATACAGATAATAAACAAATGAAGAAATAAATACCAATGATAATTATGGATTGCAAAGAAAACTATCACAAGAAATGAGTATAGGAGTGGAAAGGGGCAGAGAGTTATGGGTGCAAATAATTATTTCAACAAGACACATTCTGTCCTAGTACATTCAGGCGCTATAAAAAATGCCATAAACTAGATGGCTTATAATCAACAGAAATGTATTTCTCACACTTCTGGAGGCTGGGAAGTCCAAGATCGAGGCACTGGAGAGGGCCTGTTTTCTCATGGATGACACTTTCTCACTGAGTCCTTACATGGTGGAAGGGGTGGCCTAGCTCGTGGGGTCTATTTTATAAGGGCACTAATCCCTTCATGATCTAATCACCTTTCCAAGGCCCCACCTCCTAATAGTATCACCTCGGGGGTTAAGATTTTAACTCATGAATTTGGGAGAGACACAAACATTGTCCACAGTGCAGACCCAGAAAAACCTATTCTGCTTTAAGATCATCAAAGTCATCAGTGATACAATTTTTTAAGATCGAATTTTGATCTTTTAAAATTCACTCACTAATGTACATTTCGCTGTTTCTTCTTTGTGGTAAATTTTTGAGGTATGAGAAGTCACCGTTGGGAGAGGTGGGTCAAAGAGGACATCAAAGAGTTGGCATCACTTTTATTTTACTTCTTATTTGTCCTAGTGAACATATTTGGAGAATAGATCTCATAATTGTGTGCATAATTCAAATAGATATATAACAACTTTTAAAGGTTTTTGGTAATGAGTCTACAACTTCAGAGAATGAATGAGAGGGCATTCGGTGCACTCCCCTATAAAACACTGCTTTGATTTTATATCCTGACCGAGGAAACAGGTGGTTTTTGTGCCAGAATATTGTGGTTACAATAAATGCTGATCTGATGTTTTTCAGTAATCTGTGAGTGTTTATGAGCCAGATTAAATAAATATTCCATCTACCTTTTAGCCCTGGCATCCTAAAGACAGCCTCCAAATGGATTTGTATGCACTGTGGTCTTTCACGGACTCTTACAGCTTAAGAGCTCGATGGGGCATTTAATTGATTCCAGTGAGCCAGTGCAACTATCCAGATCCAAATAGTTTATGCCTTTTATTTACAGTTAAAATAACTGTCAGACGCATCCTGTAAGGGTTTTTAATATCATGTGTGACCTGACCTCACAGGTCATGCAAGTTAATATTGGTTCAGGTGCTATTTTATTTATTCTTTCTAAAATCATCTGCACAGATTTTTTTAGATAAAAACTTTTAATATAATAAAATACCCTGTGCTTATATGACTCCTGTGATATCCAGATTAGTCACCGTGATGCTGGCTTCTCTGTTAATGGTCATGTTGCAGGCAGCATGATGAATTCTTGAAAGAAATTAAAGCTATATCTTTGAAGACTGCTCATTAAACAAACAAAAATAATTTATTTCTATACATCAGAAAATATGTACACATTAAAAGAAAATAATGCCGTGCACTCACAAACTCAGTTGCTCATTATCGTACAAACAGTGGAGAATAATCCAAAATGGTAGCCTGTGTGAAGGTCATTAGAATCTGGTTTGGATGTGCATTCTAAGATTTTTCTTACTGAAAGTGACTCATACCTGGCCTGAAGACACCCACAGATGGGCTCAGAAGAGGGAAGGTGGGTGGAGTAAGTCAAATTGCCTACATTTTTTGGTGAAAGTGAAACTAACAAGAGACATATGTTATCTTTAGAGAATCTAAATATGTAGATACATCTAAATACGCATTATCTCCTCACTGTGGAACCAACTAAATAAAAGTTGAAGACCAGGTACTAAGTAGCAGTTGAATTTTAGGCCAGTGAACAATTAAAGGGAAAGCATGTTATGAATGCAAGGGACCAAGAGTAGTTCATTTAAATGGATATGGAGGTTTTAAAATACATTTCACCCAACACAATCTTTAAATCTACTTTCAACCTCTGTTGCTTAGAAAGCTTCCAGTGTTCTTAGATCTCTCTAACTGGTAATACACAACAATTAATTATGAACACAGTTGTAAAGTCTTGTATATCCCTAATTAGAGTTTCACTAGGAGATATTCTGTGATTTAGTATGAAATCTAGGACTTCTGCCTTTTCATTGTCTTTTTATGGTATCATATAATGAAGATAGTGAGGATATTATAATAATTGTTTCCAGCATATTAAATGAGTTTACACTCATCAATATATTTCTTTATAACTCTGCCCTAGGTCATAAGTACTTAAAGTACATGACAATTTAAAATACTTCTTAAAATCTGTAGTTATTTAATGGCTTAAAAATTGTTGAATTGATTAAATACATCTGCTCCTTTTTGCATAAATTAAGTATTTAGAAAAGGATGTGAGGGAGTCTGAAATAAGATCTAGAAAAGGGGCACACATCTAGAATAGTACATTATTTTTAACTCTCCTCTATTTTTTTTCTTTTTTTTTTTTTTTTTTTTTTTTTTTTTTTGGTTTTCCTATGCAAGTGCTTAGCACGATGCGCCCTGGGACCATCCAAAACCCTTCTCTATACCACACCTTATTCTGACGACAGAGCTGACAATTGTTATCACCATCCAGTTGACCAATTCTCTATACCACCATTTGTGCAGTCCTACCTTAAGGTTATTAATAGTTTTCCTGGCCTGGTGTGGTGGCTCACTCCTGTAAACCCAGCACTTTGGGAGGCAGAGGCAGGTAGATCACCTGAAGTCAGGAGTTCGAGAGCAGCCTGGCCAATGTGGCAAAACCCCATCTCTATTAAAAAATATGAAAATTAGCTGGGCGCAGTGGCAGGCGCCTGTAATCCCAGCTACTCCGGAGGCTGAGGCAGGAGAATCACTTCAACCCGAGAGGCAGGAGTTGCAGTGAGCGGAGATTGAGCCATTGCACTCCAGCCTGGGAGACAGAGCGAGAGACTCTGTCAAAAAAAGAAAAAAAAAAAGTTTTTATCTATTATAAATAGTCTGCACTCAATAACCTTGTGCGTAAACTATTCTACATAATTAACTTAAAAATAAACCAACACAAAATTAATGTCTACTGATTTAAACCCAGAAGTTTTACCTATTGAACTTGTTTTACTCCTGTAAAATGGGAAAGGAAAATGTGGAAAATATTTGCCCTCTCTTAGTTACTTACCTATCCGCTTCTGTCTTTTAATTTAAATTTCTTGAGGGCAAGTAACATGCCTTTAAACTTTTGCATTTCCTTTGGGTCAAGAATTATTCCCTTCATGATAGTCAGTAAAAGTTGGAAGGCTTAAACTGAATATGCAATAGTTCTGAATATTCAGCAAAGCAACACCTGTTTTTGTCTCCACAAGCCACCGTGCATGTAAGGATTTCACTGGCCCTCTTACACATGGCATCTGCTTCCAACAAGTGATGCATTTCTGGGGAGAGGAGCCTTGTCAGAGGGATTTTCTCTTACTAACATCCTCTTCCCAGATGTGTATTCCCTGTAGCATGTCCTGAATTATGAGGCCCTGGAAGGCAATTGCAATCACTGAGAATGACATGTCACACCTGGAATTTACCACTCTCCCCACACTACACAATCTCCTATAGGTAAATGTCAAATCTAAGTTTATTTCTAAGGGACTTAATTGTTTCTCTATATAGCCAAATACTAGTGCTGAATATTAGTTTAGCATAATGTTTAGCACTTTAAATATATGTAGATGTGTAAAGATCCAACTAAACTATTTTTTGATCAGACAGTATTGACCAAATAATGGTATTTCGAGGATGGAATTCATGTTCTTATGGCATTTCATTATTTCTCTTCATATACATATCTCTGTCTAACCTTGAATCAGTTATATTTTAAATAATTAAGTAAAGTCGCTAGGCGAGACTAAGAGCCCTATATACTATCTTCTATATAAAGGAAAAAAGCACTATATAATTTTTTTAATAGTGGGCACTGCTATGCACTGTATGTATGTTTATGAATACAGATGCTCCTCATGTTATGATAAGGTTACATCCAAATAAACCCATTGTAAATTGAAAATGCAATTAATACACTTAAACTATCGAACATCATAACTTAACCTAGCCTTCATTAAACGTGCTCAGACACTTAACCACAGTTGGTCAGAATAATGTGACAAAAGGCCTGTTTTATAATAAAATGTCGAATATTTCATGTAGATTATCAAATACTATACTGAAAATGAAAACATAATTGTTGTATGGGTACTCAAAATGTGCTTTCTACTGAATGGATATTATTTTCACACCATTATAAAGTAAAAACATTATAATTGAACCATTGTAAGTCAGTGACCATCTATATATGTATATCTGTCTCTCTCTCTATATATATATATGTATATATATCCACATGTGCTTTACAGTTCATTGAATTAAACCTATACCTACAACTAAATATCTAAAATATACTTTTAGTTTAATGTTGTAAATTTATTATTATTAACTCTCCTATTTACCAGTGTAATGCAAAGTTTTTTGTACTTTCCTTCTAGGGTAATTTAATGTTTTTATTTTTGTTCTGTTTTAGTTAAGCTGAAAAGACCCCTCTGTTTGGGATGGTTTTAAAATTTTTATTATTTGCCTGAGAAAAGCTCACTGAAGAGTTTGATGATAATGTGTTTTAAATGCCAATTAAACTATGTCATTTGGAAACAGTTACAGTGGTGTATTACTTAGGAAAAAGCCTTCTCCTCAATCATATCAACAGTTACACATAATCAAATACTTTATATTTGTAATTATATCATTCTTGATTTTCTTGAGGCTGAGTTTTGGTTGTCAAAAAAAATTCAAAGTATGGGTAATTTATCGTCACAACAGATTTTAGTTACTAGCTTTAAAGGTAATCGTGAAAACATGTCTCTTGCATAAAGAAACCCAAAGAAGGGAACAATTAAAAAGATTTCAGTAAAAATCTTATTTTTCTAATGATTACCAAGGGGTGTAATTGCTATTTATTTATATTTGTGCTGTAATAGTAACATAGTATAAATTTTATAAAGTAACCCAAACTTATTTATGGCATAGGTCAGTCATACCCTCTACAAAAGTGAAGAATTTCTGAGAACAATTTTAAGGCATAGGAAAAGAGCACTACTAAAATGAAATTCAAACACCATATATGTGTTTAATAGCATCTAATAATAATGACTAACACTAATGTCAGGCACTTTTCTAAGTCCTTTAACATGTAGTGACTTACTTAGTCTCCATAGCAGCCAGATAGGACATGTACTATTATTGTCTCCTGCTCTCAGATAAAGACACTGAGGCTGAGATAAATTAAATAACTTACTCTAAATAATGCAGTTAGCCAATAGAGATTTATACCCATGCTCTTTGAGGATTCAATGAGACATTTGGTTTCTCAAAGAATATAGAAATTTAATCCTGGAAGTTAGTTTAGAGACTTTTCTCTCCAACATTTCCCGAATGTATTATGTGATTAAATTCTGGGATAAAAACTTCTCTAGTCTAATACATCAGAGAAAATGCAATACAATATATCCCCCTTGACTCTTATGGATTTACAGTGCAAAAGGGCATAACAAAGGATGAGAAGTCCTGAAGTGATCTGTTTCAACCAGTGTTTGCCAGTCATTATTGATAAGAAAACTTTATTGTATCCACCTTTCATAGTCCTTAGAATTTGTGTTCCTTAGAACACAAATTTTGAGAAAGTCTAGCCCTACTACCTGGCAGATAGAAAATTAAAGTCAAAAATACCTTTGTGACCATGAAATCTTACCTCCCAATCATGTACATGTCCTAACTCACCCAGCTTTTAAATCAGTATGTAGGAATAACCATTCTGCTATTTTAAGTTTCTTCTGTATTTCCTCTTTTTTAACCATTTCAACAAGGAAAACATCATACAGTGAGGATCCATGGATAAAATAGATTGATTATATTCTAGTTTACTTAACACAAATTACTCATAATACATATTTAATCAATGTTTAAACATTTTTGTTATTAAATATTCCATTTATCCTGAGGTATTTAACATCCAAAAATTAGGGGAAAAAAAACTAATAAAAAACTCCTAGAAAGTCTTGAGGTTCTAGAGAATCCATCTTTCAGGTGAGGCCCATAGGCCATATATACATTTCACCCTCATACCTTTCTTGCATGATATTATGGAATTAATCATACGTACTTCAACAAAACTTTATATATTTTTTTCTAATCACTGCGTATTTTGTCATTTCAGTTCCTCCTAAGATATATGACATCTCAAATGATATGACCGTCAATGAAGGAACCAACGTCACTCTTACTTGTTTGGCCACTGGGAAACCAGAGCCTTCCATTTCTTGGCGACACATCTCCCCATCAGGTAAAGTAGGAATGCATTAGTGTTGTTTGTGCTGTTCATTTTTCTCCTGTAACCTCACTAACCTCACTTGTTCAGAACTTAAGAGTCAACTTAATTTTTTGTATTTTATTCATGCGGTAGGCAGAATGCATTTATTTATTTATTTATTTATTTATTTATTTATTTATTTATTTATTTTTGAGACAGAGTCTTACTCTGTCCCCCAGGCTGCAGCTCAGTGGCGCGAACCGGTCTCACTGCAACCTCCGCCTCCCAGGTTCAAGCGATTCTCCTGCCTCAGCCTCCTGAGTAGCTGGGATTACAGGATTGCACCACCACATCTGGCTACTTTTTTTGTATTTTTAGTAGAGAAGGGGTTTACCATGTTGGCCAGGTTGGCCTCGGAATCTTGGCCTCAAGTCATCTGCTCAACTTGGCCTCCCAGAGTGCTGGGATTACAGGCATGAGCCATCGCGCCTGGCCAAAATGCATATTTTTATACTTACTCTTCATACTTAAAGGCATTGCAGTTCATAAAAGTTAAATGGGCTGGGCGCAGTGGCTCACGCCTGTAATCCCAGCACTTTGGGAGGTCGAGGCAGGCAGCTCACTTGAGGTCAGGAGCTCAAGTCCTGCCTGGCTGTCATGGTGAAACCCCATCTCCAGTAAAAATACAAAAATTAGAAGGGTGTGGTGGTGCATGCCTGTAATCCCAACTACTCGGGAGGCTGAGGCAGGAGAATCATTTGAACCCAGGAGGCAGAGGTTGCAGTGAGCCGAGATCGCACCAGTGCACTCCAGCCTGGGTGCGGAGCAAGACCCTGTCTCAAAAAAAAAAAAAAAAAAGTTAAAGAATACTTTTCACTCAGAGTCCAGAATAGAACCTATGTCTGTTGATTCTTAGTCAAGGTTATTTTCTCTTTCGTATGCTGGATAATCACCAATCAATAGACAAAAGGCTCAAATGGAAATGTCACAAGAGAAATGTCTTCATTTAAATATGTAAGAGATTTATTTGATCAGCATTCACACGTTGATAGGTCAGCATGAACCGCTAAAGTAATCAGGGGAGAATAAAGTTAATCAAATTATGAGTTTGCTGGGTCTGATTTCAAACTGCAGCTTTCAATCAAAGACTTTGGAGTTAGAATTAAATTTTAACTGATGAGGGATCTAAAAATCCAAGAGTTTATGTAGCTTGTGCAGGATTGCATAGCTAGTAGAAATGAAATATATAACATGTTTATAGATTTCCAGTACTTCTGCTATAGTGCACATCCTCCCAAAGAGATTATAAGTCAATTTCAGGAAGTCGACCTTAGTCATCATCAAAACAGGTCTGTTTTCAAAGTCACAATGCTAACAGAATTATCAAGTTGTGTGAAATTTAACTTTGAACTACATAGCTTTGGGTGCACCCTGGGAGTCAGAGATGTACTTTTAATAAATAGGACCCCACCTCATTTCAGATGAATGAAATTTGATTTTGTTTCATATTTTTTTTTTGTGAAAATACCCTGAGCAAGGCTGATGCAATGAAACTGCTTTTAATGAAATCAGAAAGGCATATTTTATACAGGTGTAGAACAAGCACAATTGAAACATGTATTTTATCTGCTAATGTTTTCTTTAATATTACCCTTCAGCGACTTTCAGTTTACTCATTTATGCAGTGTGTCTAATCAATCTTACCCACATCACATGCTTAGTATTGGTATTATGTGAGAAAAAATCAATATATCTGCAATATATATTTATATAATATGCATTATGTCCCCTACAATATTTCTGAAGTATGAGTGTGCTCTTGACTGCCAACTCTTCACTCTCTAGAACCACTGAAAAATCATAAAACTGATATGTGAGCACTTAAATTCATGGCAGGACTCTCCGTGGGGTATAAGTGCAGCAAATTCAGAACCAGGAGTTATACACATGTGCTCTTAAGACAAGTTCCTTATTCATCAAATCTGCCAATCCTTGTGCACATCTCTTAGCTGTAGTTACCACCAGCTAGTTTCCTACTTTCAAAAATTGCATGATAATAATCCTTGGCTATTGTGGGACTCAAAAAATATAATAGGCATAAATGTGTTTTAAAAAGTAAAACTTAATATGTAAATGTAAAGCTGATTCTTAATCATCTTTCCAGGAATTTAAATCTGATATGGTAATATAATTTTTGTAAGAGCAAAACACATAATCTCTATCTTCATATAATTTAAGATTAATATTATGAATTTAACTCTCCTGCTTTGCAGTGCTTGTTATTATGCACATTCTTCTTTTTAAAAGTGCTTGGATACATTTTAGTTTAATTAAATAGGAATGTTGGTTAGTGAAGTTATTAGAATAATGATAACGGATAACATCATGAAACTGAAAGAAGACAGATTGGGTTTATAAGTTAAACTGTGCATAGATTTGTTTTTCTGATTCTGCCATACTGAGCAAATGAGTAAAATTAGCATAAATATTAACTATTATCCAATGAATAACTAGACTTGGCAGAGATTTTTATAAACACTTACAATAATTTCAAATTATAATTTATTAATGATCTACATTCAAATTCACAGCACCTAAAGGAAAAAGAAAACCCCACAACGCTGGAGTTCCTGCTTTAAGGAACATGTCCGATAATTCTATTAGCTTTTTTGACTTATTAATTTATATTTAAAAGCAAAATTATGAATTCATTGATCTCTTTGTATTTTGCCTAAGAAATATCAATATTTTGCATGTTCTCAGCTCCTCTTTTGCTATATTATGAAAGAAAATGTGTCCCAAAACAGCAGTTAACCTGTGAACATGTTGAGTGTTAAAAGCAGTTATAAAAATAAATAAGTAAATAAAAACAGATGTAGATATACCTCATGTCAACACGAGAAGTAATGGCTAGTTTTTGTATGTGTCTGATTGATTTAGGGTTTTTAGCAATGCCCATGGTAATTCTTGCTGACTCACTCATGGTCAATTCCAGTTTTAAAAATCAGTAATAAGTGGTTGGTCACAGGATGATAGCTCCATACAGCTTCACCCTTATTTACAGAAAAATGAGGCTGTGTGTTCAACCACATCACAAACATCACTGGGGCCAGCTACAGTTGCCATTCTACTTTTTAACTCTTGCAACTCAACTATACTTTCACCAAAAAAAAACACCTTTCCTGAGATGTTTCTGGATATGTGAGCTTCCTTACAGTTCACCTTATCAATGATTATTTCTTTTTTCTGTTTTTTCCATTCTATATTTGAGAATTAAATTCAAATTTATGTTTTAAAAGGTTACAGAAATAAAACAGAGAATATTCTGTATGCTTTACCCAGTTAGATTCATTGGGATTTTGTCAATTTGCTTCATCAATTTCTCTGTGGGTAGACTAAGTATATACATATATATATTTCACTGAACCAGTTGAGAGCAAGTTGCATACATCTTGGCCTTTGTTATCTCTAGGTGTTTTTTATCTCTAGATATCTCCGTGTTAATTTCTGAAGAATAGACATTTTCTTTACATAACCACAGTAATTTTTAATTTCAGTAAATTTAACATTGGTATCATACGTTTATTCAATTAATCAACCATATTCCAATTTGGTCAACTAATACAATAGTTTTTTTATAGAATACTTTTTTGTCTAGTACAGAATCCAATCCAGAACTCTGTATTGCATGTATTTGACATAACAGTTTAGGCTCCTCTAATTTAATTTCTCAGTGTCATTACTGAACATTGACATTTTTTTTCAACAATGTATATACTCCCCACCCCTCCTTGTTTTTTGGAGATGAAGTCTCACTCTGTCGCCTAGACTAGAGTGCAGTGGTGTGATCTTGGCTCCTTGCAACCTCCACCTCCTGGATTTAAGTGATGCTCCCACCTCAGTCTCCCAACTAGCTGGGATCGCAAGCGTGCGCCACCACACCCAGCTAATTTTTGTATTCTGAGTAGAGATGGGGTTTCACCATATTGACCCCTTTTTAAATAGAATATTTCTCCTTTGTGGGTTGTCTCATATTTTCTCATGAGATTTCTAGTTATGTCCTTATGGAAGTAAGTGAAGTTGTATCCTTCTCAGGGAATCGGATCCGGAGTCACATAATATTCATGTGTCCCTCATTTGTGATGTTATTTTCAATCAATCAGTGTGTTGTCTGATTTCCACATCATATAGTTTATTCCTTTTTCTTCCCTATGCTACCAATAAACAGTCTGTAGGGAGAGATTTTAAGACCGTGACATCCAAATATCTGCTCTTTGTCAACTCTGCCCTTAGATTTGACATTATTGATGATTCTTTTGCACTCAGCCTTCACTCTGATGATCAAACTGATGATTTTTTTCTAGATTCAGCAGTCCTTCTGCTTTTACTAGTTAGCACTTGACATTCTACTGTAGAATTCCCCTTTCTCCTATTTATTATTTGTTTGTTTATTTTTATGGCATGAACTCGTGGATTCACACCTTTTTTTTTTTTTTTTTTTTTTTGAGACTAAGTCTTGCTTTTGTTACCCAGGCTGGAGTGCAATGGCACAATCTCGGCTCACCACAACCTCCACCTCCCAGGTTCAAACGATTCTCCTGTCTCAGCCTCCGGGTAGCTGGGATTACAGGCATGCGCCACCATGCCTGGCTAATTTTGTACTTTTAGTAGAGAGAGGGTTTCTCCATGTTGGTCAGGCTGGTCTCCATCTCCCAACCTCAGGTGATCCACGTGCCTCGGCCTTCCATTTTTGTTTTATGATACTTTAAGTTCTGGGGTACGTGTGCAGAACGTGCAGTTTTGTTACATAGGTATACACATGCCATGGTGGTTTGCTGCACCCATCAACCCATCATCTACATTAAGTATTTCTCCTAATGCTATCTCTACCCTAGCCCCGAACCCCCTGACAGGCCCCAGTGTGTGATGCTCCCCTCCCTGTGTCCATGTTCTCGTTGTTCAACTCCCACTTATGAGTGAGAACATGTGGTGTTTGGTTTTCTGTTCTTGTGTTAGTTTGCTGAGAATGATGGTTTCCAGCTTCATCCATGTCCCTGCAAAGGACATTAACTCATCTTTTTTATGGCTGCATAGTATTCCATGGTGTATATATGCCACATTTTCTTTATCCAGTCTATCATTGATGGGCATTTGGGTTGGTTCCAAGTCTTTGCTATTGTGAATAGTGCCACAATAAACATACGTGTGCATGTGTCTTTAGAGTAGAATGATTTATAATCCTTTGGGTATATACCCAGTAATGAGATTGCTGGGTCAAATGGTTATTTCTGGTTCTAGATCCTTAAGGAATTACCACACTGTCTTCCACAATGGTTGAACTAATTTACAGTCCCACCAACAGTATAAAAGTGCTCCTATTTTTCCACATCCTCTCCAGCATTTGTTGTTTCCTGACTTTTTAATGATTGCCATTCTAACTGGCATGAAATGGTATCTCGTTGTGGTTTTTATTTACATTTTTAAAAAGTCTTTAATGTTTTTCTTGGTCAAATTGTCTTCAGTTTGACCATTAGGAGTCACACCAAATCGGTCTCCTGTGTCCTTATGACATGAACCCATCATTTTGTTTACTTCTATGCTTTCTGGCATAAGAAAATACAACAGGCTCATATTTTCTGCCTTACTTCTGGAATCAACCATTTCATTTAACTTTGATTGATTTTATACCATACAATTGGAGTTAGAATCATTACATTTTGCTTTAAAAATGTAACTTTACTTAACTGCTTTATAGTAAAATTATCAAAGACTCAGAAGTCTAGGCTACTTCCTGTGATATTCTTCTAAACCACAATAAGACCTTAAATAACTTCAGGGTGAGGGATAGAAAAAATATTTTGTGTGGTTTTATCTAACAAGAAGCCTGGAACGGAGCCTGTAATCTGTGTGTATGCAAAGAGCACCAGAACTAGTAAGAAAAATATTTATCTCAAGGAAAATAAAGAGGGTAGTTGTCCTATGGCTAGAGATACAAGTAGGCTCATAGATCTTTACATGTGATCCTACTGCTTCTGCTCATCTATGACTGGTTCTTTATCTGTTTCAAATTTTTCAAGGTTTTTTCAAAATTCCTAGTGTGAAGTGTATGATTTCATTTCTACCAGGAATTTACTTATGAGATGGTGCCGGTAGGGCCTAGTGATTAAGATAATGCATTTTGATTTCAGTCGAGTTTGAGATCCAGATCTTCCTCTTATCAAAAGTAACATCTTAGAAAAAATTGTTAACTTCCTTAAACTTCAAATACAAAATGGCAGTAACAATTGTACCCAATTCACAGAATTGTTATATGAACAGTAAATGGAATAGTATGCAACATTGGACAGAGTTTATGACTTATAAACATTTCATATTCTTAGCTGTTAATATACTTTTGAAATGTGTTTAAATTTTTGAACAGATTATTAGTTTATTCTCACGCTGCTAATAAAGACATACCCAAGACTGGGTAATTTATAAAGGAAAGAGGTTTAATGGACTCATGGTTCCACAGGACTGGGGAGGCCTCAGGAAACTTACAATCATGGTGGAAGGGGAAGCAAAACTGTCCTTCACGTGGTGGCATCAAAGAGAAGTGCCAAGCAAAATGGGGGAAAACCCCCTAGTAAAACCATCAGATTTCTTGACAACTCACTCACTATCATGAGCACAGCATGGAGGTAACCACCCTCACCATTCAATTACCTCCTACCAGGTCCCTTCCAACAACACATGGGGATTATGGGAACTATAGTTTATGATGAGATTTGAGTGAAGACACAGCCAAGTCATATTAACCAGATAGAATTTGTAACTCTGTTCCTGAAATTAAGGGGCCTCTTTATGACTCTTGAAAATGTAATTCACATAGCTGCTCACAAATGAGGTTACCATGAAGGTAAAAATCACTGTAAACTTCTGGAGAATATCGACAAGTATACATGAGGCTTCTGATTTTAAAAATAAAGAAAAAATAAAAATTGTATTACATATGATTGTATTAATAAGCCTAGAAATAGTAAGAAAAAATAAAAAATTAAAGGAAAAAAATTTCAATTATAGATGAGTGTATTAGTCCATTCTCCCATTGCTATAAAATACCAGAAACTAGGTAATTTGTAAAAAAAAAAAAGTTTTATTGTTAAAAATGTTAATCACAGTTCTGTAGGCTGTACAGGAGGCAAGGCATAACAGCTTCTGCTTCTGGGGAGGCCTCAGGAAACTTATAGTCATGGTGGAAAGTGAAGGGGAAGTAGGCATGTCTTACAATGCTGGAGCAGGAGAAAGGGGGTCGGGGGAGGTTCTACACTCTTTTAAACAACCAGATCTCCTGAGAACTCTATCATAAGAGCAGGACTAGGGCAATGGTGCTAAACCATTTATGAAAAATCACCCACTTGATCCAATCACTTCCCACTACACTCCACCTCCAACATTGGGATTACAATTCACATGAGACTTGAGCAAAGACACAGATCCAAACCATATCATTCCCACACTGACACCTCCTAAAAATCTCATGTCCTACTCACATTTTAAAATACAATAATCCCTTCTCAACAGTCCCCCAGAGTCTTAACCTTATTGCAGCATTAAGTTAAAAGTCCAAAGTTCAAAGTTTCATCTGAGACAAGACAAGTCCCTTCTTCCTATGTGCCTGTAAAATCAAAAAGAAGTTAGTTACTTGCAAGATACAATGGGGTATAGGCATTGCGTAAATACTCCCATTCCAAAAGGGAGAAATCAGCCAAAAACAAAAAAAATTGGAAGGATACAGGCCCTATGCATTTCTGAAACCCAGCACTGCAGTCATTAAATCTCAAAACTTCAAAATAATCTCCTTTGACTCCATGTCTCACAATCAGGGCACACTGAAGCAAGGGCTGAGTTCCCAAGGCCTTGGGCAGCTCTGTCCCATGACTTTGTAGGGTTCAGTCCCTATGGCTGCTCTCATGGGCTAATGTTGAGTGGTTGCTGCTTTTCCAGGTGTAGGGTACAAGCTGTCAGTGGATCTACCATTCTGGGGCCCTCTTCTCACAACTCCACTAAGTAATGCCCCAGTGGGGACTCTGTGTGGCGGCTCTGACCCCACATTTGCCTTCCATACTGCCCCAATAGAGTTATTCATGAAGGTTCCACCCCTGTAGTGGGCTTCTGCCTGGATGCCTGGATATCCAGGCTTTTCCATTCATCCTTTGAAATCTAAGCAGAGGCTTCCAAGCCTCAGCTCTTGTACTCTGTGCACCCACAGGCTTAACACCACATCAAAGCTGCCAAAGGTTATGGCTTGCAGCCTCTGAAGCAGTGGCCTGAGCTTTATATGGGCCCCTTTGAGCCATGTCTGGAGCTGGAGTTGCTGGGATGCAGGGAGCTATGTTCTGAGGCTGCACAAGGCAGCTCGGCCCTGGGCCTGGCCCACAAAATCATTCTTCCTTGGTAGGCCTCCAGGTCTGTGATGGGAGGAGCTTCCATGAGCTTCTCTGAAATGCCTTTGAGATCTTTTCCTCATTTTTCTATCAGCCTTTACCTTCTTTTTAATTATGCAGATTTCTGCAGCCATCTTGAATTGCTCCTCTGAAATGGGCTTTACTTTTCTACCTACCACATAGCAAGGCTGAAAATTTTCCAAACTTTTATGCTGTGCTTCCCTTTAAAATATAAAAGTTCCAGTTCCAGGTCATTTCTTTGCCCACACATAGGAGCATATATTGTTAGAAGCAGCCAGGCTACTTCTTGAACACCTGGCTGCTTTAAAATTTCTTTTGCCAAATACCCTAAATCATCATTCTCAAGTTAAAAGTTCCACAGATCCCTAGAGCAGGGGCACAATACAGCCTTGCTCTTTGCTAAAGTGTAGCAAAAGTGACCTTTACTCTAGTTCCCAATACATTCCTCATTTCTATCTGAGACCCCATCAGCCTGGATTTCATTGTCCATATCCCTATCAGCACAACCATTCAAGAAGTCTCTATGAAGTTCCAAATTTTCCCTCATCTTCCTGTCTTCTTTTGGGCCCTCCAAACTCTTCCAACCTCTTCCCCTTACCCAGTTCCAAAGGCAATTCTACATTTTCAGGTATCTTTATAGCAATGCCCTACTCCTCAGTACCAATTTTCTATATTAGTCCATTCTTGCACTGCTATAAAGAAATACCCGAGACTGCATAATTTACAAAGAAAGAAGTTTAATTGGTTCCTTGTTCTGCAGGCTGTACAGGAAGCGTAGCAACTTCTGCTTCTGGAGAGGCCTTAGGATACTTACGGTCATGACAGAAGGCAAAGGGAAAGCCAGCACATGTTACAAGGACAAAGCAAGAGCAAGAGAGAGAAGGGGGAGGTTCTCCACTCTTTTAAACAACAAGATGTCATGAGAACTCTCTCACAAGAACAGCACTAAAGGGATAGTGCTCAGCTGTTTATGAAAACTCCCCCCATGATCCAGTTACCTCCCGCTAGGTCCACCTCCAACATTGAGGATTACAATTCCACATGAGACTTGAGTGGGGATGCAGATCAAAACCATATCAAGGAGATAAAAAAATCTAGAAGCATGTTGAAAGCCGTTTAAAAATATTCACTTATTTGTGGCTATTTATTTTGATGTCTATTTCCAAGTTCATTTCTTTCTATTCTTTGGTACCTGGAATATCCAGACATGTTCATCCTTTAGCCTGGTGGTTTTTATTAATTGATAAAGGTGTTACTGGCTCTGAAGCTAAACATGTGAGCACAACACTGGGCTATATGTCTCAAACACTTTTTTGTCTAATTTCCGTATGCTTAATGTTTTGATAAGGCATTACTAACTTAATTATCATAGGCATTAAGGCTATTGCCTAACTCAAGATAAAGAATGCTCAATTTATGTTCTTTTTCTCCTGTCATGTTTGAGATTCCTTTTCTTCCTATTTGTCAGGTCCTTATTTTATTAAATATTATCTTTTTCTTACATCTTTAACTTTTTCCTTTCTACTGACCCTATCCTGCTCACATTTAGAAAGACTCAGATCTCTTCTTTTTTTTTTTTTTTTTTGAGACGGAGTCTTGCTCTCTTGCCCAGGCTGGAGTGCAGTGGCACGATCTTGGCTCACTGCAACCTCCACTTCCCAAGTTCAAGCATTTTCCTGCCTCAGCCTCCCGAGTAGCTGGGATTACAGGCGCATGCCACCAAGCCCAGCTAATTTTTGTATTTTTAGTGGAGACGGGGTTTCACCATGTTGGTCAGGTTGGTCTCGAACTCCTGACCTCATGATCTGCCCACCTCGGCCTCCCAAAGTGCTGGGATTACAGGCGTGAGCCACCGCGCCTGGCCAGGTCTCTTATTTCTTAAATCAATCACTTGACACTGCTCACTTTTGTTTAATAAACAGTCATTGATCACTTGTAAAGGAGACTTTAAACAAGTGATCTAAGGCATAGGGATAGAATCAGAATGCCATGATTTTAAGGACCCAAAAGATGAAAACCTTTTTAGGAATAGTGAATAATGTCAATCAGGTCAAATAAGATACAAACCATATAGATACCTCTGGGTTAAGTAGTTTGGTGGTCAGTGAGGCAATTCAGTGTCATAATGGGACAGAAACAGAATATGGAAGATTGGAGTAAATGAAGAACTTAGATGTGGAGGCATATTAGATTGGTGCAAAAGTAATTGTGGTTTCAGATCCTGAATTTTAAATCATTATAAATAGGCTCAAACACACCTTTATTAATCAAAATTGGAACCATTAAAATCAACACATTTTTGCCAATGAAAAATAAGCTTGTTTATTCTGTAGCATTAAAAAAAATCCTTGCTTTGAGATTCAACAAACTCTTGGAAAGTTTTTCTGCATCCTGCTTGTTGTGGAAGTGTTTTCCCTGCAAAAAGTTGTTGAGATGTTTGAAGTAGTGGTAGTCAGTTGGCAAGAGGTCAGGTGAATATGGCAAATGAGGCAAAATTTTGTAGCCCAATTCATTCAAGTTTTGAAGCATTGGTTGGGCAATGTGCAGTCAGGCATTGTCATAGGGAAGGATTGGGCCGTTCTGTTGACCAACTGTGCAGGTGTCACAGTTTTCAGTCCATCTCATTGATTTGCTGAGCATACTTCTCAGTTGTAATGGTTTTGCCAGGATTCAGAAAGCTGTAGTGGATCAGACTGGCAGCCGACCACCGGTGACCATGCCCTTTTTTTGGTGCAAGTTTGGCTTTGGGAAATGCTTTGGAGCTTCTTCTCGGTCCAACCACTGAGCTGGTCATCACTGGTTTTTGTATGAAATCCACTTTTCATCGCACATCACAATCCGATTGCGAAATGGTTTGTTGTTGTGTAGAAAAAGAGAAGATGACACTTCAAAACAACTATTTTTCTGATTTTCGATCAGCTCATGAGGCACCCATTATCAAGCTTTTTCACCTTTCCAATTTGCTTCAAATGCAAAGTGACCATAGAATAGTCAATGTGGAATTATTCAGCAACTTCTCATGTAGTTGTAAGAGGATCAGCTTTTATGATTGCTCTCAATTGGTCCTTGTCAACTTCTGATGGCCAGCCACTACACTCCTCATCTTCAATGCTCTCATCTCCTTTGCAAAACTTCTTGAACCACCACTGCATTGTACATTCGTTAGCAGTTCCTGGGCCAAATGCCTTGTTGATGTTGCGAGTTGTCTCTGCTGCTTTATGACCCGTTTTGAACTTGAATAAGAAAATCACTCGGATTTACTTTTTGTCTAACATCATTTCCATAGTCTAAAATAAACATAAAATAAACTGCAAGTAATAAGTCATTAGCAAAAAAAGTAAAGAGAGAATGTCTATTAAAATGATTTATAACATAACCACATTTATTTAAGAATGTATTCCAATATCAAACAGCAACTTCCAACAATGCAAAAACCACAATTACTTTTGCACTCACCTAAAATAACTATGCATCCTACTAGTCAAGTTAGAAATTTGCTTTTCTACCTTTACATATGTTGTTTCTTCTACTAGGAATATCTTTGTCATTTTATTCAATTGACAAATTTCTATTTATTCTTCAATTTTTCAAAAAATCATTCCAAAACTTCCCGGGAAAAATTGTGTGTTTCTTCTTCCATAGTTATATAGTACTTCATGTCACCACTTGTATGGAATTAACTTTCTGAATTGTAATAATTGACTTTATTTGCTTTTGGTCTCATGGGCCAGGGGAGTCCTTTTGTCCGGAAATAATCTGTTCTTCTTTATACTACATGGCTTAGCACAAGGCTTGGCACAAAGTAGGGAATCTGTAAAGATTGCTGAACCAATGAATGCTCCTCTTTGTCTTTGATTCCTACATGGCTTCTAGGAACTAGATATTAAAATTGGGATGGAGATAATGAGGTATTCACACAAGCAAGTGTTTTTTTTCCTGATGTTTTCTCACTTCCCTATTCCCCTAAGTAAACACACACACACAGACACACACACACACACACACACACACTCCTAAATATGCATCAGCCCTTTATTTTCCTTATAGCTTTAATATGGCTACACCCTATTAACATAAAGCTCACACCAATCAATTTTAGCCAACATGGTTCAACTAACTTTTTCATTACCTTCCATACCATAGGCAATGAGGGAGAGGTATTTTCACATACTTATCTCATTTAAGCCTCAAAACCAAACTCATTGTACAGATGAACATGATACTCAGAGTGTTTACATAAATTAACCCAAATAAATATAAATTATGTTTTACCTTCTACTTTGAAATGATTACTGACTCACAGGAAGTTCCAAAGTTAGTACAAAGAGTTTTCATGTACTCTTCACCCAGTTTTTCCCAATGGGGCATGAAGATGAACAGATCTTCTCTAGTCACAAGGAGTCCCCTGTCCCTTGAGACCAAAGACAAATAAAGCCAGTTACTACTGTTCAGGGAGTTAATTCCACACAAGCGGTGGCATAAAGTACTATGTAACTGTGGAAGGAGGACCCCCCACCCAATGTTTGTATAACATATATGACATCAAACTAGGAAATGGTCATTAGTGCAATGTTTGTGTATATTTCTATACCATTTTATCATGAGTTCATTCATGTAGCCAGAACCAAAATCAAGATACAGGGCTATTCCCTCAGCACAAAGATCTTTCTTGTATTATTTCCTTATAGTTACATACATTCCTCCCCCATGCACCATGCCTAACCCCCTTTTTATTTTTAGCATTTTTGTTCTTCCTTCCTGGTGTTCTAAGGTTCATTCTTTTATTGCTTTATTTCTATGTTCAGAACTTTTTCTGGCAATTCTTTTATGGCAGGTCAACTGAAGACAAACTTAGTTTTCTTCATTAGAGAACGTTTTGATTTCTCCTTTATTGCCAAATGATGTTTTGGCTTAGAATAGAATACTGAGTTCAATAAAAGATGTCACTCATTATTTAACATTCTATTTTCCAATTCTGTAATTTTGTCATTTATAGAATGTCCTTTGAGTGTACACTTACATGTAAGTGTACAAAGGTTATGTACTGCCATACAGTGCATAATCTTTGAAATTAGCTTTTTATATTCAGCATAGTGTCCTTGAGATCTTTCCCAGTTATAGTATATATCAAGTTCATTCTTTTTTATTGCAGAATAGTATCTCATGATATGAATGCATCACAATTTTCTAAACCATTCAAATATTATAGAATATTTTGATTGCTTTCAGTTTTTGTTTATAACAAATAAAGCTGCTATGAACAATCATGTTTCTTTTCCATCTTTTTATTTTTCAGGCTAAAGATATTGTCCTATTTTAAGTGAGTCTCTTGCAGACAGCCTATAGTTGATACAACATATGCATTCTTTAATCTGCTTTGCCAACCTCTCTATTTTGATTGATGTATTTAAACCATTTACATGTAATTTAATTATTGATTCATTAGGACTTAAGTCTGACTTTTTCTTTTTTCTTTTTCTGTTTGTTGCCTCTCATTTTTGTTTCTCTATTTTCTTTTTCCTGCATTCCTGTGGGTTACCTGAGCATTTTTTAGAACTCTATCTTATTGCCAGAGTTTTTGAATATATCTCTGCACAGCTTTTTAAGTAATTGCTCTATGTGTTGCCTTACAAACACATTACTTATCATAGTCTAAGGATGTCCAACCTTTACTAGTTCCAGCAAAGTATAGAAAACTTAGTGCCCTTTACATTCCTTTACCCCATTTAAAATATATGCATCTTAAATATTTTCTCTGCATACATGATAAAGTATTTTTATTATGATAATGTACTATAGTTTTTAACTGTCAAGCAAACTTGGAAAACTCAAGAGAAGGAAAGTATTTTGTATTTACCTATCTTTTATATTTTTACCATTTTTCTCACTCCTACCTGATGCCCTAAGTTTCCTTCTTTTATTGTTTTATTTCTATTTAGAAAATTTTTTTATAGCCGTTCTTTTATGGCAGTTCAACTGAAGACTGATTCTCTTAGTCTTCCTTGTCGGAGAATGTTTTAATTTTTTCTTTATTTCTGAAGGATATTTTGGTTAAGTTAGAATACTGAGTTTAATAAAAGATGTCAGTCATTATTTAACATTGAGGGAGCCTTAAAAGGGCCACATAGCAATATTTGGAAATCATGTGGGTTAAAGTATAGAAACTCAGAAAGATAAAGAAGCAGTATTTTCTATGTTTTTCACAAGTATTGCTATGGATATACCTCAGCTATAAGTTTAATATTGTAAACTGTCAATCAAGAATACAAAATAGTTTCCAAAGTAGGAGATTTTAAAGATGTTGAAACTGTTCCATGAGATTTACTTCAGGATAAACGGAGTAAACAAAATAAAATAGTCTGTAGACCATGGATTAGCAACTTAAAGCCTATGGGCCAAAGTGTCCTGCTGTCTTTTTTGTAAGTAAAGATTACTGAACATCACCATGCTCATTCCTTTATATATTGTCTATGGCCGCTTTAACTCTACAGCAGTAGAAGTGAATAGTTGCAACAGAGACTATATGGACAGCAAAGCCTAAGTTACTTACCATCAGGTCCTTTAAAAAATGTTTGCTGACTCCTGCATCAGATATTTTAAAAGAGGTTTAGGTCTTAAGTTTTGTTTCCCAGCTGAGATATATAGATTTAGCATATTAAAACTTCTGTAATTATCTTAAATAGAGTCTTAAGACAGCAAACGTTAATTCCTAATTATCTGAAAAACTAGGAGACAGTAAAACATGAAAATTATGAGCTAAAATCTATGAACACTGCTGGGATCTATTGTTTAAATTAATTACGAAAATAGTTTAAGTCATTACAGTTATAAACCAGAAAGTGTTATTTCTTATTAGTGCTCTCAATTCCATTGCCTTTCCTCTTTATTCAAAGGAAGACTTCTTAGAAATGCTGAGAGCTGGACCAACACCAAGTGTGTTATGAACAGACTGTGTACATGTACACAGCCTGTCACCCAAACACTGTAATTCTTTATGAACCTTGCTTCAGGTTGCAATCCTGACACTACACTCTGCTCTTTGATGTTAGTAGAAAAAAAAATTCAGTAAAACCGGCAAATTATGCTGATGACATTTCAACAATACCAGATCTTTAGATTACAAACTATGGTTCTAGTTCCATTGCAGAGTTGCATTCTATGTGGAGCTTTTGTGAATTTCCAAAATGGCTTTACATAATGGATAATTATATAATGAATGAATCTACATAATGATGGCAAGTTAAACTTTCACCATAAGACTGCACACCAATAATTTATATATGCAGTTAAAATTGACTCTTTTTTCTGAGAGTTTTCTTTATAATTTTAACTTTCATTTGTCTGTTTCCAAAGTCCCCTCTACTTCTAACCAGTAAGTGGTGAGCTATGCTAATTTTTAAATTCAGAGCTGTTAATACCTGTGATTTGAATAAAGAAAGAAAATTTCTAGTATTTTAAGACACATATAATGCCAGAACAATGGGCCTCTTGATATGATGAATCACTATAAAAATAAATCCACAATACTTCGAGGAAGGTGCTTACCCATAAAAAAACAAAAAGGAGGAACCCACCAAACATTTCATAAAAGATTTTTTTTCTTATGGAATTTTATTTTCTGAGAGAGCAGGGGCATTTAAAAAATGACATGCCACGTTGTTTCCCCTTGGTGCACTGAATCTGGGGAGCAGATAATGCTTAACATTAGGCTGTCCACATTTTGTGAATTCGATTTTTTCAAGAGTCTTTCCCTTATTGATTTTCATCTCATGTTACATGTATAGGGAAAGTAGTATGTAAGTGATTATAACTAAACAAGTTAGGAGTTTGTTTAAAAGTTATTATCTTGGGCCAGCCACGGTGGTTCATGCCTGTAATCCCAGTAATTTGGGAGGCCGAGGTGGGCAGATCATTGAGGCCAGGAGTTCAAGACCAGTCAGGGTGACATGCCGAAACCCCGTCTCTACTAAAAATACAAAAAGTAGCCAGACATGGTGGCACAGGCTTGTAATCCCAGCTACTTGGGAGGCCGAGGCAGAAGGATCGCATGAACCCAGAAGGAGGAGGTTGCAGTGAGCCGAGATGGCGCTGCTGCACTCCAGCCTGGGCGACAGAGTGGGACTCCGTCTCAAAAAAAAAAAAAAAAAAAAAAAAAAAAAAAGCCTGGACGCAGTGGCTCACGCCTGTAATCTTAGCACTTTGGGAGGCCGAGGCGAGTGGATCGCGAGATCAGGAGATCAAGACCATCCTGGCTAACACGGTGAAGTCCTGTGTCTACTAAAAATACAAAAAGTTAGCCAGGCATGGCGGCATGCGCCTGTAATTCTAGCAACTTGGGAGGCTGAGCCAGGAGAATCACTTGAACCCGGGAAGCGGAGGTTGCAGTGAGCCGAGATCGTGCCACTGCACTCCAGCCTGGGCGACAAAGTGAGACTATGTCTCAAAAAAAAAAAAAAAAAAAAAAAAAAAAGTTATAATCTTGGAAAATGCAACCTTTACTTTGGTTATAAATTTCATGCTAATTCATGCTGAGGTGGGATTCTACAGATGGAAATTCCATTCATAATATTAGATGGATACTATAAGTATCCGGAAGGAACATTAGGTACTACCAATGTATACAATGAGTCCATCTAATACTTACATTAAGTATTATTTATTCAGCACTTAGTATAGCCCAGGCACTGCTCTAACATAGGTTAGCACATAGTAACTAGTATTCTTGTGAAGTATTATAACCATGCAATACATTCAGGAGAAAAACAGCATGATGTTAATTTGAATACAAGTTGTGCTGATCATTTGAACCCCATAGTCAATGGAGGTATAATTTGATTGCTCTCACCCATAAATGTTAAGTTGTATTCATCAAGGCTAATTTTATACACAGATAAAACCTACTGGAATTTTGTGCTGTTCTTGGATCCTTATTGAAATATATATGAGTAAGAAAGAGAAAATAGCTTAATAACGATTTTTTAAAAATCAAGACCCAATGTGTCCTTGGCAATTATAGAGAAGAGCACATGGTTGGCTTGCAGTAAATTATTATTAGAAGAGTTTTGACCTCTGGTGTAATAGAGTACTATATCAATTTTTTCTTCACTCAAAATGAATATTTTGCTATGGAATATTAATTGTGCAACAGCTCATTTTAAAATTATGTTTTTCTTGGTTAACTTGACCATAATTAGGAATAATCATCACTAGTAGAAAATTATAATGATTATAATAATCTTGGACTATATATCAATAAAACTGTGTTAAACTTTTAATTATAATCATTCTCACTTTTAGTATGCTATCTCTTTAAGATTCGGGCAAGTGAAACTACATGTTTTAAGCAATTACAATTACACAGTAGGCATTCAATAAATATTTGTTACAAGAAAAGATATTTTAGAATACTGTAAAATCTTAATGTGACTAATAAATGTATCTGATTAATCTTTTAAACATTAATAAAACTAATAATTATTTATACTCATAACCTACATGACTAGATCATTTTCTAAAGAAGTTACAGAATAAACATCATTTTTATGATTATTAAACTTCTATTGAAAAGGCAATATTATATAGAGCTTAAAAGGACTATGGTTAGGACTTGGGTTACCTGGTTTCAGATTCCTCCTCTGCCAGTCACTGCATGTGTTAGCCTGAGTATATTTCTTAAGCTCCCTATGCTTCAGTTTCTTTATCTACAACATGAAGATGATAATAATAGCAGCAATGTAACAGGGTTGTTACACAAAAGAGATATTACAGGCAAAGAGTTAAAAAAAAACTCATCCAAAATTAAGAGCTTTAACTTTTTAGCTATTATTATTAAAATTTACCATATACTTCATTTTTTACGTAGAAGTTGTTTGAGGACAGATAATAAAAGATCGTGATGAATACTGTGTTCTTATGTGATAAAATCAGGTAAATGCAAGTTAATGATTGCCCTTCTAAACTGGTGAAATTTTATTTTGTATTCTGTTTCTTCTATATAAACAGTATAAGAGGAGAATGTTTACTGGGCAATCACCAGAATGATTTCCAGACACAAAATTTTTACTTATTCAGATTTCATAAACTCTGGGTGATGAGAGGGGAGGACAAGAAATGGAATATATTAGAGAAGGGTTACATTTTTTAAGAGAATGTTTTATCTGGTTTCATTCTGTGCTATAGAAAAAAAATCTGTCAAAATTAAGAACAAAAGAAAAGAGTCTTTCACACAGCTATAGCTTCCTAAGCGGTTGGCATTAGAATAAAGGAACCAAGTCTCTCTGAGACTTCCATATAACTATTAACCTAAACAAAGCCAAAGTAAAAAGATGTAAAGGATACTAGGACCAGAGGGCTGTTAATGATGGTGCCAAGTTTTTCTTCTTATTATTATTAATTTTGGCAAATTATCTAATCTTAGGTTGTTATGCCTTCCAATTTTGGCCTGTTAAAGTTTTAAAAATTTTATGGAGAGCATTCTCTATCAGAAGACAGCACTTTGACTCCCTATAAAATGTCTCAAAGGGAATTTTGTCCAGAGGGAAGACAGTCAAAACCCATGAAATGTCTCCTAGCATAATACAAATATCTCATGAAATGGTGAAAAGCTAATTTTGACAGTTCGACAAAAGAGGTAAAATGCAACATTTATTGCACATAAATGCTGTATGTAAATTTTGCCTGAGAGATCATGACTTAAAAAACTAGATTCATTGTATATTTTTTGTCTAAGGCTCTGTTTCAGTGTAATCTTCAGAAATTTATAGAGAATATTATTGCATAAATTTATAAATTAAAGCCATTCTAAAGTCTTGAGAACTTGCCCTCAAAATATATAGAATTATGGAATTTATTAAACAATTTTGTTTTTGAGGGTTTTTTTCACCTTTCCTGTTAGCCAGGTTTTTTTTTTTTATTTTCATTTTGCATTTGATTTGAATGTAATTCAGTACCAGCCGTATTGTTTCTGAACAGTGCTGAAGCTCTGAAGATGTATTACACCCATGCATCATCATAGCATTGTCATTCTGACGATGTATTAGTGTAATACATCTTCAGACCCCTCAAATGAGAAGCTGTCTGTGAGGAATGGAGACAGGAGCAAATTCAATTCAATTACAGTACAAAAGAACCAGTTGAAGAGAAGGAAAGAACTCTCAGAGCAAGATTCTCTGTGGAGTTGATTACAACTGGGTATTTCATGGAAGTATATTCTATTTTTCCTTTTGTGACATGACAAGAAATAATTATGGATTTTGAACACATGTCTGTAGAGATAAAATGGCTTCTCAACCCTCGCTGTTTAACTCAGTAGAGGCCTGATGTGGTTTTTTTTGGTTTTTTTTTTTTGTTTGTTTTTGTTTTTTGTTTTTTTGAGGCATTTGATTTAAGGGGAAGTTGTGAAAGCAGTGCTATTTATTCAACATATTAATCCACAGTATACAGTTGCCCTACAGATTAGTTTACTAAAATGTGATATAAGGCAATAAGGAATGTTACCCTTTCAAAAAAGTCTTAGATGACACTTTTCAGATTTTCACACAGAAGTGAAGAGGAACAATGGCTAACTAAAAAGTGATCAGCAGGCAACAAATGAGAGAACCAACACTTTTCAGCCAGAACTTATTTCCACTAGATTCTGCTGCCTGGAGTGATCAATAAGTCTTCTTGCTAGTGTAACTTTTTCTTGGATATCTCTCATGTATTAAAAAACAGTGAGACTCAATTTCATCATATGACAAATACATTTGAGGCTTAAAGATTTCAATCTAAACTTAACATGTTTTGCAAAAATAGATTACTTAAATAAAATATCCTTAACTCATTACATAAAGGTTATATTATAAATATTTATTTTACATCTGTTTTCTTCAAAACTCATCTATTCAACACTTACTATGTCAGACTTTGTGCCAGAATTTAAGTATATAGCAATAAGAGGAAAAATTATAGCTACCACCATCAAGGAGTTTAAAATCTTGCCAGAAGAGACATAATATGAAGAGTGAAAAAAATTACACATTAACAATACAACAATGAGGCATTTTTGCAGAGTTGTCTTTTAAACTGAGCCTTGAAGTTTAAGGACAGGAAGTTGCTAATTGATGGGAACAGCATTTAAAATGCTTGAAGGCAAGACAAAAGTTGTTCTGTTCTAAGACTGAAGTCAGTGGGCATGGGACAAACTGAGAGGAGGGGAAGAGAGCGACTTAAGTTGGGCTTGGAGAAGGTTAGTTGGGGCTGGACAGATCAAGTAAGGATAACAGGCCATGGTGAGAGTTTAGTATATTTTTCCCCTAAATGCAAAAGGAAGCTATAGAAAGTTTTGGAGCACGTAAATGATGTGATTTAATTTTAATTTTTAGAAGATGTTTTTAGTGCTATGTAGAGAACGAGTTGCAGAGAAAGCATGAAGCAGAAGAGGGATATCATTTAGGAAACAAGAGTAGTAGCTGAGAGGTTGACTTGAGGGTAATGACAGTGGAGGTGAAGAGGACTCGGGGAATCCCATAATATACAGGTAAAACCAACAGACTGATAGATTGGAGATGGGGAATGCCTCTTAGTTTTCTGGCTTCATCAATGTGGAAAATAGGCATGCCATTCAATGAGATGGGGTAGAATAGAGGAGAGGAGAAGGATATTTGAAAGAAAAATCAGAATTTCTGTTTTGCTATGTTAATTGTAAGGCATGTTAGACACTCAAGTGAAAATGTCAGTGAATAATTGGATATATGAAGCTTTTTCTCAAGGAAGAGGTCAGGACAATAAATGAAACTTGGAATCATGAATGTAAATCTGTCCCAAGCAGGCAGAGTAGACAGACAGCAGAGAGCCCAAGGCCAGTATCTGAAGATTTGAAAGACAAGAGCAAGAGACTGAGAAAGAGTTTCCAGTGTGACAGATGAAGACCTAGAAGAGTGAAACTCAGAGAGGAGAGGGGTTTAGTAATCAGAAAGTGATCTAATGAGTTAAAATATAACAAAAGATAGAATAAGATATATGGAAAAGTGTCTATTATATTTAGCAGCATGGAGATCCTTTCTGACCTTCATAAAAGCACTTTCAGTGAATCTCTGGGAACTGGAGCCAGATTGAATGAGCTGAATAGGGAATGCAGGTGGGGGTGGGGAGTTTTGTGGTGAGGTAGAGAAGAAAAGTGGGATATTTGCTGGACTGCTGTTTAGGGTTCCAGATAGGGATGCTATTCTAAGAGAGAGAATAGTATGGCAACACCATGTATCTATCATTTGGCTTCAACAGTAATTGATACATAGCTAATTTTGTTCATCTAAACTGCCTCCCCAACTTAAGAGGGGATTTTTCCTTATTTCACCAAAAATATTTATGTTAAAAAGACCATAATAATAATGGACCATAAGCAATTGCAGAACACTGAAACGCTAATGTATCTTAAAGGAAAACGGACATAGTAGCAATTGTAGAAGTGATTTCCTCTGCTCGTTTATATTTTCTTTGTAAACCCACGATGTAGAGGTCTTCAGTGAGGCGCTCTGTTTGACCAACACAGAGAGCATGAGGAGCCCAGCACCTCTGAGGTGGGTACTGTGTGCTGGTCATTGGACTCCACTTCCTCAGCTCTGCTACTGGAGCCTTTCCTGTCACTTCTGAGGAACACAAAGTTCCTCAGTGGCAGCTCTTTCAGGAAACCTTCGAGTCTCCTCTTTTTGATAGTACCCTCTGTCTCTCTCTTAGTTCTGTTCCATTGCTTTATCCTGAAATCATGTGTGCTTTATGCTCAATTCATCACCCCAGGTGTCTGCTGCTGCTGACTGGGACTGTCACCTGGCAGTTTATTGCTCAAAGAAATCACCATCATTTTCCTTTCCTTGTGGTCTGTAACAGGAGGTGCAGTCTTCGAAAAAGTCAGCATTTCTCTTCCCAGGTGTTCTTCTGCTCTCCAGCCGTCACATATTGCCAACTGCTCCCATCACCATTCTGAAATGTTACAGAGCATATGTTGGATTCGCAGAGTTAATCAGGAAATTACAAATTACAAATTAGAAATCTACCCATGAAAAGTGATATGGATCTATTAAAGAAACAATGACAGCTCATTCTCCGAATATAAAGAAGGGAATGTATAACCACTAGAAAATTCAGGGGAGAAATCTTGTTAACAATCCCCAGGCAGAAGACAGTCTTGGTATCAGTGATTCCCTATAGCAAATGATGGAAAGAGTAGTATCTAGGTATATAATTACTAATTATAAGGATGATTATTACTGTTCTGAATTAAGTATTGAGACATGGGCAAAAGACTCCTGAGATATATTACACCACTGACTGCTGCCACTTTTAAGGATTCATGTGGGTGTAGTCAACACCATTTTTTATCTCTGCTAGAGTGCAAGATCTGTAAGAGCTGAATATACTTCTACCTCGATCCTCATTATACTTACATATAGTATGTGCCTAATATATTTGAATGAATGATAAAACCCAAAATAATTTAGGTAATTTTACATAATGATTTGAGCTCTTCTTTCACTATCCTTGGTAGCAATATGATATCAACAGTATCTTTGTGTGAATACTATTGTCTGCCAGGCAATATATTAATTTTCTTAGTTAAACCTCAAAAAATACCTATATTATAGGTAGTATGTTTGCATTTTTGAGTGAAAGAACCTGGGACTCTTAGTATTTCATCATTTTCCCAAGGACTACAACTAGTATCTGAGTCGTAATTCACACTCAATTCTGATAGACCCCAAAGCCGAAGCTATTAACCATTACTAAAGGAAGATATAGAATATAAATTACTAGCTACATGGACTTGCTAAAAAGTAGAATTAGAATCTCCAGCTCATGGGCTTACTATTGTAGAATAATTTTCACATCAAAATGACTAAGATTTTCTGGAGGAATTTCCAATATAGAGAGCTAGTATAACATAGAACTGAAACCATGTTAAGTAGCGAATCTCCTGTTCCTGGAAATAGTAATAAAGACTGAATAATCTCTTATCAGGAATGCTGCCTAAGTGAACTCTGGCATCTATGAAAGTGAGAGGGTACATGAATGATTGATTCCATAGTATTTGATTTATAGACCGGGGAGATATTTCCTTCTAATGTGGAGAAGGTCTTTATTTGACCAAGAAATATATTAAACAAAATTTTGCCATCTGCTCTCACCATTATTTCATAAACCAAAGATAGGTTCATGCAAAAGAGGAAAACATAGCATACACTTAGAATAAAAACAGCCCTATGCAAAAATGAATAGTTGATAATCTTACATCAGATATTAATCTTTATCTGTTTGTTTGCATAGCTAGCTGGCCAGTAAAACCAAAATTGTGTGTTTCCTCTAGATCAGGAGTCAACAAACTACATGTGGGAAAAATCCCTTTCCCTACCTATTTTTGTATATAAAGTTGTATTAGAACATAATCACACCCATTTGTTTATGTATTATCTATGACTTCTTTCACGTGGCAAGAGCAGAGTTGAGTAGTTGTAACAGAGAACCTATGGCCTGCAAGTAAGAAAATGTTTTCTACCAAGTATTTTACAAAAAAAGCTTAGTGACCCCTTACAGAAATTATAAAAGGACCCCATCTCTTATTTAAAGAACTTGTTTCCTTCTCAGTATTACACTGAATATGGACTTCTATTGCATCTTAGAAGGGCAATACTTTATTTCGTGGTTACTACTCCAGCGTATTGTATAATTCCTATAGAGAAATGTTTCTACATTTTTTCTTCAACTAATTATTTAAATATATCAACATGTTTTCAATTTTGCCAATCCAGTTAACCAATGACCCAGATGACCACTACATTTCCAGCAAATTCTATGACTTTAAAATTTCATATTCTCATATGACGATAAATTTTCCATTCACATAATGTCCTCCACATATATGTCAATAATAATTTTAAATGGAATTCTGAAAGAGTATATCCTTGACTGCATTTTTCTATTGATGGAGAAAATGTGTCTTCTGGCCTTCCCTTCAGGAAAAATGCTGCTCTGAGCCCAATAGGCACTTATGAGACAGGCTTTTTTTTTTTTGGAAAGGTAGCTTGGAGTTAGCACATTTGCCTGGGAGGCCTGTGGGCTTCCATTGATTGACAGCCACAGAAGCAGCTCTGGGCTGAATAGCTCCTGGGTAGTAAGGTAAAAGTCACTGTTTGACTAACATCCAATGGGTAGAGAAAGCACAAGAAACAAACAGTGGGAGAAAAAAAGTTGTCAAATAAAATCAGTAAGGTCTCTGTTTGGGATTTGGGAAGTCAAACAATGGGGAAATGTGTGATTTAATAGTATTGGTTTTCAGAGACATCCTCAACAGAGCCTCTTAAATGCCCTTAACAGGGATTCATTGTGTTAAATGTTGATCATTCACTGTTCTATGAGTCAAATACTTTTCTTGAAGTGCTCAAATTATACTGAAATCTAAACTATAATAAGCACTATCTCTATGCTTTAGAGGTGAAATAAGTAAACTGTATAAATAAATATGAAATTGCAGATTAAAATAACAGATCTTGGGATGCTCATTACTGATCTTAGCTAAGAGTTCATCTCTTATTGAAGGGGAGATAAAAACTGAAACTACTGAATTACTCAGTCATATTGGATATTACTCTGTGTAATATCAGGCTAAAAAAGGGATACAGGCTAAAGAAAGAACAAAAAAAAAACAAAACAAAGAATGATAGATTCATACCAAATATTTTACTATATTCTCACCCCTAAAATGAAAGTACACCTGTATAAGATCATCACTAAGGTATTTTGCACTCCAAAGTCCTTCAATTCTGTAAATCTAGTCATAAACTAAGTTCTATAGATGGAATATATAACATTTTTTCCCATTATATTGTCCTAAAATACATATAAATCAATTTATATACATGTCCACACACAGAAACATGGAGATTTGATGAAACCATTTAAAGAAAACTTTGGGGTAAAATAAAAAATAAAAAAGCTTCTTAAAAATATAAATGATTAAGTAATACACAATAAGATGGTTTGGCTGTGTCCCCACCCAAATCTCATCTTGAATTGTACCTCCTACCATTCCCACATGTTATGGGAGGGACCCAGTGGGAGGTAATTGAATCATGGGGGTGGGTTTTTCCCATGCTGTTCTCGATAGTGAATATGTCTCATGAGAGCTGATGGTTTTATAAAGAGGAGTTCCCCTGCATAAGTTCTCTCTTCCCTGCCATGTAAGATGTGACTTGCTCCTCCTTCCCTTCTGCCATGATTGTGAGGCCTCCCCAGCCATGTGGAACAGTGAGTCAATTAAACCTCTTTTCTTTATATGTCTCGGGTATGTCTTTACCAGCAGGATGAAAACAGACTAATACATATATACTTTCTGGGGAAATCAGTAGCAGCTCAGTAAAAATCTAAAATCTGACCTTTGCTCATATAGGGCAAAGAGAATATAACACAGTGGCTTATCGTCCAAAAGAAAGGAGCAGGGCCGGGCGCGGTGGCTCACGCCTGTAATCCCAGCACTTTGGGAGGCCGAGGCGGGTGGATCATGAAGTCAGGAGATCGAGACCATCCTGGTTAACAAGGTGAAACCCCGTCTCTACTAAAAATACAAAAAATTAGCCGGGCGCGGTGGCGGGCGCCTGTAGTCCCAGCTACTCGGGAGGCTGAGGCAGGAGAATGGCGTGAACCTGGGAAGCGGAGCTTGCAGTGAGCCGAGATTGCGCCACTGCAGTCCGCAGTCCGGCCTGGGCGACAGAGCGAGACTCCGTCTCAAAAAAAAAAAAAAAAGAAAGGAGCAAACCATTTCATCAGGAGAGATTGATTTTTGTAGCTTTGTGAGGCATTTTTATATGTGTCTGTAAATAGGGACATTAAACTGTTGACAGGGCTATAGTGACTGCTTCTGTATTAATCATTAAATGTTAAAAATAAGCATTTTTTGGTACTTTACAGTGGTCTGACAACAAAATAATACAGCTTTAAAATGCTGGAGGAGAAAATATCCAACACAACTAATTGCCTCTTCTAAATATTGAACAGGAATTGTTCTTCAAATAATGAAAAAGTGACATTGGAACTATCTGATCAAGTTCCATGAAATGGAGCAAGAGCTGGTTGTTCTTACCTAAGACGAGAGTAGCTTCTGCGAGATGGGGAGTCAGGCCAAGTACAGTGAAGAAAAACACACAAGCAAATGAAAGGGCCCAAGCAGCTGTCAAAAATAGGATGTCAGGGACACGAGCTCAAAATTAATAAAATTAATAACTATCCTTTCCTAAGTATGATTATCATAGCAAATATGATATAAGTGCTGCAGATATGCTATACTACATATTCTTGTAATAACACACAAAGATGTACTGATATTATTATGTTCATTTTACTCACGAAAAATAACAACTGAGGTTTAGGTAAGTTAAGTGAAAATATTAAGAGACACCATTGTTGAATAGTTTGCCTATATAAATTTTGAGTATTTTTACATGGAGATAATATTCTATCTTGTGTTTTATTCAAGATTACACTAACTAAATGGTGATTCTGTGAAAAATTGTGATACCTCAGTAATAGTGATAACAGGAAAAAGTGTTTTCTTAGTTAAACATCCTCTTCCATATTGCATCAGAACATTCCATTCAAGATGCTGTGATTATAAACATTATTTTTTGTTAGTTTTGTTGATGTAAGTGTGTTTTGATAGAAAGCATCAAAGAATATTGAAAGCATCATTCTTATTTTAAGTTAACAAGTTCTCAATGATTTCCAGAAAAACAAAAATACTATGATCTTATTTGATTTATGAAGAGCCCTATTTCATAGTTTGACTTCATTCTCCTTGTGGAAATGTTTTGACTATTTTCTTCAGATAATTTTCTTTGATAAGTCTCTAATTTTTTTTTGTTCCTCCTGTGTGAATCATAAGAAACATATTACAGTCCTTTATAGACCACAGTCCTTCTATGCATTAGAGCTTCAGAAACACTGTCCATTTTTTCATGCCAAAGTGAAATTTATTTAATTTCATTTATTTTAAATTATGTCATCATGTGAGCACCGAATAGTCCTTAGGTAAATTTTTTCCAATAATTATAATACAATTTTTTAAAAGGCAGAAATAAATTTCATTGGCATTAGCTAACTAAAATCTAATAAGCCCACTGAAATATTATAAGTAAATATGCAAACCAAAGGGCATAACCTCTGAACTTTTTATATGTTTTCTTCAGGATACAGGTATCATAGGTCATTAATAAGGTCTCAATATGTCATCACTATTCTCCCTTTATTTGGAAACTGACGTTTGTTTAAAACCTAAGAAAATATAGCAGTCTACCTTTAAATTAAAAGAACAAAAGTGAAGATATGTATACATATATATACTCAGTGAATTCATGCAGACCTATTTGTATGTTTCATCAGAAATGAACTTCAAATTTAGGCATGGGGAACTACATTGTGTACTAACATTATTAATTATCAAGAAACTTTGTAACACTGAGTTTGTAGAGGACTTTACTTAGGAAGCTAATCATATACTGTCAGCCAGTATGTACGGTAAAGTAGGGAAAATGGAAAGAACACTAGATTGTGTGTCAAAATAATTATTTTCTCTCAAAGTTCTTCTATTTTACCTTGTACTGTTGAGCAGAGTATTTAATGTCTTTGGGATTTGGTCTTCTCATATCTAAATGAGGAAAGTTACACTTGTTCAACTGAATTGTTTTAATAACAGAATAATCAACATGAAAGTATTTACAAAATCAGAAGGCTTCAGCAAATGTAAAAAATATATTGGTAGACTTATTCTGTCCAATACAATTGGATTTGAAAGAACCTGGATGATAGGAATTAGTTTTAATTTTTCTAACTCTATTTTTTTCCCTAAAACTTTGGAAGCCAGATCCCTCTAACTCTAATCAAATATAAATGTTAAAAAAAAAAAAGGTGAAGGATGGGGTATGGGTGGAAAAGAATTCAAGATTATTATAAAAATGAGAAATCCACCCATTCTACCTGGTCTCTTCGATTGTTTCTATTATTATATGAAAACGGACTGGGCGCAGTGGCTCATGCCTATAGTCCTAGCAGTTTGGGAGGCTGAGGCAGGTGGATCATTTGAGGTCAGGAGTTTGAGACCAGACTGGCCAACATGGTGAAACCCCATCTCTACAAAAAGTACAGAAATTAGCAGGGTGTTGTGGCCCATGCCTGTAGTCCCAACTACTTGAGAGGCTGAGGCAGGAGAATCGCTCAAACCCAGGAGGTGGAAGCTGCATTGAACTGAGGTCATGCCACTGCGCTCCAGCCTGGGTGACAGAGCAAGACTCTGTCTGAAAAAAAAAAAAAAAGATGTAAGAAGTTTTCACCACATGGCTATTTTCACTCAGAAGAAAGACTAAGTGATTTCTACATTTATTTTTATGTTTTAATATTGATCCTGTGCTGTACTGAGATGGATTTAATGGAAGAAGATTGACTGTTCTGCATATCTATGATATCTGATCCTGTCTAGTAAATATCTATAAAGGAAATACTTCATCCTTTTTTTCTTTTTTTTTATTAATGAGATTTATATGCCTGACTTCAGAATAGCTCTTTTCCAGTGTGTCTATTTGTCACTAAGTCAATTGCCCCTTTATATGATAAAAAGCTGATGTATTTTACTATTCACTAGAGGAAATAGTCATAAGTAAGATAGCCTCCCTCCTACACTCAATTTAATTGTTATTTGAAAGCCAGTAATGCAACTGAATCATTTACACTAGCTATATCCTTTATTTTTGGAAGAGGACTGAAAACTTCAGTGACCCTTAGAATCAGATAAGCTTTTTACATAATTGAGACAGCCAATATTCCATTTTTGATGGCTAATATCCAGGCTGCCTGAAAGGCATTTGAGAGAGGGAATTTGCCATGCAATTAAAAGGGAACTGGAACTGTAGAAAACATTCATACATTTCTTTTTGGAAACTTTAGAAATCTGTGTGTGTGTGTGTGTGTGTGCGTGTGTGTGTGTACGCGTGTGTGTGTGTACATGTGTGTGTATGTGTGTGTATACGTATACATATTTATAAATATTCTTTTCAAGTAAGGAGACATTGTGTGAGTATTTTGACAGAAGTGGCAGAAAAAAAAGAAGATGCATTGAGGAAAATGGATTTAGCTGTGATGCTGGAAGCTAATTTCCAGGGAGAATTAACAAGAAAAAAAAAAAGAAGATTTCTCAAATGATAGTCACTTAAGGACTTACATAATGAGCAGTTGAAGATAATTGGCACTTTATTTCACTCAAAAATGTGATTTTTAAGGATTTTTCATAGCTGTCAGTTATAACCAGATAATCTTAGACTAAAGAGTATTTCAGATTTGCTGAAACACCTATCTAAGTTTGCTATCCCGTGTTAGAAATCTCACAATTTCCTCTAGGTAATCTTGAACTCTTGCCTCTTGCAGCCTTAAACAACAGATTTAATTATTTTATTTATTCATTAATTAAACATTTATATAAAGCCTGACACATGGCTCTACAGGAGCAGAAAAGAGTGTTTTCTTTCCTCCTCATCATAAGGGTCATGGCCAACACCTGTGTGACAAAGACAGGTTAGCAAGAAAAGCATAACATATTTGTATGAACATACTTTTATATGACACAGGAGCCTTCAGAATGAAGATCCAAAGATAAGGGAAAACTATCCATTTTTATGCGTAGGTTCAATGAAATATGGACAGGCATGTAGAAAGGGAATGATCTAATGCAACCAGACTGAGGGGGGAAACTCAGCAAGGTCTGTTTAGAGTGTTCTTGGCCTCTCTTTAGAGCATTTCCTCCTCCTAGATCTAGAGTAGGACCCCTTTGGAATGAACATCTTAATTACTTTATGGCCAGCTGTTACACAGAAAGGCAGGATGCAAGATTAGAGTAATATTTTTAGGCTTTATGGTTGGCTTTGGGAAAAACAGGTTATGATTTCTGTTTGTTTGTTTGTTTGGTTTTTGACATAGTCTTGCTCTGTCGCCCAGGCTAGAGGGCAGTGGCACAATCTCGGCTCACTGCAATGGTGAGAGAGACTTTGCTTCTGAGGGGCTGCTTTTTAAGCCTTCACTTTGAGTTATTGTTTTCTGAGGCCCATCATTCCCTGGTCTGAAACTTTCCCAAAATTTTTACAGTCCAGAAACTGGGGTGGTAGATTGTCTCATAAGCCACTGAATCAGTCTCTCAGTCTCAAGAATAGGTTAGTCCAGTTAAATTGGTTACAGATGTGTCTCACTCAGGCAGTGATGTTGTAGATCACCCACCAAAGTCAGGGCTCTATATAGTGTGAGCAATCAAATATTTAATAAGAGGAATTTCTCCTGAAAGAAGAAAACAAAGCTTTATGTTTAGAACAAACTATAAAACTCAGGGTTTTTGTTTGTTTGTTTGTTTGTTTTAGTCCAGAGAGCAGCCAGCCAAGATTTTTAGACGTTGCACTGGAAGCATGTATAGATGGAAAAAGAGTAGACAGTGGAAATCTCACAGCTTTTCCTGGTTTATAGTTTGCATCAGATAAATGTTGTGAATAGTCGATACAGCAGTAGGCACAAAGGTTAATTATACATAAGCCATTGTGGTGATTTATTTGAAGTTTATATCAAATTGTTTAACTTCAGTTTGTAGGACCTCAAAAAAAGAGAGAAGTTTTAATTTTAATGATTTCAAGGAAGAAGGATAAGATAAAGCTTATAAACCTTAGTCCAGAGAGTCACAGTCATATAATGGAAAAAACAGAAAGTTCAGAATTCAGTTCAAATAATAATAACACTCAAAAACAATGCCTAGAATCTAATAAGTGCAGTATAGTTTTCTTCTGCCACATAATTTTTCTCTGTTTCATTCCCCCATTTCCACCAAAGGTATTTATGATAAAACTATTTCTTTGTAAAGTAAATTTAGTTCATTAACTTGGGATGATTATTTGCATAAAGTGCAGTAAGAATAATGATTTTTAATATAGGTTATTTTAAAGTTGGCATTGATGAAATTTTTTCTTAAAAAACTAAGATTGAACTTGTGAAAACCTCTCAAACTAGGAAGCTAAGCCAAGAATTTGACTTGTTCTCAGATGGTGTCTACATACCTGTATGCATTAGGTGAATTTCACCCTTCTCAAGGTCCTCATTACTGGGCCTATCAGAAAATGACTTTCTTTACTAACTAGAAGATCAAAGATCTTAAAAGGGAACTGAGTAGACACGATACTAGGCCAGTTATTCTAACGGGCTTTTTATTGGCTCCATGAAAGTCAACCTTGATCCCTCAAAGATATATGGATATGGATATATAGGTATATGTGGATATAGACAGATGTAAATATGGATATATTATGACATGGATATGTTGTTTTTAAACCTGCCTGGCTTATTATTATTATTATTATTATTATTATTATTATTTACAGAGTACTTGCTATGTGCTCCATTTACCAAGCACTTTATATATATATATATATATGTTATTTGTCATAAACATATTATTATCACCCTTCCTTTACAAAGGATAAATTATGGCTGCAGAGCAGAGTAAAGATTTGGACCCTGAGCTTTACAGCTATCAAGTTCATTCTCCTAAACTTCGTGTAGTCTGAGGCTAAAAAATAAATAATACTAAATAAGGTCAAATGTCATCTGCTTAAGCTTAATTGACAACTCTGTCTTCCCAGATATAAAAATACACTGTCAGCACTTTTTAAATAATTAATCCTCGGGTCATCTAAGCCATGAGTGGGAGAGAATTGCAAAATTAACCAGAAGGGAGGGCTAGTAACTACAAGACAGATCATATTTCCAATTCTTGACAGAAAACATTGAGTTATTTTATAAGCAATTCCCTGTATAGAGGTGATGCTTGAATGAAGAGGAGCAAAGAGTGCAGTCTACTACTTCAATTATCTGACTAAGGGAGGACAATTCAATACATAAGACCTAAGTACCAATTAGGTAAATGAAAAACTCAAGCATGCTACACAATTTCAGGGCAGAAAGACACTCAGAAAGGCAACAGAGCTCTGCAATTGCAGGCTGATCTTCAGCCACACTGACACAGAGAACCTGGGAAAGATTTGACCCTTTGGAGATGCTGCTGAAGGTTATTAGGGCCCTATTAGAGAGCCTGAGAGAACAACAATAGCATTTAAAGGGACTCTATAAATAAGGTTCCATTTTCAGTATAGATGAGATTATTTTTAAAAATACCATACTGAAAGACATTTTTATATTCAACATAATCAGCATTAGTTAAAATTAAAATTCTTTATTAACAAAGAGGCTGATATAGTTATAAAAATTTTAGTGGAAATTTTTTCTCCGGCTGCCTTTGGAAAAAAAAAAAACCAATGACAGCTGAATCATTAGCTATCCAAATAAAAATCTTCCTGAAAAAAACAAGTAACTGCAGTTTCCTAGATTGATGTACTATCTTCACCTCTGTTATTTTATGTTTATATTAAACTACATTCTACTTTCCTCAAGAAAAATATTCTGTATTACATTTTTTTGATCCTCCATAGATCCTGGCTTAAGAAGCAACATGTCTTAGTCAGTTTGGACTGATTTTACAAATGCCATAGACTGGGTGGTTTGAATAAAAAACATTTATTTCTCACAGTTTCAGAGGCTGGAAAGTCCAAGATCAAGTTGCTAGCCATTTTGGTTCCTGGTGAGGGCCCTCTTCCCGGGTTGCAGATGGATGTCGTCTTATCTTCTCGATGTATCCTCACATAGTGGAGAGAGAGAGATAACCTCTCTTGTGTCTTCTTTTAAGAGCACAAATTCTGTCATGGGAGTGCCACCCACATGACTTCATGGCCTCTATCACACTGGGAGTCAGGGCTTCAACATCTGAATTTTGGGGGAACACAAATATTGTGTACATAAGATCTGGCCTCTGACCTCCCACAATTCATGTCCTTTTCACTTGCAAAATACATTCATTTAATCCCAATAACCAAGTCTTGATGTGTTCCAACATCAACACTAAAGTCTAAAGTCCAAAATTTCATTTAAATATCATCTAAGTCAGTTACGGGTGTGACTGAAGGTTTAATTCATCCTGAGGCAAAATTTCCCTCCAGCTATGAGCCCATGAAAACAGACAAGTTATGTGCTTCCAAAATACAATGGCAGGACAGACATAGGATAGACATTTTCATTCCAAAAGTGAGAAATGGGAAAGAAAGGGGTGACAGTTCCCAAGCAAGCCAAGATCTAGCATGTAAACTTCATGAGATATAAGGCTTAAGAATAGCCTGCTTTAGCTCAATGATTTGTTTTCCAGACTCACTAGAAGTGGTGGCCCTGCCATCCAGACCCACTAGAGTGGAAATCCTGTCTCCCAAACCCAGTGGGGCAGAACTCCCACTTTCTGCACCCACTGGGGCAGTTATCCTGTCTCTATAGATTTTCTAGGTGAGGGTCACATTCCCAGGGCTCTACTTGACAGGGGTCATTCTCCTATAGCTCCAAGAGCCCCCACCATGAAGGCTTTGGGCAGAGGCAATCTGGCCTATTGATCCTTAGGCTGATTTGGTTCCTGGTGCAGGTCTTCTTCCCAATTTGTAGATGCATGCCTTCTTGCTGAATCCTCATCTGGTGGAGAGAGAGATCATCTCTCTTATGTCTCTTTTCATAAGTGCACTAATCCTCTTACGAGAGCCCCACTCCCATGACCTAATTACTTCTTGATATAGTTTAGATCTTGTCCTCACCCAAATCTCATGTTGAATTGTAATCCCCAGTATTGGAGGTGGGGCCTGGTGAGAGGTGATTGGAATATGGGAGTGGGTTTATCATGAATGGTTTAGCACCATGCTCTTAGAACTGTCCTCACAGTCGTGAGTGACTTCTCATGAGATCTGGCTGTTTAAAAGTGTGTGGCTCCTTGCTCTCTCTTGCTCCCGCTCTAGCCATGTAAAGTGTCTGATCTTCCTTCACCTTCTGGATGATTTAAGTTTCCTGAGGCCTCCCCAGAAGCTGAGCAGAAGCCAGCATCATGCTTCCTTTACAGCCTGCAGAACGATAAGCCAATTAAACCTCCTTTCTTTATAAATTATCCAGTCTGAGGTACTTCTTTATAGCAATGAAAGAATGGTCTAATGTACTTCTCAAAGGCCTTACCACCAAATAACATAAATTCAGGATCAGGGTTTTTTGTATGAATTTTGGGGGAACATAAACATTTAATCCATAGCAAAATGTATATGGTAGGTGCTTGGCAAATACTGGCAGGAAGGGTGAATGGATATTTGGAGAGATTAATGAGTTTTTCCAGAAAGATCAACCTGAAAGAACTGAAACATAAATTAAACAAAGGAATGGGAGAATTGGGTTGATAGGAGGAAACACATATCACATGAATTAAGACTGATCAGTATTGGCAAAAGATGGCAGATACAGTTGTGATATTCATTGTCATTGCTATTATTTTTGCAATGTTCATGGCTACACAGAGTACCATATTGCTTAAAATGATTTGAGATATTCTCTAAGCTCTTAATGCAACTTTGTACCATGTTCTGCAGCTACAATTGCCAAACCTCCAGCTCAAGAGGGACCAAATGGAGAATTAACAGATCAACCCCAGACTCTGGGTGTCTTCTTCTTAGAGCAGTAATGAATGCTCTGAGATTTGGTATAAAATGAAATCAAATGATTGAATGCCTAAGACGCCATGAATGGAAGAAATCACTAAATCAAAATTTTTTTGGTGACTAAACTCATTCCCATTTTCTGAGTGTAAATCAGACACTTGAGCCAACCTCTGCAGGGTGTCGCTTTCACTCCACAGAGTCACACTGAAGTAAAGCAGGAGCCTGACCAAATAATACCTGAAAATCAATATTTTCTTGTCAACTCTGAAATTTCCAAAGCATAACTTGACCATAAGAATTGTTATTTAAAATATCCCCATTCCTTACTTATGAAGGCAATGCAAGTACTAGTAAAAGTAGACTAATCAGTATTGGCAAAAGATGGCAGATACACTTGCAATATTCATTATTTAATTTAATTTATTTAATTTCATTAAATTGCCTTCCTGCTGTTTTCCAGAGAAACCAATGATACAGTCCCTTGAGATTTGCCAGAAATAATGTTAAAATAATATATCTTGAAAATTACATTATAGCTGAATACATATGAGCTACCCAAACCCCCACTGTACTTTCCTGTGTTCAGCAGACAGGCCCCAGGAAACATCTTTGTGGGATGAAGTTCATTTTGTTTTCATAGGTTGCAACCTCATTCCTAGGATGTGGATAGTGTCTCGTTAGGAAAATTTAGCTTCATATTTTTCAGGTGAACTTGATATTTAATTCCACTACTACCATATATTCCTCTCTTTGATCATATTTATATTAATCTCAGTATCTAACAACCATATAAGATACAGAGTAGCAGAGCAAACCTAAAGAATAATGCAAATATTACATTGCAATAATGGAGTAGTAATTCATTCACCATTTACTGAGAACTATCTGTATTCTCCATTAGAGGCCGAAATGGAGAAGAATGGTTGTGACGTAGAACAAAACGTTTCGACTGCCTTCAAAAGTTTATAACATATTAGGAACATAAGGATATAAACAGCTATGTTGTAGAACTGAATGATATAAATTCCATAAGATAAGTAATAAACACAATTCCAGGGAAGTCGCAGATGAAATAAACCAGATCTAAATAGAACACATTTAAGTTGGTATCATGAAGAATTTGAACTTGTTAATAATCTTTCTGTATTAGAGACTGTGGAAGAGAAGAATGTCTGGAGTGGAGTGTCATGAAGTGGTAATGTACAAGGAGTGTTTTGGGAACATGAGGATGCTTAAGGTACATGGTAGAGATTCTAGACTTTGTTTTTATTAAATAAAACTTAAAAGCTATTAAATATTTTTGGCAAATTAATAATCTAAGTAGAGACATGCTTTATAAAGACAAAACCTATAGGGAATAGAAAGCAGGAAGACAAAAAATTCTACAGACTTCATGAAGGCAGTGATTTTTAGCTGTTTGTTTTACCAGTGTAGGTGCTCAATAAACTTTTTATTGCTTGAGTGAATCAATTTCCTGATTTTGTGAGGGCCATGAAATGAAAGTAAACTTTTATTTTTGATACTCCTAGAATTTTTTTTAAATGTGCAATTGCACACAGATAGAATAGGAGGGAAATACTCATTTTTCGGAAAAGAGTAAGAATGATTTAAGAGGGTTTTTTTTTTTTAGTTTTTTGTTTTGTTTTGTTTTGTTTTTTGTTTTGGTGGGGGTGTATTAGTCAGGGTTCTCTAGAAGGACAGAACTAGTAAGACTGTTGTATATGTAAAGGGGAGTTTATTAAGGAGTATTAACTCACACAATCACAACATCCCACAATAGGCCATTTGCAAGCTGAGGAGCGAGGAAGCCAGTCTGAGTCCCAAAGCTGAAGAACCTGGAGTCTGACATTCAAGGGCAGAAAGCATCCAGCACAGGAGAAAGATGTAGGCTGGGAGGCTAAGCGAGTCTAGTCTTTTCACGTTTTTTTTTTTTGTTTTTTTTTTTTTTTTTTCTGCCTGCCTTTTTTCTGGCTGCACAGGCAGCTGATTAGATGGTATCCACCCAGATTAAGGATGGGTCTGCCTTTCCCAGTCCACTGACTCAAATGTTAATTTCCTTTGGCAACAGGCTTACACACACACCCAGGAACATTGCAACCTTTAATTTGATCAAGTTGACACTCAGTATTAACCATCATGGTGGGTGGGGGGTGTTTGTTTTGTGTTAAGTCACTTTGAGGCTCTTTTTTGTCCTTAGTCATAAACATTTGGTAATTTAAACTGAATAAGGAAACAATGAACTCATGCTATGTAATTTTTTTTCTCTTTCTTTATTGTTACATACAATGTATAAACATTTAAAACAGAAAACAGTAGGGATCCTCGTGCATCCCTAGGAAGGCAGCAAAGAAGAAAGAGGTCCCAGAAACATTTTTTAAAATATAAGACATATCAGTGCTCGAACCAAAGGTATGGAAGGTTTAGAGCCAGCAGAGAGCTGTGTTCCCTGGGGTTGTCCTGGCTCCCCGCCAGAGCCAGGACACACAGGCAGGACACTACTGACAGAAAACTCTACACCAGACAGCATTCCCTTCTTATGGAAAGCAGGGCAACATATAAGGGTTACTAAGAGCTCCTTCCTCCCTTGAGGGCGACAACTGAGGAAAAGGAAAGTAGTGTCCCATGTCACTCTGATCCCCATCCCCAGCTGCTCTGGCCCCAGATGCCCTCATATTGACATTTACCAGAGCCTGTCTCAGCTCAGACCCTGCCTAGGTCCACCAGTTGCCCAAAGTTCTCTGGGGAGGGTGGAGGAAGAGGCTGGGTGTCAAATCAAGCAGATCTTTATTTGCAGTTGTCACTGGGGATGTTTCTTGTTGCTTATTTGTCTGCTAACCTGCTCTTTCAGCTGCATGGCAGGGCTCAAGGCCTTGATGACATCTGTCAGGGCTGAGAAGTGCTTGACTTGCTGGGCCAGAGCGGATTCCACTTCGTTCACAAATGTCTCCAGGCCATAGTCCGGCTGCTTGGTCTTTTTAGTAACTGAAAATAGAGACTGAGGTCCATAAAATGCTTTGCAGAGAGAACAAATGAAGTGAACAGGTTTTTTAGAGGTTCATTTCAGGGGCAAAGAGATGGGATAATAGCAGCCTAGGAAGGAGTGGGAGGAAGGATGATACTTCATTACTTCAGCATGGGCTGTTTCCTCCTTAGTTATGCAGATGGATAGGAAAGCTGAACTCATGTACCCAGCAGGTGCTGGCTCTGGGAAGAGACACAGTTGCCTAAACCGACTGTAATTCCTGCCACCCGTGAGGACTAAAAACCTGAGCCAGAGAGATCCTAAAATTGGGTCACAAAGAAAGAGGGGGCATTACCTGTGGAGAAATAGTCACTTATTGGATCCACTTTTCACCTTCTTCAGGAAAACGGCAATGTAAGGAAATTAGCTATCTTTTTTGTCTTTGCCTGTAAGAACAAAGACTGAAAAATATTTAATCTTTTTGCAAATCTTCTCTTAATTTCTGTGTTATATCCGTATTGGTTACTTTGCACTGGTTATTTGTGGATCATTTCAAATTAACAAATTAATAGAGTTAATAGTAAATCAAAATAAAATAAAATAAAATAAGTTTTAGTCTCTATTTTGTTTGGCATGTATATACCCCAAAATTCTTTAAACTAATGGCAAGATAAATGACCAACTTGCATAGTGAGAGAGTTCTCCTATCTGCTTCATTACTTTTTTCCTTTGTTGCTACAACAAAAACATGTCTACATCTTAATCTCCATTTCGAGGGATGCAACTAAGGCCTAGACTTTCAGTCAACATTAGCATTCCCTCCCAAGGAAAAAAAAAAAAAAAGGCTGTTTTCTCACCTCTGTCCAACGGGTGTTTGAATGTAAAATATGTAGGGAAATCAAGACCAGAATTTGTAATTCTAGAACTATTGAAAAACTAGTTGAGCAAAGGTAAGAGTTTAACAGACATTTTGGGATATGATATGGTCGAGCCTATTTCATTTCCCTTTTCAAAAGTTGAAAAATCAAAAGGATTTCTTTTAAAATTCAGGTTACATCTCTACTTTGCTTGAGGTTTATTATAGTTGAAAGACTGGTTTTACACATAAAACTTTTTTGCTTAAAACATGCATGAATGGTTTCTGATTTCTTCTCATCCAGATATTTGAGAACAATTTTAGGAAGCACCCAACTTTACTACATTGCATTTTCAAGTGTTCTTTCCTGACTCCTCTTACAGAGCCCATCCAAAATGTGCCTTCATGATGTTAAATACCAGTTGGCATTTTTAGTTTGGTTGGAATAGAATTGCAGAATTTTGCTTTTCTTAATTGTGAAAGAGGCAGATAGTTAACCACATTTTTTCTCCTTCTGCATATCTAAAAATGCATTCAATTCTTCAGCAAATATTTAGTTCTTTTATTATACGAGACATTGGAAAGCATTAATCTGAAGAACTAGTTACAGTTGAGGTTCCTCATCACAAGGTAATATCCTGGGAAAACTCTGATCCAGGAGCACTTTTCTGACTCCATTCAAACTATTTCCTGAAGGCAACCAGCAGATTACTTCATGACTTGAGGAAACCTGAAAGGTGGCAGCTTTTGCTGGCTCAGATAGGAAATAAGCCTTTTCAAGAAACTGTACTCAGTGCCAATTACAAAGCCTTTAATCAATTAATAATTACTGCAGCACATTATGACTTTCTCTATGATTGCTGCTCGAACTTAGGGGAAAAAATACATTTTAAATGGTAATTTAATGATTAACCGTAAAGTAGGTATTTAAAATCAAAGGTGCTGCTTACATTTTCAAAATCTCTAAATATATGCAAACAAAAGGAAAAAAATAGTTCTTGTGAAAGTATACAAGATCTTTAAATATTAAATCCCAGACCACATTTTAGACATAAAATTCATCAAAACATTTTCAACAAATACATCAAAGTGGGAAGAAACTAATAGTTTGACTGAACTAATAGACAATAATCAATAAGAAACTTTTAAATATAATTTTAAAAGTTAGAAGATAGTATTTGCTTTTCAAAAATAAGAAAATTCTTTTTTCTAATTGGCTAGCCTGGCTTTGGTCAATGTACTTGATAATTTTGAGCTTTCTACACTGAGGGTAATGAAATATTAAAACAATAATCTAGGGAGGTTGTGAAGTGTATTATCAGGAACTCTGTCAATATTCTCTTTGTCTAAACATTAATTGATCATTTCAATAAAAGGTAAGGACTTTTTATAGTCTACAGCATGATTACAAAGTAGATGACTTTCTCAGTACTTCCTAACCCTTTAATTCATATGTAACAATTTAATTTTTTTTCAAATTCCTTTAAGCACCTGATATTATTCTCAGATGCCTCACCTTCAGTTGTGGCCCTCTAGTACCTGTCATCAAAAAGTAGCACAGAGAATGGAATATCTGAAATACCATTCAAAAGTATATTTTATCTATTGCACGTAATTATTTATATAATTATGTACTTTTACATTTTATATACTTAATTATATGTATACCCACGATGTGTGTGTATATATGTGTGTGTGTTTATGTGTATTCATTTTTGCAGTTCTTATCATAGCTACTAGAATCTTGCTTATTTTTTTCAATCCAGTGTCTGTAATTGTACTATGCTCCTATATGTTTTTCTATAAATCATGTAATCACTCCATGTCATTTGCCATTTTAAGAGGCAATGTCCCCCTTTACCAGCCACCCAATTAAGCAACCATTCATTAAATATCAGATTTCAGGTTCACCCTGCCACTTTTGAAGTACTTTGAAAATTATAGTGATGTATTTTGTGCTCTCAACAGCTTACAGTTAGTGGTGGGTTAAAAATCACTATCGAGGTAAAAATAACCATAAATAAGAAAGAGACTCAAGCAAAGTTTGGGATAGTGATAAAATTTATCTTGGAGCTCTTAGGGTTTTGTAAAGGAAGTTCCATTTTAAGTGTGTCTTGAAAGATGAATACTAAACCTGGCTGCATTTTAATGGATGAATTAGAGGATCAAGAAATGAAAAACTCATGCTGAGATAGAAGTGCTGGTGTGGCATCCATATGAACATGTTGATGTAACTGGTAACTGAAAATTAAGAAATAGGCCACATCTAGTGAAGAAAAATTGGAAGTTGGCAAATTAAAACCAAAGGAGTAACAGAGTAACAGAGATTTCCGGGTAAAAAGTGTATTGATTGAACTTAAAGATGCAGAGAGTAGAGCCTTGGGGAAATGACTGTAATTAAATGGAAATGGAGGGGAAAAAAAAGTTAAGGTAACTGAAGAAGAGCAGGCAGAGACAAGAGAACTGAAGAGGACAATGCAAGAAGAAAGCATTTAAGATGATCAAAGACTGCAATGGCAAGACAATGACTCGGCCCACTGCATTTAAAATTATTAGGGCACTGATGAATTTAATGAAAGCTGTTTCAGTGGTACACTAGTGGTAAGAGTCAGATTATAGGAGTAGAAAGGCAGAATTCATTTGGGAGGAATGAGGGAGACTAGTCTTTAAGGAAGTGTGGCAATAAGGAGAAAAAGAAAGATGGGGTGATAGATTGTGTTAGAAGCATAGTTAAATCAGCATTTATTTTTACTTTAGTAAAATTAAACAAAAAGGGATAAGCCATTGTGGAAGAGTTATTAACATAGGAGAAAGAAAGGAGAAAAGTTGTTTGGAATAATCAAAATAATTGTAACAATTACTTATTGAGCTCTTACTACATGCTAGGCAGTATTTTTGTCACTTTATATAAAATAAGTCAATAGCCTTCCAACAATTCTGTCAATGTAAGTATTCTTATATCCATTTCACAGATAAGGAGACTGAAGCTTGCTTAAGAGTGGTTAAATATCTTGCCCAAAGTACCTGCTAGGGAGGGATAAAGATAGAATTTGAACTGAGACCATCTGGCTTCAGCCAACCAGCTCTATAAACAAACCATTCTGCGGGTCTTACTTGTGCAGCCAGTAATTGCCGGTCCTATTCTTTTGGTGAAGATGTTGAACCTGAGAAAAATCAAATGCTTTTTCTTATTTATTCTGTGCTCTGCCCTATCCTTAGGGTCCTAGGTAATGTTTGGAATGCATCAGTCCCAACCTTCCTGTACTACAATAAGTGAATAAATTGCTCACAATAATTTGAGGAAGCCTGGGGTCTTTTATGAGCATTTCAAATGATTAATAAAGTATGTAAAATAATCAGATTGTCTGGATCTGAATAGTGTTGAAAGATTTAATAGTTTCCAATGTTGAGAAGTTTCAACATACTGGTTGAAATCAATGAACAAGTTATCCATTTGATAGTGGGGGGAAGATGTAGCACATCAAGTTTCTTGGATTTTTTTAGGAATCAGTACTATACAGGCAGTTAGATGACATATATAATTCTGCACCATTTTATTTTGGTCTACAATTATATCACTACTGTATTATATTTTGCTGTTTTAACAAATGAGCTCTGATGAATTTGCCAGTATTTAACTTTTCCTGGGTCTCTCATTTTCATTCTACTTATCCTAGCTTCTCCACTCCCCCACTAACTTCTATAATTTTTCCTTTATTGGAAAGTTCTCAGAGCCTTGGGCTCTTCAGTAGAAAGTATAGTATGAAGCTGGAAGATAAATAATACATCAGATCACTTCTACTCAATCTGGGCAAGTGACATTTACAATTTTAACAAACTGGAGGCATGATGGCAAATAAGAGAATATTTGGAACAGAGTAAACTTCAGTTACAATACAGACTAAAATTCTAAGAGTGTTCTTTCTCATTTGGCTAATATATGTAATTCAAGTTTACTGGAGGAATGTTCTCACTCAGATGCTAAACTGCACATCTGCAAACTATTCCCACAGAAACAATCTGAGCAACGCCCACCCTCAAAACCCTCACTGATTCTTATCATTTCTGTAAAGACAATATTTCTTTCTCCAAAGAGCAGCAGATATATCAGATGTTTGAGTATTAAAATGTAGATACACTTGCCTTTTAAATCTCACTCTAATCTCTGACGCTAAAATCAGCACACTGTGCAGCATTTTGAAGAGTGCTTTCTTTGGAATAATAATTCCAGTAGATGATCTGTAGGAAAAAAAAAAAAAAAGAGCTATCCTGTGACCATATTTGACTTGAGAAAAGCTGAGCACACCTGTCTTGGAGACTCACGATGCACATTAACATATTAAAGGCTCTGGAAGTCCAGTAATAAGGAATTATGTGGGGTTTGTTTTTTGTTTAATTCATACTTCCCAGGTTTATTTGAAAATCGAAAAACATTTTGTCCTTAATCCTATTAAGAGAACTTTCTATAAAATGGAATTTTATTGGTGGTAGATATTTTGTAGTATCCTTCCCATTCTCAAAAACCCATTTTGTGAAATGCCACATTCTCTGATTTGCTCTGTATTTCTTAGTACAATAGCATAAAGAGAAAATTGAACATTCTTGAGGACTTATGTGTCAGTCATATCAATTTATATTTTTAGTAATATAAAATGGACAAATCTTTGGAAAGTGTCAGGAAAAAAAACTTGATTTTTTCTTCTAAAAGCACTGCATCCTCACAGAGGTTTGAAGCTAACTAGCAGGAAACACCTGCATCTTATCAATGTCAACACGAATGCCTCTAAAAAGAACACAAGCTGGCGCGCGCGCGCACACACACACACACACACACACACACAGCATTCAGTAATGTGTCGAATGTGGCTAATTAATTTAAGGCAGTAACTGATTAGTATAAAATTGAACACATTGGCTGAGACTGGGTCCATGATAGAAAATCAAGATATCTTCAATTTCTTATATACTTGTGAAATGTATGGGGTTTTTTTGTTGTTGTTTGTTTGTTTGTTTTAGATAAGGTCTCACTTTGTCACCCAAGCTGGAATGCAGTGCTACAATCTCGGCTTGCAATGTCGGCTCACTGCAGCCCCTACTTCTCGGACCCAAGCGATTCTCCCACCTCAGTCCTCCAAGTAGCTGCGACTATAGGCGTGTGCCACCATGTCCAGCTAATTTCTGTATTTTTAGTAGAGATGGTGTTTCACCATGTTGCCCAGGCTGGTCTCGACTCAAGAGATCCACTGCCTCGGTTTCCCAAAATGCTGGGATTATAAATGTGAGCCATCACTCCCGGCCCGAAATGTGAATTCTTTATCATTGATAATAAACACCAATGCCTCATGAAAACTGGAGGCTTCAATTTGAGTCAATTAGTATCTCCACAATAAGGATGCAAATAGAAGTCTAATAAGTGACCATGCTAAATTGACTCTCCCCTTTGTTCACTGGTGAATAAGGGAAGATATCAAGTTTTTAAAGTACTAATCCCAAACTTAAACGACCTTAAAACTAAATCTTGACAGTTTTATATCAGTGCTGTGTAATTGTTATGCACTAGCAAAGCCTGTGGAGTCAGAAGATGCTGTATATGAAAACAATATATCAGTGTTGCATCTTCTCCTGCAGAGGAAGGTAATAGCAATGATCACTTTCGGCAAGTCCAGTTTTGCCTGCTCTACTGATGAACAGCCAAGAAAAAAGATGTGTGCTTTTTAAAGGAAATTTGTATTTTTAAAAAAAGAAAAATCTTGTCTTTATGTTGAAGAAATTGTCCTTTTCCACTTATTGCTCTTAACCAAAATAATTATCTCTATTAGCAATAGTTCTGTTAAGTTTATTTTGAACATATCCCTTACATTGGCTCTGCCTTTTTAAAAAGACCCAGAATGGTTTTTGAAAAGTATAATTTCAGACACCAGGGTGAATACTCCTCACCCTAAGTGCTAATCACAAATGCTGAGTTCCACCATCATGTAATCATGCAGTGATGGTCATTTGGCAGTAGAGCCACTCTGAGTAGAGGGGGCTTCTGGAAGAACAGTGCTCAGAGTTGATTTCTACGTATTATTCTACAAAATATGTCATATGGTATTTTTTTCAAAAATGAGAGGAGAAGCTCTAGAATACATACCACATAAAATTCACCATGTAAAATTTACCTTCTGGACCTAGAATATGTTGTTAATAAGAATGATAACCTTGATCTTATCTTCATTAAATTGTTGAAAGCACTAATCCATTTAAGAACAAAATCCCACAAGTTTCTATTCGTGCTTTCTGAGCCTCAATGCTTATTAGGAACAAAAAAAGTAAAAAGCCCAGTAATGACAAAATTAAACAATTTCTTACTTGCTATTGACCTTTAGCTTTCTTTTCCATGGTAATTTCTTTGTATAATCAAGTTACATACACACACACACACACACACACACACACACACACACACACACACACGAATGCTTCACTACACCAGTAGCATATGTCCCTATGAAAACTGTAGGGGTGTCTCAAGAAGACTCTTAGATTTAAATGCCAAACAATTTTGATACTAAAGCTAGTTAAAACAGATGTTTGTGAATATTGAGAATAACTTTTTATTTACATTTTGTGACTTTTCATATTAATTGTAGAAGGTAATAGTCTGTTTGATACTATTTTGGAAAATGTGGAAGTGAATTTAAAATGGCTTTCAAAAATGTGTTTGCAGAGTATGGAAAGCCATACAGACTTTTCAAATTTATATATATATATATATATATATAAATTTATACTATATATACACATATAATTTGAAAAGTCAAATTATATATATAAAACATATATATTCAATAAAATTATGATAGTAATTTGCATCTTATATGACTTGAAAACTATCATTCAGAAATCTTAGTTCAAGCCAGAAGTCCTATTAAGTTTTACTCGATTCATTTTTTGAAAGTCATGGTTACCATTGCTATCATTTTGGCATGAATTGCACGTTAGACATGTAGACCTATTTCTATGGTCTCTGACTATTGTCTCTTTTTCCAAATCATTTCCTGTTGTTTTCACTACTAATGTAATCAACTCTCAAAGCAGCTCCCTCTGCTGCTCTTATTTTTACCATCTACTTATCTGAACAAATAATATTTTCTCCAAAAAACTTGTACATGTTCTAGTTATCTTTCCAACTAATGACTCAAGGTTGTTTGTATCTTCTTGTAAAAACCAGTTTTTAAAGGAGATCTCCTTTTCCTCTTGGTATTAGAATTTGTATCTGTCACCAAATTAATCTTTCTGATCCCCTATTTCAATGACCAGGTTTAACAGTCATTTTTCCACTTTGAAATTACTTTGATTAATTTTTATCAATTTTTATTTCAAAGTTAGTTTTGGACTCTCTCATAAGTTATTGTCTCTCAATAAAAAAGATTCTTTTCTCATTAAAACTATTCAACTAGGCTGGGAAACATGGAAAAACCCCATCTTTACAAAAAAAAAAAACCAAAAACCAAAAAACAAAACAAAACAAAACAAAAAAACAAAAATTAGCCAGGCATGATGGTGGCATGCACCTATGGTCCCAGCTACTAGGGAGGCTGAGGTGGAAGAATCACTTGAGCCCCAGAGTCGGAGTTTTCAGTGAGCCAAGATTGCACCACTGCACTCCAGCCTGGGCAATAGCAACACTCTGTCTAAAAACAACAAAAACAACAACAAAAATTATTCAGCTACATCTCTTAATGAGTTTTGTTAATTTACCAATGCAAATCTCTTAGATTTTTACCGTAAATCACAACCTTCATTAATCAACAGGTATTTATTAAAAGCCTACCCCATGCCAAAGCATGGGATACAAATAGTGAGCAAAATAGAAAAAAGCATCTTCTAGAGCTTTCACTCCAGTAAAGAAGACAGAAGATAAATATTAAGCATAATAATACATTATATAATATAAGGTGGCTAGACTAGATTTGATTTGATTATGATTAGTTTAGGTGAAAAAGAATAAAACCTGGTAAAGTGGATTGGGAATGATAGGGCAAGGAAGAAGATGTTTCAATTTAAATACTTTTGTGAGAGGAGCCTCATTGAGAAGGTGTTATTGGAACAAAGCTGTAAAGGCAGAGAGAAATTTTGCACACAACTGGTGGTGTGAGGAGCATGTCAGGCAGAGGCAGCACCCTGTGCAAAATCCCTGGGGTAGGAGAGTCTTATGTTTGGCGAGAGGAAAGGAGGCCAGTATGCTTGGAGTAGAGGAGAAAAAGGAGAGGGTGTGAGCAAGTAGAATAAGAGGTCACAGAACTGGCCAGATCACAAAAAAGTTTTAAGCCGTGGTAAAAAAAAAGTTTCCATTTCTTCTCTATCATGTTCTTCTGTCAGAATTGGATGGTAGGTATGCACTGTCACATTAATACTGCAAGAAATGCCTGCTCCTAGCTCCCTTATCCTTCTCCTCCTCTCCCAGGTGGACCATCAAATTTCCCTCCCAGGTGGACTATCACTACAGAAAGAATAACTTTTGAGAAAGGGAGTAGTGAAGAGCTGAAGAAAACTTACGCTAATGAGCACATACCTTGTATAACTCTGTGCTGCTTACTGTGATATATTTTTACATTATTTAGTGCTAAAAACTCTGAGAGGCAATCAATGTTCCTTTCTTTACAGAGGAGTAATATGAAGTTCAGAGAGCTTATGAAAATTGTCTAAAAATCACACAGCCAGTAAAGTTCCTACTCGAAAATCAAAAGAGAAAAAAGCAACGTTAGATTTTGGTGAAAGATTTTTTGAAAGAGTGTCAGTAAAAAATATGTTGAGAACATGTAAGAAAAGATAGAAAGTCAGAATATAGAACTGTTCTAATGGGGTAAGTCTGTGGTCTCCATCTTACCCACATGCAGCTTCAGTTTGTCATGAGATGGGAGTCACTAGGAAACATAAACCTCAGCAGTAGTTTTCTCAGTAGCAAGGAAGGTCCTGCTTCTAGTTTCATCTCCCTAATTTACCCTTCCAGTTACTCTGCCTGGACTCCAATGTGTTATTTTATTCCTCTGTGTCTCCAAAATTTTTGCACATGTCTCTTACTTCTGGATGTTGGTTGTATATTGATTGAGTTGAATTGAAATAAATCAACATTCCACCCACCCTGGTCTCTTGGATCGTTGCCTATATAAGCAACCCACTTCAGTCAGTGCCTTCCTTTTTGACTGGATAATTCTGGTCTGCCTGCTCACATTAGAAACTCTTCTAAGCTCTTTTTTGTTGCAAAGCATGAGCCTAAATGCTGACTTGCCTGAATGGATTTCATATACCTGTCCCGTATTGAATGGTCCAGGCTTATGACTTCTTGCTTAGCCAAACTTTGTTATGCCAAACTTTGTTGCCTCTTTCTAATGTGTCTCTTTCTAATCCCAGCCTCTCCAGTTGCTTCCTAACTTTTCATACTTACAAGGCTTCGCACCCCACTGGCTGTTCTCAAGGCATTTCTCACTGTTCTTTAACATAAACTCAATATTCCACTTTAGCAGATTAAGGACTGTCCCTTAACCACATGTGGAATAAGATCGCTTTTGCCTTTGTGTTATACCTTTATCCTTTGCCCTTAGCCTGAAATGCCCTCCATGAATACAGTTCTTTTCTTTCAGACTACACAAGTCTTGCTTTTCCTACCAGTGCACTCCACTCTGAGGACTTCTGTCCATTTTATGAATTTATTTTCTGTTATGCTTGCACCACAGCACAGAAGAAAATGGACTCTGTTCTTTCTTGTATTTGTGCTTGTTTTGGTGATTGTGCCTCTTCCAAGTCAGTCTGCAATCTCCTTGAAAATGAATTGAGTGATAGCTACTTCTCTTGATTTTTTCTCCATGGATTATTGACATATTTTAGTAACCTAGTAATTCCTAATAAATGTCTGAAGTGTGAGTACTAATGCAATCTTTTATCAAAGCTTTAGCAATTCAGCTTCTCAGTTTATGAATCTTTTGGCATATCCTGAATTTATTTTATTGATGTTTAATTCAAAGTGGTTATTACTTATTTGTTTTTATATGGTATATTAAAATTATGCACACTTAGAAATCACCTTAACATTTTTAACATCAAAAAGTATAAATTATAAGAAATAGAAGAGCATCCAGATAGGAAACTGAAAGGAAGTAGGTAGGAATGGAGGGGACAAAATAACAAAGTTTTATACAGTAATGCAGAAAATAAAATCTAGCCTCATCTCACAAATGGTACCTAATTGGAGCTATTGATTATTGATAAGGGGCAGAAATAAACAAGTTAGCAAGAATTCTGGCATCTTGCTGATGTTGTAGCTCTCAGTCACATACTAACCATAGTAAAGGTCCCATATTTGCTGAACCTAAGAGGGTTCAGGCTATGCACTATATTAGGTCACGTAGAGTAACACATGTCAGGGAAGCATACCTGAAGGATTAGTGGTATGTATTTTTTACATGCGTAGCATTTTTTTTTCTTCTGTGGAATTCAGTATGTATTGGGAGGAACTGCTCTTCGTAGTTAGGATAGGCTGACTCTACTCTGTCTTGTCCAAGTTGAACATGGGATGGGGACTTCATCCTATTACCTCATTCCTTTGGCTACACTGATTGCCCTAGAGATGGACATGTGACTGCAGGACCTATCAAAGCTTTTGGGGGAAAATTGATATTGATGCTGGAAAGAAGAAGCCTCAATCTTTCTGAGATTAAAGACATTAAGAATAATATGAGCCTGGTGATGTGGGATCTATCTTTACAATCACGTAGAGAGAACCTTCTTGATAGTAAAAACAACATAAAAGAAAGCATTACCAAGAAATGTAGGGCTTGTGAATTCTGATGACAATGTCTGAGTTCTTACCACCAGCTCCTAACTTCGGAATCTTCAGTACTTAAAACAGTAAATTTCCCTTTTTGTTTAACTAGTTTAAACTGAGTTCCTAGCACTTCGAAAGCAAAGAATCATGCTTAATGCAGTTATCATGTGGCACCCTGCAGAGCAAAGAAGTAGTTGTATTTGTGCGATACACAGAGCAAAATCAGAAGGATCTCTCAGAATTTCTCTTTTTCTTACTCACTCTCAAACTGGGTGGGGATAAAAAAATCCACACTTTATGATTACTTGCAGAAAGTATAAAAGAACTACTTAGAGTCTGGGTTTCACAGAAAAAAAAATAAATTCCAGCTAACACTTGACAGTAACAGCTGTACTTGAATAAGGATCACGTAAGTACTGTCTAAGTTTTCTAAATACTAACTCCAATAACTCACAACAGCAGCAATTTGTCATCCAGCATTCTTTCCAAGCATCAGTATTAAGAAGTTATCTTTGATAAATTTTTCAGCACATGTCCACTTGTTGAGGATGGCATTTTTGTTAATTTTTTTAACCAGATTGATCAGAGACACAAAAACAAATGTCACTTATGTAGAAGTAGAGAGATGCTGAGCAGATAAAGTCAATTCTTCTATCACTGAGGAGGAGCAGTGATATTGACATCATTTGGCATAGAATATTGTTCTATTCAAGATTTCAAAATAAAAACTAGAAACTATGCTATAATCCAAGTGTGTATCAAACAGAAAGAGGAGGAAAAGGATGGCAAGTTTAGATCCATCAGAGTGTTTTCAAAGAAAATAATAACAATAATGACAAAAGCCCAGCCTACAGAGATTTCGTGAGGATGCATTCTGGAAATAAGTTATCAAAATACTGAGAAGACTAACATTGTGTTTTGAAGAGTATTTTTTTTAATTTGAAAATAACAGTTGCTTAAAATAGAAAATTATTAATCGTAAAGTTCAGCATACGCTTCTTACTTGTGATGCAACTATGTGCTTACACTAAAAATTAAGTGGAAAACTAAAAGAGCTCCAGAATTGATGAATGCTGATGGTGTAGTTAACTCATTTCCTTAACTCTTATCAGCATGGATAAAAGTTCAATCCAAGAGTATCTGCAATGACGGATCAAGGTGTGGGTTCTATAACAATAAAATTTTCCGAAAGAGAGGAATGGAAGCAATGAGTGGTGAGAGGGCATCAGAGATTACACAATGTACGTAAAAGACCTAGTATTAGTTCTACTGTTTCTAGAAGACCAAGTATAAAAGTCTGATACATAGTAAATTTTAGCTATTATTAGTTATTGAAATTCTTCTATCGATCAGATCTTCAAAATACATCTTGACTTCTGTTTCTAGCCAAAGAGTAATATAATAGATACCAGATTTTCTCTTGCAATGAAATAACCAAATAATTGACAAGAATATATGAAACAGTTTGGAAAACACTGAACATTAGGCAATGAAGGTTGATGATTCCTCAGAGGCAGGAAACAAGGGAGAACCACACTGCTGCTTCACCTTACTGCTTTGAGAGAGTAACTAGGCTGTGGGTTAGGGAGGTGAAATCCAAGTCGAGCCTCACAGACTCACTGAAGAAAGGAGATAAAGCTGACTCCAGAGGGAGCAAGGTGGTTAGAGATCACAAGAAAAAGTACCAGAAAGAAGAAAATGAGAGAGAGAGAGATAAAGGGAGAGATGCTGAGGGTATTCCCTGACATATGAAGCAAATACCAGAGGCTGGAGAATTACACAAAAGATGTAAACATAACTGTGCCTGGTATAACAGGGGATAATTAGCTCTGGGCTGAGCATTGTGCTGGTTCCAATGAAGAAGTCTTAAAAACAAGATTCAAAAAGATCAAACTGTTTTCAAGTGACATAAATATACCCAAGAACAAAGCTCAAGAATATTCATAAGAATACAAAAGCATCTATCAACCAATGAAATAAAACTAACAACATATGCCATCCAATGAAAAATCATCAGGAATGCAAAGAAGCAAGAAAATATGATGCAAAAAGAGGAAATAAATCAATTAATCAAAACTGATCCAGAACTGACATGTGTTAAAAGCACCATTAAAATCACTTCTATACCTATATTCTGTTTATACAAAAAATAAGGCATGAAATATATTTCTATCTATGTAACTATCATCTATCTATCTGATTTTTTAAAAGACCCTAAATGAACTTCCTAAGATAAAAACTACGATGTATGGTGTGATCCACTGGATGCAATTAAAGGTAGATTAAATTGCATAAGAAAAATTTAATATATTTGGAGATGTAGCCATAGAAACTGTCCATGATGAAACAGAGAAAAGAGAATTTTAAAAAATGAATCCAGCATCAGTAAGCTGTGGGACAATTTCAAACACTGTAATCTTCATGTAACTGGAGACCCATAGGGAGAGGAAAGAGAGATAAGTTCTTTTTAAAATAAGAAACGTAGATAGAAAATTTTCCAAATTTGATGAAAACCATAAGCCTGGTGAGAGGACTTTTTTTTTCCCTCTTGACACCAAATACAGGTATCTTTTCCAATGATACTTCTTGAACTGACACCGTCTGGGTGTCCAAGGATTTAATTCAATTCTAATACTCAACCTGCAACTAGTGTCAGATACCACAAGTTAGAGTTGAGTTACACAAGACTGCCCCCACTTTACACACCAATTACAAATCCGAGGACACCTGTACTTTTGCCCAACTGGCTACAAATAGGGGATTCCCACTTCCCCCTCTCTGGTTCTGTAATTTCCTGGAGAGGCTCACAGAACTCAAGAAGGCACTTTGTTGTAAGGCACTTCAATTTATTATAAACGATACAAGTGAATAGTGAGATGGGGTACATAGGGTGAGGTCTGAAAGCCTTCCAAGCACAGAAACTTCCGTCTCTGTGGAGCTGGGGTACACCACAGTCCTGGCATGTGGATGTCTTCAGAAGCTCCCTGAGCCCTGTTGGATAGGGGGTTTTATGAATGTTTTATTACACAGGCATGATTGATTAAATCATTAACCATTCATGATTAGCTCGTTCTCTAGCCCCTTGCCCTTTTCCAAAGACTGGCAGGTGGAGCTGAAAGTTCCAAATTTCTAATTGAGGTTTGATCTTTTAGCTGAGCAGCCCCCAACCTGAATCTATCAGGGGCCAGCCAAAAGTTGTCTCATTATGACAAATGACACTCTTATTATCACTCAGGAAATTCCAAGGGTTTTAGGAGCTCTGTGCCAGAAACTGGGGACAAATACCAAATATATTTTTATGTTACAACACCAAGAGACCAAAGATGTTCAATGAATTCTAAGCCCAATAAAGATTAAAACAACAGCAATCACAACCAGGCACATTACAGTCAAATTACTAAAAACCAGTGAAGAGAGAGTAATATCTTAATAGCAGCTAGATGAAAAAGACATAATATAGAGGAACAAAGATAAAAATTACAGCAGTTTTTTTTTTCAGAAACTTTCTAGGAAAAGTACATTTTCTATGATTCCATTTATATAAAATACTAGGAAAAACAAACTAATGTGGGATGACAAAAGAAGCTGTAGTTGCCTGGAGGTAGGACTTACAGAGAGGAACAAAAGGGAAATATTGCAAAGGTACACAAGGAAACTTTTAGAGGTGATGGATATATTCCTGATCTTGAATGTGGTGATAATTCAATGGGTGTATTCCTATGGTAAAACTTATAAAATTGCATTTAAGAGTGTGCAGCTTATTGTATTATGGTTATTTCTAAATAAAGCTTTTAAAAAATAAAAAAAATGTATGCCAATTTTTTTCTGACCCACACAACACAATAGTTCCTATATTTTGTAGCTAAGTAAAGAAATAAAGCAATGTTAAAAAGGCTTGCCCAAGACCAATTAACAAAAAACCCACATCTATCTAAATTCAACGGCTATTTATTCCCATTGTTTTTTGCTGTTACACAGACAAGATTAGCAAATTCTAAACTTTATTTTTGACTGTAGGAAATGAAAATTATATACATGACGTATTATCATATGAAGCATGCTCATTGAAAAGTATAAGATACCCTTAATGACAGAGATCATATATCATTTCAATCCTTTAATGCTATGTAATTTTACTTAAAAATAAAATAATACGTGGATAAATTAAATTAATAAAAATAAATTAAAATAATTTACCATATTTCTGAAGGTAAGAAAATGTTTTTCTAAGGTTAGGAAACGGAGGAGGTGGTCTATGTACAAGGGAAGGGAATGGGAAGAAAACATTCTATTTGCAAATAATTGAGACAATCATCATCTCAGTTCGTGAGTTGTTACCTCCTAACTTATCTTCCATTTTCTACTCATGCCTCCTCAATCTATTCTCCAGAGAGAAGCCAGAGTGATCTTCTAAAAGCACAACCAGATAATAGCACTTAATTGTTGAAAAGTCCCCTAATGTCATTTCGTTATGCTTAGAATAAAATAAAAACGTCTTACCCTAGTTAAAATCTACATGTGAACTGACTTCCACTTTCCACTCATCTCATGCTTCTCTTCCCCTACTTGCCTCCTTTCAGTCTTTTTATTCTTATTCTGCCTTGGACTCACTTGCACTAACTGTTCTCTTTGCCAAGATTCCTTTTTCCCTATGTTAACATGGAAGCCTCTTTGATGACATTAAGGTCTCCACTTAAATGACTTTTAGTGACCATCAAATTGCATTCATCCAGTGAGCAGGCAGTAACTCTCTATCACATCATTTTACTTCAACGTTTCTCCATCGGGGGCAATGTGGCCTCCTACAGGTTATTTGGAAATGCTTACAAAATTGTTGAGTGTTGACTGCTACTGGTATTTAATGATAGATGCCACAGATGCTCTAAACATCCTACAATGTGCAGGACCACAGCCACACACACAAAGAATTATATGGTCCAAAATAGCAGTAGTGCCAACTTTTAGAAAACTTGCTCTATTTTACTTCCCCCTGCAAAGCATGTGTAATTATCTGATATCCTAGTCTATGTTTACTTTTTTATTTTATTTTTTGTACCAATGAGAACAGGGACCTTGGATGACCTGTTCACCCTTATATTCCCAGCTTTTAAAGTAATGACTACACAGAATGTTTTGTCATTCAGTTTATATTTACTGATTGACTGAATGCCAACCACATCTTCCATTAAAAAACATTCTATATAACTTGTTGAGTATTCCTGCAACTGACCTCCATCATTAGCTGAAGGCATGTTTTCCCCAGAGTATGATTTGAGAATCAAGGACAAGGGATTCGACTTTTTGTAAGTTTTCAAAGAAAAAAATGGTGTAAATGCCAGAAATTTTCAGGGTAGGTGGGTGGCCAAGCAAGTGTTAAGACTAAAATTATTTTCATAGCTTATGAAATAAATCTACTTTCTTAAATATTTGGCAGGGTCAATGACTTGTGTTGAAATGTGCAAACTTATTGCATCTCTGATTTTCTCTCTGTCATGCTATAAATAAATTAACACTTTTCTCTAACCTGACTTGCTTCTACCTGTTATATTTGAAAGGATATTGCAGTGCTGACTGATGTTTTCTCTAGGGAAATGATTATTGGCCTCATTGTTCCAAGTAAAGGTAATAGTTTTTAACTGTTGATTTTCTGTAGTGAAAGAATCCACAGGAAGCAAGGATCATAAATAATGCTCACATTTAGGTGCTCACATGTAGGCAAACTGTGATGAAACTTGAAGTTTGGAAGTCATCAAAACATCTATTCAGTAACCCTCATTAAAAACCTGATTTTGCTTTATTTTGCCAATATCTGCTTCTCTCGCTATGAGTTCCTTAGGTCTGACAAATTTATCAAAGAAAAAAAATCATGCCTGTTGAAATGAGGCCAAGTAATTTGCTTAGGCTCACAGAATGGTGGAACTAGGACTTGTCTTTAGGCCTTAAGGGAAAAAAGTACCAACAGGTTTATATGTGTTACTTCTCCGTTTGAGCATATTCATTTTAAGGAAGAGTTTCTAGGGAAAAAAATGCCTTCAACTGAAAGAATAATTAATAATGAGAGGAATTTTAGAGACAGAAAAGCCATCAGTGGATGTATTTGATAGCTGATGAAGCTTTTGATGCCCATCACCCATGCATATGTATGGCTCGTTGGTACACTACTAACTTAGCTATATAGACACAGGCACTTATGGCTTCAAAGGAGTTTCCTTTTACTTTTTTTGTGTGTGTAAAATGGCATTGATAGAGTCAATCGATTTGTTTCATTCTTGTTGAACCAATGGATTCCTATCAGCAAGCAATATATTCCTCTATACACTATTACAACATTGTTCAATGGAAAGTGTTGATAACGCTTACTTTATTTGTTTTAAAAAATTAATTGCTGCTGGCTATCATCTCTGTATTCATCTTTCTTCAATATAGTTGTCATTTCCTTCTTGTAGTTGTTTGGTAGTACCTAATAGTCTAACAGAAAATAAGATTGTATTCCATTTATATACTTCTATGACAACTACCTTTTCAGCTAATGTTTCTTTTTCATAATGGCATTATATGAGATATATCCATTATGTTGAGTACATGCACTCTTATAGGGTCAGGACATAATATTTTGTAAAACTAGAAATTTTTGAATCTTAAGTACAGTAATGTTTCTGCTTATCTCACATTGGTCTTTACACCTAAAAAGAACACATGGACACGGGGAGGAGAACATCACACACCAGGGCCTGCCAGGGGGTGGGGGCCTGGGGGAGGGATAGCATTAGGAGAAATACCTAATGTAAATGACGAGTTGATGGGTGTAGCAAACCAACATGGCACATGTATACCTAGGTAACAAACCTGCATGTTGTGCACATGTGTGCCAAAACTTAAAGTATAATAATAATAAAAAAAAAAACACTGGCTCCTGTCTAGTCTGTCCAGAAACATTTCAAACGTCTGGAAACTCAGTGACCATGGAAGGTCTCTCTATCACTGCTAGTGTGACGTCACCAGAAGATAATGATAAAAATTGCTTTGCATCCATTCTTAGCCATCAATTCTAGATCCACCAAGAATAGGGCATGATATACAGGGGAGTGGCAAAAAGCAGATGCATTAATGATTACATTCTGGACAGGCCAGACAATTAATTTTTTTGTATATTTATTCCTTGCTTATTTGTTCTATTGTTCTTTCATTTAATTATCTTTTATTCTTTCATGTGACAAATGAAATGAACATTTGTTATGTATGAATAAGACATAACTTTTTATTTCTCTGTTATCAGCTGTAGCAAGTGTAGAGAGTAAGAACAGACCTTTTTATTAAGCCTCATATATCATCATGTTGTTTCAAATTCGAGAAGGGCCAACCCAAATGATCCTTTCACAGAAACCAAAGGCTTAATATGTTAGGGAAAAAAATATAAAGTGCTGTAGAACTCTTTCCCCAGAGAGTGACACAATTTTATTCCCTAACACTCTTCCATAACACCTTATAACTCAAACCCTTAGCTTATCCATTTCCTCAGCTCCAGCTTCAAATATGAAGAAAACAATACTTTTTTTGCTCACAACAGAAAACCTTATGGATATTATTTTTCTTTAGACTTGGCTGAAGTTTTGTAAGAAGGATCAAGGGATTGGTACAAATAGGCACACTCTTAAGCATACAGAAGGGATAACTAGTTTACTGGAAAGAGAATGAAATATAAGAATAAGGATGAAGGGAAATATGAGAGAAGCAGAAATGGAATTACTGATTTGATTATTTTTTACATGTTGTAATTTTTTTCTAGAGAAAAACTGATTGTATTAAAAAAATGGCAGGCTTTTTTATATATCCTGTGATACTTTCAGTGCTATTTGAGGATAAATAATAAAAACATATTTAAACTTTGTAAAACAAAATAAAAAGTCAACAACTGATGTTAAAAAAATGAAATCAATAAAATAAGGCAATATGTCTTATTTCAAGTACTTTAAATGTCAATAGTTGTGTTAGGCCATTCTTGCATTGCTATAAAGAAATACCTGAGACTAGGTAATTTATAAAGAAAAGAGGTTTAATTGACTCACAGTTCTGCAGGCTTTAAAGGAAGCATGCTGCTGGCATCTGCTCAGCTTCTGGTGAAGGCTCAAGGAACTTTCAATCATGGCAGAAGGCAAAGGGGGAACAGGCACATCACAGTCAACAGTAGGAGCAAGCGAGAGTGGTGGGGGCAGGGAGAGGTGCAGACATTTTTAAATGAGCAGCTCTCAGGAGAACTCACTATAATGAAGACAACACCAACTCATGAGGGATCTTCCACATAATAAAAATACTTCCCACCAGGTTCCACCTTCAGCACTGAGGATTCCAATTCAACATGAGATTAGGACAGGGACAAATACTCAAACTATATCAGTAATACATCTTAACAGCCATGATTCGCCTTTACAAAATTTTTTCATATGACATTTGTATAGATTTGGTAGGCCTACCAAAACAGAGTATCACAGATGGGGTGGCTTCAACAGCAGAAATGTATTGTCTCACAATTCTGGAGGCTATAAGTCTGAGATCAAGATTTGGCCATGTTGGTTCCTTCTGAGAGCTATGAGGGAAGAATGTGCTCCAGGTCTCTCTCCTTGACTTGTAGATAGCTGTTTGCTTCCAGTGTGTTCGCATTGTCTTTCTCCATGCCTATGCCTGTGTTCAGTTTTCCTTTTTTTATAAGGATACCAGTGATACTGGATTAGGCCCACCTTAATGACCTCATTTTAACTTAATTACCTTTTTAAGGACCCTACCAGCAAATATAGTTACATTCTGAAGTACTGGGCTTTAGGACTTTAACATATGAATTTCAGGGGTACACAACTGAGTCCACAACAGCATCTAAAGCATTGTTACTCAAATAGCATTTATTGAAGAATTATATTTCTTTTTAGAAGCAGAATGCTATTAGATATCAAGTACAGCTTAAAAATACTAGTAGATTAAGTCCCTGATCTTGGTGAAATTGTGAATAATGTACAGACAATCAGGAAAGATATGGCACATAAATAGGATTAGCTGTACAGATCTATATAGGCACTGGGCTGTTTCACAAGGCAGAAAAGGAATGTCTGTGACTGAGGTTTACTCAAAAAAAAGTAATACTAAGAACAAAAGAATTCTTATTGTGTAAATGTGACAATAAAAACAAATATGCTGAGAGACATACAATGCATAACAGCAAGTTACAGGCATAGAGGACATGTAAACAGTATTTTCTGATACCCAGTTGAAACTTCTGTAGCTGGAACTATTGTCACTTGAGGAAGATAGTTTTATTAGGCTACAGCATATGTAGACAAATATATTCAGATAAGTTATAATTCTTACAAATGTAACATAATAGGGGTTTCACATGGCGCAGACCAATGACATATGGTTCTGTTCAGAGAGACAGTAAATAATACATTGCTAGTAATGAATTCAACCTGGTCAGAACAGAACCTAGCTGGAAACAACGACATAAACAGTAACAGCCGGTACTTTTGCAGGCACTTTCCTTCCATAATTTATCTCTCTTGAACAAGGTGTGTGTGTTGGATGGTGGGGGGAGGCAGTTCTTCCCCAGTTTAATAAATAATATGTTATTTCACTTTTGTTTTTTGCAATTTAAATTTTTAAGGGAAAAACAATGGCTAAACTTGCCATTGCAAATTGAATCATGTATTGTCCAGGTAAAACACTTCTTAGACCACTAAATGGGATAGAATGTAGAAAGGCCAGAAAAATAATCATAAAATCCAAAATGTATGATAGCAGTGAGAAAGGCCCTGTGAGTGCTATATTGAGTAAATATTATCTTTACCTCATAGGAATAGACATATGTGTTGTTTCTCCAACTTTTCACTATTAAACTGCTTTTCTGGCTCTGTAGGTTTGGGTTTACAAAATAAAATTATATTGTGTTGTTACAACACAATTCTTAACTGTCAAATAAAAATACCATAGACACTGAACAATGTTTCATAATTTTAATCTTATTTTTTCAATAAATTTTTAACAATGAAAATTTCTCACTGCTATCATACAGTTTGGATTTTGTGATTATTTCTGGCCTTTCTACATTCTACCCCATTTGGTGGGGTAAAATTGAAATTTCAATTTTATTGGTATTTCCACAATGCTTTCTACATATTTTTACATTTGATGCTCATGATAACCCTAGAAGATAGGTGATATGGTTTGGCTCTGTGTCCCTGCCAAAATCTTACCTTGAATTTTAATAATCTCCATGTAGCAAGGGCGAGACCAGTTGGAGATAATTTAATCATGGGGGTAGCTTCCCCCATGCTATTCTCGTGATACTGAGTGAGTTCTCATGAGATTTGATGGTTTTATAAACATCTGGCATTTCCCCTGCTGGCACTTATTCTTTCTCCTGCTGCCCTGTGAAGAGGTGCCTTCCACCATGATTGTAAATTTCCTGAGGCCGCCTCAGCAACGCAGAACTGTGAGTCAATTAAACCTCTTTCCTTTATATATTTCCCAGTCTTCGGTATTTCTTTACAACAGCATGAGAACGGTCTAATATGGTAAATTGGTACCACAGAGAGTAGGGTGCTGCTATAAAGTTACCCAAAAATGTGAAAGCAACTTTGGAACTGGGTAACAGGCGGAGGCTGGAACAGTTTGGAGGGTTCAAAAGAAGACAGGAAGATGTGGGAAAGTATGGTACTTCCTAGAGATTTGTTGAATGGCTTTGACCAAAATGCTAATAGTGATATGGACAATGAAGTCCAGGTTGAGATGGTCTCAGATATAGATGAGGAACCTGTTGGGAATTGTAATAAAGGCAACTCTTGCTATGCTTTAGCTGAGAGACTGGTGACATTTTCCCCCTGCCCTCGAGATCTGTGTAACTTTGAACTTGAGAGAGATGATTTAAGGTATCTAGCAGAAGAAGTTTCTAGCAGCAAAGTGTTCAAGGAGTGACTTGGGTGCTCTTAAAAGCATTCAGTTTTATGCATTCACAAAGAGATGGTTTGGAATTGGAACTTATGTTTAAAAGGGAAGCAGAGCATAAAAGTTTGGGAAATTTGAAGCCTTATAATATGGTAGAAAAGAAAAACTCATTTCTGAGTATAAATTCAAGACCACTGCAGAAGTTTGCATAAATAATGAGGAGCCAAATGTTAATTGCCAAGACAATGAGGAAAACGTCTCCAGGGCATGTCAGATGTCTTCATGGCAGGTCCTCCCATCACAGGCCCAGAGGCCTAAGAGAAAAGAAGGATTTCCTGGGTTGGGCACAGGGCCTTGCTGTCATGTGCAGTCTCAGGACTTGGTGCCCTGCATCCCAGCCACGACTGAAAGGGATCAATGTATAGCTCTGGCTGGGGCTTCAGAGGGTGCAAGCCCCAATCCTTGGTAGCTTACATGTGCTGTTGGGCCTACAGATGCACAGATGTCAAGAATCGAGGTTTGGGAACCTCTGCCTAGATTTCAGAGGATATATGGAAACCCCTGAATGTCCAGGCAGAAGTTTACTGCAGGGCCAGAGCCTTTAGGGAGAACCTCTGCTAGGGCAGTGCAGAAGGGAAATGCGGGGTTGGAGCTTTCACACAGAGTCCTCAGTGGGGCCCTGCCTAATGTAGCTGTTGGAAGAGGGCCACTGTCTTCCAGACCCCAGAATGGTAGATCCACCAACAGCTTGCACCATATACCTGGAAAAGCCACAGATACTAAATGCCAGGCTGTGAAAGCAGCTGGGAGAGCAGCTGTACCCTGCAAATCCACAGGGCTGGAGCTGGCCAAGGCCATGGGAGCTTCTCATTTGCATTAGCATGGTCTGGATGAGAGACATGGAGTCAAAGGAGATCATTTTGGAACTTTAAGGTTTAATGACTGCCCTATTGGATTTCAGACTTGCATGTGGTATGTAGACCCTTTGTTTTGGCCAATTTCTCCCATTTGCCATGGTGTATTTACCCAATGCCTGTACCTCCATTGTTTCTAGGACGGAACCAACTTGCTTTTCATTGTACAGGCTCATAGGCAGAAGGGACTTGCCTTGTCACAGATGAGACTTTGGATTCAGACTTTTGTGTTAATACTGGAATTAGTTAAGACTTTTGCAGACTGTTGGAAGGCCATGATTTTGTTTTGAAATGTGAGGACATGAGATTTGGGAGGGGCCAAAGGCAGAATGATAAAGTTTGGCTCTGTGTCCTCACCCCAATCTCACCTTGAATTGTAATAATCCCCAGGTGTAAAGGGCAGTACCAGGAGGAGGTAATTGAATCATGGGGATGGTTTTCCCCATCCTGTTCTCATGATAGTGAGTCCTCATGAGATCTGATGGTTTTATAAGCATCTGGCATTTCCCTTCCTGGCCCTCATTCTCTCTCCTTCCTCCCTGTGAAGAGGTCCCTTCTGCAATGATTGTAAGTCTCCTGAGGTCTCCCCAGCCATGTGGAACTGTGAGTCAATTAAACCTCTTTCCTTTATAAATTACCCAGTCTCTGGTATTTTTTTCATAGCAGTGTGAGAATGAACTAATACAATAGGTACTGTTTCCTTTTTTCAAAGAGAAAACTGACCCTAACAGAGGTTAAAAATTTTGCCCCAGATCACATAAACCCACTGCATTGACCCTGAGGCCCACATTCTTAATCACTTGTTTATCTATATTGTTATAAAATATCTTTTTTTTACAAAGACATCTATAAGAACACATTGTGTGTGTTATATGTATACTTCCTTCAGATGCTAAATGGTTTTTAGAAGCCTCTCCATAAAGAGTTCCTTGAATGCTGTCTTGCATTGTCAAGGTGGTGTGACAATTATTACAGCTTTTCTGTTAGACACTATGCTTATTTGCTTTTTGCCTGTTAGCAAATGTTTCTTCTTGTAAATAAAGTAAGGTCCAAAAGCTTTGCAGTAATATCCAATAGGAAATAATCTGATTGATTTAATTTTAGCACAGTTCTGCTACATTATGTGTAACAAAACTATTTTCCAAATATCTGTGTCTTTATATTCTTATTTATGATATCCTGATCTATCCACATATAACTTAATGATCCTCAAAACACTCCTTTGATGGAGACATCAAAAGTATATTTCCCTTCATTTTGGCTTTAAATTTCCTAGTGGCCTAGAACAAAAAGGGAAACAACTAGTTTATAGGATTCTATAAACAACTAATTTATAGGATTATAATATAAGAGGAAATTAGGATGCCAGAGGTAGACCTTTTCCTAGTGCTAAAATGCACAAATAATTTTCCCGTAGGTCATCAGTAAGTAGACACATCGATATGGCAGAAAAGGACCTCAATAATCTTTCCGACAAAAATAGAATAGGAAGTTTCATAAGGCCTTTCTTATAATGTTTCTCAGTGAAAACTGGTGTACCACCAAAGGAACAGTTGTTAAAGAAAATTTGATGAAGTGCCAAGATAAGGCAGTCAAAAGGAATCATTTTATAATATACTGGCTGTATTAGTCTGTTCTCACACTGCTATAAAGGACTACCTGTGACTGGGTAATTAATGAAGAAAACATGTTTAACTGACTCACAGTTCCACAGGCTGTACAGGAAGCATGGCTGAGAAGTCTCAGGAAACTTACAATTGTGGCAGAATGTTGAAGGGGAAGCAGCACATCTTCACATGGTGGCAGGAGAGAGAGAGAGAGAGTTAAGATGGAAGTGCCACACACTTTCAAACAACCATATCTTATGAGAACTCACTCACTATCATGAGAACAGCAAAGGGTAAATCTGACCCCATGATCCAGTCACCACCCTCCAGGACCATCCTCCAATTGGATATGAAATTTGGGCAGGGATACCAGGGACTCAAATCCAAACTATATCACTGACATATTCTGAAAAGAAAATTTTAAATAGGTAAAGAAATAAATGAATTTTCCTCACATAATTTTTTATGAATATTATCTCTGTACTTGAACTTATGATAAGAATTAAACGCCAGAAAAGTCAAAGTTATATTCTCTGGCCAGAACTGGGAGTACAGAATATATTGCTCAAGAGGGCCCCAAGTCACAAAGCTAATATAATAGGATGTTAAAGTGAACCATCAGCTGAATCCTAAAGAAACAGATAGCAAAGTGAGTTGTAATTCACATCACCTTTATAGAACCTGTAATACATGATTAACTAAAAACCAATTAGAATACTCCTAAAACTCTGTCCCTCCCTGTGGGACTACAAGGATTGGGAGAGAAGCATTTTGATGTGGTTTCTTAGGAAAAACTGTTCTATGTGATGCACATCCTCATTGCCATTTGATATTGTAAATCTTTTAAAATTTAGTCATTTTAGTAAATGTATAGTAGTATATCAATATGCTTTTGCCTTTATATTTACATAAAGTAAAAATCACTATTTGTAGCATACAGTTTTATGGCTTTTGAAAATGCATAGTCATGTATCCATGAACATAAGCAAGATACAGAACAATTTTATAATTCTAAGAAATTCCCTCAGCTATCCTTCAATACTAAACCAGCCTCCCCTTCTCCACCCTCTTGGAACAACTGATCTATTCTTCACCTTGATAGTTTTGCCATTTCTATAATGTTAAATAAATTAAATCATACAATATATAGCCTTTTGAATCTATTTTATTTTGTGCATGTGTTTAAATAAAATAATTTTAAATATGTATTTATAGATTTTGAAAACAATAAGACATGTCTTAGGTTCATCCATGTTTCATATGTATGAATAATTTTATTAGCAAATTGGATTGCATGTACTGGCAAATGAATGTAGCATAATCTTTCATGCATTGAAGGATATTTGGGCAGTTTCCAGTTTTTAGCAATTGTCAGTAATGCTAATATAATCATTCACACAGTTGTTGAAATTTTAAGTTTTTATTTATGCAGGAGTGAGACTGCCAGATGACATGGTCAATGAATGTTCAGTTTTATGAAAAACTGACAAACTCTTTTCCAAAGTGGCCACACCATTTCACACTCACACCAGCAGTGTAGGAGAATTCAAGTTATTCTGCTTCCTAACAGCACTAATCTTTTTTTTTTTTTTTTTGTAAATTTTAGCCATTCTAATAGTGGAATGTCTTCCTGAATTTGCATTGAATTTTCCTAATGACTAATTATGTGCAGCATCTTTTGATGCACCTATTTACCATCTGGGTGTCTTCTTCTTTTTTTTTTTTTTTTTTTTTTGGTGGAATCTCGCTCTGTCGCACAGGCTGGAGTGCAGTGGCGCATCTCCACTCACTGCAAGCTCCGCCCCCCGGGTTCACGCCCTTCTCCTGCCTCAGCCTCCCGCGTAGCTGGGACTGCAGGCGCCTGGCACCGCACCTGGCTAATTTTTTGTATTTTTTTTTTTTTAGTAGAGACAGGGTTTCACCGTGTTAGCCAGGATGGTCTCTATCTCCTGACCTCGTGATCTGCCCGCCTCAGCCTCCCATTGGGTGTCTTCTTTAATAAAGTATTTGTTCAAATATTTTGGCCATTTAAAATTTTTTTAACTTTTTTTGTGGGTAAATAGTAGGTATATATATTTATGGGGTACATGAGATATTTTGATACAGACATGCAATGCAAAATAAGCACATAATGGAGAATGGGGTATCCATCCCTTCAAGCACTTATCCTTTGAGTTACAATCAATCCAATTACATTCTTTAAGCTATTTAAAATATACAATTAAGTTATTATTGGCTATAGTTGCCCTATTGTGCTATCAAACAGTAGATCTTATTCATTCTTTCTAAATTTTTAGTACCCATTAACTAACCCCACCTCTCTCCCAATTCCCCTTCCCAGACTCTGTTAATCATCCTTCTACTCTTTATGACCACAAGTTCTGGTGTTTTTATTATTATTATTATTTTTAGATACCACAAATAAGTGAGAACATGCGATTGTTTGTCTTTCTGTGCCTGGCATATTTCACTTAACATAATGACCTCCAGTTCCATCCATGTTGTTGCAAATGAAAGGATCTCATTTTGTTATGGCTTAATAGTACTCCACTGTGTATATGTACCACATTTTATTTATCCATTCATCTGTTGATGGACACTTAGTTTGCTTCCAAGTTTTAGCAACTGTAAACAGTGCTGCCACAAACATAGGAGTACAGATACCTCCTTGATATACTGATTTTCTTTCTTTTGTGTGTATGCCCAGCAGTGGGATTGCTGCATCATATGGTAGCTCAATTTTTAGTTTTAGGGGAATCTCTAAACTGTTCTTTACAGTGGTTGCACTAATTTACATTTCCAACAGTGTACAAGGGTTCCCTTTTCTCCATATCCTTGCTAGTATTTGTCTTTTGGATATTAGCCATTTTAACTGGGGCGAGATTGTAATAACAGTAGGTTTGATTTGCATTTCTCTGATGACCAATGATGTTGATTGCCTTTTCAAATGCCTGTTTGCTATTTGTATGTCTTCTTTTGAGAAATGTCTATTCAAGTATGTTGCTTATTTTTTCATCAGATTATTAGATATTTTCCTATATAGTTGTTTGAACTCCTTATATATTCTGGTTATTAATCCCTTGTCAGAGGGGTACTTTGCAAACATTTTCTCCCATTCTATGGGTTGTCTCTTCAACTCATAGACTGTATCCTTTGCTGGGTTGACCGTATCCTTTGTTGTGCAGAAGCTTTTTAAATTGATGTGATCTCATTTGTCCATGTTCGCTTTGGTTGCCTGTGCTTGCAGGGTACTGCTAAAGAAATGTTTGCCCAGACCAATGCCTTGGAGATATTCCCCAATGTATTCTTGTAGTAATTACATAGTTTGAGGGCTTAAATTTAAGTCTTTAATCCATTTTTATTTGATTTTTTGTATATGTTGAGAAACAGGAATCTAGTTTCATCCTTTTATGTATGAATATCCAGTTTTGCCAGCACCCTTTATTGAAGAGACTGCCTTTTCCCCACTGTTCTTGGCAGCTTTGTCAAAAATGAGTTCACTGTAGGTGTGTTTATTTGTTTCTGGGTTCTCTATTCTGTTCCATTGTTCTATGTGTCTGTTTTCATACTCGTGCCATCCTGTTTTGGTTACTATAGCTCAGTAGTATAATGAACAGACACTTCTCAAAAGAAGACATACATGTGGCCGACAAACATGAACAAAGCTCAACATTACTAATCATTAGATAAATGCAAATCAGAAACACAATGAGTTGATACCATCTCACACCAGTCAGAATGGCTATTATTAAAAAGTTAAAAAGCAACAGATGCTGGTGAGGTGGTGGAGAAAAAGGAATGCTTTTCTCCACAAAATTCTCCGCAGAGAATTCTCTGAATTGCCAGAAAGAGGCTCTTGTTCTCTTCCTGGGAGTGTAAATTAGTTCAACCATTGTGAAAGAGAGTGTGGCAATTCCTCAAAGACCTAGAACCAGAAATACATTTGACCTAGCAATCCCATTACTGAGTATCTGCCCAAAGGAATATAAATCATTCTATTATAAAGACACATGCACCTGTATGTTCATTGCAGCACTGTTTATAATATAATAGCAAAGTCATGGAATCAACCTAAATGTCCATCAGTGATAGACTGAATAAAGAAAATATGACACATATACACCATGGAATACTATGCAGCCATAGAAAGGAATAAGATCTTGTCCTTTGCAGGGACATGGAAGGAACTGGAAGCCATTATCCTCAGCAAAGTAATGTAGAAACAGAAAACCAAACACTGCATGTTCTCACTTATAAAGTGGGAGCTGAATTGTGAGAACACATGGATGCATAGTGGGGAACAACACATGCTGGGCACCTGTGGGGAGGGGGAGCATCAGGAAGAATAGCTAATGGATGCTGGGCTTAATATGTGGTGATGGGATGATCTGTGTGCCAAACTACCATGATACATGTTTACCTATGTAACAAGCCTGCACATTCTGTATATTTACCCCTGAACTTAAAAAAAAAATAAAAACTCTGTAATATAATTTGAAGTCAGGTAATTTGTTTCCTTCCATTTAGGCTAACTTTGGCTATTCTGGATCTTGTATGGTTCCATATAAATTTTAGATTTGTTTTTCTATTTCTGTGAAGAATGTTATTGGTATTTTGATAGGGATTGCATTGAATCTGTAGATTGCTCACTAATTCATTCTTCTGCTTGATCCATTCTGCTATTAGAGCACTCCAATGTATTTTTCAGTATGCCAAATACATTTTTCAGCTCCATAATTATTGCTTGATTCTTTTTAATTATTTCAATCTCATAATTAAATTTATCTGATGGAATTCTGAGTTCCTTCTTGGTGTTATCTTGAATTTATTTGAGTTTTCTCAACATAGCTATGTTGAATCCTCTGTTTGAAAGGGCACATATCTCTATTTCTCCTGGGTTGGTACTTGTTGCCTTTCGAGTTCATTTGCTGAGGGCATGTTTTCCTCAATGATGTTGATTCTAGTAGATGTTCTTCAGTGTCTGGACATTAAAAAGTTAGGTATTATATTTATTGTAGCCTTCATTGTCTGGGCTTATTTGTAGCAATCCTTTTTTGAAAGGCTTTCTGGTTATTTGAAAGGACTTTGGTGTTGTGATCTAAGCTATTCCTGCTTTACGGGCATCCCAAGCCCAGTAATGCTGTGGTTCTTGCAGACTCTTAGAGGAATTGCCTTGATGGTCTTGGACAAGATGCAAGAGAAGTCTCTGAATTGCCAGACAGAAGCTCTTGTTCTCTTCCTTTACTTTCTCACAAACATACAATCATCTCCATCTCTGTCCTGAGCCACCTGAACCTGGGGATACAGTGACACAAGCACCCCTGTGGCCACCACCACTATGATTGCATAAGGTCAGACCTGAAGTCAATATAGCTCTGGGTTTCTCCCCAGGCCTGCTGTAATGACTCCCTGGCTACCGCCTGTGTTCACTCACAGCCCTGGGGCTCTATAGTCAGCAAGCAGAAAAGCCAGCCAGCCCATGTCCTTTCTTTCAGGATGGTGAAGTCCCCCAGGCCCTGGGTGGGTCCAAAACTGCCATCTGAGAGTCAGGGACTAGAGTCAGAAACCTTAGAAGTATACCTGATCTTCTATTGTATTCTGGCTAAGCTGGCACTCAAACTGAAAGACACAGTTCTTCCCACTCTTCCCTCCCCTTTCCAAAGGCAGAGGAGCCTCACCCTGTAGCCACCACCAACCTTGGCCATGAGGAGCACTCTCAGCCTACCACTGATGTCCCCTTAAGACCTAAAGTATCTTAGGTCAGCTTGTGTGAATGCTGCCTGACCTGGAACTCACCATTGAGGGCAGTGGGCTCCCCTCTAGCCCAGGGCAGGTCCAGAAATGCCACCCAAGAGTCAGCTCCTAGAATCAGAGAGCCCAAGAGCCCACTTGGTGCTCCAACCCCTGTGGCAGTGTAGGGACCCAAAGTGCAAAACAAAGACCCCTTTTTTTCCTTTGCTTTTCTCAAGCACTCTCAATCAAACCACTTGGATTGGCAATTCCCCTCTGGCTAGGGCTGGTTTAAATCCTCCTTCTTCGGATGGGCATCAGCTGAGTTTGATCTCGTTTTCCTTCCTGCTCTAACAAGACAGCACTGAGTTTAATGCCTCACAGTTGTTGTGGTCTCCCTCCCCCAGTGTCCCAGAATCATCAGCTGGTAATGTACTGAGTCTCACTTGAATCCAGCAAATCTCAGAAGCTCACCAAGACCCTCAATGTAGTACCTGGGTATCGTTGCTGGTTATTCAGGGCCCAGTGTTCCTTAGTTAGCAGGTGATGAATGCTGGCAGGATTGGGTCCTTTCCTTTAAGGCAGTGGGTTTCCTTCTGACACAGGGTGTGTCTAGAAATGTCATCTGGAAGCTAGGGCCTGGAATGGGGGCCTTTTGAGTCTGATCCATGCCCTATTCTGCTGTTGCTGAGCTGGTATTCAAGGTGCAAGACAAAGTCCTCTCCACTCTTTATTCTCCTCTCCTCAAGCAGAAAGAAGGGGTATTTTTTTTTTTTTTTTTTGGAGCAGCAACTGTGGCAGCCTGGGGTTAGGGGAATGGGGATGCCAGCATTCTCTTGGCTACCCCTACTGGTATCTCAGTATATTGTGTGCCTCCCAGTCCACTGTGTCTGGGCCTAGTTCTTCCCTAGGACTCACCTAAGAGTTGCAGTCCTTATGGCATACACTGCCTTTCAAGTTTATTTAGAGACTGAAAGCATTTTGGCCCTTAGTCATGGGGTCTGCAGGCACTCAAATTCAAACCACTTGGACTGGCAATTCCCCTCTGGCTAGGGCTGGTTTAAATCCTCCTTCTGCGGATGGGCATCAGCTGAGTTTGATCTGGTTTTCCGTTCTGCTCTAACAAGACAGCACTGAGTTTAATGCCTCACAGCTGTTGTGGTCTCCCTCCCCCAGCGTCCAAAGATGCTCTGTGCACCGCACAGCTGCATCCGGAGACTTGGGGAAGGGGGTGGCTGGCATTGGTGATTTAGGACTGTTATTTTAAAAATCTCTTCAGTACTTCTTTCAGCAATATGAAGTTAAAACCAGGTACTGTGAGTACTCACCTGAATTTTGGTTCTTATGAAAGTGTTTTTCTTCTGTGTAGATAGTTATTAACTTGATGTCCTTGTTGGGGAATGATGCCTGGAGCTTTCTATTCTGCTGTCTTGGTCTGCTCTTGCCTTCTGGCTCCTTCCTTCCTTGCTTCCTTCCTTCCTTCCTTCCTCTCTTCCTTCCTTCTCTCTCTCTTTCTTTCTTTCTTTCTTTCTCCTTCCTCTCTTTTCTTTTCTTTTCCTTTCTTTCCTTTGCTTTTCTTTTCTCTTCTTTTATTTTCTTTTCTTTCTTTTCTTTTCTTTCTTTTCTTTTTACTGAGTCTCACTCTGTCGCCCAGGCTGGAGTGCAGTGGCGCGATCTCAGCTCGTTGCAAGCTCTGCCTCCTGGGTTCGCGCCATTTTCCCACCTCAGCCTCCTGAGTAGCTGGGACTGCAGGCGCCCACCACCACGCCAGGCCTGGCCCGTTTCTTAATTGGGTTGTATGTTTTTACTGACTTTCAAAATTTGTTATACATTCTGAACACATGTTCTTTGTTTAATATGTGGTTTAAAAATGTTTCCTTCCTTTTATGTAATTAATGGTGTCTTTTCCAAAGCAAAAGTTTTTGTTTTTATAAAATGTTGATGAAATCCACTTATTAGTATATTCTTATATAGTTTTGCTTTCTGTGTAATATCTAAACACCTTTAGCTCAACCCAGAGTCACAAAGATTTTCTTCTTTGTTTCCTTCTAAATCGTATTTATGGTAGTATGATTCACATTTAAGTCAATGATGCATATTGAGTTAATTTATGTATAAAGTACGAGATATAGGTTAGAGTAGATAACCTTGCCTTCATCCTCATATTAGTAAGAAAACATCATTTCATCATTAAGCATGAGGTCAGATGTTATTTTTCATAGAAGTCTTTGGCAGATTGAGATAATTCTCCTCAATCTCAATTTTTATGAAAAAAATTAAAATATTGAATAAATGCTGAATTTTTCAATGAATTATCTGCATGTTAATATACCCATATATTGTTATTGTTGTTAATGTAGTGATTCATATTGTTTAATTTTTTTTTTGGTAACACAATCATCTTTTCAACCTTGCAATAAACTGTACTTGATCATGGTGTATTATCATATTAATATATCCCTAGATTGGTATACCAAAAATTTGTTAAGGGATTTTTGTGTCAATGTTCTTAGGAAGTATTATTTTTTCTTTTGATATTTTTTGTCCTGATATTAGGGTAATAATAGTGACATAAAATGAATTGGAGCATTAACCCACTCCATTTTCAGAAAGAATTTGTGTAGGTTTGGTATTATTTATTTCTTAAAGGTTTAATAGAGATATGATCTTGAAGTTTTCTCTGTGAGTGATCTTTTAATTACAAAGTCAATTTCTTGCAATTGCATATACTAAATATTCAGATTATTTATTTTTTCTAAATTAATATATAAATTTCTATTTTTCAAAAAATTTGTACACTTAATCTAAACTGTTAAATTAATTGACAAGTAGTTTGTCTTAATATTAGCTTAATAGCTACTTAATTTTTCTTGGAGGTGTACTATTTTTCTCCTTCACTTCTGATAATTGGTAACTTGTGTCATCTCTTTTTGTTCTTTATTAGTCTGGTTAAGATTTATCCATTTTAGTGATCTTTTAAAGAACCAGCTTTTGCTTTCATTGAGTTTCACTGTTGACTGTTCATCTTCAATTTTAATAATTTATCATCTTTACTATTTCCATAGCTCTGTTTACTTTAGCTTTTATTTGTTCTTTCTTTTCCAACTTCTTAAGGTAAAGGTTACAAAATTGATTTTAAATCTTGTGTGTGTGTGTGTGTGTGTGTGTGTGTGTGTGTGTGTGACAGAGAGAGAGAGAGAGAGATTCTATTTTCTCTTGGCTTGCATAGTTTTAAACAAGAAGTCTGCAATAGTTCTTATTTCAGTTTCTTAGTGTAAAATGTGTATTTTATCTCTGGCTCCTTTTTAGATTTTCTCTTTTCCTCTGGTTTTTAGCAATTTAGTTATGATATTCTTTTGTATGATTTTTATTTCTTTGTCTACTTTTCTTTGACATGATTAACCTCTTATATTTGCTTTTTTATTGTATGCATCAAATTCAGAAACCATTCAACCTTTATTTCTTAATATATTTTTTCTGTCCCCTTTATGGGACCCCCCCCAATATTTATATATGACAATATTTTATTATTCCATATATCATCGAGGCTCTGTATTTTTATTTGCTTGTTTGGTTTTTTGTATTTTTCTCTCTCTGCTTCAATTTGGCAATGTTATGTACTCTTGCTCTGCCTTCAAGTTAACAATATTTTTTTCTTTGGTGTTTAATACACTGTTAATTTCTTCCAATTAATAGTTAATTTCATATATTTTGTGTTGCTGTGTAAATAACGTTGTGTCATTTTTTTCTATCTGCCATTTGTTTCTTCATTATATTTATTTTTTGTAAAGACTTCAACATAGTTATAGCCAACTGTATTTAATTTTTTTTCTCTTATTTCCTTTTTTTTTTTTCATTTCTAGGTCTCTTTCTATTGACTGTTTTTCCACTAGTTATAGTTCAGAGATTTCTGTTTCTTTAAATGTTTAGTCATTTTTAAAATTGGATATTGGACATTATGTTGTTAAGTGTTTAGATTTTGTTTTGTTCCCTTAAAGAGTGTTGGATTTTTTTTAAACAGGCTCCTGTATCACCTGCAAATTATTTTGGTCCATTAAACCTTGTTATTAAGCTTTAAAGGATAGGCCAAAAAGAGTCTTTATTCTGGCTTTTATTCAGCCATACAACTAAGGCATTAGCCTTTTGGAATCTCCATCAGTCTCTGGTGATTATATTCTTGTTCATCAAAGATCAATGTCTCTTTACCTTGTCTGAGCTCTAGAAATTGTCTATCTTACAAATGCCCAGTTGTTTGTTTGTTTTTTTTTTCAGATTTGTGGGATTTTTTGCCTATGCAAGTACAGCCTTGTACTCAGCAACGACAAGAAAACACATGTAGATTTCTGTAGCTTTTTGTCTATATGAGCTCCTTCTCTTTAAAACCTGCACCACTACTTCCATCCCCTTGGTCTACCTGAATTCCAATCTCTCTTTCCTTGACAATGCAAGACCACTGGGCTCTAGTTTCCACCTCTGTGAGCTTGATGCTTGAAAATTGCATGAGATAGAAAGCCATGAATATTAATTGTGGGGGTCACTGTGTTTACTTCTCTTCCATTAGAGATCAAAGTTCTGTGCTTCTTACTGTCCAATGTCTGAAAGTGTTTTTTTTTTTTTTTTAAATAAGTTTTGCTCATTCTTTAGTGGTTTATGGCAAGAAGGTAAGTCTGGCCATTGTTCCTAAATATAATAGCGATCTGAATGCCAGAGTTATCTTTTAAAATGTAATATTTAAAAATATGTAATATTTAGAAATGTGATTCTTTAAAATATTCTAATACTTTTTAACTTACATTATTCTAATAATTCCTCAATTTATAATCCAAATTCTTTACATGGAATACAAGGCCTTCTAGGCTATAACTTCTCTTTATAGCTCCAGAGTCACTTCTACCTACTCCTATGAAATTACTGTTCTGGCATAACCAAATGTTCAGAAATCTTCCTTTAAGTTATGACAGTGATATTATGACAGCATAACACCCTATATTTACCCCAAATGTAGTAGTTATCATACTTTATTGAAATTGTCCACTTATACTTTTACTTCCCAATAAACTTTGAAAGGGAAACAATCTTATTCACTGGTCAGAGATCTTGTCACGAGTAATATCCATTGAATGAATGTATAAATGGAAGAAAAGAAGGTAGGTAAGAAGGCAGGAAGAAAAGAAACAATTGATTTTGAGTTGATTTAAAAATTTTCCTTCAGTGCTCTCTGCTGGATTATTACAAATATGTAACCAAAAAAATCAAAAGCTTGAGGTTTTTCTTACTAGTTACTTTTATTTGCTTTTGAAACCTGTTAGAATAATTTCAGTAGATGACTTCCATAATTTCATCTATCCATATACCCCCTCTTATTGCTCCATAAACTCCATTATTTCTGTGCTCTAACAACACTTCTCAGACTTACATTACTTGATAGATTTGTGGTATAGTGTCATGAAATTTTTGTTCTTCAAAATGAATGTCTTCATTAAATTTATTTTTCTGAACTTCATTTGTATTATTCAGAGAGATTAATAACTTCAGCAATTTATAAATTATACCACGTGTCTTTCTTTACCTATTGCCTTTGAAAAATATTATAATTAAATTAAAATTTGTATATGCAAGTAGAACTGCAAAATCTAAGGAAAATTGGTAGAAAACCATGCAGAATAATGGCTTCCAAAGATGTCCATGCCCTAGTCTGTGGAATATATGACCATGTTACCTTACATGGTAAAAGACACTTTGCAGATGTGATTAAGGTTAGGAGCTAGAGATGAGGAAATTACTTTAGATTAGGCAGGTGGGCTCAGTTTAATCACATGAATCCTTAAAAGTGAAAGAAGAAAACAGTAGAGTGGTCAGAGAGTTGAGACTGTAGTAGAGGCAGTAGAGATTCAAAGTGGGATAAAGACTTGACCCAACATTTGCTGGTTTGGAAAATGGAGAAAGGGGAATATGAGTCAGGGAATGCTTGTAGCCTCTAAAAGCTGGAAATGGCTGTAAGCTAACAGCCACCAAGAAAATGAAGACTTCACTGCTGCAACATCAGGAAACTTAATTCTCCCTACAACCTGAAAAACAAAGAAACAGATCTCCAGAAAAGAATCCTGAACCTCTGACACATTGATTTTAATCCAGTGAGACACTGTGTTAATTTTATACTGTTGCTATAACCAATTACCACAAACTTAGTGGCTAAAAAGAGCAAAAATTTATTATCCTTCAATTCTGTATGTCAGAAGCTCAGCACTGGTCTCATCAGACTCAAAGCAAGGTGTTGATAGGCTGTGTCCCTTTTTGGAGGTTATAAAGGATAATTAATTTTTTTTGTCAGCTGAGGGACATTTTAGTTTCCAGAGGCCACAGCTTTTCTTGGCTCATGCTCTACTTCCTCCATATTCAAAATCAACAATGTTTAGTAGAGCCTTTATCATTTTTCATCTCTTTGACTCACTCTTCTATCTACCTCTTCTACTTTTACGAATTCATGCAATTAGTATTGTCCCTCCCAGAACTCTCCTTATCTCAAGGTCCTTAACATTATTCACATCTGCAATGTTCCTATTGTCATATAAGCTAATCACTTTAGTGAATAGGATGTGAATAACTTTGGGGGACCTATTATTCTGGTTACCATAGGCTTCTGCTGGATTTCTGACCTAAAGAACTATAAGGAAATAAATTTGCATGGTTTTAAGTCAGTAAAGTTGTGGTATTTTCTTATGGCAGCAATAAAATACTAATACAAGTGCCAATAGAATTTTTCAGATATTAAATTGACATGTGGTTAATTTACTGGTTTTAAGCAGTAAATTTGTGGTAATTTGTTATGGCAGCCATAGACAACTGATATAAGTACAAATAGCATCTTTCAGATATTAAATTAACATTTATATAGTGCTGTATAGTTCTAAGAATGACACATACATGTTTTAATTTAGTTTAGTGAGCTAAGTAACCATTCACAAATGAGAGAATTAATGTAGTCTGTCAGTTGTATACAAATAAGGCATGTAGGTTTTTAAGTTAGTTCTGGGTTTCATATGTGTCACTGGGCTCTTTAGCAAGATATTTAATCTCTTTAACTATCATAATCTTATTCTATGTAATGGAATTTACCTCATAAGTTTAAGGTTAACTGTAGAATTTAAGAAAGCATATGGTTCCTTACACATAATAATAAAAATTTAAAAAGGTAAATATTTTTATTTATGACATGATCAATCATTGGCTAAACAAATAAATTGATCTACCTTCTCTAACGAAATGTCAAATTTTCTGAATTTTCTATTATGTTGTTGTATTAGTTCGCTTTCGCACTGCTGATAAAGACATACCTGAGACTGAGAGGAAAAAGAGGTTTAATCGGACATACAGTTCCACATGGCTGAGGATGCCTCAGAAAAATGGTGGGAGGTGAAATGATGGCGGGAAGAGAAAAAAGAGGAGGAAGCAAAAGCAGAAACCCCTGATAAACCCATCAGATCTCATGAGACTTATTCACTATTATGAGACTAGCATGGAAAGACCAGCCCCCATGATTTAATTACCCGCTAGGTCCCTCCCACAACAAGTGAGAATTCTGGGAGATACAATTCAAGTTGAGAGTCGGGTTGGGGCACAGCCATACCATATTATTCTGCCCCTGACCCCTCCAAATCTCATGTCTTCACATCAGTACCTGATGTAGTATATTAATGTTCCTCATACTTTAATTTATATTTAATACCATCCTTACTCTTTATAATTTAAGTTATATTTTAAAAATTCTTGGAAGTGAAGTGTTTTGTTTTTTTAATATATATTTCAGTAGGTTTTACAGACACATTTAAGCCTAGAGTATCTTCGTTATAATAGTGAAAATAAGACTAAAAGAGCCAACTACCACTTCAGAAGTTTTACATTTCCCTTCTGTACAAGGATTAGATAGATAAATGGAAATACGACTTAATCATATATATTCTAAACACTAAAGGTTTCAATTAGCAAACTCATAGTTATCTGGAGGGCAGACCATGCCACAGTTAATAAAGGCCCAGACACAGAAGTGCATGGGGGAACACTGGGGGAAAATTATTGGGATGGACTTTAGATTTGGAGGGCCATAACTAAAATTTATTTTGTTTGTTTCATTAAAATGGAACATTCTTACTAGTTCTCCAACTTCTATATCATTACAGTGGTTTTGACAAGATAGAAAGGGGAAGATAGAAATAATATTGACTTTTGAAAACAAACAATTTAATGGAAGCATTGCTTCATTCCATAATTCCCTTTGATATGCACTGGAATGTGATTTTTTTCAAGGCCTGTGCAAGGAGGTAGAAGGGTCTCCTCTCTTGAAATTCACAAAGGCTTATTCTACCTTTGCCACACTTCTGATAATTAGGATCCTGCTCAATGACTCAATGCTTTCAAATAAACAAAAATTCCATTATTAAAAGAAGGAGCCTTTATTTTCTCAAATCTCATTCATTTGGGGGCAGTCTTTCTTCTGTTATTACATCTTTATATTTCTATTCTGCTGCTATTTTTTGTCACATAGAATGTTTTCCCATGCATATTTAAAAATAAAGATAATTTAGTTTGCTTTTATGAAAACTTAACCCTTAGAGAGTCATAATGATTTTTTCCAAGATTTATTGCGTGAGTTATATATAGCATGTACACTGTACCTTTCTTGGCAGCATTAATACTTTTGGAAACCAAAATATAGCAATGGTTAAATATATATACTTTTTTCAAGACATCTGACTTGAATCCTTGAATAAGGGTAGGAGATTTCCCCCAAAAGAAAAGTAACATTTAGTTAGGTTAAGTGTCAAGTTTCTAGCTCACACAGTAGAGAAGTCAATATGTACCAAGTCATATTAGTGAATTTCATCTACACTGCTCAGAGGTTGTTGAACTCAATTACAGAAATGTGCAGAGTCTATTTGATGTGTGAAGAGGTTAGGAGACCACAATCAATTAAAAAGAACACATGTATATCCTGTTCTGGGGAAATAGTTGTTATAATATACCTCGTTCTGCTTCTGCTTTTTCTCTGAGTTTTCCTCTGAACATAGAAGAACAAAAGGTTTAATAATTCCCCAGTTTCATTTGGAATTGTTTTGTCAGCAGTATCTTGTAGGAAGTCATGAAATTGTTGTTTTACTTGAATGAAGCCTCAGGCGGCTACAATTAAACATGCTGTATTCTTTTTTATAGCAAAACCATTTGAAAATGGACAATATTTGGACATTTATGGAATTACAAGGGACCAGGCTGGGGAATATGAATGCAGTGCGGAAAATGATGTGTCATTCCCAGATGTGAGGAAAGTAAAAGTTGTTGTCAACTGTAAGTGTCATCACCTTTTATCAAGATAAGTTCTGAGAAAAGATAAAACACCTTGAAAAATTCTGACTGAAATTTATGTTGCTGTTTTTAAGAGGTTGTCTATTGGTAAAAATCACCTACTAACACTGAAGACGTGTAGATGTTGAAATGTTGGTTAAATTGGTTAATGTAACAACAATTGTCCCAAGTAAACCCACAATAATTCAGTCTGATGTATGGAGTGAAATGTGTTTAATACTCTCCTAATCCCTGGCATTCTAAACTGTGGTGTCCTTACCTCAAAAGCACTGTAGCCATATGCTGGTGTTTTCCTCATGAGCTTTACCTGAAGTGCACTAACACTAAATTTAAGTGCGTAACTCCCAATCAAGCCTGATGAAAATGAAGTATACTCATCTGTACTCAAAGAAAAGAGCTGAAGTGTGATGCTTCTGTTAGTTGGGTGACTTATTTCTATTTCGTTTGGGAAAAAGAAAGTGAAGAAAGAATTTTTCCATAAGCATTGTTGTTAAGAAGTTAGAATATAAATTGGATACCTGCAGAACCGTCAATGCTAGTATGTTACACACTTTTCCTCAATGCTCCCACCACACTGATATAAGATGATTTTCCAGTAACATCCTATTATATATCTTATGATTTCAACAGCAATGACTACAATCGTTTTTACTTTTCAAAAATCTCCCCTAAGTCTTTATCTAAAAAATGTTCATACTGTTTAACTTCTTCCAATAAAATACCTTTGGGATAATTGTATTTTACCCAAAGTATTTACAAACTATAGTTTTCATTTTTAAAATTCTACTTACTTATCTTTCTATATATGGTCCTTGCTAATAATGTGCACGTGGTATTATGCTGCAGATCAGAAGAAATTGTTCCAAATATATCCAGAAATGTTAAAGCTAATCAGCAGTTGTTTCATATTAATATGAGTCTTTCAGTCTCATGGGCCAAAAAATAACTTTCAAAACACTTCTAACAGTTGAGCTGTACACCAGAGCAAATCACTGTCATCAACTAACATTTGTCAGTGACTAATCTATATACTTAGGGTTGAACTGTCTCTATTATACTGCACAAATGTGCATGATACCAAGTCAGGAGGCAGTTTTTGGAGCAGGATTTCTCATGGAGTGTTCTGCAAACAAATTGTAGTAAAATTGCCAAAGAAACTCATTAAAAATGGAAAACTCCTGGTACCCACATCAGCCATGCTGAATCAGAATCCTTGGGGTTGGGAGTGTATGGCCTGGAAACCTGAATTTTAAGAGGTTCCCACTGATTCTCAGGACTCTTATTGCAGAGAGCTACTGCTCATCCCTCTGGAACTCTCTGAAATAAGAGGTAACAAACAAGTAAAAATTCCTGATCATTTATCACTAGCCATGCTTTTCTGAATATGTGTATACTGATTTTATTGTTGGAGGGTTGAGGGCTTGGGAAGTGGAGGGGAGGGAAGAGAGACATATATCTACTAAGGAAAGAATATTTTTAGCAGTGAGCACTAAGAAATGAAAAAGCAGAGTAAAATCTATCAAATAAACAAGGCACCCAGCCCAGCAATCCTCTTAAACTCCAAGACCCAAGAGGTCTTTAAAACGATGTCTCTGATAGGGATGAAATTGAAAACCCAGCTGCTGTACAGATTTGCATGGGACCTATACTCCATATACAAGCCACAATTGTTTTTGGATTAACACTTTTTATTCTTCTGACTTTAGTTTGTTGCCACTTATTTAATCGGATTCTCTTTTCCCTAGTCAAGCAGGAAATTTAGACCGAGAAAGTCAACTTAAGGAGGCAGAAACTTGAGTAGGGAACTAAATAGATAGAAGAGAGTCTATCCATAAAGCAAAAGAACAGAAACTGGGTAAAAAAGATACCAGGAACGCTGAAGAGTCTACAGCAGTTTCATGGATACAGTGGACAAAGACAAAAGGCAATGTATTACTCATAGCAATAGAAGTAGTCAGAGTGTTGTCATTTTCTTGCATCAGTTCCTTAAGACCCAGTTACTACAAGGTGATAAGATGAGGGCTAGGTGACAACTGTACATAGTGGGTTTATGTCATAGTTGAAGCATCCTGAGCTTTGGAAAACTCTTTTTAAAAAAAATATATAATGGCAGCAAACAAACCTGCCCTTTGCCATAGAGAGGGAAATTATCTTTATTAAACTGGATTGTAAACAAATCTGCCCTTTACTCCATAGGGAGAACTACTTCTTTCTTCCAAGACTGAAAAGATAGGAACAAAAGCTGTCAGTGTCTCTGCTTACAAAGTGTGCAGAAATGTGAAAGACCCATGCAGAATTCTCTTCTAACACAAGATGGGAGCTGGAACATTTGAGGTAGAGCCTGAAGACATTCTGTCGGGCTAACAAAGGTGTTTTAGTGGCTTTGTCAGGGTGTCAGACACTCTAGAATAGGTAGAGAATAAGACTTTGTTAATCACTTTAACTTAAGAGGGAAAACAGTAGGAAAAAGGGAGAAAATTTTAAAACAGTAGGGAAGTGCTTTTTAAATCATGACAGAGGCTACCTTTTTTAACAATAAATTTCAGGTAGATAAGTACAGTTATAAGTCGACATATTGCTGCAGACATAATATTAACTTGTCTCATATTAAGAAAATAGACCCAACAGGATTTTCAAATGATTTAAACAATCAGTTTTGCCATTTGCTTCTCCCTGAGTCATACCTTTGATAATTCACCCTTTTCCAAATGTTCCATGAAAAACTGTTTAATACTGGTTTTGTTTAGTACTAATTGTGTTTAATACTGATGCCACACATATATAACTGATATCTCAGGTGTGAAGGGATGTGATTGTGAGTATGTCTGAAAAAGTTTCTTGTTATAAAAGGTTTGCAAAGTGTTAATTTTGTGAACTTGGCCCTTTAAAGTCAAAAATTGAGAGCTACTTCTAGATTTTGCTGAGCTGATTTTCCAGAGGAAATTAGCCAAAGCCTACTGAACAAAGTTTAGTTTGTCAAAGCCCAAAATTGAGTACAGTGGTCTACGTTACCAGCATGGACTTGCACATCCCCTGATAACCTGAAGATTCCCTAAAGACAGTATCATGCCAGGTTCAAGACAGCCCTTCCTTTCATCTTTATTAATCAATATTGATTGTGCGCATAGAATTACAGTAGCTTCATGAGTTATAATTTGAAGAGAAACTTTGCCCCTTTCCCCAAATGGGGTTCAAGATGAAATATAATACATTTTCATAAGCTCCGGTAGATTCAGTTATGTGGTAAGTCAATTTGAGAAGATTTAGGTTCCCTGAAATTTAGAAATGTTTAATGTTTTATTATTTCTCTAATACACCTTCCACGTTCACTATATATAGAAAATATACATATACAATAAATAACATCATACCTGTCACTGTGGATTTCTATTCAATTTAATTACCTAGCACTTTGTTGAGGTAATTGATATAATTGACTATATAATTGACTATACAGATAGAGCTAGTTGGTTGGTTGAATAAATCAGTTCATTTTGAGTTATTCACAGAAAGCCTTACTATAGATAGAAAGAAATTTTTAAGCATTAATGCAATGGGTTATTTCTAAGTAGGGGGATATTAGGTGTTTATTCTCCAAGTCCTTATTCGTAACTTTTTCCTTATGTGTTTGTGTATGCGTGTATTTCTTGTCCACTTTTTAAAAAATTAAAATAATGAAAAGGGGTCATGAAAATTATCATAATTAAACCTTGTGACACACACAAACACACACACACACACACGAGAAAAAAAAATTGACACATTTGATTAAGCCAAAGGGAGCTAGTGAATGTAGACTTGGACAGATTCCCCATTTTATTTGCATTCATGTTCTGTTCTTAGCAGAAGCCTTGTGGACACTAGGTTCATAGTTGTTATTGTAAATTACAAAATGAAAGAATGAATGAGTCTCAGAAAGCCCATGGATTCAAGTGAATTGAAAAACAAAACAAAAAAACAGGACGCAGGAAAAATCTGGTTAGAAAAGGGAAGATCACAGTGAAAATCAAAAAGCTGATTTATTAGAAATCAAATATAGAATTTGAAAAATTTAGAAAGTGTGATGAATCAAGTAATATAGATTTGTGTAAGAAAGTAGAATCCCAGGGATAAGAAATCAGCAAGGAGTGGAAGACCTACCCCTTTAATATGAAGGTTACTAATAATAGTAAAATGAATGGGGTTCCCTAATCTTGTGACAGAGGCCATCTGTTCTCCACTCCATTTGTATGTATTCTTCCAGTTAAGAGTGCCAGTTTTGGAAATGTGGGCCTTGTGGTCAGATATAATTTACTATAAGTATTAGCAGATAACTTACTGGTCCATAATTTACTGGGCCTTTGAAACCTTGGGTGAGGTACTTTACTTCTCTGACTCTCAGTTTTCACTTCTGTAAATTCAGGGCAATAATACCCTATTTATATATATTTGTAAATGTATAAATGTTATAAATATATACATATATGTGAATGTAAGTGAACTGACTCCAGAATGTCAGCTCTATGTGGAAACGGATTTTGCTGTCCTTTGTACACTGATGTACTGATGTGTTCCTGTTACTTAGAATAGTACCTGGTCCATAAAAAGGTGTCCAAAAATAGTTGTTGAATAAATAAAGGGTTAAACAGTTTAGAGTCCTCCAGGTGAATCATTCTACTAGGCAAAATAGAGAAAAGATATTAGGTTTGCCTCACAATTAATTTTTTTTCTCCCAGGAAAATTAGTAGATGGTGTCTTGACTAATATACTTCTAATACTGTTTTTTTCTCCCCAAATATCCAGGTGGATTCAATAAAGATAACCTGAAATTTGCATACTGTTTTTACTCAGAGAGAAGCAGCACTAATTCCATTTTTTATAGATAAGAAAATTGAGATGCAGAGATATTAAAACATTTAATAATTGCCCTGATTTTGAAGAACAAAACAGATGTGAGTAAAAAGAGCTGCTAATTGGAAAAAAACAAAGAGCCAACCAGACTAAGGTGAAAAGAGCTCTAGACATTATTTCAATTTTTACTCATGAAAGTCAGATCTAAATATTGACCATTTTATTTGGTATCAGAAATTATTTTGTACACACGTTTTTAGTAAAATAGAATTGATTAATTCTTCCTATGATCAAATAAATAGGAAAGTCATTTTTGGGTGTGCTGTGAAGTAAGTTTTTTATCCAATAAGTTACAGGCACATATTTGTGCATTATTTTGCATCTGCTACGTATTCATTTATGCAAATATGCACGTTATCTTCCAATATAACTAGCTCCAAACATGTGGAATTGAATGTTCCAATTAGTATAACTTAGTACAATTATACGGAAGCTTGAAATGAGAAGCCACTGGGGAGTAAGAGGAGGAGGCTTCTAGGGAAATGACCAGTTTTTTAAAGCTATTCCTAAAGTTTTCTCCAAAGCCTTGGGCAATTTAGGCAATATGTCAAACTTAAGACTAGAAGAAATTGCAGATCACAAATGGCCATCACCTTGAATAAAGGGAAAATCTCGGTGTTCAAAGTTTGAGTAGGGCAAAGGCACTATCATGGGACTAGAAGAAAACAGAGTTATTTGAATTCATAGTCATCACCTTAGTGTTTTATTTCTGGATCCATTTTATGCCCCTAACTTTACTTTTCATTTACTTCATCTTTCATATCTGCTTGTAATTTAGGATACTCTTCTGTATTTTATGTTTTTTTTTAAGCTAATTAACACTTATTTGGAACAACTCAGGGGAGAAAAAGGCATAGAGTTGTCTTTTAAATAAAGTATTAGTTCCTATAACATCTCCAATGATGATACACTTTGGTACATCTACATTTATATATTCACTTAGTTATTTACTTACTGCTTACTATAAGAGAATCAAGGTGCTACAGCCTGGGCTACTGTTTTTCAAACTCATTATCCAGGAAAGGAGAAAAATAAAAGAAACCCATAGTTTTAATACAGTGTGACAAGTGCTTTGATAAACCAATCGTAAGGTGCTGTGCAAGGATATAAGATATACACCAAACTCAACCTTGGGGTTTCACTGAAAGCTTCTAATAGGCCTTAGCCCTGATGGAGTTTAAAGGATTAAATTGAATTCAACAGATTTCTAAAATTAAAAAAAAAAAAAGAAAGAAAGATCTTCCAGTCAGAAGAAACATCATTTGCTTAGCTTCATAAGAGTTATGGGACAGAATGTTGTTTGTTTAGTCAGGGTACAAAGGGCTGGGTCAGATCAAGACACAAAACAGAAAAGAAGGTTAAGCATTGTGGAGTGAAGCAGGACCGGATGAGGTGAGAGTTAGTGAATTTCCATAGGCATACTTAGATCCAGTGTTTCATAATGAAAAAAGAATAAATTTGAGATGCTAGAACTGCTCAGAGGTTATCTGAATATTAATCAAATGAATTTAAATACTTTTATAGTTTACATTCACAAAGAATACTTGGAAGATTTCTGTTTTTTTCATGGCAAGAGTAAGAGAAGAGATTAAAACGATAATAGTGAGAACAATGCCAACCAAAAGAGATATGAGGAGCTAAGAAATATGAAGGAAACTTCCTAAAAGAACTGAACATTAAATATTAGAAACATCAATAATCACCCAAAAAATAAGTAAAATACTTCTTTTCTTAATACAACAAAATTGAAAAAAAACTAAGAATTAAACCTTTTTTATTCACCTTGGGACTTTCATGGTGTAAAAAGTTAACATTTAATTCTGTGATTTCTATAATCCCTCAGTTGAAGTAATACTGTTATTAAACATGCAGTTAAAGAATACATGAATTTTTCTATTGAGGGAGACATAATTGGACCTTTGTTTTAAATATTAGACATACAGTTCAATTAATGACTAGTGTGCCAAGACTATTTTTACTTAATGAGTCTGATATCCAGTTTAACTGAAGTGTATTCTCCCATGCACTTATCTTTGTTAAGAGGATTTAGTGTTAAGGGTCTATGAGTGATCTTTTGCCTTTTGTTTACGGAACATCAACATGCTTCTGTAGTAATGAAATATGCATATTTTTATTATTTCTCCTTTTCCTAAAAGTGAAAAATAAAACAATTTCTTTCCTTTAACACAGGAGCAAAATGTTTGCTAGATGGGAGCCTGTGTTTATTTTGTTTGTAGTTGTTTTTAGGTTGGCAATCATCACTTCAAAAAATATACATGAAGTAATAGGAATAATAGAGTTTGACTATGAGCTAGCAGTAAGAAAGCAATTTCTAACAGGGTAAAATACTCTGGGTTGAAAATGACTCCACGCCAAACGGAAGAAAAGTGATAAAGTCAAAGTCAGGAAAGAACAAACAACGGCAAATCTCAATCTCTCTCTCTCTCTCTCTCTCTCTCTCTCTCTCTCTCTCTCTCTCTGTCTCCCTCTATATATATATGTGTGTGTGTGTGTGTGTGTGTGTGTGTGTGTGTTATATAACTTATATGTGTGCATTTGTGATGGTGTATTCCTCTAGATTCATGTTCTAATAAGCAGCCAAAGGACCAAACCCTGAAAATCATCGCAGGGTGCCTTTTGCTAAATATACTCTTCAAAATGATGTAGAAGTTTCAAACATTACTTTAGTCAGTACAAACATATAGTTTATAACGTGTATTTATCTAAATCCAGCTTTTTCAGCATGTTTCCTAGTGCTTCTAGAAAAAAAAGTTTTGCTTCAGTACGTGAAGCAAGATAATTTATGGATTGAATTCTTTTAAGCCAATATGTGAGAGCCATTTATAGAATGAACAATACTGAATTAATCCCCTTGGGTCTTCGCCATAGCATCATTATTAAACTTCAGAGGAATTGCCAAATATGCTTATGTCTGACAATGCACGTTTGTGTGTTTTGTGTATGTGTATATGTGTGTGAAGGGAGAGAAGTGGAATGATTAGGGGCAGAGTATGGTAGAAATAGTATAAATAATAGCAGTATGTACAAGAATTATGGCAGATAAATTTGGGACAAAAGCATCCAAATTGTGGGGAAACATCCTTGGTACATTCAAGCTTGCTAGCTTGTCTTCACTCATTTCTTTCTTATTTATCTATTCTCTCTATCTGTTAAATGATAAATGTTAAAATAACGTTAAATATCTGTTAATGATATTTACTGTTATTTTACTTACATTTATTTAATGTTAATTAATTTACATTACATTTATTTAATTATATTTATTATATTAAATTTATTTAATGTTAATTTATTTGTGACTGCCATATTATTCGTTTCCTCTCCTCTCTTTCCTCTTATTTCTACTCAGATGTATAGTGATACTAAACCAACTTTTGAAAGACATCTGTATAATGAAGATTAATAATGAATTTTATTCAGTCACCTTGGAAACATTTTAAATATATGGATTGCCAAATAATCACTCACCAAATATACTGAATTATTCAGTCTATATTTACCTATAAATCAATGAGCATAACTGCTTTTTCAAAATTTACTAGGTGATAAAATTTTGGGTTTAGATATTACAGGATAATGAAAATAAAACAGAAGAGAAAGGCAGAAGATCCGAATTCTGTTTTTAATTCAGTCACTTAACTAATTATACAACTTTGGGCAAAAGACTTAAATCTAGGTCTCAATCTCCCCATTTAGAAAATGAGGGAATCACTCTCTGGTACCACCTACTCCTGACATTCTGATGTTTTTCTGATAGTTATTTAAGTTTTATAGAGACTGCATGAATTCACCTCCTAACAGGCAGGGAGCAAAGGTATAAAGCCACTGTTTGGCTTCAGTCAAATGATTCTGGATAATCTCAGACTTTTGCTTTGTGAATTCTTTGAGAAATTAATAAGGATGATAATTTCGTTCTATTACGCATTGTTGGCAAATCTGGGCAAACTTTTCATCCTTTAAAATGTAATTCATGTGAAGAATAAGTACAGTAATAAAGACGTAAATTTCAGAGAACCTTAAAGGAGAAATTCTGTTTATGCAATGGAGTGTGACAGAGGATGACAAAAATGGGATTTGGAATCAGACGTGAGTTTTAATCTTAGCTCAGTCACTTATAAACTATGGGATACTGGGGAAATTAGCTAATTTCTCAGAGGCTCAGCTTTCCTATATAAAAAAACTGGAGACAATTATAAACACCTTAAAGATTGGTTGTGAGCTTTGTCATAATACATTTAAAACAACAAGAATGACTGCTGCAAGGCCAATGATTTTGTGTATCAATAGTATCAGAAAGTAGCATTTTGTTTACATGTCAACCTTCCTCTGTAGCCTGTGAACTCTTTAAAAAGGGAAACTCTTGGGAGGCCAAGGAAGGTGGATCACCTCAGGTTAGGAGTTCGAGACCAGCCTGGCCAACATGGTGAAACTCTGTCTCTACTAAAGATACAAAAATTAGTTGGGCATGGTGGCGTGCACCTGTAATCCCAGCTACTTGGGAGGCTGAGGCAGGAGAAACTTGAACCTGGGAGGGAGAGGTTGCAGTGAGCCAAGAATGTGCCATTGCACTCCAGCTCGGGGCGACAGAGCAAGACTCTGTCTCAAAAAAAAAAAAAGATATATACATATCTTTTATATATATATCTTTTATATATATATCTTTTATATATATCTTATATATATATTTTATATATCTTTTATGTATATATCTCATATATATATAATCTATCTATCTATCTATCTATCTATCTATATATATATATATATATGAAAAGGGAAACTCCTCCAGTTCACCTTTGTTTTCCGGGCAATGTAACACAGTGACTACGAAGTCAGGCTCTGTAGCTGGGCACCCTGGCTTTAAATTCAACCTGGGTCACTTACGACCATGCAGACTTGGTCAAGTCATTAAACTTTGTGTATGCCAATTTCTTCAATATAAAGTGAGAGCATGAGGATTAACTGAGTTAAGACATGAGATAGCTTAGTGCATATTATTATTCCCAGTACCTAGCACAGTAACTGATAATCAATGTATGTTGATAGAATAAATAAATAAATATAAAATATGCACACCTACAATTCTACAGTTGAAAAATGTTCATAAAATTGCCAAATTTCTTCATCTTATAGATGTATGTATTTGAATTTAGGTAGCTTTGGAAATTAATTCATGGAATTCATGGAAGGGCTAAGAATGAAACTTTAAAATCCTAATTCTAGGTCTGAGGCTGCTTTCACTATACTAGCCTGCTTTCACGTAAATTGAAAAAGGATCCTAATTATTCTCAACAAACTGTGTAAACTAGGGAGACTTTTAGAAAGATAGTAAACTCTGCAGGATGAGAAGAGAGGATCACTGTGTATGAAAAGAAACTATTTCAATAACCAGAATGTGCGCAGGTGCTAGCTGTCAGAATGGCTGACACTGAAATAAAGTGCAGAACCACGGAAGTTAGGATTCCCAGTGAATAGAGAAAACAATTACAATAAATAATCCTTTAGAACGATGCTGCACTCAGAATAGGTTTGTTCACATACTGTGTGAAATAAGAGCTTTTGTTTAATAGTGAATATAATGAAATCCCAGCATCATGCAGTCAGCCTGCTTGCTGCTACACAGAAAAGCTAACAGCAGTGCAAAAAACAAACAAATAAAAACAAAACAAAATGCCCACTGTGCCAGGGGCATTAAACACTTATGTATTTCATAGATAAAATGAAAGATAACAAAATTTTATTTAGGGCACTGTGGGTGTGTTCCATGTTTATAAGATTCACTACTCTACTCTTAATGCCTTGAGAAGCATATATATTCAGTCTACCGATAACTTAAAAGCAGTTTGGTGGCAATTATAAAGACAAAATATCTTAAGCCTCCTCCCCAGTTGTTTAAAGGTTTAAGTTAGCAATTTAGATAAAACATATACATTTTTAAGTAATATGAGACATCGTAGCCTAATGCATATTAATTTTTCTGCAATAAATCATACTTTGACCTAGTCTAAACAAATAAGTGTTCTGTATCCTAGAACAGATGTTGAGAGTGTTTTCCTCATTTAGTATAACCAGCTAGTGTACATTTACATAATAGGATGGAGGGAAGTATATCAGTAATTAGCTGAAGTTCAGAAATGCTACATTTGTTAATGCTGTTTCATCTTTGTGAGCATATTGGGTTTGCAAACCCTTCTGTTTTTCCCTGTGGATGTCAAAAGGACTTTGAAGCTCCATGTAATTCACTTGAGGATGCAGTCTCTCATGAATTGTTCTGTACTGAGAACAGCTGATGATTTGTGAATTCTTTAGGAGTCAAGTTGTGTAATTCTGACTAATAGTTCAGTGTCCTGATAGAATTTTCTAGATTATTCAATGGGGTAAAGGTAATTTATCGAATACTGTTTTCATCTTCTTCCTGCGCCTACTGCTTGGACTACATTGTCTAGCCTGGTTTGGGGTTAGCTTTGGCCCTGTGACTGAGTTCTAGTGCAAGAAATGTAAGCAGAAGTGACATGGGCCACTTCCAGGCAAGGCCTATAAAACTTCCCACGCATGCTCTGCTATGCTTATTTTCCTTTCTAGTTAATGGGAATACTAACCCATTAGCTTTCAGGATGACCTTGAAAGCTACATGTTGAAGATAACAAAGCTGCCCTTGTGTGAGCCCCTGAATGATTCTGTGCAGCAGAATATCCCTACCCCTACCCCCTTTCACTCCCCACCTTTCACTGAACTAAATTATTATGGGCTTTTAGGTGAGTGGGAACCAAACTTTTTTTGTTGCCTCATTGTATGTTTGAGTCTATTTGTTCCCAAAGTTCAGCCTCCTCTGACTACTACAGTCAAGAATATAGGGCCAAATATACTGAATTCAATAAAAAATTTTGCATCACATCTTACTTCAAAATTTTTGCCTGAAAGCAATGATAAAAAGCTTCCTGAGAAGAGTAGAGAGATAATGGATTTTTCTTTCCTCCTATATGAAGTATAGCCTACCAAATTTCTGTTTGCAAATTTTGTGAGTCATAGTGAAAAAAAAAAGTCTATGAGTCTCATGCCTTTGAGGCTACCTATGATTTTGCTCAGAAACACAACTGGATTTAAAATAGCATCTGGCCATTAACCTCTGACATAAACTTTTCTGACAATAGTTTTTGAAACCAGCTAAGCTCCGTCGCGATGCCAAAAAATTGGCATAAACAAGATTTCATAAGTTTCTTCAAAAAAGTATTTAATTCACGTTTATATAATATAAATTTAGAAATTGAATACCAATGATCTGGATATGAAATCCAAGATTATACTTTTTTAAACACCAGTAATTGACAGATTTAGGTGAATAGAAGAATGGAGAGAAAAATAAATTTGGTGTGGGGAGGAAGGGGGAAGTGGAGTACACACGTGGAGAGGCAATGAAAGCACGCTCTATGTTATCTTTCATTTGCTAAAGAAAAGTAACCTCGGCCTGCGGTGGCTCATGCCTGTAATCCCAGCACTTTGGAAAGCCAATGCGGACAGAGAACAAAGTCAGGAGTTCAAGAGCAGGCTGGCCAATATGGTGAAACCCCATCTTTACTAAAAATACAAAAGTAGCCAGGTGTGGTGGTGCATGCCTGTAATCCCAGCTACTGGGACGGCTAAGGCAGGCGAATCGCTTGAACCCAGGAGGCGGAGTTTGCAGTGAGCCAAGATCATGCCATTGCACTCCAGCCTGGGCAAAAAGAGTGAAACTCCATCTCAAAAAAAAAAAAAAAAGTAATGTCAATTAATTATTGAATTTGATAATCCAGGAAACATGAATAATATCACTAAATGCTAAAAGTAAACCCTATTGTAAATGAATGCAGGAAACATAAACAGAAGTCTTTTTACTTGTAGCCAAATGGGAAGAGAAATCCATGAAGTATAAAAATTGAAACACGCACAAAAAGCGAAAAGTAAATGAAAACATCAGTAATGTAACAGACTAACATGATTAATTGAACACTAAAGGGAAAAATTACTGGGTTTGTGCTTTAATACATTGGTATTTATTATATACCGATATAATAAACAATGATATATTGCTTGTGTAAGACAAACCTAAAGCAAAATGAAGAAAAAATACCTTAAAGAATTAATAAAGATGTATTGAAGCAATTCAAAATAAATGAAAACAGGTTAAAAGATATTTTTTTAAATTGTGAAGTTTGAGAGAACACAGTACAAAGCCTAGTAATCTTCCCTCATGAGTTTATAACCAACTGAAAGATAGAAGCAGGAATATGACAAATTGAAAGCCAACCATATTACCGGGAGAATGGAGAGGAATCAATGTAGGTACCTCCTGAGAAGGATGGTTCTAAACAAGGAAAGCACCAAGCAGCATTCCTAATTTCCTCTTCCAATTTAACATTCTGATACTTCATCTTCCTCTCATTGGAATGGCCACACAGGGCAGGGAGATTATTCTCGAAAGAGACTCTACATATAGAATTATGAGGTCAGGGAAACTGAAGTTTCTTCCCTAACAATCCATACCAGTAAACATTTATAGATGAAATAATATAGAATGTGCACGCACGCACACACACACACGCACACAAAAATAGATACATACATACACACAAACATACGTTAGTATGTGTTGTATGTGTTTATATAAAGTCTTCTTAGAAAGACGTTAAAAATATATACAAATGTACAAACGCTTAAAGAAAGTTTTAATTAAAAACCCTCATCCTTTGCAAGATTACGTAGGAAAAGAATGATAAAATAATTTTAATAATATTAGTAATATTTAATTAATATGCGTTATAATTTTTTTTTGAGATGGAGTCTTGCTGTGTCACTCAGGCTGGAGTGCAGTGGCGCGATCTGGGCTCACTGCAAGCTCCGCCCTCCCGGGTTCACGTCATTCTCCTACCTCAGCCTCCCCAGTAGCTGGGACTACAGGCGCCCACCACCACGCCCGGCTAATTTTTTGTATTTTTAGTAGAGACAGGGTTTCACCGTGTTAGCCAGGATTGTCTCGATCTCCTGACCTCGTGATCTGCCCGCCTGGGCATCCCAAAGTACTGGGATTACAGGCGTGAGCCACTGCACTCAGCCCCGCATTTTAAATCTTGTATCCTCAGACAGTAAACATTGTTCATCTACAGAATTTTTACATTGTTTATCTACCAAACCACAAAGAACTCAATACATCTTCCAAAGCAGAAATTGTAAGAGTCATAATTTCTTACTCAAATTTAATAATAAAAGTTTAAATCCTCAAAACACAAAAATAAGATCCCAAACCCCTGAAAATTAAAAAAAAAAAAAAATCCTAAGTAACTTTTGGTGGGGGTAGTTTAAAAATAGGAAAAGCAAATTCACTGAATATCAAAACAACCCAGAGTGAAGGAAAGCTGTACTCAGAGGCAAATTTATAATTTTAATAGTCTTTTATTATGAAAAAATGAAAGAATGCTATCAAACTAAGTATTTATCTTGAGAAGTTAAAAAAAAATTAAACCTGAGGGAGATTTTTCCTTTTGAGGTATAATATGTTAGATACCCAGAAAACCACTTTGGACTTAAACAACTAAGATGCTGGATACAATTTCCAAAGTATGTTTCAAAAGGCATCATTTTAATTTACTGAGGAAAAATGTAAGTTCTGAGCTGTAAAATTAATTGAAATGAGAACCACTAATAGGTAAGAAACTATAAAAATGATTTTTCTCTCAGAGTATCTAGTATACTCTTGAGTCTTTGAATGCCCATTTTGATGACTATGAAAGATGCAAAGAGAAGACAAAGTCCAGGGATCTTTAAAACTAGAGGAGATCCCTTCACATTAAACAAAGACCCCCACGAAGGGCCATACCTGTAGTATAAGAATGAACAAGAGATACATCCCATGTCTCAGAAGTAGATGCAAGGAATATTTCCTGCCTCGTTTAGCTCTGATTTTATGGAAAAATTCTCCTCGGAAAACCTATAACCTCAACTTACCCAAAATAAGTCTGCAGCCTCTTAGTCCATTTTGAGTTTCTATAAAGGAATCCCTGAAATTGGGTAATTTATAAAGAAAGAAAAAAAGTTTATTTGGCTCATGATTCTGCAGGCTGTACAAGAAGCCTCGCCCTGATACCTGTCTCTGGTAAGGGCCTCAGATTGCTTTCACTCATGGCAGAAGTCAAAGGGGAGCAATCATCACATGGAAAGAGGAAGAAAGCAAGAGAGAGGAAGGAGGTGCCAGGCTCTTTTGAACAATCAGTTATCCTGATAACTAATGCAATAATAACTCACTCATTGCCAAGAGGAAGGTACCAAGCCCTTCATGAAAGCCCTGCCCCCACGACCAAAATACCTCCCACTGGGGCCTTGCCTCCAACATTGGGGATTAAATATCAATGTGAGATTTGGAGGGGACAAACATTGAAACTATATCATAGCCACATATCCACATGTCACTTTTATTTTAAAAATCTAGAGGCGTTATTTAAATTTACTGTTGTCCCAAATAGGTGAAATCTGCAAGAAACTCACAAAACAAAACAAAAACAAAAACCTCATAAATCTCTGAAGAAATACAACTTCAACCTAGGCCTCAAAAATAACTCTGTATATGAATATCTTTGAGGTAAAAATTACAAGACTGAAAAATCCAGTCTCATATAACAAAACACTTAGACATGAATAATAATCAGTGAAAACAACAGACAAGAAAAATAAACTTTACAAAAACTTTTTGTAGAAGAATTATCAGACATAAGTTTAAAGAAATGAGAGTGAACCTTGAATATGAGCAAACAGTAAGCAATTTTGAATGAAAATTCCACTCCATAGAACTTCCAAGTGTGAAGATTAGAATAATTAAAATTAAAAAGCTTACAACTGAAAAAAAAAAGAAAATATGTGTTAGATATAACTAAAGAGGGGATTAACAAATTGGAAGATGGATATTACAAAATTATATGGAATGTGGCTGGATGTGGTGGCTCATGCCTGTAATCCCAGCACTTTGAGAGGCTGAGATGGGTGGATCGCTTGAGGCCAGGAGTCTGAGACCAGCCTGGCCAACATGGCAAAACCCCATCTCTACTAAAAATACAAAAGTTAGCCAGTCGTGGTGGCTCATGCCTGTAATCCCAGCTTCTTGAGAGGCTGTGGCATGAGAATCGCTTGAACCCTGGAGGTGAAAGTTGCAGTGAGCTGAGATCACACCACTGCACACCAACTTGGGTGACAGAGCGAGACTCTGCCTAAAAAAAATTAAATGGAATGCTAGCCAGAGAAACCAAGAGACAGAATTTAAGGAAGAAAGTGAAGAAATTTAAAGAATAGAGTGTAAATGTCTAAAATGTATAAAGTATAATTCCATAAGGACATATTAGGACATATTAGAAAGTACAGGGACGTGGGAAATAGGCAATATTCAAAGAAAGAAATGACTCAGTTTTCCAGGTTTATTTTAAAATTCTCATTCTGAAACAGGAATTCCTATGAATGCAACCAGGATTAAAAATAAAAAGATACGCACAAATATACATCATACTGAATTTGAAGCAAACCAAAGAAAAAGCAATGTCAAAACACCTTAAAATAAAAAAAGATCACCTGTAAAACAACAGCAAACACACTGACTGTTGATTTCTCAGCAGCAACAATGAATGCCAGAAGACAGAATCATAGTAATACTCTTAGTGTCTTAGGATAGAACAACTGTCATTTTATGTTTATGTAGAAAAATATAAAAAGATCTTTTGACAAAAAACAGATGAGAGTTTGTCACAAAATGACTTTCACCATTTGACATAAATGTTTGCATTGAACACCAAAATCTTATTTTCTTATTGTTACAGAAAGAATAGAAACTTGTATTTTTTTACCCCCTTAAAGTTGATTATGTTATTGGATAAATAAATGTTAATGACACACATCACTTTTAAATGAAAACACTTAAATGCTGATATCTAAAAATCCACCTTTCTTGTTCACAGACTTGATAATCATAGATGTGTATGTTAATATGCAAGTGCTTTTAAATTAGTCTGAAGTGCTGTGCCAACACATGGAAAACTTGTGCACAGGAGAGTCACCTGGACCCACAGCCTTATTTACAGGAATGTAAACTTTTGTTATATTGAAACCTAGAAATTGTGGGAATGTTTCTTACTGCAGCATTCACTGCCCTATACTGACATATATTATGACACTCCTAAAACATAAACTTCTGGCAAAAGGAAGCCATATGGAAATCTGTTATAAGGAAAAGATATTAGGCAAATACAATATATTGGCAAATAAATGAGCAAACTTTAATAAATATTAACTATATATTTTAAAATGTCTAATCTGTGGGATGAAGCAGGCTAGAGCTGAAGTGTTAAGACAACAACACTGAAGACGGAAGGAGAGCAATGGTGTTAAAATATAGTAAAACAGCCTTATATCATTAGGAAAAATGGTAAACCCATTGACTAGCTTAAGTCAAAAATTAAAACAGAAATGAACATACAGTGGAAAAGGAGAAATCTAAAAGCTACTTTTAATATTAAAAATAGAAAAATGAGATTGGACAAACTTCTGAGGATGTTAGTCTAATGTTTATCTGTGGCATCTTGTGAAAGTAGAAAATTAGAAATGAAATAGAGACAGAATTCTACGTGCTGCAGAGATTAAAGCAGATATGAAGAGGTTGTCCTTAATAACAATCAATAAATTGGGAAATTGAAATGGAATGGAAAAATTGCTAAAAATAATTTCTTTAACAGTCTCAAAAAGAAGTAAAAAATCAGAACGATCCTATGTAACTAAAGATATGGAGTCATTGATTAAAATATCTTTCCAAAAATATGATTTAAAGCTCAGATGTTCTTATATGACAGTTCTGTCTAATGTTAATGGATTGTTAAAATTTACACAAACTCTTCAAGAAAAATTTTTAAAAAGAAATAAAAAGAAAACTTTCAAATAATTTTATGAGGCTCTAATAATTTGATAACTAAAATTATTTGAGATTAGAAGGAAATAATATTATAGACCAAATTCATTAAAAAATTGATTCAAAGATTCTAAACAAGATATTAGCATACTGATTCCAGCAATGTATAAAAATATCATGTTGATTTTAACTTAGGAGTACAATGCTGAGTTACATTACAGATTAAAGGAGAAAAACCATAGGTCATTTCATAAATTCAAGAAAAAAATTAATAAAACAACATATTATCATAAAAACTCTTAGTAAACTATGAAGAGAAGAGGACTTAACCTGATGAGTGGCATATAAAAATATCTACATTAAACACCTTAATATTGAAAAATTATTTGCTTTCTCTTTCAGATCAGGGAAAAGACTTGAACATCAGCATCTCATACTGAACCTTTCAATAGAGGCTCTTACCATTGTAGTAAAAAGGAGAATAAATAAAAAGCATAAGAACTGAAAAAGGAAAATAAAAAGCTGCCAAATTGCCTCTATGTGTGGCTGATTTATGTTCTGCATTGTGGATGATATTGTGTTCTGTACTGTAAAACCAAAAAAAATTATTTCAATTAATAAGAGTTTAGCAGTGATGCTGAATAAACCAGTAACAATCAGAAATTATAATTTTTACATTTAATTTACAATGGCAAATATATGTAAAATTATATCAGAGAAAATGTGCAAATCTTTTATAAAAAAGATTATTAAAATGAATTTAAGAGATGTTAAATGAAAAGTATACTATATTTTTGATATGAAAAGTCATTATAAATGTAGTAAAAATGTTGATTGTCCTCAAATTGATCTGTGAATTAAATACAATTTCATTCAAAATTTGAACAGGTATTTTGTTGAACTTTAAAAACTGATTCTAAAATTAACATGAAAAAGCAAGAATTCGAGAAGACTCCATCCATTCCTAAAGAAGCATGGATAGACAGGATAACATCATTGTAATTATACAATGTGATGTTAGTAGAAGGAAAGATAAATAGAGCAATAGAGAGACAAGAAACAAAATTATGGGCAAAATTAAAGCTGCAACTCCAAGCCAGATCTGTTTCATTTTCAATTCCTCCACGTCACTTCCAGAGCAATCTTTACAAAACACAAACTTGATACCGTCACTGTCCTGCTTAAACATCTTCAGTGGTTTTCCATTCTTCAGGATAGAGTGTTAGTCCTTTGACTGGCACATTTAGCCTCTTCTTGATGCCGCCTCTGTTTGCTCGGCTGCCTTTGAAACTCCCCTTTCCTTGCTTTTCTCAATATGGTATCCCATCCTCACAAAGGTACTTTCAGTTCCCCGAATTTGCCATTTTAAAAACTCTGAATACATCATGTTGAAGACTTTTTTCTGCTTTCCAGTAATGGGCTAATTCCAACTCTGCTCTCAATACTGTGCCTAGTAACCAACAAGTAACTGTTGAACAAAATGTTGAACAAATAAGACAAAAGTGGCACATTCCTGATAGCCTGTTTATAGTGGAAGGAAATGTCCACTCATAGGTGTTATATGCATGTACAACTGAATACTTTGGTGTAGCCATTTAAACTAGACTTGCTCTGGGTGGACCTGCCAAGCAGTAAGTAAGGGAATATTATTAAATGTGTTGATGGCCAATCACTCGGGGAGTGTCCACATGTGAGCATTTAAGATAAATTCTGAACAAAAAGTTCATTACTTACTGTATTATACTTGTTTTGTTATAGAATAAATCACATTTTTACCATGACATATAATTAACTGACAAAACAGATGCTAAGCTTCATTGTAAAGTAGTAAAGAGAAAAGCTATTAATATATTCAGTTTACATATGTTCATACTTGCTCAATGTTCCAAATACATATATGAAAATTATCTGGTTCAAAATTGCCTTTACCCCCTTTTGATTACCTTGAACTAGACACAAACAATGAGCTTCCTATCTTTCCTTGTAGTATAAGTACAATTATGCATATTTTGTAATTTGTTTACATACATTGTTTTGGAGGTGTGTGCATACTTCTTCTTTTTTTTACCATGCCCTACAGATCTGTCATGATCTGTCATCATGTATCTGCATGTGCTCTGTAAAAATAAAAAATAAAGTAATGGAATCTGAGGCTCAGTCCATCTCAGGACACAAATTTTGAGGCAAATGTTCAAACTGACTTAAAATAGATAAGTTATAATCCAACTTCCTGTTAACAGTAAATCTTATTAGCATATTCCATTGCATTTTATAAGGCAAACGTTGATTTATGCTTAATAATCTTGATTCTTTCTTCACAACTCGAGTCTCAGATTAACAAGATTTTAATGTCATACGAAGCTAGACTGCAAGTTATACATGCATTCCTCCAGCCTCACTAACTTTCTCACTTGTAAATTATGTTTAAGGACATTACTAAACCCCAGAATCAGCGTGGTCATGCTGAGACAGTGAAGAATGAAACACATGCTCCGTGAAACAGGCTTTTATTTTAATTTATGTTAAATTGTCAAAGCCTAAATTAATGAATAGCAAATGTGAACCTCCAAATGGGCTCATGTGGAAATATTCCTATTTGTGGTTATCTTTTTAAATTATATTAAGGGTTTGCTCTTTTGTGGCTGTAAAATAAATATGATAACTTTACACAAGAACCCAATGTTCACTCAGTGAGTGTAGCAGAAATCAAATAAAAGCAGCCATGCAACTCAAATTAAAGTTCAATATCATTAATTTAATTATAGTACATAATCATTTGACAGTGCTATGAATTGGATTTAAAGGATGATATTGTAATTGATTGTTAATCATTAAGAAGCATGCAGTAAAGATAATGCTGTCTGGGTGGTAGTAAATTACGATTTTATCCTATCCGGAGACCAGATTGTGGGAACAAATGGCTCCTGTCACCATCAATGAATCATGGAGGATGGAAATGGAAACAGAGGGCTGCCCTGTGAACATGTGTGGCAGAATAATGACCATCATTATAGAAGGCCAACAATGCACCAGCTTGGAGCTAAACAGCCTACATATATTATCTTATTTAATCTTTACAATAAACCAAGAGAGTAGATATCATTATCTCCATTTCACAGATGAAATAAATGAAGTTCAAGTAACTCACACATAGTTGGTCATACACTTCATAATGGGAAGGGTGATATGTCTAATTGGAAAGCCCAAGCTTTAAACTGCAACTTACACTCCTTCCAGTGAAAATCTACCAAATGAGCTACCCTCAGTCTTAATATGCTGGGTGATTGCCAGTCATGACATTTATCATTTGCATTCTAATAGCTGTTTGCTTAAAATGTCCTCCTTCACTCAGAATTTTTTTGAAATATCTCTTCTCTCTTTCTTGCATCCATGATCTATAAAGGGGGCTTAGAGAGTAAATTATTTGACATTTTTATCTGTTTTATCAGACAGCTATATCTGACAAGAAAAGAGTAGTAAGCAAAGTCCTGTGACACACCCTGTGGGTTACATTGAGAAGAGATAATGGTTAGCAGTATGGTGGAGATATCTGCTTAGAAAATTTTTACCAAGCAAGACACCCAACAACGGTTGAAGAAATTTCTGACACCCAACAATGGTTGAAGGAATCCTACTGCATGGGAGATCACTTATAGTTCATTGTTATTGTTGCTGTTTCCTTGTCTTACAGCAATCATTTCATTGTACTGCTACCATATTTGTATGGATTTCTATTGTTTGTAGCGCACTGGTGCTTGAGGTTTAGCAAAGATATGAAATGAGGCCACAAGATCATTTTTTTACCAGACGATAATAGTTTTTAGTTGAGAGTTAAAATTTAGAAGACATTGACTCCCCATATTTTCATAATTAAACCACAAAACCTCTGAGGCATAATAGAAGAACATTTTTCTTAATAATAACTTCCAAAATAATGATGGTCCCTAATTCACAGTATGTTCACACACACACAAAAAGTGTCCTTAGTGGCTTGGAACCCTCTTCCCAAATAAGATTAATTAAAATTTAGACCTTACAAAATACTTACATACAAAATAAGATTATTTTAACTCTCATCGTCATCCTACATTGTAAATATTATTTTATATTGCAAATGTAATAACTGAATTCTATAAAATTTGGTAGGTAACATGGTGGAAGTCAAACACCTGTTTAGTATCTGTATAGAAACTAAAATCGGTCCAGGCAGGTGGCTTTCACCTATAATACCAGCACTTTGAGAGGCCAAGGAAGGAGGATACTTTAGACCAGGAGGTCAGAGGCAGCAGTGAGCTATGATCACAACACTGCATTCCAGCCTGGGTGACAGAGCAAGACCCTGTCTCTTAAGGAAAAAAAAAACAAAAAACAAAAAACAAACAACAACAACAAAAACCAAAAAACTAGAGAGACTGAAATTATGTCCCTTTGAACAAGAACTTGGTTTCTTTTTCTGTATACCCTATTCATGTTTGGTTTCCTCTTAGTAGTACACGTCAGTTTCTAACTATCTCTTTGAAAACTACAATCCAAGTTCAAACTCATAATCCCAGATGCCAAGAACAGATTTTTCCTCATGCATGCTCTCTTTATCTCTCTGTCTCTCTCTCTCTCTGTCTGTCTTTCTCTCTCTCTCTCACTCTCTATATAAAGAGAGAGAGAGAGTGAGAGAGGGAGATACATATAGATATATAGATATACACATATATCTATATCTATATTTGTATATATCTATAGCTATATATCTACATCTATATATACCTTTCTCTCTCTTCTTGCTGATCTAGTGGTGAATGGGAAATTATTCTTGTACTGCTCCCATAGAGTGACTCAGAATGCCATGGATGTTTTTATGCAAGGACTCCTGGGTATTCATGCAAAGTGAGTAGTAGGTCTAGTGTCAGACCAGACCTGAGTTCAAAGGCACTTAACTCTATACCTGAAGGTTTACTTAACTGAATGCTATTTCCCTAATTATTAACCGGGCATGCTAACACCTGCTTTAAATATTGCTTCTAAGAATTCATATGTGTGTGTGTATATATATATATATGAATAAACATGCATTTTATATATTGCATATATAGATCACATATATAGATCACATACGTATGTATCACATATATATTTATGCAATATATACAACATCTGGTATATATTCAGTTTTTCTTTATTCAGTGTTGGAATGTTACAAGTGTTAGGTAAGGTTGCTAAGAATACAAAACAGGCAGGTTTCAAGGTGCCTACATTCTGTTGGATGAAAACATACATTAAACAAATATATCCTATGCCAGATAGTGATTCATGCTATGAAAGAAAAAAAGTAAAAGTTAGATAAAAAGTGATACAGAAACTCTATTTTACATAACATGTTCAGAGAAGCCCTTTCTGATAAGGTTACATCTGAGTGACATCAAAGAATGTGATAGAAAGAACATTGTTCATTGAAAGCAATCTCGTCTACACATTTGTCCTCTTAACTCATTGAAAAAGCTAACCGGAACATCACACATTTTAGAATACAGTGCTAAGTACTGTATACATTTGTGTGTGTGTGTGTGTGTGTGTGTGTGTGTGTGCCCTCCCAGCAAAAGCCTGCAGAGTATTTCGATTGGGCCAAAGGATTATGAAAATATTCACTACCTAGAATTGTTATATAGCTAATGTAATACAAAGTCTAAACAGCATAGGCAACAAAATATATGCCATCTTTTATGAGAAAGGAATAGTTCAGTAAGCTGTAATGTCTAGTGAATGCAATAATACGTGCATGGGCAGTATCAGTGTGTCCTGGATTGAGATTTTCTTGCATATTTGATTCATTGATTTAATGCTCATTTTGCAGTTATCAAGGTATTTCTGCAGGTGACAAATTACATGACTCATTCTTTGACTTATTTAAAATGGTGATAGATGTTGATTTTATATAGATGTTTGCATTTGAGTGGAAAGAAGTGAAACTTCCAGATAGTTTATAAACATATTTTATTAACAACCTGGGAAGAATATATCTAGGTCACTCATTTGTCTGATAATAGAAGAAATAAATGGTGCTACCCAGCATATGACTTTTGAGAAATAAATACAATTTTCAAAGCTGTGTTTTTAGTGTTAAGAAAGAAAATGTTGAGAGATTATTTTTCACGTTAAATACCAACAGTTGTATTCTTATATTAATATAAAACTAATACTAATATTTAATTGTAAAAATTCAAAAAAGTACAAAAATGTTTTCTAACAGTAACCTCTAAATTTCTCTGTAATTCGTCCACATGTCTATGTTCTCCATAAAGACTGAGCTCCATAGAACTGTGTTTAGAGCATAGTAGAAGCTTGACAAATATTTATTCGTTAGTAAAAAAAAATATCATTAATGGAAATAAATGCATATGGGCTTCTGCTCTGTGTAATTACTATAAGCATTGATTTGATTGCTTCACATATTGTCACAAGTTAAATGTAACATGCCCATTAGTGTCCTAAAACAGATTATTTGGGACTAAAATTGTTTGAGGATTTCTGAATTTTTGGTATACTTTACTTTCAATATTTAAGGGAAAAAATATTCTCCCTTAAGAGAAATAATGTTTCCAATTTTGAGGGAACTGATATTCATGAACAAACCATCCTAGATCCTATAATGCTTTATTAGAGTAATTTGTTTTCCTAGCTGTCTCTTATATTAAATCATAAGCTCCATAAAAGCAGGAACCAAGTTGTATTAAAATTTACTGTGTATCTTCAGTGTCAGACATGAAAAAGGAATTAAACATATTTCTGTTGAATGTTGAATTGATAAAGTGTGAACAAAGGATAATATATATGGACTCTCTTGTCTACACTTCAATGCCTGGTTAACTTGTTTACAAAGATACCCATTAGTATGATAATAGGCTGATGTCCTGGACATAGTATATGGATACAGTTTTTTGGGTTGTTTTTTTTTGGAGATGCACTGGAGTGCAGTGGCATGATCTTGGTTCACTGCAAGCTCTGCCTCCTGGATTCACGCCATTCTCCTGCCTCAGCCTCCCAAGTAGCTGGGACTACAGGCGCCCGCCAAAATGCCAGGCTAATTTTGTTTTTATATTTTCAGTAGAGATGGGGTTTCACTGTATTAGTCAGGATCGTCTCGATCTCCTGACCTCATGATCCGCCCGCCTCAGCCTCCCAAAGTGCTGGGATTACAGGCATGAGCCACCGCACCCGGCCATGGATACAGTTTCTAAGTGGCTTTTGTTGGGTTCAAATCCCACAATGTCCTCAACATCCCGCCAAGCCGTTAGGTGTTGTGTGCTGGATTCCATTAATTCCCAATTTAACATACTCTCATCCTAGCTCATTCATGATCTGTTAGTTTTATTATTTTATAATTTATTGACACCAACTATATTTTTCTGATGTCAGTTTAGCTTTGTCTCAAGGAATAGCCCTGGGTTTTTTATTTTTTTTAAGTCTGTCAAAGTGCTTACCACAAGGTGCTATTCTGAAACTTAAGTTTGGCAAACATTGAGCACTGTTTCCCTTTATTGGGTAATCACAGATCATATCCCCATTTTAAGGACTTTGAGATATTTTGGAGACTAGCACACTGATTAATTGACCCTGCTGACACCACCATTTCCCTTTCATTTATTGATTGATTTAACAAATATTTATTAAGGATTTATAATATATCACTCTGCCAGGATCTGGATATACAATGGTGAACAAGATTGACTTGGTCTCTGCCTTAATAGAATAGATAATCTTTGGAATACAATAGATAATCTTTGGAATGTATGTTTTAAATGCTACTCATGAGTGTCTTAACTTTCTAAATGTTACAAAGATGTCACATGTTTTAATTTTTAATGAATGCAATAATTTTATCTAATTTAATTTTGTCTTCACCCAAAGCATTCTTAATTTTTTTTACAAAGCGATAACATTGTGACTATTGTGTCTATGGTTTATATCCCCAAACTTTCTCAACAGCAAGGTATTAAATCCAGAAACCAATAATGAACTGGTAAGCCTTCAATCTTTGAATATATTTAGCTATGATAGCAGATATTTGGCATGCTCCGTATCACTAATGTTACTTTCAATAGTAGAGTTTTTACTATGGTTGAAATAGAGAGCAGAAGTAGGGCTGGGTGTGAAGGCTCACACCTGTAATCCTACCACTTTGCGAGGCTGAGGCAGGAGGATCATTTGAGGACAGGAGTTTGAGACCAGCCTAGGCAATAGAATGAGAGCTGTCTCTTAAAACAAAAAAAAAAAAAAAAAAGAGAGAGAGAGAACAGAAATAAAATATGCCTTCAAAATTGAAACAAAAATAATAAAACATCCAGTGAGAGTAGTTAAATAAGATGTTGTCTGGCAAGTATGATTAATTGGGTACTAACGGGGACCCATGATTGCCAAAGTACAGTTGCAGTCAAAGAAGGTTGAACAGAATAGAGACCAGTGAGAAGAACCCTGGCCATGGTATTTATCAGACAATCAGATACAGACACTGTAATGGCAATGTGATGAAAGATAAAGGATGGCTGACCAAGATGGAGTTGAGATTGTGATGAACTTGGCAAGATGGCTGGCTTATGAACAATAACCTGGAAATCATTACTTGAGTATAATACCCTAAAATAGTTTTTTCCCTTTACAATTTTATTCCTGTTATTTCCTCTTTGTTTACATATTTGTCTTTCAAACTGTATCATTTATGCTTTCTTTCTATCAATTTCCCCTTATTTCAGTGCATTATTAAAAGTGTAGCCCAGGTTTTGCCAGTTTCCTTCATTTTACCCTGTTTACCCCTCAAAGATGATGTTTACTAAGGGCAGTCTGAAGGTTGCTCTTTACTTTTTCTTCCTCTTTGGTCTTCTCCAGTGTGTCCAAGTGAGTTAGCCCTCTACTGCCAGGAGCAAGGTTAATCATACATTACAGGACCACAGTCTCTTATATTCTGGAACCACGACAAATCAAGTGGAATTGTTCTCACCTTTCCCTATCATATTGTCCCATCAACCTCAAGTAGACTAACAAACCTAATAGTGATGACAATATAAAGTTCTTTTACTGCAAAGTTAAAGTATAAAAATATAACAATAAATAGTTATAATTCGCATATTAAAATTTCACCTTCTTTGAGTTCAGTGTCCAACAGTGACAAAGTGCTTTGAGGTAGACTCATGCTCATAATGAAATTCACCAAAAAAATTATTTAAAGGCATCAAAAAGCCACTGAGGCAAATACTCTGTGTGTGTGTGTGTATGTGTGTGTGTGTGTTGTGAGTTAGCATTCTGCAGCCTTTTTTATTCTAGGCATCTGCTGATTTGAGGTTGAGGGCAGGAGCCTGAGAATACTGATTTGATCAGAGAGACATATCTATGGGCCAGAAAAAAACAGAATTGTTGTTGAAATTTTTCCAGAGCTGAGGAGACAAAATGGATGTGTAAAGATTCACGATCCAAGAAAGAAAATACTGGTGAAGAATTAAGCCTGGCACACAACCATGTTCATGACTCGAGGATCACTTGAGCCAGGAAGGCAGAGGTTGCAGTGAGCTGAAATTGTGTGTGGACAACAGAGTGAGACCCCCATCTCAAAAAAAAAAGTAAAAAACTGTTACAACTTATTAAAATTGTTTGACTCATAATAGCTAAGACTTTTTCAAAATTGTTGGAAGACATGAACTCAAGGTTTCAAGAACAACAACAAAAAATGTATGAACCAGAAGGATAATACACAGATATCTATGCTAAGTACATCATAGGCAAACTTCTGAAAAACAAATACAGTGAGAAAATCTTAAAAACAACCACACACACACACAAACACACACACAATATCTTCAAAAGAACATTAACAAGGCAGCAAATTTTTCAACAAATTAATGAAATCTATAAGAACATGGAAAGATAACATTAAATTGCTTAAAAAAGCACAAACTAGAACTGTATATTCCCTATAAGATTATTCAAAAATAAAAACAAATAAGAATACTCTCTGATAAAGCAAAGCCAAGATAATTCATCACTGGTAGATGAGCCCTGGAAGAAAACCTAAAAATGTTCTTCAGGCAGAAGAAAAATAATCACAAATGGTAACGGAGAAAGGAAGGAAAGAATGAAGAATAATGGAAAGGGTAAATATGTAGTATATATAAACAAATAATGACCATCCCAAACACTAGTAATAATGTTTTAGAATATTAAAATACTACCTAGGATTGGCCAGGTGCGGTGGCTCACGCCTATAATCCCAGCACTTTGGGAAGCCAAAGTGGGCAGATCATGAGGTCAGATCGAGACCATCCTGGCCAACCTGGTGAAATCCCTATCTCTACTAAAAATACAAAAATTAACTGAGCATGGCGGCACATGCCTGTAATCCCAGCTACTCAGGAGGCTGAGGCAGGAGAATTGCTTGAACCAGGGAGTCGAAAGTTGCAGTGAGCCGAGATCGCGCCACTGCACTCCAGCCTGGGAACAGAGCAAGACTCCATCTCAAAAAAAAAAGTTACGTAGCATTAAAATATATGGTGGCAATGACATAAAAGTAAGAATAATAAAACTAAAGTGTCCTAAGGCCCTAGCATTGTAGGTGAAATTGTAAAAGTAATAATTGAAATTTAACTTCAGTAATTCAAGGCTGCAAGCTTGACTATCCAGTAAAAACATCAAAAGACAGTAACATATTCTAAACTAAAAAAGTTATTGAGAAAGAATAATATAATAAAAATAGCTACTCTACAGAAAGTAAAAAAGAAGAGAAAATGGAACACAAAATAAGTAGATTTTAAAAAACAAGTAGAATTATGATAGCTATATACCCAAACATTTTATTATATACATTAAAAGTAAATAGAATATATATTCTAATTAAAAGACTGTCCAGACACACTTTAAATAGCAGGATCCTGCATTGAATTTAAAAGCATAGAAAGAGATAGATCATGAAACATGAACCAATAAATGTTGGTATAATTTTACTAATATCAAATTAGACTTTAAGCTAAGAAGCATTATGAGAAGAAAGGGACATTTTATAATATTAAAGCGGTCTACAGCTAGGAATATATAAAAATTCTAAATCTACATGTACTCAATTACACAACATTGCAATATATAAAGCATAAATTGATATAAGTAAAAGGAGATATAGGCAAATCCACAGTCATTTGGAAGACTTTCACAAACCTCTCTCAGCAGATAAATGATATAACAAGCAAACCAAAAAAAATCAGGAATTATATAAAACAACACAGTCAACATACGTTGACACATGTCAAGATGTTAGCTCACGCCAAGCAGACTGCCCTTGGGAACATTCCCTCCATTCCCTGCCTAGCTCTCCATCCTTATATTCTCACCAAAAATCACAGGTATGTCCTTCTGCAAGACTTTCTCCCCTGCCTTACGAAAATGCCAACCCTTCTACACAAGGCATTCTCATTTTTTGTTCTTTTCCTGGGTTTCCAGGAAATATCAGTTGTCATCTAGATATCTGATGTTTTCAGGCTCTAGGTAAAGGATGCACTCTAGGCCCCAAGATAAAGTGAATATAAGTCCTTTCAGTCACGTTTTATCTTCCCACTACTGAGACCTGTGGAACTGCTATTTCCAGTACCAATGAAGCTTTAACGACGTTTCTCTCTCAAAGGCAAATATTCTATCAATTAAAAAAAGAATAGTTATCCAATGAGCCCTAACCCTAACTTTTAATTCTCCTGTTTGCTCATCGTTGTACTAAAAAGCATTTGGCTCTATCCTCCTCTATCAGCCTGGCAGTAACAAAAAGATGACATTCTAGCTCTCAATTGCTGCTTCCACTGCTACCCAGGGAACGGCACAGGCTTTAATTACCTGGCTCTTCCTCTAATAAAAGGAGTTTCAGTTTTCTCTGGCCAAATATGGATGCATTCTTCTCCCACGAGAAAGAAGAGCAAGGGTAATGGACAATTTACCAGCTGAATGAACCTCTGTGATAAACTGAGGGTTGTTCAAACATGACCAGATGACACACAAAAAAGATATTCCTATCAGGAAAATATTTAGTTAAACCCAATGAAAATAATGGTTTCAACTGTTAGTTCCTAGCATGTATTTAAAGACAAAAAATAGATAACAGAAAATATTGAGTATCTTGGCAAAAAAGGGAAAAAACATAAACTGATTTAGTTATAATACATTCATATGTATTATGACTACATTATATGCTACTTTCATATGTATTAACAATACCTATAATAGTTAAAATGTATACAGTGCATAAATCATGCAAAATATTTTTGTAAGCTCTGAGCAAAGATTAATTCTTTGCAACCTAATATGACCCTTATTTTACAAGTGAGAAACTGACACTAGGAGTTAAATAGCTTGCCCACACTCACAAAGCTAGTGAGGATAAGGAAAGATTTGAACCCGATAGTCAAGCTTTGGAGATTGTGCCTTTAGAAATTTTGCTATACTAAATTCAATGGTAAATTAAAAATTTTAGTAAGATTTGATCAAACAACACACTGTTGAGACACATTATTCTGGCTTCCTCTTTGCCTTGAACAAAATTATGAAGTAAAAGACTATTTTCTTTAAGACCTTCCCAGAAACTCTGTACTACATTTTCCCCCATTTACACAGCTGTCTCTTACCAGACACCAGGGTGTAGAATTGGAGCTAGAACCCAGATCTCCCAATCCCACCCAGGGCTCTGTCCCTCATGCCACCAGATTGCAACACTGATTTTTCCATCTGGTGTCATATTTCTAGAGCTATCATTCACAGTCTCGCTTCTGTGTATTTCACAGACCTTGGTTTTATTGCATAATTGCACAGAAGAGCTTAATTCATTACCATTCTGAGAAACCAGATTTGACTGTCATTGTGGCAGGTTGTATTGAATTACTAAAAACATTCAGAATTTACTTTTCAACTGATTCACAAGAGTCACATCGAAGACTAAACTCTTGTGTTTCTAACCTTACACCTACCAAGGAATAAATTATGTGATTTTTGCATTTGCTAAAATTCTGTTTACTCACCTGTTCTGTTAGGGCACGTGTAACATGGGTGACACTGCCTTCTCTGTACAGCCCTGCTCACATTTCTTTTGTGTTATGGACTTCATTATATGACCAGATATAATTTTTTTCCTGTAGAAATGTATACTATAATAGTAGAAATGTTAATACCAGACAAAATATTTGTTAATATCTACAGATAGATGCTTGCAGAAAACTGGAAATTGGTTAAGTATGAGGTCATGAGACATTTTTCTGACTGTTTTTATAGTTGGAAAATAATAGAATGGCTTTAGTAGAAAAATAAATCTTGGGTTGAATGTGGTTTGCAATGAAACTTAAAAAAATCATTCAAAATTATACTTTAAAGTATGATGAAATCCAGGAGTTACTCAGCCCTGTCTGCAGAACTTTTTCTGGTATGTTAAACCTTTGGAGAAACAACAAGATCTATACTTTGCCATAAATTTACAGAACAAAAGGAGAGTGAACTTTTACTACTGAGTAGTTAACACTGCTAGATAGATTTGTAGTAAATCCCAATATAATTGCAGTTCAGATTTGAAATATTTAGCGATGGACATGGTACATATGTTTGTGAAAGGCTTCAGTGGTATTTCCAAAGGTAAACACTGCCTATTCTATACCTCAATTGAAATAAAGATCTGCAGTAACAGATCCAAGGTGGGTGTTTGTATGTTTCATTTTTAATGCTGGTTGAGTGCCTATGCTTTAGCTTCTAAAACAATTTACTATTCTATTTCCATGATGGGTACTTTTTACACATTTACAACCAAGGGCCTTCTTAGCCTGTGGCTTCAAGAAAGGAATTATTTTCGTTTGAGACCCGTGTTTTTAATGCAAATGACTATTGTTAGGAGTGGTCTTGAAAATCCTAAAAAAGCATTTTAACTATTTTCGTAATAGAAAAATTGTAAAAAAAATAGAACTATCACTTGCAAGTGAGTCATATATAATGTTCTTGAGTGATGGTAAGTTTTAGAAAATCAGATTATCTGAAGTATTTACGTTCATTTGTGCATTCACATGGAGGAACAGTGATAGTGTTTAATATTAGTGGAGGGTAACATGGAATGAGACAGTTGACTAAACCGTTAACTTCTTGAAGGTAGAGGCTGTCTCTAGTTTTTTATTGAATCCAAGACATCAAGCACAAGCTCTGTCAAATAAACACATTTACTCATTTAAGAAATGAATGAGTCCTGTATAAGAATTTTGACTTTATCTTGTAGGCACCAAAGAACCAACTGAGGTTCAAAACAAAATGCATACTCTTAGAGGAGGATAACTAGAGCCATAGGAGGTATGGAACACGTGTTCTATCTATAAGATATAATTTAATTAATTGTGAATGTTTATTCCAGAAAAACAAGGCTTTAGGAAGCTATAATCAGTCTCCAAATAAATGGCGCTCCACTGTATGAAAAGAGGAATAAACACTGGTGTAGATTCAAAGAAAAAATTAGAATGAATGGTTAAGAGTTTAGTGAAGAATGATGGAGCTCAATGTAAGGGAAACAAATCTCTCTAATTTAGAATTGTTCAACAATGGGACAGGCTGCTTATTGAGTGTGGGTGCTACGTCACTGCAAGTATTCAAGCAAAGCTGAAGATGAGTTTCTCAAGTGGGGAAACCATGTTGTAGTCCTTGCATCTATCCTCCTGTTTGTCACATGGCAGGATCCAACACATGTTTATAGAATGAATATGGCACAGGCTTAATAGAAATCTCTCAGGGATATTGTAACCCTGCCCATTTCCCCATGTTTAACATATACCTCTATTTTCTTTGCAGGAACTCCACAAGTTCTCTGTAATTTAAAGTCAATAGGAAGTACATTGAACTTCAGAATTTAACTGAGGTGAAGTGTATTTTTATCCCCAGACAGCAAAGATGAATGAAAATGCTGTGTAAAGAAAACTATAGTTTTAGAAAAATTAGCTTTATTATTGCAGAATATTATACTTTTACTTTTAAGTATCCTTCATTTTTCACATGAAAGCCAGCCTATTTAAAAGTGTTTAATATATTTTCATGAATGATTTAACTTTGCAAATAGCTTTGGTAAATATTTGATATGCTGTTATTAAATTTTCTTTTGCTGACCTAACCTTTTGACAGTTATTTTACTTTGGCCTGATATTGTTGGACTTAAGTCATTTCCACATTTGGATAGTCATTCCAAAGGAAGGTTTAATAGAAAATGTATGTTTATACCTTCTTATTAAAGGTTATCTACCCCAGAAACTTACATTTCTCTAGATAAAGTAAGTCCAAATGGCAGCCTACTATTCTGCTGCAATAGTAGGATCAACTTAAACAGATCAAGGGGAAAAGGGTGTCAGAAACACAAAGAGATATTTTGTAAAATATACTCTAACCTTACCAAAGAGATATATATTTTTTTTTCTCAAAGAAGCCAAATAGCACTGAGAGGGTTTTGACTGATAGTAAGGCAAAGGAAACTGATGAATTTTCATAAGGTTTCATTATAAATTCTGTTCAAACCAAATTTAATTGATTTAATATTATTTATTTTAGTACAAAATAGCAAATCTGACACACTCATCTCCCTCCCTTCTCTTCTAAATTCCCATGGAAATCACACAAAAAAGATATGTAAAAAACTTAAGAAAATCATAATAGTCTTGGTCAGGAGAGGGAGGCCATGGAAAACTGGAAATTGTAAAATATCTTACAAGAAAAAGTATTAGAAAAAATTAGATTGAAGTGGAAAATAATAGAAATTACAAGGATAGGAACTACCATATCCAAATTCAGAAACATCATGTTCTAACATCAGAATCTTCTGGCAAACATTGCAGTAATTAATGAAAGAACTATTTGTAGGTCAGCTGCCATGGTGGTGCTCCATTTGTTCATCCCACATGCTTTCACTCAGTGTAAAGGCATTGTATTCTAAGAAGAGAATTTTCTACATACAGTGAGCTTGTGGTACAGATGCAAGGATCTAAGAAAGGAGTAGGGTTTGAAACTGCCATATGTGAATAGAAGAAATGATAATACAAATTAAATCACACACAAAAAGGATGTCAGCTATACTTGAGAGAGAAGTTCACTAGATGTTTCCATCATTGAACTAAAACCAACTCTTATTTTGACATTTAAGGATCCCAGCACGTATGGAAATTTTACCTTCATGCATTCTAAAATGGAAGTGACCAGTCAGTATATTGCTTGTATAGAATCCATAATTAACTCTCAATAGAGACAGCTACCTTTTCAAGAGAGAAGTCTGAGAAACAGGTTTATCCACCTGCAGAGGAAAGCTATAACTGTTGCCCAAATTCACAAACCTAGTCCTTCAATAATATGCATGAACAACTATAAAACAATATTTTGGTCCTAGAATTTCATAAAACCAAACTATCAATCATGTATGAAGGCACACGGAGATATTTAAAAATAGGCAAAGACAGAATTGAGTTCAATTTTCTAAAGAGGTACTCCAGTAAAATTGTAAAAGACTATCAGAAAGAAGATGGCATGGGATAAATTAAAAAGCGACAACTGAATGAACTGACAAAAGCAAAAGAAATGCAAAAATAATTCAATGGGATTCCAGTAGACTTTGGCATTTTGGAATATCTCTTCAGAAGTAAGGGTTTTATGACATAGCAAAACACATTTTTTCTTTTGTAATTAAGAATATCTATTCATAAAATTGCAAAGATTGAGTTTGTTGAATTAAATTACTAGGTTCAGCATATAGACAAAGAAGCAAGTATAGTTTAAAAAATAAGCATTGTACAAATATTAAAAATATAAAATAATAACATGATAAGAATTAAGATGTAGAAGCTGCAATAATATGCTATTTCAAGTTGCACACGTAACCACTATAAAAAAACTAAAAAATGGCCGGTCATGGTGGCTCACGCCTGTAATCCCAGCACTTTGGGAGGCCGAGGCAGGCAGCTCACGAGGTCAGGAGATAGAGACCATCCTGGCTAACACGGTGAAAACCCATCTCTACTAAAAATACAAAAAAATTAGCCAGGCATGGTGGCAGGCGCCTGTAGTCCCAGCTACTCGGGAGGCTGAGGCAGGAGAATGGTATGAACCCGGGAGACGGAGCTTGCAGTGAGCCGAGATCGTGCCACTGCACTCCAGCCTGAGAGACAGAACGAGACCCCGTCTCAAAAAAGAAAGAAAAAAAAAACACTAAAAAACAAAACTGGTAGAAGTAATTAATTCCAGAGAGTGGGTAGATATTACTGGATATAAATACTTTGATATATTTTAGGCGTTTCTGTATAAATGAAAAGTTGTCATGTGTACATATAAATTTTAATAAAACTGAACTAGTTTTAGTTACATTTTTAAAAGTCATCTATGAGATACTAAGGGGTTTCACATCAATATAATTTTATAGAAATGTTTTCCGTGTGTATTTCCATTTCTATTTTATAATATTATATATATATTCTTGATTGTATATATTTTGACGTTATAAATATAATCACATTTGTGTTATAATTTTCTGTATGCAAAGTACTTTAAAATCACTTCTGATGGACAGGGTAATTATGCAATACATCCATTATTAATAATACTCTTTTTCAGGCGAAAAAACTGAGGCTCAAAAAACTTAAATATCTTATTAATAAATGGTAGAACCAAGGTTCAGTCTATAAATCTAAGGTGTGATAATGCCTGAATATGCCTCAGTATTTGCAAGTTTACAACAAAGGGAGGAGCTATTCTCAATAGCTGCTTTTGAGTTCCGTTCTCCATGCATAACCACTTCCAAATTCCTTTAGATGCCACTAAATCTGAGAATGATAATAACAAAAACATCTATGCCTGTGGATAGTTCAAAACCCTACTGGCAGTGTGATTATTTTTGCTTATTTAATTCTTTCCCAATTATTGTGAGATAGTCTGTGATGTTATTTCCATTTACTAATGAGGAAAACTGAGGCTTAGAGTGATCAAATAATTTGTTCAAGGTCTTGCACCTAGTTAATGGCAGAACTTGGATTTAAACCACAAATTTCTTCAGACTCTAAAACCTGCTCACTTAAGTCCTAGATGATACTGCTTCCCATAAAAAGTTCATTGACCATTTATTATGTGCCAGACATGGTGCTAACAACTCTACATATGTTATTTCATTTAATCTTTACAGCAGTCTAAGAGGTAGTCGGTACTACCCTTATCCTTGTTCTACAAAAGGAGGTTAAATCATTTTCCAGTCACACAGTTGATTAGTGGCAGAGTTGGGTTTGTAAAACCATCTTTTTGGTTCCTGAGGCTAAAATCCTAATCTCCATGATACAGTTTCTTCTAAGCACCTAGCCTGAAGCTGTAGAACTACTAAGAGGTAGAATAATGGGAGAAATATTTTTAACTCTATTAATATAGTTAGGCTAGATGGTAGTATGAAAAGAAGGGACACAGAACTTAGCATCAGATCAATTTGTGTTCTAATTCTCATTTTTCACATTCTGATTATCTGACTTTGAACATGTACTTATTTTATTTGTAACGGGGGTCATAAGATTTATATGACAAGACTGTCATAGGGATTAGAGACAATATACATAATATTTGTGTCATATGGTAGAAAGCCAGTAAATTGTAAAAATTTCTATTACATTTTCACTTGTCCATCCTTTAGATAAACATCTCTACTAGAGTTTATTTGCAGAATGGAAAAACAGAGTTTGCACTACATGTAGAATACTCATCCTTTACATTATACAGTTAAATTAAAGCACAATTAGCTTGTCCCTGGTGTGGTGATCCAGCTGCTGTAATGTGCCTTATAAAAGACCCCCACTAACAGTGTAAAAGTATTCCAATTTCTCCACATCCTGTCCAGCATCTGTTGTTTCCTTGTGATTCCTCAGGGATTTAGAACTAGAAATACCATTTCACCCAGCAATCCCATTACTGGGTATATACTCAAAGGATTATAAATCATTCTACTATAAAGACACATGCACATGTATGTTTATTGCAGCACTGTTCACAATAGCAAAGACTTGGAACCGACCGTAATGCTCATCAATGTTAGACTGGATAAAGAAAATGTGGCACATACACACCATGGAATACTAGGCAGCCCTAAAAAAGGATGAGTTCATGTCCTTTGCAGGGACATGGATGAAGCTGGAAACCATCATTCTCAGCAAACTAACACAGGAACAGAAAACCAAACACTGCATGTTCTCATTCATAAGTGGAAGTTGAACAATGAGATCATATGGGCACAGAGAGGGGAACATCACACACTGGGGCCTGTCAGGTAGTAGGGGGCTAGGAGAGGGATAGCATTAGGAGAAATACCTAATGTGGATGACGGGTTGATGGCTGCAGCAAACCACCATGGCACGTGTATACCTATGTAACAAACCTGCAGGTTGTGCGCATGTATCCCAGAACTTAAAGTTTAATAATAATAATAAGAAGAAAAAGCCAAGATGTTCAAAATTAGTAATCTGTTAGATATGTGTAGAATTCCACAGCTATGGTTTGTGGTTTTGTTTCTGTTTTTGTTTTCAGAATCAGAGCCTCATCTAGCTTATGTGAACACATTGAATGAATTACAAAAACATACTTTCTATGAGCAGTTGCAGCCCTGAGGATATAAAACTCTGTAAAGAGACTTTTTTTTCTTTTTTAAACTTTTATTTTATATTTAGGGGTACATGTGAATGTTTGTTATATAGGTAAACACGTGTCACAGGGGCTTGTTGTACATATGATTTCATCACCCAGGTATTAAGCTCAGTATCCAATAGCTATCTTTTCTGCTTTTCTCCCTTCTCTCACCCTCCCCTCTCAAGCAGACCCCAATGTGTGTTGTTTCCTTCTTTGTGTTCATAAGTTCTTATCATTTAGCTCTCACTTACAAGTAAGAACATGTGGTATTTGGTTTTCTGTTCCTGCATTAGTTTGCTAAGGATAATAGCCTCCAGCTTCATCCATGTTTCTGCAAAAGACATGATCTCGTTCTTTTTTTATGACTGCATAGTGTTCCATGATATTATGTGCCACATTTTCTTTATCCAATCTGCTATTGATCAACATTTACATTGATTCCATATCTTTGCTATTGCAAATAGTACTGCTATGAACATTCATGTGCATGTGTCTTTATGGTAAAATGATTTATATTCTTCTGGGTATATACCCAGTAATGGGATTACTGGGTCGAATGGTAGTTGTGGTTTTAGCTCTTTAAGGAATCACCATACTGCTTTCCACAATGGTTGAACTAATTTACACTCCCACAAAGAGTGTATAAGTGTTCCCTTTTCTCCACAACATCATCAGCATCTGTTATTTTTTAACTTTTTGATAATAGCCATCTGACTGGTTTGAGATGGCATCTCATTGTGGCTTTGATTTGCCTTTCTCTAATGATCAGTGAGATTTAGCTTTTTTCCATATGCTTGTTTGCCACATGCATGTCTTCTTTCAAGAAGTATCTGTTCATATCCTTTGCCCACCTTTTAGTGGGGTTGTTTGTTCTTCTCTTGTAAATTTAAGTTTCTTATAGATGCTCGATTGTAGACCTCTGTCAGATCATAGTTTGCAAATATTTTATTTCATTCAGTAGGTTGGCTGTTTACTCTATTGATAGTTTCTTTTGCTCTATAGAAGATCTTAGGTCTAATTAAATCCCACTTGTCAATTTTTGCTTTTGTTTGTGATTGCTTTTGGTGTCTTTGTCATGAAATCTTTGCCCACCCCTATGTCCAGTATGGTATTGCCTAGGTTGTCTTCCAGAGTTTTTACAGTTTTGTGTTTTACACTTAAGAGTAATCCATATTGGGGAGTTCAACATCAGTACTCACAATTTGGCTATTGAAGAGCGGTCTGAGTTTCAAGCCTGTTTGTTCTTTTTCTTGGCCTCTGTACAACACACAATTGGCTTAACTCTTTATGGTTGCATTGCTCAAATAACCCTGAAGATTAAAAAATCAAAAACCTCTGAAGATTCAAAGCAGTTTGTAATCCAGTCTCAGAGAAGTTAAGTACTTGACTAGGGTTAAAGAACTAGTAAGAAAGCTGCACTTCAGTAAAAGTCTTTCTACCTCAACCCAATGGTCTTTCCATGAGGTCCGCTTCCTCCAATGATGTCTTATCACATTGGGTCAAGCATATTACAGAAAATCCAAGATTTAATAATCTAAACAGTTATGACACAAAAATAATAATCAAGACCTTTAAGTATTTCCTTTTCAACTGAAACTCCTTACTTCACATTTTAGTTTTACTCAACAATTAGTTTGAATAATAGTTTTGTGACCTACAATAATGTTTTTACATAACTGTCAAGTATAAAAATTCTAAGAAATTCTAAAAATTCTAAGAAGGACTGCAGTCTGCAGTTCCTCAACAAGATCTCCAAAGTTATTTTAAAATATCTAAGATAAGGGTATATACTTTCAGAAACTCTGTTTAATTTTATTTGTACCCTTTTCTAATTGTCTATTAGTATTACTTTATTTAACTTTTAAACACACCTACTTTTAATCAGGGTCTTCATGTTAAAAATGTCCCACCCAGAAGAAAAAGAAATTACATGCATGAGATGAAAGTGCAATAGACACCATTTGCCGTAATAAACAACTCAGCAGTTCTTTAACACATGGCCCGTATTAAGCAATTGAGAAATCTGGCACCTTTGCAAATAATTCTGGCACAGACTTGAAAATGTGGATTTCTGGATTCTTTGGACCAGTTAAAAAAAAAATGTAGTTTATTTCTAACCAAGGACGACAATAGTTATTGCCAAATTAATGAATAAATAATAAAACATCTAGATAACAGAAAGAAGCTCATTTTATTTAGAATATAATCATACATCAATTTTTCCCTAAACAAATAAACAAACAAAACCTTAACTTATGGCAATTGCTATACGTCACACACTATGCTGAGTATTTTGGATTTAGTGATAAATGAACAATTCCTGCCCCAAGGAGCTCACTCTCTAATATAGTGTAAGAGATTGTAAAAACAACTTTCAACATAATACAGATATGCTTATGATATTTTGAATGCATAGAGCAAGAGGCAATTAATTATGTTTGGCTGGAGCTGTGCAGGGATCATGGAAGGAGATGACATTTGAATTGTTATTAAAAAGATAAGTCATTTGGCAGAGAGAAAAAAAGAATGTTTAGCAGTGGGATTTTGGACAAGTCACTAAAACTGTTTAGGTTAATGTTACTATGAAAGAGTACTAGAATATACAGTTTTGCTGCTGTGCTGCTATAGTTATTAATTTACTTCCAAATCTAGCTACAGATTTTGAAAACATTTCTTTTCTGTATTATGAAAGAAAGCACTAGTTAAGTATTGCAAATAGTTTGTTGTAACAAACTTTTTCCTCATTATCTATTATCAAAGGAGGGCAGTCACCAGGGAGGATCAAACCATCAAAACTGGCATATGTAAAGTTCATGGCTAGCGTCCCCAGCCTGCTCTTTGTAAGTTTGTTTTCCTACTTGTTGGCATCTGCTGCCTTCTCCTGCCAGACCCCAATGTTTCCTTGCCTTTTATGTTTGCCATTATTAAAATATGCTTTCCTGAATGATTTTTTTGTTTCTAAATTAGTTTCTTCATGTTGGATATTTCTAATGAGAAAAAAACTAAATGTTTCTTTCTAAATATAGTAACCAAACTTTGGAGCATCTTTGTGACTTCCGATTTGGTTTCATAGGGACATAAAGCAATGAAAAAGTGAGCATTCATGTTATTTATTAGTGTGATGTTTAGAGACAAACATGAGAATTTAATTCCCCAAAGAAGTGATGTTTCACAGAGAATTTTATTTTATTCTTGATCTTGAGCCTTTTTTCCAACACTTATTACATTTTCTTTAAAGGTCGAGACAGAATCCCTTTGAACCATTGTTAGAGCCCATTCCCAGAGATGGTTCCTGTGAAGAAACATGAGGTTTTGTTTGCCTTTTAAAGAATTCACTAGTTCTTTATACTACTGTGATTCACTGTCTGAGTGTAAAGCTATTTCAAGACATTCTTTGTGGACTGCTGTTTCAGATTTCCTTTATCAAACTACAGTGGTCCATGGGGTTCCTTGCTCAATACTCTTGCATCTTTCTTTATTCCATGTGACAAATCCTGGCTATTATTTTTGAAGCCAAACAGTATTATTAGATATCCATGCTGCAATATTATGACCTTTGGGCCAATTTTGGGACACCCAACCCATGTGTTAAATGAATTAGAGATATGTTGCAATTATTTAGAAAAACGAAATCAAAATATCCCAGAGCCTAACAAGATGCATCCAGGTAATTAAGACTCTGAAGGTTTTACTTAAATTATCCATAGATATAGAACACCAAATTCTCTCTTTTATGAGGAGAGTTCCCCTTGTGTCAGGTCTATAGAAGCTCAACAATAAAAGTTTTCATAATTTTAACAATGTAAAGGCCAGGCGCGGTGGCTTACGCCTGTAATCCCAGCACTTCGGGAGGCCGAGGCGGGCGGATCACGAGGTCAGGAGATCGAGACCACGGTGAAACCCCGTCTCTACCAAAAATACAAAAAATTAGACGGGCACGGTGGCGGGCGCCTGTAATCCCAGCTACTCGGGAGGCTGAGGCAGGAGAATGGCGTGAACCCGGGAGGTGGAGTTTGCAGTAAGCCGAGATCCCGCCACTGCACTCCAGCTTGGGCGACAGAGCCAGACTCCGTCTCAAACAACAACAACAACAACAAAAAACAAAAACAAACAAACAATGTAAAAAGCCTAAGAGATGCCTAGTCAACCCTCTCATTTTATATAGATAAACCAAGGCTCAGAAATGTTAAGGGATTCTTTCCTGTTAGAAGGAGAATAGGGGCCATCAGAACTGTCTTTCCTTCTAACGGAAAATTCTGCTTTCTTTACTACGTCATGAGAGTTTAATGATAATGACCCCATTTTTATGTCACTGCGTCTGATACTTAAAACTAACAGTGCAGATTGGGAAGTGGGCTGTGGGGATAAAGTTTGGGATCAATTATGCCCAAGTAAGAACTCATTTCTGGCTCTTAAATACTCTGAAGTTGGGCAAGCTTCATTTTCTTCAGTTATAAATGGGATATTCTATGAGGTTGTTTGCAGGGTTAATAAAATGCAGAGAGCTGTTACCATAGAATTCAACATAGATTAGCCACTTTAAAAAGGTAATAATGTGAATCTGGCTAATAACAATGACACTTATTGTTACTAAGCAGAAGCTTGCTAGGGTGACTGTTTAGAAGACCTTGGCATTGGATTAAGTCACGATGCCCTCTAATAGACCGTTGTGGCAACTGCTACTTTCCCTCTGTGATGCCTTTCACAACTCAAATGAGACAATCATTTGCATAATAAACTTCTCAGTATCTTCTAGACTGTGATTCTGAGTACCTATAGAACTCTGTGAGAACAAGGACAGGTCTGTCTTGTTTACCATTCTATCTATTGCCCTGCAACCCACCCTCATCAAGTAATATATGTCACAAAACAAGAATTGGTGCTTCACTAGATACTTCCATCCTTTAGGATGTTGGTTTTGTGATTAGGTACTGATTTCTGCCTCCTGCAAAATTTTTATTCTGCATTTGTTTATATTAATGCTAGGGAATTCCCAGTACTAAAGGAGCATTCACTGTAGGAAGAAAGGCAGTTCACAAATGTCCTAAAATTGGATGCAAATATTTGTGTGTAAATGTGTCCATGTAATTTTTATATAAGGAGTCTATTTTTTACTCTATCTGAAGGCTTTAGGTATAAATGGTGTCATTTTCATAGGTATCCCTGACTATTTCATACATGTGGTTTGATCACTTCTCTAAAATACACTTTTCTGGAATATTCTATCATTTTTCTTGCTTGAGATAGCTCTTTAACATTTTTGTAAGCTTCTTAATGGTTCAGAACACAAATATAATTTCTTTTAGACCTTCCTCCACAGCAATTAGTTCTAGACTCTGCCAAAATAAAGATACTCAATAAAATCTCCTTGAATAAATGAATACAAGCATACTTAATAAGTTCTTCTTTAAATGGAATTAAAACTGTGTAGTTTTTATTCCACAGGAGGAGTTTCAATTGGACGTGGCCAAAAACAGAACTGAAATTTCAACTGACAAACACAAAATTCAAATGTATATACATTGGCTCTGATGGGTGATTTCACTTCAAATTCACCAGTGACTCTCACAATACAAAATGTGTTGCCTTTTTAATCACTATTTATCCAGGGAACTTTTTTTCTCAGTGGGAAAATATTTAGTATTCCATGATTAAAGCTGTATATTAGACAGACCTCCCAAATTTATGTATTCATTGAAAACTAGCAACCCATAATGTCAAAACTTTATTTATTTGTAGAATGTATCCACTTGTTTTAAAAAGTATCACTTGTCATTTCTGTCAGAATGATTTCATAAATTATCTATCACTTGACCTATTTGATATTAACCTATGATAAATCTTGTGTTCTATCTTATCACTGGCACTGCCTTTCCACACCCCAATGAATATGTTCAGGGTACAGAATATTCACTTTCCAAAAACCCATAATAGATGAAGGATATCAATGTGAGTTAAGTCACAACCATATTTATGGTTTATTTATTTTGAACATATTTTATTTTCTGAGCAGTTGCAGCTTTAGGAAAAAAATATTGTGCAAGAAGTATACAGAGTCTTCATATGCTCCCTCTACTTCCAACCCCTAGCTTTCGGTATTATTAATATTTTGTCTTCATGTAGTATATTTGCAACAATTGATCAAACAATATTGGCACATTAATATTAATCAAGTATTAGGTTCACTCTTGGTATTGTATATAATACAGGTTTGGACAAATGCATAATGTCATATATCATTACAGTATGATACAGAATAGTTTTGTTGCCTTAAAATACTCTACATTCCACCTGTTCTTTCCCTACACCCGGCCCTGAGCCCCTGACAGTTACTTACTTTTTGCTGACTCCATAGTTTATCCTTTTCCAGAAGTTCTTATCTTATAATTTGAATCATAACAGTATGTAGCCTTTACAGACTGGCTTCTTTCGCTTATCAATATGACTTGAAGGTTCCTCCCCATCTTTTTATACCTTCATAGCTCATCTCTTTTAAGTTTGAATAATACACAGCCATATTTATATAATGATTGTTTCCTCATAACAAAGAGAGTTATCTGAGGTGTCATGAAGTGGAAAGAATAGGACTTTGGAGCCTGAAACCATGGGTTTTGAAAGTGACTTTGCTGTGTTTCAGCTGTGTGAACTTGACAATTTATTAAAGATCTTAGACTTCCAGGTTTGCTGTCTCTCAAATGAAAAATATTAATATATATCTTGAAATGTTCATGATAAAAAAAAAATCACACGTAAAGCCATAGCACGGTACCTGGGCATGCCAGCATCAACAGAAGCAGTAGCTGTGATGGTCATAGAAGTAATAGTAACATGCATGGCATACAAAGATGTTGCTTTTTATCCAGTGATAAATATCTACCTTTAATGAATATTACTTATTTTGTAAATTCAGATAGACTAGAACAATAATGACTAGTAATCAGATAAGGGTGTACAGTCAATTGATTAAAAAAACACAATAAATGAAAATCAAAGACCTCAATCTAATACAAAGAAATAAGCAAGCAACGTAAAAAGAATGAGGTGGAAAAAGAACTCCCATTTCATACACAGAGTTGGCTAAGAATTTCTGAAATGGAAAGCTTTTTAAGTTGTTGACGTAATTTTTCAGTTTTAGAAAAGAAAAGTTTGTGCACATGAATATTAGGCTATTTTGAAATATTTTAAATTGCTTCATGTTTTCTAAGTATGTGTATATGTCTTCATAAATATTCCAACAAGTATTTTAGTTAAATTAAAGACTGTAGATTAAAAGGAGAGTAAAGAGGTATAGATTCATAGACTGTTTACAGTCACCATTTTCTCTTTCTTCCTTCATCCCTTTATTAAAATTTTAATGAATTATGTGCCTGAAAAACATTTGAATTTTAAATACAAAAAAAGTGAAGAAAACAAAATATTTGTAAGCATTAACTAAGTCAGAGCTTTGAGTTCTCAGACCTAGCATCAGTGAATGTACTTTGAAATGGGGGCAGGGAGGTCAATGAGTCAGTGAATACCTGTGTCTGACAAGATGATTTCAAATATTAAGTGCAAAGAGAAGAAAATAATTTACCAACAATAAGACCATAAAAAAGAACCCAAGATTATTTAGAACAGGGGGTGGCAAACTTTTTTTTTTTTCTGAGATGAGATCTCACTCTCTCACCCAGCCTGGAATGCAGTAGTATGATCTCTGCTCATTGCAACCTCCACCTACTGGGCTCAAACGATCCTCCCACCTCAGCCCTTCATGTAGCTTGGACTACAGCGCACACCACCACACCTGGTTAATTTTAGAATTTTGGTAGAGGCTGAGTTTCACCATGTTGTCCAGGCTGGTCTCGAACGCCTGGGCTCAAGCGATCCACCGGCCTCAGTCTCCCAAAGTGCTATACGCGTGAGCCACCACACCGGGCCAGCTTTTTCTATAATGGGCAAAATAGTAAATATTTTAGGCTTTGTTGGCCCTATGGTGTCTGTAGTAACTACTCAATGCTAATATTGTAGTATATAAGTAGCCATATATGTCTATAAAAAATGGCTGTGCTGCGTTTCCATATAACTTTATTTATAAACGTAGATGGCTAGATTTGACCATGTTGCTGACTTCTGGTTTAAAAAATGAGAAAAAAGACTGGAATTAACCAGAAAACATTTTATTCAGTTTACAAACTAAAATAGCTAACCAAATTACTTTTTACCAAAGACTGAGTAATTGATAGTGTAAAAAAATGATAAAGATTAATATTATGACATCATGCAAATAATTGTGTGAGAAGTAATGCAGCTTTTTAAAGAAGTATTTCTCAAGCAATTGGCAGAAATAGACATTGCTGTTTTTGGATAATGGAAGAATGCAGATTTTAGGATTGGAATTGGGCATATCTTGGTTTTTAATATGCTCATTTATGGGTTTTATGGGTATGTTGCTTATCCTTTCTGAGCCTTAGTTTCTCTAGTTGTAAAATACAAATAAATCCCACCTCATAAAATTATTACATACTTGAAGCAAAAGAGTTGGCATAAAACATTTAGTATAATTCCTGGAATTTAGTAAGCACACTCAAGAAATTTACAGGGAATTATTCACTTGTTGGGTAACATAAATTTCAGTATGGAAAGTTGAAACAAAAGTAATACTGGCACCTTATAAAATTGTAAGGATTCAATAACGTATGAAAAATACTTAGTGAGGTACTTGGCACCTAGTAAGTGTTTAGTTGATATTAGCTGCTGCTTATGCTGCTGCTGTTGTTGTTATTATTAATATTAAATATACTAATATACAGGATATATACATTCATAAGTGAGTTCAACATGTACAGGATAGAATATGATAAATGCCATGACAAAGATACTGAAGTCACATATGATTGGGGGATCAGAATAGGATTCAGAGAGAAATGACAGTTGAGCTATCTGGATAAAATGAAAAGTATTTTAATTAAAGCAGCTGAAAGATATTAAAGATAAAACAAAGGACAGGAGCAAAAGAAGAGAAGCAAGGTTTTAATGGGCACATGCAATGAGCAGTAACTCAATATAATACTGTTTATAGACTCTGCATTTCTTACTCAGACCTCAAAACAATCCCGTGTGCTGGATATCATCATACATACTTTGTGGAAAAGCAGTCTGGATTCAAAAAAATTTAATGAGTTTTCTTAAGATCATACAAGTAACATTCTGATCCTGGAATTGAGCTTCAGTCATTTCCCCCCATCAATGCAAGTGTTATATCCACTCTACCAAACAGACTCTCTACAAGCAAGTGGAGCTTAGCAAAGGCATAATCCCCCATATATAGGTCACTGTTATTCTTTGATCATGTAAATATATTTTACATCTCACATTTCATTCACTAATCACAAATATTTATATCTTTAAATTCATTTGTCTTAGTTTTTCTTTGAGTTCCTAATACGTGTCAGGTACTATACTAGAGAATGGTGTACATCAGCCAAGAAAAGAGATAAAGCTATATTCAACATAGTTATGGGTTTCTGTTTGTTTTGCTTTTAGAAAAGTATTTTCGAGACTGAGTTAGGTATATGGTAGGTAAACAATGTTAGTATCTCCCTCAGAAAAAAGCACAAAGTAATGTATTATCTAATTATCATTCTACTGCCCTAAATAAAAGTATGAAAAAGCTGATGCCTCAAAGTCATTACAAAGCAAAATAAGATCTCCATATAGCAGATAATAGCTGACACTTTTAAAATTGTATTTTTTTCTTTTATACTACAAAATCACAATTCCATTTTAGAGCACATGGTGATGACATTGTATTTATTTTAATCAAAATTTACAAAAATACAACTTAAAGAATAAAGCTTTATGGATAGAAAGTTTTCTTGAAATAGTCAAGACCAAAAAAGAAAAGAAAACAAGTATGCTTATGAGCAAACAACAGGGAGAAAACTTGCACAGCCTTTTCTTGAGAACAGCAATAAAAACACAGCGTTTGTTTATAATAAGACAAATGCAGTCTACATTTCAAAATTGGTCATTTTTGCATTTATATCTTCACAGGTTCAATGTACTTTTTAAAATGTGAAACTTGTTCTTACTAGTTTTCAGTCCTAAAGATTCAGCTTCCATGGAACAGCTGGATCTAATTAGAACCCAAAGTTCTGATTCCACTTGATCTGATTTCCCCATCTGTATGGAGTCATTACACCATAAATAGTGTAAGCTATAACTTCCAGTTCAAACCAGAAAGGAGCTGGCAATCACAGCTCCTGTTATTCAGGGGTCACTGAAATTTCTGTTGAACATCCCAGCATTTCCATATGGGCTGACTCAATCGTTTCGAATTTTTCCACCTCTAAGAGTATAAGTGGAGAACCGAGGCTTTTCTGCAGTTCATCTTTTCATTTCTTTTTATTTGAAGATACATAAAAATCTGCAGTATCAGATTTAGGGACAAAATATTCTCTATTATTACCAACTCCTTGTTGCACATTTTTGTTACTTATTTTGTTTTATATTCCATATGGAGTATAATTCCTGTATTTTCTCATTTTTCCATAAACTAGGTATTTAATGGAATTATGTAATGAAAAAGTAAGAATATCAAAGAGTTCATCCTTTGCCAATCCCATCATTTTACAGACACAGAGACTGAGTGGCAAAAGTTATCTGACTTGTCTTAAGCTCACACATAAGAGACACAGGAATGAAGCTGCAGACTTCTGAGTTCTCAACTGGCATTTATCTCAGCCTTCAGGCTGACGAGACTAGGAAACTCTGCCAGGGAGAACATAATGTTTCTCCACATTTATAGTCTGACTTCTTCTTTTTATGTAATATAAGTTCATTGTCAGTTTTACAAATTACAGAATAAAGAGAAAAATAATATTCATCCAAAAAGAATCACTGTTAAAAAATTTAGATTTCATGTTTCCACACATTTTCTGCATACTGTTTTTCACCCTTCCTACTTTAATGTATTTTATCTTGTTCCTAGGTAATTAACCAAGCCTCATGACCATGATTTTCAATAGCTAAATGGTATCTTGTAGAAGTGCACCACAATTTAAAACAGCATTTTATTGCTAGATAGCTTGTTTCCAATTTAGTTATATAATAATGCTGTGATGATAATCCATGTACTTTGCTCTTATGTACATCTTTGTTTATGTCCTTAGGATAGATTCTTTGAATTGGAATTCCTGGGTCATCAGATATACATTTTAAGCCTTCTGATATGTGTTGCCAAATTGTCCCTCTGAAAAGGCTATGCTGGTTTAAAGTTATACTCTCAGAATATGAAAGTTTTGCTTTTTCTGCACATACAACTAGTACTGCATATTATCATTTCCTAATATTTTCATGTTTGAGAGGTAAAATAATAACATCTTATTGTAATTGGCATTACTTTTATTAAAAGTAAAACTGGACATTTTTACACATGCTTCTTGGATATTTCTACATATACATCAATAACTACAGAGAATGGTAAAATTCAGAAATTGTAGATGAGAAAAAGAATAATCAATTTCAACTGAGAAGATCAGGGAAAGCATTTAACTAGTCTTTAGAAGGAGTCATTGGAAAATCACTTTGAAGTATGGAACTGAATGGAACGAATGAAGAAGTAAAAGAAGATTTAGGTTTCATTATGGAAAGATAATAGTGAAAATTGAACACAGCAGAGATATATAATGAACAAGCCAGAGAGAGACATGTAAGTTTCCAAATCCAGGCCTGTGAGCAATCAACAAGAAGGGTTGTGATCAGGGCATCATTTAAAGGCTCAAGGAAAAGCAAACTAAAGGAACAAGAAACAACCCAGCAATTTCTGTGATTGAACCGTAGATCTTTAGAGTGGGAAGGGACCTCTGGAGATGCTCTAACCCTTACATAGAGTTTCCACGTGAGGAAACTGAGCAGTTAAGTGCTTTGCCTAGGGTCTCATCTTGTTCGAAAAGCCAGAAATAGAATCCAGGCCTCCTATTCCCTTTTGAATGCTCTCTGTACAGTTTTACAAGATGGAAACATCTTGAGGCAGAGTTGTAATATTATGTTTGTCCCTTGAATGAATAATTTAACTTCTGTGTAACTCAGTTTTCTCATCTTCAAAATGAGAGAACAGGACCAAATAAACATGAACATTCTTTGATGTTATCAGAATTACTGGACTTCATCTGTGTATAGCTCACACTCAAGTTGTTTGTTTCCTGGGCCATGCTAGTCTTTAAAAAAACATTGTGTTTCCCTGCATATATACCTTTAAATAGCTGAACTGCTTTCTTCTTCCCTGTGGTCAGGTAATTCAGAAACTGTTCTGGTTTTTGTTTTAAATTGAATTTTCTGAGCAAAATTGTTTCTAGGCCAAGATGATTTATAAGATATTTTAGACCCCAAAGCATTCTTTTAAGAAAGTTATAAACAACTGTGAATGGGGACAGGGCCAGTTGGCTGCATATTTTTCAGGCTCAAGAAAAACTAGTAGGATATATTAAATATTATGTTTCACTGGAATTGAAAGTGTCCTCCATTGCTTTTCACTATATATATAGACTTTTACCTTCTTTCCTTACTGTTTATGCTTTTGTGGATAATATTTGAATGAGCTATGACATAACAGTTTAATTTCAGGGAAATATGTCAGTGGTGTGGCCACATGTATACTATAATAAGTTTACACAGTGTCACAAGCCAGGCTGTTTAATGTTTGTAGGTATGAAGTGGCTGCTGTAGTTCAGTATATAGTGCTAATAAGATTGAGATCATGTGTTCAATTCCTGGTTTCTTTCACTCTTAGCTGCAAATAGTGACATTAGTCATAAAGGTGAATAAAGGAAAAACTGTAGAAGACTCAGTATAAATCTGTCTCTACCATGAGGAAACTGACAAATGAACAACAGCTCTCACTTGAATCGTTGAATGGTCACTGTGGCTTGTCAGGAGGGAGGAGGAAGCAAAAAGAAAAATGGCTTACAGGAAGTTCATCTGCTAACACCATTCATCTACTAACACCATCTACTTATGTTTATTGTGTTTAATGATGTTTCTTGTGGTCAAATGACTATTTCTTCACCAATAATAATATGAATAAAAATAAAAATGTGGGAAAGACATAGTGCTTTCCTTCTTTACTAGACATGAGACCAATGCAAATCCTGTGAATTGAGCGAAATTTTGGCAGATCAAACTTCTAACAGTTATTTGTAAGGCTATGTTAAGGACCCCTGGGCTGGAAAAAAATGATTACTTTCTGTGATCATTTAGAAACCCTACCAAATGTATTTGGGGACCCAGTTGGTTCTCAAGAATGAAAATGGTGAGAAATGAAACTTTCCTGTGGGTTAGGCTCAGGGCTGAATAAAGGTTATGAAAAAATGAGTGGGATTGAGTCCAAAGAGCCCTGAACACTTTAGGGCCAATATAAAGAATTCTCTCGGTTTTGCTTTTACCAATAAAGTAGCTATTCCATTGGCATATCTTCTTATATAATGTGAATTTGACATGGCTCGAGTCAACAACTTCTAAACATGAAGATTATTTTTACCTAAGGTGAGATACCATATCCATAGTTCACTATTGTCTTAGTGTATTCGCTTATAGTCTGTTTCTTAAATAATAATTATTAGTAGAAATATTAATATATGCAGGGACAATAATTTATGTTAGAATTGTTAATTCAATTGTGTATGAGTTGTCCTTTATTGATGTCATTGATAACATTTCAGTATTTCTCTTGTAAAGTCCCTGAAGAGCCCTCTCAGTAATGCAGCAATAAAAAAAGATCAGTTTTCTCTCTGAGACTTATCTATTATTATTACCTCTGGTCAAGGATAAACAGACTCAGTTATGGCTTGCTGAGAAATAATACATGTATTTTCAAACATAAAGAGAGAAGCCATTTTTCAAATGTGTGGTGCTCATTAATTATTTTCATTCCTCAAACAGATTGTCTTGCTCTCTGGTACACATTCTAAATTAGGGGAGCCAGGATGAACTAATGTGTTAAAAGCTTTAACCTAAGATCAATCTTTCTTTTAATTGTCATGTCCTATAATTTTCAGGAAAAAATAATCAATTAATTTCTTGATATTTCTGGCAGACTTCCTAAGTAACAAGGGTTCAGGTCAGTTATATTCAGAGCCATTTATAAATTTCTAGACTATGCTTCTTTTTCCAGAGGAGATATTACACCAGTTCAGGTGGCCTTCTAATTTATATGCACTATTCCTTAGGAGATCAAAGAAAAGAAAATGAACTACTGTTTAAAAAAATGTGCATTATTCATAGACATGTATATGAATGTATATATATGTGTTTATGTATATGTATGTGTATATATGTACAAAACAATATGTGTATTCATGTACATATGTATTCAACTATATGTATGTGTGTATATGTATACATACACAAGCACATACATATATTGTTGGAAATGGCAAAAAAATCCCTCCCAGTTTGGAAAGACTAAAATATTGTCATGGTAAACTTTCACATTTTGGGGCAAAATGTCACTAGTATTTCCACTTCTTTAAGGTAAGGGGGCAATAGAAGGATAGGATAAAATTCTGAGATGTAATTATTCTTCCCTAAGAATGTTGTAATCCAAAAATACCTGTCTAGAGTCCATTACCTATGCAGTGCTAGGCAGCCAAGCAGTGATTAAATATGGAACTTCCCAATCATTACTCAACTTCTCTACAGCCCAATATATGTCAGCTGATTAACCCTGATTGAAATTTAATACCCATTTTTCCTACTGTACCTAATCTGTCAAAGAACTACAGACAATGTGGAGATAAATGTTAGCCTCTTACTTCCAGTATATTCTTCAAACGTCCAGAAACTTCAGACTTAGTCATTTCCTCCAAAAGATGTTAAATCTTACCAAGAGCTTCAAAAATGGTTCTACTTAATATTTTAAAAACATAAAAAGGCCTAAGGTAATGACTTATTTCACTTATTCGTTACTGCATTATAAAAATAATTATTGAGAGAAGATTTTTTTTCTGCTGTGGGAATGAGAAAAATCCCCTTATTCAGGAGTGTGTTGTATTTCTAAGACTATATTATATGAACAAATGTTGGTATCTGATAAATAGCACTAATATCAAGTGTTTATATTTCTTTCTGCTTTCAAAGGGTAAACTTTTTGAGAGGATTACTGCTGTCCTGAATATTTAGTATATTGAGCTGTTATTCTTAAACTGTATCATAAAGTTTTATTTACCTAACAGTCAACAAATATCAGTGAGTACTATGCATACTATGTGCAAAGCACTCTGAAAGTGCTTGCATTATTCAAAATCAGCAAGTGTGTGGTTCCTCTAAAAATAACTCCACAGTAGAACATAATCAAAGATATCTCCTAGAACTGAAAAAAGCAAAACTGAAAAGCGTGATGCAAACCTGACTTTTTACATAGGTTGGTTTCCGACTTGAGTTTGAGGGTGGAAAAAAGAACACCTTAATATAGATTGTCAAGGTAGCAAAGTTATATAAAGTTTAGAGCTGTATAAATGTGTAAATTGTGTGAGTACAGCTAGTAGGAAAGCCAGTAGAAAAAATAACTAAAGAGAGAAATTGTTTGAGGGGAAAAAATAGTCCTTTCCAGCAGACTTCAGAATACTTCATTTATAATAAACATGTGAACAGATAGTAGCCTGGGGAAGTTATTGAAATAAGCCCCTGGATAAGCATCTCTCTAGTACTGGAAATAACACAAGAGGCTTCTGGTCCCAGTGAAGATCCTTTCAATGTTAATAATAATTACTTCTTATAAATGTTGTTCCAGGCTTGCTGTTATGTAATTTAATATTTTTCCTATTTAATCCTTACCGTAGTTGACATCATTTTCATTTGAAATACACAGAAATTGAAGCATGTATTTAAGTTGCATTCTCAAGATCTCACACACCTATTATATTTATTCAACAACTATGTATTGAGTACTTATCATATGTCAGACATTGTCTCACAGTCTTGAGATACATGAATAAATAAAGCAGACCCTGGCTTCACAGAGCTTCCACTTTAGCAAAAGACAGGCCATAAACAGTTAGCATTAAAAGCAATAGAAAAGAAGACAAGGTAAATGATATATTAGAAAACAATAAACATTATGGAAAAAAGAGAAGCCTAGAGAATGTAAAGAGAGATTGGGTTTTAGGAATTATGTTCTTAATGGTGTTTTCAGTGTAGGACTCAGTGAGAATGTGATGTGTGAGCGGGGACTAGAAGGAAGCAGGAAGCTAGTTAGGTGGCATTCTAGGGATTAGTATTCTAACCCTGGGGAAAAACTAGTGCTAAAACCCACAGGTGAAGCTGGTGTGGCTAGAGAGGAACTCAAATCAAATAAAGAATAGAAGAGTCAGTCAGGGGATCACAAAGGCCAAAGAATCAGCTCATAGGGACCAGTGTAGTGGTTTTAGCTTTTGCTTCCAAAGAAAAGTGGAACTCTTTTGGGCAGCAAGGACCTGTCCATTACCAGATCAATGGAATGAGATCTTAGCTGTACAAGAAAAGAATTCTCCTCCATTACTTGGGGTTTCTTTCTCTGTGGCAGTGTAAAATTTTTTCCACAGGAAGTTAATATCATACTTTCTAGAAGTAATAAAAACTGCCATCAATTGTTTATTGTTCATTTAAATTTGATTCAGTTTTTGCAAAATCCATAGGAAAGCTAATGAATGATTTCTATTGACTGTTTATAATTCCAAATCATATCAAATACTAGTCTTGAAGGCATTCTATTTACCACAAGATGAGTCTGGATTATTTCTGAATTCTTATTGGAGTCAGGAAAATTACAATATTTCAGAGCCTGAATTTGAAGAAGTTTAGAGTTTACAAGTTGTAGAAACCACCTACATGCATATACATTTGTGTTTGATCATGATTGGAATGGTGAAAATTTTAAGAATAGCAATATCCTTTTCTCTCTTTCTTTGAGGCTAATTCCTCTATCCATCCTGCTTCCTAAGAGTGGGTCTTGGAAACACAGAGTCAACATAAAAGGCTGATATATGTATTTCAGATAAATTTAACCTAGTATAACTGAAAAGTCAATGAACTATGTATCCAATGCAACTTTTGTTGCCTATCTTTGCAATGTCTTCCCATATTTAACTACTGATTTTCCAGCATATCATTTTTTTCTGGACGAAAGTACTCCCACAATCACTATATCACCAATACCATCGCCATCACTGAGAAGATGTTGGCTGATACATAAGGTCTCTCCTGCCCAAATACGTTGCATTAATGTTCTCTGGTAACTGTGTTCTGTAGATATGTTGACAAGCCTAACATCATGGCAAGAATATGCATGGAAAAAAGTCAGGTCAGGAGAGGATAAGGGCAAATATTTGGGGATTTGTGTGGTTTTAATCCATTTTATATCACACTGAGGACAAGGCTGCCTACTTCATCAGGCTGACCTGTGTGCTCAAAGCAGGAATAGCTGCTCTGTCTATTTGAAGGGATTGGTAGCACCAAGTTTATGGTTTTACTCCTTTGTCTGGTCTTTTTATTCCCCTTCTTTATTATGAACTTTCTTTATTCACTTCTGAATATACTTAGCCCTACCTAAAAGTCTCAGTAATACTTACAGGCCCAATCCTAGATAAAAGGGTAACTACCTGCCTGGGACTCTTGCTGCTACAGCTCTCAGAAAAAGAAAGACCACAAAAGATAAGGGAGATACACATTTAACTTTTATAGGACATATATTTATAAATTGCCAAGATAGAATAAACATTTATAGATTTCCCACTAGATACCAAATACCAAAGAAAGACCATGTTACTTGATTAGTTCTAGTGAGTCTACTGAGTAAACAAATGAAAAAGCAGATTAAACAAAGCAACAAAAACCGTACTTCCTTCATTGATTTGTGATCTCAAATCACTTTTTTTTTTTGACTGCATAGTCCTTTATTGAATTACTGTCTTAAGTTGGGTTCCTTGGTAAATAGAGTCTGATTGGTGTTACAGCAAGATTATGGGAAAGTGATTGTGAGATCATCTTTGAGAGAGCAAGGGCTTACAAAGTTGATCTCTTTCATTCTATTCTCTCTTTTTCTCTCCCCCCCAATTTTTTCTCTCTCCCACTCTTCCTTTTCTTCTTCTCTTTCTGTCCTTCTCTTTCTCTCTTTTCTTTCTTTCTCCACATTCAATGAATTACACTTCATTCATTCTTCCTTTCTTTCTAACATTATCAGCTTTATAAGTTATCTGTTTTCCATGGTTTAAACATTTTAACATTGGCTTAAGCACTTTTATTCTCCTGGCCATATTACACTCATTATTAGCAGCACTTACACAATAAACAGCTGAGAGTTTGGCAGTGATGAGAGGCACAGCCCTGCCAACCTATCCCAATGAACGTCTGAATGTCACTGTGTCGCTCCCCTGACCCACAGACATGTTGGTTATTCTGATCCTGTCTCTCATTTGTATAGAGGCCAGAAACTCTGCCAAAATATGAGATGATGACAAATGGGAACTTGGACAGAGCTATCAGGTAAATGCACTAACTCACCGTACTTCCTAAGGCCCCAAGCATATGGATCATCCTAAAGAAGAGCTTAGGGAACATAAATTAGTGAACCTTTCAGAGAAGACCAAATGAGTAAATCTGGTGCTTCTTGTTCCAGCAAGATGTCATTCTTGTCACTCTTCAAATAACCCTAGAATATCTGAACTATTCTTATCTCCACATCTCTACTCAGACAGGGGCCGTGTGCTGCTGAAACAGGAGCTTTTCAGCATTGAAATGAATTGTCAAGTCTGTGCTAGGTAGTGTGTACCGCACCTGCTTGCATTATGCATGACTGGTTCTGCTTACTGATGTCATTCCCACTCTGCTTATGGTATTCCTACCCCAAGTTCAAAACTGAGAAGGTGATATCCTCCCCCAACCCATATTCATCCTTTGACAGTCTGGAGATTTAAGAAATGGAATGAATGTGCCTCTCCCAAGGGTTCTGTGTTCACCTCAGTCTCATTTGGTTGCAAATAAAACTCCATGACAGGAGGATCAGCTTAAAGAATACAGAGGAAACCCACCACTGGGTCACCATCATGCTTTTTCATGCATTTGTGTGTTTTTTCTGTACACAAAATGTTTTTATACACCGAGGGACCTGCTTTATAGAAACTTCATTCTTTTTTAATGTGGTTCATAGAACTGTACCTTCTCAACCTTTCGTGAGTCTTCAGCAACGGTGTCATTTTTCATGAGATACATATGTATATCAGCTATAACACACTGTCAGTGAACAGTGGTTTTCAATCAAATAGGCTGTCTATAAAGCTGATGCACTAACAAGAAAGCTGTCAAGCTGTGACAGCTGCTGTCTTTGCTACGCAAACAATCTGTTCTGTGCTAATGGTGACTTGTGCACTTCCATTTATTATACAGTCGTAATGAGCAGTGTCCTCAGAAACATGGTCTGAGTTAGTGGATTTACATACTTTGTTGTGTGGTTTCTGCAAAATCAACATGAGCAGAATTTGCAGCTGGTTTTCTCTAAAAATTTTGTAGGAATTTCTTTGTTTCAGAAGTTTTGGTTAATTATCCAATGGCAAGGAGTCATTCACCATCCATCCCATAAGCCTCTGTTGAGTTCTTACTCAACAGTGTCCAGAACTCCTAGTTCTGGGCACTTTTTGTGTTGGGAATACAAAAAGAAATAAGAATAATGTCTGTTTTCAGCCATTCATTTCAATCTATTAATAGAGAAGATATTTGGTCACTCCAAGTTAGAGTAGTTAGACATTGTGTTCTAGTCAGAAGCTCTCGATTTTTAATAAATAATAAATGACTTCTTAATTTTCCATTCTGAGGTTGAATATTTAAGTTCTTCTATATTCAGCTGTTGAGATAATTTCCTCTAGTCTGATACTGAGTTATTAATAAAGAACTTTATTTTTCAAGTGACTGTCTTCTTGGGAGAGATTTAGATTTGTGAGCACATTTAAAAAGACTTAACACTTACCAACTGCTTATCACGTTCCATCCCTTTTGTTAAGAGAGGAAATTCTTACCATTCACAGATACCAGGATATTGCATTCATGTTGTTTCCCTGGCTTGAATCAGTAGGGAAGGCCAGAGGAGTGTATGAAGGGGAATAATTCCGTTTGACACTCTGAGATATCAATGCATCCTTTGTTTCAGTTTCGAGGGAGCTCCATGTTGCAAGCAGGTTAGAGGTCTGTGTCCCATGAGTCTCTACAGAGCCAAAAGTTGCATTACTACACAGCCATCTTCATGGCCAAGATTTTCTGTCTTATTGTTACAGCAGTGTGGCCACACATTAACAAAGAGAATCCCAAGTTGAATGCATTTCACATGTAATTTGTTCCTGCACAGGATAACCCATACCGGAAACTGTTGGCTGGAGAGCAGTTCATTCACATTGCAAATATTACTAGTTCTTAGAGAATAATAGAGAACATTTAGTAGGCTCATAATTGTGGCAAGGAAAATATGACTTGTAAGAGCAGGCAACATATAAGGCTAAAATTAACCATTCAGGAAAAGAAGCAGAGCAGTTCTGCTTCGATCCATGGATATTTGTTTGCAAAAAGTATAACAATTATCCTTGGGAATGAATGGAGGAAGTGTGTGTTAAGAAGAGTGGCCTGATTTTTCTCCTTGTAAGTCCTGATTGGTTTCATGTTTTCCCATTCCCTTCCTCCACCCCTCTACTAATGTATCATGAAGACACTCTGGATGAAATGTACGTCTCCATTCATGCTGCCTCTGGTACTCAGGTGCACTAATGACATGTGCCCATGTTGGGCCTATACCACATTACTTGGCAGGTCGCAAATGCCTGGGGCCCAAACACAAGTGAGTAATGGCTGGTGACTCTAATTTCCCCCCTCACCAGCAGCACAGTGTATATTCTGAGAAAATGTTTTAATATACTGGTGTCCAAGGACTATGCCTCACCTTCTAACTTCCTACAAACATGTGCAGAGGTGCGCATACACATATTCTTCCACTATACTTCAAGACCATCATGCAGACTCACCCACAAGCTGCCTGAAACACAGAGATTGAGAAAATATTGACAAAACATCTTCAGCAAGAGTAGCAACAGAGGAAATAGGAGCAGCAAACCTTTGTGATGAGATACGGCTTTGTTGAGCCAGCTCTTTGTAGCTGCACATTGAAGAACTGTAAAACTGCTCAGTAATTGCAATTCTGTTTTTCAGTTGATGAAAATCATAAAGCACAAACTCACCTAGTTGACAAAGCCTGTGATTGGGCATGGGCATGGGGAACTTGTTTTGTGTCCTGTTTTTTTTTTTTTTTTTCCCTGAACATCTGTTCATCTTCAAATATGCAGAAGTATTCTATGCAAGGATGGTGTATTTTTCTGTTTACTTACACTGTACTCTGAGCACCAGCACATGTGGCAGAGAAAATCAATGTGTGCTCCTTTGACACAATGGTTGCAGCTCTCATGTGAGTATATGAATTTGGGATATAGGCCTACTCTCATTTTTATTTTATTCTTATTTTATTTTATTTTATTTTATTCTTCCTCCTTGTGATAGGTGAAATGAATGTGAGTATAGCTGTTAAAAACTACAAATAACTATTTTTCTCTCAGTACTAAGACACTGTGTTATTATCTAGTGACATATTTTGAATATGGGGGAAAAGGGCATTTTAAAGGGGACTTAGAAAATACTAACAGCTTGCATTGCGGACACATGGGTAACCTTATGGGAGATGCCACAGTATATTAATAACGTTCTTCTCTGAGACTGTAAAAGGTTATTAAATGCAAAGGTTTACTATCCATAAGATAGTAATGATTTAGAATATGACCTTAGACACCTTACTTCTCTTTGCCTTAGTTGTAAAATGGAAATCATAATAGTACTTACAGAACTGTTGTGAAGGTTAAATGCATTGGCACATGAAATGTGCTTAGAATAGTTCCTGGCATAGACTACATGCTCAATTGATGTCCCTATCACTGTGCAGCTCACATCTTACTTGAAGAAGCAAGCGTCAAACAGAAATTCTTATTTTTGAGTTCCTTTCTTGAGCCAGACACTCACAAAATGCTTTATTTTTATATTCTCTAATCTTTACAACTCTACAAGGAAGAATTCATTCTCATTTTACCAATAATAAACAGGCTTATGAAGGCTAGAGAACTTGCTCAAAGACTGAGAATTTAAATACATTCCAAAACTATGACATGCTGCCCATGAATAGGTCTCAAGTGATTCATATGATGAGAGCACACTGGAGGGCAGGATGTCTCCGTGGAAGGATGTCACGGGGCTTCAAAGAAGAGGTAGTGGCACAATTGAGATGAAAATAATATTTTCTCTAAGATTAATTGAGCAGAGATAGCCATGTTTAAAGTGCTTGTGGAATAATCCATATTTTGTCAGTGTAATGAGAATTTCTGAGTGAGACAATTCTGGATTTGAATCCAACTTATCAGCTACGTGAGCTTGGGAAGATTCCTTAACCTCTCTAGCTTCAGCTTTCTCATCTAAATGATAAAAATAATATAGCACCAGACATATGGGGTTTTAAATAAAATAATGCATTTAGAGAATTTAGTGCTGTTTTGGCAAATAGTATATGCTTAGTATAGATTAATTATCATTGCTGGTGTTCAGATAGGGACTCTATGAGTGAGGAGAGATTGCATTCATAATGCCCAGAGATATCCAGTAACGTGGGTTAGGTGACCTCTGCATGCCTTCTCCATGCCTACCGCCAATGATGCTTCTTTGTCTCCCTCTGTGTCTTCACCCTCTTCTTCTTTCTTTTCTTTTTATACTTTTATTCTCCTCCTCATGGTTTTAGAGAAATATATACATAGTATATATTGATTAACCATGGTGACATCAATGCGACTGCTTCCCTATTCTATCTTCTAATTATAATTACATATCATGTACAAATTTTTATAGAGATTTTTTTATAATCCTCTAAGCAGTGAACATTTAGACTTTATTCTGTTACTGCTGCTTTGCTATCTATAGAAATAGGGTTGCATGATACCAAATTATATACATAAAATAATCATCACTTTAAAGCCCATCTCATTAAACTAACCCCCCTCCTTTAATTTTATATTAGGATATTACACTTTTTATGGTCATATATAATTGAACATATACTCAAGCAATAACATGGTAAAAGCCTCTTTTTGAAAGGAGATGAATCTGTTTTATTCATCCATAAATACCCTAAAGTTCTAGGACATATAAGTTACTTAATGAATATTTGCTTTGAATAAACATGGAACTTGAAAATATGTAATAATATGCTGGCATGCTTGGTGTGATAGACACATGCACATGAAAGTAGGGAAGACCAAACTATAATAGTTCAAATCAATGATATGTGCTAAGATTTATACACTATAGTACAAGAACCCCATGATTCTGGGAAATGTTAAATCCTATTTTTTGCTCTCTACCTTAAAACGGGAGAACTAGAATAAACATCTGTTGGTCCTCTTCATACCATAAATTTTACACAATAAATTGTCTTTTCATACTATTCCTATTCCGTACATAAATACTTGTAAGGATTTTTACACACATTTACCCCAGTCTTTCCCGTGACTTCAAAGTATTGGGCTACTATTAATATTATCAAAACAGTACCTTGGGTATGTGGCAAAAGATTCCTCTAAGGACCTCCAAGAACATTTCGAACCACTATCTAGCTTGTTGCTAAGTGGAACACAATTCTTGGTTATTATTAAGGTCTCCATTGAATAGCATTCAGTTATGAAAATAGGCATTTTGCAAATTAAAAAATGGCAAACAATATGACAGCCACTCCACAATAGTACAGACATTTCTTAAAATTGAATACAAATATACCCTGAATGTCTGCAGCATACTATTTGATAATGCCTGTTAGAAAATAATCATGAGCACCTGATAGAATCTTATGGAACCTTTCCATTGGAGAAGCTTGCTTTTGATGGCAATGATTCGGTGCTATTTCCTGTCAATCCATCAATTCATGATTAACCTTCCCCTAATAATAATTCTATACTTTCAGTGTTTTGCTCATCACATAGAATTTAATTTACCTTTAATTATCTGTGGCCTTCAAAAAATGTTTCTGCCATTTTGTGATAAAAAATAAAACTGAAAGACATAACATAAAAATGAAATGGTTTAATAAAGATGAGGAAGGTACGAAATACTCATTAAAGAACCTCCAGATTATTAATTTCCCTGGAACTAGTTAAAATAGAAATGATTTTCTTCACATCTCTTGGATATTTTAGTTCCTTCTCTTATTTACTTTCCATTTTGGCAAGGCCAACAATATTTCTTCATTAGGACTTATTGTAATATATTTTTAACAAAATGTTTAGTTATTTGTGGGTCTACCCTAACAATACCACTCTTAGGATTGCTATTCAAAAATATTTTAAAACGATGAAACATTTATCTATTGCTATATAGTATAGATAATTATATGTATATGAGAAAGATTAAAGCACTTTTAAAATACCAGTTACTTCTATTGTTTATTTGTCAAGTGTTTACTTGATTTTTTTAACTTTATAAACATCATTTTATAAAATGATAGTTATCCCAGATCAAGAACCTAAAATATGACAAAATATACACAATATGAAGCATTCTTAAGGTGTATATTAAAAGTAAGGACACGATATCTCAAAATCTCATCCCACCCATGACATCAATTAACACTTTTGCATGGGTGACTCAAGCATTCATAACCCCAGGCTAGCTTTCTCCTCTAAGCCCCAGATCATTCTACATATCTCTTCATTTGATATTGACTCTTCTGAAGAGCTTATCAAACTCCACATGTTTTCAAACTGAAGTTAGGTTTACCAGACAGCTGCTATTATTAACCATTTACAGTGTGGACTGGCATGATCGTCCAGCCAGTTGTGCTAGCCACAAACCCAAGAACAATTTTTAACATCTCCATCTTTTATTTCCCTCAGATCCAATCTATCCTCAACTCTCTCCATTTTGCCTCAAATACTTCTCTCAAACCCCTTCTCATCTTGCATCTCTACTACTATAACTCTATAGTACTCTATACTACTATGCCTCAACCTCAATTGCTGCAATATGTCCTGACTCTTCTCTCCTATCCTTTCTGGCTCTCTTCCAAAATTATATTTAGGCTGCAGCCAAAGTGATAGATTGTTTTAGTTTTGTTTTTCTGTGTTTGTGTGTGTTGGTTCTGGGGTGGAAGTGCGGGCGGTGGTTAAAGTCGGGAGAGGCTTCTTTGTTTTGTTTTGAACCAGTAATAATTAATGTGTATCTCCCTTTTCTTAAATCCTGATTAGAACAATGGAAACCACATTTATTTTCTTCCAATATATACTTGTCTTTTGGGTTCCATTATCCTGTGTTCCCCTTGATATCTATCTGAACTGGCCACTCAGATTTCATCCATTTTTCTGCAGGTCTCTCTTCTACCATTTAATCAGTCTGGATTCCTTCTATTTCATTAATCATTGTTCCTCAATTATAAGACTGGAACAAGCATTTTCTTTCTTGACTTTTTGAGCAAACCTGGTTTCTTATTCCTGCCCAGGCCTTTAAAACTGCCTCTTAAACCTGTGAGTCTGCAGTAGTATTATTGAATTGCTTCTCAACCTTCATCCATAGAGATGGACTATTTTAATAATAAGGACTCTAATTTTACTTGTTAATAATATCTAAGACCCTTCTATGAATAAAGCCACAATTTGGATTTCAGCAATCCAGAGCCATTTCCTAAGACTATGTAATTAGTAAGTCTAGACCCACCTTGAGACCACAGTAATGTGGAGTGACTCTTAATAACCTGTGGACAGGCCTCGTGTTTCCAAGGTTACCCCTTCATACTCTCTTCTTTTAGTCCTAAAATCAATTCAAGACATAAAAGAGAAACAGAATTTGTGGCAGCTGAACTAGTTTTTACCTATTTAGGAACTCAGGATCTCTTTGATGAAAAGGATCTGGCTTTCCATCCTGCAGCCTTGGCTGAAAAACATAATAACAATATGGAAGAGTCCTACCTCATCTATGTTACCAGGCCACATGTGCCAGTATAGTTCAAAGCATCAGCAGCCTACACATTAAAGCCAGCTTGGCTGGTCCCTGCCAAGCTTCCATGGTGCTGCCTGCATTTGGCCATGGTTGGCCTGGCTTATTCTGCCAATAACATTTTGCTGAGCCACCCACTGGGTGCACCTGCTCTTTACTTAAGATCAGAGATGGCTCATCTGCTTGCTCAGGCTGCACCTGTACAAAATGACTCTGTTTCTATGTTATTTATCTGCTCACCTGTAGAATAATGGTCACTCTCCCAAAACAAAGACCCATTAGCTAGTGTGAAAAATCCCACGTGGCCTAAACCTAAGACCTAAAGCTGCATTCTTGGTCAGAGCAGTTCAAAGATAGCCACATAAGTATAAAATAATCCACATGGTGTGCCTATAACTCCAAGTCCAAAAAACAATGGATCCATCCCAAAACCTATATCTATGAATGTGAATTTTTTCTCCTTAAATTCCACTCCTTGTTTATAAGTCTCAAGGTTTTTGGTCCAGTGCACCAGATTGTAATACTCAGTACAAGTGAACCTATATTCCAGTCATAGACACAACTGGAAACAACAGCCTTGGCTAAAAAAGATAATAACTCCACATGGGCTGCGTGCTTTTGTACAACTTCCTCCAGGGAGACACTGAGAACATGGTTATATCCTGCTGACAGCTTGCCAATCAGGAGAAAAGAAAGCGAAGGGGCCAATCTATAAATGCCCATTTCCTCTCATGTACTTGCAAATACCAGTTGTTCTTCTTTCTTTGGGTGGCAGTAAGCAAGGAGGTAGAGAGAAGCCAAAGACATTAAATGAAAATCTCTCCTCTCTCCCTCTCTAACTTTCCATGGTAATAAACATTTCTCCCCAGTTTCCATGTTTAGTTAATTTCTTCCCTCAGGATTTTCCAGTCATTTTGAAACTGTCATAGTTCAGCCCTTGACTTCTGAACTGAATTGAGCCAATCTTCCCACTTTTAGACTCAAACTCCTCCATTCCATTCTTCCCAGAACATAATCACAAAAGATGCAAATTTAGGCCACAGAAAAATTACCAACAATACAATTAGTGAGCTTTTGGAATTGCTCAGTTTAAATTAAGAACCATAAACATTAAATCTGTGACTGCCAAGGGACTGTAATATATAATTACTGAAGAGATGACAAAAAAATTTCTGTGGCATCTACTGATGGCAAGGAGGTGTAGGTGTAGAAAACATACAAACTGGTTATGAATGTGTGTAGCTCATAAGTGAAATTGGGCATGTTAGTTGAAATTCATGGATGACAAAGAAATGGACTAAAAACTGAGAGTGTTACATATTAAATTAGCACAAACAAAATATAATTTGGCCTGAACTCAATTTGAAAGTAAAAACTTTATAGAATTAAATCCTATTAGAGATATTTTAAAGACATATGCAGTTATATCTACTTAATAACAAAATACCTGATTAATTAATTCATAACAGCAATTATTCAGAAAATCTTGCCATAAAATCACTTAATGAATTGACAGAAGTTTTACCTATCACTTTGTTATTTTTATCTAGCCTGTAAACACAGCCTATGAAAGAAAAATAATCTTGGAAATGCTTTCCCATAAGTTAACAGATTGTACAGTAGGAAAACTATAATTCATTCATCTGTTCAGTCAGATGACAAATATTTATTATATTCAAGGCATAGTTCTAGCTGCTAAGGCATAACAGATGTACAGTAAATCCTCAATAAATGTTTTGTAATTTAGAGAATAAAATGACAATTAAGAAATAAACTTTATCTTAGAGGCATAATGTACTTATGGAGATAATAGCATAATTATTAATAGTGGTGCTATAATATGCTATATCAATCAATATTCAGTGTATATTTTTACAAAAATATATAGTATAATGTATATAAAATAATATAATAGTTTATGCAATCATTTTATTATTAAATAGTACTAATAGCATAGAAGTTCAATAAAATCAATTTGTATCATATTAAAATATCATAAACATCTATAGATGTTGTCATAAGAGTAATGTTAAAGGTGAGCTAGGAATTTGAGTACATAGTAAACAATGGAATTATTTTGGAGATTATGATATCCAAAGTTGTCAGCTGATGGCAAGTTAATTGTTTTTAATAAAATTTTATTAAAATATTCACATATATTTACATATATACATATATAAATGTATAATATGTACGTGCATACATAATTGCATATGTATACACACACATCAAGAAAGAGATTATACTGATATGGAAGGATTTTAGGAAGATGTAGGTTCCATATTTACAGTTCTCTGCCAATAACTTGAACCAGAGTGATAGTAGTATTTATGCAATAGCACCTCATTTTCAAGAGTTTGTTATATGCCATACCTTCCTTGTACTCATTTTTTATATAAATTACCTCATTTACTTGCCACAACAAGCCTTTGAAGTAGATTTTATTATTCCTGTATTACAGAGGCAGGAATTACAGTATTAAAACATTAACATACTTGCCCAGCATCTGGAAGTTAAGATTCTAATTGAATTACTCCTTAATGCAAACCCCTTAATTGCTATACTGTATGAACGTGCATATTTAGAAATTTTTCAAAAAAATCTTTCTTGTTAATTCTTGTATGATCTTTGTCTTTCATATCCTCTTTTGTCCACTGAAGGTTAATGTTACCTGGGTCAAGAATAAGACCATCTGGGGTCCAAAAATGTAGACCTCATCTGATAAAGTTATGGTTTCATTCACATTTAAATTCTAGTTAGTCTTGTTTTTCACTAAGTGAATGTGAATTTTTATAAGACCATTATATTACCATTCTAATTACCAATAAATATGTATTGATTACCCACTGGTAAAGCCTTATACTAAATTTCAAGGATGGAAAATGAATATGGAGCTATTTGTGATTTTAATATAAACAACTTGCCAAAGAAATAACATCTAAGACTTTTGGAAATGCATTATGCCAGATGGGAAGAGAATTCTTGTTGATAGATGACAACTATTCTTAATGTTTACAAAATGTGAGAATTATTTTAAAAAGCTGCATATTTTTATCTTTAGAATGTAAATTAGCTGACATCTCAGAAAGCTACTTAGCTTTACTTACCCTAGCAGAAAGTTTCTAATCATCTGATATCAGGCTCTCTATTGAATGTGCTAACACACCTATAATATTTTAAGTAATTAAGAAAGAAATAATAATATTTACTTAAATATTTTTGAAATGAGCTTGGATAGTAATGAAATTAGCTGTGGAAACAAAATAAATTTGATAAAAATTGGCAAAAAGCAAAACAGTGGACACTGCATTTTGACTTTTACAATTAATTCCCACACAAATATTTGTTTAATCAGACAATGTGGTTAATCACCAAGGTGAAATTGAAAGTTACCAACAGTGAATGCTGGTGTAAAAGTTAATAAATTCAGTTCATAATCGCTATGCACATGCTAGTTATAATAATTTACTGTCCATACCAAATCTTTATAAGCATTGTAATTAAATATAAAATGCACATTAGAATTATAATGAGTAATTAGGGCAACATAACTAATATGCATGAAAGTCCCAAAGCTCATTAAAATGTTAAAAGACAAAACCTGTTCTACCTAGTGTTTTAGCATATTTTCTATAGCTAAATGAATGCCAGTAGAATCTTTGCATTATTTCACCATTTTTGGTTTTTATAAATTATGCATTTAAAATGCCCTGGAAACATTTGTTTCAGTTACCAAATGCAGGCTGATTTCTATTTTGGAAGAATCAGAGCCAACAAGACACACAGACACACAAACACACACTCAAAACCCACATAAAAAATTATTTGATACTATTACTAGGCTACCTTGTTGGATTACTTCAGGAAGAAGAACATAAAACCATAATGGACCATTATTTTATGGGGCACACAGCAGAACACATTGGAGAGAGCTTTCAGATGATAGAACCAATGGGGAGCATCATCTTGTCCAATCTTTATACATTTTACAATATAGTTATACCTCCTTCTACAAATTTCTATTTTTTAAAATGGTGAATTCAAATTAAGACACTGAACCCCATTTAACACTTTACCAAAATGATAACAGAAGCAGGACATCTTGCTTCTAACATTGTTCAGGAATCATTCATCCTGTATCGTTTATAAACAAACACATAAACTGCTTCTAATAGGCCCAGTACACACAGAGTAACTTTCTAGCTGAATCATATCCTGCAGTTTACATTAAAACTGAATAAATGATTTTAACTCCTAAATACATTTTGGATTCAGCTAATAACAAAGATTTTTAGTCCAATAAATTCTTCTTTTCTTAACAAGGATATGCATTTATTTGAGCAAAATATAGCTCTATATGTCCAGAAGGTAGAACATTTTCAGGGAAATTTTTAGCTTTATATTAAATTAGAAGTGAAATGTACACAGAAATTGTGCTATTTCCATAGTCTTTTCATTACAATTTATTCATTGAAAAATGCTCTGAGAAATGGAAATTATGAGAAAAAGGCATTGATGTCAGTATTTGGTCATATAATACAAATGTATTTATCACTTATCAGTTATGTATGACATGAGCATTGCAAGACCATCCACATTAAATTCTAACTTATTGGATTTAACTCTATTGAGTTTTTAAAAAGTCTAGAGGTGATCTTTGCACATTGATTTTGTATCCTGAGACATTGTCAAATTTGCTTATCTGCTTAAGGAGATTTTGGGCTGAGATGACTGGGTTTTCTACACATACAATCATGTCATCTGCAAATAGAGACAGTTTGACTTCTTATCTTCCTATTTGAATACCTTTATTTCTTTCTCTAGCCTGATTGCCCCGGCCAGAACTCCCAATACTATGTCGAATAGGAGTGGTGAGAAAAATCACAAGCATTCCTATACACCAATAATAGACAAACAGAAAGCCGAATCATGAGTGAACTCCCATTCACAATTGCTACAAAGAGAATAAAATACTTAGGAATACAACTTACAAGGGATGTGAAGGACCTCTTCAAGGGGAACAAACCACTGCTCAAGGAAATAAGAGAAGACACAAACAAATGGAAAAACATTCCATGCTCATGGATAGGAAGAATCAATATCATGAAAATGGCCATATTGCCCAAAGTAATTTATAGATTCAATGCTATCCCCATCAAGCTACCATTGATTTTCTTTTTTTTTAACAACCCCATCAAAAAGTTGGCAAAGGATATGAACAGACACTTCTTAAAAAGAAGACATTTACGTGGCCAACAAACATATGAAAAAAAGCTCATTATCACTGGTCATTAGAGAAATGCAAATCAAAACCACAATGAGATACCATTTCATGCCAGTTAGAATGGCAACCAGTAAAAAGGAAGCAACAGAAGCTGGAGAGGATGTAGAGAAATATGAACACTTTCACACTGTTGGTGGGAGTGTAAATTAGTTCAACCATTGTGGAAGACAGTGTGGTGATTCCTCAAGCATCTAGAACTAGAAATACCATTTCACCCAGCGATCCAATTGCTAGGTGTATACCCAAATGATTATAAATCATTCTGCTATAAAGACACATGCACACATATATTTATTGCAGCACTGTTCACAATAGTAAAGACTTGGAACCAACCCAAATGTTCATCAGTGATAGACTGGATAAAGAAAATGTGGCATATATACACCATAGAATACTACTCAGCCATAAAAAAGGATGAGTTCATGTCCTTTGCAGGGACAGGGATGAAGCTGGAAACCATCATTCTCAGCAAACTAATACAGGAACAGAAAACCTAACACCACATGTTCTCACTCATAAGTGGGAGTTGAACAATGAGAACACATAGACAAAGGGAGGGGAATATCACACGACGGGGCCTGTCAGGGGGTGGGGTGCTAGGGGAGGGATAGCATTAGGAGAAATACCTAATGTAGATGATGGGTTGACGGGTGCAGCAAACCACCATGGCACGTGTATACCTATGTAACAAACCTGCATGTTCTGCACATGTATCTCAGAACTTAAAGTATAATTTTTAAAAAGTCTAGAGGGTAAATTATAACAAGATCATAAAACTGTAATATTTTATGGACATAATGCATTCATTTATTGTGTTCATTTATTCAATAAACATTTTTAAATTATCACCTATGTTTCTGATATTGGGCCAAGTCTTAGGGAAATACATAAGTTTATGACATAGTATTGACCAGTTCATAATTCCACTAAAATCTTGAGCTTCTCTAAGGCAGGAACCATTTTAATCTATCCTTGACCTCGAGCACTGAGTAAATAAATTATTAAAAGAAGAGACAATAATTCAGAATAAAAGTAGAGTGAGTAGATGACATATAAAAATAGAAAGTAATTTTCAATTTCCAAATACATTCCCTGTGTGGTCACTGAAGAAATGGGAAGTCCTCCCATGGTGAGTTATCACCCTTTCTTGGGAGTTCTCATAACACCCTCCTGACATGCTGGTTTTCCAGACTCTTGGTCTGTGTAGCACTTGCTGTCATTTTGGTTTTCACAGGCAGCTCTATTCTCTATGGTTATCTTCATTCACATAATATTCACATTGAATTACTGTGGAATCCACAATTCATTTTAGACAGTTTATTTTCTCAACAGAAGATAAAACAAACTTTCTCTTCAAGGCAGACCCATAGAGCTCTCTTTGGCTTTGGTACATAGGAGATTTTGAGAATGAATAACTTTGGAAAACTCTACTCCAAGTAATAGTCTGGACAATTCCTTGGAAAATACTGACTCTCCTTCGCTTCCAAATGTACATGAAGAGTCTTTCTTAGCCCCATTGATGACAGGCTTGACCATGTGGCTGCTTTGACTAATGGGCATTAAAGATATGTCAGAGACACAGGAGTGAGAAATAGATAATAATTGTTACATGTCACTAAAATGTAGTGGTTCTTTGTCACACAGCATCACTGTGTCTATAGCTGACTAAAAAATGGCATTAGTCTAACAGTGATCTGTGATTTCTTTCTGAGTCAAAATATATTGGTGGGAGTCATAGACAAATGCTACTTGAATTTTTTCTAGAACTCCGATGCCCAGATATATAGTATTTTAATGCCTAGTTATATAGTGTTACATGTGATATTGCATAATATATAAGATAAAAATTTAAAGTTAACCATTTAGTGTATATGTGCCACATTTTCTTAATCCAGTCTATCATTGTTGGACATTTGGCTTGGTTCCAAGTCTTTACTATTGTGAATAGTTCTGCAATACACATACATGTGCATGTGTCTTTATAGCATCATGATTTATAATCCTTTGGGTATATACCCAGTAATGGGATGGCTGGGTCAAATGGTATTTCTAGCTCTAGATCCCTGAGGAATCACCACACTGACTTCCACAATGGTTGAACTAGTTTACAGTCCCACCAACAGTGTAAAAGTGTTCCTATTTCTCCACATCCTCTCCAGCACCTGTTGTTTCCTGACTTTTGAATGATCGCCATTCTAACTGGTGTGAGATGGTATCTCATTGTGGTTTTGATTTGCATTTCTCTGATGGCCAGTGATGATGAGCATTTTTTCATGTATCTTTTGGCTGCATAAAGTCTTCTTTTGAGAAGTGTCTGTTCATATCCTTCACCCACTTTTTGATGGGGTTGTTTGTTTTTTTCTTGTAAATTTGTTTGAGTTCATTGTAGATTCTGGATATTAATTAGTCCTTTGTCAGATGAGTAGATTGCAAAAATTTTCTCCCATTCTGTTGGTTGCCTGTTCACTCTGATGGTAGTTTCTTTTGCAGTGCAGAAGTTCTTTAGTTTAATTAGATCCCATTTGTCAATTTTGGCTTTTGTTGCCATTGCTTTTGGTGTTTTAGACATGAAGACCTTGCCCATGCCTATACAGCATGGAATACTATGCAGCCATAAAAATGATGAGTTCATGTCCTTTGTAGGGACATGGATGAAGGGACATCATTCTCAGCAAACTACTGCAAGGACAAAAAACCAAACACTGCATGTCCTCACTCATAGGTGGGAATTGAACAATGAGAATACATGGACATAGGAAGGGGAACATCACACACCGGGGCCTGTTGTGGGGTCGGGGGAGGGGGGAGGGATAGCATTAAGAGATATACCTAATATTAAATGACGAGTTAATGGGTGCAGCACACCAACGTGGCACATGTACACATATGTAACAAACCTGCATGTTGTGCACATGTACCCTAGAACTTAAAGTGTAATAAAAAAATAAATAAATAAAGTTAACCATTTAGTTTCAGATAATCTGTTCCTTATCACAGCAGTCCCCAAACCTCTTGGTACCAGAGTGGTTTTGTGGTTTTGTGGAAGACAATTTTTCTATGGACTGAGGGGTTGGAGGGGATGGTGGGACTGTTCCACCTCAGATCATCAGGCATTAGATTCTCATAAGGAGCATGCAGCTTACATTCCTCACATGTACAGTTCACAATAGGGTTCACACTCCTATTAGAATATGTTGCCACTGCTCATGTGATAGGAGGAGGAGCTCAGGCAGTAATGCTTGCTACCCTGCAGCTCACCTCCTGCTATGCAGCTGTGTGTATAGTCATCTAAATATAAAAAAAAATTATAAGGTATTATTACACAGTGAAACATCAAAAATGTGAAAGCAATATATGCAGACATTGCATTATTCATGTTAGAGGCACACGATATGTCCAGCAGTGGTCCATGGCCTGGGGCTTGGGGACGCCTGCCTTATCATAAGTATTCTAACAAATATGTTAAATTTATTTAAATATATATAAAATATAGAAAAATAACACATAAATATCAACTAAACACATATATTCATTCATCCCTCAGTATCCATGGAGTATTGGTTCTAGATCTCCTCAAGGATATAAAAATCTGTATATGCTCTAGTCCCTTATATATAAAATGGCATAGTATTTGCATAGAACCTATGCACATCCTCTCATATAATTTAACTCATCTCTAAACTACTTATAACACCTAATACTATATAAATGTTATATAAATAGCTGTTACACTGTATTGTTTTTAGTTGTAGCTTTATTATTGTATTGTTATTTTTTAGTTCAAATATTTTTAAGCCCTCTTTGGTTAAATCCACAAATATGGAACCCATGAATACAAAAGGTCAATTGTGTGTGTGTGTGTGTGTGTCTGTGTGTATTCATGTAAGTATAAAGAAAAATATAAGGTATCATACACACAAAAAAATCAAAAATGTGAAAGCAATATAAATGCAGACTTTGCATTATTTCTTTTAGAGGCACATGATAGTGGGAATGTTAAACATTCAAATGATAATACTACAAAAATGTTCTACTCAGCAAAGGTGAATGAAATTATGACATCTTTTTTGGCCTACATCAAAATGTGCAACATTTCTGTAACACAAATAGTTTGATGATTACTTTATTCTTTAAACACCAATAACATTTTATTTTTTATTGAGTGCCTAGTATGCTTCAGGCACTGGTCTTAGGACTTGGAATACATCATTGAACAACACAAAGACTGTTCCCTTGTGAATTGTACATTCCAATGCGAGAGGGGAGACAACTAACAATAAAGAAGTAAATATATACCATGTCAGATGGAGATTATTGGATGGAGAACAGTAAGGATGGTTAAGAAGGAAAGAATTTGAGAGTAAGGGGGTAGGATTGCCATTTTATATAGGAGGTCAGGGAGCACCTCCTTAATATGGTGGACTTTGAGCACAGACTGGAAGGAAATGAGGATGTAAGCACGACATGTCAATATCTGAGGGATGACTATTCCAGACTGAGGAAGTATCAAGTAAAAAGACTCTGAAGTAGGGATGCTCTTGGTTTGTGTTCCACCAATTTGAAATAGTCCAATATTGCTAGAGCAGATTGGACAAGGGAGGCAATGGACAGAGATGTGGTCACAGAAGTGGCAAGAGGGTTGATCATTTAGAGACTTATAAACCATTGTAATGAATTTGGCTCTTATTCTGAAAAAGTGAGGGAAGTGAAGCATAGTTGTGTGTAGCAAGGATGTAGGATTTGTCTTCTTTTAACAGAAACACTATGGCCACTGTGCTGAGAATGATTTGTAACAGGAGCAAAAGCCAAAACCAGGAAGACCAATTAGGAGACTACTGAAATATTTCAAGCAAGAAGTAATGTTAGCTAGCACCAATATGATAACTATAGGAGTGATGAGAAGTATAAGATTTCAGATGCATTTTAAAGGCAGAATCAACAAGATTATAGCATCTCTCAAGACTTAGAAATGTTTCTCAATGACATTGATGAACTGGTAATAGTAACTGTTCATCAAATTCACAGATAAGCTTTGCAGGATGAGAGCAGTAAATAGACAGGATCTGGCGACTTTGACTGAAAGGGCATTAAATAAGATTGAGATTATAAGGAGAGTATCAGCTGCATTTCTGAGCAAAATGTGTATGTATTCCTGAGCAAAAAAGGAAGGAACCCAAACATATTCTTTAATAATTTATTCATGTGCTGCTCTTGCTGACATGGAATTTCTGTTTTGTCAGTGAGACTTTTCCTTTCTTGATGTTCTCTTCACTTGTCAAATTACTTTTGCTATTAGGCAGAGTTTTCTTCTCATACCATGTTGTTTAATCATTTTAAGAAGGATGACATTTTCTTTCCCTTCTAAAACAGCTTTGGCCCCAAATACACCCATACTACTCTTTCTGAAAATTACAGTTTTTCTACCACCCCTCCTCCCACATCTTCTGATTTCTTTAAGCTACACTATTTATAGGTAAAATGTCTCTCCTACTTTGTCTTCTCATTCTTTTGCTGTTAGTTACTACTTATTGTGCATGTTCTGATTTAGCTTTCTTTCTCCATAAATAGAAGTGTCCAAAACTATGTTTTTCAAATGAGAAAAAACATTACCTCTCAATTCTACAACTACTATCACTTCCCACTAGGATGTTTTTCCCCCCTTGTTCATAAGTTCATGGCAAGTTCATGGATAAAGCACACTGGTTGCACAGTTACTACCTCTGTTGCCTTAGTCTTTGAACCATATAGAAATATTATCACATTACATCCTCCAAGATGCAGGTTTGAGTAGGCAATTGCCATGTCAAAATAAATGGCGGGGGGGTGAAAGTGGTTTAATGTTCATTTTTTACTAGGGAATCTATATCTGTAGTGTTGGAAAATGTCATTCGCTTAACATATTTTCTGTAGTCTTGCTAGACTTCTGACACTGTCACGTAACTGAAGGCGGGGTTGAGGCAGGGAGAAATGGGTAGTTTACAACTATATTTCTATGATATAAATCTTATTTTTTTCTTTTTCTTTCTAGATCCTGAAAGCTTTCTTTTTCTTCTTATAAGACAGTGTGTTTGGAAAGTAATTCTTTAGAATATATTAGCAAAATGAATTATTCATTTTATAGAATTAAACAATGATAATAACTGAATTTTAATCAACTTTTTAAATGTTCTTTTTTAAGATTTTTGAAGGCCATAGTAACAAGAAGAAATAATAAACCATTCAGTAAGCTAAGAAATCAGATCCAGTTATTATTCTGAGAGGGAAGAAGTCATAACACCCCAAGGCTCCCTTCTGCCTTTGGATTTACTATTAGATCTTTGGAGGAAACTGGCTCTGAGAGCAGAAGGAAACATGATCCAGTGAGGAACTGGCCTAAGGGAAGATCCAACCAATGCTATCCTCATCTATTACCCCATGTATATTTACTGCCATTACTTTTTCAATTGATTGACTTCACCTATCTCGAATGTATATATGAGCCTGGCTCATTCACATTTTGAGAGATCAATGTGAGTCTTTGATGGCATACCATGGCTTAAAACATAGCAATAAACATCATGGAAGCTCTAACAACATACCTTGAATGATTAATACAAGTAGAAACATATTTTCATTAATAAATTACAAAAAAATTCTTATGTTTTACAGGGATCTAAAGAGTCTGCACGTTTCTAATCTTCATTTTTTGAAGATTCACTAAAAATAATTTTTATTTAAGAAAGTTTATAACGCCTTCAATATTAGAAAAAATGCATTCAAATATTTTAGGATTTGTAAGATTTGTACTGAAGGGCAATTTTATTTACAAGATTGTACTTGCTGATAATAGAGATACTTTCAGAGAATCCCAACTTTTACAATACTTGCAAACTTGTCCAATATATCCAAATCAATCACATACAGCTATAATTTCAGCATGACTGACAACAGAGAAGAGATCAGATCATGAACAAGTTGAAAGAAAGAAAGTTCGGCAAACAGCTAGGAAAACAGTGAACCATTTAATTCCTGTTGATACAGCTGGTGGCCCAATAAATTTCACACATATTTTACAGTGGATGCATCACTGGAGTGAGCATTGCTGACTACAAGGGGACAGCTATTTCAAGCTATAATTTCACCAGTGCTAACCGTTGTCAAAAGAACAATATGAATAAATTCTGCTTTAACATCAGCAAACTACTCATGATGTAAGCCTTTCTCTTCTTACTGCACTTTTATTCACTTCATGAGTCACAGGTAACTCATCCATTCATCCATCATCTATGGCCTCTAACATGTGCATACTCATCATCAACACAGTATCAGATCATTTATACCACAATATAATGACTAATGATAGCTTAGTAAATTCAACCCCTTGAAAAAGTTGAATATAATAACATTGAACTTGATCTTAGGAAAATAATCTCTTAGGTTAATAGTTTCAAACAATGAACAGATTGTTATTGAGGGTTTAGGGAGTTAGTGCTGGAGATTTCATTCATCCTCCTAAAATCAGAATTCATATGTAGTCATATATCTCTGCGCTCCGAAAATTTTTTTACCAAATAATTTTGTTTTTTTTCTGTACCTTTTCAAACATAAGGGAATCAAAGATCACAGCTTAGTACTCTGTCACATTGAATATTAAATATTAAAAAAACATTAAGGTCAAGTTAACATGTAAAATTTCACTTATTGTCTTTCTTGTGAAAAAGAAAATGACCTCATCAATATGTTTAATGTAACTGACATGATCTTTTATATACCCAAGTAATGTACCACCACAGTTGCATATTTTCCTGGAAAGGATACCTTTGTGTTACATACACTTTTCACATTTTTTCACATTGAACCCAAGCCTCTTATTTCTTGTTCAAAGAGGAATATAAGGTTTACCACATCTGCCTTTCAGAAAGATTTTCTTGATTACGCTAAAAAAAGTAGGCTATGGATGGAATTCTGGGAGAGTAAAATGTGATATACTCATCCAGGTTTTAATTAAATTAATCACATGCTTGCAGTGCCAAGGCAATGAATTTTTAAAAATTCATTTTTCTTTTTTGCCCATGTCTTATCATGATTCCATGCCCTTAAAAGGAAGCAGGACTATGATACTCTATTCTCTAGTAATAATCCTAATTTAATAATAGCTAATGTTTTTATTGACAACTAACTCAGTGCAAAGCAGTATGAAGCATTTTCCTTAAATTATTTTATTTTCTCCATACACCAATCCTATGAAGTAAGTACTGTCTATTTTACAGGTGAGAAAACTGGGATTTAGAAGGGTTAAGTACTTCAGACAGTAAATGTTAGAGCTACGTTTGTTGCACTGCAAAGCAGTGCTTTTTTACTGCATTATTTCACCACTGTGTAAATGTTTAAGGTCTGGGGGAAGCTGGAGGTACATTACAAACTAGATTATTTTCATCCCCTGTGAATGCTGACCAGAGGCTTAATTCAATGTGAAAGTCTCTAAGTCATAAAGATTGTGATTCAACTATATTTTGGAAGTTTGATTTTTTTAAATCTTAGCTTCCTTTAAGGTGAAATTAATTCATTAGGCGAAGACATATTTGCTTCATAAAAAGAGTTGGTTGACCTTATGATATGTTTCTATGAGATCTATAAAAACCTTTGAAAGATTGTCATTGTTTCCCACCCTGAGTTTCAACCTGTCTTCAAGTAAGAAATTTTTAACTACCTATAACTCTCCTCCTATGAAACAATAATATATTGAACACATCTTATATTTTGTATTCTCTGTGAGGTACTTGAAATCTTAAAATTTTTCCAAAGACTGTCCATTTGACTAAGGCTGCCTTAATGTAGTATGTAAATCCTAAATACAGACTAAGGTCAACATGCTTATTTTCCACAGCGTTTTCAAACCATGTGGATTCTGTAGGACCGATTTTTCCTCTTTATAGACTCTAAATTCACTAATGCTCTACGGGCAATGTTATTTATACTGTTGCAGTATTTAACATGAAACACATTACTACTCTTCTTCTCTGGGCACCCTTTTTTATTGTTGCAGTTATTTAACATGGCGTGTTCATAATCATCCATCACTTTAAGGGGATAGGGTGGTGTTCAAATTCTTTTGCCATTGGAACTCTAAAGTTTCATTTCAACTACCTCAACTTAGTAAGGATATTAAAATAATTATTGGATTTACTCGTTTTTAATAATAATAATACTCTCTACATGACTAAAGCTCCCATTGAGGATGGCATGAGAGAAAGAAGATCTTTGGTAGCTATTGTCAAGTAACTAAGAAAATGAATCTTGATTAGGCTTGTTGGGTGCCAAGTGCAGAGTTTCTGTTTCTTGCACCTGCAGAGCCTGGAGATTTGGATGAAGACACTTTCATTATCTTCATCCTGAAATGACTAGCTAAAGAATGCAAAGAAATAATCCCACTGAGCAAATTAGAAAGGAAGACTCCTCCTTTGTGAGCCTCTAATCACACAGGTATTAAATACCTCATGCTGACCCTTTCTTTCACTGCTGGCTTTCTCCAACATCTGTTCCTTGCTCTTACTCACATCTGTCTAATAACATTCCTCTGAAATTGATTTTATTTCCACTGTGCAATTGCTTCAGCTCACAGTCCACTCCAAAGGATGCTATTCTACTGGTGAATTTGAGAGACTCTAGCATTCACTTTCCTTGCCACTTTAATGTTATTGAAAGGTTACATCTAAGAAGAACACAAGGCTATATATACAAAAAGAAAAACAGTTCTGGAAACATAAACACATGAAGATGCATAAATTTATTTCCCTACTCCCAGCAAAAACAGCTTACACTTCAGGTGCCAGGCCAAAATTCACAGAGCAATGGAGGGAGTGTAGTAGTAAGAGAAATAGGCTCTGGAAGCAATCACTCAGATTTTTTCATTTGATCATCTTTCTAAGAAAGAGCCCACTGTGATTACTTAAAACATGGAATATTGTAGTGGAAAATGAGTGTTTTGTACAACTTGGCCAAATATATTTATAATTTTTTACTGTACAGCTCCAGTTGGAGATTTAACTAGTCATAATTTTTGTCAGGTACATCTGTTCCAGGGAAATAAATGACCATATCCTTATGGCACAAATAATTGAAGCCTTCTCCTTACATGAAATCTGTGAGTACATTATAGCTCATGAGCCCTTAGAAACCTCTTGAGCCAGTAATGACAGTTCACCTTAAAAGTCACGGACAACATAACCTATGATGTAGAATACAGCTTAGAGATCCACTATTCCAGTAATTTGACACATGCAGAATATATCCCAAGAAATATCAGACCCACAAAATGCTCAAATAAAACCTTATAGAACGCTGTGACCACATAAGTTTGGAAAAGGGTCTGTCCAAAAAGACAGCAGTCTCTAACCTTTTTGGCACCAGGGACCGGTTTTTTGGAAGACAATTTTTCTATGGACTGTGGGGTGGGGTAGAAGATTTTTTCAGGATGATTCAAGTGCATTATATTTATTGTGCACTTTATTTCTATTATTATTATATTGTAACATATAATGAAATACTTATACAACTCGCCATAATGTAGAATCACTGACAGCCTGAGTGTGTTTTCTTGCAACTAGACAGTCTCATCTGGGGGTGATGGGAGACAGTGGCACCCGAAGTGTGTTGCTTTTCCAGTCTACTCCATGATCTCATTTTGGTGGCTGTGACTGCAGAAAACCCTGCTTCACAAAGACAGGATGTTGGAAATGGAAGCAGGTTTTTCAGTCCTTTGTGGCAACCCAGGATATTCTGTCTTGACCTTAATCCAGAACTTATGGAGATTTGAGGTTGTCCCAAACATACTTTTAAGGCCACAGTCATTTGTAATCTCAAGTAAGTGAGTCTTTTCTGGCAGGGACAAAGTCAATACACCTGGCTTATTCACAAATGGGTCGCAGATCCATTCCTTCCTAGTTCGGGTGTCTTTTGTGATTAGGAAGTAATGCTCAAAGTCTTTCGAAAGCTGAGCAAGACGATCATGCACCAGCTGGGAGAAATAAGGTCCTGGCTCAGCCTCTTTTAAAATCTCTGCTAATGTTTGAAACATGTCAAAAATCCCAGTGTTCACTTTTCGCCCCCATAATTCCAGTTTGGCTTTGAATGCAGCCACTTTATCTGCCGATCTGAACACAGTTGTCATTCTCCCCTGGAGTGAAAGGCTGAGTCCATTGAGCAGGTTGAATATGTCACATAAGTAAGCAAGTTTTGCGACCCATTCTATGTCACTGAAATGTGCTGCCATTGGTGACTGTGTTTCTAAAAGTAATCTCTGCAGTGGCTTTCATAACTCAGATACTCTGCTCAGTTATCCACCTTTAGAAAGCCATCTCACTTCTGTGTATAAGAGAAAACATGTGTGCTCTGTGTCCATCTCCTCACAGAGCTGTGGCAACAGATGTGAGTTAAGGGCATGTATTTTAACCTGGTTGGTAATTTTAATCACATTCTGGAAAATGATTTTAGTTCAGGTAACATTTTCCAGCTAGCCAGCATTTATCTATGGATGACACGGTGTGTAGACTTACATTCAGAAGTGACCTATTTGACCCGAATAGTGAAACCAGAAAGCTGTCAAGTCATGGCAGCAACTCCGTCCATGCATATACCAACACAAAATAACCAATTCAGTTTTCCCGAATTCAGAGGCTTGAATAGTCCTGCAGCTGTGGTGTTGGTTGGCAACGAAAGTGCACATAACATATCCTCACGAACATCCTCCTGAAAAATATATCCCACATAAACAAGCATTGTTGCCTTGTCAACATCAGTAGATTCATCAACCTAGATTGTGTACCACAGTGATTCGTTAATCCTCTCTAACAATCGTGCCTTAATATCCTCTGCTATTTCATCTAGTTATGGTGCTAGCCAAAGGAGGAACACGTGCCACCTTTTGAACAGCAGCCTCTCCTAAAAGTTCATGACAAATATCCTTAGTGGTAGGCAGGATCAGCTCTTCACCAATAGGGAAGGGCTTCTTAGCTTTAGCAATGTGGTTAGTCACGAGAATCATGCTTTTGGTGCAGACACATTTGATGAAGTGGTGGCCTTCAATAATTGCTTCTGTTCTTTGTGTTTATGTTTTTTTCCTTTTGAAAAACTCCAAAGTCTTGTCTTTTAATGCAAGGTGCTTGGTCTCCATGTGGTACAGCAGTTTTGAAGTTTTCATGGCCTTGTTGGATAGCCAGTCACCACACATTATACAAAGTGGGCTTGGAGAATGTGAATCACCTGTTACAAAGAACTTGTAATTTAAGTAGCACTCTTGTTATTTTCTTTTAAATGCAGCTTTCTTTTGTTGGCAGTCTTAGAGTTGTTGGGTCTTTTCCCCTTTTCAAAGAAGCTCTCCAGTGATGTTTGGTTTTTACTCATTTTGGCTAGGGTTAGCTTGTGGGCTTACCAAAACTGTGACTGAGACAAGTGCGCAGTGTAGGAAAAAGGTACAGACAGAAGTGGTAAATAAAATAATGTGTGGGCCACATGCAGACTAAAGTGTCAGATTCTGACTTAAAGCCTGCCACCAGATGCAGTTGTGCAATTGAAGTACCTCAACTTATTTGCCACTATAAAGCCTGCCACCAGATGCAGCTTAATTGTTGCTTGCCACTCACTGATAGGGTTTTGATATGAGTCTGCAAGCAATTGATTTATTATGGCCTATGTGTATAATTCTCTGTTAACATTAGTCTGTATTTGCAGCCACTCCCCAGTGCTAGCAACACTGCCTCAGCTCCACCTCAGATCATCAGGCATTAGATTGTCATAAGGAGTGTGCACCTTAGATCCCTTGCATGTGCAGTTCACAATAGCGTTCACACTCCTACGAAAATCTAATGCTGCTGTTGATCTGATGGGAGGTGGAGCTCAGACAGTAATGCCAGCGATGGGGAGCATTTGTAAATACAGATGAAGCTCCATTTGCTCACCTGCCACTCACCTCCAGCTGTGTGGCCCGGGTTCCTAACAGGCCCGGTTCCTAACAGACCCCTGCAATAAAAGATTCATAAGACATACATGTACATCACAATTTCTAAGAAGTAATGTAGAAAGTAATCCTCTGGGCATTATCAGACATGTCTGTACCCACAAAATCCTTTTATTTATACAGAGTAATAGGGTTCAGAATGGTGTAAACTTGGAATCCACTGAAAATTCTCAGTCAATGCCTGCTAACTAAAATGAGTTGATTCAGGTCCAATGTGAGCAATGATCTATTTAATTACATTCTATCCTCAGCTTCTGCCTTTTCTATGCATTGGCCAATGACTTTCTCATTATCCTAAGGATTACTACAACAGCCTCGTAGTTATTCTGCCGGTTTCCTCTCCTGCCTCTTTGCAGACCATGTTCCACACAACAGACAAATAATCTCTGTAGGATTTTAACTAAATCATGTCACTCCTCTGCTCAAAATCTGCAAAACCTTATCAGCTTAGAATAAAATTCAAAGCTTTTACCATGGGCTACTAGACCCTATAGAATCTGGGCTCCAGCCCCCTGCCCCACCTTCTCTTCTAGATTATTCTCACCTATTCTACTCAAGCAATGATGACCATTTTGCTATTTCTAAAACAGTGTGTTAAACCTAATCCTGTTAAACATGTTTCCACCTCAAGTATGCTCTCCACTCAGGACCTTTGCCTTTCCTTTTTCTTATTATAATTTTCTACGAATTGCCAAATGATTCCTTTTCTCACATCATTTAATTCTTTGTTCAAATATTACCTTATCATCCAGGATCTCTGAGACTGCAACATAGTAAATAACATATCTTGCTCTTCCTTTTTCTTTCACCCTGCTCTGTTTTCGTCTTAGTTTGTATCACTTCATATCAGCTCTATGAGGCCAGGAATATTTTTTTTTTCATTAATGTGATCCCTGATAAAATATGTGTTGAATCAACAGAGGAATAAAGAATAAATAAATGGATGAATCCTTTTCTTTTTGAACAAGTTATTTCCAAAAGATGCACAGTAATATGAGTATGTAATAAGAACTTTTATGTCTCCAAGTAAAATCAATAGAGGTTTTTGGTTCAAGTTTATAATTTTAGCCACAAAGGGATAGCCTCATGAGAATCTTCTCTCCACATTGATTACTTCACAACACTTGGACCTTTAACTCTATACCTTGCAAAATGCTCTTAGGACTTTTTCTTATGCATATTTATTCATTCTTTATCCATATTTCCATGTGACATTTTAGATATCTTTCCATTTTCGGTGTCCATCATAGCAGCCCACGAAGCCCTAGATAACAGGATCATGTCCCTTTAACTTGTGTGGTAAAGCACCCAGTACTGAGCCGTATGTACACTGTACTGCACAAAAGCCTTTTAATGATGAACTAGATTTTGATTTCGGTTCATTACGCCTGGGTTTTCAGGCAATGTTCCGGTTTTCAGGCAATGTTCCGGATTTCATGCTTTTGTTTATAATGAGTCATGGCCCCCTTGACAAACAAGAGAGTAATTAAACTAACCAGGTTATCAGTAGAAGCTTGTGATGGATCTCCTGTTGCATATGGTTATTTCATCTTCAATAATAGTTAGATATCATAAAAGATTACAGTCTGTTTGTGTGACAGGAAAGAGAGATTAAAGCCTATGAGAACAATAGTGAAAATACAATCTTACCTGTACCTGTCATGAGCAGTGTCATAATAATTGACAAGTACATGAAGTTTTATTTATAGATTTTTTAATATATTTAATTGGCTTTTGCAGGTGACATGAAATTTTGCTTAACAAAACAATTTTAAAATTATGAAATGATTTCTTGTGTTTGTGAATATACGTATATGTATACACCCATATATAGATAAATGTGTATATATAAGGGTATATATGTATATGTACATTATAAAAGTTATACATATATGATTTATATATATATAAAACTGGGTGTGTGTTTGTGTATATGTGTGTATCTATATTATCTTGTAACAGTTCTCATGCAAACATTTTTTGGAAATATTATTTCATTTTTTTCACCAATTTATTAGCAAGTACTTTAGCAAAAATATTTTCCTTGCAATGTTTTCTAGAACTATAAATAATAAGAATAAAAACACCACAGAGAAATAGAAGTGCAATAATTTCAAAAAGAAGTATTTCCCTTAACAGAAAATGATGTATTTCCTAGGGTATTTTTTTAGTTGAAAGGCAATGTTCCATTGTAAGAGTTTTTATAGTTTTCATATGTTGAAAACTATATATTCAGTATTCACTGAATATTGATAAACCATTAAGTGCTGTACTTTTTAATTGCTTTCCAAAGAAATCAAAATACATCCATAGTGCACACTTAGGCCATATTTCTGAATGAACTAGTTTTTGTATCTTCAAGATTCTAGTTGTTGATTAATAATTTTCTATAGTGTTATTTGAAATATGAATTATAGTATGTTAAAAACTTGGCAGAATAGGAAATATTTATGAAAAGACGCATGCATACAACTCCTAATGTTTCCCTCCAAAATTCTTTTTTTTTTTTTTCGAGATGGAGTTTCGCTTTGGTTGCCCAGGCTGAAGTGCAATGGCAGTCTCAATTCACTGCAACCTCTGCCTCCCGGGTTCAAGCGATTCTCCTGCTTCAGCCTCCCAAGCCTCCCGCTTCAGCTGGGATTACAGGTGCCCACCACTATGCCTGGCTAATTTTTGTAATTTTAGTAGAGACGGGGTTTCACCACGTTGGCCAGGCTGGTCTCGAACTCCTGACCTCAGGTGATCCACCCGCCTCGGCCTCCCAAAGTGCTGGGATTATAGGTGTGAGCCACTGCACACAGCCCCCTCCAAAATTCTTCTATTTACTGTCCTTTTCATCTCAGTCAATAACCTTCCAGCTACTCAAGCCAAATTAAATCACCCTTGACTCCTCTTTTTTTCTCTATGTCACTTCAGTCTGTCTAGAAATCTTATCAGCTCCAATTTCAGAGTAGACCACAAGCCCGATAACTTTCCACCACTTGCACTGCTACCACCCTGGAGTGAGCCACCCACCTTCATTTGCCTTGCTTACTGCATTCCCTACTTTATCCCTAGACTTTTATCCTAGCCTCACTATGGTCTTTTCTCAACACAGCAGCCAGAGTCATCTTTTCAAAAAAACAATCAGATTTTATCTGTACTCTGCAGGGACTCACCATTTGTCTTAGAATAAAAGTCAATTCCTTGAAATGACCTGAGAGGTCCTACCCAGTCTTCCATCCTTTGTTTCTCTTTGGTGTAAACTTGGAATCCACTGAAAATTGGTCCTATCTCCTCCTACTCTCCTTCTTTCTCTTTGTGTCGGCCACACCAATCTTGCTATTTATTAAACAAACTTGGCTAGCTTCAGCCTCAGTGTCTTACTGCAAGCTGTTCCCTCTTCCTTCAAGGTTCTGTCTCTAAATATCCACATAGCTAACTCACTCATTTACATCTAGTCTTTGTGCAAGTTTTGCCATCTCAATGAGGCCTACTCAGATTACCCTATCGAAAATAGTATTCCATTCCATTCTCTGATTCCTCTTACCTTGCAACTATAAGGGTTTTGTTTTTGTTTTACTGTATTGTTTATCACCTTCTAACATTTTATTTAAACTACTTATTTGTGATATTTGCTGTTTATAGTCTGTCTCCCCATTTGTTACCCCATCTAGAATATAAGCTTCATCACGTCAGGGCAATTTACTGCTTTGTTCCTTGAGAAATGCCTGGCACATGTTGACAGCTGAATAACTATGTGAAGGATAAAAAAAAAAGTTATGCTACAAAAAAAGCTTTTTAAGCATCACACTGTGCTAGGCACTGTGTAATGATCTTGGAATATACAAAGAATGAATCAGATATTTAACCCTGCCTTCAAGGAACTGAAAAGGAAATCTGGCATACCCATAAATACAGTACATGATACAGTGCAATACATTTCTTTTTTGTTTTGTTTTGTTTTGAGACGGAGTCTTGCTGTGTCGCCCAGGCTGGAGTGCAGTGGCACAATCTCGGCTCACTGCAAGCTTTGCCCCCTGGGTTCACGCCATTCTCCTGCCTCAGCCTCCCGAGTAGCTGGGACTACAGGTGCCCACCACCATGCCCGGCTAATTTTTTGTATTTTTAGTAGAGATGGGGTTTCACTGTGTTAGCCAGGATGGTCTTGATCTCCTGACCTCGTGGGCCACCCGCCTCGGCCTCCCAGATTGCTGGGATTACAGGCGTGAGCCACCGCACTCGGCCAATGCAATACATTTCTATCAATACATGATAGAAAGTTGATGGTATGAGAGATCCAGATACTCAGAGGCGGGGAAACTTTTTCCAGCTAGAGCAATAGGGAAGAGCATGGGGACACTGATGCCTAATATGGATCTTGAATCTGTGGAAATGGGGAACAACGGCATTCGGGCAGAAGAAACTACATTAAAGAAAAAATCACTAAATTACTAAAGCATAGGGAGGAGGCAGGAAAAAACACAGAATATTTCAAGAGCCCAGGCTTTGAGTTAACATGCCTGACTTCAAAGGCAAATTCTGCAACTAAGTAGCTGTGTGACCTTGACAATTCATTTAACATCTCTGAACTTGACTTTTCACATTTGTAAAATTGAGATAATACCATCAAGCTTAGAGTATTTTTGTGAGGAAATCGAGAATGTAAAGCACCTAGCCCAGTGACTGGCTCCCTGTGATCACTCAATAGATGAGAACTATTACTGCAGTAGAGTTGGACTGGAGTACAGATGGAGTGTTACCCTCACCAATGCCATTTTTCCAGTAGGAAGCAAGGCCAAAATGTATTGCATTTACTCTGCACTCCCTGAAAACATTCATCTATTGTTCACCTTGAAAAATGAAGCTGAAAATGACTAGTCTTGTATTTGAAGCATAAAACACTGAAAATGTGATGCGTTGGTCTATCAGGCATAAGATTGCTTTGAATATAGAAGGAATAAAAATATATGTGTGTCATATTTCTGTTGAGGATTATTTTTACTTATCTACTAGTATTTGTTTGTTTGTTTCTTTTGCAGTTGCTCCTACTATTCAGGAAATTAAATCTGGCACCGTGACCCCCGGACGCAGTGGCCTGATAAGATGTGAAGGTGCAGGTGTGCCGCCTCCAGCCTTTGAATGGTACAAAGGAGAGAAGAAGTGAGGACTTTGTGATTATTACTGTGTTCTAAGCACTTTGAGCTAACGTGCTTGTGTTTCAGATACTTACTTTAGGCAATTTCTTTAACTGGCTTGAATGATTCTCAGCAGCCTCCTCTCCAGCAAGCAAACTGAAGGGGCCCACGTGGGAGGGATGAGTAGCTAATAGCATCCAGAAGAAATGTCCACTTTGGTTTGTATGATCTCAGAAATGCCTGCAAATCCTCCATCACTGATGCATTTCATTTCTTCCCCTCCCTCCTGAAACTGAGTTGCTGGCAACTCAGTTTATTTGGGAAGTAAACCAGCTCTTAAAGGACGTGAGTACAGCTTCCACAAGAGCACTTCAAAAGCAATAGGAACTGCTGTCTTTGCCTGGCTTCCTTGATAAGCCTCAACCCTTTCACCTGCCTTATTCTCCCACAAGATAGTTTAACATTTTGTTTTACAGAACACTATGTTTTAGATATTCTGTCACTAAAGAGGCTGTAGAGGAGATAAAATACATGCCTAAAGGACTAACCAGTGGGATTTTAGGGCTGCTCTTATTTCAACTCTGTGTGATTACTCCCTTGAGAAGACCCAAAAACCTTGGCAAGAGCTACTGAATAAGATAAGACAGGACTTGACAACTTTCTCTTTACTTTCAACCAGTAGGCTCATTCAGACATCTTCAAATTCTGTTATCAATCGATCAAAAAATCACAGGACCCCTGTGGGTGAACTGTATAGAGTCTGCGTCAAAACTAGGGAGGAATATATTCAAGCAAATGCTAGGTTAAACCGTATGAAATTCCCACTTTCGAAGTCAAAAAAGCCAAATGTTGGCAATTCCATACTGTACAACATATATGTAGGGGGTTTACATACTGTATTAGTCCATTCTCATGCTGCTATAAAAAACTGCCCAAGACTGGGTAACTTATAAAGGAGAGAGGTTTAATTGACTCACAGTTCCACATGGCTGGGGAGGTCACAGGAAACTTACAATCACAGTGGAAGGGGAAGCAAACACTTCCTTCTTCACTAGGCGGCAGGAGAGAGAAGTCCCAAGCAAATCGGGGAAAACCCCCTTATAAAACCATCAGATCTTGTGAGAACTCACTCACTATCACGAGAACAGGGTGGGGGAACTGCCCCCATGATCTAATCACCTCCCATGGGTCTTTCCCCCAACATATGGGGATTACAATTCAAATTAAATTCAGGATGAGATTTTGGGTGGGGACACCTCCAAATAATATCATTTACTTATGTCATGGCTCATAACCAATTGCAGCTAAATAGCTGAACAGAAAACTGGTGAAATTATATAAAGACTTAGATATTACCACAAAGGATAAGAACGTATGTGATGCAAGCAGGTATTTTTTTCTGGAACTGGAATCAAAAGATTTGTGGAAGACAATATCCCTTTTTAACATCAACCTTAATAATAAGGGATAATATCCCCATAACAGTCTCATTTCTTTTTTTTTTTTTTTTTTTTTTTTTTTTTTTTTTTTTTTTTTGAGACGGAGTCTTGGTTTGTCGCCCAGGCTGGAGTGCAGTGGCGTGATGTCGGCTCACTGCAAGCTCCGCCTCCCGGGTTCACGCCATTCTCCTGCCTCAGCCTCCCAAGTAGCTGGGACTACAGGTGCCCGCCACCACGCCCGGCTTATTTTTTGTATTTTTAGTAGAGACAGGGTTTCACCATGTTAGCTAGGATGGTCTTGATCTCCTGACCTTGTGATCCACCCGCCTCGGCCTCCCAAAGTGCTGGGATTACAGGCGTGAGCCACCGCGCCCGGCCATACAGTCTCATTTCTTCTGACTGGTTTTACCTAAAATTTTTTTTAGCTATTTTATATGCAACTTCTATAATTTGGGTTGTTAAATTTTTAAATTCTTTTTACTAATTTATATGTTTTTACTAATTCTGAATTTGCCTTTTTATAGCTTAGTAGAAGACTCCATATTTTTATATATTGAGAATTAGATAAACTGGTCTGTGGTCACTCTCATTTCACCCTACAATATTGTACATCTGCCAATATAGCCTTTCTCAGATTTTGATAACCTAGGTTGAGAAGTTTCAGTTTGTAATTATCTATATGGACAAATATCCAGAAAAGTGGTTCTGAATCCTTTATAAGTTATGGAACTCTTTGTTCATGTACAATCTTATTTGGAAGCCCAAGAAGTAATATTTATGAACACAGCACTTCTCGAGAAGATGCTGGGTAAATGGAGCCTCAATTCTACCTGTTCACAACCCTTCTCTAAATTAGGACATCATTGCAGGAGTTCCCCAAATCCCTGGTTCTCTACAAAACACTGTATAAGTAACACTGACAGACTATTTTACATACCTTTCAAAGTCACTTTTTAATTTGTGTCATTAATTTCTTAAAAGCTAACAATCAGAGCTCCTTTGTTAAAGGCCATTTTGTTTCCAATATTTTGTGAAGCAATGTCCTGGATTTTTTTTTTCTGCTCTCTCTTTTTATCTTTTCTAAATTCAGCAACCATTGTCAAAAAAAAAAAAAAAGCTACAGTAATCCTCGGTCCACTTTCTTGGCCTATAGTAAATATAGAAAAGGGCCAATTGGTGCCCACAATCATAGCTTCAGTGATTTTTTTTTTCCTACTGTAGAGATGGACTACAGCTTTTATTAGATTTTCAAAGGAGTTCAGAACCATTTGCTAAAAAGGAAAAGGTAGATTGATTTTCCCCAATCAATGTCCTCCCCAACACACTCACACGCATAGAAAAATGCAGCTGTGAAAATCAAATGCACTTGTGAAAGGCAAACATATTTTCAGTTCAGAGTGAAGCATACATTTATCATCTTTAGGGTTATATTTGAGGCAATACTCAAATTCTCAAATATCATGGTAATGAATAATTTCGTTTCAAAACTTAAGTAAAGCAAAGTTGAGCATATGCAGGGAGTAGGAAAAAGAAGGATTCTGGTTGCTGAATGGTTGCGCTCACTATGCAGATTCACCATAAACGCCCAGGCCATTCAATTATTTACTTCATCAAAATCAAAAGCTAGCCAGGCACAGTGGCTCACGCCTGTAATCCCAGAACTTTGGAAGGCAAAGACGGGTGGATCACAAGGTCAAGAGATAGAGACCACCCTGGCCAACATGGTGAAACCCCATCTCTACTAACAAAAATTAGCCGGGCATGGTGGCAGGCACCTGTAGTCCCAGCTACTCAGGAGGCTGACGCAGGAGAATCGCTTGAACCCAGGAGGCGGAGATTACAGTGAGCCGAGATTGCTCCACTGCACTCCAGCCTGGAGACAGAGCGATACTCTCTCTCAACAAAATAAAAAATGAAAAAATAAAAATAAATAAAAAGCTGTCTATTTAGCAAGCACCTGCTATTGGACAGGTAGTGTTCTAAGTTGATAATATTTACCCATTTTACTCTTATAACAAACCTGTAAGGTAAATATTATTATTCTCAACTTTTACCTAAGGAAACCAAAGCATAGAATGCTTTTAAGTAATTTGCACAAGTTCATACAGTTAGTGGCAGAGCTGGGATTTAAACCCAGGAAGTCTTATAAATCTTCATGCAGAGTCCATGGGTTTAACCCCTATACTATGGCACCTAGTGTAGGTCAAGGCCCTTAAGAGTCTATCAAAACTAATTTGAAATGTCAATGTGAAATACCAAGGGCAAAAGCATTTCAAGTTGTTTATGGATTTGCAAAATAAGAAACTGCATGTACAAACACTCACTTATAATTTCCCAATTTATTTAGTCAAGGACACAGAAAAATGGAGTCAAGAGGAACACAGCAGAAACAGATACAGCATGTTTCAGAGTTGTCTTCTTGACCTCTGAGGTCTTTAACTGGGAACATGAAGCTGTCAGAGACCCTGTCAGAGAGGAACAGAGTTTATTTCTGCAAGATCTAGAGTTTTCTTTCCTAGAGACCTTTTTTGATTTGAGGCTCACATAAATAATCAGAAATAACTTATACGATCGCTTTACTTCTATGTAAGAGAATGTTTATAAATATTCATTTATCTTAAATCAAGATCTTCAAAGCCAGCTCTTCATACAGATAAACATAAACAAATAAACACAAACAAAAAACAGGCAGTGCCTGAACACCCATAGCCCTATCTCTGCCTGCAGTTCTTCAACATCCTGTAAAGTCCATTTCTGTGTGCTAAGAGCAATCAGCTTAAAACCCCTTAAAAGAAGGATGGTAAAATTAAGCACAATTTAAAGAAAAGAAAGAAATATACACTTACTGAGGAAAAAAAAAAAAAACACTTTCCAGTTTCTTTGAATTCTTTTATCTCATTTACTGTTCAGACCTCTGTGAAATAAGATTTTATTATCATCAATTTACTGTTGACAAAACTGAGACACAAGGGACTTCACCTGAAGAGCACTCAGCTTTATGTCACCATCAAGACATTTTAGATGTGATAACCTCTCGGCCCATGTTCTTTCCCTTGTTTCTGATGCCATTATTAGTTATCTATTGCTAAGTAACAAATTAACCCAAAACTTAGCAACTAAAACCAGTAAGCACTAACTATCTCAAGCAGCCTCTGTGGGTCAGGAATCCAGGAGCAGTTTGGCTGGATGGTTATCACTCCGGGTCTCTCATAAGATTGCAGTCAAGATGTCACCTGGTGCTGCTCATCTGAAGGCTTGACTGGGGCTGGAGAATCTGCTTCCAAGATGACTGACCCACATGCCCAACAAGTAGTGCTAGTTATTGGCAGATGGACTCAGTTAATTGCCACGTGGATGTCACCATAGGCGACGAGCTTAATCCAGTATTAGTGATCCAGGAGAGAGCTAGATAGAAGCTGACATGTCCTTTATAACCTAGTTTCAGAAGTCATGCTCTGTCATATCCATAATATATTATTAGCTATATGGGGAAACCTTATTCAATGTGATTTCATGTCATCAAAAACATTTGCTTAATAGGACTTTGGATGCCCTGAAATTGTCATTGTGAGAGGGGACAGCACAGGGACATGAATATCAAGAGGTGAGAGTCATCTGATGCCATCTTCAAAGATGGCTCCCACACTGTCTCTCTCATGCATTATCTAAGTATTTTTTATATTGGAAATATTAGTCATGTGGCTTTTAGTTTATTCCACCATGAGAGTGGCTAATGCTATATACTAGTTATTAAAATATTACCTCTTAGGATAAGGTAGTCATTTTTTAACATGATAGTTTCTTTCAGCACACCTGGAATGAAGAGTATCAATGGGCTTAATTTTACTATGTATTTATTTAAGCCTTGGGAAAATTAGAGTTATAAAGAGAGCCAAATATTTAAACTTTTTTCCTCAATACTGTAGAAGGTTGTTAAGTAGAAATATACTCTTTATATGCATATGCAGTGAAAAGACAATTTCAGAACATCCAAAGTATCATTAAGCAAACGTTTTTGGTGATATGAAATTCAATTAATCTATGTTTGAGAATAGTACATTCATTTAGGATTAAGGCTAAAAACATGAATTGTAATATACTGGCATTTCAATAGGTATTACAAAAACATGGATTGGTATTACTTTGTGAAGATGGTATTACCGTCTTGTCTTAGATGAGATTTTTGTTATTTTGCCTGCACCGTTGAATTCCCTCCTCTTTTTCTAGATTACCTCAAATCCAAGCCTGAGGTCTAGAAATACATGCTTTCTGATTTCTCATGACCATTTTAACTGCTCCAGGCTTTTAGGCAACTGATATGTTAGCTTGACTTAGTCATTTCACAATGTATACATATATAAAAACACTACATTATACCCTATACATATATAAAATTATTATTGGTCAATTAAAAATAAAGTATTAAATAAATGAATAGATTTTAAAAATAGTATTTTACTTACTTTTCCTGTTTTTAGGCAAAGGGCTAATTGTAGAAGTGCTTTTTTGGAATTTTTTAGCTGCAACCGCATTTCTTTCCTATTCCTCTAATATAATTTAATATAGGGATGAAAACGTTGCAAATGAGGTAAACATAAATTACTCCAATGAATGAAAAAGACATTAAAATTATCGATATACTAGTTTAAAAGCTGTGTACCTACAAAATGGAAATTTTTGCATTTGGCAGTGTGGGGCCTATAATATCTTGACTTTTAAGCAACATATTTCAAACTTGGCCTATTCTCTTTTAAGTCATTCCTTATAACACTGCTATAGAAAAAAATGTGATGGTCATTATCATTTTGCCCTGGTGAGAAGGGTTAGTTATCTAGGTGCATAAAATATGCATGCATAGACAAGTACAAAATGTGTGCAGATACGAATGAATGCATAGGAAAATACCTGAAGTCAACCTTGTAGAATATGCCATGTTCACTTTACATAGAGGCATGGTGACCTTTTTCAGTAAGGTTAATGTTAAGTTTCACTTTAGATAACAATTATTTTTCATTCCTGATTTTACAATGGTAACATGAACTTGAGAAATCATAATAAAGAGTAATGACCATTCCTCTCCTCTTTTCTATTCTAAATATTTACTACCTGATTGTCTAAGCAAGCTATAAATTTTATGTGAGTATTTACTTTGCTGCAGGACTGTGGGAGGGTGGGTCTTCTCCCCTTCTTATATTTTTGAGGAAACCAGCAAAATGAGTTAAAATTTTTTTGTATGTAGGAAAATTTTGATTCCCCTTTCTTTACTGTTTTCATGCAATTTATTTATGTCAAAATTATGAATACATTACATTTGCATAGCAGATTATGATTTTCAAGGCTTTATTATGTGTGGTGGCTTTGCAAAATGTTCACATTCGTTCACTTACATAGAGTCAATTCTTAAGCCTGGGGTGCTACATGACAGAGAGAGGAAGAGAGAAAATGCTAGATAGCACATATAATTAAACGGCATGACTTACTACTCTACTGCTTCAAAAATACATACCATGGGAGATATGAAACTGGCTCTCTTTCAGTGGGTCTTCATTCCCATGTATCTCTGATAGTATGAGCATCTCTCTATTTTTAATGAGGTTTTAATGTTGAAAATGTTAGTTTAATGTAACATGGCTCTGAAACAAAGCCAACTACTTTAGTGCTCACTCATCAACAGTGAGGTAAAGCAGGGATCAGCAACATTTTTTAAAACATATGTTCCCATGAGTAAAATAAAAAAATTAGCAAAAACTAACAATATTTCCATACTGATTTTTACTTATGGTTATGCATTTCTGAACTAGTGTATTCATGCATTAAATGAGCTGAGACAGAAAATTTTAAAAATGAGATAAGAATACAATACAAATGGACCTTCTGTTATTTTTTTCTCACACTCCAACTAGTCATTTATTTCTACTTTAAGATACTTGCTTTCCATTTTGGAAACTATTGTAAAGTATGGTAGTTTGAAACAAGGAGTTTAAGGAATTTTCAAGATTAATTTTAACAACATGCAACTTTACCTTATATGCTGACTTTGCTATCTTATAACACATATTTTACAACTTACTACATACTATCTTACTCATTCCTTGTATAATTCTAACCGGATTACATATGATAATAAAAACTGTATCTTTTGAAGGTGAAATGACTTGAAGGAAAGCAGACCTAATTTCCAGACTCCTATGTCAGGATATCTCTCTTCTAGATTTTACATTACAAGTTTGATTATTCAGAAAGGACTAGAAGTACATTCTGTTTCTCTTTTGCTTTTATCTTATCATTCACAAGGTGGTTCTTACCAATGTAGGCAGTTATATGCAACGTAGGCAGTTATATGTTTTGATTTAGAAGAGTACTAGAAATAACCTTATTACCATTTCAGATTAACAGTGATCTTCTCTTCTAACTTCAGATTTCACTTCTTCATTCACCTGTAAGATAATTTGAAAAGTTTCACTTCTTCATTAATCTGTGAGATAACTTGAAAAGGAAAGAAAAGTTCTTGAATTGAAGAAACTTGCATTTCTAGTGTTATCTCATTATTATATTTTGCTATGTCGTGTTATGTTGTTTATTATTTTATTTATTTCATTTGATTATATTTCTTTTAATAACCAATGTGGTGTCAGTACAACTCTTACCACGTTTGTGACGACTTTAACATTCAAGGCCAGAGATGCAAATAAATATATGAAATAACTGAAAGCATTTCAGCTACTGGGAACTGAAGAGCACATGCCCGTGTGAGACACAAATACATATTATTACATTGAAAACATTGGGTCAAACAAAGATGAAAGTGGGCCACCTCCAGTTTATATCCTGTGACTTAGAGTGTAGGATTTGTCATAAAAATCAGCAAAATGAAATAAGTACTAAGTAAGAAAATTTTCAGGGAACCCTAAGCCAAGACCTGTGAAAGTGCACAGTAAGAGCCCATTCAACTCAAATAAAAGGGTTACAGAATACTTCAGGGCAAATGTAGCTTTTTTGCTGGATGCCAAAGGATGAGTAGCACTTCCAAACATTCCACGGGGTTAAGAATAATCATGGGCGGCCGGGCGCGGTGGCTCACGCCTGTAATCCCAGCACTTTGGGAGGCCGAGGCGGGCGGATCACGAGGTCAGGAGATCGAGACCATCCCGGCTAAAACGGTGAAACCCCGTCTCTACTAAAAATACAAAAAATTAGCCGGGCGTAGTGGCGGGCGCCTGTAGTCCCAGCTACTTGGGAGGCTGAGGCAGGAGAATGGATGGCGTGAACCCGGGAGGCGGAGCTTGCAGTGAGCCGAGATCCCGCCACTGCACTCCAGCCTGGGCGACAGAGCGAGACTCCGTCTCAAAAAAAAAAAAAAAAAAAAAAAAAAAGAATAATCATGGGCAAGAGAAGAACGTGATCAATGTCATGTAAGCATTATGCGGAAGGTTTTTAAATGTCTTGGTGTGCAGGATATGAAATCAGGTATAACAGGAGTTAGGGCTAGAAAGGCACCTTAGGGAAAGACTTGGAGGGTCTTAAATGTTACAAGGCATTTGGACTGGATTCCAGAAGTATTGGAAAGCTATTGAGGGGATTTTCAAGAGTACTAAAACAATCTAGTCCCTTTTTTGTGTGTAGCAGTAGTTTAATTTAATTAATTTATTTATTTATTTTAGATTCAGCAGGTACATGTGCAAGGCTGTTATATGGGTATATTGCATAATGGTGAGGTTTGGGTTTCTAGGGCACCCGACACCCAAATAGTGAACATTGTACTCAATAAGTAATTTTTCATCCCTCACTCCTCTCCCAGCCCTCCCACTTTTGGAATCCTCAGTGTCTATTTTCCATTTTTATGTCCATGTGTACCCATTTTTTAACTCCCACTTATAAGTGAGAATGCAGTATTCGATTTTCTGTTTCTGAGTTATTTCACTTAGGATAATGGCCTATAACTCCATCCATGTTGCTGCAAAGGACATGACTTTATTCTTTTATATGGCTGCATAGTATTTCACTGAATATATGTGCCACATTTTCTTTATCCAATCAACCATTGACGGATGCTCAGGTTGATTCCATGACTTCGCTATTGTGAATACTGCTATGATAAACATACAAGTGCAAGTGGCTTTTTAATATAATTATTTGTTTTCCTTTGTTTAGTGGAATTGCTGGGCCAAATAGTAGCTCTGCTTTTATTTATTTGAGACATCTCCATAGTGTTTTAAATGGAAGCTGAACTAATTTGCATTTCTACCAGTCATGTACAAGCATACCCTTTTCTCCACATCCACACCAACATCTGTTGTTTTTTTGACTTTTTAATAATAGCCATTTTGACTGGTGTGAGGTGGTATTTCATTGTGGTTTTAATTTGCATTTCTCTGATGATTAGTGAAGCTGAGCATTTTGTGTATGCTTGTTGGCAGCTTGTATGTCTTCACAAAATATTTCTTAGAGTAGTTGGAAGAAATGGATGGGAAAGTTAAAATATGGCTTAGAGTATTAGATATGCAGTTAAAAAGCAAGAGAGAAGAAAGGTAGTATTTGCTTATTTCCGTGACTAATTGGATATAAGGAAAGGAAAATTTGAACGTAATTCTATGTTTTCCATCTAGACAACAAGATAAAGAGTGAAGCCACTGGCTGAGGCTGGAACACAGGAAGAAAGTTTAGGGAGGGACCACGCTCAGTTCGGTTTGGAACATACTAGAATCAAGGGGTTAGTACTGCACACACAGAGTCTACCCATAAACAGCTGGAATTAGGTTGTGTTTTTAAAATGCGTAATGATCGTTCTAAAATAAATAGTTGATCTTACACTTTATGTATGAAGCCTGTCGGTGTTTCTTCACTGTCCCTGGAATAAAGTCCTCACAACAGAGGGTGGTATGTAGGTTTCTTCACATTCTGGCCCCTGTATTCCACTCTGGCTATGAATCTTGCCATTCTACCCTCACACAACAGGAGCTGTGGCTATCCTGAAATATTTCCATTCCCAGACTTTGATATGAGCTCTCTCTTTCAGGCCTCTTCACATGTTGGCTCCTTTGTTTGTAAGCCCCTTCCACTCACATACCCATTCCTGGCTGCCTTTGGCTGGCAGCCTTCCACTACCTAGTCCTTCAGTCTCCTTGGGGATGTCACCTTCTCCAGGAAAGCTACCACAACGAGATTTTTTCTACCTGGGAGGGAGCTCTTCAAATGTACCCTCATGGGCTCACATCTAACAAGCACTGATTAAACTAAACACAACCTATTTTACTTTTTCATCTCTCCTGCTAAGCTCTAAATCTACCTGGAAATGAGGATTCTGCCTTGTTCACTATCATGTCCCCAACGCTTATCATGGTATTTGGCATGAATGATACACTCTGTTGGAAGACTGCGTTATAGCCTTTTACTAAATATAAAGTAGAGCCATTCTTATTTTAACACACTTTCAAGTTGGTGAGAGACTATTAGTACAAATGAATCCTGTCACCTTAGATTGCAGGACATTGTAAACCCAATATATGATCAGAGAAAGGAAGCTGATTTCTGTTGCTCAATTCTGGCTTCTCAGGATTTTTTCTTTGTGAATATAGTTTCTGAGAAATGGTTGTGCTGTTATATTATGGGGTAATATTTTACATTAAAATCATGGGCATATTGATATTAGAAAAATAGTTCAAGTGGTGGGGAGAAATCCAGTCATAGGCCAGGTTGCCAGGGATACAGGAACTCACAGCAGTCAGGGAGGCTTGACATCTGTACTGTAGCCATTGTTTATTTAACGTAGGGTTAAAAGGGAATATCCTCCCATGCGAATCAAATTGTCACAAGGAAAGCAGCCCAAATATCTCTAATCTAAAATTATTAATTTCATTAAAATTGATAAAGTAAATAAGACATGCATTTTAAATAGCTTAATAAAGTCTAGATTCATTAAAGTGTTCTAATATATTATAATAACATTAATTTATTCAAATGCACAACTAAAGATAGATACCCCTTGGGGCTAAGACAGTGATGCATGATATTCTTCAACCTGTTCCTAGGAATAAATGATATCATATTGTTTTCAAGCCTTAAGTATCAAGCAGCACAATAAACCAGTAGGTTGCCATAGCAGCATATTCACATAAATTTTCGTTTCTCTCTGGTATCTAGCAGTTCTTGCTCCTCCTCCTCCCTTTCACTTTTCTTTTTTGTTAAATCTGTGAAAAGCTTAGATGAGATTGATGATGCACATGTAATTGATACTGAGTTTGGCACATCTTGAAATCAGGATGCCATGATCTTTTCAGTCACTCTCCTAGATCTTTTCTTTAAAAATAATTTCCTGAATGCTCAATATTTAATATTTTTCTGCCAACTGAGAGGAAATGTATCTGTTCTAGGAAAAAGACTCTATCATTGAACAATAACACCTATCATAATCTAGTGCCTACTGCATTTGGCATATATGTACATAAATATTACACATTAAATATTTTTAAAAACATTTTAACATTAACACTTTGTGATTGGCTTCATTTCTCCCATTTCACAGATGAAAAAACTAAGAATTACAAAAATATAAAAACATAATTCATTCAGACAAGCATGCAACAATTACTCTATACCTATTCAGAATCCAACACTATAGTACATGCTTAGAATACAGTGAATAACAAAATCAACCTTGAACCTTGCCCTAACAGAGTTATACTCTAATGAGGAAGATGGATATTAATAAAAAATCACACAAATATATGAAAACTTAAAGCTGAAATGATGTTAGAAAAAGAAGTATTTGACGTTATGATGATAATTTGGCCAAGCCAAGCAGAATACAGTAACCCCATACCATCACGATAACTGGAACTTTACAGAGAATTTTAGGATTACTCTAAAATACTGCATTCTTGTCATTTGGATAGGTTGCATTTTTCTTCCATTCTTGACTATATTCTACATATACACTATGAGGAGGGACTTTCTTCCATCCAAATATTTAGTGAACCTAGAGGAAGAAAAACAAACAGTAATTGATGCTGAGAGTGTGTGTAAGTTGGAGAGAGTGTGAGCAGGGAAGGAGGAGAGAACCTACTCTATGTTTCTCATCTCAGGCTACAAGAAGCCTGGAAGGCTGACTATGTGAAGCTAGACACAGCTGCTCTAAAAGCCTGCACTGAAAGACATAACTAAGCCCCAAATACATAGTCAAGAGGCTTCTGGTCCAGAGATATATCCAGATAGTATCATTTTTTTAGTTAATTTTTTACCCATTAGACTCACCTCTGGATCAAACCTGGCTTTCCTGGCATAGGTGACACATACCACTTGGCTATTTAGCTCCCTTGGTTTTATTCCTTGGCTTGACTCGATTTTCTTGAAGTATCCATGATTTCTGATTTGTCTCTCCAAACTTAGATACAATATCCTGGTTTCTACTTAGCGATTTGAATGTCAGTTGCTACTTTCGGAGGGTACCAGTAGTCAGAGGACCTATATTTAAATCTTGATTCTGCCACTTGTCAGATGGTGCAAGATAAATTAACCTAATCTTCTTAAATGTCTGTTTTCTCACCTATAAAATGGGACTAATAACAACTACCTCCTAGGATTGCTGTGAAGATTTGTTGATACGTACATTTCAACATGCTTAAAGTTTTCTGTGTGTCGATTTTTCACACTCGTAACACGAAACATTATTGTGTACAATGCTGAATTTTTTTTTTAATTTTGGGATGGAGTCTCACTCTGTTGTCCAGGCTGGAGTGCAGTGGCAGGATTTCGGCTCACTGCAACCTCCGCCTCCTGGATTCAAGCAATTCTCCTGCCTCAGCCCTCCGAGTAGCAGGGACTACAGGCGCCCACTGGGATTACCACGCCTGGCTAATTTTTGTATTTTTAGTAGAAACGAGGTTTCACCCTGTTGGCCAGGCTGGTATCGAACTCCTGACCTCAAATGATCCACCCGCCTCAGCCTCCCAAAGTGCTGGGTGAGCCACCATGCCCAGCCACAATGCTGAAAATTTTTAGTATGAGATTACTTCAGTCATAAATGTATTGAGAACAGATAAAATGTCCCACATACATAAAGCATTCCTGGTCACATTGAAAAGACTAGAAATACAGTCTGATTCACAGCCTACACACACACACACACACACACACACACACAGAGAGAGAGAGAGAGAGAGAGAGAGAGAGAGAGAGAGAGACATATATATATATATATATAAATAAAACTCCATCCTTGAGAAAGGCATTATAGGATGTGTTGTGGAAGGGACCTGTATGCTATCTTCATGTCATCTTCAGAGTTTCAGGTAGAACTATGGTCCTTGAGGTAATAACTATGTCATAATTTTCCTCTATGGTTCCTAACTCTCTTTCAGCATAGAAGGCATTTAATCGTAATTTGATAACCAAATAAAACCTCATTTTTGTTAAGTCCATGTAAGAGTTCTACCATCACTCATGACTTCTTCTAAATCTTTCTCTTTTGTTTTAATTTGAGCTGTATCTTTAGTTCACACAACATCTTGGAATTCTACAAGCCTACAGTCTATTGCTGACATTAACATTCCTTGTCTTTGTAAATAAAACTTTTATGATTCAAGGGTTAACTTCCCCCACCATCTAATACCAAAGATTGATTAATAAGACCATATTAATCTACCCACTCATATAAAATGATATATCATTATCATGTTCTCTCATAATTCCAGTCTGATAAAAGATTTATCATTATTTGAGAATGCCTCCCTCACTCTTATTCCAAGTTATTCTAATATTTAAAATGTTGTCTGATACTTCTTAATATATATGTCCTACATTAGGAATGAAGTCTTTCTGAGGCTGTTTTCATCTGCAAGTTGGTTTCTCTAGAGATATCTGTTGTTATTCCTGACCTGGAAAGACAGATAGTGAACAATAGTCTTAAAATGTGGATTGAGACTGGATTTATATATAAAATGAATGAGGTCCAGTGTAGCTGCTCCATTTATTAATATTTTTGTAATCTTAACAATCAGTGCTGATGGCTATGTGGCCAGTTTTTTGGGGTGATGTTGCTGCAGGCTTTTCTGGTCATCCCAGATAGCTGCTGCCTGGAGGGAGGTTATGACTGTAAAGTTTCTGTCCATTTTGTGAGTCAGAAATATAAGTATCTGTAGTTATCAGCAGGCTTTCCATGTGCTACTTCTGACTGACACTAGAAAATATAGGGGACTATTCTAATTCAGAACTAGTTAGTGGGTTGGGCTGTGTTACTTATGAGCTGACAGCCTTGGCTAGCAAAGCAAATAGCCTGTGGTTCACAGATTTATGAGGCATTGGCAAAAGCCAGAAGGGAGAAGAGGAGCGAGAGTTATGGTTCTCGATGTGGAGCAAACTTCTATTGGTGTCAGAGAGTAGAGGACAGCAGGGTCCACAGAAATAGAAGGATCTTATAACTATATTCCCTATGATAAAAACGCAATGAAGAAAAATGACCAGGTATTTCCAAGTAGGCACCATATAGTACTGATCTATGCTGAAGAAATGGATGTCATATTTAACTCCGAGCTCTACAGAATTTGTTTCTCTTTTTTTTTTTTTTTTTTTTGTGGCAGGGAGGGGCAGGGTTTGGCAGGGGCTATAAGAAAGCATATTTCATTGTATAATCTAAGTCAATATAAGAATGATTCTTTTTACAGAAATAAAGTTATAGACAATCATATTAGAATAAATCAATTTTGTAAAGAAAAACATGTCATCAATTAGAGAGCTCTTTTATCATTATTTGGTTTTAGTCAAGGAGTGAATCACATTAGGGTCATATATGCTGGAGCTTCTAGCTGTGGCTCAAATTTATATATCCAGTAATTAAGGGTAGATATGTTTATATTAACAAGTTCCCCACAGTGACCAAAATACCCTTCTGTTGTAAACACCTGTTTATGTGCTGGATTCTTCTCCTTGGCTCTGACCTTCTCAAGAGCAGAGATCATGGGTTGCCCAGTCTTGTCCCTAGTCACTCAGCCAGCATAGAGCTCATCTTTGTAGCAATTTAATGAATATTTTCAGAATTGATTTGAATAATTGAGAAAGCCCGTCTTCATACCCCAGAACTCTCCAGGAAAATCACAAAAGTACATTCTCTAGACATATACACCATATCAGAAGTCACTCTCCCACAAAGTCAGCTTTGCAAAGTCCTTCTTCCAGCCATCTACCAGATGAAGATAGGTTCTTACGTGATGTTTGAGGAGTTAGCACTTCTAAAACACACAACTGCAGAAGAAAGTAAGCTTTAGATTTCTCTAGTAATTTCAGAAAAGTAGCTTTCCCCAGAGGGAAGAAAATTACCTCGGGGAACTTAGTTTTCTTTTTTATTGGCCATAATAACCTGCCTGGCTGATCCGAGTAGCAGGGGTTGGAGCACTAATGCTCCACTCTGGTAAGGATGCACACGGTACTGCTGGCCAGAGGCCCAAAATGGGCCCACACATACAGAGTATGGATGCGCTACATGATTCAGCAACATCTGTGGCTGTGCCTTCAGATACATTTAAGGGCAGGGAACTGGAAGCTAATTCACCCAGAAAGACAGAAAGACAGCCATAAGGAACATAAGCATATAGTGCCATGGAGTGTCTGAATTTACTTCCTCAAGTATTTCCCCTGGGTCTAGCCAGTTGAAGGCCCTGGTTAATTTCTCTCTCAACTCTTCGGCAGGTAAATAGTCCTACTGTTGGTCGATGGAGCACAACAGGGATTTAGTAGTCTAGGGAGTTTCTGAGTCCTCTGGAGAATGTGTCTATCACAAAGATGCGGGCAAATTCAAGTTATAGTGCTGAAACTTGCAAGGCAATGAAACTGGTTTTTTACACAGCATATATACGGATTAGTTAAAAACGAAGTTGTTAATGTGATGCAGAAAATATATAATAATGACTAGGGGAATTTAGCATAAATGTTGCTAGGCTAAAAATATGAGAGAGAAGAATAAAAGCTGCCATATCCATGATATTTTATGCCCCATTATCTTATGTCAGAGTTGGAGATCATTAAATTTATTGCTCAAGCTAAAGTTTGTTCAATGTTTATTTAACTCACACTTTTATTAATCTGATTAAAGTTTGCATTTGGGGTAAGCCAAATTCAGCTATTACATGAAATATAAGTAATTCCCAGAGTAATCAAGTATGACTGCTCATTTTAATCTGCATTTAACTACAGTATATTTCATCTAAATTCAGGTGCAAGCCACACAGTATAATGCAAAGGAGTTCAAATTGAACTCTCAGGGGATGCCATTTATTAGCATTTTCATAATTTAAAAAAATACAAAAACTTGAACACATTAAAGAGAGAAAAACTACTATGCCATTTGGACTATCAGTTTACATAGCCTATGTTGTGATCAGTGCATCTCCTTTGCAATAAACTTGGGGTAAATTGTGTAGAAGTTATTATCAAGTTGACATACTCATTGTAGGAAAATTTATATTTAAAGAGATAATTTCTTGAAGAGGTGACTGAAGCGGGCTTACTAATGCCTATGTTGGGGGAACATCACCTGAATACCATTGACCTTTGTACTATTTATTATGTATATAGGATATCACTATTAAGTGCTTTGTAGGATTCAAATATCAGAGAAAGCATGTGCATTTAGCCTTTCCTTTTGAGGAATTTAAAACAATTCAATGTATTTGCTTTGAAAAGACTTGTATATATGGAAACTGCTAGAGAGAATAGTACAAAAGAAACATACAGAGAGAGATATAAGAGTCCTTTAAGATAAATTAGAAAAAGAGAGATAAGTCTTAGGTTAGACCTAAATGAGGAAGGAAGAATCTGACTAGCAGAAATAGAAGGTACAAGAGATAGGCTACAGATTTAGAAAAAGGGTGAAGCAGAAGTAGGTACAACATGCATTGAGAATGGTGAAGCCATGTCAGCCTATTTCAGAGTGAGGGCCTCTGGTGGTAAATCCAGAGACTGTTGGACAATTAGTTTGAATTTGGGTATAGCTGAATCCCATGCTGAAGTCCAGAGAGTTTTAAAGTCTTTCCATGGCACATTCCTAAAATGTGACAGTGATGGGACTCAACTTTAAATGCTATCTCCAATACTATATGACTGTCTCTTTTTAGGTTTAATGGAAGTTATCTGTCTGGGTTGTACAAGAGTAAAGTGGTGTTGACTCTGGACTCAGAACTATCCTATCACAGTTGTAGGGTTAACTTTCAAGGGAGTTATTTAATAATGTCTGAAATGACCCAGACATACTCTCGCCAGCTTACCTAGAAACCATCAGTTTGTACTTTCCGTGGAATCTTTATATTTATTTCCCTTAAACTCCTTCCTGACTTTAATAGATGAGATATTATTGGTATGGTATGTTTCATTTTCTAAAATATGTAACAGTGCCTAAATAGGACATGTAGCTATCCAAGCTCAGTTTGTTATATAGCACAAATAATCCCACAGGAACAATCTACAGCTGACATGCAACCTCACCTCCCCCAAATCTACTAATGTAAGTGAAATGTAAATTGCACCATTATCACGTTATATGCTAACGTCAGCGTAGTTGAATTGTCTATGGGTTGCCATGACAACCCCAGCTAAGATAAAAAAATGAAACTGGTATTCACAATACATATTTACCTAGAGCTTATTTTGTCTTCTAGGCTCTTCAATGGCCAACAAGGAATTATTATTCAAAATTTTAGCACAAGATCCATTCTCACTGTTACCAACGTGACACAGGAGCACTTCGGCAATTATACCTGTGTGGCTGCCAACAAGCTAGGCACAACCAATGCGAGCCTGCCTCTTAACCGTAAGTAATGCAATGGTACCAAAATGCTTCCAGGGGCCTCTGGGCCCCTATCCATCTGTAGAGATAAAACCTAAGAATGGAGTACGTTCATTTTAAAACTCAACCTGATGTGACACATTCCTTATACATCACGCAATCCTTACACATGGAAACTTTGCTCCCAAATCATATAGTTGTCCAAGGATTTTATAATCCCTGTAGAAGTCGACATGTGTTTAAAAAAATATGTTAGAGCTGAGAAAGGAAAAAATACATAAATAATAGGGCTAACTGAAAAAGTGTCTTTTGGCTGAAGTCAGTAGATTTGGTGAGATTTTGTTGTTTTTTAAATGTATTGCATATTCTTGAAGTATAGATTAACATGGCTTGAATTTACTCTTGGTTGGTTTTCATAAAACATTCATCTTGGGGTAGCCAGAATTTCACAAGCCATACATAAAATGAAACAGTAAGTAAATGATCATGGACAAAATATTTTATCCATATAGATAATATTTTTACTCAAAATTGTATTTTAAAATAAAACTTAAGATTTTATTCAAATAAATACTACATTTCTAATGTATCTTACTTCCTAAGGACTAAAAATTAATAAAGAAGCACAAACACAAGGATCGGGTAAAAGGCTAGAAACCTCCATGAATGTTTCCTCCTATAATTAATTTTACTGCTGTTTAGAAGCTGAGTAACCAACAAATTGTTGCAGCCACAAAATATTCTTAATTTTGAAATCAAATGTTTCTCAAAATGTTCAAAGAAGACTAGAGAGAGTATACTGTCTTTTCAGTGCCACAAAGTTATCTGAATTATCCTTATCTCTTAGAGTTAATATTTTATGGTAACTTGACAAATGTATATTTGTCTTACGATCTTGTTATAGTAAGCTATCTCTGAAAAATGCAAATATTGTATAGTTCATCATAAATATCATTTCTGTTTTGCAGAAATGGGGATGGGATATATGATGTTCCTACAACTTAAAAATATACTGTAATAAGTTTCCATGATTTATGAGCTTTACATTACCATAATTTAAGAATGCTGATGTGAAATAAAACATATCAGTTTATATTACATCTTTTATTATCCCAGCCTAATATCCTTTAGCACTCGATTTGAAAGAAAAACATTGCTTGCCATGCAATAGTTATAGTATAATATGCTTGCTTAAGTTCCTTCCATGAGGATGATTTATTTAGTGAAATTATGAATAATATAAACCATTGAAAATATTATAAAGCAGTGTGAATTCCAACTTAATGTAAATATTGATACTTCTTTGGTATATTATTAATATTTTAAATGGTTTAAATATTCAAGCACTTGAAAGAATAAATGAATTAACACGGCAAAGTAAAGAAAAATTTAAGGCTTAATAACATATTACGTTTTGCTATTTAAATTTCTAAATTACATTCTGATTTTCAAAACTGAAACATTAATGAATGTGAAAAATTAGGAACAAATGCCACTTGTGTAAACATTTGTTTTACTCTGGCAATCTTAACACAAATGTCTGGAAATAATATAGTGCTGAAAAGGCTTCTAAACGTAGTGCCTTCAGAAGAGACTCTCATCATCTCTCTCTGCCATTGACTTGCTGTATGCTGAGGTGCTATTAAGTACATACAATTTGATTAATTTGTTAATAAAGGCAAATGTGAAAATCTTGTCTGTAATTATGAACATAGCCCTGGGAGTTTGAAAAAATGTTCATATATTCAGAACCCCTGGTATGACCTCATCTGAAGCTCTTACTGCACTAAGCATTTTTATTTTGTCTTATAGTTATTTTTATATATATTCCATCTCTCCATCAAATTATAAGTTCTTTAAAAAGACAGGATCTATGTCTGATTAGTTATTTTATTTCCCATATCACCAAGCACAGCACCTGCTATTTAATAAGCAAGGAGTAAATCTTTAGTGAATAAATGAATTAAACATTGAGTAAATGAATGGATGGATTAATGAATAAATAAATGAGTGAATGAGTTTTAGCTGTAGAATTTGTACTTGTAACCTCTACAGATACAAGGCAATATGACTGTAATTACAAATAGCACATTGTTAGCTTACTCTGAAACAGACCCTATTCTTATTTTTTATATAAACTTGTTCATTTAATTCTCACAAAATCCAAAGAGCTAGATTCTGTAATTCTCCTCTTCTAGAAAAGGAAACTTAGAGAATATAAATGTGGCTGAAGCCAAATGGTTAGTGACAAAGCAAAACCTTAAACCCTGACAATCTGGCTTCAGATTCTAAGCTTTTATCTACAATGCCTACACCCGGCAAAGCACGGCACTAGATGTTGGAAAGAAAAGGGTGAGTAGGACTGGAACCCCATCCTGAAGGAGTTCTCAGATGAGTGAGAAGTGAGAAACAGTCAAGCAAGCAACGATAATGCAATAAGGTCAGTGGTACCATAATGGGGCAGAGAAGGTGCTCTTACTATAGTCTCAAGGGTCATGAAAGAACTTTTATCTAGAGTAGCCAATACCACTATCTGAATTATATCTAAGGTACAACTCAAAACATCATCTTAGCAATGACTATCTCACTTTCTGGGGCAGAACTTTGCAGGAGCTCATTCAACAACAATCATGTGCACAAAGTATAGTGACACAAAAAAGAGAATGATCAACTCAGTCAGTCTCAAGGACTCAGGGAAAAATATAAAGGAGATGCCCCTTGAGGTAAAGGTGATTAGGATGAGCCTGGGTGTGGGAATGGTGATGGAAGAAAGAGAGAGGCAAGCACTCTAGTGTTGAACCGCTCATGTAAAGACATGGCAGTATGAAACAATTCAATACATTTGAAGACACAATAGTACTTTAAAATGGCTAGAATAAAAGGTAGAAGGAGAGTATTGAGAGATGAGGGTAGACAAGTTGACACGATGAAGATGAGAGAGTTGAAATGAGTTTTGGCTGTATCCTGGTTTTGGAGAGTTACGGAAGGATTTTAACAAGGGAATGATACAAACAGATTTGGTTTCCAAAAGACACTCTTAGGCATTGTGGACTGCTAAACCCAGTATTAAACTTTTAATTCTAAAGGCAAAATAGCAATAATAGTAATAGCACCAAAAAGAGTAGCAGAGGTGAGAGAGTTGAGAGCTAATTAGGAGATAGCCATTAATGACCAAATCTGGCAAGAAAAGGAAGGGAGTTGCAAGGATCTAGATAACTGCTAATGTTTAGTTTGCATGAAATTAGCCAGAATAAGTACATAAGAAAAGAATTAAGGTTTTTAGATTTTAAAAGGAGGTAGAAATTAAAAGAAAAAATTAGGTCATTTCTAGATATTTTTAGTTTGAGGCAATGTCTAATAGGTAGCTGGGTATAAAGTCCAGAATGGAGACATAGATTTAAAGTTATCAGAATGGAGGTGATAGTTTCAGCCATGAGAGTAAATGAGACTTCTCATAGAAGCCATGTAGAGTGATAAGATTACCAAGAACAGAAATCCAAGTAAAATTAGCATCGAGTGAGCCTAGGAAGAGAAGCATCCTGCAGAAGCAAGCAAATTCAGTGTGGATGGAGATGCCTGAGGAGGGTCAGCACTGTGGAGTGCTGTGAAAGCTGTGAGAGCAGCCCATTTTAGGAAGAATGAAGAGTCAGCACTGTCCTGTGCTACGTCTACTCAGGGAACATCTGAAAATCAACCACTGTCTCTGACATTTGGGCAGTTAGTTACTGGTGACCTTTGCCAGAGCAGTTTCTGTGTAAAACTGAGAGTAGAAGCCAGATTTCTGTGGATTAAGGTTAAATAAATAGATGAGGAAATAGAGACATGGATAATAAATTGCGCTTTTCAGAGGTTAGGCTATGAAAAGAAGAAGACAAGGCTGATGTTATGCCTTTATGTCTAGCTGCTGGTCTGATTAGGATTGCTTTCTGATTAATAGGCCCAATGGCTGTGTGTATATGAGCAGCTCCCTGATCCGCAAAGATACAACACCCTAACATTTGATGAACTATACTATAGTGAACTTGCAATGTTTTCTGTTTTTCTGCAAGTCTCCATCATTTTCAGCTTGTTTGCCTCTTTCTCAAATCTTCTTTGGGTGCGAGGGAAATAAGCAAAAGTTTTGATTTAACATGAAGACAACTTAAACCCCTTTATCTTCCATGGCCTGTAGGCTTTAGGCAGTAATTGTAAGAGGACCTATAATTTTAAGTAGAGGTTTTAGTAATTTCATCAATAGAATTACTTTAAATTACTTAAGGTAAAAATGTATGTTTTCTAAAATAAAGAGAAAGCAAACTTTATGGTGGAAAAACTACAGGAAAGCTAGTATACAATGAAGATCCCTCATCCTCTAGATTCTCTGTCCAAAAATTCCTGAAAGATTTCTATGTTGTAAAAAGTACAAAATTGGAAGGGAAGAGAAGGAAAGGCAGAGAGAATATTGTGCAGATCACTGTATATTAGCCCTCAGGAATGAAGTGCTTTAACAAAATTTATAATGGATGACAGTATGCCAACTATTCATAGCAAAATTCTTATTAAATAAAAAATTGGGGATTCAAAGATATTTGTTATTTTATTGTTATTTTTCAGTGCGTTTTTTGCTTCCTGAACATGAGCAACTAAAAAAATGTTTCTTCCAAGTCTGTTTTTTAAAGACTATGAACTGAGTGGTCCCATCCTGCCATCTATGGGTTCAATTCATCAAATGTATGCTATCACTTTAGTGGGAATTCAGTAATCAGTAAAACATAGTTATTTCTATAAGTAAAACATGTTGTACACGCTTTGTTTCTCACTTCCACAAAAGTACAAATATTTATTATAAGACACGTATTCAAAGACTTGCCATCTAAAGGGAAATAGAATTAATTAAGATGGAAGAAAGCTGCATAAGCAAAGTGCTTAGAATTTACACAGCCTTAGTTTAATACAACCCTCTCCTGAGACCTAATATATGGAAATATTTGGTACAAATTGAGTCTCACTATTGATGAAGACTCATTGCTTAGAGTCCCAAAATAGGTAATGATAATATTGCTATGATGTGTGGATGCTAAACTCCCATCTCAGGTGTACCTAAAAATATAGTGTCAAATCCTTTACTGTAGTATAGGTTCTACAAGTCCTAATGATGCTATAGGGATATCTGTGTGTGTGTGTGTGTGTGTGTGTGCATGTGTGTGTGTGTGTGTACTCGTGTATGCATTTATTCAAAGTAACAAAGCATTTGTCTCAGAAATATTACACATAACACATTCAAAGGACCGATCAAAACTGTCTTTTCCCTGCCTTAGCAGCCTTGTGGAGACAATAATGAAGTCCCAATTTTAAATGCTTTATGCAGTCAGGGCTTTTTAACTTTCTGGAATGTCTCCTTTCATATCAGAGAAAATTTCTTCCCAGCCTGTTTAATGTGATGGGCTTCTTTTCTTTTCAGATAAAAAAGAAGTCAGTAGCTAGTATCCAAAAGGAAATGGAAGAGTCTACTGGAGAAAGTAAGAGAGAGTAATGTAACTGTTTTTCCCTGGTTAGATTCAACCGATGCAAGCGAACAGTACCTTTCAACTGATTTGTTGAATATGAAACTAGCTGTGTCCTTGCAAGTAATATTTCAGCTCTCTGCTTGCTTCAGATGTTCCCACATGCCAGTAAGCAACTGTATGGGCTCTGTTACTTTTACCTATTATAATGAACCCTGAAAGGTGATACCACAGATGTGAATGACTCCCATTTTAGATAGAAATTTATCTCTCCTCTTGCAACTTAAAGGAGATGGGGTTTTCATTTTGGTTGAAAGAGGCAGTAATAAATTTAGACTTGGTGATTATTGAAGACAGAGTGCTGTGTGAGACAACCTGCTTTATCCTCGCAGCTTTGAGATGTTAATGAGAAGGCTTTCCTTGGTGCTCTGGTAATAAATATTTGACAAAAATTAGGTTTGCAGTTGTAGGCAGAATTTGATCCAGCTACACAGGCCTATCAAGTCGTTCTCTACCAAACAAAAATAACACACACAGACATAATCATCACATAAGTCATGAAAGTATACAAATTTGCTGAAGTGTAGTATGAGTAAAGCAAGAGAATATTTTACCTCTTCAATCTCATACCTGGAACATGTATGTATTTTCAAGAAGATAGACACCAAATGGTCATTTAGTGGCATATGGGAGAGACGATAACCAGCAGGCTGAAGCAGTCAGAGTGACTGTTGAAGTTTATGGTGCTCCAGGTCACCAAATTGCCTCTAGTGAAAACCACATATCAGTTAGCGGAGCTTTAGTTACGTTTGTCAATTGACAGAAATTGGAGCTAGAAGATGTCTCAGATTTTACATAGTCAATTCTTCCAACTTTCTTAAGCAATGAAACCCTTTATTCCTCCAAATAAAACCTATGCAAACTCTTAATGTATAACAAAGATAAAACTGGAGTTAGTTTGGTTAAGTTGGAGACAAATCTTATTTTCCTACCCATCACATTACATAGCGGCCTTGAAGCCTCTCAAGGTGTCATACAGTTCCAAATAATTTGTTTTGAAAACTTCTTGTCTAAACCAGTTTTTTCACTTTATAGGTGAGGAAACTGAAACCCAAATAGGATGAGTCAGAGACCAAAGTCAAGCAACATAACTAGGGCTAGAATTTCGTTTTTACTACCCTTGTTCCAGTGCTTTTCCCACTACACAGGTGGAACACCAAAAGCTTTGAATCGAGCAGATCCAAGTTAAAACTATAATCCTTCATGAAGGATTGTAGATACTTTAGTCACCTGACCTATAAAATAGGGGAAAATAAATTATTTTTATAGGATTATTGTGAAGATTAAATGAGAGGACATGCAAAATGGCCAATACACTACTAGTCTAAAACAAGTGCCTATTAAATGCTGGTTTCCTCTTCTGTCCTTCTCATGTATAATTCAAATGTTGAAGGGTAAACACAGGCAAGCACAGATCTATATAACCTGAATAACTGTGTAACTTTATTTCACTGGATAGACAAATTAGCAGCACTGGTCCTTTGATTCATTTGTTAATGCACTATGTATATCATTATGATATTGTCCTTTTTATTACAATTATTAATTAAATCAGCCATGCACATAAGCATTCACTTGTAATGAGTAAAAAAAAAAAAAAAAAAAAAAAGATGGAGAGGTTGTACAAGATTAATTACTCTACTGATGTGTTTCTCCCAGATTGAGGCAATTTGACAGTGGCATCTTCAAGCTACTGGTACAGCACATACATTTCCCACAGCTGACAAAGGGTCAGTAAATTTGGAAGGGAAAGGAAGCTTTGGTATTTGGTGTTGTCATTGATCAGCCTTGAAATATGGCTTGCTTATGAGGATTAGGTACCAAAAACACATAGAAAAATAAATTAGAGTTTCCAATTTAATCACAAAATTTTACTAGAAGCCCTACCCTTGGAGTCAAACTGGCCTTAAATTGGAGAGCTCCATAGCAATTTACTGCCTGGCCTCAGCATACCAATTTATAATATGAGGGGACTAGACTAACTAGTCTCCATGTTACCTTTCAGCTGTAATGTTTTCAGATCCTAAGAAATCTATGCATGTTTAAAAGATAGTATGTATTGATTGATTGTTATTTTTTAAAGTTAAACTTACTCCTTAACAAAGTAGAAGTGCTGCCAATATTTTTACCTTCTGTATATTTTTGTTATTGAACTCAAAATTATTTTTATTCGACAAAAAAATGCATCTTAATGTGCTTGTCTCTGTAGTGAGTTTCCATAAAACTTAGCTCAAGAGCACTGCTGGCCTAATCATTTTGTCATCTCTACACAGAATTTTACTCTCCAGAGAAATTTCCTTTATGTTCACAGTTGCAACAACCTTGGCCAGTAACCTATGAAAAAGGCACTAGAATAGACATTCTTGCTTGCTATTTTATTTCACACAGCTCTAATCCTATAACTAATTAGGCCAAAATGTGACTTGAGTATATGGCGTTGTGACTATTAGGACTTTGTAAAAATGAAAACATGCCAACATTTCCAGTCAAAAGAAAACAGATTAACAGAGTCTTTCTTCAGTATGACTTTCCTGATCTTTTCTCTTACAAAGCCTTTTGGAGGTCCTGTGAGATATTTCTTTCCCAGCACTTCTGAGAAGTTTCTTGGAGCATACTTATCAAGCGTGCACTGTGTTCCCTGTAATTTTGACTCCATCTAAAGTGGGATCCAATGGTTTGAGCACGTAATAAGGTGGCAAAGTCTGGGCCACTGTATCATCTTCGCTTCTGTGCTGTGATTTCTTTCTCTGAAAATGGAAATGTGACCCCTAATAAAAGATCCAGGAATACGTGTGAACAAAATGATTATTATGAAGGTCTGAGTATCATTATGATTAAACTTCCTATTTCTCTTTAGTCAGAGTGAAACATAGTTACTAGGGTACTCCACTAAACGAAAAAGTAAATTGAAATTGGCTCTTTTTTTGGCCATTCTGATGTTCCAGATAAAGGTAAAAAGAGGAGGAATTAACTGTGAAAGCAATAATATTTCAGTGGGCCACTCTTTCTCTAAAGCACTCTAAATTCAGTTTTAGAATCCATAAAACTGCTAGGGAAAAGACTGAAAATGGCATGTCCTCATTGAATGTGTCTATTCAGTGTGGACAGGGTTTCCTTTCTTTATAAATGTAATTCAATTGGGATTTCTCTGCAGAGATACAAATTAACTATCCACCCAGTATATAGTTAGACAAGATTTGAATAAACCAAGCCAGACTTGCTTGCATGGAAATGTTATTTCACCTATGCTCTGGCCAGGCATTTATAGTAGGTTGGATTTTCCGAATTTTAGCCTATTTTTAAGCAACACTTCTCTTTCAACAGTTTTAAAGAAATGAAGCAACTTCAGTTTCCTAGCTCTCAAATGTGTTTTTTAGATAGTTGCATAATCTTCGGTTCCTTTCTTTGAGTCAATCCAATTAGTGCATATGTGGAGCTGCTTAATTAGTGAGGCAGATCATAATTCTTGCTGAAGAACCATTAAAGTCACTAATCAGTCCACTTAGAATGAATTCCAAGTTTTCTAAAACACTTCCTAAGACAAGAGTAACAACATATATGTTTTCCTAAAACGGGCAGAATAATAGTATTTGCTCTAAGAATTAGTGACCATAACTATAGGGAAATTTGTATTTTCTCAAAAAAATTATAACTCCTTGGGAGCACTTAGTTTATGATATGCATACAAACTGTAGATAATAACTATAATCAAACTGACTAACATTAACTAAGTAAACACATTTTTTAGGAAGACTTGCATAAGTGATAGATGCACATCAACTCTGCAGGCTTGACTCTGCTGGAAAAGGATAAATTGAAAGGGTTTATTTCTCTCAGGCTAGCATGTGCCTGTTGGAGGCCATATTTGACATCCTTTCTTACACCCATTTTGCTTCATTCTGCAGAACCACCTGTATTTCTCTAACATTCTTCCTGCCAGCAACACCTGAAAGAATGAGCCTCACATGCTAAAATAATCTTAGGCTGCCACATATCACCATCATGATAAATCTTCCATTTATTATTTTCGTTTCCTTGTTACCATCCTCCTTAATTCTTTTCCCTGTCTTATTGTTGTGATAGTCATATATTTTTTAAAGTTTTTTTTACGTTACTGACTCACATTAGTGATAGGCTCTCACCTATTTATTTATTTATTTATTTATTTATTTATTTTTACTTTCTGTATCCCTTCCTCTTATTTTCTTCCTCTTATTTCTCCTCAACTCCAGGACTTAATCATCACCAAAAGAGACAGATAGATGCTTCTCTAACCAGGAGTATAGATTCAGAACGGAACCAAACAGCCTCTGAATAGGGAAGCCCAAAATTGCTTTTGAAAGCTTCATCACTGAAAATGTAATCAAACTTAGCTTACCCAAAATTGATTTAAGTTGCAGCCTAAGGGCCAACCTTTGACCAGGGCAGCGTTCACACTTGCATTGATTCTGCCTGCAATTGAATTACTCAGGCAATTCTGTGCGCTTTCAGCTTTAGCCCTGGAGTGCAAATGGCCAATTTGGGAGGCAACTTGCTTGTGCTTGAAATTTGCAGAAAGATTTTCTCATACATTTCTGGGGAAAAGCAGGATTACTTTTTTAAAATATTATCTTAGTCACAGAATTGGCTGCCCAAAGCATATTTTGTTTCCTTGTTTTCATATTTGTTTTGATTTGAGAAAACTTTGTTTCCCCCAGAGAATCTCTTCTGACTTTGAAAAGATGAGATCTGCTCCTTCCATATGTGTACTAAAATTTAGAGGAAATGAAAATTAATGAGAAAAAATAAGGCAAAATAATATGCTGCTATTAGATAGAGAGAAAGGCCAGAAACACACTCCATTTTATAGTTCTAGAGGCAAAAGTTAAAAAAATATATATATGGTTATGAAGCAAAATAATAGTCTGTGGGTCTGTATAGGATTGTATTCTATGACAAATCCCTCCCTTTCTTTCCAAAATATTTTATAAGATTGGCATGAAGAAACATTACAAGATGCTTTTCTGCATCATAACAGTCTTTTGTTAAACACTTATATTTTCTATAGTTTTTCCCTTTGTACTGTATATCAATTGTACATTATCTACCCTCCTCACAAAACTTCTTTCATTTTCACATAACCATACCATCTCCATGTGTTTATTTTACAATATCATTAAAAAAATCAATTGTATACCTTGCAAAAATGTCTCCATATTTTTATTCAGTCTTCCTAAGTAATATTTTAATGGCTTCACTATGATACATTTAGTGGTGAATTGTTAAATATTTAACTGAAGTAAAGGATGTGTGTAGGTCAGGCATAGTGCCTTGGTCCTGTAATCCCAGCATTCTGTAAGGCTGATGCAGATGGATTGCTTGAGCCCAGGAGTTTAAGACCAGCTTGGGCAACATGGCAATACCCCATCTCTACAAAAAATACACAAAATTAACTGAATGTGGTTGTCTACACCTGTCATCCCAGCTACTTGGAATGCTGAGGTGGGAGGATCACTTGAGCCCAGAAGGTCAAGGCTGCAGTGAGCCGAGAACACGCCACTGCACTGCAGCCTGGACGGCAGAGTGAGACCCGGTCTCAAATTTAAAAAAAAAAAAAAAATTGTGTATAATGAGACTTACAAATAGTAAGAAAATATGCAATTATCTTTATTGTAAATTCCATATAGTCAGTTGCTTCTCACAGATTCTTTCACTGATTTTTGGCAGAATCATGTATCTGTAACCAGCCCATGATTATAATCCATGCATGTGACATGCATGATGTTCCACATGGAGCTGTATTCTACCTATGAGGATTATTCTAACTCGAATAAGACATGATATTTTTGTGGTAATGAGTTAGATGAAAATAACCTGTGCAACTTTTTTGCTGAATCGGAGAATAGTTTTGGAATACTGCAAGAAAATTTCCCCAATTTTTTGTGTCGACATTAATGTAATGGCCACAGACATGACACATTACGTTTAATCCCTATTAATATTCACTTCATCATTTTCTTAAGTCTCGACAATGAACTAAGCAATAAATCAACCTGTAACTTGGACCATTTGCCGGTTTCCATGGTATAAACATTCCCACCATGGCTGATTTCAAGCTACCAAGTGATGTTACTGAATGCAGAGTTGGGAAGAGATGTGCCATATCACACACCATTTTATAATATTTCTACAATACAGACACAGGGATGCAAGTAACCTCAAGATTATAAATAATAGTAAACTGTAGTAAAGTAATTTGGAGGTAATGAGGTTTGAATAGCTATTGCATTTGTGTTTAGTATCATTTATTAATTCTAAACTTATAGAATTCAATTTTAATAATGGCTGTATTTAATAAATAAATCGCAGAATTTCTAAAACTTTCTCAATTGGCCTTAAAAGCTAGTATAAGCCAGCTTTAGCATGCCACTATCTACTTGAATGGCTATAAAGGAGAACACAATTTCTCCCCATGTAACCTACATGACTCTAGACAAATTACATAACCTCACTTATCTTCAATTAGTCCATCTGTAAAATGGAGTTAAAGGAGTAACACCTAGCTCACATAGAGGTGGAAGAATTAAGTAAGATAGACATAAAGTGCCTGGCTCCTGGTAGGGATTTATACATTATGGCCTTTCTTTATCCTCTTATATAACTTCAGTGCCCTCCCCCCATTATTTCTATAATTTTCTTCACTTTATTTTGATGTAGGAATGATTCTATTCTGTATCTCCAAATCTATATAATGACCTCTGACAAAATTAGGATTTTATTTTGTCTCTATGATAAACTCATGCCTACCTAAATATTGTCACATGCATGCCACATTTCTTTTTTTTTATTTTTATTATTATTATTATACTTTAAGTTTTAGGGTACATGTGCACAATGTGCAGGATAGTTACATATGTATACATGTGCCATGCTGGTGCGCTGCACCCACTAACTCGTCATCTAGCATTAGGTATATCTCCCAATGCTATCCCTCCCCCCTCCCCATGCCCCACAACAGTCTCCAGAGTGTGATGTTCCCCTTCCTGTGTCCATGTGTTCTCATTGTTCAATTCCCACCTATGAGTGAGAATATGCGGTGTTTGGTTTTTTGTTCTTGGGATAGTTTACTGAGAATGATGATTTCCAATTTCATCCATGTCCCTACAAAGGACATGAACTCATCATTTTTTATGGCTGCATAGTATTCCATGGTGTATATGTGCCACATTTTCTTAATCCAGTCTATCATTGTTGGATATTTGGGTTGGTTCCAAGTCTTTGCTATTGTGAATAATGCCGCAATGAGCATACGTGTGCATGTGTGTGCCACATCTCTTGTTTAAATTTGCTGCAACACAAACCAATTCTTTCTTACAACTGACTCTTACTATGCTTCATTCCCACTCCACAGTAGATTTTAAGCAATATCATTCATTTTTTCCTAAGGTATGAGACCTCAGAGGATGCTTATTTTGCAATGTCTTAATTCTATGAAGCCAGAGAGAAAAACATATAACCTGGTCATAAAAAGCATTCATATATTAGGGCAAATAAGCCACACATTAACATCACAATAGGTTCCAAATCCATTGTTATCTTTCCTCTAACCTGGCTAGAATCAGGGGAGGAGGAATCTATATGTTAAACTGCTTTGAAATAGGTGGAATCAGTTCCCTTTCATATCATCCTCTCCACTACAAAAAAAAAAAAAAAAATCTTAAGTAGTTGTATTATTTTGTATTTTGTATTAAAAAACTTAAGTAGTTGTATTATTTTGTTTTCCAATTCTTCTTAATTATTTAAAGGAAGAAAACACATTTGTAGACTGCATGCTTGGGACATAAGATTAACCAGTAATGTCATAATCTTAAAACTTCAGCATTTTTCACTTATTAAGTTTATTATCTATATGCCTAGTCTCATGCTGTGTTGGGAATACAAAGTTGAGCTAAAATAACTTGATTCACAACATTTTGGAGATTGTCAATTTTGAAAAGGGGTTTGGCAACACAAGCAATTATCACAAAATGTAATTAATTCTTAGGGGTGATAGAAAGAATGACTAATATAAGTGAATAATAGAAATCCCATGTGACTGGAACACAGAGGGCAATTACAGGTGAAGTGGACAGAGCTGGGTGAAAAGAAAGGCAGATGCTAGCTTCTAAAGTGGACTTGCAAGGAAATGTAGCAGAAATGATATGAGCCAAAAACATATTTTCATATACTATTGCTAGCTTTTAAAATGTGAGTGACAAATGAACAGTGATTACCAGAATACTGTAATGCTTTGGTTCGTAAGCTGTGTCATAATGCATGTGAAATTATCCCAGTTACTAAGATGAAGCCTACTGTTAGTCTCTGCCTTAAATTCTCTACGACTTTTGATATTCCTCAATGTACTTATTTATCTTCTCCTTATATATTTCTGGAAAATCAGATATGCTTGTGCCAATTTTTTCTTAAAGAAATAGTAATTACTTCACTGTTGATCTATTAAGCTGATCAAATAGTAAGATAATAAGTACTGAACTATTTAATGAAATATTTAACCTTTTTCTAATATAACCTTCCCTAACTTTTTTCTAGTACACTGTTAGTCTATTCATTAATTCATACCATATGTGTTTGATCTAATCTCCCTTTCCTTCAAATTATACAGGATGTTTCAAGAAGCCCCCCAAAGACATTTATGAGCAAAATCTTTCATCTCTGAGTAAAGTAATACCGTTAAATAGTCTTGCCCCTGAGTGAATCCATTAAGAACTTTTCTATATAGATGTATAACACCTTGTCTTGTGATTAGAGAATTGCCTGATTGATAATGGCATGATAACAGCTGATTAATAAATATTAAAACTGATTTCAGTGACCTGGAAATCACCCCATAAAGATAGTTTACCAATTCAGCTACAGTTTGTTCTATCCAATGAATTACTAGCCATAGTATATACTGTCACCAGCCCCAGATCAATGAAGAATTAAGTTCTCTAAAGAAGAACTTGCCTTTGCATGTTAGTTGTTTTTTGTTTCATTTTATTTTGCTTTCATTTCTAATAACTTACATCTCTAGTCCCAGCCTACCATCTTAAAACTGGTTATAATAGGAGCACGATGAGAGAGCTGAGATGGCTTAACACAAATCCAGCATCACTGTTAATCAGCAAGTATAATATAAATGTTTATGTGTATTATACCCTACTAACTGATGGGTGTGAGAAAAGAGAAGTGTTAGGAAAGAAGTATCGCAGCCTTTATTCAGTATGGCTCCTGTAAGATCAGACTTAGTATCTAGGCTCAATTAGAGAATAAGGAAAGGCAGAATGTAATGCACTGCTATATCTTGATACAGATAATCATGACTTCAGGAGTTCAGAGAGAGTGTGTATCAGTACTGGGAAAAAAAATAGCTCCAAGCAAGTATTCTGCTGATGGTGATTCAGAATCATTATCTTCAAATATAAAGGACAACATTATTATCTTTTGTGATTTAACAATAGTTGAATTCAACGTGAGATAGGCCTAGCTTTTAACAGTTTTGGAAAATATTATGTTAGGTTATTGTTGTTGTTATTGTCATTGTTTACAAAGGAGAGTTCAGCAAAGAGACAAGCTTAGACAGAGGACGCTTTCAGACTAGAAATTGGTCTGATTACCACATAGATGGATAACAGAAAAAATCTGGAACCTATTATAACATTTTGAAATGACTGTTTAAAGTGCATGTGCATGTATATAGCTAGATTAAAAATCACCCAATATTGATTTCAGTTCTTCCTGGCCACTACTATGTGTATTGATTGTAACCAACCCCTTCTAAAAGACCAGGAGATACATAGTCATCTGGGTTTCTGTTTATATTTCTCACTTCAGAGTGGCTTGGCTTCTCCTCCAACATTGTTGACAGCTTTTTGAAGATTGCAGCCATGTTATAGGCTTCTTCCTAGGTGATCCCTTAAAGCTATAAAATTATAGCGTGACTTCTTTAAAATAACTTCTGAAATCTTAATGTCTAAAACAAAGGTCTAGAAACAAAAGCAAATTATTTCATCTACATTTTATTTCACCATTAAAATTCTATTCAACCAAAGTGCTTAGAGACCCTCCACCAAAAAGGCAGGAATATTCTGAGAACTAATTTATCATTTTTTATTCATTACTATTAAAATCCTTTGAGACTTGAAAAGAACTGACAAAAAAAATTACAATTCTGTGAATAACTTTCTAGACAACTTCTCTAAAGCATCTGTGTTAGTTAGAATTAGAAACAGTGGCAAGTGACAAAACCCAAAATAACAATGACTTAAACAACTTTATTTTTCTCTCATATGGAAGCCCACAATAGACAGTTCAGCACTTGGAATAGCATCACTGTATCAAGGACATAGCCCCTTCTATGATTTTTGTTCCAGTTTGTAACATTCATTCCCAGGGTTATTTTTTGGTCCAAGGTGGCCACTTCAGTTCAAAGCATCAAATCTATACTTCAGACTGTAGGAAGAAGAAAAGAGGGAAGGAAAAGGTCTCATCTCCTCCTTTTATAAATACTTCTCCAAATCTGTAGACATCACTTACACTTATGGCCCACTGGCCTTTACCTACATGGCCACACTTAGCTGCATGGGAAGTCAGAAATTTTGTTCTTCGCTAGTATTCTTTGCCTAAAATTGTGGTTATCTTATTATAGGAAAAGGATATGATAGATATGAAAAGAAAACCAGTAGTCTTTACTACAGTCTACCCCTTTGTGATGCAAATATCTAGGCCTGCCCTTCCTTGTCCATATAGAACACACTCATTCCTATCAAAGATAGAAAACCATGGTTTCTTCATCAAGATTCTAGATAACTGAGGGCTAGAATCTCTGAGTGATTCACATTCTTCTTCATCAGCCTGAATGTGACATGTTGTCTGATGATCTCTGGGTTAAAATAAGTTTTTTGTTTGTTTGTTTTTGTTTTTTCTGTCATACGCAACCCCAAAATACTATGGTGGAATATCAACCAGAAAACTGCAATAGGACTCTCATTCTGAGAAGAGGAGAACAACAACAACAAAAAAAACCCAAAACAGCAGCCATTTATACACCAATGATCAGCTCCTGCCAGTTGGAAGAGTCAAGATTCACTTTTCCAGCAGTATAGTATGTTCCTTAGATAACTCTATGGGCAGCCACTCATTCTGTGCTCTGGGAAGAACTCTCAAGTTCTTTGTCCTCTGTGGCTCTTGTCTGTGTCCTCTGGAAGTTGTTTCTTGGACACTATGCTCCATGACTACATATCAAGAAAGCACTGGGGCTGAGCAGCTTGCATGGCCCATTTTGTACCGCTGCAGACTGGGGACACAGAACTCTCTTTAAAGGTTGAACATCTGTAATAGCAGACAAGGCTCGTGGCTTCTTTGACAAAACAATTTGCTCAAAAACCTAGTAGCCTTCCAATACAGTTAATTTAATTTGTTAATAACATTAGGGAAAGGTTTTGTGCTTTTTGTTTTTTGTTTTTGTTTTGTTTTGTTTTGTTTTTGTTTTTGTTTTGAGCCGGAGTCTCGCACTGTCGCCCAGGCTGGAGTGCAGTGGCGAGATCTCGGCTCACTGCAACCTCTGCCTCCCGGGTTCATGCCATTCTCCTGCCTCGGCCTCCCGAGTAGCTGAGACTACAGGCACCCGCCACCATGCCCAGCTAATTTTTTGTATTTTTAGTAGAGACGGGGTTTCACCATGTTAGCCAGGGTGGTCTCAATCTCCTGACCTCGTGATCCACCCACCTCGGCCTCCCAAAGTACTGGGATTACAGGCATGAGCCACCGTGCCCAACTGGGAAAGATTTTTAAGTAGAAAAGGCTTTGAATGCTGATAGCTCCAATGCCTCACTTACTATCCTCTTTGTTTTCTCTCAACCAAACAGCAGCTACATTGAGGAAATCTGAACTGCTGTGGTTGGTTGGAAGGGCAATACCCTTAGTCTTGTCTGTGCCCTCAAATTTCACAGACTTCCCACAGCAAGTGTGTTAGTCTTCTTTGATGTCAAGGTTGATGCTTTGTAGCTATTTCTCTACTGCTTTGGTTGGAGGCAGAAGCAACTGACTTTTTCAATGTTGCAATATATAAATTACCAGGCTCTTAATCAATTTAGATTGTAGGGTGTATGAGCTCCTCCCTTAGCAGAGATATGTATATTCCTTCCTCTCTCTGTAGATCAGCTAGCACCATACTGAGTTTATGAGTGAAAGTGGCATAATGCAGGCAACACATATGAGCAATCCACGTTCTCCTATTATTCTTCTTCCCTGAAAATTATCACATTACAGATTTAGTCTCAGAATAATTTTGTCTCAAACAACAAACAAATAGTTGTTCTCCTAAAGATGTCTACATTCCATAATACCCCAAATGAATAGGGACCTAAGAATTATTAAAACTAAATGGACCCAGAGATAATCCAAATGGTTTATGTATTTTGAGTTCAATGAGAAGTTAATTATCTTCACCGAATAAGGCATCATATATACACAGAACATATGCACATCACTTAATGTAGAATAAGTATGGGCTAAGGGAAATAAATTATTAAGGCTTCTAAGAGGTTCCCAAGTCCCTTGGGCTAAAATAGAACATAAATTTATTGATATGTGCTGTATCTTGTAGTGGTGAGACAATAACAAAGAATTCCTAAGACATGAATGCTATTTTTAAGTCACTAATTATCTATAAACTCCCATCACCTACTTCATTTCTCTCTCCTCTCCTCATTTTATTCAATAATTTCTGGAAGAAATTATTCCAGAAAGAAAAGGTAGTAACTATTCTTTGGCATAATTTGTTAATGGCAGAGCCTAGGTAAGAACTCAGTTTTCCTAATACTTTATTTTTTGCAACTGTGCTAAAAAAGACTGTAGAAATCTGAGTCAATAACTGCAAAGCGTCTGAGATTATACCCTACTTACAAGCTAATGTTAGCTTGCCACAATCTCACTGATGCTGGTAGAAAACACAAGACTCCTGGGTCAGAGATATAAAACTTTATTTCTCACAGCAAAAACAATAGGCAGAAAGTCAACATGTTTGTGTCAGTTTCCTAAGCCCCAGTTCCCATAGGGATAGCATGGCTGGCCATTATGGATGTGTGTACATGCAGTAGTGTCTGTTACAAGAGAACAATATTGAGTTTAGGGAACCTAGTATTTTCCAGAAGCCAGTAAGTAAGCCTGCTCTTTTTCTCAGAGGAAGACATTACTTCATCCTGTAAGAAATGGCCTGAATAAAAGCATTTACTTTTTATCCTCTACTTGGGTCTTTCATTCTTGGCATTCCCAACAAAACAGGGAACAACAAAGCATGCAGCAGTGCAAGAGACCCATAAAGGAGTGTCTCCCAATAATCTGCAGATATATAGAGATAAAAATGGTAGGTGTATCCTTTAAAGGGCCACACTCCATTAAATAGCTAGGTTTTAGGGGAATTCTGGTTGGGTCCTTAAAAGGCCTTTTTTAGGTCACCATAATCTAGATTCTGGGCTTCGATTTCAAAAGTCTAGAGAGTCTTTCTTGTCATCTGCCTAGGACTTAGCAGACTATGATGACAGACTGACAGTGTCTAAAAAATATAAGAGACTACAACATATATTCTGAGTAGACCCTAGAATATCAATTTATTAATTTATAATAAGAAATTGACTTGGTTTATAATATTCATATTGGCATGATCAGCTCATTCTGTTCTTAAAATGAACTACAAGAGAAGCCACATCAAAGTCAGAAGTCATTTTATTAATTCATTATGATAAATCACTGTCTGAGGACAGAAAATTGTTGAAGTCTGTAGGATCAGCCATTCATTCTCTGTAGTTAGACTTGTAAAGAACACCAGATCACAATGAGAAGGTTGCTTGGTGACCATGGAATCAGAAGGGGAGATAAAGAAATCCAACATTTAATGGTATTAGCCTAAAATCAACATTGATTAATTCATCTAAAAAAATGGCAATTTTGCCAATAGCATTAAATATGCATAACATTCAATAATTCTGACTCCCTTTTCTCTGAGTGGTACATACTTCGTATCAATCTTCAAATTCATTCCTTTTCCCTCCCCAATTTTCCTCTGTGACTTCCCTTTATCTATTCTATTCATGTAGCTAACCAGTCCTAGATCTCTGCTTCCTTTCCCTTAGTGTAACATCGAACCTACAATAGCCATACCCATATTAAGCATACCTACAGTGTTTCCAAACCAGAGGCAATGTCATCATGTAATTTTGTATGTGGGAGGGGAAGCTCCCCAGCACAAGGGAATTTTCTGCAAAACCCTTATCCTAATAAGAATTCTGCCTCTGGAGGTTTCTTAAACTACGCTTATCCAGGAGTACTTTCCTTGCCAGTCTTCACAGTAACTGAAAATTGCTTTCAAGATGATATTAGGAAGCCAATCTAAATGGTCACCCTTTATCGACTATTCATTGATTACTCTTCTAGGGTCCCTTTAAGGAGGTAACAAAGCAGAAGCCGAGGTGCTATGTTTATTCAGTTATTAGTGTCTAGCACAATGATATGTGAAATCAGGCATTTATTAACTAGTGTTGTTTCCATAGTAATAACTCCAACGTCGAGTAGGTTAGTACACTTACGCATTTGCAAAATAAACTTGAACACATAGAGATGAATTTAAATGAATATATACCCACAAGTCTGCTATTTAAAGCCTCCAGACCTCACGCGTACATGGCTGACCCCTATGCTGGAAATCAATGCTTAAGCAGGACTTTGCAGTGATATAAAATGCCTAGCAATTGGCAACACGAGATGCTTTGCTTTTCTCAATAGTGAGAAGAGTTAATGTGCAGGGTACTGTTGTTGAGCATATTATTTTCTGTTCAGAATACTGAAAATAAGTATGTGTTAAGAGTTTGTGCTCACTTTAGAAATAGAAGCCCTGTGAAACAGATGATAATGACGTGGTCTTGATCTGAACAGAGCCTTACGTTTCAGCTGTTTACTTGTCCTCTTCCCTAGGAGGAATTAGAATTTCCCAGAATCTCAACAGCCTGCTTTCTGCCTTTGTTTAGACTTGCTATGTGTTGCAAGACTAATGGGTAATTTCTGTAGTTGTGATTAAGAAAAAGGAACAGAGATCAGAGGGGTCACCAATGCTTAGATGGCTTGTTAGAGTTTTAAACTCTAATGAATAACTTGTGGTAGGGCTAAATAAAGCCCGTTTAAACCCAGAAATCATCAGTATTCTAATATAAAAGACAAAGGCTAATACTCAGAGCTAATTTGAAAAATTAAAGCTCCAAAATATGGCCTAAATATGGTATAAATTTACAGAACAAAGAATTGTCTGTCAGCCCTGCCCAGTTTCAGTCTTATACTTGATATTGTGTGAAAATTAGCTTAAAAAGGAGGCAAGGCATATTACTTTGTGCCATTTTTACCTCTTCAACTTTTGAAAAAATGTATACTCCAAAAACTGTGAAGTAACTGCTTTGTGCATAATGAGCTCAAATTTCAGATTTTTTTTTTTTTTTTTTTTTTGAGACAGGGGCTCCCTCTGTCACCCAGGCTGGAGTGGCACCATGACAGTTCACTGCAGCCTTGACCTCTTGGGCTTAAGCCATCTTCCCACCTCAGCCCCCTGGGTAGTTGGGACTACAGGCGCATGCCACCCTGTCTGGCTAAATTTTTTTGTATTTTTGGTAGAGACGTGGTTTCGCCATGTTGCCCAGGCTGGTCTTGAACTCCTGAGCTAAAGCAATCCACCCACCTGAGCATCCCAAAGTGCTGGGATTACAGGCATGAGCCAGTGCTGCCAGCAACATTTTGAAAACTTTTTGGTGATGTTGTTGTTGTTGCTTTTGCATATTTTAGCCAATTACTTTGTTTGACTTGCATCTTGGCAAAATCAATTTGGTCAATCATATAGAAAACTGCTATTTATTTTTAAAAATGGTAAATCTGACTATGATTCATAATAGATGTACTTGTGCTTCAGAGAATTATGAGAATAGTCCTGTAGTGATTAAATAATGTGATGGTGCCTTTCCTGAATATGCTTTGCGAAGCAAATAAACACATATGGCTCCTCCATTTTTACTTTCAGAAAACTTTAGATATGTCTGTCCCAAAATATATTCATGAATAAGAAGGAAGTGATGATAAAATGCTATTCATGGCTAAAATGTGTCCTACTTTCTAATATGAATTTTCACAACATATCTGAGTCCTCTACCCATTAATCTATGTTTAATGCAGAGTTCAAAATGAAAACTTGCTTTTACTTTCTTACATACCATCAGTTTAATTTGGTAATTAGCTCACATACCTGGAATCAAAGATAGACATCAGTAATTTGGCAATTAGCTCACATACCTGGTATCAAAGATAGACATCAGTCAATGGTGCCTTTTTCTATCAATTGAAAAATATAAAATCACACAAACACAATAACAACAACAGTTATAAAAGCTTTTGACTAAGTCATAAGCTACAAGCGAAATTCTCCATTTTTTCAATTTGATTAAAACTTATGTTAATTTTCTCCTATAAACTATGATGACTTGTTTGAACAAATTTAATTGGTATGCCTTCATGTGCTTTATGGAGAGAAATGGCTAGAGACATCCAGTAACGTTTCAGAACATTTTTCTTAGAAAGTAATAATAATAATAATAATAATAAGGACCCAGTATAAACAAAGTTTATAAGTACTATTAAGGAAAAATTTAACTGTAGCATAAAATAATTTGACCACTGGAAGTATGCATTAACAAATAAGAAAAGTACTTATAATACAGTGATTTTGTATTGCATCTTATACCTAAAAGATAGACTTGACTATTGGGCAGTAGCCATATGTCACTTTCCAACTTATAAATGTAGATAATTTTACTTCTTTTAAAATCATACAGAAACAGTATATCACTCCAGTTAATGTACCATGGGCAGTTTTTCTAAGATATATAAAAACCCCCAATGAGCTATAGTTTTAAGCAAGGAGGACAAATTTATAGTTCTACAGGAGTACCTGTGGCATTGGGGTATAACCATCTGTCACTTGTCAAAGAAAATGCCATGTACAAAAAAATCCAAGCCATACAACAAATTAGAAACAGCTTCTTGTTTAAAAATACATAAAAATTTATTAAATGATTCCCTCCTAGAATTCTTTTAAATCATGGACTCCCCTTGGAAAACTCCTCTGTGAGTCAACAGATTATAAGAAAATGGTTCGCAAATTATCTTGCATTGAAACTTTTTTGTTGTTGTTTTTAAGGAAATAGGCATCAAGAAATTAAGTACATAGATGACAGTCATAAAACTAGTTAGTGGCAAAATGAAGCTAGAACCTTGTTTTGTGTAATTCAGTGATTGTTACTCTATAACCACCAACACTGAAAAAGAAACCCAGTGCTTCAGTCACAAAGGGGGAAATGAAGTGACCCCGTTGGTGAGCCACACTTGTGTCTGATCTTTTCTAAAGGTCATTTGAAACATGGTTCAAATCACCCCTTTACAACTCAGCAAGGAAGAGAATCCCTCAATGACTTCACATATAATGACACTTTCTGTCTTCTTTTGCCAGCAAGTCACACTGCAGCTCTCTCCTGAAGTAAACCAAATAAAATCTAAGCACCAGATATTTATCATCTGAATTCTGCATTTAGTGAGGGCAAGAACCATGTGTAACCCCAACAAAACTGAATTGTCATGCTTTAAAAAATAAATAAATAAACTTTAAAACTTTAAACGCCCAAACGGTAGTCTAGATCATTACTGAACTTTTTAAAGGATATTTTTACAGAAGAGATGCCAGATTATTTCAACAACAATAATGGATTTATTTATCCTTGAAATGCACTAAGCCTCATGTTAACTGCTCAAATAGAGTTTTTTCTCTCTTCTAAGCTCAAGCTGTGCTGGCTCTATTTCCTACTCCTTCTTTCCCATTCTTTCAACCCCTCCTTCTACCACCAGATGATAACTTTTTCTTTCTTTTTCAGTTCCTTTCTCATGTGAAGTGATTCATTCATTTATCTAAGATTCTGAAATTTATATAATATCCCTAACAACAGATAAGGTTTCTATAGGCTTAAAAAGGATCCTTGCTGGCCGGGTACAGTGGCTCACACCTGTAATCCCAGCACTTTGGGAGGCCAAGGCAGGAGGATCACGAGGTCAGGAGATCAAGACCATCTTGGCTAACATGGTGAAACCCTGTCTCTACTAAAAATACAAAAAATTAGCCGGGCATCGTGGCATGTGCCTGTAGTCCCAGCTACTCGGGAAGCTGAGGCAGGAGAATCATGTGAACCTGGAAGGTGGAGGTTGCAGTGAACCAAGATCATCCCACTGCACTCCTGCCTGGCGATGAAGCGAGACTCCGTCTCCAAAAAAAAAAAAAAAATTACAAAAGGATCATTGCCCCTGAGGCAAGGACACTTTAATATATACGTATACACACACACACACACACACACACACACACACACACACGTATACATATATACACATACACACACATACATATAAAACATAATTCTTATAATTTTATTTTATATGTGCATAAACACATATATACTCACATATATATAATTTACACATATGTAGATATATATACACCCACCATATGTATATATACAAACAATATATGTATATAGATGTATATATGTGTATTTTTTTCCTTATATTTTTATTTTCAGGTGTTTATTCATGTTTACATTTCTACATTTTTTGTTGTTATTTACCACTGGAAATTCAATACTCAACCAGAACTTGTCACATGGTAACTTCAATAAATACTTGATTGGCTAGTAATGAACAAATTTCTTATTTTCTGAGTCTCCTCATCTGGAACACATGGATAACCTCCAAGGTCCTCAGGGACTCCTGGAAGCCTGGCCTTCTTCCTGCTTTTCCCAAGTTCTCTCCCTGTTTGTCAAGAGAATCTCTCATAGGTAAAAGAACAGAAACAGGGCTCATGGTCTGTAAATTTACCAGAAATGATTCTTCACTAGAGTTCATCATACTTTGTGGTTTAAGATAGGGCTCTCTGATATGGAATGCGTATCCCCCATCAAGGAGGTTTTAAAAGGCCTCTAATACACCGATTTCATAGAGGGGTTAATAAAATGACCTTACTAAAACAGCTAAGGAAGTCAATAATCCAACTGACAATAAACAAGTCTTTTCTCTTGATACACAGAGTAATTGAATAGATGGGAGTAATGCTATCATTTTGTGAATCTTTGAACTTATACATTGCATCTGTTGATTGTCTTAGTTTGGGCTGCTATAAGAAGTACCATATACTGGGTGGTTTATTAACAACAGAAATTTACTTCTTATAGTTTTGGAGACTGAAAGTCTGAGATTAAGATGTCAGGTTCGGGTGAGGGCCCTCTTCCAGGTTGCTAACTTCTGGTTGCATCCTCACATGTGAGAAAAAGGCTGCGAAAATTCCCTGGGGTCTATCTTATAAAAAAAAAAACAAAATCTCATTGATGACAGCTCCACCCTCATGGCCTAATTGGCTCCCCAAAACCCCAGTTCCTAATACCCTCACGTTAGGCTTTAGAATTTCAACATACAAATTTGAGGCGGAGGGGGGACACAAACATTTAGTGTATATTGCACTGATATACTTTATTGTGAGCTGAACAATACAGAAATCAATTATAAGATGAAATCTAGAATGAATAACACAGAAAAATGAATTCTACATATTTCTATTATATATAAATCAGGCAATAGCAGAGCAAAGGCACAGTTTACCTGAATTTTATTCTAAGTATCATGAAATCAGAAAAGCAGCTACATATAAATAACCACTGCTAGTAAATGCAATTAAGTGATCAAAATAAGCATAGGCTATTAAATTAAAGTATAGGTAATAGGAAATGCTTACCAATTCCTATACCATTTCTGTCTTTTGCTAGAAATATTATTTTTAGAAGAGTTTTCCCTCAAGACATTTTTCTAATACTCAGCTACCACATTCATAGCAGAATCTATATAAAAATACACTTTAAAATTGCCTTAAACTCTGCAATACTTAATCCATTTTTATCTCAAGCAGATAGTTTTTGGAATATGATGGAAATAGAGGTAAAAATAAAACCACACACACACAACAAAAAGAAAAGAAAAGAATGTTGTGGGTCTGCATTGGTCTAAAACTTGAGATGTATTCTCTTCTGTCAGTTTCACTCTTTTCCTCCAATTTTCTGCAAGAAACCAGAAATCTTATTCTAGACTTTTGCTATGGTCTAAATGTTTATGTCCCCTCAAAATTCATATGTTGAAATCCTAAGCCCCAAGGTGACGGTATTAGGAGTAGGCCCTTTGGGAGGTGAACAGATCATAAAAAGGATTAGTACTCTTACAAAAGAGGCCTGAGGGAGCTTGTTTGCCCCTTTCACTCTGTAAGGACACAGCCAGAAGGTGCCACCCCTGAAGAACGGGCCCTCACCAGTCACTGAATTCACCTTTATGTTGGATTTCCCAGCCTTCAGAACTATGAGAAATACATTTCTATTATTTATAAGCCACCCAGTCTATGGTGTCCTCTTACAGCAGCCCAAATACACTGTTATTTTTTGCTCATGTATTATCTATAATGACATGATCAGAAATGAGAAGTTGCCGAGATCATTTGGCCTGCATAGCCAAAAATATTTACTATCTGGCCCTTTACAGGAAAATTTTGCTGACCCATGTTTAAAAGCATGGACTTAGAATAGACAGCTCTGGTTTCAAATCCAACTCTGTTACTAGCCTGTTACCTAATCTAGAGACTGAAATACTTATCTCATGAAGAGTAGTCTTTCTATGAATAAATGAGAAGATGCACACAGACCACCACAGCAATTACCTGATAGAGAATAACATTAAATAAACACTTTTTTAAAAAGCTAGCTAAGAATTTTATTTCTAGTTGCTGTCTTCTCTGTGCCTCAGTTTACTTATATACGAAATACGGAAAATACTATAAAATGTTTTACCCTAGTTTGTTGATATATTTTTCTCATGACTAAATACATTAAAAATTAGGATACTTTTAAAAGTATATCTATTATTAGAAATCCATTCACCTAAATATCTATATTAGTTTGCTAGGGCTGTCATAAAAAATTACTACAAACTGGGTGGTTCAAAACAACAGAAATACATTGTCTTATAGTTCTGGAGCCAGAAGAAATCCAAAACCAAGGTTTTGGCAGGGTTGTTTCCTTCGGGAGGCTCTCAGGGGGAATCCATTCTGTGCCCATTTCCCAGCCTGTGGTAGATGTCAGCAATTGTTGGTGTCCCTTGGCTCGTGGCAACATAACTCCAATCTCCGTCTCTGTCTTCACATGGCCTTCTCTGTGTGTCAGACATTGTTTTAAATTAGGGCATATATTTTCAATATTTGACTTACATGTGGACATAGATCAGCAAGAAGAGACTAGCAAATTATTCAAAATAAAAAAAGAAATTTAGAAAAACTTATAGAATTGTATAAATCTATTAAAGGCTCCTATTGAAATTGTTCCTAAGAACATTATCCTCTCCAACCTAGTCTGGTTCCACTGATGCCCTCAATATTATTCTCTGCTTTTCAATATCTTATCTCCATTGCATCTATCATATTTATTTCATGTGCCTTTTCTTCCTTCAGCTGTGTGCTGTTTCATTTTTCTGTCTCTGCACTGTACCTGGTGAAGAAACTGAAGAGTCAGCTGGCACTCTCTGCAGGTTTTTGTCTGCATGCCAATACTTGTTGCTCTGTCCTATTTAGAGGGCCTGAGTTCTTGATGAGGAAATGTGCTCTGCAGAGAGACCAACACCAGTTTGGCAATCACAGGGAGAAACACTTATTTTCCCTGCTAAGCAAATACCTTGTTACTGAAAAACCACTAAGAACTGAGATGAAGTCTGTATACAAGAAATGACATGAATCATAAAAGTCTTAGCCAGGCTTAAACTATTGTGTATACATACATAGAAGCATACCCAAGCACACAAACTCCAGCTGCTTATTTTTTCCTTTTCTTTTCCTTTGAATATGTCTTAATTCCCTAGTAACCCCAAGCCAAGGATTAAGTCAAGTAGGATCTCAGTAAGAATCTGATCCAACCCTGTTTTGGATAGAATTCATAGAAAGGCTTGAAGCTGGGGAAGCATGGCTTCCTACGAGGAACCACCAGGGAGTGTTTGGTTTACAACCATTTTATTTTATCTGGTTACCTCTCAATAAATGGGCCTTTGATTGGTTTGGGAAGAGGATCTCAGTACTGATTCTTCGCCTTAAAATATCATGCAAAATTTGTGTACTTACCTAATGATATCTAATTGATAGTTACTCTTAACTTCCTCTTTGAAGCAGTATGATACATAGTAGAAAAGGATGAACCCTACACTGCAAATCTGAATACTTGAGTTTTAACCATGTCTCTGCAATAGGTGACCTTGGAAAGTAACCTAATGTCATAGGGCACAGGAAGAGATTATCTCTAAATCTTTTTATAGCTGAGTCAATGATTATATGATCTGTGAGTTCCAGTTTTATCCTTGTGAAACATAATTATAAATAGTCTATCATATCCATATACTAGTTGCTTTGACAATTTTATAAAAACGACTGGCATCCAGAATTGATAAAACATAGTCATTTATAAAAAATTTTCTTATTTCTTTGAACTATCAACAAAAATTGCGATTAAATTTTTGATGTTTTCTTACTGTATAGAGCACATCTTTGTACATATCAACACTAAGAGAGAAGATTGAGACAGGGAGGAAATATGAGTAAAGGAAGTACTGGGTTTTGACTTTTAAAAAATTGAGATCCAAAGGAAGCAGAGCTTTTATTTTTTGTTCTTTTGTGGGTACAAAAATAAATGTAAGAAAAGATAGCAGAATGGGGAAGATAAAGATTGTGGAGTCACAGAACTGGGTCCAAATCCTTAATCCACTACTTAACATATGTATGATTTTTCCCAGTTTATGAAATTAAGTTCTCTAATTCTTAAATTTTGGAAACAAATACTATGAGTGTATGTGGTGATGATAATGTAAAATAACATACGTGCATTCCCCTAGCAAGGGGCTACTCATCCTAGATCAGTACTTCCCAAACTTATTTAAAGTGCAAACAGATCACCTGAGATCTTGCGAAAGTCAGATTCTAATTCACTACATCTGCGCTGGGGCCTGAGAGTCTGCATTTCTAACAGTCTCGCAGGTAATGCCAAAGCTTTGCGTTGCATGGATAAAGGCATTTGATAAAAATGTAGAATACCTTTGGCCTTTTTCCTTCCATTTCCAAGCATAAATACATATTTGTTTTGAAATGATAGAGTGGAAGGTTGGTCTTTTTTTTTTTCCTCCCCGATCAGTGTGCCTCTTCTGTTCCAGTCGTCTGTCACCTATAGTCAGGGCAAAGGACACCAACAGTGTATCATTTTCAAGTCAAATTGTGTCAACCTGCTAGGACAAGTTCCCCAAACTTTCACAGGGCTCTGTGATCCTTCCTTTATTTTTTTTCAGCCATCACTTCCAGTTCACAAATGCTAGATTTATTTATTAAAGTCTTCACCCTCTTTTACACTAGAAAGGCAAGATTCCCAGTGAAACTCTTTTCTTTTGCTTGTTCCAAACTTCTTTCTGTTAAAAACAAATATAACAACGACAAAAAAATCTTTCTCTTACATATCTGCAGGCTCATGTCTTTACCATTTTTGTGCTCTTCTATTTCTCTAAATGATAGCAAAGGGCCTAGCAACCATTTACTTGTCTTTCTAGTTCTTTCAGTCAATAATAGATGATAATTTACTCTCCCTCTGTATGATTGGAGCATATTTTGAATTATCCATTTAAGCTTCATCTGTAATTAAAATTATGTGGGCATTTATGACATTATTCTGCAAAAATGCTCTGTGGGCTTTCTCTGATCTAGCTCATGGAGTCCAGGTGCAAAGCAGCATAAAAACATTGAGGGAAAAATCAACCCTATCTTGGGTTCATGCACCGGCCATTTATCTGCCAGCTTACAAGCAAAATTCATAGATGTGTCTTTCCAGGAGATTAAGTATCTCCCAGAGTCAGCAGGAAATCTGAACTGTTATCTTGTTGCACTTAAGTAAAAGGTAGTCAGTCCTCTCTCTCTCTATTCCAATATGTTTCATGGAGAACAAGCACTCTTTTATAAGCAAACAAATATATGCCACGTGAGATTCTATTATTATTCACAAATATTCACTTACTTCCCCATGAGAGGATTACACATTTATACCCATTTTTAGATAATGTGCAAGGCCTTCTTCCTATTGACATTGGTGATCATGTGACTTGCTTTGGCCAATGAAATAGCAGAAGTGATGTGCACCACATCTTAGCACAGGCTCCAAGAACTACTAATGGTTATGTCTCAGACTTTCCCTCTGCCATGAGAAGAATATGAGCCAGGTAAGTGATATGAATCTGGTCCTAGAATGAGGAAGACACATGGAACAGAAGCAAAACTGCAGTTGAACTGTTTACGTGAGCAAGAAATAAATTTTATTGTTGGAGTCACTTAGACCTTGACTGTTATAACAGAATAACCTAGCAAAAGCTGAACAAATCACTGCTTTTACCTACACAAATGATTTAAAGGAAAGAACACAGCCCCTAAATAAAAGAAAAGAAAACAAGCTAAATATCCAAGTAATTTCATACATTTTTAAAAGGTGAGAACTAAACAATTACATTCTTCCTTGTGCCTTAGGAAATCTGTACTAGGAAAGGCTTACAGATTTCATAAGATTCTAGTGCCACTTAATTGAAAGTACCTGCTTCTCAAGTTGGAATGAAAATGACTATGAGGTATTAGATGAGGAAAAAACCCAGATTATTAAGATTTGTCAAGAGTGTGACGGGGTAATGGTAAGCAATGTAATATATTTGCTCTTCATATTTTAGAACCAGGAAAAATACCAAGGAATACCTGAAGATTTATGTCCAGTGTTTTAAAGAAGGAAATAAGATCTTTCTAGATTCTAGGGCAAATTCATGCTTTCAAATAGTTATCAAGATAGTGACAGAATAGGTAACAGAGCAGAATAAGTTCTACTAAGAAAGTTTATTTTTCCTTTTCACTGTCTCTTATTATTATTATTTTGCCCGATAATCTTTGCCATTTATTAATGACAATCTGAATTAAACCCTTGGCACCTACATTGTCACTAGAAACGTTTTTGGCTACAGGGCAAGATAAAGAACTTTAATAAGTCATTATTAGCGGATCTTCATGCCTCCACTTGATTCCAGCTTACATACCACCAGTGGAACAGATTCAAAAATGACCTCTAAAAAAGGAATTGCAATTGAGCCAAAAGTATGGTGACTCATAAGTTCTTTAAAAAAAAAAAAAAAAGCTCTAGCAAAAAGGCAATTTAACAGTCTCCTACATCTCAGTGATTCATGAATGCTATATTTATGCATATTCATGAAAGAAAGATCTAAAAAGAATACTGTGTCACTTTTTTCTCCTTTTGATGCAGGCAGAGCAGATACTAAAAGGACACCTAAGCCATCTGCTCAACCCCAAAAACTCTGGAACTCAACATATCTGGCCATACAGGACTCTTGAATGTTCATGCTTTCAGGATTTATGGTTGTCTTTAGCTGTTTGAATACCAAAGCGTATGGAGAAACAATGATATAAAAAACTTAGCACCCTAAACATTTCTATTTCAGATGACTATTTGTTTTAATAGCTGTTTTATTTTCATGATACAAAATTTTGCAATTATCTCTTCAAATTTGGCTTGAGATTGGCATTTCATAAATTCAAGTGAGTACATAATTTTATACAGTTCAGCAAGTATCGTCTACTTATCTTTAAAGAGCAAAATGCAATAGAACTAGTGAGTGCCAAAAAAAATCCCTTTTAAGCAGTGTGATCTCATAGTTTATCATCCAAACTGCGGAAATTTTTAGAGGAAAAGTAGGCCCTATTAAAATTATATGAGAATTGTCTCAGGCAAACCTAGATGTATAATAACATGGGCTATGGGAAAAATTGAAATTTGAGTGTTAAATCAAAATTAATAAGACATTGATCTTTGTTAGGGGCTTGCTTTAATCATGTTTATGATAAGCTTCTCAAACTTCCTTGGTCTCCGTATTGGCTAGCAGGAGGCTGGGACTGTCTAAATGGTTTAGTGAGTTTGACGGTTACCTCTTCTAATATCTGATTTCATGATCATGGTTAGGATGTGCTATGGACTTTATGTACATCATATTATTTGGTCCTTAATGCAACATTATGAAATCTTTTCCCAATTTTTCAGAACATAAAATTGAGTCTCGGAAACATGAAATAACTTGTCCAAATTCATAAGCAAGTATGAAGTGGAGCCTGATTCAAACCCAGTTCTACCTAGACAGAAAAAGATACATTATTTCTTAAAGCTTTTGAGAATTTTTCCCTTTAGTCTTGCCTTCAGAGGGATAGAAGGCAAATGCCAGGAAAATCTTTCCTACTTCAGGGAAGACAATGGATATGAAGCTTATCCTTTACATAGTATCACACTATGTAAAGGATATCATACATCCTTTCTCATTTAATGGCTTTTAGAATCTTGGCTGGTCTTTTAAGAAATGCAAAATGATCACTTTTATGAGACACAAAATGTTTTTTGAGAGCTAAGAGTAATTCTAATTACCTTAACCAAAACCCAGTATGATTCTATTGGAAAGAAAGGGAATTTGTGCTCACACAATTTGGAGTTGAAATATGCTGGGTGACTTTGGGAAAGTTGTTCTGCATCTCAGAGTTCTAGTATCCCAATCTGATAGCAGTTTTCTTAGAGAATTGACAGAATGATGGTTAATTGGAAATATATATATACATATATATATATATATATAATGGAGAATTACACAGGGCCTGGGTTATATTAAGGTCATACATAATGGGCATCAGTTTTATTTGTTTTCTCTCCTGATAGCACCAAAGGATTTCAATGTAGATATTGGGAAGGTAAGAAATTTGAAGAAGAAAATCTGAGTTTAATTCCTAGCTACTTATTAGCTTAACCTTGAGACAGATAATCTCTGAAGCTGAAATTCCTCATCTTTAAGTGGAAACTATAAGAATAGATGTCTTTAATATCTCTCAGGATCTTTGTCAGTTGCAGATAAAAGGAACAAAAAAGTTCTCATAAACGATGACTTTCATATATAGTTATCATCATCATCATCATCATCATCATCATCATGACCTCTTAGTGACTAGTAAAATATCTGTGTAGTTGACAATCATGTGCACTAGACTTCAAGTGAAGATGATGCAGCTGGTCTTTCAATAACACTTAGAGAACCACTGGGATAGAATATAGTTGGCAAAGGGAGACTAGGAGAAAGTAAGGTTGAAAAAGCAGGTCCAAACTAAGATCCTGGGAGCTTTTAAAGAACAAGAAATACGCATAGCATTTGGAATTCCTGAAGATTTTTTTTTTTTTTACCAGAATGATAATGTAGACTGTATTGTGATTTAAGAGATTTTAGTGTGTATGCAGTTGATGGTGTTCTGCTGAGTATTAGATTGCCTGTAAACAGTATATTCCATCTAGAGTGAATCCACAGTCCAACCTGGCAGGCACTTCACATACATGTTTTAGGAATTTGATTAAAAGTTTAAAGTGTTATTTTAATTTGTTTTTCTTTTAAAGGACCTTTCTGGGAACTTTTGGGGTGAAAGAACTATGTCGCAGGGTATTGTGTTAGTGGATATACAACTATGTGCATTTGTCAAAATCCATAGAAATGTGCATCACAAAAAGAGAACGTTATTCTATGCAACTTTAAAAAATTAAACAGGATATTTGAGAAACACAAGATGGAATGCAGACTCTGAGAAATGAATCTAACTGTGTAACAAATGAATCACATAACCATACTGAAACAGATGAGGAAGAAAGGAGCTGATCTAAGTAACTTTGTGAAATTATCTTTTGATTTGATAATGTAAGACTAAAGATTAAAAATAACTGTATCATAATTGGTAAATCCATTTCTCATTAGATTATGTGTTACAGTTCTGAAACTAATATTACATGTATACTAGGGTTGAAAAATAAGAAAAATATAGTAATAAAAATTAGCTTTCCAACTGCCTAAGAAAGAAATTAAAAATAAGCAAAGCCAAAATGCTAGAATGAACCATAAAGGTGTTTGACTGGAGTTGGAGATATGAATATGAAGTCATGTTGATATATACATATATATATGCATACACATGAATATATATGTGTATATATATATATATATATATATATACACACACACAGAGAAGATAAATAAATAAACATAAATGATATGTGTATACATGCACTGGTATACATACATACCTTCCCTAACACTGTCTGCTGAGAAGTCTAGAAGCACTGACACCCCAGTAGTGACTAGTGCAACTAGTTCCCAGAACTTGGTCTCTATTACCATTCCTCAATAACAGAAACCAGGAATCGTTGGAGAAATGGCTAATTCTAGGGCTGGGCAGGGAAACTTCGAGATGAGCCTAGAGCATCTGGTGGTGCTAGGATGTAAAGAAGTGCTAAAAAAAAAAAAAAAAAAGAAAGAAAAGAAAGGATGAGGTGCATGTCAGAAGGACACAGACACAATCTAAAGACCTCCAGGTGACCAAAACTGGAACAATTTAAGCTACAAAACTGGAACAATTTAAGGTACAAAACAAATATTGATGGTGCTATATTATAACTGAAAGAATAAAATAAATATCCACTAGTCCATACTGATATAAATTATTGAATACATATATGAATGACATGGAAGGAATAGTCCTCCAGAAGAATTCCAATTAAAAATAAAGGAATGAGGGAACAGAGAAACACCATCAGAACGCCATTATAATAATTGCAGCAGGTGACATTTGCTGACGTATAATGATACCTCAAATAATTAGGCAATATTTTAAAGAGAAATAGGATATCAGTATATCCTCAATATATCTCCCTCATGAATATGTTTTAATTGCTATGGCAATTTTAATATGTTCACAGGTTCTTTGATAATATTTTTATAAAGGTGGAGCTTAATTCCTATCCCTTTGAGTGTGGGGATGTTCTGAGTAGATACTGATACTGAGTAGAGTATGGAAAAAGAAAAATAGTCACTTTACAGTGGAGAAATATGACAAAAAACAGCTTAACCAAATTATTAAGGTTAGCATCACCAGAAGTAAGACACATTAATGTAATCTATCCTTAATATGATAAAGAAGGGCACATCAGCTCTGTGGTATTCCTCTCTCAAATACATAAGTTGAGTCTAATCATGAGAAAATATCAGAGAAATCCAAATAGAGGGGCTTTCTGCAAAAATCCAACCAGTGCTCTTCCAAGTGTCAAGATAATGAAAGACACTGAAGAAACATTACAGACAAGAGGAGATCAAGAGACATGAAAACTAAATGCAATACCGTATCCTGGATTGGATCTTGGAATAGAAAAAAGACATTATGGGAAACATTTGGGAAATCTGATTAAATATTCAGTTTGGTTAATGACATTGTGCCTATGTTAATTTCTTAGTATTGAAAATTGCAATGATAATTCATAATTGATATTTGATAATTGTCCCATGGTTATATAAGATTTTTACCTTAAAGGAAACTGAGTAGAGTGTATATAGGGACTCAGCTTCATTATTGCAGTTTCTCCATAAGTCTAAAGCTACTGCAAAGTAAAAAGTTAAAAGTTCTTGAGATAAGGAATTTGTCTTATTAAAGTAATGAGCAGATTAATTTAGTCCAATGAGATTAAACAACTAGAGACATTAGAAATGTTTTATCAATACTTGCTTTCTCCCTCACATTTATTTTCTCCAAGTGCATGACGTTCATTGTCACTTTCAAAGCACTCTAAAGTTGACATCCTTCTTCTCCCACACTTCCTTTATCACAAAGCTAACATTTGTCTGGAAGAAAGCCTAATTTCCCAGACTTCGCCATACTCTTTAAGTATTACCAGTTCCAAGCCCTCACATGCCAACTTACTCAGGATTCAAGGCTCTGCTGCCTTCCTGTCTCTCCACAATCCCCTTCAGTTATTTTGTGGTTGTTTCTCACATGTGCTCTACCAACCAAAGGCATTTGTGTTCCAAAACAAAAGTGCAAGATGAACTATCTCTACCATAAAGGACTAAATCTTTAACTACAGACTATCAGGCTTCACAGTATTTGGGTGGCTGTAGTGGGAAAGACCTTTCATGAATACTTCAAATAAATCCATAGAATGTTTCTAAAACCATTCCAACTCATAGCCTTTCTAATTTGAGGGCATTTTCATACTTTGCAAAATGCAATCTCCACATTCCTATTCACTTCACGCAAAATAAAAATTTTACATCTGTTGAGGTGTTTCATTTTGCTATTTTACACATCTGTTGTTCTGTGACCCTTCTTGTTAGGCCCATTTGTCACCATATGTGGTCATAATAAAAGACATGAGAAATAGGTTAATTGAACATTTATAGCTGCCTTCAAAAAGAATATATCGACCCCTCTCCCAGCCACGGTTTATTTTGGGAGTATAAATCTCCCTCTCTCTTTCTTTGTGTTTTATTTTCTCTGAGTGTGGCAGTGTGAGTGAGTTTTTGTGTCTCCATGGACTTGTGTGTGTGTATGTGTGTGTGTGTGTGTGTGTGTAATTACAAAATAGATAAAAACCCATTTGAAAACATTGTCGCCAGCATGAATAACAAATTATTGCACTTTGATGGATTTTCTTAGAATGTTGTGTATATCCAAGATAATGTGTGCACCAGGATATATACATTATCATAGCAAACGCTTCTAAAATTGCTGAGTAAACCATAGCATTCAGTTTGACTTAATGGTCATGTTGTTTTAATTCTTCAGACCTTCAAGAAATTCTTTCTCTTTAACTAACTGAGCTGTGTGTACCTCTCTCTTCAGCAAACTTTTTCCACTTTCTGTCTGGCCAGTCTCTTAACTAGCTAATGAACCAATTGTTTTAGACATGTAAGGCAGAAAAGTTTGCAGAAATATTTCATAAAAATGTGAGTTCTATGCTTCAAATGCTAAAAGGCAGCAGAGAAACCCCAGATTTCCTTGCAAAACAGAGAGATTGCTATTGTGCATTAAAGTTTGATGAATCTGAGTACTCAGAATACATCCTCAAACTATTTTATTTTCATTTGAAGAGGTCTAGTAAATGACATCTCATGGTATATTAAGTAATATTCTCTAAGTATACCAAGTTCAGAAGTTCATACCATCCTTTATGATCTAGTAGTGGCAAGTATATTCATATTTTTTAGATTACATAGCATCATAGAAAATACATTTTACTAAATTTACTAGCTGATATGTAATAGCATTACCAAACAGAAACCTGAGAAAAATCTGGAGGAAATTCTCAAGTACGTCTTCCTCAAACCTGTATGTTACTAACAAGTTGGGGACCAGTGGATGGAAAAATGACTTCAGTGAGAGTGAAGGACATTTGAAGATATTCTCAACTTCTTGGATTACAGAAAACGAAAAAGGGGTATCAAAAGTGATTTCCAAACATTCAAAGAGGGAATACATACAGTCTTACTAGAGAGTGTTTATTATCTTTCAGTGGATCTTTGCTGACCTTATGTTCACGAGTGACTTAGGAAAGAAAGATAATTTGAAAAAATGTCACACTTTGAAGATTGAGAGTGGCTAATCCTATGCTCTGAGCATACTCAGCAGTGCTCTTATCAAATTATCAACTTTTTAGAGTAGTAAGTTAATTTTCTTCCTCCTTATGGGCAGAGGACACATGCATGCCATCTTTATATATCCTGTGCAAGTATTAAATGTTCTAAAAATGTCTATTTTCAGGTAACAAGTAAGATCATGAACCAAGATTCAGAAAGGAAATTACCCTATAGGGCAGGAAGGGTAACATGGCACGTGGGCAGCCTCTTCCTCCCAGTCCTCTCTCCCAACACACGTTGCTTCTTGGAATTCTTTGCTGCTTAGCCCAATTACTACCTCCAAGCATCTACTACCAATTCATCAGTTGGTATGAAAGGAATACTTACCTGCCTACAGAGCTTTAAGAATGGCTAGCGGTCTAAACCAGGGTTTGATGTAAAATATAGGCAATTTCTAATTGGGAGTGAGGGGGATTCATGGCAGCAATGGCCAACTAGGGCTTCTCAATCCATTACTCAAAAAGTTAGTAACTCATTGTCTCAAATTGAATTCGAAGTGGCTGCTCCTTAGGAAGGCAGCTGTGCCAACTACCCATTTATTGGAGGAAAATAGATTCCTTTTAATGAGCACTTTCAGAAGGGATGGAAAAAAAGTAAGACCGTTGAGTATTTTGGGGATCACTTCTTGGAGTTTTTCACTGGGTTACTGATCTTGAGTTAAAGGTTCTTGGATTTCTGGGACTTTGGTGCTCTAAAGCGTCCCCTTTAAGTGTTCTCATTCTAATCTTCCAGAAGGCTCTACCTGCAAGGCACCTCGGATTCCAGCAACCTAATTGGTGAAATCTAGAGAAGAAATTCAAGATCTTGATGCTCAAAATGTATTCTTTGATTAAGAGAAATAATAAATTAGACCTCCAGTTTTTATTCTAGAATGTCCAAATTTTTCCACCAGGAAAAAAGAGGAGAGTAGGTTCTGTGAAGACATCCTATTCAGGAATAGAAACTTAATATTCTATCTTGTGTTTTTTGGAGTTTGAGGGCAAAAACAGGGTGCAGGAGGGTGAGAAATCCCAATATAAGACTTTCTGGTTGCAAACTCTTCACCCCTTGAACAATTAAGTGTCTCATTCTTCCTTAATACAGAAATTCTCTATCCTGGTAACCGAAAAATACACCCAGGCCGAACAGGTAGCCTACTGATAGGTAACTAATTGGCCCCTGCTAAATAAAGTGTAAGAGAATAACACCATTGTTTGATTTTTACACTAATATTCCATTCTAAAAAAAAAGATGTCTCCAATGTGCAATATAATATTGTCTAATTAGCAAATAATATTATCTATGATTAGCACTTGATTGACACCTGTCTGATTTACACTTGTTTAGTGCCCAGTTTTTCAATAATAGAAAAACAATCAATGTTCTATAATAGAAATTTTGGGGGCTAAAATGTTAAGTAAATTTATTTATAAAGAAATAAACCCAGTTTTATTTAATTAATTACCCTAGTATCTAATATGTCTGAAAGGCATAAAGATGAAAGCAAAACAACAAACTTATTTCTTTTAATTCTCAAAAGTATTAATTAAAGCAATGGATCTTCATTTAGGATGCTGACTTAGTTATTGCACTAAAAAACTCTTTTCTGTAAGCCTAAGTTACTATTAACTCTTATTTTTTAAATGTTCTATGATGAAGATATTTTCTATCATCAAAAGGAAATATGTTAAATAAGAAAAAGATTTTGTACTTAAGTGTAATTATTAGAAGTGTGCTAATAATATGAAGATATTTGTGCTATATCTACACACTCAGACAAATTTGAGTTTAGGCAAATAGCAAATTACTTTAAAAGCCATCACCTATCAAACTTTTTTCCAGGTTGGCTCATGTGAACAACCACAGTCTCAGGCAAAATTTTTTAAAATTATGCACAAACAGATGTGAAATTATCTGTGTTTAATTCCTAGAAAAGGATAGATACTGTTATAGCAATATATTTCAGATGAATCATTTCTCAGCTGTGAATTAAAAATATCTCCATTGTATCAGCCTTTTTAAACCTTTTTATCTAAAATTTCATCTTTGAGTCAGATTTCTCCACTCATGACACATTCTGATAGTGTCTGGCCTACTTCTACAGCTTAAAGAGTGTTCATTAAAATGAAATACATTAACATGTAAGCCACAGACGGGGAAGATAAAATTGCTTTAAATAACTACCAAGGAAGTAGGTGTAAATGAAAACAGTTATAAGTTGAAAATTAATTCAGGCATTAATACTTTGATACCAGAGAGATTTCAGGTTCAGCAATTAATTATTCATTCTGAAATGCTTGAAATAGCCTTATTATTTAAAGACAGAAAAACTTAGAGATGAGACTGGTCATTCAAAAAGAGGCTAGATATAAATCAAAAGTTAAGATATTTTGGCACTTGCTGTTAATAAACATATGCTATAGTAAGAAATGCAGTTCAAATATACTCTTATTTCTAGAAAGTATATACTCAGCAGAATTTTTAATAATAGAAGGATAAAAGAAAGAAACAGGAAATTGCCTAGGTTTTTTTTAACATTTTTACAACCTGACTCAATTTTTCTGTGGAACGAAATAGACTGCAAATAAATAAAATCTGTGTTACAAAAATTTAAGAATAGAAAAGTTTCTATATGTCCCTATATTTAGGTCAAATGCAAAGAAATGTCTTTTCCTGTCAATGCCATTTCTCTGCATTGTCAAGGGATTGGGCAGTTTCAATTGCTGAATACTCCTGAGAATATGCTGTAAAGCAAATTATACTTTTGCCTACTTACATAGTCCAAGAAAAAACAGAGTTGGGCAGTAGTTAAAGCAGTAAACCCAGATTTTATTCAGGAACTAGTGCAATAAGGGAAAGAGACCTCATTATGGAACTGAGCTCAATTCTGAATATAGTGTGGAATATATAATGTCATATATACAATACTATATATACATATAGATGTGTGTATATATATTCTCCTAATATAGAATATATTCTTCTAGAAATAGAATATATTCTATATATACAGAGAATATATAGAATATATCCTATATATAGACTATATCCTATATATATTCTATATATTCTCTATATATATAGAATATATTCTTCTAATGTATTATAGTCTTGGCTGTGGTCTCAGGAGCTAGTGCAGGGGCCGACCATGGCCACAAGGTAGTATATGGGAGGAAGTATGAATTTGTGGGCCTACACAGGTTTACAGCCTGAATGAGAGTGTGGATGTTCTATATCTGTGATCCTAGTGTCCCTATATTATATATATATATATAATAGAAGGGCCACAGGATGAGAATCAGTGGATGAAAAATTACTAAAGGAAAACATTAGAGTTAAGGAAGGTGTCTGGTTAAACAGATCTAATAATATTCTTGCTAAAGGCAGAACAAGTGATTACATATCACCTGGGGAAGATAAGCAATTAGGTATTGGATCAGATATCAAGTGATGATATGAAGAGTGAGAGATTCTCTCCAAACTAACTGAGCAAGATTCTTGCTATAGCTGGGTGCTGCAGGGGCAAAAAGGACAAATGTCAAAGTTGAGGCCTATAGGGCTTAGGAGAAGCCTGACTCTAGTTAGACCAAGGAAAGAGTCTTTGTCAATATATAGCGTATTCTAAAAAGAAGAAGAAGAAAAAAGACTATTTTTAATTAAAGATATAGAAGTTTTCACACTTTGGGCCCATGTTTTGTTACTATGCACATGAATATGAATGGATTATTTTTAGGCTCCAAACCCTTTCAATAGAAAAGAAGTTGTATTCTTTAAATGAAATTGCAGAGGAAACATTTAAGATCATCTTCCCAGGATGACCAATGGACTTTATATCAGGTATAAAATCACATCAATTGGAGTCTCTGTGCAGCCCTAATACTGAAAAGGGTTTTGAAACTGACATCCTGGCCAGCAGGAAAGAGCACTGTGATTGATTAGCAATGTCTACCACGGGTGGGAAAGGGAAAACTAACAAATATATTATTTTCCCTGATTTAAATTTTTCATTGTATAGCTGTCTAAACAAAGTTAAATAATTTACCTAAGATCTTAAATATAAATAAGTGCAAGAAAAGACAAGACCTCAGGTATCCTGATTTGCAGTCTTTGTTTTTATATATCACACTGAATTTACCTGATTAAATTTTTTGTGTACATATTCATATACTAGAAACATTTGTGTGTATATGTACATGTATGGCTGTCTGAATATGCCTTCGAAACACTTAACCATATGAATAGTTCATTAGGCCATTATTTCTCAATTTCCTGTCTCATTATTTATTTAACAGTAAGAGAAATTATGATTGAAAGTACGTACCCCAAAACTAAAGTATGTTTGATTTTTCTTTCATAATTGTCTTTAATGGAATCTGATATTTTCCAGAAACTTTTAATGTTCACATTTTTGATGAAATGAAGATGACTGTAAAAGAATCATGCTTGCATTTTTGTGTTAAGCTAGGAGAAATTCCACTGGCAATCCCGATGGAATATGCAATGTTATTTAAGTACTTATAAACAATATACATAGAAATTCTTCTTAAGAGCATACAATGTAGAGTACCATACTATATTATACTAAATTCTTCTTATAATGCTGGTCTGAGAGACAACATAATGCCCATGATGTAGATGTTCTAAGTTATTCTTAAGAGATGCATTATACACTTAAATGTATACGTAGTGAATACGTAGGGCTTATCTCATAGCTTGCCCAACTCGACATTGCTCATAATTTGGCATGTTTCAGTGTTGTAGAAAGAAACTAAATTCCTTAAATCCTTTCCTACAATTTGACTGTTGCCCTTACCCTATGGGTAGATTTTCCTACACCAAGGAAAAATTGTGGTCCAGTTTATCCTACTAAGTGATTTAGATAAGGAACAGAATGTGGATGTTAGGAGGGAACTCTCAGAAACTAGTCTAGGCTGTGGTCTCAGGAGCTAGTGCAGGGGCTGACCATGGCTACAAGGTAGTATATGGAAGAAAGTATGAATTTGTGGGCCTACACAGGTTTACAGCCTGAATGAGAGTGTGGATGTTCTATATCTGTGATCCTAGTGTCCCTGCATGAAGGGCTGGATTCAAGTCTGGAGCAGTAGACAGGAAAAAAAAAATGGGTAAGTAACAAAGAAGTCAACTCTGAACCTTGCCAGGAGCAAGTGTGAGTTAGGAAAGATCCTTTAAAGGAATGCTGCTTCCAGGAAATGGCAGCACTGGGACCTAATAAGGGAAGGTACTCTTAAGGACACAACATAGTGTCAATTGTAAAATATTATGCCATTTATAGATCAACATAACTGAAAATATCTATGAGTGGCTGGGAAGGTATATCAATAAGAATGAGAATGAAATGATCATAGATGGAGAAGCTAATCTGTGCTGAACTTGGGGGCTCCTCACAACACATGAGTGGCAAAGGATGACGAGGCTAAAAAAACTCAAAGACTGTCTGCTCCACCATTTGGACTTGGACAGTAGAAATGATTGTCCCACAATACTGTTAAATTCATAAAGGAATGGGTGATTTATAACATAGCTTACTTTTACCATTTTACCATATAAATGAGGAAAGAAGTATAGATCATTGGAAGCATCCTTATTATTCAAGTGTGCACTCCAGATCCTGGTATGTAAGCCCTGGCACAGATTAGACATGCATTCAATAGATTTCAACTGAAGTTTGTTGAACACTTGCTATATGCCTGGCTCTATACTAGAAGCTTGAGCTTTCAATGGTAGTCAATTGCTGACAGGGTCCCTCCTCTCACTCACCTAAGGGATCTGAAATAAATATTTGAAAGAATCCATGAAATAATGTTATTCTGGCAAAGTAGATATTATATGACTCTCCACCTCTCTTCAATCACTGCTGGAATTCTCTATGCATTGCTTAAGAGCATGGGGCTTTGGGTTTTAACAAACCCAGGTTTAGATTCATCCAGTTTCACTACTTCTCAGGTAAATGACCTTGGAAGATCCCTTTACTGCACTGTGCCGTAGTTTCCTCATCTATAAAATAAATATGTTTTTTAAAAAGTATTTTAGAGATTCTAGTGCTTGGCCAGTTTTGGCTCTCCTCTCCTTCCAGAGGCACTTGGGAAGATTTTAGACAAGATCATGTGACTTTTTCTGACCAATGAAATTTTGAGCAATTTTGATCGTGGGGCTTCTGTGCCAAAGCATGGAGGAACCAGTGCATAACACTCTCTTTCCCCGCCAAGTTGAACAAAGATAACTTTTGTTCTTTCCAGATAATACAGTAATAAGACGGTTAATCTAGTCTCACAGGGATATACAAATATGCGTGTAGCATGGTAATAAATAAACATTTGTTATGTTAATTCCCTGAGATCTTAAGGTTAAGATCTGAAGTATTGTCTAATGTATTCTGACTAATATGTAGGCCTAGGTTAGACAAAATATTTGAATTGCTTAGCATAATGTTTAGGATATAGTAAGCACTCAATAAATGCTAGCCTTTGGCCTAGACACAGATGGTTTCTCTGAAAACATTTAATTTATAGCTCTGGTGTCCAGAAGGATAAAGTTGTAGACACTTCTCTAAGTATAAGAACTCTCCTGTTCTCAGTACAGGGAAACTATCAACCTCTATCCACACAGACTCATATGAAATGACTAGCTCTTTCTTTTATTTAAATCACTGTACGTTGACAATATTTGCTGTACCAAAGGGGCTCATGTTATTCAGCTCTACAAAGTCGCAAATAATATATATTTGAAAACAAGTGGTAGCTGATGTAAGCACCAGATGGCTCAAACATAAAATCAAGGGAGCTGCTTTTAGCTCTACCCCAGGGCTCTTAAAGCCGCCTTCTCAGTGCTCCTTTATATGTTGTAGTTTATTTCTGAAGTGACAATAAAATTGGGAACGGCAGAATGGAAAGGAGCACCACAGCCTCGGCATGTTTTAACAATCTGCTATGCATATGAGATGAAACGTTGCCATCACTAGAATCAACAACATCTTGACACATGATTCAAACGTCAAGAATATCCAAGAATGTAAGATGTCTTTGAAACAGCGACAAGAAGCTGAAGTCAAATCCAGATTGGAGCCCAATGCCTAAAAGGATCTCATTTCCTTTTTTCTGAAGGTTGACAAATTTGTAGAGCACAGTTTTAGCCTTCAGGACTGAACCTCTAAGAGATCCATTATTATAATTATTTGCATTTGGTGGCAGCATGGAGGGTGCCTCACTTAGTGTGAAGGTATCACAGTGAAGTGTTGTCCCCAAAGCAGCAGAAATGTTACCAGCTACAGAAAGGATCCCTGAGCCTACAGAATCAGCCCCATCTCCAGAAAATAAGTGATGGAGCTGTATTAGTTATGTTTTGATGCATAATAAATATCTCCAAATTGTGCAGCTTAAAACATCAAACATAATATCTCCGTTTCTGTGGGTCAGGATTCCAGCGGTGGCTTACCAAGGTGGTTCTAATTCAAGGTCTCTCATGAGACTGTAATCAAGATGATGGCTAAGGCTGTAGTTATCTGAGGTTTGATCAGTCCAGATAATTTGTTTCCAAGATCACTCAGGGTGGCTGTTAGTAGGAAACCTCAGTCTCCCACTAGGTGGACTTTTTCATAGAGCTGCCCACAACAGTAGCCTTCTTCCAGGCTACTGATCAGACGTGGTGGGCAGTGGGTGAAGCACACAAGACACAAATTGCAGTGACTCTTTTAATTCAGAGCAAAGTTGTATACCAGCACCTCTGTCACATGCCTTTGGTCAGATACACCGATCCCAGTACAATGATGTGAATACCAAGAAACCAGGATCATTGGGAGCCATCTCAAAAGCTGGCAACCACAGATGCCATGGCTGCATAGAACTGGCAAAGCAGTGCTCTCCCCTGCCTTCTTATTTTTCTCTGCTAGGTCAATTTTCCAAAATGTGCATGAAATCTTCACTTCTGTCTGGGGCCACACTGATATGAAAGAATATCCTATTTATTAATCTCTCATTTTGTAAATCTTTTGACATCTCGAAATATCTTTCTCTTTCTATTCTGTTTCTTTGGTGGGCTATTCTCATTTCTAATTTTCTTCAAATGACATTAAAGCTGCAATGTTGTGAGTCCAGGTTTTAGAAGACGTCCTCTCCAACAGGGAAGACACAAGAATAGACTGTGAGCAGAAACAGCCTATCCCTTTTTCACTCCGGTAACTTTGCTAAATTGCAAAATACACATGCTCTCATTTCCAATTAATTATCGCCTAACAAATACTTCCCAGTCTATTGTCTCTGTCTCTTGACAAATGAACAAGTTAGATGGGCAGTACCAGACAACAAGGGAAGGGACTATTGCTTGGAGTTGGCAGTAAAATCGGATTCAAAGAAAGAAATTTAGAAGAGGTTAATAGGGAGCTATTCATAAAGAGTTTTCCTCTTCCTACTTTAGCTATATGGAAACAAAAACATCAAAACTTTCTGGAAGAAAAGGAATTTGGTGGACACAATTGTCCCCCAGTTCAATAAGGTCATAAGTGTTAGAAAATTTGTTTTAAAAATAAGAGCAAAAGCAACTTGAACAGTGATTAGAGTATCAAACCAACTTGCCAGCCTCTCTCTACTTTTACTTCATTATGGTCCATCTAAATTTGCGGCCTGATTGACTAGGAGCTAGAAAAGATATATAGAGGTGGCAACCAATAGGGCACCTCTTTATATAGGAAACTGACAGTAGATAATGCAGGTCTTAACCTACATTGTTCTTGTTCCTCAAGTCCTGCAGGCTTTCTTTTCTACTCAGTCACACTGAGGGCCACCCCTTACCCAATACTTTATAAGAATCACTGCTTAAGTATTAAGTACACAGGCTCCAGAGTCCAGACCCTCTGGATTTGAACTCTGGCTATGGCACTTACTATCTGTGTCACTTTGTACAGGTACTCAGTTTCCATATGCCTAGTTTACTTTTCTTTAGTAATGATGATAGTAATAGTACTGCCAACTTCTCTGAGTTGTTGTGAATATTAAAAGGGTTAATGTGTTTAAATCACTTAAAATTTTGTCTGGCATGTACTCAATGCATACATACTACTATCATCACCACTTTTAAACACCTATATGCCTTCTTTATTTTTTGGTAAAATTTTAAGTTTTTATGTTATCCTATATTTATTTTTATTTTAAATAGTTTGTTGTGTGCCCACTAGAAAGCATATGCTGTCTTATTTATCTTTGTACCCTAGCACACTGTATAATACTTGGCACATCATGGGTATTCCATCAACTTTTGAATAGATAAATGCATTAATTAATAGGTGCATCAAGTTGCTTTATTCTTCACTGTCAAATTTTCATTTTACCCTCTGTTGAGTGTGTCTGGAAATTGTTTTTGCCATGGACATTCCTTATGTATGTAGATTTCAAAGAAGGTTGGATCAAATCACCTTTACACTAACTATAACTGAACGCTGGTTATATAACTTTGTAATTAGAAAGACTTGTGACCAAAGAGCTGTTGTGTCAATTAAACAAAAATCCTAAATATTACTTTTCCTTCTGGTGGTTTAACTCCTGTCTGTTTATCAGACACAGATTTATTTCCACAGATATAACCATTTGAACCATAGAAATGGTTGAGCCATAATATTTCCAAGTTGGATTACATCATGGATATCATATATTTAGATTGCTAATTTTACAGAGAGGAAAGTAGCAAATGGTGCCAAAATTACACAGCTAATTAGGATCCAAAATATAGAAATATATGCATGGGAGGAGTTAGAGAGAAATTCCATCCTCACCAACGCTAGAGTTCTGCTTCAATGGGCTACTTCTCTACACACAGCCTGAGTTTTCCCCTCGGGCCTGAGTTCTTTCTATAGAGGCGGCTGCCAGTAATGCCCTGCTCCTTGTCGCTTATCAGATCCATAGAAAATAGAAATATTGAGAGATTTGGCACACAATGAATCATATTCTGAAAAACATCACAGTCCACACAGCTAAAAAAAAGGAAAAGAGTTAAGAATATGTCTCAAGAAGGGGACAGAAAGAGAGAGACAGAGTCAGACAGCACAATAGACATAGATAGAAAGACAGAAGATATAGAAGATGGTGGACAATCTACAAGACTGGATTTTTAAAAGGATATTGACACACTGAAATCAGCAAAGGGCATTGGCTTCCAAAGGAGTTTAATCACCTCCAATCTAGGAAAGTTCAGGAGAGCATTTCTTGCCTACCAAACCTATTTGGCAGTTGCCATGAAAGCCAGAAAAACTCCTAAAAAAGGAGGGGTGTGTAGGTTGCATCTACCTAAGAAGCATAAAGCACCCCTTGTTCCTTCTGTAGACTGGTCAAAGGCAGACAAACAGATCCTGAATTTCAAATATGGGACTTGTTCTCTAGGTCCAGCATGGGACCTTGTACCCCACACCACTCCCCCACTACTAGATGAAGGGCTTCTTTGGGGCAGTTCATTTTTTTGTTGTTGTTTTTGGTTGGGGGGCAGGCTGTTATCTCTCAGTCATCTAACATAGCACTCAGCATATAATAATTAATAGTCTTTCTGGCATGAAATAATGAATGAGATGCTTCATTAAGCCAGCAGCCAATCAGCTGCTATAGCAAGAGACCTGCCCAGGCACTCAGGAAACCTGAATACTCATCTCAGTTTTAGGGGAGGAAAGAGCCTGGAAAGAGGTTAGGTTAAGTTGCTCAAGGCTGCAGAATTAACAATCCACAGGACCAGAACCAGGGTAGATTTCCAAGTTTCCATTCTTTCCACTGGACCTGCTGTGTTCTTATAAAGTAAAATGAACCTCAGTGGAATTATAAACTATTCTCATTGATACCATCTCATCCATAGCTACTCAGACTGCCTCTCCCCTGTCTCACCAACAATCTCCTATACGGGGCTGTCAGACAGGAGATAATTGTACTGTCTAATACTTAAAGTGTATATAATCTGTTGAAGTTACATTAATAATAATACTAACTTTATAATGTTTTTTATGTGCCAGGCACTAAGATCTTTACAAAAATTACTAAAATCTTTACAAAAGTTACTTCATTTTCACAATCACCTCATGAGGCAAGTTATTATTTTCCCTGTTTTTTAGGTTAGTAAACTGTAGCCCAGAGAAAGTATTTAATTTACTCAATGTCACACTGTTAGATAAAGTAGGCAGATATTACTTAGATTTTCTCAGTGACAAAGTGGAACTCAAAGCATTTGTGACTAGACCAAAATTACCAAACTAGTAAATGACAGTACCTGTTCCCAAACCCAAGGTTTGCAGCCTCTATCAAAAATATGTTTTTTCTCCTATCACCCTTGCCCCTAGACACTTTTGATGCAAAACTAATATTAATTTAGCAAAAAATATATACTACTTAAATGATTTAGATAAATAAACATTAAACAGATATCACCTAAAACATATACTATTTCAGCAAATAGTTGAAATATTTAGTGAGCTGGAAGGAACGGAAAGCCTACAGGTTGGAGAAAATCTCAAAAGTGACTGCATTTCACAAGGCAGTATCTAGATAAGGTTGGTTTCTGGCAGTTGCCTCAATGAATACATCTTCCTCATAAACAGCTGCAGGGGACAAGGAAGTCAAACAAACAAATAATGTTAAAAAAAAAGTTTTGACTTCATATAAGGCCTAAAACCTCATATGGTTTTAATGGCTAAACATTCTATCCAACTTAACCACTTAGTGCTTTTTCCTGGATTCATTTTCCAAGAGTTTAATGTTGTAGGCATAAGAATCACTTTCTTCACTGAAAGATGTAATTTGGTACAAGACTTGGTCATAACTGAGATTTTTCTCAAATGAATAAATTTAAGGGGACTATTAAAGTTTTTTATATTAATATCTACTAGAAGATCTAGACCAAGCAAAACCTAGATGTGTTGAGTTTGATACCAGTTTGTTCTCTAAAATCAAACTTTACTGAAATCACATATTTCTTTTATGTATGTACAGTGAATTGTGCAATTAGGACACACTTAGGTCCAACTCATTATGCCCTCCCACATTATGTTTTCTTTCTGTTGATAAGGAATCATTTTGTAACTAAATAGCAGGAGAATAAAACATTTAAAAATTATGATATGGTCAGGAAAGCACATATCTTGGTCAGACTCTACTATTTCAATTTGCATAATAGAAACTGCTTTAACTTTTTAAGACGGGTTTTATACGCAGATCAAGCTGAGGCTTTTATTGGCACTTCGTAATAGAACTCTTACCATCTTGAGATCTGATATCAACTATGAAAATGTTTGGTTGGGGTGTGTGACTACTACTCTCCATGAATCCTCCTGTTACCAGCAGATTTTGGGGGGTTGTCACAAGCACATGATGTAAGAATGTACAAATGTCCACACCAAAACATACATATTTGCAATTGTGTATGTGTTTTTTCATTTATCTAGTAAATATTTACTGAGTACCTACCATTTGCCAAGACTGTTTCAGTTATTGAGAATAAAATAGTAAAACAGTTCCTGGCTTTATGAAGCTTACAGTCTAGTGAGAAAGACAGGAACTACATAAGCAAAAGTGGTTTTTCATGTCATATATACATACTCATGTCATATCACATACACACACATATGTATGTGTATGTATGTATTCACCTTACATTCTGCTATATATACGTACACACAGTTGTACTTGTTCAGGTCAGTCTGAGAGTGGCAATTTTTTCCAAAGTTAAATGTGCTCCAGAATTGGTTGGATCAGGAAAAATTGCTTGTGGAGCTCTTAATCTTTAGTCACTTGCTCTCATTGCATCATGGAGTTATGAGGAGCAAAGGTTATCATAGGAGTGACATTATGATACCACCTGCCCTGGCATATTGCTAAAAACACTTGGCTCTTGCTGATTTGTCATATTTAGAGTAATGTTGTTGTGGTGAAACATTGCAAAGATTTTCTTCTTCATTGTCACTCGATTGGGAGTGAAAAGGCCAGGCTTCTAATTCCATCCCTGCAGTATACTGGCTGTATGATTTGGGCATATCACTGTATCTGCTGGGCCCTCATTTTCCTTCTCAATAGGAGGAACTGATGGAATCAGAATGCCCTCTAAAATTTCATCAGGCTGTAACATCCTCTGCCTATAGCTGGAATCATTTACCTTAGTACCTCTCTGTTCATGCCCTGTCAACATCTCATATTCTCAACAGCATTGCCTAGTACAGAATGTGCTGTTGCTAAACTTGTCAACAGGCTCGTACCAGCAAAGAATCCATCTGACTTCCCCTTCTGGTGTTGTCTGTCACCAGCCTGGACAGAGCATATGATTCGAATATGGAAACTAAGGTTTAGTATGGCAGTTCTCAGAGAGGCTTTTTCCAACACCTTGACCATGAGAGGTTCCCCGGCTTCATGCTTCTGAAGCACCTTGGACTTATTTTTCATAGTTCCTACCATAGTGTTATCATAGAAGTACCTTGGACTTATTTTTCACAGTTCCTACCACCAGGACTTATTTTTCATATTTCCTACCATATTTCCCACCAATAGTGTCAATTATGTAATTGTTTTGTTGTTTTTATTTATGGTCTCCGTTACAATACATTTTACAGAGAATTTCTTATTCACTCTTGTATCAACAGCACTTAGAATAGTGTCAGGAAAATGGAATACACTCAAAGGTGCATTGAAAAAGGAATAAATAAGTCCAGAATAATCTGATTTGTCAGTGTGGCAATGATCGAACAGCTCTTCTGTAGGAAAGCCTCCCTGGTCACCCTTCATGGCTTTGCTCCTGGCCTTTGGTATTTTTTCTTAACTGAGCCAATAGTACAGCTGCTCTTTGGCAGGCCTGGTTTTCTGCTGGCATTGGTTTCCCAGAAAGCTGCATTGCTGCTACATTGCTTCAAGTACAGCGCTGAGACAACTGTAATAATGCATATTCTGACAGCCCGTTCTGTTCCTGCTGTTCCATGTTGAATCTGTCCTTACCCACCTGGCTTACAGAAACTGCATGAAGTGAAACTTCATTTAATGCCTATAACGCATGTCCCGTAGCATCCTTCGTTGTCAGAGAGTTTGCCATTGTAGACCATTTCATGCTGCTCAGCAGGTCGACTTACTATTTATATATCCCCAAAATGTAAAGCCAATACTCCAGGGATATCTGTCTTCCACCCTCAAGCTGCCTTTTCATTACTTGTTTTCAGCTTCTTTATTTGTCAGTCGTCTAATATGTGCTTCTCAAATAAGGCCTAAGCATGGCTAGAAATTAAGGGCTTTCTTCTATTATGTCAGAAATTGTGGACCCAGGTCAGAAATGAGAGATACAAAAATTGGTATCTACCTGTATATGCCAGTCACTGTGCTAGATCTCTCATCTTGGATATTCTTTTTTTAAAAAAAACCTTTCCTACAATCAATGACCTACAAAATATATCACAGCTAGTTTATGGCAGAGACCTGTAACCAGGTCTGTCTGATTCTGATATAGTTTGGATATTTGTCCCCGCTTAAATCTCATGTTGAATTGTAATTCCCAGTGCTGGAGGTGGGGCCGGGTGGAGGTGTTTTGATCATGGGGGTGGATCCCTCATGGCTTGGTGCTGTCTTTGCAATAGTGAGTTCTCATGAGATCTTGTCTTCTAAAAGTGTGTGGCTCCCCGACCTTCACTCTCTCTCCTTTGCTCCCGTTCTCACCATGTGATGATGTGTCTGCTCCCGTTTTGCCTTCCACCCTAAATAAAAGATCCTTGAGGCCTCCCTAGAATCCAAGCAGATGCCAGTGCCACGCTTCCTGTATAGCCTGCAGAACCATTAGCCAATTAAACCTATTTTCTTTATAAATTACCCAGTCTCAGGTATTTCTTTATAACAATACCTTAACAGTCTGATACAGATTCCAAGCATTAACGACATACCTCATATGACTAAGTCTTAGTTAGAGTGCCGATTTGAATTTGCCAAATCCCCTTTTAGATTCAGCATGTCAAACTGATGAGTAATGTGTTAATCTGTGGAATGGGTGTCTCAAAGCATAGGGTCTTTTGCTAAGCCCTTGGAGATCTGTCAATACTCCAGCCAAAACAAAAAAATCAGAAGCAATAACTAAAAGCCATTCCTCTCTATAATCATACATGAGGAAGAACTGGAAAGAGCTAACAGGTTGTAATTCAGTTCCTAGGAGTAATGAGGGTTTTCTAGGTATAAGGAAATAAACAGTCCGACTCTTAATTACCAGGTATCTAGGCCCTGCCTTTCTTTGCATGGCATCAATACAATGGACTTTTATAAACCTATCAGTTTCTGTTGGATTCTTGTTGTATCCTTGACCACATTCCCTTTATTTTTATTTACATTCTAATTTGTATTAGAGAGAAAACCAAGTGAGTTTGCTGAAAACTAAGACATTTATTCTTCTGTGATAATGGAAGAAAATAATACCACACTCTCATCAGATCTTTTCCAGAGATTAGTATCTACACAATTATGAAAGTCAGTCTTTAGCCTCAGAGTGCTGTATGAAATATTCACTAAAACCCAAAGTTCTTCAATGCGCTTTTGACTTAATGCTCTATTTACTGAAGTAGATAGAAACATACCTAGAAGTCTGGGATAAACATTTTGGTTGGTTGTAATTCATAGCCTGGACCAAAATACTTCCAAATCATTCTTTCAAATCTCAGCAGGTAGGAAAATATATTGGAGCAACTTTGAATATAAGTATAAAGTTATTTTATTAATTTTATTAAGCATAGAAATGCACCAGTTGTTATCAGTACTTCTTTTTTACTACAAACGATGTTTTTCTAACTCAAACCAGAATTGGCTTTTGATTAACTAAGAGGATTTTTTTTATTCAAAGTAGTTTTGACCTATTAAGTATGGCAATATTTATACTGTCTCAGGATATTTACCAGGATGATAATAAACACGCATCTTTTCTTAGTTTTGACATTGGACTTTTTCTTCAAATGAATACTGGAGGTATATATATACAGAGATACGTATAGGAACACTGTAATCCTTAGCCCTCTGTGAATCTTCCTTTACTCCATCATATACACACATCTACTCGAACACCTCCAAACAATAGCTGCATGTAGGGACAAAAAACTTCCTCTACAAAATAAATGCAGTCTATCTTGTGCATTTGTTAAGTCACAGTGAAATTTTGGTGGCCGAGTGCAGCTAATGTTTTCCTTCGTAGGCTTTCCTTTGCAAACATTCAGAAATATTTTTTGGCAATCTGTTTAGTAGATTAATAGAAATGGTTTTCTTGAGGGAAAAAAATTACTTTTAAGGCTGAATTATATGATAGTCACTTACAAGATGAAATATTCATAATGCTGTGATGATTTTAAAGTAATTTCAATTAGAAAATAAGCTAACATTTATAGAGTGATGCTTATTTGCTAAGTGATTTGTATGCATTGTCTCATTTAACCTCACTACAATGTTGAGTGGTAGATATCATCATTATCTCCATTGAATAATTGCACAAACTTAGAGAAAATGAGTGGCTCCTAAGTACTGGAGCCAGGATTTGATGCTAAGTAAGTTTCCTCCAGAAACTCTATTATCAACCACTATGCTAAACCATCCTTTAAACAACAACCATGTGATGGAAACAAAAGTAACCTAGTGAAGTATTTGAACCAACTATTATAACCTATTAGTAATGTATAAGAAAAATGAAGTCTGGAGCTTCGGTTAGAGTCACACACCTAAGATCACCAGATGGGATGGAATCTGAGTCTTCTGACTTCCAGGACAGTGCTGTCTGTATTAGACAGTAACAACTTGTGTACTCTGATGTTAGCTATAAATACATGAAAGTTCACAGATCATGTATTTCTTCTGCTTAGGGCAAAAGTGTGATTTCTAAATTGTACTCCATGCACGAAGCCTCTGCTATTCCAGTGCTCTAAGAGGCTTGGCATATACTTTATGGGCCTTCTCATAAAGGTGAAAAGTAAGGGTAACCTTCTTTGCCTTCTGTGTCTAACTTAGCTCACAGTTTGTCTCCTGAGGCTTCATCAGCACTAACCTTGGTCATTCCAGGGCAACCCACTCTCATTCTACTGTGAAAATGACATTGCTTCCACTCCACAATGACTGGGAGTCAGAGCTTTCAGATGAAACCACGGCAACCAAAAGGATTAATTTCTGCTGTGTCTCAATAACACAATCATGTTATCTCTCAACAGTCTAAAAGATAACTCACACACACCTCTACTGTATAATAACATAAAGATAAAATAACAACCTAGAAACCAAATGTAACCTTCCAAAATACATAGAAATGAAGTGTTTTGATACTGAACAATTTTAATAATATATCGTGTGTGCAGAGTTATAAAACAATCATTAATGTAGTCTATAGAGAGGGCCATTACAAATGGTTCCTTCTTGTAACACATGGTTTCCTCAATACCTTGTTTTAATGGAATTTCCTTCTATCTGGCCAAAATTACGTTTACTAAGGAAGTAAAATGTTATTTTACATGATACCTTATTTTCCCACATAACTATTGAAAATGTCTGTCTTGGTGAACTTCTCTTCACCTCTGTTTTATGTACAATTAAAACTATCCCTTTGCTAAGGTCATTCCCCACAGTAATGCAAATAGCCCACAGTGATATATTCCACCATTAGCCTTGGCATGCTCACTCTGATTCTCCACATAATAAGACCCATAAGAAAATCTCACTGAGGACCTTTACTGTTGCTCATCAGAAAAGCCTACTTGGCACCTCGTGAAGAATATTTCACTGCTTACAAGTTAATGACTCCAATGACAAAACAGGAGCTCAAAAACCAATCCATATAAAAACAACAAAGTTCTTGAAAGCTAAGTAATTTCTGGTTAAACTACTGTTTTAACAGAATAAGGGTTTACAAGTTCATGATGCTTATTTAATTGTGTAATTCTGTTATGCTAACATCCTCTGAACTATCAGACGAGTTGTCCCTCTATGGCATCAAGGCTTATACAGAAGCAGATAGCTGTATTTGGTGTTGGCTTAAAATGTGAGAACAAGATTGGAAAATTGTGTGTAAACTCTTTTGTCCTGCAAAGTCCATTATGATAGAAATCTCCAGGAATTAACATTGAATTTGCCTCTCTTCCAGTTTTGGTGACAAAAGCTACTCACTTATTAGGTACCTTTAATAAAAAGACCCTATTATTGAAAAAGCTACTAGTACTGAAGTCTTATATGATCCCTTGCATAGGAATGTCCCCATTTAAGTAATTATAGATATAATGAATGTTAATAGGATATTTCTTCTGGAAGGTAGAGAATGGGATGCTAAGACATCCTAGCATAGTATTTCTCTCATCTCTACTCCTTATTACATGTGTGACTATGGACAAGATATTTAATCTCTCTGTGCCCCATTATCTTATTTGTAAAAGGGGAATTAATGCTCATATCTACCTCATAGTTGTTGAGGGGAGGAAATGAATTAATATATGTAAAACATTTAGGACTGTGTTTGTTACATAGTAGGAGTTAGATAATTCTCAGAATTGTAATTAATGTAATTATAATAATGACTTGTTACAACAGCTGTTCAATAAGTAGTTTCTGAAATACTGAATCAATGAACTCTGAATAGTATAAGGAAATCTATAGTAGATTTATTGGCTCTAGTTAGTTTCAACTATTACCTACAATGTATTTTCTCAGTAATAAAATATCATTATTTTCTTTAACAAAAGAGCTTGACTATATTAAGTCAGTGGGATCATTCTGATCTGTTTAGAGATATAAAGGGAGAAAGTTTAATTTTAAATATTTCTTGGATGTGTTAAAAATACATGCCTGTAATTTGGCACAAAATTCCCATTTTAGGAGTGCATTTGTCCTTCACAAAAATTTTAAGATCTTGATCTATAAATTTATACTCTAAACTTTTACATGAATCAGAACTGTTAAAAATACTCTGGATTCTATAGTTATCTTCTAGCAACCAGTATGACTCCCAAAATTGTCCTAGTCCATTTATGTTGCTGTAAAGGAATACCTGCGGCTAGATAATTTACAAAGAAAAGAGTTTTATTTGGCTTGTGATTCTGCAGGCTATGCAAGAAGCATGGTACCAGCATCTGCATTTATGAGGTCTCAAGTTGCTTCCACTCATGGCAGAGGGTGAAAGGGACCCAGTGTGTGAAGAGATCACATGGCAAGAGGGAGCAGGCCTAAGATTCCCGGCTCTTTTCAACAACCACTTCTTGTGGGAATAGTGAAAACTCACTCACTCCTGAGAGAATTTCATCAAGCCATCCACGAGGGATCCACTTCCGTAGCCCAAACACCATGGGCATCAAATTTCAACATGGAACTTGGTGAAGCAAAACATACCATATGCAAGCCATGGCACAAATAATTACCCTAAAACACAATATATTCACCATGTTATAATTGGAAAAAATCAATGTCTACATCGTAGGTAGAATTTTGTTAATTATATAGTTTCCTTACTCATGCCATTCTTCTTTGCTTCTACTTGGTAAGGTTGAATTTTCCCTTAAGTCTAACAGTCTGCTTAATTTCTTCTTCATTGTTTCATATGCAAATTTTTCCATTCACTTCTATAAGTAATAATAAGAAATAACTACATTTACTCACTCTCACTTGGTTGTTTATATAAAGTACAGTGTCTTTAATCCTTCCAAACCCTATAAAATAGGAACTGTTATCCAAATTAGATAAATGACGACACTAGGGGTTGGAGAGATTCATTAACTTGCTTTCTACCATGCAGTGAAATAATTAGTTAGGTTTAAGATCTGATCCCTATTTTATCTGAGTCCTTTCTAACTCACTGAACTATCTCACATCAAGGAATCTAGCTGACTGTCATCATCTACTGCCTGTAGCACCAGCTTTTCCAAATCTCTTTGTTTTGATCTCACTTTGGTTTCTCTTCTGCTTCATCCTCATCTAGCCCTGTGTGCAACCATGAATCTCCAACTCAACCAACTTCTCTATTCTCAATTCTTGTTTTACATAAAATTACCTCGCCAGGAATTCTACTTTATCTTGGCCTACGTGGGGAAAAAAATCTTGGATTGACTGTGAAGCTGAAATTATAGAGTGGATCCTGCACGCAACATAATTTTTTATGCAGTAAATTCCTGTATTCTTTTAAAAGCCTTTCTATGAGACAATGTGGCTTTACATAAGCAATTTAGCTCTACATAAGCAAGTACAAAGAAGAGCTTGGTTCATTGGGATAGCTATTTGTTTCTACTATCCTTTTATTGAGATGAAGTTGTAGTTGTATGCCACCCGTCTTTTTCAATGAACTCTCAAATCAGCATTAGAAATTCAAAACAATGGGAGCCAAACAGTCGAGGAAATTGAAGATCACATGTCCAAGTTACGGAACATAGAAAAGCCTGTTCACTGTCCCATTAAATTTAGTTTTCCCATCAATAAATATTCTGATTAAACTTCTACCTTTCAAGCCATTTTATGCTTTCATTTTTTTGAATTATAAAATGTTTTCATTTGAGTGCATACTCTATAAATTACGATGTATTATATAGCATTAAACTAATTTAACATAAATTTTAATTATTTTGAAGTTCATTTTTAAAAATAAAAGTATAATAGTCACAAAAAAATTTTAAGAGACTATTGCTAGCCCACCAAAAGGACAGTGTTCATTAGAACATCATTTCTCTGATATAATTTTTTATTTAAAATTTTGTTAAATTTTTATAAATAATGGAATTTGGGGATAAGAATGCTCTCACATTTTGAAACCTGACATTTTATAGTCAATAAGCCCCATGAGGCCTGGCATTTCTAACTGTTTTATTAGCTCCTATGATTTCAGCTCCTAGAATATTGCTTGACACATACAAGGAATTTAAATATTATTTGTGAATATAATAATTGCTATCCTTGCAAATGGAAAATGGAATAATTCTCACATCGTTAAGTAGTCTAATACAGACTCTCCTTAGTAAGATTCTACTTCTCAATAACAACAAATTGCAATGTCTGATAGATGACTGGACTTTTGAATTTTTAATTGTAGCTTGTTATGCAATTAATTATTTTCCATTTGAGAGTATCTTTCTTCAAAAGTATATTCTTTCATGCCAGATCTGTTGTAACTTAGACTATGATCCTGTTGGCTGTCAGCTAGGCAGCATGATCCATGGCCCAGAACAGTCAGAAAAGGGCCCAAAGAATCAGCCCTGCAGAACGGGACACATGTAAACTTTAGTCTCCCACATACCCACAAAAGATGTCTTTTGGACAGCTTATTTTATAACTACTGCTAAACTAGGGTTTTATTATTCAAACCAATAGTTCGACTAAAAAGGAAGGAATGTGAGTTCACTATTAACTGGAATTGGTCATTGCCACTGCCTTTTCAGAGAAAAACCAAGAGTTCCAAAGGGACTGGAAATTTTTTTTAAAGAGGGAGGGGTTGTAGTTTTGTTTGTTTGCATGTTTTTTGCTCAGCAACATTTCTTGTATGTCATGGGAACATAGTTGAACAGAGGAGAGTCCCAAGGCAAGATTTTACATAAGAATCTTTGCTTTTACTTCCCACTGCCACACTCGCTGTGTGAAGTTTTAAGAATCTAATCTGGTTTTCTTACTATTATAGAATTTCCTTATTAACTAAGTTAAAAAGGAGTAGATTATTTATGTGAAATGAGTGCTGAATTAAGGATCTCAGGCTACTACATTAGAGTTTCTCAAAAATGCAATGTTTTTCTGGTATTTGCTTTATTCCTTATGAAAAATTGTTAATATCCTTTAGCATTGCCAGTGATGGTGTTTAGTCTTTGTATCACTGGTACTTTTATTATCACCATCATTTAACACTTCAAAAGAAACAATTCTATTAAGAAGATAAGTTTAAAAATAGAAATCTTAAATACAACTATATACATTGTTTAAAATACCATAGAATTTATTTGTTAGATATTTGCTGGAAAATTATATTGATATTCCACTGACACAGATATCCTTTGATTTGCCTGAGACATAGCCAACAGTGCCTTGTAGACACACAAATATATTCCAGGTAATTTAAAACATGTACATGTTTGTGTGTATATGTGTGAGATGTATAGGGATATGTGCATGTGTGTGTATATTTACTTTCTACACAAAAACATAAAAGCAGATATAATTGGTCCTCTATGTGGCCAAGTTTGGAGGTATGTTAGTGAATAATGAGATTTTACCTTTGAAAAGTTATTTTGGGGCAATTTGAGCTTTATCAATGATTTTTATTTATAGAACATATTAAGAAACAACATGATTGAAAGACTTTTTAGGGAACTGACATCCTCTAAGAGGAAGACATTCTACATGTAGGTTTTAATATTTTACTATAAGAAAACCTTATAAACTGTTGATTGGGAATTCTAAGGGCATGTCTTTAACCTTAGCACAGCAGAGCTTGATGCTATAGTCTAGGATATGGAAATGACTCCTAAATGTTGCCTCAGAATGAAAGATGGCCTAATATCAAAGTCAGTGATGGGGTGTTGTGTAAACCTCATAAAATTGGATTTTGGTCAATTGTGTCCACGGTCAGGGAAGTCTTCATATCAAAGACCATCTGTGTATATGTTGCATGACTGTTGATTGTCTCATGAGTGTTTGTCTTTTATGTATGATTAATACACAAAATGTTTTTCTTTTCTTTCCTTTTCCCTTTTTGTAGAAATTATTGAACCTACTACCTCTAGTCCTGTCACAAGTCCAGGTCAGTATCCACATACATTCTCAAAGTATGTCTGGGTACTTTTCCATTAAACAAGACCTTCTCATCATTATAGAAATAAACCAAGTTGATTATGGGCCGCATGCTTGCGGTACTGCTCTAATGTCTGTTACTTGTCCTCGTCTATCTGTGATATGTCCTCCTGTTGGATTTTGTGATCTGACCCTGATTTGAAGTTTACGTCTTTGATTTCATTCTGTAGGGCATATGCGGTAAATATGTGTCACGTTGTAGAATAGTTGCAAGGTGATTAGCTTCTGCAATGCCTTTGCAAACAGAGCTGTAGAGAGTTTACAAGGCTTTTGGAGTAGCTATTAAAAAACTATTTACTATGGCTTGGTATTCCATTGTTATAAAATCATTATGAAGCAAGAAGGTATTTAGTGCTTCTAAAGGGAACAATAGCTAGGGGAAAACCTATACTTCTACTCTTGCAATATTATAGTAGGAGATTTTGGTCTCTTGAAACTATCAAGTTAGAGGACTTATTTCAGTTGTTGGGCTTTATTTTCAGATTGTTCCTAATTCAGCCACAAATACTTTGAAAAGATAGGCCATTGCTGTTAAGTGTGTTTTTAAAAGTTGTTTTCAACTGTGAACATTTCTGAGTGACATGAAATCGAGATAAAAGCAATTGATATTAGAAACAACCTTTTTCTCGTTATATAGGAATTTAGCAGTTCATTCTGAATGTTGGCTGCTGGCTATTTAAAGAAGAAAGTGGAAATGCTAAAGTTATTCAGCTTTGAAAAGTTCATAGGGATTTCTTGTAACTGCTGAGTTAAAGGATTTGTTGGTGCTGCCTACACATAAAGAGGTATAAGTTAGTTAAATAGTTTTTTCTCCTCTCATTCCAGAAATGGCACTAAATTTTAGTCTAAAACAGGATTTGCTGATCTGAGAAACTGAGTGTTTTAGAAATGAAAAAAAAAATTCTATCTCAAATTGTAATCAATCAAAAATGCTTTAAATTGCTTTAGATGATTATGAATTACCCCCACCCCAAAATGAAACATGTTTGAGCAAGTCTATGATTATATATTTAAAGAATCTCATAATATAACACTTTCTGGTCAAATTATAGAATACTTTTTCATAACCTCTCAAACTGAAACATATTGAGTGGTCTATTTAAAATCATTTTATAGTTAATGCACACAAAGTTTAAGTTTTGTGATTAATAACAGTTTCCCATTTTACAGGGGTTAGTCTCTCAAAGTTGAGTGTCATATTAATATAATTAGAACCAGTCATCATGGGAATCTAATTTTTCTTTTAACTTATAAAGACTTATTAGGTGTGATTCCTACTAATGCCTTTGTCCTCTACAGATTAATATAATCTCAGGTTCATATGAGATCATAATCTTGCTAGTAAACTTTTTGATCTTCTTTTCTCTATCACTTTTAATGAGGATATTAAGTAACTTCCATATAGCTATGTCACCTGATGGGTTGACGTAAAGATTAGATAAGTTCTTACTTTCCTTTTTTGGTCATTGCCCTAATTATTGGTTGAAGTCCTCATAAATTAAAAGGACACAGTACCTTTCTTATCTACTCAAACAAAGAATAGTAGAATGCAAAATATTTTAAGAAGTGGTACCTAGTGGCATCCAGTAATAGCATATTTTCTGACTTCATGTTTTTGGAAAAGGTTTTATTGGGAATAGGTATAGTGAGATTATTTTTTCAGTATGTTATTTATATCAAAAGATCTTTCCATGGTTGGGCTTCTTAGAAAAAAATTCAAGTCAGGTTACTTAACCACTCTATACTCAGAGTTTCCATTTGTAAAATGGGGTGGGTGTACAATAAGGATAGTACCTAGTACATGGAGTTATTATGAAAATTGAGTAAGTCAATATTGGTAAAGTAACTATAAGTGTTCCTAGTACATAGTATGATAGAAGTGTAGGTTAAATTTGGGGGAAAAATACACACACACACATACACACACACCTCCTCATGACACCCAGATATGGAAAAAGTTTACTAATGTGCTTAAAGGCAAAAATTTGGACTGCTTAGCCTTTCAAGCACTCTGAGACATAATAATTGTTGGCACGACTTCTAAAATGCCCAAGCAGCAGCCATTATGTCCCAGAATTGGTCAATTTGTTGCTAGGGTTAAATGTTTGGAAACTATGAATGTGTGAAAAATAGTCTAAAATTGAATTTCTTAGCACCACAGTCTTTAAAAAAAGATAATATAAACTTTTAGAAATGATTATTGTAGGGAAATTTAATAAATACGTGTTGAATTGAATTGAAAGATAAAAAACAAGTGCAGCTATAAATGAAACTCACCCTTCATTAATTGTGAATTTGTTGAAGGCCTCCAGGGAACAGTTTGGTTAGGCAAGGATTTAAAGAGTATGTGGTTATAGCAGGATTGAAAGAGCGGTATAAATGATAAACAAAAGCTTTTAAAAGAATGTGCAATCTGCTGAGCAAGATACAAAGGAGAAGGATTTGGCAATATATAACTAAGCAAAAGAACATAAAGGCAGGTGGGAAAATAATTTACTCTGTGAATAAAATCAAACTACTAAAAGTTCCAGTTGTTTCAAACAAAGCTTTAAAAAATGTTATCCAAATGAAAATAGTAAATGAAAATTCTCACAAAAGTATTCAGGAGATAATAAATATTAGATTTGCAAACTACCCCATTTACTGCTTCTACATAAGTGGAAAAAGAGAATGTAAAATAACTCAGCACAGATCTCATATTTCCTAATATTACTGCCAGAGAGTTAAAGCAGAGATAAAGTGGATATAGTTATGAAAATATTGGACACACTGAAAATAGATTGAAGTAAGTGGATTTATATCATTTATGATCATAAGTTCTGAAGAAATGAAGGTCCTGAAGTCATAACTTATGCTTTATATATTCTTGACAAGTCAGAATCTGTTTCAAATGAAGGGAATGAAAATTGAATTATTAACATCATTATTCAAGAAAAGGCTATGAAATATAGTACATAATAAGAATGAAAGAAAACTATTCTTTCATTAGTCTCAGTCTCAGTTTGAAAGGTAAGGGGCGTTTTTCACAATGAATGAGATATATGGTGAATTAGCAAATTCATACTACCTTTATTGTAATTGTTGTGCTGGACTATAAGTTATTCTGGACAATGGCCATCGAGCTAAAAATGCTTACCATCTCTTACTAAACCAGTGTAATCTTATTCAATGACATAAATCATTTCTATTTACTTTTTGAAAAAAACAAACACATTCTTGAGATCATCTTCGAAGTGTATTTTAATATTTATGTTGGACTTTTATTTTAAAGAGTGGAAAGGAGCTTAAGGGTATCTACTCTGCCTAAAACAAACTATTAATCCTAAAATTATTTATTGGGTTGCTTTGTGTAGCCTGTCTGTCTGAATACATTACACAAGTAGTCTGTGACCTTGATCCCTGCAATTCAAGACTGAACTTCCCAATCTAGATTAAATTCACAATAATGCCCTAATGCTGGTTTTATATTCCTAGGTCATAATTATCTCTAAAGCATCAAGCTAATAATCTAAAAAGTTAAAATTGTAGTCCTACCAGTATTCACTTAGCTTCATATAGATTCAAAACATTTAATAAACATTAATTCGGCAAACCATTTTTAGTCTATAGGCAGATGATTAAAATTAAATATTTGTTTAATGCACCGCAAATACCCCACCTAGCATCTGTCCTTACTTTGTCCCTAGAAATAATCTTTAGCAGTCATCAACTAAAAATTTTTATTCTGAAAATAATTTAATCTTTAACTGAATGCTGTTGTTATTCATAGTAAAAAAAAATGCTTTATTTATGTGTCTTTAGACAAATGGAGAAGTAGTTTTGAAATACGATTCATCTATACCTAAAAATAAACCAAAAAAAGTCAATGTAGACTCTTAAGTTGGACTTGTACAGTGTCACTATTTTAAAATGGCTATCATTAAGCACATTGTATTTATGGGTGTTTTAAGATCATTTTTAAGTCTATGAAACAATCTAGTTCCCGTTGACAGTCAAGGGAAAAAACCGAAACAATTGTTTTTTTACCAAAGGTCACTGAGCAAGCATACAGCCAAACCAATATTGAAATGCCTACAGCTATATCATCAAATGTTTGCCTCATTTTCAACAACAGAACTGTTTTTGAAAAAACAGAATTTAATGTTTGTAAACTGAATTATTTAAATTCACCACAAGATACCATATTATGTAAAGAAATTCCACTTTAAATTGAATAAATGCTATCTGATTCATGTACTTAGAAAATAATTTTTCACTTTGCTAGTTTACTGTATTTTGTTAAAAAGGAAAATGTCTTTGTTTAACTTACCCCAGGAAGATCCATTTTCTATTTCCTGTGAAGGATATAGTTTGTCATTTAGCAAAACTTTATTGAGTAACAGCTGTATCAAGCACTGAGTACTAGGAGCATAGGTTATTATCTTAAAGGTGTTTATAATCTATAAAAGAGATAGGCATATGTATAACTATCCATTACTTAATATGATATATTCTATAGTTTCATACTAAAGAAAAATCAGACAATTTTGCCTGGGGGAAATCTTCACATATATGAACAGAATCTTCATGGATTAGGTATAGTTAGCAAGAAATGGGAGTACCATAGCAAGCAAAAACTTAAAAAGTCAAAATGGTAGAAAATGTAGAAGACTAGGGGTAAAAACTGACTTAATTTCTATATCTTTATTATCTAATAGAGTGCTTAGTATTTAGCAGGTCTTCCATGTATGCCAGATGATTTCAGCAAAAATGCTGAACCACTTAGCAAAGCGTTTGAACCAAAAAAATGAATACAGAAGTTAGTTTCCTGACAAAAGCTACGTAACACTGTTTGCTTTACATTGGGTTGTGTCTAACTTTCATCATTTAAAAAACCCATGTAAGAGAAGACAATACAATAAAAAACAGAATTAATTTTCTACCAAAATTAACTTACTACCAATATTCACTCTCTTGTGATTTATAGATAATAGAGGTTTCTAAAAATACTTTTTATGCTAGCATTTCCTATGGTAATTGAAATAGGATAATAAACAACCTTTTAAAATTGTATCATCAAGTTCTATGCTAAAAAAAAAAGTCCAATTGTCAATAGATTATCTTTCCTCCATAAGTGAATAAATAAATTAGTGAATGAATGCTTTAGAAAACCCATAAGTAATCCACAGAAGTAGAACATAAAAGGAATCTCATAGATTGTGATAGTGTACTCTAATAAAACTCATTCGGGAATAGAGAGGGGTGAAAATATTCAACTATCAAATAATCACACAATAGCAAGAAGGTTGGGTAATTTATCTATTTATTTACTAAACAAAATTCGAAAATCTTAATGACTAGACCAGATGCATATGCCTGATTACCCATGGATGGATGGATGGATGGATGGATGGATGGATGGATGGATGGATGGTGGTTGGATGGATGGATGGATGGATGGTGGATGAATGGAAGACACACTTATTTGTGGTTCATAGAGGTAGAGCTTTAGAAAAGTAGGGAAACTGGTGGAAGTTGGGAGTAAGTCACCTTCTGTGGTTTCTGTCAGTTCTCAAAAAATTATTGAGCATCTGAATGTGTGAGACACTGAACCATGCATCAGAGATGCAAAAGTGATTGGACCATTATTTATTTTTGTGAATCTCACATTTCAATGAATGAGAGGGACATGAAAACAAAACAGATTTATGTAATACAATATGTGCTATAAGAGAAATATGTGTAATGCACTCTTCAAACTCAGATATGGCTTTAAAAATATCATAAAAGGCTTTCTAGAGGATGTGATTCATGAATTTGTTAGTTTAGGCAAAAGCCATTCTAGACAAACAGTTCAATGTGGACAAAGGTACAGAGACATAGAAGAATATGGTGTGTTTGAGGGAAACTTCAAATAATTTCTGGAGTGTAAACTGAGCAGAAAGTGCAGTGAGGCTGAGAAAGTAGACAGGCTGGATCACTGAAGGGTCTTGTGTTCCTTGCTGTAAGCTTGATCTACTTACCCGTAGGCATAGGCTGATTATTAGGCTTCCTATGTAACTCTGAGAGTCAGGATCAAGGTCTAATTAACGTGAATAAGACGGGCATCAGAAAAGGTTATTATATAATGCCAGGAAAGAAATGATGAAAACCTCATATGTGATAGTGATAGTAGGAAGGAGAGAATGGAACTAATTCAAGAATTATTGCAACGGCAAACATATCAGGGCTTACTTGTTGATTTGATTCTGAGGACAGGGAGAGAGTGAAACAAGGATGACTCCCACCTCTCTCTGTGGGTGGTGGGGTACCAACCGAGATGGGGAAAATACCATAAATGTCATGCCAAATGTCTTGGACTTTATCCTGTTGTTTGGAACAAAAGATTCAGTGTTTTATTTTACTTTACACAGGAGAATACTATTACTGTGTATACTGTGCAGACATAATACTGTAAAAGTAATAAGAAAGGTAAGAATGAGAGTGAGGAGGCATCAAGCAAAGTCTATTATTACAAAGCTTATTTTAAGGTTTGTAGGGTTTTTTCCTAATTTAAAATAATCAAGCTTCCATTATTCTCTGATTGTTAGAGTGTAAAAAATTTAAGACAGCTCAGAATATATTTCAAATTCCAATTAATATGCCTGAATATAATGAATTCAGATATTAATTATAATTATCCATAATTAGTTGATTAATTTCCAGATAAAAGTATAGCAGAAAACCTACGATGCAATTTAGAATATGATGCTCATTATTTAAAAAGATAAAAAAGTAGGTGCTTTCTAATCTCTGTTTCTCACTATTCAATTCTTTCTTCCTTAACATATCTTCAGCTCTGTCTCAAAATATTATTTTAGGCTATTTGGCTTATGATTTACTCTCGGCTCAAAGTAACATGCCACTAAAGATATAGATCAATGCTTCAAAGTCAGGCACCACGTGTACTAATCACAAGTATTTAATATGTTAAATCAAATGATTGTTATATAGCATAAGTATTAAAATGACTGATGATTACTATTACTCTGTTTTATATACATAAAACAGACTTATAAATGTAAGTCCTTATTAAGTATATAGCAAGTATCTTGTACTGTCTAATTATAGAGTGACATCACAATTACCAAAACACTTAATACCTTACATTATATTTGGAGGTATGTGTCTGCTACAACTCTAGATTGCAAGATTCTTTAGAACAGGAAACAAGTTTTTTGTTCCTTGTTAAAAAATCATTCTCTGTACAGTGTCTGAAAGAGTGAGTGAAGCATGGTAAGAACTGAACTCACTGCATAAATGCATAAATGAATGAGTGAGTTAATGTGAGGAGGATTTCAGCTGGATGGGAAATTAGAAGAATTGAAATACCTATCTTTATAATTTAGATTTTAAGTCAAATAAGCATTGATTATTGCAAGTCCAGCATAGAGGCCAGATTTATAATGGGAGAGCATTTCAAAAATATATCTGCAAAAAGGAAGGGAAACAAAGGCTGGTGGAAAATAGAATTTCCCCCCAAAATTCCTAAGAGGAAGGGAAAAATTTTTTCCTCACCTAATTATTTCTGGTTTACCAGTGGAAAGAAAGAAAATAGAAGTTAACAAAAGACAGCCCTACAGGCTGAACACTGATTAGATGAATGTGATTGTGCCTTGCACTTAGGAAACACATAAGATTTGTTGAATGAAAGAATGGATGGGTGAATGAATGATTTCCTAGGTGTATTAATTTCCTTTTGTTGCTGTAATAAATTATCACAAATATGGTGGCTTAAAACAACATAAATGTATTATCTTATAGTTTTGGAGGTCAGAAGTCCAAAATGGGTCTCCCTGACTAAAATCAAGATGTCAGCAGGGCTGTGTGCTTTTCTGGAGCTGTAGGAGAAAATCTATTTTCCGCATTTTCCAACTTCTAGAAGCTGTCCATGTTCTTTTGCTCATGTGCCTCTTCCATCTTCAAAGCCAGAAATGGCCACTCAAATTTTTCTCATGTCACATCACGGTGACACTGACTCTTCAGTCTCCCTCTTTTGCATTTAAGAATACATGTGTTTACACTGGATTTACTTGGATAATCCAGGATAATCTACCTATTTTAAAGTCAGCTAATCATAATCCAATCTGCTACCTTAATTCCCCTTAGCTACATAATGTAATAAATTCCCAGGTTTCGGGAATTAGAATGTAGACATCTTTGGATGGTCATCACTCCGTAAACCATACCAGGTGAACAAATACTTCCTTTTTTCTACATCTAATATTTTCCTTCAGAACCTACCAAGCCTCCTTGAATTTTTCCAATATTCAGGTAATGAATTTTGTTAGAGTACAAGCTATTTGAATATTGACTTTTATAGTAAATGTTTATAAGCAACTATTTTACTATTAAAAAGGTAATGATTTTCATTGAAAAGATTATATTTATCAAGCCATATTACCAATAATTTTACAATATTTTATCAAATTGGTTGATATCACACACACACACACACACACACACACACACACACACACACTCCTATTTAAAAAGAAGACTCCAAGATCTTAATGTAAAATATAAATCCCAACTGGCCCACTGATAGTTAGAGAAGGCATCTATAACAGGAAAGAATCATAAATGCAAGTAAATCTTGAAACAATTAGAGTTAATGACTTTCGGTCTAATAAATGATTAGTCTTTCAATAATGCATGTAGGAAATAGTTTCTTTCCTGGACATAGGATTCTGTAAAAGCCAACAAGCAAATGCTTGCTTGTGGTTATTCTAAGTAGGCATGCATATATTTTAAGTTGGCCTTAATTTTGAAATAGCAAAAGCAAACAGAAAATGAAAAAAAATTGTTTAAATGAAGATTTTGCATTTAGAAGAATAAGGTAAAATTACTTAGAATATGAGCCCTCTAATTTTTGCTTTTCTGTCAGTCCTCCTAGCCCAGAGCTTCTCGCTATACTGAGGATCACAAATAATGCCTGTAGTCCAAAATTAGCAAATTTCATCCAGTTGTTATTAGCAGATCAGTGTTAAACTGATGCATGCTTGCAAATATGCACCTTCCTAGAGTTATTTGTATTTTAAAAGAAGCTTCCTATTTAACCCTAATTTATTTCTAATGATGGAAATTAGAAACAGGCTCATTGTGGGAATATTAGTAGGCAGGAGAGCCTTCCTGTTGCCATATAAATCGCTAAATCCAGAAATCCAGATGCTTGGACTCTGCCTGGTCATCTAGCCAGCATCAGTAGCCGACTTTGCATCTTTATCCCATTGTTTACCTTAAATAAACTAGGTAGATATTTTGCAAGTGCAAATAGACAAGGCTGTTTTGTGCTTTGTTTGAAGGTGGTAATATTCATACTCATATTTCAAAGTGAGTTATAGTTTAAAAAGTATTTTCAACAAACATCTACTTCTCAAAAATAATCTTACAATATATGAACAGGTAAGGAATTTGAAGTTCAGAGAGTCTGAACAACTTACCCAACAACCCAGAAATTCAGTAAATATTTCATGTGTTAAGGATCTTTCTGCATTATGTTAGGATCTTCCTGCATATGTAAATGAAATTACATCCTCACAACAACCCAACATCCTCACAACAACCCAACAACCCAAACTTACCTGCTCATTGGCTCCTCCCATCCTCACAACAACCCAACAACCCAAACTTACCTGCTCATTGGCTCCAAGAAGATTATCAGGGAGGCCCTGTTTGGGCACTTTTATTTAATAAAATGCTAACCAGTTTTCTTCCTGAGGTGAACCAACCATCTTTTGTTCATTTAAACAAACAACAAAACATGACATCTTTCATATCACACTTTGAGTCTTAAAGATTTTTGTGGTTTTCAAAAGACCATTGGCTGGCTCGTGGGCATAAGGCCAAGAGGACTTTATGCCTCTGATCATGCAGCCAGGCAATCAAAATCTTTCCAATTCATGAAATACTCATCACATTTACTTATTGTTTTTTATTGTATCTGGCTCAACAGGGCATTACAGTTATTAGGCAAGCACACATAGGAGCGTGTGAGTCTGTACCTTTACTGTTAGGCTTGGTTTTTAAAAAGTATTGTGCGTGTGTGTGTGTGTGTGTGTGTGTGTAAGGGGGGGGTAGAGGGGAGGAAAATAGCAGCATTTTATCTACCCATTTTACAATTCATGAGGGCAAGCTGACTAGGCCCACACCATGAGTAAGTAATTTCTGATTACTTATTTACTTAAAATTTACTTAATTAGAAATAATTTCTGCTACCAAGCAGAAATGATGACATTTCACCAATCTTTGTATTTCATTCATAGCACTTTTTTTGTCCCTTTTCTGGCCTTACCTCTTTCGCTACCACTCTCCTCCACTTAAACCACCAAACTTCCTTGATATCAGGATTACTCTGATTTTAAAATGAGATTATACTCAGACACAAAGGTAGTCATCATACCTGGTTGAGTAGACAGTGAGGACAAATTGGAACTGTCCACTTTCCAAGCCAGTGTCTTCTCTCTTGAAATTTCTTAAATTCAAGGATTTATATAACATTTTTGCATTAATGCATTCACTAATTCAACATCCCTTGCCTAGTATATATTATGTGCTACATACTGGGCTTCGAATAAAAATAAATCTTAGAATATAACCCTAAAATACAATGGTGGAGTCAGGAATGTATTATATCCTTTTTAATCCCATCATACACTAGAAATTCTATTTATCATATTTATTTAGAACCAAGGACATGTGTGTGCACCCATAAGAGCAAAGCACTTTGATAAATACCTTATGTTTTTATTTTTGCCTTTGTGGCTTTCAAAGGCTTTCAGTTCATTACTCATTTTATTTTCTGAATTTGACAGAGCAGAAAAAATTATGAATAGACATTTATGTTATGTATTTAAAGATGACTTGAAATATTAATATGTACAAATCTCATCCCCCATGTTAACTATGCTTTTCACAGCCAGCAGAATGCAGTCACTAGGTGGCACCTCTGGGCTATATTCTCTGCTGAAGACTCTCAAGTGTTGTTTCCATAGACTGATTTGTGTTTGAATTTTGTAGTATCTTCTCCCCTCTTATAAAAATATTTCATCAGACTATTATTTGTACTAATCCCTTGAACAAGAGTTGCTCCTATACACTTAATGGTAACATATTGAAACTGTTCATACCTACTGACAATTGAAAAATGAAAAATGTAGTCCTGTTTCCTGGTTGTTGAAACATACTGTGCCACACAATCTGTTTGTATTTAAATTTTCATTTGTTTGGGACTGAGTGAGATAGGATGATGTACTCAAGAAATATAGTAGAGTGTGATTAGGAAACTCTTACTTATTCAAAAGGTTTGAAGTCTAGTCAATTATGTTTAGGGCTTCAGGCATGTCTCAACTCATTCAGAAACATTGATGAAAAAGATGTGGCCCCTGTACTCAACAAATCTCATTCCACTGGTAACATAGTCTCTCTATAGTGGAGGGATTGGGCCAGATAATCTTAAACTTTGCTTTCATCTCTTAAATTCTATGAGTTTCCTATAAACGGGGTATGAAAGGTCTATGGGTCTAAATCAGCTGTGAAATTGCTCTGGTATCCTTATAAGCTTAGTTAAATTGACCGTTTTCCATTCAGCTGGGTATGTAGTGCTTTTGTACTTGAAATATCTACATTGAATCTAGGACTTTAGAATGAGAAAAACATAAATCTCTGACCCCAAGTAAGAGTCTCTGGGAAATAAGCTCAACTAAGAGAAAAGAACTCTACAAATTCCCAAATTAACGGGCTGCTAATTAAGATTCCCTAGAGTGACAAGTCACAGCTAACTTGTCCCTTTCTCCAGCAACTTGCAAAAATCATGGATCTCATGCAAACACAGAAATTTTCAGTGGGTTAATCTAATCACAGATTAATGAACCTTCAGTTCCTGCTGGATTGGGGTGGAGTGACAGAAGGCATTTGGTGGCAAGTAAAAGCAGGGTAACTTGTAATTTCTTAAGTCATATGTGAAATCACCTTCCCATTTTCTCCATCTGCTCTCCTGTATTGTCTTTCCCTGCCCCAGCCATGCCTATGACACTAAATAGGAGCTATAGTTAGTTGATTTTACATGCTTTTACACAAGACAGGCTTCACAGTAGGGTAGTGCACAGGAGCTGAAATGAGGTACTACTTATTTGGGACATCAATCTTCCCTTTAAGTGTAAAGAGCAAAGACTTAAACACAATTCTGAATAACCAAAAAAGGGTTCTAGGCTTTTGACCTGAGTTAATTTGTAACTAATTCATTAATTATTGTAATTAAAGAATGTATATATTAGTCCATAACCTGCCAGTGGGAATCATTGAGACAAAACCATGTATTGACTCCCTCACTTAAGCCTGTCCAAGGGAGATTTCTCTGGCACACAAAATGCAACTGAGTTTGCTTCGAAAAGAGCAATGGATTCTTGAGACTACATCTGATTCCACGCTTACGGAGCAACGTTATGACATTGGAGGTAGGTCAGCCTGTCTCCACAGCATGTCAGCATTGCAGTGGAATCCAAATAAAAGGCATTACTATTTACTAGGCAATTAGTCTGTGGCAGACACTGTGTTAAATAATTTTAAATCCATTATCTCAGTTAACCATCATGACAACCCCACCACTGGTCATTTTCATCCCAATTTACAGAAGAATCTGAAGCTGAGAGAGCTAATAAGTATGGTCAGAGTTCGTCTGACTCCAACTCCTACAAACTTAAAAATTAAGCCAGTTTCTCATCCCACCTTCTCACCCATATTTTTAGGGACCCACAAATTCTGTGAAAAAAGTTGAAATTTTGTCTTTTTTGTGTATTAGATAATCCTCAAATAATCATTTTACTAGATATTTTTTAAAAGACCTTTCCTTAGCTGTGAATAATGAGAAAGTTTTAAAAACCCCAGGTACACACACCTAGTCTCAGGTCTATAATTTTTTCATATTTTCTCTTAAAATGTATTCCTACACATCTCAGTTTGGAAGTACCATATCAAAATGGGCTGCCTAAGACTTCAGTGTGCATTTGACTTTGTGATTCACTTGCTGTGTGATCTTTTTTTGTTTTTTTTTAATTTTTTTTTTTTTTTATTATACTCTAAGTGTTAGGGTACATGTGCACATTGTGCAGGTTAGTTACATATGTATACATGTGCCATGCTGGTGCGCTGCACCCACTAACGTGTCATCTAGCATTAGGTATATCTCCCAATGCTATCCCTCCCCCCTCCCCCAACCCCACCACAGTCCCCAGAGTGTGATATTCCCCTTCCTGTGTCCATGTGATCTCATTGTTCAATTCCCACCTATGAGTGAGAATATGCGGTGTTTGGTTTTTTGTTCTTGCGATAGTTTACTGAGAATGATGGTTTCCAATTTCATCCATGTCCCTACAAAGGACATGAACTCATCATTTTTTATGGCTGCATAGTATTCCATGGTGTATATGTGCCACATTTTCTTAATCCAGTCTATCATTGTTGGACATTTGGGTTGGTTCCAAGTCTTTGCTATTGTGAATAGTGCCGCAATAAACATACGTGTGCATGTGTCTTTATAGCAGCATGATTTATAGTCCTTTGGGTATATACCCAGTAATGGGATGGCTGGGTCAAATGGTATTTCTAGTTCTAGATCCCTGAGGAATCGCCACACTGACTTCCACAATGGTTGAACTAGTTTACAGTCCCACCAACAGTGTAAAAGTGTTCCTATTTCTCCACATCCTCTCCAGCACCTGTTGTTTCCTGACTTTTTAATGATTGCCATTCTAACTGGTGTGAGATGATATCTCATAGTGGTTTTGATTTGCATTTCTCTGACGGCCAGTGATGATGAGCATTTCTTCATGTGTTTTTTGGCTGCATAAATGTCTTCTTTTGAGAAGTGTCTGTTCATGTCCTTCGCCCACTTTTTGATGGGGTTGTTTGTTTTTTTCTTGTAAATTTGTTTGAGTTCATTGTAGATTCTGGATATTAGCCCTTTGTCAGATGAGTAGGTTGCGAAAATTTTCTCCCATGTTGTAGGTTGCCTGTTCACTCTGATGGTAGTTTCTTTTGCTGTGCAGAAGCTCTTTAGTTTAATTAGATCCCATTTGTCAATTTTGGCTTTTGTTGCCATTGCTTTTGGTGTTTTGGACATGAAGTCCTTGCCCACGCCTATGTCCTGAATGGTAATGCCTAGGTTTTCTTCTAGGGTTTTTATGGTTTTAGGTCTAACATTTAAATCTTTAATCCATCTTGAATTGATTTTTGTATAAGGTGTAAGGAAGGGATCCAGTTTCAGCTTTCTACATATGGCTAGCCAGTTTTCCCAGCACCATTTATTAAATAGGGAATCCTTTCCCCATGGCTTGTTTTTCTCAGGTTTGTCAAAGATCAGATAGTTGTAGATATGCGGCATTATTTCTGAGGGCTCTGTTCTGTTCCATTGATCTATATCTCTGTTTTGGTACCAGTACCATGCTGTTTTGGTTACTGTAGCCTTGTAGTATAGTTTGAAGTCAGGTAGTGTGATGCCTCCAGCTTTGTTCTTTTGGCTTAGGATTGACTTGGCGATGCGGGCTCTTTTTTGGTTCCATATGAACTTTAAAGTAGTTTTTTCCAATTCTGTGAAGAAAGTCATTGGTAGCTTGATGGGGATGGCATTGAATCTGTAAATTACCTTGGGCAGTATGGCCATTTTCACGATATTGATTCTTCCTACCCATGAGCATGGAATGTTCTTCCATTTGTTTGTGTCCTCTTTTATTTCCTTGAGCAGTGGTTTGTAGTTCTCCTTGAAGAGGTCCTTCACGTCCCTTGTAAGTTGGATTCCTAGGTATTTTATTCTCTTTGAAGCAATTGTGAATGGGAGTTCACTCATGATTTGGCTCTCTGTTTGTCTGTTGTTGGTGTATAAGAATGCTTGTGATTTTTGTACATTGATTTTGTATCCTGAGACTTTGCTGAAGTTGCTTATCAGCTTAAGGAGATTTTGGGCTGAGACGATGGGGTTTTCTAGATAAACAATCATGTCGTCTGCAAACAGGGACAATTTGACTTCCTCTTTTCCTAATTGAATACCCTTTATTTCCTTCTCCTGCCTGATTGCCCTGGCCAGAACTTCCAACACTATGTTGAATAGGAGCGGTGAGAGAGGGCATCCTTGTCTTGTGCCAGTTTTCAAAGGGAATGCTTCCAGTTTTTGCCCATTCAGTATGATATTGGCTGTGGGTTTGTCATAGATAGCTCTTATTATTTTGAAATACATCCCATCAACACCTAATTTATTGAGAGTTTTTAGCATGAAGGGTTGTTGAATTTTGTCAAAGGCTTTTTCTGCATCTATTGAGATAATCATGTGGTTTTTGTCTTTGGCTCTGTTTATATGCTGGATTACATTTATTGATTTGCGTATATTGAACCAGCCTTGCATCCCAGGGATGAAGCCCACTTGATCATGGTGGATAAGCTTTTTGATGTGCTGCTGGATTCGGTTTGCCAGTATTTTATTGAGGATTTCTGCATCAATGTTCATCAAGGATATTGGTCTAAAATTCTCTTTTTTGGTTGTGTCTCTGCCCGGCTTTGGTATCAGAATGATGCTGGCCTCATAAAATGAGTTAGGGAGGATTCCCTCTTTTTCTATTGATTGGAATAGTTTCAGAAGGAATGGTACCAGTTCCTCCTTGTACCTCTGGTAGAATTCGGCTGTGAATCCATCTGGTCCTGGACTCTTTTTGGTTGGTAAACTATTGATTATTGCCACAATTTCAGAGCCTGTTATTGGTCTATTCAGAGATTCAACTTCTTCCTGGTTTAGTCTTGGGAGAGTGTATGTGTCGAGGAATGTATCCATTTCTTCTAGATTTTCTAGTTTATTTGCGTAGAGGTGTTTGTAGTATTCTCTGATGGTAGTTTGTATTTCTGTGGGATCGGTGGTGATATCCCCTTTATCATTTTTTATTGTGTCTATTTGATTCTTCTCTCTTTTTTTCTTTATTAGTCTTGCTAGCGGTCTATCAATTTTGTTGATCCTTTCAAAAAACCAGCTCCTGGATTCATTGATTTTTTGAAGGGTTTTTTGTGTCTCTATTTCCTTCAGTTCTGCTCTGATTTTAGTTATTTCTTGCCTTCTGCTAGCTTTTGAATGTGTTTGCTCTTGCTTTTCTAGTTCTTTTAATTGTGATGTTAGGGTGTCAATTTTGGATCTTTCCTGCTTTCTCTTGTAGGCATTTAGTGCTATAAATTTCCCTCTACACACTGCTTTGAATGCGTCCCAGAGATTCTGGTATGTGGTGTCTTTGTTCTCGTTGGTTTCAAAGAACATCTTTATTTCTGCCTTCATTTCGTTATGTACCCAGTAGTCATTCAGGAGCAGGTTGTTCAGTTTCCATGTAGTTGAGCGGCTTTGAGTGAGATTCTTAATCCTGAGTTCTAGTTTGATTGCACTGTGGTCTGAGAGATAGTTTGTTATAATTTCTGTTCTTTTACATTTGCTGAGGAGAGCTGTACTTCCAACTATGTGGTCAATTTTGGAATAGGTGTGGTGTGGTGCTGAAAAAAATGTATATTCTGTTGATTTGGGGTGGAGAGTTCTGTAGATGTCTATTAGGTCTGCTTGGTGCAGAGCTGAGTTCAATTCCTGGGTATCCTTGTTGACTTTCTGTCTCGTTGATCTGTCTAATGTTGACAGTGGGGTGTTAAAGTCTCCCATTATTAATGTGTGGGAGTCTAAGTCTCTTTGTAGGTCACTCAGGACTTGCTTTATGAATCTGGGTGCTCCTGTATTGGGTGCATATATATTTAGGATAGTTAGCTCCTCTTGTTGAATTGATCCCTTTACCATTATGTAATGGCCTTCTTTGTCTCTTTTGATCTTTGTTGGTTTAAAGTCTGTTTTATCAGAGACTAGGATTGCAACCCCTGCCTTTTTTTGTTTTCCATTGGCTTGGTAGATCTTCCTCCATCCTTTTATTTTGAGCCTATGTGTGTCTCTGCACGTGAGATGGGTTTCCTGAATACAGCACACTGATGGGTCTTGACTCTTTATCCAATTTGCCAGTCTGTGTCTTTTAATTGGAGCATTTAGTCCACTTACATTTAAAGTTAATATTGTTATGTGTGAATTTGATCCTGTCATTATGATGTTAGCTGGTTATTTTGCTCATTAGTTCATGCAGTTTCTTCCTAGTCTGGATGGTCTTTACATTTTGGCATGATTTTGCAGTGGCTGGTACCGGTTGTTCCTTTCCATGTTTAGCGCTTCCTTCAGGAGCTCTTTTAGGGCAGGCCTGGTGGTGACAAAATCTCTCAGCATTTGCTTGTCTATAAAGTATTTTATTTCTCCTTCACTTATGAAGCTTAGTTTGGCTGGATATGAAATTCTGGGTTGAAAATTCTTTTCTTTAAGAATGTTGAATATTGGCCCCCACTCTCTTCTGGCTTGTAGGGTTTCTGCCGAGAGATCCGCTGTTAGTCTGATGGGCTTTCCTTTGAGGGTAACCCGACCTTTCTCTCTGGCTGCCCTTAACATTTTTTCCTTCATTTCAACTTTGGTGAATCTGACAATTATGTGTCTTGGAGTTGCTCTTCTCGAGGAGTATCTTTGTGGCGTTCTCTGTATTTCCTGAATCTGAACGTTGGCCTGCCTTGCTAGATTGGGGAAGTTCTCCTGGATAATATCCTGCAGAGTGTTTTCCAACTTGGTTCCATTCTCCACATCACTTTCAGGTACACCAGTCAGACATAGATTTGGTCTTTTCACATAGTCCCATATTTTTTGGAGGCTTTGCTCATTTCTTTTTATTCTTTTTTCTCTAAACTTCCCTTCTCGCTTCATTTCATTCATTTCATCTTCCATTGCTGATACGCTTTCTTCCAGTTGATCGCATCGGCTCCTGAGGCTTCTGCATTCTTCACGTAGTTCTCGAGCCTTGGTTTTCAGCTCCATCAGCTCCTTTAAGCACTTCTCTGTATTGGTTATTCTAGTTATACATTCTTCTAAATTTTTTTCGAAGTTTTCAACTTCTTTGCCTTTGGTTTGAATGTCCTCCCGTAGCTCAGAGTAATTTGATCGTCTGAAGCCTTCTTCTCTCAGCTCGTCAAAATCATTCTCCATCCAGCTTTGTTCTGTTGCTGGTGAGGAACTGCGTTCCTTTGGAGGAGGAGAGGCGCTCTGCGTTTTAGAGTTTCCAGTTTTTCTGTTCTGTTTTTTCCCCATCTTTGTGGTTTTATCTACTTTTGGTCTTTGATGATGGTGATGTACAGATGGGTTTTCGGTGTAGATGTCCTTTCTGGTTGTTAGTTTTCCTTCTAACAGACAGGACCCTCAGCTGCAGGTCTGTTGGAATACCCTGCTGTGTGAGGTGTCAGTGTGCCCCTGCTGGGGGGTGCCTCCCAGTTAGGCTGCCCGGGGGTCAGGGGTCAGGGACCCACTTGAGGAGGCAGTCTGCCCGTTCTCAGATCTCCAGCTGCGTGCTGGGAGAACCACTGCTCTCTTCAAAGCTGTCAGACAGGGACACTTAAGTCTGCAGAGGTTACTGCTGTCTTTTTGTTTGTCTGTGCCCTGCCCCCAGAGGTGGAGCCTACAGAGGCAGGCAGGCCTCCTTGAGCTGTGGTGGGCTCCACCCAGTTCGAGCTTCCCGGCTGCTTTGTTTACCTAAGCAAGCCTGGGCAATGGCGGGCGCCCCTTCCCCAGCCTCGTTGCCGCCTTGCAGTTTGATCTCAGACTGCTGTGCTAGCAATCAGCGCGATTCCGTGGGCGTAGGACCCTCTGAGCCAGGTGTGGGATATAGTCTCGTGGTGCGCCGTTTCTTAAGCCGGTCTGAAAAGCGCAATATTCGGGTGGGAGTGACCCGATTTTCCAGGTGCGTCCGTCACCCCTTTCTTTGACTCGGAAAGGGAACTCCCTGACCCCTTGCGCTTCCCAGGTGAGGCAATGCCTCGCCCTGCTTCGGCTCGCGCACGGTGCGCACACACACTGGCCTGCGCACACTGTCTGGCACTCCCTAGTGAGATGAACCCGGTACCTCAGATGGAAATGCAGAAATCACCCGTCTTCTGCGTCGCTCACGCTGGGAGCTGTAGACCGGAGCTGTTCACCGGAGCTGTTCCTATTCGGCCATCTTGGCTCCTCCTCTGCTGTGTGATCTTAAGGAGGCTACCTAACTTCCGTGAATCTCAGTTTCTCCTATAAAATCAGGATGAAAACATATACCTAATAGGACTTTGAGATATTTTAAGAAAATGTCTACAAATTCTATGTACTTCATAAACATAGACATCAGATTTAATATTGGCTTGCCTTCAGGAGAAAGATGTTGATCCACCAGAGTTTTTGTTATACGTTTAGGAAATGGCATGTATTCCTTAGCCTGTTCAGAATTTATGCAGCAAGAGTCCCTTATCCAATTTTATCAACTCAAAAACATAGAAAAAATAGGTTTCTGGTCCCACAAAACTGAGACCCAGACCCTAAATAATGGCAGATTCTCCAAGATGAAAACCACCCTGTGTGCTTTTCCTCATAACTCACTTTTTTGAGAGGTGGAGGTAGGGGTAGATTTCTGTATTCCTCAAACAGAAAACAGGTAGAAAAATATATTCAGCAAACTAGTGAACTAAATATGCTTAGTTAACAACAAAAAACCTCACATTTTAAGTTTTTGAATTATATGTAGTATAATTATAAGGTAATAAAATTGATTTCTGTAAGATTCATCTAAATCCACCCTCTCTGAATTGTATCTATAATTGTATCCATAAACTATTCCATCAGGAGAAATTCTTTAATCTGCCCTATTGACTAGTGTACTATAATTATGAGGTATTTTTTGTCGATGTTATATGTATAGTAAAACTGTTAGTTTCTTGATAATTAATGTAAATATATTACTTTCCACTGTATCTTATTCCTATAGCTTATTTTATTTACACATTTTAAAAATTCGGATAGTATGGCCAGGCGTGGTGGCTCACGCCTGTAATCCCAGCACTTTGGGAGGCCAAGGCGGGTGGATCACAAGGTCAGGAGTTCAAGATCAACCTGACCAAGAGAGTGGAACCCTGTCTCTACTAAAAATGCAAAACGTAGCCAGGCGTGGTGGTGGGCACCTGCAATCCCAGCTACTCGGGAGGTTGAGGCAGAGAACTGCTTGAACCTGGGAGGCACAGGTTGTAGTGAGCCGAGATCTCAGTGCTCCACTCCAGCCTGGGCAACAGAGCAAGACTCACTCTCAAAAAAAAAAAAAAAATCGATTAGTATTTATGCTTTTTTTTCTAAGTGCTACTTAAGTTAGGAATGTTATACATAGTTTTCCTGTCAACAGATGCTGTGCAAATTTTGCCTTTAGTTGAGCCTGTGGTGCACAATTGAATGTAATACATACACTGTACTCAAACTAGATATCATAACATTTAAAAAGTTGGAAATACAGAACAAGAAAGAGTACAGATTCTTTTTCCTTGAGTACAGTCCTGTTATCACAAGATAATCTGCTTCCATTTTCACTTTTGTTTAGTAAAGCATTATGTTATTTTTTTTTTAATTTATATACTTTTAAGTAAACTGTAGGGGTGAACTGTTTTTACATTTGATATTCCCAATAGAGAACATTTCATATCAGAAAAGATCCATTTGAATGTAATTGATAGTTATTTTAAAAACATAACACTTGATTCTACAGAAAGAAAGAAAGTTGTGTATGTTGAGAGGATAATATTGGTTTTATTTGAGAATAAAGACTATTCATAGTACTTTAATTAAACAAGATATTCTGGAGTTTCTCATGCATCGTATCATTTACTTGCATCTAAAATTTCAGTATATCTAACTGTTTACACGTTTCTAACAAATCTGCCTAAGTTTTCAGAATATAATTCTACTATAGGCTCTATAATATGAACCTAAATTGGACATATTCTTTGACTTTAATTCTAAAATTCTGATGTAGAATTTGGCCAATTTAAGTTTGAACATAAAGAAAGATGGGCCTCATTATGTTTTCTCAATACATAGTTATTCAGATCAGTTATATTTAATATTGACTTTGTGTGTCTTTAACTAATCTTTTCAGTGCAAATACAGCTGCTGATACTTTGTGACACTAAGAACATTAACAAAAGAACATATTGCTCTTTGATTCAGCTTATCTCAACACAACCATAAAAGCAGTTCCTATCAGATGATTCATTTCACAACATCCTGACATTGATCTACATAGAATCAATAAGTAAAAATAATGCTTCAATTCTGTGGAACTTCTAGGGAAGTCTCTGGGCTCTTAGAAGCCTAGACTCTTTCCACTATGTTCAGTTGAGCCTCTGATGCACAATTGAATGCAGTATATATTATTTGTAATAGTGAAACAAAGGCTTTAGAAGACAGAAGGGAATGTATATACTTCATAGCAAATGCTGGTCTTGTAACATATTTTGAAAGAAAATGGTTCTGTTGGTCAACTAGATTTGGAGACCCTGCATACTCTATCACTGTCTTAAAAACTCAATTTATACATGAGAAACTAATATTAGAGATACTGAGAACTTCTGCAATTAAAAGCATCATAACATGTTTAATTCAGGATTCTCAAAACTTACTTCAGCAAGGAATACTGCCTTTCCTTTCTTACTAGTGAACATCCAGTTTGCAGAGCATATTATGCTGAATGCTGGTGTCAACTGCGGTTAAAATAGCTGAAAAGCAGTCAAAATGCTCTGTCTTACCATCTCTTCTCCAAGGCACCCTCTAAAAGTTCCTTGTAGCCTGCATCTGCAAAATTATCAAGGTAACCCTGTGGAAGTCTGCCCTAGACTTAGAACATTTTGATATTGTTTCAGGCCTCAAGAGTTTTACTAACTAAATCATGCCTTGAGAGACATTTCACAACCTGAGAAAACTATGAGTACACTCAATGTACCAACCTTCCAGTCTGAGTGTTGCTTCCTTTTTCAAAATATTTGTTCTCTGACTGTGAGAAACACACATTCACCCACCCAAACCCAAAGAATGGACCTGGAGACACAAAGTATAGCGGAAGTGAGACTTTTAATAGCAGTCTTGCAAGACCAGGTGTCTGATAGGCAGGCACACCTGGAGCAGATACAGCAGGTAATTTATCTCCTAGAACGCAAGTCCCTCCCCTAGTTCCTCATTGGTTGAGTTCTATGTGGTTACAATCTTCCTGGATGTCACCTAAGTTTCATTATCCCCCCATAAGGTTATACCCCATCCCCTTCTCTGCTTAAGTTTCAATTTCCCAATAATGAAACTTTTCCCTTTTATGGGCTGACCCCTCCTCTACATTCTGTTCGCTTATCGTGACCTTCAAGCTGCATGAGCCATGTGGTTTGTTACATTTGTAGGCCGGCTGGCATTACTTAGATTTATCATGCTTTGAAAATGAACCATTTAAAATGGTTTCTTTCAAATTCCCTCCTCTTTTCTATTTACTTTCTTTGGTCTCATTTTCATCTAAACCTTTTGATTCTTGAATCACTCTAGAAGTTGTTTGCTTTTTTCCTTATAGGACAGTGAGTTTAATTTGGTTTTTAATAGTATCAGGTTATTTTGCTGGTAAGTTATGGGCATTTGTTTATTAATAGCTGTTTTAATTAATCTCTGTGCTAGTCCCCTTACACAAGGGATAATACAACATCCCACTGCTGTTAAGACTCATGCCACAATTATGAGAGATATAAGGATTGAAGCCACCATTCCTTTTTATTTTCCAAACCAACCTTCTAGCCAACCCATTAATGGGTCATTAATTCCAGCATTTTCTGCCAGTTCATTGGCTAGAGTTGTTAGACCTTGTAAAGCTTTTGTGATGGTCCCATCTGGGGCAGTATTGTTGAGAATGAAAGTGCAACATTTCCCACCCAACATAACACATATGCCCCCTTTTTCTTCTATTATTATGTCTAGCACAAGCCTGTTTCCCAAGCCATTTGGCTGGTGGCATCTAACTGGCTAGCCACCCCTTTGAGGGCATCCCAAGTATAACTGATGAATCTCTGTTGATTATAATAGATGTAGTTAATTCAATCCACATTTTCATTAATAGTCGAACACCAGATGAGTGCTGACTTAAACCCAGCAGCTATTTGGTTTCAGGCCTTAAATTTATTAGGCACCCACCTGGGACTCCTATTGAGTTAACATATATATTGGGATCAAAAGAATTTGTTAGATCTCTCCAGTTTCAGTGGCCATGTGTATTTTTGGGTATTTTATGGAATGCCAGAGTGAAGGGAATGGCCAATTGGACTGAAGCATAAGTCCTGGTCCAATTGTATGGTAACAAGTTACGAAGTTTCCTTTTCCCACAATTCCACCAGACATAAGCCCAGGGTATATGGAGAGCTGAGTAACTGCCATTGCCTGACTCACCAGTGGCATGTCGGATGTGGGTACAAGTCAAGAGTTATCCCATGGGCTCTGCCCCCTGCCTAGAGAGGCAAGAGGAGTGGTTCATATTTCCTATAAAGAACTAAGGGATTACTCTGGGATCTGACCTCTGCAATGTGGGAAAGAGCAATGACAGACTCTTACAAGTCTGATTTCCCCATGCATCCTTGTCCTGGTATAGAGCCAATATGCAATGCATTCCTTTAGGATTGGTATCTCATCCTAGGGGAAACGGAACCACTTGTGGCTGAGGTCATCTCACAGCACATGCATAGCAGTTACTCTTCCTGAGGGCTTGTACCAAAAATTTGATCCATTCGACCCAGGCATTCACATCCCCTTACCCTGTCTCAATTTCTAAGGTTCACTTTTACCTTATTTTTATCCTTTTATGGTTATTATTTGGTGGACTAAAGTATTAGGGTTTGGGGTTGGAATAGTTCCAGGCAAATGGGAGGTTGAGTTCTTAATTAGTTTAAGAACAAATCACCCTAGGGGGTCTTCCCCTGTGATGTCTGCCCCTCACCCATATACCCGTGATGCTACTTTTGGTTCTTGGTTTAGAATGGCTGGATTGTTCATGGTGATAAGTATAGGACTGCATTCTAAATTCTGGCAGTTATCTGGCGGGGAGCCCCTGGACAGATGCAGTTTAATCTTTAAGGGTCTCCAGCTTGGAGTTACCCACCCCGTGTTTACTGTCCAACCCTGAAATTGGGTAGTCCACCATACATTATCTCAGCTGCGGCAGGGTGATGCCCTACTGTAACCTGTATTCGGTTCAGGGCAAAGATATTTATCTGCCTGCCAGAGCTATCTCTGATTTTCCAAATTCCCACAGGGTAAGACCTGGAAGGCATTAAATTTTATAGTTTGGAATGCTACCATTTGGTTACATTAATTACCAACATGATTGGGTAGGGAGGAGTCCCCTGCCAGTTTCCATTTTGACTTTTGCTTTTCGTATAGTAGCCCATCCTAGCCATATTAACTTTCAGAAATGGGGCCAGCCCATGTTTTCTTTGTAGATTTTTCTCAAAGTTAACTTTAGGGGTTCCTCAGGTGACCCGTGCACTTTCCACCAGTCTTTTTCCCTCCCTCCTGGGGTCTCTTTTCTCAGTCCCTTGACTCAAGTATGGGGAGTCCACCTGCATTCAACTGTTTGCATAGCTTTCATAGTGGCCAGGAGCACTTAATAGGGACCTTCCCTGCTTGGGTGGAGCTTGTCTTCTTTCCAAGTTTTAATTAACACCAAGTCACCAGGCTGGAAGTGGTGAACTACAAACTTAAAAGGTGGGGTTTGAGTCAGAAGTCATTTTAACTTAAGGGGTGACAGGGTGGAGGATATGGGCCAGTATATAATTTCTTAAAATTGATTCTTGGTTTCCATAGTAGGGAGATTTGTAGCTCTGCCCAACTGTGGGAGCCCATATAATAACTTGTGGGGGAGACAATTCCAAGTCTTCTTTAGCGGGGAAGGTGGCTGTCCTAATCCTAAGGAGTGCTATTGGGAAATATTTGATCCAAGGCATTTTAGCTTCTAAGATTAGTTTGGTGAAATGCTTTTTGAGAGTTTGATTCATTCTTTTTACCTTTCCAGAAGAAGGGGGATGCCAAGGGGTGTGATAATTCCATCTAATTTGTAAACCTTTTATAATTCCCCTTAACACCCTTGAGGTAAAGTGGCTCGCATTTTCCAAATTAATATTTTTCACCAGGCCAAATCTAGGTACAGTCTGTTCTAATATTATTTTGACCACATTCCCAGCAGTGGCTGTTGGAAGGGGGAAGTAAGTACTTTAATTTTCCTACTTTGGGCATTTCTGTGAAATTTACTTGAATGCTTTGAAATAGTCTTAGTTTGGGAGGTCTTCCTCCCATGGCCTGTTTTTTAATTACCTTTTTGTTTATCCTTTGACAAGTTACATAACTTTTGCATACTTGTTTAGTGAGGGTATAAATCCCAATACACCCATAATTCCCGAGTATTGCATTACACAGAGCCTGGGGTCCCTAATGACTCCCTTTGTGTGATATAGACATTAGTTTTTTAATTAGAGGTTTATTTATTATTTCTTTTCCATTAGGAAGTACCCATTTCCCATCTTTAGTTTGACCCCTATCCTGTCTAATTCTTCCTTCACATCTCTGGTAAACTGCACCTTAATACTACTTTAGGGATGTCTGGGATCAGGCTAAATAGTCTAATTTTTGCCTTCAGGAGGCTTGCTTAGCAGCTTTATTTGCAAGCTTCTTTCCTACAGCTTTTACAGTGTTCTCTTTTTGATGACCATTTACATGAACTATGGCTACCTCTGCTGGAAGCAGGAGACTTTTTAAGACCTGTTTGACCAGTTCTCCATGTATGAATTCTTTTCCCCTCCTATTTATTAGACCCTGCTTTGTCCAGATTTTTTTAAGTGTGTACCACTCCATAGGCACATTTAGAATCAGTATATATAGTATCATCTTGACCTTCAAGGAGCTTTAGGGCCTGGTTAAGAACACATAACTTACAGGTTTGGGCTGACTAGCCATTAGGTAATTTACCTTTCCCACGTAAACAGTGTTTATTTTCATCAATGACAGCATAACCATTATGGTTTTTTTTGTTTTTGTTTTTGTTTTTGTTTTTTATCCATCACTTTGGATGACCCATTCACAAACAGCCTTATCCCATCATGTAGTGGAGCTTCCCTAAGGTCTGGTCTAACTTTGGTTTTGTATTTTATCATATCTAAGCAGTTATGGTCTGATGTCTTTCGTTCCCCTCTCCTTTCCATAGGAAACTGGCAGGATTCAGGCAAGTATTCATTGTTATGACCAAATGATTTTTTTTCTATTATTATGGCTTTGTATTTTAGAATCTGAGAATATGTTAACCACTTCCTGGCTTTTTGGTTTAATATATTCCTGACCTGGCATGGGGTACTTAGCATTAGGGCCCCACCAAAGGTTCGCTTCCAACTCTCCTCTACCAGCAGGGTTGTGGCAGCTACTGCTTGCACACATTTCGGCCACCTCCAAGAGACAGGATGGAGAAGCTTGGAGACAAAAGTAACAGGTTGCCTCTTCCCTCCCCAAGTTTGAGTGAGCGCCCCAAGGGCCAAGCCCTGGTCTACTGTTACGAACAGATGGAATGTTTTTTCTAAAGATGAGAGGGCCAGGACCAGGGCTGCAATGAGGGCCTGCTTTAGCTCCTTCATTGCCTGAATTTTCTCTGGGGACCATTGCGAGGGATTGGGTTCCTTTTTTAGTAATTTGAGATACAGATTTTTTGTCTTTTAAGGATATGAATCAATCCATAACCTGCAGTAGCCAGTCAAACCTAAAAATTTTTGGAGTTCTCTCCTTGTTTTAGGCAAAGGCAGACCCACTATTCCCGATATTTTCTCTGGGTTTATTCTCTGCTTCCCTTCACTAATCAGGCATCCTAAATATTTAACTTTTTTTTCTCTAAAAATTGCAATTTGTTCTTAGAGACTTGCAATCCCCTTTCTCCTAGGAAATTAAGTAAGCTCACAGTGGTTTCTGATACCTTGGCCCTCCTCTACCTAGAAATTAGGAGATCATTTACATATTGTAACAACTGGGTTCCCCTGGAAGGTTGGAATTCATCCAGGACTTTTTCTAAGGTCTGACCAAATGAGTTTGGGGCTTCCATGAAACCTTGTGGCAGCACAGTCCAGCGGTACTGTTGTTTTTCTCCCAGTTATAGGATTTTTCCCATTTAAAGGCAAAGAGGTCCCTAGTCCTAAAGTAGAAGGGACTGCCCAAAATGCATCGTTTAGATCCACCACACTGAACCACTTCTGTTTATAGGACTATCTTACTAAAGAGGGTGTAGGGGGCCGGGCGCGGTGGCTCACGCCTGTAATCCCAGCACTTTGGGAGGCTGAGGCTGGTGGATCACGAGGTCAGGAGATTGAGACCATTCTGGCTAACACGGTGAAACCCCGTCTCTACTAAAAATGCAAAAAATTAGTCTGGCGCAGTGGCGGACACCTGTAGTCCCAGCTACTCGGGAGGCTGAGGCAGGAGAATGGCGTGAACCCGGCAGGTGGAGCTTGCAGTGAGCCAAGATAGCGCCACTGCACTCCGGCGAAAGAGCGAGACTCCATCTCAAAAAAAAGAAAAAAAAAGAAAAAGAAACAGGGTGTAGGGGCTAGGCACCACAGGGTGGCGAGTCTGAACAATTTGATCTATAGCCCTTAGATCTTGCACCAATTTATAACACATTAGGCTTTTTGTGAGAATCGGAGTTATCGTATGGTTTGTATGGTGACATGCAGGGTTCTAATAGTCCTTCTTCAATGAATCCCTTTATTAACGGTTGGAGACCTTTTTTCCCTTTAATAGAAATGCAATATCGTTTTTTGCAAACTACTTGTCCTGGTTGTTTTAGTTTAATCTGTAAGGGTGTGATTTTTAACCCTCCTCTGTTGCCTTTCCTAACCCACACAAGAGGATTAATTTTTTTTCCTCCTCCTCTGTTAGGAGGCCCGTCATTACTTTTACTTGTCCTTCCTCTATTCCTGATCCTAAACCCAATCTCATGATCAGGTTTTGACCCAGGAGGTTAGTTCCCGCTTCAGGAACATATAAGAATGACCCTTCAGTGTGCTCTGGTCTCAATCTAATTAACATTTTCTTCAATATCAGAACCTAAAATCCCTCCCCTTTTACCTCGGATACTGTCCATTTTTCCTTAGAGACTTTTGTACCCCTTGGTTGGTGAATTAGAGAGGAGCAAGCCACTCCAGTATTAATCAAAAACGTTACGTTTTCTTCCTCGGGTCCCACCTTCAAATTTATTAAAAGTCCTGGTGGGACCTACTCAGAAGGAACCCCTGAAGCCCCTAGTCTTCAACGGTTGTGAGGGGGATTGCCTTTTTTTTCTTATTTCCATTCAGGATATTTTCTTTTAAACCGTCCTGGCTTTCTACACTTGTAACATTTACTCATAGTCTTAGGAGTTTTTCCTTGCATTTCTCTTCTTTCTCTGTGTTGAAATCTGTCATTCCTTTGTCTCCTGTGAGGGGGATCTTGATCTAGTCTTTTTTTGGACTACCTTTTCCCCAGTAGAAACTATGATTTTTGCTTTTTGTTTCTGCTTTTCTTCCTCTCTCCTTGCAAAGACCGACTGAGCTTCCTTCAGTAATTCCTCCATCAGTTTCTCATTTTATCCATCAATCTTTTTTTGTAATTTTTTTGTAATGTTAGGTCAGCTCTTAGTTACAAAGTTAACCTTTAAGAGGTCTTGCCCTTCTGGGTCCTCTGGATCTAATTTGGAGGTTTATTTTTTTATTTTATTTTATTTTTTTATCTAATTTCTGAGCCTCTGCAGGAATGCAGAGGGTGTTTCCTCTTTTTCTTGTTGAATCTCGAATGCCTCTGAGACATTTTGTGTCCTATGAGTGAGCTCTTTGTTCCCTTTAATTATTAGTTCCTCAAGATCCCACATTTGGGCCTGATCCCTGGGATCACTATTATCCCATTCAGGATCAATATTTGGAAATTTTTGTTCAGCTGGCGAGACTTCTTGCCCGGAGGGTGTTGCCTTTCCCAGATGGTTATGGCCGCTTTCCTAATCATTTCGTTTTCTTCTCCTGTGAACAGGATATTTATGACAGACATCATTTCAGCCCATGTGTAAAAGCTGGGTCCTAGGAATTGGTCCAGATGGTCTGCTAAACTGAGGGGATCTTCTAGGAGTGGTTTTATTTACTTTATGAAATTCCTTATTCCAGTACTTGTAAGAGGAGCACTTACAAAGCCAATCTCTCCCTGTCTATGGGAACTTCCCTAAGGGGCAACATGCTAGATGCCTGCTGTGTGGAAGGGATAGGGAAGTTCTCAACATCCCTCTTACACTGTTCTAATTCTTTTCTTAAATTTGGACGAGAATTTAAAGAAGCAGTTGGTTCAGCTCCCCCATGGTCTCCAGGTATTTCTTCCTCTAACCCTCTTGTTGCCCCTTGATCTTCCTGTCCCCTATTTTGTGAGATGTATGGAGGGGGCAAGCATTGTAGGGGGTCTCAGGGCTTTTCGCTGGGTGAGGGCTTTTTACTAGGCTCTTCTTCTTCTTCTTTGATAGGTAACATGGGGGTGCTAATTCCTTGATCCAGCAGAGAACGTAACCTATCTCCTCCTATGAGGATGGGATTTTATTATTCACATACAGAATTAAAGCTTGGCACACCCAAACCTCATTTGAGCCAAACTTAGGCCAAAAGACCGAAGGGTTACAAGTAGGGTCTTTAGGCCAGATAAAACAGCAATACTTTATTATCTTTAACTTTTCCTTGTCCCTGGTTTGAGAGTAGTCCCTGCAAACCTGCAGCATTCTCCCCAACAGACTATCCAGGGGAATGTCAGAGAGAGTCTCTTTGACTCCCTCTTTCTATTGTTCCCTAGGCCTAGAATTTCTGGTTCCTTTTTCCTGTCAGTCTCTGTATCTGAGCTTTTCCTCATGTACTCAACCCTCCCTACTAGAGGTTTCTTGCACACCCCAAGAATCGCTGCCTCTGTCTCTGGCCATTTCCCTTGCGGGAGAACTGAACCATGGATTGGGACTCTGCACTTGTTTCATATCTAGGATACATCTCAGTCATGCACACACTCGACCTATGAACATGCCCAACCACCAAGGTTGAATTTATAGTCCAATTTTCTTACTTCAGCTCATGCACGAGGTTGCCTGGTTGCCATGGTGCCTGCTTTTCTCCTTCTGTTGCCTCTGCTGCCTCCTGAATAACAGTTTCAGGTTTGTCTATAGCCTCTACAGGGAGCCAGTAAGCCCAGACAGAGTGGGCCACTTAAATCAGGTGGGACGCATCTCCCCTCTCTGCGAGAGTCCCACTCCATGAAGGCACAGAGATCCTGGACAAAACCCCAGATTTGTGAGAAACACATATTCACCCATCCAAATCCAAAGAATGGACTGAGAGACATGAAAAACAGCGGAAGTGAGACTTTTAATGGCGATCTTGCAAGATCAGGTGTCTAGTAGGCAGGCACACCTGGGGCAGTTACACCAGGTAATTTATCTCCTAGCATGCAAGTCCCTTCCCCAGTTCCTCATTGGTCGAGTACTATGGGGTTGCAATCTTCCTGGACGTTGCCTAAGTTTCATTATCCCCCTTATAAGGTTATACCCAGGTCCCCTTTCTTGCTTATGTTTCAATTTCCTGATAGTGAAACTTTCTTCCCTTTTATGGGCTGACCCCTCCTCTACATTCTGTTCCCTTTTCGTGACCTTCTGGGTGCATGAGCAATGCAGTTTGTTACGTTTGCCGGGTGGCTGCCGGTACTTAGATTTATCATGCTTTGAAAATGGACCATTTAAAATGTTTTCTTACATGACCAAATAACCATAGGGCACATCTAGTTATATATTCATGTTTATGATAATCTGAAGTTTAAGTAGAATCACTTTTATTTCCTCCTTGTTTATTTCAACGTATTTTGCCTTCAGAAAGTTGGACAAAAAAGTCAATAGAGTTCCATACACATAGCAAGATGTTTATCAATGTTTAACTTTTGAATATATAAGTAATTAATATGCTTTATTTCAACAAATAATTTTGTGCAATTTATAATAATTGTAATAAACTCTATCAAGGGCAAACATATAAAAGAGCTTTACATATTTTTTATTCTTCTTATCTGTAGTTATGCTATGTGAAATTTCTTGTTTATAATTTTATGAACATTATTTTTTCACTCTCACATTGTTGTAGATTTTGGCATTCTTTGACATGTCACCAGTGAGTGGACATACTTGTATCGACATAGAATCATTGATATCTTTAATTTCACAGGGCCCATAGAAATATGCTATTCTTTATTTTACAGATAGGTAAACTAAAATTTGCCACCTCTCAATGACTTTTCTAGAGTCATGCAGCTCTTGGTAGTAGTTAGGTTATAGAACATAGATTTAACATTTCCCAATTCAGGACAAATCAATTTTACACTGAAAATGATATTTGGGTCTATCATCAATATTTCAAACTGTGAGATCTTTCAGACCCCAAATTGTATTTAGAAATTATCTTAAAAATATTGCTTCATACGATTAAAGTTCATTTCATTCATTGAATCACAATTAATGCATAACAAATAATGCATTAATTTTAAAGGAAATATCTCATCATTTAGAAATATAAATCATTTGCGTATATATGCCAAGTTATTAAAAAGCTATGTCTTTATCAGATATCAACTTATTGTTAGATCTCTAACAGAAATGTATATGTGCACACATGCCTGCACATGTGTGTATACAGTAAATAGATACATTGACAATCTGATATTCATTCTTTGGTCTTATTTGCATATTAATGTCAATCTTATTGTGGAATAAGACAAAATCTGTGACAATTTTAAAGGCCACACAAGAAAGTTACAATACAATGTTTCAAATTAGCATGTTTAAACATACAGTTGGCTCTCTGACTTTGTGGGTTCTGCATTCGTGGAGTCAATAAACCCCAGATAAAAAATATTCAAAAAATAAAAAATAACAAAACATAAATTATAATAATACAAATAAAACATATAGTATAACAACTATTTAAAGAACATGCACATTTTATTAGATATTATAAATAATCTAGAGATGATTAAAAGTATATGGTAGGCTATGCATTGGTTATATGCATATACTACAACATTTTATATAAGGGACTTGAGCATTCACAGATTTTGTTATTGCCAAGGGTCCTCAATCCAATCCTCCATGGATGCCAAGGGACAACTGTACTATTATCATTACAAACATTAAGTGCTGACATTTAATGTAATGATAACTTTTTAATGTAATGATAACTGTACTATTATCAGTACAAACATTAAGTGATGTTGAGGATAAAGTGGCACTTCATCTGATGTTTAGAAGTTCAAAAAGGTTTACACAGGCAAAGAAGATCGGACCTTTTAATGTAATGTGACGAAATTGATTAATTCCAAAAATCAAGATATTACACTTATCCAAAACTGAATTTTCACTTTTTAAATCTTATTAAATAATAAAAACTAGAGTCCTGGTGGAAAGTTCAGACTAAGATAAAATAAAGAAAGTGATTATTGTCATTTTTTCATTTAGATGATTCTATAGGTCATTAATTTGGCCGTACATAGCTTTATTCATTCTGATGCTGACCCCACCCTCATAGCTGGAAAAAAAAACTTATTTAAACCAAGCAGTCATTGACAATAATATATCCAACATAATTGTAACCTTATTAACTTATGACATGGTGAGTTAAACAAAACTTAACTATAGATAATTTTCTTGAGGTATATTTATATAGAGAGGAGAGAGATCATAAAGAAACTGTACAAACTAATGCTTTTGGTATTACATTTGATTTTTTAAATTCATAAAATATCCTCCATTAAATAAGCCTTTTAATTTGTGTTTCTAAAATTGAATTTTAATTCAATAAAGAGAAGCACATCACACATCATTATGATAGCTGTGATTGGCAGTTGGAAAAGACTCAGTGTTGAGGTAAGATGCAGGTTAAACAGTTATTGGCCTATACATTGATTACATTTATTATGGTGAAATATTTAAATTTAGGGGTTTCAATAAAATGTGGTACAGATTTTATTTTGTGGGTGAATTATTTTTCTATCACAATAGATTGCACTAGATCAGGAATGACAGATTTCATTCTACCTGCCTAGTCTTATTGATTGGTAGTGAACATCTACTGCAAAGGTTAAGAAGGATCATGTGGCTGTGTCAGGGCTCAGGAAGAAATGATACTGGGATAAGTTTATAATATTTCTATCCTCATGGGATTATAAGCAATCGTGAGGTCAGGAACTTTGTGTTCTTTGTCACATTTTGAGTGCCTATAATAATTCCCAGCATATGGTAAACACTAATATATATATAATAATAATATATATAACATATACAATTATATATACATATTATATACAATATATACATTTTATATATAATTATATATGTTATATATAATTATGTGCCATATATATATAACTATGTGCAAGGAAAAGAGGAAGGAGAATAGCAGAACACATGGTACATCTTTGCCTTCTCTGCACTAGGTGATTGTAAACTGCCAAGATCTATAAGTCACAATCCTCAAGCATGTATTGAAATATAATCTGGTCCATTTTTAAAAAGAAATTTCAGAATGTAAGAAATAAAAACTGGCTTATACATATGGAAAGATATCATGAGCCCAATAAATCCCAACAAGAGGCCTGATTTTTAGAAGACCATTCTGTTAGACACCTAATGACAGTTCATTTTGTCACATGGAAAAGAATAAAATCTTGCTGAAAACTAACATTACTTAAATTTTTTAAAAAGAGAGAAAATGAAGAAAGCTGAATTCTGAATTTTTGTCAAGGTATTTGTATGTGTCTTGCTGCCTCAGAAGTCCGTAGTCAGCAGAGGATTTCTCACTGGTAGGAAATGGATTTGCCTTTGAAGCGACTTTGGATAAAACTGGCTGCATCCAAGAGATGAAAATGATGGAAGCCAAGAGACCTGGCAGGCAGCTGGGTAGTGGGCACCCCTACAACTATCTCTACTGAATATATTCCCTATAGTGAAGTAGTGACCTCCAGGTCTCCTATGATTAAGGCAAATGATCTTATGAGTGGTCATGAGTATGCACATTGATTGGGCTTGGCAGATTGCATAATCAACTGCAAATTAGCTCTTGGAAATGACTGGCTATACCCAGTGAGCAGAAAAAAATGGAAGCAAGGGGATCTGGCAGACAGCAGGTAGTCACAGCAGCTGTATGAGTTACATTCCCATAATTTTATGATGAGGAAAGCCAAGCCTGGACCTTTCATAGCTGTGCTTTTCATTTCTGATATTTGGAGGAATTGCAGGATGGAGCTGCACACCCGAGCAATTTACCCTCAGGGTAGCAGTAAAGCAGAGTGAAAAAGCCTTACTTATATTGCTACACCTCTTGAAGCATAATATGTACATCCCTTTTCTTTATATCCAGAAGAAAAGCACAACATCTGCTCTACTGATAATTGGAAACCCGGCTTTTCTGTTAAAAGGATATTAATTTTCACTTCATAGAATAATAGGCCTTGGGAAGTCAACTAGTCCACCACACTATCTTACTGCAGAATCCTTACTACACCAGAAGGAAGTATGTGAAAGAGATATAGGCATGTTTTACAATATTATCACTTTAATGCTATAAAATTAATCTGAATACATGCAGCAATGAATTGCTAAACCATTCCAAGAGAAGAGCCTACTAGATGACCATTACCTTTCAACTATTAGATGAGTTCATATTTTCTTGTTTGTATATTTTATTAGACAGGACAGGCTCAGACTTAAAAAAAAGTTCCAATTCAACAAGTATTAATGAACTCATGTTGAGTTTTTGGTGATATGCAACAGCCTGTGGAAGCTATCAGCTCCTAAGTTTTAATTCAGTGTACATTTGTTTCTGCAATGGAAAAAGCTAAATGATGTCTTTTAAAAATATAATTTAGCATCCTACCCTGACTAAAACATAGAAGATATATAGTTTCGCATTCTGTCTTGAATGAAACAGATATCAATAAATGGAAAGGGAAGTTCTAATCAGAAAACACAAGTGTTAGGTTTTATTTTACCTGAAATAATTGTTTGTTCTATATCTCATCATCTTTTCCTATGCTGCATATATTTACACCTGCAGCATATTAAATAAGCCTTTTAAGTTGTGTTTCTAAAATTGAATTTTGCAACTGTGCATTTTTTCATCATTCTTTCCATTTAGCTTCTCAAAAACTATAGATTATATGCTGAAAATGAACAAGATGAGTTCTTAAACCACCACAATTTAGAGAAACAACATACCAATTCTATCCTGGGAATCAGTTTTCTTGGAAATACTTTATTCATCTGATCTTATAAAAAAGATCAATAACCCTGTTTCAAAAAGCTCCTTAAATTGTCTTAGAAAAAAGCATATTTGAAAAAAAAACTATGGAATTATAGTAAATGTTTCTGTTTAAAAGAGAAATACACATTTTAAGCAATTTAGAATGAACGCTGATATTTTTATCTATATTTATGATATACACACATATGTGGTATAATTTCAGAAGACTATTTGAACACAGAAAATTGTAAAGATTGTGTGCATTGCTTACTGAATGACTGCATTTCTTTTAATCAGAAAAGGTAGTTTCTCTTTTCTTAAAACATCAGGAATAGAAAAAACGTCTATCAATTGATCAGCACTTACCAGTATGTAAAATACTAGCTGGTATCACTTCAACTAGAAATGCATTTTGTACTGGAAATTTCAATATTAATAAACTCGTGGCCCAATTATTTCTAGTATACTGAAGAGGGATAGAGTTATGGAAATCGGACACACCACGCTTTGCATATCTGATTCATAAATGCTAATGTTTCAAACAGAAACCAGATTAAGCACATCAAAACCTAACGCATTATTTTGATTTATCAATTTTCCAGTAGTGAAAATGGATGTTAGGAAAGTTGCAAGTGGCTTAACTAGCTACAAAGGGGTTTTGTGAAATATGAAGACTGCTTAAAAAGTAGAGATTTACACACTTATTCCATTGATAGGTTATCATAGAACTCTAGCAGGTGGATAATGAATTCTTGCCTTGTTACTGATCTATTGCACATCCCCCAGCTCAGCCAGGCTCTGTAGTGTGATTTTAGCAGAACAAGAGATAATCAAACATCCTGTTTTTATAGAATTGTCCCAATTTAGGGTCCTTCAGGGCCCTCCAGGATGCCTATTTGAGATGTTTTTCTTTCTGAAAAGCATTATCTAGGGATAAAAAAAAAAAGAATGTAATCTGTCATAATCCTAGCCCAAGGAAATATGAATCCTGGTCTCCTTACAGCTCTCAGAGAAGTAAAAATAAAACCAAAAGGCAAGATGTTTTCCACAAGGAAAGGATATCAAACTTCTGGCCAACGAATACCTTCCTTCTTTCTATCCCCTTTTTTTACCACCTGCTGCTATACTCAAGCCAAGAATCAACCCATCACCATTTCTGATTTCAGAACTTTTCTGAGTTTCTATGAATATCTTCCTCCAATTCCTTCTAGTTCTGGAAGCCAGTGTGAGCCCATTTCTGCCCTTTTAATTCCTCTATTCCTTCTGGTTTCTTATTTCCTGTTCCCATATTGCTGTACTTATGTGCTGTTCATGACTACTCTTTCTGTTTTCTCTCTATTTAGAGTATCTCACATCACTCAGAATTATCCATTCATGTTAAACTTGACAGGGTCACCACACTGACTATTGGCATCTTTCATGAAAAAAGAAATAGGAAAAAATATAATTAAAAAGAAAACTACCAGTCACAGGCAGAGCATGTAGATGGTCTTGCTCATATAAAATTGTAAGATGTGGGAAAGGCAGAGACCTATTCCCAAAGTATGAAGCCTCTGAAATAAACTGCTATCAAAAAAAAATGTTGCAAGAATTATCAAATACCATCATCAACTATTCATCCCTGGAGAGTTGATGACACATTTTCAGTGCCTAGTAAGTGCTTTAAAACATGTTGATAGAACTGTTGAACTATTTTGTTAATACAGTGGTTCCTTAGGAAAATGATTGATGCCTTCTTGCCAGTATCACTACCATCCTCTCTTTCTTATACTTTTTCACAGCATTATAATAGTCTTCTCTCTCCTTCTTTTATTGTCTTCTGATCTCAGAAGTTACAAGATTGCTAAATATCCATGGTACCCAAATCCAAACCTTTGCTGGTACTTATCGTAATGTCAGCTTAATATGTTACCTCCAGTGATCTATGTCTGTGACAAATTTTGTGATATTCAGTATACAGTTGACCCTTCAATGATGTAGGGGGGTAGGAGCAGCAATTCCTTGTGTAGTCAAAAATCTGTGTATAACTTATTTTTCTTGTTTTCTTTTTTTTTTTTTTTCCGAGATGGAGTCTCACTCTATTGCCCAGGCTGGAGTGCAGTGGTGCGATCTCAGCTCACTGCAACCTCTGCCTCCCAGGTTCAAGTGATTCCCCTCCCTCAGCCTCCCAAGTAGCTGAGATGACAGGCCTGTGCCACCATGCCTGGCTAATTCTGTATTTCAGTAGAGATGGGGTTTCACCATGTTGCCCAAGCTGGTCTCAAACTCCTGACCTCAAGTGATCCACCCACCTTGGCCTCCCAAAGTGCTAGGATTATAGGCGTGAGCCACCACTTCTGGCCTGTACATGACTTTTGACTCCTCCAAAACCTAATTACTAAGAGCTTACTGTTGACCAGAAGCCTTACCAATAATATAAACAGCCAATTAAAACATATTTTGTATTTTATGTGTGTTAGATACTGTATTTTGATTACAAAGTAAGTTAGAGAAAAGAAAATATTAGTACAAATCATAAGGAAAAGAAAATATATTTTCTAGTTATTAAGTGGAAGTGAACCATCCTAAAGGTCTGCATCTTTGTCATCTTCATGTTGAGTAGGCTGAAGAGGAAGAGAAAGAGAAAGGTTTGCTCTTGCTGTCTCAGGGGTGACAGAGGCAGATATAAGTGGACCTGTGCAGCTCAAACCCACACTGTTCAAGGGTGAACAGTCAATATATAGATATTTAGAAGGAAGCAACATCAGTGAGGGAAGTAGTACTTAGAGGATGCTTCAGGAAGGAAGTGGGTCTGTGTGGTGAGTTTGACCAACAATGCAATTTCAGGGAATTCTCCCCACAAGACGGTCCTCACTTCAGACACAAGTCACAAAGTTCCTGGGTCCCCAGGACCACTCTCAGTTCAGACCAGCTGGCTACAATTTAAAGGACTCTAATGACTAAACTTGGATTTGATAATTCACTATAAGGACTCACAGAACTCATTGAAAACTATTATAGTCATGGGTTATTACAGGGGAATACAAAAACTCAGCCAATGGAATAGATACATAGGGCAGAGTCTGAGAGAGGACCAAATACACAGCTTCTGGCTGTCTTCTTCCTGTGGAGTCATGGATGGTATTATCTCCTCCTTGCCACAATGTGTGGCAATACACACAGAGTTTGCCAATCAGGGAAGCTGACTCAAGCCTTCAGTGTCCAGAGTTTTTACTGGGGCTTAATCACATAGTGCTGGCATTGGCTGCCCTTTAGTCTCCTACCACTCACAAAAGTCAGGCAACCTTTACTCATCAGTTCTTCATGAGATTAGAGGTGATATAGCATGGCCTCAAAGTCCCCATCATAAATCACCTTGTTAAGTGGTCTAGTAGTCAAACACACTAGCAAATGAAAGGATTCCTATCAGGCAGGACACTGCAGGAACCTAGAGGTCACCTCCCAGTAGCTGAAGGCAAAAGCCAGACCTCTCTTTGATGAGGTGAAATTCCTTATTACACTGTCTAAAACTGAGTGTTCAAGGAAAGAGAAGATAAAATCAGGTAAAGATAAGTCACTTCAGGCAAAAGGATAAGCATAAGGAAAGAATTGGAAATGTGAATAAGTGAATGAAAGGAGATGCTAAAGAAAGGATCCCATCCCAGCAAATGTGGGATATGCTTTAGGTAGCTGAGATAAATAAGTTGGACTAGAGCAAAACACATAAATTCTGGATGGCTTTTAAAGTCAGGTAGAACTCAGGGAGAGAAGTTTTGTTTTGACACAACAAAAACTGGAAATATTTAAGATACTTGAATTTGGTTGATGAGCAGAATAATGAAAAATCTGTGTAAGGAAATTGTGAAGTATTCTCTTTATATTTGAACACCGTATTTTAAATAATGCTAAAAAGTGTAAAATACCAATAGGAGGGCAATCAAGATATTGTGGTCTAAAATTTATATCAGATTCAATTATGGAAACAGTATATGTTTAACCAGTTTTTAAAACATAAGACTTAAAAAGAGAAAATAGTTTTCTTCAAAGGCTTGATGAGATTTTACATTTCAGGGAATCCAAACAAGGATTCAAGGGGGAAAAATAGAGCAAGAAAGATGTAGACTTACCAAAACAAGGGGAATTTTTCTATCAATTAAAATAATCTACAAATTAAGTAAGAAGGTTTTTTGAAAAATTGGGCTTCCCATCAATAAGTATTTGGATAGTAGATGGGTATTCATCTACATTTTGGGGTTGATTTGTAGAGATTGTTGCATTAGAGGTCAACGTCTCCCTATTTTAGAATTCGGTGGGTCTTTGAAGTACACAGAATGATTTAGATGAGGGAGAGCCTGGATTCATAGACATCTGCTAGGAAATTGCAGGAATATAAGTATAAAGTGATCCAATTTTGGAGTAGGGCGATGGTAATGACTGTAGAACAGAAGGATAAAACAGATATTTCAAAAGAAAAATGAACAGAACTTAGTATATGGCTAGATGGGGAGTATGAATCTAAGAAAAATGCAAAGAATACCCATCTTTCAAGCCTGAGTGACTAAGCTAACTGTGCAACAGCTAGGAGAAATAGAATCATCACAATGGAGAACAATTTTGGGAGGAAAGATGGTGAATTCTATCTTGAACATAGCAAATTTGAAATAAAAGGAGAAGCCCAATAGGGGATGCCTTACAGACTATGGTGAGAGGCAAGCTACTTTCGTTTTCATTTTTTACATATTTTTGTTACGGCACTTATCACAGTATGTCTGTCGTTGAATTGTTTAAATATCAGACTCCCAGTGGATTCTGAGATTCTTGAAAACAAAGTCAAAGTTTTATGTGTCATTTTATTTAACCTAACCAGCTTTGTGTCTTGCACATATTCAGTAAATATTTTCATACAGTTATTTAGAGATAAAAATCTGAGTCAAATCCGTGTGTATAAAACTCAATATAAAACTGAGAAAAAAATAACAAGAAGCTGCTTACTGTTTAGAGAAGGGAGGTAAAAAGAGCTGAACCAGGAGCCGTAAGAGGTGAAGAAATGAGAGAAATTGAGATTGTGAATTAATAAACACTTGAAGATACAGGCTTCAAGATCAAGTACCTAGCTAACTATGAGATCTTGATAATGAGAATGGGGAAAAGGTCTTTATGTTTTTTTGATAAACGTTTAATTGATGGCTTTCAAGAGGTACTGACACTATTATAAATGGTTCAGAAGTTTCCATTACAAAGAAAATTTATCCCGTGCCCAAGGGATACTTAACAGAGGCAGACAGGCTCACTCCCGTAAGTCTCTACTTCTTTCTTATACCTGAAACTCTTACTTGCATTTTAGATTGTATTTCACCCTTGCCCAATCTCTTAGTCCATTCCTACTGCTCTAATATGATATAAACTAGGTGATTTATAAATAATAAAAATGCATTTCTCATAGCTCTCCAAGATCAAAGTGCCAGTAGGTTCAGTTTCTGGTAGGGGCTTCATTGCTGCTTCCAAGATGGCACTGTGTCCTTGTACCTTAGAAGGGCAAAAAGTGGGAGACAGGTCTGTGATGCCTCTTTTATAAGTGAATTAATCTCATTCATGAAATGTGAACCCTGATGACCTAATCACCTCCTAAAGGTTCTACCTTCTAATACCATCACCTTGGTGATTAGGTTTCAGCATATAAATTTTGGAGGGACACGTACATTCAAAAACCATAGCACTCTATTAAATGATAGAAGAAAAAGCCAATAAGCACATTCTTCTGTCTTATTTTCTGTTTTATACATTTGGTGTGTGTCCTGTTTCTCCATTTTGAAGACATAGCCCTTTGGGAATGAAAGAACATTTGCTACTGTGGTACACACAGGCTGGAAATGTGGAGAGGCCGGGCTGGCCACGGTAAGGTTGGATGACATTCACAGTAGCATGAAGAGTGAGAACAAACACTCTGCTGTGAGGTCATATTTTCATTTAAAAAAAAAAAAAGTCAAGCCCTGAGGTGGTCATTGGAGGTACCAAAATGTGTCTTTTCTTGCCTCCCCCTCCATCATAACACTTTCATTTTATCCATTACTTGCTTGTAGTCACTTCCATTATTTTCATCTTTAGCCCAAATAAATACATATTCCTTCACGTTTTCTGAAGTCCATGATAATGTCAGATAATATTAACCTCCTTGCATTCAGTACAATTGTCCCTTGGTATCCTCAGGGGAATGGTTCTCAGACCTCCCTTGGATATCAAAACCCAAAGATGCTCAAGTCCCTGATGTAAAGTGGTATAGTATTTCCATATAACCTGTGCGCATCCTCTTGTACACTTTAAATTATCTCTTGACTACTTATAATGCCTAATACTATGTAAATGCCATATAAATAGTTGTTGTATTGTTTAGGGAATAATGACAATAAAAATGTCTACATGTTTAGTACAGGTGCAATTTTTTAAATATTTTTGATCTGTAGGTGGTTAATTCTATAGACTCAGAACCCAAGAATATGAAGGGCCAATTGAATTTTTTTAATAAACATTACGTGAGCACTTGTCATGGTAATTGTGCTAAGAACTCCTGTGAAATACTTGCTATGTGTATCATTAAGATGCTTTGGACTGCACATCATGGAAAACCCCTACTCAAAGTTGCTTAAGCAAAAAGGAAACATTATTATTTCATATAACAAGAAATTAGTTCCAGAGTGGGTTAATTCAGCAACTCAAGGAGCCAGTTCTGTCCAGTGTTTCAGCTGTGTTCTGTGAACAGCCGTTAAAATCCCAGTTGATTTCTGCAGTTACGGGCTTTCCATGCAGATACATCAATGGCCAAAGGAAGATAAGCAATTTTTTCTTCTGTGTTTCGTTTCATCAGTGAAGACACATTCCCCAGAATCCTCAGCAGTCTTCCCTTTCATGTCATTGCCAAGGTGTGACTCAATCATTGCCAAGACTGAGTCACATGCTCTTTTGTAAAGCAATCACAGGGAGGAGGTATGGCATCGCATAGAATGGTTTAGACTGTTGGGGATTTACGTTTGAAACAGTGAATTCTGCCAGCAAGGAAGAATATATCTGCTACATTATATGTCTATCAATGTTGTGTTAGAAGATGAAACAAATCAATGAACAATCTGAGGAATAATACTCATTTATGTCAGCCTTTATATCCTTTATGTTGTTTTTTTGAAGAATGTGTTTGGCCATGCACACTGTAGCATGTTGTCATAAGCACTCGATGTAAAGAGTCATGAGATTTCATATTCAGTGAGGTGGGTACCAAATGCATATTAGTTCTAAATTTGTATTTCAAAATTGAAACAAATATATAATTGTTATTGCTACCTTTGGGTGGATTTCACATGATATTAATATAAGCAAAAAGAATACAATCCCGCAAAAGAATGTAAAAATAATACTTCTGTATTTCAGAACAAGAAATTAATGTCTTCTATAGACATCATATTGATAATGTCAAGATGATGTTATAATGTAAAGAACAATGCATAGCATGCATCTATTCAAACTATGACATACAATTAAATTTTAAGTAGGTTATATAGATTAGCACTAAGTAATAATGCAATTCAATTTAATTCATGGATTAACATAAAGTTAATGCTTTATTTGGGGTGAGCGGGGGAAGGACTTTTTTTCTCTCCAGCAAGTGTAATCACTCAGTTTCATCCTCTTCTGTGATGAATTGAGAACAATGTAGCAAATCCTCCTCCTTTACAAAGGTTTGGGCTTTTGTTTTCTGCCTTTCCTAATTTAAAGTAACTTAAATTGGCTTGAATGGAAACTTCCAGGATATACTCCAGGGAAATAAGGCCAGTTAGACAAATTTGGGCTTAGTGAGACAACTCTGTTTAAGAAGGAAAAAAAAGAAAAAAGAAAAAAGAAAAAAGCTCTGTTTAAGCAGAAGAACAGATTTTGTGGTCTGAAAGACTTGACATTAAATCATGACTCTACTAGTTACTATCTATGTGGATTATTATTAACACAGCCATGTATTAGTAACACAACCTTTCCATGGCTTCATTTTCTCTTTTTTAGAGTAGGAAAAAATACTCTATCAATCAGTGTTTTTGTGTGGGAAACAACAGAAACCATCACGAATAACTTACACAAAACGGGATTTATTAGAAAACTATCCTAGGAGTTACAACATCAATAAGAGCCTGGTGAAGCAGCCTAAGAATGGGCAGGGAACAAGGAAACACTGGAGGGCCACGAATTAGAAAACTGGAATCTCAGCCTGAAACTGTTTGGGCCACTGCTATTACCTTGGTTGTTTTAATAAATAACCTCCAATCTACCTGGGAGATTTAAAACCTCATGAAAGAGCTCCCAATTCGCTGAATATATGCCATTATTCCTGCTCCCTAAGTTGCCTGAGACAGAGAAAGGGAATATTTGCCTCATTTGGCTTACATGGTAGAATCTGTTTATCTTTAATCCGTCCACCAAGACTACATACAATGAGGAAGAAGTAATTCTCCAACAGGAAAAACAGGCTATGTTTATGAGCATATGTCATTTGATCTTCACAAGAACTCTGTAAGGTATTTGAATCTCAGAGAACAGACTTAAAAGGTCAAATAACTGTCCAAAGTCACACAGATAGTAAGTAAAATAGTGGAGCCAGTTTTCAAGTCTAGGTCGATTTGTTTCCAAACTGTGTAGTATTTTCAATTATACCACACCATCATCTTTGTGAGAAGAAAAACCTCTAGTTTTATTACATCTTGAATTGTATAATACTTCTGCTTGCATTAGTAGTTGCAGGAAACAGACAGTCCAAGATAAGGATCTCAGATGGGCTATCTGAACAGTGTTTGAAGTCAGGGAAGTCAGGGTGCATCTGTTCATAATATAATAGAAGAAGGGATATAGGTAGTTCATGCTACATGGTGACAAGGATATTTGGATAATATAGCTAAAAATTGGATGAAGAATCTGATTCTGTGAGTTACTGAATGACAATGTGGGTAGAAAGTTATTGCACTGTTTGGAAAAGAACTCTGGGAAATGGAATGATAACTTTGAAGACCATTCAAAAATATTCAGTACCTCAAACCCTGATTTCAGAATCTCAAACTTGAAACAGTTCAGCTGGGAGTCAAATTGCAGAAACTGCTCTGGTCTCATAAGCAGAAAGTGACTTTTTACAAGGCATTAGAGTTGACAAAATTGTTTTGGAAAGGGCTGTGATAACAGGCTCTATCTAGGCTAACCAGAATTAGCTCCCAGAACACTGTATCCTTTCTCATCAAGGAAACTACTACTTTGGCCAATATAAAGAAGCTGGATAATTTAGGAAGTCCATCACAAAACTGTTGCCTCTGGAAAAAAAAACTGCTTTAGACTGTTGAGATCAGCAAGCAGTAACCAGCACTGTGAACTTGAGAGCCATACCCATACCTGTAAGATTCACATGAGCAAAAGGGACCCACACACCACTGCCTCCTTCCCTGTTAAACAAATCTTGAGCATATACATCTGATGTGTGGAACATAAATCACCTCTGGAAATCTAATTTCAATGGAGTCTGGGAATGTCATTTTTCAGCTTTCCAGCCTCTACAGCACAAGAAAAAACATCAGAAGGTTGTTGGAAAAGCTATCAAGTAAGCTACTTTATTCTATCTACCTCATGATCAACATGTTTTTAGAAAATGTGTATTTCAAAGAGGAAGAATATAGGATTAATTGTTGCAAATATATTATATTGTAAAGAAAATTAAAAAGCCAATAAACTTCATAAATTTAAAGGAAAAGTGCATTTTGCATACAAAAGAAAAGATTTACTCCTTTTTACTAAAAAAAAAATCTAATGAATGCTAGGGTTTGTATGCTTCATAACAAACTACTCATAAGCAAAATTTCTGAGCAAATCTTCATCATTCATAGCTCAGTAATATTTACTCTTCAGCTAGCACATTATTTTCATTTTGAACCATCCTGAGCAGACTTCATATTAGTCAATTTGGCTAATGATACAAAAATGGAGACAAATAGTGTGGAACCGAGTGTGCAAACTCAAAGAGGCTTGAAAGACCTGGATTATGAGCAAGTAAATGACTCGTGGAATTTAGAATAACAATGTGTAAAAGGCATGAAACTCTGGGACCAAAATAATCAGAGGGGCTACAACTTTAAAGGGTTCAGAGAACAAAGTACACATCAGGAAAGAGCTCTGGAGTGATTACAGATATTATACTAAAATCATCTGCCTGGGAGACAGCTGTGAGGGAAAGAGGAAAGAAAGTAGCCGCTCAATAGTTGGAGAAAAAGGTGCATCTTCAGATGTTATTATGACATTAGACAAAGTGTTAGTGTGTAGGATTATTTCAGCAAGAACTCCTGATTCTGCTCTGCTGGGCTGTCATGTTGATTACTAGGGATTACATCTTAAAAATGTGATGTGGTCTTTTAAAAAAAAGAAGACTGGATATATCTTTTTCTCATTTTTAAGCGACTTAAGTGGTGCAAAAAATCTTCTATGTATTGTGTCTCTTTCTCTCGGTTTCTTATGTCTCTATATGGAATAGAATTGCTCAAGATGCTTGCAACTGCTATATCGGCCTGCTGTTTCAGACAATCAAGTAAACACAGTTCTCTGCTTGATCAGTGTCTCCAGGGTGTAGTATGGAACACTGTGAGAGGAACAAGTAACTGAAGATTTTAGAGACTGTATGAATTTTAAAAATAATAAGAAAAATAGCCTTGTTAGGTATTATTTACAGTATTAGTATTATTATTAATATCATTTATTGACTTGTTATTCTTGCCAGGAACCATGCTAAGTACTTTACATAAATTAACATCTTTGCTTTTATCTCTAGCTCTTTCCTGGCTTGCATTTAGGAGCATAAAATGGCTGATGTATCTGTTTAGGACTCCTATAACAGACCCTTAGACAAATATTACATTAAGAATCAACTTTCTAACAGTAGAAGCTAAACTAGCAATAAGAGGATAAAAAGGGTAAGATCTACTTTGTGTTTCAAAGACGATATTTGAACCTAATTGTCACCTTGTTTGAGAATGTGCTTACAATAAGTGAACCATCAGCTAGGTTATTAGGAAAGGTGTCCCTCCTGGTCCTTTCATATTCTTCCCAAGTCTAAAGAGACGGGTTGAGTTTTGCCCTCTTCTTTCACCATGAAAGCTCTGTGGTGAAAAAAAAAAAGAAAATATTTGCAAAAGACATCAGAGGAAGGAATGTTACCCAAAACATGTAAAGAACTCTTAAAACCCAACAATAAAAACACAATCTGATTTTTTTAAATGGGCCTAAGAATTTAACAAACATCTCACCAGAAAAAATATACCATGTCAAATAATCATGTGAAAAGATGTTCCACATCATATGGCATCAGGGAAATTCAACTTAAAGCAACAGTGAGATACCACTACACACTTACTAGAATGGCCGAAATCTAGAACACTGACAACACCAAATGCTGAAGAGAATGTGAAGCAACAGGAACTCTTATTCATTCCTGGAACTCTTATTCATTCCTGGTAGACATGCAAAATTGTACAGCCACTTTGGAAGACAGTTTGGCAATTTCTTGTAAAACTAAACATATGATCCAGAAATTTGCACTCCTTGGTATTTACCTTAAGGAGTTGAAAAATTATGTCTGCACAAAATTCTTCACACATATGTTTATAGTAGCTTTATTCATAATTGCAAAAACTTGGAAGCAACCAAGATGTCTTTCAGTAGGTGAATGAATAAATAAACTAAGGCATATAAAGACGGTGGAATATTATTCAGCACTAAAAAGAAATATGCTATAAAGCCATGGAAAGACATACAGGATGGTTAATTGCACATTATTAAGTGAAAGAAGACAGTCTGAAAAGGCTACCTACTATGTAATTCCTACTATATGTCATTCTAGAAAAGGCAAAACTATGGAGACAGTAAAAAGGTCAGTGTTTGCCAAGGGTTGGGGAAAGGGAGAGATGAATAGGCAGAGCACAGAGAATTTGGGGACAATGAAAATACTGTGGATGAGACTATAATGCTAGAAACTTATCATTAAGCACTTGTCCAAACCCAGATAGTGTGCAATACCAAGAGCGAACCCTAATATAAACTGGAGACTCTGGGAGATAATAATGTGTCAGTGCAGATTCATCAATTGTAACAAATGTACCACTCTGGTGGGGATGTTGATAATCGGGGATTCTATGCATAGGGGATAAGGGGGTATATGGGAAGTTCTATGTCTTTCATTCAATTTTTGTTGCAAATCTAAAGCTTTTCTAAAAAGTAAAGTCTATTTTTGAAAAGTTAAAACAATCCAATAAAGTTTTATGATAAAAAAAAATAAGGCCAAAGGAGAGGAGCATAAGAAATAGGGTGAATTTGCCTTTCCTCCTTTCTTTACCTCCTCACACACACAATTATCTAAACTAAACAAAGACTAAAATTATGAAGGTCAATCATCTCATGGGAATACCCTCAAGCTTGGGGACAATTATTTATTTAGTAACTTTTGTGTCTGCTGTTAGAAAACACTCTGTAGATGTTTTTATTAGCCAAAAAAACCTCAAATTATCATCTTCAAATATTAGAGGTTTATTATATTCTATTCAGTTTCTCATGGAAGTTGTAGACAGAGTTTTGTATAAGGAAAAATTTGAACCAAATCAGTGTAGTATCACAAAGAGCTCTTAGTGAGTTGGAAGTACTTTCTTGTATTTGCATTTTACTCACTGTGATTTTGCAGGTATCACCCACCTTCTGTGGGCCTCAGTTTCTTCATCCCTGCAAAGAAGGAGTTAGACTGGAACACTTAGATTTATATGATCTTATATGCATTTGCTCAGCCACAAAAGCATGGAAGATTATTAATACTATTGGATAGAGGCTGATAATACATTTTTAAAAGGAAAACCTACATTGCGAATTCAGCAATAAATTATTGTCTTAGAACTTTTCAGTTGCACACACTTTCTGGTAATATTCGTTAAATTAAAGGCTATTTGTAAGTTTCCCATATCTTGATTTATTCTAGTCTGAGATTGTTTTCTAAGGGGATAATCTCATTTATGATATTGGCTTTTTAAAGATGTAGAAGCATTATACAGAAAGATAAATTTGTACTGCCAACTAAATGCAAATGATCACTATTTTGAAGGAACACTTTCAAGGCTTTGTTTTATATAGATGCATATGGAGATTCTTATATATTTAAGGGTTACAGGCAATAACAATAAATAAAATTAGTTGACCCTGGAGATGAAAAAAAAAAGTCTTGCATGAAGGTGAATAATATTCCAATCATACCAGAGGTTAACATCCAGCTGGTATTTTATTCATGTGCCTGAATGTAGTCACTTTTAGAGTGTTCGAAATCACCATGAAAATTGGTGTAGAGAAAGCCTATTTGAAAAGCTGTAATAGAATGAAAAGCTGATATTTGCAAACTAGTTTTCAATCAAGGCCTAAAATCCATAGTAGATTAAGTAAAATAAGTAGAATATGGTAATATTGATGAGTTTACCTAGAAAACCCATATGGTTTTCAAATTTATACTCCTCAAGGGCATACCAGTTATTTTCCAGAGAATACAGAAAATAATCTATACATTTTTCACTCTTTGCTTCTAAGGAATAGGAATCTAGGTGAAAAAAAATCCTCAGTGAAAATGACATTTTAAAAACCTTTTTAGATACTGCTATTATAGAAATTACTGTTAAATGCTAGGCATTTTCATTTATTTTATGTGTTTTGAAGCCAAAAGCCAGAAAGTCTTAGCTACTTAAAATCAACTACTGACAGTTGCCTTTTAACAGAGATGGAACACACCTGACATCACTGCTGCAATGCTGCCTTTCATAATTATGGGGCTCTTTCTTTCTCTCTGAGCCTGAACATGACATTAGACTCTCATTAGGGCACACCTGGCAGCCACTACCAGTGGATAAGAGTTGGCATTGAAGATAAAACCTATGAGCCACATATGACTTAAAAGTTTGATACCTTTGTATGGATAGATCTACATACACATACATGCACATGTACATACACACACAAATGCCTCATTGGAGTGCAGTTCAGTCATTGTAGCTTAACCTGTAATACTCACACCATCATCTCTATTATGAATTATTCCATTATTTCCTAAATGGGCCCCATGTTACTGTGCTTGCCCTCATACACTCTATTCCTAACTTTTAAAATATAACTTATATTATGTCATTCCTTTCCTCAGAGCTCTCCAGATGTTCCCCCTTTCACTTAGAGTAAAACAGTCTACAAAACCCTACATGGTCTCATACCGTCATATTTCTGCCTTCATTTTCTATTTTTTTTTTCTGTTTGCCACTCTTCTTCAATCAAACTGGGCTTTGTGCTATTCCTAGAAAATGCAATGCCTGGTGGACTCTGTCTTGTTGCCTTAAATATACTGGCTGTTTCCCTGTCTGCAACATAACTTCCCCCAAATATCCACATGGCCTCTCACTGACTTCTCCAAGTCTTTGCAAAGATGTCCCCAATGGGTGTGCCCTATCCTGACTATCCGCTTTCCAGCTGCATCCCACCTACCACTCTTAATTTCCCATCCCTGATTAATGATTAATTCATTTCTTTATCTCACTTATATAGAATAATTATTGTATTTTAATTGTCTTTGCCCTCCTCAACTAAAATGTAAATTTCATCGTTAGTGCTTCATCCATGACTTTGTCCCCAGCACCTAATACAGGCAGTATATAGTTAGCTGTCAATTATTTGCTGAATTAATGCACATTTGATGCTAATGAATTAATAACACTTAGGCCCACAGGAACTAAGGGAAGTACATATGTGACTCAGGCATTGAGATAAACCTAATAAAAATAACTTCTATTTGCCTTACGCGGTTTGAAGACTTGCTATTTTGCGGCTTTTAAAAGTAATAAATATCAAAACATTGTTATTCCATAATAAACAATGTCAAAATCCTCTAATGACATGAATTCTTATGGAAGATTAAATAAATGAGAATTAAAAATGGAAAAGAGCATAAAAATTATCTTAGTCATATCATTTGATGCTGGGGTTTGTTTAAAATGGTGATTGCTTTCTTGACAAGTGTATGTATATTTTTTAATCAAAAAAGATTTTGTGAGCCGGGTAAACATATTTCTTCACTATTTTCCACCACCTAACAGTTTGTTCTACTTTGTTTAGAAAGATTATCTGTGGCAGGTGCTTTTTTTGCCTGCTATGTTAAAAAAAATTCTATACATGCTAGATGTTTCTCATCAACTCAGCCCAAAATACCTTTTTGTCACTATTTCCAAAGCTAGTTCTTTAATATTAATATAGTTCTGCTTTGGCAACAACAAAGATGAATAGCTATTGGTGGTGTGGGTTTTGTTTCTGTCTTTGACTATTTAGTGTAGAGAGGTATCAGTATGAGGAGTTAACAGTGCTTTAAAAAATAAGCAGGGGTTTAATCTTCATTGCTCTTGTTTCAGTGTTTCATCAATATCAAAAGACCTAGTGCTGGTAATGAGATGGTACATTACTCCCAAAGCTCAGTGGTTTGTGATTTGCTGTAGAAATTGGGCTCCTGGTCTTTAGAATTAGGCTAGTTTCCAAAAACTAAAGTACAGAGAAAGTGAGAAAAATAAAGCTCAGAGAATAAAAAAGGGAGAAACAAAGGAAAATTAATACATTTTAAACCAAAGGCATGAATGTAACTTTAGCCTAAAAAGTGACTAAAAAGCATTTCTGCACCAGGCAAACAATAGAAATAAAGGAAGTAAATAACTAAACTAAAAGTTCATATTTTAAAAATAGCACCTCAAAAAATGCTTAAATAAAATGAAAGACTAAGAAAATCAGTGCCAAAGATTCTATATCATCTGTTAACAAAAATATTTACAAAGTGGTTGTGTTTTGAAAGAACATACAATGAATATGCAATACTTACTAAAATCTTAATTGGTGGAAAAATCTAGACTATTCGTATAAAAATCATGCTCCAAAGAACACCAATTGGCTCAAGAATTTTGTTTTATTTTAATATTCAATAGGTATGGTTCAGTGTTACCATTGTTGCCGTTTTAAAGGGGAAAATATGAGGAAGCAAAGAGATTCACACGTATATATACTCAATATATGTGGACAAAGCCAACAGAAGGGTGGCAGTACTCTAAACAATTTAGGTCTTGAAAAATCATTGTGTAAAGAGAATGGTTATGGTAGAGAGAAAAGATCACAGTTTTTAAAAGTGTTTGTCTATAGAAGCTAAACCTATCAGTTTTTTTTTTCAGTTCCTTCAAATAGGTGAGCACCAATTGAGCACCCACTATGCCAAGTTGTGGGGAGCTTCTGGAGGAAGGCAGGAAAAGATAGCATGGAAAGGCCTGGGCCTAAGCTTTCCAAAATGCTTTTCCCACTGACCAGCTATGTGACCTCAAGCAAGAGATACATCCATTTCCTTGCCTGGTAAAGGCTTAATAATGGAGTTATGAAATGAAATCATTATATGAAATAAGCATGCAAAACATTTATAAAAATGCTTATCTTTTAATAAGCATTAGCTATTATATAAAATAAAGGAACTAACATTTAATAGAATCAGACTACAATTTGGATGTGAAAAGTGCAGATCAGACTCAGTACCCAATCTTTACTAGTTATATAATTTTTAGGTGAGTTATTTCACCTCTCTGAGCCCCTGTTTTATTAATTATATACTAGGAATAAGTATTCCTATTTTTCAGGGTTCTTTGACAGAATTAAAGATTAGGTATGTAAGGTATTAAGCATAATTCTTAGTGTGGCCAAGATTTGTAAAATAAGTTATTATTGTAAATATCTCTTGTTTCTCAAAGGGCACAATTCCACTTTTCTGTCAGTGGATTCTGAGTCAGCATAGTGGTATAGATAGAAGTAAGGTCTCTGACAACAGACATCATGTGTTTTAATATTAATACTACAACTTCATTCATTAACTCAGTAAATATGAATTGCTTATCTACTGTATGCCATCACTGTTCCAAATTTGGAGTACAAAGATCCATGCCCTCATGGAGCTCCCTTTCTAGCAGAAGGGGACAAACAATAAACACAATTAATAAACAAATCATAGAGAATCTTGGAAGATTATAAATGCTATCTAAGGAAGAGAGATAGAGAAAAGGAGAAAGAGGAAAGGAGGAAGGGTAGTGGACAGAACAAAGTAAGAGGGTTGGGACTTGCAATTTTCCTTATTAGTTACTTATTACCCTAAAACCTTAAGCAAGCTCCTTAACGTCCATGGCCTTAGTTTCTTTGTCTCCAAAATTGGGAAAATAATATTGCCAGATTCACAGGATTGTTTTGAGGCTTTAATGAATTTCTCCAAGTAAAGAACATACAACAATGTCTGGCACATAGTAAACATTCAGTAGATATTGGCTATTATTATTACTATTGTTATCAGGAGTTAGAGAAATATGGCCACTGTAATTACATGGGTTGGTTGAAATGTAATTTATCAACTTCATTGTTTTCAGGCTATACTAATTATCCAATTTCCACTGCTTCAAAAGCCTTAAAATATTTACAAGTGAGCCCTCCCATGAAAATTTCATAACCAAGTAAAATTTATATGAATCACATAAAAGAAGTGCAAGTACTTAAAGCATGCTAAACAATTGTGTAGTTGTGATTTATTTACAGGCAAGCAATCACGGAACTACTAAGAAACTTTAATAAGCAACAACACCACAGTAGATAACAAAATCGATAACAATATTAATTGCATATTGGCAGGGAAAAAAGATTCCCTACAAACCAGAAGCTCTGATTTTCTCATGAATGAGAGAATACAAATAGTTTAAAGTAGATCTAATACCTATAAATAAAGATTTTATGCAAGAGATGTTTAAGCCATAACTCAATTAGACTGGGATTGGTGCGAAAACAGTTTCCCAGAAGCAAAGTTTTCTCCCTTAAGCGTATATTTACCTTAATTGCCCATCACAATGTAGGATTGGGTGTCAGAAGGACCTAATAGAAATGAATAAATAACACCTAGATTCCTATTAAATATTTAGCCTGTCCGGAAGAGAAAACAAGCAAGTGGGACATACTTTTATAATGACTTTTTTCTACTGATTGATTCTACTGGATAGTGAATTTATTTGGATTATATCCAACCAGCTAAAATGGGATGCTGGTTTTCTGATTTGTTTTTTCAGTCCCCTGTCAGGGTATTGCTGTAGTGCATAAGTGAGTAAGAGAGATGCAGCAGGTGAAGCAAGGAATAGACAAGAATAAGTCAGTAGGAAACGAATCCAGGCCGCCAAAAAAGCACAATGAAAAACATTAGTGCTGCGTCGACTGATGAGCACAGCTAATCAGCCCTTGGGATAAGTTAAGATTTGTAAATTCATAAAGACTGGTGAGGTTCTTTATGCTATTTCTGTAATGGTAAAGTGAAATGTTCATTTCTGCCTATTTCATATGGAAAAAAACATTTTATTAATAAAGTAACTTATGTTGCACATTGTATAAATTTTAAGCAGTGGTTTGTGAGACTGTAATAACTATACACTTAAGTGTCAGATGAAATCTTAAAATGGCCTAAGAAAAGGAATATATTGTCTGTGTAACTGCATAGACCAGAGGCACTGGATTCAGGTGAGGTTTGATCTAACTGCTCATACAGTGTCACTCTATGTGTCACTGAAAGATTTTTTTTTCCCTATCTATCATCCATGGTATCAGCTTCATCTCAGGCACCACTACTAACACACCAAAACTCTAATTCTGTCTCCATAGTAGCAAAATAATAACCCAGTTACAGGCCTCCCATTCTGGCACAGTACCATTGGGGGAAAGCAAGAGGGGAAGAGTATTGCTTCTAGATTCTCCTACAGATATTGTGGGACTTGCTTTCATTCTGTGACCTAAATTTAGTTCATTAACTATTTACTATGTCCAGAGGAATAGGATATGCTGATGTGTTAAGTCAGGCAGGGGACCATTCCTACCCAAACTAAGAACAGAAGAGTGCAGGGTCCAAATAAAAATATCAAGATGTTGTGGGCAATGGAGAAAGAGACGGCCACTAAGAAGGCCAAAGGAAAGAAAAATCCTTTTCAAGGTCTTAACCTATCAACTACAAAAAATGTTGTTTTGTATGATAGTGGAGAGTGTCAGTGTATTCACAAATAATTATTGTGACTGTGAACTGCTTCTCATGAGGCTGGAAAAGCGGGTCTGTGCCAGACCATAAAATGCCTTAAATTTCATGCCAAGGATCTGAAGTTTTGCACTTGCTATTGGGGATTTTGAAGGATTTTAATCAAGAGAATACTATGTTTAGCATTTACCTATTTTAGAACAGTCCTAGTATTTTTATTCGATACACATGTGTACACAGACACACCAGTAACTGTGTCTTTTAATAGCAAAATCAATGGTATGAGGGAGTGTCATTTCCTACAGAGCAAAGTAAAATGGGACAAAAGAGAAAGACATATATTCATCTTGGGAAAAAGATATACATTCATCTATGAAAAAACAATTAAACAGAGACAATCTTTGGCTTATTGGGAAAGAAAACACTGATAAAGTAATACAAGAAAAGTACAAGATCACAGCATTTTTTTATTCCTCATTCCCTCAGGCTTCCTACAGGTTTTAAGCTTTATGTATTTTTTTTTTTAAAAATCCAAGAGTGAAGCATTGTTGTCTGACTATTAAGATATCTGCTCAGTCTCTTTGTAAGTAATTTGATCTTTGTAAGATCAAAGGCCAAAATGTACACAGAAAACAACTATAATGAAGCAGCAATAATCTACTAAGTGAACATAAGGCCTCAAACAAAAGGGCCACGGAGTTTCAAGCAAGAGATTTACCTTCTACAAACCCACTCTTTCTTTAAAGCACCCCACTGCCCATCTAACATCAACCACAGCTAACTAAACTAAAGCAACTGGACACTTATTCTCATCAATTCAGTACACATGACTAAGTAAAAGGTGAAAGAGGAAGTCCCAGCAAAGCAGAGAAGGTAGCAGGCAGCCATGCTGCAGGCATAAACAGTACTAATGGAGGGCAAGAATCATGGACTCAGGAGGAGGTGAGAGTCAAGAAATGTTAACTTGCCTTCAGCACCCTAGCAGTCTCATGGGAGACAATTAATGCAATGTCACCAAAAGCAAACGTCAGCCTTTGACCAGTCCCTGTGAAAGGTGAAAAAATAGCTTTTCATACATAGTTATCAAAAAAAACCCTGCTGAACAAAAGCATCTGCCAGAGTTTCTGCCATAAAGGTGGATTTCCAGTGAAAGTCAACAAAATTACTGGTAAAACACATATAAAAGTAGTCTTTGAAATATCTGCCAGTTACCTTGTATTACCAATATTAAGCAAGGTTGCCTTTTTAAAAACACTTTAAACTGCACTGGTTAAGCAATTTTTAAATATGTGGAATATTCATCAAAATACTTGATTAGAATTAAAATTGATTTGTTGACAATATTCTTCTCCATGTACATATTAAGTGTATAATCAACAATACTTTTCCTTTGTAGACAAGCTATGGTAAGAAATATAAACTTATAATTGCATGCCTTAATATTTTTATTTTACCTGGTATAACTTTGGATGTTCCCAAAGCCATCTTCAGTTTTGGCAATTTGCTAGAAGGACTCACAGAAATTGAAATCTGTTGTACTCCTGGTTATGCTTTATTGCAGCTAAACAGTACACATTAAAATCAGCCAAAAGAAGATGGGCAGAGTCCAGGAAAGTTGCAAACATGGAGCTTCCATTGTCTACATAGTGGTCCCAGTATTAATATATAACATGTAGTCCCAGTATTAATATGTAACAACATTCTTGGAGTATTGCCAGATGAGGGAAGCTCTCCCGAACCTCAGTGTCCACAGCCTTTATTGAGGCTCCATCATGTAGACACAGTTGGTCACCTAAATGGCTGATCTGTTTTCAGACCCTCAGGAGGTCCAGCTGATACCCTGTGACTTGAAGCCCACAGCCTAAATCACATGGTTGTTGTGGCTTAAAGCTCCTACCCCACACGTTACTATCTGGCTGGCCTAAGGCCCCCAGGCAAACAAAGATTATCTTATTAAGCATCACACTCCAGGACTTCAAGATTACCTCCCAGAAGCCAAGGTCAAAGGCCAGACCTCTCTTTGGAAAAGGTTACATTATTTACACACCAGATAAAATGTGAATAGTCATATATTGCTTATTTTATTGATTTTAATTTTTGTTGTCAAAAATGACAGTTGAAGGTAGAAAGGAAAGATGCAAGTCAAGAAATAATTCTACAATCTTTTAAAGCTTCAGTGGGGTCTTCAAATTCTTTCTTTCCTGCTGTTTAGTTATAATATGATCAGATAACTCATATTTTCTTTAGATAAACCAGGTTGATATCAGGAAAGATTGATGAGATTAATTTTATTTTTAAAAAATGACACATATTAAGAGTATTTAAGTGTTCTTTAAAGAAAAATGTAGAAGGAAGAAAAAACCCACATCAGAAAACCATCTTACCACAATCTCTAGGCAGAATTCTCAAAAGATAAATCAAGTTTATAAACTCCAAACACATGTTACTATGATAGGAGTCTAAGTTAAGTTTTGTGTATCAAGGCTAAATGCTTTATACAAGTGAACATCAATGAAATAAATAATTATTGAAGATATTATAGTCTCTAGAAAAAAATGAGAATAAAATTTAGCATTAAATTATTAGAATATAAATTAAGTAAGTTAGATAATAAATTTTTGCCAGAGAGAAAGAAGGAATATAAGCTGTTAATTGACCTAAATTTTAAGCTGAGATTAGTTCCTTAATCCAATAAAGAATAATGTTTTTTCCTAACGACCTTCTTAGGAATGTTTTATTCTGGCTTAAGCAAATATGTGTGAAATCTCTCATCCTACTTCTAAATCTTTTAAATGAACACTGTACTCAGATATGCTAAAATTGTGGCTATGGCTTTTGTTGTTGTTTTAACTTCTATAATTTTGACCAAATTTTAAATGGGAAAATATTATTAATAACATTTATTGCACACATGAAAAAAATTACAGTTACATATTGTTAGCGTACAAATATATCAAGTATGTTTTATTATCACAAAAATCTCAGATTAACATAACTAATTCTTTATATTTCCTTCTTATTTGGAAGAGATATCTTTTGTGACATAAACTTTGAATATTTTGCAAATATCCTTTTAACTTATTTGAAGAAGTGCCTATTATTCAATGGGGTTTAAATCACATTTTTCAAATACTCAATAGCCATATATGGAAAATAATATACTTTCATTTTTTAAAAAGCATATTATTCAATTATTCAGAGAAGCCCATGAATAATATAGTAAAATGCATATCTGCACCAATCAGGCTTAATGAATGTTAATGTTTGCTATTATTTGCTTCCAGTCTCTTTTTCTAGTAGAGTTTAAGTCCCCATTATCCTAGTCTCCTACACCCTCCCATCCTGAATTTAGGTTGTATTTTTTCTAACCATGTTTATATGTACCCATAAAGAATATGTATTTTAAGATAGATGCTGTGTTTTTAAATTTTACATGTTCTTTTCTGTTTATTTCTTACCTGACCCTTGTTGAATTCCTAACTTTTAATTTCAAATATTTTCTCTGTTAATGTGGAAGCTATAGATTTCATATTTCTGTTCTTTTAGTGGTTTATCTTACGTTTGAGCATGCAATGTTAACTACAAATATTTCTAACAAAGTTTAAATAAGTATATTCAGTAACCTCTTCCCAAGCAAGATGGAAAACCTAGTATGGTTTATTTATTCTGGTTTTGTTTTTTTGTTTTTTTTTTTTTTTTTTTTTGAGATAGAGTCTCGCTCCACCACCCAGGCTTGAGTGCAATGGTACAATGGTACAATTTGGCTCACTGCAACCTCTGCCTACCATATTCAAGCAATTTTCCTGCCTCAGCCTCCCAAGTAGCTGGGATTATAGGCACCTGCCACCACGCCTGGCTAATTGTGTGTGTGTGTGTGTGTGTGTGTGTGTGTGTGTGTGTGTGTATTGTTAGTAGAGATGGGGTTTTGCCATGTTGGCCAGGCTCATCTCGAACTCCTGACCTCAAATGATCCACCCACCTCGACCTCCCAAAAGTGCTGGTATTACAGGCGTGAGCCACCCCTCCTGGCCCTGAACAATTTCTTCTCTCATTGTCACACATAGACACAGTCTTCCTCATGCTGTTTTAAATTTATATTTTGCCGTTTTAATCACACACACACACACACACACACACACATTTTCCTGTTTTCTTTATTTATTCCATGGTTAATTAACTTTATGAAAATAAACCACTTTCTGTGTTCTCCATTGTTTCTTTCACCTTCCCTCTGGGTTCACTTTTCTTTCTGTTAATAAATATTTTTAGTTTCTTTCAGTGCAAGTCTGTGGGTGACAAACTTTCTTACCCTAGGTATGCCTGGAAATTTGTCCAGGATTTTTGAATGATAGTTGTGTTAACCCAATGGGTTGAACAGTCAAAGAGCACTTCTGCACATTATAGATCTTACCCAGTGCCAAACTTTATTAATGATTCAAAAGGTACAGGCAAGCAGCAGGCTCAGGCAAGACATCTATTTCCAGCAGGAACTAAAGACCAAATGCAGCTTCCAAAATTTTTTTTTCTTACTTTCGGATGTGTTTTCATTTCTGACACACAGAATAGTATTAAGCAATATATGCACACTAGTCACAAAGGAAGCCATTAGGAATTTGGAGCTCTTTTGTTTTATACTCTTATAATTACAGGGATAAGGGAATATTTTGATGACTACCACCCACTGCTCCCCATTCTCCAAAAAGCCATGCCCCGTACATCCATAAGGTCCAGGTTCATTGAAAATAAGAAATCTAGTTACAACAAATATATCCTACAAAATATATGTTCTCAATAAAAACTCCCTATCTGTAGTAAATACTATTTTTATACTGCATAGAGGTCTGTTGAAGGTCTTTGGCATGGTTATAAGGAAGTACACCGAGGGTCATTCATTTTCCCTGGATGGCCTCCATAAAAAAGATCAAGTTGCAGGTATAGTGTTAACTCTTTTACTCCCAGTTGTTTTATGATATGTAGAATTCTGGGTTGACAGGTTCACTGGTTGATTTTTCCCTCAGTACTTTGAAGCTATAATTTCATTATCTTCTGACATCCACTAGTTGCTAATGAGAAATTTGCTGTCATTCTAATTGTTGTTCCCTTTTAGGTAATCCATGCCCTATTTCTGTTAGCTTTTAAGATCTTCTTCTTATACTTCTTTGCAAGTTCATTACAATGTTATAAAATATGTAAGTATTTAATTTCATTTATTCTGACTGGTATTGAATGTGCACTTTCAATCTTAGTACTTATATGTTTAATTCTGGGAAAGTCTCAACTGTTATCTTATCAGGTATTACTTTCCTGTTATTCCATTTTCTTCTGGTGAAATTTCTTTTAGACAAGTGCTAAAGCCTTTAAAACTACCCTCTGTTTTTCTTAACTACACATATATTCAGATACATACATTTTTAAAATTATTTTATCACTTTCGCTCTGAATTTCTCTCATGGTTCACTTTTTTCTGTCCCATTGTTTCATAGTTAACTTTATCCCATCTTTAATCTTTTAATTTTTCAGTGTTAGAACATCCAATTATTGTATATTTACGTTTTATATAATATTTTATATGTATACTTTTAATTTTATTTCTGCCTATTTATGTTTTATAATTTCTTTTTACTTTATTGAATGGAAGTCTAAGTGATACCTGGGTCTGAATTCTCACTGAGAGAATATAAACATACTCTCTTCTCATGTATCAGAATGGAGCAAAAGTAGATTTTGTTTCCCACCACCCATCTATCATACAGTGTAAGGAAAGGTTTCTGATGCATCACCTTTTCTAAACAAATGGAGACCAAGGGAACTTCCATAGATCAGTCAGCTGGTTCCAGTGCCTGGAAAGATAATGGAGCTGTAGATAAATCAAGTTGCTTCCAATTTTCAAGTCCCTAAAATATCTTGGAGTACTAAGAAAAAATCAATATGTCTTTATGAGACACAAGTCCCAGTAGCCCAATTGAATTTCATCTTTTACACCAAAATCATGATCCTGGAGGGTGGAGAATCAAAAAGTTCATATATCGAGATTTCAGTAAGGCTGTATTTAGGCAGGCCTATCAATAAATAGTGGAAGAAAGGTACAAGTGAAAATTCAAGTTTGTAAATATCTCCAAATTAGGAAAAAATGATAGCCAGTCAGACAATTTTGTAGTAGACATATTTCTATTTCAATCAATACCGTTCCATTATGTTAGCCAATATCCCTTCCATCTCTTACTATTTCTATCACTGCCTGTACAGACTCAATGATAGATCTTAAAGTAAAAAGACTCAAAGAGATCGTAGAGATCATCCAATCTCAAATGTTTAGTTGTATATTTCCCATAAATGTTGGTTCTAGTGAAAACTAAACTGAAAGGGGATTTCAGTATGAGAGAACAACATGTGATCAGAAGACTTTTGATGACTGCAGAGATTAGAAGTTTGCCCAGAAAGTCTGGAACACAGGGGAGGTAAAAGGGAAGAATAGAGAATAAGATAAGAAAGACAGCTGGGTTCAGCCTCTGGAAGGTCAGGAATGCCAGACTGAGAAGGAATACCGGGACGTTGTTCTGTTGTGAAGAAGGGACTGTGGAATACTGGCTCCTCAAACGTCACTGACACAATCTGTTGATCAAGACAGTGCTGAGTCTGTGGCTTTTCTGGGTAACATAGGAGACTGCCTTAACTGATTTGGTATTGTTTTGGGCAGGGAAGTTAAGGTCAGATTTTATTGAGCACCTAACATTTGATTAAAAGTACGTCTTTTTTTTTGTTGTTGTTGTTTTGTTTTGTTTTGTTTTAGACAGAGTCTCACTCTGTCGCCCAGGCTGGAGTCCTGTGGCTTACTGCATCTTCTGCTTCCTGGGTTCAAATGATTCTCTGGCCTCAGCCTCCTGAGTAACTGGGACTACAGGCAGGTGTTACCACACCTGGCTGATTTTTGTATTTTTAGTAGAGATGGGGTTTCACCATGTCGGCCAGGCTAGTTTTGAACTCCCAACCTCAGGTGATCTGGCCGCCAAGGCCTCTCAAAGTGCTGGGATTACAGGCGTGAGCCAAGGTGCATCTTTAAATGTGGGACTTGGTTAGAATTAGTTAAGAATCACAATATAATAATTTAAGATTGGTGAACATAGCAAGAGAATATTTTGAGGATTTCGAGATGAGGAGTTCAAAAAGTCTTAGGACATAAACCATTGATGTTTTACTGAAGAGCTGATGTGTTCCTGTAATGAACAATATATTTAATTTATTTATTGTGCAAGAGTCTTCTTACGTTAATAAAGACAATGGAATAGTAATATCACATTAATATAGCTAGTAAGCTGTGTAGGAATTGATTCTTGAGCAGGAATATAACTTGATGAGAATTGTGTTTTATAAAGATTTTTCCAGCATTTATGAATGGAATAAAAAGATACCTGATAGACAGAAAACAGCATTAGCTGGGAAGTTGTTAGCAATAGCAATTAGTAAATGTGCCTGAATATGTTAAACAAAATGAGGAGAGAAGCAAAAGGGAAATCAAAGAAAAATAAACAGCTGGGTGGGTTGGTAGTGGTAGCGTGAGGGAAAGTTAAAGTATATCAGTTAGAAAGAAATTCAGGATGTTGAATTTTAAATCTGAATGACTATAGCTGGTTCTTCTAACAGAAGCAGATCCTTCTCGCAACTTGTATGACATTTGCACCTTTTGTTACACATTGTTTGAACACTGCCTGTGTTAGTTCAATGCTTCTTAACCCTGGCTGCAAAATAGAATGCAAAAATACCAAGGCCTGGCCCTACTACACAACAGTTGAACCTGCACATAAAATTGACAAGGATCAGGCAGTAAAAGCACTCATCTCTCAAAAACTCTCTCTGTAGCAGTAGTCATATGAAGTCTGAACATACATTGAAGAGATATATCCTTAAGTTACATTCTCTCTAAAAACAGGTATATAATTCATAAATATCATTAAAGAAGGAGGATGCTAAATTTTCTTTGTTTATATTAGTGTTTTATGAAAACTCTTTTAGGAATGTCCTAGCCTAATAGCGTTTCATGTCATTCACATAAAACATCAACATCGAGAGGCATATTATCAATGACCACTCCTTAAGCTACAAAGTACCTAAAACACATACAAAGGGTTGCATTTTGTGAAGTCAGTATCTGTAATAAACATGCAAAAAATAAATAACTTCGATAGTAGGAAAAAAAAAGATAGGGTCTGGGCCTCAGAATGCTTCGAAAGCTGCCCAGGTGATGCTGATGCATTCTGAGTATATAGACCCTACAGAAGAACACTAACATCTAATGTTTGGCCCTTGACTTCAAGAAACTTAGACCTTGGTTGGAAAAAAGATATGACCAATAAGGACCACAGTCCCTTTATTTCACACAAACATTTGATATGGCCAAGCCTTTCAGGACTATCTGAGAGTAGGAAGACTAAAAAGACTTTACTTTTCAGTTTAAAAATAAAATTACATGTGTCCATATTTTGTAATTTTGGTTAACATATCTGCTCTTTGTTGGGTTATATTAACAAAGGATAGTCACCACTATTTCAGTGTGGAAAAAGATCAACTCTACTTTTGTATACAGTGATTACTGAATTAACTTAGCATGCTTGACTTAAGCCTCTCAGAGACATACTACCTTTTTAATAATTTGGGGACACAAAAATTAATGTATTTTAATATCTACATTTTCACCAGATATACCCTTCTTTAGAGAAAGATCTATGATCTCTGCTATTTCCTCAGTAATTCATAAGTTGTCCCTTTCACTCTGTCCCAAGCTATCTCTGATGGTATTAACCAGGCTGCAGACAAGGTCTCAGCTGGGTCTGAGATGATATAAGTGCTTCTGATGAAAGGGCTTTTTCCCCAAGATAATCCTAATTCAGCTTATTGCTTTTCATTTGCAGCCCCCTATTTTCCTGTAGATACTAAATTCAGCTGGAAGATTTTCTTTTCTCAAAAAGTTAAACATCTGTTAATGAAAAATGACCAGAAGTAAAGTCCTTATTAGAATTTAATTACAGAGCAAATTATGTTTTTTTAATAGTTTACAATGTGATCCTGCTTACTAAAAGTGGTGCGCTCTATTTTACAAATTTCAATTTTATCCCTATGCAACAACCAAATTATCTTAATGGGTGTCCAAGTGACAAATTAGATAAATGCCTTCCCTCTGAGTAATTTTCTGATAAAGACACATCGTTTAGTTGCAAGATGACAAACTATGTGTTCAAAGTGACAAATCATTTAATTAAAATTTACAAGCGGTTAAATACTGTTTGACCCAAATGGAGGCTGTTATCATGAATCAATTTCAAAGGAGGAACAAGCTTTTCAGAAAAATCAATCCCAAATAACTATAGCACTTTGAACATATTGTACAACCTCTTTACGATGTTTTTGAACACCTCTTCAGGTTAGCGGCAGTTTTTACCTGGTTCAAACAGATTTTCAATCTAGTTGAAAAGAATTTGAGAGTTTTACTTAGTACTTAAACTCTATTCAGTTTCTTGAATATTTAATATCACGTTCAATGTTCAAGCAAAATGCTCTTCTATCTTAAGAGAAAATAGCTGAAATTTTGATGAGTTATGGCTTTTTATTGCATATACAGGCCAATGGAAATTGCAAACATCTTTCATGAAAAGGCTGGGTAGTTTTTATTTGAGAATAAGAGTGGCCATTGCATTTACTTACTAATACAGTAAATGTAAAATTGCTTCAGTAACATGCTTTATTATTTATGCTGCCAACCACATAATGTGAGGGTAGTTTCATAAAAAATATAAATTAGAGAAATTTCACATGCCAGCAGGCTGTAGATCTGTTTTATGGCTCTGACTTAGCAGGTGCCCTTCTATTTTAGTTGTGCCCTGTAATGAAGTACATATTTAAGCAGTATTGAAATTCAGATAAAAATATAATGTGTATGAGGAAAGTCAGTTGCTTTCCCCAGTGATGCTGTACTTTACAAGCTCCATCATTAGTAATTAATGACTTGGGATTCTTTTCATCAATTCAACTCAGCTTTTTGCTCATCTAATTCCATGCCAAGGTTGATAAGGTCTAAAAAAATATATTTGCGTGATTTCAGCAGTGGTACTTTTACTGGTGGATTCATCAGATATGCAAGACTCACCTATGAATAAGAAAATTCATTAATAGTTAGAGTTAGACACAGCTCACAGCACTACTGACTAAACTAACAAACTAAATCAAAAGGACCAATGAAACATCAAAATAATCATCTAAATATATATACCATTTCTTTCCCCAAAGACATTAAATTTGGTTTAAGGAAAAGGCAAACGGTACTGTTGGATCATTTTAAGTTGTTAATATTATATTTGTATAATATTATTTTGAATAATTTGAATCTACTTTTATCTGCCTCTATTTTATTGTCTTGTCTTTGGAGAATAAAGTAAGTTTTCCACCTTTAGCTATGGTAAAAGATGTAATAATTAAGCATGCTGAAAAGCACAGGATTTTTCACTAGAATGTAATAACAATTTATTATTTACAATGTGCTCTATGACTCCATTTAAAATATACAAAGCCAATGAAGTTTGATTTATGAGGATGATTTTCAATGGTTACCACCAAATACTTAGAATTTAAATGTGCTATATATAAGTCAAGAGCTCATTTGCGATGCCAGATACCAATTGGGCAAATAGCTATGATTTTGACAAGCAATTTGCTTCAAATAGAAGAATATTTTATAAAAGGTCAAAAGTATAAAATGTTTCATCCTCAGTTGAAATTAATGATTCAGCTAATGTCTATGCTGCTGTTTACAGTATTCTGAAAGACATACAACCTCTAATTATCAATAGTCATAAATAATTGTCAAAAATGCAAATGAGAAAAATTATATCAAATTAAAATAATTAGTTCACTAGTTAAAATTTCCTCTCATATTAAAAACCTCTTTTTAAAAAAGTATGACACTGAAAAATGAAGGAATCCTTTAGTATATTGTTACTAAAGCATTATTGAAATTTGACTTTGAAATACAAGCACAAATGATAGATAACATGTATAACGCAGATTACATAATTTCTGGGGATTCATTTTTTCTTTGTTTTTCATTTCCTTGCAATGACATCTACTTTAGCAAATGAATAGACTTCAGGCACATTTCTCTCACATCTTCAAGACTTCCAACACAGCCTTGGGATTCATTCACAAAATTCTAGTTCTAAATTTAACTTACTGACTAACCTCACAAAATAATCCAACCTTCAGCTTTGAGCCAAAATGCATGACTTCTGAGAAAACATAGGCCAATTTTGTTTTATTTTTCATTCATTTAACTTTATAATGTATGTGAATATGTTTTTAACATTGCTACATAAATGTTGACAATGGACAGAGGCTAAATCTTCTGGCCATGACATAAACAAAAATCCATTAAAATTATGAGAAAGCTTTCCAGATCTGTGTAAGAACCGGCTTAAGGTTAGCCCACAATTTATACTACAGAGTTGACAATCTTCTGTGAAATGCTCTCTGAATCTTTAGACCACTCTGCAGAGCTGGATTTAAGCTCTGCTCTCATCCAGTTTTATTAAACAAGATCAACAGTTGAAATTATGGTCCGTGGACCCCTGTGGGTTTCTACCCATGCTGCATCTCCAAGACTTATCTGCAACCCTTTTTCAAAACCCTTGCTTACTCTCCTCCATGTACACCAGCCTCCTTACTGCCTTGGTTATAAGCCAAACATGCTCCACCTCAGTGCTTCACACTCTCTCTGCTTGCAGCATTCTTTATCCAAATACCACATGACTCTTTTCCTCATTTTTGTCAATCATGACTTCTCAACGAGGCCTACTCTGACCAGGCATGTATATAGGCTGCACTTCCCAGTACTCTCGATCACCATTCCCCAGCTCTATTGTTTTCATAGTGCATATCATATTCTAACATGCCACATATTTTAATTATTTATTATACCCGTGGTTTATAAACTATCTGCTCCCACTAGCACATACATTTCAAGAGGTCAGGGATTTGGGAGTGTTTTGTTAAGTAAATGCCTGTCCAGGGCCTCCAGCAAGGAGGACATACAGAAAGTAAATATTTACCGAATGAATGAATGAAATATACTAAACACATTCTTCAAGTCCTGGATATTGATTATACCTAGGAATATAGCATTTTAGAATATTGCTACAACACTATTACTTCTTTTACTAAGGGCTATCATTTAGTGCCTACATAATGTGTGCCAGGCACCATAAACTCTCTCACACAAATTATCATATTTCTGTTCAGTGCCTGTGTTACTTGCGTATTATTATCACCATTTTGCAGGTGAGGGGGCTGCTATTCAAATAATTTAAGTGGTCACACATCTAGGAAATGGAGGAATCAGAAATAGAGCATGGGTCTGTCAATCTCCAAAGAGTTTACTATTAACCATTAGAGAATACATAAAATGCTCATCTCTAACATTAATTTGGTAAAAACTGGCCATAATCATTTTTCCTAATATCCTTTATATATATACTCTAATCCAAGGACTTATTATTTGTCATATGAACCAAGATAATAATTTTCTAACTGGTATTTCTCCTTTTTTCTACTCTAATCCATTCATCTTCCTAAAGTACAGCTACAATCATGCCATTAGTATGATCAGAGTCCTTCAATGCATCCCCATTTTGTGCATATTCTATTTATTATATAATTTCAGTTTACTCACCAAGTGATGCAGCTTTCTCTCTCCAAACATCACTCCAGTAAGAAAGCTAGACTTTAAGGTACTAGTAATAACAGGAGTGAAAAAGGTCTATTATACTAAGTTGAGTCTTGTATCCAACTTAATGGGTTCATGGAGACCCAAGTTTTTAAAAGGTCGTAGCCCTAGGATCACCATTTTTTCAAAAGATTGTTATTCTTTTTCTCCAAATCAACATGTGTGCACATTGTTAAAATGAATTACAGAAGACTAGGGGTAGATACAGTATCCGATTATAACTATTTCCATAGTGACAAGGACAAAGAACAAGTTGTCTGCAGATTGCAACACCACTCAGATACTGAAATAATTAAGGAGATAACTTAGAATCAAGTTAGCAGCCACTCAGAAAAAACTGCAAGCTCCATCAAGGCAGAGACTGTCATATTCACTGCTATATCTTCAGCATCTAGCGTAGTGGCTGGCACAGAGTAAAACTCAATAAATACCTGACTCTGCTGTTTTTATCTCTGTTGTTCTCACTGAAACTCTAATTTTTAATTGTTGTTTTCCATTCTGTATACTATAATTCTATTAACACTGCAGAAGGTGCAGGAATTTGAAATATCTAATGAAATAAATGGTATAAATTCTGAAAAGTCTGAAATGGCATCCAAGCATCCTCAGAATGATCCTAGACTTCCAGAAGAAATCCAGTGAAGGATTTCAATGCTATTCTCTACCTGGAATCTTTAATACGTTTCTGAAGATAACTGATGTAGATTCTCTTAAGAAGAAATGAACAGCCAAACTCTACGCTTGCATAACTGTGTACCACTGCCTTTGTTACTTCAACTAATTAAGGTTTCAGTTTGTTATTATATTCGACTCCACTGTGTAGACTTCCTTCAACACCAAGACGCTGCAGTTCACCGTGTGAATTGCTCTGTCTAGTCAAGAACATACACAGGGGTGAGGCAGCATGTTATATTTAATTATGGAAAGCATATTTTCCCAGATGAGTTGGCTCACAGGTCCTCCTCATTTTCCGTGCTTTATGGTGGGGAAACCTCTTTAATTGATATACATCTAGGTTTTGTATGGCCAAATTTTGCGACAGAACTGCATTCTTGGGAGGATAGGATAATCTGTAATAAAAACTCAATCTTTCATTTTCCATTTTTTAACAGGTATTTTTAAATTATTACTTTAGCTTTTTTGGCAAAATTAAAACAAAATGGAACGGTATTCATGTGGATAAAGCTATAATTAGATTAGATATTGTTTGTTGCTTCTCTTTATCTTTCTCATAACTGTCATTTGATGGATGTTCTCTAGTTATCTTTACTTTCAGTTCACTTTACTTTCTCTTTTAAACTTACCATGGTACTAATGACAACTAAAAGCCATTGCAGTCTTTCCTCATCCAACAGATTTGCCGTATTCTCTTATTCATTGTGAGGAATATTTAAAATCAGTTTACTCATGCCTAGCAACATGTGGCACTTTTGCATCCCTGACTTGATGATACAACACTGAGTCAACTTTGACTTCAGATACTTTTTTCCCCCTTTCCTTAATGAAGAGGCTAGATAGCAAGCTGTTGACAGAAGACTAAAACTTGATTTTAATCTTATTAACTACATGGAGCCTTTGCAGATGTCACTAAATCCAACTGGGATATTAAAGTAACAGCAGCATCCCAGGAAAGAGATGAGTCTAACTCCAACCTTTTCCATGAAGAAATGCCCCAGTTCTGAGAAATCAATTTGTCTCTGGATTCCTGACGATACAATTCATCTGGCATAAGCTCCATTTATTTATTTATTTTAGTATCATTTGGGGTCCTTTCTCTCTAATTAGATTGTAAATTCCTAGAAGTTTAAGACAAGAGTCTAGCACAGAGCTTTGTACAAAATATGTAGCTGCATCATTTTGTCCCCATGTAGACTTGCTTTGTTTTTGAACTATGAATTTGCTTTCAATATCTCACAATAAGAAATGCATAAGACAGTGTCCTAGGAAACTTGTTCACTACAGCCTAAGAAACAAATTGGCAGCACAATTTTAGCAACTATTTAAAATTGACTATGACCTTCTATACTTATCAGGATGGGCACTAATAGTACAGTAACAGAATTTTCAGGTTTGCATTTCTTGCTCACATTACATCAGGGTTGCACAGGGCACTGCTTCTTGTTTCCTTACCCCTAGACTCAGGAACCTCTACACATTTATCTTGTCAGTAGGTGCCACAGTAGGAGAAAGAGAACTTGGAGAATCATAAACTTCTCAAAGGTATCTGTTCAAACGTGACACAAAAAAATTGTTCGTTCCCGTTCCATTAGACAAAGTGAGTCATTTGACCTTGCAAAACTTCAACAGAGCAATTCTGTCATGTGCCTGGAAGACGAACAAGAATGTAGTTATCTCCCTAATGAACAAAACAGTACCCTATTTAAAAATGTTCCACCCCTTCCCTGCATTTCCCAGTCTCCTTTTTACTGAATAATTTTGCCCAATAGCTTTTGTCACCCTTTTACATAAAATGTATATAATTTACTTAAGTATTATGTTTACTGCTCTCTCGCATCCAACCTGTGCTGTAATTTACATGAAAACAGACATTTGTCTCTTCTTTGTTCAACCAACCCAAACTACCCCAGTGCCTAGAGGAGTGCCATGTACCTAAGTAGCATTCTATAAATATTTGCTGAGTAAATGCATGATCCAGTAAAAGAACAAAAGAAATACCCAGGTTCTTACAGCATACCCACAGCTAGCTTCATCCGATTTTCTTACTATTCCTTTCCCCTCTGATTTTCTTGTACAGTTACGTATTATCAAATGTAACTATAAACACAAAACTATGCACACTTACATCCATAACATATCTTTCTAAGTCTTCTTAATTTTGCCAATACTAATTAATTATTCCTTTTGAGAAACACAATAATAAATGAAATTTGGTACCAAAACATGTTTATCACTTGATTGACTGATTGTTTTTAAGAAGCTGCATCTAAAAGATTATTTTTCAGTGGCCTTTATATTCTCTTATAAAGAAATTGTTGGGGTTATTGTTTTCAACACATCTTAATGGCTCCTCTAACTGCTCTCCCAGTGTAATCACTGGCTTTTAGTACAAAAGCTTCTCTCCCTCCACTCCCAAGGTAAAATCATTTGAAGTATCTTCTTCTATGATTGGCCTGATGCTCACAGTCACCAGGCTGGTAGGGGGTCATCCTGCTGGGCAAGGTCCTGCTTTCTAAGGCCTGCTTTGCACTACAAAAGGGAACTACCTTGAGAACACCTATTAGTGCTTGATTTTCCTCTTTGCATCTCCATTGCCCTCTACCTGGCATGCTATCATGAAAGGGCTCTTCTTCTAAAAGGGTCTGTTGAATTTCCCAAATACCAGCTTTAAAATCTTTACTTGATCTTAAAAGAGTTGCTCTATCCTGACAGAGAAGAATAAAAGGCATCTCTAACAAATTTAGGCCATTCCCACTTCAGGAACAATTAGAGGTTTCACACTATTTCCCCCTCAGTGCATTAGATTCCATCATTGATTTTACTTATAAGAGGATTTTATTTAAAATTTTAGATGCAATTATCTACTACTCTAACAGTGCTAATAGTTTTATAACACCTAGTTTAAAAGAATAATGGTTAATAAATTAATTTATCTAAATACATGTATGATTTAGTAATTAGAATCAAAATTTCAGGGATAACAGAGCAGGGTTCGAATCCCACTCTGCCAGTTGTTCTGCCACTGTGGCAACTTGAGCTGTTGACTGACCACTTTAAGATCCCATTTCCTCATGGACTAAGGGGCCTGTGAAGATTACATAAGAGTTATGCAAAGCCTTTATAACAATGCCTACTTCACAGCATTTAAAGAGAAAATGACCTTGGCTGTATTCTCTCAACCTCTTCATAGCTCTCTCCATTCATTTATACTTCCTCTCCCCAGTAATAAGTTTCTTTCAAGCTAAAAATCCATCTTCTCATCAGCCATAAATGTAGATTGCCTCTTTCCAGGGCCATCGTATGGATATTTGATATTGGGCACATGTCTGAGATTCATTTGTGACATTTATATAAGTCAGATGGGAAGATTAGACATAAGCAAACAGTGTGTTCCTCTGTCAACATTTGTTCAGCCTTCTGTGGGAAATACCAAGAGAACTTATTAGAGTAATTTGCAAAATTTTGTCGGCCAGTTTGCTTATTCAAATTGGAAACTGATTATGCATTCAGGCTTTATAAAGAGAATAAATGAGTTCAAACTTCTTCAATGAAAATGAAAGTAAGACCTTCAAATTTGGCAATCATGACCAAATTCAGGGTGTTAATTTAGCTAATTATGCAAATCTTAAAGACAATCATTTAGAAGTGATCTGTATTATTATAAAAAGTATGCATTAGGATAATGTATGATGTTTTAAAAAGAAAACTTCTGTGACATCATAGATTGGCAAAAAATTTTCATGATATTTTTGTTAATTTGGCCAAAGACTTGGAACAGCTTCCCTTTATTGAGAATAACAAGACAATCATGTTTATTAGCCATTAAAGAGTTTTATAATTGATATTGTAAATAGGTGACACTGGATGAACACCCATTGATTGAAAATAAAACAACAGTTTTTCAATAATAAAGAAGACAAGTAAGCCCTGAGTAGAAAGTTCACCATACATGACAAACACAAGACAGATATATTTTATTTTCAGAGACCAGCAAGCTTAAAAATAAATTATTTGGCAATGATGTGGGATAAGTTTTTTTTTTGAAGTATATAACTGGAGCTAAAAGAAAAACAAAAACCCTTCCACTTTATTTTTATCGTTAATATATTTTGTTCAGGCCCAGGCAAATTGCAAAGTAGGCAAAAGCATTAATTTGTTTCTGGCATTTTCTCCTCTTTGTCTTGTACCTGGTGTCCATATATATTTCTTCCAACTATGGAGTGCCTTCTGACATCTTTCTCCAGATAACTTCAAAATTTTCCCTGCTTTATCACACCATCTAAACCTACCTGAGAGTTCATTACCTCAGGACCCTATCATAGGCTCGATGACAGTGAGTAAAATATCTAATACTTATTGAGAAGCCCTTTACACAAGATACACTAAGTATCATATTATCTGATATAATATTCAAAACAATCTTACAAGATAGATGCAGTTTTTAAGATCCTTGTTTTATAATTGAGAAGAGCAAGGCTTACAGAGATTAAGAAAATTGCCCATCAGGGCTTGAAGACCAAGGTGAAGAAACGTAGCTGCCTAGGGTACAAAATGTAAGATGGGAGTCACTTGCAGAGCTGTGAGTAAGAACCTACTTAAATTTTGTGCCCTGGCCCTAGGTGACTTGTTTGCCTTACCTTAACTCAGGCCCTGTCGTCCATATCACAGAAACAATGTCTGAAACAACTGAAGCAGTCTAGTCTGACTGCAGAGCTTGTACTTGGACCGATGTCAACAACACTATCCCACCACAGAAATGCTATTGGTATTGATCAATTCACAGTTCACGATATGTAATTTTTTGAGAAAAAAATTTCCAACCTGAAATATGTGTTGTTCATTCATTTATTCAACTAACATTAGTTATCTACTATAATACCAATTCTGTGCTTACTTAGTAATATGTACTTTGAAGGGACAGAAAATATATGGTGCTGACTTTTATAGCACTAAAAGATATGGAAGTAGAAGCAGACATTAATGAAGTAATCATACAAATGAACATAAATTGCAACTGTGACAAGTACCATGAATAAATACATGGTACTGTGATTGTCAATAGTACTGATATTTGACCCATTTGGGTATTCTTAGAAGGATTCTGAGGAAGTTATGATTGAGCTAATATTCAAAGGATAAGGAAATCACTATGGGAAGGAACTAAAGGAATTCTAGGCACGGAGGCAGGTAGGCATGGCCTCATGCATAAGTATACAATGCAGAAAGTAATAAATTGTGCAAAGAAATCATTTGGATGTTCAGATTGAGTGTTCTGACAGGACACAGTTACGGCCTTTAGCATGGATGTTAGTGGATGGGCAGGATTTGAACTTACTGACATGGGACAAGGAGGCCATTGTAGGCAGAGGGATTAGTAAGAGCAAAGAGATAAAGGTAAAAAAAAGCTTAAATGGGTACAAAGGAAAGTTTGCATGGATAACGGCATGGCAGGTAAGACATAAAGAATAAGTTAGGACTAGATCATCAGGGGATTTAAATGCCAGCCCAAGTTGATGGGCAGCAGAAAGTCTTCAAAGTCTATTAAGTGTGGAAGTGACATACTTAGAACTATAAACTTTAATCAGGAAGCCTCATATTAGTGGAGAAAACAAAAATTAAAGTATGAGATCACTCTCATCTCAGATTAGTGAACCATTTGAGACATTATCTTGGAATCTATAGGGAGACTTTGTTTTTTTCTTTTTCCTTAGAAGAGTATTAGAGAAGACTTTATGGAAGAGAAAATCTTAAAGCTGTTCTTTTAAAGTTAAGTTAGCTGTTATTGGAAGAAAAGTCGTCCCCAAGTTGGAATAGTATTTTCCAAAATATCGACTAAAAGATGGTAGGGGAGAACTTAATTTTTACTTAAAGAAAGATGTTTAAAGCAATGGAAAGCAATAAATGAGACAAGAATTTTATTTTATTTTATTATTTTATTTATTTATTTAATGGCCAGAACTGATAAAGAACTTGAAGCTCAAACTCTGGAACTTGGTTTGATTTGTGTATCAGGGAAGGTTTTGAGGAATGGGGTGACATGATCAAAGAGGCAGAGGGGAGATAACTTTGTCAGAGACACATGGAACTGATGGAAACTAAGAAATACTGAGGCATGAAAGCTGATAAAGAAAAAGTTAAAGTCATTTAGCTAACAAATGACCAAGTGCTGTGTTCAATATAAATATATGTCAAAGATGTATTTGATTAACATTCAGAGAAGGATCTAGAAATATATGTCCTGTGTTACCATGAAGAAGTCAGATTCCTTAATTCAGTCATTCATCCACTTAATGGATATGTATTATGTGCCATATATGCCAGACACTGTGAAAGGAACTGGACTCACAAAGTTAATAGAGATGGAATCCCAACCTCCAAGATGCTTATGGATTACTGGTATGATCAAAGCCATATCAAAATTGACCAGCAAAGAGACAATCTAAATGAAATTATACAGAAATAGAATGCAACTTGACATTCAAAAATAAATATTTAATTAGGACCTGCTATGTGAAAAGTATAACTATAGTGGGCACTACATAGGTTACTGTTAAATCTGCAGCCTTCTGCTAGTTATCAAAGAGCCTACAAGTGATGTGAGTTTGCAAAGCACAAACACACAGTAGGTTAAAACAGGACAATGTTTAATCTAATGACAAAGGAATGGTATGTATAATAAGAGTTTATGGTAATTTAGAACATTTAGAGAATATAATGGCAGTAAGCAATAACTTACTGAGAGTCAGGTCTTAGGCTACACCTTGATGGAGCAATGGAATTTGCATTCAGCCTAGCTAAGAGATTCACATTATCTTGGAATGAATAAATGAGCTCTTCAGAGTAGCAATGTGGTACAAGGAAAAGGACTCAAACTTTGCAGTTAAATAGATCTAGGATAAAAGACTTGTATATCTGTGTGATTTTTTTAGAGACATAACTTCTTTGAGCCTTACCTTTCTTATAAAATAGGAAAACTGGCCAGGCGTGGTGGCTCACGCCTGTAATCCCAGCACTTTGGGAGGCCAAGGTGGGCGGATCACGAGGTCACGAGATCAAGACCATCCTGGCTAACACAGTGAAACCCCGTCTCTACTAAAAATACAAAAAAATTAGCTGGGCGTGGTGGCGGGTGCCTGTAATCCCAGCTACTCAGGAGGCTGAGGCAGGAGAATGGCATGAACCCAGGAGGCGGAGCTTGCAGTGAGCCGAGATCCACTGCACTCCAGCCTGGGCGACAGAGCAAGACTCCGTCTCAAAAAAAAGAAAAGAAAAAGAAAAAGGAAAACTAATAATAGGTCTTATTTCACATTGTTGCTGTAAGAACTAAAAGAAATTATTTATAAAAAGTCAGGTCCAAGTATTTACATATAAAAATGTTAATGTCCTCGCTGAATTCGCAATAAAAAACTTGCTAAACAGTAATCTGTATAAGAACAGAGATGCTGTCTCTCTTGTTTCCTCTTTTTCCTAGGACCTTGCATAATCCCTGAATCATACAAGGATAACAAACATGCGATGAATGACTGAAAGAATTAAAAGTGGGTTTGGGTGTCATGGGCAGATCTATCTTTGTGACAGAGTTCATGTAGGACAGAGCTGAGGGAAAATATTGAAAATTGAAGTAGAAGCTTGATAATTTTCTTTGGATCTTAGCTTTACCTTTTAGGCAGTAAAGCATCATTGAAAGCCCTTAAGCAGGGGATTGACAAGATGAAGTGGTACATTATGAATATTATTCTGGCAGCCAGGTAGTGGGGAGAACGGAGGAGGATTTAGACCACATGAGAGTGGAATCACTGGTGGGGTGGGGTGGAGAATGTGGTAGACAAAGGGTAGAAGTGAGATGCCTTGTGAATGAAGAATCCCAGGACCCAGTGGCTGATTGATGAAGAGAGAAAAAGGAAGGAAGAGATGTGAGGACTCTCAGAAGCCAGAGGAAGATAATAATATTTCCACAGACACCAATCCCGGAAGCAACAAAGAGTAAACAACAACCACCTTCCCAGAACAGGATACATTCAAGACTAAAGCTAGTAAAGTCCCAGGCAAACTGAGACAAGTTAGTTCTTCATCCCATTTCACCCAACTGGACTCAAATTACCAGCATGCCAGAATAAAAACATTTTTAAAACTGTGGAAAAGCAGGCATAGAAATGTGCAGAAAATATCAAAAAAAGAAATTGACTTAGCTGTATAGCGATACATGGCAAAATTGTAAAAACATGTCCATTGGTGCTAATTGTACTGATTTATGTCTGTCTTATGAGAAATTAGTGGAATTTTTTGAATTTTCTTTGCGTCTGAACTTTCCATAGAAGTTGGTGTAATTACAACATAAGAACTCTCCTACAAGTATGTCATGATGACTGGCCATGAGCCAGCCATTGCGGGGAAGAAAAAAATGATTAAAGTACATTTACCTGCCTTTCAAAATAGTCAGGACCCTTACAGTCTGAGCAGACCTGGGAATGCGTTGTTATCTGGATAATGTGCTTTCTACCAGTGCTATGAATAAAGAGGGACACAGCAGTAGGATAAATCCTTCATTCTAGTGAAAGTACCCTTACTGAGGCCAGGTGTGATGGTTCATTGTTGCAATCCTAGCAGTTTGAGAGGTTGAGGCAAGAGAATTGCTTGAGACCAGGAGTTTGAGACCAGCCTGGTCAATACAGTGATACCCCATCACTACAGAAATAAACAAATAAATAAATACATAAAAAAATTTTTTAAAGTGCCCTTACTGTAACTTAGCAATTATTCCCTTCTGTGGACCAGGTTTTTCAGAGTGCTTCTTTGCTTAAAGTCTCAACATACATATCTCTTTGTTGTACCTAAGCAAGTACTTAACTATATTTTTAAACCTTAAAGAAATCTTGGAAGTCATCTAATTTAACTATAGTTTGAAATTTTGGTTATATAGCTCTATATCATTTTTATTCCCATATATTTAGAAATAATTACAGTTGCATGACTTTGTTGAAAAAGTGCATGTTACGATTATCTGTATATTTTGGAAATTCTGAACCAACTGGCATATCTAAGGAGCAACACATGATATTGCAGTGAAACATACACTGTAAACTGAAGTCTTATGTCTTTGGGCTTATGAGTCACAGAAGATGGAAAGGAGACAGGAAAACAAGTATATAATTAGACAGTGATAAATCATAAATTAAGAATTTTAACTTGGAGACATAAAAATGTAATAAAGTGCAGATAAAAGTAACAGCCTGATACTCAAAAGATTTTTTTTTGAGACAGAGTCTTGCTCGATGGCCAGGCTGGAGTGCAGTGGTGTGATCTCAGCTCACTGCAACCTCCGCCTCCTGGGTTCAAGCGATTCCCCTGCCTCAGTCTCCTGAGTAGCTGGGACTAAAGGTGCGTGCCACCACGCCCAGCTGATTTTTTGTATTTTAGTAGAGACGGTGTTTTATCATGTTGGCCAGGATGGTCTCGATCTCCTGACCTTGTGATCTGCCTGCCTCATCCTCCCAAAGTGCCGAGATTACAGGCGTGAGCCACTGTGCCTGGCCAGTCAAAAGATCTTAATTCAAGTGCCACCTTTGCTTAAAGCTTACAGGATGAACTTGAACAAGCTGCTTAATGATATTAGACTTTCATCTGATCACCTACATTCATTCATTCAGTCATTCAGTCATTCAATTAATACTTATTCAGAGACTTAGGAGTAAGGGAGGGTAGGTATTATGTACCGAATAATATATTAGGCTCAAGGGCAGGGTTTTTTAATCTCAGCACTATTGGTATTTTGAGTTAAATACTGAGTTTCTCCTGGAATTGTAGAAAATATTGACATATTTGTACAAGAACTGGTTCTTGGAGACTAAGTAGAGGAAAATAATGGATGGCATCTTCAGAATGCTGTAATTGGACTCAATGAATCATTTCCAATTAGTATTCAAAATGTAAGTCCTTTGTAGATACTCCTACTGCTCACTTACATCTGTGCCCATCCCTAAAGTGATCGCCGTGGGATCTGCCTGGCCAAGCCTGTGGAGTATGCCAACCCCCAGGTTAGGGCTGGAGAAGGATAGGGCCATCCCACAAGTTATGAGTGGGAAAAAATGGTGTCCTAAGGAAAGATCCTAGGCAAGATAAAACCTTCAGTGTCCACTATAGTAGTTTATAAAGACTTTTTGCATTTGTTATTACATTTTATCCCCCAATCTGTGGTATAGGTAGGCACATCTTGTGAGTCATTTTCTAAGCAAGGCAAGAGAAAGGAGTGATCTGTTCAAGCTTACATAATTAGTAAGTGATGGAGCCAAAACCTGAAGCTGGACCTTCTGGTCCAAAATGTTATACTCTTTCCATTTCTCATGCTTCCACTTGAGTGTTTTCTACCCAACTCAGGATATGGGGATCCACATTGTAAGAGTGGAAGGTAAATTTTTTTAAAACCACAAGGAAACCTGGATATTTGGATAAATTGTAAATTATCCTTGTCTCAGAAGCAAATTAAGAAGCATTTCAAAGAAATGTCATGATTGGATGTCAGAAGATGAAAAAAAAATGTCACAGTAGAGGTAATTGCTTTGATAAGTATCTATGTGGGAGATATTATTGACATCCAAGAATCTTTCCATCAAGTAATGGGACAAAGAATTAAATTAAATAGAAAAAAAAAAGTTGGATCCAGAACTAATGACAATAGACAAAGTCACCATAAGCTCTAAAAAGGAGAAAAGCAGAAAATCCACTCTAGTAAAAATTTCTTGAAAACAAAAATTCACAGGAAATGCTTCAAGTTAGCAAAAACTAAGAGTAATTTAAATTGTCACTTGATGCCAATGAACAGAGAGTTGCTGTTAAGGTGGGTGGAGAATAAATTAATACTGGGAATATTCTTGAGAAATGAAGACATTAAGTCTAGGAAAAAGATTTAAGTTCAAAAATAAGAAAGTGAGCTCATGAATTATGGCTGAAGAGAAGAAAAATGTAAAACCACTGGGACAGTTAGACACCAGTGTTTGTGGGTAAAAAACTAACATTTGCAGCATAATTGTGGCTCAGTTTAGAGTAAAGGAAAAGGGCAGAGGTTATTTCTTTTGTATAGAATTCTGATTTCTAATCTTTTGACTACTGAGTGTAGGGCTTTCTCCATTTAGTACTGTTCCCCATCAGTGAACAATCTGCTCAGAACCATTCCAGAGTTCATGCTGATCCTTATTAGCTTTTCATTTCCCTGGGAGTTTCTCTCTGACACAAACAATATTTTCCAGTTACAAACAATTCTGCAGTATAAAATATCATCGAGGGCAATAGCACTTGCTTGTATTTCTTTTCCCTACATCTTATTGAAAAAGCTGCTGGCATTATTTCAGGTCTTTCTCCAGACTGGTAAAAATTGTAATTCTATCAATGATAAGCTGATTTGTTTCTGGTTTTTCTATTTCTCGCCCGTCTTGGCATAAAAAATTGGACTAATCGTTGTTGTTTTCCTATGAAACTAAATGCAAGATTATTTATATCTTGGGCATTGAATGACATTTTACACTAAACATGCTATGTTGAGTATTATGGCTTACTTATCACAGGACAAGGTATTTGAGAGTTTCAAATGCTATATCCAAAGCTTACCTAATATTGCAACCCTGTCCCTGCAAGCCAGGGACAGTTTATTATATAATTAAAAGAGCTATTTCACTAAGACCCCACTGCATGCCCTTGGTTGCAACTCAGGTAGAACATAAAGATGACACAGAACTTGTAGAAGATTAGTTGAAGAATATCCTGCTCCCTGAATCCATAAAACACGTCTCTGAATTCAAACCTACATCATCTGCCCTTAAAAGTATAATAGCTTCTTCAGTTTTCAACTGTCACTGCATTTCTGTACTTTCAAAAAGCTATTGAGACGCTTGGAGCATGAAAGATGCTATATAAAACCAAATTTAATTCCATAGTCTTCCAGTAATTTGCCTCATAAATACTTCTTGGAGTAGTGAAATACTTTTGGTCATAGAAATAAAACTTATGTATTCATGACCTATGTATTATTTCATCTTCTTGGAAGTCAAAGGACTATTTCTGTGTTTATGCTACTGAAATAAATCTGTTATATGTATTTTTATAAAAGTTGTTAGGACATGTTACATTGTTGTTGGAGGTGGCACTGTTATCTGTTGTGTTTTTTTTTTGGTTTTTTTTTGTTTCTTTGTTTGCAATTACTGTACTTTTAATGCACTTTCTTAGTCATTTTAAGTGAATTGGCTGAAATTTTTCTTCATTAATAACTACTTTTATTTCTGTGAAATCTCACAATTTCATAGGTATTTGGAAATGTTAGCAAAACCTTATGGTAAGGAAAAATGAATAAGGGAAATGTCAACCCAAACAGGCTTCCAAATCACTATCAAGGAGACAGTAGGAACCTTATTTGGCTTTGAGAAAAGGACATGGATTTAATGATTACTCAAGTCCATATTTTTTCCAGTGAATTCTTTCTTCACATAATCTTTTCTCACTCTAAGCATGTCTAGAAACAATCCTTTTATCTTGACCCGTTGAAGCCCCTGCTGTATCTAGAACATTAAATGAGAAATTTCAACACTTTAGTTGTAAAAGTCAGAAATCATTTTCAAATCTTGTAGCAATGTAGATTACTACTTTAACAAGAAAACTTGTTAAAAGTGAAAGCAAAAGAAAACCCCTAAGATATTCTGTCAAATGTAATGTGTAGTGATATCATTGAGGATGACCTTTGCATCTCTGCACTAGGAAAATCTAAGGATATGAGATTAAACCCTCCAATTCGATGCTCAAAAATAAAATAAAAGGAGATTAATGGCAATCATGAATGGATATGTGTGAGTGTGTGTATGTGTGTTGGGGGGTTTACAAATGGCACAATTTATCAAGTATCAGGAACTACTCTTTGTCTCATAGTAAAATTACAACTATTTGCAATGAAAGACTGTCTCATGATGTTATAGTGGAATTTTGTTCATCTAATTTAGCTATTAATTTTGAATCCCTACTGGTGCTTGAGGAAAAGGCGTGGGTGCAAAAGTATGTAACATATGGACCTGTCCTAAAAGAATTTAAGCTCTAGTGAAGATTACATGTGCAAAAATAAAATTCCACTTGGGATTCATTGTTTTCAGGAATATGTACTTGAATATACAATAGGATTATCTAATATTTTTAATGAGCCTAGTCAGATTTAAAATATCCTATTTCAGAGGAAATTTAAATACTTGCTTTTATAAAACTGGTAGCATAATCTTCACACAGTCTCCTCAAGGAAAAGAACAGAGCTCTGTCCATTGCTGTATGCATAGTATTGGCCTCAATTTCAACAGCTAGTCCCTGTGGAGTAAGTAGTGATACCACCTACATGCCTGTAATCATAGCACTTTGGGAGGCTGAGGTGGGGGGATCACCTGAGGTTAGGAGTTTGAGACCAGCCTGGCCAACGTGGTGAAACCCTGTCTCTACTAAAAATACAAAAAAATTATCTGGGCGTGGTGGCGGGCACCTGTAATCCCAGCTACTCGGGAGGCTGAGGCAGGAGAATCACTTGAACCCAGGAGGCGGAGGTTGCAGTGAGCCGAGATTGTGCCACTACACTCCAGTCCGGGCAACAAGAGCAAAACTTTGACTCAAAAAAAAAAAAAAAAATCTGTAGCACTACTGTGTGCCTCTCAGTTGCACTGGTTCTTTCCTGGGATCATTTTTTCACTGTAGAATTAGCTAAAGTAAAAAAACCTCAGAACTTTGTTAGAATATGCTAAAGCAGTTTAAGAACTTCTGACATGATGATATTAAAGCTTCTGTTTTGAACAAGCCTGTCTGCCCTACTTAAGGGAGCACCCAAGTACTCTGGGACGGGGAGGGGCATCTTCCAAATGTCCCACTGGTGTAATTGATTGACAAATGAAAAGTGATTACTAGTCTGGAGGAGAGGAGGTTAGAATATGACCTTTCTCTGAATTCCAGTACTCTAGAGATTACACCTGTCAAATATTTTAAAAACATGGAAGACAATGAGGAGGCTACACTATTGCTACCACTTTTTTTAAAAATGTGTATTTTTTTCACACTGTAAGTAATATTTAATCATTAATGATTATCTGGGAAGTATAGAAACAAAAGAAAAAGTTACCCTTATTTTCTTGTTTTCCTTTTTTTTTTCTTTTTTTCCCTGAGACCGAGTCTCGCTCTGCACCCAGGCTGGAGTGCAGTGGTGCCATCTCAGCTCACTGCAACCTCTACGTTTTGGGTTCAAGCGATTCTCCTGCCTCAGCCTCCCAAGTACCTGGGATTACAGGCATGCGCCACCATGCCCAGCTAATTTTTTTCGTATTTCTAGTAGTGACAGGATTTCACCCTGTTGGCCAGGTTAGTCTCAAACTCCTGACCTCAAGAGATCTGCCCGCCTCAGCCTCCCAAAGTGCTGGGATTACAGGCATGAGCCACCATGCCCAGCCAAAGTTACCCTTATTTTCAACATCCAAAGATAACCACTATTAACATTAAATCTCTTTCAATATTATGTATTAGAAGTCCCTCTAAAAAATGTGTCTTATATTTTAGTTATATATAGTATTTACGATTTAAATGATAGAGTTACAATTACTTTGTAATACTGCACATTGCTGTGCCACAGATTTTGCTGTGCATTGAATTAATAACAGATAGTTTGCTTGTAAATAATAACATTCTAGGCCAGGTGTGGTGGCTCACACCTGTAATCCCAGCACTTTGGGAGGCTGTGGCGGGTGGATCAAGAGGTCAGGAGTTTGAGACAAACCTAACCAACATGGTGAAACCCCGTCTCTACTAAAAATACAAAAATTAGCCAGGCGTGGTGGCACGCCCATGTAATCCCAGCTACTCAGGTGGCTGAGGCAGGATAATCGCTTGAACCCAGGAGGTGGAGGTTGCAGTGAGCTAAGAGTGGACCGCTGCACTCTAGCCTGGGCAACAGAGCAAGACTCCGTCTCAAAAAAAAAAAAAAAATCTATATAAAATTCCAAAAATGTCTTAAAATTGGTGAAAATAAAAGACAAATATAAAAATAAATTTATTCATTAAAAAATTCCTGGCTTATATCACTCAATGAGAATACCAAGAAAAATTATAAAAATCCAGCCTTACAAGAACATACTAAACAATGTGGTCTAAGATTTGAAGTTCTAAGACATGAGATTGAGCCCTGAGTCCATTTAATGATCATGTAACCTCGAGCATATCAATAAATCTTCCCAAACCTTAGTTCCACCATGTATAAAATGAAGATAATAAAGATTTCTTTGAAAACTTGTTGAGAATTAAGTGATATAATGTACATGGAATTCTGTTATAAACTTTTAAAGTGCTACTCAAATGACACTAGCACATAATTTAATAATTTGAACTTAAAATTTACTTCTTAAATTCAATTGTCAAAACGAAATTATAGTTATCTTTATCTGCCATTATGTAATTGTTCACAGAATGTAACTTAAAGTTAGTACTACCAACAAGGACTGTTTTCCAAATCAAAAAACTTAGAGGTAGCTTCAGTGCTCAGATTTGAACATCAATAAGCTGACCCCTCTATCCAAATAATAGCTCTAAATGCAGTTTTGTTTTATCTTTTCCATAAAAGTGATTGTGAAAAATTTGCAAAACTTTAAATATAGGCACCACTGAATATAGTTTTAGTCAGTGTAAACAGTGTCAAATCAAGTGAGGTTAGCCATTTTAATTGGGCTAGCTTATATTGTGAAACAATAAAATTTTCATATGAATGATTGAACTTTTGCACTAACTCTTATACCTCTCTTAACCTAGATATTACAATAGTGAAAATGAATTCTGATATGATCAGCTTAGGGTTCACAGAGTTGAGGGAGCCACTGACTGTAGGAAGTATCTATTACTTCCTATGGGTAGTGCAGATTATGTCATCACGCCTCAAAGTAAATTGTACACAAAGTATGAAAGCAATGTGCTCTCATACCATCTCAATGACAGCCTCGGGTTCCTCTTTGACAACCGAAGTAAATTTAACAAAGACGTGGCATCAAACCATATTACAAGCCTCTTGAAAGAGGCGGAAATGAGAAGTAATGAGATTTTATCCTATGCCCCTTTATCGTGCAGTTGTCACTGAAATCAAAGATTCCAGAAAGCTCTTTTTGACATGACCTACAATGTTTACTATGGTACAGTTTGACCTAATTGTATAAATTACATCTAAGTTGAGGAGCACCTTGACCTTCTTTGTGTTTTTGTCAGACTGTGTTTGTGGTCAGCCTTCCCTGAGTCTATTGGGAGACTTTGTCCTACTGCTCGTTCTCAGAGCTTTCTGCCTCTAAAATGTTGCGTAATTTTCTCTAATCTCTCTCAGCGACATTTTTTTTTTCTTTGAGATGGAGTCTCCCTCTCTCGCCCAGGCTGGAGTGCAGTGGTGCAATCTCTGCTCATTGCAACCTCCACCTCCTGGGCTCAAGCGATTCTCCTGCCGCAGCCTCCTGAGTTGCTGGGACTACAGGCGTATGCCACCATGCACGGCTAATTTTTGTATTTTTAGTAGAGATGCGGTTTTGCCATCTTGGCCAGGCTGGTCTTGAACTCCTGACCTCAATTGATCCACCCACCTCAGTCTCCCAAAGTGCTGGGATTAGAGGCGTGAGCCACCACACCCAGCCTCAGCCACTTCTTACCAATAACTTCTCTTATCTGTCAGGACACAAGCAATGATGCTCTCTCTCTCTGTGTCTTTTTTTTTTTTCTCTCAGAGAAGGTACTTCAAGTAGTCTCTTCTTCTAAGCTCCGTTCAGCCTCATTTCTATCCTTTCCTTTTAACACTGACCAAAGGTGCCAAACGCTAAAATTTCCAAATAACCTTTCAATGATCAGAAAACCGTGTTTCCCTTGGTCAAGCAGTAAAAGAAAAGTTTATACAGTCTTTCTCTTAAGTCAGTTTGTTCTTTCCCATTTCATTCAACCCTGTGAAAGGATTAAAAATGCAAGTATATTGAAGAGTTTCCTCTTCCAGTCCCCAGAACAAATGTATGTTTTAATTCTTTTTCTTTTAGTTTTTTCTTATTGTAGGAGAAATAATTTCCATGATAAAATTTTGGTTGTTTAAACTACTTTGAAAAGAAAGAGGACTTACAGAAAAAAATATTTCATTCATTCATTCACTCAATAAAATTATGCTAGGCAATTGGTTAAGCTCATTCTAGTCATTGTGAACACGACGATGAAGAAAGCATAGCGAGTGCTTCATAGTCCCTTAGGGAGAAAATGTATAAACAGGGAGATAAATTCAAGTTACGTTCAAACACTGGGCAGTACAGATGATGAAATTAACTGTACTTAGGAAGGTCAGGAAAGGCTTTTCAAAGATGGTAAAGTATGAATAGAGATTTAAAGGAAGAGTAGAATCCAGCAGATAGAAAAGATCAGGGTAAAGTCACTCTAGGTGCAGAAGATTTTTACTCCCTTGCTGTTCACAGAACTGCAAATAAAGCGAAGTAATTGCATGGAAAGCAGCAACCATATTCTTCATAGCATCATATGGGACTAAGAGGCTTGAATTATATCCTAAGACACTGGAATATTTTGATCTGGAAAATGATTTATATCAATGGGCATTTGTAAAGATCTCTCTGGTAGCAGTTCTTTGACCTCTTTGGGTGGATTACATGAAGGGTCCCCAATTTTTTTTGGCACCAGGAACCGGTTTCTTGGAAGACAATTTTTACAATTTTTCCAAGGACTTGGCGAAGGTTGTTCAGAGGCATTAGAGGCTCATGACGAGTGCTCACCCTAGATCCCTAGGTTCCACGCTCCTATGAGAATCTAATGCAGCCACTGATCTGACAGGAGGCAGAGTTCAGACAGTAAGGCCCGCTGCCTCTCCTGCTGCTCACCTCCTGCTGTGTGGCCTGGGTCCTAACAGGACCTGTCAGCAGTAGAATAGATAAAGAAGTTGTGGTATATTTATACAGTGGAAACTTATACTGTAATAAGAATGAATGAACTCCAGTTACAGACAACATCATGAATGAATTTCACAAACATAATATTGTATGAAAGTTGGCCAGACACAAAATAATGTTACAATATTGTTTGAGTCTATTTATTTAAAGTTAAAACATTGGCACCAATAGAAGTCAACATAATGGTTACTCTTATCGATGAGGCTAGTTACTAGAAGGGGGACGTAGTGACTTCAAGGGTTTGGGTCAGGTTTCCTTTGTGAACATTTATCAAGCTGTAGAGTTCCAATTTATGCACTTTTCCAATGTATTTCAATTTAAAATGTACATCGGAAAGAAGAATGAAGTAAAAGAATATGAGTAACCAGATTCCATTATGAACATACACAGCATACACAGTCTAATATTGTCAACTTTAATTAAAATCTAACTAAACATGCTAACTAAATTTCCACTTAAATTGGTCATAGGGATATAATCTATGTAAAACATTGTGAGTTTTGAATTATTTCCCTTTCTCAATAGTATTGTGCACAATTCTTAAAAGTCAATCTTGTCAAAAATAATTCATCTTACCTACTCAAAATAATTGTAGAGGCTTGTTTCATAATTCTATGAAACAATTCACTATTTCATGACATTTAAGAAAGTGTAGCTTTTTTCTCTCTTCTAAAACAACATGAAACCTCCTAGCTTTGTTTTCTGAGACGGTTATCTCAGAACAAAGTAAACAGGAATCTATTTGGTACACAACTGATTTGAAATGCCTATTACCTCTTCTTCATGGTTTTCTGTTAAGTGACTTCCAATGAGTTCGTCTCAAATGAGGCAACATGGCTACTAGAAAAGGGAAACATATTTGCTAATATGGTCATAGATGTTCTAAAGGCCACATTAAGTCCTCCATGCTCATAACTCTCTACAGCAATGTGATTTAAATTTTATATTCTGAGATGTCTTCACTATTTTAAAAACAATAGTAGTTTTCATTTGTGTCCTTTTGACAATTTCTTAAAAAAGGGTGATTTAATATGTAAAAAATATGGTGAAGAATTTGAACATAAAGACATGTTATAGTCTCTTCATCTTTCTTTTTGTAATTCCTATAATAGAAAGCTAGGAAATTCTGTGACAGAGCTTTAGCACCGGAATATCACACTCAAGAGAGCATTTACTAAATGTCCTTGGGAATGTCCAGTAGGTCACATAACTGAGATTGCAGAATTGTACTTGACCGCTGGCCTTCTCCCATGCAGGTTCCCATCAGGAAGCCAATTGCTTGCTGGTACGTAAGAAGACGCATATTGGGGCTTTCTATTTTTATTTAAAGTCATATGCATTTTCTAGGTCTTATTTTCCCAGCTTCATAAATTGATTTCCTCTCAGGTGTCTGCAGTTTAGATTGAAGTTTTTTTGTTTTGAGAATTTTATTAGAGTTAGGAGACTCAGGTGTCAGTTGTGTCAGACTCTAAGCAGGTCACTTACTGTATCTTCAGGCATCATTTCTAAGTCAGCCTTTTATAGTTCCTCAGCCTATTTCTCTAACGCCTTAAATCCTCAACTAACTTCAAGTGTAACAATATTTGGAGTTTTTTTTTTTTAATCTCTAGGGCTCCATAGAAAATTCCAAATTTTTCTAACTATATTGTCCCACTATCTACAATCTTTGCTTTAAGACAATTTTGACAGTGTAAGCTATTTTTTTTTTAAAAAAAAAAGCATTGAGCTTGTGTTCTGACCTTGAATTTTTATTTTCTCCTTGATGTATTGCAGTTTCTGAGAAGACAAGATTTAAGATTTTCCTCATGATAAGTCTTAACCCCAACTAGAGGTTCAATGAGCAGGCTGCTAGAACCCTTGTTGGGTAACCCTAAAAGTGTATTAGTGTTACTGCTTTGTCATTTCCAGTTTAGCTCAGAAGCCAGGAATATTTGTAGAAGTTATTTTGTCTGTAAATTACATTTATTTATTGTGTGTATGCATGTTTGTGTGTTATTATTGGGCTCCCATTCAAGAATGTAAACTCCATGAGAACAGAGATTATGTCCATTTATATGCCTGAGCTGTGGTATCTCCAATGTCTAGAATAGTGCTTGGCACATAGTAGTTGCTCAAAATATATATTCATGATTTCAAGAATATTATTGTGTTAGAATGTTAGTTTGTTGCCTTTTGGACAAAAACTGTGTTATATTGTACTTTATATATCATGTCATGTGACTACTTACTGCTTGTTGATGGAAATATATTGTTGTCTACACCAGGGATTGACAGTTTTTCTTGAAGAGCCAAATAGTAAATAGTTTTGGCTTTGCAAGCATTAAAGTCTCTCTGACAAATACTCAACTTTGCTGCAAAGATTTAACTTTGCAGCAGTAGCAGAAAAGTAGCCACAGAAAATATGTAAATAAATAAACAAGTATCCAGCCCACCCACTTCTTGTTTTTGTATGGCCCTTGAGCTAAAAACAATTTTTAGATTTTTAAATGGATTTCTTATATCAAAAGAAGAATGATATCCCACGTGTCATGGGATATTGACATGACATAGAAACGGAAATCTGAATATTATTCCCATCACACTTGGGATATTATTCTCCTGGAAATTATAATTTCCATGTTTATAATAAATAAAATTTTATTGCAATATAGCCATGCCCATTCATTTAAGTATTATCTAAAAGTGCATTTGCATTCTAATGTGGGGTTGAGTACTTGCAAATAGTAAGCAAACTACAGAGCAGAACCTTTTAAAATAGGCTGAAATGATAAGGCTTTTTTAAAAATATTTTCTGGTCATAACAATCTCCATATCTTCAAAACATGTAAAAGTTCAAAGCTTTACTTTTGGGGAGCTTATGGCTCCTACAATTAAAACATGGGAATTATAATAAAGATAGAAAAAGATGTTACTCTATGCATATTAGTGAGATCTGTAAATGTAGAACACAATGCTTAGTTACCTATAATAATTGATTCAAGAATCAAATGCATAAATGATGCACACATGTGATGCTAAAGAATCATATAAATCAATTAGGCTAGGTTTCTCAACTCTCTATCAACTTTCAACAATTCTTTACAATGTAAATGGAAATTAACTTCTCACTTTTATCCTCTGATGCAGTTGAAAGTGCTAATGAAAAATCTAGAAAATCTGGACCTCAGTTAATCACGACTTGGCTGTAGATTATTGTGTTCCATAAACTGTAAAAATCAAATGAGCATTACTTATGTTTATTAGAAAAAACTAAAGTATGTTTCTCACAAATTATAAAAAAGCTGTTAACATTAGGCAAAGCATATTCAACTGATTAAAATACAAGGATGTGAGCTTTCTCCAATTAGAATATGAGCTTTAGGAGGACAGGTATGTTTGTATCCTCAGTACCTGATAACTTAATGAAAGAATTAATGAATAGTGCTTACAAAGCCATTCATTCATTCATGCATCTGATCAAGAAATAATCATTTGATGGCTATTCTGCACTTGTACTGTGAAAACACAAAGATATATAAGAAACTGTCTCTGCCCCTCAGCAACCCTTTCACTGAGAAGATAACATATAACTAAAAAAAGTGGATATAACAAAAAGTTTAAATATTAATTTAAAGTAAAAGGCATTAGATAGCAACGTATTTTTAGGTGCCAAATAAGTAATACAGGAAATAATGGCTACGACAGTTATGAGGCGGAAGGATCACTGGGATCTAGCGAGGTCAACAAAGGCTTCCTGATAGAGGAAAGACTTATAAAGGCACTTAAAGAGTGAATGAACACCCATTGTATCCCCAAAATATGCCCATGTATTATGTAGCAATAAAAAAATTTACAAAATCATCCTGTATTTGATAAATACATAAATAAGTATAATGTTTAGATAGCTAAAGCGAATGAAGAACACAAATCGGTAAAATTACCATCTTTCTGGATGCTACTCCTAGATTGACCAGAAGGTTCAAGGTGAACAAATATTACTCAAAGGCAGAATAATCAGTTCTGCCCATTCTCCACTTATCCTCCACCACTGGCTGAGCCTGAGTGTACAGATCCACAAAGTAACCTAAACACACTAGAGTCTAGAACAGAGGGGGCAAAGTGAGCACAGGATATCCCTGAAAATTCAGACCCTTAAACATTTGGGAAGATGATTGTCTCAATAACCTTCAATTTGTTTCTGTCAAACGATCAAAGTCAGCAGCAACCTTCTCTCAAAACAAGGTCCAGCAGAGGGATTACTACTGTTGTCTCAGAATTACACTCACCTGTTTGTCTTAAGCTTTTTCAACAGGACCAATTCTTGTTTCCCTGCACTTTAAAAAAGTTGTTAGGATTTTGCCATGTGATGTGAAAATGTTCAATTTTATTAATTAATTCATTAATTTATTTATTTATTTATTTTTTGAGACGGAGTCTCACTCTGTCTCCCAAGCTGGAGTGCAGTTGCACAATCTTGGCTCACTGCAATTTCCGCCATCCAGGTTCAGGTGATTCTCCTGCCTCAGCCTCCTGAGAAGCTGGGATTACAGGCGCATGCCGCCACGCCCAGCTAATTTTTGTATTTTTAGTAGAGTCTGGATTTCACCATGTTTCCAGGCTGGTCTCGAACTCCTGACCTCAAGTGATCTGCCCACTTCAGCCTCCCAAAGTGCTGGTATTACAGGCTTGAGCCACCGCACCCGGCTGAAAATGTCCAATTATTTAACGATGGAAAAGTTTTCCTATGTTGTTCATTGATGATAAAGAAGAAACATTTGAAATCCAGTAAAAAAAAAAAAAAAAAAAAAAAAAGGAATGCTACCTTGCCATTGTGTTTTTAAATGTTTCATATTTAAATTTTCAAGTAACATGTGGAGTTAGTATTTGCAAATGCATTTATAGAGAGGTTTTTTTTCAAGGTGAGTAATAGAAAGGTGTTTCCTAACATGTATACTTTTTATGATTCAGGTTCTTATAGGATGTAATCACTAGCAATATTTTTTAAATATCATTTTACAAAGTACATTCACCTATTTCAGCTACCAATTGATATATTTACAAAAGTCAACATTGTGCTAAGCATGGAGAGTACTAAATGTTGGATAATGTAGATTAATATCTTCAAGGAATAAAAAAGTACAAAATATGGTGAGAATAAAATAATCTTCTATAATTTTGCAGGGTTTCCTCTCCTAATTGGACTATCTTTGTTTGTAAATGCTTGTCCATGTAGTGTTCTTGATAACCTAACAATGCATGAAACCACTGCAGTTACCCCTTGAAGTATCTACCAAACAACCAAGTTGGGCTTAGCAGGAAACATTCCATGATAACATAAATTCCCATTTTCTAATAGCTGAAAATCTAGTATACGTGATAACATTTACTCAGATAGCTATAATACAGAGCAGAAAGGGATTTTAAAAACCCTTGATGATGCCTTCTCATGTCACTAAAAGTAAAATTTTACTTCATTACTGTTGTCTATAAGACTGAATGATCCAATCACTCATCATCCAGCCTCATTAGATACATTCTTGATCATCATAATTCACCAAGTTCTTTTGTGGTCTAGGTTCAAAAATGACAGATTGCCATTTCTATGTCATGGCATTTGGCAAAGCAAGTCTCATGGCTAATTCAAAGTCATGAGGCAGGGAAATACATACTGCCCCCAGTGGGAGGGCCCTTAAAAAGTACATGGCGAAGGGTATGGAAGAAGGAAAGCTAAAAGATTGGGGCCGATAACAACCTACCACACCAGATTATGTGCAAATTATTTTCTGTTCCAGCCACACTAATTTCACATCAGTTGATAACTTCACTTTGGAGCGATTGTTGACCACTCACACATTGTTTATGTGATTCACCACATGGCCACACATTATGCCTGGAAGAAGTGCATTTTGGCCTCATTTGTACTGATAATTGTTTTGGACATATGTCTCCCTATTCAGCTGGACGTGCCTTGAAATTCATCTGTCATTTATCACTACCAAAAGCCTCACCTACATTTCTGCACAGTGTGAGCACCCTATAAATTCTGTCTTTTAATTGATTGCTTTATCCTGTTTTGATCTATGAGTGTCCAATAAATTTTCATGGGTCTGATCATTTGGAAGCATTAATATTCAAAATCTTTCTAAAATACTCACCTGCATTAGTTAAGATGATTGAGATTATAGGACTGATCTAAACCCAGACACACAAGACTTTGTTCTTTCATTTCTATAAATATGACAATTTTAATTTCAATGACAGAAATAAAGACCTAAGGTAGTGTCTCTCAAACTTTAATGTGCATTTGGATCACTTGGGACATCTTGGTAAAATGCAAATTTTGATTCAGCAGCCTGGAGTGAGACCTGATGGTAGGCCTTTCTAACAAGCTCCCAGCTGAGGTTGATGCTGTTGATGCCTGTACCAAATTGAATGGCAGATGTCTAAAGGAATCAGTAGTATCCTTTCCTGAATAGAATCCTTATCCATAAGTGATATAATAACTGCATTTAAGAAAAGTAACAAGAAATCACCTCAACATGTCGATTATTACAACATTTTGTTTATATATCACAGGCCAGTTTTATGTCTTGAAAATTAGTAGAATTTATGTTTTGGAAATAGATCTCTAATCCAAATAAAACCATATTCATCAAATAGCAATTACTTTATTGCTCTATTGCAGGCTATGGTTGTTGGCAATGAATGCAGATTATACCTGGACAAGTAAATTGAATCAATGCTCATGAGAATTTATAGAATTTACTGGTAATTCAGTATTTCTCACATCATAGTAAATCATCAGTTTTAGTGTTCATCACTAACAAAATGTACTGATTTACTTAGAGAATAAAATACAATATATTTTGGGTGAAGATACTTATTCTTTTATTCATTTGGAAACATTTAATACATACTAGGACATCAAATTGTGGTAGTCAAAGATAAAACAATGATGATCATATGTGACACCTATTCTCAATGGATTCGTAAGCCATAGAATACAAATGGGTAATGAAATAATAAAATAAAACAATAAAATTATGCAGGAAGTACTATGTTCCTTAAGAAATGAACACAAGTGCTAAGGAAGTCTGTAAAAGGAAAAATTACATGAGGCTGAAGAAAAACAAGAACAGACCAAAATTTATTTATATATATATATGAGAGAAATAAAAGCCTATATGTATATATCTACAGATATAGGCATATACAGAAAAAGAGAGAAGAAAGACCAGTAGAATGATTAAAATAAGAAAACAAGAATCCCTCAGCCAGAGTCCCATCCAGAATCTTTAATAAAGCATGGTAAGGTAAGCATATGGAATCAGTTTTGACGAGAAGTATTGTCTATCTTCTATGTATTTTAAAATTTATGCCAGGCACAGTGCCTCATGCCTGTAATCTCAGCATTTTGGGAGGCCAAGGCAGGTAGATTCCTGGAGGCCAGGAGTTCAAGACCAGCCTAGGCAACATGGTCAAACTCTGTCTCTACAGAAAATACAAAAATTAGCTGAGTTTAGTGGCATGTGCCTGTAGTCCCAGCTACTCCGGAGGCTAAGGTAGGAGGACTGCTTGATCCCAGAAGGCAGAGGTTGCAGTGAGCCAAAATCACACCACTGTACTGCAGCCTGAGTGAGAGAGTCAGATCCTGTCTCAAAAACAAAAACGAACAAACAAAAACATTATTGAAGGAAAGGACATACGGTGAAATTTCATTTGAGTTCTAGTAACACCTTCCACTTTTGCTCGTTCTTGAATATTTACTTTTCCCACAACCTTTCTCAGTTTTGGGATTTGTAAATGAGTTGATCTTTAATATACAGAGCTCTATTCAGAATCTATTACACCCCTCCCTATACACTGCTTGGAAAACACAATTATTTGGAGTAGTCTGGAGAAGGATAAAAATAGTGATAGAAAGTGGAATCAGAAGGGAAGATTAGAGAAAAAAGGATTGGGGAATTTGCTCACCAAGAAAAGATCATGGGGGAGCTTTGATTTTATTTTGAATTTTGGACTGGGAATAGTGAACAGTTATTTACTGATCAGAATAGGGCAAAAAGAATATGCTTCAGTCAGACACCTAAGTAAGCACCTGTCCACATGTGCCTCTGGCCAGTATAGCTTGCTCCTCCTGTGAGTGTACCAAGAGCAGGGCAGGTTTCCACCACGCCATCACTGGCCAGTGAGACTTGCCAGCCTTCTAGATCAGCATATTCAGGTTCTGGCCATAATAGCATCAAATGGGGCCAGGTGCTCTCTCTCAAGAATGTCTGGCCCCATCTCACTTTCGATAGTCTGTGTAAGATTACTAGGCTTCTTTGATAACCAAAATTGTGAGCTTGGATAAAGACCAGTTCATCACAGCATAACTAAGGTTAGTAAGGCCATTTTCTCTGTTTGGTGCACTAAACAAATACAAAATGCTATTATGCCTAAGTGCTTTTTCGACCTAAAAAATGCCCTTCAAACAAACAAACAAACAAAAAATCCTAAAACACCTAAAACCTCTCTTTATTGCCCTGAAAGTGGTTCTTCATTCCTCTTTTCAGTGGGATGAGAAGGCAATTATGTTTGTTTAGAGAGCTTATTATTATGCAGAGTAGCTTTCAGCACGACATACAAAAAAAATGAAGATTCTGGGATTCATCACATTTGAAGTGTCATTATAATTTGATAGACTTGCATTACAATAAGGAAAGATTCTAGAAATATGTATGTAAGTACCAATGTACTTTTTCACAAGAAACATAAGATCCATTAATTATTGGTGCCAAATTTAAGCATAGCCAGCCCCAGATATCAGAACGCCCATTATTTTTTCATTTGTACACCACCAACTTCAGCAATCTTTGACTAAGGGCTTATAAAGAATACATAAACATCCTCAAAGCCATCCAAACAGTTTACATGAATTGATCTGTTACTGTTGAAACTCTCAACAAGCGTTGTAATTTGGCAGGTAACTGGTTTAAACCATAGATCAGCAGCTGTAGCTAATAGAAATAGATGCAAGAACAATATCTAGCAAACCATGCAGCCCCTGTGAGAAAATCTCTCTAGAAGATACTGCTAATAATAAGAGTTCTTGAGAGGCCACTAAAAGGCAGTGTTGCTTCATGAAGTGCATATTTAATATAGCTCTCCTTCGACTTGAAAATAATCATACTTCTTTTTCTCAATGTCTGACCTGGAGGGCTCTCCTTGCCTGAAATATAGCATGAGCACTGCTGACACTTCAAACAAATCTTTTAAATGTATCTTAGACAAACACAAATTAAGGCATTTAATTTTCATGGTGAAGTCAATTAATGATACCCTTCCCTCTTTCCAAAGATCTCATGCTTAACCTGACCTCTTCCGCACTCACATTTTTCCAAGTAAAGAATATAAATACATAGATGAACATAACATTTCTAAATGCAAAGTAGAATGTTTGTAAATATTTTCATAAGAAATTTAGCATACAAGCACCTGAATTTCTTGACTTGCTGATATGTTAGCTTTTTTTTTAGCACCATTAATTTACAAAGTGGCCATTATTTACGATAGGTAAGACTTCATCCATTAGTTTTATAATCATTTTTTGAATAATAGCTGTATTGAGTTATCATTTACATGTGATACAATTCACCCATTGAAAATATACAAGTCAATGGTTTCTAGTAAATTCATAGAGTTGTGCAACCATCACCACATCAATTTTAGAACATATTACCTATAAAAGAAACATTTTACCCTTTAGTTATCACTCCCTAAAAACCTCTCATCCCACCTATTCCTAAGCAACTACTAATCTTTCTGTCTCTATATTGTTGCCTATTCTGGATATTTCATATAAATGAAATCATTAGATTTTATAATTATTTTTACTAATTAATTATATTCAAGTAAATATAATTCATACTCTTAAAAATTATTCTTTTTTTCTGAGCCAGGTACCTATAGTGTTATGTGCCTATAGTGTTTTTAGGGTTATGATTATAGCTTACATTTAAAGCTCTATGAACGCATAGGTAAGAATATACATTGGCACTTGAACAACATGAAGAGGCCCTAAGCCCCTATGCAGGTGAAAATCTCCCAAAAAACTTAACTACTAATAGCCTACTATTGGCTAGAAGCCTTACTGATGACATAAGCAGTTGATTAACACATACTTTATATATGTATTGTATACACTATTCATCCAATAAACTAGAGAAAATAAAATGTTATTTTAAAATCATGAGAATGATAAAGTATAGTTACTATTAGTGGAAGTGGATCATCATAAAGGTCTTCATTCTCATCATCTTTACATTGAATAGGCTTAGGAGGGGAAAATAAGTTATTCTTGATGCCTCAGGGGTGGCAGAGGCAAAACAGGTGGAGGAGGTAAAACAGAAGGCAGGAGAGGTAGACACACTTGATGTAACTTACAGAAATACAACATAATTTCTGCCTGATTTTTCTGCTTTCATTTCTCTAAAAATATTTCCATATGGTACAAATGCTTTCTTTTGCATTTGCTTTAGTTTCAGTGATTGTGTCATGGAAGGGTTAATATTATAAAAACAAACAAACAAGCAAAAATCAAAACAGTCTTAAATAATCAGAATCCTCCTGGCAGATTGTCTAGTGTCAATTTGTTTTCTGGCACTGATTCATCTGCATCTTCTTCCTCATTGTCTGGCACTGGTTCAGAAGCACCCATCTCCATCAAGTCATCTTCTGCTAATTCTTCTGGTATGATATCTATTAGTTCTTAAATTTCTCCAAGATCTTTGTATTGAAACCCTTCATACCCCACCTTTTTTTTTTTTTGCCATATTCACAATCTCTTTCATTATTTCCTTGATTGCCTCTGTTGTAAGTCCTGTGAATTCATGTACAACATCTGGACACTGTTTCCTCCAGCAGGAATTTATTGTTTCTCACTTGATGACTTTTACAGCTTTTTCTACAACAATGATAGCATCTTCAGTGGTGAAATCCTTCTAGATTTTCATGATGTTCTTTCTATTGGAGTTCTCTTCCATAACATTGACAATCCTTTACATAGAGTACTGTGTGTAGTGAGCTTTAAAGGTCCTCATGACCCACCACACATGTAGGGACTGAGTTAGAAATGTATTGAGGAGGAAGCAGACCACTCTGATGCCTTCCATGTTGAACTCATGGAGTTCTGGGTATTGGCCAATATCAAAAGAATTTTAAAAAGTAGTTCCTTATGGGCAAGGTACTTCCTGACTTCAGGGACAAAGCATTGATGCACCTCTTCCAAGAAAAGTGTTCTCATTGTCCAGGCCTTCTTTTTGTGCAGTCAAAAGATGGGCAGCAGCTGGTATTTATCTTTGCCCTTCAAGGCTCAGGGGTTGGCAGCTTTATACATAAGAGCAGTCCTAATCATGAGCCCAACTGCATTCATTCAAAATAGGGAGTTAGCCTATCCTTTCCTGCTTTAAATCTTGCTGCTCAATTCTCTTTCTTACTAATAAATGTCTCTGTGACTTTTTTTTTTTCAGAATACAGCACTTTTGTGCTTATTAAAAACCTGTACAGACAGATATCCTTTCTCCTTAGTGATTTCCTTAACAGCACCTGAGAATTTGTCTGCTACCTCTTGGTTGGCAGAACCTGTTTCTCTCGTTATCTTGGCATTTTTTTATGCCAACTCTCTTTCTAAAATTATCAAACCACCCTTTGCTGGCATTAAGTCCTCTAGGTTTAGATCCTTCACCTTCCTTTTGCCAATTGTCACGTAATAACTTCAATTCTTCTCTAATCATATTAGAGACTAAAGGTATGACTCTCTTATAGAAGGCCTGCACCCACATAAAAACTGCATTTTCAATATGACATAAAAAGGTATTTTGCAAAAAGTACAACGTTTTTGCCCCTGCTGATGTAGATACAATAATTCCCTCTTTTTTTTTTTTTTTTGTTTGTTTGTTTGTTTGTTTGAGATGGAGTCTGGCTCTGTCGCCCAGGCTGGAGTGCATTGGCGCAATCTCGGCTCACTGCAAGCTCTGCCTCCCAGGTTCACGCCATTCTCCTGCCTCAGCCTCCCGAGTAGCTGGGACTACAGGCGCCCGCCACTATGCCGGGCTAATTTTTTGTATTTTTAGTAGAGACGGGGTTTCACCGTTTTAGCCAGGATGGTCTTGATCTCCTGACCTCGTGATCCGCCCGCCTTGGCCTCCCAAAGTGCTGGGATTACAGGCGTGAGCCACCGCGCCCGGCCTCCCCCTTGTTTTTTTAACTATAGTAACAATAAATCCTTACACTGGATTATTTGTCTTGAAGTGGCAGCCAACCACAGTTGCAGTACAATCTGCAGTATATATATCAAGCAATTCGACTTTTTCTTATAATGTCATGACTTTTGTTTACTTCTTGGACGCACTTCCAGCATCACTATGGCACTTCTTGTGACTCCAATGGTGTTATTCAAGACTATGATATTGCACTAAACATGGTTTAAAATAAACACAAGAACCTCGAGAAATCACTTTTTACTGCAATACACAATTTATTGGAGAGATGAATTTCTCACACAAAGATGATTACTATCACACAGTGTATTAAGCAGATACTCATCACTCAAGCTCACCACAATAGCAACAGGAAGTGGCTACAAAATTGTTACAGTACTACAATATGTACCACTGTTAATTTTATGTAGTTATCATTTAATACCACATCTTTACATTTATTTATTTTCCCTGGACTGAGTAGCACTATGCACAGTCTGCATCAGTTTAAGTTTTTATAATAGATTTGTCTATATTTTATAGTAGTAAATGACAAAATAGACTAGTATCTTCATATATTATATGCATTCATGACATAATTTTTTCTTAATTTGTTTGATATTTCTAGGCTACACAGTTTGTCTGCCAGTTTTTTCAAACTGTTGCAAATCTCCAAAAACTTTCTCAATATATTTATTGAAAAAAAAATCTATGTATAAGTGGACCCACATAATTCTAACCAGTATTGTTCAAAGGTTAACTGCATATAAACACAATTTGACCAGCCATTGAAACAAGGCTTATTTCTAACTTATTAGCTTATTACTGACTTAACAACCTCAACGTGACTTCAATTATTGGTATTTAAAAGTATATTTTGGTAAAACATATTCCCAATTGTTTCTGTTTGTTTACAAAATTATTTTGAAACATAGAGAAATACCAGTTTACTACCAGTAACAATAAACTTTGAAGCTTATAGAGAAAGATAATCTCTCTCACACACACACACTGTATGATATGGTTTGGTTCTGTGTCCCCACCCAAATCTCATCTTGAATTGTACTCCCATAATTCCCATGTGTTGTGGGAGATAATTTGAATCATGAGGACTGTTTTCCTCATACTGTTCTCGTGGTAGTGATTAAGTCTCAGGAGATCTGTTGGTCTTATCAGGGTTTCTGCTTTTGCATCTTCCTCATTTTCTCTTGCCGCTGCCATGTAAGCAGTGCCTTTCACCTCCTGCCATGATTCCGAAGCCTTCACAGCCACATGGAACTGTAAGTCCAATTAAACCTCTTTTTCTTCCCAGTCTCGGGTATATCTTTATCAGCAGTGTGAAAATGAACTAATACACTGTGCTTCAGGAATCATACTTCTTTATTGGCCAGGGACATTTTGGGGCAGTGTGAAGCACAGTAACTGGTGTCCAGTTTGAAGATTCCTTAAAAACAATGCCCTAATGGGTAACTATGTGAGATGATAGATACGTTAATTTGTTTGGCTACAGTAACCATTTCACTATTATCTCAGTTCATTCATGTTGCTCTAATAAAATACTTGAGACTGAACAATTTATAAATAAGAGAAATTTATTTCTTCCAGTTCTCAAGGCTGGGAAGTCCAAGATCAAGGTATTATCATTTTGTTTCTTGCCGTATCCTCACATGGCAGAAGGCAGAAGGGCAAAAGGGAACACACCTGCCACTCAAGCACTTTTATAACTCGTTAATCTCTTTGCTAGAATTCCTTCCTCATAATTGCAGATTCTAAAAGGTTCCACTTCTTAATATTGTTGCATTGGAGACAAAGTTTTATGGGAGGCAAGGCCCTTGGCCGCCCAAGGTTTCAATGATAAATCAACTCACAATAAGACAGATTAATAAGAAAAAAGACATACAAATCTATTAAGCCATGTTCATGGGGAGAATCACAGAGGATTCTTCCAACACCATCCAGGAGCTTATATATCTGCTCAAGAATGGGGGCTTGGATCCTGGTAAAACAGGTTATAAGGTGGGGGAGAATAATAATTCCATTGAGTGGCAATAATTGATTGCCTGGATGAATTGTTGGATCAAGGAACAGAAATTAATTTGTAAATAGTTATCTTTGGAATTGAAATGATCCTTGGAGTCAGTCTTTATCTTTAAAAAGGGTGTGTTCAGATGCAGTTACATTTTTAGCCTTCGTTCCTTTAGTGGATAATGAAATAACAGGGAGGGGAAGAGAAACAATTGTTCTCTTTGGTGCTTCAGTCTCATCTTTACATAGATAAGCGAAAAGTCCCTTCTAGAGCCTACTGACCTCTCAGTTTTTAAATCAAAATACTCATGATTCCAGTGAGCCATATTTTGGTGTAAAATTTCCTGCACTCCTTCAGTTGTTACATGAGTTTTGGAGGGAACACAAACATCCAAACCATAGCAAAAACTATGTATAAGTATACCAAAACATTACATTTTATGCCTTAAATATATACAATAAAATAATTTCTTTAAAAAAGAGCAATTGCTAATATACATGCTCTATTATCTCTGTTAGAACTATTGCTATGGATTCTTGTCTCTTTTGCTTCCCATCTTCCTTTAACTTAATCTGTTCTCTACCACAAAGAGCCTGAATGATATATTTAGAACATGTCACTCCTCTGCTCAAAACCACTCAATAGCATCCTATCTCATTAAAAATAAAATCCAAAGTTCCCTCTGGGACCTATATGATCTTGTCCCTTGATCTACGACATCATCTCTTACAATCATTTTCTCAGTGGACTCTCCTACTCTGCTCAGCCATTCTGGTTTCATTGTTGCTTTTGAACACACCAAGCATGCTCCTACCTCAGGGCCTTAGCACTAACCAGGTCTCTGCCTACCACAATTTCAGTTTCCCCTAATCATTTTCATAGCTCATCTCATTACTTTATTTAAATCTCTATGCAAAGAATTACTTTATTTAAATCTCTAGGCAAAAGTCTCTAAATTTATTTTCATACATAAAAGAATACCCTACCCTCCCATTCACTTTCTAGTCCCTTATTCTGTCTTTTTAGAATGTATCACTACTTGATGTTTTATTTGTTTATTTGTTTGCCCAAAATGTAAATTCCATGATAGCAAGAAATTTGTTTGTTCATTGCTATATCCCTAGTGCCTAGGAAGTACCTGGGTTATTACCCAGTATACATTATATTTAATAAACATCTGTTGAATGAATGAATGAATGAATGAATGGATAAACAGATGGATGGATGGATGGATGGATGATTGGATAAATAAATAAATAAATAAATATTGATCCTCTTTCCTTCAGATAAATAAATCCAAATTAGAAGTGTGGAATTTCTATAGACTTTTACTTTTTCTGAGTTCAATTCGAAATACTCACTCTGTTTTTAGGGCTTACAGATGAGCTTTAGTCTGCATAGACATCTTTCAGCTCTTTTCTTCTTCCATTATTGTACACTTTGCTAGAAAAATTGGGAGCTATAGCCATGTTTTACTTTATTCAAACTGTCCTTTTTTGTGTATTTTAGTGTTAAATAAACTGAATTTATGATTTATATCTTCATGGTATTTCCAGATACATTTTTACTTGCTTTTCAATCAGTATTTGTGGGATTTGAATACATCTAAACAATGCCAGGGAATACATATTTATTGCCTGATCATAAAAAAGGTCTTTTTTTGACCTTTTTTATGATCATAAAAAAAAGGTCATAAAAAAAAGATCATAAAAAAAAAAGTCTTTTTTGGCCGGGCGCGGTGGCTCACGCCTGTAATCCCAGCACTTTGGGAGGCCGAGGTGGGCGGATCACGAGGTCAGGAGATCGAGACCACGGTGAAACCCTGTCTCTACTAAAAATACAAAAAATTAGTCGGGCCCGGTGGTGGGCGCCTGTAGTCCCAGCTACTCGGGAGGCTGAGGCAGGAGAATGGCGTGAACCCGGGAGACGGAGCTTGCAGTGAGCCAGGCTGAGGCAGGAGAATGGCGTGAACTCGGGAGGCGGAGCTTGCAGTGAGCCGAGATCGCGCCACTGCACTCCAGCCTGGGTGACAGAGCGAGACTCCGTCTCAAAAAAAAAAAAAAAAAAAAAGGCCTTTTTTTAATTCTTATATGGAGAGTCACAACTTTTTTTTTTTAAAAAAAAGCTATAAGACATACCACTTCAGAAAATGTAGTAAAATGTGAATTATACACTTTCTGTACTGCCCAGCTAAAATGTGGATGTTTTATAGCCAACTCTATGCTGTAAGAATGTTGGAAAGTCTGGATAATCTAAGGGTTTTGAGTGGAAATACAGTATGACTGCTTTAACTAATTCAATACCATTAAAAAATCAAAACCATGAATTTTAATTTTACATAAAAGCAAGAGAGAAAAAGGCACATTACATATTGCAGTCACCTAGTTGAGCCCCAAGCAAAAGAGCAGAGAATTGCAGAGGAAGGATATGTTAGGGCAATACCCAGCAGAGGCCAGGTCAAACTGAGGTTTATAGAGGCAATACAGAGAAAGGATCTGAGATCTAAATGAGACCATAGAGCCAAGAGCAGAAAGGAAACGTGTCTTTGAGCCAGGATCCAGGAGCTATAATGGCCATAGTTTGCCAGAAGGTGCCAAACAGAAACAAAAGTTCAAAGATGAGTTGCCCAATTGTTCTAAGAAGATACTCTCCTCTTCCATACTGCAGTACCAGGCCATGAGCAGGGACTCTGCAGTGGGAGGGAAGGCTGGCACTTTTCAATTATATAACATTTATTTCTGCCTCTGCTTATCTGTCCTAGGAGATAATTACCTTTCTGAGAAGAGAGGCAGGGGCTGGCAAAAGGCCTTGAACATAGTAGGCAGTCAACACATTTGTTGAATAATAAGTGTAAATTATCCTCCTCCCTCTCACCCTGCAGTGAATCCTTCATAAGTAAGTATGGGTAATCCATAAAGTATATTTTTACTTTAAAACAAAATACATCTCTTAAATATTTCTCATACAGAGGCACTTTGAACTGAAAGCAAACACAAAGTTTCCATCTGAATACTATTTTGAGAAAATGTTAAGTATCACAAAACAGCGATTTTTAAAAGTGGAAGGGCCTTCTTAACCGTAACCATAGTATGTCATCCCTACCCAATGTTTTAATTGCCACTGTTTGTCTGGCTGCAGAACAATGAGGTATGGATGGATCTAGGACTGGCTGGAGAGGTCCCAGAGTGAGAACAAAATGGAATGCACTGTGCACTGGACCTAACAGATGGAGAAAGCCTCTGATGGATGACTCTCTAGAAGCATCAGAGACCACTGGCTCTGGGTGACTTGGCTCAGGCTATTAGCAAAAAAGAAGTTTGATTCAAGCCAGTCTTTTATCAATAAGGATTTTACTGTGCAACCCCCACCGAGCATTTGAATTTGAAATGAAATGTAATTTAGACTTCACTTAACCTTTCGGACTTTTTTTGTTTTAATTTTACCTTTTGTAAAAATAACAAAAACTGCTGATGGTACATAGAGATTTGTGTTCCTGATATGTAAAATAATCCATTTAAATACTACATGCTAGTTTGTTCCTTCTTTAGAAATAACTTTTTCAGGAATTTAAGTTCATTGAAAGTAAATATAGGTATGTGTACCAGTACCACCAGCAGTTCTAGTCAATGCGGTTTATGAAAAAAAAATTAAAAAAAACTCTAAAGTTATCAAGATGTAACCTTTTAATCAAAGAACTAAAAAATTATGTATTTATCATACCAGGGTTTCTTCTAACTTCATACTGGCTTGTTTGTGAAAGAAAAGTCTTTGAAAAGGCTACCTGCAGGTGATAAAGATTTTTAAAGTATTCTTTTCTTCCTTTTTATTAGAGAAAATCCAAAGGGAGTTTTAAAATTTGTTTCTTTATGTATTGTTTTAATCGTGGATCTTATTCAAACATTTTTTAAGCCTTTACATTTGTTGCTTATCTCTGAGGGGCAGCATTGCAAAGTGCTTAAGAACAAAGATTTTAAAACTTCATAGACTGGGTTAAATCTAGGCTCCAACATTTATGTATCTCAGTTTTCCCCATTTATACAATGGAGAAAATAATATAGGCTGTTGTGAGGAGTAAATAAATTTATATAATAAAATAAATTTATTTATTATAATAAAAAATAAATTTATATAAATAAATTTATATATGCAAAGTTTTTAAAACATACTTAAACATGATAGGTCTAAGAATATAAGAATCAACTATTCTGATTATTTTGTTCTAGATTCCAGAGGTCCTGAAATATGAAATTATTCATTATCTTTCAGCTACGCATTTTGCTGACAGCACATTGATATAATGTGCCTAGCATTTGAATTTATTAGGGCTTATACTCAGTGCCTTAACATTATAGCAGTTTTATAGATAAATGAATGTGAGTTTTTATTTGTGTGAAACATTGATTTGAACACTACTATTACACAGGTACTATTTAGAATGAGACTTAACACAGACTGCCTTTATAGCAGGTGTGAAATCTTCAGCCCACAGGCCACATATGCACCTCAGCTTAATGTCATCTAGCCAGAAGGCAAGCACCCAGAGCTGGCACTGCCGTTGGTACCTTCTGCTGTGAAAATACAAGAGGGCATTTGCAGTCTTTATTATCCTATAAACACATAAACTGGGGCTGTTTCCCATTCACCTCACTTTCTGCCATAATTAGAATTCTCAGTCTTCCTCTGCCCTTTCAGTAAGTGTCTTTGTGTGCCTCTAAATGTTGCTATGCATAAGGACAGTGTGTGTGTTTGTGTGCATGCATGTGTGTGTGTGTGTGAGTGTGTTATCAGCCTCTCAGTGTGTCTTATGTGCAGGTGCATAGCTCCCTTTGAGCACATCTCTCATTATTCTTTGTCCTACTGTATTTGCTGGTCATTCTCTTTGTATGGCTCATAGCATATGTAAGTTCAGCATTCACTGCCTTTCTTTACTCTCATGTGATTGTCTCGATCTATCACTTAAAATTCTAGAATGCTAGAATTAAAATGGAATATTGTGTTATTTTACAGTTGGCAAAATTCCTTAATAAAGAACCAAAATGTATATTTTATTGCTTACTGAATGTATTGAATAGCATTCTCACTTAACAAATATTTAACTACTTACTATAGGCCAGGAACTAGAACAAGAGAGTTTGTTTTTCTTACTCTCATTTTTTAAAGGTGCAGGAAATACTATACATTTATCTTAACTAAAACATAACTAGTAATTTAAATATCTTTTAACTTGATTTATTACTTGGTTAACTCTTCATAGAAAGAGTAAAGGATTTCCTGCCTTGCTGTAATATATAAAGTAAGAAATTAGTTGTGAAAAGATATATATTAAGATTAGATGTATATTTCCAAATAGATTGGAGTGTACTGATGCAGGTAAATGCAAACCCACAATAACAGTGAATTTAACTTTGACATCAAAGTATTACTTCTGCAGAACACAGGAAGGATGAGGACAGTCCATGCTATTGGCACGGCTATTGACTTTAACATGCTGTGCAATCTGGATCACAGGTTTGTCTTCTAGCACACAGGCAGAGCACATTACAGTCTGGGTCATGTAGGAGATTTCTGTGTTTGAAAAGAAGAAAGTTTCTAAATTTTGGCTCGGAGAAATATCCAGCTACATATATGTGCCTTTATGCTTATGACATCTCCAACGTGAGCATGCATACAGGTACAGACATTTTTAGGTGAGCTAACAAAGCAAACACCAGTTATTCAGGCAATGAGCCTAAAGAGACCTAAAGTACAGAGGGTAAGAAACAGTGAAAGCTAAAATATAGATGAAGAGGAACTTCAACATGGCTGCCGTGTGAGCTTCCTGCTCCCTTACTGGCATTTCTTTGATATGGGATTTTCAAAGCAGGTGCTGTTCTTATTGCAATCACATTGTCACACTCCATTATGAGGAAGCAATTAAGCCCATAATAAGTTAAAAGGTGATGTTTTGTATTTTTTTTTAAATCTCACATAATTGTTGATTTGTTAGCTTTTGAAAACAGATAGGAATTTTTCAATTACACCCTGCAAAATACCTTTTCTCATTCTGAGTGTTTAAAGGCAAATATATCTTGGATCCAGTGCTTTTGTGTTTACAAATCTGGATATGATTTAGTAAGCTTTAAAGAGATAGTAAGCACACAGTAAGGAAATCAGATTTACATAATTTTCTGCTTGCTTACAGAACACAGCAGTTGAGATTATCTTTTACATTTGGGAAGACTGTTTTAATATGATAAGATGAAATACCACCTACAGTACGCTTGATCTTGCTAGTTTGACTTTTTAAAATAAATTACAGGCTGATTTGTCATCGTGACTTTTAACATAAATTGCTATTATAATCTAAAGGAGCAATTCTAAAGGAGACTGCCTTTTTACCTCATCTACATAAAAAGATTTAGGTTATTTCTACATTTATTCTTTTCTCTGTGCAATTTATTTGCTGTAACTTTACATGGCAGGAACAACAAAAATCTATGTTTTGCTCATTTCATCCATTCTTCTATTCATGCTGATAAGTAGCAAATAGCAGCTTAAATGGAGAAATGGCACAAGTAAAAGAAATACGTCCACTTTACTTTTTGTATATAAAAAAGTGTTCTTTAAGGGGAGGTGTGTGCCTTTTTCTCCCATTGGAAACATAATTAAATTACAAGTTTGGGGAAATAAGATGAGCTAAGGCATTACTCATTATCTTCTGCACTGTGTATGTATGCATATATGTATGTAGGTACTCTTGCAGCTTCACTAACTGCTGTAAATAATGAGTGTCGTAGTCCAGACATCTTTTAGCTGTAGGAGTGTGATTGCTGGGAAAAGAAGAGGTTGTGCTAAACCAAAGGACCTGAAGGACCCTCTTATGTAATCATGAGCCTCAGGGGAATGTTTGGTGTTTTTTGTCCTGATTTTTGCTTTATGGATTGTGAGCATTAAGCTTGACTAAGCTTTCTGTCACTGTCTCTAAATTACGTTTGTCCAAATTTGCCATGGTTCCTATTTTCTGTATCATCTGTATTTATTATTTGACCACAAAAGAGTTAGAAAATGAACATGATTATATGCTTCCCAGGATTAGTTATTCATTGAGAAGTGTTCCGACTCAGATATTTTACATTAAAAAAAGTGTGTGGAGGGGTGCACACAGGTCTTCTGGTCAAGCTTTCTTACTGTACTCTATATGGAGATTACATATATGTATGTATTATCTCATTCAGGGCTCAGCATGAAATTGGAGTAATCCCGGATTTATAAGTGGATGATGATTATTTCCTTCCAACTCAGTGGAATAATAGCACTGACTCCTTGGAGTCTCTGGAGCATTTGTTTTTGTTGTTTTTATAGTTGGGGAAAGGTTTGTAGAAAACATGAATAACAGATATAGCTTAGGATTATATAATGTCATCTATACAGTGTCATCTCTGTTGCTGCTTTCAGTTTAAACAAAAACTCAAATTAAAGATAGACAAGTTTAATGGGAGGTTTATTTGGAATCATAAGAGAGATTCGGCCTTGCCTACTACCTCTTCCATGCTTTAAGCCTTCCTGCTCCAGGAAGAACTTCTCAGAATATTCCAGCCCACTGTGAAATACTCTTCTTGAAGCTAAGAGCACGTATTATGTGTGCTGCTCAGTCATTTCATCTTGACATGTCTTTTTTTTTTAATTTCTAACTTTTGTCCCTTTAACCCTTCCTGCCTTTCCACAGTTTATGTGGCATGCCCCAATATGAAACAGATTGTTAACTTGCATTTGCTTTCTATTGCTATGAAACAATTACCAGAAATCAAGTGGCTTAAAGAACATAAATTTACTTTCAGGTCTATAAGTCTGAAGTGCAATATGACTTAACTAGGTTTTCTGCATATGGTCTCACAAAGCTGAAACCAAGGTGTCAGCTCAGCTGGGTTCTTATCTGTAGGCTCTAGGGAATACTTACTTTTGAGCTCATTTGTGTTTTCAGGATCCAGTTCCTTGTGGTGGAAGGACTGAGGTCCTCATTTTCTTGTTGGCTGTCAGCAGAAGGCTGCTTTCTGCTTCTGAAAGTCACCTGCATTTCTTAACACATGGGGGCCCCTCAGTTTTGAAGCCAGCAACAGCAAGGCCAACTCCTCTCTGGGTTTTTAATCTCTGGGTTTTTGCCACCAGTGGAGAAAACTGCCTGCTTTTACAAGACTTCATGTAACTGGGGTAGGCCCACCCAGATCATCTCCAGATTTTAAGGTCAACTAACTTGGAATTTTAATTACATCTGCAAAATCTTTCACAAAGTACTTAGATTAGTGCTTGACTGAGTAACCAGGGGATGGGAATGTCTGGGGAGGAAAGACATCTTTAGAATTTTTCTACCACATTGACCATGGTGCATTATCTCCTGTGACACTGAGGTAATTCTGTGCACAGGTACATACTAAATCCATTTATTAAATGAATCCACAAATGTATGAACAAATGAATAATAAAGATAATTTTGTAAGTCAGATATATTATCATACAAATTACAAATAGATAAAACTGAGCCTGTAGGTGAAGATAATTTTATTTTACCCAAATACATTAGTTTTGGGTCATTACACTTAACCTTATGTCTATGATTGAATTGATTGAATTGATTAATCATGGAAAGATTTACTATTCAATGGTGAGAATTTGTTTATCAAATGACAACAAATTTTAAAGGTTTTTTTTTTTCTTTAAAGTCCTAACTATTAGCGTCTGACAGTTATGCCTTAGTCTCAAATTGCTTTTACAAACTGATGTGTACATTACAAAGCACAGGCACATACATTATCTCCTCCAACATTCACAATAGTCTAAGGATATTAATAACCCCTCCTATAGCGCCTATAGAAATTTGCGGCTCACAGTGCTGCAGTATTTTGTTGAAGGTCTTAATTCTTTATACTCAAAATGTTCTGAATGCAACTAATTTTGAAAAAAAAAAAAGGGGGGGTGGGTGAGGAGGAGTTGGTCATAATGATATAATCAAAGAATTAAATGAAGAGATTAACAAAAAAAAATTCTGGCCAATTCTTTATATGCCCTGCCCAAAAGTTTGATAATTATAATGTGATTGCTATCCCACCCTGTATTTAACAGTGGAATTACGTATCCTCAGGAATTGCAATAGTAAGTTATCTATGGCAAGTAGAAGAGACTAGTTTTTCCCACATTTTTTGAAATGCTGGAAAAGGACCTCTAATCTCTACCAGTGAAGTGATGAAAAGGTAATATCTTCAAATGAACAACATGCAACTACATTTGTCTCTAATTAGTATCTATGCAATAATGACAATCATTTTTCTTGATTTTGTAAGTTTTTTTTCCATGTTTTAAAAATAGCTTTTTAAAAAATTTCATTTTATTTTCTTGAGATAAGAAATTGTTTCAAGAAATGCTCTGTTGCCCAGGCTGGAGTGCAAGGTGCAATTAGAGCTCACAGCAGTCTTGACCTCCTGGGCTCAAGCAATCCTCTCACCACAGCCTCTTAAGTAGCTACTATGATAGGCATATGCCAACACATATCACTTTTTAATTTTTTTTATTTTTTGTAGAGATGGGATTTTTCGCTTTGTTGCCCAGGCTGATCTCGAACTCCTGGCCTCTAGGGATCCTCCTGCGTCAGCCTCCCAAAGTGCTTGGGATTACAGGTGTGAGTCATCTGGCCCAGCCAAAAATTGCTTTTTGAATCTGTACTTTTTGTAGCTCAGTGATCAGGAAATAAACTGTATTTACAGACTCAGGATACCTGTTTCATAACTTAAAAAACAAACTCAAATGCAATTCAGTTGTGCAATACGTATTTTAAGAATTAAGAAGGGCATTTATAGGATAATTGGTATTAGCAGACTTGTATAATTTAGTAAACACACCTAGGAATAGAAAAAGACTCAAAATGTTCAATATAAAGAGATGTATTTGCAGGGCTCCAAGATCAGTATGTTTGTGTCTCTGATGCTGCTTTCAGTCATAGGATTCCCTTGACCTCTTCTTCCAGCCTTCTTCAAGTTTCAATATCCTTTCCAACACTCACTTTGCCTCTTCTCAACCACTCCCTTTCACTTACAAAATCCTTTCTATAATATTCCACGTTTTATTTCATTTTACTGTCAGAAAACATAAAACAAGGCCTTTCTTCAGTTCTTTTCCTGTAGCTGCTAAGCCTAGATTAAATCCGAGGTGATTTTCACGTCCTGTAAGTGACTTTGAGCTTGACCTAGGCCCCTGTCTTTAGCTTTCGACTATGAGATTTCAGAAGAATTGTTGCTTCTTCCTTAAAGAATATAAATGACATTACGACAGCCTTAAATAAGAAAAACACTCACACAAAAACGATTATGACAAATTGAGGAATATTAAAGTAGTCAATTTGTGCATTTCTTTGAACATTCTGAACCATACAAATTTGAATGCAGCTTTCAATATACAAATAAGCCAGTTCTGTAACAATAGACAGTGCCATTGTGTATCAGACATTATGCATAGTGCAGCCAGCTGCATCAAAGAGATGGGGGAATTGGGATTTGTTTTTAACGTTAAATTGAAATCCTGAAAATTTATTACTGTCACTCTGTAATAAACAAGAATGTGGCTTAATGAAAACCTTCATTTGTATTCGTGAGTTTTTTGTTCCTAATTCAGAAGTGGATAAAGCTGCTCTTTATAAGTGGGTAGCTGCCACAATGCTTAAACTTTGCAAAATATCATCTCGTTCACATGTGAAGAATATCAGAAGAATAGTTTAAATAGTATAGATAAGATATAGTTTAATATAGGAGGAAATTCCAGGAAGATTAGCAGGAACATTCACAGTGCTTATTATATCCTTCTTATATCCCTTTGTCTTAAAAAAAAAAAAAAGTGTAACAAGGAGATATTAATATTTAACATCTTTTCTCTCTTTGGTGAAGGCAGAAAATAATCATCTGTCTTTTCTAATTTAAAGATTAAAAAATTACACCCAAGTGCAATTATGTATTATGTAGCCCAAACCTTTTTATAATGATATGTTTCTAAGAATACATCAGAATGTATGGTTGCTTTTCTTATGCTTGCTTTCTTTAAGTCTTACATGTAAACAAACACAGAATTTTAGAATTTTTTTTTGGCAATTAGAATGATGCCAAATGTTCCTATTAATTGTGAATATAAGTGAAGTTAGTGTGAAATGGAAAATGTATGTTAGAACACATGTATTTAAATGTGGCTTATTTTATTAGCAGTTACTCTTAGATACTAGTGTGCTAGGAAGTAGAGAAGTTACTGTGAAAACCAATTGACACACTTATTGTTTTTAAACTATACCTTTGCTATTCAGGAATATAAGGTTCTCTTAATCCTTTTTCCATTTTTCAAGTTTTCAAGCCCTGACCTCGAGCTTGAATAGTAAGCCAAAGCTGCTCCTTCACTGGAAAAAAAATTAAAACAAACACCAACAACTAAATTTTATGCAGAGATGTCTGAATGCTAATTTTCTGATTTCATGTGTACCTTTTAGCAACTGATGAATCAAGACACAGTCTAGACATATAGCTAAATGTTGTAGATGCCTACTCTTTTGATTCTAGGCCAAGTTCTTCTTACAAAAATAAATTAGCCATTCATAAGAGATTTCTAATATAATGATTATTCAAATATCACTAATATTTGATCAATACGTATTTATTATGAGCTCCATATGCTTGAGGTACTAAAAAAGTTCAAATTGAACACATTATGAAAGATGTGAAGAAAGCATGTATTAACTATAGATCTTGGAAATTATTTCCAACATTTGATATTTCAAAAATTAATTATATTACTTTCAGCAAGTATGTAGAACAAACTCATTTTGTATTTTATTGGTTGAAATGTCTAATTAAAGATGTGTCTAGACTTTGGATAATTTACTAGACTATGGAATTATTTTGATCATATTATATTTAGAAACATTTTAAGATTCCTATTGGCTACTTTAATATTAATAAGCAATGAGCGTTATAAAAGCATGAAGCAAAATACTAAACAAATTCATGTGAGCAGTGCAATATTCTGGAAAAGGCATTAAACTTAAAATCTAGACACTTACATTAATTCTCTGTCTAGCTCTTTCCTCTCCAGACTTGAGTGTCTTCTGGCTATAAAACGACATAAGCCTAGAATGTCTTTCTCTAACTAGATTCTGATTTAGTTATGCTTTGACAAAGGTGAATAGATACCCTCAAAATTTCTTTTAACCCTGGAATTATAATAACATATGATTTTGTAAAAATCATTTCCTTTTTTCTTGTGTAGAATGTTTTTTTTCTACTTGACTACATAGTCCTAAAAGCTAAGAATTAGGTATTGTTCATCTTTGTGTATGTATGAGTGCAATGCCTAACACATAGCAGGCACTCCATAGCACTTGTTGAATAAATAATGTGATTACTGGTGTAAAAATCAGTTACTTCTAAATTATAATTTCCTGACTTATGTAAGTCTCAAAGATCAATTTTCCAATTATATGTTTAAATGTATATATTAAGGTTAAGTATAATTGAAAGTACTGCTAAAGTGGAGGCATCTCTTAATAAAATAAAGGTGTTATGAAATGACAAAAATTTCCTAATGTTTTGTGCCTGAAGGAACCATGGATGTAAACTTAATGCTAATAAACTGAAACATTTATTAATGCAGGGAATGCTATTTTTATTATAGTCAAAAATGATTTCAAACAGTAATATAAATGGCCAAATTTGCAATATCTACAAAAATGAGCCAGAGGTAAGGTGTTTTGATGTAATGGTTTTAAAAATGCACACCTCTCTCTGTTTTTTACCATCTTGACTAGTGTCTGAGTTCAGTACTGGCATCACTGTGCATGTTTTCTTTTTTTTTTTTTCTTTTCATCCTTTTCTGGACTCTTCTTTGGACCAGAATTCCCTAATATCTGATTTTTTTGTGCCTGCCCCCAAAGTCCTTCCACAGCAGTTCTATTTCTCATTTTCCCGTTTTACAAGTTGGATAATCTTAGGCAGCAATAGAGTCTTGAGGAAAGAACATTTCAAGGTTGCAGAGGAGAGGAGTATTTTATAGTTGAAATCATAATAAAAAATAAGAACCGTGAGTGCCTTTAAATATTTAAGAAATACAAGAGGAGACAAAACTTTCATTAAGCAGTGCTGCTGGTATAGCAGAAACCAAAATGATGATAGTGTAAAACAGTGGGTAATATTCCTGGGATAAAATCTATGAGGAAAAAAAACAGATTTAATTAAGATTTTAAGACCTGGGTTTTTTGTTGTTGTTGTTATTAAGAGTATGTGCCTGCTAATAGTATAATTAATGCAAAACTCATAAAAGTGACACTAACTGAGAGAATTATCAAGACCCAGGAAGAATAGTGGCAAAGAGAGTAGATAACTGTTTACTTTCAACAGATATATTTATCCAAATTAATTTTCTGTGCACCTACTATGTGCAAAGCACCATGGAGCATAGGGAGATAAGAAGTTGCAGTAGACACAGTATTTACAATGTATTATTTTCCTTTTCTTTGTACAAGCTTATTGTCTTTCTCTGGATGCCCCTAAAATGAGCAAATTGCTTGTAGGTGATTATTTTGGGAAGGAATTTTGGAACACTGGTGGGTGACTGGAACAAATAAAATAGGGAAGAAGGGAAAGCCAGTCCAATAATACACTATTGAACTGGTACTAGCTGTGCATAACTGGACTCCATCCTACTAGGGACCCTCTGAGGAGCCCTGTAGAATATACTTTAGAATTGTTTGCCCTGCACACAACCAGTTGTCATAGCAATAGCTAAAGTAGAAATGTAATGAGAAGATGTAAGGCAAAATACAAAAAGTGTGTGAAACAAGTGTATTTTGCAAATTTATCTCATATGGAAATAAAAAGAGTAATTATTTATTAAGCCCTTATTATATGTAGTCACTGTGTTAGACTCTGTCGGGAAGAAGAAACAAGAGGAAAAGAAAGATGAAAAAATATGATGCCGGCTCTTTAGAAATGCGAAATCTAGGTGAGGAAGCAAGTACCTAAGCAAGGCCTTGAGAGAATGTGAGTTACAATGAGGCTCCAAGGAAGGAGGAAGTAAGGAAGGGATCATGTAAGTTATTACATTTCTTCTTAAGTTATTACATTTCTTCTTAAGGAGAAATATATGTCAGATAGAGGAGGGAGAATTGGGAGGAAGTAGAAGAAGGTAATTCCAAGTAAAAGAGGCACGGATTGTAAACCCAAGGAGCTAAAAGGCTATGGTTTGTTCAGAGCATTGTGATCTTAGAGGAGCTACATATTAAAACTACAAAAAATTAGACGGCCGTGGTGGCGGGCACCTGTAGTCCCAGCTACTCGAGAGGCTGAGGCAGGAGAATGGCGTGAACCCGAGAGGCAGAGGATGCAGTGAGCCGAGATTGCCCCACTGCACTCCAGCCTGGGCGACAGAGTAAGACTCCATCTCAAAAAATATATATATAATAAATAAATAATAATAATAAAAAGTAGGCACAGGTGGTTTACCATTTTTCTTTCTTTCTGTTTTTGAAAGTTGCATTCTCTACCACATTTTTTCCCCATTGAACTATAACTAATTAAGCTGTGAAACACTACTTGCTTCTTTTCTCCAGTTTGCTAGGAGAAAGGTCTATCTCAACACAAGAGTCAACATTACTATCCAGTAAAACATCACAGTGGTATGCCTCAAAAAAAAAAAAAAAGTGTACCCTGGAACACAGAATAGTACGTGGGGAATAGCAGGTGATCACTGAGCATGTATAGATACTTAAGCATTATTTGTTTAGTGGATGAGTTTTCTGACCTGAATTTTAAAAGCTCTGTTTTAGAAGGGACATATATTGTTGGTGTCATTGTTACTGTTTCAGATTTCTAGAACTCTGAGATACACATGATCTCCTGCCAACAACTGAACATTTCTTTGTGGGCCAAGGTAGGGCTTACATTGGTACTTCTTGTGTAAACACTAACACATTTTTTAAAGCTACAATTTTAAGAAAATTTAATCAGCACTTCAATAAACACTTCACTTAGTTGTCTAATTTGCTTATCATAACACTAGAAGGGATAATTTTATCCCCTTTGTTCAACTGAGAAAACTGAGGTGCCAGGGTGCTAAGCTAATACCTCGTATGCTTGATTGTTAAGAAATATGGCCTCCATCCATAACAAACACATTCAAATAGAACTCACAGACAAGAGCAGTTATTTAACAGTTCTCTTGGGTGTGTGTTTATATGTTTGTAAAGGTATAACTCTATATTTATGGTATGATGTCTTGAGAGACATCCAAGAAGACAAGATTCGTCTTTTCAGTAGATGGAACCAACGTTACTTTACAGTGGTAGTCAATATTTCCAAGTCCTGAATTCTTGATTGATAATATTATCTTTCCTATCTCTTTTTTCTTCAGCTCTATAGTAAAACCTCATCCCAATGCAGAAATTTAAACAATGTATCTATACTTCCATTCTCTGTAATAAATAGTTTGATGGTACCAAACACTTGATCAAATGCTATGAGTCATATAAAAGTAAATTAAATATGATCCTACAGAGTCAAGAAACTTAGACTCTGTAGAAGAAGATGCACATGAGAGTGATAAAGTATAGGTAAAATATAGATGAAGTATAGGCAAAAGCTGTAGGAGAAAAGAGGACTTGGCAGATTAATTCAACCAGAGTTAGGTAATAATTCAGGGAAGCTACATAGAGATGGAAGCACAGAGAATCAGAATACCTGAGTCCTTGTCTTATTTTTGCATCTAATTTAAGCACATCATTTGATCCCTGTCAGCCTCACCTCCTCATCTGTAAAACTAAAGGATGGCAACAGCTGATCCCCAGTACTCAGACTTTTTTCAGATTCTAACTTTGTGAGCAGGTGGCATCTGAGATGGGCACTGATATACGAGTACTGTTTCAACACATACAGACATAGAAGCCCATCTCAGATGAAGGCAAACTGCAAATACAAAAGTGCAGCAAAGGCTTGGATGTGTCCTGGGAATGGAGAGTTTTCTGCCTAGGGTGACACATGTGCAAAGTATGGCAGAGTATCAGGTATAAGACTGAAAAAGTAGCTTGCAGAAAGTTTACAGAAGGTCTTACATTCCATACAAAGTCCTTTGGATTTTATTAAGGATTTAAAAATAGCCAAAATATAATGGTAATGATTAGAGAATCATTGAGAAGAACTCAAAATCAATCTAGAGTGTAACAAGTGGAACAATTTAAGTAAATCAGAACTACAAGGCCAGATAATCACTGGCCTTCATTTCACTGGAAAAATCGAAGAACAAACAAGCAGACAAAATTTAAAGGTAAATGGAATATTCAAAAAAATGGAAATGATCAAAGCTTATGAAATTCTTGATCATTAATTAATGCCAAAAGAACGATGTTGCAGACTCCAGAAAATAAGCTAGTTTAGGTAACCTTCCTAACACAAAAGATACAAAGAATAAAATGTAGTAAACAAGAAAACCTGATCATGAAACTCCAAGTTTAGACACCCTACATAAAAGCTTAAATAATTTCACACCCACATACCCACATGTATAAGATCATAAAAACGCATTCAACTTGCAAAAATGTTTTCGGTTTGCAATTTCTCCCATGTTTTTACCACACTAACAGTGTCACAGTGAAGACACAGCTGATGGCAGTGACTATTACTGACCTTAAGAACACAGCTGGATTTCTATTTTTATTTCTGTAAAACCTTCTTTTCTTCAACTAAATGATGCCCTAGAGGCCCAAGCTAAAGTCTGTATAGTAAGGGCAATGTGTATCGTATTTTGTGCAAATGTATTTCACACGACAAAGCCAGAGTTTAAAACACACATACACACACCCACACACATCCACATACACACTCCAAAATATGTCAAGACGCTTACATAGAAACCCATTTGCAAACCAGCCTGGTAGGAGTTGCCATACCAAGTTCAAAGAACCATTCAGGGTCATACAAAATAACCTGTATTGACAACACACTACAAAGCAACTATATATTCATGTAAATTACTTCTGAGTTTCTAAAATAGAGTAAACAAAAAAATCCAAAACATTTGGAAAACATTGATGAACAATTCAAGCTTTGAGACTTCTTTATTTCAGCAACTAGGAAGGATAATAAAAGATAGCGGTATTTGTTTATATTTGGATGATTGCTTCCTTATTCTCCTTACCTCAAATTAGAGGTAATAGTCTTGGAGAGTTTCATCTGGCTATATGAAGATAAAAGCATTTATCTACAAATAGGCAGATTTCTGAATGTGGGTAATAACCAAGGCAAACATATGTTTAAAATTCCTAATGTAATTGATGCTGAGTAGATAGGAGGGTATATTGTGAACTTTGGCAAAATGGTTATTCAGCAAGCAGAATGGGACTTAAGGATGCTGGTCGGCCAGAGAAATAGCTCTGTAGTCGCTAAGAATAAGTTGGCAGAAAAATGCCACTAGTCAAAAAGAGCAAGAAAGGAATGGTGTGATTTCTCTACCCATTCACCTCATCATTTATAACACAAAAATAGAGAGATTTTCTGTAAAAATGATTATTTTTATGTTTATCAAGTTTCAGTCTGTCAAAAATGATGGAACTACCTGAAGATAGACATTGTTTTTTTATCAAATGAAAAAAAAAACCCAAAATGTTAGAATAAGTATATAAATACAAATTTTTCTATGACCTTTGGCCTCTAATTCAAGAAAAGAACACCAGTGTGCACTTGTTTGCCTGACTTCTTCTAAAGAAGACAAACGGGAAAGCTGACTGACAGGAATCTGAAGCCATTTATCCAATTTTTACATTCTTTCCCTAAATGCAAGAGGAGTTGACTGCAGTAGGGAATCATAAATTGTTAGTCGACCACACTGAGAGCTAATTGAAAAGAGGACCATGGTATGTTTACCTCTCTGCACTCCAGGAGACATGCACAATGAAGGTGTGTTTAGTAAACAAACAGACAGAAAATCTCTACATTGGTCCCTACCACATGACAAGTATGCTACTCGGGCATTCTTCAACCCTAAAGTCGAGGGGGAGAAAAAGACTACAGAGGGTCTACAGTACAGGAGCATGCAATATTCACACAGACAAAGCTCTCTTCCTAGAAATCGCTGTGCAACAGATGTGAGGTGGTACATGAGATGATAGAGCATGTCTGTGCTGTATCTATAACTCAGCACATCTCATCTTAGGATCTGGACCATTTGATTTCACCAGAAATAATGGAAAGGAGTATAATTATGTCACCTGTGTGAGACCTGCTTGATTCTTCCAGATACTATAATCCAAATTTATATACCAGTGGAAAAGCATATCCCATCTGCTTCTCTTTTTCTCTCCTAATCTCTACCCAGTGTTTAAGTAAAATTAAGTGATACAAAAAAGGGAAGTGTAATCTGAGCCTCCGGATATCTCCTGCAGCTGCTCATGGGGAAAGGGGTGGATATTGCTTCAGAGAGGATTTAATTATCTTTTGAGCAAACTCCTCCCACAGTATGTAATGAAACAGGATCACACTGTCAATTGGATCTAATCAATGGTGTATAATTTCTCAGTAAACGTATGTGTTCTCTATTTTGAGTACACATTAATCACCCTCTTGTGCTTGAAACGTTATTTGGGTGTAAATCATTTGCTTCCCACTAGGTATATGCTTCCTCAGGAAAATGTAAGTTGAGGCCAGTTTTGTCTTACAGAAGCAGAATTAATATAGCTTTAGTAACTCTAAGATTGCAACAGAAATCTTAAAAACATGACTCAAAGCTAGTTTAAAGCTTGAGTAATTTAAGGAAATTTCTAGGGAAGTAATTGGTATTGTACCAAAACTAAATATTTCACAGTTACATTTGCTGTTGCCTCAAAATACAAACTGGAGCAATACAAGGGAAAACTGCCAAAACAGAAAATAATATGCAGCAGATGTGGTAATTGGTAGTGATAATCATAATTAGAAAAGATATAAGATATATGTTAAAACCCAGAGTGGATCTTCCTGTTGACAACGGGAAAAAGTCTCAAAGGCTTACACTCCACTCAGCTTGGACACTTTTGCTTCATACCTGAGACAGATCCTCTAAAAACAAACTCGTCATTAGGTCAGCCATGAAGCCATTCTCTAAATTTCACTCACCATGCTGTTCTCTTTGGCAAAAGAGAAGAAAAGGAAGAGGTCATATCCTCTGACTCTGAAGAAATTGCAAATCAGAGGAGACTGGCCAATTATCTAGCTATAAATTGCATTAAATAAAAATCCTCCCAAAGTCAAGAAAATATAGAGAATTAATATTTTTGTAAGCAAAAATGAAAGACATCTTTGCAAGACCAGAGAAAGATTGATTTAACCAAGTGTAGATTAAGTGAAGTAAAATATGCTTGTTCCATGCAAAGCATCTCAAGTTAAACAGAAAGCTCTGTGGGAACAGGAACCATTTCTGTTTTGCTCATTGCCTCAGAGTGCCTAGCACATAGCACACACTGAATTTGCTAAAGGAATAAGTGAATGAGGAGTGTTTAGATCATCCTTGAGGGAGTGTTTATGCTTTGTTAAGTGCTGTACTGGGTGGTTTATAGATAACAACACATTTGATCTTTGTAATAACTTTTGAGATACTACCAATCCTCATTTGCAAATGAAGATACTGAACTCAGCAAAGTTAAGAAACTTGCCTAGGTTAGTCCAGTTAGAAAGGGATGGAATTGGAACTTGAACCAATGTCATCCAGCTCTACAGTCCATATATTATATACAATGTCATATTTAAAGACTAGAATGTCTTAGCTTTACTAAGAACTAGAAAGAATGACAGCCTGTTCTGTTGTTTGTTTTAAATTCTGATCTGCAAACAGGATCAGTCTCCCTTACATACTCTATTTTATTTTCTCTTTTTTTTCAATAAAATGGTAAATATAATACAATCTAATACATTGTTAAAGGGCTGCGTATTCTCTCTGTTAGTTTTAAATCTTCAACCTTTTGTTTCCTTTATCCTCCTCCTTTCTTTCTTGTTCTCAATTTAAACTTTTCTTCTCTTTTCTTCATTCTTCTCCTCAAAAAAAATTAAGCAGGTAGTAAGAAAGAAATAGAACAATTTCATTACACACTTTGCCTTGAGGGTGAGAAATCACAGGAACAACTATTAAAATAGGATAGTCTATCAAAATGGTCTTGAATTTGACACATGCATATTTAGGAATATTATTTCACATCCAATCCAGTAAACATCAATTGAACACATTTGATATAAGATTCAGATGCACATATAAGGAGGAATGTTCCATAACTTCAAGATGTTTATAGTTATATATCACATATATATAACTAATTATAAGTTAAGAAGAAAGAAAACATTTCTGAAGTCAGGTATAAGCAGAAGACTAATAATTTTTCTTAGATTGGGGATGGCCTCATGGAAAAACTGGTATTTTTGATGTTTAAGGATGAGCAGGACTTTAATAAGTGCAAAGGGGAATAGGAAGAAGGCCATCTAGGCTTAAGGAGGTTGCATGCACAAAGGACATGAGGTAATGAAACACTCTATGTGCTCAGAAAATGGCTTGTATGACTAGAGTGAAGAAGCGGTGTGAGTCTGGATAAGTTGACTAGAACCAGATGGCAGAGGTCCCTGAATGCCAGGCTGTAAAGTTTTGGCTTCACTCAATAGACAATGGGGAATACTTGAATCCCAGGCTGTAAAGTTTTGGCTTTACTCAATAAACAATGGGGAATACTTGAAGGTGAGCTAGGATAGGCTTTACTTTTTTTTTTTAGACAGAGTCTCACTCTTTCACCCAGGCTGGAGTGCAGTGGCGCGATCTCGGCTCACTGCAACCTCCACCTCCTGGGTTCAAGTGATTCTAGTGCCTCAGCTTCCTGAGTAGCTGGGACTACAAGCGTGTGACACCATGCCCAGCTATTTTTTTGTATTTTTAGTAGAGGCGGGGTTTCGCCATGTTGGCCAAGCTATTCTCGAACTCCTGGCCTCAGGTGATCCACCTGCTTCGGCCTCCCAAAGTGCTGGGAGTACAGGCATGAACCACTGCACCCGAGCAACATAGGCTTTACTCTTGCCTTTCCTAGTACAATCTATTGTCTACTGAGTAGCCAAGTGATCCTTTAAAAATAATCATACTCTCCTATGGCTTCTCATGTCACTCAGAATGAAACTAAAGCCCTTGCCATAGCCCAGATACATCTCTGATCACATGACCTATACTGCCTAATTTTACTTAAGGTAAATAGCAGCATGATATTGAAAGGCAACTAAAAACTTGACAGAGATCCTTCAACAGGTCTGGCCATCCCAGAGGCTCAACTAGATATCTTCTAAGTAATTCAGGCTTCTAGCTTGGACCTATGGGTTCATCTATGCTGACTGTCTTTTGTGGCAAGAGTATGATGTTATAAAGTTCAGTACATGCTGTCTTCCTATATTATCCACTTAATGATCTGTCTTCTTGCTCAAAATACTTAAGGGAGGTAGTCTGACCTGTACAGGTCAAAGTATAATGAGCCTGATACTAAAATGAGAAGAAAGATTCAGCAAAATACAAAAGGAAAAGATGATACTCTCTGAAAAAAGAAGTCAAGGTATTTTGTCTCCTTATAGGTTTGTAGTAACTGGGGGAAATGGATGTGAAGCACTGACGTTTACTGAACACCTATTAAGTACCAAACTCTATGTTCAGTATCAAAGATAAAAGATATTTATAATATATCTTGGCTTCTAGACATTCTTGACCTAATCAGGTTAAGATGTATAAGTATATTACCAGTTACTAAGTAATACAGGGGAAAGGCGGTAATGCTTAATTTGTCATATGGGATTTTCTGAAGGTTTTTTCCTAAGTAATATTTCAGCCCAGTCTTGAAGCTAATTTCTAATAGCTAACAGCTATTTTCTTAAGATCAAGTAGTTGATTGGAATTTGACCTGCTAAGAAGATCCATTGACCCAAATAATACTGAGACCCTTAACTTGAGTATCATTAGCCCTGTTCTTCAAATAATTCAGTTCAACAGTCATATACACACACACAAACCACACATAATAAATGCCAGTCAGTGGGAATAAGGTTGCATAACAATGGCATCCCCCAACAATGGAATGTTATAACACCATTTTAAAAATGAGATATGTGTGTACTAAAGTATGTATATCATTGTATTTTGTAAAAAATAATTGTATTTGTAACTGTTGCCTAGATTACTTATCTGCCATAGGGAATCCTCCCAAGTTTGTATATTATTTTTAAAGTTCCATATACCCTAATGTTCTGTATTTACCTATTTATTTATATCCCCAACTAGAATAAGCTCTTCCTGAAAGAAAGGATTGGTTTTATTCATCTTTGCCTATGTGAGGCTTAATTCAACCCCACGAACATAATAGATATTCAGTAGATATTTAAAGAGTACGACTGGTGACATGTAACTTGACATTAGGTATCTGATCTCACATTATGGTGACTAACTTTGCTCTTTGTGTTTTGGTGTACTGATTATTCACGATTACTCCACAGTCTACTGCCTGTAACAATTGCAAGCTAACGATTCATCCCCCAGTTTCTAGTTTATTTCAGGACTAATATAAATATTATATTCACAAGCAACAAAAAAGTATATAAATTTGTGGCATCAGTGAAAAGACGTATGCTATTTTAATTGTAAAGTAATAAATTTAAAATACGCTATTGGTAATATCTTTGTTAAGTTTAAGACAATAGGAGGCTGAGTGGAAGAAGATACAGCTACACTGGGGAAGGCAGAATTAAGTAATAAAAGGATCATACATATCTTATTAAGTGCTGCATTCCCAGCACTTAGGAGAGTGCTTGGTACCTAGTTCAATTAAAACTTGCTGAATGAATGAATGTACTATACTACTATAGTACATTTTCTAGCCTATAATCACGTGGCTTCCTTCAGAAAAGATTCCATTTTGTAGGACAGAAATACTCATTTTGATTATGACCCATTCATTTGATTGAATCATTTACTTAGACATTTCTTGAGCATCTACTATATACCACACTTTGCCAGATTTTATGTCTGGAAACACAAAGATGAATAAGAAATGACCTAGAAGAGTTTAAATCTGTTGGAAGAAATGAATATGTAAACAAATATTTGCAATGCAGTGTGATAGTTACATAACATATAATATATATTTCATGGTATCATGACACAAAAGAGGTGGTCAGCTCAGTTTGTTGGAGAATGAGAGGAGGTCCAGGAAAGATTGCCCAAAAACGCATTTTCAAGGATGGATAAGGAGTTTTGAGGGGACTTGATAATCTACCCATTTAATGTTACTACTTAATTTCTCATAACAAAAATAATTTACCTTTGCTTTTTATGCTTAGCTTTTAAATTTTATTTCTTATTTATGAAACCATTTATATGCTTTACATATTTTTGGTCCTTTACCATTATACAAGTTTTATTACACTTGACATTCTTGAAAAACAACTCTAGCATAACTACTATTGAGAAGGTCATATATTAAATAAAGATTAATTTGTATTTTTAAAATATTTTTCTAGGTCTAGAAAAGGGGACAATGAGGAGTTCCATAGCTTTAAATTAGACTTCATATACATCAGAAATTGAAAAGCTCTCTGTTCAACAATAGACTTACTTTCTTTGTCTTTTTATTTTTTAAAAAACTCATTTGTAATTATACACATGCATTAAATAGTTAATTTTGCTCTTTGTTTATTAAAAAATAGTAGTCTCAGTGTTCAAATCCCACTCACCTGGAATCAATAATTGCATTGTCAAGGAAACTTCCCACTGCAGGGACCAATGTATCTTTCATCCCCTTTAATTTCTTGGAAGTGTAAACAGCAGAATTTATTATTCTTGTTACGTAGCAATATAGTCATTTGTGAACATTTCATTAAAACTATCTGCTGGCAATTCAGACTCAGTGTGACTAAACCTGCTCCTGGATTTGAGTTATAAATTTAGAAATGAAGTAGTCGATTTCTTTACTACATTATTCAATTTCTACTAGGAAATAGTGCTTGAAATCCAGGTTTCATTAAGAAAAGGTGGTTAAAATATATTGGCAGGTTTTTTGTTATTACAATTATTATTATTATTATGGTAAATGAGAATCAGTCTCAAACAAGTCCAAGCACGGCTGTAACATTTAATTTCTGGAACACAATATAATTCACTACAACTAGGCAACTGTCTGTTCATAAACAAAGTGAAACCCATTCCAAACACTCCAATAATATCCCAAACTTGGTGAATTTTCAGGTATTCAGTGAAAATTCAACATGACTGTTAGCCAAGTACCATGTGAACTTCCCCATATATAAGACTGTAATATTTCTGATGTATAAATGTAGTCATACATTCAACTCTCCAAATTCTTCAAAATGTCTTTCAATATAAAAACCTAGTCCCTTTTTCATTACAGTAGAGGTCATTCTACCTGTCTAGAGGTCTAGTTTCAATTCCCTCCACTTCGGGCCTCAAACTTCATGGTCCAGCAAGACTAAATCTACCTTTATATTCTATACGACACACCTTGCTCTGTCCTTTTATTATGCCTTCGAATATGTTATTTCTTCTACCCACATGATAGTCTCCTTTAGTAAAACTGTATTTGAAATCTCCCTTACCCAGGCAATTTAAAAGCACAATTTGTCTGTGTTACTGGGTATGCACATGCAACTCTAATATTCTGTATTATAATTGTTTGAAGATCTTTTCTCACCAAAAAAAGGCCTTGGAAGGGACAATATTCTTGTTTTCCTAGCATTTAGTACAGTATTTAGCTAATAAAACACAGCTATATATACACATGAATGACTATTTGTCCATTAATACAAATATTTACAGTACATATAAGAGGAATAATAATGTTAGTAGCTGTTGAGTACTTAGCATGTGTTTAGTTGATGTAATATGCTGTATGTGCTTCATCTCCAATTCTCACCACAGCCCTGTGAGGTGGATTCTATTATTTCTATTATTTTCATTTTGCCCTTGAGAAAACTGAAGCTCTGAGAAGTTAGCCACATAGCCCACACGTTGTCATATAGCAGAATCAGATATGAACTTCAGTCTGTCTGACTCCAATGTCAGTGCTTTCCCCGATGCACCTGGCTACCTTTTGATTATTGTCAAGATCCTGGAAGACACAAATTAGATTTTGATTTAATCTTTTCCATTTCTTTCCAGCTCCAAGTACAGCCCAGTATGGAATTACCGGGAGCGCTGATGTTCTTTTCTCCTGCTGGTACCTTGTGTTGACACTGTCCTCTTTCACCAGCATATTCTACCTGAAGAATGCCATTCTACAATAAATTCAAAGACCCATAAAAGGCTTTTAAGGATTCTCTGAAAGTGCTGATGGCTGGATCCAATCTGGTACAGTTTGTTAAAAGCAGCGTGGGATATAATCAGCAGTGCTTACATGGGGATGATCGCCTTCTGTAGAATTGCTCATTATGTAAATACTTTAATTCTACTCTTTTTTGATTAGCTACATTACCTTGTGAAGCAGTACACATTGTCCTTTTTTTAAGACGTGAAAGCTCTGAAATTACTTTTAGAGGATATTAATTGTGATTTCATGTTTGTAATCTACAACTTTTCAAAAGCATTCAGTCATGGTCTGCTAGGTTGCAGGCTGTAGTTTACAAAAACGAATATTGCAGTGAATATGTGATTCTTTAAGGCTGCAATACAAGCATTCAGTTCCCTGTTTCAATAAGAGTCAATCCACATTTACAAAGATGCATTTTTTTCTTTTTTGATAAAAAAGCAAATAATATTGCCTTCAGATTATTTCTTCAAAATATAACACATATCTAGATTTTTCTGCTCGCATGATATTCAGGTTTCAGGAATGAGCCTTGTAATATAACTGGCTGTGCAGCTCTGCTTCTCTTTCCTGTAAGTTCAGCATGGGTGTGCCTTCATACAATAATATTTTTCTCTTTGTCTCCAACTAATATAAAATGTTTTGCTAAATCTTACAATTTGAAAGTAAAAATAAACCAGAGTGATCAAGTTAAACCATACACTATCTCTAAGTAACGAAGGAGCTATTGGACTGTAAAAATCTCTTCCTGCACTGACAATGGGGTTTGAGAATTTTGCCCCACACTAACTCAGTTCTTGTGATGAGAGACAATTTAATAACAGTATAGTAAATATACCATATGATTTCTTTAGTTGTAGCTAAATGTTAGATCCACCGTGGGAAATCATTCCCTTTAAAATGACAGCACAGTCCACTCAAAGGATTGCCTAGCAATACAGCATCTTTTCCTTTCACTAGTCCAAGCCAAAAATTTTAAGATGATTTGTCAGAAAGGGCACAAAGTCCTATCACCTAATATTACAAGAGTTGGTAAGCGCTCATCATTAATTTTATTTTGTGGCAGCTAAGTTAGTATGACAGAGGCAGTGCTCCTGTGGACAGGAGCATTTTGCATATTTTCCATCTGAAAGTATCACTCAGTTGATAGTCTGGAATGCATGTTATATATTTTAAAACTTCCAAAATATATTATAACAAACATTCTATATCGGTATGTAGCAGACCAATCTCTAAAATAGCTAATTCTTCAATAAAATCTTTCTATATAGCCATTTCAGTGCAAACAAGTAAAATCAAAAAAGACCATCCTTTATTTTTCCTTACATGATATATGTAAGATGCGATCAAATAAAGACAAAACACCAGTGATGAGAATATCTTAAGATAAGTAATTATCAAATTATTGTGAATGTTAAATTATTTCTACTATAAAGAAGCAAAACTACATTTTTGAAGGAAAATGCTGTTACTCTAACATTAATTTACAGGAATAGTTTGATGGTTTCACTCTTTACTAAAGAAAGGCCATCACCTTGAAAGCCATTTTACAGGTTTGATGAAGTTACCAATTTCAGTACACCTAAATTTCTACAAATAGTCCCCTTTTACAAGTTGTAACAACAAAGACCCTATAATAAAATTAGATACAAGAAATTTTGCAGTGGTTATACATATTTGAGATATCTAGTATGTTGCCCTAGCAGGGATGGCTTAAAAACTGTGATTTTTTTTCTTCAAGTAAAACTTAGTCCCAAAGTACATCATAAATCAATTTTAATTAGAAAAATGAATCTTAAATGAGGGGACATAAGTATACTCTTTCCACAAAATGGCAATAATAAGGCATAAAGCTAGTAAATCTACTAACTGTAATAAATGTATGACATTATTTTGATTGATACATTAAAAAAGAGTTTTTAGAACAAATATGGCATTTAACTTTATTATTTATTTGCTTTTAAGAAATATTCTTTGTGGAATTGTTGAATAAACTATAAAATATTATTTTGTATTGCAGCTTTAAAGTGGCACACTCCATAATAATCTACTTACTAGAAATAGTGGTGCTACCACAAAAAATGTTAACCATCAGTACCATTGTTTGGGAGAAAGAAACAGATCAAGAATGCATATTATTCAGTGACCGCTTTCCTAGAGTTAAAATACCTCCTCTTTGTAAGGTTTGTAGGTAAATTGAGGTATAAACTATGGATGAACCAAATAATTAGTTCAAAGTGTTGTCATGATTCCAAATTTGTGGAGTCTGGTGTTTTTACCATAGAATGTGACAGAAGTACAGTCATAGCTCAGTAGCTATATGTATTTGCCTTTATGTTAGAAGAGACTTTCTTGAGTGACATTTTTAAATAGAGGAGGTATTCACTATGTTTTTCTGTATCACAGCAGCATTCCTAGTCCTTAGGCCCTCGGACAGAGTGAAATCATGAGTATTTATGAGTTCAATATTGTCAAATAAGGCTACAGTATTTGCTTTTTTGTGTGAATGTATTGCATATAATGTTCAAGTAGATGATTTTACATTTATGGACATATAAAATGTCTGATTACCCCATTTTATCAGTCCTGACTGTACAAGATTGTTGCAATTTCAGAATAGCAGTTTTATAAATTGATTTATCTTTTAATCTATAACAATTTGTGTTAGCTGTTCATTTCAGGATTATATTTTCTACAAGTTCCACTTGTGGGACTCCTTTTGTTGCCCCTATTTTTTTTTAAAGAAGGAAGAAAGAAAAATAAGTAGCAGTTTAAAAATGAGAATGGAGAGAAAAGAAAAAGAATGAAAAGGAAAGGCAGTAAAGAGGGAAAAAAAGGAAGGATGGAAGGAATGAAGGAAGGAAGGGAGGAAGGGGAGAAGGTAGGAAGAAAGAAAGGATGAGAGGGAAGGAAGAATCAGAGTATTAGGGTAGTTAACTTACACATTTGCATTCTTAGTTTAACTGCAAGTGGTGTAACTACGTTTTTCAATGATCGCATTTGAAACATAAGTCCTATTATACCATTAAGTTCCTATTATGCAGCAATTATATAATAAAAAGTACTGCCCAAGTTATAGTAATGTGGGTGTTTTTGAGACACTAAAAGATTTGAGAGGGAGAATTTCAAACTTAAAGCCACTTTTGGGGGGTTTATAACTTAACTGAAAAATTAATGCTTCATCATAACATTTAAGCTATATCTAGAAAGTAGACTGGAGAACTGAGAAAATTACCCAGGTAATTCAGGGAAAAAAAAAAATATATATATATATAAATACCCCTACATTTGAAGTCAGAAAACTCTGAAAAACTGAATTATCAAAGTCAATCATCTATAATGATCAAATTTACTGAACAATTGTTAATTTATCCATTGTGCTTAGCTTTGTGACACAGCCAAAAGTTACCTATTTAATCTTTTCAATAAAAATTGTTTTTTGAAATCCAGAAATGATTTAAAAAGAGGTCAGGTTTTTAACTATTTATTGAAGTATGTGGATGTACAGTATTTCAATAGATATGAATATGAATAAATGGTATGCCTTAAGATTCTTTGAATATGTATTTACTTTAAAGACTGGAAAAAGCTCTTCCTGTCTTTTAGTAAAACATCCATATTTCATAACCTGATGTAAAATATGTTGTACTGTTTCCAATAGGTGAATATAAACTCAGTTTATCAATTAAAATATGTATTTGACTCATTTTAAAACTCTATTAGCTTAAGAGAAAGAAGGAAGAAATAATAATTTGAAGATATTTCTGCTATTCTCTTTATTTCCTGTATTACACTCATCTTTCTGCTTACTCTAAAGCAGTACAGGGTAAAAATTCTAGATGCTACAGTTTCAAATGACTCCACACTATATTCTTTCTTGCTGTTGCTGATTCCTAAAAGGTTTGATGAGCTGAACTACATCTAAACTAAAAATAAATTTTCTGGAAACATTTTATTATTAATTATTTAGAACCTTTACCTGGTAAAATACAGCAGAGTTAGCAACAGAGACTAAATATCCTGTTGATAAAATCCTGATGATCTTACAGGCTAAACAACTGAAAACTCAAACGCTTGTAAGAGCCAGGCAGAGTGTAATTTCTTAACAGCTGGGTATAAAACAACGGGCACCTGAAGGTATTCAGATACAATTTCCTTAAAAATACCTTGGTTTCCAAGCAAAACACGTTATTTGGCTGAGAACCTTTAGTTTGTAAATACCAAACCATAATATACAAATGAGATCTCAAGCCAAATGAATTTTTTAAGCCCTCTTTCCCATATCTGTTCATCTATGATAGTCAACTGAATAAATGAGAACAATGTGATAGATAAAACAACAAAGCATAAAAAAGATTCATGCTTGGTTTTATAAGCTATTTTGAAATATAAGTATCATTGCTATTCTGAGAAATCTATATACACCAAAGCCCTCCCTCCACAAAAAAACTGGAAATGTTCTAATAAATGTCTGATTTCCCCCACAGCTTCATTATTTCTTCCCTTTTCAACATCTATCTTATCTATCTTGCATAAATTACATCACAGAAACAGAAACATCAAGTATCAGACATGGAAAACCAGCACATGAAACAGAGCTAGTTTCCCTCTCAAAAGAATAGGGCAAAACATAGATGCTTCAAAATCATATCTTGGTATACAGAAAATAATTATTCACTTTAACCTGACAGTCAGAAATGTAAGTAAGAATTTGTAGAGATAATTTTCCAAGGTAATTCATTCAAGTTAGTGGAATTTGATCCAAACACCCGTCAATGTACTCCCTCTGAACTTTCCAAGAATCATACACCTTCACATTTACATTCACTGTTTTTCTAGTAATTCCAAACTTACTCAAAAGTATTTCAGAATTGATATCACTGGTGGAAAGAGAGCAATTTAGCAAACAAATACATGCTTTCCGGTATTCCTAGAGAAAAGGAAAAGAGGAATACGTTTCATTCTTCTCCCTAGAAGCTCTACCCACAGTCATCCTAAAGCTAGACCAATCTCTCCCAGGGCTTTCCTTCAGTCTAAGAAACATGCTTCATTTCAGAGACAATTGTGGCAACTATAGTTTTCCCCAAAGGGTCACAACTACCTCTCCTTTGCATTTTACAATGGAGCACTTTTGCAAGTGTTGCTATTGTGGCTTTCTCAACACTTTCAAATACTTAAAGGAGAAAATATTACTATTGTCATGTATTGATGGTGAAAACGAGATTCAGAAATTTTGAGTCACTTGCTGAAGATTATACTTCAACTAAGTGGCAGATCTGAGCCAAATATGCAATGAAAAATGTTCCCAATTTGTTTCCAGTCCCAGACTACCTAGGAAAAAGAAAAGCATATAATCACATTGCTAGCTTCATAGACAACTATTTGCATATTTTTATTTATATATTTATATAAATATAAGCACATTTTAAATATAAATATAGATATTTATGACATCCTTGTATTTTCCAATACCTGCAGAGGGTATGAGATTTAAAGGCTAATCAGATTGTACATGTCATCTAAAACTTTGGAAACGTGAAACTCACAGTACAGTTGCCTTTGGACACACAGCCTTGGGTTGTATGAGACTGGTCACACCAAGTGGAGAATCTTGTCATAATCGCATGTATCTTCTTTTTGTATAGCATTTTGCAAAAAATGTGTCAAGTTTGGGATAATCCACTAAGACTATTCCTCAGACATCTGCAATCAACAGAATTTTGGGGGAAATGGAGATCAGAATACATACACACTTTTAAAAAAATTCACAATACTGATTTTAATCTGAGTGATGTTGTTTGAGGCCATTTATATTGAAATACTAACATGAACATCTGTTTGTGCTGGGACAGTAGAACAAGAGAAAGATTCTAATTCTAGAAATTAAATGATATGCAACCTAAGAAATACATTTGTACTTTGTTTTCAAAATATGAATATAATACAAATCCTATGGATATCACCACTTAGTTTGAAAAACATAAAAAGTGTGATTTTCATACACTTATGAAATGAATAAATTAATTCATTAATGAAGGACCTGATAAGACATTACAACCAGATAAAAGGATAATTTAAAGAACATACACATTTATAGATCAAAAACCTTGAAATTAATGTACTAATAGAGGCAAAACTGGCTTCCAGAGTGAGGAGGAGAATTCAATTGAATCTTTACCCCTCAGAATTTATTTCCATATCTGTAGACGAGAAATATTTTGCCTTAGTATTATTTATTTACAACTTGAAAAAGAGTTCAAATATAATGAAAAATACAGAGGCTCCAAAAGAATCAGAATCAGGTAACCTGTAAAAGTGTGTTCCAAGTAATTAGTGGTTTTTCATTTCAGCAAAAATTCTTCTCTGCAATGAAGAGACATAATTTTTTTTTCTTTTTCAGAGTTTTGCTCGGTTGCCCTGGATGGAGTGCAGTGGTGTGATCTTGGCTCACTGCAACCTCCGCCTCCTGGGTTCAAGCGATTCTCCTGCATCAGCCTCCCCAGTAGCTGGGATTATAGGCACGTGCCACCACACCTGGCTAAGTTTTGTATTTTTAGTAGAGGTGGGGTTTCACCATGTTGGCCAGTCTGGTCTAGAACTCCTGACCTCAAGTGATCCACTTCCCTCGGCCTCCTAAAGTGCTGGGATTACAGGCGTGAGCCACCGCTCCCAGACGAGATGTAAAATTTTTAAAGCCATTGAATTAAATTCATTGCTAACATTTTGAGCTTTGATAATGTAATGCCTACTTTAATGACCCAAAAAAAAAAAAACCCAAGTAACCTATCTATCTAATAATCTATGTTTTTTAATTACTCCTTTTCTTCCTTATCTCACAAACCATAATCCAATAGTCTAGGACATGTGAAAGAGAAAGTAAACAGTCACAAGAACTACCTTGCTTCGAGAATCCACCTTGTTGAAAAAATAATATATTTTGGGCACTTGTTAAAAAGAATTAACAGAAAAAGTCTTTTTTTTTTTGTCACAGGGGCATTTAATTCATGGTATAACAGGAATTTTATATCAAAAACAGTAAGAAAAATGAAGTAACAGTTGAGATAGCAATAATTCATCAACCAAATACTATGATAATGATAAAAACATTGCAAGAAGCTATAGCCAGAACTGAGTGTTCTGCTCCTACTTAGTGCTAATGAGCCCAGTCCTAGCACACATCTTGGTTTGGTAGAAACTACAGGAGGTAGCATGGTTCATTACACCTTCAAAACTTTAAAATGTTAAAGAGGGTGGTTTCCCTCCTTCATTTCAAATGGATTGCTAAAAGCACTGGGCTATTCCTTGGTGGAAATTTGAATTTGCCAGTTTCTTCATCAATTTTGACTTTTTACATTCAAAAAGGAGTTAACTTTACACTAAGTCACAGCAGACTTAGACCTCCCGCAGTTCTGAATTGTGCTTAAACAAGTATTCAAGCACATGGGGATTTCTCAAGAAAATTTGGGGACCATATCTTAGAAAAAAAACTTACAAAATATTCGTTGAAGACTATAATATGCTAAAGCTAAGGAACAAAATTCTCTTGATTGTTCTAAAAATACCTAGTAAGAGCCACAGAACTCTTCCATAGTTTTCTAAGTAGTTTCATAAGTGTGGATTGTGGTTGCCCTGAAACTTGACATCTCCCTACCAAGTACTTGACAAGTGACCTGGCAAAAATGTGTTCAATAGCTCATTTTTGACATACTCCTTAAGAAATCATTGCCAGAGATTTGAAACTGCTTCAAGCTGATGTCTTTTTCAAAACAAAACACATACTCACACACAAATACAAAATCGCATTGCTATCAGTGATCTGGAAAATAAGCTTGCAAGCTGGCCATGTGGTGTTCTGAATAATTTTTTTAAAGTAGAAGAAGAAATGACAACAGTGCAACCAACAGTTTCTGTTTAAGTTTTATTTGCTAAGACGTTAGCATAAGGAACATCTTGTGATTTAATTAATCAGAAGATGGCACCTGCTGTAAATACTGACATGGAGAAAAGCAGATTTTTAAAAAAATTTGGAATAAATTAATTTCTTGTAATACATTTTTCTTGTTGATAAACAACTAAATTATGCTTTGAAATGTGTTACTGTCTAATAACTTTAAATGTTGACAAGGAGAAAGACTGGGTTTTTTTTTTTACATTTGAATAAGCAATTTTTTTCTGGAAACATATATATTTCTAATTTATAGATAAACTAGTATGTGTGTTCAGAATTCCTGCTCTCTCATTATTCAGGTTTCAAAATGTATTAACAAAGCTTTTATGGTTTTATAATAGACAATTAGATATCTTTCATCAGGTAATGTAAGAACTTGTATAGTGGTATATTAGTCAGTTTTCACACTGCTGATAAAGATATACCCGAGACAGGGCAATATGCAAAAGAAAGAGGTTTTTTTGGACCTACAGTTCCATGTGGCTGGGGAAGCCTCACAATCACAGTGGAAGGTGAAAGGCACGTCTCATATGGCAGCAGACAAGAGAAAAGAGCTTGTGCAGATAAACTCCCCCTTATAAAACCATCAGATCTCATGAGACCCATTCACTATCACAAGAACAGCATGGGAAAGACCTGCTCCCATGATTCAATTACCTCCCACCAAGTCCCTCCCACAATCCGTGGGAATTCCAAATGAGACTTGGGTGGGGACACAGCCAAACCATATCATTCCACCCCTGGTCCCTCCCAAATCTCATGTCCTCACATTTCAAAACCAATCATGCTTTCCCAACAGTCCCTCAAAGTCTTAACTCATTTCAGCACTATCTCAAAAGTCCACAGTCTAAAGTCTCATCTGAGACAAGGCAAGTCTCTTCTGCCTATGAGCAGCCAGTAAAATCAAAAGCAAGTTAGTTACTTCCTAGATGCAATGGAAGTACAGGCATTGGGTAAGCATAGCCATTCCAAGTGGAAGAAATTGGCCAGAACAAAGGGACTACAGGGGCGGTCAAGTCTTAAAGCTCCAAAATGATCTCCTTTGACTCCATTTCTCACATCCAGGTCATGCTGATGCAAGAGGTGGGCTCCCATGGCCTTAGGCAGCTCCGCCTCTGCAGCTTTGCAGGGTATAGCCCTCCTCCTGGCTGCTTTCACCAGCTGGCATTGAGTGTCTGTGCCTTTTCCAGGTGCATGGTGCAAGCTGTTAGTGGATTTATGATTCTGGGATCTGGAGGACAGTGGCCCACTTCTCACAGCTCCACTACGTGGTGTCCCAGTAGGGACTCTGTGTGGGGCTCACTCCACATTTTCCTTCTGCACTGCCCTAGCAGAGGTTCTCCATGAGGAGAACTTCATTCTGGGCATCCAGGCATTTCTATACATCCTCTGAAATTTAGGTGGTGGTTTCCAAGCCTCAATTTTTGACTTCCATGCACCCACAGGCTCAACACCATGTGGAAGCTGCCAAGGCTTGGGGCTTCCACTGTCTGAAGCAACAGCCCAAGCTGTACCTTGGCTTCATTTAAATCATCCTGGGAGCAACTGGGAGGCAGAGCACCAAGTTCCTAGACTGCACATAGCAGAGGGACCCTGGGCCAGGCCCACAAAACCATTTTTTTCCTCCAAAACCTAGGGGCCTGTGATGGCAGGGGCTGCTGCAAAGGTCTCTGACGTGCCCTGGAGACATATTCCCCACTGTCTTGGTGACATTCAGCTCCTCATTACTTATGCAATTTTCTGCAGCCAGCTTGAATTTCTCCTCAGGAAATGGGATTTTCTTTTCTATCACATTTTCAGTCTGTAAATTTTTCAAACTTTTATACTGTTTCCCTTTTAAAACTGAATGCCAGCCAGGTGCACTGGCTCATGCTTGTAATCTCAGCACTTTGGGAGTCTGAGACAGGCAGATCACCTGAGGTCACGAATTTGAGACCAACCTGGCCAACATGATAAAACCCCAACTCTACTAAAAATATAAAAATTAGTGAGGCATGGTGGCACATGCCTGTAATCTCAACTGCTTGGGAGGCTGAAGCAGAAGAATTGCTTGAACCCAGGAGGCAGAGGTTGCAGTGAGCTGAGATCATGCCACTGCACTCCTGCCTGGGTGACAAAGTGAGACTCTGTCTCAAAAACAAAACAAAACAGAACAGAACACTGAATGCCTTTAACAACACCCAAGTCACCTGTTGAATGCTTTGCTGCTTAGAAATTTCTTCCTCCAAATATCCTAAATCACCTCTCTCAACTTCAAAGTTCTACACATCTCTAGGGCAAGGGCAAAATGCTACCCATCTCTTTGCTAAAACATAACAAGAGTCACCTTTGCTCCAGTTCCCAACAAGTTATTCATTTCCATCTGAGACCACCTCAGCCTGGATTTTATTGTCCATATCATTATCAGCATTTTGGTCAAAACCATTCAACAAGTCTCTAGGAAGTTCCAAACTTTCCCACATTTTCCTGTCTTCTTCTGAGCCCTCCAAACTATTCCAACCCCTGCCTGTTACCCAGTTCCAAAGTCACTTCCACATTTTCAGGTATCTTTTCAGCAGCACTCCACTCCTGATACTAATTTACTATATTAGTCAGTTTTCACACTGCTGATAAAGACATACCTGAGGCTGGGCAATTTACAAAAGAAAGAGGTTTATCAGACTTACAGTTCCACGTGGCTGGGGAGGCCTCACAATCATGGTGGAAGGTGAAAGGCACATCTCACATGGCAGCAGAGAAGAGAAGAGAACTTGTGAAGGAAAACTCCCGCTTATAAAACCATCAGATCTCATGAGACTTACTCACTGTCATGAGAACAGCATGGGAAAGACCTGCCCCCATGGTTCAATTACCTCCCACCAAGTCCCTCTCACAATATGTGGGAATTCAAAATGAGATTTGTGTGGGGACATGGCCAAACAATATCAAATGGTTTTGATTTTTATGTTGAGGCACATTCTCAAGCTAGTATCATTTCAAGAAGAACCTGTTATTTGTTGATTTTGGAAATTTTAAAAATCAGATTTAATTTACACTGAAAAGTGGTTGACCTTAACGTTTCTCAGATAACCTGAAATGTTCATGTGGCATTCATTCATTCATTAATCCATCCACTTATTTGACAATAAAATATGATTTAGGTGACCTCTGAAGAGCTGTCTAAAAAGAATTACCTGGTAGAGTTAATCTGGATGTTTAGGACACTATGATCAAACTGAAGAAAAAGGCACCCATTTCTCTAATCCTTTCTTTGGGAAGCTGATTTCACTTTAAACTGAAAGTGAGAAAGGAAAAGGAAGAAGAAAAGAAACAGAGGGTAAAAGAAGAGAAAGAGGAAGGGAAAGAAAGAGATTAATGTATATTTTCTCCTAAGAAAGGCTCTTTTGTGTGTGTCGGTGTGTGTGTGCATGTGTGTTTCCTGTTGCCTGGATCTATCATAAAAAGCAATGTCTTCTCTGGAATGGGGCTTCAGTTTCCACATTTACAATTAGTACATATTACAATTAGTGATATGAATAAAGGCTGTTATCCTACATTTTCCAAGTTGTCATTCCTCTTCTTTCTTTAAAACTTTCATTATTGTTCATATAAAATTAAATTTCTACAATAGTATATCATACTCTTTTCTCAAGAAAATATGACAATATTCCATTGCATCACAGAATGCAATGAAAAATATAAAACTTCCATTTCTCTGTGACTTTGATATTAAAAATGAATTCTAGTCAATTGCTGAAATTGTTTAATAATAAAATAAAATCTGAATTTGAATAGGTTACCATTCCCTAAATATGCACAGTAAAAATAAAGATTGAGATCTTCTGTAATTGTTAGTTACGGGCTTTGGGTGACATTAAAAAAAAGAATAAAATCCAAAAAGTCTTGAAAATTTAACACTTTTTAGCCACCAGAAAAATTTTTAAATGTTTTCAAAAATAGATAAAAATAAAACTTCATTTTAAGCATTCTTGATTTTTCATAAATCTGTAATATCTGTGTATTCTCACATAACATACTCTATCAGTTCTGGACTCAAACAACAGAAAGACTGGCCAAGTTGAAAAAAATAATTTATTGGAAGGTTCTTGAATGGCTCTCAAGAAAGAGAAACTTTTGAATGATGGAAAACTTCAATGGTAGGATGGTACCAAGGTAGGAAATGCAGCCAGTAGGCAAATGTACAGCTAAAGTCGTGCCACAGAAACAGGTAAGCATGCCACGTTGATGGGATTCACACTACTTCATGATATGGCACCTTGGCATAATAATTTTAAGCTGAATACATTTGCAAAATGGTAGGTGCTGGAAAGACTCTGTCCTCCCACTTTTCCCCAGGTCACGAGACCCTCTTATGAGAAGTGCCTTCTCTATGACCAGAGGAAAGGCACATCCTTATCTCTAAAGACAGAGAAAAGCCTAAAGGAATCTGAACAAATAGGCCTCACTAAGTTTCCCCCAGTTTACTACTGTATTAGGCTATTCTTGCATTGTTATAAAGAAATACATGAACATGGGTAATTTATAAAGGAAAGATATTTTATTAGCTGACGGTTCTGCAGGCATTACAGGAAGCAAGTTGTGGCATCAGCTCAGCTTCTAGGGAGGCCTCAGGAAGCTTACAATCATGGCAGAAGGCAAAATGAGAGCAGGCACATCACATGACAAAAGCAGACACATCACATGGTGAAAGCAGGAGCAGGCAAGATAGGAAGAGTAGGAGGGAAGTGCCACACACTTTTAAATGACCAGATCTCATGTGAACTCAGAGCAAGAGCTCACTTATCATCAGAAAATGTCTGAAGCCATTCATGAGGGACCCCTCCCCGTGATCAAAACAACTCCCCACCAAGTTCCACCTCCAACACTAGGGGTTACATCTCAACATGATATTTGGAGGGGATATTCAAACTACATCACTCTACCCCTGGTCTCTCAAATTTAATGTCCTTCCCATATTTTAAAATAAAATAATCCATTCTCAGCAGTCCCTCAAAGCTTTAACTCATTTCAGCGTTAACTCAAAAGTCCAAATTCCAAAGTCTCATCTGAAACAAGGTAAGTCCCTTCCATCTATAAGCTTGCAAATTCAAAAATAAGTTAGTTGTTTTCAAGATAAAATTGGCAAATAAGCACTGGGTAAACATTTTCATTCCACAAAAGAAAAATTAGCCAAAAGAAAAGGTCTACAGACCCCATGAAAGTTCAAAACCCAGCAGGGCGGTCATTAAATCTTAAAGCTCCAAAATAATCCCCTGTGACTCCATGTCCCATATTCAGGGCACACTGGTACAAGGGGCGGTTCCCAAGGCCTTGTCAGTTCCAACCCCTGTGGCTTTGCAGGGTTCAGCCCCAGAGGTTGCTCTCCCAGGTTGTTGAGGGCCTGTGGCTTTTACAGGTGTAGGGTACAAGCTGCTGGTGGGACTACCATTCTCTTGGGTCTGGAGGGCAGTGGCCTTTTTCTCACAGCTTCACTAGGTAGTGCCACAGTGGGGAGGGTAATAGCCCCCTTCTCACAGCTCCACAGTGAGGAATCTGAGTGAGGCCTCTCTTATCCCTAAGCCCTGCCCTAATGGGAGTTCTCTGTGGTGGCTCCACCCCTGCAGCAGGCTTCTACCTGGGCACCCAGGCTCTTCCATAAATCCTGTGAAATTTTGGCAGAGGGTGCCAAGTCTTATTCACTCTTGTATCTTGTGTGTGCCCACAGGCTTAACACAACATGGGGGCTGCCAAGGTTTATGGTTTGCACCTTCTGAAGCTGTGGCCCAAGCTATACCTGGGATCCTCTGAGCTGAGGCTGGAGCTAGAGTGGACTGGATGTGGGGAGCAGTGTCCCAAGGATGTACAGGACAGCAGGATCCTGGGCCAGGTCCACAAAACTATTCTTCCCTCTTAAGCCTCCAGGGCTATGATGGGAGGGGCTGCCATGAAGGTCTCTAAAATGCCTTCAAGGTCTTTTTCTCATTGTCTTGGATAGTAGAACTTGGCTCTCTTTTAGTTATGCAAATATCTCTGGTAAGCAGTTGCTCCATAGCCTGCTTTTATTCTTCTCCCAAAAAGGCTTTTCTTTCTCTGCCACACTATCAGGCTGCAAATTTTACAAACTTTTATATTCTGCTCCCTTTTAAATATAAGTTCCAACTTTAAGGTTTTTTTGCTCCAACATCTGAGCATAGGTTGTTAGAAGCAGCCAGACCACTTCTTGAACACTTTGCTGCTTAGAAATTCTACCAGATACCCTAAATAATCACTCTTAAGTTCCAACTTCCCATGAGCCCTAGGGCAGGGACACAATGCAGCCAAGTTCTTTGCTAAGGTATAACACATGTGACCTTTGCTCCAGTTTCCAATAATTTCCACATTTATATTTGAGACCCAGGCCTTCACTGTCATATCACTCTCAACATTTTGGTCACAACCACTTAACCAGTCTAAAAATTTCCAAACTTTGCCTGTTTTCCTGTCTTCTTCTGAGCCCTCTGAACTCTTCCAACCTCTGCCCATTATGAGTACCAAAGCTACCTCCACATTTTCAGGTATCTTTACAGCAATGCACCCCTCTCCTTGGTACCAATTATCTGTATTTGGTCAGTCTTGCATCGTTGTAAAGAAATACCTGAAACTGGGTAATTTATAGAAAAAGGGGTTTTCATTGGCTCACAGTTCTGCAGGCTTTACAGGAAGCCTGTGTTGGCATCAGCTCAGCTTTTAGAAAGGGCTCAGGAAACCTGCAATCATGGCAGAAGGCAAAGTGGGGGCAGGCACATTACATGAGAAAAGCAAGCATGTCACATGGTGAAAGCAGGAGCAAGTGAGAGAAAGAGTAGGAGGGAGGTGCCACATACTTTTAAGCAACCATATCTCATGTAAACTCAGAACAAGAGCTCACTTTTCACCAAGGAGATGGCCCACGCCAGATGGCCCACGCCATTCATGAGGAACCCATTGCCATGATCAAAACACCTCCCAACAGGCCTCACCTCCAACACTGGGATAACATCTCAACATGAGATTTGGAGAGGACATCCAAATTATATTGACTATGCTTAGTATGTACCTTTTTGTCCTATCACATTTTTCAAAAATATTCATTCTTCATCAAACATAATATGAAAACACTCAGATTTAACTGTTTCGTGGGTCTTTATTTCCTTATGAAGACTCCCATGATATATAAAATGTATATAGATTTTTATTTTATTATAATTAATTTCTCTCATTAATTTGTCTTTCATCGGTCCAATTTACAGGGCTTCAGCCAAGTAACCTGGAAGGATAATGAGAAAAATAAATTTTTCTTCTAATGCAGCCTCCATGACATGAAACCCCACATTTCCCTTTTGCACTGCCCTAGCAGAGGTTCTCCATGAGTGCCCCATCCCAGAGCAAACTTCTGCCTGGGTACCCAGGCGTTTCCATACATCTTCTGAAACCTAGGCGGGGGTTCCCAAACCCCAGTTCTTTATTTCTGTGCACAGGTAGGCTCAACACCATGTGGAAGCTGCCAAGGCTTTGGGCTTGCACCCTCTGAAGCCACGGCCTGAGCTCAATGTTGGTCCCTTTCAGCCATGGCCAGAGCAGCTGGGACACAGGGCGCCAAGTCCCTAGACTGCACACAGCATAGGGAATCTGGGCCTGGTCTCCCAAACCACTTCTTCCTCCTAAGCCTCTGGGCCTGTGATAGGAGGGGCTGCTGTGAAGACCTCCGACATGCCCTGGAGACATTTTCCCCCTTGTCTTGAGGATTAACATTCAGCTCCTCATTAATTACGCAATTTCTGCAGCCGGCTTGAATTTCTCCTCAGAAAATGGCATTTTCTTTACTATCTCATTGTCAAGCTGCAAATTGTCCAAACTTATGTTCTGCTTCCCTTATAAAGCTGAATGTCTTTAACAGCACCCAAGTCACATCTTGAATGCTTTGCTGCTTAGAAATTTTTTCTGCCAGGTACCCTAAATCATCTTTCTCAAGTTTAAGGTTCTACAAATCTCTAGGGCAAGGGCAAAATGCCACCCATCTCTTTGCTAAAACATAGCAAGAGTCACCTTTACTCCAGTTCCCAACAAGTTCCTCATCTCCATCTGAGACCATCTCAGCTTAGACTTTATTGCCTGTATCACTATCAGCATTTTGAGCAAAGCCATTCAACAAATCTTTAGGAGGTTCCTAACTTTCCTGTCTTCTTCTGAACCCTCCAAACTGTTCCAAACTTTGCCTGTTACCCATTTGCAAAATCACATCCACATTTTTGGGTATATTTTCAGCAGTACCCCACCCCTGGTACCAATTTACCATATTAGTCCCTTTTTTTTTTTTTTTTTTTTTTTTTGCTGCTGCTGAAGGCATACTCAAGACTGGCAATTTACAAACGAAAGAGGTTTAACTGAACTTACAGTTCCATATGGCTGGGGGAGGCCTCAAAATCATGGCAGAAAACAAGGAGGAGCAAGTCACATCTTAGCAAACAGCAGCAGGCAAAAATAAAAGAGAGCTTATGTAGGGAGACTCCCATTTTTAAAACCATCAGATCTCATGAGACCCATTCACTAACATGAGAACAACAGGGGAAAAACTCACCCTCATGATTCATTCATCTCCCACCAGGTCCCTCCCACAACAAGTGGGAATTATGGGGGCTACAAAATGAGATTTGGGTGGGGACGCAGAGCCAACACATATCAAACTGGGAGTGGCATTGCTGGGTCATAAGGAAGCTTCATTTTTAGTATTTGAGGAACTCAAACATTCTCCATAGTGGTTGCACTAATTTACATTTCCACCAACAATGTACAATAGTTCCCTTTTCTGCACATCCTCACCAGCATTTTTCATTGCCTGACTTTTGGATGAAAGCCATTTTAAATGAAGTGCGACAATATCTCATTGTATTTTTTATCAGCATTTGTCTGATGACTAATGATGTTGAACACCTTTTCATACACCTGTTTGCCATTTGTATGTCTTCTTTTAAGAAATACTTATTGAGATCTTTGGCCAATTTAAAAATCAGATAAATCTATTTTTCACTATGGAGTTTTTTGTGATCCTTATATGTTTCATTATTAGGTGGTTAGTTTGCAAATATTTTCTCCCATTCTGTGGGTTGTCTACTCACTTTGTTGATTTTTTCGTTTGCTGTGCAGAAGCTTTTTAATTTGATGGGATCACATTTGTCTTTGTTTTGACTGACCATGCTTGTGGAGTATTATTCAAGAAATCTTTGCCCAGTCCAATGTTCTGGAGCGTTCCCCCAAAGTTTTTGTGTAGTAGTTTCATAGTTTGAGGTCTTAGATTTAAGTCTTTAATCCATTTTCATTTTATTTTTGTATAAGGCAAGTTATGGGGCATAGTTCTATTCTTTTGCTTATGGATATCCAGTTTTTCTAGCACCATATATTGAATACTATTCTTTCTCCAATCTATGTTCTTGGCACCTCTCTCAAAAATGTGTTCACCATAGACACATGGATTTATCTATGGGTTCTCTATTCTGTTCCATTGGCCTATGTGTATGTTTTTGTGGCAGTATTATGCTGTTTGGTTTACTATAGCTCTGTAATATAATTTAATGTCAGGAAATGTGAATCATCCAGTTTTGTTCCTTTTGCTTAGGATTTCTTTGGTTATTCTGGGTCTTTGGTGGTTACATATAAATTTTACAATTTTTTTTCTATTTCTGTAGAGAATTTCATTGGTATTTTGATAGAGATTACATTGAATCTGCAGATTGTTTTGGATAGTATGGACATTTTAATAATATTAATTATCCAATACATGAACATGGAATATCTTTTCATTTTTTGGTGTCCTCTTCAATTTCTAATATTAATGTTTTACAGGTTTTATTGTAGAGACCTTTTACTTCTTTGGTTAAATTAATTTAAGGTATTTTTATTTATTTGTAGCTACTGTAAATGGATTGCTTTATTGATTTCTTGTCCAGATCATTTGCTGTTGGCATATAGAAATGCTACTGATCTTTTTATGTTGATTTTCTGTCCTGCAACTTTATTGAATATATTTATCAATTCTAAGTTTTTTTGGTGGAGTCTTTAGGTTCTTCCAAATATAAGATCATATCATCAGCAAACAATAATTTGACTTCTTTTTTCCAATTTGAATGCCTTTATTACTTTCTTATGCCTGATTGCTCTAGCAAGGGCTTCTAGTAGTATGTTGAATAACACAATTGAAAGTAGTCGTCCTTGTAATATTCCTGAACTTAGGGGAAAGGCTTTCCGTTTTTTTTTTTTTTTTTTTTGAGACGGAGTCTTGCTCTGTGGCCCAGGCGGGAGTGCAGTGGCGCAATCTCGGCTCACTGCAAGCTCCGCCTCCAGGGTTCACGCCATTCTCCTGCCTCAGCCTCCCGAGTAGCTGGGACTACAGGCGCCCACCATCATGCCCGGCTAATTTTTTTTGTATTTTTAGTAGAGACGGGGTTTCACCGTGTTAGCCAGGATGGTCTCGATCTCCTGACCTCGTGATCCGCCCACCTCGGCCTCCCAAAGTGCTGGGATTACAAGCGTGAGCCACCGCGCCCAGCCTCCATTTTTCCTCATTCAGTATGATACTAGCTATATGTCTGTTGTATATGGATGTTATTATGTTGACATATGTTCCTTACGCACCCAGTTTTTTTATGTTTTTATTATGAAGGGATGTTAAATTTTATCATATTTTTCAGCATCAACTGAGATTATCATATGGTTTTTGTCTTTCATTCTGTTGATATGATGTGTAACATTGATTGATTTATGTAAGTTGGACCATCCTTGCATTCATGGAATGAATCCCACTTTGTCATGATAAATGGTGTTTTTAATGTGTTGTTGAATTGGGTTTGCTAGTATTTTGTTGAGCATTTGTGCCTCAATATTCATCAGTGATATTGGTTTATGATTTTTTTTTATGTGTCTTCATCTGGTTTTGGTATCAGCATAATATAGGCCTCATACAATGAGTTCAAAAGTACTTCCTCCCCCTCTATTTTTTTGTAATAGTTTGAGTAGCATTGGTATTAGTTGTTCTTTAAATGTTTGGTAGAATTCAGCAGTAAGGCCATGGGTTCCTTGATTTTCTTTGCTGGGATTCATTTCATTGCAACGTTTATCTCATTGTTTGTTGTTGATGTTTAGATTTTGAATTTCTTCATGGTTCAATAATGGTAGGTTTTGTGTGTCTAGTAATTTATCCATTTCTTCTAGATTTTCAAAATTATTCCCATGTAGTGGCTCATATTAGCCACCAATGATCCTTTGAATTTCTCTGTGGTATCAGTTATCAGCTGTAATATCTCTTTTTTTATATCTGACTTTATTTATTTGGCTCTTCTCTTTTTTTTCCTATCAGTCTGACTAAACGTTTGTCTATACTGTTTATCTTTTCAGAATGTAATTTTTGTTTCATTGATATTTTGTATTGTTTTATTCATTTCAAATGTATTTATTTCTGCTCTGATCTTTATTATTTATTTTCTCCTACTAATTTTGGGTTTGGTTTGCTCTTGCTTTTCTAGTTCCTTAAGATGCATCATTTGATTGTTTATTTGAAATTTTTCTTTTCTCTTGATGTAGGCAATTATAGCCATAAACTTCCCTTTGAATACTGCTTCTGCTGTATCCCATAGATTTTGATATGTTGTGATTCTGTTATCTTGTATTACGAGAAATTTTTCAATTTCTTTCTTAATGTCTTCATTGACTCACTGGTCATCAGGACCATATTGTTTATTTTACATGTGTTTGTATGATTTTCCAAAATTTCTCTTGTTATTGATTTCTAGTCTTATTCCATTGTGGTCAGTGAAAATGTTTGAAACAATTTCATCTTTTTTAAATGTTTTAAGACTTGTCTGTGGGCCAGGCACAGTGGCTTATGCCTGTAATCCCAGCATTTTGGGAGGCCGAGGCAGATGGATCACCTGATGTCAGGAGTTCAGGACCAGCCTGGCCAATATGGAGAAACACCATCTCTACTAAAAATACAAAAAAAAAAAAAAAATTAGCTTGGCTTGGTGAAGGGCACCAGTAATCCCAGCTACATAGGAGACTGAGGCAGGAGAAACACTTAAACCTGGGAGGCAGAGTTTGCAGTGAGCTGAGGTCATGCCATTGCACTCCAGCCTGGGCAGTAAGAGTGAAACTCCATCTCAAAAAAATAAAAATAAAAAAAATAAGACGAAAAGACTTGTTTGTGACACAAGTCACAAACTGTGGTCTATCCTTGAAAATAATCCACATGCTGAATTAAAGAATGTGTATTCTTCAGCTGTTGGATGAAATGTTCTGTCAATATTTATTTGTCCATTTGGCTTATATGTAGATTAAATCCAATATTTCTTCTTTAATTTTTTTTTGTCTGGAAGATCTCTTTGATGCTAAAAGTGAGGTGTTGAAGTCTCCAGCTATTATTGTATTGTGATCTATCTCTCTCTTTAGTTCTAATAATATTTGCCCTATATTTGTTTGCTCCAATGTTGGGTGCATATACATTTACAATTGTTATATACTCTTGCTGTATTGACCCATTTATCATTACATGGTGATCTACTATGTCTCTTTTTATGGGTTTTTTTCCTTGAAATCTATTTTGTCTGATATAAATATAACTTCTCCTGATCTCTTTTTGGTTTCCAGTGGCATTCAATATCATCTTCCATCCATTTGTTTTCAGCCTATGTGTGTCCTTATAAGTGAAGCATGTTTCTTGTAGGCAACAGATTATTGATTCTTGGTTTTTTATCCATTAAGCCACTCTGAGTCTTTTAATTGGAGAGTTTAGTCCATCTACATTCAATGTTATTATTGATAAGTTAGGACTTACTACTGCCATTTTCTTATTTGTTTTCTGGTTGTTTTGTGGTCTTCTACTCCTTCTGTCCTTTCTTCCTGTCTTCCTTTTAGTGAATGTAATTTTCTCTGGTGGTGTGCTTTAATTATTTGCTTTTAAATTTTTGTGTAGCCGTTGTGTGTTTTTTGATTTGAGGCTACAATGAGGCTTGCAATACTGTCTTATAACCCACTATTTTAAGTGATAACAACTTGACACTGCACAAAAAAAAAGAAAGTAAATTAATAAAAAGTCTTTACTTTGTTTTCCCACTTTTTAACTTTGTGTTGTTTCTATTTATGTTATTATGTTTCCTATGTCTCAAAAAGTAGTCATAGTTATTAATTTTGATTGGTTCATCATTTAGTCTTTCCTACTTAAGAGTTGTTTACACACCACAGTTACTGTTCTATAATACTGTGGGGTTTTCTGTGTACTTATTATTAGCAGTGAGTTTTGTATCTTCAGATGATTTTATATTGTTCATTAACATCCTTTTCTTTCAGTTTGAAGAACTTCCTTTAGCCTCTCTTGTAGGAGAGGTCTGGTGTTAATTAAATCCCTCAGCTTTTGTTTGTCTGAGAAAGTCTTTACATCTCCTTCATGTTTGAAGGATATTTTCACCAGATATACTATTCTAGGGTAAATTTTTTTTTCCTTCAGCACTTTGAATATGTCATGCCACTCTCTTCTGGCCTGTAAAGTTTCCACTGAAAAGTCTGTGGCCAGACAGATTGGAGCGCCATTGTATGTTATTTGTGTATGGGTTTGTTGTTGTTGTTGTTTTGTTTTGTTTTGTTCTTTGTCTTACTGCTTTTATAATCCCTTCTTTATCCTTATCCTTGTTCTTTGGGAATTTGATTATTAAATGCCTTGAGGTAGTCTTATTTGGGTTAAATCTACTTGGTTATAACCTTCTTGTACTTGAATACTGATAATTTTCTCTAGTTTTGGGGAAGTTCTCTGTTATTATTCCTTTGAATAAACGTTCTATCCCTATCTATTTCTCTCTAATTCCTCTTTTAGGCTAACAACTCTTAGATTTGCCCTTTTGAGGCTATTCTAAATCCTTTAGGAATTCTTTTTAATTCTTTTTTTTTTTTTGCCTTATCTGATGGTATATTTTCAAATAGCCTATCTTCATTCTTCTGCTTGATCACTTTTGCTATTGAAAAGTTCTGATGCATTCTTCAGTAAGTCAATTGTATATTTCAACTCTGGAATTTCTGCTTGTTTCTTTTTAATTATTTCAATATCTTTTTAAAATTTATGTGATAGAATTCTGAATTCTTTCTCTGTGTTATCTTGAACTTCTTTGTTTCCTCAACACAGCTATTTTGAATTCTCTGTCTGAAAGGTCACATATCTCTGTTTCTCCAGAATTGGTCCCTGGTGCCTTACTTAGTTTGTTCAGTGAGGTCACGTTTTCTTGGATTGTCTTGATGCTTATGGATGTTTGTCTATGTCTGTGCATTGAAAAATTATTTATTATAGTATTTGCAGTCCAGGCTTCTTTGTCCCTGTCCTTCTTGGGAATGTTTTCCAGATATTTAAAAGGACTTGTGTGCTGTGATGTAAGCTGTGTCTTCATTAAGGGGCACCCTAAGCCCCGTAACACTGGTTCTTACATACTCATAGAGGTACCACCTTGGTGGTCATGGATAAGAACTGGAAGAATTCTCTGGATAACCAAGCAGATAGTCTTGTTCCCTTCCCTCACCTTCTCCCAAATAAATGGAGTCTGTCTCTGTCTTCTGTGTTGCTGGTAGCTGAGGGTGAGGTGACACAAGCACCTCTGTGGCCACTACCACTGGGACTGCACTGGGTCAGACCTGAAGGCAGCACAGTAGTGGATATTGCCCAAGACCCACTGTAACCACTAACTGGCTACTGCCTATGTTCATTCAAGGCCCTGGAGCTCCACAATCAGAAGGTGGTAAAGACAGCCAGGCTTCTGCCCTTCCTTCAGAGTGATGAGCTCCCCGGGCTCTGAGTGGGTCAAGAAGTGCCACCTGAGAGCCAGAGACTTGAGTCAGAAAACCTTACATGTCTACTGGTGTTCTACTGTACTGCAGCTGAGCTGGCACTCAAACCACAAGACACAGTCCTTCCCACTTTTTCCTTTCCTTTCCTTTTTACAGGCAGAGGAGCCTCACCCCATGGCCACCATTCCCACATGCCCATGAGGAGTACTGCCAGGATACCACTGATGTTCTTTTAACATTAAAGGGCTCTCCAATCAGCTTGTGGTAAATGCTGCCTGGCCTGGGACTCACGCTTCAGAGCAGTGGTCTCCCCTCTGGACCAGGGCAGGTCCAGAAATGCCCTCCAAGATCCAAGAACTAGAATCAGGGATCTTAAGAGCCCACTTCATGCTTTACCTCCATGTGGCTGATCTTGTACCTAAGGTGCAAGACAATGTCCCCTTTACTTTTCCCTCAACTTTTCTCAAGAATAAGGAGACTCTCCCCATAGAGATAAACAGTCTCACCCCATAGACAGACAGATTTGACACACAACTGGGAATGTGCTTTATTGTCTTCTATACCCAAATTCTCTAACTGCTCATTAAAATAAATATACTAAACAATTCATCCAAATGTTGTATTTTATTTGAGGTAGGCTTGAAAACTATAGTCAGTTGATACAAATTTTAAAGTTAATATTTTATAAAGATTAAAATTTCAATTTAGGGAGATGGGGATGATAGACAGACACACAGATCTAACTTTTCTTCCTCAAGATCAACATTTCTTAGTAGAAAAAATATACAAAGAATTTCTTTGCTTTAAGTTACTTTTTTAAGAACAAGAATAAAAATGAGCAAATAAAAATTTTTCATCATAAAAATTTTTTTGTAATGTTATTTAGAATAGAGATAGCATATTACCTTGAACCTGTAAATTTACTCCAGCACATAGTTCTAGTAAGGGTTTTCTTAGTAGTAGTTTGGCTTCCACTACAATTATTTATTAATTATTAATTATTTATTAATTGTGTAATTAATTAAATGTGTAATTGACATGAAAAACTTTATATACACATTTAATATTTTAGTTTTAATAGATATTTTTCTTGTACTCTATTTCAGCACCACTAACATAATCATGTGTGAGCAAACTATAAAAGAGTCATATTAAAAATTGAAATATTAAAAATTAATACAAAAATTAATTACCCTTAGGAGAGTAGCTTCACAGAACAATCCAGTATTTCAAAGCAGGCTAACTGTTTCTCTTTTAAAATAAAATTGTCATAATGTTAGTTTGAGCACTGGTAAGTTCTGAGGACATGGAGGTTCTCAAAAAAATCTGGGAACCAAATTCCAGATTCCTGTCCCAGAGGAAAAAACTTTACCTAGATCATCTGTTATCTGTGTACGTACTGAGTTGCTAATCTGAATGTTATGAGAAAATGAGAGTTTAAAAATTGGTAATATGAAACAAACAAAATAATATGAAAGCATTATAATTAGTTGGATGGCACATTTATTATATTTTATTTTATTTATAATAAGCGCTTTTGATCTTGGGAAAAATGAATGAGGATTCTGCATTTATCTGTAATCCTTAACACTCAATAAATTTCTTTTCTGTTTCCACTGTATCATTTAGACTGACTTAAAATGTGATATGAATTCATTCATTCATTCACCAATTATTTTTGAATGCACACTTTTACCAAACACTGTACTTTTTTTTTTTTTTGAGATGGAGTCTCACTCTGTCGCTCAGGCTAGAGTGCAGTGGCACAATCTCGGCTCACTGCAACCTCTGCCCCCTGAGTTCAAGCGATTCTGCCTCCTCAGCCTCCCGAGTAGTTAGGATTACAGGCGCCTGCCACCGCACCTGGCTGATTTTTGTATTTTTAGTAGAGACGGGGTTTCACCATCTTGGCCAGGCTGGTCTTGAACGCCTGATCTTGTGATCCACCAGCCTTGGCCTCCAAAAGTGTTGGGATTACAGGCGTGAGCCACCGACCCTGGCCCAAACACTGTACTTTTATATAAATATGAGGGACTCACAGTGTAATAGAAGAGACAGACAAATAAATTATTACAAGACAATGTAGTATTGCAAATGTATTTATGAAGTGTTTGGGAAGCACAAAAAACTGATTAATTGATGGAGGCGGGAAAGATTTCACAAAAGAGATGACATTGAAGCTTGATCTTGCTATATGACAGTTTCATGCTGATTATAAATTGCAATAAATATTTGATAACTATGAGCTTGAGTCCTCATTTACAACAATGTGTGTCAAGACAGTAAAATTCATTTTAATTTATAGTGAAAATATTATCACTTGTATCCATCAAATGAAAAGTTGATAATCACTTACTGCAACTATTTATTCTTACAATGTCTGTTGATTCCACTCAAATCAGGTTTTTGTCCCCATCACTTTGGTAAAACTCAGTGTCATTCCTAATCTCCACATTTCTAACTCCAAACATAGTTTCTCAGTCCTTGTTTTACTTGACCTGTCAGCAGCATTTGGTAAGATTGGTAGATTACTCACGCCTCCCTGAAACATTTTCTGTACTTGGTTTCCATGAAAACATATGTGCCTCATTTTTCTTCTATCTTTCCAGCCACTCCTTTTCAGATTTTTTCTGATGATTCCTCCTTTTCTTTCAAATAACTAAATGTCAGAGTGCTGTTCTCAAACTGCTTCTCTTTTCTTGTTACACTCAATCCCTAAGCGATATCAGTCAATATCTCAGCTTGAAACAGCATCTGTATGCTGCTCCACATCTATATCACAGCCCAAAATTCTGTGCTGTACTCTAAACAGTTATCCCAACCTCCCATTCAGCATCCCTACTTGTAATGTTTAGAGAACATCCCACAGTTAAATATCTCAAATCTGAATTCCTTATATTTCCCTCTAAACTGACTCCTCCTGTGGACTTCCCTATCTGATATGGTTTGGACATTCGTCCCCTCCAAATCTCATGTTGAAATGTGATTCCCACAGTTGGAGGTCTGGCCTGGTTGGGGGTGACTGGATCATTGGGCAGATCCTTCATGAATGGTTTAGCATCATCCCTTCATGATAAGCAAGTCTTGATCAGTTCACCCAGGAGATCTGGTTGTTTAAAAGTCTGGGGACTTACCCCTACTCTTTCTTGCTCCTGCTCTTGCCATGTGACATGCCTGCTGTCCTTTCACTTTCTGCCATGATCAGAAGCTTCCTGGGGCCTCACCAGAAGGTGAGCAGGATTGCAGAACCATGTTTCCTGTATAACCCACGGAACTGTGGGCCAATTAAACCTTTTTTCTTTATAAATTACTCAGTTTCAGGTATTCTTTTGTAGCAATGCAAAAACAGCCTGACACACCATCTTAGGTAAGGGATAATTCAATTATTTCAGTTGTTCTGGACAAAAAAATTTTGGACTGACTCCATCTCTGACTCTTCTCTTGCCCTCAGAAGCCACATCTTATCCATTACCAAACTCTGTCAACTCTAGCTTCAAATTACACCTGGAATTTGATAAATTCTAGGCACCTTCACTTTTCGTGTCTGAACCACCATCATATATTGCCTGGATTTGTGTAATAACCTCCTAACTTGTCACCTTAATTCTAGCTGAGGCTTCTTCACTTTATTTTCAACATTGGAGCATAGCAATGTTGTCAAGTCAGATTATTTCCCTGCTAAGAACTTTTTAATATCTCCATGTCGCTTTGAGTGGAACCACGCTTTTTGCTATTAATCACAAAATCCTATGTGACCTATCATCTTTCTGTTATCAATTGCTACAACTCTTCACCCATATTTGACTCCAGTCTCTCCAGCCTTCTTATTGTTCCTTACGTGTGCCAGGCATGCTCCCACCTCAGGTATTTGAACTTGTTCTTCTTGGAATTAACCGTGTGAGTATCAGCTTGGACAGATGTCTTCCTTCAGGTTATTACTCAAATTTCACATTTTCAATGAAATCTTACTTTTTCTAAAATTTTCATTTCCATCTAAGTTATTTGTATCCCCCTTCTTTGCTCTATTTTTTCTCCTTAGTAATTGTAACTAACACTATAACACTATGTAATTTACCTATTTATCTTTTTTCACTTTCTGTCTTTTCCATTAGAGTATGCTCCATGATGGCAGGGATTTTTGTATGTTTTGCTCATTACTGTTTCTTTAATATTTAGAAGCAGTGCCTGACACATAATAAATGCTAAATAAATACTTCTTAAATAAATAACATACAGCATAGAGACTCAGCAGTACAAAAATTAGTACCACTAGGCCAGGCATGGTGGCTCATGCTTATAATCCCAGCATTTTGGGAGGCCGAGGAGGGTGGATCACGAGGTCAGGAGATCGAGACCATCCTGGCTAACACAGTGAAACCCCATCTCTACTAAAAATACAAAAAATTAGCCAGGCATGGTGGCAGGTGCCTGAGTCCCAGCTACTCTGGAGGCTGAGGCAGGAGAATGGCATGAACCCAGGAGGCAGAGCTTGCAGTGAGCTGAGATTGTGTCACTGCACTCCAGCTTGGGCGACAGAGCAAGACTCCATCTCAAAAAGAAAAGAAAAATTGGTACCACTACTAAATATTTACTCAGCTGGGTTCTAAGGAAGTTACTACAGAGGAAATGTGGAAATATGTATAGCTCTTGTCAAATCAGAGGCCCTTTAAACTGGAAGGACGAGAAAAGCAATACATCAAGGCATGCAACCTGGCACAAAGTCTTGACCACTTTCTTCTCAAGCCAAAATTTCAGTTGGGATGTTGAGGTGGTGGCAGATCTGAAGCTGAATCTTATGCGATGTCAACATTCTTGCCATAAATAAATGTGTTTTCCAATTACTCTTCTATTTGTTCTGAAACCTTCCCCAATTTTAATTATTATCAAACACTCATTTTTTGCCTTTATATTTTTAATTGGCATTATTCAGTTCACTAAAGAATTTGCTAATATACAAATGGTCAACCTTATGTGTAATGTCATTTCCACAATCGCATGTTCTATTTCCTTCCAGAAATTTATGCAAAATGTCTCTATTGTGTCTTACTCTGTTCAGTTCCATTGTTTATAAATGGGGTAGCTTACAAACAACAAAAGTTTATTTCTCACAGTTTTGGAGGCTGGGAAGTCCAAGATCAGGGTGCCAGCAAATTTGATGTGTGAGAAAGGCCCACTAGCTGGTTCATAGGTGGTGACTTCTCACTTTTCATGTGGTGGAAGGGTCGGACAGCACTTTCCAGGGCCTCTTTTATAAGGGAGCAAATCCTATTCATGAGGGATCCACTTTCTTTTTTTTTAAATTTTTTTAGTATTTATTGATCATTCTTGGGTGTTTCTTGGAGAGGGGGATTTGGCAGGGTCATAGGACAATAGTGGAGGGAAGGTCAGCACATAAACATGTGAACAAAGGTCTCTGGTTTTCCTAGGCAGAGGGCCCTGCCGCCTTCCGCAGTGTTTGTGTCCCTGGGTACTTGAGATTAGGGAGTGGTGATGACTCTTAAGGAGCATGTTGCCTTCAAGCATCTGTTTAACAAAGCACATCTTGCACCGCCCTTAATCCATTCAACCCTTAGTGGACACAGTACATGTTTCAGAGAGCACGGGGTTGGGTGTAAGGTTATAGATTAACAGCATCCCAAGGCAGAAGAACCTTTCTTAGTACAGAACAAAATGGAGTCTCCTATGTCTACTTCTTTCTACACAGACACAGCAACAATCCGAGGGATCCACTTTCATGACTTAATCATCCCCCAAACCCTGCCTCCTAATATCATCATTAATGGTTAGGATTTCAACAGATGAATTTTGGGGGGACACAAACATTCAAGACCATAGCACATCAAAATATATGAAATTAATTCACTTAGCTTTTAATGCCAATAACAGAAATACTACTAAAAACAGAATAGTTGTTTAGTTGTTGAGATAATAACACAATGCAAAATTTAATAATTTTTAACATAGTCTCAACTAAAATTAGCAATAAACTATGCTGGATTTCTTTATCTTATGAAATACTATCTTCAGTTGGATTTTTAAAAACTGTCTATTTTGACTATTGTATTTTTTAGGTATTCTACCTTACAAAACACATAATGTTGAGCTCTCAGTGGCTTATCTCTATGGAAATTTCTCATTTACACAAAAGCCAAATATCACAGTTGAGGTGAGAGGTTTACTCCTCCATACAAGTATTCGAGGACTCGGGCTGAGGGGGCCTGTGCTTTCTTCAAAACATGGCTTCTAGGGTCAACTTAGGCATTTAAAATCTAACTAAAGGCAAAGAAGGAGAGAGTAGAGAAACATATAGGAAGTTTTTAATGGGCTAGGCTTAGATATGGCATATATCATATCTACATTTTTGCATTAGGCCATTCTCACACTACTATAAAGAACTACCCGAGACTGGGTAATTTATTAAAAAAAAAAAGAGGTATATTTGACTCACAGCTCTGGAAGCTGTACAGGAAGTGTGACTAGGAGGCCTCAAAAAGCTTACAATCATGGCAGAAGATGAAGGGGAAGCAAGCATGTCTTATCATGGCAGAGCTGGAGAAAGAGAGCAAAAGGGGAAGTGCTACACACTTTTAAACATCCAGATCTCGTGAGAACTCACTCACTATCACAAGAAGAGCAAGGGGGAAGTCCACCCCCAAGATCCAATCACCTCCCACCAGACCCTACCTGCAACACTCAGAATCACAATTCGACATGAGATTTGGGTGGGGACACAGAGTCAAACCAAATCAATTCAATAGGCCAACACTCAGACTTTTGGCCAAATTTTCCATTGTCAAGAAAGGCTGGAAGACGTGTATCAGAAACATAGGAAAAATAGATTTTGTTAAATGTATCCAGTCTCTTCACATTCTGTTTTTACTCACTAAATATCCATTTTTCTTTTGCTTTCACATAAAGAACACATTCTTCCATTCCCTCAAAGTTCTATTCAGTGACCACATCCAGATCAAAGTCGGGTATTTTCTAGTGATGTGAAAACTCTTCATTGAGTCCAAATGTGGCTCTTCATTATCTGGCAACTCTACTTCCACCCTTTACTTCCACATCACATATTCAATTTATGAAGGTAGTGAAAGAACATAGTAACTACATTAAAAGCTTCCATTCAGAAGAGGAAAAAACGTGACTGTGGCAAGAATTTATAAAATCTTGCAGGGAAACATTTTGAAGGGTCCCTACACATTTGGAGGAGAAAATTCCTTTATTAGACTAAGTCTAATTTCTGGGAACTCTCCCTTATCCATTGCTGTCCCTGGCCCCCTCCCTCCAGGCTATTGAAACATCTTCCTTGACCATTATCCTCTATAGACACACCTGAGGTTGGTATGGAAGATTAGGCCTTCCCTTGCTATTGTAGAGGTTTTGAAAGCCTGATTCCTGTTTCAGTAGGAATCCACACCCTTAATCTTATCTTTGTCATAGAGCTGGGTCTCATAGTCATTGGTCCCTCAAAAGCTACTTCAATTTTACATTCTATTTTTGGAAATGTAGTGGCAGTTACATTTCCAACTCTTTCAGCTCCAAAATTTTTGTACATTTTAAATTCTGTTTGATTTACTGAGCCAGGACTAGGAGTAAGATACATTCACCCACAAGATGTGGACCAGTGAGATAGACATTAGTCACATGGCCATTGTCATATCCAACTTCAAGAATAATTTAGAACTAAAGCCTAGCTGCGAACCCAGCAGAAAGGAAAACCAGCTTGATTAGCAGCCAACCAGTTTCTGCCATAACTAGTAAGTTTGAAGGATTATTAGATTTTGTAGAGTGAATTTCTGTTTTTTGTTTTTTTAAGGTTTCATGATAGAGTAGATGAAGACAAGAAAGTCTCTAACTTCTGTGAAATATATCATGTATATGAGAATTCCATTTTCTGAAAACTCTTGCTGTACTATTAATAGCATGACTTCCAAAGTAAAAATAGGAAGCAAATACTATAATTTTGAAAAAGTAAAAACACATTTTGCCCTATCTTTTTAAATCACGTGTTCAGAATCGTGCAATTTGAGCTTCACTTTTTGTCAGGTTCCAGCTCTTCATAGTATTTTAGCTGAAAGTGATATAGGAGTTAAGAAATCACTTAGGTAGATAGCAAGGGTATGGGAGTCCTCGGTAAGGCTTTTCTTTTTAATGAAAAGCAGCCCCAGACTATTTTCCTTTCTAATGAAGAGCAGCCTGTAAAGTCGAACTGCAGACATAAACAAGCAAGCTGGGAGCTTGCATGGGTGAATGCCAGCAGGAACTCAAAACTAGACATGTTCAAGATGGCAGCTCCATCTTCCCCTCTGTCAGCCACATATACTATAAGGAGCAGACAAGATGGCACCAATCAACTGGAAAGCCTATTTGCATAATAAGATTAGGATGGGGCGATCAGCCTTCCCATGCACTCTGTAAATGTCATACCTGATAGAACAAATCTGTGAGCCCTATGTAAATCAGACACCACCTCTTCAAACTGGACTATAAAATCTGGGGCATTTGCCACCAACAGCCCTTTTCACTCAGTGACCCCTCTCTCTATGGAGAAAGCTGTTTCTACTTTCTCTTCTCTTCTGCCTATTAAACCTCTGCTCCTAAACTCCTTGTGTGTGTCCATGTCCTAAATTTTCCTGGCATGTGACAACGAATCCTCAGGGTATATACCCCAGACAACGTAGCTGCTTCAAAAGGACGTTTCTGGACAGAGATTTAAATGTAAATCTACTGGGAGACTTTCTGCATACAAAGAATGTATTCCTTATGACTAAAGATAGAACCAAGAGAAGAAACTAAATATTTCCATCCTAAACATCTCTAAAATTCCTTGATGGAGAATTCCCAGGACAAACCAACAAGGAGTAAAATTTGTTCATTCTCTTTAAAGGAATAATGCAGAATGTTAGTTTTAGCCTCTAATAGATGACCTGTGCAAAGCTAAGGCAATGGCTCTTTTGTGAATCACCTTGATAATTATTACCCACAGGAGTCGGGCTTTTGTCTGTGGACTCCTTCTCACAGTTATATTCTGGAATGTAAGGCAAACAACTTTGGTATAGTTGTAAAAAGACTAGTGCTCACACTTCTGCCCTCATGGAAAGTATAGACACATTTTCTTTCTCAATTACTCAGTGAGTCATATTTTCTTTTGGTTATCACTGAATAGCAAAAAACTCAGTATTTCTATCATATTATTTATAATGTCTACTAGAATTATTCTTCAACTAAGTCCCATCATCATACTACAAATTGGATAAAATTTAAAGCATTTTAATTCAGTAATTTTCCTTGCCGAAACAGAAAAAAAAAAAAGGGAAGAGTTTTATTTCCCATTGGCTAGAATGGACTTGGGAACTAAAGTTAGGATTTTTTTTTTAATTCATTAAAGCTTGGATTCTATCATTCATTTAATTTTATCTTCATCATACATTTTATTTTCACTAGTTACCACAGACTTAATGATTCTAAATATACAGTTCCGTCAGCTCAGGACATTTGCAATAAGCATTTTTCCCCTTGATTATGGCATAGAAAATCTTTAGAGAGTTGCACAAAGCCTATACTATTCACTCCATTTTTAATTCATCCCTCCAAATTAATGGTTTCCATTAATTAGACAACAAAAACTGAAAAGGAAAAAATGGAGGGTACAGTGTTTCTCATCTAAAGGTGAGTGCTGTAAGAGATGTTAAGCAGTTGGGCCAGATTTTAATGAATTCTCAGATAGGTTTTAATTAGGGCTGGCATATGAACTGAATAGGTCTATAGTACCCTATACATGAAGGGTTCTTTTTAACACTAAAACCTAGAATTATTATATGTAATTAGTGTTAGAAATGAAAAGATACGAATGGCATATTTTCAGGGCCAAAATAATACTAATTCAGACCACATTTCTAGCAGGTTTCCAGATCACACTGGCTGTCATTTGCGATCTGTACTGTATTACCATATTTCACAAATGTCAACGTTTGGATATCTAATAGGTAAACAAAAGGTATAAGGGCAATATCTTTGTTCTTATTCAATTGGTAATTTAATCACCAATTAATTTACTTTTTATAACTACGTGGGTTTTATATTCTGTAGCTCTTCAAAATGTACCATATGTGCCAGCTGACAGAATCAACCTGATCTGAAAGATGGTGAAGAGTCTCAATAACCACACAGCTTAGGTAGATTTACTAGACAACAATTTTGCAAGTGGCTCAAGAGCAACAGTGCCTATTATTAAGAAAGCTATTGACCTGTTACTTAGCCAACAAGTACTATTTACTTTAAACGACACATCCATCTTGCCTACTGAACAATGAGGTAGAAGAATTCTTATAACCCCTTTGATTTGATACCAGAGACACAGAATTAAGTTACTTTAAAATATTGTTCTACCATACACTTTGTAAAACATTCAGACAAAAACTAAAACTGTTTTAAGGCATTACCAGTAATTTATTGTCAGAGAAAATAGAAACACTGGGAAACTGATTCTTGAAGAACATTTTTTTAATTCATATCAAAATTAACACTTGAATATTGTTAATAAAAGATCTTGCAGACTTTATGGTGGAATAAAAAATGTGACCAGGGAGAGTTTCTACTCAATACAAAACTGCAGAGTAGATAAATACATCACTAGAAATATCATTATCAACATAAGCATTAACAACATACTGTTTCACATGCACTATTAGAAAGAAAGAGCTTGAAAGGATCTTGTCTTACTGAAACTCATAGACCAACTTGGGAAATGGTTAGGATTACTCTACATCAGGGATCAGTATACCTTTTTCTGTAAAGATTCTGACAGTAAATATTTTAGACAATATGGTATGCTGTAGCTATTCAATTCTGCCATTGTAGCATGAAAGCAGTCATAGATAATATATAAGTGATTTGATATATTTGTATACCAATAAAACTTTATTTATTGATAGAAACTCTAATTTAAATTTTGTATCATTTTTCACGTGTCATGAGATATTTTTCTTTGGTGTTTTTCAAACCATTTAAAAATGCATAAATCATTCTTAGCCTGTGGGCTGTTGGAAAATGGGAAGTGGCCTGAATTTAGCCCATGGGACATAGTTTGCAGATTCTTGCTCTACATTATAATTTGCCTGGGACTGTCTCAGTTCGCATCTGATGACCTGGCATAATTATTAATAGCTCCCTCTTTAAATCTCTAAATGTTCTGATGTGAGTAATAAATTACATGATCACCTTAGCTATGGTGAAAATGTATCAAAACCAAAAGTCAAAAAAGTCATGCAATATACACAGCTTTGCAACAGAATTACATTATACAAATATTTTATTTATAAATGCCAATCAATTCATGCTATTGAATATAAGTGCTATTTGTGATCTGATTTACATACTGTACATCTGAAGGCATAATTGAGTAAATCAGGGAAGGCATTCACTAGCTAAAGAAAAAACCTACCAGTTGAGAAAACTACATAAAACAAATGATAATTAAGTTAGTGTGAGATGAGCTGAAAGGGTATCCAGAAGAAGGAGGCTTAAAACAAATTGAACAAGCCTTCTTTGTTACATTGTTAGAATATTATTCATGAAATGTGTTTTGACACAGGTTAAGCAGTCAAGTTTAATATTTGAGAACATTACTGCGGATAAGGTGGAAATTGACATGGTCAGTTAAAGAAAACAGAAATGTTTTGGCATGAATTTTTTTTTCAGGAGTTAAATGAGTTAAACAGTGAAGTACCAGATACATAACAGAAAGCTGGCCTCTTGGGAAGTCCTATGCATCAAAAGTATTTTCATCCCAAGTCTGCATAATTAATCCAACTCAGATTTTACAACGATCAACACAATGTGCAAGATACTACTTCCAGTCTCAGTATTCTGCAATCACATTTCCTGGTTAGACCCAAAGTACTGTGAATTTTCCATAGAAAGGTTTTGTTTGTCACTGAAATGACCAATAATGACATCATAAACTTTAAGCTGACAGCCACAGTTTCATCAGGAGGATGCACAATTCAAAGAACATATTTTATTCATCCAGCTCAAATGTTAACATGTACCATGGAAGATAAAAGCACCAGTTTGTGCCCCATGAAGACAAAAAATAATGATACGCTTCAAGGAAAAGCATGATATGTGGTTTTGCAACCCATGGTAAAAACTCATAGTCAACACCATGAGATATCACAATACCTCCAGAATTAACTCTTGCTCTCTGTTTTTGGGACCAGTATGACTCTGTAAAATGGCTTACTATTATAAATAATGATAAAGGATTTCTGTCATGGCTTTCCTCCTACATTATTTTATTGTATTTATTATTTTCTTCATCTAAACATCAGGCTCCCTTGCTACATATTACATGCAGAGCAGAGTCTGGGAACTGCAGCATAACTCAAAATCATCATGTACCATGAGGACTAAAATCCAGAGCTCTGTCCAAATTTTGTTCCATTGGTTTTATGGCTTTATCCTTTCCTGACTGCAAATTTGCTGTATGTTTTAAGGAAACCAGTCATTAATAACAATAGAAAAAGTTTTCATACCATGAGGAAAAGACAAATAAAAACATAGACTGACAAAACCATAAAAATCAATCTTCATGAAAAATGAGAAAGTGATATTTACAGCCTAATCAAAGAGACATGGAAAGAGATGTATATAGTACAGCATCATATATGGATAACTCATTGCATAGCTGAGGATAATTTTTACTAAGACCATTTTCCCCTTTTCTGGAAAAATCTTTCGGTACATTCTGCTGAAGTACCCAGATATTAGTGTCTAATCCCTACAACAAATGTCTCCTTTCACTGACTTCCTGGACCCAGTACATTTGGCTCCCTGATGTGATCAATTGGCAGAGGACATGCACTTGGAAGTTTTCACACTATAACTAGACTATAACTGAGACTAGAATCTCACTTTCTACTTGGATACAGTGCTAGGTGTTAAAAGTATTTATGCCTGGCATCAGAAAGAATATAATGATTGCACTACTTAAAGTCAATTTATGTAAGCAAATATCTTTTTAGATTTGTGTTATATAAAAATGAAAGCTAAATTTAACATAAAAGCCAAAATTTAATAAATTAAAAATTTCGGCCTGGCACGGTGGCTCACGCCTGTAATCCCAGCACTTTGGGAGGCCGAGGCGGGCGGATCACGAGGTCAGGAGATCGAGACCATTCTGGCTAACATGGTGAAACCCCGTCTCTACTAAAAATACAAAAAAATTAGCCGGGCGTGGTGGCGGGCGCCTGTAATCCCAGCTACTCGGGAGGCTGAGGCAGGAGAATGGGTGAACCCGGGAGGCGGAGCTTGCAGTGAGCCGAGATCGCGCCACTGCACTCCAGCCTGGGTGACAGAGCAAGACTCCGTCTCAAAAAAAAAAAAAAAAAAAAAAAAAAAATTTCAAATACTACATTGTACATGTTTGGTTAATAAAATCTTTGAACATCTTAAGTCTCTTTGCTGAATTCTTTGGGTATTTTTATGCAAGTTACAGTTAACAAAATCATAGTTATTTTTCTATTTTTTGAAGCTTTCAGGCTAAAAGTTGATGTTGGCTTAAAACAAGAAACTAACAAAATCTACTTCTTGTTTTGGAACTTCTTTAATTGGAAAAACTTATAACTTCTTTTCTTGAACATGACTTTGCCTGCCTTATAACTCTAGATTAAACATATATAATAAGTCAGTTTATATATAGAAACAGTAGTTAATATTTTGGGTTGCTTTTCAAGTACAGATTTGCTACATTGTTCACACTTATTCCTCATATATTCCTCACAGTAACTCTAAAAAATAAGAGCTATTACTATACCCACTTTGCAGGTGGAGAATCTCAGGTATAAAGAGACAAAATAATCAGGAGTAACTGGTGCAACTAGGTTTAAAATAAGCAGTCTGATTCCAGAGTCAGTTCCTTTTAACCACCACTCAATGCTGCTGTCTTGTATTTTATTCTTAAAATGATATGTTTGCAAATCTTAAAAATTCTAGTATGTTAGAGTGATTGATATAATTCACTAAATGATACCAGAGTATGAACCCTCTGTCAAATCTATGTATCAACTGTCACATACACGTGGCTTGTTATATGTACTACATTTGCAAACAGACAACAAATAAATTCATTTAGGTATGGAATCAGAATAACTTTCTATTATCCAGAGCTGCCAGACAAATTTCAACTTGCTGCTACTTCAACCACACCACCTCTCTTGAGAAATGCATTCATTACTTTTACACTCTATTGAGGTCATAGAATTTTAAGAGAGTCACTTGTTGTTCTTCTATCTGTTGAATCTATTGCTGATATCCAGAAACTATTGGCTGAAACTTTGAGAAAAATGACAAGGTTACTACTCCTGTTATGCTCTCATTATATGTGACTTTGTGGGTCAGCATCTATAGAGAATACAGGCAAGGAGGAATCTGCATTTACAGAATTTCTGGTTGCAGGAAGAATATGGTTCAGTAGGGTCACCGGGTTTCTATTCTACTATCAATAACTTGAGATAAGATAACTTGTATTTTAAGCGTTATTAACAGATTAAATCTAAAAAGATTTTTAATTTGAAATCACAGTACAAATGTCCAACCTTTGAATCTTAACCCCTGTTTAATCATGACCTTTGGTAAAAGGATAATTTTAAGGCAAGGTATTACATTAAAATGTCATTCAAACAGTTAATTCCATTTTGTAGTCTCATTTTAATACTATATTAAAAGTCAAGTAAAAACCTTCACCCCAGAGCCCCCAGAAAGGAAGATAGCCCTGTTGACACCTTGATTTTAGCCCACTAAGACCCATTTTGGAGTTCTGAACTCCAGAACTGTAAGAAAATGAATTTGCTTTGTTTTAAGCCATTACATTTGTGGTAATTTGACAGAGCAGCAATAGGAAACTAATACAACATCCAATTTCATTTTATTCTACTGTCATCTCCCTTATATACATATATCTACATATAGAAAGAAAGGGAGGGAGAAGGAGAGTGAGGGACAGAGGGAAGGAGAAGAAAAAACTATAGGTTTCCACAGCTGAGAATAAGTTAATGCATGCCCTTATTAAGTATAGTTGAGTTCCCAAATCAACTTCTTTTGTTCTTGTCTGCTAAGCAATATGCAATCTTAAGGGGGAACTTTAAAAATTAAAGTTAAACAGACTAAAAAATTAAAGTTACTAAATGCTTCTTTTGGATTAATTAACTGTACAAAGAGAACAGAGTGCAAATCAGTTTGGGCCTCCCCTGGGATGCTATTAAAGAAAGAAATGTTGCTGTCATTTTCACTAGAATGAGATATAATTTTGGTTCCATCTCCTCATTCAGTTTGTAATACATAAGAACTCAGACACCATTGTGTTTCAGTAATAACTTAATGCCTTACCTGAAAACACAAATATGAGAAATTCTGATAAACTAAACCAATATCTGTTGAAATTAGGGTTTAGGAAAAATGTTCCCTTGTGATAATTACAAAACAAGCTGTTGCTAGCAGTAAACTTTATCTGTTTTACTTTGAGGATGATTAACTGTCCTATTGAAATAATTTTATAGCTCTAAAATATAGTTTCCTTTTGTTAACCCAATATGAGACTTTCTCAGAAATAAAAAATTAAGACCAGAATGCTGGTTTCATTCTTTTGCTTTTATAAAAATTAGTAATGAGCCAATTAATAATTAGCCAACAAATAATTATGTATAGCTTAAGAGGACATCTTACTTCTTTAATGCCTGTACTAAATTTCAGTTAACATCAGGTACCTGGAAACAGTGATGATTTTGATTCAACATGGGAAGTTTGATTAATAAGAATATGAGTAATAAAATGATAATAGTGTTAACATGATTTGCATAGTTTAGTCTTCATGTATGATACTTTTAAAATAGGACCTGTAAAAATTTTATAGCAATGATGTGTGTGCCATATTCAAAAATAGTCCAGTTAGCTAGTTTGCATTTGTAAAGTTTCACTGCTAAATTATCATTCTAATAAGATTGCAATCATCTTGAAAAGATAACATACAATCCGATATAGACTAAACATATTACCATAAAACATAGGCTTAAACATTCTATGGATTTACTCTGCAGTGTTGTTGCCCATGGTCTTTTTTTGGCAAACACATGTGGGTAACCAATGGCCACAACCAGATAAATAAAGCCCAAACAGCCTCTTTTTCTAGGGCTGAGCATTCGAAAAGGAGTTAGGTTGATACTTTAGCATTTTCAGTTTTCTTTTTTTCTCCTAATAATTTTCTAACCACTCTACAGTTACAACAGTTTCCTTTAAAATGCAACAATTAAATCTTACTATAGTAAAAGTCTTGATTTTCTAGACCTGGAGATCTTTTAGCAAATGTTCATTCTTTCATGGAAGTCTTAACTTGTGAGAAGATTATCAATCTTTAAAAATGCCTTAAGTATTAAAACAATGAGATACCACTACGTATTTCCTAGAATAAGCAAACTGTGGAGCAACAGAAACTCATTAATTGCTGGTGGGAATGCAAAAGGTTACAGCCACTCTGGAAGAAAGCTCGTTAGTTTCTTATGAAACTAAACATATTCTTACCATAAATCCAGGAATTGCACTCCTTGATATTTATCTAAAGAATTGGAAAAAAAAAAGTATGTTCACAAAAAAACCAGCACATTGCTGTTTACAACTTTATATAACTGACAACCAAGATGTCCTTCAGTAGGTGAATGGATAAGTAAATGGTGGTATATCAGCACTAAATAAAATGAACTATCAAGCCATAAAATGATAAAATGAACTATCAAGCCATGAAAAGGCATAAAGAAAACTTGAATGCATATTACTAAGTAAAAGAAGCCAATCTGAAAAGCTAAATATGGAATGATTCCAACTATATGACATTATGGAAAAGGAAAACTATAGAGACAGAAAAAATATGAGTGGTTGCCAGAGGTTAGCGGGGAGAGAGGGATGAATAGGCAGAGCACTGTGGGGTTTTAGAGCAGTGAAATTACTCTGTATGATACTACAGTGATGGATATGTGTCATTACACCCTTGTCCATCCCACAGAATGTACAACACCAAGAGTGAACCCTAATATAAATATGGAGTTTGGGTTACCAGGTTGAGTCAATGTAGGTTCATTGAAACAATGTACCACCACTGTGGTGCAAGATGTTGGTGATGGGGAAGGTTGTGAGTGTGTAGGGAGACATGGGGAATATGGGAACTCTCTGTACTTTCTGCTCAATTTTGCCGTGAACTGAAAACTTCTCTAAAAAATAAAGTTTATTAATTAAAATAATGTCTTAAGCAGGGCTGTGATGGTCCATGGAGAAAATGACAGCAGCAGGCTTGACCACCACTGATACAGCCCATGTCAAGTGTGCCCAGGGTGACCCAGGGCTCAGCTTGTGTGTAGAAGGCCCTCGTGTATTTTGCCAAGTTTCCCATGGTGGGAGTGAACACACCAAGTGCCTTCCTGAAGTCACACCACAAAGAGCATGAGATGCCTAAGTTCATTGCCATTTCCACGTCGGGTCTGAGACCTTTCCCTGCAGGGATGGTAACCATACTCTATTCTACAACCCTCCATGAACCTGCTTCCAATTGGCTATTATGATGAATAAAGAGAACCTGGACCACTCCGTGGACACCAGGAGCCACATCACTGTTTTTGACCATTACTCTGCAGGTGGACAAAAAAAAAAAAAAAAAAAAAGTGTGTCAAATGATAACTATCCCTTTGCTTTTGACAGAAAGTAGCCTAAATAAACAACAGATTTTTTAAGTACTAAAACTTTTAATTAACTGATTTATTTATTCATTCTGAAAATGGGTACAGATCACTGACATTTTCGCTTTGTAAACATCCTTAATTTTGGAGAGATTGCACACAAACTTTGAGGGTCTTACAGATCATTTACTGAATTTATTAAACACTCCACAAACACAAAATTATTAGATGCATTCTAATAAAAAGGATTGTAATTTTGTCTTTATTTACTGGTGTTATTAATAGCATCAAGCTCTACTAAGGCATTTTTTTCTGCTTAAACTGTAGTACCTGTAATGATATGTCTTTATAACAAAGTTGGTAGTATTTCCTCAAGTCAACTTACATTAAAGCCAAACCTACACCATATATTACTACAAGGAGTCATTTCCTAACAGTAGAATGAATGTAGAATGCCAATGATTAGTTTATTTTCAGTATGCCACAGTGTTCTTCGAGGAAATATTTATCTAGCACATTCCCATGGCATTCAACCACTGTATTGTTAATTGTTTTGCATCAAACCAAATAATTTGATAGGGTAACAAAAAATAAAAGGGTTAAATTAGAAAAAAACAAATTCCCTAACTCTCAAAGTAATTATTATTAAAATACTATTAAAAAGTATGTAACCTAATTGCATCACACATGTATGCATGTGCTCAAGCACACACACACACACACACACACACACACACACACACATACAATAGTTTAAAGGAAAACTAGCATTTATAATAGTACTCAAACTGAAGGCAATATAAGAAACAGCAATTGAAAATATGGCTACCTAGATTTCCAATGAGTCACTGAGGAAGTAAGCGAGGTACGTTGCTGAGGGCATTAACACTTTTGTGGTCATTACTCACCATAATGATAATTTCAGAAACAGTATCTTAGCAGCAGACAAGAAATGATATTAAATGAGCCTAATTTATTCCTCGACTGGGTCTAACAACACAATCATGTTACTAACGGCACCAGATTTAAAAACCCTTCCACATGCAAGTAGAAAATGAAAGTAAATACTGTATTTAATCTGTAAACCAAACACATACTACTAGTTCAAATCATAAAGATTTAGGCACTGGGCTGCCTAACAGAATAAACTAAATACATTTTCACATATTTCGTTTCTTTTGCCATCAGCTTAGCTCTGTTACTGTTCAATCTGAAAACAACCTCTTTAACAATAACATCAGATAATTGAGTTATAAATAGATGTAAAACAGTAGGAAGTGGTGCATCACCATATGTGGCTTTTATAAATTGTAAGGGATGACTTCATTATTAGCACACAGCTTGCCCCATGATCACTGTAAATCATTTCATTGATGAGATAATAATAATGGCTTATGATATTATCCCCTTGTCCATTGTCATAACTTTCCAGTAGGGCTCAGCAGGTAGAGAAAAAAAATTTGAACAGGTTTATATCTTTCCTTTGGTGTGTGTACATAGCAATATGCACTTATAAAAAGCTTTATAGAAGCAAGAAAATGTAGTACTCCTCTTAAAAGATGTTACCAAGAGATCAGCAAACATTTGTAAAAACTGTTGGTTAGGATTATCTGAGCTAGTTTCAGTAATGTATTTAAAACCCTTGACCATTGTGTGCTGTGTTCAGAGGAGAAAGGAAAATAAAAGGCAAAACCTTCTCCATTATTGAGCACCCACTATATGCCAGGTACTTGGCATAACTTACCTCGCTTGACTCTCACAGCAACCCTGTGAGGCAGATACTGTCAGGGACATTACAGAGACATGAAAGTCGAGGCCCCCCAATGAGTAACCAAGACAGGATTGAACACAGATCAGTCTAGCTCCAGACTCCACTTGGTGCTTTCCATCATTGCCCTAAAATAACCTGAGGTAAACCAGGAAGAAATGGTGAATTAGAAAGTTAATAACCAGCATTTTAACAAGTGTTGGCATTAGTGAAGCCAAACATCTAGTAGTTCGGTGTAGTCACTGAAAGTGTGACACGTTCATGATGGATTCTGAACAGAAGGTAACAGACTACACAACTCTCCAAGTGGTTGGCATTTAGATCAGTACTTCTCATTCTATTTGTGATGAAGAGCTATCCTTTATGTTTGTTTTAATTTCCAATCCATTGCACACTTTGTGGAATGCAATAAAAATAAAGCATTACAAAAAGGAAGTGAAAAAGTAAAGCAAAATATAAAGAAAATGAACTCAATTATTTATAACTAGATTTGACAAACAATCACACTGATCACATGCTCAGATATAGCGGCAATGTCAAAGTGCTGTAAAAGTTTCTAAATGCTCACACGTGACTTCTGTTCTTATCGTGGACTCATGACAAGCCATTCTCAGACCAGTTGAGGTCAGAAGGCTTCACTGTGATGGTCATATCCAGAGAACTTGATGGAGGCCATATCACTTGTTACTTTCCTTTCTAGAAGCACACTCAGGCAGTACAAAAATGTCAGAGCTTCTCAAGTTCTGGGTCATTATGCTTGGAAACTTCTGAAATCTCAGCAATTTGCACAAATGCTGCTGATTAAAAGTAAACTGAAGCATTCAGAACTTTTGAGTCATTTTATCACAGCACAGCCAAATGTTTGGAATGGCCAACATATTCTGTTTTTCATGCTTCCTCCTCTCCAGGTCATTACATTGTTTTTCAGGAAAAATGTTTTTGATTGACTTGAGCAGTAGATAATCTACTCCCTATGTTTTTAATTTTAAATGAAACAATTACATGATTTTTTTTGTCTTAAAATTAACCTTTAGAAAACAAGATTGTTAAATGTATCCTATACTCTTGTTACTTTGGAATTGTCATTTGACCTCATTATGCCTTTAACAGTTTTCACTTCTAATCATCGACATAGTACTTTAACATATTTGTGCAAAGGACTGACAGTAATTGCTGTTTAGGAAAGTAATATATGCTTCTTTGTCAATGCAAACACTCAGATCCCAAAGTCCATTCTGTGTGTGATTTTCTATTAGCACTTAAAAAAAACCCTAACCTAATGAAAAGGTGATATGAATAAATACCACATCAATTGTAACATTATATACATAATTTGAGACCCACAGTTTTCTTTTATAAACCTGACTGCTAATTGACATGAAATTTAGATTTGCATAAAAATGCTTTAATAATCGTAGCATTATGTTCACCAAAACATGGAACACTTAGACAAAAGTGAAATAGCACTCAATGTGACTTTTTTTTTTTTGAAAAACCGTTGTTAGAGCTGATGATTATGCTGCTTTCAGAGTAATGTGCTTTTCTTTTTGGCTGTGTTTCCATATATGTAGGAGAATATATCAACAGATGAAAGTAAAATTTAAATTTCAGAACCTAAATGGAATTACAATTGTCCAATTTCATTATCATACATTTCATTTTCCGGATCATCAGATTTTAATCCCCTGTAGTCCCAATATCAAATGTCAATGAGTTTTAAGAGTAGACAAGGGAAAGGGGAAGAGTGTGAAATAATATCACTCTTTTACTTTGCAATAATATCCATGACCAAATATGTAATAAATACAATTTAAAATGAAATTAGTTTTCAGCATGGAATGAGAATGTAGGGCTCATTGGTAGGTGTTACTAAAAAGTAAACACTACTGAAATATCTATTAGAAATTGGTATTGAAGCCAATCATGTTTTGGTATGATGTTATTTTTTATTAATTTCATCTTAAAAATCAAATTTGTATTAAACACCTTAAATAGACTGATGAATTGTGATCAAAAAGAAAATAAAAGTACTCATTTTTCGGAATTTTTACTCACATCCAGGGGAGAGTGATCTTAAATTAGCAACACATTTCTTAAAATACATAAAACAAAAACTTCTTGGTATCCTACCTAATGAGATAATAAGAACTATTATAGTAGTATTTCATCATTTGTAAAAGAAGCGGCATTCGCACATTTGTTGCCATTAGCAGAATGACTTTTTAATGGATATTATAATAGCTTATATCACATAATCAGACTGAGATTCAGTCTATCCTGCCAAATACAAAATTAAACAACATGTTTCTGTCTAACCAAAATGTTCATTCCACTTCCTTATAAAGCTGAAAAAGAAAAGCATTGCTTCTTCTCAATGACATGTTTGGGTAACACACACATTTATCATTTTGCTGTGATCCACCCAACCTTCCTTCTGTAAGTTATACCCATAAAAATTAAATAGTTTAGAGTTCACTCATTAAAAACTCTTATTTCTTCAAAGGTAAATATATTTACTTAAAAATATGCAAAAGCCATGCAAAAGTTTAAAAATAACAAAAACAAGTAAATTTTATACTACCAGGAAAAAAATTTGCTATGTTTTAAGCATAGCAAATATCCAAAAAAAAATTTGGATATTTTAGTTAACCACACTGAAATGAGGTACTCATGATAAAATTAGTTGACAGAAAGAATAAAATCTGGACTAAATTATTAGTAGTGACAATCTTAGGATACTAGCACCATAACATAACTGATGTCAACTCCATGGAGTATATTTTAAGAAAGTAAGAAAATACAGGACTTCCAAAGGAAGAAGCCTAAGGGTCTGGATGAGTTTGGCCTTCAGATTGATTAAAGCAGAAGTCGCAACTGGCAGCCGAACAGCAGAAACTGACCATTTGAATGTGTTTTATTTGGCTTACACAGTGCTGAACTGAACAAATTTTACAATGGATGGTAATATTTAGAAATCAGGAGATTTCTCATACAAATGAGATTTCTAGCTTCTAAAGTGGGGGGTGGAATTGAAAGATCTGTCAACAGAGGCCAACATTTTCCCCTTGGCAACAATTGACTGAAGCTGGGAGCTGCTGCATACCCTGTTCAGATAAGGCATGAATTCTCCATCTTGCCCCAGGCCTATCTCTCTCTATTACATCTTATGCTAGCCAACTGCACAGATTCATGCCCCAATATAGACTGCGTAGATGTGTGAGTGTGTTACAAATCCCTGAGCAAGGCTCTGAAAATGTATGGTCTAGAAAGACAAGGGGATCTATGAACATACTTTTCAATGATTTACAGATTGTTATATAGATGAGAAACTAGATGGTAAGTTTTCACAGAAAACATAAAAGTATAGAATTTAGAGGGTTATGGGTTTTAAGAGAAGATAAGAAAAAAATTATAGCTTTTAGACAGAAGTATTTAACAATAGGGAAGATTTTTTCAGACAGGAGTATGCATTCTTTCACTGGAGATATTCAGGCAAAAGCTGGGTGGTCAATAGAATTGCTACCATAGCCCTGAAAATTAGTGATTCTGTAAGAAAAAAAAAGCCATTGAATTATATCTGTATATATGAAAGTAGTATAACTTTAGTTGTTATATTGCTGCGTTACTGGAAAATTCCTTTTGCGTTGATTTTAAAGTTCTCTCCACCTTTCAGATGCCATGTAGACAGGGAAAATAGGACTTTTATAGCACATATATAGTCATTGCTCAGACTTTCCAATTTTTAATCTTAAATTTGTATACATAGGTACATTTTCCATTAATCTCTTCTTTATTTTATATTTATAACCTATAGTAAGATGCTTATGAGTAAGAAAATATTGACTAGAAAATTTGCCCCATTACTTACTTAGTGAAGAATAAAGCCTAAAAGCAATGCCATTTTCTACAAAGGCAGTGAACTCATAGGGACTGGATAGAATTATGTTGTTTTTGGTCAAAAATAATTGTAAAAAAATTTAATATTCTTCACTTAAAAGACAGAAAGTTCTCAGCACCATTATGAATATGTGCCTTTACAATTTTTTAATGGAATTTCACAAGCTCTAGGCCTCCATAACAGTTTTCAAGTTGTTACCACTAACTATTGCAGCTTAAGCCACTGGGAAAATCACAAACACCACTGATGCTATTTACAATTGAAGAAATTATATGAAGACTCCACTTCTGCACACATCCAGAATCAAAGCGAAAGTACCCTACCCAAACAAAACCACAGATATATCTTCAGGAAAAAAAACCTTTCCCTACAAAAGGCAATCCAAAAAATTGGAAGAAGCAACTGTTATACTAGATGTGCAAATATAAATATAAGAACACAGGAAAAAAATTTTAAAACAAGGATACATGACACCTTCAGAGGAACAATAATTCTCCAGCAACAGATTCCAATGAAAAAGAAAATTATGATATCCAGAGAAAAAGAATTCAAAATCATGATATTAAAGAAACTGAGTGAGATAAAAATAAACATAGATAAACAAAATAAAGAAATTAGAAAAATAAGTCAGGGTATGAATGAGAAATTTACCAAAGAGATAGATAATCATAAAGAGGAACCAAACAAATTCTAAAATAGAAGAATTCATTGAATAAAATACAAAACACCTTTGGAAGCTTCAGTAACAGACTAAATCAAGCAGATAAAAGAATTTCAGAACTTGAAGACAAGTCTTTGGAAATAACCTAGTTACACAAAAATTAAAAAAACTAAATGAAAAAAATGAAAAAAGCCTACTTAATATATGGGCCACCATAAACTGGTGACATGTTCAAGTTTTTGGTTGTCTCAGTTCTAAGCAAAAAAAAGGAATGGGAAACCTATTTAATTAACTTATAGCTAAAAACTTCTCAGGTCTAATAAGAGTTTCAGATATCCAGATACAGGAAACTCAAAGATCCTCAAATAAGTACAATTTTAAAAGGTTTCCACAACACATTATAGTTGAACTGTCAAAAGTCAAAGAGATTTCTAAAAACAGCAAGAGATGACATCTAGTCATTTACAAGGGAAGCACCATCAGACTAACAGTGGATTTCTCAGCAGAAACCATACATTTCAGGAGAGAAAAAGATGATATATTCGAAGGACTGAAAAAAAAAGTATGTATATATATATAAAACCTGGTAGCCAAAATACTACACCCAACAACGTTAACCTTCATAATGAAGAAAATATTTTGCAGACAAGCAGAAACTGAGGGAATTCATCACCACAAGCTTGGTCCTATGGAAGAATGCTTAAGGGAGTTCTATGGCTGGAAGGAAAAGGATATTTACTATCATGAAAGCACACAAAAGTATCCAACTCGCTGGTAGAGAAAACAAAGTCATTCTAGTATTGGGTATATACCTAAAGGAATATAAATCATTCTACCATAAAGACATATGCATACATGTTCATTGCAGCACTATTCACAACAGCAAAGACATGAAATCAACCTAAATGTCCATCAAGAGTAGATGGGATACAGAAAATATGGTACATATATACCATGGAATACTACACAGCCATAAATAAAAAAGACGAGATCATATCCTTTGCAGCAACATGGATGGAGCTGCAGGCCATTATCCTAAGTGTATTAATACAGGAAAAGAAAATCAAACATTGCATATTCACACGTATAAGTGGGAGCTAAATATTGAGTAAATGTGAACACAAAGAAGGGAACATCAAATACTGGGGCCTACTTGAGGGTGGAGGGTGGGAGGAGGGAGAGGATAGAAAAACTACCTACAGGGTACTATGCTTATTACCTGGGTAATAAAATAAGGTGTACATCAAACCCCTATGGCATGCAATGTACCTATATAACAAACCTGCACATGTACCCATGAACTAAAATACAAGTTTAAAAACAAAGCTCAACATCACTAATCATCAGGGAAACGCAAATCAAAACCTCAATGAGATATAATCTTATCCCAGTAAGAATGGCTATTGTTAAAAAGACAAAAACCAACAGATGTTGGTGAGCATACAGAGAAAAGGAAACTTTTATACACTGTAGCTGGGAATGCAAGTTAGTACAGCCATTATGGGTAACAGTATGGAAATTTCTCAAAAAAACTAAAAATAGAACTGCCATATGCTCCAGCAATCCCACCACTGATATTTATCCAAAGAAAAAGAAATCGGTCTATTAAGGAGATACCTGTACTCTCACATTTACTACAGGACTATTCACAGTAGTCAAGATATAAAATCAACTTAAGTGTCCATCAACAGATGAATAGATAAAGGAAATGTGGTATATATACAAAGGAATACTATTCAACCATAGAAAACAGAAATCCTGGCTTTGCGCAGTGGCTCACGCCTGTAATCCCAGCACTTTGGGAGGCCGAGGCGGACAGATCATGAAGTCAAGAGATCAAGACCATCCTGGCCAACATGGTGAAACCCCGTCTCTACTACAAATACAAACATTAACCGGGCGTGGTGGTGCGTGCCTGTAATTCCAGCTACTCAGGTGGCTGAGGCAGGAGAATCGCTTGAACCCGGGAGGCAGAGGTTGAAGTGAGCCGAGATTGTGTCATTGTACTCCACTCCAGCCTAGGCAACAAGAGCGAAATTCCGACTCAAAAAGAAAAAAAGAAAAAAAAAAAAAAAGAAAAAAGAAAAAAAAAATCCTGGAGGTGAGGGATTGGCCAACACAGCCGGGAAATGCCTTTCCCACTGAGAGAACCCAAAATATTCAGTACACCATCACACTTTAAACAGATCTTTTGAAAAACAACGACAACAACACCAACACCAACAAAAACACTGAAAGTCAATAGAGAGGTGATGCAGACATCAAAGTTGAAGAGGAAGGAAGCTAGGAAGTCTGCACAGAGCTGCCAAGCACCAGGACTGGTTCTAAGTCCTGAACAGGTGCCAAGTCCTGAACAGGTCCTAAAATGGGGGTGAACAAAGGAACTCTGGGGCCCCACACTCCCACTGTAGACATCTGGAATCTTAGCTACAAGAGATCCCACACTCTGGTAGACATTTGAATTGGTAAGGGGGACTGCTTGGAGAGTAGGCAGAAGTCAGAACTCAATCCTGTGTGGAGCCCAGAAGGTTTCACAAGTGGGGCAGCTGCAGGATAAGCACGCATTCCTAAGGCTCTCCATCTTGCTCTGAGTGACTCTCCCCCCCTGCTGACTGCCAGGCGGGAAGAAAGCAGGGCTGCCTGAAACCACCAGAACAGGGCAGATCCACAGACACCCTTTTCCGCTTGCCCCTCTTAAGATGCTTGCCTGGTGGCTCCCGCAAGAGGGCGCGCACAGCACGGCCTCCACTCCCTGACCTGCATGTTTTGCTGGTGGTCTGGTAACAGTTTGAGTCTCCCCCAGCATAGCTGGTGTTCAGCCCCACGGCACCAATGAACAAAGCTGCAGGCCTGGTTCCAATGCCGCAGAGTTTAAGCATACCACCCAGGGGTACTGAGCTGAGGTCTGTAGCCTGAGCTCAAGCAGGCCTGAGCTCTTCCGAGAGTGAGAGTGGAGTCCTCACTAAGATTGAACTGCAGGTTCATGTGCCTTTAGAGGAGCTGGATGTTCCTCCCTCCAAAAGACTGATCTGGGATGAGTGTAGCCTGTTGGCCAGCCTCAGCTTCTACCTGATGAAACCACACCTCCCACATACCCCCATTCCCCCTATACCCTCCAACCACCCTGCCTGGAGCACCTAGAACAGCCCAGCCATCCGACCACAGAAGAGTTGGGACAAAACTAGTTGGCCGGGCCTGTTCCTGGGGGAGACACCAGAGGGAGACCCAGTTAGGAGAGTGCAAACTGGATAGAGCCCACAACTGTCTGCTGGGCAAAAACAAAAACAAACAAACAAACAAACAAACAAACCCAGGCTGTGGGCACCACACCAGCTGCACATCTGTGGCCCTTGACCCACTGCATCACCAAACATCTGCAGATAAAAGCCACAACCCACTCGGACTCCACCAAGCTCCGAGTACTAGTAGGTCCCTGGGAGCTGTGGGTCTTTTGTTGATGTAAACATTACATTTCCATGGACTGGAAAAATCAGTATCATTAAAATGGCCATACTGCCCAAAGCAATTCTTATCAAACTACCAGCATCATCTTTCACAGATTTCGAAAAAATGATTCTAAAATTCATATGGGACCAAAGAGGAGCCCAAATATCCAAAGCAATCCTAAGCAAGAAGAACAAACCCAGAGGCATCACATTACTGACTTCAAACTGTTACTAAGCTGCAGCAACCAAAACAGTATGGTACCGGTACAAAAACAACACATATGCCAGTGAGACAGAACAGAAAAGCCAGAAGTAAAGCCACATATCCACAACCATCTGATCTTTGACAAAATCAATAAAAATTAAAAATGGGGAAAGGACTCCATATTTAATAAATGGTGCTGGGATAGCTGGCTAGCCATATGCCATAGTCATAAGCAGAAGAATGAAACTGGATCCCGCCCTATCACTATATACAACAATTAACTGAAGATGTATTAAGGACTTAAATGTAAGACCTCAAACTATAAAAATTCTAGAAGAAAACCTGAGAAATACCTATCTCAACATCTGTCTGGCAAAGAATGTATGGGTGGTCCTCAAAAGCAATTGCAATAAAAAAATTACTAAGTCAGACCTAGAGAGCTTCTGCACAGCAAGCTAAACTTAAACTAGAGGGCTTCTGCACAGCAAAGAAACTACAACAGAGTAAATAGACAACCTGAGAATGGGAGAAAATATCTGCAAACTATGTATCCAACAAAGGTCTAATATCCCGAATCTATAAGAACCATAAACAATTCAACAAACAAAAAACAAATAACCCCATCAAAAAGTGGGCAAAGGACATGAACCAACACTTCCAAAAAGAAGATACAAATGGCCAGCAAACATGAAATAATGCTCATTATCACTAATCATCAGAGAAATGCAGATCAAAACCACAATGAGATACCATCTCACAACATTCAGAAGTGCTATTATTAAAAAGTAAAAAACACCAGATGTTAGTGAGGCTGTGGAGTAAAGGGAATACTTATACACCGTTGGTGGGAATTTAAATTATTTTATCCACTGTGGAAAACAGTTTGAAGATTTTCAAATAACTAAAAATAGAACTATAATTTGACCCAACAATCTCATTACTGGGTATACACCCAAAGGAAAGTAAATTATTCTACCAGAAAGACAATGTATGTTCATTGAGACACTATTCACAATAGCAAAGACATGCAATAAACCCAGGTGTCCATCAATGGTGAATTGGCTAAAGAAAATGTGGTACATATACACCATGAATACTGCGTAGCCATAAAAAGAATGAAACCGTGTCCTTTGCAGCAACATGGAGGCAGCTGGAGGTCATTATCCTAAGCAAATTAACAGAGAAATAAAAAACCGAATACTGCATGTTCTCACTTATAAATGGGAGCAAAATATTGGGTACCATGGATATAAAGATGGGAGCAATGGACACTGGAGATACAAAAAGATAGAGGGAGGGAGGGGGCAGAGGTTGAAAAGCTACCTATTGGCTACTATGCTCACTACCTGGATGATGGGTTGTACCCCAAACCTCAACATGATGCAATATAACCATGTAACAAACTTGCACATGTACCCCCTGAATCTAAAATAACAGTTGAAGAAAAAAAAGAAAAGAAAAAAAGAAATTTTATCATTTTCAAGAACATGGATGGAACTGGTGACCATTATGTTAAATGAAAAAAGCCAAGCACAGAAAGATAAATATCACATGTTCTCATTCATACATGGGAGCTAAAACAATTGGTCTCATGAAAGTAAAGAGTAGAATGATCGTTACCAGAGGCTGGGAAGTGGATAAAGGCATGTGGGGGGTGGTGAGGATGAAGAGTTTGATCAGTGGGTACAAACATACAGTTATCTATAAGAAATAAGTTATAATGTTTGATAGCAGAGTAAGTTGACTATATTTAACAATAATGTATTGTATATTTCAAAACTGCTAAAAAAAAGGAGGATTCCCAACACATGGAAATATTCCAACACATAAAAACAATAAACACTTGAGGTGATGGATACTCTAAATACCCTACTTGATCATTACACATCCTATGCATGAAATGAAATACCACATATACCCACTAAAAATGTACAAATATGTACCAATAAATGTTTTAATGAAATAAAATATTTCAACTTGGTCTGGATCATGATTCAAACAAACAACTTAGGATATTTATGAGGTAAATGTAAAGTTTTGAATAAAGATTGGATATAAGATAAAATACATAGTTACCATTGACGGAAAATGTTTTGAGAACAGGATAATTACATATTCTTGAAGTTTCACTCCAAATAATTTATTAACTACAACGGAAAAAAAAAGATGCCTTTACAATGGAAAATCTGCTGGACATGGACTTCATCAGATGAGAAAACATAATATTATCACTAATGGAATAAACTTACATCATGTTTCTCTTAATGCGTTGGATCCATGCAAAAAAAAATAAAAGTCCAGGTTGGCCTGGACTATTTTAAAACATGAATAACATGAAAGACAGAAGGAAAGAAGGAAGGAAAGAAGGAAGGAAGGAAAGAAGAAGGAAGGGAGGGAGGGAGGGGGTAAATAAAGGCTTGGAAATTATTCTAGAATAAAGGACACTAAATGCAAAGTATGATCCTTGATTGGCTCCTGGATTGAGAAGAAAATAAACAGCTATCAAGGACAGTGTTGAGACTATTGAGGGACATTGAATATGGGCTGTGTGTTAGTCACCTATATCATATTAGTGTTAATTTTTTTGAGTGTGATTATTTTATTATGATTATGTAAGATAATGCCTGGTTCTTTGTAGATACAGACTTAAGTATTCAGGCTGACGTATGACATCTGAAACTAATTCTCAATTTTTTTTTTAACTTTTGAAGTCAGGGAAACATGTGCAGATTTATTACATAGGTAAACTTGTGTCATGGGGGTTTGTTGTACAGATTATTTAATCACCCAGGTATTAAGCCTAGTACCAATTATTTATTTTTCCTGATCCTTTCAGTCCTCCCACCCTCTGCCGTCAAGATTGAACCCCAGTGTGTGTTATTGCCCTCTATGTGTCCATGTGTTCTCATCATTTAGGTCTCATTTGTAAGTGAGAACCTGTGGTATTTGGCTTTCTGTTCCTGTGTTAGTTTGCAAAGTATAATGACCTCCAGCTCCATCCATGACCCTGCAAAGGACATAATCTCATTCTTTTTTTATGGCTGCATAGTATTCCATGGTGTATATGTACCACATTTTCTTTATCCAGTCTATCATTGATGGGTATTTAAGTTGATTCCATGTTTTTCCTATTGTGAATAGTGCTGCAATGAACATATGTGATATGTGTGCATGTGTCTTTATAATAGAACAATTTATATTTCTTTGGGTATATACCCAGTAATGGGATTTCTGGGTCAAATAGTATTTCTGTTTTTAGGTTTTTGAGGCATTGCTACACTGTCTTCCACGATGGTTGAATTAATTTACACTCCCACCAACTTTGTATAACTCCCATTCCTTTTTCTCCACAACCTCACCACCATATGTTATTTTTTGACTTTTTAATAATAGCCATTCTGAATGGTGTCAGATGGTATGTTGTAGTTTTGATTCACGTTCCTCTGATGATCAGTGATGCTGTGCTTTTCTTCTTAAGACTGTTAACTGCATTTATGTCTTCTTTTGAAAAGTGTCCATTAATGTCTTTTGCCCACTTTTTAATGGGATTGTTTTTCTTGTAAATTTGTTTAAGTTCCTTATGGATGCTGGATATTAGACCTTTGTCAGATGCATAGTTTGCAAAAATATTCTCCCATTCTGTAGGTTGCCTATTTAATTTGTGGATGGTTTATTTTGTTGTGCAGAACACTTTAATTTAATCAGATCCCATTTGTCAATTTTTGGTTTTGTTGCAATTGCTTTTGGCATCTTTGTCATGAAATCTTTGCCTGTGCCTATGTCTTGAATGGTATTGCCTACGTTGTCTTCCAGGGTTTTTATAGTTTTGGATTTTACATTTAAGTCTTTAATCCATCTTCAGTTAATTTTTGTATATGGTGTAAGGGAGGGGTCCAGTTTCCATCTTGCACATATGGCTAGTCAGTTCTCCCAGCACCATTTATTGAATAGGTAATCCTCTCCCCATTGCTTGTTTTTGTCAGGGTTGTCAAAGATCTGATAGTCAAATGGCTTTGAAAATAAAACAAGCATGAGAGAGAATGTGTCCAAGTACATGGACCTGAACAAGAGAGAAAAAAAGAGAGAAAGGGTAAATTTGGCCAAATTTTAACAAATGCCAAATCTAAGTGAAGAGAAGGTATGCAGGTATTTTTTGTACTCTAGTTGCGATTTTTCTGATGATTTGATATTTTTAAACATCTAAGCAGTGGTGGATGAAAATAATTATTTTTAATTATATGGAGTGAGATAATTGAATGGTAGCAACTTTAAAAATGAAAGTCTTTATTAATTAATGATGCCTACTGTATTAGTTTGTTTTCACACTGCTGTGAAGAACTGCCTGAGACTGAATAATTTCTAAAGGAAAGAGCTTTAATTGACTCACAGTTCAGCATGGCTGGGGAAGCCTCAGGAAACTTACAATCATGGGGGAAGGAGAAAGGGAAGCAAGGCACCTTCTCCACAAGGCCTCAGGAAGGCAAATGAATGCAGGAGGAACTACCAAACACTTATAAAACCATCAGATCACCTGAGAACACACTTACTATCACAGGGACAGCATGGGGAAAACTGGCCCCATGATCCAATTATGTCCACCTGGTATCTTCCTTGACACACGAGGATTATAGGGATTATGGGGATTATAATTCAAGAAAAGATTTAGGTGGGGGCAAAAGCCTAACCATGTTACCTGCTGAACCATTTATGGGTAAAATAACATAATGCCTGAAATTTTCTTTTAAATATTTTAATTTAAAAAGAAGTAGAGGAGGGGATGAAGAGAGGTTGGTTAAAGGGCACAGAAATACAGTTAGATAGAAAGAATAAATTCTAGAACCAATAGCACAATAACCCAATAGTTACCAATAATTTATTGTATATTTCAAAATAGCTAGAAGAGAACATTTGGAATATTCTTGACACAAAGAAATGGTAAATATTTGAGTGATGGATGTCTCAGTTACCCTGATTTAATCATTATACATTGTAAGCATGTACCTCATAAATATGTCCAGTTATTTTATATCAGTTTAAAAATGGGAAAATAAATATAACAAAATTGGCAAAATTGTTGAGGCTGGGAGATGGGTATGTGGGAGCTAATTCTATTTAAAGGCTAATTTTGGAACAATTTATTAGAATATTATTTCATCGTGCTTTTGTTTTAACTGTAGTTTTAAAAGCAGTTTTGGATACAATTTTTGATATGCAAATAAAAATCTAGAGTCAAGTATTGCAAAGTACATAAAGTAACATACTTTCTGGCATTAGTCAGGGATTTGTTTAAAGATAATCTATGAGAAACTTCTGGCAGACTTCCACATTCACAGGAAGAATGAAGGAGGATTTTGAAATTCTTTAAGCTTTTGGGCATGCATTTTGAAAATGAAAAAGCCACACTTTTTATAGCTGTGAATGACACCTTTTTGCATGTAAGGCAAATTCTAGTCCTAAGGTAACATTCTGTTGATGTTGGATGGTTAGAATCAAGGTTATTATCAGAGGATGAACTTCATCATACTCAATAGTTTTATTTCTCTCGAAATGCAACTTTTCCAAAGTCAAATTGGCCATGTCCAATTATGTTTCATTTTTAAGACAAACTGTGAAAGTAATTTTTTTCTGTAAAAATTAATGTTCATAATGTAACAAACCTCTTTACACTTAGCCAAATACAAAATGAAAATATCTGTTTTGCATAATTCCATAAGAATATCATGCAAAGGAAAAGATTTTTTCTGTTTCTCAGAAATAATATATTTCAGTTGTACAGGAACAGGATATAACTTTCTTCTAGTCAGGTGATAAATTATAAAATGTCATATAAAGAATTTTGAATGCATTATTTCTAAATATAGGTCTTGATTCTTAGCAGTCAACTTCATAGGAAATATAGCCCTTATAAGTCAAAAATTTCAGTCGACCTTTTCCACACATCCCATGCAATCCTCAGCTGATATGTTCAACGTTTCCTATTTTGGACATACAGTTAGAATGATGACTAAGAGTGGAAAAGACTTTCTTGTCTTCTCTGTACACCCAGCTCAGATACAAAAATTTCAAATATCTGTTTTTGAAAAGGAAACAAAAATTAATAGCAAAAGCTAAGGCACCTAATGAGAAAAAAAAGGCATGTCACAACATGTAAATAAAGTTTTTGCAGATTATGTTTCCACACTTTCAACATTTTTGGACAAATCTTTTTAAAAATTAAATTATCTGTAATTTTTTTCATATACTAGTGATTATTCAGATATTTCCTGAGATATTGTCTAATTACTTTTTTGAAAGATCATTTTATATACCAATATTCAGAATGTAAGTACTATGTCTATCTTCAAAACAAACATGCTATAATTTTTATAGCTTTTCTTTTATAACATCTCTGCCAAAATATTCTTTCATTACTGCATATAAATCAAGAATTTGCTGACACTGAATTATTAATGGGTTAACTCTAAAATGCCTCTTTGCATTGTCTAATACTCACAAATACTCAATCTTACAAATAAAATATTTTAAATAATCATTTAAATAACAACGGGTCTTGTAGAATATTCTGATCATTAATGTTAAAATTGGTGCAGTTTGAATTTTGACATAAACATTGCTATGCTGAAAAAAAAAAAAAAAAAGCCGTATTTCCAAGCCATCTGCTTCACAGTTCACAAATACATTTCCATTAGTAATTCTAATTGGGGGAAACTTATGTCCAAGAAGATACATCAAAACAAGAATAATTCTGGCTTCACATTTCCTAGAATGAAATGAATAATAAGTGCATATGATATCCTAATATTGTTTTTATGTTTTTAATACTATTTTAAAATAATATAAACTTGAATTTTCTGAATAATGTTTAGCATCTGTCTGTATCCTTTTACTTCATATATTAATCATCGGATTTTAAAATGTAGCTCAAAATTAAATTATTCAGGGGTAATACGTATGTACAGTAAGGTTCCAAATATCTCCATTCAAATGAGGACTTTAACATTACAAGAGGGAGACTTTGGGCTTCTTGGAAGAGTTTGGGATTCTTCTCTCTAAAAATTTCCACTTACATGAACAGAGATATTTGCTTTCCGTTTTTTCTTTACCCTTTTGATTTCCCAGACCAAACTCTATGGATCAAGGTTGTGGAAGGTATTTTGTTCCCTGTTTTGGATTATCTTTAAGGAATGAGATAAGTGATAAGGACTTTTGTGTATCTTCAGCCTCTCCAAATTTCTGAACTAATGGTAGCTCACCAAGCCTTCCTGAGATTTTAAAAAACTGGTAAAATTAATCTCTAATTCTCCCAGATTCTCCAGAAGAACTAAAATTTGACAGATCTTCAGGAATCAGAAAACAATACGTAAGGATAATCCTACTATATTTAGAACTTTTTCCCATTTAATCTACCCAATCCACAAATACATATTGAATTTACTGTGAGCCAAGACTCTCTAGATATTGAAATATAATTTATGTGCAATACAGCCACAGTCTCTGTTCCTGGGAAGTTAAAAGTCCAGAAATAGAGTTCACACTGAACAAATAAGTACAAGTGAAATGTATATTATAAAGTGAAAGTGAAGGTTACTAGGGGAGTGTACCCAACAAAGAGATTAATGTAACCTTTAACATGGGAGTGGGGGTTACCTGGGGAAGTGAGACTTCAAGAAAATGCCTAGAGAATGAATAGAACTTTATCAGTGAAGAGTGGAGAGCACAAATAAAATATGAAGATTATCATTAATATTAGAAAATAATATACATCAAGATACAGCTGAAGTTAAAATGTTGTGCCATTTATAAAACAAGCAAACCTATTTTTTAATTTTCCTTGAGCCATGAAATTGTCCACTAAATCACTTATTCAGTGAAATATAACAACTAGAAAGATAAAGTTCAATCATGTATTTCTAATCCCAAACTCTAACTAAAAGAGGGAAACAGTAGTGAACCAATGATATTAATGTATTTCTGAAACTCACAATCTATAAATTTTCAGAATAATCCCCAAACAAAGGCAACTATGACAATTTCAAGGATGCTTAATTATGGACTTTTGTTTTACTTAAATATGCTAAGCTGAATTACTTGGCTTTCATTTGATTAATTTCTACATCCAGAAATTAACCAAATGAAACCATTCTAGATGAAAAAATGTATATATCCTTTGAGTGGAAGAATAAACTATTTTACAGAACTACTTTGGGAATCCTATAAAAGTTCTGGATATTTTTCTCAGATAAATACAGGTATAGATATTTACTTAGAATTTTACTTCAGAAATCCTCTTCATGGACTCTCTATTTAGGAAGGCATATGGTAGAAGATAACAAACATCTGTCAGGCACTGTGGCTCACACGTGTAATCCCAGCCCTTTGGGAGGCTGAGGCAGGTGGATCACCTGAGGTCAGGAGTTCAAGACCAGCCTGGCCAACATGGAGAAACCTACTAAAAATACAAAATACAAAATACAAAATTTTGTACTAAAAATACAAAAATTAGCCAGGCATGGTGGCACGCACCTGTAATCCCAGCTACTCAGGAGACGGAGGCAGAATTGCTTAAATTGGGAGGCAGAGGTTGCAGTGAGCTGAGATCGCGCCACAGTACTCCAGCCTGGGCGACCAAGCAAGATAAAAAAAAAAGAAGATAACAAACATCAAGCGAAGGATTGGAACTTTAAGATATTTATCTAACCTAAAATAATTTTCATCTTATAGATAAATGAATAAACAACTTTCAAATGATCTCCTAAATTGTTGAAAAGTAATCTGATAAAATTATGATTATTTTATCATATCAGCACCTGGCCCATTTAAGTTTAAGAATGTTCTCAAGAAACAACTGGAATATGTTTTACTAAGAACCATTGATGTTAATATTTTGGTGGCTCATCTAATAATAATAATTTCCAAGACTGGATAAGCCTTGGATTCTCTGGAATCTCCATGTACTAGCGTGAGATGGAATAAATATAGTTAGTATATGCAAACATATTCTCTTGAACTTTAAAGAAACACATTTCAGGCCTGATGTGGTGGTTCACGCCTGTAATCCCAGCACTTTGGGAGGCCGAGGCAGGCAGATCACGAAGTCAGAAGATTGAGGCCATCCTAGCTAACATGATGAAACACCGTCTCTATTAAAAATCCAAAAAATTAGCCTGGTGTGGTGGTGTGTGCCTGTAGTCCCAGCTACTTGGGAGGCTGAGGCAGGAGAATCACTTGAACCCAGGAGGCAGAGGTTGCAGTGAGCCGAGATTGCACCGCTGAACTCCAGCCTGGGTGACAGAGTGAGACTCCATTTCAAAAAAAAAAAAGAAAGAAAGAAGGAAAACACATTTCAAAATAAATACTTTGAAAACATTTTGTCCATTTTAAAAACTGAAAAACAAAAAATTGATCAGCTACAATTTTCTAAATTTCTGGTTATCAGAAAGAAAACCATAGTATATTTCTACTGTGAAAGCAACCACAAGAAAATAAAACAAGGTAGATTAACAGGGGAAATTGTTAAGAAGAAAAAATGCAGCCACCAGTGAAACTCATCAGTCTTATTTGTGGTTAGGCTGAAAATATCTAAAATGTATATTTTATATTTTTCTTCCATGAGTATCCCAAGAAAATAGAGGCATATTTTGAAATTTTTTTGTAGATTTCTTTACAATAGTGAGATACGACAAAACCTGTTTCAAAGACAAGAAATTTCCATTGTAACTTACATGATTTATTCTTTCCTTGTGTTGATCTCAATGTGCAATGAGTAGAACCCTAAATACACATAGCATTTACTTTTGTACAAAGTATCTGACCTTTATACCACATGAGTTCACAGTTTAATTATATGATGGCACTAGCAAGACTACAAAATAAAACTACTCAATAGTAAAATGTACATGCAACATAATGTTGCACACTGTGAAGTATGGCTAATATTACACAGTATGACTCCTTAAGTATTTGAGAAATAATTCAGCAGAATTACAGCTTTCGAGAGCAGAGATTTTTCAAGAGTGAAATAAGGTCAAAATTTCATTAAGGGGCATGAGACACAGTCTGATATTATTCATCAGTATAGAATATAAATCCTTTAGTGTCAGTTCTTAGCAGTTAAAGCAAACATTTATATAACACTTCACTTAATGTAGATCAAATTAATAATAGAATTATTTGATTTCTGCCAGATGATTTCATTACAAATAAGATATCTTGGTGAAAGGGGGATGGCATGAAAAAGGCCTTAAATTTTTACTTTATTTTTTTAAACAGGTAAGATAATCTTCTATATTTAAAGAAACTGAAAATTCATACCCACAAAAAGCCCATACAAGTTTATTGAATTCTGAATTGGAAACGTGTGTGTGTGTGTGTAGGTATATATTTGTGTGTGTGAGATATATATGTGTGTGTGAATGTCATTTTTGGCACACTTATATAGATTTGAATATGGGTAGTATATTAGATAGTATAGAATTATAGTTCTTTTGTTTTTTAGAAGTGATGATTGTCTATGATCGTGTAGGAGATGCATGTTGAAATCTTTGAGATGAAGGGTCATGATGTCTACATCTTACTTTCAAGTGGTTTCACAAAATAAAGCATACACACACACAAAAGGCATATGTAGTAAGTCTAGAACAAATGTATATGGGTTTTCATTGTACCATTCTTTCAAATTTTATTTAGATTTTTTATTTATTTATTTATTTTATTATACTTCAAGTTCTAGGGTACGCGTGCACAACATGCATGTTTGATACATAGGTATACATGTGCTATGTTGGTTTGCTGCACCCATCAACTCGTCATTTACATTAGGTATTTCTCCTAATGCTATCCCTCCCCCAGTCCCCCACCCCTCAACAGGCCCCAGTGTGTGATGTTCCCTGCCCTGTGTCCAAGTGTTCTCATTGTTCATTTCCCACCTATGAGTGAGAACATATGGTGTTTGGTTTTCTGTGTTTGTGATAGTTTTCTGAGAATGATAGTTTTCAGCTTCATCCATGTCTTATTTTCCATGGATGGAAAATAAGATGCCCCGCCCTCACTGGTTACTTACAAAGCCTCAGTATTCAACTGTGAAATGGCAACCCTTTTTCAGGACCCCTCTTTGCAGCCTGAGAGCTTTTTTTCTTTCCCTTATTAAACTTCTCCAACCTCACCCTTTGTGTGTCCACATCATTGATTTCCTCAGCCATGAGACAACGAACTTTGGGTGGCACCCCAGACAATGAGGCTGTTTCATTAGCACCAGTGTTTAAATGCTTAGGATGGCTTATTCACAGAGCCAGTTCCACTGATTATCACAGAAGCCTTTAGGGCAGAATGGTTCACAGCATCATGACTTAGTAGACAAGGCATTCAACATGATAGAACCTATCAAACATGGAATATATGTTATGTTAAATTTCATTATATTTAAGATATGAAATATTTAAAAATGCATAATTTTGTGTATTACCAATAATAAACGAGTTAATTAATATATCACTGCCTTCTTATAATTTCAAGAATCTAAATTTAAGAGATATTAAAATATAAAAGCAAGAATGAGTCCTAGAATCAATGAAGTACTATATTCCCCAAGGAAATAGGTGCTGTAAATGTTAATATTGCGTATCAACCTGACTGGATTGAAGGATTCAAAGTATTGCTCTTGGGTGTGTGTGTGTGAGGGTGTTGCCAAAGGAGATTAACATTTGAGTCAATGGACTTGGAGAGGCAGACCCATTCACAATCTGGGTAGGCACCATCTAATCAGCTGTAAGCACAGCTAGGATAAAAGTAGGCAGGGGAATATGCAAAGACTAGACTGGCTTGGTTTTCCAGCCTACATCTTTCTCCTGTGCTGGATGTTACATGCCCTCAAACATCAAACTCTAAGTTCTTCAGCTTTTGGACTCCTGGACCTTCAACCACAGACTGAAGGCTGCACTGTTGGCTTTCCTACTTTTGAGGTTTTGGGACTCAGACTGGCTTCCTTGCTCCTCAGCTTGCAGACAGCCTATTGTGGGACTTCACCTTTTGATCGTGTAAGTCAATAGTCCTTAATAAACTCCTCTTTATATGTACCTCTATCCTATTAGTTCTGTTTCTCTAGAGAACCCTGGCTCATACAGGACCATATATATGAGAAGTATAATTTCATCCAGATCTAGTCATTGTTTGGGTTATTGCATGTCTAAGAAAAAAATTAACAAAATTTTAAACAAAATTTCCTGACAGTTAAATACACATGGTTGAACCTGCTAGTCACAGAAGTAGTAAAACAAAATAGTTGAGAAAAATTGTGTAGAAAAGGAAAAATTGTGTAGGAAAAGGAGGATATTATTACTCCAACACTTTGACCTGGTCATGCATCTGTATTCTATGCCACTGAGTCACTTGTTCTTTGTTTTAGAATGTAGATAGAGTTTCTTTTCTAAATCATATAAATATTACAGGTGAGAAAAATAAACTATAACAACACTGACAACATCAAATTTTTAGTTTAATACAGATTTCCAAGTTAATTGGAAATGAAGAAGATATAGAAGGAAGGGAATGCATATTTTAGCTTTTAAGGTAATACTCCTTTTATATGAGAAAGCAAAATTTTCTAATATCAGGTCTGAATAGAACATCTTGCATGGTGCTTTTTACGTGTTACTTATAACAAAGTATTCAAAACTTAATGGCTTAAAAATACAAGGATTTATTGTTTCTTATGATTCTGCAGGTTGATTGGGCTTTTCTTGTGCTCCATATGGTGTCCACTGGGGGCACTCTCGGCCTGAATTCAGCTGGATAGGCTGAGCTGGAAGGTTCAAGAAGGCTTCTCTTATAACAGCCTGAGAGGTTCTTCCTGTCTGTTGCTTAAAGACAGACCATGGCATTGCAGTAAATTAACAGTTTAATAGACACGAGGCCAGCCATGCCACATGGGACATGGAGCTAGTTCTGAAATCATTCTTGTCCAATGTTTGTAGGTTAGGGGTTTTTCAAAAGCAGTTTGGGGAAAGGGGTGGGGTGGCTAGGCTTGCTAATGATTGGTTGGGGCAGAGATGAAATCATAGGGAGTCAAAACTATCCTGCATGCTGAATCATTTCTGGGTGGGGCCACAGGAGCTAGTTTGGCAGGTCCAGGTGGATTCAGGTGGAGCTATGGGTATCAGACATAAAAAAAACTTAAAAGATATTTCAAAAGGCCAATCTTAGGTTTTACAATAGTGATATTATTTACAGAAGTAATTGGAGGAGTTGCATATCTTATAACCTCTGGAATAATGGCTGACTGTCACTTGTGCCTGTGCCTTAGCAGAACTCAGGCTCCTCTCCTCCCCATAGCCTAATGGCCTTTCGTTAGCTTTACAAAAGTGGTTGAGTTTTGGGCAAGGCCCATTACCATTTGAACTATAGCCTGAATATCTTCCAAAGTTAGCTCAACCCAATAACCCATGAATAATTAAGGAAAAAGCAAGATGGGGGCTGGTTTAGCTCAGATTTCTTTCACTGTCATAATTTTCTCATTGATAATTTTTGCAAAAGTGGGTTTACTCTCACCTACTGGGACTTGGCATTGACTGATGGCTGAGGGCCTCAGTTATCCTCATTGTTGCTGGCTTTAAACATGATATTGCATCCTCCAGGGCCTTGCCATGTGGCCCCTCTCTCCAGCAGGAGAGTTAGGACTAACTTATAGCATAGCTCTTACATTCTGAAAGAAAGCATTCTGAGAGGGTAAACCTTATTGTAGAAGTATTACCATTAAGTAGCTAGTCAGGCAAGAGCAGGGCAGGAGAGGGCTTCCCCTGCACACACCAGGAATGTCAAGCAGCCGTAAGGCAATTGTCAGGTGGTTGTTAACTGTCTCTCTAAAATAATAATTGGTTATAGTGGTGCCAGGGAGAGGGTCTCCCAAAAGAAATAATCTGAAACTGGTGATCAGCAGCTTCCTGATACAATCTCAGGCATTGGGCAAGTGAGCTCAAGCGTGTGCATTAAGAGGCAAAATGGCAGAGTTTAACTGTTATATGACCACCCAGGGACATTCGACTGCTAAGAGAAGAACACCTCAAGTGGGAATGCATACAACTCCAGTAAATACACAGTGCGTGTTCACCTCCCATATGCTAGAAGGCCAATGTGCATGGGGACAACCCATCTGAAGGGAAGAATCAGGGGAGAAGGGATGCAAGACCCTGGAAGAATGCCAACATATAAAACCGCAAGTCAAAGGTCAAACAGGGCACTTGATCTCACAAGTGGTCTGCTTGGACCTCTTTCAAGTGTACTTCCTTTCATTTCTGCTCTAAAACTTTTTAATAAACTTTCACTCCTGCTCCAAAACTTGCCTTGGTCTTTTCTTCTACCTTATGCCCCTCAGTCAAATTCTTCTGAGGAGGCAAGAATTGAGGTTGGTGCAGATCTGTAAGAATTTTCCACTAGTAACATACTTTGGTGCCCCTAAGCGGTAAGACACCTCTACGGCTCATCTTTGGCAAGAGGCAGTCAACCACTGTACATGGTTTTCTTCTCCTCTTTCACCCTCCTGCTTACTAACAAAGCCCCAGAATGATTCCTCTTGGCCACAAGTTGCTCTTTCCCCCTTGGCTGATCTCTCAGCTAACCGTGAAAGGTGACTTGCAGGGGTGGGAAGGACCTTGGGTCTGTACTGAGTAGATCTGAGGCACTAATGGCCCTCCTGGACAAGAGGCTCGTTAGAGTGGTAGGGCTAAAAACTAAAACTGTGAGATTGCTGAGGTTTTCTATGTTTTTTCAAATAAAATCAGCTCTTTTCAATAAAAATAATAAGAAAAAAACCCATACCACCCATTCTCCTGTTTTCTCTGTGTATATTCTGAAATGACCTAGTGTACCAACTGGACCATCCACCTTGGGGCCAAGTCTGCCTCTTTGCTTTCACTTTGCTTACCATGTAACTCCTTTAACACACCTTCCCTGTTATTTGTGTTCCTGTGGCTCTTGTTGCATTTGTGCAGCAGCAAAGACACAGGCTTCCTTGCAGATATCTCCTGAGATTTAAACTTGTTTTTACCTTATTAGCTTGGATGACCTCAAACCCTTACCCTGTCTGTTGGCACATTGCTGAGACAGACACTAATTGGAGCCCTGGCTCTGCCAGCTTCTTATAACTTACCAAATGCTTTTTGTTCCTGTTACACTCCAGGGCTAAGTTTTTTGGTGGTTTTTGAAGCAGTTTGTCTCACCTGCACAAGGCCTCACTCTGTGGTTCTTTAAGGATGCCATCTACTTGTTTTTTTTTTTAATTAGCACCCCCTTTTGGAGGAGGGAAAATTCTTCCTTTGCCATTTGAGAGTTCTTACCCCAAGGCCTAAGTCCCCTGGAGGTTATTACTTTATGTCAAGAGGGCAAATATATGTTTCCCTCTCGAATCCAAGAGCTGCTATTTTTGCAAGCACATGAAGGCATTACAGGAGTATTCCTCTAGCTTCCTCCCACTTCTTCCTGTAGCCTCCATTTCTCTAATCACTTCTACACCTTTCTCAACAGGCCTCAAGATCTTCAAGGTCATATTCAAAGGGAGGGAAGTCCAACCCCCTTGTAGCAGTTAGCTAAAAATACAGGTTTCTCATCAACTTAAAGAACATGCAAGGCCGGGTGCGGTGGCTCATGCCTGCAATCCCAGCACTTTGGGAGGCTGAGGCAGGTGGATCACGAGGTTAGGAGATCAAGACCATCCTGGCTAACATGGTGAAACCCTGTCTCTACTAAAAATACAAAAAATTAGCTGGGCATGGTGGCACATGCCTGTAGTCCCAGCTTCTTGGGAGGCTGAGGCAGGAGAATTGCTTGAACTGGGAGGCAGAGGCTGCAGTAAGCCGAGATCACTGTCACCGCATTCCTCCTGGGAGACAGAGAGAGACTCCATGTAAAAAAAAAAAAAGAAGAAGAAGAACATGGGAAACGGGAATCTAAGATATAATTATTTTGTTGCTAAAATGTTCTGAGTGAGAGCCACTATAGCCCAAGGCTGCGGGCACAAGAGACCCATAGGACAGAGAGGAAGGTTGGTCCCAGGCTAACAGATTACAATTAGAGCAGAGATGAAGACAAGGTTAGGGGTACATGGTAAGACCACTTCATTCTAGAACCGTAAGGATGAACTGGGGGACCACTGTTCACTCCAGTATCTCCTCTGTTCTCAAGTGGGTAATTGTGATGAGATGGGACCAGGGTTAACGGTACTTGGAAAGATGGATTTATTCCAAAACCCTAAGGATGAATGGGGGGTGGCCCACTCAGAATGAAAGGAGAGCAAAAGGGGATGCCTTTTTTCTTTTTAATTCTTTTTACTTCTCTGCTCTGTCTTCACAGATGGGTAATCATGTCTCCATACCATAGGACACACCCCTCGGGTGCATCCCCCAAAACTGGAAATAGTTCGATTCCCCCAAACCTTAAAACAAAAAAACTAGTTTTCCTTTGTAATACAGTTTGGCCTAAAAATGAACTGGGAGAAAAAGGAGAAAGGCAGAGACAAGAGGCAGATTCAACTGTTGGCTGCTTTACTAGCTCTCAAGCCCCCTCCAGGTTGCCCTAAGGAAACTCCTTTAAGGAATTGCCATTGATGTGGGAATCCAGGCCACTGGAAGGAAAACTGCCCCAATGGGACAAATGGGAGAAGGCCTCAAATGGCTTGCCTTCTCTACCACAAATTTGGCCACTGGAATAGAACAGTCCTGAGGGCCAAAGGGCCCCTGGGACAGAATCCCAACCCCTGATGGCCTTGAGCTGAAAGGCTCTCTGCTCTGGCTTGCTTCCAAATCAGACATCATCATCAATAGGACAAAGCCAAGGGAAAGTCTGGAGGTGGCAAGTAAAATTATAAACTTCCCTTTTGGGTTCAAGAGCTGCCTACTCTGTGATAATCTCTTTCTCTAAGCAACTCTCCTTGAAATCCTGTTGGATAATGTGGGCAAATGGCACCACTTTCCTCCAAAGAAAAGATTCACACACCTTTGGGGCAAAAAATACAATTTCCAAGATGGGTGCCTGCTTAATAATTACCTGACCTCTAAATTCATCTTTCTCTCTAATAGCTCTATTTCTTCTGGAAAAGCTAGCTAAATCTTTAACCAACAATTTCAACTTGGATGGTTCTACCTCAGGGGTTTAGAACTAGCCCACACTTACACACACAAACCTTAGCAAAAATCTAACTGAGCAGTCTCTTGATGGGGGATAATTTCTACAGTATGTAAATACAACCTCCTCATTTGCTCCCCCTTCTCAGAACTCACACAGCAATATGCCATACAAACCTTAACTTTCTAATAGAAAAAAAATGACTTCTCTATTTTGAAGGTTGTAAAAGTAAAGGTATTACTGGCAATGAAGGTTATAAAAAAAGATATTTTGTCTGACAAAGGATCTTGTATGGTAAAGTCTTGCCCTAAAGTAAAATAACTGGTTGTTTAAAAACAGGGATGTTTAGGACAAGTGAGAAAGTCCAAGCATGCCATAAATGATCTGTGTAAGTATTAAAAATATTCATGAAAGGGAAAAATTTAAAGAATTTTAAAGGTTATTAGGCCTACTAAATGTTTCATAAACTAATGCTATGACTTAAATGTACAACTTGCCTGCTTTAAATCTAGGTAAGGCCTGGGGACACACAGAGATTCATGCCCCCTAGCTATGCTGGAAAGAGTCAGACCTTATCTACTCTTCTGTCTGGTGTCCTAGGCTCTAAACCTAGTACATAATTAAAATCACTTATTTACCAGGTTTTTCAACAAAAGTAAAAGTTGCTAAGAGTTATCAGTGTAACATGTACTTGAGACTACTGCAAAAGCAGTTTTACATTCAAGGCTTGTAAGGAAAGTAGAATGTACTTTTGGTAAAAAAGATTATAAGAAGGCATGGTAATGCAGATTTCTGACAAAGTTTAGAGGGTTAAAGGATTATTTTAAGTTAGATAGGATAAAGCTAAAGGTTTGAGCAAGTTGTGGAAGATTTGTGAAAAATTAATCCTATAAAGGAAATTCTTTATGTAAACATATTGGCTAAAATTAAAAGAGTACTATCCAGTTTATTCATAAATTGAATATTGGAATAAAAGCACAAGGTGGTTTTCTTAGTGCATTGTTCTTCTTTTTCAACAGAAAACTTTAAAGAGTTTGAAAAGGTTTATGGAAATCTTACAGTCAAACACATTATGATTGAATAGATATGTGTTTAAAGTTTTATTAAGAATTGGATTTAAGATCAACAATACACTAAAGCAAAGGTAAAATCTGGCTTTCTTTGGTCTGTATTTGTATAAATTTGTTATTGGCATGTATTCCAAATTTGTGCCAAACTCCTGTAATTCTAATGTGACTTAGTATACATTATCAGTAGTCACTATAATTGTTATGTTAAATCATTGTGTTTCACAGAGGTAACAAATTTCTTTGTCAATTGTGTCTTTGACTATGGCTGCCCTAAGACTTTTTGTTATTGACAGACAATTGTTGTCTTGTTTTAATCCTAATTAAAAGGTGGTTTTATAATCAACTATAAGACTTTAACAGGTGCTCTTACATGCAGGTTTCTGAAAACTTTGGAGTTTGTGACACTAGAATAAAGGAAAAACGTTGAGGACTCTCATGGACAGCTAAAATGTTCATGAATATTAGGCAGAACAGGAGTTAACTGCATGGACTGAACTAATAGAAAACTGAAATAATCCTTCTATTTACAGCTTTTAAAAAATTGCATAAAGTATACTCCTATTAACAAAATTTGGAGCCTATTGCTTTCTCTCTACTTGATTTCCACAGAATCTGGAAACTACTTGTGAATATTCTTAACTTATGGCAATATACTTATTTGCATAAGTACAATAAGAATTTGTTTTCTTTTGCAACAGGACACATTGGAGAAACTGTTTATTTTACCAAGGTTTTGACTTGAATGGTGGGCTTTCCTTTAAGGAATCAAATTTGACATATACAGCCAATAAAAACCCCTTGGAAAAACTGGCCTCATACCTTGTCCACACATTCCCTGTACAGGGTTCCTGGCCTATGGCAAGTAAAGAATGTCACTTTGTGACAGGCCTGGGAGCCCCAAATTATCTTGGGACCTCAAGAGGAGAGGAATTTACCCAACTCATACAGGTGTTTGATGGCACAAACCCATGGCTGGGCTCAAGACTTAAGAATCTCAAGTATTATCTGAGATTCTTTATGGAATGAAGTTCCATCAAAGCCAATTAAAAAGGAGCCTATGTGACAAATAATTATTCTTGCTGTGCTTTATACAAATAAACAGGACAAGTTTAATAAGACTAAAGCTTATTTTGCAAATAAATCAGACTTATTATAATTTGTTTTTCATAAAAATTAGGACTGGAGAGAGAGAAATTATGTTTCAATAATAGAAGGAAGGGGAGAGGGAAGGGAGATGGAAAGAGAGAGGGGAGGGGAGAGGGTACAGATATGGCACACTTGTTATTAGGTTCTAGACTTATCAGTTGTTTTGGAGTTTTTGTCTGCAGTTTAGCCTAGTCCTGCTTATTCCTGTGAATCAACCAGTAGTCTCTGGCTGCAGCTCAGAAGAAACAAGAGGGATGAGTAATGTAAAAATTTGGATCAATATGCTAATTCTGGGCACATTTTGGAATTGGTAGCAACCCCACAGAGCAAAGTCTTAGCAGGTATGACTATAGTAATTAATACCAGCTACCTGGATGTGTCAGCAGTCTCAGAATTTTTTGGTGCTGTCATCACTCCCTTATTTTGCTCTGACATTCTTCTAAATCTAATAACCTGATATGCTTCCTCTAGCCTTCAGGCCATCAAGCTCCAGATGATCCTCAGTGAGGGTTAACTTCCTCTCAATATTCAAGAGTAACCCTTCTACAGACCCCCAGACTGCCCATTAGTGAGACATGACAGAGGCAAAATCTTGTCCCTGTCTCCCTTGGACCTGGCTGGATACTGCTTTCACCAACCCATGGAGCCACCCTCCTGCCCTGACATCTAGCAAAGAGGCCAAGATCCACAGAACAACCACCACCATCACCCCGCTGGAAGCAGGAAGCAGTTACAGAAGACTGAGGTTCATGCATTTTCTTCAAATAATTGTGATCTTGGTCTCTTGGGTGGGAGAATATTACAGTGGCTAGTCAGGCATGAACAGGGCAGGGGAGGGCTGCCTCGCATACATCAGGAATGTCAGGCAGCCATCAGGTGATTGTTAGGCAGTTGTTAATTGTCTCTCTAAAATAATATTTGGTCCCTGCTGGCACCAGGGAGAGGCAGTCTCCCAATAGATAGAAATAACCTGACACTGGTGATTAGCAGCTTCCCAATAAGATCTCAGGCATTAGGAAAGTGGGCTCAAGCATGTGCATTAAGAGGCAAAATAGCAGAGTTTAACTGGTATATGACCATCCAGGGACATTCAACTGCTAAGGGAAGAATGCCTCAAGTGAGCATGCATACAACTCCACTAAACATACTGTGCATGCTTACCTCCCACATGCTAGCAGGCCAGTGTGCATGCAGACAGCCCACCTGAAGGGAAGAATCAAGGGAGAAGGGATGCAAGACTCTGGAAGTATGCCAGCATATAAAACCCCAAGTCAAAGGTCAAACAGGGCACTTGATCTCTTAAGTCACCTGCTTGGCCCTCTTTCAACTGTACTTTATTTCCTTTCATTTCTGCTCTAAAGCTTCTTAATAAACTTTCACTCCTGCTCTAAAACTTGCCTGGGCCTCTCCTTCTAACTTCTGCCCCTCAGTCAAATTCTTTCTTCTGAGGAGGCAAGAATTGAGGTTGCTGCAGACCCATATAGATTTGCCACCAGTAATAGAAGCATAGGACAAACCCCTGCTTGTATCACTTTTGCTAATGTCTCATTGACCAAAACTGTGATATGATCAAGCCTACCATTATTGTGTGAGGGCACTACAAATGACAAAAGTATTGGGAGCCAAAGTCTTTGCTTCTCCCCAATATAACAATCTACTACTCATGAGAAATCTTTTTATATTCACATGAGAGTCTATGAGATTGAATCTCCATTTTTCCACATTACTCTGTGATAAGGAGAAAAAATTATATCCTCCTCCCTGTTTTTAACATCTCAAACAAAAGCAGTTTCATAAATAAGAAATATTGCAAGTGATGAGTATTTAATTTTTAAAGGAACAATTGTTTGTCATTTCTAATAAAGCCAGGGAAATATGTCTAAAATCAAATGTTAAATTGCATTTTTAAAAATAACAAAACCAATTACCATATGTGCATTATGTAAGAATCATTTTTTCAGACACATAAAATTACACAGTATCTTTTCTTTTCTAAGGAATAGTTTCTACCCAAAAAGAAGGCCCAAATTTATATAGTCAGGTTTAAAAAAAAATCTCATTCACTCTAAAAGGTATCTTCTTGATGTTCATGAGAACTTCAAATAATAATTAAAATACATATAAAAATAAAAAGAAAACTAAGTTTAGTGATTGGCTACTTCACTGAAGAAATAATCAAACCTCCACATAAATTATAAATGAGCTTAAATGCACTGATAAACTTACAAAAACATGAACTATAATCCACCAAAAAGTTTATGTGAAGAAACAAACCAAGACAAGTTGCTGAGTACTTTATTTGACTTTTGTTTGTGGTCATTTGATGAACCAGGTGAACTTACTTTGATTTTTAAGAGATATTGAGGACAATATACAAAGTCTATGGGTTTACCTATGCTTAGGAGTCTGATAGGAGACATACACTTAAAGAGGCCACCAAGGGTTACAATCTCCTTACAAAAGTGAATTTAAAATGTACTAACCCCTCCTTAAGAATACTACAAGAAAAGTTGCTTGTCATGATTTTGATATTGAAATTGATTTGATTTGATATTGAAGGGAAAAATATCTTCCTCAAGAATTTTTAACACCAAGATACTTCCTCAAAGTGGCTTTGGAATAAGAATGTATACTGCATGGGTGGTCCAAAGAAACTTTACATAAATAATATAATTTAGTAGCCTAAGCTACCACCTCAGGTTCCTGAAAGAAGCAAAATCTAATACTCTAAAGGAATCCATTTTCCTTCCACAACTCAAAGAATTTTCAGATAAACTTCTAAAAAGTAAAATATCGCAGTCGAGCATGAAAGGAAAACAAGGTATGAATGAGAGGTTAACTGGCTCTGCTGCTTACTGGGTAACATGCTTTTTGAAATGTATTGCTACCTGCTGGCAAGCTTGTGCTTTGAGTTGTGCTGATTTTTCTGCATTTACAAGTCTTACCAAGCGTCTGTTTAGAATTAACCAACATAAGTTGGAAGTTTTCAACCATTAGTGTCTAGTGACAGTGCTGTGGGAATGGAGTCTTCCTTTTATAAATGGCATGGGGAGTGTGTCCCAGAATAGATTTACTATCTGTGTGCCTCAGATTGTAGTTTGTGTCTTGATTCCATCACAAGCCATGACTGACACTAGAGTTGGGAAAATCTCTTACCACTGACAGCTGGTGTGTGTCTTACCAGGCATTGGCCCCATTCTATAGAGTGTTCTGAGGAAAGACTGATAGTTTGTGCAATATATGGGCCCGTTTGGTGATAGCTCATATAGGGGAAGAGAAGTTACAATGTGATATACTGAGGTCACATAAATGAAAACAAATTACTTACTAAGACTTCACAAAATACCATAGTCACCCTGTCCATTTTTCTAAAGTATCTCATAGTGGTCATGACTGCTGTTGACCCAACAAGCAATAAACTGAAATTAAATTAAGTCTTTGGCACTTAACTATTGGTTTGATAAAATGGCACCCTATGGATCTTACTGCAGATAAAACAGGTTATCAAGCTGTATATAAAGTAAAACAGAACCTTCAAGGATTAAAACCTATTATACAAGACATTTAAAGAAGAGTTGGTTATCCCTACTGCTTCTCTAATTAACAGCCCAATTTGACCTACTTCTAAACCTGAAAAAATAAATGGCACCTCATAGTGGATTGCTATAAGGCTAATGCTCTAGTCATACCAATTAAGGTGCCCATACCTACGATTATTTAAATTACCAAATCCATCCAACCAGCAACAGATAAATACTTTGACTCTTCTGTAGTTGTAGATTTGTCTATTACATTCCATTTAGTGTTTATTTCAATAGAATCTTGGATGTCGTTTGCTTTCACTTTTTAAGTGACACAAAAGAAGGTGCTTACCTAGCTATCTATGGGCTACATCAACATTCTTGTGATCATACACAATCTTTGTAGGTAAGATCTTAATTGCATCCAACTTTACTCAGAAGCACAGGTATGACATCATACTCATGACATCCTCCTCCATGGAGATCCATTTGATACATTTATTGAGGACACACAAATACTCCCAAAGGAGTTCATAGAGAGAAGTTGGTCACTGTTTCACACATAGTATAGGACCACACCACTTCAGTTAAATTTCTGAAAATTGTTTGGTAAGCTGAGGGCTGCTCCATTCCTGATACTGTCAAGAAACAGCTACTGACCTTCTCAGCAACCATGATGTTAAAACTAGTGAAAGTTCTTTTAGGCTTTGGGTTTTGGAGACAACATATTCTTTATTTAGAAATTTTACTTAAGCCCATATATGCTGTCACTCACAAATTGGCATACTTTGAATTAAACCTCCTATAACAAAAGCCCCTAGCATCTGTCCAAATTGCAGTAGAACATTAGTGCTCCCCAATCAGGCTCCTTCACTCTAGCAGCTTTAGCAACCTCCTGTTGTTCCTCTTGGGGTCTTGGAGATATAAATGATGGCTATATATTGCCCATGGGCTTCCAGTGCAAGAAATTGCCTTCCTTGGCTCAACATTATATGCCATTAGGGTAACAACTGCTAGCTAGAATTGATAGCTCTCCTAGAAACAGAGGTGTTACAGGACCTGAGCTTATGGCCCTCCATACCCAGCTGCCCATTACACCTTGGGTATGGTAACAGCACCCCATGAGCTCAGCATGGCCACTGAAGTCTCCTTGCTATCCGGTGGAGCTAAACCTGGTCTTCCACTGCAGGAGTGGGAAGGGGCTGTCTTGCCCTCATTTCCCTGCCAAATGACACAGTGATGGAGGAGGTTGCCCTTTTCTGTACCCCTTAGTTTCATGGAGAGCCCCTTGGTATCAACCAAGTGAGCAGTAAAAGAAGTTCATGTAAGAGGGATGGCCACACCACCATTACGTGCTCACTGGAGGGCTGTTTAAATTGCTTTTCATCCTTCAACTGCATGTTCCTGATCAAAGATGAAAACCAAGGGTCAGCAAAACTGACTGAACTTTACTCAGCCATTTAACATTAGATATCCTAGCTAACAATCAGCCTCATCTACACATTTTTACAGCAACAATTTCTTAACCAAGATTCCCCTTTGGAGTAAAAATCTCTAGAAATCTCTTGCCTCACAGATACCCAAAATGTAGGATAAGGTCACAGTACAAGCCCTCACTAAGATACTCTATCCCCTAGGAGTTCTAGACATTATTGGTAGTGACCAAGGCACTCATTTGACTTCTGAAAATATACAATGTCAAACTCTTCAACAAGGTACTCAATGTCATTTTGGATTCATTGGGGCTACCCCTTTCAACATAGAGCCAAAGTGCAAGAGTCTTGGGGACAGAAGGATTTCAAAGAGGCTGAGGGCACCTTCACTACCTTAATGCTTGCTGTCCAGCTCAAGGCTCCACTCTCCAAATTCTGGGGCAGCACTCCTCAGCCACCCTAGGTGTGGCTTCGGTGGACCCCAATACAGCATGGGCAGCAGTGACTTCCCCTCTAAAAGGCACATGTGGTAAACCTTGGCAGCATCTTTTGGGGTGCAAAATGCCCAAGCCATGGGGGCATGGCTACCCCCACCCCAGATTTCAAAAGATACAGCCATGTGGAACTTTGAAAGTGTGATCCAGGAAGAAGGCTTCCTTGAGGGCCAGGTCACTGCAGAGAACCTCCACTAGGGCAATGCCTAGTGGAACAATGGGGTCAGGACATCCCTTCAACCTCAGACTAGTAGAAACATTGGCTTGCAATTCCAGCCTGGTAAAACCACTGGGACTGCATACAACCTGTGAGAGCAGTGGTACTCACTGGGCCCAGAAAAGCCATAGTAATGGGGCCACCCAAAACAGTGGGAACTGGGCTGCCCGTGGCCTTAGGTGAACAACCCCTGCCTAACAGAGTTGCAGAGGCAAGACCTCTGTGCCAGTGAGCCTGGAGGTCAGATTTTCAGTCAAAGATTATTCTCAAAAGGCTTTGGACTTACTTGGGACCTGTTACCCCTTTTTTCTTTCCTATTTCTTTCCTATTTCCTATGTTCTATGTCTGTGCCACTATTGTGTTTTGGGAGCATATAACTCCTTTCACTTCACAGATTCACAGCTAAAGAACAAATTGCCTAAGGATAAATCCCACCTTGAGTCTTATTCATATCTAATTTAGATACATTTAGATGAGACTTTAGAGTTAGGCTTTGAAGTTGATGCTAGAACACGTTAAGATTTTGGGAGCTATTGGGATAAAATAAATATATTTTGCATGTGAGAAGAACCTGAATTTTTGGAGATTAGGAGTGAAATGCTATAATATAAATGTTTGTATTCTCAAAAAGTTAATATGTTGAAATGTCATTACAAATGCATAGTGTCAAGAGGTGGACCTTTGGGAAGTAATTAGGTCATGAGGGTGGAGCCTTTAAAAATAAGATCAGTGCTCTTATAAAGAGGCCTTAGAGAGCTGTCATGCCTGTTTTATCATGTGAGGAGGACACAGTGAAAGACACTGTTCTTTAAACCAGGAAATGGGCCCTCACCAGACACCAGATCATCTGGCATCTTTCACCTTCATCTTTGACTTCCCAGGGTCCAGAACAGTGAGAATACATTTCTGTTGTTTATAAGCTACCCAGTTTATGGTATTTTGTTATAGCAGCCTGAATGGACTAAGACAGAAACTCTGCAGAAGAAAACTGAATAAATACATAAGAACATATTCAACCATACTAATAATCAGATAAATGCAAATTTCCTTCAATGAATTAATACTTTATACCCAAGACTATCCCTGACAAGCAAAAGCTGAAGGATTTCATCAACATCAGACCTGTCCTACAAGAAATGCTAAGTGAAGTAATTTGATCAGAAAGAAAAGAACTTTAATGAGCAATAAGAAATCACCTGAAGACACAAAACTCACTGGTAATAGTAAGTTCACAGAAAAGCATAGAATATTATAACACTGTAACTATGGTGTGTAAACTACTTTTAAGTAAGAAAGACTAAATGATGAAACAATAAAAAAAAAACTGGCTGGACGTGGTAGCACATGCCTGTAATCCCAGCACTTTGGGAGGCCAAAGAGGGTGGATCAGGAGGTCAGGAGATCGAGACCATCCTGGCTAACATGATGAAACCCCATTTCTACTAAAAATACAAAAAATTAGCCAGGCGTAGTGGCACATGCCTGTATTCCCAGCTACTTGGGAGGCTGAGGCAAAAGAATCATTTGAACCCAGGAGGTGGAGGTTGCAGTGAGCCGAGGTTGCAGTGAGCCAATATGCACCACTGCACTCCAGCCTGGGTGAGAGAGTGAGACTCTGTCTCAAAAAATAAACAAACAAACAAAAACAACAACAACTTTTCAAGACATAGACAGTATGATAAGATGTAAATAGAAACAACAAAAAGGTAAAATGTGGGAGGACAAAATTATAGAGTTTTCATTAGTTTTCTTCTTGCTTATTTGTTTTTGCAATGTTAAATTGCAGCTTAACATTGCAAAAAATGTTAAGCTGCAACTTAACATTGTTAAGCTGACAATGATAACCTGACTTAACATTGTCAGCTTAAAATAGTGTGTTATAAGATAGTATTTGCAAGCCTCATGGTAATCTCAAATAAAAAATAATACAAGGGGCTGGGCATGGCAGTTCACACCTGTAATCCCAGCACTTTGGGAGGCTGAGGCGGGCGGATCACAAGGTCAGGAGATCGCGACCATCCTGGCTAACAGGGTGAAACCCCGTCTCTACTAAACAAAATACAAAAAATTAGCCGGGCATGGTGGCGGGCACCTGTAGTCCCAGCTACTCTGGAGGCTGAGGCAGGAGGATGGTGTGATCCCAGGAGGCGGAGCTTGAGAGTGAGCCGAGATCGTGCCACTGCACTCCAGTCTGGGAGACAGAGCAAGACTCCATCTCAAAATAATAATAATAATAATAATAATAATAATAATAATAATAATAACAACAATAATACAAGGAATACACACACAAAAAAAGCAAGAAATTAAATCATATCACCAGAGAAAGTCACCTTCACTGAAAGAAAGACAGAAAGGAAGGAAAAGAAGATCACAAAACAGTCATAAAATAAACAACAAAATGAGCAAATTAAATGTTGTCAATAATAACATTTAATGAAGACATAAAGTAGCTGAATGGATAAAAAGAATAGGACCCAATGATCTGTTGCCTACAAGAAACACACATCAATACAATAATACAATAATAGCTGGAGATTTCAACACTCCACTTTCTGCATTGGACAGATCTTCGACAGAAAATCAAAAAAACATTGACGTAATCAGCACTATAGACCAAATGAACTCAATAGATATTTACAGAACATTTTGTCTAAGGGTTACAGAATATGCAATTTTTCCTTAGCATATGGGTCATTCTCAAGGATAGACCACGTGTTAGGTAACAAAACAAATCTTAAAACATTCAAAGAAGATGAAATAGCCTCAAGCATCTGCTTTGACCACAATGGAATAAAACTAGAAATTAATAACAAAAGGAATTTGAAAATAATATAAACACATGTAAATTAAAAGATATCCTCTTGAATAACCAGTAGTTCAATGAAGAAATTAAGAAGAAAATTGAAAAATTTCTTGAAACAAATGATAATGGAAACAAAACATACCAAAACCTATGGATTACAGCAAAAGCAGTACTAAAAGGGAAGTTTAGAGCTATTAAGTGACTACATCAAAAAAGAAGAAAAACATCAAATAAACAACCTAGCAATGCATCATAAAGAACTAGAGAAGCAAGAGCAAACCAAATCCAAAATTAATAGAAGAAAAGAAATAATAAAGATCAGAGCAGAAATAAATGAAATGAAGAAAACAATATAAAAGATCAATGAAACAAAAAAGTTGTTTTTTTAAAATATCAACAAAATTGACAAACCTTCAGCCAGGCTAATGAAGATAAAAAGAGAGAAGACCCAAATAAATAAAATGAGAAATGAAAAAGAAGACAATACAACTGATACTGCAGAAATTCAAATGATCATTAGTGGCTACTATGAGCTATTATATGCCAATAAATTGGAAAAATCTAGAAGCAATGGATAAGTTCCTAGATACACAAAACCTACCAAGAGTGAACTATGAAGAAATTCAAATCTTCAACAGACCAATAACAAGTAATGAGATCAAAGTTGTAATAAAAAGTCTCCCAGCAAATAAAAGCCTGAGACATGATGGCTTCACTACTGAACTCTACCACACATTTAAAGAGGGATTAATACCAATCCTACTGAAACTATTCTGAAGAATAGAGGAGGAGGGAATACCTCCAAACTCATTCTACAAGGCCAGTATTACCCTAATATGAAAACCAGAAAAAATACATCAAAAACAGAAAATTATAGGCCAATATCACTGATGAATATTAATACAAAAGTTTTCATCAAAATACTAGCAAGCCCAATTCAACAACACATTAAAAAGATTATTCATTATGACCAAGTGGGATTTATCCCAGGGATGCAAGGATGGTTCAACACACACAAACCAATGTGATACATCATATTGACAGAATGAAGGACAAAAAACATATGATGTTTTCAATTGATGCTAAAAATGCATTTGATAAAATTAATCATTGCTGGGATGAGTAGTGGGGGCATGGAAGGGAGGTGGGGATGATTAATGGGTCCAAAAAACAAGGGAAAGGATGAATAAGACCTAGCATTTGATAGCATAACAGGGTGACTATAGTCATAATAATTTAATTGTACATTTAAAAATAACTAAAAGAATGTAATTGGGTTGCTTGTAATGCAAAAGATAAATGCTTGAGGTGATGGATACCCTATTCGCCATAATGTGATTATTATGCATTGTCTGCCTATATCAAAATATTTCATCTAACCCCTAAATATATACACCTACTAAATACATACCCATAAAAATAAATATATACCCATAAAAATAAAAAAACCCTGTAAAAATAAAAAATAAAATAAAAATTTTAAAAATGATTTACACTGGCATACTGGCAAAAATTAAGAAGTACAACTGCTTTGGAAAACAATTTAGTATCATTCTATAAAGTTGATATTAATATATTCTATGATGTAGCAATTCACTCCTATACATGTATCCTAAACAAACTTAGGCACATATACCTCTGGGCAACTGTTCAAGAATATACATAGCAACAGTTTGTAGTAGCAGAAAATTGTAAACAAAAATATATTTGTCATTAAAAGCATAATAAGTAAATAAATTTTGGTATATTTATATGCTGGAAGACTATATAGCAGTGAAAATGAGTAAATTATTGGTACATGAAAAAGTACAGAAAAATCCTAGAACATAAGGCTGAATAGAAAAAAGCCAGTTGTAAACAAATTTAGAAAGTATGATTAAGTTATCATAACATGAAAGCCTTTCAAAAGTAAACATCATTGTATAGAATAAAGAAACATGAATACATCAGAAAGCTAAAGGAAAGGAAGAGAACTACGAGGACAGAATTTTGGATGGGGGTAGAAATAAAAGATTAGAATTTGGGTGAACATATAGGAGACTGCCAAGTAAAAGGCAATATTCTGTTCTTAAAGCTATGAGATGGGTACACATGCACTGTCTTTTGTACATATATTTTATGAATATTATTTTATAGACTGAATTTTATTTAAGTAATTAAAAATCCAGAATTATTAAAATAAGAATTTATTATAAAGAATTGTTGGGGATGTGGGGCCTTTTAAAAGAGCATAAAAAAATAGAAAAAAGAAAATGATGAATGTGGTGGTTTGCTGCAAACCACCATGACACATGTATACTTGTGTAACAAACCTGCACGTCCTGCACTTGTACCCCAGAATTTAAAGTATTTTTTTAAAAAGGGCAAAGAAACAACAATTGCCTTGTTGAGTACCGAACCCTAGCTAATCAAGTAATTATGACTAGCAAACACTACCATTTCAATCGCTAGGAGTTTTTATTTCATAGATAGGTGTCTTTGGACAAACCTGACTTAATTAGCAGTCATTACTGTTTCAACTAATTGTATTGGTTGAAAACAATAATGACTTAATGAGCTTAAAAAAACATATAATTTGTCCAACCAGAATGTGCCAGGACATTTAAGGAATAAATGAATCCAGTGAATGCATATATATTAAACATTTTCCTGTGTATTTATGCATTAGGCATTCAAACAGCTATAATTGCAACATATGAGGTTTTTAGTTTTGTTTACTGTACATTCTCAAGTAAATAAAGGTAATACATAACATCTATAATTAATTATTTTTAATTTTGATAGCATAAAAATAAAACATAATGAATTAATATTTGCTTTACATTTATTTGTATAATTTTATAAGAGACTTTTTGCAAGAGATGGTTTCTTATTTACTGGCATGATTAAACATGAGTGTGACTAGGGAAGAAAACGTCCCCCAGAGTTTCTAAAAACAAAATATCATTAGAGAGATCATCACTGAGGCCAGTGAATAATGCCTGTTATAGAAAAATAGAAAATTCATAGTTTCTTTCAATATACAAACAGAAATATTAAAGGTAAAAATATAGCACTAGGAGAAGCAAATACAACAAAACAATGAATGCATGACCTATGCACTATGGAAAAATCAACTTAATTATGGTTACAATAGTTCCTCTTTTTGAAAGAAGTCCAGGTTTAATTAAAATCTTCTCATTTGATCAGATGGAGTTGCAGATGAGATTAGTTGAATCTATTGTTCTTATTCATTTTAATGTACTGCATTTCAGCAGTATGGAGACATACAAAAGAAAACCATTTCACTAACTCTTCAAAGGAGTCTGTTATGATTCTAAATTTAATTAAATTAGATTAGTTGCACATCATTTATATTACTAAAAAAACTCAAGCAATTTCTAAGAGATTTCTTCCCTCGGCTGTCCTGTTCTTACCCTCATCCATCATGCCCAAATTCAAAATTACACAATCTATGTTGAACCTCTATTATTCTTTTTAATAAACAGCAAAGTTATTTCTTATAAAATAGTCCTTATTACTTTTCTTTTAGGTCTCCAACAAATATAAGTAGGACTCAGTCAACAAAGAATCTGATATCCATATTAACATAATGAACAACTCACTTAAAAAAAAACATTTGAAGTAATGAATTGCACTTATGTATAATCCATCATCTCTCTACAGGTTCTGTGTTTTTTTTTTTAAAAAAAACATACACTTTTTTCATTTCTCTGTCTTGTTTCCTGTGGATACAGTTAAATAAAATAGATGTGGAAATAATCCACTAAAGCTCACATATTGTTATGACTAAAATTAATCCAACTACCTCAGAAGCAATTTAAATATCATCTTCCAGCACCAGGCTAACACTATTCCAGGAATTCAACATGGATCTCTATGTACATGTGTGCTGAAAAATACAACAATGATAGTACATTTTCTGTTGTTTTTAAGCTGCTAAATTATGGAACAATTGGTGTTATTCAGCACTAGATGACAATACTAATTTTGGTACTTGAGTAGGAGAAGGAAGCTGGGAAACTTTGAGGAGAGTATTATTATCAGTGGAATGTGAATCCCCTTGAGGAGAGCATTTGTGGAAGCATGAAGGCCGTGAGGAGTTTATACTGCAGGCTAAAAAAATTGTAAGAAACTTTTACTGGAAATTAGAGGATAAGCATTCCACTATGCAGTAGCAGACAGTTTAGCAATGCTGATATCTGTGCAAACATAGGAAGTAGAAAATGTATCTAATGAGCTAGGTGATCTAGTTAAAAATATTTCAAGGTAGAATGTTGAAAGTACCTGGTTTCTTCATGCTGCTGATAGTAAAATGTGAGAAGAAAGAGATAAGAACTGTCAAACAAAAAGGATGCATGACCTAATGGTTTTGAAATTTTACAGTCTTTTCAGATGACAAACAGCACTACAACTAAGAAAACAGCTTCTGAACCATGGGATCAAATCCTGGGCACTATCAAAAAAGAAAAGCTTAAAGATGTAGCAGAAGGTGCTACTGTAAAATTCTCTGTTAATGCCTCAGAAAGACCTAAGATTTACAGCCAAGAACCACTTAGTTAAGCAATAGGGAGTCTAAGAAGCTTAAGGACTGTTACCCTTGGCAGTCTTCGTAGAAGCCCAGAGTAGAAAAAGCTCATCTCAAATCAATTTTTGGGTGTAGCTATTGAGTAGTGATGGGAACTTAAATAAGATTCAAGAGTTGTCTACAAAGATTTTAAAAGAATGATATTAAGTAAGAGATGAGGAAACAGTTTCTTTCTCCTACATGTGGCTAGCCAATTATCTCAGCACCATTCGTTGAAAAAGGTGTCCTTTCCCCATTTTATGTTTTTGTTTGCTTTGCTGAAGCAAACAAAAAATACTTACAGTTGGCTGTAAGTATTTGGGTTTGTTTCTGGGTTCTCTATTCTGTTCCATTGGTCTTACGCACCTATTTTTATACCAGTACCATGCTGTTTTAGTGACCATGGCCTTATAGTATAGTTTGAAATCATGTAGTATGATGCCTCCAGATTTGTTATTTTTGCATAGTCTTGCTTTGGCTATTTGGGCTCTTTTTTGGTTCCATATGAATTTTAGAATTGTTTTTCTTTCTAATTCTGTGAATAATTATGATGATATTTTGATGAGGATGGCATTGAATTTGTAGATTGCTTTTGACAGTATGGACATTTTCACAATATTGATTCTACCCATCCATGAGCATGGGATGTGTTTCCATTTGTTTATATCGTCTATGATTTCTTTTTTCTTCCAGTTTTTTAAAATTATTATTCTTTAAGTTCTGGGTTACATGTGCAGAATGTGTAGGTTTGTTACATAGGTATACATATGCCATGGTGTTTTGCTACACCCATCAAACCATCATCTAAATTAGGTATTTCTCCTAATGCTATCCCTCCCCTTGCCCCCCACCCACTGACAGGCCCTGGTGTGTGATGTTCCCCTCTGTGTGTCCATGTGTTCTCACTGTTCAACTCCCACTTATGAATGAGAACATGTGGTGTTTGGTTTTCTGTTCCTGTGTTACTTTGCTGAGAATGATGGTTTCCATCTTCATCCATGTCCCTGCAAAGGACGTGAACTCATCCTTTTGTATGGCTTCATAGCATCCCATGGTATATGTGTGACATTTCCCTTTTTTTTTTTTTTTGACAGAGTCTTGCTCTCTCACTCTGTCACCCAGGCTGGAGTGCAGTGGCACAATCTTGGCTCACTGCAACCTCTGCCTCCCGTGTTCAAGTGATTCTCCTGACTCAGCCTCCCAAGTAGCTGTGACTATAGGCATGCACCACCACACCCAGGTAATTTTTGTATTTTTAGTAGAGACAGGGTTTCACCACGTTGGCCAGGATGGTCTCAATTTCTTGACCTCATGATCTGCCTGCCTCGGCATCCCAAAGTGCTGGGATTACAGGCATGAGCCACTGTGCCTGGCCGCCACATTTCCTTTATCCAGTTTATCATTGATGGGCATTTGGGTTGGTTCCAAGCCTTTGCTATTGTGAATAGTGCTGCAGTAAACAGACATGTGCATGTGTCTTTATAGTAGAATGATTTATAATCCTTTGGGTATATACCCAGTAATGGAATTGCAGGGTCAAATGGTATTTCTGGTTCTAGATCCTTGAGGAATCACCACACTCTGTTCCACAATGGTTGAACTAATTTACACTCCCACCAACAGTGTAAAAGCATTCTGATTTTTCCACATCCTCTCCAGTATCTGTTGTTTCCTGACTTTTTAATATCACTATTCTAACTGGCGTGAGATGATATCTCATTGTGGCTTTGATTTGCATTTCTCTAATGACCAGTGGTGATGACCTTTTTTTCATATGTTTATTGGCTGCATAAATGTCTTCTTTTGAGAAGTGTCTGTTCATATCCTTCGCCAACTTTTTGATGGGATTGTTCGTTTTTTCTTGGAAATGTGTTTTCAGCAGTGTTTTGTAGTTCTCCTTGTAGAGGTCTTTTGCCTCCTTGTTTAGGTATATTCCTAAGTATTTTATTCTTGCAGCTATTGTAAAAGAGGTTGAGTTCTTTATTTGATTCTCACCTTGGTCGCTGTTGGAGTATAGAAGAGCTACTGATTTGTGTACATTAATTTTGTATCCAGAAACTATGCTGAATTATTTTATCAGTTCTAGGAGCTTTCTGAAGGAGTCTTTGGGATTTTCAAGGTAAACGATTATATCGTCAGCAAACAGTGACAGTTTGACTTCCTCTTTACCTATTTGGATGCCCCCTTTATTCCTTTCTCTTGTCTGATTGCTCTGGCTAGGACTTCCAGTACAACACTGAAGAGGAATGGTGAGAGTGGGCATCCATGTATTTTTCCGGTTCTCAGAGAGAATGCTTTAAACTTTTCCCCATTCAGTATTATGTTGGTTGTGGGTTTGTCATAGATGGCTTTTATTACATTGAGGTATGTCCCTTGTGTGCTGATTTTGCTGAGAGTTTTAATCATAAAGGGATGTAGGATTTTGTCAAATGCTTTTTCTGCATCTATTGAGATGATCATGCCATTCTTTTTTTTAATTCTGTTTATGTGGTGTGTCACATTCATTGACTCGCATATGTTAAACCATTCCTGCATCCCTGGTATGGAAACCACTTGATCGTGGTGGATTATCTTTTTGATATGTTGTTGGATTCGGTTAGCTAGTATTTTGTTAAGGATTTTAGCATCTATGTTCATCAAGGATATCGGTCTGTAGTTTTGTCTTTTCGTTATGTTCTTTCCTGGTTTTATTAGGGTGATGCTGGCTTCATAGAATGAATTAGGGAGGGTTCCTTATTTCTCTATCTTGTGGAATAGTGTCAAAAGGATTGGTACCAATGCTTCTTTGGATGTCTGGTAGAATTCTGCTGTGAATACATCTGGTCCTGGACATTTTATTGTTGGTAATTTTATTATTATTTCAATCCTGTTGGTTGTTATTGCTCTGTTCAGGGTGTCTGATTCTTCCTGATTTAAGCTAGGAGGGTTATATTTTTCCAGGAATTGATCCATCTCTTCTAGGTTTTCTAGTTTTTGTGTGTAAAGGTGTTCATAGTAGCCTCAAATTTTCTTTTGTATTTCAGTGGTGTCAGTTGTAATATCTCCTGTTCATTTCTTAATGAGGTTACTTGGATTTTCTCTCTTCTCGGTTAGTCTTGCTAATGATCTATCAATTTTATTTATCTTTTCGAAGAACCAGATTTTTGTTTCATTTATCTTTTGTATCTTTGTTTGTTTGTTTGTTTCAATTTCATTCAGTTCTTTTCTGATCTTTGTTATTTACTTTCTTCTGTTCTGTTTGGTTTTGGTTTGTTCTTGTTTCTCTAGTTCCTTGAGGTGTGGCCTTTGAATGTCAGTTTGCGCTCTTTAAGTCTTTTTGATATAGGTGTTTAGAGCTATGAACTTTTCTGTTAGTACTGCCTTTGCTGTACACCAGAGGTTTTGATAGGTTGTGTCATCATTGTAGTTCAGTTCAAAGAATATTTAAATTTTCATCTTGATTTCTTTTTTGACCCAATGCTCATTCAGGAGCAGGTTATTTTATTTCCATATATTTGCATGGTTCTGAAGGTTCCTTTTGGAGTTGATTTCCAATTTTATTCCACTGTGGTCTGAGAGAGTGCTTGATATAATTTCAAACTGGATCCTCATCTCTCACCTTATATAAAAATCAGCTCAAGATGGATTAAGGACTTAAATCTAAGACCTGAAACTATAAAAATTCTAAAATATAACACTGAAAAAACTCTTCTAGACATTGGCTGAGGCAAGGATTTCATGACCAAGAACCTAAAAACAAATGCAATAAAAACAAAGATAAATAGTTGGGACTTAATTAAACTAATGAGCTTTTGCACAGCCAAAGGAACAGTCAGCAGAGTAAACAGACAACCCACAGAGTGGGAGAAAATCTTCATAATCTATACGTCTGACAAAAGACTAATATGCAGCATCTACAATGAACTCAAATGAATTAGTAAGAATAAAACTAACAATCCCATCAAAAAGTGGGCTAAAGACATGAATAGACAATTCTCAAAAACAGATATACAACTGACCAACAAATATATGAAAAAATGTTCAACATCACTAATGATCAGGGAAATGCAAATCAAAACCACAATGCGATACCACCTTACTCCTGCAAGAATGGACATAATAAAAAAAAATCAAAAAACAGTAGATGTTGGCGTGGATGTGGTGAACAGGGAACACTTCTAGAGATTGCTTAAAGAACTAAAAGTAGAACTACCATTTGTTCCAGCAATTCCACTTCTGGGTACCTACCCAGAGGAAAAGAAGTCATCATATGAAAAAGATACTTGCACACGCATATTTATAGCAGCACAATTTGCAATGGCAAAATCATAGAACCAACCCAAATGCCCATCAATCAACGAATGGATAAAGAAATTGTGGTATATGTATACAATGGAATACTATTCAGCCATAAAAAGGGATGCATTAATAGCATTCACAGTGACCTGGATGAGATCAGAGGCTTATTCTAAGCGAAGTAACTCAGGAATGAAAAACCAAACAGCAAATGTTCTCACTGATATGTGGGAGCTAAGCTATGAGGATGCAAAGGCATAAGAATGATACAATGGACTTTGGGGACCAATGGGGGAAGACTTGGGGGGGGGCGACATATAAAAGACTGCAAATACGTTGCATTGTCTACTGCTCAGGTGATGGGTGCACCAAAATAACCACTAAAGAACTTACTCATGTAACCAAATACCACCTGTACCCCAATAACTTACAAAAAATAAAATAAAATAAAGAAATCAAAGAAGATCTAAATAAATGGAGAGAGAATCTATTTTAATGGACTCTAAGATTCAATATGAAGGACAGCAGGGGATGCAGAGCAATATAATCCTTCTTTTATTCATATTCACTGGGAAACTAAAACAGCACAGCCACTTTGTTCTTTTATTTAGTGCTATTTTTTAATTGACAATAATAGTATGTATTTACAGGGTACAGTGTGAACCTTTAATACATGTATACACGTGGAATTATTAAATCAGTCTATTTAATGTATCTGTCACCTCCAATATTTATCCTAACTTTGCAATGAGAACATGTAAAATTTACTCTTAGCTATTTTGAAATACGCAATAAATTATTTTCAACTATAGTCACAAAAAAGAGTGATATTAGCAGAAAGAATACCAACTGACCTCCAAAGGGCCAGAGATAGTACAAAATTTAAAGAAGACTTTTGATTCCACAAATTTTACATCAGTGAACAGACAGAAAAATATACAGCTGCAAACACAGCTACCAATTAGTACTTGGAAGGCAGAAGTGAAATTCTAAACTTTTAAGCCAAGAAACATAGAGAATCAATCTTGGGCAGCAACAGGACTGAGAGCTAATCCAGGGTCTTCTAATATGTGTCAAGCAGGACTTCCTGGTGCCTCCTATCTTCTCCTTTTTTAAACATGAATTTATAGCAGTTACCTTTTGTCTCTCCTAAAATTGTATATTGGGTAGTATTTGGATATGGGACATAAGCTCACAAGTCTTAAGATTTAGAGGAACTATACTCAAGGAGCTGTACTTAATAAACAATACCCAAGAAACTTCACTTGACCCTGGACTTAAATTAGATGGTAAAATTCTGCACCTTGAAATGCTGTTATAATGTGAATCAGACACTTAGGGAGCCTGGGAGAGGCTGGATGTTTTTGAATGTGGGAAGAATGTAAATAATTTGTGGATACAGGTGTACTGTGGTGTAAATTTGCTTTTCACATTTACTATAATCCATGAACCTTATTGGACACATTATTATCACCCAGAGTCCATAGTTTACATTAAGGTTCACTCTTGCTGTTGTACCTTCTATAGTTTACATTAAGAGTCCATAGTTTACAGAGTCCGTAGTTTACATTAAGGTTCACTCTTGCTGTTGTACCTTCTATAGACTTGGACAGATGCACGATGACATATACCCACCATTATAGTACCATACAAAAATAGTTTTACCAGCTTAAAATATCGCTGTGCTTTGCCTATTTATTTCTTTCTACTCCCAATCCCTATGGTTTTTACAGTCTTCTTAGGTTTGCCTTTTCTAGAATATCATATAGTTGGAATAATAGTTTGTAGCCTTTTCAGAATGACTTCTTTCACCTAGTGATATGCATTAAAGAGTCTTCCATATATTTTCATGGTTTGATGCTCATTTCTTTTTAGGACTGAACAAAACTCCATTGTCTGGATGTACCACAGTTTATTTATCCATTCACTTACTAAGGGGCATCTTAATTGCTTCCAAGTTTTGGCAATTATAAATAAAGCTGATAAAGACATACACGTGCAAATTTTTGTGTGGACATTTTTTTTACTCATCTGTGTAAACAACAAAAAGTGCAATTGGTGGATTACATGTTAAGAATATTCTTAATTTTGTAAGAAATGGCCAAACTGTTTTCCAAAATGGTTGCACCATTTTGCTTTTTCCCCTGGCAGTGAATGAGAGCTCCTACTGTTCCCCTTGCTCACCAGCATTTTTGATATTGTCAGAATTCTGGACTTTTGGCCACTCTAATAGGCATGTAGTGGCATCTCATTGTTGCTTTAATTTACATTTCCATAATGACATATAATGAGGAGCATCTTTTTACATGCTTATGAGATGACTGTTTAGGTCTTTTGCTCACTTTTAACTGGGTGGCTCACTTTCTTATTGTTAAGTTTTAAGAGTTCTTTGTATATTTTGGATTAAAAAACCTTTATGAGATATGTCTTTTGCAAATATTTTCTCCAAATCTTTGGCTGGTCTTCTAAGTCTCTTGGTACTGTCTTTTACAGAGAAGTTCTTAATTTTAATGAAATCTAGCTTATCACGCCATTTGTGTTCTATCTAAAAAGTCATCACTATGCCCAAGGTATCAAGATTTTCTCTCATGTCATCTCCTAGGAGTTTTATAGTTTTGCCTTTTACATTTAGGTCTATGATTCATTTTGAGTTAATTTTTGTAAAAGGTATAAAGTCTGTGTCTAGATTCATTTTTTTGCATGTGGATGTCCAGTTGTTCTAGCAGCGTTTGTTGAAGAGACTGTCTTTTCTCCATTGTATTGCCTTTTCTCATTTGTCAAGATTGGTTGATGGTATTCATGTAGGTCTATTTCTGTCCTCTCTATTCTTTTCCATTGATTTATTTGTCTATTCTCTCACCAATATCACACTTTCTTGAATTCTGCACTTTTATACTAAGTCATGAAGTTGGGTTGTGTCAGTCCTCCTATTTTGCTCTTTTCATTTAATATTGCATAGACTAGTCTGGGTCTTTTGACTCCCCATATAAAAACTTTAAAATCAGTTTGTAGATATCCACAGATAACTTGCTGATATTTTAATTGGGATTGCATTGAATCTATAGATCAAGCTGGGGAGAACTTACATCTTGACACTATTGATTCTTCCTGTCCACAAACATGGAAAATCCCTCCATTTATTTAGTTCTTCTTTCATTTATTTGTATCAGCTCTACAGTTTGCCTCATATAGATTTTACACATATTTTGCTTAATTTATTCCTAAGTACTTCAATTTTTGGGTACTAATATAAATGGTATTATAGTTTTAATTTCAAATTCCACTTGTTCATAGCTGGTATATAAGAAAACAATTGATTTCTTTATATTAACCTTGTATCCTGCAACTTTTCTATAATTATGTATTTATTCCACAAGTACAGTGATTTTTTTAAAAAATTTGTTCATGATTCTTTGATATTCTTTCATTCAGGGAGGTAATGCTTAATTCCCTTCCTGTTGAGTGTGGGTTGGGTTTAGTGACTCACTTCTAATGAACACAATGTGGCAGCAGTGGCAGAGTGTGGCTTCAATGACTAGGTTATAAAAGACATCGTAGCTCCTCTTTGCTCCCTCTGTCTCTTAGATTACTTCCTCTGGGGGAAGCTACCTCACATGTTATGAGGACACTCAAACAACCCTTTAAAGGGGTGTATATAAGAAGAAATCAAGGACTTCTGCCAACAGCAAGCAAGAAACTGAGACCTCTAGGCAACAGTATTGTGAATGCAGTAGGATGCATTAGTTACTTACTGCTGTATATTAAAAAAATCACTACAAATGCAGCAGCTTGAAATAGCATAAATTTATTATTTCACTTTTTCTGTGAGTGAGAAGTACAGGTGTAGCTAAACTAGAATATCTGTTAAGAGTCTCATGAGGCTATACACAGTGTCAGCCAGATTGAGTTCTCATCTATAGGGTTGATGAGGGAAGAATCTACTTCCATACTCAATCAGGTTATTGACAGAAATCATTTCCTTGAAATTATAAGACCATTGGGTCCTCACTTCTTGCTGTCATTGGCTAGAGGTTGCTTTTAGTTTCTAGAGGATATCTGTATTTTCTAGAGTACATCTGCAGGACCATGCCATATGAAACTTTTCAACATGGCCACTTACATCATTAAGCCAGCAAGGAGACTCTAGAGTGAGTCAGCAAGCAAGCTAGAGTATTATATAACATAACATAATCATGGGAGGGGTATCCTACCACCTGTGCTATGTTCTATTGGTTAGAAGCAAATCACAGGTCCCATCCATGCTCATAGGAGAGAATTACACAAAGGCATGAACACCAGGAGGCAGGAGTCATACAGTAAGGGTCAAAAGGGGTCTGTCTGCACACGGTCTTCATATAATTAATTGAAAACACCCCTGAGCAAAGTGAGCATGACAACATGATATCTAAAACCAGAAGAATGACATTTGAACACAAACTTGAGGTTGTAAACAGGAGACAAAAAATTACAGTGATTATATGTTGGGAGCAGGCCGCCCAAAATCTGGCCATAAACTGGCCCCAAAACTGGCCATAAACTAAATCTCTGCAGCACTGTAACATGTTCATAATGGCCCTGATGCCCAAGCTGGAAGGTTGTGGGTTTACGGGAATGAGGGCAAGGAACACCTGGTCTGCCCAGGGCGGAAAACTGCTTAAAGGCATTCTTAAGCCACAAACAATAGCATGAGTGATCTGTGCCTTAAGGACATGCTCCTGCTGCAGTTAATTAGCCCAACCTATTCCTTTAATTCAGCCCATCCCTTCATTTCCCATAAGGGATACTTTTAGTTAATTTAATATCTATAGAAAATGCTAATGACTGACTTGCTGTTAATAAATACATGGGTAAATCTCTGTTCAGGGATCTCAGCTCTGAAGGCTATGAGATCCGTGATTTCCCACTTCACACCTCTATATTTCTGTGTGTGTGTCTTTAATTCCTCTAGTGCTGCTGGACTAGGGTCTCCCGACTGAGCTGGTCTCAGCAATTATAAATTTGAATTACTTTTATTTATGAATCAGATAAGATAACAACTTAAAGAATGCTGTAAATCACTCTTTTCTTTCAGAAGAACCATCTATTCAACTAGGAAATATTTATTTAGCATCTACCATATGTCAGATATCTGGGAGTAGATTGATTTTTTTTTTAAAAAAAAAAAGGAAGAGAGAAAAACACACTCCTTGTCCTCTTGGAGTTGCCATATATAAACAAGAAAAAAATAAAAGAATTTCAACTTAGATTCTGGCTACATATAGCTAAATAATTCAGTTAGAAATTCTGAAGTTATGTATTTTTAAAAATTACTGCCACAGATATGTTGAATATATTAATTAGAAACAATCTTTAGATTAGTTAGAATCAGATTGAAGAGAACAAAAACTTGAACATTTGATTCAATAGGAAAATGAGGAGAAAGGATTTCTTTTTGTGGCAGCATAAAGAGGTAGGCAGATGCTCCCTGCACAAAATAAACTAACAAATTTGGTTAACTGTCAAGACACCATTTTAAGACTGGAGGTTGATCAAACTCAGATGATAAGTTCATATACATTATTGAAAACTGTTACAGCTTTAGGTAAAAACAGCAGGACACTGTGGCTTTCTTGTGTGTGGCTATTCCCATTCCTTCAGCTCAGTCAATGGTCAATGAAGACCACAGTTTTACCAATGAGAGACTTTCTGCAAAAGAAAAAAAAGGGGGGACAGACTAAATTTGGAATAGGACCAAAACCTCTTGGCTCTGTCATTTAAGAGACAAATTTCATAGAAAATAAATGAAAAAACTTATGATTCTGATAGGCCAATATTTTAGTCCAGTTGGGGAATTAAGTGAGCCTGCCAGAAATGTAATGGGTAGATCATGGAAATGAGAGAGCCATATAAGGTCTAAGGTAAACTCTTGACACATTCTTGACTTGGCGACTAACCACTTGCATGCATGGCGGACACTTGAGAGAGCCCAGCAAAAAGTAAAAGCCAAAGTAGATGTGAAAACTAGCTGCACTTTTCAATGTACTCTGCAATCCACACACAGAGCAATTGTCAAAGGTATTGAGCATAACCACTACTCAAATCAGTGGCTGATCCTTAAGCAACAGACACAGGAGGAAACTTTAGAAAGCGAAGATAAAAAATTGAAATTAAAAATGGACGAATTCTGCAGTTTAAGTCCAGATGAGTTACTGAATAATATTTTTAAAAAGGAAAAACAGGCTGGGTGTGGTGGCTCACTCCTGGAATCCCAGAACTTTGGGAGGCCAAGGTGGGCAGATCACCTAAGGTCAGGAGTTTGAGACCAGCCTGGCCAACATGGTGAAACCCTGTCTCTACTAAAAACACAAAAATGATGCCAGGCACAGTGGCTCACAACTGTAATCCCAGCACTCTGGAAGGCCAAAGCAGGTGGATCACTTGAGTCCAGGAGTTCGAGACCAGCCTGGACAACATGGTGAAACCCTGTCTCTACTAAAAATCCCAAAAAAAAAAAAAAATTAGCCAGGTGTGGTGGCAGACATCTGTAACCCCAGCTACTCGGGAGGCTGGGGCAGGGAGAATTGCTTGAACTCGGGAGGTGGAGGTTGCAGTGAGCCAAGATTGCACCACTGCACTCCAGTCTGGGCAACAGAGTGAGACTCCATCTCAAAAAAATAAAAAAAGAAAAAGAAAAAGAAAAACATATCTAAAAAAAATCCAGGGTTGCTGTTGACTGTGATTCATTATCTAAAATGTCCAATTTTCAACTCAAAGTTATAAGACATGAAAAGAAACAGAAAAATATTCCCATTCTCAGAAACAAAAAGATCTGTCAATAGAAATGGTCCAAGTGTACTCTATACTGTATTTTAGAAACAAAGATTTTAAAAGTTATTACATCTTAAGAGAATTAATGAAAACTATGTTTAAGGAATTAAAGGAAAATATGGTAACAATGAGTTCACAAAGCATAAATCTCAAGACAGAAATATATATTATTTGTAACAGACATTCAATACTTGAAAAGTATACTAATATAAATTTTTTAAAAAAATGACTAGGTGGGCCCAACAGCCAATTTGAGATGACAGAAGAATGGATTCATGACCACAAAAAGAATTAATAGAAATTGTATTATATGAAGAACAAAGAGAAAAAAGATGTAAGAAAAAATTAATTAGTATCAAAAAACTTCCCAAATTTGATGAAAAACATTAATATACAGATCTGAGAACCTTAACAAACCTCAGGAAGGATAAACACAAAGAGATTTACACCTACACTCATCATAGTCAATCTGCACCAAGATGAAGACAATCAAAAGTAGAAAGAGGAAAACAACTCATATACAGGGAAACAACATGATTAAAGGCTTGCTCATCCTTGGAGACAATTGAGAATGGACTGCAGTGGGCTGATAGAGTGCTGAAAGAAAAAAAAACAAAACTGCCGATCCAGAATTATATAACCAGCAAAACTATTGATAGAAAATGAAACTAAAATGATGCCTTTCCCAGCCAAACAAATTGGTGAGAAGTTCTTGCTGGCAAACCTAACCTAACCTAACCTAAAATAAATAAATAAATAAATAAATAAATAAATAAATAAATAAATAAATAAAAGACGTCCTTCAGGCTGAAAGGAAATTACAGCAGATGGTAACTCAAATTTGAAAGAAATAAAAAGCAGGGAAATGGTAAATATGCTAGTAAATATAAAACTGAAAGGAAGGAGGGAGGGAGACAGGAGAGGAGAGAGAGAAAAAAAATTAAATTCCTTTTTGAGTCTCTGAATTTTTCAGAGAGAATTATTTTTTTCCTCCTTGGAATTTTAATCTTATTCACAGTGACAGGAAAACTGAACATGGTTGATTCATTTTGATAGCAGTGTCTTTTGCAGACTGTTGGTTTCCACGTCCTAGACTCCTAAAGCTGTCCTGAATGCTGCCTCAGAATTTCCTTTGATTGTGTGAGATGCCATGTCCATCCAATAAATCTCTGTTTGTGCTTATGTTAAGTCCAAAACCTTATGTTGTTGTAATTAAAGGCAGTTACATATTTATTTCTCAAGAAATAACCGTGGTTATTTATTCATCATTTGTTCATTTATTTATATATTTATTAAGCAACCACTGTGTCAATTTCTCAAATTATATTAGTCAGAACAATAGACATGTTTGTGTTCTTTGGAGTTAACAATTATTTATGTGATCTGAAATTAAACAAAAAATACTTCTTTTTTGAATTAAAACCATGATAAACTCTACAAAGGAGAAGATATTATGAGATTATAAAATGGGGCACTTAATATGAATGGTCAGAAAAGACTTTTCTGACATTTCAGTTGACACTGGAGAATATTTAGCCAGAATCTTTCCCAGGTTTATAAGATTATAGAATACTTAACTAAAGTAGCCGTCTATTAATTGATTATATCTGCACGTCATTCCCAAACCCCAGAAACACTCTGTAAAGAACTATAGCACATTTTTTCATCTATTCTCTACTCGTCAAATAAAAAAACCTGTTTATATAAAGCTGATCTCTCCCCAGTCCCTAGAGATGGGCTTAGAGCATATTTACATTGTAGAAACACTCGATGTTATTGATCTTTGGATAGTAGCCTAGTTGGAATCTCTCTTAATAAAAGTTTTCTCCTTCTATATCTTGTTAATTGTCAGGGAAAAAATTACATGACTGCAGATATTCAGCATGCCATCTATTTGGAAACAAATTGCATGCCTGAAAGCCACAAAAGAAGGTCAAATGAATAGCCTCAGAGTCATGTTGCCAACATTCTCTACTACTTGAATATTTAGGCCATTATTTTTAATTGCATCTCTAGATACAAAGAGGGTCAATATGCCATATTTTCAAAGTGATGCTTAACACTTAAAAGGATGTACTGTGTGAACTATGAACAATTTAACAAGTCCAAACTTCAAGCAACCTATAGCTTTTTATGAAACATGTAGTATCTTACTACCAAATAATATAACATTTGCCAGCTAGCAAAATATTACTGATTTCCAATTCTATGTATACATAGACTCTATTATAAATTGTTTGTAAAATGTTTCTTATCCAGAGAGATATATAATATAAAATACATCACATAAAAAGGTGTAATTATCATGAAAGAAAATATGTTTTTGTAAAGTTTTATAGCTGCAAAAAAATGACAACTGTTCAATTGTATACACATCTCTGATTTTTAAAAAACACCATCTTTCACAAACAAAAAAAAATGTGATTCTGCTGAATTAAAATATCACTCTCTAAAAATCACTAAGTGGCCAGGCACGGTGGCTCACAACTGTAATCCCAGCACTTTGGGAGGCCAAGGCGGATGGATCACTTGAGATCAAGGGTTTGTGACCACCCTGACCAACATGGCAAAACCCCATAAGTACTAAAAATACAAAAAAAAAAAAAAAAAAAAAAAAGCTGGGTGTTGTGGCGGGTGCCTGTAATCCCAGCTACTTGGGAGGCTGAGGCAGGAGAATCACTTGAACCAGAGAGGCGGAGGTTGCAGTGAGCCGAGATCACGCCATTGCATTCCAGCCTGGGTGACAAGAGTGAAATTCCGTCTCAACAAAAAAAAAAAATAATTAAGCAGTTGTGCAAATAGATTATGGGTAACATTTTTCAATAATGAACACAGGTAAATCTGGTGTAAAACAAGGTCAGTTCTCAAACTTTGATGCAAACATCAAAACTTATACTTAACATTATGGAGGTCTTGAGCTATGTAGAAAGATAATAAACAATATTTGTTTTTATTTATATTATGTATTATATAACACATAATATAAATATGTTATATTTGTTATAATTTACTATTGTAAGAATAATAACTTAACGAAAAACCAAGACAGCCTTTATTTGTAGAAGTGTTCATTTCATATATATAAAATTCAAGAAAATCTATAGACAAATAGAGTTAACAAAAAGTTTTAAAAAGTTACTAGATCAGAAATTAATTTAAAAATACAGAGTATCATTTTTAAACATATTATTTCAATAACAACATTTAAAAAGTATTTAAGAGTAAGTATATATATGACCTTAAGAAAGAATATTATGACATTTTATTGAAAGCATTAAAGGAGGACTAAATATTTGGAGAGTTATATCATGTTTATATGTTCAATAGCTCAACATCATGAATATTCTAAAATGTATATGTAAGAGCAAAGGAACAGATTATGCAAAGACATACCTGAAGAAAATAAGTAAGGTGGTGGGATTTATCTTACCATAGATATAAGGACAAAGAATAGCAATTAAAACTGTGCCATTTTTTGCAGCTATAAAACTTTATGTTTACAACATATATTTTCTCTCACAATAAATATACTTTTTTCTTTGATGTATTTTATGTTATATATCTTTTTAAGATATAGAACATTTTACAAACAACTTACAATACGGTCCACCTTTGCTATATCCACTGGAAGTAATACAAAGATTTGGAATCAGCAATATTTCGCTAGTTTGCAAATGCTATATTATTTGCTACTAAATACTATGTTTTATAAAAAGCTAGCACAGACGTTAACAAATAGTAGTGGAACAAAATAAACACTGTGTCACAGAAGAACAAAATATATAATGAATTTTAATGTATGACAAAGTGGCATTGAAAATCAGTGGGTAGTAGAATGGCAAATTCAATAATTGATCTGGGGTTATCCGGATGAAAAAAGAAATAAATTTTAATTGCTATGCTACACAATGCACAAAAATTCTGTGTATGGCTTCGTAAAGAGTCAGCTTGGCAAATTTGAATTATGTTTTCTAGAATTTTCTTTTCTGTACGTTTTTAGTGGTTTGTTATGACCACCAAAGAAACTTGCTTGTGATTTGAAAGGAAGATGAGAACAGTGACTATATGTACTCCCTGAAATTCAATGTAGGTTAGGCCTTCTTGTGGCTCATGCACATTTTTTTTGCCATCTACTGGCCAATCTTTTTGGCAAAGGAAGCACCTGAGTCCATAAATCCTCCACCTCCCATGGGATATTTTTAAATTACCTTTTCCACAACTTGGGTCAGGTGCTATTGCAGTTCTGTAACAAGAGTGATAGCCAGCATGTCCTATAGATCATCCTCAGCTTCAAGGTTGGTGGCTTGGAGATGAGAAAAGGCCAATGCTGACTCAATAAGAAAGGAAGGCAGATTGCAGCTTGTTCCTCACAGTTTTGGTTTTTGCCAGCTCTCCCCATTTCACATCTGTCCTTTTCCTACTGCCTGACCTGTGACTTTATGCTAAGTATCAGATGCAGAAGAAAACAGAACCAAGACTATTTTACCAGATTCTACAGCGATAAAAGATCAAGTTCCTAAATAAATAAATCTACATTATTCCTGGTGGTTCTACTTCTCTGATTATACTGACTAATGCATCGCCTTAATGTTTTATAGGCAAAACTATAAAACTTTTAAAGGGTAATATAGGGGATATTTTTGTGACTTCAACAGAGAAACTTTTTAAAACAAGACACAAAGCCATAGAAAATGTTATTGACAAGTTCAATAGCATTATCATTTTAAAACTTTTGTAAGTGAAAAGATATAATTTTAAAATAAAAGGCAAGTCCTAGACTTGGGAAAAGATACTTGCAACAAATAAAACAGAAAAAGATCATTATCCAGAATACTAAAAAGCCTTCTTACAAATCAACTCAATGAAAAAATGAGAAAAGGATATAAATAAGAAATTTACCAAGGTTTTTAATCTCAAATGGCCAATAAACCTATTAAAAGATGATTTACCTCAGTGATAATGAGAGAAATGTCAATTAAAAGCACAATGAAATACCTTTCACACCTATTGTTTGGCAAAACTTAAGAACTCTGACAATATCATGTGTTGGCAAAAAAAGTGGATAAAGGGCAACACTAATATACTGTTCATAGGAATACAAACTCATGCAACCACCTTGAAGAAAAATGTTGTGGTAACTAATAAATTTGAAGGTGTAAATACCCTAGCCCAGCAAACCATCCCTAGGTGTACACCATAAATAAACTCTTATTTGTGTAAGCAAACAGACACATATATTTTAAAAAGGTGACTTCTTAGTAGAATTGTTTATAATAGCAAATATTGGAAACTAATTTTCCATTAACATGAGCTAGATAATGTATTATATTAAATTTATATAATGCTATGCCACAGTGAAAATCAATTAGCCAAAGTTACATGAATGAATATGGATAAATCTCATAAACATAATGTGAAATTGATAAAAACTACAGAAGAATACTTGAAGAATGATGTCATTCATATATGAGTAAAGCCAGATAAAAGAATATTATATACATACTATATACTTAAGATATACATAGGTTAAAAATGTATATGTATGGAAATGAAAACACCAAATTCAAGATAGTAATTATCTTGGTGGGAAAGGAAGTGAGTTGTAGAGAGGAAAGATTCAGGAGGTTTGCAAGGGGGCGGTGACTCTATTGGTAGGTTTAATTTCTTAGGTTGAAGGAATCCCTGCAGAAGATGAAGATAGATCTCCTAGACTGAAGATTCCTAAAAGACTTCCAGACACACTGCAGAACTGGCCAACTTAACAGAGATGCTGTCTCTGCCACAATTAAGTTGCTGCTGAGTCATAAAGCTGCCTCCACAGCTGTCAGCTCCAGAGCCACACTGCCAGAAACACATGTGAAACACATTTACATGTATTTACAGCACCACAATCAGGAAGCACTGAATCAGGAAGTTGCCATTACAGCCATTGACTCCAGAACCATGAAGCTTCTGCCACATCTGTTCTAGCAAATGGATGCCCTGAACTCTACCTCTTTCCCCATATAACTCAGTTCTGAATCACAGCTTCACACAGATGCATTCAATTGATTAAGCTTCCATCATATATTTAAGCGCTGGCCAAAGGGAAGCCTACAAACTACAGGTTTGTTCGTTTTTTCTCAGCAAAATAAAAACAAGAGTCAGGAACTCTTAGGAGAAAAGATTATTCAAAAAATTGTAAGCAGACTATGACAGATGTTTATTAAAGTGAGAGGAAAATTTCAGCTTCGTACCTGTATCCTTCTACACTATTTCTATGCTTTTTTTTTTAACCAAGAGTGTATGTTTTTTGTTTGTTTGTTTGTTTTACCATGTCACAGAAATTGCTGGTTGCCTCTCAATATGTAGCTGATCTTCCTTCTCATTAACAGAAAGAGAACGTAGCTAATGAGATACAAGCAAGACTTTTATGTGCTAATTCCAAGAAGTCTCCTTAAGGGAAAGGAGAGGCCCCTCTTGGTCCCCTCATTGGTTGTACTTGTTGGAATGTAAATATAATTATTACCAATTTGACCAGCCACTTTAAATCATAGTCAATATGCTAAAGATGGTAGGCAAGCTAGAATGAACCTAGATCTCTTCTGAAAGTGAGGCTAAGCATGGAACTAACTGTGGGCATGTTTACCTAATAGAGAAATAAATGTTTATCTTGTTTAAGCCACTTTTGGGGCAAATGGGGTTGGGTTCTTTATTACTGGCAGCCTAACTTGATTCTAACTGATATAGAAAGTAGTATCATTAATTTAAAGTCTACTTAAAAATTAATCTTAACAGCTAAGTAGACAAACATTTGAAACCTGGGAATTAAGGGTCTTGCCCTTTTACAAATCCCTATAGCAAAATTCCATAGGAATTTCCCTATTATTTTGGAGGAGTTAATCACTATATAAGCTTCACTTCTTTCCAAAGAGCTATGTTGTCTTCTTTCTAGCCTATCAAGTTTCTCAATATTATTCTTACAAATTCTATTCTGAAACTGCAAATAAGGTTTGGAAGATCCTATCAAATGCCAACTGTGGTGTACTAATTATTTCTCAGTTCTTGCTTTTACTTCCCTGTTAATACATCCTTAAATTAAATTTTATTGTTATATTTTACCTTAGTTATTCTAATTATTATTAATAATAAATTAACACAAAGCCACCCTGTGGTAGACACTGGGTTAGGTGCTGCAGATATAATGATGAATAAAAGTCTTGTGCACATGATAAGCTCACAGTTTAATGGGAGAAGATGAGCACAAAAACCTTTACTAGACATTGTAACAAGTGTTAAAAACGCTGTTATTAAGGCACTAAAGAGCTAATTGGGGAATCACATCCTACTTATAGCTGATTCACCTTTAGTGCTCCGACTCTGACTTCTTGTTCTTTTTTAAAATTTCTTAAAGTGGTGCCTATTTCCCTCATATTATAACTATAGAGCCTGGTACTGATTTTTAGATATGTATCATTTTGGATGAACACTTTCCAGTGAGTGTTTTTAAAATATCAAAGTTATGAACTCTATTGATACCTTTGAAGTGGAGCAACTTTTCCCTGTAGTTTTAATAATTTGAAAATGTGTCTCAAATAATCAGGTAAAATAGTATTTTCAGATATATATTGATAAGTATCAAATATTAGTTTTTTACTCAATTGACCACACTTAAAGCATGTTCTCTAGATTAGCTGAAAATAATTACTCCTTTCTCTTAATTTATAATTGTCTTGTTGTGAAGTCACATTTTAGAATAATGCTTTCTAAGTTATTAATCTTTAGTTTATGGATGAGAATATGAGACAGAGTCAAATCTTTTTAAAAACTTTCTTTTTTATTAGAATTATCACTTTACCATTATGTAAAAGAACTTTGCATCTGAAAATTGATGGTGTGAGTTATGTATTATAGCATTTCCTAAGGTATCAGAGTCTTCAGCCTTAGAACCAATATCCATCCCAGCATTTTGGGAGATCAGCTGAGGTCAGGAGTTCAAGACCAGCCTGACCAACATGGCAAAACCTCGTCTCTACTAAAAATACAAAAATTAGCCAGGCGTGGTAGCATGTGCCTGTAATCCCAGCTACTCGGGAGGCTGAGGCAGGAGAATCGCTTGAATCTGGGAGGGAGAGGTTGCAGTGAGCCAAGATCACGCCATTACACTCCAGTCTGGGTGACAGAGCAAGACTCTGTCTCAAAAAAAAAAAAAAAAAAAAAAAAAGAAAAGAAAAAAGAACCAATACCCAGCCTAACTTATTTTTTAATGCAGTATAAGAATAACAATTGCACAACAACTAGGAAATTTGGCAGGCCATTATGAGAATTAACAAAGTATTAAGGAAGCCGAAATACTTTAGTAATATTCAGAGTGTGTAAGCACAGCATGCCTGACTACCAGCAAAGCCATATATCTCTTATTCAATAAGCCAGTAAAATGCATTATATTTTTAAAGGCCAGATGCTTGGGGGCAAAATAAATGGCTAGCATAAAAGGCCTAAGCCAGCAGATACAATCACATAATGAAAAAAGTTTAGGGAAAGAAGTGGAACGTGAATTGTGTGGCTATCAATAAAAACATAATATTGACACACTACTTCTTTGGGAGGCAGTGGGGAGATTTCAGGAGGAGTGATAGGCTGGGAAAGCCTGGATCCCAGGAGACATAAGCAGCAGCATTCTAAATGCATGAGCGTTGATGAAGTATACCCTCAGGTAACCTAGCAAATAATGAATTACAATCATCTAACAGAGGCTAAAAATAAGGAATCAACCCAATTTCACCATCTTTCCCATTGAGCCTAATGCTGGCGGCATTCTGCAAAAAGAAAAAACTGTACTACTTAGAATACCTTTCGGTTCTCAAAGAATTCTATTATAATAGGTCTCACATATTTGTGTGACTTTAAATATCATTAAAACAGTCACCATACGTGTTTAGAATTTAAAAAACATGCAGTGCTATTCAAGAAGGTTGAAAGAAAAATATAAGATACTATCAGTAATAATCTTTTTGCTAAATTCAGCAAGATTTGCAGTGGAGAATTTCTATTATTAGTCAAGATCATTTATAAAAATAATAAGCATTCATTACATACACTACTTACGTAGTTGGGTTTACTTACAACATACATTCATTCAACACAGTCATCAAGCCTTTATGTCACATACTATGCTGTGTTCTGTGGAGGAACAAATTTATGAGAGACATTAGTGAGGCCTGTGCTAAGGGAGCTAATTGCATAATACAAGAGTTACATAACTAACTAGTTTATAGTGGAGAACATAATGAATACTTATATGGTTTGGATTTGTGTTCTCGCCCAAATCTCATGTCAAATTTTAATCCCCAATGTTCGTGGAGGGGCCTGGTGGGAAGTGATTGGATCTGGGGGTGGACTTTTCCCTTGCTGTTCTCATGACAGTGAGTTCTCATGAGATCTGTTTGTTTAAAAGTGTGTAGCATCTCCTTCTTCCCCCTCTCCTTCCTGCTCCAGCCACTTGGGATGTGCCTGCTTCCCCTTCGCCTTTTCTAAGTTTCCTGAGGCCTCTCCAGTCATGCTTCCTGTACAGCCTGCAGACCGGTGAGCCAATTAAACCTCTTTTCTTTGTAAATTAGCCAGTTTCAGGTAGTTCTTTATAGCATTGAGAGAACGGACTAATACAAATACCATTATAAAGGAACAGTAAAAGCGCTATGGTGACTCAGATGGTGAGGAAAGGAAGAATAATATTTATTCATTCACACCACAAATATTTCCTCAAGGACTCTTCTTGGCATTGGAGATAAATTAGTAAACAAGTAGTGAGGGACCTAGCCCTTTCATGTTTTACCAATGTTAGCACACTTCATCTTTATGAGAATGTGGTGAAGCAAGTATTATTAAAAGAGGGTGACTATTTTACTATAAGGAGTATAAACAATGGCCTACCAATAGTGTCCAAAGCACACAGCTTAAAATAGAGGAGATTCAGTCTCTCTACTCCTGTCCTCTCTAGAACATAGCCCAAAGTGATAACATCTATTAAAGAAGCAGTCCTATTTGATTTTACTTTTTGGCTGGGGGTACAACTTAAAAGGTCCAAATAGAAGAGAGAGTTCTTTAGGACTGATATCAGATGTTATTTCACAAGACTATTTCACATAAGAACTCTTCAAGGTTACTACAAGATATGAATGGAAAAATGGTTTATGTTAGAAATAAAGACCCAAACAAAAAGCAATAAAACAACCTCTCAAATAGGTCCTGAGTGTCTGAATATTTCACCTTAGTCATCTTCAGTAAACAATGGTGACACTTTGGCACAATGGAAATGTTTTGTTCTGAATGATAACACTGGGATATTGCAATTGTCAAAACTGATTCTGTTATGTACACTATAGGAGACTTTTTTAAGACAGAAAAGATTATTAGATTTTGGGAATCTTTTCAGCAATGAGAATTAAATCAAAATTTATTTTCTGACTAGCCCAGGGAAGTAAATTAATTAAAATATCTAATTCCATGATCATTTTGGGTAAACCACTAGAATTTAATAGATTTAAAGGACTGTATATTTTGTTAATAACATTGTATTTTTCCAAATGCCTCAAATCCCTTCAGATTTAGAATTACATCTTCCTTACAACATCTATTTAGTGGCACAAAGATTAATTTGCATTTTATTGAGCACTTATGAAGTGTCTAGAATTAAAATTGCCTCTGATTCTCATAGTAACTTGATAATGTTACTCTTATTTTAAAAAAAAGAAAATTAAGGATTCACAAATAAGAATATTTGAAGCCATAATTCAAATGAATTCAAAGAAAAGTATTTTGAATACTAATAGTTCTCAACTATAGCTATCCTTCAGTCTCACCTGTGAATATTCCCCAAATAGAAATACCTGAACCCATGCTAAGAACTGTGAATAAGAGTTCCAATGATGGCATGTTTTTAGTGTTTAAAATCTCAACTGGTAATTCTAATCTAGCTTAATAGAATAAGATTTGTCAAGTGGCAAATTGTATGCAAGATGCTTCAATATCTGAATAAAATGGGAGCTACAAATAATGGGAAGAGTTGGGAACATCTGTTTCTCTGCACCTAAAAGACATAGGAGGAGAGAAGAAGTGCTCATAGTTTGCACAAAAGACCTTAAGATTGTGACCAACACAACTTTTTCTGATACAGGTCTTTTGGAGGTGAATGTGGAAAATTACTTCACTCTTCTAATTAAAAGCAAGTGGACACAAATGGAAATACCATCTCCTTAATTCCAATTTTCTGGTATCTTCCCTTTCTTAAATTAAGGGCTGAGGCCTCAATCAATGCATATGTAGTATTCATGCTGCCTCTCCCTGTGCCTATGCCCTAGCTAGATAGACCTGTCAAATTGATTGGTGCAAGCTTAGCACATATGCACCCAATAATTCTTCCTGAACCCTACTAATTAATAAGACTTGGCACTGAAGATGAGATTTATTTGCTATTCTAGATCATTTATTTATTCATTCACTCATTCATTGAGCAAAGACTTACTGAATGTCTACTATGGTTTTGGAAACAGTACTTAATACTGGAACTACAACAACGAATACGTCATGTACTCTGACATCTGAAGACAGTAAATGGCAGAAAAACTTCATGTACACATGCCTGGCATCTATTTCCAAGGTACTTTTTCAAGCGCTCATGTACTTTGTATCATAGCTCTTCAAAAGTGTTTGAAAATATTTATCTAGCTCTTACAACAAGCTCAGTGATGCTTTGTATCATTTAATTCTTACAACAAGCCTACAAGGTAAATACCATTATTATCTGTATTTTACAGAGGAAGAAACAGATATTTAGAGAGGATAAGTCAATTGCTAAAGGCCACACAGATACCAAGTGATAGAATAGGGACTCGAACCTAGGTCCGCCTGACTTCCAAATTCTTGCTTTTAACAACTAAACTTACTCCTTTGACCACTTTAAGGACAAGTTTATTAACATCTTTCTAATTCCTGGAGATATCCCCTCCAAAAATATTTTCATCTTTATAAAACAGGAATAGTATTTTTTGTCAGTAAATGAGAATCAGGAAGAAAGGAAGGGAGAGATCAAAGGAGGGAGAGAGGAAGGGAAATGGATACAAGAAAGTTGAAGTTCAGAGTTTAATATGAAGACTCTTGGGAGTACATATCCACACACACCAATCACATAAAATTTCAGCCCCACCCAATTGCAAACATCTTAAAAAAAAAACTGTCAACACATTCTCCATGACTGATTTGCAAAATCCGATTATAAGAAGGAACTTGGTATCTTCTTCAACTCACCATCTTTTCAGCACCCTCATCAACCTATCATGATGCCATCCAGTTGGATCTTCAGCCTCCTTTAAATTGGTTGGTGACTTAGTCCACTTTGCATTTCTATAACAGAATACTGCAGACTGGAAAATGTATAAAGACAATACATTTATTTTATTCCTTCTTTCTTTTTTGAGACAGGGTCTTGCTTTGTAGCCCAGGCTGGAGTGCAGTGGATCACAGCTCACCGCAGCCTCGATCTTCCAGTCTCAAGTGATCCTCCCACATCAGCCTCCTGAGTAGAGTAGTTGGGACTACAGGAGAGTGCCACCATTCCTGGCTAATTTTTTAATTTTTTGGTAGAGTCCAGGTCTCACTATGTTTCCTAGGCTGGTCTTGAACTCCTGGGCTCAAGTGATCCTCTTGCTTCAGCCCCTCAAAGTGCCAAGATTACATGCGTGAGCAACTGTGTCTGGCCTATTTCTTATAGTTTTGAAGGCTGGGAAGTCCAAAAGTATGGTGCCAGCATCTGGTGAGGGCCTCCTTGCTACCTGATAACATGGTGGAAGACATCACATAGTGAGAGGGCAAGAGCATGTGTATTAGCTCAGGTCCCTCTTTCTTTTCTTATAAAGCCACTGGTTCAATTATAGAGGTCCTAACCTTATGACCTCATTTAATCCCAATTAACCCCCAAAGGGTCTACCTCCAATCAACATATGAAATTGGGGACTAAGTTTTTAACACATGAAATTTGGGGAACACATTCAAACTATAGTGGTTGGTTTGTTGGTTTAGTTGGTAGGTTTGGCATCTAAATATAATTGTTTAAATTTAGTTTTCTCTCAGTTAAGCAAAACTAAAATAAGACTTCTTCAGTAGCCCAAGAAGATCACAATTAGGGTGATCTCTGCCATTGATATTGTGGATTTCCAATAAATAGACTGGAGAAATTAACATATTTAAGTAGACCTTAGCTTCATGTTTGCCAATATGGTTGTTTGCTTGTATTTAGCCAGATAAGCATTCTTAGCAAAGGTCCTAGAAAGGAGAGCAGTAGGAACAGTGTAAGGGAAAGTGGGAAGAAATGAAAATAAATATATTCCCTTTTAGTGCTGAGCACCCTGCAAGGCAAAGCAAGTGATAATCAAATGTAAGACAAGAACTTAAAAAGCTGTCTTTATATTTTTTTGTCAGTGGTGAGAATTAAACTTATTTTCTTTTGTCACAAGTGAAAATATGTTTATGCCAAAAAAATTCAGCATAAAAAAGATAAAAAAGAAGTTATATCTTTCCATGATTATGAGAGGAAAAATGTCTTCACTCTTAACCCTTTTGTATAAAGCAAAATTAAATTGTGTTTTTTAAAAGAATTCTGACCATAGTGCCTAGAACATTGTGTATATTCAGTAAATATTTGTAGAATAAATGAAAGAATTAAAAGAAATACCAAGAAAGCAAATTTTACTTAGTGTTGGGTTAAAATAGCATACAAATTATATCAAAGAATTTTCAAGAATTCATTTTATTGTGCCTTCAATTAATGATTTGAAAACAAAACATATGTGATCTTTGGGAAAGAAAGCACGGATCTGAACCATTACATCTTTGCAAATACTGAATTTATTTTAGTTTTTTAATGAAACTGATTTGTAAAGTGAGTGGCCGAGAGGATGAGATTTTTTTCCCTCCTGGATATAAATTAGAAAATGTCTTTACCTAATTCTATTTGCTTATCTCAGAAGGTCTTCTCCTTTGCTTACTAAATAGTCACCTTTTTTCAGAACACTATAGAGAAACTCATTGAACCTTAATCAACTATTTAAAGAGTAGCTATTATGTTCTATTCTGGCTTTGTAATTACCAATTACATCATTTTTTTTTCTTAAGAAGAAAAAACACTTCTGGACTTATTTTGATTGATTTTTATCAGGCAGCTCTCTTGCATCTTTAAGTAGCATGTTTTATAAAGGAGTTTCAGTTTTGCTTAGTTTCTGATAATGATAACATTTAGATTTTTAATTATTAATAGATTTAGATGTCCTGTTTGTGCTTGAAAACAAAGCCCTACTTTTTTAAAAATGAAGAAAATATTAATAAATTCTGCTTTTATGCAATTTGTGAACGAGACCTCAGTTAAACATCATTTGCAAGAAAAATGAATGTTATTCTGAGGCTTTTGTAGCTTTACTTTACTTCAGTTTTCCACATTAGAAACAACAAATATCTCAATGTTCTTTAGTGAGTTCCTTTTCCTTTCTTAATATGTGCATAATAAAATGAGAAAAATATGGCATTTGTTTATTTCCTTAATTGTGAGGAAAATGAAATTTCACCCTTCTTTGGAGACAGGCATAATGTGATTCTTCAGTGCTACATCACACCCAGTTACGACATTTTGTAGAGTAACTGGAGTTCCTGGAGCACGGCCAGAAAAAAAGGAATGGAACAGAACAGGACATGGGGTGGGGTGGAGGGAGCACAAGCATGGTCTAAGACTTCCAAAAATTTCTCCAAATCATGGCACATCCAAGGCAAGCCTTGGAAAGGATGACAAAGGTGAGGTAGCTGATTTTTCTCTTCAACTAAGAAAACATCTGAATCAAAGGAATAATCCTGGAAAAGCAGTGACTATTTATAGGTAGTTCCTGCCTATGCACTACAGTCTTCCCTAAATGGCTGCTTGGGTTCACCAACTGCTGTAAAATTCCTTAAACCTGAAACTTTAGAAATGATTAAATTGCAGGTCTAAAGCAAAAGTTTCTCAACCATGGAGATAGATGCTCAAATTTCCTGGGAAACGTTTTGTCACTGAACACCTACTCCTTCAAGATTCTGGTGCATCTACCTTGGATGTAGTTGTGAGCCACATGTAGAGAATGATCAAGGAAAGACAACAGGGTAAGTAACTGGGTTGTTCTAATTTGACTCCTTCCTTTTGTTAATAATCACCTTTACGTCTTAGGGTTGGACTTTCTCTCTGGTCCATATCCCTGAGAGCAGACCCTTCCCATCTTTTCTTGAAGGTACATTACATTAGGACATAGGACTATAGGGTAGTATCTTTACCTGTGATATTGCTGGTGCTCTGAGGGATTTTACTCAACCATATAACCACAGATCAATAGTTTGAAAGGCCTCATCTTTTGGTGTTGCTGACCATCTGATCTCAGTCAGCGGTAACCTCACTTTTACTATTTCCTCTTTTCAATGTGGCATATATCTGGGATAGAGTAATTCCCCTAACTTCCACAAAATACTTTTTTTTTCTATATATTTCTTTGCCTTGAATAGTCTGCATCCTCTTTATTCCACGGCTTTTGATCGTTCCTTAAATATAATATTTCCAGTCTTCTATTCTTAACCATCTCCAATATTAGTACTTCATCTGCCACTTCTCTAAAAAGATCCAGATCCATGCTACCCAACTGTTTGATGTTTTTCTCACCCAAATACTCTACCAGACAATCAAGCAACATGCTCCAACATGTGAAAACTGTCTCCAAATAAAACCCTTTCTTTTCTCCATTTTTCTTCATTCTGGTTCTTTTTCCTGCATCCTTCACTAAATTGTCATATTATTATCTAAGCTGTCACAGTAGCATTGTTAGATCCTCTATTTCTCTCACCACTCCCATATTTAATACCACAATGTCCTATTCATGTTACCACCTATATTTCCTTTAGTTTTCATTGTCACATTCTTGTCATAGATTAGACTTATCTCTCTGATAAGACCAGTGAAGTTCCATTATCTGCTGCCTCCCAGTCTTTGGACCACACCTGTCTCTCTAGCTAGGGATGATCTCTACCTCTTCTCCAGCGCAAATCTTTTTGATGAGGTTTTGTGGAAAAATTACTTGAGCAATGATTCTATCAGTCTTACCCCCTAGCTCTCTCCTTCCCAGAGAGCACATGTGCCCCTAGGCAGCACTGCTGTGAGAAGAGTTTCAAGTACAACCTGTTGTAGTACTAAAACTCCTGCTCCTCTGCCACATTTGGCACTGCTGCTGGAGTCTTCCTCTCATTTTACACTTATGAGTTGTTTGTGCCAAGGATCCTGTTGATTCTTCCTGCATTTATACTTCCTAAGAGCCTACTCCTGCCCCAGTCCATCAACCATCCCCTGTCCCTCCCACTGCCCTGAACTCCAACCCCCTCACTGGGTCTATCAGCTGTATCTGCAATAAACCCTAATTGTGGATGAGTTTATAGACTTTCTTACAGGGCTCCTGAGACTTACACAAATCAGGAAATGTGGCTGGACATCTGTATCCCTGAGCATCCTACTACACTTAAGGAAACTGCCCAGAGCAGTTGGAGGACTTCCAATAAGGGTGTTTTCTAATTCCACTTGCTGGCACACCAGGGAGATACCTCCAGTCCAGCACACACATGATTTCCCTAAAGCTCAGGGACAGCAAAAAGGAAGTTGATTTAGAATTCTGATTCACAGGTTATATTTTGCTTTGTGGTTCCCTCTCCTATCCCTTGGCCTGTTTCAACATGTGAGAAGCCCTCTCCCTGCCTTGCCTAATATCCCAGGACTCTGCAGTTAAAGCTACTGCATATTGAGCCTCATTAAAATTCCGGCCCCAGACCACAAGAGGCCAAGAGAGAAAGAGGAATTCCTTCTCCAGTTGTTCTGAGGCTTGCCTTTCCCAAACGATGAACACCTGAAATACTCACCCTCTTTAGGGAATGAAGGGCCCACAGAGGTGTAAACTAATCCAAATGAGAACTATAGCAAAATCCAAAACAAGAAAAGCCTAACATCTGTCCAAAACATTAACATACACATAGAATGTCAGCTTCCCCTTCCAAAAGCACCCACTGCTACTGGATAAAGTCCAAACTCCTGAGCAAGGCAAAAAATACTTTCCCAACTGGCAGTCACCAGATGTTGTAGTCTCATATTCTGCCTCTCCACCTGATCCCCTCTGCAAGCTTTGCTCACCCTACACTTCATCATGCTAAAATACCTGCCATTCCTCCAAGCACTCCATGTTTCCTGGACTCATTGCTTCTGTACATTCCACCCTCTATACCTGAAGAACCCTTCCATGTTCTTTTTATGATAGGAAAATACTTGTCATTTCTCTTTCCCAACTTCTCTTATCAAAGTTGATCTCTGTTTTCTAGACTTCCACAGCCCTATTGCGGAGTTCTAGGTAGTATCTTTTAAATTATGTTTTAATTGTTTGCATATACTATTACATTCTACCTGGTGTGGAGCTAATATCAATGCTTGATGAATAAAATTGAAACTTTCTGGTGTTTTCTCCATAGGATCCCAATATTCCTTTTGATATTAACTCTTAGACCAGGAAAATAACTAATTGTTCTGCCATTGTGGTTTGAGATTTGAAGGAAGCAATTTTTTCCTTAATAGAAATGGTACAGACCTAGGAAAAAGCATGCTCATCCCTGCCCATGGCAGATATTGCAAATCAATTACAACACTCGTTTTAACTGTGTTGCAGTTTGGGTTCACTGGAAGCAGACACTTAGACAAGAGTGCAAGTACAGGGTATTGATTAGGGATCAACACTGTGGCAGGTAGAGGGAAAACAGGATCAGGCAGAGGAAGAAATGGAATTGCGAGGCTGTGTGGTAAGCCTGACAAACCCTCATGCAACTCTCCAGTGAGCTCTGGAGCATACGCCCATCAAAGCTGACCTGCTACTGACCCAAACTGGCTGGATCTTCACATTCTCACCATGATTAATCACTGGAGTGGGCTACCTTGGGAAGGTCAGGACCTTGGTTGAAATGATTATCTGCAGCTGAAGCAGATCTGGAAGGAGTTGAATGCTGGAGGCTGTCTGTTGACTGCTCTCCCAGAGCTGGGGCAATAAATCCTTCCTTGAAGAGTTATTTGGATGGCACTTCTCTGTCCACCACACCCAGACGTGACATTGGACTTTTACTCTTCATAGCACTCTAAGTAGACCAATTGGTGAAAGCTGAGGGGTAAGATAAAATCATTATGCTAGCTCTGCCTTCAAAATTTTAGGCCCCATTCTTTGCGGTATTTTCCTGCTTGAACTCTCAAAAACATGTCCCTTTCCGAGAGTTTTCTGAACTAGGGACAAAATGGCTGTGTTTCAAAAGTGCTGTTAACATTGAAACAGCTATTATGCCAATAATAAAATGGCATTTTCAGCAGTTTTAAATTTTTTAATTAAGTCTTTCCTACTAGGCAGGAACTGAAACAGCTTCTTTCCTCTCTATCTACATTTCATGAGAATTAACTCTTTCTCTCTAATGTAAATTCTATTCTCTCCTTGCTCCTTATGTCTCTCTTCTCAGTTTCTCTTCTTTGTTTCCTTCCCTCCCCTCACCTGTCTTGCCCTCTCTCAGGCCTAATCTCCTATATCCCCTCTCCTCATTTCTCCTTCTGCTGTCCTCTTTTCTCTCTCACTCTGAAGTTTTGGTCAAAAGTCATCAAAGTGGAATTGATGTTCTGATCCAGATCTTTGTCCTAGAAAATATTCTGTAAAAATAATTTTAGATTAAAATACTATGAGAGAAGTCAGGAGAAAAAGAAAATAATGAAAAGAAAGCCTATTTTCCTCCTTCTTCATTTTATGATGATTTTAGACTAGAAAATACATTCCACAGTCTGAAATGCCACAAGCACTTCAAATAGCTCAAAGTACGAAGGGATATGTTATAAACTGTCCTTGACAAACGACAACCAATTTCATCCTGGTCAGTGATGAGATCCGGTTAATGGGCTTCCTTATCCTTCTAAAGGGAATTAGGGAGTTTAGTGAGTATGTTTATCTGAACACGTGCAGACGTGTGTAACCTAATAGTGCCTTGCTGTAGTACTTAAATGTCAGTATCTGCTGAAATGGAGTTGAAAATACTTGCAGTGCTGAATCACAATTTAAAAATTGCTGGGTTTGTAGTTGCATTTAACTGTGATCTATCAGTTAGTGAACATTTCTTCTTGCCTCCCTCATAGGCATGACTCAGATCAGCCTTCTTTTTATTCTTATCGGTATGAAATAATACTTTTTAAGAAAAAGGAGTTTAGATTTATTACACAACTTTTTTTGTAATTTTCTTATAGCATCAAGTGTAATATTATTTCTATAAGTATATTATGTGTGCCTGGGTAAATAATAAATACGTACATTTCCCTGTGTTTCTGGCCTTCTAAGAGGGTAGGTCCCAAGGAAAGTATTTTATTTTTGTTTATCAGAGATAAAATGAAATGAAAAAAATGTTAAGAGAACAAATCATGTTACATAAGAAAACTTACAGGTACATTGATAGGAATAAAAGGTCTAGGATCTGGCAGATTGAGAGAAAGAAAGAAAGATGAAGTTTGAATAGCTACCATAAGAAATGAAACTTTGGCAAAAGACAGGACTCTAAAAAGGATTTTTAGGAATATTACTGTAATGAGCTATAGAATCTCCATCTTGTAATACTGAAGAAAACTTAAGGGAAGACCACAAAACTCAGTAACTTAAAACAGGATACTATTGGCCCAGAGGCCAAATCCAACTTGACTATATATTGACACTGTGGGCTAAGACTGATATTTATATTTTTCAATAGATGAAAAAAACAAATGTATTAGGCCATTCTTGCATTACTATAAAGAAATATCTGAGACTGGGTAATTTATAAGATAAAAGATTTATGTTCTCTTTTTTTTGAGACAGAGTCTTGCCCTTTTGCCCAGGCTGGAGTGCAGTGGCACGATCTCAGCTCATTGCGACCTGTGCCTCCCAGGTTCAAGTGATTCTCCTGCCTCAGCCTCCCAAGTATCTGGGACTACAGGCATGCTCCACCACACCTGGCAAATTTTTGTGTTTTTGGAGAGACAGGGTTTCACCATGTTGGCCAGGCTGGTCTCAAACTCCTGGCCTCAAGTGATCTTCCCACCTTGGCCTCCCAAAGTGCTGGGATTACAGACATGAGCTACTGTGATGCGAGAAAAGAGATTTAATTGGCTCGGGAAACTTCCAGTCATGGTGGAAAGCAAAGGGGGAACAGGCACATCACAAGGTGAGAACAGGAGTGAGAGGGAAAAAGAGAGAGAGAAGAGAGAGAAAGAAGAGGGAGGGAGGGAGAGAGAGAAGGGAGAGAAATAAGTGGGGGAAAAGAGAGAGAGGAGAGAGGTGCCACACACTTTTAAATCACCAGATTTCATGAGATCTCACTATTGCCAAAACAGCACCAAGCCATGAGGGGATCCACCCCCATGAACCAAACACCTCCTATCAGGCCCCACCTCCAGCATTAGGGAATACAGTTCAAAACGAGATTTGGTCAGAGACAAATAGCCAAACTATGTCAATCAATATAATATCTTTTATATATGAAAAATTATATGAAATTAAAAGTTTAATGTCCAGAAATAGTTTTTTTGGAACACAGCCATACTCATTTACGTATGCATGTCTATGGCTGTTTTTGCACTGCAACAGCAGAGTTGAATAGTTGCAAGCAGATCATGTGGCCCACAAAGCCCAAAATATTTATTATTGCTCCCTTTAAAAAAAAAGTTTGCCAACTTCTCCCTTAAAACAACTATTTATTCTTGTGAAGCTGTGGGTTGACTGAGGCAGTTCTGCTGGTCTTGGGTGATTCCATAATCATATAGCAGTCATTGCTCCAATAAGCAAGTCTGAAAATCCTGCTGATCAAATGCTGCCAGGTCATCCTACTCTGTGATAGGAAATATGTATTGATTAGGTCCTGTTTCTGATCCATGGGAGTATATTCCCAGTCCTAAGTTAGCCACAGACCTTAATTCAATCTTTTATGACGTTCTTCCCTGTTTATCACCCTAATTGACTACTTCTGATTAAGGCTTTGAAAAATATGCCCTTTTTTGATGACTGAACAGTTTTCTCAGCCTGCTTCCAACATATAGAAATTTAAAGAACTTTTCACATCAAGTTTCAATTTCTTTTAGCCCAGCTTGGTTCTTTCTTCAAAAATTTATGGATCATCTATATATTTGATACACATCAACTTTATTTGTCAAAAACCACATTTATCGTTCCCTTTTAGACATGCCTTTCTCTCTAGATTTAATTACAAATACTTTGGGCCTATCAGATTTCTGTGGGACTACAAGTTTACACTTCCTAGAAACAATCTTGTCCAACTGAAAAGATATACTACATGTCAGCCTAATTATTTCAGAGATCTTAACAAAGGTTTTGACTCTACTTCCTTGGTTTGACCTGTGACCATGGGTGTATTGGTCTGTTTTCATACTGCTGATAAAGACATACTCAAGACGGGGCAATTTACAAAAGCAAGAGGTTTAATGGACTTACAGTTCCATGTGGCTGGGGAAGCCTCATGATCATGGCAGAAGGCAAGGAGGAGCAAGTCACATCTTACATGAATGGCAGCAGGCAAAAAGAGAGAGCTTGTGCAGGGAAACTCCTGTTTTTAAAACCATCAGATCTCATGAGACTTACTCAGTATTGTGAGAACAGCACAGGAAAGACCTACCTCCATGATTCAATTATCTCCCTCCAGATCCCTCCCACAACAGTGGGAATTACAGAAGCTACAAGATGAGATTTGTGGGGGGGACACAGAGTCAAACCATATCGTTCTGCCCTTGGCCTCTCCTAAATCTCATGTCTTCACATTTCAAAACCAATCATGCCTTCCATACAGTCCCCCAAATTCAACTCATTTCAGCATTAACTCAAAAGTCCACAGTACAAAGTCACATCTGAGACAAGGCAAGTCCCTTTCACCTATGAACCTGTAAAATCAAAAGCAAGTTAGTTCCTAGATACAATGAGGGTACAGGCATTGGGTAAATACAGCCATTCCAAATGGGAGAAATTGGCCAAAACAAAGGGGCTACAGGCCTCATGCAAGTCCAAAATGCAGCAGGGCAGTCAAATCATAAAGCTCCAAAATGATTTCCTTTGACTCCATGTGTCACATCTAGGTCATGCTGATGCAAGAGGTGGGTTCACATGGTCTTGGGCATCTCCACCCCTGTGGCTTTGCAGGGTACAGTCTCTGTCCTGGCTACTTTCACAGGCTGGCGTTGAGTGTCTGAGCTTTTCCAGGCACATGGAGCAAGCTGTTGGTGGATCTACCATTCTGGTAGGATGGGTCTGGAGGATGGTGGCCCTCTTCTCACAGCTCCACTAGGTGGTGCCCCAGTAGGGACTCTGTGTGGGGGCTTCGACCCCCGTGCCCTATTTTCCTTCTGCACTACCCTAGCAGAGGTTCTCCATGCGGGCCTGGCCCCTGCAGCAAACTTCTGCCTAGGCATCCAGGCATTTCCATACACCTGCTGAAACCTAGGCAGAGGTTCCCAAACCCTGATTCTTGACTTCTGTGCACTCACAGGCTCAACGCTATGTGGAAGCTGTCAAGGCTTGGGGCTTGCACCCTCTGAAGCCACAGCCCAAGCTCTACATTGGCCCCTTTTAGCCATGGCTGGAGTGGCTGCAACACAGGGCACGAAGTCCCTAGACTGCACACAGCAGAGGGACCATGGGCCCAGCCCACAAAGCCAGGTTTTTCTCCTAGGCTTCTGGGCCTGTGATGGGAGGGGCTGCCATGAAGGCCTATGACATGCCCTGGGGACATTTTCCCCATTGTCTCAGGGATTAACATTTGGCTTCTTGTTACTTATGCAAATTTCTATAGCTGGCTTGAATTTCTCCTCAGAAAATGGAATTTTCTTTTTTATCACATTGTCAGGCTGCAAATTTTCCAAACTTGTATGCTGCTTCCCTTTTAAAACTGAATGCCTTTAACAGTACCCAAATCATCTCTTAAATGCTTTGCTGCTTAGAAATGTCTTCCACCAGATATCCTAAATCATCTCTCTCAAGATCAAAGCTCCATAAATCTCTAAGGCAGGGTCAAAATGCCACCTGTCTCTTTGCTAAAACATAACAAGAATTACCTTTGCTCCAGTTCCCAACAAGTTCTTCATCTCCATCTGAGACCAACTCAGCCTGGATTTCATTGTCCACATTCTTATCAGCATTTTGGTCAAAGCCATTCAACAAGTCTCTAGGAAGTTCCAAACTTTCCCATATTTTTCTGTCTTCTTCTGAGCCCTCCAAACTGTTCCAATCTCTGCCTGTTACCCAGTTCCAAAGTTGCTTCCACATTTTCAGGTATCTTTTCAGCAGCACCCCACTCTACTGGTACCATTTCACTATATTAGTCCACTTTCATTCTGCTGATAAAGACATACTTAAGACTGGGCAATTTACAAAAGAAAGAGGTTTAATGGACTTACAGTTCCAATGAATGAGGAAGCCTCACGATCATGGCAGAAGGCAAGGAGGAGCAACACGTCTTACATAGATGGCAGCAGGCAAAAAGAGAGAGCTTGTGCAGGGAAACTCCTGTTTTTAAAACCATCAGTTCTCATGAGACTTATTCACTATCATGAGAACAGCATGGGAAAGACCTGCCTCCAAGATTCAATTATCTCTCTCCAGGTCTCTCCCACAACACATGGGAATTATGGGAGCTACAAGATGAGATTTGGGTGGGGACGCAAAGCCAAACCATATCAATGGGATATTCTTAATGCTAATACCTTTAATATAATCTCTGCCTTTAGACCCAATCTTCATTTGAGAATATTTTACTGACTTCATAGACTGGACATAAGAAACAGTTCTTCTATTCAGTGGAAAATGAAGAATTGTTTCACAAATGAGGCCAGAATTTGTATTCATATGGGGAAACGGGTGCAACTGAAACCTGTCTTAAAGCATGTTTTTAAAAAAGCTCAGTCATATTAAACACTTGAATATAAAAAAGAAATATTTTATTAAAAAATCTTGGAAACAACATATATAATTTTTTGAAGCTTTTCATTGTGGTAAAATGTATATAACATAGAATTTGCCATTTTAACCATTTTAAAATATACAATTCCATGGCATTGATTATACTCACAACCATCACCACTATTTCCAAAACATTCTTATCATCCCAGACAGAAACTCTTTATCTATTAAACAATACCTTTCCATTCTCCTCAGCCAGTACTAATCTCTAATCTACCTTATGTCTCGATGAGTTTGCCTATTCTGAAATATTTCATATTAGTGGAATCATATACTGTAATATTTGTCCTCTGTGTCTGGCTTATTTAATGATTCATGTATGCTGCAGCATGTATCAGAACTTCATTCCTTTTTATGACTGATTAATATTCCATTTTATATATTTGCCACATTTTCTTTATCCATTTACATGTTGATAGACACCTCTGTTGTTTTATTGGCTTTGTGAATAATGCTATTATGAACACTGGCATAATTGCTTATTTTCAATCCTTTAGCTATATACGTAAGAGTAGAACCTGGGTAATATGGTAATTCTATTTTTAACCTTGTAAGGAGCCACCGAACTGTTTTCCACAATGGCTGTACAAAAGTTCCTATTTCTCCTCATCCTTAACAACATTTGTTAGTTTCTATTTTTTTATTGTAGCCATTCTGGAGGAGGTAAGATAACACATAATTTTGTCTTTTTTTAATAAAAAAGTAGACAGTATATTAAAATTTAAAATATATCTGGAAAAAGACACCATAACTAAAGTCAAAAGAATCATGTTACTTTTAGAAAAAAACTTGTGATTTGGATGATAGGGAAAGGGTAATATCTATACTACAAAAAGGTTTAAAATGACAATATCTAAAAGACAATATGACAATTAATATTATAAGTTAATGTTATAAGTTAATATTACAAATAGTCAAAAATATATTACAAGATACTCAGGGAAATGCAAAGCATAACAATTTTACATGCATCTGAATGCCAAATTCTTTTTTCTTTTTTTTTGAGATGGAGTCTCACTCTGTCACCCAGGCTGGAGTGAGTGGTGGCGCCATCTTCGCTCACTGCCACCTCTGTCTCCCAGGTTCAAGAGATTCTCCTGTCTCAGCCTCCCAAGTAGCTGGAATTACAGGTATGCATCACCATGTGCAGCTAATTTTTTTTTTTTTGTATTTTTAGTAGAGATGGGGTTTCACCATGTTGGCAAGGCTGGTCTTGAACTCCTGATATCAAGTGATCCACCCACTTCAGCCTCCCAAAGTCCTGGGATTACAGGCATGAGCCACTGTGCTCTGCCTGACTGCCAAATTCAACAGAGCAATGACACCTATTGCTGGCACAGTAAGGACAAGAGGAGGGAAAATAACTGTCATATCTAGCGGTAGAAATTGGAGCTGTAACAGCTTATTTAAAGAGTAATCTGTATAACTCTATTAAAATTTTCAATTTGGCTACCATAGGATCCAGAAATGCCACTTCAATTGTGAGAAAGAGGAATCTTAATACATACCTACAATAATGTTTAATTCAGCATCATTTTTAGAGGTTAAACATTTTGAAATAATTTTCTATCAACATAACAATAATTTAGTAAAATATGCTGTATTCACATCAGGAATGATTATGTAGCCATCAGAGAGAACTCATTAGTACTATACTAGCTGATTTGGAGAAATTTCCACAAGGGATTGTAGAGGGAGAAGAGCAAGACAAAAATATTTACATTATTATTTCATTCTTGAGTTTTAAATGACCATAAAAATACACATCAGCCATGATTCCATGAAAAATACTAGGACTACATCATAGGTTCCCAGTCTGTGTTACCTAAAAAGAGTAGTTTACATGTGTGATGAAGAAAGAGAAAAAAAATAAAAAGAAAGATAAAGACAAAGGAGGAACAGAAAGAAAAAGAAGAATAAATATGAGAGAAGACAATTAAATCTAGAGTAAAATAATGATAAAAATTAATTAGGAGCAAAGATGCAATTAAAATTGGTGAGTTGTAATTAACAATTGGAATTAATAGTAACTAACATTTAATATTTAAAGATGAAGCAAAATTACGATAAAAATGAATGGACAATTGGAATAGGTTTGGTGGTTTCTCAAAGCAAGTTAATGTACTTTTTATCTTCATAAAGAAAATATACTGAATAATTATGGATTCCGTTATAAAATACTTAGTATATTTGTTAAAAATAAGAATAACAATGAAAATATGAAAATATAAATAATGTTTTAGCAATTAAACTAAAGAAAAAAAGGACTAAAAAGATAAAGCATCAGTCCTAGTCATTTACACATATTCAGTAAATATTTATTGAATACTTAATCCCAATATAGTCAGGAACTATACTATCTAGTCTCTGGATATACAGTAGTAAACAAGAGACAAGTTCCCAGCTTTTAAGTAGTTTAATGCTGGTGGAGCATACACACTATTAGCACTAGGAGTTCAAAAAGGCTATAAAATTTAAGATCAACATGTAAAATAAAACATATTTCCATATGCATCAGAAATATGTAATCCTAATCTTTGATGATCTCATGAAAAATAAAATTACATGGTAACTAGGAATAATTCTAACAAATATTTATACAGGATTTGATGGTGAAAAGTTTTAAGCTTTGTTAAAGAAGCAGCCCTAAATAAATAGAAAAATAAACCACACTCCTTGATAAGAGTATGCAGTTACATAAAGATATTAATTCTATCTCTAAATAAATCCATAAAATAAATGTGATTTCAATCAAAATCACAACAAATTTTTTAATGGAATCCAGAAATCTCAATCTAAAAGCAAAGTAGGTCAAGAGTAGGTGAAGAATAACCAAGACAATGTTGAAAAAGATTAACACGATGAGACTTGCAAGGTATGAATTACTAAAATGCTATGGCAATTAAAACATAACAGTATTGAAGGATAAACAAATAGACCTATAGGACAGAATTGAAAACCAAACTCTTACATGTATGGGAAATCATATGTTATATAAATATAATTACAAATGAGTTGAGAAAGAAAAGACAATTCAGTAAATGATGCTGGAACAATTCAACTATACATGTGGAAGAAAATTACATAATTCTCTTATAATTAACTAAAAATAGATTATATATTGATTTAAAAGTTATATATATAAAGTAGATTTTGAAAATATTCAGAAGAACATGTAGGTGAATATGTTCAGAATACTGGGTGTAAAAATTTTTGAAAAGGTACAAAAGCACAAAATATAAAGGAAATGGTAAGTTTAAGTACATTAAAATTAACTTGTTTATCAAGAAACATCCAAAACAAAATGAATACACAAAACAAGCAAAAACTAGGAGAATATGTTTGTAATGCAGATTATGAGATTAGTATCCAGAATATATAAAGAACTCATACTACTCAATAAGAAAAAAAAACCCTCTATAGAAGTGAGTGACAGAGTTTATAGGAAAAGCCATTTGAGTGAACAAAAGTCATAAAAATATCCTTGATATTACAATCAATGAAATGCAAACTGAGGCTACAGATTTTATTTTACAACCATAAGGTTAGCTTTAAAAGATTAATCAGAAGAATTTTAAAAAAATTAAAAATCTGATAACTTCAAGAGTTTATAAGGATGTGGGAATAGCAATACATTTATACAGTGACTAATGTCTAATCAAGTTTAAGATTGATTCACTAAAGCCCAACATTTCCACATGTTGTTACATGTCCTAGATATAGTTTCATACTTGGGCACATAAAAACATGTAGAAGGATATTATGGCAGAGACTGACTAGCACTTTACCAAACCTATTTCCTCCTTTTCCTGGGCATAAAGTTAGATTAAATTTTCTCAACTCCTTACCATTTCATGTTGCCCTACGACTGAATTCCAGCAAATGATAGGCAAGTGGAAATAATATGCAGCACATACAGGCCTGCCCCCGCCACAAAACCACGTGAACATAATCCCATTGCTTTTTCTTCTCCATCAATTTGAAGCCAAGAAGCACAAAGGCTTTGGAAGTCATATGATGTAGATGGTGGAGCCATAAGGTGGAAGGACCTGGGTCCTTGAACTTGGAGGAGAGCCTCTCATCAATCAAGAATATGCATTTTGGTCTTTATGACAACTGAAGTTCTTTCATATTTGAGCTACAAAATGTTTGAGGGGGTTTGTTATCAGAGTAGCTAATGTTACCTTAACTAATGCAGACGCATACTGCAGAATAGTTAATACCATCAATAGGGGATTTGATAAACTGTGGGATGTTCATAGGCTATAATACTATTCAAGAGTTAAAATTAATGTACTTGTATGTATCTATATATAGACATAAAAACTAGATTTAATTTAGAAATATATATACAGGATATTATATCATGTATGCATATTTTTCAAAAAGTCATATATGTTTGGGAAGTCACCTAATCTCTCAGTTTCAATTTCTGCATCTATAATATTTTATCAAATCAGTCATTATTGATTGTAAAATGTATTTATTATTATTTTATGTAGCAATAAGGAAGAAAAACACTGCCAGATAAACCATGAGAAAATACGTTCTTATCATTTCGAAAATGGATTTAAAGAGCTCTCCTAAACTTAATTATATGTAACTGTTTTTAGTTATTATATGTCTCTATAAAGTGAATAGTTTAAACAAAATAAATGGTTAAAGTCCTGCTAAACTATCTTCATTTTCAGGCTCCAATTCTTCTGAAGCACTTTTTGACTCAAAGTCTTTTGATGTCCATTTTTTCACCACTCTATAACGTCTTCTGTGTCATCAAAATTACTGTTGGTGTAGAAGTTCAAAGGAAAAAATGCTAAAAGAACTAAAGTCTTTAGTGCTGTGCTTTTAAACTGACTTTGCAATTGTGTAGAACTGCCTTTTGAGACCCACTCCAAGAATGTGGTTAAACAATTCTGATACATCCCCCCTCGACCTTTTCCTCATAACCATTTAGTTTAGAGTAATGGTTAAAGAATGCTCTACTACTATCATTCCAAGCTGCTGACACTCATTCTGTAAGTTCTGATGTCCACCAAAAAAGGAGCTGAATAGCCAAAGCAATCCTGAGCAAAAAGTACAAAGCTGAAGGCACCATAACATTACCCAACTTCAAAGTATACTACAAAGCTACAGTAACCAAAACAGCATGGTACTGGAACAAAAATAGACATATAGACCAATGGAACATAATAGAGAACCCAGAAATAAAGCCTCACACCTACAACCCTCTGATCTGCAACAAAGTCAACAAAGACAAGCAATGGGGAAAGGACTCCCTATTCAATAAATGGTGCTAGGATAACTGGCTAACCATATGCAGAAGACTGAAACTGGATGCCTTCCTTACACCATATACAAATATCAACTCAAGATGGATTAAAGTCTTCATATAAAACCTAAAACTATAAAAAAGCTTGAAAAAAATCTAGGAAATGCCATTCTAAATGTAGACCCTGTCAAAATTTCATGATGAAGATGGCAAAAGCAATTGTAACAAGAAGAAAAACTGACAAATGGGACTTAATTCAACAAAGGAGCGTCTGCACAGCAAAAGAAACAATCAACAAAGTAAACAGACAACCTATTAAATCGAAGAGATTATTTGCCAATATGCATTTGACAAAGGTCTAATATGCAGAATCTGTAAGGTACTTAAACTAATTAACAAGCAAAAAAACAAACAGCCCCATTAAAAAGTGGGCAAAGGACATGAACAGACATTTTTCAAAAGAAGACCAACATGGCCAATAAGCATATAAAAAAATGCTCAACATCACTAATTGTTAGAGAAATGCAAATCAAAAGCACAATGAAATACAGATACCATCTCACACCAGTCAGAATGGCTATAATATTATCAAAAAGTGAAATAACAGATGCTGGCAAGGCTGTGGAGAAAAGGGAACAATTATTCACGGCTGTGGGAATGTAAATTACTTCAGCCACTGTGGAAAACAGGCAATTTCTCAAAGAACTTAACATGGAATTACCATCAGACCTGGCAATTCCATTATTGGGTATATACTCAAAGGAATATAAATTGTTCTACTATAAAGACACATACATATACATGTCCGTGACAGCACTATTCACAATAGCAAAGACATGGAATCCACCTAGATGCCCATTAACGGTAGATTGGATAAAGAAAATGCGGTACATATGCACCATGGAATACTATCCAGTCATAAAACAAAAAACATAAAACAAAAAAAAACCCGAGATCATGTCCTTTGCAGCAATGTGGATGAAGCTGGAGGCCATAATCCTAAGGCAACTAGTGCAGGAACAGAAAACCAAACATCTCATGTTCTTACTTATAACTGGGAGCTAAACAATGGGTACACATGGACACAAAGAAGGGAACAATAGATACCGGAGCCTACTTGAGGGTGAAGGGTGGGAAGAGGGTGAGGATCCAAAAACCACTTATCAGATGCTATGCTTATTATCTGGGTGATGAAATAATCTGTACACCAAACCCCTGTGACATGTGACTTATCTATAGAACCAACCTACGCATGTATGCCTGAAACTAAAATAAAAGTTAAATTATAAAAAAAACTTGTGATGTTGGTTGTTTTGATGTTTATAAATGCCCAGGCAGCGACAACTGTATCACAATTGATATCTGGGCGATAGTAGAGTTTCCATGCAGAAATACTTGGAGAAATTTATATATTTCTCTGAAGCCAAAATCTGGAGAAAAATCAATAATGAAAACAGGAAAAGCATGATTACTTTCCTGTGAAAATTAAAGCTTAAAAATCAGTGTAGAGATGTTACTAATTAATCAGTCTTGCTTGTAGTTGCCATGTTATATGTGTGTGATTGTGTCTCTTTCTGCAGTTAACAGTGAGTCATTCTTGCAAATAATATAATTATCAAACATCATAGGCATAGTATAGTTATAAAAATCCTATGAGTGGTATTCCAAGAATTAACAAGATTTGAAAGCAAAATAAGTCCTTAAATTAGCAATGTTGACAAGTGAATCTTTATAGTAATGTTAACCTTGCTAGGCGATGCAAATGTTATGTTATTCTAACACTACCCACAAATAATCACTGGCATTTTGCAGTATTTGAATATTTGCTATGAGCAAAGTTATTTGTGTACACTTTATTTAAAGTTATTTGCAATACTTTAACAGGAGAAATGCAACAAAAAGGTGTTAATATTGTTATGGAATACTACAGCATAAAATCAGAAACTGATCTAAAATATAAAATAGCAAACACAATTTTGATTTCAATATGAAAACCAAAATGAGGACAATATTTAAAAAATTATTTTTAAAAAAAGAAAAAAGAGCTTATATAAAGCATGTGTGCCTTAAAAACAAAATTGGCAAACTGTTGCTTTAGACATACTCTTAATGCAATCAACATCAATGCAAAATGAAAACAACTTTTATTACTACATCTAAAATATCTGCCACAAAACAAAGATCAAGATTATCCGATGGAGCAATTAATCTTTCATGTTTTAAATTTTCATTTTAAGAATAATAATTTTTGGCCGGGCACGGTGGCTCACGCCTGTAATCCCAGCACTTTGGGAGGCCGAGGTGGGCGGATCACGAGGTCAGGAGATGGAGACCATCCTGGCTAACACGGTAAAACCCTGTCTCTACTAAAAATACAAAAAATTAGCCGGGTGTGGTGACGGGCGCCTGTAGTGCCAGCTACTGGGGAGGCTGAGGCAGGAGAATGGCGTGAACCCGGGAGGCGGAGTTTGCAGTGAGGCGAGATCGCGCCACTGCACTCCAGCCTGGGCGACAGAGCGAGACTCCATCTCAAAAAAAAAAAAATAAAGAAGAAGAAGAATTTTTAATTATTAAATATTTCATAAAAGCTTTTAATATTTTAAATAATTTTTATTCAGCTTCATAAATATGACCTATAAAATGTCCATATCAGGTAGAGATTTATGGGTTATTAAAGTATATTGATTCATAATGCCAATAAACCATGCATTTTCAAATAATTTTTAAATAGTCTCTGAATCTCTTGGTATAATTTTATCACAGCAAAATGATTCACTATTATTGTGGTGAATCATTTAAAACAGATACATAGTTATGTTAAGAAAAATGCAGAACAACATAATTAAGACAATTCCTGAGAAGTCCGAGGAATCCTAATTTTTCATTCACGAATCCCAAAGATTAATATCTATTGGAAATCTGGAAACATTAACAGCAATAATAAGATGATTTTGATTGTAAGATGCATCTCAACTTCACTGACGTTAAATTGCAAAAAAAAAAAAAAGTGAGCCTTAAAATCAAGGAAGCACAATATTAAAAGAATACATCATATTAGAAAATAATTTCTTTCACTATCCTTCTAAATCTAAAATATTCAGTGAGCTTATGGTTAAGAATTTTCTAGGAGGCAGAGCATACTAATAATTGCCCAGAATGTTAATCAGTCATGCCTCTCTTTTTCTTATCTTCTTCCTCTTTCTCATCCTAATAAATAGATTTTCTGTTAATTTGTTTCTTTTTATATTTCCATCTTTTCTCTACTTCAAGTAAATTGTAATATAACTTTAATTTTCAGCTTTTATACTGTCAAATGATATTAATTTTAATTAAATATAAATAATCTGGAAAAATATACTTTTCTTTTCTTTTTTTTTCTCAAAACAGCAGATGGTATAAAACCAGCCATCCAAAAGTATTTTTTTGTCTGCTCACTTTTTAAAGTACTATGGTAATGTTAGAGCTAAAAAGGAGTGAGAAGCTATGTATAATAACTTAGTTTATTTCATAATATGAAAGCAGAAAATAAACTATAAGGTCTATATTGCCGTACCTGAAATATCCTCTATGTTAATATGCTGAAAGAAGAAATTATCTTCAAGTATTTTTCTGGAAGTTGAGTAGCAATGAGCATTAAGATCACCTGAGGTTGTATTAATATAACAAAAGCCTGTCATTACTGTGGAGTTTTTGTTAGCCTTATTTTTTTATTATAATCTCACTTTGATGAATTAGAAAAATATAAACCTACATGGCAGAAACGAAATATGAAAACACTTAACTAAACAGTCTTAGTATCTTCATAACTCTATACTCCACTCATTAGAGTCAAAATCTGAAAAGGGCTTTACTAATACCAGATTATTGATTTTAGTAGTTGCTGGTCCCATAGTTTTAATCCCAGTCTTGACCTTTGCAGTTCTAGGACAAGTCACTTAAGCTCAGTTGTCCCTTCTCTAAGAAGGGAGATAACTAGATCTCAGACGAATTATGTGAGGTTTCCTGATTAATATTTGCAAAGTGCTTTAGAGATTAAAGGGGTTTTCAAATTGCCAATTACTATTACAGATACCAGCACAGTCGAGTGGTCTAACTGCAAGATTGGTAGCTTGTAAAATTTTAGGTTGATTGTAAGAGTTCTTCTTTTTAGACTATGGCTGCTTTTAGAAAATATATATTTAAATATTAACAACATTTGAGGAGCAAATACTCCCAGAGATAAACATATAATTTAAATCCACAATTACATATGCATCTTCTCTGTGCCTCTTCCATGTCTGTGTTTTTAAAATTCTGTAGGTAAAGGACTGAAGTTCAGGCTGAAGGTCATTGAAGCGGCTATAATTGTATTAGTATGCTCATTGAATGTGCTATAGAAATGTAATTTAAGGCATTAATATGTACACACTAAATAAAACCACACAGGCTGTGGGAAAAGTTATCTATGATGCTGGAATTTTACCAGCTACAGAAGTAAATAATATAATATGTGTATCTCTGGAAATAATGTAAACTCACCTTACTCAACAAAAACAGTAACGGAAATCTAAACAATTCTGTTATTCTATGAGGAGGGTAATTTCACTGATGACAGCTTTTCATAATTTTACTCTTCCAGATTTTCCTTATTCTTTATTTTATTACTGTTTTGGATTGCACTCCTTGTTGGAGTTTCACCCTTTGCTAATAATTCTTCAGGAAATGTATTTTCACTGTTTTTCATATGGCAGTTACTACTGGCAATACCTAGTTGAAACCAACAGAATTACAACTCTCTTCAATATCCCTACATGACATGGGTAATATTTCAGTTTAATCCAAGGGCATGAATTGAGCCAAGAACAACCATTTCAATTTCTGCTGCAGTTTGTTTAGGCTTAACATGGACTAGCTACCATACTCTCTCTTGGTGAACCATATTAAATTGCTTACAGAAACTTGCTCAGAAAGCAAAAGGCATGACTTTACTATTCTCATGACATGCTTTTGCCTCATAATCATGAAAGCTATAAAAAGAAGTCCACTAGAAATTCCACCAAAAATCTTCATACTACCACCCAATGACCGAGTTCCCACCAAAGAGTTAAACAGCTATTAAAATTATTCTCTTTTATATAACATTATGTTTAGTGCAATATTACACATAAAAAACCAATATCATCTGTAATAATAGACCAGTCTTATTTCCCCGTATCCCTGTCCATAATAATATGACTCTGTTATGTACTTGCCATATATGAAGCTGTATGAGGAGTGATACATCCATATTCTCATGCATTCTCTCAGACTTTCTATAATTGAGGGCATTGTTTTACAAGTGACTGGCTAAAGTTAAAGGAGTTGTTTGCAGCCATAGAAGAAAACAGGTTGGGCACTAAAGAAAAAGATATTAAGTAAAACAGGGCCATGTACTCTATAAAGCTTATCTGTCTCCCTTAAACTATATGAATGCCCTTGTTTGTGTCAAAAACTCCTTAAATAGTTAAGGAGATCTCCAGTGAACTGAAACTAGATTTTAGCTGAGACTTACACATAGCAAGACATAGTAAATGTTGGCCAAGTGAATGAATGAAGTCATATTCCTTCTAGCTGGAAATAAACGCATATCACTACGCATAAAGGTAATTAAAGAATTATATATATTTTCCTAATCTTTTATTGGCTTCAAACTGCTTTTATTATGGCAAATTATCAGAATAGTTGATACTTCTATTGCTCAAGAACTCTTGCTTGTTTTTGGCAGTGTGGTGAGCATAAAAAGAATGGTAAGTGAACCAAAAGAGGAAATAAGAATTCCAGTCCTGGTTTTTCCAATATTTAGCTTTGGGCACTGGATGAAAGACTTCAACAATGTATGCATCAGGCTCCCCTATGCAAAATGGACAGGCTGAACTATGAGTTATTTGATGTTATAAACTGTTCTAACGTGCTGTGGGTCTATGTAGGAAGCATGATTTCCTAACTTTCACAATGTAGAAAAAGAAATTTCAATTAGTTCTTGTTGCAACTGTCAATACTTATTATTTAGTTACTATTTTGCTTAATCTTTTAAAACGCCTATTTTGATGTCCTCCTATATTTTCATTTTCCTTGTGACATTACTGCTATTTGGTCATATCTACTGTATGCAGAAAATATGCTTTATTTTTGACCCTGAAGACACAGCCATGGAACAAATAAATTGAAGAAATCACTGGTTATTTAGGAATGCTGTGCAATGTTTGAAAATTATACTATTTGTTATATTGAAATGTGTGCTGGTTTCGAAAAATCAAACTCTTCTGAAATTATTGAGCCCAACCTATCCTCACTCCTCTGAATATCCTATTCTGTGGCATAGATCAATGCACTGAAGCTTTGTAATTCCCTGAAGGGCTTTTAGCATTGGTAGTGCCACTTCCTTCTACTCAAAACCTCTTGGGGAAAAACTGTTAGATGTATCATCTGCTTAGTTCTGCTCTCTTCCCTTCTTCAGCACCTGATCTCTGCTCCCAATTCTGCTTCAGCAGGAATATCTCTTAAACAGATGTCTTCTTCATTTTCTGTTATTCTAATAATAACCAAAGACATTCATTGGGTCTTTTGCACTTAGCAGATTTACAAGTCTTTCAGCATATATTAACTTTGTTCTAAAACCTCTGCTTATGATTCCAGGTAATTGGTTTTCAAGACACTGTCCTAATTTTTTTAATTAAAAAAATCCCTAAATGACCTATGTAATATAAAAATTAGGTATGTTTTTGGATTTACAATGCTTAGGTTAGGGTTTTAATTTGGCAGGAGGATGTATAATAGTGTTAACAACAGATTTAACTTTCTAATTATTTTGCTGAGATTAGTATTTAAATACATTTATATTTCCAAACACTTAACTAAAAGTTACTGTGACTAGGGGGTCCAACTCAAATCAACAGATACTACTGGGCTCCTGTTAAATGCATAGACACTTTGACTAAATGCCATAGGCACTCATTAAGAATTGACTAGAGGCTGGTGCGGTGGCTTATGCCTGTAATCCCAGCACTTTGGGAAGCCAAATCGGGCAGATCACTTGAAGTCAGGAGTTTGAGACCAGTCTGGCCAATATGGTGAAAAAATACAAAAATACAAAAATTAGGTGGCATGGTGGTACATGCCTGTAGTCCCAGCTACTCGGGAGGCTCGGGCACGAGAATTACTTGAACCTGGGAGGCAGAGGTGCAGTGAGCTGAGATCACACCACTGCACTCCAGCCTGGGCAACAGAGCAAGACTCTATCTCAAAAACAAAAAATTGCTTAGAATTTTGTTTTCAAAATGCTTATTGTCTAGTAAGAAAGACAAGCCAAGTTCATTCACAGCTTGACTGTGCCCATAAGAGAAGTACAAATGCTATGTTCAAAGGAGAGATAAAACATCTTTAAAGCCTTGGGAAAGGTGGCTCTTGAGCTAGGCTTTGAAAAATAGAAAGGATTTTAACAAGTGGGGATGAATCATGCTAGGAGGTGGATATACACTAAACAAAAGTACAATGACTAAACTGTGTTGGGTATGTTTGAAGAACAGCAAGCTGATAATTTGGTTTGTATAGGCAAGTAATAAGAACTGAAACTGAAATCTACTAGAATAGTCTGTTTCCACACTGCTAATAAAGACATATCCAAGCATAGGTAATTTATAAAGAAAACAGATTAATTGACTCACAGTTCAGCATGGCTGGGGAGGCCACAGGAAACTTACAATCATGACAGAAGGGGATGCAAACACCTCCTTCTTCACATGGCAGCAGGAAAGAGAAGTGTGAAGCAAAAGGGAGAAAAGCCTCTTATAAAACCATCAAATCTCCTGAGAACCCACTCACTTTCAGAAGAACAGCAGCATGGGGGTAACTGCCCCCATGATTCCATTACCTCTTACCAGGTCCCTCCTATGACACATGGGGATTATGGGAATGACAATTCAAGATAAGATTTGGGTGGGGACACAGCCAAACTGTATCAGCTACATTGAACAAAATACCTTTTTAAAATATCTAAATGTTATGATGTGATATGATATTATTTTGTCATGTATTAACTCAGGTTTATACATAAAGTTTTCACCAGATCCTTGGTAACTACAGCCAATGTTAGATACAATATTTATAATTTCCTAAATAACATCCCTTCTATGTAATTAATTCTATAAAAATAAATGCATTGATCCAGTAAGAACAGAACTTTTATTCAGTTAAGAACAAGGAACCTTTGGGAGGCCGAGGCGGGTGGATCATGAGGTCAGGAGATCGAGACCATCCTGGCTAACAAGGTGAAACCCCGTCTCTACTAAAAATACAAAAAATTAGCCGGGCGCGGTGGCGGGCGCCTGTAGTCCCAGCTACTCGGGAGGCTGAGGCAGGAGAATGGTGTGAACCCGGGAAGCGGAGCTTGCAGTGAGCCGAGATTGCGCCACTGCAGTCCGCAGTCTGGCCTGGGCGACAGAGCGAGACTCCGTCTCAAAAAAAAAAAAAAAAAAAAAAAAAAAAAAAAAAAAAAAAAAAAAAAGAACAAGGAACTCTCCAGAGAGTTTAGAAATCAGGGTTAAAGGCCTCAAAGTCATATTAAACAAAGTATAAAGTAATGTAACAGACTTTACGTTAAACATGGAACATTAAATCTGTACATATATGTCCATATTATCTGGAAATCCTACTAAATGATTGTAAAAGAAGAAAAAATTTTATAAAATAAAGATAAAATGACTAAGAAAAAAAGACAACAGCCAATAAGCGTGCCAACAATATTTCAGAAGGTAAGATGCAACAAGATGGCTAGTAACTGAGTATAATCTGTGTTTTCTGTGGTTTCAGTGACTATTAAAGGAAAGGAGTGAAGTTGGGGTACAAAAATCAAAAGAAGCAAGCTGATTCATACCACTAACACCATAAGGATTTAGGCCTTTAATGGAGTAATTAAAGTAAAATAAGGTCACAGGGGTGTCCCCTAATCCAATATGACTAGTGTCATTACAAGAGGAGATAATGACACAGATAGGCACAGAGAAAAGACCATGTGAGGACATAGGAAAGAGCCATCTGCAACTGAAGGAGAGAGGTCTCAGAAGAAATCAAAGATGTTAACACCTTAATCTTAAACTTCTAGCTGTCAGACTATCAGAAAATGCATTTATGTTGTTTAAGCCATTCATTCTGTGGTATTTAATATGGGAGCCCTAGCAAACTTACTATATTATCTGTTGATCAGTTGGTTGATCTATTGATCTATATGCTTTATGGTGACTCCTACAAAGCAATGCAAAGCAGGGTAATCAGAAATAAGTGATTTGCTCTAGAAGTGGGGGTAGGAGAGGGCTTCTTTTATTTAGTGTGATCAAGGATAATCTCTCCTAGGAAATGGCATGTAAGGTAAGACCTGAAATATAAAAAGAAGCCACTCATACAAATATTTGGAGGAGTATTTTTCGGGCAAAAGAAAGTTTAGCACAAAGATTCTTAGGTATGAAGAAACAGGGCAGACTGGGGACTAATCAGCGTGGCTGGAGTACAGCAATGAAGGAGGGCTATAGAATGAGGTACGTTTGGAGATATAAGGCTAGAATATCATTCCTTTCTTTTGATAAATTGTTGATTTCTGCCTTAGTAGGTCTAAAGCTTAGTAAACTGTAAGAAATATCAAAGCTTATTTATTTTGCTAAGTTCACCTAAACCCATCTCCCAGCTCTTATCCCATTATACTGCCTGGAATTTTATCTCATTTGTTATTGCTCACACTCTCACAACCACCTAGTGTTATAAAGGTCCTAAAGTATTTGGCAATGCTATTGGGTTAGGAAGGCTCCTTTAGTAATTGGTCACTGGTTGACATGGGTTACTGCTGAAACACCTTTTCTCAGTCCTCAGGGTTTCTTGGGATTTGGGGGCACAGCTGCTTCCCTGCCAAGTGTGGTGTCTGTGAAACTTTAGTGGATGGTCTCATGTCTTGGGTCTAAGCTCCAGCAGTGACCATAATGCAATCTCATTTGAGGTCATACCCCTTCTGATGTCACTGTCACAGTAATTCAGCATGTCCCTAATACCAGGGACCCACTAAGTCTATTTTTTTACTATATTGAAAAAGGGAAAAAAAAATCTCTCTTTCTCTTTCTCTCTCTCTCTGTCCCTCTCTCTCTTCTAAATTCTCTCAGAGGCATTCTCTTCTCTCTCCTCCCGTGGAATAATCTCTTCAAGGAGTTTAGGCTTTCACAAAAGATAGGAAGGGGTGTTGCCTTCAAGAAGCTTCTAATTTAAGTCCTAGACATGACTTTGATACAAAATATAAAGACTTTAGCTATCTATTTGAAGTGCAAAAAAAAAAATGTTAAAGAAGAGCAACCAAAAATTGGTATATCAATAAACTTATTTGTCTCACTAGCTTGCATAAACTGTGATACTTGCAAACAACAATAATAAAACTTAACTAATAGAAACATAAAATGTTCTCCTAAAAGCTTACAGTGTTTAGAAAATTTACTACTTCAGCTTAGAATCTATAATCTCCTTTTTCTCACCATTCCCTCCACCCCGAGATGTGCTGCTTTTCCCAGTAATCGACTGTTTGGCCTGTCTAGATGTTTTAGTATAATACTCAGCTGATTTATTTGCCTGTCTTTTCTCTTGGGAATTGGTGGCCATCGGAGCTGACTAAATAAAACCACTGCTGACTCTTCTTCCCAGACATTTTAGACTTTGGCTAAGTACCTTTTCAAAAAGTAGGAATGCATGAGCCATACAAAATCAGGAAATTCAAACCACTGAAGAGTTAGCAAGACAGAACACTGTAAAAAAAAAAAAAAAAAAAAAGGGGGGGGCGCCGTGCGTGGCAGCTCACGCCTGTAATCCCAGCACTTTGGGAGGCTGAGGCAGGCAGATCACAAGGTCAGGAGATTGAGACCATCCTGGCTAACACAGTGAAACCCCATCTCTACTAAAAATACACAAAAATTAGCTGGGCATGGTGGCGGGCGCCTGTAGTCCCAGCTACTCAGGAAGCTGAGGCAGGAGAATGGTGTGAACCCCAGAGGCGTAGCTTGCAATGAGCGGAGATCGAGCCACTGCACTCCAGCTTTGGTGACAGAGCGAGAGTCTGTATCAAAAAACAAAGCAAAATGAAAAAAAAAAAAAAAAGCTATTGTAATTTGGAAATGTATCCGCAATGAGATATGCTGTATTCTTCTTTCAGTAATCTTATGTTGGTCTTTATGCACAGCTTACAGAAGACATATTCTCCAAACAGTCCTTGATGTGGGAAAAGCTTTTATTTTAAAGCTAAAGAAGATGAGTTTTCTAAATTGTCATAGGCTGTGGTTTAGCAGCTGGATTTTACATGGTTCCTGTGCAGCTTATTCTTCTAATTATGCTGCTGACAGCTTCCCCAGTGGATTAAAATCCACATTCAGAGTTCTCTTATCTTTAACCTTTCATCCCCATGACTCCCCACTCCACAGATGCCTTTCCTAATGCCTAGTTCTAAGTCTGGGGACTGCTTAGATGGGTACTTGAACAACAATAAAAGGGAAAGGCGATTGTAGTCTTTCTCTGATCTTGAATGTCTAATTTCTACATACATATTAAATACATAAAAATGAAAAACTGATCTATTTTATAATACAAATGTTATCTGGTCTTTCATTCAGCTTTTAGAAAGTTATAAACCTTTGATGATTCTAGGTGGGGCAACATTTTATAAAAAGAAAATGAAAAGCCGTCTTTGCTATACAATAATACCTTATTTTAAATGGGATAAAAGAAGGCCAAAGTCACCCAGAGTAGATAATTACTCACATAATTGAAGCTTACTTCGTAATAAGTCAAATCTTTAACCATTTTGGGGATCAAAATCTTTCACGATGTATACTGTTTCCTTAACTAGAAGATGCTGAGAATAATTCAGTATTTCTTTATTCAAAACAGTCATTCACAACATGCAGGCTATCAAGGGAATACAGCTTGGTTAATTTTGGCTCTCCATCTTCCTTTCTTGATGTTTTTCCAGCAAAACCAGGCTTACCTTTAAGGATGTGTCTATTTTTGTATTGTTCTCATTCTCCTCATCCCCTACAATGCTTTCAGTTTTGACGACCTGCTGAGGGCAGGAAACCAGATACATAAGCCTGTTAAGAACTCTGTAATAAATGTCAGCCAGGGATCAAGAATAAAGTTTCTTGATTTTTCAGCAGTGATTTAAAAAATGGTCTTGCTTTAATTAGGCATGGGCACTATTCTGAAGAGTTAAGTTGATCAAAGCCAGTTATGGTAGGGTTTTCTAGCACCTAACATGATTAAATAATTTGGATGTGTGCTTTTAAAGTAAATCAAGTTCCCTGGATTTAAGATGAAAAATTGGGAACCTGGAAGGGTCTCCTGAGGGGAAGGAAGAAAGGTGAGTGGTCATTCAGAAAATCCTCACTCTCTGCATTCATCTAAAAGCTAAATTATTTCCTCTCAGAAAAAAAAAATGGAAGAAAAGAGATGGGGTCCAAGGAGGTCATTAGCATAAGGGGAAGCATCAGAGAAAATACAGGCTACAGGCAGCAGCTGAAATTTCTTCTCTGACCTCTCTCAGGCACCTTTAAAAGGTGGGGGAAGGTAGGGTAGGGAAATGGGGGAGGGAAAAGACCAAGGAAGGAAAGGACACGGATTCAAAGACACCTCACTGAGGTAGTAACTACATAGCAGGCAACATGTCACGAGTACCAGCCTTTAAACTATCACTGTCTGAGGCATTCTTTGCCTCTCCTCTGTTCATTCTGTGTCTTAGGGGAGTTGTATCCATTAGGCTGCTGCTTTTCTCAGGCTCCCATGTCGCACTGGAGCCGGTGTCTCATGTCCTACTGGACATAGGAGCCTGAGAAAAGCAGATGGGAGGCACAGGATAGAGATTGGGGGGTGAAACAAGGGGGTTAGCAGGATATTTCTCCTTGTGTCTCTTTCCTTCCTGGAGTGTCACTGTTAATGTGTCCTCCATGATTCCCACTGATACAGACAGGAGGCAGGGAAATACTGGATAAAAGAAGGTGGTCCCCAGAGAGGGCCCCACCCTCCAGCCTGGACCCGCGGCCCAAAGTGAGAACTTTACATCCCTGTTTTCCTGCTTAAATGTTGCCTTTTCCAAAACCACCCTGGCCACCCTGCCCCACATCCTGTACCCATAAAAACCCCGGGCTCCATTGGCAGCAGAATAATAGATGAGAAGAGAAGAGAAGAAGCAGCTTGACTTCAGAGGGGTGGCTTGACAGCGAGACCTCAGAGAAGATTTTGCCCAGGGACAGGCAAACTCCAGGAGAAGACCATCTTCACGGTCCATCCCCTTTCCAGCTCTCCATCCCACTGAGAGCCATTTTCATCAGCAATAAAATTTCCCACATTTACCATCTTCAGTTCATTCATGTGACCTGATACTTCCTGGACACCGAACAAGAGCTCAGGATACAGAAGGCTGTCACACTGAGTTATTAAACACTTAAGCCGTCTGCAGATGGCAAAGCTAAAAGAGTGCACTGTAACACACACCGTCTGGGGCTCTGGGGGTTGCGGGTACCCCATTAGATGCTACCATGGGGCAGCACAGAGTTCTGCTCCTGACAGCGCTAAGAAGCATTTGTCCTAGCTGCTGCACCCAATTACCTGCGTGCTCCCCCTCCTGTGAGGGGCTGAGAGCTGTGGGCTAAGTAAACGAGCCACCCACTTCATGAGTCCCATGAAGGGGTCAAGGAAAATTTTCTACTTCACCACCAAACATATTAGCTGTGGTTCCAGTTTGCCTAGGTCAAAGTAATCCTGAGCTCTAGGTAATATTGGCTCCTCTCCTTATCCTTGCATACTGCTGTTACTAACCACCAACTTACCTAATTGTTCCCTCTTTGGCTTCTCATCTTTTTCATCACATTTGTAATATATTCTCTGTGTTCATTTCCCTGTAAAATACACTCGTGGTGTTCATACCCTATGCAGTGGTTTCATTTTTCGGTTTAAATCCTAATGATACAAAAAGCACTTTACATCTTATTTAGTCCTTACAAGTTCCCTACAAGGCAGTAATCATTACCTCTTTTACAGATGAGAAAACCCAAAAGTCAGCAAATTTAAGATCTTTACTCAAAGTCATAGCACTGGTAAGTAGTAGAGCTATGATTCACATCCAGTTTCAAAATCACACTTAAATTGCTCTGCCTACCAAGGGAAATGACAGAGCCAAGGGAATGACAGGCAAAAAAATAAAATTCTCTAGGCCTGAAAACATATGTTTATTCTGCAGCATAGCTGCCCTAGGCCAGAGCAGTGTCACTAAAGGGAGCTCCTTTGGCCATTTAAAAATATTTTCTACCTTTGTCATGCTCTCTCCAACTTGTAGACATATATGAATCAAATGTTATATTATTTTAATGGTAATCATTAACCCCAGGTATTCATTCTTTCAGTTGATCTACGTTGCCTACAAAGTCCCATCTTAAAGATAGTTCTGTTTAAGTTACTGAATTCTGAATGCTGGTTTTTAATAAAATGACAAATTAGAACAATAAAAAAGATTCGAAAGATCCTTTATGGGATATGTTGGTAATATCCCTGACACCACTAAGTATATTCTAAGAACTCTCACCATATTCCAATTTAGCCCAAATAAGAGAGAGATTGCTAATTACAAAACAGTTGCTTGTAGCAATTCAGATTGGTTGTTCCCCATTCTATTTTTAGTCATGGATTTCTAAATGCCAGTAAACTTTCTACCTAATAATGTGCCATGCATATTGTTACCATAAATTCAATTACAAGGACATATGTAGATGTATACTCAACACTGAAATTCCTCTGCACTATCCATACTAGAAGACCTACGAGTTCTTTAAAAACAAAACAAAACTCCAGTGCATATCCTTGGTTCAGTTTTCTACACAATGCAACAGGAACGAACAAGTCAGAAACATAAGGAACACCATTTTATGTTTTTTTTCAAGTCCTCTGATTTTTTTCCCCCAAAATCTCCTTGTTTCTTTGAACAAAAACAGCCTCTGTGGCTCTGCCAGTTCTTTTATGTGCTGCAGAACACCTGGTGGCCAATTGCTGGGTGGAGGATAATTAGCCCCTCAATTATCACCAGTTTATTTTCACCTGTTCCACTAGCATTTCCCTATAACTTGAAGCTTGTCTAATTAGTCTTTTCTGACCCATTCTCCACCATCAGACTCAAGAAATAGCCCCTCCACTAAGTAATTAACCCATGGTAGGCCAATCTTCCAGCTTTTGTTTCAACTCCTGCTGGAATCATTAAAATCAAATGAACAAAGAAACATCATGGGACAGGGTAACAAGAATTGAAAAAGTTCTGTCTCTCTTCTCCCTTTGCCAGCTTCCAAATCCAAATTATAGAACCTCAAGCACAGTGACATTTAGTCAGACACATATGTGCTTGCTGTTGAATGTCTTGAAAGAGCAAAATAGCATTGCCAGAATTATCAAGTTCAGTTCTCTGAAATGCCATAGGAAATATGGTGTTTATTTTATACCTAAAAGGTGAAAGAGATCAAAAAGAATCCAAAATTTAAGATTCAGGCCAAAATCTCAACTTGTAAAACCTTCCCAGGATGCTGTAATTGAATCTAACAATATCTTCTTCACATTATTTTGGTAGTCTATGAATAGTTTTCCAAATTATTTATATACATGCATAGAAATTCTTACTTTGCTGCATCAAACACTTTGATAGAGAAGTCCAGCAGAGATTACTGTAAGGTTAAGGGACAGCTCATGTTTGCTTATTCATTCAAAAAGTATTATTGAGTATCTATATTAGGCACAGAATTAAGCCCCAGGGACATAGAAAAAGTGGAGAGTTCTTGTAGCTTTATTTCATATACTCAAAATATAGATATTACATATATGAATATCTATAATATGTATAAATGCATACAGTATGAGTATACATATGTATATAGAATACATTAGATTCTTATATGTATATGTATACACACACATACTTTTAATAATACATTGAAACCATACACACATGCTTAAAAATTGACAGGAAAACATTATTTTTGGTAGCGGACATTTGTTATATTTTGACCTGTCATTTTCTACTTTTCTTCTCAATACTACCCCCAGTTCTTTTCACAGCCACTTCACTTCTGCCACAGGGATTGGTTTAGGGCTGAGCACATGACATAAATTAAGTCATCAGGAGGCAGACTCAAGACATCTGTTCCAGCATTGTAAAGAGAGACGCTCTCCCTTTCCTTTCATTATTCATTTTAACCTGAAAATCAGAGAATGTGAGGTCTTGAATTGATGCTGCCATTTTGTAACCATTTGAGAATAAAGACACAGCAAGAGTAAAGAATAAAGCTATAAAATAAGAAGAAAGCCCTAGTAACATCATTTAAATTCTATGTAAGTCCTTTCTCAAGTGAGATTTTATCCTGAACTTTTCTGTTATGTGAGCCAGTAAGCATTCTCACTTTCTAAACTTAGATGTGGGCTTAGGTCACTTGTAATGAAAAGTCATCTGATTGATAGAGATTGACTTTCCAATATCACATATAGCAGTTTAAGATATAAGGTAACTATATTTTTCTTTAAAACAAATAAGATTAGAGGACATGCAACTTATCTAGTTTGAACTTTAAAACATTCAGATAAGAAGTTGTGTTTTACACTTGCTTTTCTCCTGTAAAATTTTAGTTTCTTTCTGTACTATAAACTTCCTTCTGTGAATCTGGTGAATCATACTATTCCATAAAGTATGTTGCCAAGAAGTTGTACCCTTTATTCTTATATCACATCACATGCCCTGTAAATGGTTTTTAACACAGCAGCTATTATTCTGTCAAGTTGAATAATTTTAGGCTTACCTCCATATCTTCTATTCATTCCACAAATACTTACCAAGCAATAACTATATAATGGTATTGGCTATCCAAAGATAAATAGGAAAGGTTGCTATTTTCAAGGAGCTTCCATGCTCTTTAGGAGATTATAAAGTGATATAAAAGGACAGCCAAGTACTGAATGGCACTTGCCATGTAGCTTTCATTCTCTCCTGGTGCCACTCTTTCCATTATCTCCCACATCCAACTTATCAGCAAGTCCTAATGGCACTGTCCCCCAAATCTTTCTCAGTTCTGTAGCTCCATTCTTTAAATCTTTAGTCCAAGCCACCATTATTTCTCACTTCTACTACTGCAGTAGCCTCCTAACCAGTCTCCTTGTCTCAACTCTTGCCCACTTCACAATCCCCAGTCTATTCTCCACATGACAGCCAATATAATCTTCTCAAAGTACAGATCAGATTCATCTATTCTGGTGCTTAAAACCATCCCAAATATTTTCATTGCCTTTAGAAAAAAAATCTAAACATATTACCATGCCCTGCTAGCTCCACACGACCTGACCCCCACCTACCGCATCAACATCAGTTTCCATCATGCTCTACTTTATCAACCTCACCCCAGCCACACTAGCCTTCTTTTCATTCTTCAGAAAGGCCAAACCCATTGCCATCTTGGGTCCTTTGAACTTGCAGCTCTTCTGACTATAATACTCTTCCTTTCTCATTATTTAGGTCTCACCTCTTCTGACAAGCCTTTTCAGACTATCTTAGCTAAAATGATACCCTGAACTACCACTCACCAAATTCTTATCCCATTGCCATGTTTCATTTTCTCTACAGTGCTTATCACTGTTTCAAATCAGATTGTTTACTTATTTACTTATATAATAAGCATTGGACTTTCCCCACTAAAATGTAACTTTCAAGAAGTTAGGGACCATGTTTTATTCATTGCTTTCTCTCCAGTGCTAAGAATGCCTGATACATGGTAGGCATTTGCTACATACGTATTGGCTAAGTGAATACAAGACTTGCTACTTGTAGAGGTATGTCTAGCTCAAACTGGAAAATCAAGAAAATTGGGAAGAAATTTAGAATGATAAAATCTTGGATAGATGGGGGGAATGACTAAATAAATAGCATGTAGATTTTATGAGTTAATGAGAAATTTAAAGAAAGTTCAATAATCTGAGGAATTAGTTCAAATCTGTTTTCTGTAACATCACTTACAAAGCAAACTGACAGCGAGACTACAAGATATATCAATGATGAAAAGGAATAAATTAAATTGCAGGCGTGTTTAAAGTACTAATTCCAGGGTTGTTGTGAGCTTTGTGCTTATTTAACATCATTACTAATAACCTGATAAAGAAAATTCATCTTATATTTATGGAACTGTAGATAATTCCAAACTGAATCTTATTACAAGTGTCAGTAAAAACCCAATTCTCAATTAATATTGATTATGTCAAAAATCTAGGAGCTGGAAGCCTTTATTCTTAGCAAACTAATGCAGGAACAAAAAACCAAATACCACATGTTCTTACTCTTAAGTGAGAGCTAAATAATGAGAACACACGGACACAGAGAGGGGAACAACACACACTGGGGCCTATGAGAGGATTGAAGGTGGGATGAGGGAGAGAAGCAGGAAATATAAATAATGGGTACTAGGTTTAATAATTGGGTGATGAAATAATCTGTACAACCAACCCCCATGAAACATGTTTATGTAACAAACTTGCACATCTTGCACATGTACCCCTGAACCTAAAACAAAAGTTAAAAAATAAAAAATTGTAAAAATCTAAGTCTCTTAAAACTTGAAAATTGATTTGAATTCTTTTTAAAATACAAACATTCACATACAATTCAGCTGGCTAGAATCATTAATCAAATGAAAGCTGAGACACTTAAAGGGACTAATGGCAAATACAAGGCACTATTGCCTAGACACCATTTGATAATTCAGAATAGGTTTGTTTGTTTGTTTAAGTTTCCTGAGTAGATGGGACATTTATTGAGTGTCTATTAGGTTCCATGAACTTTATCTTTGTTTCATTTTGTCTTCAATTTAACTCCTAAAGGGTTTATTATCTGCATTTTACATATGAGAAAACTGGTGGAGGTGAGTCAAACCTTTATCTACCAAATTCCAAAGTTCTTTTTATCATTAACATTTCCCTGCTGCAAGCTCTGAGATACACAGAATTACACAAGGCTAACCAAAAAGTACTATTCCATTTCACTTATGACTAAGCAACACATTAGGCAAAAGCTATTAGAAAATAAAAGTAAAGAAACTTTAAACAAGATTCCTAAAATGAACAATAAAACAAACAACAAAGGCAGCATGTATTTTTTTCTAGACCATAGCTAAAAAAGCAATAGTATGAAAAATGCCCCAAAATCCCAACCTACAATAAGAAGAGAATATTTGTAAACTGAAATTAAGATTAATTCATAACAAATAGCAAAGACAAACAACATGTCAATGAACTTGAAAAGGTAACTTTCATCCATTGTAAACTTTAAAAGCAGACTGGTGAGTGACTGAATGAATGAACAAACCAACCAATAAATAAATGAACAAAGACACTTTAGTCTATGTTGCTGGGAACAACCTTGAGCTGGTAGGCCAGGGGCTAGAAGCAAAAATTTAGAAATGAATTTTAGATCATCATATTCTTTTACCTGTGCCAAGAATCTTATGTTTCTGAAGTGATTCTGTGTTACCTTTTTGGCAAAGTAAATGAGGTTTTAATTGGTTGCCTTCCTTGAATTAGAAGACAGACCCAAGATTCACTATCAATAGGAACTTCACTGGTATTTTATGTAAACTTGGGCATTACACCTATAGTATTTTCAACCTTCACATTTTTAATTTTTGTCAGGCAATACCATAACAAGATCCCCTGTGTCAATGTGCTACCAGAAGTAAAAAAAAAAAAAAAAACGAAACAAAAGAAGCATCCATATAAAGTAAACAAGTTAGAAAGGCTCATTTTTCATTTGTTAACTAGCCTCCACACGGCTGTTGGCTGTGACAACAAATGATTTAATGAGTCTAATTTAAAATGGTCTTGTCTGTTTAAGATAGATGTCTTAGAAAATGCTTTCTAAAATCTCACAGCTATAGCAAAGGCCGCTTCAGTGTACCCTGAGAAAAATCGGCGCTGCTCTTCCACTTTTTTTCTAAATTTCTGGTAGGCCAGATATCAAGCTAGTAGCAGCAAGAACTATAATACTCCCATTGTACCTGGGAACATTTCCTAATAGTAATGGTAAATAAAATGTTTCAGATATACTAGCTCAAGAAACCATAAGTATTTATCAACTGTGTAGAAAAGTGATTAGTCAACAAGACCCTTTCTGAATTATGTGATCGTCTTCTCTTGTCAATCACTTAAATGGCCCTTTAGAGTGATGCTTTGTCAGAAAAGGATGTTGATAAGGGATATGATGTATACTGGGCAATGGCAAAGAAAGGGCCACATCTGCAGGGGTGAACACTATCTAGGTTGTGGCATTTGATTTTAGAAAGCTTGTAAATGTATTAGATTGAAGAGATGAAACCTTCCAAAATCCATTTCCCAAGTTCACAAACACACGTCTTCTTCCCCATGTAAAATCTTAGGTAGATTTTAAAAGTGATGAGCAGGTACGAAGTGTTATCTCTGAATTCACATGGTGCTTCCCTTTGTATAAAGAAAACTTGCATCTTTTTGATCATTCTTTGGTGACAGATAAAACACATTATACAGCTTCTGAGAGGGTCAGGTAGATTCAATTTTGTTGAATGACCTGCCTCAGCTCGAAACTGAGTATCTTGTTTTGTTCTTGCAACATAAAGAAGTCTAAATTTGATCAGTCTAAATATGTACCCTTACTTTTTTGAATATCCAGATGTGGTGATTATCCAGAATTAACAAAAATCAGATTAACTAAAGTAACTTCTATAATATCTAAATTTACTAAAAGTGTTTTAGAAAACCAGAAGCAAGAAACTTGAGCACCAATACTAAAGGATGTATGCACTAAATAAAAGCCTAGAAACCCGAAGAGCAGATGTGACTCAGAGCCGTCCTCACCATGAAATTATTCAAGAAGTCAAAGAAACGCGGAAAAACAGTGTCAAAATATTTTCACGTTAAAAAAGTAATTAGCATATACTGCATAAATTAAAGAAATGTAGACAAACAGACAGAGCCATAATACAAATACCTTTGCAAGCCAAGTTTCAGTTTAGATAAATATAGTTTCTGCAAGTAGAAAAATTTAAGCTATTTCTCACAGCTATACATGTGCGCTTTCCCCGACTTTTGTAGCAATCTCAAAGAAACCAACAGGGAAGGGAGTGGGTGGAACAAATGCTACCGAGAAGACTGAGTAAATTGCCAACTGTCTAGTCTGTACAGGTCATTAACCTCATCACACTGAGCTTTTGTTCGTGGTCCAAATCTCAGACTTGGACCTGCAGGCTGAGCGTTGTAGCAGGCTATTGTTTTCATGGAACTTTGTAGAAAACAAATTTCAAAATGTCAAATGCCACATGCTATTTTCACACTCCACACTTGCCTCCTGAGTCTTAGATAATTAAAAGAAAAGTAAAAAATTTACTCCACTGAAGAAAAAATGAATGTTTTTGTTTGGGTAACCATAACAATTTCTTCAGTCAAATTATTTATGTAATGCACAACCCCCAAAATGTTTTTATCATGTGTGAGATGTAAATATGATCAGAGGTATAATCCTGAATGATTTGCATCCATTTATTGTAATACAAACATATCATTAATAATGGTTACTTTCTAAGTTTAATAACAGATACATTTGTCCTCCCTAATGTGAGTGGGCATCAGCCGATCAGGCTCTTTGGCAACTGGTAATTTCAAGTGATGTTATTTTGATCGTCACTTTGTTTCCTTGGTATGCAATCTCCATTTTAATCTCCTTCTGCTCTTCTGTCATCTCTCTGATTTCTTGTTTTATTCAATTACAGTTTACTAAATTTCATAGCATGAATTGCTTATAAAAAATATTTTTTTCTATTCCTTTGGTTTTTGTTTCTTCAAAGTTGGGTTTTGTCTTTTGTACTCTAAATTTTAAAAAAAAAAAAGCACTTTTAGGTTTTGTAGATAGCTGTGCCAAGCCATTTCTTTCATTTGCTCATTATTGAGTGGTTTTATCCCAATTTTCTAATTTTATCTATTCTGATATAGTGTTTGTGACTTTCTGATTCCTTCATTTAGTATCAGAAATCACTTTGCCTTCTCTTACAAATTGTCTATAGTATGAGGGCTCAGTGTTTTATGTTCTATGCACATTTTCTGTAACCTCAGGGCATGACAGAAAGGGTGAGGTAAAAAAATCTCAGTTGAAATAATGAACTAATCTGCAGTCTTGTCTATAATCCCTGAGTTCTGCTTTTCTAAAATTTGTTAAATGCCCTGAACCAGAGCTAAACTCATAGAACTGTGGGAAAATGTGCCATTTCCTTGGGGAATATTCTTAGACTTCAGGTTGGTCCTTAAAATCAATATAGGTTGCTGCTCTCCAATATTCACTCTCTTTTTCTATAGTAATAGAACCTCTGGTATTTAGCTTTGCTCACTGCTGATCAGGATAAATCCACATTTTACATTTTGTAGACTACATTTCTACATACAACTCCTCTGTAATTAAGTGTAGTCATCAAGTTCTGGCCGATGAGATGCAAAGAAAGAGGGGAAAGCTTTCAGGAACCTTCCTTAAGAGACAGCATGCTTATCCTTTCTTCCAAACCACTGCTTGAAATATGAATGTTATCTTCTTATACATGTGATCAAGACAATAAATGATGGAGCACCATGAAAAAAGAAGTCTTTGGTCATCCAAATGCACCACACCATACCAACCCAGTGTCACCTATATTTATGTAAGAAATAAATATGTGCATACCTTGTTTAGCAACTAGTTAGAATTTTCTGTCATTTGTAGCCTAATTTTGACCTAAATAATACAACACCTTTCGGAGAAAGGCAGCACTTATTGATTTTTAGGGTAAATGTCAAGCAATTAGTTTGAGAAAGAAAAATATAAGTATATGCTTCTAATTTTATTCTCTCTAGATTTAGAAGAATGGATAAGAAGTTGCTTTTTATGGATGAGTAAAGAAACTGTCCTTTTGAGATGGAATCTTCTCCCGATGAAGATGCTGTGAACATTGTTGGAAAAACAACAAAAGACTTAAATATTACATAAACTTAGTTGATAAAGTGGTGGCATAGTTTGAGAGGATTGATTTCCATTCTGAAACATCTACTGTGAAAATGTTATCAAGCAGCATTACATGCTACAGAGAAATCTTTTGTAAAGGAGTTAATCAGTGAGGCAAACTTCACTGTTGCCTATTTTTAAAAATTGCCACAGCTACCCCAACCTTCAGCAACCACCACCCTGATCAATCAGCAGTTATCAGCATCAAGGCAAGACCCTCCACCAGCTAAAAAGACGATGACTCGCTAAAGGTTCAGATGATCATTAGCATTTTTAGCAATAAAAATTTTTATTAAGGGATGTACATTTTCTTTTAGAAATAATGCTATTGCACACTTAAATGCTACAGTACGGTATAAACATACTTTTCATATGCACTGGCAATAAAAAATGCATATAATGACTCACTTTATTGCAATATTCATTTTATTGTGGTGGTCTGAATGAAACCCACCATATTATCAAGGTATTCATATATCTATATATCTATACATATATCCTACTCATTCTATTTCTCTGGAAAGCCCTGACCAATTATAGTCTCCAAATACTTCTCCCCACATTCAAAGAGAAGGAGAATTCCATTGTGTAAATGAAGATTTATAATCTCCAGGAAAGTCTTGAGTATTGATAGACATATCTTAGGACTTAGTAACAAAATTGATTATAGTGTCTTACATGATGAGGTCACATTTGAGCCAAGACTTAGAGTCAGCTATGTCTGTCACATAGAGTTACATGGCATTCTGTACATTATTTGTATTCACTGATTTACATGGGAGGTGACTTGCAATATGGTGAGAGGAACTCAGATTTTCATACATATTTTTTGGACTAGATTGGGAGAAGGAAAAAGTAAATTTGCCAGATGGCACAAAAAGATGGCAAAGCCCCTGAAAAAGAATTCATACCAAGCAAAGAAGGAATCTAGAATGGCAATTTTACAACAGGATTTGAGGGTTGCATGACAGCAAAGATATAGTGAGGTGGCAAATATCTGTGCTACCCAGAGGCCAGCATGAAATCTCATCCCAGTGTGGCTACCCTAGTGACAATGTATACCCCAAAGAGACAAAACATCATAGGTATAAACAGAAAGTGACCCCTTCCTAAATGGCTTAATATTTTAGGGCCCAAACAACCCCAAACCATACAACTAAACATTATATATATATATAATATATATATATACATTTATATATAATATATATACCAATAAAATATATATAATATATAAATATATAAACATATATTTATATGTATATATTATATATACACATATATTTATATGTATATTATATATTATATATACACATATATTTATATGTATATTATATATTATATATACACATATATATTTACATATGTATATAATATATATTATATATATTATATATAATATACATATATATGAATTATATATGTATATCTTTTGCCCTCACAGACTACTGCCAAATTTTATAGCACTATGAAGTTTAAGAGCATTTAGAAACTGAAGAGGCTGAGGAACTGCATCAGAAACGCAAATGAAATGACATAGTAGCAACCTCCATTAATTTATAAAATTTGTAAGAAACTCTTCATTATTTTCAAAAACATTTGTGGGACAGTGAAATCTTTAAAGGTATTAAAATTCCTACATGGGATTAGAATAGGAAAGCTGAAGTATTAATATGAACTGACCCCATTCATACCTGTAGATTGGTACAATTTTAAAATGTTTGGGTGAGATGTGCTGTTTCTGGATCCCTCACAGGGGTGTCCTAGAAACAAATCCTGCACATAAATAATTAGGGTTGATTGTTCTAATCCAGTTTGTACAACTTTTTCTTTTAGAGAAGAATATGGGAGACTAAAGTCCAAGAGGAATTTGCACTTCATGTTTCAATACAGTTTATTTACTCTTATTCTTACAAACAACATTGTAATTGAAATGGAACAAATATTCAGAATTCGGGAAGCTTCTTTTCAAATTTAACTTCTACCATACATAGACATATCCCTGAACCTTTTAAGAAGCTAATAGTCATATAGTAAAAGCTTTTGAGAAAACTTTTCTCTCTTTTTTCTCATCTGAGTCCACTGCCTTCTGCTTGCCATTGGCAATGCTTTTGTTGACTTTGCATTCTTCAATTGATTTTACTTCTTACTATTAGTATACAATAGCAAAACATGAAGGAAATAAGTTTTTCAAAGGAAAGAATGAACAAGGACATTATGTCCTTTTCCTCCTTCAGTCTTTAAATCCCAAAATGCCTAATTTGATTTAGTTTTGCTGATTGACACTGGGCATTCCATAAGTATTTTCTGGATACCCATCTAGCACTGAGCTAGGTTCTGTCTAGCACTGGGCTATGTATTAGGGACTCAGTGATAAACTAGACAGACTGAGTACCTGCTTTTATGAAGCTTGTAAACTGATGAAAGATATAGATACATAAGAAAGATCCACAGACAACTACAATACAATATGCAGGAGAGGCAGCGATACATAGTGAGGAAGAGCATGGGCCAGAGCCAGACTGCTTTTGTTTTAAACTTTGCCTCTGCTGATTGTTTATTATCTTTTTAGTTTGTTGTATGGATAAGCAGTGAACATAAAAGCATTCACTAGGTGCTAAATAATTCTTAGCTACCATCATTAGCCATTTACCTTCTCTGATAGTCTGTTTTTATATTGCCGTATGTGTATGTTGTCTGCCCCATATACTATTGTAATTGTTATTATTATAATTATTTATTATAATGACTACCACCCCAAAATCTCTTGTTCTAGCAGCACACATTCATTTTTGTGGAACTTTCTTTTTAAGCTTTTTCTTAAAATTCTGGGCCAGAGAGATTCTCTGAAAATGTTACAAGAAATCTATTGCTTGGTAATCTGAAGGAGCAAAGTGTTGTGGTTGTTCTTGTTTCTTCCAAATTTTAGTCAATTGTAATCATTACCCATTCTCCCAGACACAGCCCCTCCTCTCCCTGTTTTCCTATCAGGGGTCCTTTGTACCTTCTGAGAGATTTAATGACAAATCCTTTGCTACTCTTAACAAGTTCAATGATAGTATTGCCAGAAGGGTGACCATCATTAATGTCTCATCAAACTTAGGCATTATATAATCTTTGAACTTGTGTGTCAACAAAATCAACAAACTATAAATACTTAGAGATGACACAATAGAACCATCCCTGGCATTAATGCATTTTTTTACATAACACTAAGATCTTGCTTTATCTATTCCCTTATTTTAAAATAAAGTTAATGTTTTTATTTCAATTCCTGCTAGTGCATATCCCTGATGTGGAAAATCAACCAACAAGAAAAAATTATTATGCTGACTGTTTCTTCCTGTTTTGCAGTTTTACTATGCCCAAACAGAAATCCTGATGGGAAAGGAAAATGCCTTGCTATATCTGTAATTTATCAACATGAAAACATTACGGTTTTAATCATAAAATTCAAGAGGTCAGTGTTATCTCCACACCTGTGCTCTGAAGATTCTCTAATAGGAAGAAATGCATCTCCTAAGCATAAAACTGTAATTACTAAAGTTGATGGGGGCAGAAGATATGCAAATATATGAAACATTCCATAAGGATATGCATATAATCTGTAGAAATCGGGAGAGTGATTATAGGGCATGGGCAGAGAGGGAGGAGTAAAGAGGTAGGTGGCAACCCCAAAATGTCTGCATAAGAGAGAATTAGGGCAGCAAATAGGTTGGAAGGGTGAGGCTGGAGGACTGGTCTGGGAACCGCAATTGAATAGCAGGACATGCCTTCACTTAGATTGAATTTAATTTGAGGCAGTTTTGGAGAGGCCTTAGGGAGACTATGGGAGGGCTAAACCTTGTAAATCCCTTTTTGATGCCAGTACTAGAGAGGAGTGGAAAAAGTAATAAAAACATAAACATGATTTACATCAGTGTATGTTGTACACTCAGTAGCTGTGATGGAGCAGATGATAAAGTCAACAGATATCTAACTGCCATTGCCTACACTGAATTACTCTGCCTTAGGTAATAGATCTTTACCTCTAAAGGTAACAAAATGTTAAATCTATTCAGAAGAATTGGCATAGATTCCACCCTCTGTTCTTATCCTGTGCTTTTTTCTAGGTAATGCTCTTTAAGAACATTCAAGTAACCATAATAGTTCAGCAAATATTTTCTGAACACATCTACATATTCCCATATCACAAAAATCCCGTTCGAACATTTATCATTGCTAGAGTTGGCTTGTTACACACGAACATCTTCTTCTCTAGGTTGCAAACTTTACAAAAACAGAAACCATTTCTAACTTAGTATCATTAGTAATAATAATAGTAACTAACATTAATTCATTACTTATTTTCTGTAAAGCACTAGGCATTACTTCATTTAATCTCCTTAAAAGTAGAATGCATCAAACATCACCTCTGTTTTGATAAATCAAAATATCTTTATGGAAGAGTTTTAAAAGAGGGATAGAATTTAAATAAAAATGTGAGAGACTGAGAAGGAGCTCTCTAGATCATGATGGCAGTGTAAAAGGCATAGAGGTGGAAAAGTTTAAGAATGGTTCATGGAATAGTCAGTAATCTAGCTTGATTGGAAATACAAATTACCCTGGCCTGATCACCATACATTATATATTTCAAAACCTCACTATGTATTCCATGAATACGTACAATTATTATTTGTCAATTAAAAAAAAGAAAGGATTGGAATCTTAAAAAGGAAGTTTGTGACAATATTTTTGAGAAATATATTGCATAGTAGACATGCTTATTTTCCATAGAATATTGCCTGATCAACTGAACTTTGAATGAGGAGTAAAAAAAAATGGTTTAGGTAATGGGAGTTAAAGAATAAGACAGTTCAGGTAACTAAGTTCTACAGTTTTAAACAGGTTTGTTTTTGAAGCAAAGAAGAGTAGTAACTGATCAATATCCACTCTCGAGATCTCTTCTATTATTTTATATTAACTCCATGAGAGAAAATTCGATGCTGTCTTTTTCACCTCTGTGTTCATGACTGTGAATAAGGCAACACCTAGAACAGTGTCTTCCACATGGAAGTACTCAATAATAATATATTGAATGAATAAGTGGATGAATAGTTCAATGTTTCTATCAATTTCTGCACAAAATTCATATTTGGTAGGAATGATATTTTAAACCCCTCATGTGGGGACTATTAAGAGGGCAATATTACAAGGGGTGTTCTTAAAATTTCTGGAAACATTTCTAGTTATCATAATGAATAGAAGACACTAATGATATTTAATGTGTGGGGAGACAAAAGATGCCTGGAACAATCTTGTATAATACAGAATTGGCCCGCATGCCAGGACTTCTGAATATCACACCAAATATGCATGCAGGCAAAGTACCTGTTTATAATTACCTGAGTCTTGTATCTAATCTCATTGTATAAATAAATGCAAACAAGTTATGCAATATTTTATTACAACTTGAGGGAACCTGGAAGTAGATCTTTCCCCAGGTGGGAAGCTGATGAAAACTCATTCCTGGCTGAAACCTTCAATACAGCTGTATTAGTCTGTTCTTCCATTGCTAGAAAGGAATACCTGAGACTGGGTAATTTATAAAGAAAAGAGGTTTAATTGGCTCACAGTTCCACAGGCTATACAGGAAGCGTAATGGCTTTTGCTTGGCTTCTGGGAAGGCCTCAGGAAATTTACAATCATGGCAGAAAGTGAAGGGTGAGCAAGGCACGCTTGCTTGTGGTAATCTGTTATGCAGCAGTAGAAAACTAATAAAAGTAGGTTAAATAATTTGCTTTGGGTTGTATAACTAGTGTGTGATGATTATAAAAACATCAAACAAGTCTGTGTCCATTGCCAATATATTTTTTAATTATCAGAAACTTCAAGATTGGGAAAATGAAGTTAAGATAACTCACGTTGAATAAGTTCAGAATACTAATTACATTAAAAGAGGAGTCTATATGCCAAGAGTGGGATGGGACATATGGTTCTCGTGGCCCAGAAAAGTGGTCTAGGCCACTTTTTCAAGATACAGCTTTAGGGTTTCATATTATAACCATATACAAAGCCATGAGCATGAATAAAATCACTCAGAGTAGTAAAACTGTGAAGAAGATGGAAGATGAAGATTTAAGGGGTAAATAGGAGTAAAATTAGAGGTGAATGAGAGGGAATACTCACAGTGCGAAGTGGAAAACTGCAAAAATAGTATCTTGGAATCCAAAGGAAGATGGATTTTCTAAAAATAGGTCAGTCAGGATTCAATGCCACAGAGGCAGCAAATAGGATAGGGTTGCAAGAGTCTTATTATATTTAACTATTAGCGAACACTTGGTAAAACAACTTGACTGAAGGCATGTGGCTTGACAAGCTGGTCCTAGAAATCTTCACAGACCTTCAATCAGCATACTAAATAAAATAGGGTATACAACGATGCCATGTGCATTACTACGGCACTTCATATGGATTAACACAGACCAATTCATTTCAATGTAGTTGAAAACATTTATTTACTCATCATCTATAAGTCAAATAGACTATCAGACTATGGTTAGGCAGGTTCACTTAACTCACACCTCACTCTACTCACATTTCTCCAGCTTAGTGACAATATGGACCCACTTTATCAAATTATTTGCTGAATTCAAGGTATGTGTACATATTTCCACTGATCAATAACTTTGCAGCCAGCCTCCCATGTGGATTCCAAGAATCTGCCGAAGTTTTAACTTTTCATATATAATCCTAATTTCTTCTTACACCCAAGTATAGCTATGTTACAAGGAATTTAGCACGATTATCTGGGTTGGAAAATTAGGTTCATCGTGTTAACTCCATGGCAGTCTTCATTTTTTCCTTCTCTCAGATATGTGCCCTGCTTTCTAAAAATCTGAAGAAAACTAGTTTTAACAGCAATAAAAGTTTACAATCAATTCTAACCATGCTATTTCTGCTTGTATATATTTTTCCAACCTGATTAAGCAAATTGCAATTTTCCACATTTCTCTGGTATGGGCTGGAAGAATGTATCAACCAGCAATTTCTTTTTTAAAGTTTGGCCTGCAGGCTGATAGTCCACAAACCTGAAAGTAATGGTCAGTTATAAGGAATAGAGCAGTTTACAAAATGGAATATCCAGAATCATTGCCTTCTTCCAAGTCACATTAGTTGACTCCTAAGTAGAGCAAGTTTTTAGTGGTTCCATCTGGAATGTCTGTGTGACATGGTTATGAAATGGAAGAAAAACTTAAAGCTTATCCATACCTGAAAACTAATTTCTTATACACAGAAGTTACTGTTAATTATAACTATATTTATCAGATTAGAACTGTTTCAAGTAAAAGGGAATATGAAAATTAACATAAATGCATAATTTAATACCAACTAGTATTAATGTGAATGTGGGGAGTTATGAATTTGACAGAGAATTAGATTTAAAAATAATACTTTGAAAGCATCTACCAAATGTGCACCTAATCAAAATTTCATTTGCCATATTTTGTTTTGTATATCAATGTGTCTCGAGCTCCTAGAACAGTACCTTGCACATACTAAGTGTTTAAAAAGTTTAATGACAACAAAAGTAGTTCTGGTGGCTCATGAGCAATAGAGGCTTTAGGGAGGAGCGCACACTGCTGAGAACTTACAAGTGAACAATTCAGGAAGATGTCAAATATAATCTTCCACTTTTTCACTATAAGCCAAAGGAGGGTGCCTGAGAGAAGGAGAGAACAATATGTGCATCTAAAACAGTTAAACCTGGGACTGGCACATAATCATAGTTCAATCACATTGGATGTCATTTTTGTTATTATTATTGGTGGGAATGACTTGATGACAGGCTATTCCTTGTGAAGGGCTGCTCTCCTAGCAAAAGGGCTGCAAAAAAAAAAACCATGATGTGGGCTTTGGACAGGAAAGGGACCAGTCACGTGTCCTCCTTAATATGCTCCCCTGGTGTTTTGGATCAATTGTATCCCCCGGAAATAGTTGCACAATAGTATGTGTAAGGTATCCCTCAGCCCAGGGAAGACTCCAGACTGCTGGCTGATGGCCAGTGTTCTCTCCCGCACCTGAGGGAATGTGAAGGAAGGGCTGCCTTTTCTCTGAGAGTGAAGGAGGTTTATCACAATGTAGTCATTTGGCAACCAAAGGAGAAAATTGGTATGGAGACTGCAGCTATGTTGTGTAGAACTCAAGAATCAACAGATTTAGAAAATTTGTAAATTACAATATTCACAACCACCCTGAACTAACCACTGTCTCCCAGTCTTTGAGGTTTTGTCAGAGTCTACTACTTAGTGGTCAATGTCCTTAGGCATAGTTTGAAATAAGGAATCTCATAAACATGGGCTTCCATTTGAGGACAATTCTTCCCCCTTCTTTATCTCATTGCCTCGTATTGTGACATTTTCTTTGGCACAGATCCCTCCTTCCTAAATCTCTCTCCTATTCAGCCTTCCTGAATTTTCACTATATCATGACCCTGGTGTTTGTAATTATTGTCTTTCCCTCATTGAATAAATATATATTCAGCTCCTCAGTGTATTTAACCCTCACAACAACTGAATGAGATAGTTATATTTCCATCTTCATTTGGAGAAAAGACAAAACTTAGAGTTTTTCAAGATTGCGTAGCCATTAAGTGGTAGAGCCACAAACCCAGGCAGTCTAATTCCAAAAGCTGAGTTCTTAGCATAGAGAATTGTTGAAAGCCCTCACAAAGAATATATGAATTTAGTACCCTGAAAGTGGTACTAAAAAAGAGGACACCTTCCCTGTTTTTCAGCACCAGCAAAGAGGTCTATGTAAAACAGGCCACTTTTCTGCTTTCCCATTCCTTTGATAGTCTCATCATATAAGAATAGGCAGAGAGAGTTTTGCTGGGTTCTAGGCGTGGGCCTCATGCAATTTGAGGGGCTCTCTTCAAGATAAGTAGTACAAAATTACAGATACATTATTAAGCATGAAGGTTAATATGTATTTAGAAAAATAAATCAAAATAAATTAAAATTTTTAAGCCTGGCAAATGCTACAAAGCTTATGAAATTAACATAAATAATTAATTACCTGCCTAAAATACAGCATTGTTTTTATGTTAAAAAATGTTTTTCACTTTCACATATAAAGAAACTTTTCTAAATTATTAATAAAGTCAGTTATGTTATATAAATTTTAGAGATTATTGTAAAATTTGGAAATTATCTAGTTTCTGTTCTATCTAGTTTCTATTCTAGACAAGCTGTAGGATTTCAAGGGACTTTCAGTTTTCTTTGAATCAACAGCATCATTCCCATTTTGCTATTAATGGTGTCCTCACTGTAGTGGAGTATTATGAGTGCTCTGCTATCTTCATGTATGCCAATCCAGTGTAGGGAACAAAAAATATTTTTCCTTCTACTCATTTTATTCATTGCCTGGGGCCCTAGTAACAAAAGATAATTACAATTAACAAGAGGAAAGAGGAAAGCAAACAAGTTTATTAGCACATATATTCCAATATATACATGGGAAATGCCTCCCCCCACAAAAAAATGAGGAAATTTCAAAGAAGTGGCTTAGAATTCAGGCTTAAACACTGCTATCTTCAGCTGAAATAAAAGAAAGACAGGTGGGGGAGAGGCCAGTTATGAGGAGGCAACCAGAAAAAGCGTGGTAGACAAGGGTAAGGTTTGCTTTGCAGAGTTAAGTCAGTGTCCTCGTCATTGAGAAGATTCCACTGTGATTTAGAGTCATCCTTCTCTTCTTGATATAGGGAGGGAGATACCCTTACAAATGAAGATTTTGTTTATAAATTTATGTTTTATTTACGAAAGTATAACTTCTAATCTTGTTTTCAGAGCTTCTCCTGTGTCTGCTGTTTCTCAAAATAATCAATTCAAATTAGTCCTTATGCCAAAGAGGCATAATTGGGGCTGGCACATTCTGGTCTCTTATACCAGCATTTCCTCTCAAGCATTTTTCCCAGGGTGTTAAAAGAATTCAATCTTCTTTAATAATTGGATTATCAAACAATCAAATAACTTACCCAATACAGTACTTTTAATTTAACTTTATCTCTTCCTTTTAAGACATTTTGGAACTACCTGGAAAAAAAATGTTTCTATTTACTTTGCAATGTCTGAATAATTTTTGTTAATGCAATGTCATCCCTTCAACCCTACTACTTTTATGTCACAATCTATTACCTTTTTTTCAGAATTTTCTATCAATTCCTAATGGAAACTTAAAGATGATTAAATGTGGTACTTTGTATATACTTCCAAATCAGGAGTTGTAATTTCTCCTTTGTTTTATCGAAACATTCCAAAATGTCTTCAGAAGAACAGTTAAAATGGCACACTCAAGCTTCAACGTTTTAGATAAACATTTTATATATCCAACTTTTAGGAAAAAGAATATGTTAGATCCTTAAAATATAATTATATCCATTATGCAAACCTCAAGCAACACTGGAATAGGCAGATCCTCTTGTTACATTGAGATTTTTTAATGAAAATTTAAGTTGTATATGTGTTTAAAATGTCCTATTGTTTAAAACACTATCTATGCGATGAATCTTGAAAGACAACATAACTGTTGCAAAATACTAAAGCAGTCAACAATTTTGGCTACTGTCACAGCAGCTTTTTCTCTGACAAGATTAAGGAAATGAGCTGGCAAGGCACATCTTCTGGTCACTTATTAAAATTTTAGAGCACTTGCACTTCTTTGTCTTCACCTTTCGTAACAACTGCATTGTCATACAGTGCATTGCTAAAGTTTTTCAGCACTAAGTTACCATTTTCCAGAACTTCTTTCATTTTCTTGAATTTGAAGTCACAGATAATTAGGTGGTTTTCAACAGAAAAAAAAAATACTCATCAGGTTTTTTTGTTAAAACAGGAGAGTACAATAGTTGCTAATTAATTAGTGTTTTGTATCCAGTTTAGAAGGTAGAACAAGGGATTAATATTTGGTGTCCTTTTTGTTTGTCTGTTTATCACTTCATTTTGTAGACATTTTACTTTTATTAGAATTCCTAAACTGTTTTAGGTATGTCACACTTACTCCTTTTTAATTTTGATGTTTTCCCAACTGTTGTTGTAAAAATTGAGCAAATTTGGAAATTTGAAGAAAGCCAATCTTCACTGTTACCTCTGAAGTACAAAAGTCTTTCACTTAAAAATTTATTAATCCTCATTATATTTTGTTAAGCTCTTCAAAACAACACTGAATGTTCTTTGTTTCTTATCTGGTATTGAAGACATTAGTGTAGAGGCATTTGTAATTGATTTACTTGTAATCCAAGTACAAATATAGATTTCTTGTGCTCTGTGGAGTCTTGATGACTTTCAATGGTTCTCATTATACACATCTGGTCTGGAAGCTCATCTGTTGTAAGTAATGACTTTCTTGTTAAAAAACAGCTTAAATAAAACAATAGATACATCCTTTTAGTCTTGGAATAGCCAAGCCAGAGTATCATAATAGTTTGATCATTTTATTTTCAAAATGTCTGCTCAAGTATCATTTTTATGTTATGTGTGATTTTCTGTAAAAATTATTGGAAACAATTTCAAAATTTTTTTTTATTAAACAGTGTTGAACAAAATTATTTCCCAGTGAAGAAGACCATAATCAAAAATCACAGTACTTATTGAACTCAATAACTTTGTTGATATAAAATAACTGCTGACCTTTATAATCATAAAAATTAAGTTTTCTTCTCCTTTTTGATTTCTTGTTTGGGAGATAGTTTCCTGATTTTTACAATCTTTTAAATGAGATGTCATTTTGTCATCTGTATTTTCACTATTATGATTCTTTTCTCTATGTTCATAATTTTGATATTAGAATAGTTTGCTTGTGTTGTAACATAAGAATTTTGGAATGTTAGTATTTCTATCATTTTTCTTCATCTCAGTTTATACTTTTGGCTTCTGTTAAGACGTTTCCCTGCCATTATATTAGAATTGCATTTTTAAATACTACTTACTTGCATTGAGCTTAAAAATTTTATGAAAAAAAGTTTATAAATATTCTATTATTAATAAATATTTGTGGGAGCTCTGTCACTGAAATAATTTCACATATCTGAGAGCTAGAAGGAGTTTTCAAAGATAGCTTCCTGCACCACTTTTAAAATCTTGCTTCTGTAGCAGTACTTCCAGAGCTGAATAGTATGGAACACTTTCATATTGTGTCATAACTTCTTGCCCTATACCAATATGGAGTATGTTGGCACCGTGGGAGGTGGAAGTATTCCTGGAAGACAAGGACACCTCACAATAACTTGATTATACATGGATACAACTGCAAGGCACTCAACCCAAATTAAGTGCATGTTCCTTTCAAATTCTTCCTGCTTGGATCCTAAAAGTGCCTTCAGCTAATCCAATAGCCACACAACAAATGAGAAGTATGATGGAAGAAAAGTTAGAATGGAAAGAGGAAGAGATTACTGTAAACATATGTCTCATTTTCACAAATTAACACAAATATATGACCATGTAAGATTTTCCTAGATGCTTTCCCAAAGCTTTGGAAGGTGACCATGCACTTAAATATACTTCTGCATATCAAGTTATATAGTTCTGTTGGAATTCAGAAAATGGTACACCCTGTATTAGTCTGTTCTCACATTGCTGTAAAGAACTACATGAGACTGGATAATTTTTGAAGAAAAAAGGTTTAATTGACTCACAGTTCTGCAGGCTTTACAGGAAGCATGGCTGGGAGGCCTTAGGAAACTTACAATCATGGCAGAAGGTGAAGAGGAAGCAAGCATGTCTTACCATGGCAAAGCAGGAGACAGAGTGAAGAGGGAAATGCCAGACACTTTTAAACCATCAGATTTCATGAGAACTTACTCAATATCATGAGAACAGCAAGGCAGAAATCTGCCCCCATGATTCAATCACCTCCCACCAGGTCCCTCCTCCAACATTAGGAATTACAATTCAACATGAGATTTGGGTGGGGACACAGAGCTAAACCATATTACCCCCACAATATGGAATTTTGACATGCTGAACCAAGGAAGCAGCCTTAAGTTCTCTCTGATTCCTCCATACCACTCCTGTCTCTCAATTCTCTTTCTCTCCCAAAGCACAGGATGAGGCTGATCTCTGAAGTTCCCTTGTCTGCTTATAAACTAGACTCCCAAACGGACTGCCTTCAATCCGTTCCCTGAAATTTAATTAACCAGAGAAGATTAAAATTCATATCACAGAGAAAGAAATTGAAAATTAAAACACCATACCTAGAGTCCTGGTGAACTTTGTCTCAAATTATTGTTTTCTCTCCAGTCCCATTCAATACCCAAAGAGAATTATACAAGATGATGTCTACCTCTGAGATCCATTCACTCTCCCTTAAAATTATTTACTAACCTTCAAAATTATCACGTTACTCACTATGACAAAGGGAATGGGTAAACATCTGAACCCCACTGGGTTATTGGGTAATCATTCCATGATGGAATTCTTCATACTTATACAATACTTACACACTTAAATAAATTTGTAAGCCTTTTCTCCTATTAATATGTCAATTGTTAGTTCACTTGCAAAGAACCTTTAGAGAGTGATGGGAAAGCTTTCCCTTGGCCCCTACATTGTGTTTCATATTGTTTACTTAAAGGCTGAAGAACAATGGAGTCATCTTCCCTCTCCCCAGTGTCTGATTCCAACATAACAGCTGATTTTGTTGATCCTAACAGCAAAATAGAACTAGACTCTCTGTACTTTTTATCCCTACTGACACCACACTAGTATGACCTACCACAATCTTTTGCTTAGATTATTGTAGTTGTTTTCTATCCACTCTCTCTGCCTCCAGTACAGTCCCCTCTAATACATTCTTCATACAATTCCCAGGGTTATGTCCTTTTCCTATAAAAATTCTTCAATATTTTCTGTTGCTCTTAGAAAAAATAAATAAATCTACATTTTCATGAGAACTTCTCTCATTGACATTTTCTTAATTTCCATTCCCTCACCCAGTCAACTGGTTTTTTTCTATTATAACGTTTCATTTTCTTCACAGCACTTATCCTTGTTTGGAATTGTTACTCTGTCACTTTAATTAGTTGTTGATAATTTGTCTTCACTAATATAAGAGCTCAATGAAGATAAAGACTATACATTTTTGTTCACCATAGTATCCCTAGTACCATTCACAGTGCATAACACGTAGTAGGTATACAAAAAATATTCATTTAAACACTGCATGGCTAGGTTACAAAGTAGATGGAGAATGTAATGCTATAAACCAGTAGAACCTGTCACAAAGTCCAAATCCTTCATATGGGGATTCTTTGTGTATGGATTCCAAGTTCCTATTCTTGTTCCCTGTCCTTATATTTATGCCTGTCTTCTAAATTACTCCCTTTTTTTAAGGTGACCTGTGATGTCTCCACCCATTTTTATTGTCTTCCATGGAGTCCATAAAGGAGAAAACAAGGAAGAGGTTTTGGCCTACAAGTCCCATAAGATATTCTAGGGTATGTAAAAGCTCTCCAAGAAATAGGATCTTGTTTGCAAATTTACCACTAAAGGAAGGAGGAATGCTTGTTGGAACTAAACTGCACATATCCAAAGGAAATTGATATGGTTTTGCTCTGTGTCCCCACCTAAATCTCACTTTGAATTGTAATAATCCCCATGTGTCAAGGGTGACCAGGTGAAGATAATTAAATCATGAGGGCAATTTCTTCCATGCTGTTCTCATTATAATGAGTGAGTTCTCACAAGATCTGACTGTTTTATAAGGGGCTTTCCCTTTGACTTGGCATTCATTCTCTCTTTTGCCGCCCTGTGAAGAGGTGCCTCCTGCCATGACTGTAAGTTTTCTGAGGCCTCTCCAGCCATATGAAATGTAAGTCAATTAAACTTCTTTTCTTGATACATTGTCCATTCTTGGGTATTTCTTCATAGTAGTGTGAGAATGGGCTAATACAGTTTCAATGATAGTAGTGTCTGAACCCTTTAAAGAAACCTGCCTGTTCTCCCTTAAATTATGCAAATTACATCATTATGTAGAACAGAGCATATTCCTCTTAATAGCTTCTCCTTTAGTTAAAAAAAAGAAAGATGCTTTGTAATCACAGTTCTAACAGGGTCCTTATGAAATTTTTAGCCATGGAGGCCTTCCTCCCTGGGGGAAGAGGAGGCTATCAATCTTATTTAATCCTCACAACAACTATTCGAAGTAGATATAATTTTTACCCTTATCATTCATCCGAAAATACTAAGGCATAGAGAATAAACATAAACTTCACATGGTCAACAGTTTTAAGTGGCAGAGCAAGGAATCAAATTCAGATCTAACTTTAAACCTTATATTCTTACCCAGTGATGTGTGGGAGACAACTTGTATCAGCTTACAAGAGACAATTATTAAATGTTCAGAGTATTTTTCAGCTGATTGTTAAACATAGCTGTATTAGACTGTTTTCTGCTGTTTATAACAGAATAACTGAAACCGGGTACTTTTTTGTATTATCTCTTAATAGTTAAAGAGGCTGAGAAGTCCAAGGGGAAGGGGCCACATCTGGTGAGAACCTTCTTGTGGTAGGGACTCTGTAGAGTCCGGAGAGAGTGCGAAATATTACATGGTGAGCATGCTGAGCGTGGTAATGTACCAGCTCAGTCTCTCTTCCTCTTCTTAAAAAGCCACTAGTTCCACTTTCATGATAACCCATTAATGGATTAATAGGTTAATGGGTTAATGGCCTTAGTTCTCAATACTACCACACTGGGGATTAATTTTCAGCACAATTTTTAGAGGGCACATTCAAACCATAGCAAAAGCCATTGGCAAAAGTTAAATTATGTAAGCTTACAATAAATATTCAAAACACATTACTGCCTAAGTATCTAACTTTACTGTACTATTATTAATGCTTTTGAGTTCATCTGTGTCTATTTTATCTGTATGGTGGAAACATTATATAATGGTGGGCACATCTTTTCCTAACTCTGTGTTTGGTGACATCATGTTTATAACTTGAAAGTGACCATGATGAAAGTACTTATACCATGGAAATTAGCAAACATTCTACTAAGTACCTTCCACCTCCACCCCCCAGGCTAGTTATTAAACATTCACCATTATACTACTTCTTTTAACCATTACACTGTCTTACCCTTTAAGAGTGATCATTTCTCCCTATAAAATGTTACCATTCATGTGTCATAGAACTGGTCTCATCATTGCCATGTGATTCTGCACCCTTTTCGACTAAAGGTTTCACATATCCATAGATATTTCACATATTGAGAACTTTGGTAGGTAAGTTAACTTACTATTGCTTCCTATGGTAATAGGAAAAGAAGAAAATCCATTCTCTTCATGTTTCCAGATGCCTAATGCATCAGATGTATTACTTAAGTATCAATGAAGTGATAGATTTTTATTCCTCTTAAATGACTTTTCTGAACAAGGGAGAAATTTAATATTTAGAAAACAAAATGAAAAATACTAAAGAGAGAACTTCTTGTTTAGACTATAGATAGCAAAAGAGACTGCTATGCTTTAAATGTTTGTCCCCTCCAAAACATCAAAATTTAATCGCCAAGGTAATGATATTTAAGAGGTGATTAGGTCATGAGAGTTCTGCACTTATGAGTGGGTTGAATACCTTTCACAAAGGGCTTTGAACTGGGTGCAGTGTTTTGTATCTATAATTCCAACTACTGGGGAGGCTGAGGCAGGAGGATCACTTGAGGCTAGGAGTTCAAAACCAGCCTGAGCAACATAGAGAGATTTTGTCCCTAAAAATAAAACGTTTTAATTTAAAAAAATTAGCTAGTATTGGTAGTATATGCCTGTAGTCCCAGCTACTTGAAAGGCTGAGGCAGGAGGACCCCTTGAACACAGGAGTGTGAGGCTATAGTGAGCTACTATCATACCACTGCACTCCAGCCTGGGTGACAGAGTCAGACTCATCTCAAGTAAATAATTAAAAAGGGTTTTTTTTGGAGTAGATTGTCTCTCTTTGCTTTTCTGCTTTTCTGCCATGTGAGGAACACTGTTCTTCCCCTCCAGAGGATGCAGTGTTCAATACGTCCCCTTGTAAGTGAAAACCAGGCCTTTACCAGACACCAAACCTGTTGGCACCTTGATCTTAGACTCCCCAGCCTCCAGAAGCATAATAAATAAATTTCTGTTCTTTACAAATTATATAGTCTCAGGTATTCTGTTATTGTAGCACAAAATGGACTAAGAGAGAGACATATTGAAGGATTTCAAATTAGCTCTCTGCCCTCAAAAAATTCGGGTATTAAATAATAAATAACTAGCAGAATTTGGGCCAAGTAGCCTCTGATTTTTCCCCCATTGATTGTGTATTTCATTTGTAATATTGTCACAAAGGTCAGAAGAGCTAAAATCTTTACCCTCAATTCCCACTTGAGCTAAATACAATTATTTTTCATAGTTAAGTCATGTGTTGATACATGCCCAGTGAAATCAAAATGAATTATTCTTCTCTATTAATGCTACAATACTGTTGTTTACAGATATTTGTAAAATTATAAATTTTTAGAACTTGACATATATGAGGCACTGCAGCAGCCAAGTATTTAGTAATGTATGCTAAGTTTTCCTCTAAATCACAAGTTTCCAGAATACCATAGGTAAATATGAAAAGCAAAAGATAACTTAAAATTAGAAAATGGCTTCATTAAGAATGACTTTTGACACAGTTCCTCACTCTCTAATATAGAGCAGCAACAAAGCATAGAATAACAACTTCGAAACTGAAAGTTTACCCAAGGCAGTTTTTTAAATTGGCCTTATTGAATGGCAAGTCCAATTCGGAACGTTTCTTAGAATCATAAAATTAGGAATACTGTCAAGAGAAATCATTTAGTTTACCTCATTAGGCAGAAATACATGTATACCAGCATTTTGTAAAGTTACAAAAGATGTTAGTAAGTATTACATGAAAAAAAATGGATTAGTCAAATACACTTGAGAAATGCTGGATTTTAAAAAATGTTTATTAACTACTAGATGGCTCAGAATCTTTAATATGCAAATGTGTACTGTGAACATTGGGGATATTTCCCAGTGGTATTTGACCTTGCAATTCTTAAGTCATGGAGCACCTGTAGGGATCAATATTCCACCAGTCTGGAAAATACTAATTTATGCCATATTAAACCAATAGACTCTGTCATTTTTTAATAGTTTCCAAAAAATCCATAATTATCTTTTGGTGAAGCTGCTTCTGTCCCCATTTTTGTTGTTTTGTTTTATTTTGTTTAATATTTTCAGCTATATATCACATTTGGCACCATTATTGAGTGGTCTGGATTATGTTAATAAAGAGGTGACATGCAAGACAGTGCCAGTCTGTGGCCTGCTTGTTTCCAAACAATGTAAGTACAGAAGTTTTGTGGCATTTTGGCAGAGTAATTTTATGTCTATGAATTGAATAATTAAATATTGGAATAATTGAGGCATTTTGCATTTTGCATGCTTCTTTATTTTTATTTTATTTTTGAGTTATTAACTTTTATTCTACTTTACGAAAGTATCATTTCTCAGGAAATTTGAAATTTAACAGCTGTTCTCTTACCAAAGTTTGAGAAGGACTGTTCTAAGATCAAATTTCATGAGGAAGAATGTATTTTGTAGTTGTATGATGACTCTTTTCTAAAATAAACATATGAACTAGTACAAGTTTTGACAGCAATCCTAATGAGAGGCAACTGTAGGAGAGTCTGAGAGTGAGAGAAGAATGAGGTCAGGATGCTGAAGACACAGCTCTTGTCAGTCATCCCTATTCATGGTTCCCTCTCAAGGTTCTGGGTACCCTCTCAAAGTTCTGGGAACCAATCTCTTCCCTTGACCTTTGAGGTGTCAGGATGGTAAAGCTCTGCTGCTACTAGCCATGGGGTACAATACTACCCTTGTTTCTCCTATACCTGTCCAAGCCTTCATAAATATAATTAAAACTCTTCTAAAATTTGCTAGTTAGTTTCCACTATTACCTGGAAGCCTCTGATTAATCACTGCTCCTCCATCATTTCCTCTCTTGGTTTACAAAGAGAGCTTAAAAATACTTTTGGAACTTAAAACCACCTCAGGCCATGAACCTGAGTATATCCACTCTGGATGAATCATTTAATGGCCAAATGAGATATCAAGCCTTCAAACACTTTGGAAGATCAGCAAGCACTTATTGACTACTGTCAATGGATGATCTTCGTGGATGGGAACAAATAGGACTCCTAACAGCTACTCAATCCAGCCAATGTATGGCATTCATTTGACTAGAGACTGGATGATGTCTAGATATAATCTCAGTTCCCTGTATCTCCCAGGAAATAGACTCAGAGGATTCTGGCTTTGGACAGAGCTTGGTGATCTCTTGACGGGGATATCACTCCTGTCCTCAAACACCCTATTTGCTCTCCTTTCCCATTGCGTGGAATCCTATCTAGTCTTGGTAAATATATATATGTCCAAATATTTTCCGTTTTACACCTGGACCATGGTTTTTTGAATTTAAAATCAAGAATTGCTTCTTGGATTCTTTTATTTCCATCATTCCACAGTTGATTAGAAAGCTTCAAAAACATGGGAGAAGAAATGCAATAAAGCATGAAGTGATAGGAAACCTATCAGTATATACCCAAATGCATTTTCTCGTCACATAAAGTTTGATAGCTTCTACTTCAGAATGATAGATCTGGTACATATGTTTATCTCTCTTTTCCTTCCAAAAGTGTCCTTGAAATAACACTATAAAATTATATTATGAATAAACTTATAAAGACATAGAGTACAATGACAAGTTAAAGAGTTTAACAGACAGCTGCAAAACCAAGGGAAGTAAAATCAGATTAATAAAGAAATCATAATGGAAGAATCTAGAACTCAGGATATGTGCAGGAGAAAATTACAACAGAGACAGGAACTCCTTTCGTAACAGACCAAAACCTCTGATGGAAATGATAGGCACAGAGACCAATACTGAGAGAAGAAAGCACAGCAATCTGGCTATTCCAGGAATATGCCTTCAGTAGGCCTGGAGGCCCAAATCTGCCAAAAGGGTGACAGGCCTAGAATTTACATGTAATATCCTCAGTCTTTTCATAGTACTGATAAATACTTTGAGAGTGTTACCAAGTACAGTAATGTCAAATGTGAAGCAGTCAGGCACATAGCGCAAATCTCTAGAGAGAGAAGTCATGAGGGACCAACAAGGTATGAATCCTCTGAGACTATCAAGGATAGTACCCTGAAGAGTCATCACCCTGAGCAAGTAGTATTACTGGAAGTCAGGGAACTTCATGAGAATTTGAGAGCAAGAGTGTCTTACTCATCTAACTGGTAGTGTTGCTGTGTTTGCTGCAGTATATAGCCAGCTTGTGCACAGTCATGGTTCCCTTTATATGCTTAAAGAATCTTGTATACTCTTTGCTTTGTGTATGAGCAGTATCTTGCCAATCTCATTATTATTCTGTTTGGACTGCTTGCAGATTAGTATGAGGAGTGGGATAGACTCAAACAAACAACTGTCAGGTCACATTCAGATGCAGTATAATATGGTAGCTATAAGTACCAGCTCCAGTTCCCAACTGTCTTAGTGTAAATCTTCTCTCTGGCATTTAGAAAGTATGTGATATTAACCTCTCACATCTCAGTTTTATCATCTCCAAAATGAGGAGAATACTTCAACTCTTAATACACTTAAGATTCTTATAAGATTTCAATGAGCTAACATATACAAAATCCCATGTACTTGTCATATAAAAAATGTTTTAAATGATCGTTTTATGATAGTTATATTAAGACAGGGGTCTGCAACATTTTCTTTAAATATTCTGCACTTCACAGGTCAAATACAGTCCCTGTTTTATGTGTGTGTGTGTGTTTACAACTCTTTAAAATATATTTTAAGAAAATCCTTAGCTCACAGGCCACACAAAAACAGACTGAAGGCAGAATTTGGGCCACTGGTTATAGTTTGCCCAACCTCTGCCATAAACATTCTTTCACTTTCTATTGAAGGGATAAACATCCATTCCTTTCTTATTAAGAAATAGCAGCCTCGCACTGACATCTAAATTACCTATAAAAATGAATAAAAAGATAAAGGAAACTTAATTCTCCAAGATTAATAGATATAGAGGAAACAAGTGCAGTGCCAGTCTTTTCCTAAACTCAGGTGGGCCCAATCCAAGAGTCATCTCCTCTAAACAAAATTATGCCTGGGATAATAAATTATATATCCTCTTTGGATGAATTATGTTGACAACATTACAATTCCATATCATTAGGAACCATGTGTCATTCTGGAAATAAACTTACAGATATCAACTTTTCAGATACTCTCTGTATAAACAGTTTTCTACGTAGACGGAATAGGAGGTGTTGTTAAATGGATAATATTGAGCAGAGTGAAAACATAAAAAGGAGTTAAAAAGCTGGATCAAAGTTAGTACAATATTAGGAAATCTAGCATCAGAAATGTGGGAAAGGAACAAGCAGGGCAACAGGGAGAACTGGTACAACAGAATAAAGCAGGCTGTCCTGAGTCTGCAGCCAGGCCTTGCCCCAGAAGACTGAAGGTAAGGCCAGCGCCTTTGTAGCAGTGACATTTGAATAAACTGGGTGTAGGGCCTCACAAGACCCTCAAAGAGAAGCATGTTCCCTAAATGGATTCTGATGTTAATTGGACACATAAAAAAAGAGATTATTGTTTTATAGGGTCTCTAACAGATAATCTGAAGCATTTAAGTTATTATCCCTGTGATAGAGAGGTGCTTAAAATTCAACACAGAATTTTAAGAACAAATTTTTTATTATTGTCAAAATCAGCCTGTCAAGATTTCAACAAATCTTGCCTGGTTGGCCTGTCAAGATTTTGGAAAATGCATATTCTAAATGAATGGAGCTTTTGAGGCTCAATTTACCAAATTATAAGAATAAAATAATTGGGGTTTTATTTTAGGGGGATTATGCAGGTAATACAAATTAACTTTGGAAGTGTAGGCATATGATGCCTTGATCTAGGCAAATACATGTGTTCGCATAAAAGGTGAAAATTTCTATTGGTAAAACTTGATGAATTTTCTGATTTTGGCTTATGTGAACATGAAAAGCATTAGGAATAAACAGAAAAATTCTATAATTATTAGTAGGGAGGTTTCAGAATATTTAAATGTAGATTAAATATAATATTTAATATGAAATATGTTATATTCCAATGTGCTATAATCTACTGTGAGTTGAGTCTTGTAGAATGGGACAATATAATATACAGAAATTTTTTCTACCTGAATTTGGGGGTTACAAAATATTCTGATGATTTTTGACCTTTATTTAGAGTTTTATCTGACTCTAATTGAAAAATTGGACTAATAAAATAATATTGAGCTAATAAATATTTGTATATATTCACTGTAATTTAATACCAATGTTACTGGAAATAAAAGATAAATGTTGACAAATGTCCATGGAAATTCAAAGTTAAAAAATAGTTTTAGGCTAAATCTCAAAGATTTGTCCTTTTTTTCTTCAAATTGTTTATCATTCCATATGAAATATTAGGTGTCTTTTGCCTGTATATTCTTTATAATTCTGTGAGAAAAGATAGAATTTATTTTACTTTTCAGATAGTCTTTCCTCTAAAATGCTGATAAGGGGAGTTGTGTAGGTAGTCACTTCTAGGGTACTTGAGGCAAGGGACAAAAATAGAGTAAGAAAAGACTTCTATCCTAGCATTTTGGGAGGCTGAGGCAGGTGGATCACCTGAGGTCGGGAGTCCGAGACCAGCCTGACCAACATGGAGAAACCCCGTCACTACTAAAAATACAAAATTAGCCAGGCATGGTGGCACATGCCTGTAATCCAAGCTACTCAGGAGGCTGAGGCAAGAGAATCACTTGAACCCAGGAGGCGGAGGTTGTGGTGAGCCGAAATCGTGCCATTGTACTCCAGCCTGGGCAACAAGAGCAAAAGTCCATCTCAAAAAAAAAAAAAAAAACAAAAGACTTCTAAATATAGGAGACAAAATGCTATTTGGTGTGACAATAAATAACCTCAAATCTACCAGAGGAAGGAGAAATCAGATTAAAAACTCTCAGTGCTAAAATAAAAACTTGGTTAAATTGAAAATAACAATATAGAATTGTTACCTGTTATTTAAAAAGAAAAGTAATAGTCTGCCCTGTAACTCAGGTGGCTTCATTAGCATGCTGCATCCCCAATTCTCATATAAAATACTAAAATCTCTACTTCTATCCCCTAGATTTGATCTTTATTACTATTTTTTAACAAAAGGGACTAAAGCCCCTTGGGAAGTGTGGCTGATTGCATATTAAAGGCAGTAGAACCCAGGATGAGACTGAAACATCTTACTGAAGTTAGAAGGCAGACTTTTATTTTTGGTTTTGTACCTATTTGTACCACTTAGATGTTTATTACTGTGTCTGCATATGTGTAAGTGTATAGTAATAAATAAGTAAATAACAAAATGTAAGTATTGCTTGTTATATAATAAAAGTCCATACTGTATAATAATAATCAGGTTGAAAGCACTGCTACTTTCATGTACTATGCCTTCTCACAGGCCTGCAGGAAGAAACTTACTTAACAGCAACCACTATGGCAAATATTATCAATGACTGGCATATAAAGTGAAAATTCTCTTTCTCTAAACAACTATTAACCACTTATTTAATTGTCCTTTTTCTTACTTCTGATGACCAAAGAAGTGGAAGGTGGGCTTCCTGGGTATCATCAACATACTTCCTCCTCCAGTCTTTTCACCTGCACAAGCTTCCTGTTCCTCTGGGATGCACAGACAGTTTGTAGTCTCTGGTATATTATCAACCATGTTATTGCCTCCCTTAGATACTCTTGAAGTTCACACACAGAATATCCATACCTTGCACACTAAGAAGATGAAAAACTCTTGATGTTATTTCCATTCGTGAACTCGTGGAAGAGCTTCCTGTTTATAAAAAGAAAATCAGAAGGTAAAAAACTCTTGGTGTTATTTCCATTGTTGAACTGGTAAAACAGCTTTCTGTTCTTAAAACAATCATAATTTATTGTAGTTACCTATTTCTGTGGTGTACATACTCCCATTAGGCTGACTGCAAGCTACCGACAGTTTTACAACTGGCTTCAAAATTCCTAATTAATCAACAAGCATCTCTGATAATGTGAGCTGGCTTCAACGTACCAATGGTCCTGCTTTCTTCATTTTAACTCATCTCAGCCTTTCTGTGTGGCTTTTTACTTGCCAAAAAAAAATCACATCTGGTTGCCTTGGGAAACATTATTCCATATAAATTGACAGAACCCACTCTCTTTGCCACTCCCTAAATTCTACTGTCAGTGTGCACACCCAGTGTTGGTAGCTGAGGCTGAAATTGCCAACCTGGCATTTTCTACTTTTTCAGGACAGTTTCATACATCATCTTTACCAGTGTTGATGGAAAGAAAATGAAATAGAAGAGAAGAGGAAAGAAGAGAAAGGAAAGGGAGACAGGATGAGAGAAAAGGAAAGGAAAAGGAAAGGAAGCAATATCATTCTCTCCTGTCTTTTACAAACTTACTACTTGCCTTGCGTTACAGTCATTTTTGTACATGGGTTATCATTTTTCTAGATGTTAAAAATGCTTTGGGTATTTAATCTGTAGCTCATATATTTCTATGTCTCCCACAGCACCTAACTAAATGTCTAGCTTATATAATGAGCCTCGATAAATATTTGTTGAAAAAATAGAATTTAAAAAGTAGAGTAAAAGAATTCACAAGTAAGAATGATTACATAGAAAAAGCTTATTTCAATATCAAGCCAAATAAATAAGTAATCAACATACTGATTTCCAGATTTAACTTGTTTGCCATCAGTTCTCCACCAAGGAAAGATAAGTTGATATTGCCAGCCTTTCATGAGCTTCCTCCTAACAGTAGGCTTATCGCCTTTGCACATTCCTATAGCAGAGAACATAGATCTGACTGCCTTAAGGTAATACCTTTGTGTTTCACTGAGATAGTCACTCTTAGCTGATAATAGATCCATTCTTTGTTGGAAGACTCGTGCTCAGTGTAATTTTTTTTCTTCCAGATAAAAAGGGTAGCCCCCATAGACATGTTCAGCATGGTGAATTAGAATTAGGATGTGTGTGTGCCCGTGTGTGTGTGTGTGTAAGAGGGGGAGTCTCAATGTGTTGTCCAGGTTGCACTTGAACTTTTAGTGTCAAGTGATCCTCCTGCCTCAGCCTCCCAACTACCTGGGGCTACAAGCACACACTACTGCACTTGGCCATGAATTTGGTTTTATTACTCTTATCATTAAGGTACTGTTAAGAGCTGTCTATTATTGATGAGATCAGTTGATTCAGTGCAGACAGTTCAGTGCTAAGTTCCTGAAAATATTTTGCAAGTTTAACTCAACTTAAAATTCTAAAAATTGTTAAGTAGAAATAAGCTATACTCTTAGAAAGCGAAGACTAATATAACTTTTTTGTTATTGTTCACTTGCTTAATGTAGCAGGTATAAATCTGAAGCAAAATTACATTTCATTATTGTCTGTAAATCATTTAATTTCAATTCTGAGTAGCTATTCCTATCAACTTAGTGAGAAATTCAACCTCAGTTATTTCTAGGCTTTTTCCCACCTTCAGGTTTGTGCTGAGGTTCTGGGTTTTACGCCATATCTAAGCATTAGGACATTAATCACTAGAGGTATCTGTCCACACTGGTAAAAGCTGAATTTTGCTGCAGCCATGTGATATCATCAGATTCACTGGTGTGCCATTTCCATGCCATGCTTTGTGCTTCAAGAGGATCTTGAACAAGCCTGAGAACCTAAGCTTGGCATCTAACCTACCTAGTTAACTATGTGAATATGCTCCCTGATGTCCTGCCACACTTTTGAGTGCTTCCAGGGAAGAAGTAAAAGTCCCTTCTGTTCAAGGACAGGCAGACCTGTCCCTTACCCCCAACCTGGAGAAAGCTCTTTTTCTCTTTTGAAACCTTCTGTCTTTCTTGGTTTCACACAGGGATACCAATTTCCTCTCTCTTCAAATTCTATCATCCTCAGTGGGCAAACAGAAGCCAGAAAATCCTGCCAAAAACCTTTCATCTGGTAAGGAAGTAGGGAACTTGTTATGTGCTCGAATGAAGGACAGAGGAGGTGGAAAATTCAAGAAGAAAAATTAACAACTCACAATTTCAATTAATATTTTAAAAAACTGTCTTTCAAATATCTTCCTTCTGCTTAGGAAGATCTGTATTTATGGATCTCATTCCTTCAAACTAAGTGGTCAAGCTCTCCTACCCTCTGATTACCTCCCTCAGCATACTAGCTTAGGTATATTTCTGTTCTTTCTATCTACTAGGTTTTTGCTCAACAAAGATAACATTCTGCTTAAATAAAGTAGGTAACTGCCTAATTAATATAACTTAAAGGATACTAGAAAGGCTCATTTCCATTCAAAGATGCTTGTTTCTCTGTTATTAGGTGACTTTAATGCTACCACTAGAAAACTGATGCTTTGGATTAAGGCATACCTACAGCGTACATAAAAATAATCCATGGATTCAACTACTCATTTAACAAACATTTATTAATCATGTGTGTGTGTGTGTGTGTGTGTGTGTGTGTGTGTGTGTGTGTGTGTGTGTGTGTATATATGTCAGGCACTGTGCTAGCCACAAGATATAGCACAACAAATAAGCATACATAGTTCTCCGTCTCTTGAAGTTTATAGTTTATTTGTGGAGACAGACATGTGAGTACTTATTCCTGAAATGATTAATTATAATTATAAGTGTCATGAAAAAGAAGTGAAGGTTAGCATGAGAATATATAACAAGGGGAACTTTCCTGAGAAAGCAGCATTAAAGCTAAAATCTAAAAGTACATGGAAAGGAAGAGAAGAGAGTTTTAAAGCAGAGAAAACAGAATGTCTGGAGGTCTTGGAATAAGAAGAATATTGTTTAACATTTTTAAACAAAACAAACTAAAACAATGACGAAGACTCAGATGGCTGAAACCTAGGGATAGAGGAGAATGCCTTAAGATGAGGTCAAAAGGTGACCCAGGAGCTAGAATACTCAGGGCTGTGTAAACCATAAGGAAGGTTTTGGTCTTGATCCAACCCCTAACCCCCAAATGTCTTAAGCAGAGGAATACATGATCAGGTTTCTATTTAACAATTCTGACTGCTGTGCAGAGGAAGGCAAAAACTGAATATGTAAAACATTATGCCATTATCAGCTATTAGCATTCTAGTCTCTTAAATTCTTTCCAACTAGCTGTTGATACAAGACTGTGTCATGAAAACCCTCAGACAGTTCTCTCACAGATCCACATCCTCACTGAATTGTAGCATTCACTATCACCCCCACCCGCACACTCCTGTTCTCATACTCTTTTACTTAAAAAGGTCTCTACCTGGCATGTCAGTTCCATCACCAGGATCCCCACTGTAATTACCTGGAGGTCTATAATTCCTCACATATTGGATATTAAAGCTTATCTCACCATTACCATTCATGCCTTGTGACCGTGGACTGGAGTAGTCCTGCCCTTGAACTCCATTCTAGGGGATGGAGCTTCGTTACCTGACAATAGGTTCACCTGATAATGCCTACCCTAATATTTCTGGTATTAGGGAGTGTTGACACACTCCCTAAACTCTACTTTTTTGCATCCTTACTGATGGAATTCAAGCCACTATCATTCAAGCTACTATCATTTCTCACCTCAATCGTTTCAACATTCTATTAATGCATTTTCCTTTTTGAAGTCTTTCTCCCAGGCTTTGGTCCACACTGAGGCAAGAAAGATCTTTCTAGACGAAAAATTTTGCCTTGTCATTCTCTTGCTTAAGACTCTTCCATGGTCTCACGTTTTTTAACAGACAAACTGAAAACTCCTCATATATCATACAAGGCCCCTCATAATTAAACCCCATTTACTTTTTTTTTTTTTTTCAGACAAGAGTCTCATTCTGTCACCCAGGCTGTAACGCAGTGGCGTGATCATGGCTCACTGCAGCCTGGAACTCCTGGGCTCTGGTGATCCTCTCACATCAGCCTCCTGGGGTAGCTGAGACTACAGGTATGAGTCATTGTGCCTGGCCCCCATTCACCTTTTCAGTCTCGTCTCACATACTCTTCCTTCGTACTTTATGCTCCAGTCATTTATTTAAGGACCTGATTGGGTGTTGCACCAGCTGGGGTGCTCACCTTATTAGAGCACATTAGAAATATCAGGCTCACTAACTTGGCTCTCCAACTCCTCGGTTGTTGTTGTTGTTGTTGTTTGTTTGTTTGTTTTTGAAACTGAATCTTGCCTGTCGCCCAGGCTAGAGTGCAATGGCACGATCTTAGCTCACTGCAACCTCTGTCTCCTGGGTTCAAGCGATTCTCTTGCATCAGCCTCTGCAGTAGCTGGGATTACAGGCGCCTGCCACCACGCTCAGCTAATTTTTGTATTTTTAGTAGAGACGTGGTTTCATCATGTTGGCTGGGCTGGTCTTGAATTCCTGACCTCATGATCTGCCCGTCTCGGCCTCCCAAAGTGCTGGGATTACAGGGACAAGCCACTGCGCCCGGCCCAACTCCTTGTTTAATGCAAAATGTACACTGATGTTGCTCCTGGAAAGGGAGTCAGCATTATCAAATGTAAATAAAAATATTCTCCCATCCCCTACACAAATTGATTTCTTAAGTAGTTCTGCAAAATATATTTAGAGTAACAGCTGAAAGTTGGCAGCAAGCTAAATTTCTAAACCCAAATAATATGTGGCATAGTGTTGTTTATCAGGGATGAGTCATTTATTTTATTATCTAAATTTTGCTTTTTTAGTACACCTCCCAAGAAGTTCTCTGGCTCAAAACACACGTAAACTGAAGAAAGAGAAGAAAATGGGGAACGTTTTGCTAAATAATTCCACAAAATAAACTCTGCTTTGACCCAGCTGAAGTGAATTACTAGGTGAATGTGTTTTGCATACAATTTTTCTTAATAGAAAAATCAATTTCTCCCTGGCCCCAAGAAATAAATATTGAATAAATAGTTGTTTAAATATCCTTTTTAAGGGGTGACAAAATGTTAGCTTGCCTTGCAGGCCCTCATTCTCAGCATGCTCACGCAAGCCCCTGTGGTTTTTCATACATACTTTCCTCTCCATGAAACAAGATACATTTCCCTCTTGCTATTGCCTATTCAGCTTAAATAGCACTCCTTTAAGGAGACCTTCCATCATTTATATATCAGGTAGGTTCCTCTCTATACTCTTCTATCTTTCTATACTTCTCCTATCATTATATTGTGTATCTGTCCTATTTATTGTATATTTGCTCTATTTGATTGTGTATCTGTTCTACTTGATTATATATTTACTCTGTTTTGTTCTGTTCTTCTAGACTTTAAGCTTCTGCCACAGGAAATTCTGCCTCTGTTTGCTTAAATATCCCAGGCACCTAGACCGGTGCCTGAAACATAGAAGTTCCTTAATAAATATTTGATGAATAAAAATGAATAAATGAATGAATAAATAAAATGGAGTAAAAAGTACTCCATGTTAGAGCTCTCTGACTCTTTGCTTGAACTGCCCCTTGTTATTTATCACCATGGCCACCTGTAACCATATTATGCTTGAAACTTATGTCTGTGAACTGAATTAATGCCATATCCCATTACAGCTGCTGTCACACATACCCAGGCACATGACAGTTGTAAACAATGAGATAGAAAAAGTAAATGCTAAGGCAATAGACACCATGAATTAATTTTCTCCTTTATATATTTTGTTTATGGCTAAACCTCCTCACATTTCTGTCTAGTTTTCATGGGGAGCCCTTAAGTCATTGGCAAACAATTCAATTAATGGAGCCTCAGTTCTGCAACTTCCTAAGGGCTACAGCTGGCAGGCTCCAGTGAATACAAAGCTACAAATAATGTCAGACTAAGTTAGGTGCCTGGGAAATTATTGGTATGCCATAAAATAAGAAAAGTTTGAAACAATCACTCCAGAGTTGTAACAAGTGTCTACTATATGGCAAGCATTGTGTTGTCTCCTACAAACACTATTTAATTTAATAAACTCAAAAATCTTAAAGGTAGGTGCAACTCTTCTATACCCATTCTACATACAAGAAAAGCGAGGCCCGGGGAAGTTAAATAAATTGTCTAAAGTCATCTGATTAGGGAATGGCAGAGCCAGAAACTCACATGGATCTAATTCCACAATACAATACTTTTTAAGAGAGCTTGTGTCCTTTTCCCAAAAATATCAAGTTTTAGAAGAAATTCAAACTAGTTTCAAAAACAAAAACAAATTAATAAGAAACATAATTAATCTTTCAGTTCATGATGCTATAATTCTTCATTTTGGGTTCTTTTCAAACAGCTGTTGCATGCCGTACTTTTGTGCTAAATAAAATTTTTTTAAACAGAAAAATGTCACATTCTATTTATATCTGAAATTAATTAAGAATGATTAGGAAGCATTAGGAAAATCTAAGCAAATGACTTTGAATGCATTCTATATATACGAAACCCAATAACTGAAAGATCTTGCCACCATTTTGGAAAGAAATGCACAAAAAATGCCCAACTATATGATCACTGATAATAGTTTTTCTTAAGGCATTTATAATATTATGGTTATGCATAAACAGTCCATTAATTATGGAAGATTTCCAGGGGAAAGAAGCTGGCACATTGGTTAAAGGGAAAAATAAATTTAGAAGATGCCGGAAATAATACTGACTAGCAGAAAGAATTATCGTGAGGGGGCAAAGAAAGAAGACAGTGACTGAAAGAAAATGAATTATGGTTGCCCTTCTTTCTGAAGACCTTGGAGAAGGATGTGGGGGCAACTGTTTTGGAAGAAGTAAGCATAAAACATGTTCTATGTTGACATAGCAACCTGCCACAAGAAACAAAGCCAGTGAAAGTGGAGTTGGTAAAGCTAACATTTCTTGAGCACGTGTATATGCCAGAGCCTGTGCTAGACTCTGTGCATGGCTCTTTACAAATTGAAAAAGAAGAATTCAAAATAAAAGACACAGTATTGTAGATCAAAACTACTGTCATTTTAATACGGGAGAAAAAATTGTTAAAAACCATTTAGAATTTTGCAAACAAAAAACAAGAAAATTGTGTGAACTGACTAGATTTCCAACATTCACATAGGATCATGAGAAATTGGAAAAAGTATATACCTTTGTTCTGACATCAAGGGCTATATAATTTATGAGGGAGTTAAATCTGACAAGTAAGCATAAAATATAGTAATAGTTCAGAGAAAGGAAACATTTATATAGCTTTTTGTGGTCAAATGATACAGGCAGCATTTGATCTGTAACTTAAAAGAAGTAGTAGAATTTGATGAATTTCTCTAGACCAAAGGCATAACATGAGCAAAGTAACACCAGGTGAACTTGAATGTGACTTATTAAAGACTGTAAGATTTGCCTGATTGGAATTAAGTACATATTCTGGGGAAAAGTGGGAAAGAGTAGACCTACAAATTGGAATGAGATTATGGCAAGCCTTAAAACATTTTATTAAATTGAAATATAAGGTACTTGAAGACCAGTTGATCTTTGCAGTCTCTGTCACTCCGCCTATCACACCAAAATCCAATGTGTAGCTACCCACCCAGGCATTGTTCTGCCCACATTCACTCCTAGTTCCCAATAGCTTCATGTATATCTGCTGTTTAGCAACCCCAACAAGGATTTTAAACAGGTACAGAGGAATTCTACATCTGCTATGTGGGGGGAAAAAAGTTGCCCTAAAGGAAGTTTCCTTTCCTAAGAACAGCATCCCGCTGCATGCTATCAAGCTCCTCAATGCAAAGCAGAAGCTTCCCCAGCCCTCCGTTCCTGATTCCTAGGGGAAGGCACGGGCTCCACTCCGTGTAGAGAGCACAGACGGTTAACATGAACAGTGAGTTTCATCAGCCTGCGATGTAAGATGTGACCTGGTAAGCACAGCTCACCCATAAATCCAGCCCATGGCTGTCATAATCCCCTCAGAAAGTCTCTGTAAATAGAGTGTTCTGTACAGGCAAAGCAGTTTTCTTTCTCACATTTAGTGAGGGGTGGAGGGCACCTTCTTCCAAAGGCAGAATAATGTGAATGTGAAAGGCCAGATTCCAGGATAACTCGGCACCCTTCCTGCCAACACAGCAAGCCGCCTCTGTCAAATGTGCTGTCTCACGTCAACAGTAGTAATTATGCGGGGAAAGGTGCTCCTTGTAGCTACTTGGGGCGGCTGTAGTAAAAGATACTGAAAACATGAGCACTGTTAGGCAGTGAATTTGTCACGCTAAGTAGGACAATGCCTAATGGTGATAAGAAAATGAAGCAAACACCTGATGTTAAATCTCTTTTATGGCATTTTCATAGAAATTGTAGGAACACCTATATGATCCCTAACCACAGGAAGGAATGTGAAAAGAAAAATGTAGTCTTTAGTGACATGGATTTTCATAGCTGGATGCACATTTGGGATCATTAATAACAACTCTCTTGCAGGTGAAGAAATTGAGACCTAGAAAAGTTAAGAGATTTGCCCCAAGCTCATATAGCTTTTAGAGGCAGAGCACAACTATTTGGACGATGTCCCAAATGTCTCATTTTTTCCAGTGATGCCATATGCTAGTAACAGCTAAGATTTGCAGTCCACGAAACAGTAGGATATATATTATCATGCTTCATCTTTACTGCAACCTGTGAGAGTAGTATTATTATCCCCTTCACACAGATCCAAAATCCAAGGCTCAGAGAGATTAACTGACGTGCCAAAATAGCTCATGGAAAAGGTTGGGCTCACACCTACATCTTTTGCCGAAGAGATGGAGTTGGTACGCAGTACCATGCTGCCTATCTTGCAGACAGAACCACACAGAAACCTCCTGTTTCTCCCATTGCATTGATACAGGAGAATGTAGCTATTGAAAAGAAGCAATTATCAACTACTTCATTCAACAAGCAGGTATTGAGGACCTACTGTATGCCAGACAATGATCTAGGTCACAGAGATACAGCAGTAAGAACAATAGACAAAGTCACTGCTCTCACAGTGACAGACAAGGAACAAAAGCAAAACATATAGGTGCAGGTGGTAATAAGTGCTATAAAAGAAAAAGAAAGTAATAAGAGGATAGAGAGTCTTTGGGATACTGATTATTAGTTACCCAATGGCTCTATCGGAACCTCAGCAAATCAGCATGCACAGATTTTATACGTAGTGATATATAAGCAATAGTAACAAGTTCAAGTTCATAGATCCTCAAGGGGTCCACGAGCTATGTTCACTGTTTCAAAAATAAATAATAAAATCTAAATTAAATATTTAGTAAAAAAAAACTCTAGATAATTCCTTTTTTAAAAAAATTAAGACAAATTATATCAACTCTGTGGAAACTCTATCTAGACATAATCACAAATCCTGATTAACAGATACACATGTCACAAAAATGAGGACCCCAATCATTAATGCAATTTTTCTGTTTTAAAAAAATGAATCTTTCCAAAAATCAGGCATTAAAGGGGGAATTGTTTAATGTAGTCATTGGCCATGATAAAATTGTAATTCAACATCTATCCTAGGACAAAACAGAGGATATCTTTTGGAAATAAGCTTCACCTGTTAGCATCAGGGCAAATCTCTCTGAAAAGAACCAAGGCACGTACTAATTACAGCTGGCTATGCTATCTGTATTACTCTCTTCTCACATTGCTATAAAGATACTACCTGAGACTGGGTAATTTACAAAGAAAGGAGGTTTAATTGACTCACAGTTCTGCATGGCTGGGGAGGCCTCAGGAAACTTACAATCATGGCGGAAGGTGAAGGGGAAGCAAAGTACCCTCTTCATAGTGGCAGAAGAGAGACAGTGAGTAGGAACTAAACCATCAGATCTCATGAGCACTGCCTCACTATCATGAGAACAGCATAGGGGAAGCCACTTCCATGATCCAATCACCTCCCACCAGGTCCCTCTCTTGACATGTGGGAATTACAATTGGAGATGAGATTTTGATGGGGACACAAAGCCAATCCATATCACTGTTCCCAGGAAAATCTGAGCAATCAGCAAAATATACATCCTTTATCGCCTCATAGAATCCTCCGCATTCTCATCATCACTTAGTTTCCCACCCCAGTGTTTCCTCAGGAGCAAAGTACCTCTCTGCAGTGCTGGCTTCCCATAGCCTACAGCTGTGGTTCCTTCTTAAGGCTGCTCTCTCCATTCTCAAGACCTTCCTGGGAGAATCAACTTGTCAACACCACATATGTTATATGTTAATGTATTTACTCTGAAAACAACCTGATGAAGTTAACACTACTTTTCTAATTTTGCAGATGAAGAATCAAGGTGTAGGGAGATTGATTAGGTATGCCCTAATCACACAGATAGTCTGTCCCTCCAAAGCAATATGCTAAGTGACTAGCTAATCTATGAAATTAATGGGTAAAATCTATATTTTTACATGATGTTGCATTATCAAGACAGCAACAGTAAGAATGTATGTATAAACTTTGCAAAGAAGTTCCTTGCTTATAAATTTTTGCACATTAAATATCATAATGCTAAGGAAACAAGAAAAAGAAAATATGAGTTCTCATCACTTTCAGAAAAATTGTGTAGCTGTATGTTTTTAAAAAAATTTAAAGTTTATAATGATTTAAGTTTGGTTAGTATGAAAAATAAAGTAGATGTCAACCTGTGTATTTGGGGTTCTTTTCCTGAGAATATTGTTATGTTTATTCTTCCCCTAAAAATAGAAGTACAGGTTATGACAGGCATGTTTATTGTTAAATAATAAAAAATAGATCGTATTTAAATTACACAACAGATTTGAGATAATTTGATACTGGTCCACATGATATGGCTAGAGAAATGTTTTGACATCTAGTACTGTCAAATTTTATTTCCCTAAATAGATTAATAATTGTTAATAATAGTTCTGGTAATGCAATTTTAGATCTTGTTTAATCCTCACAACTACAAGATAAGAATTATGATTCTCATTTTACATACGAGGTAACTTGGGCTCAGAGAAGTAAAATAAATTCCCAGGTGACAGGGTCAGCATTTAAATGCAGGTGGATCTCTCCCCAAAGCTTGTGCTCTTAAACACTCCAGGGCTTTTTATATGCCTCACTCTTACTATCAAAACCCAACTCTTACACAGAGTCTGACTTTATTCATCACCAAGCATTGTCAGGGGTTGTCCAAGACTAGACACAGACAAGTTTATCTTACAAATGAACAATAATACTGGATATTCAGCAAAAGGCACTCTCAGAAGAGATAAATTACTTAGACCCTCACTTTGACAATTCAAAAACATTTCAAGTATTAAATGTATTCTACCACTCATAAAGATGAAGATGAATCATATTCTTGACTTCATATTAAAGATTCTTTTTTGCACAATTTGTTCTAAAATTAATATGCCAATGATTCACAGCCCCTTATAATATCACCTTTGGCCTACCATTTTTTATCAATGTGTTATGATAAAAATTGTCTCTTCGGGTTAAGACACATTCATCTGGAGGAATGTTATTATGGTCTGCATAAATAGCACTTGGTTATTTTTAAAGGATTATTTTTTCCATCTGTACAAATCTACTCTTTGTTATCTTGAAACAGGTGACATTACCTACCAGAATTCCTAGCTGTAAGAGACTTATTTAGCCCCCATTCATGACCCTTTATTAATTGATCTGGATCTATTTTACCTCTTTAACAAGTTTTTCCTGACTGTTGCCTGACTGTTGTTTTAGTCACGCAAAAAATTATAAGACAAGATTTTAAAAAATACTGTACAGATTGCACACGGGGAAGCTGGCAGTCTTTCACACCATGTTCATTCTCTGCAGCACAAATCGTCACCACAATAAAGAGCCTAAAACAAAAGCCAAATGCTGCATAAGGAGTACTTTTCCTTCGGAAAAAATTCCAACATTGGGGAGCATCCTTTCCTCTGGATGCACATGCATAATTTCCATTATTGTTAATGGGAGCTATACATGCATAACACCCATTACTGCTAATGGGAGCTAAGTGCACACACAAGGGTAGAATACAGTGAAATCTGTCTTAGAAAATCACCCAAGAGACTAGCAAAAATCAGTTGCCTGGTAGAGAATGGTTTTAAATTAAAAGCAGAACAGAACTGAGGTTGAAATCACAGGGGAACTATTTAAACTTCAGGGAGCAGTGGGAATTGGCTTCTCTTTTTCTTGCTCTATTCTAGTATCTTGTTTTCCTCATCCATATTCTTGATGAGAACCAATGACCTTGTGATCTCCTAAAGAGATTATCTGGAAATGAATTTCACACCTCCATTGATTCAAATGGTAGGCTTGGGGACCCTTTGGTGGAGGAAGGAATACAGCTACTAGATGATTACATCACAGAACATGCAAAATACAAGTCACATGGTAGCTCTAATGACAGTTAATGAACCAGGATGAAAACAGTAAAGCAATATTATTATGGCAATTTATATCTATCACTCATTAATCCTTAAAAACATCTGTTCTATTATAATGTTATTGTAAAAATCAGTGAAAAATAAACTGGAAAGTGATTTCCATCTACCCAAGTGGCCTTCTGCATTTTTTTTTCAGCATTTCAGGGCATTGGAAACACAAGCTATTCCTACAATATCTTAAAATCATAGGGGTCTGTTCTAGTCCAGTCTCTTCATTTTGCAGGTAAGGAAATTGCAGAGAAATTAAGTGGCTTTTTTTTTTTTTATCAAGGTCACAAAATACTAAAGGGAGATCTTAAATCTGTAATGCAGAATTTTTCTGACTCCAGATCCAGTAGTTTAATGTTCAAAAGCACAGACTCGCAAAGACTTTCATCTTTGTTGGCTTCGCTCTGGTCTCTGGGGAACAAATGCACAGATGGGTGGATGAGTTGTAAACTCCAAAAGGGGCCATTCTGGAACTCTGGAGAGTTGGGGACTGAATGTTCTGCATGTTACTGAAGTAAGTGCATGTTCCAGTTATTTCCAAAAAGAGTTTCAAATACAAATCTCAACAAATGTTTTAAAGAGGCAGAAACAAAAAGTTAGTGGAAGTAGAAGGCGTATTACCTCAGTCTAGAAAAGAGGAATGGAAATACTGTGCTTAAGATGACTTTTCTGTTCCATCTCCCACTTCCCAGTTATCCTTCTTAGACTGTAGTTATAAAAGCACAAGCAATAAAGTCATTCTTGTATCATCGTCACATACGTGACACATGTTATTTTTGTTATGCTTTATACACAGATGTTCCTAGTTGGCCTTGTTTTGGACTCACTCAAAAATGGGCGGGAGCAGACAGAAAATAACATTGGAAATTGGTTACTGTTTGCAAGAACTGTTAATATATAAAAGCCCATGTTACTTCTCATTACTCTTTTTCCGTGGAAGTGGTTCTTTGTTGCTTTGGCTGCCAGACTCCTGCCCCTCATAGGCTTGAAAGGAAATGAAAGACAAAGAATGGGGCATGGAGAATGTAGTGAGAAAAAAGGAAGAGACAGAAATAAAAGAAATAGAGAGAAGGAGAGGAGAGTAGAAGAAGAAAAAAAAGAGCAGAGGAAAAGGCACCATAATACTTGGGATGGCACAGCATAAAACTGGTGTTTTGGAGTCAAAGAAGCAATAATTTTAGAGCCTGAATAATAGAGTTTTATGCTCAGATCAGCCTTTATACGCTATGTGATATTAAATTAAATAAATTTGTGATGTCTCAGTTTCCCCATTTGTCAAAGGAGAATAGAATACTCATTCTATTTCACAGTGTCGTATTAGAAAAAGTAATGCATGAAAATACTTTATAAACCATAAATAAGTGTAATATAGGAATCCGATGATTATGATGGCTTAAAATAGCAAATGATCAGAGACAAAAAGTCACACAAAAGGGACTGCCTTTGTCCAAGTATCCGATCACATTTTTATAGCCTCTGAACATTACCTTAATTTGCAATGAACATCTTCTTCCCATTTCCATCTTTATATTGTAGAAAAGCCACCTAATTAAGAGGAAAAACTTGGTTTAAAAAAACGATATATATATTTATCAGTTTACCCTACAAGGCCCATGGCATATACTTTGACACAACTCTTTCAAAAGCCCCTTGACTAAGAGCAAGGTGGCCTTGGATTAGAAGTCATTTCTGCTGACTCTACAGGAAACCAACTCCAAGGAACAAGACCACAGGCAGGGGAGTACCCAGAGGCCCATGACTCAGCACAGTGGTTGATCCACAGAGCTAGAGAGCTGTTCTGAAGATGCCTAATCCTCACTGTCTCCCCTCAGCTATTTTCAGAAAAAGAAACAGAACCCTGAAATACGTGTTTTTGTTATTTTTGTGACCTATATCACAAACTAGACTTTATTAAATTTCATTGGTGTACATTACATGATATTTTTTGTCTCTTCATTTTTTTCTTCCAGCAAACTGCAATCTCTTTGAGGGCAACTACATGTTGTTGTTAATCTGCAGCCAAGCACAGTATAAGGCATACAGTAGAACTCAATTAATATTTATATGATTTATTTATATGTTTTTATTCACATATTTCAATAGATTAAACATCACATAGACACAAGTCATTTCATACAGGCACAGACTAGCACAGAGTTTATATATTAAAATAGTTGTACAATTGATCATTTGCATAATTAATTAATTCATCTGAGTATAAACAAGTGCCCACCAAGCCAACTAGAAAGAACAATTAATTCTATAACAAGCATGAAGTCATGCCAAATAGTGCTAGAACATCTGATAATCATGTTTATAAAATCTATTTTGTTGTAGCTCTTAAAAAAGACAAAGGAACAATGGTTTAGCCTTCAGACATATATTTGAGAATAATGTCTTCTATGAGGAAAAGTTGATAGTCATTTTGTTTCTAAGAAATACTGTTTCTTACAATTCCATTTAGTGGTTTCTTTTCTTTGATTTGGAGTACACATTTTCCATTAATTAATATTACCATTATATAAACTATGCAACTTCTATTTATTCATCTACTTTAGAGACTTAAGAATAATTATACTTTTTTCTTGCAGGAAGATAGCACTATTGCTTCACTCTTAACTTATCATGGTATAGTGAAGAAAATGTTAGTTAAAAATCAATAGACTTGGGTTTTGGTTCCCAAAACCAAATGTTTTTCAACATGTGACTTGAAAATTTACTAATTTTGCTTATCTTACTGACCCTCCATTTCTTATCTGTAAATGTTTTTTGCAATAATTGAATCAGATAATGTCTGATAGGAATATTGTCTATACACTGCAAAGCACCATAAAAAGGTTCATAGTGATAGTTATAACAACAGATACCATTTGTTTAATAGCTATGGAAAATTAGGAATTGAGCACTCAATATAATTAATCCTTACAATGATTATGCAGTATAGGTGTTATTATTCTCATTTACTGGATGAGGAAAATAAGGCTTAGGGAGATTAATTAGGTAACTTACCTGGGATCAAACAGTGATGAAAGAAAAGAGCCAGAATTTCAAACCAAAATTGGCTGATTCTAGTATTAAAAGAGAAATATGCTACTGGATTTGGGATGAGCTATTCACAGAAACTTGGAGTTAGTTTGCTTTCATTTGTGCCTCTCTCCTTTTTTCATTTCCCTTTTCAATGTACCTTCTAACACCCTTCATTTTTCTAACTTTGGAGGGCCCATCTGGTGCTAATCTGCATTACATTGTTTCTTTCTTTTTTTTTATTTTTTTAATTTATTATTATTATACTTTAAGTTTTAGGGTACATGTGCACAATGTGCAGGTTAGTTACATATGTATACATGTGCCATGCTGGTGCACTGCACCCACTAACTCGTCATCTAGCATTAGGTATATCTCCCAATGCTATCCCTCCCCCCTCCCACCACCCCACAACAGTCCCCAGAGTGTGATGTTCCCCTTCCTGTGTCCACGTGTTCTCATTGTTCAATTCCCACCTATGAGTGAGAATATGTGGTGTTTGGTTTTTTGTTCTTGTGATAGTTTACTGAGAATGATGATTTCCAATTTCATCCATGTCCCTACAAAGGATGTGAACTCATCATTTTTTATGGCTGCATAGTATTCCATGGTGTATATGTGCCATATTTTCTTAATCCAGTCTATCATTGTTGGACATTTGGCTTGGTTCCAAGTCTTTGCTATTGTGAATAATGCCGCAATAAACATATGTGTGCATGTGTCTTTATAGCAGCATGATTTATAGTCCTTTGGGTATATACCCAGTAATGGGATGGCTGGGTCAAATGGTATTTCTAGTTCCAGATCCCTGAGGAATCGCCACACTGACTTCCACAATGATTGAACTAGTTTACAGTCCCACCAACAGTGTAAAAGTGTTCCTATTTCTCCACATCCTCTCCAGCACCTGTTGTTTCCTGACTTTTTAATGATTGCCATTCTAACTGGTGTGAGATGGTATGTCATTGTGGTTTTGATTTGCATTTCCCTGATGGCCAGTGATGGTGAGCATTTTTTCATGTGGTTTTTGGCTGCATAAATGTCTTCTTTTGAGAAGTGTCTGTTCATGTCCTTCGCCCACTTTTTGATGGCGTTGTTTGTTTTTTTCTTGTAAATTTGTTTGAGTTCATTGTAGATGCTGGATATTAGCCCTTTGTCAGATGAGTAGGTTGCGAAAATTTTCTCCCATTTTGTAGGTTGCCTGTTCACTCTGATGGTAGTTTCTTTTGCTGTGCAGAGGCTCTTTAGTTTAATTAGATCCCATTTGTCAATTTTGGCTTTTGTTGCCATTGCTTTTGGTGGTTTAGACATTAAGTCCTTGCCCATGCCTATGTCCTGAATGGTAATGCCTAGGTTTTCTTCTAGGGTTTTTATGGTTTTAGGTCTAACGTTTAAATCTTTAATCCATCTTGAATTGATTTTTGTATAAGGTGTAAGGAAGGGATCCAGTTTCAGCTTTCTACATATGGCTAGCCAGTTTTCCCAGCACCATTTATTAAATAGGGAATCCTTTCCCATTGCTTGTTTTTCTCAGGTTTGTCAAAGATCAGATAGTTGTGATATGTGGCGTTATTTCTGAGGGCTCTGTTCTGTTCCATTGATCTATAACTCTGTTTTGGTACCAGTAACATGCTGTTTTGGTTACTGTAGCCTTGTAGTATAGTTTGAAGTCAGGTAGCGTGATGCCTCCAGCTTCGTTCTTTTGGCTTAGGATTGACTTGGCGATGCAGGCTCTTTTTTGGTTCCATATGAACTTTAAAGTAGTTTTTTCCAATTATGTGAAGAAAGTCATTGGTAGCTTGATGGGGATGGCATTGAATCTATAAGTTACTTGGACAGTATGGCCATTTTCACGATATTGATTCTTCCTACCCATGAGCATGGAATGTTCTTCCATTTGTTTGTATCCTCTTTTATTTCCTTCAGCAGTGGTTTGTAGTTCTCCTTGAAGAGGTCCATCACATCCCCTGTAAGTTGGATTCCTAGGTATTTTATTCTCTTTGAAGCAATTGTGAATGGGAGTTCACTCATGATTTGGCTCTCTGTTTGTCTGTTGTTGGTGTATAAGAAGGCTTGTGATTTTTCTGCATTGATTTTGTATCCTGAGACTTTGCTGAAGTTGCTTATCAGCTTAAGGAGATTTTGGGCTGAGACAATGGGGTTTTCTAGATATACAATCATGTCGTCTGCAAACAGGGACAATTTGACTTCCTCTTTTCCTAATTGAATACCATTTATTTCCTTCTCCTGCCTAACTGCCCTGGCCAGAACTTCCAACACTATGTTGAATAGGAGTGGTGAGAGAGGGCATCCCTGTCTTGTGCCAGTTTTCAAAGGGAATGCTTCCAGTTTTTGCCCATTCAGTATGATATTGGCTGTGGGTTTGTCATAGATAGCTCTTATTATTTTGAGATACGTCCCATCAATACGTAATTTCTTGAGAGTTTTTAGCATGAAGGGTTGTTGAATTTTGTCAAAGGCCTTTTCTGCATCTATTGAGATAATCATGTGGTTTTTGTTTTTGGTTCTGTTTATATGCTGGATTACATTTATTGATTTGCATATATTGAACCAGCCTTGCATCCCAGGGATGAAGCCCACTTGATCATGGTGGATAAGCTTTTTGATGTGCTGCTGGATTCGGTTTGCCAGTACTTTATTGAGGATTTTTGCATCAATGTTCATCAAGGATATTGGTCTAAATTCTCTTTTTTTGTTGTGTCTCTGCCCGGCTTTGGTATCAGGATGATGCTGGCCTCATAAAATGAGTTAGGGATGATTCCCTCTTTTTCTATTGATTGGAATAGTTTCAGAAGGAATGGTACCAGTTCCTCCTTGTGCCTCTCGTAGAATTCGGCTGTGAATCCATCTGGTCCTGGGCTCTTTTTGGTTGGTAAGCTATTGATTATTGCCACAATTTCAGATCCTGTTATTGGTCTATTCAGAGATTCAACTTCTTCCTGGTTTAGTCTTGGCAGGGTGTATGTGTCCAGGAATTTATCCATTTCTTCTAGATTTTCTAGTTTATTTGCATAGAGGTGTTTGTAGTATTCTCTGATGGTAGTTTGTATTTCTGTGGGATCGGTGGTGATATCCCCTTTATCATTTTTTATTGCGTCTATCTGATTCTTCTCTCTTTTTTTCTTTATTAGTCTTGCTAGCGGTCTATCAATTTTGTCGATCCTTTCAAAAAACCAGCTCCTGGATTCATTAATTTTTTGAAGGGTTTTTTGTGTCTCTATTTCCTTCAGTTCTGCTCTGATTTTAGTTATTTCTTGCCTTCTGCTAGCTTTTGAATGTGTTTGCTCTTGCTTTTCTAGTTCTTTTAATTGTGATGTTAGGGTGTCAATTTTGGATCTTTTCTGCCTTCTCTTGTGGGCATTTAGTGCTATAAATTTCCCTCTACACACTGCTTTGAATGTGTCCCAGAGATTCTGGTATGTTGTGTCTTTGTTCTCATTGGTTTTAAAGAACATCTTTATTTCTGCCTTCATTTCGTTATGTACTCAGTAGTCATTCAGGAGCAGGTTGTTCAGTTTCCATGTAGTTGAGCGGTTTTGAGTGAGATTCTTAATCCTGAGTTCTAGTTTGATTGCACTGTGGTCTGAGAGATAGTTTGTTATAATTTCTGTTCTTTTACATTTGCTGAGGAGAGCTTTACTTCCAAGTATGTGGTCAATTTTGGAATAGGTGTGGTGTGGTGCTGAAAAAAATGTATATTCTGTTTATTTGGGGTGAAGAGTTCTGTAGATGTCTATTAGGTCTGCTTGGTGCAGAGCTGAGTTCAATTCCTGGGTATCCTTGTTGACTTTCTGTCTCGTTGATCTGTCTAATGTTGACAGTGGGGTGTTAAAGTCTCCCATTATTAATGTGTGGGAGTCTAAGTCTCTTTGTAGGTCGCTCAGGACTTGCTTTATGAATCTGGGTGCTCCTGTATTGGGTGCATATATATTTAGGATAGTTATCTCTTCTTCTTGAATTGATCCCTTTACCATTATGTAATGGCCTTCTTTGTCTCTTTTGATCTTTGTTGGTTTAAAGTCTCTTTTATCAGAGACTAGGATTGCAACCCCTGCCTTTTTTTGTTTTCCATTTGCTTGGTAGATCTTCCTCCATCCTTTTATTTTGAGCCTATGTGTGTCTCTGCACGTGAGATGGCTTTCCTGAATACAGCACACTGATGGGTCTTGACTCTTTATCCAATTTGCCAGTCTGTGTCTTTTAATTGGAGCATTTAGTCTGTTTACATTTAAAGTTAATATTGTTATGTGTGAATTTGATCCTGTCATTATGATGTTAGCTGGTTATTTTGCTCGTTAGTTCATGCAGTTTCTTCCTAGTCTCGATGGTCTTTACATTTTGGCATGATTTTGCAGCGGCTGGTACCGGTTTTTCCTTTCCATGTTTAGTGCTTCCTTCAGGAGCTCTTTTAGGGCAGGCCTGGTGGTGACAAAATCTCTCAGCATTTGCTTGTCTGTAAAGGATTTTATTTCTCCTTCACTTATGAAGCTTAGTTTGGCTGGATATGAAATTCTGGGTTGAAAATTCTTTTCTGTAAGAATGTTGAATATTGGCCCCCACTCTCTTCTGGCTTGTAGAGTTTCTGCCGAGAGATCCGCTGTTAGTCTGATGGGCTTCCCTTTGTGGGTAACCCGACCTTTCTCTCTGGCTGCCCTTAACATTTTTTCCTTCATTTCAACTTTGGTGAATCTGACAATTATGTGTCTTGGAGTTGCTCTTCTCGAGGAGTATCTTTGTGGAGTTCTCTGTATTTCCTGAATCTGAATGTTGGCCTGCCTTGCTAGATTGGGGAAGTTCTCCTGGATGATATCCTGCAGAGTGTTTTCCAACTTGGTTCCATTCTCCCCGTCACTTTCAGGTACACCAATCAGACGTAGATTTGGTCTTTTCACTAGTCCCATATTTCTTGAAGGCTTTGCTCATTTCTTTTTATTCTTTTTTCTCTAAACTTCCCTTCTCACTTCATTTCATTCACTTCATCTTCCATCGCTGATACCCTTTCTTCCAGTTGATCGCATCGGCTCCTGAGGCTTCTGCATTCTTCAGGTAGTTCTCGAGCCTTGGTTTTCAGCTCCATCAGCTCCTTTAAGCACTTCTCTGTATTGGTTATTCTAGTTATACATTCTTCTAAACTTTTTTCAAAGTTTTCAACTTCTTTGCCTTTGGTTTGAATTTCCTCCCGTAGCTCAGAGTAATTTGATCGTCTGAAGCCTTCTTCTCTCAGCTCGTCAAAGTCATTCTCCGTCCAGCTTTGTTCCGTTGCTGGTGAGGAACTGCGTTCCTTTGGAGGAGGAGAGGCGCTCTGCTTTTTAGAGTTTCCAGTTTTTCTGCTCTGTTTTTTCCCCATCTTTGTGGTTTTATCTACTTTTGGTCTTTGATGATGGTGATGTACAGATGGGTTTTTGGTGTGGATGTCCTTTCTGTTAGTTAGTTTTCCTTCTAACAGACAGGACCCTCAGCTGCAGGTGTGTTGGAGTACCCAGCCATGTGAGGTGTCAGTCTGCCCCTGCTGGGGGGTGCCTCCCAGTTAGGCTGCTCGGGGGTCAGGGGTCAGGGACCCACTTGAGGAGGCAGTCTGCCCATTCTCAGATCTCCAGCTGCGTGCTGGGAGAACCACTGCTCTCTTCAAAGCTCAGATGGAAATGCAGAAATCACCCATCTTCTGCGTCGCTCACGCTGGGAGCTGTAGACCGGAGCTGTTCCTTTTCGGCCATCTTAGCTCCTCCCTTACATTGTTTCTTAGCTTTTTGGGTTTACCTTCACTTTTCCTCATCTGATATATAGAATTTATGTAATGCTGTTGATCATCTGATCCACTTTAGTTTTATTAGATATTAAAGAGGACACACAGAGATAGAAGCAGTATCTTAGAAGACAAGAGGTGAGGAGAGACTTCAGATCCTTGAGCAAAGTTTTCCAAGTATTTTTGAGTAGACACTATATGGCATAAAATGACAAAAGGCCACAATAAGAAGATAAGATTACTGGTTGGTATTTTTTAAAGACAAACATTTTCAAGCTGAGACTGTATGTCACGTTTTCAAATTACTTTCCCCAGATCTTTTGATACTGTCCCCATCATTTGTCATGTGATGTGGATTAGTATGGTTTTGGGAAATAAGCTGATGTGTAAAAACAAAGAAATTGTTTCAGTGAGAAAGGAGGAGTTTTAACCTATATAAATCTTCATCAACATTTTCTTCTTGAAAGGGGCCTTTAAAATGGTGATGTCTAGTGAACAGTAACATTATCAATGGGGAAAACTGACATAATCCATGGCTCTTGATATAATATACATTGAAGGATGTAATGTCATCGATGTAATATTAACTAATTATGAAGAAACAATCAACCAAATCTGAATTGAAGGTCATTCTATAGAAAAACTGGTTTTGACTCTTCAAAAATCATAATGTCATGAAAGCACCCTCCACCCTCCTAAAAGGGCAGAGGACTGAATTAAAATATACTAAAGACTAAAAGAGACATGCAGCTATAATCAGTACATTATTTCAGTAGAGAGGTTCTTCCAAAAAATTAAAAATAGAAATACCATATGATACAGTAATCTCACTTCTGGGTATATAGCCAAAGGAAATAAAATCACTATCTCAACAAAATAGCTACCCAAATACCCAAAGGAAAAGAAGCCATTATGTGAAAAAACTCAGGCACATGCATGTTTATAGCAGCATAATCCACAATTGCAAAAATATGGAACCAACCTAAGTGCCCATCAACCAACGAGTGGATAAAGAAAATATGGTATATATACACCATGGAATACTACTTCGCCATAAAATGGAACTAAATAATGGCCTTTGCAGCAACTTGGATGGAATTGGAGACCATTATTCTAAGTGAAGTAACTTAGGAATGGAGAATCAAATATTGTATGTTCTCACTTATAAGTGGAAGTTAAGCTCCGAGGATGCAAAGGCATGAGAATTATAGACTGGACTTTGGGGACTCAGGGGGAAAAGTGGGAAGTGGAGGGTGAGGATTAAGACTACATTTTGGGTACAGTGTACACTGCTCAGGTGATAAGTGCAATAAAATTTCAGAAATCACCACTAAATAACTTATCCATGTAACCAAAAACCACTGGCTCCCCAAAAGCTATTGAAATAAAAAAATTTTTTTTAAATAGCTGCACTCACATGTTCACTGCTGCATTATTCACCAATAGTCAAGATATGGAGACAGCCTAAATATTTATAAGTAAATGAATGAATAAGGAAAATTTGGTATGTATATATGTAGGCATGTACATACAAATATATGTATATGCACACACACACACACACAAGAACAGTATTCAGCCTTAAATATGAAGTAAATTCTAACATTTGTGACAATGTAGATGAACCTGGAGGACATTATGCTAGGTGAAATGAGCCAGACACAGGAAGACAAATGCTGTATAATCTCGCTTATATATGGAATCTAAAAAAGTCGAACTCATAGAAACAGAGAGTAGAAGAGTAGTTACCAGCAGTAGCTGGAGTGAGGAGGGGAAGAGGAGATTTTAGTGAAAGTACAAACTTGCAGTTCTAACATGAATAAGTTCTGGATACCTAATTTACAGCATGATGACCACAGTTAATAGTAATATATTTTATGCTCAAAATGTGCTAAGAGAGTAGATCACACACACAGGTAACTATGTGAAGTGATGGATATGTAAATTAGCTTGTGTGGTAATCATTACATAATGTATATGCATAGCAAAACATCATTTTGTACACCTTGAATATACACAATTTTTGTTTGCTAATTTTACCTCAATTAGGGTGAAAAAAAATGGGGCAAAAAGAAGGTTGAAACTGTCTATGTACTGTAAAACTATGTGCTGACATGGAAAAAAGACTATGATTTAGTCAAAAAACAGATAAACAATTTTTGAAAAAATTATACACACACATATTTGTACTTTAGAAAATAGAAATTATTGGAAACAGTGATGGGTCAAATGAATCAGGATGCAAGATTAGTTGTCAATATACTTAAAAACAGTATCATTCTTTTGCTTTTGATCATCTTTTGTAATGTTTTTAAATAATATGAAACTGGATCCTAAGCTATTACAGGTTGAGATGAGGTATAGTGTGCAGGATGTTTGTTAAAGTGTGCTATGGGATTAACAACCTCAGAATGGAGGGTGAAGTGGTAGGGTTGTGGGCCCAATGACGGGTCCAGACAACCATAATAGGAACTCGAGTTAAAATGGCTCCTTAGAGCTGTCACACACTGTGTCGAAATAACAATCTCGTAATACTCTTGCCTCAATCTGTCTTTGGATACCGGCTGTCCTAAGAAGAATGTAGCCTTGGGAGAGGGGCTGTCTACAACTAAAGCAATTCTTGCAGGAGCTGACCCCAAAGTCTGTCTTCAGATGGCATTCCCAGCAGCTCAGCAACAAGTACTTTCTTGAAGGAGGGTCTGGATGGTGCATCTTCATCTTCATATGTAATTTATTTTCTTTTGATTCAGCAGTAACATATTCCTTTAAAAAATGTTTAGTTGAATTTGGGATTCTAATTTCAACTGCTCAGTAAGAAAATGAATAGGTTTACATAAGCTCTATCTTCTACATTCATAGCCCTGCTGCTACACATGGCTGTACATCAGTTCTTAAATTCTATTAATCTTTCTTCATCTTTCTTAGTGCCAGCTATGGATGGAATACTGTCCCCCTAAAATTTATATGTTGAAGCCCTAACAACCAATGTAACTATATTTGGAGATAGTGTCATTAGAAGGTAATTAGGAAGATGGTGTCATTAGAAGGTCATAGGATGGAACCCTAATCCAATAGGACTGATGTCTTTATAGAAAGAGGAAGAGAGAGATGCACACTCAGAGAAAAGGCCGCATGGGGACAAAAGTGGCTGTGTGCAAGCTGGAAAGAAAGCCTTCACCAGAGTTCAAACCCTGCCCAGAACCTTGATCATGGACTTTCCAGGCTTTAGAACTAGGAGAAAACAAATTTCTATAATTTAAGCCACGAAGTCTGTGATGTTTTATTATGGCAGCCTGAGCTGACTGCCCAAAATTGAAGGGCAGATCCAAAATTTGCCAAATAGACCACGTGATTGATAGTTCTCAAACTGACATGATTTTGTACATGGCACAGTGGAATTCTAGTAACAATGCGTGATATAGCGAAGTCATATCATATTCAGCTTCCTCCATCCCTTTCTTTGTGTCCCTAACCAGTCACATGATTGTTCTGTCTAAACTTTTACTTAAAATTGTTTAATTCTATATTTTTTTCTGTTTAAAAAAGTCATATGTTATGGAAAAGAAATATGTAATGGAAAAAAATTAGGTACTTTAGAATTGGGCTTAATTTGTTGTTTGTTTTTATAATGCTGGTGACATTATGAAGACACTAGACTTTCCTAAGATTCTGTGATCCAGATTGGTTCATTTTTCTTTACCTTACTCTGGGATTATAGGAAAACCATAGTTACTAAGAAAGGGTTCTGGTAACCGTAATATTTACCTCTTGATCAGGCTGTTTGATGTCTTTTCTTCAGAAAGAAAAGGGTGCTTTAGAAAAAAATCCATCCAATCTCACTTTTTCTTTTTTGGCCATAATTGAAAAATGGCTAGCCAAAGCATGAGCACGGGCAAGGTATGTCTTTAATGTTCTGTGTAGTGAATACCAACTATCTTTTGTGGGATTAAATCTATGGTTTGAGGTTTATTATCTATCACTGGGCCTTGAGGAGGAGAGCAAACAGCGCAAAGAATAAATTGGTAGATGTCATTAATGAAGGGTATAAAGCAAAAGTATGTCCAAATGCAAGTTAATGTATTATATCCCTAGGCAGAAATTGGAATATGTGCTTTTTCAGATGTAACATTTTAATTGGCCTACCTGGTAGAAGGTTAAATAAAATGTACACTAAACCTCATTACTACTCAATTGTCAAATAGCCTCCCTGCAACATGATTAAAACTAGCAGACTGAGTGGGTGCAACCCAGAATTATGAGAGAACTTAAAGTTGTCTTTAGGAGCACTTTGCAACACAGAATTTTAAGTGGTCCCATTAGACCAACTACGCTCTTGCTATTTTATCCAGGAGTTTTAGGTACAGAGCTGGGTATTTAAAAATTCCCTTTCCATATAATAATCCATTTCAAATGCCCTTCTGGAAATTATCTGTGATAGTACATTTCTAATAAAATGCCACTGTTGAATGAAACCTAACCACCTGGCAAGAAAACAAACTATTATATCTTAGCATGATATTTGCAGATTTTTCTGGCATAAAGTGGTTCAGAAAACAACAGACTGTCTTTGCTACTCCCCAGCCCCCCGAACAAAATCTATTAAAGATAACCTCATTCAGAACAAAGATAGATGTGTGAAGATGAACACAATGGAATATCAGAAGCCTTTGAAATTCCAAAAAAATAAAGATGAGCTCAAAATTTGTCATGATTACATTTTTTTAAATCATCTTCTATGCTATAAGGAATAGATTTTCCACATTTTTTTCTGTATTTTTGCATGCTGACTGCCTAGCTACCGGCTGTTCCAACCATTATCTCTCCAAATAACCAGCAAAAAGAAATACCACAACATGTGTCACTGTGCTTCTGGAATTCCTTCTGTCAACAAATATTTATTGAGCCTCTTCTTTGTGACAAATTCACTAAGGATGGCCCAGTGAAAATAAAACTTCAGCCCTTCAGGAACTCACAATCTAGTGGAGGAGAGCCCAAGGAAGCAAATACTTGCAATCCAGTGCAATAAGAGCTACGATAGTGACAATATGAGGTGCAACAGAAACACACCAGAGGGATATCTAACTTAGTCTTAAAGGGAGAGACAAGTTAAAAGTTCACAAAGGAAGTAATGTTTAAGTTGAAACCTAAAGTAGAGAACAGGATCAAAGAAAGAAAATGGCAACAGGAAGTGCAATGATTGGGAAGTAAGACCAGGTATGTCAAATTGGTGGAAATTCAGGTAATTTGATTAACTTACAGCTTGGTTTTCAAGGTAAAGTGAGAGGCATTGTGGAAAATAAAGCAGGAAAGCTAAGTTTACAAGGAAGTGAAAGACTTGCAAACTGCCTTACAGACTTCAAATTTTATTTTAAAGTCAACATGGAAGGATTTAAGTAGGGAAGTCACAGGATCATATTAGCATTTTGGAAAAATCACTCTGGCTAAGCTAAAGATATGAAGAATGGGTTGAATTGAGATAAGCCTGAATCAAGGTAAGGCCAAATTATGGGTAATGAAAAGCCTATTGCAGCAACCCAGGGGCAGTAGAATGAAGAAAAGGAGATGAATTTGAAAAATACTTAGGAAGTACTTTTGACAGGACTTAGTGATGATTGTTTTAGGTAGGAAATGAGAAAGACTGAAGAGTCAAAGATGAGAATCAAGTTTCTGACATAAAAAGTTGAATATATCAGATAAGTAAACAATGATGGGAGGGAAAGGGTATGAATTATGGATAAATAGCTTGAAAATGAGATTTGCAGTTCCACTTGAACCGAGAGATAAGAGAACAAGGAAGAACTGATTAAATGCAAGAAGTTTGTAGGTATAGTGGCAACAAGCTTGTAGGTTGAGTTAATTTCAGTCTAATGATTTCTCTCTCCTTTAGAATGTCAGAGCCAAAGTTGTCTGCTGAGAAGCAGAGACAGGAAGTATGGAGGTTTAAAGAGAATAGATAAATTTTGAAAAAGCTGATTTTCAGAATGGAATAAAAAGTGATGAGAAACTTACAGAAGAGATGTTAGGCAGTACTGATCCTTTTAAAACATGAGTTCATAAAATTAATTAGCATTAATGGCAATTAAATGACATTAATTGTCAGAGTTGTGTGATTTTTTTAAAGTAATGCTCAGTTTCCTAGGTAGGAAGGAGGCAATAAATAAATAAATAAATAAATAAATAAATAAAACCAAATTGATCTAAAGTTGAAGGTTTTCCAGGTAGCCAAGACATAAGAAAACAGGACAAGGGATTTGAGGATGACAAGGACAACACCAAAAATGTTTGAAGACAGTGGGGTTTTGGCTGAGTAAAGCAGGAAATGACAACCAGAGGAGGCTGACGGGAAAATAAAAGGATCAAAGGATTAGAGATACCAAGAACATGAGGGACGAATCTAGCGACAATCATAGAGGGAGATGCAAAGATAGGAAAAGAAAAGAGGAAAAATGCAGTCAGAGACTAGAATGTTTTAAATTAATGCCTCAGAAACAGTTGGAAGTTCAAGATGATGATAAGCAGGTGATGACATGCTCTAAGGAGTATGTTAATAAAGGTAAAGATCCCTGAAGGTGAGGGAGTGCAGGCACAGACAGACTGCAATAGACATACTGTCCTTGTGTACATTGAAATGATTCAGGAAGGGGAGAAAACTGAGGTGAAGAAAAAGACCATTAAGCCACCAACATTTTATTCAAAGAATGAAGGGAAGTCACCAGCATCAGATGATGATACTGACAATTTGGGAGGAAGGATGCAGTGAGCCTTTAGAAATGGAGATTTGGTATGAAAGTGAAAGAAGAATTGTCTGGAATAAAAATTGAGGCATGAAAACTACGTGTGCAACACTAATCCTGTGACATGTCAGGGTCAGGATGTAGAGGGAAATAGCCCTTTCTTCTATAAATACATCTCACTCCCCTTCTCAGCAAGAAGACCACCCTCCATGGGCTTTATTAAAATTTAATCACCATTTTGAACTGGGCTTATTGTAATTATGTTTGTAGACAATAAATCCTTTTCTCTCTCTTTTCAAAACTAGCTGGGTTTTTACGGCATGAATATTTGGGACCCTACACTCCAGCTGCTGCACATCAATCTTGCATGAGCACTAACCAAAAAAGTGCATGTGCTGGCAGAAGGTGAGGACCACACTGGGTTTTCTCATCCAGGGATGGTCACCCTGATGTGTAGTCAATCAACAGGAAAGGTGTGCATTTTGCAAAGACCCTCCAAGAGGTCACTTTCCTAGGTGTGATCAATCTCCCCCATGCTGATCATGTTACAGCGATTACCACTCTATTCTAACAGCTTCTTCTCCAGGGAGAAACAAAACTTTGTCTGTGAATGTGTAGTATGGTCTGTCTTGTCAGGTTAAATTACCTTGTAACATAACTCACTGTAAATTCACCTCATAAGTAAAAACCAATTGGAGATTTTAAAACACTATCCAAAAACATTCAATCTGGAGGTGGAATTACGTTCTGCAATTGCAAATGAACCATGCCAGTGACCCTTACCATCAGCAAAAGAGTCAGCACTTCTTCAATTCAGCGCATAAGGAAAAGAGGTCTGTCATGCTTTATGGCCTAAGAAGTTCTTGCTGCGCCAAAAAAATACTGTCTGTTCTTATGACCTTTGAAGAGATAGATACAAAAAAAAAACTAACATGTAAAGAGCACCTCATATATGTTATGCTAATGCTTCACACATTTTTTTATAAGACCGGAATAAGTACTGCCTTCTCTGGGAAGCCTTCCCAGGCCACCTCCCAAATCAAAGGGTGATGGATAATTTTCTGTGCTAAGTTAACTGGGCTATGAGGTGCTCAGTTGTTTGGTTAGACAACATTCTGGATGTGTCAATGAGGGTATTTCTAAATCAGATTAACATTTGAATTGTAGACTAAATAATGTAGATTGTCCTCTCCAATGTGGACGGGCCTCATCCAATCTATTGAAGGACTAAATAGAACAAAATGGCTGAGCAAGAAAGCATTTTTCTTTCTCTGCCAGTCTTGAAGTAGGAATGTTCAATGCTGGCACGCTGGACTTGGACTCAGCCTGGAACTCATCAGCTCTCCTGGTCCTTAGGCCTTTGGATTTGAATTGGAACTATACCATGGGCTCTCCTGGGTCTCCAGTTTCCCAACTGCAAATCTTGGGACTTCTCAGCCTCCATAATCTCATGAGCCAATTCCTTATTTTACCCCGACTAATACGTAGTTTAGTGCTTATCTGTTGTCTTTCTCTGCTGCGTGCCACATAATTACCATCTCCTTTATCTTGCTGTGTACTATTTTTTCTCCTCGACTGTAAGCTATTTGAGTGAGTCTTACTTATTTTAGTATTGTTAGTGCCTAGAACAGTATCTAGCACATAAGGGTGCTAAATGAATGGGATTAATTAGATATTTAATGCCCATAATATAGTCAACATCATTACCATTTTTGTGAGGAATCTAAAGTTCAGGGTCATCAAATATTTGATATAAAGCCACATAGTAAGTGGTAGAGTTGAGTTTTGTAATTGGGAGTGGCTGACTCCGAAATTCCCACAGATTTTTTTTATATCACTTCCCTTCTGCTTCCCCTTTCAAACAAAATTTCTGAGTAATCCAGTTTAGTTCTAGAATTAATTCCACTAGAATATGAGAAAGGCAGTGAATGGGATTTAAAAAATTTGGCTCTAGAGGCAGATTGCTTGGGTTCAAATCCTAGATCCTCTGCTTATAGAACAACTCTAAACTAATTACCTCTCTTCCCAATGTTTCAATGTGTTCCCTTATCCACAAGTATTACCTATGTATATCAGTAAGCTATTCCCACAATAATGCTGCCAAACAAGCCACTCTAATGTATTAGCTTAAAGAGTAATCATTCTCGTGGATCTGCAAATAGGCTAGGGTCCAACTGATCCACATTAGGCTTGACTTGGAGGTGGGAGCCATCTTCTGCTTCCAGATGCAGCAGCTGGAGCATCTCTTGTTTCTACTGCAAGCCTGTAGCCAATCAAGGCAGCTATGCATTGAATATCCTTCCTTCTTTCAGGACAGTTTTCTCTCTGCCACCCAGGCTGGAGTGCAGTGGGGAGATCTCAGCTTACTGCAACCTCTGCCTCCCGGGTTCAAGCGATTCTCCTGTTTCAGCCTCCTGAGTAGCTGGGATTACAAGTGCATGCCACCACGCCCGGCTAATTTTTGCATTTTTAGTAGAGACGGGGTTTTGCCATGTTGGCCAGACTGGTCTTGAACTCCTGACCTCAAGTGATCTGCCCACCTCGACCTCCCAACGTGCTGGGATTACAGGCGTGAGCCACCGCACCTGGCCCATATAAGCTTCTTAAGGCCTATGTTTGGGGCTGGCACTCTGGCCTTTCCACCCACATGTAATTGGGCAAAGTAGGTGACACGGCCATGTAAAGAGGTGGAGAAATATGCTCCTTCCACAGTGAGACTGTGGCAAGGAAGTGGTGAAAAACCAGACAGGAAGGAATTAAGAACTGGGCCAAAATTTCAGCCTACTACCCTGTCTCTGAGAGTTGTTGTGGGAATGTAATAAGTTAATACATGTATCACACAAAACAGAGACTAGCACTATTGAGAGGTGAAAAATGTTCTGGATATTCTACCTGTATATTAAAAAATTGCCTTATGGGATGTCCCTGGCTCTGTCACTAATTATCTGTAAGATTGTGATAAGTCATAGGATCACCTTGTGTCCTTTTGTTTTTACCTACCAGTCAAGTTTGTAATAGCTTGATTCCTTTCTTCATTGTATTACTCAAAGGATCCAATAACATATAATAAGTGATCATGTTTCAAAAAGAATAAAACATCCTCAGAATGCAAATTGTAATATACATGGCTAATTCTAAATAACCATTTGGTTAAGGTCAGTAAATTGCTCCAATTTTAAGTGATAGGAAGCCATAGTTCTTATTTTATAGATGAGGTAAATGCTTCAAGGAACTAAAGTACTCCTTTTCTGGCCATAAATCCAAATATTGGCTTAGAAGAAATAGAATTAATGTTTCCTGTCTTCTAGGTGTTAACTGGGTCAGAAACCGAACACTGATGCTAACTGTTAAGGTTTATTATCCTTCAGCATGAGGTGGTTCACATTCTGATTCTAGGGGTTCAGGGTAGTAAGGAAATCTCCAGGCAAGTACGTAATCTCAAACACTCATTCAGTTAACAAATCTGCTAAGTGCCAGTTTTCAGGGACTTTCAGCTGTGGGGTTAAAGACTGTGAGGGCTACCATACATCTCTGAGAACAAGCCTAAATACCACAAGTCATGAAATTAATTATCTCAGTTTCATGGGTTTCCAGATGCTAATGTGCAATATCCTATTTATTCTCCATCCCCATTGATGAGACAAAAGAAGAGGAAAAATATAATTATCAAAAAAACCACACCCAGAGAGAATGGGGTGGGTAGGCAGGAGCAGGATTCTGAGCAGGAAAAAAAAGACAGCATATACTTTCAATTCTCTAAACCCAGGGCTGAGGCTCCAAAGTTCTGCAAGCTCTCTCTTTTTCCTGTATACTGTTGTAAGACACAGATAACTGACTGCTCACGAACTTTCTAGGAAATTCATTTTAGATGATCATTAGAGTCAGGGCAGAATCTTCAGGGATGGTGGAGACTACTGAGGCAGGGCTGAAAGGGCTCGCATCAATAGCCTTGAGGGCAAACAAGCACCAAGCATGGTGTCAGAATACAATACAGTAAGTGCTATGCCATGGGAACATAAGAAGAGAGTCCTCAAGTGGGAGGCTTCATGGAGGACACAGAATATCTGCTGAGATTTAAAGATGAGTAGGAGTTTGGCCAAGCAGATCTAAGGCATTTCAAGCAAAGGCAACAGGTGCAAAGGCATAGCACATGAGAAAACCGAATCTATTTGGAAAAGTATTACCATAGCCTATTCATGAGCAGTATTTATGTGCAATTTAGAAAGCAACTGAAGGGCCCTGTTACCTCTCTCCCTTGAGCCTAGGATCTGGAGGAGTTATCTTAGAGTCTGAACATACAAAGCCAGGCCTACAAAAAATAATGACATACAATGTGATACATGTTAAAATGGAAATATATGCGAAAACTGGTGGCATAGAGAAAAGAGGTCTTTAGGGATGCCTGGGGAACCAGGGATGCCTTCAGGTATTATTTCACACTCTTGCAGAACCAGTGTTCCTTTTCTTACTCAGTATTATTGCTAAATTTGGCCCAATAAATCACATTCCTCTTCACTCATGGAAACTTTTCTCTCCATGGCCCTCCATCTAGCTTCCATTGGGCTTTCCGTCACCCTGTTATTTCACCCTGTTAAATATCTCCAAAGCCCATTTCCTAAGGACGGGTTTCAAGGTCTTTCCTGTGGAGTTCCTAAAACTTGGAAATTAGGAAATTCAGCTAGATAACAGGAAGAAAATCACCTTAATACACTGATCACCATTTATTTTTATCAAGAGTGATTTATTAGTCACACACTGCATGGTAGACATTGCTGTAGGCACCAGGGATACAATGAGCATAACAAATATCTCCATTTTTTATGGTGCATACAGGCCAATGTCTCAGCACCTCAGCTCCAGTCCTATGATCCAGTTGGAAATCATATTTTTTAAATGGTATAATAGAAATACAATGTTAAGAGCTGTGGGAGTTATTAGAAGGTTTTGAAAGAAAGATCTACTTACTGGAGAGCCACCATTTAGGACAAATGTCTAAATAACATTGCCAATGAGATACGAGCATGTGGATTCGTGTATTAAAAATTGTTCTTCTCTCCTTCTTTTCTCTATTCCTTCCTTTCAACTTGTTTGTTTTTACCTAATTCCCATTCATGAAAATAAGATTTGGATTAAGATCTGTGATGATTTCCACATCTTACCGTAAAATAGCACTGTTTGAATTCCTAATCCTTCTGCTGCTTCTTGAAGAGTGGAGTCTACAATTTACCTTTTGGTGGCTAATTCTAGGCATCTGTTTAGCCCCGGAACCTGTGTCAATCATTAAAAGAGCTTTAACTTATTGCTATAAAAAGTGGTTGGAATCCATTTTATTTCCCAAGCATATCACCCACCCCAGTTACACACAAAGAGTGGACTCACTGATGATTCTATTAAGTTTAGTCATTATATATAAATGGGGTCACATCATATGCATATTTAAGTTGCACATAATTAACTTCAGTCCCATGGAGAAAGAGAAAGAGTTAAACAGTACAGAAAATTCCACTCGTCATTCCACTCATGGAGCACAAGCCCTACTCTGAATGTGAAAACAAGAGTTATGGTGTTGCCTCAGTCTCAGGTCTCATGTGTCTCTCAAAAAAATGAGTGCGATTCCAATGTTTAAAGATAGCATTTTTTTCGTACAACATTGCCCCCATATGCAAGCCTACTTCATCTGATGCCCAACTGCAGAAACAGTGCTCTATTCCCGGGCTGAAAATAAACCTGGAAGTTGGATCTATTGAGAAACTGTATGTCAGCCTCCAAAATGACATCTTTTTAATGTATTTCCAAAGGTAATTTTGCTTTATGTAACATTTGCCTTATAATCTGTCTTTAAGACTTAACCTCAGCGTAAAATATTATTTCATTCTGCTACCAAACTGAGATTGGTCCAAGATCTTTGAAGCTTATCTCTCTGACCTGTACAGATGCTGTCAGCATCCTCCCATATGCTCTCTGCATTCACCACTACTGTACATACCTTCTAACACAAACTGCCAGCATCTGCAGCTCTACCTGAGGGCTCCCCTCTGGCCACCAAGGTCTGCTTTGCTCATCTGTGGGGCAGGCCAGAAATGCTGAGAAATTAGTGAATACTAGAAACAGCCCATAACAATGACTGACAGGAAGACGGCAGATGACAGGCTAACTCTCAGGTGCATATTTCACAGTGTACCCCAGAGTTCCCTATCGGGATGAAGGTAGAGTTTCCCAGAGTGATAAGTTGCTTGATGAAACCATGTATTGGCTTTCTTTCCTCCCCTTTCCCTTTCCTAGTATTTTCTGGGATCCCAACTAAGAAAATTTCCCTTGAATCTTTGTCTCAAGAGGAAGATTACTTCTGGAGGAATGCAAACTACAACACACAGAGTCCTTGCCCCAAGCATCAGACTAAAAACAAAAAAAAAATATCAAAATTGGGTGAAATGGGTTCAGTCCCTTCATCATGGCTTTTTCTTCACATAGCTAGAGCAAATAAGACTATGGTTTTATATAACCTTTGGTTTATATAATCTGTATAACATTTCCTAACACCTATGCCTAGAAAAAAAAAACCTGCTGTAGGTGTATAAAATTTGAACCTAACTAAATAAAATCAATTCTAATTTGATACCTGATACCATTTTCCCATAGGAAAAGTCTGGAACTTACTTGGGTGTTTTCTGTGCCTAGGGAGATACTTGGACCTTTCAACAGGAACACTGCTAACTATTCTGTCCCTTGTATCTGAAAGTTTAAAAATTCGTGTTTCCAGTGTGTTGGTCCACAGGTATTTCTTTCAAACAACTGCTGGTAGAATTCACTTGCATGAACTAATTTATTTTAAATTATATGCTTAGAACTTTCCCTGGGGTTAGACACCTTTAAATTTGACGCGTACATTCACACAAACCAAAATAGACAAAATAGTAAAATCCCATATTATATGAAGAAAGTCATTACTGTTATTCCTAGGTATGAGAAATCTAGGATTCCATAAAATTTCACTCTCAAGAAGATAGGTATCTTCAGAATTACCTTCCTAGAATAAAGCTTGAGGCTGAAAGACATAAGAAACCATTGCATTTTTAGGGCAAACAGAAATATAATACTGTCCTATAATATTATTAAATGTCATCTCAGAGACTGTGGATTTTTATCGTAAAGGAAAAAGAGATTTAAGAGGTATATTTCTCAGTGGTGCTTTTGGCCATTTTCCTCTAAGGGTGCATTTTATTGAAGATTTTCCTGTGGAAATTTAAGATATTAAGATTGCATGTAGACCTTCACCTCAAAGGGTTGTAGTGATTTTAGGCTAAGTAATATTGCCTCTTATTATAGTTCTTAAAAAATATTTCATTAACTGGACACCCTAGTTACAGTCTCGAAAATCTGTATACTGTATTTACTAAAAGCCATCTCCTCTTGTTCCTGGAGGAGTGTGAGTGCTCTTTGTTTATGCCTCCTCCATGCTGAAACATTCTGTGTACCAACTGATGTGCAGTGTTCTTGGCACCCTCAAGACCTGAAATGACTGGCTCTGGAATATATTGTATTGATCTCGCAGTGACATTTGTGCCTCTAGCTTGTTCCCTGGCTGGGGTCTGAGATAGATCCACACACAGGGCTGCCTTAGGCTTGAGGTAGTCTGTTGAGTTTGTACCTCTAAACATTATTTATCATTTGATTCTCTTTAGATGACCTGTAATTGTTAATTTTCAGTTTAAAAAATAAAATAAAATAATCTGCTTTGTGTGTTTCAGGAAAATAATAAAAACAGAGTCTGACCACATTGATTTTATGTAGACTCTACACCTTTTTTTAAGGAATAATTATTTTATGCTCAGATAAAAATAATGTAAAAATAATCGGAAATATTCATACTCAGGGGAAACATGACCTGTTTCATTCAAATGGCAGAAAATAGTTTCTAAATCACTTTAAATCATAAGGGTATACGCATAGAAAGGACATTTAAAAGGCGTTTTTCTTTTCTTTAACATTTCACCCATGCAGGATTGTATCTCATTTCTTTGAAAACAACCCTTTAGTGCTTATTACTGTGCTGTCTTTGAGAGCAGATCTCCTGACTTCTATTATAATGAGGTCTAAAGAGAAAGAGAGAGAAGAGAGAGAGAGAGAAAGACAGAGGCAGAGGATTTTAATGGGAGGATATCTTCTTGTTAGAACCAATAAAGCTAAAGCAGCCCTAGAATGATAGATTATTTTGTTTCATCAGTTTCAAAACAACATTTGAAGAATATGCTAACATTCTCTTAAAAATCTGTTCTTTCTGCTCATAATCCCAAGCAGAAATCTTCAGATACTGTGAAAGCATATTCACATTTCATTACCACAGCTGCCCAGGCAGCTGTATAGAATAGAAATCTATCAGTCATTGATGTTTTTGAAGCACTGACAGGCAGTCTTTAGGGAAAATCAAGTAAAAAGACTAACTCTGAATTAAAAGGTATGCAGATAACCCTCATTTTCATGATGAATAAATTTCAAATAAAGCTACCTAGAAAACACACACACACACAAACACACACACCCCACACATACACACATGTATTTCTCAGTTAATATCAGCAAAAATACACTAAATATGCTAAACCCCTCTGAGACTAGTTTGGTACACTGGCAAAAATAAACAGACTGATTCCAGAGATCATACAGCAGCTGTATGACCCTAAGATATTTGTCTCTCTGAGGGACAAAGAATCAACTGAACCCTAAATGTGCATCCTCCTCATGAGATTGTGTCCATTAAAGCTGATCATTTTAATCAACTTCAGAATCAATATCCATCAGTGAGATAGTATTGGGTGCAGTGTTCGAAGTCTGGCCACTGAAACCAAAATACATGGCCTCAATTAAGAAAAGATTTGATTTGTAGGCTACTTATGGGGAAGAAACAAAAACTCTCTGATATCCTGCCTATTTCTTGGGTCTCCAACCCAAAAGAAAATGCCTTCCCTACATAGCAAAAAGGAAAATAGGCAAATGGTAACCGATTAATAAAATAGGTTAAAATATCCAGAGTAATGAAACTAGATTAATGAACGTGCTAAAATAATTCATCTTGGAAAGGGATAAATGAAGGACTTTATAAAGAAAACCTATTCTTTATATGAGTAAGACCTATGAATTAATCTGGAAAAGTATTAAATTTCTACTCAAGTACAGCATTCCTATGCAAACTTGACTTTATTTCTAAAAAGCCATGCAAATGGAGGGTAAGAACTACTATGTCCAAACTGAGGAACGGCATCCCCACAACCATCTCCCCATCCCTATTTACAACCCCATTTACTTCTCTCACAATTCTCATCTGCATGATGAATAAATTTCAAATAAAACCACCTAAAACACACAGAAACAGAGATCAATAGAATGAAATTTGTCACTTTAAGAAATGTATTCTTTGGACCTGTAAGACAACCAAGTTAGATAGTTCATACACAAATCAAACCATAACTGTGAACTCATTTATATTTTAATAAAATGGGGAGAAACAGAGAGTGTTGAAAGTACACCAAAATATTATCTAGAATGTTTGTTAGTTAATTCAAATGAAAAGCAGCTTGGGTATTAAAGTACATTTTCTTTTTGCCACTGAGTGAATAATTTTAGTCCACAGAAAATGCACAATAATTTTTGTCACTGATCCTGACACCACTAACCGAGAAACTGAGTAATTATATTCCCTAGAATCTGTCCCTATTCCTAGTACTATGCTGGTTATCTGCAAAGGAATATCTCTCCAATGATTTGGATGAATTATATGATAGGGTTTTGTGTTCTGGTATACAGAACTGAAATATGATCTTCAATCTTACACACAGTAATTGCATATGGCAGATTAATGTCAAAGAGGCTTGAAAAAGCTAGGTTCATCATCAGAATTTTCCTCTAGTGCTGAGTTATGACCTAATGTGTTTCCCTGAAGTGTCCCAAAAAGATGAAAGAATATGGTTGGAAATACTATATAGTGCCCATAAAAGAGGTGTTCTTTCCCATCATTCAGAAAAAAGCAAGGAAAAGATTTGCTAAACCATCATTTCCAGATAGCAGTCTATTGCAAGATCATTGAAACTCACCTAGATTATTCTGAGGTAGATCATACTTTGAACGTCATTTTAACATATTGATATGATCAGATACACATACTACCAATGTCTCAAGCCACTCACTCTCTTTGGATGTAGTCATCACACATGGTGACCTAAGAATTTTATGGGTGAGAATAAAGTATTAATGAGGTCACAGTTATGGTATTGATTTCTGTATGAACTATCTAACTGAACTATCTAACTTGGTTCTCTTACAGAACCAAAGACTACATTTCTTTTTTTTTTTTTTTGAGATAGAGTTTCGCTCTTGTTGCCCAGGCTGGAGTGCAATGGCGTGATCTCAGTTCACTGAAACCTCCGCCTCCCGGGTTCAAGTGATTCTCTTGCCTCAGCCTCCTGAGTAGCTGCGATTACAAGTGCATACCACCACACCCAGATAATCTTTTGTATTTTAAGAAGAGATGGGGTTTCACCATGTTGGCCAGACTGGTCTCGAACTCCTGACCTCAGGTGATCTGCCCTCTTCAGCCTCCCAAAGTGCTGGGATTACAGGCGTGAGCCACCGCGCCCGGCCCAAAGACTACATTTCTTAAAGTAACAAATTTCATGCTATTGATCTCAAGATGAACTCGTGTGGGTGGCTCAGTGTAGGCTAGATCCGTGGTTCCTTTATTTGTCTGTGCCTCAAAATTCTTGTTATTTCCATTTTTGCTTTTCTTTTCTTTAGGCCACTCAATCTTCTAAATCCTAATCTCTGAGATGATTCTGATACAGACATTACCAGCACTTGGAAAATATTGGACTGCACTGATCTTCAAGCTGGGGGAAAATCCCCAAAAGGACAAAATGTAGTGGATCAGTCAAGACAGCTTCAGCCCTCATTTGCTTCCCCATCAAAGAGTGATGCTCTCTTTTTCCTAGTTTGGTAACAAAGCTCCTGAAAGAGTTTTCAAGCAACACATAGCTATTTTTCTAGAAATTATGAAGAACCTTCCTGACTAGGCTAAGTGTTCCTTATGTGTACCCTGAGCATACATCTGTCATTAAAATTGCTAAATATATTTTGATGTTCTATCAATGCTTCTATTTCCTGAATTCTCCTATCTTCCAAGAACCTTGAGAAAAGGACAATTTTTAATTCCTCTTAAAGTCTACTATAGAATATGCGCATGTTCTCAGCATATCTTTTTTGTTCTGAAATGAACTAGAATGCTGAGAAGACTCTTTTTTACACACTAGCTCTGACACCTCAAGCAGGTCTTTTTGTCTCTTTGGTCTTCAATTTCCATATGAAGATGCTGTACTAAATGATTTCTCTAGCTTTTTCTGGCTTCCATCACTCTGCTGCTGTGGGAATTGTAATGAATTGACTAAGCTTGGATTCTACTCTTAAGGAAATAAGGATGTTTTCACTTCTTCTTAATCAATTTTTGTTTGACACAGGCCGGATCTGCTTAGTCCAACCACAGAACTGAGCAATATCATAGGAAACTTTTGTTCTACGTGCCAAGAGTCTAAAATATTTGGGTCAACTCTAGAATCTACTGGAGGCATGAATTACACATATTATCTTCCACCTAATGTTGATCAATCATCCATTTGGCTTCACTGAGGTGCACATTACCAGAAACGGTTTTAATGTGTTGTAAAGGAGCTAAAATCTTAATATTGAGGAGGAAAGAGAGAAAAGAGAGTAACTCAAGGACCATTCTGCCAAATCTTTAATGTTGAAATTATCTCTTAATGAGATTGTAAAAAATTCTTTAGTGTCCCTTTCTGAATTTAAGCAGATGCAACCTAAAATTACTTAAATATTTATATTTCTTTCAATGGCTTTAATCCGTTTTGTCACTTAATTGTATAAAGCTATCTTCTACAAAATAGTACTCTGATATTTTGAAATAAATTGATTTTTTAAAATGGACATGGATAAAAAAGCTGCAGATGGGGTTTTATATACAGTTGTTTGCTACATAGATGGAATATTGAATCCTTCACCCATTAAATGTATCCTCACCACAGATTTGCTGCACCTGCTATTTTACATCTCAGTATATTTTATACTGAATATTTATGGTCCTTTCAAAATAATATGGAGAGACACTAAATGGTCAGAAACAGCCCAATGCTGACATCTACTGGATATACAACTGGACAAATTTACTATCAAAAGAATGCCTATATTCTACTTTACACTGTAAAGGTGTAAGAAACAAAGCAAAAGTTACTATGTAATACTTAATAAACATTTCTACTGGTTATGTATAAATTCATATTTTATATCTAAACCAAAGATGCCACTGTATTTCAAAATGGCTAATGTTGGGAGGTTAGACAGTACTGGACTCAGAATCTAAGAGGAAGGGGAAATAAGCTATTATGCTCTGGATGGGGAGGAGCTCAGGAATAATGCACCTTAGCCACTGGTAACATCCTTGAGCTGCTAATCCACCTCTGCAGTAAATGGTCCTTTTCTGCATAAATAGAAAATGTAGCTCCCACCCCCCTCCTCATCTGGTCTTGGGAAATTATGCAAGTCCTATTCTAACTGATCTTTTTTACACCACTATGGTTTCTTTGGCAGATTTTTCTTGGCTTCTTTGGCCCTATTAGGAATTACACATTTATTTTGTCAAGGTATATTCAATTACTATATAAGTTGCTATAATAGGAAAGTCAGACAGACTTGGGTTCAAATTCTGGCTCAGCCTCTTACATATATGTCTGAGTGAATTAGGGAAGTTATTGAATTAGCTAACTAACTACAAAATTTTATGGCAAGTACACTTAGGATATACCCTCAAACATTTTTAAGTACACATTACAGTATTATTAACTATAAACACAATGTTGTACAGACTTGTAAAATTTAGTCATCTTGCATAACTGAAACTTTATATAGGCACACTCTGCTTCTTGTGCTTCACCAATTCCACTTCACAGATATTGAGCTTTTAAAAATGGAAAATTTGTGCCAACCCTGTGTTGAGCAAGTCTATTGGTGCCATTCGTTTCTCCAACAGCACGTTCTCACTTCATCTCTCTGTGTCCTATTTTGGTAATTCTCACAATATTTCAAATGTTTGCATTACTATTCTATCTGTTATGGGGATTTGTGGTCAGTGATCTTTGATGTTACTATTGTAATTCAATTGGGGCATCATGATTCTCACCCATTTAAGATTGCGGACTTTATTGATAAGTGTTGTGTATGTTCTGACTGCTCCACCAACTGGCCATTCGCCCATCGTTCTCCCTCGCAATGGGCCTCTTTATTCCCTGAGACACTACAATATTGAAATTTGGCCAATTAATAACTCTACAATGATCTCTAAGTGTTCCAGTGAAAGGAAGAGCTGTACTCACTCATTTTAGATGATCAAAAGCTAGAAATGATTAAGCTTAGTGAAGAAGGCATTTTGAAAGCCAAGACAGGCTGAAAGCTAGGCCTTTTGTGCTGGTTAGCCCAGCCATTAATGCAAAGGAAAAGTTCTTGAAGGAGATTAAAAGTGCTACTCCAGTGAACACACAAATGATAAGAAAGCAAAACAGTCTTATTGCTGATATAGAGAAAATTTTAGTGGTTTGGATAGAAGATCAATCCAACCACAACATTCCCTTAAATGAAACCCTAATCCAGAACAAAACTCCAACTCTCTTCAATTCTATAAAGCCTGAGAGAGCTGAAGAAGCTGCAAAAGAAAATTTTAAAACAGGAGAAGTTGTTTCACAAGGTTAAAGAAAAGAAGCCATCTCCATAACATAAAAGTGCAAGGTGAAGCAGCAAGTGCTGATGTAGAAGTTGCAGCAAGTTATCCAGGAGATCTAGCTAAGATAATGGATGAAGGCAGCTACACCAAACAAGGGATTTTTACGGTAGAAAAAACAGCTTTCTATTGGAAGAAGATGCCATCTAGGACTTTCATAGCTACAGAGGAGAAGTCAATGCCTGGCTCCAACGCTCCAAAGAAACTGAACTCTCTTGTTAGGGGTTAATGTAGCTAGTGACTTTAAGTTAAAGCCAGTGCTCACTTATCATTCCAAAAATTCCAGGGCCCCTAAGAATTATGCTAAGTCTATTCTGCCTGTGTCCTAGAAATGGAACCACAAGACCTGGATGACAGAACATCTGCTTACAGCATAGTTTATTGAATATTTTAAGCCCACTGTTGAGATGACTGCTTGGGGAAAAAAAAGATTCCTTTCAAAACATTATTGTTCATTGACAATGCACCTAGTTACCCAAGAGCTCTGATGGAGATATAAAAGGAGATGAATGTTGTTTTTATGTCTGCTAACACAGTATCCATTTGGCAGCCCATGGATCAATGAGTAATTTTGAATTTCAAATCTTATTATTTAAAAAATACACTATAAGGAAGGCCATAGTTGCCCTAGATAGAAATTTTTCAGATGGATCTGGGCAAAGTAAATTGTAACCTTTTGGAAAGGAATTTGGAAGGAGTTGATTCCAACCCTCATAGATAACTTTAAGGGGTTCAAGACTTCACTACAGGAAGTAATTGCGGATGGGGTAGAAATAATCAAAGACACAGAATTAGAATTGGAGCCTACCGGGCACGGTGACTTATGTCTGTAATTCCAGCACTTTGGGAGACCAAGGTGAGCGGATCACCTGAAGTCAGGAGTTTCAGACCAGCCTGGCCAACATGGTGAAACCCTGTCTCTACTAAAAATACAAAAATTAGCCAGGCGTGGTGGTGCGTGCCTGTAATCCCAGCTACTTGGGAAGCTGAGGCAGGATAATCACTTGAGCTCAGGAGGTGGAGGTTGCAGTGAGCCGAGACTGTGCCACTGCACTCCAGCCTGGGCGACAGAGTGAGACTCCGTCTTAAAAAAAAAAAAAAGAAGTGGAGCCTGAAGGTATGACTGAATTGCTACAATCTCATGATAAAGCTTAAATGGATGTAGAGTTGCTTCTTTTGGATGAGTAAAGAAAGTAGTTTCTTTAAATGGAAACTACTTCTGGTGAAGATGCTGTGAACATTGTTGAAATAACAACAAAGAATTTAAAGTATTATATAAACATAGTTGATAATGCAGCAGCAAAGTTTGAGAAAATAGACTTTAATTATGAAAGAAGTTCTACTGCTGGTAAAATACTATCAAACAGCATTGCAGCAAACTTCAATTTGTAAACAACATAGTATCTGTGAAGCACAACAAGGCCAAGTATAATAAAACGAGACATGCCCCTAGCTCAGACATGTTTACTTTAAATGGTCAGATTAACATAATCTCTTCTGGTACTGGTTAAGGTTTCTCTCACCTTTCCTTCTCCAAACCAACATAGCCTCTGAATATAAATAATATCTTCAGTGCCCTAATGATAGAGGAAAGAAGAAACCCAAAATTAGAAAATTGTCTTTTGTTCTTTCTTCTAGAACCTTGGCAGCATCCATAAAAATGTTCCTGGCCCCTTATGATTATTTAAAGCCCTTGGAATCTGTTGCTAAAATTCATGACTGGTAAAACTTGGGCTATTTTTCTCAGAATGCTTGAAAACCTCCATGCCTACTCTAATGACTTGGCCCATCCTGGCTCCCACTCATATTACAGAGTATCTAAAATCTCAGCTACATTCTCCATATGGCCACTGTCCAAAGCAGCCTTCTGGCTCTCTACTCTTAGCTCCCTCTGCGTCATCTCTTCTGATTATTCAAGGACATTTTGCATCTTTTTTAATACCATATGAAGCCAAGGGAGATGCCTGGTGTCCAGCCTGCTCTCTACACCACCATTCCTGTTCTCAGCACCCATACACACACCAGTGCTAATGTGAGTGATTTCATTTAGTATCCTCCCAGAAACCCAAATGGAAAAGTAGAGCACAAGCTCTTTTTATTTCAGCTTTCTGTAAAAATTCTATCTGTTGTGTTTATGTACTCTGCTCCCACTTTTCAAGGATGACCTTGATGGGGCAGGTGTGGCACATGGAGAGAAATCACTAACATATGACCTTGTCCCTATTATATTCCATCTACTGCTCTCTTCCTCTGGAACTGAAAGACCTGTGTTTTCTTCCCATTCCTGTCACAGAGAATTCCTCTACATCATACATCCTTTCCTAGTCCTCTTCCAAAGAAAGACTGAAAGTCTATACTAGAAGAAGCCATTGTCCTGAGGAGGAAGAACACAAAAGGAAGGATTTTTTCATATGATATGCCCATGCCTAAGGAAAACTTTTTCTCTTAGAGGGAATTGAGATGGTTACTTTGATTTTAGTCATTAAATGAAACTTTTATCTACACAGTCCAGGAAAAAAAAAATGATATAACTTAAAAACAGACAGGACACAAGGATTAAGACTAAATTCCTTGAAAATTCAACCCAGCCTGTACCCCCATTCAGAAGGAAATGGCAGAAAAGTATACCTAGTTAATTATTCTAGGAAGATATCCCTGAATAAGATTCCATCTTTGTCAAAAGTTTAAATTAACCATACCCATATTCAGACTTTTCTAATACTCTGAACTGAAATTGTTAGAGGCCCTAGAGTTCAAACCCCTGTACCCTCTCAAATGGCCAGTGGACCAACACAATGATTAATTTTAGATTCTACCCCTCAGTAAGATTGGGGCTTTTAATATTTGACTATCCAGTTATAATTAGACGGAAAATTGAGTGGTCTGATATACAAGTGAAGAACAGACAAGTGAATGACATTAGGTGGGGAAGGTAGGGCTTACAGTTCTGTAAAAAGCTCCCCAGTGGATGAGCCAGAGGAGAAGTGAGAAGTCTTTTCATGACTGTCAATCTTTTTTTGTTTCCTCCTCAAGACATGGCCATACATGGGGGCAACACAGTCAATACTGAGCCAAGAGAAGACTTCCACAGTTTCTATTAAATATGTATGGCTTTTTCACCATCATAAGGTCAAAAAATCCTAAACTGAATCATTTTAATTTGGGGACCATGAATATTCATTATTGTCTCTTGACAATAGTAAGTATTGCTCAGCTTAAGTCTGGTGCAGGAGAGAGGGAGATGTAAATAAGGAAACAGAGTGGCAGAAGAGAGGAAAAAGTATTCATAGGGTCATTCAGGAAGCTTTCAACAGCAACTAGAAGAAAACAACTCAAAATAATAATAAATTATAGACTAAGACTCCAAATATTCCTCTGTTAATTCAGCAGCCTAGTGACTTCTTTAAGGACCAACCAGAGTCCTTTATATCTTTTTAGTATGCAACTCTCAATGCGTACACTTTGTCCTCAAGCCAGTTCCTCTTATGGTTACAAGAGAGCTGTCATGGTTCCAGACACTGGAACCAGGCATGGTGCTGTCCAAGGGCTCTTCCAGCAAGGAAGTAGGGGGAAATATGATTATGAGGTAGAAACCAATAGTCTCAGCTACAGGATTATACATGCTGAGGGCAAGGGGGAGAGCTGTGATTCAAATAGAGTCCTTTTGATAGCTGAAATTATTAGTAATATTGTTCTTGTGGGCTGCCTATAGTGGTAGACCATAGCAAACAGAGTACAAGTTATCTTGAAGAAATTCAAATTATCTTGAAGAAATTCTCAACTTCAGCCTGCTGAATGGTTACTGCTACTGTTACCTACTGCTATACTCAGGCTTCACTTATTTGTCAGTTTTGCCTTTATATTCCTGGTCAATGAAAATAGATACAATGAAGATTGCTGGTCACGTCTCTCAACCTGAGTCCACACACAGTAAGAAATAGCAAGGAACCATCTTCCAGTGCAGTCAGACAGAATGAGGAAAAATCAGCCAAATACAGCTCTACCAAATGTGTGTATCCTGCCTCAGAGCAGGGTTAAGGAAATGGGCTTTTCTTATTGACGGTGGTCCTGTAAAGCGATTTATAAAAATTACTCAGGTTAAGAACTAGGAGGCAGAAAAATATACTTAAATGAATCTCAAGTACATCTCAAACATTCATGCCAGGCAGTAATTTCAACTTCCTCCCTCTTTCATCACATCTCAGCTGCCAAGAAGTATCTCCAACAGCGTTGTGTATACATACCCAGTAAAATTGGATACCATTAAAGAATTCCTGTTTATTAATAGTGGCTTTTGGTTGTGCTCTCGCCCCCACCGTTCATCTTCACTTTAACTTATGAAAAGATCTACCTTGTCTCAGTTTCCAGTATTTCTATTTTAACCAGCTCATCTGATGACTTACTTGTATTCTCCACTAAACTCTAATGTAGCTATCATTAATGTGGATAAGACTTCTTTTTATTATACATTTTTGTTATACATTGCTCACGTATGTATTAGGCTATTATGAAAAAGAATATTCTACATAGATAAGTTATTGTCTTCCCAGTCCAAATCCCCATCTAAACAAATCAATTCCACAACTAGATCACACTGTCTAGACATTCAAGTTTTAAACTACAGAACCACCTTATAGCTATGGATGATTGGTCTAGAGGTAGACACATGACCCAAAGGTAGTCACTATATTATCTGGCCAATGACATGTATGGCCTAACTGGAAAAGATGGAAAAATCAGTCGAACTTTTTCCCCTCTCAGGAACCTGAACAGAGCAATAGAGAGAATTTGCTAGTTGAAACAGAAAGGAGGAAACATCAGAGGCATAGCTAGTCACATTAATGTAAAGGCACTAGAATAAAACTATATGAGCTCTTCCTACTGGCGTCCTTAAAATCACTCAAACAGAGAGTCACCCTGCTGCTCCATTCTCTATGTGGCATGGACCTATAGCTAAGTTTATGCATTCATGCAAAAAGCATTTATTGAAAACTGCTATGTACTACACATCATGGTAAGCTCTGAAGCTACAACGCTGGCCATAACAAATGTGATTACTGTTCTTAGGGAGCTTGCAGTACAGTAGTTAAAACACACCATGAATAGGGGGATATACGGAAACATATGAGAGTATTTAACAGGGACATCTAATGTAGCTTTTCTTAGGGGAGGAGAGACCATCTAGCTCCATCTATCAAAATACTACTCATCCATCAAGTCTGCAATAACAACCCCAGCTGGAAATAGTTGTGCTCTCCTTTGAACCCACTGATGGTACTTCTATTGCAACACTTGGTTCATGTCATCCTAGTTTTTAATGTATTGTTTCTGGGTCTCATCTCTCGCTAATCTCTAAACTCTCTGAGGAAAGCAACATTGTTTCATTTATCTCTGCATTCCTTCTGTGCGGAGAACAGTACTTTACACATAGCAAGTTCACAGAAATAGAGTTCAGAAATCACTCCAGTGTAATGGTCTCTTAAGAAGTCATAGAGCTAGAAAGATTTTCTAGTGATAATAGTTTTTTTCATTTTTACAGATGGTAGAGAATCTAACTGTCTTTATGAGGGAGTCATTTTCAAATCCAAAGGCATTAAAGTTTCACGCAAATGGTCTCTTTGAGTCCTAAGAGATAAACAGGAATGCTTGGTTTAAATGCGGTTAATTAAAACAGTAGGGAAGGGTTAGTTGCGTTTTTAAATATGGGAAATATTGAAGGAAAAGAAGATACACAAAATAAATCCCTCTGAAGGAGACATGTACGGATTAGGATTCTTTGGGTTGCAAGTGGCAGAAACCAGCTCAAATTAATTTGGAAATTTAGTGTAAGACAACTTGAGAATTTTATGTAAAGTTAGGACAAGGAACTCAGTTGTGACTCAAGGAAAACTAGACAAAAACTCAAATCTCAAATGTCATCAAGGTTTGCTCCCCACTCTTCTTCGCATACCAGTATCATTCTTTTCTCTTGCAGTTTCCTCTTTTCCTTGGACCTCACCACAACTTGATTATATTTGCAAAGGCCCTATTTCCAAATAATATCACATTCCCTGGAACCAGAGGTTAGGACTTAAAACATATTTTTTTGAGGAACACAATCGAATCCACCATATGCATCTTTAAAGGTACTGGCTCAACTCTAGTTTGATGTCCAAATTGCTTAGGGAGGAACTCATTGGTTATAGTGTAAATGCTCACCCATTATTCAATAAAATTTAAAGGAGATACATTCACACTTTTCTAACATAGTAACTCTTGCTACAACCATGTGAACAGTCAGTGGGAAAATTCCTAGAAATGGAGAAACAGGCAGAAAAGCTATAGATGTCCACTAGAAGGAAGAGAAAGAAATGGGAATTTTAGCATAAATTTGTGAGTTAGCACAAGTCCTATGAAAATAGAGACCCAATGTCTCAGCCAAAGAGTCTGTCTCATAATGTTTGCTGAACTAATACTCTAATTCTCATGAAAGTCTCACCAACCTAATCAGCTTCCTAGTTATTTTTTTAAATCTCTGATATTCTCGACCAAAAATTTTAAAGTGCTAAATTTCTGGCTAATTAAAGCCTACCTCTCAGTCAAAGGAGAGAAGGCTCTTTGCATGAGCGTCTACTATATGCCTGGTATTGACATATATTTATTTATTCAACAAATATTTGTTGAGTGCCTCATATGTGCCATTTACTGTGTTAGGCAATGAGTATATGCATCAGCAAAACAGACTGTTATCCTGGCCACTGGGTAGATTACATTCTAGTAAAGAGAAGTAGACAATAAGCAAAAGGGAAAAGGCATAAAAGGAATATCAGCAAGGAAGGGAGATAGATTGCTTGAATATGAATGTCAGAGTAGGCTTTACAGAGGAGGTGACATTTAAGCAGAAATCTGAAGGAAGTGAGGAAGTAAAACATTGGGGGAAGAAGAATATGACGGGAAAGAAAAAACATGTGCAAAGACTCAGAAACAAGGCTATGTTTGTTGTTTTAAAATATTTGCAAGAATGTAGCTGAAGAATAAGCTAGGAGAAAATAAGGAGAAATTGAGATTGGAGAAGAAACAGAATTCCAGGTTCAAAAGTTGCTTTGTAGGTGGTTTTAAAGACTTAAGAGTTTTACTCTAAGAAGAGAAACCATATCAAGTAGAGCAGAGCAGTAATGTAATTTCGACTTATGTTTCTAAAGTGTCACCCTGGCTACTCTATTGAGGACAGACAGTGGAGGAACAGAGGGACAAAAGCAAGGAAATGGTTGAAAAGCCGGCCGGGCGCGGTGGCTCACACCTGTAATTCCAGCACTTTGGGAGGCCAAGGTGGGCGGATCACGAGGTCAGGAGATCGAGACCATCCTGGCTAACACGGTGAAACCCCGTGTCTACTAAAAAAAAACAAAAAATAGCCGGGCGTGGTGGCGGGCGCCTGTAGTCCCAGCTACTCGGGAGGCTGAGGCAGGAGAATGGCATGAACCCGGGAGGCGGAGCTTGCAGTGAGCCGGGATCGTGCCACTGCACTCCAGCCTGGATGACAGAGCAAGACTCCGTCTCAAAAAAAAAAAAAGAAAAAGAAAAGCCATTGAAATAATCTAGGCTAGAAATAACCATGGTGGCAATGGTAGAGTTCGTGACATATTATGAAATTCTGGATATTTTAAAAGCAGAGCTGGTAAGATTTACCAATGTGAAGTATAGGAGAAAGAAAGGAGTCAGGGATGATACTATGGTTTTTAACCTATACAACTGGAACTTCAGAGTTGCCATTTACTGAGATGAGTTAAAAACTGATTTTCCCTATTTAATAAATGGTGCTGGGAAAACTGGCTAGCCATATGTAGAAAGCCAAAAATGGATCCCTTCCTTACACCTTACATAAAAATTAATTCAAGATGGATTAAAGACTTAAATGTTAGACCTAAAACCATAAAAACCCTAGAAGAAAACCTAGGCAATGCCATTCAGGACATAGGCATGGGCAAGGACTTCATGACTAAAACACCAAAAGCAATGGCAACAAAAGCCAAAATAGATAAATGGATCTAACTAAACTAAAGAGCTTCTGCACAGCAAAAGAAACTACCATCAGAGTGAACAGGCAACCTACAGAATGGGAGAAAATTATTGCAATCTACCCATCTGACAAAGGGCTAATATCCAGAATCTACAAAGAACTTAAACAAATTTACAAGAAAAAAATAAAACAACCCCATCAAAAAGTGGACAAAGGATATGAACAGACACTTCTCAAAAGAAGACATTTATGCAGCCAAAAGACACATGAAAAAATGCTCATCATCACTGGCCATCAGAGAAATGCACATCAAAACCACAATGAGATACCATCTCACACCAGTTAGAATGGCGATCATTAAAAAGTCAGGAAACAACAGGTGCTGGAGAGGATGTGGAGAAATAGGAACACTTTTACACTGTTGATGGGACTGTAAACTAGTTCAACCATTGTGCAAGACAGTGTGGTGATTCCTCAAGGATCTAGAACTAGAAATACCATTTGACCCAGCCATCCCGTTACTTGGTATATACCCAAAGGATTATAAATCATGCTGCTATAAAGACACATGCACATGTATGTTTACTGTGGCACTTTTCTCAATAGTGAAGACTTGGAACCAACCCAAATGTCCACCAATGATAGACTGGATTAAGAAAATGTGGCACCATGGACATACACACCATGGAATACTATGCAGCCATAAAAAAGGATGAGTTCATGTCCTTTGTAGGGATATGGATGAAGCTGTAAACGATCATTCTGAGCAAACTATTGCAAGGACAGAAAACCAAACACTGCATGTTCTCGCTCATAGGTGGGAATTGAACAATGAGAACACTTGGACACAGGGTGGGGAACATCACACACCGGGGCCTGTCATGGGGTGGGGGGAGGGGGAAGGGAATACCTAATGTAAATGACGAGTTAATGGGTGCAGCACACCAACATGGCACATGTATACATATGTAACAAACCTACACATTTTGTGCACATGTACCCTAGAGCTTAAAGTATAATAAAAAAGAAAAAAAACTGATTTTGGAAATTGATTATAGAGTTATGCTTTAGGCATGTTAGATTTGAGCTGCCTGTCAGCTATTCATATAAATTGGTCTGGATTAAAGAGGACAGATTAGAGATGTTAATTTGGGAGTCATCAGCTGTAGGTGCTATTTAAAGCCACAAGACTAGATGAGATCACAGATTAAACGTGGAGAAGAACCAAGACCTGAGCCCTAGGACACAAACAACAGCCCTCAAATTGAATATTATTATCTCCATTGTACTGATGAGGAAACAGAATCTCAGACATGGTAAATATCTTAACAAGATCATACAGTTAGTAAACTGCAGAGCCAAATGTCAAACAAAGACTGCCTTAGGCCATTAAATCACACTGTGTATGGTGGTAAACAAAGCTGAAATCTATCAATGGAAGCAGCAACCCTAGCAACACATTTCCAAATGATTCTCTAGGTCACTGCCTCCCCAGACATTTTTCCACACACCAAGTGCTTGCTGAGGAGTTTGTAAAAATACAGAGTTCTAGGCACCACTTCCTACACTTGAAAAGGAATCCATGAAAGATATTTTTAATGTCATCTAGATGATTGTAATGCATAGCCAACTTTGGGACAACTTATCTGAAAAACATCAGACAAAAAATAATGTGACCCAAAGGGAAAAATAAAACCTCACACCTTCCTGAAGCCTAGTGAAGAGATGCCATCCACTCCAGGCTGAGGAAGTGATAAGATGATAAGAGCTGAAGGAAAGGCAGGGCTGGCTCCAGATACCACACCTCTCTAGGAAGAGAAGTGATGTTGTTTCTCCAGAAACACTTCACTTACGGCCATTCACACAGAGGAAGATCATTCTGCTAATGCTACCTGAAATCAAATTGCCCTTTTGATTTCCACAGGTGACTTCTATGAAGCTTATTGGCCAGTAGTCCCCAACCTGGACAAATTTAGGACTAATCAATGTTTTTTATATAGAAATATAGATTCCTAAGATCTGCTCAAGACTCAATGATTCAGAGTCTCAGGAATCTGAGAGTATGTCTTTTCACATTTTCCAAGGGATTCTTATCAATATCATTATCAGTTTGTGAAATCTTGTATTGGAAACATTGCAGAACATTAAAAATCTCTAAGTGTTTTTCCAATGTTCTTGGGTTAAGCTAGGAATTCCTCATTAAATGGTGCACAAATACTTTAAGTTGCAGCCCCCAACCTTTTTGGCACCAAGGACTGGTTTCGTGGAAGACAATTTTTCCACCAACTGTTGGGGGAGCAGGGGATGGTTTGGGGATGATTCAAACATATTACATTTATTGTGCACTTTATTTCTGTTATTATTACATTGTAACATATAACAAAATAATTATACCACTCACCATAATATAGAATTAGAGGGATTCCTGAACTTGTTTACCTGCAACTAGAGAGTCCCACATGGAGGTGATGGGAGACAGTGACAGGTCATCAGGCATCAGATTATCATAAGGAGTGCACAACCTAGATCTCTCACATGTGAGGTTGACAACTGAGTTTGCACTCCTATGAGAATCTAATGCCTTCATTGATCTGACAGGAGGCGGGGCTCAGGTGGTAATGCGAGCAATGGGGAGTGGCTGTAAATACAGATGAAACTTTGTTCTCTGGCCCACCACTCACCTCCTGCTGTGTGGCACAGTTCTTAACAGGCCATGGATCCATACCAGTCTGTGGCCTGGGGGTTGTCGATCCCTGCTTTAAGTCTTTTTGAACGTAAGTGCAGACTTATCGTTGCATTGCTCAAGATAGTAGTCGCTAGCCACATGTGGCTACTGAGCACTCGAAATGTGGTTAGTCCAAATTAACATGTGTTATGGTAGAAAATAGACACTAAATTTCACAGACCTAGTGAAGAAATGTAAAATATCTCATTAATTAATACTTTTTATATCTATTTATGTTGAAATTATATTTTGAATCTATTGGGTTAAATATATTATTAGGGTTAATTTCACCTGTGCCTTTTTACTCTTTTCAATATATTTCCTAGAAATGTTAAAATTACATATGCAGCTTTCATTATTTACAGCGCTGACTAACATGTATACTTATTGATCTTCTCGTTGTTTGTTTAATCACACTATATTCTGGAGTCCCATAGTCCTTTGCTCGTAACTCTGTAAGATACTTATCACAATATATTCTAATTATCGTTTTACATCTCATTCTACACTACTAGTCCGTAAGCAGTTGTCGGGGGCAGGATCCCAGTCTTGTTCACCTATCTCCTCTGGACCTAGCACAGTGCATGGAACCTGACAGATGTTCATAAACAGCTAATTTCTTTGTTTTCTTGCCCTGGGCCACACAGATTGTTCACTGCAGAGCACAGGCTCTAACTCAGGTCGCTTGACTTCTGCTCTCATTTGCTATCCATGACATCCTACTGCCTTAAACCCTTTCTCTAAAGATTAGCACAAGAAGCAAATCAAAGTAAAACTCAAATCAGTCCAATTTACTACTCATTAGCAGTTTTTATGAAGACTGGTTGTGGAAGAGATTGAAACTCAAAGCTAAGGTGACATTTTGAATTATCTCAAGTTGTCACTTTTCCATGCTGTGCTTCACTCTCATTAGGAAAAGTAATCAAGATCTGGGCCTACTGTTAAACTATGTCCCTCCCTGTTATTAAAGCTTAGCACTCAGAGGTATCTAATGCTCATGTTGACGCTACCCTTTTCTTACTGGCACAAAAAGTTGTCTATTCGTTTTTTCCCTGATTAATGTTTTGGAGTTTCTTCTCCTTCAGACTATGCCCTCAGCCTACCAATTAGGAATACATATTGATTTTCTCTGAAAGCGTTTGTGTTTCCATAACGTGATGGATACATTCAGGTCCCTTTATAATAGAGACATCCTATAATACCTTCTGTTTCCTCTGGGACTGTCTGCTAATATCAGGGCACCTCTGGGACATGCAGGACCCTGAGAAAGTACCTTTTACATACATTATAATATAAGCAATTTAACCTTAAACGTATTTAGAAATTCACAAGCCTGTGTTAGGTATAATTAGTTATCTGAATAAAGTTTCAAAATAGTGGATAGAGAAGAAATATTTATTTATTTGTTTATGGTCCAATCACTGCATGTAAAGATAATTCATAGTGTACACCCCAAACCTCTTCCTGTTCAGGTCCAAGAACAATCTCTTTGTGTTCTTTATTGTCAAATGTTCCATTCCTGGCTGATTTCATATCTCCTACTAAAAGAAAAATGCAGCAATGCTGTTATTACTCACAATGCCATAGCTCTTTGGTAACTTTTGTGTTGAAACACGATAAATTTTCTTGCCTCTGCAGTTCTCTAATACCATTTATTTAATGCTTGTTACATTATTACTCATGTAATAATGTAATCATTCATTGTGCCATCCATGAATACTGGCTTCCAATGATTCTTTCAAAGGTTGTTGCTGTTTCATTAATGATGATCAGAAATGAAGGTCTTATCCAGATTATTGAGGAAAATGTGAATCACAATTCATTTTCTGATTATTGAATTTACTGTTTAGAATTTTAACAGCCTGAACACAGGAAAATACTTCTTCCAACTATGTCTTCTCTTGAACTCATGAAGCCATTTTCACTGCATTCCTGAAGTGTGATCTCTTTTTATGTTGACCATCCCTGCTTTCTGCATACCACCACCACCAGCAAGGAGAACACATGAAGGGCCCAATGGCATGGTAAAAAAAAAAAATGGTCCCATTCATTGAAGGAATGGCCACTCAAAAGGCACAATTTAAGATCATCCAGGAAGAGCAAGCCATTGCCATATTTGTCTGAAGCGGGAAAAGCCCTTGATTAGGACGGCCCCTTAGTGTTGCAGAACAATGATTTCCAAAGTTCTCAGATAAGATGGCTAGGGAGTTAGGTGAGGCCATCCCATGAGAAGTGCCTGATATCTGGCATAGAACCTGCAGAAAAGTTGGGATGGTGCCCTGGTTGTCAGTGGTAGACTATGCTTACTGGTTTAAAGATATCTGCTGCCATCATCACAGCCCTTTAGTGCCATGGACCACAGGTGGCACCACAATTAGAACACAGTTGGGCCTGAGTGGATGCATGGGCCCATTCATGCAGCACAAGGCCAAGGACTGGAGTTGAACCCCAACTCTTTCCATAGCCAGAGCCCTGAGCTCATCCTATCTCATTTGTGAATGAGAATCATCCAAAATCTCACTTGATCCTGCAAAAGAAATACCATGCTGGCCAGCAGGCCATGCCACTTTTTTGGCTCTGAGTCCCAGTCCAGGATTCTAAGATGATCTCAGAGGCATACATCCCAGAACTCCTCTGGGAATCTGGGTGGCCATGTCATCAGGTCAGAGAAGAGAATAGGAGGGCACTGCAAATGGGATAAAATGGGACCAGGTCAGAGGCAGGTACTGATTCAGTAACAGGGCACTCCTCCCTAATGGCACTGCAACGCTGGCCAGTCCCAGTATTGGGAGGAAGAATTAAAAGTTTCAAAGGAGGCCCCCAAAGTGTTAAGGAGTCCCTGAGGGATTTGGGTGGCACTGGCTACAACATATTGAATTCAGAGACAAGGGGCTTTGAAATGCTTTCAAGAGTAGACTAGAGAGGAAACAATATCCTTAAGGGAAACTATAACATCTTAGAGGAGAAAGGGAAATTTACGGGACATTCCAGGTGATGACATGTTTGTAGCTATGTCCCACTTACCACCATTGTGGGTATATCTTAGGTATTTTTATAATAATCAAATAAATGTAACTGTGAACCTCCAGCTTCCCACTGTGAGAATGTTCTAAAACTCCCCCGAGTCACCTCCCCAGGGTTTACTCATGATTTTCAGCCTCCATCCCTCTTGTTTTGCCAGTGTAGTAAATAACACTTACACATCCACATGTGTCTGGTGCTGAAACCTGGCTTGGAAATTTGCAATATTTTCTCTCCCAAAAAGCACTTTTGGCTTTTATGAAAATTTGTACACTCCCACCCTATTCCTCTGGGGCTTGTCAAATCAAAAATACGTCTTATTTTACATTATATTCCAGCATTGCTCCTGATTTCCAGTCTAATAAAATTGTGTAATGGTGGGCAAGTATTTGTGACATAAAATTGTGATGGTGTCAAAGTTTGTTTGTATCACCTCTTTTTCCCTTCTAGGCCATATAATATCTAGTAAAAGCAGGGCTTTTGAGTCTCTAAGAAAAGGATTCAAATTTTGCCTTCATGATTTATTAACTGTGAAACACTAACAAGTTACTTAATCTCCTAGATTTGCTGGGGAGTTTAAAGATCACCTCTACCCATCCTAATTCTTTTTTTTTTTTTTTTTTTTTTTTTGAGACAGAGTCTCGCTCTGTCGCCCAGTCTGGAGTGTAGTGGTGCGATCTCGGCTCACTGCAAGCTCTGCCTCCCGGGTTCCGCCATTCTCCTGCCTCATTCTCCTGCCTCAGCCTCCTGAGTAGCTGGGACTACAGGCGCCCACCACCATGGCTGGCTAATTTTTTGTATTTGTAGTATAGATGGGGTTTCACCGTGTTAGCCAGGATGGTCTCCATCTCCTGTCCTCGTGATCCACCCGCTTCAGCCTCCCAGAGTGCTGGGATTACAGGCGTGAGCCACTGCGCCTGGCCTACCCATCCTAATTCTTAAATGGGATCTTCAGCTGGGTCTAGGAATCAAATGGACACAAGACAAGTTAAGAAGAGAACAGCATGTAAGTGTCATTATTTTTACATGTGCACGGGGATCATTAAGAGAGTAAAAACCTGAAGAAATGGTCAAAGCAGAGACCTTTTATACATTTTAGACAAAGAATGAGAGATTTGTGAAGAAATGACAGGACAAAAGGATCTGGCTAGAGGCAGTAAATTCTAGGGAAATCATTAGGAGGCCTATGGTGGGGGTGTGTAAAGCTAGTGGAAGATAATGGTTTCTTCAGTAAGTTCATTTGTATGGGTCCATTGCAGCAGTAATTCCCAGTCTCTGGTGATATGGGTTATTTTGTAACACTGGTACAAGGAAGGCACTATTCTCAAAGGAATTTTTATGGCTTACTACATGTAGGAAAGGACAGGTCTGATAGCCCTTTCTGCAAACACAGCTTCTCAAGTGCTTTCAGCTTAAAATAATTGATATACCAAATCCACATATTTGTGGGTGATCATCATTAACTCCTGCAGCTTCATTTTTTTCTGTAAAATAGAGTTAATAACATCTTCCTATAATGGTAATTGTGAAGACTGCATAGTTCATGAAAAGTCCTTGGCAAATAAGAGGCAAGCAGTGCATATGAGTTAATATTCTTCCTACTTTACTCTGCCAATGGCCTCTGGCCTTCCATGTCCAAGCAGAGTCCTCCTGGCTACCCAGTGCCCATTGATGTGCTATCTTGGCTTCAGACAAGTCCATACTCACATTTCTAGCTATATATTCCATTCTTCCAAAGCAATTTATAGCATTTGATTCTCTTGGGAATTCTGTGTTGTTCATGACAATGGCAGGAATAAAAGGTTAGTTTAGAGGTTAGCCAGGTTTCGACCTAAGCTAGGAGCAAGGTCTGGTTTCACCACTGATTAGTGATTACCTGGGTTAACCAGGTAAATCTTGCAATTCAGAATAACATGGTCTGGATCTTTTTGTCAAAAGCCGTAGCAACAAATAATGAATATTTGGCATTGACCTTTCACCCAATGGACTATCTGGGATCCCAAGTACTCCTAGTTCCTTTTCCCAACCCAATCACGTTAAAGTGAACTTGCTGCAGCCAATGTGCCAGTATCCATTCCCTTGAGTTTGGGGACGGAAAACTTGTAGAGAGTAACTACTTGGGACTATTCTGGTCCTTTAGTCTTCCTTGAGTCAAACATTGTTTTGCAGACCAACGTTTCTCAAACTATACTCTTTATCACAGTTGCCGCACCACCTTCTCGAAATGCACGTGCACGCTTCCCACCCACTGAGATTCTGAATTAATCCATCTTGGGTAGAGCTTGGGCATTGCTATGTTTTTTCAATTCATAGGTGGTTCTGATATATAGCAAATGTTGAGAACCATTGTTGGAGACTGATGATTATATCTGGAGATAATGCTATCCCTGCTTTATATCTGGATCTAACTCAGATCCCAGCCCTTCTAGTATTTTTTAAACTATTATTCCATATAAAACTCAGTTGCCAATTCAGACACCCTATCATTTGGAGTACATAACCATGGGGAGATATAGACATTCAAATTGGAAAATCAATTAGCATCTCTAGCCTGTAAGAAAGAAGAATTATATGAGAACAGATCATCTTGAGCAGGAGGTTTGATTCATAAACAAGTCTCTTATTCTATTTTACATGCAAGAAGATTTTTAAAGTTCATGACTTTTCTCTTTGACATCAGAGAAGAAGCCATTAGGGTATTCTATAAAACATCCTTGAGCTTCTTAAAAAATTCCATTTATAAATGTATCCTTTAATGCAGCTGAATCTCTTTCAAAATCAGTTATATATTTAGCCTATTCCACTCTTAAAAACAATGAGTATTTAAAGTTTACTACTGTACCAATCATTGCATCTGTTCCAAACATTTGGATCCCTTTTTCTTTCCTACATATGACAGAATTGCATTTCCCCACCCTTTGAACTCAGGCATAGTCCTGTGGCTTGCTTTGGCCAACAAAATGCAAGTAAAGTCAAGTGTGTCACTACCTGGAAGAAGATTTAATAGGAAGTTCATGCTTTACCATGTGCCTTTTCTGTCTCCCAACAATGTTCCAGATAGTGATTGTGTCATCAGCGTGGGTCCCAGAGTAACTAAGATAATGACATAAAACAGAATTCCTGTTTAGTCCTTGATGAGCAAAACTGTTATTGTTTTATGCCACTGAGATCGGGAGGTTTAAACCTCAGCAACTACCTTAGGTAAAAAATATTTAACCTAAAAGGTAGTTACCTTTATGTTTTATTTTTTTCCTCAGCTTCCTTAAAATTTTACGTGTTATTTAACTCTTACAGTGTTACAGAGGTCAGTCTTCCTTTTATTCATATTGTTTATGATTTTCTGAATTTTTATGATATCTTTTATTCTGCCATTGAAATTTCTAGTTATACTTTATCACTCCACTTAATTTTCTAAATTTTTGCTCTATCATAATGCAGGTCTTTATTCCTTGATTTTAAGTGTCCATGTCCAAAACTTACGTAGTTCTCTTATAACTGGCGTGAGGTGTTGACTAAGATTACCTGAAGTAATTAAAATGCAAAGCAAGATAGAATGGCATTTCCTGTTTTGGTTCCAATACTATATTTCCCTCCCACCCCCAGGAAAACAGTAGCCTACATTCCTTAAGTTATACTCTGGGTGCTTTAAAGGAGTTTCTGCCAGACCCAGTCAATGAGAAGTGGGTTTTGCTATTTAAATCTCTTTATCAAATGCTTAATCTTAGCTCTCATTTATTTCTCTACTTCACATTTTGTTTCATTTGACTCTTAGAAACTTGATACTTGGTAAACGATTTTAGCTTCACTTTCACTCTATTCTTTCCTCCCATCTTAGCTTTGGCATTTATTTGACACTTTTCTTCTAATAAGGATGGGAGACAATGTTACTGTGGGTTCCACTATATCTCACCCCATGGTCAGCGGAATGGATCACATTCTTGTTGGTATCCAACTTTCCATTGGCCTTATAGTCCTTCGTGAGCACATTAACAAACAGAGATGAATATTGCATTTTCTTCTTAATCTATATAAGCCTAATTGCTCCAGCAGCATAGATGTTAATTTTAGCCTTACATCCGATATTTAACGAACTATTTTCTGAAATAGATTTCTTGTTTTGAATAACAAATTTGAAAATTTAAGCCCAGAAAACTGTAATTTTTTTCTGAAGATGAGAATATTCCTAGCCAATGGAAAATTGCTTCTGCATTTATATATATTTTAACCAATCAAATCTAAACTGCTTCAAATTCCAAGTGTAGGGCAATGGCATAAATATTATTAATAATTCTATGGGTTAGTTCATGGTAAATTTTGGTGAGCTACTTAAAGATACAGTATATGAGTGAGTTATAGAACTGAAAGTTTTGGCTGGGCATGGTGGTTCACGCCTGTAATCTTGGCACTTTGGGAGGCTGAAGGGGGAGGATCACTTGAGGCCAGGAGTTTGAGACCAGCCTGTGCAATATAGTGAGACCCTGTCTCTACAAAACATACAAAAATTAATCATGTGGTGGTGCACAATTTTCATCCCAGCTACTTGGGAGGCTGAGTAGGGAGGATGACTTGAGCCCAAGAGTTTGAGGCTTCAGTGAGCTATGATCACCATTCCACTTCAGCCTGGGTGACAGAGGGTGACCCGATTTAAAAAAAAAAAAATCAGATTTTTAAAAATAACTCAAATAACTCTACTTCCATTGATAGGAGATGGGAAAATAACAAACCAAATAAATGTGTTTTTTTAATAAAACTGATTTGCTCTAATTGCTTTTGTCTTCTGTATCTGTAGCAACTAGATCAGTTCTTGGCACATAGTAGCTACTCCACAAATATGTTAATATATGAATAAAAGAATAAATGAATAAATCAGCTCCTCCATTTGTTGAATAAGCTGAATTAGTTTAAATAAGTGTCTTATCCTTTCTGTGACTTGGTATATTAACTCCATAAGTAAACGTCTACTATTAGATATTTAAATAATAAATTTCTCAAGGTCTAGAATCTTCAGTTCCATATAACTAATATCTAGAATAGTGCCCAATAAATGTTTGTGGAGGCAAAGAAAAAAGGAATAAATATCAAAAAAAGGAGAAAAGAAAGAAGGAAGAAGAATAAAAATGATGGGGAGGAAAGGAATAAAGAATGAAAGACAAAATAGAGAAGGAGGAAACAAAAACATAGTTATAAAAAGAAAGGTGAGCATTCAATTAACAGTTTTATACAGAATATGAAAGAAAATGATAAACTTGTACATTAATGATGAGGTGTGGAGTCAGGGAAAGAAGGGACAACTTTTGTTAGGGATGGGAGGAGTTAATTATTTATTTGATTAACATGAGCAGTAAAACTTACCTTTAAAAAAATTTGTAGAGACCACAGCAATTTTTATATTGGCAATTTGGTACCCTACACTTAGATTGGCCAGAGAAAAGAAACATATACCAATGGACATTATCATATTGCTTTACATGGACTGCTTCCAGAATAAATAAAATGTGCATGTCTAGTGATTAAAGTTTAGTCCTCCCAGGCCGGGCATGGTGGCTCACACCTGTAATCCCAGCACTTTGGGAGGCCAAGGCGGGTGGATCACCTGAGGTCGGGAGTTCGAGACCAGCCTGACCAACATGGTGAAACCCCGTCTCTATTAAAACTACAAAATTAGCTGGGTGTGGTGGCACATGTCTGTAATCCCAGGTACTCAGGAGGCTGAGGCAGGAGAATTGATTGAACCCAGGAGGCAGAGGTTGCGGTGAGCCGAGATTGTGCCATTGCACTCCAGCCTGGGCAACAAGAGCAAAACTCCTTCTCAAAAAACAAAACAAAAAAAAGTTTAGTCCTCCCTAGAGGAAGCTGTACTTGATAACACCTCATAAGAAATCTCTCAAACCTATGGTCATTTATATGAAATCTCACAGAAAAAGTGTTTTGGACTATTTAAGAAAGATGGCCTGAAAATTAATGTAAATATGCTGGCAAAATGAATGGAAAATTGTTCCAACTTCAAATTCCACCGGAACTCAGATGGGGTCTTTCTGAAAGTTTACAGGGCAAAACTTTCCTTTATCCTATGAAAAATGTTTGTCATATTTTAAAAATATAGACTTTTATTCACAAACTTTGGCCAAATTTTGTTGTATATTGACACTATGTATATAGTTAAACATTTTGGCCAAAGCTAAAATGTTCAGCATATAGCTAACTTGGTTGCAGTTGTAGCCCTTTGGAGATAAATGAACATTTTGCACTGGTTAAAAAAAAAAAAGTGGAAAAAAGCATGATTTTTCCTACCAACTGGGTAAAAGTTTAATATACTCATTTGCTCATCAGTGATTAAACATCTGCATATGTGTGTGTACACACACATATGATCTTTAATTAAAAGCTGCTTTTAATCCAGGTAGAGTTCAAAAACAAAATTAAACATTGTGGAGGATGATGAAACTTAATTTTAGATTGGCTGGGCATGATGGCTCATGCCTATAATCTCAGCACTTTGAGAGGCCGAGGCAGGCTGATTGCTTGAGCCCAGAAGTTCGAGACTAGCCTGGGCAACATAGCAAGACCCCGTCTCTAAAAAAAAAAAAATACAAAAATTAGCTAGGCATGGTGGTACTTGCCTGCAGTCCCAGCTGCTTGGGAGGTTGATATAGGAGGATCACTTTTTAGCCCAGGAGCTCGAGGCTGCAGTGAGTCATGATTACACTACTGCACTCTAGCCTAGAGCAAGACTCCATCTCAACAAAAAAAACAAACTAAATTTCTTTTCAAGGACAGCAATTCTCCTTTATACCTTGCATTTCCCATTTCATAATGTATAGTCATTCATTAATTTAATAAATATTGTGTACCTATTGATACAGACAGGAGACAGGAAAATACTGGGTAGAAGAGGGTGGTTCCCTAGCAAAGGCCCCACCCTCAACCCTGGAAACCCATGACCCTAAATGGGAACAGGCATTCCTGTTTTTGCACACAAAATGTTGCCTTTTGATCCACCATGTCACCTATCCTGTACTCATATAAACCCCAAACCTATGGCTCCACAAGGAGATGAGCAGAAGAGCCAAGGAACAGAAGAATGGTGTGACAGAGAAGGAAAGAAGAGAAGGAGCATCTGAGCATCTAGAGGAGTCCAGCTGGGGACAGAGAGGAGTTTGGTCACGGGACAGCTGAACTCCAAGGGAAGATTATCTTCCCACTCCATCCTCCTTCCAGCTCCCCACCCTGCCAACTGAAAGCCACGTCCACCACTCAGTAAAGCCCCCACATTCACCACCCTTCAAGTCCATGGGTTACCTGATTCTTCCAGGATGCTAGACAAAGGCCTGGGTACCAAGTGGGCACTGAGCTGGTTAACACTTAAGCCATCTGAGGACAGCAGAGCTAAAAGAGCATTGTAACACTGGGGCTTCAAACGTCGCAGGCACCCAACCCTAGACACTGCCATGGGGCAAGAGCCAAAAAACACTCAACCCAGTTCCTGCAGCTGCCCATCTGCATGCTCCCCTTCCTGTAACGGGTTTGAGCTCATGGTGGCCAAACAGAGAGCCACACCCCTGTCACACATCCTGCAAGGTGGATCAGGGAACTCTCTTATCTCACTATTATGTATCAGACACTTAAATAGACTTCACAGTGGTTTATGGGGATGGGAGATTTAAAGGAAAGACATGATATAATGTCAAATAGTAATATGTTCTGTGAAGAAAAATAAAGCAGGGTGATATGGTTTGGCTGTGTCCCCACCCAAATCTCATCTTGAATTGTAGTTCTCATAATCCCCACATGTCATGGCAGGAACCTGGTGGGAGGTAATTGAATCATGGGAGTGGTTACCTCCATGCTGTTTTCATAATAGTGAGTAAGTTCTCATGAGATTTGGTGGTTTATAAGGGGCTTTTCTTCTTTTGCTTGGCACTTCTTCCTGGTGCCATGTGAAGAAGGATGTGTTTGCTTCTCCTTCTAACACGATTATAAGTTTTTTGAGGCCTCCCAGCCATGCAGAGTTATGAATCAATTAAATCTCTTTACTTTATAAATTACCCAGTCTCAGGTATGTCTTTATTAGCAGCATGAGAACAGACTAATACGGTAAATTGGTACCACAGACAGTGGAGTGCTGCTATAAAGATACCCAAAAATGTAGAAGCAACATTGGAACTGGGTAACAGGCAGAGACTGGAACAGTTTGGAGGATTCAGAAGAAGACAGGAAAATGTGGGAAAGTTTAGAACTTCCTTGAGACTTGTTGAATGATTTTTGACCAAATGCTGATAGTGATATGGACAATGAAGTACAGGCTGAGGTGGTCTCAGATGGAGATGAGGAACTTCTTGGGAGCTGGAGTAAAGGTCACTCTTGCTATGCTTTAGCAAGGAGACTTGGAGGCTTTTTGCCCCTGCCCTAGAGATCTGTGGAACTTCGAACTTGAGAGAGATGATTTAGGGTATCTGGTGAAAGAAATTTCTAATCAGCAAAGCATTCAAGAGGTGACAGAGCATAAAAGTTTGGAAAATTTGCAGCCTGATGATGCAGTAGAAAAGAAAAACCCATTTCCTGGGGAGAAATTCAAGCCTGCTGCAGTAACGAGGAGCCAAATGCTACTCACCAATACAATACAATGGGGAAAATGCTTCCAAGGCATGTAATGGCAGTCCCTCCCATCACAGGCCTGGAGTCCTAGGAGGGGAAAATGGTTTCCTAAGCCAGGTTCAGGGCCTCCCTGCTTTGTGCAACCTCAGGACTTGGTGGCTTGGTGCCCTGTGTCCCAGCTGCTCCAGCCATGACCAAAATAGGTGGCCAAGGTACAGCTCAAGCCATTGCTTCAGAGGGTGCAAGCCCCAAGCCTTGGCAATTTCCACTTGGAGTTGAGCCTGCAGATTTACAGAAGTAAATAACTGAGGTTTGGGAACCTCTACCTAGATTTCAGAGGACGTATGGAAACTCCTGGACGTCCAGGGAGGTGTCTGCTACAGAAGCAAAGCCCTCATGGAGAACCTCGACTAGGTCAGTGCAGAAGGGAAATGTGGGGTTGGAGCCCCCATACAGAGTCCCCTCTGGGGCACTGCCTAGTGTAGTTGTGACTAGAGGGCCACCATCCTCCACACCCTAAAATGGAAGATCCACTGACAGCTTACACTGTGCACCTGGAAAAACTGCAGACACTCAACACCAGCCTGTGAAATCAGCTGGGAGGCAGGCTGTACCCTGCAAAGCCACAGGGGTGGAGCTTCCCAAGGCCATGGGAGGCCACCTCTTGCATCAGTGTGACCTGGATGCCAGACATGAAGTCAAAGGAGATCATTTCAAAGCTATAAGGTTTGACTGCTCTGCTGGATTTCAGACTTGCATGGGGCCTGTAGCCCTTTCGTTTTGGCCAATTTCTCCCATTTGCAATGGTTATATTTATCCAGCGCCTCTACCCCCATTGTATCTAGGAAGCAATTAACCTGCTTTCAATTTTACAGGCTCGTAGGTGGAAGGGACTTGCCCTGTATCAAATGAGATTTTGGACTTGGACTTTTGGGTTAAAGCAGGAATAAGCTAAGGCTTTGGGGGACTGTTGGAAAGTAAGATTGTGTTTTAAAATATGAAAACATGATATTTGGAGGGGCCAGGGACAGAATGATATGGTTTGGCTGTGTCCCCACTCAATCTCATCTTGAACTGTAGTACCCATAATCCCCACGTGTTATGGCAGGGACCCAGGGGAAGTAATTAAATCATGGGGACAGTTACCTCCATGCTGTTCTCATGAAAATAAATGAGTTATCACAAGATGGTTTTATAAGGGACTTTTCCCCTTTTGCTGGGCACTTCTCCTTCCCACCACCATGTGAAGAAGGACATGTTTGCTTCCCCTTCTGTCATGATTGTAAGGTTCCTTAGGCCTCCCAGGCCTGTAGAACTGTGAGTCAATTAAATCTCTTTCCTTTATAAATTGCCCAATCTCAGGTATGTCTTTATTAGCAGTGTGAGAATGGACTAATACACAGGGTAAGGATATAAATAAAGGTGGTGGAATATTTGTTACGGACTGGATAATTATGGAATGTTTCCCTGAGGTAACATGTAAGCAGACTTGAAAGAAGTTGGGGAGTTAGACAAGCGGCTATTTGGAAGCCATCATGGGCAGAGATAATGAAAGGCTAAAGTGGTGGTATCAGGTTTGAGGAACATTCAGGAGCTGTCATGACTGACACTGAATCAGTAAGGGAGACAGTAGGAGGAGAGTAGGTCACAAAGATAGCCAGAGCCTACTTCCTATAAGTAGTGGTACTCAACAAGTGGGAAGGAAGCAGTTCACCCCTCCAAACGGTGTTTGGCAGTGGGTAGAGACATTTTTTGTTGTTACAACTTGCAGGGAGTTCTGTTGACATCTAGTGGGCAGAGGCCAGAGATGCTGCTAAACATCCTACAAGGCACAGAACAGCCAACCCATAGCAAAGAATTATCCCACTGAAAATGTCAGTAGTGCTTAGATTGAGAAACCCTGATAGAGGACACTGACTTTCAATCCTGTATGCACAATAAGTCACCTAGAGAGCTTTTAGAAATATTGTACCTGTGGTCTTACCCAGAAAGTCTAGTTGGCTTTAGAGTCTAGGCATCCATCCTTTTTCAAATGTAGATAAAGGATTAGAAAACTAACATGGAACAAGAACTCACTATGCTCAAAGTCAATTAAATGCCTAATTGCTTTCTTTCTTTCTAGACTATAAGTCTCATGAGGCCTGGGACCCTGATTTTCTTGTTCTCAGCAGTATCTCATTCTAGCACAGTAACATACAGTAGAAAGAAGAGAATTGAAATTGAAACATGAAATCAAAGCATTACATATAATGATTTAATGATCCTCATAAACAGCTTTAAGAGTGACTTAAATTAAAATGGTCAATGAAAAATATAGTTAGAACTTCTTACTTAAGCAACAAGGTTTTAGCATCCAAGTGGCTGCAGTTAAAATTTTTTATAACCCATTTTCTTCCAGGACTAAGCAATGTCACAAACCTCTATTGGCTCCAATTTCTTCTATGTATCAAACACATATACCTGGTCATGCCCAGTAATTCCTGTATCTTAAAATGGTTTGTCATCATGGCTATCTGAATTGATACAAATTTTTATTTTTATTTATTTATTTATTTTTTTGAGACAGGGTCTTGATCTGTCACCCAGGTGGGAGTGCAGTGGCACTATCACAGCTCACTGCAGCCTCAATTTCCAGGGCTTAAGGGATCCTCCCACATCAGTCTCTCAAGGAACTAGGACCCGTGCACAGCTAAATTTTTTTATTTTTGTAGAGACAGAGGTCTTGCTATCTTGCCAAGGCTGGTCTCAAATTCCTGGGCTTAAACAATCCTCCCTTCTTGGCCTTCCATTATGCTGGGAATACAGGCATGAGCCATCGTGCTAGGCTGATATTTGCCTAATCTATTGATGCTAGGCACCAGCAATACTTTTGTCCGAAGATTTCAAGGGAAGCATTAGCAATCAGAAGAGGATATAAAAAGTCAAAAGATGCTAAGAACTCACAAGATTAAAACAGAGGAGAAGGGAGACGTCCAAAGGAAAGCATCTGCTAAATAACCATCACTCTTCCTCTGTCTTCTTCTTGTGAATTTTTAGCATTTTTTGACTTTCCATGTAGCAGCAACTGTGATCATTTTAAAATAGTAGTACCCTGCTTAAAACCTCCAATGACTTCCCACAGATTTACAATAAAATCTAAACTCTTTAATATGCCCTACAAAGCCTTAGAAGATGTGTCCCCTGTCTGCCTCTCTCATCTCATCTCTTACCAATCTTCCTCCTGCCTAGAACGCTTCAGCAATACTGGCTATCTTATGTCCTCTGGTCTGACAACCTGTATTTAGTCTAGCCTTAGGGCCTTTGCCCTACCAGGAATCTCATCCTCCTAAAATAAAAATACACAGGGCTCATCAAATGAATAACATGATTTGCTATTTAACTGGTAGCCTAAAAAACACCTCCTCAAAGAAGCCTTCCCTGTTCATTTAAACAGCTCCAACCACTCTCTATCATACCACTCCACTTCACTGCATGTAACACTTGGCTTGATAGTTTTCTTCTTTACTTACAAAGTTTTGTTTGTTTCCTGATATGGTTGGGCTCTGTGTCTCCACCCAAATCTCATTTTGAATTGTAATCCCCATGTGTCAGGGGAGGGATCTGGTGGGAGGTGATTGAATCATGGGGGTGGATTTCCCCCAGGCTGTTCTCGTGACAGTGAGTGAGTTCTCGCGACATATGATGGTTCTAAAAGTTTGGCATATTCCCCCTCGCTCTCATTCCTGCCACTGTGTGCTTCTCCTTTGCCTTCCACCATGATTGTAATTTTCCTGAGGCCTCCCTAGCCATGTGGAACTGTGAGTCAATTAAACCTCTTTTCTTTATAAATTACCCAGTCTCAGGTAGTTCTTTACAGCAGTGTGAGAACAGACTAATACATTTCCCTACTTCATCACAACATAAGCTTTATGAGAGTTTAGACTTTGTCTGCCTTGCTCATTATTGTTTTCTCAGTACCTCAAACAATTCTTATCACATAGTAGGCACTCAACTAAATTTATTAGATTAATAACTCAAGATTGGTCTCTGAACCTGGAACTCTGAATCTGGTCCCCAAATCCATTTCCTAAGCAACACAGAGAATAGCCTATAAAAACTAAACTTCACTGTCAATCCAACAAGCCAGAAAAAAAATCCATTATTTCCAAAAAGAAAACCAGAGACATGTTAATAAGGCAATAAATTTTCCTCCACAATGAGTTTAAAGTACATTGTATCAAAGTAAAAGTAATGGGATTCTTTTATTTTTCTTTTTTTTTTGGCAAGCCCACCAACAGCCTGAAGTTTTCATGAGTGAGAAGGCTGAGCTAGAATTAGAGGACCCAGGGTTATAACTGCTTTCAGCCCCTCTTGGACTTCAGTAGAAAGGCCTCTTTGGCCCTTTCAGAAGAAGGAATCATTATAGCTTTTGGTGGCACAGAAGAGAACCATACTCCTGGGAGCATAGAAGACACATACAAGAGAGGCAAGAAAAAGGGCCATTCTGAGGACAGTGGATACTAGAGGGAAAAAAAAACACAGAGAAAGCTTTAGCTGAGGTCAAATTTCATTAAGCTTGAAATTTTATTTAGAAGCAGTTCTGAAGGTACCAATTATTATTTACCTTGTCATGTACCTCCCATTATAGACATTTCTTCATCCCCAATATATATTTAGAAAAAACAAGCCCTCAAGTTACTATACAGAGTTCTAAATGAAAAAATTAAAATATCATAAATGTGTAAGCTAGAGAGTATACTATGCCAATTTTTGCTTGGAATTTGCTTGCAACAAGTAAATGTCAACTTTAAGATCTCAAAATGGAATATAAGATGGTACTCCTGTATTTAATTCATAATGGCATTCAAGCATGCTACAATGAGACACATTACCAAATTGCAAATGATTTCAGGTTCTGTACATACAGATGGATCTTGCCTAAGGTGTTTAAGTGCTAAGAGTCAATAGGTTAAAACAAATATACTCTAGATGACATTAATTTAAGTTAAAAGTTTTAAAACGGAAAGTGCTCTTCCACTAAATGGTAATGTTGTTCCCTAACAAACTGCTAAATCATGCCCTTGTCAGAAGAAATAAGCCAGAGTAACAAAAGATGTGCCCCCAAGTGCCTGAGAGGCAGAGTGTAGCATATTAACTAAATCACGCCTTTCAAACTTCACTGTTCTTCCCTCCTGCTAGGTAGCATATCCAAGCAGGATCTGTGCAGCTTCTATGCTCACACAGCTCAGCACAGATACATATTACAATAGGACAGTCCAGACGCCTGCACACATGCATAGGAATAAGGGGTCATGCCACCTCTGGTCCTCTGAGATATGAGAGATGCCTTTTGATCCCTGTAACATACCACCTGATCTAAGGTCTTGAATTCCCAAGAGTGAGAATTGGTGGGAATAAAAAAGAGTATTGTGCTCAGACTTTCTTGCTCATTGTAATATCAATAATTTAAAAGCATTGTCCTTACATCAAACCTCCCTAGAGTACATTTCTTCCATTGCATCATGGGATATTTCCATTATTAATTGGTCTTCTTTCTGATTCAAACACACACCTTCCCTAAAGACACAATACTTTCCTTCTAGCATGGCTGGACCCCTCCCTCCCAGTAGATTGTAGATTGCTTACCAAACAGATAAAAATGATATAAAAACTGATGCTTGATCTTATTATAGGTATGTTTTCAATGAAAGCTTAAAGTTGTGCACAGTTTCTCCAAGAAGGAAAGAAAACTGTTAATTAATGTTCATATTTGAGGAGGAAGCCTGATCAGGAAGATTCTGTTTTTATTTCCAGTAGTGACAAAGGCTTTGCAATGATTCTTCCCTTCTCCAAAAAGCCTACAAGAAGATGTTTGTGACTAACTTTCTGTGGCTGAGGTCACTATACACAGGACTTTCCCTTGAAAATAAGGCATAATGACACAGTCATAGGATTCGGAGGATGGTATAGAGGAAGGTGAGGAAGGGTGGTGTGGAAAAATTCATACCAAGTCAGAAGATCGCATTCAAGTTCTGCTATTAATCAATTATCTTCCTTTGCCTCAATTATTTCATCTCTCTGAGCCTCATTTACATCTGTAAAACTAGGATGATAATGACTAGCTTACAAAGGTATTCAGTGCTTTCACTGAACCCTTAGTGTCCCTATTCTAAGTGCTTAGAACAAAGAAGGAGGAGGAGCAGGAGAAGGAGAAAAAGATCTGGGCACTTTAAAGCTTTAACCATAGTAATGAGAACAAACATAGAAATAGATAATTGGGTGTAATATGATATGCCACAGGATAGATTCTGACAACTGGGGCCAGATGGACATAATTCCTCATGAAACTATAAAAACATCACCACCACGACGGCCCTACCATAATTTATGGAGAAAGGAGAAGAGATTCTGTGAAAATTCTGAATTGATTGAAATTTAATCTGAAGTGACTACATTTACTTAGAATCTACTTGGAATACTTTTTCTGTAACCAAACAAAATGGACATGAAAGGGAGATTAAGTGGTATTCTTAGATCAAGCTCTCTAGAAGTAGACCATGCACCAAGCTCCATGCAAATGAATCATTAGGGAAGTACTCCTGAGAAAAATCAATAGGGAGAGGGGGAAGCATGGCATGGAGGAGAAAGAAGCCAAGTAAGGCTTTAGGCAAAGTCCTATACAGAATAGCTTTAGCCTATGCCTCAGAGTGGTCCTGTCCCTTGATTGAGACTCTCTCACCATTCAGTCATTGGTTAACAGCCACCTGGGATGAATGTACTTCCCAGGCACCACCAGTTCTCTGGGCTTCTGGGCAAAGGGATAGTAGTCCAAGGGCATACTCTGAAGAAGAATCACAGGTGCAAGTTGAGGAAAGCAGAGGCATACTCAAGTCAGGGGAAGAGGGCACAAAGTAGTAAAAGCGATACAAGGGGCTACAGGAGGAGCATTGAACTGGAGGCACAGAAGTGCCAAGTTACACTCCTCACACCTGAGAATGTGCTCTCAAGTATTATTATTGCAATATAACCACAAGATAGAAATATCAGATATATAAACAGAGGACAATCATGGAAGCGCCAAGGAGGCAGTGACCAGTTCTTTCTGAGGGAAACAAGAAGATGTTTAACAGACTGTATGATCCCTCCCGTAAGGGGCCTTTGGATTTACAGGAGGGTCTGGAAAGGTGACTGAGTCTGGGTTCAAGGCTCCATCCTGTGGGGTGATTATCTCACATGCCTGGGGACAAAGTCAGAAGTCAAACCCTATCTAAAAATTAGCAGTGAAGTTCAAGTCAAAAAATCTAAATCCATTTTTAGAAACAAGAGGTTGGGAGTTCAGCAATTATAAGAAAAGTGTCAGAGACAAGGAGCCAGATGATGAAATTACGCATGAGACCTGCCCGTTCATCAGGGGCAGAGCAAGGCAGGGCAGGGTTGTCCTGGGAAACATGATGGGTGGGTGGTGACAGACATCAAGGAGGAGCATCCAGATGTCAGGTCAGGGTCAAGCCTTAATGAAATGTATGTGTTTTCAGATACAACTGGAGTATATGGCATTAGAGAAAGAAAAGCTGTGCATGGAGCTAGAATTTATTGTGGCTTGAATTTAAGGGATATGATGAAGAGAGGGAGAGGAAGAGGAAGGTGAAGAGAGGCAGAGGAAGAGGAAGCTGAAGAGGTCATTTTTCAGCTGACTTGTCCAAGACCCTGCAAGCCATTCTGAAAGATTTTCACCTAATCCAGTGGCCAATAGAGCGTTTTTTGTTTGTTTGTTTGTTTGTTTTTAATTTTTAGGAAGATTATATAGAGTGGAGAAAGAGAGAAACAGGTTTGAAGATTGTTGCAAAAGTTGAGGTGAGAGATAATAGACAATGAAATTAACATTCTTCCCAAAGAATTTGTAGATCAAGGAACTAGCCCAAAGGAAAATATACTAGGCCATTCTTAAAAGTTCCTTATCTCTTTGCATTCTATTTGTGTAGTGGTTACTGCTGAGGGAGGAAACAAAAATCTCATCTATTTTTTAAAACTCTGCAAAAGTCTTGATCTTCAAAGTATCTTGATCTTGAGGAAGATCAAGATACTTACTTGTGATGAAAAAGAAACTCAATTCCTTTCTAGCAAATAAAAAACAGAAAACTACGTAATGAAATAAAATCCTGGCTCAGGTTTGGGATATTGGGAAAATTAAGGTAAAGGAATGATTGAAATGTTTCAAACTGCAGAGAATACTAACATATGTTGACTATACAATGGTCAAATGATAATTTTTAGTAAGTAAAAGTCATTAATGGATGAAAAGATAACAGAAAATCTATCAGCACCCACCTACTAGATTTGAGATAAGGGGCAAGATTAAGGAGCTACTTGGGGCCAGAATCAATAGAACTTGGTTGCAGATTGCACACATGAAATGAGGGAGATGGAAGAGTCCACTAGGAGGCTTAGGAATTGGAACTGAAGGAGGAGGAGCAATATGGGAAGAGTGAGGCAAATGGAGAGTTCACTTTTGCGCATGCTCAGCATTCAAGTTGGAGGTGCTGAGTAGGTGGTTGGAAATACATGTTCACTTCAGGGAAAAGATGGCTCTAGAGTATAAATGTAAGATTATCACTGTTTAGATTGTACCTCAGTCCTAGAATGAGTAGGAGTTTAAAGAGAGAAAACAAACATTCTAAGAATAGAACTGTGAGAAGCTACAATATTTAAGCTGCATTTCATGGAAAGAGAGAGATTTAATAAAGGATTTTATTTGAGTGGCCAGAAAGGTTAGAAATGAGTGGTATTCTGTAAGCCAATAAAAGAAAAAGTGTCCAGAATGAAAATGCAACATGACTGCCTAGGCCTAATGATGGCCCGACTATGTACTCACTGAAGGGCAAGTAGCTTAATCTCTTTGTGCCTAAATTTCCTCATTTGTAAAATGGGAATAATAACACCTACTCTATAGGGCTGTTCTGAAAACTAAATAATTTAATAAATGGAAATTGCTTATAGCAGGGCTAGGCAAAGAGCAAATGCTATGTGTGTTAGTAAAAAGAAAAAAAAGTGATGCAGAGACATTGCTTTCAATAAATTAGTTAATGCCCGAACACAGTTCATTGGATTTGACTATTAGCAGGTCATTGTTATGGGTGAAAGGTACTGTATATAAAAGCACACGCATAAAATATTTATCATTTAAAATTTTTTTCCTTTTTGCTTATTATTTAGAATTTGTGAAGATGAGAGAGAAAACGATGGTAATGTATTTATAAAGAAAAAATAAAAGGGCTAACCCATGTTTCAAAATATACCAAAAACTAGATTAAGGGTGAATTTAATACGGTAAACTAAAGTACAGAATTATCACCCACACAAATGTAAAAGACACATGGCGTTTTTGTTATTAACAATATTAGGTGTCTGAAATCTCACTGGAGTTATTTTAGAAACACAGATGGTCAGACAGATATATGCTGTATGTGAATATGTGAAAAGTAAGTGATGCAAATTATAGCTGGGATAGTCACCTTAAATTTATACATCTTTCTTTCTGATTATGCCATTTAATGGAAAAATTGATACATCTCTACAGAATACAAATATTTATCTATAGCACTAATATGTATAAGTATCTTATTATATATTTTATGGCCAGAAATTATTGTTATTCTTCATACTTAACACTTATTGAATGTTTATTGTGTGCCAGCAACTACTAAGTATGTTATATGTATTCATCCATTTAAACTTCACACCAATCCAATGAGGTAGTTATTACTGACAATTCCATTTCCATTTCACATGCAAGGAAACTGAGATACAGAGAAGTCAAGCAATTTGCCTTTGGTTGCAAATCTAGTAAGTAGCATGGCAAAGAATGAATGCAGGTAGGCTGGCTCCAGAGCCATGCATTTAGTTGTGCTACACTGCCTCTAGAATAAGGAGGAAATAAAAATACATAAGATAAAAAGTAAGAGTCCATGTTACCTTTCAGAGATCTGTCATATTTTGTTATGTAGTAAATTGTGTTCCCTGCAAATTCATATGTTGAAGCTCTATCCCCCGCTACCTCAGAATGAGGCAGTTTTTGGAGACAGGACTTTTAAAGAGGTAATTAAGTTTAAATGATATCACATGGGTGAGCCCTAATGCAATCTGACTGGGGTCCTTATAAGAACAGAAAATTTGGACGCACAGAGAGACACCAGGGATGCACATACAGAGAAAAGACCATGTGAGGACACAGCAAAAAAAAAATCAGCCAAGGGCTGCAAGCCAAGGAGAGAGGCCTTGGTGGGCACCAAACCTGCTGACAACCTGATCTTGGATTTCTAGCCTCCAGAGCTGTGAGAAATAAATTTCTATGAAAACAAATTTCTAATAAATAGTTTATAATTCTTTGTTATAGCAGCCCAAACTGACTAAGAATCATGTGAGCCTATTCCTCATAATACATTTCCATTTGTGTGTGTGTGTGTGTGTGTGTGTGTGTGTGTGTGTATGTCTGTATCTGTACCAATTTGTTTTCACACTACTATAAAGAAATACTTGAGACTGAGTAATTTATAAAGGAAAGAAGTTTAATTGACTCACAGTTCCACATGGCTGAGGAGGCCTCAGGAAACTTACAATCATGGCAGAAGGTGAAGAGGAAGCAAGGCACGTCTAACATGGCAGCAGGAGAGAGAGAGAAAGAGTGAGGAATTGCCACTTAAAACCATCAGCTCTCAGGAAAACTCCCTCACTGTCATGAGAACACCACAGGGAAAATCTGCCCCCATGATCCAATCACCTCCCACCAGGTCCCTCCCCTGACATGTGGGGATTACAACTGGAGATGAGATTTGGGCGCGGACACAGAGCCAATCAAATCAGTATGTTTGTTTTCTTTCTAATTCTCTTTTCACATAACATGTATTTATTTTATATCACATAATTTAAAATTGTTGATTTTATATTACAGTATTTACATTACAGGATATTAAAAGGAATATAAAACATCACTCAAGAAATTTACCTGCAGCCAGGCACGGTTGCTCATGCCTGTAATCCCAGCACTTTGGGAGGCTGAGGTGGCAAATCATTTGAGGTCAGGAGTTCGAGACCAGCCTGGTCAACATGGTGAAACCCCATCTCTACTAAAAATACAAAAATTAGCCAGGTGTGGTTGTGGGCGCCTGTAATCCCAGCTACTCAAGAGGCTGAGGCAGGAAAATTGCTTGAACCTGGGAGGTGGAGGTTGCAGTGAGCCATGATCATACCATTGCACTCCAGCCTGGGTGACAAGAGCAAAACTCAGTCTCACAAAAAAAAGAAAAGAAAAGAAAAGACATTTACCTCCTCTTCTGGGGAAAGGGTTAGTGTGTTTTTAGTTGTACACAGGATAGTTGTATTATGTTAGGTGGAATTATGACCTTATTATTGTCTTCATTTGGAGATTGAATATGGTTTAAGAAGATGTGTGTGGGTGCTCAGTTGACAAGGAGGAGACTTGTGGTTAATTTTAGGTGTCAACTTGAGTGGGCCACAAGGTCCCCAGAGTAAACACGTTTCTGAGTGTGTCTATGAGGGTGTTTCTGGATAAGATTAGCAGTTGAATCAGGGGATTCAGTAAAGTGATTGCCCTCCCCAACGCGAATGGCACCATCTAATCCACTGAAGTCCTGAATAGAACAAAAGGCAAAGGAAGGAGAGATTTATTCCTTTTTTTCCTGTCTCATCACTTAAGCTGGGACATCTCATTTTATGTTCTCCTTCCCTTGGACTAGGATTTACATCACTGGCTTCTCTGGTTCTAAGGCTTTCAGACCCAGACTGAATTACATCACTGGATTTCCTGGATATCCACCTTGCAGATAGCAGACTGTGGTACTTGTCATCCACAATTGCATGAACCAGGTCTTCATAATACATCTCATACATCTCTCTCTCTCTCTATGTATATAGAGGGCCAGGTACAAGCAGGCAATAAAAACTAAAGAAAAATTTTGCCTATATATAAACATAGATACATACATACATACATATCTATGTGTGTGTGTGTGTGTGTGTGTGTGTGTGTGTGTGTGTGTATTTTATTGGTTCTATTTCTCTGAAGAACCCTAACTAATACAGGTGCCTGGCTCAACCCAGACACTTTGTTTACTTTTTTAACTTGGTGCCTAATATTGCTATCCTTCCTGTGGATTTATTCAAGACAAATTCTTTTCTATCTCCCATTCCGATAGCCACTTTCCAAATCCCTTTATCCAGAGATTATCTCTGATTCACATATATACTGTCCAAGAATTTCATGTCTTCCGTAAGTAAGCAGTAAAACATTTTTTAAAAGTTCTTCATGAAGTGTTAAGCAAAGAGACTGAGGAAAAATTGGTGATTCCCTTTAAAATACTAAGTGTCAACCATTTCAGGGTCCAGGAATTCTGTAACAAGTTATATGATTATGTCCTAATTGAGTTCTGTGTAAAGGGGTTACCATATGCTTTTTTCAGGTGGCAAGCAGTTACCCAGGATTCGTTGGATCTTCTCTTTTTCAGTGAGTAACTCACTTATGGATCTCTGAGATCTTTTTCTAATGACCCCTCACAAAATTTTCAGAAACTTTTGGAAAGTGACATTTATAACCTCTTTATACTTTTTGAGGTAAATAGGAATGATTAAGTCATCAGTAGACTTTAATAACACTCTATTTAATCAGATTTGGCCTACAGAGAAATAAATCATGATGGCAGTTTTGTAGTAAATACTATTGTAATGAATGAAGAAAGGAGATATAAAGCAAAAGAAAGTAGAACCCACTGAAAGGAAAACTATTTCAATTCACAACATTTTTGGAGACACATTGCCAAAATGGAGATGGATAGAAGTTGTAATTCAAGGATATCCTGCCTAAATGAAATGAGTTTACATGAAGGACATTGTATTTACAGTATAACTTAAGACTTATTAGCTACCCCAGGATATGAAGAAAACTTAGTTTAGCTATTTTTCTTTTAAAATATGCAATGTGTGCTTGGCTATGTAGATCTTAGCCATTTAAAAAAGCTCAGTTTTGAAATCCATTTGATTTTTTCTTCTATTACATTGTAAGTTTCAGCATGTTTTAAGAATTCTCCTACCTCCCTATCTTATGTCAATTTTTAAAAGATTATTTTACACCATGTTTTGCCATACCCTGAAAATATTGCAACACTACAAAGTTGGCCATGCAGAAAAGAAATTCAAGGTATAAACTGCAGAACTGACATTAGCACACAGAGTAGACCTCTGCCAGCTAAGAAGGAGACAAGGTCAATAGCTCACTGATGGCAGAGCAGAATGGTGTCACATCTGGTACACAGAGCATGGGGCTGACAGTCAAGCGACCTGGTCTGTATCCCAGCCAGCCAGGATACTGGTTCACTCAGTGACCTTAAACAAGTCTATTAGCCTCTGTTCCTAGTTCTCCACCTGTGGAGTTGAGATAAGAATATTCTTAATCCATAGGAATAGTGTTAGAATTAATGGCTTGTTATGGGACTTGGTGGAATAAGAATCTGGGCCATGTACACGCAGGTAATGAAAAGCAAAGAAAAAATTTGCCTGTCTTTTCTATCCAATTTATTTTTTTCAGGACAATCCAGTGTTTTCAGGATTATAATGGAGTATAATCAATGTACTTCCTCCAGAAATTCTAATACTATTAAGAGTTCAAGACCATGCAAATGACCTGTGATCATGCAAAACTAAGTTGATTAAACCTACTGCAACAAGATAAAAAATAATCTAAAGTGAATCTTCATAGTTCTCAGAAGACATAGGGCATAAAAGAATATATGTATATATATATATGCATATCTGCATAAAAGGATATATACACATAGGGTTTTGAGGTCTGTGCTCAAACAAGCAAATCTTTCAAGGAGGACACCTTTCAAATCTTTTCAAGGAGGACAACTTGTTAGGATTAAGCAAATTAATTAATGATAATATGTAACAGACATATCAAGAAAACAGTCTTGAGTCTTCATAAGTAAGCTCTTTTGGATAAGCAAGCACTGTGACCAAGTGAGATAATAATTTTCCTAAACAAATTAGGAATTTCCTGAAGCAAACAGTGAAATTACTTACTAGTTTACAAGTCATATATTTCTAGATAAAAATATTCCTGGAACAAACAGTTAAGTCATGTTAAAACAGTCATTCTCAAATCTCAGTCCTGATGGTTAAATTATATGACCACAAAGGGCCTTAACTGTCATAGAGAACATATTCCAGTTACCACATTGGGGGTATCTGTGAAAAGAACAAGTGAAAATGAAAACAAATGGTGAGTAGGGAGAGATACTAAAGAAAGAAAGGAAAAAGTGGTATATGATTTTCCAGTAACAAAACCAGTCAAGTGCAAGAGTCAAAAGCAACCGCCTTTGTCACGTAAGTCTTTAATTATTCCCAAGGGTATCATTGTGATATGGACAGAAGACAGGGAAATATTGGGTAAAAGAGGGCAGTTCCCCACAAAGGCCCCACCCTCAAGCCTGGATACCTGCAGCCCTAAATGAGAACAGGCATTTCTTTTTCCAAACCCAAAAAGTTGTCTTCTTGTCCACCACACCCCCTATCCTGCCCCATATAAACCCCAAACCCCAAGCTCCAGAGCAGACCAGGCAGACTGGCAGACCCACAGACCAGCAGGTGAGGAGATGAAGAGGCAAACAGATGGACAGCAGAACGCATGGCAGAGAAAGAGAAAAGAGGAGTTGAGAGGGGAATCAGGGAACTCTCCGTTTCAATTGCAAAGGTAACCATATGATTTCCACTAAAATTGAGAAACTTCGAGATTGAAAGCAGGTGTTAAAATAAGTTATAGGCTTTAACATATTTACAACTGGTACAACCAGGACCCAGGCAAACCTGCGGTAATCCAAGTTAAAGCCTAAAATAGCAAGCTCTACTATAAAATTTAAAAGAAACAATAAATGTAATTACTGTGTGGACTCTAGTTTCAGCTCTGACATGTAAGGAGCTTGGAAGTTACCACTCCCATCCTTGCAATAAGGAAAAAGCTGAACAAATGAAAACTCAACAACTTTTCTTGAACTCATCAGAGAATTGAGATCTCAGGGCAAACTACCATAGTAAAATCTGCAGAAGCAGGGGAATAAAGAAAATCACAGCTGGCCTCACCTTACCTGGAGGAGCAGGCTAGTAGAAACGGTTAACCAGTAACTTGGATGAATTGCTGGAGGCTAAGTTTTGTCTAGCGTGAAAGTGAGAAATTCCAGGGGTTCACAGTCCTAGGGGCCCCACATCATTGGTATTAACTCCAGGAACTACATCAGGTTCTCATGGTAAGATGCTAACAACAACAAATCTACACATGGCAATGTCAAGAAGAGGAGATAACTCTTCTCATATTTTGAAATATGCCCAGAACGTCCTCCACGACTGAAGCCTATTCAGTATAGGCTCTCAGTTGCTGTGGAGAACGTTCTGGGCATACTTCAAAATAAGCAAAAGTATAGGAAAAAGACTTGAATAGAGCCTTATCTGAACTGAGAGAAGAGCACTTAGGGCAATTACATAACTCCAGCCTTCTCTGGCTCACCTAATTAATGACTCAGTGGGACAGGGCGGGCAAGAGGAGAAGCTAATAAACACTTACAATGCTTATAGACCAGGGACACAGGCCCACTAAAAGACTAACACTGAATCATAGGATTACTGAATGTGTCCCCTCACCTACATTTTACCACTCCTCAACAGGACTGTAGCATAATAACCGTGAAAAATAGCTGAAAGGACTGTGAGATGCAGACTCAGTTTAAGACAGAGTTGTTAAGAAAACCTAAAGACAATAAGGAAGACAAACATAAGTACATTAGAGGAAATTAAAGGCTTTCATACCTATAGCTATAGCAAACATTAAACATGACCTAACTCCTAGTAAGATTAACATAAACCCTCACAATGAAGAGATGTTTACTTCAGTTTCTATTACCTGATACGTTATATCTAACTTTCAACAAAATTACGAAGCATGCTATGAAGTAAGAAAAAAAACAGTCTGAAGAGATAAAGTAAGTATCAGAATAAGACTCAGAGGCAGCACAGATTTTGCAATTATCAGGCAGGGAATTTAAAATAACTATTGTTAATATGTTAAGGGCTCTTGTGGCAAAAGTAAACAGCACACAGAACCAGATGGGTAACATAAACAAAGAGATGGAAACTAAGAAAGTATCCAAAAGAAATGCTGAAATTCAAAAATAGAAACAAAAAATGCCTTCAATGGGCTCATCAGTAGATTAGACAGGCTTGAGAAAGAATCAGCAAGCTTGTAGATATGTTCATAGAAACTTCCCAAAGTGAAATGCAAAAAGACTGTAAAGCAAAATATCTGAAGTGGAAGCAGAGCAAGATGGCCAAATAGGAGCCTCTGCCAATCATCCTCCCTGCAGAAACACCAAATTGAACAACTATCTACCCTAAAAATCACCGTCATAAGAACCAAAAATCAGATGAGCAATCATAGTACTTTATTTTAACTTCATATCCCTGAAAGAGGCATTAAAGTGGGTAGAAAAAATGGTCTTTTTTTGGGGATAGAAGCTCACTTTGTTACCCAGGCTGGAGTGCAGTGGCACAATCACACTGTAGCCTCAACTTCCCAGGCTCAAGTGACCCTCCCGCCTCAGCTTCCTGAGTAGCTGGGACCATAGGTGCGTGCTATAATGGCTGGCTCATTTTTTTTTTTTAATTTTTTGTAGAGATAGGGGTCTCACTGTGTTGCCCAGGCTAGTCTCAAACTCCTGGGCTCAAACAATCCTCCCACCTTGGCCTCCCAAAGTGCTGGGATTACAGGCACCAGCCACTGTGCCCAGCTAAAAGACAGTCTTGAATTGCCAATGTCACCCCTCCTCCATCCCCACCAGTGACTGCATGGCACACAGAGAGGATCTGTGCACTTGGGAGAGTGAGAGCACAGTGGCGGTGGAACTTTGCATTGAAACTCAGTGCTGCCTTATCACAGCAGAAAGCAATATCAGGTAGAAGTTAGTTGGCACCCATGGAGACAATATTTAGACCAACCCTAGTAAAAGGAGAATTACCCATCCCAGTGGTTGGAACCTGAGTTCTTGCAAGCCTCACCTCCACAGGCTAAACAGATATGAGGTCCTAAATAAACGTGAAGGCAGCCTAGGCCACAAGGACTGCCATTCCTGGGCAAATCTTGGTGCTGTGCTGGGCTTGGAGCCAGTAAACTTGGGGGGCACAATATCTAGTGAGACACCAGTGCAGGCAGCCGAGGGAGTGCTTGCACTGCCCTTCCCCCAACTCCAGACAATGTAGCTTGCAGTTCCAGGAGAGTCTCCATCCCTCCACGTCAGGAGAGGAGAGGCAAGAGTAAAGAGGATTTTGTCTGGCAACTTGGATACCAGCTCACCCACAGTAGGATAGGGTACCAGGCAGAGTCCTAAGGCCCTCATTCCAGGCTCTTCTTCTTGGACAACATTTCTAGACATACCCTGGACCAGAAGGGAACATGCTGTCTTGAGAAGAATACAGTCTGGCAGTTGATTGTACGACTGCTGACTAAAGAGCCCTTGGCCCTGGATAATCAGCAGTGATACATAGGCAGTTCTTGCTGTGAGCCTTGGGGGAGACTTAGAAACATGCTAGCTTCAGGTGTGACCCAGCACATTCCCAACTATGGTACCTATTGGAAGGGACTCTTTATGCTTGAGAAAAGGAGAAGGAAGAGTAAATGAGACCCTGTCTTGCAGCTTAGGCACCAGCTTGTACACAGTGGGGTAGAGCACAAAGTGGGCTCTTGGGGTCTCTGATTCCAGACCTTGGCTCTTGGATGGTATTTCTGGACCTGCCCTGGGCCAGAGGGATTACCGCTGCCCTAAAGGAAGAGTCCCAGGCCTGGCAACATTCACCACAAGCTCACTGAAGAGCCTTTGGGCCTTGAGCAGTAGCCAGGTAGTACACAACACCAGTCTGGTGTGGTGGTGGCCATGGATAGAGATTGCTGTGCTTGCGGAAAGGGGAGAAAAATGTGGGAAGGACTTTGCCTTGTTGCTTGGGTGCCACAAGACAGTATGGGTGCCAGCTCAGCCACAGTAGAATAGGGCACCGGTTAGATTCCTAGGGTGTCCAATGACAGGCCCTACCTCCCAGACAGCATTTCTGAACCTGACAGGCATTCATGGGAACTTGCTGAGGGGAAGGACACAAACCTAGCTAGCTTCACCACCTGCTGATTGTAGAGCCCTGTGACCTTGAGTAAACATAGGCAATAGCCAGGCAATGGTTGCCATGGCTATGGGTGAGACCCAGTGCTGTGCTAGCTTCAGATATGACCCAACACAGGCCACACCGCATGCGGCACACTCCCCCAGCTTAAGGCAGCTTAGCACAGAGAGAGACTCCATATGTTTGGGAGAAAGAAAGGGAAAAGAATAAGAGTCTCTGCTTAGTAATCCAGAGAATTCTTGTGAATCATATAAAAGACTACCAATGTGGAACCTCTGTGAGTCTGCAAGACCCACAGCATTACTAAGCTTGGGGTACCACTTTGTTACTAGTGGCACATTTGTATGGATCTGCAGCAACCTCAATTCTTGCCTCCTCAGAAGAAAGAATTTGACTGAGGAGCATAAGGCAGAAGAATAGACTGAGGCAAGTTTTAGAGCAGGAGTGAAGGTTTATTAAAAAGCTTTAGAACAGGAATGAAAAGAAAGTAAAGTACACTTGGAAGAGGGCCAAGAGGGCAACTTGAGGACAAGTGCACCATTTGACCTTTTGACTTGGGGTTTTATATGTTGGCATACTTACGGGGTCTGCATCTCTTCTCCCTTGATTCTTCTCTTGGGATGAGCTGTCTGCATATGCAGTGGTCTGCTAGCACTTGTTAGGTATGCATGCACAATGTGTTTACTGGAGTTATATGCATTCTCACTTGAGTCATCCTTCCCTTACCAGCTGAATATTCCTAGAAGGTCATATACCAGTTAAACTCTGCCATTTTGCCTCTTAATGTACGTGCTTGAGCCTACTTGGCCAACTCCTGGGATCTTATTGGGAAGCTGCTGATCACCAGTTTCAGGTGTTTCAGATTATTAGAAGACTGCCTTTCTCTGGTGCTGGTTGTTACCAATTATTATTTTAGAGAGACAGTTAACAACCACCTGACCATCACCTGATGGTTGCCTGACATTCCGGGTGTGTGTGTGTATGGGGTGGTTGGGGGAGCCCTCTTCTGCTCTGCTCATGTCTGACTAGCTACCTACTGTAACACCCTGATGCAGATACAAGTGCAGTGACAAAAAACTTCTATCACAACACCCAAGTCCTTTTGAATACCTGGGAAACCTTACAAGAAGGATGGGTACAAAGAAGCCCAGACTCAAAGGACCACAATAAATACCTAACTCTTCAATGCCCAGGCAACAATGAATTGGATAGCATCTAGACTATCCAGGAAAACACTACCTCAATAAACAAACTAAGTAAGTCCCCAGGGACCAATCCTGGAGAGATAGAGATATGTGATGTTTCCGACAGAGAATTAAAACTAGCTGTTTTGAGGAAACTCAGCAAAATTCAAGATAACAGAGAAGGAATTCAGAATCTTATCAAATCAACTTAAGAAAGAGATTGAAATAATTTAAAAAATCAAGCAGAAATTCTGGAGCTGAAAAATGCAATTGACATATTGAAAAATGCATTAGTGTCAAAACAGTAGAACTGATAAAGCAGAAGGAAGAATTAGTGAGCTTAAAGCCAGGCTACTTGAAAATAGTCAGAGGAGGAAAAAGAATAGAAAACAATGAAGCACACCTACAAGATCTAGAAATAGCCTCAAAAGTGAGAAAACTAAGAGTTATTGGCCTTAAAGAGGAAGTAGGAAGAGAGATAGGGATGGAAAGTTTATTCAAAGGGATAGTAACAGAGAACTACCCAAACCTAGGGAAAGATATCAATTTTCAAGTACAGGAAGGTTTTAAAACAACAAGCAGACTTAATGCAAAGAAGACTACCTCAAGATATTTAATAATTAAACTCCCAAAAGTCAAGAATAAAGAAAGGATCCTGAAGGCAGCAACAGAAAAAAACAAATAACACTCAATGGAGCTCCAATACACCTAGCAGCAGACTTCTCAGTGGAAACCTTATAGGCCAGGAGAGAGTAGCATGACATATTTGACATAAAGTGCTGAAGGAAAAAAAATACTTTTATCCTATAGTTGTATATTCAGTGGAAATATCCTTAACAGACTGAGAAATAAAGACTTTCCAAGACAAACAAAAGCTGAGGGATGTCATCAACACCAGACCTATCAGACAAGAAGTACAAAACTAACTAACAGTAGTAAGTACACAGAAAAACACAGAATACTATAACATGTAATTGTGGTATGTAAACTATTCATGTATGAACCAATCAAAAATAATAATTACAACTTTTCAAGACACAGTACAATAAAATATAAGTAACAAGAACAAAAAGGTTTTTTTTTTTATTATACTTTAAGTTCTAGGGTACATGTGCACAACGTGTGCAGGTTTGCTACATATGTATACATGTGTCATGTCAGTTGTTGCACCCATTAACTCGTCATTTACATTAGGTATATCTCCTAAGGCTATCCCTCCCCTCTCCCCCAACCCCACGACAGGCCCCGGTGTGTAATATTCCCCTTCCTGTGTCCAAGTGCTCTCATTGTTCAATTCCCACCTATGAGTGAGAACATGCAGGGTTTGGTTTTTTTGTCCTTGCGATAGTTTACTGAGAATGATGGTTCCCAGCTTCATCCATGTCCCTACAAAGGACATGAACTCATCCTTTTTTATGGCTGCATAGTATTCCATGGTGTATATGTCCATGGTGCCACATTTTCTTAATCCAGTCTATCATTGATGGACATTTGGGTTGGTTCCAAGTCTTTGCTATTGTGAATACTGCCGCAACGAACATACGTGTGCATGTGTCTTTATAGCAGCATGATTTATAATCCTTTGGGTATATACCCAGTAACGGGATGGCTGGGTCAAATGGTATTTCTAGTTCTAGATCCCTGAGGAATCGCCACACTGACTTCCACAATGGTTGAACTAGTTTACAGTCCCAAGAACAGTGTAAAAGTGTTCCTATCTCTCCACATCCTCTCCAGCACCTGTTGTTTCCTGACTTTTTAATGATCGCTATTCTAACTGGTGTGAGATGGTATTTCATTGTGGTTTTGATTTGCATTGCTCTGATGGCCAGTGATGATGAGCATTTTTTCATGTGTCTGTTGGCTGCATAAATGTCTTCTTTTGAGAAGTGTCTGTTCATATCCTTTGCCCACTTTTTGATGGGGTTGTTTTTTTCTTGTAAATTTGTTTGAGTTCTTTGTAGATTCTTGATATTAGCCCTTTGTCAGATGAGTAGATTGCAAAGATGTTCTCCCATTCTGTAGGTTGCCTGTTCACTCTCATGGTAGTTTCTTTTGCTGTGCAGAAGCTCTTTAGTTTAATTAGATCTCATTTGTCAATTTTGGCTTCTGTTACCATTGCTTTTGGTGTTTTAGACATGAAGTCCTTGCCCATGCCTATGTCCTGAATGGTAATGCCTAGGTTTTCTTCTAGGGTTTTTATGGTTTTAGGTCTAACACTTAAGTCTTTAATCCATCTTGAATTAATTTTTGTATAAGGTGTAAGGAAGGGATCCAGTTTCAGCTTTCTACATATGGCTAGCCAGTTTTCCCAGCACCATTTATTAAATAAGGAATCCTTTCCCCATTTCTTGTTTTTGTCAGATTTGTCAAAGACCAGATGGTTGTAGATGTGTGGTATTATTTCTGAGGCCTCTGTTCTGTTCCATTGCTCTATATCTCTGTTTTGGTACCAGTACCATACTGTTTTGGTTACTACAGCCTTGTAGCATAGTTTGAAGTCAGGTAGCGTGATGCCTCCAGCTTTGTTCTTTTGACTTAGGATTGACTTGGCAATGCGGGCTCTTTTTTGGTTCCATATGAAGTTTAAAGTAGTTTTCTCCAATTCTGTGAAGAAAGTCATTGGTAGCTTGATGGGGATGGCACTGAATCTATAAATTACCTTGGGCAGTATGGCCATTTTCACGTTATTGATTCTTCCTATCCGTGAGCATGGAATGTTCTTCCATTTGTTTGTGTCCTCTTTTATTTCACTGAGCAGTGGTTTGTAGTTCTCCTTGAAGATGTCCTTCACATCCCTTGTAAGTTGGATTCCTAGGTATTTTATTCTCTTTGAAGCAATTGTGAATGGGAGTTCACTCATGATTTAGCTCCCTGTTTGTCCGTTATTGGTGTATAAGAATGCTTGTGATTTCTGCACATTGATTTTGTATCCTGAGACTTTGCTGAAGTTGCTTATCAGCTTAAGGAGATTTGGGGCTGAGACGATGGGGTTTTCTAAATATACAGTCATGTCATCTGCAAACAGGGACAATTTGACTTCCTCTTTTCCTAATTGAATACCCTTTATTTCCTTCTCCTGCCTGATTGCCCTGGCCAGAACCTCCAGCACTACATTGGATAGGAGTGGTGAGAGAGGGCATCCCTGTCTTGTGCCAGTTTTCAAAGGGAATGCTTCCAGTTTTTACCCATTTAGTATGATATTGGCTGTGGGTTTGTCATAAATAGCTCTTATTATTTTGAGATACGTCCCATGAATACCTAATTTATTGAGAGTCTTTAGCATGAAGGGCTGTTGAATTTTGTCAAAGGCCTTTTCCGCTTCTATTGAGATAATCATATGGTTTTCGTCTTTGGTTCTATTTACATGCTGGATTACATTTATTGATTTGCATATGTTGAACCAGCCTTGCATCCCAGGGATGAAGCCCACTTGATCATGATGGATAAGCTTTTTGATGTGCTGCTGGATTTGGTTTGCCAGTATTTTATTGAGGATTTCTGCACTGATGTTCATCAGGAATATTGATCTAAAATTCTCTTTTTTTGTTGTGTCTCTGCCAGGCTTTGGTATCAGGATGATGCTGGCCTCATAAAATGAGTTAGGGAGGATTCCCTCTTTTCCTATTGATTGGAATAGTTTCAGAAGGAATGGTACCAGCTCCTCCTTGTACCTCTGGCAGAATTTGGCTGTGAATCCGTCTGGTCCTGGACTTTTTTTGGTTGGTAAGCTATTAATTATTGCCTCAATTTCAGAGCCTGTTATTGGTCTATTCAGAGATTCAACTTCTTCCTGGTTTAGTCTTGGGAGGGTGTAGAACGAAAAGTTAAAGAGTGGGAGGATGAAGTTAAATCATAAAGTTTTTATTAGTTTTTTCTTTTTACTTGTTTATGGAATCAGTGTAAATGTGTCATCAAACTACTCATGTATGAACCAATCAAAATAATAATTACAGCTTTTCAAGACACAGTACAATAAAATATAAGTAGAAAGAACAAAAAGTTAAAAAGTGGTAGGATGAAGTTAAACCATAGAGCTTTAATTAGTTTTTTCTTTTTGTTTGTTTGTTTGTGTAATCAGTTGTTAATTTGTCATCAGTTTAAAATAATGGTTTAAAAATATTATTTGCAAGTGTCATAATAACCTCAAATCAAAAAATACAATGGATACACATATACAAAAGCAAGAAATTTAAAAAGCAAGAAATTAAAACATACCACCCAAGGAAATCACCTTCACTAAAAGGAAGGCAGGAAAGAAGGAAGAGAATGCCACAAAACAACAGAAAACAAATAACAAAATGTCAGAGATATACTTGTTTATCAATAGTAACATCGAAAGTAAATAGTGAACTAAATTCTCCAATAAAAAGACATAGAGTGGCTGAATGAATTTTGAAAATTAGGCCCAATGATCTAGTGCCTAAAGGAAACACACTTCACCATTAAGAGACATGAACTGAAAATAAAATAATGGAAAAAGATATTCCATGTAAATAAAGAACAAAAAAGAGCAGGAGTAGCTATACTCATATCAAACAAAATGGATTTCAAGACAAAAACTATAAAAGTTGACAAAGTCATTATACAATAATAAAGGGGTCAATTCAGCAAAAGAATATCATAATTGTAAATACACATGTACCCAACACTGGTGCACACAGATATAAAGCAAACATTATTTAGAGCTAAAGAGAGATACAGACCCCAATACAATAATAGTTGGAGACTTCAATACCCCACATGAAGCATTGGACAGATCATCCAGACAGAATATGAGCAAAGAAACACTGATTTAATCTGCAGTATATCCAAATGGATCCCATAAGTGTTCACAGTACATTTCAACCAATAGCATCAGAATACACACTCTTCTCCTCAGCACATGGATCATTCTCAAGGATAGACCATCTGTTAGGCCAAAAAAAAAAGGTCTTTAAAAAATTCCAAAAACTTGAAATTATGTCAATTATCTTCTCTGAACACAAAGGAATAAAACTAGAAATTAATAAAAAGAGGAATTTGGAAACTATAAAAACATTAAAATTAAATAATATGCTCCTAAATGACCAGTAGGTCAATGAAGAGATTCAGAAGGAAATTAAATATTTCTTGAAACAAATGAAAATGGGGATACAACATAGCAAAACCTATGAGATACAGCAAAAGCAATACTAAGAGGAAAGTTTACAGCAAAAAGCACCTACATCAAAAAAGTAAAAAAACTTCATTCAAATAAGCAACCTAATGATGAATCTTAAAGAACTAGAAAAGCAAGAGCAAACAAAACCCAACGTTAGTAGAAGAAAAGAAATAATAAAGATTGAAACAGAAATAAATGAAATTGAAACAAAAAATATGAAAGATCAGCAAAATGTTGCTATTTTTGAACAGATAAACAAAATTGGCAAAATTTTAGCTAGACTAAGAAAGAGTAAAAATTAAAATAAATAAAATCAGAGATGAAAATGGAGACATTACAACTTGTATTAGTCCATTCTTATGCTGCTATGAAGAAATACCCAAAACTGGATAATTTATAAAGAAAAGAGGTTTAATTGACTCACAGTTCTACGTGACTAGGGAGGCCTCAGGAAACTTATAATCATGTCAGAAGGCATCTCTTTACAGGGTGGCAGGAGAGAGAATCAGTGCAAGCCGGGGGAAAGGTCAGATGCTTATAAAACCACCAGATATCATGAGAACTCACTCACTATAATGAGAACAGCATGAGGGAACCGCCCACATGATCTAATCACCTCCTACAAGTTTCCTTCCCCAACACATGGGGATTATAATTCAGATTACAATTTAAGATGAGATTTGGGTGGGGACATAGAGCCAGGCCATATTATTCTGCCTCTGGCCTCTCCCAAATCTCATCTTTCTCACATTTTAAAACATAATTATGCCTTTTCAACAGTTCTTCAAAGTCTTAATTCATTTCAGCATTAACCCAAAAGACTAAGTCTATAGTTTTATCTAAGACAAGACAATTCCCTTCCACTTATGAGCCTGTAAAATCAAAAGCAAGTTAGTTACTTCCAAGATATAATGGGGGTACAGGCATTGGATAAATGCACCCATTCCAAATGGGAGAAATTGGCCAAAACAAAGGGGCTACAGGCCCCATGCAAGTCTGAAATCCAACAGGATAGTCATTAAACCTTAAAGTTCCCAAATGATCCTTTGACTCCATGTCTCACATCCAGGACATACTGATGCAAGAGGTGGGCTCCCACAGCCTTGGGAAGCTCTGCCCTTGTGGCTTTGCAGGGTAAAGCACCACTCTTTGGCTGCTTTCATTGGTGGCATTGAGTGCCTGCAGTTTTTCCACGCACACAGTAAAAGCTGTCAGTGGATCTGTCATTCTGGGGTCTGGAGGACAGTGGCTCTCTTCTCACAGTTCCACCAGGTAGTGCCCCAGTGGGGACTCTGTGTGAGGGTGCCAATGCCACATTTCCCTTCCACATTGCCCTAGCAGAGGTCCTCCATGGGGGCTCACCCCTGCAGCAGACTTCTAACTGAACATCCAGGCATTTCCGTACATCCTCTGAAATCTAGGTGGAGGTTCCCAAAACTCAATTCTTGACTTCTGTGCACCTGCAGGCCCAAAACCATGTGTAAGCCACCAAGGCGTGGGGCTTGCACCCTCTGAAGAAACAGGCCAACCTGTACACTGGCCCATTTTAGCCACAGCTGTAGCTGAAGCAGCTAGGTTGCAGGGCACCATGTCCTGAGGCTGCATGGAGCAGTGGGTCCCAGGTCAGGCCCACAAAACAATTTTTGCCTCCTAATTCTACAGGCATGTAATGGGAAGGGCTGCCATGAAGGTCTCTGACATGACCTGGAGATATTTTCCCCATTGTCTTAGTGATTAACATTTGGCTCCTCATTACTCATACAAATTTCTGCAGCCAGCTTGAATTTTGCCCCAGAAAATGGGTTTTTCTTTCCGACTGTATCATTAGGCTGAAAATTTTCCAAACTTTTATGCTCTGTCACCACTTGAATGCTTTGCTGCTTAGAAATTTCTTCCACCAGATACCCTAAATCATCTCTCTCAAGTTCAAAGTTCCACAGATCTCTAGGTCAGGGGCAAACAACCTCCAGTCTCTTTGCTAAAGCATAGCAAGAGCGACCTTTACTCCAGTTCCCAACAAGTTTCTAATCTCTATCTGAGACCACTTCAGCCTGTACTTCATTGTCCATATCACTATCAGCATTTTGGTCAAAACTGTTCAGCAAATCTCTAGGAAGTTCCAAACTTTCCCACGTCTTTCTGTCTTCTGAGCCCTCCAAGTTTCTAGGAAGTTCCAAACTTGACCACATTTTTCTGTCTTCTTCTGAACCCTCTATACTGTTCCAGCCTCTGCCTATTATCCAGTTGTAAAGTTGCTTCCACATTTTTGGGTATCTTTATAGCAGTACCTCATTCTCTGTGGTACCAATTTACTGTATTAGTCCATTCTCATGCTGTTATGAAGAAATACCTAAGACTGGGTAATTTGTAAGGAAAAGAGGTTTAATTGACTCACAGTTGCGCATGGTTTGGGAGGCCTCAGGAAACTTACAATCATGGTGGAAGGCACCTCTTCACAGGGCAACAGGAGAGAGAATTAGCGAAAGCAGGTGAAATGCCAGACGCTTATAAAACCACTAGATCTTGTGAGAACTCACTCAATATCATGCGAACAGCATGGGGAACTGCCCCCATGATCTAATCACCTCCTACAAAGTCCCTCTCCAAACACACGTGGATTACAATTTGGATTACAATTCAAGATGACATTTGGGTGGAATAGAGAGGCAGACCATATTACAACTGATACCACAGAAATTCAAAGGATCACTAGAGGCTAGTAGGAGCAACTATATGCCAAAATTTGGAAAACTTAGAAGAAATGAATAAATTCCTAGACACATACAACTTACCAAGATTGTATCATGAATAAATCTGAAGCCCAAACAGACCAATAACAAGTAATGAGATGAAAGCCATAATAAAGTCTCTCAGCAAAGAAAAGCCCAGGACCTGATGGCTTCACTAAAGAATTTTACCAAACATTTAAAGGAGAGCTAGTACCAATACTTTTCAATCTATTCTGAAAAATAAAGGAGGATAAAATACTTCCAAATTCATTTTACAGGGCCAGTATTATCCTGATACCAAAACCAGACAAAGACACAGATTAAAAGAAAACTACAGGCCAGTATCCCTGATGAAGATTGATGCAACAATTCCTACCAAAATACTAGCAAACTAAAGCAACAACACATTAAAAAGTCATCCTTCATGACCAAGTGAGATTTATCCCAGGTATGCAAGGGTGGTTCAACATACACAAATCAATCAATGTGATATATCAACAGAACAAAGGACAAAAACCATATGATCATTTCAACTGATGCTGAAAAAGCATTTGATAAAACTCAGCATCCCTTCCTGATAAAACCCTCAAAAAACCAGGCACAAAAAATATTCAACACAATAAAACTCATATATGATAGACTCACAGCTATAATCATACTGAGTGGGGAAAAACTGAAAGCCTTTCTGCAATATCTGGAAGATGACAAGGAAGCCCACCTTTACTATTCTCATTCAACATAGTACTGGAAATGCCAGCTAGATCAATCAGACCAGGAAAAGGACATCCAAAAGGAAAAGAAGTAAAATTGTCTTTGTCTGCAGATGATATAATCCTATATTTGGAAAAACCTGAAGACTCCATCAAAAAACTATTACAACTGATCAACAAATTTAGCAAAGCTGCAGGACACAAAATCAACATACAAAAATCAGCAGCATTTCTATATGCCAAGAGCAAACAATATGATACAGAAGTCAAGAAAGTAATCCTATTTACAATAGCTACAAATAAAATAAAATACCTAGATATTAACTTAACCAAAGGAGTGAAAGATATGTGCAATGAAAACTATAAAACGTTGATTCAAGAAATTGAAGAGGACAGCAAAAACTGGAAAGATATTCCATGTCAGTGGATTGGAAGAATCAATATTGTTAAAATGTCCATACTGCCCAAAGCAATCTACAGATTCAATGCAGTCTTTATCAAAATGCCAATGATGTTACTCACAGAAATAGAGAAAACAATCCTAAAGTTTATATGGAATATGGAACCACAAAAGACCCAGAATAGACAAAGCTATTCTGAACAAAAAGAACAAGCTGGAGGAATTACATTACTTGACTTCAAATTATACTTCAGTGCTATAGCAACCACAACAGCATAGTACTGGCATAAAAACAGACACATAGACTGATGGAACAGAATAGAGAACCCAGAGATAAATCCATACATCTACAGTGACCTCAAAAGTGCCAGGAACATATGTTGGGTAAAAGACAGTCTCTTTAATAAATGGTGCTGGAGAAACTGGATATTCATATGCAGAAGAATAGACCTGTATCTCTTGCCATATACAAAGATGAAATCAAAATGGATTAAAGAATTAAACCAAAGACCTCAAACTATGAAACTACTACAAGAAAACATTTAAGAAACTCTCCAGGACATTGGAGTGGGCAAAGATTTCTTGAGTAATACCCAACAAGCACAGGCAACCAAAGCAAAAACAGACAAATGGGATCACATCAAGTTAAAAAGCTTCTGCACAGCAAAGGAAGCAATCAACAAAGTGAAGAGATAACCAACTGAATGGGAGAAAATATTTGCCATATATAAGGAGCTCAAGCAACTCTACAGGAAAAAACCTAATAATCCAATTTTAAAATAGGCAAAAGATCTGAGTGACATTCCTCAAAAGAAGAAATACAATTGGCAAATATGTACATGAAAAGGTGCTCAACATCACTGATTATCAGAACTACAAATGAGATATTATCTATATGATAGCAAATAAAACTACAATGAGATGTCATCTCGCTCCAGTTAAAATGACTTTTATCCAAAAGACAGGCAATAACAAATGCTAGTGAGAATGTGGAGAAAAGGAAACCTCATTTGACAACGTAAATTAGTACAACCACTATAAAGAACGGTTTGAAGATTCCTCAAAAAACTAAAACTAGAACTACCATATGATCCAGCAATTCCACAGCTAGTTATACACCTAGAAGAAAGGAAATCATCAAATGCATATCTGTGCAAGTAATAATACTAAGAATGTATTGAGCTGTTATAATATATGGATAAGTAGAATGCATGACAGATATGTTATAAGACAGGGAAGGGGAATTGAGAATACTCTAGGGGGAGGTATCTTCACCGCCCATGAAGCAACGTAGTGTTATTTGAAAGTTGACTTATATAAATTATATATGTGTATTGAAAACTCTAGAGCAAGCACTGAAAAATTGTTAAAAGATATATGATTGATATGCTAAGAGAAGAGACAAAATAGAATTATATAAAATGTTTACTTAAAACCAGAGAAGGCAGAAAAAGAAGGAAAGCACTAGTGCCAAATGGTTTCACTGGTGAATTCTACCAAACATTTAACGAAGTAATTCTCTATAATCTCTTCAAAAAACAAAAGCAGAAGGAACACTTTCTAAATCATTCTATGAGGCCACCATTTCCTTAAGAACAAAATCAGATAAATATATTACAGGAAGGGGAAATTACAGATTATATTTTAAAATATTAGATACAATATTTTATATATAATCCAATGATAAATAAGAAGAATGATAAACCAAGACTAAATGAGATTTATTACATTTGTGCAAAGGCTGGTTCAACATTCAAAAATCAGTTAAGTTAGTCTACATCAACAGTCTATGGAGGAAAAAACATGTAATCATATCAATTGATGCAGAAAAAGCATTTGACAAAATCCAACATTCATTCAATCCAACACCACATAAAAGGTCTCAGCACAGTAGGAATAGTGGGGAATCTCCTTAACTCGATAAAGAATATCTACAAATAATCTTCAGCAAACATATCACACTTAATGATGAGAACCTGGATGCTTCCACCCCTAAGATTGGGGAAAATGTAAGCATGTTCCTTCTCACCATTTTTATTCAACATCATACTGGAAGACCCAGGTAGTGCAAACAAGACAGGAGAATAAAAGGTATACAGATTGGGAAGGAAAAAGTAAAATTGTTCATAAATGGCATGATTGTCTATTTATAAAATTACACATGATCTACAACAATCACAACAAAAACCTCCAGGAACTAATAAGCAAGGTTGAAGAGTATAAGATTAATATACAAAAGTCAACTATTTCCTACATATCAACAATGAAAAATTGAAATTTGAAATTAAAACCACAATATCATTTATAGCACCCCCCAAAATTATATATTTAAGTATAAATCTAACAAAATATGTGGGGATCTATTTGCAGAAAACCATAAAACTCTAATGAAAGAAATTAAGGAAGATCGAATTACTGTATTTAAACTATTCTCCATTAAGGAAATGAATATAGTGCCAGAATGTGAAAGAAACAAATTATTACGTTGGTACAAAAATAAATGTGGCTTTTTCATTAAAAGTAATGGTAAAACCTGCAATTACTTTTGTATCAACCTAATAGTTGAGCATCTATTGTATTCCATATATTATGAAAACCCCACCTAGATATCTTTACAAAATTGCAAAAATTCTAAAAAGCAATATAACTATCTCTATTGTATAGTTGAGGAAAGTAAAGCTCAGAAAAGAGCTGCAAGTGATGGAAATAACCTTATGATAAAATATTATCCAGCCCAATTAACAATCAATCATCTTTCTGAATAACAATAATATAGGGATGTTATAATGTTAAATAAAAAATTTAAAGAGCAATATTCAAATCTCTGTATACCATATGAACCCAATTTTATTGAGTTACAAAAATTGTAAACATCAACTTGGAGATATTCTGTGAAAAATATATTAAAACATCAGTATGTGAATCAACTGGAATGCTCATATGTTGCTGGTGAGAGTGTAATTGGTATAGCCACATTGATAAACTGTTTGAAAATATCTATAAAGTTTACATATATGCATACCACAAAATGTAGCAACACCAATCCTAGGTATATACCTAACAGGCATACATTCTGTTCAGCAAAAGATATACACAGTAATGTTTACAGAAATCTTATGCTTAATATCCCTGTAAGGGATGTAAATAACTCAATGATCATTCAGCATAGAATGGATAAATAAATTGTGCCATGTACATGCAATGAAAAACTACAAAATGATAATGAGTGAACTACAACTACATGCAATATGAATAAATCTTGAAAAAGTATTTTTGAGCTAAAGAAACCATACATAAGATAAACCATTCCATGTGATTTCACATACATATATAAATACATTTATATTTATTTATATATTATATATAGAGAGAGTTCAAAATAGACAAAACTAAGCTCTGGTGTTACTGGTTACAAGGCTTACTGCCTAGAAGGAGGCATGAAATAACCTTCTGGAGTGACAGCAGTGTTCTGTTTCATGATATGGGTGTTCACTTTAAAAATCAATGAGTTTCAGAACTATGATTTTTAACTTTCTATAGTACTCTATTCTTCAATTAAGAGTTTACCAAAAATATTAATAGTAGTTAGATGATGAGAAATAAATTTTCCTTTGATTCATTGTATTTTCCTGTACTTTCTAATTATTTATGATAAGTATTCTGTTTTTAGGAGCTTTATTGAAACATAACTTACATAGAAAAAAATCAACTCATTTTAAGGGTACAGTTTAATGAAGTCTTGCAAATGTATAAAACTGTGTAACTACCACCGCACTCAAGGTATAGAGCACGTCCATCTCTTGAAAATTCCCTAGTGCCCTTTTGCATGCATTCCCCTGGCCCACTCCAGTCTGATCTCTGATCTGCTTTCTGTTGCTACAATTTTACCACTCCAGGACTCAGCCTCCTCATCTGTATGTTGAAAACAATGGGTTCAGTGCTTCAGAATCTGAAATGCTATGATTTTCTGAGCTCTAAGATACGTATCCAGTTTACCCTTTGGGTGTGTGGCCCTAAGGGAACAGCCAAAATTAAAAGCTTATGTCACTGCTACTTTAGACATGTTCACATCTTATCAAATGCCTTTTGAGGGAGAAAATATCCTCAAATCTTCTAATGAATTAATGTATCTCTAATAAAAGAATGTCAGAAAATAAATAAATAAATAAATAAAATTCTGTATAAATGAAATCATACAGTAGGAAGTTTTTGTGTCTGGCTTCTTTCACTTAGTATGATGTTTTTAACATCATGTTGTTGCTTGTATCAGTAGTTCTTTCCTTTCTATTGCTAAGTAGGATTCCATTGTAAAAATGTAGCGTAATTTATCTATTCAGTAGCTAATGGACATTTGGGTTGTTCTCTTTTTTCTTTTCCTTCCTTTGATATGGTGAATAAAGCTTCTAGGAGCATTTGAATACATTTCTCTTTCTTTTGGACAGATAACTAGCAGTAGAATTTCTCAGCTTTGCGGTAATTATATATTTAATGTTATAAGAAATTGTCAAGCTGTCTTCCAAAATGGCTATAACATTTTGTATTTCTACCAGCAATGTATGAGAGCTCCAGTTACTCCACCTTCTTGTCAACACTTAGTATTATTGGTCATTTTCATTTTATATAGTAGTATCTCATCGTGATTTAATTTGCATCATCCTCGTGGCTATTGGTGTCATTTGTGTACCTTTTTAGTGAAGCATCTGATAACATATTTTGGCTACATTTTTATTGGGTTGTTTAGTTTCCTATAGTTCAGTTGTAAGAGCTCTTTATATACTCGTATCAAGATATATGTATATTTATCAGACATGTGACTTGTGTTTTCATCTCCTTAATGATGTCTTTCAAGAAGCAAAAGCTTTTCATTTTGATTTTTTTTCCCTTTTGGTCTGTGCTTTTCATAAAATGTTACCCTGATAGAAAAAAACATGTTGTATAAAAAGGAGCTGATAATGACTAAAAGGGTAAAGAGGCAGAATTTTTATCACTCTGAGGTGATCTAAATCCAGAGATTTAAACTATTTGCAAGACTATAGTGGGCTGTTCGGAGGTATAGCAGTATGAAGATGAAGTAGGTTGCACAACCTTGATTACAATGCATGAATAATAAAGTATTTGGTTTAAGGTAGAAGAGAAAATAAAAACATCAATTCTATATAGAAGTTACTGTCTTAAGACTACACTGAAAAGTAAAGCCAAACAATGCCTACCTTTGCTCAAATCCTCCTTCAAAATAAAGACTCTATTAGAGGGAATCAGCTCTAATAAATTAAGAAGAGTCAAGAGAGAAAAGTTCTTTTTTATAAAGAAAATAGTAGGAAAAATAATAGAAAGAAGACTATGGAAAATGACTTAGCCAAAATATTAAGCCATATTCTAGTCAGGAAAGACAGAAAAGGATATAATATTAACATCAAAACATAAATTCAATTCTAGAACACCACCTAGTTAGGACTTCATGTGAAACAACCAAATCACCTAAGTACTGTTAGAGGAAGGAGCCTTTTGAGAATGGACTTTTCTAATTATGAGTTGTATTTTTAATATCCCATATCAGTCAATGAGGTAATATTTCTTATCCTCTCAAAATACGTGTAGACAAGGCAACTATGCCTTTCATCGCTTTTAATTCATGTTGTAAAACCCAAGAAAATATAATTTTTAAAACCTTAAAACATTAGTAGGCTTTACAGCTGAATTAAAAATAAAACGAGAAGCTTATCTGTTTTCCTAGTATTCCTTGCATTTGCAGAAACACCCTATTCAATCACAAGCACAAAACCAATTGCCAAAGTTTAAAGATAGACAACATTTAAAATGCGCTCTGCCTCAAAATTGAAACTTCAATTAAAAAATGTGTTATTGTTCCCCCTTAGCTAGGCAACTGCATAAGAATAATTTATTCATCTCTAGGAAAAAAATCAATAGGTTTAATGCATATTGTAATATTATTTCTATAGAAAGAGTAGATGGTAAAAGAAAATGTTATACAAAATAATTATTTGATACTTTCAATATAATTGTGATACAGATAGGGAATGCATTTTTAAAGACACTTTTTCAACATACTGAGAGTTGTTTTTTTTTTAAGATAGAAATGCATTCCTAAATTAGGATTTCTTTTAATTCTTCAGGATACTAAAGAAACAAGGGAACAGCTTGCCTTTGATAAGAATCTATCTTTTAAATGAGACAGAGCTCCAATTTTCCTAGCTAACTGGATTAGAGTAATCCTAAATAATTTAGCCTCCATTTACAGTTTGGGCAAGTTCATTATATGTACACTTCTAGCATCTTCTTACCTTAAACTCGTTTTGATCAATTAATACACACTTCTAAGTAAGAAATGTACAAAATCTCTACAGACTATTATACTGGTTATTTTTCTTCATCATTTTATTCATGTCTTTATACTAAAAAAGTGAACTACAATTTGTTGAGGCCTAAAATGTAAGCTCCCCACTATCATATAAGCTCCTCAACAGTGTGTCAGCTTCCCACTATACATAAGCTCCTTACTATTATGGAATGTAAGCTTCTTGAGGGTAGCAACTTTGTAAATTTTTTCTTGTTTACCCCTATAACTCCAGTATCTAGAAAAAAATATGGAACACAGTAGACATATTCAACAAAAATGTATCCTCTCTGCTTGGTATATACCAGCAGTGTATTAGTAACTTTAATGCATTATTAATAAACTAATATCTATAAAAACATGAAAATAGATATTCCTTTTTTCAGATGAAAAACTGATTCTCAAAGAAAAAGGTACTTTCCCCAAATCTCTCATCTGTTAAGTAATGTTGATTTATCCAAATCCAGGCTTTATGAACTCCCAAACATGGTCCTGACATCTGGGTTATATAAACAAACAAACATGGCACTCACCTGTGGTCCCGGCTACTCAGGAGGCAGATGTGGGAGGATCAATTGAGACCAGAAGTTCAAGAGCTGCAGTTTGCTATGTTTGTGTCTATGAACAGCCACTGCACTCCAGTCTGGGCAATATAACAAGAACTCATCTCAACTGTATCTCAAAGACAGATTTCGTTGATCCTTCTTTCCAAACACACCAGGTAGGAATTGTTTTCCTACATATTTATGGCTTCATACTCTGATTCCTTTTCCAATGACAACAATATTCTAATATCATTTTATAAAGAGAGAATATAATGGTACTTTAGGCTTATCTCTAGTACCATTGACTTAAATTTTTTATTATTGATAATTGATTTCTTTGATATTGACAACTTAGTATTTTTTCATATATGTTTAAGTTTTGGTCAAATTGGGAAATTCCATATGATAAGAGTGCAAAAAAAGACCACAAATTCTTTGAAGTAACTCCCATCAAGCAGAGGTGTCTGTAGTTCTTTGCTCCTTGAATCTGTATTGGCCTTGTGACTTTCTTTGAGCAGTAAAATGCAGAAGTGACATTGTGTGAGCTATGAGCCTACTCTTCAAGAGACCTTGCTTATGCTTTCATCCTGTAAATATAAACCACTCTGTGCAGCATCATGAAGGACTCAAGACCATGGAGGGAGAAGAAAAAGCACCAGCCACCCCAGCCGAGACCCTAGACTTAATGTGCGAGCCTCAGCAAGCACCATGTGAAGCAAGATGAGCCATCTTAGAAGAGCCTAGGCCAAACTACTGACAATGGAATAATGATTTTTGTTTTAAGCCAACAGGTTTTAGGCAGATTTGTTTTGCAACAGTAAATAACTTACACATTCTCTCTAAAGTTTCTTTCATATATAGCTACTATAAGTATAATATTTGAAAAATACTACATATTTACTCAGGAATTGTGAAAAATTCTTTTTCCCCAGCTTTATTGAGTCATAATTCACAAATAAAAATTGTATATGTTTACGATATATAATGTGATATTTGATGTATTTGTATATGTTGTGAAATCATTACCACAATGAAGCTAATCACCATATCCAATATCTCACATAGTTACAATTTGTGTATTTGTAGTAAGAACATTTAAAATTACTCTCATAGCAAATTTCAAGTATGCAATTCCATATTATCAATTATGGTCACCACACTGTACATTAGGTCTCCAGAATTTATGCATCTTGCATCACTGAAACTCCTTACCCTTTGATTTGCATTCCCTCATTTCCTCTAACTCCAACTCTTGGAAACCATTATTGTACCCTCTGCTTCCTTACATTTGGCCTTATTAGAATTTGTATAGAAGTAAAAGCAAAGCAGTATTTGTCTTTCTGTCTAGCTTATTTCACTTGGCATAATGTTCTTCATGTTCATCCATGTTGTCACAAATGACAGAATTTTCTTCTTTTTTAAGGCCAGTATTCTATTGTGATATATATATATATATATATATATAACATATGTCATATATATGTGTGTCATATATCACATATATACTCCCCACATTTTTTATCCATTCATTCGTTAGTGGACACTTAAGTTGATTTCATATCTTGCCTATTGTGAATAGTACTGCAATGAACATGGGGTGTAGATATTTCTTCAAGATACCAAAATCATTTTCTTTTGATGTACACCCAGTGATAGGATTGGTGAATCATATGGTAGTGCTAGTTTTAAGTTTTGAGGAAACGCCAAACTATTTTCTATAATTTTTGTACCAATTTACATTCTCATTTACAGTGTACAAGAGCTCCCTTTACTTTACATCCTTGCCAACACATTTTTTCCCTTGTATTTTTTGTAAAAGCCATCCTAACAGATGTGAGGTGAATCACTGTGGTTTGGATTTGGATTTCCCTGATGATTAGTGATGTTGAACATTTCTTTAGATTCCTGTTGGCTATTTGGACGTTTTCATTTGAGAAATGTCTAGTCATGTTCCTTGTACATTTTTTAATTGGGTCATTTTCTTGCCATTGAGTTGTTTGATTTCCTTATATATTTTGGAGATTAACCCTGTATCAGATGTATGGTTGGCAAATATTTTCTCTCATTCCCAGGGTTGGCTCTTCACTCTACTGATAGTTTCCTTTAGTGTGCAGAAGCTTTTTAGTTTGATACAATCCCACTTGTCTATTTTTACTTTTGTTGCCAGTGCTTTTGGGTTCAAAAATCACTGCCAAGTCCAACGTCAAGAAGCTTTTTCTCTATGTTTTCTTCTAGTAGTTTTATAGTTTCAGATATTACATTTAAGTCTTCAATCCATTTTGAGTTGACTTTTGTACATGGTGTAAAATAAGGGGCCAGTTTGACTCTTCTGCATGTGGATATAGTTTTCCTAACACTATTTATTGAAGAGATTGTCCTCATCCCATTATATGTTCTTGGCACCTATGTCAAAGATCAATTGGCCATATGTGTGGATTTATTTCTGGAATCTCTATTCTGTTTTATATGTCTGTTTTTATGCCAGTATGTTGCAGGAAGTCAGGGACCCCGAACGGAGGGACCAGCTAGAGCCATGGCAGAGGAACATAAATTGTGAAGATTTCATGGACCTTTATCACTTCCCTAATAATACTCTTATAATTTCTTATGCCTGTCTTACTTTAATCTCTTAATCCTGTTATCTTCATAAACTGAGGATGTATGTCACCACAGGACCACTATTGTACAAATTGATTGTAAAACATGTGTGTTTGAACAATATGAAATCAGTGCACCTTGAAAAAGAACAGAATAACAGTGATTTTAGGGAACAAGGGAAGAAAACCATAAGGTCTGACTGCCTGCGGGGTCAGGCAGAATAGAGCCATATTTTTCGTCTTGCAGAGAGCCTATAAACGGATGTGCAAGTAGGAGAGATATCGCTAAATTCTTTTCCTAGCAAGGAATATAATATTAAGACCCTAGGAAAATAATTGCCTTCCTTGGGGGAGGTCTATAAATGGCCGCTCTGGGAGTGTCTGTCTTATGTGATTGAGATAAGGACTGAAATACACCCTGGTCTCCTGCAGCACCCTCAGGCTCACTAGGGTGGGGAAAACCCCACCCTAGTGAATTTGAGGTCAGACCAGTTCTCTGCTCTCGAACCCTGTTTTCTGTTGTTTAAAATGTTTATCAAGCCAATATGTGCACAGCTGAACATAGACCCTCATCGGTAATTCTAATTTTGCCCTTTGCCTTGTGATCTTTCCTTTGCCCTTTGCCTTGTGATCTTTATTGGCCTCAGAAGCATGTGATCTTTGTGACCTACTCCCTGTTCCTACACCCCCTCCCCTTTTGAAGTCCTTAATAAAAACCTGCTGGTTTTGCGGCTCAGGTGGGTATCACGGACCTACCGGTATGTGATGTCACCCCCAGCAGCCCAGCTGTAAAATTCCTCTCTTTGTACTCTTTCTCTTTATTTCTCAGACGAGCCAACACTTAGGGAAAATAGAAAGAACCTACGTTGAAATATTGGGTGCGGGTTCCCCCAATACCAGTACCATACAGTTTTGATTACAGCTTTGCAGTATATTTTGAAATCAGGAAGTGCGATGCCTCCAGCTTTGTTCTTTTTGCTTAAGATTGCTTTCAGGGTCATTTGTGGTTCCATATGAACTTTATGATTTGTTTCTATTTCTGTGAAAAATGCCATTGGAATCTTGATAGGGATTGCATGGAATCTGTAGATCATTTTGGGTAGAAAAGGCATTTTAACAATATTCTTCCAATTCAAGAACATGGAATAACTTTCCAGGTATTTTGTTTTCTTCAATTTTTTTTTACCAGTGTTTTATAGTTTTTAGTCTACAGATCTTTTTCCACTTTGGTTAATTTTATTATTTTATGCTAACATAAATGGGATTGTTTTCTTAATTTCTTTTTCCAATAACTCGCTGTTAGTGTATAGAAATGTAATTTATATGTTGACTTAAGTATCCTGAACTTTACTGAATTATTTTATTAGTTCTAACCACCTATTGGTGGTATCTTTAGTTTTGTATATGTAAGATCATGTTGTCTCCAAAAGACAATTTTACTTCTTCCTGTCTCATTTGGTTGTTTTTCTTTTTCCTGCCTAATTACTCTGGCTAGGATTTCCAGTACTATGTTGAAGAGAAGAGTAAATAATAAACACTTTTGTCTTGTTCCTGATCTTAGAGGAAAGGCTTTCAGCTTTTCATCATTCCATGTGATATTACCATATATGATCTTGTCATATATGGCCTTTATTATGTTTAGTTACATTATCTCTATATCCAATTTGTTGAGTTTTTATCATGAAAAGATGATGAATTTTGTCAAATGCTTTTTCTGCATCTACTGACATAATCATACAATTTTTTATCCTTTATTCTATTAATGTAATGTATCACATTTATGAGCTTGCATATATTGAACCATCTTTACATCCCAGGGATAAATCCCACTTGATGATGGTATATGATCCTTTTTATACTTTTCAATTCAGTTTCCTATTATTGTGTTGAAGATTTTTGCTTCTATGTTCACCAGGGATTTTGGCCTGTAATTTTCTTTCTTACAGTATCCTTGCCTGGCTTTGGTATCAGGATAATGCTGGGTTTGTAAAAGGAGTTTGGAAGTAATTCTCTCTTAAATTTTTTGGAAGAGTTTGAGAATAATTGGTGTTAATTCTTTAAATAATTGGTAGAATTTAGCAGTGAAACCATCAGGTGCAAGGCTTTTCTTTGATGAAAGACTTTTTTATTATTGATACTATCTTCTTATCCATTTTTGATTAGTTCAGATATTCTATTTCTTTATGACGCAGGGATTTATCCACGTCTTTTGGGTTATCCAGTTTTTTAGTATAAAATTATTTGTAGTAATCTCTTATGATCCTTTGTGTTTCTGTGACATCAGCTATAATGTCTCCTCTTTCATTTTTAATTTTATTTAAACCATCTCCTATTTTTAGTCTATCTAAAGGTATGCCAATTTTGTTTATTTTTTCAAATCAACTCAGCTCTATTGATCTTTTCTACTATTTTTCTAGTCACTATTTCATTTATTCCTGCTATGGTCTTTATTGTTTTCTTTTTCAGCTAAGTTTGAACTTAGTTTGTTCTTCTTTTTCAAGTTTCCTGAGGTATAAAGTTAGGCTATTTATTGAGATCCTTAATTTTTCTTAATGTAGGCATTTATTGCAATAAACTTCCTTCTTAAAACTGCTTTTGCTGCATTTCATAAGATTTGGCATATTGTGTTTCCATTTTCATTAGTCTGAAGTTTTTTTATTTCTCTTTTGATTCCTTCTTTGATTCCGTCAATGTTCAGCTACATGTTAATTTTCATGTATTTGTGAATTTTCCAGTTATTTATTTCTAGCTTCATAATATTGTGATTGAAAGAATACTTCATATAATTTTAATCATTTAAAACTTGTTAGGATTTGTTTTATGGCCTAACACATGATCCATCCTGGAGAATGTTTTGTCTGCACTTGAGAAGAATGTGTATTCGATTGCTGTTGGATAGAATGTTCTCTGTATGCCTGATAGGTCATTTCCTTTATAGTGTCATTCAAATACACTGTTTTCTTATTTTCAGTCTGGGTGAGCTATCCATTGTTTAAAGTTGTTTACTGAAGTCCTGTAACATGATTGTATTTCTGTCTGTCTCTCCCTTCAATTTTGGTAATATTTGCTTTAGATCTTTAGGTGTTCTGATATTGGTAGCATATATATTTATAAGCATTATGTCTTCCTGATGGACTGATCCTTTTATCACTATAAAATGACATTTTTGTTTATTTTTGTCATTAAAGTGTATTTTGTCTGATATAATTATAAGCATTCCTGCTCTCTTGTTACCATTTGCATGAAATATCTTTTTCCATCCCTTCACTTTTAACCTATGTGTCCTCAAAGCTAAAATTAGTCACTTATAGGCTGTAGATAGGGAATATTGTGTAGTTTTTAAAAATCAGTTCAACAACTCTATGTCTATTAATTGGTGAATTTAATTCATTTACATTTAAAGTAATTTGTTCATTGTTTCCTGTTTTGTACCTCCTTTGTTCCTTTTTCCTTTCTTCTTGACTGTGAATTGATGGTTTCATGTAGTAGAATGCATTAATTCCTTTATCTTTTGTGTATCTTCTACAAGTTTTTTCTCTATAATTACCATGAGGCTTACATAAAACATCTTAATAGTTATAGCAGTCTATTTTAAGCTGATAACCACTTAACTTCAATGGCATAAAGAAACTACTTTTTAATTTCTCTTCCTTCAAGATTTTATGACTGTCACAATTTACATCTTTTATATATTATGTCTCCATTGACAAATTATTGTAGTTTTAGTTATTTTAATACTCTTGTCTTTTAACTTATATACTAGAATTAAAAGTGATATATACACTGCCTTTACAGTATTAGAATACTCTGAATTTGACTATTTCTTACCTTTATAGTGATTTTTATACCCTCATATATTTTCATTTTGTTAATTAGCATCCTTTCATCTTATATGAAGAAATCCCTTTAGCATTTCAGGTAAAGCATTTCTCACAAGTAGTAATAAATGCCCTCAGCTTTTATCTGAGCAACTCTTCATTTCTTAAGAACTGATTTTCCTGGCATAGTATTCTTGGTTGGCATTTTTTATTCTTTCCACAGTTTGACTATATTATCCCACCCTTTCCTGACCAGCAGGGTTTCTGCTGAGAAAGTCTTATGAGGCTTCCTTGTATGTGATGGTTCAATATTCTTTTGATGCTTTCAAAATTATTTATCTGTCATTGAATCTTCAGAATTTGATTATAATGTATCTCAATAGAGATCTCTTTACATTTAATCTATTTAGGGTTCTTTGGAAATCATAGATCTCGCTGTTTATCTCTCTCTCTGGATTTGGGGAGTTTTTTGTCACTATTTTTTAAAATAAGCTTTCTTCTGTCTTTCTTTTTCTCTACTTCTTCTGGGATTCTGAGAAGACACAATGTGTAAATTGACTCACTTGATGGTTTCCCATAAGTCTCATAGGCTTTCTTCACACTTTTTCATTATTTTTTCTTCTTGTTTCTCTGACTGGACAATTTTAAACCACCTGTCTTTGAGCTCACTGTTCCTTTCTTCTGCTTATTCAAATATGCTGCTGAAGCTCTCTGTGTCATATTTCAGTTTAGTCATTTTGTTTATCTCCAGAATATCTGGTTACTTATGATGGTTTCTATATCTTTGTTTAATTTCTTATTTTATTCATGTATTGTTTTCCCGATTTCATTTAGTTGTCTATCTGTGTTCCCTTGTAGTTCACTGAACTTCTTAAAGAGATTATATTGAAATCTTTGTCAGGCAATTCATATATCTCCATTTCTTAAGGTTGGTTACTGGCATTTTATTTTGTCCCTTTGGTTGTGGCATGATCTCTGTGTTCTACAATTAGTGTCTGAATATTTGAAGAAGTAGGCATCTTTTCCAGTCTTTGCAGACTGGCCTGGCAGGGAAAGCTCTTCATCACTCATCCCATCAAGAGAGTCTGAGCAAACCAGCTAGGTGAGCTAGCAAGCAGGCTTGCCTGGTGTGTGAGTCAGTTCATGGTGGGCCTGGAGCCTAAGTCCACAGGGACAGGCCAGCACTCAGATCTCATAGGGTACGCATGGCCCCTAAGCCTACTGAAGCGGGCTTCAACCCTGGGTCCACTGGAGCCTAGTATCACAGGAGCCAGTGTGGAGCCTGGGTCCACAGGGACTTGCCTGACATTAGGGCAGGCTTGAAGCCAGCCTGTGAAGGCTGTGAAGGCCAGCCTGGCTCTGAGGTATGCCTGGAGCTTGAGTTTGCAGAGGTGTACCTGGAGCTTGGGGCTTCAAGGGCCAGGCTGATGCTGTGGCAGGTCTGGATCCTGGATTTGTAGGGACGAACTTGTAACCTGGGACCGTGAGGACCAGCCTGGCACTGAGATGGGTCCAGTGCTGGGGGTGCTCATTTCACTCTCCTTCCCCTATGGTGAGGGTACCTCTCCTTGTGCTGCTCTGTGCAGGATTTGAGGAGTGACACAGATAATGGGAAACTGTCCTTTCTACCCTCTTTAGTGTGTTTTTTCTTATTTCTGTGTTCCACTCAGGTGGTATTAATTAACTGAATTCATTGTGAAGTTATTTTTATTTATAAATACTTATTCAAATTGATGTTTCTCCAAGAGGATAAGCACTAAAATTCCTATTTTGCCATCTTGCTGCTGTCACATGGTGGTTGGCTCATCATAAGTTCATAGTGTATACAGGTTTCTATAAAGGTACATTCAGTTCCCAGTAATGCATCTCCAAAGCTCTGTCACTTCTGATCTAACTGAAAACTTCAACCTCAGGCCAGTAGCAAGATGGTATACAGCCACCTGAATGCTACATATACCCTGACAAATTCTATTTCACACAATTTCCACCAGAAAAAAATTTCAAAACATGTTATAAAATTACATACTGCATTATTACATACTGCATTATTAAGACTATTTCTGAGAATATTGATAGAAACCAAATTCTCCAATTATAGTTTATACATGTGATTATTAGAAAAATTCTCCACAGACTAATTTCTGGCTCCATACAGTTCAAACATTGTTTTTGTTCCACTAGACACATAGTTTAAATGCTGACCAACTTAAGATATATTCATATCACATATTCATATTACTTTGGTTACATACTAGTGTGTCACGACATTAATCAAGTTGGCAGAGTAGTCAACAGAAGTACATCTGGAAAATATCTGTATGCTAGAATGAGGAAGTAGTAACTTGAATATATGTGAAGTAATTGTCTGAAACATTTAAATATATTCCACTAAACCAAAGTAAAATATATGTTCCACCCAAATTTCCTTAGAGACACAATGTATGGGGTCACTCCAAAACCACAGAAATGTACTGGAAGAAAAGTCAGAGAGAACAAGACAGACCCAATTTTTTGCCGTTAAATATCTTGCAAAAAAATTTAAAATTGGTACGGTCATGTTAACATATTGCTAGGGTCCCTCTTGAGGCATTCTTATATGTAATGGGCCCTAAAGTTCAAGCTGTATTAGCTTCAAGGTAGATCCACCTTCAATCTGCCCCCTCTTCCTGGTTTTCTTCCCTTTTCAATCTCAGAAGAAGCAATAAATTATCTGAGCCCCTTTGGAATCTTATTTTTCTAACCCAAGCACTTTTCCAATTTGCGGTCACATTCATTTTTTTCCCCTTCTCTCTGCTTCCACACTTCAGAATCTGAATTTCATGGCATTGCAAGCCACCAGAAAAGATAATTGCTTGAGTGTGATAATGGTAGCTGACAATTTCATCTCCATACTATTTATCAGTTCACACTCCATATATCAGGAATCAAGAAAACATGACATCTCTTGTCAGTAAAACGAAAAAAAGTATTGTGACAGTATATCAATTTAATTTTTCACCTGGCACTCAGCACATTAGTATTCAGGTAAAACATCTCCATTTATTATTCCAAAAAAATGTTTGATGCTCTAGACAAGGTAAATGAATTTATACACAAATATAAAAAAGCTGATACCCACATGATCCCAGGTTTTCACCGTTTTCAAAGTAACCTGTCTTGATTATTACAACTTTTTTCATTTGCTTGCAACAACAAGTCAATCACAGGTTCTTCTTTTCTATAAGTGAATTATTATTTTCAGGAGAAGATGACTATTGTGCAAAACAGTAAGCAAAACATGTCAGTCTCAAAGCTCAACCTAAAATGTCTCCTCATTATTTCTAAATTATGGTAAAGGTGTCAGTCCAAAATTTATGTGAACTCTCAAATGGCCTGACTGCTGTTTTTGTAAAATGTGAAGCTGAGACTTCTGATGGTTCGGGTAAATTCTCAAAAGTTGTCTAAAAAATAGACTGCCCTGTATCCCAATGCACTCTCCTCTTTTGTTCCCAAAGACACTTCTTAGCCTTCAGGATTCAGTGGATTGTGGTGGTACAAGTCATGAGCTGAACTAGAAAGTCACATGCAAGTGTGTTTATATTACAGCTCTGCCATGACTGGTGGTAACTAGGAAAATTGATCAAACTCTGTGACCCTCAATTTTTTAGTTTTTAAATTTATAAGTTATTTTATAAATTATGATGTTCTTTGTAAAGTAGTTGAACAGATTAAGTTAGCTGATATACATAATTTAGCACCTTGACTGGCAAAAAAGTATAATCACTTTGAATTATGCTTTCCTGCTTATATTTTCACATTAAAATTGTCATTTTATTCTGTGAAAGAGCTTACAAAATGACCTAATAAAAATGGAAAAGCAAATCAACCTGTTCTTATAGAATTGACCCTAGTTTTCTATCCTAACCACCTGGGCTGAGGCACTCCAAAGCAAGAGCTTTCTATCATTCTTACCTTGCACACTACTTTAGTTTTTAAAAAGACATTTTATGAGACACACTTTGTCTCTGCAGTTTTTTATGTATATCTTATTCCAAATATATCTTTTCTTCATACACGTTTTTCCAAAAGAACAAGTACAAAGGTGAAAAATAAATTTAGCTCATCAAGTTGCGTTAAAAATGCTAAACCAAACTTCCAGTTCCAAAAGGGCAGCATAGAAGCAAGCTAGCCTCACTCCTTCCCTCACAGAAAACCAAAACCAAGTATACAGTGCCAAGAGTCTCACCAGCAATAACTAAGAACTCAAATATGAGGGAAAACAGTTCCCGGGGCCATAGAGAAGTGAAAAAACTCCAAGCAGATGACAAAAGAATCAAGCTTACGTATCTATATCCCCTCCCCACAATCTGCCCAGCACTAAGTGTGTGGAAAATTTCCCCGACTCACAGTGCCTACAATGGAAAAGGCGAGATTGAGATGGACAACCAGCTTCTTCACCATCTTAGGTTACCTGGCAGAAGATCTGTCCTTGCCTTAACACATGAGAAACACCAAGAATGCATGATGGGAGAAACATCCCTGAGGACAGACTGAGCAAGGGGGGCAAGACTACCATCCCCAGCCCTGGAAAATCTGCTCTATATCTTCACAGATTGGCCAATGGAGATGTCAAATCAGAGTGACTGTTCAGAAGCACCACATTGTAGAAGGTTCATTCCACAGGTCCTCTTGGCATAAACCCCTAGCCAGCCTTCTCACACAGCTAGGATAACCTTTTTTGGACCTTCCCTATTCAGGATGGGTAGTGCTCTGATCATTTACTAGACCTGAGGCAAACTGAGGCTTAAGGCAACAAGCAATGTCAAAAAGGAGACAGTGATGTAGTGGGGAAAAAAGAAAGAAATTCAACAGGTAAATTACAAAGTATCTCTAAACAAATTTATCCAACAAAAATCAAAACAAGATGAACAGAGAAGAAATAAACAAATAATGCTTCAATGCAAAGACATAAATATTTAGCCATAAGAAACAACAGCAAACAGGGAACCATGACTTCAAACAGACAAAGTAAGGAACCAGTGAGTGACTCTAATGAGATGCCAATATGTGAGCTCTCTGGCCAAGAAATCGAGATATCAGTTTTAAGGAAACTCGGTTATCCCCAAGATAGCACAGAAAAGCAATGCAGAAATTTGTCAGAGAAATTTAACAAAGAGATTTAAATATTTTAAATAGAAATTTTAGAACTGAAAAATACATTTGCCAAAATGAAAAATTTATTAGATACTCTCAACAGCAGACTGAATCAAGCAGAGACAAGAATCAGTGAATTGGAAGACAGCCTATTTGAATGTACACAGTTAGAAGAGAAGGAATGAATGAAAAGGAATGAATGAAGAGCACCTACAAGATATAAAAAATTACCTCAAAAGACCAAATTTAAGAATAACTGGTGTTCAAGAGGGAGCTGAGCAAGAGAAAAGGCTAAAAAGCCCATTCAAAAAAATAATAACAGAAAACTTTCAAAAACCTGAGATCTAAATATCTAGGTACAGGAAGGTTAGAGAACACCAAACAGATCTTACCCAAATAAGACCACCACAAAACATATAATAATCAATCTCTTAAAGGTCAAGGACAACAAGAGGATCTTAAAAGCAATAGAGAAAACAAACAAATAACATATAAAGAAGCTCAATTTGTCTGGCAACAGACTTCTCAAAAGAAACCATATGGACCAGGAGGGAATATTATGACATGTTCAAAGTATTGAAAGAAAAAAAAAGTTCATCCAAGAATAATGTATCCAGAAAAGCTGTCCTTCGATATAAAAGAGAGAGAGAGGGTCTTATCCAGACAAAGATAATTCACCACCACCAGATCCATCTTACAAGAAATGCTAAAGGGAGTTCTTCAATCTGAAGAGAAACCGCCCCCTACACACACACACACACACACACACACACACTTACATAAAAAAAAGAAGAAGAAGAAGAAGAAGAAACATTTGAAGGTATAAAACCCATGGGTAAAAGTAAGCACATTGACAAACCCAGAATACTCTATTGGTGTAACTGCTGTGCAAGCCACTCGTAAGTCTAGTATGAAGCCCAAAGCAAATCAATCAAAAACAGTAACAGCTACAGCAACCTGTTAAGACATATGCAATAGAAAAATATGTAAACTGAGACAACAAAATTGCAAAATGCGGGAGGGATAAAGTTAAAGTGTAGAAGTCTTTTTTTTTTCATTTTTTTCTTTGCTTGTTTCTATTCTTTTTTTTATACTTTAAGTTCTAGGGTACATGTGCACAACGTGCAAGTTTGTTACATATGTATACATGTGCCATGTTGGTGTGCTGCACCCATTAGCTCATCTTTTACATTAGGTATATCTCTTAATGCTATCCCTCCCCTCTCCCTCCATCCCACAACAGACCCCGGTGTATGATGTTCCCGACCCTGTGTCCAAGTGTTCTCATTGTTCATTTCCCACTTATCAGTAAGAACATGCAGTGTTTGGTTTTCTGTACTTGTGATAGTTTGCTCAGAATGATGGTTTCCAGCTTTATCCATGCCTCTACAAAGGACATGAACTCATCTTTTTTTATGGCTGCATAGTATTTTACAGTGTATATGCACCACATTTTCTTAATCCAGTCTGTCATTGATGGACATTTGGGTTGGTTCCAAGTCTTTGCTACTGTGAATAGTGTTGCAATAAACATACATGTGCATGTGTCTTTATACCAGCATGATTTGTAATCCTTTGGGTATATACCCAGTAATGGGATGGCTGGGTCAAATGGTATTTCTAGTTCTAGATCCTTGAAGAATTGCCACACTGTTTTCCAAAATGGTTGAAAGAGTTTATAGTCTCACCAACAATGTAAAAGCGTTCCTATTTCTCCACATCCTCTCCAGCACCTGTTGTTTCCTGACTTTTTAGTGATCACCATTCTAACTAGCATGAGATGGTATCTCATTGTCGTTTTAATTTGCATTTCTCTGATGGCCAGTGATGATGAGCATTTTTTCATGTGTCTGTTGGCTGCATAAATGTCTTCTTTTGAGAAGTGTCTGTTCATATCCTTTGCCCACTTTTTGATGGGGTTGTTTGTTTTTTTCTTGTAAATTTGTTTAAGTTCTTTGTAGATTCCGGATATTAGCCCTTTGTCAGATGGGTAGATTGTAAAAATTTTTTCCCATTCTGTAGGTTGCCTGTTCACTCTCATGGTAGTTTCTTTTGCTATGCAGAAGCTCTTTAGTTTAATTAGATCTCATTTGTCAATTTTGGCTTTTGTTGCCATAGCTTTTGGTGTTTTAGACATGAAGTCCTTGCCCATGCCTATGTTCTGAACGGTATTGCCTAGGTTTTCTTCTAGGGTTTTTATGGTTTTAGGTCTAACATTTAAGTCTTTAATCCATCTTGAATTAATTTTTGTATAAGGTGTAAGGAAGGGATCCAGTTTCAGCTTTCTACATAAGGCTAGCCAGTTTTCCCAGCACCATTTATTAAATAAGGAATCCTTTCCCCATGTCTTGTTTTTGTCAGGTTTGTCAAAGATCAGATAGTTGTAGATATGCGGCATTATTTCTGATGGCTCTGTTCTGTTCCATTGATCTATATCTCTGTTTTGGTACCAGTACCATACTGTTTTGATTACTGTAGCCTTGTAATATAGTTTGAAGTCAGGTAGCGTGATGCCTCCAGCTTTGTTCTTTTGGCCTAGGATTGACTTGGCAATGCGGGCTCTTTTTTGGTTCCATATGAACTTTAAAGTAGTTTTTTCCAATTCTGCAAAGAAAGTCATTGGTAGCTTGATGGGGATGGCATTGAATCCATAAATTACGTTGGGCAGTATGGCCATTTTCACGATATTGATTCTTCCTATTCATGAGCATGGAATATTCTTCCACTTATTTGTGTCCTCTTTTATTTCGTTCAGCAGTGGTTTGTAGTTCTCCTTGAAGAGGTCCTTCACATCCATTGTAAGTTGGATTCCTAGGTATTTTATTCTCTTTGATGCAATTGTGAATGGGAGTTCACACATGATTTGGCTCTCTGTTTGTCTGTTATTGGTGTATAGGGATGCTTGTGATTTTTGCACATTGGTTTTGTATCCTGAGAATTTGCTGAAGTTGCTTATCAGCTTAAGGAGATTTGGGGCTGAGACGATGGGGTTTTCTAAATATACAATCATGTCATCTGCAAATAGGGACAATTTGACTTCCTCTTTTCCTAATTGAACACCCTTTATTTCTTTCTCCTGCCTGATTGCCCTGGCCAGAACTTCCAACACTATGTTGGATAGGAGTGGTGAGAGAGGGCATCCCTGTCTTCTGCCAGTTTTCAAAGAGAATGCTTCCAGTTTTTGCCCATTCAGTATGATATTGCCTGTGGGTTTGTCATAAATAGCTCTTATTATTTTGAGATACGTCCCATGAATACCTAATTTATTGAGAGTTTTTAGCATGAAGGGCTGTTGAATTTTGTCAAAGGCCTTTTCCGCATCTATTGAGATAATCCTGTGGTTTTTGTCCTTGGTTCTGTTTATATGATGGATTACATTTATTGATTTGCATATGTTGAACCAGTCTTGCATCCTAGGGATGAAGCCAACTTGATCGTGGTGTATAAGCTTTTTGATGTGCTGCTGGATTCCGTTTGCCAGTATTTTATTGAGGATTTCTGCACTGATGTTCATCAGGAATATTGGTCTAAAATTCTCTTTTTTTGTTGTGTCTCTGCCAGGATTTGGTATCTGGATAATGCTGGCCTCATACAATGAGTTAGGGAGGATTCCCTCTTTTTCTATTGATTGGAATAGTTTCAGAAGGAATGGTACCAGCTCCTCCTTGTACCTCTGGTAGAATTTGGCTGTGAATCCATCTGGTCCTTGACTTTTTTTCGTTGGTAAGCTATTAATTATTGCCTCAATTTCAGAGAAGGAAAACTAACAAACAGAAAGGACATCCAAACCAAAACTCCATCTATACTTCACCATCATCAAAGACCAAAGGTAGATAAAACCACAAAGATGGGGAGAAACCAGAGCAGAAGAGTTGAAAATTCTAAAAATTACGCACCTCTTCTCCTCCAAAAGAACCCAGTTCCCTGCCTGCAACAGAACAAAGCTGGACGGAGAATGACTTTGATGAGTTGAGGGAAGGCTTCAGATGATCAGTAATAACAAACTTCTCCAAGCTGAAGGAGGATGTTCGAACCCATTGCAAAGAAGATAGAAACCTTGGAAAAAGATTAGCAAATGGCTAACTAGAAGGAACAGTGTAGAGAAGACGTTAAATGACCTGATGGAGCTGAAAACCATGGCACAAGAACTACGTGATGCATGCACAAGCTTCAGTAGCCAATTCAATCAAGTGGAAGAAGGGGTATTAGTGACTGAAGATCAAATGAATGAAATGAAGCGAGAAGAGAAGTTTAGAGGAAAAAGAGTAAAAAGAAATGAACAAAGCCTCCAAGAAATATGGGACTATGTGAAAAGACCAAAGCTACATCTGATTGGTGTACCTGAAAGTGATGGGGAGAATGAAACCAAGTTGGAAAACACTCTGCAGGATATTATCCAGGAGAACTTCCCCAACCTAGCAAGGCAGGCCAACATTCAATTCAGGAAATACGGAGAGCACCACAAAGATACTCCTCGAGAACAGCAACTCCAAGACACATGTCAGATTCACCAAAGTTGAAATGAAGGAAAAAATGTTAAGGGCAGCCAGAGAGAAAGGTTGGGTTACCCACAAAGGGAAGCCCATCAGACTAACAGTGAATCTCTCGGCAGAAACTCTACAAGCCAGAAGAGAGTGGGGCCAATATTCAACATTCTTAAAGAGAAGAATTTTCAACCCAGAATTTCATATCCAGCCAAACTAAGCTTCATAAGTGAAGGAGAAACAAAATACTTTACAGACAAGCAAATGCTGAGAGATTTTGTCACCACTGGCCTGCCATAGAAGAGCTCCTGAAGGAAGCACTAAACATGGAAGGGAACAACCGGTACCAGCCACTGCAAAAACATGCCAAATTGTAAAGACCATTGATGCTAGGAATAAACTGCAGCAACTAACCAGCAAAATAACCAGCTAACATCATAATGACAGGATCAAATTAACACATAATAATATTAACCTTAAATGTAAATGGGTTAAATGCTCCAACCAAAAGACACAGACTGGCAAACTGGATAAAGAGTCAAGACCCATCAGTGTGCTGTATTCAGGAGACCCATCTCACATGCAGAGACAAATACAGCCCCAAAATAAAGAGATGGAGGAAGATCTACCAAGCAAATGGAAAACAAAAAAAAAAGCAGGGGTTGCAATCCTAGTCTCTGATAAAACAGATTTTAAACCAATAAAGATCAAAAGAAGGCCATTACATAATGGTAAAGGGATTAATTTGACAAGAAGAGATAACTATCCTAAATATATATGCACCCAATACAGGAGCACCCAGATTCATAAAGCAAGTCCTTAGAGACATAGAAAGAGACTTAGATTCCCACACAATAATAATGGGAGACTTTAACACCCCACTGTCAACATTAGACAGATCAACGAGACAGAAAGTTAACAAGGATATCCAGGAATTGAACTCAGCTCTGCACCAAGCAGACCTAATAGACATCTACAGAACTTTCTACCCCAAATCAACAGAATATACATTCTTCTCAGCACCACATCGCACTTATTCCAAAATTGACCACATAGTTGGAAGTAAAGCATTCCTCAGCAAATGTAAAACAGCAGAAATTATAACAAACTATCTCTCAGACCACAGTGCAATCAAACTAGAGCTCAGGATTAAGAAACTCACTCAAAACCGCTCAACTACATGGAAACTGAACAACCTGCTCCTGAATGACTACTGGGTACATAACGAAATGAAGGCAGAAATAAAGATGTTCTTTGAAACTAATGAGAACAAACACACAACATACCAGAATCTCTGCAACACATTTAAAGCAGTGTGTAGAGGGAAATTTATAGCACTAAATACCCACAAGAGAAAGCAGGAAAGATCTAAAATTGACACCCTAACATCACAATTAATAGAACTAGAGAAGCAAGAGCAAACACATTCAAAAGCTAGCAGAAGGCAAGAAATAACTAAGATCAGAGCAGAACTGAAGGAGATAGAGACACAAAAAACCCTTCAAAAAATCAATGAATCCAGGTGCTGGTTTTTTTTTGAAAAGATCAACAAAATTGATAGACTGCTAGCAGGACTAATGAAAAAAAGAGAGAAGAATCAAATAGATGCAATAAAAAATGATAAAGGGGATATCACCACTGATCCCACAGAAATACAAACTACCATCAGAGAATACTATAAACACCTCTATGCAAATAAACTAGAAAATCTAGAAGAAATGGATAAATTCCTGGACACATACACCCTGCCAAAACTAAACCAGGAAGAAGATGAGTCCCTGAATAGACCAATAATAGGCTCTGAAATCGAGGCTTGTTTCTATTCTTTTCCTTGTGGTGTAAGATAAGTTGCTGTGTCTTTAAAATAACTTGTTATATCTATAAGATTTTTAGTAAGCCTCATGATAACCACAAGGCAAAAGCCTGTAATAGATTCATTAAAAATAAAAGCAACTAATTAAAACATACTATGAGAGAAAATCACTAAACCACAAAGGAAGACAGTGAGAAAGGAAGAGAGGAGTTACAAAACAACCAGAAAATAAGCAACAAAATGGCAGCAGTAAGTCCTTCGTCTCAATAATAACACTGAATGAAAATACTAAGTCAATTTTTAGGAGAGGTAACTATTGAGAAACATTTTCAAAACAAAGTTTTGGAGACAGTTTTCATTAAGAAAAAAAGTCCTACCTCAATAGTATCATCTGTAAACTACGCAATTTTATCCTCAAACTTTATTAAGTGCCTACTTAATGCCAAATACTATGTTGGATCCTAGAAATACAAAGAGGTAAATGACAAGTTATCTGCCTCAGAAAAGTGCACTGTGCAGTTACAAACATAGAGCGAAACATGAAAAGACACTACAAGACTGGCCAGGCATGGTGGTTCCTGCCTGTAATTCCAGGTCTTTGGGAGGCTGAGGCAGGGAGATCACTTGAAGTCAGGAGTTCAAGCTCAGCCTGGCCAGCATGGTGAAAGCCCATCTCTACCAAAAATACAAAAAAAGAAAAAAAAATTTAACAGGTGTAGTGGCATGCACCTGTATCCCAGCTACTTGGGAGGCTGAGGCAGGAGAATCGGTTGAACCTGGGAGGCAGAGGAGCCAAGCTCATGCCACTGCACTCCAGCCTGGGCGACAAAGCAAGACTGTCTCAAAAAAAAAAAAAGAAAAAAGATGCTACAAGACTGACAAAAAAAAAGTGCCACAGTACCTCAGCAAATGAAAAGATCAATCAATTCCAGGACCATCAGTAAACGTTTTACACAGAAGTTACAATTAAGGTTTGTTGTTCACTAAAACATGAAGTCATAAAACATCAGACTTTTTCAAAGGCTGACATCAGCACAGTGGTTTTTTCTGGCCTCCCAGAGAGGAGTTCCAGATTTCATTCACTTCTGCTGTCTACTCCAAGCTTCCCTCATCCCACTGCTGACCTGGATGTTATACTCTAGCATCTTAACTGTATCACAGCGGAGTGTTCAAAGAGGTCAAGGCCACATATTTGTGTGATGTCTCCCCTTCTAAGATATTTTAATAGCAATAAGAGAAGAAAAAGCCTAAATCTCTCCTTTATCTTTGCTTTTCTGGACTCTGACTTCCAGGAGTGTAGTGAAGAAAGGCTAAGCTTGGGATCTGTTCTCCTTGGGAGAAAGCCTGCTCCTGTTTCTTTCTCTCCTCTCCCTTTTTCTTTCTCTTCTCTCCCTTCTCTTTCTTTTTTCTCTTCAGCTGGTCTCTTACTCGTCCACAAGGAAGCTGAATCAGTTGGCTTACCAACGCAGCCCAAGAGAGTCCATGGAGGGCTCTCTCCCTCTCCATCTGTCCTTATGTCTCACACACTGGGACCTGTGAGTGGAGTAGTCACCACATGGGAATGCTAAGACCTAAATGTGGATTGAATATTGAGGTAAAAATGGTCTGAAGGGCCTTTTGGTCTTCTTTGCTTCCAGGATATTCAAGCCTGTATATACTGTATAGTTCAGTATATACTTCAATATATACTTCAATATAGTTTAGAATGTTTCATGAAGTCTTGATTAGTTCCCTTTTATTCTGCTTTGGAGTTTGAGAGTCAAGTCCAAGCAGCTGTTTAACATGATGTCACTGTCCTCTGTTGGTCAGTGTACCCTGCATGGATCCTTATTTTGGGTATTTCTCAGAGGATAGCCAAGGCAGGGCAGTATTTGGATATTCATGAGTCCTCTGGCCAAATGCCATCCAAGTATCATATTGATATCAACTCAACAGCTACTGTTTCTTTATTTTGAATAACTCTGTATAGAAGGCATAAGAACAAGTAAATAGGAACAATCTAGTCTGTCATGAATGTGTCCTCCCTTTGCCTTTTCAAAACATGAGCAACTAGTTGAGGATCAGAGTTGACTCCTAATTTCTCTGACAGAAGGAGCCCAAGAACCTGAAAGATATTCCCTTTTATTTTCTATGATTACATATTGGCCAAACAGGATTTTCTTCATCTTCAATTTTAGCAACAAAAATAGCCAGATTCACCTGAAAGATCACATTCACTTTAATAAACAAGTTTTAAAAAGAAAAACAATGGCCCAGCAGATTGATGGCAGTGGGCCCAGACCTGCTCTCTCTTGGTTGGCCCTGGGGTAAGTTTCTGAACCTAATTTTGGCTTCCTTAGCAGCAATCTTTAGAATCTGAGGAATTTAGCCCCTCTTCTGCTCAGTTTTTGGCCTTAACTAAAAATCTGAAACAATGAGAAAGTCCTACTTAACCTATTAAATTTATATTCTTGCTCCAAATTTGGTAAAATGTCAGCAAAAACAGCAATGTATAATATAAACTCTGGAAATGTCAAAATAATCAATGAAATATCATAATTATTAAAGTTTTCTTCACAGTTGGAGAAATTATCAAACCTCTTTGCCACGAGCAGTTCTAATTTTATTCTCAAAGTCTCCCTAACTGTTAAATATATGTATATGCAATATATTTATAGATGTGTATCATACTCAAAGGATGTGCCAGATAGATATGCCTACTAGGAAAAATGATAATATTCACAAGTCAGTTGCTGAATTTCCCTTCAAACTCTCTGGGCTGGCTATATGTCATTTGGCTCACAACAACCTTCCCAGCCTTCTGGAATCTCCTCTGTATCACAAGATGGCTGGGAGCCTGCAAACTATATCTCACAGACTTTCTCACCAGCTGCTTTCCAGTAAGGTTCTGCCAATGGGAGGCACTGTTGGGGGACTGAAAGGCAAAGGAAGGGAGAAATCTGTTTGTTTGTGTGTGCGTGTGTGTGTGTGTGTATGTGTGTGTGTGTGTTTTGTTTCTGGAGATGCATGAAAGCGTTAGAGAAGGGGCAGGGCAAGTGCATGCTCTAGGTCCTGCTCAAGAAGTGCAATTCCACAGCAGTGGCAGACCTGGTGCTCCTGCATGGTGCTTATGAGCTCTGGCTCTAGCAGCAGCAACTGCAGCCTCTATAAAAAGAGACTGTAGACCTCGGTTGTGCAGCCCAGCAGGGGCATGGGCTTTCAGCTGCCTGCAAAAAATGGTGATAGTTGCAGCAGCAGCAGAAGTAGAACCTCAACAGCCTCTTCATCACAACAATCCTGGTCTCTGGGTAACTCCATTTCCTTTGCTGCTTCTATTGCCAGACAGGTGGTAGGTAGGAGTAACCTCACCTTCCCCTCTTCACTTCCTCAGTCTTCCAACAATTTCCTAACCAATTCCTTAAATGCTTTAGCAGTTTTCCTGAATGAACACTTACTAATATGCCACCCTATCTTTCTTAATTATAAAAAATCAAGAGAAAATAATAAAGATAGATAATTTTGTTAATTTTTCATATAGGCATGTACATACTTGCTGAAAGCTGTGAAATCTTCTAATGTAAAAATAACCTACAGAGGCAGAATTAGTAAATCCCTTAAGTGCAAAACATTAAAAAGTTACAGAATGCAGGTTAAACATAATGGATTAAACACATACATTTAATCTTGAAATGGCACTAAAATTACAGTAAAGGAAGTAAGAATGTGTAAAACCACAAAGACAAAGAAAATGGAAGAGAGAAGGAGACATCAGGGATGGTAGACAAGAGAAATCAACACAATTTTGTAAGATGAAAAGGGCATGGATTCGTTTTTTGTTGTTGTTTCTTTTTTTTTTTTTTCTTTTTTAGACAAGGTCTTATTCTGGGCCTAGGATAGAATGCAGTGACGTGACCATAGCTCACTGTAACTTCAAACTCCTGAGTTCAAGCAATCTTCCCACCTCAGCCTCCTGACTAGCTGGGACTACAGGAACACACCACCAAGAGCAGCTGATTTTTGTAATTTTTGTAGAGATGGGGTCTCACTCTGTCTCTCAGGCTGGTTTCAAATTCCTGGCCTCAAGTGATCCTCCCACTTCAGCCTCCCAAAGTGTTGGGATTACAGGCATGAGCCACTGACAAGCATGAGCCACTGACAAGCATGAGACACTGACAAGCATGAGCCACTGTCCTGTGGCCTGCCAAAACAGGGATTAATTGAAATTGATTAGCAGAACTCAGAAAACTGAAGCTGAAGATTCAAGTAGCAAACCCTCAAAAAAAGCTCTGTATAGGAACCAGGTAGTTCTGAAGGCAGGAGTATGGGATAGAGTAGGGCTGAAACAGGAAGACAGATTGAAAATTTATGTCAGGCATAGTTTTCTCCTTAGAGCCCCCACCCCAGCCCTTGCAATTATGCTACTGTCCCACCCCACTTATCTTTTCATTCTTTAGAAAAGATGGACCAAAGTGTCTAGACTCAAGGAAAATAGCATAACTGACATTACGAATGAGGCCTTAGTCTAAATGTGGTTATAAAATGAAAGTTTTTATACTGAACATTGACATCACCACCCCCACTGGCCAACCATTTTCTGCACAGTAGGTCAGCTGGGTTTTTCCCTCCAAGAAGAAAATTGGAGGACTACCCTCTAGGGAAATTTGCCGGAATAAAAGAAAAGATCTACAGAGACTAATATTTTGGCATCCCCCAAGGAAATTGCCTTACAACTTCTTACATGTAAGAAGTTCTATCCATGTGCTTAGAACTTCCAATTCAAATTTTTCTGACTCAATTTAAATAGGAGAAAATGGTCAAGAATGACTAGATACGGGAAGGAACTCTCTAACATTAAAAACAGAAACCAAAATAAAAGAACAGAGAAGAAAAACTGAGTAAAACAAAGGCAATATTGAAACAAAAGTCTAAATATAGTATGAATATTCCCAGGGAGAAGATATTATACCCATGAAATAAGACCGGAATACTTTAAAAAATAATGCTTAAAAAAATGAAAGAAAGAAACATTTACGAAAAGAGCTATGGGAAATTAAAAATATAATTGCAGAAATTCAGTAGAAGAATTGGAAATAAAGCTGAGAATGTTTCTCAAAAATATAAAAGACAAAAGGATGGAAAACAGAAGAATAACATTTATTCAAATTAGGTAATCATTCCTGGAAGTCCAAAATCCAAATAGAAGTTTCAGAGAGAGCAGGAAAAAAAAGACAAAAAAATGAGTTGAAGAACTTAACAACAAAAGAAAGTTTACAAAAATAAAGAATTCAATTTTCCATATTGAAAGTTTGCAATTGGAGTCTAGCATAGTGAATTTTAAAAAGACCTATATAAAAATTCATAGTGAAATTTCAAAATATCAAGGATAATAAAATATTCTAAACAACTTCAGAGATAAAAAAGCCAGTCTTATACAAAAAAAAAAAAAAAAAACCTGGTATCTGAGTAGTATTAGACTTAACAATTGCAGGAACAAATCAACAGAAATCAACAAAGTAATGCTTCCTAATTCTAAGAGAAAGTTATTTCTAATCTAAAACTTTATCATCAGCTATAATTTAATCAAATGTAAAGGTAGAATAAAAAACCTTTTCAGCATCTCCAAAAAATTTTATCTTGTATGCAGCCTTTGTCAGAAATACTAGATGATGTGCTTCATCAAAACAAAGAAAGAGACCAAGAAAGAGGATGACATAAAATCCAAAAAAATCAGGGAATTCAATACAGAGAGAAAAAAGATAAATGAAAAACAAAGAATAATTCCTGGTAATGACAACCTATAGTGTCAGTTAGTATACTTAGTCTAGAGATCCATGAGTCCAGATTTTCACAGGAGGACAATGGACTCCAGAAGGACAGACCTAAAGAAAATTAAAAATGGAAAAAAAAAAAACAGAAAGAAAGAATAAAAACCTAGAATTATGTGTTCAATAACATGGACTGTAGTGAAACCTGTTTTACAGTTCCGTGAGAAAGTTCAGGGCTAAAATAGTCTTAGGGACCTGGATTAAAAAAACCAATTGATATAATAAAAACTGTAGTAAAAAGGGAGAGGAGATATATAATCACAGTACAATGCAAATTTAAACTGTGAGTACTAATACCTTATAAAAGCATGATATAACTATATTAGGAGAACAGGAGGAGAAAAAATAAGCGTATGCATTAAAATGGGTTGAAGAAGGAGTGTGAAAGAGATAATCTTCTTTAGAAGGGAGCTAATAAAGCCTAAAATTGAAAAAAGCAAAAAGCCATAGAACTAGTAATAAAGTATGGTAAGAGAAATTGAAAGGTAAATATCAGAACAAACAGCTAAAACAGATTGAAAATAAATGTTTCCAGAGAAAGGGAAGAGGAGAGGGGTTTGCTTCTATTTATTTCTTTATGTACTGTTGTAGTACTTTTAAAATTAAGCACAAATATTACTTTGAGAATAAAAATTAACATTTTTAAAAGTAAATAAAAGATAAGAACTTTGGAAAATTTCATATACTTATAGAACCCTAACCAATAACAAATTGTAGCATAAGTCTAGTCATATTTTCTTTAATGAAATTAAACATTAGCTGTTTAATATATTTCTTGCAGTCTTTATGTACTAATGCACACTGCAATTTTCATAATATGAAAAGATTAATTTTAGATCAAATCAGTTAAAACTTCTATAAATTCTGGATTGTATGAACATCAAATTATTTTGATTACTAAGGTATTCTCTTAGGTCCCTTTTTGATTATTATTGCTACATAATGAATCATTCCAAAACACAGTGGCTTAAATCATTTTATTATTATCTCTCTTAATTTTGAGGTTCTGGTTCGAGGTCTTTCATGCAGTTGTATTCAGATGACTGTCGTGGCGTAATCCCAAAGGCTTCCTCACATGATCAGACCAGCCGAGTTCAAACTGGGATATGTATACTTTGGTGGCATGAATAATTTCAAGGAAATAATTGCTACATCCTGAACTTAACATGTACTCTTTCCTAAAATTTGACTGTCAGAATACTTATTCTGGTTTTTCTTATCCTTGTTATCCTTGTTACACTTTCAAAAAGAGGGATGCTTGTCATCCATTTTACCATGGCACATTGACCCTGAGTGCAAAAATCTCCAGAGTTCTAGGACGATTCAAAATATTGCTATTAGTGTTCAGAAAGTAAATGACCCTAATAACTGAATAATAAAACCTAGAATTAGTTTCAATTCTTTGCCTTTAACAAAATTGAAAGAAGACCTAATTGAGATGACAGCTGGTACATCATTAAAAATAATTTTTGATGATAGATAACTATGTGATTTTTGGCATATAACTTGGAAGGAGTTCAAATATTTGAATGACACTGCTAAAACACAACTCTTTCCATTCCCACCTACTTATTTATGAGAATACATTTTCTCAGATCTCGTATCTATAAAAACAAAAATAGAATAGTTTTTTTTATTATTATACTTTAAGTTTTAAGGTACATGTGCACAATGTGCAGGTTAGTTGCATATGTATACATGTGCCATGCTGGTGCGCTGCACCCATTAACTCGTCATTTAGCATTAGGTATATCTCCTAATGCTATCCCTCCCCACTCCCCCCCTCGCCCCACCCCACAACAGTCCCCAGAGTGTGATGTTCCCCTTCCTGTGTCCATGTGTTCTCATTGTTCAATTCCCATCTATGAGTGAGAACATGCAGGGTTTGGTTTTTTGTCCTTGTGATAGTTTACTGAAAATGATGATTTCCAGTTTCATCCATGTCCCTAAAAAGGACATGAACTCATCATTTTTTATGGCTGCATAGTATTCCATGGTGTATATGTGCCACATTTTCTTAATCCCGTCTATCATTGTTGGACATTTGGCTTGGTTCCAAGTCTTTGCTATTGTGAATAGTGCCGCAATAAACATACGTGTGCATGTGTCTTTATAGCAGCATGATTTATAATCCTTTGGGTATATACCCAGTAATGGGATGGCTGGGTCAAATGGTATTTCTAGTTCTAGATCCCTGAGGAATCGCCACACTGACTTCCACAATGGTTGAACTAGTTTACAGTCCCAAGAACAGTGTAAAAGTGTTCCTATTTCTCCATATCCTCTCCAGCACCTGTTGTTTCCTGACTTTTTAATGATTGCCATTCTAACTGGTGTGAGATGGTATGTCATTGTGGTTTTGATTTGCATTTCTCTGATGGCCAGTGATGATGAGCATTTTTTCATGTGTCTGTTGGCTGCATAAATGTCTTCTTTTGAGAAGTGTCTGTTCATATCCTTTGCCCACTTTTTGATGGGGTTGTTTTTTTCTTGTAAATTTGTTTGAGTTCATTGTAGATTCTGGATATTAGCCCTTTGTCAGATGAGTAGGTTGCGAAAATTTTCTCCCATTTTGTAGGTTGCCTGTTCACTCTGATGGTAGTTTCTTTTGCTGTGCAGAGGCTCTTTAGTTTAATTAGATCTCATTTGTCAATTTTGGCTTTTGTTGCCATTGCTTTTGGTGGTTTAGACATTAAGTCCTTGCCCATGCCTATGTCCTGAATGGTAATGCTTAGGTTTTCTTCTAGGGTTTTTATGGTTTTAGGTCTAACGTTTAAGTCTTTAATCCATCTTGAATTAATTTTTGTATAAGGTGTAAGGAAGGGATCCAGTTTCAGCTTTCTACATATGGCTAGCCAGTTTTCCCAGCACCATTTATTAAATAGGGAATCCTTTCCCCATGTCTTGTTTTTGTCAGGTTTGCCAAAGATCAGATAGTTGTAGATATGCGGCATTATTTCTGAGGGCTCTGTTCTGTTCCATTGATCTATATCTCTGTTTTGGTACCAGTATCATGCTGTTTTGGTTACTGTAGCCTTGTAGTATAATTTGAAGACAGGTAGGGTGATGCCTCCAGCTTTGTTCTTTTGGCTTAGGATTGACTTGGCGATGCAGGCTCTTTTTTGGTTCCGTATGAACTTTAAAGTAGTTTTTTCCAATTCTGTGAACAAAGTCATTGGTAGCTTGATGGGGATGGCATTGAATCTATAAATTACCTTGGGCAGTATGGCCACTTTCACGATATTGATTCTTCCTACCCATGAGCATGGAATGTTCTTCCATTTGTTTGTATCCTCTTTTATTTCCTTCAGCAGTGGTTTGTAGTTCTCCTTGAAGAGGTCCTTCACGTCCCTTGTAAGCTGGATTCCTAGGTATTTTATTCTCTTTGAAGCAATTGTGAATGGGAGTTCACTCATGATTTGGCTCTCTGTCTGTTATTGGTGTGTAAGAATGCTTGTGATTTTTGTATGTTGATTTTGTATCCTGAGACTTTGCTGAAGTTGCTTATCAGCTTAAGGAGATTTTGGGCTGAGACAATGGGGTTTTCTAGATATACAATCATGTCGTCTGCAAACAGGGACAATTTGACTTCCTCTTTTCCTAATTGAATACCCTTTATTTCTTTCTCTTGCCTAATTGCCCTGGCCAGAACTTCCAACACTATGTTGAATAGGAGTAGTGAGAGAGGGCATCCCTGCCTTGTGCCAATTTTCAAAGGGAATGCTTCCAGTTTTTGCCCATTCAGTATGATATTGGTTGTGGGTTTGTCATAGATAGCTCTTATTATTTTGAGATATGTCCCATCAATACCTAATTTATTGAGAGTTTTTAGCATGAAGGTTGTTGAATTTTGTCAAAGGCCTTTTCTACATCTATTGAGATAACCATGTGGTTTTTGTCTTTGGTTCTGTTTATATGCTGGATTACATTTATTGATTTGCGTATATTGAACCAGCCTTGCATCCCAGGGATGAAGCCCACTTGATCATGGTGGATAAGCTTTTTGATGTGCTGCTGGATTCGGTTTGCCAGTACTTTATTGAGGATTTTTGCATCAATGTTCATCAAGGATATTGGTCTAAATTCTCTTTTTTTGTTGTGTCTCTGCCCGGCTTTGGTATCAGGATGATGCTGGCCTCATAAAATGAGTTAGGGATGATTCCCTCTTTTTCTATTGATTGGAATAGTTTCAGAAGGAATGGTACCAGTTCCTCCTTGTACCTCTGGTAGAATTCGGCTGTGAATCCATCTGGTCCTGGGCTCTTTTTGGTTGGTAAGCTATTGATTATTGCCACAATTTCAGATCCTGTTATTGGTCTATTCAGAGATTCAACTTCTTCCTGGTTTAGTCTTGGGAGAGTGTATGTGTCGAGGAATTTATCCATTTCTTCTAGATTTTCTAGTTTATTTGCATAGAGGTGTTTGTAGTATTCTCTGATGGTAGTTTGTATTCGTGTGGGATCGGTGGTGATATCCCCTTTATCATTTTTTATTGCATCTATTTGATTCTTCTCCATTTTCTTCTTTATTAGTCTTGCTAGCAGTCTATCAATTTTGTTGATCCTTTCAAAAAACCAGCTCCTGGATTCATTAATTTTTTGAAGGGTTTTTTTGGTCTCTATTTCCTTCAGTTCTGCTCTGATTTTAGTTATTTCTTGCCTTCTGCTAGCTTTTGAATGTGTTTGCTCTTGCTTTTCTAGTTCTTTTAATTGTGATGTTCGGGTGTCAATTTTGGATCTTTCCTGCTTTCTCCTGTGGGCATTTAGTGCTATAAATTTCCCTCTACACACTGCTTTGAATGTGTCCCAGAGATTCTGGTATGTTGTGTCTTTGTTCTCATTGGTTTCAAAGAACATCTTTATTTCTGCCTTCATTTCGTTATGTACCCAGTAGTCATTCAGGAGCAGGTTGTTCAGTTTCCATGTAGTTGAGTGGTTTTGAGTGAGTTTCTTAGACTCCCAGACAATAATAATGGGAGACTTTAACACCCCACTGTCAACATTAGACAGATCAACAAGACAGAAAGTTAACAAGGATACCCAGGAATTGAACTCACCTCTGCACCAAGTGGACCTAATAGACATCTACAGAACTCTCCACCCCAAATCAACAGAATATACATTTTTTTCAGCACCACACCACACCTATTCCAAAATTGACCACATAGTTGGAAGTAAAGCTCTCCTCAGCAAATGTAAAAGAACAGAAATTATAACAAACTGTCTCTCAGACCACAGTGCAATCAAACTAGAACTCAGGATTAAGAAACTCAATCAAATAGAATAGATTGATGCTAAGCTTTGACTCATTCTAGCAATAAGTAATATTCAGCCACAGATACATACATTTATTAAACAAGAAATTGCTCAATCATGAGAATAATGAATATAATTCTAATATATTTTAGTTTTTATGTATATTATCTAAAAATTATTCATGATGTTTAGGTTAATTATATATTAATATGAATAATGAAAATTGAATTCAGAAGAATTCTTAACACCTGGAGTCTACATCACCAAATTTTTAATTACTTTTTCAATGTACATCCATATTGTTGTGGTAGGAAAAGGGTAATTACTAAAAGACTTTGAGGCAGAAAGAATGCATTAAACTAGGCTAAATCCTATTGAAAAAGTGGTATAGAAATAGAAGTTCAGGGTAACTTGTGACTGTTACAGATGAATTAGTTTAAGTACTTTAATATCGATTTTTCATGAGAATCGAAATGGCTATATCTCAAGAAGATACAACTTTTATGTCAATATTTACAATTTACAGTAAACTATATATTTTACAATGATCTAAGCTTAAATTGAGAAATTTTAGAGGTCAATTTACTTAGAGTCAATTTTAGAGGGATATAAGTTTTTAAGATGTACTTAAGATCACTGATTTATAATCTTAAAATAATCAACGAAACAACATAAAATTTGAACCTTATTTAACAGTATTTTACTTCAGAGTTATTTTTGTTAGTTGAGGCCAGGAGCAGTGGCTCACGCCTGTAATCCCAGCATTTACAGGCCAAGGCAGGCAGATCACGAAGTCAGGAGATCGAGACCATCCTGGCTAACACGGTGAAACCTCATCTCAACTAAAAATACAAAAAATTAGCCAGGTGTGGTGGCGGGCGCCTGTAGCCCCAGCTACTTGGGAGGCTGAGGCAGGAGAATGGTGTGAACCTGGGAGGCGGAGCTTGCAGTGAGCCGAGATCGCGCCACTGCACTCCAGCCTGGGCGACAGAGCGAGAGCCCGTCTCAAAAAAAAAAATAAAAAGTTATTTTTGTTAGTTGAAAGGAAGAATTTCTGAACATTTTCATATCCTGTTCACCTATACAGTTATTTTTATTGTACATTGTACATGTAATTGTGAGGCAATTGAGTAGCAAAATGAAAGAAGAAAACCTTGTTTCATTAAACCTGGCAGAAAATTGGTATGGCTGAATTTTATTATCATGCCTAAGACTAATTAATTAGAACTGAGATTTCTGGTATTGCCTAGAACTATTTTTACATACACAAAGGAACATGCCTAGAGTGTAATTAGAAATCTCTTTATTATGACACTTTTGAGGAATATGAGGGATATGGAAATATAGAGATAAATGCTTGTCCATTTCTTTTAAAGATTATTAGTGATATTTACTGAATATAAGACATCGATATCTAGATATGTATTCCTTGCTCTTTTGAATGACTCAGTGCCCCGCCAAAAGCAAGCTGGTACGCCCAGCCTCAAATAATCTTAATGATATTATTTACTCCAAGGCTCATCGTTGATGCCTGTCACAGGGTAGATGCTCAATGTCTGTTTGTTGAATTATTGAATGAATGAAAGAACTGGAATTTATCCAGTTAGTGAGTCAGTCAGGAAGACTTTTCCACTTTCAGAAATGTTCTATTAAAGTACAAATGTACATTGTACAGTGTTCCCAAAAGTCAGCTCATATTTTTGACTGCATCAGTGTTACTCGGAGTGTGTTGTAAATTTAACTTCCTGTACCCCACCTCATACTACTACTGCTAAATACTTTAAGCAACATGAGGTCTAAGAATCTTCATTTCTAACAGTCTCCCCAGTTGACTGGCATGCACAGTATTGACAGGAAGCTGGAGAATCAGTTTGGAAACAACAAAAACTAGGGCAGATTCATTCAGAGAATGAGAAAACAGGAAAGACGGTCAGAGGCTCAGGGGGAAAATAGTCTGGTCAGGGCACCAACCACTGCTGGAAATGAAACAATGCTGAACGTTTGTTTCACCGTGTTCAAGATTCAAATTTGAGAAAAGGACTGACTACAGGACTACCCGGGGTCAGGTTGGTACCTTTGTTTAGGGTGAGGTAAGGGCCATCATTAATAGTTTCACTAGACTGTATCAGATTAAGAAGACATTTTTCTACAAACATAAACCAAAATGCTGGTAGAAATTAGGAATGTTTTCTAGGAAGCCAAAAATAAAAATTACAGACATAAGGCTATACACAATGAAATGGAGTGCCTCATAAAGCAGCATGTGTACTGTCAACACAGAACTTAATACCAGACTTTCGCTCAACTTGAACAATATAGAAAGAATTCCTGCCTCAAGTGCCATTGGATAACCTTGAAATTTGTCTCCCATTGAGAGTCTGTTCCTCTGTATTACTAATTGAATCCCAAAATCATCCAATTCAGCATTTAAAAATCAATCAAACATTGTTTGAAATCCTTTAGAAAAACTAAATAATTGATTATGATGGTGACTTTTTTGCTTTTACACATTTTAATTGTGTCTAATGATAGAATACTAGGTAATGTTTATCGTAGGAAAGAATAATGAATCGTAATCTGCTCAGCTCTTGGCCCTTCTAGCCAACCAACTCCTTTCACTCATATGCCCACTGTTCCCTAAAGAAAAACCTCAGTTATCTGATCCTCTACCATTGTCAAATTAGGACATTGTCAAAGAACCACCTATTCACTCCCGAAAGGCTTTTGCTCTTTTCATATCTTATTTCTTTGCTAAAAGTTTTTTGGCTTAATTTTTGGCCCAGAAAATCTAATGTTCTTTCTTTCCTCTGACAGATTTCTTCTTTCTTTCTTCTGACAGATTTGCCAATCCCTTTGGCTCACTGCATTCCCATGGTCCTGGGTAAGAACTGCATACTCTTCACCATCCTGGAACCTAATTAATAACCCCTTCTCAACTTGGTTCATGTTGGCCAGATCATTCTCCAACTCCCATTTAAGCAAGAAAGTTTAATTAAATATGTGACATATTTAAATAAGTATGTGACATGGTTGAATATGGAGAGGCCCACTATTTAGCCAGGAAGTAAACTTTGACAAAACATCCAAGTAATTCAGTAACTTCATAGTCACATCATTTTTCAGGGATTTAAATGTATATGTGTTTGGCTTTTCTGATTCATGTCATTACTCTTTCAATGATAGAATGGACATGGTACATTGCGCTGAGAGGAATACCTCATTACCTTTCACGTTCTCTGAATTGCACAGTGTTGCCTAAAAATATCTTTTCACCAGAAGAGCCTAGAACAGCACTCAAAAGAGAGCCGTGTTTGCCCTTACACTGATCTTAGTCAGTAGACACCAATGGATTATTGAGCTGCATGCTGCTCATAAATCAACACATATTATGCTTATATTGTCCTGCATTTTAGTCTTTCATCTATGTACTAAGGGACATTTAATGTTAAACTAATGTAAGAATTGTCTTTTATCTGTATGGTTTGTTTCGGATTATTTTCTTTAGTATATTTACCAATGACCAACCTCTTCAAAACTTCATACATACTGATGATCTATGTAACGTATCCAGGGAAATAATTTTATTTCTCTCAAGAAAAAAGTTACATATTCAATGAATCAATATTCAGACTATGATGAAAATCAACTTTTTGACAACATAATCATGCTGTAGTTGAAGATTTTATTGGTGCCACAAAGAAGTCAATTCTAAAATAGATCTGTAATAGAAGCTCACTGGCTATTCACCTGAACTCTGTTCACATAGGAGGTAATATTGGTTCAAGTATTATTAAAGCACATGAAAAGATAAAAAGTAAGCCTTATGACATAAAATTAATTCCAGAAAATTGACTAGTTCTAGGTGATACATTAACCTGATAATTTTGAGAATTTCAGTTGTTGTCTAATGCTAAGGTATATGAACTCGATAGACATATAATTCTTACGTGGCAAGAATATAGCTCCTAATTAACATTTGAGGGATAACAGGAAATTCTACACCAGATACCAAAGGGATAACAGGAAAATCTACACCAGATACAGATAAGCAGGATGGAGGCACTAGCTAATAGCGCTGAACCTAGGATTAGAAGATCAGATTTGATCTTACACAAACCAGTGACTGTGATACTACATATGTCTTTGAGCCCACATTTCTTGATCTTTAAAATGAAAGCAAAAACACCTCTTTTACAGGGTGGTGGAGACAGTAATGGGAAATAATAGATGTAGAAATGCTTTGTAAATTCTAAAGTGGTCTAGAAATATAAGATACTATCTCTTCTGTTTCTTGTTAGTGCCATCCCGTAAGCTATCAAGGCATAGTAATAATCCTGGAAAGCACAAATTTAAGGCAAAACATTTGTCAAAGAAACCTGATTGGAAGAAGCAATATAAACAAGTTTAATGAACAGTCTTTCCTATGTTTCCGGATACAATGGTAAGTAAAATATTACCACAGATATTAAATAAAAGCTTCTATTAAAAAGGCTGTGCTAAAATGCACACAGAGCCTAAGAGATCCATTCCATAGGAATTCATACAGTCAAGCCTAGCAATGTCTGAACTGTTATCCAAGCAAACTGTCTCAAAAATTAATCAATTGATAAAAAAATTAATCAATTGGAATTACTATCACAACACCAACACAGGTGAAGGTAGTGGCATGCTGTTCCTGGGGTATCTACATGTCTGCTAGATACCTGTTAATATCCAGTTAAATAAATAATAGGCTGCAAAAATGGAAAAAGCCATTGCTTATGTCAGTGATAGAAAAAAAAATGTCTAGAAATAAGGAAAGAATTAGTGATAAGTTGAGCACATGGAATAGCTACCACTTTAAAAGCTATGTGGACTTAGGCTTCCCAGAAGTCCCAGACCTGTCATTCTCCTAGCTACTATCACTCCTTACACCAAAGCCGTCAGGTTTGAATAATAGAAAAGCTCTGGATACCGAGCTCACTGAGAGGGAGGCAATTTAACTATCCCTCCATAGTCCCGGTTTTTTCTTCCCTGACAGCTGCAATGTCTTCCGAGAATGACCTTCCATAGCAATGATGAAAAATGAGAGTTGAAGAAAAAGATTGTCACAAATTCAAACTAAAGGATTGGTAAAATAGTTTAATAAGGTAAGCGATATAATTTTAGAATTGAAAACCATATACTCCAAACCAGAATTTTCTTCTAAGCCTCCTTTAGTTGGTTAAGACTCTACCATTCTTGGCAGTTACTTAAGCTCAAGTATATTTGATCACCCTTATTATAATCTTTAAATTCTACAAAATAACAGTCACTTGGATAAATTGTGGTATATTTATATACTAGAATATCATCAAACAATGAAAATAAGTGAGCCACAGATACATTCAACAGCATGTATGAGTCTCATCAACATTGTTAGGTGAAAGAAGTTAGACATAAAATAATATATTTTATGTAATGACAGGTATATAGAATTAAAAAATAGTCACTCCTGGTCTACGGTGTTAGAGGTCAGTGGAGTTTCCTTGAGAGAGAAAAAAAGGTATGTTCTTTGAAAGGGCTGAATGGGCTTTCTGATATGTTGGAAATGTTTTATTTTGTGATCTGGGTAGTGATTTCATAGGAGCATTAACTTTGTAATAATCTATGAAATGGACACTTATCTTTTATGCACTTTTCTGCACTTTAAAAAATTATGTAAGTTCTTAGTTTGGCCTTTAAGGTTGACCATGATTATTTCCCAATGTGTTACTCCAACCTCACCCTCAAGTTGCCTCCCTAAATATTTTATTCCAACTATGTTGCTTTATTCATGCATCTCAAACAAGGTTGTATTATTTTTTAACCCTGTTCTTTTGCTTTTGCTGTTTCTAACTAGAAGTCATCTTCTGTCTCTTCATATCAAAATCCCAACCATTTTTCAGAGCTCAACTATACGTCTTTTATGTAGCCTTCCCTCATTTCAGCAAATGTTCTTTCTCCATTTTCTGAGTTGCAACGATCATTTGAACCTCTCTCATCAATTTGATTTTAATTACCCCTGAATTAAAAATAAGTTCATTTGTTTTATTATGTAACAGGTATATAAATTATTGGAGAGCTGGGAACTATATACTACATATCTTGAAATTCTTTTCCTTACTTCACAGATTAGCTGTACCTGGTGCTAAGTGGATAATTGAATGAGTCTGTGAATAAATAAGCAAATAAGCCACTGAGTCAATTATTTATAAACATCTATAATTATTATACACCTCTGAGGGGCCCTTGGATCAAGTTTCATCCCAGCCCATGAATAAGTGTTGGTAAGTCCTCCAGTGTCCTCTTGGTTCTGGCCAACAAATCAGTAGATGAGTGGTGGAAAGTTATACAATATGTTGTACCTTACTACACCCCAAAAGTGAGAGAGAAATAGACTGAAAGTCTAGAATCAGTAAATATACTACCTGCCCAAGACAAAATTGTGAAATGAGAAGTTGATCCTTCTCTACCTTTCCTCCAAGGATCATGCCTTTGTCCAATCCCACCTCCACACTGTCTTTCTCCTCTTCCTCCTTTATTTTCAGAGGTCAATAGTGACATCTGTTGATTGCTGTATTCAAGTTCTCTAAAGAAACAGAGCCAAGAGGATATGCGTATGCAAATTTCCATGTCAAGGGCAAAGCAAGAAGGTTATTGCAGGATCTACTCTGCAAGGTTGCCAAAGGCCTATGTTCTTGGCACATGACTGAGGCAAAGCTTCACCAGATGTCCTTATACCCACACTACTGCCTTAAGGGATGGCAGGCAGCCTGACACCTTTTTCCTGAAATCAGCATCCTCTGCTGAGAAAGGTTAACATAGGTCTCACTTTAAAGGAGAAATACTAAAAGGAATTGTCTATTATCATAGAATATATATTGAAGGGTGAATTTGGAGCCAAGAGGCAATAACTTGATAACTGGCATATAGGCTATGAGTATCAGTTATGAGAGCCAATAAATTCCCTTTTGGTTTTAGATCTTTTCAGCTGGATTTTCTGAATATTGTACAGAAAGACTGTTAACTGACAAAAGGCCCAGTCCTCATACCACCTAGAGCAAAGCAGAGTTTTTCGTTGAATATTCTTTTCTGAGTCTTTCTGCCACTATTTTCCCTCAAAATCTTTCTGCCCTGGTCCTGTTTTTTTTAGTTAGAATTCTACATATTGTCTTTGATATATACGTTAAAAGCCTGTCAACAACATATTTTTATTTTAATAATAGAATTATAGAAAATGAAGGCTTTAAAACAGAAGATTGATAGAGTTAGGTATTTTTAAAAGTTAATAGAATATCTTAGGACAACAGGCACTTTGGTTTCCTTCAAATAATTAAGCTATAATCTATAATAACAAAACATAGTTAGAATTTTTAATTCAATTAGGATTGCTCTCAAATCTGCCTGGTAATTCTAGGATTGCACCTTGACAACAAAACATGGTCCCAAAAGAAAGCATTTATTTTCAGTAAAAAATAAAAATACCTAAGTAAGCAACTTTAATAGGGTTTACATGAGTTTCAGTTAAAAGTAAGATATCTAATGCAAAAGACAATTGCTTTCTGTGTTATTTTTAAAAACAGAAGTGCCAAAGAGTAGAGGAATTAAGAAAGTAAAAACTTTACACAATGGTAAAAAATGTGTTAGTGGCTAAAAAAATTACTTTATGAAGTAGACTCCCAAGGAATGTATAAAAGTTTCCAATTAGACAATATTGGTTCTTTGAAAAGTTTCATTTTAAGATTTAGACTAACATATATCTTTTTTTATTCTTGACTTCAGCAATTTCTTCTAACTGCCTCAGTAGTCTTGTCTTCCTTGGGTTTTATAACCACAAAGTTTATTATTAAAAAGTTTTAGTTCACCTCAAATACTTTCTGTGTTATTTGGTAAAAGTATCTAGGGGAAAATTCACGTAAGAAGAGTAAACCCAATTTAACAGAAAACATGAAAAATTGTTGATGAAGGGGTTTCTGTGTGTGTGTGCTCAGCCCAAAGGAAGCATTGGACTGGCTCTGGGAGTGGGACGCAGCGTGAAAAGATGTAGTATCTCCTCCTCTGCCTGCTTGTGTTGGATAAGTGGATCATTTTATTGTCAGGTTGGCTGAGACTGAGCATCAACATTATACAGGAAAGTCCCAAAGGTATGCAGCAGAGGGGATGCTATACCAGTCTCCTTCACTTGATGCTATTAAATGAGCTCACAGTCTGTAAGATAAAAGTTAGATACATTGAAGGAAAATAAGTACCTAGTTTTATAGCAGTACTTTATGTTCAAACTCCTCATGAGTTTATACATGTTTCTATAGAGAGACTGCATCTAAAACAACGCTCTTAACAAATGAAATTTACAAGAAAAAACAAGCTCTGTGAATTGCTATACTGATGAGTGTTTTTTTCTTTCAATAACAGTAGTACAATAGTCACTTACAATGTCTGAACATTCTAAGCCCTAACTATAGATATTATATTTGATTTAAAATTTCATAAATATGTTCTATGCTCATCTAGAAATTTTTTCCTGTGTTACACATAAAGAACATTCATCCATTCATTCCACAAAAACATATTTGTTACCTTCTATATGCCAGGAAACCATGATTTCTGCCTTTGTAAATCTGTCTAGCATATGAGAAAGAGTTTTTGCTCTAAAAATCTGTGATTATCATGTGTTAAATGGGCACCACACTTCAACCAGGAATAATAATCATTTTTATATAATGATACAATTTCCAGAGTGCACACACGCATACATATATGTATGGAAAGAGAGAGAGATAATGGTAATATTCAATATATTTACCAACTGCTACAGTACAGGTTCCAACAAACCTAAATGCAAATGGAATAAGATTGATTTTGGAAAAGATCTATAGAATACAGAATCTCAGCCATTATGTCCAGTTGCAACTATGGTTTAGCAAGCTCCCACTGATCCAAAGACAGGACCTTAAACTGGGACCTTTTCCCCATCTTCTCACTATAATATGAGAACTTAAAAGAGGTTATAATATTGGAAATTAGAAATTGATCATTAATACATATTTATTACTTTCATACTATATGTCAAAAACTTTGCCTGGTGTTCAATCGAGACAAGCCTAGCTTCAGGTTACCAAGGAATAAATATAAAATAAACAATAAGCAGGGGGTACAATGAGAGAATACTGATTGTGGTAGAAGCATGGCTGAGGAGGAAGTTGTAGAAAGAGAATGGAAAAGCAAGTAAAAAAGGAGATCATTATTAAAGCAAGAACTTGCAAGAGGGAGAAGGTTTGAGGTCAAAGGCAAGAGGAAAGGGGTAAAAAAGGAAGAATGACTATGTTGAAGGAGGAAAGAAAATAAGGATGGATAAGAACTGTAAATCAATTTAGAGTTGCAGGAGAAGTAGAATAAGTCCAGAATGATAGGAATCTGGAAGGAAAGATAGAGGATCATCCAGAATGAAAAGAATAGATGAACTCCAGGAAGAAGTTATAAAGGAAAATTTTCCTGACTGTAACAACTATTTCCTCTGTGAAGTAGGGAAGGTAATCTGCAAAGAATAAAGAGTGCAGCATTAAGTACAAAGTATAAAAAGCTGTAAAAATTTTAAAAAGAAAGCGTCATAGGAAATAGGTAAGTATCTGTAAAGATTTCCTAGAAAAAGATTAAGAGTCCAACAGATGTCAGAAATCATAAATGTGTAAGGCAGACAGACAATCAATATGGTTATGTGATTTGCTCCAGGATTATTCAGTGCCTGGTTTCAGGATCAGAACAAACAGATGGTTGGGTTATTCTAGAATCGAGGATTAGGAATAATGGAATGAGAAGAAGGTCGTGAGAGTGTTGGGAAATAAGAGCGTCAGTGAGAGAGAGGTTTAACTGAATGACCATGGATTGTCAGCTGGAGTGAATAAGGAAATGAAGCCAGAGAAGTCTTATTGATCAAGAACATACGAAACTGACAAAGTACAGAAGAATCAATGAGAGTGAAGAGCAGTCATTCCCCTGAATGAAACCCCTCTGGGTATTCTGCAGCCTGGATGATAAAGTGCCATTACTTCTTAAAACATACAAGACTGTTTATAATCTTGCCTGCCTCTCAAGCTCATTTCTAATTCCTTTTCCCAAATGCCTCCAGGCATTCTGTATGTCCTGTCAGGCAGACCAAATATGATGCTTTCTGTCTTCATGTTACTGCTGTTCTTTCAAAGGGCTCCTCTTCTTCTCCTAAACTTCCTGTCCTCTATTCACTAATGAACTTCTCAGTTTTCAAGACCCACTTCAAGCATCTTTCTTATTAAAGTCACGTGTAGTACTTAGTATGAAAAAAAATGGCCGCCAAAATTTCCTTCCACCCTTATACAGTCATGCCATTACTCCCACCAAAAAACCCCTTGATTCTGGGCAAACAAACAGAATGCTGTAGAACTGACACTATTCCAGTTCCAGCCTAACCCAACTGCCATATTGCGAAGAAGTTCAGGCTATCTTGCCTGGAGTATGAGATACCATGCAGACAGAAAATCATAGAGAGGAGAGATTGCATATAGCAACTATACCTCAGACATATGAGTGAGATCTTCTTGGCCATTCCTGTTCATCCCAACCACCAGATGAATGGAGGTGGAGCCCAGTCAACCCACAGAATTATGGGAAATAAGGAATCATTTCCATTTTAAGCCACTATGTTTTAGGGTTTAGTTATTCATTTCTAGATAAATGATATCTCTCCCATTTTCAACTTAAGTGTAACTGTTCAAACTTTCCACTGTATCATACTACTGCATCTATAATATACCTGTATTATTTTACTTATCACACTAGGATTGCAAAATTGTTTTTACATACCTGCTCCCTTCCTATTCTGTGAGATGAAACAATGTTTCAGTGCTAGGGTATGTTTACACTATGTGTGCGCATATATGTGTCTGTTGTGTGAGTCTGTATTCTAAGTCCTAGCACACAACATACAATAAGTATTTAATAATTGACTTGAACTACATTAAATATGGATTGAGTTAGAGGAAGGTAGAAAGAGAGAGCTATGAGGTTCAGTCATAAGAATTTTATGGCTTATTTCATAAAAGGAGCAGTTCCCTGATTCACACGGAAACATGTTGGAAGTGAAGTTGGCTTAAGGATAGTCTAGGAATTCAGGTGGGGTGGTAGAATCATCAAGGAGGTGGACTTGTGGCCTACTACAATTACAAAATTTGTGTGGAATGGAATATGGTGATATCCAATGGGAAGAGATTGTGAACTTCAGAAAAAGAGAAGCTGTGAATGACAGCTTTCCAGTGAAGAAAAGGCTCTTAAAGTAATAGTAAACCATTAAGAATATGCAGTTTCAACCTTCTCCCCAATGCATGTTCAAGGGAGAAAAAGTCAGTCTCCATTTCACAGACTTACGTGGAAGTTGTACTTTAACTAAAGGAAGTTTTCCTTTAAGTCATCTGAGTGCACCTTTTCAGTCTCCTCCAGCGACCCCTTTCGTTCCACTGCCACTGAAAGCTTTCTACACAGTCCTCTGCCATTCTCACTCTACATCTCTTCTCTGGGCCATGTGAGCCACTCCCACGGCTTCGATCATTACTGGTATCTCCTACTGCTGAACTTTCTGACTCCATTTCTTTTATGAGCGTCAGAACTATTATTTACAATTCTCTTCTGAATGTCTCCAGTGTTTTGCCTACCACTTATGTAAAACTCAAGATGTTAAGAAACGAACTGATTATCTGATATTCAAAACATGTTTTTTTCCTCCCATATTTCCTAGTCCAGTAAATGGCATACTGGCCACTCCATGAGTATAGAAAGAAACAGCCAGCACACTGGTTAAGAGCTTGGATTCTGGAATTAATGAAACAGAATGTGCTCAAATCTGGCCTTCATAAATTACTAACTGTATGGTAATTCTAGACTGTTCAGGCTACTGTAACAAAATACCAGAAGTTGGGTCACTTAAACAACAGACATTGATTTCTCTCAGTTCTGGAGGCTAAGAAGTCCAAGATCAGAGTTCCACCACATTCAGTTTCTGGTGAGGGCCTTCTTTGTGGCTTGCAGAAGCTGCCTTCTTGCTGTGTTCTCACACAGAGCTACTTCTCTGGTCTCTTCTTATAAGGGTACTAGTGCCATCATGAGTACCTTTATGAACTTATCTAAACCTATTTACCTCTTAAAAGCCCCATCTCCAAATGTCATTACATTGAGAGTTAGGGTTTCAACATATGAATTTTGGGGGCACACAATTCAGTCCAAAGCAGTAACCTTGGCAAATTACTTAACTTTTCAGAGATTCATTTTTCTCACCTGTTAGAATCTTCAAAAGCTTGTGAAGAGGATTAAATAAATGCTTATCCAAACCCTCAAAACTAATCATACCAACTAGATCTCTTGAAGCCATTCTTACCTTCTCCCTTTACCTTAGCACGCACCTCTTCCAAGCAACTGATCGCCAAATTGTTACTTCCATTTCTAAAGTGTACCTTAATACGTGCGTTTGTCCATTGTCACTTCCACTGTGCTAGTATAGACCTGAACATATTTCAATCAGACTATTCTTGACTTTGTCTAACCCATCTTTCACACCATTGCCAGAGATAATGTTTTTAAAAATATAAATCTGATCATATCCTTTTTCTTCATTTTCAATTTTTTTTAGTAGCTCCCTGTTTCCTAACTCTCTAGCCAAACTCTCTAGCATCTGATTTTTGCAGTCTTTCTCTGAACTACGTTTCCAGGGCCACTCTACATCATTTCCCACCATTCCTTGTATTTAAAAATGTCATTCTGTGAACATATTCTTCTGCCTTCATGTCTATTTCCTTTACTAAATCCTCACCCCTACTTTTCCCCGAGAATTCCTGCTCAAACTCCAAGACCCAGCTCGAATGTGATTTCCTTTCTGTTATCTTCCCAAAACCCCCAGGTGACATAGGTTGCACCCTCATCTGTTTTCCCACAGGGCTGTATACAAACCTGTCTAGGCTTTATCACACTATAGTATAGTTATTAATTTACTTGTCTATCTTCCCAGCTAGACTCTGAGCACTTCCTCAGAGGCAAGGATAGTGAACTATTTATTCTTGCATTAAAAGTCCATAATACAGTTCCTCGGAAATACTAGTCAGTATATGTAAGATGCTTGATAAATGTTGGTTGAAAGATTGAATAAATAATCTATGTAACTTTAATGGTGCCTGCTGTATATTAATTAAGTTCAAATTTTTCAGGTATAAGTCCAATTTTTCAGGTATATATAAAAAGTAAATCATTAAAACTGGGCATTGAAAGAAGTAGATTATCTACACGTATTTTTCCCAGCTTTAAAATTCTATAATCTTATCGTGAACTGAGCTAAAACTCTTCTCCAGGCATATAGGATTAAAGTCTTGTCTGAGACAGACTAAATTTGTAGATAGGATCTAGTGGGTTGTTTAAGGTATATTCCCAATTTATTCATTACATTAACTTTTATAAACTGTATTTTGTGAATTTTATACCTTTCAATTAAACAAAATTAAATTATATGCAATAGCTGATCTTTCAAAATGGTAACATGGTGAAGAAAGTGTTTTTTTCTGAAACCTTGTCAGCTTGAGTGACATGTGAGTACCCAGCACTAAGCATCTGTTAGGGAAATCTTATTACTCTGTGTCTGTCACTAGAAAATGGGAACAAACGTCGCAAGACCTACATACTTAAAATGTTATGATGTGTTTTTAAAATTGCTTTCCACATAAGGTCTTTTATTTTATTAGAAAATTATAAGCAAACAAGGCTTGTTTAATTGCTTTCAAAGTATAAGCACATTTCACATCAAAATTGTATCACTTTCAACTGCTGACTTGTGTGAGAAAGCTGTCAGGCCCTGGTGCCCAAGAAAATAGTGCACCATGGCAGAAATTTCTTACTGAAGGATATAATGTATGCTCAATTAAACCAATGCAATGTGTGTAATGGTTTACTTCTATCTTAGAACGTACTGCTAGCTTTCTGTTCTGGAATCAGAATTTTCCTAATGCCTGGACTTTTTGTTGAATCCCATGTAAGAAGTGATGCAGTCTTTGAGTTTATATCTCAGGGAAGGTTGGGCTCTTTTTTTCTCCTTTTAACATTCAAAAATTCTCAGATATATTACCTTCTCATTCTGATAATCTATATATACTCTGCTCCCTTTCCATAATTCTCTTAGCTTACTAAATATCTTAGCTAACAATTAAAGAAATTATGCATGAAATGCTAAAAATTATAGCCAGCTTTTCAGAGGAATCAATTGTTGGTTATAGTGCTATTTTTCTTAAAAAACATTGCCAAATCCTTTATTTCTTCAAATATCATAGATATCTATATGTGCTTCAAATGAATGGGAGGTAATAAAATATGATGGAAAAATCCTGGAAAATTCCAACACACCTTATATTGTTTGTTATTTGACAAGTTTATAACAACTTTGCTTCTCTTAGCCAGCAGAGAGCACCCATAGAGGTGGTAGATGATAACTTTTCCACAAAATATCGCAATAAACAGATAACATTTAAGATATATATTTTCATATATATTCTAAGAAAAGATGACTGCTAAACATGAATTCCCCATGATAGAAGGATATTGTATGTTACTAAACTGCCATCTACTGGATTTGTTCACCCAGTACACAATATCATCTATAAATTTGTATTTTTCAAGGAATACATGACTTTTTTTCCCAGCCATTTCCTGACTTTCTTTCTTTCCCTAATTCTAGCAATGTGTGCTTCTAATGACCAGGAGAAAAAATTGCTTCAACTAATTATAGTCCAACCAAAGTCATTCACATCATTTAAGAATTAGATTGATTATTCATAGTGTCATGAGGACGTGTCAATTTGAGACGAGGACGTGTCAATTTGAGACAAGAAGAGGTTTAAAGAGGCTTACACTTTTCAGAGTGCCACCTGTCTCCAAAGGGCACATTCATTAAGAAGCTCCAGGTGCAAGTTGTGGAAGCAAAACAGCATAATGAAGTCCTTTCCCTCCTTGTGCACCTTTTGATTAATAACATCCTCCTTCAGTTCTAGCAGATTGCACACCAGTGTATGCCACAAGAAACCTAAAATGCAAGCCCACTTTTCTATCCTTCTTTGAATAGAGTAAATCACCATTTATCTATGACCAGAATCAAAAGAATTAACAAAATAAGGTATCTGTGGCACAATCTACTTTTATAAGAAAAGAACAGCTAATACGCCGACTGATAATATTTACTTGATAACAATGTATAATATGTGTCACTGATAAAATTCCACCTAATCTATCTTCTCTGTCCTATATTCACACATGGAAATGCAATTGATATTTGGCTGGGTGCAGTGGCTCACACCTGTAATCCCAGCACTTTGGGAGACCAAGGCGGGCAGATTACCTGAGGTCAGGAGTTCGAGACCAGCCTGGCTAACATGGTGAAACCATTTCTACTAAAAATACAAAAAATTAGACGGGCGTGGTGGTGCGCACCTGTAATCCCAACTACTCAGAAGGCTGAGGCAGGAGAATCACTTGAACCTGGAAGGCAGAGATTGCAGCGAGCCGAGATCACGCCATTGCACTCCAGCTTGGTCAAAAAGAGCGAAACTCTGTCTCAAAAAATAAAAATAATAATAATAAAATAAAAAATGGAGAAAATTGGCATTTATTGAGTACTATTTACTAGACTTTTTTTTTTTTTTTTTTTGAGACAGAGTCTTACTCTGTCACCCAGGCTGGAGGGCAGTGACAAGATCTCGACTCACTGCAACCTCCGTCTCCCAGGTTCAAGCGATTCTCCTGCTTCAGCTGCCCATATTTACTAGACATTTTCATGGGCGCTATCACACTTTATCTACACAGCAGCCTGGTAAGGTAAATACCGTTGTCCTCATTGTCATCACTGAATGTGACTGAAGCTCAAAGTGATAATAAGAGCTAACACTTATTGACTACTTAATATTTTCCTGGCATTGCCTTTATTACTTTAGAAAAATTGACACAATTAATTCTCAAGACCACATTATGGAATACATGTTACCACTGTCCTCATTTTATTAGAGGTGACTCCAAGAAGCTAAGTAACCTGCCCAACATTACACAAATAATATGCAATGGAGTCTGGATTTGACCCGAGCAAACTGGTTTCAATGCCTGTACCTGTCAACTTCAACATTATGCTGTTTATGAGTGTGTGTGTGTGTGTGTGTGTGTGTGTGTGTGTGTATACTTCAGTATTAGATGGGCTATATTATTGTTTTGTTTCTGAAAATTGGTAATTGTGTATTTATTGTCAGGCATTTTACATGTATTATCCATTAGAAATACACACATATATGTAATATTTTCCCCATCTTACTTTGATAAAACTGAATTTTGGAGAATAACAATAATAAGAATAATCACAGTAAACACATTACACATATCACATGCTAGATACTCTTCATGAGAAGAGTTTTAAACATAGTACATATTTAATACTGACAACAACAATATAATGCACTGTTATCACTATTATACAGGTGAGGAAAAAGAAAGGTAGCACCTTGACCAAAGTCGCAAGGCTAGCAGAAAGCAGTGCAAGAAATCTAGTTCCAGACTCATGATTTTATCCACTACTCTAGACTTTGAAACAATTTAGAATAGTCATTCCTTGTTTATTGCAGCAAATGTTTGCAACACGCCTTAACTATAATAGCATTCATCACAATCAAACATTTTGTTGCATACCAAGTAAAATAATTATGCACATTTGGTAAAGAGTAAGAAGGAATCAAGCCTGTACAGTTTCACATTGGTCAGGCTTATGCATAGTTTCAATAATGGTAAAAATAAAATTCCTCTCTTCATTTATCCTACAAACATCGAGCATTAACCTTGTTCCAGGTGCTTGGGTAGTGAGAATAATGTTTATTTTATTCTGCGAAGAATTGGAGATACATAAAAACAAATAGGTAATTGCAACATAAAAGGATAATTGCTAAGAAGAAGTTTTGCTTCCTAAATCAAAGCCAAAGCTACAAAACACTTTATGTTACCTGGTTTCATGGCTCCAAACGAGGTCATACACAGGGCAAAACTAGGAAAAGAATAAAAAGACAGAAGAACATTCTTTCATAAATACATAAAATAAGGTGCTTAAAATTGTTATAATAGTTGCAATTTTATTTTAAATTCTGTTAACGTTTATGTCTGAATCACAAGTGGAAGTTCAAAATAGCTTTATGATATATGTATTCCTTGTTTCACATCTGATATTTTTCTTTGAGTACTACTCCTTCCTAGTGGGTTTGCCTGGTCCTGAGTTCCCAGGTCCTCCCAGTCTGGCTCATGCCAAATTCAAGCTATCATATTAATCAGAATTTTTAGTTGCAGGTGACAGAACCCCAGTGCAATGTAGCTTAAGCCAAAAGAAAGTGTGCTGACATGACTTAGGTGACTGGGAAGTCCAAGAGATAAGCATGCCTCAGATAGAGCTATATTCAGGGATACAAATGCTATATTCAGAGTTCACTTTTTTCCCTCGTCCCACTTCTTTCTCTTTAATTCTCTCCATCTATCAGCTCTTATTGTATCTACTTGACTTCCTTTTGTGGGTAAACTTTCTCTATATAGGTGGGTCTCACATTCACATATACCAGATCAGCAACTCTAATGAAGAAAAAACTTCTCTTTCCCAATAATCCTAAATGAATCCTCGGGAATATTCTGATTGGCCTTGCCTGGTTCATATATTCAGTTTTCAGACAATCACCATGATTAGGTGAGCTAACACACAGAATTTGATGCTCGAAAAGGACTCACAAAAATCAGAAATAGCATCAAGCTTTCCTAATAATTTCAGGAGTACAGGCAATCAAGAGGCAAAGACAGAGCAGAGAAAGTCTGGGACATTCTGTGTGGCTTTGCCAGATGCTTCCTATCCACTGACCCCCAGTGATTGACTAGGTCTCTGTACGTAGTTTTGCTGATTATTACCTTACAGAGTAGAGGCGTGTAATTTATAATACATCTCCATTTTATACCTCAGAATGTTATAAAATGGCATGCCATTACAAGACATTCTTCAGAGAAGCCATCCATGTCCCCATAAATCAATAGATTCCAGATTTATTTACTAGAAGTAATCCTTATCCAGGGAGATCCTGCTAAGGGCTTTCTGTAGAAAGATCTCCTTCTGTCTAAAATCATTATTCTATTTATTAGGGTGTCTAGTCAGAAAGGAGATTAGAATAGATTACCTGCCTTCCTTTCTTTTTCCTAGTGGTGCCCCCATAGGAAAGGAAGTTAATGGTCCACAGGGCTAGCTGCTTTACTCCTTCCCCCCATCAGGAGACTGGACATTCTGACTGAACATCTTGAGACAAGAATCTCAAACTGTGCTCGGGGGTAAAGGAAGAACCATGATTGACAGGCCCCCAGAAGCACCTGGACTGTGAGATGGCGATAGAAAAGCACGTTGAGTAGATATAAACTGCGAGTGCTCTTGTTTATCATACTGTTCCCGTCCAGACAAGAGACTTTTAAGAGTTCTAATGATGCTATAACTTTCCTGTTCCTAAACTTTGTCTATTTCTCTCTGGTTTCTAACTGTGAAAAACTCTTCAGCTATGTTCTGTGACTCACAGATCACAGCAAAAGAACAAATAGTGACAGCAAAGAATGGAAACAACTATGCCAAATCTTGGAGCCCGCAGGAAAGAAATGCAAAAGAATGCTGAGTAGGGCCTCACAATGAACCCTTAAGAGGAGAAAGAATATCCCAAGGGTTTTCCATCTAGGCTTATGTCCTCATAACCATTTTCTTACAGAAATCTAAAGTTCTAACATAGCAAATGAATTTCTTTAACAGGCAGGGTACACAAACAACTATCCTACTGACCTGATAATCCAAAAGAACTTTTTATTTGGCCAAGACAACATTTATGTTTAGGTTGAATTTGAAAGGCTTTGAACAGCTCATCACATTTTCCCTCATTCCCTAGTGTTTTACACAGGCCTGCATCATTGATTTATGTTACTGCCTGAACCCTGTAAACATTTGAGTTTTTCTTTCATGGTTTAATACTTGATTTAACTGAAAATCCCTTTATAAGAATGTAAACTTTAGGCAGGGTGCGGTGGCTCACGCCTGTAATCCTAGCACTTTGGGAGGCCAAGATGAGTGCATCGCTTGAGATCAGGAGTTCCAGACAAGCTTGGCCAACGTGGTGAAACCCCATCTCTACTAAAAATACAAAAATTAGCTGGGAGTAGCGGTGCATGCCTATAACCCCAGTTACTCGGGAGGCTGAAGCAGAAGAATCGCTTGACCCCAGGAGGTGGAGAGGTGGAGGTTGCAGTGAGCCGAGATCGTGCCATTGCACTCCAGCCAGACTCCGTCTCAAAAAAAAAAAAAAAAAAGGACACTTTAAACTGTTTTTAGTTATTTACACTAGGATGTAAACAGTTTTTCAACTGTTTTTCACTGTGGGGGATGAGAGTTTTTGAAGAAGGTAAGACTGAAGGAATAACAGGATGGGGACTAGGGTGAGCCAGATGCCTAGGGTTCAACATTTAAGGAGGCGCTCATTCTCAAGTGATAACTCCAGGCTCAGCACCTGAGACTGCCTCCTTAAATGTCATGCCCTGTTTGTGTTATTTGCCTCGCTCTTATCCCAGTCCTTTAAGGATAAAGTTTAACCAGCTTTGGTTTCTGTTACTTGTGATGAAGTATCCTTAATGCATTTCCCTTCCCCACCCATGAACTGAGGGAGTCATTCTTCCTGGGAACACCCATAATATCCTCTGATTATACCTATACTATACTTACAACACAGTTTTCTCACTATTTACACATCCATATGCATCGGCACTCTGTGCGCTCCTTAAACAAAGAGACTGTGACATAATCTTCTTTATAGCTGCAATATCTAGTCCTGTACCTGTTGAGTGGGTAAGTCAATGAATGAATGGACAAATAAATAAATGAGTGTGTTGTCAGAATTGAACATGCCATACCTGCTGTGGCATGGCACAGGTGTGTGAAATCCTTCGTCAGTAAAAACATTTTATTTTTGCTATAGATAGATGGCAAACTTCAACCTGCTTTTATTCTAATTGTGATATGATTTTTCTCATAACTTTGTATGTAGCATTTGAATTGTTCCAGTTTTTTATTTAAACATACGTGCTCAAGAAAGAACTGCAGTAGATTTGTGACTGACACCGTATATATGCTTTTGCCCTCAGTCTCCAGCAGGGCCAGCCTCCTTGACCTAATTAGACTTCTCACTCCCACATGGCTGGTAAATACTATAATTAATTTATAAAGGACTCTGAAACACCAACTGGCAAAAATTCCCTATTAATGGTTTCTACAGAATGAAAAGAGCATTTAAGTTGTAGGAGAGTTGTTGTTGTGTGTGTGTGTGTGTGTGTGTGCGCACATGTATTCACATTTTTTAATGTAGTGAATTTCTAAGAATGTCAAATCATAACACGTACTAAGTAAACAATGTTTAATAACGTCTTGTCATTTCTTTCAGCACATTTATTTTAAATTTGAAAGAAATCTGTGTGACAAAATATTCTTAGAGATGTATATTTGGGGTATGTGAGACTTGAGTGTCCATGAATACTCACACACATCCCATAAACTATGCCATTCTTAAAATAAAGTTAAAGAGAAAAATATAGACCATCAGTTTAAGAAGGATGTCTCAATGATTTGAGAAAGCAACAACTGTAGTGGCCTTTGGAGTATTTGCCTATTCAGAAGCCATGGTTGGCAGAATTTCAAGATGGCTCCCAAGATTTCTGTGTCCTGGTGTACATGCCCTGTATTATACCCTCTCTGTGAGTGTGGGCAGGACCTGTGAATACAATGAGATGGCACTCCTTTGATTAGTTTATGTTATATGGCAAAGGGGACGGAACCATTTCTCCTCTGATTACATTATATTATATAAGACTTTATAGCAGTAATAGTTATAGTAGTAGTATATAGTAGTAATGGTAGTGGCAGCAGCAGCAGCCAACTGGAGAGAAATTCTCCTGCTGGCTTTGGAGAAGTAAACTCCGTTTTGAGATGGCCATGTAATTAGGACCTGAGGGCAGTCTCTAGAAGCTGAGAGAACCCCCTGGCCAACATCTCCCAAGAAAATAGGGACCTCTGATGTAAAGTTTCAGGGAACTAAATTCCACTAACAACCTGAATATGCCTAAAAGCTTCAGATGAAATTGCAGCTCCACTTGGCACCTTGATTGCTGCCTAGTGAAACCCTAAGCAGATAATCCAATTAAGCTATGCCCAGACTTCTCATCCACAGAAACTGAGAGATAACAAATACATGTTACTTTAAGCTTCTAAGGTTGTGGTAATTTGTTACTTGGCACTAGAAAACCAATACAAGAACCAACTGCTTTTTCTTTTCTGTGGGCACTACCCTTTACTCCCCTTGTCCCACAGGAGTGCCTCCTAGCAGTCAGGTCTATACATTACACCATGATCCTGAAAAACTGACATAGCTGATTGGATAGAGGTGCACACCTGACTCAAGCCAGAGCAACTAGAGTCTGGAAATTTGAAGACAGGGCTAAGAGGCTCCAGGTGGGAATTTCTTGAATGGAAGAGAGATAGAAACTTGAACACTTTAGCAACACTATCTTCTGTCCAGGGTTGCCTGTAGATATTAAAAGCCCTGAGGAAATGTTCGAGGAGAGAGAGAATCTATCTATAGCAATCATCTGATTACAAAAATAATTATAAAAGTCATGGACCCATGTGAGATGGAGTGATTTGCTGTTAAAGAGTCAAGGTAAGGAAAAGCTGAAGAGAGTCAAGGTAAGGAAACATAGCTACTTATTGTCCAATCGGTGAACATAAAAATTTTTTCTAGTTTCTTGGAGTCACCTATTTGTATTAATTATTACTAAAGAAACCATTCCTGTTCAATTTCATATCTACCACTGCAAGGAAAAGGTAGTAACACTATTATCATTCACAATGCAATGGCTCTTCAGGTCCTATTATAATTGGAACCGTATAGATCTTTTTGCCTCTGCAGTTCCATAATGCCATTTATTTAATGCTGATTACAGCATTACTCATATTGCTTCAACATCCATTGTACTGCCTGTGAACACTGGATACTAATGACTCAAATGGTGTTAGTGTATTTGTTCATGATGACCACAAACACAGGTCTCACACAGAGAATGCAGGAAAATGCAAACAATTATTCATACTGTGGTCATGTTAAATTTATTGTTTGGAATGTATTAATAGCATTTATTTATAGAACTTACTGCATTAACATAGAATGGCATATCTCTCAACCATGTCCTCTCTTGAATTGTCTAGACCTTAATCACTGCATCCCTAGAATGTGACTCTTTTAAGGTTGGCTGCAGCCCTGCTTTCCATATATAGTTATCAGTGGTGAAGATAGATGAGAGGCCCTGGATAGATGAAAAGAGCCATCCCATTTGGGCAACCAGTGTCCATCACTTGTTCATCAAGGCTTACAACCAACCCAGAAGAGAATGTCACCATGTTTATTAGAGGTAAAAAAGACATTGATTGAAATGGCCCATTGGCTTTGTGTTGCTACAGTCTCAAAAGCCCTGAAAGGAGGCAAGCATTGCCATGATAAGTAGTGTCTGATATGTGACACGGAGCTTGCAGAGGGGTGGTGTGACTGCCCTAATGCCAGCAGCAGGGTGACGGCAGGAGACCCCAGGATAAAGGATGTCTGCAGACACACATACCTTTTTCAAGTGCTCTCCACTAGAGGTGGTTCCTTGGTCTGACCAGTCAGGGAAGAGCCCACATACTGGCTCACACAGTCAGCTCCAGACCAAGGATGCATGGGGGGACAGTGGTAGCCCAGAGCACTGAACTCATCCTGTGTCTGATATTAGTGAAAATCACCCTCAAACCACTGAAAAAGCATCATTCTGGTGGCCCAAACTTGTGCGATGAAAGAAATAATGCCATGAAAGAAATAATGCCCCAGCCAGTGGGAGCTTTGGCCCTCCAAGTTGCTCTCCAGGAACTGGCAGGGCCATCTGGCCCTAAGCCACCCTACAGGTGCTAGTACCAGAGATCCTGCTGCACTGGTGGACCCTGAGCATGTTAAGAGGGCAATATGGTCAGGAGGGCCTGAAGGGAAGAAACAAAGAAGCCAATAACATTTTCTTTAGGCTTAGGACTGTCCCACCCAACAGGTCCTGCTGACCTGGCTGGTCCCCACCACCAAAAGCAATAGAACATCTCAGGACTTCCACTGTCCAGGACCCACATAGTACTACATTTTGGCTCCATCCTGCTGAATGGTCCAAGACACTCGAGGGGAATTAGGGCACCTCAAGGAAGGCCAGGTGCAGGACCAGGCTAGGAGCCCTGGTTGCCCAGGTCTAAGGGCAGTATTGCTTTTTTTTTTTTTTTCAGTCTTCTGAACTAGGTAACAGAAAAGCTAGTCTGAGGAAAGAATAACGCATATGCAGAACAAATTCAGCAAAGAGACAGAGAAAGGGTGCTGCTTGAATAGAGGATAGTTTCTTTTAGGATATTTCTGAAACTGCATTCCTGCTCTGGCATTCCATCAAACACCACCTTCTCTTTATAATATGCTCCCCCTTTTTGTTGTTTAAGTCATTTTATTTTTATTTTTGTTACTTGCAAGCAGAGTGAGCCCTAATGCAATATTTAGAGCCAGATTCTTAGCTTTGTAGGTTCAGAAACTCAACTTTACCATTTCCACCAGAGCTAATCTCCTGGGGACCAACATATTAAGAGGACCCATAAACAACTGATATGCATTTCAGAGTGCCAATTTCTCAATCTATAAAGAGAGCTTAATCCAGATGAACAACTTGTGTGGATAAATTCACTCTGGGAATTTCACCACAGTAGGTTAAGTGTGCTCAGGAGAGAAGACAAATTATCAGAGGGCTGTTTGGTGAGCATATAATAAGAATAAAGAGAATGGGTAGAATTTTTCTTTCAAATTAGGATAGCTGAAATGAATTTCTTTTGTAGGAATATTTCTCTTTGAAAAATCAGCTAAAGTCCTTGAACTCAAATAACCTCTTCTGGTCATTATCAGATGTATTCACGCATTTTGTTCATTATCCTAGACTTACTATAGAGGATTTTTCTCTTGACACATAATTCTCCCAGAAAAATTTTGCTAATTACAGTTAGTACAGTTGATTAACTGTTGTTGCATTAACTGCATGTCATCTACCAGCTTTGGCATCTATTATTCCTATTGACCCCATGAAGTCACTATCTCCTCTCTACTCCCAAGGGTGATCACTATCCAAGATTAGTTTGGCTGCTTTTGAACTTCATGTAAATGGAGTCATATAGCATATGCCATTTTGTGTCTTGCTTTTTTCAATTCAAGACTGTATTTGTGAGTGAAATACTGTTCAATAATCTGAGTGTAATTTGTTATTCTTGCTACTGTATTACACATTCCAACTGTGTAAACATATGACAATTTATTTATCTAGGCTACCACTGATAAGCAATTGGGAAGCTTCCAGTTTGGGCTATTTTGAATAGTACAGCTCTGAACATTACTATATACATCTTCAGTGAACATTATGTGCATTCCTGTTGGTAATATACCTAAAAATGGAATTTCAGGGTCATAGTGTACGAAAATGTTCAGATTTAATATATTCCGACATTTTCCAAAGTAGATGTATCAATTACTTTTTGCAATGTATGAGAATTACAGTTGCTCTACATGCTTTCCAACACTTAGTATTCTCTGATTTTTCATTTTAGTCAGTTTGATGAATGCATAATGGTATCATATGGTTTTAATTTGCATTCCCCTGACTTGCAGTACCAACCAAGACATAGAAAGCCCACAATAACCTATCTTTCCTAATGATTACAGTGAGAAACTCAAGACAAAATACCAAAAGCAACTGCCTGAAGACTCTGGAAAAACAAAAACAAAAACAGGTAAATTGGAGTGGAGAATGAAAACCTGGAGAAATGTTCTGTATGTTTGCTTTTCCTCTTTTCTCACAGCTTTTGACCTAAGGCCCAACACCTAGTGAAACTGTGGTGACAGGAAAAACCGACAGAAACCTGTATGTCTTGCCAGAATGGGGATAGGGGGCTTTTGTGAGCCAAAAGTTAGTCGGGGGAATACTTAGCTCCCCCTCTTCTGGTTTTTCTTTCTTTTTTTTAATTTCTCTCTCTCTCTCTCTCTCTCTCTCTCTCTCTGGGCATTGGCCCAAGAGTGAGGCCCTAGGCTTGGGTATCTACAATACTAACAGAAGCTCTGTTTTTATGGACAAAGGAAGTAGAAAAGGAGGCCTTTGTGGTCTGAAGAGTGTAGAGGGAATCCACATTTTTTCTCTCTCTTTTCTGTCACTGCTTTGTCTCAGAATCTGCCCTAGTCAGCTGCTATGCCAGGCTGCTAAAACTCCAAGAGGAACCTCATATTTCTGGTGAGAGGACCTTGCGAGACAAAAGGAGAAGAATGTAAGAGGAGAGAGCTAGAGAAGAGGATCCCCTAATTCTATGTATGAACCTATACAAGTTCTGTGTTCACACCTAAACTGAACACGTGCAGAACAAACACAAAATAGCATAGCAAAACTGAATTTCAATTTAAACTACTGCTAACATCCCCAAATAATCCCTGAGTATTGTAGGTATAGGACACAGCAAAGCCTTTGAAAACCCAGCTGACATGGAACCAGTACTCATAGAAGATGAGACCGAACTTTTGACCTGAACCAAATTGGATCGATTGCCTTCTAAAACAAAAAAAAATCAACATTCCCTAAAGGCTTTTAACAGGACTCAGTCTATGCAACATAATGTTCAAAATGTCCTAGATAAAATCCACAATTACACAGTATAAAAGAACTGGAAAAATGTGACCAACTTGCAAGGGAAAATATAATCAACACCTGCTAACTCCTAGATGACCAAAATGTTATAATACAGATTTTAAAGCAACAATCATAACTAGAGAGTAGTTGAACAATTTCTCTCCTAAACATAATCATACTTGCATAAAGACATTTCAGTCAATGATGAACCACATATACAAAGGTGGTCCCATAAGATTACAATACCATATTTTTACTGTACCTTTATATTTAGATACACAAATACCACTGCGTTACAACTGCCTACAGTATTTAGTACAATAAGATGTACTAAATGCAGGTTTGTAGTCTAGGAGCAATAGGCTATACCATATAGCCTAGGTGTGTAGTAGGCTATACCTGCTAGGCCTGTGTAAGCACATTCTATGATGTTCACACAACAGCACAATTGCCGAAAGTGGCATTTCTCAGAACATATCCCTATCATTAAGTGAGGCATGACTGTATATGCTGTATTCTAAAAAAAATTAATGCATTTATATACCAGAATCTATGCATAAGAATGCTCATACTGGTGTTGTTTGTAATACCAAGCCTGAGAAACAGAAGGAATAAACTGTCACAAAACCACAAAACGGAATAGTATCAGTATACATCAGTGCAAATAAAAGAATTACACCTATACACTTCTACATGCAACTACCTAGGATTAATTTAGAAGCATAATGAACAAAAAAAGAGTACAGAATCAACTATGCTTACACAGCTCATAAAATTAAACATACATGTATGTTAGGTTTTGAAGGGAAGGCAAGGATTAAAGAAAGAGAGGGTGGCTTAACAACAAATACAGGATTTATGTCCAGCATAAGACCTACAGAGGTGGGAGACCAGCTTAATGCCAGTGCCCGTTGCTTCTTACAGGCTGGGGTGATTTATAGGCCTGGGTGGGAGTGGTCTGGGGGGCCATGGCCTGCTTCCTGGGAACATGTTGATAAGGTGTTCCCAGGACGAGGCGGCTCTGGCCCTTGTTCCAGTGGAATGTGGTACTTTCTCCCAGCAGAGTATAAGAGGCAGCCTGTTTCTCACGCCCGAACCCCGTGGAATGTTTCACTTTGACTAAGGTCTGCAAAATGGCAGGGGGGCTTACAAAAATGGTGCAGTTTGGACTAACAACGTACATAAATTTTTAAAAAGCAAAAGAATAAATCCCAAATATGGGAAAGTGTTATCTGTGGAAGAAAGTAATGGGATGGTATCAGAAAAGACACTGGTAATTTAAACAGTGTTGACAATGTCTCAGTTTTAAAATTACCAGCTGGTTCCCATGTATAAGTTGCTTACTTATCTGTTACACCTATTTATGTATATATAAAAATAGGTTTCCAAACGACATCCCATGTGTATGAAATAACAGAATTTTTATGCCTTATTAAAATAATTTCTCTAAACACTTGAAGAGCCCGAGCCGCCTCTTACCCTAAACGAACCCCACGCCCCTGAATTGATCAGTCACTTCCGCCTCCACCTTTCCAGCTCCACCTAAGGAAGCGGAAGTACTTTACTCTTGGGTCCTCCCACCTGTAGGGGGCTCTCCGAGGCTTCTAGTGCCACGAAGGCCTCCTGCCTGGGTTGTCCTTATGGCGCCTGTGAGTTTAGTTCTAGAAAAGATATTTGTATTTTAACTTTTCCATCTAACAAACAGTAGCACAGGCATCTTAGTCTGGACAACAACGTACAAGCTGAATTCCTGGCTAGTTCCCTCATTATCAAACCCTGACACAGTAGTAGGCGCGAGTCAGGCAGTGTGGGGACAGCCCCGAGTTGCCGAAAGTCCCCGGCCCGTTTTCCTCCTGTGAAGACATAGCTGCGGGTGGCTGTGCTGGTGGCGTTCAAGATGTCGACCAAGAATTTCCGAGTCAGTGACGGGGACTGGATTTGCCCTGACAAAAAGTGAGTTCAAGAAGGGTCCTGAATTGGGACGGAGTTTGTTAGTGGAAGCTTTCCGAGGTCCGTCCGGCATTTTCCTTTTTTATGATTTTCTGTGCCTTAAGACGGGTTGAGGCGGCGAACCGCCAGTTCCCTGGCGGGAAGAAGGCTCCCAATCTCCTCACGAGAGAGGTCTTTCCGGGAGCCTTTGTTCTAGATATGTCTTCAGCGTTTCCTCGACATTACCTCCGCAAGGTAGCCTCTCTTTTTAGAGTGCGAGATGGCCTACCTTTTTGCCCCCACCCCCCTCCCCCGCCCCGGCCAGGTTTTAGCGATAGGAAACCTCTCCAGTCAGGCCAGCTTGGTGTTGGATCTCCCCCACGTGACTTTTCTCTGCAGAACTTTACTCTTGTTCACGGAAAATATTGCTTTCTCGCACTCGTCCTTTTGCCTCTTATAGTTCACCTTGTTTTGTATTTTTACTCAAACTTTTCCTCCATACTATTTTCCCCTTTTCCGGAAGCTCTACCCTCTTCGGTTTGGGAAATTCTGACATTTTCTTTGTGGATCATTTCTCCACAAGAATTGGGCTTTTCGCCTCCTTAGAGCCGAAAAGGAGGGAAGAGGCCTGTGTTTTTGCCTACTCAGCCCTTAAGATGCCTGCAGCAGAGAAGCACGTGTGTTAGTGGCTCTGCTTTTTGACATTGTTGCCAAAGCCAGTACTCGACTAGATAGTTAATCAGATTTTTTTTGAAGGGTGCACAAATAGGTGTATCTATTCGGAAATAACATGGAAAATAATTTAATGTACAACTCATGTTCACATAAAAGCCTTTTATTTGTTGTACCTAAGTTAGCCACAAATAGGTTTTGATTGTAAAAAGCAAAAACTTTGAAATAAACCTGGGTTTAGTTAAAATTCTATTACTTATTTAACTGCTAAAAAAGGAATAGAATTTTTTTTTTAATGAAAACATGAAATAACATGGATAGGGTGTGTAAACAGTGACGTGTAGCAAATTCTAATTGGTGGCTATTGATAGTAATTTGATATTAAGATGACCTGAAGGAGTAGTTCAAGCCTAACAAATGATACTGAATAGAACCAAAGTTATATGTTATGGATAGTATTGCTCTGAGTGGTAAGACATTATTGAAAACGTTCAAAAGATTTAGAACAACAACTTCTGACTTTGTTGTTACCTGTAAAATAATGTGCTTTTGTCAGTGTCTTTAATGACAGCACACCCAGAGGTAGGACTCTCAATGAGAGTTCATTTCAACTCATTTACAAATATATGAATAGAATGTTGTTTGTACAATATGTTTAAATGCAGGATAAATTTTCAGAGTATATTTTCCATGCTTAATGGAGTTAAAAGGAATATTTTTAGGGGAAAAACTTAACCTAAATATTATTTAGAGTGTTTCACTTTAGTGTCATCCCATACTTCACATCTGTATTGTATTCTAGTATAATGCCTTAAAAATCAGCTTTTTAAAGTTTAAGCATTCCATGTTATCCAGAGCATTTAACATACTTTTACCAATATACACGTACACTTCTAAGGTCATGTGAGTGAACCAGTAATTCTTTAGGTTTGAGTTTGTTGAGTATAAGCATAAAGTCTTACTGTACTACATGTGTTGAGATTATTGGTTTTGGTGGTTGTGTCATTTTTTTCAGCGAAGTCTCAGAGGTTTGAGAAATGCCCTGTAAAACTCAGTTTTCTTACAATTATTGAATCTTTTTGTATTTTTAGTCAGTACAACCTATCATATTTGGTTCCTTAGCATCCTACCTACTGCATGTAAAAAGATAATTTCATTAAGATCCATGAAGCCCTCCTTGATTTATAAGTTTTTTTCCTCATTGGTCCACCGCTAGGGTTTAAAACTCCCTGGTAGCTTGTAAGTAATTAGTGAAGTGGAGTTAACTCTCACTTTCAACTTTGTAAAGGGATTATAACTAATGATATGTGCTAATGTGAGGACTTGAGGCAGAGATCCTAAGTAACTTAATCAAGATCACATGACTGGTAAATGGAGGATTGGGATATCTTATTCTGAATTTGTGGCTCCAATCAAGTATTTTTCCCCCAGTAAATTGTGTGGAGTTTTTTGTTGGTAACATTGACATTAACATGACTAAGATGGATTAGAAGTTATGAATTCCAGATATGTAGTGAGGACAAGTTAAAATGTAAAATTTTACAAATTTAAATTTTTATAAATGCTTTTTAATCTGTTTTTAGATGTGGAAATGTAAACTTTGCTAGAAGAACCAGCTGTAATCGATGTGGTCGGGGTAAGTATTTAAAGAAGATTCTATTTATACTGTATATGTATCATTTATTTATTTCTCCAGGTTCATATTGCATGATTTTTCTGTTTTCAGAGAAAACAACTGAGGCCAAGATGATGAAAGCTGGGGGCACTGAAATAGGAAAGACACTTGCAGAAAAGAGCCGAGGCCTATTTAGTGCTAATGACTGGCAATGTAAAACGTATGTTTTTTAAATTATTGTCTGCTCTTTCTTCCAAAATAATAGATCTGGCCACTACTTGTTTATATTACAGCTCTTATTAGTGACATTGACAAGCCAGGGTAACCTTTTAAATCCAAGGTATTGTTATTCAGTCTCATCTTTAAGTATAGTATAAAGAAGTTTTAAATTATTCTTTGCATTTTTTAATGGTAATAGTTGTCACTATGATGGATTATGTATACCAGTAAACAAATGCTTATGGTAAGCTCAAAACCAATCGGGGGGTGGTGGTACTTAAAAGTACTAAGGCCTATTACTTCCTTTATTGAAAAATCCCAATTTTTAGACTGTATAGTTAGTGTGAAATACACCACAAAACTCATTTTGCCTGTTTACAAAATAATGTTAGATTCATAAGTTGTGTGCCGTAAGTAATTAAGTCTAATTATAGGTAGGTTTCTTAATGATTTTTATTTTCAGGCTTAGATTTAATTCTTCATTGATTTTTCCAACTTCCATCTTTTCTCTATGCAGATGAATCCTATGTGTATGAAAGAGGTCTAAATCAAAAAAGTATTAAATAAATTTCTCTTTTTGTTTGTTTGTATTTTTTGTTTTTGAGATGAGGTCCCACTCAGTCACCCAGGCTGGAGTGCAGTGGGGCGATCTCAGTTCACTGTAACCTCTACCTCCCAGGCTCAAGCAATCCTCTCACTTCAGCCTCCTTAGTAACTGGGACCACAGGCCCATGCCACCATGCCTGGCTCATTTTTTTATATTTTTGGTAGAGACAGGGTTTTACCATGTTGCCCAGGATGGCCTCGAACACCTGAGCTCAAGCATTCTGCCTGCCTTGGCCTCCCAAAGTGCTGGGATTACAGGCGAGGCATGGGCCACTATTCCTGACCCTAGAGTCTTAAATAAATTTCTGATCCTCAGGATTATAAATTTGTATTGGAAAAGTTTCCAGCTACAGATTTGGTCACTGGATTTGGTATGCTTTGGAATTCAGTGCTTGAACTGAGACCTCAAAAAAATAAATTAATATTATTTATAGGGTATAACCATACTCTTTAAGGTATATTCAGAGACTGAGAAATTAGTGGAGCTGTTAATTTAAAGTTATATTTTTTCATAAGACATCAGAATTTCTATACAGGTTCAGTATCACTTACCTGAAATGTTTGTGGGTTCAGCATCCCTAATCTGAAAATCTGAAATGCTCCTGTGAGCGTTTCTGTTGAGTGTCATGTCCTCTCTCAAAAAGTTTTAGATTTTGGAACGTTTTTGGATTTTGGATTTGTGGATTAGTGATACTCGACCTGTGGTTATAATTTGTCATTTACTTCTCAAAATGACAGAGGCACTTTTCATACTATATAAATTTTGCTTCTCTGCTTAAATGGTTCAGTCCGTTGTTGGAACCCACATTTACTCTTCAGGCCACTGTACATTTTCTTTGTTTACATTACCACTTAATAAACATTTCTTTGACAGTGGTTTCATCCTAGTTTTTATTTTAAAATTGTAAAATATCTAAAAATTTGATATTCATCTATATTATAGCCTACTAATTTAGTATTTTTCACTTCTAAAGTTGCAGCAATGTGAATTGGGCCAGAAGATCAGAGTGTAATATGTGTAATACTCCAAAGTATGCTAAATTAGAAGAAAGAACAGGTATGATAAAACCACATTGTAACTAAATGATTTTTTTTAAAGCACTAAATATTGAAACGATAATTGTATCACCTTCGAGTAAGAGCCACAGTAAGTGAGGATTCTGTTTATTCTGCCCTGAATGTTTGTTACTGGGATTTTTTTCCCCCCATACACACATACAAATCTTTTGTTTCACAATTTATAAAATAACAGTGTTAGGGACCTTTATCCTAACAAGGAGGGACATAAGAATACTTTCAGAAATATTCTCCTCCTCTCCCTTTCACTGGTTTGCATGTTTGTTATTAGTAATGATATAATGATACCATTTTTAAATTCTTTTGATAGCCTGCTGTGACTTAAAGGGCAAAGCCACACCATTTAAAGTGTTCTTCTAAAGCTTTGGCAGTAATTCTGAAACTTAAGCTATGTGCTAGATTATCTGAAAAACTTTTTCAAATATCGATTGCAAAATGCAGAACTGTTAAAGTTATTTGGCGGTGGGTTTCCAACATCTGCAGGTTTTTTGGATGGTGTTTGATAATCATTGGCCTAAATAATAGTTGATCATTGGCTTTGTATGTTACTGGTGAAATGAAAATGTTTACCTAATAGCATATAGTTTTTCCATTATCACCAATTAGCCCAACCACATTATCTGTTTACTTAAAATCTGATTTTGTCTTTCAACTGCTTATATGTCACATGATCAAAGGATTCCTTCTATATCTAGTCACCCTGTCAGACTTAGGCTTGGTGAACTGCTTCCCTGTTTTCTTTGCCTCTCTAACTTTAGGCCGTTTTCATTGTCTGTTTAGTTTCTAGGGATCAGAGGGCCACTGTTCAATCTTTTCGACCTAGCTCTTCCAGACTTCAACAGAAATTCTACTTTTATCCCCCCCCACCCCTTTTTTAAAACTTACATTCTCATATGTGAGAACATTATAACATAATGTCCTTGATCCCCCCTTCCCCAGCCCAACCGCCACTTTCAACCCTCAAATCCTGCCTTATTCTTAGGAAGTGATTTTGCCTTTCCACCGATTGGGTAAGTTAAGGCCTTCTGACAAGGATCTCGTTTTTTTCTTCCCTCACCTAAGGTATGCACCGTACCTCCTTCACCGCCCCCACCAACCCCCGTTTGATTGATTGTTTATTCTGTCTCCTTTGCAGGTTTCTCTTCTTTTGGCCACTGATGTTGGGATTCTTCGCAGCCATCCCTGGCCCTCTTTCTTTCCTCTATTTTCATGGTGTTTTCTTCTAAGCCCAAAGTTTAAGTAACTTTGCCATGATAACCCAAGTTTATGTCTCCAGCTCAGACTTCTTTGACCCATATATCCAGCTGCCTATTCAACATTGCCATGCAAATGTCAAACTCATTATATTCAAACTGAATTTGTGATTTTACCCCTGGGACCTGACCCTCTTCCAATGATCTCTTTCTCATGATTAGTACCACTCACCATACATTTATTACATAAGCTGGAAATCTAGATGTCCTTCTTAGCCTAAATAGCCCTTTCTTGATATCTCCCATACCCCAAAAATTCTTTTCCATTACCACCCTAGGCAAAGAATTACTATGTTTTGTGGAAAAATAGCCACCTAGCTGGTTTCTACATGTTTTTATTTCCAAATTTAAAATCCTTTTTTAAAAAACCCATTTTGATTGCTTTTAGGATAAAGTCTAAAATCTTTTTAACAGTTTCAAAACTTAAAAAAACTTTGACCTATTTCCTGACTCCTTTATAGTTTCATTATCACAAGAACTATAGTTTAACAGAGAAGTAAGCAAATTTTATTTGATAACTTCTCACTTTTCTTATTGTCATTTTTCAGTCATTCTGGTGTCTTGAACCTTTCTCACTTCCCTTGCTACAAGTATTTGTCTTTGCTGGTAACAGTTGAAGGTGTGAAATAACTTACTCTGTTGCTTTCCGCTTTCTTTTGGCTATTTGTAATAAAGCAGTGCAGGGTTTGGGGAGCATTTCCTAAGCATGAGACAGGATATGAATAAAAGAGAATGTGATTCACTACCTCTGAAAGATTGCTGCTGGCTTATCCTGCATAATTCCATCAAATTGTTCAGTAATTTACTTCTCTGTTTCAGGATTTAGGATTATTTTTGTTTTTGTCAGCTTTTTTTTAAAAAAAAAACCATTAAAGATAATGGCATAAAAACAAACTTAGTACATTGTGATTTTTATTCTTTTGGATTCTTTCCTTAGAATATGTTCTCAGGAGTTGAATTAATTGTTCAGGGTGTAGAATCACAGAGTTTTCCTGTTAGTGCCTTAGTTCTTCCTTTGAAGTACATGTTATATTCATCCCCCTTTCCCGCTTTTTTTCCATTGTCACAATCTTGATCCAAACATTCATTTTAAACCTGTGTTTGATTCTTTCTTGGCCCTTGCTCAGCTTTTTACATTATACTGTGAGACAAATTTGAAAATATATTCATTGTAAGACTTACTAAAATCTACGGAAATTCTTGGTTGCTTTCTAAAGCTTTCCATAGAAATTCAAATTCATTAGATGATTCCAGAATTGTGTTTTCTGTATTCATTCCTTGAAGACATTTATAGGCCACTGTGCAAGGTGCTGGGGATACCTAGGTGAGCAAAAGAGTCTTACAGCACCAAAGATTAATGAAGTCCTCTTTAGGAAAGCTATGCTTAAGCTAAGAAGTGAAAGATGAGTTACCTGAGTAATGGATTAAACACTCTTCTTTCTGTTTGTGGAGAAGTAATTAGGAGAGGTGGCGGCAAGAGTGGAAATAAAACCAATTTATACAGCATTATCTGAAGTGCTTGAAATTAGTAGAATGACGGAAACATACATATCATTCCATTGATTCCACTATCTCAGGTATTCAGTGAAAATGGTATGCTTCAGTTTTTTCACGATAGGGAGCTAGTGTATTTTCCATTTATACAGAGTTAATGAGCTAGATTTATATTGTATGGGTTCATAGAACATACCAATGTCTTTGTTGTCAGCAGACTATTTTGCTGCCTCTTAAAATAATTTTATTTACATACTTTTGAAAAATTAACTACTAGAGTTATAGTTCACTTTCTAATTTTACTATATTTTTGAGCTTTCCATATTTGTCATATTACTTTTCAGTTTTTTCCTATGTAAATTATTTCCAATTTAGATCCCACGTATGTTTAAAAATATTTTTATTAACTTCCAAGTATTTTGAAGTTTTCACTAGTACAAAGTATAATGAAGAAAAGATGCTATATTAGTGTGGGTTTTTTTCAGAAAGTGAAATTTTAAAAATATTTTTTTAAATATGATAGGCAAATTTTAAGTTACAAGTCCTAATTTTTATAAAATATTTTTATTATAAATCTATTTAATATTTTGCTGATGAATGAAGTCCCTAAGTCTGGAAATCACCGGCCTTATTGTACTGATACTGCTCTGGAGTATGTGACCAGTTAGATTGTATTACTCTTGATCAACACATACCTCTTTAATTTTCAATGGGAGACTTTTTCAAAATATGTCAACTCACTTTTCCTAAAACTAGCTCATTTTCTTTAATTCCAGTCTCTCCTTTAAGCTTATGTCAGAGACCTGCCAATTGAATTGTATACATTGGTTGTGACATGAGAGAATAGTGGTTTGCTAATCTCAACTACTTTTTAATAGAATCATTTAATTTCAAAATTTACTGGCTACTTCAGAGAACCTGTGTGACTTTTACCTATGTGTTAAAACCAATTAAACCAGGGCCAAAGGATGGCCTTTATTGTGTTATTGTGTTTGTCTGTGTAATTAGGAATTTTCCAAGCTCTAATAAGGCCTGCTACATTTTAAAGTAGCAAAATTTCAGAATATCAGAAGATTTCAGACTATTTGCAGTTGGTAAACAGTGGAATTTAATGCTTGGTTGTTACTGAGCCCACCCTTCCCAGAAGAATTACGATTAACTGTAGAGGAAAGTCCTTTAAAACTTGGTTATAGCAGAAGTTTGAGATGTTTTCCACCAATACTTTCTATGAATTAAATAAGTCATGTAGGGCAATTTGGAATTGAAAAGAGCTAGAAGTACAGCCATATGACGTTACAACTAAGTTCTCTGTATTTTCTGTGGTGATTTCTAATATGCTTTCTAAAGACTAGTAATTTATTAGATGGGTAGGCAGCCATTGTTGATTAGATGTTTTTTGTTGTCTGGAGATTTGGGCATGATGTGTTTATTATTTAAATCAATTGTCATAGGGTAACAATTTGTGCCCTCTTTTTTAAGGATATGGTGGTGGTTTTAATGAAAGAGAAAATGTTGAATATATAGAAAGAGAAGAATCTGATGGTGAATATGATGAGGTAAGCTATATTTTGGTGTTCAGGTTGAATATAAATTAGAAAAACAGAAAAAATTCTTAAATGCAAAGGAAAACAAACTTTTTTTTAAGTGCAATTTGAGTCTTCAGCAACTGATCATTTTCAGGAAATCATAAATATCTAAAATAATTTTTTAGAAAATGTATTAAGTTTAATGCATTATCAGCTGACAAGCATTTTGAAATTGTTTTTCTCTAGTTTGGACGTAAAAAGAAAAAATACAGAGGGAAAGCAGTTGGTCCTGCATCTATATTAAAGGAAGTTGAAGATAAAGAATCAGAGGGAGAAGAAGAGGATGAGGATGAAGATCTTTCTAAATATAAGTTAGATGAGGTGAACAATTTTCTTGTCCTATTTCCCTTTTGTCTTATTGGAGTTATACCATAACATGAATGCTTTTGACAGCCTCAGACACTTGGTGAAAATATATTCTGTGTTTTCATTTGTTCTCACAAAGGTTTTGGATTTCCACTCTGCCAAGTACTATTTGTACTTGGAACACTACTGTTCTGGAGATACAGTGGTGACCGAAACAGAACCAGTTTTCTCTTACACAGTTCTAGAGGAGGAAATATATAAATAGGTAATTTTGATAGCAGTAACGTTATGAAGACACATGATGTGATAACAGTTTAAAAGCAACTTTGGTTTTGCCGATGGATAATGTCTAAGGAGGTGAAGTTTGAGCTGAAACTTGAATGATAGGAAGGAGCCAGCAATAAGAGCCGAGGTGAGAGCACATTTAGGCAGAGAACAGCAAATACGGGTTCCCTAAATAGGAGATAAGCCAGCAGCCTTCAAAAATACCATACATAGGCCAGTATAGTTAGAGCAGAGGGGAGAATGAGATGAGGGGGACAGCACACATTTCAGGTCTGGTGATACTTGTTCTGTCAGGCCAGAGTGTAAGTTTTATGCCATGTTAAGGGTACCTTAGAGCCTGATCATAAGAGGTCTTGGAATGCAACTAAAGAAATAATAAGCCAGTTTTGAAGTTTTTAAGAAAAAAGTGAGATGTGTTTATCTGTCCTGTGTTTCAGAGTGATGACTGTCAGTATATTGAGATACTAGAGAGGCAGAATGGATCTTCAGATTTGAGGAGACCAGCTAAGAGGTTACTATAATATGCTAGAGAATAAGGAACAGAGTGTCTAAGACTAAAAATGGTGATTTCAAGGACTTTTAAGGAGGTGGACTTGAAAATTCTTGGGTGATGCATAAGTGTGACAGAAAAAGTGTGTATGGCCTCCAGGTTTATGTCTGTGCAATACCTGAGACAAAGTTGTCAAGTCTCTATTTGAGATGAGTTTAGTAGGTGAATTTTAGAATTCAGAATTAATTTGCTGAGATACCTGTGATATATGCATATGGAGGTGCTCAGTACACCTAACTGTTTTATCTTTCCTGGTAGGTAACACTAATATCTAAATGTCTAATTATAATTGAATTTTTGTTAGGATGAGGATGAAGATGACGCTGATCTCTCAAAATATAATCTTGATGCCAGTGAAGAAGAAGATAGTAATAAAAAGAAATCTAATAGACGAAGTCGCTCAAAGTCTCGATCTTCACATTCACGATCTTCATCACGCTCATCCTCCCCCTCAAGTTCAAGGTCTAGGTCCAGGTAAACGGGTACAGGTCAAGGGTAACACCAGTCAAAATGTCAGTATCTAACTTTTTTATTTATAAATTTTGTTTTTCTTGACGAAATAAACTTTCCTTTTTATTTTAAAAATTTAATTCAAATCAACTTTTAAAATAATTTTTCAGCTTAGTACCATACAGTTGTTGTCCAGTATTTTTAGAAAAGTAAAGTCTTAGCATGAAACTTCCTTAACCTATTTTAGCCTCATGCTTTTGACTAAAATAGACTTAAAAACTGAATTAAATTTTTATATACACTTATATTTAATTAATCTAAAGAGATAGCTTACATATAGAAATTAAGTAAAGGGGAGATCTGTATTTTCATTCAAGATGTTAAAGGCTAGCACAGAAATTTTCTAGGCATTAAATCATTGCTTATTACATAATGTTTTTAATAGTTTGCTTTGATATCAGTATTGTGAATAACGGAGCAAATTCAGCCATATTAGTTCTGTTGACTTCATGCTCATAATTTTGAGAAGTCCAGGCGTAAACTAAAACTCTTTTGGTGTACTTGAATATTGTTTGTTGATGTAAAATATGTAATCTCTGATTTTATAGTTAACAATAAAAATAAAATTTTAGGTGAGTGAAAGCAGTGATTTAAATTTAACAGTGTCCTCTTGAAAAACCTTAATCACAGTTAAGTGATGGCATGGGCAATGAATTTTAATCATATTTAGGAATAAAATACTAGATATTAGTGTATAACAATTAGATATATGTTAATTGAGCACTACAAAGCCTGAAAGCTTAACAAAGTGGGGCTATAACTAGTAATTTTTTGGTAAAAATATAGTGATCTTTTTCTACAGGGTATTATTATAAGGGACAAATTATAGTTGTAAATTAGATTAATGAATTTTGTGAGTTTTAAAATTTGTACGAACCATGTCTCCCTTGTGTCATATTTTCCAATAATATAATTACCTAACAATGACAGAATTATACATTTTCCCTTTAATTCTCTAAGCATTGAGTAAACAGAAAAATATAGGGATGAAATACACACATGCCAACATTCAAAACTTTGTACTAACTAGAAACAAAAATAGAAGGGGATTTATAAAGGAAAATGATGGAGACATTTTAGAGAAATTAAGTATAAATCGCAACATTCTGTTTTCTTGGATGTATTCTGGGTAGCTTCTAGTTACTTGTAAACAAAGTATTCATTGTTTTTGTAATAAAGTGATAATGTTTTGTTTTATAGTTGAGTGGCTTTAGGGTAATTTAATCACCTGGAAAGTGATATTTTTTTAATTACCTTTTGTTACTAAATCTTATCTAATTTAAAATACTATGTTTTGAAAGTATATATCTTGTATAGTTATCTTTTTATATGAAAATGAACTCTAATACATATCTTTCTTTCAGTGTTCATATCACAAAGCTCAATTAAATGGTCCTGGAAAAAAAAAATCGTTCCATGTTGTTCCAGGTCCCGTTCAAGAAGTTCTTCCAGTTCGCAGTCAAGATCTCGTTCCAGTTCCAGAGAACGTTCGAGATCTCGTGGGTCGAAATCAAGGTGAATGAGGTAGCATCTCTCTGTAAAGCAGAGAGAAAAATATTTAAAGGCTGCAGAAGGTGTTGCTGCTTTTTTTCCCCTTATTTTGCTTCTACTTGTCGATTTTATTTTAGCATTAGAAAACTAATGCACTTGCCTCAGCTTAATTTTCTCACCATGAAATGTTTCCATTGCCAGCAGTGTGCCAAGACATTCCCATGATTGAAATCAGGTGGCTATTTTGCAATATGCAGCGTTTATTATTTTGGCACTAAGATGTTATGAAGTAGGAAGATGAAGCCAAGTCTTATCGCCACATCTCTAGTATATTAAGATTATATATGGCCAGGCACAGTGATTCATGCCTATAATCCCAGCACTTTGGGAAGCTGAGGTGGGAGGATCACTTGAGGCCAGGAGTTCAAGGTTGTAGTGAACCTTGATCACAGCACTGTAATCCAGCCTGGGTGACAGAGGAGTGTCTCAAAAAAAAAAAAAATTAATAGTAGTTCAAATAAAATTACATATGTAAATAAAAAGAAAAATTTTCTTCATTATTAAAAGGAAGAAAAATAACCCTGCCTCAAAACAGGTCCTGTTTTGCACGGCAGTTGTTTCAATATTTTCAGAAACAAATTTGCCATTTATATCAGATAAAGTTACTAGAGTACTGTATATACATTTTCCTTTCTAATTTTACACACGCTATTATTTATAGAGCACAAAACACTCAAAACTAAATCAGGAAGTATAGTCGGTTAGTTGAGATAGGATGTGGTCTTAAGTAGTAAACAGTGTTCTAAAGTTTCAGGTTGCATGTAGTCACATCTGTAGAGGGAAACATAATTTGAAAGATGCTCTTGCAGGAAATTTTTCTTTGTTTAGTCAAAATATGCTCTCTTTGTTTTTAAGTTAATTTATTATGACCTAAAGGCATCTAAAAAATAAATAAGAAAATGAAATTCCATATTTGTGGAAATTCATATTGAAGTCTAACTGTGGCTGTTTTGGTAAAAGTATTTGCTGCTTTGAATCAAATTTAGCATTAAAGGGCTGCCACAGTATAATCATGTTAAGGAGAAAAGAATGTTGTGCACACTTGCATTATAAGCCAATAAGAAATAGATAACAAGGCCAGGCTCAGTGGCTCACGCCTGTAATCCCAATACCTTGGGAGGCCAAGGTGGGCGGGCTGCTTGAGCCCAGGAGTTCAAGACCAGCCTGGGCAATATAGTGAGACCTCGTCTACTAAAAATAAAAATTAAAACAACCAGCCAGGCATGGTGGTGTGTTCTTATAGGCTGAGGTGGAAGGATCACTGGAGCCCTGGAGATTAAGGGTGCAGTGAGCCATGCTTATGCTACTGCACCACAGCCTGGGGAACAGAGCAAGATCCTGTCTCAAAAAAAAAAAAAAAAATAGAAGTAGAGAGCAAATTATTTTTTATTGTTACCATTATTTAGTAACAATATTTAAGCGCTTTATAGGTAAAAATCCTTAAGTTCTGGTATTCCCTTTGGGAACCATTATAATTAAGGTTTACAGAACACCCATCATATTCTTCCCAAACATTTTTTCATTGCTTGTAACTTTCCAAAGAATTCTCCTTTTGGGCTTTCTGGTTTTATTTTAAGCCCAAAGGTGAATTTTTTGGGAAGTTTGAGCTAAATTCCTTCAACCAAAATATACAAGTGAAGAAAAAAAATTTGTATTTAAACATTTGCACATTTACTTCTACCTGAAGCATGTGAATGTCAACACTTCATATTTCATAAGTAGTGGGTTTTCATAAAAATAGTATTGTAAATATAAATCATCTTAAAGTTAGTTTTTATTTCTTCTTGAATATTTAGCAGTTAAGTACAGTTACTAGTCTTTTGTTGCTGTGCCATATACCTGGTTTTTCCATAACAGTTTAATGAGTTGAATAATTCCACATGGAATTATGTTTATTTTCCTCAGGAAGTGGTATATAAGATACATATTTTAATCCTCAAATGGAAGGATGTAGTTCCTAAACGTAAAGTCCTGTTAATGCAGTTATCTGCTGATTTTATAATACTATAATATTTGTGTATACTTTGAAAAGCCTTAAAAAAAGTTTAAATTCTATTTTGATATAGTAAGCAGGGTTTTAATTACACATGATAGAATTTTAAAGAGACAAAATTAAAATGTTTAAGTAGAATGTTTTCATGGTTGATCCAGAAGTCTTCTGTTGAATAAGCAGTAAGTATTCTTCCTTATAAAATTTTCATAGTTGTTATAAATCCTGTTTATTTTTGGAGCTATCTGATAACTAAATAATCTTCCTTATTTCTTCTTTTAATGAAATGTTTGATTTGTTTCTCAATCAATGAAGATCCAGCTCCAGGTCCCACAGGGGCTCTTCTTCCCCACGAAAAAGATCTTATTCAAGTTCATCATCTTCTCCTGAGAGGAACAGAAAGAGAAGTCGTTCTAGATCTTCTTCATCTGGTGATCGCAAAAAAAGACGAACAAGATCACGGTCACCCGAAAGGTTTGGGTTTCTGTAGAAATAAGAATGGGTGTTCTTAAGTGTGTTTAATAGATAAAGTAAACTTTCCTAGTCAAGGGTTAGATTTTTATTATCTCTTGTGTTCCGACTTTCTACTTTTCAACTTTGAACTTCAAAAAAACATTACTTTGCTTATCCTTTGTACTTTGATCAGGTTGTTTAGAATTGTAGATCAAACCATTCTTTGATCATTTTATTGTTTAAATTTTTAGTTCCATTTATAATTTTTATAGCCAACTCTCGGTTATTTCTGTCTTTTGAGATTGCAATTCAGAAGCTGTATGTCGAAGTAATTTATGAGTTGACTTTTATACTTAGGCTTCTTTAAATACTAATAGTCAAGAATTCTAGAGCATCTAATAAAAAATTAACTTTCAGATCATTGGGAATCTGTCCTCATTTAAATATGTGTAAATGCATTTCCACAGCAAATTGCTTCATGCCCTTTGTCTATAAGGAAATTATTCCTTGTAGCTAATACATTTTTCATTTTGCAGTCCAAATCTTTTTTGAGAAAGGCCTATATTAGGTTACTTTATCTGTACTGACACTTTTAATATTGGAAGAATGCAACTGTCATCTGTCAGCCTTTTCTGCAACAGGCTAATTACTCAGTTTCATTAATTTTCTCTTTGTTCCCAATTATATAGTCATTTTAATGGCTTTATTTGTAGTCTTTGCAAATTTTTCATATTTTATTAGCTTGTGAAAATAAAGATTATGTAAAGTCTATTAATTGCTGGGTTCAGTGGTAGGATTATCTCATGATTCCTACTTGTACAGAATGATTAGTTTTGCTTCTTCACATTTTGGAGTTTAGATGTTAAGATTTCACACAGTCTTGTTTCTCTGCATTTGTTTCTTTGTAAAAAAAATTACTCTGTTTTTGAGTGGAATTCATTCTGTTGCTTTCTTACCACTTCTGCAAATTTTTATCTTAGCCACATATAATCCCCCTAGTTTGTTGTCATCTAAACTTAATGAACATGTTCTCTATTCCATAAGCCAGGTGATTGGTGAAAACACTAAACAACCCTGAGCCCAGGGCCAACCCCTACGGAACACCACTACTTTACCCAGGTTGATATTGACTTATTCATACTAGCTGCATGAATATAACCCTATAGCAAATTGTACAATCATCTTGTGTGACCTAGATTTCCAAAACTTATTTATGAGTATATTTTCTCATACACAGAAGCCTTGCTGTATCTTTTTTACATAATAGACTTCTTACACTTTCTACACCGTGTCACAGGGATTGGTTTAGTCACACTTCCATTACCAAGTTTATATGCTTTTGTTGTACATTTTCTGTAATTTTACACATTTTTGCAAGGCTTTTCTTTGATATCTTAAATAATTGAGAGGTGGCTATATTTTGAAATGAGATTCTTTTGAAATTGTAGAGAATTTTTTATTGTATTTATATGATAACTGGGCTCATATCCAAAGTCTAAACATCAGATAATTTTATGTGTGTAAGTTCCTATCTCAATTTTTAATTTTTTTGCTAGCATCATGGTACTGAATTTTGTATACTTTCACAGTCTTAAGAATGAATGCTGAGATTTAGCTCTAGCTTACTAGAATGCCTACTCTCTCCATTATGTCTTACAGACGCCACAGGTCATCATCTGGATCATCCCATTCTGGTTCCCGTTCAAGTTCAAAAAAGAAATAATGTATTAAAATTTACATCTTAAAAAAATCCAGTACAGTGCATGAAGCATATTTTTAAAGAAGTTGGTGTCTTACTTGGTCAGAAGTGCTAAATCTGCTAGTAGAGGTGCATGCCTTTCATTGCTTTTCAAAACAATACAGCTGTGTTTATTTGTGAAGTTAAAAGTAAATAGCATTTTAAGCCATAATGTCCCAAAATAGATGTTCTGTCATTCATTATTTACAACCATTTGCTTCATTTAAAACCATTTCAGCTATAACAAAGTACTTTGCTTCCTAATTTAAACCCATTTTTGTCATTTCCAAATACATCCTGTCCATTGGCTAAGACAGGATTACCTAGGCTTGCCTGAACTTTGGGCATGGAAGAAAGACTGGAAACTAGTTGGAAACAACATACTTATGGAAAAGAAAGTCAGCCTTTTTATGCTGTTAACAGATGTCAGAGTGATTCTCACCAAAAAAAGTTAAACTATGTTGTAAGCAGCCAACTGTAAATGTCTATTTTGAAATTCCCTATGCTAAGGGTGCCTTAGAATCATTGTGTCTCTTTTATCCAGCTTTACTTTTTTGCTCCACATTTAATGCAAAAGAATCTTGTGATGTCTACAAGGAGAGAAGTGGGATATATTTTCCTTTCTGACACATAATTTGGGGCAAAAAAGAAAGTCTTAAGAGTTTATCTTTTCTCTGCTGATACGGTTGCTTGATAAAGACATCTCAAAATGTTTACCAATGTTTTAAGAAGCTTTGTGTGATATTCTTCCAAATGTAGTTACCAAATATAATATGGTAGAAAAGGCTAAATCATACTTAATGAGCAAATTGAAGTAAGCTTTTAAAGTATATTTCTCTTTTGGTGAAAGGCCAATGGAGACATTGTGAATTTAAGTGAACATTTGCCTCAAGATGTTAACTATAAACACACTGCATACAATTTTCTTCTGAATAACAAATGAATGCTTATTGCTGCATGATGTAAGCAAAAGTCATTATTTTTCCTATTCATTTGAAATAAGTTATGGCTTAAAATGCTTTTGGAGTTTATTTCTCAAAATTAAAATCTGGTCACATGAGCTTTAGTTTGTTTTCTGGTTTAAAAAATAAAAAGGTTTCTCTTAACAGTATTTCCAGTGACAATGCAAGGTAAGTATATCAAAGGAAATCAACAGTTGTGCTTGGGGGCTTTTTGTTATGGGATATTGATTTCTTGTTTTTTTTCCGTAACATTGTCTGCTGCAATTTAAATAAAAATTACGACATTTTAAGATATTTCATAGACAAACCAAACAAAAATATATGTTTTTACTTTAAAGTGAATGTTTTTCTCTTCAGCTGATCTAAAAATGAAAGCAAGATATCTTATGTAGAAATATTTTGATAATATTTTTACAGTGAGCTTTCCCATGTTTTTATGTCTTAAGTTTCTTTGCTGCGTTTATGTAGGTTGCACAAGAACTTTTACTCACTTGTAATTGTGCCTCAGACTTTTTGAAAGTCTACCTTCTAAATTGCCCCGACGATCTAGATTCTACATGTTACCATTGGTTTATTCTTGTGCTTTCTGTATTTAAAACTTTGGCTGTACTAAGCAAATGCAAGGTTATAATTTAGCTAATAGTAGTTTACAGACAATTCTGATGATTATGATTTCATTTGGTTTAACTAAGCTGTACTAGTTCATTTCATAAGGAAATGATACTGTAGACAAATGTAAATAAAGCCTGTGAGTCAAGCATCAAGTGGTGTTTGTTAGAAATAAACTAGAGATTTTTAAACTCTGATCTAATGTTCATTTTTAAACTAATTACAGTTTTCTGTTACCTTTGATTTGTTAATTTTTTACACTCTTTATATTCACCTACCTTTTATATATGAGTGCTTGGTATTTTAAATTCCAAAGCCATTATCACTGCAACCTCAGAATTTTTAATTTAACCTTTTTTTCGTTTTAAATAGAGAGCTCCTAAATTAGTTGCACACTTCTTGCCAGAACATTACATCCCTCATTCCATGTGGTAAAATACCATATCGTAGTGTGCTTCCTGAATTACTCTTAAACTGTCACCTTATATAAAGCACTCAACTGTCAGCTTAACAGCTAAGTTTTCTTAAGTTTCTATTTGGAGTCCTTTCATCTAAACAATATTGAATGATATCTGGTAATAAATGTCCAAGTTCAGAACTAGATCTAAATAGAAGATCATCTCTAGGCACAATTACCAAGCTAAATTAGATCTCTGAAACCATGTCATCTCCCCTTCTTGCTATCTTGTGTACATAGCCAGTGTTGTGGATGTTGGTAAGAAGGTAGGGAATTTCTCCACTTTGCCCCCTGTTTTTGACATAAGGTTTAAATGTTTTTTAAATAGAAATACCCTCATGGCTTTCCTGACCTGGAAATGGTATTTCTATTTCTGGGGAAATTGAGTAGACAGGTTTAACTAAAAGACAGTTTCGTGTGTGTGTGTGTGTGTGTGTGTGTGTGTGAGAGAGAGAGAGAGATTTGCAGGCATTATCTAATTCTCCCTATGATCTTGTGAGAGTATATACTCTTGCATATCTTGTGTTTTGCGAAAAGGAGGGTTAAAGCACGGGGAAATTAAAAACTTGCCCAAGGAAGCCACAGGAATAGCAAAGTAGGGATTCACCCCCAAACATGATGGGAAATTTCAGTATTATGTGTAATAAAAGCCAAAACTCTTTTGAGAAAATAAATGTGAAATTGTTAAGCCCGATAGTCAGATATTTTTTAGTCTGGTAATTTGGTAGAGAATATATAATTTCAGCCAATTATAGTCAGGGAGGTTAGACAAACACTATTTTGGATAACTTTAGATTTAAAGAAAAGTTGCAAAGATTGTGCAGACAGTTCTCATATATCCCCACTAATTTTCTACAGTCATTAGCATCTTAAATTGCCATGTGTGTATATTTCTCAAAACCAAAACCAGCGTTGGTATGTTACTATTAATTACATTACAGATTTTACTAGAATGTTATCATTTTTCCCCTTAAGATATTCCATAATCTAGAGTACCATCTTGTACTACTAATACCTTCCTGCTCTCTTCTCCTCTATGACAGTTTTTCATTCTTTCCTCATTTTTGATGATTTTGACAATCTTAAGAGAGTACTAGCCAGGTATCCTCTAGAATATCCACCACTGCATTCTGTATTTGACTGGTTTTTCTCACGATTAGACTGGGATTATGGGGTTTTGCAGAGAATACCACAGAGGAAAAGTGTCTTTCTTGTCACTTCCTACACAGAGGAAAAGTGTCTTTCTTGTCACTTCCTGTGCAGGGTACATCATAACCCTGTGACTTCACTGGGAATGTTAACATTCGTCATTTGGTTAAGGTAGGGTTTGCCCTGATTCACCATTGCAGTTACTGTTTCTCCTTTTACCTACTGTTACTCTTTCAAATCAGGTTATACTAAGTGTAGTCCATCATCATGATAAGACGGGGGAATTAAGTTCCATATCCTTTTGGGGTTAGGTATCTACACAGTATTTGGAATTTTTCTATAAGAAAGATTTGTCTCCATTTCTTTTATATATATACTCAGTTATATTTATTTTATACTTGTTACTTATTTTTCATATTGGCTTTTGTGACCTTTGACAAGCCTTTATTCTCTGTTAGAGGGGAAAGTAGATGGAGAGAGGGAGGGAAGAATTTTTGGAGAGGTATCAAATAGGAGAAAACATGGGGTCTAGAGCCATGACAAGGCGGTGGGGGGTGCCTTCAATATTAAATGAGAGCCTCCACAGTTAATTACAGTATGAGGAGGGATGGGTCCAGATTGCATTACAGCCAAATTTGTAGTCATTGAGAGTGAGCAGTAAACATTTAATGGTTTTTTTTTTTCCCCTCAGCCACATCGAACTACCTGGCTGCTTGAATAAGGGTGTTGTAATATTACACACAGATATAAATAATAAACATGTAGTAATAGTTCTTAAATATTTGTTTAGCAAAATAAAAGGTGCTGGGATAAGAAAAATGTTAACATTAACTTGGTAAATTTGAAATACTTCAATGCAGATTAAAAGGTATCTAAAAAGATTTTGAGGAAAGCTACACAATTTTTTTCAAAGAAAAATACCTAAATTTGAAGCTAAAAATGCATAGGACAACTCCTCCCCTTAACCTCAATTTAGTGCGAGAAAAGCTCTTATAAAATACAGTTGTACTTAAGTGTCTGTGGGGAATTGGTTCCAGGATCACCCACAGATAACAAAATTTCAAGGGTGCTCGCGTTCCTTATGTAAAACAGCATGGTATTTGCATGTAACCTATGTATATCCTCTCATATACTTTAAATCATCTCTAGAGTAACCCTAATACAGTGCCATACATTACTTCACGTAGATTCAGCATAACACCATGTGGCAAATTCAAGTATTGTCTTTGGGACTTTATAGGGTTTTCTTTTCCCCTGAATATTTTTAATTTGCAGTTGTTGAATCCATGGATGCTGGATACAGAACTCATGAATATAGAGGGCCTGTTCTTCAGGTTAGAGATAAAGCCTCCAATAAAATAGGAACAGTTTTGCCCGAATAAAGAGGCAAACTCTTAATGAGTTGACTTGCAGTCTTGAAGGACAAATTTATAGATGAATAAGGCAAGCTAAGGTTATTCTCTTTGCAACACTGAAGATTTGACGTTTTTAGGGAACTAAAAATACCATGGCTGTGGGAAACCTCGGAGAAGGACAGGGAACTTCGTAATAATGCTGTTGGAATTAAACTGGACCACAGTGAATACTGACTACAGAATATTGATAATTTGAATAGCTAAGTGTTGAACACAGAACAGTGGGATTTTGCACCTACCCTAAAATGAAACATCTGTGACCTGTTATTGGTGAGGTTATCACAAAGGCTAAGTACCTCCAACCTAAAAGTAATAGGAACTAAAGTTTACTTTAATGGGTGTGATGCAGTGGTAGAGTTGTGACTGATATTTGGTTACTATCTGGTTCTTCCACTGACTTCAATTTAGTTAATGGTAACTGAGTGACTCGAGACATTCTTTATGCCTAAGTTGTTAACACCTATAAAATGAAAATGACCGTTTCTACCTTGTGGGAATTATTATAAATAATGTAGCATATATGTATGCAGCAAATATTGGCAGTTTTTATCCCTTCTCCATGTTTACAGATATTTCTCATATATACACACACATGCACATATATATGTGTATATATGTTTATATATACATATATTTGTTTATACATATATATGTTTATATATACATATATTTGTTTATACATATATATGTTTATATATACATTATATATATAATAATATATATGTATATATATATGCATGTGTGTGTATATATTCTCAGATGCCTATTTCCCACTTACTCTTTCTAGAGCACCAGATCCATGTATCTAGCTGCCTCCTGTGTATCTCCCTTTATTTTTTTTCTTTTTGTCACGATGAGTCTTGCGGTGTTGCACAGGCTGGTCTCGAATTCCTGGACTCAAGCAGTCTTCCTGTCTTGGCCTCCCAAAGTGCTAGGATTATAGGTGTGAGCCACTACGCCTGGCCTGTATCTCCCTTCACATGTCAGACAGCCAATTTTACTGTATTTAAATTCTTCCTAAATCCTCTATTCACCAAACCTGTATCTCATGTTGTATTTCATATTGATAAACATCATTATCAGTACTTGATAATCCTCTTAGATTTCCTTTTTGTGAACACTACCACTGCTTTGATTTGTGGGCTAGGATATTGTAGTTTCTTCCTAAATGGTCATTTGGCATTTAGTAGGATTTCAGTAATATTTGCTAAATGAATTTTTTTCACCAAGCATTGATCACTTCATCACTGATGCTAGAATGCTCTTAACTAACGAGCATTTCATTTCATGTTATTTCTTTGTTTAAACCCTTTCAGTGCCTTTTCATGGCTTTCAGAATTCAACTACAATCCTTATGCATATAGTAAAAAGTTCAGGGGTTTTTTCCAGGACTCACACTACCCCCACCTCCCAATTCTAACCTACTTAGGTGCACAGAACCTATACACTAGCTACGTTAACTATGCTGAACTACTAATAGGCTTTCATCTTAGTACAAGTTTCTTATACCTGGGATACCCTACACATACCCCACTACCATTTCTTTTTTCATTTAGCTTTCATGACTCAATTCAGAACACTAGGATGCCATCCCTGATGCCTCTTCCCTTTCAATGGGAATTGGGTGAAACTCCTAAAAGTTTCTCCTTCCCCAGTATCCCTCTCCCTTAGCATAGTGTTTGTCATTATAGCAAGCACTCAAATGTTTGATGAGGGTCAATATCTGTTACCTTTCTCAAAGAGGTTTTGATCAGTTGTATTTTTTCCTCATTACTGATAGAATAAATGTTCTTCGCTGGAAAGCATTCTTTGATTGTGAAAGGAGTTTTTATTCTGAAATTAAAGCTTTGTAAGACCATTGTAGGAGAAACTTTTCTTTTTTCTTTTTAAATATTTATTTTAGAGACAGGTCTCACTATGTTGGCCAGGCTGGTCTTAAACTCCTAACCTTAAGTGATCCTCCTCCAGCCTCCCAAAGTGCGGGGATTATAGGCATGAACCACCATGCCCAGCTTTTTTCTGTTTCTTAAGTCCAAGGAGGCCATTTCTTCATAAGCTGAAAAAACTTTGAAGTTATCTGTCCAGCCATCCTTCAGGAGAGGGTAGAACATGTAAATAAACCTTATTGTCCTCAATTTTCTACTTAAAGTATGCCAACTTATATTTTATTACACACAACTAAGATAGGTTGAGAAAGAGCAGCCTCACTGGCATACATTTTGAAATTAGATTATTTGTATATCACCAAGGACAGAAGCACAAAAAATTACTATGCTGGAAGTAAGACTTGGGGTCAACTATTGGCTTTCTTCCTAACATGCTGTGTGATCCTCTGCAAAAATATTAACCTAAGGGACTTCACTATGGATTGGTAAATTGAGTTCCCTATAAATGTATGATCCTGAAGTAAGTGCATTGGGGTGCATCATTGGCAAAATAAGCAACAAATCAAAAAGTAATTTACCTAACTTGGAGGAGCAGATGATAGAGTTCAAAATGCTTTGTTAGGTTAAAATACTACGAACAGGCATATCATGTACTAGGTAGAACCGAATTTTATAAGTATAGTTAAAAAGCTTTCAAACAAGAAAATATAAAATACATTATTGCTTGATAACTAGACCAGTAGATTTTTACTGATAAATTGTTTGGACATTTATTTTGGCTTATATACATAACACTAACTGTAAATGAGCTATTTCTGTGAAAACACCTAAAAGTCAAAACTAAAATGGAAGTGTTCAGTTTGGATGAAGCAAATCCAGTTAATTATGGTCTATCCTCGTATTAACTCTTAGTGACACTGTTACCTCTAATCTAGCTGTTGACTGTGAACCTGTCAAAAATGTTGCTTTTTCAGCAATTATTTCCATGTATCAAAATTCTGATCAGGGAAAACAAGTTATCTGTATTCTTATAATTTGAATAATGTATTAGAGCCTAAGAATTTTAATGTGGTATCAGCAACTGTGACACAAGATTGTGTTGCCCTATATCACACTCACAATTATGTCTCCTGTTCCTTATTATTGATTCCTTAGAATCACAAAAAGGGAAAGGTTAAGGAGAATGTAGTTAATTCTACCAGAAGAAACTACCTCAGTATTCTCAGGCTGCACCCATAGTACCTGTGGCACTAAAATCTTAGGATAGAAGAGTGCTAAGAAGGAAGAAAGAATAATAAAAATAATGTTTTGTGTTTTTTCCTCATATTAGTGATAATGAAAATGTGTTTAAATTCAGGCCTCCCATAAAGTATTGCGTATCATAAAGTCTAAGGCAGGTACCTGACCGTGAAAAACTACATTTTGAAGCACTGATGACTGATAAGAGAGACACAAAATGTTTAACCTGTAATTTTGGTGAAGCCATTGGAAATTAGCAAACCTACACTATGTTTTCTCTACATTTGGAGACTATTCATCTGTTAATGTAGATGCAAAAGAAAGTCTTATTCAAGGACTCCAAAGACATATTTAACACAATATTAAACATTGAACCTGCATTTTAAGCACCACTGCATTCTGGTATCATTGCTTAGTGCCCTTTTGATTATATTTGCTGGGGCTATTTGAATCAGTATGATCTATTTTTGTAAAATCCTTAATTTTTTTAATTAGAGGATAAGTTAGCACGGGCCTTTTAGAGGGTAATTTGAGAGTATCTGAAAAATTAGAGTATTCACAGTATGAACATTTAAACATACTAATGAATTACGTTACTGCATGCTAGGTAGTGAACTAACGTGAGATACCTTGATTGAAGCAAGGAGAACAATTCCGATTGCTACTGTGAAGGATATAAAAGGGGTTGGTGTATAAAACTACTCTTAGGACAGTAAGTATAAGACCTTGGGGTCAGGCAAATTGTACTTGGTAACTGAATTTTTAAGAGTTCAGTGCCGCGGGGCTAAGTCTGCTCCTGGATATGATGAGAAGCCAGTAAATGGCTTGGGAAAAAAATGGTCTAAGACAGAGTTGTAGAGTTAGAGGACCTGTCATACAAACCTTGTAAGCCATAGAAGGGAATTTACATGGTATGCGAAGAACAGTTGGAAAATAGTAAACAGTTTGAAGTGACCTAGTTTTAATACAAATTGGCCACTGCTTGGAGAATAGATCAGAAAGAACCCTACTGGATGGGAAGGGAATAGTAAGAAGTCTTACTTAAGCAAATTAAAGTTATTACAAATTTATATGATCAAAACACTAAATTTTAGGGTAACTACATGACAGACCAATAGTGTTTTAAGAAGTTTAAAATGTGGAAATTCAAAAGTGGAAGTAGGTAATTTGAGCTGTTGTGAGATTCATTCCTCAGTAAATGGTAAAAGTACTATTTAAGTAGACTCTAATAAATCATGGAACCATATTTTAATCTCCATAACCACTAAGAATAATAAAGGTATAACAAGTAGTGGGGAAAAAGGGAGTAATGAAAATGATTAATACAAATTAGTTTTTTAAGAGGTAAAGAATGACAAAACAGCAAGCCAGTTAAACTCTCGTACCTAGAGGTGGATTATACACCAATTAATCCAGAGTATCAGACAGGGTTAAGATAAATTGACAAAGCCAATTGTGTATTTGTAATATGTATTTTCAGTTTGGAAATAAGAGAATGGGGAAAGTAAAAGTTTGGAATTAAACATCCCCATGGGTCAGCAAATAGTGGGATTTTTTTTTGAATGAAAATACAATTTATCAGGCCGGGTGCTGTGGCTCACGCCTGTAATCCCAGCACTTTGAGAGGCGAGGCGGATGGATCACGAGGTCAGGAGATGAAGACCATCGTGGCTAACACGGTGAAACCCCGTCTCTACTAAAAACACAAAAAAGCCAGGCGTGGTGGCACGCGCTGTAGTCCCAGCTGCTCGGGAGGCTGAGGCAAGAGAATCCCTTGAACCCGGGAGGCGGAGATTTCAGTGAGCCGAGGTCGCACCATTGCACTCCAGCCTCTGTGACAGAGCGAGACTCTGCCTCAAAAAATAAAAAAAGAAAGAAAAAAGAAAATACAATTTGTCAACACCTGTGAGATTGAGCTAAAGCAGTGCTTGGAGTTGTGTAACTTTGAAAGCCTACATTAGAGAAAATTAAGTCAATTAAACTTTCAAGAATACAGGAAAATACTGGCAGATCAAACGTAATTCAGAGAAAAAAAGAGCAGAGGACTTCTGCTTCAGGCCAAGATTTACCCTTCAACCTGTAACAAACTAGACAAAATGTATCAAGCAGCATTTTTCAGTACATTGAATGTAAGGCTGTGGAGAAGTACCTGAGAAAGGAAAACAAGGTGAGTCCTATTAATGCTTCCCAGACTGGCCAGATTTTCTCACAGCAGCCAGCCCTATCTCACATGTATTAATGTTATAATTTCACATACTCTATAATGCTATCCTTTGATTAGCGTTTAGTTTGATGGGAACTCCAAACCATTAAAGAAAATTCAGGCCAGCCGTGGTGGCGCCGTGCCTGTGGACCCAGCTACTCAGGAGGCTGAAATGGGAGGATGGCTCAAACCCGAGCAGTCAAGTGAGCCGTTATTGTGCCACTGCACTCCAGCCTGGGCTGTAACAGAGCAAGACCCCCATCTCTAAAGCAGAAAAGAAAAAAAAAAAATCATAGCAGGTGCTACATTTGCACTGAGAAGAATCCACAAGCAGAGATGTTTGTGAGAACAGTGGTGTCTTCAGCAGCATCAGTTCCCGCAGACTCGAGTGAATTGGGCTCCGGCATGTGCACCACGTGGGGTCCAGAGTGCCTGGCCCCAGAACAGCCGCTGAGTGCAGGGACCCTAAGGACAGGGGTGGGGGTCTGGGTGACAAGGCCGGAGGAGTCCCTGGCACCCCTCACCCACCCCGCGGGACACCCCAGTTGACACCGTGTGCCAGCAAAGTTGGGACCTGATGGTTTTGGGAACGTAGGTCATTGAAAGTGGCCTGCAGCACACAGCCTGTAGGGAGCAGGCAAGGAGGGTCCTTGTCCATCTACCTCCTGAGGCTGTCCTTCCCGTGGCCATGCCACCTAGGCAGGAGTGCGTAGGACTTGCCTGGCTGGAACCCACCCTTGAAAACCGCCTGAGGAGGTGCCAGAGTGTGGCTGCGGGCTCCAGACCACGTCGGCTCCACCTGCCCGGAACCCAGCTGCCACTAGCGCTGGCTGGGAACACAGGCTTGCTGTCTTCTCCGGGTCTTGGGAAACCTGTACTTCTTAAGACTCATTCAGGATCAGCATGTCCATCCCAAGGACTTCTTCAGGAAAGGCACTCCCTCCCCACTAAAAGAACGTTCCTCAAAGCAATTTGAGAAGCGCAGCCCATCCGCCTCCAGCTGGGTGGCCGCAGACACATCAGGCTCCGGCCTCCCTGTATTTTCATGCCCCACAGTGAAAAACGTGGGCATTTCTTTCCAGTTATGTCCTTAGCCAAATGCGGAGCTTTTCTGCCCAGGATGGGCAAAATTCTAGCACTGGCAGGGGTGCAACCCAAGGGGTGGCCGGGGTTCTCACTGCCCTTGGCCATGGGGCAGGCTGGTCTAGACAGCAGGGGGATGTTTTCAGGGTTGGAGTTTCCCCCCACCTAGTCCTGAACCTATTGGGTCATGGAGCACCTGTGTTCCCATGAGGCCAGTGTGGGCCACACATGACTTCAAACGGCCCTTGAGGCTTGATTAAGTGTGCCAGTTTCATTCCAAACATGCTGCTCTAAAGCATCCCTGCTGAGCCACAGGAGGATCAGATACTGTGAGCTTCTGGCCTGTTGATACTCAAGAGCCAGGGCATGCGGGGAAGACTCCAGAAGTCCTAACTCTTGCTAACCTTACATCTGGGATTCTTCCACCCTCAGCTGAAGAACTTGATGAATTTCAACTTTGAAGAGATTCTTCTAACACTTGGCCATTTCAACCAGGCTTTGCTAAAGTCCTCTGAAATTGGGGGACTGAAAGCCAATTACTTAGATCACAGGTTGCCTGTGAAATCTGCAAGGACCTGCTGTCAGGGCTCATTAAACCCCAAAGTATGGCCCCTTTGGCATGTGGACTACTCTGACCCAGAGGAGACTGGAAGATCTCAGAAGCCTAGCCTTTGTCCTTCCCTCCTGGTTCCTGTGCCCTTTTCTCCCACAAAGTGAGTCACAGAAACCAGAATTTGTTTTCCCCAAGGCAGGTCATAGAAACTAGAACTCCTCTCTCCCAAACATAGCCATAAAACCTAGCAAGGTCACTCTGTCCCTTCTCCCTGGAAAACCCCTCATTCCCGAGGGGTCCTGCCCCATACCCAGGGGAAGGGGAATTGTACAAAGCAACCTTGTTGGGTTTCCCCACTCCGTCCATCACTGTTAGGCCACGTTAGCGTGGGTGACAGAGTGAGACTGTCTCTTTAAAACAAATAAAACAATAGAATTTCTGTGCCTACTAACTAAAAGAGATAATCACACGTTGTTCAATACAACAACAGCAACAACAAAGCTGTAGGAGTACTTGCAGTAATGATAGAGGAGAAAAGATGTCACAAGGAAAAATCCTCTTTTAATCTCAGAGGTTTATAGTTTTAACAGGTACATTTAAGTCTATTATCTATTTTGTTTTGTGGTGTAAGGTCTATGTTCATTTTTATATCCATACAGCTATCTAGTTTTTCCAGCACCACTTGTTAAAAAGACTGTTCTCCTGAATCACCTTAACACTTTTGACAAAAATCTGTTGAATGTCTGCATATGTGTACACATATCTATATCTCTATATGTGTATATATGATGCTCTCTATAATACTCTCTTTCATTGATCTATAGATCAGTGTCTTAGTTTGTTTTGTGCTACTATAACAGTACTACATCTGGGTAATTTATAAAGAATATAAATTTATTTCTCAATGTTTTGGATGTTGGGGATGTTCAAAAGCAAGGCGCCATCATCTGGTCTCTGGTGAAGGCCTTCTTGCCCTGTCCTCACATGTCAGGATGACAAGAAAGGGACCAAACTCCCTCTGTCAAGCCCTTTTGTAAGAGCAGCTAATCCCATTCCCTCAAGAGATGTCCTCATAGCCCAACCACCTCTTAAAGGCGTCACCTCTTAATACCATCATAGTAGCCATTAAGTTTCAACACGAATTTTGGAGAAGACACATTCAAACCATAGCATGCCTATCTTTATGCCAGTATCACGCTGCCCTGCATATAACAATAGTAAAATATAGTTAAATTTGTAAAAACAAGTATTTGAATTTTATTAAACTATTGCATTGGAAGGCATTCAAAAGCATACAGAAATCATAGAAGAGAAAAAAAGACCTGCAAATGAAAGGAGTAAAAATTATGACTTACTGGTTTTTGGGATCGAGGATCCTGCCCATTCTTCATGACTATGGCTATGGGAAATACTGGTAGAAAAAAAAAAATCATAGCCTTACTGGCAAAAAGTTCCAGAGACTGGAGTTAAGGCTTGAAAAGCCACTGCAAATTTAAGTAGGAAATCTTGGTAATGAGAACCAGAGAAGAAATGAGATAGAACTACCCAAATTCATGTCTCACAGCAAACTCTGCATGAGTGAAGGAGACCACATGAAGCCTGAGGAAAAAGCAAGCAAAGACCAGATAGAAATCTAGTCCCAGCACTTTGGGAGGTCAAAGTGGGAGGATCATGATGTTAGGAAATCGAGACCATCCTGGCTAACATGGTGAAACCCTGTCTCTACTAAAAATACAAAAAATTAGCCAGGCGTGGTGGTGGGCGCCTGTAGTCCCAGCTACTTGGGAGGCTGAGGCAGGAGAATGGCGAGAATCTGGGAAGCGGCGCTTGCAGTGAGCCAAGATTGCACCACTGCATCCAACCTGGATGACAGAGTGAGACTCCGTCTAAAAAAAAAAAAAAAAAAAAAAAAAAACAAAACACACACAAAAACCATTATTCAAGAATACATCTACTTTGATTACTTTGATGCTTTACTTAAGGGGATGTATTCCTCCCTGTGCTGTGTGTACTTTGGGTGGGAGAAAGCTGAAGCTTCAGAAACTTTAAATGTCAGGGAATAGCCCTAAGCTGGCAGAGTAGCTGCAAATAAGAGGAGAATCCCTAGAATCAAGGAACCCACACAGAAGGTGATCTCCATTGCTAACTGACCAGCAAATTACACAGGCATAGGGAAATCAATCTCTAGGAAGCCAAGCTAAAAGAGCATGGAAAACCATGAGAATGAAGCAGAGATACCAAGAGCAGCATGCCCCATGGGAGGCAATATTGGCAGTTTGAATCCGGACAAGTTAACTGTCAAACAGAGCAAACAAACATAAAATAGATAATACTCAGGGAAAAAAACCCGGTAGACTCCAGAGTCATTACAATATATTACAATGTCCAGTTTTCAATTAAAAAAAACAGGCATGTAAAGAATAGGAAGAAAAGACAGCAGAAAAGGCATTCATAGAAAGGGACTCTTTGATCTAGCAAAGACTTCTAGGCATTGCTTTTATTTTGATACAGTAATTACATTGATTGATGTTTAAATGTTAAGTCTACATTGCACTGTACTTCCATGACAATCATTCTGAGAAGACAAAAGCCATGGGATCAGTGTTTCTCCTGTTATTTGGCACTTAGAATCAGTAATTTTGCACTAAAATATAAACCCCATGAATATAGGCACTGTTATGTATTGCTTTTGTATCCCTAATGACTGAAACAGTGTCTGACATAGATTGGGTGCTCAATGAATGGTTATTGAATGAATGAATGACTAAAATATAAACTAAAATTACTGGTTGGCTCCATGAAGAAAGACTTTCAGATATTTTCCATCCATAGTGAGGCAATCAAAGGCTGATCATGTGACTCATTATTAATCTTATTTTGTATCCATATTTAAGATTTTTAAATAGATGTTTAATAGAAGTAAATAGCAAAATAAATTCATCATCACTAGCTAAATATTGACATACATTATACATTTTAAGCTGTAGGGTACAATTAAGTAATCTGTGAATTTAAAACATGTCCAGGTTAGAATTTCATTGAAAACATAATAGGTGAATATATACTTTAAATTAAAAAAAAATGAATATCTGGTCTTTCAGTTTAATCCTCTACTGGTTTATTGACTGTTAAACAAAGTTGCCAATTTGTAACCTCAAAGGAAAACAAAGTGACCACAATTATGTACTGATAAGTAGATCTCTAGGAAAGAAATCAGAGATTCCCTAAGCAAAGCATCCATTGGCCCTATGGAAATTCTCTTTAAAACAGCATAAAGCATGTTATTAGCCTTTTGGTCACTAGAGGGTGGTGTTGTTTCAGACCAACACAATTCACACTATATCCGTAGTAACTGACCAGAAAGTACCAACCAGAATCCAACTGCCAGCTTCACACTGTTACTCCACAAAACCTCACAGTCACTTGTTTACAAGGTGAATAGCTAAAGGCAGACAATATAGGATGAAGCAAAGTGCTGAAAGAAGAGAAATACCCAAATTATCTGAAATGCAACACATTTTGTTCATTGGCATAGAGGTTAGTGAGAGGCTAACAATTCTTTACTAATACATGCCCCGACGCTTACCATGCTTATCAAGTCCAATTGGCTACAGCAAGCACTTCAGTGGGAGAAGTAAAAGTTTCAAAGAAGTCAAATATTTGTGAATAAAAATGAGAATAGTTTTTGATGTAACTGGAAAAAGATAAGCCTTGCTTCCTTTGCTGTGTGAATGGTGATATGGTCTTAAATTTTAAATATTGAATTACACTAGAATTTTACTAACTATAGATGGTATAAACTTGATAGCCACTTTCATCCAAATGCTTTGGATAAAGCTTTGTCTAAGAATAACCTCAAATATTATTTTATTTTCAAATGATATTAGGCTAGAAAAATACTATCCCAAATACAGGTTTGAGATTAATTCAAAATAATAAGACAAAAGTTTACGGAAGATTTTAGAATCAAACCATTTCACCCTTCCTAGCTGTTGTTCCCATTGTAAACGTGACATTTTAGTCAGTAAAACGCAAAAGTGCAAAACATTTTTAAATGACAGCAAAACACAAAATGAAATTCATGTTGTGATTAATGCATCTTATTAAAATGGAGTTTAAGTTGCATTCTTGCTTTTCCTTCTTTAAAAAACATATAATGTTATAGTGATATTTTTTCAAACTCTCATACAGAATCAAGACAACAGCACATAAAGTATGCAGAGGGACATATCCCATTCTTACCTCTTAACAGTAATTTAAAAGTTAAGAACACCCATACAGAACATCAGCTAAGCTAGGAAAGGCAAAACTGATTGGGCTTGTTCTGAAAGTTGATCTGTGTCAATCAAAATAATGGTCTTTAGAGTGCTATATGATTAAGTCTAATTTCTTAAATATGAGGAAAAATGAACTTTGCAATTATTTTTAAAAATCTTTTCATCTCTTAGACAGTGTAAAAAGGCAAAAAGCAAAAAACACAAGACTTTCCCAAGATTAGGGGAAGATGATCTCACCGTTAATATTCATCTGCTGAGAGCAGTTATGGGACCCATGTCAGGAATACATGCTTCAAATAAGATGGGACTTGAGAATTGCTGAGAGACTTCAGGAACATTCTTTAACTTCATGGGGCCTCAGTTACCCCACCTTTAAGGGAAATAATAATAGCAATAGTACCTTGGAGGATTTCTGTGATAAAATGAGAAAATGCTTGTGAGAAGTACATAAAATATTGGCTTACTGAAAGATGTTACGAGGCAAGCAAGTATGCCTATTTTCATTCAATGTTTATTATTTCAAAGGCAAAGTTTCCATATAGATTAAGGCCTTCATAACATCTGAATACCTTTTCTAGTTCTTATTGTATGAAGATAAGAAGGATGGTTGGAGGCTTTGTAAGGAATACCTTTCTCTTCTGCTCCCCTCTCACTCCCATAGGCTGGGAGCAGTTGATTTCACTACCTCAGATATGCAAATTGATGCCACCTTCCTGTAGCCACTTTTGCCATAGCTGACCTTTTTGTTGGGTGGTGGGGAGGGGAGCGGGCAGGATTAGGCGAGGGGTAGTAGTTGGGATTTCTTGGTCTTGGAATTCAACCATCCGATGTATTTGTTTCCCTGTGTCTATTCCCTTAAGTCTACAGGCACTGTCTAGTAATTTTATAGTTTTCAGCGGCACCCCAGGGGACAGGACACCTTGGCCTTTTTATAATCACTCTAGAGTCACAAAGCAGAAAGGAAAAAAGTTAACGATCAGCTATGCAAAGGCTTGTGTGGATTGCTTAAGGACAGGCGATTTTCACTTTACCAGAGTTACTAAAGGACTTCAGGAGAAGGATCCCGTCCCTGTAGGAGCGTTTGTGGTTGAAGAAGCAGGAGGACGAGCGCTCAGGTGCGCCTCGGCAGTTTGCCTGGGGTCCGCAAGTCCAGTGCTACTTATTAGCTGCTTGCCGTCCACCGACACTTTAGCGGAGAACTGGAGGAGACCCCAGTGGGCTCCCGGTCCGGCCAGGAGCAGGGCGTTTCAGAGGAGACCGTCTGGGGCTTCCCAACCCAGGCGATCAGGATAGGCAACAGCCAAGAGAGGCGCTCAGTTGCTTTGCACCCTCCTCCCACCTCGGTTCTGTCCACACCCACGGGCGCCCCGCCCCCTCGGCCTTATAAAGGGGACTCGGCACCTCCGCGCGCCTCGCCACCAGAGGTTTCCCAGAGAGGAAGGCGTGGCTCCCTCCCGGGCCAGTGAGCCCTGGCGCCGCCGCGGCCGCGGTCCCAGCAGCGGAGTAGGGCGGCGGCTGCGCCCCGCACCATGGGGGGCAGCCCAGCCCCAGCCGCGGTAAACGCCGACCTCCGCCGCCGCCCGCGCCGCGTCTGCCCCCTCCCGCTGCGGCTCTCTGGACGCCATCCCCTCCTCACCTCGAAGCCAACATGAAGGAGACCCGGGGCTACGGAGGGGATGCCCCCTTCTGCACCCGCCTCAACCACTCCTACACAGGCATGTGGGCGCCCGAGCGTTCCGCCGAGGCGCGGGGCAACCTCACGCGCCCTCCAGGGTCTGGCGAGGATTGCGGATCGGTGTCCGTGGCCTTCCCGATCACCATGCTGCTCACTGGTTTCGTGGGCAACGCACTGGCCATGCTGCTCGTGTCGCGCAGCTACCGGCGCCGGGAGAGCAAGCGCAAGAAGTCCTTCCTGCTGTGCATCGGCTGGCTGGCGCTCACCGACCTGGTCGGGCAGCTTCTCACCACCCCGGTCGTCATCGTCGTGTACCTGTCCAAGCAGCGTTGGGAGCACATCGACCCGTCGGGGCGGCTCTGCACCTTTTTCGGGCTGACCATGACTGTTTTCGGGCTCTCCTCGTTGTTCATCGCCAGCGCCATGGCCGTCGAGCGGGCGCTGGCCATCAGGGCGCCGCACTGGTATGCGAGCCACATGAAGACGCGTGCCACCCGCGCTGTGCTGCTCGGCGTGTGGCTGGCCGTGCTCGCCTTCGCCCTGCTGCCGGTGCTGGGCGTGGGCCAGTACACCGTCCAGTGGCCCGGGACGTGGTGCTTCATCAGCACCGGGCGAGGGGGCAACGGGACTAGCTCTTCGCATAACTGGGGCAACCTTTTCTTCGCCTCTGCCTTTGCCTTCCTGGGGCTCTTGGCGCTGACAGTCACCTTTTCCTGCAACCTGGCCACCATTAAGGCCCTGGTGTCCCGCTGCCGGGCCAAGGCCACGGCATCTCAGTCCAGTGCCCAGTGGGGCCGCATCACGACCGAGACGGCCATTCAGCTTATGGGGATCATGTGCGTGCTGTCGGTCTGCTGGTCTCCGCTCCTGGTAGGTAGTTCCAGGGTTGGGGGAAGTCAGGATGCGTGTGCGAGTAAGCGGGAACCTAAGACTTTGCTAAGTGGCAGCACCCGCAGGGGTGTGTTTGCAACCGCAGAGCGCTGAAGTGTCCTTTCCTCCTGCCCGCGCGGTCTTGGTTACAGCTTCAGAGCTGAGCTCCTCACTTACTAGCTGAGCGCCTTCCAAGAGCCAGGATTCGCATTAGGCACTGTTTATGAGCACATAGAGATCACAGGGCTGCTCACATTCTAGTCGGGTAGGAGACAGGATGTGTCATTGAAATGACATATATGCAGAGCTAGAAGTTTGTCCTGAGTGCATTAAAAGCAGAATTGCTATGATAACTGTAGCCTGATATTGTGGGGTTTTTTTTTTTTTTTTTTTTTGAGACGGAGTCTCGCTCTGTCACCCAGGCTGGAGTACAGTGGCGCAGCCTCGGCTCACTGCAAGCTCCGCCTCCCGGGTTCACGCCATTCTCCTGCCTCAGCCTCTCCGAGTAGCTGGGACTACAGGCGCCCGCCACCACGCCCGGCTAATTTTTTTTTTTTATTTTTAGTAGAGACGGGGTTTCACCGTGGTCTCGATCTCCTGACCTCGTGATCCACCCGCCTCGGCCTCCCAAAGTGCTGGGATTACAAGCGTGAGCCACCGCGCCCGGCCGGGTTTTTTTTTTTTAATTTCAAATTCCTCTTTCACGTTAATAAGATTTTCAGTCTGCAACCCCATACAGTCACAGCCCTCCTGCAGCTTCTGAAAGACTGCGCGACCTATGGGTGCCTTCAAGGTTCATTCTTGATGAGGCAGGAGAATGAAAGATACGAGTTGCCTCCTCAGCCTTTCGCCATGGTGCTTGACCCTCTAGGAAGTGCCCGAACGACAGTCAGTGGGATCCGGAAGCTCAGCAGCTTCTTCAGGCCAGCATTTACTTACCCTTGTAGCACTCAAGCAGGGTTCGCTAATCCTGAGATAGGAGGTAGAGGTTTCTCCATGTCCTAGCTCCTCACACCAGAGCAATGCAGAGGAGCAAGGGATGTTTGCAGAGGCTCTTTGCCTAACACCTGCCCTTACGTGATATTTTTGAGGTTTTTTTGTCTGTGTTACTTTTAGCTAGAAATGTCCGTGTGTAAGTGCTGTTTACTAATTCCTGAAGAATGGATGCTTACTTAGGCCCTGGGGTGTCTGGGTTAATAGATGTTGCAGAAAGAGCGATATGGTCACTGTTACAAAGGTATAACCAACTATATGTATTATACAGTTGTGGAAAACCTTTGAAACACGTGAACGCAGTTTTTTTTCTTTCCTAATTATGGTAAAATATATTACATACAATTCAGTATTTTAACCATTATTATGTGTACAGTTCAGTGGCATTAGGCATTAAGTACGTTGAGTTTTTTGTGCGCCATGTATACTTTTAAATCCCTTGCATTTGAAAATAGAAATGTAATTTCTTTAACCTGGTTTGGTAGATTGGAGCACAAACCTTGGCTCCAAATCAGTGACATGAGGGGACAAGGAGTGTTATGCTGAGACCTAACTGCCCACAAGTCGCTGTATGGTCACAGTTCTTTATTCCAGGAGTTGGAACTCAGGCTGATGTCATCACTATGGCTTATCAAAACCAGCACCAGTTTTAGATATACAGTATTTACTTTTATGGCTGAGGAATGGAGTGTACAGGTGGCCAACTAGGAAGGAAGAAAGAGTTCTAAATAGTAAACACTTTACTAAAGTGTGGTAATTAATATAACTTTAAAGGCAAACAGGGTATCAGTTTTTCACAAGTGTCATTTGAGTCCCACATCTTTGAGTTTGCTGTATCACATGATTTATATCCTAGGGAAAAAAAATGCAGTTAAATCAATTGAACAAAATACCCATACAGTTAATCAGACTTATAATTTATTGTTTGTGCATTTTGTTTTTAAGTCAAAGCGAAGCCATGTAGTGTGTTTTTGATTTAGACACTTTAATTCTAGTACCAAAAGTATGGTGGCCTCAGAAAGAAAGTAGATCAATCTTGAAAACTGTAATTTAGGATGGCCAAACTCACTCTTTCAAGAAAGACTGCATTTGAAACTAGTCTTACTTAATTTCAATTTATTTTCATTTGGATAATACTTATTGATTTATAGCATTTTACTGGGTACTTTATTAATTCAATTATAAAAACATTAAACAAAATAAATTAAACATGTGATCATATCAAAAAGGAGAATTTTTTTTTTTTTTGAGACTCTGTCTCAAAAAAAAAAACTCCAGGCTGGAGTGCAGTGGTGAGATCTCAGCTCTCTGCAGCCTCCACCTCCCAGGTGCAAGTGATTCTACTGCCTCAGCCTTTGGAGTCACTAGGATTACAGGCGCCCGCCACCACACCTGGCTAATTTTTGTATTTTTAGTAGAGATGGGGTTTCACCATGTTGGCCAGGCTGGTCTCGAACTCCTGACCTGAGGTGATCCGCCCACCTCGGCCACCCAAAGTGCTGGGATTACAGGCATGAGCCACCGTGCCCGGCCTAGGAGAAATGAGAACTTTTTAAAGAAAATGGTTCCATCGGCTGGGCGCAGTGGCTCACGCCTGTAATCCCAGCACTTTGGGAGGCCGAGGTGAGTGGATCATTTGAGGTCAGCAGTTCGAGACCAGCATTCCAACATGGCCAAACCCCGCCTCTACTAAAAATACAAAAATTAGCGGGGCATGGTGGCATGCGCCTGTAATCTCAGTTACTCGGGAGGCTGATGCAGGAGAATTACTTAGGCTAGGGAGACAGAGGTTGCTGTGAGCCGAGATCACGCCACTGCACTCCAGCACGGGTGACAGAGCAGGACTCCCTCTAAAAAAAAAACAAAAAACAAAAAAAAAACTCCAAATATCTTCAAAAAGATTTACTGTACAAAGTTGGAATTACTACAAAGAAAAGAAACTGGCAAAGCTGCTTTCTTAATAGAGAATTATAAGAATAAAAACACTAGAATTTAGTGAATTGAATTTTCAGCATATTAGTGTTAAAATGAGAGATTAACGCTGTTTTTTCTAACTATGAGTGTAATATAGGTTTCCTGCTAGCATTCGTTAAGTTGGGTGTAGGATACTATTCTAATTGTCCAAACTTCTTACTTGAAAGGACCCTGAGTATATCCTGGAAGACTATCATGACTATAATAAATATTCAGTTGTTACTGCAGGAAAACTTGGTAGTACAGAAACACCATAATAAGAAAATGTCCCAACAGCTACAAGTTCACACTACATAAATACTTAAATAGAGGTTTATGTATCCTTAAACAAAAGCTTTGTTTCCTTTTTCTTTTTCTCAGAAATTTTGCAAAATACAATATAAAATGTGAAATTAAGAGAGTACAGTGGGAAATTATGTCACCATGATAGATGACCTACAGTTTTTAGTTACTGCTTATGTAAGGCATCACATTGTCATTCTGTTGCAATCAGCCAGTTCATCCAGCAATGCAATCTATTTGATTTTTATCATTATTTTATGTTTTATATTTTATGAATGATGCTCACCATAGCTCAGTTGTTTGACCTGATAGCTAAATTTCCAGAAATGGGAATAACCTTAGGATTTTGTTCAAAGGAAGCTATGAGTACATTTTGTACTTTTATAACTTGGCACTCCCAAACAGGTAGAATGTGGCTAATACTGTAAGCTATCTCAAAAACAGTAAATACAAAGCCAGCTATGAACATCATGAAAAGTGAGGTATGAGCAACAAACAGTTTCTCATCATCAATCTTGGAACTGGATAAAAGCAGCCTTAGAAACTTTTGCCTTTAATCTTGAACCACTGAATTCCCTGCTCAGTATCCACAAATACAGAGATGTTTCAGTTCAAGAAGATATTTCACAATGTAGTTGTGATTTTTTTTCATTTTAGTTAAGGAGTCACTGATGTATTTTGACAAGCGAAATTTGCCTTTAATATGCCACATGTGGTAGATATGTATGATGAATTATTTTCAGAAATAATGTTGTTTTATAGCATATAAAAGTATTATTCAATTGCTAATCTCTTCTGCCTCAACTTTCTGCCATATTCAGGATGTTGCTTCAGAGAAAGTGATTAAACATATGAATCCACATTGTAGGAAAAATATTCTATAATTTTTCTCTTTTGAAAAAGGTGTGAAGGTCAACAAAATATTCTATGATTATAAAACTGATTAATGTTATAATCTGTTCAGAAAAGCAGAATTTCCACATTTATGAGTGAAATATTTAAAGAATTATAATACAAGATAGGATGTAATTAATGCCTTTGGCTCTCAGAAAAAAGTCAGTCTGAATTTGCCAGAGGAGATTTCCAGGAAGATGAATTGGCATAACCTCATTTCATGACTTCATGACTGAGAGCAAGTGTGTCCCAAAACCCAGCCCAATGAGAACAAAGGGTGCACACTAGATCAATGGGAATGATGTTTTAAAAATGTTCAAGAAAACAAATTTAGATGGTTAGTCCCTGAATGACAAGATGAGGACTTCACTCTTTTGAGTTTATCAGAAAGAGCCAAGAATTAAACACTTCTTAAGCCATCATCTTTGAAGAAATTCACATGGTCTGAAGTTGTAATATAATTGTGAGTCACTGGCCCTTCTCTTTTGAACAAGCTGTGAAGGTCAACAACTAAATTATAAAAGTTTCCATAGGTTTAGTTTTCTGGGACTAACACTCAGGAATATGCACCACAGGCATCTGTAACAGACTATGATTCATCTGAGGGTGCAGAGGGGTGGTAGGTGAGGGATACTGGGTGCTAAGTTTCAGTTTTTGGTTCTGCCCTTGCATTGCAGGACAGAAATGCAGGGAAGTCCCCCCTAAAACGCTGTACATCTGCGTAACATTTTTGCAACCTGCCAGTGTTCCACATTTATCTCATTCATGCCTCACAACACTAAGATCTACAACTGTAACATGTCAAATTCTTACTCTCCCATTTTTTCCAATTGCTTTACAAAAAGACAGGAAGGAAGTTTGTATTTCAACTCCTGCCAGCTGTGCTTCTTGAGAATCATTAGACAATCTCTCTAGTCCTCCTTTTCCCTAGAAACTTCCAACTTTCATAAAGATGGTAACCAATGAAGGAGCCTCATTTTGGGGGGGTTCCTCTTATATCTTGTCCCCTAAGTATATGGCAACATTTTACTGTAAACATAGTAAAGACAGTCTCTGACCTATGCTTTTTCAACTTCATGATGGTGTGAAAGGAATGCACATTCAGTAGAAACTGTACTTGGAATTTGGAATGGCGATCTTCTATTGGGCTAGTGATATGCAGTATGATACTCTTTGGTGATGCATGCACAGCTCCCAGTCAGCCACGCAAACACAAGGTAAGCAACCAATACTCCACAGTGGACTGTGTTGCCAGATGATTTTGCCCACCTGTAGGCTAATGTAAGTGTTCTGAGCATGTTTAAGATAGGCAAGGCTAAGCTATGATGTTCAGTATGTTAGGTGTATTAAACGTATTAAACGCATCTTTGATCTTACAATATATTCAACTTAACAATATTTTCAACTGACAGTGAGTTTACCCAGACGTAACCCTGTTTTAAGTTGAGGAACATCTGTAATTGATTCTTATACAGAAATGACAGTTGGGCAGCATATGACTGAGATACATACAACATGGGAACTCTCTGTGAATTCCTGCACCCTGCTCTCTTTACACAGAGCACTTCTTTCTCCATTTTTCATTGCCACTTTACCCCTCAGCCATTCAGCAATATCTGCCAAGCACCCACCTCTCTTGGATTGGCTAAGATCTCAAGTTAGAAGCCATTTTCTAGCGAAGCCTTCCTTCATCCTCTCTAGGCCGTGATTGGGTGCCCTGATCTCATGATACCCCGCATTTCCCTTTCACAGTCTGAGTCACACTTCATTGGAGACATTGGTTTATTGTCTTTCTGTTCTTTTAGTTCTGCTAAGGTCAAGTACAGTGTGTGTCTTGCACATTATTTTTTCCTAGGAACTATCATAATTGCTTGCCACATAAGGTCTGCCCAATACGTGTTTATTGACTGAATACTTTTTTTTTTCTTTTGAGACAAAGTCTCGCTGTTGCCTAGGCTGGAGTGCATTGGCATGATCTCGGGCTCACTGCAACTTCTGCCTCCTGGGTTCAAGTGATTCTCGTGCCTCAGCCTCCCGAGTAGCTGGGGTTACAGGCATGCACCACCACATGCCCTGCTAATTTTTGTATTTTTTTTTTACTAGAGACGGGATTTCACCATGTTGGGCAGTTTGGTCTCAAACTCCTGTCCTCCTGTGATCCTCTCGCCTCTGCCTCCCAAAGTGCTGTGGCATTACAGGCACGAGCCACCGCGCTGGCCTTGACTGAATACTTGAGCAACCAAATCAGAAGACAGGGTCTGGCCCCATGTAAATAAGCAATTACTTTTGGCCTTAGACAATTCACTTGATAACTTTATGAACCCTTCCCTTCCTTTCCTTTCCTTTCCCTTCCCTTCCCTTCCCTCTCCTCCTCTCTCTTTTCTTTCTTTTTTTCTTTCTCTCTTTCTCTTTCTTTTTTTTCTTTCTTTCTTTCTTTCCTTCTTTCTTTCTTTCTTCCCTCCCTCCCTCTCTTTCTTTCTTTCTCTCTCTCTCTTTCTTTCTGAAACAAAAATGCCTACCCAGCTCATTTCACAGTGTTATAATGAAAACCAACAAGATTAACATATGTGAAAATAATGGGGTAGTATACAGTACTATGAAAATACTTTATTACTGAGTCCTTTTAGCAAGCTGGGAACATTCCTTCCATATGAGGAATACCACTGTGATGTTTTACTGGATAGTAGTGTTGACTCTTGTGTTGAGATAGACCTTTCTCCTAGCAAACTGGAGAAAGGAGGCAAGTAGTGTTTCACAGCTTGATTAGTTATAGTTCATTGGGGAAAAAATGTGGTGGAGAATGCAACTTTCAGAAACAGAAAGAAAAATGGTAAACCAACTGTGCCTAATTTTTCTTTCTTTTTTTCTTTTTTTTTTTTTTTTTTTTTGAGACAGAGTCTCGCTCTGTCACCCAGGCTGGAGTGCAGTGGCGCAATCTCCGCTCACTGCAAGCTCTGCCTCCCGGGTTCATGCCATTCTCCTGCCTCAGCCTCCCGAGTAGCTGGGACTACAGGCGCCCACCACCACACCCGGCTAATTTTTTCTATTTTTAGTAGAGACAGGGTTTCACTGCATTAGCCAGTATGGTCTCTATCTCCTGACCTCATGATCCATCCACCTCAGCCTCCCAAAGTGCTGGGATTACAGGGTGCCTAAATTTTTATAAGGTATTGTAATTCATCCCTCCTTCCCTCCCCCTGCCACCATCCCTCCTCTGCATTCTCTCAGCCCTGTAATCTGTTCCCTTTTACAGCTTCTAGTTAGCTCTCTAACTCCAAAACACACTGATCCCATTTCCCCTTTCCCTTACACCTGAGGGAAGAGCTAGTACCTTGTGTCCTGAAGACCTCTGTCACAGGTCTGGAATGCTCTTTTCTGCTCGATGGCCCTGAGAAGGGGAGGACTTATCTGCAGTGAACAGTTCCCCTCCCCACCTGAACAGTCATTCCTCTGTGTTGGAGTTAAATGTGGGTCTTGCTAGCACCCACAGCCTCTCATGTGAGCTCTTTCCAGTCAGGGTCGTCTTCCTGTTATCCTATATGTGCACAAACCTATTCTCAATGGAATCTTGAGTTGAACTAATTGTGCATCTAACTGTTGTCTAGGATCAAGTCATTCTGCAAACTTCTTGAGAGAGTCTCTCCCTCAGTTGTCTTCATCTTTTCACAGGCAATTAGAAATGTTGGGACTGAACAGAACCTGTGCTGCTGACTGACAGCCCAGAATTGAATTTACACAAGCCTTAAGTCAGACCAAAGTGTGTGAATCATAGAGTTGTAAACTGCTTCATACAGTTTGACCAGGTCCTGACAACACATTAATATTATTTGTGGCCTGCAAATAGCACAATGTGTTATTTTTCTATCCAGTGGCCTTTCCAGATATTCTCTGGGACCACATTTATAGGGAGGACATTTCAGTGACTTATGTGGGTGCTTACTTAAAATCCAAATATTATTTTAGTGAACTAATTTTATGATAGATATTTGAAGGATCATCGATCTAAAATGAAAAATGGTAGCAGAAATGGAAGAGGAGGCTTGAGTATTCACACTTTATTTTTAGAAAAAAGAAAATGCCTACTAATTTAGGCAAAAGTTGTGCAATATAGATACAAGATAAATTCTCCACCAGATACCATTACTGTTTAAAAACTCTTGGTAATACAAAAACAAAAGGCCATGTTGGAACTGGAAGCCTGTTTATTTCAAGCAATAATTGGTCCCCAAATATTAAGTGTAATTTAAAACATATACTTTCCACTAATTTTTTGTTATATCCTGAGAGTAAATTTGATTTGTATATCTTTTTGTCTCTCTTTCTGAACACATAATAAATGTCATTTTCTATGGTTGAGAATATGCTGCTGTTGTGATTCATAAAAATTTGGAAAAAAGAAGTGTGTGATTAATGTTGAAAATGATGAAAGAGTGATTGTAAAAGATAAGATTCATTCTGAGAAATTCACAAGACAGTAAAGTGGAGCACTAATTGCTGTTTGATGTATGAAATTTCACTGGTAACATCTTGCTACCAACAACCTTATTTGGGTCAGAGCTCCTGGCAGATCACACACTTTCATATTTCCCCAAATAGAAGAATGCCTCAACAGCCAGCTCCTCAGCCACAGAGTAGCATCAGTGATTAAGTGACCCCCGACTTGTGAGGACTCCTCTCTGCTTCATAAGAAGAACAGAAGAAAGTTATTAAAGAAGCAAGTGAGTGCCACAGAGAGAACAAGGCACTGGATGGCAAGAGACCTGGATCTGGTCACGGCCTTGCCATGTGATCTAAGTCACTTTATCTTGCCGGACTTTCCTTTTCTAACCGGTAAGATAAAACGATTAACGACTCTAATCCTCCTTTCAGTTCTCACTTCCTGTAGCTCTAAATAGATTAAATCGTCCCTATTGGACATACTATTTCAGATATATGGGGGAAAATACGTAAAAACTTATTAGGAAAAAGCATAGAAATGTATGCAAATGGACAAAATAGATCACACATTCTTTTATCCAGCGATTCTATAAATATTTATTGAGAGCTTGTTATGTGCCTGCCACTCTCATCACTCTGGTAATACAGTGGTGGTCAGCACGGATTCATTTAGCTATAAAGGTTGAGCAGTTACGTTGCTCGAGAGAGTGCTATTCACATTATATTGTAAGACAATGACAATCTTTGGAGTTGAGCAGTATGCAATCTGTGCAGCTCTACGTGGTAGCCTCGATGGTAAGCCAAATGGAATGCTATCTTCCTTCACATAGCTTTCAGTCTACTAAGGTAGACAGACAGTAGATAATCAGTCGTTCCAATAAGCCAATGTAACTAGTCGGATAGGTCTTACTGTGGTTGCCCTTACTATCACACATGAGATTGGCCTCATGTGGGCAGGACACGGCTGGTCCAGTGCAGCATGATGGCCCTAATGGAACACGCTTGGCCCCAACTGTACTGGGTCTGTGCTTGGACTCCATAATTAGGGAGCACATTAATTCACACCTGTGACTCCAGCTGTAATGCTCAGCTGCAATTCTCCGAGCACAAACACTGCCAGAGTGAGTACATGGACTCAAAGGGCTGCTGACCTCAGGCCACATGCTGCTCTAGAATCAGCCTTACTTCTGGGATCATTAGGCTCTGGGTGGTACTCAGATTATCTCCTGAGAAATGTGTCTTTCCCTTTCTTTTTTTTTTTTGAGACAAAGTCTCGTTCTGTCACCCAGGCTGGAGTACAGTAGCACGATCTCGGCTCACTGCAAGCTCCGCCTCCTGGGTTCATGCCATTCTCCTGCCTCAGCCTCCCCAATAGCTGGGACTACAGGAGCCCACCACCACACCCGGCTAGTTTTTGTATTTTTGGTAGAGACGGGGTTTCACCGTGTTAGCCAGGATGGTCTCGATCTCCTGACCTTGTGATCCGCCCACCTCGGCCTCCCAAAGGGCTGGGATTACAGGTGTGAGCCACTGTGCCGGGCCCCTTTCTTTTATTTTTTATTTTTAATTAATTTATTTTATTTTGAGATAGGGTCTTGCTCTGTCACCCAGGCTATAGTACAGTGGTGTGATCATAGCTCACTGCAGCCTTGAACTATTGGGCTCAAGTGATCCTCCAGCCTCAGCCTCTGCATAGTTGTACTATTAGTTGTGCACCACCATACCCAGTTTTTCCCTTTCTCTAAGTTTTCTTTTAAGGCTTGTATGTCTTTTCCCTGTAGTGAATGTGGCCAAATCCACTCTGCTCCAAGTTTTTTGGCTTCAAATCTTGAGAGAAGAGGTTCAGTTTCTTGATCTCCTCTTTGACCAGAAGTCCCTGGGCCCCTTAAGCACCATCTACCTCTTCCCAAGTGACCACAGAGTGTTGTGTGGGTTTTCCTTTGGTATACCACACAATTTCCCCTGTGTAAAGCTAATGATTCCAAATTTACCAGAATAAGTAATTCTTCTGAAACTTCTGCTCCAATGTAATTTGTTCTGCCCACTTGACCAGAGAAGTGCAGATGGATGCTGGCATACCTTTTTATACATCAAAAACGAGCACTTTATGAAGGCAAGAGAAAGGTAATTTGAGAGAGTGTCAAGGAAGATCTCCTACTGATGCATTGGGATTAGGGAGGGCATCTCTGGGAAAAAGGTCATTTATGACGAGTCTTACAAGATAAGACCTCAAGGAAGAAAGAGCAGTATGTGAAGGTGTCAGTGCAGGAATACACTGGAAGCATTGGAGGAACTGAAAGAAGGCCAGATGGATGGATTAGAGTGAGTAAAAAAGAGATTGCCTGCAAGGCCAGCTAGGGAGGGAGGCAGGGCCAGATAATTCACAACCTTGTCATTTTTGTTTGGGAGTTTAGATTTCTACCACAAGTACAATGAAAAACAACTGAAAGCTGTAGGGGAATGATTTGATCTGCTTCATGTTTTAAGACCACTTAAGGTTGCCTAATGGATTAGATGGGTAGAGCATCAGAGCCCTCGAGTACTGAGGACAGATGGAGATGTAGAGACATTAATATAAAGAAAAGCCTTCTTCCTTAAATGTTGCTTTAAAAGAGGAGTGGGAAGTAGCTTGGCCTAGAATCGGTGAGAGAGGGGAAGCAGCAGTGGATCTGTGCAGATGCACCACGGAAAATATTGAACCAGATGTGCTGGGAATGGTAAGCAGATCTGTTTTTGTAGAAGTACATTTGAGAATGTCAAAAACTATAGATATAGTCAAATAGAGACTGAAGGGAAAGGGAGAAACACATAAGTAGATTGCTTAAGATTAGGAATGAGAATTTGTATTTCATTTTGGGCAATTTGTATTGATTTTCTATACTGTTCTATATTTGTAAAATAAGAGAGTGTGCATTATAAAACCTGAATTCACAAACCTCGTTTAGGAAAACAACTCATCTAATATTTGATATCTTTCTAGAATATTCTTAGTGAAATTGTTCCAGCTTTGTTTACACTTTGTTGAACACCCTTAATAATAGGAAATTTTTTACCTTTCAAGAACTCTAGGAATTTTCTTAGAGCCAAGATTGTGCCAGGCTCTTTCTCACACATACTTTTTTTAAAATTTCTTGCAATAACCCTATGAGATAGGCATTTTTGTCGCCAAAGTTATTATGATGAGAAAACTAAAGCTGAGAGGAGTTGAGTGATTTGTTCAAGGTAGCAAAGCTATTAAGTAGACAGGCTGGGATTGAAAGGCCAATAAATTTTCAATAAAGAAACAAAGCTGAGAACCATTTAGAATTCATTTGTCCATGTTTCCTCCATGCCATGATGCCTTAGAATACCCCAATTCATCTTGAGCTGTTCTTTGTATTAGAAAAATTCATTTCCCTTATATTGACTGAGTCAGAATCTGTCCTCCCTTTTGCTTCCACCCTTCGGTGCTAATACTAGCTCTTGGATTAGTTAGAGCAATACTACATTTATTTTTATTTTACTATTATGTTTTATCACAAAGAGGTTACATTTTTTACTGACAACTCAGTCACTGCATACATACTTTATTGCACAAGTTATAAGTGGATCAACAATTATATTAGCAATGTAAACTCATGTGCATTTACATAAAATGACTGCCCTAGATTCTGGTGCATTTTGTGCCAGGTACTTTGGTAAATATGGCAAACATAAAGGGACTTAGCTATTTCAATTTATGTGAACAAAAGGTAGCATATATATCATCTTATAAAATACCTGTTATGTCAAATCCAGGAAAATCAATAAATGACAAAAGGAACACATTAAAAGAAAATTTAGCGATAAAAATGTTAGATTAAAATATTAGGTTTAAAAACTTTAACAGTTTTTCCCTGCTAGTATAAATCATTGTTTTGTAGTTATTAATATAACTCACATAAATGAGTTTTAAAATAAGATTCTTCTCACTCAAAATAAAATAAGATAAAACTAATATTACCTCCACCAAATTACAAAGAAATCCTATCAAAATGCTGGCCAGATAAAGAATCCAGATACAGACACATCATAACAATACTAAATTTACTTAAAGACATCTTTTATTTTTAAAGGTTTTTTTAATTTTTAAAGATAAAAATACTATACCAATAACTATACAGAGTAGTATTACTAATGCAGCATTATATTATTAGGTAATGAGGAGTTCTACTAAGTTTTTAAGCAGAAAAATAACAAAAAATTACCTTGACCACGGCAGAAGGAGGAGCCATGATTTATAATTTATTTAGCAGACACTTATTGAATACTGATTGTGTGTAAGGTAGTGCTACAATGACGTGACCCTTGTCCTCAAGGAATGTGTTGTCTTTAAGACGATTTCCTGGAGAAACTTGAAATTGACTCAAAAAAAAAAGCAGCAGCATTTTCCATCTTTAATTTTCAAAAAAAGAAACAAAGCTGAGAACCATTCAGAATTCATTTATCCATGCATGCAATCAGTATTTGTTTATTGAGTCCATACAATGTGTCAGGCACAGTTCTAGGTGCTGGAAATATGGCAGTGAATTAGGCTAGTTTCATGCTCTCAGGGAATTAGCATTCTAGTGGAAGGAGAGAGGCAATAAATAAACTAGAAGTCTAGTGATTGTGATAAATACCATTAAGAAAATGAAGCAGTGTGCCAGAATAAAGCCTGAAGCATCCTTCTGGCAGCTATGTGGAGCTGGATTGCAGAAAGGTATGTGTGGGAACAGGGACACCAGGTAGAAGGCTGTTGAAGTCATCCAGGTAAGAGGCGGTGACAACTGGGATTGGAGTGAAGTACCCATATTGACATAGTGTTTTGGAGACAGTTTGCCAGACATTTTGAAATTTCTCTAATCCCTGTCCTATGACTCTGACAAGAAATAGGACCTCTCTCTTCCTCTCCAGGCCTTTGGTTTTGAGGTGGCCAGCTATCTACATATGGCTTTCCATTTGGCTCCCCAAGAAGGAAGTGACTGCTCTAAGCTTACACAACTAGGAAGAGAGAATTAGGAGGTAAATTTGATCTAATAGATGTTATTTCCTTTTTTCTGAGACATGAATCAGAACAGTCACACAGAGACACAGAAGTTACCAAAATTTGCTTATAAAATAATAGAATGTCATAAGATTCGTGATCCCCAGAAGATCTGGAGCATGCTGATTTCCAGGCTAGGTCTCAGAAGAAACTTTTTGTTGTCATTGTTCTTTCTAAACGGGTTCTGGTTACTGTTGGCCTCTTTTTCTCCTAAAAGGAGAGCAGTTCTCAAATTAATACTCCCTACTTTTAAAATCAGGATTGTTTGGCTGCAAATGATCGAAAACTAATGCAAACTAGCTTAAGCAAATAAATAAATATAAAAAGGTAGGGGGAGTTGCTTGATTCACATAAATTGCAGGAGTGTGAAGAGTGGAGGTGGCCTTATAGAAGATGGAAGCCAGCACTGTCTCTTTCTGAGACTCTAACTTCAGCTTCTTGCTATGTATCAGAATCCCCACTTCAGGCTCTGCTCCTAAGGAACCAGCCTAAGCCATAGCTTTGCAGCTCTTTGGCTAGGTCTTGTGTTCTTTTTTCAAAGCTTCAAGTTAATAAGTTTATATTTGTGGTCTACATGTGAGGTTTTAATTTTGCTTTTATAATAATACAATATTTTACTGAATACATCATCTTGAAGCACTGTTTAGACATCATAGATTTTTTCTATTGTTTTGTTTTATAAACACAAGAAACAGTCATAGATGACAAAGTTGCATTTTCAAAGACTAGTATGAGTTTTCTAGGCTATGAGGAAAGATTCAGGCTCAGAGAATTTTCCAGATTCAGGCTCAGAGAATTTTCCAGAAGTAAGAGTATAATGAGAGGTGGCCTTATAAGACGAAAATCTCACGAATACTCCATTAACACCATAGTGAGATGACTAGAGAAGAAAAAAGAAGTTCTTTCTTGATTTTTCCATAAAGGATGAGTTGTAGTCTGGGTTTTATGTTATTCTGGCAACCAGCTTTTTCTTTATAAATCAGTAGCTGTGCTAACGGCCAACATGCTGGGTGGCAGACTTTTGAATTTATTTAATGGTAGTAATTTTCTCCAAGAATAGACTAGGGATTTGCCTGGATCCAAAAGCAAATTTCTTAATATTAGCTTTTGCTCTATAAAAGACATTAGGGAACATTTTAAAATTCTTTTCTCTAGCATCTATTTCTAATTAAATTTTGCTACAGATCAATATCAGGAAGCATGGAATATCTTCTGACTTCAGAATTCTACCCTCCTCCTTAGACATGGTTCTGGGTTGCAAACAACCAACTGTGACTCCAAGTGCAAAGAGCATATGTAGAAGGATTTCAGGAGCTCACAGAGTCCAGAGAAATCTGGCAGGTCAGGTTTGGAAAACAGGCAAGACCCAGGATGTTCTTGATGATGAACTTCAGGCTGCACAGCCAAAGTCCTGCTGGAAAAATGTTTGCTGCATGCCTCTGTGATGAATCCAATGTCTAAAAACCCCCTTCTTCTTTGTGTTATGCTTGTAAAATTCAAACTTCTGTTGCCAGCCTGACTGCTGTAGCTTGGGTTATTTACCCCTATGCTATAACAAAGGATGAAGGCTCAGGCACCTCCAGCACTTGGTTTATGACATATGTGCTGGGATTTCTCTCCCACCCAGAATACAGAGAAACGGTTATCCAGAATTGGGATATTAATAATAAAAGGTGGGGGTTCATTTTTACCATCTATCCAATTTATTCGTAGAAACATTATAATAGTAACATACTTTTGAAGCCTTGTGCACATGTGCGTGTGTGCACGTTTGTGTGTGTGTGTGTGTGTGTGTGTGTGTGTGTGTGTGTTTTCCTGCCACCTATCTGTTGGGAAATTGGGGTAGCAGTGAGACTGGTGGAGCGCAAACTGAAGAGAGCCACAAAAAATAAAAGGACTTCTATTTACTGAATGCCTGTTATGTGCAGGTACATACTTGACAATTACCCTTTCCATATATTACCTAATTTAATCTTCACAACAATTTTTGAGTTTGTTACCTTTCATTCCCATGTTTCAGTTGCAAATAATAAGACAGAAAAGATTTTATAACTTTCTCTAATCATATTCCTAGTAATTAGTAGATCTTAGGCTTTTGTACACTATAATGCTATGTGTCACGTTTTTCTCTCTTATTAGTTTATAAAAATATTTTCAAATCACTTCGTTGAAAATATTGTACAAAAAAGAACAAATTGATTGAGAATAGTAAAAAAAAAATCACTGAAATTGTCTGGGTCAGATAATTATGGTGATGGAGATTTCCTGTAGAATAGCTATTGATTCATCAACTGATTGACCTTTGTAGGAGCTTGAGTATCTAGGGAGCATATTCTGAAAAATCCCGTAGAAGGTGACAGGAGTTTTCACTTGTCTGACAGTAACTTGTTAAATGATTCCATTCACCACGATACCGGCAATTTAGGAAGTGTTTTTTGTAAAGGTGTGGCATCAATTTTATTTACTTCTGTGTGTCTTTTAGGCTTAGAACATTCACATCCAGTGATAAAGTTTTACTAGGCAAACATTTTTCAGCTAGTACAAGTCACATATATTATTCTTTTCACTAAACTATTTATAAAACAAATAAAACTGTATATTGAATTCTTTTTGCTTGGTGGGAAAGTGTTTGACTACAGTCAAAATTAGAAACTTTGTTTTGACAGTTCTAAAGCCTCCAGTATGATACAGTGCAATTGGGATTCTTGCAAACCTGCTTTCATCTTTTTTCTTATAATTAGGGAAAAGAGAAAGAGCCTTAGAGAACCTCAGTGTGACCACGGTGACTCTCTAACATGGAATTCAGGCATGTTACTATAGTAGCCTCTCACCCAGATTAAAAGGCTTCAGATTCCTTAGTTTAATCCTCAAGATCTTGGATTTGGCCACATTTACCACTGTACCATTTTTTTCCATCCCTACCCCAGCATCCTTACCTTCAGTGATAAAAATCAGTTTGCAGCTCTTATAATGATTCACACAATTTCACACTCAGAAATGTGGACTTTGTCTCAAATACCTACAAAGCATCTGCTGTTTTGGCAGACAGGGGTTTCTCTGAACCTAGAAACTTATTTATTTATTTACTTATTTTGTTATTATTATTATTATTATTATTATTATTATTATTTGAGATGGAGTCTCACTCTGTCACCCAGGCTGGAGTGCAGTAGCGTGATCTCGGCTCAGTGCAACCTCCACCTCCCAGGTTCAAGTGATTCTCCTGCCTCAGCCTCCGGAGCAACTGGGATTACAGGTGTGCACCAACACACCCAGCTAATTTTTGTATGTTTAGTACAGATGGGGTTTCACCATGTTGGCCAGGCTAGTCTCGAATTCCTGACCTCAAGTGATCCTCCTGCCTAGGCCTGCCAAAGTACTGGGATTACAGGTGTGAGCCATCACGCCCGGCCATAGAAACTGATTTAAGTGCCCCTCCTCTTTACTCCATAGTGCCTGTGCATACCTTTATACTTAATTATGCACAGTTATAATTATGGCAATGAGGATGATTGGCCACAATAGACAAATGCTTATTTTATAATTTATGCACATTGCATTTCACAGATATAATTTCATTTTGTTCTATTGATGACAACTTGAGGGGATACTGTCATCTTCGTTTTCAGAAGAGGAAACTGGTTTTGAGATGTAAAGTAACTTTCTTGGGGTCAAATCCAGATTTGTCTGATTTTATTGCCTATGTAATTAACCACTAAGCTTTATGGTCTCCCTCTATTTGTCTGATTCAGTTTAAATTATAAACTGCTTAAAAGCAGAGATCTTGCCTTGTTTTTCAATAAATCTTCCTGGCCCAAAGAAATCACGCAATAAATGATTGTGAAATGAATGAAGAAGGGAAGTGTAATTAAGTGAAAAGGACACTAGAATAGGAATAAGAAGATCAAGGTATAAATCCTAGCTTTAAGAGTTTTGCATACATTAGATGGTTTTTTAATCTTCACATAAATCTTGAAATGTAGGTGACATCAGTTCCTGTTTTTTGTTTTATTTTATTTTACTTTTTCACTTGTTGAGTAAGCAACTTGCTTTAAGGCCACAGATGATAAATAGTGTTGAGTGAATCAAACTCAAATCTTTTTCATTCTAAAGCCACTAATCCAACTTGAATCTAATGAATCATGGGTATTATTAATACAGTAAAAGTTGTTAGTATTTAAGATAATAGTGCATATTTTTCTTTATTCTTTACTTTTATTGTCTCCACTTTGTTGTTAGTAATAAAAATTCTAGAGAAGATTTAAACATACCTTTAGGGTAGACAACTGTAAGAGAGACAACATTGTTTTTATAATGGAAGAGAGAAGTTAATTGGAAGCAATGGGAAGGAGCACAAGAAAACAGTTGCTCTAATGCCTGGTGTTTAAAGACGGAAAAAATGAAAGGGATGTTTGGAAAGGTGCCCTGGGGATAACAATTAAACATGAGGAATTTCGGCGACAATAGGGAAACATAGTAAAAAATAAAAAACAAAGGAAAAAACATAATGCTTCAAAAGTTGCTCCAGAGTGTCACTATATTTATGTTGCCCTCAGTCATTATTAGAGATGATGTAATGTAGTGGTTTGGGAATAAAAAACATAACTGAAATCCAAAATTAGGGCAGCCTTCAGAGTTGGTTAATCCGAAAGCTCAGCATCGTCATCTAGGACCAAAGTTTGCCGCATCTCTCTTTCGCAGTACAGTCTTGGCTTCATCCTACGGCTTGTTCCCCGCAAGTGGTAGCTGTAGTACGTGCTTCCTGGTTAACTTCTAGCAGGAGAGAGAAGCTGTGTTTTTCTATGACTTTCTCTTAAAAACGAGGAAACTGTTGGATCTCATTAGCTAGTATGGGGTCACATGATCATCCCTAACCCCGGCACATTCCTGTAGCTAGGGATGGGGTCAGCCCTGAAGCACATAGGATCCAGTGAAAATAACTATGTCCATGAGCAGGGGAGATGGATGAATGGACCCTGGGTAGGTGACCAATAGTGGACACTGCAGTGATGATACCTACACAGTTTAATTGACAGAATAAAGGTGGAAAACCCTCAAAAAGAATAAAGCACTAAACTTTCATCTATACAGCATAGTAGCATAGTAGCCACTAGCCACATATGGTTATTTGCCTCTTGAAATGTGATTAATCCAAATTGAGATACTTTAAATGTAAACTACACAGCAGAGTTTTAAGATTAAATACAAAAAGGTAAAAAGTAAAATATTGCATTAATAATTTTTATGTTCACTACATGCTGATGTAACATTTCAGATATATTGGGTGAATTAAAATTCAAAATGTTTCTTTTTACTTTTTTAAAAAAAATCTGGCTACTAGAAAATGCAAAAGCATACATGTGCTGCAGATTTGTGGCTTGAATTACATTTCTCTTGGATAGTACTGCATTAGACTGATGATTTTCCAATTGTTTTAACCGGGGGGACTATGTCAATACATCTCTTTAGAGAAATAGATGAAAACAGACCTGTTCTGGTTAAATGGGTTGGGGAACCGGATAGTTCCAAGTCTCAATAGATCTATTTGCCAATTCCTGCAAAACCATTCCTGAAAATATCTACTTCGCCTTGGTGAGGTTGCATAAAATCTTTTGTTTTTAATTTCAGTGCTTTGAGAGGCCAAAGCAGGAGAATCACTTGAGGCTAGGAGTTCAAGACTAGCCTGAGCAATGTAGGGAGATGCCTGTCTCTACAAAAATTTAAAAAGAAAAAAATTAACCCGGCATGGTGGCACATGCCTGTAGTACTAGCTACTAGGGAGGAACCCTTGAACCCAGGAATTTGAGGCTACAGTGAGTAAATTATGATGGCATTACTGCACTCCAGCCTCGGTGACAGAGAAACCCCGTCTCTTAAAAAAAATAACAAAAGAAACTTACATCAAATATAGGATTTTAGATGAATTCACCAAAAGCATTTTCCCTATGATAGTTGTAGGAACTGTTTTATTATTACTTGTTTAAGGTCCTCCCTAGAAGGTAAGTAGTACAGTAAGAATTGCTCTCACTGGGTTCACACGTTAAGGAGAGAGGGAGTCAATGGTGTTGGGATCTGTTTATCTTTTTACAGGAGCCTGGGAGCCTGTGATCCTCATAGGAGTTAGGCATTTGAGTCATGGTAGGAACAGGTTTCTTCCTCATGTTTGCTTCCTTCTTGTTCTTATTATTTACTTTGCTGTTGGACCAACCCAGAATACAGAGAAAAAGTTATCCAAAATTGGGATATTAATAATAAAAGATGGGGGTCCATTTTTACCGTCTATCTAATTTATTCTTAGAAACATTATAATAGTAACATATTTTTGAAGCCATGTCCAACAGCCATGTCCATGACCAAAGTCCCACAGCAAAGTAAATAATAATATAGTATTAATCTAAATAATATAATATTAGTAATAATATAGTATTAATCCAAATAAATCAATAGAAGAGACAAAAGCAGCCTAAGGGGGTAAACACGGAAGATGAACACATTATAATTTTCCATTTTCCTGCATTGCATACAAGTTGTGTCTTATTCAAACTTCCTTCAAACCTGGTATAAAATTGTAAGTACTAACCATTATTTAAGTGAGTTTTTAAAGTCCGATTTCCTGAAAAACAAAAGAAACATTTTTTTCAGAAGTTTCGGAAACTAAAGTTTACAATGAGTAATATAAATATCGCATGGCACTTGCTGGTTTTCAGCTGCCACCTATGTGTTGCTTCCGTTTGTAATACATAACATTCAAATAATAACAAAACAGCAAGTAGTACTTACATAGCACTTATATAGGTCAGGGACTGTGAGTATTACTCAGTTCCTATTTACAGTCAACAGGACAAGAGTTAGCTGTAAAGAAAGCTGGTAAATTTAGCCAGGGGTGTGTTTTGTGTTGGGAAAAGGAAAATGAATGAATATAATGTTAGGAAGTTCCTGATGCCAATACTGAGTACAAGCCTAACCTGGGGAGGGAATTTTGCAAGTGCTAAATTAAACTGTTACTGATGTGTTATCTCAGATTCTGGGGGGTATTTTAAATATTTATTACAGTATAAGCAAGGGGGGAGTAATCACACAATGCCAGATTCACAACTTGAGGAGCTGAAAGTATCACACAATAGCATTGCTTTCGCTTTAACATTAAGAACAGTCTGTGATTTCCTAATCATGACAGGAAGTTTGGCCTTCAATGCCTCAACCTTTCCAAAGAGAGCCATGTTAACTGGGTTTAACCCACAATTTTACTGCTTGGCTCTTGTGAAGGGAAAAAGTTGCAACCAAATATTTCTGGTGACTTTCTCTCCTCTTGGGGCTACCCAGTAGCAGCATTGAAGACATTCCTGCAACTCACTCACCTCACAGGCAAGCATAGTCTCTTATAGTAAGTATTATATAAGCATTAGTTGCTGTTTTGTTATTATTCGTCTTCAGTTGTTAAGCATAAGATATGGTGTTATATTTTTGGGCAAAACTTCTATAAGCAAGGAGTGCTAGAATCATATATAACACTTACAGTAATAAAAGGACTTTTGACACTAAGTATTAGAAATTTGATGATATCCTCATTAAAGACTGTGTTGATATGCATAATATCTTCTTTTTTTCCTTGGGCTATATTTTAAATAAATGTTATTAGATATACAGTTAATAGAATATCCTCTTATAGATTCAATATATTTTATTTTAAATACTTGGTTCTCCTTTCATTCTATAACCCCAACTTACCAGCCTCAGGGTTACTACTGGCTGTCATCTGAACACCAGAACGTTCCACTTAAAATCATGAATGATAAGAAGATGTGCTTATAGTCCATTAGCACCTAGTTTGAAGCTGTTATCCTGGCTAATTATAATAAGAAGGAAGGAAGGAAGGAAAAAAAGGAAGGAAAGAAGGAAGGAAGGAAGGAAGGAAGGAAGGAAGGGCCTGGAATCTTGAAAAGGATTGAATGATGTTCCCCTTCCTGTGGCCATGTGTTCTCATTGTGGGGTGGGGGAGGGGGGAGGGATAGCATTAGGAGATATGCCTAATGTTAAATGACGAGTTAATGGGTGCAGCACACCAACATGGCACATGTATACACGTAACAAACCTGCACGTTGTGCATATGCACCCTAAAACTTAAAGTATAATAAAAATAAATAAATAAATAAATAAATAAATAAATAAATAAATAAATAAAAGAATCAAGTATTTTTTTCAGCCGGGCACGGTGGCTCATGACTGGAATCCCAGCACACTGGGAGGTTGAGGCAGGTGGATCACCTGAGATCAGTAGTTCAAGACCAGCCTGGTCAACACGGTGAAACCCCATCTCTACTAAAAATACAAAAATTAGCTATGCACGGTGGCGGGCACCTGTAATCCCAGCTACTCGAGAGGCTGAGGCAAAAAAAAAAAAAAAAAAAAAGAAAGAAAAGGATAGAATGTCGGTAGATTTGTCCATTACATGAAAACTCTAGAATCTGTACCCCCAAATGGGCAGGATGCACTATACCCTTGCTCTCATTCACTTATTTGTTAATTCAAAAACTTTATTAATCTACTGGGCTTGGCCCTTGCTGTGATATACCTAGAATATAGGATAGAATTGATCCCTACTCTTGTAACAATTTTCGATTATTGAGAGAGACCAACAATTAAAAACAAGCAGCAAGATAAAATGTAGAGAAGTAGAGAATTATGGGAATCCATATGAAGATTGTATTAAGGCTTGCTTTTGTCAAGAGAAATATCAAATAAATTGATGTTTCAAGACCACGCACGAAATAAGTCAGAATTTTTCAAGTAAAGAAAAAGAGGATGAGAGTTTTAAGACTTAAAGATCCACATTTGTAATGCCTCAAAAGCAAGAAAGAACTGTCACTTTTAAAGACCTGCAAGAAGTTCAAGATAATTGGAATACTGATGCATGAGGGTAAAAAATGGTGAGAACTTAGGCTAGAGAACACAACAGGTACTCACCAAGTAAAGAGGAGCTTTGAATTTAAGTGTTTGGACTTTATACTCAGGGCAATGTGTATAAATGAAGGACTTTGCAAAGTGGAATAACAAGATTAAAATTTCATTTTACAAGCATCTTTTTTAAGCAGCAGCATGGGCCAGGCCAGATGGAGGCCAACAAATCATGTCATTGATGATTGTGATAGTTCAGACAAGAGACGATGGAGACCTCAGTTTATGGTCAATTGGGGGTGTAAATGAGAGAAGTGATAGATTAAAAAAAAAACCATAAGAGGTTAGTTGGAGACTCCGTGATTGATTGGATGTGAGGAATATGGTGAATGTGGTGGAATGTGGAGAGAGACAGAGAGACGTAGAGAAAGACACACAGAGAAATGAATCAAGGGTAACTCCCAGGTTTCTGTTTTAGAGATGGGGATTTACTGTGATAGGGAAGATTAATGTAGAAACACCTTTGAGGAAAAAGATAAGAATTTTCATTTTGAAAATGTTGAATTTGATGTAAGACATTCAAACAAAGCCGTGCAATAGCAGCTAAACTAATCCATTTGGAGCTCAGAGAAAAGGTATGGCCTATAGCACATAAATGGGGTTTGAAGCCATTGAGATGAAAGACCACACATAGTCAGTTTATTCACAGTAAGAAGAGGAGGCTCTCTAAGATACAATTCAGAAATGCTAACATATTTTGAGACAGCGAGAAACAGGAGCATATAAAGGGGACTGCAGAGGAATACCCAGAAAGGTAGCAGGAAAATTAGTAATAAAATCAGAACAAATGGTGACTCGAATATTAGGGAAGAGAATGTTTCAAGAGACAGCTACATTCAATTAGGTCTGATGTTACAGACAAGTAAGACTGTGGCGTTGATTCTGCAACCTTGTTGGTGGCCTTGGGAACAGCCTTGTCTGAGGATTTGTGAACACAGAGGTCAGGCTGCAGCAGGTTTTGGAATAAGTTTAAAGGTAAGGAGGGTAGACACCTCTTTTGGGAAATTTGGCTGTAACTTCTGGAGCAGTCTATATGTAGGTAGGTGAGAATTCCACACAGGTTTTATTTTCTCAAGGTGGCAAAAATTTGGACATGTTAAAATGTGACTGGGAAACTGCCAAAAGTGGGAGAAGTTAACTATAAAAGAGGACAGGAACAATTGAGAGTATATGGTCTCTGAAATTCAGGATGGATAAGATCCAGGGGCTAGACAGAGGGTGTGCCTTAGATAGACAGGACACCTCTTCCAGTCAAATAAGAGGAAGGAAAGAATGGATGGCTGCAGATGCTGAAGTTGGTGGCAAGAAGGTGGGAAGCCCCCTAAACAGATTCTGTTCATTTGTGTGTGTATGTGTGTGTGTGTGCCTGTGTATATGTGTGTTTGTGTGTGTGTGTAAGAGAGAGAGAGAGCACTGACTAGAGAATGAATTAGGATTGGTGAGCATACATTTAAGGACACCTCAATCTGCTCATATTCACCCAGTGTCCATCCTGAATATAAGATGCATCTATTTTGGATTCTCCTGTGAGATGAAGTCTTAATAGATTTAAAAGGCAGTGTCATTTTGACATACTGCAAAGTTTAATAAGAATGTATCATATCAGATTAGAACCATATTCATCACCCTGCATTGTGTACCCACTATGTCACAGGAAGGGATTCTTTTGTATGTCATGTCTGTATTGTCCATCAAGTCCATCACTGAGGCCACTTAATTTATCACTAAATTTAGTAAGCCATAATTAATTTGTTGATCAAGCTAAATGTTTTGAACATACAGAGTGTCAGACTGCTTACCTCTTGTTAAATTATGCACACATTGACCTCTTAAGAATTCATCCTAAAATGACCACATTATAGTTCTAGGATTGCAACACTAACACTTTACCAATACATGGATAGATGATTGTTTATAGCTAAGTCACCAGCTACTCTAAATGTAATGCTTTTTAAAGTGTAAAAAATAGCATGTGTATTGTAAAGAATTTGGGGAAAACATACAGAGAAGAAAATAGATATTGCCATAATTCTCACCCAGAGAAAACTACTTCTAGCATATTTTACTATAAATAAGCACAGTTATTTTTTAAAATTTGGATTATACTGTGCAACATTTATTTTCACTTTTCACATTCTGAACATTTCTTCATGTTACTAAATATTCTTCATGTTACTAATATTCAACAGCATGATTTTAAATGTCAGCATTAGAATAGATATAAATTATGCATATGAAGGATGGTCCATAGTTTAAGCAGTGCTCTATTGTCAGTCATCTAGGTTTTTCTAACTTTCTATTTTTATATTGAGGTGACTATCTCTGCACACACAATTAATTCACATCTCTGATTTTTTTCCTTTAAGTGTTTAGTTGTTTTTAATTGTCACGAACACTCCGATTTTCTGAATGGATGAGAGTAAAATTGAACATTTGGGGTTTAAATGAAACTATATTTTGGGAGGAAAAAACTCTGAAATCTAAGCATTTTTAAGGATTAATGTACTTTAAGCCTTGACAATGACATATTATCTAGACTTTCTTTTGACATCTGAAATATAGGTGTTTGAAATATAGTAAAGATAACTCTTCTAACTTGTGTGTCACCCAGCTAATCCATCATCCATAATCCAAGAAATGAATCCTTTGATAGAATAGATTTTGCCTTCCCCCTTTCAGCCAGAATTTGAATACTTACTTAGATATTGACATTGTGTGACTGTTCTAATAGAAAGATAAACATTTATCTAGACATACGTCTTGAGCTATTCTGAGCCAAGTCATACAGAATTTACAATTTATACTACTTGAAAGGGAAATTTTTATGTAGCAAATAATGTGGTAGCGGGCTGCTGGCTTCTTTATAATTTTGATTTTCCATATCCAGTAACTGAATAATGATTCTGCATTACTAAACATTTTTAAAGTGCAAATTTGAGGTGAGTTTTCTAAAACTACTTTATTAGCAAGAAATTCAAGCAATATAGACACAATTCATTTATTTCTTTGTCGTATTCCCCTAAGCATTTTTTTGTTCTGTTTGTGAATGTCAAGACATTTTTTTTTGGAAGCATCTGCAATAGTGTGAGTGCCTGAGGCATGGGAAGAGGTATGCTATATAAATTGAAGGTATTAATTATTCTTATCACATTTTAATTTTTGCAACTGCTCTGCTAGTTGGAGACGATACACAGTAAGTGTGTGTGAATCATGTTTTAGAGAAGGAAGAAGTTAAGAACCAAAATTAGGTAACTAGTCTCCAAACTAGAAGCAGAATTGAGTCAGACTTATGGAAGTTCTTTAACTCTTGGTCAGTATGTTTGCCAGAATCTGCTATTTCTTTTAATAAAAATACCCCCACCCCACTACACACACACACACACACACACACACACACACACACTCTGCTAACATACACCAAAGCTTCATGAATCTAGTCCCTTGTTCTCATACACTGTCTTCTAACTTTGTAATTTTTCTCTTTCCTCCATTTGCCCCTTGGAGTTTTTTTTTGAAGAGGAATTTTGACTTTTGTTTCACACCTATTTCCTGTAGGTTTTAATTATTTGCCAAATGAAATCCTTTCATTTTCCAGCTTTGCCCCAAAAATCATCAAAAAAAAACTGTAGAGGTGTATGCAGAGGCCATCCAGTCCAGCCCCACTGCTTACTAATAAATTTAATAAAGTTCAGAGATAAATGACTTTTCTAAAGTTGTAAATGATGGCAAAACTAGCAATATAATTTACTTGATTCTTAATCCATTGTTGTTTTAAAAAATCTTATAAAATTACGTAGTAGTAATGACGAAATGGCACAAATTCTACTAATTTTTTTAATGTTTATGAGCTGTTTATTTGTAATGTTTTCAGTTTAAATAAGGCAGGGAAAGCTTTTGAAACAGTAGTCTAGGATCCAGAGATGATTTGACAACTGGAGAACTGTTGTAACCAGATTGGAGAGACTACAATTGTTTCTTAATCCACAGTGAAGCTTCTTCCCATGCAAATCCTTCAAATTACATAATTAACTAGTTTAAAGGGCCCAGACTGGTTTTAGTGTATTATGATGAAATACACTTATCAAATTATAGGGGGGAATTTCCAGTAGAGCAGGTTATTCTCCCATAACCTAACAACAGAGAATTACGGAAAACAAAACATCGCAGATAAAAATTGGCTTGTGAGGAAACTTCTCTTAAACACTTGCATTAGGAATAAACTGGAAATGCAGAAACACCCCAGAATTGAGCCTAAGGGCAGCTAACCAATTTATTTCCTCCCCCATAAATTAATTTTTCTGGGTTTCCTCATTTATCATCTTTAATAGATATGTGTGGCCTACAACCCAAGGCATTTTTAAATTAAGAAGTGAAGTACTAAAGATTTTTAAGTGTGTGATTATAAATCCTGCTGCAATAGAATAAAATCCAAGGATAGAATATTAAAGACAGCCTCCCTGATTAATGCTTTGAACACTTAAAAGAACGTTATCACTGGGGAAAGGGTAAATCATTTTTTTCCTTTAGGATGGAACAAGGTAATTGTACTTGACAGTAGACAGGGATGGCGAATTTAGAGGTCACTGATGTAGTTGTGTTCCCAGTTATCTCAAGTGCATAAAGAAGCTCTCTATTACTGCTGATAACCAAGGGAGAGCTCTGCTAGAGGGCCTGGGAGAGTCACGTGGAACCCAGGGAAGGGGCTGACAGAACAGCTGCAGCTCCGTTCAGCTAGAATTGGTCTCACGACTCCCTTGACCAGATCATTTGTTATATGAGGCTGTTTGAAAGGAGAAATAGTGCAGGGTATATGTGTGTTTGCTAAAACCAGTAAACAGCCTCTCTGTTAGCTGAGCATCCTGCTTTTTCTTTGGTCCCTCTCCCTTGTATGACACAGAATTGGACTAATAGGAATAATTAATTCTACCATATTCATGCCTAAGGTTTTCTCTCAAAGTCTAAACAGTCTGAAAGATATTTGCAAACACATACACAGAAATTATAATTATGGCTTAAATATAAAGACTCAACAGATGGATGCTAATTTGAATTTATGTTCAAAATTGGATGAAGAATTTGGAGCCCCAGTTTCATCTCTGCTGCCATTTGGAAATGGCAGTAGCATGCTCACTGCTTCTAATTCCAATTATCTCTATATTGCACATCTCATGATTTCTGGGGAAAGCTAATGTCTCTCCTCATGTGCCAGCTACTGGCTGATTTTATAATTTCAGAATCATTGCATTCTCAATAGGAAATTACAGTGTACTAAACAATGTAAGGCATATGAAACCTATATTTGCCTCATAACAATAATTTTAAATTATTAGCCTCACAAAAATTAATTTTCAAATAATCAAGGAGGACTGTGTAAAATGACTGACGTATCATTTTAATAAGTAATTTTGTGAATTTTCCTGATCACAAAAAGTTAGAGAAATCCAATTCTTTATTTTATAGAGAAAATAAAAACATAATTTAAGTGAGTTTTTAGATAATTCTAGACGAGGCCCAGAACACTTTCTGGAGGATAGTAAGTGGTCAAATATATTTAACTATTGGGTGGGGTAAAGGACTGAAAAAGATAAGCAAAACTTTTCTAATAGTTTATAAAAAGAGGGGAAAGGGATTAATAAGCTTTTTTTCATAAAGCCAACTGAGTTGAAAATATTAATTTTATAACTTTTAGTCAAACACATTGACTGATGCCACTAGAATAACAGGCATTCGGTTTTGCATGTTGTAAATTTAGAAATTGAGATAATTGGGACAGGAGTTAGAATGAAGTTTACTTTTACTTTATTCATTTATTTTTAAGTTTCCTAGGAAAGTAAAAAAATTTAAAGAAGCTTCCTAGGCTATTTTATCTATGAGAATGAAAAAATCGTTTTCAAGCTCATTCCTTCTATTCCTCTTAACATTGGTTGAGAGCTCAGTGTGTGGGCATATTTGTTTTCTACTGCTGCTGTAGCAAATTATTGTAATCTTGGTGGCTGTATTAGTCCACCTGAGACTTGCTGTAAAGAACTACCTGGGGCCAGGTGGTGGTGACTCACGCCTGTAATCCCAGCACTTTGGAAGGTCGAGACGGGTGGATTCCCTGAGCCCAGGAGTTTGAGACCAGCCTGGCCAATATGGTGAAACCCCATCTCTACTAAAAATACATAAATTAGCCAGGCCTGGTGGCACGTGCCTGTGATCCCAGCTACTTGGGAGTCTGAGGCACAAGAATGGCTTGAACACAGGAAGTGAAGGTTGCAGTGAGCCAAGATTGCACCACTGCATTCCAGCCTGGGGAACAGAGCAAGACTGTCTCAAAAGCACAGGTTCTGCTGGCTGTACAGGAAGCATGGCTGGGGAGGCCTCAAGAAACTTGTGATCATGGTGGAAGGTGAAGGGGAAGCAGACACATCTTCACATGGTGGAGCAGGAAAGAGAGCAGAGAGGAAAGTGTTACACACTTTTAAACAAGCATATCTCATGAGAAGTCACTCACTATTATAAGAACAGCAAGGGGGAAGTCTGCCCCCATGATCCAGTCACCTCCCACCAAGCCCCTTCTCCAACACTGAGGATTAGAATTTGACATGAGATTTGGGCGGGGACACAGAGCTAGACCATATCAGTGGCTTAAGAGCAACACACATTTCTCTGTTCTGTAGGTTAGAAGTCTGATGGATCTCACTGGGCTAAAGTAAAGGTGCTACAGGGCTGCATTACTTTTTAAGTCTCTGAGAGAAAAGTGTTTCTTTGCCTTTTTCAGTTTTTAGAGGAGGTCATCCTCATTCCTTACCTCCTGGATCCCTTCCTCCACCTTCAAAGCCAGAGATACTGTGTATCTCTGACCATTCTTCTATAGTCATCTCTCCCTCTGGCCACAGCTGGGAAAAGTTCTCTGATTTTTTAGGACACTTGTTTTTACATTGGGTCCACGCAGGTAATCTAGGATTATCTCCTCACGTCTGGGTCCTTTACCTTAATCACATCTGCAGAGTCCTTTTTGTCTTGTGTGGTAACGTATTCACAGATTCCAGGGACCGAGAAATGGATATCTTTGTGTGTGGCAGGAGGGGCATTATTCTGCCTTCTATGATGGGGGGTAGCATTCAGCTCATAGGATGATAAGCCAGCCAGCATCAGAATATATTGATGTAAATATATTTATTTTAAGTAAATTCGGTGTATAATTGTCCATATTTACCAAAGAAGGGAATAATAACCATCTGCTTTCTTTAAATAAAAGACTTTCATTAACATCATTTGAAATGTTTTTATATACATACAATTTTTTTTTTTTTGAGCCCAAGTCTCACTCTGTCATCCAGGCTGGAGTGCAGTGGTGCTATCTTGGCTCACTGCAACATCTGCCTCCTAGGTTCAAGTGATTCTCCTGCTTCAGCCTCCCAAGTAGCTAGGATTACAGGCACACACCATCATGCCCGGCTAATTTTTGTGTTTTTAATAGAGACAGGGTTTCACCATGTTGCCCAGGCTGGTCTCGAACTGCTGGGTTCAGGGGATCCATCTGCCTCGACCTCCCAAAGTGCTGGGATTACAGGCATGAGCCACCACACCTGGCCTGTGTACATACAATTTTAAAATTAAATTATATTGTTTAAAAGTAAATTATTGTTAAATAGCAGTAATTCCATTGCCTTCCACAAGTCTGCCTATTTTAAATAATATAACAACAAAACTTTATATATAAAGTATCTTATATTCTGTTTTTTCACTTAATACTTATATATACTATTTGTGAATTATTGTTTTATTAAGCTTTACACCTGATGTTAGAGATGTATGTGTCTGCAATTTCTTGCTGGCATATATAATGCTCCTCTGAACATTTATTTATTGTATAGCTACTATTTGCTTTTATTGGATAAATCATTTGGAAAAATTCCTGTGAAAGAAATTACACAAGAGGATTGCTTGAAGCCAGAAGTTTGAGATCAGCCTAGTTAACATAGTGAGACCCCGTCACTACAAAAAATAAAAATATTAATTGAGTGTGGTGGCATATACCTGTAATCCCAGCATCTCGGGAGGCTGAGGCAGGAGGATCATTTGAGCCCAGGAGTTCAGGACTACAGTGAGCTATGATTGTGCCACTGCACCCAAGCCTTGGTGACGGAGTGAGACACTGTCTCAAAAAACAAAATATGAGTCAAGCCCCAGAGCATGAGTTTGCCTTATAAGCCAAAACTGGAAATTCCCATCCCCTTTGCCAGGGATTCGTTTAAGAATAAAAACTGTGACTAAATAAGACAAAAGGGAAAATGGCTGGATACCAGTGTCACACAGTCTTGTAAGAATTTTCGTGTATTATTTCCTCTCTCTCTTGTCTGTCTGCTTAACCTGCTCTACCTGCTTTTTTGTTATATAATTGTATTTTTGAAATAAAATTGAGTATACATGAGCAGAATTGGCAATACCAGAAATCCTATGACTCAGCTCTCTTTTCCTGTTGACTTATCAACACTGGGACCAGTCATTATCAGCTTAGTGGAAAAAGACACAGAAGATGGGGAATTAAAAGAATCAAATATTTACTTACTTCAAACTAATATAGACAATTACATCTTTTATCTCACAATAGTAGTCAATTTTGCCAACAAGAATAGAAAATACTCAAACCTGATGGTTAAGTATCCTTTTTCCCAAAGCAAATCGATTTCAGATATGTCGATACTTTGTTCAATTGCTTGCAGTCAAGTTCAGTAACCTTGGAGCTGGGTTCCTACGTGTTGATGTTATGTCCACTTTAAATCTTAGAGACCCACATTTTCTTCCCCCATACGTCCAAGTTTTTGAGGGACATGTGGATGCCTGCTAGTATTGTCTATCTGTCTATCTACTACAAATATGTGGTTATATCACACACACACACACACAATTGTAGGCCTTCAGAGGCCAGTGGTTTGGAATAATCAGGAACAACTGAGATAGTCCTGAAAGACTTGGAAGTCTCAGAAGTAGAAATGATGAGGATTAAAAGTGTTGCAGGGGTAGAAAAAAGAAAGAATAAAGGCCAAGAGGGAGGAAAGAATAAAACCAATGGACTATAGCTAGAGTTTGGAGTCTGTATAGGCAATTAGTGGGAGACAAAACTGGAAAGAATAGTTTGGACAGTACTGTAGAGGGCTTTGAATACCAGAGTTAAATTTCTGTTCGATGGACAATGGGAAGACATTGATGATTTTCTAGTTGGAGAGGATTTGATCACAGCTGGGATTGGAAGCTGCACCTGTGATGGGCAGATATCTGTAAACACTGTCTTAGTCTGCTTGGGCTGCCATAACAAAGGTGTAAACTTGATGGCTTAAACAGCAGACATTTATTTCTCACCATTCAGGAAGCTGAAGATTCTAAGATCAAGGTGCCCCCAGATTCAGTTTCTGGTGAAGGCCCTTTTCCTGGCTTGTAGACTGCTGTCTTCTTGCTGTGCCCCACATGGCTGAAGGAGAGACCTGTGGGTTCTTCTCCCTCTTCTTATAAGGATAATAATCCCATTATAGGAGCTCCACCCTCATGACCTCATCTAAACCTAATTACCTCCCAAAGGCCTCACTTCCTAATACCATCACATAAAGGGTTGGGGCTCCCACATATAAATTGAAGGGAGGCACAAACATTCAGTCCGTACATGTACCATCTGGGTGTCTGTTATTACCATAATTCAAATGAGAGGAAGATCTGAACAAGAATGAGAGTGAAGCAAGAGCAAAAGGCATTGCAGAGGATGAGGAAAAGAAGAGTTCACAGACTCTGAAATGTTGATCCAGGGTGAGTGTATCAAAGTGCCATCACTGGAATTGTGGTTAAGTGGTTAGGGATGTTTTGGATGCTCAGGGATGTTGAATTCAATTTAAGTTATGTGACCTGAGGGCAGAACATACAGATAAGTGTAAGCCTCAAGAGAGAGAGATTAGGTTCAATAGAAATGTACTGTGAGCAAAAAAAAACCACAAGCCACATATAATTTAAAGTTTTCTAGTAGCTGCATTTTTAAAAAGTCAAAAGAAACAAGTGACATTAATTTGAATAATATATGTTTATTTAACACAATATATAGAAATATTATTATTCCATTATGGAATCAACATATTCTAACATTTCAGTGTGCTTTGGCTACATGTCAAGTACTCAATAGCTGTATAGGTCTAGAATGGGAAACTTAGGAGCCAGTTACAAACTCAGCTCATTTCTTTGCTTGGGATTGTGAACCCATGTTTGAGTTGTTCCTGCTTTTTTTGCTATTATGAACAATGCTGTTATGAAACAGTCATATACAGTACTCTTGGTGCAGGAATTCTGGACAGTATATTCCTAGGAGTTGCATAGCTGGGAAACAGCAGGTGAAATAGTTCCAATTTGTTTTCTTTTTTTTTTTTTTTTGAGACAGAGTTTTGCTCTTGTTGCCCAGGCTGGAGTGCAATGGCATGATCCTGGCTCACTGCAACCTCCACCTCCCGGGTTCAAGGGATTCTCCTGCCTCAGCCTCCTGAGTAGCTGGGATTACAGGCATGCACCATCACACCCAGCCAATTTTGTATTTTTAGTAGAGACAGGGTTTCTCTATGTTGGTCAGGCTGGTCTCGAACTCCTGACCTCAAGTGATCCGCCTGCCTCGGCCTCCCAAAGTGCCGGGATTACAGGCGTGAGCCACCACACCTGGCCTGAACATTTTTAATATGCATAAGAACATCTTTTTAATTCAAATATAAATACATATTATATAACATACTGTCATTTGTGTGTTGTATAATATATTCCTTCAAATATAAAAATTTGTTCTCGCACAAATACATATAACTCATATACTGTCATTTTTATGTTGTATAATATATTCCTTCAAATATAAAAATTTGTTCTCTCACAAATACTTACTGAACATCTGCTATCTGCTACCTATTGATCTAGGCACTTGGGGAAAAAATAGTCCCAAATTCCTGCTATCATGGAGTTTACATTGCAGTGTATATTGGGTGGGGGCAAAGAAAAGTATAATATTGTACATCATATGGTATTAGTCTGGCTCATCCAGAAGGAAGTGGTAATACTACCTGTGTTATGCTGTTTATTAAATGCATATGAAGAACTCGGCACCATGTCTGCTAAATAGTAAGGATTCTGAAAATGCTAGTGGCAATAATAATAATAATAATAATAATATTTCCTCCTTTCTTGCGTCTACTTTTTCTGCAGTAATTTTTAAAATTAGAACTACTGGAAATTTAAGATTAAGATGTTTTTGTTATTGTTGAAGTGTTGGCTCTCATTTGGGTGAACTTGTGGTGTTTTCTGCAACAAACATGACTTTGGCTCATTTTGAGATGTGTTATTTTCAAGCTTCTTAAATTCCAAGAATCAAGAGCCTGAAGACATGCATGTTTTAAAAGCTACATCATGATAAATAGCCACAAATGTGGGAAAATACCTAGGAATGTCTTGTATAATTCAGGACTGTGTTATCCAAGTATAAATGTTGCTTGAATTAATCATTTCAATCCAACAACCAATTTATTGAAAACCAACTATGTGCAAAGTACAGTGTAGAGGAGATGCATATGACCTTACTAATCTTTGAAACAATTATTTGTCCCCTTTTCTTAGATAATGATGTTGAAAATGATCTTCAATCAGACATCAGTTGAGCACTGCAAGACACACACGGAGAAGCAGAAAGAATGCAACTTCTTCTTAATAGCTGTTCGCCTGGCTTCACTGAACCAGATCTTGGATCCTTGGGTTTACCTGCTGTTAAGAAAGATCCTTCTTCGAAAGTTTTGCCAGGTAGCAAATGCTGTCTCCAGCTGCTCTAATGATGGACAGAAAGGGCAGCCTATCTCATTATCTAATGAAATAATACAGACAGAAGCATGAAAGAAAACACTTAACTTGCATGTGCACAGCTTTTGGTAACAAATATCGCTAAACCTTACTGTGAATTTAGGCATCTCTGGCATGCCACTGTTTATGCATTGAAGTGGAATTTTTGGTATAAAGCTAAATGGTCTTAGAAGCATAGAAAATCCCTATGTGCCAAAAGTAGTGAAACACAAACAAAGGAAAATATATTAATAACAGTCTAGTGTTTTTGTTGAGTCTGCCATTCGTAGCTGAATATGTGATTAATTATGTGATGAAAACATTTTTTATAAATGATCTTGGTCTATTGGGGAGCGGGGATAGTTAATATTCCAGTACACTGAATACATGAGGAATTTAACCACATACATCATTGAAGACAAGGGATAGCAGTTTGTTTTTATTCAAAGACATTGCTGTGTTCTCTTTCATTGCCTCTCTCGCTTTCTGTCACTTTTTTCCTCCTTACATTAAAGAAAAGTTTAATTACAGTTAAAAATGTATAATGTATTTATAATATTCATCGATACCATTATTCAAATATTGCTCAATACAGCAAATTAGCTCCTAACCTAACAAAGTTTAAGTTTACTTGGATTGATAATTAGGTTTACTCTTTATCTGAATAAGAACCAATTCCATTTGTTTGAAATATGGAGTTTGTGACTACCCAAATTGCTAATTATTCTTTCTTTTGAATATATTTTACATTTCTATGAGCCTAAGGAAGATTCATGAAACTGACCTATGAGAGTCGTGAAGTGGTTTTTCAGAATGCTATGTAAGGACCGATTTGAGCACTAACTATAGGTACTCTGAATATATATTTCCCTTGATTATTCACCAAAAGTGTTCCCCAGTCTTTGACTCTTTAAATTCCAATACTGATTCCAAAACAAATAAATATTTTGAAGACTCAATGAATACTTTCCATATTTTGGCCTATTTATATAAGAAAGTTAATAACATTGACCCTTCACAGCTCTTCTGCCTGCTCCTCAAAGTGGCTCTATCTAAATATTTATTACTAAAATGTTTTTCCTACAGTCTACATGAATACAAACCTCAATAGCTAAGCTTGACGTATTTGTGCACAAGTAGATCACTACATTAAGTTTTGGGAATTGCACTTCTTAAAAATGTCTCCCCACCAAACATAGTAATCCTGTAGTTATGCCTACACAAAGCTTGCCATATTCTTTGGTGCATTCATTTTGTAAACCCATTAACTTTTTATTGTGAAGATTTTCATTTGCAGTTTCTTGCACTGCTTTTCTAGTTTTTTAAAAGCTTGAGATTTATTTATACTTCTTGTAGTAACTGCATATTTCTGTGTGTGTTTAGTGGTAAAGAATTAATTTTGATAGGTACAATATGTCTATCAGATTGATATATACACCAGCCTATGTCAATTGGGGCTAATTATTTTAAATGACCATGTCAAATTGAATTTGGAGACAAAATCTGTTGAGAGTGCTTATGTAATTAATGATGGTTCTACTAATCTAAATTTTGGAAAAGGTGATAAATAGACTATACTAAAATCTCTCTATGCCATAGAATTGGATTATCCTGTAGGTCATCTCATTGGGTATAAGACAAAACTACCTACTTTTTTTCAAAAGTGCACTGAAATCACATAATAAAGAGGCTTTACCTCTTGGTTGGTCCTGTGACCCTAAGTTCTAGTCAGATAGACACAGAGGCAATGTGAATTTGAGTGGCATGAGCATGATTAGGTTATTCCTTCCAGCATCTAGTATAGCACCTGGAATATAGAAACTGTCTAATACATATTTATTCAGTGAATCAATGAGCAGAAGTTTGCCAGGACAGTACACATTGGCAAGGCACATACCATATGATTGAAGTGCTTCATGCCATTACAGTCCATCAGGCTGATAAAGTGAATTATTTCTGATTATTTAATTACAGAAATATGAATTTATCTTCAAGGGTGTAGTGTCATACTGCTGTACAACACAGTGCTTTATTTATACTAATAATTTAGGAGACTGATACTTCCAAATGATAGTGGACATTACTATCACAAGAATATCACTTTTCATCAAACTGCAAAAATACAGAAAGGCAAAAAACCTGACACTTATTCTTAACTGCAAATTAAATTCCTGCCCAGGGGATATATTTTAGGAGGGGATGAATGGCAGCTTTTGTGTTTTTTTTAACAAGCTTGAAAGGGAGGTGGAAAACAAAGAAATTATGTAAATGGCATATGAGTTTTATTATCTAGGCATTCGTTAGTATGGGGAAACCTGATAAGAAATGAAAATCCCAAATGATTTCAGCCTTTTCATGATGGTTGAGGTTAGATTTCAGAGATGTACAGAGACTAGAGCGGTGGTTAGAAAGAGGATATATGTAGTCACAGCAGAAAGACGTGTCTAAGTTTAATTTTATTGGCTTTCAAGTTCACTCATGTATACTTAGTTTGTCCATACATATGTCTAATCAGGAAAAATGCATGTATAGATTATGACAATTCCTGAATTTTGAAGTATTGGTTAAAAGACAATTAAAGGCCAAGAAAACCATGGTGGAAGAAGTAAGCGAATGAAATGTAGAAATATATGTAAAATTAGCAAGTGTCAATTTTACCAAGTAGTGTTGATTTTCCAAACAATGAATTTATATACTATGCTGAGTCACAGAGAAGAATGATCACATGTTACTTAATGAGAGCAGTTTACTTTTCAAATAAAATAGGTATGATGAATGTCTTAAAAATATCTTGAAGTTGAAGAAACAAAAATGAGTTATCTCAATATTTACCAAGTTAACCTAGTGCTGTATATATCCCAAGATATTTTAGGTAAATGTAAGTGTTTAATCATGCCAGATTTAAACTAGTCTGAAATATAGGGTATACATATATTTCTACTTACATTTCTTTATTTTATGAAATATCCGACCATGTTGCAGAAAATAATGCAAAACCTCATGTAAGTTAACTATGAAAGATCCTGTGAGCACATTGGCATTGAGTGACAGACAAACTAAAAACTGGCAAACAGTATTTTAATAAGGGGGTCACTCTGTGGCAGTATTCTAATATTGGATTTTCAAGTAGATTAGGCTTTTTATTTATTCAACGCTTTTTATAATTTTGTTCTTTTTGACTCCAAATTATTGGTCAGCTTTCAACCTTCTCCACATCAGCAATCACTAATAGTTCTTTTGGTTGAGATCAACTCAGAAAAAGAAAATAGAAAACTTTTGTTCTTTGAAATTTTAGACATGCATAATATCTATTTATTTTCATAATTTAACCCCAAAAGCTTCTCCTGCAATACACAGGATTCTAGGAGCTGAATGACACAGGGAGACTACAGAGTATTTATTATTACAAACACATAAAAAGCCTAACTTGAAGAATTAAAATTTCTATTTTTTATCTGTATAACAAGTACAAACCATCAACAATGACAAATTTTCACAGCTGCTTGTTTATTGCTTGTTTTATATGTTTACATATCTCAAAATCTGTTAAAACTGAGGTCTAAAAAATGTGCAGAATTGTGCAACTGTGGCCTAGTCCATAAGACTTTTCTGAGTTGCAACAAAGTGCTGACAAAGTGACAGATGTCTGTGATGTTTCATGACATAGGTTATGATCGAGCCAATTTACAAAATTTAATAACCAACCTAAACTCACATACATATTTGTTAAGAAGCTGACATCAGTTCAGTATTGTAAGGAAACTAACTAGGTGGTGATGATGATAAAAGAATTAGGGAAAATATTTTATTTGATATATTCCCTTTTATAATTCCTAAAATGAAGATTCTATTTAAGGGTTATAATTTATATAAGTTTAGTCATATACCATTACATTATGATACCATAAGCAGAGTGCATTATGATTCTCTAGAAATATAATTCAATCAGATATGTATTATATTTATTTATGTCACACATTTTCTTTACTGAGAATAAAAATTATCTTATTTTCAGAAGCTTTGTATCAATCAGTTTCATGTAATAAGCAACCCAGATATCTACTAGATTATGTATTTCTTCATTTGAAACTACACTGTTTTCTCCTAGTCCCCTTGACTCTACTGTGCTTATCCATTCTTTCACAGAAAGAAAGTAACAGACATAATTCCTGTTGATGAGGCTGGGATTGTTTTTAAGAGGAGAGATAATAACTTCATATTTTTAAAGTGCCAGTAGCCTAATATGTGAAACAGATCAGAATCTGTTGTGTAGTAAGTCTGCTTTGTTGAAGAATTTATTATGGGAGTAAAGATAAGAAGGAAAGAGATCACCATCAGAAACAAGTCAGCCTTTTCATGCTTTTTTGAGCATTTTTGGAGATGATTCCACTTCTCAAGTTATTATCATTTGTGCATCTCTTCAATGCTATTGTTAAATGCTTTAGAATTAGAATATTTTGATCCTTTAATTAAAGTAAGCCAAACGTCTAGGCAAAAACAGCCAATCATTAAACTTTAATAGTAATTCAAATATAGATTTCTCATACAGTTTTCCATGTCTGTAGAAATCAAAGTTGTAATGTTAAGCAGAGGGAAATGCGTGTGATTTACTAATACACTTCAACGTTCTACTTTTGAAAGGATACTCATGTGGGTGGGGCAGAGAACATAGAAAAAGATATGATGGAAAACCTGTCCATTTTCTACCTGTTAACCTTCATCATTTTGTGCCAGGCCCTGGAAGCAAAGAGAGGAAGGGACCGACTGCATTTATCTTTGAACACTTGAGCATCAGTAGTACTACTGAGTGGCCAGGGGTCTTGTCTGTCAAAGCAAATGATAAGTTCACTCAGGCCATTATTGACTGCTGAACTCTCTTCCTTCCCAACTCTTCCTTGAAAGAGAAAAAAATACTTTGCCTTCTTGCTCTCCTTATCAAATGTTTTTGTACAAATAGTGTAAGCCTGTTTAAGCAAACCAATTAAAATAGGCACTGATTATTTTGATCTGTTTGTAACAAATGAATGTAAGTACTATTTACATGGTGTGCCTAGGAGGAGCTGAAATCATTGGCACTTTAATCCATATTGTAAAGATCAGTATCAAAAGCATAGTGTTCTTCACCTCTCCTCCTCAGCATCCATCTCTATATACTTGATTAAATGGAAAAGTCTCTTTTATCACCTCTATGTAAAGTTTTATGGGTAGTTATCGTCAGTGTATTTAAATATATCTTCTAGTATGTTTTAAAGGCTGGTCTTCAATACTGTGGAGACAAAAAATAAAAGAGCGTATGAAAAGTACGTTAGACTTTTGCTGGCATTCAAGTCATGGCTAGTCTGTGTATTTAATAAATGTGTGTTATTTATGTCGTGTTTGTCAATGGAAAATAAAGTTGAATATTCTGAAATGTCGCTGTGTTTTCTTCCTGATGTCAACTCACGTCAGGAATACTTTACCTATAACTATGTTAAGTATTTTGCTGAAATCCCATTTGATGTGCTTTGTCAAATAATAGCACAATGTAATGCAACAGCCCCATGCTATCTGGAAAAATTAGATCATTTTGTTTTATATTCCATAATCATGTGCATAACAAATTATTGTTGATTTAATATAAATATGAGAGTTGCTCTTTTCCGATTTTCAACATGATGTTTCTTTGTTTTATTATCTCAAGATTATTGTTCTTAACACAGAGTGCATTTATAAATTATTGTAAGCTTAGTTATTTCCCTTTCTTGTGGATTTTGGTGTAATTTACAGGCAGCCAAAATAAGAATTGTCCTTGCTCATAGTACAACCCTTTAATTGACTTGTGCCTGAGTTTTGGTGTGAGCTGAGTATTGGTGGTTATGAATACTGGGATCCCCAGCTATTTGTTCATGTACTTATTGAGGTCACTATTGGTCTTCCTTCTTCAATGAAGGGAGAAGCTCTGTCAAATGTAGACTGCAAAGTCAAGCTCATTAAAAGTATCCCTCTTTCTTCGTGAGAAAAGATATCCAAGGAGAATTCTGTCCCTGGTTCCTCCCATGTGGGGGTTCTAGGCCTAGGACCAGATCTTATTGTCTCTACAATCTTGATTCTTTAGTATTTCAGGATAGGCAGAGTTTTGTTAAAGTATACAAAAATCATAGCTAGATAAGAGAGATAACAGAAATAAGTTCCAGTGTTCTATACTCCTGTAGGATGACTACAGTTAATGCTAATATACAGTTACAAATAGCTAGAAGGAGGCTATTGAATGTTCCCAACACAAAGAAATGATAAATGTTTGAGATGATGATGTGCTAATTACCCTCATCTGACCAGTATACATTATATGTATCGAAACATCGCTCTGTGCCCTGCGAATATGTACAATTGTGATTATTAAAATAAATACATAAATAAAATTTAAAAGTCATTATGACTACTATGGCTATGGCTCACCCGAAATTTCCACCATCATGCTGGTAAACCTACAGGCCATGGGGTGAGACATTCCCCAGTTTCATGTCCTCAGAGGGCATGGGGCCAAATGTCCTTGGGGCCAGTGTGCTTGCTAGTACTAGCCTTGAGTAAATCCATTCTGGATGGATGTTTGTCATGGAGAATTTAAGTCACTTCTGCAGGCTTGCTCTTTCCTTCAACATATATTTATTGCATACCTATTAAGTGCCAAGCTCTGGTAGGTACTAAGACCCAAGAATTAATAAAAACAGCAAGCTCTCAGTGAATTTATAACCTGGTAGGGGAACAGGAAATAATCAGAGCTGCAATTAGAGTAAGCACATGGTATCATGAGAATACATGGAAACGTGATGCTAACATGGGAGGTATTCCTGTAGAAGGTGGCATTTAATCCTCATTTTGGGGAAAGGAATAGGTGTTAACCTGTAAAGGAAGGACATTGTAGGATATTTTTTCACTTCACTCTGTCCAAAGCATTACAGTTTCCAAATCTGTCAAATGGACTAAACTTTAGTGGTCCTGTGGGTAGTGTGGCTCTACATAGATCCTTTCTATATAACCTCTCAGGGTCATCAAAGTGGCATGGCTTTAGGGCAGGGTTTCTCAACCTTGGCACTATTGACACATGGGACAGGTAATTCTTTGTTGTGAGGGCTGTCCTATGCATTGTAGGTTATTTCCCAATGTCCCTGACTTCTACTCATGAGATGCCAGCAATACCTCTCTGATGTGACAATCAAAAATATTCACAGACATTGCCAAATGTACTATGGGGGACATAATTGCCCTCAGTTGGAACCACTCCTTAAAAGCAAGGGCCAGGGCCACTAAACAGGTGCTATGTACCCAAGGGTTTGAGGGGTGAGGCCATCTGTGGGGCCTTGGTCCACATAGGCACTGTTCTGGCATTTCCTGAAGCAGCAGGTACTAGAATGCCAGTTTGTGTCTGACTGCACAAAAATGTGGTGCTGCCACTACAACAATGCCTGGATCACCACAGGCCCTGATCAGCTTCCATAATCACATAAACCTATTCACAGATGATTAGGCACAATTTCTTAGAAAGTATCATCTTTCTATTGATGCCTCCAATCTCTATTCTCTTTTTGATAAAAGGAATTAGGGTTTGTATGTCTCTCAAAGTGATACCTAAAGTGAGTCTTTGTCTCCAAAGACCTTTAAAAAATCTGTTATAATTCTACATCTTTAAGTACACATTTCCAGACAATTCTCTCCGAAGGAGAAAACTAATTTATCAAACTATTTCCTTAAATTAGATGTTTGCATATTTAGTCTGTATAACAAAGCTGCAGAAGCTTCATTTTATCTGAAAGATGATTTTTATCAAAGAACAAATATTGGGCAATGTCTCTTGATGAGCCTGTGACTTTCTGAGTTCATGCCAGTCTTCAATTCCTCAGGTCTAGAGTTATTATCATACATTTTGATAACAGAGTTCAAGTCATGATCTCTATAACTGACACTACTGAAACCTATTGTTTGTATAAAATGGGAAGATGGGTTTACCTACCACACTGAAAATCAAAGTCTGATAAAAAAATACAATTAGAATGAGGGACCTAATCTGTTAACCATAAGTTTCTGAGGCCAAGTTACAAAAGACTATGGATAATCAGTGTTTATGCATAATATTCTTATGCAATTTTTAAAAAGAAGGCTTTGAATATAACATACAAGGTTGTTTGAATCTGATTTTGCAAAGAACATTGAGAGAAAATAATTCTGAAATCCACAATTGAGGCTGTTTTAAGTGATATTTAATTAGAAAGAACATTGGTTCTTAATTATTTTAGGATCAACGACCCTTCTGAGAAATTGATGATAGGTATGTGGTACTCCCACAAAAGGTGCAGAGGATTTTTGCACAGTGTCAGAAATTGTACAGACCTGCCGAAGTCTATCTATAGACCTCTTCGGCATTTATGCCCATAGGTTAAGAAATCCTTCTGTGAGAGCCTCTATGATTTAAGGAACTGCAAAGCTTTCCACGTTTGGTTAGGAAACTCAAACCTAAAACTGGAACTAAGTCAATGTAATTACTTCCCAGTGAATGCCAAAATTCCTTGACATCTATCTAACGATATGTCCATAACAGTAAATCAATGTAACTGGAGGTAGAATTATTATAAGGAACTGCAATCATTTTTCTCTAAAAGTTGCAATCATGTGATGATAAGAAATAACACAATTTGATCTGAGAGGAGCAATATAGGTTACTCACCCCAAAACAGGTTGAAAAGTGAAAGACCCATTTAAAAAAAATATTACAAGTTATCCAAAGATGCATTTGCCTTACAATAAAGATGTTGTTTTAGTTTTGCCTTGTGCTGGCCCAACAAGAGAGATTTATAATGTAGCTATTTAAAAAATCAATAAAAATGTCATCTACCCACCTCCCTGGAAAAATGTAATCTCCTATACACAAGCAAGCTACATGGTTAAAATGTAACTTCATGATACTAGGATATATATGTAGACACATATCTATTTATACTTCTATAGGCACTAAATTTGTGCATTGCCATTCAGAGTGCAAGTGGCAGGGATGACCTTATTGATTGAACCTTTGAATAAGAAAGCAAGGCATGCAGTCACAGACCGTCTTACAAATGTATAATTAATAATGGTTTAAGCCAACTTTTAAAGCTATTAGTAGAATCTTACTGATGTTTATGGTTTGCATTTCTCTGGAGGGAAAAATGCAGAGCAATTAATGACATGTATTTTTGCATTTGTCTTTCCTTATTAAAGAAGATGAAAATGGAATCTTAGAGCATTGAAGTATTTGTCAATCATAAACAGCTCTTTGATACCAAAGCATCCTACATTCTGGATGTATGTGCATGAATTGGACAGATACACAGTATGTGCATGACATTACAAGTTGATTTTAATGAGTCAGCAGTGGTCTGTGAGTTGGAGTCTTCTTCTTAGGAGATCCAGGAGGAGCTGTTTTTAGAGGAAAAGCAATTGTCCTTTGTTAGTTTCAACATTTCTTGACCATTTAAATTTTTTGCCCAACCCTTTTATTTTAAGAATTAACGGGACAAAACGGGTTTTTACTTGAAATATTTTGGAGAAATAATATTGGCATATCATGAAGTGTAATCACTGCCTTAAATGTTGGGCAGCTCTAATTAGATATGCATGACTCTTATCCCTGTCCGAGATTTTCTCACACCATGACCGTTTTGAATATCCCTGTGACTATTCATTCAGACTATTAATAATCCAAAGCTGAACTAATTCATTTATTTTGGCCATATGTAATTTAAAATATTTTAAAGTATATTTTAAATACAGTCATTTTACAAAAATGCTCTCTAAAGTTTTGTGTGTCATAATGAAAGAGAAAATGTTCTACATTGGACAAGGAGCCAGAACACCTTGGTCGAATTATTTGATTTGTTATTTACTGGTTATTTGCCCTTGACAATCCATTAAATGTCTCTGAATCAACTTGAATTTTCTTATCAGCATAAGATTGTTACAATTAAATGAGATAATGAAAATACAGACTTTTTTTTTAAGAGATAGGGTCTTACTCTGTCCCGAAGGCTAGAGTGCCATGGTGTGATCATAACTCGTTGCAGCCTCAGCCTCCTGGCTTAAGTGATCCTCCCACCTCAGCCTCCCCAGTGGCTGGGACTACAGGCATGCGACACCTCACTAGGCTTATTTTTTTTATTTTTTATTGTTTTTAGAAACAGGTCTCACTGTGTTGCCCAGGCTGGTCTTAAACTCCTGGCCTCAAGCATTCCTCCTGTCTTAGCCTCCCAAAGTGCTGGGATTACAGGTATGAGGCTTTGCACCCAGTAAAGACACTTGAAAGTGCTATACAAGTGGTTAGTGTTACTTTGTTATATTCATTTCATTAATTGAACAATATTAGAAAATTAATTATGATTGTTCTCATCTCATGTTTACTACAGACTTCCCAGTTTAGTATTGGGCAATCGCACATTCACCAGAACACACAAGTGACGTTAGAAAGCTGGTTCTTGTCACAGACAGGATGTGTGAACTTGGGAAAAATACACAGCTTCTTTTAGGCTTAGTACCTCATCTGTAAAATAAGGGGATGATATTTCTATGTGGTATCTTCTCACTGAAAAGCCATGATTCTCCTTTCTCTCTGGAAATGTCATGAAGGTGGTCTTGTCAGCTAAACACAGATAAGCTTTTCTCTTCTGAGTCCTGGAAAACAGCTCACAGGAAAACTCTAGGAGACAAAAATAGCAAGACTCAAAAGTATAGATTCTTTTTTTCTCCAAAAAGAAATTTCAGGTTCCCACTCTTTCTCCTGAATGAGATGGATTTCTTTTCTCAACCAAATTGCAAAATCCTTGAATACAGGTACCATGTCTTCCATTTGTTAAGATTTTCTGCCTCCTTTTGCTTTACTCTTCATCCTAACTGCTAAATCCTATGCCTTTAATTGTTAAATGATGGATATTCATTTATTTGTGGCTAAGGAACTCTTGTAACAAAGAGTAAGTTACATAGATTTTTATACACTTGTGCTTATTTGTGTGTGTGTGAAGGAGCAAGAGAGATATCTGTTATACCTCAAATGTGTATTTCTTTTCTTAAGTTTTTTCATAAATTTTTATTAAAATACTATGTGCATCTCTTTAAAAAGTCAAATAGTGCTGAAAGGCTTATCATGCATGAAACCCACAGTCCCCATTCTAACCCTACCCCTAGACCACCTGCTTTCCAGTGGCTACTCCTTTCAGCTTATTTTTTCAATGTTTTTTCTAGCATATGACACCATAATTTTAAATAATATATTGTTATCTCACACTCAATCAACTTTATAGACATTATATGCTGATTTTCTATTTTGCTGGATTTAGCTCTCTCCTCACCCATTCTCCCATTATAGTTATAACTGACTTTCATTAAATCAACATTCAATGTTTGCATTTTCATGATAATGAAAATATCCTTCACTGAGGAATCAGTAGTACTGTAATTATGTTTCTTTTCTTGAATACATTTCTCTTTTTTTCTAGAGTTACGAACTCATCAAGTTTTGAATTTGCTTAAGTTTGCTTTGGAACAGTGGCTAAATCTTAATAGTCTTCCAAGTGCCCAAACCTATCTGATAATCTTTACCCACTTTGGGAGTCTAACATTTTTCTGGTTTTCTCTGCTATTCATCCTTTTGCCTCTTTTATTTATATTGATAGTCCTTTGTCTAGATCCCATGTCTTCATCCTTCTTGAATTATTCACTCATTTTGACCACATCTGCTTTAAAATGAGCTTCTTAATAGTAAAGGATGTTAAGTAACCAAACTCCCAGAAATGGAAAGAGAATGCTTTCAGGGACACATGAACACTAACAACGTTTTAAAGAAATTTGAACTGGTGATAATGACCATAGTGGCAGATACCATTTTATGAGCACCTACACTTTTCGTATGTTATCAAATTCTCATGTCAATGACAGCAGGTAGGTGTTATCAGCACTTTCCAGATAAGGAAACTGGGGTTTGTGGAAGAAAAGTCACTTGACCAAATACACAACAGTTAATGAGAAATAAAGCTGGGGTTCACACCTGACTTGGGTTTAGAATATAATCATGTGTTATCCATGAGCAAATAATTACTACTGTGATTAGTTTCAGAAGCTTCAAGTTTATCTTCGAGGGTTTGTTTAAAACCCCATGGAAGAAAGGCTTTGACTCTATTATCAATGTCTGGACATTTTCAAACCACCAGAAATAATTTTGGGGAGCAGTGGTGAGGCAGCTTTTCTAAGAGTGCTGATTAGATTAAGCAAACAAGATTCTCAGCAAAAAATGTGAAGGTCCATATGTCCAATCTAGGTGTGTGCACATGACTGCAAACATTTAGATCCTTCCTTGTTTGATCCAGGACCACTTCTGCAGTGGAGAAACTATTGGTTTCCTGGCAGCAGATGGTTGTACAGAAAAACTGCACTTCTACTTCCACACAGGCCTGTGGTTTTTGCTAAAGCCAAGAGTTTATCACAATTTGGGTTACTAAGAATACATCTCTTTTGGCCCTATTGGCTTTTGTCTCTTTTTTTATTTTTCCTTTTACCCGTCCTCTCGGACTTGTAATTTGGGAGAATGCTTACTGAAAAGCAGAAGATACTTGTGCTTCCTAGTTACAGAGGAACTCCTAAGAGACTGTAGAAAATTCAGGACCTAGGGCAGACCATTTGTCATCAGTGAAACTATTCTGATTATCATCTCTCCCTGCTTAATTTTGAAATTTGCTTTAGCTTCTTCTGGTAAAATACAATGCAGTTTGAGTGGAGCACATTTTGTCTTTCAGAAAGAAAAATTCTTGCCCCCTGTTTCTGAGTTTTCCATCCCTTTCTGCTAACAGGTGAAATCTATTTGATGCATTTGATATTTTATTCATTCACCAGTTTTCTCTTCAACTGACTGCTCTCTGATTTCCACAGAACTGATCAGACTGATTAGAACTGTGCAAAACATTTTGTTCAAGGAAACAAAATCTCAGCGTCTCCAAACTCTAATTCTATTATTATCACTAAATGAATTCAGAATGCAACTTATCCATAGATATATAAAGTGGAAAAATTTGTACATCTTGATGTTTATCTTTAGTCTTATTTTGTACATTGTCTTTTGAATATTTCAATGTAAGTGTGACAATAGTCAACAGTTCTCAGGCATCTCTGGGGTCAATTGACATTTATTTGAATGAATTCAACCCGAGTAGCTGGGACTACAGGCGCCCGCCACCACGCCCGGCTAATTTTTTGTTTTTTGGTAGAGAAGGGGTTTCACCGTGTTAGCCACGATGGTCTCGATCTCCTGACCTCGTGATCCGCCCTCCTCGGCCTCCTGAAGTGCTGGGATTACAGGCGTGAGCCACCGTGCCCAGCCACACGCCAGATTTTAAATATGGTACTTATCCACCGTCATCATAATAAGCACCATCGTCGTTCCCTGTGCAAAATTTTCATAGATGTATCGAGATTCAAGCAAAACAGTAATTTATTTCTGAGTACCTCAGTTCATCTCTAGCTGTAAAGTCACAAACAGAACTACCAGAGAATTTCCGGACTGTGATGTATTTGAGAAATACACAATTAAAAGGGGCATTAAATCAATTTGAATTAGGATGGAAGTGATTCTTTTCCTCTTAGTACTTGGATTCACAGCAGTAACAACTTGGTTCTTAGTGGAGCTGTTACTTCCCAAGTGATGACTGTGTCTCCAAGTAGATTTTGACCACCAATTAAATGAATGATTTGTTGATTTATTTAGTCATATTCACATTTTTAATGAGCTTCTATCATGTGGGTCTAGGTTGTGGGGACATTGAGGTTTATCACTTGCAGATTTCAGATTTCAGATTCTCTCATTCTTCAGAGCGAAGTCTCAGTTTTCACTGATTGCATTTAGGACTTAAATAGCTTTCCCAAAGTGTAAATCGCTCTACATTTTCTTTCATTGTAATTAGAATATATATTCATGTATAAAATTTAAGCAATACAGGAAAGCACGAGGACCAAAGAAAAATTCCCTATACTTCACCACTCAAACTTAATCATTGTTATGGTTTTGATTAATATTCTTTCAAATATTTGTCTTTGTAAATTTCCCTTCAAACCTGACTGCATCTAAGAACCATGGTGAGATTCTCTCAAATGCATGAAGGAGTGTCACATTAAATAGAGATTTATTTCATATGCCCTGAAGGGCGGACTAAGAAGCTACAGAGAGAAAGAGTCTGACTTAATCTAGAAAGGTGCTAAACCAATGTGCCCTAAGGTGGCAGGGCTGACCTTAAGCAATAATGAGTTCCCTGTCACTTCAAATATTCAAGCACATACCAGAAAACCACTAGGGAGTTTGCTGTAGATGGATGGAATACAAATATCTTCTTTAAGTCTTCTTCCAACTCAGGATTTTATGATTCTATGTCTCAAAACAGTCATACTATGGCTACAATATTGGAATTGGTGTAAAAGACAAAGATTTGTCTGAATATAGCTGCTGAGCTTAGTGTTCTGCTTTCAACCTCTTCAGATGTGGCTTATATTCTGCTTTATGTGTCACTAAATGCATTGTTGTTGACCCTAATCTCAAAGCTAGAATTTCATGATTTCTATGTTCACTTTATCAGTTTACAACATTTTTGGAAAACTACTCATAAAACAGCAAAAATGTTTTTTTAAAAAGAGCTACAGCAATTACTTTCCAATAATTAAATCAGAATATCTGGTGGTCATTAATAACAATTATAATTGGATTATTGGATTGACTTCATCGAATATGAAAGTCTGCCAACAATATGAATTTGATCAAACTCTGCTTATTATCTATTCTGATCATTTTTTGCTATGTGTAAAATATACACATATTTCAGAAGAATAAATCTATCATGAATAACAATCACCAAATTTTTGTACAATATTATCTAACCTGTTATGTATATATTTTTAAGTTTCATAACCAAGAGAAGAGACGTATACTTTATTTATTTACTTATTTTATTTTTATTTTTTGGGAGACAGTCTCCCTCTGTCACCCAGGCTGGAGTGCAGTAGTGCAATCTCTGCTCACTGCATCTTTCACCTCCCAGGTTCAAGCTATTCTCCTGCCTCAGCCTCCCAAGTAGCTGGGATTACAGGCATGCACCACCAAGCTCAGCTAATTTTTGTATTTTTAGTAGAGACAGGGTTTTATCATGTTTGCCAGTCTGGACTCGAACTCCCAACCTCAATTGATCTGTCCTCCTCGGCTTCCCAAAGTGCTGGGATTACACGCATGAGCTACCACGCCCAGCCAAGAAATATACTTCAAAACATAGAAACAGGCCAGGCGCAGTGGCTCATGCCTGCAATCCCAGCACTTTTGGAGGCCAAGGCGGGCGGATCACGAGGTCAGGAGATCGAGACCATCCTGGCTAACATGGTGAAACCCCGTCTCTACTAAAAACACAAAAAAAGGCTGGGCGCGGTGGCGGGCGCCTGTAGTCCCACCTACTCCGGAGGCTGAGGCAGGAGAATGGCGTGAACCTGGGAGGCGGAGCTTGCAGTGAGCCGAGATCTCGCCACTGCACTCCAGCCTGCGCGACAGAGCGAGACTCCGTCTCAATAAATAAATAAATAAATAAATAAATAAATAAATAAATAAAAATACAAAAAAATTAGCCGGGCATGGTGGCGGGCGCCTGTAGTCCCAGCTACTCGGGAGGCTGAGGCAGGAGAATGGCATGAACCCACGAGGCGGAGCTTGCAGTGAGCCGCGCCACTGCACTTCAGCCTGGGTGACAGAGGGAGACTCCTTCTCAAAAACAAAAACAAAATAGATACAAATGATTCAGTAAATGTTTAGGGAAGATTTTAAAGTTTAAAATAATTATAAGGAACCAATACCATTACTTAAACAGGGAAGTTTTTTTAAATCAACAGTAAAATTATTCTTAAAGACATTATTTTGTCTCAGAGAGTAGGATAGAATGGGTATTTTTTTTTTAGGTAAGTCAAGCCTAATTACTACTTAACTATTCAACCTAATTCTTAACAGGATTAGAAAGAGTTACATCTCTTTTAAAGCACAAAAAACCAGACACTCACATCTTTGTTGGAAATGCTGAAATTTCTGGCATCATTAATTGTTCCCTGAAGACGTCATTTCAGTGTGCCACTGTAAACTCCAAGGTTTATAGCATCATCAATAAGGAAGGCAATGAGTAGCCTTATGGAAGGGATTTGGGGATTTAAAGACATAAATTTGAAGTATGGTTCTTGACTTACCAGCTGTGTGACTGAGTAGGTTTTAATCTCTTTCAGCCTCTGTTTACTCATCTATAAATTGGAGATAACAACACCTATTTCACAAGATAGCAAGGAAATGAGATAATACGTATATATAAAGCCCAGTAGGAATGCAATCATTTATAGACAATATTAACATCAAATAACACTAATTTCCTTTCCAGAACTATATTTAGGAGTTATATTAGTTGAATAGTGATAAATGTAAAATAATATTAATAGTGAACACTTATAAAAGTATTTTGTACTTTCTAAGGCATTTTACCATCTGTAGTTTTATTTGATCAAATTTTTAGTTAGCTAGGGAGTGTTGTTATTATTCCTATTTTATAAATAATTAAATTGAGATTAAGACATATATCAAAACATCATGTTATTACTATAATTTTTACTTGTCAATTAAAATAATTCTAAAATTTTTTTAAAGAAAGACTAAGACTAGGTGTAGTATTTGGACGCTAGAGTGAAACTTCAGCTCAAATATCACTTTCATACTTTCTTTAGAGTGAGTTTCTTACTCCTTCTAATCTCATTTTTCTCATTTGAATAGTGGAGATAGTAGAGTGTCCTAGACTATCTATTTCAAGAGCAGAGACTTAGAGTGTCCTTTACTACTTCCCCACTGCCCACTGTACAAAGCCCAAAAGCTTTAACTTGTTCAAAGCTCTCAGTAAACCAATCCCAATCTACCATTCCAATTTTTTTCTGGCAACACTGATACCAGCCTTTTTTGAATCCTCTCCCCAAACACATTATGCACATTCACAATTCTGTTTCTAGTGTTTACTTTGCTTAAATGTTAATTTCAATGAAGAAAATTCTGCTCATTCATTAAAGCCCAGCTCAAATGACACCTACCCTAAGAGTTGTTTCCTTATGCCTGATTCAGAATTACTGATTCCCTCTTTTGTACATCCATAAACACCTCATTTATGCCTCGGTGATTACTTCTCACTGCTCTACTTATATTACAGTGAGCTGTGGGTGATTCTAGCTCCCCCACTGGATGGTTACCTTCTTGAATGAAAGACACATCATTTTAATCTTAGTGTCCCAGTCCCTCCCACTTCCTCTCCTCCCCAGACCTTCAGCTTCCAAGAATGTGAAGGCTTTGAATTATAGATACACAGTAGACATAGAAATACTTATTAAATTGATTTAAATGACCAAAAAAAATAGTACAAATAAAAAAAAGGCAATGATGTCCCAGAAGAGGTTTTAGTTTATAAAAATTAAGTTTTGGCTGGTCGCAATGGCTCACGCCTGTAATCCCAGCACTTTAGGAGGCTGAGGGGGGTGGATCGCAAGGTCAGGAGATCAAGAATATGTTGGCCAACATGGGGAAACCCTGTCTCTACTAAAAATACAAAAATTAGCCGGGCGTGGTGGTGCACACTTGTACTCCCAGCTACTCCGGAGGCTGAGGCAGGAGAATCACTTGAACCCAGGAGGCGGAGGTTGCAGCGGGCCAAGATCGCACTACTGCACTGCAGCCTGGGCGACAAGAGTGAAACTCTGTCTCAAAAAAAAAAAAATTAAGGTTTACAGACTTACCACATTGATAGATACAGCATACACTACATGTTTCCGTAAATAGTTAACTATAATTAGGGACTGAAATTAGAGATAATGGCATCCAAACTTTTGGCATGCTTGCTATTCACAATGCCTCTTTTTCCATCCCGGTAAAGGTCCCTTGGTGTCACCATTGGAGAGAATATTAAATTGAATGAACTACTAGTCTTAGTGGGTGCAACACTTCTTACGTTCTTATATTAAGTTTCTGAGGTGATATGAAGGGAAGACAGTTTTTGATTAATTCAGATGTCTGCAATGGCCCTAGCTGGAGAATGGCCAGGCTGAGAGGTGAGCGGCCAGGCTAGAAGAGAGAAGGGTAGCTGTGGTTGGCAGGAACAGAGCAACTGGCAAAGAGCAGAGCAGCCTTTGGCCGCAGGGTCTAAACCCACATCCTTGCTCCCAGCCCTTTTGGTAACACAGCTATGAAGTCAGAGGCTGATAAAGAGTGAAAAAACACTTTCCTTCCAAGAACGAAGAGCCTTTGAAGAAAACTTCTGACCACCTCCTTTTGGGGCACAAGGAAGTTGAACAGGGTTTTGATCTGTTCACATTTAGAAATTCTTTTTGCTTCCTGCCATGTGTTCATATCACTAGACTGCAGTTTCTCCATCAATTCTTCTTATTGTTCACTGCATCCCTTATTCTTTCACTCACTCGGTTTGCATTCAGCTTCTAATTTCTGCTTATTACTATACTTAACCACAGTGGGGATGCAAATGCCCTCGAGGAGCAAAGAATGCAAGTAACACATCTCAAAGACTGGAAAACTCCAAAGCACACCTGAGCAGCCTCCCAGTCATTCCTGAAAATCTTTCTTCTGAGCTCTCCAGAGACTACAGAGCTTTTTGTTATTAACCCTCTTCACCTACACCTCAGTTTTGTTAATGGGCTGCTGCAAAAGGAGAGCCTAACATGGTTAGACATTTTAGCCTAACTGTACAAAATGTAGACTTCTGCCCAAGACCAGTTCACTTTTCAATACTTGGTGAATTTCTCAGAAAATGAGTATAGCATGATTCCTCTAGCTTTTAGGGTGTCATAAGCTCTATCGCACAGACATATTCACCCATGTCCCATGTATACACATGCGCTTTATAAAGCAAACCAAAGACCCAGGAGTCTTGCGCTGTCTCTCTAGAAGTTTTCCCTTTAACAAGGACACCATCTGTGATACATCTGCTTTCTTAGTGGGGGATATGTAACAAACGTAGGACAGTAATACTGAAAAACAAATGGTTTAAAGATGAATGTGTTCCACTATGCAGAAAAAGAGAAGTGAGGTTCATAAGAGAATATCTGGAAGTGGGAAGAAAGTAAGTATATCCAGATCTATATCTAGATATACTTGTTAGAAGAGGGGGGAATTTAACATTGAGGGACCTCATATCTAATTTTATTGAAGAAGAAAAACAAGGTTAATTGAATTTATTTTCAAGTATCTAATGAAATTAATCTCAAAAAGTTCTACCCAGGGCAATGTTGTTATAAATGTTTTGGGTCTTAGTTATACTGTTGCTATAGTATTCAAATTAGCATGGATGATCATTAATCAAATGCTTCGAAGATGGTAGTCACTGTGCTAAGTGCTTAGAAGCTGCATTTCTCATCTCTGCTTCTCAGAGGGAAATATATAGTGTAGGGTGAGGCTTTAATTAGTATCTTTTATTTGGTTGAGCCCTAAAGGAAATCAAGTAAAATGATGAAATCGATGTCCTTGGTTGCTCAAGTGTTGCCTCTTTTCTCTCTGTAACACTAGGCTGTTTCCACCTGAGTGCATGGTAGAGAAAAGAGCACATTTTGAGACATGAAGCTGCTAGGTGTGTCTACACAATTGGTTACATAGGGTCCTGTAGCTGAAAGAAACAGTAGAGATCATTGAGTCAAAAGGAGTTCAACTGGTTCAACAGAGCGCTATCTTTAGTAAGGGGTGAAGGGTTCAATTTTGAACAACATGTGGGTCGCTATAACAGCAGCCTAGGCTCAATATCTCCCTTTTATCTGTTGTGTATATCAGGCTTTTAATTAGGATTTCATTTAAAGAAATCGCTCTGCTTCCAAAAAAACAAGGATATCAACCACAAATTCAGTTCAACTGAGAGAGTTTAAGTGGCTTGTTCAAAGTTGCATAGCTCCTTAGAGGCAGAGCCAGCTCTAGAACTCGGGCCTTCTGACTCCCAGACTAACTTCAGCCTTGATGCTGTGTTTGACAGCTATCTGGATGAATAAAGAGCAGGGATTCTGGAGCCAGACTACTTGGGTTCAAACCCCAGTTCATTTACTTACTAGCTGTGTGACTGAGGGTAAATTACTCACCCTCCTCAGGGCTCAGTATTTTCATTTGTAAAGGTATTAGTACTTTCCTCTGGGATTACTATGAACATCAAATGAGCTAAAATGTGTAAAGCTTTTAGAAAAGTGCTTGATATTTAGTATAACCAATTAAATATAGCCTATTATTATTGTTTAAAGGGTTTCCAAAAGCTTTCCTAACCTTATAGGATCCACCATAAGACCTATAATCTAAGAATTTTCATTTCTTTGAGCAAGGACACAAAAGGCCCTTCTTAGAAAGTAAATGCATTATCTGAGTAATAACACAGTAAATCACTGTCACTCTCTCATATCTCATAAATAATTATTTCCATTACCTCTAGCCACTTAGTAAGGCCATAGAGGAATGGGACATAGAACAGTTAAGCCTTAATGATGAGTTAGAGTTAGGATTTCTTTGGAAAAACCTGGGAAAGACACGAAGGGCTGGGAGGGAACGAATCTCAAGAGAAGACAGACACCTGAAGCTATTGTAGCCCATTTCAAAATTCTCTTCTGGGCCCACCTCAGAGACTGAGGCACGGAATGCATCTCCCTGCAGTTCCCAGAAAGGACTGGTGTCAGGGTCTCCTTGTGCTCACTCCCTAGAAACCTTCCCTCCCTGTCTCACTCCACATATATTCTCTATACCCTAGTATTCTGGCTCAGAGAGTGTAATGAAAGTAGCAGTGGAAAATTAAAGAAAGAAAGCAGGCTCATAAGGGAAGACTGAGGGTTTGGAGAGGAGAGGATAAGAGAGGAAATGTCTCACCAGTCAGCCTCGGGGATAGTGGGCAGAGAGTGAGTAGGGTTTCCAAGAAAGGAGCAGTAAAACCAAAGTGTAATGTGCACAGGCCAGCTCCTCTTTCTCCATGTTTCCTTGGACTGTCAAAAGTGTGAGGGTAGGGCCAAGCCCTGAGTATATATCCTTGCAGAGTGTCTTGTTTTTCTAGATTGTATTGGAGAGTGGGAGTTCTAATGGTATGTGTGTGAGTGTCTGAGAGAGAAGAATTGAGTGAAGTTTAAGGTTAGGTGACTTTTATTATTAATCAAATGGAAGCCCAAGGTCAATGAGAAGCACATTGGAAGGAAGCCTATGAAGTGAATGACGTTCAGAAGGCAGTTCTCAACAATAAATTCAAATAACCTGCTTTCTTTTGAGCAAGAAATTAAATGTTACCTTCACTATTTGTGAAACGGAATTGTAGCATTTTTCATTCTGCTCCAGGTAAACACAGATAATCTAGTGTTTTTATTGCCATTAATATTAATCTCCATATTATATGATTGTGGAGTGGTACATATCAGTTAGTTAAATATTTTAGTTCCAGCCAGGTGCAGTTGCTCATACCTGTATAATCTCAGCACTTTGGGAAGCTGAGGTGGGAGAATTGCTTGAGCCCAGAAATTCAAGCACAGCCTGAGCAACACTGTGAAACCCGATCTCTACAAACATAAAAATTAGCCAGGTGTAGTAGTGTGTACTTGTAGTACCAGGTACTTGGGAGGCTGTGGTTATGCCACTGCCCTCCAGCCTGGGAAACAGAACAAGACCCTGTCTCAAATATATATACATGTACATACATGTATTTATATGTGTACATACATACATGTATATAAAATGCATATATGTGTATATATATGTATAATATATGTATATATATATTATACATTGATACATATGTATAATAGATATAATATGTATTTTATATATATATATATGTGTGTGTGTGTGTGTGTGTGTGTGTGTGTGTGAGACAGTCTCGTTCTGTCGCCCAGGCTGGAGTGCAGTGGCGCAATCTCAGCTCACTGCAAGCTCCGTCTCCCGGGTTCAAGTGATTCTCCTGCCTCAGCCTCCCGAGTAGCTGGGACTACAGGTGCCCGCCACCACGCCTGGCTAATTTTTTTTTGTATTTTTTAGTAGAGAGGGGGTTTCACCGTGTTAGCCAGGTTGGTCTCGATCTCCTGACCTCGTGATCCGCCCAACTCGGCCTCCCAAAGTGCTGGCATTACAGCCGTGAGCCACCACACCCAGCTGTATGTGTATATATATTTTCACATATGTACACATACATACATGTATTGTATATCATGCCCAGAAGCTTGATGTGTATATACACACATCCATACATGTATGTATATATTTTCACATATATATTTTTACAAATACATGTATATATGTGAAAATATATATGCATGTGTGTGTGTGCGTGTGTGTGTGTAGGTTCCATTGACTGGTAATATGTTTTTGATAATTCAGAAGGCACTTCAATATTTTGTAAGTCCAGGGGCATTTTTACTACCATTGATAACTGGCCAATACTATCAAAGTAAATGCTGCTATGTGAAATGTCTGGATGCTTGATTCTGGGTTGAAGAAATTTTACTGCATATAGCACTTGGATTTCAATCAGCAAGTGACATATTCTAACTGCACAGCCTTCTATAATTTGTTAATAAATTTATTTTTATTTTCAGTCTCAGTCCAAGTGCTTCTCAGCTAGTTTCAAAATAAGCAGTTATGAGTTAGCCAAATACACATTCTCAATAATATTGTTTTAGCTAAAAATATTTGCATACATGTAGCTCATGAAAACTCAGACATCATAAAAATAAAATTATCCTGCAGAACCATGAAAGTGAGAAGGTAGAGAAAATAAGTTAATGCAGGCAAAAAAGAGTCCCTTTTAAAAGGTAATTATTCCAGAAAACTGAAAACAGAGTGCTTCTCCCAGTGAAACATAAGTGAGCACCAAAATGATTTTAGTAACAACAATAACACTTTGACATACATTTATTTTATTTGATTATCCCAACTTCCCTGCGTAGAAAATGGAGCTGCTGTTATCATTATCCTTATAACCAAGCTTTATAAAATTTAAGCAACTTTCCAGGTCTGTAGTGAGTTAAGTAAGCTTCAAGCATTCTGATTTCTGTTCTGAGCGCTTTCCTGTGCCACTATCTGTATTGTAAACCCGGTAGGAGGGCAGAGCAGATTTTTATTACACAGTAGTATGATACTGTGTCACCTCTCCTCTTTAAGAATGTCAAAATATTGTACAAGTTTTGGGGGGGGAATTACATGCAAACAATTTGAAATTATCATGGAACTTCTGGGCATGATACACAATAAAACCAGCCTCCTCATGTTAACTCCCAAAGCCTTGGTGACTGAACAATTTAGGTAATTAACTTCATTTTAGGCTAGCTATAATGAAAGCTCTTGGTTTCCTTTATAAGTGTGGCTTCTCTTCACATTACTTTAAGTTTTCTCTTGATAACTGCTCAGAATTTATTCTGGCTGATGGGATGACTTTATCACTATGTTAGGTTTTGGTCAGCTTCAGAAAAAAACAAAAAATAAATAAAACAATGATTAAAAGAACACAGATGGGTATCTCTTTCCTATTTATGTAAATTCTGGATGTAGATAGTCCAGGGCTGATCTGGCTACTTCCTGGTTATCAGAGATTGGAGCTATTTCTAGCTGTCATTCTTAGTTTACATCCTCATAATCCAATATAGCTGCTCGAGCTCCAGCCATTATTTTGCCTTCTGGTCAGTAGGAAGGAGGAAGGAATAAAGAAGGGTGTGCCTCTTTCCTTTAAGGAGAATTTTAGAAGTCTCATCACTTCTGCTCACAAATAATCGGCTGGAATTTGGTCACGTTGCCACAGCTAACTGGGAGAGAGTCTGGAAATGCAGTGTTTTAGTCGGTATCCACCTCATAATCAGGGCTCTGGTAGAAAGAGAGGAGAGTGGATGCTAGGAAGCAATTGGAAGGCTCTGCCATAGTCTGAGAATGGTTCCTTATTTTATGTACCCATATTGCATGACTTTTAAAACTTCCTATGGGTTATTTTATGGGAAAGAATTTATCAAGGTTTTGCCTGAAGATCACAGTTACTATGTTATTAAGAATAAGAGAAGCTGAATGATAAGTAATTTGCTGTATTACTTCATATTTAAAATTAAACAACTGAGTTTTTAAACACTTTTATGTAAGATCCAGATTCCAAATGGTCATATTGTGACTAATGGGGCTTTAGTCATTTTTATTTTGATACTCCTGTCACTGAGAGAAATGAGAATGCATTGTGAATTTAGACGCTTCATAACCACAAACTACATACAATTTACACTACGTAATGAGAGCTGTTTAACAATAAAACATTTTTATTGGTGAGGAGTCAAAGTTTTCTTTTAATGCCTAGCACAGTGTCTTACACATGAAAGATATGTAATCAATGAGTGCTAAATTGAATTGACCTTCACTAGTCAGTTGGATTTATTTATCGGATGTATAAAAGACCCTTGACAGCTTCTGCTAGTATCCAATCATTATTCTTATGGCAGTGTCACACTAGCTGGGATTTAATTTGATTATATTGGGTGGTTGTGGTTATGCCTATGCATAGCTGGGACCACAGGGAACAAATCACTTCTCAGCTGTGTTAAGTGTTTTGCCCCTGACAGTGACCACACCTGCAGCTTCAGGGACTAGGAAATCCTCCAGAACACTGAAGTGCATAGAGATCAATCAAATCAGCTCTTACTTGGAGAATAAGAATCGATTTATCATGGAACTACTTAGTGCAATTACCATATTTATTATAGTCTTTTATTTAATCCTTCTCAATTACTGATGTGGTAATATACTAGAAGAGTGCATTTAATATTTTCTTTTTATCTGAGCTATATTTCTTGTAATTTACCTTGTAAAAAACTGTAGATAAAATTGCAATGAGACCCTTGATTGACTCCTATTACTGATTATACAACAAAACATAACTTATACGTTTTGTCAGACTTAATTTGTCTTTAGACATATATTCTTAACTTGTTTGGAATTAGAATGGCTGTTCTTATTTGACATTGTTTCCATTTCCTTCCTGGTCACCTTTATAATACATCAAACTGGAAAAGAAAAGGCTCACATTCACAGATTTATAAAGGGGAGAACCATAACCATATTTGTTTAGGGCCATTGATATCTGTTTGGCTCTTAGAGTCTCTGTTTTTGCTAATGGCCAGGGTGAAAATTATACAGTGTACAACTAGGCTGTAATACAATTATAGTAAATACTAATTGTAAAATTAATACAATTTTAGGTGCTTAAAGATATCTGCTTAAAATTTTTCTAGAAAGAACAAAACTCTTACAGATGTTTGGTCTCTGCTGGCTGGAGCAGGAGCTAGGAGGTAGAAGAGTAGGAGATGGGTTCTTGATCTTGCGGTTGAAGATATTTTATCAATCCATTATTTTCTCATTTTGGGTTAATTCAGTCTCTTTGAGGCAAATGTTGTCTTTCATGGTTTCTCCCAGCACGCCCTTTCCTTAGCCAAGATGGCATCTGTGTGAAGGAGAAAGCTCACATACCCTTGTGATAATGCAGGTAATTGAAGGGAGGCAGCTTGTCAAAAGCAGGTCCTGATCCTGCCCTTTGGGTCCTCCCTGAAATCCCCAGAATCAATTGTTGTCTTGCCTGGTTGCTAGACAGCCACTGGCATCCACCATTGATTTCAGTGCTGGTGAAATCTGGGAACAGTTTCCTCAACATGTTCTAGCCTTGTGGTCCTGCTTCCTTGACCCCACTGTCATCTCAGTGACACAGAAGACCCTTGAGGCACAGCCACTTCCTTCCTCCAGTCCATTGCCTTAGGCTCGTCCCCTCATAGGAACTGCTGTCTCTGCCATGGCGTTACAGGAAAGGGGTCCCAATCCAGATCCCAAAAGACAGTTCTTGGATCTCAGGCAAGAAAGACTTCAGGGTGAGTCTACAGAGTAAAGTGAAAGCAAGTTTATTAAGAAAGTAAAGGAATAAAAAATGGCTAATCCATAGAAAAAGCAGCCCCGAGAGTCGATTGTGGCCCATTTTTATGGTTATCTCTTGATGATATGCTAAACAAAGGGCTGAGTATTCATGCCTCCCCTTTTTAGACCATATAGGGTAACTTCCTGTTGTTGCCGTGGCATTTGTAAACTGTCATGGTGCTGGTGGGAGTGTAGCAGTGAGGATGACCTGAGATCACTCTTGTCGCCATCTTGGTTTTGGTGGGTTTTGGCCAGCTTCTTTACTGTAAGCTGTTTTAACAGCAAGATCTTTATGACCTGTGTCCTGCACTGATCTCCTATCTCATCCTGTGACTTAGAATGCCTAACCATCTGGGAATGCAGCCCAGTAGATTTCAGAGTTGCTCTGGTTCAAATGCCTCTGACAATGTCATCTTAGCCCTAATCATAGCTGTGACAGACTGCCACTGCTACTACTTGAGACCGTCACTACTGTTACTGCCTGAGACCGTCATTAAAAGACTGAACAAAGTGACGAACATAGAAATGAAAACTTAAGACAAAAGTAACTATTTTAAGGAAGGGTCCAGGGGAAGAAGAGAGCTCCCTGCTTCTAGCGAGCAAAGGCAGCCCTTTGTATTTATTGGGTAGAAAGAGCAGGGAGGAGGAGGTAACGACTGGTCAGCTGCTTAATTGATCACAGGTTCACATTATTACTAACAGGCTTCAGATTTGCCTAATCACAAGAAACACTTGTGCCTGGATTGTGACTGCCCTCCTGTAGTCCTTCTGGGTGGCATACACAGTTTGTCAGTTCGCCAACATTCTGCATTTATGAGAAACAGTTTGCTGTTTACTCATATAGCCTCCAGTGGTACACTGAGTTGATCATGACTCTTACTCTTTTGGCCTCCAACAATAGCAACTCCATGGCAGTCTCTATGGTGTTCAGCTTTCCACTGCCTTCCATAAGCCCCAGGGAGACTTCAGGGAGGCTGGAGGAGAGTCAGGGAATCATAATTGGCTTTCTCCTTCATGTCCACACACGCATGCGGTGACACCTCATGAGCCTGTGTACTAAAGAGCTTGTGACCATTTCTTCATTCTCTGTGTGTTTCTGTTCTTTCTCCCGCTTCTGGATTTTGACTCTGAGGCCATCGTAATGGAGAAGTAAGGATGTTATCTCCTACTCCTCTTTCTATGCTGTCTCCTCTTCTAGCACTAGAAGGATTTTGTCGGCAAAGGCCCTTCCTTGCAAAGGTTTCCTCCTGCTGCTGAAGTTGGCATTAGCTCTCCCATTTCCCTAGGGCTGTCGTGATGGAAGGGTTTCCATGAGAGTGGGGAGGGGATGGAAGACAATATTATCACCAATTCAAGAAAATGTATTTGGAAGTTTTTGAAGATTTAGAGTACATTTTTGTTGTTTCACTAAAATATCTCTTTAATTTTTCTAAATTGTGTAACTTTATTCTTAACTGTTTTTGGAAAATACATCTTTTTCTTATTTTTTTCCTTTAAATTATCAACTAAGATGTGAGTTCTTGGGCTTTGCTTATTGACTTAAAATTTTTTTTTAATTTTATTTCTAGAGACAGGGTCTCACTGTGTTGTTCAGGCTGGAGTGCAGTGGTACAATCATAGTTCACTGCATCTTCTAACTCCTGGGCACAAGGGATCCTCTCATCCTCCCACCTCAGCCTCCTGAGTAGCTGGGACTATAGGCTCACACCAGCACACCTGACTAATTTAAAACTTTCTTTTTTGGTAGGGACAGATCTTGCTGTGTTGCCCAGGCTGGTCTCAAATTCCTGGCCTCAAGTGATCCTCCCACCTTGGCCTTGCAGAGTTACCCTTATTGTTTTATTAGTAGAGCAATTTTGAATAGTTAGAATAATTTTGTTAATTTAATGAATTTTTTTTTTTTTTTTGAGGCAGAGTCTCAGTCTACTGCCCAGGCTGGAGTGCAGTGGTATGATCTTGGCTCACTGCAATCTCCATCTCTCTGGTTCAAGCGATTCTTGTGCCTCAGCCTTCCAAGTAGCTGGGATTACAGGTGTGTGCCACCACACTTGGGTAATTTTTGTATTTTTAGTAGAGACAGGGTTTCACCACGTTGGTCAGGCTGGTCTCAAACCCCTGACCTCAGGTAATCCACACATATTGGCCTCCAAAGGTGCTGGGATTACAGGCATGAGCCACCACACCCAGCCTTAATGAACTTTAATAATGTTACTATTTGTGTCGATTAGCAACATAGCAGATAGTCACAACAGCTAAACCATACAGAACATTTTCTATACTCAACCCAAAGGTTGTGTGTACCGTTCGTCTTCCGGCCAGTTCAGGCTTTCCATGGCAATAAATCCCTGGGGACTAGGACCTTTCAGGAAGCAGCCTCTGGTTAAAGTCTACTTCCAGGGATATGGCTGTTTCCTCATGGTTCTGAGAGCCAGGAGGCTCTACGTGTGGAACAAACTGACCAAATTCAATGAATCAGGAAGTGACAAAGATAGTTCAGGGAAGGATTAGTCTCTAGATTACTGTATTTTTGATACCAATAATTGTTCTTCCTTTTGCTTATTTTACCTTTATAGAGCTGGGAGCACATAAAAGATAAGGCAGGATGTGAATTTGACCAGGTGTGCGTGGTTATCACCAGGCTTAAAGAAAAAAATATCTCCCTTTGACATATAAAGAGCTTCTAAATCAGACAGCAAATCATAACTAGTGTCACTCAGTGTCAGGCATTGTGCTGGGTTCTTTAGAGTTACAGAACATTTATGATACAGTCTGTGATTTCAAAGAGCTTGAGTCTTGTTGAAAATATTATCCATTCATTCGCTAAATATTTAATGAGTTCATACTATAGGAGAGGCACTGTGATATGTGGGCATAGAGCAGAAACAAGGTAGATTTGAACCCTGCCTCAATGGAACTGATAATCAAGTGGTACTGATATTCAATAACTGACTCTGGATGTTTCCAAATATCCCCAATTCTAGCCATAGAAAGTTCCGTTGTTTTTTTTTTCAGATTAATTAAAAAACTCAAGCACATCCTGGGTGACTTCATGAAATGCAGTCCCTCTCGAGCACTCTGATGATTCCAGGGAGTCATTAGGTTCTGGCTGTCACCTGACAGGTCTCTCTCTGGGCTATGGTTTTGCATTTCCACAGTTCCCTTCAGGCTCTCTCTGATCTGTTTCTCTAGGTGGCTGTCCTCTCTCTACTGTGCTTCTAATCAGTCTGGGGAGCCTCCTTTTTTTATTCTTCAAAGCTTCACCCTCATAAAGCTCCTTATTCACTTAGTTGTTTAGCCTCTTTTTAGAAATTTGTGATTTACCTTATTTTTAATTGACAAATAATCACTGTATATGTTCTGTATTTATGGGGTATGTTGTGATGTGTTGATATATGTTTACACTGTGCAATGATTAAATTAAGCCAATTAACAACTCTATCACCTATTTATGAGTCTTTACCGAGAACTTCAACTGAGCCAAGGGTGAATGAGGAAGGAGAAAATGAAAAAACAGTGAAATTTAAAAAGCAGAGATAACTACTCCTAATGTTTATTGACTGCTCCCTTGCATAGATGTCCACAAATGGACAGTAAATTTTTTAGCTCTGCAAATATGGAGTGGGAGACAGAGAGGAATGATGGTGGAAACATGACAGGAGACTTGTGGCCCATGAAATAAATGTTTGTCTTTATTTTAAGGCTAATAGAAAAATAAGAAGCAATTTTACAAAACATGTATGTTGGGATGTCTGAGTATGTATGTGTGTAATGAGCAGGCTCTCTTTAGAAACAATTGTGTGGAGAATGGCTTAGCTACCAATATTAGGTGGCATACACTAGATGCTGGATGAGCAGGAGCAGTGTCATATACTGATCGATGTTTTCCCTCCCAAATCTGACAGTAGATCTGTCAGACATCAGGAATTTCTTCCCAACAGCCTGGGGGGTGGAATACTGCAGTCCAATCACAAATGATATTCCCAAAGTGAGAGGCAGCAGGTGTAAGACTGAGCTTATTTATATAGCAGGTCTGTGTGATTACACACAGTATTGTAAAATATACCTGGTAGAATAATTTCATGGAGAAAAAGTCCCTCTTAACCTGGTATCAGAAGTAGATGTACAGGGAAGTGAATGAAGTTGAAGTTTCAAAGTCTCTCAATTTCACAGGCCTTTTCCTAGGCACCTAGCTTTATATTCATTTTATTAAAGAAAGTTTTGTACTCTTCAGATGCCACAAAACCTGGATCCACCTCTGTCCAGTATAGTCCCCAGGTATTCATGGAGAAAGTGGAATTTGAACTTGCCCTTGAAAGAAAATTAGTCTGTGCATATGTCAAAAAGAATGGGAGCCCATTCTGAGTGAGGATAACTGTGGGGGCAGCATGGAGGGTGCACTGGAGGGCCATGAGTCAATTGATTGATGGGTACCAGGGATCACTAAAGCAAGTGTTGGATACCCAAACTCATCATCTAAGGTGTTTGCATTGGTTGGTTATTTACGTTCCTTGGACCATAGGAAATAGATCAAAACTTATGTTAGCTTAAGCAAGAGGAGGTTTATTGTAATAGAAACAGCATTATGGGCCATGCACAGTGGCTCATGCCTGTAATCCCAACACTTTGGGAGGTTGAGGTGGGAGGATCACTTGAGCTCAGGAGTTAGAGACCAGCCTAAACAACATAGTGAGATCCTATCTCTACAAAAAATAAAAACATTAGCAGGGTGTGGTGATGCATGCCTGTAGTCCCAGCTACTTGGAAGGCTGAGGTGGGAGGCTTGAGCCCAGGATGTCAGGTTGTAATGAGCTGTGATTGTGCCACTGCGCTCCAGCCTAGGTGACAGAGACAGACTCTGTCTGAAAGAAAAGAAAGAAGGAAGGAAGGAAGGAAGGAAGGAAAGAAAGAAAGAAAGAAAGAAAGAAAGAAAGAAAGAAAGAAAGAAAGAAAGAAAGAAAGAAAGAAAGAAAGAAGAAAGGAAGGAAGGAAGGAAGGAAGGAAGAGAGAGAGAGAAAAGAAAAGGAAAAAGAAAAGAAAAAAAAGGAGAAAGAAAAAGAAACAATAGTATGGCTTGGAGTGTGTAGGCTGGAGTTGGAGAGTAGATTAAGATCCTGAAAATCAACAACTGGAGTAAATGGAATCTCTTGCCTATTGTCCACCATTATTGGACCCAGTTATTTTCTACTTGTCATAATTTTGTTTCTATTAACAGTTGCCTATTCTTTCTCTGTATTGTCAATATAATTCCTTAGCTTAATCATCTTCTTCCTCATGGCTCTGTTCCTGATACTAATCTTCCTTATTTTCTTGACATTCTCAAAAAAGGAAGTCTCTTATAAGGTCACTGTTCCTTGACTGGCAAAGTCATAGATCAGTGGCTAACCTATTGCTTGAGCTTGCACACCTTGTCCAATCAGGTATGCCTAAAATGTACAGAATCTTTGCACAAAATAGGCGACCTGTAGTTGCCCCTTCAGAAGTTGTGGGCCAGGGAATTTCCCTTACAAGAACCTCTAGGTGAGGCTAGCATAATAAATGGCCTGTTTGTTATGGCTGAAATAGGAATAGCTAATATTTTCTGAGTGCTTACTTTGTGTCATTGCATCAGATTCTGTTCTAAGTGTTTTATATACATTAACCCCTTTTTTAAAAATTTAAGAGTCAGGGTCTTGATCTGTCACCCAGGCTGGAGTGCATTGGTGCCATCATGGCTCAGATTCCTGGGATCCCTCAAATTCCTAGGCTCCAGGAATCCTCCTGCCTAGGTCTCCCAAAGCACTGGGATTACAGACATAATGGGCAGCCTGCATTAATCCTTTAATTCCACCAACAATCTTATAGGGGTAGTTACAACCTTTATTCCCATTCCACCAAGAAGGAAACTGAGGGCCAGCAAGTTGCAGTAACTTGCCCAAGGTCACGCAGCTAATAACTGGTGGAACCAGGATTCCAGCTGGGCAATATTTCTAGAGTTTACCCTTCTTCCTGCCTAAGGTTTTTGGCTATCAATCCCCCCAAACTATGTCGAAGTCCCCACTTATTTGAAAGTGGTAACAGTTCTATTTCTCCAATTCCCATCCACCCCTATCCAATCTTAGTCCAAAAGTGAAACATCCACAATAACTAGCTGTATTTGCTCTCTGCCTTCCACTCTTGCTCATTCAGTCCTGTCTTTGTTCAAGACTTCCCCGCCTCCCTTCCAGTTCTTCTTTTCATGCTCTGCACTTCCTTATGAAACCTCAACTCCCCTCAATTACTTTAATATTTCCCCTTTCTGTGAATTCTTAAGGCTTCTACAATCTGTGCTATTGTGAAGAGACCAGTATAACTGCATTTAAGGTCTATTATCTTAAGAATATATTTTGATGTTGTAGAAAGAGAAAAACACAGAACCCCCTTAAAAGATGAAGATTCAAGAAGCAGTGCTAGAAGTTACAAAGCCTAGTAACTGTATAATCTCTTTAGATAGTGAGGCTGTAAAAACTCCAAAAGATGAAATTAAATTGAGGAGACAGTTGTAAGGCATTGGAGTCTTTAATATAGTTTGAGTTGATCAGAGTCTCACGAAGTGGTGTGAGAACGCTCAATGGAAGGACGGTCCCCAGCCTGCCCACTTTGTTTCTCCAGGCAGTTTGAATTCTGAGAGGAAAGATAAGAAAGGAAGGAAACTTTGGAAAGTAAGAAGGGGAAACCGTTTATTTTTGTTGTTAGTGTGATATAGCAGGCCCCGGACTAGAAATGATGGCTCACACCCAAAAGACCAGCAAGTAAATAATGACAGTAGATAACGTGCAGCTGTACCCATTTCCTCAGAATTTTGCTGAAGTGACAAATCTGTCTGTATTCTCTGTACAGAATAACAATTAATTTTTTTATGAAAGCAATCTTTTTACAGCTAAATAATGAATTAGGCACCAGAAGCCTGGTTTCTAGTTCTGGTTCTAGGTCTAGATTTGAGCAAGTCAACTTCACTCAGCTTTTTTTTTTTTCACCTATAAAATAGAAATAATATCTACTCACTTATAGACATTGCATATAAAAAATGTAGAAGAAATCATTCATTCAAACACCACATAGTAATTAAACCACGTTGTGGCTGACTCTGGTTTACTCACTGAGGGTCCATCAACAAACAGAAACGTGAAAATCTCTGCTCTTGTGGGGCTCACTGAGTAGTATAATTGGCTAGCTCACATGTTTTAGTCTTTTAACCCTGCTCAGTTATCTATACTTTCATTTCTTTAAGAAACAAGCATTTGATGAATAAGGTATGTTCTAGGGTATTTATGCGTGGATTAAATCTACAAATCTATTATTGGGCCTAGTGATAGAGCAGAAAGAGAAAGCTAGATTCCAGATAGGACTTTGCTGCAAGCTAGCTTTGTGACTGTAAAAGAAAGTGGCTTCATATCCTCATCTGTAAATAAAAGAGTTGGATTACATCATCTCCAAGGCTCCTTTTAGCTTTAAAATGTGCAGTTTTCTTTATGCCCACAGGGATCACTACCCTCTTGGTGGCAGCTGGCATGGTGCCTAAGAAGAACTTGCCAGTGCTCAGAATATACCCTGCAAATTCTAACAAAGTAGATGATGGTGAATATCACCATCCTATGCTCTGGAGAGTGACTATGTGCCATTTTCTACTATTTCTTGTTATTTCAATTGCTTCCCAACTAGAGCACACACTCCTGCAAGGCAGGAATCAATAAGTGCATTATACATATTATTATCCGGATCAGGAAAGACTCCTCTGATATCAGAAGCCTGGATTTGTGTTTCTAAAATTATCTATATTTTCCCCCTTGAGTAGGTCAAATGCTGCTCCTATTACCTTATTAATTTTTTGTTTTGCTTATTAATTTGACCAATTAAGACTATTTTATGTCACGAACAATATAAAATTTAGTTCTACCCTTATTAGAATAATGTGTTCATTCCAGCTTAATGAAGTTTCATTATACTTGCATAAAAAGTGGGGGGAGGTTTGTAAATACTAGAACTTAATATGCAATACAGGTATATCTAGCCTGAGTACTACAATCAAAGATGAGAGCATATACCAAAAGTTTCTAAGAGACTAGTTTTATTAGCACAGGAATGAAAACCAATTATAGAATTTGGAGGGAGCGAGGCAGTAGAGTGTGGTTAGGACATGTGTTTTGGAACTAGACTGCTGGCATTTGAATTCAAACTCTGCCACTCATCTGGAGGTGACCTTAGGCAAGTTACTTTACCTATCTATGCTTCAGTTTCTGCATATCTCAAGTGAAGATGATAAGAGTACCGATTACAAATAATTAAATGAATTATTATTTGTAAAGTGTTTGAACAGTTTCTGACAAAGGGAGAGGACCTTCTAATTCTGGTCAGTTGTTTAGGAGGGAGCTAAAAGGAGAGGAATTAGGAGCACCTGAGACTGCATGTCACTTAAAGAAGCTGGTGTTAAAGGGAGGCAAAACATTCGACTGCACTTGGAGGAAGGAGTAGAGACAAACAGTCAAGCACAGGTGTTTGTGTGTATTGGTTTCCCAAGACAAGGGAAACTTCCACATATCTGAAAGTGGATGGAAAGGAGCCGGTGGTCAGGAAGTTGGAAGAGGGAGGGGATAGCTATGGGAGCGGGATGACCTGTAACAAGGACTCAAGTAATCAGAGGTGAAGAGAGGGAATTCTAGGATGGTTTTCTCTTTTTCCTTCAAAATCTAGCTAGATTTATGCCAAGTTACACTTCTGGCCTTGAAATTCTGAAGGTGACAGCACAGACCATCATAGTCCTCAGTTATTCAGGATCAAGCAGTGGATGGGGATAAATTAGTGAGCTAGTGTAGGTGAGCAGAAAGAACTATTAATGACATGATGGAAAGTAGCTATAACCCTGTGGTACAGCTGGGTCATTCTGGAAGGAATCTCGTAGACAAACTAGCATAGTGTTCAGCCCACAGAGGCAGCATGGCTCTGTGAATACAGGCATCAGGCATCCTCAGCTAAACCATAAATGGCACAGGATCCACAAATGAGCCATAGCAGAAGGCCAAACAAATGAGCTATGTTTCTGGAGTCTCCATTTGGTGTCTGTGACGTGCCCATTTACACATCAATCTTCTTTCAGAATTGCCATAGGAAAATAATTTGGCCCAAGAGTTAAATTCAAATTGGAAGATCAACACCGACCCTCCCTCCAAATACGCAGTTAAATAGCCTGAACCACCTTAACTGAATTATTTTAAAATATCCTGTAACACAGCTTAGTAAATAAAGCTGTCTAAATTGAAATCTTTGGGGTCTCACATCCAAAGGGAGGATAAAGTTTGCTGGCAGATTGGATATCTTATATACTTGGCAATTTGGGAAGAACACAGCAGAGCTGCAAGTTTAGTTGAAACAAGAACAAGATTTATTTCAGACGGGAAGATCCTAGGCAGCATAAAGGAAAATCTTTATGGCTGCAAGAGCTGATATGTCTAAGAGAGGCTCGTTAGTACCTGCTTATCCTTATACTTTCAGGACAGGTCATATTTGATGTGAATGAAGATCAGTGTATTAAAGGGTTTAAGCATGAAATGAAATTAAAGGCAAAGGAGCTTGGCATCACCTGACATATGGTAGTCTTTATCTTTTAGAAATGGGAAACTTTCAAAGATATTTATGATTTGCCAAGATTTGCCTTGGAAACAATATGCAGGATATGTTAAAGAGAAGGAAAACTTTGGTCAGAAACAGTAGTAACAAGGCTATTAGTAGATCAAATCATATATAATCCCCAATATACAGCAATTTTTTAAAATGGAATTTATTTTTTGGAGCAGTCCATAGCAGAATTGAGAAGTGCAGAGATTTTTCACAGACTCCCCTGGCCCCACATATGCATAGCCTCCTCCATTATCAATGTCCCCTACCAGAGTGGTATGTTTATTGCAATTGATGAATCTACAAGGACACCGCATTATTACCCAAAGTCCATAGTTTACATTAGGGTTCACTCTTGCTGTTGTACATTCCATGGGTTTGGAAAAATGTATAATGACGCGTCCACTATTATGGAATCATAGATTAGTTTCACAGCCCTAAAAATCCTCTGTGCTCCACAGACAGTGCCACTAGGGAAACATATGCTGCAGAACTCTTGGCTCTTGACAAACTACCTTGCAGTGCCTCTTACTTTAGGTTTTTTTTTTTTAATCTCCTGCTATTTGACATTGTACAGGTATGTGATATCGAAATTCCTACAGCTGTAGTCTGCTTCTAAAGTTTAGCCAACAAATAATGCAAGCCCAAGGGCATTTCCTTAGTTAAAGCAGGCCTCTAAATAAGAACCAAGCAGCATAATAGCAGGAAGAGGAACCTAGTTGTCAGCTAAGGTAAGAACTTATCCTAACCAGATCGTTCTTTAGCAGATGGAGAATCTTCTCACATAGGAGTACAAAGGGGGCTTTGAAAGTCTTGCAGACAAAAAATTTAAAAAGACCCCAAAAACCTGTTCTCCTTTCTCCTCCAAGTCTGACCACTCTTCCAGAACCATAAAATTTCTGTGCAAATTGCCACTAAACTTTTTCTGTTTGCTGTGGAATAGGTATTGGTCAAAGTGTAATTTTTGCTGCAAAGAAAACATGGCATTTTATGATTCTTCACACAGCACTGCCTACCTAAAACAGAAATCATCCATTTGCTTAACACAGTTAAAGATTGGAAAACTATATGTCTGTCTGGACTGCTTGTATAATGCCATGCCACTTAAAATGGCCGTGCTGTTTAAGATAATCTTAATTAAATTTTTAAGGAAAAAAAAACTTTAGAAAGCCAATTAAAAAAGACTGAAGAAACACTGGATTTTATTTCTTTCTCCTTTCTCTTGTAACAAATTTTTATGAGGAATTCATTTTATTGTGTCTTTTTCTTATAAGACAATTACTGAGAAATTTATAAAAAAAAGGAATCGTTTTTCTGCTGTGACATCCAATGAATTTAGGAGATGTGTAATATGGAGAATACTGTTGAGGGATGGGCCTCAGGACTGGCTGTGCAGCATTGTCCACTCAGGCCACAAATGCTTATCCACTATGATTTCTGTGCCAGGCACCGTGGTAGCTGCTGGAGACTCAGTGGTAAGCAAAACCAGGCACAGTTCCTGCTCTTGTGAAGCTTATAGCTTAGGTACAATGACACATCAATAAATAATCACACACATAACTATACGTTTCATATGCCATGAGTTCCTGAAAGAAAAAATAGTAGATGTCATATAGTGAGGCACCAGTCCTAGTGAACAGGATGTTCTCCAAGAAAGTGATTCTCCAAGTTGAGATCTATCAGATGAGTAGAAGTTAGCCAGGTGATGAAGAAATGGAAGCATACTGCAGGCAGAAGAAAGTGCAAGTACAAAGGCCCTGAGGTATGAAGAAGGATGACACTGTTCATAATGTTCGAAGATGGCTAGTGTAGCCTGAGCATTTAAGATCAAAAAGGCAAAAAGTTTGAAAAGAGTTTGAAATTGCATCCCGAGGCCAGATAAAACAGCCTTTGATGTCATGTTAGGAATTCTATTCTTTATCCCAGAGCAATGGGAAATCACGAAAAATAATCAGCTGGAGGGTGGTTGAATTAGATTTCCCTTCACCAATCACTTGAGGTCAATGAGTTCTTATTCAGCCTTTAACAAGTGCTGTGATAACTTCCCCAGTCATATCAGACATGGTCTCTGCCTGCAAGTCGTATTTGATGCGTAAGTGTAGGAGGAAATAAGTGTGAGTCAAAGCATGGAAGTAGAAATGAGATGGTCCTAGGAAGGTAATATCTAAAACATCCATATTGATCATAGCCAATGTGACTTTGATATGCAGGTTTTGGTTTTGCTTTTCTTTAAAAATACTCAAGGAAGTGTCCTGTGAAATCCTCTGTCTGTTCACAGATCAGGTACCACACAAACAACTATGCATCCAGCTCCACCTCCTTACCCTGCCAGTGTTCCTCAACCTTGATGTGGAGCGACCATTTGGAAAGGTGAGATTTAGAAACTGCCGGGATTTATAGCATAGCCTTCCCCCGTCTCTCTGTTCTAATCGGAGTTGATGCTACAAAGGCAGACCATCTCTGAGAATTAAAATGCAAATTAAACATATACATCTGATTAAGAGTGCTAGATTCCTTAGAGGAGTTGTTGTTTTTAACTTTACTTAAGTTTCCTCCAACCAAGAGTTTTTTGAAACTGGCTTGAGTCTGATCTTGTGACTGATCAAGTCTCTTGCCATGAAAGAATCTGTAAGTCACTGATTTTTTCATAGTAAGGACAGTTTCCAGTAGTATGTTAAGGCTAGGCCACTCCTATTTTAATTAGGTATCAGAATCCAGCGTGTTCGCCATATGGCTCATATGGCTAGCACACTCTCAGTCGCATTTTTGATTAGATCTATTTTGAATAAAACATGTACTTCAATGAATGAGTACTCTAAAAGGCAGAACTTAATCCCAAATGTCATGTATGATTGGCCATATCAAATTTTGAGCTTTAGTTTCTTCCCTCAAGCACCTCTTTTTAGTATTTCTATTAATGGCTAATTGAATGGAAAGTCTGCTGGGAATTATAGCATTGTGTGATTTTTTTCTTTTTAAGAAGGACTGTGAAAAGGTTTATTTTTTCAGAGATAACACAGTTGACTTATCAAATGAGTTGAACTCTTCATTTTAGCGAAAAAGCATGCTCATTTTATTTTATTCTCTGGGTAATGTCAGGTACAGTAACCCCTCTGCTCGGTACAAGTTGTTATAACTGATATGAACATTCAAGCAGCTCAATTTCTTTAGACATTTATCCTCATGGTTGAGGGAACTGAGAGAATTTTTCCTGTTTTTCAGAGGAAGAGATGAATGTGTTTTTTCAATAGAGATATATAGTGTGCCACTTACAGGATAAGAACAAGCTGGTTGATTCTGGAAAACAGCTTAAAAATCATGAGGCCAATACAATTTTTACTCAACTCACATTTATAATCCTATATCCTTCCCCACATCTATCTGTCTACGTATCTATCATCTATCTATCTATCTATCTATCTATCTATCTATCTATCTATCTATCATCTATCTATCTATCTATCATCTATCTATATCTATGTATCTATCTGTCTATCTATCTATGTCTATAACACACACACACACACACACACACACACACACACGTGCACACTGGGTACTGTTTTGCTGTTAATACAGATTTCCCTAGAAAACCAATGAAGGGAAACGAAGAGAGATAACTTGTTTCCATCTCTTTTTTGGTAGGTTCACTCTAACTCCATTTTTAATTTTTTAAAGTAAATCTTATTATACTTTTGCTCAGTTACAAAAATAAGCCCTGTTCTCTATGGAAACTTTGGAAAATGATGAAAATTAGAAAGAAAAATAGCTTACTAAACTTTAGTCTCACCAGTCAGTAAAAATTCAGTATCATGTTAGTGTATGTTTTTCTATTCTTTTTTTCCTGCAGTTTTTTAATTTTGTTTTACATACTTATGTTAATATTATGATATACATTTTTTAATCTTGTTCTCATTTTATTTAGCATAAAATAAGCATTTCTCAGACCATTTGCAAATTCTTTGTGAAGCCATTTTAATATTTATGTAATAGGTTATCTAAATAATACACTGTAGCTTACTTAACCATATGGTCAATTTTGTGGTCAAATTTGCCACATTGATGAAAATATTACTGTATCATTACCCAAGTACTGAAAGGCAGAGGTTTGAAAAAACTGTTTATATATATATATATTTTACCATAAGGAGAATTTATGGAATAAGTAATGTGTAATATTTAATGTTCTTTAAAGATACATGTAGACAGACTGTTTGCGAAAATAATTAGATTTAAAATTTCATCAACCGTGTGTGAAAAAATTTGCTTTATACTAATTGGCACTGTGTACTATCTTAAAAAAATAAACAGAATACTTTAATTAATGAATTAATTATGTTTTTTTGAGATGGAGTCTCGCTCTGTCAACAGGCTGGAGTGCAGTGGCATGATCTCGGCTCACTGCAACCTCCACCTCCCAGATTCAAGCGATTCTCCTGCCTCAGCCTCCCAAGTAGCTGGGACTACAGGTGCACACCACCACACCCAGCTAATTTTTGTATTAGTAGAGATGGGGTTTCACCATGTTGACCAGGATGGTCTTGATCTCTTGACCTCATGATCCACTCGCCTCGGCCTCCCAAAATGCTGGGATTACAGGCATGAACCACCGCGTCTGGCCTACTTTGATGTTTTGATAGGAAAATATTCTATTTCCTGGCTATTTCAGCTTCTATTCTTCCTTATTTCTTTTTAGACTAGAGTTATATACTAATTGAAACTTGTTTTTACAACAAGATTATTTGACCATTTATTGTGCCTACAATTGCTTTTTTAAATCTAAAACACATGTAATTACTTCAAAAGAGAATGTTTTAAACGTTTAAAGCAAACAAATTTATTACTTATATTTTACTCCTCACACCATACACAAAATTTAAAAAAAATAATCCCCATCCATGCTTATTGCATCTTTCTCTCTCTATTCTAACAGATAATGAAAGAACGGAGTTGGACATTTTATTGCAATTCCTGCTTCCCTGAATTTGCATATTTCTTCCCACCTGAGAAGGATAATTATATATTTTAATTTGGATTATTTCTTCATTTTTATCTTTTTATTTTAATGATTGTTTTGTCAGTAATACCCATGGAGATCAACTTTATTATTATAATCCATGCCTCTGAATATTAGATTGGTTTCTTGGATGGGATTTTGAATATGCATTTAAGAAGTTGGGAAGAATTTCACAGATGATGATTGGAGGAAAAGTGATGAAAAGAAAGACCTGTGTTCCAGGAGTTTTCTCCAACTTCAAACCTTTACGTGAATCTTAACCAAAGTGGACATCTTTACATTTCATGATAGCTTGCTTTTGCAATATGAGTTTGAAAAATCAGTATAAGCTTATGATGGTGAAAAGTCAACATATTGAGAGTGATAATTCAATTAATAGGATATGAACTTAACGACATATAAAAGCAAATGAGGGCAGGAGGGAATCGTGACAAAAAATATTTGTGCCCAATTATGATTAATGTTTTAGAGATGTTGTGTCCCTGTGGGCTTAGCATGGAACTAAAAGTTCCTAAGTCTCAATTCTAGTTATGTGTCATTTAGTAACTCAGGAATCTGCTTAATTGTTATTTCTAAGCTTTTGATGACAAAGGAGTGATGCAGCTAAGGGCATCCTTGGAGTGTCATAAAAAACAAATTTGAGGTTGAATGATTAGCTGCGCAGTTAGAGTGATAAAAAAATCCAGGTAGGCCTTCTGATTCACCATGACCAAGTCAGGATTTCTTAATATTTCTTTTCTGGCAGCATATACAAAGGCAAAATTAATAAATAACAGTTGTTGAATAACAAACTTTATTACGTTTTTATAAAATAAAAGAATCTATTTTGTCTGTATTAAAATAAAAAACTTTGTGGACTTCTAAAAGATATACTTGAGTCATCTAATAGTTTTCAACGGATATGCCGTTACCTGCTTTTAAATTCAATCAGCTTTTCTTCTTCTTGTCCTTTTTTTTCTCTTCCTCCCTTTCTTCTGTCCCCTCATTTGCTTAATTCACCACATATTTACTGAGTGTCTCCTCTTTAGGTACCATGCTAAAGGCCATGCTGTCACCTATAGGACATCTTGGGAAGCGATGAAAATATGGTATCAGAAGTTTTGCTGTAGGATCATATGCTGTGACTACATATCGTTTCTGCCAACTATAATGACTCAATAGTAGAGTCCTTCTTAAATAGCAGAAGCAGTTGTGAATTAGCTATAAACTATAACTATTTTCTTCCAAATCTATATTTAAAATGGTCTTAACTAGCACAAAGCTGATGCTGTACACAATCCCTTTACTTAGGTTTAAATTCAGTGAATTTTATTGAGTACATAGTATTTGCCAACATCAGAAGAATGTCCATTCTTCTGTTACTTCTATCTGTTCCTCATTCACCTGTGTGACTAGCTGTCATCTATTCACTATTTTATTTTTACAAAAGATGGTACAGTTTATAAAGGGCTTAACCGATTTTTCATACCTAACATAAGTAAGAATTCAAATTCAGGTTCAAGTTTTTAAAATTCCAGGTGTACTGTTCCTTCTTACAGCACAATGGGATGAAAGATTTGCTGCAGTGATATTCTGTTTACAAGACAAAGTGATGTGGTAACAGAAGCATGAGTTTGGAATCAAACTTGGATTTAAATCTGGCTGTGCCACTCACAAGCTCTGTGACTCTGAGAAAGTTAATTGCATCTCAATAAATTAATCTATAAATTGAAGATAATAGTACTTACCTGTAGGGTAATTGTAATAACGTACATAAAATGAGTGTTACACGATAGATCCTCAGAAAGTATTTACTATGATTGATTCTTTACCCAGACTTATTTCTACCTATTTAATGTGAATCTCAATTTCAACTATAAACCGGCTTCTTGACTCTGTGGGTTTAAATGTCATGAACGGAATCAACCCCAACCATCCTTTGGATGCTATTCTTGTTTTTAAGACCTCACGATAATTTTTGTCCATGCAAAACCTACCCACCTCCCACATGTTCAGATCTCACCTTGTCCTTAGGCCTTGAATACTTTAAGTATTTTTGTTTTTTCCTTACCTCTGTCTGCAACTTTGAAGTTACATAGTACTCATTTTGACTATTGTATTGTACTATTCCTTGAATATTTTCATTGTATATGTCTCTTCCCATGTGACAAAACTGTAATTCATGGTGGAGAGGACTCGTTTCTTAATTTTTTTCCACAGGTCTCTTGGCACTAGTGTAGTGTTTGACACCTAGAAAGATGTTACTAATTAAGTAAATTATCAGCGAAGGTAACATTTATGTACAAGATTAACATAAGTGAACATGATAGCTTTTTGTTTTTATGTTGTTGTTCATGTTAGTGGTTGTTGTCATTTCACGTTAAACTTTCCTTGTTTAAAAATGTCTACATCCAGGGAGAATAATCACAAGAAGTGCTTTTTGTTTGTTTATTTGTTTGTTTTTAAGACAGAGTCTCACTCTGTTGCCCAGGCTGGAGTGCAATGGTGCGATCTCGGGTCACTGCAACTTTGGCCTCCCCAGTTCAAGCAATTCTCCTGCTTCAGCGTCCTGAGTAGCTGGGATTACAGGCACCCACCACCACTCCCAGCTAATTTTTGTACTTTTAGTAGAGACGGAGTTTCACCATGTTGGCCAGGCTGGTCTTGAACTCCTAACCTTAAGTGATCCACTCGCCTCAACCCCCCAAAGTGCTGGGATTACAGGTGTGAGCCACCATGCTCAGCCCACATGAAGTTTTACATAGCATGTTTATTAAAGGTTTTTTTGTTAAAGTAATAAGTAACAAAATAATTAGAAAAGTTAGAAAAATAATGACTATTTGGCAAAGATACTTCTCATACAATGAGAAATATCTTTGTCCAATTAGTTTAAAATCTGATGTAGAGAAACTGTATATCTATATATACATATCAGTATATATATATATGATACTTAAAAAACTACTTTAGTTTTTAGAGTAGTTTTAGTTTCACAGAAAAATTGAGCAGGTACAGAGAACATTTTTGTTTACAATCTAGACAAATGTATCCATTGTGTACAAATTCATTGAAAATAATGTTATATTATGTTATATGTGTACTCAAATACTCTGGGTTGTAATTCAGCAAAACACTGGTTTTTAACAAGTAGCTTCATCTTCATTTTTGTTATTTTCAATAAACACAAATTCTTGTCATTATGCAACAAGGTTATAATAAAGATAGAACTAACCCTCAAAATAAAGTAAGATCCTTAAGAACTTTGCCAAAAAAAAGTTACTTGTGAAGAACTGATGTTTGATCTACAGTTTTATTTTAATTATAGTAACTACTGTAAAGTTCTGTGGGATACATATGTGAAACAAACATATAACATTAATATGCTTTAAGTGGGCTGTATGGACATGAGTCCTGACTATACATATAATATATTCCACGTACTTTTAAACTTACAGCTTTTGCATTGGAAGAAATGAACTGCTGCCTACTCCAGCCCCCATTGTATTGCAGCATTAGTGCTTTCATTCAGCATCAGTGCAACCCAATGTAAAAGAAAATAAACAAACAAATAAACAAAAAACTCAGCTGTGCTGTTCCCAAGAGAGGTTGGACCAGGGTAATGTGAACAAGCATGCCAAGCCATGCCGAGATCTGTTAGCCAGGGATACGTAAGAGAACAGAGAATATTGTGTTTAGAAGCTTTGGCTTCCGTCAGAAGGTATATTTATCTAAGTTCTCCCAAGGAGGGAAGAGAAAAGTAGAGTCATTATCTTTTACATAATAAAATATATCCACAGAATATATGAAAATTCAGACAGAGTTGACTTGGGTCTGTGTTTTTAGTATCTAAAAGAACAATTTTCAAAAATTAAATAAATAATGAAATAAAAGCTATAAGGAAATCAGATAAACTAAGAGAAAAAGTTTTTCAACATCCTTTGTAATTGGAAGCACATTTCAAAGAAAACTGTTCTTAAGATAATTGTCATTATGCAGGTATCTTAAGGATCTGTATAAAATATACGCTTATCATTATATTTTTAGTTATGACTACAGAAGTGTTTAATTGCCATACTAAAAATATCTGTCCTCATATTTTTCATTAATCCAGGCTTTTACTGACTATTTTATTAATACAAAATATTTCTAGGCTCATCCTAGATTTTCGACAGCTTTATTTTCATTATCTGAATTTTTTTTACTTTAAGGTAATTTGTACAAGATATATTTTTAAAAACTTCTGTATTTTTATTTAAATCTCAACCACATTGTAAGCTATTGTGGGCAGGACTTAAAGCACCTACAGAGAACCTATAGAGCCTAGCAGAGTCAGTACTAAGCACATAGAAATTGCTCAATAAAAATGTGATGAATAGTCTCGGTGGACCAGACTATAATATAAATGAATGATGCCTAAGACAAGTAGGTGATATCACACTGTGAGTAATGGTGGCATTTAGTTGGCAGTTGATTCTCTATTTACATTTCTTTTTTGATATTATGCCATTTTGGCAGTCTTATTTAAGTAGTACAAGGAAGTCTTTCCTTAGACTTCTTGAAGAAAACATCTGTATTTTTTTTAACATGGCATGACATGACTGCTGTTAAGAAAAAATGTAAATTAGTTCAATCATTGTGGAAGACAGTATAGAGATTCCTCAAGGATCTAGAACCAGAAATACCATTTGACCCAGTAATCCTATTACTGGGTATATACCCCCAAAATAGAAATCATTCTACTATAAAGACACATGAACATGTATGTTTATTGCAGCACTATTTAAAATAGCAAAGACATGGAACCAACACAAATGCCCATCAGTGATAGACTGGATAAAGAAAATGTGGTTCATATACACCATGGAATACTATGCAGTCATAAAAGGGAATGAGATCATGTCCTTTGCAGGGACATGAATGAAGCTGGAAGCCACCATCCTCAGCAAACTAACACAGGAACAGAAAACCAAACACCACATGTTCTCATTCATAAGTGGGAGCTGAACATTGAGAACACATGGACACAGAGAAGGAAACAACACACACCAGGGCCTGTTGGGGGGTCGGGGGTGAGGGGAGGGAACTTAGAGGATGGGTCAATAGGTGCAGCAAACCACCATAGCACATGTACACTTATGTAACAAACCTGCACGTTTTGTGCATGCATCCTGTTTTTTTTAGAATAAAGAAAAAATGTAAACAATGAAAAACTAGATAAATATAAGCCTGCATATTAAATAACTTCTTTTTTTATATTCATTTTTTAAAATTTTTTATTTCTATAGGTTTTGGGGGAACAAGTGTTATTTGGTTACATGAGTAAGTTCTTTAGTGGTGATTTGTGAGATTTTGGTGAACCCATCACCTGAGCAGTATACACTGAAATAACTTGTTTTAGCCAGCTATCTAATTTCTTACCTTGACAGAAGAGCTGAATTTTAACTTTACACCTACAGGCAGATGAAGGTATTGCAGAAGATATATAGCCTGTACAATAAAATGAACATAATTTGCACACATGAGAACAGGAGAAAATATAAATTGTATTACTTCTTTGAGCAAAGTATAGTGTTCTCTTTACAGAAATAAGTACACCAGAGCCTTAGTAAGTGAATAATAGTTTTCAGTTTATTTCCAGATAAAAGTTGGTGATTGCTAATTATGGCTTTAATCAGTTTATTGGTTTAACATAAAACTCAAATGCTAAATCTCTTTAGATGCATTGGAATTACATAAGAAATATTTGTGGAGCATTACTTTGAGAAAGTAGTAAAAAATAAAATTCCAAGTACATATCAAAAACCTGAGAACTTAAGTAACAAGCTCTGAAATCCTATGGTCCTGGAAGAGCAGAAGAAAATACACGCTAAACCACAGAACAATGAAAAATACAGGATAAAGCAAAAGTAAAGCAGAGAGGAATGTAAATTTGTCACAAAACAAGACAAAGGATAATTTATTAAGAGGTGCTCCATAAACACTTGCTGCTTGTTGTGGTGGTGGTAGGGAGATGCTGCTGCTTGATGGTGTTGGTAAAGAATAAGACATAGGTATTCAAGTAAAATTAGCTAACTGTCATATTAAGTATGGAGGGAATGGGGAAAAGATAGTAATATAGTCTTAAAAAAACTTTTGAAAAAGGAAGAAAAATAAAGGATTGAGTTAGTCTCCTTTCTATGTATCTAATCATCCTGTAAGTTACATTAGTTCTACAAGTATTACTCAATTCTGCCCCTCCGTCTTTGCTGGCATGGTCTACATCTAGGTCTCCATCATTTCCCATCTGCATTGCTTCAGTAACAGGTGTCTTTCTTCTGGTCCTGGCCCCTCCATCCATTTTCCACACCTGCTGCCAGAGTTATGTTTTGTTAATAAAATGAAAATCTGCTTTTTTTTCTTTTTTAAACATCTTTAATATTTTCCTGTGACTTTTAGGATAAAGTTAAACCAACTAAACTTAGTCCACAGAGCTTTCTACAACCTAGTTCCTGCAAGGCTCTGATTTTTTTTACATCCACCTGGATTTACAGCAATGCCTACCTGCTCTCTCACATCTCTGTGCTTTTCATATGCTGTTCTATCTACATTGGATACTCCCTTCTCCCTTTCTGTATGTGACTAACCCTCACTCATCTTTCATATTTCAACAGAAGTACCACTTCCTTCAAGAAACCTCCTTCCTTTAGAAAACGTTTTTCTGTGTTTAATTTGTTGGTTTATTTGTCCATCTTCTTTGCTATCCAAGATGGGAACCATATTTCTCACTTCCACGTCTGGTGTGTCTATCACGGTGTATGGCATAGAGCTGGTACAAACAAATTCTTGCTGGAGAAAGAAAGAACGGAAAGAAGATATGCAACAATCAACTATGAAAGTTTGAGCAAACATAATAATTCAAGATAATTCAAGACTGAAACCATCCTTTTGTTACTTAAAACCAATAGTTAGTCACATTTTCTGAATAACCGCTTGATATGGTTTGGCTCTGTCCCTGCCCAAATCTCATCTTGAATTGTAGCTCCCATAATTCCCACCTGTCATGGGAGGGACCCACTGGGAAGTAATTGAATCATGGGGCGGGTCTTTCCTGTCTGTTCTCATGATAGTGAATACATCTCACAAGAGATGATGGTTTTATAAAGGGGAGTTCCCCTGCACATGCTGTCTTTCCTGCTGCCATGTAAGACATGACTTTGCTCCTCATTCACCTCCTGCCATGATTGTGAGGCCTCCTCAGCTATGTGGAGCTGTGAGTCAATTGAACCTCTTTCCTTTATAGATTGCCCGTTTTAGCTATGTTTTTGTTGGCAGCATGGAAACAGACTGATACAGTAAATTGAGTGTTGCTATAAAGGGCACCTGAGAATGTGGAAACAAGTTTGGAACTGGGTGATAGGTAGAGGTTGAAATAGTGTGCAGGGCTCAGAAGATAGGAAAATGTGGGAAAGTTTGGAACTTCCTAGAGAATTGGAGGGCTCAGAGGACAGAAAGATGCGGGAAAGTATGGAACTTCCTAGAGACTTGTTGAATGGCTTGGAGCAAAATGCTGATAGTGATGTGGACAATGAAATCCAGGCTGACATGGTCTCAGATGGAGATAAGGAACTTGTTGGGAACTGGAACAAAGGTGACTTTTGCTGTGCTTTAGCAAAGAGACTGACGGCTTTTAGCCTCTGCCCTAGATATATGTGGAACTTTGAACTTGAGAGAGATGCTTTGGGATATCTGGTGGAAGAAATTTCTAGGTAGCAAAATGTTCAAGAGGAAGTGAAACATTAAAGTTTGGAAAATTTGCAGCCTGACCATGCAATAGAAAAGAAAAACCCATTTTCTGGGGAGAAATTCAAGCCTGCATCAGAAATTTGCATAAGTAACCAGGAGCCCAATGTGAATCACCAAGAAAATGGAAAAAATGTCTCCAGGGCATGTTGGAGACCTTCCTGGTAGCCCCTCCATCGCAGGCTTGGAGGCTTAGGAGAGAAAAAGTGGATTCCTGGGTCCCCCTGCTGTGTGCAGGCCAGGGGCTTGGCACCCTGCAGCTGCTCCAGCCATGGCTAGAGGGAGCCAAGGTACCGTTCAGGCAGTGGCTTCGGAGGGCGCAGGCCCTGGGCCTTGGCAGCTTCCACACGGTGTTGGGCCTGCAGGTACACAAAGGCCAGGAATTGAAGTTTGGGCCCCTCTTCCTGGATTTCAGAGGATGTGTGCAGATGCCTGGATATCCAGAGATTGGCTACAGGGTCAGGGCCCTCATGGAGAGCCTCTGCTAGGGCAGTACGGAGGGGAGATGTGAGGTTGGAACCCCCATGCAGAGTCCCCACTGAGACACTGCCTAGTAGAGCCATCAGAGGAGGGCTCCCATCCTGCAGACCCCAGAATGTGGATCTCCCAAAGGCTTGTGCGGTGTGCCTGGAAAAGCCTTAGATACTCAATGCCAGCCCATGAAATCAGTCAGGAGAGGGGATGTACCCTGCAAAGCCAGAGGGACAGAGCTGTCTCAGATTATGAGAACCCACCTTTTGCATTGGCGTGACCTGGATGTGAGACATGGAGTCAAAGGAGATCATTTTGGAGCTTTAAGCTTTGACTGCCTCACTGAAATTCATAATTGGGTGGGGCCTGCATCCCCTTCATTTTGGCCAATTGCTACCATGTGGAATAGCTGTATTTACCAAATGCCTGTACCCCCATTGTATCTAGGCAGTAACTAACTTGGTTTTGATTTTACAGGCAAGGGACTTGCCTTGTCTCAGATGAGACTTTGGACTGCAGACTTTTGAGTTAATGCTGAAATGAGTTAAGACTTTGGGGGAGTGTTGGGAAGGCATGATTGGTTTTGAAATGTGAGGACATAGATTTGGGAGGGGTCAAGAGTGGAATGATATGATCTGGCTGTGTCCCCACCCAAATCTCATCTTGAAGTGTAGCTCCCAGAATTCCCACATGTTGTGGGAGGGACCTGAGGGGAGGTAATTGAATCATGGGGTCAGGTCTTTCCTGTTCTGTTCTCATCATGGTGAATAAGTCTCATGGGATCTGATGGTTTTATAAAGACGAGTTCCCTTGCACACACTCTCTTGGCCTGCCGCCATGTAAGACATGACTTTGCTCCTCATTCACCTTCCACCATGAAGTGTGAGGCTTCCCCAGACATATGGAACTGTGAGTCAATTGAACGTCTTTTTTTTTTATAGATTGCCCAGTCTCAGGTATGTCTTTGTTGGCAGTGAGGGAACAGACTAATACACTGCCCAGTTGATGGCTTTCCTGTAACAGACAGAGCTAATTTTACATTTAGAATCAAAGCACGCAGAGTCCTGTTGAGATAGCAAACAAAACTAAGGATGATTGTTGTAACCTTTTCTCACTTGGTAGAATTTAAACACAATCTTGGAAACTCCAGGAAAAATAACAAATTAAAATGTTGCTCTCAAACCTGACCCCACATTTCTTCAAAAGTAGAATAGAGTCGTCTTAGAGGAGCAGCTTAGGCTTGTAAGTTGGATAGCTGTGGGTTTGAATCCTGACTGATACTAGGCAGTTGTATAATCTTCAAGACTCTATATCTGATCTTGTTTAGCCTCAGTTTTCTTATTTGTAAAATAGAGTAACATCTACTTGCAGTGCTGCTGCAAAAATTAGAGCTAAACTATATCAGGTCACTATATTTAGAATCATTACAAATCCCCAAAAGGCAAAGAAGGTCCAAAGAAAGCCATTTACAGGGTGCCTCAACTTTGAGTTTGTGGCTGGAATTTGGATCTAAGAGATAGGAATTATATGTTCTCAAAAGCAGCAGATGGGCATGATAGGGCCCTAAGCAATTTTACTACAATCCTTTTGGAAATCTCTAATTGTTCTCTAAAGAGTTAACTTCAATTATCATTAGCCATCTGCTGAACCAATGGGATTTCCTCTGCAAGTGCCAGCAAGAATATTCCTGCCAAATAAAGAGAAAGTGCTTTTGAAATAAAACTTGTAGAGCATAACTCACACGTAAATACTTTCAAAGTTAAGAGGAAACAGCCTGAGGCTAGAGCCACCATTAATATTCAGAGCAAAATATGCATGTTGTATGATAAGAAAGAGTGAAAGATAAGCAGAGAATTACCAGTGAAGGCTACATCATCTGAGTTGGTTTCAGAGTGGCCTCTGGATGACATCATGATACCAGGGCCAGTTGGGATTAAGGAAGACTCTCTCCCAAGGCACATGTTCATAAAAAGAAAAAGCAGGGTACTGTGGTCAGCCAATGGGATCAGGAAATTCAAGGTACAGAACCTAGTACTTGTGCTACTCTTAGCTCATCACATAGCTACTGCCATATTGCAAAATTCACTGAAACCAAGTGGAAAAACAACAGATGCTAAAAAAGGGAATTTATAGAGATTTGGTGTAGCATTTTCCAAACTCACCTAATCATATTAATCAGGCAGGATTGTTGAAATAGAAAATTTTAGGCTCTTCCCTGGAGGTTGAGTCAGAAAGTCTGGCATGGGGCCGAGGATTTTGCATTTTTTTAAACCTTCCAGGTGATTCTTCTCATCAGGCAGGTTTGACATTGTTACAGTCCAGTGGTTCTTAAAGTATTGCCCCCAGATCAGCAGCATCAGCATTACCTGGGAACTCATTAAAAATGCAAGTTATTGGGACCCCACTCCAGACCTATGAAATGGCAACTATGGGGTGCAGTGGGAAGAGAGACAGCAATCTGTTTTAGAAGACCTCTGGTGATTCTCATCCATATTAAAGTTTCAGATCTACATTTGTCAAATGTGGCCCAGAGAACTAGAAGTGGGGAGTGCAGCTGCTGATTAGGAAATTCTCCTGGCCCAAATTCTCCTAGGACTAAGAAGGTCATGAATTAAATCCAGATACTAATGTTGCTTTTCCCTTGACTTCATTATCTCCTTTTCTATTTTTTAAGGAGCAGTTTAATTTTGTGGCCCTTTTTAACTTTCCCACTGATCAAGGCCAATCCCCTTTCTGCTTGATAGCAAGGATTCTTTATTATTTTCCTCCTTGATCCTCTTGCTTCTTTGCTCTCATCTTAAAGACATTGATAGAATGACATTGGTAGTATGGTCTCTCATTTCTCATATTTCTGTCAAATGTGTTTTAATACTGGAACGTATCCAGAGATCTGCTATAATATTTTTTAATGGCAAGTTTTAGCAGATCTTGTCCTCCTTACCAAGCCTCACTTTTTTTTCACCTTTTGGAAGGGCAAGGCAATGCTTAAAGATATTATCCATTTTTAAAATGGCCATCATTTTGAAGGATAGATTCTGGCATCAATGATATGCAAATATTCCCACTCAATGTACAAAAGCAGAAATAATAAGGGAGTCACTAATCAGCTAATGAGACAATTTTCTGGCACAACTGTGAAGAAAGTGTATTAGTGTTAGTTTCTTAGGGTTGACATCATGAAATACCACATGCTGAGTGGTTTAAGCAACAGAAATTTATTACCTCACAGTTCTGGAGGCTGGAAGTCCAGGATCAAGTTGTTGGCACTGTTGGTTTCTTCCATGAGCTGTGAGGGAAAAACCTGCTCCACCCCTTTCTTATAGCTTCTGCCAGCAAGCTTTGGAGTTTCTTGGTTTGTAGATGCATACCAATCTATGCCTTTAGGTTCACATAGTGTTCTCCCTGAATGTGTGTGTTCCCACTTTTTAAAGAACACCAGTTATATTGATTTAGGGGCCCATCCTACCTCATCTTAACTAATTCTATCTACAATGACCTTATTTTCAAATAAGGTCGCATTAGGTACCAGGAATTAGGACTTCAATATATGAATTTGAAAGGGGGTGACAAAATCAATTTATAACAAGGAGGGTTCATAGAGGGAGGAAACCAAATCTAAACTCCAAAATCATAAAGACCTGACATGATGTTGTCTGTGGGACTTAAAGTGTTTAAAAAATTGAATAAAAATCTCAATGACACGTCAGCCCTGGCTACAATTAAGAAATCTATAAAACATAGATGAAAAAAATTGAAGAGGGGCCGGGCACAGTGGCTCATGCCTGTAATCTCAGCAGTTTGGGAAGCTGTGGCAGACGGATCATTCGAGGTCAGGAGTTCAAAACCAGCCTCGCCAATATGGTGAAACCCCATATCTACTAAAAGTACAAAAATTAGTCAAGCATGGTGGCAGTTGCCTGTAATCCTAGCTACTCGGAAAGCTGAGGCAGGAGAATCATAGAATCATTTGAGCAGGGAGGTGGAGGTTGCAGTGAGCTGAGATCTTGCCACTGCACTCCAGCAGCCTGGGCAACAGAGTGAGACTCCATCTCAAAAAAAAAAAAAAAATTGAAGAGGACACAAATAAATTGAAAGATATCCTATGTTCATGGATTGGAGAAAACAATCATTAAAATTTCCATATTACCCCAATCTACAGATTCAATGCAATCTACAGATTCAATGCAATTCTTATCAAAATACTAGTGACATTCCTCACAGAAATAGAAAAAACAATTTTAAAATTTATGTGGAACCACGGAAGACCCAGATAGCCACAGCAATTCTGAGCAAAAAAGACAAAGCTAGATGCATCACACTATCTGACTTCGAAATATACTACAAAGCTCTAGTAACCAACACAGAATAATACTGGCATAAAAATAGACACATAGATCAATGGAATAGAGAACCAAGAAATAAATTCATGCATTTACAGCCAACTGATTTTTGACGAAGATGCCAAGAACACACATTGGAGAAAGGACAATCTCTTCAATAAATGGTGCTGAAAAAAATGGATAGCCACATGCAGAAGCATGAAACTAGACCCCCATCTCTCACAGTATACAAAAATCAACTCTAACTGGATTAAAGACTCAAACATAAGATCCAAACTATGAAACTACTACAGCAAAAGATAGAGGAAATGCTTCATGAAATTGAACTGGGAAAAGGTTTTTTGAATAAAACTTCAAAAGCCCTGGCAACAAAAGCTAAAATAGACAAATGAGATTACATAAAACTAAAAAGCTTCTGTACAGCAAAGGAAATGATCAATGAAGTGAAAAGAAAATCTACAGAATGAGAGAAATATTTGCAAACTATGCATCTGATAATAAGTTAATACCCTGATTATATAAAAAACTCAACAACTCAATGGCCAAAACCCAAAAAATCAGATAAAAAATGGCAAAAGACCTGAATAGACATTTTTTCACAAGAGTACATACAAATAACCAACAGATAGATTAAAAATGCAAAACTTCACTAATCACCTGAGGAATGCTCATCAAAACCACAATGGTATCACCTCACTGCAGTTAAAACAGCTTTTTTCAAAAAGACAAACATGCTGGCAAAGGAAAGGGAACTCTTACACACGATTGGTGGAAATATAAGGTAATACAGCCATTATGGAAAACAGTATAAAGTTTCCTTTAAAAACTAGAAATAGACTACCATTTGATCTAGCAAGCTCATTACTGGGCATATATCAAAGAAAATGAAATCGGTATGTTGATGATACATCTGCACACCCATGTTTATTATAGTGCTATTCACAGTAGTCAAGATATGGAATGAACCTAGATGACCATCTACAGATGAATGGATTAAAAATTGTTATACACACAAACACACACACATGCAGACACACAATAGAATACCATTTAACCATAACACAGAATGAAATCATGTCAGTTGAAGCAACGTAGATGAACCTGGAGGACATTATATTATGTGAAATAAGCTAGACACAGAAAGACAAACTGCATAATCTCACTCATGTGAAATCTAAAAACATTGATTTCATAGAAATAGAGAGTAAAATAGTGGCTACCAAAGGCTGGAAGGGGGGACAACAAAAGGTTGGTCAATTGCTGCAACGTTAAATTATACAGGAAGAATAAGTTTTGGTGTTGTATTACACAATACAGTGACTATAGAAAAATAACATTGTACTACATATTCAAGATAGCTAGAAGAGAAGATTTTGAAGGTTGTCACCACAAAGAAATGTCTAAAATGATGGATATGATAACTACTCCAATTTGATCATTACACTATGTACATGTGCCTCAAAACATCACATTGTACCCCAGAAATATGTAATATTATTGTGTCAATTATAAATTTAAAAATAAATTTTAAAAAGGAAGAAAATTCAAAAGTGGTCAGATTTCTGACCCTGTATTATCTGGAAGTTTTCCCTGCAAAAAAATAAATAGTACAAAGTTTTTAAAGCACATGGTGGGAAAGATATTTATGTTGTTCATAATGGATTTTAAATGATCAAGTTAAATGAAGGTCAAATTGCTCTATTTATATTGGAGAGGATGAAATGTTGTAGGAATGCCTGCAGTTACGTTATCAACTCAGGTTGACTTCACTGCTTTGAATAGTCAGATTTCTCCCTGGTAGTTTCCAAATCAGAACAATATACTCATTTAGGGGTTGAAGTTTGAAAGGAAATCAGATGATGCCCATTTAAAAGATGATTAAGGTTTACATAATTCTTTGGACAAGGGGACATTCGAATAGATGTATGATGTTATTACCGAAAACAGAGGTTAATAGTTGTCTCACTGTTGCCTTCTTGACTCAGACTTTCTTATTTGGGGATTTTAATTTACGATTCTGTCCTGTACACAGACAAATCTTCACAAGAATATAACAAACAGCTTTACTTCTATTGTTACTATTATTAAGACAGAGTCTTGTTCTGTCACCTAGGCTGGAGTGCAGTGACAAAATCTCGCCTCACAGGAACCTCCGACTCCCTGGCTCAAGCGATTCTCCTGCCTCAACCTCCCAAGTAGCTGGGATTACAGGCATGGGCCACCTCACCTGGCTAATTTTTGTCGAGATGGGGTTTCACCATGTTGGCCAGGCTGTTCTCGAACCCCTGGCCTCAAGTGATCTGCCCACTTCCGCTTCCCAAAGTGTCAGGATTACAGCTGTGAGCCACCACACAGCCTATATTTATTTATAAAAGTTTCATCTTGAGTTTGGGTCAACTGCCTCTGCTGGTATCTTGACTCCATAGTCCAGTTGTTGGCACCAATTCATCTTGGTGCTTTAGAAGCCTCTAAAGGCAGTTCATGATCATTCAGAACATTGCTCAGTGTTGTTTCTAATGCTTGTATTGTTAGTCTTATCCTGACCTTTACGTTGTGCCAGTAAAATTCCATTGATTATATTTTTTCATTTCATCACTGTATTTGTGTACTCATGCCCCACTTTTTAAAGAAAAAAGTCATGTTTGAAAGACATGTACTTGTGTTCTAAGAAGTGATGCAACTATTTTTGGAAAAAAAAAAAATGAAACTTTAAGCATATTTCCAAAGTTCTTTTTGTATCAACACTTCTTGCTGTGTTTTCCCAGTTACGGTGGTATTTGACAAACACCTGGCTGATACTAATCTGGTACACAGCTGGACAAATCATTTTCTTAAAATGGTTCCCCCAAAAGGCTAATTATAAATATAAATGCCTGTAATTACTTAGAGTATATACAAATCATTATAGGAAATATAGAGGGAACTGCATTCGTATGATCCACTTAACAACATTCACGATATCCTGTAATGAATTCACACTTCAACTTCACTCAGACTTCAAAATTATACAAAAAATTAACTCTTTCTCATGGTGGAGATAGCTGCCCAAACCTGTAATGGCTGTCCTCTACAGTGAAGTTGGAAATAGCTACTTGAGATGCCATAGACAGCCAAAGTCCAGTTAAGATCAATCCTAGACTGGGTGTTGAAAAATTTCTTTAGGTCTTTCAGGTTTACATTTGGAATCTGGACAGTTGTCCAAAAAATAAATGTATAATTGTGCATAGTGATGGGATTAGTGACCCTAGAATATATTTCTGTAACAATTCCACCCTTGAATGAATGATAAAATCAAATAGGGCCAAATATATATCAAGCAAGAAGTTCTGCTTTGAGAACTAATGACCAATTTCTAGTGATATTATCAGAAGTGTTATAAAACTTTTTTTATTTCCTGTATTTCTACTGGGGAAAGAGGACAAGGGCAGGATGGATAACTCCAAGTACTTCCAATCTCTACTAACAGAACAATATTAGATCATGCAGAGAAGGAACATGTCTCCATCTGATTTTAGTATTGTTTTTCTTAGTAGGACTTTTCCCCTCTCTCCCTTCCTCCTTATCTTCCTTCCCTTCTTCCTTTCCTCCATCTTTCTTCTCTGTTTCTCGCTTTCTCTCTTTGAATACTTACTAAGTGAATAAAATCCACTTGATTGTGCACTACTTGGGAATAAGAATCAGGTTATTTCTAGAATGATGAGAATCTATCTGATGCAAAGAGAAAAGGGAAGTAAACTTTAAAAAAGTTTATAATCTATAAGTGCTTTATATCTACTATGTCATGTGATAGCCACCACCTTTCTATGAGATTATTATTATAAACTTTCATTTCAGAGATAAGAAGCTTGAGGCTCATCTCTAATTTATGGCTTAATTAACTTACTTCCTCAAGGCCTATAGATTTATGTGGTGTTATTAGAATTCAAACTCAAGTTTGTCTGGCTACAAATTCTGTATTTCCACTGTAAGTTTCAAAACATTTTCAATGTTTACAACTGACTGCAAATAGATTGATGTTAGAAATTATGTTAGCCATAAGAAAATAATTATAGTTTCTTAAAGAAATGATGAGACTAAAATCTTAGCTTCCTTCCCTATTCGCTTCTCTCTTTTTTCATATAGGTAGAGATTAAAATTCTCTGAAACTGTGGGTATTATTTTAGCCAGAAAACATGACAATATAGAATACCTTACTTTAATTTCATTTTCAGTAGTATATTTGTAGTTTCTTTTTTTTAACGGTCATGTGTTTTTTCTTCCTTTTAGTGTTGAATGTAGAAAACAGAATTTCAAATTCCCAACTATGTAACAACAAAAAAGAAATATTTGTATTACATGATAGCAAAATGCCATCAAGAGACCCTATTGAATTTACTTTCTCACACAGAGAAAACTGTAATAGTGAAAGGGGAAAAAAGGATATTAAACTTGAAATCAGAGGTACTGGTTTTGGAATATAGACTCTTCCACCTATCATATACGTGAATTTGGGTAAATGATTTAAAAGCTTTAAGCTTCAGTTCCATCATCTATGACAAAGATCTTAATGCCCATTTGCAGGATTGCTGTGAGGATTAATATGAGGAGACTATGTTAAGACTGTCTGAACATTTTTAAGAGTAATGTCGACATACAGCACTAGTACTGCCAGTCCCCACTCCTGACCCCACAGAAGATCCTGCCAAACTATAATGGTAGTCTTTCCAGCAGATCTGGACAGCTTCACAAAATGAAGCCTCATAAAAGTCTTTTATAAAGACTGGTCCAATAGACCTTCCTAGGTTAGTGGACCCAAAAAGTGGACATAATTAAGCTAGATGGATCCTCTTGGCCAGCCTGGGTTCAGGTGAGAGATATCCACTGCCCTTTTCCACCTAAGGCCTAAAATACTAAGTTGGAGCTTTAGCCCTTTAACTTAATTCCTGTTAAAATGCAGCTATCTTAGTGAGTGATTTCTATATACTTTCCTGGGAGCAGCGTGTGACAGAGGAGTGGGGACGGGACAGGGAAAGCATGAGTTGAACACAGAAGAGACAGAAAAGCATGCCTATGACTAGGAGATGCTTGGTAGGCAGAACCGAGGGGATGAATGACAGTGTTCCCCATTTCTGTAGTCTCTTCAGATTCAGCCATGCCCATGTTGTTTATCTTTTGCTATACTTTTAGTCTATTTACCATTACCCCTCACAGAAATAGCTATTTTCATTGAACATCATCTGTGGTTTAGCATCCTTCTAGGAACTTTGCATATTAAATTATAGCAAGCTTATACTGTTATTACTCTTTTTCAGATGAGAAAAAGAAGACTCAGAGAGCAAGTAAGTTGCAAAGATAGTATTAAAACTAGTTGCATTTGAATCCAAACCTCTTCACTTTCTGCCAACTGTACTGTTTGTCATATTTCCTTAAATTGAAAGTTCGTGTTTTCCTTCCTATCAAGAATGTGAAGGAACCTATCCCAGTCACAAAGATTAGGATATATAGTAGCAGCAGCAACAACAACAACAAATCCCCAAGTCTTAGCATTTAAAAATGACAAAAGGTCTTTGCCCCCATATAACATGTCTGTTGGGGATCAGCTGTGGGGACTTGGCAGCACATTGTCCTCATCAGAGACTCAGGCTATTGGAGGCTTCAAGCATCACTAGACTCCACTGCACACAGAAGGGAAGAACTGTATGGCAGCTCTTAAATACTGCCAGACCAAGTATGTGATGCCAACCTAAAGAAGTATGGTTGTTCCTCGGTATCCACTGGGGATTAGTTACATGACCACCTTCCCCCTACCAAAATCCCAGGATGCTCAAATCCCTTATATAAATTAGAGTAGTATTTGCATATAACCTATGCACATCCTCCTGAACATTTTAAATAATCTCTGGATTATTTATAATGCCTAATACAATGTAAATGTTGTATAAATAGTGATTATACTGTATCACCTTTTTATTTGTATTATTTTTATTTTCATATTGTTATTTTTTATTATTTTCTTTTCTCAATATTTTGATCTGTGGTTAGTTAATCTGCAGTTTGCAGAACTCTCAGATACAGAGGGCAACTGCACATTGTGGGCAAGTACAAACCTATCGTGTGCTGAACAGAGAAGAAATGGAGGTACTCGTGAGCAGCATTAATGTGTACACCAGAATCTCAACAGTAAAGACAGAATAACATGAAGAAAATAACTACAGGAGTGCTGTGTTTTAAAAAAGCAAGCTCCTCCAGCTGAGTTTGTGACTCTAATCCCTGCTTATTTTGAGCACTTTCCATGTGTTGATTGACTCGGAAAGGTGGGAGATTACCAGCAAGCCAGGTCATTTGGGCAAACATGGGCATATTTTTAGCAAAGCTGAACAAACTGGTTGGTCACTCGAACTACCCAATTTAGACTTATAGTAAGAATAGCACATGGTTCAGAATTGCCAAGACTGCTGCTTTAGTCAACAGAAATTTTTTCATATGCATGCTGGTAATGCAGTGCATCTCTGGAAGAAATGCAAGAGTATTTTAACATTTGGTCCAGAAGAAATATGTAAAGGGTGTTTGTAGAATTTGATGCCCTCTTCAGTGACATAAGGTTATGGGTTTGTGAATGGAAAATCTGTTATTTGTTCAGGTTATTAAAACACATTCTAATTCAACATCATTAGACTGGCAAAAAACTTCCACTTTTAGGACTCTATAAAACCTACATTAACCTTGAATTAACAAAACTAGGAAGTGTGATGTAGTAGAAGGGGCTTTAAGGAAGGCAGGGTTCATAACCCCATCACGAAGTTACTTACTACAAGAACTTTAATTCTGAATCTTTCAGGCCATTTCTCATCTGTTATGTGAGAATATTAATAAGTAAATGTGGCAAGTACTGTTGACTCTACCTTCAAAATATATCTTCTACTATTCATTTCTCTCCATCTCTAAAACTCCTAATTCAGGCAAAACTAATTTCTCAGCTAGACCACCACACCTGCTCCTAATACTTCTCCACTTGCCCCCACCAGCCCACTCATTACTCAGCAGACATAAGGATCTTTCCTGCCCCAGGTTCTTTGCACATGCTATCCCACTTTTTTCCCTACCTCCTGCATGCTACAGCTCTGTTTCTTCCTTTGGTTAACAGCTTAAGTACTTTCTCGAAGCATTTTTTCTTGATATTCCTATCTACAGTAGGTTTCTCTATTATTTACTATCTCAGCTCATTTGTTTCCTTCATGGTGCCTGTCCTATTTAGTAATTTGTTTCTGTTTGTCTGTCTACCTTTTTGTTTTCTATATTAGAATATGAGTTTCCCAAGGGCAGAGACAGGCTTTGTCTTGTCTGTCCTTGAATCTACCAAGCACAGTGCCTGGCACATTGGAGGTGCTAAGGAAATATTAGTGTAAAGAGTGAAGGAATTGCTGTGAGGAATATGTGAGTTAATTAAGTGCATCTTTAGGTACCTGGGTAGTGCTCAGTTAATATTGTTATTCTTTTCCTTTTCTTTACCAGTGCTGCCCAATCAATCTCCTTCTTCTACTCCGTATATTTCCCTGCTGAAGGTATACTAGCATGTTTCCCCATCATATGCAAATATCCTACAAATCCAAAGTAAAAGGCAAAGATATTGAAATACAGGGAACAGAAGAAATTGCTCCTGACTTTGATACATTGCTCTTTTAATACATCTGTGTTTTTGTGAATTATGCACTGAAACTCTTACATGACCTTTCCTACACCAAATTTAGAGGTTTGTAATCAGCAAACAAGTGTTTGTTTCTTATGATTTCTTTCTATAGGTTATACAGTATCTCTAAGTTTTCTTGAACAATGGTGTTAAAAATAATTTTAATGCTTTATTGTTATTTTCTTTTATTATTCAAAAATGGGTGGAAAATGAAGATGCAAAAATGCAGAAAGTAGTTATAAAAAGTTAGGTAAGGAACAGTAGAGTTAAGACAAAGGTAAAAGTAATTAAGCATGCAATCGATAGTTAGCATTTAGTTTCTATTGGACACATTAAAATTAAACTGATTAATAGTGTCTTCATTTACAAAGGAAGCAAATTTAAAGAATAGCATGAAATGGGCCTGGCACAGTGGCTTACGCCTGTAATTCCAGCACTTTGGAGGCCGAGGCAGGCAGATTACTTGAGATCAGGGGTTTTAGGCCAGCCTGGTCAACATGGTGAAACCCCATCTCTACAAAATAAAAACAACAACAAAAAAAATGAAAATTAGCCAGGCGTGGTGGTAGGCTCCTGTAGTCCCAGCTACTCAGGAGGCTGAGGTGAGAGAATCGCTTGAACCTGGAAGGTGGAGGTTGCAGTGAGCCAAGATCGTCCTGGGCGACAGAGCAAGACTTCATCTAAAAAAAATAAAATAAAAAGAAGAAGAAGAAGAATAGCATGAAATGCTGGAATTTATTGGGTATTATATCTAAAAGGAGAGGCATATTTATGAAATTTAAATCAGTTTTAGCTCTCTGTAGAACAGAATCCCCACTCTAAAATACATTATCTCTTGCATATTTGACTTTCTTATATGTTTTTAGTCTGATTTTGTTTGAAAGTAGTGGATTGCCAATACGCTTGCTCCTTTTTCCCGTGAAAGGTGAGCAAACCCACCCTGTCATTTACTTATGAGGAACTTGTGACCCAGTGAGGTGAAGGAATTAGTCCTACTGGAATGCCTCCATTCTTTGTAATCAGTTGCCTGAATTATTTTAGAGTCTGTTTATTTTAAAGGAATCTTTCATAGTTCTGGCAAAAATTTATTTATAAATGGCTTTGAGTTTGAGGTAGAAAATATTAACTATTAGACAGCTGATTGTTCTAGATGTGCAAGAAGTAAGGCACTCAGGATGTCCTTAACTTTGTTTTCCTCTTGGTTGGTTAATCCCTCCATATGCAATAGGTTGTTTACTTCAATCTGTTTCTCATTTAAGACCACTGAAAGTTAATCCATGGAGCTCACACTCTGTACCTTCTGAAATAACTCTAACAAATCAAGTTAAAATTTTCCTGACCCTTCTTCGTGTCTTCCTTCACTCCTTAACTCCTGCCAGTACGTGCTGGGAATTTGCCTCTGGACTTTGACACATTTACTCTTTTAGATTTGTTATGTCCCACATTAACTGAACTTTGCCATATTCTTAATGTTGATCTGGATTTGCAGAGGTGGTTTTGGAGTTCTGCCCATATTCCCAGTGTCTAATCCCCAGCAAGCCTCTCTCTATTTTCCTCCACTATCCACTGCCTTACATTAAATTACCATTATGCTAGCTACATTTCAAGTTCTTGGTAGCCACATGTAACTACTGGTAATCATATTGGACAGGATAGAAAGTTGTATTGAACAGTGCTACCCTAGAATATCTAGACCTTCACCTACCTGTGCCAGCGTCAGTATCTAGAAAACTAGAATGTCTCAAGTGTCCATAAAATCATTTGGCAAGTTAAGTCTCAGTAAAAATGTCCTTGATGTTTTTTTCTTTGTAGTTAATGATGCATTTCATTGCTTTCCAAACTCTTTCACAAGGCTTACAAAATCCATCATGACCTTTACCATTTGTCTAACTTCATTATTTCTCTTTCCCTTGAACTGTACTCTTTTGAACTATTTTACATTCCTTGACTCCAAGGCTAAACTTGCTACTCCTTCTGTCTGGAATATTCTTCCTTTCCTGTTCAGTGTCTCAAGTATTCTCTGGTGCTATGGGACACTTTAAGAGGAGGAGCTTAATCCCTTTGGACAACTTAGAGATGTGGAATTAATTTAATGTCGCTTGATGATTTCTATCATTCAACATCAGAAAGCAATTTAGGGCACAGGCAATGTGAAACTGCATTTTGTACACAGAAAATTATGAAATACTAAACTTCTTAAGGGAGGAGCCATTAACCTCAGAAACTTAGATTGTTCCTATTGTTTTATAAGAAACAAATCTTTCGTATATTTATCCGTAGATGTGTGTTTGTGTATGTAACTCCCTTCCGCCGCATAAACTTTTCCCAACACTCCTTTACCCCACGCCTGAAGAGACAATGGAGGAGAGAATGGAGGAGCTCTGTGAATAAAATGCAAACTCTATTTGAATCCAGTCCAATATTTAACTCAAAGAAAAAATTTTAATACTAGCCAGAACTTTTGAGAAGCGTGCTCTAATTCGTCCTTTCTTTTTCTTTATGACATCTGTCTAAAGGGAACATTTGTGGAAGAGACTCATCCACAGAGAGAGTAGGGTTGGCAGAAGCAATGCAGATAGGCTTCTGCAGATAGGCTGTGGTCCTTCCTGTAAGGCAGCATTTCACAATTCAGATGAAATGACTCTTGTCATTTTTCTTTTCAGTTATTGCAAAATCTGCTTCAGTGAAACATGCTTATCTGTTTCTGTATAATTAAAAAAAATCTTGTACAAGTAACGAAGTACATGAAATCAAACACACTTGCTAAACTAATGGCATATGGAGTTATTATGCACGTGAGACTCAAGTCTCAGTGATTAGATTATGCCTCTCCCCTTCCATTATGACTGCAAATTGGTATGCAGCCATTTTCAAATTAGCGACTGTATTAGTTAGTTCACAGCCTGCTGTAAAGGTCTTCTTGAGACTGGGTAAATTATAAAGGAAAGAGGTTTAATTGACTCACAGTTCCACAGAGCTGGGGAAACCTCAGGAAACTTACAGTTAATGGTGGAAGGGGAAGCAAACACATCCTTATTCACATGGCAGCAGGAAGGAGAATTGTAGAGCAAAGCAGGGTGGGGAAAAGTCCGTTATAAAACCATCAGATCTCATGAGACCTCACTCACTATCACAAGACCAGCATGGAGGTAACCACCCCCATGATTCAATTACCTCCCACTGGGTCCCTACCATGTATAATTCAAGCAGAGATTTGGGTGGGGATACAGCCAAAGCATATCAGTGGCAACGTATAAATCTCAAAGGCTCATGTCTAGTTTTGCAGAGCATTGGTTTTATATGATAGCAGTTACTGTCCCTATGCAGTGAAGTGTGATACAGGCTTTTTCTAAGGCATTACAGGAAACCTCTACCATTTCATCACACTCACTATGCTAAAAGCCATGATGAAATCCATGACTGTGCTCTCTAGCACTTAATTATGTTTTGATTACTACAAATAATTTATTTTTTTACATTTTGCTTCTTAGAATTCCCAGCCACAAACACCCATTCATCCTATCAAAACAGAACAAACCATAGCACATATATGTAAACATTTTTAGAACATGTACACGTAGATAAACAAGTGTATAGAACGTAACAAAGTTTCTAAACCATATCACATTGTTTATTTTAGTCACCAGTACTCAACAATGATTCAAGAAATTCAGACCCCAACAGCATTAATGTCTCAGCAATGTAACCTGAAACTCAGCAACCCAAATCTACAGTAGTGGGAAAGCCTGGGTTTGTGCATTGTCCGATGTGAAGGTTAATTCGAATTATTTTTCCAGACATATGGAGTTCTCCTTTACTTTCAGAAAAAGAAAGAAAGAAAAAGTTGTTGCACACCTACTGTATTAGTCCATTTTTACACTGCTGAAAAAGACATACCCAATCAAGACTGAGAAGAAAAAGAGGTTTAATTGGACTTACAGTTCCACATGGCTGAGGAGATGTCAGAATTATGGTGGGAGCTGAAAGGCACTTCTTACATGGTGGTAGCAAGAGAAGATGAGGAGGAAGCAAAAGCAGAAACCCCTGATAAACCCATCTTATCTTGTGAGGCTTATTCACTATCATGAGACTAGCATGGGAAAGACCGGCCCCCATGATTCATTTACCTCCCACTGGGTCCCTCCCACAACATGTGGGAATTCTGGGAGATACAATTCAAGTTGAAATTTGGGTGGGGACACAGCCAAACTGTATCACCTACTTTAGCTTAAGCATGGTGTTAGATATATCCACAGAAGTTACCATGTTTAATTTTAACAATGACCCTGAGAGTAAGAATTTTTATCCCTATTTTTACTGATGAGGAAAACTAAGGCATAGAGCAGATCATTGACTTCCCCAAGAACACAGTGCTGAGGCTGAGATACAAACCTAGTCCTGGAACTCTTGAGTTTATTCCTTTTCTAATGTACCGTGCTATCCCAGGTCACTGAAAACCTACTTATGGAGTTACTGCACCTGGAATTATATAAGTCTGCTCAAGGACAAGCAGGGGCAAATCAACCAGTGAAAATAAAGTATAGCAGAACCGGGAACATAAGACCTGTGAGCATGCATATCTGATTCCTGGAATGCAAATGGTCAGGACCCCAGCCAAATGAACTGAAGGTTAGTTCTGGGCCACAGTCCAATTGGAAATAGAAGTGTCAAATAGAAAACCTATAGCAGAAGTTCCGGTAGGCAAACTGTGCCAGTTGAGTGGACTATTGGAGATCATTTTGGTGTGGTGGGTCCATGAACACCCAGGACCTACCAGATACACCAGCTTTACAGCAACGGACTAACTAATTCCAGACTCTGCAGACTGGCTTACTATATGCCTGCCTGTTAAATTGTGTAAGATGTTTTATGCAGATTATCTCAATGAAACCTCACCACAGCAGGAAGAAGCAAGATTGTTTTATTACTTGCCATAGTTTAACATGGCAGGTTAAGTAGTGGTAAAGAGCACGCACTGTAGAACCAAGTTTCCTGGGTCTGTCTTCTGGTTCTTACCAATTCTGTTATCATCTATTTGGGGAAATTTGCTTAACTCTGTCTGTGACCCACTTCATTTGTAAACTGGGAGTGAGATAGTGCTCAAGTTTTCAGCTTTCCAAGAGTATAAAGGCTTCAAATGGGGCCTGGCTCAGGAAATTGCTAGGCAAGTGTATGATAAATAAAGGAGAAAACTAAGTAACTTGGGTAAATTCATAAAAGTGATATGTGGTGGGGCTGGGACTTAAATCCAGAGATATCTGACTCTGCAAGTGAGGGACCTCAGGGACTTCACCTCTGAGGGGACTAGGGAAAGCAGATATCAACACAATCCCAAGAGTCCTCTTATTTTCTCTCTCATCCTATATTGGCTACCGTTTCGATGGAAGTCATGAAATTACTAAAAGTAATTTCAGAATCTCCTTTGCATAAGGCCCTTTCCAATGTTAGCTGTGCACTTAAAATATTTAACTTTGCAATACCAAATCCACCTCCATCTTACTTCAATACTATTTTGCATTCTCTGGTTTCTGAGGAAATCACAAAAATGAGCCCTAGGCAAAAATTTTAGGTTAGAGTATGAAGAACCCTATTGAGTTTATGCACATCAGTAATGCCTTCTCCAAAATAAGAAATATGCTTTCAATTTACATCATAAAATGAGATTTTTTAAAAAGTTAAAGGTTTTATTGATGCACTTCCTTAAACTAGTATTTCAAAAGATAAAAACAGCTTTTCTCTGTTAAGAAGGAATGGCTGTTTTATGAGTGTTTTCTTCTTAACTTGACATGAAGCAAATTTAAGCAATATATAGCTAGATCTGTTCAGTCTCACCAATATATGAGAAAGTAAATTTTCATAAAAAAAACTTTACCTGTGCCAAATCAAGTCCTATTAGGTTGTATAAGATCTGTTATCCCATGACTCCGAGTCCTTGGAATGCATCCCAGTTCAGTCTAGCAGAGTTACTTTCTCTGGACTTCATATGCATAGACATACGCTTGGTAGACAGAGACACAGTGTGAATTTGAAAGCAGGTATTTTCAAGCAAAAGCCATGAATGACAGTTCTAAATGAGAGCAAAATCTCCTGTGTTCCTTTTCACAAAACTGCAAAGCTGTAAGAACAACACGGGTGTGTTTTGTTGCATTTTCTTGGATCAGCTTTTGTCTCACTGTTACTAGTCTCTCCAAGTTTGAAGAGGCCATGTTTAGTTTGTTTTTCAACCCAGAAAATATAAGAATTATATCATGAAGTGATGCAATATGTATAACAGTAGGGAAATTAAGCAAAGATTTTGAAGTCAATCAAGCCCCTGTGGGTTCGAATAGTTCCTCAGCCACTAGCTAACTATAGGACTTTAATCAAGTTATTTAAGCTCCCCAACAGATTACAGTAGAAACAATCTGGAGACTTGGAGACCTCTCAGGAGGCTACTGCACTGGTACGGATGAGAAGTTCTCTTTAGAATGGAGATACTACAATGAAGAGGGAAAATCTACTTATGATTTGGCCTTTGGGAGGCAAATATTCTGATTGGCTCTGGTGACAAGGACCCAAAACCCTTTTTACCTAATTTCTCTGATGAAAATCCACTGATTATAGAGCACAGATTTAGTACTTCTGATGAAGAGGTAAGGCTATAAAAAGACATATCCACAAATGGCACAATAGGTAGCATTTTTCATCTTCATTCAGTCTCAGCAGAAAGTTCTTGAGCATCCACTTATTTCAGATACAGGGTTAGGCATTCAATTTGGTGTTAGGTATACATAATAAAACTTCACCAGCTCAAAGACATATAAAGATATGCTATCCATGTTTATCTGGACTTTTTTGTTTCAAACAACACCAAAATTCAGATTTAAAAAATGACATTTATTGATGAAATAACTGAAAAGTCTAGGACCTCAGAAATGCATGGACCTTGGTGCTCAAATGATGTGTGAAGAATCTGGGTTTTTCTGTCTTTTGCCCTGACTTCTTCTATACTGGTTTCATTCTCAAAGGTACTCTTTTCATGGTGGTAACAGGGCAACCAGGAGCTTCAAGCTGTTGTCTTTACTATTTGAGAAATTTCAGTGGTAAAAAAATTGCTTTGACTTCTCACAATTTCTCAGAAGTTCTAGCAAATATTGCTGATAGAGTTATTGACCTAGTTTAGGTCATATATCTCTATGTCCCTTCTTGAGCTAATTACCTTGTACTAGGCTTGACCCTAATGAGCTTTATAGACTAGAATAGAGGAAAGTGGCTCCAAAAAAGATGATTGAATAATTATTACTAGCATCAAGGAAGAATGACTTGAGTGATTAAAAATTACATATGTCAACTATACTAATTTAAAAATTACATATGTCAACTATACTATCTAATTGATTTAAGTAAGTACTCTTTTTTATTGCAAATGACAGAAATTCATTCCAGATTAAACCAAATGAAATTTGATATAAAAATGTCATGGAACCCAAGAGCAAGGAGTGCCATAGGCCTCATAAGGAACCGAAATGAGAAAATGAAAATTAACTGGTATTACTGCTCTCTCTCTCTCTCTCTCTCTCTCTCTCTCCCTCTCTCTCCCTTTTCACATCTGTATTTAGGATATGTCTTTGTCTTCATTCAAATATCTCTCCATCTCAATGCGCATGATTACCCAACAATTCTCAGTTTCAGCCACTCAGAAGAGATCAAAACTAGTTTCCCTCACTCTCAATTCAAAATTTGTGGAAAAAAATATTATTAGTTAAACTTGTATCTAGTGACCACTCTTGTCCAACCAAGTATGACATAGAGACTGGGTTAAACCAACTGCTTGGTTTGAGGGTAATTCTTGGAAAAAGAAGGCTATTGTAATGTTGACAAAATAGCAACAGCAGTCCACTGCAACATCACAACCAACTTTACTGACAGAAGATCTTGTTCCTGCTATAAAATTCATCTTTATCTTCTGGACTTTAGTAAATCTGCAAAGGTATAGAAACTATACCTTTAAAAATGTCCACAAAACAATATGAAAAATGGCAAGTCAATCTCCAATGATGAAATCGTGTATCAAAATCAGGCTACATGATTGTCACCCTGGCCATATATGTAAAGAAAGTAGACAACAAATAAAAACTCAAACTACTTGATTATTTGCTTGCTGGTAAGTTGCAAGTTGTGGAGAAGAAATTAATCCATTCTAATGAACATTTATCCATTTCTTATGAATTTCCAAACATATTGTCAGGAGTTAAGGCAGCAGATTTGTAGACAGAGTCACTTTCCCTGAAAGACTGACAGACTAGTTGAGGAGACAGACAAGTAAATCACTGATTGAAAAATAGCAAAGATATTTGATAAATGGGGTATGCTCAGGATGCTATGACATTTCAGAGAAGAAAATATCCTGCTTCAAGGGGTATATTAGTTTACTAGGGCTGCCGTAACAAAATACCCACAGACTGGGTGACTTAATCGAAATGTATATTCCCACAGTCTTGGAGGTGAAAAGTCTAAAATCAACATGTTGGCAGGTTTAGTTTTGTTTGTGGCTTTTCTTTTTGGCTTGCAGGTGAACACCTTCTCTTTGTGTCCTGTGCCTGCACATCCCTTGTCTCTCTCTGCATGTTCAACTTTCCTTTTCTTATAAGGATACCAGTCAAATTGGATTAAGGCCCACCCTGAAGACCTAATTTAACCTAATTACTTATTTAAAGGCCCTGTCTGCAAGTACAGTCACATTCTATGACACTGAGAGTTAGGCCTTCAACACACAAATGGTGGGGTGAGGGCGCTGTGCACAATCCACCCAAAACAAGAGAAATTTTCGAGAGTAGTGTTGCTTGACCCAGTCTTAAAGAAGAGGGTATAACCCTGTGGATAGAACAGCAGGAACAAAGGTATAAATGCAAGAGTGAGCATTGCTTATCTATGGAATTTTAAATAGTCTGGTAATGCTGGAGCTTAGGATGCAAATGAGGAATTGAAAATTGGTAAAACATGAAGTTGGAAAGGTAATTAAGGATTGAATTATAAAAGGTTTTGTACTGAGATGGGCTAAATTATGGTTAAAAAATGCCTCAAGATATAATAGCACAAACACAACACAAGTTTATTTCTCCTTCAAGGAATAGTTCAGGGTTGGTGCTACAGGTCCACCAGCAACTCTCTTCCACAAAGTGATTCCTGGATCAGACTCCATTCATCTCAAGGCTCTCATCTGTGTGATCATGCCTGGGTGGCTGTGCTCAAGACTTTCACTTTAAGGTCTGAACCAGTAAGTGGCACACTTCACTCCTGCTGTCCTGCCATTGCTGAGAACTATTCACATGACCTCTCCTGGTTGCTGGGTTATGGGGATTGTAACATAAGGGGGTTGGCTGGATAACCCCTTCCCAGCTGTAATTCTATTATTATGAAAAGACAGGCATTTTGTACATAGGAGCTGTCGTCATCACAGTCTTGTAAGTCATAGTAAGGAGTTTGGGTTCTTATAAATTTGAGGATTTTTAAGGAGGACGGTCGTGATTAAATTTTAATTTTAAAATGTAATGCTAGTAGCATTATAAAGAAAGAATTTGTGAGGCAATGTCAGAAGCACAGATATAATATTGAGGAAGCTATTTCAGTAATTCTGGCAAGTGATTCTGAATTAAGGCAGTGCTAGTAGGAGTGGAGAAGACAAAACAGATTCCAGTGATATTTTAGAAATAGACTCATCATGACTCCTGACTGATTTCTTTTGAGAGGGGAAGAAGAGGAAAATTCTAGTAACTCTTAATTCCTGGCTTGGATGAATGATGAGATTTTGGTAACATTAAATGAGGAGGAGAGGGCTTGGGAAAGGCTCAGTTAAAAACATACTGAGGTTTGAGATATCTGTGGAATATCAAAGCAGAGGTGCCAGTAAGTCATACACATAAGACATATTTTCAGGGGCTGAAAAAATACATTTCATGGTTATTATAATAGTGACAAAATGTAATTGGAATCACATGGAGATGAGGTCAACTATAGTAATCATAGATTTATATAATGACATAAGAATGGTGATTTCCAATTTTCATTTTATGCCCAAACAAAAAAGGTCTTAGGCAAAACAGAAGAGTTTAGATACTACCAAATTATGAAAGCAGTGGTTTAGCCATTTTATAAGTATTCAATGGTAAAAAACACAAAAATTTCCCCTTAAAATTCAGAGTTTCAAATTCTATAGAAAGATATTCATAAAACAGAAAATCATTACAAGTTAGAGGAGTTTTTAGACTTGACAACTCTTTATATATGAGTATTGCATTAGATATGCACTGTCATTGAAGTAGACATTTAATTAATAACCCTATGCTGTTGCAAGTATCTATCAAGTATATTGAAAAAACAAGAAGCAACCAATTTTATTCTTCCAACTATCTTGCTGGCAAATAACTCGCTCCCTTCTGGAAATGCTGAATCATTTATCTTTACATTTTTGTTAACCTGCTCATTTTGTAGGATAGGCTCAAGATAGTTACTACTAAATTAAAGATGATCATGTGACCATGAGTTAGAAACATGAATCTAAGACCCAAATGCAAGATCCTATAACATGACTGTTAAGAAAATGACAAACAACTAAGGAATACCCAGGTGATATGGTTTGTCTGTGTCCCCACTCAAATATCAACTTGAATTGTATCTCCCAGAATTCCCACGTGTTGTGGGAGGGGCCCAGGGGGAGGTAATTGAATCATGGGGCAAGTTTTTCCCATGCTATTCTCATGATGGTAAAAAAGTCTCACAAGATCTGATGGGTTTATCAGTGGCTTCTGCTTTTGCTTCTTCCTCATTTTTCTCTTCCTGCCACCATGTAAGAAGTGTCTTCCACCTCCTGCCATGATTCCAAGGCCTCCCCAGCCATGTGGAACTGTAAGTCAAATTAAACCTCTTTTTCTTCCCAGTCTCGGGTATGTCTTTATCAGCAGCATAAAAACAGACTAATACAGTAAAGTGGTACCAGTAGAGTGGGGCATTTATGAAAAGATACTTGAAAATGTGGAAGCAACTTTGGAACTAGGTAATAGGCGGAGATTGGAACAGTTTGGAGGACTCAGAAGAAGTCAGAAAAATGTGGGAAAGTTTGGAACTTCCTAGAGACTTGTTGGATGGCTTTGCCCCAAATGCTGATAGCAATATGGAAAATAAGGTCGAGGCTGAGGTGGTCTCAGGTGGAGGTGAGGAAGTTGTTGGGAAATGGAGTAAAGGTGACTCTTGTTATGTTTTAGCAAAGAAACTGGTGGCATTTTGCCCCTGCCCTAGGGATTTGTGAAACTTTGAACTTGAGAAAGTTGACTTAGGGTATCTGGCAGAAGAAATTTCTAAGCATCAAAGCATTCAAGAGGTGACTTGGATACTGTTAAAAGCCATTCAGTTATATAAGAGAAGCAGAGCTTAAAAGTTTGGAAAATTTGCAGCCTGACTATGTGATAGAAAAGAAAAATCCATCTTCTGGATAGAAATTCAAGCCAGCTAGAGAAATTTGCATAAGTAGCAAGGAGCCGAATGTTAATCCCCGAGACAATGGAGAAAATGTCTCCAGGCTATGTGAGAGATCTTCATGGCAGCCCCTCCTATCACAGGCCCAGAGGCCCAGGAGGAAACTGATTTCATCAGCTGGGCCCACAGTCCCTGTGTTGTGTGCAGCCTAGGGACTTGGTGTCCTGTGTCCCAGCCACTCCAGCTATGGATAAAAGGGGCCAATGTACAGCTCAGTCTGTGGCTTCAGAGGGTGGAAGCCCTAAGCCTTGGCAGCTTCCATGTGGTGTTGAGCCTGTGGGTGCACAGAAGGCAAGAATTGAGGTTTGGGAACCTCCACCTAGATTTCAGAGGATGTACAGAAATCCCGGATGCCCAGGCAAAAGTTTGCTGCAGGGGCGGAGCCCTGATGGAGAACCTCTACTAGGGAAGTGCAGAAGGGAAATGTGGGGTCAGAGCCCCCACACAGGGGCCCTACTGGGGCACTGCCTAGTGGAGCTGTAAGAAGAGGGCCACCTTCCTCCAGACCCCAGAACTGTAGATCCACTGACAGCTTGCACCATGGTCCTGGAAAAGCTGCAGACACTCAACACTAGCTCATGAAAGCAGCTGGGAGGGAGGCTGTACCCTGTAAAGCCACAGAAGTGGAGCTGCCCAAGACCATGGGAACTTACCTCTTGCGTCAGCCTGACCTGGATGTGGGACATGGAGACAAAGGAGATCATTTTGGAGCTTTTAAATGTGACTGCCCCACTGGATTTTGGACTTGCACGGTTCCCGAAACTCCTTTGTTTTGGCCAATGTCTCCCATTTGGAATGGCTGTATTTATCTAATACTTGTACCCCTATTGTATCTAGGAAGTAACTAGTTGCCTTTGGTTTTACAGGCTCACAGGGGGAAGGGATTTGTCTTGTCTCAGATGAGACTTTCAATTGTGGACTTTTGGGTTAATGCTGAAATGAGTTAAGACTTTGGGGGACAGTTGGGAAGGCATGACTGGTTTTGAAACGTGAGGACATGAGATTTGGAGGGGCCGGCGTGGAATTTTCCATATGGTTTGGCCATGTCCCTACCCAAATCTAGACTTGTATCTCCCAGAATTCCCACCTGTTGTGGAAGGAGCCTAATGTGAGATAATTGAATCATGGGGGCTGGTCTTTCCTGAGCTATTCTGGTGACAGTGAATAAATCTCATGAGATCTGATGGGTTTATCAGGGGTTTCCACTTTTGTTTCTTCCTCATTTTTCTCTTGCCGCCACCATGTAAGAAGTGCCTTTCACCTCCTGCCATGATTCTGAAGCCTCCCCAGCCATGTGCCACCGTAGTCCAATTAGACCACCTTTTCTTCCCAGTCTCAGGTATGTCTTTATCGGCAGCCTGAAAACAGACTAATAGACCAGATGTTTGAAAATATTTGAAATTTCTTAGATAATATTAATGAATTCAGGAAATGAAAATGGAAAATGTTTTTTTTTAAGACACAGCATTATCATTGAGTATTTTCCAAAATATTTAAATTCTTTTTCAGTGAGAACCATTATAGTACATTTTATAAATCATTGTAATTTTAGTAAAGGTAACTTACAAATTATATTTGAGTTCATTGTACTGAACAACTCCATGGTGATTTGACTTTCCCTGTCTAGTCTGGTACTCAGGCTCAAGTATGATGTTTTGGTATTGACCCTTGGGCACTGAATTTGATGTATTAGCTTCTGATGCTCTTCTAAGTTCTGATTTTCTATTTTTATTTCTATAGCATGAAGCTTTTAAAATAAGACTTTTGCTAAAATTGACATTGACACCTCCCACCCCCCACCAAAACACACACTCTGTTCTTTAAAGAGGAGAGTGTAAACAGTATTTCAAAATAGACATCTTTTAATTTGGACTGTAAAGTCTTTCAGTTATACAATTTGAGTTTGACTCCAAAATGTCATATTTCATCTCAAAATAAAGGCCAATACTCTAAATAAGAACTAACTCTTACCCATTTGGTGGGAATCAAACTATAAAACCACCTTTCTATTTTTTTTTAATAAAAGTGAAATATGCTTAAAAGCAAAATGAGACAATTGCTTCAGATGATGCATAAACATAATAAACAATGATTAACTTTTATTTCTTTAAAAGGGTATTCTATTTTCATGTTTTATATTTAATTAACCATTAAATAAATGGTTGTAAGATGATAAAGAAACAGTATGTTTTTAAAAGGGATATAGAGAGTCACAGCACTATGTAAATAGATTTTCTATGTGAGAGTGACCACTTCAAATGACTAACTCACAAGTTTCCTTGGGACTAATGATACCTAAAAGGCAGTTTCAAGTACATCCAAATTCCAAATTCTCAGGATCTTCTTCACCTAACTATTCCTTTTGATTTTCTCAGGGATTCATCTTGGTCCACTTTGCATAGTGTACTTTATGGATTATGTGGCTTAAATTTATGTCCATATGCTGATGATTCCCAAGTCTCTGTCCTGTTCAGACCTCCCACCTGCACATCCAACAGCTGGCTGGACATCATATTCAATTTAACCCCACACCTAGTGCCCGCCAAATAAATGATGTCCATTAAATGGTTTATTGGGAATGTTAAATGCTTTACAAAAACACTGGATTATAAACATGTTTGGCAACACAAAATAAAAACCACATCAGCTTACAGCAATTTTCATCCCAAATTTTCAACTGCCATAAGTAATTTCCACCTGTTATCCCTCCCTCACCCAAAATTCACTATGCTTATAATCATAACATTCCCCTCTATCTTACTCTGAGACAAATTTCTAGATCTGATCCTAATTTCCTCGTGTCTTTAAATGGCGCCAACCTTGTTTTGGGCCAAAGGAGCCCTATTCAAGTGTACAAGTTGGGAAAAATATATTTTGGGCAGGAACTTCTTCCCCTTTTAGATGCTGTGTTTTTCTGCTCTTGTCCCTTCATTCTCTTCCCCTCCTACTGAAATATTGCTTTCAGCCAGTTGTCAATTTCCTTCTTTACTGGATTTTAATTGATACAGTATTTACTTTCCTAGGAAACTGATGAAAAAAACTCAAAAGAATGACTCTGCAATAATGAAATTTTAAGCATTATGCTAAGGATAAAGTAGATATACTTGGGGAGTGAGGTCTTTCCTGATACCTTCCAAATAATACAGATTCCACTACAGAGAAGTATGAATTTACAGTGAAGAACACCTAAAATTTGTCTAAGCCACCTTTGTTCTCTTGTGTTACATAGTCTTACCACAAACTTCCTAAAATCCTATTTTATTTATGTTGCTGTCCAATTGAAGAACATACAAAGCCTCTTCCATTTTGTAGGCCATTGCAATTTAAAATGTCTGTCAGATCCTCAGTCTGATCTTCCCTTTACAGTCATTTTTTTTCTTCACTATGTAAAGTATCCAGACTTTACACTTTTTGGAATTGTACTACAGGATTAAAATCCCCATTCTATACTTGTTAGTAAAATTGTTTCATTAAATGATGAATTAATAACTGAAATAATTAATGAATAAAACATTGCTGTGCCTGCTCTCTGCATGCCACTACTACTCTCACACCAGCCTCTACACTTTTGTGTGTGCTATTACTCATACCTGGAAAGTGCACTTTCTACCTCTGCAGCTATGGCTGTAGTGTGCACTAAAATCACCTAGAGGGCTTGGCAAAGCACACAGTGCTTGGTCTCATCCTAGCCCAGAGCCCAAGGGTTTGCACTCAAGCAAGTTCCCAACAGATGTTAATGATGCTGATCCAAGGACCACACTTTGAAAACACAGTTTAGAGCTCATATTATCTAGAGTTCTGAGATCCACTTTGTATTATTTCACATGAATTTTTGTGATGTCCTTTTCTCATACTAGATGTTTTTCATACTTCTAGAAACTTGTTACGTATTGGTGCATTCTCCAAAAACTTGGTGCTCTCACAGCGTTAGTCCTAACCATGCTGAACTTTTTAACTCCCTGTGAAAAGACCATGCATTTTTGTAATTTCCTGCTATTCCCTTTTCCCAGCTTACTTCCCATTCGTTTCATCTTGGTAAAATCTAAGACCTAGTTCTACTGTCCTCTCTTTTACCAAGACTCCTTCAAATTTCTTGGAAATCTCCACCCATCCCAATATCTTTGATCCCATGGATCTCTGTACTTGTCAAGACCACTGAGAATATCTTTGCATGCACATTCTGAATGCTTAAAAGGCAGAAAGCAGAACATATATATATATATATATATATTTATATTTGTATCCTTAGTACCAACACAATGTCTCAATAGAAGTATTTTCAAAGTATCCCAATTATTTGTAAAATATTTGTTAAGTAAAAGCAAAAATAAACAATAAAAGCAAACCAAAATATTGCAAAAAGGAATGTGAACTTACATACTGAGTTGTCATGCAGAATATTGAAAATCAGAGCAATTTAGGTAGACTCTCCCAATAAGGCACAACCTCAGCTTCTATTCATGGCTAAAACATGCCAGATAGTATATTGATATATTTATTGCTATTTATGTATATAAATAAAAACTGAGAAGAAAGAGTAGGCAGAAGGAAGGAAGAAATACCTCTGCTTAGTCTAAATAATACTGACTAGATGATAATTAGAGGAGGTTAAAGAATATTTAGATTCTTGTATATTATAAATGTGTAGGAAAAAAGCATTGCTGATGTCATTGACAATGAGAACTTTCTGAAAATAGCTCCTATGACCTCTTATGAATTATTTCTGAATTTAATGTGCTTCTTCCCAAACACAGATTTGATTCTTTGCCTCAAATCCTGTAGATACTTTCTTGCACTTGACTTTAGGATCGAGGCATCTTGGTGGGCTCACTATGGACTTATTTCTCTTTTTCTATCTCCAGAATATAAACCACATGTAACTTCAACAATGCTTTGTACAAGATGGATCTGTTTAGAGCTGGTGATCAACATTTACCTTGAAGGGCCAAAAGGGAAAGTTTAGAACTGCTAGGTTAAACAAGGTCAATTTGAGGAAGCAATCATTTCGACGGCTGACATTATGTCTTGTAATAAACTTGGCCAACTGTTTTTTGTGGAAATTTTATTGTTTCTGTTGTTATGGCTGCTTCTGTCAGGGAAGGTGATCTGGACAGTGTTTTAGAAAGCATGCTTTTCATAATTGAAATGATAAATCATCTTATGTAACTATCACACTCACTTATATCTTCACATTGAGGTAGGCAAATCTCTGGAAAGTAATGTTGTGTGTGTGGCCTGTATTTATGTATCAATGGAGACATCCTAATTTTCCCCACAGTTGATCCATGAGCATATTTATAGTTTAGTATTTTTAAATCTATGTTAGTGATGGACAGGCCACTTTCACTGATATGGAAACTATGCAGTGAGAAACTGAGTTTCCCAAGCACAGAGTTAATGAGAAACTACAGAGTCAGAGGATATAGAAGATTAAAATAAGCTAGTGTTGCCAAACTAAATTTCCTTAGCAGAAGTAGCTGAATTCCTGAAAGGGAGCCAGTCACTTTGAGACATGTGTTTTATTTACGCTGAGGCATCTTCGTGATGATGCATATTACTCCTGTGTATACTCAGAGACACATGACTGTGAAGAAAAAAAAGGAACAATATGCGGTAGCCTAATGTTGTTGGGTGACTTGTCAAAGTCTTGGTTGGAGTTGTTGGTTGAGATTATTTTGCTTTGTGGGTAGTTTAGTGTGTGCTCTAATTTGTTCCCTTTTCCAGGTAATTACGAGTTTAGTTTTCTAATTTTTGGTTTACAATATTGTCAAGATAATTAAATAAGAATATATTGTGAAGAGATTAGCACAAGGCTGGCATATATACATTGCCAGTAAATGGAGCTGTTATTATAATTGTGAGAAAAATGAGATATTTGAAGATTTTATTCTCAGGGACAGGAGCCATCCTATTCTTCCATGTGCATACTTACTTCAGCACTTAGAGCATACTTCAACTTTTCAATTAATTTCCATGAAAGAGTCTGCCTCACCTATTTCCAATGCCTGGCAGTACTGTCACCATTTGGGGGACAGGGTAGTAAATTAAAAAGTTAATGTTTCTCCAATTTCTGAGTTAAAAAAAACTTCCATTACCCCTTCCAAAGTCATTATTTCTAAGGATAGCTAGGCATTGGAAGAAAAAGTATAGAGTGACTCTAGCTATTAAAACTAGGTGATTATAACCGCTTTCACTCCCAGTGTTTGCCAGAGGACAAATTGTTGCCAACAGATGAACAAAGAAAAGGGTCTTCTGCTTCTGAAGTAGTCACTTTCTCCCTTCATGTTCCCAGCAACTGTTTATTTGGTACCTCCTATGCGCTGAGCCTAGGCAAATAAAAATGAATCTGAGATCATCTCTGTGCTGCATAAAAACTTTGCATTGTTTAATGATGTTTATTTGGGGAAAATATTTGGGAAATATATTAAATGATATCGGCAAATATTAAGGAGAACTTACTTTTTACAAAGCACAGTGACTTTGAGGGAAAAGATAATAAAAGAAGGTATGATCTTTTTTATGATCTTTTTATGATAGGGTGGAGGAAATGGAATTAAATCTAGGAAACTCAGTGATAGCAGTCAGTCACAAGCAAGAAATAAAGTGTTATGAGAACTCAGAGAGGACAGAGTTTATTCCTGTCTTAGATGAATCTGCAAGACTTCAGAGAGGCAAGGGAAACTGCTATAAGTCTTAAAGAATAGTAACATCATTCACTCTTCAATCAAGCAATTATTAAGCCATTACTAAATACCAGGTATTACTTTACACAAATAAGTAAGATACAGAGAAGACACAGCTTTGTCCTTTAGGAGCTCATGGTCTAGTTATAGAAGAGACAGGTATATAATTAAATAATTATAACACAATAGATATAATATTAAAATATAACATATGATACTGATATAATTTAGTATAGTTACTGAGAGAACCCCTGACTCTGCCTTCAGTCTACAGTTGTGTGTATGTGTGTGTTCGTGTGTATGTTTTTGTATCTCTATGTGTATATGTGTACAGAAGGGAAATTTAGAAAGTCTTTCCAGAGGAGACATTTGAACTAAGTCTTGAGGAAGGGTAGAATTCAGCAAGCTTCCCTGAGAATTGGGGGCATAGTTGAAAGAGGGAGGTGATATAGTTTGGCTCTGTGTCCCCACCCAAATCTCATCTTGACTTGTACTCCCATAATTCCCACGTGTTGTGGGAGGGACCAGGTGGGAGATAATATAAATCATGGGTGCAATTTCCCCCATACTGCTCTCCTGGCAGTGAATAAGTCTCATAAGATCTGATGGTTTTATCAGGGGTTTTTGCTTTCTCATCTTCCTCATTTTCTCTTGCCGCCACCATGTAAGAAGCACATTTCACCTCCTGTCATGATTCTGAGGCCTCCTCAGCCATGTAGCACTGTAAATCCAATTAAGCCTCTTTTTCTTCCCAGTCTCAGATATGTCTTTATCAGCAGCATGAAAATGGACTAATACAGTAAATTGGTACCAGTAGAGTGTGGTATTGCTGAAAAGATACCCAAAAATGTGGAAGCGACTTTGGAACTGGGTAACAGGCAAAGGTTGGAACAGTTTGGGGGGCTCAGAAGACAGGAAAATGTGGGAAAGTTTGGAACCACCTAGAGACTTGATGAATGGCTTTGACAAAAATGCTGATAGTGATATGAATGATAAGGTCCTGGCTGATGTGGTCTCAGATGGAGATGAGGAACTTGTTGGGAACCGCAGTAAAGGTGATCCTTGTTATGTTTTAGCAAAGAAACTGGTGGGATTTTTCCCCTGCCCTAGAGATTTGTGGAACTTTGAACTTGAGAGAGATGATTAAAGGTATCTGGTGGAAGAAATTTCTAAGCAGCAAAGCATTCAAGACATGACTTGGGTGCTGTTTAAAGCATTCTGTTTTAAAAGGGAAACAGAGCATAAAAGTTCAGAAAAGTTGTAGCCTGACAATGCAGTAGAAAAGAAAAACCCAGTTTTTGAGGAGAAACTCAAGCTGGCTGCAGAAATTTGTATAAGTAGCAAGGAGCTGAATGTTAATCCCCAAGACAATGGGGAAAATGTACCCAGGGCATGTCATAGGTCTTTGTGGCAGCCCCTCCCATCACAGACCAGGAAGCCTAGGAGGAAAAAACAGTTTTGTGGACCAGGGTCAGGGTTCCCATGCTGTGGGCAGCCCAGGAACTTGGTGCTCTGCATCCAAGCTGTTCCAGCCATTGCTAAAAGGGGCCAACATACAGCTTGGCCCATGGTTTCAGTTGGTGCAAGCCCCAAACCTTGGCAGCTTCCACGTGGTGCTGAGCCTGCAGGTGCACAGAAGTCAGGAATTGAGGTTTGAGAACCTCCACCTAGATTTCAGAGGATACATAGAAATGCCTGGATGCCCAGGAGAAAGTTTGCTGCAGGGGCAGGACCCTCATGGAGAGCCTTTGTTAGGGCAGTGCAGAAGTGAAATGTGGAGTCTGAGCCCCCACACAGAGTCCCTACTGGGGCACTGCCGAGTGGAGTTGTGAGAAGAGGGCAGACGTCCTCCAGACCCCAGAATGGTAAAGCCACTGACAGCTTGGACTGTGCACCTGGAAAAGCTGCAGACATTCAATGCCAGCCTGTGACAGCAGCCAGAAGGGGGGCTGTACCCTGCAAAGCCACAGGGGCAGAGCTGCCCAAGACCATGGGAACCCACCTCTTGCATCAGGGTGACCTGGATGCGAGACATAGAGTCAAAGGAGATCATTTTGGAGCTTTAAAATTTGACTGCCCTGCTGATTTCAGACTTGCATGGGCCCTGAAACCCCTTTGTTTTTGCTAATTTCTCCCATTTGGAATGGCTGTATTTACCCAATACCTATATCCCCATTGTATCTAGGAAGTAACTAGCTTGCCTTTGATTTTACAGGCTTGTAGGCTGAAGGTGCTTGCCTTGTCTTAGATGAGACTTTGGACTGTGGACTTTTGGGTTAATGCTGAAATGGGTTAAGACTTAGGGGAACTGTTGGGAAGGCATGATTGGTTTTGAAATGTGAGAACATGAGATTTGGAGGGGCCAGGGGAGGAATGATATGGTTTGGCTCTGTCCCCACCCAAATCTCATCTTTAATTGTACTCCCATAATTCCCGTGTTCTGTGGGAGGGACCAGGTGAGAAAATTTGAACCATGGGGCGGTTTCCCTCATGCTGTTCTCATGGTAGTGAATAAGTATCATGAGATCTGATGGGTTTATCAGTGGTTTCTGCTTTTGTACCTTCCTCATTTTCTCTTGCCACTGCCATGTAAGAAGTGCCTTTTGCCTCCCATTGTGATTCTGAGGCCCCCCTAGCCATGTGAAACTGTAAGTCCAATTAAACCTCTTTTTCTTCCCAGACTCAGGTATGTCTTTATCAGCAGCACATAAGTGGACTAATACAAGAGGAAAACAAATTTTCTCAGGAAACTGGAAAGAATGTGAGTGTATGAGTACAGTGTAAGGAGATGGAGAGTGAGACCTGGGAGTGGGAATTATAATGTCAATTATGATTTAGATATGAGGGAGAAGAAACTAAAACTCAGGTAAGGACAAGATAATAAGAGGCTTTGTACAAAACAGCAGGGAATTTTTGAGGTGGTTGTGGTTAGCCACAGGGTGACAGCCCTGCCACTGGGGAGTCTGGGTCAGTAGGACGGAGTCTGCTTTACCCATGCCCCAACTTCAGTCACCTCTTGTTCCCAGTCCCACACAGCTGTGTTGCAAATATATGACCTCAATTTTAGGAGCCATGAAGCCAAAATCTATTGTTATTGTTTGAAATACTTTGGGAACATGAAATAACACTTTACTTAGTTTGGAACTAAGTAAGCTTCACCTTTTGATATGAATGTAATTTGCCTGTTAGCTTCATCTTTTGATATAAATGTAATTTAGGTCTGAAAATCAAGAGACATAAAACAGAGCAATATAAGAGGAAGCATTTCTAAGCTGATAAGAGATCTTATATTTTTTGAGTAATATAGTTCAGAATGGTTTCTTCTACCTTGAGTTACTCAGAATAGTTAATTTCCTTTTTTCTTGAAACAGAATATTTGTCCATATTTCATTTCCGTTTAACTCATTTATCTCTCTCACTGCAGAGGTTTCCCTACAAATACTTTTTCTCCACTGGAGGCTTTGGGAATAAATAAAACATTGGAGATAAATTTGCAAGTTAAAACTATTGTTTATTTCTCCATCGTTCGTCAGTAACTTAAAGGGTAACAGAGATAAGAGCTATTCCTTGGGAACTTCTGGGAATTTGGTAGGGGATTATCTTTTCACCTGTTTTCCAGTTCATGAATATAAACACTGCTCAGAGAGACCTGTTTTAGGGTAAAAGCAATGTTATTTTGTACACAGAGTGCTGTGTATTACAAAGTATTTGATTAACCAGGTTGACCAGTAACAAAGTTAATTATTTAGTCAATATTTTACTAAGTGTTTCAGTCATTACCCATTTAATTTTTAAGTACTTTATTTTTCTATTCTCTCCATCTACACATCTGATGTTTTACATGAATGTATTTAAATTATGAAATCAACTGCAAAAGCTAGCCACAAGATTTTAAGATTAGCCCAGTAACCAAGATGTTACTGCTGAATGATAGACAAGAACTCCACAGTTTTTACAGTTTGAAGGTAAATGGGGAAAACCCTTTTGAAGGTTAATGTCATAGGAAAAGTGCGGAATCAAAACACAGCTGTATTTATTCGTCTTTAGAGCTATTTTATTTCATAACTTTGGATTAGTCATTTAAAAATGCCACAGAAGTCATATGTTTTCTATGACAGAAGATAATAATACACACAAGGTCAATTTACAAAACTCTAGTTTGCAGCTGTCCTGAGAAACGGAGTTCTGAAAAATCTCTGATCTGGAGGACTTAGTTCAAAATAACAAGCAGAAATTTTGTTTAAGTCAAGTGTTAGATTTGGGTTCCCTAGTTCCTGGGTTGTGAATATATGTGTTTATATATATGTATGTGTGTATATATATAGTGTGTGTGTGTGTGTGTGTGTGTGTGTATCTGTAAATTCCTAGGGTGGAAAAACAGGCTAATGAAGCAATGTGAATTTCTGAAATTTTCTATTGTGTACTTGTTTTTAAATTATAATTATCAGTAATGAATGCTAATTGTAGCAAGTCAAACAATACAGAGCATTTGAAGAAAAATATTTAAGTTTCTCCGGTTTCCAATTCCTTTTCCCAAGAATAGAAAGTCTCTTGCGCATATCCTTCGTTTTTTGTTTTGTTTTGTTTTCAGACGGGGTTTCATTCTGTCACCCAGGCTAAAGTGTAGTGGCACTGTCATGGCTCAATGCAGCCTCAATCTCTCAGGCTCAAGTGATCCTCCAACCTTAGTCCCCTGAGTAGCTGTGACTATAAGCACATGCCACCATGCCTGGCTAATTTTTTATTTTTTGTATAGATGGGGGTCTCACTATATTGCCCATGCTGGTCTCAAACTCCTGGGCTGAAGTGATCTTTCCCCCTTGGCTCCCAAAGAGTTGGGATTGTAAGCATGAGCCACTTTGCCCAGCTTCCTCTTCATTTCTTCCCCCTAACCCACTTTTTTTTTTTGTAATCAAAGGTATTTTAACCTCATTAACATGATTTATAATTTGGAATTTCTATACAAGGCAGTAGTTTTCAGCCCTACTGATATCTCTTACACACATTTATGTAGACATATATATAAATATATGTCTATAAATATATATGTCTATAAAAATATATATGTCTATAAATATATATATATAAATATATATATATGATGAATGGATTTCTTCATTGTTAACAGAAATGTTTCATAATTTATTTTTAAAGCCATAATCTTTAAACAGTACTTTATTTACATAGTACCTAGTAGATAAACGTTGCTCAGTATTTGTGGAATGAAAAATGATATCCATCTAACCATTAGAATTAGCTCTAGCACACTCCAAGGCACAACTTAAAAATCATTAGATCAGTGTATAGGGTAAATACAAGAAGCTAAGGCACTTGGTTTAGAGGTTTGGGTTTTGCATAGCCCCTCTGTGTGTCAGTTACAATTTCTATTTTACTTGATGTATCTGGAGACAGATAACATCATTGGCCACTTGGCTGTTTCATATTTTCCTGTTCTCTTCTATCCCCCTGAGAGTTTCTCCAGAGTCTCCTTTATGGTAAATGACCTCTGGGAATCCAGCATAGCTCTCTTCTCCTTTTTTACTTGATATGCTCTTTTTTGAATGATGTCATCTACTTCTGTGGCCTTAGTTACTGATGTGTTGATGATATTTAGATCTATATTTCCAGAGCCTGCCATTCTCCTGAGATCCAGGAAATATTTCTAAATGTGGCTGAACAAGCTCATTTTTATGTTATGTAGTTGCTTCAAACTCTCCAATATATAATGCTATCCTCTCTATCACGGTATTCCATAGCTATGCTTTCTTTTTTACTGTCTTCTCTATCTTGGATAATGGCATTGGTTGTTCAAGCTAGAAAATTAAAAGTCATCTTAAACAATTGTCACTTCTCTTACATATCATCAACTCCTGTAGGTTCTATCTGTAGGTTCCAACCAAAAAGAGTCCAGGACCAGATGGATTCACAGCCGAATTCTACCAGAGGTACAAGGAAGAACTGGTACCATTCCTTCTAAAACTATTCCAATCAATAGAAAAAGAGGGAATCCTCCTTAACTCATTTTATGAGGCCAGCATCATCCTGATACCAAAGCTGGGCAGAGACAAAACCAAAAAAGAGAATTTTAGACCAATATCCTTGATGAACATTGATGCAAAAATCCCCAATAAAATACTGGCAAACTGAATCCAGAAGCACATCAAAAAGCTTATCCACCACGATCAAGTGGGCTTCATCCCTGAGATGCAAGGATGGTTCAATATACACAAATCAATAAATGTAATCCAGCATATAAACAGAACCAAAGACAAAAACCACATGGTTATCTCAATAGATGCAGAAAAGGCCTTTGACAAAATTCAACAACGCTTCATGTTAAAAACTCTCAATAAATTAGGTATTAATGGGATGCATCTCAAAATAATAAGAGCTATCTATGACAAACCCACAGCCAATATCATACTGAATGGGCAAAAGCTGGAAGCATTCCCTTTGAAAACTGGCACAAGACAGGGATGCCCTCTCTCACCACTCCTATTCAACATAGTGTTGGAAGTTCTGGCCAGGACAATTAGTCAGGAGAAGGAAATAAAGCGTATTCAATTAGGAAAAGAGGAAGTCAAATTGTCCCTGTTTGCAGACGACATCATTGTATATCTAGAAAACCCCATTGCCTCAGCCCAAAATCTCCTTAAGCTGATAAGCAACTTCAGCAAAGTCTCAGGATACAAAATCAATGTACAAAAATCACAAGCATTCTTATACACCAATAACAGACAAACAGAGAGCCAAATCATGAGTGAACTCCCATTCACAATTGCTTCAAAGAGAATAAAATACTTAGGAATCCAACTTACAAGGGACGTGAAGGACCTCTTCAAGGAGAACTATAAACCACTGCTCAATGAAATAAAAGAGGATACAAACAAATGAAAGAACATTCCATGCTCATGGGTAGCAAGAATCAATATCGTGAAAATGGCCATACTGCCCAAGGTAATTTATAGATTCAATGGCATCCCCATCAAGCTACCAATGACTTGCTTCACAGAATTGGAAAAAACTACTCTTAAATAGTTCTTAAATACTCCACCTCATATAATTTGTCCCTACAACCACTATGTTGGGTCAGAAGCTCAACATCTCTCACATGGATTGTCTCTCCTCTACAATGTTGATAACAATATTTTCTTTTTAAAACAGAAATATGAGCATTTTATTTCACTACTAGAAAAGTATCAGTGACATCCTTTGCCTAATTTGGTAGTCTCTGTGTAGCCCCAGGGGATACATTGTGGTTCAAAAATGCAATATTGAGATTTCTACTTACATTCACTCTTTTTTAGTGCAATATTTAATATTCACTAAAGAATGTAACATATATTTTATAAAGTTCAATAATGAAATGAATGCCTATGAAGCCACTACCGACTTACATCCTAGAACATTGCCAGAACTGTTTCATCTACCTTCACTTTTACCTCTCTCTTCCTCTTGCTTCCACTAACAAAACCCCACTTAAGATAAATTTCATTTGTTATACTTTCCTTATTTTTCATGTATTTACAACATATGTATTTATTTATAAATATTATGTTGTTTAGTTTGTTCTTGAACATTTGAAGATTTACTCTTATTTTTGCATGAAGCTGTGGTTCATTAATTTTTTTGCAGAATTAAATTTTATTCCATTAAGTGACTACATCAAAAATGATTTGTCTACTCTCTTTTTGATGGACATTAGCTTCTTTATAAGTTTAGCTATTATGTACAATGCTACAATGGATAATATTGTATATCATCTTGTTACACTTGTATGATTTTCAAGAATATATCCAGCAGTGCATTTATTGTATTACAGGATAGACAAATGTTCAAAGTATAAGATATTAGTAGTGACACATATACATAGCTTATTTTAAAATGTATTAAAGTTATATTAAGAGTGAGTGCGTAGCTGAGCATGGTGGCTCATGCCTTTAATTCCAGCACCTTGGTAGGCTGAGGCAGGTGGATCAACTGAGGTCAGGAGTTCAAGACCAGACTGGCCAGAATGGCGAAACTCCATCTCTACTAAAAATACAAAAATTAGCCAAGCATGGTGGCAGTCACATGTAATCCCAGTTACTCGGGAGGCTGAGGAAGGAGAATCGCTTGAATCTAAGAGGTGGAGGTTGCAGTGAGTGGAAATCATGCCACTGCACTCCAGACTGGGTGACAGAAACAATACTTTGCATCCTTCAATCCAATCATGTTAACACTCAATATTAACCATCACAATAAGGTTAGGTTAAAACAGACAGATAACTGAACTAGGAATTATACCAGATTTGTCTCAGTTCATCTTTGGCTAGCCATATTGTTACAGGAAAGAGGACAGGATTCAGACCCCAAGAGAGGGTTCTTGGATCTCACGCAAGAAATAATTCAGGGTGAGTTCATGGATTAAAGTGAAAGCAAGTTTATTAGGAAAGTAAAGGAAAAAAAGAATGGCTACTCCATAGACAGAGCAGCCATTTAATTTAGAGCAGTTTAATTTAAGAGAATGTTTAGTAAGTTTCTCCTGAATTCCTACAAAAAGAGTACAATAGCAATATATTCCACAAGAATAAAGCAAAAGAAGTAGAATTTTCTCAAGTAAACAAAATTAGAAGGCTTTCCATGAATGGGGCAACTGTTGGAACTAAGCTAATATGGGACTGTTAGCTGATTCTAATGTGCCCACAATTAGAATACTCATACAGATTTTTACATTACCCATCCCTCTTGGTTGTTCTGACCAGCAGTCAGAGATCACTGGTTGGCTCACAAGAATAAGCAGGGTTAGCCTAAATTACAGAAACACATTTAAAAACAACTGATGAGACTAAAATTTAATAACAAGTATACCATAGTTCTTGGAACATAATTTCTCTTTCCAGTCTCCCATTTTTACTAAAGACAAATCATGGTAAGATTGATTTGCTTTATTATATTTGGCCTGATTATTTGTATAAAGTATAGCAAGAATAAATATTTGCCATAAGCTTTTTAAAAAATGGCTTCAATGGAACTCTGTTCCATAGAAAAAATCTTAGATAAATAAGACTTTTTTTTTAAGCCAAGCCCTACCATGTGTATCCACACTCAGATACCTACAAGTTGGGTAAATTCCTCTCTTTTTGAGGTCCCAAGATAACTTGGGGCTCCTGGGCCTGTGATGTTCTTTACTTACCACAGGTCAGGAAGCTCATACAGGGATGGTGTAGTCAAGGTGTGAGGCCAGTTCCCCAAGGGACTTTTATTGGCTCTACAAGTCAAATTTGATTTCTTAAAGAAAAGCATGCCATTCAGGTAAAAGCCTTGGTAAAATAACCAGTTTCTCCAATTGTGTCCCGTTGCAAAAGAAAACAGATTCTTATTGCAGTCATGCAAATAACTATGTTGCCATAAATTAAGAATATTCACAGATAGTTTCCAAATTCTGGATAAAACTGGTAGAGAGAAACAAATATGCTCCAAATTTTGTTCATAGGAGTATACTTTACTCTATTGCTACAAGCTACAAATAGCTTAAAGGAAAAGTTTTCCTAACTCTGAAAAACAAAACAAAGGATCAGTAATGTTTTAAGAAAAATTTAAAAGATTACTTTAGACTTCTATTAGTTTAGTCCATGCAGTTAACTTCTGTTTAATATTCATGAACATTTCAGCTTTCCAAGAGTGTTCTCAAAGATTTTTCTCTATTCTAACGTAATAATCTCCAAAGTTATCAGAAACCTCCATTTAAGAACACCTGTTAGAATTGTACAGTTGACTATAAAATCATCTTCCAAAGAGGATTAAAACAGGACAAAAATTGTCTGTGGATGATAAAAAGTCTTAGGACAGCCACTATTAAGGCCACAATTGATATGGAAATTTGGTCACTTCTGTGGCATATAGCAATTTCACATAACAATTATAACTATTAATAACATACATTAAGCCATATCAGAATTAGAGGAGTTTCCCATAATTTTGGAACATATACCAATAACACATTTATACAAATAGAGCCAAAAAAAAAAACCAAGCACCATTTTGTATTTGGCAATGCTTCTTGTATGATTTTTATACCAAGTAAGCCAAATGTCACTGTTGTGTTAGTGCATTATTGATGTTACACCCAATAGACAAATATATTCAATAAAACCTTATAGACAAATATATTCAATCTTAATCAGTTTGACCATAGGTAAGATTTTAATAAACCTTTTATAAGCCTTTACAATTTTTCTTACAGGTCAGATCATAAGCAGGTTTTTGCTCTAAGAAAATCTTGTTATGCTTTTATTCTAATGCTCAATTTACAGAAAAAATGGAATAATACCCCTTTAACTTTAGCCAGTGTGTTCACACACAGAATTTCTTTTACAATTAATTTTTCACAAACCTTCCACAACTTGCATAACACTTCAGCTTTATTCTAACTTAAAACAATCTTTTAACCCTTTAATCTAGGCAGAAAAATTCATATTCCCAAGACTTCTTATAATTTTTTTACAAAAAACACATTTTACTTTCTTTACATCCCTTGTGTATAGAACTGGTTTTTTTTTAGTAGTCTCAGATACATGTTATGGTGTTAACTCTTAGCAACTTTTTTTTTTGGTGAAAGCCTTGGTAAGTAAGGGATTTTTTAATTATGTACTAGTGTGGAGCCTAGGACCCAGACAGAAGTGCAGATAAGGGCTGGCTTTTTCCAGCACAGCTAGTGGGCATGGCTAACTCCACATGTCCCAGGCCTTACCTAGCTGTAAAGCAAGGAAATTGTATAGTAAGAGCCATAGTGGCATTTTATGAAGCATTTAGGAGGCCCATCACCTTTAAATTGTACAATGTTTCTTGCATAAATTCGTTTTCATAAATTTTTTCATGACTCACACAGACCATCTACAACATGCTTGGACTTTCTGACTTGTCATAAACCTTCCTCTTGTTAAACAACCAGTCATTTTGCTTTAGGACAAGAATTTACCATAGAAGATCGTTTCTTATATAAAATCTCTTTCTTTATAACCTTCTTTGCATAGCTAGAAGCTATGCTTATTTCACATGTCCCCAGGCATTATCTAGAATCTGATATCTCCAAGGAAGATTAAAATGAACAGTTTTTAAAAGCCAAAGAAGCAGTTTATGACCTTAAAGCATTTAGCAAACTTAATATCTGACCTGTATAATTTAGACCTAATGTTTACATTTTTGAAAACATTTTAATTTTACCAACAAAATTGTCCTTATTTTAAAACTGTCTTTATTTCCCAAAGATTACTTAAGTCACATGAACTAAAAGGCATTACACATTTTACTTTTCTGACAAAATATTTGATTTAGAACTTATTTTTAAGCCAATCAATCAAAGCTCTTTCATATATAAATATCACACAAATAATACATATAAATACATAGACAGAAGATAAAGGACCAATTTTCCAAGCCAGGAATTAAACCTTGAATCCGGGCTGCCATTGTGATGGCAGAGACCAAGAGAAAGTACTGCCACCTGGTTACAAGGTCAAGCTCCCAAGGACATACAAGAGACAAGAGGGAAACTTCATCCAGTTATTTTTATTTTTATTTATTTATTTTTTTTTAGGGACCTGCAGCAAAGTTTATAACTGACCAGTTTGCTGGGCCATCTTGAAAAGCAGGTTTAGGGGTGTCCTAAGCCCATGTTCTGTTCTGAGGTATGCCTTATTATGACAGAACAATACAGAAAGACCCACAAAGCACAGCAGATTTGCTACAGCCTATGACTAGCCTCACAAATCCTTTTTTCCATTAATTAAAACTTTACAGAGAAGATAAACAGTGATTTTTACCATTCATTCGACAGGTTTGCAGAGAGAGAGAAAGAAAAGCATTGCCTGAGGCAAGATGGGGAAAGCGAGGCACTCAGGGAGGCCAGGAAGACCCACCCTTTGCAGTGACACTGAAAAGTTCGGGCGGCCACTTGTCGGTTTTCTCCTTTTACATTAAGTGATATACACTTGTGTTTCTCTGAGTACATATCTACCTCTGCTACTAGATTGTAAGCTCCTTGAGGGGGAAGACTTTCCTAATTTTTTTAATTGCTGGTACTCAGAATAGTATGTACAACATAATAGATTCTTAGCAAAGTTGCTCTTTTTTACTCATTTTTCGAAAATCATATTGAGCACCTATTATGCTTATTTATAATGTAAATGATGATATGTGTGAACAAGTATAAAGGACATGAAGGATTTTAACAGTGATAGCACTGCATGTATCTAAACATTACCAGCTTCTTGAGCAGTCTTGTCTGTAATTAGTTTATTTGTAAGAGTAAGAGTTAGTCTTGTATAGAATATGCATAGAGACAACAACATACAACAACATACAAAAATTGTCAGGATTCTTGATTTCCTCTTTAGTGCTTCTTGCCCTTCTTCATTTAACCACATTTCACAGTCACTAATAAAATATGAACAACTGATGTCAAATTCAGGATCCTGTTTCAGAAGGGAAAACAGAAACATTTACCTTGTTCTTAGGACATGCTATGCTCTTTCACAAGTGTCTGCCCATCTTGACTAGTGTTGTTGAAATGGCTTTCTTAATCAAATAATCTCAATCTCCAGCTTTGTAGCTATATCTAAAGTTCCCATATTACCTATACTTTGGGCTATAGACACTGATACCATGTGTCAACATGCAAACATAATCTAGAGAGGAAACAAAGTAAAAACCTTAATTAATCATTAATAACTTTATTCAAATTGGTTTCTGAGATTTCTTTTAGTAAGCAGAACCCTAAAAAAGTGAAACCTTGTCAAAATTATATTGGAACCCTGCTCAATCGCAGTAGGACCTTGAAGTGAAGTCCTGAACAGCTGAGTTACACAAGGGCTAGAAATCTCTCCAGTTCTTCATTTCTCCAGCCTATTGAAAGGGTGCCATTTTAACAAGAAAGTAACCACAAGTCTGGAAGGGCATGAAAGATGAGCTTAGTCTGGAGTAGAGAATGAATCTCCAACCTCAAGTTTCTTTAGAGACACTTAATTTGTTTCTTGAACATTCATTTCACCTTGTCACTCATATTCTTCATTTCACCTTGTCACCCATATTCTTCTGAAAAGTTTGTGACAGTTTCTACATATATCAGACAAATTGAGACAACTGTCAGCATTAATTGGGCCTCAAACTCAGCCCCATGAAATATCAGAATCAACAGAGTATTTGCAAAAGACAAGAAAATGACTGTGAGCCAGGCTTGCCCCAGTAAAACCCAGAGCTCATTTATAATTGGCAAGATATCTTACCTTAGGCTAGCGGAACTCAATACTTTTGGTAAGATGTTTAATGATTTCTTTACAACTGTAATAACTGGGTGCTCACCTCAATTCTCTGTAATTATTTTTCTTATGAAAGCCTAGGGCAATACAAATGGAACTCTCCCTGAAACTATTCTGGCTTCTAATGATTTTCCTCTCTACTACACAGAGTATAGAATAGTAATTCCATTAAATACAGATTCAGTAAGCAATGGCCATATCTTATATTAATCCTCTTTTATCCCCCAGTTGTAGTAAAACTCAAAGTGAAAAAGAGATTTTTCTTCGGGAGAAGCAGAGATTACAAATGCCCACTTAACAGACTGAATTTTAGTCACTGTGGGTTATCATCACAATGTTTGCTACCTGAATTGAAATAACATTCAATACATTTAAATACATACAAGTAGATGTATTAGATTGGTGATTAAAATCTAAATGGAGTTTTCTTTAGGTAAATATGCTTTGTAAGATATGCTTTCTATTCTGTATTTTCTGACCAGCTGTGTTCCCAGATTTCTCAGCTCCTCTCAGCTCACTGGAAAGGAAAGATATTTCATGATGGGTTCTGAGAACTAGAAAATATCAGGGAACAGACTCTTTGTGGCATAATCCAAAACACCTCCATCTAAATATACAGAGAGAAATTTCCTTTTAAGAAAGGAAAGAACTGGCAAAATTATTACTTTTTCATCATTTCAAAACTCAGGGTCTATTTGGATTGGGTTAGATCCCAACAGACTAAATTGCTGGACAAAGTTGGGTGGTGGTTTACATTTTTAGAGAAATAAATTGCAATGGGCCTGGCAGGGGCAGAGGGATAAAAGAAATATAGAGCCCATGCTTTACAAATGGCCTACTTGAACAGAATGTAGTGTCATTTCAAATAAGCCCAGGCAGGAGTCCCAGGCTCTGTCATTCATGGCTCTACTTCTTACTACAAACTGGAACCTCTATTTGTATCTCTGAATACGTGTCCAAGAAACTATAACTATTTCATTGAAATGGATATTGCAGGCTTAATGTAATAGCAAATTGTCCTAATTCTCTGCTTCATTTTTCTTAGGTATTTATATACCATGTATCTAGTATATAGGGAGAGCTACCTATATATTAGCAATCATCATTTGCTTCAAGAACTTCAATAGAAGTACATCACAAATTGGAAAGCTATTTGTTCATGTTCAAAATTCAACTGTAGAATCAACACATTGGTGCTGTCAGGAGCTAGAGGATCACCTATTCTAATGTTTTCTGGGTTTTGGTGAGGAGAGTAAGGCCCAGATTGTGAAGAGGCTTGCTCAAGATCATACAGCAAGTTAGAAGGATAACCAGGTCTGGATGTGAGAATTCTGAACCCTATTTTCTGTGACTCAAGTCCGGAATGATCATTGCCTTGATTAAGATGCTCTAGAGAAAAGGTAGATTCTTGTTTGGGAAAAAAGTGAACAGCTTCCAAATTAGATTGACTTTGTAGGTAGTCTCCACTTTATTGATTGTTTCCTTGACTGTGAAGAAGCTTTTTGGTTTGATGTAATCTCATTTGTGTATTTTTTATTTTGTTGCTCGCCTGTGCTTTTTTAGATCTTATTCAAAAAAATTATTGCCCTGCCCAATTTCATGAAGCATTTCTCCTGTTTTCTTCTAGTAGTTTCATATCTTCAGATTTTACATTTAAGTATTTAATCTATCTAGAATTGATTTTTGTATATGGTGGAGAGATAGAGGTCTAGTTTCATTGTTCCACATGTGGATATTCAGTTTTTCCGGAACAATTTATTGAACAGACTATCCTTTCCCCAGTATGTCTTGTGTTGTTGGTACCTTTGTTGAAAATCAGTTGGCTGTAAATGCATGGATTTATTTTGGGATTCTCTATTCTGTTCCATTGGTCTATGTGTGGTTTTATGCCAGTACCAAGCTGTTTAGTTACTATGGGAGAAGCATTTGCAAACTATACACCTGACTTGCAAACTATACACCTGACAAGGCATTAATATCCAGATTATATAAGGAACTCAAATAACTCAATAGCAAAAGAACTCAAATAATTCCATTTTTAAAATTGGCAAAAGAACGAAGTAGATAGTTATTGGAAGAAAATCCAAATGGCTGACAGATGTATGTAAAAATATTCAACTTTACTAATTATCAGGAAATTGCAAATTAAACTACAATGAGATGTCACCACACTCCAGTTAGAATGGCTATTATCAAAAAGGCAAAAAATAACAAATGCTGGCAGAGAAAAAAGAACTCTTATACGTGGTTGGTGGAAATGTAAATTAGTACAGCCATTATGGAAAACAATTTGGGGGTTCCTCAAAAAAAATAAAAATAGATCTATCATATAATCCAGCAATCTCTTTACTGGGTATATATCCAAAGAAAGTGAAATCAGTATGTCAGAGAGACATGTACACTCATGTTTATTGCAGTGCTATTCACAATAGCCAAGATATGGAATCAGCATAAATGCCATTCTATGGAATTGATTGTATACACACACACACACACACACACACACACACACACACACAAAATAAAATACTATTTAGCCATAAAACAGAATGAAATCCTGTCATTTGAAGCAACACAGATGAACCTGAAGGACATTATATTAAGTGAAATTAAACAGGCACAAAAAGACAAACAGCACATGATCTCTTGTATGTGGAATCTAAAAAAGCTGACTCTGAAAGCAGAATCTGAAATACTAGTAACCAGAGACTGAGGAGAGAGGGGGAAAGCGGGGGTTGCAGGGGGACCAGGAAAGATTGGTCAATGTGTACAAAGTTACAATTAGACAGGAAGAATAAGTTTTGGTGTTCTATTACACAGTAGAGTGACTCTAGCAAATAACAATGTAGTGTATATTTCAAGATAACTAGAAGAGAGAAGATTTTAAATGTTGTCACAAAGAAATGATAAATGTTTATAGTGATGGGTAAGGTAATTACCACAATTTGACCGTTATATCATGTATACATGTGTTGAAACATCATATTGTATCCCATAAATATATACAATTACGTGTCAATTGTGAATTTAAAAGTCATATTAATATCCAAACAAATTAAGTTAGCTTTTTAAAAAAAATTTTCAACTTTTACTTTAGATTATATATGCAGATTTTTTATATGGGTATATTGCAACCAGGTAGTAAGCATAGTGCCCAATAGGTAGTTTTCCAACCCACATTCTCCTCCTCCCCCACGCCCAGTTGTCTGCAGTATCTATTGTTCCCACATTTATGTCCGTGTGTACTCAATGCCCCACTTACAAGTGAGAACATATAGTATTTGGTTTTCTGTTCCTGTGTTAATTCTCTTAGGATTGTGACCTCAAGCTGCAAACAGTTGCTGCAAAGGAAATGATTTTTGTTCTTTTTTATGGCTGTGTCGTATCTTATGGTATATATGTATCACATTTTCTTAATCCAGTCCACCACTGATGGGCACCTAGGTTGATTCTATGTCTTTGCTGTTGTGAATAGCATGGGGATGAACATATGAGTGCATATGTCTTTTTGGTAGAATGATTTATTTTCCTTTGAGTATGTACCCAGTAATGGGATTGCTGGGTCGAATTGTAGCTGTTTAAAGTTCTTTGAGAAATCTCCCAACTGATTTCCATGGTGGTTGAACTAACTTACATTCCCACTCACAGTGTATAATTGTTCCCCTTTTCTCTGCAGTCTCAGGAGCAACTGTTGTTTTTTGACTTTTTAATAGCCATTCTGACTGGTGTGAGATTGTATCTCATTGTGGTTTTGATTTGCATTTATCTGATGATTAGTGGTGGTAAGCATTTTTTCATATGTTTGTTCGTTGCTTGTATGTCTTCTTTTGAGAAGTTCTGTTCATGGTCTTTACTCATTTTTTTAAATTGGGTTATCTGTTTTTTGCTTGTTGAGTTAAGTTCCTTATAGATTCTGAATATTAGACCTTAGTTAGATGTACAGTTTGCAAATATTTTCTCCCATTTTCTAGTTGTCTGTTTACTCAGTTGATAGTTTGTTTTGCTGCATAGAAACTTTAGTTTAATTAGGTCTCACTTGTCAGTTTTTGTTTTCGTTGCAATTGCTTCTGGGGATTTAGCCAAAAATTTTTTGCCAAGGCCAATTCTGAGAAACAGACACATAGACCAATGAAACAGAAAACTCAGAAAAAAAGCTGCACATCTACAATCATCTAATCTCTGACAAGAAAAACAAGCAGTGGGGAAAGGACACCCTATTCAGAAAATGGTTTTGAGATAGCTTTAAATTTTGGTTGAAATTGGCCAAATGGACAATTATATTTGAGACACTTAATGACTGCTAACACATTTGGGAATTCCTCAACAGTCAAGTAAAGTTTATTGTGACTTTAAGATTGTTATCCAATTGGCAGAAGACAGTCAGGCTCTCCAAACTATCTAAACAGACAACAATCTGACTTCAAATTCAGTGACCTTAACCAGTATGCTCTGTTTGCAACCTCGTCTCTTCTTTCTCAGTTGTTTCATCATCATCATTTTCATTTTCATGATCTTTTTTAAGGTCTTTGTGATTCTTAGCCAGTATCTTTCCTTTCCAAACTCTCCATGCATTAATGTGTTCATTCATTCATTTATTCAATAGGCATAGATAATTTAACACATTCCATGAAAGAGATATATAAGACAACTCTCCTCAGAATTCATAGCCTAGTGAGGGGGACATTGATTGTAACAGAAAATGACAATTTAAAAAAATCTAAGTTTGAAGCTCACATACCAATGGCAATAATCTATGCAGTTCTTGATTTTTTTCTAATAAAGCAGATTACAATGTACTTTTATGTAAATGCTCCTCATGCCAAGCTTATGAGATGATAGAATAAAAAGAAGTCCCAAAGAGGTTAAAGCAAGGTCAGTAAGTCCCAGGAACTGTATGTGTCCTGTTTACCACTTGTGACTTGTACCTAGCATAGGTTCCCGGCATATACTTGGCACTTAATAAATTTTTGACTGAATGACTGAACACAGCTAATAAATGTCTAAACTAGGCCTTAAACACAGGTCTCCTAATCTTGATTCCAGTATTTATTCAATTGCATCCATTTTCTGTGCCCCCTGTGATCATTACCTTACTTTACTCCTCAGAGCCACCTCTCTCATTTTCTTCAAGTCCCATCTACTTGATATAAATCATCCCAGTTAACTAATGATTGGGAAGCTATTATTCAATATATTAACAAACTTAAAAACAGTCTCAGCTGAAGCAGAGGATGATTGATTCTCTAGGTATTGCACCTCAGTTGAGTAGATAATTTGGATCAGGAGGCCCATCAAATCCTATCAGAGATATAATCACATATTGCTCTTTTGTAGAATCCCAGCCTTGGGAGTCCTGTGACAAGTTTTATGAGAAGAGTAAGGGGTCTGAGATGTGAATTTTTTAATGACAAACAGCTATAAATTTGTTTTTGAAATGCTTATATTTTTATTATTAAATGGTTGAAATTATGAAAATAGTTATGATGATGTCATTGATAGCAGGAATGAGGTTGATAATTATAAGAAAATATGACAACCATTTACTGAGATCCAACTCTGTTCCAGCAATGTGCCAAATGATTTACACATGTTATCTCAATCAAATCCTAGCAATTTCATGACTAGATATCAACTGCAGTTTATAGGTAACAGAGGCACAATGGCTTCCATTAACTCCGAATATTCAACAAACACAACTCATCCTTCACATGATTCATCCCCAAACAGATGTACTGTTCTTGTTTCCTTATAGCCACATTCATCCATTTCCCTCACACACACATAATATTAGAATACAGATATTATGTATATTATATGTACTATATATGTATACTATATATACTTATATATGCTATAAGAAAGGCCAAACTGGCAGTCAAGTAAACAAAATATTGAAGACCATAGAATACTTTCCAACTCATTCTATAAAGCTGGCTTCTATAAAGCTGGCATTACTCTGATACCAAAACTCAAAAAAGACGTTACAAGAGTGCAAACTACATAACATTATCTTTCATGAAGATAGACACAAACATTTTTGTTAAATTAGTTAACCAAATCCAATAATATATATAAAGCATAACAAATCATGACTGAGTGGAGTTATCCCAGAAAAATAAGGTTGTTTAACATTCAAAAATCAAGGTACTTCATCATATTAACAGACTCAAGAAGAAAAACCACATAATTTTTGAATACATGAAGAAAAAACATCGAAAAAAAATCTATATTTATTCCTGATAAAATCTCTCGGCAAACTGGGAATTAAAGGGAACTTCTTTTTCCTAATAAAAGGCTTGAATAATATTCTGTGGCTTAATATCATACACAATGGTAAAAAGCTGAATGTGTTCTTCTCAAGACTGAGAATGAGGCAAAGCTGTCTCCTTCAGTCTGCATTTACTGGAGATTCCAGTCAGGATAATGAGGCAAGAATAAGAAATAAAAGGAATACAGATCAGGCATTTAAAAACGAACTTTCTATTCACAGACAACTTCATCATCTATGTAAAAAGTCCTCAAGAATTTTTAAAAACCTGCTAGAACTAACCAGTCAACGTAGCAAGGCTGTAGAATACATGGTTAAAATTTACAAGTCAATTTCATTTCTGTATACTAGCAATGAACTACTAAAAATTTAGATTTAGAGGACAATACCATTTATAATAGCATCAAAAATATGAAATATTAATAGGAATAAATTTCGTAAAAGATTCACAAAAAAATGGTACACTGAAAGCTACAAAACATTGCTGAGAAACATTTAAAGGAGGCCTAAATAAGTGGAGACATATACTGTGTTCACAAAATGAAAAATTAAATATTGCTAAGATGGAAATCCTCTCAAAACTTATCTATAATTCAAGGCAATTTAAAACAAAATCCCAGCAGGCATTTTCTATAAGCTGATTATAAAATTCATAAGAAAATGTCAAAAAGCTAGAGTAGCCAAGATAATTTTTCGAAAAAGAGGCCAAATTGAAGGACTTATACTACTTGACTCCAAAATTTATTATAAAGCTAAAGTTAAATAAAAAGCATTGTAATACTGATATAAAGATAGACATATAGATCAATGAAACTGAATAGGAATTAAGAAATAGTCTCACATTTATATGGTCAACTGATTTTCAATAAAAGTGCCAAAGCAATTCAATGGTGAAAGATCATCTCTTTAACAAAGATGCTGGAACATAAATCTATAAAGGCTAGAAAATAAAAACAAAAACATGACAAAATAGAAGGGTTTTTGCATGTTTCAGACTGAGTGTAAGTAGTACAGGGCTTATATGTTGGTTCCATGATGTTGAGGACGTGGCCTTTTTCAATCTTGCAGCTCTGAAATTCTGTACATGTACCTTTCATTTTGAGATTTAAAATAGTGGTTCCAACCCCTTCTGTTATGTGTATATGATAGTCAGTAGGAAAGAAAGAAAAGCAATGAAAAACAAACTCTTTAATTTAACATAAACTGGACATTGAACACATCACTTCTGTTATCATCCCACTGAACTGAGCCATAACAAATATAAACATATATGAAATTTCACTTGAACCAGTTCAATAAATGAGCTGTTGATTATGTTACAGTTTTTTTCAAAGATCATAGACCAGAAACATTCTCTATTTTGCTTTTCATATGTAAGATGGGAAGAGTTAGGCTTTAGATTGAGGAGAAAATGAATGGTATCCTAGATCCTGCAATCAGAGTTCAAAGCTGTGTAGACTTTGAGAAGATGGGAAAATTTCACATAATTTTGTAACATTTTGTAATGATGTTATCTACTTAAGAACACCGAGTTACCATAACTTCGAGTTCTTTGATCCATGGCCATGCAGGTCCACCAATATTTCTATGAGTCAGCACAAAATGCTTAGATCTCAATGAAACATGAGAGTAATTTTTGATGTCATTATCAGCTATTTTCTGGGGAGTGATTTTTTTCTTTGATCATAATGGTGAATATTTGGGATCACGAAAGTACAAAAAATTTTACAGGTCTGCAACAAAATGTGGATCTCTTTTTCTCCCTGAAATTTTTAATAAAAGATGAAGGCAATGTGCTGAAAGTGAAAAATGATTATAAACATTTATCATCTGGGGCATTTTGTTCATTGTGGAGTTCAAAACAAACAAATAAAATTTTTATTTCGAGTTACGTTGTAACACGATTTCCTCTGAGTTTTTCAGTCTCATGAAATCTAACCTTGTCTAAGCTTTTAATAGAATTGGCTAAAAACCTTCATTTTATAAGTTCCTATCTTCCTAGTTCCCCTCCTCTTAAAAAAATGTCGTCACTTTCTGCCATCCTACATTTTTTGTCTTCTCCCACTTTTTTCCCTGTCTTCAGAGAACTCACACTTTCTGAGTACTTTTAATTTAAAGGTTAATACTTGCCATTTTTAGAGGGACAAGATCAGTATGAACAGACAAAAAACCTATCTATAACTGTCACCTGGGTACTACCAGATTTCTAAAACTTGGGGAGAAAACATTTCTTTAAGAAAATGTGTTCTGTTGTTCCCGTAAGAATATTTGATCTTATCAAAACATGTGCTCCAGTTTTTGGATTGGAAAACAAAAATGTCACTGTAACTGTGGGGGGAGACATTTCATGCATTAGTATGACTGAGTACAAAAAAAAGTCTGACAGTGAGGTATGAAGAAAAGGGTCTCCAATCTAGTATGTTTGCTTGTCTCTCTGCGGGTCTACCAGTGTGATACTTTGTTCAGATTAAGCACTTTTGGTTCTCAATCTAGAATGATAAATTTGACACCCATAACATCATTCATGTGTATGTGTGGTATTTGTTATGGTTAATTAGAATTTTTTTTTTTTTTTTAAATGGAGTCTCGCTCTGTCGCCCAGGCTGGAGTGCAGTGGCGCAATCTCAGCTTACTGCAACCTCTGCCTCCCGGGTTCAAGCGATTCTCCTCCCTCAGCCTCCTGAGTAGCTGGGATTACAGGCACACCACCATGCCTGGATAATTTTTGTATTTTTTAGTAGAGATGGGGTTTCACCATGTTGGTCAGGCTGGTCTCAAATTCCTGACCTCGTGATCCGCCTGCCTCGGCCTCCCAAAGTGCTGGGATTACAGGCGTGAGCCATGGCCCCGGCCGGTTAATTAGAATTTTACAACCAGAACGTGGCTCATTGACATTTTTTCTAACCAATGCTCGCTTAATTTGTTTCTTCTGTTTTGTAAATGTTGCCTCTTTGCAAGCGTCTTCAGCAGAAAGGATGGTTGAGATAATTTTTTAACATAAAGTTAGGTTGAACAGTTTTTAGATCATTGTGTTTCCCTAGGCAAAATTAATATTCTGAATTTTTTAAGGTATTCATTCAAAGCTACAGTCAGTGGCTCATACCTGTAATCCCAGTCACTTGGGAGACTGAGGTGAGAGAATCACTTGAGACCAGATATTTGAGGCTGCAGTGAGCCATCATCATGCCACTGCACTCCAGTCTGGATGACTGACAGAGTGAGACTCCATTTCTAGAAAAATAAAATAAAATAAAAAATAAAGTCACAAACACCATCAGCCATGGTTCACCAACCTGGGTGTAATTGGTGGACCAGAGATTATGGCACATATGTTGAGGTTGACAGATTCCACCACTGTCAGGCAGCCTTGTGGCTTTAGGCAGAAACTGGGTGTCACTTGGGGTTTTGCTTCAGAGAAAGCCAATGAGATCATTTTGAGTGTGGGGTTTTCTTTTGGAGTAAAACTGTAGACCTTCATTTTCCTAGAGAAGTACTTTCCGTTCACTGTTTTCAGTTCCTTATGATATCATTAAGGTTGTGATCATGTTGCAGTTGCTATTTGTCAGCACTTATTAGCAATAGTAACATGCAATGATTACTGAGTGCCTGCTAATCCCAAGCAATGTATTATAGTAACTGCTTTGCATGAATTATCTCAATTGATCCTTACATTAATTTTATGAAGGTTGTATTCTTATGTGTTTTACAGATGAATACATTGAACCCATAGTGGGTAAGTGATTAAGTAAGCATTTCAAATCAGTTCTTTCTGATTCTTAACCCTCTGAGGTGAGCGAGAGTGAAGAAAGCTAATACTCTTTATAGGAAGCCTTCTTGAAACATTTTTCTTTTCCTTTCTTGTAATATCCCATGTGGCACACGTGGCCTTCAAAGATATTATAAAGACTCTGCAGAAAAATATTTTTTCAAGTAACTATTGACAGGCCTGGGTATTTCACTTCAGTTGGGAGACACTGTATCTACAAATTATCTTATCTCAACCTTCCTAGCCTCATTTCCTGCCCACTCCACACAACAAACTGTACAGTTACCCAACATCTTGTGAACTCTAACACTTGAGGAGCTTCAAAAATACTGCTGCTGGGAGAGATCTTCTGCATTTACTCACACAGTATGTCCTTTTATGGGGCCTTCTGAGACTCTTCCAGGAAGAATGAATTACTCCTTCCATGTAAATTCATATATAGCTTGATTACACAATATTTTTCATATGGCTTTTTGAAAGAGTAATATATACTTACATTAACACAATAAAAAATGGCTTTCAGTGTAAAGTATGTCTCCCTCTCATGCTTAAAGCACAGGCTTCTCTTAAGGGAACAACTATTACCTGTGATGGTTAACACGCACAGAAATAAACACGTACACATAGCTCTCTGGGCTTTGCAAGATTGGAAGCCTGTGTAATTTGGTGTTTTGCACCTTGCATTTTTCACTTAATATCTTGGACTTCTTTCTATATTAGTACATAAGCTTTATTTATAGTAGCTCTAAATATTTTATTATATGACATCCCATAATTTATGTAACCATCCTCCTATTGACATTTGGATTGTTTCCAGCTGTAATAAACAATGCAGAAATAAGCATCCTCATTTGCATGCTTATACAGAGAGTGAGTGGATGGGCCTTGAAAGCAGATTTCCAGGTTTTGAATCCTAGCTCTGCACTACTAGCTCCTATACTCTTAAGCTGGTCAACCTCTGTATGCCTCACTTTTCTCTTATGTAAAAATGGATATGTAATTGTAATTGCATAGGGCTTTCTGAGTATTAAGGGAGATATGACATGAAAAAGAGCTTTAATGCCTAGTATATAGTAAGGACTTAATGATGTTTTACTACTATTGTTACAAAGATCATGCCTTTGGGGGCATTTGTGAGTATGACTTCAGGATAAATTCCTGGAAGTGGAAATCTTGGGGCAAAAGACATGTGCATTTACTATTCTTATAGACCCCTGGCTTAATTGGGTTCACATTGAAGCAGATCTTGAGACAAGGATCTGAATACAAATAGGTTATTTAGATGGTGGAGGAAAGTCCAACAGGGGAATGGGAAAGTGAAACAGGAAGGGAAAATAGCCAATAATGGGTGCATTATTGAGTCAGTTATCACTTAGTGTACTTGGAGCTCAATCCTACTGAGGAAACTCTGGGAGCCAGTACAGATGCAAGCATCAGAGTTATCCTGCTCCAGGGGAGAAGGAGCTGAGGTATCAGTACACCGCCTCCTGTCCTGGTGGGTCAGTCATTGGCTGAGAGCTGCTCCTAAGAGCAGTGGCATCCAGATTAGAGCACTGGGAAATCTCTGCCTCAGGTTCTGGCAATAATGGGATTGTGTAGATGATTTTAAAAGAGCAGAAAAATTGACCAAAAAATCATTCAGATGCTTATTGTCATGATACGCTGGGAATTCTCTACAATCTTTGTTATAAAATAATTGTCTCCTCGGGGACACCTTGCCTCTATGTATTCCACACCCTGGGAGGTACTCATTTCCAACACTTTCGGCCTATTGCACAAGCAGACAAAGTGGGTATAATTAATCAGAGGATGAAAGGAATGCAAGTGCCGACTATTGGAAGCCTGTCTTGCATGAACTGAAGGGAGAGACAATATGGTCAGAGAATCAACAGTGAACCTGCTCCACTCACACTGTCTACACAAGCTGATGGCCTGATGGATGTACTTCTTGAAGCTCTGCCCGCAGTAGTGAGAATTTCCCCTCACTACTCTCTTTCCTGGCCACCCTGGGTGGAGCTGTGTTGCCCAAGCAGTCCGCTTTCAGCTCACATGAAATATTGAGCCACCCATCTCTGAAACAGACCTGGGTTTTTAATCCCCTGACAGCTGGTTATGGGAACTCTCTGTGAGGTCTCAGGTGTGAACTGAGGGAGACACATTGGTTTAACAAGTTAAGTAATATGTGGGACTTAGCTGCCAATTTGTGTAATTTAGTTGCTCCCCCGGACATGCTCATGCCTGATCGCAAAAGTACCATTCATTTCATGATGTGTTACTGATGTGCCTGCCCAAACTACTGACTTGGAAGATCTGACAGTAAAGAGCTCATGATGAGCAACCCAGTCACACAATTACTTGATGTGCCATGAGCAGGCTCAATTTCCACTAGTCCAGTAGCATACCAAAAGCTGCTTTTTGAATGGCAAATGGTTCTTTGAAGGCTTCTGGCTTTCGCATCATGTCCTGATTGATAGTAGAGCTTGTCCATTCTTTTTCTCTGTTACCTATGACACTAACAGCTACCAGCTGATGCCACTGTCCTTGTAATTCTCATTATCCCCTAATCTCTAATATTCTGAAGATATTGCATAAGCTAGTGTATGCCCTTCATCCTGTAACCCAACCCATTTCAGACTAAGGAATGAAGATGAAAATGCTAGTTTGGACCCTGAAATGCCTTGCAATGTAGAGGTGATTTTCCATAGCTAAAACAGAAACAACAGCAAAAGCTGTTACCATATTGTTACCAATATTTGAACTTTTCTACCATTTGGTGAGTGACATTTGGTCATTATAGGCACCTCACATTTAGTGAACTGATGTCTTGTGACTCTAATCTAATACAACTTGCTAAGACAGGAAACACTTGGCACTTCCCTGAGGCACTGATTAATGAGGAAACACTTGGTTTTACAGTTAATCTGAATTATGCAACCCCTGGGAACCTATTAATTTTATGAGAAGATAGCTTTATATGATGATTGCATTTGTTAACATCTGCATTCATAATGCAAAAGCTACATTTGTATATGAACTTACCTCAAATTAAGAAAATGCAATTTGGAGCCAATTTGTGGAAATGCATGTATATGTCAAATGCTAACTCTCTCCCTCTCCCTTCTTTCCTTTTGTCTTTCCAATGGCTTCTAGATATGAACAGAATGGGGAAAACCAAACTAACTTGAACTTACTATCCCACTTTTATACATATTTAATTCAATCCTTACAACAGCATTATGAGTCAAGTATTATTATTCCTATTTTAAAGTAATTTGCCCAAGATCACACAATTTACAACATACAAATTATAAAATTACTATATGGAATTTATGCCTAGATCAATTGATGCCAGAGCTCATTTTTTCCACTCCTGCAGGAGTTCTCAAAAACTGGCTGCAGTTATATGACTGATTTGGGATGCTTTTTAAAAATAATGATGCTTGAGGCCTACTCCTAGAGATTCTGATTTAATAATTCTGTGGTAGAATGTAGGCATCCATGACTTTTTCAAGTTCCCCAGGTGATACTAATATACTGTTACATCTGTACCACTCTTCTGCACCATTTCCCTTTACTCTCATAATTATAATTCACATTTTGCATTGTCCTTACAGTTTTCAAAGTTTTGAAAAAATACATAGCTCATTGTATTAGTCTGCTTTCACGCTGCTGATAAACACCTAACTGAGACTGGGAAATTTACAAAAGAAAGAGGCTTAATGGAACTCACAGTTCCACATGGCTGCGGAGGCCTCAGAATCATGGTGGAAGGCAAGGAGGAGCAAGTGACATCTTACATCGATGGTGGCAGGCAAAGAGAGAGCTTGTACAGGGAACTTCTATTTTTAAACCCATCAGATCCTATGAGATTCATCCACTATCATGAGAACAGCACAGGAAAGAGCCACCCCCATAATTCAATCACCTCCCACCAGGTTCTTCCCATGACATGTGGCAATTGTGAGAGTTACAGTTCAAGATGAGATTTGAGTGGGGACACAGTCAAATCATGTCATTCCACTCCTGGCCCCTCCCAAATCTCTTGTTCTCACATTTCAAAACCAATCATGCCTTCCCAACAGTCCCCCAAAGTCTTAACTCATTTCAGCATTAACTGAAAAGTCCACAGTCCAATGTCTCATCTGAGACAATGAGATAATGATCCTATGAGGCTGTAAAATCAAAAGCAAGTTAGTTGCTTCCTAGATACAATGAGGGTACAGGCGTTGGGTAGATACAGCCACTCCCAATGAAACAAATTGGCCAAACAAAGAGGTTACAGGCCCCATACAAGTCCGAAATCCAGCAGGGCAGTCAAATCTTAAAGCTCCAAAGTGATATCCTTTGACTCCATGTCTCACATTCAGGTCTCTGTGATGCAAGGGGTGGGTTCCCATAGACTTGGGCAGCTTTGCCCCTGTGGATCTGCAGGGTACAGCCTCCCTCCCAGCTGCTTTCATGGGCTGGTGTTGAGTGTCTGAGGCTTTTCCAGGTGCATGGTGCAGGCTGTCAGTGGAGTTATTTTTCTGGGGTGTGGAGGATGGTGGTCATCTTCTTACAGCTCCACTAGGCAGTGTCCCAGTAGGGACACTGTGTGGGTGCTCTGACCCCACGTTTCCCTTCTGCACTGCAGAAGGTTGTCCATGAATGCCCCACCCCTGCAGCAAACTTCTGCCTGGGCATCCAGGTGTTTCCATACATCTTCTGAAATCTAGGCAGAGGTTCACAAACCCCAATTCTTGACCTCTGTGCACTCCCAGACTCAACACCATGTGGAAGCTGCTAAGGCTTGGAGCTTGTACCCTCTGAAACCACAGCCTGAGCTCCATGTTAGCCCTTTTAAGCCACAACTGGAGCAGCTGAGACACAGGGCACCAAGTCCCTAGGTTGCACACAGCACAGGGACCTTAGGCCCAACCCAGGAAACCATGTTTTCCTCCTAGGCCTCCAGGCCTGTGATGAGAGGGGCTGCTGTGAAGACCTCTGAGATGCTTTGGAGACATTTTCCCCATCATGTTGGGGATTAACATTCACTCCTCACTACTTATACAAATTTCTGCAGCCAACTTGAATTTCTCCTCAGAAAATGGGATTTTCTTTTCTACTGTATTGTCAGGCTGCAACTTTTCTGAACTTTTATGCTCTGCTTCCCTTACAAAACTGAATGCCTTTAACAGCACCCAAGTCACATCTTGAATGCTTTGCTGCTTAGAAATTTCTTCCACCAGATACCCTAAATCATCCTCCTCAAGTTCAAAGTTCCACAAATCTCTAGGGCAGGGGAAAAATGTAGCCAGTCTCTTTGCTAAAACATAACAAGAGTCACATTTGCTCCAGTTCCCAAAAAGTTCCTCATCTCCATCTGAGACCACCTCAGCCTGGACTTTATCGTTCATATCACTATCAGTGTTTTTCTCAAAGCCATTTAACAAGTCTCTAGGAAGTTCCACACTATTCCACATTTTCTGTCTTCTTCAGAGCCCTCCAAACTGTTCCAACCTCTCCACCTGTTACCCAGTTGCAAAGTCACTTCCACATTTTCAGGTATCTTTTCAGCAACTCTACTGGTACCAATTACTGTATTAGTCTGTTTTCACACTACTGATAAAGACATACTGCTGATAAAGACATAGAGACTGGGAAATTTACAAAATAAAGAGATTTAATTGGTCTCACAGTTCCATGTGGCTGGGGAGGCCTCAGAATCATGGCAGAAGGCAAGGAGGAGCAAGTCACATCTTACATTGATGGCGGGCAGGCAAAGAGAGCATGTGTTCAGGGAAACTCCAGTTTTAAAACCATCAGATCTCATGAGACTCATTCACTATCACAGGAACAATGAAGGAAAGATCCACCCTCATAATTCAATCACCTCCCACTGGGTTCTTTCCACAACACATGGGAATTGTGGGAGTTACAATTCAAGATGAGTTTTGGCTGGGAACACAGCAAAACCACATCACTCATCTAATCTTTAAACCAACCGAGGGAAGAATTTTTATGCTCATTTTACAGAAGAGAAAACTGAGATTCAAGGAGTTTGAAATCTTACCCAGTATTACAAGAGTAAGTAGCTGAAACCCAGGATAATTGGAAAAGGGCTGTTTTTATCCTTATTTAGAATACCGTAATTGTGATCCCTTTTGGTTCCCTCTCTCTTTTTCCCTCCTCCTCTGGTTTATTCCCCAGTCTGGGCCTGCAAAAGACTCTTGGATGCCATTTAAAGCTGTCAACCATGTATGAGTGGGAAAAGTGGTAGCTCTGAGGACTGATTCATTACCAAAGAAGCATGGGTTCGTAGTGAAAACAGGGAGATAGAGATAGAAGTTTGAATTAACTTAAGAAGGTGATTTTATTTCTTTGAAGCCCAGTTTCCTCAACAATAAATGGAAAAAGAAACCATAATAGCTACCTATTGTTTTGTCATGAGAATAAAATAAAATTATCTGTACAAAGATTTGTAAATCGAAAGGCATTATATCTATGTTAGTCATTACTATCTCACTTATAATGATTAGTTTTGAGGTGTTATGTTGCTTTTCCAGGGCTGTTGTAATAAATTACCATAACTTTGATGACTTAAAACTACCCAAAACTATTTTCTTCCAGTTCTGGAGACCAGAAGCCTAAAATTAAGGTGACAGTGGGGGTCACATCCCTTCTGAAGGCTCTAGAAGAGAATTCATTCCTTGCCTCTTCCAGCTTCTGTTGGCTGTTGGCATTCCTTGGTGTTCCTTGGCTTGTAGTCACATTACTTCAATCTCTGCCTTCGTCTTCCCAACACCTTCCCCTCTGTGTCTGTCTCAAATCTCCTGCTGCTTTCTTTATGAGGGCACTTGTTACTGGATTTTGGACCCAGCTGAATAATCCTAGATGATCTTTTCATCTCAAGATCTTAACTATTATATATGCAAAGTTTCTTTTTCCAAATAAGCTAACTTTTACAGGTTCTGGGAATTAGGACATGAGGCATATCTTTTGGGGGGCCAGCATTCAACCCGCTACAGGTATTATGAGTGTTTCTCTTTTCTTAGGCTCAATATCCCCCTCTCTGATTCACTAACTGCCACTTGCTAGTGGATTTCAGTTCCAAATCTTTGATTTGGTAAATAAGTTGTCCAGTACATAAGTCAGCTCTGCCTCCTGCCCTAACCAACTACACAGAACTTTCTGGTGTTTTCTGAATATCCGTTGTACTTTCCTACCCTGTGCAATTCCTTTGATGCCTTTCCTCTCTTTCTGGAACTCAACACTGTTTTCCACCCTCTTCTGTGAAGTATTTCTAATCATTAAGAAAGACTGCTCTCTCTTTTCTCTCCAAATCTGTTAGATTTTTGGGCTTTCTGTCTTGATTCCAGCACTTATCACAGTGTGACCTTTACTGTTGTAGCTGAGCACCTGTCTGCTTCTCCATGAAACTGAGTGTTGTTTTTCTCATGTCTTCAAGATACAGATAGTGACTCATTCATCTTTATACCACCTACTGCCTATGGCCAGTTGCCAGACATGTGGTACCTTTTCAGCAGAGGTTGGTGAACCTCATGGAACCGTGTAGAACTGCATGGCACCTGACAACCTCCTCCCTCAGGTTTACCTGGTCTACTACCCTGTGGAGGCAGCTGAAATAAAAGCTGTAGAGTCTTATTGCCTTTTCAGTGGTGTAAATTCTACTGATAACTTTGTCTTATTCTCCCTATTTGGACATTTCTTTATTATTATTATTGTGGTGGCAGTAATTATTGTTATTTTTAAAAATTGACTTATAGGTATCTTTTCTTCCTTTTTTAAGGAAGGTTTTCTTCTGTGAAAATATATTTTTTTCGGGTGGAGAGTCTATACCTTCACTGTCAGTAATAACTGATATTTCGGATATCATCTTACTTTGCTTAACTCTTGGTTGAGGTAGGCGAAGGTACAGAGAAGCTGTTTGAGTCTCTATTCTCTCCTCAAATCTCTGCCCTGAGCTTTGATTTAGGCTGATATTTTTGAAGTTTAATAAACTGGTTTTTCTCTTTACTTTCCCGTATCCTTTTTGTAGTGAAATCCTTACTCCATCTTATGTTTAAAATCCAAAACTATGTTTGGGATAAAGTAAACAGAAGATTGAATTTTGTCTCATTTTCTAAACATTACCAATGCTGTATGTGGTAGGTACACAGTTGCCTTCATGATTTTTCAAAAGCTTTTCCTTTTGAAGCGAACACCTGTCTCAGAATCTCCTAGATTAAATAGTTATACTCACATATTCCTTAAACTGTAAATTCTTTGAAGGTAGGTACTGCCTTTGCTCTTCACAATAATCATGGTGCCAGTGCAGCATCTGGCACATAATTGGTATTCCAAAAAGGTGGATAAATCAGTTAATACAAATAACTATTCTGGGAGTTGGCACAACATCAATTGACAATGGATTCCTCTGATTTCTTATTTCTACTATAATACAACTTAATTTCGTGGTAGTATGTTAATGGACATAATCTCTCTTTTTACCAACACAATATCCAGGGAAGCCCAAATAAACTCTTGGTTGAAACCAACATATTTCACAATTCCTGTTCTTCATATCCAACCTCCACATAACAGCTGATGATGACATGTTGTCTTACAGCTCCTTTAGTCCCACTCTGCGAATTTAGGGACAGCTTAGATTTGTGAGCATTTGCGGAACAAGACAGAAGCCTGCCCCACTCCAAAAGCAGTTAACTTTAGTCCACATACAACAGTGTCCCAAGTTTCAGGCCTACCACTTAAACCTCTAAACTCAGAATGAGATCTCTGGGGATCAGCCAGGAGACTAAGGGGTTTTCTCTTCCTGTTTTTCCTATGGGCTTGGACATCAGTCTTACCACATACGGCATGGTTTCTCCCAGGAGAAGTCCATTTGAACCTCACTAAACAATAATTTCTGGGCCATACCCTTGCAGTATGTCTAAGACACTCCTATCTGTTTCCTCCTACTGGTCCATCATACATACTTGCAATAAATAATCAAATAGCAGGACAATCAAGTCCCGACCCTCACTGCTTTGTAACTTGGGCTTGGAGAGGTTTATCCAAGATAAATTGGTTCATGCATTATGATCACCTCCCAGGGCATGTGTGACATTCTTCATAGAGTACACTAAGTTCTGTATAATGGGGGTGCTCTACAGAAGGCTGTGCTTTCCTCTCTCATTCCTCTTCTGCCTTCAAAATGAAATATAGAGCTGAAAGGCCATACCTGTCTTAATGACGTGCCAAGCTGCATACATTACATTTTGTATCTCACCTTGGACAAGAAAGAAATAGGATCTTTAAAGAAATGCTCAACACACTGTGTTTACAACCTCTTTCCGCTCTAAATTCATCATTTGTATATTAATATAACTATGATATAAAATTGCCAACAAAAGAGATATAAAAGCATACTGAAATAGTCTCTAGGAGTTCAATCTACATTTCCCATCACTCAGAGCCAGAAGCACTCAATCATTTGTTCCTGCATGTAAAAGAGGCTGACACTCAGAATGAGAATACAAAGCAGCTGTCCTTCAAGGTCCAGCCCTATTGTATACATAGTAAGAACACCCCTTCCCCCCAACTCCAACAACCTGACCACTGACAGAGTAGGAAACACGGTCATGATAGGAGCTGGGGGCTTTGCAGTCACCCAGCAAAGAAATAGGGGCAGTCGTCTTTAAGATAATAAATTAAAGTTAAATCATTTAGTAAAATAAGACAAAAATAAAGATAAAAGTAAAGGCAATCTGAAACAAGCTTTGTATCAAAACAACAACAACAACATGCTGAAGAAAATAAGGAAGAAAATTGGTAGCTTTAGGTTTTTTAGTTCAAGCTTGCACCTCTGTGGGAAAGGCTAGTGTCACTGAAGTGTGGCTGAGGTGTTTTCAGAATCCTTATAACTCACAGGTTGCTTCTGACATATTCAAAATTCCTACCATTACAGTCATTGCATCCAGAAAGTCTAGTGAAGTATTGAAGAGTCTAATACTGAGTCATTGAAGGATATAGTACAATTACACCCTATGACAATTGGTGTGAACTTTTATCTATTTTCTCTCCTAATCTCTTCACCAGGCTTTTTATTTGCTTATCTCCCTTAGTTCCAGTACTTAGGATTTTTATGGGGGTTATTGTAACAAACTTACAAACTGATTTCTGTTTCTACTCTAGTCCCCTGCAACTTACCCTTCACACAACTACTAGCATAAAACCCAAATATAGTTTGTTCCCTCCCTAAAACTCTTGAAAAGCTCCTTAAGAGTAAAATCCTGCAGAGTAAAATCCAAGCAGAAGCATAAAAGCACCATATAATCTGGCTCATGCCGATTTCCTCTAACCCCTCACTCTCTCAGAACTCCTTGCAATTGCTTCAAAACACATTAGTGATTCATGCTTCTATGTCTTCTCTCATGAGATTTCCTGTTAGCCTGGGATACTCTTCTCCTCTTCTAAGGCTGATCAATTTTCATTCATGCTTTGAGACTCAGTCTGGGTGCCATTTCCTTTGGGAAGCCTTCTCCTTTTCCTGGAGTGAATTATATATATGCACCACAAGTTACCATAGTGTTTTTTTCTCCCTCCAACACTACTCCTTACATTGTATCACAACTGTATGTGTAATTGTCTCTATTCCCCACTAGACAGTAAACAGTAGGAAATCATGGACTGAATCTCCAGCACCCAGTAACATAATGCTAGGAACAGAACAGATGTTTAATAAACATTCCTCTAATGAATTCACAAGCTGTTCCTGAGACAGATTCTACCTGGAGCATTTTGGCATATATTATGCCTTTTAATCTTTCAGCAACAAATCCAATCCTTTCCTTTTATATGAGAATAGTCCATTTCTTGGAGCATTCTTCAAGCATCAGGCTAAGGTAGGTGAGTATTATTACACCAGGCAATTGAAGGAAAGAGAGGATGCTCAGATGGGAGGTGAGTGATGAAAGAGGCAATAGTTAAGAAAGAGGAACATAAAACAGAGATCTTAAGACATTACAACTTTGATGTTATAAGAAAATTGTATCTCCTTTTTTGAGATTTTAGAGGGAAAAAGGAACATGAGATTATATCACTGTATATTATTAACTAGGTAATATGTTCACTATTTTATATGCTTTTATGCATTAACTTACTTAAGCCTCAAAAAACTCCAGAATATAAATACTATTATTACCCTCATTTCACAGAGGAGAAAACTGAGGAACAGAGAAAGAACTAACTTTTCCAAGGTACATAGCTAGTAAGTGGCCCAGTGATGATTATCAGCCTGAGCAGTCTGAAACCAAGAGACTGTGCTCATGACCACTACACTATGTTCTTTCTGCATGATGCAGTTACAGTGCAGAGGGGTAAATATTTTAACAAGTTGTAGCAGCAGCACTGATGGAAGACTGGTGGTCAAGGAAGGCATTCGAGAGGAGATGAGGAATAATGAAGTCTTAGAGGAGCAGGAATTAACCAAAGGGCAGGGAGTATATGAGCATTTTAGGAAGAAGGAGTGATGTCTGTAGAGATGAGCAGGCTGTGGAGAAGAATCTACCACCTTGATCTGGAGTTGTAGTTATGGCTGAATACCAAAGAAAAGGGGAAAGGAGAAAAACAGGAAGACCAAGATGGACATCAGTGTGTGTTGCTCAAGTTCATACTCAGTAGAATTGGCCTGGGTTGCCCAGCAGGGATGTAGGAGAAGTCCTTCTTGATAAGACCACAGTTCCCCTCACATGAGGATGCTGGGCAACAAGGCTCAAATGGACAATTCCCAGAGCCAGCAAAGGACTGGGATGCATAGGAGACACTAAATACACACTATTAAGGTAAAAAATATCCATAGAGACCTTCTTTCCAATTACCCACTCCCCAACCCTCACTTTTTTTTTTAAATCAGTGAGGACCACATGTTCAAATACATTAAGTGATATGTTCAAATAGATTAAGTAGTATAGCTCCTTGGCAGAAAGGTTGGGACTAGAAACAAGGAAATGCAGCCTTTTTCTTTGAAGAACTGATGATATTTTAGGGAGATACAAATCAAACAAAAACATGTTGAAGTCAATAACAGCACAGCATCTCAATAAATGCAAAACAAACAAACAAACTTATTTCACAATTTAAGTTCTAGGTGCTGAAGGGTTGACTGAGTAAAGGTGGAAACCAGGAAACATTCCTGGAGCAGGTGAGCTTTTAACCAGGTTTTTGTGAAGTGATGGACCTTGGCTGGAGGCAAAGAGGACTGGAAGAAATGAGCTCCTGAAGGGGAGACATGTCTTATGATACTATGATATATGCCAGTTTGGTGGGTTGTACCGGCAGGCAGCTTGATAGAATGGAAACAGCAGACACGTGGGAGTCATAAAGAACTGAGGTCAAGTTGCTGACATTCATCAGCTACAGGACCATCAGCTGTGGTTCAATTATTTGATCCCATGTGTTCTCCTCTATTCAACGAGGGTAGAGGTTCTCATCACTTAGTGGTTATTGTAGTTACAGAGTCATTTGGTGACAGCAGGGATTGATATCCTTAGAACTCCTCTTTTTTACTATTCATTGAATGAATTCACAAATGAATAAATGAGTGAATGGATTGCCGGTTAGATTTTCTTCAAGCTAAAGAACACTTCAACCCCTTCAAGCAATGGAAATGTGACACCAGTGCATTCTAGCATAATCAGATAAAACATACCTCACTGTCCCTAACCTCCTCTTATGTAGCTTGCCTGGGAGGACAAAGGAAAGGGGAACGGGGTCTCAAGATCGCTGAGTGGTGGGCTGTTTGATAATACAAATATAAAAAGGAAGAGGCATTCCACAGACCTCAGGCACTTATCCCTAAGCTTCTGAGAAACACCGTTCCTCATCGGATCCATGGGTGGAGGCACATCTAACTTACTTTTACATCCTATACAAGGAGTGCCTAGAGTTTTACTCCTACTCAAACTACAGGGAAAGAAATCCAGCGTCCGCATTTAGAGTATCAAGCCATATTGTGGGATATTTTCTGAGGTTTGGGTCTGAAACACCTAAATGTTGTGCTTGTTTGTACTCTGCTATGTCAAGGAGAGTCTGAAAAGCTCCAGTCCTGGAGGAACACTAACGCCTAGTCAAAAAATTAGAAAAGAGCTGTTGCAGTGTAAAATATCATAAAATCTTAGGGTTGGATGGGACCTTGCAGCCACCCCTGATAAGGGTTTTCAGACTCTGTGATTTTAAGAACTAGTAGAATTTCAAAAAGCAAAACAAATAAAAACAAAAATAAGAATTTGACCTAAGAAGGCTGTATTAGCTTCCTAGGGCTGCTGTAACAATTTACCACAAGCTGGGAGGCTGAATGGAAATTTACTGTCTCACAGCTCCAGAGGCTGTAAGTTTGAGATCAAGGAGTCAGCATGGCTGGTCTCTACTGAGGACTGGGAGGGATAATCTGTTCCAATGCTTCTCTTAGCTTCTGGTAGTTTTCTGGCATTCCTAGGCATTTCTTGACCTGTAGATGGCATTATCCCTGTGTGTTCACATCATCTTCCTCTTTGTATACATCTGTCTCTGTGTCCAAATTTCCCCCCTTTGATAAGGACACCAGTCTTGAATTAAGGCCCACCCTAATGTCCTCCTCGAAACTTGATCATTTGCAAAACCACTATTTCCAAATAAGGCCACATTCATAGATACTACGGATTAGGACTTCAATATCTGTTGTGGGGACACAAGTTAACTCTTAACAGTAGCCAACTAGTAATTTAATTAAGTAAGGACATTTGAAAAAAAGAGAAAATACATGCATCCTACTATCTTCATCATTTTGAAGAAAAGAGATTTTAACTCCTAAAATTTTAGGAATGTTATCATTTCACTGCAAAGGGCAGTCTTTCCCAGAAAGAGTAGCTGGAATCTTACACCAGACAACATGCACATATGCACTGCAGCACTCTTCTTCCTAATCTTACTCCAGGTTGTCAGAGACATTGCCACCAACCACTAGGGATCTGTGAAAAAGTTTTATTTGGTTCTCCTGGTCTAGTACAACTGTTTGTCCACTGCTTAAACCTCTTTTGCAACCACCTTAGCCTGAGCTTTGAAACTATAGTTCTTACATGTGATAACAGACACAATCAAAACAAGAGCTTATGCTGTTACCTTAACATCACACTTCTGTACCTAAAATTATGTCAGACCAAATTCCTTTCCTGTTCTCTGAAATTTCTTCAGCAAGTATGCTATGGGTTGTTTCTGTGAAACAGAAACTTGTTTTTGTGAAATCTCACATCAGGGACTGAGCCAGGCATTCTAAAGCATCTTTATTTATTTTTATTTTTTGCAGCATCTGGAGTCTGAATTTCAGCTCTGTGTCTGTTCACTTGGTTTACAAAGTGATGCTGATTTAATCAGCTCTTACACTGGATTTTATGTAAATGATTTTGTAGTTGTATACCATGAAAAGTAACCACTATTCAAAGGCAATGAGTAATCATAGGCAGCCACTTAAATTTTGGGACTACTTTTCTTTTATTTGTAGCCAAAGACAAGTTTCCTCAAGCTGGCAGAATACTAACCACATGAAGCTTGGATTGTTTGAGTTGCTATTCATGACCAGCAACTGACTTTGCCTTATAAATGTCCAGAGATCCTGATACACAAAGAGTGTGGACTATCACTTGTCAAATATTTTGAGAAAATAAGAAAAGAATGAGTAAAAATTGTGGCTTAAATATTATTTGTAATTTCTCCTATTTGTCATTTCTTTTGTTAAATGCTATGCTCTTGCTCCTGGTGCTGGGGGGAACTCAGTATTGAGATGTCAATAATCAATTGAAATCAATAATCAATTGAGAGTCATTTGGTGACAGCAGGGATTGATATCCTTAGAACTCCATTATATTTGAATCATCAAACAGCCCACCACTCAGTGAGATGTCAAGAGAAAACCTTTGAGAGAAAACTAAGGGAATGCTAAGAAAGTCATGCTGTAGGTGAAGAGATTGGATTTTGGTGTCAGATATAGGTGGTTTAACCCCCCAACTTTGCCATTCAGCTTTGTGTGATTTCAGGCACAATACTTAAACTCCCTGGGTATTAGTTTTATCTCCTATACAATGGAATTAACGTCTACTCCTTAAGACTGTTATAAGGATTCACATACCTCTACTGGAGATAGGGTGGGATGAGTGGGGAGAGGACTTTCAAGAAGCAAACAGTAAACTAAATATACTTTTGCCTAAAGGTGAGGCTTGATCAAATTCCACAGGAATTGTTATCCATAATAGCACTTCATTAAAAATATTCTAATTTTCTTCCAGGAGTTCAATAATTATGTAACATACTTTTTGGGAAAAAAAATGAGTTTGCCTCCAGCAAGAGTAGAAGAAAACCAAATACGCTTCATACCAGACAACCAAAGTGTTCTGAAATATAATAAACTATCCAAGGTCATGTAGAAAACTAGGCATTCAATGTAGTTTTCTGGCAGACTTGCAGGCTCAAAATGCTATTTGGTAAACAGAGTTAAAATGATGATTGTCACAAAACTTCATAAGAAAACAAATTTATCAGGCACTCTTTTTTTTTTTTTTTTTTTTTTTTGAGATGGAGTTTTGTTCTTGTTTCCCAGACTGGAGTGCAATGGCATGATCTCGGCTCACTGCAACCTCCGCCCACCAGGTTCAAGTGATTCTCCTGCCTCAGCCTCCCAAGTAGCTGGGATTACAGGTGCCCACCACCACGCCCGGCTAATTTTTTGTATTTTTAGTAGAGATGTAGTTTCACCACGTTGGCCAGGCTGGTCTAGAAATCCTGAATTTAGGTGATCCACCCACCTTGGCCTCCCAAAGAGCTGGGATTACTGGCGTGAGCCACCATGTCCCACCTATCAGGCACTTTAAAAGATTATTTTTCATTCTGACCAAAACCAAATTGTGGTTCTTAACATTTAATAATTATTTTGTAATAAGGCTGTTATGTGTAGATTAAATTTTTTATTTTATTTTTAATAAATATTGTTGGATTTAAGAAAATGTTGAATGGGGTATGGAGGATATAGAAGATGTAATTAAAATATCAAGGAAGCAACAAACAAATGAATTTTCTCTGTTGCTCTTATTCCTAGCAGCAATAGACTTTGGAACATTTGCATACGTTCATCTTGGCAGTAGTTTTCAAAGGAATTTTTTCCTGACTTATTTTAACACTTTGTGTAATAAAATCCTATAAATTCGCAGAAAAGTCCTGACTATTCAGGGAAGAGTTCTTACTCATGTAAAAGGCATTTCACATTTCTGCATGAACACTGACATATGAACTTAAAAGCTAGAATTTAACTTAAACAATGGTTTGTCTGTGCTCTTGTCACCTAGTTGGATAAGGCAGATGCTGGGGAAAGTCCTGGTGATGTAGCCTCCTCAGCTCCTCAGGAATCACAAGGAAAGACATGCAGAAAAAAGACCCTACTACCATTCCCAGGACATTGGCCTTGTCCTGATGTCTTTCTCCACGCCACAGTCCTATAGCTGAAACAAGAGGCGGTGTCCTGTGGGAGGAGGCAGCAGGCTGTTCTAGAATTAAATCTAAGCATTGGCACTTAGCTGCATGACTTTAGGCAAGTGTCTCAGACTCTTTAAGCATCAGCTTCTCATCTGTACCATGGAGATACCAGTATCTACCCCACATGGATTATTAGAAAATTAGGCTAGATGGTACAAGGTGCCTGGCACATAATGGGTAAATTATCAGCTTCTAACCTCAAACCACACAGTTATGGCATATTGCATGAGGAGAATGAGGATCTGAGAAAAGCTGGTAAACTAGATTCCATTTGTTCCTTGTTTAGTTCTAGTTTGTACTCAATAGTAAGGAAACGTTTTTTTTTTAGTTGGACATTGTTTCTGCTTTCCAAGAGGCAATCACCTACTCACAGAAAGCACATAGATCAGATATTATTTAATATGTATTACAGGATCTGCTGTAGATGCAGTATTATTTTACGTGCTAGGAAGATATGAAGGTGAAGTAAGAAATGTTCCTACTCTTTTTTTTCTTTCTTTTTTTTTTTTTTTTTTGAGGAGTCTTGCTCTGTCACCCAGGCTGGAGTGCAGTGGCACAATCTTGGCTCACTGCAACTTCTGCCTCCTGGGTTCAAGCAATTCTCCTGCCTCAGCCTCCTGAGTAGCTGGGACTACAGGCATGGCCCACCACACCCAGCTAATTTTTGTATTTTTAGTAGAGACGGGGTTTCACCATGTTGGCCAGGCTGGTCTCAAACTCCTGACCTCAAATGATCCACCCACCTCAGCCTCCCAAAGTGCTGGGATTACAGGTGTGAGCCACCTCCTAAGGAGGTTACAATATGTAGAGGAAGAAGACAGGGGATGAGGATATGTTACTCCTTGAATAGCTAGTACAATCTATCTATGAACACTATAAGCACACTTTCATTCCTAACAGTTTTTCTGTATATGCTTCTCATTTGACACTAGTCATACCTGGTGCCAGCTGTGTTAAATACATGTCAACAGATGGCAGTCACCATTTACTATTCATTCTGTGCCAAGCACTGTGCTGAGCACTTTGAACACCTTATCTTGTTTAAACCTTAGAAGGAACATGTGAGGTAGGGTTATCGTCAACATTTTACATGCGGAAACTCAAGCTCAGAGAGGTTAATGAATATGCCCCAAAGCAACAGCTCATAAGTGATAGAATTGGGTTTGAAATGCAGGTCTGTCTTCCTCCAAAGCTTTCTTTCCCCCTGAAACTCCATATTTTACAACCTCACCTCTGTGTATTTTTCACAAGAGGTTACATAGTAGGTGCTCCAAAGTATTTATTCCTAGATAATTATAAAGAGGTAAGTAGCTGGTCTAGGAAGCCCTTTCAACATTAACTCAGCCCTGTTGTGGATTTCCCCTTTCAGCTGAGTGAGATTTCATAGTAAAGATTTTGTTTCCGTATAACATTACTACCTCTAAGTGCAATTTCAAAGGTCTTTTCCTAAGACTCATGGCACATGTCTCTCATACATGGTTTTCCATATTATATAAAGCATTTATTAGGACCTTTTAAGGTCTCCATCAATGATCTTAAATTGGCAGAATTTTGTAATCCTTCCTTCCTTAGCTTATGACTAAGATTACAAGAAAGTCCATGCTATTTTTATAATTGTTGTTAGAGAAGAAGAATGCTATGCAAGCCTGCAAGCTCTAAAACAAGCAGACTGTATCAAGAACACAGCTCCTGCCCTGGAGGGTATCTGATCTAAAACCACAAATGGGTGTATTATATGACACTGACCATTTCCATACCCTTGGGGCAGCAGTAAAGATCATTTGATGTCCTCCTATTTTAAAAATGGACAAATTTTTCTTTTTTTTTTTCTTAAGATAGACTTTTACCAATTATAGTGAAAGAGGGGAAGAATAGAATAGCAAGAACTGAGAAACAGAGCAGTGCTAGGAGTGTTGAGCCTTTAAAGTTCATTGAAATGTTTCTAGCTGCTTCATTAATATCCAACTGTAGGTCTGAGGATGGCATCTGTAGTTTGTGAGTGGGTGTGTTTACACCAAATGGGAATTCAGGAAATGCATTCCAAAATCAAATAGAAATAACTTGGAAATTATTGTGTCTTTATTTTTTCATTAAACAATCCTTAATTGAGTGCCTGTGTGATGACTGATAGTCCCTGCTGCTGGAAGCTCATGGTCTAAGGCCAGAGACAACAAAGGCACTGCTGGTTGACACAGAATGGGGTGAGTTTTATGACAGTGGAATTGAAGGTTATAGTTGAAATCCAAAGGAGTGCCACTTAATACAGCCAGGTAGTGAGTGATTTAGGAAAACCCAGCCTGGAGAAGCTGAAGCTGAGTTTTGCACGTTGAGTAAAAGCAACTGCACTCAAGAATCAGGTTCCAGAGAGGACAGCATGTCAATAGGTATGAAGAAAGTAAGAGGGCTTATTATGTTTAAGGTACTTAAGGAACAAAACAAACAAAAATTCCTATAAATATATAACTGGGTTCTCCTGCAGGTAACTCTAGAGATAAAACCAGAGGGAAAAACCATAGCCATATCTTGAAGGACTTTTTATGCCAGCCTTAGGAGTTTGGACTTTGTCCTAAGAAGAGTGATTAAAAGATTTTTAATATAAACATGATAAAAACCAATTTCCCTTATAGCACCATGAAGGATAGGTCAGGGAGGGCTGTGTGTGAGAACAGGCTGTTACAGTAAGAAAACATGGTGTCTGTGGAGATAAATATTTAAGTGCTAAAACTGATAAGACAAAGTAACTGGTTAGGATAAGGTTAGACGAACCATGCAGCTGAGTGGATGATTGTGCCGTTTACCAAGATAACATACACAAGAAAGAATTTGGAAGGGGTGATACTTAAAGTAGATTGTAGCATAAGTTAATGGACCAGTATTTTGTATTATAGTTGTTTTGATGTCCACTTTTTTTTCTATCATCCTCCACCAGTTTACAGAGGTTAGAAGATAGATTTGGGGGTCATTTCAAATTTCACATCACTTATTGGCTTTCTGATCTTAAGAGGATCACTTAATTCTATAAGCCTCAGTGTTTTCAGTGGTAAAATGATAAGAATACTTATGGTACAGGGGTGTCAGAAATAAGGGTTAAAAGAGAAAATGATATAGAGTCCTGAAACAAAATAAGTGTTGTTAAATAAATGGCAGTTGTTATTATTACTTTTGTTGCTGTCTGTTGAATGCTCACTGAGTGGAGGGTCTATGCTTCCTTCACTCTGTGTTTCTGCAGGACCTTGTCTAGTGGTCTGTGTATAAAAGACTAAGCCGTAATCATTGAATTGAGCTGAATTGAAGTGGTACAACATGGAAATGCCAAATGAAGTTTCTGAAAGACATGAAGTGTTTATGCATGTTTAATGTACTTCAGTTAAATAAGTCACTCAGAAAGGGTCAAGAGTAACATTTGGAGATGAAGGACAGGAAAAGAGCAATGATATTAATTAAGCAAGATCGGAAGTGGCTCCTAACAGCAAAAAAAAAAAAAGTAAACTGTCCCAAGGGAAGAAGCCTAAGAACAAGTCCTCACAGACATGTGGGGCTTTCAAGAGAAGTCAGTGATCTGATGGTTCTCCTCAGCTCAAGGTTTTACCTAGATGTCATATCAGCAATTATCTAACATATTGACCACTGCAAGAAGAAAACTATAGATCATAAGCCATATGAAAAGAATTAAACACTAGCCTAGTGTAGAAACCTAATCTGAACATTGATGTATTGTCCAATTGTCATCATGATTCTTATTTTATTTTTCTTTTGGTCATTTAATTTTCTCTGAATGTGAGCCATGGTAATATTTATATGTAATTTTAGGTTGCCTTTGCATTTTATACTAAATTTGTCCAACAGAGAAATCAAAATTATATTTATCATTAACATAAAATAAATAAAACATAAGCCAACAAAAACAGAGAACAATCTTTTTTTTTTTTTTTTTTTTTGAGATGGAGTCTCGCTCTGTCGCCCAGGCTGGAGTGCAGTGGCGTGATCTCGGCTCACTGCAAGCTCTGCCTCCTGGGTTCATGCCATTCTCCTGCCTCAGCCTCCCGAGTAGCTGGGACTACAGGCACCCGCCACCACGCCTGGCTAATTTTTTGTATTTTTAGTAGAGACGGGGTTTCACCGTGTTAGCCAGGATGGTCTTGATCTCCTGAACTCGTGATCCACCCACCTCGGCCTCCCAACAGAGCACAATCTTAAGTGGAAATCCGATTGAGGTACTGGTGCTGATTTAGATTTGAGGGGTTAATTTGCCTGTCGCTAAAGAGCAAGTTAGCATATATCTAGGCATAGTAGGTAAATCTAAGCCAATGGGGCATGAAAAGGGAGGAAATATTTAACACCACATAAATTCAGCTGTTCTTACGTGCTTTCTTTTCTAAAAAACCTACTACACTCCTGCTGTGCACTATGGCCCACCCTATCTCAGGGCTGCTGCAAATTGTTATGCACATTATTCATACCACGAGGGTGCCAGGCAGAGGAGAGGGAAGGCGAATCCCAAAGAAACAGGCATCTTTTTCTAATTTGCACAAATCTATGGCTAAACAACAGCACAACTACATCTTATGCCCCACAGTCTTTTCCATCAGAAAAAAAAAATCCCCAAATTCACAAACCAAAGCCTAGTTTCTTAGCACAGATTGTGCTTTTTTTCACATCTCGGATGAATTTAAAAGCCTGAGATGGGAGGCAGAACAGGGAGAAAGCAGGTTAAAGGAAACATAGTTGCTGTTATGTAGGATAAATAAGTCTAGAGATCTAAATTATAGCATGGGGACTATGGTTAATGATATTGTGTACTGGAAATTTGCTAAGACAGATTTTATGGGCTCTTAACAAACACACACACACAAAGGTAACTATGTGAAATGATAGATACATTAATTTGCTTGAATGTAGTAATTATTTTACTATGCAAATGTGTATCAAAACATCATGTTGTATAACTTAAATATATGCAATTTTTAAAATACCTGGGAGGCTGAAAAAAATAGGATCTACATAGATACATTTTGATGTTCCTGAACTTCCCTAACCCTCTCTTTAATTGTCTCCAGAAGCCTATTATTTATCCTTTTAAATGGTGGTTTTTCAGAGTCTTTGGATCTGCCCGAATTCATAAAAGGCCATCACTTTGATGCCCCTTCACGATTGTGAGGTGCCTATTGCAACACAACCATGACTGCTACGTCTGCTAAGAGGGCTTTTTGAGTCTGTTCTCTGCTCCTGGAAACTCAGCTTGGAGAAAAGCCAGGAGAAAGCTTGCTAGTGTACATGGTACTCTTATGCTGATTTTCAAATAGTCAACTCCCACAGCTTTGCATGCTTTAACACCAAAATGAAAGACAGAAACAGTGTTATTGCTTCATTGCTTTCTGGTCAGGAACAAACACATATGAAGCTGCCTTTACCCATACCTATTTTGAGTTACTCAGAAAGATCTAAATAGAATCTTATATCCAAACATAATGGAAGAAAGAAAATATGTTTCTACTCTTTGCTCTTGTTTACATAGTGGTCTGCAGTTTGGGTCTTAATATGAGTTTTGGAATATTATGAAACAGCATAACCACCCAGCTAGAACATAATAGCTAATATAAATCAGCCAGCTCACAAGCAAAACAGATTTTTAAAATCTGCTTTATATTCTCTAATGCACCACAGAGAAAATAGCAAGAATTTGAAATTTATATACAGAGAAAAATTATTTAGAGACTTTGTTGAAAAATAAGTATATATAGGAGCAATAAACAAATCTATCATATTAGAACCTAGAATTGCACTAAAAGGAAGCAGATTTCAGTTATTTCCCATGCCATAAAAAAAATATCAAAAACTATAGATTTAGAAACCTGAGCCTTCCTCATTCCACCAAAAATGGGGGAGGCAGGAATGTTACCAACAGGACAAATTACACACATTTGGGTTGAAAGAAGAGAAAGAACTGTAATAAGCATAACCAGCAACATGCAGAAAATCAGCAGAAGAGCTTGGAGATCAAAGCAGACCATAACCTAAAGCTAAAGCCTTTAACAGACTATACCAAGTCATGCATGAAAAGTGCCAGGAAGGAATGTATTTACTAAATTATCCACTTAGTCCCCTTGAGATAGCAGTATTCTGTAGAATTTCAATGGAAATGCAACAAGATCCAAAGTGTTATTAGAGTCCATATAAATGTCCTTTCCCCTCTCAGCTGTTCTCAAGCCCTCACCATTAGTACTTTGAGGGGCTCGTAACCCCACTCAGTAAGCTTTTTCTTCATGCCCAAAGGAAAAATTATAGACTTCTCTTCCAAGACTTCTAGATGTTTCATTATTGATCCCAAACTATTTCCCTGGTTTCATCTTCAGGACCCTCCTTCTCACATCCCCTATGTTGCAACTTATTCTGTCTCTAGTGTTAACTTATTCTTCCTTCTAAGCAGTGAGGAGAAGTATTTAAGAACTGGGTCAATGGGGTCAAACAAACCTTGATCCAAGGACCAGCTCTGCCATATACCAAAAGTATGACCTTGGCAAGTCACTTCATTCATTCATTCATGAATTCAACCATATTTATTGAGCATCCAGTGTGTGCCAGGATCTGTGCTTAGCCCTGGAGATAAAGAACAGTACAAAAATTCCTGTCCTCATGAGACGCTTATTCTAGTTAGGGGAGACAGAAAATGTCTAATAATTGCCATGATGAAAACTAAAGCAGAGTAAAGATGCAGAGAGTGATGTGGGAGTGAAGAGAAGAGAGAGAGGAAAGTGGTTGTGCTTTCGACAGATTGATCAAGGAAGGCTTTTCTGATAAGATGACATTTAGATGGAAACCTGAATGAATGAGAAAGTGAGCCTTGTGGTATCTGGGAGATAGTGTCCCAGGCAGAGGGATGATGAGTTTGTGGTCTGATGATTTCAGTCTCTTCTTTAGGAACTACTCTCCATTGGTATTGTATCCCTGTTTTGGTCAGTTTGGGAAGCTATAACAAGATACCACAGACTAGGTGGCTTAAACAACAGAAATTTGTTTCTCACAGTTCTGGAGGCCGGCAAGTTCAGGATCAGGGTGCCAGCAGATTCGGTGTCTGGTGAGTGCCCTCTTTTTGGTTTGCACATGTCAGTCTTCTCATTGTATCCTCAAATGGTGGAGAAAACAGAGAAGGGAAGCAAGCTCTCTCTTGTCTCTTCTTAAAAGGGCATTAATCCCATTATGTGGGTCTCACCTTCATGACCCAGTTATCTCCCAAAGCTCTATCTCCAAATGTCAGCACACTGGGGATTAGGGTTTCAACATATGAATTTGGTGGGTAGGTATGGGGGAGACAAATATGCAGTCTTTAGCAATCTCTGATCACATGAAGTTGTTGTGAGGATCATATGAGGTTTATTAGTATAAAAGTACTTAGGGTCATTCCTGAAGCATAAGAAATGGTCACAAAAGGACAGTATTATTTTTTCTATCAGGTTCAGCAAGAATATCCCCTTTGAAAGCTCCTTTGCCATATGCTTCCTCCCATCCTCATTGCCGGCATTATTCCTCTCTCCATTTGGTTTGCATTGCATGTTGTACACAACTGTAATAGCATTTATCATATTGTATATCTTTATTCTTTTATTTTCCCTTTTTTTTGTTTCCTCAGCTAGACTGTGAGCTTGGTGAAGGGAGTGACTGCACCTTATTCTTGGGCCCTCAGAGCCTAGCACAGTGCCTGACACATTAAAGTTTCTAAATTCATCCTTGCTGAATGAATGAATGAGCTTAAATACTTCTTGTTCCATGAAGTTTTTAAACTTATTCTCATCTCTATCTCCACTTATATTTTGTATCAGTCATATTACATAATATATGTACCACTTAACCCATATTGTTTTGTATGCAAAATTTTTTGCATCTATATCTTGTTTCCAACTAGATCATAAAGTCTTATGGAACAGAAATGGTATATTATATTCTTTGTATCTTTCTTAGAGTGTTATGTACATACATGGGTTAATTATCATTGTACTGTTAAAAGAAAAGCTTAATGAATAAATGCACAGATGGACTTAAAAACCATTTGATGGAGTATAACACATTTTTTATGGATGGAGTGAGTAATGATGTTAGAATATAACTACTATTGCTTCAGAGCAACCACAGAGAACCTCAGAAGTCCAACTCAGAGAAGCTTTAGAATGCTCTCAGAATGAAGTGGAACAATAAACATCTCAATATTATTTCAAAACTCAAAAACTTATTCCTGGTCACTAAAAGAAGTAAAAAGAGTCTAATTCTTTAGAAACAGACAAATTTTGGCTCTTGCATTTTCAGGAAAATGATCTTGGAATAGTTAGACAAAGTGCCAAAAATTTACAGAATTCAGTGGGATGTGATTTTAACATCTAGAAGAGTTGTGTCCCAAATAAAGGAAGCATACAACAAATATAGAGGATTCCCCTCATGTTCCTATTTACAATAATCTAGGAACGTGATGGAGTTCCTTTACATAGAAAGACACCTAAATATCTCAGCCAGAAAATGATGCAAAATTCTATAGCAGACTGTATAGGGTTTCCAATCTCTGTAAGTGAACAGAATTACACATGTATACACTGAATTTAAGGGACACACATGATAAGACCACCCCAGTTAGAGAGTGTATTAATTTTCTATTGCTTCCTAACAAATCACCATAAATTTAGTGATTTAAAGCAACACAGTTTTACTATCTCACAATTTCTGTGCATGAATCTGGGTATGCATTAGCTTGGTCTTCAGCTCAGGGTCTCACTAGGCTGAAATCAAAGTGTCAGCCTAGGCTGTGGTCTCATTTGAGGCTTGAGATCATCTTCTAAGGTCAGCAGGAAAGTGGTGATGCTGCTGCTGCTCTTGCTCCTGCTTATCTCTTTTAAGGTTTTGCCAGATTAAATCAAACCCACCCAGGAACTTTTCCTTTTCAATTAACTCAAAATCAGTTGACTAGGAAACTTAATTGCATCTGGAAAATACCTTTGGCAATATAATGTAACATAATCATGGGAGTTATTACCCATGATATTCCCAGCTTCTGCTCACACTCAAGGGGAGATGATTATACAGCATGTGTATACCAGGGGGTGGATATCTTGGAGGCTATCAGAATTTTGTCTAATTCAGAGGGCACTGAGACAGATAAATAAGAATCAGGGTGTCCCACACAACAGCATTACACATAAGTGTCTCAGAATTACTTAGGATGGTAAAATTACTGAGGATGATATAATTGTGTTCTGATCCTTTTTTGTTTGTTTGTTTGTTTTGAGATGGAGTCTTGCTCTCTCACCCAGACTGGAGTGCAGTGGAGTGATTTCCGCTCACTGCAACCTTCACCTCCTCCACTCACTGCAATCTTCGCCTCCTGGGTTCAAGTGATTCTCCTGCCTCAGCCTCCCAAGTAGCTGGAATTGCAGGCATGCGCCACAAGCCTGGCTAATTTTTGCATTTTTAGTAGAGATGAGGTTTCACCATGTTTGCCAGGCTGGTCTTGAACACCTGACCTCAAGTAACCCACCCACCTTGGCCTCCCAAAGAGCTGGGATTACAGGCATGAGCCAACGTGCCTGGCCATGTTCTGATCGTTTAATGATAGCAACATTTAGTATTATAGAGCATGAAAATGTCAAAGTCGCAACTCTAAAATGTTTTTATTTAGAAATATGTGCCTATTAGAATTTTAGTTACTAGAATTATTTAAGAAAATTGGACGTTTTATAATAACAGGTCAACATTGTAATTCCAAGCTAAAATGGGTGAGTAATTGCTTTAGGCTTGTAATTTCAGATTAAAATCTTACTTGTAACATTTAAGAGAACTTCAGGTTCATCATACCTATAAATTTAATTTATTAGGCTTATAAGAGTGACTTAAGTTCTTGGGAAGTTTCTTAAGTCACCTAATTGGTATACTTCAAAAGAAAACAGAAATATGTTACATTAATAAATGTGCTTAAATATTTAAGGAATTTAATTAAGTTGTGAAATCTTCCTTCAAAGTAATTATAAAATTTGCTATGTTTATGAATGTGTTAATAAGATTTATAAACTAACCTAAAAGCTTAAGAAGAACAAGAGTTTAAATAAATTGAATACTAATTTTGTACCAAAATTACGTTAAATAGGTTTTTTTCTAGGCATAAAAACTGCCCTCAGGAACATAAAAATACTCATGTTCAACAAGTTTCAACTGTGCTATTTTGTATGACCTCTGTCAAGTTACTTAACTTCTCTTAGCTTCAGTTTCCTCACCTACAAAATGGGTATCATCATATTAACTTTTAGGGTTGCTGTAAGGATTGAGATATTTTGCATAAAGTTGTTGGAACATGTAAGGCCCTCAATAATGTCAGCTCAAAGAAAAAGAGATTAGAGGGTCCAAGATGATAGACTAGAAGCAGCTCACGTGTGCTGCTCTCAGAAAGGAAACAAAAGGGCTAGTGAACACTGACCCTGCAGGCCAAACATCTGAGAAACCACATTGGGATCCATCAAGGCAGCAGGGGACACAGAGCAGAGAGAAGCAAAGCTGGACACCAGCCTATCTTGGCTTAGTGTGAAACCAGGAGAACCTCTCCCACATGGTAAAGGGTGAGCGAGTGAGAGCCCCCTAGAAGATTCGCACTCTCCACAGGGACCTATGCAAGACTGGGAATGGAAAAATCCCTCTGGCCCCCCACGCTCCCATCTGTGATAATAAACTGAGGTAGAGAGCCACCTGGTCATTTTGTGGAGGCAACTTTTGAGTCCAAGAGGGCCTCTGCAAGCCTTTGGCCCCAAAGCAGACCAGCACTGTCACCATAGCTCCAATAGAGGCCACATTTGCAGTGTCTGGGAGAAATAAGATTGATCTATCCTCATTTCATTGGACAGGGCTCACTACCAGCTTCCAGCCCAGTGGTGCTGCTTCTGCCTGAACTTGGCCAGCAGCCATAGCCTCCTGCTGTCCCAGGAAGCACCCAGATGGCAGAACAAGTGATCTCACCCATCCCCACCACTGATAACCAGGTGGACAATGCCTGTTAGAGCTTCCAGCCGAACAGTCCCACTTCTACATAAACTCAGCCAAGAGTGCAGCATTCTGTTGTCCTGAGAAATACCCAGATGGTAGGGTGGGTGACACCACACACCCATGCCAATGGTAGCCAAGGGGGACAATGCCTGCTAGATCTTCAAGCCCAGAAAACCCTCTTCTGCCTGAACTCAGCTAGCAGGCAAAGCCTGCCTTTTTCCTGAGAAACACTGAGATGGCAAGAAGGGTGACCCTACCAACCCCTACCACTGGAAGCCAAGTGGGTAATGCTTGCCAGAGTTTCCAATTCACAGGTTCCACCTCTGTCTAAATTTGTTGGAGGTGCAGCTTCCTGTTGCCCTGGAAACACCCAGATGGCAGGGTGGGCAATTCCACCTACCCCTGCCTCTCATAGCAAGATGGGCCACATCTGCTAGAGCTTCCAGCTCAGTGGTTCTGCTTTTGCCTAAACTCTGTAGACAGGTGCAACCTTATGTTTCCCTGAGAAGCACTCAAACAACATATTAGGGCCAACCCAGCAAGGAAATGGCTTGTCTGCTAACTGCAACCTCTGCCTAAGGAAGTCCTGTGGACCAGAACACCCAACAAAAGAAACACAGTCATGGAGACAGTAATTGGAGGGGTCTCCTCCAAGACCCAGGAGCAGACTATAATTGAAGCCAGTTGTCTAATCCCACTGAGAATCACAATCAAACCCTCAAGGGCACCAAAAAAGATAAAAGCAAAAAGCCCATCCAAAGGACTGCAACTTCAAAGGCTGAAGAAACATGAGCCCACATTGATGAGACAAAAACAGTGCAGGAACTCTGGCAACAACAACAACAACAAAAAAGGCAAAAATGTCTTCTTACCTCCAAATGACCACACTAGTTCCCCAGCAAAGGTTGTTAACCTGGCTGCAATGACCAAAATGTCAGAACTAGCATTCAGAATACGGATAGAAATGAAGATCATTGATATTCAGGATAAAGTTGAATCCTAATCCATGGAATCTAAAGAATGTAATAAAACAATACAGGAGATGAAAGATAAAATGGCCATTTTAAGAAAGAATCAAACTGAACTAACAGAGGTGAAAAACTCACTTTAAGAATTTCATAATACAACCAGTATTAACAGCTCCATCAACCAAGCTGAGGAAAGAATCTCAGAGCTTGAGAGATTGCTTCTCTGAAATAACTCCGTCAGACAAAAATAAAGCAAAAACAATAAAGAATGGATAAAACCTCTGAGAAATATGGGATTATGTAAAGAGACCAAGAGACCAAATCTATAATTCATTGGCATCCCAAGGAAAGGGAGAGAAAGCAAGCAACTTGGAAAACATATTTGAGGTTATGATCCATAAAAATTTTCCCAATCTCACTAGAGAGGCCAACATTTAAATCCAGGAAATGCAGAGAACCCCTACAAGACACTATATAAGACAACCATCCCCAAGACACATAGTCGTCAGATTCTCCAACGTTGAAATGCAGGAAAAAATGTTAAAGGCAGCTAGAGAGAAGGGGAAGGTCACCTACAAAGGGAACCCTATCAAGCTAACAGTGGAACTTTCAGCAGAAACTCTACAAGCCAGAAGAGACTTAGGGGCCTATATTCACCATTCTTTTTTTTTTTTTTCTTTTTTTTTTGACAGAGTCTTGCTCTTTCACTCAGGCTGGAGTGAAGTGGCACAATCTCAGCTCACTGCAACCTCCGCCTCCTGGGTTCAAAAGATTCTCCTGCATCAGCCTCCTGAATAGCTGGGATTACAGGTGCCCGCCATCATGCCTGGCTAATTTTTTTATTTTTAGTAGAGATGGGGTTTCACCATGTTGGCCAGGCTGGTCTCGAACTCCTGACCTCAGGTGATTCACCCACCTCGGCCTCCTAAAGTGCTAGGGTTACAGGCCTGAGCTGCCTCGCCCAGCCTCAGCATTCTTAAAAAAAAAAAAAAGAAAAAAGAAATTCCAACCAAGAATTTCATATCCAGCCAAACTAGTTTCATAAGCAAAGGAGAAATAATATCATTTTCAGACAAGCAAATGCTAAGGGAATTTGTTACTGCCTTGCACAGTCATTAAGGGAGTGCTAAATATGGAAAGGAAAGACTGTTACCAGCCACCACAAAAGCACACTTGAGCATATAGGTCGTTGACACTATAAAGCAACCACACAATCAAGTCTGCATAATAACCAGCTAACAATATGATTACAGGATAAAACCTACACATATCAATTTTTTTTTTTTGAGAGGGAATCTCACTGTCACCAGGCTGAAGTGCAGTGGTACAATCTTGGCTCACTTCAACTTCTGCCTCCCAGGTTCAAGTATTCTCCTGCCTCAGCCTCCCAAGTAGCTGGGACTGCAGGTACGCACCACCACGCCCAGCTAATTTTTATATTTTTAGTAGAGACAAGGTTCCACCATGTTGGCCAGGATGGTCTCAATCTCTTGACCTCATGATCCACCCACTCGGCCTCCCAAAGTGCTGGGATTGCAAGTGTGAGCTACTGCACCTGGCCACACATATCAATATCAACCTTAAATGCAAACAGAATAAATACCTCAATTAAAAGGCACAGAGTGACAAGGTGAAGAAGAAAGCAAGATCCAACTGTATGCTGTCTTCAAGAGATCCATCTCACAGACAATGACACCCATAGATTCAAAGTAAAGGAACAGAGAAAAATTTACCAAGCAAATGGAAAACAGAAAATAGCAGGGGTAACTATTTTAATTTCAGACAAAATAGACACTAAACCAATAATGATCAAAAAAGAAAGAGGGAGGCTAGACGTTGTGGCTCACCCCTATAATCCCAGCACTTTAGGAGGCCAAGGTGGGATGATCATTAGAGTTTGGGAGTTCGACCATCAGCCTGGCCAACATGGGAAAACTCCATCTCTACTAAAAATACAAAAATTAGCCAGATGCTGTGGCTCACACTTGTAATCCCAGCTACTCAGGAAGCTGAGGCACAAGAATAGCTTGAACCTGGGAGGCAGAGGTTGCAGTGAGCTGAGACCATGCCACTGCACTCCAGCCTGGGTGACAGAGTGAGACTCTGTCTCAAAACAAAACAAACAAAAAACAAAAAGAAGGACAGAAGGGCATTACATAATTACAAAGAGTTCAATCCAACAAGAAGACCTTACTATCCTACATATATATCCACCCAACACAGGTGCACCCAAATTCATAAAGCAAATACTTACAGACCTATGAAGAGATTTAGATAACCACACAACAATACTAGGAGATTTTAACACTCCATGACCATATTAACCATATCATTGAGGCAAAAATACTAACAAAGATATTCAAGATGTGGACACAACATTTGACCAAATGGACTGAACAGACATCTACAGAACACTATACCCCAAAACAGAATATACATTTTTCCTATCTGCACATAGCACATACTCTAAAATCAACCACTCAATAGGACATAAAGCAATTCTCAGCAAACCAAAAAACAAACAGAAATCATACCAACTACATTCACGGACTACAGCACAATAAAAATATAAATCAATACTAAGAAAATCACTCAAAACAATACAATTGTATGGAAATTAAACAACCTGCTTCTGAATGACTTTTGTGTAAATAATGAAAGGAAGGCAGAGATGAAGAAATTCTTTTAAAGTAATAAGAAAAAAGATACAATATACCAGAATCTCTGGGACATAGCTAAGGAAGTGTTAAGGGGGAAGTTTATGGCATTAAACGCTCATATAAAAATGTTAGAAAGAACTCATATTAATAACTACCATCACAATTAGAGAAACTAGAGAAACAAGAGCAAACCAACCCCAAAGCCAGCAAAGGACAAGAAATAACCAAAATTAGAGCAAAATGAAAGGAAATTGAGATGCAAAATAAAATACACAAAAGATCAATGACTCCAGGAGTTGGTCTTTTGAAAAAATTATTAAGACAGACCATGAGCTAGACTAATAAAGAAAAAAGGAAAGAAGATTCAAATAAACACAATCAGAAATGACCAGGGGTACTTTACCACTGATCCCACGGAAACACAAAAACACCTCAAAGATTATGATGAACACCTCTATGCATACAAACTAGAAAATCTAGAAGAAATGGATGAATTCCTGGAAATATATAACCTCCCAAGATTGAACTAGGAAGAAACTGAATCCCTGAACAGACCAATAACATGTTTGGAAATTGAATCAGTAATAAAAAGCCTACCAACCAGAAGAAGCCCAGAACCAGACGGATTCACAGCCGAATTCTACCAGACTTACAAACCTATGACATCCATAGGTTTGTAATGAAGAACTGGTACCAATTCTATTGAACTATTCCAAAAAACTGAGGGGGAGGGACTCCTCCCTAACTCATTCTATGAGGCCAACATGATCCTAATACCAAAACCTGGCAGACACACAACAAAAAAAGAAAACTTCAGGCCAGTGTCCTTGATGAACATAGATAAAAAATCTTCAATGAAATACTAGCAAACCAAATCCAGCAGCACAACAAAACCTAATCCACTATGATGTAGTAGGCTTTATCCCTGGGATGCAAGGTTAGTTAAACATACACAAATTAAAACGTGATTTACCACATAAACAGAGCTAAAACCAAAAATAACATGATCATCTTAATAGGTACAAAAAAGCTCTCCAATAAAAGTCAGCATCCCTTCATGCTAAAAACCCTCAACAAACTTGGCATTGGAGGAACATATTTCAAAATAAAAGCCATCTATGACAAACGCATAGCCAACACCATATTCAAGGGGCAAAAGCTGGAAGCATTTCCCTTGAGAACCGGAACAAGACAAAGATATCTACTCTCACCACCCCTATTTAAGATAGTACTGGAAGTCCTAGACAGAGCAGTCAGGCAAGATAAAGAAATACAAGGCATCCAAATAGGAAGAGAAGAAGTCAAACTATATCAGTTTGTAGACGATATGATTCTATACCTGAAAAAACCCATAGTCTCTTCCCAAGAGCTCTTAGATCTGATAAAAAACTTCAGCAAAGTTTCAGGATACAAAGTCAATGTACAGAAATCAGTAGCATTTCTATACACCAACAATGTCCAAGCTGAGAGCCAAATCAAGAATGCAATCCCATTCACAACACCACAAAAAGAATAAAATATCTAGGAATACAGCTAACCAGGGAGTGAAAAATCTCCATAATGAGAATTACAAAACACTGCTCAAAGAAATCAGAGAAGACACAAACAAATGTAAAAACATTCCATGCTTGTGGATAGGGAGAATCAATATTGTTAAAATGACCACACTTCCCAAAGCAATTTACAGTTTCAATGCAATTTCTATCAAACTACCAATGAAATTCTTCACAGAATTGGAAAAAATTGTTTCAAAATTCATATGGAGCCAAAAAAGAGCTTGAATGGCCAAGGCCATTCTAAGCAAAAAGTACAAAGCTGGAGGCATCACGTTACCCAACTTCAAACTATACTACAAGGCTACAGTAATCAAAAGGGCAGGGTGCTGATACAAAAACAGACACATAGACCAATAGAACAGAATAGAAAGCCCGGAAGTAAAGCCACAGACCTACAGGCATCTTGTTTTTGACAAAGTTGACAAAAACAAGTAATGGGGAAAGGACTCCCTATTCAATAAATGGTGCTGGGATAACTTGCTGGCCATACGCAGATGATTGAATGTGGACCCCTTCTTTATACCATATACAAAAATCAACTCAAGATGGATTAAAGGCTTAAATGTAAAACCCACAACATGAAAACCCTGGAAGATAACCTAGGAAACATCATTCTGGACATAGGCTCTGGCAGATAGTTTATGAAGACACCAAAAACAATTGCAACAAAAACAAAACTGGACAAATATTTTCTCCCATTCTCTAGTTTATCTGTTTATTCAATTGATAGTTTCTCACAGCAAAAGAAACTATCAATTGACTAAACAGACAACCTAGAGAATGGGAGAAAATGTTTGCAAACTACACATCTAACAAAGGTCTAATATCCAGAATCTACAGGGAACTTAAACACATTAATAAGCAAAAAAAAAAAAAACCCATTAAAAAGTAGGCATGGACATGAACAGACTGTGTCCAAAAGAAGACATACACATGGCCAACAAGCATATTATAAAATGTTCAACATCACTAACCAGCAGAGAAAGGCAAATCAAGACCACAATGAAATACCATCTATACCAGTCAGAATGGCTCTTACTAAAATGTCAAAAAACAACAGGTGCTGGCAAGGTTGTGGAGAAAAGGAAACGTTTATACACTGCTGGCGGGAATGTAAATTAGTTCAGCCATTGTGGAAAGCACTGCAGTGATTCCCCAAAGAACTTAAAACAGAATTATCAATCAACCCAGCAATCCCATTATTGAGTATGTGCCCAAAGGAATATAAATCATTCTACCATAAAGACTCATGGGTGCGTATGTCTATTGCAGCACTATATTCAGTAGCAAAGACATGGAATCAACCTAAATGCCCATGGATGGATATACAACATATTACACAGCCATAAAAAGAACTAGATCATGTCCTTTACAGCAATATGGATAAAGCTGGAGGCCATAATCCTAAGCAAACTAATGCAGAAAAAGAAACCCAAATGCCACATCCTAACTTATAAGTGGGAGCTAAACACTGGGTACACATGACCATAAAGAAAGGAATATCAGGCACTGTGTCCTACTTGAGGCTGGAGGGTGGGAGGAAGGAGAGATTTGAAAAATTCCTTATCAGGTACTCTGTTGATTATCTGGATGATGAAATAATCTGTACACCAAACCTCTGTGATGTGCAATTTACCTGTATAACAAACCTACACATGTACCTCTAAACCTAAAATAAATTTAAAAAATAAAAAGAAGAAAAAAGAAATTGTATTCTTCTCCTAAAACAAGGACACAGGCCTTTTTTACAGTCTGTCCATGCCACTTTAAAAGTTCAATCCTCCATATACTTGCTTAAGTACTGATTAGTTTGTTACCTTTCTAGGCACAAATGATGTTTAGAGAATTAATTTTAATGTCAACAGCAGGACAGTAACCTGTCAAACCCCAGGGAGGTTGATCACACCCTTCAGATCTTAACCAGAAAGTGGCTGAAGGAAAGCCATTGCAAACCCATGTCTCATTTTTGTCCCTAAAATTGAGACATAGAAGGCAGAAAGTCAGCATCAGTCTCCAAGGACTTTTTGCAACCAGTATTTCTGTGCCAACATCTTAGGCCAAATTATTGGAATGAGGTTTAAAACACTAGGGGAAGGGAGAAGCTGAATATTCCCCCTAGGCTAATAGTTGCCTGGTGAAATGTCACTGCATTTGTGTCAGAATGCGCAGAGGAATGCAATCCTGTCTGGGCAGAAGGCAAATAGAAAACCCAAAGGAGAGCTGATTCAATCACTCTGTATGATTTAGAATGTATTATGGTCAACATAGACACTGATCTACTTTTCCCAAGTTCCTATATTTAGGGACTGAAACTGCTGTTTCAAATAAAAAAAAAACATAAAATGAATTATTCTGAACACTTATACAAATCTGTTAGTGTGTTCAATTTCTCCTGGGAAAATGCAATGATTTGATGACAGTTCTGGAAGGGAACAAACAGAAGTATAGAAAGGGGTATGGGGAAGTTTCAGAGAGAGAGACAGAGACAGAAGGAGAGACATAAAGAGATAGAAAGGAGAAATACAGAAACAGAGTCTCAAAGAAAGAAAACAAAGAAGGGCAGATTCAGAGACAAGTTGTGAGGCAAGAACCAGACAGAGAAAACAAACACAAAGAAGTAATATTTAGAACACAGAGAGGCCTAACACTGAAAACCAATGACATAAAAACAAATGAAACACTGAAAAAATGTATATAACTTTTAAAAACCCAAGGAACCAGCCAGAGGAGCTGGGGAGGGAAAAGAGAGAAAGGAAGATAACCCATGGCAACACGCAATTGAGTCAATATTTATTGAGTGCCCACAGACAGCATGGCAACCTACTGGAACTTAAGTAGAAATAAATTCAATTCTCTCCGGTCCTGAAGGGTGGGGAAGCTCAGGTCTGCCATTCTGCCTAGGGGCTGAGGAAGTGTGAGTACATGCAGTTCTGCACTGAGCTCTGCTTGCTGCAGTTTGGCCCCAGCTCCACTTCCTTGGTCTGACCTGCAACCTTCTTCCCCAAATTCCATTGAAGAAAAACAAATACTTAAAGAGACACAAAGTTTTGTTTGTTTGTTTGTTTGTATGTTTGTTTTTTGGTATTTGTAACATCAGGTCTAAAACAAGTACTATTATTAGTAATAATGCTATATTTCTTTATGAAACATAAAAATCTGGAAGCTAGATGTTTTCAAAACAGAAAGGTTAAAATTTTAAGAAGAGACCAAACAAGAGACCACTTTCATTACGTATCTTCCCTCCCAGGTCCTGACATATATAATAATACATAGTATTTTAAAAGCACCAAAACCCCCTCCTGGCCAACATGGTGAAACCCTGTCTCTGCTAAAGATACAAAAAATTAGCCAGGCATGCTGGTGCGTGCCTGTAATCCCAGCTACTCAGGAGGCTGAAGCAGGAGAATCTCTTGAACTCGGGAGGCAGAGGTTGCAGTGAGCCGAGATAGTGCCATTGCACTCCAGCCTGGGTGACAGGGCAAGACTCTGTCTCAAAAAAAAAAAAAAAGCACCTCACATATCGCCACTAAAGAACTTACTCATGTAACCAAACACCACCTGTTCCCCCAAAAAACCTATGAAAATTAAAATAAAATAAACAAAACAAATCTCTCTAAATTTTATACAATTTAGTCTAGAAAATACGTTGTAAGAATGTCAGAGTACACAGACACATATCTGATCAAAATGTCTCCAAAAAACCTGCAGAAAGGGAAATGTAGTCTATTATATGACTCACCGTGCCCATGAAATAAAAATAAACCATGGTTTCTAAGAAATACAACCATTTCTGGCAGTGGGTGCTAGAAAATAGATTTGCAAAGAAAAGACACAATAATCAAAGCTCATTATGTTCCATCAATGGACCATACCTATTCAGACCAAACTATACCTGGTAAACCTAAAGAAAGAAGGCACATAGCAGAATAATTTGTGGAATATTAGCTTATTTATTCTTCCTATATTTTCCTACCTCACAACTGGAATTTTAGAACTGCTCTGCCTCTAGGATTTTTACAGGGTGGAAAACCAAAAGACACTTAAAAGAGATTTTTTTTTTGTCATATTAGAACTTCTTGAAAAGACTATGCTACTATTATCCTGAGGATGCAGGATAGAGAGAATACTTTCAGAAGCTTGGAAAGAGGGAGCTATGCCTCCTGAACCAAAAAGAGGGTCAAAGTCAAGGGCCCAGGCATTTCTCAGTAGCAAAATACCACCCCAGGGAGGTGTTATGTGTTAGTGGAAAGGATCACACAGTCTGGAACAGAGAGATTCTTAATGGTACCCAGTGGACAAAGGACCAATGACTACATCTCAGATGATGTGGCACTCCCTATAACTAACTTTAGGAATTCAGCACAACTCTATGGTGTGGCAAGTCCCAGTAGTGACTTCAACTGAATTCTCTACCACTCTAGCAAAATAGACTATGAGAACAATTTTTGTTAATTTTATAAAAAATGAGCTATTTCATATACATTGGAGTTTGTGGTCTAGATGTCATATATGCTACACAAACCTTGGCGTCAAATAGAATGAGGTCTGACTTAACTTTTGGTCATCTTACTTAATTTCTCCAAGTCTTACTTCTGTCATCTGTAAATGGAGACCAAAGGTAGAATTTTATTCATTTGTTATTATAAGTTGCGAGCAATAGCTGTATGCTCAGTGCTTAGTCCAGTACCTGGAACATAGTCAGTGTTCAGTAATGGTCATTATTTTTATTCAGTTTGAAAAATGTCTCACTCTAGTAAGAAGTCAAGCAAAATTTTGACACAAAGCTTATACGTAACTATTACAGAGGGAAACACCATCAGTTATGCACAACTGTTTACAAGATTTAAAAATGTAGACTATTAATAGTTCTTCAAGAGAAATGCCCCTAACCATTTCAGGAAGGACAATATGAACATACAAACCAAGAAAAACACCGACCATCTCCCACAACTTTCTCAGCAGAGGCCCGTGCCCATTCAGATCAACGTGTCCAATAAACCTCAAACTCATGGGAAAGAAAAATTTTAAAAGCAATTCAAAGCTTTAATATGTCAATGGCTTTTAAAAAGTCAACTGTCACACTTCTTCTCCTTTTCTTCCCTCCCTTCCCTCAACACAATCGTGTTTGAGGCCAAAGCTATTTATAATTCTTGGAGTGACTGACGTTAAAAGACTTTTGACAAGCAGTCTAGTGACCTTGATGAAAGTATCTTAATCTGACAGATAGACTTCTCAAATGGAATGTGGGAGGGGAGAGCATACTTTAACTTTTGGTAAGCTAAAATAGCACCTTGAAAATTGAATGACCCTAGATATGGATTTAGTAGTTGTACCCATTTCAGGTTATAAAAGCCCTAAGATTAAAAAAAAATTGCAAGTCCAGCTCAGGATAGAGGAAGGTTGATATTTCTGCATCTAATGTATGCCTCTAGCTCATTAGGTAATAAGGTTTGCATTCACATTAAAATTCTTAGTGTGACTTCAGGCTCTCCTCATTTTTGCTTTCCTCTACCCTTCTCAAATGATTTGGGACTAATCATTGGTTTCAGTTCTCTCACCAAGGGGCCCATGGTGAAAAAATCATGACTTAACAATTCAACAAGCATTTCTTGAGCATTTGTTATGAACTCAATACCAGGAATACCGACATGGACATAGTCTCTGCTGTCAGCCCTATCTCAAAACTCTGGCAGAGGCTTCTCCAGTTATATAGTTTGGATATTTGTCCCTGCTCAAATCTGATGTTGAATTGTAATCTCCAGTGTTGGAGATGGGGCCTGATGTGAGGTATTTGGTTCATCCAGGCAGATCCATCATGGCTTGGTGGTGTCCTCATGATGGTGAGCAAGTTCTCATGAGATCTGGTTGCTGCGAAGTGTGGCACCTACCCACCCCCTACTGTCTCTCTTGCTCTTGCTTTTGTTATGTGAAGTGCCTTCTCCCACTTCATCTTCCACCATGAGTAAAAGCTCCCTGAGGCCTCCCCAAAAGCCAAACAGATGCCAGAACCATGCTTGTGTGACCTGCAGAACCATGGACCAACTGAACCTTTTTTTAAAATAAATTACCCAGTCTCAGGTATTTCTTTAGAGTAATGCAACAATGGCCTAATACAGAAAATTGATATTTAGAAGTGAGGCATTGCTATAAAGATAGATACCCAAAAATGTGGAAGCAGCTTTGGAACTAGGTGACAAGAAGATGTTAGAAGAGTTTCGACATCTCAGAAGAAGACGACAGGAAGATGAGGTAAACTTCGCAAATTTTTAGAAACCCATTAAATGGTTGTAACCAAAATGCCGATAGTGATATGGACAATAAAATCCAGGCTGAGGAGATTTCAGACTGAAATGAGGAATTATTGGGACCTGGAGCAAAGGTCACCCTTGTTATTCCTTAGCAAAGAATTTGGCTGTATTGTATCCATGCCTTAGGAATCTGTGGAAGTTTGAACTTGAGAGTGACAACCTAAGGTATCTAGATTGAAGGAAGACATTTCTAAGCAGCAAATTGTTCAAGATGTGGTCTGAGTTCTTCTAACAGCCTATGTTCAGATACCAGAGCAAAGAAATGACTTAAAATTGAATTTATATTTAAAAGGAAAGCAGAGCATAAATGTTTAGAAGATTTCTCAGCCTAGCCATGTGGCAGGGAAAGAAAAAGCATTTTTCTGGAGAGGAATCCAAGCAGCCTGCAGAGAAACCACTTGCTAGAGAAATTTGCATAAATAAAAGGGAGCCAAGTGCTAATAGCCGAGACAATAGGAAAACAATTTTGAAAGCATTTCAGAGACTTTTGAGACAGCCCATCACAGGATCAAAGACCTAGGAAGGAAGAATGATTTTGTGGGCCAGGCCCAGGGCTCTGCTGCCCTGCACAACCTCAGGACAATGCTCCTTGCATCCTGGCTGCTCCAGCACTAGCCATGGCTCAAAGGGGCCCAGGAGTAGCTCAGGAAGCAGCTCCAGAGGGTGCAAGCCATAAGTGTTGGTGGCTTCCACATGGTGTTAAGCCTGCAGGTATACAGAGTGCAAGAGTGGTGGAGGCTTGGCACCCTCCACCTAAATTTCAGGGAACATGTAGAAAAGCCTGGATGTCCAAGCTGCTTATCAGAGTGAGCCCTCACAGAGAACCTCTATTCAAGTAGTGCAGAGAGGAAATGTGGCATAGGAGTCCCCACACAGAATCCCCACCAGGGCATTGCCTAGTGCAGCTGTGGGAAGAGGGCCACCATCCTCCAGACCCAAGAATGGAAGAACCACTGGCACTTTGCACCCTCAGTGTAGAAGAGCCACAGACATGCAACTCCAACCCATGACAGCAACCACAGGGACCGAACCCTGCGAAGCTACAGGCCAGAGCTGCCAAAGGCCTTGGGAGCTCACACCTTGCACCACTGTGTCCAGCATATGGGGCATGGAGTCAAATGAGACTATTTTGGAGCTATAAGATTTATTGACTGCCCTGCTGGGTTTCAAACTTGCATAGAGCCTGTAGCCTTTTTCTTTTGGCCAATTTTCCCCCTTTGGAATGGGAATGTTTACCCAATGCTTGTACTCACATTGTATCTTGGAAGTAAATAAATTATTTTGACTTTACAGGCTTATAGGTGGAAGGAACTTATCTCCAGATGAAACTTTGGACTTAGACTTTAGACTTGGAACTTTTGAATTAATGCCAGAGCAAGTTAAGATTTGGGGGTACTATTGAGAAGTCATGACTGTATTTCGCAGCATGAGAAGGATGTGAGATTTAGGGGTGGAGAAGAGGGGTGGAATGATATAGTTTGGATATTTGTCCATGCCCAAATCTCATGTTGAATTGTATTCCCCAATGTAGGAGATGGGGCCTGATGGAAGGTGTTTTTGTCATGCATGGAGGCAGGTCCCCAGGACTTGGTGCAGTTCTCATGATAGTGAGTGAGTTCTTGCAAAATTTGGTTGTTGTAAAGTGTGATACCACCCCTGCCCCGACACACATACAGTCTCTCTTGCTCTTGCTTTTGCCATATGAAGTGCCTTCTGTTTTGCCTTCCGTTATGAGTAAAGCATGTACAAGCATGGCACTGGAATGTACTGCAGGCTGTAATACGTGAGACTGGCTCATTTATTTAAAAAAAGAGGTTTAATTGGCTCATGGTTCGGCAGGCTTTAAAACATGGCACTGGCATCTGCTTGGCTTCTGGGGAACCAGCTTCTGGGAACCATGAACGGCCTAATACACCCAGCTTCTTATAGCTGGGCCCATTCATTCTTGTCTACCACCCAATCTCTTGAGCCACTTCCTGTGGCTCCCACAACCTCCCACTATGGCATTGTATTTTTCTTTCTTGTACAGTTACAGAGCAGCTATAATTCAAGATTTATGAACTTTTGAGGTTCATTCTTCTGATGATGATTGGAACTCATGCATGAGTTTCCACTAATGTTCCATTTTATAGAAAAGGGCTTCCATTTTTATTTTGGCTTCCATTTTCATTCTTGTTCTAGAAGTCTTCATGATTTTCTAGATCCTTCCTACGAAGAGTTTCGTTTCACTCAGACAGTCCTGCCTCTCTGGAGATAAGGCTTTATTATCCAGAGCAAAATCTTAGTGGCTGTGATCTTTCTACCTGCACACAAGCTTCCCTAATGACATCTGTTTGGATTTCTATGTTCTATTTGTACATTACTTTGTGCCCACCTCCAGGAGAACTCAGTGTGAGCTTGTAAATAATAAACAGACACTGTGTCATATTCTAAAGCTATGGAGATAAGACACAGAACCTACAATCAACAACTACAGTCTCAAAGGGAAAACAATAAGGCAATAGACAATTATAAGTGATTTATAACTATAAGTAGCAGAAGTATTCAGAAACACCATGGGCATAGAGAGGAAAAGCCCAAGTCTTCTCATGAAAGTGAAGGTGGGCATCACAGAGGAGGTGAGGTTTGAGTGGAATTGTAAAGGTGACATAGGAGTATACTAGATGAACTAAATGGTTGATAGGAAAAACGGGACTGGGTGAAGGTACACAGATTGGAGGTAGTGGGGACAGTGTATGCAAAAGCCTGGGATATACAACAGCATGGTATATCTAAGGTATAATAACCCTGTATGTTTTGCTTAGGAGTTTGACTTTTATCTTATAGGCCAAAACAGCAAATAAAATTAATCTGGAGGGCCTACAGACTCCTGCCTCTCATGGTATTTAGTAATGTCTATTGTGGATGAGGAAGACAGGACTGTGAATCAAATGCTGTCTGTTTGCAATCTAAGCATAGATAAACTTGAGCCACTGAAGGATTTTATTAATCTGTAAATAATGTACCTGCAAGTTTCTGTCTTGTGACTCCAAGTAGGAGAGCTTCCTTAAGATCTAGCCTGGCCTTGTGGATGTATTTACTGACCATGTCAGGATTTTTATCTTTCCAGACTTTTTTTTTTCTTTTTAGATGAAGTCTTACTCTGTCACCCAGGCTGGAGTGCAATGGCACCATCTTGGCTCACTGCAACCTCTGCCTCCCAGGTTCAAGCAATTCTCCCACCTCACCCTCCCAAGTAGCTGGGACTACAGGCGCCTGCCACCACACCTGGCTAATTTGTTTTTGTATTTTTAGTAGAGATGGGGCTTCACCATGTTGGCCAGGCTGGTCTCGAATTCCTGACCTCAAGTGATCTGCCCGCCTCGGCCTCCCAACATGCTGGGATTACAGGTGTGAGCCACCGCAACTGGCCCAGACATTTTTAATTGCAAGTAAACAGCCTGTAGATTTCTTTGAAGGTTTTAATATTTGCCCTCAAAGTGAGAATATTAAACTATGGAAGAGGAATAAGCAAACAAATAAATATGAATAGTGTGATAAGTGCCATAATAAAGGTACATTCTTAAAAGCCTGCAACATAATGCAGAGAGAAAAACTCTACCTGGATGATTAGAGAACTCTTTATCAAGTAGATAATACAAAAGCCTTGCATGACAAGTTAGAACTCTTAGAGGTGGAGAAGGGAATTTGCAGAAGAGGAAACAGCCTAAGCTAAGAGCACTAGTGTGGGGGCATCTGTGGTCTATTCAGGAAACAGCAGAGAATTTTGTATTGACAGTGTGGTGGTAAACCAGGACTGGTGGCAGATATACAACTGTAAAGGCAGGTTGAGGCAATTGTGAAAAACCTTGTATAACATGCTTTGAGCAGAGCTGTTTCTTAGACACACCTCTGATGTGGTAAGGAGAACAGGCTGTAACTTAGCATGGAGACAGAGAGAGTAGTTTAAAATCCAGTAAGGCATTCGGAGCAGAGAAGCTGATCCAGAAGTAAGAGCATGCACCCCCTATCCCGCTGCCTGGAAAAAATGCAGAAGTCCAGATTGGAGTTACAGTTCCATCACAAATGGCCTATGATTCAGGCTGTGGGAACACCTCAAGCAATCTCAGCCTGATAGAGCCGCCAGTGCCCTCTGATGGTGGCCTGTTTGATGGCCAGAAATCAAGGCACCATCTAATTCCTCTTCCATTTCCCAAGGTTTTACCAAATGCTTGGCTGCTGTGATAACTGCTGGAGCCACAGATCTTCAAGACATTGGTCTTTCAATCGAAAAGCTCATAGTCTGGTCATCCTGATGTAAGACACAGAGATGAGCATATCATTGGTCTATGCAATAAAAAAATATGCATAAGAAAGTTTGTATAGAAGGATGATTAACTCAGGACTCGGGGGCTTTGATGGTGGTTTGATCTCTGGGTTGGTAGTGAAAATATACCCATGGAAGATGTAATTGGCCTCTGAAATAAGATTAGGACTTCAGAAGGTAATTAATAGGAAGGCTTTCATTGAGACCAACATGGGTTATTTGGAAAACTGAAAGTAAGTCTGTGTTCTAGAAGCATCAACAGTTGGCACAGATTTTGCAGTGGCTCTTCTGAGGAAGTCTTAATGATACTCAATGTTTCCTACAGGGCTTCACTCAGCAAATATGTATTAGGCATCTTCTACAGGCCAAGCCCTCTGGTGAGCAATGTGATATGGGACCCCCAAGGTGCTTACAGCGAAGCATTAAGACGGGCGTTCAGACAGAAAGATATGAAGGGGTACTTTCTTTAAAGTTCAAGTTGTACACAAGTAGCAGTTGGCAGCAAAGGGAAACAGGCTTTTACATGGAAGGGGGCAGTCAAGGAAAGCTTCCCAGAGAAGGAAGTGCTTGAGTTGAACTTTGAAGAAGAAATGAGTAGGAATTTCCCGGATGACAGTCCAGGAAAGGTGTGGCAATTTTGTTTCTGTGATGTGGCTCTAGATGAGTGTCTTCCTGCCTCTCTAGTCATGTCATCTCTGCTCTTCTCTTCAGGCTCCTCTTCTTCCCACCTCTACTGTGATTGATCCTTCAAGGTTCTGTGCTCAGCCCTTCCGTTGGTTCTTGGATTTGTCCTTTCCCGCCATGTCTTCATCACATCCACAACTTCCACTAACACTTGCGAGCTTCAAACTTCTTAGTAAGTAAAGACTCCACATTGCCAAGTACAGGACTTTTTACCCAGGAAGTCAGCCTATCTCTAATGAAACATGCTCCAAAAATAACTTACCATCTTTCATCTCTGTTGTCCCACCTATCTTTTTGTGGCCTGATTTTATAAGTCAAGAACCCTGAAGAGATCCTTAGCTTGCTTCCTTTCTATTCCCAACATCCAGTGACTCTCCAAGTTCTGCAGTGCTCTTAAATCCTTTCTGTGTCCACTGTTAATTCCTTAAAGGGGTCCCTCATAATCTCTTGCCTGTCTGATTGCAGTCACTTCCTAATCTGTCTCTCTATTTCCAGCTCACACTCTAAACCTATCCTTCCTCACTACTGCTGGGGTGGTATTCCCAATCAGCAAGTCTGATTTTGGATCATATCCCACTTCACCACACCCCTACTGCTTTTGATAGTCCCATGTTCCTGACAACCTTTGGAATTAGGTCTCAATGCCTTAGGGTGGTAGACAAACCTCTCCTGCTGACCTCATCAGTAGCTTTATCTGTTGTCCTCTCCCTTCAGGAATTCACCAGAAATTCTAAACGGATTGTAGATCTCCCAAAATATCATTTTTTTTCATATTTTCTTGCCTTGAAATGCTATCACCTGTAATGTTTTCCCTATCACTCTTTCCACATGACACTGTCACGTCCCCTTCCTTGACTCTGCCTTCTGGATAGATGGCCACTTTCTTTTCTGGGCTACTTCTGGACCAGGTATTCTGAACTATCTATTATTATGCCACTTTGTGAAAATCAAAGAAGCAATATAGCTTAGGAGTTAGGAAAAAGCAACCAAATCCCAGCTCTGACACTTACCAGTGTGAACTTAGGCAAGTTATTTAATTTCTCCTTGGCTTAATTTCTACAAAACTTAGCTATAAAATGGGACTGATAATAGTATCTGCCTCATAAAATTGTTGTCCAGTTAATGTATATAAAGTGCTTTAAACAAAAAAGTACTGGGCTTATAGTAAGGATTATATAAGAATTTGATGATTGCCAACTGTGAGCATCTCGATTTGAGGGAACTATGTCTTGTTCATCTCCATGTTCCCAGGGCCCAGCACCAGTGTCTTACACACAGGGTATGTGGAACAAATGTTTGTTTACAGAGGAATGACTGAATCTCTGGCTTTTCCTTTCCCTTGGTGTAAGACCCAGTAAATCCCTGAGTCATGCTGATTTTCCTTTCCAATGTCCTCCGTGTTTAATTTTTTTCTATGGTAACTATCACAGCTCCTTCATTTATTCAGCAAAAAGTTATTAGTCAACAGTGTGCAAGGCACCCTAATTGCTAGAGATAACTGCTGTAAACAAGACAGATTCCTTCTGCTTATGGACATTGCATTCTAGCAGAGGACACAGACATGAAATAACAGCACATTAATTACCTGATCAAGAGTGATATATATAATAGGAGTCTTGGGGAGGTCAGAAAATTTCTCTTAGATAAAAAATTTGACTAATATAAAAAAAAACTAGAAGTAAATAGCTAGAATAAGGTGGTAAAAGCTGTGGTGGAGAGTGACCCAGGCAAAGGGAATGGCATGTGTAAAGCTCTGAGGTAGGAAGAAATTTAACATGTAGATTTTTAGTTCCCTGTGTCTGGATTATTGCTACAACTGCTACCCGATTTCTGTAAAGAATGATCGTCCCCACTGCTCTCATATTAAACTTTCCATCATGTAGATTCCCTGCTCAAGAACCTTCCATGATTCTCTATTGCCTACTGAATGACATGCTAATTCCTGAGTTGTTTTTCATGTCCCAATATAATATGGGTTTCAGTGATTATCCAATTTTATCTTCCACAAATCATCTACCATATACTCACCATAGCCATCATGAACTACTTGATATTCTCCACACATTCTTTATGTTTTCCTACCTTTCTACCTTCGTTCAGGTTGTTATTGCTACCAAAATGCCTTTCTTCTCTGTTCCTATCCATGCTTGTTTCACAAAAAAAAAAAATCCATTTGCTATATATGTGATGTGCTTTGATATTTTCTATTCTAGTCTATTACATTCTAGTTCAGTTTTTAAGACAAACAAGCAAGATGTAAGCCACATAAGTGATTTCGTAACTCATGAATGGATCTTGACCCAGGGTTGAAAACATTGTCCTAAATAGCTTTAAAGATTTTTTCATGATCTATGATTTTGAAGAGGGTTGGCTTTACTAGAGTCAAAATTTTCTTCTTGCAGTAGAATCCTCTAACCAGCTACATCTGGATTATTAGTCATCTGTATTCTCTGAAGACAGGACAGTGAAATTCAGCCTGAACACATGATCAATGGGGAAGCTAATCATACAGATCCAAAGCACCCTAAGGATGCTTAGTAATACATCTTGATTTGTAGGTGATATCACACTTTGCTATTTCAATCCTGCCAATGATCTGAACTGAAGTTGCTAATTGTATTGAACTGTTCCGGATCACATCTTGGGCAAAGACGAACATGGGAGAGCATTTGTTCCAGCTGAGACTGAGAAAAAAAAAATCCTCTTTTAGCAAATAAATCCATAGCAACTAGATGCAACTGTAGCTCATGTTATGGCCCATCATCTCTTTCTCTAAGACAGAGAACCTGGGCATCGGCCGCCCCCTTCTTTAAATAACCTACCACCAATCCTCTTGACTTTACATCCTACAAGTGTCTCCGATCTGTTGACCTCTCTCCAACTTTCCTGCCTTGCCTGGAGCTCAAGCCTCCTAAATGTTTATTTTGCAATCTTTCTTAGTGTTTCACACAGTGAAAGATCTATTGTGCCATCCTCCTGCTAAGAACCATTCAGTTATCCGCTGTTTGTTCCCTTAGGAGAGGGTCCAGTGGATACTACATAAAATTGCTTGCAAAGCCCTTCCTGATCCATCCTCAGTAAGCTTTCCTGTCTCATTCTTACTCCCTTCTTTCTTCTTTTCCTCCTCCTTGTCTTCTCTTCCGCCATTCATCTTCTACCCTCTGATCATTAAAAACAAAAAGCTTTGTTCCTCAAACACTTCATGTTTGTTTTCTTTGGTTTGGTTTTCTGGTCTAGAGCATTCCCTTCTTTATTAGACAGCTCTTATCCTTCCTTCAAAACACATCTTGGATATTTCATTCCTTGAGCTTTCTAAGTCAAAGCCATGAGACTCTCCCCTGTCCTCCCTTAATTCCCTATAGTTCACCATTACACCATATCCAAATTATCCATTCACTTCACTTCAACAGTGTGAAAGCAGGACTTTTTCAGCACAATATTTCTATTGCCTATCACATAATAGGAGAACCCTGCAGTGTCCAGCTAAGCTGATGACTTGAAGATAAATCTGCCTAACCCTGGGATGAAGTATCTGTGAACTATTTTGACAGCAGATGTAAGTCATGATCTCCAAAGAACTTACCAGTTACTATTAATATTTTTTTTTACTTAGTATGTTTAAATCTCCATTTGTTTTATGTATCTCATTTCATAAATTCAGGAGTGGGTGAAAAAAAGAGGTGCTAATTTTGGTTCCCTGAAATTCCAATATTTCAGGTAATCTCTCTTAGACACTAAATTTTACTTCTTACCAGGCCCACCCTGGCCAATATATAGATCCTCAGATTAATGGGGCTTTCACAACAGTTTTATTCAATTATTCTCAATCATCCACTTTTCATTGATTAAACAACTACTAAGTGCTAGATACTGGAAATACTAGATGGTTAAGATGTCATCCCTCCCCTCAAGACCTAGTCTATCCTGAGCTCCAAGGAGGGAAGGGACCAAACAGTAAGCTATTATGAAATAGAAGTTCTTACATAAACTTTAACAGCCAAAGAGTTCCACAGAAGCATAAAAATGTTAAGAAATGAGAGTTTGCTTTCCGTACAAAAAAAGAAAACACCAAGTAAGTTTTATGAATGATAAATATTCTGAGAGAGAAACACACAGCAAGCTGCAGATACCATACAGAGAAGTTTTTGTTTTTTTTTTTGCTAATGGAACCATGAAGATTCCCATTGCATCCACTCACATTTAGTCAGTGCTATTTTAGTTAATTCTAATGGATTCTTTTCTCTTTAAGTTTTATTTATGTTTGATTGACACACAATGATTGTGCAAATTTATGGAGTAAAATGTGAATGTTTCCCTTTATAACTGAAAAGCAAGTAGCCTAGCAAAGTCTACAAATTTCTTCAAAGGCATAAAAGCAAAATATAGCCAAGGTGATGCAGCAGGTGTTGCAGGTTGTTGCAGGTGTTGCAGGTGTTGATGGGTGGTCAACATTTACAGGTTGTGCTGATTATTAAACTTTGAATGTTAATGTGGAGGCTGCTAATGCTAACACTAGAAAGTTAGAAATGTATTCTGAAGGATTTTTGACTTAAGTAAAATTAGAAATGAGCAAAACCTTTCTGGTCAGAATGATTCTACAATTTTCACAAGCCAAAAATTATTCAAAATGCATCTCTGAGGCTTTTGCATAAGTATTTAGGACCTCTTTGAATTTCTTGCTATTCCTGTAACATATTTGCTTTATAATACGTTATCCCTTTGCAGTTCTTTCTGGTTGGAATAGCTCCCTGCCCCTCAGGTGCCCAGTAAACTTAATTGTCACTTCTGTGAAGCCTTACAAGATCAGTGGGAATCCCTTAGGCTGAATTAATAACTTCCCACTCCTAGTGGCCATACCACTCTATGACTTTCCTTTTAAATTGTCCTTACTCCATTATAGTATTCTTTGTAGAATTGTCTCTGTTCCCTAACAGACTGTGTAAGCTACTTAATAATTCCATAATTCCTTAGCTACAGGACCCAACAGTGCCTTATATAAATTTCCATAAAGGCAGGTTTAATGGGTGAATCATTCTACTTTTTTCTTTGCCTCTTCTGTGTCACCATAGTACTAAGTCTCTGTTCTCTTTCATGGTCTTTTCTTCTCCAGTTTGAAAAACTTTATGATGTACAATAAGGTCTCACATAACATTATTGGTAGGTTCTTGAAAACTGCAACTTTAAGTGAAATGATGACTATTGAAGTCAATTTTACCATAGGCTAACTAATATAAAAAAGAGATAAATTCTTAGAGTGTATTTCTGCTCACAAAAATGTCACCAAACTTCTAACTAAAAAACAAAACCCTTCTAATCTTAAACCTTGAGATAAATGTAAGCTATACATCCATTTAAGAAAGATTAATACAAACAAGTAAGATAATTATTTACCCTATTATTTCAGTTCATGGTCACAGGTGGCCAAAGTCCTTCCTGACAGCTCAGGTAGCCAAGCAGAAACCCATCCTGGACAGAACAATGTGCAAACTCCACACAGACAGTAGCCCCGATGGGGAATCACATTTTTTTCTCATCAATGTTATAATGAAATGAAGTTGAATAAAATGGCATTGAATAAAATATTATTTGAGTGCCTGTTGTACATTACTAAAAAGTTCTAATTTGACCATTAGAATATATATTATTTTTAATTAGTTACAAATTTATCTTAGAAAAAAGTAGGAGTTCTAGTTTAAGAGCCATTTTTGTCAGTTTGGGACAATCACTTTACTTGTCTTGACTTCAGTTTCCTCATCCAAATAACGAGGACATTACCAAATGATCTGCAAATCCAGCGCCCACTCCCCCCCACCCACTCTAATATTACGGTCCCATACTCTTTCTGAATTCATGAAAAACGCATAGTCTAGGTCACATAATAGTACACTTAATTAACAGTTTTATTATCTTGTCTCATTACTTCTTTCTTTGCTCTTCCTCAAAAACACATAACCAAATAGTAAGTTCTATGATGTCTGAAGAACTCAGAAAGTCAAACCGATACAGATTTAAGTCCTGATTCTGCCATACGAAACATCTTTCTTGTCAACTTCCTCAACATGGATAAGGCTCAGTTTCTCATGTGTAAAATGGGAATAATAATAGTAGTACTTTTTAAATAGAGTCATAGCTAGCCTCCTTCTGCATTTCTTACGAGTTCCTGCAATTGGCAGTCGTGTAAGAATGCAAGGTCTTAATAACACAGATACGTTCACTGATGAATTAATCACTAGCCTGTGTTTTCGCCCGTTATGTCAAAGCATTTTTATCTGTTTCTTGCTGATTGCCAGATACTGTAAATACCTAATATTACAATAAAATTACAGTGCCAACTACATATAGTGCCAACTAAAATTGTAAATCTTGCAATATATGCAAATCTTCATGAAGTTGATAAACACAGAGCTAAATAATTGTAAGGAACACAGGTGAAGCCATTGACAAATTGAAAAAAAGAAAACTAATGAGAATATGACAGACTAGGCACCATAAAGACACTAAATGGAAAATGCTGATTAAATAGATACATGACTCTAACATTTTTCACAAAACTAAAATCATGTGGCAAATCTTTAAAAAGGATAGTTTTGTATTGTTATGCAAATGCTCAAAATTAATTATTTAATTCATTCTTTGCTCTTTCTAAGGAATAATTTATGGAAGTAATGAGCAAGAGGATGAAATTCAGCATGAGAATAGGAGCATCTCACAGTGGGCACTGCAGAGAAAGTGGGGGACAGTGAGAAGCAGCAAAGGCAGCCCACTCCTCATTCTCAATTCTGACACAGGCCAACTCTGGTGCTTACCCTTAGCAGCAAAATGAGAAAGCAGTGGACAAAAACACAAGGCGGATCATTGAACTCTGTGTGTCTGATACCTAACACCTTATTGAAGTTTCAACCTAAGCAAGTCTATTCAAATATTAAAAAACTAATAATGTTTAAACTTCCATAAAACCTTAGTGAACACTAATTATTTCTATAGCATTTTGCAATAAATAAAAGTAATTTTACTGCTTTTTGTTCAACGAATAACTCTGTGAGGTAGTTGAAACAGATATTACCTCTATTTTACTACTGAAAAACCAAATGTTGGTAGGAGCTTACTCAGGTACTCAGAGAAAGAACACAGGTCCTGGACCCCAGGGCATATTGATAAAAATGTTTTATGTCATTTTCATCTGACCAGTAATGTAGTTCAAATTCTCATTATAATCTTTTTAGGGTATATTTTGTTGGTCCCAATTTTCTGAAAGATAAGAAATCTGAGGATTGAAGAGATTCAATAAACTGGCCCAGAGTCAGTGGTAAATATCAGTTTCCTAATTCCATGATCCCTGCTTTCTCCAGGACACTCTCCCCTTTCACTATGTCAGGTTGTTTGCTAAAACTCAGAATCAAATGTCTTTATTAATAATAGGAAAACTATACCAACAGAAACGAGGTTTTCAGAGAATAATAGAAATTTAGAAAGTTTGTCTTAGAAAAAGTGACTGCAGTTCATACCTCAATTATAATTACTGGTACATTTAGGAACTGAAGTTTAAAAGTGATGCATTTGTTTCAACGTTGTTTCCTTTTTCTGTGTACTTCCTATAGGTGATACTAAAGAGCAATGAAATAAGCAAAAGCTATGTTGTACCAAAAAAAAAAAAAAAAAGAATCTGTGTTTTGTATTAATCCCTGAGCTCAGTAGATCATTGCCTCTATCATCCCATTTTACCAATTGAGATGTGAACTATAGAGATTAAGTGAACTTTCTAGGGTCACAGAGTTCCAAATCGGCTGAGCAAATATATCAGTGGTTCTTGAGACATTCACTGTATTTTATGACTATCTTTTCTGTAAGCATATTGTAGTAAAAATATAAAATTTTGTTTAATAAAGCAACGAAGAGAATACATAAGCAGAAATTATTCCCAGTAAACTGGCCTGAATTTATGTGTTGTGAGTGATGAGTATGTTTCTACTACTATTGCAACTGTAGTCATGAATTATTTGCGAACAAGGGCCAAGAATACATAGTTTAGGTTATATTAAAATTGCAGTTAAGAAAATATTTTCCTCTGGGAGGCTGAGGTGGGTGGATCACAAGTTCGGGAAATCGAGACCATCCTGGCTAACACAGTGAAACCCCGTCTCTACTAAAAATACAAAAAATTAGCCGGGCGTGGTGGCGGTGCCTGTAGTCCCAGCTACCCGGGAGGCTGAGGCAGGAGAATGGCGTGAAGCTGGGAGGCGGAGCTTGCAGGGAGCCGAGATCATGCCACTGCACTCCAGCCTGGGCGACAGAGTGAGACTCTGTCTCTAAATAAATAAATAAATAAATAAGAGTGAAATCCAAACACAAGAAATCCATGCTAATCCACATCAAAATAAAAAGAAAACTAAGAACAAAAAAATCTTGAAAGCACCAAGAAATAAATGACACCTGAACTATCAGGGGAAAAAAAAATTTGAATGACAGTGGATTTCTCATCAGAAATCATAATGATCAGAAGGAAATGGTACAACAAATTCAAGTCCTGAAAGAAAAGAACTGTCAAACCCAAATTTTGTATGTGGCAACATTTTCCTTCAGAAATGAAAAGAAAATAAATGCATTTTCAGATTAATGAAAATTAAGAGAATTTGTCACAAGCCACATACATTAAAACAATGGCTAAAGAAACCCCTTAGAGAAGGAATCTTAAAACATCAAGAACAACAAATATAAGTAACTACAAAAGACGTTCCTTCTCCTCTTGTGTGTTCTACATTTAGTTTAGTAGTCAAAGCTAAAAGTACAATATTTTCCAATATGAATCTAAATGTATGTAGCAAAAACATTTAAGAGAACTATATTATAAATGGGTTGGGAAGATAGGTACAGAGACTTAAAAGAAGGCAAGTTTTCTATGTTTGACATAAATTGGTAAAATATTAACACCAACAAATCTTTGTGGTGGTGGAAGAATTCTGTATCTTGCTTCTAGCGGTTGTTACAGGAATGCATACATATGAAAAGATGGCATAGAACTATACACCACATTGTACCAATGTCAGTTTCCCAGTTTTGACATTGTACTATTGTTAATACAAGATGTAACCATTGGGAGAAAGTGAGTGAAGGGTACCCAAGAACTATCCATTTTCCAAATTATGAATCCACAACTATTTCAAAATAAAAAGTAAAAAATGTAAGCTTTTAAAAAATTCTTATTAAGTCACATTCTGAAACACCTTCTAACCTTAAAAAAATGGGAAAAAGCCCATAATAAAGAGTTGGTATAAAATTACAGAGCAAATTTCTTCAGTAATTGATTGTTTTGCTTTAGTTAGGTTTTTGATCATCATTTGTGACCTACTTGAATTGGGGAAATGCAACTCTGTTTTGATGCTGATGTTACTATCAATGTCTGCTTTTTTTTTTTTTTTTTTTGAGATGAAGTTTCACTTTTGCTGCCCAGGCTGGAGTGCAATGGTGCAATATCGACTCACTGCAACTTCCACCTCAGCGGCTCAAATGATTCTCTTGCCTCAGCCTCCCAAGTAGCTGGGATTACAGGCCCCTGCCACCACACCCAGCTAATTTTTTGTAGCTTTTTTATGTCTTCAATAATCACATTGTATAAAAGCTAATGAGTTATCTTGGCTAGGTCATAAAGATAACTGACAACTTTGTTAACAGTTCCTAAATAAAAATATTATTTATAATCTTCAGCTATCAGAGTATAGTGATAGACACCTTGGAAGTCTACAAGCATTTTTTTCTCTTTCAGAGAAGTGAAAAAACTAGCATAAGAGTCTCTGGATGTCTTAGTGGCACAACTAGATAGTGGCATCAAGCTATGAAACATCCAGGCCATATTACCAAACTTTTTAATCTACCGTGAAAATCCTTGTCCTTTTAATCTGTAGCAAACATTTTTCTGGAAACTCTAAAAGCCCATATCGCTCCTCTCAGAACTGACCCCACTTCCCCAGTACAACTCTATTTGGATTATATAATCTCCACTGGTCTCACTGGACTAGTTAATATGATTGTCTCTCCAGATAATTGAGAATTATGACCCATAGATTCAAACTGGGTAAACTTAAGGTTCTATGTTGCCAGTTGGCTACTGCTATTACTTTTGGATTTTATCAATGATGAGATATTCCAAACACACAGAAAACACCCATTTGCTCCCTTCCCTGAATGAACAGATATTAATACTCTGTCATAATTCTTTCAAATTTCTTTTTCCCTAAAAATTAAAAAAATTTTGATATAGACACAAAATTAAAGTAGTACTAGATATACCAATCACCAAGATAAAACAATAATCGATATTTTGTCGCGTTCACAGAACTAATTTATTTATTTATTTTTAAAATTATGGTAGAAAACACATTTTAACATAACATGTTTAACATAAAAATTAGCATCTTGACCATTTCTAAGTGTATAGTTCAATAGTGTTAACAATAGTCACATTGTTGTGCAATAGATCTCTAAAAGTTTTTCATTTTGCAAAACTGAAACTCTATACCCATCGAAAAACAACTCTCTATTTCCCCTTCCTCACAGCCCCTGACATCCACAATTCTGCTTTCTATGAGTTGGACCAATTTAGATGCCTTATACAGGTGGAATCATACAGTGTTGGTCTCTTTGCGACTGGGCTTATTTTACTTACCATAATGTCTTCAGGGTTCATCAATGTTATAGCACATGACAGAATTTCCTTCTCTTTTTAAGCTAAGTAATATTCCACTGTATGTATATACTCCATTCTCTGTATCCATTTATATGTCAGTGGACATTTGGGTTGCTTTCACCTCTTGGTATTGAGAATAATGCTGTAATGAACATGGATATGAAAATACGTCATCAAGAGTCTGTCTTCAATTCTTCTGGATATGTACCCAGAGTGGGATTTCTGGATCATATGGTAATCGCATTTTTAGTTTCCTGAGGAAACTCTATACTGTTTTTCTTACTGGCTGCATTGTCAATTCCCATTGACAGTGCACAAGAATTGCAATTTCTCCACATTCCAATACCACTTGCTATTTTCTGTTTTTATGACAGTGGCCATGTGTATTAGTCCATTCTCACACTGCTATAAAGAACTACCTGAGACTGGGTAATTGAAGAAAAGAGGTTTGACTCACAGTTCCCTAGGCTGTACAGAAGCATGTTTTGGAGGCCTCAGGAAATTTACAATTATGGCAGAATGCAAAGGGGAAGCAAGCACATTTTACCATGGTGCAGCAGGATAGAGACCGAGAGAAGGGGGAAGTGTGCCACACAACTTTAAACCATCAGATCTCATGAGAACACACTAACAGCAAGGGGGAAATCTGTCCCCATGAGCAATCATCTCCCACCAGGCCCCTCCTCTGACATGTGGAGATTACATTTTGACATGAGATTTGGGTGGGGACCCAGAGCCAAACCATATCACCATCTTAATGGGTGATATCTCATTATAGTTCTGATTTGCATTTCTCTAATGGTTAGTGACATTGAATATCTTGTCACTTGTTAGCCATTTATAACTCTTCGGAGAAATACCACTTTGAGGATTTTACCCATTTTTTTAACTAGGCTATTTGCTTGTTGTTAAATTATAGGCATTCTTTATATATTCTGAATCTAACTCCTTACCAGATATATGATTTGGAAATATTTTCTCCCATCTCGTAGGTTAATTTTTCACTCTAAGGATTGCTTCCTTTCATGTGCAAAAGGCTTTAAGTTTGATGTACTCTCATTTGTCTATTTTTGCTTTTATTGCCTGTGGTTTTGGTGTCATCTCCAAGAAAACATTGCCAAATCCACTGTTATAAAATTTTTCTCCTGTGTTCTTCTTATAGTTTTATATTTTAAGGTCTTATGCCTAGGTCTTTAATTCATTTTGAGTTTATTTTTGTATATTGTGTAAAGTAAGGATCCGACTTCATTCTTTTGCATGTGGATATCCAGTTTTCTCAACACCATTTATTGACAGGACTACCCTTTAAGCCCATTGTATGGTTTTGGCACTCTTGTCAAAGATTGATTGAGTGCGTGCACAAGGGTTTATCTGGGACCTCTATTCTATTCTATTGATCCATATGTCTGTCCTTATGTCAGTACCACACCGTTTAGATTACTGTAACTTGGGATCACTTAACCTATTTAAAACACGTTTTTTCTTTTTCTTATTTGAAGTATTTTTCAGCAAATATCAGATGGTATTATTTTACCCCTTCATAATTCAGTATAACTCTAAAAATTATGGCCCACTACAAAACCACAATATTATTATCACTCATAATGTTTCTTTGGCATAATCTCATACCTGGTCTTAATCAAATGTATGGATTTTCTCAAAAATGTGTTTTCTGGCTTACTTGAATTAAAATCTAAACAAGGTCCACATTTTAATATGTTTGTTTTTTAGGTCACTCGTAATTTAGAATAGTTCTTCCTCTGCTCCCTTTTCCTTCAGCCATTCACTTATAGAAATTAGTTTAGTTGTTCTATAGAATGCCTCCCATTCTGGATTTCTCTAATTCTTTATTATGTCTTTTAACACTAAATGGAAATTAGCTAGTGGCTTAACTCTGTGGTCATTTAACTATAAATTGAAATTAGCCTAGAACCATAATGTTTTTATGTCTGCAAGCAGTTTTTTAATCTTATCTGCAAATGGAAGATTCTGAGGACTTTTCCCAGTTTCACTGGGCATTCTCACATGTCTTACCATGTTTCCACCCAAGGAATATAGGATCTTCTTCTTTTAGTAGATGTTTGTAGAAAAATTTTTTACACCCCGAGTTTGTGGCATACATAGGTTGTCCCTATTCATTTTTCACTATTACTGTCACACAACTTCGTTCTTGTTCTTGTTCTTGTTATACTGCTGTAAGTGATTTACCATTCCTGTTCATAATCTGAAATTTATGAGAATTTATTGCCTTTGATTTTTATTTAAGATATTAACAGTGCATTTATTATTGGCTATCCTAATTGATTTGTTTGTTTTCCAGGAGGAATTTTGGGGAAATTAAAACCTGCCTTTCTGCCAGGATCACATCACTGGAAGCTCCATGACTCTCTTTTTGTAAAAGAAAAAAAAATCACAGAAACACCCACCTCCCAAACTATTCTCTTTTACTTCTTCCCCCAAGCCCACCCCCAAATATAACTGTTATCCAGAAGCTGTTATGTCCTGTTTCCATACATGTTTTTGTACTTTTACTATATCTACATACATCAATTAAACTTATGTCCTATTGTTTTGTGAATTTATATTTGCGTATACATTATCATATGTAAAATTTGCATTTTTTTATTGAAAATTATGTTTCTTGAGATTTATCCACATTGAAACATGGAGCTCTAAATCGTTAATTTTAACCGCTATAGAGTATTCCATAATTTGAATAAAGCATAATTTGTTTGTACAATCTCCCGCCAAGGGAAAATTATTTCCACACTCATCATGACAAGGAGCACTGCAAAAATAAAAATAAAAATTACATTCATACATGTTTGCCTGCACCCATCTGCCTGATTTTCTCTAAAATAAATATCTAGGAGTGAAAGTGCCAGGTCAAAGAGCATGTGCATCTTCTTATGCCCACATATATGAGAGTTTTCCCCAAGTATATCTACATCAACGTCTATGATGTTTTAATTTTCTACATCCTTCTCTGTATTCATTTGTTTTCATGCTGCTATGAAGAAATACCCAAAACTGGGTAGTTTATAAAGACAAGAAGATTAATTGGCTCACAGTTCTGCATGGCTGGGAAGGTTTCATAAAACTTACAATCATGGTGGAAGGGGAAGGAAACACGTCCTTCTGCACATGGTGGCAGGAGAGAGAAATGCCAAGCAAAAGGAGGAAAAGCCCCTTATAAAACCATCAGATCTTGTGAGAATGAACTCACCATCATGAGAAGATCATGAGTGTAACTGCCCCCATGATTAAATTACCTCCCACCAAGTCCTCCTATGATAAATAGGAATTATGGGAACTAAAATTAAAGGTGAGATTTGGGTGGGGACACAGAGCCAAACCATATCATTGTCAATGTGAAATAGTACTTTATTGTTACTCTATTATATATTTTATTGAATGAAATGTGAGGTTGAGAACTTTTACAAGCCCTATTAATCATTTTGTCTTCTTTTTCTTTTTCTGTGTATGGTCTGTTTATAACATTGATAATCTCTTGGGTTTTATGTCAATTTCTTAATGATTTGTGAGGGTTTAAAAAATATTCTAGATAATGATTCTTCTTGATATTTATTAAATACAATGTGTTCTCATAAAATCATCTATGAATTCTTCCTCCTATCCTCCTCTCCATTCCCTTTCCTCTGCCTTCGTCTCTATCTCTACATCTACCTCTACCTCTACCTCTAGCTCTATTTCTAGTTATAGCTCTAGCTCTATCCCTGTCCCTATCCCTAACCCTATCTCTACCTCTAGCTCCACCTCTACCTCTACCTCTATGTCTAGCTCTATCCCTACCTCCACCTCTAGTACTGATACCAGCTCTAGCTCTACTTCTGTCTCTACCTCTACTTCATCTCTATCTCTAGTTCTACCTCTAGTTCTACCTCTAGCTCTAGCTATACTTATATCTCCACCTCATCTCTATCTCTAGCTCTAGTTCTAGCTCTACCTCTACATCTAGCTCTAGCTCTATCTCTACCTATTTCTATCTCTATCTCGATCTCTATATCTATCTCGATCTCTATCTCTATTTCCATAACGCTTTCTCTCCCTACAGTTCAGATTTTGTTCTTGGAAACAGCCTGGGAAACAGGCAGTTTACTATACTTTCTATTTTCCCAAATCTCCATCTCTAACCACACCTCACCCCTGCTACCACCACACAGATTTCTTCGTGGAACATCCCTTGTTTGTGAAGCATTGACACTTATGCAAAAAGGTATTAAAAGTAAGTGTCTGGCAGGGCACGGTGGCTCACGCCTGTAATTCCAAGCACTTTGGGATATGGATCACAAGGTCAGGAGATCAAGACCATGCTGGCTAACACGGTGAAACCCTCTCTCTACTAAAAATACAAAAAATTAGCCAGGCGCGGTGGTAAGCACCTATAGTCCCAGCTGCTCGGGAGGCTGAGGCAGGAGAATCGCTTGAACCCAGGAGGCAGAGGTTGCAGTGAGCCGTGATCGCACAACTGCACTCCAGCCTGGATGACAGAGCAAGAGTCCAACTCAAAAAAAAAAAAATAGTAAAGGTTTCCTGCCTTTATGGACAACCTGTTTGTCAAATATGATCACATTCCATAAATTAGTTTTAAGTTCAACTGGGGTTTCCCTCCTTTCAGCATGCATATTATCTCTTCCCTTCCTCTGGACCTTTCCTATCCATGTCTTTACTAGGATTATTACATGTCTGGTGAGTGCTGTAAACAAAATGTTATGTGTGCAATTAATGCTAATTTGGATGATAGGAAACAGAAATATTAATTCTAATTACTTTTCAAACATAGCTCATGCAATAATAAGAGAATCTGATGTCACTGCAAGACGATTTGGTTGAGATGATAATGCTAATTTATTGAAATGGGTGGGTGTCATAATCAGTTTGAAAAAAAGAGAAACATTTCTAAGACATACCAGATCATATTAATACATCACCGCCACACACAAAATTGGTGTTAACATACAAATTCCTCTGGACGTTTAAGAAGCAATGCCTCCTTAAATATTGAGATCTAGTGAATGCACCTTTTCAAATTGTAATATATAGGTCAGAGGGTTTTTTGTTTGTTTTGTTTTCCTATCTTTCTATTTGGCTTTTCTCTTTACATAGACTAGAGAAATAAAGGCACATGCAAATGCATAGATTTATTTATTTAGATTTCAATTGAAATTTTTCATTATGTTTATTATTTGTAAACACAGGCATCTGCTTGGCTTCATGTGCAAAGCCCTGAATTCATTCTCTTCTTACTGAAGTTCTTGAAATGAAAGTAATACTTTAATATTTGATAATAATAGCCCAAGAAGGATGGTAACATCCAATTGTAAGTATTACATGTCGAAGAATAAATTTTTTACAGGAAAATGCATTATATTAAGAATCATAGAAGTTTTTACTCATAATAACAAATATGGAAGAAAAAATAGCTTGCGATAAACATACCCAGTCCATATTTGTATCCAACATATATTTTTTCTCTAAAGCAGAATTACAATATAAAAACAAAATTTAGATTCCAAATGGTATGTCATATTAGAGAGAAAAATAGTGCAAATGAACAGTTTAAAACTGTCCAAAAATATGAGTAATTTTATTTGAAAAATGACAAGCATTCTTCAGAGTTCTGGGCCACCCAATTATTTCAATAAGACAAATTGTCTTGGAGAATGGCTCATAAACTCTGAGCCATTCATTAGTTTATTTTTGTATCATCAGGGAGTTAGCTTGGGAAACTGGCAAAATCCTATCTGGCTTGAAAAGTAAATGCCCTTGGATTAGGGTTCTGTGCAACAAAAATTGCAAAAGGCTAATAATTTTACTTAAAAATTTTATGATTATTAATTTTCATTCTGTCAGCCTACATCACAATTAAAAGAAATAAATCATTTTGGCGGTTTGTGCCTGATTTTTCCCAAGTTTCTTTGTTTGTTTGCTTGTTTTAATATTAAGTATATTTCTATTAGCTGGCAACAGCTGTTATTTGGGTGCCTCAGCTGACTGCTCCCAGAATACCCACAGCTTCAGTGTGTACACTTTACTACAAATTCTTGATGTCTGGATTACTAAATAATTAAAACCATTCTTGCACATGTCCAATATAAGAGGGAGTAGATAAACTTCTTGCTTCATACCTTTTTCCAAAAGCTTTTATTTTCAAGTAAAATTGATTCTTATTTGCTTTTAATTTACCAGCCACAACCCTAATATCATTTAACTAGCTAGTTAATAAAGCCTTATAATTAAAGCTTCGTATTAAATCTTTGTATACACAATGATTTATTTGGGACTTAAATTTTGAATTCTTTCCTCCTTAAATTAATAAAATTTTGAGTTTCTGTTTTAATCTTCAAATATTTCAATTATTTGTTTTTTAAACAAACAAGCCTGAACTAAAGGAATGATTGAAATTCATAAATGCCATTTTTTCTCTTACATGATCATACTATTAAAACTATAAAGTTTACACATCAAAATAAGAAGATAACTAAAGACAAAATAAAAAATTGTGAAAGCACCAAGAAATAAATGACACCTTACCTATCAGGGGAAAAATCTTATGGACTCTCCATAAGAAAGAGTAGTAACTCCTCCAAGATCCCTGAAGGATAATAATCTGTGACACTACAGTAGATACTCAGACATAAAGTAGTTCCAAGAACAAAGACTATTGTCTGTCAAGAGCTGCTTATTTTCTTATTTTCATGACAGCCAGAAATACATTGAAAAGGTATATTTGTAATACATTAGCCACAGTCTAATTGTGCTACCACTGGAGAGCTGCTCAGTGTCTAGTTCATCACACAATAGGGGATGGAAGTTGAATTCATTCTTTTTGAAGGTTTGTATGGTCTGACTGTGTCCTCACCCAAATCTCCTCTCCAACTCCTACATGTTGTAGGAGGAACCCAGTGGGAGGCAATTGAATCATGGGGGCAAGTCTTTCCTATGCTGTTCTCATGATAGTAAGTCTCATGAGATCTGATGGTTTTAAAAACAAGAGTTCCCTGCACAAGCTCTCTTTGCCTGCTGCCATCCATGTAAAATGTGACTTGTTCCTCCTTACCTTCTGCCATGATTGTAAGGCTTCCCCAGCCACGTGGAACTGTAAGTCCAGTAAACCTCTTTATTTTGTAAATTGCCCAGTCTCGGGGATGTCTTTAACAGCAGCGTGAAAGCGGACAATACAAAGGTCTAATCAGAGTTGGATTTGTGTTGCTTTTGTTTGTAACACTCTGCTAAGACTGAACACAAGGAGGTCCAATTTTTTCCATGTCACTAGCTTTTTCACCTCTTTTCCACAGTAGCATAAATTCATGCTAGGAAGTTAACTGTGTGGGCATGAGAGCTTGTCTATACCATGATCTCCAAAAAACTGATTTTAATTCTTTTTACCTTTCCTACCAATATACTTGCCATTGCTTTCCTCTTCAAACCTCAACTATTTAGTCAGTGGATTCAGCTTTAATCTTGTCACCTTATATGTACACAGACATTTTTACATGTTTTACGTGAAACAAGATAGAGCATGAGTAAGTAAATAAGTGTGTGTGTATGATGCACATGTGTGTGCAGAAAAATGTAATCTCAATTTATTATTATTATCTAGTGCAATTAGAGAGATGGTCAAGCACAGGTAACAAAAGGGTTTAACAGAAAACTGATAACGTATGTCTTTAGGGAAGAAAGGATTACAAATTTCACGCTGGTCAAAATTGAAATTTCATAGAATAAACATCTGCAGTTTATGCTAAAATCTGCATGTAGGGTTAAAATATGATATTATTATAGGTAGATTTCAACCTTTGGTTGCAGCTGGCTGAGGGGGCTGCTGGCAACAGCTGTTATTTGGGTGCCCCAGCTGACTGCTCCCAGAATACCCATAGCAGTTACATGCTGGGAGGAGAAGGAGGCAGGTGCTATCAGATGACTCCTCAGGAATGTGCCCTAAAGGGAACACTATTTAGCATACAGGAGACTTGTCATGTGACTTTCTTTGGAGGGTGATTTTAAAGACTTGTCTGCAACTAATGATGTCTGTGATCTGTACAGAGGTCACCTTCAATAACTTCTCTTCCTGTAAACAGGAAAAGGAATGCTGAAAAATGGGTAAGAGAGGAAAACAACAGGGAGCCCCAGTCACTTCTGGACCTAGTAGCCAATGTGACACTGTTTGCTATCCCTGGAGCTGAGTTTTAGTAATCCTTAGATATTTTCAGTTTACTTTGTTTAGAAATTGAACTTCAACACAATGAACACTAGTGAGGTTGGATGTTGCAGCCAAAAAGCTTAGGATTTGAAGGAATCCTATGAATCCATCTTCACTACTTCACAGCTTTGTGACACTGGTTTCATCATATAACTTACCTACATGTTATTATCCCAGTTTGTAAAATGGTGATTATAATAACTGCCTCAATACATTAATATAAAGATGAAATGAGGAAACATGTAAGGTGCCTGGCATATATTAGATGCTCAATATTTATGGTTCCTTTTTCATCATGTTGTAGGCTAATTGAACCCAATCTTTCAACCCTCAGAGACTGAGTTGGGTATTAGAAGACATTCACATGTTTATGCTAGGAATCAATTCACTCCATCCACATTGGCCATCCTTGTTGCTCCTTAAACATGGTAGGCATTCTTCTACCTTAGGGCAATGGATCTGGCTATTCCCTCCTCTGGACCTTCTCCCAAGTATGCATACAAACTGACTCACTTCCTTCAACTCTTCACTTAAATGTATTCTTCTCATCAAGGTTTACCCTGACAACCCCACTTAATACTGTAAACTGTACATGGCCCTCTTCACTGCTCCCTCAGTGCCATACTCCTGAGTCCCCTTACCATGCTCCTTTGTTTTTTTTTTTTTAAATACATTTATTGCCTTCTAGCACTTAGTAAAATTTTAAAATTATATTTACTGTTTATTCTTTGTTTTTCCCCAGTAGACTGTTGTATTAGTCCATTTTCATGCTGCTGATAAAGACATACCCAAGGCTGGGAAGAAAAAGAGGTTCAATTGGATATACAGTTCCACATGGCTGGGGAGGCCTCAGAATCATGGCAGGAGGTGAAAGGCACTTATTACATGTAGGTGGCGAGAAAAAGATGAGAAGGATGCAAAAGCAGAAACCCCTGATAAAACCGTCAGATCCTGTGAGACCTACTCACTGCCATGAGAACAGTATGAGGGAAAACACCCCCAAAATTCAAATGATCTCTCACCGGGTACCTACCACAAAACATGGGAATTATGCAAGTAAAATTCAAGATGAGATTTGGGTGGGGACAGAGAGCGAAACAATATCATTCTCTCCCTGGCCCCTCCAAATCTTATGTCCTCAAGTTTCAAAACCAATCATGCCTTCCCAACAGTCCGCCAAACTCTTAACTCATTTCAGCATTAACCCAAAAGTCCACAGTCCAAAGTCTCATCTGAGACAAGGCAAGTCCCTTCCGCCTACAAGCCTGTAAAATCAAAAACAAGCTAGTTACTTCCTAGATACAATAGAGGTACAGGTATTGGGTAAATACAGTCATTCTAAATGGGAGAAATTGGCCAAAACAAAGGTGTTACAGGGCCCATGCAAGTCCAAAATCCAGTGGGGCAGTCAAATTCTAAAGCTCCAAAATGATCTCCTTTGACTCCATGTCTCACATCTAGGTCATGCTGATGCAAGAAGTAGATTCTTATAGTCTTGGCCAGCTCTGCCTCAGTGGCTTTGCAGGGTATAGACCCTCTTCTGGCTTTTTTCACGGGCAGCTGGAGTTGAGTGTCTGTGGTTTTTCCAGGCACACAGTGCAAGCTGTCATTGGATCTACCATTCTGGGGTCTGGAGGACAGTGGCCCTCTTCTCACAGCCTCACTAGGCAGTGCCCCAGTAGGGACTCTGTGTGGGGGCTCTGACACCACATTTCCCTTCTGCCCTGCCCTAGCAGAAGTTCTCCATGAGGGCCCCACCCCTGCAGCAAACTTTTGCCTGGGCATCCAGGCATTTCCATATATCTTCTGAAATCTAGGTGGACGTTCCCAAACCTCAGTTCTTGACTTCTGTGCACCTGCAGGCTCAACATCAGATGGAAGCTGCCAAGGTTTGGGGGCTCGCACCCTCTGAAACCATGGGCCAAGCTATACCCTGGCCCCTTTTAGCAATGGCTAGAGTGTCTTGGATGCAGGGCACCAAGTCCCTAGGCTGCACACAGCACAGGGACCCTGGGCTTGGCTCACAAAACCATTTTTACCTCCCAGGCTTCTGGATCTGTGATGGGAGGGGCTGCTGTGAAGACCTATGACATGCCCTGGAGATATTTTCCACATTGTCATAGGGATTAACATTCAGCTCCTTGTTACTTATGTAAATTTCTGCAGACAGGTTTAATTTCTCCTCAAAGAAATGGGTTTTTCTTTTCTACTGTATCATCAGACTGCAAATTTTCTGAAGTTTTATGCTCTGTTTCCTTTTAAAGTGGAAAGCTTTTAACAGCACCCAGGTCACTTCCTAAATTCTTTGCTGCTTAGAAATTTCTTCCAACAGATACCTTAAATCATCTCTCTCTAGTTCAAAGTTCCACTGATCTCTAAGGCAGGGGCAAAATGCTGCCAGTCTCTTTGCTAAAACATAACAAGAGTCATCTTTGCTCCAGTTCCCAACAAGTTCCTCATCTCCATCTGAGATCACCTCAGCCTAGACCTTATCATTCATATCACTATCAGCATTTTTGTCAAAGTCATTCAACAAGTCTCTAGGAAGTTCCAAACTTTCCCACTTTTTCCTGTCTTCTTCTGAGCCCTCCAAATTGTTTCAACCTCTGCCTGATACCCAGTTCCAAAGTTGCTTCCACATTTTTGGGTATCTTTTCAGCAATGCCCCATTCTACTGGTACCAATTTACTGTATTAGTCTGTTTTCATGCTGCTGATGAAGACATATGCAAGACTAGGAAGAAAAAGAGGTTCAATTGGACTTGTAGTTCCACATGTCTGGGGAGGCCTCAGAATCATAGCAGGATGTGAAAGGCACTTCTTACATGGCAGCAGCAAGAAAAAAATTAGGAGGATACAAAAGCAGAAACCTCTGATAAAACCATCAGATCTCGCGAGATTTATTCACTAACATGAGAACAGTGTGGGGGAAACAACCCCCATGACTCAAATTATCTACCACTGGGTCCTTCCCACAACACATGGGAATTATGGGAGTACAATTCAAGATGAGATTTAGGTGGTGACACAGAGCCAAACCGTATCAACTGTATACTCCATAAGGGTTTAAAATCTTTATTCACTTCACTGATGTATATCATGCACCTGTTTCCTTGTAGATAGGGCAGAATAAATATTTTTTCATGAATGAATGCACTGAGGCACTTCAGAATACATCAATCTACAGTGTTTAGGAATTGACTATGACCTGAATTAATATGCTTTGTTCACCTCACATCCCCAGATCCTGGAGTGTAGTAAGTACGACATGTATAGTAGAATGAATAAAAAATAATGGATTCAGGCACAACACAGCTTCCTATGAGGCTAGGGAATTACCCAGACTCAGGCAAAATTCATTACTATCATTCTCCTCTTTATGAACCTGACAACCAAACATAATGGCTTAGGAATTTTTTCTGTTAAATATATTTGATTGATATTATATACCCAGAAGGTCAAGATAATGTGGAAAATATTATCTACTGCCCTTGAGTCAAGGACTCTGATGTATATCGTGGTGAATATTTATGCTTACTATGTCATTTCAAGTTTGAATGTTGACATTTAAATTAAAATAATGTCCCTCATTTTTGTAACACAAGAGCAATAGAAAGGTCAGTTGTACCTTACCAGTGGATAGTACTACATTGCTCCCGTGTCATTTTGAGCTTTGCTGAGCAGGAGACTGGCTTCTAATCTCATGGAGTGATCCTATGTACATCACCCAGTTGAAGAAACACAACTGATTAGGCCTTTCCTAAAAAGCTATTCTTTGTTCTTGAAAGTTTCTGCTCTACATAGTAGCAAGATGGCATTATCTAGTACAACCTTAAGAAAACACACCCTCTCAACACTCAAGATGAAAATGCTCAGAGGATTTGTATAGAGTCAAATCCAAAGTGAAAAATTACTTTATAGTTGTGTTATTGGGAGGAGTGGTGGCAATAAGACATAAAATAAGGAGGGGTAAATGTTATGAAAACAAGATAGAAAGTTTATGGTAATCATAGTAAATTTCTGTCAAGAGAGCTGCAATTCAGATATGCTCCATTCTCACTTGACCTTTATTTACCTCTACTCCCAGTCATTAAAATGATGGTCTTTCTCCTGAGATAGTTCTATAATGGATACTTTGGGACATATTAATCTGATTTCACACAATTGCTGTGCTCAGTCATCTGTACTCAATGTGTCATATATGCCTGAACAACCAGACATCATACAAAGGCTTTATGTGATGCTAGTATGTGATCTTGCCTTATAACAACGCATTTATCACTTAAATGTGCCTTTGTCTTTTCTCCTGGAATTAAGACAGCTAAAGATTTCACAAGTTGCACCTAAGAATGATACCCCAGGAAAGCACTGGACCTGTTTATATTCCACCTCATCAAGAACACAGTCATTCACTTATTTGATCACACAGGGTAAAGGAGATATGCAACACTTTTCTGAAACCATGTGAAGAGAGGAGAATAAATCAAGCATTCTGGTAAACAATTCATGCCATCAAAAACATGTTTTAATGTGTGCAACTGTCTTTAAGTGCTCCAAACCCAGACATCTTACTTTACAGTCAGAGCTCCCAAGTGGCAAACAAAAGCACCAACTTGCTCATGATTCATTCTAATCTTTTTACATAAAACTGGAACTAGGAACCATAGTCAAGGAATAAGAAAGCTGATCCAGAATCTACCACTATAAATTATTCAGCTAAAAAAATTACATAAATGCATGCAGAAGTCAGGAAGAAGAAATCAAAACATAAGATCATAATCCCAGTAGTATGCTGTTAAAACATGAATGAACAAAGATTGTTGGTTCTATGTAGAGATACTGTATTGAATGGAAGACGTGAAAAGCTGTCGGCTCCCAAGACTCTGATGACATAAGTATCAAAGAATGAGAAATGGACTGGATGATTAGTGCTAAAAGGAACTTTTAAGGACATCTAATGCAAACCCAGTAATTTTACAGAGGCTTTAAATAGATTTGGAGAAGTTGAATAATGTGCTCTCAATCCATAATTAGTTGATACTGGTGAATATACCAGAAAAACAGAACAAACCATCTTTGCCATTAAAGTGTATCTGTCTTATTAGGTTTAACTAATATAGTCAGACATCAGGTCATGTGATACCAAATGCTTGAACTGGTCAGGTGTTGCACTTTTTGTTCCCAGAATTGATAGATGGTTGTTATTCCATTCTGCCATTGCCTTTGTTTGTTATCATAGTAATTATAATGCCCTATTTACTTCAGCTAGAGGATTAATGTTTCCGGATATCTTTTCTTCTGCCTAGACATAGATTATTTGTATAAATACTCTATAAAATGGAGTTCCCAGGTTTTGTTCCTATTCAGTTATTCTACTTTCTATCTTGCAATTAACTACAAAGAGGTGAATACATAGCACTGAGAATGAGGCAAACCAAGGGCCTGCCATCAGGTGATTTTAAACATTGAACATTGGCACAGCAATTAAACTCAACCAACTGTAGAGTTAATAAAAATACAGATCCAGATTGCTAGTCAACTATTTCAGATGCATGGTTCTGGTTACACAGTGAAAACTTAGGAGCCTTAAGGACACTATAGAGGTTGCTGCAGCCAGTTTAGTCAACGCCTTACAAACCATTACAGCTGAAAGTGCTGAGAATGATCTAGTAGACAATTCTCACTCAAGGTCAGAAAGATAACTGATGGCTGGACCAGAATGGATACCAAGAATTTCTCACACGAGACCAGGAATCTCTCCAAACAACTCTTACCTTGAGGATAATGTAACTTCGAAAGAAATTTGTACATATTTTTCTTAGTTCTGTGGAATATTTAAATGGTCCCACATAATTTCAAATAAATTCTGGTTGAAGTTTCGTGGATCTTGGTTTTTTTCAATCTACAAGTTATTTACAAGTTTTAAAACTACTGAGTTAGGTTTTCTTTTCTTTGTTTATTTAAGAAAAGGGAGGACAAATAGCCCGAAACTTCAAGCTGTTCATGCTGAGGAATTGGACATTATATATTAAGGACACAAGAGGTATGAGAATTCCTCAGCTACAGTCGGCAGCAAATGTGTTCGACAAGCTGAAAGGTTTAGCACTAAGTACAAGGCAAGAGAGATAGAAGATAAGGAAGGAAAGCTAAGGAAATAAATTTTTCTTACAAAACTCCTCTAAAGTATTCTTTTTATAACAGGTCTTGCCAGAACTTAGATAAGCCAGAATGACTACGTTATTCTTCCAGAAAACTGTTTATGAATCAGTCTGCTATTTTCTACCCAAAAAAAAAAAAAAAAAAAAAAAATCACAGTACTTCAGCACTGAGGGGATTAGTGGCTGAGCAATCTCCTTCAGAGTGCTGCTCACTTAATTTGTTAAAGGACAAAGTAGTTGAATCATCTTACTTGCTGAATCTACAGGAAAAATACTGTCACTTCTTTATTGTTGTCATTTTCCAGTGTTTATTATGTCATAAAATGTTAGGCTTTGAAGTCCCAATCTGACTGTTTAGAGCAGGGATCTCCTGCCAACTGCATTATGTCATCAAATGAGCAAACATAATAAACATAATTAACATAGCAAGCATTTTTCAAGTCACTGGAATTTAAAAGTTGTTTGTTATAGCTACTGGTGTTACTTACCCTGACTTATGCACAAAGGAAAATAGTTTCATTTCAAATAGGTAGTTTTTTCCCAAATAGCTATACATATTTTTTACCAATATTTTATTCTCCTCTTCTGTATACCTAGAGGATGTGATTATTGTCTTCCATGAAACTGAATAAAGTATTGTGACTAGATCTAGCCAATAAATTGTAAATGAAAATTATTAGGTTGGTGCAAAAGTAATTGTGGTTTTTTTCCATTACTTTTAATATGTGTGGCTGTGATTGTGGATATCGTGTGTTCAATTATCCAGGCTTTCTTTTGGTGATCGAGACAGTTTCATGTTCTAAATGTTGCAGCTACCACATAGTAAAGCCCCTGTTGGCCTGGGTTTCTGAGTGACTCTAGAGTTGAGTCCCATGTCAACCAAAAATAGTTACACAATTTGAGTAGAAAATAAGGTTATATTGTGTTAAGCTGCTGAGATTTTCAGTTGGTTATCATAGTACAACTTACCCTACACAATATATATGACTCATGGGATAAAAAATATATATGTATATATTTGCATATGTGTGTATATTTGTATATAAGCATCTATGTGTATGTGTATATATGTACATATATGTATATGCATGTGTATATGCATACATAGTACATATATACACACATAAGTTTATCTATGTGTATGTACATAGACACATAAATACATATAAAAGTTTATTAGTCAGAATATGCATGTATATACATGTGCATACATGCACATGTATATATAATATGGTTACTAAATTGTTGCATAAAGAATTCTGATAATATATTAGTGCTTTATTTTACAGAAACGTTTCTTAATTATGTCTTTAAAAGAAAACAGTTTTCAACAATTTAGGTTACCTTTTATAACATTATACCAAAACGCAAGCAAACCATAGCCTAGATGGCAATCTCTGCTAAAGGTTCTGCAGGTGCTAATTATACCCCTTGATCTTTTTACATTTTAACTAGTATGAAAATAAATACGAAAAATATGTGGAATTGTGAGTCTCAAAATATTAGCTTTTCACCCTAAACCTCTGTACTACCTAATATGAACTGACTCATCCTTCTACTTACAGGGAGAGCCGCTGGAGGACTGTGGGCTTCCCTTTGCAGAGCTAAAAATGCTCTTCTCTAGTGAGTTTACTGCACAGAGGAGTAAGCAGAGGAAAGCAGGCACTGCTTTAGGACATGTTGGAGAGGGAGCAAGAGTCTGCTGTCTTGCACCACAATGATACTCACCTCATCTCATCCTTAGGAGAAGTAGAAAACAGGGCAATTGGGAAGACAGACTCCTGGGGTTCTTCCAACATTGTTTCCTCTTGGAAAGACTCAGAAATTCTTTTTTAGCTATGAAATTTTAAGAAGTTGATTAATATGCTTTCTCTTCCACCCGCAACAACCTTGTATGAGTCTTCCACATCTTTGCCATTATTACCATTCAACATTAAATGCTGTGTCCTCTGACTGAAGAGACATGATGACTAGGTGTATGTGGTGTTCTCAATTGGATACTGAAACAGAAAAAGAACACGAGTAGAAAAACAGACAAAATTTTAACAAAGTCCGAAGCTTAGTTGATAGGAATGTACTGATGTTAATTTCTTAGTTTTGATAAATATACCATGCTTATATAAAATGTTAACATTTGGGGACACTGGATGAAGGGTATGTAAAAACTCTGTACTACTTTTGCAACTCTTCTGTAAATCTAAAATTATTTCAAAACAAAAGTTTAAAAGAAAAATATTTTGTTTTACAGGATGGGGAGCACAATCATTAGAAATTTATCTTGTGAGTAGAAAATTCATGGCAAAGCCTGCCTAAAGGCAAAGTGAATTAGGTGGGATGAACCTAAAGAGATATTTTGGGGCTCCTCTTTTAATATTCTAATTTAAGCATAATAATAATACGCTTCTTGTAATGCTCTGTGACTTTGAATAGAATGGGAGGCAGGTTTGCCCTAAGCAATATCCAGCTCGAGTTTTCCTTAGTGATTTTGGAGGTCCAAGATATTTTCCTTTCACAGGTCAATGAATAAGAAAAGGAGCAAATACATTAAAAAGCTGACCTACCGTATGCGGCTGACTTCTCATAATTTTGTGAATCCTAAAAGGTATTCTTTCTTACTTTGTTCTCAGCTTCCTTTCATCTGAGAAAGTTCTTAAATACCTAGTATCCAAGAATCTTATCTACCCTTCTCAACTCCTAGATGAAGGGGGGATCTTAAAAGTTTCTTCCTCACCATTCCTTGAAGGGGGTTCTATAGACATATGGAGTTACCCTGGCTGGATGAAGCCACCCTGCAATTAACCTCAGTGTTCATGTAATAGATATGAGTTTGTCACTTAATTTCAACAGCAAACAACCTCGTAAAAGTCAACACAGAAGGGAAAAAAATGGTTACTAGCTTTGGAATTAGAAACAACTAGATTTAAATAGCAGATGTGTCACTTTCTAGCCAGCTTCTATTAAGCCAAAAAATTTATCAGATTCTGAGTCAGTTTGTTTGTCTGTAAGACTGTAATAGCCTACCTACAAGGTTGTTGTGAGATTTAAATGACACAGCATATGTAAAATAGTTCCTGGGATTAAGTAGTGTATCTCAATATATTGGTTCTACATTCTCTGAAAAAAGCAGCGTTTGATTGTAGGATAGCTTGAAAGTGTGACCGTCAAGTTGGAGGGAGGGGCCGGGCGCGGTGGCTCACGCCTGTAATCCCAGCACTTTGGGAGGCCGAGGAGGGCGGATCACGAGGTCAGGAGATCGAGATCATCCTGGCTAACACGGTGAAACCCCGTCTCTACCAAAAATACAAAAAATTAGCCGGGCGCGGTGGTGGGCGCCTGTAGACCCAGCTACTCGGGAGGCTGAGGCAGGAGAATGGCACGAACCCGGGAGGCGGGAGCTTGCCGTGAGCCGAGATCAGGCCACTACACCCCAGCCTGGGCGACAGAGCAAGACTCTGTCTCAAAAAAAAAAAAAAAAAAAATTTGGAGGGAGGAAGAAAATGTCAGTGCAAGAAGTCTAGGCATACAACTGCGTGGTGGTTTTACCGAAAGATATGTACAGTACTTCACAATTATATAAATGTTGGATTATGGTCACAGGTATAGCTTAAGCACCTTTCAATCTATTTTCACCCTCATGCCACTGCTCATGGCATCATAGAAAGGTGTACAAGATGCATGCCCTGGCAGTATCAAGAGTCATTGAAAGACACAACTCAGCTGCCTCTAAATGGCAACTTCTTTTTATGTTAATTGTATAATAAAGACTATTTAGTCAAAATGAGTTTATCAGTTGTTACTTTAAGACTTTCAGTACTCCCATTTGGAACAGAACAAATTTTAAAATAAGATTGATACAAAATGGTGTTCATTTGCATGAATAGAAGGTTTTTGCCCAACCAGATCAAAGCACATTAGTGGATTTTGAGCTCAAATTTCAAGCAATTTGCAACTGTATACCTGACAATTCACAGATTAGAAATAATTTTATGAACATTGATCATAGTGGAAATAGCTGTAATACAAACAAGAGCTCTTAGCAAAAGGTTTCAAGGCCTTATAAAACCAACTAATCATGTAATGATTTTTTGTTCTGTTTAATTACAAGTCATAATGCAATGTAATTAAACCCAGTGGCAGGAGGATAACAGTACCAAGATGCAGACAATTAAGTTAACTACAACATATGTAAGATATATTTATGTACCCGATAAATCTTCTGACAGGAAGGATCTAGATCTACCTTAATTAAAATAAGCATTTTTCTTGCATTTGCACATAATAAAAAGATACACAGTTTCCATATTCCAAGCAGTAGGATAAACAGTCAATGACTGATGTTTAAGAAACATGTTTAAAAACCTGAATTTAAGAGTCTAAGAATGATTTCTTCTAATTCAGGTGTTTAGAGAAACCCTGGGTGAAGGGGAAAAAAGTAATATTGTTTGGTAAACATAAGTGTCTCTTTTAAAAAATTGATTTGCAGTTTATTACACATTCTGGGTAATAATTATTTGTTATATATATATTGCAAATATCTACTCCCAGACCTGTAACTGTTTTTTTACCTTTATCTTATCTTTTGAAATACAGATTTTTACATTTTAATTTTGACATATTTATCAATCTTTCTTACATGGCCTGTGCTTTTGTGCCTTATTTAAAAATACCTTTCCAACCATATAGTAGCATATATTCTCCCACATTTTCTACTAATAATTTTTTTGTAGTTAAGTTTTTTATTTCTCTGATGTTAATTTTTGTGTTTTGGGTGAAATTAGGGCCAATTTCACTGTTTTAATGGAAATCCATTAATTCCAACACCATTTTCTTACTTTCTTATTTTGTTCAACTGAGACAAGCTAGTTATTTTTTTTTCACCAGCACCATTTTTTTTTACTGTTTTATAACATCATTTCTGTCAAATCTTTATATATTTATGTACGTATTATGGGATTCTCTACTCCATTACATATCTCTATTCCTATACTAATATATAACTATTTTAACTTTTATAACATTGTAATAAATCTTGGTATCTAGCAGCCCAGCCCTCACTCAAATGAGTCTTGACTTTTCTTACTCATTCAGTCGTCCATATTAATTTTAGAATTCTCTTCTCATGTTCCATGAAAAATAATTGCCTTTTTTATGATATTGAGTCTTCCATATACATGGCATAAATCTCCATTTATTCATATTTTTATATGACCTTTAATAATATTTTTTAATTGCCCCCACAAAATTCATGCAATTGTTATATTGATCAATTCCAATGAAATTCATAATTTTGGACACTTTTTAGTAGGATATTTTTTCTCGTATGTTTTCTAATTGGTCGAAGAGCAGGAGTAGGCATCCTTGTTTTTGACTTCAATGAGAATTTTTCTAAATAGTAACAAATATTAAAAAATGTTTAACCAGTAGACTGCAAGCTCCATGACAACAAGGTCTTGATTCTTTTTATTGCTATATCACAATGCTTAAGACAAGTATCTGATAAATGTGGATATAAAATAAATATTTATAATCTGAATAAATAAAGATATGATGCAGGTTTTTTTGGTAGAAATCTTTTAACTTTGTAATCAAGTTTTCTTCTTTTGCCAGTTGTGTTTTAAAAATCATGAACTACTGTTGAATTTTGTAATTTATTCTTTATATACTGATATAATTGTATGAGTTTTTGTCCAATAATTGCTATTGTTTTGAACTGGTGACTTCCCTAATATATAACTATCTTTACTAGTGATAAGGTATTACATTTTTGTATATTGTAGAATTTGTTTTGCTGATATTTTAATATATTTCCATCTCTTTCAAAAGTGATATTGCTCTATGCTTTTGTTGAGTCTGATTATGTGTCTTTTCTAGACAATATGTAGTAAGACCATGTTTTATTAATTCATTTTGCCAACTTCTGCTTTTGACTAGAGTGTTTAATTCCTTTACATTTAATATAATTACTGATAAGGTAGGATTTATATCTGCCATTTTACTTTTTTTCTATATATCTTATACCTTTCTTGTTCTTCTAATCTTCTGTTCTGCCCTTCTTTTGTGTTAAATAGATATTTTCCACTTTACCTGTATTAGTCCGTTTTCACACTGCTGATAAAGACATACTCAAGACTGGGCAATTTACAAAAGAAAGAGGTTTAATTGGGCTTTCAGTTATACGTGGCTGGGGAAGGTTCACAATCATGGCATAAGGCAAGGAGGAGCAAGTCACATCTTACATGGATGGCAGCAAGCAAAGAGAGGTGTGCAGGAAAACTCCCCCTTTTAATAACCATCAGATCTCATGAGACTTATTCACTATCACAAGAACAGCATGAGAAAGACCTGCCCCCATGATTCAATTACCTCCCACCAGGTACCTCCTACAACATATGGGAATTAAAGATGAGATTTGGGTGGGGACACAGAGCCAAACCATATCATTTGGCCCTGGCCCCTCTCAAATCTCATGTCCTCTCAAAACCAATCATGCCTTCCCAACAGTCCCCCAAAGTCTTAACTCATTTCAGAATTAACTCAAAAGTCCACAGTCCAAAGTCTCATCTGAGACAAGGCAAGTCCCTTCCATCTATGAGCCTGTAAAATCAAAAGCAAGTTAGTTACTTCCTAGATACAATGCGGGTACAGGCATTGGATAAATACAGCTATTGCAAATGGGAGATATTGGCCAAAAAAAGGGGGCTACAGGTACCATGCAAGTCCAAAATCCAGCAGGGCAGTCAAATCTTAAAGCTCCTAAATGATTTCCTTTGACTCCATGCCTTACATCCAGATCACACTGATGCAAGAGGTGGGTTCCCATGGTCTTGGGCAGCTCTGCCCTGTGGCTTTGCTGGGTATACCTCCACTCCTGGCTGCTTTCATGGGCTGACATTGAGTGTCTGTGGCTTTTCTAGGTGCATGGTGCAAGCCGTCAGTGGACCTACCATTCTAGGGTCTGGAGGATGGTGGTCCTCTTCTCACAGCTCCATTAGGCAGTGCCCCAGTAGGGACTCTGTGTGGGGGCTCCAACCCCACATTACCCTTTTGCACTGTCCTAGCAGAGATCCATGAGGGCCGTGCCCCAGCAGCAAACTTTGTCTGGGCATCAAGGCATTTCCATACATCTGATATCTAGGTTCCCAAACCTCAATTCTTGACTTCTGTGCACCTGCAGGCTCAATGTCACATGTAAGCATCCAAAACTAAGGGTGTCTACCCTCTGAAGCAATAGTCCAAGCTGTACCTTGCCCCCTTTTAATCATGGCTGGAGTGGCTGGGACCCAGGGCACCAAGTTCCTAGACTGCACACAGCACAGGGACCTTGGGCGCACGAAATCATTTTCTCTTAGGTCACCACACTCATGCCTGTGCTTTGAAGGGGCTGCTGTGAAAACCTCTGACATGCCCTGGATACATTTTCCCATTGTCTTGGGGATTAACATTTGGCTCCTTATTACTTATGCAAATTTCTGCAAGCAGCTTGAATTTCTCCTCAGAAAATGGATTTCCCCATTGTCTTGGTGATTAACATTTGGCTCCTTATTACTTATGCAAATTTCTGCAAGCAGCTTGAATTTCTCCTCAGAAAATGCATTTTCCTTTCTATTACATTGTCAGGCTGCAAATTTTCTGAACTTTTATGCTCTGCTTCCCTTATAAAACTGAATGCCTTTAACAGTACCCAAGTCACCTTTAGAATGCTTTGCTGCTTAGAAATTTCTTCCATCAGATACCCTAAACCATCTCTCAAGTTCAAAGTTCCCCAAATCTCTAAGGCAGGGGCAAAATGCTGCCAGTCTCTTTGCTAAAACATAACAAGGGTCACCTTTGCTCCAGTTCCCAACAAGTCACTCATCTTCATCTGAGACCACTTCAGCCTGGACTTTATTGTCCATATGGCTATCAGGCTTTTAGTCAAAGCCATTCAATAAGTTTCTAAGGAGTTCCAAACTTTCCCATATTTTCCTGCGTTTTTCTGAACCCTCCAAACTGTTCCAACTTCTGCCTGTTACCCAGTTCCAAAGTTGCTTCCACATTTTCAGGTGTCTTTTCACCAGCTTCCCACACTACTGGTAGCAATTTTCTGTATTAGTCTGTTTTTATGCTGCTGATAAAGACATACCCAAGACTGGGCAACTTACAAAAGAAAGAGGTTTAATTGGATTTATGTTCCACATGGCTGGGGAAGCCTCAGAATCATGGTGGAAGGCAAGGAGGAGGAAGTTATGTCTTACGTGGATGGCAGCAAGCAAAGAGAACTTGTGCAGGAAAACTCCCTCTTATAATAACCATCAGATCTCTTGAGACTTACTCACTTTTATGAGAACAGCATGGGAAAGACCTGCCTCCATGATTCAACTACCTCCCACCAAGTCCCTCACACAACATGTGGGAATTCAAGATGAGATTTGGTTGAGGACACAGCCAAACCATATCAGTACTATTTTAATTCTATCATTGTTTCTTTAATTATTATATATTTTTGTGTTATTTTCTCAGTGGTTGCCTGGGGACTGCAATTAGCATCTTAATTTAAAACAACATCATTTGGATTAGTACCAACTTAATTGCAATAGTATATGAAAACTTTGGTCCAATATGCATCCATTTGTTTTTGTTCTCTGTGTTATTGTTATGCAAATTATATCTTTATATATAATATGCCTTTAAACATGTTTTATAATTATTGTGTTATACAGTTGTCTTTTTCACTACCATATTGTTTCCTTTATGAGTACTATTTCTTTCCTCATGTGGATTCAAGTTAATGTCTACTATCATTTTATTTCAGCCTAAAGGACTTCCCTTAGTATTTCTTGTAGGACAAGTCTGCTAACAACAACATATCTTAGTTTTCATTTCTCTGATAATGTTTTAATTTATTGAAGGATATTTGAATATAGAATTCTTGGGTGATAGTCTTTTTCCTTTAGCAGTTTAAATATATCATCCCACTGTCCTCTGATCATTATGGTTTCTGATGGAAATCAGTTTTAATCTTATTGAGGATCCCTTGTATGTGATATTTCCCTCTGCTGTTTTCAGGATTCTTTGTCTTTCAATAGTTTGATTATAACATGTCTAGAAACAGATCTAATTAAGGTTCTCACCTTTGAATTTTTAAGCTTCCTGGATCAATGTTTTTCACCCAATTGGATGAAGATTTCAGCCATTAATTTTTCAAATATTCTTTCTACCCCTTTCTCTCTCCTTCTTCTTCAGAAACTCCCTTTGAATGTATGTTGGTAAGCTTGATGGTGTGCACAGGTCTTTGTTAATTATTCTTGATTATCTTTTCCCTGTACCCCAGACTGGGCCATCTCAATTGATCTATCTTCAATTTTACGGTTTCCTTTTTTTTGGAGGGGAGGGTGCTATCTTAAATCTGTTTTTGAGCTTCTCTACTGAGTATTTTCTTTTAATTACTGTAGTTTAAAACTTTATAGATATATATATAATATGTAGTATTGTATATATAATTTCTGTCTCTTTATTGATATTCTCTATTTAGTGAGATATTCTTATATCATACTTTTCTTTTTTAAAAATACATGGCTTCTTTTAGTTCTTTGAGCATATTTACAATAGATTATTTGAAGTCTTTTTCTAGTAAGTCCAAATCTGGACTTATTCAAGAACAGTTTCTACTGACATTTTTTTTTCTATATATGAGCCATACTTTCTTTGTTGCATGTCTCTTTTTTTGGGTGTCAACTCAACATTTTAAATATTATTGAGTAACTTTTGAAATTATATTAACCTTCTTTCCAGTGTTTGTTGTTTTGGTTAAATGCTATTTTGGTTATGATTGCTGTGGTTGCTGTTTTTTCTCTTTGTTTATTTAGTAACTTTTCTTTTCTGATTATGTAAATTCTGAGTTTTTTGGCTGATTATACCACTGGACTTCAGTAAATTCTTCAGGACAGAGACTATGTTCTGTACCAACAATGCCTCAGATAGTTTCTGGCCATGTTAGAAGCTCAATACATTTTTTATGTAAAAGATGAACAAATAGTATCAATAACACTTTTCTCTGATGTGGATAATGAGGAGATGGAAATAATAGTATACAATTTGGGTATTGCCATTTATGTGGTACTTACTACTAATTGACACATACACTATAATGATTTTAAATACAAACACTGAGTTATGATTTAGTAATGTTTTAATTTTGAATTTTCTTATTCTGCTTTAATAAAATGTTGGACTATCATCATTTAATATTTGAAAGCTGAAGTTTTTATGCAGCTTTCGGTCACTAGCAGTTAAAATGCCCCTTGCAATTTTTCTCTATTTGCTTTTAAAATTAAACCAATTTAAATCGTATCTATGGAATACCTGTTACTCCCAAAAGGGCTTGAAAGTCTCAACATTTTCTGTTATTCGCACTTGGAGAAATGAATTTCTGTTGCATGTAGCTAGCATCGACTGCCACAAGAGAGGTAATGGCCATTGGATATACATTCACATCTCTGACAGACCTTCTAGGACAAGGAGTTACCAATTAGAGGTTTCTCAGGAAGCTTTTACCCCAACAGCTAATTGATAAAAGAGACCGTGGTTTCCCTAGTAATAGCTGTAGACTTTTGAAATTGAACCAGACTTACACCTCTGCAGCAGATATACCAGCTTATTAAATAGGTGATATAGTTTGAAGAATCAAAAACTTTTTTAAAAATCTGAATATTTACCTTTTTCAAGTGAAAATATTGAAAGTTTTTAACAGCCTCTGAGCAAACAAAAGTTATCATAAAATCTAGCATGTAATGTGTCCAATATATTGAAGTGTGTCATTTATTCTGGACTAAGTCAAGGTACACATAAATGTATACATATACCATGAGAAAGGCAGATAACTGTGGTACAGCAGAAACAATTGGATATAACTCATGAATGAGAAGTCAGAGTTATCAGCCTGGAGGGGAGCTAGAATAACTATGAATGCTTAGCTGTAAATAACACAAAGAAGACAATCATTTGAAGGAGTTTCAAATTTGCGAAGCTGATGTGAAGTGGAGAACAAATTATTTTTTCATTAATCCAGTCTGATACCTTGTGTGATATTGACAAGTGCTTCTGCATTCTATGTTAATTTAATAAAGTCATCTTGAAGAATCTGCACTATTTACAACACTCAAGATTCCCCTTAATCCTTAGATCCTCATAAATGTGGCTTTTGCATCCTCTGCTTATTTACGATTAGATGTAACATTACAAATTTAAAATTTATCTTTCTCCCTCAGAAAGAAATAGAAGTCACAGATATCAGCATTCCCTACACTTGCCAGCCACATGGGAGCTCTGGAGTAAAGAAGGGACAACACAACTCAGAAAGCAATTGCTTTGCTGAAAGAGCTGACTATAGGTTAAGGCACAGCTCAGCAATGAGAAAAAGAATAAAAATTATGTTTTTGTATTCACTGTTGTCTAGTCCTGAAAATTAAAACCCATTTCCATTCTTATTTTCTAAATAGTATTTCAAAGTTTTGATTCTCATAAAAAGGAAATATTATAAATCTTTAATTGTATTAATGAATAATGAATGATTATATTCCAATTAACACTAAATCATCAAGTTTTTCATGTCATTATTAGTGCCAACATACTTGAGATAATTACAAGTTTACCTTCAGACAATGTGGTTTTTATTGCATCACATAAATAATCTGGTCTCATCCCCACCAACTCCCTACAACAAAATAAATTCCTAAAAAGCTGAAATTCCCACTTATCAAAGTCTCTCTTTATGAAGCAAACATTGATGTACCTAGAAGTTTCTTGTTCAAATATCAATAGACTGAAAGCCGAGTATATCAAGACTTAGAAATCTTTAACACTTTAGTGTGGATAGCTCATCAGTGTCTTTTTTTTCTTCCAAGAAACTGGGAAGAGAAAATTCTGAGGTTCATAAGTGTCCTGAGCAGTTAGAGTTTCACCAAATAACTCACAATCAACTGTTAACTAGTAGCAGTTCAGAGGGAGTGAGACAGACTGGAAAGACATTCTTGATGAAGTAGAAGAGGGAGAGATAGGTCCATAGCTTCTCACACACACTAACCTCTAGGTTTTTACACCTTCTCCTCTACTGAAACTCTCTACTCCTCTGTCCCAACCCCACCTCTCTACCTGGCTAATTCCCTCACCTTTGGGTCTTAGTATAATTATCATTTCCTCAGGCAAGGGTTCTCTGGCTCCTAAGATTAGGATGCTCTCAAAGGGTACTTAAAATCTCTGGTTTTGCCTATATCAAACACCAATTAATTCTCTATCTAATTATGTTTTAATATCATCTTTCCAACTGCACTGTAAGAAACACCATGACAGAGCCACAGCTGTTTTACTCATGATTCTTTCCCAGCCCCTGAAACAAAGTAATAACCTAAAAATATCTATGGACTGACTGTTGGGTGCAATGCAAATGCATGCAGTAAGCTTGGCAGCAAGTTCTGCATGGCAAGACAGGGATAGAAATCTGGGTGGTTGTGTAAGCCTTGGAAGGTCATGATTAGGAATGGAAGGGAAAGAGAAGAGAAAAGGAGAGAATATTTTCAACTTCACAATTTGCCTAAACTTTGTTCATGCTATTTCTTATTGGCCCCCACTTTTTCTATTTCTTGCGGCCTCCTCTTTGTGTGTTTTGGTAGGAACAATGCTAAAATTATATAAAAACTTATGTAGTGCTCGCCAGGTGCCAAGCACTGTTCTAAATGCTGCACATATTAACTCATTTGGTCATAATAGTAGCCCTTATAGAAAAATAACTTTGTTATCTCCATTTGCAGTTGAGGAAACTGAAGCGTTGAGAGGGTAAGTAATTTCCCAAATTCACACAGATAGAATATTGTAGACCTAGGGTTGGAACTCAGCACTCTGACTTTAGAATGCATGCTCCTTTAAGACCATCCTGGCTAACACCGTGAAACCCCGTCTCTACTAAAAATGCAAAATATTAGCCAGGCATGGTGGAGGGCGCCTGTAGTCCTAGCTACTTGGGAGGCTGAGGCAGGAGAATGGCTTGAACCCGGGACGCGGAGCTTGCAGTGAGCCGAGATCGCGCCACTGCACTCCAGCCTGGGCGACAGAGCGAGACTCCGTCTCAAAAAAAAAAAAAAAAGAATGCATGCTCTTAAATGCTTTGCTAAGGTTATGTGGAAAGATAGTGTCGATGACATCCCTGCTTAATTAACATCTGTTTCCAAACTTCTTTTCCCTTGCCCATATCCTTTATAGGAAAAGTTAAATTTGATTCTTTCCCAGTCTCTTGCATCTAGTGGTGGCTGTTCATGCCAGTTCTGATACATATGGCACAAGTAGATGTCTTTTGAAGAGAGAATACTTCTGGGAAAGCAATTGCTTTTCTGAAAACATAATAGGATAAATGTGGGTGGTGCCATATTTTCCTTTGTTTCCTGTCTGGAATACAGATATGAAGCCTGGAGTTCTAGTAGCCATTTTGTATCCATGAAGGAAAACCAAAGAATCATAGCAGTCATAGCCGAAGCCTTGATAATATAGAGGCAATGAACCAATGTCAGCACCTAACGGTATAACTTGTCCTTATTACGTCATTAAAAATAAACTACAGTTTGCTTATTCACTCTTGGTAATGTTTTCTGTTAGTTGTAATTGAAGACAAGCTGAAATTATACAAGCAACAAAAAACATTATCAAGAGTGATAAACAAATTGAGATTTCTTTTTTAAATTAACTTCCTAACCAAAAGAATGGAGACCTAAGGGACTTCTGAAGCAATACCAAATTATAATGATAATTTGTAAAGGAAAATATTGTGAAGGGCTAGAATTATACCACACTATACTAGTCAGAATCTCAGCAGAGAATAGATCAAACATTCAGAAGGCTTAACGGAAGACAGTGTAAATAAGATCATTTATAGAGGGATTGACAGGGTCAAGGAAACTAACAATGGATGGTGAAACACCAAGAATCAAGCAATGAGCAGGAAGCTGGGCCTGATAAAGCTAACAAGGGAAAAGAGTTACCAGAGGCCAGAAACACCTGGATTTGTGAAAGCGGCTTTACCACAAGGGAGTTTTGTATGTAGAAATACTTAGTCTCCGGCAGACCACAGTAGTCAGGGCTGGAGAAGGGGGTAGGTACGTAACTACACCAATACTTATCCCTTCTGACTCCTGCAGGAGGCCTCCCATGAGTAAGCCCAATTAGAAGCCAGAGGACAGGAGACTCTAGGAGATCTAAGTGGTAGAGATTGGCCTGCTGGGCACTGAGAGGGCAGAGAAGGACTGAGAATAGATCTGGAGGTGGGAAAGTGGGTGGAAGGGATACAAATGGAGAATATAATCAAGCTTGCTCTGGCACAGACAGCAAATAGACTTCCTTCTTCTCTTTGTCTTCTTTTCTTTTACAGATATCCCAGAAATTAGAGTAGAATATTTGATAAAAATAATAAAGGTAATCAGTTCTACCTCCCCCCACCCACAAACTGTGTGACCTGGGGCAAGTTACTAGCCACTGTCTCAATGCATCCCAAGCATGCTCCATATCCTGGTGGCTTCAGTGTCCTAAAAAATGGCTCATCTGATACTCTAGTTATTTGCTTTCTTGATTGACTCAATGACCTTCATTCACTCCCACTCATGACTACACTTTGGACCTTGTTTTCACTGGGAACCGCTCCACTATTGAAAGTCTAACAAAAATAACCCACAATCGGCATACAATGTTGTGGTAGGTTGAATAAAGAACCCCCGTCCCCCAAAATGTTCACATCCTAAACCCTGGAACCTATATTACCTTATACAGCAAAAAAAAAAAAAAAAAAAAAAAGTTGAAGATATAATTAAGTTAAGGATGTTGAGATAGGGAAGTCATCGTGGATTATCCAGGTGGGACCAGTAACATAATGACAGGCATCCTTATAAGATAGCTACTACTGCAGAAGAGGAAACAGCAATGTGATGATGGAAGCACATTGGAGCGATGTAGACACCAGAAGTTAGAAGATAAAAGACAGATTCTCCCTGGATCCCCCAGAAGGAACTAGCCATGGAGACACCTTGATTTTAGCCCCGTAAACTCTTCAAACTTCTAGTCTCCCAAACTGTAAGAGAATAAATTTCTGTTGTTTTAACCCACTAAGTTTGTAGTAATTTGCTAAAGCGGCGCTAGGAACATGACACAAATGTCCTCTCTTTTAAAGCTCCCCATACTTTCAGTAACTCAGAAATGCTCACTGGTGCTTTCACTTTCCCCTAGCCATGTGCTGTTGTCCTTATTCCATCTCTATCTGCAGGCTCACCTGAACACGCCTCCCATCAACATCATCATTTCCCAAGCATCACCCCCCTCTCCTCACACCCACTCAGCAGACACCAACTCTGGGGTCAGTCCTTGTACCCGTCTTCTCCATTCCTACACCTGGAATTCCAAGAACTTCTGAAGAAAATGTCACCATCTCAGGAAAAATCTATGTTCTCCACCTAGTTTGGGATAGCTTTTTTCTCTAATTTTCGTAAACATCTATGTCAGTTCTTTACCACTCTTCTTTATCCCCTCCTCCAATCTCCTTCTATTATATCTCAGCAGGTAACCTCACCTATTTCAGAAAACTGAAGAAAACTGAAACCAGTCATGAAAAACAAGGATATTTTCTTTGGTATTTTCTTTCTAAATACCTATTTACATTCTTTTCCACCTTTACCTCTTTTTGTTCAAATTTCTGTTTCCTGCCTACGTGCTTAGAAGTTATATGAAAAGATATACGCATAAATGCAGAGATAAATATAAACAAAAGCAAAATGACAGCAGCAGACTATCCCCACCAACAGCAGTAGAGAAGGCAAAAGTCTGGCACATTTCTTAAAAACTGCACTAACTGTAGTAGGCTCTTTGGAGTCTAAGATTCTATTGCAACCTATTGGGAGAAGCAAATATTTAAATGAATACATTATAATACAATGTGCAAGTGTAATAGGTGATGTGGGTATGGATATGGGAGAAGCAGAGAGGAGGGAGTGAGCAACTCTGCTAGAATAGTTAGGAAAAGAAGCCCAACATTGGCCAGAGGCTTCATGGGGACTACTATGATGGAACAGGACCTTAAAGGTGGAGTGCCAAAGAAAGTATTCACCAAAGAGGGACCAGTACATCCAAGAGCTGGAGGCATTGAAATGCATAGTGTTTCCAGGGAAGAGTCAGAGGACTGGAATTGCTGGAACATTCCACTGGTGTTAGGAACTGGAAGGAAAGGTTCTGGAGACATAGTCGGGGCCAGGTTCTGCAGGCTTAGGCTGAGTTTCAATATTAATTTGAGGCTAATTTTCCCAAGTTGACCTGATCAAAAGAATCACATAAAACATTTGTTAAAAATATACATTTTCAGGACCTTTCTCTAAAGATCCTGACTTAAGTATAGGATTAAGTATTGCCCCCAGGAATCTGTATTGTAATGAAATGTAGGAACGGAAAGAAGGAAAAATTTTAGAAATAAATTTTAATTTTAATTTTGCCACCTATTAAATATAAGATCCTTAGAAAAACACATAACCTCCTTGAGTTTCACCTTTGAAAAGTGGAAAATGACCTCTACTTTGCAGAACTACTATGGGAAGAAGAAGGGATGTAATAAAGTGCCTGGCATACAGTAGAGAGGCCAAAGTAATAGCTATTACTGTTACTTTTGCCATTATTATGTCCCCTATTGTTCATGAGTTCAGGTCCTCTCTTTTTCTGGACTATTATAGTAACTTTCCAACAAGTCTTCTTACCTCCAGTGTCACCTGAACAAGCAGCAAGAGACTGTGCAGGCACAGGAAATTAAAGGCTGGGATGAAGCATAAGAGGTAGGGGCCAAAAGAAAGACTGGGCAAAATAAGTCAGACACAGAAAGACAAAAACTGTATGATCTCACTTGTATGTGGAATTTAAAACTCAGACTTATAGAAGCAGAGTGGTTGACAAGGATTTGAGGGGAAGAGAAAATGAGTTTTTGGTCAAAGGCTACAAATTTGCAGTTATAAATACAGTAAGTTCTGAGGATCTAATATATAACATGGTGACCATAGTTAATAATACTCTATTGTTTACTTGAAATTTGTTAAGAAGGCAGATTTTAAGTGTCTTCACCCTCCCTCCGAAAAAAAACACAAACAATGGTAACTATGGTTAGTGATAGATGTGTTAATTTGACTATGGTAATTAACACTCACACAGGGTTTACATATATCAAATCGTCATGTTGCACACTTTGAATATGTACAATTTTTATTTGTCAATTAATTATTTCAAGAAAGAAACAAACAAAAGACTAAGCTAAGCCATAGCTCTCATATCAGGCAACCGAACTCTGAAGAATTCACATGTGCTTCTAAGAACAGTGTCAGAGGAAGAGTGAAAACCAACAGACAGTATTTCAGATGTGGAGTTTTAAATTGTACAGTACTATGGTTTACAAACAACCAAGAGGTACAGAACCTTCCCAAGGTGGTCTTCAGGGGAAGAAAAGGAGATTTAATTTAGCACCACTGAAGGCAGAGATTCTGAAAAAAACCTAAAACCATTTTAGGTGTATGCCCCTTCAATTTCAGACTGTTCAAGAATTTGGTAAGAGGGCTGATGCTATCAAAGATGACATGCAGGTCTCTGGCCTGGGAAAATAGGTGAATAGCAGTGCTGTGACATGAGGTGGAAATATAGAAGCCCAGGTCTGGGCATAGAGATTTGTGAGTTGAATGGCTGAAAATGTTAGTGAAAGCATCACTGGGGATGTGATGACATGGGCAGAGTAGAATTAAGGGGATCCAAGAAGAAAATCGTAGGAAGTCTTACATTTAAGAGGCAGTCAAAAGAAAAGTAGTCAATGAAGGCACCAGAGAAGAGAGAGAATAATACACAAAGGGGAGACTATGGCTCGTGAACCCAATTTCACTTCCACAATTGTGCCAAGGGCCAGACTAGTTGAGCAAGCTCTGCTTTTCTCATTCCCGCCAGGAAGACAAAGGGTTTTGTGTTTCAAGAAAGTTCTGTGATGTGTACTAAAGGTAGGCAATATACACTTGTCATTTTCTTTGGCTTAGAACTCTAGATAGGTTCACTGGTCTGTAAAACAAATGCCCAAGAAAGAAAACACATAATGTATTGTTTCCTACATGATTTGGGTACATCAAGCACCAATTATAATACATTGCCTCTTCATACACTGCACTGACCCTAGAGTCATAATTCTATAAGCCAGGAAAAAGGGTAGCTAGAATTAAAAAAATGCATTTGTCATGAGTTCTAAAATGTTTTTCTCAATTTGAGAACGCCAGATTGTGAACTGGTAGACAGATTTAGTGCTGTCTTCTAGATCACATGTCCCTCTGTCCAACTCATAGGAGAATGTAAATAAAATATATTCAAGATATATTTATTGTGAACATAGGTCAGTTAGAGCTACAGAGAAGGAGAATATCTGGTGGCATGAAGACAAGTGTCCAGGTGCTGTGGGGGCCCTGGCATGTTAGCAAGTGCCCTGCAATGGAGGTTCTGTCATTGGTGATGGTAGGTACATAGGTATGTGGTGGTGACTGCACCATCTGATCATTCTTGTTTCAGCAAATTGGCTGTTAAGATCTCTCTCAATTCCTGCCAATCCTAATCCTCCATGCTTCCTAGATTTCTGTGAGCTATGAATGCTTTCTCTACCTAAGTTAACCAGATCTAATTATAGACTTTTTTTTTTGGTGCAACAAAGGGCCCAAACTAGTACAGCACTACTTCAGACTTAGTCTTCCTGGCAATTTGCCTTCAGGGAGCTAGTTCTATAGTGTTTTAGAATAACATATAAGACTTGTGGGATGGGAAGCTTAGTAAATATCTATGGTATCTGTTTGCCTAGCATTTCTTTCCCTGTGTTTCTACTAAGGTACACTCTTACTCTGGTTTTCATAAAGACACATGACCTAAACTTGATCAGACAAAATATTTTATCATTACTTTGTGTCATAGTGATATAAAATGATATACACTTACAGGGCGAGTGTAACCTAAGGCTTGACAATCAGACTTGAGTCTAGAATTGCTTTGTTGAGAGAGATAGGTAAGGGTAAGAAAGAGTGGTAGGAAGGAAGAGAAGATGTAGTAGATGGTGTTCATACCTCACCCACTTCCTTATAAATCTCTTTACCATTTTCATACACCTGCATGTCTTGGTTGGAGGATTGCCCTCAGGATGTCAGATTCACTTTGTACGTGCACATATTTAGCTGAAAGATCTTAGAAATTTATGATTCCCTGGAAGCAGCTCTTAACTAATGACTAATATTTGGTTATCAGGACAAGGCTGAGGGGAAATCTCCATTTTGGAGTCCTCCTGGGGAATTGAGCCAAGGGGATTCACTTGATTTCACACCTGTGCACCTTAGTTTGTCTGCCTTTCCTTCTCTGGCCCCATCTCTACTCCCTCACCAGATTTTCCCAGAAACACTTCCTAATAAATTCCTTTCAAGGTCTGCTTCTAAATAATTTAATCTAACATACCAGAGAAGCCAGAAGTTATCCCTACTTCCCCGTGGATAACAATGCTTGAGAAAATAAAGCCAACAAGCAGAGAGATAAATTGAATCTGCTTCCGATCACTCCAGCCTTTCCAACAGATGGAATGATAAATTCCCTTTTATACCTAAGCTAAATTGACTTTGATTTCTGTCACTTGCAATCAAAAGATATAATTCATCAGGGTGATGCAGAGTGACCCCTTTCCTTGCTTAATCCAACAACAAATCTCACAGATATGATGTACATGATATCATTGTGAAGGGAAATAAATCAGCAATGTTTTCTGAACAAAGTTATTAGGAGGCCACTGTCATATTTACTGTGCCTTAGATGCCATGTGCCCAATTCATGATTTGTGATTTTTGTACCTTTCATTAGAGCTTATTGTGCTGTTTCCAAACTTTTCCACAGCATAATCAAATTAAAAAATTCAGTCTATCTTGATATATTCCATATCACATATCTTGCCTATGTTAGGAAAGAAAAAAAGAATAAAGAGCAAAATCTTTCTGAAATGCAAATATGATCATGTCAGACCAAGTTTAAGGACCTTCAATACCTCATTCTTGTCCTCAAGATAAGGTTCACACTCCTTAAAATAGCCTCAAAATTCTTCATTATGTGGGGTCTGTTGCAATCTCTGCCCACAGTCTTCCCATCCACCCCACATTCTACTCACAATGAAAACTTTTCACTCCTTGAATGACATGCTCTTTCTTGGCCCTGAACCTTTGTCCTTCCTCTTTCTCCATATGCCCACACCCTCAGATTCTCAATTCACTCAGATTATCACATTTTAGGTTTCAGAACTTAACTAAGGTGTTACTTCTTCCAGGAAGCCCTCTTTGATGTCCTGCCTTCCCCCAGATTCAGATTAAGGTTTCCTCCTAGGTGCTCCCAGTATTCCCTTTACTTTCCTATAATTGTATATGTCACCTTTTTTTGTGAATAAATAGTGTTCCAATTAAGAATATATGGCCTTTGACAGAAGATTTTGTCTGTCTGTCGAATGCTATATTTCTGGAGTTTAGCACAGTGTCTGTCTCACAGAGTCACAATAGTATTGAATGAATGAATGAATGAATGAATGAGAGATGTTGAAAGAGAAGAAATAATATCTTTTTGAACACCAGCATAGCTGGTCATTAAATTCCAAGCAGGAAACATCTTCTTAGAGGAAATGTGCTGATGGGAAATAGATGACTACATCTATTCCTCCCCAGCATATGTCTCCCTGGGTATCATCTCTTTATGAGAGCTAAAGTTAATAACCATAAAATGTGTGCTCAGCAACAAGATAACTCCTGTGATTTAACAACAGGAACTACAGTCATTTAGCCATGATACCTGGCTTCCCTCCCAGAATAAGATACCCAAGTTCTCTTAAAAAAAAAAAGCAACTAAGTGTACCCACAGCTGAGAGACTTAGGTTGATCACTTAACCTCTTTATTGTTATATTAATTTATGGATTAATGTCCAGAGGCAGCTAGCTGTAAAGACTTCTCTTCAAAACAATTTCATTTTTAAACTTGTCTCATCTAGTAGCCAGACAGATTAAGGAATAAGGAGACTGATTTATGGAGCAAGGTGTAAGAATGGAAATCAGAAGTTTGTGAACTATGAAGAAAATTGTAATATATTGTTTCTTAGCAGGAGAAAGACTAGACAGCACCTGTGTATCAGATTGAAGAACAGCATTTATTGAGAGGAAAGTTACCATACACACAAATGGAAAACACACATAACATGATGACCTTCACCATAAGGTACAGACAGCCACATAAATAGAAGGCACTATCTATGTATGCTCTTTTTTATCTAGTGAAGTAAGACACTTACACTCTCTCAACAAGTTGATTTGTTTTAAGCTGTCAGGTTTGCCCTGACCAGGATCACTATGCTGGATGTTATGTACTCAAACAATAGGCTAACCAATCTCAGAAATGGAAGCTACGACTAGTACTGCCCTCCTCCGTGCAGTATCCTTGATTGTTTTGCTGGATATCAGTCATCATTTCTTAGGAGTATTAATCCCAAATCAGCATAACTGAGGAAAAACATCAAAATAAACTTTCTTCCAATCCTCAAAAACTTTTATTAGAAAAGAATAGAATGAGGAGAAAAAGTATTACAAGTCTGAGGATTGACAGTGGCACGAATCATAATGCATGCTTATGAATGACTGGGTAGAAGACCAGTTAGGTTGAACTGAAGAGCTTGTGTAATGGGGTATTGAGGGAAAAATGCTGTAGATTGAAAGACTTTTTTAAAAAGTGTGGTTATAGGGTAGAGGCTTGCCAAACTTGTGCTTTGGGAATAAGAAGCTGGAAATGTTGTACAGGATACATGGCAGGATGGAGAGAGTACAGGCAAGTCATATGTAGTATTCTATGCAAAAATCATGATGGTAAGAAAAAAAGATGTTAAGGGTAGCAGAGACATTTCAAGCAGATGCAACAAATGCTTACAGCATGGATGGTGAAATGTAGGGCTAAAATTTAAAGATGATTAATGAAAGCGGATGACTTGTCCTTTGAAGTGAAATTACTTATTTAACCCAAACACATATGAATACCTAATTCCGGAAACATTTGTTGTCATCATTCTATTTATAGTTCATGACTTGCAAGAATAAAATAAGGCATCTTGCACAAATAGCTTTCTTTTCCTGACAAATCTTATTGAATAAGAGATTGTCAGATATAAAGAGTTTAGTCATTACAGATGGAAATGAGAGCTGTACTGCTAAGACTCTGACTTATTTATCTCATTTATTGGCAGTTTCCCAAAAGGGAAGACAGAGATATATTAAGGTTTACTTATGTTACTTCCCTTTGTGCAATCTAGTTCACCCTCAGCCTGATTCAAGGGAGGCAGCATTATGGTCAGATTAATCATATATTTAGAAAAAAAATGTTCTCTAGGTTACTTAGCATTGAAAAAGTTATATATTTATATTAAGCTCTTGAACTCAGATCAGTTAAACCCATAAAGAATGAGCTTGAAATGCAAGAAACACATCCTGGAGTCATTCTGATGGGATTGCTAAACTTTTCATCCTGGGCATAGAGCAGATAAAAATGATGCTTCTCTGATTTAACAAAAGAGTAACAGGCATAAGACATCTGCTGATGAAAGGTGCAAGCATTTTGACTTAAGGGGGTCCCTTTATAATGTTTGAATGGAAACTGTGATACACCGTATCTTATCATCTTTGAAAGTGTTCAGCCTCCTCCAAAATGAAGTGATTATTCTGTTTCTAGGGAAAGATAATGCACTGGTTTAATAAAAGCTGAATGCCAAAGACATCAATAGTATAATGATGGTAAACTTGGCATCTCTGTCCTTTAGTTACTGAGAGAAAAAGTGTGTTGTACATATTTAGGACATAATAAATGCCAAACACTTTGAAAGGTACATTCACACACTTTTCTTATTTTAACCTCATAACAGACTTGAAAGTATTATCGTTATTATTTTTACAGATAAAGAAATGTTCCTCATATCACATAGTAAGGATCAGGCCTAGAATTTGAATACAGGTCTGTACTTTTCTAAGCTATCTTCTATTAACAAACAGCGATAAAGCATGATGCTTGAGAGTGTGGTCCCTAACAGCCACTTACGGTGAACACTGGGAAAGAATTCTCTTTGTTTGAGGTAAAAAGAGCCATGGCTCAGCAGAACACTGAGGCTCAGAGGAAAGCCTAGAGTTACTACTGTGATCTCCCTAGATCTGTGGGAAGTGAGAGGACTTGAGAAACATTCCCAGCTGACCCCACATTTCCACACATATCAGGAAACAGTACCTGACAGAATGTGGGTTAGAATTAAATACTAGCGATGATGGTGGAGTTGGAATTTCATTAACAAAACCAGATGGAGGTTACCCTCACACCTCTGAATTTTTGAAATTAAGTCCTTGATTATTTTTTTCTTTCCGTCCCTCTCTCCCTGTCCCTCCCACCCACCCATTTCCCTCCCTCCCTCCCTCAGTCCCTTCCTTCCTTCCCTCCCTCCCTTCCTCCTCCTTTTTTTTTTTTTTAATTATACTTTAAGTTTTAGGGTACATGTGCACATTGTGCAGGTTAGTTACATATGTATACATGTGCCATGCTGGTGCGCTGCACCCACTAACTCGTCATCTAGCATTAGGTATATCTCCCAATGCTATCCCTCCCCACTCCCCCCACCCCACAACAGTCCCCAGAGTGTGATGTTCCCCTTCCTGTGTCCATGTGTTCTCATTGTTCAATTCCCACCTACGAGTGAGAATATGCGGTGTTTGGTTTCTTGTTCTTGCGATAGTTTACTCAGAATGATGATTTCCAATTTCATCCATGTCCCTACAAAGGACATGAACTCTTCATTTTTTATGGCTGCATAGTATTCCATGTTGTATATGTGCCACATTTTCTTAATGCAGTCTATCATTGTTGGACATTTGGGTTGGTTCCAAGTCTTTGCTATCGTGAATAATGCCGCAATAAACATATGTGTGCATGTGTCTTTATAGCAGCATGATTTATAGTCCTTTGGGTATATACCCAGTAATGGGATGGCTGGGACAAATGGTATTTCTAGTTCTAGATCCCTGAGGAATCGCCACAATGACTTCCACAATGGTTGAACTAGTTTACAGTCCCACCAACAGTGTAAAAGTGTTCCTATTTCTCCACATCCTCTCCAGCACCCGTTGTTTCCTGACTTTTTAATGATTACTATTCTAACTGGTGTGAGATGGTATCTCATTGTGGTTTTGATTTGCATTTCTCTGATGGCCAGTGATGATGAGCATTTTTTCATGTGTTTTTTGGCTGCATAAATGTCTTATTTTGAGAAGTGTTTGTTCATGTCCTTTGCCCACTTTTTGATGGGGTTCTTTGTTTTTTTCTTGTAAATTTTTTTGATTTCATTGTAGATTTCAAAACCGCTCAACTACATGGAAACTGAACAACCTGCTCCTGAATGACTACTGGGTACATAACGAAATGAAGGCAGAAATAAAGATGTTCTTTGAAACCAACAAGAACAAAGACACAACATACCAGAATCTCTGGGACACATTCAAAGCAGTGTGTAGAGGGAAATTTATAGCCCTAAATGCCCACAAGAGAAAGCAGGAAAGATCCAAAATTGACACCCTAACATCACAATTAAAAGAACCAGAAAAGCAAGAGCAAACACATTCAAAAGCTAGCAGAAGGCAAGAAATAACTAAAATCAGAGCAGAACTGAAGGAAATAGAGACACAAAAAACCCTTCAAAAAATTAATGAATCCAGGAACTGGTTTTTTGAAAGGATCAACAAAATAGATAGACCACTAGCAAGACTAATAAAGAAAAAAAGAGAGAAGAATCAAATAGACACAATAAAAAATGATAAAGGGGATATCACCACCGATCCCACAGAAATACAAACTACCATCAGAGAATACTACAAACACCTCTATGCAAATAAACTAGAAAATCTAGAAGAAATGGAGAAATTCCTTGACAAATACACTCTCCCAAGACTAAACCAGGAAGAAGTTGAATCTCTGAATAGACTAATAACAGCATCTGAAATTGTGGCAATAATCAATAGCTTGCCAACCAAAAAGAGTCCAGGACCAGATGGATTCACAGCCGAATTCTACCAGAGGTACAAGGAGGAACTGGTACCATTCCTTCTGAAACTATTCCAATCAATAGAAAAAGAAGGAATCCTCCCTAACTCATTTTATGAGGCCAGCATCATTCTGATACCAAAGCTGGGCAGAGACAAAACCAAAAAAGAGAATTTTAGACCAATATCCTTGATGAACATTGATGCAAAAATCCCCAATAAAATACTGGCAAACTGAATCCAGAAGCACATCAAAAAGCTTATCCACTACGATCAAGTGGGCTTCATCCCTGAGATGCAAGGATGGTTCAATATACACAAATCAATAAATGTAATCCAGCATATAAACAGAACCAAAGACAAAAACCACATGGTTATCTCAATAGATGCAGAAAAGGCCTTTGACAAAATTCAACAACGCTTCATGTTAAAAACTCTCAATAAATTAGGTATTAATGGGATGCATCTCAAAATAATAAGAGCTATCTATGACAAACCCACAGCCAATATCATACTGAATGGGCAAAAGCTGGAAGCATTCCCTTTGAAAACTGGCACAAGACAGGGATGCCCTCTCTCACCACTCCTATTCAACATAGTGTTGGAAGTTCTGGCCAGGACAATTAGTCAGGAGAAGGAAATAAAGGGTATTCAATTAGGAAAAGAGGAAGTCAAATTGTCCCTGTTTGCAGACGACATCATTGTATATCTAGAAAACCCCATTGTCTCAGCCCAAAATCTCCTTAAGCTGATAAGCAACTTCAGCAAAGTCTCAGGATACAAAATCAATGTACAAAAATCACAAGCATTCTTATACACCAACAACATACAAACAGAGAGCCAAATCATGAGTGAACTCCCATTCACAATTGCTTCAAAGAGAATAAAATACCTAGGAATCCAACTTACAAGGGATGTGAAGGACCTCTTCAAGGAGAACTACAAACCACTGCTCAAAGAAATAAAGGAGGATACAAACAAATGGAAGAACATTCCATGCTCATGGGTAGGAAGAATCAATATCGTGAAAATGGCCATACTGCCCAAGGTAATTTATAGATTCAATGCCATCCCCATCAAGCTACCAATGCCTTTCTTCACAGAATTGGAAAAAACTACTTTAAAGTTCATATGGAACCAAAAAAGAGCCCGCATCGCCAAGTCAATCCTAAGCCAAAAGAACAAAGCTGGAGGCATCACACTACCTGACTTCAAACTATACTACAAGGCTACAGTAACCAAAACAGCATGGTACTATTACCAAAACAGAGATATAGATCAATGGAACAGAACAGAGCCCTCAGAAATAATGCCGCATATCTACAACTATCTGATCTTTGACAAACCTGAGAAAAACAAGCAATGGGGAAAGGATTCCCTATTTAATAAATGGTGCTGGGAAAACTGGCTAGCCATATGTAGAAAGCTGAAACTGGATTCATTCCTTACACCTTATACAAAAATCAATTCAAGATGGATTAAAGACTTAAACGTTAGACCTAAAACCATAAAAACCCTAGAAGAAAACCTAGGCATTACCATTCAGGACATAGGCATGGGCAAGGACTTCATGTCTAAAACACCAAAAGCAATGGCAACAAAAGACAAAATTGACAAATGGGATCTAATTAAACTAAAGAGCTTCTGCACAGCAAAAGAAACTACCAACAGAGTGAACAGGCAACCTACAAAATGGGAGAAAATTTTTGCAACCTACTCATCTGACAAAGGGCTAATATCCTCCTCCTTCTTCTTCTTCTTCTCCTTCTTCTTCTTCCTCTTCTTCTCTTCTTTTTTTTCTTTTTCTTCCTTTTCTTCTCCTCTCTCTCTCTCTCTCTTTCTTTTGCTGCTTGGTAACTCCTAAGAAATTTTAGCTCAGAAAACACTTATTTGATACATTTGTATGTGATCTTTACTTCCCTTCTGTTCTTTCTTTCCTCTCTTCCTTCCTGTAAGTTTTGCCAGTTTCAGAGGCAGAATCAAATAGAAAAAGACTACCCTTCATGAAGCCAGTCTTAAAAGAGAGACTGCTGGGACTCTGTTGAAGTGGAAGACTTTTTTAACCAAGATGACAAGGAAAGCATTGCTAAAGGTAGAATCAAAATCAAAGCAGTGTTTAAGAGGGCACATTCCCATGAACCTGGGAAGTTGATGTGGATGGTCAATTCTGAAAAGTGAGGTGAGGATGAAAATAGGAGGATGAAAAGCTCTGGGAATATCAAGAGTAAGACAATGAATGTTACAGGAATAAGTCAGGACAAGCTAAAGTTCTGGAAAGAAGAGAGTGCTGATGCTCTAATTTTTATGTGGCATTTGGTATGCAGTGTAGGTGATTATGCAAAGAAATTTTATAGGACTGGGTATTTATTTTGTATTTTGTCAAATATCTTGTGCATCAAAAAGCTTCTTATGGATGAATTCTACTTATAACATATTGAGCCTTTCTTTGTTGTTGTTTTGACTTTGAAAAATATTTGACCTACTCATAAAGAAAATATATTGACAGTTATTTTCCCCCTAGAGGGAGTATATGTGTAGGAACTAGCAAGAGTGAAGTCATAATTTTGGACCTAATCTTAGGAATACCATGATGTGTCATTTCTCTGACTTCTAAAATTGAAGTCAAAGAGAGATGCAGGATCATTTTCTATTCTTTGGCAAAAGGTATTATAGAAATGCAGAGTATCGGCCTATCATTTACACAGCCTTGAACTGTGCTGTCCTCAGAATACAAAACAGAAAATTGCAGTTGGAGGCTATTGCAACTGACTTCCTCTGATTCATGAATAATTTCCATTCAACTCAAATAGCAGAAATAACCCTCAATAAGAAAGAGGCACATGATAGCTCCACCTATCAATCCATGCAGGTGAACATAAAACTACCAACTTTTACATGGACAGATGTGATTTGTTATCTCCATCCTAGTGGAAAAATAAAATCAAATTTATACTTTACCGTGCTTAAGAAGACACCGACTCACGGTTAATCGCTGTGATTCATTCCTAAGCCATTGCTCTTCCTTCAAAGCTGAAGCATGACCCAGTCAGGTTCACTACTAATTCATGTAGCAGCCACATTTACAACTGAAATGCAAGGGTGGGGGTTCAAGGTGGGGTGAAGGTGGAGGGGAGGGGAGGTGAGGGGGAAGTAGCTCTAGGAAATATCAGATGATTATCTACTTATCTAGTTATCAGATGATTATCTGTTATCTAGTTAATAGAAAAGTGATAGGTAACCAAAGAGATTAAATGTAAGACACATATTTGTAATTATAGGTTACAATTTGTAATTGCTATTTGTTATTTGTAATTGTAGGTCAATCCAGAAATGGAGACAATTCCTGGCTGCATACATCCACATAATGTAATTTACTGCATAGATTATTAACTGCATAGTACCTAGTTCACTGCAATAAACTACAATAATTTACAATAAACATTTTTTTCCAAAAGCATCAAGTTATATTTTTGCTGTTGTTTAGATGTGTCTGGTATATAAATGGAACAACATTGCTCTAAGTAGAATTGTTTCTTTAAAAGTAAGATCCGGGAAACGTTCATAACTACTCTGCATCTCTGTTACAATAGTAAGGGTGCAGAACATGTCAGCTAAAGGGTGTCTAGTCCCCAGCATGATGCCTGGCAGTAAATCAAGGATGAGCCTTCACTGCTTCAAGTCCTTTCATCTAGAATGCTTCAGTGAGTTTTTATGGGGAAATCATTTCCCCCTCTTTCTTAAGATCATTTATCATTTAGTTGTATAAACTGATATTTACATCTGTCACAAATGCTCAACCCTATCCCAGAGCATATTAAGGGAAACTTGTGGAATATTTATGTGTTATGTGTATACAAAAAGAGGTTGTCTACAAAACCTCTATAAAAGACAAGTTGCCATTTCCCATACCTTGGGGGAATAGTAGAAGCACTTTTCTCTTCTCCCCTATGCTGAATTTACTGCCATTTTCTTGCCTTCTTTATAGGAAACTCTACCTTTTGTGTATTTAAAACACTGCTAGGTGTTTGTGGAAAACAGAAGAAGAAACTTGCTACTTTCTAATTTTTGTTGTTGAGAAGACACAATAATATGGTATTTTATAGTTAGGGTTGTCAAAAGCAAATCTGTGCTTCGCCACATAACAGCAGGACCTTTGGAAAATTATTTGACTGTTCTAAATGCCAGTTCCCTCTCTGTAACATGGAAACATAATAGCATTGAGGTCTCAAAGTTTCTGTACATGAAATAATGTACATGAAGCACATTGTACATTGCCTCTTTAATTCTCAAACCACTCCATGAAGTGAAACTATTATTATTTCTCATTCAACAGATTTGTTCATTAAATTTCCCAAGGTCACTCTGTTAACTAGTAGTGGACATGGTATTCAAACCCAGCTCTGCCTGACTCTAGGGCCTGAACTCCTTATCACTCATGAGACTCCTCCCTAGGTACTTCACTAGTTTCTAACAAGGAAGGATTTAAGTCACCGTCAGAGCTCTGCTATATAATCAATTCTTGTATTTGTGATATTTGTAATTTGGTCTAGCCTTATTGTATAGAAACCTGTTGTATTAGTCCATTCCCACACTGCTATGAAGAAGTACCCAAGACTGGGTAATTTATAAAGAAAAGTGGTCTAATTGACTCACAGTTCCTTATGGCTGGGGAGGCCTCAGGAAACTTACAATCATAGCAGAAGGCACCTCTTCACAGGGCTGCAGAAGAGAGAATGAGAGCAAGTAGGGAAAATGTCAGGTGCTTATAAAATCATCAGATCTCATGAGACTCACTATCACGAGAACAGCATGGGGGGAACCACCCCCAGGATCCAATTGCCTCCACCTGTTTCTGCCCTTGACCTGTGGGGTTTTTAAGGATTATAATTCAAGATGAGATTTTGGGTGGGGCACAGCCAAACCATATCACCTGTCTCCAGTTTTCATACCATACTACAGATACAGCCATTTCACATCCAATCGTGGGTTATTGTTTTAAAATCACACATCTAAAAATCTCCTCAAGCATTGCTCTAATTTGATATCTAACAGGTAATTCCCAAAGGCTAGCTGCAGTGAAGGTTCTGGGGCTCAGGGTAGGCAGAGCAACTCAGCAGCTGGTATAAAATGGGCTCTTCTCCAGGTGTCCTGCAGGTTACACTTATATTCACAAATGTTAATCCAGCTGCTACCTGTTTGAAATTGCTAATAGAGTTATAACAGATTACCTTTCTTCAAGCCAATACCAGAAAATTCAAACCAGAGACAAAATTAGTCCTGCAGGTACTGGCAGCTTAATAATAGCTTATCCCTGAGGATCTCAATCTTTGTGGTCTCAGAAAAAGTGCTTGTAAAAAGCATTGAAGATCCAAAAGTAGTTATGTGTGTTAATTATGTATTACTGGGCTCCATATTAAAAATTAAAACTGATACTTTTATTTGAAATAACAATAATAAACCCATTACATGTTAGTATAAATTAATGTTAACATAAACACCTTTAAATAAAAAATATATTTTTCAAAACAAAAAAAATTAGTGAGGAGTATGGCGTTGTTAAACATTTTTGCAAATCTCCTTTATGGCTTAATAAAAGATAACTGGATTTTTACATCTGCTTCTGCATTCAATCTGTCACAGTATTACACTTCCTGTAGATTCTGGAAAATGTCATTCTTCACTCATGAGGGAATAAGAAGGAAAGAAAATATAACATTTTAGAATGATGATTAAGATAGTTTTGAACTTACAGAATCCCTGGAAAGATCTTGGGGACATACAAGAGTCTCTACCCGACATTTTGAGAACCACTAGCTAGAAGTATACTTGATATAGCTAGAAATAAACTTGATGCCATAAGGAATGTCCTACTGATGCAGTTGGTTTGATTGATAGTTCAATAATATTCATGACTAAAATCATTCAAGCTTTAAAAAGTAGACTATTTAGTAACACAAGGTTTGAATTTGTGAGTTCCAAAACTTTTACACAAGTAGTGGGAAGGTCTGGGACCTTTGTCATTATAGCTTTTGCAGATGTCAGAAATAATAGTATTTCTTTCCTATGATCTTTGTTCACTTAGAGTGTGATCTGACTGGTGTCAAAAGTCACTTAAAAGACTGGTTGTGAGATTCAAATATATATTCCTTCCAAGAGTATTTACTGGACAGTGAGGTACCCATCTTCAAAGGATCCAGCAGGCATCTGGTGTGTAAACAAGTCTGTGGTGGCCCAGTTGGCTTTCTTTTCCACAGGTTCTGAGGGAGTCCACATCTCCCCCTTTTTTCCACTGTGTCCTTTAGCGGACCACTTCAGCACACATAGCCTGGTTCTCTTGCATTGTAACAGGCCCACAGAATCTCTGGGCACTTATGCTTTCCTGCTTCTGAGCATATTCCTTATAGTTTCCATGGTTACATTGGTGAAGCTCCAAGTAGTCCAGATGGCTGCAGAACACAGTTCTTTGATTACCTCTCCTCAGAGTACCCACCTGCTTTCTTCCGTCCCATTTGATTTTCTTTCATCCTTGGCCCAAGGAGATCTTTAACAGCCTGCAGTTCCTAGTGACCTTGTTAATTTGTGAAGCTCATTCCAAATAGTCTCCATTAGTAATATTCAGCTAACTCTGCAGTTAGTTAGGCATATAATAAACCTTGAAAATAAGTCTGATACCAATGTTATCAATATTTATAAATTTTCTTAAATCTTATAAAATCATCATTATTGCTGCTATGCACAAGTTCTTAAAATTTAACATATTCATATCATGCATCTTGCAATTTGTAGGACTTTCTTAGAACTACTGTGATATAAATCATAACATAAAATATCAGTTATGATGTATCAATAAGTGATAAGCTAACATATTTGTAACTATTTTCAGTTTAAAAAGTCCTTTCATAGACATTATTTCATTTAATCCCCAACAAATGCTCTTTCAGATAGTTACCTCTTATGCCTATTTTACAAATGAGAAAAAGAAATGAGGCAATGGGAGGTTAATTAACTTGTTTGAGTAATCAACAGGCTGTTTTCCAATTATGGGTCTTCAGATTAACAACTTAGCCCCTTTCTGTTATACTGGTGTTTTGTGTATTTAAGGTATTTCCATATTATTTGCCATATCCATGTGCTCGAATTTGCTGTATCAAATAAAGCTATTTAATTCTAGTTGGAAACTGTTGCCTACTAAAAAAACAAAAACAAAAACTTAGGGGGAAAATAGCATGAGGTTGAGAAGTTGTTAAAGTCATACCAATACCAAACTGTGGCTTCCTCTTTAAGAACTGAAAGGAAATTGAATAAGGAATAACTTTAACAATACACTACGTATAATCCTTTTAATATCTACCCATGCTTGCTCATTGAATTTTGAGCACTGTCTTCAATCATTCTGAATCCCTTGCCTCAATGAGTTCCAAGTCTCCCATAAAGCAGGTGATCAACCAAAATCTTTTAAAACTGTTTGAAAGTGGAGACCCCCCCAAAAGGAAATCAATATGTGACTTTCAGCATAAATTGTGGCATGGCATATTTGAAAAAGTAACGGAAGTAAAACACATTTAGTTAGCGAAGAGCATCAAGTTTATCATAGAAGTGATTGTTGAGAATGTCACCCAAACTCACCCAAAAATTCACTGCAATTGTCTAGGAGGAAGGAAGTGGAGACAACATATAGCTGATTCAGGTCTCATTTCAAAGAGCTTCTTTATAGGAGAGAAACATGTATATCAAGTTAGGATTCCAGTTAGGAACAAAGATAGGATGAGCCCATGTTTCCCAATCTCTTCTGTGAGAGAACACTGTAATACTGGAATAAACATAAAGAGGCTGCGGTAGCTGTAAGAACTTCCTTAGAGGCTAAGAGTTCCTGAGTGGCTGCCAGAGTCTGGGGATCAATATCTCTGGAAACTTGCAGATCACTTGTAGCTCACTAGGCTACAGCACCACATTGGTGGGAAGCTCTGCTGTAGGAAACTGCTGAGAGGACCATGGAATAAGAAGAAAAAAACATAGCCCCTGACAACAAAGAATTAATTCTTTCTTCCAGAAAAAAATGTACAAAGCATTGATAGTGGCAGTGGCCTGTCTGGAGCAGCCACTGTGAGGACACCGGCTGTAGCAGGGGAGTCATAGCCAGGGCTGCATGCTCCATGGAGCTGGCAGGGGCAGGGCACAGGTGATCCCAGTGGGAGTCCCACACCCTACAGAGTTGGCAGAGTGGAAGCCCACACTCCTGGGTGAAGCTGCAGTCACTCAGCTGTGGCTCTGGACCTGGGCATCCCTGTGCTCTCAGGGAACCCAGGAAGCTCCCAGGGACCCAGGAAGCTCCCTGCCCCTGCAGGCTCAGAAGTGCTTCTCCCACTCCCTGGCCTCTCCCTGCTGCCAGCACCCACTATGGATGTGTCTCAACAGCCAAGCCCAGGCACTGTTGTGACCCGGCTGGGTGTGTGCACACTCAGGATGGTGCTGACATGCCAGCCCCCTGCTTCCTCGACCCCCCCAAAAAATAACCTCTAAGGCTGAAACTTTGGGTGCCAATGAGCACAGGAGGGAGGTTGGGGGACTGAGGGTGGCTCAAGGCAGGCCTGCAGTTGCCCCTTGATGCAGACAGCCTGGGCACCATGGATGGCATGTTGATGGTGGCAAAAGGCAGAAAGGTTCCTAGGCAGCAAGGGGTGGGTCCCCACTGAAACCCCACCTTCAAGCCAGGGATGGCCTAAAGTCTGGGGGCTGGGCTTCCAGTTCCAGGTAAAGTACGAGACCCTGAGTGAGAACTTCCTTGATGCCTTTCGGCCAATCAGATGGTGCTTTTTCCAGGCCTGCCCATGGCCGCTCATGGATCAATCAGCATGCGCTTCCACCAAAGAACTAGTCAGCATGCACATCCTTCATTCTGAGCCCATAAAAACCCCACACACAGCCAGACTCACACACTTATTGGGACTACCTGCCTGTGGATAGGAGCTTCCCACTTTAGGTCTCCTCTGCACTCGTTGGGACTACGTGCCTGTGGATAGGAGTAACCACTTCAGGTTTCCTCTACACTCGTTGGGACTATGTGCCTGTGGATAGGAGCTAACCACTTTAGGTCTCCTCTCCGCTGAGAGCTGTTCTGTCACTCAATAAAGCTGCTCTTCAACTTGCTGACCCTCCAGTTGTCCATGTAATTTCATTCTTCCTGGATGCTGGACAAGAACTCAAGACCTGCTGAACAGAGGGAGTTAAAGGAGCTGTAACACATTCCTGGCTGGCTTGCTGAGCTGCAGGGATAACATGCTCTCGGACTGTGGTAGTGAAGAGGGGTGACCCTTCTGGGGGCTCAGACCTCAGGATTTCCCCAGCCAGAGCTGCTGTAACACTATAGTCATCCTGCCCTCCACCAGAGCCAGGCAGCCATCCCATGCAACGGGAAGCAGCAGCAGGGCTAGGAGCCATGGGCTGGAGAGGGGCAGTGGGACTGAAAGAGTGGTAACACAAACAGGCTGAAACATACCCCCCCTTCCATTTGCCGCGCTGAGGGTGACGAGAAGGAGAGAAGAGCTGTGGCCCTTCTGGGAGTCCAGACTTCAGGCTCCCTGAGCCAGGGCTGTGACATGCTGTAACACCCTTTTGAGGGCTCTGCGGTTCCTCGTGTCTCCAAGCTTTTGATCGCTACCATGTTCCCCTCACCAGTCAGTGGTACCCTCAGTGGAAACCACTTACAATACGTCTGGCCCAGCTGTAACCTCATACAAAGCTGGTGCCTGTGCCAGCGCCTGGAGCTGCCTGCCCTGCTGCAGCAGCCAGCATGCCTGGCTGTCCACAGTGGCCAGACCCCGCACTCACACACACTTTGCTGCACCATACCTGGCTTGCCCTTGAGAGGTGTAGAAATGCAGCATCTCAGGTTGCTGCCTGTGGTGTGAGCCAAGCACAGACTCCCAGGTCAAGCATGTGGAACAAGCCCAGCGGGCACAAGCAAATCTCAAGCAGAGTTGCTGCTGGCCACAGAGGTTTCCAGCTGGAGAAGTGACACCCAAAGGACCCTGTGACTGCATTTTGTATGAGGAAGGCACTGTAATAGATACTATGGACATAAGGCAGATTTGTATTAAACAGAATTTTCAGTTTTACCTTGGAGAAGGAAAACATTGACCTACAACTTGTGACACATAGTGACAGACATTTTAAATTTCTCAGAGCTTACAAGTATTCAAGAAATGACTACTATATATTTCTCTGCCAAATTAAATTTCTTTTCCACACTCAATTTTTATATACTTTACAGCCATTAATTTCATGGTATGCATTTTACTTCTTCCAATTGCCTCATCAAATAATATATAAACACTTTAATCTAAATTTATTTCTCTCTTTCCAGGAAAACAGTTTATTGGGTACTAATAATATAAGGGGTATTCCACTTGTGCTTTATATAAACTATTTTAAACTTACATCAACCCCACAAAACTGGAATAATCGCCCAATTTTACAGATGAGAACATTTTGGCCAAAGAAAAAAAGTAAATAATAGACAATAACCCAGCATTAAAATGGAGGCATTCCTGACTTAAAAGCCAATCCCTTTTCACTGCCATATATTTCAGTTTTGGAATCTATCTCCATTAATCTTTGTATTGAGTTAATAAAACAAATATAGAAAATTATCCACTGTTAGACTAATGTTCTTCCTCTATTTACTTCACAGACTGACAGATTGATAATCACATACATATACCTATACATATGTGTATTAGTGCCTTTTTATGCTGCTAATAAAGACATACCTGAGACTGGGCAATTTACAAAAGAAAGAGGTTTAATGGACTTAGAGTTCCACATGGCTGGAGAGGCTTCACAATCCTGGTGGAAGGCAAAGAGGAGCAAGTCACATTTTATATGGATGGCAGCAAGCAAAGAGAGAGCTTGTTCAGGGAAACTTCCATTTTTAAAACCATCAGATGTCATGAGACCCATTCACTATCACAAGAACAGCACCAGAAAGACCCACCCCCATAATTCAATCACCTCCCACTGGCTTCCTTCCACAACATGTAGGAATTGTGGGAGTTACAATTCAAAATGAGATTTGGGTGGAGACACAGCCAAACCATATCATTCTACCCTGGCCCCTCCCAAATTTCATGTTCTCACATTTCAAAACCAATCATGCCTTCCCAACAGTCCCCAAAAGTCTTAACTCATTTCAAAAGTCCATAGTCCAAAGTCTCATCTGAGACAAGGCATGTCCCTTGCACCTATGAGCCTGTAAAATCAAAAGCAAGTTAGTTACTTTCTAGACACAATGGGGGTATAGACATTGGGTAAATAACAGCAGTTCCAAATGTGAGAAATTGGCCAAAACAAAGGGGCTACAGGCCCCAAGCAAGTCTGAAATCCAGCAGGGCAGTCAAATTTTAAAGCTCCAAAATTATCTCCTTTGACTCCATGTCCTGGATCCAGGTCACATTTATGGAAGTAGGTTCCCATGGTCTTGGGTAGCTTGGCCCCTGTGGCTTTGCAGGGTACAGCCTCCCTCCTGGCTGCCTTCATGGGCTGGCATTGAGTGTCTGCAGCTTTTCCAGGCATATGGTGCAAGCTGTCAGTGGATCTGCCATTCTGGGGTCTGGAGGAAGGTGGCCTTCTTCTCACAGCTCCACTAGGCAGTGCCCCAGTAGGGACTCTGTATGGGGGCTCCAACCCCACATTTCCCTTCCACACTGCCTTAGCAGAGGTACTCCATGAGCACCCTGCCCCTGCAGCAAACTTCTGCCTGGACATCTAGGTGTTTCCATATATCCTCTGAAATCTAGGCAGAGGTTCCCAAATCTCAATTCTTGACTTTTGTGCATCTGCAGGGTCAACACCACATAGAAGCTCCCAAGGCTTGGGGCTTGCACCCTCTGAAGCTATGGCTCAAGTTGTACCTTGGCCCCTTTTAGTCACAGCTGGAGTGGCTGGGATGCAGGGCACCAAATCACTAGACTGCACACAGCAGAGGGGACCTGGGCCAGGCCCATGAAACCATTTTTTCCTCATAGCCAGTGATGGGAAGGGCTGCCATGAAGACCTTTGGCATGCCCTGGAGACATTTTCCAGGCCAGTGATGGGAAGGGCTGCCATGAAGACCTTTGGCATGCCCTGGAGACATTTTCCCCATTGTCTTGGGGATTAATATTCAGCTCCTCATTACTTACACAAATTTCTGCAGCCTGCTAGAATTTCTCCTCAGAAATGAGATTGTCTTTTCTATCGTGTTGTAAGGCTGCAAATTTTCCAAATTTTTATGTTGTTTCCCTTTTAAAACTGAATACTTTTAACAGCACCCAAGTCACCTCTTGACTGCTTTGCTGTTTAGAAATTTCTTCTGACAGATACCCTAAATCATCTTTCTCAAGCTCAAAGTTCCACAGATCTCTAGAGCAGGGGCAAAATGCAACCAATCTCTTTGCTACAACATAACAAGAGCCACCTTTGCTCCAGTTCCCAACAAGTTCCTCATCTCCATCTGAGACCACCTCAGCCTGGACCTTATTGTCTATATCATTATCAGTATTTTGGTCAAAGCCATTCAACAAGTCTCTAGGGAGTTCCAAACTTTCTCACATTTGCCTGTCTTCTTCTGAGCCCTCCAAACTGTTCCAGCCTCTGCCTGTTACCCACTTCCAAAGTCGCTTCCACATTTTCAGGTATCTACAGCAGCACCCACTTTATTGGTACCAATTTACTGTATTAGTCTGTTTTCATGCTGCTGATAAAGACATACCCAAGACTGGGCAATTTACAAAAGAAAGAGGTTTAGTGAACTTACACTTCCACATGGCTGGGGAGATCTCACAATCATGGTGGAAGGCAAGGAGAAGCAAGTCACATCTTACATGGATGGCAGCAGGCAAAGAGAGAGCTTTTGTAGGGAAACTCCCATTTTTAAAACTATCAGATCTCGTAAGACTCATTCACTATCATGAGAACAGCACAGGAAAGACCTGCCCCCATATTTTAATCACCTTCCACCAGTTTCTTCCCATGACATTTGGGAATTGTGGGAGTTACAATTCAAGATGAGATTTGAGTGGGGACAGAACCAAACCATATCAACATGTTAAGAATATAACTTTTAATAATATACTTTGAAAATATAAAATCATCTTTTCATATAAAAATTAATTTTGGGGCAATAGGAGTAGATCTGTAAAAACTCTTCAATTATTAAGAAATGTATATTTATAGGATCCCAATAAAATCCTTGTCTGATGTACTGAAAGTCACATATTGTTTCCTTTTGGGGGATCTCCACTTTCAAATAGCTTTAATAGATTTTGGTTGTGCACTTGCTTTATAGGAGACTCTGAACTCAGGATTCAGAATGATTGAGAATAGTGCCTAAAATTCATTGAGCAAGTTCTTACTCAGTAGATCTGAGGTAAGGCCTAAAATGCTGCATTTATAGCAAGCTCACAGGTGAGGCTAAAACTGCTGGTCCTGGCATCACACTCTGAGGAGTAGGGGTCCAGGATATACGCATTAAACTATGGTCCAAAGACCAGTGCTAGTCAGGAAACTGTTGGTTCCTTATCTGCAATGAGTTTATGGTAGAGACTGAGGGTGAGCATTTAGACAATTTTAGCACTTTGTGGAGTAATTTTATGTTTGTTAAACTTAATAAAATAAAAAAATTGGGGCTTGCTTCTATTTCATATGACTTTTTTAAAAATTTCATCTTTCCAGTAATTATTTTTATCATATTTTATAAAAATATTGGTCTGTGATAGGTGGAAGATGATATATATAACTAGTTATATATAATTAATTATTTATAATATGAGTATTTATTACATATATAATATATTACTATATATTATATATTAGTTATATATAATCAATTAATTTTATATAGCTAGTTATATATATAACTTGCTATGTATATAATTATATACAGCTGGTTTTAGATATAATTATATATAATATGTAACATAAATATATAATACATTTAATATAGCTAGCTATATATAATTAACATATTATATAGAACACATATAACTAGTTTATATATAACATACATAACTACTTTTATAAATTAATATATATTATATATAACATATATAAAACTCATTTTATAAAATATATATAAAACTAGTAACCTTTGTGGTGAAGGACTACTATATGTGTATAGCAGTCCTATATGTATATATATGTACCATATGTATATAGTAGTCCTTCAAAAATGTGTTAATACATATATACCATAGAATACTATGCAGTCATAAAAAAGAATGAAATCATTTGTGTTGAAGGATTAGTCATATATATATAAAACTAGTCCTTCACCACAAATGATGTAAGAAGCATGAGTCTAGGACAATGCCCCTGGCTCATGAAACTTACAATACAATGGGAGAACTATGACAAGCATCAAAGGTACCAATGCAGAAAGAAACATGTAGCCACAATATAATCTTAAGGTTTGCTTACAAAGGTGTGTTTCTCCATCAAACAAACACTCCATTCACCGAAAGAAAACAGCTTATGATGCATCCTTAATAAAGAATGCTTACATTTGCCTTTTTAGCTTGACATGTATTCTTTTCTGATACCAATGCAGAAAGAAACATGTTGTCACAAGACAACACAAAGGAGAATGTGATGAAGACCATTTAAGAAATGAAGAGTTCTAAGCGTTCTGAGGACTGAACAGAAGTAAAAGGATCCAGCATTCGTGGAGTATCTGTTTATGTACACACATAATGTTAAGTCCTTAACATTTAAGCCACATAAAATCCCATTTTGAAAATGAGGAAATTGAAGACCAGGGAGTTTAAGTAACTAACTGAAGATTCAGAAGGAGCAGGGCTGGAATTGAGATCTAGCTATAATGTGTATGTATGAACTGTAGATCCTCATATTTTTGAACACCCTCTCTACATTCTGCTAGGATCCCACACTGTGAGTCTCATTTTCCTAAGGTGAACTCCAGAAACTAGATTTCCAGACTTCATTACAGTGAGGGTGCAGGTACATGATGTAGGTTTTGTAATATGAAGACTGGACAGACCAGAGCTTGGAAACATAGGCACCAGACTATGGATCAGACAGAAGACACTGTTGGTTTCTGATGTGGGTTGAATTGTGTCCCTGTCCCCACCCCTTAGGTTCATATATTGAAATCTTAACCCTAGTAACTCAGAATGTGACTTCATTTGGAAATAGGTTCATTGCAGATGTGATTTGGATTGAGCAGGCCCCTAATCCAATGTGACTGGTGTCCTTATAAGAAGGAGATTTTTTTTTCATTTTTTTTTGTTTATTTCTATTTTTATAATCTCAACTTTTATTTTAGATTCAGAGGGTACATGTGCAGGTTTGTTACATGGGTATATTGCATTATGCTAAAGTTTGGGACATGAATAATCCTGTCACCCAGATAGTGAGCATGGTACTCAGCAGTTAGTTTTTTTAACCTCTGTCCCCCCATTAGTCTCCAGTGTCTATTATTGCCTTGTTTATATCCGTAAGTTCCCAATGTTGGCCAGGCACGGTGGCTCACACCTGTAATCCCAGCACTTTGGGAAGCCGAGGCGAGTGGATCATGAGGTCAGGAGTTCGAGACCAGCCTGGCCAACATAGTGAAACCCCGTCTCTACTAAAAATACAAAAATTAGCTGGGCATGGTGGCACACACCTGTAGTCCCAGGTACTGGGGAGGCAGAGGCAGGAGAATTGCTTGAACCCAGGAGGCGGAGGTTGTGGTGAGCTGAGATCATGCCACTGCACTCCAGCCTGGTGACAGAGCAAGTCTCCATCAAAAAAGAATAATAATAACAAAAAATAAATAAATACCAAAGTTCCCAATGTTTAACTCCCACTTGTAAGTGGGAATGTGCAGTGTTGGAATTTCTGTTCCTCTGTTATTTTGCTTAGGATAATGGCCTCCAGCTGCATCAATTTTGCTGCAAATGACATACTTTCAATCTTTTTTATGACTGCATATGTATTCCATGGTGTATATGTTCATTTTCTTTTTCCAGTCTACCACTGATGGGCACCTAAGTTGATTCCATGTCTTTGCTATTGTGAATAGTACTGTGATAAACATTTGAGTATGTGTCGTGTTGGTAGGATGATTTATTTTCTTTGGATATATACCCAGTAATGGGATTGTTGGGTTGAATGGTGGCTCTGTTTCAAGTTGTTGAGGAAATCTCCAAACTGCTTTCCACAGTAGCTGAACTAATTTTTACTCCCACCAACATGGATAAGTGTTCCCTTTTCTCTGCAGCTTCTCTAGTATCTGTTATTTTTTGACTTTTTAATTATAGCTATAATGAAGTAAAACACCCCTCAGCAAATGCAAAAGAATGGAAATCACAATGAACAGTCTCTCAGACCACAGTGCAATCAAATTAGAACTCAGGATTAAGAAATTCACTCAAAACCACTCAACTACATGGAAACTGAACAACCTGCTCCTGAATGACTACTGGGTAAACAATGAAATTAAGGCAGAAATAAATAAGATCTTTGAAACCAATGAGAACAATGACACAATGTACCAAAATCTCTAGCATACAGCTAAAGCAGTGTTAAGAGGGAAATTTATAGCACTAAATGCCCACATCAGAAAACTGGAAAGATCTAAAATCGACACGCTAACATGACAATTAAATGAACTAGAGAAGCAAGAGCAAACAAATTCAAAAGCAAGCAGAAGACAAGAAATAACTAAAATCAGAACAGAATTGAGGAAGATAGAGACACGAAAAACCCTTCAAAAAAATCAATGAATCCAGGAGCTGGTTTTTTGAAAAGATTAACAAAATAGATAGACCACTAGCCAGACTAATAAAGAAGAAAAGAGAGAAGAATCAAATAGACACAATAAAAAATGATAAAGGGGATATCACCACTGATCCCACAGAAATGCAAACTACCATCAGAGAATACTATAAACACTTCTATGCAAATGAACTAGAAAATATAGAAGAAATGGATAAAGTCTGGGACACATACATCCTTCCAAGACTAAACCAGGAAGAAGTCAAATCCCTGAATAGACCAATAACAAGTTCTGAAATTAAGGCAGTAATTAATAGCCTATCAACCAAAAAAAAGCCCAGGACCAGACAGCTTCACAGCCAAATTTTACCAGAGGTACAAAGAGGAGATGGTACTATTCCTTCTGAAACTATTCCAAACAATAGAAAAAGAGGGACTCCTCCCTAACTCACTTTATGAAGCCAGCCTCATCCTGATACCAAAACCTGGCAGAGACACAGAAACAAAGAAAATTTCAGGGCAAAATCTCTAATGAGTATCGATGAAAAAATCTTCAGTAAAATACTAGCAAACTGAATCCAACAGCACATCAAAAAACTTATTCACCACAATCAAGTTGACTTCATCCCTGGGATGCAAGGCTAGTTCAACTTACACAAATCAATAAATGTAATCCATCACATAAACAGAACCAATGACAAAAACCACATGATTATCTCAATAGATGCAGAAAAGGCCTTCGATAAAATTCAACACCTCTTTATGCTAAAAACACTCAATAAACTAGGTATTGATGGAACATATCTCAAAATAAGAGCTATTTATGAGAAACCCACAGCCAATATCATACTGAATGGGCAAAAGCTGGAAACATTCGTTTTGATAACCAGCACAAGACAAGGATGCCCTCTCTCACCATTCTTGTTCAACATAGCATTGGAAGTTCTGGCCGGGGCAATCAGGCAAGAGAAAGAAATGAAGGTATTCAAATAGGAAGAGAGGAAGTCAAATTGTCTCTGTTTGCAGATGACATGATTGTATATTTCTAAAACCCCATTGTCTCATCCCAAAATCTCCCTAAGCTGATAAGCAACTTCAGCAGTCTCAGGATACAAAATCAATGTGCAAAAATCACAAGCATTCCTATACACCAATAATAGACAGAGAGCTAAATCATGAGTGAACTCCCATTCACAATTGCTACAAAGAGAATAAAACACCTAGAAATACAACTTACAAGGGACGTGAAAGCCCTCTTCAAGGAGAATTACAAACCACTGCTCAAGGAAATAAGAGAGAATACAAACAAATGAAAAACTTTCCATGTTCATGGATAGGAAGAATCAATATCATGAAAATGGCCATACTGACCAAAGCAATTTATAGATTCAATGCTATTCCCATCAAGCCACCATTGACTTTCTTCACAGAGCTAGAAAAATCTACTATAAATTTCTTTTTTTCTTTTTAATTATACTTTAAGTTTTAGGGTACATATGCACAACGTGCAGGTTTGTTACATATGTGTACATGTGCCATGTTGGTGTGCTGCACCCATTAACTCATCATTTAACATTAGGTATATCTCCTAATGCTATCCCTCCCCCCTCCCCCACCCCCCAACAGGCCCTGGTGTGTGATGTTCCCCTTCCTGTGTCCATGTGTTCTCATTGTTCAATTCCCACCTATGAGTGAGAACATGCGGTGTTTGGTTTTTCATATGGAACCAAAAAAGAGCCCATATAACAAACACAGTCCTAGGCAAAAAGAACAAAACTGGAGGCATCATGCTACCTGACTTCAAACTATACTACAAGGCTAGAGTAACCAAAACAGCATGGTAGTGATACCAAAACAGATATATAGACCAATGGAACAGAACAGAGGCCTCAGAAATAATACCACACATCTACAACCACCTGATCTTCAGCAAACCTGACAAAGACAAGCAGTGGGGAAAGGACAACCTATTTAATAAATGGTGCTTGGAAAACTGGCTAGCCATATGCAGAAAACTGAAACTGGACCCCATCCTTATACCTTATACAAAAATTGACTCAAGATGGATTAAAGATTTAAACATAAAACTTGAAACATAAAAACCCTAGAAGAAAACTAGGCAATACCATTCAGGACCTAGCCATGGGCAAAAACTTCATGACTAAAACACCAAAAGCAATGTTAACAAAAGCCAGAATTGACAAATGGGATCTAATTAAACTAAAGAGCTTCTGCACAGCAAAAGAAACTATCATCAGAATGAACAGGGAACCTACAGAATGGGAGAAAATTTTTGCAATCTATCCATCTGACAAAGGGCTAATATCCAGAATCTACAAGGAAGTTAAATTTACAAGAAAAAGACAACCCTATCAAAAAGTGGGCAAAGGATATGAACAGACAGTTCTCAAAAGAAGACATTTATGCAGCCAACAAACATATGAAAAAAAGCTCATCATTGCTGGTCATTAGAGAAATACAAATCAAAACCACAATGAGGTATCATCTCACGTCAGTTAGAATGGTGATCATTAAAAAGTCAGGAAACAATAGATAGGGAGGATGTGGGGAAATAGGAATGCTTTTACACTGTTGGTGGGAGTGTAAATTAGTTCAACCATTGAGTAAGACAGTGGTGATTCCTCAAGGATCTAGCATCAGAAACAGCGTTTGACCCAGCAATCCCACTACTGGGTATATACCCAAAGGATTATACATCATTCTGCTATAAAGACACATGCACGTGTATGTTTATTGCGGCACTGTTCACAATAGCAAAGACTTGGAAGCAACCCAAATGTCCATCAATGATAAACTGTGTAAAGACAATGTGGCACATATATACCATGGAATATTATGCCTCCATAAAAAAGAATGAGTTCATGTCCTTTACAGGGACATGAATGAAGCTGGAAACCATCAGTCTCAGCAAACTAATACAAGAACAGAAAACTGGGCCGGGGGCAGTGGCTCACGCCTGTAATCCCAGCACTTTGGGAGGCTGAGGCGGGCGGATCACGAGGTCAGGAGATCGAGACCATCCTGGCTAACATGGTGAAACCCTGTCTCTTCTAAAAATACAAAAAATTAGCCGGGCGCGGTGGCAGGCACCTGTAGTCCCAGCTACTTGGGAGGCTGAGGTAGGAGAATGGCGTGAACCTGGGAGGAGAAGCTTGCAGTGAGCTGAGATAGAGATTGCACCACTGCAGTCTGGCGTGGGTGAAACAGTGAGACTCCATCTCAAGAAAAAAAAAAATAAAGAACAGAAAACCAAACACGGCATGTTCTCACTCACAAGTGGGAGTTGAACAATAATAACACATGGACACAGGGAGGGGAACATCACACACTGGGTCTTGTTGGGGGTAGGGGGCAAGGGGAGGGAGAGCACTAGGACAAATACCTAATGCGTGTTGGGCTTAAAACCTAGATGAGGGTTGATGGGTGCAGCAAACTACTATGGCACATGTATACCTCTGTAACAAACTTGCACATTCTGCACATGTATCCCAGAACTTAAAGTATAATAAAAAAGATAATAATAATAGCTATAATGACTGGTATGAGATGGTATCTCATTGTGGTTTTGATTTGCATTTATCTGACCATTAGTGATGCTGAGCACGTTTTCATATGTTTGATGGCCACTTGTATGTCCTTGTTTTGAGAAGTGTCTGTTCATCCTTTTTGCCCACTTTTTAATGGGGTTGTTTTTTGCTTGTTGATTTAAGTTCCTTATAGATTCTGGATATTAGACCTTTGTCAGATGCATAGTTTGTGAATATTTTCTCCCATTCTATAGGTTGTCTGTTTACTCTGTTGTTAGTTTCTGTTGCTGTGCAGAAGCTCTTTGGTTTACTTAGATCCCACTTGTCAATTTTTGTTTTTGTTGAAATTGTTTTAAGGCCAATGTCCACAAGGGTGTTTCCTAGGTTTTCTTCTAGAATTTTCTTTCTTTCTTTTTATTTTTTTTTTATTTTTGAGATGGAGTGTTACTCTGTCACCCAGGCTGGAGGGCAGTGGCACAATCTCGATTCACTGCAACCTCCACCTCCCAGGTTCAAGTGATTCTCCTGCCTCATCCTCCCAAGTAGTGGGATTACAGGCATAAGACACCATGCCCAGCTAATTTTTTTATTTCTAGTAGAGATGGGGTTTCACCATGTTGGCCAGGTGGGTGCCGAACTCCTGACCTCAGGTGATCCACCCACCTCAGCCTCCCAAAGTGCTGGGATTACAGATGTAAGCCACCATGCCTAGCTTCTTCTAGGATTCTTACAGTTTGAGGTCTTATATTTAAATATTTAATCTGTCTTGAGTTAATTTTTATATATGGTAAGAGAGGTCCAGTTTCATTCTTTTGCATATGTCTAGACAGCAATCCCAGCACCAATTATTGAATAGGGAGTCCTTTCCCCATTGCATATTTTCATCAACTTTGTCAAAGATCAGATGGCTGTAGGTGTGCAGCTTTACTTCCAGGCTCTCTATTCTGTTCCATTGGTTTATTTGTCTGTTTTTATACTAGTACCATGCTGTTTGGACTACTTAGCCTTATAATATAGTTTGTAGTCAAGGAATGTAATGTGATGCTTACAGCTTTGTTTTTGTTGTTGTTGTTGTTGTTTGTTTGTTTGTTTTTGCTTAGATTGCTTTGGTTATGCAGTCTCTTTTTCAGTTCTATATGAATTTTAGAATAGTGGGAATTTTTTTTACTCTGTAAACAATAACATTGGTAGCTTAATAGGAATAGTGTTGAATCTGTAGATTGCTTTGGTAAGTATGGCCATTTTAATAATATTAATTCTTCTAATCCACGAGCATGGAATGTTTTTTATTTGTTTGTGTCATCTTGATTTCTTTTAGCTGTGTTTTGTAGTTCTCCTTGTAGAGGTCTTTCTCCTCCTTGGTTTAATGTATTCCTAGGTATATTATTTTGGGGAGGGCTATTGTAAATGGAACTGCATTCTTGATTTGGCTCTCAGCTTGAATGTTATTGGCATACAAAAATGCTATTGATTTTTGTATGCCAATAACATTGATTTTGTATCCTGAAACTTTACTGAAGTTATTTATGAGTTCCAGGAGGCTCTTGGTGGAGTAATAGAGTAATATTGTTAGTAAAGAGAGATAGTTCGACAATTTCTTTTTCTATTTGGATGCCTTTTATTTATTTCTCTTGCCTGATTGCTCTGGCAAAGAAATAAGGGGATATTTTGGGTATAGACACACATACAAGGAAAGTACCATGTGAAGATGAAGGCAGATGTCAAGGTAATACAAGAGAAGCCAAGGAATGCCGAAGATTGCCAGCAAACCACTAGAAGCTAGAAGAGAGTCATGGGATGGATTCTCCCTCATAGACCGTAGAAGGAATGGACCGTGCTGACACCTTGATCTCTGATTTCTAGACCCCAGAACTCTGAGACAATAAATTGCTGTTATTTAAGCAAATGTTAACAATTTCTAGAAGAAATATTGCAGCTATCAAATTGAAAAATCTCCCTACATGTGGGGCAGAATTTTAAAAAAAATCACCCAGTACTATCAAAGTAGCATGGCAAAACATCAAAGGTAATGGGAAAAATATTAAAAATTGATATAAATTTTATGTTTTGTGTATTCTGTCATAATTTTTAAAAATTGCAAAAAATGATCAGATAGGAAAGATATAAGTGAACATGTGAGTTTAATCTTGGGGTGATTTTATAGGGTCTGAGAAAGGTGTGGAAGGAAGCAAGAGCAAAGGGGATCTGCTTTTCAAATATTGGCAATACCTCCATCTCGACTTCATCTTCGTTGGATTCTGGCAGCACAGTAGCTGGTGAAGCTCGTGTTTGGCCACAGAATGCAAGGGTAGGACTAGAAAATTAAGGGATTGTCAGGGATGTGTGTGTACACATGTAGGGAAAACTCCTCTTTCCATAATTAGTAGTTCCTGGATATGTTGGAAAGAATAAAGCTCAATATATCAGTATATATCCATTCAGTCTGATATATATATATTAAATACCTCATCTAAGCCAGGCACTACTTAGGTTTATACACACAAGGATAAATAAAACAGAGTTTCTTCCTTCATTCGTGGGTAATTTCACTCTGTTGTACTATTTATTACAGTTACAGAAACAAGATACAATTTTTGAAGGTAATCTATTCAGGGTAAATATTCCATTCAAATGGCTTTAAGGATATTTGCTGGAACCTTTCTTGAATGTAGACCTTCTTTTCTAGAACTTTGCTACATGCCTTTGCACTCCATCTTGATGAGATGGTTAAGAAAAAAAAACATAAATAAGCAGATCCACGTGCTTATCATTTAGGTATCAATATTATTGCCTCAATTTTTTCTAAATACTTTAAGGAGGCAGATAAAGATGATTTATACACTGAATATACTTGAGCATCGGTGTAAAAATTCAGTATTAAGACATTACTAAATTTACTTTCAACGTCCAAACTAAATGTGTTTTCAAATTAAGTCGAAGCAACTGCAGAGAAGTCAAATATTTGCTCTCATTAATAATACACTGGTACTAAAAAGAAGAATAATGACACTCTTATAAAGGTTTTCTTTAACATCTCTAAAAGATTACTAATCATATTTTATTCATCCTTACCACAGTTTGTTTTTGTGGACTACTTTATTAGATTTATTTCATGGAAGTTTTTCTCAAGTTTCAGCAATTGGCTAAACAATCAATACTTTAGCTATCAAAGAAAACTTTCCTGAGGAGGAAGAAATTTCTTCTTGAATGACCTTTTTTTCAGGAGAGCACCCATCACAGATGAAGAACCAGGTCACTCTGGAAGTCAAGTCTCACTAAAGCTTGAAGCTTCTTTTTCTTTCTTTCTTTCTTTCTTTCTTTCTTTCTTTCTTTCTTTCTTTCTTTCTTTCTTTTTTTTTAGACAGTCTCACTCTGTTGCCTGGGCTGGAATGCAGTGGTGCAATCTTGGCTCACTGCAACCTCTGCTTTCTGGGTTCAAGCAATTCTTTTGCCTCAGACACCAAGTAGCTGGGATTACAGGTACATGCCACCACGCTTTGGCTAATTTTTGTATTTTTAGTAGAGATGAGGTTTCACCATGTTGGCCAGGCTGGCCTTGAACACTTAACCTCAGGTGATCTGCCCTCCTCAGCCTCCCAAAATGCTGAGATTCTAGGAGTGAGCCACAGCTCTGGAGCTAAAGCTTCTTAAATAGAGAGCTGTGTCACACAGAAAATGCCCCATGGGCAGCAAGTCATGTTTCTAGGAGGCTTTATTAGGTGATAATTGCGCAGATATCGATGGCATGCTTTTTTGTTGTTGTTAGCATCCAGAAGAAAAAAAAAATCTACAAGAGGGGTTGAGCAAAGGGACCTGAATTCGGGAAAATTAAGTGTAAGAATGCATAAAATTTAAAGTAAGTTTTACTGAAGCTTTTGTGCTCAGAGAGATATGTGTGGTTAGATTCCCTCTCAAAGCCAAACATTATCTCCTAATTATGGCCTTAACAAATAACACTAGTATATAACAACAATGACAAGTTAAAAAAAAAAACAAGACCTAGTTTATTTTGAGATCTAAAGTCAAAAACTAGTCCTATTTAGTGCCAATAGGACTAGCAATGTTGTCTACAATTTGTGAAGGGAGGTTCTAATAATGCTACTTTTATTTTTTAAAATGGTGATAGAAGAATGCTAAGCATTTCATGCCTATAAACAAGGCACTGAAAATGAAAGGTAAGGTAAGATAATGTCAGCAGTTAATTAAGGATGGCTTTTAATCTTTTCTTTGATTTTTCTTTTCTTTTCCTTTAGCCTTAAAAAATTCCAAACTATAACAAGGAGAGGAAAAAGCCAGCAGAAGGAGAGGAAGAGGGACTCACTATGATGGAGTATCAGCATTGGAAGAGTGGGAAGAACAGACGGGTTGGAAATCAGAAGACATGGCACTTGCTTCCTGGGCACAGAGATTTTGGGGAAGGATGCTTACTGTCTTTGTATACCCATTTTCTTAGCTGTAATATATAAATAACAATATTAGACAGTGTGATGAACACCCTTGCAAACTGTCACACACTATACAAACAGCAGTTATTATCCACACACCTAGAGCCCTTGTAAACTGTCACACGCTATACAGACTGCAGTTATCATTATCCACACACCTAGAGTGAACACGGTGAAAAACCTTTGCCTTAAGGGAAGTGGGTTAGAACCTCTACCACATCACTGGGCCACATTACCCAGTCACAGATGAACAACTAGGCCACTCTGCAGGTTGTCCCACAGAAGCTTCTAAAATAGAGATGTGTCACACAGAAAATGCCCCAGGAGCTGCAAGTCATGTTGCTGGGAGGCTTTCTTAGGTGATAATTGGGCAAATATTTTTTGTTACTTTTAACAGCCAGAAAAAAATGTACAAGAGAGGTTGAGCAACAAGATCTGAAGGCAGGAAAATTAAGAGTGCCTTGTGTGTAAAGCCTAAAAAGAGAATGCTGTAGATAAGAAATTGAGAAATACCACAAAATGCCCACAGGGTACAAGGAACACTCCCTTTTCACCTCCCATCTGAGCTGCAATGCCCATCCGAGTGCTGAATACTGACTGGAAATAAGGCACGGTGATGCATCATTCTGTTAGATGTGCAGCCTCCCTGCTTTTGTCCACTTCCCTCACAAAAATACTGATTTCAAACGCCACTTGTCCTCTTAGTCTTAGTATCTATTTTTAACTATACCTGGAGAAGTTCTCTAATTTTGACATCTGAAATCATATTTTCCCCATATTAATTCTCTCTCTCTTCTTCCCACAAGAATATAAGAACCAAGAAGCCGTGAATTTAAAGAATGTATCTCTACTGCCTAGAACAGTGACATATTGTAGGCATTGAAGAAATGTGTTGATGAGTGAATAAATGAAGAAAGTGATGAAAGACTTAGTTACTAAGCAGCTACAAATAATTTACAAAAAGGAAATATTATGATCTTATTATTTCCAACATACATAGATTCAGATGATATAAAACATTTGTTTTCCCAAAAAGTCCCTACTAATGTCTCTTGGTGGATAGTTAGCAGTCTCTTTGAAGTCTGGTCTCCAGTGTCTTTTCTCCCATTTCTTCCTCCTCCCACCTTTCCTTTGGTCTTTTATTCCCTTCTATTCTTCCTTGCTTCATCACCTAATCCACAGTCTCATTTCTGTCCTGGAGAGGAGCTCCATCTTAGATGGTAGGTTTTACTTTCCACCTAGGAGTAGATTCAAGTGTTCAAAGTCTTAAGGGAGGAACATCTATAAGAAAAGCAACTCTTGCTAAATTAATTATACTTCCATAGCAGAGTTTCCATAGCATATTATGCTAGTGAAGTCTCTATTGCTTTCGTTTTCCTGTCATAGATGAGGAAGACAAGGGAAAAAAGACAAGGCTAGAAACTAGTGCAGAAAATTCCATTGTGCAACAAGAGCTCACCTTATGGAGATGGCAACTCAAGAACTCTACAAAGTTTTCTAAAACTGCTTCTCAAAGTTTAATGCACACAACAATTACCTGAGATCTTGTTAGCAAATTTTGTTTCAGTAGTTCTGGGGTGAAGCTTCAAGTTCTGCATTTCTAATAAACAACCAGGTGGTCCATGGGTCCACACCTTGAGTAGTCAATCTCTAAAAGAAAACGTTTCATTTTGGACCTCTACTTTACAGTCTACTGAAAGTAGTCTACTTTGCATTATGGTCTACTGAAAATACACTGTGTAAGGGAAAGAGCAAGAGGATTTGGGTTCATCTAGGACTGGGTTTGAAATCTGGCTCCGCTATTCCTTAAGAGACACTGGGCAAGGATTATTTTTAAAAATATAAATTTCCTAAGCTTCAGTATCATCTGGAATATGGGTATAATAATATCTGTCTTATAGGATTGCTATAAAAATTAACTTCTTTTAAGGAACTTTAGCATGGGGCAAAGCTTGATCCCTTCCCCTTTCTTTTCCCATTTCAAATTCTTCAAAATGGCCCGATTCAGCTTCAAATTCTGTTTCAAATTTTGTCTATTTCTATTCTTGAAAACTGAAAGCATATACACCCAGACAGCTTACTGTCTATATTAACACAATTTAACTTTTCAACCTGTGCATTAACCTGACTTAATTATTCCAGGAAATCCTTGCCCAGGAAGATGGAGTTGCAAATAACTGCTTATTTCAGAATCTTCAAAATTTATTTATCTGAAAAATCAATTCATTCTCTTTAAGTAAATAGCCTCTTCTCGAAACAATAGATTATTAAGCTGGGCCCAACAAATGATTATTTACTCTTAAAGACTCTTCAGTGTACTCCCTTTACTGTGTCCATTAATTATACATTATTATATTATAACATCTTTCAGTACCAATCAGACCACTTCACTGAAAGACATGCCTTAAAGTAGACTCTAAATCTTTACAAATGCCAGTTTTGATTCTTCCCTTGCAAAACACCACTAAGACTCCACCAAGGTAGTCAGTGGATTCCCTTACTACAGTAAGAAATAAACTTCTCTTTGCTTGATCAAACATGTGATTTTGCTGGTGTCTTGAGAGTTGGCAGTTGACAATCTCTTCTAATAAAACTATCATCCAGACAAACATACTTAATTACTTATTTCCTGGAGGTGGCATGCTTTTTAATATTCCATGCTTTTGCACAATCAATTTCTTTTTTCCTGGAATATCATCTTTTATTTAACCTTCAAGACTCATACTAAATGTTAGTCTCTCTGTGAAATATTTATTGAAACCCTTTAGCAATATAGATTTTTTCATGCTTCTGTTCTCCCATAGCATTGAGTAGGCCTTTTCCATCATACCCTATTATTTCCTGATTGCTTGGTTACACATTTTTCTTTCCCAAACACAATGTGCTCTTTAAAAATAGGGACTATGCCTTATCCACCTTTGTCACCAATGTCTTAAAGAATTTTAAAAAAAACTATTAGTTGATCAATAAATATTTGTTGAATGTTGAATGAAACACAGTTAGCCTGGATATTTAGAGGAAGAAAAATGGGTAAATAAATATTTGTTAAGAGAAACTTGAGCTTCTTTTCATAAGGATTTCCTTTGCATCTTCTTACCCTTTTTGTTTTAGGTAATCCTGAGAAATGTTACCTCTGAAGTCTACTACCCCTGAAATAGTAGCTCTCTGAGCCAGCAAAATAGGACCTTTTTGATGTCTCAAATCCTGTCAAAAAGGTGATTTCTCATTTCTTTCTCATCTAGTAATTATTGATGGCAAGTATGAGCATGCAGTTGGGTCAGTCCTTCTATCAGGGTAGCAGATAACTTTTATTCCCCCTTCAGGGAAATTTTACCTCCTCTGGCATCAGTCTGGATATAAATGTTGCTGGTTTCATGATCTGAAATTAAGAGTGAACATTTTGTTTAGCCCAATCAAGGCTGGTAGAAGGACAAACTTTTATAATGTGAAATTTATGACCCTGTGATGGCTGATAAAAACAATCCCTGGCATAGTTATGCTTCTATTTAAGTGTTAATTATCCCCTATGCACAGTGTGTACTCTTTTTGATAGCCACAATTCAACACTTAGGCTATTAAAGGCAGATTTATGCTATAGCAATAGAATATTTTTTATTTCCATCTAAACTGAAATCTAGAAGTTCCATAAAAGTGTAAGAGCTCATGTCATGGCTAACAGGTTTTGACAAGAGCTAAGTTAATATTTGTAGCAGTAAACCATCTCCTGGTTGACAGTTTGTTGAGACATCAGAGAAGTCTCTGAGGAGAAAAATTAAGTAAATCTAAATGGTACATTTGACCAACTATAAGCCTGGACTGACATTTTGCTCTAGCAAAAGTAAGCTGTTTGGAAAAGAGTGCAAAATTATATGTATCATATCTCAGTTTCTGATCATTTTAGATCATTTGAGGTATAAATATTTAATAAATATGTTTAATGTTCAGCAGTATGTGAACACTACTTTCATATCTCTCTCTTTTTGGCTGTCATCAAAAAATGAAAGAAATAACCTTCATTATAACATAAGCTAGTTAGCCCTCTGAGTACTCCATGTAACATTCGCTTCATACCATAATAACAATAAGCATTGTAACATATTTGTGTGAAGTCCCAATGATCTTGATATCTGGGAGGCTTGTGTTAATCAGATTTTTTCAGGAATGTAGGTAGCAACCATAATATTTCATTGTAAGTTTATTGTAATTTTTGCCATTATCATGCTTGACGTGTGTGATCCTTAAGTACTCCTGTGAAGTATTAATGTACCCATCTTACAGAGGAGAAGGGGACTCAAACAGAAGACGTGCCTTTTCGTAGGTCACACAGAACATGGCAGAGCTAGAGCCAGAACTCAGAACTCCTGTCTCCCAGAAACAGTCCCCTTTGTTCTACAATACACAGATCTCTGTTAATATATTTTAAAATGATTATAGAAGAGATGTTACAGACCCTTCACATAGAATTTGATCAATGTTTATTTTGAGGCAAGTGAACTAAGACAGCATTAATTTTAATTGCATTCTCCATTTGAGAACAGTAATCATGAAAAGAAATTAAAAGGCTGAGTTCAAGATCGATTTTCCAGTCTTTGTAGCAATCCCTGAAGCTTCAAAAAGCTTGCAGAAAGACTTTTTCCAGAGACTGTTTTGACTTCCTCATATTAGACTATTAACGACCATACTTAGTACTCAGTAGAATATTAATAATACTGTGCTTGAACTGAGACAATTTTTCTGTGGGTACTTCTACATTTTGAAGAGTATCAGGACAAATATGTGCCCATGCAGGGCATAACACAAATTGATGAAGTTGATTGGTAGTTTTCAAGCACTAGTATGTGCCAGGAACTATGCTGGACACTTATTTTATATATAATTTTTCAATTAATGTTCATAACAATCCTACATCCATTTCATGGGTATAAAAACAGACTCAGTGGAGTTAAGGAACCTGTCAAAATTCACAAGATGTTACATAACTGAGTCAACATTTGAACCTGGGTCTATCCAATTTCAATAATTCCACTTCAGTATGATGTTTAGTTCTTTTCAAACTCACAACAAAGGAAAAAATCTTTGCCTAGTCAGGTGGGGCCTACATTTAACCCGGATAACCTACATTTGGAACGTGGGAGAAATGCAATTTCTGTTTCCCCGTTCTCTCTTCCACATCTCTTTCTACACTTGCTGGCTACTATTTCTCACTCTTTCACCCCTTCCAGAGACTGACCAGAAGAAAGAAGCCATTAGAGAAAAAGAACACCATTGTACATGCCCAACACAATTGCAATCCAGTATAAGAGGCTCCCCTGGATTTGAATGATGTCCAGAGCTGACCTGTTCTACCATGAGACTCTTTAGTTGTTCTTTGTAGATCTGTCCAGTGGGGGTCTTTTCTATACCATCCTAGATACAGAAAATGTCTCCCTGCTGCCGGCCACTTACCCTGCCCCACCATCAGCCCTTAGGTTTTCAGTGGTCCAGAAGCTAATGGATCTTCTTTGACTCTCCAGCCAGTCCTCTTAAAAGCTTCTATTCTTGGAGTCCTCTTTTGATTTCCAAGAAACACATTAGCTCCCAGTTTGCTCTGCCTGGTGAAAATGCAGCTCACTCTCAATGCAACCATTTTTATCCTGTTGTCAGCAGACACAGCTGCAGCCACAGCCTCTTGTCTTTCATTTTCCTCTCAGGCTTCAGATGTTATTGAATTGGTTTTGTAGCTTTCTTCCTTTGACCTATTGTTAAATACATTACATAAGTAGAATTCATAATACTAATTTTTTTGTATATGAGGAATAAATTCTACCTGTTTTTCATGTAGTTTTTTTTAAGAATCTATTTGCTAATATCTCCTTTTGTAGCTTTGTGTCTCTGCTCATAATTAGAGAATAATTGATTAGTACTATTTTTTGGTTAGATTTTGCTAACTTTCTAAAATTATGTAGAAATGATCCCATCTGATTCCATGCTCTGGAAAATTTCTATAAAATGGAAGGCAACATCTCCTTGGATATTTTAAACACTTTCTCATAAAACTCACTATGTTAAGTGTGATCAATAGTCATTAATAGTATAATTCTTAGTGTTTCTCTTTGTATTATTATATTTAATTTCTATTGCTTGATTTATCAGTTTTTAAAGATACATGTGATTCCCAGTTATTGCAACAGATGAGGCAACAATAACAATAATGGAGTGTAATCTATTGTTATGTACTCTGATAATGCAATAATGTCAAACTAACAAGTAAATGGAAGCAGAGGGGGGAGACAAAAGGAAAAGTAGAGAAAATAGGAATTAGCCAAACACACACAAAAAAAAACATGTCCAACATCATTAGTAATCTGAAAAGTACAAAACAAACTCACAATGAGATAGTATTTTATATGCACCAAATTGGAAAATCTGAAAATATCTGATAATATTATGTTAGGCCAGGCACAGTGGCATGCACCTGTAGTTCCAGCTGCTTCAGAGGCTAAAGCAAGAAAATCATTTGAGCCCAGGAGTTCAAGGCTATTGTGCACTATGATCATGTGTATGAGTAGTCACTGCACTCTAGCCTGGACAACATAATGAGACTGTCTCTAAAAAAAATTAAAAATAAAAATAAAAATACTCAGTGTTGGCATGGATATGAAACAACTAGACATCTATGTCTTTGGGTAAAAATGTAAATTGGTACGCTTTGTAACAATACTTAAGTCTTTTTATGGGGATGTAAATCAATATAAAATGATAACAACAACTTATTTTTTAAATCACAAATGCACTCATTCTATGACACAGGGATTAAGCTCCCACAACTATTCCATAGAGAAACCCTTGCACATATAAATGGATAGAAATGCCATACAAAATACTCAAAGCAACATACTTTGTAATATCACAAAACTAGTGATATAGTTTGGATGTCTGTCTCCTCCAAATCACACGTTGAAATGTGACTCCTAATGTTGAAGGTGGGGCCCAGTAGGAGGTGTTTGGGTGATGGGAGTGGATCCCTCATGAATTGCTTAGTGCCCTCCCTGCAGTAATGTGTGAGTTTTCACTCTATTCACAAGAGCTGGTTGTTTAAAATGAGACTGGCACCTCCTCCTCTCTCTCGTGCTTTCTTTCTTGCCATGTGACACACCTGCTCCCCCTTCACCTTCTGCTATGATTGGAAGCTTCCTGAGGCTCTTATCAGAAGCAGATTCTGGGGCCATGTTTCTTGTACAGTCTGCAGAACCATGAGCCAAATAAACATATTTTCTTTAGAAATTACCCAGCCTCAGGTATTCCTGTATAGCAATGCAAAATGGACTAATATAACTAGAAACAACTCAAATGTTAATTAATGGAAGAAAGACTAAAAAATATTGTATATAACACTATATATTATACGTTGTACTTTAACAGTGAAAATGAATGAAATACAACCATATGAAAAAACAGGCTTACATCTCTTAATGTTGAGTACAAAGGAGATTTGGGGTATGTGTGAAAGTTTGTGTACAGTATGAGACCACTCATACCGCTTTTTAAAATACAAAAATAAGCACTATGTCATTTGACATAGAAATGTATGTGGTAAAATGCTAAAGTAAGAAAATTATAAACTCGGCTGGGGGCAGTGACTCACGCCCGTAATCCCAGTGCTCTGGGAGGTCGAGGTGGGCAGATCACCTGAAGTTGGGAGTTCAAGACCAGCCTGGCCAACATGGTGAAACCCTGTCCCTACTAAAAAATACAAAATTAGCTGGGCATGGTGGTGGGTGCCTGTAATCCCAGCTACTCAGGGGACTGGGGCAGGTGAATCATTTGAACCTGGGAGGGGGAGGCTGCAGTGAGCTGCGATTGTGCCACTGCACTCCAGCCTGGGTGACAGACTGAGACTCCATCACAAAAAAAAAAAAAAAAAAGAAAAGAAAATGATAAACTCAAAGTTGAGAATAGTACTTTCTTTGGAGGGGGAAGGATATACTAAAGTGTACAGAGGTTTGAAAGGTAATAAAAGTATTTATTTTCTTAAGATGGGTGATGGGCATTTGGAGCTTATTTTCTCTTTATTCTTTATAAATATTTTATACATTATTTAAATTTACTTAACTGTCTTAGTCCTTTGAGCTGCTATAACAGAGTACCATAGATTGGGTGGTTTATAAGCAACAGCAATTTATTTTCACATTTCTGGAGGCTAGGAAGTTCAAGACCAAGGTGCCAGCAGATTCAGTGTCTGCTGAGAACCTGTACCCTGGTTCATAGACAGTGTCTTCTTGCTGCATCCTCACATGGTGGAAGGGACAAGGGCACATCTGTCATCTCTTTTATAAAGGTGCTAATGCCATTTATGAGGGCTTCACTTTCATGACCTAATCACCTTCCAAAAGCCTCAACTTCAAATACCATCACACTGGGGATTAGGTCACAACACATGAATTTGGTGGGATATAAACTTTCAGTCTACATTCAACTTTAAATGTAAATGATATACTAATTCACTAAAAACACAAAAATTTTCAATCTTATTGGTAAAAAAAATGCAAATTAAATATATGTGTTTTAACTTTCATCAGCACAGATTAACCAAAAATATGATGTTTGTAAGTGCAGTTGAAAATAATTCTTTTCTACACTGCTAATGAAAAAGTATATCAATCATTTGGGAGGAAGCAATTTCAGAATATCTTTTGACTCAGAAAGTCTACTTTAAGAATATTAACTAAACAAATAATCAGAGCCACACATACAAATTTATATTAAAGATATTCAGTATAGTAGAAAGATAGTGAACCCAACCTAAATGTCCTATAGTAGAGAATTGCATCAATTACAGGACTGCCTAAAGGAGCATCTGGAACATAATAGGTGCTTAGTAAACGATTACTGAATGAACCAGTGAATAAACATATGTACATATTTATATGTATGTGCACAAAATATTAACAGTGATTATCTTTGGGAGAAGAGCTTATGAGTGATTTTTAAAATTTTACTTTTCTACATTTTTCAAAAATTTTTGCTATGAAGATATATTACTCTAAGAAGCCGAAAAAAAAATGTTAAGCTCTTGCTTACTTCAAAGCAAAATTTGCCCCTATATCTTCTATCTTCTGGAAATGTACCACATCTAACACCACCCTTCTGACATAAATTTATTTTAATACATTGAATAGCTATTCTTTCTCTTCCTGACATTCTCTTCCCCACCATAGTCCCAACACCATTGCTTGAATATTTAAAATTCATGTTTCTTCACTATCTTGATTGCTTTTGTTAATCTCTTTTGTTTCTATGATGAAGTTAAGGTCACTAGGCAATGGTTCTCTCATCTTAATAGCAAGTTCAAAACCAGGGAACAACTTAGTTCTTTCCATTTCAAACTACTTAGTATCAGTTAAACGGGATCTTCATAAGTTAAATCCTTCCTGGATTCAAAATATCTTTTCTAATGAAAGAAATGCGGTTGGGGTGGGAGACAGGGTTTATATATCCTTTCTACATATGAATTTATATCTCTATAGATGTTTCCTATGAATTCTGTATTTATATGTCCATCTACATACTTAACATATTTTCTTCGATGTCTCAGGCATCACACACTCATATATTCAAAACCAAATTCATGATTTCCACCCAAAACCACTTGGTTCCTCCTCTTGTGCTTAGTACAAATTGAGAAATAGAATAAAGAAAGGATAGATGGAAACCAAATACGGCTGCTTGGCATTCTGAGGAATCCAAGCTGCCAGTCTTCCATATCTTGTTATGGTGCCGTCTGTGTCCTTCTCAGCTGCCTAGCAGAAAACAGCCTGCAGAATCTTGTGTGTTTGGTGCTTCTACTAAGAGGTAAAAAGCATCACTTCTGCTCACATGTTATTGTCCAAAGTGAAGTCCCATGGCCATGCCTAATTTCAGGGAGCCATATGCCCAGAAAGAAGGATGAATGGGGACTCTTGATGATCACTTCCATAAGCAGCAACTTAGATAATCTCATTCTGTTTACTTGGTTTGGTCCAACGTACTTTCATTCTCCCCACACTTACTATCTTCTTCCTGATTCCCACTCTGAGTCAAGGCCTAGGAGATGATGTATGTTGAGGCAAGACGAGGCCCAGGTAGCATCTTCACCTGGTTTTACCCTTTTTCAATCTTTCTCCAGTTCCTCACACAGCACTGAAAGGACTTTTTTGTCTTCTTCATGGGGCTGGAACTTCAGTGATTCCATTGAGGAATACAGTCCTCCCTGTTCTATAGTTTATGCTCTCGTCAATCCTCTAAGCTTTAGTGTCTGATATTTAAAGGAATATTTTTAGGATTCAGAAAATCTATTTCTTAAGTAAAACTAGCTTTCAGGACTACTGCTCTAAATGTACTTAAAAGTCTAATTTGAAACCCAAACTCAAGTAATATCCCTTTCTTCTAGGCAAGAACTGCATTCTTTCTGAATAAAATGAATGTAATTCGTTTAATGTGTGAGAAGTTTTAGGACAACAAAATTTAGAGAGAATTGAGAAGACAACAGATACTGTTTTTTTTTAAATGATATTTCTGCTGCCCCTGTGTCTGCTACTGAGCTACAAGATTCATGAGGGCAGAAATCAAATTGTTTGGCTTGAAATTGTTTAGCCAAAATATTATTTGAATAAATAGAGCGATGAATGAACAAAACAGTAGATCCAGAAGATTGTTACTTACATAAGTACGTAATTTTGGATAAAACAGAGAAGAAAACACTTAAACTTACAATATAATCTAAGGTTCTAAAGTGAGTCACAATATATAAAAGACTGACAAAGTTCCCTGGATAAGTAGGAAACTCACTGTAGTGAAGAAAAGAATGGAGATGCACAGAAGCACAGTTGGGACACTGGGTGCAAGATCAGAGGAGAGGGATTCTTTTCAATGAGACACAGTAAGAACCATTGAAATATTTTCTGACCCAGCACGGGGGATTCGTCGCAGGCTCCTTGAGAGGGATGCTGCAAAATATAAAACAGCAGCTTGCTTACCAGGATCCACCTAGAGAGATGCACTCTCTGCAACCAATCATGCGGACCCTGGCTTAGAGATGCTTCCTCAGTTTTAGGGCCGTGAGTCATTGGCAGCAGAGCACAACAGTCATGGATGGAGAATGGTGATGACCAAGACCACAGCCATATTGTTCCTACCACACTTTTGAGGTCAAGAATTGAGTCTTACTCGTTTTGAATCAATGAGTAAGTCCCACTAGGGACTGCACAGGAAATGCAGAGAGATTTGGAATCTTTCTGTGGGGAGTTTAGGGGCCAGAGATCATCAAGATTATTATCTACACTTTAAATTGTCCCCAAGGCTTGAGAGACCTCAGCAAGCAAAGGTCACATGTTGAAGCGAATTGCTACATCTTAGCAAATCTTCTCTCACACACTGCATAATTCAGATGAACAAATAGTTCCCCTTGTGAGAGGGAAATTTTATAGAACTTTTTCAGACTGTCCTGAGAAAGGGCCGTATGACTGCTCACTGGGATTTGGAATGAATTTCTCAGGTTTCATCTCTTATCAGCTACCCGAAGATCATCTGGTAAGATAAGTATTAAAACTTTAATAGTATAAATCTGGCACTGTCTAAAATCAGCATGGGTGAAATTTCAAATTTCGATCTATCCCTACATGATAAAGATTTCATTTGAAGCCCCAAATATTAGTACTCTGTTGTGACATCATTGGTAAAAACTGTCCAGGATTTGAAATTGGAAGATTCTTTGTGTCTAAATGGTCATGGCCATTAAAATTTTTAAAAATGTCCAGCTGGTTCCAATCATGAAGTTAGAATTTCTCTCTCTGGTTCCCAGAAGCCTATACTGGCATATTTATTTCATGCTTGCCTATGAAGAATTCAGCTTTATTTTTATGCAAGTTAATTTTCTCCTTATGGAGTCATCATTAATATAAATAGCAATATAAATGGCAATTTATGTTAATGATGACTCCATAAGGAGAGAAAGTATACATTCAGTAACTTTCTAATCTACAAATTTGTCATCTCTTTAAAATAATAACAAGTACCAGAAGATATCTGAAAGGTGTCCCAGAATATAATTTTTTAAAGGGTAATTAAGTATGACAAGTAACTATAAAGGCGATTATAATTCAGTTCATTTGGATTTGAGTTGCCAGATTTAACAAATAAAAATATACGATGTCCAGTTAAATGTGTATGTTGTACATGTACATCCAACATGGAGCCTGGTCATTGGAGGTGCCCTGGCAATTTTTCTAAGTCCACCTACAAGGGTCAAGACTGACTAAGAACATCCTTTCACTTAAAAAAAATTATAGTTTATCTTAAAATCACATTTAACTGAGTATCTTCTACTTTTATCTGGCATTTCTAATTTGGAGGAACTGGCTGCTTGCCATGATGCTAAAAATATTACTGTAATTTTTCCATCTTGAATTATCTTTATGTCATTCAGCTTATTTATAAGAGAAAAAAGTAAATTTACTTGTACCAGAAAATATCAGTTGAATAAGATCACCCTGGATTTTACTCTCCTGGCATTTTCCTTCACATAATTTTGAAATCAGTGTTGGTTGGAGAAGAGGATTTGTTTTGGAGTATTTTGGGGTGGGAGAGTTCAGGATGCAGTCAATGGAACCATTTAGGAAAAATTTCCCAGCATATTACAGGGCCATATTCTTGCCAGCACACAGCTCTTCACTCTAGTCATCGAATGTTCCCAGCAAGAGGAGTCATAATTTAGGTTCACTGACTTACTTCCACTTACATCCTGGAAATTCAGAGCTTTGTGTCTTTACAGTGGCCTAGGCCTGTACTTGATTGAGGACAGGATTAAATGTTTTCATTTCATCAATAGGTTCAGAGGGTTAGATCAATTTAATAATATGTCACATAGTTATAGGGGAGATATGAACAAATTGCAAACCTGTTGAATTCTTAAAGAGCAGGGAGTACTGTTTAGAGAATGTGGTGCCTTCAGTTAGTTTCATTATTTGTAATAATAAAAGCCACAGTTTATTCAGCTATTAGTATGTTATGGGCACAGGATAAATGATCTAGAGTAATTATTTCCCTTACCCACACAACATTCTCCTCAGATAGGTCTTATCATCTCCATTTTATAAGTGAGGATTAATCTGTCATCCCTGAGTCATGCAATTGTCAAAAACATAACTGAATTTTAAACCAAGCTCTGATGCTAAAGCTTATATCTTAACCACTATGTTGTATTTCTCACCAATTATGTTTGTGCGTTGATTTTGTCTTAAAGAATGAGATGTCTGCTAGCAAAGCTCTCATAATAAATCCCTCTACCTTCACTCCAAGTTACAACTTCTTCCCCAAAATGGCAGACACATTGAAGGTTTGCTCACTTGAAACTCAAAACACATTTGTCCAAGGAGCTAGGGAAAATGAAACAGAGTAAATATTTTTCTGCCTGAAATAAATCACATTTCATATCAATTGATGGGTCCGACACAAGACAGGTGAGCCCCAGCATTGGGGCTTAGCCCAGAAGCGTTCTTGGTTTCACTCAGAAAAGAATTCCAGGGAAAACTGGTGTTGTTATATAGCAATCTTTTATTAAAGGGTACTGCTCCTTGTGAAGTAGGGCTAACTCATAGGCAGTGCACCCAGGGGCTGCAATGTATGGGTTGTTGGCAACTGTATGGTTACTCACCTCTACTCGCTTTCAATTACATGCAAATTAAGGGGCAGGTTAATGCAAATTGAGGGACGGGTTATTTAGAACTTTCTAGGAAAGGGGCAGTAATTTCCAGGCCATTGCTATGGAATAAAGTCATAGCTTCTGGGTCACTGTCATGGCATTTTTTATTTATTTATTTATTTATTTATTTATTTATTTATTTATTTTTTGAGATGGAGTCTCACTCTGTCGCCCAGGCTGGAGTGCAGTGGTGCAGTGCCGGCTCAGTGCAACCTCTGCCTCCTGGGTTCAAGCGATTGTCCTGCCTCAGCCTTCTGAGTAGCTGGGACTACAGGCGCATGCCATCACACCCAGCTAATTTTTGCATTTTTAGTAGGGACAGGGTTTCACCGTGTTAGCCAGGATGGTCTCGATCTCCTGACCTCATGATCCACCCACCTCGGCCTCCCAAAGTGCTGGGATTACAGGTGTGAGCCACCACCTCCGGCCTGTCATGGCATTTATAAACCGTCATGGTGCTGGTGGGAATGTCTTATGCTAACGAGCAATGAGGGCAGCTAGGGATTGCTTTTATCGCCATCTGCTCGTTCCTGCCACTTTTTTCACTTCATCCTTTATGGGTGAGATCCTGTTTTGGTCAGCAGGGTTGTGACCAGAAAACAAGTCCTGCTGGTCTCCTTCATTCTTCTCTCAGAGATTAGAGACTCCTTAATCTTAAGGGGACCGCAGAAGGGAAGACGTCCGTCTTCTGTAACTGCTTCTTGCTGATTCTATGGGCATAGACTCTTACTCCTTCTATTGGAGGAGTAAAAAATCTCTGGATACCTGATGTAAGGGGCCCAACACCAGGATGTTTTTGTTTTCTGGGTAAGAAGACAGAATGGGTTGGAAGCTTTGTGCCAGCATCATCTTCATGTGGAATTGTTGTAGTCTAGAAGATACAAACTTAACTGAGAGGTTAAACAAGCAAGGGCCAAAAATTAGTAATAATAAAGTAGTTATCAAAGGTCTTAGGAAAGATAAAAACCAGATGAGAATAATAGATGTGGTTTATTGTTGCATATGCTCTTCCTTGTCATGTTATTTATTTGTGTGTTTGCAAAACAATAGCTTTAAGTCTTCTAGGGGTTCACAAATGTAGGGTGTGGGGTCTTCCTCTTATACCTGTGGGGAGTCACAAGAAACAGGTTTAATCCTGGACAGGTGTCCCCAGCTAGTGATTTGCTGAAGCTTAACAGCAGTGGGGGTATTTAACAATAGCTGATAGGGGTGTTTTGGTTGTAATTGATTTTCAAGGGTTTCTTTTTTTTTTTTTAATGAAGTCTTGCTCTGTCGCGCAGGCTGGAGTGCAGTGGCACCATCTCGGCTCACTACAGCCTTCGCCTCCTGGGTTCAAGTGATTCTCCTGCCTCAGCCTCCTGAGTAGCTGGGACTACAGGCATTCACCACCACGCCTGGCTAATTTTTTTGTATTTTTAGTAGAGATGAGGTTTCACCATATTGTTCAGGCTGGTATCGAACTCCTGACCTCGTGATTCACCTGCCTCAGCCTCCCAAAGTGCTGGGATTACAGGCGTGAGCCACCGTGCCAGGCCTGGAATTTTTTTTTTTTTAAGTCTTTAGTAAGACTAAGTCTTCCAGTTAAACAAGGGAGTTTTTTGTTTTTGTTTTTGTTTTTCATTTGGAAGAAAGGGCAATATTTTATTTTAATTTCGAAAGGCCTTTTGATCCTGGCCTAAATTTAAATTTGGGGAGTAAGCATGGCGAAGCATGTCTGACCCCCTATTTCCTGTCATGGTTTGAGTTAGTTTTTCAGGTTTCTTTGGGATTTCCTTTGGCCACGGGACTTAGAGCCAAAAGACTGATAGCCAATTAAACTTTTTTAGACCATATGGAAATGGACGTGGGCAGGCACTCATTAGCCCTTAAAATTTGTTATGCAATATAAGAGTCAAAAACTAAAAGCCAAAAATAAGGTTCTATATTAAGAAAAACGAATAGGCGGGTGGCCAAGATAGCCAAGTAGAAGCAGCTAGTGTGCATGTCTCTCATGGAAAGGTACAAAGGGGTAAACAGCACCTTCAACTGAAACATCCAAATATTCACATTGGGACTAATCAAGGAAACAACTTGACCCACGGAGAATGAAGAAAAGCAAGACAGGATGATGCCCCATTTGGGAGCAACACGAAACCAGAGGACCCTCCCCACTCCCAGGGAAGCAGTGAGTGAATGTACTACCTCAGGAAACCATGCTTCTCCCATGGATCTTTGCAACACTCAGGTCAGGAGATCTCCCTGTGAACCCACTCCACCAGGGCCTTCCGACTGAGAGACTTACATGGAGTCTCAGCATAGCAGCCGCTCAGGTATACATGGAGACTCAGGAGCCTTAGACACTCAGGCTTTCCAGCAAAGTAGCTGCAGCCCAGCCAAGTGGGCTCCCATACATACCCCTAGGAAAGATGCTGAATCCGGGGGGCTGAGCAGCGACAGTCTGCAGACCCCACTTCCATGGCACCTCACAGGATAAGACCCACTGGCTTGGAATTCCAGCCAGCCACCAGTAGGCAGGGTTACTCCTCCCTGAGATGGAACTCCCAGGAGAAGGAGTGGACTGCCCTCTTTGCCATTTGGGTGACTTAGCTCTCTAGTTTTTGGGCTTTGGAGAGTCTGAGCTGACCAGGGGCAGAAGTGGTCCTCCAGCACAGCACAACTGCTCTACCAAAATGTGGCCAGACTGCTTTGTTAAGCAGGTCCCTGATCCCATTCCTCCTCACTGGGTGGGCCCTCTAGTCACCCCTGCCTGTGTTCTCCAGCCAAGAGAGATTTGAAAACTCTCTGGGACAGAGCTCCCAGAGGAATGGGCAGGCCGCCATCTTTGCTGTTTGGGTGACTTAGCTGTTCTAGCCTTTGAGCTTTGGAGTGTTCGAGGTGACCAGGGATTGAGGCAGACTCCAGCACAGCAGAACTGCTCTACCAAAATGTGACCAGACTTCTCTTTGGGTGGGTCTCCGATCTCATTCCTCCTCACTGGATGGGACTTCCCAACCAGTCTTCAGCCACATCCTACAGGTGTGTTTGGCTGGCAACAGACCTGTACCTCCCTAGGATGAAGCTCCCAGAGGGAGAAGCAGGCTGCCCTCTTTTCTATTTCTCAGCCTTTACAGGTGAACCCTCCAGGAACTGGAAAATATGAGATGACTAGAGACTGCAACAGGCCCCAAGCATACTGCAGCAGCCCTATAGAAAAGGGGCCAGGGTGTTACATGGGTGCCTGTTCCCTTATCTCCTCAATAGGCAGGTGTTCCAGGCCTAGGCCTCCAGCCACATGCTGTCAGAGCTATCAAGCCAGTGGTAACTCAGCAACTCCCTGGACAGAGCCTCCAGGGGCAACTGAATGCCTTTCTACCACTGTCTCCGCAGTGGAACTGCCCTTGCCACCATCAGACTAATGAAGGAGAAAAGACCCTAAGTGCCTTATCCACACCTCCAACAAGCTGCAGCTGACCCAAGGAGATGAGGCCAATCTGTCTCCCCTGGGTCCCAAACACCTCCCACTGCTCATCACCGGACAGGAAACCTGTGACTTGGGCCCACAGCACAGACCCTCCATTCTGGGCTGATTGCACTGAGTGATTGCCGACCTGCATCTCTCTGGGGTGGAGCCTCCAAGAAACAAGCAAATGACCCTTGGTTATAGCCACTACTAAGGTCCCTTCCTCTGCTGCCTCAGAGTTGAGGAAGAAACACTGAGATCACCCCAGAGCTGCAGTGGGCAGCACAGGAGTCCCAAGCCACAATCTACAGCCAGCACTCAAGGGGGAAAGAAACCCACACTTTCAGAGCATTGAGAGAGAACATGGCTGCAACTGTCAGGAAACATAGAGGAGCTACACAACTGAGCTAGAGTCTACCAACTGACCAGTCAGCCTAAGTGCCACCTGCTGGATCATTCCCCAAAGCTTCAATACCAAAAATACCTTGCTAACGTACCAGCCTCTGAAACCAGAGACAAGAAGTCAGTTTCAAGTGAAGACCCTGCACAAAGCCTCAGCCCAGTGAAAACATTTAGAACAGAAGTCTGTTGACAGTACTCAATCTACACTGCACTTAAAGGAACACCCACATGCAGAGATTAGAAAAAAAAAAAAAAAAAAAAACCTCAAAAGACCAGAGTGTTTTATATGTTCTCCAACTGATTGCATCCATTCTCTAGGAGTTCTTAACCAGGCTGAACTAGCTGGAATGACAGAAGTAAAATTCAGAATATGAATAGAAACAAAGATCATTGAGATAGAGGAAGATGGCAAAACCCAATCCAGAAAAAAATAAGAATTTCAATAAAGCTATACAGGAGCTGAAGGATGAAATAGCCAGTATAAACGAAAACCTAACAGGTCTGACAGAGCTAGCTAACACAATACAAAAATTTCACAATGCAATCACAAGCATTAACAGCAGAATAAACCAAGCTGAGGAAAGAATCTCAGAACTTGAAGACTGGGTCTCAAAATAAGATAGTCAGGCAAAAATAAAAACACAATAAAAAGAAATGAACAAAACCTCCAAGATGTATGGGTTTACGTAAAGAGGCAAATTCTATGAATCACTGGCATCCCTGAAAGGGACAGGGAGAAAGCAAACAACTTGGAAAACATATTTCAGGATATCATTCATAAAAACTTCCCCAACCTTGCTAGAGAGGCCAAGAGTCAAATTCAGGAAATACAGAGAACTCCTGCAAGATTCTACACAAGATTATCCCAAGACACATAATCATCAGATTTTCCAAGGTCAAAATGCAAGAAAGAATGTTAAAGGCAACTAGAGAGAAAGAGCAAGTCACCTACAAGGGGACCCCATCAGGCTAACAGTGGGCCTCTCTGATGAAACCCTATAAGCTAGAAGGGACTGGGGGCCTATATCAAACATTCTTTAAAAAAAAAAAAGTTTAACCAAGAATTTCATATCCATCTACACTAAGCTTCCTAAGTGAAGGAGAAATAAGATCCTTTTCAGATGAGCAAATATTGAGGGAATTCATTACCACTGGACCTGCTGTACAAGAGATCTTGAAAGGAGCACTAAATGTAGAAAAAAAAGACTGCTACCAGTGAGACAGGAAAATAGGGTTTGGAGGCAGAGAACATAAGGCTGATTCACACTTCAGCTATGATATGAAATATCCTCTCCATAGGGCATAGACCAAGTAAATGACTTTGTAATTTTACTTCATCCTCTCCATTTACATAGGGCATATCCCAAGTAGAGGGCGTTTAAACTCACAAAAACTGTAACAGGGCCTTTGTGCTCCCATGCTTGGGTCCACTCCCACACTGTGGAGTGTACTTTCATTTTTTATAAATCCCTTCATCTCTTCCTTGCTTTGTTTGTGTGTTTTGTGCAATTCTTTGTTCAAGACACCAAGAACCTGGAGACCCTCCACCATTAACACCAGCTAATACAAACACACACTTAAACACACAGACCAATGTCACTAGAAAGCAACCATACAAACAAGCCAGCATAATAACCAGCTAACAGCACAATGACAGGATCAAATCCACATATAAATACTAACCTTGAATATAAATAGGATAAATGCCCCACTTAAAAGGCACAGAGTGACAAACTGGATTCAAACAAAAGCAAGACCCAATGGTATGCTGTCTTCAAGAGACCTATCTCACACATAATGAAACCTATAGGCTCAAAATAAAGGAATGAAGGAAAATCTACCAAGCACATGGAAAAAAGCAAAAAGCAGAGGTTGCAATTCTAATTTCAGACAAAACAGATTTCAAACCAACAAAGATAAAAAAAGACCAGGACATTACATAATGGTAAAGGGTTCAATTCAACAAGAAGACCTAACTATCCTAAATATATATATGCGCCCAACACAGGAGCACCCAGTTTCATAAAGAAAGATCTTAGAGAATTACAAAGAGACACAGACTCCCACACAGTAGTAGTGGGAAACTTCAACACTCCACTGACAGTATTAGAGAGGTCATCAAGGCAGAAAATTAACACAGATATTCAGGACCTGAACTCAAAATTGGATCAAATGAATCTGATAAACCTTTACAGAACTCTCCACTCAAAACCAACAGAATTTACATTTTTCTCATTATCACATGACACATACTCTAAAATTGGCCACATAATTGAACATAAAACAATCTTCAACAAATGCAAAAGAACCGAAATCATACCAAACACACTCTTGAACCACAGCACAATAAAAACAGAAGTTAAGACTATGAAAATCACTCAAAACCATGCAATTACATGGTAATTAAATAACATGCTCCTGAATGACTTTTGGGTAAATAGTGAAATTAAGGCAGAAATCAAGAAGTCCTTTAAAAATAATGAGAACAAAGATACAACATACCAGTATCTCTGGGACACCACTAAGGCAGTGTTAAGAGGGATATTCGTAGCACTAAATGCCCACATCGAAAAGTTAGAAATCTCTCATATTAACAACACAACTGAAAGAATTAGAGAAGCTAGAATAAATGAACCCCAAAGCTAAAAGAAGACAAGAAATAACCAAAATCAGAGCTGAACTGAAGGAGGTTGAGACACAAAAAACCATTCAAAAGATCAACGAATTCAGGAGTTTGTTTTATGAAAAAATTAATAAGATATATTAATTTCTTTCTAATAAAGAAAATATAGAAGATTCAAATAAACACAATTAGAAATGATGAAGGGAATGTTACTGCTGACCCCACAGAAATAAAAACAACCATCAGAAATTACCATGAACACCTCTATGCACAAAAACTAGAAAACCTAGAAGAGATAGATATATCTCTGGACACATACACCCTCCCAAGACTGAGCCAGGAAGAAATTGATGCCCTGAACAGACATATAATAAGCTCTGAAATCGAATCAGTAACAAATAGCCTACCAACCAAAAAAAAAGCCCAGGACCTAATGGATTCACAGCCGAATTCTATCATATGTACAAAGAAGAGCTGGTACCATTCCTCCCAAAAAGTTTAGAAGGGATTTCTTGCCAACTCCTTCTATGAGCCTAGTGTCATCTTGATACCAAAACCTGACAGAGACACAACAGAAATAGTAAACTTCAGGCAATATCCTTGATAAACACTGATGCAAAAATCCTCAACAAAATACTAGCAAAAATTCAGCAGCACATCAAAAAGCTAATCCACCATGATTAAGTGGGCTTCATCCCCAGGATGCAAGGTTTGTTCAACATATATAAATCAAGAAATACGATTCATCATATAAAAGGAACTAAAGACAAAATAGACATGATTATCTCAATAGATGCAGGAAAGGCTTTTGATAAAATTCAACATCACTTCATGCTAAAAGCTCTCAATAAAGTAGGTATTGAAGGAATATACCTCAAAATAACAAGAGCCATCTATGACAAATCCACAGTCAACCTTATACTAAAGGGGCAAAATCTGGAAGCATTCCCCTTGAAAACCAGCACAAGACAAGGATGCTGTCTCTCACCACTTCTATTCAACATAGTATTAGAAGTCTTAGCCAGAACATTCAGGCAAGAGAAAGAAATAAAGGGACTCCAAATAGGAAAAGAGGCATCCAAATTTGCAGGACACATGATTCTATATCTAGAAAGCCCCACAGTCTCAGGCCAAAAGCTCCTTTAGCTGATAAACAACTTCAGCAAAGTTGCAGGATGGCACTCTTATACACCAACAACACCCAAACTGAGAGCCAAATCAGAAAGGCAATCTTATTCACAAATGCCACAAAAAGAACAAAGTACTTAGGAATACAGCTAACAAATGAGATGAAAGATCTCTACAACAAGAATTACAAAACACTGCTAGAAGAAATCAGAGAAGACACAAACAAATGGAAATACAGCCCATGCTCATGGACAGGAAGAACCAATATTGTTAAAATGGCCATTCTGCCCAAAGAAATTTACAGATTCAATAAAAACAACCATTATGAGTTATTCCTATCAAACTACCAATGACATTCTCACACAACTAGAAGAAACTATTTTAAAATTCATATGAAACCAAAAAGTAGCCTAAATAGGCAAGGCAACCCTAAGCAAAAAGAACAAAGCTGGAGGCATCACGTTTCCCAACTTCAAACTATGCTACAGGACTACAGTAGCTAAAACAGCCTGGTACTGGGACAAAAATAGACACAATGGAACAGAATAAAGAGCCCAGAAATAATGCCACAGAGCTACAACCATCTGATTTTCAATAAGGTCAACAAAAAAAAAAAAGCGAGGAAAAAAGACTCCCTATTCAATAAATGGTGCTGGGATAACTGGCTAACCACACGCAGAAGATTGAAGCTGGACACCTTCGTTACATCATATACAAAAATCAGCTCAAGTTGGACTAAAGATTTAAATGTAAAACCCAAAACTATAAAAACCCTGGAAGACAACCTAGGCAATACCATCCTGGACATAGGAATAGACAAAGATTTCATGACAAAGACATCAAAAGCAATCACAACAAAAGCAAAAATTGAGAAGTGTCGCCTAATTAAACTTAAGAGCTTCTACACAGTAAAAGAAACCATAAACAAAGTAAACATACAACCTACAGAATGGGAGAAAATATTTGCAAACTATGCATCCAACAGAGGTCTAATATCCAGCATCTATAAGGAACTTAAACAAATTTACAAGAGAAAAACAAAAAAAAAGTTAAAAAATGGGCAAAGGACATGAACAGACAGACACTTCTCAAAAGAAGATACACATGCAGCCCAGAAGCATACAAAAAAAAAAGCTCAATATCACTGATCACTAGAGGAATGAAAGTCAAAACCACAATGAGATGCCATCTCACACCAGTCAGAATGGCTACTATTAAAAAGTCAAATAATAGCATGCTGACGAGGTTGCAGAGGAAAGGGAACACTTACATACTGTTGGTGGGAGTGTAAATTAGTTTAACCATTGTGGAAAGCAGTATGCTGATTCCTCAAAGAGCTAAAAGCAGAATTACCATTTGACCCAGCAATCCAATTACTGAGTATATACCCAGAAGAATATAAATAATTCTACCATAAAGACACATGCATGTGAATGTTTATTGCAGCACTATTCACAATAGCAAAGACATGAAATCAATCTAAATGCCATCAGTGACAGACTGGATAAAGAAAATGTGGTACATATGCACCATGGAATACTATGCAGCCATTAAAAAAGAAAAAATTCATGTCCTTTGCAGGAACATGGATGGAGCTGGGGGCTATTATCCTTAGCAAACCAATTCAGCAACAGAAAACCAAATACTGCATGTTCTCACTTATAAGTGGGAGCTAAATGATAAGAACTTATGAACACAAAGAAGGAAACAACGGACCCTGCTGTCTACTTGAGGGTGGGGGGTGGGAGGATGGAGAGAAGCAGAAAAGATAACTATTGGGTACTGGACTTAATACCTGGGTAATGAAATAATCTGTACAATAAACCCCTGTGACATGAGTTTACCTATGTAACAAACTTTCACATGTACCCCCAAACCTAAAATAAAAGTTAAAAAAAAAGAACAGCCAAAAGTATGTAATCAAGTTATATTGGTTAAGCATGTCATAATTGACTGGCTTAACCACACACTTTTTATAGACCTCTAAGATAAAATATTTTAGCATGAGGTCATAACAACAGTTAGAACTGGAGGAGAAAATATTATAGGAGCTGACTAAAAACCTAAAGCAGAGTTATTATCTCAAGTCTTCTCAAAGGGAGTGAGTCACAATAACAGCTGAATATCTATGATATGAATCTGAGAAGTTTTAAAAGAAACCAGTTATAGCATTAAAAGAAACCAGTTATAGCATTAAAAGAAAAATTTCCTGTAACACAAATCAATATCTTAAGAAAACCCAGTTCCAATATGGAGATTATTTTCTAGAAAGTCTATCACAAAGAATTTTTCTTCAATCACAGCCAGCTTAATAATATACAAAATCCCCCTGACAACTTTCCCTTTACAAACCCCATCACTCTTTTGCAATGCTTGGACTCTCTGACCTATCCTATGCCACCTCTCTTCCAAATAACCTGTCACTTTATTCTAGGAAAAGAATCTACCACACAAAATCCCTCCTCATACAAAATCACTCTTTCTTTATATCCCTCCCCACATAAAAAAAATGTATCTTCTATCCATAACTCTCCTCATATCTTTCTTTTTATTCACTTGTTCCTTCATGTGTTGAACCAGCCTTTTAATAAGTTCCAGATCGGAAAAAAAAAAATTCTTTTTTCCAATTAAAACTATGTTTCCCCTGGCACATTTCATATAAACTTAGGAGGCAGAAAATTCTGAACTGCCTACCAGATATTGGGATTTTATAGATGAGAACCATTCTATAATTTTTAAGAATTTAAACCATACAAAAAGCTACCCATTCAAAGCTTTTTAAAATATTCTAAAGCCTAAAAACATCAGTGGTTTACCTAGGTAAAAATCTTGAAGTTAAATTTTAGAAGACACAACATTCTCTTCCAACTATCAAGTTTAGCCTATTCTTGTTTAATTCATGAGCACTCTTTTATTTATAAGCCAATTTGATAGCATGCTGGACACAACACACATCACACAAATGAAGTGACCTATATACAAGACAGCTGGATCCAAGTTATTTACAAAATTGGAACGTATCCACCTGACCAAATTGTGTTTGCCCCAATAGGTATGGAAGACAGGCTGAGGCAGGGAAGGGGACGCTATAGAAGGGAATGGATGAACCACATTGCTCCAGAGGAGACCTCAGAGTCCCCAGTCCACCAGAAAACTTACCCAGATGTGGAGACATCAAAGAATAATGTTCAGATGCCTGCTTCACTGCCACTGTGGGAAGCTGCCCATCAGAAGAAGGGTCCAGGACCCCCAGTAGTTTTACTTAAGCAAGGCAGCTTGCTGCAACTAGTGCAAGAAAGCTAGTTCTAGTATCAGAAAGCCTATGAGTCTCCTTCCCACAGCAATTATTACCCAGAATTTTTAGAACATGGAGGAAGCCCTGGGTTTCATTTCTGGCTGGACAGATTGATGAAGAGTCTTTTTTTCCATGCACCAGGGACAGTTAGAACATTCTCATGACCAATGGCCCTCATTCCTGAAGAAGGCACAGTGATTTTGTCTCAGGGGCTGGCAAGTCAAGGGCTGTCATCTGGGCATCCCAGATGCTGATCTCATGACACTTTCTTGGGATGGGTAATTCTGAGTTGACAGAAGGCCTAAGACAACTGCTAACAATTACACTTTTTTACTATTTATTTTGGTTCTCTCTCTCTCTCTTTTGCCCTGTGCCTATTGTTGTAAACCTTAAAGGTCATGTTTAAGAGCTGGCTCGTAGGGGTTTAAAGTCCCACTGCTGCTTTTTGTAGCTTCCTCCTAATGTCAGGGGCATATTGAGTAATAATATTCATACCCAGGAGAGTTTGCCTTTCTGGGGAGTCTGGTCTGCATTAGTATATGTCTTAAGTGCCTCAACCAAACAAACTGAAACAGAGTGGCTGTTTTGTCTTTTCCCCGAGTTACTTTTCTAACCATGTCATAATTGACTGGCTTAACCACACACTTCTTCCTCCACTTCTCCATGGCACAGCAAATAGATGATAATACTTTCAAGTCATGCCAAGTTAAATCAAAGAACATGATCAACTTAACAAATTCCTGGATTCTCTGAAAACTAGCCACATTTCTCCTTGCATAAAGCCAAAACAGACATAGAAAATGGCACATGTACCCTAAGAGTTCCCCTATTTCCGACAACTATTTCCCACAATGGACACAGGTTTGACTTTAGGGGCTGATATGTATTTCTTTGAAGAAGTTTATTAGGTAAATCAGTGTTATTTTTTCTTCATTATTCAAATGCAAAGCTAATTATATTAATAATCTCTCAAAGTAGAGTCCAATATTTTGAGAGAAACGCACAAAATGAGGAGCAGAATGCTGAGAGAGAACGCACAATGCTGAGAGAAATGCTGAGAGAGAATGCAAATGAGAGAAATGCACAAAATAAGGAGTCAGAACATTTCTTAGAGTTTAAACTCTGCTATTTCATGCCTATATAAGCTTGGAACTTATTGACCTTACTGAGCTTCTATTACTTCCTTTGCAAAATCAGGAAGCTAGATTAGCCATCCAGTCCAGATGTAGCATCTGATGATTCTTATATAAGAGATAGTCATTTGTTTAATTCCTTTAACGAACAATGAGCACTTGCTGAATGCCAGGCACCAACACTTTCTGCTCTTAGAGGAGAGCCAATGTTGCTGCAGGAGCAGGGGCCACCAGACTTCTGATTCAGGAAATGACTAAGGCCTCTAGCTCACCGTTTGCACTGCTGTTTTAGTAACCTTCCTCTGTCATTTTAAAAGTGTTGATTCTTACCAGTGAATTTATAAGAGCTTTGTATAAAAAGATTTTGAAAACTTTGCAGGATCCTGGACTTAACTGAAGACACTGAGGTGTCTGAACACAGGGGCTGTGTCTTGAATATGCATATGGTAGGAGTTAATCAATATTAAATGAATGAATGACCTTGGAACTTACTGATTATCAGTGGAATAACGGTTTCACCTTTGATTAAATTCCTGAAAATTGAAGCATCTTCTTCATGTTTGGCAATATCACCTATGCTCTATAAAAATTTGAGAAATAATAATATTAACATACTTGTATAATATGTATAGTTTGTATCTCTCTTTCATTTACATTGTCTTATTTGCTCCTCACTAAAACAATGTGAAGTTGGTAAGGCAATTATTATTATATTCTTTCATGTTTTTAGGAGAAAACTAAGGTTCTTAGAGTCTTAATTAGCTGCCCAAGACTCTGCAGCAGTAAGTAGCAAGAGAGTATAAAAGCACAATTATTTATCCTTTCCTACCATATGATTATGCTTCTATCAAAGTTTCAGTCTGTCACTAAATAAGATAATGTATACAGATTGCAAGGCACAACAGGGAGTGCACCATACAATTTATTTCTACCCCTCTCCTTCTCTGCTTATCATGTGGTAAGGCAGAAAAGGTGCCTCGTTGAGTGGCATGATTTGTTTTTCCATGAACATTGGTTGAAAGCCTACCAAAGGCCAAGCACTGTGCCAGGCTTGGAGATACAAATGTAGTAAGACACAATCTTTGCCTTCAAGTTGCTTATTCTATAGTACAGAAGACAGACTAGTAAAGAGGAAATACTTTGAAAAATGTAATGCCTACTAGACAAAGTACCTCCTGAGAACTAACAAGAGATACCAATCCAGTTTTAAGACAGCCTCAAAAACTAACCAAGGAAGTAACCATTCAGGCTGAAACTTGGTTTAGCAAGGCTATGGCCATTTAAAATGTGTCCACAAATTTCTTGAAATTCCTTTAAAGAGGTGAAGCTTAATTTGCTTCCTTTTGGGTGTAGGCTGGACTTAATAAATAAGATATAGCCAAAGTGATGGTATTTTACATCCAAGACTAGGTCATAAAAAAATGTGTTGCTTCTGCCTTGCTCTTTCTTTGGTCACTTCCTTTGGAAAACATCAACTGTCATGTTGTCAAGACAGACAGACATATGAAAAGGCCCACATGATGATAAGCCAGGGTCTTTGTCAATAGGTGTCGAGGAACTGAGACCCACTGCCTACAGCCGTAGAAGTGAGCCATCTTGGAAGTAGAATCTCCATCTCCAGGCAAGCCTTCAGATGACAGCAGCCCTGTCCTATGGCTTGATTGTAACCACATGAGAGAACCTGAGCCAGATCTCTCAGCTAAGCTGCTTCCAGATTTCTGGTCAGCTAAGCTGCTTCCAGATTTCTGGTCAGCTAAGCTGCTTCCAGATTTCTGGTCCACAAAAATTGTGAAATGATAAATATTTGTTTTTTTCAAGCTGCCAAGTTTGATTAACTTGTTATTCAGCATAGATAACTAATACATGGAGAATGGAAGAAGTGGTTGTGAAAACATTGTAGAGATGTAAAAGGAAAAAGAGTCAAATTAAAATGCTAGGGGGAAGAATCATAGTAATGGAGATGAAGAATACCTTTAACTTGTCTATCAGTAGACTTGAGACAGCCAAGGAAAGAATAAGTGACCTGAAGAAAGGTCCATAGAAATAATCCAAACTAAAACTTGGGTAGTGGGTGGGGGAGACATCATTGAAGAAATATTTGAAGAGAGTGGCTAAAAAGTCTCCAAAAATACTAAAAACATAAAATCACAGGTCCTAGAGGCTCAGAGAAGCTCAAACAGGACAAAATAGCCAGGTGTGTGGCTCACACCTGTAATCCCAACTCAGAAGACTGAGGCGGAAGAACTGTTTGAGGCTAGGAGTTCCAGACCAGCCTGGGATGTAAAATGAGATTCCATCTCCAAAAATGAAAATACAAAAATTAGCCAGGCATGGTGGTGCACACCTGTGGTCCTGGCTACTTGAGAGGCTGAAATGGGAGGATCACTTAAGCCCAGAAGTTCGAGGCTGCAGTGAGGTATGATCCCACCACTATACTCCAGCATCTGCAATAGAGTGAAACCCTATTTTTCCAAAATAATAATAATGATAATAAATATCTAGAAACATGATATTCAAAATGCTGACCACAAAAGATAAAAAGAAAATCTCAAAGTCATCCAGAGAAAGAGTCACATTACATAGAAAAAAAACACAGAGAACAAATACAGCAGACTTCTTGCCAGAAATTGTGCATGCTAGAAAAAATAGAGTGACATTTTCAAAGTGCCGAAAGAAAAATACTATTGACACTATACATAATAAAGATATCATTTAAAACTGAGAGATAAATACTTTTTCTAACAAAGAAAAACTAGGAGCATTCTTTAACAGCAGATATGAACTATAAGAAATGTGAAAGGACGTTCTTTAGGAAAAAAGATTATGACATCACACAGAAACTTGAATATACATAAAGAAATGAGGATTCCTAGAAATGGTTAAAAAAATAAAAGAATTATTTTTCTTATTTTTAATATCTCTAAAAAATCATTTTCTACTTTTTTTTTTTTTTTTTTTGAGTCGGAGTCTCTCTGTCGCCCAGGCTGGAGTGCAGTGGCGTGATCTCGGCTCACTGCAGGCTCTGCCCCCTAGGGTTCACGCCATTCTCCTGCCTCGGCCTCCCGAGTAGCTGGGACTACAGGCGCCCGCCACCTTGCCCGGCTAATTTTTTGTATTTTTAGTGGAGAGGGGGTTTCACCGTGTTAGCCAGGATGGTCTTGATCTCCTGACCTCGTGATCTGCCCGCCTCAGCCTCCCAAAGTGCTGGGATTACAGGCGTGAGCTACTGTGCCCGGCCCATTTTCTACTCTTAAAATAAGCAATGATTTGTGGGTTGGGCACATAAGTGAAACTAAAACATAAAACAATAGCCAAAAAACATAGACTAGAGATATTGTTGAGTACACAGTCATAAATTCCCATACCATGTTTGAAGTGGAATAATACTATTTGAAGATAGGCTTTGATTAATTAAAGATGTATATTGCAAGCCCAAGGTCAAGAATTAAAATAAATTAAAATGAGGGTAGAAATAATAAGCCAATAATAGAGATAAAATATAATAAAAAATACTCGTTAAGATGTAATCTAAAACAGAAGGAAAAAAACAGAAAAAGAAAAACTACCAAGATGATAGATATTAACCAAGCCATAAAAATACTTACTGTCTATGTATATTATCAAAACACAAAAATTAAAGCCATACTTCATCAGATCATATTAAAATGAATAACCATAATCATGTCTATAAGAAACATACTTTTAAATATAAACATTTAGATTGGTTTACAAGTAAAAATGTATTAAAAGACAAAGCATGCATACATTAATTAAGAGACATAGCATGCATACATTAATTAAAAGAAAAGAGTAACTATGTTAATACCTAATAATTCAAAATTCAAAACAAAGAATAGTACTAGAGATAAAGAAGGGTGTTACCTATTGATAAAGGGCTCAATTCACCAAAAAGACATGCTTATGTTCCTAACAGTAGGGCTTCAAAATACATGATGCAGACTAAAAGAAGGGAAGGAGAAATAGGTAAGTCTACACTTAAAGTTGAGGACTTCAGCATTTTTCTCTAAATAAATTGATAAAACAGAAAGATGGAAAAATCAGAAAGGATATGGAACATCTGAATAACATTAAAAACTACTCTGACTTAATTGCCACCCAAAAGCATCAGAGTACACAGTTTTGCAAGTACACATAGACTATTCACCATGGTAGATCATATTTTGGGGGAAAAAATCAAAGCTTAACAAAATAGAAGGATTTAAATCTTATAAAATATGACCTATGATCATAATGGAATTAAACTAGAAATCAATAAAAGAAAGATAGCTGGAAAACTTTCAGATAATTATAAATTAAATAACACTCTTTTAAATAAGACACACCATGTTTCAAGGAGGAATTAGAAAGAAAACTGGAAAACATTTTGAAACAAATGAGAATAAAACTCAGTAATAACAATCTATGAGAGACGGCCAAAGCAGTACTGGAGGCAGTTATAGCATTCAATTATGAAATTAAAAATAGGAAGGGTCTCATCTCAATGATATGTGCTTCCACTAAGAAATCATAAAAGGAGTTAGTATAAACCCCAAGTAAACAGAAGAAAATAAGCAATGAAGAGCAAAAGTGAATAAAACTGAAAATGAAAACAATGAAGAAAATTAAAGTAACCAGACTCTGATTCCTAAAAAAGTGAATAAATTAATATACATCTAACCAGACCAACAAAGAAAAATATAAAACGTAAATCTTACTTGCATTTGATGCCTTCTATTTTTGTTTAATTTGACTTGAGTTGTTTCCCATTCCTTGTAACCAAATATCCGTAAGGCTAGACACATAAGACAACCAACTCTGGAAAGACAGAATCCCACAGGAATGTCAGATCTCATGCTTAGTTGAAATGATGCAGCAAGAATACATATTCAGTCAATTTATCTCATTTAAAACAATATTTATCCTCACTGGGAAAATGTGCATAGAAGAATATACTTCTTAATGACTTTATATTACATTTTAAATCAATCTTGCTTAAGGTAATGTTACTAGAGATTTGATTCTATTAACATCATTCGAATTCATTTTCATTTTCACTGAGGATTTTTATTCCTCTCCATCTATAACTCTTGATAATAATTGAAATGGAAGAAGCCATTATCTTTATTTTATAAACTCTTTAAGTGAAATTATTTGTATACAAAATATGTATTTATTTAATTTGGAGTATTACAATCTTTTAAATTATTTAACTGTTTAAGGAGAGAAATGCCCAGAGACATGAAAATAAAATGAGTCTGTTGCTTTGAAACATGACAGAGAAAACTAAAATAATTCTAATACTAATCAGGCATTAAGGTGTGGCAGTCATTGTACCATGTCTTAGCAAGGCATATGAACAAGTTTAAAAAACAGTTTCTTCAAATCTAGAGATTCCAGTGCAATTAAGAAGACAAAAATGTTTCATGCATGTAAAACCAGAGTGTAAGACAGAAAAAATTTTTTCAGAGAACAGAGACAATTTTAGTAGTGTTTTTTGGAGAAAAAAAAAGCATAGAGAAAAACTTGCTTGCAGAGAATGAGAATCAATATTCAAGAGAAATTACAGAAACTTTTCCAAATTTATAGTAGACATAAATTCTCAGGTTGAAAATGCACATTAGATCAGGCAGGATAAATAAAATGAAATCCAGACTGAGACACAGTGTAGTGAAACTGAAAAACATTAAAGAAAAAAACAGACATCATCCACAAATGAGCAATAACTAAAACTGATAGCCAACTTTACAACAGCTACAGAAGAAGACAAAAGATAATGTTAAATATGTAATAAGTAGAATGTTAGATATAGCTTAATGTGAACTTTTTTCATATTAGAAAATCCAGCGTTCCACAATGGCTAACATTGGTTAATTCCTCAACAAAGCCATAATGTCTCAGGGTCTTAGTTTTCCTACTCTTTCATTTTCATGTTTGGATTTCATGCCTGGAAAATGGGTTACTGCAGTTTCCAAGATCTAGTTCATGATTTGTATCTCATGTCTGAAAAATGGTTATTGCAGCTCCAGACATCTAATCAATGTTCAAGGCAGGAAGAAGAAGGAAGGGGAATGTCTGTCTAATTTTAAAAGAAAACCTTTCCCATAAATGCCCCTTCAAAGAATTCTACTTATATAGAATGTAGAGTAAATAGGATTACTACAATAACCCTTCTTATTTAAAAAAAAAAAAAAGAATTAAGAAAACCAATCGTCTACAGGGCATATTAAGTCCCAAGGTACAATAATCATAAGGATTCTTTATCCAAGCAGAGGAAATACTTCCACTTTAGTCAACTTGATATATGCATAGGGTGATGCTTTCTGCCAAGACTCTGTCTTCCTCACTTCTCTCTGGTTTTGTACTCTGGAAGATTCTTCTGTCTATTTGATCACAGCTGAGATGAATGTTAAAGAGGATGTATTAATACCTAGGTGTTGCATGTTTTCCAATAAACTTGATGTTGACGTGAGTTTGGAGGTGGGCCAAGGGGATTGTTTTAGAAGTTAAACAGTCACAGGCTGTGTCTAGATGGGCATGTTATTTTTGACATAGAGAAATTTCTCAAAGCTTTCCCATCTATTGGTTTCTAGTCACGTCAGTGAGCAAGTAATGACAGCCAAAGATCTTATCTAGAGACGTACAGTCTTCAGAGCAGTGCTACTCAGTGTGGCCCAAGGACCAGTGACAGCCAGTGAACAGTTTTTTAATTGTTCCATGACAAGAACAGAAATAGATAATAAAATTGAGAAATTGTTATAGCATTTTGAAAGAGTAATTCTATCTGTTACATATGATAATTAAAAATGTGTTTATTTTTATGTCTTTATTTTTCTTTTATATGTCGTTTTCATAGTAATTTATTTTCATTGTATTTTACAAAGAATTGGTCTGCAATGAAGCGGTGGGGGAGATGAGTCCTTCACACAGATAGTTTGAGAAGCACTCTTTTAGACTAAAAGTTTTAGTCATTTAGTCATTTATTTGTGGGCCTCTTTGCCCCATTTGCTTCATCTTTTTTTTTTTTTTTTTTGAGACGGAGTCTCACTTTGTCGCCCAGGCTGGAGTGCAGCAGCGCAATCTAGGCTCACTGCAAGCTCCACCTCCCAGGTTCACTCCATTCTCCTGCCTCAGCCTCCTGAGTAGCTGGGACTACAGGCGCCCGCCACCACGCCTAGGTAATTTTTTTTTTTTTTTGTATTTTTAGTAGAGACGGGGTTTCACTGTGTTAGCCAGGATGGTCTCGATCTCCTGACCTCGTGATCCGCCCGCCTCGACCTCCCAAAGTGCTGGCATTTGCTTCATCTTAATGGTTGCTCCTTTGAGTAAATTTGAAACAATAGCCTCAGGAGGAAATAAACTACCTCTTAATCCAGTTTTTTCTGAGGTTCACTTCTATGACTAAGAGAGAACATTTAAATAAGATTTCTTGGAAAGACCTAGCACTTCAATATTCTCAGCTTCAAGGCTGTATCTTAAATTGTCCTGGCTTCAAGTTGGATTCTGAAATAAGTCAACATTTCCATTTCATCAAGGCTCCAAATTATGAGGTTCAATTCATTTAAATTTCAGGCCTACTGGCAGAGAGCACCTCTCTTAGCAAAACTGTATATGGAGTAGACAGAATGCAAAAAAATGCATCTCATATATTCGTGAATTTCTTTATTATAAGGCTAATGAATATTTGGTTTGAGCCTATGGAGCTAGTCAGCTGGAAGTTCTAGGACCCAGCTGCATGATACAGATCTGTCTCAGTCCTGGAGATGATCTGGTGTCTTGGTTCAGTGGCCAGTTGTGATTTCTACAACAGCAGTGGTCTGGTAAGAGTAGGCTTGGAGAATACCAAGATGTGGGGATCCACTTTCCAGCTCTCTGTTTCCCAAAGAAGAGCTATTCACTAATATTCCATTTTTCTTTGCCCTCTTTTCTATGCCACTCATTCCTTAATGAAGACAAGTACTTTGTTCCACCATCGTTTGAAAACATTTGTGAAAGACAGGAGCCAATTGCCAAAAGTCTTATTTCTGAATTTGTGTCATGTGACATATAAATCATGATATATGCATCACACGCAGGGTGGATTTAACCCAGTAATACAAGAATGGTTTAATATTGGGGAAAAAACCTGGTAACATACTTATTACATTAACAGTTTAAAATAAAATAAAACACGTGATGTAAAATGCCAAAGGCCTTCAATAAAATTAAATACTTACTCATGATAAAACTCATGTTAAACTTGGAATAGAAGTATCTTTCATTACCTGAGAAAAAGAATTCCAAAAATACAGAACAAACATCGTATTTTATTTTAAAATTTGAAAGAATACTCCTTAGTAATAGTAGCAAGAGTGGTATTTGTCCCACCACTATTAAAGATTGAATAGGATCTAAGAAAATACCTGTAATTTATTAATGGAGAAAGTTATAAAGATTTTATGGAGTATATAAAAGTCACCATAAATAAATGGTGATCTATATGCATAGGTACAAAAAAATTGATATGTTAAAAAAGTCAAATCTTTCTAAAATCACAATATTTTTAGCAAAATTATCATGCTGATAATAAAATGATAAGACGAGAGAAAGACAAAAACAGACAAAAAATTTTGAACAAGACAATGAACAGGGAGGAGGTAGCAGAATTATAAAATATCAAGAAATATAATTACTATGGTAATTACACCATAATTATAATTACTTGGTATAATTACCATAATTATACCAAGTTGCCTTGGTAAAAGGATAGAAATACAGAATAGAGATACTCAAACAGAATCAAGTTTCTATGAACACTTGTAAGAGATACAAGATTACAATTAAGAGGAGGGAAAGATGCATATATGCGGGGGGGGGAATGTCATAAATGGGAAAAATAAGGTCAAAGCATTACTTAATATCTTACTTGAAAATAAAAGTCAGCTGGAATAAATAATTACATACAGAAAGGCAAATCTTTAAAATTATTAGGAAGAAATGTAGGGAAGAGTTCAAAGAAATATTTTAGAATGCAGCACAGTTTTTGACTTTTCCAATTTCCCCTACAAAACAGGCAATGCAACTGGAATACAAAACATGCTGCCAAAATCTACAACAAAAGTGAACAACAAAGTATCTCCATGAACTCTAAAATGTGAGAAATTGAGGTCAAACTAACTAGAATAAATTTCACATAGTAATGGTAACTGTGAAGGGTGAAGCAGGGAGTAGGTAAAAGGATTACTGATAGCTGGGAAAGCTGCAGGACCCTAAAATTGAATTGCTCAAGGACTTAAAATGGAGACATCTATTTTGGAAAGTTCAGTGAGCCATTCTTAAAACAGCACCAAAACTGGAACTGGTTTCATGGGCTGTAATTTGCAAGTGCAAAAGTACAGCAAAAGTCAGATGGTGCAAGTCAGTTTGTATCATATGAAAACTTGAAATATGATAGTTCCTTTTTAGGTCAAAGACCAGAATTGAGAAGAATCTACTATGAGTAGAATTTAAATTTAGCAGGATAGAGACATGTAGGACCAAAGAAAAGATCCAGATAAAAGTAGGGGAAGAGAACAGAGAAAGTAGGTCACAGAAAGAAGGAGATATATATAATTTTTATTTTTTTTTTTGAGACGGAGTCTCACTCTGTCACCCAGGCTGGAGTGCAGTGGCACGAGGAGATCATATATCTAACCACTTCACAACAATAAGAAAAGAGACCTCTACATCTGTGAAGCAATGTGAACCCCAGATATTTGAGACAAGTCTCGGTTAATTTAGAAAGTTTATTTTGCTAAGGTTGAGAATGTGCACCCATAGCCTTAGGAGGTCTTGACAACATGTGCCCAAGGTTGTCAGAGCACAGCTTGCTTTCATACATTTTAGGGATACATGAGACATTAATCAACATATGTAAAATGAACACTGGTTTGGTCCAAAAGGTGGGACAACTCCAAGTGGGGAGGGGGCTTCCGGGTCATAGATAGATAAGAGACAAATGGTTGTATTCTTTCGAATTTCTGATTAGCCTCTCCAAAGGAGGCAATCACATATGCATTTATCTCAGTGAGCAGAGGGGTGACTTTGAATAGAATGGGGGGCAAGTTTGCCTTAAGGGATTCCAAGCTTGACTTTTCTTTTTAGTCTAGTGATTTGGGGGCCCCAGGATTTATTTTATTTCACAGCAGGAATGCTCTGAAGGCCTACACTCCTCTTCTGAAACTGTGAAAAACCCATCTCACTGAAACAAGAACAAAAGACTGTGGTCAATACACATACAAAGTTGTTGTAAGATAAAAGAAAATAATGGGAGGAGACAAGATAGCCTGCCAGATGCAGATGGGAAGCACTTCGCCGACTGAGAGATACCAAAATATCAAGTAAACTATCACACTTCAAACAGATCTTTTGAGAAAAAAAATATACTGGAAGTCTACTGTGGTAGAACAGGGCAAAAGCCTGGAACCCTGCACAGAGTTGCTGAGTGCCGGCGCAGCTCCTGGCCTTGAAGGGAACCTAAGGAAGGGATGAGAAAAGAAACTGCAGGGAAACATGCTCCTGCCGTGGACCTCTGGGATCCTAGCTACAAGAGATCCCATGACCCCATAGACATCTGAATTTGCAAGAGAAACTGCCTGAAGAGTAGGCAAACCCAAAGCTCAAGCCTGCTTGGAGCTCAGAAGGTTTTGCATGCAGGGAAGCTACAGCAAAATGCGACCATAGATGCCTATTCCCCAAGGCTTTCCATCTTGCTCCCAGTTGCTCTAGCTCCTGCTGACGGCCAGGCTGGGAGAGAGAAGGGTGGTCTTTCCTGATGGACTTGGGCATGTCTGATCTGCACACCCCGCTGTCTGCTGGCCCCTCCCAAGACCCCTGCCTGGCCACTCCCATGAGAGCATGCACACTGCACAGCCTCCACTGCCCCACCTGGGTACTTTGCCAGTGGCCTAGGACACTATGGTCACCTCAGCACAGCCAGGGCTCAACTCTGAGGGGCCAGAGGACAAAGCCAATCCCAACCTCCCAGGGTTCAAGCACACAGCTCAGGAATATCAAGCTGAGATCTGTAGCCAGAGCATGAGTTGGATAGGAGCCCCCACTCTCTGAACACTGAGTAGGGTGAGATGTGGGTTTCAGGGATGGCACAGGAGCTGCGAGTACCTCCCTCCACAAGACTGGTCCAGGAAGGGTGTAGCCTGTTTGCCAGCTGCAGCTTCTACTTGAAGGAGCCCCATGGCCAACAGTAACTAACAGTCCAGTGACCTGGGTGCAGAGAGGTTGAGACAAAATTAACTGGCTTGGAAACTGAGATGGGGGGGCAAGAAGACTGACTAGATGCAGACAAGTGGAGTGGCTCCCACAGAGGGATTGAGAATACTGGCGTGCTTTTAACAGATCTTCAGAGGGAAGGCGCTGAGAGTGGAGAGAGGGAAGACACAGAAGTTGATCTGAAGGGTAAAAAACTGAGAACCTTGAAAGGGCTACTGCACACTGGGGCTCATTATTGAACCACAACAGCTCTGGGGGAATGGGTTAGTTGAACTGGCAAGGAGCAACCCACTCTTGTCATGGGCCTCTGGATTCCTGACAGGAGGGAACCCTTCGACCACCATGGACAATTGAGGTGGCAGGAGGAGCTGCTTAGAGAAGTGGTGGGGCAGCAGGCGAGCTGATGTGAAGCGCAGAGTGGCTGCGGTGTGGTGGTGGGAGTGGCTGTAGTGGAGAAGGGCCAGGGAAGAACATCCCTCTAGGCTCAACTTGCTGCCATAGGAGACTTTAGCCCTAAGGGAACTGACAGATTTGACCTCTGAAGGGCGGTGGAGCACCTCAGATGGGGCTGGTTCAACCTGAGCACTCCTTGGTCTGCTGACCTCTCTAGGGGCCCCAGCCTGGCCATGACTTCTTATAGGGCAGTCTTGGGTTCCCTGAGAATCCACACCATGGCTTCTGTGCCAGCAGACCATCCCTGAGCAGTGAAGAGCTCCAGAGAGGCAGCTTCTAAGGCTGCATACCAACCCACATGCACCCTCCCCATAGTGCAGCTTCCCCTAATCCCATGGCAACTCCCCACATCACTTTACTGATGCATGTCTGCATGGGCAGGTTTTGCTTTACTTGCTCCACCAGCATGTGTGAGTGCAGTACACCTCTCAACCCCACCAGACTGCCACTGCAGAGGGAGCCTTGATGGGAACAGAGCCAGCAAACCCCACCTCAGCCAGTGCCCTGCTCTTGCTCTAACACTGGGAAGAGAACAAGGTATCCTCCCTGAGCCATCACTCCAGCTTGCAGAGCACAGAGAAGGTACCCAGACCTGCACTGGCCAGCACCTTGTCCAAGCCAACTCCACTTCCATGCAACAGCACACACAGTCTTCAGCAGGCCCCCCCGACCTCCGCTTTCCTCCTAAGCTGCCTTGCCTCCCTCACTGTGATTAACATCCACAGGGAGCCAGCCACCACTGCATCCACTAGCACTCTGCTGCAGCTACTGCATCTTGCCACCACCCCCACCCCGAGTGGTGGACTCCAAACCTCAAGGAGCCAGACAACAAAGTCAGGACCCAATACAAGTCCTCCAGAGTTACAGCATGTAGCCCAGGAGTTGGGGGCTGAGCATTGGCCACTTAAAATTTCCCAGAAATGAAGCCAGACAACTGAATCCACCTTATACTACAATCACACCCTCAAGGTCATCAAATAGGATAAAAGAAAAAACATTCAAAGATTAGTAACTATTGCAGGATCTGGCCAGCAGCCCACAATGCAACAGGGCTCTTTCTTTGTTCCCAGGCGGATCGGCAGGTCAAGAAATAATAGACACACACAAGATAGTGAAAGCTGGGTCCAGGGGGGTCACCGCCTTCTAGTCCCGTGATGCCGCCAATGCACTGGATATACCAGCATTTATTATTGAGTTTAGTGAGGGCAGGGGTAGGTTAGTGAGGGATTTAGGGTTGTTTGATTATGAGGTGAGATGGTCACATGAGGATGAAGAAATTCTTTAACATAACATCTGTATGCAGAAGTACAGTATACAGAGATAAGAATTTACAATATAGTGTGTGCATCAGTAATTTCTAACAGAGTCTTAAAATAGAAACACAGTCTTCTCGTAACCTATGACTAGCAAGATATTAATCAGCAGTAACAGTTGCAGCAAAAGCTGGTTACAAACAATCCATAGAAACAGGATGTGAAGCTAGACAACCGGTTAGACCAGAAATTCTCAGAAGGGAGTATGCCTTAACCCTAAAGAGGCCTCGAAGAGCCATGGCAAGATGAGGGCGTTTATAGCCTTATCTTATCCATATGAACAGGCGCCCCTCATGCATCCAATTCTAGGCTCTCCACAAGGGTCACTTTCCATCCCCAGAGCTACAAACATCTGCTTTTCTGGGATAGGAATCTTGGTGATGTGAAACCTCCCTGACTGCAAGTCCGTTCATAGGCTCTCTGCAGGGGGAAGCACATCACATGCTGTTGGCTCATTCTGGCAGTCCAACCTGGCATTGTCTTAACACAATCTTGCATGCGATTTTGTATTTACAATAATCAGGAGCATTTCCTCTTTTATTCCATAGCAATAGTTTCAGGGGGTCTCCCTACAAGTTACCTCAAAGATTGAAGGTAGATAAACCCACAAAGATGAGAAAGAATCAGCAAAAAATTGCTCAAAAAGCCAGAGTGCCTTCTTTCCTCCAAATGACCACATTACCTCTCCAGCAAGTGTTTGGAACTATGCAGAGGCTGAGATGGCTGAAATGACGGAAATAAAATTCAGAATATGGATAGGAATGAAGTTCATTGAGCTCCATGAGTACATTGAAACCCAATGCAAGGAAACTAAAAATCATGATAAAACGTTGCAGGAGTTGACAGACAAAATATCCAGTAAAGAAAAGACAAAATATCCAGTAAAGCTCTGTAACTGACCTGACAGAGCTGAAAAAACACACTACAGGAATATAATAATGTTATCACAAGAATTAATAGCAGAATAGACCAAGCAGAGGAAATAATCTCAGAACTTGAAGACTGGCTTTCTGAAACAAAAGACAGGGAACAAGAATAGAGGAAAAAAGAATGGAAAGGAATGAACAAAATCTCTGAGAAATAACAGGATTATGTACAAAGATTGAATCTATGACCGAATAGACCAAGCAGAGGAAATAATATCAGAGCTTGAAGCCTGGCTTTCTGAAATAAAAGGCAACAATAATAGAGGATAAAAGAATGAAAAGGAATGAACAAAATCTCTGAGAAATAAAGGATTATGTACAAAGATTGAATCTATGACTGATTGGTGTACCTGGAAGAAATGTTGAGAATGGAACCAACTTGGAAAATATATTTCAGGATATCATCCATGAAAACTTCCCCAGCCTAACTAGAGAGGCCAACATTCAAATTCAGGAAATGCCAAGAACCCTGGTCAGATACTTCAAAAGATCATTCTCAAGACACATAATCATCAGATTCTCCAAGGTCTAAATGAAAGAAAAAATTTTAAGGCACCTAGGGAGAATGGTCAGGTCACCTACAAGAGAAGCCCATCAGACTAACAGTGGAACACTTAGCTGAAACCTACAAGCCAGAAGAGACTGGGCACCAGTATTCAACATTCTTAAAGGATGGAAATTCTAAGCCAGAATTTAATGTCTGGCCAAACTAAGCTTCATAAGCAAAGGAGAAATAAAATCCTTTTCAGACAAGCAAATGCTGAGGGAATATGGGAATTTGTTACTTCTAGACCTGCCTTACAAGAGCTCCTGAGGAAGCACTAAATATGGAAAGGAAAAACTGTTACCAGGCATAACAGAAACACACTGAAGTACACAGACCAGTGACACTATAAAGCAACCACACTAAAAAGTCTGCAAAATAACCAGCTAACATCATGATGACAGAATCAAATCCACACATATCAATACTAATCTAAAATATACATGGGCTTAATGACCCAATTAAAAGACACAGAATGGCAGCCTGGGTAAAAAACCAAGACCCACTTGTATGCTGTTGGATTAGTCCATTCTCACACTGGTATAAAGACATATATGAGACTGGGTAATTTATGGAGAAAATAGGCCTAATTTACTCACAGTTCTGCATGTTGTACAGGAGGCATGGCTGGGGAAGCCTTGGAAAACTTACAATCATGGCAGAAGACAAAGGGGAAGTAAGGAACGTCTTCACATGGTGGCAGGAGAGAGAGCAAAGGAAGAAGTGCTACACACTTTTAAACAACCAGATCTCATGAGAACTCACTCATTATCATGAGAACAACAAGAGAACAACCCCCATGATCCCATCACTTCCTACCAGGTCCCTCCTCCAACATTGGAAATTACAATTTGACATGAGATTTGGGTGGGGACACAGAGACAAACCATATCAGCTGTCTTCAAGAGACCCATCTCACATGTAATGACAAATATATGGTAAAAACAAACGGATGGAGAAATAATGTACAAAGCAAATGGAAATCAGAATCAGGAATTGCAATCCTAGTTTCTGGCAAAACAGACTTCAAACAAACAAAGATCAAAAAAGACAAACAGGGCATTATATAATGGTAAAGGGTTCAATTCAACAAGAAGATCTAACTATCCTAAATATATGAGCACCCAATACAGGAGTACCCAGATTCATAAAGCAAGTTTTTAGAGACCTGCAAAGAAACTTAGATTCCCACACAATAATAGTGAGAGACTTAAACACCCCACTAACAATATTAGACAGATCACTGAGACAGAAAATTAACAAACGTATTTAGGACCTTAACTCAGCACAGGCTCAAATGGGCCTGATAGATATCTACAGAACTCTCCACCTAAAAACAACAGAATATAGATTCTTCTCCTCATCGTATGGCACATACTCTAAAATTGATCACATACTTGGAAGTAAAAAACTCCTCAACAAATGCAAAAGAAATGAAATTATAACAAACATTCTCTTGGACTGCAGCACAATCAAATTAGAAATCAAGACTAAGAAATCCACTCAAAATCGTATGATTACATGGAAGTGGAATAGCCTGCACCTGAAAGACTTTTGGGTAAATAATGAAATTAAGGCAGAAATCAAGAAGTTCTTTGAAAAATGAGAACAGAGAGACAGTGTACCAAAATCTCTGGGATGTAACTAAAGCAGTGTTAAGAGGGAAATTTATATCACTAAATGCCCACATCAAAAAGCTAGGAAGATCTCAAATTAAGAAGCTAACAACAAAACTAAATAACTAGAGAACCAATAGCAAACAAACACCATAGCTAGAATAAGACAAAAGATAACCAAGATCAGAGTGGAACTAAAGGAGATAGAGAGACAAAAAAAAAAAAAAACAAACAAAAAAAAAACCCTTCAAAACAATCAACAAATCTGGGGTTGTTTTTTTTTTGAAAAAATTAAGAAAGTAGACTACTAGCTAGACTAATAAAAAAGACAACAGAGAACAATCAAATAGCAATAATCAGAAATGATAAGGGGTATATTACCACTGACCCCACAGAAATACAAACAACCATCAGAGAGTACTATACACACCTCTATGCACATATACTAGAAAATCTACAGAAATAAATAAATTCCTGGACACACACTCTCTCCCAAGACTGAACCAGGAAGAAATTGAATTCCTGAACCGACCAATAATGAGCCCTGAAATTGAGGCAATATTAAATAGCCTACTGACCCAAAAAAGCCCAGGAACCAGATGGGTTCACAGCTGAATTCTACCAAGTGTACAAAAAAGAGCTGGTACTTTTCCTACTGAAACTATTCAAAAAAATAAAAATGGACCCCTCCCTAACTCAGCATCATCCTAATATCAAAATCTGGGAGAGATACAACATAAAAAGAAAACTTCAGGTCCATATTTTTTATGAACATCAATGTAAAAATTCTCAACAAAATATTGGCAAACCAAATCCAGCAGCACATCAAAAGGCTTATCCATCATGATCAAGTAGGCTTTAACTCTGGGATGCAAGGTCATCACATAAACAGAACTAAAGACAAAACCAAATTATTATCTCAATGGATGCAGAAAAGGCTTTTGATAAAATTAAACATCAATTCATGTTAAAAACTCTCAATAAACTAGGTATTGAAGGAACATACCTCAAAATAATAAGAGCCATCTATGAAAAACCCAGAGCCAACATCATATGGAGTGGGCAAAAACTGAAACAACTTCAACAAAATTTCAGGATTCAAAATCAATTCATGAGGTCAGGAGATCGAGACCATTCTGGCTAATATGGTGAAACCCTGTCTCTACTAAAAATACAAAAAAATTAGCCAGGCGTGGTGTCGGGTGCCTCTAGCCCCAGATACTAGGGAGGCTGAGGCGGGAGAATGGCATGAACCTGGGAGGCAGAGCTTGCAGTGAGCTGAGATTGCACCACTGCATTCCAGCCTAGGCGACAGAGCGAGACTCCATCAATAAAAAAAAAGAAAAAAGTCATTCGCATTCCTATACACCAACAACAGTTAAGCTAAGAGTAAAATCAAGAATGTACTCCCATTTACAATTGCCACAAAAAGAATAAAATACCTAGGAACATAACTTACTAGGGAAGTGAAAGATCTCTACAAGGGAAACTACAAACCACTGCTCAAATAAATCAGAGATGACACAAAAAAATGCAAAAACATCCATGCTCATGAACAAAAAGAATCAATATTAAAATGGCCTTACTGTCCAAAGCAATTTACAAATTCAATGCTATTTCTATTAACTACCATGGAAATTCTTCATAGAACTAGAAAAACACTATTTTAAAATTCATATGGAACCAAAAAAGGGTCAAATAGCCAAAACAATCCTAAGCAAAAAGAACAAAGCTGGAGGTATCATGCTACCCGACTTCAAACTATATTACAGAGCTACAGTAACTAAAACAGCATGGTACTGGTACAAAAACAGGCACATAGACCCATGAAACAGAATAGAGAACCCAGAAGTAAGGCAACATACCTACAACTAACTATCTGATCTCAACAAGCCTGACAAAAGCAAGCAATGGGGAAAGGATTCCCTATTTAATAAATGATGCTGGGATAACTGGCTAGCCATATGCAGAAGATAAAAACTGGATACCCTCCTTATTCCTTATACAAAAATCAACTCATGGTGAATTTAAAGACTTAAATGTAATATCCAAAACGATAGCAATTCTGGAAGACAACCTAGGTAATACCATTCAGGACATAGACATGGGCAAAGATTTTATAATGAAGACGCCAAAAGCAATTGCAACAAAAGCAAAAATTGATAAATGGGATCTAATTAAATTAAAGAGCTTCTGCACAGCAAGAGAAATTATCATCTTACTCAAAAGACAACCTACAGAATGGGAGAAAAATTTTTGCAGACTATGCATCTGACAAAGGTCTAATATCCAGCATCTATAAGGAACTTAAACAAATTTACAAGAAAAAAACAAGCAGCCCCCCCAAAAAAGTGGGCAAAGGACATGAACAGACACTTTTCAAAAGAAGACATACATGTAGCCAACAAGCATATGAAAAAAAGTTCCACATCACTGATTATTAGAGAAATGCAAGTCAAAACCACAATATGATACAATCTCACACCAGTCAAAATGGCTACTATTAAAAAGTCAAAAAAAAAAAAAAAAAAACAGGTGCTGGTGAGGTTGTGGAGAAAGCAGAATGCTTATACACTGTTGTTGGGAGTGCAAATTATTTCAGCTATTGTGAAAGATAGTGTGGTGATTCCTCAAAGATCTAAATTTAGAAATACCATTTGACCCAGCAATCCCATTACTGGGTATATACCCAAAAGAATAAATCATTCTGTTATAAAGACACATGCACACATATGTTCACTGCAGCACTATTCACAATAGCAAAGTCATGGAATCAACCTAAATGCCTATAAATGATAGATTGTATAAAGAAAATGTGGTACGTATATGCCATGGAATATTATGCAGTCATAAAAAAAGAATGAGATCATGTTCTTTGCAGGAACATGGATGGACCTGGAGGCCATTATCCTTAGCAAACTAGCACAGGAACAAACAACTAAATACTGCCTGTTTTCTCTTATAGGCAAGAGCTAAGTATTGAGAACACATAAACACATAGAGGGGAACAATACACACTGGGGCCTATTGGAGGGTGGAGGATGGGAGTAGGGAGAGAATCAGGAAAAATAACTAATGGGTACTAGGCTTAATACCTGGGTGATGAAGTAATCTGTACAACAAACTCCCATGGTACATGTGTACCTATATAACAAACCTTCATATGCACCCCTGAACTTAAAAAAGTTAAAAACAACAACAACAACAAAAAAAAACTACCTGGTTGGGCCAGCTACTGGGGCAGACACTAGAAGGAGCCCAGTCAGTGGACTGTGCACTGGGCAGTTCCCACAGCCATCAGCTGTGCAAAAAACCATGTGCCACAGATACCACACCAGTTGCACATCCATGACAACACTGCCCTGCCTGATGATCCCCATCCTCGACCTACTGCATCAACAGAAGCCCACAGCCACACCCTACAACACACCTGGTCTCTGCCAAACACAGAGGGACAGTGGGCACCCAGGGAGCTGTAGGTCACCAGGCGACCAACCTGGCCTAACCTTTGTCTCATGCCACCCCTAAGAGAGGAGAAAGTGTGGCCTGCCAGGCTCCCCTGTGGGGCTAAGGAAACACAAGCCCGATATCAGTGATTGGAAGGGGCTGCCTCAAGACATGGGAATGGATCTGGCAAGGGGGTTTTCTCTCACCCTCCACCTCCCCCAACCCCAGAGCACAGCTGCAAACATGCTGAAATACCAAGAGAGGCACATGGCTGAGCAAAAGCCTATCTGCAAGCCATCTACTGGATGATAGCCTGAATTACACCACCAAACAAAAATTCGTTCGGCACATATTGTCAGTGAAACCCAATGCAGGAATCAAGCCACAAAAAAAATAAATAAATAAATCCCGCACACAGCTTTGGCCCTCAGAAAGAACCAGAAATGAAGCCAATCAACTATATTCAACATGAAGAATATAAATACAAAAAGTCCCATCCAAATGATAGCAACTTCAAAAATATAAAGAAATACCAGCCCTCTCAGTTGATAAATAATTAGCTCAACAACTCTGGCAATTCAAAAAGTCAGGGTGTCCCCTTACCCCTAAATGATCACACTCATTCCCCAGCAATGGCTTCCAACAAGATTGAAATGACAGACATAGAATTCAGAATCTGGATGACAAGAAAGCTCAATGAGATTCAGGAGGAAGTTGAAGCCCAATCCAAAAAAGCCACTAAAATAATCCAAGAGTTGAAAGCTGACATAGCCATTTTAAGAAAGAACCAAATGGAACTTCTAGAATTAAAAAATTCACTACATGAATTTCATAATACGGTAGAAAGCATTAATAACAGAATAGATCAAGCTGGGGAAATAATCTCAGAACTCAAAGACCAGTCCTTTAAATCAACCCAGTCAGGCAAAAATAAAGTAAAAAGAATTTTTAAAAATGAACAAAATATCAGAGAAATACGGATTATGTAAAGAGACCAAACCAACAACTCTTTGGCATTCCTGAGAGAGAAGGCAAGAGAGTAAACAACTTGAAAATCATCTGCGTGGATATAGTCTATGAGAATTTCTTCACCTCACTAGAAAGTCAACATGCAAATTCAAGAAATTCAGAAAACTTTTGAGAGAACCCCATATACAAGATGACTATGCACAAGGCACATAGTAATCAGATTCATCAAGGTCAACACAAAAGCAAAAATATTAAAGGCAGTTAGAGAAAAGGGTTAGGTCACTACAAAGAAAGTCCCACCAGGCTAACAGCATATCTCTCAGCAGAAACCTTACAAGCCAGAAAAGTTAGAAAGCTATTTTTAACATCCTTAAAGAAAATAAATGTCAACCAAGAATTTCATATCCCACCAAACTAAGCATCATAAACAAAAGAGAAATAAAATCCTTTCCAGACAAGCTGAGGTCCTTAAGATCCAGAGAGGTCTTTAAGAGGGTTCTAAACATGGAAATGAAAGAATAGTAACTACTACCACAACAAAAACTTAAGCACATAGCCCAAAGACCCTATAAAGCAATGACACAATTGAGTTTACAAAACAACTAACAACATGATAACAGTATCAAAACCCCACATGTCAATATTAATCTTAAAAATAAATGGTCTAAATGCCCCACTTAAAAGGCATAGAGTAGTTAATTAGATTTTAGAAAAAAGACCCAACCATCTGCTGTCTTCAAGAGACCCATCTCACATGTAACAGCAACCTCAGGCTCAAAATAAAAGGATAAAGAAAGATATATCATGCAAATAGAAAACAAAAAAAAAAAGTGTGGGGCACTATTCTTATATCAGATTAAAGAGATGTTAAGCCAGCAGCAGTCAAAAAGCACAAAGAAGGGCGTTACATAATGATAAAAGGTGTAATTCAACAAGAAGACTTAACTATCCTAAATGTTTATGCACCCAACATTGTAGCACCTAAATGCGTAAAAACAAGTGCTTCTAGAGCTACAAGTACTTCTAGAACTAGTGCTATTGTGTGGTCTTAGGCAGTCACACAATAACAGCAGGGAACTTCAACACTCCACTGACAAAATTAGACAGATCATCAAGGCAGAAAACTAACAAAGAAGTTCTGGACTTAAATTAAACACTTGACCAAAGTAATAGACATCTACAGATACTCCACCCAACAACCATAGAATATACATTCTTCTCATCTCTACATGGAAAATACTCTAAGATTAACCATGTGTTTGGCCATTAAGCAAGTCTCAATAAATTCAAAAAATCAGAATCATACCAACCATACTCTTGGTCCACAGTGCAATAAAAAATAGAAATCCATACCAAGAAGATCTTGCAAAACTACACAGTTACATGGATATCAAATAACTTACTTCTGAATGACTTTTGGATAAACAATGAAATTAAAGCAGAAATAAGAAAATTCTTTGAAATGAATAGAGACGCAACACACCAAAATCTCTGAAACTGAGTGAAAGCCGTGTTAAAAGGAAAGTTTATAGCGCTAATTGCCTTCATCAAGAAGGTAGAAAGATCTCAAACTAACAATCTAACATTATACCTACAGAAACTAGAAAAAAAAAGAACAAACTAACCCCAAAGTTAGCAGGAGAAATGAAGTAACTAAAATAATAGCAGAACTAAATGAAATTAAGATGCAAAACTCCACACAAAATATCAACAAAAGCAGAGATTGGTTCTTTGAAAGGATAAACAAGATTGATAAACTGCTGGTTAGATTAACAAAGAAAAAAAAAAGAGATCCAAATAAGCACAATCAGAAATGACAAAGATGATATTGCAACCAATCCCAGAAATATAAAAGATCCTCAGAGACTATTGTGAACATTCCTATGCATATAAACTAGGAAATCTAAAGTAAGTGAATCAATTCTTGGTCACATACAACTTCTCAAAATTCATTCAGGGAGAAATTGAAACCCTGAATCAACCAATAATGAGTTCCAAAATCAAAGCAGTAGTAAAAATCCTGCCAGCTGAAAAAGCTTGCAACCAGATGGATTCACAGCCAAATTCTACCAGACATACAAAGAAGAGCTAGTACCAATCCTATGAAACTATTCCAAAAAATTGAGAAGGAGGGAATCCTCCTGAACTCATTCTACAAAGCCAACATCATTCTGATACTAAAACCTGGCAGAGACACAGTGAAAAAAGAAAAATTCAGGCCACTATCCCTGATGAGCATAGACACAAAACTCCTCAACCATATTAGCAAATTGAATTCAGCAGCACATAAAAAAGTTAATACAGCATCATCAAGTAGGCTTTATTGCTGGGATGCAAGGTTGGTTCAACATAAGCAGATTAATAAATGCGATTCACCACATAAACATAATTATTTTTTAAACCATATGATTATCTTAGTAGAAGCAGAAAAAGCCTTCAATAAAACTCAACATCGCTGTATGATAAAAACCCTCAACAGATTAGGCACCAAAGAAACATACCTCAAAATAATAACAACCATCTCTAACAAACCCCCAGCCAACATCATACTGAATGGGCAAAACCTAGAACCATTCGCCTGGAGAAATGGAATAAGAAAAGTATACCCAATCTCACCCCTCTTATTCAACCTAGTACTGGAAATCCTAGCCAGAGCAATCAGACAGGTGAAAGAAATGAAAGGCATACAATAGGAAAAAAAGAAATCAAACTATTTCTCTTTGCTAATGATACTCTATATCTAGAAAACCCTAAAGACTCTGCCAAAAGGCTCCTAAAACTGATAATTTTAGTAAAGTTTCAGGACACAAAATCAATGTACAAAAATCAGTAGCATTTCTATATACCAATAATGTGCAGACTGAGAGTCAAATCAAGAATGCAAAGCCATTTTCAATAGCCACAAAGTAAATAAAATACCTCAGAATAAATCCAGCCCAGGAATGAAAGACCTCTATAAGGAGAGCTGCAAAATATTTGTGAAAAAATATCAGAGGTGATGCAAACAAATGAAAAAACATACTATGCTCATGGATTGGAAGAATCAATATCATTACAATGGTCATACTGCCCAAAGCAGTCTACAGATTTAATGCTAGTTCTATCAAACTACCAACATCTTGTTTTTACAGAATTGGAAAAAAACTCTTCTAAAATTCACATGGAACCAAAAAAGATTCTGAATAGCCAAGACAGTACTAAACAAAATGAACAAAGCAAGAAGCATCACATTACCTGACTTTAAACTATACTACAAGGCTACAGTAACCAAAACAGTATGGTACTCACGCAAAAACAGACACATAGACCAATGGAATAGAATAGGTAACTCAGAAATAAAGCCACACAACTGCAACCATCTTATCTTTGACAACGCCAACAAAAACAAGCAATGAGGAAAGGAGTCCCTATTCAATAAATGGTGTTGGGATAACTGACTAACTCTATGCAGAAGATTGAAGCTGGACCCATACCTTTCAGCATATATAAAAATTAATTTGAGATAGATTAAAGATTTAAATATATGACCTCAAACTATAAAAATCCTATAAGAAAATCTAGAAAATACCCTTCTCAACATCAACCCAAATATGTGAAAGAATTTATGGCTAAGTCCCCAAAAGCAATTACAACAAAGACAAAAATTGACAAGTTGGACCTAATTAAACCTAAGAGGTTCTACACAGCAAGGGAAACTATCAACATAATAAACAAAACCTATAGAACAGGAGAAAATAGTCACAAACTATGCACCTGACAAAGGCCTAATATCCATCATCTATAAGGAACTTAAATCAACAAGCAAAAAACAACCTCATTAAAAAGTGGGCAAAGGACATGAACAAATACTTCTGAAAAGAATACATGTAAGCAGCCAACAAATATATGAAAAAAAAAGCTCAACATCACTAATCATCAGAGAAATGCAAATCAAAACCACAGTGAGATACCATCTCACACCAGTCAGAATGGCTATTATTAAAAAGTCAAAAAATAATACATGCTGGTGAGGTTGTGGAGAAAAAGGAATGCTTATACACTGTTGGTTGGAGTGTAAATTAGGTCAGCCATTGTGGAAGACAGTGTGATGATTCCTCAAAGACTTAAAGAGAGAAATACCATTCCACCTAGCAATCCTATTACTGGGTATATACCCAAAGGAATAGACATTGTTCTATTATAAAGACACATGCGTGTGCATGTTCACTGAAGCACTATTCACAATAGCAAAGAGACATGGAGCAAATCCAGGTGCCCATCAGTGGTGAAGTGGTTCCTCCATGTATACATCACAGAATACTACACAGCCATAAAAAAGAACAAAATCATTTCATTTGCAGTAAAATGAATGCAGCTGGAGGCCATTTACCTAGGCAAACTAAACAAAAAATGAAATATTCCATGTTCACACTTACAAATGGGAGCTACACATTGGGTACACATGGACATATTTATAAAAATAGGAACAATAGACACTGGAAAATTCAAGAGTAGGGGAAGACAAAGTTTGAAAAACTACTTATTGGATACTATGCCTACTTCCTGAGTGATAAGTTCAATCGTACTCCAAACTCCAGCATCATGCAACATATCTTCATAACAAAACTACATATGTACCCCTGGAATCTAAAATAAAAGTTGAAAATTAAAATAAAAATTTACAGAACCATGTAGTACAATATATTTAATATTATGAGCAAGTTATAACTAAATAGCATGGCATTCACATGTGAATAGGCAGAATAATTAAATAATCTAAAATAGACCCAATTTTATATGAAAATGTAGTATATGCTAAGGCAGCACCTCAAATAAGTGAAAAAGTTGTAGACTTTTTAATAAGTGATGTGAGAATAACTAGAGATATCTATGTGGCAAAAAATAATGTTATCATTCTTCTTGCTTACCCAAGGATAAATTCCAAATGAAAAAGAGATTTTAATTTTAGAAAATGAAACGACACAAATACTAAAGGAAATTATGAGAGGAGCATGCAAACTTTAAAAACTTTGAAAACCTCCAGATAGCTGAGTCATATTAAACTAAATTACATACAACTTTATTATTAAAATGATCTAAAATTTGTTTTGTACTATGTTGGGAACAGGCCCCCCAAAATCTGGCCATAAACTGGCCCCAAAACTGGCCATAAACAAAATCTCTGCAGCACTGTGACATGTTCATGTTGGCCATAACACCCACGCTGGAAGGTTGTCGGTTTACCGGAATGAGGGCAAGAAACACCTGGCCCGTCAACAAGTCCTGTTCCATCACTAAAGTGTCTAGGAAGGTAACAACCAGAGCAAGCTTTTTGTGCATTCTCCACATCACCTTCACACTTCCAAAATCCGTCCAGAAATTCTGGTCAGAGAAGAAAATAGCATTTTGCAAACAATAACGATATTACATTATGGCTGTTGGCTTTGTTGGAAAACATAAAATAACAATACTTATTTTTTATTATTCTATGTCTGCTGTTCTTTGTTATAGTCAAACTGTCACAGTTAATGAAGCATGACTCTGGCCCCCCACTTGACAAGAGGCTGGGATGATTTGCTAGCTGGGGTGTGAACTGTAGATAATTGTTTCTGGCAATGCCATGTTATTGACCATTTACTGCCCAAAGTGATTTGCCATTTGCTGGAGTTTCCAGGAATGATTTGTTCTCACTAACAAATTTTGTGAAACATTGTGATTCTTTGGTCTTGGCCTCTTCAGATAATATGTTTTATCTGTTGTTATTACAAGGATCATTTTGAAAAACTCATTGAGAGCTTCACACACAATTTCAATAACCATCAAAGTTGGCAGAATGCCTGTGCCTGCCAGCCTGATAATCCCACACCTATTTCCTGTGGCCTGCCGGGGAAGAAGATGGCCTTTATTCACTCAAATTATCAAAAATTACCTCTGTTAATCACATTTTGAGTCATTAACAGATGCTGATTATCATTGCAGAGCAGTTATTTCTCTGCATAATTGCCAAATTACCGTTTCTCCAATACTGAGGATAAAATATGACCTCCAGCCAGCATTGTTAAGATTCGTCTATGCCACTGGAAAGCTGAGACAGTTCCTTTATAAAGTGACTCTCCGAGTTTGTGGATAGCCTCAGTCATTCATCAGTCAAATTTTACCAAGTTTATACTACTGTAATACTATGAAGAGGGGGTCAGAATACTGAGCTCTAATTTTTATGCTCCTATATTGTGGAAGTATCTAAACAATGAAGTAAAGCTAAATAGCTAAAAAAATTTATCTGTCAAAAGAGTGAAGAAACACCAGATTTCTTTTCACCCATGAACAAAACTTCAGACTGAAAGTAAATAGGGTAATTTTCAGCAAACTTTATTTCTTTTATCGCTTAAACCCACAATGACTAGGAGAATTTGAAAATAAATAGAGGAAAATTCATAGTACACAGCATCTAGAATTTCAATAGTTTTTGTTAGATAATGCAAAAACATTTTTATAGAGGAAAAAAATAGCTTTTATAAGCCTCAGCATCAGTCACTGGCTATTAACTCTAACCCTGATACTAGTCATATATTATTTCTTTTATTGATAAATGTGCAGAAATTTTATTATTAATCAGTTAGTTGGTCAGTAAGTCAGTCATTTAGGCAGTCTGTGATCCTCACAATTGCAAAATAAGATGGACGGCTGGAGCTTAAAATAACGTTATATTTCCTTTATCTCATAAATGTGTTTGGATTACCAAAGATCCTTTTAAAATACTATATTCTCTGGGAGTTCTACTTCTGGGAAAATAGACTGTCTATACTTTTCCCTATTCCTCCCACTGAGCACAACTGGACATTATATGTAAAATGAAGATTGTAAGACTGAAAAGCAAAAAGAAGGCTAAGGACATCTGGACCCAAGAAAGAGTGTCTTGGTGAATTCCTTGAGTGTTGTTTTTGCCTCATATGTCCCAGACCTGGAGGTGAAAAAGACCACAACCTGGAAATGCCAATGTGTCATAACAACAATCAAAAAAAGTCCCAACAAAAATCTTCTCCCTCAAGCCAAGGGACCAGAAAAGAAGCAACCAAGTAAGACAGAAAACTTTCAGACAATAACTTTTCTACTCTAGCCAAACACCACAGGAAATTGTGATCCCATCTATACCCACACCAGCAAAAGGTGAAAGGAAAGCCTAAACTTCCATCCTCACTAGGGTATAATGAGATGTCCCACCATTTCCACAGCAGTGGTGTCAAAGAGGACCAAGTAGGAACCAGAAACTTTATTTCTACTGACCAGTAATAAGCATGTTTCTTTTTCCCTCCTCCTGCAGTGTCATTAGGAACCATGTGGGGAGCCAGAACTCCTACCTCTACCCAGCAGTCATGAGAAGCTCCACTTTTGGTTTAATTTGAGGCCAGTGGGGAACTTCCATGTGATAGTAATGAGGAAGCACGCTCCCTTCCATTGTTGGAGCAATGCCAGAGAAAGCATGCTAAAACTAAAGGTTTAAATAAGATCCAGAGTCTTGGAGCAAAATACAAAAATATTCAGTTTCCAATAAAAAAAATCACACCAAAAAAAAAAAAAAAAGAAAAGAAAGAAAAGGAAGCAGATCTTTTTTCTTTTTTTTTTAATTATACTTTAAGTTTTAGGGTACATGTGCACAACCTTACATATGTATACATGTGCCATGTTGGTGCACTGCACCCATTAACCCGTCATTTAACATTAGGTATATCTCCTAATGCTATCCCTCCCCGCTCCCTCCACCCCACAACAGGCCCCGGTGTGTGATGTTCCCCTTCCTGTGTCCATGTGTTCTCATTGTTCAATTCCCACCTATGAGTGAGAACATGCAGTGTTTGGTTTTTTGTCCTTGCGATAGTTTGCTGAAAATGATGGTTCCCAGCTTCATCCATGTCCCTACAAAGGACATGAACTCATCCTTTTTTATGGCTGCATAGTATTCCATGGTGTATATGTGCCACATTTCCTTAATCCAGTCTATCATTGTTGGACATTTGGCTTGGTTCCAAGTCTTTGCTATTGTGAATAGTGCCGCAATAAACATACGTGTGCATGTGTCTTTATAGCAGCATGATTTATAGTCCTTTGGGTATATACCCAGCAATGGGATGGCTGGGTCAAACGGTATTTCTAGTTCTAGATCCCTGAGGAATCGCCACACTGACTTCCACAATGGTTGAACTAGTTTACAGTCCCACCAACAGTGTAAAAGTGTTCCTATTTCTCCACATCCTCTCCAGCACCTGTTGTTTCCTGACTTTTTAATGATGGCCATTCTAACTGGTGTGAGATGGTAGCTCATTGTGGTTTTGATTTGCATTTCTCTGATGGCCAGTGATGATGAGCATTTTTTCATGTGTCTTTTGGCTGCATAAATGTCTTCTTTTGAGAAGTGTCTGTTTATATCCTTTGCCCACTTGTTGATCGGGTTGTTTGTTTTTTTCTTGTAAATTTGTTTGAGTTCTTTGTAGATTCTGGATATTAGCCCTTTGTCAGATGAGTAGATTGCAAAGATTTTCTCCCATTCTGTAGGTTGCCTGTTCACTCTGACGGTAGTTTCTTTTGCTGTGCAGAAGCTCTTTAGTTTAATTACATCCCATTTGTCAATTTTGGCTTTTGTTGCCATTACTTTTGGTGTTTCTGACATGAAGTCCTTGCCCATGCCTATGTCCTGAATGGTATTGCCTAGGTTTTCTTCTAGGGTTTTTATGGTTTTAGGTCTAACATTTAAGTCTTTAATCCATCTTGAATGAATTTTTGTATAAGGTGTAAGGAAGGGATCCAGTTTTAGCTTTCTATATATGGCTAGCCAGTTTTCCCAGCATCCTTTATTAAATAGGGAATCCTTTCCCCATTGCTTGTTTTTGTCAGGTTTGTCAAAGATCAGACAGTTGTAGATATGCAGCATTATTTCTGAGGGCTCTGTTCTGTTCCATTGGTCTGTATCTCTGTTTTGGTACAAGTACCATGCTGTTTTGGTTATGGTAGCCTTGTAGTATAGTTTGAAGTCAGGTAGTGTGATGCCTCCAGCTTTGTTCTTTTGGCTTAGGATTGACTTGGCAATGCGGGCTCTTTTCTGGTTCCACATGAACTTTAAAGTAGTTTTTTCCAATTCTGTGAAGAAAGTCATTGGTAGCTTGATGGGCATGGCACTGAATCTATAAATTACCTTGGGCAGTATGGCCATTTTCATGATATTGATCCTTCCTACCCATGAGCATGGAATGTTCTTCCATTTGTTTGTATCCTCTTTTATTTCATTGAGCAGTGGTTTGTAGTTCTCCTTGAAGAGGTCCTTCACATCCCTTGTAAGTTGTATTCCTAGGTATTTTATTCTCTTTGAAGCAATTGTAAATGGGAGTTCACTCATGATTTTAAACTGAATGAAAAAAGGTCATCCCTAAATGCCAACACCAAGATGACAGAGAAGGTAGAATTATCTGACAAAGGATTTAAAGCAGAATGATAAAAACATATTAGTAAGTATGAACAAATTTGAAATGAATGAAAAAAAATAGCCACATCAAAGAAATAAAAGATGTAAAGAAGAACCAAATGGAAATTTTAGAACTGAAAAATACAATAGCTAAAATACAAAGCTGGACAGGCACGGTGGCTCACACCTATAATTCCAGCATTTTGGGAGGCTGAGAAGGGCAGATTACCTGAGGTCAGGAGTTTAAGACCACCCTGGCCAACATGGTGAAACCCCATCTCTACTAAAAATACAAAAATTAGCCAGGCATGGTGGTGCACGCCTTTAATTCCAGCTGTTTGGGAGGCTGAGGCAGGAGAATTGCTTGAACCTGGGAGGCAAAGGTTACAGTAAGCCAAGATCACACCACTGCACTCCAGCCTGGGCAACAGATCGAGATTATGTCAAAAAAAAAAAAAAAATACAAACTCAGTGGATGCAATCAACAACAGAATGGAGAGAACAGAGGATCTGTAAACTAAATCTGTAAACTGAAAGATAAAACAATAGAAATTGTGCAATTTGAACAAGAGAAAAAATACTTTATTTTTTTTAAAGTAGCAGAGCCAAGAGACTAGTAGGACTATAAGATCCAACATTTGTGTTATTGGAATCCTGAAAGGAGAGAAGAAAGAGTACAACAGGGCTGAAAAGCATTTGAAGAAATAGTAGCTAAAAGCATGCCAAATTTAGTAAGGAACATAAACGTATCCACTCAAGAAGCAGAATAAATCCAAATAGGATAAATTCAAAGAAGTTAAAGCCAAGACACAACATAATCAAATTTCTGAATACTAAGCAAAGGAAAAAAAAAAAAACCTTGAAAGCAGCCAGAAAAAAAAAAATGATACCTTCCCTGTAAGAGAAAACCAATTAGAATGACAATTAATTTTTCATTAGAAACCAGAGTGGTGAAAGCAAAAGTATCAACCCAGAATTCTAAATCTAAGGAGACTGTCCTTCAGGAATGAAGGAGAAATCAAGACATTCTCTGGTGAAAGAAAACTAAGAATTTGTCATGAGCAAATATGCACTGAAAGAATGCCTAAAAGAAATTCTCTAAACAGAAAGGAGGTAATAAAAGAAATTTGGGATTCAGGGGAAAAAAGGAACACAGTAAGCAAAAATGTGGGCTAAAATAGTAGGTTTTTCTTCTTTTCTTGAGTTTAGTTCTAAAGTATTTTTGACAATTGGAGAAAAAATTGCAACACTATCTGATATGGTTCTAAATATGTAAAAAATAAATATGTTAGACAACTATACATGGGAGAGGGTAAAAGAATATGAGAGGTATGGTTTCCATACTTCAAACTGATAAAATGATAACATCAGTAAACTGTGTTAAGTTGTGTATATATAATGTAATAAACAGGCAAAACACTAAAATAAAAGCTTTACAATGAGATACACTCAAAGATACTATAGACAAATCAAAATGGAATTCTAAAAATGTCCAAATAATACACTGTAGACAAGAAAAAGAAAACAGAGAAATGGAAAACAGAGAGGACAAAGAGAAAACAAAAACTAAAATGGCAGACTTAGCCCTAGCATAACAATCATTACATCATACATAAATTATTAAAATACACCAATTAAAAAACAGGATGGATTTTTTAAAATCACCTAACTGTATGCTGTCTATAAGAAACATTCTTTGAATATAGCAATATAGTCAAGTTGAAAGTAAAATGATGGGGAAATCAAAGAAAAAGAAGAGCAGCTATATTAACATCAGATAGGGTAGACTTTGGAGCAAAGAAAATTACCAGAAGCAAAGAATGATATAACATATTAATAAAATAATCAATCTATCAAGAAGAGCAAACTGACAGAACTTAAAGGAGAAATAGGCAAATCCACAATTACAGGTGTAAACTTCAGTAACTAAACAACTGACAGAACAACTGGACAGAAAATCAACAAGGATCTTCAACAACGTTGAATTACTACAACAACTATAGAATTTTATCAGCACTTATAGAACACTTCACCCAACATCAGAATGTGCATTCTTTTCAAATGCCCATGGAACATATTCCAAAGTAGATCATACCCTCAGCCATAAAATAAACCCCACAAATTTAAAATAATTGAAATGATACAGAGTGCATTCTCTGATAACAGTGGCATCAAACTATAAATCAGTGACAGAAAGATGGTGAAAAAATTTACCAAACATTTGTAAACCAAACAACACATGCCTAAATAATTCGTGGGTCAAATAGGAAATCTCAAAGAAAATTTTTGATGAAATACAACATATAAAAACTTTTGAGTGACAGCCAAACCACACTGAGAGGGTAATTTATAGCACTAAATGCATACATTAGAAAAAAAGAGAATTTCTAAAAAAAAAAAAATGTAAACTCCGTCTCAAGATCCTAAAAAACAAATATGAAATAAACTCAAAGCAAGCAGAAGCAAGGAAAAATCAAAAATAAGAGCAGAAATCACTGAAACTGAAGATAGAAAAATAATAAAGAAAATTAAATGAAACAAAGGGATGGTTTTTGACAAAGGTCAATTAAATTGACAAACTTCTAGGAAGTCTGCAGAAAAAAAAGAGAGAAGGCAAAAACTACAAATATCAGGAAGGAAACTGAGGATATCAACTACAGGGCTTACAGAATCAAAAGGATAATATGGAATACTACAGAGTTCTACATCCATACATTTGAGAACTTTGATTGAATATACCACTTCCTTAAAGAACACAACCACCACAACCTACTCAATATGAAATACAATTATGCATTGCTTAAAAACTGGACAGAAAATCAACAAGGATCTTCAACAACATTGAATTACTACAACGTTCTTGTAATGCATCCTTAGGTGATGATAGATATGTTACAGGATACAAGATATATATACCAACATCAATATTTCTATATATTTCTATATGGACACAAAAACTTAAAATACCAGTTATAATTCCAGAAAAATGTTAGACATAAGTCTAACAAAATGTATACAGAAATTCTATGCTGAAAAAAACTACACAATTTCAATTAAAGAAATGAAAGATTTAAACAAGTACAGAAATATATCATGTTCACGGATTGGAAGACTCAACATAGTAAAGTTGTCAATTCTCCTCAAATAGAGTATACAACATTCTTGAAATGAAAAGAAAAAAAAACTGTTATAAGCCAGGCATGGTGGCTTATGCCTGTAATCCCAACACTTTGGGAGGCTGAGGTGGGCAGATCACCTGAGATCAGGAGTTCAAAACCAGCCTGGCCAACATGGTGAAACCCCGTCTCTACTAAAAATACAACAATTAGACAGGTATAGTGGCACATGCCTGTAATCCCAGCTACTGGGGAGGCTGAGGCAGGAGAATCATTGAACCCAGGAGGCGGAGGTTGCAGTGAGCCGAGATTGCGCCATTGTACTCTAGCCTGGGCAACAGAGTGAGACTCTGTTTCAAAAAAAAAAAAGAAAAAAACTATTATAGTGCAGAATAGACTAGTAGTTGCTAGGGGCTAAAGAGTAGGTGATGATAGGAGAGAAGTGGGTATGTTTAAATAACGGCAACAAGAGAGATCCCTGTGGAAATGGGAATATTTTGTTTTCCAATTTAATTAATCAAACACATTTCTAAGTTGGAACAGTTTATTCCAATGTCAATGTCAAAGAGTGGAAGAAACTGTGAACTAGAAAAGTCATGTGGTTTGATCAAATGTAACACCTTTGTTACAGAGTTATGACAGGAGTCTACAGAGTCTACAATGCCCAACTCATACTTTCCGCCAAAGTATTAGGTTGAACTATTTGAAATTACCAATATTGAACCATTGTTACCTATTAAAAAGGTAGGTTCAACTGAGTATATAATCTGCCATTGAGGAAAGACTTCAAAAACTGTTATATTTTCCTAATAAGCATTTATTTAGCACCTACTACATACTTAATTAAATATTTAATGTGTAATTCTAAGGAATGTGTCATTTAATTCTCCTTTGATATATAGTTATTAGCATTGTTCCTAGGACTTGGACTCCCTCAGGAGCTTCCTAAAATCTTATTTATTCTATCCCAGACTGAGGCCATCCCATATTTCTTGTGCTCTATGACATTTACAGATTGGATGTCACCAGATGGATTCTCAAAGCACCATGGAAAAAAGCTGGAGGACAAGCACTTGACGGAAGCTCATCCAGAGGCTTGGCCTCTGGTTTAATCCCAAAGATTCCTCTCACAGAACCACCATCTGTTAGAGATAAAAATTTCTAAATAGGTGTAGGCTATCCTCAGGACCTCCAAATGGCTTCCAGGCTGGAAATTATTTCTAGCCCTACTATGGGTTTCAGAACAGAATTGAATTTAAGTGGCCAAGGATGGGTGGATGTGAGGATGGAGACCCCAATATCAAGCTGTATTCCCAGAGATCTTTCTCACTGAGGGTCATCTAGGATATTTAAATAGCCTGGGGCCTCTTTATCTAGCCAGGTCCCAATGCCACCACCCTGCTCCCTGGTCACACTGGGAGCACACTTCTACCAACCCCGCTTTAGGTTTTGTCTTTTCAGGGCCCTACTTAGCAATTGCCTTCTTTTGGGCTATAATAAATACCAGATTAGAGCACACAACCTGGGTATTTGTCCTAACTTTTTCTGTGAGCAATAGTGTGACCTTAAGCACCAACTTAATTTCCCCTAGCTTTGCTTGCCTGACTTATAAAACAATGAAAATATGTATATATCAATCTAAAGAAATAATGCAATCTTTTCCAAACCATAGTATGTGTATTACTCATAATATATGAGATGATTTATACGGTTTATGGTCAATATCTTTGTCTTGACTACTTTTATCTTCTTTTTAAGAGAAGGCAAATGGTTTTTTATTTATATAATGTTACCTTTGAAAAAAGTATATGTTTTCTAAGATCTAAATTGATTTAAATAAAAATATTAATAAAATTACAAGGAGTACACGGATATGGCAAAACAACTTGTAAAGGAAGTTGATGTATTAGAAACACTGAATTAACATATGTTGTACTTGTCGATATAAGAAAACTTATCAGCTATTCATGGGGGGGCATCTGGCCATTCCAGCACTACATTAGAAAAGGAGGTACATACCTGAATTATCCATATGTCCACTTATATTTTTGAAATTTACCAGTTAAATGCTTCACTTCCCTTTTCCCTTTGCCAGTGTATATAGTCCCAGAGCATGCAAAGTACTGCTACTGCAAACTTTCTTAGACTTCACAAATCACATCCCATCACTGCCTTCCTGTGGCTTTTAGTCCCCAACATTTTCCAGCATAAACTCTTTTCCTTCATCATCACCTGAGCTATAATCACCTCATCTCACCTTCCTCTAACCACTCAGGATTCATGTCAGCCTAGTTAGCACTTGGCTCACCCAACCTTGTCTGTTCTGCCACTGCTACCTTGCACACAACCAATTGTTTCTTCAAGATCTATTTCAAAGCCCACTTATGTCCTGAAATCTAGCTAACTACATGACTTCCAGATGTATTTATCTACCTTCTAAGTCTTTGGCATTGAATATAGTGTGTTTTGTCTAGGCTTGCATAGAAGAAAAGAAGATTAGAAATTACAGTGATGGATAATGAATACTGTGATAAAGATGTTATGCATTGTTGTGGAAGAAGTAGAACAGAAAGGTCTTAAGAGTACAGACTCTGAAGTCAGACTGTCTGGGTTTCATTCTGGCATGCCACTTGCCACTTGAAGAAATTATTCAGCCTCTCTGAGTCTCCTGGTCTCATTTGAAACTGCAGCTACTAATAGTTGCTACTTCATAAGGTTATTGTGAAGATTAAATGAGCTAGTATAGGGAAGCGCTTGGGCCAATGCCTGAAATATTGGTTATTGTTACATGCAGAGGGTACAAATGGCAACATATAAGAGGTGTCCCCAAACAGAGTTCTAACCAAGAGGCAGTCTGGAGAAAATGGTGTTTGAGTTTATTATTGCAGGACAGGTAGGAGTTAGTCAAGTGTGTGTGCTTGTGTGGGCCTGGGGTATTACAGTGAGGGTGGATTAGGCAGTGAGTACCGCAGTCACACAATCATACCATCATAAAAGTGGGGATGGAAACAAGGAGTAAAAGAGCATGGCATATTATAGAAGTGCAGGGGACATTTCTAGTGCAAGGGTCCAGGGGTAGGCAGTAATGAAACACAAGGCCACACATTTGAGGCAAGTCATAGGAAGGCTTTGCACACCGCACTAAGAAAAAAAAAGTATTTGAGTGCCTGCTATGTGCCAGATGCTGTTTTATTTTGGAGACTGGGTACCACAGTGAAAAATGCATAGCCTCTATATTTGGCATGGCCTAACTGAAAAGATAAATACATAATTAAATGATAACATGATAAATGCTTAATTGAAGATGTAACAAGCACTATGAAAGCACAATGCCTAAGTTTGTTTTTCCCAGAGACATAAGCAACATCTTAACAGATAGGTAAATGTTCACCAAACAACAGGCAAGCAATCAGAAAGGTTATGTCATTTACCAAACAACCGTTAATTATATAGCACTATGTGCCAGACCCTTTAAAAATATTATATGAGGGCCGATTAGAAACAGCTGTGGTCCATGGCTCTCATGGAGAGAAATGAAAACAACAAGTGAATTCAGCACCTTCAACTGACAAATCCAGGTTCTCTAACTGGAACTGACTAGGCAATCAACTCAACCCACAGAAAATAAAGAAAAGTAGGGTGAGGCAACAGCATCCAGGAGCTGTGTGGAGCCAAAGGAACCCTCACCCCCAGCCAAGGGAAGCAGAGAGTGATTGTGCAGCCCCACCCAGGAAATCACACTTCTCCCATGGATCTTTGCAACCCACAGATCTGGAGATCCCCTCATGAGCTCACACCACCAGGGCCTTGGGTTTGATACACAGCACTGTGCAGAGTCTCAGCAGAGCAGTCACTCAAGCACACACAGAGACCCAGGAGTTTTACAGTCTCCGGCTCCTGAAATCCCAGCAAGGCGGGAGTTCCATCTGTACATTCGCATATGAAGGGAGCTGAATCCAGGGAGCCAAGCAGCATTTTTCTGTTGGCCCCACTTCCACGGCACCTCACAAGTAAAAACCCGCTGGCTTGGAATTCCAGCTAGCCACTGCAGCAGGCTGAAGACTGCCTGAGATGGATGAGTTCCAAGAGGGAGGGGTAGCTGCCATTTCTGTGGTTAGGTCAACTCAGCCATTCTAGCCTGCCAGCTCCAGGCAGTCCAGGTGATTTCGATGAGGAGGAGTCCCCCATAACACAATACAGCTACTGTGCCAGATCATAGACAGACTGCCTCTTTAAGTGGGACCCCAATCCATCCCTCCTTCCTGGGTGGGGCCTCCCTGCAGGAATTTCAGCAACTCCAACTAGAGTTATATGGACAGAACTCTGATCTCTCCCTGGGACAGAGCTCCTGAGGGGAGGGGTGGCCAACATCTCTGCAGTTCAGTCAGCTCAACCTTTCCAGCCTGCTGGTTCTAGAGAGTCCAGGTGGTCTGGATGAAGAAGGGTTCCCCTCATTGCAGCACACCTGCTCTCCCCAAAGCAACCAGGCTGATTCTTTAAGCAGGTTCCTGATCCCATTCCTCCTGACTGAGTGAAACCTCCCAACAGGAGTCTCCAGACACCTCCCACAGGAGCGTCCAGGCCAGCAACAAGTCAGTACCCCCGGGACAGAGCTTTCAGAGGAAGGAGCAGGCTGCCATCTTTGCTGTTTCACAGCCTTCACTGGTAATACATCCAGGTAAGGGAAAAACCAAGGCAACTAGGGTCTGGAGCTATCTCCCAGCAAACAACAGGAGCCCTACAGAAGAGTGACCAGACTGTTATTAAAAAAAAAAAAAAAAAAAAAAAAAAAAAACAGAAAGCAATAACAATGTCATCAACGAAAAGAGATCCCACAAAAAAACCCATTCAAAGGTCAGAAACCTCAAAAATTGAAGGTACATAAGCCCCCAAAATGAGAAAGAATCCATACAAAAATGATAAAAACTTAAAACGCAAGAGTGCCTCTTCTCCTTCAGATGACCTCAACACCTCTCCAGCACAAAACTGAGCTGAGACTGAGATGGCTAAATTGACAGAAGTAGGCTTCAGAAAGTGGGTAATAATGAGCTACGCTGAACTAAAGGAGCATGTTGTAACCCAATGCAAAGAAGCTAAGAATAAAGATAAAACAATATAGGAAGTGATAACCAGAATAGTCAGTTTAGAGAGGAGCAAAGCTGACCTGATGGAGCTGAAAAACAGAACACAAGAAATTCACAATGTAATCACAAGTATTAATAGCAGAATAGACCAAGCAGAGGAAAGAATCTCAGAGGTTGAAAACTGTCTTTCTGAAATAAGATAGGCAGACAAGAATAGAGAAAAAAAGAATGAAAAGGAATAAACAAAACCTCCAAGAAATATGGCGCTACATAAAAAGACCAAACCTATGATTGATTGGGGTACTTGAAAGAGATGAGGAGAATGGAACCAAGTTAGAAAACATACTTCAGGATATCATCCAAAAGAACTTCCCCAACCTAGAAAGGCAGGCCAAAATTCAAATTCAGGAAATCCAGAGAACCCCAGTAAGATACTCCATGAGAAGTTCAACCTCAAAACACATAAGCATGAGATTCCCCAAGATCAAAATGAAAGAAAAAATATTAAAGCTGCCAGAGAGAAAGGTCAGGTGACATACAAAGGAAAGCCCATCAGACTAACAGTAGACCTCTCAGCAGAGACCCTACAAACTAGAAGATTTGGGGAGCCAATATTCAACATTCTTAAAGAAAAGAATTTTCAACCCAGAATTTCATATTCAGCAAACTAAGCTTCACAAGCAAAGGAGAAATAAGATCTTTTTCAGATAAGCAAATTCTGAGGGAATTCATTACCAACAGACCTGCATTGCAAGAGCTCCTGAAGGAAGCACTAAATATAGAAAAGAAAAACCATTACCAGTCACTACAAAAATGCACTGAAGTACCCAGATCAGTGACACTATGGAAGCAATCACATAAATAAGTCTGTAAAATAACCAGTTAGCATCATGATGACAGATTCGAATTTACACGTAACAATGTTAACTTTATATTGTAAATGGGCTAAATGCCCCAATCAAAAGACACAGAATGGCAAGCTGGATAAAGAGTCAAGACCCATCAGTATGCTGTCTTCAAGAGACCCATCTCACATGCAAAGACAGACATAGGCTCAAAATAAAGGGACAGAGGAAAATTTACCAAGTAAATGGAAAAAAAAAGCAGGGGTCACAATCCTAGTTTTTGACAAAACAGACTTTAAACCAACAAAGGTCAAAAAAGACAAAAAGGGGCATTATATAATGGTAAAGAATTCAATTCAACAAGAATACCTAATTATCCTAAATATATGAGCACTCAATACAGGAGTACCCAGATTCATAAAGCAAGTTTTTAGAGAACTATAAAGAGACCTATACTCCCACACAATAATAGTGTGAGACCTCTACACCTCACTGACAATATTAGACAGATCATTGAAACAGAAAATTAATACACATATCTGAGACCTTAGCTCTGGATCCAATGGACCTGATAGATATCTACAGAACTCTCCATCCAAAAACAAGAGAATATACATTCTTCTCATCACCACATAACACATACAGAAAAACTGATCACGTAATTGGAAGTAAAACACTCCTCAACAAATGCAAAAGAACTGAAATCATAACAGTCTCTCAGACCACAGTGCAATCAAATTAGAACTCAAGACTAAGAAATTTACTCAAAAACATGCAACTACATGGAAATTGAACAACCCATTCCTAAATGACTCCAGAGTAAATGATGAAATTAAGGCAGAAATTAAGAAGTTCTTTGAAACTAATGAGAACAGAGAGTCAGCATACCAGAATCTCTGGGATGCAGCTAAAGCAGTGTTAAGAGGGAAATTTATAGCACTAAATGCCCACATCGAAAAGCTAGAAAGATCTCAAATTAAGAACCTAACAACACAACTAAAAGAGGTAGAGAACCAATAGCAAGCAAACTCCATAGCCTAGCATAAGACAAAAGATAACCAAGGTCAGAGTGGAACTGAAGGAGATAGAGACACAAAAAACCCTTCAAAAAAATCAGTGAATCTGAGAGGTGTTTTTTGGAAAAAATTAATAAAATAGACAGACTGCTAGCTAGAGTAATAAAGAAGACAACCGAGAAGAATCAAATAGCAAAACTCAGAATTGATAAGGGGGATATTACCACTGACCCCACAGAAATACAAAAAACCATCAGAGAGTAATATAAACACCTCTATGCACATAAACTAGACAATCTACAAGAAGTGAATAAATTCTGGACACATACACCCTCCCAAGACTGAACCAGGAAGAAATTGAATCCCTGAGTAGACCAATAACAAGTTCTGAAATTGAGGCAGTAATAAATAGCCTACCAACTAAAAAAAGTCTGGGACCAGAGGGATTTATAGCTGAATTCTACCACAGGTACAAAGAAGATCTAGTACTATTCTTACTGAAACTACCCAAAACATGAGGAGAAGGGACTCCTCCTTAACTCATTTTATGAGGCCAGCATCATCCTGACACCAAAACCTAGCAGAGATACAACAAAATGAGAAAATTCAGGCCAATATTCCTGATGAATATTGATGCAAAAATCCTCAATAAAATACTAGCAAACTGAATCCAGCAGCACATCAAAAAGCTTATCCACCATGATCAAGTCAGCTTCATCCCTTGTATGCAAAGTTGATTCAACATACACAAATCAATAAATGTAATCCATCACATAAACAGGACTAAAGACAAAAACCCTGTGACTATCTCAATAGATGCAGAAAGGGCCTTCAATAAAATTCAACAACCCTACATGTTAAAAACTCAATAAACTAGGTATTGATGAAACATACCTCAAAATAATGAGACCCATTTATGACATACCCACAGCCAATATCATACCAAATGGGCTAGCTGGAAGTATTTCCCTTGAAAACCACCACAAGACAAGGATGCCCTCTCTGACCACTTCTATTCAACATAGTATTGGAAGTTCTGGCCAGAGCAATCAGACAAAAGAAAGAAATAAAGGTATTCAAATAGGAAGAGAGGAAGTCAAACTGTTTCTATTTGCAGATGACATGATCCTGTATATCTAAAAAACCCCATTATCTCAGCCCCAAAGCTCCTTAAGCTGATAAGCAACTTCAACAAAGTCTCAGGATACAAAATCAATGTGCAAAAATTGCTAGCATTCCTATAATCCAAAACAGGAAAGCAGACAGCCAAATCATGAATGAACTCCCATTAACAATTGCTACATACAGTATAAAATACCTAGGAATACAGCTAACAAAAAAAAGTGAAGAACCTCTTCAAGGAGAACTACAAGCCACTGCTCAAGGAAATCAGAGAGGACAAAAACAAATGGAAAAACATTCAATGCTCATGGATAGGAAGAATCAATATCATGAAAATGGCCATACTGCCCAAAGTAATTTATAGATTCAATGTTATTCCCATTAAACTACCACTAACATTCTTCACAGAATTAGAAAAAAACTATTTTATACTTCATATGGAACCAAAAAAGAGCTCAAATACCCAAGACAATTCTAAGCAAAAAGAAGAAAGTTGGAGACATCACACTACCCGACTTCAAACTATACTACAAGGATACAGCAGCCAAAACAGCATGTTACTGTTACAGAAACAGACACACAGACCGGTGGAACAGAATAGAGAACTCAGAAAAAAGACTGCACACCTACAACTATCTGATCTTCAGCAAACCTGATAAAAACAAGCAATTGGGAAAGGATTCCCTATTTAATAAATGCTGCTGGGAAAACTGGCTAGCCATATGCAGAAAATTGAAGCTAGACCCCTTCTTTACACTTTATACAAAAGTTAACACAAGATGGATTAAAGACTTAAATGTAAAACCCAAAACTATAAAAACCCTAGAAGAAAATCTAGGCAATACCATTCAGGACATAGGGACAGGAAAGGATTTCGTGATGAAAACACCAAAAAGCAATTGCGACAAGAGCAAAAATTGACAAATGGGATCTAATTAAACTAAAGAGCTACTGCACGGCAAAAGAAACTCATGAGAGTGAATACACAACCTACTGAATGGGAGAAATTTTTGCAATCTATCCATCTGACAAAGGTCTAATATCCAGAGTCTACAAGGAACTTGAACAAATTTACAAGAAAAAGCAAAAAACCGCATCAAAAAAGTGGGCATAAACAGACGCTTCTCCAAGAAAGACATTTATGGGGCCAACAAACATATGAAAAAGGCTCAACATTGCTGATCATTAGAGAAACGCAAATCAAAACCAAAATGAGACCATCTCACACCAGTCAGAATGGTAATTATTAAAAAGTCCAGAAACACAAGGTGCTGGTGAGGTTGCAGAGAAAAAGGAACACTTTTACTTCCTGGGTATATACCCAAAGGAATACAAATCATTCTATTGTAAAGATTCATGCACATGTATATTCATTGCAGCACTATTCACAATAGCAAAGACATGGAATCAACCCAAATGCCCATCAATGATAGATTGTAAAAAGAAAATGTGGTACACATACACCATGGAATACTATGCAGCTATAAAAAGGAATGATATCATGTCCTTTGCAGGAACATGGACGGTGCTGGAAGCCATTCTCTTCAGCAAACTCACAGGAACAGAAAACCAAGCACCACATGTTCTCACTTATAAGTGGGAGCTGAACAATGAGAACACATGGACATATGCAGGGGAAAAACACACATTGGAGCCTGTTGGGAGTGAGGGTGGAGGGAGGGAGAGCATCAGGAAGAATATCTAAAGGATACTGGGCTTAATACCTGGGTGATGGGTTGATCTGTGTAGCAAATCACCATGGCACACGTTTACCTATGTAACAAACCTACACATCCTGCACATGTACCACTGAACTTAAAATAAAAGTTGAAGGAAAAAATATATATACATGCCGATAGACTTCTGCTCGCTTATCTCCTGGCAAAAAAAAAAATATATATATATATATATAATTAAACTTTATAATAACTCTTTGAGGCAATTTTTATTATTCTCTTTTTAGAGATGAGGATCCCTAAGATCACACAGTAAATCCATTTTCTTGACTCTAACTACATACAACTATATATAGTTTTCTTGAGAATACAGGACTCTCCATAAAGTAAATATTATATAAGTACCGTATTTGTCAACTAGATTAAAGGAGGTTCAATTCTTGTCTGTATGTGAAGTTTCAAGTTTATAATAGTTTCCCTAAAAAATAATTTTTATTTTAAAATTTCAATGAAGAAATTCCATGGAAAGAATTCCATGGAAGGATTTGGAAGTTGCTATGATAGACAGCTGTGAAACACAACCATGTCAATACCCATACATTTAAAACTTCAGAGAATCTCTACATTATAAATTTCATAGCTGGTAAGACTGTTTCTTTCCAACACCAGTAGTCACACCATGATCACACTGCTCTTGCCCTGATAGTGAAGACAATAAGCTGTATTTAATCAGAGGGTTAACTGAGGACCACACTGATCATAATAATCTCCCACATTCTGTTGCTGGCAGGTGAGGGATAAAGTTGAAGATCATGGTAGAAAGATACAGACAAAGAGGAACATCTTTTCTTTCTCTCGTTTTTCTCCAAAGGTGTGGAGTCTCTCTGCACATCTTGTCAGACAGAAGAAAGCAGTGCTGTAAACATCAGAAGGGAGAAACCCCTTGTTCACAATAATGATGAAAAAAATATTTATTGACTGACTGACTTCAATTACTCACAATGTCCACTTACAAACTGCTTTCTTGTTTGTTGTCTTCTTCAGCCCTCATAAAATCCCTGGGATAGTTCACATCATCCCCCTCTTAGAAGGAAAAGGAAGCTTAAACAAGTTCAATAACAGAGCTAATTATAATTAGGGGATGGACTTGCACCTGGAGAGTCATTCCCAGTCCAACACATTTTACACTCCATCCCATATCTCTAGTTGATAGGTCTCTGAAATTAGTCATGGCCACAGGAAGATATTAGACTCATCATTAAATGAGCCTCTTGAGGCAATGAGGTTGATCTAATGCGCTGACTGATGGATAAGACGGCCAGGGTCATCTGGCTCCTCTTGATCCTCATCCTGTGTCTTTGCCCCCTTGCTCACTATTCTCAGCCACATCAGCCTTCTTGTTGTTCCTCGAGCAGCCCAAGTCCAAGCATGCTCCCCATTTGCCGCTGCCCCATCTGGAATTCTCTTCATGGCCACTTCCTCACAAGAAACTTGAAATAACATCACTCTCTCCTCCTGTTCTCCTTATCACTCTTCTCTGCTGTATTTTTCTCCATACCTCTTAGCACCATCTGGCATAGTAGATATTTTACTGGTGTATTTGTTTGCTATGTGTTTCTTCCCATTAGAATGTAAACTCCATCATAGCAACGATTTTTTTTAAATGTGTTTGCTGTATTTCCAGTACCCAGTGACTGGCAAATTATAGACACTGAAAAATAAATGGCAAGAGAGAGGGAAGGAGGGAGGGAGGGAAGACAGGGAGGGAGGGAGGGAGGGAGGGAGGAAGGAAGGAAGGAAGGAAGGAAGGAAGGAAGGAAGGAAGGAAGGAAGGAAGGAAGGAAGGAAGGAAGGGGAGGGAGGGAAAAGACTTGAGAAAGGCTTGAATTCTGACTCCACTACCTTCTTCCTGGCTGGGTAACTTTGAGTTACTTTATTCCTTGATCAGTTTCTACCTCCCTACAATGTAGGGTTTAGATTTAAACACTTCTACGAGCCCAACACTAAAGTTCTATCATTCTGTGCTTTGTGATTCTATGTTTCCCTTGGCTACTGACACAAAGAAGGAGGTAAACAGTTGGTCTCAAGGGAAAAGGGCTGTACATATCTGTGGGCTCTTCCTCCTGCTCCTGTCACCACAACAACTAGTGTGTGGAGCACAACTAGCCTGACCCTCTAGTGAGTAAAAAACTTATCTATTTGGTTTTATTTAAGAAACATCAGGAAAGCTACCACTTGAACAAGAATATCTTTCCCTAGAGGTTTTTGTTAATACTCAAAATTCTACAGTAGACAGAATTCTTGTGGGCACTATTCCTTATCAAATCAAAAATGTCCTTTGAAACCTCTTATTGGTCACCAATAAAGAAGAGGACTTTGGAGTCCAGGAGACCTGGATGGGAAGCTTGATGGCTCCAAGAACTTGAGCAATTGACTTACCTCTCTTAATCTTCTATTTGCAATCTGTAAAATGGGGGAAATTTATGGTAATTGCTTTACAGGGCTTTTGTGAGTATTAAATGCAATGAGCCCTTTAAAGCAACTCAGTAAGTGATCAGTAAATTGTAGCTATTTTCATCCTTTTGGATAGTGTAGGAATGATTTTATCTGATACAAATGATCAGCCTCTAGAACGGGTGCTGGACTTGTTAATAGGCACATTCTGGGTAAGAGAAGAAAATACAGCGTTAGAACACAAGAGTAAATACCTAGTTAGAAAGCCAGAAAATTGTGTGAGGAGACTGGGGCTACTGGGCAGTCTGGAGTCACAGGGCTGCATCAGGAAGAAAGGCATCAAAGACCCAAACTTGGTCTGCAGTCATTTCAGCCACAATCCTCTTTCCCAATGATGTTTTAAATCTTTGAAATGCACTTACTGACTTTTTGGTTAGCCAAGGCCACAGATCATTGTAACTCAGAAGATATCATACATCACCTCACATTAAATCAGTGCATTCCTAGCAGACACTCAGTTCTCTCTGCAGAAGAAATGGCCATTATGTAGTGGCTCTCAGTTCTTGGATCAGCCAGGAAAATTATCAGCAGAGGTCAAAGTTGTTTGAGAAAAGCAAGGAAAGTACTGAAATCTAAGGCGATTCCCAGTCATTAATCAAGACTAAATGAAAACATTGTTTCTGTGCCTAACGCACTGACATCTTGTGTATAAACTAGAGATTTCTTTTCTTGTGTACAAAATTTTCATTTCAGTGATTACATCATGTTTCAAAACATGGAATGTTTTGAATGCCAAGGAAAAGGAGTGGGAAGTAATCCAGAAAAATAGCTTTGTATCAAAAATAAAAAGGAATAAGTGCAAGTGAAATTGAGGATCATTATGAGTGTCTGCCTCCTAATTAAGCCAGCTCCTGTTTTACCAAATATCATTAAGTGTTTTTTTCATATTCTCACCATCTTTTGCATCAAGTATCTGAATTGTGTAATACTCCATATTAGGCAATAATCACCATACTCAGTAAGAAAAATTAAAACTAAATTTTTAGGGCAATAGAAATAGGAAATGGCATTCTCTTAAATGTATTTTTTACCGCCTGATAAACTACACATTTATGATGTGGCCTCTTCCTAAATAATTCAAATTTGGGTTAGTGCAATATCTGATTCAATATTTGACTTCGATAAGTATTGGCAAATTTGAGGACATTTTTCTTGACTCTGAAATAATTGTTTGCTCCAAATAACTAAGTAATATGCAAATATCAGCCATTTGGCATTTCTTAAAGACTGCTCACAATGCTAATGTCAGACTTAGGAACTCCTCCCTTGCAGGTCACACTGCACCTTATATATGTGGTAGCACAATTCACATTGAAGTGCTGTTTTCTGTCTCTCCAGTTAGGCTGCCAGCCCTTGAGGGCGAAAACATTCTAATTCCATCACTATCGTGGTGGCCTGGCACACACTAAGCATTCTTTTTAATATATTTAAAAATAATAAGCAAATATTTGATGAATTGGTCACCACTGGGAATGTGAGATTATGTTAGATTCAACTGAGCTTACAAGTTAGTTGGATACATAACATATGCAAAGGTAAATGACCATTCAAGAGTTGAAATACCATCAGAGGCTAAACTTTTATAGGGAAGAGTACCTGGACTATCACTTTTATGGAATGAGGATAAACAGTACCTCATGCTGAGTAGGAGTTTAGGCTCTGAAATCAGATGGAACTGGGATAGTCACTTGACTTTACCATTTGCCAGCTGTGTAAACTTGGGTAAGTTGCTGTCAAAGAACAATGAGACCATTACATGATACCTGAAATAAAAAGACAAAGCTGAATGCGTTGCTACTACAGAAAAAAAAAAGTGGATGCTTTAGATCAGTCACAGGCTCTGTTGGTCTTCAGTGGGTTTTAAGGGAAGCATGCAGTTCAAGGAGACTTGGAGAGGTGAAGATAAGTTAACATTATTTTTAGAAGTTTGATTACTGGGGATAGGGACTGTGGTGGATTGGTTGAAACTCTGGGATATGTTTATTGGAGTGAATCCTGATTGGCTAACTTTCAGAAGCAAAGAGCTGGCCCTGATTAGTTGGTTTATAAAAGCGTGTTCACTGCAGCAGATGTTGAACAAGTAACTGGGTTTAAAACCAGTTCTGTTGACTACTTGTTGCCAGGGCTACAGAACAATTAGTTTTCTCTTATGTTTGCAAAAATTTATTTAACCTTTCAAAATTTTGTTTTTTCAGTCTGTAAACCCCACAGGATTTTTATGAGGATTTTAAGAGATAATGCTCACAAAGAACATACACTAACTTGCCACAAAGTATTTAATAAAAGTTACATTTATACATTTAACATGCACACAAAACATTTTGTCTATAAGGTAAATAGAGTTTTTATGAAATGTGACCTGAATACTTTTGCCAAACATCATAACACATTGTCATCCACTTCCTCTCTTCTTCAAGACCGAGTGTAAATACACATATTAACTAGGAGTCTGCCTTCTTTCTGTTCTCCCTTAACCTGCCTTGTATTCTGATGGCATGCAATAAATAAAAGAGATGTCGTACAGTGCACTGAGAGAAAATGGGAGGTGTGGTAGACTAGATTATTTTCTCTAATCCTTCACTCTCACCTTTTAATAAAATTGTACATCCATGCCCTTGCCACATGACCTACAATATCTCCCACCAGGTTAAGTAGAGTACATGTCTCACCTCACTGTTCCCACTCTTGGCCATGAAAATTGCTTTGGCCAATGGATTGTAGCACATGTGGTGCAAACAGTTTTAGGTTTGCTTGCAGTATTTGGCTTGACATTCTGCATGGCTCCATTCTACATAGACGTATGTGGGAAGTAAAAGCATAGAGGATCTCTGATGCACAACTAAGACAATATGGATGAGTAACAATTAGATGAGACATATCTAATGTGTATGAGTGTCAAGGCTTGTCGGTTAAGAGCAAGCATAATTCTCTGGCAGAAACGATGAAGAGAACTTAATACCACATTATCAATATTATAAAAAGATTTTCCTAGAAACAGATTCCAAGACTTCTGAGAATGAATGATGTCACACTTTCAGAGGTTCTTTCAGTTAGGGTTCTTTGCTTGAAAGAAATACAATCTGACATTTGTCAACCAAAGCAAAAAGGAAAATTATTATAGAATGTGGTCTACCTTATGGAATCAGATGATCAAGGTGGAAGTTAGAGCAGCTTTGAGCATGAACTAATGGACACTGGGTTAAATGAGCTACAATTGGTTTTGTCCATGTGTCCTTCCCCACAAGTTTCCAAATTCCAGAATAGTGAGTCTGATTGTCTGGGTTTATGTCACATCCCTCTGCACAACTAGGTTACAAATAATGGACGAGAGATAAGTTATTCAGGAAGAGGTTTTCAATTGACAAAAAATGAATACTGGATACCGGGTGGCAAAAATAACAACTGCACAGATGCACAGCTCTTGTTTGGGTTATTTCACAGACTTGTATTGTGGAGTGTTTTGCTCAGTTCTTGGCCCATAGTAAACACTCAATAAATATTTGTTAAGTGAATATTGAATTAATGAGCATTGAACGAATGATCTCAAGTTCATTGACAATCTCCAATTTTCATCTTCTGTATTGGCCAGGCATGGCTGCTCACATCTGTAATCCCAGCACTTTGGGAGGCCAAGGTGGGAGCACTGCTTGAGCCCAGGAGTTTGAGGATTGACGCCAGCCTGGGAAAAAAGGCAAGAACTCCATCTCTAGAAATATATATATATATATATAAAATGCATATATGAGCCAGGCATGATGTTGCATGCCTATAGTGCCAACTACTCAGGAGGCTGAGGTGGGAGAATCCCTTGAGCCCAGAAGTGTGCAGCTGCAGTGAGCCATGATTACTCCACTGCACTTTAGCCTGAGCAACACTGTAAGACCCTATTTCAAAAAAATAAAAATAAAATAAAATAAAATAATAACACCAAAATCTGTCTTATCATCCACTCATTTGCCTCAAAATACATTTGGATGCTATGATAGAAATTATTTAGAAAATTTAGTGCTCTACATAATTATAAGGGAGTTGAGTTTCTTATATACAATAACTTGAATTTGTTGGACGCTTCTAATAGGCCATCCACCCTGCTACGTATCTTACATAAATCATTTCATTTCATTTGATCTTCAAACTCTATAAGGTAATAATGTTAGTAAGCAACCTTCTCCTGCTTCCATTTTACAGATGGAGAAACTAAGGCTGGGGTGGGTGATGCTGTATGATTTGTTTAAGATGTCATCGTAAGTGACAGAGTAGGGATTTGAATACAGAATTGCATTACTTCAAAGGCTACACTCTTAACCACTAAACCTAACAGCCTCTCTGACTTTTCTGATCTAGAAGGATCTTGCAGATTTCAGGATCATTACTGTTAGCAAAAGTTATCTTTGAAATATTAATATACAATGTTGGGAAAATGGCACACCATGTTATTTGAGCCCTCTAGTTTAGATTATGAATAATTCAAATATTATAAAGTCAAATATCATGTGTCTTAGAAAGTGTTACCTTTGATTAAACTAATATTAAAAGTCTGTGTAAAATTTCAGAACAGCTTTGATTCCCTAGGTTAGATCCATTTCCATAAGAATTATATTAATTTATGAATGTCTAGTTAATTTCTTTCATGAAAGGATTATAATTTCAGATACCAAGGGTTTGGCCAAAATAAAGATGTCTCTTCAAAACTAAAATATAAACTTAAAAGTTTAAATTACATATTCCAGATTATTTCTCATAAACGTAGAACTCTCATTTCAAAAGACTAGAATGCAATAAACTGTTTATATTTTAAATTTCTAAACTTTCAGAAGAGAAGCTAACTGGTGCCCGTCAGCTCATCACTATTTTAAACAATTCATTTGCATTTCATGGCTATGAGGTTTGTCTTTTCTCTCTTTGTAAGGTGTTCCTAATAGGAACAACTTTGAAAAAAAGTATACTTTGTTTTCACTTTTGCGTTTATTTTTATAACATTTTCAACTTATCTACACAATGAAAGGAAAAACAAGTTCAGGAAGTTTAGGGCCCTGACTTTTTTCCACTCACACTACTATTACTAAAAGACTTGGAAGCCTAAATTATTTATATGTAATCTACATTGTCTGAATTCAATAACGAATAATTCAAACTTTCATTTTGGCTCAGCAAAATAGCTTTGAGGGACAAGTAAATATGGTTTTTGAAGCGGTGGAACTACTTTGACCCGGTAATTATTTATCAACTAGAATGCCTCCAGGTACTGTTAACCAAAAATACGAGTAAAATCTTCTCAAATAATAAGAACCTTTGAAATTCTTTTAACAAGAAATTCAAAGGTGGGGAAGGCCCAGAGTTGGTTAATTTGGCAGTTCATATCACAGCTCTGCATCTTCTATTCATTGATTTTTGCCCTTGGGCTTGTGCCTTCTTCATTGCAAGAGGACTTCTGCAGCCATGGGCAGCAGATCCCCACAATACAACCTCCACAGGCTGAAAACAGGAATGTTCCTGATTGGTGCCCTCTCTGTTTTCCCAAAAGTCAACAGATCATCCCTGACCTCTCCTGGCCAGAAGTGATTCGCTTGCCTATTTTTAAACCCATCACAGGCAGGCAGAATGGAATAAATTGCCCTAGGACTATTAAGACGTATTCCCTGTGCTGAGGAGAAACCCAGGTACCCATGAAGCACATAGCCCCAGTAGATAAAATTGAATTTAATACATAAATGGAATGAGGGATGAATTATTGTTGGACAGACAACTGAGAGTATCTGCCATGGATTTTTAGCTACTTTTTTATAACACTTAAAATTTTTCACACTCTTTTAGATATGTGTTTTCATTCTTCAAACAATCTGGAAAAGGGGAATGGAAACCTGATTATTTCTACCCTACAAATGAGAAAAATGAGGTCAGAGAAGCTATGTGGCTTGCCTAAGACCATGAAACTAATAATAGCATCCTAAATCTACATTGTATTCATTTTTTAAATAATCACAATATGTTAGGAACTCCTAAACAACAGGAAGTTATATTTATCAATTTTCCTTTTAAAACATGCAGGCCTTTATATATTATTTTTTAATGGCAGAAAAATAGGAATCTCTCTGACATTTCTCCTTCTGATATGCATTTCTGTTTGGTAGGCACATTAACCTACTGTGAATCTGTGTAACACCCTCATACAAAGAAAAAAAAAGTCTTTATAATTTAATGTGGCAAAAAGTTGAAAACTATTTCAAAAGAAAAATGAACTAATTTTGCTATGGTTTGCCAACATCCAACCTGTGTGACGATGACACTGAATTTTACTGATGCAGAATTACAGAGAATGTCACTATCCTTAAGATCATTTAGTGCAATAAAAGACAGAGAGGGAACCTAGTGGAGTCAGCTAGCCCAAATTTTGCCTCTGTGCTGGACAAATAGTTAGATTCTATCTCACTTTAAAATATCTGCAGGGAAAGATAATTTTTAACCAGCAGTGATGTTTTTCTAAATTGATGTAAAATGCTCCAGATTATAGGTAACTGAACTCATCTCAGTTGTACTCACAAAAGGACCTTTCCTTACCTTTCTGTGAGCAAAGAAGATGCGCTGCTATGAGGGTATCATTCTCTTCAGTAAGGTCAGGTTTAACCTTCTTGTAAATTCTGCTACCTCTCCTCTTTTTTAGAAGGTTTTATTACATAGTAAACTCTAATTTATTCATTCTTCTCACCATTATTTTTAGAATGCAGCAGTCCAATCCCCTAAAAAAGTAAGTAGTCATGAAGGATTCTTTAACATTACCTTTTATGGTTTTCAAAAGCATGTTACTTCTACCAATCTATTCTATAGGAATATGTCAAAATAATGAAAATTTGGGAAGAAAATAAATGACTATCCATAGAAGCACAGTTAAATACATTGTTGTACAATTGGTCCTTGAACAACATGGGGGTTAGGAGAGCTGCCCCACCCCATGCAGTCAAAAATCCAAGTATAACTTTTGACTCCTCCAAAACTTACTTACTAATAGCCTATTGTTAACTGGAAGCCTTACTGATAACATAAACAGTTGATTAACATTTTTTTGCATGTTATAGGTATTTGTGATGGTTAATACTGAATGTCGACTTGATTGGATTGAAAGACACAAAGTATTGATCCTGGGTGTGTCTGTGAGGGTGTTGCCAAAGAATATTAACATTTGAGTCAGTGGGCTGGAATAGGCAGACCCACCCTTAATCTGAGTGGGCACAATCTAATCAGCTGCCAGTGCGGCTAGAATATAAGCAGGCAGAAAAACGTGAAAAGAGAGACTGGCCTAGCCTCCTAGCCTACATCTTCCTCCCATGTGGGATGCTTCCTGCCCTGGAACATCAGACTCCAAGTTCTTCAGTTTTGGAACTCCAACTGGCTCTCCTTGCTCTTCAGCCTGCAGGCGGCCTATTGTGGGACCTTGTGATTGTGTGAGTTAGTACTTAATAAACTCATATATATAATACTTAATAAACTCATATACATATATATGAGTTTATTAATATATATGAGTTTATTAAGTATATATATGAATTTATTAAGTATATATAGATACTTAATAAATATATATATATTCTGTTAGTTCTGTCCCTCTAGAGAACCCTGACTAATACAGTATTATATACTGTATTCTTACAATGAAGTAATCTAGAGAAAAAAATTATTAAGAAAATCATAAGAAGAAAAATTATTAAGAAAATCATAAGCAAGAGAAAATATATTTACGATTCACTAAGTGAAAGTGGATTATCATAAAGGTCTTCATCCTCATCACGTTCACGTTGAGGCTGAACATGTAGGCTGAGGAAGAGGAAGAGGAGAAGTATTAATGTCTCAGGAATGGCAGAGATGGAAGAAGTGAAGGAGCTAGAAGGGCAGGCAGGAGAGGTAGGCATACATGGTGTAACTCTAAGGAAATACATTGTAATTTCTGACTTTTTTGATTTTTCATTTATCTAAAAATGTTCCTATAAAGTAACAACCCTTCTTCCACCATTTGCTTTAGTTTCGGTGCCTATATCACAGAGGAGTCCATGTTGTAAAAGAAGTCAAAAGCAGTCTTGAATAATGGCAACCCTCCTGCCAGCTAATGACAATGTGTTTTTGGGTGCTGTTTTTTTCTGTCTTCCTCTTTATCTGGCACTGGTTCAGAAGCACCCATCCCCATCAACCCATCTTCTGTTAATTCCTCTGGTGCAGTGTCCATTAACTCTTGCATTTTTCCAAGATCCATATCCTGAAATCCTTCAACCCTCACATTTTTTTTTGTTTTTTTGTTTTTGCCATATCCACAATCCAGTTCATACTTTCTTTGACTGGCTCCATTGTAAATCCTGTGAATGCATGCACAACCTCTGGACACAGTTTTCTCAAGCACAAATTTATTATTTTGGGTCTGGTGTCTTTCACAGCTTTTTCTATAACAATAATGGCATCTCAAATGCTGTAATACTTCCAGACTTTCATGATGTTCTCTCTTTCAGGCTTGTCTTGCATAGCATTGACAATCCTTTCTGTAGAGTACTATGTGTAATAAGCCTTAAAGGGCTTTATGACCCTCTGATCTAGAGGCTGATTTTAGGACATTGTGTGGAGGGGGAAGGTAGATGCCTTCAGTGTTGAACTCAGGGTTTTGCATGGCCAGGGAAATTGTCCAATAACAAAAGAACTTTAAAAGGCAGTCCCTACTGTCAAGGTACTTCTTGACTTCAGGGACAAAGCGTTGATGGGGAAAAGGTTCTCATTGTCCAGGCCTTCTTGTTGTACAACCAAAAGACTGGGAGCCGGTGTTTGTCTTTTCCTTTCAAGGCTTGAGAGTTAGCAGCTTTATACATAACAGCAGTCTTGCTCATAACTTGGCTGCATTTGCACAAAACAGTAGTTAACCTATCCCTTCCTGCCTTAAATCTTGGTGTTCACTTCTCTTCCTTACTAAAGTCCTTTACCAATTTTTTTCCAGAATAGGGCACTTTCATGGACATTAAAAATCTGTTCAGGCAGATCTTTTTTCTTCTTAATGACTTTTTGGGAATTTGCTGAATCTTGGTCAGTAGAAGCTGGTTCTCCTGTTATCTTGACATTGTTTAAGCCAAACCTCATCCTAAAATTATCAAACCATCCTTTGCTGGCATTAAATTATCCAGCTTTAAACTTCCTTCACCTTCCTCTTGCTTTAAGTTGTCATATAATGACTTTGCTTTTTCTCAAATCATATTAGAGTCTATCTGCATGCCTTTCACATATTCACGAATTTCTTTTTTTCACAATGGACTTTATGTTGAATTTCTTTATCTTGAAATGACAGGCAATCATAGCTGCAGACCTCAATCTACAGTACATATCAAGCAATTTAACTTTTTCTTGTAAAAGTCCTGACTTTTTTTTGCTTCTTGGAAGCACTTACAGCATCATTAGTGGCACTCTGTATGAGTACCATGGTGTTATTCAGGGTTTACAATATTGCACTAAACACAATGAAAAATACATGAGAACTGTGAGAGGTCACTTTTTATTGCAATATGCAATTTATGTGAGAGTTGAACTTATCATACACTCATAATTAGCATCACACAGTGCTTTAAGTGGATACTCACAAAAATAGCTTGAGCTAACTGTAATAGCAGCAGGAAATGCCTAAGAAATTATTACAGTAGTACAATATACTACGGTTAATTTTGTGCAATTACAATTTAATACTGCATCTTTGTGTTTGTTTAAATTTCTCTCAACTGCAAATCGCACTATGTATGGTATGTAAACATGTAAGTTTTTTTTTTTTTTTTTGAGGTGGAGTCTCACTCTGTCGCCCAGGCTGGAGTGCAATGGCGCGATCTTAGCTCACTGCAAGCTCCGCCTCCCAGGTTCACGCCATTCTCCTGCCTCAGCCTCCGGAGCAGTTGGGACTACAGGAGCCCGCTACCACGCCCGGCTAATTGTTTTTGTATTTTTAGTAGAAACGGGGTTTCACCGTGTTAGCCAGGATGGTCTCAATCTCCTGACCTCGTGATGCGCCCGCCTCGGCCTCCCAAAGTGCTGGGATTACAGGCGTGAGCCACCGCGGCCGGCCAGCATGTAAGTTTTTATAAATTTTAAGTTTCAATAATAATTTCTGTGCATTTTGTGGTAGCAAATGATACAATAGACTAGTATCTGCGTAAGTTTTATGCATGATTGGCATATGTAACTTTTTCTTAATTAAAAAAATTCCTAGATTACACAGTTTATCTGTGAGTTGTTTTACAAATTGTAGGGAATTTCCAAAATATTTTCCAATATATTTATTGGGAGCTAAATGATGACAACACATGGACACATAGAGTGGAACAACAGACACCGGGGCCTTTTGGAGGGTGGAGGGTGGGAGGAGGGAGAGGATCAGGAAAAATAACTAATAACAGATAACTAGGCTTAATACCTGGGTGATGAAATAATCTGTACAACAAACCCCCATGACACAAGTTTTTGTGCTTATGTATTTATCCAGCTTTGGATGTCCTTCACCTTCCTTTTGTTTTAAGTTGTCATATAATGACTTCACTTTTTCTCAAATCATATGAGAGTCAATCTGTATGCCTTTCACAGCTTCATGAGTTTCTTTTTTTAACAATGGTCTTTATGTTGAATTTCTTTTTACTTTGAAATGACAGGCAATCATAGCTGCAGACCTCAATCTACAGTACATATCAAGCAATTTAACTTTTTCTTGTAATGTCCTGACTTCTGCCCCTGAACTTAAAATAAAAGTTAGAAAAAAAGTAAAAAATCCACGTATAAGTGCACCCACACAGTTCAAACCCATGTTGTTCAGGGTAAACTGCATATACATAAAATGGAACATTAGGCAGTTCCTCTTAAAATGTGGTAAATTTATAAAGATACTGTGAAAAGAAGAGAAAAATAAACTTAAATCAAGGAGAAAGAAGTATTAGAGAGGAGATAAATGAAACAAAATAGAAAGACAATAGAGAAAACCAATAGAATCAAAGTATGGCTCTCTAAAAAATGTGGTAAATTTATACATAATGATGTAGAAGACATATATCATAAATTGTTATATTTACAAAGCAAGATGTGGAACAATACTTACCCTATATTTCACTTTTTCTTTCAAAAATGTTATATGAGTATAGAAAATCTCTGGAAGGATACACAGCACTGTGTTAACAGTCATTACTTGTCTGACAATAGTACTAAAGAATAAAGTACAATTGTTAGGCATTGCATAACCATGGGGACACATCCTGAGTAATTTGTCATTAGGTGATTTTGTCATTGGTGAACATCATAGAATGTAGTTACACAAACCTAGGTCGTACAGCTTAATACAACATAGGCTATATGGTATAGGCTACAAGCCTAAACAACATGTTACTGTAATAATACTGTAGGCAATTGTAACACAATGGTAAGTATTTTTGTATCTAAACATATCTAAACATAGAAAAAATATGGTATGATAATCTGTGGGACTGTCATTGTATATGAGGTCCATCATTGCCCATAGCATCATTATGTAGATCATGACTATCTTACTTTTAACTTTATATATTTCTATGTAGTTGGCTAAGTATTATATTTATAATTTTTAAATAACCTAAAGATGAAAAAGTAAAAATTAAAGTCTTGGAATATTTTAACCCATTGGTCTTTTAGTAGAGTGATTTGATTAAAGGTATTGTAAGGAGGCAGTGTGGTGCAATGATGAGCACACTGCCCAGGTTTGAATACCGGCTCCGCTGCTTACTAACTATGCATGCTTGGGCAAATTACTTCATTTATTTGTGCCTCCATTTCCTCATCTATGAAATGAAAATAATCAGAATGCCAATTTAGATTGTTGTAAAAATAAAAGGAAATAGCATGTGAAAAATCCTACCTTAAAACAGTACCTGGAACACTGTAAAGGTTCATTCAATGTTAGCAACTGGTAGATGAAGTAGTGCAGAAAGAAAAGATGCCTGAATGAAAATAATCTAACCAGTTGATCCCAGAGCTGGGATTTTAACGCGGGCTGCCTGTTTCCTGGTTCAGTAGCCTTTGAACGATAGACTTTGTTTTTTCTCTTTTACATAACTATTCTCGAGTTTCAGAGATCATTTCAATTTTCTTCATTCTTTATTCTAGAGGAAGCTGTTTCCCGCATTAAAACATGGTATGTATAGAAAACTCAAACAGGAAGACAAAACATCAAGAAAATTTTTAAGATACAGGGGTAATAATTCATTCAATAAATCCGGTAATATCCTAAAAACTTATTTTCTTAAATTTAATCTCCTGTGGTTATCAGCAAGATGTATGCACTGTTAACAATGAAAACATAGAAATCTGCTGGCAAAATTTAACCTGAAAATAAGTTATGAAAAAGAAATCCTCCAGAGTATGACCAGCATGTCATGACAGTTTTATAGACATGCATAACAGCTGCAGCAATTCTTCATTATGTGTTAAGTATTACACACATTATGTTCTCAAAAATATGTCACAGTAAGCTGTCAACTGCACTCCTTCTTTACTTATCTCACAAAGTAAAACAAATAGGGAATTTTTAATTTAACACCATCTGAATCAACTACCAGTGTTCCATTTTCTACTGACAGAAACACTAAACATTGAAAAATATTATTTCCTAACATAAACAAGGTCTGCTAATTATTTTCTGCAAAATTTTATGGATATTTAAAAGAGAAAGAAAAATGATCTGCAGTGTGGCTACTCTAGCTCTGGTTCTCAGGTCTGAAAACATCATTCTTCCTATTTCTTCTAACATCATGTGTGGTTTAGTTTCCTTGGTGGATCGCTGACTTCCACAGTCCCTTTAATAGGGACAGGAAACAGGAAAATATTGGGTAGAAGAGGGCTGTTTCCCGGCAAAGGCCCCACCCTCAAGCCTGGATACCCGTGGCCCTAAATAAGAACAGGCATTCCTGTTTTCACGCCCAAAAATTTGCCTTTTGGCCCACCACGCCCCCTATACCCATATGAACTCAGAATTCCAGGCTCCAGAGCCGATGAGCAGGCAAGGAGATGAGGAGACAAGCAGATAAACGGCAGAACGACATGACAAAGAGAGAAGAGGAGCGACGTCTGAACGCCCAGAGGAGTTCCGCTGGGGGCGATTGGAGAGGAGTTCAGCCGCTGAATGGCGAGGCTCCGGGGGAAGATCATCTTCCCACTCCATCCCCCACTCCGGCTCCCTATCCATTCCGCTGAGAGCCACCCCCACTACTCAACAAAACTCTCGCATTCATCCTTGAGTCCCTCTGTGCGACCCGATTTTTCCGGGACGCTGGACAAGAGCTCAGGATACAGAAAGTTGTTACACTGACCCGCTGCCCTCGCAGAAAGGCAAACGGTCCACCGAGCTGGTTAACACTCAAGCCGTCCGCGGATGGCAAAGCTAAAATGGCGCACTGTAACACACGCCCACTTGGGCTCCTTCACCTGCCTGCGCGCTCCCCATCCTGTAAGGGGTTTTGAGCAGTAACGGGGACAGAACAGGCGAGCACCCCTGTCGCACGCCCTATGAAGGGGATCAGAGAACTCTCCCATTTCACCTTCACATCACTTTTCTTCCCATTCAAAATACCTCTACCTGGCATTGCTTTTTCTCTACCCAATCAAGGCCTGGGAGAATATGCCTTCTTTGACTCATACTAAAAACAGGAAGCAAAGGGTTGGGGTTGCTTTGAAAGACTGGCCTTCTCATCTTCTCTTATTAACCTGAGCATAGAACAGAGTGCACATTTAAAAAAAAAAAAAGGAAACTTATTTCCACCAAACTCTACCATTTTTGCTGCATCTACTAGAAAATGTCTATGGAATTTCCACACAACCATAAGGGATGGGTTGAAATTCCAGAGAAGAAACATAGCTAATACATACAGATCCCTTCTTGGCAGAGTATTAGGATTTGAAATTAAGGAGAGAAAAAGGGAAAACTATAAATACAATAATACTGGAAGATACTATTTCTATAGTTATTTGGCTTTGCAAATGCACTAGTCAAGAATGTTCAATTCCTTGACCTAGGGATTTTGGTGATCTACAGTGCTTTCTTTTGTTCTGTCAAAAAATAATTTGATGTAGTCAATCATTGCCACAGGGTTATTTTATCATAATGCTTTCATGTATAAAATTACCATTTCAATATTTTTATATGTTTTATTTATACTACCAAGTTCTTCTATCTTTATTCTCTTTTATACTTTATAGCTCATTTAAACCACTACTATATTCTAGCTTTTTTCTGAGTGTTTCACAACCATCTTGGTTAAAAGCATTAAGGACTCAGTTTATTATGAACTGTGTTTCCTGTCTTTCTGGATAGGAACAAGGCTCTTCAGAATCTTGGTGGCAATATCCATAGCTCTTGACAGATTTACCTGCTTCCTTCACATTTTATCCAAACAAGGTGACTTTGTTACTTGCCCTCTTGTTTTATTTAAAAGATAAGTACTTTTGTTTACTACAAACACTCTAGACAAATATTTAATAATAAATACATCCTAGATGTACATCAGGACTCTTTCCCAAAAACCATGGCTGGAGAGGACAGGGATATGAAGCCAAAAACATTGTAGCACAGCAAGCCATTTAGGTTGCTTTCTCAATTAAAACTCTGCTTCAAACCTACAGTGTCATCAAATAAACGAACATTACAGCAAAGTATGGACCATTACAGACCCATCACTACTTCTGTAAACTAGTATTTTATTTACAAATAGTATGTAGTTTAGAGGTGAAGAACATGAACTCTTGAGTCAGACAAACCTGAACCCGTTTGCCACCGATTGGCTATGTGAACTTGGGCAAGGATTTTAGTCTCTCTTATGCCCAGTTTTTCAATATATGAAGTAGAGACGCCCATAACAAATGCTTCATGGACTTATTGGGAAGAGTAAGTAAAATGATCTTTATAAAAATAGCCAATATGGTGCCTGAGACTCATTAGATGCTTGACAAAAAATAAGTAAGATGATTCATTCATTTCTTCATTTATTTGTGCTTTCAGTAAATATCTGGCACTAAGAATACACAGTGAAGAAAAGGGATAAAAATCTCTACTTTCATAAGTTTGCAGTCTAGTAATAGAGACAATAAACAAGATCAATAAATATAATACATGATGTGTTTGTGCAATTCTAGGAAGACGAATGAAGCAGGGGATAAATATTGAAAGGGTATACTAGTGGTAGTGGGTGTATTTTTAAATTGAGTGGTGAGAAGGGCTCTATTCTGAAGGTGATGATTATATAAAATCATGAAAACTTCTACAATTTTGTATGCCTAACTGGGATTATATATAAAATAAAAATTTCAGAACGTAAGCTCCCTGAGGTCAAGAATTATGTTTATTACCATACCCTTCATGATAGTGCTTGACATGTAGGTGCTCAATAAATATTTAATGAATATTGAGGAATAAATGTTAACAGTTAACACTATGGAAGGTATTATGTGGAGTAAATTTTAAAATTCTTTGCTTACACAAAACAGTAACACCATTTTAGGCAAACAAGTATAGAAAACAAATGATAGTATACAATCAGTGTTAAGTTGTTAGGAGTAGTAAACATTTGACTAGAAATCCTCGAAATATTTTGTGGTACCTCCCCATTCTTCCCCCCATCACTGGCTCTTCTCTTAGGGAATCTGCTTCATTCCTTGCTCTTGTCATAAATAGCAGAGTACAAAGACCCCAGTTTCCAGGTAACAAACAAGTGGAAAGGGGCTCGGGCCCTGCAAGGGTGGTTTAATCTAGGCTGGCCAGCAATTTTTGTGGTCTCACTTGAAGAGAGACCAAGCCAATCAGATCCTCTCCTTAAGGAATTTGAACCAAAAGGACAAGGAAGAAAGTTACGTGTGATTTGGGTGCTTGCACTAAAGATTCACTTAGAGTTTGAGCTGGAGTGGCCATTTCAGAGGTATATCTTATGAGGAAAATAAATGGAGAGAAAGTTGGCTGGGAGAGATCAGAGTAGCTACGCAGAGAGGAAAGGGGAAGCCATGGGTTACAGAGACAAAGATGGGAGGGCAGCTAGCACTCTGGATTACCTCAGTTTCCACTGTCTCTGCAGCTCAATTGTTCAGTCTTCCCAGGATTCCTTGTAAACATCCTTGTATCCTTAGGATAACCTCCTTTTAACTTTAATGTGAGCAAGTTTCTTTCCTTCTAACCAAGAGAGCACAGACTCTAAGTCATCAACTATTTGCTAAGCATTTCAAATACATAACCTTATTTAATTATTAACACAATCCTATTACCAATTTACTTTTCCAAAAAAAAAAAAAAGGAAAGTTCATAAAAATTAACCCATTCATCCAAACTTGAATGACTATCAGAAGAAAGATCTGAAATTTGAACCTGGATCTGTCCAAGTTGAAAGTCTGTGATTTTCATCTTATTCTGCTGGAACAGAATGTGAATGTTATGGGAGATCATGAAAAAACAGACTCCTTTTGATTAGAGTACACAGAGAAAGCTTCATTCCAAGAGGAAGAACTTGAGCAGATCTTAAAAGATAGGCAGAATTGAGAAGCATATAAAATATTTTGGAGTGGCAATGAAATGCTATTCCAGGTATAAGTACAACTTCTCCAAAATCATGATGATGACAATGAGAACATCTGGCAAGACCAGGGAAAAACTAAAGTTTCCATAAGTAAGAAAAGGCTCTATCTTGGAGGCTTGTAGAAACTCAAGTTAGTCCATTAACTTTTATAAACCCTGAATTCTTGCCCTTGTGTATTTAATATTGCTAAATGATTACTAAATATTTTTTGAACCTTAGTACAATGTGTATGAAAGTGGTCTTATTCCTGCAATTTAGGAGTTGGGAATCTAGAAAAAGATATTATTTTAGAAGGAAACAAAACCTACCCCCAATGCTTTTATATCTTTTCCCATGCTTACTCCCCACTCTGCCCTCCAAAAATAGAAATCTTCCTGACTCTAGGGAAATCATGACATTTTCAACTTTGGAACTGCCGATAATATCACTATAAAAGAAAATGCCTTGGTTTACCCTGCAGTTACATGATACATTTGGCTATAATAATCAAGAAGAGGTAAGGCAGTTTTCCCATATAGTTGAGATACTTTTTAAATTCTTTTATTATAAAAACGAATTTAAGAGACTAGAAAATGAAAAACTCTAAAAGTCATTGAGAAAAAAACTACACTCACAGTAATCAAATCCTCTGGGGAAAAAGACATGGTACATTATTATCTTCTTATAAATCCACTAATTTTCCAATTGCTTCTATTTTCTCCCCACCACTCATTATTAACCCACTGTATTCTGGCTTAGCTACTCTCTTGGAATGTAACGGTGTGTATTGGTTTGCTAGGGCTGCCATAACAAAGTACTGCAGACTGGGTGGTATAAATAACAGTAATTTATTTTTTCACAGTTCTGGAGGCTGGAATTTCAAGAATAAAGTGCTGGTCAACTTCGTTTCTTCTAAGGCCTCTCTCCTTGGCCTCAGATGGCTTCCTCACTGTGTCTCACACATCTTTCCTCTGTGCAGGCACATGCCTGGTGTCTGTTTTTGCTTGTCCAAATTTTCTTTTCTTATAAGAACACTAGTCAGATTGGATTTGGTCCCACCCTAATGGCCTTATTTTAACTTAGTCACCTCTTAAAAGGCCTCATCCCCAGATACAGTCACATTCTGAGGTATTTGGGATTAGGGCTTCAACATATGAATTTGTTGGGTGTAAGGAATGTACACAGAGACTTTCTAATTAATAAATCCAAAGGTCTTTCTCTGTTTTCAGCATCCTTACATTCTTTGTAAGATTTAGTCCTGTTGCCCACTTCTTCCTTATAATCTTTCTCCCTTGTCTTAAGAGATACAATACAGCCTCTCTTGCCTTTGGACCTTTTCCTTTTTTTAATTTTTTTAAAAGACAATATCTCACTCTGCTGCCAAAACTGGAGGGTAGTGACACAATCATGACTTAATGCAGTCTCAAACTCCTGGACACAAGTGATCCTCCTGCCTCAGCCTCCTGAGTAGCTGGGACTACAGACATGCACCACCATGCCCAGCTAATTTTTTTTAATTTTTAGTTTGTGTAGAGATGGGGCCTTAGTATATTGCCCAGGCTGGTCTTGGACTCCTGGCCACAAGAAATCCTCCCACCTCAGCCTCACAAAGTGCTGGGATTACAGTAGTGAGCCACCATGCCCACCCTACTGGACCTTTTCATAAACTACTTTTTTCTAATTGAAGCAATTTTCATTTCCTCTTTGCTTTCATTCTCAGTTGAACACTAATCCTTCAAGATGCCTTCCATGACCACCCTAGTCACTTTATATGCACCTTATATTTCTCTTATCATAGCAATAATAAGATGTCAAAAATAATAAAAGGAGAAGGGAGAGCTAACATTGATTGAGTAGTTTCTGTGTGCCTGGAAGTGCCTTACATGTATTACCTCTTTACAACAATCCAATACAATAGATACTACTAATATTCTTACGTTATAGATAATATTGAGGCATAGAAAGGTAAGGACACATGGCTCTAATAATCAACGGAGCGTTTTCCATGCTGTATTGTAATTACAATTGTAATTGTCTTTTTCTCCTACTAGACAATAACATACATGAAGGCAAGAAAGTATTTGGCTTATTTATTGTAGTTTTCCCAGTACCTAATATGTTATCTTATCGGTAACTGCCTGATGAATAGTTTTTGTTCCACTGAATTGACTGAAGTTGAACTGTAACTCTGTACTGTACTTGGTCTCCTCCTTTCTGTTTCACAACTTCTCTGAGTGCTTTGTTGAGGCTTTTTCCTCTCTGAACTCTGTAAATGTAGATTTTTCCCTTAGAAGCTCTAATATTCTTACCTTTCTCTCTACACACTCTCTTTAAAAAGGATTTCATTTACTGGCAGTGTCAAGCAACCATCATATCCATCCAGATGAGTCCCAAATGTATATTTATAGTTCTGACCACTCTCCTAAAAGCAGCTGTCTTTCCACCTATCTACATGCTAACTCTTGTGGTATGTCCTATTGGAATTTCACCTTAATCCTAATGTCCACGCTGAAATAATAATACTCTCCTAAGCAGCTTCTTGCATTTACTCCCTGTTCATCTCAAGAGCAGCAGCTCTCTCTCACTCACACAATCGATACCTGAAAATTAATCCTGATTCTTCCCAATTACCTCCTGCTCTAGCCCATCAGCTGCTAAGTCATGTATGTTCTTCCTCTGCAACACCTCTTCTCTTCATTACCATTGCTACTCTATCGGTGTAAGAGCTCATTACCTCAAGTCCAGACTTTCATATTGGCTTTCTAAATGGGTTTCCCTTTTTCAATTCACCCTTGAAAATGCTGCCAGATTCATCTTCCTAAGTTGTCACTCTGATAAAGCCTTTAGTGACTCCCCACCCTAATGAATTGTATCTGCCTCAACTTGGCATCCAAAGCTTCCCCATCAAATTTTCATTTCCTCTATTCCTGCTCACTTTAACCTTTTGCATTCCCTATACTCCAGCCACACAGACCCAGTTTGATCCAGAAGACCCTACACTTTCTCATTTCTGCTTCCCTTGCAGCCTAGAATAACCTCTACCCCTCATCTTCTCTGGTCAAATTTTATCATGCCTTCAAATCTCAAATGCCAGTTCCTCAGTGTGATCAGCTAAATGTTATCCCTTTTTTGAAATTTTGAATCAAGGACCCCTGGGTCCCTTTCATGGGAAGAGATACTAAACTTTCTTTGTACTGTATTAGGTGTTCTTACGTACGTTATCTCCCTAGTGTAGTCTCCTTAGGACAAGAGGAGCTTTATCTTGTTCAACTAACTGTAAGACTGAGGACAATGCCTTGTATGTGGGAGATAATAAAAAAATTGTTAAATTTAGTTTTCATAAAGCTAATATAAGAAGCAAGAATCATCAGCTTTTCCAAAGGAGCTGACTAATGTCCTCCCATTCTACTAATGTTAATATTTATTAAAAGAAGCATAGGCAATTAACCTATGATTTCTCTGGATCTTTCACTTGCAGGATTGATTTGGTATTGTTCATTGCCCTTTATGTATGTAATGGGGCAAGGACAGGGGAAGGGTACTTTTTGAAGATGAAATATTTTTTGAAAAGATTGCCTCACATAAAGAGAGTTCATATTTTAACTTCCACCATAGTGTTCAGAATTAAATACTCAAAAGTGAGCAGAAAGTAGAACATTTTCTGGAAGAACCAAGGATTCATGTCTCTGGAGCATCCTGGTGTTTTGATTGAGTTCTATTTCTGCAAAATTGTCAAAGATCTCTGATATGACTGACTCCGCAGATATAATGAGATATAACATTTTTCTGCCTGGTAATGATGAAATGACTAAAGCTAAGCTTCAACTAACTTTTCCTTTAAAAAAGAAAACAGAAGTGACTATTAAATGGAAATGTTCTATCTGAAGGGCCCGTTTGGGTAGCACTTATGAAACACTGTCCTGAAGCAACTCTCTGGCCCCCTCACTCAAGACCTAACCTTAATCCCACTTCAAATCTTTCCATTGGTTGTGCAATGGGTCTGAAATCTTCTGACATACCTGAAAATTAATCTTGATTCTTCCCAGTTGCGTCCTGCTCAAGCCCATCAGCTGCTAAGTTATGTGTGTTCTTCCTCTGCAACGCCTCTTCTCTTCATTACCATTGATGAGGATGAGGGCAGATGGGAAGGGAACATGCTACTTACACCATCCCAGAAGACTCATAGCCTAAACCACCAGACATCCCCCATTCCATTTAACTTTTTCCTCAAAAATGTGGACTTAGAAAAGGCTTGCTTTATTCATAGCCTAAGTTATAAGCCATTTGTCCTGATGTAATTCTCCTGTGAATTTTACTGCTGCAAAATAAAAGTATGCCCAATGATCTTGCTTTAATTGATTAGCCAACAATCCTTTCTTCTTTGGTATGGACTCTAGATGAAAGTCTTTGAAAAGCCAACTCCCTTGAAATTGTTCTGGCCAGGTGCAGTGACTCACACCTATATTCCCAGCACTTTGGGAGGACCAAAGGAGGGAGGATTGATTGAGGCCAGGAGTTCGAGACCAGCCTGGACAAAATAGTGAGACTCTGTCTCGAAAGAAGGAAGGAAAGGAAAGGAAAGGGAAAGGGAAAGGGAAAGAAAGGAAGGAAGAAAGAATCACTGAACCACTGTCCTAAGAATATAATAACAATTATTTAAAAAGAAAAAACAACATACACACAAGGCTTTAATTGATAGAAGAGAAAAAATGCTGAGATTGCTTGTGCTGGTTAACTGCATTTGCCATCTTCCCTCCACAGATTCATTCTCTGCCCTTCTGTGCCCTGCTCTGTGCCCAGGAAGGATGGCCTCTGTGAACTAATCCCTTAGTCTCCTGTGTCCTCTGGCTTGTGGTTTGATTTGATCATTGGGAGGTACTGGCAGGAGATCAGAAGGTGAGAAGAGAGAGAAGCTGGAGTATTTGTTCACTCTATGTCATCTCTGCCTGGCCTGGATTATGGCCATGGCTGCATTCAATGGTTATAGCTCCCCTCATCCATGACCTAAAATTGTCTCTGGGTTCTATAATCTCATATATTTCCCTATCCTTTTCAGGCCTAGCAGTGGTAAATCACTTCTGCTAGTCTCTGCCATTTCACCACCCTTTGTGGGCTCTCTCGCCTCCATCCCCTCTATAAGCAGTTGCTTCATTGACCTCTTTTAAGCTCATCCCTCTGAGTGCACATTTTTCTCATGGACTCCGGAAGAGACACTACTAATCTACTTGCCTTGATGAATATAATTTTAGATTGTTTTTAAAAATAAAAGACACTCACCAATGTCACCAAGGCATTAAACAAACATCAATATCATAGGATAGTCCCATTGTATCCTGTTCTAAAACATCTTTAGAAAGAATGTTATTGGATTCATGGTATAAGAAACTTTGAGGCAGGAAGATCACCTCATCCCAGGAAGTCAAGGCTGTAGTGAACTGTGATTGTGCCACTGCACTCTAGACTGGCTGCTGGATAACAGAGTGAGACCCTGTCAAAAAAAAAAGAAAGAAAAAGAAAGAAAGAAAGAGAAAGAAAGAAAGAAAGAAAAAGAAAGAAGGAAAGAAAGAGAAGGAAGGAATGAAGGAAAAGAAAAGGAAATAAAGAAAAAGAAAGAAAGAGAAAGAAGGAAAGAAAAAAGAGAAAGAAAGAGAAGGAAGGAAGGAAGGAAAAGAAAAGGAAAGAAAGAGAAAGAAGAAAGAAAATTTATGAATTAATATAAAATGTCAAAATGGTATCTACAATATTTTATCTTTCCAATAAGGTTTAAAACATCATCCATATACATAAAGAAAGTGTCTGCTGTGAGTTATTTTAATAATGGTTACAAAAAGATCTGAATTCATTTGGTAAAGTTCAAGTCATTCTGTTCATTCCTTGAATTAATTGTACATTTTGGAGCCATCCTGATCTATTTGCACTGGCCCACAACAACCTGTAATTCCTCTGAAACCTGCAACCAACTTATCTGATCTCTCTCTTTCTTTGCATTATCTGTGTGAAAGTACTTCGTCTCCTCTAGACCACAATGAAGTAATTTCCACTTCTCTTTTCATCAAAATGCTTTACCATGAACGGTTCTGACGACAAGGACAAAGAAAAGCAGCAATGGCAGATAGAGAACATAGATGGATAATCTCACAAAAGGAGAAGAGATATAATGGAGAAGAGAAAAAATTTCCTGGGCTGGTGGCAGCAAAAATGGAAAAGCAGGCAAAATTGTTGCAAACATTACCTCCCATATCCTTCATGTTCTTTTCATCCCTCTACCTGATCCCACAGCTTCACCCCAACTCTTTCTACCAGGTGCTCTCAGCTCTATACACCCTTGCTGTCTGTCGATCACTTGTCATGAGATAACCTCATCTGAGTTATTCATTCAAAGTAAGGTACTGAATATTATGTAAACAATATTAGCATTTTAAAGACAGAAGATAATGCTAAAATAAAAAATAAATTTCTAAGTAGGAAATTTCAGGCATCTGTGGGCATAATATTTTTTCATGAACGTATATCAATATTTCTTCATTAACTGGAATTTGGGCTCCTAATTTACCTACTTCAAAAATGCATTAAAATCAATTAACACAATGGTAAACATTGAAACTGAAATAGAGCAGGGAAGAAAATCTTTATCAAGAATCTGTGGCTTAGAAAAACTATACAAAACGGAAAACAAAACTCAACTCTGATAAATGATGGAAGAATAAACACCAGTGATATTAAAAGTTATCTGTGGATAGCAGAGTTTTTTTTCCTTTTCTTTTGATGATTTTCTTTTTTTCTCAAATGTTTTGTAATAAATAATTTTATAGAAGAAATGGGATGAGAACATGGGGAGGCTTCTGGAGTTCTAAATGTTCTGTTTCTTGATCTGGGTCCCAGTTACATTCAGTTTATGAAAGCATATCAAGCTGTATATTTATTACAGGTGCTTTTTTTGTATTTATGTTACACTACAGGTTACTGTTTTCTTAAAAAGGAATGGTCCCATGTTTTCTAAATTCACTACTTTATGATTGAAATAAAATCATGCAATTTAAGTTTGAAAGTACTTCACATGAGAGATATACTGTTATTAGTTGTTGACAATCTAGCATCTCTGAAGTGAACAAAAAAAAAAAACTAATACATTTCAGTTCAGTGTAGGTTTAAATGGCCTTGCAGTGATATATTTTTTCCCAGTCAGAACTAATTACTAGTTCCTACTATAACTGATAAGGAAGTAGGTCCACTTTTTATTTTCTTGGTATCATAACGGTAAATCCATTTTGAGAAGATCAAAATCACATTTTAAATGACATACTGTCACCTTCCTTCCTGGAACAAGAGCTGCTGTCATTGATGCAATTAAAGGCAGGTCCTCATTGAAGATGGGAAGAAGAAATATTGAAACTGGCCCAATTGTCTCATAGAACTGATGCTTATGGATTCTCTTGAATAAACATAGAAATTGACCCTCTCGGTCTTAAAACTTAAGAAAGTTACATTTGTCTTATCTGAGTTTCTTTCTCTGAAAACCAACCATCAGGCCTCCCAGATAATATAAAGGAACCACAACATACCAGATCACCAAACCTGGACAATGAGACACCAGACCCTTCACTTGTCATGATTGCCTAACCCACCGCTTGCTTCTTGTTGAGCAGTTTCTCTTCCTTACCCCCGCGATTCCTGTTTTCACACACATGTTACATTTTTCCCTCCTATATAAACCCATAATTTTAGTTGGTTGAGGAGATGGAGTTGAGACTGACTGATCTATCTTATTGGCTGAAACACCCAAATAAAGTCTTCTTCCCTGGTAATACCCATTGTCTCAGTGATTGGCTTTCTGTGTGGCAAGCAACGGGACCTAAACCAAACCCCTGGTGTTTCAGTAACAATATATTATAGGAAAAGAGAATGGGACATATAATAATGTGACTAACAATCCAGGGGCATCTACAGGTGATGCTGAATTCAGGCAAATATGAAGAACTGGCACAAGTTTGGACCCTTCACTTAATTGCCTGGCATAAGCCCTTTCCCACCATGTTTTCAATATTCTCATCAGACCTAAGTGTCATCAGCAGTTGAGGGAAAGGACACAGCACTTTCTTTAGCCAAACATCTCCTTACATTTTGGATTTTAGTTGACATTTTGAGTAGCGGGTGTTGTTTGTAATGTGTACACATTTTAGTGATTGATAATTGTTAATGAGAGAAGTTGAGCAAAATGGATTGAATTGAGCTTTAAAATGTTTCAGGGAGGAGGAGATCTATTTATAGGCAGAAATCCCTGTCTCTGATTTTATAGAAAACGTCTTTTTAAAAAAAAAAGTTAACAAAATTTTTGTTATATACAAATGTTTAGTTATAAAGCATAAAACTTCTTATGTAAGTTGGAAAGTGTTAAAATAAACACTCATGACTACAACACATAAACAGAAACAGAGCATTGCGAGTCACACTGCATCTATGTGTTTCTCACCTCTTTCTTTCCCTCATCTTTCCCCAGAAGTAAACACAATCTGAAATTTTCTATTTATTATTTCTTTGCTTTATTTTTAATACTTTTAAGGTTTACATATCTCTCTAAATAATACATGATTTCATTTTGCCTGCTTTTGTTCTTCAGAAAATGTTAGCATACTGTAAATAGTCTTACGCAGCTTACATTTTTACTCAGTTATATTTCTCTGATCCAGCTATATTATTATAAGCAATTATAGTTTATGTATTTTCATAGTTATATATGATTAAGTGTTCTTTTTAATACATTTTTATTATCCTTTCAGTAGTGATTATATTTGTAATTTTGTACCTCTTTTTCTTTCTGATCTGATTCATCATTTCTTCTTTTTCAAAGCCCTCTAACCAGAAATTTGTCCATTTTATTAGTTTTATTTTAAAAAATACTTTTGGCTTTTGTCAATTCTTTTTTATTTTGGATTTTTCATATCATAAATGTCTGTTCTTATCTTATTCTTTGCTTATTTACAGCTTTATTATTTCTCAATCTACTTGTGAAAAGTAACTTCCTATGTAAGATGTAGTTAATAGCAGTAAATACCATATAGGTTTGCTCTCTATACTAAAAACACAAATAAAGTACCTGAACAAATTAAGTTATTTGTATGTGTTTACTATTATTGCAATTATAAATATCATTTTCTTCTAAAGTGTACATTTGTATATCTTTTCATTTTTTAGTAATTAATTTTATTGTATTTTATAAAGTATTAGTCTGCCATGTATTAGGGAAAAGTAAAAACTTCTACTTCACAGATGATTTAAGAACTGCCTTATAACACTTTTTTCTTAGAGAAGGGTCTCACTGTATTGCTCAGGCTGGCCTCAAACTGCTGGCCTCAAGCATCCTCCCACCTCAGCCTCCAAGTAGCTAACAGTATAGGCACACAACACCACACTCAGCTTGCATTAGAACACTTTACCACTATTTATTCTCATCCCCAGTAATTTTTATTTTTGTCAAAAAACTTTTTTCTACTTTTTCCAGTCCCCTAAAGCATTGCTAATGTTGACTTACATAGTCAATATTGGTTTACATTTAGTCACATTTTTAGCACTCCCTGTGCTCTTCATTTTTTCTTGTGTTTCAGAACTTCCATCGCAGATCGCTTTTCTTCTACAGGAAATACATTCTTTAAAACTTCTTAGTGAAAACATGCTAGTGGCAAAGTCTCTTAGTTTTTGTTTCTCTACACATTTCTTATATTGTTCACATTATTTAAAGGTATTTTTTCTGGGTGTAGAATTCTAGATTGTTAGTCTTCTGCACCTTCACTTAGCTATCATTTTTTTCTTCATTGCCTTCTGGCTTGAATTTGCTGTTGAGAAGTCAGCTATTAGTCTACCACACCTATATAAGTAACTCATTCTTTCTCTGCTTAAAAAATATTCTGTGATTTTAGTGTTCTGAAATTTAATTCAAATGCGACTGAGTATGGTGATGTTGGGTTTTTTGTTGTTGTTTCTGTTTATCTTTCTTCAATTTATTTTCTTTTTCTTTTCTTGAGACAGGGTCTTGTTCTGTTGCCCAGGCTGGAATGCAGTGCAATCATGGTTCACTGTAGCCTCTACATTTCAGGCTCAAGCAATTCTCCCACCTCAGCCTCCCAAGTAGCTGAGATTACAGGCATATGCCACCACACCTGTCTAATATTTTTTCTTATTTTTTGTAGAGATGAGGTCTCACTATGTTCCCCAGCCTGGTCTTGAAGTCCTGGGCTCAGGTGATTCTCCCATCTTGGCCTCACAAAGTGCTGGGATTACAGGTGTGAGCCACTGCACCCTGCCTCTTTCTTCAATTTCATTTGGCCCTCTGAATCCAGATTTTAGTATATCATTAGTTCTGGAAAAATTTAAATATTTGTTTTAGGATGTTTCTCCAATTTTTTTTTCTCCTTATAGAACAACAATCATATGTTTTTTGGTCCATTTCTCATTTCTTTGTCAGACAAATTCTTAAGGTGGCTTCCATGGTCTCTGCCTCCTGGTGATCATGCCCTTATATTTGCCCTCCACTTGAGTGTGGGTGGGTCCTGTGAGTTGCTTATGTAGTAATCTTTATTCATTTGTGTTTAGTCTTCTTGGTGAGATCATGAGTTTTTAATTTCAATTTATATATATGTGTATATACACACACACACACGTGGTCTAAGCATTTCTTGATACTTTATTTGCTTTCTTTGTCTACTCGGAATGTTATTCATTATAGTTTCTTGCTTGCCTCACATATATTAATTTTTTTAATAAAATCATTTTAACCTATGTCTAATAATTTCCTTATCTGAAGTCCTTTTCTTGCCTGTTTCTGAGGCCTATTGTTTTGCTGAGTTTTGCTGCGTTTTCCTTGGATGCTTTCTTATTCTTTATTTAGAACTGCTTTTTTTGCAGGGGACGGAATTTATTTTTGGGGTTTTTTGAAGGCTGGAATAAGAATAATAGTGGATTCTTCCTGAGAGGACTTGTATTTGATTCTGCCAAGCTGCTGGGACACTACAAGTTTATAATCATTTTAAATTTAATTTTGACATTTTCTGGAAGCCTAATGTGATTTTGTGCTAGCCTCATTTGTCCAGCTGTTGAAATATTATGTTATTATAATAACATAATAATTATGTAATGTCCTTGACATCTCTATTTGAGTATCTCAGATAACCTGTGCAAAACTGAATTCCTGAACCCAAAACTTGCTCTTCTTCCACTCTTCCCTTAGTTAGTGTTCATTTTCCAGGTGCCAAAACTTCTGTCATCAGGGTTCACACCTCTCTTTCTCCAGCAATGCAAATCAAATCTACCAAAAAACGCCATCATTTCTACCTTTAAAGTGTATCCAGAATAAAACCACGTTCCTCCTTCTCAAGTGATTCAACTCCAGTATGAGCCACGGACATCAGCTTTTTCCTTGCTTACTGCAATAGCTTCCCATTAATCTCCAAGCTTCCATGCTTACTTGAAGATTACAAGTAATTCCCTTTATAGCAAACAGGTCATTCTGTTCAAACAAAATCCACATAGATCACATCACTCTCCAAGCTCTTCACTGGCTTCCCATCTCCTTACAGTGACTTATCAGATCCTATACTCCCCATTTCCTCTGTGATTTCACTTCCTTCCAATTTTTCCCTTGCTCAGTCAACTCTAACCACACGGATACCCTTCCAGTTCTTAAGCTCCCCACTCAGGGTCTTTTACTTGCTGTCCCTCTGTGTGGAGTGCTCTTCTCCTCAGATATCTGTCTGGCTGACTCACTTAAGTCTATCAAGCCTTTGCTTAAATATTATGCTCTCAATAAGACCTGCCTGGCCACCCTAACTATAATTAAACCTCTGCCTCCTGTACTCCCAATTTTAATTTCCTGCTTGATTTCTTTCCCATGGTGTTTATCATCAAACTTAATATTTCATTTACTTATTTATTTTAGTTTCCTCTTTCTTTGATTATAATGTATTCCAGAAGAGAGGAAAAATTTGTCTGTTTTATTCACTGTTACATCTCCAATGCTTAGGAAAGTCCTGGAACATAAAAAATATTTTAAAAATATTTGTGAATGAATGTATGTTTTTCTTCTTAGCATAAAACTCATAAAGGTAATGTTTCATTGTGGGCATTTTAAAAATCTGACATACATACATCCTCTGAAACCTAGGCGGAGGTTCCCAAACCTCAATTCTTGACTTCTGGGCACTCATAAGCCCAACATCACATGTAAGCAGCCAAGGCTTGGAGCTTGCACCCTCTGAAGCCATGGCTTGGGCTGTACCTTGATCCCTTTTAGCCACAGCTAGACAGGCTGGAATGCAGGACATCAAGTTCCATGGTTGCGCACAGCAGGAGGACCCTTGATCTGGCCCAGGAAACAATTTTTCCCTCCTAGGCCTCCAGTCCTGTGATGGGAGGGGCCGTCATGAAGGTCTCTGACATGCCCTGGAAACATTTTCTCCATTGTCTTGGTGAATAACATTTGGTTCCTTGTTACTTATGCAAATTTCTTCAGCAAGCTTGACTTTCTCTCCAGAGAATGGGGTTTTCTTTTCTATCACATCATCAGGTTGCAAATTTTCCAAACTTTTATGCTCTGCATCCTCTTGAATCCTTCACCACTTAGAAGTTTCTTTGGCCAGAGACCCTAAATCATCACTCTCAAGTTCAAGTTTCACAGACCTCTGGGGCCGGGGCAAAATGCTGCCAGTCTCTTTGCATAGCAAGAGTGACCTTTACTCCAGTTCCCAACAAGTTCCTCATCTTCATCTGAGACCACCTCAGCTTGGACTTTATTGTCCATATCACTATCAGCATTTTGGTCAAAGCCATTCAACAGGTCTCTAGGAAGTTCCAAATTTTCCCACACCTTCCTGTCTTCTGAGCCCTCCAAGTCTCTGGGAAGTTCCAAACTTTCCCACATTTTTCTGTCTTCTTCTGGGCCCTCCAAACTGTTCCAACCTCTATCTGTTACTCAGTTCCAAAGTCACTTCCACATTTTCTGGTATCTTTACAGCAGCACCCCACTACCTGGTACCAATTTACTGTATTAGTCTGTGCTCATGCTCCTAATAAAGACATACCTGAGACTGGGTAATTTATCATGGAAAGAGGTATAATTGACTCACAGTTCCACATGGCTAAGGAAGCCTCACAATCATGGTGGAAGGCAAAGAGGAGCAAAGTCCTGTCTTACGTGGTGGCAGGCAAGAGAGACTGCTTTTTGTTTCAGCTATTCTTCTATAGAGACCTAGCACATAGGGTAATTGTCTTTATAAACCAAGTCATCTATAATTAGAATTATATATCTTAGAAATTCCAAATCCAGGCATTTAAGTTACCTGTTATCATTAAATCTGCCAAAGGCAGAGGGGTGATTAGTTTCAAAAGGCCAACAAAGAAGGAAAGAAATTAATGTCTGTTGCTTGCCTACTTTGTATCAGTCACTAGCTGGGCAATAGCATACGTTTGTGTGGTGCGTGTTTGTGTGTGTGTGCATATCCTTATAACAGTTCCATGAGAGGGGCAATATTTTCTCCATTCCCACAGGTGAGATAATTTGACAAAGATACCATAGCTAGTAAATGAAAAAAGATTATAGGCAGCTCCGTCTAATTCTAAAGCCTGTCATCCCTTCTTGTTGTGCTGTTTTCACCTAAGATTTATGGGAAGAAACTTTTGAGTGGCAAATAGGTACATGACAAACTCTGTCAATAACCTTAAGCTGAATCTTTGATTTCATGTCTCATGAACTCAGAAGAATCCATAGTAGTACATGACATGGGTGGATCTGTGTCTTCCCTAAGCCCACTGCTCAGCTGCCAACTTCCCTGAAACTTACAGAACTTAATAACCATATAGAGTTTAGACAAGGAGACTTCACTATAGATTATATTCTCTTATGAGCACAGGATCCACAGTCATCTTTTTTTAATGTTATAAAGTAGATTCTGTAGCTTCTCCATTCAAAACTTCCAGGGGCTTCTTGGGTAAAAGCTGTGGCCCCTTCAGTGTTATCCAAGGTCCTATGTCATATGTGAATTCCCCAAACCAGGCTCCTATCATTCTACTCCTTGCTCACATTTATCTAGCCAAACTGCTCTTACCATGCACAATCCCACCTCTTGTTTTTTCTCTGCCTGGAATGTTCTTCCCCCAAACAATCACATGGCTCACTCTATTTCTTTCTTCAGGTATTACTCAAGTATCATCTTCTTGGGAGGGCCTCTTTGACCACTCTAGCCTGGCCATGTCCAGCATCCCTCCATGTATCCATACCCAGCACTTCACCACACACCCAGCACTTCCTATTCTCCTTCTTTGCTTTATGTTACATAAACATGCCATATATTTTATGTATTTATATTGATTAGTATCTGTTCCAACTACCCTCACATTAGAAAGTGAGATTCACAAGGACAGGGATTGTGTGCATTTTGTTAACTGCTATGTAGGCAATGTCTGTACCAGTACTTCTCTATACAGTTTATGTTTAATAAATATTGATTTAGTAAATCAACAAATTTGAAAATTGAGGATTCAGCACTTTTACACCTTCTAAGTAGTAAAATAAACAATTTTGTTCTAGGTAGTCCAGTTAAAAAAGTTCGGATAGCACCTACTGAATTTTCACTTAGAAAACATAACATGTTGAACAGAAAGTAATTTTTAACTCTTAAGAAAGCCTTTAAAATTTTACAACAAAGATTCTGCACCATCACCCTTCCAGGAAAGGTGCATCAGACATAATGTTATTCATATTTAATTCTTTACCACTTTCTTTCTGAACCCTTGAGATTTCAACCTCTGAGCCAAGATTCCCTGATTGTTGGCCTATTACTAAGTGCAGAAGCGAGAATTTCCCAGACATTCTTAAACAAAATCCAATTTGACAAGATGACAACAGCTATGTGAATATTAGAATCTTCAATTGCTATAATGACACAGAAATTAGGCCTAGAAATCTCTAAAGTTATCAGAGTGTGATTTGTTTGAAATAGGTCAAAATACATTTTTTAAACATACTAATGCAGTTCAATATGTCCATATGTGTGTGTGTGTTTCTTAAACCTTTATACCATTGTCTCTTCTACTTTTTCTTAAAATATGTTTTTATTTAATTCCACTTAATGGGGTCCTTACATCAAAAACTTCAAAATGAGAAGTCGTTGGGAGGCGGAGGTGGGAGGATTGCTTGAGCTCAGGAGCTTGAGACCAGCCAGGGCAATATAGAGAAACCTCATCTCTACAAAATTAAAATTAAAAAATAAAATGGGAAGAGTTGCTTTGATTTTGCACCCAGCTTCCTGGTGTTCCGGTACACTCCTGCAGAAAAAAAAAAAAAAAGAAAAGAAAAGAAAAGAGGATGTGAGCCAATCTCTGAAGCCTGCATGGTGTTACAGAATGAAGAGAAGGTTCACAATCCTGAGGCTTCTCCTTGATGAGGAAGAAAAAGAAGTAAGTCTGGCACTCAATGTCCCATCGTTTCATCACACTGCCCTAGAGAAAAAGGTGGGAGTTTTACTGTGTCCCAAATAGCTTTGTGGGATTGCAAAAAAACACACAATCCTCAGACTTCTCTCCCAGGAAAGAAAAAGAAGAATGGAGTATGCACACCCAAAGAAAATGTTTGAGAGGCTCCCAGAATCTCTAGCAAGTCTGACTGGTGAAGACTGCTGAAGACGGAAGAGGCATATGCTTTCTCAAAGGCAGAAACACCAATGCAGAGCTACAATTCCTTGAAGAATTGGGAAAATATAAATATAATAGGAATAAAACAATTCCCTAGATTTGATTTTAAAGGAAGAGAAAAGAACAACACTATCCTACTAGTTCTTCACCTTATATCTCTGAATTTAAAAATGTAAGAATACAGGAGAATCTCAGAGTCTAACTCTTATTTAGCCCCAAATCCAACAAGAATGACTCTTGAACTACACAAAAGCATTGTAAGTCTTCAAATGGAAGAATGTACAAGCTACCATCCTTGCTTACAAAGACACCATTTCTGAGGGAGAATAAAGTGAAGGAATAACTACAGATGAAAGTTCTATTATAAAAAATAGAATACTTTGTCTAATGAAGAACATTTACCTGTTTCTATCTCTTTCTAAAATTAATCACTGCCAGTCATAGAGTCAGTCACACCATAATACCAATTTCAGTTTCAGACATTGAGGCAATTTTCCTGCTTTTCTATTTCCTGGTGTGTAGTAGATACACAATCTTCTTTGTTTTCTTCCCCTTCAATCCCATGTGAGAGTTGATCCAAGTCACTGTATATACTGGGCTGCATTCATCCAATTACAGGCCTTTATATTCCTCGAAAGAGATGTGAAACAAGAGTTTTGTCCTAATTTCCAGTGCCTACCTAATATGGAAGGAGTGTATACAAAAGAAAGCCTTTTTGAGCATGGAAGAGAATAGCATTGATTATATATTTCGAGGTCAAGATCATCTAAGTAAATTTTAAAAGGCAGCAGCTCTCAGACCCAGGGAAGGGCTAAGTGAGAGACCCATGGGGCTCCACATTCTCTCCACGGCCGCTACAGGAGAGCCCATCGACCCTCCTGCCTCCAGACTGGCATAGAAAGCTGCCTGGAGATTGTGCAGAGGCATTGCTCAAACTCACGTGGTGGAGCCCACGGGCTTCTGAGTACTGGGTAGCTGCAGCACAGCGCCATTGTAGGAGCCCATTCCCCAAGGCTCAGTATGTGTACTAGGGCTGCTATTGCCCCTGCTGGCTGCTGGGCCAGGGAGTGAGAAGAGATGCTGGGCACTCTCACATGCACCAAGGACAAATACTCCTGCCACTGCTGTGAACCCACACAATCAACACCTGCCTGCCTTCCACAAAGCTGCTTGCCTGGCTGTTCTGTAGAAAGGGGCCTGCCTTTCCTGGTGGCAAGGCTGCAGCAACCACCATTGCCAGGACTGCGTATTCTGCTGGAAATCTGGGACCAGCTGGCCCTTCCCTATCTCAGCCAGCACCTGAATCCAGGAGGCCTGAGGACGAGTTCACTGGCCTGATTACATCCCCCCACTCCAGGACTCAAGCTGTCCAGGGGCCAAGGGATGATATTGTCAATCTAATCTTGAGTGGAGGAGGAGATCCCACCATCAGAATTAAGAAGAGAGTGTGGCATGTGTTCATGCCGCGGTGCAGGAGCTGGGCACCTCATCCTATGTGAGACTGATCCAGGAAGGGTGTGCCATGGGGTGCATCTTCTGTCTTGGGCAGGGAACCTCAGGGCCTGGGGAAGCTTTGCAATCTGAACGGCAGACTGCTTGGGACAGGACTGGCTGTCGCGGCCTGCTGCCAGTGGCCAAATGCTAGTGGGAGAACTGCTGGATTAGGCTGTGAGAGCTGGATGGGTGCTACCACCCACTAGTGAGCTGTGGAATCCCAGCTGTCCCTTTCCCCCCAAATCCCCCCTCTCCTCAGCAGGTGCTTTCGCGTGGTAGAGGTGCCTCCACCAGCCTGAAAAATTGTCCCAGTTGCAAGACAGCTGCCACCTAACCCCTGTTGGAGCCAGCACTTGTGCCTGTCACAGGGAGCCTGGACACGGGCTTGCCCAACACAGCCCCATCTGGCTTTGCTCCTCCCATCTGCCTAGTGGTAGAACACCGGACAGACAGCCCACCCATTGCCTGAGACATCCGAATACTTCTCCTGGTTTGAACAAAGGCCAAACATAAATCCTATTGCCACCGCCATAGCTGCTTCTCTCCTGTAAGTGCCACCTACAACCCCAGAGGTCAACCTGCAGAGCCCATTACAACATCTGCTGGCACAATTACAAGTGCTCAGCCAGCTTTTACCCCCAAGCACCACCTACTGGCCTAGAGGTTGAACTGCATGACCCAATACAATAAGTGCTGACAGAAGTGCATGGCACTGGGGAACGAAGTAAGCCTACAAAGACCTCTGCCTCGTTGTCTCTGCAGGAGGCAGTGAGCCTGCTCACATGCCCAGTACACCACTACTACAACCAGAATCTTGGAAAACCACCACACTAAGGCTATCTATAACTAAGGAATTCAAACAGATCCTTGGCCCCATGAAAGCACCCAGAAGCAAAGCCAAATGACCCTACTCAATATACATTACAATCACACTCTCAAGGGGGAAAAAAGTCCCATCCAAATGAAAGTAAATTCAAAAGTAAGAAATGAAAGATTCCACAAATGAGAAAGAACCAGTGTAAGAATTCTGGCAATATGAAAACACAGGGTGTTACAACAACCCCTACAGATCACACTAGCTCTATAGCAATGGATCCTAATCAAATGAATATTCTGAAATGCCAAATACAGAATTTAAAATATGAATTATAAGGATGCTCAATGAGATCCAAAAAAAAGTTGGAAACCAACACAAAGAAACCAGAAAAACAATTCAGGATATGAATAAAAATTTACTAAAGAGATACATATTTTTTAATAACAGAACTTCTAAAAGTGAAAAATTTATTGAAGGAATTACAAGATATAGTTGAAAGTTTAACAAAAGACCAGATCAAGCAGAATAAAAAACTTCGGAGCTTGAAAACAGGTCTCTCAAATTAACCCAGTCAAACAAAAATGAAAAAGAATTTTAAACAATAAAAAAAACCTTCAAGAAATATGAGGTTATGCAAAGCATACAAACCTATGAGTCACAAGTATTCCTGAGGGAAAAGAGAAAAACCTGAAAAACCTATTTGAGGAAATAATTGAAAACTTTTTTGGTTTTGCTAGAGATTTAGATATCCAGATACAAGAAACTCGGAGAGCTCCTGGGAGATACATTAGTTCTTTGAATAGATAAACAAAATCAATAGACTGCTAGCTAGATTAGCCAAGAAAAAAAGAGAAAATATTTAAATAAGCACAATCAGAAATGATAAAGGAAACATTACAACTCATACCAAGAAATACAAAAGATCATCAGAGACTACTATGAGTATCTCAATGCACACAAACTAGAAAACCTAGAGGAAATAGATAAATTCCTGGAAACATAAAACCTCTCAAGACTGAACCAAAAAGAAATATTAATAGATATCCTGAAATAATCAATAATGAGTAGTGAGATTGAATTGATAATAAAAAATATCCCAATGAAAAGAAGCCTAAAACAGACAGATTCACAGTTAAATTCTACCAGATGTACAAAGACTAACAGGTGCCATTCCTACTAAAACTCTTTCAAAAAATCAAGGAGGAAGGAATCCTCCTTAACTCATACTATAAAGCCAGTATCACCCTGATACCAAAACCAGGCAAGGACACACACAAAAAAAGAAAATTACAGGCCAATATGCCTGATGAACATAGATGTAAAAGTTCTCAACAAAATACTAGCAAATCTAACCCAACAGCAAATTAAAAAGATAATATGCCATGATCAAACGAGTTTTATTCCAGGGATACAAGTATGGTTCAACATATGCAAATCAAAAATGTGATTCACCACATAAACAGAATTAAAAACAAAAACCATTTGATCATCTTAATAGATTAAGAAAAGTATTTGGTAAAATTTTTCATTTCTTTATGATTAAAACTCAACAAACTAGGCATAGAAGGACCATACCTCAACATAATAAACGCCATATATGACAAACCCACAGCCAACATAATACCAAATGGGGAAGAGTTGAAAGTGTTCTCCATGAAAACTGAAAGAAGATGAGGATGTTTGCTTTCATCACTCTTGTTCAACATTGTACTGAGAGTCCTATCTAAAGCAATCAGACAGGAGAAAAAAAAAGTATCCAAATCAGAAAAGAAGAGGTTGAATTATCCCTGTTTGCTGATGACATGATCTTTTACCTAGAAAACTCTAAAAACTATTCCGAAATACTTCTAGATTTGAGAAATGACTTCTGTAAAGTTTCAGGATACAAAACCAATGTGTAAAAACCAGTAGCATTTCTATATACCAAAAATAATCAAGCTGAGAACTAAATCAAGAACTCAATCCCATTTACAATAGCTACAAAAAATAAACTAGCTAGAAATATATTTAACCAAGAAGAAAGATCTTTACAAGGAGAACTACAAAACACTGATGAAAGAAATTGTAAATGACACAAACAAATGGAAAAACATTCCATGCTCATGGATTGAAAGAATCAATATTGTTAAAAGGACCATAATGCCCAAAGTAATCTACGGATTCAGTACAATTCCTATGAAATTACCAATGTCATTTTTTTCAGAATTAGAAAAAAAAATCCTAAAATTCACATGGAACCAAAAGAGTCCAAATAGCCAAAGAAATCCAAAGCAAAAGGAGCAAAGCTTGAGGCATCACATTACGTGACTTCAAATTATACAAGGCTATACTAAGCAAAACAGCATGGCACTGGTATTAAAATAGACACATAGATCAATGGAACAGAATAGAGAAACCAGAAAAAAAGCCACATACCTACAAGCAACTTATCGTCAACAAAGTTGTCAAAAATGTACACTGGGGAAAGAATACCCTTTTTAATAAACGGGGCTGAGAAAATTGGATTGCCATAGGTAGAAGAATAAAACTGAATCCCAGCACTTTGGAAGGCCGAGGCGGGTGGATCACGAGGTGAGGAGATAGAGAACATCCTGGCTAACATGGTGAAACCCCATCTCTACTAAAATTACAAAAAATTAGCCAGGTGTGGTGGCTGGTGCCTGTAATCCCAGCTACTCAGGAGGCTGAGGCAGGAGAATGGTGTGAACCCGGGAGGCAGAACTTGCAGTGAGCCAAGATCGCGCCACTGCATGAGCGAGACTCCGTCTCAAAAAATAAGTAAATAAATAAATAAATAAAACTGGACCCTTATCTCACACCACATACAAAAACCAACTCAAGGTAGATTACACGCTTAAATTTATGACCTAAAACTATAAAAATTCTAGAAGAAACTTCTTCTGGATGAAGGTCTAGGCAAAGAATTTATGACTAAGACCTCAAAAGCAAATGCAACAAAAACAAAAACAGAGAAATTTGATTTAATTAAACTAAAAAGCTCTGCACAGCAAAGAAGCAACCAATAGAGGAAACAGACTACCCAAAGAATGGGAGAAAATATCTGCAAACTACGCATCCAACAAAGAGCCTATATCCAAAATCTACAAAGAGCTCAAACAACTAAACGAGAGGAAAATAAAAATGTAACTTTGCTCCCCTCTCTATGTGAAAAGAAAAAAAGAAAAAAACAAGCCCAGGAAAAAGGACATAAATGAACATTTTTCAAAAGAAGACATACAAATGGCCAATAAACATTAAAAAAAATTAACATCCCTAATCATCAGAGGAATGCAAATTAGAACCACAATGAGATACCATTTTACATCAGTCAGAATGGCTATTATTAAAAATTAAAAAACAACAGTTGTTGGTGAGGATACAGAAAAAAGGAAAAACTTAAATACTGTTGGTCAAAATGTAAATTAGTACAATCTTTATGGAAAACAGTATGAAGATTTCGCAAAGAACTAAAAATAGAACTACCATTTTATTCAGCAATCCCACTTCTAAAAATCTACTCAAAGGAAAAGAAATCATCGTATTAAAAAAGACCCATGCACTTGTATGCTTATTGCAGCACTATTCCCAATAGCAAAGTCAAGGAATTAACCTCAGTGGCCATCAATAGATGGTTGGATAAACAAAATACGGTATATATGCACCATGGAATACTACACAGTCATAAAAAAGAATGAAATCATGTCTTTTGCAGCAACATGGATGGAACTGGAGGCCATTATCTTAAGTGAAATAACTCAGAAACGGAAAGTCAAATACCATATGTTCTCACTTGCAAGTGGAAACTAAACAACTTTTACACGTGGAAAAACAGAGTGGCATTATAGACATTGGAAACCAAAATGTGAGAAGTTGGGAGGGGAGTGAGGGGCGAGAAATTACCCATTGGGTACAATGTATATCATTCAGGTGATGGTTGCACTAAGAGCCCAGACTTCACCACTACACAATAAGTCTACATTTTTTTAAAAAGTACTTTTACTCCCTAAATCTATTTTTTTTTAATTTAGAGAGGTAAACTTTCTTACTCAAAAGACAAGTATCTCTGTAGCCTAGACATTGTGCTGTTCACCTTCATCACCTGGCAGTGTACATCTTGAAGAACGTTACTCTGCAATGGTAATATCAATGGAGACATGTTTTTCTTGATGAACATTTTCTTCATCTGTCCATTTATGCAAATCAGTTTTCATCACCTAAATAGTTTTTGTTTTCTTCTGAATTGCTGTAGATTTTCTGATAATTTTCTGTTGCTATTTGCCTAGATTGAAGATGATCAGAATCATTTTCATATTGAAAATGATCAGAGTCATAAAAAGAAGAACTATTCTCTTTTCTTAAGACAGAATAATTCTACATATACAGAGAAATATACTGGGGATCCTTGCGGGAATACTGAATTGCCATACAGTAGCCAATTTATTGCTAATATATGGCCTTACAATCTATTTTTACTGTGTCTCAAAATTTTCATCACCTCAATGTCTTCATTTCTATTTATTTTCTGAGATGTATTGGCTTTTATTTTTACAAAAGGGATTTATTTTTGCCTCATTTACAGTCACATAGTGTTTTCAGTGCCTCAACATTAATTTGTAGCCCTAAAGCAAATATGGTGTTGGGAGGGGATTGTTGTGTAAAGGTGGAAAATTCATTATCAATCTTAGATATATTTCTATATGCATGACTCTGATAACCACAAAATATTAGGTAAGTAGGTAACTGGATTTGAACCAGCATGAGAATATAAAATAATTTAAATAGATGTCAGAGAAATCCAATCCTATGATAAAATATTTTCATCAAGAATGTAAATCACAAGAAGTTTGTGGACCAAGCAATAAATGTTTCCAGGCAGAAAAGCAGTCTCTTGGGCAATTAGAACTTTATTCTCTTTAGAGAACTTAGCTTAGTGTGGCCAAGCGATATTTGCCAATGTCCTGAATATTTTCTTCCTCATCCTTGATTGTAATGACTCATTTTCTTTAGCTCCATTTCCCGTACACATGACAAATTTACTTTTGCACATAAAATTCCATAAAAAGATGCCTAAGTGCAAGTTAAAATAAATGGCATTTGCCTCATCTTGCCCCAACAAGTAAGATAATTTACTACTAATTATGCTGAACTGGTCAGATTTTTATACTGTAGGTTTTATGGGTATTTAAAGCTTATTTGAATTCTAATTAATAATGTGATCAAGTTAACAAGTGTAGCATTCTAATATTTTCTTACATAAAATATTGAAGCACACTAATTTTTAAAGCACTTTTTTCATTCCCATATTTTTAAATCCTTAGGAAAGTTTCGGTGTTCATGATTCATGTAAAAACAAAAGACTATGAGAGGATTACCGAAATGATTTTTCTAATTATTGCACCTGGTCTTAAAACAGTAATTGCAACTTAATTAGAAGAGCTACTATTGAGCAAGAGTTCACACACACTGGGGGCTTTTAACACACTTTCTAATGTTAGTCATGATCTTGGAAAGTAAGTATGAATTACAGCCCATTTTACAAGTGGAGAAACTGAGGCATAGAGAAATTAAATAACTTGCCAAAGGTGACACAGCTAAAAAAAAGATGGCAATGCAGGAATGTTTACCTAATTCTTTGTGTCTACTTCCAATTACCCCAAAGTATAACTCTTGCAAAGTGTGTCCCAGATGATAAGTATAATCAATTATTTCTGCACTAGTAAAGCCTCACCTTCAATTTGTGCCCAGGTGAATTCCTAGTTTTTCTAGAATTTCAAAATATGGTCAGTGTCTGATTTCCCAGCAGCATCCCTTTGCCTCCAAATGTCCTCTGGCATAATTGTTACTTTAAATAAATTTACTGTTTATATTTTTTAAGATTTTCCCAAATATCTCATTTGGAAAGTGAAGACACTATGTTATGTTGTAAACAATGACTGGAATTGCTGATGTATAGAAATTCTTGTTTTTAAAATTTAGTCTGTTTTATTTCAGAAATCAACATTTGGATTGCATATACTTTTTGACTTATTAATAAAACAGTTTATCCCTCCCTCAATAATTTTTTCCTCCTCTCAGATAACAATGTCTTTTTTTAGCAAATCAAGGTAATTATCATTTTAATTAATGTTGTGCTTTGCTTATAAAATATATTTATAATGGCCAGGCCTGGTGGCTCATTCCTATAATCTCAGCATTTTGGGAGGCTAAGGTTGGAGGATCATTTGAGCCCAGGAGTTCAAGACCAGCCTTGGCAACACAGAGACCCCTGTCTCTACAAAAAAAAAAAAAATTGATTAGCCAGGCACAGTAGTACATGCCTGTAGTCCCAGCAGCTTGGGAGACTGAGGTGGAAGGATCTCTTGAGCCAGGAAGGTCAAGGCTGCAGTGAACCATGATCATGCCACTGCACTCCAGCCTGGTCAATAGAGCAAGACCCTGTCTAAAAAAAAAAAAAAAAGAATGCATTGGTTAACAGTGTTCATAAGTAATTGTTGAAAAATAAATGAATTGTATCCATTATCATATTTTCATTTTTCAGGCTATAACTGATATTATAATATAATATGCTTTCCTTTGTATCTTTCTAATTTTATTTAGATGCTTTTCCTGGAAGAGAAAATCCTTTAGATTATGGTGGTATTTTATCCTCTAACAAAGTCTTCTATGGGAAAATGTGATCGTTTTTATGGTTTGTTGAGTACCTAAAATGAGCTCTAGAAAATTCATCCTGATCCATGACCTTTGTGAGTTTACAATAGAAAGTAACATATCTCACTTTTTATTCAACATACATACGTCACTGTAATACATAATCAAGAGGTCACTTATCTCGACACCATAACTATCTGAAACACAGTTAAAAACAAAAAACAAAAAATGTAATAAAAACAGCAACAACAGCAAAGGAACCATAGAGTATAATCTCTTCAGGGAAGCCAGAATCAATGCTGCAAGCCTTTGGTCCAGGCTCTGGGTCGTTGTTTTCTAATTACGGAGAATCTCAGACATTAGAGTTCATTTCATTTAACAGTAAGCACAATTCTAACTAGCTTCCCTTAGCCCTGTCACTGTCCTGTTTCCCTCTTCCTCCTCAGTGTATCTACTTGGGGTCTTTCAATTTTGCCTGCCTGCATATCTTTGCATCTGTGGTGACGCTGATGGAGCCCAGGTGTTTATTCTGTTTCTCTTGATCATGGTAACTACCTCCCCAGTAGCTCCGCTCTTCCATCCCCTCTAACATACTCTTCACTACGGTGGTCCCGCCGTAAAGCTATTGGAAGCACTGCCATAAAGCTATTGGAAGCACCACCGTCCAGCTTAAAAATCCTTAATGGATTCCCGATTACATGCAGAACTGAGAGGTCCTTAGCATGGTATACAAGACCCTTCATTCATTGGCCACTGCTATTCAGATGCCAAGTGAAGAAGAGCAGCCAAGGGGGCTGAGAGCCACGTGTAAGACTTGGTCACAGGTAGCGTGGGGATAACTTCTGGCTTTGTGCAGATATCTAATGTGGTGAGTGGCCCTCGGAGGCTGTGGACGTCTGGTCTTCTTGAGCCTTTGAGAAGGTAAAGAGTCAATAGAATTAGGAAAAGCTGTTCTTTCTTGGCCTACCAGAGTTCTAGCATCAAAAATTGAACGGTTTTATCATTTTACAATCATTTTATTTTTTATCAAAAAAGTATAAAATTTTTATTAAATATAAATTCATGAGAGTTTTTTCAATCCCCAAAACCCAGTAACTTTTATTGCTTTACTAGAAAAAGTATTATATTGGGATTATTTTGAAAATTGCATGCCAATACCTAACACTGTTGTCTTGTTAGTTTCCTTGAGGTTTATTGAGAATATATTGGAATAATTTTAAATATTTTATTACAGAAGTTTTTATATATATAGGCAAATTTCAAAACAACATCATGGAACATTTAAAAGCTCAGAAATAATTTGAGGCAAGGTTTAAGCAAATAAAATCACTTCGTAATATCATTTTAACAAAATTATTCAACTTTTCTCCAAAAGAAAAGTGCAATATCATTTCCTTTGTCTTTTTTTACCTTTTAATTTAGGTTCAGGGGTACATGTCCAGGATGTTCAGGTTTGTTACATAAGTAATGTGTGTCAAGGGGGTTTATTGTACAGATTATTTCATCATCTAGGTATTAAGCCTAGTATTCATTAGTTATTTTTTCCTGATCCTCCTTTTTCTTTTTGTTGTTGATTTTTGTTAAGTATATAGAGGCAAAGAAGATAGAAATCAGAACATGATATCTTGAATATTCTCCATTATTCTATAACATGGTCCTTATTTTATTTTGGCTTATCTTGTCATGTTTCTAAGGCAGATACTTCATGTTAATTGTAGATTTTCCATAGATGGCAAAATGGATTTTTTTTAAATGATACATGGTAGCTCCATCTTCCTGCAGGTCACAAGGCAACCTGAGGGTATTGGGTAACCTGTGGCTATAATATAAAGTATATGAATTTAAATTATAAACTTATACTTTAGGGATTGACGAATTAGCATTGGCTTAAATTTTGTTAAAATTATGCTTAAGAGTAATATAAAAGTAATATTCTCTTTGTAAGGCAGGAAAGCAGGCCAAGGGACTCAACAGCCTCTCATTGGAGTTTTCTCTCTGATTATCCCAGTACTTCACTCTCGCTCAAAACGGTTACACCAACCACTCTTATAGCATAACCATAACTTAATGTAATATGAATAACCATATTAGCCACAGGAAAGACATTACACATATAAAATTACAGGAAAGCTGTTCCCTTACCAATAGTAAGAACATCTAGCCTTCCCCATCAGGATGCTTCAGCTACAACTGGAAGAATAACAGACTAAAAGTAGTTCAACAATAGGAGTTTAGTAAGTCATATAAACCAAGTCTGGTAGTAGAAAGTTTTAGGGAAATCCAGCCCTTCAAAGAACAATCGGGGACCTAGGCTTGTTCTTTCTTTTTTCTCTACTCTCTTTGGAATGCTTGCAAAGTGTCTCTTCATAGTTGCAAAATTGATGTTATGCTTCTAACTATAATCATCATGTTCACACAAGATGATAGCCAAAGAGAAAAGAAAAGTCCGTTTTCTCTCTCTCTCCACCTTCCCCCTTTCCTCGACTCTCAGTATAATGGAAGGTGTAAGGACTAAAATAAAGGCCAAATATTATGTATTGGTTTGACATCTCATGAAAATGTTAGAGCCTCCTATGGCCCAACTAAAATTCTTCCTCCCCACTCTGCTCCCACAGATAAGGTCCCCTAGCGAAAAGACCCTCCTTATCAAGGTGACCAGACACAGCTCCTATTCACGCTTGAGTATCAGGTTTCAGTTCCCTGACAGCCCACAGGATTATTCAAACAAGCCCGTCACATACCCCCTCAGGAACCAGGGGAGAACCACATCCTGTTGATATGACAAAGCCTGCCCCCTACTACCCCTAGCTGTTCGCCGTGGTCCCAAATGCAACACCTTCCCATGTGGCCATGTGTGGCATGGGCTCCCCTCCACTCCCCTCCTCCTCCCCTAGAGCTATGAGTATATGTGGCCAATAAACTGCTGCAAATCTCACCTGCCCAGCTGTCTTTATATCCCTAGAGAGGGAATTCCTCACTCTCTTGCCAAGGGAGTGAATTGAAGCCAATTTTAAAAATCCTGGAAGGAAATCATTCCCTGAATTTCCTCAGAAAACTTCTATTTTCTTATGTCTCATCTACCAGAAAAAAATCAGAGTCAGCCCAGAGCTAGTCACCAGCAAAGAGGACTGTAATGATTATGACTGGCTTAGACTAGTCAGGCAGCACCCTCTGCAAGGTGCACAGAGCTGCCTGCCATCAGGACACAATTGGGGCTCTGTTAGGGAAGAAGAGGGGAGGCCCTCACACTCACCTTTTAGTATTACTAGGATTGTCTCTGCAAAGGCACAGTTAGAAGCACTGTCAGGTCTGCTTCTAACACGGGAAGTCTGGATCTTTTCATTCTGCCTGTCCCTGTAGTGGGTGTAGTAGTAAATCAAAGGTGAATGGCTGCCAAGGGGATGCAAAGAGGGATAGGCGATATCAGTATAAACACTCTGTTTGCATTTAATCCAGTCAACCTCTATGTGTGAAAGATATTAGCCTCACTCTGCTGATGGAGAATTAAAGCTTTGCACTAAGTTCAAGGGCACCACATACTAAGTAGTGGATTTGGGATTCAAATGTGGGTCTGTCTGACCACAGAGCTTAAGCTCTCTTGTCACTACACAGATCAGGTGGGCTGAGGCATGAATCTCAATGTCACAGGAGGCTGCTGAAGGCGAGGAAATAAGCTGCTGACACTAGAAAACTTGCTTTAGTAGCATGAAATCTAACCAAATGAGGCCCTGGGGGTTTCTTTGGGACAAGGAAATAAGAACCCACTGGAGCAAAGTGAGTTTTCTACATAGATATATCGAACTTACAAGCCAGCTCTCAGTCATCTGGGAACTGATTACACAATCTGAAGATTAAAATTCACCTCTGCTTCCTCTTCTACCTGAGCCCTACATTTTGGTCATTCTCCTAAACAGAAAAGAAGTACATAAATATGCTACTCAAATCAGTCACCTTGGTAATCGATTAATAGATTTGATAAATTTTCTCTAAGGGAGAAGAGTTCATGTAAATCGCTTTGAGGATATCTATGGATTCTGAGTCATAGCTTTTTTAAAGCGGATATAATGTGTTTATTTTAATTCAATAATTCTAGTCTTTGTTCCAGTATTTTAAATCATTTCTTTTCAAAGCTCTCATTTGAATCTACTTCATAACAGAATTAGTAAAGTAAACGAGAAGATAAAGAAGTAAGCATATTTGTGTAATCAAATTAAATTATGTATGATTTTAAAATAAAAAAGACAAAGCTAAGTGTAGTAGGCTGAATAATGGCTCCTATAGAGACCCACATTGTAATCCCTGGAACCTGTGAATGTTGCCTTATAGAGCAAATGAGATTTTGCAGATGTGATTAATTTAAGGATCTTGAGTTGGGGAGAGCAGCCCAGATTATCCAGGTGAGCCTTAAATGTAATCACAAAAGTCCTTATAAGAGGGGCGCAGAAGGAGATGACTTTCTGACTACAGAAGACAGGCCAGGTGCTACGGGAAGCAAAGATCGGAACGGTACGCTTTGAAGATGGAGACAGAAGTCACAAGCAGAGGGACACAGGCAGCCACAAGAAGCTGAGAAGGGCAAGGAAACAAATCCTCCCCCTCAGAGCCTTAAAAAGCCCTGCTGACACTTTGACTTTAGCCCAGTGAAACTGATTTCAGACTTCTGAGCTCTAGAACTGCAGGAGGTAAAGAATAATTTCTAACAAGGCAGAAAAAGAAAGACTTGAAGACAAGTAAACTGATTTTGAGTATCAGGTCCTCCAGTCATTAGCTGTGTCACCTTGGATAGTTCAGCAGTTTCGAAGGCAAGTATTAAACCTCTCTGAACCTGTCTATTAATCCATAAAAGGGGTGATGACAATAACTGTTGTATTAGAGTTCACCAGAGAAAGAGAACCAATAGGATGGATATACAGAGAGAGATTTATTTTAAGGAATTATCTCCTGCAATTTTAGAAGCTTGACAAGTCTAAAATCTGCAGGGTAGGCCGGCAGGCTGGAGAGTCGGGGAAGAGTTTCAGTGTGGGTCCACAGGCAAACAGCTGGCAGAATTCCTTCTTATTAGTGGGAGTCGATCTTTTTCTCTTAAGGCCTTCATCTGATTGGATGAGGCCCATTCACATTATGGAGGGTAATCTGCTTTACTCAAAATCTACCAATTTAAATATTAATCTCATCTAAAAATACTTTCATGGAAACATCTAGAATAATGTTTGACTAAATATCTGTGTACCATAGCCTAGCCAAATTGACACACAAAATTTACTGTCACAAGCACCTGATGGGATTATTATGAAAATAAATGAGAGAATATATGCAAAACACAAAGCAGGATAAAAACATCTGATACTATTAACATTACTGCTCATGAAAGGAAACATGATATACTACCAAAGGGCATCAGTTCTGTGATGAGACAACTCTGAATTCAGATTCTAACTTGATCACTCACTGCATCCATCACTTTATGATCTTAACCTCTCTGCCTATCAGCTTCCTCCTTTATAAAACATGATTTTTGAAACCTAGCTTATTTTGGTATGTGAGGGTTAAATAAAATATTAATTCAATGAAAAAAAAGTATTTTGCTAATTGAAAACATGTGAATGTTCCTCTTTCCCCTCCATCCTCCCCAGTTGTGCCCCTCTTAGCTTCACTAGACTTTGCACCCCTGTGGCTTCCCGTGATGCTATTGCCCAACTGAAAGGACCTGAGGAGAAGGAGAATAGAGAGGAGAGTAAGGTCTAAATATTTACCATTGAGTGTCTTCACTAAAAACATAACCCTCTGGGAAAAACATATTTCAATAAACACTATTTTAACATAAGATTTCATTTTATGAAGTGACTCCCACATCCTGGCTGATGGCCCATGCTAGCTAGCGAGGATTTGCCAATCTGTTTTCAAAAAATTCTGTTAAGAAAAAATGTTATAGACAGATGCATTCCCAAGACTGTATATGCTGGAGTCAGCCAATTTGGCAATTACATTGTAATTTTCATTCCATATTTATTCTTTCTACTGTAACGGTATCCAACAAGATTTCAGTGAAGGGTAAAGAACTAGAGAAGTGGAAAGAACACTGGCTCCGGGGTCATTTTGAGCCTGGTTTGGATCCAAGTTCAGCCACTTTTGAACTGTGTAACTCCAAATAAGGCTCCAGGGCTTGATTTCCTCTTCTAAAAATGGAGATGATAATAGTGCTACTGTTCCAGATGGTTGCAAGAGTTAGAAATAATAACTGCGAGGTATCTGGCATGTAAAAAATAAATGTTCTGACAATACACTAGTGTCATCATAGGGAGTTTTCTAGAGTCTGGAAAGGACTCTAAGAGATAGGTTTTAGTATAAGGGATATCAGAAAATCTCAGCAAACTGTGGAGTAAAGAATAATAGGTTGAGCTCAGTGGACAGAACTGGCAAATGAAAATAAAACAAGTAATGTCTCTCCTGCTGAGAAAGGTTCATTTAACTAAAAACCAAAGTTAATGAAGCATTCGTGAGACTCTTAAGTTTGTTATAATACAAAGTCCCTAATATCTAAAGAACTGAAATAAAATTTCAACAATTCCTGGCTTTTCTACTCTGGCTAGAAAAGAACTTCTTTCCTTGGCATCCACAGAATCTATGTGATGAAGTAGAAGCGGACCCACGCTGGGATTGAAGGCCAATGGCTTCTAGTTTAAGCTCCGGCAGTGAGTTACTGCACGGTAGAACAGAAAATTTCCCAAGAAAAGAGTAAACAAAAGAAATTTGGAATCACTCACCCAAGGATACATATATCAGAATCAGTTTTATTATAAATAAAAGGGAACCCAAAGGAATTCTGGCTTAAGCAAGATAGGATAGAGAGGAGATAGTTGGTCCAGAACTTGTTTGGTGACTCCACAATCATTATCCATTCTAATTTTGCACTCTCTGTCTATATTTCATTCTCTAGATTGCTCATGGATATCTACTAGGATATCTACTGGATATATTGTTAGGATATAGATATATTGGCAGATACCTACTAGGATATCTACTGGATATATTGCTAAGATATATTACTAATACCAATAGCTAAAATATCTAGAGGACAAAAGAAATCCTGTCATGTTTAGCACATTTTTCTAGTCATCAAGTATTTACTGAGCACCTGCTATGAACTGGGTACTGTTCTAGGTACTAGGGACACATTCTAGTAGATAATAAGCAAACAATCAAATAAATAATATGTGGAATGCCATGAGAAAAACATAAATGCATGAATGCATGTTGTACCACTCAGAGTCCTACATGCAGATGGCTGTATCCAGTAGTTGTCTCAGCAGGAAGGGATCCAAGAGCTGATGGAGAACTCACAGAAAACCTCCAGAACTATACTATAAAACTGATCTGAAAGGAAGCTGCAGCTGCTGCTGCCACCACTGACCTTTACACCACACTGCCTTTGACACAGGCAAAGGCTGCTTTTGCTCCAGCCAGCACGGAAGCTTGGGGCTCCTGCTGACACTTACATTAGCAAAAGGAGTGCCCATGTTCAGCCTGCTTGTCACACAGCTGCCTTCCAAATCAAAGCCTTCCATCTGATCAGTGGTATCCGCACTCCTCTGGTGAGGGGGGCTGGAAATTCCAGATTTTTTTTAAATTCTGCATTCGAAAAATTGGAGTTTACATTGGATTCGCAATATGGGAAACTACTAAAATGAGAAGGGGGTATGCAAAATATTTGGGAAAATCATACATGACAGATATCCACTGTTGAGTAAAGTAAGCTGGAGAGTAAGCGGGTGTTAATTTAGATGGTGTGGTCAGGGAAGACTTCCTTGAGAAGGCAGTATTTGAACACAGACCTGGAGGAAATAAAAAAGCAAATGCAAAGGCCTTGAGAAAATAGCATATTTGGTATACCTGAGCAACAGAAAACAGATCAGTGTACCCAGAGCAGAGTTATTGAGGGGGCTAGAGAGAGGAGACAAAGTCAGAGGATAATGAAGGAGGCGGTCAATCAGGAAGTAGTAGCATTTTGTTGGCTATGATAAGGAGGCATTTAAAGCCAGTTTCTCCATCCTATTTGTTTAAGTACAGGCTAACTAAATATAAGTTGGAGGCAGGGGAAATAATTCAATATTCCTTCTATCATGCCTAACATCGGTGGCTTTCAGGACCCTTGTCCTTTGCCAGCTCCCTCCTCCAATCCGCCCTCCCCCAGGCCAAGGTAAATATGCTTTTATATTGTCTACATTGATTTGATTCCCAGTTTTCTTTCTTTCAAGGTCTTCTTTCTTATTTTCTGTATCATAACCTGTGCTCCAGTAAGGAACTAGTTGAAATGGGACAGGACACCAGAGAGTTATTTATAGAAGGTGAGGCTGTATTAGTCCATTCTCGCACTGCTATGAAGAACTACTTGAGACTGGGTAATTTATAAAGGAAAGAGGTTTAATAGGTTCATGGTTCTGCAGGCTGTACAGGAAGCATGGATTGGGAGGCCTCAGAAAACTTACAATCATGGCAGAAGGCAAAGGGAAAGCAGGCACATCTTACATTGGCTGGAACAGGAGAAAGAGAGTGAGGTGGCAGGTGCTACACACTTTTAAACAACCAGATCTCTCAAGAATGCACTTATTGTTATGAGGACAGCACCAAAGGGGAAATCCACTCCCATAATTCAATCACTTCCCACCAGGCCCCACGTCCAACACTGGGGATTACAATTTGGCAAGAGATTTGGGCAGGGACACAGAGCAAACCAGGAAAAGAATTCATCCTAAGGAAAGTGAGAGTCAAGTCACACTAATTAGATTCAGAGAAAAGTGGGTAAGGTAGGAGCGAAGGGATGATTTAGGTACCACCATTTCTGGAATGAAGATTCTTCTTAGATTAATCCACCCAGGACAGGACTCACTTGTGCCCTAAGGCGTACAACTATAATTTTAAAAGAGTGAAATACTCTAAGATCTGCACTGGTGCAAGATGGCAGGACACTGATCCCAGCCATTTGTGCAGTGGTGAGCAAGGACAAGAATGACCTCTGAAGAGATAAATGACTTATAGAATAGATATTGGCAGTAACCAAGAACAGGGTTTATATTTAGCACACTATGTTAGAGCTGCCTCTTTGGACATCATTAAAAACAGAAAATATTGGCTGGACACAGTGGCTCATGCCTGTAATCCCAGCCCTTTGGGAGGCCAACGCGGGTGGATCACCTGAGGTCAGGAGTTCGAGACCAGCCTGGCCAACATGGTGAAACCCCATCTCTACTAAAAATACAAAAATTAGCTGGGTGTGGAGGGGGACACCTGTAATCCCAGCTACTTGGAAGGCTGAGGCAGGAGATTCACTTGAACCCGGAAGGCAGAGGTTGCAGTGAGCTGAAATTGCACCATTGCACTCCAGCCTGGGTGACAGAGTAACACTCTGTCTCAAAAAAAAAAAAAAAAAAAAAAAAAAAACAGAAAATAATCATAGAAACCTAGTGCAGGAAATGAAAAACTTGGCTAACGTGAGGCAGCAAAAAGGACCAGTTTATGAGTCAGTGAAATTAGATTTGCGGAAATCCAGCTCTACTTGGAACAAATATAAAAGCTTTTAGTCTCCTTTGAATGGGAAGGACTGAAGCCAGAAAAATGACAATGACCCTCTGACATTATACAGGTTATATGAAAATCATGCCTAAATATTAGAAGTTAGGGCAATTCCTTCATGATTTAACAATATGTTTCGGACATCTTGAGGAAAGAAGAGACTTGTGCAAAAAAAAGTCTAGGGCTTGGGATGGAGATTGGAGGTAGTTATTGATATCCTATAGTTAATCTCAGTTGCTCTGCTTCTTCCTCAAAACAAAATTATTTAGATCACAAATCTATTAACAACTAGGTAGAAATTCAAAGCCTTTGACTAGTTGTTCAGGCTGTGCATTGAATAAAGACACTACATCCAAGGGATATATTTCACACCAGTGCCAGAATTAAAAATTTGCTTTTGTAACTCTTCTTGCTATAGTTAACAGTTGCTTCAGGGTAAAAGTCATTTTTTTCCTATGTCTAGGAATTTGGTTTGTATATGAGATAAATAAGTATAAACCAAAGCCAAATAGCCTTCAGGCTACCTTTATTCTGAGAAATAACCCTTCAGGGCTTGCTTTGCTCCAAATTAAAGAATGTATTTGGTTCAATTTTCCTTCTTCAAGTCAAGAAAGCAAATGGCAACCAAATGTCCCAGCAGTGGAGAGCTTATTTAAGTGACCTCTTTATTCTATCCAGCAGGCTACCATCAGAAAGCCCTCCTTTTCCAGACCTTGTCATCTTTACTACTCAGAGTACCAGGATTTCTAGGCAACCCACACTGCTGGGACAGCATTGGAGCTAGGCAAGCAAGGATCTAGCCAATCCCAGGATCACAGAGGGAAAACTCTGACAACTGCCACTTGTTCCCAAATGTTCCATATTTCTTCTGATTCCCTGTGAAGCCTTGACCTCCTAGAATCCTCAAGCTTCTGTGAGTACATTGGACATGGGGTGCTGGAACACTCATTATATAGGCCCCTAATACTTAGAGCTTCAAGCCTCTGTGTCAGCTGCTCAGGGCCATACCACTTAAACACTGAGCAAACATGCAGTTTATTGACTTCATCAAGCCTCTGACACTACTTGGACCTCAGCCTGCCAAGGCCCTTGATTCAAAAAGAGTCAATCAAATTACATCTTTTCTCTGTGTCACCTTCAACCACTGGTTTAAAGCCAACATTCCAGACCACTGTGATCTCATTCAGTCTGTGCTTTGTTAACTCTAGTATCCCTATGAATGTATAAGCATTCCTGACCATTCATCTTGCCTACAATAAAAATGTCAGTTGCCCTAATTTTCACACTGTCTGTGGGAAAGCAATGTGCTGCTTCTGTTTGGCTTGATTAGATGGCATTGATCCCCCAACTTCTGAAGAACTGGCCAACACTAATGGGAGTCACATTGCTTGAGGTCTCTGAGTAGTTGTTCATACTGTGCATTGCATAAAGACTCTAGTATTTATGCAAATGTACATAAATACTGATTTGCATTATTTGCATATTTGCATTATTGCAAATCAGTAGCCATCCAAATGTCCATACTTTTTGCCCATTGGGGTTACTCAACAATTGTCTGTTGAAAGAATGGATGCAAATGAATGTATAAAAATATATTTCTACATCTAGACTTGAAAAGTCTATATTGTAGTGCCAAGAACAGAAAGAAAATAAGCATGTATTGATCTCTGCTGAGATCAATGTCTTATCTACATTATTTCAGCCAACCATATAAATTAGATATCATCCTCACCCACCATCTTACCAACGAGGAAAGTGAAGTTCAGAGAGGTCATTTACACAGCTATTAACAGAAGTGGAGTTTAAACCCAGATCTATCTGTCTTCAAAGCCCCCACTTTTTCCATAATAAATGCTTCATGCCGACTTTTTAAGAGCTATAGTGTATTTTGAGGATTTTTAAAGAGTTTTTTATGAGGGATGACATTTTTTAAAAAGCCTGTTACATAGTAAATGAACTGAAAATGGTTTCCAAGTGAGACAAGATGGCAGGGGAGGCCATCAAGAAGGTACTGACTCGGCTTCCTGCTGACCTCTGACTGTGACGCTGGGAAGGTGTGGAAGAGGAACGAGTTGATAAGCTGGGGGGGAGTCCACTGTCACTGAGTCCACTGCTCAGGGCCATACCACTTGAACACTGAGCAAACATGCAGTTTATTGACCTCATCAAGCCTCTGACACTGCTTGGACCTCAGCCCTCCAAGGCCCTTGAATCAAAAAGAGTCAACCAAATTACGTCCTTTCTCTGTGTCACCTTCAACCACTGGTTTAAAGCCAACATTCCAGACTACTGTGATCTCATTCAGTCTGTGTTTTGTTAACTCTATTAATATCTTAGTATCTCTATTAATGTATAAGCATTCCTGACCATTCAGCCTTGCTTACAATACAAATGTCAGTTGCCCTAATTTTCACATGGTTTGTCGGAAACCAATGCACTGCTTCTGTTTGGCTTGATTAGATGGCATTGATCCCCCAACTTCTGAGGAACTGGCCAACACTAACGGGAGTCACATTGCTTGAGTGCAGTAGGTCTCTCAGCGGTTGTTTATACTGTGCATTGCCACGTCTGGTACTGAGCAGTTAATGATTATTCACTCAAGTGTTTAGATGTAGGCTTTGCATACAAATTGCTTCAACTACATAACTAACTAACTGAACTTCTTGAGAAATTAGAAACTTAAGCAGAAATGTGGTTGAGTATTTATATGCACTATGAGGCTAGTTTTTCACATTCTTTTAAAGTTAAGGGGCAGGGGAGGCAGAGGTTACTGAAACCAGTAAAGAGATGCACTATGTAAGTTATCTGGTATGATATAAAGACATTTGATTAAATTTGGGTGATTTAAAACATTGTTTTCCAGAATGAAAATCACAAAGATTCACTTTCGTGAAAACGTTTGCTAGGTATCCTATTATCTCCAATTAATTAAAAACAAAATTTAAAAAAATGAATGCATCCCCCTTCTCCAAATAAAACAAAGCTCTAATTTTGTCTGTAAACTGAAGTTCAGATCACACATAATTTTTATCTCAGAATCCTTTGGGCTAACATTGAGGACTGGAACAACCAAAACTATTCAATTATGATTTTTTTAAAGGATGATGTTTTAAAACTTACCAGTCGGGCATTAGAAAAGTAATCAAATCTTTTCACAGTATCAGATTTGGCAAATTTGCATCAAGGTAACGTGGCAAAAATCATGTAATTCAAACCATCAACTCATTTGTCTCCCTCATATCTTCTTTCACATACTGGGTGACTGAGTAACATGCATTAACTTGTATTCTGAGGGAGGAGCAGATCTTTATGAGACACTTGACTAAATGACCGCGAAAGAAAATAAGGCACTTTCTTTTCTTTAGACTTATTCCAATACTTAATCTACTATGCAATAGACATTCACTGTTTTGTATCCAGCTAGCTTTGGTTTAATAGCCACTGCTTTGTCTTTCTGTTACACATACAGTTTAGATTTATTTACAATATATGCTGTGCCATTTTGATTTTTATATTGTTTGGTTGGTTGAATAAATTCGTGACACTTGAGTGATAGTTGTTAAAAACAATACCAGTATTTGATCCAGTTTCATCTCAACTATGTTATACATGGACATTTTAGATGTTTATCAGAGGACTTTTGGGGGAAGAAAGGATATGTATGAAATAATAAATGTGTGACATTTATGGGTAATGTTGGCTCTGAGCAAACTTTTGAAAACTCAGTTGACAAAATTTTGGATCAACTGAAAAAAAGCATGACTTCTGAAATCTCTGAACGCCTTGGTTCTCAGTATTATCATTTCTTGAATTTATTTCTCATTAAAATATGTAGTTTTTAAGACTTTTTTCTAAAAGTATTATGTAATTTTTTTGGAGTGGGTAGATGGGAGTGTCGCTTGTATGTTATCATACAGTTGACATATATTTTTGTCTATTCTTTATTATCTTAGTAATTTCATGCTATATATACCATAAGCAACTACTACAGCCTATGAGAAACATGTAAGATAATGTATTTACAGCCATTGTTACAAGTTTATAATGTATTTTTCTATTTTGTTTTATATGTATGTTATATAACATTCAAAAAGAATTTTGTTCTTGACTGAGGAAATGATACAAAATGCAGAATTCACAATTTTGATAACTGAAAATTGCCAATTGTTTTGCAGTACTTTATTATATTGGGTGTCTTGTCTTTTTTTGGGCTTTTAGTTAGCTAATGAATGGCTACATTAGCACTTTTGGGTTTTAGTTGGGATTTTACATAGCTTACATTTTAATTCTTTGGTTCTGTGCTGTTTCTGTTAACCCACAGCACTATTTTAATAAATGTTATTATACCAACCTACTAAAAAAAAACATATGTTACTTGTCACTTCCAGGTTGTAAAGATACCAGATATACCCTATTTGTCAGATAAAGCTTAGAATTTTCAGTGAGAGCCTGGAACATAGCAGACACTCTAAATATTTATCAAATATGCTAAATAAATAAGGAAATAAATGTTTTCCTTTTATATATACACTGGAAGTGAGGGCCACAAAATGGAAAAATAAAGCACATATCTTTTTCTTTTTCTTTCTTTAAAGATCATTTTAGCCATTGATGCAAACTACACCTTCATATATATGACAGTCTCTTGTTCAAAGTCCACAGGTAACCATAGTAGCAGAGTGGTAGTGACTTCATGCAGGCATAAGGCATCCTACTGAGAAGTAAATAAGCTACCTAGTTAACAGTATTGATTAGCTATAATTACTTGACTATGATTTTTATATAGTCTCCCTTAAATTATCAAATAACCAAAGTGCACTGCAGTTCACTTGATCAATAACTGTAAAGTCAAAACAGATATTCTAAACTTTGCCTGCAACAAAATTATTTTATAAGTCAGCAATCAGCAAGAAGTTTAAAAGAGAAGTTGCCAGAGCTTCCTTCTTACTATGCTACCTAAGATAATTACCCTACTTTCTTTGTCTCTGGGCATTAATAAAAATATATTAATGTTTAATGATGATGGCAGTAGTAGCTAAGACTTATTGAGCACTAACCAATTTGTACTTTACCTGCGTTATCTCATTTAATCATCATCTTATAAGATTGTCTCATCTCCATCTCACAGATGGCGAAAAGTGAGCTTCAGACTTGCCAAGTAAGACAGGTAATAATAAGTGTCATTCCCAGAGATCCCAAGCTGAAGCAGTCTTATTCTTATGGAAACAAGCTTTCATAGTTTCATCAGTTGACCAATTTTCAAAGCTCTGTGAGCCATTTGTAGAGAAAACATCAGAACTGTAAGAGCTAAGTCCCTCTAGGTGAGTACCCTTGTGCAAGTAATTTGATGAAATAATAATATTAAACACAATTTTTTCATTTTTTTATTGTCTGGGATATAAGTTTCATGATGGCAGAAACCAGGTCTTTCATCTTCAGAGCTGGATTATCTTGCCAGGCACATAGTAGGTGCTCAATAGTTATTCAGTGAGAGTGTGGGTAGACAAATAAATCATGTACTGTCAAAAATTATACATTTCACAGAAATATGTTTTTTTATTTTAAATTGCTAAAGATGTACCTTGTAAACATTAAAAAAGATGTACCTTTTTGAATGCCGCAGAATAGTGAATATAGCTTAAAAATGGAAATTTGCTTTTATTTAAGTGAACATATAGTAACACTATGTAAAACATCATTTGTCATAAAGAAAATATTCTTATAAATAGTTCACATAATTTTAGATTTTGGAAAAATTTCAAAAAAAATAAATTAAAAAAAAATTTTTAATGACCAAACAGCCAAAACAATCTTGAGGGAAAAAAAACAAAACTAGAGGCCTCAAAAGTTCTGATTTTAAAATATATTTCAAAGCGATAGTAATCCAAACAGTAAGGTACTGGTAGAAAGACAAACATATAGTCCTGTAGAATGGAATAGAGCCCAAAAATAAGCCCTTTCATATATGGTCAAATAATCTTTGACAAACATGCCCAGGCTATACAATGGAGAAAGACTAGTCTCTTCAATAAACAGTATTGGGAAAATTAGATATCCACATGACAAAAAATTAGTTAAATTCTAATTTTAAACTATATACAAAAATTAATTCAAAATGGACCTAGCCATAAGACCTGAAACTATAGAACTCCTAGAAGAAAACATAGGAAAAAAGCTTCATGACATTAGTCTTGGCAATAATTTTTTGGAAATGACACCAAAAGTACAGGTAACAGAAGCAGAAATAGACAAATGAACTACATCAAAATTTAAAGTGTGTGGCAAAGGAAATAAACAGTAGAGTAAAAAGGTAACTTACAAAATAAGAGAAAATCTTTGCAAACCATATATCTAAGTGGTTAATAACCAGAATATACAACTCAACAACTGCTCAACAAATAACCTAATTAAGAGATGAGACTGGTGGCTCACTCTTGTAATTCCAATTACTAGGGAGGCTGAGGCAGGAGGATTGCTTGAGACCAGGAGTTTGAGACCAGCCCTGGTAACATAGTGAAACTGTCTCTAAAAAATAAAAAATTAGTCAGGTTCAGTGATCTGTGTCTGTAGTCCCAGTTACTCAAGAGGCTGAAGCAAGAGGATTGCTTGACCCCAGGAGTTCAAGGCTGCAGTAAGCTGTAATTGTGCCACTGTACTCCAGCCTAGGCAACAGAGAAAGACCCTTTTTTTTGGTGGCGGGGAGGCGGGGGAAGGAAATGGACAAAGGACTTGAATAGACATTTATCCAAAGAAGATATACAAATGCCCATCAAGCAAATGAAAGATACTAAACATCACTAATCATCAGGAAAATATAAATTAAAACCACAATAAGATATCACCTCACAATTGTCAGGATGGCTTCTATCAAAAAAAAGAAAGAAAATAAAACAGAAAATAACAAGGGTTGGTGAGGATGTAAAGAATTTGGAACCCTTGGGAACACTGTTGGTGAGAATGTAAAATGGTTCAGCTACTATAGAAAACATTATGGAGATTCCTTAAAATATTAAATATACAATCACCATATGATCCAGCAATCCCACTTCTGGAAATAGTCCCAAAAAAATTGAAAATATCAAAGAGATATTTGCACACCCATGTTCATTGCGGCATTATTCACAATAGCCAAGAGTTGGAAGCAACCTAAATATATATGACAGATGAATGGATAAATAAAATGTGATATACATAACATACAGTGGAATATTATTCAGCTTTAAAAAAAAGAAAGCCCTACCAAATGCTACAAAACCTTTAGGACATTACACTAACTGAAATAAGCCAATTATAAAAAGATAAATGATTCCACTTATATGAGATATCTAAAGTAGTCAACTCTTGGAAACGGAAAACAGAATGGTGGTTGCCAGAGGCAGAAAACATGGGGATAATGGAAGATGTTAACAGATACAGAGTTTCAGTTTTGCAAGATGAAAAAGTGCTATGGACCTGTTGCACAACAATGTACATATAGGTAATGCTATTGTACTATACACATAAAAATGGTTAACATGGTAAATTTTATGTTTTTGCCACATACAAAAACCCATATAATTGCCAACTTCTCATTATGTAAAACATGTATATTGTTTTTAAAACCAAACAATCAACCAACCCTCTACTTCATTAGCCTTTTATAAAACATAGTACATTTTACAACCAAATAACAGACACAACCTAATCTCAGAGTAAAAGATACCACTCTGGACTGGAGCTCATCTCTCCCGGCTGTGGGATGCTGAAGCCATGCAGATGCAGAGCAAAGCGGGCAGCTGCTGGCTGTGAGGAGACTGTGGAAGGTGTGAGGAGGATGTGCGTTAATAAAAATATCCACAGAGAACACTGAAAACTCAGTGGATTCAAAGTCCATTAAAAATTTGGAACCAAAGATCATACATGGAAGCAAATCAATGGGCTCTGGAATATCCTTGGACAACAGTTATAAAATGGATTGTCCCGAAATGAGTGTATGTATTATATAATAATTAATGATAAGAATAAGTGGAATCATAGAGGCACTGGAATGGCATCTTGGTCTGGTACAGATGTCAATGTGGCAAACCTCAGGGAAACACTCACAAACTTGAAATATGAAGTCAGGAATAAAAATGATCTTACATGTCAAGAAATTGTGGAATTGATGCACAGTGTTTCTTAAGAAGATCACAGCAAAAGGAGCAGTTTTGTTTGTGTGCTTTGGAGCCATGGTGAAGAAGGAATAATTTTTGGAACAAATGGACCTGTTGACCAGAAAAAGGTAACAAGTTTTTTCAGAGGGGATTGTTGTAGAAGTCTAACTGGAAAACCCAAGCTTTTCATTATTCAGGCCTGCCATGGTACAGAACTGGATTCTGGCATTGAGACTGACAGTGGTATTGATGATGACATGGTGTGTCATAAAATACCAGTGAAGGCCGAATTTTTGTATGCATATGAGACATCATTTGCTAATAAATTGAGACTGGAGAACCAAAGAAAGATAGGAGTGAGAGATGACCCTAAGATTCTTTACCAACTCAGTAGATTAAATGCCATTTACTATGATGGAGAAGACTATAGAAGGAGTATAATTGGAGGAAGGTGAGAAATAAGAAGTTCACTTTTGGTCACTTTAAATTTGAGATGCTTGTGCAACATCCAATCAGATATTAGAAGTAATCTATAGTTCAAAGAAAATTCTGAGCTGGAAAAATACTTTGGGTATAATCAGCAGATAGGAGTTATTAAAGTCTTGAAATGCAAGTGTGAGTATAGGTAGAGAAAAGAAGAGATTGAGGACTGAGTCCTGGGTACTTCAACATGTCAAAGTCTAGAAGAGAAAGATAATGCAGCAAAGGAAGCTTAGCAATAGTGGAATGGGGGACTTCATGGGGGATATCTTCAAAGTCAAGTAAAGACATGTTTTCAAGGAGAAAGTGAACAATTCTATCATGACCTCTTGAAATGAGGACTGAATATTGACATTGACTTTGGCAATGTCAATATTAGAGGTCTTTGGTAATCTGAATAAGAGTTGTCTGTGTGCACTGATGGTGAGTAAGGCTAAATTGGAGTGGTTCCCAGAGAGAACTAGAGGTAAAGAGAGGATCGCATCTATAAACAATTTTTTCAGGGAGCTTCTGTGAAAGGGAAAACCATGGGATCTCCGCTACAGGAAGATGTGGCATCTCAGGATAATGTTTTATTTAAGATTATAAATGTTATATCATGTTTTTATGTGACTGGAAAAGAATTAAACAACTAGGAATGATAGTGGATAATCATAGAAGCAAACACTGTGAGTAGGCAAGAAGGGATTGAATGCAGTGCCTGAGGTGATGGTTTGACCTAAAATAGGCACATTGCTCCTCCTAAACAGTAATAGGAAGGGAGGCAGTGACTATGAGCTCTGAAGGATGCAGGTCAGCGGATTTGGTCGGATAAGAAAATTCTCTTCTGATTGCTTCTATTTTCTCAATAAAATCAGAAGCAAAGTCACCTACTGAGAATCTAAGTTTGAGAAAGGCAAAGGTTTAAGGACAGGAAAACTGTCTTCTCTGGAAGTAAGAGAAAGGTTGACTAGAAAAATGTAGTAGAATACACGTTTCAATGTTTTATCCATGTCATTAACTTTACATAAGATAGTATGTATTTAGCAAAAAGGTAAAAAAACACCTGAGGATGAACTAAATTCCACCTGTTCCCGTTTCTGAGTAAGCTAGAATGTGAGGGCCATGAAGGAAGGGATTGTTGCCTACTTTGTAAAACAAAAAAAAAATCACTGTGCATAGAACATTGTAGACATAGTAGATGCTCAAGAAACATTTAGTGACTGAATCATGAATGAGGAGGCACTGTATCTCTAGTTTTTGTCATTGCTACAGATGGTCTTCACACTCACAAATATTTACCTTCTCACCTTATCCTAGCACATTTTTATAGCACTTTCCTTATTTATTTTTTAAATACATGGCCATTTTTAAGAAAGCATTTTGTGGTTTACATTCATCTATTTTTCATTCTTCAAAATGTTGTTTTGCAGTATCTAATGGACAGTTTAAAAGCTTCATGAACGAAAAGGCACCTTTTGCCAAAATTAAATGAATGCAAAAGAATGAAAAGTTTGGGTTGAGTTCAAAATTGTAAGCTCCCAAGGAAAATGAATGCACAAAACTTGTGGTTTTCATTTCCCATATTCTTATATTAAACATATGAAATTCAAGAGTTCTGACTGAATTAGAAAAGTTAAAATTTGAGGACAAATTTTCAACGATAAAAATGTTCTAAAGACTCTTAAACCCAAATCTTACTAAATAGCCTGACTAGCAATCGTATTTTTTATGTCAATGTGTTTATTTTTCTACAACAACAGTAAAAATTTTACTAAATCCCAGGCTATCTGTAATTATTTCACAGAAATGAATGGCTCTGTATGTTTGTTGAGAAGAGAACAGAAGATCTGCTACTCTTCAACCACTGGAGGATATTAATCTTACTCTTTCTCATAAAACTGTCTAACAAACATAAGAAAAATATAAAATTTTGCTAGCAAATACAGAAATGCAAGTAAAAGCAATAAGGCAGCATTTTCATCAATTAAAAAGGTAATGAACATCACTATGTATTTAGGTTTTTCATATTGTTATGATTTTCTTAGGATACATTTTTCAGTATGGAATAATTGAATGAAAATCTGGAGACCCAGGGCAGTGGCTCATGCCTGTAATCCCAGCACTTGGGGAGGCCGAAGCGGCAGATCACCTGAGGTCAGGAGTTCGAGACCAGCCTGGCCAACATGGCGAAACCCCATCTCTACTAAAAGTATGAAAATTAGCTAAGCGTGATGTCATGTGCCTGTAATCCCAGCTACTCGGGAGGCTGAGGCAGGAGAATTGCATGAACCCAGGAGGCAGAGGTTGCAGTGAGCGGAGATCGTGCCACTGCACTCCAGCCTGGGCAACAGAGTAAGACACAAAAAGAAAGAAAGAAGAATGAAAGAAAGAAGGAAAGAAAGAAAGAAGAAGGAAGGAAGGAAGGAAGGAAGGAGAAAGGAAGGAAGGAAATCTGGAAATACATAGATAAATTACTTCAGAAAATGTAACAAATTACTATACTGAAAGCACAAATTTTATAACATCTTGCCATCATAGGCTTCTTGTCATATAATTTTTTAAATGTAATATAGTAAAATTTACTCTTTTGGTGTACATTCTATGAGTATTGACAAATGTATAGTGTCATGTAACCACACCACAATCAATATATACAACAATCCGTCACCCCAAAAATGCCTCTTTGTATAGTCAACCCCTTCCCACCCAGCTCCTGGCAACAACTGATCTGTTCTCTGTACTTGTAGTTTGTCTTTTCCCACAATGTCATATAATTGGGCTTATACACTATTAAGCCTTTTGAGCTTGGCTTATTTCACTAACATAAGACATTTGAGATTCTTCCATATTGTTGCATGAATCAATCATTTTTTTCCTTTTATCACTGAGCAGTGTTCCATTTTGCGGATGTACCAAAGTTGAATATCCATTAATCAGTTGAGTTGTTCACAGTCTTTGGTGATTATAAATACAGTCACTGTAAATATTTCCATATGGGTTTTTGTGTGAACCTAAGATTTATTTCTCTTGAGTTAATTGGCACTTTTTAGAAAAATTATTTATCATATTTATTTTATTGCATTTAAGTATCCCTGCTACAAACTCAAGTTTTCCCAGGGGATATTAGTACTCCAGTTGGTGAGAAACATAAGCTTAGGTAAAGTCATATCCAAGATAATTGTACATAAAACTCTGAGCACTTAGTTTAAATTTGGAAAGTGCTAGAGGTACAAAGAAATCCTCAAATATAAAATTAATTGTGAAGCTTTAAATTATTGAGACTAGTTAATGTGCATTTTTTTGTTTTTTAATAAATGACTCCAACTTTCAAAACTTAACTTTGAATGCTTCTGTTGGTTATAGGGAAATATGTAAGAAGGCATAAAAAGTTTTTGAATGTAAAGTTTCCAAAATAACTTGAAATTTGAATGATCAGTGTTAATTTCCAATAATCTTAATTCTAAAAATAAGATAATAATAATTGTCCTTGTCTATAAGAAGTTTACAGATGCACTGGGGAAGTTTATCTTGTGCTTGGAGAGTGAAACAACAATCCAGGACAGAAGGTTAAAAATAACAAACGAGTACAATAGTTAATAAGTACTAATGGAGTTCAGAGATATAGGATACTTCATTTGAAGTTGCTGGCTTCTTCTGTAACTGGTACACTTTGGAGTGTGAAGACAATTTAGACAGGCTCTTTGTATTGATTCTTTTCTCTGTCCTTGTAAAGAAATATAATGAGTTACATTGTCACCCAAGATAATTAGAATACCCCTTTGGCACTCAAATAGCAAAATATACTTGTCTGCGTATCCAGAGTACATCAAGTGTCCTCTTCTAAAACTGTCTGGTAATATTACCCATATGATAGATTATATAATGCTGCTATTAAATTTGGAGAACATTAACAGAGGAGGATGAAGGACTGATGAGTCATTCCCAAGTAAAGCCATCTGATTCTATTTGTGCAACAGACTAATCAAAATCAGATGTAGCTAAGTCTCAATTCAGATATAATTTTACAGGTGGAAAATAATAGTGTATTTTCATAATACCAAAGAGAATACACTTTCGGCAAGTTTCCCAAAATATGTTTACCTAGCATATCATATGAGAAAAAGTATCAGAGTTGAAATAAAAATATTTTTGCACCCAAACGCACATAAACAAGCACATATGCTTCTTTTTGTTTCTCCCTCCCTTTCCCAGTTTTCTTCCTTCCTGCTACTTCGTCTCCACCCATCTTCCTTCCCATGGATACACACCACAAATGTGCACAAAGTCATCAAAAAAGCATATTTATTTTTAAGCTTAGAACATTTGGTTCCTAGACATCTAATCACCAAGAAGCATAAAACTATTTTATATTAATTACTGAATTTTAAATATGTGAAATATAGATAGATGATGATGATGATGAAGAAGATAGATTGACAGACAGATAGATGATAGATGATAGATAGATAGATAGATAGATAGATAGATAGATAGATAGATAGATGTCAGCCCTCTGTATCTGTGGTTGCACATCTGTGGATTCGACCAAATGTGGATCAAAAATACTTGAAAAAAATAAATGATTGTAATGGATGAAACAGTTATAATACAGTGCAGTGTGCAATGAAAGAGGGAGAGTAATGCCTAGTGTGTAATGAGAGCACAGAGAAGTATCACCCAGCCCAGACTGAATTAGTAAAATCTCAAAAGGAGACAGATAATCCATGAGTTGAGTCTTGAAAATGTAAGCAGAAGGAAGGCAATCAGATGACACAGCAGCTAAGAAAAACTGATTTTGTGGAACTACAAGTGGTTTTATAAGACTGCCATGTAAGCTGTATTCAGAGGTCTATAATAAACTGGAATTCACTTTTTTTCATTTACAAGATTCCCAACTTTCCAGTCCTAGCATATCTCTTCCCTCTCTACATATTAAGCATTTTTTTTAATTTATTATACTTTATGTTCTGGGATACATGTGCAGAACATGCAGGTTTGTTACACAGGTATACACATGCCAAAGTGGTTTGCTGCATCCATCAACCCATCATCTATATTAGGTATTTCTCCTAATGTTATCCCTCCCCTAGCCCCCCACTCCCCAACAGGCCCTGGTGTGTGATGTTCCCCTCCCCATGTCCATGTGTTCCCATTGTTCAACACCCACTTATGAGTGAGAACATGTGGTGTTTGGTTTTCTGTTCTTGTGTTAGTTTGCTGAGAATGATGGTTTCCAACTTCATCCATGTCCCTGCAAAGGAAATAAGCTCATCCTTTTTATGGCTGCATAGTATTCCATGGTGTATATGTGCCACATTTTCTTTATCCAGTCTATCATTGATGGGTATTTGGGTTGGTTCCAAGTCTTTGCTATTGTGAATAGTGCCACAATAAACATACATGTGCACGTGTCTTTATAGTAGAATGATGTATAATCCTTTGGGTATATATCCAGTAATGAGATTTCTGGGTCAAATGGTATTTCTGGTTCCAGATCCTTGAGGAATCGCCACACTGTCTTTCACAATGGTTGAACTAATTTACACTCCCACCAATAGAGTAAAAGTGTTCCTATTTCTCCACATCTTCTCCAGCATCTGTTGTTTCCTGACTTTTTAATGATCGCCATTCTAACTGATGTAAGATAGTATCTCATTGTGGTTTTGATTTGCATTTCTCTAATGACCAGTGACGATGAACTTTTTTTCATATGTTTGTTTGCTGCATAAATATCTTCTTTTGAGAAGTGTCTGTTCATATCCTTCACCCACTTTTTGATGGGTTTTTTTTTCTTGTAAATTTGTTTAAGTTCTTTGTAGATTCTGGATATTAGCCCTTTGTCAGATGGACAGATTGCAAAAATGTTCTCCCATTCTGTAGGTTGCCTGTTCACTCTGATGATAGTTTCTTTTGCTGTGCAGAAGCTCTTTAGTTTAATTATATCCCAGTTGTCAATTTTGGCTTTTGTTGCCATTGCTTTTGGTGTTTTAGACATGAAGTCTTTGCCCATGCCTATGTCCTGAATGGTATTGCCTAGGTTTTCTTCTAGGGTTTTTATGGTTTTAGGTTTTACATTTAAGTCTTTAATCCATCTTGAATTAATTTTTGTATAAGGTGTAAGGAAGGGGTCCATTTTTAAATGAACATGTAGTTAATTTATTTCCTCTGGAGGATTAAATCTGCACACATACCATCTCTGAAGATGCTGGTCATATGTGTGGTGAGTCAGGGAGTCGTCCCTCAACAGGCTCTCTGTGGCAGAGCTTACCACTGCTCACCAATACCCCTTCTTTCCTCTTCTTCTTGGGCACACAGCTAAGTAGCATTCTTTGGCCTCTTTGCTGGTAGGTTGGCACCATGTAACTAAGTTCTGGGAAAACTGAATGTGAATAAAAGTGATCTATGCTGCTTCCAAATCTGACCCATAAAAATATTCCACAGTCAAAGCTCCACTCTCACTTTTCCCATTCTATACTGATCTGAGATATTGAAGATGGCAGTACCATGAGACGGAGGTGACCTGTGAAAATAGACTCCTTCCAGTGATCCACACTGAACTGTGAATGAGCACAAAATAAGTCTTTTTTTTTTTTTTTTTTTTTTTGAGACAGAGTCTCGCTCTGTTGCCCAGGCTGGAGTGCAGCGGCGCAATCTCGGCTCACTGCAACCTCCGCCTCCCGGGTTCAAGCAATTCTCCCGCCTCAGCCTCCCGAGTAGCTGGCACTACAGGCGCATGCCACCATGCCCGGCTAATTTTTTGTATTTTTTTAGTAGAGACAGGGTTTCACCGTGTTAGCCAGGATGGTCTCTATCTCCCGACCTCGTGATCCGCCCACCTGGGCCTCCCAAAGTGCTGGGATTACAGGCATGAGACACTGCGCCAGGCCACAAAATAGGTCTTTAATGTGTTAAGTCACTGAGGTTTTGGGATTGTGTGGTTAGATAAATTAACCCTAGCTCAGAGTATTTATTGCATCCTCTAAACTCATACTCTTTGGTATATGTATTTTTTACTTGATTTTTTTGTCCCGACATACTGGATATTACAGTGTATCAGCATACCGTGCAACATGACTAATTTTTGCCACCTTCTTCATAGAAGTCTCAAAGCCCACCGCATGCATAACTCTATACCAACTGATTTGAACTGAATGTCTGACCTGCTATACACTTGCTCTGGACAAGAAAATCTCTTAGTTTCAAGCTGTTTTAAGAGTCTTTCAGAAAGAAAAAAAAATCCTGAAACTCTATTTACTATTTATGCCAAATACTAGGGATCTCTTCTCAAATATTGTTTACTATTTTGCTTATAGAAATATTTTTCTCATCTTTCTCTTCCTCTTCATTTCTCTGTAACAGTCTTATGCTGTGACTTCTTTCTATAAGAAGCAACTTTTTACTAGGAATTTTAACATAATAAGTGAATTAAGAATTCATTATTCTATGGTTGAATACAGGTTAATTATTTTCAAGAAGAAAACAGCATCTTAAACTTTTATATTTAAGTTATTTTCATAAGAAAACTTTTAATAATAAAATGATCAATGCTTATTTTAAAACATGAAAAAAATACAAAGACATTTAAAGAAAAAATAATCTCTTTCTTATTCTCCCTTATTCCCACCAGGCAACAATCAAATTGAACATATTACTTTTTACCTTCAAAATTCACTTCATTCAATTTTTTTTTTTACAAAAGTTACCTAAATTTGCTGAAACAAGTAAACAATGCAAAAATATATAAAGATAATAATCTTTTCTTTATTCTCCTTCCAATCTCACCTCCTGAGATTAGCCATGTTAATAGTGTGGTGTATTTCATCACAAAATTCTCCATGCTCAAACAGCACAATACTTTTTTTATTTTTTATATAACATAGTTCATACTTGATCTCTAACTTGCTTTTGTCCCTTAACTATGTATCCTGGATATCCATCAAAGATAGCAAATATAGATCTAATTCACTGTTTTCAATGGTGATCTAATATTCCATAATATGAGTAAAACAGAAGTATTCAACTACCTGGTTATTGATAGATTTTTTTACTTTTTTTGCAGTTTCCTGTGTATGTGTATGTGGGGTGTGTATGTGTGCGTGTAACAGATAGTAGTGGGAAAGGAGTTCACCACTACAAACAATACTTTCATAAACACACTTGCTCATAGGAATTACATTCAAAATATTTAATAGTTGGCATGGCAAATAAATTGAATAATCAGAACTGATATACAGTGAATCAGCTGGTACACCATATACCTATGCATAATTAAATTATCAGCTCTACGTTTTCATTCTTTCTTTTATATTGGTGCTTGCATTTTCATAGTATATATGCCCCCTAAACCATATTGTCCAGGTTCCAGTTTTCCCCTATATTGTGTATATTTGTGTATGAGGTGAGTATATTCTGCCTGTAGGATGTAAATTGTGGTGGCTGTAGAAAAGACTGTGGCAAACGTTCCCTAATCTGAAACCTCTTTACAATTTATGCATTTCTATAACAATTTTTGAATTGGCTTTTGTGTAAATGCAGAATCTGTCTTTCAGGGTTATTTTCCAAAATTTAGTTTTTGTTCAGGATCCAATTTTTAGTAAACAATTTAAAAATTCACGATATCTTGCAATATTCTTTAGAAATTTTCTCCAACTATTTTAGTCTCCCTTTTAGTTTTTCCTTTTCCATAGTGTTCCTGAGAAATAAAATGCCCTTAGTTTGCCTCTAATTCTTCTCTTTTGTCTTCCTAGAACAGTCCATAATTGTATACCATATATCAGAAGAGGAAACATAGCATATCTCATAAACTGTTAGGCTTTGATTTGTTACAAAGATGTCAGTTACATATCTCTGCATAAATTGAATTTATATTTTCCTCATCCTTCAGTTCTCTAAGTTAACCAAAAAATAGCTCTGAATTATTTTCTTTTAAAAAATGAATAAATGCCCTAAGAGATAGAAATGAAGAAAAATATTTATGGAGGGCACATAAAAAAGACAATAGACATCAGAAGTCAAACACCCTCATTTTACAGGTAAGGAAACTGGGGTTTAAGAAATTTCAACAACTTATGTAAGGTAAAAAGCTAGTGGAGAAAATGTAATGTACGGAATTTTTGCACATAAGGCTGCAATGAAATGCTTGGTTTGCCAGTTCTTCTTTAATAATAAATACAAGAGAAATTTTCACATCTAAACTTGGAGTGTGCCAAATAGTTTCTTCCTAATCTCATGTTTCAAAGTCCAGTTAATCTATGTTTTGGAGAGGGTGGGGAAAATATGATTAAATTTTTCCCATATATACAAGTCTTATTGCATTCTTTACCATCATCTCTGTTTAAATCTGTTAATATATTACTAACAACCCTAAAATAGAAATAAATATAGTCACTCATTGGAGAGAGACAAAAAGCTGCTTTTTCTCTATGTAGTCTATATAAATTCAGCTTTCCTAAATTAGTTAAAACAGACATTTTACCCCAGAATTACTTAAAATTCTTGCTGATTGAAGCCCAAATTCTTTTTTATGTCCTCTATCTTGTTTTCAACCATCACCTGAATCCTTGAAGAATTGAGTGAAATTTTTTCTTCTTCGCAAAGTTTATATCAACTGCAGTTCTGATACTGATGTGACATGCCAAGTAATGGGAAGGACTTGGCAAAAGTTGTTTTAGTAGAAAGTTGACTTATTAGAACGTAAAGTTGTTTTACTAGGAAGTTGTTTTTATCCAGCACAATGAACTACCCTAATGTACGGAACCACCAAGCCCCTCACATGTTAAATTACTATATGCATTAGACCTGCCATCCCATGCCTTTTAAATATGGCCATATATAAATATATTTGCTTATTTTCATGGTGGTTAATGAAGATATGTTTTCATCAGAAATAGATTTTTAAAGATTCAAAATGTGCATATTGCAATTTAAATGGCTTCAATGTAAATAGAACTGACATTATACTTTACACTGCAGTGTTAGATGTTTGTTTAGCAGTTTCTCTCCCAGGAAGATAGGAATGGTGCTACTTCTGTTCATGTTGACAAGCTCTAAGAGTCACTATTACTGGAGTAACTAACTAATAACTGGTTTTATCTTTCCCATGCATCAAGGACAAGTGAATAACCTTCACTAATAATAGCAGCTTATAAACACTGAGTTGCTGTAAACTTGACGTTAAAGTTTGCACTCCTATTATGCCCTAATATTTGATGAAAAATCATAGTGTTGATAACCTTAATGTGTATAATCTACCTCCTTCCAAGAAGCACTGCCAATATACTGCCTAATTAGCAATATTGTCGCCTTTTCTTAGGAAACAGAAAATCCATGCAATACCTACTTCCATTCATCCATGATAAGGCCATTTAACACCTTGCTGCCGGGGGAGGTTGAAATATCCTGCCTGCCATCTGGCTATAACAAAAAATCCTTCCAAGTTATCAAGCATTTGATCAACTAGAAAACACTATCAGACCTTGGGTACATTACAGGGAACCATCAATTGCACAGTAACAAATTAAAGTTAGCAGGGCAGAGACCAGAATTGAGGAATATTTAGGTGCAATGGCAGCCTCTGTTGGCTTGGAACTGGGCCAGACGGGAAATCAATCCTCCAAGAACCATTTTCCACATGTAAAAAGCACAAATGACCATATCCTATTAACAGCAAGAAAGGATATTTCTGAAGGTCATTTGTCATCGCTACTCTTAGTCTTTCGACAACACAAGCACTGCCTATCAAACTTGGCTTTTCCTGAGTCTGAAGAATGTTTGCGGCTTTACTTGTGTGTTTTCAGAAAGACATTTATCCTGCCTCGGGACCAAGTAATTAAAAATATTTACTGCTTTACACCTGACAATGTTGTTATTTTAAGGAAGAGATGTGATCAATAAAAAGCAGAATAGGAGTTTTGTTCAAGAAAGTTTTTCCACACCACAATTTATACATAATTGTAAATTAATGATTGGAATGAGGCAATGGTTTGTTAATCTCTAAATCCCAGCCATCGCTCACAGAGGGTCACAGCTGTGAAATCCCCAGGCAATAATAGTATGAAACGAGGATCAATCTTTAATCCATTTGTGCAGTAGGCACAATAATCACCTTTCCTTTCTGAATCCAGTTGGCTTCTGCACTTATCAGAGCACCTGTTGCTGCCCCGTGGTGGCACAGGGGTCACCACAGCAGAGCCCCTCTCCTTCCCCTCAAAAATACTCACCTGATCTGTGTCTTGGCAAGTCCCTGCTCTCTTCCTTCCGAAGTTAAAACAACAGAGGATTTTTAAGGCTTAAAAATGATTTATATATGAAACTCTTTTTCAAGTCAATAACAGAAACAACGAAGATTTACAGAAAGTGATTATTGTAAGTTACAGTGTCTTGTATTTACAGATTATATTTATATTTGTTTAGTTTGATTTTTGTGATGATTAATATATATCATTATTATAGCTACATTGTTATTTTTATATAAATGTTACATTAATTTTATATATAGTCATGATAGAAGCTGCCATTTCTTGAGCACTTACTAGCTGCTAGGCATATCTACTGCATGATTTAGCCATAATAATTCCATGAGGTTATTTTACAGATGAAGGTACAAGCTAAAGAGCATGCTTCTGGATCTGGATCCTGGGAAACAAGGATACATGACACACAGAAAGATTAAAGGAAAAAGAGAAGAGAATGTAAAGACAAAAGAGGGATACAAGATGAAGAGTTTTCTCTCTACAGGATCTGAATAACTTTCTTCAGTAGGGTGTTTCTTTATCTACTTAACCTTCAGAGAAATCAAGTCCAAGATCACACAATAAGTGGCAAAATCCAAAGTTGAACCCAGGTTTGTTTAAGTGCAAAGCTCCTCAATTGTTATAATGGACATTATTTTTAAAATTTGGCTAGAGGACCCAAGAAACTCCAATACTGTCCTCAACCAGTCAACTCATCTTCCATGATGTTTCAGTCAGGGTTCTCTTAGAGGGACAGAACTAATAGGATATATATATATATCCTATATTATTATATAATTATATTATATAAATAAGTAATTATATAATTATATTAGCTAAGTAACTATATAATTATATAAATAATTATATAATTATAAAGATTATATATTATAATTATAATTAACTATTATAAATAATTGTATAATATATATTTATTTATAATATGTAATATTTAATTATATATAATTATATAATTAAATTATATAATATATAATATTTAATTATATATAATTTATAAGTATATAATATATAATTAAATATTATATGTAATATATAATTATATAGATATATAATATATTATTATTACATAATATATTATTCTCTTAGGCTATATATTATATATCTATATATCTCTAGCTATCTAGCTATATAGTTATCTATATCTATATATCTAGCTATATAGTTATCTATATATGTCTAGCTATATAGATATCCATATATATATAAATATAGATATATATTTCTATAAATGCTGACCACTGGTGGGGAGAAGGAAAGCTATATAGATATATCTATATATAGATATAGCTAGCTATCTATATATATCTATATATCTATATATATCTATATATCTATATATATCTATATATCTGTATATATCTATATATCTGTATATATCTATAGAAATATCTAGCTGTCTATATATCTATATCTATATATCTAGCTATCTATATAGATATCTATATCTATATATCTAGCTATCTATATAGATATCTATATCTATATATCTAGCTATCTATATAGATATCTATATCTATATATCTAGCAATCTATATAGATATCTATATCTATATATCTAGCAATCTATATAGATATCTATATCTATATATCTAGCAATCTATATAGATATCTATATCTATATATCTAGCAATCTATATAGATATCTATATCTATATATCTAGCAATCTATATAGATATCTATATCTATATATCTAGCAATCTATATAGATATCTATATCTATATATCTAGCAATCTATATAGATATCTATATCTATATATCTAGCAATCTATATAGATATCTATATCTATATATCTAGCTATCTATATAGATATCTATATCTATATATCTAGCTATCTATATAGATATCTATATCTATATATCTAGCTATCTATATAGATATCTATATCTATATATCTAGCTATCTATATAGATATCTATATCTATATATCTAGCTATCTATATAGATATCTATATCTATATATCTAGCTATCTATATAGATATCTATATCTATATATCTAGCTATCTATATAGATATCTATATCTATATCTAGCTATCTATATAGATATCTATATCGATATCTATATCTATATCTAGCTATCTATATAGATATCTATATCTATATCTATATCTAGCTATCTATATAGATATCTATATCTATATATCCAGCTATCTGTATAGATATCTATATCTATATATCCAGCTATCTGTATAGATATCTATATCTATATATCCAGCTATCTGTATAGATATCTATATCTATATATCCAGCTATCTGTATAGATATCTATATCTATATATCCAGCTATCTGTATAGATATCTATATCTATATATCCAGCTATCTGTATAGATATCTATATCTATATATCCAGCTATCTGTATAGATATCTATATCTATATATCCAGCTATCTGTATAGATATCTATATCTATATATCCAGCTATCTGTATAGATATCTATATCTATATATCCAGCTATCTGTATAGATATCTATATCTATATATCCAGCTATCTGTATAGATATCTATATCTATATACCAGCTATCTGTATAGATATCTATATCTATATATCCAGCTATCTGTATAGATATCTATATCTATATATCCAGCTATCTGTATAGATATCTATATCTATATATCCAGCTATCTATCTATATCTATATATCTAGCTATCTATCTCTATATATATATATATATCTAGCTACCTAGCTAGGTGTATATATATAGATATATATCATATATATATATATAGCATAAGATAATATAGGATATATATAGGATTTATTAAGTATTATATTACACAATCAAAGGTGCTACAATAGGCTGTCTGAAAGCTGAGGAGCAAGGAGAGCCAGTCCACGTTCCAAAACTGGAGAACTTGGGGTTGGATGTTCGAGGGCAGGAAACATGTAGCACAGGAGAAAGATGCAGGCTGGGAGGCAAGGCCCGTCTCTCCCTTTCACGTTTTTCTGCCTGCTTTATATTCGCTGGGAGCTGATTAGATTGTGCCCACCAGATTAAGGATGGATCTGCCTTCCCCAACCCACTAACTCAAATGTTAGTCTCTTTTGGCAACACCTTCACAGACACACCCAGGATCAATAGTTTGTATCCTTCAATTCAATCAAGTTGACACTCAGTATTAACCACCACACATGAGGTCCCTGAGACACTTATACATAGACAAAAATGGCTGGCAAAGAACTGTTGAATGCAAGCTGAAATTTTGTACCTTGGTGAGCTAGACTGGACAACATGGAGAATTTTGTGTTTAGGCTGCAGGTAGCCTAGAGCAAGACACAAAAGGCTGATGAGCATCCTTCTGGGTCCTCAGGAAAAGGGAAACATGAGGTGCAGGGATAGCAAAAGAGGAAGACATGGCAAAGAAATGAGCTACCTCAGGAGGAAGGGCTATCCTATACATCATGAATACAAATTTTAGGCAACTTTTAAAACAGTTTTTGTCTACTTCCTCTCCGGCCCCTCTTTTCTTCCACTTGGCACTCCTTTTCTTGAGCCTTCATGGTGCCCATCTGCTGTTTCTAATCTTTACTATACACCTGATCCAAACTTTAATTCTCACACTTCCTCTCTTCTGAGGCTTTATCTTCCAAACTACCCCACTAATTAGTACTGAAGGCTTTAGTTTAGCCTGCTGGAGGAAAGACTCAGAAAAGCTGTGTAGCATGGCGATTGAAAGCAAGTCCTCTAAGCTTAAATTCAGTTCTATAAGTTACCACCTGAACTTAGGCAAGATCCCAAACATCTGTGGGCCTCAGATTTCATATCTGTAAAATGAGGATGATAATTGCAGCATTAATCTCATGTACTTGTTGCAAGGATTAAATGAGTTCATATATGTAATGGGCTTTTAATAGTAGTTGGCAAGATTGAAACAATTGATATCTTCTCTTAACACCAGGGTTATCCAAATTTATTTTAAAAGAGGATGAATATTAACCCCAGTTAATCATAAATAGTTAATTTTTGCTGTAATAAATTAAGTGAAAAATTCAGGTTCTATGCAGATGAAGCATTTGTTACATAAGTGATGGTGGGAGAAGGATGTAGAGGCAGATATTTTAAGCATAAGATAATATATGACACACAATGTGTATAAAGTAAATATTTAATCTGTGAAATATAAAAGCACTTGTAAATATTTGTGCATTTTAGAGATTCTATCCTATTTTTACTTCTAATCTCATTTTCTCTAAAAATCTCCCAGTGTTTTTCCCCCAACCCCAGCAGCTTCCATTTGAAGAGGGAAATCATTTGAGAGACTATGATACACGATGAAGAGAAGCAGGGAATCTGCAGAGGCTGTTTATACGCTCTATTGAATGTAAGTGGTCCCCAAGAGAAAGGAGGTCAGGGGCTTTAAGCTACTTGATAATATCAGCCTTTTTGTTCAGTGATAAGTAAAACAGCTTCTATATCAGTAAAGCAAACCAGAATAAGCGTTTCTATAAATGCTGACCACTGGTGGGGAGAAGGAAAGGAGAGGGCCATACACAGAGAGGCGGGTGGCTGGGAGCTGCATGTCTAGAATAGAGATCATATAGCCAGCCCAAAATGACATTTTATAGCAGGACAATGAAGACCATTCAGGGACTTCATAATCTGTAGACAAGAAAAAACTTCAGCAGTGATTCCAACTTGCCACAGTTTACTTAAATTCGGTTTAGTCATGTCTTTTCATTGTAAATAATTTCTTTAGAATTCCCTGTGATATTTCCTGGGATGCAATAAAATGAATCTTAGAGACATGATCTCAACCTAGGTTATAATCATCACTTCCCTTGGCCTCAAGAAACACAAATGAGTTATTTCCTTCCACAATTACATCCACTCTTGACTCTACCATCCTGTGTAAAGATGCTGTGAGTGCCTCCATTTTCGCATATTTTTTAAATTAATAAACATTTCTAAGAGCAGTTTTAGATTCACAGCAAAATTGAACAATTGATAGGAAAGTATAAAGTTCTCATATGCTTCCCATTTCTGCATAATTTTTGTTTAATTTGATTCATTAATTAAGTAAATCAATTTGAGCCATTATTTCTACACTAAAGATTCTAGGCCTCTCACTTAAATATTTTCTTTATTTTGCTGAAAATAAATCCTATTATAAAATTAGTCTCAATGACTTCAGGACAATTAAGTGCATAATTTTCTACTAAAATCTAGAAAAAAATAATGAATTTAATGGAAACTGCAAGATAGGCCTTACTATATAAATTCATATTTTTTTCAACCTCAATCTAGCTGTAATTAAAACATCTACCCTCATTATAGTAGCAACATTAGTTTCTATCCTTGGATCTGCATATCAATCAGTAAGTGATGAATGATGATGGTGATGATGATGATTATGGTGGTATTTACAATAGCATCATAATTTCTTTAAAAGGAAGAGGAACACGAAGTATAATAAAATGTCATCTGTTAATACTATCAAATCTAGCAAACAGTATCAAGTCTAGAGATCTGTCACTAGTTAGATAAATTAAAGAGCCAAATTCAAAAAATCAGACGGCCAAAGTCTATTTTGCATTATACCGATTTTGAATTATACTGTTGTCCACCTATATTGATCAGATTAACCATACCCATGACAAATTGTCATTTGACTTGGTGCTATGTACACATAGTCTATGAGTCAGGAGACATAGCTTTGGTGAAACTAAAGTTATTTTTTAGTGAAAGCTGACCTGGTCAGCATCACTAGGGACATGACCAGTAAACCAAAAGGTCCCCATTATAATTTCAGAGAGGTCACCCTCATCATTGCTGATTCAAGACATGGAAGCTGAAGCTGTAATCAGATTGGGGCTCAGAAGAATCCCACAGTTCCAGAAGTCATTTTAAGAACACTTAGAAAACCCTTGGAATTCCTCTTCAGGGAGTTTTTGTAAGTATGGCCTATAATATGTTCTCTTGGGAAAGAAATGGGATTAATTGTAAAAATTGTTTTTAAAGCATGGTTCAGTAAGCAAGCCTTTTGTGGTAATAAAGACCAACCCAGTGAGAACAAGAAGAGGTTATTTATTCAGGGCTTGCTATAGCAAGGGAATCAAAAACTATCACTTTTGTTTTGGCAAAGACTCAAAGGCAAGCAAGCAGAGGAGCGGGAAAGCTTTATAGTGGAAGAAATCGAAAACCTTAGGTATGCCAAGGCTGCTGGTGGGGAAGCTGAAGGTAGGCTAAGTAGAAACAGGCATCCTATATGATTGGCCAGGGTTGAATACTTGGGTTTCTCTGGTTGGTCCTAAATTGAAAGTAGGGACACAAATTTTAAAAGCTGTCAGTTAATTATCAGGTCCTGGCCAATTTAGGCCAATTATTACAAAAGTTATTGTTTAGGTTCCTGAATTGTTACTAGAGATAGCAATCTGGCTTCCTACAAGGCTGGTTCATTGCAGGCTGGCTTCCAGGACTGTTTATTGTAGAGAAGGGGGTTGGTTTCTTGGGTAGATGCTACAGGTTGTGGGTAAGAGCTCTATTTTTATAAATGGCCTGGCCATTTTCTGTTTGTGGATTCACTCTCTTACTCTGAATATATTTTCCCAAAAGGAGTATATCTATACATATTGCAAAAAAAAGTAAAGGAAGATATGGGAACACACAATACTACAAAATTTCATTAGATTTCATGTCCACAATTATACTCGCTCACCATTTTAATGTTTCTATTAGAGTAAGAAAGGTGCATGGGAAGAAATCTGTTCCCTTGGGTCTCAGATGAGGAAAAGAAATTGCAATTATATTTATGTTAGTTTTGTGACTGCTAAACTGCAGCAACAGAGATCCAAAAATATAGTAACACAAAAACAAGTAGGAATGTTTCTTTCTTAGAATAATTCACAGATTGGTAGATGATCCAAGATACAATATTGTCATCATTATCAATCTTTCTATTTATCTATCTAAGATGGGACTTCTGCTTTCAAAGCCATTCGTGACTCAGGTTCTTTTATTTTCAGGTTCAGGTTCATTCTTTCTTTTTGTTCATTCCGTTTATTGTTGTTATAGGTTCTTGTAGGTTATTTCCCTCACCTGCATGGACATGGCTGGCTCCCCACCATCCCTCTCTGTGTTTCAGCCCATGGAAATGGAGAAAGAGAAGTAGAAGAAAAGTGCCTTCTTTAAGAATATGATGTGGAAGTTCCACTCTCACATCCTATTGGCCACACATGGTCACATGGCCACATGTAGATAAAGGAGAGCTTGAGAAATAGTGTTTAGCTCCACTGCAAACTTGGCTGGGGAGAATCCATAACTAAAGGAAAGAGGGAAGAAACAAAGACAAGGAAAATTAGTACTCACTGCCCACAACAGAGATAATGGCTATGCATTTCAGCTACCAAGAAAGTTTTGGAAAAAATACAACACTCCCCAGATCCCCTTTGAAGCATTGTTCAGTCAAGCATGATAATGGGTTGCAGGCCAATTCATATCTATCTGCCCCTTCATATTGGATATTCTAAAATTTCTCAGGTATTAGCTAGAGAAAGCTTACTACAGAGGGCTGAGAAGTAGTGCAGATGATATCTAAATACTGTTTAATGTTTTATTGGACATGAAAAAGACAGTAGAACAATCTTTACTTGTCCCTTGGTGTCCTGAAAATTATTTCAAGTCAAGCAAAAAAAAAAAGAGAGGCATGCCAGATTTTGACACAGTCCAAAATTATACCTTTCTCAAGAATTTTAACTTCTTCTTTTCTCCTTGATATCTAAAAATCTAATAAAAACCATGATAATCTGTCTAATAAATTGTGAAATGTTTTGGAAAACACAAATATAAAAGATACAAAACACTACTGATAGTTATGTCAAATAATTTAGATGGTTTCAATCTGACTGATAGATTATTGGATTCTGACTTAAACATCAGACCTCTGGAATCAGGGCTATCCCAAGATGACAATTATTTCACCTGTACAGTCAGTTTACATTGGCCTATGGCTCAAGCGTAGCCACCTTCACATCTATCATCCTAGAACAGTTTTCACCTTTTTTTAGGTGACATGTATAATATCTCATCTTAGTATGCATCCAAACATGGGTAAAAGATCCAAGTGCCAATGTGTGGAGTAAAATCCTGATCCTTCAATGCTTTAGGAAATAATCTATTATGAGGGGAATGCTATAAGAGGCTCTGTCTCTGAGCCTCACATGTATAAGAGGCCTCAAGTTTAAACTTTTGGAATTATCTCCAAATGAATGTATACATGTGGCTATTTGATTTGTGTATGTGTTTTAGACATGGTAACTTTTTCACATAAACCGCAATTTTTATAACTTTGACTTTGTGTGTTTTTCAACTCCCTGGGGGCCACTGCTGTTGATGAGTGGAAGATTGCAGGATCCCATAAGCATGAAGGGGGGCCCCCACCCCAAGACAAAGAGTGAAATTTGATATGTCAAATTGATTTACCCTATCTCTCCTAAAATGTTCTATCTAAACCACTGACAAAAATTATAGGTAGCAGTAGTATTGTGTCTAGAGAAAGGAAAAGATATTGTAATGCTGTACTAGAAGGAGGGGTTTATTTGAAATTTTAAAAATGATTTTTACGTGTACACCTTTGAGACAGGTTGAAAACATCATACTGCCATTATCCTATGTATTTCTTGCAAAATACACTGATTCTTGTCTTCTTTCTAATTACCCTGGAAAACTAAAGGGCCATAAAATCACATACAATTTTCTTGATTTAACTCTTCCTCTTCTATCTACTCTCTCAGAGACCTGCCAAGCCTGCTTTGGAAACCAAAACGTCCTTCTTGCATCTTTTTATCTCAGGAAAAAGGTACTTCCTATGCCAATTCAAGACCATGGACCTGAATCTTAGGGTAATCATCCCTTCAAGAAAAGTGAAGTGGGCCAGACGAGGTGGCTCACACCTGTAATCCCAGCACTATGGGAAGCCGTTCACTTGAGGTCAGGAGTTCAAGACCAGCCTGGCCAACACGGTGAAACCCCATCTCTACTAAAAATACAAAAAGTAGCCAAATGTGATGGTGCATGCCTGTAATCCCAACTACTCAGGCTGAAGAAGAAGAATCGCTTAAACCCAGGAGGTGAAGGTTGCAGTGAGCCAAGATGACACCACTGCACTCCAGCCTGGGTGACAGAGCAAGACTCTGTCAAAAAAAAGAAAGAAAGAAAGAAAGATGAAGTGACAACATTTAAAATTAATAAATTTGAAGAAAAAATTAAGACCAACAAGTAAACAAGATAATCAAAGGAATCTGAAATCACAACTGAAGTAAAGCAATATTATTTGAAATTCTTGTACAGCTAACAGGACTTTTGACTATTGCACAAGAATAATCTCAGGATAATTATATAACAGAGAGAAGGGAAGATTTTGCATTCCAGATTAAAGCTCTGGAAACTAGAAAGGGAGCATGACAAAAAGGATGATATACCTGAGAGATACAAACATGATTTTTAAAAGTAAACATAAAATTTAAAAGGGATGAAGTAAAGGAAGGAGGAAGAGAGAAGCAACGGAGAAAAGGAAGGAGGAAGAAAAGTAGATAAATGAACATTACTTTCAAATAATACTGGAAGCAAATACATGGACCAACGCTTTCATATTTCCAGGGCTTCATATGTGAAGTTAGTACTCCTATATTTATAGGTATATACAAATTCTGAACTTGTTTCTAGGCACCATTTTTGTCTATTACAAAAGTGGCAAATATGTGCCAACTCTTTTTTTTTTATGTACTTTAAGTTCTAGGGTACATGTGCACAACATGCAGGTTTGTTACATATGTATACTATGTATATATGTGCCATGTTGATTTGCTGCACCCATTAACTCTTCATTTACATTAGGTATTTATCCTAATGCTATACCTCCCCCCTCCCCTCATCCCACGACAGGCCCTGGTGTGTGATGTGCCAACTCTATCTGGATTATCAGGTTGAGTAAGATAGTAATGTTGAATTCTACTTTGGTAAACAACAGTGAGGGTAGAGGTGGAGTTGGACATAATAGGCATTCCATTAACTTTTGGTTCATCCTATGATGGGACACATAGGCAAGATGACAGACTGAGGTTAGAAATTCAGTCTGCAGTCGTGGTTGGTGATTTTGTATGAAGATAAATCATCCCCATAGATATCTGTCTCTTTAGCCTCATACTGACACTGAGCTGGTGGTTTTCTTCCTGTAATAATGATTGATAAGACAGATTTACAGACATATTAAGTCAGCCACCATTTCAGAAACAAACTCCTCTTCTTTATGTGCACTACAGCAGTGATTCCCAACTTGGAATGACATAGGGGAGAGAGATCCAGGAGAATTACCTGGAGAGCATCATCATCACCTATAGCTGAAAAACTGCTCCTAACCCTCTAAATTCCTAGAGATCAAGGCTCTTCCATTTGCATGACTACATTATGACAGAGTGCCCTAAAGGAAATTGCAAAACTCAAGACTCATAGCAAGAATTCTTTTTTCTGTTTTAGAAATATTTTTTAAAAGAATATGTATTAGCTACACTCAATATTATATAAAAAAGCCCTATAATTTAGACAAGGAGTGGGCACAGAGTGATACTGGGTTGTCTGAGTCCATTTTGTACTGCTACTACAGAATATCTGAAACTAGGTAAGTTATAATGAACAGAAATTTATTGGTTCATGATTCTAGAGGCTGGAAAATTCGAGACTGGGGGCTGGCACCTTGCAAGGGCCATCTTGCTGCATCACCCCAGAGCAGGACAAAGAGAGGGCAAGAGAGAGAAGCAAAAGGAGGCTGAACTTGTTGTTTTATAAGGGACCCACTCTGTGACAGTGACAATCTATTCATGACAGAGCTCTTATGGCCTAATCACCTCTTAAAGTTGCCACCTCTTAATATTCTTACAGTGGCAATTACATTTCAACATGACTTTTGGAGGGAATGAACATTCAAATCATAGCAGGACTTCCCCCTAGCTGTACATTAGAATCTCCTAGGAAGCTTTTAAAATACATTCATGCCTAGTCTTTATCCCAAACCAATTTAATCAAATATCATGAGTGAGCTCTATAGTTTTTTAAAACTCTCAGATGATTCTAATATATAGGCAAGATTGAGAACCACTACATTAGACCAAATAGCATAAGGAAATGAGCACTTGATCATAAACTTGATCTATATTCTAGTCCCAGCTCTACCATGAATTTGAGACATGACCTACATAGTAGGTTACCTAATCTCTTGAGTGCTTAGTTCTTTTCACAAAATTAGAGTGAGAGAATCAGACAAGATGATTCAACAAATGTTTTCTTTTTAAAGGTACATCAGACACATCTTAACATGCCTTATAAGATCCCCTGTCTTCTGCACTGTTTTGGACCAGGTCTGCCACTCAGCTTTCCTCCCTTCACTGTAGCCCTACTGAACCTGTTTTAGCTCCTTAACCCCCTGCAATGTCTTCATTACTTCCTAGTCTTCATATATTGTAGCCTCTCATTAGGAAATACTCCTGGACCCTCTTCCTCACTCGACCAGTCAACAGCATCTGTCTAACCACATACTCTTTTGTCTTAAGGCTGTTCTTCTTAGGGCCATAGATGTTTGCCCACAAAAACTGAGTCAACATGATTCCTTGTTCATATCCACTCTGGTTCTTTCCAGAAACCTTAAAGAAGCCTCTTCCTCATGTTACCTTATATTGGCTAAGACAGGCCAGTTTGTGAATCAATCTGTCAAGGAAGGATGGAATTACTATGACCAACTTATATTGATCATCTGCAGTGAAGTAGATGTTAGTGAGTCAGTAAAAATGCCTACCAAAAGAGTTATGAAATATTTATTTAATGAATGTCTGAATGAGCTGAACTAGGATGTACAGAGAATACAAAAATGAATACCTCAGATTTTCTGCCTTTGAGGTGTTTGCAGTCCTGTGGAGGTGTTAAAAATGTGAACAGTTTACAGGACAAATGGTAAGTTCTATAATGAAGCAAGAAGAAAGTATTCTGAACACAGAGGAAAGAGCAGCTAAGGTATCAGAAGAAAGAAGGATAGTTGCTCAGAGAAACAGGCATTTGAGCTGGCACATAAGGTCTCTTTTTTCTGATTCTACTCCACCAAACATTTGGCCAACTCCAAGATATATAAATAAGACAGGTTAAAGACTTCCATTTTCCAAATATTCAATATAGAAAACATAATATCAATAAAGTAAATTTGCTGAGTCTCAGGAAAATAATTTCTCATGTTTAATAACCCAATTATGTCATTATATGTTTTCCTGTGTTTTTCCCCATAATACTGTTCTATATCGATCAACTATTAAAACACACTAATACAGTAAACCTTTATGTGCTGATAGTGCTTGAGTCAGCAGTTGAAGTCCTGTGGCTTCTATTAAATATTAGCTATAAAGAAGAACATCATGGTGACTTTTCAATGAAGGGCAGAAAAAAATTCAGAGTTAAGAGAGTAAGAAGAATGTATGAACACTTAGAACAGTCTGTAAATTGTGCTTCCCTCAGGAAAAGGGGCCATTGACTATTGCAGCAATAGTTACCAAACTTGCTCTAAATCAAAATTATCTGAGAGATTTTTAAAACATGTATCCCTTGGCTCCTCACCCCCAGGTGAATCAAATCTGTAGGATAAAACTGAGGAGTCCTTTAAAAAGACAGAAGATGCACATTGATGGATCCTTGCATAATACATTAATGTAACTACATAATAAAGAGTACTCAGAAATAGAAGTTAAAAGATTTGTGTTCTACCACCAGGTTCTGCTCTAATTAGAAAGCTGCCCGCAAGTATGCCAAGTAATTCCAATAACTTAACCTCTTTCAATCTATTATCCTCCTGATATGACTCATAAAGTCATTTTCAGAATGAAAGGCAATCATAGATGAGAAGACACTTTAAAAGATTTTAAAATGTGAACCTAAAATATCATTAACACATACTAGAGGAGATGAGATAGAACACAGACCCTTCTAAGTAATGCTTTACAAGGAATTCTGGCAGCCATAATTCCCCTCGATGGCTAAACCTGTCATAAGAAGAGTCTTTTGAGGGATGACTGCGAGGTTAATTTTGAGGCAGAATATGGTAAAAAGTTTTTATCCATAATACTTCCCATTCCCGACAATTATTGCTTCTGAAAGGTCACTTTTGAAAGGTCAGGAAATGGAAATACATGCATCAGAACAGACTGAAAACAGAGAATCTCCTTTCCCATAAATTCTACAAATGAGTACTTCAAGGTCCCAATGAGAAAAGACCTTTAAACTCCTTCTGCCTCCTACATCAGGATAATAACTGTGGAAAGGAGGAGAAGTACAGATCTTATTTTAAAGAGACAATGGTGCCTGTAGGGACAAGGAGAAGAATAGTGTTATACTTTCCCACAAATGCTTGATAATTTCAGCAGGAAAGCATGTTATCTAATTATAATATAGATGAAGGGCCAGCTTTCAGAACATTTGAGAAGCAAAGGTGTATTCATATCCTCCCTCTCTTCTTTCCTATCTGTTTTTCCCTTTATGGAGACTCCATGGGCACAGAGTGACACTGGGTTACCCCAGCTGCCCACAGCAACATATTGTGATGTACATAGAGCACCACCCATTCTTCTCCAGCTTACTCAATCCCCTTGCTATCATACTCAGCAAGACAGAAAGCAAAATAAACTAAAACAGACAACAAACAAACAAATAAACAGTATTGGCCCAGCTAGAGTGTTACAATCTGTTTGCGATTGAGAAAAAGGGATATGAAGAGCCAGTGTGGGAAATGTATGGGGGACACATCAGGTGGCAAGTGGAAGGTTTGGCTTTAGGTTATGGTAGAAGAGGTTCAGTGTCGTGAGAGAAAAAGAGGAGCATATGTATAGGAAGGAGGTTACAGTGAAAATTCAGTAGTGGAGAGATAAACTAGTTGTATTATGGTGGTTATTTCCTCAAGAAATTCATGAGTTCACCACAGGGGAGTAGAAAATGCATAACTGATATTGGGGAGTTAATGGAGAAGTAAGGTGTGAAAGCACTTCAGAGATGGAAAGCAAACTTGTTAGGGAACTCTGAGGAGATGGCTGGATAGTTCTGAGGCCCCACTTGAGATTTGTTGTCATAGACTCAAAGTGAGATCAATTGGCAAATGTATGCCTCCGTAACTGCAGCCATTTTCCAGGCTGATTAGAAACAGTCTGCAGTGAGCAGAGAATTTGTTTTGTCAGTCAAGTGAAATGGAAGGAAAGAGCAACAAACAGCTACAGTCAATTATAATGATTGTGACAGACTTTGGAGAGCAGAAAAGTAGGAAGGAGGAACAACTGAAAACTAAAAAGTGTTGAGATCAGTGAGTTCTTCATGGAGTAATAAAGTGTTCAAATGGACCTATTGGAGTAAGGGAGCTCCAAGGGGAAGGGGCAGTGAAGAAATGAGTAAATTAAAATTGAGATTTCAGAGGTGATTAAGTTATTAAGTCATATTTAACAAACTTTTAGATCACAATCCTCAGAAAGGAATTTTACATAGACATTAAATGTACATACACAAGCGTTCACAAAACAATACTTACACTTAAATGCACTCTGATACCTGATATGTTTAATTCTGATCCATTCTTATTTAAAATGTTGTTGCTAAATTATTAAGACCCACTAATAGGTCCCAATCTGGAGCCTGAAAAACACTGGTCTGGAATAAGTCCATTGCGGGTAGCTCAAGTGGGATAGAACAAAAGAACTAAGGAAGTCACGGACCTCAGAGGCCAGAGTGTTGAACTGACCATTTTCACTGATATCGAAGTTGCCAAAATAATGATAGATGTAGTGGAATAAAACAATTAGCCACATGTGAAAATTTTACACTTGATCTTAGCCAAAAGGCCAAGAAGTGATGCAGATGCGAAAGCTTTCTAATGGTTAATTGTTTCAATAAAAATAATCTTCATAATAAATGAATGAGTTAATTAATTATACATTGCCCTTTATCCACTTCTAATCCTTTTTAAACATTGGTATGAGTAAATACATTAAAATTAATTAGTTAATTATTTTGATGTTCATTCATTTAACAAATGTTTGAGATCCTTCTTTGGGGAAAAATGACTTGATTTCTGTATTTCTATTCTTATGTACTTTGTAGTCTAGTGTGTGATACAGACATTGAACAAATAAACATATTAATAAATACAGAGTTACAGCTTGCAATAACAGCTCTCTGCTGTGAGAGATAACATGGAATAGGGAAATAGATGTCTCAAAAATCCTCTTTGAATAAATGATGTATTAGCTGAATCCCAAAAAGATGAGTAAGGGATGATCATGAGAGAATTAGCAAATCTCTTTATCTTTCTGTATTTTAGCATCTTTATCTTTGAAATAAGAGTAAAGTAATAGCAAATAACCATGTAGTAGTGTATATTTCAAGAGAGCTAGAAAAGATGATTTTGATTGTTGTCACCACAAAGAAATGATAAGTGTTTAAAATGATGGCTATGTTAATTATTCCTATTTCATTATTATACAATGTATACATGCATTGAAACATCACACTGTACCCCATAAATATGTACATTACTATGCATCATTTATAAAGTTACAAATTTATTTTTAAAATTTTTCAAAAAATTAAATAGAATCTCAGGGTGGGATGGAGCCTTAAAGTCCATCAAATCCAACAACCCTTTCAATTCTTGAATGTTTTTTAAGTATTTCTGCCCAAATGTCAATATTGTGGTGAACTTGCTCTCTTTCAAGGGACCATAATGGGAACCTTTCCTATTTTTACTTTAGATATTTTTCTTACACACTCATTCATTCAACCCTCACAACTACCCTGTGAAAAGTAATGTCATCTCTAATTTGTAGAGGAGAAGAACAAATGGGGTTGGAACAAATGGGGTTGGCCTTGATACACAATGGTACTAGTAACCACCACTTCCCAATTAATCCTTTGGGCTGTTAATAATGGCAGCATTTTTCCCTGATGCACCAATACACACTAGCAGCTGGTTAGGATGAAGGGGCAGCTGCAGGGTCATGGGACAGTATCTTAGAGTAACCATCTGGTACTGCTCCAGCCTGAACTCACATCTATGACCTCATTTGCTTCGTGTCCTAGCCAAGTCAGTGATAGATGTTTTATTCCTTACTTGACCTTGTTCTTTCAGTCAATCCCTGTTGAGTGCCCCTAGCTGCTAAATGTGAGAATAAAGAGATAGGGTTATAATCCATCTTCTCTTTAAGGGCCTACAGATTAATCAAGGAAAGAGAAAAACCAAGCAGAATTTTCCACACCATATGTTGTAAAAAGTGCAATGATAAAAGTAAGTACATACAGGCCGCTAAGGTAGCAGAGAGAAGGGGCATATACACAATTTTCTAGTTCTAGGGGTGAAAGCAGTGTTTTACAATCACAAACACATGTCGGCTTTTGATAAACATTTAAATTTCTAGCTCCTCCCATAAGAAAAAAAAAAAGAAAAGAAAAACAGTTCTAGGAAACCCCAAAGGAGCTTGCCTCCATTGAAAATTGCAATGCTTGGTTTTCCTAGCAGCATTTACTTTTTGTAACTTGAGTTACACTAAAAATATAATTTTTTGTTTTCCAAATTTAAAAAAAAGTTGATTATACTTAATATATTTTTAAACTACCTGACCCACCATCACACCATATTTCCAATAGATAATTCCACTAAGCTTCTGTGGCAGGAGAATCTCATGTGTCCTCTTGCTAATGATACCTCCTGGAGAATCACTGCAGATGTCAAAGAAACAGCAACAGAAGAAGTAGCACTTGAACCAGTGATTTTCAACCTTGACTGATCCTTAGAGGTTTCAGGAGCACATTTAAAATATTTCAATACCCTATTCCACAACAGAGCAAATGAAATCAGAATGGTGGGGTGAAATGTATACAATTATGATTTGTCAAACAAAAATAATATTAATGATAAAATAAACATTTTTTAAAAGAAAGAAAGAATGAATGTTGGGATGAGGGTGGTGCCAGGAAAGGGTGTTGGATTTTTTTAACACCCTTGCTGATTTTAATGTGCAGCCGAGATTGAAAAACACTGATGGAAATATAAGGCTAGTTTTTTTCTTCAGTTGGTTCTTGGAATTTTCCCAGTGGTTCTCAGACTCTCCTGATTTGATTCACCTTGGGAGAAGTTATTCATTTCTACTTACAGCTGTCATTACCTCATTGATAATCTATGGCAATTACCATCTGTCTGATCTCTTTATTGTACATCTCTCTACCTGCACCTGGCTGTTCATTTATTCATTTATTCAATACAGCAGTCAACAATTCAATATCAATTGGGCACCTGCGTTCTGTACAAGGCAGTGCTAACAACATATAATGATGAAAGTCACAGTCACTAACCTTTGAGACTCCCAGCCTAAGAGGAAAGGCAAAAAAATATAACAGCAGGATTAAACTCTGATAGAATATGGGAAGTATGTACAAGGAGGTATAGGGGCACAGGAGGGAAGCATTAACTGTACCTGGGCAAGGAATTAAAAGGACACCTCAGGCTTACCAAAGGAAATGATGCATCAGCTGAGTATTATCAAAAGTGGACATGGGTTGCCAATCATCAGTGCCCTAAATGTCAACAGGAAAAACCTGTAGATCAAGCAAAGCTAAACCTGCTAGACTTCCTGCAGTAAAAGATAAAACGGGCTCAACAAAGCCTTAGTAGTGAAGGCAGAAGAAGATGGAGGATTTTGAGACCTGGGCTTGATGACTTTAAGGTAGGTTTAGCAAGAGAGAAACTAGACGGAAATGGGATGAGTTTATTACATAATGATGGTGGACTGGTTTTGAAGTCAATCTAGGGGATGCCCATTTGTCTTGGTAAGTAAATTATTTTAGCTAGTTTTATAGTTTTATATTCCAGGCATATATATTTCCTGAAGCAAACAGCTAATTATTTTTGTTTGTTCTCAGTGTTATAGAAAATATACCCAGTCACAGTATTGTCTACCAAGTGTTAGGTTCTGATTGAGGTCTGAGGGGAGTCAGTGGGGCAGCGGGTAGCTGGAAAAATACTTGAGGAGTTGTAGACAATTTTGACATGGCTTTACTCTATCTCTGGGCACAAGTGAGCCTGGATGCAAGCCGTAGTCTGGGCGTGAGCAAGCATGGGTGTGAGCCTAGGTGCAAGCCTACCCAGGCACAAACCACATGTACAGCATCAGCAGGGTAATTAGACCTTTTATAGACAATAGTGGCTCCGAACCAAGCATGAGCTTATGTGAGTGGTTACATAATGCACCCCGCATGGCGTAGTTACATAATGTGCAGAGTTGTGTGCCTGCACACTGAACTCATTGAGTCATGCTAGACTGGATACCTGCCTCAGCCTATTCTTGACCACAGTACATCCATTTTCCTTACAGTCCACCTCCTAGGCCGAGGGAGGCATAGGTCTTGAACATACAGGTCTTGGACACATCAGTTTTGAGTACACAGGCCCAGCACAGGCTTGACACATAGGTCTGACACATAGGCCCTGGGCACACAGGCCTGATACACAGGCCCCAGACACACAGGTCCGACATATGTGGGCAACCACCCCATGGTGACGTTACCCCAATGTTGCTTTATATATTAAGCCAGGATTTTTGTTCCCCTACCTTTAGGGGCAATGGGGGAGACAATAACAGGTTACCATTCATCCCTATACCTGGTCGGATGAGGTCATCCTTTCTCCCATAGGTCTTGCCACATGGCCTGCTCCCACATGGGCTGGTGATCAACTAGCCAATTCTGTAACTTCCAGGTAGTTAACCACAAGGTTAAACCTTAATAAACTGCCCAGCTATGGGTGCAGACTAACATAGGTGTCACCTCCTTGGTGATCACCATGTATACTGCTCTAAGTTCAGCCCATTGGCTACTTTGCCCACACCCAGTTTCAAACCATATGCTGTCAGTACTAGGGTGGACTGCGACAGTGGTCCAGTCAGAAGCAGCACTTTGGCTAGACCCATCTGTGTATCATGCTTCATCAGGAATGTGGGGACACCCTTCCTTAAATGGTGAAGGCTCAGGGTCTAGAGGTGCCTCAGGCACCATGGCCTTATCTTGCATTAGGACTACAGTTCCCAAGATCTCTTGCAACTCTGCTGCTAAGGGACTTATATCCAGCGTATTCCGCTGCTCTAAGTAGGTGCCTTACTTTGCTAAAGTGGAAGTCTGCACCATCCCAGCCTGAGGGGTCATTATCCATGAATGCACCCCTCCCACTGTCAAGTAAGTCATCAGCACAACGACTGTAGCCTGTCCTGCCATGCTCTCATGAGCCTAAAGGGCAGCATATGCAGTTACTAACTCCTTCTCTATCAATGAATACTGGAATTCAGCTCCTTTCCAAAGTTGGGACTGAAAGCCTATTGGCATTCTCAAGCACTCCATGTGCTGCTATAGGCCTCAGCCAAAACTATCTGTGGTCACATGAACATCAAGTTTAAATGGATGTCCTGGTTAATTAACCGTAGGGCTTGTGCCTGCTGAATAGCCCACTTGGCTGCCAGGACAGCAGTCTCAGCGGCACCGTCTCAATCTCAGGCAAGAGGAGCATTGCAGCTTCTAAATCTGCAAGAGAATCAGAGGTTAGCCTAATATCATTAACAAAACCTTGAATAATATTATTAACAAGACCATGACATACGGTGGGGCTATGCACATAGTCCTGCAGCAACACTGTGAAAGTCTACTGTCACCCTCCCATAAAGGCAAACTGTTCCTGGCTCTCTGAAAATGCATTATCCAAGTCCACCATATAGTGTTACTGTCTCAGTTCTGTCAAGCAGTCTATCAGATCTATAATAGACGGCACAGCTGCCAAGCCATGTAAAATATCCACCCCCAGAATGTATTCCGGTATGGGAGAGACATACACAATGCATAAGCAGGGAGCCGAGCAGCCAATGCCAAGGTGCAAAGATACAGGTTTCACTTTCACTGGCTGGTTTTCATAACCGTCTATGCAGCCTTGCCCAGAAACTTATCCAGGTTCAGGAACCAGTCCACACGTGGCCTCCAGTAATCTGGTGTCCCCCCCAAGCCAAGCACCTCGGCCAGTTCCCTAATCAAACAGAAAAGGCTCTACATTTCCACCTGGCTGCAGCACGTAGTATTTGAGCTGGAACACACAGGCAAGACTGTGTCACACAGCAATGTCCTTCTCTCCCTTTGGCATTTTCTGGAATTGTTGCTCTGGAGACAACTGTCTCCACAAAGTTAAGAGTACTTCATTGAGCTCCTTTTCAATTTTCTCTCAGTCAACCACAGCCAAAATAAAATCTATCCACATCTGTGAGCGTGTCACTCATTGGGGCCCCCTTTCCTCCTGTGGGGGACAGCCCCTGCAGGCGGGGCATCTTCCCCTTCTTCATGGTGTGAACCCAGACCAACTAGGGGTCTCTGGCCAAGAAGATGGACCCAGGCCTGCATTCACAGCAGCCTCTAATTCCTTTTACAAGCTCTGTAGCAGGACCAGCAGGCACTCCACCTGCACCTGAAGGTCCCCATTCACAGCAGCTTCTCTTTTTCTGAGCTGTGTAGCCGGGCCTCCAGGCACCCTACCTGTGCCTGGAGGGCCCTTACTTCTGCTGCATCCCTAAGGGACTGGGTGTGTACTTCTCATAGCGCAGTCAAAAATGCCCATCCAACTCTGGCAGCAAAGGCTTATTCCTTCTTGGTGCTCTCTGCTTCCAGCTGCTCCAGAGCTTTCTCCATGCTGACAGGGGACCCATCTACTGCCACCCCGGTTTCCACCGGAGCCCATCCAAGCAGCAGAGCTGCCACCAGGTACCACAACCCATATTGCAGCCACATGGCCAACCCAGAATCAGCGGGGACCAAAGTCTCACCCACCTTGGGATCCTGTTTGTGATGCCAATCATTAGGGTCTAACTGAGGTCCAAGGGGAGCTGATGGGGTGGCAGGTAGCTGGAAAAACACTCAAGGAATCATAAACATAAACAGTTTTGACATGGCTTTACTCTATCCCTGGGCATGAGTGAGCCTGGGTGTGAGCACGGGCATGAGCTGATCTGGGCACAAGCCATATGTACAGCATTCACAGAGTAATTGTATCTTTTACAGACAGTAGTGGCTCTGAGCCAAGCACAAGCTCATGTGAGTGGTTACTTAATGCACTTCACGTAGTGTGGTTACATAATGTGCCTCACATGGCACGGTTACATAACGTGCAAAGTTGTGCACCTGCACTCCAAACTCACTGAGTCATGCTGGACCAGATGTCTGCCTCAGCCTATTCTTGACCACAGTACATCCATTTTCCTTACACCAAGAATACAAAATCTTTGTTTCAATACTCACTAAAGCAGGCAAACAAGTGGAGAGATGGGAATTGGCAATGAGATAAGCCTGTGCAAAGACAAAGCTCTAAAACCAGAGTATGCTCTAGAAATCTCTCCTGCTTTCCGAATCAAGTCCACACTTCTGAACTTGTTATTTAAGGCCCTCTAGTATGTGAACCACCTTGCCTTATCTCAGATGAGACTTTGGACTTGGACTTTTAGGTTAGTGCTATAATGAGTTAAGACTTTGGGAGACTGTTGGAAAGGCATAATTGCGTTTGAAATGTGAGAACATGAGATTTGGGAGGGGTTGGGGCAGAACGATATGGTTTGGCTCTGTGTCCCCACTCAAATCTCATCTTGAATTGTAATAATCCCCACGTGTCAAAGGCAGTACCAGGTGGAGGTAATTAAATCACGGGAGTGGTTTCCCCATGCTATTCTCAGGATAGTGAGTGAGTTCTCAGGAGATCTGATGGTTTTATAAGGGGCTTCTCCCTTAACTCAGCACGCATTCTCTCTCCTGCTGCTGTGTGAAGAGGTGCCTTCTGCCATGATTGTAAGTTTCCTGAGGCCTCCTCAGCAACATGGAACTGTGAGTAAATTAAACCTCTTTTCTTTATAAATTACCTACTTGCAGGCAGTTCTTTATAGTAGTGTGAGAACAGACTAATACAGGGACAGTTTTCCCCATGCTGTTCTTGTGATAGTGAGGGAGTTCTCACAAGATCTGGTTGTTTGATAAGTGTCTGGCGCTTCTCCCTTCTCACTCTGTCTCTCTCCTGTCACCTGTGAAGAAGGTTCTTGCTTCTCCTTCACCTTCCTCCATAATTGTAAGTTCCCTGAGGCCTCCTCAGCCATGCAGAACTGTGAGTCAATTAAACCTATTTTGTTTATAAATTACCCAGTCACAGGTATACCTTTATAGCAGTGTGAAAACAGCCTAATATAATCATTGAATCTGTACATTGCTTTGGGCACTGTGGCCATTTTAACAATATTGATTCTTTCTATCCATGAACATGGAATGTTTCTCCATTTGTTTGTGTAGTCTCTGATTCCTTTTAGCAATGTTATGTAGATCTCCTTGTAGAGCTCTTTCATCTGCTTGGTCAGCTGTATTCCTAGGTATTTCATTTTCTCTGTGGCTATTGTAAATAAAATCATGTTCTTGATTTGACTCTCAGAGTGGATGTTATTGGTGTATGGAAATGGTACTGATTTTTGTACATTAATTTTGTATACTGTAACTTTACTGATGTTATTTATCAGTTCTAGGAGTCTTTTTGTGGAGTCTTTAGGGTTTTCTAGGTGTGGAATAATACCATCAGCAAAGAGAAATAGTTTGACTTCTTTTCCTATTTGGATGCCTTTCATTTCTTTCTCCTGACTGATTGCTCTGGATAAGACTTCCAGCACTGTTGAATAGGTGGAGTGAGAGTGGGCATCCTTGTTTTGTTCCAGTTCTCAAAGGGAATGGTTCTAGCTGTTGCCCATTCAGTATAATGTTGGCTGTGGGTTTGTCATAGATGGCCCTAATTATTTTGAGGTATGTTCTTTCATGGTATATCTGCTCAATGCCTGCAGTCTGTTGAGGGTTTTTATCATGAAGGGATGTTGGATTTTATCAAAAGCTTTTTCCGCATCTACTGAGATGATCATATGGTTTTTGCTTTTAATTCTGTTTAAGTGGTGAATCACATTTATTAATTTGCGTATGTTGAACCAGCCTTACATCCCAGAAATAACATATATCTTATCGAGATATATTAATTTTTTTATGTGCTGCAGAATTCAATTTACTAGTATTTTGTTGAGGATTTTTGCATCTATGTTCATCAGGGATATTGGCCTGAAGATTTCTTTCTTTATTGTGTCTCTGCCAGATTTAGGTATCAAGCTGATGTTGGCTTCATAGAATGAGTTAGGGAGAAGTCCCTCCTCTTTGATTTTTGGAAATAGTTTTGGTAGGATTGGTACCAGTTCTTCTTTGTAAGCCTGGTAGAATTTGGCTATAAAACCATCTGGTCCAAGGCTTTTTTTGGTTGGTATGCTTTTTATTACTTACTCGATTTCAGAGCTCAATATCAGTCTTTTTCAGGATTTCAATCCCTTCCTAATTCAATCTTGGAAGTTTGCATGTTTCCAGAGATTTATCCATTTATAGATTTTCTAATGTGTGTGCATAGAGTTCATAACATTCTCTGAGGATCTTTTGTATTTCTGTGTCTACTCTCCAGGCAGATCCCTCTGCCAGCTGAAACATCCATAGGAGATATGGGGTCCCCTGGAGCTAAAACCTCAAACATCTGTAGCAAGAGTGGACAGTCCCACAGTCTCTTTACTCCCTCCTTGCCCAGGAACTGTTTGGGACTGGAAACTAGCCCTGGCTTTGGGGTACCCTGTACAGGGTTCCCAGTTTCTTCCCTCTTCAGTCTCAGTGTCTGTGTTGCATCTCCCCCTACTCTTGGCATTTTCTCTCTGAAGATCTGCTCAAATTATATTGGTTTATTAGAAATTCTAGTCTTTATCAGTGGAAGTAGTACTTCCTGGCTGTGTCTGGTTGTCTATCTTGTCCTCTCTCCTGATGGAAGGTTTAAGTGGAAAGTTGGGCTCCGAATAAATTATTGATAATAAGAATATGCCGTTACAATTTTTAGACAAAAATTAAATGTAGAAATAAGATTTGTCTCTGAGAAGTTATTGTTAGGGCCTTCAGAAGGAGGCTTATCCTGCTTATAGAGAGGGCTTTCTTGTTCCTGAAATCAATTAAGAATTATACAATATTTAATATGTTCCAAAACAGTTGATGCAGTGTGTACTCTCTCTCTCAGGCTTACACTAAGAATTAATAGTTTTGCATTCACAGAATGGGCAATAAGCTCATTACTCAAGATGATTTTTCTATCCAAAGGGAAGAATGGTAGAATAACTGCATTCTCCTTCTGCCAAAAAATAAAAAAATTACATGATGTAGAATGTGTCCTTGTGTTTGCCTGAAGACATCATCTGGTCAAATGACATCAAAATAATAAAATCTGGCTTAAATATAAATTCTAACAATTTTTCAAACTCTGCAAAAAAAATAATTTGACTGTACCAATTCTTTCTTCAACTTTACCCTGAAAACATACTTTGTGTATATATATATATACACACACACATATGTATATATATATAAAGTATCTATATACACACACACATATGTATATATATAAAGTATATATATATACACACACATATGTATATATATAAAGTATATATATATACAACTACATAATTACTGAGTTATTATTAACAGTAATGCTAAACACTTTACTTATCTAATTTCATTCCCACAATAACCTTAAAGGATATACTATTTTATTCTCTATTATAGGTAAGAAAATTGAGGCCCAACAGGACTAGTTACCCTATATGCCTGAACATAAAACAACCCAGAATACAATGTGATCCTTCGATATCCATATGGGAAGACATATACAATAAAAATGACGACAAGAGCCTGACTTGAAAATATATACTAATAAAAAAATAAATTTTAAAAGTTAAATATGTATGCATTTGATTTAGTTGCATATTTATTTTAAATAACACACCCTGTGAATGAAAGCATTACATTTAAAATATTACTTTTTTCCACCTGCAAATTTTATGAAATAATTTTATTCAAACTCCACGTGCCTCTTAACATCAAAATCTTATTAATCACTGGAGCCGCTTTTCTGAAACAAGTAACAGTTTTCCAGAGTTACCATTTGTATTCATCAAGGGTACTCTGGGGGAAAAATTAATGTGTATATATATGTGTGTGTCTATACATGCCTATGCATACACACACAAACACACACAGAGACATATATATATATATATATGGAGAGAGAGAGAGAGAAAGATTTATTACCAGGAATTGGATCAGGCAATTATGGAGGATGGGAAACCCAAAATCTGCAGGGTGGGCCAATTGACCCAGGGAAAGCCAAAGTTTTAGTTCAAAGACCATCAGACAGGAAGAGTCAATACTGCAGATGAAATCAGAAGGTAGTCAGCTAGAGAATTATCTCTGACTTAGGGGAAGATCAGTGTTTTTGTTCTATTCAGGCCTTCAACTGGTTGGATGAAGCCTACTCACATTATGGAAGGCAATCTCCTTTTCTCTGCTGATTAAAATGTTAATCTAATCCAATGTTAAAGTCTACCTATCGAAATATTTATCTCATCCCCAATATTTAGAACATCCTCACATAAACACCCCGAATAATGTTTCACCCAATATCTGAATACCCCACGGTCTAGTTGACACACAAAATTAACCATCAGAGCATCTTACCTCTAAGTCATTAGAGATACACACTTTTTTAATATGTGTGTGATACAATCAGAATAAATCTTATTTCAAGGCATAAAAAACACATTTATATAATAATACTACTTTCTATTTAAGTGCAGGTAAATGATTGTGATCCACAAAGTAACCACTTAGGGTATCATTTTTAAGCTGTGCTTCGCAAACTTTGTTGCATACTGAAATGGCCTGGGAAGTTTTTTAAAAGATGCTGTTTTCTGGGTCCCAGTCCAGAGAATCTGATTTCATTGATATGGAATGGGACCTGGGCATAGGATTTTTAAAAGCTCCCCCAAATAATTCCAACCATTGTTTCAAAGTAATCTTTAAAAGATTCTTTTTACCACATCCATCACCTGCCATTATGAGGTCATCCCCTAAGAAGAATCCCAATGTAAGTTATTTTTTATTTTTTTTAGACACTAGAAGTGTCTATTGAGTGAACTCCATAAGATTCCTAAAGTAGCACTGATTGAGATCATATTGGGTTAATGTGCCTCAATACAAGAGCCATAAAAACACCAAGATTTTCGAGGCTTTGCCATCTTTGGCTTCTACCAAATTCATAGTGAAATGGACTTTTTATGGACTCACTGACTCCCATGAGAGAGTCTTTCCACTCAAAGGCCCATAAGTTCAAGGAATCAGACTGAAGTCCAATACGAAAATGTAGTGCTGTGCTCAGTAGCCTTCTCCTTTTAACAGAAGCACAATTTCTTAGGTCTAAACTTTAATACTTACATTTTCTCTTCCCTAGGCTCCCATGAGAATTCCATGGAATTCCCTCCCATGAGGCTCCCTGGTTCCCTATGTAAATTGAACCTTGGTTGTGATGGATACAGCTGATACTCTGCCCAGATCCCCTCAGATCTCTCTTATCTGTGCTATGTGTCCATCCCCAGCCTCCACATGCTCTGCTACTAAGGGTTATCACCCAGGGTCCTCAAAGAATTGCCCATGGGCACTAAAGCCTCCTTGCCCACATGGAGAACAGAAAGATCTGGGAATTTGCATCCCCCACCATGCTGGCCCTTGGCCAGTGACTAACTGGTGTGAAATACAAAAGCCCAGCTCTTGTAGGATACGGAGAGGAAGGGAACAAACCCTGAAATGTCATTTTCTCTCCAGAGCCTCCTCAGAATCGGGCTGAGTCTGAGACATCACATGGAATTGGACCTTTGCTTGGCTTTGTCACTTTCCTTCCTATCCTGCTTCTTTTACCCTTTTACTGGTTTTACTGGGAGAATTAATACATTACTTACACCTGAATCCTTGGCCCAGCATTTGCTTCCAGGAAACTCCAGCCTAAGATAGTGTTTCACACCACTCATCTTCCACCATTCCTCAAGACCTAAAAGCTCTAATTTTAAAATGAGCACAGGTGAGACATGGGCTATGCGGTGGTGGTGGGGGGAGGGGCGGGGAAGTGTGGGGAAGTGGCAAGCAAGAGAGAGAGAGAGGATGGGAAATAGGAATCATCTTTCCATTCTTTACTGTCTGCCCTCCTATTCATTTCCACATTACCTTCTAAAACCCACTGTTTACATGTCACCTTCTCTTCTACCCATTTTAGGGTGCTCCGTTACTTAGAAATATAGTAAAAATTCCATAGCCTCATGAATGTTGACAAAATGATTCTAAAGTTTTTATGGAGAGGCAAAGGACCCAGAATTGCCAAATCAATATTGAAGAAGAACAAAGGTGGAAGACTGATACCACCCAACTTCAAGACTTACTATAAAGCTACAGTAATCGAGAAAGCATGTTATTGGCGAAAGAATAAACAAATAGATCAGTGGAACAGAATAGAGAGCCCAGAAATAAATCCATATAAATATAACCAACTGATCTTTATTTTATTTATTTATTTATTGAGACAGAGTTTCATTCTTGTTGCTCAGGCTGGAGTGCAATGGCGCAATATTAGCTCACCGCAACCTCCACCTCCCAGGTTCAAGCAATTCTCCTGCCTCAGCCTCCCAAGTAGGTGGGATTACAGGCATGTGCCATGACGCCCAGCTAATTTTTGTAGTTTTAGTAGAGAGGGGGTTTCTCCATGTTAGTCAGGCTGGTCTCGAACTCCCGACCTCAAGTGATCCACCCGCCTCGGCCTCCCAAATTGCTGGAATTACAGGCATAAGCCACTGCTCCCAGCCACCAACTGATCTTTAACAAAGAAGGAAAGGCAATACAATGGAGCAAAGATAGTATTTTCAACAAATGGTACCAGAACAACTGGATATCACATGCAAAAAAGAAAAGAAAAAAATCTAGAGCAGACCTTATACCTTTTATGGATCACAGACCTGAATGTAAAATACAAAACTACAAAACTCCTAGAAGATAACAAAATGTAGATGACCTTGAGTATGGCAATGATTCTTTAAATACAACATAAAAGACATATCCATGAAAGAAATAATTGATAAGCTGACCTCATTAGAATTTAAGATTTCTGCCTTATGAAAGATAATACCAAGAAAATGAGAAGAGAAGACATAGACTGAGAGAAATACTTGCAAAAGACACATCTGATAAAGGACCATTACATAAAATATACAAAGGCCTCTTATGACTCAAAAATAAAGAAATGAACAACCTGATTTAAAAAATGCGCAAAATACCTAAAAAGACATCTCACCAAAGAAGATATTCAGATAGCAGGTAAGCACATTAAAAGATGTTCAATATCATACATCATTAGGGAACTGCAAATTAAAACAATGAGATACCACTACACACCTATGAGAATGATCAAAATCTAAAACACTGACAACACAAAATGCTGGCAAGGAATTTGGCAGAGAGAAACAATAACTCTCATTCATTGTTGGTGGAAATGCAAAATAGTATGCCCACTTTGGAAATCAGTTTTGCAGTTTCTTGCAAAGCTAAATATACTCTTGCATAGGTCCAGGAATTGCACTCCTTGCTATTTACCCAAATGAACTGAAAACATCTCCACACAAAAACCTGCACACAGATGTTTGCGGCAGCTTTATTCATTACTGCCAAAACCTAGAAGCAATCAAGATGTCCTTCAGTAGGTGAAAAGATAAATAAACTGTGGGACATTTAAACAATGGGATGTTATTCAGTACTGGAAAAAAAAAGAGAGAGTTTTCAAGCCATGAAAAGACATGGAGGAAAATTAAATGCATATTACTAAGTGAAAGGAAGCCAATCCGAAAAGGCTATATGCTGTATAATTCCAACCATATGACATTCTGGGAAAGACAAAACTATGGAGATTGGAAAAGGATAAGTGATTTTTCAGGGGTTAATGAGAGTGGGAGACATGAATGGGCAGAGCACAGAAGATTTTTGGGGCAGTGAAATTATCCTGTATGATACAATGGTGGATCCATGTCATTATGTATTTGTTGAAACCTACCAAATGTGCAATAACAACAGTGAACCCTAATATAGACTATCAACTTCGGGTGATAACGATGTATCAGTGTAGGTTCATCACTTGTAACAAATGTACCACTCAGACGGAGCATGTCAATGGTCAGGGCGAAGCTTGTACATGTGTCAAGACAGGAGGTATGTGAGAACTCTCTGTACTTTTCATTTGATTTTACTGTGAACCTCAAACAGTTCTAAAAAAAAAAAGTTTACTAACTAAAAATAATCCATGGTCTCACATTCTCATTAGCTTCTATTGATGATTTTTTCTTCTGGCAATAGGTCACATTTTCCTGCTCCCTTATATGTTGACTAGCACTAATTATCAATTGCCTTCTGATTATTATGAGTTCTGTATTGCTGAAAGCTTGGATTATGTTGTCTTTAAAGAATCTTGAGATTTTTACTTACTATTTATAATGCTCTTAATTGCTTTTTATATATCCAGATTTCCATCTGCTATCATTTTTCTTTAGCCTGAAAATGTTCTTTTAATATTCCCTGTAGTTTAGGCCTGCTGGTGATGAAATCCCTAAGGAATTTTTTGTCTGAATAAGCCTTTAATTTTGAAGGATGTTTGCCTGATATAAAATGTTAGGTTAAAGGTTTTACTTTTTTTTCTTTTAGCACTAAAGATATTGCTCCATTGTCTCTGGCTTGAATGATTTCTGAAGAGAAATCTGTGGTAATTCTTTTTTGTTCCCCCATATTAACTTTTCTCTGGATGCGTTTAAGTTTTTCTCTTTATTACTGATTTTCAGCTATTTGATTATGATTATCTGTAGTACTGTCTTCTTCCTTTTTTTAATGTAGTTTCCTTAGCTTTTTGAGCCAGCAGATTTATATCAAGGAATTTGGAAATATTCCTACCATTAGTCTTCAAATATTTTTGTATCTCCCATTGTCCTCAGAGAGTTCTAGGACTCAAAGTACATGCATGTCAGACTGTTTAATATTATCCTCTAGTCAGGACCAGCTACATAGTTTGGAGGGCCAGTGCAAAATAAAAATGAGAGACTCTTTATTCAAAAATTGTTGAGAATGTTAAGAGGCAATGACACAGCACTAAACCTAGTGAGGCCCCTCCTGAGTGTGGAGCCTATGTTACTGAAAATGTGCAAGCCTATAAAGGCTGTTCAGAGGTAATTGAGGCTTTTTTCATATTATTTCAGTCTTTTTTTAAAAGTCTTTATCTTGGATAGTTTCTGTTGCTATGTCTTTAAGATCACTTACCATTTTTTCTTCAGTGTCTAATCTGTTGTTTAACTCACCTAATGAATTTTCCATTTGGTTAATTGTATTTTTAGCTCTGTGAGTACCATTTGTTTCTTTTTTACTTTACCCATTTCTTTCCTTATTATATTTATTTGTTCCTATAAAATTTTAATCATATATATGTACTTTCTAAACATATATATATAATTTCTATATAAGCTTTTTCTAATGATTCCATCATCTTTGTCATTTCTTGATCTGTTTATATTGACTGATTTTTCTATTTATTATAGGTCACATTTTTCTGCTTCTTTGAATGTTAACTATCTTTTAGGAGATGCCAAACATTGTGAATGTTATTGCTGTGGTGTGAATGTTTGTTTCCCCACTCCTAAAATTTATATATTGAAATCCTAATTCCCAAGATGATGGTATTAGGAGGTGGGGCCTTTGGGGGTGATTAGATCATGAAGGCAGTGCTCTCATAATTAGGATTAGCACCCTTATAAAAGAGACCACATAGAGCTAGTTAGTCTCTTCCATCATGCAAGGACACAGCAAGAAGTCACCCTTCTATGAACTAGGAAGCAGGCCTTTGTCAGATACAAAATTGGCCAGTGCCTTGATCTTGGGCTTCCCAGCTTTTAGAACTGTGAGAAACAAATGTCTGTTATTTATAAATCACCCAGTTTATGGTATTTCATTATAGCAGTCCTAATAGGCTAAGACAGTCAGGTTGTTGTGTGACTGAATCATATTAAAGGGTGTTGAGTTTTGTTTTGGAAGGCAATTAATTTACTGGCAAGTCAAATTGACAGTGTTGATGCTTTGTTTTAGCTTTACTAGAAAAGATCAGGAGTAGCCCTTATTCTGAGGCTGGAGTAAACCTCTTAAAGTATGGCCTTTCTGGGGTTTCAACTAATGTTTCTGGTGTTCTAGCTGGTCAAAAAACCAATGTTCCTCAGCACTTTGCAACCTATGGAGACTCTTTAGCTCAAAAAAAAAACCCTGTAGCTATTCTTTGCAAGACCTCATGGAGTCACTCTTTGCATGTGCAGCTTAGCATTCAGCCAAAATTCAAGGGATCACTATGAAGATTCTTGAAGCTCTACTCTATACAGAGAAGGACGCTTCTCTGGGACTCTTTCCCACAAATTCTAAATACATCTGCATTCCCGAACTCTAATCCCTGCTTCTCTGCTTAGTAAGATTATTGCTTTTTGGGATCCACTTCCTTGTGCCATGATTTGGAAAGGCAGAAAACCTTGATGAATGTCAAGCTCACCTCTAGTCTTTACCTTCTCTCAAGGATAGCTACTCTGCTCTGTAGGTTGCTCAGTTCCTGAAAACATTGCTTTATATATTTTGTCCAGTTTTGTAGTTGTTTATTACAGGAAGGTAAGCCTCATCCTATTACTCCAACTTAGACCATTTCTTCTTTTCATATGCCATCTCCCAGCCTGGGATCATCTTCCCAATCTTTTCCTCTTCACCTTTATATCTCAACTCTAATCCTTTCTGTTCTTTCACATAAGTGTGCCCTTGCTCCCTGATATGATTTAGCTCTGTGTCCCCACCCAAATCTCATGTTGAATTGTAATTCCCAATGCTGGGGGAGGGACCTAGTGGGAGGTGATTGGATCATGGGGGCCGATTTTCCCCTTGCTGTTCTCATAATAGTGAGTTTACATGAGATCTGATGCTTTAAAAGTGTGTGGCACTTCCGCCTTCATTCTCTCTCTCTCTCTCCTGCCACCATGTGAAGATGTGCTTGCTTCCCCTTCATCTTCTAACACGATCATAAGTTTCCTGAAGCCTCCCTGTCATGCTTCCTGTTCAGCCTGTAGAACTGTGAGTCAATTAAACCTCTTTTCTTCATAAATTACCCAGGCTCAGGTAGCTCTTTATCCAGGCTCAGGTAGCTCTTTATAGCAGTGTGAGAACAGACTAATACACTCCCCAAGCTCACTTTACTCTGTCCCTGAACACCAGTAGTTCTTGTTATATTATTTGACATTTATTACATGTATTAGAAACAGAAATCCAGAGAGCAAATATAACAAATAATAGTACTACAATTTTTTAGAAGAATATTATCTTTAAAACTTTTCTTCAAGATTACATAAGTCAGAATAACTTATCTACATCTTTCTTTATAATAAATATCATTTCCTGGCAAAGCAAAACACATGCTATATATCTATGAAAATGACAGTTCAAATCAGGTACAATATATGTAATGCTTTTCATTTTTAGAGAGTATATTAATGTTTGATTATATTTCATTTATGCATCATGGATAGTATATGCATATATTTTTAAAGGTTTACTCAAATGTGTTATGCATCTATTTTCAAACATATTAGAGAATGTAGCTTAACAAGGGCTGCCAAGCTAACTTGTCTTTGTTTAGAGGCCAGAATACAACTCTTCCTGCCAACTTTATGCACATACTTAACCTTCTTTTAAGTGTGTCATTGATTAGCCTTTGCACTGTTCCTTTTATAAATTGCATATATTTGCTTCTATAAAGCTATATAAACATGTTGCTATTACTCACTGGGAGGAATCAGTTGTTTCTTCATACTTTACAGTTTGAGAAATAAAATGAATGCTGAGACTTAACATTAGATGGCAACTGTCATCCACAAAACCTAGTGTCAGTTTATTCATTTCATCAAAACTCTCTCACTCTTATTAATTAGCTTATTTTAAGTATGTGTTAAGAATCTGAGTTTGTCAATTCAAGCATTATTAATAAAATACCATTTTATATATTTTATAAGTTTTATATATTAGGAATCCATATAAGACCTCATTTTCCATTAAAAAGATTTCTCCTTCCAAAAATCACTTTTAAAAACCAGTATTTAAGATAAACAAAAAGCTTCAATGTCCAGATAAATCCTAGATTGATAATGGCTTAAATGATTTGCTTTTCCCTGGCCCTTGCTGTCTTTCTCTTTTTTACCTTTCTATAGTCTCTTTTTCCTCCATTTCTACCCCTGTGATATGCAGAAAGCCTCTGTTATGAATTTTTATAACCATCGTTTTTAATAACTGCATGAATAAAATTTAATTCATATGTCATCTACTGATGAACATTTTCTGTGTTTTCAATATTCATTATAATTAACACTAGCATTAAAATATTCAAGATTATCACTTCATATTTTGAATTATTTTTCAATAATTCAACTGAAAAACACAGTATTTTTAATATTCATTATAATTAACACTATTATAAAAATATCCAAGATGATCAATTATTTTATATTTTGAATTATTTTTCTATGACAGATCCAAAGTAGTAGAGTATAGGATAAAACCTACTATTATATATTTCTTGAAAGCCTTTTTTTTCCTTTCTCCTGTCTATTTTTTTTTTAATTATACTTTAAGTTCTGGGATACATGTGCAGAACGTGCAGGTTTGTTACATAGGTATACATGTGCCATGGTGGTTTGCTGCACCCATCAACCCGTCATCTACATTAGGCATTTCTCCTAATGCTATCCCTCCCCTAGCCCCCCACGCTCCAGCAGGCCCTGGTGTGTGATATTCCCCTCCCTGTGTCCATGTGTTCTCATTGTTCAACTCCCACCTATGAGTAAGAACATACAATGTTTGGTTTTCTGTTCCTGTATTAGTTTGCTGAGAATGGTGGTTTCCAGCTTCATCCATGTCCCTGCAAAGGACATGAACTCATCCCTTTTTATGGCTGCATAGTATTCCATGGTGTATATGTGCCACATTTTCCTTATCCAGTCTATCATTGATGGGCACTTGAGTTGGTTCCAAGTCTTTGCTATTGTGAACAGTGCTGCAATAAAAATACATGTGCATGTGTCTTTATAGTAGAATGATTTATAATTTTGGGGGTATATACCCCGTAATGAGATTACTGGGTCAAATGGTATTTCTGGTTCTAGATCCTTGAGGAATCGCCACACTGTCTTCCACAATGGTTGAGCTAATTTACACCCCCACCAATAGTGTAAAAGCATTCCTATTTCTCCACATCTTCTCCAGCATCTCTTGTTTCCTGACTTTTTAATGATTCTAACTTGCGTGAGATGGTATCTCATTGTGGTTTTGATTTGCATTTCTCTAATGACCTGATGATGAGCTTTTTTTCATATGTTTATTGGCTTCATAAATGTCTTCTTTTGAGAAGTGTCTGTTTGTATGCTTCATCTACTTTTTGATGGGGTTGTTTGTTTTTTTCTTGTAAATTTGTTTATGTTCCCTATAGATTCTGGATATTAGCCCTTTGTCAGATGGACAGATTGCAAAAATTTCCTCCCATTCTGTAGGTTGCATGTTCACTCTAGTGAGTGTTTCTTTTGCTGTGCAGAAGCTCTTTAGTTTAATTAGATCCCTTTTTGTTTTTGTTGCCATTGCTTTTGGTGTTTTAGTCATGAAATCTTTACCCACGCCTATGTCCTGAATGGTATTGCCTAGGTTTTCTTCTAGGAATTTTATGGTTTTAGGTCTTACATTTAAATCTTTAATCCATCTTGAGTTAATTTTCATATAAGGTGTAAGGAAGGGGCCCAGTTTCAGTTTTCTGCATATGGCTAGCCAGTTTTCCCAACACCATTTATTAAATAGGAAATTCTTTCCCCATTGCTTGTCAGGTTTGTCAAAGATCAGATGGTTGTAGATGCATGGCATTATTTCTGAGGCCTCTGTTCTGTTCCATTGGTCTATATATCTGTTTTGGTACCAGTACCATGCTGTTTTGGTTACTGTATCCTTGTAGTATAGTCTGAAGTCAGGTAGTGTGATGCCTCAGTTTTGTTCTTTTTGCTTAGGATTGTCTTGGCTATATGGGCTCTTTTTTGTTTCCATATGAAATTCAAAGTAGTTTTTTCTAATTCTGTGAAGAATGTCAATGGTAGCTTGAGGGGGTTAGCATTGAATCTATAAATTACTTTGGGTAGTATGGCCATTTTCCCAATATTGATTCATAGCCAATATCATACCAAATGGGCAAAAGCTGGAAGCATTCCCTTTGAAAACTGGCACAAGACAAGGATGCCCTCTCTCACCACTTCTATTCAAGATAGTATTGGAAGTTCTGGCCAGGGCAATCAGGCAAGAGAAAGAAATAAAGAGTATTCAAATAGGAAGAGAAGAAGTCAAATTGTCTCTTTTTGCAGATGGCATGATTGTGTATTTAGAAAACCCCATTGTCTCAGCCCAAAATCTCCTTAGGCTGATAAGCAACTTCAGCAAAGTCTCAGGATACAAAATCAATGTGCAAAAATCACAAGCATTCCTATACATCAATAATAGAGAGCCAAATCATGAGTGAACTCTCACAATTGCTACAAAGAGAATAATATACCTAGGAATACAACTTACAAGAGATGTGAAGGACCTCTTCAAGAACTACAAACCACTGCTCAAGGAAATAAGAGAGGACACAAACAAATGGAAAAACATTCCATGCTCATGGATAGGAAGAATCAATATCATGAATATTTCTTAAGAGACTTTTAAAAACTTGTTTCAGTAGATAATAAGAGCCACCTTAAAATGAAAAGTAAATACTACCTTATGATCATCTGCTCAAATTTAATTTCAGTAAAGATTCACTGCCTTTTAAATTGTAGAAACTAACCTATTAGACATTTATCTTTCATTCCTTGCTCAGGGAAGCCTTCCTTCATCTCCCCAAAGCTGGGGTTGGGTATTCTTTCTGAGTCTCCCTTTGCTTTTTCCTTTTATAACATTTATAATACTATTTCATAATTGCCCATTCAGATGTCTGCCCCATCTCTAGACTGTATGTTTCTGCCAATAGAGACTTTACCTTGTTCACAGATATACTCCTCAGAACCTGAAATAATGTCTGGCACATGGCAAGGATGCAAGGACACTATAATTTATGCTAAATTAGTTAGTTATCATTATTAAGGTATTGACTATATATCCTTCTCTATGTCCATAAAATGTATTATTATGCTTTAATTTTTGTCCTATCAAGTTCAACGATGCTTAGCAACCACTTTATGGCATACAGACAATAATTATAAGTTTGAATGCATTAATTAGCTAGTTAGTTCATTAGTTTTAAAAAGACAACACAATATTTCAGAACAAATCAAATCTCATCAAGTTTACTATTTCAGAAGCTGGGGTCTAGAAAGAAATTTAGCAGCCAGGTTATGTATTTGCTGATTTATGTCCATTTTCCCTCCCATATCCTTTGAGAGGTGGGTGATAATGACCACCAGGCTCACAAATTCACTGGCCTGTGTGGTCCCTCTTCTTCCATGTTACAATCTGAAGCAAGGCATGACAGCAAGAACAAGAGCCTAGAAGTCATCATTCAACCTGCAAGGGATCCTGAAGTTTAGGCGCTGAGAAGGTTTGTAGAACATGAATACTAACTGGCACTCCTGGGACTGTCAATGGCCAGTAAAATTACAGACAATGGGAGAACAGGAGGTACAGGAGCCGTAGGATGGGAACCTGAAGGAATGCCCTCCAGGATATCTCCTTCAAAATGTACATCTTTTACACTTTTCTTTCATAGTTAACATATTTAAAATATGTCTAAAGCATATTTAAAACAGCTAAAATCGGGAGATATACCTAATGCTAGATGACGAGTTAGTGGGTGCAGCGCACCAGCATGGCACATGTATACATCTGTAACTAACCTGCACAATGTGCACATGTACCCTAAAACTTAAAAGTATAATAAAAAAAAAAGAGAAAAAAAATGAAAGAAGAAGGAACAATAGAAATAAAAAAAAAAAACAGCTAAAATCATGTCAATGACTAGCCAAATGCAAATAAACTTAAATGCAGAAGACAATTGAAAAAGAGCTAAATTCTTTGCCTTAGTAGTGAGGATCCTCAACACTCTGGCTCCAAAATAATTTCTCAGGTTTATTGACCCCTACAATCCAAAGATATTCAGTTCTCTAGGGACCTCAGTAAGTATTGAGAATTCAAACATAAATGAGACACAGGTTCTATACAAAGGGAGATTTCCTAGGGGAAAAAAAGACCAATTTACTCTACAGACTATCATGCCTACACTAGCATCACCCCGTTGTCACACCTCATTACCCTCTAAGGTAGTGCCATTATAAAGTACACTTTGTGGGTTATGTTTCCAGAATCAGGGAAAAATAGTCTAATTGGTAGCTGTGTTCATGCTAAACTCTCTCTCAACTTTACTCTTCCTTAACCCTGCATTGACATCAGCTCCCCTTCAGGATAATCTCTTAAAAGTTACTGCACTTTTACTTTTAAAGTTGTTCTAAGAAACACAAAGGTCTGTGAACATACCGTTGTGCTAAGAAAGAGAAAAAAACTCTTAATCTAAGAGGTTTTACTTCTTTAAGTCTGGAAGACACCTGAGGAGCAATATGTTATTACAGGGAGGACTGAAAAAAATAGATGGAAGTCAAGAAGAAAACAAAAAAATAGGAAAGACTAGATTCACATCAGGATATCTACATTTGAGGTTTGACCCTACTAGTGTCTGTAGGACCTTCAGTAAGTCTTTTACTCTTCTCAGCTTCAGTTTCCTCATATATAAAATAAAAGGGTAGACCACATGATCAGTATATTTTCTTCCAGTTCATTCTTACCTTGGAAAGAGATTTATTGAATTGCAATTAAGACAATACAAAGCACAGAGCTTAATAACTCTTTATTCTTCTTGTTCTGATTTATTTTGTTTTACTATGATTTCTTAATTAAAACATTTCTTTGGAAAATCATGAACTGCTTATGAAAGCCTGAGGTAAAGTTAGATGATTGTCCATTGACAAGAAACAGTAAATTGTTGTGCCCCTAACAGTCATCAAATATATTATTTGGGCCCTGAATATTTCTTTGTTCCGGTAGGGGGATTTGTTATGGTTGCTATTATTGCATAAGCAACCGACATTAAAGCTCAGTGTAGCTTTTCCAAGATTGTTGTTGACTTTTTAAGCACAGGGAGGAAAGAAACTTCAAGCACCTCCAATCAAAATAAAGACTATCTACTCATCTGACAAAGGGCTAATATCCAGAATCTACAATGAACTCAAACAAACTTACAAGAAAAAAACAACCCCATCAAAAAGTGGCCAAAGGATATGAACAGACACTTCTCAAAATAAGACATTTATGCAGCCAACAGACACATGAAAAAATGCTCATCATCACTGACCATCAGAGAAATGCAAATCAAAACCACAATGAGATACCATCTCACACCAGTTAGAATGGCAATCATTAAAGTCAGGAAACAACAGGTGCTGGAAAGGATGTGGAGAAATAGGAACACTTTTACACTGTTGGTGGGACTGTAAACTAGTTCGACCATTATGGAAGAAAGTGTGGTGATTCCTCGAGGATCTAGAACTAGAAATGCCATTTGACCCAGCCATCCCATTACTGGGTATATACCCAAAGGATTATAAATCATGCTGCTATAAAGACACATGCACACGTGTGTTTATTGCAGCACTATTCACAAAAGCAAAGGCTTGGAACCAAGCCAAATGTCCAACAATGATAGACTGGATTAAGGAAATGTGGCACATATACACCATGGAATACTATGCAGCCATAAAAAAGGATGAGTTCATGTCCTTTGTAGGAACATGGATGAAGCTGGAAACCATCATTTTCAGCAAACTATCACAAGGACAAAAAACCAAACACCGCATGTTCTCACTCACAGATGGGAATTGAACAATGAAAACACTTGGACACAGGAAGGGGAACATCATACACCAGGACCTGTTGTGGGATTGGGGGAGGGGGGAGGGACAGCATTCGGAGATATACCTAATGTAAATGACGAGTTAATGGGTGCAGCACACCAACATGGCACATGTATACATATGTAACAAACCTGCACATTGTGTACATGTGCCCTAGAACTTTAAAAAGAGAGAGAGAGAGAGAGAGAGAGAGAGAGAGAGAGAGAGAGAAAGAAAACTGCCCCAGGTTGGAGCTCCCATCCTTTTTTTTTTTTTTTTTTTTTTTTTTTTGAGGTGGAGTCTTGCTCTGTCACCCAAAAAATAAAAATAAAAAAAATAAAAAAAAATAAAGCCTATCTGCTCCTAGGACACAGCAAGGTCCTTGCTAATCAGCAATATAATTCCTTTCTCACTATTAGGTTTTCTAAACTGATCCTGGGAATTTTAGTTTTCTGCCTTTGGAAGATACACTTTGTCTAATGAATTATCTAATTAAAGAGGCCAGAAGATCCTCAAAGTCTTCCCTGGTGAAAATATTGAAAAGTATACTCAAAACTGGAGGAAGCCAGGTGTGGTGAAGTGCAGCAGTGTAGGCTGAAGTGGGAAAATCACTTGAGCCTAGGAGTAGTTTGAGCAGATGTGGTTCAAGTCTAGCTTGAGCAACATAGGGAGACACTGTCTCTAAATAAAAATGAGAGGATCCAAGGTCACTTTTCCCTATAAGAAGTGGGAACCCAACATCTCTCACTCATAGGAAATTTGGAAGCAAAAGTAACACATTGAAGATTCAGATTCTTATTCAAGATTGTGTGGCACAAACATGAGTGCCACATGGGGTGTTGGGCATAGCTTTCCTATTAGAAGGGAATAATTTTCTCAGGAGAAGTAGTGGAGTTTCAAATAAATTTGAAGTAGCTCTTTTCCCCTGAGCCCACAAAACCAAAGGGAGGGGATCCAGATTAAAAATAGGAAACTGCCCACACCCCACTCCTTTTGAATGGTCTAAGTCATTTAGATGCCTTTAAGACTCCAGGAATAAACTCATTATCTAGGAATTTAACAGTTTTTCTCCTACACTGTAATTCCCTTTTCAAATTGCACTAATTCCTCAGTAGAGCAATGGATATGTATTATTGTGTATGAATGTGCTAGTCTTGGGAATACTGAATGAGTAAATATACTCCTCCATGTGCCCCAGGTTTCTCATAGAGATAAGGCACAAATATATCAACATGAAGTGCAAATTAGTGATTGGTGGCACAAAACGGAAGCCCACAGTAAGTCAGGAATTGTCAGATAGGTCCATGTGCTAGAGGGGCACTCCAGAGAGGGCACAAGGAAAGAAGGAAAACTAAGCATTCTGCTTATCATAGATTAGAAGACATCGCCCTTTGAAAGGAGAAAAGACAGAGAAGGTAGCAAACTTCATATATGCACATTATTATAGTTACCATTATTATTATTAAAAGTATGTGCCTCTGCTCCAATGGCTTGAGCCTATGACTAGAATATATGTACTCTGATTATTGAAGAAGGTGCCTCAGATTTCTTCTATTCCTCTCCCTCTTTACCTCCTCCTCATTATTGTGCTTTTTTCCTCACCTCTCCACTACCATCTGACATAAAGTTCAGTCTATTGATTTAGTTATAGCTTTTGGATATTTTGTATGCAGATTTACAGCTTTGTTCACTATTTTTTCTCTTATTTTTTAAAATAATGAATTGTTTTTATAATTGTATGGGCATTTAAAAATATTTTTATCTTATTTTCATTCTAAGTCATTCACTTACATTTGTAACCAGGAATTGCCATGATAAAGGGAAATATTAATAGCTTGTCCATGTCTCAAGTAGCAAATCATAAATGCCTTCTTTCTTCCAAGTTAACTCCTCAGAGAGACATATACTATCTCAAAAACACCTCCAATCTGTCTTAGATGGCATAAAGAGCCCGAGAGGGGAGGCTAATGGCTTCACACTTAAAATATTCTCCTAGCAACTCTGGAAATTCAGATATGTTTCAGGTAATATTTCTCCCCTAGGAAGCCATAAACCTAGGCCCAACTTGTCAGAATTTCAAAAACAAAATAATTTTATCCAAATCTCTTTTCTGCTGGATCTCTGTTACTGCCTTCTTCAGCACACTGACTTCTTAATCAAAGCCTCTCTCTTGTCATACGAATGGCCCAGGAAGCCCTCAATTGTAAAGAAGCCCTTCTCAGTACATACTGGTCTGGATGAGGTAGGCTATGCTATAGCAACAAATAACCTCACAATCTCATTTTTATAACACACTGAAAGTTTAGGTATTGCTCACATTAATATGGGTTGCTCAGCTCACCTCCAAAGAGTGATCCAAGGGCCCTCATTAGGCATTTTTTAGCAGCAGGTGGAGTTGACATAAAGGGCAAGAGAGAGCTGGAATAAATGACATTTTTAAAAAGTCAAGTCTAAGAAGTGGCTTACTTCATTTCTGCCCACATTCTATAGCACGAATCTAACTGCAATAGATAGTGGAAAATACAGCCTTCCTGTATGTGCAGAAAGAGAAACTTATGTGACATTGTCACTGTCACACATTTAATTTCCAGGATGCAAACATGGAATTTCATAACCACAAGCCCCATGAGACACATAATTATGGTTTTTATTAACTCTGAAAGGATTTGGAAATCAATTTCCCAATGATTTCCCTAGAGGCTGGAAAGATGAAAAAATAAATGTATTTATGCATATATATATATACACATACACACATATATATCATTATTAATCTACCCATTTAGTCATTCAACACCATTTTTTTAGCAAAAGCAAAAACATCTGTTTTGTGGTCTGGTTGGTTTATTCCATGTAATAATACATCTTAAAGATTGTTCCATATCAGTACATATATTAGCATGTACTATAGAGCTATATCATTCATTGTTATAGCTATAATCTTTCACCATACTCCTGTACTGAAAAACAGATTGTTTCCACAGAACATACTTAAATGTATATCTTTGAGTACACATGCAATTAAATCTTTGAAATAGATTCCCAGGAAGGACTCCTTGGAAGAAATTAAAATGATGTTTTCATATTATTTTTCCAAAGCCAGAATAACATTGATACCAAAACATAATAAAGACAGCACAAAATAGAAAACCACAGACTAGTCTCACTTGGGAAATTAACCCAAACATCCTCAAAGAATTATTGGCAAATAAAATCCAGCAACATATTAAATAATCACTTTCCACAACCTAGTGAGACTTATACTACTATAAATTCAATACCTAGATTTCCTAAATACCCCAGCATCCTTCAGGGTGTACCTAGAATAGAAACAGTGCTTTGCACTTTGAGTAAATATGTATTGTTGATGAATAAATGAATAAACATAGAAAACATTTAACATAATTCACCATATTAATAAATACAAAGAAGAAAATTTATGTGATCATTTCTATAAGTTGATAAAGAGGCATTGGAAATTCAGCATATGTTTCTGATCTTTTAAATTTTATATAAAAAGGAATACTTTCTTAACATTATTTTAGATGATTGAGAGATCAATAAACACACACACATACTATAGCTACTTCAAATCAAGTCAGTATCATGTTTAAAAATGAAACTCTAGTCTGGGCGTGGTGGCTCATGCCTGTAATCCCAGCACTTTGGGAGGCCGAGGTGGGTGGATCACCTGAGATCAGGAGTTCGAGACCAGCCGGGCCAATATGGTGAAACCCCCATCTCTATCAAAAATACAAAAATTAGCCAGGCGTGGTGGCATGTGCCTGTAATCCCAGCTACTTGGGAGGCTGAGGCAGGAGAATCACTTGAACCTGGGAGGTAGAGGATGCAGTGAGCAGAGATCGTGCCATTCCACTCCAGCCTGGGCGACAGAGCAAAACTCCGTCTCAAGAAAAAAAAAAAAAAAGAAGCACTAACGATTTCATGTTAAAGTAATGAATAAAATGAAAACACTAGACAATGTAATAGGGAATATGAGTCATAAAAATTGTAAAAGAATAAGTAAAACTACCATTATCTTCAGATGGTATAATTTTACTCCTGAAAACACCAAGAGAATCTATTAAAAACAATAACAAAATTAGGCAACGTGGATGCTACCACATTATTATAAAAAGTCAATAGTTTTATAAAATATAAATAAAACTAATCACAAATATAATGAAAGAAAATATCCAATTTACGATAATAATAAAAAGATAAAATATTTTATCTTTGTATCGAAAAGACAGGCAATAAATGCTGGTGAAGATGTGGAGAAAAGGGAACCCTCATACACTGTTGGTGGGACTATAAATTAGTACAACCACTATGGAGAACAGTTTGGAGGTTCTTCAAAAAACTAAAAATAGAGCTACCATATGATCCAGCAATCAGCAATCCCACTGCTTATATACTCAAAAGAAGGGAAAGCAGGATATCAAAGAGAGATTTGCACTCCCATGTTTATTGTAGCACTATTCACAATAGCCAAGATTTGGAAGTAACCTAAGTGCCCATCAAGAGACGAATGGATAACGAAATGTCATAGATATACACAATGGAATACTATTCAGCCATAAAGAAGAATGAGATTCTGTCATTTGCAACAACATGGATGGAACTGGAAGTCATTATGTTGTGTGAAATAAGCCAGGCACAGAAAGATAAACTTTGCTTGTTTTCACTTATTTGTGGAAGCCAAAAATTAAAACAACTGAACTCATGGAAATAGAGAGTAGACAGATGATTACCAGAAGCTGGGAAGGGTAGTGGGGAGTGGGGTGTAGGGGAGTGTACAAAAAACTAGTTAGAAAGAATGAATAAGACCTAGTATTTGACAGCACAACAGGGTGACTACAATCAGTACTAATTTAATTGTACATTTTTAAATAACTAAAAAAGTATAATTGGAATGTTTGTAATGCAAAGGATAAATGTTTGAGGGGATGGATACCCCATTTACCATGATGTGATTATTACACATTGCATGCATGTATCAAAGAATCTCATGTACCCCATAAATAGATACACCTACCACGTACCCACATAAATTAAAAATTAAATTTTAAAAAATGAAATAAAATATGTGGCCCCACCATTATACATGTCATTATGCATTTGTTCAAACCCTTAGAATCTACAACACCAAGAGTGAACCCTAATATAAATCATAGACTCTGGGTGATAAGGATGTGTCAATGTAGGTTCATTGTGTGTAACCAATGTAACATTCTGACGAAGGACGTTGACAATGGGAGAGGCTATGCATGTGTTAGGGCAGGGGAGAAAGGGAAATCTCTGTTCCTTCCACTCAATTATGCTGTGAATCTAACACTGCTCTAAAAATAAAGTCTATTTTTAAAAAGGTAAAATACTTAAGAATGCCTTTAACAAATAATATATAGGACTTATATCACTGAAAATTTTAAATTTTTGTGGGGGCATTTTAGAATATTTAATAAATAGAAATATGTACCCTGTTTTTGAACAGAAAATCTAACATTATTATTATGAGAAAACAATTTTTAAGCCACCCTAATAAAATTACATATATTATATTACATATATACATATATATGATGGTAGTGGTGGTAGAAAAGGGACTTCAGAGACTATAGTATGTTTCAAAAATGTATATGAAAAGATAACAAGAATAGTCAGAAAATTTCTGGGAAAAAAAGGAATAATGATTAAGGCCTGCTTTTATCAGATATTGAAACTTACTATCCAATTACTACTGCAGCATAACAAACCACTCCAGTTCTAATGGTACAAAATACCCATTTTGTTACGTCCATGAAATCTGTGGGTCAGGAATTCAGTCAGGGCACAGGGATGGTGGAGGGTTTCTGTGAAGCCTCAGTTGGGGTTGCCTCTGTGGGGGGGGGCCAGAATCAGAGGCTTCACTCACGGGTCTGCCACCAGAACTGGGATGACTTGTAGATGCAGCTCAGCTGTAGCACTTACATGTGTTCTCTCCATGAAGCCCAGCTGGAATATTCCTAGGAGGAAGCCACCAAACACAACTGGTTAGAGGAGTTGCCTGTGAGAGGAGCAGAATAAATGGTAGAGATGGGAAGAGTAGGAGAAGAGGAAGCAGATGAAGAATACAAGTCTTAGAAAAGATAGACAATTATCCTGTTTATGTATTAACTTTTAATTTTAAAAATAGCCAATTTTGTAAAATAAGCCTAAGTGAAATTTTATTTTTTTCTTTTATTTTTATTCATGATATGCTTGATACAAAAACATCAAGATTCTTGATGTTTGGCTGGAATTTTTTCAGGATAGTATAGTGAAAAGAAAGTATTTCTTGATGATCAGAAGCTCTGTTAATTTTTTTTAATTTAATTTTTTTTTTTTTCTTGAGACAGGGTCTCACTTTGTCACCAGGCTGGAGTTCAGTGGCACAAACATGGCTCACTGCAGCCTCAACCTCCTGGGCTCAAGCAATTCTCCTGGCTCAGCCCCCCAAGTAGCTGGGAATATACATGCATGCCACCACACCCAGCTAATTTTTGTACTTTTTCTAGAAACGGGGGTTCACTATCTTGCTCAGGCCGGTCTCGAATTCCGGAGTTCAAGCGATCCGCCTGCCTCAGCTTCCCAAAGTGCTGAGATTACAGGCGTGAGCCACTGCACCTGGCTTGTTGTTGATTTTTAAGATGGGAAAAGAAGTATTGTTTAATTTTTTCCAAATGTATGATGACATTGTCTGTGAATGTTCTCACTCCTCCTCCTGCCTATGGATTTCATTATAACTACCTTCCAAGAGAGACCACAAGAACACACTCATAGTCCAACACCAAATGAGACAGGAACTCATCAAGTAGGCAATGTGCAAATTTTATGGATGAATGTAAGTTCTAATGTGCAGAGCAAGCTGAAAGTTATATGCATATTATATGGGTAAAGTCAAAGTAAATTTTTATTATTGCTTCCAAATATTCATGCTCAGAACCAAGTAAATGCCATATTTTTCCCACTTAAGTTAATAAATTTGATAGCAATGTTTTTCTCACATTTGTTTCATGGTTAACGCTATTGTTTCTGGTTTAGCCCTGTAAAGGCCTCGACTTCAGGTGGGACTTTATGTACAACATGTAGAGATACTAATCAGGACTTTCTATCTAATGCAGGGTCCAAGTCATGATGGCTTTATCAACAGAAAAAAAAAAAAAAATCAGAAAGTAAGCAAGGCCTAACAAATAGGCTCAAGATGGTAAATTGAGGGGCATTTGAAGACAGACATCAAGTTATCACATTTTGGGTCTCTAGTGTCCAGCATGGTCCCCAGCCCACAGAAGGCACTCTATTAATTTTTATGCCTCTACTTGCATTAGACGTTGCCATATAGTTATTACTACTCTTACTAGAAACCACCACCTACTGTAAACCTAGCCCTACCAGATGTACCACCTATGCCAGTCACCAGTCCTGACTTTTCCCAGCTGGACTGCCTAGTCTGCCTGAAATGCATCCTAGACTAGCAGCCCTTTTTACAGACAAGGTCTTGAAATACTTTAAACTCTGGTAAGCCTAGATTTTTAAAGAAATCCAACCTGGTGTTTTGAAAAACTTAGGAGTCTCTTTGTTACTATTGCATAATTTGTATATTTCCTATGGAATTCATTACCATCTGAAATGCAATAGTAATACAATCTACAATGGTTTATCTGTTAATTATTAGTTTATCTTTGTTTCAGCCAATAAACAATGACATACCAATTATTTGTATGCTCTATGCCTCTCAAGTTAGTATTTGCCAATTCAACACAAAATTTTTCCCTGAAAAATTTGGGAGGAAGATGAGAATAAATGAACTAAACACCCAGTTACGACAACCTCAATTACTGGCAACCTATAAATAGCAGCAGATGTAAGTACAATGTCCCCTGAAGATTACTACGTGAGCCTCATGAAGGCAGCAAGTGGAATTTTTAAAAATTTACATTATAAATATACCAGAGATTTAGCCTTGGGGTCAGACTCACAAGATCAAAAATTTAGTTTCATTGAGTTTCCTAGTTTTATATATGAATGACATAGTCTTGTTAAATATTAATTATATTTATGAATATCATTGTGTAATGAGTTTCATTCAGTGTTTCAAATTTCCACAGGGCTCCAAAGGAGACTATCACAAGAGTATAAATTTTCTATAAAATCATTACCTAGAAATTGTAAATAAGCACTAATACATCAATTACACAAGCTGAGATATAAATTCCATAACAAGTATCATGAAAGGTCAATAATAATTTTGTTATAAAAATGTCAAACCCAACCTTAGTCTGGGCATATATAATTACTTTAGCCATGAGGTAAATAAAAGCCATCTCTACTGGGCTCTTTTTGGAATGAGGAAGAGGAGAGTGAGCCATTCCGAAATTTTCCAAATTAGAGCACCTCTCAGAGTTCCCTTTTTTCAGTCTTCACCATTGTTGCCATCTGGGCCAAAAGCTCTCGTTTCTATATTGTTCACAGTCATATCCTGAAGCTAAATACAGTGCTTGGCACATAGTAGGCAAAAAGACAAGTATTTATTAGTTGAAATTAATTGGAATATGATGATAAAACTTAATTTCCTTAAGGGCAAGTCTCGTAAATCTGTGCTTTGCTATTACCAGGAATTACGCTAAGCCCTATGTATTTACTATCACATGTTACACTCAACCTTAAAAAGTATTTATGATCATTTCCATTAGACAACTTAAAACAATTGAGGTTTACAGAGGTTAAATAACTTGCCCAAATAAACACAATAAATGTGACAAAATCTTGCCCAAATACACACAATAAATGTGACAAAATTTGAACCTCTGCTCAAACTCCTAGGCTGCTTCTCCACTGGGCTCTGTATAGGACTATGTATTGTCCGTAAGCCCTCAGTCAGCCTTCCCAATCCAAGTACTTACATTAAAGGTGACAAACAAAAACTACTAGATAAATTCATATAAAAGAAATCTCGGGGGGAGGAGCCAAGATGGCCGAACAGGAACAGCTCTGGTCTACAGCTCCCAGCGTGAGCGATGCAGAAGATGGGTGATTTCTGCATTTCCATCTGAGGTACCGGGTTGATCTCACTAGGGAGTGCCAGACAGTGGGTGCAGGTCAGTGGGTGTGTGCACCATGCACGAGCCGAAGCAGGGCGAGGCATTGCCTCACTCGGGAAGCCCAAGGGGTCCGGGAGTTCCCTTTCCTAGTCAAAGAAAGGAGTGACAGACGGCACCTGGAAAATCGGGTCACTCCCACCACAATACTGCGCTTTTCCGACGGCCTTAAAAAACAGCGCACCAGGAGATTATATCCCACACCTGGCTCAGAGGGTCCTACGCCCACGGAGTCTCGCTGATTGCTAGCACAGCAGTCTGAGATCAAACTGCAAGGCGGCAGCAAGGCTGGGGGAGGGGTGCCGGCCATTGCCCAGGCTTGATTAGGTAAACAAAGCAGCCGGGAAGCTCGAACTGGGTGAAGCCCACCACAGCTCAAGGAGGACTGCCTGCCTCTGTAGGCTCCACCTCTGGGGCCAGGGCACAAACAAACAAAATGACAGCAGTAACCTCTGCAGACTTAAATGTCCCTGAGTGACAGCTTTGAAGGGAGCAGTGGTTCTCCCAGCACACAGCTGGAGATCTGAGAACAGGCAGACTGCCTCCTCAAGTGGGTCCCTGAACCCTGACCCCTGAGCAGCCTAACTGGGAGGCACCCCCCAGCAAGGGCAGACTGACACCTTACATGGCGGGGTACTCCTCTGAGACAAAACTTCCAGAGGAACGATCAGATAGCAGCATTCCCGGTTCACGAAAAACCACTGTTCTGCAGACACCACTGCTGATACCCAGGCAAACAGGGTCTGGAGTGGACCTCTAGCAAACTCCAACAGACCTGCAGCTGAGGGTCCTGTCTGTTAGAAGGAAAACTAACAAACAGAAAGGACATCCACACCAAAAACCCATCTGTACATCACCATCATCAAAGACCAAAAGTAGATAAAACCACAAAGATGGGGAAAAAACAGAGCAGAAAAACTGGAAACTCTAAAAAGCAGAGTGCCTCTCCTCCTCCAAAGGAATGCAGTTCCTCACCAGCAATGGAACAAAGCTGGATGGAGAATGACTTTGACAAGCTGAGACAAGAAGGCTTCAGATGATCAAACTACTCCGAGCTACAGGAGGAAATTCAAACCAAAGGCAAAGAAGTTGAAAACTTTGAAAAAAATTTAGAAGAATGTATAACTAGAATAACCAATAGAGAGAAGTGCTTAAAGGAGCTGATGGAGCTGAAAACCAAGGCTCGAGAACTACGTGAAGAATGCAGAAGCCTCAGGAGCCGATGCGATCAACTGGAAGAAAGGGTATCAGCGATGGAAGAAGAAATGAATGAAATGAAGCGAGAAGGGAAGTTTAGAGAAAAAAGAATAAAAAGAAACGAACAAAGCCTCCGAGAAATATGAGACTATGTGAAAAGACCAAATGTACGTCTGATTGGTGTACCTGAAAGTGATGGGGAGAATGGAACCAAGTTGGAAAACACTCTGCAGGATATTATCCAGGAGAACTTCCCCAATCTAGCAAGGCAGGCCAACATTCAGATTCAGGAAATACAGAGAACGCCACAAAGATACTCCTCGAGAAGAGCAACTCCAAGACACATAATTGTCAGATTCACCAAAGTTGAAATGAAGGAAAAAATGTTAAGGGCAGCCAGAGAGAAAGGTCGGGTTACCCTCAAAGGGAAGCCCATCAGACTAACAGCAGATCTCTTGGCAGAAACTCTACAAGCCAGAAGAGAGTGGGGGCCAATATTCAACATTCTTAAAGAAAAGAATTTTCAACCCAGAATTTCATATCCAGCCAAACTAAGCTTCATAAGTGAAGGAGAAATAAAATACTTTACAGACAAGCAAATGCTGAGAGATTTTGTCACCACCAGGCCTGCCCTAAAAGAGCTCCTGAAGGAAGTGCTAAACATGGAAAGGAACAACCAGTACCAGCCACTGCAAAATCATGCCAAAATGTAAAGACCATCGAGACTAGGAAGAAACCGCATCAACTAACGAGCAAAATAACCAGCTAACAGCATAATGACAGGATCAAATTCACACATAACAATATTAACTTTAAATGTAAATGGACTAAATGCTCCAATCAAAAGACACAGACTGGCAAATTGGATAAAGAGTCAAGACCCATCAGTGTGCTGTATTCAGGAAACCCATCTCACATGCAGAGACACACATAGGCTCAAAATAAAAGGATGGAGGAAGATCTACCAAGCAAATGGAAAACACAAAAAGGCAGGGGTTGCAATCCTAGTCTCTGATAAAACAGACTTCAAACCAACAAAGATCAAAAGAGACAAAGAAGGCCATTACATAATGGTAAAGGAATCATTTCAACAAGAAGAGCTAACTATCCTAAATATATATGCACCCAATACAGGAGCACCCAGATTCATAAAGCAAGTCCTGAGTGACCTACAAAGAGACTTAGACTCCCACACATTAATAATGGGAGACTTTAACACCCCACTGTCAACATTAGACAGATCAACGAGACAGAAAGTCAACAAGGATACCCAGGAATTGAACTCAGCTCTGCACCAAGCGGACCTAATAGACATCTACAGAACTCTCCACTCCAAATCAACAGAATAGACATTTTTTTCAGCACCACACCACACCTATTCCAAAATTGACCACATAGTTGGAAGTAAAGCTCTCCTCAGCAAATGTAAAAGAACAGAAATTATAACAAACTATCTCTCAGACCACAGTGCAATCAAACTAGAACTCAGGATTAAGAATCTCACTCAAAACCGCTCAACTGCATGGAAACTGAACAACCTGCTCCTGAATGACTACTGGGTACATAACCAAATGAAGGCAGAAATAAAGATATTCTTTGAAACCAACGAGAACAAAGACACAACATACCAGAATCTCTGGGACACACTCAAAGCAATGTGTAGAGGGAAATTTATAGCACTAAATGCCAACAAGAGAAAGCAGGAAAGATCCAAAATTGACACCCTCACATCACAATTAAAAGAACTAGAAAAGCAAGAGCAAACACATTCAAAAGCTAGCAGAAGGCAAGAAATAACTAAAATCAGAGCAGAACTGAAGGAGATAGAGACATAAAAAAAACCCTTCAAAAAATTAATGAATCCAGGAGCTGGTTTTTTGAAAGGATCAACAAAATTGATAGATGGCTAGCAAGACTAATAAAGAAAAAAAGAGAGAAGAATCAAATAGATGCAATAAAAAATGATAAAGGGGATATCACCACTGATCCCACAGAAATACAAACTACCATCAGAGAATACTACAAACACCTCTACCCAAATAAACTAGAAAATCTAGAAGAAATGGAGAAATTCCTTGACACATACACTCTCCCAAGACTAAACCAGGAAGAAGTTGAATCTCTGAATAGACCAATAACAGGAGCTGAAATTGTGGCAATAATCAATAGCTTACCAACCAAAAAGAGTCCAGGACCAGATGGATTCACAGCCGAATTCTACCAGAGGTACAAGGAGGAACTGGTACCATTCCTTCTAAAACTATTCCAATCAATAGAAAAAGAGGGAATCCTCCCTAACTCATTTTATGAGGCCAGCATCATCCTGATACAAAAGCCAGGCAGAGACACAACCAAAAAAGAGAATTTTAGACCAATATCCTTGATGAACATTGATGGAAAAATCCTCAATAAAATACTGGCAAACCGAATCCAGCAGCACATCAAAAAGCTTATCCACCATGATCAAGTGGGCTTCATCCCTGGGAAGCAAGGCTGGTTCATTATATGCAAATCAATAAATGTAATCCAGCATATAAACAGAACCAAAGACAAAAACCACATGATTATCTCAATAGATGCAGAAAAAGCCTTTGACAAAATTCAACAATGCTTCAAGCTAAAAACTCTCAATAAATTAGGTATTGATGGGACATATCTCAAAATAATAAGAGCTATCTATGACAAACCCACAGCCAATATCATACTGAATGGGCAAAAACTGGAAGCATTCCCTTTGAAAACTGGCACAAGACAGGGATGCCCTCTCTCACCACTCCTTTTCAACATAGTGTTGGAAGTTCTGGCCAGGACAATTAGTCAGGAGAAGGAAATAAAGGGTATTCAATTAGGAAAAGAGGAAGTCAAATTGTCCCTGTTTGCAGATGACATGATTGTATATCTAGAAAACCCCATTGTCTCAGCCCAAAATCTCCTTAAGCTGATAAGCAACTTCAGCAAAGTCTCAGGATACAAAATCAATGTACAAAAATCACAAGCATTCTTATACACCAATAACAGACAAACAGAGAGCCAAACCATGAGTGAACCCCCATTCACAATTGCTTCCAAGAGAATAAAATACCTAGGAATCCAACTTACAAGGGATGTGAAGGACCTCTTCAAGGAGAACTACAAACCACTGCTCAAGGAAATAAAAGAGGATACAAACAAATGGAAGAACATTCCATGCTCATGGGTAGGAAGAATCAATATCATGAAAATGGCCATACTGCCTAAGGTAATTTACAGATTCAGTGCCATCCCCATCAAGCTACCAATGACTTTCTTCACAGAATTGGAAAAAACTACTTTAAAGTTCATATGGAACCAAAAAAGAGCCCGCATCACCAAGGCAATCCTAAGCCAAAAGAACAAAGCTGGAGGCATCACACTACCTGACTTCAAACTATACTACAAGGCTACAGTAACCAAAACAGCATGGTACTGGTACCAAAACAGAGATATAGATCAATGGAACAGAACAGAGCCCTCAGAAATAATGCCGCATATCTACAACTATCTGATCTTTGACAAACCTGAGAAAAACAAGCATTGGGGAAAGGATTCCCTATTTAATAAATGGTGCTGGGAAAACTGGCTAGCCATATGTAGAAAGCTGAAACTGGATCCCTTCCTTACACCTTATACAAAAATCAATTCAAGATGGATTAAAGACTTAAACGTTAGACCTAAAACCATAAAAACCCTAGAAGAAAACCTAAGCATTACCATTCAGGACATAGGCATGGGCAAGGACTTCATGTCTAAAACACCAAAAGCAATGGCAACAAAAGCCAAAGTTGACAAATGGGATCTAATTAAACTAAAGAGCTTCTGCACAGCAAAAGAAACTACCATCAGAGTGAACAGGCAACCTACAAAATGGGAGAAAATTTTTGCAACCTACTCATCTGACAAAGGGCTAATATCCAGAATCTACAATGAACTCAAACAAATTTACAAGAAAAAAACAAAAAACCCCATCAAAAAGTGGGCGAAGGACATGAACAGACACTTCTCAAAAGAAGACATTTATGCAGCCAAAAAACACACGAAAAAATCCTCACCATCACTGGCCATCAGAGAAATGCAAATCAAAACCACGATGAGATACCATCTCACACCAGTTAGAATGGCAATCATTAAAAAGTCAGGAAACAACAGGTGCTGGAGAGGATGTGGAGAAATAGGAACAATTTTACACTGTTGGTGGGACTGTAAACTAGTTCAACCATTGTGGAAGTCAGTGTGGTGATTCCTCAGGGATCTAGAACTAGAAATACCATTTGACCCAGCCATCCCATTACTGGGTATATACCCAAAGGATTATAAATCATGCTGCTATAAAGACACATGCACATGTATGTTTATTGCAGCATTATTCACAATAGCAAAGACTTGGAACCAACCCAAATGTCCAACAATGATAGACTGGATTAAGAAAATGTGGCACATATACACCATGGAATACTATGCAGCCATAAAAAATGATGAGTTCACGTCCTTTGTAGGGACATGGATGAAACTGGAAATCATCATTCTCAGTAAACTGTTGCAAGAACAAAAAACCAAACACTGCATATTCTCACTCATAGGTGGGAATTGAACAGTGAGAGCACATGGACACAGGAAGGGGAACATCACACTCTGGGGACTGTTGTGGAGTGGGGGGAGGGGGGAGGGATAGCATTGGGAGATAGACCTAATGCTAGATGACGAGTTAGTGGGTGCAGCGCACCAGCATGGCACATGTATACATATGTAACTAACCTGCACATTGTGCACATGTACCCTAAAACTTAAAGTATAATAATAATAATAATAATAAAAGAAATCTCATGAATATATAACAAGCTTTTTAGAAATGCTGACTCCCCTATTCTAAAAATGGCTCTGCATTCTCTGGCATCTTCCCATTAATGACTAACATTTTGCTTCTTAATTTCTACAAGGAAATAAACATGGTGGCTCTAGAGCACCAGCATCAAAATCACTCTGAAATTTGACCCTAGAGGGAGAGGCCAGCAAAGGTAGACTCTCTTCCAAAGGGTAATGCACTAATCACTTCTTACTTTATGGTTATTATTATTTTCCTAAACTAGGTTATATAAGAAAAAGAAAAATAAGATTTTTATATTAATATGAAATTACTCTAATATGCTTTTATGCATCATTAAAGTTCTGGGGCTATATCATTACCTCTGGCTTGTAAGCTCCTTCAGCTTCTTTGAACCAGAAAGTCACAGAAAGATTTCTGTGTTGGTTCCCAGAGAGAAAGGTAGTAAGGCCTAGGAAGGACCATGGTCAAAAAGCGTGCTCTCAGGACACATTGAAAAACAAATTCTAGTGGTTAGATCCATTCTCCTGCTCAGGTGCAGTTTTCCTGGTATATGGTCCTCAGCGTGGTCAAGGGTCAAGAGAAATGAGAATCTGGGAGTTGGTGCTTGACAAAGTCATCTCTCACCTGATTTAGTTTGTAATACCAAATAATCATTTACAAAAAATTATTTGAATGCTTTCAATTCATTCTGAGTGACAATATATTTGCATAGATAGGTCTTTTTGTGCAACATTTACACATGTTGCTGTAATGGGGTTTTGGAAAAGAAGTGCTACTTTTCATTACATAAAGGTTAATACCTTCATTAATAAAGGTTAGTGCCATGTCTCAAATTTTTTCTGATAAACCATGCCTAAAAGTGAACTAAAGTAGGCAGTAAAGTTAAACCATCTTTTGCCTCCTGGGACCTAAACATCAATTTTCTGGCACCTCATATTTATTGGTGAAATTACATTAAGTGGCAAAATGTTTGCTTTCTTGGCTTTCACTTGCTTCCTACAATGTAGTGCTGAAGTACTAGATCTCTTAGCCTGCTTTCTTCCTTCTACCAAATCCATTTCTAAGTGTTTCTGGCAGGACTGAAAGGATATAGCAGAGATGATTACTTTCATGCGCGTCGTCCGTATTAAGAGACCACCAAAAAGGCTTTGTGTGAGCAATAAAGCTTTTAATCACCTGGGTGCAGGTGGGCTGAGTCCAAAAAGAGTCAGCGAAGGGAGATAAGGGTGGGGCCATTTTATAGGATTTGGGTAGATAAAGGAAAATTACAGTCAAGGGGGGTTGTTCTCTGGAGGGCAGAGTGGGGGGTCACAAGGTGCTCAGTAGGGGAGCTTTTGAGCCAGGATGAGCCAGGAATTTCACAAGAAAATGTCATCAGTTAAGGCAGGAACAGGCCATTTTCACTTCTTTTGTGGTGGAATGTCATCAGTTAAGGCAGAAACGGGCCATCTGGATGTGTACGTGCAGGTCACAGGGATATGATGGTTTAGCTTGGGCTCAGAGGCCTGACATTCCTGTCTTCTTATATTAATAAGAAAAATAAAATGAAATAGTGGTAAAGTGTTGGGATGGTGAAAATTTTGGGGGGTGGTGTGGAGAGATAATGGGCGATATTTCTCAGGGCTGCTTCGAGCGGGATTAGGGGCGGCGTGGGAACCTAGAGTGGGAGAGATTAAGCTGAAGGAAGATTTTGTGGTAAGGGGTGATATTGTGGGGTTGTTAGAAGAAATATTTGTCGTGTAGAATTATTGGTGATGGCCTGGATATGGTTTTGTATGAATTGAAAAACTAAATGGAATAAGAGAAGGAGAAAAACAGGTATAAAAGGCCTAAGAATTGGGAGGACCCAGGACACCTGATTAGAGAGTGCCTAAGGAGATTCAGCATAGTCCTGCCAGCAAAGATTATTTATTTACTTCAAGAGTTTAGAGTGGCAGTTTGGGGATAGCACCAGGAGATATCAGCTGTGATGGCTTAGAGAAACAGTGTAAACTGGCAGTGTAAACAAAAGCAGGGCATGTGTGAGTAGTTGAGAATGGTGAATAGGAGTATGACTAGACAGAAGATAGTAGGGATGACAAGTTTTTTGGGGGCACAGTCTAAGTTGCTCTGGTGTCTGGAATGAGACTGGGACCTAATAAAAAGGAGCATCTATACAGGAGCTTAAATGGGCTGTCCCTTGTAGCATTCTGAGGACAGCTCTGACTTCTGAGAAGGGAAAGTGGTAAAAGTATTGTCCAGTCTTTTTTAAGTTGGTGGCTGAGCTTGGTGAGGTGTGTTTTTAAGACTATTAGTCTGTTCTACTTTTCCTGAAGACTTGGGACTGTAATTGACATAAAGGTTTCACTGAATACTAAGAGCCTGAAAAAATGCTTGGCTGATTTGACTAATAAAGGCTGGTCTGTTATCAGACTGTATAGAGGTGGGAAGGTTAAACTGAGGAATTATGTCTGACAGAAGGGAAGAAATGACTGCGGTAGCCTTCTCAGACCCTGTAGGAAAGGCCTCTACTTATCCAGTGAAAGTGTCTACCTAGACTAAGAGGTATTTTAGTTATGTCTCGGGGCATGTTGAGTAAAGCTAATTTGCCAGTCCTGGGTGGGGGCAAATCCTTGAGCTTGATGTGTAGGGAAGGGAGGGGCCCTGAATAATCCCTGCGGAGCAGTAGAATAGCAGATGGAACACTGAGAAGTTATTTCCTTGAGGATAGATTTCCATGATGGAAAGGAAATGAGAGGTTCTAAGAGGCAGGCTAGTGGCTTGTACTATAGTATAACCTGCCTTTGCTGGTGTGTGTTGATTAGGCCTGGTGGAACTGCCATCAATAAATCAAGTGTGATCAGGGTGAGGAACAGGAAAGAAGGAAATATGGGGAAATGGGGTGAATGTCAGGTGGATCAGAGAGATACAGTCATGGGGGTCAGGTGTGGTATCAGGAATAATGTGGGAGGCCAGATTGAAGTCCGGACCAGGAATAATGGTAATTGTGGGACTTAACAAAGAGTGAGTATAGCTGAAGGAGCCGGGGAGCAGAAAGTGTATGCGTCAGGTATGAGGAAGAAAATAGATTTTGGAAGTTATGAGAAATGTAGAGAGTGAGTTGAGCATAGTTTGTGATTTTTAGGGCCTCTAAAAGTATTAAAGCAGCGGCAGCCGCTGCACACAGACATGAGGGCTAGGCTAAACAGTAAAGTCAAGTCTTTTGGACAGAAAGGCTACAGGGTGCAGTCCTGGCTCTTGTGTAAGAATTCTGACTGCACTAACCATGCCTAGGAAGGAAAGGAGTTGTTTTGTAAGGGATTGAGGTTTGGGAGATTAATCGGACACAATCAGCAGGGAGAGCACGTGTGTTTTTATGAGAATTATGCCGAGATAGGTAACAGATGAGGATGAAATTTGGGCTTGTCTGAAGTAATGGGGGCTGTCTGTGAAGACTTGCGGCAGTACAACCCAGGTAATTTGCTGAGCCTAATGGGTGCCAGGGTCAGTGTAAGTGAAAGCAAAGAGAGGCTGGGATGAAGGGTGCAAAGGAATAGTAAAGAAAGCATGTTTGAGAACCAGAACAGAATAATGGGTTGTAGAGGCAGGTATTGAGGATAGGAGAGTATATGGGTTTGGCACCAAGGGGTGGATAGGCAAAACAATTTGGTTGATAAGGCGCAGATTCTGAACTAACCTGTAAGCCTTGTCTGGTTTCAGGACAGGTAAAATGGGGGAATGGTAAGAAGAGTATATAGGCTTCAAAAGGCCATGCTGTAACAGGAAAGTGATAACAGGTTTTAATCCTTTTAAAGCATGCTGTGGGATGGGATATTGGCATTGAGTGGGGTAAGGGTGATTAGGTTTTAATGGGATGGTAATGGGCATGTGATCGGTTGCCAGGGAGGGAGTAGAGATGTCCCATACTTGTGGGTTAAGGTTGGGGGATACGAGAGGAAGATGCAAAGGAGGCTTCGGGTTGGGGAGAAGGGCGGCAATGAGATGCAGCTGTAGTCCAGGAATAGTCAGGGAAGCAGATAATTTAGTTAAAATGTCTTGGCCTAATAAGGGAACTGGGCAGGTGGGGATAACTAAAAAAGAGTGCATAAAAGAATGTTTTCTAAGTTGGCACCAGAGTTGGGGAGTTTTAAGAGGTTTAGAAGCCTGGCCGTCAATACCCACAACAGTTATGGAGGCAAGGGAAACAGGACCTTGAAAAGAAGGTAATGTGGAGTGGGTAGCCTCCATATTGACTAAGAAGGGGACGGACTTACCCTCCACTGTGAGAGTTATCTAGAGCATCTGTGATGGTCCTGTAGGCTTCTGAGGCGATCAGGCAGTGTCAGTCTTCAGCTGCTAAGCTGAGAAGATCTGGGAAGGAGTCAGAGAGCCTTGGGCCAGAGTTCCAGGGGCTCTGGAAGTGGCTGCCAGGTGAGTTGAACAGTCCGATTTTCAGTGGGGTCCCACACAGATGGGACGCAGCTTAGGAGGAATCCCGAGCTGTGGGCATTCCTTGTCCCAGTGGCCAGATTTCTGGCACTTGTAGCAAGCTCCTGGGGGAAGTTTCTGGAGGAACCCCTGGCAGCTGCGGTTCAGGCGTTTGGAGTTCTTGTGTGCTGGAGATGTGGCTGGGGTTTGTCTCACAGTGGAGGCAAGGAATTGCAACTCAGAAATACATTGCTACTTGGCTGCCTCTACTCTGTTATTGTACACCTTGAAGGTGAGGTTAATTAAGTCCTGTTGTGGGGTTTGAGGGCCGGAATTTAATTTTTGGAGCTTTATTTCATGTCGGGAGCAGATTGGGTAATAAAATGCATATTGAGAATAAGACGGCCTTCTGACCTTTCAGGGTCTAGGGCTGTAAAGCGTCTCAGGGTTGCTGCCAAATGAGCCATGAACTGGGCTGGGTTTTTATATGTGATGAAAAAGAGCCTAAATGCTAACTGATTTTGGGAGAGGTCAAAGACTATGCCTTTAGCTCCAGCCACCTTTTTAGGAGGAAATTGCTGGGCAGGTGGGGGAAGGCTAGTTGCAGAACGAAACTGTAAGCTGGACCCGGTGTGAGGAGGGGAGGTGATAAAAGGATTATAGGGTGGGGGAGCAGAGGCTGAGGAAGAATTGGGACCTGGCTCAGCCTGGCGAGAAGGGGAGAGGTCAGATGGGTCTGTAGAAAAGGAAGATTAGAAAGACTCAGCGATGCTTGGGGTTGGGACTGAGGGGACAGGTGGGAGGGAAAGAAGGAGGATCTGGGATGAGTCGCATTGGGAACAGGGACTAGGGAGGGAACAATGTATAAAAGAATGCCTGGATGTCAGGCACCTCAGACCGTTTGCCCATTTTATGACAAGAATTATTTAGATCTTGTAGCATGGAAAAATTGAAAATGCCATTTTCTGGCTATTTGGAACCACTGTCGAGTTTATATTGGGGTCAAGCAGCATTGCAGAAGATAAGGCATTTAGGTTTTAGGTCAGGTGTGAGTTGAAGAGGTTTTAAGTTCTCGAGAACACAGGCTAAGGGAGAAGAAGGAGGAATGGAGGGTGGAAGGTTGCCCATAGTGAAGGAGGTAAGCCCAGAGAAAAGAGAGAGTAGAGACATGGAGGGAAGGGGTTCATAGGTTCTTACCTTCCAGGAAAGCGGGAAAGGGGTCAGGGTGCAGAAATAAGGGGTTGGGACGCAGAGATAAGAGGTCGGGGCGTGGAAATAAGGGATTGGGGGTTCTTGTCCCCTAGAAAAGTGGGACTTGCCACTAAGAGTGAAAGAGAAGGGGTTGAGGGGTTCTTGCCCCTGCCCCAGAAAAGTGGAGAAGGGGTAGAGACATGGAGAGAAGGGGTTGGGGTACTTGGCCCTCCCCCAGAAAAGCGGGACTTGCCACTAAGGGTGAAGGACCAAGGCAGGCATCCCTGCATGGTCTGACACCTCTGAAACCTCGGTGAATAATCAGAGAGGTGTCCCTGCAATGATTAAACACCAAGGGAAGGCTGCCTTCCCTAGTCCGTGACCGGCGCCGGAGTTTTGGGTCCACGGATAAAACCTGTCTCCTCTGTCTCTACCAGAAAATGAAAGGAATTGAAATTAAGAGAAGGGAGAGATTGAAGTGTGGCACCAAGATTGAAAGGAGAAAGAGGTTGAGGGATAGTGAGGGAGGTTGGAGAAGAGAGTAAACAGAGGCCGCTTACCTGATTTAAAATTAGTGAGATGTTCCTTGGGCTGGTGGATCTGAGGACCCCAGGTCATAGGTGGATCTTTTTCATGGAACAAAGAGCAGGAGGACAGGGGATTGATCTCCCAAGGGAGGTCCCCCGATCCGAGTCACGGCACCAAATTTCATGCGCGGCCATGTTAAGAGACCACCAAACAGGCTTTGTGTGAGCAATAAAGCTTTTAATCATCTGGGTGCAGGTGGGCTGAGTCCAAAAAGAGAGTCAGCAAAGGGAGATAAGGGTGGGGCTGTTTTATAGGATTTGGGTAGATAAAGGAAAATTACAGTCAAAGCGGGGTTGTTCTCTGGCGGGCAGAGTGGGGGTCACAAGGTGCTCAGTAGGGGAGCTTTTGAGCCAGGATGAGCCAGGAGAAGGAATTTCACAAGACAATGTCATCAGTTAAGGCAGGAACCGGCCATCTGGATGTGTATATGCAGGTCACAGGTGTATGATGGCTCAGCTTGGGCTCAGAGGCCTGACAATTACTAATGTGTTAGATTATTAAAAATTAAGTCCCGCAGAGTGTCTTTTACATTCATTTTCTAGGAGGATAGTCCAAGGCACCTGATTTACTTTCTGACCATCTTATCCTTGAATTGCCTCATTCTAAAGTTTTATTGCACAGTCTAGGAGTTTTAACAATGATATAAATTACTGACTGTAAACAAAGAACCAGTTTTACAAGGAGCAGCTGACTGAATCTTGGAATAAATTAGACTCAATGTTAAAGACACGTGATAGCCGACAACCAAGGACTAAGCATTCAGTCTCTGCATCACATATACTGTATCTTCACCAAAGGTAATTTCATCATGGTAATTGGCCTGGGCTGAGTAAAGAGATTTAAAAACAGATGGATAAAAACCATAATAAAAGCAAAAATGAATTACAAAGCTGCCCTAAACATAAACATCTGGAATTCAGCCCTTTTGTTATGCCCTAGGGAAGGTAGAAGATCTCAGGATACGCATAACAAAGATGTTTAATATTCTCCTCCTATAGTAGAAATCATCAAACAACCTCTAGTTCATGTTCTGACATTAATTGGGTGACCTTGTGGGAAGTTACTTAAGCTTAAGACTCCAGCCTGTCTATTTTGTTGCAAAATTAGTGGATTATACCATTTCTTCATCACCTTACAGCTATAAAACTGCTAATTTCAGGCAATGGTTACACTAAAAGCCCAGACATAACCACGATGCAATCTATCCATATAACAAAACTGCACTTGTACTCCTTAAATGTGCACAAATTTTAATAAAAAATAAATACAACATTACAAATTGACAGAATAATTCATTATGAGGTATGTAAAATAGAAACTTTGTTTTGTTCATTGCTGAATTTCAGCACCCAGAATAGTGCCCAGCACATAGTAGATTCTCCCACAACTATTTCTTGAATTTAGGCATCAAATAAGTGTTTATTGTGAAGAATGTGTTGTGAATATGTACTGAAAAAATTTATTTATATTGTGAATATATTGCAATGACTATATTGTGAAAAATGTTTGAAAACTCCCAGAGTACCATGAACTAAACTCCATGGTATTAAAAACAAGTTAAATGAATAAGGATAATGTTCTCAACATTTTTTTACTCCATAATGGGCCAGAAATTAACATATGACCCACCACTTGCAGTGTAACAGGCCAAGATGAATGAAAATGGATGAAAGTTGGGGAAAAGCTAAACTTTTTTTTTAAGTGTTTGAATATTTTGGACAAATGTTGCCCAGACATGTGTCAACCTAAAATAATTGAAAGGGTCAAAATCTAATTTAAAGAGTTTATTCAAGTGCAAAGTGTGAGGATGGACCACCTAGAAACACCAACTCCAAAGGAATGGGGTGAACATTCTGAAGTAGGGAAGTTAAGATTCCATTTAGATAGGCAGGGACAGGTGTTTTAGCAGGATTACATTTTTCATACAAAGTTGGCACATAGTTACAGCAATTCAATTGATTATAGGCAGTTTCTTTTTGGGAAGGGTACATTAACCATAGACCTTTTATAGAGGATATAATAGTCCTGGGTTTTCTGCCATCTGGTCTAGCAAAGCAGGACAACAAAGGAGAAGTTAATCTTTAGCAAGAGTCATTAATAAAAAGATGAGAGGTTTTTGTCCCTGACATCATTTAATTCTCTCTAGTCATTGTGAACAAGAAAAATACAAAAGTAAGCTAATCAATAATTTGAGAACAGAAATGGTAACCATATGTGGCTCAGATCACAGTCACATCTCTCTCAGGGCTTAAAGCATTTTTGGCAGGGGTGGGGATTCTAACAGCTTTTAAATTTTATTTATTTTTACATATTGAAATGGACACATTTTGAGATAGATATTCAGGCATCTAAACTGCAAAGGAATTTTACCGTAGCTTTGGGAATATCTATTTGACTCCTATTGCCCACTTGCCTCATATATGTATTCCAATCTGAAACTAGGAATACGATGATGTAGGAGAAATATGTAACCACAATAGGTTCATTGCCTGATGTCCACAGCAAGTCAGTGTGCTGAGAAACTGGGTTGCAGCAGACAGAGGTTTAATCCTAGGGACGCTGAATGAGGAGACAGGAGGAAACTTCAAAACCATCTCCCCAAGGAGTTTGGGTCTAGGGTTGTTAAGGGTTTTGGAGCTGGCTGAAGTGTAGCTATCATTGATTGGTCAGAGTACAGGGTGAAGTCATAAGACAGAAAGATGAAGACCCTGCATTCTCATGCTGATTCAGTTCCTCTGTGGGGGTCTTCAAACTGGTTGGTGTCAGCTGTTCTGCTGGAATTCAGGATCTAAAAAACATCTTAAGTAATTCATAAAGAAATGTTTTATGTCACAAGGAAGTGGACCAAAGTGCAGCCTGATTAATGCTTAATTATAACTATATTTCCATCCAGGATTCTAGTTAACCCTGTGAGGATAGTTTCAAAAACATCTTGTTCAAGCTGGCAGAATGAGCTAATTGTTGGCTAAATGAGTTCATCTTTTGAGTGAAATAACTAATACTTGTCTATCTAAATGTTAGAAAATGCATCCCAAATGTTGGTTTCAGTAGAATTAATACCAAACTTCAGTTGCTGACAATAAATAAATCATACATTCACCTTCCACTTAGAGCCATTCCTTATTTGTAATTATAAAATGTCATGTGTATAAAAGAGACAATTTAGAAAAGAAGGTTGTAGAAATGATGCAAGAGGGGAAAGTAGAATGTCAATGTGAGAAAACCTTCATAGAGATTAGAAAGGCAAATGAAGAGACAGAAAATAATAGTCATTGTTGAATACCTACTATGTGCAATAAATTACATAATTCTCATTATCATTAAATAATAGATATCATCACCATCTTATAGGTGAGAGAGTTGAGGCTCAGAGAAAGTAACTTGCCTAAGGGCAGACAGTAAGTCAAAATTTAAACTAAGTTTTTTTTATTCCATTGTCCACACTGTCAGGTATATCCAACTTCTGAGAGAGAAATTTTGAGATATTAGTGATATATTCACAATGCCTTTTTGATGAGAAACATTGAATTTGAGTTTGATTTATATTTTACAGTCAGGGCTGATCATTGGTCTATTTTATTACATATACTACATTTATGAGGCCTTAAGTCAAAATGTGCTTAAGTTTCCATATATCTCAGTATCTCAGAGCAGATAAAACTTTCAAGAGTGAATTCCATTTTTTAGAGCTGAGTTGAAAATGTGCCTTCTAATTCCTTTCTCTACCTTTTAAATCACATTAATCACAATATTAAATCCATACTTCTGAGAGGTAATAAGCTCTCTCACAACACAGCGCCACAGCTTGCCTGCATATATCTCATGTTTTAGAAATAAAAATTAACTGCATTCTTTTGAAGAACCCATGGTTTTTTATTTCTAATTTGTCTTCTTTAATTTTGCTTCCTTCCAGCTGAATTGAGGTCCCTGGACTTTTCAAATGATTTTTTCTGTATTTTTTGCATGCCCAAATCTCTTTCCATGACCCCTCTTACCTCCCTCTGTATTCCCTATGTCCCTCCACCTTTCTCACTCAGGGGCGGCACCCCAGCCTTCATGCCTTTCCTCCAGAGCACACATGCCTATGGCTTTTATATGTATTGCTTAATTTTAGCTTTTTCCTGGAATGCTTTTCTCTCTCCTACCAGATATTGTAGCTATGTGACTAATTCCCTCACTGCCTTTAAGAATTTTCTCAGCCAGGCGCGGTGGCTCACGCCTGTAATCCCAACACTTTGGGAGGCCGAGGCGGGTGGATCACGAGATCAGGAGATCGAGACCATCCTGGCTAACACGGTGAAACCCCTTCTCTACTAAAAAACAAAAAATTAGCCAGGCGTGGTGGCGGGCGCCTGTAGTCCCAGCTACTCAGGAGGCTGAGGCAGGAGAATGGCGTAAACCCGGGAGCTTGCGGTGAGCCGAGATCGCGCCACTGCACTCCAGCCTGGGCGACAGAGCCAGACTCCGTCTCAAAAAAAAAAAAAAAAGAATTTTCTCAAATGGGAACTGCTCAATAGAATTTCACTAAAAACCATACTTACTTTTATCAACAGCTTCCCATACTCCCTAGTTACCATGCTCTGCTTTTTTCAAGCATTTATTACCTTATAACCCCTAAATAATTTATTCTATTTTGTTTATTGTTTACTGTCTGTCTGCCCCCTCTTCAATGAAAGCTCCATGAGAGCAGCGACCTTGGTTTTCTTTACTGATATATTCTAAAGGCCTAAAACAGTGTCTGATGCATAATAGGCTCTCAAGCATTAGCTCAATGAATAAGCATCTCATTAAGATAAATCCTTAGGGTAAAATGTTTTAGTCAACAAGTAGGCAGATTTTAAATACAGATACTTATTAGTAAATTAAAGAATTTATACTTATTATAAAGATAGCCTAAGCCAGGGGTTTCCAATCTTTTAACTTTCCTGGGCCACATTGGAAGAATAATTTTCTTGTACCACACATAAAATACCCTAACACTAACAATAGCTGATGAGCTAAAAAGAAAAAAATTGCAAAAAAATCTCAGAATATTTTAAGAAAGTTTACAAATTTGTGCTGGACCACATTCAAAGCCATTCTGGGCCACATGCAGCCTGCAGGCTGCAGACTGGACAAGCTTAACCTAAGCCAATGATTAACTTTAGCCTTAAAATAGAAGTGCTTAAGACACTGCAGCCTTCCTAAAGGACTCATTTCCTCTCAATAGTTACCCCTCCTGTAACCACCAGCCACAGTCAATTATATATGTATATTTTACCTCAGTAGAAAAAAATTTAAAAACAACAACAAAAAAAAACACTTCAGACCAAGGAAAAGTTAAAGATTACCCCTGACTGAATGTCGATTATTAAAAAGTCAAAAAACAACAGATGGTGGAGAGGATGTGGAGAAATAGGAATGCTTTTACACTGTTGATGAGAATGTAAATTAGTTCAACCATTGTGGAAGATGGTGTGGCAATTCCTCAAGGATCTAGAACCAGAAATACCATTTGACCCAGGAATCCCATTACTGGGTATGTACCCAAAGGAATATAAATCATTCTATTATAAAGATACACGCACATATATGTTCCTTGCAGCACTATTCACAATAGCAAAGAGATGGAACCAACCCAAATGCCCATCATTTACAGATTGGATAAAGGAAATGTGGTACATATACACCATGGAATACTATGCAGCCATAAAAAGGAATGAGATTATGTCCTTTGCAAGGACATGGATGGAGCTGGAAGCCGTTATCCTCAGCAAACTAACACAGGAACAGAAAACCAAATACCGCATGTTCTAACTTATAAGTGGGAGCTGAATGATGAGAATGCATGGACACATAGAGGGGAAAACACATACTGGGGCCTGTCAGGCAGTCAGGGGGCACAGGGGAGGGAGAACAAAGAACCAGTTTTACAAGGAGCAGCTGACTGAATCTTGGAATAAATTAGACTCAATGTTAAAGACATGTGATAGCCCACAACCAAGGACTAAGCATTCACTCTCTGCATCACATATAGTATATCTTCACCAAAGGTAATTTTATCATGGTAATTGGCCTGGGCTTTTTTTCTTTTTAGGAAGAATAGCTAATGCCTGCTGGGCTTAATACCTAGGTGATGGGTTGATCTGTGCAGCAAACCACCATGGCACACGTTTACTTATGTAACAAACCTGCACGTCCTGCACAGGTACCCCAAACTTAAAAGTTAAAGAAAAAAAGATTGCCTGTGACTAAATCAGCAGGGGCCTATTTAGAATAGGTAGATAAGGTTGTATTCTGTAAATCATATTAAAAACAGAAACTCCAACCAGATTGTGTTTAAATTTGGCTTTTTTTCTTGTTATTCTTCAATAACAATATATCTTGCAGTAATAAGGATTTGATACCATTTACTTACTTAACACTGTCTGAGAGTCACCTAGATACAAACCTAGTTCCACGGTTACCAGTGACAGAGCTGACTTTCCGTGAGAACTTGTGGAAGTTGTTTACCCTTTCTCAGCCTTAGTTTTCTAATCTGTAAAATGGAAATAGTGACTGTAGCCTTTGGAGGCCGAGCAGGATTTAATGAAAAAAAATTTACAAATGTACAGACAGAGTTTACAGAATGCAAGGGGGTGAAATACAGTGCCCAGTGTTATTAAAGGCAAGAGTCTCAGCTATCCTTGGCCTAAAGAGGCGAAGAGAGTGAGCAGTTACCAGAGCCCTGAGGGAGAGCTGAGTGAGGCCTCGGTTGGAGGAATGCACCCACCCACTGTAATCTAGCAGGAAGAGAGCTGGCAAATAACTATACTGACATCACTTCCCTCCCTCATTCCAATATATTGCCAGTGCCTCCCCTTGCCTGAACCCAGCTAAGCTAGAAGGCAAAGGCATCCATTTGATGTTGTCCATAAAAGTCAGCCTCCTGAAGCACCCAAGCAGGAGTGGAGGGTGGAGTGTAAATCTGAAGGACCAATAATAGGTTTCCATCTTAGTCTACTCATTTTACTCCTCAGCATCTACTCATCATTTATCTGGGTGGAAAACAAAAATCCATTCCCTAACATAGATGACAAACAAACCATTAGTTACTTCACTATTACATTATTACAGAATGAAGTCATACTCTTACCTAAAGTATAAAACATTAGCCATCAAAAGCTCTCTAAATCTAAGGAGGCAGGAGGAGGCAGAAAAAGCAATAATTAACATAAAATGTAGCTGCTATGATCACTGCTTTTCTAATGAGTTATGAAGCCTACATTGACTATTATAACTTCCTTTTTCCACCACTAATTTCATGTTTATCTTACATTCTGCAACACACCAGGGTGGAAGGGGTGACCTAAGCCTCAATTTCTGTAGGATCTCAGTCCTTAGGGGGCAACTTTTTGAGTTGCTAGAGCTTTCTATTGACCAGGACTATTGGGCAAGAGAACATTAAAGGACACTCTACTGAATCCCCTGGGTTCAGACATAGCCCTCCTTGCCTTGATCATGAAAAAGAAACCTACGTTTTCCTTGGTATTTGGGCCAAATCATCCTAGTAAATACACCCTAATCAATATGAGAGTGCCTGGCCCTTTCTGGGTGTTTTCTCCCAGCCAGTAGTGTAACTGCTTCTGGGCCATTGAAGTAAGTGGTAAAGTCAGCAAATTCTGTGGTCATAAACTCATTGCTACACTTTATTTGTTGCAAAGTATGCCCCAAAATGGAGGCAATGTTTTGAAGCATGGTGATGGGCACAGCACTCTGTAAACCCATGGCTGGTAGTGCTGGTAGAAGCACAGTGGGCAGGGAGGCGATTCTTTACCCAGAACATGTGTCTAATCCAATGGGAACAAAGCACTGCCCCTTCCTGTTTAAAGAGGGTCCGTGTAATCAATATACAATTGTTGGGTATCCCTGGGGAATGATACCAAGTCAGGGATCTGCCTTGGTGAGGGAAAATCTATGTTTTAGGCTATGTGGAGCTTCCCACACTGCTGCCATCACCATGTTTGTGCCAGGATCTAATAGCTGAAGAAAGCAATGATGGACAGCCATCTTGCCAATCCAACAGCTGAGGGCCTCCTCCACAGTGGATGCATGTGAGTGGAACACAAACATCTCCCCATTCTGTGCCCACAGTGAGAATTACATCACTTACCTCTCTCCCTTACCTTCTCACTATCAGACTCCAGCCTTGGAGTTCATCAAAGCTGCCCCTGAGCATTTCTGATTTTGCACTTATTCCAGAGTTGGGCATCTAACCACTTCAATTTCTTCCTTTTCCCATTTCCCATGACCAGAGTTTATCTGTGAATGCTGGATGTCAGAATCTCCTTACAGGGATGTGAATTTTGGAGCCACTCCTGGAATCAATTACGTTATCAGACACAATCATGCCGGGTAACTAAGTCTGTTTAACAGGATCACTCTGACTGCTTATTGAGAATGAATTGCGAAAGTCAAGGGCAGAAGCAGAGAGACCAGTTAAGAAGCTATAGAAAATCACACACACACACACACACACACACACACACACACAAACACACACATACTAGTCTACTTATAGAAGTTTCAATCATTCATTTATTCATTTTTATCATTTAATAGACTTTTTTTGAGAATTTAATATGTGCAAAGAACTATAAGTGATATCATATGGACCCTCCGCCCCACTGCCCACGCATACCCAAGAACTTGAATAGGGGACACCTAGCAAATATTGCACAGGCATCTTGCCTTCCAGGGAGACTTGACAAAGGCTACAAATAATTCTCGAATCTTTAATGCTAATCAAAGTAAAGATACCGACAAAAGAGACCAACTTTCTGAGGTGCCACACAATCAGCTTACTGCATTTGATGTTCTCAGAACAGCTGCATGTTTCCAAAGAAAAACTGTAGTGTTCACAAAAGGATAACTGCATTTCTTAAAAAGACCCAGATAATGTCAGCAATTATTTTTATGGAAAGGGAAGATTTCCATGGAATTCAAGAAAGAACTGCAGTAATTTTCTCTAATAGAAAATATACACAACATTATTCAAACTTTGTTCATCTTAAGATTCCAGGAAAATGAGCTTTGTTTTTAAATACCACTGAGATGATCTGAAGGCCCAAACATCCTCAATAATCCTGACACTACCCAGGGTTGAGGTTATATAACAAGAATATCTAATCGGAAGGGAAGATCAGAGTAGCGTGTGTTAGAGTCACTGGAATTCTTGGCTTTAACAGGTTTCCTGTATTGAAATATCATTCTGGAAAAGCATTGACCTTAGAAACTGTGTATACTCTCACTTCTCCTGTGATCTTAGGAAAAGGAACAAATCATTTCTATATTTGTCTCCTCCAACTTTGAAGTAAGAGGTTGTGGAAAGGAAATAAATAAGGTTTTGGGAAAAGGTATGGATTTGGAGGTTGAATACCACCTGTTTCACATCTTGATGCCTTGTTAATGCAATTTCCTTTCCTATCTCTTCTCAACTTGCTCACCCTTATTTCACCCTCAAGACTCCTCTTGTGCACATTTCCAGCAGATCTTCACTGAACACTGAACCACCCTGAATCTCTCTACCACCTTGTACATTTCTGTCTTATCACTACCATGAATTGTGTTTGTCTTGCCCAGGACAGTATAAGCCCCCTGATAAAAGGGATTCTGTCTGATTTATCTTTGTGCTCCTAGAAACCAGCCTGATAACCATTAAAGAAAATATCATTTCAGACACTTGTTAAAGCACAGTAAGGCAGACTATTTTGGGGACCAGGAAAATAGATTTAGGGACCACTCCAATGAGGTTTTGCAGTGAGGGAGAGAGATTGTGCTCAACTTCAAATACAAGAAGGAAAAGTGGGAATTTATAGCCAAGGAGCCAATTGGTAAGGGGAGAGGTCAGTGGATGGAAGATTACCATGAAGAAATATCAGGGGTATGCAGAGGTCCCGGCTAAAATGACCTAATAGGGTTCTTGCTGAAAGCAGGCTATGGTAATCAGACCTCATCTGCAGGATGATGGAAGATGAGGAATCCAATCAGATATCAAGGGTGATCTCAGATATCCAGGCTGAAGGATTATGGTGAAATTGACTTAGAAGGATTCTTGCTAAAACTGGACAATACAGAGATGAACATGAAAGCCTGAAAGTTAGGGATTTGTTGGGAAAAGAGTTCAGAGCGTCCTGACTAGAGTTGGGCCATGGAGAGAATCTTTGTCAGTCCTCCCATTTTCATTCAAGGAAAGAAGAAACACTCTTCTTTCTTTTGAACAATTTAAGTCCATTTTCTTGTTTGGTCATCCTTTGTCCATTAAGGACCAGCTAAAGCATTTGTTGGGTCTTGGTAGTAGAAGATATTTGCTGGATGGTGCAAGTAGTCAGGCATTTAATGAGGGGAATTTCTATGAAAATAAAAGAAAAACAAAGATTCATTGTTGGAAATCCAGTTTCTGGGTCTAGAGGGCAGCCAGTTGAGAAGATTTCTAGATGTTGGGCCCAATAATGACAGTAGCAATCTGACAGATTTCCTGGTTGTTTGCAATTTGAATGCTTTTGGCAGTGGTATCAGATATTTCTGTGAACTTTCTTAGTGGCCCACACAACAGGCATAGAGGTTGCCCATACACGATCTATTGCATTGACTGCTTTGAAGTTCATATCAAGTTATCTAGTTTCAGCTTACAGGGCTTTGGGAAAGGATGGTTTTAGTTATCAGTGATGCCAGATTGGGAGGGTGGAAAAAAATTTAGAAATGTTAAGTTTAGAGAGTTAGAGCCAGATGTTGGAAGAAACTAGAACTGAGAACACACAAGAATGAACTACAGTTTTCCATTGAACCAAAATGTCTATACTCACAGCCTTCCCTGCTTTTTGATCATAGATAACAAAAGTAAGGTTATGATTATTCTTGTTAAAAAACTAAATCTGGTCTCATTGCATCTGGCTTGATTATTTGCATAAACGCCACAAGAATGCTAATTGAACACATAGGTCTTTTTGAGTTTACTTTGCTAGAACTTTATAAGATATCTCAGATTAAACTATTAAAAAAACCTCTCAAGGCTAGAAAGCTAGAACAAGAACTCGCCACCAGATTTCACTTTTAGTACTTACAAATTTGGATAGATTCCTCTATTCCTAAGGTCCCCAAGATATACTGAGGTTCTTGGGCCTACCAGAAAATAACCTTACTTACCTGTAGTAAGGCTGGGAACTCTACAGCCACGTATCAGGCAATATGTTTCAAGAGGGTTTTGGAAGCATCTGCTCCATAAAGTCAATTTTAGTTCCTTAAGTCAGGCTCTATGCACATCATTCTCACATATGACATTCAGGTTAGAGCCTTAGGCATATAACTAATGTCTCCAATGAGGTCCTGTTACAAGGAGAACAGATTCTTATGGGGTTTATGCAAACAGCCATATTGCCATGAAAATAAGAATATGCAATAAGAGTTTCTAAATTCTAGACAAATCTGGTAGGGAGAAGAAATAAACTTTTCACTTCCATTGATAAAAATGTAAACTATTAAATTTTTGTAGTTTATAGATAGTTTAAGAGAAAAGGTAAAATTTATCTTGTCACTGACAAGATAAATTGTTTATTTCAGTTTAAAGTAATAACTGATTAAAATTGATAGCATTATACTGAACATATCATGGACAGTGAGAGTATTGACAAATTTTTACAAACTTCATATAATTACTGAAATAAAGTTTAGAAATTACTCAAACAAATATAACTTCAAGAAGGTTAAGCATCACTTATTTGATAATGTTTCCCAGGCAATTTAGCATATAAAATGAACCAAATTATTTTTTAACATTTGTCTTCACAAGATTATAGAACAAATCCTTAGATATTTTCTGGGGACCATCTGGGAAATCTCAAGGTCAGTTTGAGAACAAAAATATTTCACTTAGGACTTTATTTTGGAAGGTCTTCAAAAACGTCAAAAGGTTTGGACACTTAAATAAGATCACAAATAACTATGAAACAACACCTAGGTTCACTTAAATAATCAAGAACATAATAAAGTTTAACATAAAGCACAGGAAATAATTCTGATACAGCACAAAATCTTGGTTTTGTAGGCAAATTATTTAAAACATTTTTTAAAAACTCTTTTACATTCTCTCATTAAGAGCAGACCCATAACCCAAGAAAACTTTGTTGTTTTAACAGAGAGAAAATGAACTTACAGTTTTCCACCAGTTTTTTTTCTTTTTTTTTTTTTTTTTGAGACAGTGTCCTGCCCTGTTGCTCAGGCTGGAGTGCAGTGGTGCGATCTTGGCTCACTGCAAACTCTGCCTCACAGGTTCAAGCAATTCTTATGCCTCAGCCTCCTGAGTATCTGGGATTACAGGCACACGCCACCACACCAGGCTAATTTTTGTATTTTTAATACAGGTGGGGTTTCACCATGTTGCGCAGGCTGGTCTCCAACTCCTGATCTCAAGTGATCCACCCGCCTTGGCCTCCCAAAGTGCTAGGATTACAGGCATGAGCCACCATACCTGGCCCAGTTTATTTTTTTATATTAAAGCTCATTTCTAAAAACAAACAAAAAAAACCTCATAAATAAATCAGTTCGAATCTTAGCCAGCTTTCCTACATAAGATTTCTTTTCCCCAAACCATTTACAACTTCATAATATCCATTCAGTTTTTCTTCCCTACATTTTCCTCTTTATCATTCTGAGACAACCAGTCATCTTACTCTAGGAGAAAATTATTCACTTAACAAGACAAAACTCCCTCAACAAAACACATTCTTCATATTTTGGTTAGCTTTTATACACATTTGTCTCCCTTTACTGTTATTTTTTCTAATAGTTTTAATTACATGTGTTGATTATAATTTTTAACCGTCAGTAACCTTTCTTTTACAAGAAAACTAGGAGGTAGACAATTATGAGCTCTCACATACCAGTAATGGATAGCAGACTAGCAAATGTATGAATACATCATTTTGCAATCTATATAAACAATAGATAGTATAATTTTTCATGTTTATAAACAGACCCAAATACATTTAGCTTCTCTACACCATATAAAAACAAGATGTCAAAAGAATATAAACTTAAACTTACTGCTCAGTATAGAATGTTTCAGTAGCTTAGTTTATTTAGAAATGATTTAGATATTTAGTGAATATCATATAAATGACTATTTAACTTACCATAACTCTAAGGTTGCAAGCTGACAAAAAGATTTTAGAAACTTTTCAAGTAGGCATACTCTAATACCAAACAAAGCTAACCATTATCTCAAATTAATTCTCTGTTAATTATTTTTACAGTATATGTGAAAAGTTACTCAGTTTTTTTGTTTTACTACAAGTATTTGATATGAAATAATGAATACCAAACAATTTGCCTTTACTGCATCTTTACTTACACATTTGTTTTTTATTGTATGTATAATTTTTATAATCTTAAGTATCCAGTAGATAAAATATTGTTCAATGAGTAAACCCATGAAGAATAAAATGTATGCTTATATTATACTTAATGCTGATAACTCAGCAGATATAGCTGCTTTTATTGAACTGACAATATTAAACTAATCTTATTTGCTAAAGATTTACTCAAGTCATATGAACTTAAAAAGTATTTGGGTTACTTTCTATATTTCTGGGAGTTTTAGGAATATTTAACTTATATAAACTGTATGTAAGCATCCATTTATCTCTAAGCCAATTTGAGTAGAACTCCTTTAAGAAGTTTTATAGATTAATTTGGTAACACCATCTGAAGGTAGAAAAATATCATATATATATAATATAGATATATAGGCATATAAAAACCTATAGACAGCTGCAAACAGATATATTATAGCTTTCATTCTAAAATTTTAGCCATGAATCAGGCAACACAGTGACATGAAACTCACTCTCCACTTTCTATTTTTATCTGAATTGTGCCTCTGACCAAAGTCGGACAAGTTGAAGTTACCTACTGAATAGGGGCTAAAGCTTTTTACCAATATTTTTGGAGGGGATTTTCAGAGTTTTTATTTTCCCTGATATGTAATCTTGTGGAAACTGGACTACACTTTGGGTGAGCAACTGAAGAGACATCAAGAAGCTGGCTGAATGTCTCCAAAGCCCATTTCAATGGATATAATATTATCTATTTCCAATTATCTTTTTATCCCTTTCTCTTTTGTTTCTTTTCAGCCTTAGGTTGCTTTGGGGGAATCTCTGAGTCCCTTGAGAACCCTGATGGGCACAGGGGGCCTAAAGTTCAAGTGACTGAGGGGCTGGAGTAGAAAGGGAAACAGCCTGGCAGGGTGACAGAGGGATGGAGGAGGCAGGAGTTTGAAGGGAGACATATCAAAAAATTCAAAGGAGCTAAGGAGAAGATCAAAAGTGGTAAAAGGAGGAAGGAGGAACAGAGGTAACAAGAAAGAAGAGGTCTTAAAGATGCCAGTTTGAGGATATCTTAAGTTTCCCAAAGAGGCTATTGAAGTTCCAAATTATCCTCAGCAAAATCATACCAACAAGGAGGTGGGCAGAGTTAGTGGAGCATATCGTGAGCAAGGGTTCAAGAAGCGGTGTTGAGTCAATTGAGGAGCTCCCATGGGAGACACAGCATCAAACAGGGAAAACAGAGAGGCCTCACAAAGTGCCAGAAAAAAAATTCAGCCCAAGGAGTCAGGAAGTAAATTCCTACTCAACAGAAACAGCCAGGAAAAAAAAAATAATCTTCCAGTACTGCAGGTACCTTTCTAACAAAGAAGCCCAGACCTCTAACCCAGCTTCTGCTTGTCTGAGACTCTAACCTAACTTCTTACAAACAGAGAAACCTAGGACCCTAACCCCATACTTAACAAATAACACATATCTAATACACAAACTAATATGACACTTGTATTCCCATGTCAATATCCTAATATATATATTATAGATGATTATAATATTGTGTTCTTGGGCTCTTTCTAGTTATCCTTTCATTCGTCTTACCTCATAAGGCTGTTCTGATGATAATATGTAGCAACTAATGTGAAGGAGTGAGAACAATTGTTAAACATGTAATTAATGCTCTTACTGCAACATCAAACACTAGATCAGTGAAATAGCCAAAAAAAAGATGCAAGATATTATAGGCATTACTAGTGTCTCTCTAAAATATATAGTATTCCTCTCTGAATTAGTCAGAGTTCTCCAGAGAAACAGAACCAATAGGAGATAGATAGATGATAGATAGATAGATAGATAATTGATAGATAGATGATAGATAAAGATAGGTAGGTAGATGATAGATAGATAGATGGATAGATAGATAGATAGATAGATAGATAGATAGATAAGATAGGTAGGTAGATAGATAGATAGATAGATTAGATAGATAATTGATAGATGATAGATGATAGATTAGATAGATAGATAGATAGATAGACAGATACAGAGATATGAGGTGATCTACTGTGGGTACAACTATGGAGGCTGAGAAGTCTCACACTCTGTCACTTACAAGTTAGAAAACCTGGAATTCAAGTTGGCACATACAATTCACCATCTCACATCCTTTCCCAGTTGTTATAAGAACATCCCTCTCAGTCTCCTTGCAGTTGACTATAGTTTTAGTCAGTGCGCTATGAAGTGACATGTGTCGCTTGCAGGCTATGGTGGTGAAGTTTCAAATATAATCTCTCCAGTCTGTTTTCCCCTCCAGTGTGACATGCCCTATGTTGAGAGGTTCAAAGAAGATTAAATCTCTGAGTTACCACAAAAAAGGAAAACTGTCCACCAGAGATCCTATCAGTTTGCACAAGTAACACAAATTCCTCTATTGCATTAAGATTAGGATATGGAGACATGTTTCTTACCCCAGCACAGTTTGGCTTAACCTGATTAATACACAAATTCAGGGGATAATTCATTTCCTTCGCTATCTATAAGCAAGACATCTTTGAAGGTATGTGACAGGAATTCATAGACTTTGTTTTTTTCCTAATTTTTTCCAAGTCTTAGAAGGAGATTACATGCATTTTGTGAAGCCACAGCCTTGAAGCCTTAAGAAAACACCTGAAGGTAAATGTCTTGATCTATGCAACAAGAGATTCACCCAGATTCTCTCTAAAGTTTTTTCTATCTGTGAGATTGTCAAGAGAGTTTGAAAAATTCATTTTAAAGAATATTTGTTCAACCAGGCACGGTGTCTCAAGCCTGTAATCCCAGCACTTTGGGAGGCCGAGGCGGGCGGATCTCAAGGTCAGGAGTTCGAGACCAGCCTGGCCAATATGGTGAAACCCCATCTCTACTAAAAAAATACAAAAATTAGCTGGGCACAGTGGAGCATGACTCCGTCTCAAAAAAAAAACAAAAATGAATATTTGCTCAAAAAATACTATATGTAGACAGTAATCAGTTTGAAGGTGACTGCTGCCAATTCACTTTTCTTAAATCATTTGTGTAAAGTAGACAAGTCAGTTCTATAAGAACAAGTGTTGTATATGTTAATTGAAAACTTCTTTTATTCCTATAAAATCCAATGAAAAGTATAAGAGCTTTATAATATCAGAAGACTTATTTTCCCCTTTTGTAGAACATATTTGGGACTTAACACTGACCTCTCAGATTAAAAACTTGAAATCAGAATAATTCATAAAATAATTTACCTTGCAATCAGTGACTCCCCTACCATTTAATTCTCTCCAATGAGTAGCATCAGAGGAAAAAAATACTGTATCTAGCTGGTCTTTAGAGCATCCCAACTTGCCTTCACATGTGTGGCCACTGAGATACTCCTCTTAATGAGGTGTTACCACTAAAAATGTTTCTCAGAAGTCTCTTTTACAAGGTTAATCTCCATATAGCACTAAAGCTTTTAGCTGCATCTGACAAATTTCCTCATACATTTTGTCACTACAAAAAAAATGATGCACATATATTCTAAACTGGCTAAAATCCAAATGATTTTTCCAAATTAATACCTGCCTAATTTAAGCCAATTATTTTAAATTACCACAATAGCCCACTCCCTCATCTATTTCAGGACTTTGCTCAAATGTCACATGTCTCAGCAAGGCCCCTCTATTTAAAAATTACACCCTCCAGCATACACATTTTCCCTTTCCTGCTTTATTTTTCTCCATAGAATTTATCACATTCTAGGAATATACTATGTATTTTACTTATTTATTTTCTATGTCATTCCACTAAAATGTAAGTTTCCTGAGGGCAGAGCTCTTCGTTCACCATTATAACTTCTGAACCACAAAAAACACCCAGCACATAGTAAGTGCTCAATAAATATCTGTTGAATGAATGAGCAAACAAATGACCCCTCTTCCAGGAGACCTTTAAATACAGACCAGACAAACCACTGTGTAATAGATTCTCTGTTGGCTAAATGATAAACACCCAGAAAAATGAACTGGCACACCTCTTGGCACATTTTAGCTCTTCCATACAAATTCCAATAGACAGCAACACAGATGCTAGTGAACATAGGCTGATATTATCAGACAATTGCTTTATAAGTAGATCTTGGAATGAGAAAAGAGAGATGGTAAGTTAGCCAACTTCAATATATGCAGTGTCAGATCATATCTGACACTGCATATTTTGAACAACAACAAACTATTACCCAGAATTTGACAAAGTCATACTGCTTCAGAATCTGGGCCTTCTCTCTCAAAAGAACTATGTCTGACACTTTTCCAAGCTGTACTTGCTGTAAATTCTTTGGATAACCTAATCATGAGGTTACTGTGTAGAACTATCAATCTTATAGTGCCCTAGAAAAAACAATAAATTAATTTCTCACATGATTACAACTAAGTTTAAGAAAATCTGCTTTGCCTTAGCAATTTCTAAATGCATGTTTTCAAGAACTTAAAGATTGTGTGTAATAAACTGGGTCTTTTGACTTTGCCTAGTCCTACCTATTACAAGTCCTCCTATGTGCTATGTTCTGGTAGTACAGTGGTGAACAAGTCTCCTGGTTACCTGTTTCTTAAAAGAATAATTCCCTCAGATAAGCTTAATCAGGGGTCAAATTCAAATCAAGTAAATAAATTCCAGGCACTCCAAAAACGTTAAGTAAAGAAATAGGAAAGGGGCTATAAGAATTAAGGCAAAATGAGAACCTGCAATCTTCTCATTAAGTCAAATGAAAATTACTTATAGCAAAAGAAATCAAATTAGTATCAAAAGTATTAGGGAATAATATATCTTAAGCCAAAGAAAAAGACAATTAGTACTGATCTCTTTTAACAAGTATAGTATTTAACACAGTCTCCTTCCTTATGGGCCCTTGAAACCATTTCTCAGCCTTCCTTTTCTCTCAAGACCTCTAGAAGTTAAAAGTTGTTGGGTGTATATTACCTATCAAATTATTTTTTAAAAAATTACCTTTTGGTAGTCCCAGCTGCTCAGGAGGCTGAGGCAGGAGAATGGCGTGAACCAAGGAGGGGGAGCTTGCAGTGAGCTGAGATCGCGCCATTGCGCTCCAGCCTGGGAGACAGCGAGACTCCGTCTCAAAAAAAAAAAAATTACCTTTTGGCCAGGCACAGTGGCTCATACCTATAATCTCAGCACTTTGAGGCAGAGACAGGGGAATCTCTTGGAAGCTGACGATGGAGGATGGCTTGATCCCAGGAGGTCAAGGCTGCATTGAGCTGAGATCGCGCCGCTGCACTCCAGCCTGGGCGACAGAGGGAGACTCTGTCTCAAAAAAAAAACTACCTTAAAAAAAACTCCCTATACTTTGCAGTATGCTTCACATTTTAATGTAGACATGCAGATGACTATCTCTCCCTTTCCATGTAGCCTTCTCCTTTAATTCATCATTAAGTCAATCATACTCAATATACTAGTGCCAAGTATGTTCATATCTTTTTCTCTGTATAGTCATTATTCTATCTAGAGCAAGATCAATTTCTACATCCCTGAATAACTAATAATTTGTTGCCCCTCAAAAATAATTCTTTAAGTATTTGCCAAATATTGTTTAGAAGAAGGCAGAGTCCTGCAGGGGAAATGGCAGACAACAGCATCTCTCCTCATTTTTTGCAAATAAAATGGCTTATCCTTATATGGCAACTATTTATTAATACTGGAACATGTTCCTTGTCAGAAGGTTGGTGACAGTAAGTTTCTCTTACCCCAAGTAGATTATCAAACATTTCTTCAAACCATGTGAGCACTCTCCCTGAGGAGAGTTTTATTAAATACAAATTTATCCATGTTGATGCATTTACTCTAAGGTTTTAGTATGCCATAGTGATTGACACTCTAGAAAGCTGCTTGGGTGGTGCACTCCTTCAAGGTCTAGTGACCTTTACTTCTTACCTGGGCAGCTAATTCCTAACTGGTCTTCTTATATCAGTTCTTGAACCCCTCTGAACCATTGTTTACACAGTGGGCAGAGTGAACTTTACAAAGTGCCTATGTTATTTTCTTGCATGTTTTATGCTCTTGCATAAAACACCATATTCCTTCCAATCTTGGACCTTTTACACATGTTGCTTTTCTCTGGAATATTTCCCCCACCCCACCCTACATTCTTTGCTATGAATCTCTTTCCTGACCTCTCAGACCAAGTGAAATTCCCATAATTTATTTCTCCAGGTACACACTGCTTCTTCTTCAAAGCATTTATCTAAGTTATTATTAAATTATTAATCCTCTCTCTCTACATATATATATATTTCTTCAAAGCATTTATGTAAGTTATTATTAAATTATTAATCCTCTCACGCTCTCTCTCTATATATATGTGTATATATATATATATATTTAATGTCTATACAGTCTCCTGGAATATATGTTCCACAAGGGCAGGAACTATATCTGTCTTGTTCATCATTGTGCTCCAACACCTCCTATGTCTTGTACAATATGCCATATACAAGCTTCTAAAACTTTAACTTTTTTTTATATCCTCCTCTCTGCCCAGGACACTTTCCTCCTATTTGCTATCTCATGTTCTTTGTTCTTTTCCACCTGAAACACTACTGTATACTCTTCAAGTTGAAATTCAAATGTCACCTTGTCACTTTAAAACCTTGCTCCACCATCCATTGGAATAAATAACAGATTCTATTTCATTCATCAACAATAACTTTTTATATAGCTCTATTGCAACACATGACAAATTTTATTACATTCATTTCTATGGGCCTTAATTCCCATACTAGATTGCAAAATTCTCAAGGGTGTTAATAATTGTTGAATTCACTCATTCTGTTCCTCAAAATTCTGGATTTGTTCTTTTGGGGTATTTGGTTAAGTTATACTTCCCTGCCCCTCAGAGGTAGAGGTGATTATGGAACTTGCTTTAGACAATGTGGTATAAGTGAAAGTGATCTGTGTTGTTTCTAGGCAGATACTTTGAAGGCAGCACAGTTTGCCACATGCTCTTTCCCTCTGCCATGGTGACTGAAAACACTCTAAATAGTGACTTCTCCACTGGCCTGGGTCCCAGATTAAAGACTATATGGAACATTGTTCTAAGACAAACCACAGTGTATGTGCAGTGTGAGCAAGAAATAAACCTGCTTTAAGCCACTGAGATTTTGAAGGACGTCTGTCCTATAGTATAATCTGGCCTATTCTGACAAATACATTTTTTTTAACATCATGATAGATCCAGAATCTGGTCCAAAACTTGGCACATAGTAAGTGCTCAATAAATGTTTGATGAGTTGACTTGAAATTGATCATGTATACAGAGCATAGACAAATCACGTTTTATGTTTGATTGTTTTTTCTGTTCTCAACATTGCTAGTAGTGTCATCTTCTCGAGCAGCCAACTCTAAATTACCGGACTAAATTAATCTATCCTTTAAAAAAGGGACATTTAGCCCAATTTAGACTGATTGGGCAGTGATCTTATTTATTGGTTCGCAATGTTTGGTGTGCATCACAGTCACTCCACAGTGGCTTCAAAAGAGAGATTCCTGGGCTCCATCCTCAGAGTCTGAATCAGGATATTTGGATTGAAAGCTGGCCATCTAAGTTGAGAATAAGCTCCACAGGTTACTCTTATGCATCCAATGGTTGAGAATCACAGATGTTAACTTTTGTTTAAGATTTGTCTGAACGTACTATAGACCCAGTCTTTTTTCCACTTCTTCAATGGCAGGAAAAATCTATTCAAAAGAAAAAACAGAAGAATAGAAAAAACAGCAAGAATAGTAGTTAAAAAACAAAACAAAACTTTGCCAAAACTTCTGGTTAAAACCTCTTTTAAATAGCAACTGGATATTTCCTCATGATCCATTTACTAATTTTCATTTAAAATCCCCTTGAACTAAAACATCAAGTGTTGAAATAATATAGAGCAACTGGAGATCTCACACTGTTGTAGTCACGTATTAAGTATATTGGTGTACTTATATTGGAACAGGATTTGGTGATATTTACAAAGCTGAACATGGGCACTCTTCTGGAAGTTCATGTCAACCTCCATTCCTTACACTCTCTCCTGAGCCTGAGGGCAACAGAAGCGAGGGCTGTGGAAAGACAAAAATGATGGCCTGCTTCTCACTCTGGGAACTCTGTCCCAGGAAACTACAGAGCTGTTACCAGCCTGAGAGTCCAACTAGGGGATGGCTGGAGGTCCATGTTGCGCAACCTGCCTAGTGAGGGGCAGCAGTGTTAGGGACCCATGTGGAAAACAGTCTGGTAAGGCCAGGCACGGTGGCTCATGCCTGTAATCCCAGCACTTTGCGAGGCCGAGGTGAAGAAATTGCTTGAGTCCAGGAGTTCAAGACCAGCCTGAGCAAAGCAGAGAAATCTCATCTCTACAAAAAAACTACAAAAATTAGCTGGGCATGATAGCGAGCACCTATAGTCCTAGCTACTCCAGAGACTGACGTGGGAAAATTTCTTAAGACCAGGAGAAGGCAGAGGTTGCAGGTAGCCGAGATTGTGCCACTGCACTCCAGCTTGGGTGACAGAGTGAGACCCCATCTCCAAAAAAAAAAAAAAAAAAAAAATTAAATAAATAAATCAGTATGGCCACTTTTCTGTAAAGTGACTATACTGTTCTGGGAATCTGTGATAATCCCTAATCACTGCACTCTCTCCTGAGCCTGCAGGCAACAGTAAGGAAGGTTGCAGAGCAGCAAAAATGGTGGCTCGCCTCTCCCTCTGGGAGTTCCATCCCAGGAAAGTGCAGAGCTGCTCCCAGCCCAAGAACTCAGGCAGGGCTGGGGTGGACTTGCTAGCATCCCAGGCCAGTGGGCCTTATCCTGCGAGTGCAGCAGAGATGAGGCTTGCAATTCATTGCTGCTTAGCCCCATGGATTCTGCTCCTTTTCTCAGGGCAGATGAGGGAGCGTGTCCTCTCCTGCTGCAAAGCTGCAGTTGCTGGTGCTGAAATCATGGGGATCCAAGGCTTCTGGGGCTCAATGTGTGCCTGAGCGGTAGCCCTACCCAGACTCCACATAGCTCTCCATGGCACTCTGGAGGCTTTAGTGGGGAGGCTCACAGGGACCATTACCAGCCACTGCAAAAACACATTTAAGTACACAAACCATTGACACTATAAATCAACCACACAAATAAGTCTGAATAATAATGGGCTGACAACACACAAACAAGTCTGCATAATACTATAAATCAACCACACAAACAAGTCTGCATAATAACGAGCTGACAACACAATGACAGAATCAAATCTGCACATATCAATATTAACCTTGAATGTAAATGAGCTAAATGCCCCAATTAAAAGGCACAGTGTAGCAAGCTAGATAAAGAATCAAGACCCAATGGTGTGCTGTGTTTCAAAGACCCATTTCACATGCAACGATACACTAGGCTCAAAGTAAAGGGATGGAGAAAAATTTACCAAGCAATAGAAAACAAAAAAGGAAGGGTTGCAATCCTAATTTCAGACAAAAGAGACTTTAAGCCAACAAAGATCGAAAAAGACAAAGAAGGGCATTATATAATGGTAAAGGATTCAATCTAATAAGAAGACCTAACTATCCTGAATATATAAACACCTAACACAGGAGCACCCAGATTCATAAAGCAAGTTCTTAGCAGCCTACAAAGAGACTTAGATTTTCACACAGCAATAGTAGGAGACTTTAACACCCCACTGACAGTTTTAGACAGATCATTGAGGCAGAAAACTAACAAAGACATTTGGGACCTGAACTCAACACTGGACCAAATGCACTGCATAGAATTCTATAGAACTCTACACCCAAAAACAACAGAATATATATTTGTCTCATCTTCAATGGCACACATTCTAAAATTATCTACACAATTGAAAAATAAAACAATCCTCAGCAAATTTTTTTAAAAACCTGAAATTATACCAATCATACTCTTGGACCACAGCACAATAAAAATAGAAACCAGTGCTAAGAAAATTGCTCAAAATCATACAATTACATGGAAATTAAACAACCTACACCTGAATGACCTTTGAGTAAACAATGAAATTAAGGCAAAAATCAAGAAATTCTTTGAAACTAATGATAACAAAGATACAACAATGTCTAGGACACAGATAAAGTGATGTTAGGAGGAAAGTTTATAGTGCTAAATGTCCATATCAAAAAGTCAGAAAGATCTCAAATTAACAACCTAATATCACACCTAGAGAAATTAGAGAAACAAGAGCAAACCAAGCCCAAAGCTAGTAGCAGACAAGAAGTAACCAAAATCAGAGCTGAACTAAAGGAAATTGACATAAATAAAAAACATGCAAAAGATCAACAAATCCAAGAGTGGGTTCCTTAAAAGTATAAATAAGATAGACCTCTAGCTAGACTAATTAAAAAAAAAGAACATCCAAATAAACACAATCAGAAATGACAAAGGGGGACATTACCTCCAACCCCAAATAAATTTTTTTAAAGAAATTCTCAAAGTCTACTGTATGTACACAAACTAGAAAATCCAGAAGAAATGGATAAATTCCTGGAAACATACACCATCCCAAGATTAAACCAGGAAGAAATTGAATCCCTGAACAGAACAATAATGAGTTACAACATTAAATTAGTAAAAAAAAGCCTACCAACCAGAAAAAGCCCAGGACCAGAGAGATTCACAGCCAAATTCTGCCACATGTATAAGGAAGAACTGGTACTATTTCTACAGAAACTTCCAAAAGCTAAGGAGGAAAGATTACTCCCTAACTCATTTTATGAGTTCAGCATCATATTGATACTGAAACCTGGCAGAGACACACACAAAAGAAATCTTCAGGCCAATATCCTTGGTGAACATAGAGGCAAAAAATTCTTCACAAAATACTAGCAAACTAAATCCAGCAGCACATGAGAAAATCCATCATGATCAAGTAGACTTTATCCTTGGGATACAAGGTTGGTTCGACATATGCAAATAATAAATGTGATTCCTCACATATACAGAACTAAAAACAAAAACCACATGTCATCTCAATAGATGCAGAGAAAGTTTTGATAAAATTCAACATCCGTTCATGTTGAAAACCCTCAAAAAACTAGGCATTGATGGAACATACTTCAAAATAATAAGGAGCTATCTTTGACAAACCCACAGCCAACATCACAATGAATGAGAAAAAGCTGGAAGCATTCCCCTTGAAAACTGAAACAAAACAAGAATACCTTCTTCACCACTCCTATTTACTACAGTACTGGAAGTCCTACCCAGAGCAATCAGGCAAGAGAAAGAAATACAAGACATTCGAATATGAATAAAGGAAGTCAAACTATCCCTGTTTGCATATGATATGATTCTACACCTAGAAAACACCATAGTCTCTTCCCAAAAGCTCCTTGATCTGATAAAAACTTCAGCAAAGTTTCAGGATACAAAATCAATATACAGAAATCAGGAGCATTTCTACACACCAACAACATCCAAGCTGAGAGCCAAATCAAAAACATAATTCTATTCACAATTCCCACAAAAAGAATAAAATACCTGGGAATGTAGCTAATCAGAGAAGTGAAAGATCTCTACAAGAAGAATTACAAAATAGTGCTCAGAGAAGTCAGAGATGATGCAAATAAATTGAAAGACCTTCCATGCTCATGGATAGGAAGAATCAATATTGTTAAAACGGCCATTCTACCCAAAGCATTTTACAAATTCAATGCTATTCCTACCAGACTAACAATAATATTCTTTACAGAATTAGAAAAAAACTATTTTAAAATTCACTTGGAACCAAGAAAGAGCTCTTATAGCCAAGGCAATTCTAAGCAAAAAGAACAAAGGCAAAGGCATCATGTCACCCAACTTCAAACTACATACAAGGCTACAGTAACCAAAACAACATGGTACTGGTATAAAAACAGACACATAGAAAAGGGGACAGAATGGAAAACCCAGAAATAAAAGCACACATCTACAATCATCTGATTTTTGACGTAGTCAACCAAAACAAGCAATGGAGAAAGGACTCCCTATTCAATAAATGGTGCTGAGATAACTGGCTAGCTATATGCAGAAGATTGAGGCTGGACCCCTTCCTTACACCAGATACAAAAATCAGCTCAAGATTGATTAGCATTCATAGTGACTCTGCTCCTTTTATTGAATTCTGACTGATAAAATTATTGACACTGGATGTGGTTCCAGGGAAAGAGAACCTTAAGGATAGGAACCTATAGTTGATTTTTATATTAAAATTTTTATATTGATATAATTGTACACTTACATGCAATTGTAAGAAACAATACAGAAGGGTCCCTTTACCCAGTTTCTCCATATGGTAATACCTTGCAAAACTACAGTTCAAATGTTATAACCAGGATATAGGCATTGGTATAGTCCATATATAGGCTCTATCTGTATTTCCATTTCCACAAGGATTCATCATGTTGCCCTTTTATAGCCATATGCTTTGTCAAAAATAAATTGGGCATATTGTGTATCTGTTTGAGTTCTGAGTGTCACATTGATATATATGTCTATCCTTCTGCCAAAACCACATAGTCTTGATTACTGTAACTATAAGACCTGAATTAGATGGACTGATTTCTCCTACTGTATTCTTCTTTATCAAAATTGTTTTTAGCTATTCTAGTTCATTTGTCTTTCATGTAAATTTCAGAAAAATATTATCTATACTACAAAAAAACTTACTGAATTTTAATAATAATTTTGTTAAACTTGTGTATCAATTTGGGAAGAATCAACATCTTTACTTTGTTGAGCCTTCCACTCTGTAAATATGGTATGTCTCTTCATTTATTTTTATTTCTTTCATCAGCATTGTATAGTGTCTACCAAACAATTATTGTACATGCTCTATCTGTCACCATGCTATGATAAAGCAGCCACATAAAATGACATTTACAGGTGTTCTGTTGACAGCTGCAGCCAAAATCCCAGCATATACCATTATGAATTATTTCATTCCCAGCATGAAAGGAAATGAGTAAGTCTTTCAGTTGTTCCAGCCTCTAGTGTTTTAAGTCATTCCCAGTCATGCAGTCTTTCCATGGGTCCCAAACACAATAGAATAAAAATAATCTCTGTTGTACCCTTTCCAAATTCTTTACCCACGGAATCCATGAAGATAATAAAATGTTTGTCATTTTACTCTACTAAGTTTGGGGTGGCATGTTGTATTTTTGTACCAGGAATGGGGTCCTTCCTCAAGAGGACCCAGCCTCCCCTTCATTCAAGGGGTTCTAGGGTCTTTAAACTGGTTAAAGTCTGGAAATTGATTGAAGATCTATGATTCTCTATTTTTATAATTCAAATTAGTCTTTTGTCCATGCGACCTGGAAGTTTTCTGCTTATACAAATTAAGTAAGAATGCAGTAGGCTTCCTATCAATTTCACTTCTAGGAACACTGTCATTAATGAGCCAATGCCAGAGCTCTACACGAGTCAGACTATTCTGATATCAACTTTGCCTCTGCTGTCCATTACGGTAACTATGCCCACCTTGCCTTTAATGGTTGAGTGCCACCACTTGGCCCCTGATACCCTGCCTTCTCTCCCCCAGCCTGCACTCATGGCCTCATGGGGAGTTCCCTATGATCAGCTGACAGAGGAAGAGAAGACTAGGGCTTGGTTTACAGATGGTTCTACACGATATGCAGGCACCACCCAAAAGTGGCCAGATGCAGCACTACAGCCCCTTTCTAGTACATCCCTGAAGGACAGTGGTGAAGGGAAATCTTCCCAGAAGTTCTCAAGGGCAGAACTTCAAGCAGTACACCTGGTTGTGCACTTTGCCTGGAAGGAAAAACGGCCAGATGTGTGATTATATACTGACTCATGGGCTGGAGCCAATGGTTTGGCTGGATGGTCAGAGACTTGGAAGAAGCACGATTGGAAAATTGGTGGCAAAGAAATTTAGGGAAGAGGTATGTCGATAGACCTCTCTGAGGGGTCAAAAACTGTGAAGATATTTGTACCCCATGCGAATGCCCACCAAAGAGTGACCTCAGCAGAGGAGGATTTTAACAATCAAGTGGATAAGATGACTCATTCTGTGGACACCACTCAGCCTCTTTCGCCAGACACCACTGTCCTCACTCAATGGGCCTATAAACAAAGTGGCCATGGTGGCAGGGATAGAGGTTACACATAAGCTCAGTAACATGAACTTCCACTCACCAAGGCTGACCTGGCCACAGCCACTGCTGAGTGCCCAATTTGCCAGCAGCAGAGACCAACACTGAGCCCTCAATGTGGTACCATTCCTCAGGATGATCAGCCAGCTACTTGGTGGCAGGTTGATTATGTTTGACCTCTTCCATCATGGAAAGGGCAGAGGTTTCTCCTTACTCTGAATAGACATTTACTCTGGATATGGGTTTGTCTATCCTGCATGCAGTGCTTCTGCCAAGACTACCATCCGTGGACTCACAGAATGCCTTATCCACCGTCATGGTATTCCACACAGCATTGCCTCTGACCAAGGCACTCACTTTACGCTAAAGAAGTGGGACAGTAGGCTCATCCTCATGGAATTCACTGGCTTTACCATGTTCCCCATCATCCTGAAGCAGCTGGATTGATAGAACAGTGGAATGGCCTTTTGAAGTCACAATTACAACACCAACTAGGTGACAATACTTTGCAGGGCTGGGGCAAAGTTCTCCAGAAAGCTGTGTATGCTCTGAATCAGCATCCAATATATGGTACTATTTCTCCCACAGCCAGGATTCATGGGTCCAGGAATCCAGGGGTGGAAGTGGAAGTGGCATCACTCACCATCACCCCTAGTGACCCACTAGCAAAATTTTTGCTTCCTGTTCCCGCAACACCACGTTCTGCTGGCCTAGAGGTCTTAGTTCCAGAGGGAGGAGTGCTGCCGCCAGGAGACACAACAATGATTCCATTAAACTGGAGGTTAAGATTGCCACCTGGCCACTTTGGGCTCCTCCTACCTCTAAGTCAACAGGCTAAGAAGGGAGTTATAGTGTTGGCTAGGATAATTGACCTGGACTATCAAGATGAAAATCAGTCTACAACTCCACAATGGAGGTAAGGAACAGTATGTGTGCAATACAGGAGATCCCTTAGGATATCCCTTAGTATTACGATGCTGTGTGTTTAAGATCGATGGGAAACTACAACAACCCAATCCAGGCAGGACTACAAATGGCCCAGATCTTCAGGAATGAAGGTCTGCGTCACTTCACCAGGTAAAAAACAATGACACGCTGAGGTGCTTGCTAAAGGCAAAGGGAATACAGAATGGGTAGTAGAAGAAGGTAGTCATCAAGACCAGCTACAACCATGTGACCAGTTGCAGAAATGAGGACTATAATTGTCATGAATATTTCCTCCTTATTTTGTTAAGAACATGTTTGTGCATGTATACACTTGTACTAAGAAAATATCTTCATTTTATTTCGTTTCTTTTTTCTTTATCATGTGACGTAAGATTTATTGGCTTCATATCAGCATTTAAGTGTTGTTAACTTTATGTAACAGCCTTTAGGTTAAGGATTAGTGCATTTCCAGTTGTATGAAGGATAGTTGTATTATGTTAGGTGCAATTATGACCTTACTATTGTCTTTATTTGAAGATTATGTATGATTTCAGGAGATGTATATGGGTTCAAGTTAACAAACGGTGGACTTGTGATAGTTAATACTGACTTGATTGGATTGAAGGATGGAAAGAAAGTATTGTTCTTGCGTGTGTCTTTGAGGGTGTAGATTAACATTTGAGTCAGTGGCCTGGGAGAGCCAGACCCAGCCTCAATCTGGGTGGGCACCATCTAAGCAGCTGCCAGTGTGGCTAGAATAAAGCAGGCAGAAGAAAGTGGAATGAGGAGACTTGCTGAGTCTTCTGGCCTCCATCTTTCTCTCATGCTGGATGCTTCCTGCCCTCAAATATCAGACTCCAAGTTATTCAGCTCTGGGACCTTGGACTTACCCCAGTGGTTTGCCAGGGGTTTTCGGGCCTTTGGCCACAGACTGAAGGCTGTACTGTCGGCTTCCCAACTTTTGGGGTTTTGGGACTCAGACTGGCTTCCTTGCTCCTCCGCTTGCAGACATCCTATTGTGAGTCTTCACCTTGTGATCGTGTGATCATATATCCATATGGGATATGTAGACAGGATAGGCAAACTCATATCTGGAGTAGATGTTTATTCCAGTGAGGACAAACCACTGTCCTTTCCATGGGGGAAGAGGTTCAATATAATCAACCTGTCATCAAGTAGCTGGCTGATAACCCTGAGGAATGGTACCATATCGATCACACATATGATCACACAATCACAAGGTGAAGTCCCACAACATACATATACATAAATACATGTATATATTTACGTAGATCCTATTAGTTCTGTCCTTTTAGAGAACCCTGACTATATCCCCTTCATATATACATATATCCTATTATTTCTGTTCCCTGGCTAAGACACATGTTATCAGCAATACTGACTGGAACAAATTACAACAACAAAAGTTGCAGTGGGATGAGAAGGTGCTAATCAAAGACCAAGGAGAACAAAATATCTCAGTGGAAGTCATCAAGCCATGGGACAGCTTGTGGACCAGGCATTTCTCCCCCAGTGCTATGATGCCACTTGGGTGAGTTTCTGCTGCAACCAGATGCCACCCTTGAAAAACAAAGGGAATAGTTCTTGAAAGGAAAAAACAGTCCTGATACAAATGCAAACTTCAAACTGATATAAATCTTTAAATTAACTAAATATTTGTCCGAAATACTCTATATTTAATCCTGAGAGTGACTGAGTTACCCGCAAGTGGCAAGATTGAGACTATCCCATCTGCAGAAATGGGGATTCCAGAGCAAAGTTGAGTTCACTTATAAAAAAGCAAAGTTACATTTCTGCAATCTTGACTTCTGACTGTGATTTTTAAATCCTTCACATTTAAAATTATTTATTTGTTTTAATATCGCTATTCTCTACTGAGTACAGGGATCATGACTGTACTGTTCACTAACATATTCCTAAGTCCTCGCACATAGTTTGTCACATAGTAGAAGTTCAATAAATATTTGTTGAATAAATAAATAAGTGAATGAATAAAAATACTTGCTAGTTAATAGTTATTGGGATCATCATGGTAAAAGTATCTTATCAGTCAATAAGCAATTATAGCAAATACACTTCTTTTGTTCACAATCATGAACACTTTATTTCCTCTAAGTTAATTAATCTCATTTCTGAACTTCAGAACTAATAGGCTATCAGGAATATCATCCCAGTCATTACTAGGGTGATCTCTTCCTTCCAGTGTCACATGTGTATTCAGGAGGCTAACGTTTTGCACTGAAAGCAGAAGTAGACCCTCTAGTCCTTGACCATCATCATGGCCACTGCCTTCCTCATGGTCCAGGCTTACAGAGGTCCCTTGAAGTCTGTCAGCTCTTTGCTGTGTTCATATATCACCGTGAGTATGAGAATCTTAGGTGAAGCTGAACCACTTTCCTATGTGCACTGTGCAGCATCCATCTCTCTGGGTGCTGCCAAGGGGTCCAGGACTCTCTTCCCTTGCCAAGCCCATGTAAACTCTTTCTAGTCTGAAGGAAAGTCATTTGTTTCTCTCTTCCCTTCTCTTCACTTGCATCTTCAAGCCATCATGCTTTTACCCTTGGACCGAATTCTTCTAAATGGATTTAAGCCTTTGAGAACAAAAGCCAGAGAACTTATTCCTACTCCCCACTTCACCGTCCCATGCACTTTGCCCTAAGGCAACAAAGCAAAAAACCTGATGTTTTCTTAAATGGAGAGAAGAGAAAAGGTAAAGTTGAGAAGTAAAACTCCATAAATGAGCAACTTAAAAAATTATCCTGTCTTAGAATCAATACATAAAGTAGATCGGTTGCTGTCATTACAATGAAATTAAATCAACTACTGGTCCTTTTTCAAGGATCCGAAAGGGTCTACTCAGAGACATGAGTTATGGAGGACAAAATGGAAGTGAATGAAAGCATTCAGGCTGGCACCTTGGAGACAGTCACCTTGGGATGGGTACAGGCTGCCTTCCCAAGAGACCTCAGTACTTATTACCACAATACTTCTCAGCTGAAGCCACAATATCCAGCACTTTTGCAATAAAGACAAAAGAACCCTGGAGACTACAGAAATCCTTCCACAGCAGCCACATTATATCTTTGGTCTATTTTTGGAAATGAGGAGCACACTCTTTAAAATCATTGTACTATCTCCACACAGGCAAGAAAGCCCATCTTATACAAACTGTTACAGTATGTGAAGGGATAGCCACCATTCATGTCACAGTGGCCAGGATGGCTTGTCTGAGGTCTTCATTTCTAGTATTGCTGAAGCAAGTTGCATCTATGATTTAGCAGATGTCACTGAACACAGACGCCATGTCCTGTTGGGTTGGGAACAAAGCTATCAGGTATATCATTTAGTGGAGTTCACTCCAGATGCCTTATATATTAATAGACAAAAGGACCCCACTGATTCTCAATTTACTTATTTTATTTTAAAAATACAGTCTTTATCACTCTAATGATAAGTTGTTTAAATTGAATGCCTATTACTTTCATTATTAATGTAAAACACTGCAATCATCTTCCGTAAATATTTCACATTTCCTTTAAATTGCAGTTGCTTAACAGTAGTAAGTATAATTAGCATGTTTTAATTTGCTCCATCTTTACCAGTAACTAAGTAATACAGATATCAGAAACTAACATTTTTTAACAAGAATCGAAAATGAATCAGAAGAATCTCCTTTCAGGAAGAGGAATTTTCCCCAGGCTTATTATTCTGAGTTATTTGCATGAGACTAAACATACCCACAGAAAGATTCACTTGCTTTTTCATGTAAAATTGACTACAGTTTTTTCCCTGTTATCCATTTATTTGACTCAGATGTTTTCTCCAGAAGGTGTCCTCTGAATACTTGAAAACTGGATTTAAACAAAGAAATTTATCTTAGTTTAAGGAAGATTAGCGCAACCTTCTTCTAACATCTTCCTATTACTTGGTCTCTGTTAATAGGGTGTTTAAAATGTATTTCAAAGAAGATCACATTAATCCTAATAAAAACTCTTAAGACTGATTTTAAATGAATTAATAAATAAATAAGGAGTGCCCAACTGGCAATACCCATGTGAAAGCAGCAACTGTGTGACAATGCTGAGGGGTGAAACTGAGGGGACGAGAAGGCTTGGATAGGAATGTCTTACTAAACAGCATCAGTTACTGCTGAAACTACACCCTTGTCACATAAATGTCCATGTACTGGGTTGTTGCATTACTACCTTTGTGATTGCACTGTGTTCCCAGCACTCAAATGCTCAGTTCATACTTTAAGCGGGCAATGGACAACTCATAGACTTCAAACTCTTGCTTGGTGATCCAAGGGTTTTTGTTATCAAAGCAGATTTCTCTAAGAGCTAATAAGTGTTAGAAGATAATTATCCATGTATCTCTTGCATTTCTGTATATCTTGCAAGTAAGGCATTGACTGCCCATTGTTATACACTATGTTTATATAGGAGTTGTACAGATAGCGGCTCCCTCCTGAGCAAAGGGTGGGTTTGCTTATAGCCTTGGAAGATAGAGATAGTGTCTCTCACTGAAGCAAAGGGCAGGTATGCTTTCTGCCCACTATAAAAGATGCAGTTCCTAACCTGATGTTTCCTCTCCTGCAACATAACCCACTGCAAATGCCAGTGTCATCCAGCACTCTTGTCTTGTCATCAATATGTGGAAACTAGGGCTTCAGGAACCAGCAAACAAATGTTGATTGATATTCTAACTACTGATATTGCTGAGAGTTATAAATTGTTCTTTTTCTCTAGCCCAGTAGTTTCATGTCTTCTGCTATCATCCTTGAGACTGTGGCAGGCTAACTTGTTAGTTATAGAAAGGGTAAAACCTCAGCTTCTTCACAGTTCTTGAAAACAAGATGGGTAAGAATAAAAATAAATATTCTTTGTCCATTTTCATAAGGTATTGCTAAAAATACAAGTATAACTAGATATGTTTTGATATATTAACTCTATTACCCTGTGACTCTTGCTAAGACAGCATGAGTATAATGATGCCTTGTGTCAGGGAAGGTGATAAATCAGCTGAAAGACAGAAACATGACTTTTGAAGTGTGAAACCCATGGCATTTGACTTTTAAATATTCGAGTTTCTTGGGTTCCAAAATCTAAGCCCTCAAAAAACATAAAATGGGTTATTAAAATGATAGATTGGAAAGAATAAAGGAAAAACCAAATTGCATCACCTCCAGACTAGATAAAGACTCCCTTTGACAGTAGGGATGTGGGGCAGAGGGAGGAAGAAGAGAAGAGACAGTGAAAATAAGAAGGCTCTATGCTGGTTCCCAAAGAAAGAGGTGGGACATAGAGAAACCCTGGATAGATGTTTGGAGTCTGAGAGGAGAAAGTATCTGTGTTCTCTGCTTTCACATAAAACAGAGAGGAACTGGAGAGCTATGTCCTCCTTCCACAACACATTAGGAGAATAGTAGATAGAATGGTTGTGAGGCTTGTGTAGATGGAGAGAGTTTCCCCTTCACCATTGGTGTCCAGGAGCAGAGCCAAAGGTTTTTTTATATACCAAGTGGGGTACAGTGCTATGTGACTAACAGGATAATATAATAGTGACACATGTGGACCAATTGCTGCAAGTAGGGAAAATACATGTCAGCTAATATCACAGTAGATAGATGACTATAACTGAGGATGAGAAGTCCCCCTCTCAGCACCCCCTTAAGCCCTCTGGAACTTAGATACATATGGGAAAAATGTATAGGAGGGCAGGTACACCTGAAATGACTAAATTGACTAAGATTTAATCTTCACCAGCAGGCAGAATGAGGGTTTACAATAAAAATTGTTATGAAAAATAAGGCATGTAGTTTTTTTGGTTTGGGGTATTGTGTGCGGCCTGAAATATGTACTTGCTAGACCTGCATTCCTAAAGCAATAGGATTTTAGGAATGCATATGCTGTGCCATCATTTTTAAAATGGGAAAATCATGTCTTCTTTTATGTTCTTGGCCAGTCTCCTGAATTGTCCAGCTTTCATTATTTATGGGTTCCCAGAACTGCGGGGAGATTTGAAACTATGATGCAGTCCACCTGACATTATTTCTACAGCTAAAGCATTTTTTTTAGCTACCTCTAGCTAAACAACTGGGAGTCATATAAATAATGAAAACTACCCCTCATTCTAACCTATCCTCCTCTAACTATTACTACTTTGCAGACACGGGGAACTGGCAGGTGATACGCTGTATAAGAAGAAGGTAAAAGAAATTTGACTTCAGACGTCTCAATTTGCATGAAAATTAATACCTGTATTGTATTACTCAGATCCTGGAGAACTTTAAGATCACATATAGTTTCTAAATCTCTGCATCCTTCCAAAATAGTACCTTAAGGGGTCAATTTATTTCTCAATTATTTTCATAACAGTTAATGTTAAATGAAATTGGAAAACTAGATAAATTTGTGATCTTCTATAAAACTTTTCTATTTCAGAAAAATTTAATCCATTTTTGTAACAATCAAGCAGCAATTCCAAAGGTCAGATTTCCAACAAGATTCTCAGTCAAGGCATGCTGAAGAGGTTGCTCATTTAGCTACATCCACAAAGGAACTCAAGGTGACCAAATCAAAAGAGAGAGATATATATGATTTAACCAGGGCACTTGATAGAAAGCAGCTGTCAATCCCAGATAAAGTTATGTTTGAGAGACAAAAATAGAGAGAGAATAAAACTGTACTACTCCAGCACAAATCGTCCACAAACCAGCCTTATACAGGAACCTCTTGCCTAAGTATCTATGATATTCCTGCATCATACTGATGTTGTAACCATAAAATCCTCTTTGCACTTGCCCCAATTCTGATCTTATTATACATATATACATTTTAATAGTCTCTTAACACCTAAACCAAATACATTTCACACAGACTTCAACCCTAATTGATTTCTCCTCACTGATAAATCCAAAAGACCTCTATAGTTCATTGCCAGGCCTGTAACACCTTTTTTATTCTCCTATCTGTCATCTGTGTCTGACTTATCCAATGGACCTTGACTCTCTTTCAGGGTTGGGAATGTGACTAATATAATTTTCTTATTCCCAAAACGGCTCATCCCCTTATCAGTACTCAGTAAAGCACTTGTTGAATTGAAGCAATCTGACAGTTTCCAGAGTATAAAAATTAAGTTCCTTGACTCTGCCAAGAAAATGTCTTGCAGTCATCCATCAAGAAGAATTTGCCAGAAGAATGACTCCAGTTTAAGTTATTGGCTATGGGTATGAACTTTATATGTGTTTAATTGAAACAACACCCATAGATAAAAATAACAATTTTTTTTAGGGCTTTGAAACGCTGATTTTCTGTGTTTTTCCTTATGACAAGTAAAGGAAAACTGATTTTAGCTGTTCATGAAGGCTTCTATTTTGGAGATTCAGTCACAAATAAAATAGTAAGTTGATGAGTAAGGTGGAAATAAATCAGAAACAGAGGGATGATATATCCCTCAAAATAGACATAATTTTTAAAGTTTAAGACAAAGGTGGTTGGCAAAAAAGCAGGATCCTGAGCATATTACTTGCCAGAAACTTGTACAAGATATCTTCATAGCACAAAATCATTTGGTCTCATCCATCCCTGACAAAAACAAATACATAAATATAGCCTGTAATATCTTTCTTCTTTATTAGCCTTCAAGATATGTTTCTCCTTGAGCAAATGCACATTCTTCCCTTCTAATCTAATCTCTCCAACTCTTTCCCAATTGTACATTTCTTGTGCTTAGCATCTTGACATCTTGGTAACCAGTTTTACAGAGAAAATAAACTTAAAAAATTTAAAAGCCAGAGATTTTTTTTTCTTTGTAATTTGATTTCAACTGGAGTTCTGTACAGAAAACTATGTGTGAAGGTCAATTCAATCCACGTAGGCTTATTCTGACTCCAGCTTTTGGGTTAAAAATAAAGTGTATGTTCTCTCATATTTTAAAAAATATCTATCACAAGTAAAAACAACTATTCATGGTCACTGAAATTTATGTTAAGAATTCTTCTTATCTTGGTGAAACACTTCTAGTGCAAACACAGTAATGAAACAAAAAAATAATGCTAACCCTGTAACAACACTAATAATGGTGATGATTACATGAGGTGTCAAAGACCAGGCTTCATAACCAAGCTCCTCTGTATAATAGCTGTGCACACCTACTCTGGATACTTAATTTCTGAGTATCAGTTTTTTCACATTAAATATGTTGTTAGGAGAAATAGAAAAATAATATATGTGAAGCTTGTAATAAAGAATTGTTGATAAAAGTTTGTTTCTTTTAATATCAGTTAGAGATTGCTTATGGTCTTCTGATATAATATCATGGTTTACTTAAGTAGAGGGGTTTACTTTTATCACATAACAAGAAAGCTGGAGGCATAAAGTCCAGAGCCAGTGCAGCTCTTAAGGACATCATCTAGGACCCAGGCTCCTTGTGGCTCTCTAATCTACCAACTTTAGTGAGTGGCTTTCATCCTTATGACCACAAGATGGTTGCTCTCATCTCCAGACAACACTTTTGATTCATGTTAGTATAGTATATCTTTCTCCATCCCTTTACTTTTATTCTATCTGTGTCTTTGTATTTAAAGTGAGTTTCTTACAGACAACATACAGTTGGGTCTTGTTTTTTTTCTTCCATTCAATAGTCATTGTCTTTTAATTGGTATATTTAGACAATTAACATTTAGACTATTAACATTAATGGTCTAAATATACCAATTAAAGTGATTATTAATGTAGTTGAATTAATATCTACCATACATATTATTTGTAACTGTTTTCTATCATAGCCTTGGATATTTTTGTTGTTGTTATTTGTTTTGCTTTGTTTTTTGTCTTTTGTTTTATACCTCCTCTGGTTTTGAGTATTTTATATTTTTTCTCCTTTTTAGTAAATCAACTATATTTTTTAACTTTTTATTATAGTTATCCTTGAATTTGCAGTATACATTTACCATGAATCCAAGTCCTTTTTCCAATAGTTCAAGTGACTAATACTATTCCTAGTTCCTCCCTTCTGTCCCTTACAGCATTATTATTATTAATTTTACTTATTCATAGGCTGTAATCACTGAACACATTGTTACTATTTAGAGAAACTTATCTGTTATATCAATTAAAACATTTAAAAATAAAATATTTTAATTTTGTTCATTTTTTCTCTAATGTTTTTCCTTTCTTTATTAGATCCAAGTTTTTTTTTCATTTTATTATTATTATTATTATACTTTAAGTTTTAGGGTACATGTGCACAACATGCAGGTTTGTTACATATGTATACATGTGCCATGTTGGTGTGCTGCACCCATTAACAAGTTTTTGACCTATATCATTTTCCTTCTTTCTGAAGAATTTCTTTTAACATTTCTTGTAAGAAAAGGTCTCTGGTAACAAATTCCCTCAATTTGTCTGACAAAGTCTTTTTATTTCTCCTTCAATTTTGAAGGATAATTTTACTGGATACAGAATTCTAGATTGGTAGGTGTTGTGTTTTGTTCTCCAACACTTGAAATGTTTCCCTCAACTCTCTTCTTGCTTGAATGTTTTCAGAAGAGTAATCCCAAGTAATTCTTATTCTTGCTTTTCTAGAAGTAAGCTGGGTTTTTATCTTCTCTCTGATGCCTTTCAAGATTTTTTTTTCTTTGACTTTGTGGAGTTTGAGTTTATGTCTTGGTGTAGAAGTTTTTGGTATTTATCCTGCTTGGTGTTCTCTGAGCTTTCTGGATTTGTGATTAGATGTCTATCATTAATTTTGGAAAATTCTTGGTCATTATTACTTAAATATTTTTTCTATTTCTTTTTTTTCTATTCCCATTATATGTATGTTACACATTCAGTAATTGTTACACCTTCTTGAATATTCTTTTCCATCTTTCATTATACTTTTTCTTTGTATTTTAGTTTTGGAAGTTGTTATGATGATTTCAATGTGTTTCCCAAATTAAATGTTGGAAACTTAATCCCCAAATTCACATGTTGATTAGAAGTGGGGCCTTTGTGGGGGTAATTAGGATTAGACAGTCATCAGGGTGGAATTTCCATGATGAGACTGGTGGTTTCATAAGAAAAGGAGGAAAGATCTCAGCTGACATGCACTCTCTTACCATCTCACCATGTGATGTCTTCCACCATGTTATGATTCAGTATGAATATTCTCACCATATTCTGCTGCCATGACCTTGGACTTCTCAATTCCAGAATGTGAAAAAAAAAATTTATTTTCTTTATAAATCACGCAGTCTGTGCTACATTCTGTTATAGCAACAGAAAACAAACTAAGACAGTTGCTACTGAAATTTCTTCAAGCTCAGTGATTCTTTCTTTGCCTGTGTTCAGTCTATTGATGAGCCCATCAAAGATGTTCTTCAGTTTTCTTATAATGTTTTTAATTTCTAGCATTACCTTTTGATTCTTTCTTAGCTTTTCCATCTCTCTGCTTAGATAATTTATCTGTTAATGTATGTTGTCCACTTTTTTAATTAGAGTCCCTAGCATATTAATCATTGTTTTAATGACTTTATATGTTTATCACAGCCATATATGAGTCTGGTTCTGATGCTTGCTCTGTCTCTTCAAACTACATTATTTGTTCTTTAGTATGCTGTGTGATTTTTTCTGTTGAAAGCTGGCCATAATGTACTGGGTAAAAGGTATTGACATAAATAGTTCTTTAATGTGAAGTTTTATGTTTACCCAGCTGCAAGTTAGGTTTTGTTTACTGTCTGCTGTGGCTATTGGTGTCAAAGGCTAAAATTTTCTTGGATGTCCTTATTTTTGTCTCCCCTGTTATGTGTAGGGCCCTCCAGAGACATGTTAAATAAGATCAGAGATGTGCAGTTCTTTCAGTTGTATTCCCATGTTATTATACCAGAGCCCTGTTGATATGACAGTAAGGTATGGGGTGAGGGGAAGGATTCTCTAGTTTTATCACTAAATCTCAATCTTTTCGTGAGCCTATGCCTCTAGGTAGTGACCTTCACAAGTGCTTCTCAGTACCCCCAACTTAAGTGAGACATGGAAGGCTAGAGGGGACTATAGTTGAGTGTTTCCTTTCCCCATGTGGAAGGCTATGAAGGGCTTGTTATGGCTTAAATTGTATCCCACTGAAATTCGTATATTAAAATCCTAGCCCCTGTACCTTGGAATGTGACCTTATTTAGAGATTTTATCTTTACAGAGGTAATCAAGTTAAAATGAGGTCATTAGGATGGTCCCTAATCCAGTATGATTAGTGTTCTAATAAAAAGGAGGAAATTGAACAGAGAGATATGCATTGAGGAAAGATGATGAAGACATATGGCGGGAGATGGTCATCTATAAGCCGAGGAGAGAGACCTGAAACCAATTCTTTCCTTAAAGCCCTTAGAAGGAACCAACCCTGCTGATGCCTTAATTTTGAACATCTAGCCCCTAGCGCTATGAGACAATAAATTCCCATTGGTTAAGCCACTAGGTCTGTGGTACTTTGTTGTGGCAACCCTAACAAATGAATATAGGGCTAGAGTTGAGCATTTCCCTTATTCCACTTGGAATGCTAAAGAAGGCTACAGTTGGAGAGTTCCGTTTCCCTAGGGGTTTTAGACAATGCAGCTCTAAATCCCCTAGGTTGGTCAGGCTCTGGTAAAACCTCAGTCAGTTAGGTTCTGATGAAATATTTGCTTTTGAGGACCATCCTTGTTAAAAAGAACAGAATATTCTGGGCATATTTCAAAATAGCTACCCTTCCCCTCTCCTTGCAGGAAGCACAAGAGGATTTCCCTCCAATCACTGTGAGAATTTGGTAGAGCTCCTAGAAGCAAAACTCACAAAAATGTGAAAGCCCCTTTAAGACTGGGCTCCCACGAATTTTTAACTGTCCGTACTAAAACAGTTCATCCATTACAGTTTAGGCTTTCCTACTTTTACTGTTTCCCATGGGGGTTTCTGTTCATGAGCTTTTGTTCCAGTAATCTGTGATTCTCTGAATCTGCTAGTCTGTCTCTCCAATTTTGGAAACAGTAGTATGCCCTGCAACTTCCATTCTCTGATGGATCTAAGAAGAGTTTTTGATTTCCAGCTTGTTCAGCTTTTTTGTGTGTAGATGGGAGCAACATTTCTAAGCCCCTTATATGCTGGACTGGAAACTGAAATTCCCCCTCCAGACAACTATATTCTATATTCCAGTCGGGAAGAAGTATGGACGAAGGAACTGTGTGCCCTCCAAGAACATATTTCTTTTTAATCAGTAAAACAATAATTTTCCCAGAAACTACGTAGACTTTCACTTACATCTTGTTGGCCAGAACTAGGTCACGTCACTACCCTTGTTGCAAAGGAGGCTTAAAACGTACGTATTTTCTAACTGAGCGTGTGATAACTCCATAAAAATTAGGGGACTGGTAGTAAGAAAAGTGAAGGGAATGGATACATAGCAGACTACTGTGTTTTCCTCAGTTTAATATTTTGGCTGTCCAATATCCATGCATACATGGCCTGTCACAGCAAATGCTTATCCTCTCTCCTGTGCAACAACTTCGAAGTCTCATCAGCTTCTTGCACCCAGCTGAAGTGAAGGGATTGCTTGGAGATATTCAATGATCTCTGTCAAATATAATGACTAATGAACTAAGTGCGTCTAATAAACTAACAGATGAGTCAAAAAAGGAGTAACCAAAGTCAAAACACTCTACAGAAGGGAAAACAGGAAACATACAGCAGTCACTTATCCATAGGAAATATTAAATTATTCTGAGTAAGAATAGCAAGAACTCCCTGTTCTGCAATAGAGTAAAATTTTGAATATTCCATCTGCCAGTTCTACATCTAGTTATGCTGTAAGTCAACACCGTCCAAGAGAAATATAGCATGAGCCACAAAGGCCAGCCTCATATGTAATTTCAAATTTCCTAGAATTCTCACTTAAAAAATAAGTTGGTATATTAACAATATATTCATCTAACCTAGGATATCAAAAATCTTAATTTATAATCAACATGATCAAAGTATTAATTATATGTATTATATCCTTTTTAATACCAAGTCTTTGAAAGCTAGTGTATTTTTTACATTTATAGCACATCTCAATTTGGAATAGTCACATTTCAAGTGCTCAATAGCCGCATATAGCTAGTGACTACAACAACTATATAGACAATGCATCTCTAAGTCCTCTCTCTGTCCACTGCCCTCCATGAATCTTAATTCTACTCCCAAGGGGATTCTCTGCATCTCTTACCTTTCCAGGCTGTACATGAAGTATACATTATGGAAAATGCCTTAACTGGAGCCGCACGATTTTCACAGCACACCTGCACATGGTATATGTTTGGCAGACCCACAGATAGCCCTAGGAGTTGAATATTCAGACTGTAACTTGCCAAGTTTGTATATTGTTGGCAGTGGAATTCCCTCAGAAATCAAGCATTACTTCTGTTCAATGACTTGTAACCACAACCGAAGATTATGTGTAAATGTCACCTTAAAATGTCTCCAGAGAGGCTTGGGGCACCAGTATAATCTCTTGCAAAGAGTGCAGCTTTGCTTGCATTGACTTTGGTGATGGATACAGAAACAGTGGCATTTTTATCTTTGAAAAGCTCTCAGTCAACATAGATTGCAGGCCTGAACAAATGCAGATTTCAGGCCTGGACAAAGAGTGTCTCCTTTATTGAAATTCTAATTCCTTCTACCCCTACTAGCAGTAAACTGACAAAGGATCTCATTTGCCCAAGACTAAGATGGTTCCCAGGATGTAGAGCTTTCAATTTTAAGACTGGAAAAATAGTTTCAGGAAAATGGATGAGTGTGCCACTCTAGCTTACAGATAGGCCAAATCCAGACTTGGTCTCTCTCTCTCAGAATTTTGCTTCCCAAAGCTCCATTTTCTCTACATTTTAGGATCTGTTATTTGCAGCAATCCGTTTCCAGATTTCAGCTTCTTTATTAGTTATGGATTGCATTTGGCTGCATACATCAGAAAACTGACTAGAAGCTTAATCAAATAGAGAAATATTTTTCTCAAGCAATGGAAGTATGAAAGTGGGTAAACTGTCTGACATAGTAACTCCATAAAGTGTGAAGAACTCGAGTTCCATCTAGCTTTCTTCTTACTCAACTTTAGCATGTGACTTTTGTCCTTATAATCAAAAAATGATTCATCTATCTTCAGAAGCTGCATATTCATTTTAGGCAAGATTAAGATTAAGGGTAATGTACAAGAAAAGAAGCACATTAACTGAGGCTGAGTTTAATATCAACCAAAAAAAAAAAAAAAATGGCTTTCTCAGAAGCCTTCCATCCAGTAGAATTCCACATACATCTCATTATTTTGGTTGTGTGGCTACTCCTAACTTCAGGGGACTCTGAGAGATGAGTATGAGTATTTTTCATTGATTTATTGATGCCTCAAAAGAATAAGGCTATTGTTAGCAAAGAAGAAAAGAGAAAGGTAAATTGGTGAATGCTGAATAATATAGATAAGATAAATATTTTGTTGAATTTGAGAGAAAATATAGAAACTTCTTAAAGATAAGGTAATAATAAAAGGGCCTACTTTACACATTATTCTTCACAAATAAATTTTGCTTGGTGATTCAATTAAGTTCATGGCTTACACATTAAAACTTCGAGGCCGGGCACAGTGGCTCACGCCTGTAATCCCAACACTGGGAGGCCAAGGTGGGCGGATCACCTGAGGTCAGGAGTTCAAGACCAGCCTGGCCAACATGTGAGACCCCGTCTCTACCAAAAATACAAAAATTAGCTAGGCGTGGTGGCAGGTGCCTGTAACCCCAGCTACTCGGAAGGCTGAGGAAGGAGAGTCACTTGAACCCGGGAGCAGAGGTTGCAGTGAGCCGAGATCACACCACTGCACTCCAGCCTGGGCAACAAGAGGGAAACTCCATCTCAAAAAAATGAAAAAAACAAACAACAAAAAAAAACTTCGAAGAATATGAATGACCCTAAAGGAAATTAGACTGAGCCAAAGAGAACATGGGTAACTCCAGCCTTTGTTCTTTTTGTTAGTTCTTGAGAGTTTGTGAATTTTTTTAGGCTTGCTCTAAAGCCAAAATCATAAACTCCATCACCAGGGAGGTAACATAAATCAGTGAAAAATATTGGTATAAGGAATACTTTTTTTTTTTTTTTTTGGTGAGACACGGTCTCGCTTTGTCACCCAGGCTGGAGTGCAGAGGTGCCATCTCGGTTCACTGCAGCCTTGACCTCCTGGGCTAAAGCAATCCTCTCCTCTCAGCCCCCAGAGTAACTGAGACTACAGGTGTGCACCACCACACGTGGCTAATTTTTTGTATTTTTTTTCGAGGCAGGGTTTCGCCACGTTGCCCAGGCTGGTCTTGAACTCATGGGCTCAAGCAATCCACCTGCCTCAGCCTCCCAAAGTGCTGGAATTACAGACGTAAGCCACTTCACCCAAAGGCACACATTTTGATTGCATTTTAAAGATTGCTGAATATTCTGTATATGTAAAGACAAATATGCTTTCTTCCATTTTTTTTGAAGGACATACACCTTTGGGTCTATATTCCATTTTCCTTCTCTTGAAACATAATATAGAGAAAGACTTCTCTACAATGAGAAACTGACAATGTACGCACAATATGAATGATAACTAGCATTTGACCTAGAATTGGAAAGTCAATTGCGAGTGATATGTCTACAGCAAACGAAAAAGGACTCACACTATCTAAAGGGGCACCTACTAAGTAGAGCTAGGCCATTATTATAATAGCATGCAAAAATTTAGACCCGGTGCTGCCAGATTATGATTAGGATCCAGATTTTTATATAAAATTTCCTGGGTTTGAACTGTTGGCTCAAAAAAAAAAAAAACTTACAAACAATATACAAAGTAAATATACCAGGTCTGTAATTCATTATAGATTTGGATAATGGACCATCAGATGGATAATTTTGCTCTGGGAAAAAACCCAGAAAGTTTCCATAATATCAAGTCATTGAAAGCACTACAAGAGCATAAGATGTGTGGACATGGGGCGGGGAGAAAATAAAACTGGTAAACCAGATTTGGGGGAGAAGAAAAATAGAGATTATATATGATATGCCCTGATGTCATATAAAGGTGTATTAGGTGTTTTAATTATATGGTGCAAGGATTCTTTGTATAGACTTCAGACTCATTTTAAATACTCTTCAAGTAATGGTAGCTATCAATACACATCAGTAAAAATAGGGCCATCTAGAGTAGTTGGCACCAATAAATACTAATGAGGGTCAATAAGTGTTTTGCAGGTCAAAATGCCAAGTCTTAACTTTTGATCTGCAAAATCTCCAAGGCTATGAATTAATTAGGAGCAAAAACATTGTGGGAGCAGAAGGAAGGGTGAACTATAGTTAGACTAATATAATTTTAAACCTTATAGCAGGATGGCTAAGAAGATAGGCTTTGAGGCCAGGCACAAAGGCTCATGCCTGTAATCCCAACAATTTGGGAGGCCAAAGTGGGAGGGTTGCTTGAGGCCAAGAGTCTGAGACCAGTGTGAACAACACAGCTAGATCCCTGTCTCTACAAAAAAATTGAAATATACGTATAGCCAGGCATGTGGAGGGTGCCTGTAGTCCCAGTTACTGGGGAAGCTTAGGTGGGAGGATCACTTGAGCCCAGGAACTCAGGGCTGCAATGAGCCGATATCTCAACACTATGCTCCTAGGCAACAGAACGAGGCCCTATTTCTAAAAAGAAGTAAAAGAAGAAAATAGGTTTTGTAATTAGGCAGATCTGATCTAAAAGCCAATACCAGCCACTGAATAGTTCTGTGAAATTGAATATGTTGTTTTATTTCTTTAAGCATCAATTTTTTCATCTGCAAAATCTCACTGATGATAGTCCCTATTTCATGAGTTGCTGTAATGTTTAAATAAATGCACAGATTAAACAGCACCATACATGTAAAGCACTGAGCAAAGTCGCTGGTACAAAATAAGATCTTCAACACCTTATATATAGAAAGACTTCTAAGAAGTCACGTGTACCTTTTGTATATATATTTTTATATACAATATACAGGAAAGCTACCATGTGCAAGGAAATGCCACCAGTTTTATTTTACTCACACCTAAAAATAATATAGTGTTATAATAATGTATGAGCTCAGCTCAAATTATTTTTTCTTGGTGAAATATTTGTAGTATATTCATTCTGTAGAACTTAGTTTTAACAGCAGGGTATTGATTTAATGTAAGTATTCCCTAGTTACACCAGAATTTTTTTCACTTTAGAAGAAAAATATGTGCCCCAAAGAATGGCATAGGTTTACTGTGTTTTAACCACAATCTCATTTTTGCATTGATTTAATAAACAAATTGTGTTTTATTCCAGTGTAGGATGAGAACCTGAATGGGAGCATTTGACAAATGTTGAGTCAAATGCCCCTTCAGGCCTGGAAATCAATCACTCATGTTTCTCTCACTGAGCAAACACAGACAAGGCAGAACATGCCTATAATCACAGGTCTCCCCTTCAGAGTCTCCCGAGCATAGAAGAGTACATTAGTCGTTGTCACTTTTTTGACATCTCAGAAATTGCTTCCAGTAGAAGACACTATTCCCTCTAAAACTCTTTTCTATGTTTCTTGCAGCATCATATAGGCAGGGACTATCTCTGTGCTGTTCACAACTATATCCCATCATTGATGAGTGCTCACCAAGCACTTGTGTGAATTAACCAAAGTCCAATCTTTCCATGTTAATTCTCCTGGTAGACCAGAGAAAAGTCAAAATGTCCAAAATAGCACTTAGAGTTAGCATCATCGATTTGAACAATTAATTACTTGTCAGTTTTGAGTAAAATATGCAAAAGCATTTCTTACGGTTCTTTTTCCCTCACAACAATGAGCACATATTACATATTCAACAAATACTGACTAAACCAAACTTAATTTCTAATCCTTTCCATTTTCTTTTGGTAATAATTAGCAAAGCCAATTTTATTCAAATATAATCTAAAGGGTACATAGCTTGTTCTTGAAAATAAAGTGGCAACGTAATGAATTCATGAGACTGGAAATCTTCAGGTCATGACAGCAGAGCTAATTCTAATAAAAGAGGCAGAGTACAAGTTTTGAGTTGAGAAAGAATAAAACATTCTTCTAGATTAATACTCATTTTCCTTAACTGTGAAGCAGATTGAAAAGAAAAGATAATGAGCCCATTTAGTTTAATGTCCAAAGTGATTGCATTACATAAGGGTACCAGAATATTCTATGACTGCAAAACTCATTCTGTCACCTATTTTACAGCCTTCAATGGCAACCTATTTTGAGCCATTTGAACAAGGGAATTAAGGTTCTATAGAGGAGAAAATGACAGCAATTCCAGTTATATAAATGTAACTAACTCAATAAAATACAATCTTTCCCCTAGAATTCATCAGCAGATCAGCACCTAGATGAAATAAATCCACAGAAAGACAGTTCCCATTAGTAACCTTGCCATTATAAAATAGGTGGCAGTATTCTTCATAATGTCAAAGGCTTGGCTATTTAAAAAAAAAAAAGCCAATGTCGCTTCAAAACAATAAGGTACAACTAAACAAAACCTGAACCCTGAAATTTAAGAAAAATGTTATTTATTAGGTACATTCCACCAATTCTTGTATGTATGTCTGAAACATACCATATGTGGTTCAACTCACACTAAGTAGGAATTTGGTTTCTGGTGTATACTTTCTACTTTATTTCTCTATGAGCAATGTATTATTTTGAATTAAATATACATATGTACATTTATATTTAATTTAGCCTTCATTATTTTGTTTTGACTTTGTAGTAGGACAAGCATGCTCAAGAAAATGCAGTAGGAAATTTATTTACTACATAAGCCATGTGAATCTCAATTGTGACAATATTTTCTTATTTCTCAGAATGCAAGCTAATAGTGGAAAGTAAAGAAAGGAATACATCTATATGATTAGGCAACATGATAACAGAGACTAAACATATGTGGAAAAATTCTGGAACCCATCTCTTCGAATGCGCCTCTCTACATTCTTTCCACCTATGACAGAGAATTCATAAGACAATATTTTATGTATACAAAATTTTATAAATACAGTCTAAATCTTAGTAAAGAACTAGCTTTTGCTTTTGTTGATTCTCTCTGGTTCCTAGTTCATTCATTTATCTTATCTTTTTTCTTTCCTCTTGTCAATTTTCTGTAGTTTTTTATGTTAATGCTTAACCCAATTATTTTCAAATTAAGCTGCAAATGAACCTCTACATAACTTTTTTTGGCAACTTTGATGAGTAAAACTTTCATCATCATTCAACTCTAAATAGGTTGCTATTTCCATTGTCATTTATTCTTTAACTCTCATGTAGCAGTACTTTTTTAGTTTACAATACAGAGAGTCTTTCTAAATGGCTTTCTATTCTTGATTTCGAATTTAATGTACTGTGTTCAGAGAGCACACTCTGACCTTCATAGGGACTTCTTTTGAGACCTAACACCTGGACAATGTTTATAACTTTTTCATGTATCCTTAAAAAAGAATGCATATTTTCTATTTTGAGGTCCAGGACAAGCCATTAGTTTTGTTCAAGATCATTACACTATTACTTGGTCTACTAACTTCTGATAAAGGTTTATTAAAAATATCCTATTATGATTATGAATTTGTCAAATTTTCTTATAATTATGTGGAATAAGATAATTATAAGATAAATTTGACAAATTCATAATCACAATGGTTTGGTTTTATAGATAAACATATACTTATATTTATATTTAATAAATATATATTATATAAATACATATATTTATATCAATATATACTTACATTTAAATTTATATAAATATATAAATTTTTTTTTGAGACTTAGTCTTGCTCTGTTGTCCAGGCTGGAGTGCAGTGGCATGAGCTCGGCTCACTACAACCTCTGCCTACTGGGTTCAAGCGATTCTCCTGCCTCAGCCTCCCGAGTAGCTGGAATTAAAGGCACCCGCCATCACGCCGAGCAAATTTTTGTATTTTTAGTAAAGATGAGATTTCACCATGTTGGCCAGGCTGGTCTCGAACTCCTGACCTCAAGTGATTCACCTACCTCGGCCTCCCAAAATGCTGAGATTACAGGCATGAGCCACTGCCCAATCGGTTTTATTTATGTTGAGACAATATTGGGTACATAGAAATTTATAATTTTTATATCAAAAATTATTATTATTATGTAGTGGCCTTTATGTCTACTAATGTCTTTTGCCATATTTTCTACTTTGTCTTGTTTTACTTTGCCAGTTCTCATTTGGTTATAATTTTCTTGATATATATTTTAGTTATTCTTTTATTTGTTATCTTTCTTTGGGGTTTAATTTCATATTTGGCTCTTGGATATATCATATAGCTGAATTTTGTAATATTTGCCCAACCGAGTTATCTTTTAATAGTGATAATCTATACACATTTATTGGATATTCATGTGTAACAAAATGATCATCTTTCCACCATTTTTGTTTTTGTTTTCATTTTCCTCCTTGGCTGAATTCTGTAGGATTGATAGTTTTAGATAATAATAATTAACATTGATTGAGCATTGAGTAGGGCTAGATATTTTATCGGCTTTACACATATGATTTTATTTAATCTTCACAACAACTCTGTAAAGGAAGAATCTATTAATGTCTCCACTGTATATTTAAGGAATCTGAGGCACTAAGAGCCTAAGTAACTTGATCCAGTTTTATGACCAGTAAGAGGTAGAGATAGAATCGAAATGGGCAGCAAAATTCTAGAAATTATGCTCTTAACCAACATATTGTACTCTTCTTAAAGTACCTTCTACAATGATTTTAAGTGACTTTTTGTTTTCAAAAAAATTTATACTTACATCCATAAGTGTTTCCAAAACTTTAGAATCTGACATCAACAATGGAAAATAAGCAAAAACTTTCTGAAAACCTGCTATATTATTATTTTTCTATTTATTGCCTAAAACTGAAAAGAAATTACTTGAGGAAAAAATCAACACAAATAATGTTCTAAGACTTCCTAGCCTAGCCATTGAGAAGGTCTAGCATCTTCTGCTTTCCTGCTCTTTGGCCCCTAAGCTGGCATGTAAGAAAGCCAACTTACTAATCCTGTTAGAGAGAGAGGCCATATGCAGTGGCCATGAAGGATGGGATGCAGCATGGAGCAAAGGTCAGATGAATAAGAAGCACCAGGTGCCAGAGATATGAGTGAAGAAGCCATCCTGAGTATTCCAGCCCCTAGTCACTGTAGGCATCCCAGCTAAGGCCCCAGACATCATGTAGCTGAGATAAATCACCCTCACTCCATCCTCTTGAAACTCTTTATAAAGTCATGAAAAATATTTGACTGTGTTCCTTTAAGCCACTAAGTTTTGAGGTGGTTTGATATGTAGCAATAGAAAACCAAAATAGGAGGAATACTTGGAATTGGATGAGAGATTAAAATTTTGATTTAGATCTGATTAAGACCTTTAATATCTGAAGATGAATATTTCCTTTTAGATCAAAGTAACTAGAAAAGTTATGAACCCAACCTAAAATGTCATCAAGGGGAGGAGAAAGGATTGTCAATTTCATGTCCTAAAGGCAGGGATAAGAAAGGAATAACATTTCTTTCAGATTGTACACTACTGAATACCATTCATCAATAATTCAATTACAGAAACATAAGTATCTGTATAATAACCATATCATGCTGTTTTATATCTGTAGATAATCACAGGTTACAGATAGAAAGTAGCTTACAAGAATTATAAGGATTTATAAATGTTTATCTCTTAATCTTTTAAAAATGTAGTTTCGGCTTTCTGCAATGTATAATAATACATATACCATCAATTCTAAACATATTACTAGGCACAAAGATGTTTATAAAATTTTTATGGGTTTCTCAACATTTATTTCATCAAAGAATTTTTTATTTCTTGAGTGTTCATTTACTTGGTCAAAACATTAAGTGTTTTAAGAAGCTTTAAAAAATCTTGTGGAAGAAATCTGAGACTCAGTAGAAGAAATGCAAGCAATATATTAGAGAAAAAATACAAATTTTAACATGAAATAAAATTTTACCAGATGAAAATAGAGCATTGAAGAAAACAAGAATGATTAGATAGAAGTGGGTAAAACAAGGCAGACTAATCCAATAAAAATATTAGACACAGAATGGCTATTATTAAGAAGTCAAAAAAATAACACATGCTGGTGAGGCTGTGGAGAAAAGGGAATGCTTATACACTGCAGGTGGGAATGTAAATTAGTTCAGACCCTGTGGGAAGCAGTTTGGAGATTTCTCAAAGAACCAAAAATAGAAGTACCATTCAACCCAGCAATCCCATTACTGAGTGTATATCCAAAAGAAAATAAATCATTCTGCCAAAAAGACACCTGCACTCTCATGTTTATTGCAGCACTATTCACAATAGCAAAGATGTAGAATCAACCTAGGTACCTGTCAATGGCGGATTTGATTGAGACAATGTACATAACTCTCATGGAATATTATGCAGCCGTAAAGAAGAAAATCATGTCCATTTTAACAATATAGATGCAGTTGGAGGCCATTTTCTTAAGCAAATTAACACAGGAACAGAAAACCAAATACTGCATGTTCTCACTCATAAGTGAGAGATAAACGTTAGGTATACATGGACATAAAGATGGGAAAAATAGACACTGGGAACACCAAAGGGGGAAATAAGGAGGGAGAATGGATTGAAAAGCTATTATTGGGCATATATTCACTATTTGGGTGACAGTTTCATTTGAAGCCCAAACCTCAGCGTCACACAATATATCCATGTAACAAACCTACACTTACACCCCACAAATCTAAAATAAATATAAATAAATATGTATGCCCAAATTAGGAATAGATCATATTCGAAATTCTGAGAAAAAAATATTAGACACAAAAATAATACACTGCATAAGCATCCTGTATTAATCCAGGTTTTTAACTGAATCCCCCCAATTATGCAAAAAATTATTTTATTAAAAGACTGAATTTTGGAAGGCCTGGAAAACCAGAATAAGGTTAATCTTCCAGGAAGAATGTCCAAAACAACACAACAAAATTGGTAAATTTTATCAATGACTAAATCCCCACTACTGCTGCTAATCCAAGTACCAAAGAAAGTCACTCTTGGAACTAATGAAAAATTGCTGCTGTTTCTGCTTTGGTCACCAAAGATAGCCAAACACTAGCACTGCCAGAAAAATAACAGAAATATCAAGTAAAACCTCCTCCTCCTCTCTCACTTCCACATCAAATTCTCACTCTCATACATATAAGTAGCGAAGCCTGTATCACATGCCTCTGTGGTAGCTGCAAGGGTGTCTGGGAATCTGCATCCTGCCTCCTCCATTAGAGGGTCAGACATAGCATAGAATTGTCTCCAATATGTGCAAAGATAATGCCCCTCCCCACCCCCAGAATAAGACAGATGAGCACTACACCTACCAAAAAGCCATGATATGGAAAATGTGTGTGATGAACTGTGGACAGTGCAATAAATTTAGATGCTACTTGAGAACAGGGACTTTATCTTCCTAGTTTGCCTAGAAGAGAATCTGGCAAATGCATAGCAGAAATTAAATGAATGACTCAGTTATGGAATGCTGGCCACATTTTAAATATCCATCATTCCAATGTATATTAATATGCTTTGCAAATTGAGAAGAGTCTCCTATATACTTTTTCTTTTTGATGACTATAACGGGGTGGGGATGACGAAAGTAGTAAAAGCTTCCAGACACTACTGATTAAGTGCATGAAATGAAAATGAACATAGAATAACTAATATAGCCTAATTAAATTATTAAATTTCAAGGACGAAGAAATAATACTTCAGTAACCCAAGGGAAGAAAACAAACCACTACAAAGAAAAAACAATATCAAGTTGACCTCAGACATCTTCATGGTATTCGAGTCTAGAAGGCAACAGAGCAAGTGTCTGAAGGAAAGAAATTCAATGTCTACTAGGTCTAGAGAAAATGTAACCCAAGTTTATATGCTGCTAAGTTGTTCTTAAAATATAAAAGTAACAGATATCTTCACATGTGCAAGACCTCAGGAACACAATATCTGTGAATTTTTCTGGACAGAAAAAAAACTACCTGACATTGAAACCTAACCAGTAGACCAATCAAAATAAAAATATTCTTAGAAAAACTGTGGAGAAACAACTAATGACAAGACTCATGGTTCCAGAACAGAATCGAAACGTCACTTGCTTAAAAACATGAAAGCAGTAACTCACCTAAAAAAGACTGGCCGGAGAAAAAAGGCAGAGGTGGTAAATGTAATAGTACAAATATTCTCATTTTCTTAATAGCTAAATAACAGATAATGTTTTTAAATGACACACATCACAGAAATATGACTCCAAAATCTTTTTTCATAGTCTTTTATTGTTAGCCCTAGAAGGATTTTGTATCTCGTAGATACGATTTTGTATCTCTTTTGGTGGAGAACCACTCGTTTAAATTTAGCAATTACTTTGGTTTTACCTATTTCATTTTCTTTCTTTAAAATTATGTGAGCTTAAATGCAAAACTTTCAATTTAAGAAGTAGTGGATGTAATCTTATTATAAAAATTCTTTCTATCTCCTATATCTAAGTGTGCATAAAAAATTTGGGGAGTAATTTGTTGTTTCTGAGGGAAGGAAAGTGTCCTCTAAAAACATCATATTCCATCAAAATGTTTTCCAACTCAAAAAAAAGCAATGAACATTCTCAACCATGAAAGAATCCAAGAAATTTAACAGACACAAGATTTTGCTGGGGGAAAAAATATGCTTTCATTTATGCCAGTAAAATTCAACCAATAAAGAAATTACTGGAAAATATGTATGATTCAAATCATTTTTATTCAAAAAAGTGAGAGCCAAAATCATCTTCACTCACACAACATACTGTCTACATTTACATGACTTCATTTCCCCTAAAAACATCATATTCCACCAAAATGTTTTCCTCATTAAGAAAAAGCAACGAATGGCCGGGCACGGTGGCTCAAGACTGTAATCCCAGCACTTTGGGAGGCTGAGGTAGGCGGATCATGAGGTCAAGGGATTGAGACCATCCTGGCCAAAACGGTGAAACCCCGTCTCTACTAAAAATACAAAAATTAGCTGGGCATGGTGGTGCGTGCCTGTAATCCCATCTACTCGGGAGGATGAGGCAGGAGAATTGCTTGAACTGGGACCCAGGAGAGAGAGATTGCAGTGAGCCGAGATCACGCCACTGCACTCCAGCATGAGGTACAGAGTGAAAGAAAGACAGACAGACAGACAGACGGAAAGAAAGAAAGAGAGAAAGGAGAGAGAAAGAAAGAAAAAGAAAAAGAAAGAAAGAAAGGAAGGAAGAAAAAGAAAAAAGAAAAAGAGAAAGAGAGAAAGAGAAAGAAAGAAAGCAAAAGATAGAAAGAAAGAAAAAGAAAAGAAAGGAGAGAAGGAAGGAAGGAGAGAGAAAGAGCAATGAACATTCTCAAGCATGAAAGAATCTAAGAAATAGTACAAACCCATGACTTTGCTGGGGGGAAAATATGCTTTAATTTATGCCAGTAAAATCAAACCAATAAAGAAATTAATGGAAAATATGAATGATTCAAATCATTTTTATTCAAAAAAGTGGAGCTAAAATCATGTTCACTCACACAACTTACTGTCTACATTTATTTACATGACTTCATTGTTCCACTGTTGTCATCGATATAATTCTACTCTTCCAGGAAACTCTTGCTCAGAAAGTTAAAAGTTGAAAATAACTTTTTTGTTAATTCCAGGAATTTCATGAAAGACACAGCAACTCTTCAATAAAAAGCATAAACAAGAGTTTACCTCTCCAGACTCTCTAAACCCCTCACCTCAAAATCTACCAGTGTTAAACTGTTATACCATGTCCTTACCAAATTCTAAGCAAGTCCCCATGTTGAAAGCCCAGGCTTAACCTAGACTTTAAATCGCTCATAACTATAACCTGACTTTGGCCCACTTCCTCTGTGATGCTAAGACACCATCAATACAGGGCTCTTCTTACCATGGTAAGAATAAATTCAGCTTTGTCTTATCGTTGCTTTGGTAACATTTCTAGTGGAGCTAGCATTCAACAAAAGTCAAAACTGGAAAGAAGAAAAACAACATGAATCAAGACAAGAAAATACGTGAAAACCCAAGCATACCTCAAAAGGTCAGAATAGGGGAGGAGGAGTATGGCGTATAACAGCAAGAGACAAATAAGACTATGAAGACCAGCTGGGCGCAGTGACTCACGCCTGTAATCCCAGCACTTTGGGAGGCCGAGGCAGGTGGATCACAAGGTCAGGAGATCAAGACCATCCTGGCTAACACGGTGAAACCCCATCTGCACTAAAAATACAAAAAATTAGCCAGTGTAGTCCCAGCTACTCGGGAGGCTGAGGCAGGAGAATCACTTGAACCCAGGAGGCAGAGGTTGCAATGAGCTGAGATCACCCACTGCACTCCAGCCTGGGTGACAGAGCAAGACTCCATCCCCCGCCCCCCGCAAAAAAGACTATGAAGACCAAGATTCTGGTCTGGTCAAGGTCTGAGATGGACCTGGCTCCCTTAAGAATATGGTCCTGCCAGATCTGGTGGCTCACACCTGTAATCCCAGCATTTTGAGAGGCCAAGGCAGGAGGATTACGTAAGCCCAGGAGTTCAACACCAGCCTGGGCAATATAGAGAGACCCCCATTTCTATGAAAAGTAAACAAATTTGCCAGACATAGTGGCGCACACCTGTAGTCCCAGCTACCCAGAAGGCTGAGGTGGGAGGATCACGTGAGGTGAGAGATCAAGATTGCAGTGAGCTGTGATCATGCCACTGCACTCCAGCCTGGGCAACAAAGCAAGACCCTGTCCCAAAAATTAAAAAAAAAAAAAATGGTCCTAAGAGGTAGCTATTGCATTCCTACTTGAGGAACTAAGGAACAAAGACCAATATTATACCTTTGCCTTCTATTTTGAGGAGTTATTCATCAAAAGTGTAGATCAAGGACTGCCTACTACCGAAGCATATTTTTTCCTGGGCCCTATCCTTAATCAGAATCTCTGGGAAGAGGTATGGAAACTAGCATATTTAATAAGTCATGCCCTTTACTAAAGTCTTACACCAATGTTGGAGAATCACTGAGCAAGATGTCCAATCATCATATTAAATTACCCTTTTCAACATTGGGCATCTTGACTCAAAACAGCTGAGTGCTTCTGGATGGAATAGATAGCAGTAAGGTAATTCAGTAAATCAAATGCTAAAACTTTTCCTCCCTGAATCCAACCCCTCTTCTCAAGTTCATGTACTGCATTCCCCCATCCACCCTCCCCTTAAGGTATAAGTTGACTGATTAGATAGAAATATTACTAGTAATGCACAGCAACCTGACTTCTTCTTTGGAGCATTTATCGCTACTGTAATGCCTTTCATTGTTCAATTATTTGCTTAAAGTCTATTTTCCCTGCCGGATAGTAATCTCCATAAGCAGAGGGAACACGTCTGTCTTATACACAGTCATAGCTTCAAATCCTACCACAGCGCTAAGATGATAGATCTTCAATAAATAGTTGTTCAATTAATTAACAAAATAGTGGAAAATATCAGTCAAATACAATGATTTCAGTTCTAGTGAAATCGATGGTGAGATATTCTCTCTCTAATAGTAATCAGTCAACAAGTTGTATTGTTTCCTAGGATCACTCCGTGAAAATAAAATAAAGCGATCAGCATGAAAGAGAAAGTCTGGGTAGGAATTAGCACAATGGAAAGAGTAAATGGTTTGGAACCTTATAGGAACATTTTTAAATCCAAGATAATATATTTGTGTAACCTCAGGCTCTCTGTGTAACTTCAGGCAAGCTGATCCTTCTGAGATCCCAGTTGTCAGTAAATTGGATGTTATATTAGCTACTTCTCTGACTTGTGGGCTAGAAGGATTGACAGACTATGACCTATGGGCCAAATCTGGCCTAGAACCTGTTCCTGTACAATCTGGGAGCTAAGAATGGTTTTTACACTTTTTTTTCAAAAGAAGCTATTTTATTTGACATGTAATAGATAGTCATAAAGCAAGTCCATATATTTAGTTTTCTGATATCCTAATGTATTTCCACAAACCTTTTAAGTCTACAATTTTATATAGTTTTCCATCAGGGAAGCAAGATACATATAATTTTTTTATATTTAACTAGTTAAAGGTTTTAAGAGGGTTTAGTCTCTAAATCAGGAACAATTTAGTCATAACACCATGCAAACACATTTAAATATTCAGGAAAGAGATTTTTAAGATTATTGCTTAGTCTTATAAAATGGTGAATTTTAACCAAATTGATGCCTCTGTATTCTTATTTATGTTTCCTCTACTCTTATATCATACTGCTTGGCAAGTAATGTAAGTTTTGACGTAATTTAAAAATTAAAGTAGGTGTAAACAAATTCCAATTTGTTAAACAATTCATATATTCCCCTTTACTTACCTCACTATCTCAGGATTAATTCTCCTTAAAATGTAATCATCCCACATAGAAAAAAACTGCAGAGCTTTATCTCTTCCTTAAATATTTTCAAGTACTGTAAGAACATAAATCCATAAAAAAACTGATTAAAATTTGACATTTCATCTTGCTTTACTAATTATGTAATAATAGAAAGATGTAAAAAACATGTTCCTTAATATGTATCTACTTAACAGAGAAATACAAAGAAACACTGCAATTATGGTTATGGGCTATTTTCCAGCCTCTTCAAGTACAGGACACAACTGTGGTTCCTACCAGTAAGGAGAAATGAATAATCAATGTTACATAACACAAAAGAAAGATGAGAGGCAGAAAAAGACAAACTGACTTTGGCTTTTAAGAACCTAATGTTAACCCTGAAATGCCAGATTCAGTAACACAACAACAAAACAAAAGATTACAGCAGCAAGCCACCACTTCACACAGTATTAAGAATTCTGAAATACGTAATAGCCTTCCTCCCACCTCCCACTCAATCTGTTGGGTCATCTTTTTGCTTTTCCTGCTTTTTCACTGCAGGGAGTTCAAGGCTTGCCCACTGCATCGGCTCAGCTTTTCTCATAGTGATCTCAATCTTTGTTGCAGTCGTAGTTACATAACTTCACTTTACATCAATCACACCCCATATTTTCACATTTTGATCAAATTCCTTCTCTCCTTCAAATACAATGTGCACATTTAACAATGTGCTATTTGCTTCTACTCAACTAAGTTCTGTGAATCTTTAGCATATGTTGAAATGGTAACTTCACCTCCAGTCTGATGCCAGTTATGTCTACATGGAACAACTTTTTCCCCAGCATCCTTTTTAGTCCACATGTGTTTCCCTGTTGTACAGCCCTCTTGGGCTAAGAATGTATTAAAATCAGAAGTTTTTCTTCTACAACAGCTTAGGTATTTCATTCCCTCATGGAAAATAGGTACTCCAGAATGATATACACAGACTTCTTCTAGACTTTCTAGACCCCAATATGTCTTTGAACACCCTCTATTCTTACATGAGGTCCCAGTCTTAATTTCATCATTGTCTTCTTCTTTCTTCTTCATTCCCTGATGACAGTTTATCAAGAGCTTGTTTTAGAGAGGCAGATATTTTTAATTCCAAATTTGTCATTGGTTCATCTGGGCTTGGCATTTTTATTGCTTCTACTGGCTTAGGGGCTTGAATTATGTGTTCCTGAAATTTGGGTTTCAATTCAGATAGTTCCTTCTTCTCAGTAGTCTTGACTTCAGGTTTGACTGGCTCAGGTGGCTTCTCACTATTATGTCTACCTTTGGTACAGCCTACAATGCTTAAGAAATCAGAAAAATCCGTTGTTTTTCTCTTACAGCAAGACCAACCCTTTAATGCATCATAAAAGACTGGAACACCTGGGTGGTATGTGCAAGCATCATCGGAATCGGTCTCAGGATCGAAGCGCTGACCGCAGCCCCAGTTGTAGCACAGCAAGGCCATTTTCTTTTCCCACCGTCACAGGCAGGGCCCAAACACCGGGAACGGCAAGAGGATGCATTAGCCACTCCCATGTCACTAGCGCCAGTCTGACGACTGAGAAGGCTGCCAGCTTCCAGACTACACTTTTTTTTTTTAATAGAGATGATGTTTCACCATGTTGGCCAGGCTGGTATTGAACTCCTGACCTCAGGTGTTCTGCCTGCCTCAGCCTCCCAAAGTGCTGGGATTACAGGTGTGAGCCACCATGCCCGGCCAGTTTTTACACTTTTAAAGCATTCAGAAGAAGGAAAAGAAGGAGGACATAAAGGAGGAGGAGGAAAATGAGGTAAAGTTTATGAGGCCTGCAGAGCCTAAAATTCTATTATCTCGTCCTTTACGGAAACAGTTTATCGATCTAATGATGATAAAAGGCTGGAGAGCGGATATAGGTAATTGGTGTAGGATAGTGAAGGTGCTAACTCAAAGCAAATTGGTTTTGATGGTCTTTATTAACAAGTATAAAGAAAAAATATTCACTAGGTCAATAATTGCATACCAAGTGCCGGACAAAGTGTTTTCTCCAATAACAAAATCTCCTCCAGAAAAATAGCTGTAATTGGAGTTACCAACAGGTTAAGTTTACAGTGATCCAATTTTATTCTCCAAGCTCTGGCTGTCTTCTGAACAGGCTGAAGATACAAATTAAGAGGGGACATGGTATGAATCATCGTCCCTGCATCTGCCAAGTCCTCAAAGGCTCTGATTTCTCTAATCAAGTCAATGCTGTCATAAAACAATTCAGTGAATATAAGTTAGGTGACCAACTCATCCCCGTTTACCTGGGACTTACTCAGTTTTAGCATCTGAAGAACCCCCTCAGTTGTAGACAAACGAGGGTCGTTGCTCACCCTAATATACAGAGTATAAAGGAGTGACTTAGCTGCTTCCAGAGGAGCTGGAGAACTTCAGGGAAAAAATTATAAGCTCAGGATTTTAAATTCCCCACCTAAAGAGAAAGGACCTGAAGCTGTCTATGACTGCTCAAAATGAAAGTTTTGCCTTATACTGGCATTGGATTACAGGTGGCTGCAGATGATAAGTAACTGCTTTGCCATTGCATGCTATAAGCAAGTGTCCTCCTTACCAATGCAAACACAGTTATTACTGCCTATAAATTTAATCTCATCCAAGAACCCATTCCAGATAATCCAGAACCAATTCACAATAACCATCCTTAAGATTTTGTTCTCATGGAACCATTACAAACCTCAACTCCTAGAACCATCAGGGTTCAATTAGAGAATCAGAACCTCCATGAGTGATATAAAGTGGGGAATTTATTAAGGAATTAGACGTTACACAATTCTAAGAGTTGGTGGTGCCGCAGGATACATTCAAAAGCAGAAAACAAAATTGTACCGCTTTAAGAGTAAACTCATTCATTCCAGCTTAAACACAACAATTTAGTTGGTCACGTTCTGCCTTTCTCCCAGAGATGGCATAGAAGTTCCTGAAGAAGGGTCATGGCAAGGAGCAGTGGTGGGAAATGTGGGGTTGGGGGTAAAGGGGAGATAGCCGATCGTCCCTTCATATCCTGGGACCTACACTCTGCTGCCATCTAGTGAGACTATGATCGCACTCAGTGCTCAGAAGACGGTCCACACAAGCATTCACTGAGTTCCTTCCCTTCCCACACATCTCTGGTCTTACGGTCCACACCTTTTTCCTCTATGTGTCTCTCATCAAGAATATGAGACTTTCGCAGGTCCACCAGGACTCTCTGTCTCTCTCTCTCCTAAAAGCTGTGCCCTTCTCAAGGACATGGGAAAAACTGGCAGCTCTTCCATGCCACCCCTCAGGGCAATCAAAATTCCAACAGACCATTTTCCCTTTGACGCTGTATTTTATGGTCCTTCTTTCTTAGCGGCATAGGATCCTCATGATATCATGAAACACCTCCTTGTGTGGTTTCAGGCAGAAATTGATTACAGGACAGATGCTCATACTTCCTGGGATTCTATCCCCCTCATTCAGAGAGCACACAGGGCTCCTCCTCAGAGACTTTCACACATGTTCAGCTCTATCTCTACCTCACCAACCCCTCTCCCTTTTCCAGACCACACAAGGTTTATGGTTTGTGTTTTGTCTTCTTTTTTGTTTGTTTTTGCTAGATTCATGTTTCACAACTTTGGTGGAATATTCTAGCTCTTCTGTACAGATGGAAAAGACTGTATCATGTTACTAACGTGTATGAGCAGGCAAGGCTGGAGCATTCTCTGCAGACATGGTCACGGTGTTGAGGTAGCTGCTAGAGCTCTGCTGACAGACTGGTGTCATATCCTTTGACATTGTGCATGTCAGTCAAGAAGCAAGCTGCCCCAATCTAGGGCTTCTGAGACAAAGTAAATAGTGAAACCAAGACATGAGAGTGCTACTGATAAAAACAAGATTTTATAATACAAAATTGAAAGTTTATACTTTCCACTCCAAGCTTGCCAACACTAGTTGAGAAATCAAAAAATTAACAAATCCTGGCAGGGCCCAATGGCTCACACCTGTAATCCCAGCACTTTGGGAGGCCAAGGCATGAGGATCACACTGTCAATAAAATTTGCTGCAGTAAGGACTGAATCACCAGGCCTACAGTCCTGACACATCCATTGTAATGTTTTCAAGCCCAGCAGAGAAGTCCTCGTTTCTCCTGCTGTATGCGTTTAGCAGGCCAAGTTGCTTCTTGCTAGAAATGTGTGAAAAGAAAAAAGTCTCACTTTATAATAAACTAAGCTCCCTCTTCTTATACAACTGACATATCTTATTATGGGTATTTGATATCCAAACAATGGGAAAAATTAGATGGTCAAATTTTGTTAGAGAAAGAAATAAGCTAAAAACACAACTGAAACATTTCAATTTAACTAGCATAGAAAACTCTACTGCCTTAAAGTTTATTTATCAAATATATCTATCTTAAACCTCCTATGGGAATTACTTCTCAGGTTAAACACAATGCAAATTTCTAACACAAACACAGAAGAAATCCCCATGAAGAAAGATTTCAGCAGAAACAAGCAGACATTGGTACTGTTACTTAACTTGGAGAAAGGACAAGCTGCCAGGTTTAGAGCTAAATAATGTTTGAGGCATCCGATGTTTAAACCTAATATCAACTTTCTTCTTTGTCTGCCAGAGTCAACTATTCCCTTCACTCCCAAAAACTCTTCAGGCCAGTCAAACTCAACATACATGCCTCAGCAACATCCTTCAGGGGGAGATCAAACGAAACAAAACCAAATACTAAACTTTATTATTTTCAGAGAAAAAGCATCCAGGAAGCTTCTCCACCTAGTTCTTTCAGTTTTTGTTGTTAGATCTTGTTGTAGGAGGTGGAAAATGCAATCTCACCTTTGGGATCTAGGTTTCCTCAAGTGCAGAGCAATGTATTTTGTATTCTGATTTTTGAAGTCCTGGTAGAAAGATTAAGAATTAGGGAGATTCATATGAAATATTCACTGCTTTGCATCCCCTTAGATTTTTGTATTCCTTGGTTATTTCTACTTTATTTATTTTTAAAAAGTAATAAAATGTAGTATTCTATGAAACTAACATTAAAGACAGTCAACCACAGAATATCATAAAATTAACTTCCTCTGAAGTGAATCTTTAATTTTTATTGGTTAAAAAGCAGTGCTGAAATACATATGACACATGAGACTCAGATCAGCCTAAAACAGCTCTTCAAGGACCAGGAACTCAGAAGAAGTTTGTAACTCTAAATGAGCAAAAATGAACAATAAATTTCACTTTCATGCTGTTCCTGAGTCTCCGTGCTATTTTAGTCACCTAATTCCCCACACTTGAAATTTAACTCATTAAAGTTCCTGAGTATAAGAACCTGAAAAGCATAATTGTGTTTTTTAAATATTTAATTAATACATATTTCATCATTTTGGTATTTTTATGACCAAATAAGGATCTTTATCTTGCAACAGTTCTGTTTGGTCTACTCTTTTCTTTCTTCAAGAGCACAAGAGTATAGTTTACTTTAAAAAAAAAAAAAGTGGTGGGGGAAGAGGATCATCACAGAGTGAAAACACTAACAAAGAAATACTTTGGGAGGATGGTATAATGGAAGAAAAAATACCTAAGTAGATAGTTTCAATTTGCCATTTTTGTCCTCTTATTTAGTAGAAAAGATCCTCAATCTCCCAAGAATAAGTTTTTGTGTATCAAGCAGATAAACAAAAGAATCCAAAATTTATTATGTAAGAATGATAGCAATAAATTAAAATGCCATCGTGTGTGTTCCCTGTGGCATTATTTTTATGTAGCAGTTGGCTCCTCTGTCTCTGCTAAGTCTCAAAAACAAAACAATCTAGATAATCCTCTTATAAATTATAATATATTTCTGGGAACATAGGAAAATTCTTAGCTATGCTGCAATTGGTGTCACAGTATATATAGTAAGAAAATTATTATATTTTTGTTAACTTCCTGGTAACTGTTGGAATTAAGTCAGGCTTATTTAGAAATCACCCAAAGATATCAAATTATTAAATAACCAATTGAATAACTAACCATAAATTCTAATTTTCTCTAATATTCTGCAAATTTTTTTAAAGAATTAACACCATATTGCTGGGCATCAATGGAAGCACTCTGTAGTGCTTAGGAAAGCACCTGATAGACAGTAGACATTCAGTAAACTATTTTTAGTATTATTATTATTTTTAATACAGACCAAGTCTCGCTCTGTCACCCTGCCTGGAGAGCAGTGGCACAATCACAGCTCGCCATAGCCCAGAAGTCCTGGGCTAAGCAATCTTCCCACCTCAGCCTCCCTAGTAGCTGGAACTACAGGTGTGTGTCACTTTACTCAGCAAGATTTTTTAATTTTTTTGTAGAGATAGAGATCTGGCTTTATTGCCCAGGCTGCTGACAAACTCCTGACCTCAAGCAATCCTCCTGCCTTGGCCTCCCAAACCACTGAGATTACAGGCATGAGCCACTGTGATTGACCAATAAATATTTTTAAGTAAATGAATAATGAAAAAGATATTCCTGACTTTTCTTTGTCATCTGCTTTTATGTAAATCAAAGTTGCATTTTCCCCTGTTCAGGTATAATAGAATACTTGAAATTTTAAAATATTCTGCCTGATTTGAACCATTGGCCCTACCCACAAATAATCTGAATCTTTAAATATAGCCACTGTGATTTGTCCAGATCTGTCACATATTTATTGAACATTGATCATGCAGAAAACAATGCAGGGATGTAATAGCCCCTGCCCCCAAAGAGCTTACAAAATAGAAAAGACAAGTACATTAATAGTTATAAGGAAAGGTATAAACATCAGAAGACAAGAAAATATACAATTGTTAACTGAAAGACAAATTTTAAAGAGAGACATCTGCTGGGTGTGGTGGCTCATGCCTGTAATTTCAGCACTTTGGGAGGCCAAGGTGGGCAGATCACTTGAGGTCAGGAGTTTGAGACCAACCTGGCCAACATGGTGAAACTCTGTCCCTACTAAAAACACAAAAATCAGCCAGGTGTGGTGGCAGGCACCTGTAGTCCCAGCTACTTGGGAAGCTGTGGCAAGAGAATTGCTTGAACTCAGGAGGTGGAGGTTGCAGTGAGCCAAGATTACACCACCGCACTCCAGCCTGGGCAACAGAGCAAGACCCTGTCTCAAAAAAGAATAAAAATAAAAATAAAGAGAGGCATCATATTCAACTGGGAGCTTAGCAAAAGTGCCATAAAAGAGGAGACACTTGAGATAAACATAAAACACGATAACAAGACTTTGACAAATGACATTAGAGAAATAGGGAATTCTAAGCAAAGAGAACACAATATACTCTTTTATGTCTATTCGGGGGATTGCAATTAACCCAATCTCACTGGAGCAAACAGTCAATGTAAGGATGAAATAAATGAGTAGCTTGAAACTTGGTGTTCAACTTGAGCTTGGGAGTCTATACTTACTGTGTAATTAAAAGACATTTAAGGTTTCTTCCAGTCGGGGTTTGAAGAAAGTAGTACATTCAAATGGGATCGATGAGTGGCATTTAATGTGTCCACAAAGGTGTGGACAGAGTAAGTGACACCAACAAGAGACAATGAAAACATTCTGCCAGCAACAGCAGGAAGAGTTACCATCACTGAAGCAGGAAGGAGAAGCAGGAAAGAGGAAGGAAACATTACTGGAAGCCGCAGAGAAAAGCCAGAACTGTAAGAAAGTGGCCCCGCACATGAGGGAAGGCCTTCTGCGGAGGAGCACAGCTAACCTATGGTCAAGCAAGGAGGCAGACAGAGGAATAAATACTCAGCTTAATTCCTGGCTTGCTCCCACCAGTGCCCTGCTAGAGCTCACTATTGGCTGAACGCAACTGGAAGCCAGAAGGCAATGAAGCCAAGGAAGGATGCAGTTTATCTAGGTTCTCCTCCCAGGGGACAGAGCAGGGCAGAGAAAGGTAGGGGGTAGACCTGAAGGGGGAAAAAGAATAAATATTCAGCTCAAGGGTTGTAAGCAAACAAAAGACGTGCCTCTCCTTAGAAAATTGTATCCAACAATAATGGAGAGAATCAAGAGAAGGGTAGATGATAAACCCAATTAAGAATATAATGTGCCGGGCGCGGTGGCTCACGCCTGTAATCCCAGCACTTTGGGAGGCCGAGGCGGGCGGATCATGAGGTCAAGAGATCGAGACCATCCTGGCTAACACAGTGAAACCCTGTCTCTACTAAAAATACAAAAAAATTAGCCAGGCCTGGTGGCGGGCGTCTGTAGTCCCAGCTACTCGGGAGGCTGAGGCAGGAGAATGGCGTGAACCCGGGAGGCGGAGCTTGCAGTGAGCCGAGGTGGCGCCACTGCACTCCAGCCTGGGCGACAGAGCGAGACTCCGTGTAAATAAAAAAAATATATATCTTATATATAATGAAGATGTCTGGTGAAGGTCAGAAATAGGATAATGGCAGAGGAAAGTGAAGTGATCATCTATCTATGGGAAACATCACAGAGATAAATTCAGGGATTTCTAAAGGATTAGATGTAGGAGAAAAAGAACATCAAAGTCCAAAATTTTGAATCTGATTTCTGGAAGAACAAGGCCATGATTAAAATCATAGACAGAGCCAGGCTTGGTCACTCATGCCTGTAATCCCAGAGACTGCAGGCTAAGGCAGAAGGATGGGTTGAGGACAGGAGTTTGAGATCAGCCTGGGCAACTTTTTTACAGATGAATGTCTCTAAAATGCAAAAATGTCATCCAAAATGTAATGCAAAAAGGTCATAGAGGGGGACAAGTGATAAGTATCAAACCCGTTCTAACACAGAGTGAAAACCAAATGACTGTAGTAATTGTAGCTACAAAACAGTCTGCATAGTTGTGATTCTTGAAAGAAACACTGCATAAAGCAAAAAAAAAAAAAAGTAATTTTGCTACGGAAGTAGAAATCAAAGTACATACTAACCAAACCAAGGGGTCAGGGAGGGAGAAAGGAAGAAGTGTCAGTGTCCACAAATAAAACAGCTCAGCTGTGCTGTAGAACTAAACAGACAGATGAAGAGAAAACATCCTGAACAGGTATGTGAGCATACAGAAATTAGTTTATAATAAAGACGCCTTTAAGATTAGGGGGAGAGGCAGGGGGCGGCCACTCTCGCCTGTAATCCCAGTGCTTTGGGAGGCCTAGGTGGGCAGATCACCTGAGGTCAAGAGTTCGAGGCCTGCCTGGCCAACAAGGCAAAACCCTGTCTCTACCAAAAATACAAAAATTAGCCAGGTGTGGTGGCACACGCTTGTAATCCCAGCTACTCAGGAGGCTGAGGCAGGAGAATCGCTTGAACCCGGGAGGCAGAGGTTGCAGTGATCTGAGTTCACACAACTGCACTCTAGCCTGGATGACAGAGGAAACTCTGTCTCCAAAAAAAAATAGGGGGAGAGAATGGATTACTCAGTAAATTGGGAACAATAACTCATCTTTTGGAAAATATTAACATGAGATTTGATAACTGTTAGCGCTATTGACTGGATGTTTGTCCCCTCCCAAATTTTATATGTTGAAACCCTAATCCTCAAAGTGAAGGTATTTGGAGATGGGGTCTTTGGAAAGTAATAAGGTCAGGAGGGTGGAGACCTTATGATGGGATTGGGGGAGAGAATGGATTACTTAATGAATCGGGAACAATTAACTAAACTCTGGGAAATATTAACATGAGATTTTATATCAGTGCCCTTATAAGAAGAGAAACAAGAAAGCATCCTCTCTCTCTGCCCTCTGCCATATGAGGATGCAACAGGAAGAGGACCCTCACCAGACACCATATCTGCCAGCATCTTGATGTTGAACTGTGTAGAATAAATATTCCTTGTTTAAGTCACTCATTGTATGATAATTTGTTATAGCAGTGCAAACTGACCAAGAGAGTTAAGAATGCCTTCATTTGCTAGTAGGAGAAACTTCAGCTAGCAGTTGCTTAAATAAATAAGGGTTTATATGGCTCATCAACAAGAAGTCTGGAGATAGGCAGTTCAGGACTGACAATGGCTCAATGACATCCTCTAAGACCCAGATTGTTTGTCTTCCCACTCCACTGTCAGTACCATGCTGGCGTATGTCCTCATGCCTGTCACCTCAGGATCTAGATGCCTGCTGATATCGTGACCTCGTGACATCAAACCTGTGTCCTAGGCAAGAAGAAAAGGGAAAGGAAAAGGGCAAAATGGACATTCCAATCACACATACACCAAAATTTTAACAGTGGTGGTATCTGGTGACTGGATCATTTTTAGTTTTAGTTTTTTGTGTCATTTAAAATTTTTACAATGATTGTGCATTGAATTTTAAGTCAGAAATAAATTGTGAACCTATTTTCTTTGTGCAGAAAGATTAATTGATCAAGGAAATCATAAATTCCCTCGTAAATCAGTAGGCCTCTATTGCTCTGTGATTTCCAGTATTGTGAATCATCTTAAATTTTATTTTTAGACAGACCACTTACTAGATTTCTTCTTGTATTAATAGAAAATCTGTACAGAAAACTTACTTTTATTTCCAGAACCCCTGGGACACAAAACTATACGTTGTCTCAGCAATAGTGCTGAGTCAATAAGAACTTTAATGCATTTAGGTAAGCTGTGTATTTTCAAGAATCTAACTGAAACTGTTAAAAATCATTCAGCATGATCTTCCCAGAAAGAGAAGATGTGGGGGTGAGAAGAGAAAAATCAGCCAACAAGGGACTTTTTAATACTTATCTCTATTTCCAGATATTGCTAAAATGTTCTGTTCCACTCCCAAAATCTTTCCATTTTTGCCATACAAACATAATCTTCAAGAATCCAATACTAGAGTCTCAAAATATTTCTGGATTTTGGTATCAAAAATAGAATGTCTGTGCTTGAATTAGAAATAAAATCTTTACTGTTCCCTAAACTAAATAATTTCTCTGGTTAACTTGTATGATATACCAAGAGTTTTAATCAGGTTAATTACCTTTCAGTGTTTAGACTAATCATATTAACATTGTGGATGCAAAAGCAATTAATTTTGGGTAACAGATTTTTCTTCATTTCTGGTCTTCAAAGTACTAGGGAAAGCTCATTTCCACATGCCATTTGTTAATGAGTTAATATGCAACCCTTTAATAAACTCCTCTCAACATCCTCCAAATTCCTAGGAAGAAATCACCAAATGGTCATCCAACCAGGGTCCACTCCAGCCCCTAATGTGTCATTCAAACATCACTCCTTAAAAATAGAAAGAGAGTGAGAACTGCCATTTCTTTTCTCTCTTACTCTCTTCTCCACCTGTGGGATTGCAGTCATTCACAAAAGAGCAATTTACTACATTATCAGAAGCTAGTTCTGTTACCATTCTACATTAGTTTGAATCCTATCTCTCTACTCAGGAGGTGTTTGAGCTTTAACAAGTCATTTAATCTCTTTGACCCACAGTTTCCTCATCAGTAAAATAGATGTCATTATAAAAATTAAGAAAGATTATGCTTCATTAGCACCTTGCACGTAAGAAGTACTCAATATATTTTAGCTGTAATATGTATTACATTAATTATATTAATTCTGTCCATTTTTCTTTTTTAATCAATTATTTTGTTTTTAATTGACACATAATTGTACATATTTATGGGGTACAGTGTGATGCTTTGATACATGTTTACACTGTGTAAAAATGTAGGTATTTAGCATATCCATCACCTCATACGTTTATCATTTCTTTGTCATGATGACATTCAAAATCTTCTAAGTGTTTTGAAATATACAATACATTATTGTTAATCATAGCCACCCTACTATATAATGGAACGCCAGAACTTTTTCTCCAATCTAACTGTAATTTTGAAACCATTGCCCAATCTCTCCCTATTCCTCACTATGCTCCCGGCCTCTGGTAACCACTATTCTACACTACTTCTATGAGATCAACTTCTGTAGATTCCACATATGAATGAGACCATGTGATATTTGTCTTTCTGTGCCTGGCTTATTTCACTTAACATAATGTCCTGCAGGTTCATCCATGCTGCCTCAAATGTCAAGATTTCATACTTTTATAGCTGTATATATATATAATATATGTATGTATATTATATGTATGTATGTATATACAGCTATAAAAAGTATGAAATCATATATATATAAAAATATATATACACTACATTTCTGTATTCTTTCATCCATTGATGGAAACTTAGGTTGCTTCCATATTTTGGCTATTGTGAATAATGCTGTAATAAATATGGAAGTGTAGATATCTCTTTGACATACTGATTGCATTTCTTTGGGGCATGTAACCAACAGTGGGATTTCTGGGTCATATGATAGTTCTGGTTTTAATGTTTTTAGTAACTTCTATAGTGTTTTCCATAATGGTTATGCTAACTTACATTTCCACCCACAGTGTGTAAGTGTTCTTTTTTCTCCACATCCACATCAGCACGTTATTTTTTCTTTTATAATAGCCATTCTAACTGGAGTGAGGTAATATCTCATTACCTAGATTTTGACTTGAATAGACTTAAAGCAGTGCCATCAGACAATGTCCAATTTACATTATTGTTAGTTTCTTTGTAAGAAAAATGACCTCTTCCAGGACCATGAAACAAAAAATAGATTTGTGGTGAAGATTGAAAATGACCAAAGTTCAGGAAAAAAAAAGCAGCAAAGTCAGTGATGTAGTCAGATGGGCTTTTTGTTCTGGGGGAACTTGATTTCCACTGTGTTTTGTGTAATATATAACTACGAAATAGTATATTTTGTAGCAATTCAAAACCAATTTTGCTAGCATCATTTCACTGTTATGCCGGTTAATCATAGAATCCCATTAAATGTGAGTACACTGAAAACATCAAATATAGAAGAAACAGTCTGGTAAATAACATTCCAGCAGGAAAAGAAAAGAACAATGCTCCACCTCTGAGTTTGATCACTTCTACCCTGGGTGGACCGGTCCTGGGTTTCTGTCTTTGACTGCTGGGCTCCTGGCTTGGCTTCTCAGATTCCTAACTCCTGGCATACAATAACTGTTAAATAACTCAATAACTATTAAATAACAGTTATTAAACAGTAATTTACTCTTTCTCCAGGATATCATTTTTCTTCTTGTTTCATAAATAATCATGTTTTTTAGAAGACACAAAAACAAAGGGAAGAATATTTAATCACTGAGCAGAAGTAAATACTATTGATATTTTGGTAGGTAAACTTCGAATTTTTGTATGCATGTTCATATTTTTTAATTTTTTATCAAAAATTAAGTCGTCCTCTACCCACTACTTGTAACCAGCTTGTTTTATAACACATCATTTTCCTGTGTCATTAAATAATTTCATCAATTTTTAAGAAAATTTCGATTTGCATTCCTCTGATAATTAATAATATTGACCATTTTTTCATATATCTGCTGGCTGTATATTTTCTTTTGAGAAACGTCTATTTAGGTATTTTGCCCATTTTTTAATTGGATTATTTGTGGGGGTTTTTGTTGTTATTGAGTAGTTTGAGTTCCTTTTAATTGTGGATATTAATCCCTTGTCAGATGCAAAGTTTGCAAATATTTTCTCCTATTCTGTATGTTGTCTCTTCACTCTGTTGTTTCCTTTGCTGTACAGAAGGTTTTTAGTTTCATATGATCCCATTTGTCTATTTTTGCTTTTGCTGTCTATGCTTTTGAGCACATCTCCAGCAGAGCTCTTGGATGACTAAGCACATTGTCAATCAGCAGTAATACTTTGAGATAAGTCTTTTTTTCTGAGCAGTAGTTCTTAACAGTGGACTCAAAATACTCAGTAAACCATGTTGCAAACAGATGTGCTATCATACAGGTTTTGGGGTTCCATTTCTAAAGCGCAGGCAGAGTAGATTCAACATAATTCTTAAAGACCCTAGGATTTTAGGAATAACAAATGAGCATTGCCTTCAACTTTAAGTCACTAGCTGCATTAGCCCTTAACAAGAGAGTCAGCCTGTCCTTTGAAGCTTTGAAGCCAGGCACTGACTTCTCTCTAGCTATGAAAGTCCTAGATAGCATCTTCTTCCAATAGAAGGCTGTTTTGTCTACATTAAAACTGTTGTTTAGTGTAGCCACCTTCATCAGTAATCTTAGACAGATCTTCTGAATAACTTGCTGCAACTTCTACAACAGCACTTGCTGCCTCACCTTGCACTTTTATGTTACAGTGATGGCCTGTTTCTTTAAACTTCATGAACCAACCTCTGCTAGCTTCAAGCTTTTCTTTATCTCATTCTTCATAGAACTAAAAAGAGTTAGGACCTTGCTCTGGATTAGGCTTTGGTTTAAGGGACTGTTGTCACTGGTTTGATCGTCTATCCAGACCACTAAACCTTTCTCCATGTCAGCAGTAAGGCTGTTTCACTTTCTTACTATTCACGTGTTCACCAGAATAGCACTTTTCATTTCCTTCAAGAACTTTTCCTTTGCAGTCACAACTTGGCTAACTGGCACAAAAGGTCTAACTTTCAGCCCATCTTGGTTTTTTACATACCTTCCTCACTAAGATTAATCTTTTCTGGCTTTTAAAGTGAGCCACCTATGACTCTTCCTTTCACTTGAACACTTAGAGGCCACTGTAGTGTTATTAATTACTCTAATACAAATATTAGGACATAGCAAGGCCTGAGGAGGGGATGGTGACTGAAGTCTCATGCTCATGTTTCTCTGGGCCTGATAAATTTTGCACGCCTCACATTCCTTAGACTGCTCTGAGCCACTTTTCTTTCTCAATCCTATCCACTTTCAAGACTCCTACATTCTCATCCGGATTCTCAATAAGGCCATCATGCCCATAAGGTAGTCCCAGCAATCTATTCTTGCTGATTCCTTCTTATATAATAAGACACTTTGGCTGAGCGCGGTGGCTCACACCTGTAATCCCAACACTTTGGGAGGCCGAGGTGGGCAGGTCACGAGGTCAGGAGTTCGAGACCAGACTGACCAACATGGTGAAACCCTATCTCTACTAAAGATACAAAAATTAGCTGGGCGTGGTGGCGCGCATCTGTAATCCCAGCTACTCGGGAGGCTGAGGCAGAAGAATCACTTGAATCCCGGAGGCGGAGGTTGCAGTGAGCCGAGATCATGCCACTGCGCTCCAGCCTGGGTGACAGAGTGAGACTCCATCTCAGAAAAATAAATTTTAAAAAAATGAAAAATAAGACACATTATCTGTATTACTTGAACATTTAATTACATCTTGTCTTATAAGTCACACTCTGGCTTTCTCAGTCTTCCAGGACGGGACTTTGTTCCTACAGGGTCTAATGTCCTGCCCTAATTCTGACCAAATTAGGAGAAGAATATACTGAAATCCAATAGTCTCTGTGGTCTGGAATAAGTCTTACATTCCTTACTTTGTATACATGGGTGAGACCCATCCAACTTGCTTATCCATTGTGCAATTTTGTGTGTGTGTCAAGCCTCAGTTTCCTTGCATATACACCCAGATATCCAAAGTATGGTACCCTGCCTTGAACCCAGCCTCTTCCTTAGTTTGGATCTATCCACTGTCTCCTGCCAGTCTTCTCCCCAAAAAAAGGATGGAGTTATTTCTGCTTCCTGCCCCCACCAGACCCCCAGCCACAAGTAAGGATTATGTTAAAAATGTACTGATCACCTAAGATTAAATATATATCCTAGCAAAGCCTATTTAAGCTTTTCGTGGTTTCTAAATTCTTTTTGTCTCACCCCATCCTCCCAATTGGTTCTCCCTTAATCAGATAACTTGTAATGTCATCCTCATGACCTTTGGGCACTACACATATAACTTGTCCACAGGCTCACATAAGGCCAGGCCCACAGTCTGACAAGAGGCTGTGATGGAGGATTGAGATTATACAGGTCCTTGAGGACAAATAACAAGGTTTATACTTTATCATAATGAGAAGTCCCTGGGAGCTATAAGAGGGAAGGGACAGGATCAGGTTTGCCTTTTAGAAGACTGAGTGTGGTGTGAAGACATCTGGATAGTATCTTTTTATTATAAACATCAAACCACTTATGAAAGGAAGGAAAAACCTTAGGGCAGGAAGCCCTAAAGAGGCTGAGATAAAAAGGCTTGACATAGGAAAGTAATTGTACAGGTGGAGAGAAATGGAAGGAAAATGTTTCAGAGGTAGAATCAATAGAATTTGATGGTTACTTTAATATGTTGTGAGATAAGGAAAATGAGAACAGTTTAAATAAGTCACTCAAGGTCAAACATTGTATGTATGTTTCTTGCCTCATCAACTTGTTTATATATTTCTTAATGGCAGAAACTATCTCAAATGTTTTCATGTACACTTTGGTGCACAGTAAACAGATGCACAATTAATCACATAAATCTGCCATGTGATTTGTCATAAGCCTGTCTACAAAAAAATATTTTATGGAAATCTAGAACCTAAGTTGTCAGGCAATTTTAACCATTTTTTCCAGGTGCACATATAAAGCAACACTAACAAAAATTGCAAAAATGCCTGAAAACTAGAATACAAATTCACTCATAGTTTTAGAAGCTAATAATGCTGACCTGATTTTTTATGTTATTAATAATCATTAGAATTACTTTAGATAAGTACTAACTAATCTTATCTAATTTAACCCAAACTTAAATTACCTAATTTAAGATTTTAGCAGTAGTTCTTAAACTTTAGTGCATATCAAAATCACTTGGAGGGTTTTTTTAAGTTATTGATTGGTAGACCCAGAGGTTTTTATTTAGTTGGTTAGAATGGGGCCCAAGAAATCACTCTGAGGACTACTGCCTTAGAACAATGTTTCCAAAACATTGAATGATTATAAAAACCACTATAGTGATTATTAAAAATATAGAATCCCAGGCCCCACCTCTGATCTGCTGTTCAAGGGAGGTTCTTAGACGTCTTCTTTTTTTTTTTTTTTTTTTTTGAGACAAGAGTCTCGCTCTGTCACCCAGGCTGGAGTGCAGTGGCGCGATCTTGGCCCACTGCAAACTCCGCCTCCCAGGTTCAAGTGATTCTCCTGCCTCAGCCTCCCGAGTAGCTGGGACTATAGGCACATGCCACCATACCAGACTAATTTTTTGTAATTTTTAGTAGAGACAGGGTTTCACCATGTTAGCCAGGCTGGTCTCTATCTCCTGACCTTGTGATCTGCCCACCTTGGCTTCCCAAAGTGCTGGGATTACAGGCGTGAGCCACCACTGCACCCGGCCTGTATTTTTTTTTTAAGTGCCTCATGTGGTTCTTATAGTTCAGCCAAGTTTGGTAAGCACTGCCTTGAAGCAACCGTATGCAGTAGATACTATTATTACTCTTATTTTACAAAGGGAAAAAAAAAAGCTTAGGCAGCTTCAGTACTGTCAAATGTATTTAATTCCACGCCCCTCCGCCCACCAACTAGAGGGCTTAAGCCATTGTTCATGCTCAAATATAAAACGTTTCTTATATGAGTATAATTACTAAGAGCATTGTGATAGCAGGGACTTGTTCATCTTAGTGTCTCTAGAAACCGACAAGATGCATACTGAACCCAGCCTTGTAAAATAATGCTTTGCCTACATAAAATTTAAAACACAAAGTACTAACAACAAATAGACAAACAATGTAATCAGTTCAAACAACTAGTGAAATGGAGGAAGGCAAAGTAAAATCATTTAAATGAATTGACTCAAAAATTAAATCAAAATTCTCAACTCAGTAACTGTTGGTAAGTTGAGGAAAAAAAATGGTTACTAACTTTGATACCAGAAAAAGTATATTACTATATATCTTATAACTGGTTTGATATTTATAATAAAAAGATATTATCCAGATGTTTAAAACTTTAAAAATGTCTTGTAAATTGTTTTACTAGATATTCAGTAAATGAAACATTGCTGTTTGCAACAGAGGTATTACAAATGCCAACTGTCCATAAAATTTCCTCTGAAATGTCTCACAATTAGATTAAATGACCTTTTAAGTATACAGTATTTATTTGATTGTAAACTTACTTAAATTATAATGGCTACCATTTATTAAGTGCTACATCGATTAGCACATTTAATCCTCACAACAAACATTAGAGGTAGTTACTATTATTTTCACTATTTACAAAGAAGGAAACTTAGACCCAGAGAGGTATTAGTTGCCCACTGTTCACATAGCTAGCAAGTGGAAGAGACAGTCAATAAAGCCAAGCAAACTGTTTAGAGTTCACACACTTAACCATAGTGTTATGGCCATCCCCTATATATCAAATATAAAATAGATATCCTCATTTTACTTGCTTATTTGAATTTGCATTTGCAGTTATTATCTGCAATAATAAAAGAAGGTACTAGATGAAATGGGGGCAACAAGGAAGAAATGATAAAGAATTACATCTCAGAAGAGGTGCTTAATTTGGGCCATGTCTAAGCAAAGAAGGGACAAGTGGCCATTACAGTTATAGGGCACAGAAAAACAGAAAACTGGCTGCCAACTATTTTTCAAAGAGCAGTTCTATAGGGAATAGCAAGTTCTACCAAACTACTTCAAAATTTTTCACAATACAACGCTTGCTATGATGCTTTCCTTGAGAATCTATTCAAATGATCCCATTACCAACAGATGCTGATCTTCGGTGTTCAGCCCTGCATTCATTTGTCCTTTGAGTTGCAGGATCACAGTGGAAGTTGAAACCACTGCCTCTCAGAATTGGAATGGAAACTTTGAGTAAATGTAGATGAATCAAAGAATCTTAAATTACCAAGCCCACTGTGCTTCCCTTGCCATCAAAAGCAGCCTTTCCATCTAAAAAAACCACTTTCTCTTACTTGAAGACCCTGAAATGTCCCCCATCCAGAGGATGCCACTCCTTGGTTTCTAATTTCCTCACTGAAAACACACTGACATAGGTAGAATAATATTTTAATAATAGTAATACATTTCATTAGCTTTACAATGCCGGGTATTCAACACAGTCACAATAAATATTTGTTGAATAGACTTAGACAGAACCTTAGATGACCCACATGTGGTATCAAATTCCAGACCATGGCAAGGCATATCATAGCAAGATTCTATTAGTCCCCAGTATTTTTTTCTAAGCTTATTTTTCTAAGTCCAATCTGATTGAAGAGACAATAATTACACTAAATTTATAAATGTCAGATCTTCTTTCTGAACAAAGAGCTTTCTACTTTCAATTAATAAAGCAAAGAATTAAGACAGATTTTCCTAATATAAGAAAATTCCTACAGTAAAATTTATTAATTCAACCTACAGCTGTTTTTTTTTTTTTTTTTTTTTTGAGACAGAGTCTGGCTCTGTCGCCCAGGCTGGAGTGCAGTGGCATAATCTCAGCTCACTGCAGCCTTCGCCTCCTGGTTTCAAGTGATTCTCCTGCCTCAGCCTCCCAAGTAGCTGGGATTACAAGAATGCACTACCACGCCTAGCTAATTTTTGTATTTTTAGTAGATACAGAGTTTTGCCATGTTGACCAGGCTGGTCCCAAACTCCTGACCTCAAGTAATCCCCTTGTCTTGGCCTCCCAAAGTGCTGGGATTACAGGCTTGAGCCACCATGACCATCCCTTTTTATTTTATTTTCTAAAATATTTTTTATTTTTATCAAAGTAATATATGAATATAGTTTAAAAATAAAATAAGATCAAAGGCTCATAAAGAAAAGCAATACTCTTCCATGAAATCTCTCCTCACTCATCTAACTCATTCTCTAAAGGGAAACACTTGTTAATTCCTTTATTTATTTTGGTTGTTTATATCAATTCTCAAAATAGGCTGCTTTTTTTTAATCTTGCCATTTATTTTTCTATAATACATGAAGAAGTTAGATCTCTTCTACTGTCTTCCATCTACTCTCTATCTTCCTCCCAACACAGTTATAATAAAATTTTTATTAAAGTTGTTAACCTCCATTTACAGCTTTAGGAATTTGTGAAGCTAAGAAGTTTACAATTTTATTTCCTTTCCTGTATAGATTTCCTGGAGTTTCTCCTTGTTGTTCTTTTGTTCATACAATGTATTTTTCATAATGCATTGAATAATAATAATCCTCCTTTTTCTAAGGTTTATGGGATCTGATTGTCTATAAAATCTTCATTTTTTCAGAGAAGCTTCTTGTCAGGCTTCTTGCATGATTATCATCCTAAGGACTTTCTCAGACTGCCTTTCTGAATCTCATCCTTTTTCTCTGTTTGTTTACTTCTTCATTTTTCTGGGGTATATTTTCATGAAACTTCACTGAAAATATAAGTCATTCAGGGCAGATACACTCTTACACACCTAAAAATGCATTTGTTCTGCCACTCCACTTGAATTACAGTTTGATTGAGTATAGAATGCTTAGTTGAAAGTCATTTTCCCTCAAACTTTGAAGACCATTGCTGCTATCTTCCTTGCATCTCCTAGAATAATTCCTTACACATATTTGCACTCAATAAATATTTATTTAATGTATGAATGGATTTGATATGTTTTCAAACCTCTTTTTAATTCCCTTCGCTTGCCTGCCATATCTCTGGCTTTACGTTTATTTTATTTTTTTCTCTTTTATTGTTGAAGTCCCCTCCTGATCCTGCCCCACCAAATATATAGTTATTCTTCTTTGCCTTTTCTGTTTATGAAAGAAGGTTTTAAAAGTTTGTGGTTCTCAAAATATGCTTACCCCCACCAGAAGATTCAGCATCACCTGGTAATTTGTTAGAAATGCAAATTTTCTGGCTCACCAGGCTTAGTGAATCAAAAATTCTGAGGATAGGATGGAGAAACCTGGTTTAATAAACCCTTCAGGTGATCCTAATGCACGCAAAAGTTTGAGAACCACATAGACTGAGCCATGACTTGCAGGCTTTACTTTGGAGTTACCTGGAGAGGAGTGAACATTCACACAGCGAGATCTTTTCTATGCGACTGTTTAATTTCTCCAGAGAAGAAATCTTGGGTCTCTTGCCCAGAGGGTAGGTATCTAACTGCTAGTGTTGTGTTGGAACATTGAGAGTGGGACACAATGACCCATATCTCTGATAGGAAGACAAGATAAACAAAGTGACTTTTAGATCATTATAACTGCTATAGTTTTGAACAGGAAGCCCTTGTTTCAATTCTCTAAAAGGCCTGGTTATATGGCCACTAATTCAATTTCCCACATTTCCTTTCTTAGGCATCCTTTCCATAAACTCTTATCACCTGAGGTCACCTGAGTGTGTCTCTGTTCTTGCTACCTGCAAGAACCTGACAAATACAGTTTGAAATTACAAACACTTTATCATGATGTGCACGATACGAATTACTTGCAACTCAAAAAAACTAAGCAAATGGCCGTGCGCGGTGGCTCACGCTTGTAATCCCAGCACTTTGGGAGGCCGAGGTGGGCGGATCAGTGGAGGTCAGGAGTTCAGACCAGCGTTTCCAACATAGTGAAACCCCGTCTCTACTAAAAAATAAAAAATTAGCCGGGCGTGGCGGCGCACGCCTGTAATCCAGGCTACTCCGGAGACTGAGACAGGAGAATCGCTTGAACCTGAGAGGTGGAGGTTGCAGTGAGCCAAGATCACGCCATTGCACTCCAGCCTGGGCAACAGAGCAAGTCTCCGTCTCAAATAAAAAAAAAAAAAAAAAAGAAAAAGAAAAAGAAAAAGAAAAGAAAAGAGAGAAAAGAAAAAAAAGAAAAGTAAGCAAATGTGACATAAAAGGTTAGAAAATAACAAAATAATTTCAACTCTGCTTTAGGAAGCACATTTTATATATTTCCCTCAAGGACCACTAGATGGCACTTTCTGCTCTGCTTATAATCACTATTGACTCTTCCCCTGGAGCAAACCATTAATGAAGTTCCTTTGGCTTCTTGCAGAACCTTCTCAAGATCTTGCTAGAGAATGATTGTATTTTGGTGACTCATTCACTTAGTTTTGCTGTATTAACAGAGAATTGCATAATGTCTTGCAATTGTTCACCACTCTGTCACCAATTGCATCTATTTTTACTTTGCCCAGTGGGAAGTCTAAATACTAAATTCCAAATTCAAAGAACACAGCACAGTTGTTTTAGTCTAGGGTTTCAGTAAAAAGTAAACTAACCCTATGGCTCTAAGGATAATTTCCCGCTTGCAGTAGGGTTCAATAAAATGAAGTCCAAATTAAAGATGTTTCCTGCAATGAATACTAGAAGTCCCCTACAGAGTAGTAACAATGATTCTTTGAGATTTATAGAAATTTTATTCTTGAAAGTTTAAATAATATGCAAATAAATATTTCAAAGACCAACGGAGACATTTTTTTCTTATTTGAGAGGATTTCCTAAAAATTTGTCTTCAAAATTCTCCTTTAAGTTTTACTGCTCCTAAAATCAGTTTATTGTCCAGTCTCAGTGGCTTAAGCCTGTAATCCCACACTTAGGGAGGCTGAGGCAGGAGGATCATTTGAGCCCAAGGGTTTAAAACTAGCCTGGGCAGCATGGTGAGACCCTGTCTCTACAAAAAGTAAAAGAAAAAAAAATGTAGCCAGGCTTGATATTGCACTCCTGTAGTCCCAGATATTCAGGAGGCTGAGGAGGAAGAATCTCTTGAGCCCAAAAGGTAAAGGCTGCAATGAGCTGTGATTGCACCATTACATTCTAGCCTGGGCAACAGTGAGAACCTGTCTGAAAAATAATAGCAATAATAATATTAAAAAAAAATAAGTTCATGCTTCATGCCATCTGGCCAATCTTTATCCAACCTCCATCTTAAACTGAATCAGGAACAGAAAAGTATTCATAGAGAAAGGCTCAGGACCAGATGGCCTCACTGTTGAAATTTCCCAAACATTTAAAGAGAAACCAGCCCTACTCCTTCACAAACTCTTCCAAAAAAAATAGAAGAGAACATTTTTCATTTTATGAGGTCATTTTTAAATTAATACAAAAATCAAACACTTCAGAATAAAATATGAATGCAAAAGTTCTCAAAATTTCCAACAAAATACTAGAAAAACAAATCCAGCTATATGTAAAAAGAATTATACATCACGATCAAATGAGATTTATTCCATGAATACAATGTTGGTTGAACATATAAAAGAATCAATAACATGTAATGCATTATATTAATACAATAAAGGACAAAATGCACAGGATCGTCTCAAAAGGTGCATAGAAGCATTTCAGAATACTCATTATCCTAAAAAAACAAATAAATAAACTGAACTGGGGACCCCTTCTCAGTGGTCTGCATACCTCTCTCATGGCACTTATCACACACTGTTTTAGCATTATTTTTCAGTGAGTTATGTTATTCCTTCTTTAGAGAGAGCAGCTGTGTCATAATCATTTCTATACCTTATTTCTGCAGTGGACATTTTTATAGTGCACAGTGGAAAGTCTAGCACAGAATAGGTGTGCAATAAATATTTGCTGAATGAAAGAGTGAAGTTTTTCTTTACCATTTTAAGCAGGGAGAAACCAAGGCATAAAAAAATTGAAGGGACTTTCTTCATTCCAAATTCTGGAAGCCATGGTTTCTAATTGCCCAACTAAAGCTATCCCAAGAAACCACAATTCCTCATAATGGATTGAGGAGAAGACTGTACTTATTCTTTTCAAGCTACTATAGAAAAGCAATCCTGGCTAGCAGATTAGGGTCCGACATCTCTCAGCAAAGAGATGTTAGGATACCACCAACTCTAGGAGTTTTGTTTTGGTGTTTGTTTGTTTGTTTGTTTGAGGCAGGGTCTTGCTCTGTCACCCAGGCTGGAGTGCAGTGGTGCAGTCTCAGGTCACTGCAGCCTCGACTTCCTGGGCTCAAGTGTTTCTCCCACCTCAGCCTCCCAAGTAGCTGAGACTATAGATACAAGCCACCATGCCTGACTATTTTTTTTTATTTTATTTATTTATTTATTTATTTATTTATTTATTGGTAGAGACAGGTTTTCATCATGTTGCACAGGCTGGTCTCAAACTCCTAGACTCAAGCAATCCACCTGACTTTGCTTCTTAAAGTGCTAGGATTACAGGCGTGAACCACCGAACCCAGCCACTCACTGTTTACCTAATATGAACCTGGCATTATACTAATCTGGGTTGGTATATAAAGATGAGTACATATACTAAGCCAATTTGGCTAGATTAACAACTACTCACTAGTTATTCCTTTGATCATCATTTTTTATATACCAATGTGAATAGTCATCTATCTCATAAATAAAGATATATACTTGATTCCCATAGCTTGATAGGGATGGTGGGGTGGACTGGCCTATCATGAGAATTCCTCCAAATCAGGTTATCAACGGAAAAGGTCTCCTACCCACAATCATGGATATTTGGATCCACAGGGCAGTGTGAAACTGTGACTTGGATAGACCATATACAGTTAAAGAGCCATAGGTGGAAATACTAACATCACAAATTCAAATGCCCTTCCTTAAGGAGACAAGGTTTTTCTGAGTTTGAATTTTTGAGGCCCTAACATAGTCTGCTATAATCATAACGTAAGATGAGTTTCTGTTACTATTCCATCATCACAGATGGTTCCTTTCGGATGGCGCTGCTCTAGAGTTTGAATTTCTGGTCTTTGACCTTGGGCAGTTTTCTGTTTTGTGAAATATGCATAATAATAGTGGTTTTATTTCTACAAGGTTGCTGTGAGGATCAATTAAAACAATTGATACAAAGTGCTTAGCATAGTGCTTACATAGTAGAAAACTTTCAATAAATGTTAGCTATGATTGTTATAATTCCCATAGAGTCAGGCATTGCGATTGGCATTTCTGGGAGTTCAGTACCATTTCCACATCAAATTATATTTCTTGCATTAGCTATTGGGGCAGATATTGAGGTAGGTATAGAAGGCTGCCCTGTGAGAAATTGGGACAGTGGACATGAACAGAACAATTGAAGCCAGAAAATCTTTGAGTTGATAAATCCATTGTATTGAATGCTCCCAAAAAATGATTCTTGGCTTATGACCAAGCCCACTAGTTCATAAAATAGTTCAGGAAAACAGATAGTATCTCTTGCTTGTATATCCTCAGCTTCTCAGTGGCAGTCAACAAAGAAAGTGTTAGAATGCTGGAGAGTAGCCTAGGTCTAAAATGCCAGGAGGGAACCAACCATGAGAAAACCTGGGAGAAGAGGTTCTGGGAAGGGAGAAGAGACAAACTCCCCAAGGCAGAAATAAGATTGGCATGTATGATGAAGAAAACAATTCCAGCTTGGCTAGTGTACATTAAGTGAGTATGGAGTGGAATAGATGGAGTTGGAAAAATGGTCAAGGGACAAATCATTAGGGCCACGTAGGCCAAAGTGAAAAGTTTGGATTTTATGCTTAAGCACCATGAGAAAACTTTGCAGAGCTTTGGAGTGAAATAATCTAATTTTTTAAAATGACCCTACTGGCTGTTATGTGAAGAAGGGATTCATGTGGAAGTAGTAACGACAGAGAGATGTGAGTAGATGTGAAGGTTTTTACTGATGAATTGGATATGCGCGTGAGGAAAAAGGGAAGCCATCTGAAACACAAAGGGCCCTGTCAAACTGCATCCATTTATTTCCTACCTTATCTACCATAACCGCTTTGATCATTTCCTAGACTGTCTGTACTTACAGTACATTTCTATCCGAACTTGCACCTATCGCTGCCATTTGTTATCTGACTACATCTTCACCAAAGTAACCTCTTTCTATAACCTTGCCTCACAGACTCCCCAGGTTTGCCTTATCTGTTGCTCTGGCTCTAACTTCTGCCCAGAGACAATTCTGTAGCCTGCCAACCCCGTGTTCTACTTTTCTAATCATACTCACCGTGAGTACAATCCTTACCAAGATTCTAGCTAGATTATGGCTTACTGGCTTTTCTCTAAGTTTGGATTTTTATGCCTGACCCAAGAAAGGGTAATATGGATTAGCTCAGTCTGTAGTCTGTAGTCTGTACTCTGGGTTTTTAGAAATCTAAAGCTAATTAGATTTAATTTGAAAAGCAGTACAGGTCTTTAATTATTTCATCAGAATTCCTTAATGTTCTTTTTTTTTTTTTTTGAGGCAGGGTCTTGCTCTGTCACCCAGGCTGGAGTATAGCAGCATGATCACAGCTCACTGCAGCCTCTACCTCCCAGGCTCAAACAATCATCCTCCAACCTCAGCTCCCAAGTAGGTAGGACCACAGGCACGTGCCACCACGCTCAGCTAATTTTTTGCATTTTTTTTGTAGAGACAGAATTTCACCATGTTGCCCAGGCTGGTCTTGAACTCCTGGGCTCAAGCAATCCACCCACCTTGGCCTCCCAAAATACTGGGATCAGGTATGAGCCACCACATCCAGCCCATTCTTTTTCTTGAAAAGGCAGCAGTCCAGTTAATTTAAAAAGTATATTACAAAGCAATACTAATTAATAGAGGGTGGAAGTGGGCAAGAACAGACAAGCTTACTGGAATGCTAGAGATGGCCAGAAACAGATTCGGATCTTGCATAAGTGACAGGTTATTTGGTTGCTTTCTATCTCTAAAATGTGATGAGAGACTTTTTTTAAGACAAATATAAGTCCCAGCATCTTTGGACATTGTTCTTAAAATCCTCACTTTATGTCATTCATTTGTAACTTACTTAAATGACATAACATGAAATATTCTAATACACTCATAAAATTGCCAAAGTTTTCTAAAAATTCAACGGCATTGAAAGGTCAGATATACAAATTATCACCCACTGGCTGCTTCATAAAGTAAAATGTAAATGCACTTCTTGTGAACTTCAGCTAGCTAGCTATTATTGGATTGGAGGATCCTAGCTATTTTTAGGGAAATGTATAGAGACATTCAAAGCAGAGATAGACCTGGTCTCAATATAAAAGAAAATTTTTACAATGAATTATGTTTTAACATCTCAGAGGATTTACAGTTAAAAAAAAAAACCTGGCCAAATGACTAAGGAGAAAATATTATTAATTACTCCATCTCTGTCTTGTCCAATGAAAAATGCTGAGCCTGTCTGAAGAGATGCTAAAGGAAGACAAGACAGTAACCAGTCTTCTCTTTTGACCACAAAAATTCCTGATTTCAGTTTACAAAAATGTGTGAAAGTGACCCAGAAAAGACCCTTGCACTGGAAGGCCGCCCAGCTTTCCACCTCTTATGCCTGCTTCCAGGCAGCCTGACAGCAACACTCGATGAGAACCAGAACTGAGCTGGGGAGAAGAAAGAATGGAGAATGTGAGTGATCAGAACTTTACTTCTGTTTATATAAAATGTCCCTTTCTCAAGTTCTTCTCAACAATAGATCTAGTATGAACCTACATGGAGTAAAATTAAGTAAAAATAAATAAACTCCTTATCTGGTATCAATCACATCTTCTCTAAGAGGCTTAAATAGACAGATTTAAATATCATTTAATTTCATTTCCCTGAATTGTGCCATTTGGAGGGGAGCCAAGGATCTGTATAATCCCCATTCTGCAATGGACTTTGGTCTCCTGAGTGACAGCAAAAGCCATCTCTTTTAGTGATATGAGTCACACAGCCCACATATCATGGGTTCCACTCCGGGTGTTGACATGACTTTAGACTTGAGCAAGTCATTCTGTAAGTTAAGATATCTCTGAAATGGGGATGATGAGAATAACTACTTCACAGAACTACTGTAGGTGTCAGAAAAAATAATAAAAACAGCCAAAATTTATAGTCTAAATAAATCTCTAAAGAGTCAGGTGGTCAAGGTAGCTCACACCTGTAGCCCCAGCACTTTGAGAGGCCAATAGGGAGAATTGCTTGAGGCCAGGAGTTCAAGGCCAGCCTGGGCAACATGGCAAGAACCCGTCTCTCCAAAAAAAAAAAAAAAAAGGCGGGGCACGGTGGCTCACGCCTGTAATCCCAGCACATTGGGAGGCCGAAGCGGGCAGATCACCTGAAGTTAGGAGTTCAAGACCAGCCTGGCCAACATGGTGAAACCCCATCTCCTACTAAAAATACAAAAATTAGCCAGGTGTGGTGGCATGTGCCTGTAATCTCAGCTACTTGGGAAGCTGAGGCAGGAGAATCACTTGAACTCGCAAGTCAGAGGTTGCAGTGAGCTGAGATCATGCCATTGCACTCCAGCCTGGGCGACAGAATGAGACTTTGCCTCAAAAAAAGGGGGGGGTAATTATTCATTGAGATTTGGCATTATAGACTGCTCTAATTGATTTAGTCAAGAGTTCCCTTTGACGACAACTTTTCTTTTTTGTAGAACAGGAAAAAAGATGAAGGACGAGAAAAGGTTGATGGGATTTGGTTATACATACAAGTAATGTACCCAAAACAGGGGTAGGCAGAGCCTGGAAACAAAAGTCATAGAAAGTCAGTGTTTTAATAAGGAAGAATAGGATAAACTACAGATTTGGGCTTTCTATTCAAAATGTATGCCACTGGATGTGCATTGCTGAAACCTGATCTATAAATTTATTCAAAAAGTCTTAAGCCCCACCCTCTACTCACATTGACCACTCAGAGAAATTAGTCCCTTATGTCAAAGGGCTAAGGAGTCAAAACTAGATCATCCAGCTCTCCAGAGGCTTTAACCACACAGAGATGACTAAGATTTCCAAAAGAAAACTGAGACCTTACTTAAGAGCGCTGGTATCCTATGGTGTATGAATGTTTACCTGAAAAGATGGACAGCAGAAGATGCTGGTTTTTGAGATCCTTTACTTGAGTGGTTTATACCTGAGTGAACCTGGATGAACTAGCATCTTCTATTTCACTTCTTAACTTATTCCTGCCATTTCCAACAATTTAAGCAGACAAGAAAAACTTGGAGCCTTCTTAATCCTTAATCCTTCTTGTTTTCCAAGGTAAAATAAACTGGAGTAAATACCAAACTAAACCAAGCATCCCCTACCAGCCCAACATACATTCTCTCTCTTTCTGGGTCATCTGTACTATTTCAGAGACAGGTTGAGCTGGAAATCAGAATCAGTCACAAGAGAGGACATTTTTTGTCTAAATAGTAAGTTCCATTTGGGAGCTCTTAAATGACAGCTGTTGCTGATCTCTTCATATAAATTATCACATTTTAATTTTTACAACCCTGCATGGCAAATGCTATGATAATCCCATATTACAGATTTTAAAGATCTGAAGCACAGATTTTTAAATGTTAGATGTTACTTGCCTAAAACCTCACAGCTCTTAAGTGGGAAGGCTAAGATTTGTGCTAGGTCTGCCTCTTTGCAAAACTTATACCTTCAAATAGCAACGTGCTAATAATTGTCTTGTAAGAGTGTTGAAAGCCATTTTGTTATTTGTAATATTTTTATTTGCTAACTGTAATAATATTTTATTTTGGAAATATATGTATATAGAATTTCTTATGTACTCTCATTTTGATGATAGCAAAAACCATCCCAGCTGTGCCCCCTCTGTTTTGGAACTGAGCCAATGAAGCAGAGAGATGGGCAAATTCATTTTCCCTCTCAAAACCATCTCATATTCTGATATAAATGACCAGATGACACTTCAACAGCCAGCTTTCATGCAACTAATACCATCAATTCAAACAATGTGTTTTATTGATTTGAAAATCTGAGAATTAAAGGGTTAAACTCTGAAAACTGCCTCCTGTCTATTCAGTTTACTTAATCTCTTGCAATCAGTAGAAGTGATTCTAATCCTAGCATCACCTACATAAGGACTGGATTCAGAGTAGGGCAAAGGACCTCTGGGGCTTGGGCAGTTTCTCTCCTCGGTGTGACCTGAGGATGCGACACTGTCTATCTGAAATATATCAGTAATAACCCCCATCAATTTCAAATCTTCCAGGTTTGTACCTGCATCCAAAGAGAAATTTAAAAGTAAAATGACAGTCATCTCTTTGTAGAAGGCTTTCTGCAGACATAATTCAATTTATTCCTGATAGACTTGAAGGAAATAGAATTGTCACCAGGAGCCTCTTTTTTATCACTTACTTTCATTATTGATGAAAGATGAGGCATAAAGTGAACACTGTTGATTAAAAAACAGCCTGAGTCACACAGAACAGTACATCACATATTCAGTAAAAATATATTCTTTAATAGGCTGTATTGATGCAATGGTTCAAGTTACCAACTGCAATCCTGACAAGGCTTCAGCATATAGAACTTACTACAATGGAGTGGTATCATAGAAAGCTATTTGGTCTCTGTCTCTGGTTCCTAGCACAGAGTCTCTAAAACCCTTGGAGCTTCATAAGTAATGAGGGTAATAGGAGCGTCTTTTGTGCTAAGGAGGCAACTCTTGGTGAGCCCCTACATAGCTTCAAAATGGTGGCTGATTACCAGGAAAACCAAGCCTTGTTTAGAAGCTTGGAAATTTCAGTCCCACCTCCCAGCCTTCAGGGTTGTAAATGGAAGAGGGACTGGAGATTTAGTTAATTACCAGAAGCCAATGATTTGATTAATCACTCCTACATAACAAAACCTCCATAAAAACCCCCAAATGGGGTTCAGAGAACTTCCAGATTGGTGAAAACATCAAGGTTCTGGGAGACTGGCACATCTGGAGAGAATATGGAAGCTAAGCTCTACACCCCTAATTTCCCTAGCCCCTCTTCCCCACATACCTTGCCCTCTGCATGTCTTCCATTTGGCTGTTCCTGAGTTATATCCTTTCTTTATTGTTTTTTTGAGACAGGTTCTTGCTATGTTGCCCAGGCTGGAGTGCGGTGGTGCTATCTCAGCTCACTACAACTCCCACCTTTTGGGCTCAAGCAATCCTCCCACCTCAGCCTCCTGAGTAGCTGGGACTGCACGCCACCATGCCTGGCTAATTTCTGTATTTTTTGGTAGAGATGATGCTTCGCCATGTTGTCCAGGCTGGTCTCAATCTCCTGAGCTCAAGTGAGCCACCTGCCTCAGACTCCTGAGCTCTAGCAATCCACCTAGCACTTTGGGAGGCTGTAGGACTGAGGACTACAGCCTCCCAAAGTGCTAAGATTACAGGCATGAGCACTGGCACGCGGCCCTGGGTTATGTCCTTTCTAATAAACCGCTAATGGTAAGCAAAATGCCCTCTTGAATTCTGTGAGCCATTCTGACAGATTATCAAACCTAAAGAGAGGGCTGTGGGAAGCCCCAATTAATAGCTGGTCAGTCAGATGTACAGTGGCCTGGAACTTGTGATTGGCATCTGAAATAGGGGCAGTCTTGTGAGACTGACCCCTTAAACTTGTAGAGTCTGAGGCTAATTTCAGATGGTGTCAGAACTGAATTGAGTTGTTCAACACCCAGTTGGTATCTGGAGAGTTGGAGAATGGTTAGAGTGAGGGAAAAAAAACATACACATATTTGGTGTAGTAAGTGTTGTAAGTAAAAACAGCTAGCTTGGTCAGAAAACTTTTAAGGAAAATAATGTTTAATATTTTGGAGCTTAAAAATAAGGTTTGAGTGGAAACTTTATGTGCACATAGAAACCTGTACATGAATGTTCATAACAGCTTTATTTGTAAGAGCAAATACTGGAAATCCAAATGTCTTTCAATGGGTGAATAATTGAACCATGGAATATTACTCAACAATAAAAAAGAATAAACTGTTGTTACATGTAACAACCCAGAAGGTTTTAGAGGGCAGTATGCTGAGTGAAAACAAAAAATGTCAATTTCAAAAGGTTACATTCTGTACAACTCCATTTATAAACATTCTCAAAATGACAATGGAGAACAAATTAGTGGTTGCCAGGGATCAGAGAGTGTAAATATAAAAAAATAGCATGATGGAGTTCTTAGGCTGATGGGACAGTTTGGTATTTGATTGTGGTGATAATTACATGAATCTATACATGGGATTAAGTTGCACCAAACTAGACACACACACACACACACACACAAGCAAAGGCACACACACAGACAAGCACAGTCATATGTCATTTAACAACAGGGATACATTCTGAGAAATGTGAACATCATAGAGTGCACTTATACAAACCTAGATGGTATAGTCTACTACACACCTAGGATACATGGGACAGCCTATTGCTCCTAGGCTACAAATCTCTATAGCACCTTACTGTACTGAATCCTATAGGCAATTATAGCACAATGGTAAATATGTATCTAAACCTATCTAAACAGAAAGGTACAGTAAAAATATGGTGTAAAAAATTTAAATGGTATTCCTGTATAGGGCACTTACCATGAATGGAGCTAGCAGGACTGGAAGTCACCCTGGGTGACTCAGTGAGTGAGTGGTGGGTGAATGTGAAAGCTTAGGGCATTGCCACACACTACTGCAAATTTTACAAACGTTGTACACTTAGGCTACACTGCATTTATTTAAATTTTTCTTTCTTCAATAATAAATTAACCTTGGCTTACTGCAACTTTTTAACTTTACAAACTTTTTAATTTTTTAAGTTTTTGACTCTTCTGTAATAACTTAGTATAGTATAATAAATATAGTAAAAATATATTTAAATCCTTATTCTATACTCTTTTATTTTAAAAATTTTTTATTTTTTACTTTTTCAACTTTTTTGTTAAAAACTGAGACACAAATGCACACATTAGCCTAGGCCTACAAGGATCAGAATCATCAATATTGCTTTCTTCACCCGCCACATTTTATCTCACTGGAAGGTTTTCAGGGGCAAAAATATGCATGAAGCTATCATTTCCTATGATAAAAATGCCTTATTCTGGAATAATTCCTGAAGATCTGCCTGAGTCTGTCTTACAGCTAACCTTGTTTTCATAAGTATGAGGAGTACACTCTAAAATAATGATAAAAAATAGAGTAAAGTAAATACTAAGGAATAGGAATCTTTCTACTCCATTGTAGTCTTACGGGACCAACATCATATATGTAGTCTGTTGTTGACCAAAACATCGTTATACAACACATGAGTATAAATGCAGGTTAAACACTGGTGATAGCTAAATAAGGTCATGGTCTAGTTAGCAGTAATGTATCAGTGCCAGTTTCGTGGTTTTGCTATTTTATTGCAGCAATACAGGATGTCACCATATATCTTCCTCTGTTTGTGCTGCTATAACAAAATGCCACAAACTGGGTAATTTATAAATTATGGAAATTTATTTTTCACAGTTCTATAGGCTGAGAGATCTAGGATCAAGGCACCAGCGGGTTTGGTATCTGGCTAGGGCTGCTCTCTTTTCTTCCTAAAATGGCATCTATTGCCACGTCCTGTGTCCTCACATGCTGAAAAGCAGAAGGGCAAGAGAGCACTCTCTTCAACCTCAAGCCCTTTTATAAAGGCACCTAATCCCAATCATGAGGGTTCCAGCTTCATGACTCTATCACCTCCTAAAGGCCATACTTCTTAATACTATTGCATTTGGTATTAAGTTTCAACATGAATTTTGGAGAAGACAAAAACACTAAAACCATAGCACTACAGCAGCTGAGTGAAGTGTACAGGAGATGACTATTTTGCAACTTCTCATAAATCTATGATTATTTCCAAATACAAAATTAGTGTTTAAATAATAGTTAAAATAATATTTATATCAACAGAAATGTTCATGTTTATCTTTAGTTTGTTAACATTTGCTTTTAATTTAATTCCTAAGAAAATAAGGATTTTCTATATGTTACACAAATATGGCTATCTTTCTATAAACTCTCTGATTTCACTTCATTCTGAGCTAAAAGTAGGATATAGCATTTCATTGACTTTCTCATGTTTTTTTAAAACTTCAATTTCATGAAGCATTGGTGAATAATATAAATTTTACTAAAATATTCATATGGGAAACATTGCATAGCAGGAGTTCTACTAATCACACACACACACATGCACACACACACACACACACACACGCCCTTTCTCAAGTCAGCATTCCCTGCGGTCTTTACCTGCTCATAACCCAGCTTGTACTCAGACACCATGCATCAATGACTGTGGCCCATGTATGGCCCAGTATAAGTCAGCAGATTTAGTTTTTTTCCCCCACAAGTAATCCAATCACACTAGTAAACTGTGTAATTTTTGTACTGTATGAAAGTTTCTAATTTTATTAAAAATTGAGTTGTTAGATGGATAATTTTATATGCCATATAGTCTTTAGCCAACTCACTAGTTCTGCCCCTCATACTTCACTTGCCTTTCCAAAGCCGAGTTTCCCACACACGTCCTTTCCTGTAGCCTGTAACAAACAGCCTGAGAAACATCATCTGTCTTGAACTCGTTCTGATATTTTTCTCTTGGGAAACAGCTCTGCCATGTTATGTGCCACTCCAATCACTCCTGTAATTAAAAAAACACACACACACACATTTTTCTCCATCTTATTTCACATATAATTCAAGTCTCATGAGTTAATTTATCAATTTAATTCAACAGGAAATATCGAACTCACAATTTTCACATGTGGCATTAAATCTCAAAGTAACTTTAGAGTTAACATGTCTATTCAGTAAGCTAAAACAATATTGTGTCATATATTATGCTATTACCTTAAGTTTTAAAAATGAGTAAAAACACATGAAGGGGAAATTATAGTATTTATTATACCACGTAGGCTGTGCTAGACACATTGATTTCTTTGCCCAAAGTATCCTGCTTTCATAAGAAATGATCTCTCATCCACATGGTTACTACAGGAGCAGCCATTATCAGAGCTGCCTCATATTATCTTACAAAAGTTGATTGTTAGCACCTCTTCCAACTCCACATTCAGTGATATCATACTGGTCTCTTGAAATCAGCCATCGTGAGAATATTTACACCTCAAATTAGCAAATTGGTGCACCTCCTCTCTCCTCACCCCAAGAGCCAACTGTTACACATTGTCACCACATCACTGCATTAACATGCTATGACTGTCCCTTAGGTTATAATTACTTACACAGAGATAGACGCCGGACTCCTGCTGAACCAAGCAGACCTTTTCATGTAATTTGTGAAACTGGAGCTGAGAATAAAAGCCAATTTCTCTCCAGTGGCAGACACAGTAATAAGTAAATTTTAGGAGATGTTGGAGAGGAAAAGGGGGATTTTTTTTTTGTCTTTAGATCAGAGAACTAGAAACAAAAAGAGAACAAAATAAATATACAGAGGTGAGCAGAGATGAGAGATGATGATATAACTTTGGGATATTTAAGTCCCTTCTATTTATTCCAGAGTAGCACCTGCATTTCTATCCATGGGTCCCACTAGACACTTCATTTTCATTAGGACAAATTCCTCTGTGCTAATCAAATTTAATTACAATTTCAGAACTGTTATCTGAAAGATTCCTAACTAATATTTGAGTCCTCAAATATATACTACTTTAATCTGAACATCTCTCAAAGCCTTTCATATAGTGGTAGCTGAAAAAGTTTTCTCTTTGCTTTGGCAGCAGTGGTGGCTATCGAATGGGAATTTGATTGCAGTGTTGTTTCTGTGAATCAGATGGAACTAATCCTACCTCTGCAATTTGATCTCTTATCATCTTTTTACAAAATAACACATTAATTTTCTCTTACTTAAAAATGTTCTTTTATCAAAAGTATTTTTAATTTTCTAAAATGTAAATAATGTCTTTTCTATGCTTGAAGTGTTACTCTTTCGTATCATAAACACACCATCTGGATTACTAAAAGGAGGGATAGTTTTTATAGCCCTTTTGCTCAGCTCAAAACTGCTGTTTACATAAAGTCATACTTACCCAAAGCCAAGACTATAGGGTACAGTTGTGCAGGTTGTGCCCTGTACAAAGGCATCTAGCCCTTGGTGTGAGTAAAGGCCAGCCATGGGGAAAGGTGCTCAAGGTCTCCAACTGTGGCAGGGGCCTAGCCACCTGCCTGATACTACCCAAGAGTGAAATTGCTCTCCTATGAATTCTTGTGACTCATTTACCATCCTTTATAGCACGTTCATTTTGCTAACTTTCTTATCTCCTTTATTACATAAAAAAATATTTTGAGGTGGGAAACTGCATTATACTATCCTTTCAAGTGCCCCAAATGAAAACATTTGATTTGGCCAATGAACACCTGACAAATGAGATAATGTGTTTATAAGTGAGACTTTACATGCCAAAGTAGCACAAATCTTAAAGTTTCTTATTTTATTTAATGTGTAAACTTCACTTTCACTACAACTGAAGAGCTCTATATTACAGCAATATCTATGAGCCAAAACTCTGAGCTAAATAGGCCATAAAAATGGTATAAGGAAATATCCAGCTTACAAAAGAGTAACACAGACACAACTTAACCCCAAACTGAGACCAAAATATAATTATTTATTTATTGAAACATGAAGTAATTTGCCTCTTGCATATATAAGTGAGCCAGATAAGGGAAATGAGCATTCTAATCAAACAGCAATGCAAGATTAGAGCAAATCAAAAGAGAGCAATCATTTGTGAATGGAGGTAAATTAATTCCATTAAGTATGCCACAGAAATCTAGCATTAAAAAATTCAAAAATTCTAGCTTTGTGAACTTGAAAGATATTTAGAATCATTGTTCTAAGTGTCATGAAGCAGAAGCAGGCTCCAATTCATGGCCTACATTAAAACCAGGATGTGTTGATTTAACTCCAAAGATTAGACTACTGGGAGCCATATAATCAATAACCTCCAGGGATCATATTTCAATATCTCTGCCAATTTAATTATCGTACTCAGGTGCCAGCTTTCTTGTTTTATATATATATAAATTTCTGTGACACAGCCCTCGGGAGATCCTGAGAACATGTGCTCCTATATTCCACAGTTTAGAGCCAAGAATTAGCTTGAATGCAGGTGCACAGAGTTAAATTACCTAGTTTGTATCATTAGAGTAGTTGAGAATCAAAGTCCCTAAAGTTATACCATATCAATTTCATTAAACAGTTGACTCTTCAACAACACAGATTTGGACTGTGTATGTCCACTTATACTGAGATTTTTCAACCAAACTTAGATTGAAAATCCAGTATTAAAGAAATGCAAAAGCTACCTATATGGAGGGCCAACTGTTTGTATATACTCAGGTTCTGCAGGACCCACTGTGGGGCTTGAGTATGCAAGGATTTTGGTATGGATGGGGGCCTGGAACAAATCCCCTGCATATATCAAGGGACAACTGTACTTAAAAGCAAATAAACATAAAAAACAAATAATTTTCCAAGTACAAATAAAAATTTTCCTGCAGGGGTCACAGCTGGGCCCTAAACTCAATTCCTTGATATGTGCCAGTCTGACACAAGAAGTAATCAATGGCTCATGGAGTCTGGTCCTACTTATCAAAGAAGTGGGTGAAGTTTCTCTATTATTCCTTCCTTCTTTCTACAGTCTTCTCTCACTGCTCACCCCTTTTTAGAGATCCTTCTTTTTCTAAATGCCTGGATTTTGATGCCCAGGACATGGAGCAAATCAATACATAAATGAATTCACATTAAGAGGGTAATGACTAGCTCTTTTTACCAAAGTTGCTAGTCTTGCGTCAGCTTGGCTCCTATAGAAGGAGCTCCCAGCTCTCTGAAGGCACCTGTACGTAGTCTGGAGTCTCTGGAGGTATCTTACATCTAACTCATCTGTAAGTGGCTGGTTCTGCCCTGCTCCAGTGGAGTCTCAGCAGTGTGAGAATTGTCAGGTACAGAATTAGAGGCAAACTGAGTGAGAGGAGATTCCCAGGACCCAGAAACACCCATCTCAGCATGAATAACACTTGGTAGTTTTTCTCTCTGTAACATTTGTCATCTTATAGGCTCAATTCCCGTGAACTAATTTTGTTTGAAACCCTACCCCTAACCTTCCTGCCTCTACCCCTACTCCCATAAAAGCAAAGTGTCTGTCCTTGCAATATACTAAGAATACCTTTTTTTTTTTTTTTTTTGAGACTTAGTCTCACACTGTCGCCCAGGCTGGAGTGCAGTGGCACAATCTCGACTCACTGCAGCCTGCGCCTCCCGGGTTCAAGCAATTCTCCTGCCTCAGCCTCGCGAGTAGCTGGGACTACAGATGCATGCTGCCACACCTGGCTAATTTTTGTATTTTGTGGTAGAGACAGGGTTTCACCATGTTGGGCAGAATGGTCTTGATATCCTGACCTCGTGATCCACCCTTCTCGGCCTCCCAAAGTGCTGGGATTACAGGCGTGAGCCACCGCACCCAGCCTAAGAATACATATTTTAGAAACCTCTTTCCTCCTAGGAAACTATGATCCTCAAGGAAAAGAACCAAGTCTTATTTTTTTCTTAATGCCCCATTTTCTGACATAGTACCTTAGATAATTATGTGCATAATAAATGTTTTCTGGCTGGGCACAGTGGCTCATGCCTATAATCTCAGCATTGGGAGAGGTCAAGGCAGGAGGACCACTTGAGCCCAGGAGTTTGGGACCGGTCTGGTCAACAAAACAAGACTCTGTCTCTACTAAAAAATAATAATAATAATAATAATGTTTTCTGAAATTTTGAAATCTCAGAAGTATTTGCATGTTGAGAGGGCAATACTTAATGTCTTTTTCACCCTTAATGCTTAATTATTAATCAAGATTTAGTTCAAATAGTCTCCTTTCTATGAAACTTTCTCTGGCTCCCTACAATACTTTATTCACACCTTCATTATGGCAATGCAATCTTTCTTACAAGTTGTTAGACATCTTTTTGCCTGACTAGGCACTGGGCTTCTTAGGAAAGAGAACTGTATGTACTTTATTACAATACAAAGAGCTCCCCAACTCTTACGTTGCCGGATTATAAAAGGCATTCAGTAAATATTTATAAAAGAAAAAGTGGAATACAAGGGAAGAGGGAGAGACAGTGGGAGGAAAAAGAAAGGAGAAGGGAGAAAGAAGGGGTGGGGAAGTGAAGGAGGAAGGAATTAAGAGGTTGTAATATTGGTTCTTTCAGGTAGCATTTGACATGGGAGGTGTTTAGGAAAAGGCAGCTTTTTCAAGGCTTTAGAAATCAAGTCATATTGCTAACTACTTATTATGTATAAAAATAACTTCAGTCTGGAAGTTGATTGCTCATTTAACTTAATAGAAAAATATATGTATTTCAAATGCGGAATTCTCACGATAAGCATTTTGAAATAAAATCTCTATCCAGTTAACTAAAATGAGATCACTTTTTAACAACACACAAACACACACAACTTGAGCAGACGAAGGCAAATGGATTAAATGTTTGGCAGAATTAAGTTGGTGTGCCTGCCTTATACCAAGGTACCAAAAAATATTTGTTAATTTAATATGAGAAACTTTTTGATAAAGCTTATGTGTAGTAATAACTGAAAATTGTGCTAGTGACATGCCATGGTAAAATGTAGCATTTCTATTTCATTTATAGGTTAGAAAATAATTTTCTCCCTTTTGCAGTTCTCACATCTCAAATTTTAAATTGACAATTTACGCTACTATTTGTTAAATGGTGTCACATGAACCAATCTCTTTTTCTATTTTTGTGAGAATGTCATTGGTACTTTGATAGGGATTGTCTTGAATCTGTAGATCGCTTTGGATAGTAAAGACATTCTAACAATATTAATTCTTCCAATCCATGAACATGGAGTATCTTTCCATTTTTTGGTATCCTCAATGTTTTTCATTACTGTTGTATGCTTTCTCTTTTATGGAGATCCTGCACTTCTTTGGTTAATTGATTCATAGGGATTTTTAATAGCTATTGTAAATAGGATTGCTTTCTTGATTTTTTAATATTGATTCCTGTTAGCCTACAAAAATCCTACTGATTTTTGTACATTTCTTTGTATTCTGCAACTTTACTTAATTGGTTTGTCAATTCTAAGAGTTTTTTGGTAGAGTATTTTGTTTTTTCTAAATATAAGATTATGTCATCTGCAAATAAGGATAATTTGACTTCTTTCTTTCCAATTCGAATGCCCTTTATTTCTTTCTCTTGCCTGATTGCTCTGGCTAGGACTTTCAGTACTATGTTGAAAAAAAGGGGTGAAAGTGGGCATCCTTGTCTTATTCCAGATCTTAGTGAAAAGGCTTTAAATTTTCCCCATTCAGTGTAGTAGATGTGGGTTTTTAATAGATGGCCTTTAACTTGTTGAGGTATGTTCCTTCTATACCCAATTTGTTGAGAGTTTTTATCATGAAGGGATGTTAAACTTTATTCAATGCTTTTTGAGTATCTATTGAATGCTCACATAGCTTTTGTACTTACTCTGTTAATAGAATGTATCACATTTATTGATTTGCATATGTTGAGCCCTCCTTGCACCACTTGGATGAATCTCACTTGATCATGGTGAATGAGCTTTTTAATATACTGTCGAATTTGGTTTGCTAGTATTTTTTTGATGATTTTTGCATCTATTTTTCACCAGGGGTATTGGCCTATAGTTTCCCTTTTTGTTGTGTTTTTGTCTGGTTTTGGTATTAATATTGGCCCTGTAGAATGAGTTTGGAAGTATACCTTCTTCTTCAATTTTTTGACACAGTTTGAAAAGTATTGGTATTAGTTCTTTTTAAAATGTTTTGTAGAATTCTACAGTGAATTTATCAGGTCCTTGGCTTTGCTTAGATGGGAGAGCTTTTGTTACTGCTCTCATCTCATTATTCATTTTGGTCTTTTCAAGTTTTCTATTTCTTCATGGTTCAATCTGGATAGGTTGTATGTGTGCAGAAATTTATCAGTTTCTTCTAAGTGTTACAATGTCTTGGTATATAAATGTTCATAATACTCTCCAATTATCCTTTGTATTTCTACACTATCAGTTGCAATGTTTTCTTTTTCATCTGATTTTATTAATTTTGGTCTTCTTTCTTTTTTCTTAGGTTTGTCAATTTTGTTTATCTTTTCCACAGGCAACTTTTTGTTTTTGTGATTTTATGTATTTTTTTAGTCTCAATTTCATTTATTTCTGCTCTAATTGTTATTGTTTCTTTTCTTCTACTGATTTGGGGTTAGGTTTGTTCTTGCTTTCCTAGTTCCTTGAGGTGTGTATTAGGTTGTTTATTTGAAGCCTTACTACTTTTTTGATGTTGAAGTTTATTTCTATAAACTTCCCTCTTTGTACCACTTTTTCTGTATCTCATAGCTTCCTGTATATTGTGTTTGCATTTTTATTTGTCTCAATAAATTTTTAAATTTTCTTCTTAATTTCTTCATTAACTCGTTATTCTTCAGAAACATGTTTACTTTCCACATATTTGTCCAGTTTCCAACATTCCTCTTGTTATTGAGTTCTAGTCTTATTCCATTGTGTTCAGAAAAGTTACTTAATATGATTTTGACACTTTTGAATTTACTGAGTCTTGTTTCATGACCTGACATACCTTCAAGAATGTTCCATATGCTGATGAAAAAAATCTGTATTCTGCACCAGTTGGATGAAATGTTCTGTAAATATATGTTAGGCCCTTTTGGTCTGAAGTATAGTTTAACTCCAATGTTTCTTTAATGATTGGTAATCTGTTTATTGCCAAAAGAGGGGTGCTGAAGTTTCCTACTGTTATGTATTGCATCCTATATCTCCCTTTAGATTTTTTAATATTTGCTTTATATATTTGAGTGCTCTGATGTTGAATGCATACATGTTTACTATTTTTACATCATTTTGCTGAATTGACCCCTTTGTCGTTATATAATAACCTTCTGTCTCTTACAGATTTTGATTTAAAGTCTATTTTATGTAATATAAGTAAAACTACTCCTGCTGTTTTATGATTTCTATTTTCATAGAGTATCTTTTATCATCTTTTGTCTTTCAGTCTATATTTTTTTAGAGGTGAAATGAGTTTCTTGTAGGAAGCATATAGTTGGATCTTAATTTTTAATACATTCAGCCATTCTATGTCTTTAATTGGAGAATTTAGTTCATTTACATTTAATGTTATATTGATAGAAAAGGATTTACTACTGCCATTTTGTTACTTGTTTTCTAGTTGTTTTGTAACTCCTGTCTGTCTTCCTTTTCTTACTGTCTTCCTTTGTGGTTAATTGACTTTCTCTAGTACTACGTTTCAATTTGTTGCTTTTTATTTTTAGTGTATCTATTATAGATTTTTGCTTTGTTATTACCATGAGACTTGCAAAAAAATAGTTATAACAATCCTATAGGCCAGGCACAATGGCTTACACCTGTAATTCCAGTACTTTGGGAAGCTGAGGCAAGAGGATCACTTGAGCCCAAGAGTTCAAGACAAGCCTGGGTAACATAGTGAAACTTCATCTCTACCAAAAAAAAAATCAAAAAATGAGGCAGGAGGACTGCTTGAGCCCAGAAGTCGAGGCTGCAGTGAGCCATGATCTCACTGCACTCCCGCCTGGGCGACAGGAGTCAGACCCTGTCTCAAAAAAACAAAAAAAAACAAAACTTATCATTATAACAAGTTATTTAAAACTGTTTTCAACTTAATTTTCATTGCAAATAATAATAATAATAAAGACAAACAATCCTCCCCCAAGAAAAACCTGTACACATTAACTCCCTTCTCCCACAACATTAAAAATTTTTGATGTTACAATTTACATTTTTATATTGTATATCTCTTAACTGATTGTTTTAGTTTTTTTGTTTTTGTTTTTTGAGATGGGGTCTCGCTCTGTCACTCAGGATGGAGTGCAGTGGCATGATCTCGGCTCACTGCAACCTTTACCTCCTGGTTTCAAGCGATACTCATGCCTCGGCTTCCCAAATAGCTGGGATTACAGGCACACACCACCACGCCTGGCTAATTTTTGTATTTTTAGTAGAGATGGGTTTCACTATGTTGGCCAGGTTGGTCTCAAACTCCTGACCTCAAGTGATTTGGCCACCGCGGCCTCCCAAAGTACTGGGATTACAGGTATGGGCTACCGCACCTGGCCATTATTATTTTTAATAGTTTTCTTATTCTTTTAGTCTTTTTACTAAAGATATCCATAGTTGAAACACTATGATTTCAACATTAGTACAACAATCACGTTAGCATCCTTTCCGCTCAGATTGAAGAACTCCCTTTAGTGGTTCTTTTAGGACAATTCTGATAGCAATAAATTCCCTCAGGTTTTGTTTCATTTGTTCCTCTTCATTTCTGAAGGATAGTTTTGCTAGGTACAGTGCTCTTGGTTGACAGGGTTTTTTTTTCTTTTAGCACTCTGAATATATTTCGCTTCATCCCAGCCTATAAGATTTCTGCTGGGAAGCCTGTCGCCAAGTGTATTGGATCTTCCTTACATGTTATTTGCTTCTTTTCTCTTACTGCTTTCAGAATCATCTTTTTGTCTTTGACCCTTGAGAGTTTGGTTATATGTCTTAGGGTAATCTTATTTGAGTTTAATCTGATTGGTGACTTTTGACCTTCTTGTACCTGGATATTTATATCTTTCTCCAGATTTGAAAACTTTTAATTATTATTATTTCAATCTTCCTATTAAATATCTCTGATAAATTTCTGAATTATCTCTATTTTCTTGAAATTTATTGATCTTCCTAAAAACAGCTTTTTTAAATTATTTGTCTGAGAGATCACACATCTCTATCACTCTAGAGTCAGTCTCTGGCACCTTATTTTCTGGGGAGGTCATATCTTCCTGAATGTTCCTAATACTTGTGGATCTGTGACAACGTCTGTGCATTCAGGGATTGGATGTTTATTTTAGTCATTGCAGTCTGGCTTTGTTTGTGCCTGTCCTCCTTCAAAAGGCCTTCCAGGGATTCTAAGTATACTGACTGTATTAGTTCATTCTCATACTGCTATGAAGAACTGCCCAAGACTGGGTAACTTATAAAGGAAAGAAGTTTAATTGACTCATAGTTCCACATGGCTGGAGAGGCCTCAGGAAACCTACAATCATGGCAGAAGGCACCTCTTTACAGGGTAGCAGGAAGGAGAAGAGCAAGTAGGGAAAATGCCAGGCACTTATAAAACCATCAGATCTCATGAGACTCACTAATTATCATGAGAACAGCATGGAGGAAACTGCCTCCATGAACTAATTACCTCCACGTGGTCCCGCCCTTGACACGTGAGGATTATAGGGATAATGGGGATTGTGGGGATTACAATTCAAGATGAGATTTTGAGTGGAGGCAACAGCGAAACCTTATCACTGACTGTTGTGTTTTTTGAGACTGCGGCCATTGCAACCATCTCAACACTAGAGGATGCTCTAAGCCCAGGTTTGCTATGAGTCTCATGAGAAGGTGGCATGGCTTTCTGGCCCAGATAGACCCAGGGAAGACCCAAGGAGGGTATTGGGGCTGTATGGGAATTCTGGCCAAGGTCTTGAGTCCAGAAGACTGCCCTGGTGGCCCAGACATGTATACCTCCCAGCATGCCTCTGCACAGTCAATATGTGTCCTGACTGCAGCGTGAGGGACTGGTGTTGAAACTGGGCCTCTTTGGGATCTGCTGGCAGGCCCAATTCATTGACTGTAATGTGCATGCATCACCCAAAAGGTCCCTACACAACTAGGGTCATTCGTCAAATACAACAGCAGTGGCTGGAGATGAGACTGGGCCCCAATGTGGAAGGGATAGCACGCCTTCCACATTGACTCAGACAGGTATGCATCTCTCAGCATGTGCCTGCACAAACAAGATAGTTCCTGGCTGCAGCAGGAAGGACTAGAGCTGAGACCAGGCCCCCTTGGGATCTGCTATGGGACAGAGGCTAGAGAGCTCCATCTTAACTCAGAGGGGTGGGTGTTGCCCAGCAAGTTACTTTGCAGATGCAGTATTTCCCTGACTGCAGCTGGAGGGGCCAGAGCTGAAACTTGGCCTCCTCAGGTTCTGTTGTGGGATAGAGGCTGGAAAGCCCTGACTCATTGGCTCAGAATGTGCATGTGTCTCAGAAAAACCCTGAACAGATGGAATAGTTCCCTGATTACAGCAAGAGGGGTCAGAGCTGAGACTGTGTTTTGGCAGGAGCTCCTGTTGGACAGAGGCTGGAGAGCTCATCTCACAGGGCCAGAAAGGTGCTTGTCTCCCAGCAGGTCTCAGTTCAGGCAGGATAGCTTCCAAACTCCAGCAGGAGAGGCCAGAACTAAAACTGGGCTCCCTCAGGATCTGCTGTGATGCAGAAGCTGGACAGCCCAGTCTCAGTGACTCAGAGGCAGGTGTGTGTGTCTCCCAGGACTTCCCTGCACAGATGAGATAGTTCCCTGATCGCAGAAGGAGGGCCCTGAGCTGGGACTGGCTCAGGGTCTGCTGTGGGATCAAGGTTGGCAAGCACATCAGGGAGGCTCAGACTACCAGACTGCAAGAGATGGGTAAGTATCCCTCTGGGCCCTTTTATAAGCAGCTCTGAGCTGGGACCTCAGCTGAAGAAGGCTGGGCCAGAGCCATACAGCAACTTTCAGGTTCCATGCCCAGACTGATATCAGCAGGCAGACTAACCTTTCTGCCAAGGAACTAGTGTGCTCAATTCCTTCTGGACCCCTTGGCAGATGGTTTTGGTTGCAGGCTCAAAGCCAAATGGAACTAGAGCCAAGCACCTTGGAGGACTAGGCCACTTCTGGGCTTGAACCCAGGTGCAAACTTGGTGAATCAACCGCTTGACAGCACTGTCAGTCTGGACTCTCAAAACGATCCTTCTAGGTCTTGGACTCCATCAGGGTTTCACAAGCATCTACCTGAATACTGAGGCTCTTATAGAGTGACTTTTAACTATGTCTTGGTGTAGATTTCTTCTTGTTGGGAGGATATAAGAGGGTTACCTTCTATTCCACTATCTTGGTGATGTAATCTGCCTCCATTTTTGCTCATTTTTGTTTGTTTGTTTGTTTCTTTTTGACACATGGTATCATTCTGTTGCCCAGACTGCAGTTTAGTGGAGTGATCTCAGCTCACTGCAACCTCTGCCACCTGGGCTCAAGCAATCCTCCCACCTCAGTCTCCCAAGTAGCTGGAACTACAGGCATGTGTGACCACGCCCGGCTAATTTTTATATTTTTTGTAGAAATGGGGCTTCACCATGTCACCCAGGCTGGTCTCAAATTCCTAGACTCAAGTGATCCGTTCGTCTTGGCCTCCCAAAGCGCTGGGATTACAGGTATCAGCCACCACACCCGGCCCATTTTTGCTCATTCTTATCTTTTCATCAGACATACCACCATCCTCACAAACACCTGCTGGTTGAAATGTTGTTCATATTAGTTTTTTGTTACTGCTGAAATAAATTACTGCAAGTTTAATAGCTTCAAAAACACAGATATATTATCATAAGGTTCTTTAAGTTCACAGTCTTACATGGTCTCACCGGGCTAAAATCAAGGTGCTGCATACCTTTCTGAAGCTCTGGAGGAGAATCCACTTTCTTGCCTCTTCTGGTTTCTAGAGCCTCCTGCATTCCTCAGCTTATGTCCACTTTTACTTTTACTCTGTTCTAAGTCGGCAATGTCATACCTCTGTGATCCTACTTCTGTCTTCTGCTATCACATCACTCTCTGACCACAGCCTCTCCCCGTCTCAAGGTTCTTAACCTTAACCACAAAGTCGAAGTCCCTTTCACCATGTAAGATAACATATTCACAATTTCCAGACATTAGGATATGGACATCTTTGGGGGTCCACTATTCTGCCTACCATACTGCTCATTCATTTGCAGCCATAACATTCTAACGCATAGTTAGTGGAATTATAATTGGGAAATTGGATGGTAGTTCCAAACATACTGAAATTAAATGTATACATTCATTTTAACTCCATGTAACTTCACACCTGTGAAGTGTATGCCACAGAAATACTTAGACATTTATTCATTTAACATACTTAAAATATGTTACACTCCAGGTATTTTTCCAGTTGCTAGGAAAAAAGAGAAAGCCCTTGACCTCAAACCACTAGTGAAAGAAGGCAAAGAATAAGCAAATAAATATGAATTATGTGACATGGTTATAGTAGATACTTTTTTCAGTTGATGAGACCAAAATATTTAGTTTTGCTTGACTCCTGTTTTTTCTTCACACCCCATAACTAATTCATCAGCAAATTCTAATGGTTCTATTTTCAAAATACTTCAGAATCCTACCATCTTATGTGTGCCAATATACATTTACAAAAATGTTTTCCTAAGTAAATCAAGGCACTATTAGCAGATAAATAAGGATGAATGATCAGAAGGAAAAAACAAACCAACAAACAAGATCTCTACTATAACATCTTCTATACCTAACATGTATCAAACACAAAGTCTAGCCAAATAGTTAGCAGTTATAACAATACACTGGCATATTGTAAATTCTTCACAGCTATCTAACAAATTTGTATTGTTGTGTAAATACTTTTTTTGTGTGTGTATGACAGAGTTTTTGCTCTGTTGCCCAGGCTGGAGTGCAATGGTGCAATTTTGGTTCACTGCAGCCTCCACCTCCTGGGTTCAGGCGATTCTCCTGTCTCAGCCTCCCAAGTAGCTAAGATTACAGGCAACTGCCACCATGCCCAGTTAATTTTTTTATTTTTAGTAGAGATGGGGTTTTACCACATTGGCCAGGCTGGTCTCCTGACCTCAGGTGATCCTCTCGCCTCAGCCTCCCAAAGTGCTAGGATTACAGGAGTGAGCCACTGCATCCGGCCTAAATGCTTTTATACTCTACCTGAAGATACATTCTACTCTGATGCTATCTGTTGAATGGGTCATTAAGCCGAGTAGAAGATGGAGAGCAGTATCCATGTCTCCATCAATGGCAGTGTATAAATTGCTGTATGTAAAACTAGACTGAAAATGTGATTTTAGGCTTTCCAGGTATGGGTTATATGGAATCTGACAAAACGCCTCAGCCCTGCCATGATAGCATAAAAGTTGCTATGGACAATACATACACAACTGAGTAGGATATATTCTGATAAAATCCGAGACATCATATCATTTTATCTAGAAAAAATTTTGCATTGCTTTCTAAAAGACTCACTTTTAAAAACATAGTTGCGTTTTTGGTAGACGGCATGCCAGGCCTAGAGTGTGCTGATTGTTGTTTTATTCAAATAACATAATACTGAAAAGCATAAAAGTACACAGTCCAACATGGGTTAAATGCAATTTAATCACATCATGTGCCTTAAATCTTCCTATATTTAAAAGTATGCTGTGAATGCAGTTCAGAACCACTCCAGCCCACATGTGGCCTCTGTTAATATAATCTTTCTTTCTTTTTTTTTTTTTTGAGACGGAGTCTCTCTCTGTCGCCCAGGCTGGAGTGCAGGGGCGCAGTCTCGGCTCACTGCAACCTCCACCTCCCCGGTTCAAGTGATTCTCCTGCCTCAGCCTCACAAGTAGCTGGGATTACAGGGACCTGCCACCACGCCCAGCTAATTTTTGTGTTTTTAGTAGAGACGTGGTTTCATCATGTTGACCAGGCTGGTCTCAAACTCCTGATCTCGTGATCCGCCCGCCTCAGCCTCCCACACTGCTGGGATTACAGGTATGAGCCACCACGCCCAGCTAACGTGACCATCTTTCTAAGGACTTGCTGCTAGAAACCAGAACAGTAAGTGTCACCAAGTAAGAGCAGGCTCTAATCTTCCGTCTAAATGCAAAACAAAAATACATTGGCTCTAATCAAAAGAACGTCCTTTTTGAAGCTCAGTAATTATCTGCAAAGTACTTTATTTTAATGTAATTTCCCAGATGATGAATAGCCTTAGTTGACAATAAGGAAATGTGTTTGAGATTATGTGTACTAATTATTCTGGAATCTGGATTCTTAACTGACTTTTCAGAGTAATAGGATTTAATTCCCGGATATGATGGGGATCATGTGGTAGCTATAGGGCACACAAGCGCCTATAAAATGTTTTGGATAAAAGCTGAATTTTCACTTTACTCAATAGCTCAGACTTATTTACTATGATATAATAATTTAATTCAAACCATAATTTGCCTACCAAATATGGGGCAGTAAAATTATTTTTATTTAATGGCAAGACTGCCAAGTGAAAGGATTAAGATATTTAATTGACTTCCACAATTTTGGCCTAACAGCTGGTTCAAACACAGATGCACCAAGATAAATTACACAATTTAAGTCATTAAAGTAATTAGATCAGGATCAAAGTATCTGGAAAGATTCCATATTAATTTTATTTTACTTAAAGCACATTTCAAAGCAAACAGGCATTGAAAGTAAGTATCTCTACGGAATGGCAATTGAAATTTTCCACAGAAGTCATTGCTAAGGCCCTCAGAGTCAACTGTTTGTCTTCCTTTAGTATGGTATGAGATAAAATGAAGGCCAAGTGCCCATATTTGAAAGAAGGTCTCTTTTTTTTTAATCACCCACCTTGAAGCCCTTTTTTTATTTATTTATTTATTTTTTTTTTTGATACAGTCTCACTCTGCTGCCCAGGCTGGAGTGCAGTGGCACAATCTCGGCTCACTGCAACCTCCGCCTCCCGGGTTCAAGCGATTCTCCTGCCTCAGCCTCCTGAGTAGCTGGGATTACAGGTGTGCACCACCACGCCCAGCTAATTTTGTGTTTTTAGTAGAGATGGGGTTTCACCATGTTGGTCAGGCTGGTCTCCAACTCCTGACCTCGTGATCCGCCTGCCTCGGCCTCCCAGAGTGCTGGGATTACAGGCGTGAGCCACAGCTCCTGGCCCACCTTCAAACATTTTCTATCCTCTCTTCAGAAGCACCTTTTTGGTGCTTCTCTTCCTCATGGCATCTCAGGCTTTGATGTTGCCCAGGACCCTGACTCCTTGCTTTACATAATACAGCAGCTGATAACCCACTTCCAGCAAAATATTGGTTACTTAAATACATTAGCTTCATCGTCCTTGTTGACACAGGTAATTCCAATTTAACCTACATGTCAGCATCCCCAACCTGGATCCTTCCTTCTAGAACTTCTGTGCAGTCTTAAAGTTAACATTCTCATGGCACTAATGCATGGGAGTTCTTACTCCCAAGAGTCTTTCAACATCACCTCTCATGACTAACATGTTCCATCATGTGGAACTCAGGTTTATTTTCTTGTTTTCTGCAAAAGGAAAAAGAGAAAATGAAAAAAAAAATGACAAATTATATATGTGGCAGCCTTTTGTGAAGGTCTAGGGGCAATGGATGAGGTTATATAACAACAACACAAACAGCTCCAGATTATGTCCACCAACTTGACAGAAGCATCGCATAATATCACTCAGCTCATTCTCACACCCTCTCCCCCGCTCCATCCTCTTTACAAATATCAACGTTTCAAAAATATGCCTCTGGTCTTCCCTTTATATATCCAAAGACTCATCCTTATGCTCTGATAAACACAGTTCACCTTGTCTGAATCTAATTTTTCTCCCCGCAAGTCTTTAAAGAGAAGGAAGCTGTGTAGAGATTTTTTACTCACTGATATGAATTATGTATACTCCCTACTTAGTAGAAGCAGTTAAGTTAGTTCTTTATTTTAAAGAACTATTATTTTATTCTGCAACATTATGTATCCTTTCATATTGGGTTTAGTGTATTAAAACTATCTCTTAAGAGACCTCTCTTCTCAAGAGACTATGAACTCTTCAAAGTTAGGAAGCAAGTCTTATTTTTTTATGTTAATTATGGAAAATATTCTATTCATAAGTGAAACCTCTTTTTTAGAAAAAGGAAGTAAAGAGAATATTCTAATGAGCCCCTAGTACTCATCACCCAGCTTTACCAATTATCAATATATGGCCAATCTAGCCATCTATACCCAACCTCATGTTCCCCCCGATGCATACATAATTTTATTATTTTTTTATCCTGTTTAGTGTAATAATTTTTACTATTATACCACTTAATCCACAAATGAACAAAAGAGGAGTCAAAAGTTTAGTGTAATAATTTTTACATTAAATATATAGCAATTCGCTTCTCTCAAAGTGGCACTGGTAACTTTTAGAAGAAAGAAGTTTCCATTATGCATTGACTAAAAAAATCTCAAAAACAACTAAGCAGCTATGCTATAGCTCAGTAAGTACCATTAAACTGTTCTGGGCTAGTGTACATTTCAGGTTAATAGAGAGCTACATTTTGGGTTTTAGAAAGGCAGCAAAAATTATATTTTGGCTTTTACTCTAGATGCTTAGCATAGTTAAGGCGACAGTTCAAGCATATTAAGTGAAGGTAGTTAAAATGTAAGAACAACCATCACAATCTCTTGCAACCTAAATACACTGTTTAATGCTTACATGGAACAAAACCAGTGTTTTTAATTGACATTTTACACACACACACACACACACACACACACATACACAGAATTTTTTAAAAAATCAAAGGCAATCATTCTAAACGTACTATGGTAGCATGTTAAAAATGTAAATACCAACGCATAATTTTAAAGAACACCTCAAATGTTCTATAATTTTATCTTTAAAAATTTAAAGGTAGTATAGATCTCTAAACGATAAAGGCTCACTTAAGAAAACATAACCATGGCCGGGCGCGGTGGCTCACGCCTGTAATCCCAGCACTTTGGGAGGCCGAGGCGGGTGGATCACGAGGTCAGGAGATCGAGACCATCCTGGCTAACACGGTGAAACCCCGTCTCTACTAAAAAAAAAAAAAATACAAAAAATTAGCCGGGCGTGGTAGCGGGCGCCTGTAGTCCCAGCTACTCGGGAGGCTGAGGCAGGAGAATGGCGTGAACCCGGGAAGCGGAGCTTGCAGTGAGCCGAGATCGCGCCACTGCACTCCAGCCTGGGCGACAGAGCGAGACTCCGTCTCAAAAAAAAAAAAAAAAAAAAAAAAAAAGAAAACATAACCATAATACCACTATCACAAAAAAAATTAAAAACAATGTCTTTATTCAATCATGATTTGTTTTTTAAGTCTCCACTCTCTTATACAGCCACTAGCTCATGGAAGTGCCCAATCACTGTGTCCCAAACTACTGGACTTTCAGAAGTTTTCATGTTGAGGAGGTAACAGTCAGTCTCTCCTCTTCTCTGACAAGTTCTCCAATCTGTTCAAACCTCAGTTCAGTATTACCTGCTCTATAAAGACTTCCTTAATTCTCCCAAACGCAGTTAGTCATCTCTTCTTGAGGGCCTTCATGATACATCATTCATATCTCTAGCATGTATCTAAATATTTGGTATTATAATTATTCATTTGATTGTCTTTGTCCCCAAATTTAGGCATGCCTTTAATAAACATTGTAATCAATGTTTATTACAGTAATCTCAATTGCCAGAGACCCTGCTGATAAGATAGATCATGTATATGTAATTGAAGAAAAGAAGGAGGAAGGGAGGGAGAACACAGACAAGAAGCTAGCAATCAATTATGGTCTCTGTAGTAGGAAGTCTGTGGGAACATTCTCATGGTTCCCACATTCCCCTATTCCACTTCTAGGTCATGTTTATATGAACTGCGAATTTTCTCTGTTTTACTTATTGTTTTATCTCTAGCACTTGAAACATTACTGGGCACATAGTAAAAGTTTAATACATATTTATGGAAGGAAAGAAGGAAGGGAGGAATGCAGGAAGTGAGGGAAGGGCGGGCCTTGGCCCCATACAAAAGATTGATGACTTGAAATGTTCATAAGTTAAAATGTTTACTATAGTATCATTCATTTATGATTACCTGCTTTCACAAACTTTTATGACAGATAAACATTTATATAAGTAGCCATCATTTGTGTCCAAACCAGGATATATTTCTCTCAGAATAAATATATGCTATTTACTGTCTTAAAGAACTGCCTGACAACTAGTGACCTACTAGGAGCTTTATTTCAGTGCCATCAAGGTAATCAATGCTTTTGATTGCCAGATCCAAAAGCACAGGTTATTTCTGGGAATACTGGTCTTTATGCAAATGTTGGCTTGGCCAACAGAATTCTTGCTCCTTATTTCAGGGTAACTGGACCAGTTACCCAGACCTGGCTAGGAGAGCATGTAGCAGGTGGGCAAATCAGGATAATTCAGTTTACTGAAATGGAGACTACACTCTGCTTATCCTTGGCTCAATAGCTCAGTCTGATTTACTCTGACCTGGAGATGTTATTTGTGTACTTTGGTTGTCAATGAGCTTTGGATAGTGTAGTCAGAAGCCTCTAATGAATTATATTGATCCCATTCTGACCTGGTAGTCATTTTCTCAAACAGGTACTCAGAGGCAAATCACCTGATCTACCAGGTGACAAATATTCAGAACTTCCAATCCGAAACAAGAAAGATACAGAATAGTGAGGGAGAAAAAGGTAAGAATGAAGTATTTGAGATTTCTGTCAAATCCCCCCACTTGTTTTTTTTACTCTTCCCAAACAGCCCATCCTCCTTCAGCAGCGCTTCTTTGCCAGAGTGCTTCAAGTTTTGATGTGGCTTAGATTCTGTTCTATCTGAATAAAACAATCTGATAAATACATTCACATCAAAATTTTAATGACAGCCTACTTTATTCTATGCAGACACATGCACATACAAACACATACTTTTTGTTTGACCATGCAACTTCTAATACATTCTTCAATTCTCAGTTCAGTATTAATATCTCTGAGGTCTTCACTATGAATTGAATATTTCTGTCCCCCCAAAATCCATATGTTGAAGCCCTAATTGCCAGTATAGTGGTATTTGAAAGTGAAACTTCTGGGAGGTAATTAGGTTTGGATAAGGTCATGAGTGTAGAGCCCTCCTGATGGAATTAGTCCCCTTGTAAGAAGAAGAGACCAGAGTTCTCTTTGCCATGTGAGGATACAGCAAGAAGGCAGCCATCTGCATATCAGAAAGAGGGCCCTCATCAAGAACCCAACCCTGCTGGTACCCTCATCTCAGACTTCTAGCCTCCAAAACTCTAATAAATGAATGTTTGCAGTTTAAGCCACCCTGTCTATGTTATTCTCTTAATAGCAGCCCAAACTGACCAATACATTCTCCATGACTTAGTCACTAGAATTAAAATTAGAAAGATAGCAAATAAGCACATGAAAAGATGTTCATCATCATTAGTTATTAGGAAATGCAAATTAATACCATAATGAGATACCACTATGTAACTACTAGATTGTCTAAAATTAAATCATGCTGCTATAAAGACACATGCACACGTATGTTTATTGCAGCACTATTCACAATAGCAAAGACTTGGAACCAACCCAAATGTCCATCAGTGATAGACTGGATTAAGAAAATGTGGCACATATACACCATGGAATACTATGCAGCCATAAAAAAGGATGAGTTCATGTCCTTTGTAAGCACATGGATGAAGGTGGAAACCATCATTCTCAGCAAACTATCGCAAGGACAAAAAACCAAACACCGCATATTCTCACTCATAGGTGGGAATTGAACAGTGAGAACACATGGACACAGGAAGGGGAACATCACACACCGGGGCCTGTTGTGGGGTGGGGGGAGGGATAGCATTAGGAGACATACCTAATGTAAATGACAAGTTAATGGGTGCAGCAAACCAACATGGTACATGTATACATATGTAACAATCCTGCACGTTGTGCACATGTACCCTAGAACTTAAAGTATAATAAAAAATAAAAAATTTAAAAATTTAAAAAAAGACTGACCATGCCAAATGTTGACAAGGGAGTGGGACTCTCAGACACTGGTGGCAGAAAAATGAAATTTATTTGGAGTTAAACATACACTTACTATAGGACTAAGCTACTCTGCACCTAGGAATTTACCCAAGGGAAATGAAAGCATATGTCCAATCAAAGACGTAAATGAGTGATCATAGCTGATTTATTTGTAATAGCCCAAAATGGGAAACCGCCCAAATGTTCATCAACAAATAAATGGATTTGCCAGGTGTGGTGGCTCACGCCTGTAATCCCAGCACATTGGGAGGCCGAGGCAGGAGATCACATGAGGTCAGGAGTTTGAGACCAGGCTGGTCAACATGGTGAAACCCCATCTCTACTAAAAATACAAAACTTAGCCAGGCAAGGTGGGGGGCCCCTCTCGCCCCAGCTACTCAGGAGGCTGAGGCGGGAGAATCGCGCAGCGGGAGGCGGGGGTTGCAGCAAGCCGAGATTGCGCCATTGCACTCCAGCCTGAGCAACAAAGTGAAACTCCATCTCAAAAAAAAAAAACTAAAATGGATTAGTAAGTTAAGGTTTATTTATACTACTGGATTATTCTCAGCAAAAAAAAAAAAAATGTAACAACTATTGATGCACACGAAAACATGAGTGAATCTCAAAATAATGACGCCAAATGAAAGAAGTCAGACGAAAAGTACATTATGGATGTCTATGTTAAGGTCTAAAAAATACAAAATAAATTACAGTGACAGAAAGCAGACCACCAGTTGTTTGAAGAAGGGAGAGAGGGAAAAAGAGACAGATTACAAAGAAGCGCAAGGACACTTTTGGGAGTGATAGCTGTGTTCATTATGTTGATTGCAGCAATGACTTCATGGATACGTATATATGTCAACACTTAGCAGATTGCACACTTTAAATATATGCAATCTGTTGTAAGTCAATTATACCTCAATAGAGTGGTTAAAATAACATATCTCTTCAGGGATAGGGACCAAATATGAATTGTCTTTGTACCCCTGAGTGCTGGATAGTATACGGTAAGCATAACGCATAGTAGTAGCTGGTAACTCGGAGAAGAAGATGGTGTTCTAGTCATATGGAGAAGCATTATAATACCGTGGTCATGTCGATTGACTTTGAACAAGTAAACTTATCTCAGTTTACCCACTTGCATGATGTTTATGCTGAAGTCTATGTCATGGGAATACTTTCAGTGCATAATAAATGTTTTTAAAGTGCTTAATATCATAAATACCACTGTAATTATTTGGGTGAAATCTCTATGTATTTTTCTTTTATCCAACTATTTTATCTAGTTAAACTAGATTGTGTGTGCCACTGCACGCCAACCCGATGACAGAAAAAAGAAAGAAAGAAAGTAAAATCACAAGATATTTAAACCTCACTAAAACATTTTGCCGTAGGTACAATACTAAACAATTCTGCCATTTTACAGCACAAAAATAACTGTGAGATATGTGTTCATTTAACCTGGGTTGAAAATTTTATAATAAAAATTTAAATCATTCAAATGATGAAACTCACTCTTTGCCAATTTCACCTTTAAAAATTACCTAGCCCAATAAATCTATATTTAGTGTTACTGTTGGATATGAACATAGAAGAATAATAATGTCTTCAACTGAATAAAAAAATCTTTGCCAAGTCACTTCTCACCCAATAGGAAAATGAAGAAGACAGAAGGTTTGTAGGAAAGGAAATATAAATGACTCTTTTATATTTTTTTGAGACAGAGTCTCACTCTGTCACCCAGGCTGGAGTGCAGTGACGCACTCTCGGCTCACTGCAACCTCCACCTCCTGGGTTAAAGTGATTCTCCTGCCTCAGCCTCCCAAGTAGCTGAGATAACAGACATGCACCACCATGCCCGGCTGATTTTTGTATTTTTAGTAGAGATGTGGTTTTACCAAGTTGGCCAGACTGATCTCAAACTCCTGACCTTATGTGATCCTCCTGCTTCAGCCTCCCAAAGTGCTAGGATTACAGGTGTTAGCCACCATGCCTGGCCTAAATGACTCTTTTTTTTTTTTTTTGGAGACAAAGTCTCACTCTGTCACCCAGCCTGGAGTGCAGTGGTGCGATCTCAGCTCACTGCAACTTCCATCTCCTGAGTTAAAGTAATTCTCATACCTCAGCCTCCCAAGTAGCTGGGATAACAGATATGTACCACCATACCTGGCTAATTTTTGTATGTTTAGTACAGATGGGGTTTTGCCATGTTGCCCAGGCTGGTCTCCAACTCCTGACCTCATGTGATCCTCCCGCCTCAGCCTCCCAAAGTGCTAGGATTACACACGTGAGCCACTGCACTAGGCCCTGAATGACTCTTAAATATAGAAAAGATCTTCACAAAATGAAAATTAAGACTATAATGAAATATTGGTTTTCATCCATCAGATTGGCAAAGATCAAAAATTTTGGTAACTCACCGTGTTGGCAAGGGTTGGGGAAAGAGGCACTTTTATTGCTTGCTACAGGGAATGCAGACTGACAATAACATTCATGAAAGACAATTGAGCAATAGCTCTTAAAATTAAAAGCACATGTCCTTGGCCTTGTAATTCTACTGCTAGAAATTTATGCTACAAATATTCTCACACTTGTGAGAGACAAGTGTGAGAATCTATCTAATACAAAATTTAAACTAAGATATGGATTTTTGAGATTCAAACTTCTGCCATATCTTTTCTCACTTGGTTTATAAATTTTCATCAAATGTGCCCATTTAAAAAAATTTTTTTAACTTTTATTTTACATTCAAGGGTACATGTGCAGGTTTGTTTTATTGGTAAACTTGTGTCATGGGGATTTGTTGTACAGATTATTTTATCACCCAGGTATTTCACCTAGTACCCACTAGTTATTTTCCTGATTATCTCCCTCCTCCCAAGCTCCACCTTCTGATAGGCCTCAGTGTGTGTTGTTTCCCCCATGAGTCCATTTGTTCACATCATTTAGCTGCCACTTATAAGTGAGAACATGTGGTATTTGGTTTTATGTTCCTGCATTAGTTTGCTAAGGATAATAGTCTCCATCCAGCTCCATTCATGTCCCTGCAAAGGACATGCTCTCATTCTTTTTTATGACTATATAGTATTCCATGGTGTATATGTATCACATTTTCTTTATTCAATCTACCATTGACGGGCATTTAGGTTGATTTTATATCTTTGTATTGTGAATAGTGCTGCAATGAACATACATGTGCATGTGTCTTTTTGATAGAATGACTTTTATTTCTTATATTCAAAGACCTAAAAAGAGAAATACTATTCAACCCATCAATCCCATTACTGAGTATATACCAGTGGAATTGATGGGTCAAATAGTATTTCTGTCTTTAGGTCTTTGCGGAATCACCACAGTGTTTTCCACAATGGTTGAACTAATTTACCCTCTCACCAACAGTGTATGAGCATTCTTTTTTCTCCACAACCTCACCAGCATCTGTTATATTTTGACTTTTTAATAGTAGCCATTCTGACGGGTATGAGATGGCATCTCACTGTGGTTTTGGTTTGCATTTCTCTAATGATCAGTAATGTTGAGCTTTTTTTCATATGCTTTTTGGCCACATGTATGTCTTCTTTTGAAAAATGTCTATGTCCTTTGCCCACATTTTAATGTTTTTTTTCTTGTAAATTTGTTTAAGCTCCTTATAGATGCTGGATATTAGACCTTTGTCAGATGCATAGTTTGCAAATATTTTCTCCCATTCTGTAGTTTGTCTGTTTACTCTATTGATAGTTTATTTTGCTGTGCAGAAGTACTTTAGTTTAATTAGATCCATTTTTCAATGTTCACTTTTGTTGCAATTGCTTTTGATGTCTTCATCATGGGATTGTTGCCCATTCCTATGTCCAGAATGGTATTGCCTAGGTTGTCTTCCCACATTTTTATATCTTTGAGTTTTACATTTAAGTCTTTAAGCCATGCTAATTTTTGTATATGGTATAAGGAAGGGGTCCAGTTTCAATCTTCTGCATATGGCTAGCCAATTATCCAAGCACCATTTATTGAATAGGGAGTCCTTTTCCCATTGCTTATTTTTGTCAGCTTTGTTGATGATTACATAGTTGTAGGTGTGTGGCTTTCTTTTTAGGCCCTCTATTATGTTCCATTGGTCTATGTGTCTGTTTTTCTACCAATAGCGTGCATTTTGATTACTGTAGTACTCTAGTATAGTTTAAAGGCAGGTAGCATGATTCCTCTGGCTTTGTTCTTTTTGCGTTGGATTGCCTTGGTTATTTATGCTCTTTTTTGTTTCCATATGAATTTTAAATTAGTTTTTTCTCATTCTGTGAAGAATGTCATTGGTAATTTAATAGGAATAGCATTGAATCTATAAATTGCTTGGGCAGTATGGCAATTTTGATGATATTGTTTCTTCCTATCCATGGGCATGAAATGTTTTTCCATTTGTTTGTGTCATCTTTGATTTTTTTTTGAGCAGTGTTTTGTAGTTCTCCTTGTGGAGATCTTTCACCTCCCTGATTAGCTGTGTCACTAGGTATTTTATCATCTTCATGGCAGTTGTAAATGGGATTGTGTTTCTGATTTGGTTCTTGGCTTGATTGTTCTTGGTGTATATGAATGCTAGTGATTTTTGCACATTGATTTTATATCCTGACATTTTGCTGAAGTTGTTTATCAGATTGAAGAGCTCTTGGGCAGAGACTATGATACAGGATATTCTAGATACAGGATCGTGTCATCTGCAAACAGATAGTTTGAATTCCTTTCTTCCTCTTTGGATGTCCTTTATTTCTTTCTCTTGCCTGATTGCTCTGGCCAGGACTTCCAATACTCATTGAATTGTGCCAGTCTTCAAGGGGAATGTTTCCAGCTTGTGTCCATTTAGTATGTTGTTGGCTGTGGGTTTGTCATAGATGACTCTTACTATTTTGAGGTATGTTCCTTCAATACCTAGTTTATTGAGAATTTTTAACCTGAAAAGACGTTGAATTTTATTGAAAGACTTTTATACACCTATTGAGATAATCATGTGGTTTTTGTCTTTAGTTCTGTTTATGTGATGAAACACATTTATTGATTTGTGTATGGTGAACCAACCTTGCGTCCCAGGGATAAAGCTGACTTGATCATGGTGGATTAGCTTTTTGATGTGCTGCAGGATTCGATTTGCCAATATTTTGGTAAGGATTTTTGCATTAATGTTCACCAAGTATATTGGCCTAAAGTTTTCTTTTTCTGTTCTGTCTCTGTCAAGTTATGGTATCAGGATAATGCTGGCCTCATAGAATGAGTTAGGGAAGAGTCCTTCCTTTTCAATTTTTTGGAATACTTTCAGTAGGAATGGTACCGGCTCCTCTTTGTACATCTGGTAGAATTTAGCTGTGAACCCATCTGGTCCTGGGATTTTTTTTTTGGTTGGTAGGCTATTTATTACTGCCTCAATTTCAGAGCTCAATATTAGTCTGCTCAGGGATTCAGCTTCTTCCTGGTTCAGTCTTGGGAGGGTGTATGTGTCCAGGAATTTAGTCATTTCTTCTAGATTTTCCAGTTTATGTGCATAGAGGTGTTTATAGTATTCTGTGGGGTCAGCGGTAATATCCCCTTAGTCTTTTCTAATTGGGTTTGGATCTTCTCTCTTTTTTTCTTTATTAGTCTAGTCAACATTTTATGTATTTTATTAATTTTTTCAAAAAACCAGCTACTGGATTTACTGATCTTTTGAATATTTTGGGGGTGTCTCAATCTCCTTCAGTTCAGCTCTGTTTTTGGTTATTCCTTGTCTTCTGCTAACTTTCAGGTTGGTTTTCTCTTGGTTCTCTAGTTCTTTTAGTTGTGATGTTAAGTTGTTAAGTTGAGATATATCTAACTTTTTGATGTGGACATTTAGTGCTATAAACTTTCCTCGTAACACTGTCTGAGCTGTGTCCCAGAGATTCTGGTATGTTGTATCTTTGTTCTCATTAGTTTCAAAGAACTTCTTGATTTCTGCCTTAATTTCATTATTTATCCAAAAGTTATTCAGAGCAGGTTATTCAATTTCCATGTAATTGCATAGTTTTGAGTAAATTTCTTAGTCTACATTTCTAATTTGATTGTACTATGATCCAAGAGATTGGTTGTTATCATTTCAGTTATTTTGCATTTGCTGAGAAGTGATTTACGTCCAATTATGTGATCAATTACAGAGTATGTGCCATGTGGCAATGAGAAGAATGTGTATTCTGTTGTTTTGGAGTGGAGAGTTCTACAGATGTTGTATTAGTCCATTTTCACACTGCTATAAAGAAATACGTGAAACTGGGTAATTTATTTTTTTAAAAGAGACTTAATTGGCTCCCAGTTCTGCAGGCTGTAAAGAAAGCATGACTTGGAAAACTTCAGGAAACTTACAATCATCACAGAAGGTGAAGGAGAAGCAAGCACATGTTACATGGCAGGAGCAGAAGGAAGAGAGGGTAGGTGGAGGTGCCACACACATTTTAAAAAAAACAGATTTTGGGAGTACTCACTCGCTATCATGAAAACATCAGGCGGGAAATCTGCCCCCATGATTCAGTCACCTCCCACCAGGCCCAACCTCCGACACTGGGGATTATAATTCGACATGAGATTTGGATGGGGACACAGACCCAAACTGTATCAGATGTCTATCACCATTTGATCCAGTGCTGAGTTCAGGTCCTGAATATCTTTGTTAATTTTCTACCTCAATGATCTAATACTGTCAGAGGGGATGTTAAAGTCTCCCACTATTATTGCAATGGAGTCTAAGTCTCTTTGAAGGTCTCTGAAAACCTGCTTTTTGAATATGGGTGCTCTTGTATAGGGTGCACATATATTTACGATAGTTAGATCTTCTTGTTTAATTGAACCTTTTCCTTTTTTTTTTTTTTTTTTCAAGTTGGAGTTTCACTCTTGTCACCCAGGATGGAGTACAGTGGCATGATCTTGGCTCAGTGCAACCTCTGCCTCCTGGGTTCAAGCAATTCTCCTGCCTCAGCCTCCCAAGTAGCTAGGATTACAGGCACGTGCCACCACATTGATTAATTTTTGTATTTTTTAGTAGAGACGGGGTTTCACCATGTTGGCCAGGCTGGTCTAGAACTCCTGACCTCAGGTGATCCACCTGCCTTGGCCTCTCAAAGTACTGGGATTACAGGTGTGAGCCACCACACCCGGCCGAACCCTTTACTATTATGTCATGCTCTTCTTTGTCTTTTCTTTAATCGTTGTGGGTTTGAGGTCTCTTTTATCTGAAATTAAAACTGCAAACTTTGCTTTTCTCTGTTTTTCCATTTGTTTGGTAGATTTTTCTCCATGCCTTTATTTTGAGCCTATGGGTATCATTGCATGTGAGATGGGTCTGTTGAAGACAGCATACCACTGGGTCCTGGTTGTTTATTCAGCTTGCCATTCTGTGCCTTTTAAGTGGTTCATTTAGCCAATTTACATTTAAGGTTAGTACTGATATATGTATGGATTTGATTCTGTCATCATGATGTTGGGTGGTTGTTATGCAGACTTGTTAATGTGGTTGCTTTACAGTGTTACTGGTGTGTGTACTTCAGTGTGATTTTGAGGTGGCTGGTAACGGTCTTTCCTTTCCATATTTAGTGCTTACCTGAGTTGCTGTTGTAAGGCAGGTCAGGGGTAACAAATTCCCTCAGTATTTGCATGCCTGAAAAGGGTCTTATTTCTTTTTCACTTATGAAACTTAGTTTGACTGGATACACAATTCTGGGTTGAAATTTCTTTCTTTTTTTTTTTTTTCTTCTTGACAGAGTCTTGCTCTGTCGCCCAGGCTGGAGTGCAGTGGCACAATCTTGGCTCACTGCAACCTCCACCTCCCGGGTTCAAGCAATTCTCCTGCCTCAGCCTCCTGAGTAGCTGGGACTACAGGCACACACTGCCACACCCGGCTAATATTTGTATTTTAGTAGAGACAGGGTTTCACCACGTTGCCCAGGCTGTTCTCGAACTCCTGAGCTCAAGCAATCCACCCACCTCAGCTTTCCAAAGTGCTAGGATTACAGGCGTGAGCCACCATGCCCGGCCTGAAATTTCTTTCTTTAAGAATGTTAAATATTGGCCCTCAAGCTCTTCTGACTTGTAGGATTTCTGCTGAAAAGTCCAAAGGGAAGTCTGATGGGCTTCCCTTTTTACCTGACCCTTCTCCCTAGCTGCCTTTAACATTTTTTCTTTCATTTTGACCTTGGAGAATCTGACGATTATGTGTCTTGGGGATGATCTTCCTGGGGAGCGTTGTACTGGGGTTCTCTGCATTTCCTTAATTTGAATGTTGGCCTCCCTAGCTAGGCTGGGGAAGTTCTTTTGGATGATATCCTGATATGTGTTTTCCAAGTTGCTTATACTCTCCTCATCTCTTTCAGGGATAACAATGAGTCATAGATTTAGTCAGTTTACATAATCTCATATTTTTTAGAAGTTTTGCTTGTTCCTTTACATTCTTTATTCTCTATTTTTGTCTGACTGTCTTATTTCAGAAAGCCAGTTTTCAAGCTCTGAGATTCTTTCCTCTGCTTGGTCTGTTCTGCTATTAATACTTGTGATTGCATTATGAAATTCTTGTAGTGTGTTTTTTCAGCTCCATCAGTTTGGTTATATTCTTTTAAATACTGGCTATTTTGTCTGTCACCTCCTGCATTGTTTTATTGTGATTCCTAGCTTCCTTGTATTGGGTTTCAACATACTGCTGCATCTCAATTATCTTTGTTCCTGTCCATATTCTGAATTCGATTTCTGTCATTTTAGCCATCTTAGCCCAGTTCAGAACCCTTGCTGGAGAGATGGTGTGGTCATTTGGAGGAAAGAAGGCATTCTGGCCTTTTGTGTTGTCAGAGTCCTTGAGGTGGTTGTTTCTCATCTTTATGGGCTTATCTACCTTCAGTCTTTGAGGTTGCTGACCATCAAGGTTCCATTTGATGACCTTTAGAGTTTGATTGTGGTATAAGGTGGATTCAGCCAACTGCCTTCATATCTGGAAGATTTTAGGGGACCCATGCTCAGCTCCCAACTCCTGTTCTACCTCTGGGGAACTTGTATTGGACCAGACTTTGTTCTCTGGCTCCTCTAGGTTAGAAATCCACTGTGTTGTGGGGGGACCCTAGGTGCTCCTGGATCTGTGGTCACTACACTTTGATGGGTGGTGTCAGCCAAAGTGTTCGTAGTATAATGACAGTGGGATCCCTCTTCATTTGCCCTGCTCATTGGGGCAGGAAGGCCCTGCTGGCAACTGTGTGTGCAGTCACACTGGTGGTGGTGTTAGCACAGGGGCGGGGTGCTGGTGTGTGCTTTTTCTGTGCATCGCATGCAGGGGCGGTTGTTCCATGTTGGGGAGGGTCCGCTGTTCTCCATGCCTAGTTTTGCTCCTTGGCAGTGTTGATGCATGGGTGGGGTGCTGGTGGGGCTGGGGCTGGCAGTGTTGATGCATGGGCAGGGTGTTGGTGGGGTTGGGGTGGGCCCTCAGTGCCCACCAAGGCTCTGACTGCAATGGCAGTCAATAGGGGGTTGGGGAGAGGACTGCACTTCTGCTGCAGCAGTGGCAGGGCAGGGTGCATGCACACAGGTGCATTGGCAGGGCAAGGAAAGCAAAACCCACCTATGCACATACTGCCAGCAAAGATGTGGGGCATTGTCATGGGCTGGGGGGAAGCTGCAATGCAGGGAGAGAGCAGGCAGGCTGGCTTGTGGCTGTGGGGGCCACCCCGCTGAGCTCTCTGCCAGTCAGGCACAGTCCACCAGCACAGAAGCTATGATGCAGGCCCCCAGGGTGCTCTGGATTACCTGCAAGCAGGTGTAACCAGGCTGGAGCTGCAGAAGAGGCCAGCAGATCAAGGGCTGCTCAGGTCCGACCAACCCCATCTGATGGACAAGACTGCTCTGCAGAGTTCAGGTCCAACAGTTCTCCTAGGACTGAAGTCTCCTATGGGAGCAAGTCAAGCCTAGGGGGATGGGTGTCCTGGCCGTGCTCCACTACTGACGCTCCCGCACCAAACCCTCTGGGCTTCATATTAGCTGGCCTGCTGCCCCATCACTTCTCTAAGCAGCTCTCCCTGCCAACTCAAGTGTCCATGGTGGTCAAGGGGTCACCTCCTGCCAGGATTCCAGAGGCTCGAGGGGACAGCAGGTTGCTTCTTGCCAGTTCCACTCATCTGTTGCCGTAGAGTTGCTGGAGACCAGGAACAAGTCCTGGTGTGTGGTAGCCTCATGCAAGATTCCTGGTTTCCTTCCCCTTCAATTCGGCTTCTGTGTTTTCCCTCCATCCACTCTCGGTGCCTTCCCTCTGAAGATTTGCTATTTTTGTTTCCTAAATGATCTAATAACCCTATTTGAAAAACAGAGACAATATATACCCGTAGCTACACAGAATTGGGCCCAAAATGTCTTTATTTGTCTTTGTTTCTTCTACTCCTTGCACAGGCACAGCACATCTGAAAATTTTATTACAAGTCTGTTATATTAATCTAGAGACTGAAGGGATTTAACCATAATACTAAGGAACTACAGCTAGCAAAGGATTTTTAATCTCATGACATCTGTGATTTCTACATAGAGACAGGATTGTCTATTTTCAATTCAGAATCCAAGCAGAATTTTCCAAAGAAAATTTAAAATAAGCCCCTCACTAACACAACATGTAGAAGAGAACTGTTACATCAGGAAGTCGTTTCTATATGTTAATGCAAATAAAAAGGCAGCCAGTGGTTTGCTGAATATATTAGGATAAAGCATATCTTTTTATAAAATACTTTTTTTGATACTTTTCTTCACAACACGTCATTGCTATGACTGATCCTATAGTCCAAGTACTCATCTTTAAATTCCATGAACTGCCTGGATCCCTACACACTTTTCTTTTTAATTACCCAGGAAGTGTAGTATGGATTTGTTAATTAATATTTACTATGTACTTCAAGATTCCACCAGAAACTAGATTCTGGGTACAAACTACAGAAAATAAGGGTGTTTACATAAGAAATTTATAAGACTGTTTCATTTCAAGTGGTTTCCTTATTTTTTTCTTTTTTTTTTCCATTTGTTTGTTTTGTTTCTTGGGTTTTTGTTTTTTTGGGGTTTTTTTTGGCTTTAGCTGTGGACAAGTTTCCTTTGTACAGGCATTTTAGAACTATCACTACCACTTTTATAATGTTACTCAACTAACATTTATTTTGTGTGGCTTGTAGTTGGACCTTACACTGTTATGGAAATAAGTTCAACATTAATCTTCTGATTCTGTGTACAAGTAGGTCAATTGCATGATGAGATGCGTGGAAAGAAGAGCTTTTTATCTGGATCATGAAAACTTAAGAAAACAGATGCTGTTTTTAAAAAATGAAAAAAGATAAATAAAATAAATAATTGAGCTGATATCCTTCATAGAAAAGTATTCTATCTTAAAATAAGATTTGTGATCTCAGTGTATTAATTATCAAGGTCTGAAATAAATATGGGAATGCTTGCATTTAAAAATAAATAAAATAAAAGACTTTTTTTCCTTTAAGCTCTGTTGGACTTGAAAAATAGACTGTTAATAAGAAGTTGATACTTAAAAGACTGCACTTTGAGTAAGTGAGTAATCAAAGACTGGCTTTGTAATAAAAGCCCTAGAGGAGAAAACTGACAGATCATATTATGTGGGATGAGACTCACATGGGACATACAGTACAGAACAGAATAAAGATAGCACTAGAGTAGAAATTGTTTCTCTGTTACAATAGATAGTGGGTTCTCAGCAAGAATAATTAGGGATTGTTTCTAAAATCACTGAAAATCCTTTAAAATCTGTTAGAGTAGTCTTTCCTTATCCATGAGGGGTACATTACAAAACCCTCCATAGATGCCTGAAACCACAGATAGCACGACACCCTAAAAACAATATGTTTCTTCCTATGCATACCTATGATAAAGTTTAATTTATAAATCAGGCACAGTAAGAGATTTACAACAATAACTAGTAATAAAATAGAGCAGTTTTAACAATATGCCAGCATCACCACTCTTGTGCTTTGGGGATATTATTAAGTAGTATAAGGCTTACTTGAACGTAAGAACTGTGATACATTGACAGTCGATCTAAAAACTAAGAGGGATAACAGAGTAGGCTACTAACTGACTAAGGGGAGGATTACAGACAGCATGAAGATGGTGGACAAGGAATAATGCACATCCTAAGCAGGACAGAGTTGGGCAAAGTGGGATACTGTGAGATTTCATCACACTATTCAATATGATGTGCAATTTAAAATTTACAGATTATTTCTGAAATTTTTTATTTAATATTTTTAGACTGTCATTGGCCACTAGTAACTGAAACTGGAAAGCAAAACCACATATAAGGGAGGACTATTGTATATGTAAGTACATGAGATAAGCATTTCTTGTTACTTAATCTGGGTTTATTTATTTGCAACAAACCATTTTATTATCTTTATGTTCCCTATTGGAGTTAGCAAAATAATGAAAGTCATCTTACTATGTGGTTGTAATCAGGAAACAGCCTATTTTGCAGTATTGTCTTGTAATATAGCTTATTTCCATCTTGAAATGGAACATATAATGCTAATTTACATTTTTTCATAGTGTATTCTTTAGAAAATGTGTCATTTAGTTTCAGGATAAAAGAGACAGTGTCTACGGAGAAGATGGGAAGTTAGATCCATGGTCCAGTAAATGCTTATTATAGCCCTCTCATAGAAATTGATAATGCACAGTTGCTTATTAAAGATGGAGAATTGCTGGAGTAAAGAAACCTCTTTAACTTTAGCATAGCATTTCTCAAATGTAATTGCTCAAGGAAAGGTTTTTTCACATAATATTATATAATACACCCAAAGACCTAATATGCATATTTCAAAAAACAAGCTTTGAAAAGAGTGTACTACATTGTGATAATTATATATGGAGTAAGATGCATGGAGTATGACCTCAATAAATGGGAACTATTTTCTCCCACCCCAAATTATAAACCTATTGAAGATGGAGACTGATGGTTTAATAACCAATATCTAGGATCAGGAGTATAATTTGAAATATCTTGATAGGATGACTTCTTGGGGGAGTCTATTTTCTTTCTTTCTTTCTTTCTTTCTTTTTTTTTTCAGAGTCTCACTCTGTCAAGCAGGCTGGAGTGCAATGGCACGATCTAGGCTCACTGCAACCTCCACCTCCTGGGTTCAAGATATTCTCCTGACTCAGCCTCCCAAGTAGCTGGGATTACAGGCACCCACCACCACGCCTGGCTAATTTTTGTATTTTTAGTAAAGACTGGGTTTCACCATGTTGGCCAGGCTGGCCTTGAATTCCTGACCTCAGGTGATTCACCCACCTCGGCCTCCCAAAGTGCTGGGATTACAGGTGTGAGCCACCACACCTGGCCTGGACTTACTCTTTTGAGTTAATGTTGGAATAATTTAAAACTTTGGGGGACTGCTGGTTTTGAAATGTGAAAAGGGCATGAGATTTGGGAGGGTCCAGGGGTGGAATGATGTGGTTTGGCTCTGTGTCCCCACCCAAATCTCATCTTAAATTGTAATCCCCACTTGTCAATGGAGGGACCTGGTAGGAAGTCATTGGATCATGGAGGCGGTTTCCCCATGCTATTCTCATGATGGTGAGTGAGTTCTCATGAGAGCTGACAGTTTTAAAGTGTGGCACTTCCGGCCGGGCGCAGTGGCTCACACCTGTAATCCCAATACTTTGGGAGGCCGAGGTGGGTGGATCATGGGTCAGGAGTTCAAGATCAGCCTGGCCAACATGGTGAAACCTGGTCTCTACTAAAAATACAAAAATTAGCCAGGGGTGGTGGTGGACACCTGTAATCCCAGCTACTTGGGAGGCTGAGACAGGAGAATTGCTTGAACCCAGGAGGCAGAGGTTGCAGTGAGCTGAGATCACACCACTGCACTCCAGCCTGGGTGACAGAGCAAGACTCTGTCTCAAAAAAAAAAAAAAAAAAAAGTGTGGCACTTCCTCACTCTCTCTCTCTCCTGCTGCCATGTAAGATGCACCTTGCTTCTCCTTCACCTTCTGCCATGACTGTAAATTTCCTGAGGCCTCCTCAGCCATGTGGAACTGTGAGTCAATTAAACCTCTTTTCTTTATAAATTACCTAGTCTCAGGTAATATCTTTACAGAGGCTGGTAAAATCAAAAGCAAGTTAATTACTTCCAAGACAAAATGGGGGTACAGGCGTTGGGTGAATGTTCCCATTTCAAATGGGAGAAATTGGTCAAAACAAAGGGGCCACAGGCCTCATACAAGTTCAAAACCCAGCTGCGAAGTCATTAAATCTTAAAGCTCCAAAATCTGCTTTGACTCCATGTCTCACATCCAGGGCACACTGTTGCAAGGGTAGGGCTCCCATGGCCTTTGGCAGCTCCACCCCTGTGCCTCGGCAAGGTACAGGCCCTGCGGCTGCTTTCAAAAACTGGCATTGAGTGCCTGCAGCTTTTCCAGGTGCATGGTACAAGCTATCAGTGGATCTACAGTGCTGGGGTCTGGAGGATGGTGGCCCTCTTCTCACAGCTCCAGCAGTGTCCCCGGGGGGACTCTCTGTGAGGGCTCAAACCACACATTTCCCTTCCATTGAGGTTCTTCATGATGACTCCACTCCTGCAACCGACTTCTGCCTGGCCATCGAGGCATTTTCACACATCTTCTGAAATCTAGGTGGAGGCTTCCAAAGCTCAACTCTTGTGTTCTGCACACTGCAAGCCAAACGCAACATTAAAGTTGCCAAGGGTTGGGGCTTGCACCCTCTGAAGCAACAGCCTGAGCTGTAACTTGGTCCCTTTTAGTCACAGCTAGAGCTGGAGCAGCTGGGATTCAGGGCACCAAGTCCCAAAGTTGCACAGAGCCATGTGGGCCCAGCCCACAGAGCTATTTTTTCTTCCTCCTAGGCCTCCAAGCCTATGATGGGAGGGGCTGCCATGAAGATCTTTGACATGCCCTGAAGGCGTTTTCCTTATTGTCTTGGCTATTAACATTCAGCTCCTCAGTTACTTATGCCAATTTCTGCAGCCAGCTTAAATTCTTCCCCAGAAAATGGGTTTTCCTTTTCTACCACATGGTCAGCCTGCAAATATTCCAAGGCTTTATGCTCTGTTTCTCTTTTAAACATAAGTTCCAATTTCATACCATCTCTTTGTGAATGCATATAATTGAATGCTTTCAGAATAAGCCAGGTCACTTCTTGAATGCTTTGCGCTTAGAAATTTCTTCTGCCAGGCTGAGCGCAATGGCTCACACCCATGATCCTAGTAGTTTGGGAGGCCAAGGTGGGTGGATTGCCTGTGCTCAGGAGTTCGAGACCAGCATGGGCAACATGGTGAAACCCCATCTCTACTAAAAATACAAAAAATTAGCCAGGCATGGTGGCGCACACCTGTAGTCCCAACTGCTGGAGAGGCTGAGGCACAAGAATTGCTTGAACCCGGGAGGTGGAGGTTGCAGTGAGCCAAGATTGCACCATTGCACTCCAGGCTGGGTGACAGAACAAGACCCTGTCTCCACAAAAAGAAAACAAAAGAAAAGAACGGAAAATTTCTTCTGCCAGATACCCTAAATCATCTTTCTCAAGTTCAAAGTTCCACAGATCTCCAGGACAGGGGCAAAACGCTGCCACTCTCTTTGCTAAAGCATAGCAAGAGTGACCTTTGCTCCAGTTCCCAATAAGTTCCTCACATGTATCTGACATCACCTCAGCCTGTACTTCATTGTCCATATTGCTATCAGCATTTTGGTCAAAATCATTCAACAAGTCTCTAGTAAGTTCCAAACTTTCCCACATCTTTCTATCTTCTTCTAAGCCCTCCAAACTCTTCCAACCTCTGCTCAATACCCAGTTCCAAAGTCACATCCACATTTCCAGGTTATCTGTGTAGAAGTACTCCACTCCTGGTACCAATTTTCTGTATTAGTCTGTTTTCACACTGCTATAAAGATACCACCTGAGACTCGGTACTTTATAAAGAAAGGAGGAGGTTTAATTGACTCACAGTTCAAATGGCTGGGGAGGCCTCAGGAAACATACAATCATGGTGGAAGGCAAAGGGGGAGCTGGACTTTTATGTAAAAAAATTATATAAAAAAAATTTAATGACTGCCCTGCAGTCATTAAAAATTAAAGCTCCAAAATAATCTCCTCTGACTCCAATCTGGGACACAGTGACGCAGTGTGTGGGCTCCCAAGGCCTTGGCAGCTCCAGCCCTGTGGCTTTGCAGGATTCAGCCCCAGCAGCTGCTCTCAAGGTCTAGCTTTGAGTGCCTGCAGCTTTTGCAGGCACATGGTGCAAGCTGCCAGTGGATCTACCATTCTGGGGTCTGGAGGATGGTGGCCCTCTATGGGGAAAAGAAAGAGAGATCAGACTGTTACTCTGTCTGTGTAGAAAGAAGTAGACATAAGAGACTCCATTTTGTTCTGTACTAAGAAAAATTCTTCTGCCTTGAGATGGTATTAATCTGTAACCCTACCCCCAACCCTGTGCTCCCTGAAACATGTGCTGTGCCAACTCAGGGTTAAATGGATTAAGGGCTGTGCAGGATGTGCTTTGTTAAACAAATGCTTGAAGGCAGCATGCTCGTTAAGGGTCATCACCACTCCCTAATCTCAAGTACCCAGAGACACAATACACTGCGGAAGGCCACAAGGACCTCTGCCTAGGAAAGCCAGGTATTGTCCAAGGTTTCTCCCCATGTGATAGTCTGAAATATGGCTTCATGAGAAGGGAAAGACCTGACCATCCCCCAGCCCGACACCCGTAAAGGGTCTGTGCTGAGGAGGATTAGTAAAAGAGGAAGGAAGGCCTCTTTGCAGTTGAGATAAGAGGAAGGCATCTGTCTCCTGCTCATCCCTGGGCAATGGAATGTCTCGGTGTAAAGCCCGATTGTATATTCCATCTACCGAGATAGGGGAAAACTGCCTTAGGGCTGGAGGTGGGACATGCTGGCAGCAATACTGCTCTTTAAGGCATTGAGATATTTATGTATATGCACATCAAAAGCACAGCACTTTTTTCTTTACCTTGTTTATGATACAGAGACATTTGTTCACATGTTTTCCTGCTGACCTTCTCTCCACTATTACCCTATTGTCCTGCCACATCCCCCTCTCCGAGAAACGCCCGATAATGATCAATAAGTACTAAGGGAACTCAGAGACTGGTGCCGGCGTGGGTCCTCCGTATGCCGAGCACCGGTTCCCTGGGCCCATTTTTCTTTCTCTATACTTTGTCTCTGTGTCTCTTTCTTTTCTTAAGTCTCTCATTCCACCCGACGAGAAACTCCCACAAGTGTGGAGGGGCAGGCCACCCCTTCAGCCCTCTTCTCACAGCTCCAAGAGGCAGTGCCCCAGTGAGAACTCTGTGGGGCCACCAACCTCACATTTTCCCTCTGCACTTCCCTAGTAGAGGTTCTCCATGAGGGCTCTACCCCTGCAGCAGTCTTCTGCCTAAACATCCAGGCTTTCCCATACATTTCAGATACATCCTCTGAAATCTAGGCAGAGGCTCCCAAGCCTCAACTCTTGTACTCTGTGCATCAGCCAGCTTAATACCATGAGGAAACCAGCCAGGCTAATCACTTGCATTCTCTGAAGCAGCAGACAAGCTATATCTGGGCCTCTTGGAGCCATGGCTGAAGCTGGAGAGGCCAGGATGCAGGGAGCTATGTCCCAAGGCTGCACAGAGGAGCAGGGCCCTGAGCCTGGCTCATGAAGCCATTCTCCTCTCCTAGGCCTCCAGGCCTGTGATAAGTCATGAGTCATCTAATGTGGTTTTAGGAAGTACAATCTTGGTCAGGCATGGTGGCTCACTCCTCTAATCCCAACACTTTGGGAGACCAAGGCAAAAGGATCACTTGAGCTCAGGAGTTCAAGACGAGCCTGGGCAACATAGCAAATCCTCGTACCTACTAAAAAAAAAATAATTAAAAAAAATAGCCAAGCATGATGGCACACACCAGTAGTCCCGGCTACTCAGGAGTCTGAGGTGGGAGGATCCCTTGAACCTGGGAGATCAAGGCTGCAGTGAGCTATGATTACACCACTGTACATCAACCTGGTTACAGACTGACAGCCTGTCTCGACAAACAGTAAAAATCTCAGGAAAAAAAACAAAAAGGCTCTAAAAAGGAAAGAAGTTATTCAAGCAGCCATAAGAAGATTCCTGAGATTAGAAAGGTAAAAGTTAATTATAATGGGCAGGATATCACCAAAGAAATAAATTATATTTCACAAATGTTTATTGATAAACTGAACTTACATTTCAATTTGCACCTGGTGTCTTAGTATAACTACTAACTGCATACCTTTTTGTTCCCAGAAGTGTCTCACTTTGGATAATGAATTATGTGGGGACACCCTACCATGTGCCAGGTGTACTAAGCAGTAACAGAAAATGAATATAAAAATTATTTACATTAATGATTTAATATTGGGGTATTGAGTCAAAAAAAGGCATGTGTCTTGCCATCAGAAAAGTGCTTCATTTCATTACAGAGGCAAGAAGAATATGTCTGAAAGAATCTGAAAGCAATAAAACGCTTTTTCTAGTTTAAAGTCAGTGTTAGGTAGAGCAAATAAACTGCAGGAAAAAAAAAAAAAAAACAGGAAAGGGGAGAGGGCAGAATGAACTAGAGGAATTAGGAAAAGCAGATAGACACATCTGCAAATTGATACCCAGAACCTAAGCTTGAATCCCTTTGTCATTGAGTGGAAAATGGGTGCATACAAACATGACTGACTACAAGCTAGTGATCTTTAGTCTGCCGCTCTGGCAGCAAGGTAACCAAGACTACATCCCTCAAAGGAGTCTTAATTTTTTAACCAGTTTCTTCAGAAGATATTTCTTAGAAGATCAGATATTGCCTTCATATGAAATATTCCCCAAGACTTTTTTCCCATCTCTTTCAGACCATCAATGTAACATATTTGGAATTTTATTTATTTATTTCTCTAAGAACATTTTAACTTCCAGAGAAGGGCAAGTTTGGGTGTCTGCAAAACTAAACTGTAGGACCACTTTGCTCTCAACACCCTTTCCATGTTGAGAGGAGCTTCTGGCCCTTGCTCTCTGCTTTATTTTTCAGCATTTTTCAACAATCGCCTGCTGCACAACAGCATACTAAGTTCAGTTTGCCCCAAGTGCAATAAGGGTTTTAAACTGTGCTAGTTTTCTAAAAAGTAATTCATTTTTAACAGGTCTTATTTCTGAGTAAACCCACAGAAGAGCAGTTATGGGCAAATAAAAGCAGATTTTATTTAACATTCTGTGAAATCTGGCAGCCTGGGAAGAAGATGCATGCTGGGCCTGGCACAGAACTCCACAGTCAGTTTCCATAGGGAAAGAAGATGAATAACCCAATGCAGTCAACCCCTCTGTGAGCACAGAAGTAATGAACAAAAGATTCATTTCATGTGGGTGCTTCACACACTTTCTACTGACCTCATGCAGCAACTTCAAAGGACTTCTCTGTTCAGAGTAATTATCTGCAATTTGCAGAGTAGCACACAGTCTTCTCACAGATTGTACACTTCCCTTCAGACCCCAAGCTGGCTGGATGTGAACATGACAACACTTCATTTCTAGACCAGAAACAGCTTCCTGATCCAGCCTACAAAAAAGGAAGGAAAATATTTTAAATTAAAGTCTTTCCAAAGAGCTATGTCCTTGGTGTTGGCATGCTACTCACCGTGATCCAAGAGCCCAGGTAAGTACAACTTGAAATTAAAAGAAAGCCCTAATGATCAGATCACTAAAATACGATCCTTTTATAAGAGCAGCTCATATATTAACAAATCAATCCTAATGTTTTATAATATAGAATAAACTGAAAACTGGTGGTATGAATTGAGTTATTTTTGTCATACCCAAGTGAATCGGAATGGAGGAACCAGGGGAAAAAGCACTCAGGGTACATAGCACCTGCTTCAAGAATTCTCCTGCAAGCTCAGCTGCTGAAATGGCCTGTGCAATGTAAGACCATTTTTACCTAGCAGCTACCTAAATGACCTGCCATGACTCTAAGGTTAGTTTTTCCTACTGCCATCATTCACCAGAGCTTGCCAGCTCCCAGAAACTTCACTACTGCCAGTAAGCTCCTTACAAAACAATATGTAACATGTATCTTTCTAATAAAACACTCAACCTTCTCTTTGTTCTTCAGATATACTAAAAACCACACCAGGCTGTTTGTATACCACAAATTGCAACTCTATTTTCTCAAATTAAACCTTTTGTGTATAGATTTGTCTCTACATTTTTATTTGACTTTGACAAAACTAACTGATGAAATAGTAACTTTCTATCACATAAGTTTTTTTAAAACAGCAATATTTTTAACAAACCACTTGATTCTTCATGTAATCAATTTCTGTCTATAAAACAAAATATGATTCACATTTTTTTCAAGGCAATAAGATGTTTCTTCTGTCTTTTTTTTTTTTTATGAGATGATGTCTCACTGTGTTACTCAGGCTTGTCTCGAACCCCAGGGCTCAAGTGGTTGTCCCACCTCATCCTCCCAAAGTGCTGGGATTACAGATATGAGCCACCATGACAAGCTGGAAAATGTCTTAAAAAAAAAAGATAAAATATATAAGGACTTCTAGGATCCTCTCTAGTCATAATATGCTATCTGTTATATAGGAATTTTGATCATTTAGTATATCTTGTTGATATGGTTTGGTTGTGTCCCCACCCAAATCTCATCTTGCATTGTAGCTCCCATAATTCCTGTAGGTCATGGGAAGGGCCTGGTGGGAGACAAATGAATCACGGCGGCAGGTCTTTCCAAAGCTGTTCTCATGATAGTGAATAAGTCTCATGAGATCTGATGGTTTTATAAATGGGAGTTCCCCTACACAAGCTCTCTTGCCTGCCACCATGTAAGATGTGACTTTACTTCTCCTTTGCCATTTGCCATGATTTGTGAAGCCTCCCCAGCCATATGGAACTGTGAGTCCATTAAACCTCTTTCCTTTATAAATTACCCAGTCTTGGGAATGTCTTTATTAGCAGTATAAGAACAGACTAATACACCTGTTAAATGGTATGAAAAGTGTATGGTGGCTCTTAACCACTGTGAATTGACTTTCCTAGTATTTTTAGTTTTTACTTTTAATTATCCAATGTATCTTTATATCTAAATTCTAAGGATAATTGTTAAATTTCTACCACCATCTATTTTAGGTAGAACTGACTTGAAACTAAGCAAAACAAAAAATTATACACAGAACTTTTCCTCAATAGATTGTTTTAATTAGTACTAATTTTTGTTTGTTTGTTCGAGATGCAGTCTCGCTGTGTCACCCAGGCTGGAGTGCGGTGGCGTGATCTCAGCTCACTGCTAGCATGATCTTGGCTCACTGCAACCTCCACCTCCCAGGTTCAAGTGATTCTTCTGCTTCAGCCTCCCAAGTAGCTGGGACTACAGGCATGCACCACCACACCTGGCTAATTTTTTAATTAATACTGATTTTTAATCAGAGTATTATGTTTACAAAATTTTTTTAGGTTTATGCAGAGCTAAAAGGCTTACCACAATAACAAAATAATAGCTCCAAGTTCTACTTGCCTGCCAACCTTGTTGTCCTACTTGCAGTTTTAACATTTCTTTAATATTACTTTTAAAACTCTAAATGGTATGTGTGTATCACTATCTCTCAATTCATCACATTTTAGTTATTTACTAACTTTCCAATATGGTAAATTATTTCACTCACCATCTTCCCCTTCTTCTATTCCTCCCAATATAATTCTTTCTCTCCTTCTCTTTCTGTCTCATTTAAAGCCAAACACAGAAGTTTCATTCTTATAATTATGTAAATATTCATCACTGTTGAGTCAAGTGGAGTGTCATGACTACATTTACTTTCTTGTACAAATTTTTTTCATTTACTTTATTTCCCACACACTCCAACACTTTCTATAAAATGCCTTGCATGGCCAGGTGCAGTGGCTCACACCTGTAATCCCAGCATTTTGGGAGACTGAGGCGGGAGGATTATGTGAGCCCAGGAGTTTGACACCAGCCTGGGCAATGAAGTGAGACCCTGTCTCATTTACATATGTATATAGAAAGAACTACAGTCTTGAGGAAACCAACTCAAGACCAATATGTTCTGTGATGTAGATTTCCTAGAGACGTAGTTGTTGTTAACTACAGAAAGAACCCCATGAAGATAAATAGGGGTAGAGACATAAAAATTGGAAGATAACCAGAATAAAGCCATCTGGTAGTGATATTGCCAAACGTCATCTAGACAATAATTGGACATCTGTTTAATGACCTCTGAGAGCTCCAGGGAATGTTTCTTTTCTGCTACTAAAGAAGGATGTCACTAATCACATTGCAAGTAGCCCTGAGTATGTCCAGAGGAAGGATTTTCTAGTTAAGCAGAAAGTTTTTTGAGCTTTCACATTAAATTAGGCTTATATTAGAGGGGCTACAAGAATTAAAATATTTGCAAATGTATAGAATACCTAATCCAATCCTGCAAAACTGTTTTATGCATACGAGAGAGAGAGAGAAAATAACAGAGACAGAGACAGAGAAAAAAAATAATAGAGATAGAGACAGAGAAAGAAACAGAGAGACAGAGAAAATAATAAAATCTATTTTAAACCTCCTTCTCCAGAAATGGAGTTATCATAGTCCTCCATTCAAAAAGAATTTTTGTTAAGTTTCTAAGTGACATCTAACACATGAGAGAATAAGACAAGGCCCTTGTGCACATGCAGCCTACAGACTAGTATAAAGACTAGACCCGGCCTGATCAGGCCAGGTGTGGTGGTTCATACCTGTAATCCCAGCACTTTTGGGAGGCTAAGGTGGGCAGATCACTTGAGCTCAGGAGTTCAAGACCAGCCTGGCCAACATGGCAAAACCCCATCTCTACAAAAAATACAAAAATTAGCTGGGTGTGGTGGCATGCACCTGTGGTCCCAGCTATTCTGGAGGCTGAGAGAGAAGGATCACTTGAGCCCAGGAGGCGGAGGTTGCAGTGAGCTGAGATTGCACCACTGCACTCCAGCCTGGGTAATAGAGCAAGGCTTTGTATCAAAAAAAAATTATATATATATATATATACACACACACATATCTTTTATTACCTTGTCTCAAAATCAAATGCATCCTTTATAAGCCATAAGACTTTTAAAAAATACATATATATACATACATCTATATAGATACATATATATGTATCTGACCTTCTTCTCTCTTCTCACCTGCCCCAAGGCAGAACTCTTAACCGCACCCCCATCTTAAGACTGTCTGCAGAGAGAGTCCCACCCTATACACTGAGGGAAGGAATGCTTGTCTTGAAGTTTCCATAAAAACCCATGGGGACTGGGTTCAGAAAGTTTCCAGATAGCTGAACACGTGGAGGTTCCTGAAGGCTGGTGTGCCCCCAGAAGGCATCTATATATGTATAGATACATATATGTATCTATCTATATAGATGTATATATATATGTATCTATCTCTATAGATGTATGTATATATGTATCTATCTATATCTATCTATGTATCTATATATGTGTATATGTATCTATATATAGATATATATCTATATATGTATCTATCTATATATATGTGTGTGTGTATCTTTTTTTAAAGTCTTCTTTATGGCTTATACAGGATGGATTTGATTTTGAGAGCTGGTAATAAAAGCAAGGAAGGAAAATTCTGATTCAAAGAAAAGAAAAGCAGTGCTTCTCACCAGTCAAGAGATTTTTCAATTTTGAGGCTCTTAATGTATTTTTTAAAAGTAAAGAAACGCAAAAATACTAGTTTACAGAATAGCATTGTTTATGTCTCTATTCCATTTGAAAATAATGAAGTCTAAATTTAAAACGCTTTTTGAATGAAACTCCCAGGACAAATGGTCTTTTTGACTTCCCATCATCACTCACCCCAGATAGATCCTGAGATACAAAAGCAAAGAGAGACAATGTCATAAGGCACATTCAGAGGAAATAAATGTGATCTTGATTACAGAAATAGACAAGACAGGTATGTGGGGTTTTTTTTTCTACAGGGTTAAAAAAACATTTAACAAAGTTCTTTTAATATAAAGGACACACAAAAAATGTGATTTGTTAACTGCTTAAAAGCATTTATCTATGCCCCTCATGTATCACATATCACTCACCTTGCCAGTTGTAATAATAATTTATCTTCTTAGCAAACTGTGGTATTATTATATATGTTGGTTTTTGTCCATGGTACCTAGCTTACAACTCCCATAGCCCTTTTTACAGTCTTTTGTTATAACGTTGGGTATGTTAGGCCTCAGAAAACAAGAATTTCTCTGACCTTCTTCCCTCTTTTCACCTGCCCCAAGGCAGAACTCTTATCTGCACCCCCATCTTAAGACTGTCTGCAGAGAGGGTCCCACCCTATACACTGAGGGAAAGGAATGCTTGTCTTGAAGTTTCCATAAAAACCCATGGGGATGGGGTTCAGAATTTTCTAGACAGCTGAACGCATGGAGGTTCCTGAAGGCTGGCATGCCCCCAGAGGGCATGGAAGTTGCGTGCCCCGTCCCACATACCTTACCTTATAAAGGTATACATGTCTTCATCTGTATCATTTGTAATATCCTTTACAATAAACCAGCAAACTTAAGTGTTTTCCCTGAGTTCTGTGAGCCACTCTAGCAAATTAATCAAACTCAAAGAAATTGATTAATTCCAAAGAGGTGGGAGCTCCACCTTGAAGTTCCAAAGAGGTGGGAACCCCAACTTGAAGCCAGTCAGTCAGAAGTTCCAGAGGCCTGGAGTTGTGACTGGGTGTAAGGAGGAGGTGGTCTTGTGGGACTGATCCCTCAACCTGTAGGCTCTGATGCTATCTCCAGGGAAATAGTGTCAGAATGAAATTGGAGGATACCCAACTGGTGTCTGCTGCTTAGGTGTGGGGAAAAACCCACTCCTACTTTGGGAGGCCAAGGCAGGCGGATCACCTGAGGTCAGGAGTTCGAGACAAGCCTGGCCAATATGGGGAAACCCCATCTCTACTAAAAATACAAAAATAAGCCAGGTGTGGTGACGCATGCCTGTAATCCCAGCTACTCAGCTACTCAGGAGGCTGAGGCAGGAGAATTGCTCAAATCTGGAAAGCAGAGGTTGCAGTGAGCCAAGATCACACCACTGCACACTCCAGACTGGGTGACAGAGCAAGACTCAAAAAAAAAAAAAAAAAAAAAAGCTCCACTCCTTTGGTCATGGAAGGACTGTGTTGATGCTGTGGTGCTGTGAGAGCAGAGGGAAAATAGGGTTTGGCTGTGTCCCCACCCAAATCTCATCTTGAATTGTAGTTTCCATAATCCCTATGTGTCATGGAGGGACCCAGTGGGAGGTAATGGAATCATGGGGGTGGCTAACCCCATGTTGTTGTCATGACAGTGACTGGGTTCTCACAAGATCTGATGTTTTTATAAGGGGCTTTTCCCTCTTTGCTCAGCCCTTCTTCCTGCTGCCCTGTGAAGAAGGTGCCTTTCTTCCCCTTCCACCATGACTGTAAGTTTCCTGAGGTCTCCCCATTCATGCATAACTGTGAGACAATTAAACCTCTTTTCTTTGTAAATTACCCAGTCTCGGGTATTTCTTCAAAGCCTCGTGAGAACGAAGTAATACACATTGTGTGGGAGAATTTTTCTCTACATACAAACTGTTTTACAGATTTTCTCCCACATAAAGTTTTATTTCTTCAGTAAAAGTACATAATATCAAAGCACAGCATGACTTTTCTGGGAATGTTAGTAGATTCTGATGTCCCAAACACCAGCTGGTCTCTTCACTAAAAGTCTGACCAGGAGAGAAGAAATTGTTCTCTGAAGGAAGAAAGTTCATCTTCAATGACAAAAATATTAAATAAAAATTAACATAAGCCTGGGCAACATAATGAGACCCCATCTTTACAAAAAATAAAAAAGAAATTATTCAGACATGGTGGCACATGCCTGTAGTCCCAGCTACTCAGGAGGCTGAGGCGGGAGGATTGCTTGAGCCAGGGAGGTCAAGGCTACAGTGAGCCATGATTGCACCACTGCACTCCAGCCTCAGCCTCGGCAACAGAGCAAGACACTGTCTCAAAAAAACAAAAAGAAAAAAAAGAAAAGAAGAAAAATCAGCATATGTGCTGATACACCAGCTCATAAAAATCACTATTTCATATCTTATAAATCCTTTCTGTTTTACCCACTGTATTTCACACAAAATTCACCCCCTCAGCTTCTTCTCTGTGAATGTGGTCTCAGAAACAATCATAGCATTGTAGATCATGTTGGTGAACAAATCAAAGTTTGTCAGTCAGAGAAATTAGCAAATCAGTATTTCTCTAGACGTTAGAAGGGGATGGGTTGAAAAACGTTAAGCAAGAAATGTCAAATAAACTGGAAGTGAGAGAGGGCCAGCAAAGTCACAGTAAAAAAGCTCTGAAATATATTACATGAAGGTTTTACTACATATGAACAAATAAAAAATGAGAGCTGTGAATTCTACCTAAAAGCAGAGTGCCATCTGAAAGTGAAAGTGATGAAGATTCAGATAGTTTATATTTTTGTTTGCTTCAATATCTAAGCAATATCTTTTTATGTAATGCAGAATTAATTTGCCACTTCTTTGAAGTTTATAGAGAATGCATACTTAGTGGTCATTTTTTCATTATTTTCTCCATTGATGAAGTGAATGTAGAGAAACTCATATGTCAGACATGGTGCTCAGCACTTTACAAATATTATATCAGTTATTTTTCAAAATAATCCAGAGAAGTAGGTATTATCCCTACTTTAGAGATGAGGGAAAAGAGGAGATTACATAGTCTAAAGTTATATAACAAGTAAAACCAGGATTCAGGCTGGGCGCAGTGGCTCACGACTGTAATCCCAGCACTTTGGGAGGCCGAGGCAGGCAGATCATCTGAAGTCAGGAGTTTGAGACCAGCCTGACCAAAATAGAGAAACCCCGTCTCTACTAAAAATACAAAATTAGCCAGGCGTGGTGGCGCATGCCTGTAATCCCAATTACTCGGGAGGCTGAGGCAGGAGAATCGCTTGAACCTGGGATGTGGAGGTCGTGGTGAGCCGAGATCACGCCACTACACTCAAGCCTGATAGGCAACAAGAGCGAAACTCTCTCTCAAAAGAAAAAAAAAGTAAAACCAGGATTCAAATTCAGGCAGCATGGCTCCAGAATCCATACTCGTAACCTTAATTTGGTTTTTTTTAAATGTGTATTTTAGAGATAAACATAGCATGTGAGGTATGCTATAAGGTATACTTCACAGTATTACAAAATATGTAGTTTTACAAGTTAAAAATCAGTATATTTTATAATAATTATATTAAAATGGTATTTGGATCTATTTTTCCCTTCTATACAATATATTTTTCAGCAGCTCGGTGAATGAAGCAAGGAAAGGATTTCCAGATCTGAAAATTCTAATATTCCCTCCACAGTTATACCATTTTCTCCTTGAATTTAGGAAATCTGGCCTTTGGCATCCAGGTTAGAGAATTAAGCTGATGGTTTCAGGGTGGTTATCCCCCACCAAAATGGGGATTATAGTCTGAACAGCATAGCTCCTCCCTATCCCCAGGTGCCTTACTTCAATATAGAGGGTAGGTCCTGGCTGTTGCAGATCTGATGTGTAAGAAGAATCCACCAAGTTCTCAGGCATATCTTTAGACTCAGTTGACCTTGGAGATGACCTGGGCATAGGAAGGAAGTAGTACTGCAGGCCATTACCCCAACTTTGGTGAGGGATAACCAATCGAAAACAGAATCAGCTTGATTCTGTAATTTAGAGACCAGAGGCCAGACTAGAGAATACACGGCACTTTGTAAATCTTTCCAGAAGAACCTAAAGATTTAACACTGAGTCCACTCTCATTAGCCAGAACCCCATCCCTACCTTCTCCCAGCTATTTATAGACTCCTAGACTACTCCTAGAAAAAGAAAGACCTTCAAGTTTGCAGAAGCATTGAGGGCTCCTCCAGATTATGACCTTCTGCTAGGGAAAGAACTTTGACTTATAGGTGTAGACTACTTTAACAATTGTTTCTAAGCATTTGTAATCAAGGTGCTGTCTCTCCAAATTACCACTGCCTTACTTTTGTTCAAATTAGTTGCCATAAAATAAGAAAATATTAAAATTGGAAAGTGTGGTAAAGCAAAATAATGACTGTCCCCACCCCCTGCAAAGATGTTCACACCCTAACCCTCAGAGCCCATTGCTATGTGAACTTACGTGACAAAAGAAATTTTGCAGATGTGATTATGGTTAAGGATCTTGAGATGAAGATCATCTTGGATTATCTAAGCAGGCTCAACCTAACCACATGAGTTCTTAAAAGTGGAGAATCTTTCCAGCTGGATCAGAGAGAAGGCTAAAGGAGGAAAGATTCAAAGCATGAAAGGAAGTCGACTCGTTGCTGGCTTTAAACATGGGGGAAGGAGCCAGAAGATAAGGAATGTGATGGCCTTTAGAAGCTGAGAACAGCCCTCTGATAACAGCCATCAAGGTCATGGAGATCTCAGTCCCACAATCACAAGGAACTCAATTCTCCTATCGATCTAAATAAGCAAGGCAACTGGGTGTGGTGGTTCATGCCTGTAATCCCAGCATTTCGGGAAGCCAAGGCAGGCGGATCGCCTGAGGTCAGGAGTTCGAGACCAGCGTAGCCAACATGGTGAAACCCCATCTCTACTAAAAATACAAAAATTAGCCAGGCATGGTGGCAGGCGCCTGTAGTCTCAGCTACTCGGGAGGCTGAGACAGGAGAATTGCTTGAACCCAGGAGGCAGAGGTTACAGTGAGCCGAGATCGCGTCACTGAATTCCAGCCTGGGTGACAAGAGTGAGACTTCATCTCAAAAATATAAAAATGAATACATAAATAAATAAGCAAGGAAATAGACTCTCCCTTAGAGACTCCAGAGAGAAACAGTCTTGCTGATTTTAGTGCAGTGGAACCTGTGTGAGACTTTCAATTTACAGAACTACAAGACAATAAATTTGTGTTATTCAAGATAAGTTTGCAGTAATTTGTTACGGCAACAACAGAAAACAAATACAGAAGAGATTTTCAAGACATTTTTTTCAGTTCTAACACTCATTTTACCAGTGAGAAAATTGGATCCTAGTTATGCTGTAAAAAGTTCTTCTAACCCTATTCATTTGACTAGCATCTAGTCTGCCCTCAAAATTCGACTTGGATGTCTTTTCCTCTGTAAGTTTTCCCTGGCCCTCCAGGACTAGGTGTTCGTATTACATGGTCTCAAAACATTTCATGCATGCTTTAGCACACTGCCTATTTCTCTGAACTCCCTACTGGATTTTGAGGGCAAGGACTTTGTCTTACTCAACATGATATTTTTTTAGCTTAACACATCCCAGTAGTTATTATAGCTCAATAATCATTGAATGAAAAAATAATTAGCAGTTATAGCTCAACAAACATTCATTCATTCAATTCAACAAACATTGAATGTTTGTTGAGCTGTAACTCAATAAAATGATATATTTTTTGAGCTATAACTCGCTATAGCTAAAAAAATAAAAACACTCTCTCCCCTGAATACATTTTCCGTATGCTGTTAGAGTATTCTCTTAAAAGTGACCAAAGCATGGCAAACAGATTTGCAGCCCTGGAGTGGCAGTATAGCTTGTTTGCTAAGGACATGGATTTTGGAATCATACAAACCAGATTCATGCCGTGCTTCTACCAATTATTAAGTATATGGCCTTAAACAAGTTTCTTTCTTTCCTTTAGTGTTAGTTCCTCAGTTGTAATAATAACACCTGCCCCAAAGGATTGCATGAGAATTCACTGAAATGATGCTTATAAAATGTTTATCTGAGGCCAGGTGTGGTGGCTGACGCCTGTAATCCCAGCACTTTGGGAGGCCGAGGTGGGTGGATGATCTGAGGTCAGGAGTTCAAGACTAGCCTGGCCAAGATGGTGAAACCCCATCTCTACTAAAAATACAAAAATCAGCCGGGCGTGGTGGTGGGCGCCTGTAATCCCAGCTACTCAGGAGGCTGAGGCAGGAGAATCGTTTGAACCTAGGAAGCGGAGGTTGCAGTGAGCTGAGATTGTGCCACTGCCCTCCAGCCTGGGCAACAGAGCAAGACTCCATCTCGGGAAAAAAATAAAAATAAAAATAATAAAAAATAAAATATTTATCCAGGTACTTACGAAATAGTAAGAGCTAAAACAGAAAAATTGGCCATTATTATTACTAGATATCTGCAATGGCTAATTTTATGCATAAATTTCTCTAAGCCATGATGCACAGATATTTGGTCAAACAATTATTCTAGATGTTTCTGCGAGGGTGTTTTTGGATGAGTTTAACATTCGGTGGACTTTGAATGAAGTAGTTTGCCCTCCACAATCTAGTGGGCCTCATCCAATCAGCTGAAGGTCTAAATAGAACAAAAATCAGCTTCTTTGAGCAAGAAGGAATTCTCCAGCAAATGGCCTTCTACTTGCAGTTATCTGGGTCTCTAGCCTGCTTGCAGATTTTGGACTTGCCAGCCTCCATAACTGCGTGAGCCAATTCTATACACACATGTGTGCACACACATACATCCCAGTGATTCTGTTTCTCTGAAGAATCCTGACTAATACACAATACCTGTAAATATGATGACATTATTAGGTACAACTTGTAAAAATGAAAATTGGAAGATATGTAGATTCCTATTATCCATTATAAGTAAATGTTCCTTTAATTTCAATATCACATGAGACTTTCAGTTATTAAGAGCAGCAACAACAAAAACAACAAAAGAAAAACGGGCTTAATATAAGAACTAAAAAAAGGGGAAAGAAGAGGAGGAAGAAGAGAGAAGGAGAAGAAATGCATTGGCTCATGTGACTGACATGTGCTGGCATATATCCAGCTTCTGGGATAATTAGATGCACATCTCAAAAAATATCACCAGGGTCCAGTTTCTGTCCACCTCTCAGAGATGCCCTCTTCATGGGGTTTCATTCTCAGATAGAAGTTCTTCTTGTGGTGGTGAGATAGATATAGCAGCTCCACATCACACATTTTCAGGTTCAAGTCACAAGTGAATAAGAATGCATCTTTTCTGATAATTCCCATAAAAGTTATGGGACACACTCTTCTTTTTTTTTTTTTTTTTTTTTTGAGACGGAGTCTTGCTCTGTCACCCAGGCTGGAGTGCAGTGGCGCCATCTCGGCTCACTGCAAGCTCTGCCTCCCAGGTTCACGCCATTCTTCTGCCTCAGCCTCCCAAGTAGCTGGGACTACAGGCGCCTGCCACCACGCCTGGCTAATTTTTTGTATTTTTAGTGGAGATGGGGTTTCACCATGTTAGCCACGATGGTCTTGATCTCCTGATCTCCTGATCTGCCCTCCTCGGCCTCCCAAAGTGCTGGGATTACAGGCATGAGAGACTCACTCTTAATGGACTGACCTAGAACAAGTGTTCATTCAAAACCATCACTGTGACCAGACTAGATATGTAGATTGGTCTTGGTTAATCTGTGCTCAATGCTGAGACTCCCCACTAAACTAGTGATTGAAAATGAGGACAGAGTAGCTTTCCACTGTATATATGTTGCCTGAAAAAGGTTAAATGGATGCTAGTCAGACAAGAACAAGAGATAACCACTCTAATTGCTTAACAAAATCACTCTGCAATTTGTGTTATTTTGCCTTCTACAAAGGGTATTTGATTTTTGAGAACCAAAAGCACAAGAGGATACCTGGCATTAAATATTTTTAAATGTTCCATGCTAAAAATTCATGCAATATGAAAAACATATAACAGGAAATTTCCTTTCTTTGCCGTTTTATGACACAAACAATTTCAAACCTTTCCATAATATTACAATTGTCGTTGTTGCTATTTGGTGATGATTAAGCTTTAAGCTTGCTTTATATTTTCAAAGTGATCTACTATCATTTGTATTAGCTACACATATGTATGTATATGTAATTTTATGTATCAATTTCTCTAGGTCATGGCATCTAGAAATGCCAGTCAGGTCTTCTGGCATTTCTTTCTCCACTATTCAATTTTTTACAAAAAGCCAAAAAATTATCACACCAGTTGGTTAAAACAGCTTGTAGCTAGGCTAAAATGAGAACCACCCTCCAACCCAGGATAACCAGTCTGTTACTTAGTAACAACAACAGAATATTCTAAATCTAAACCACGACAAGATTTAGATGGACAGTTTTATTTGCCATGATTCCAATATTCAAAATACTGTCTATATAATTTAGAGAAAACTTAAAAGTCATATACACAAAAACTTTGACAATGGTTTTTACTAAGCCAAAGGGATAGATAACAATTATTGAGCACCTAATGCATCCATGCTTTAAATGCATTATGTCAGGAAACATTATTAGCCCCATTTTTCCTATGAGGAAGAACATTAAAGTTTAGATAGTTTAAGTTTAAGGTCAGCTAGCTGGTAAGCACCAGAGCCAGGTTTTGAACTTAGAAAGTCTGATGTCTACTTTTCTGTTATGAAAGCCTATTAAAGGCCAGGTGCTGTGGCTCGTGCCTGTAATCCCAGCACTTTGGGAGGTCGAGGCGTGTGGATCACCTGAGGTCAGGAGTTCGAGACCAGCCTGGCCAACATGGCAAAACCCCATCTCTACTAAAAATATAAAAGTTAGCCGGGCGTGGTGGCAGACACCTGTAATCCTAGCTACTCGTGAGGCTGAGGCAGGAGAATAGCTTGAACCTGGGAGGCAGAGGTTGCAGTGACTGGAGATCGTGCCACTGTACTCCAACCTGGGTAACAGAGGAAGAATCTGCACCCCACCCCAGGAAAAAAAGAAAGCCTATTAAAGACCACCTTTTCCTCCTAAATCTCTAAACTCTCTAGAAAAAAAAATTACTTTTAGTTTGGACAACATAGTAGGACTTCATCTCTACAAAAAATTAGCCAGGCATGGTGGCACATGCCTGTAGTAAGCTACTCAGGAGGCTGAGGCAGAAGGATTGCTGGAACCCAGGAGGTTGAGGCTGCAGCAAACCATGATTGCACCACTGTGCTCCAGCCTGGGTGACAAAGCAAGACGGTATCTCAAAAAAAAAAAAAAATTACCTCTGCAAAATAGAAAAACATTATTACAGAAGGAGGGAAAGAAGAAAAGAAGGAAAGAAGGGGTGAACAATTTCATTATACACCAATAACCACAACATTATAGCCACAGTTACTTTTTTTAGGCTAGTTTATAGAGGTTGTTAGATAAAATGGGTGAGACATAAATTACTACCTATACTGGATGCTATAACACACCATTAAGGTTCCCTTTACCAGGCCCCAGCACCAGTCTACCCTCCACCAGAGAACTGCCATCTGCTGACTAGAGCCACTTCACCAGGAAGGTTTCCCATGCCTCCCCCTTCAACTTCCCTGTCCCTCCCCATCTCCAGCTCATAACTAATGGTTGAATAATACAGGGCTATAAAAGGCCAGCCCCCATGTCCCCAACTCTGCAGCACATTTATTTCAGAGATCACCTCCTCAGGAACAGGCCAAGGCTAGAGTTTGCTTGGCTCTTTCATTCAAAATAAAATAAGCTATGTGAATAAAATATATGTCCATCTTTTACTACAAAGTCTCCATCTTAATCTCTTTCCCAACTAGAAACTAGGGTTTGCATTAATTATGATGCCTTGATCACATGGTAACAATTCTTGCAATTTCAAGAGGGTGGTTTGCTAATCTGTTTGAGAATTGTCTGTGCTGGACTAAGAATGGTGCACTAGCACACAGAAGTAAGAGATCTGAAGTCCAACATTCTAGCCCTGCCTCTGCCACTTATTTTTGCTAGTCAAATGATGTGGAATGGTCACATAATCATTCTGAACCTTCCTTTCCTTCTCTGTAAGAAGATGGATTATACTTGTCCCTTCTAATTCAGCAGGTAGGTGTGAGAACAGCTGAGCTAGTAAATGAAATAAAAAATCAGGCCCGATTTTTTTTTCTAATTGAAGAAACCAAGATATAAATTACTGTAAAAATAGTAATGAAGTCAGAAGACTCTAATCCCTAGAACTATGCTATATGTGTTCTATTAAAGGCACACTATTCAAAAGACAAAGAAGTTTGCAATATCTGACAGTTCTCGCTGTAATAAATATAAATTTATTTTGTGAGCAATAAGTCAAAATTGAATCAAATGTGTTTATTTAAAAGAAGACATAGCAATCCTTTCTTCAATTTAAAAGCAATTTCATTTTTTATTGCACTCATTTTTTTCTAAGTAAATGTGTATTGTATTGTGAAATAAATGAAATCAGGGTTTCTTTTGTTGTATAGAAGTGGAAATTCTTTTTTAAACAATTACTTTTCTTTGGATAATTCCTAAGAGAAGTTTTATTTTGAGTAATACTTTTGTTACTCCTTGATGACATTTTGTTTAATCATGTTTACCATCTTTTGTTATTTCTTTCAATATTGGCCTCCTAAGAGATTTGTTATGAAGCATTTGTGTTCCCTTTTGTGTTTTTCTAAAGTGCATTCCAAGCTTTATTTTTTTTTCTCTGAAATTTTCTTCAGCTCCACTTGAGTAATTAAGTGATCATATTGTTTTCACTTTATAAAAATACTATTAAGATTTGCATCTTAATAGTATTAAGATTTGCATCTTAATAGTATTAAGATTTACATCTTAATAGTATTAAGGTTTCCATATTTCTACAAAATAAATTTGTAGTTTCATACTGTTTCCTGGCTCCTCTGTGGAATCAGGTCATTTAAGGCTACTCTGCTGTTAAAAATGATGTCTTAATTTTTAAAAGATATTCCAGATTCTACTGTTACTTTCTTATTTACTCCTCACATCTCAGAGCTGGTCATCTTCAGCAAAATAATCCAAAATAATGAACAATCTTATCCATTTTACTTACAACAGAATTCACTGAAAAACTAAAGGAAAATGCACTACCAGGACACTGAGAAGAATATGATGCATTTCTTTTATGATGTAAATTGAAAGCAGCTGGAAGTTAGCTATGTAATGAACTCCCAGGAACAAATACATGAGCAAATTGAGTCACAAACGAATGTCACACTTTACAGAGTCCACAATAAAGTTTTCTCTTACATGTCATCTAGCTGGATCAAATACAAACATGATGCTGCGTGCCTACTGAAGATAGTACCCACTGGCTTTGGTGTGAGACAGCAGTCTCACTCTTAGAATTTCAACAGTGAATGTAGTGAACAGAAGAGCTGATGGAATTTTGCATAATGTGCCTTATAAAGCAACTCAGTGAAAATAGCGTCCTGAAGGCCTGACCTCACCTAACCTGACCAGAATGTCCAGTTATGTTCCCTCTACAAAACCAGATGGACTGTGAAGAAGTTGGGACCAAGTGTTAAATAGGGAATCCTCATCTCAGTGTGAACTATGTTAATGGTGGGAGACATGGTTGCAGATAACCAAAAGCTGTGGATAAAACTCAAAAACCCTAATAAACATAACGGTGTCTTCTCAGGCAGTGAGGAACAGTGCCTAGAACATGGTTGTGATGGTTAATTTTATGTGTCAGCTATGATGCCCAGTTGTTTGGTCAAACACCAGTCTAGATGTTGCTGTAAAAGTATGTTTTAGATGTGACTAATATTTAAATAGACTTCGAGCAAAGGAGATTAATCTCTATAATGTGGATGAGTTTCATGCAATCAGTTGAAGGCCTTAAGAGCAAAGACTAAGGTTTCCCTAAAGAAAGCTATTCTGCCTCAAAACTGCATCACAGAATCTCTGCCTGTATTTTCAGCTGAATGGTCTGCCCTGCAAATTTCAAACTCAAGACTACAATAGAGTTTAGACTTGCCAGCCTCACAATCACATGAGCCATTTCTTAAAATAAATCTCTATCTCTCTATTTTTCTCTATACACACACACACACACGCACAGGCCCTACTGGCTCTGTTAGTCTGGAGAACCTTGACTAACACGATGGTAGTTACTTACTGCTCACCAGAAGCCCTAAGAGACTGAATATAGAAATGGACAGTGGCCATGCCATATGTAAAATTAGAAATTCGACCCACAACCTGCAGCAAGCTGCCCGAGAAACCAACACCCTCATCAACAATAAACAACCCAGGAGATCAGCCTGCTGTAAGTCAGAATTGCAGGAAACCAGATTGCTTTCTTTAGTGACAATCCAGGAAGCTAAACAATAACTTGTGTAACAATTGGCCCAGAATCGTCAGGAAATGAATGAATGACAGTTTCTTTAATTTTGCCCCTGCTTCCAACTTAGGACCAGAGAAAGCCAAATAAGCACCTTAGCAAATTGCACAGGATGCCCCATCTAGAGGCCAAAGCAACTCCATCTTGGATGCTAATCTGCCCTGTTAGCTTCTGATTAACCCTCATTCCAATTTATCTATTTGAACCTTGTTTAAGAGCAGGTACTTATTGTAAATCCTGCCCTTAGAGTAAGACACCTTGATAAACTCATACATACAGTAAATCCTGCCCTTAGGTCAAACAGCTTTGATGTTATCATAATTGTCTTACAAATTCCTTTTCAACCACTCCTCTCCCTATGGCATAAAAGTCCCAGGTCTTGGGGGTAATTATGCTGGGATCCACCAACTTGCCTCATCACTGCCCAAGATATAGTCACGGCTTCTGTTCCTAAATCCCTATTAAATGTTTCTTTCTAAGAAACTGGGTGCCTCTTTGGCCTCTCAACTTCCTTAGACTTTGATGTAGGATTACACAGACCTGCCCACTGTGAAACACTGACTCCAGTCAACCTGCTTCTGGCTTCCCTATGCCAACAGTCTTCAACCAGGGCATATCTGAAGGCTTCCCTTTTTTCTGCTATAAAACTTTTCCACCCATCTGCCCGCCTTTGACTTTCTGCCAAAACCCAGGTGATGGTGGCTAACTCCCTTGCTATAGTAAGCTAAGAATAGCCTTTCCTTTTCTCATTTGGTTGATCATTTATTTCCACAGCCCTAAGGCCTTGAGATGGCAAGAAATCAGTTCTGGCAGAAACCATAGTGAGATAGGACCTGCCTCAAAATGCTACTGCCTCTAGAGACAGAATTTCCAGACTCAATAGGTATAACTCAAGAGTGTGGATAATATAGAAGAATGTATATTTTTATGTATTCTCCTCCTAAACAGCACTGTTATTCATCAGGCTGTATGATATTATTTTAACCGAAACAAATGGCAATATCAAGATATATTATAAGATGAAAAACCTTTAGTATAAAAACAATTTTTAAGATTTAATTTTTGACTTATGGCTCAGATGATAACTTGCTAACTATACATTCAACTATAAAATAGTCTATTTTATTATTTTTTTTAGAGACAGGGTCTCATTCTGTCGCCCAGGCTGGAGTGCAGTGACGCCAGTGCAGTCTGGAACTCCTAGGCTCAAGGAGATCCTCCACCTCAGCTGTCCAAGTAGCTAGGACTACAAGGACGTACCACCAGGCCCAAAAGATTCTATTTTTAAACATACCTTCTTTTATTCTCAACAAATGCACTATTTCAGATAAAAATATAAAAAGTACTATTTATCTGTAAAACGGTGGCCTTTAACCTACCTTGGATAGGATTTATAACTAATCTGCAAACACTAAGATTTGGGAATAATATTTATTTAATTGAATTTATAAAAATTAACATAAAAGGCTAAGACCTCTAAGAGCAGTAGTTGGGAATTAAAAGGACCCAGGAATATAGGTTAATGTCACATAATGTAGGAATATCACAATGGGATGCATTTGATAATTAGATTTTTTTTTTTTTTGAGACGGAGTCTCGCTCTGTCACCCAGGCTGGAGTGCAGTGGCACGATCTCGGCTCACTGCAAGCTCCTCCTCCTGGTTTCACGCCATTCTCCTGCCTCAGCCTCCCAAGTAGCTGGGACTACAGGCACCCGCCACCACGTCCGTCTAATTTTTTTTGCATTTTTAGTAGAGATGGGGGTTTCACTGCGCTAGCCAGGATGGTCTCAATCTCCTGACCTCGTGATCCGCCCGCCTTATCCTCCAAAAGTGCTGGCATTACATGCGTGAGCCACCGCGCCCAGCTGATTTATTTTTTTAAAAATATTAAGTATAGTCTTAAATCAGTAGAATTTCACAGTAAACTTTTCAAGTATTTGATTTTCGGCTTATGGTAACTAAGTGTAAACCATTGCTTTTAATGTTCTTTTCAATGATATGCAAAAAAATCACACTTGATTTAAGAACATTCGTTTAAATTTAAATTCTTCACAAAACATCAAAAATGAATTACCATTATATTATAAACATGATCAAAATAAATCTTAGACATGAAAAAAGAACATAATCTCCCAAAGTAGCACAAATCTCACCTCCTTCAGAGGCAAACATAGAGCAAAATTAACAAAAAGATATTAACAGAATTGACCTGTAATTATAACATGACATACAGAAAACTTTTTAACAGAGATGATCCCTAAGAAAATTACAGTTATGAAAGATAATGAGGTGCCTTAAAATTTCCGCTTGAAAATTTTGCAAAGGCTCATTGTTGGTCCATTTAATTACTCAGGAAGATTTGATCTTCACAGGAAGCAGCTTCTAATAGCAGCTCTGGAATACTAGCTGTGACTTCCACTTGGAGGGTGCTATAATAACAGTGCACAAGAAAAATATGTTATTAAACATATAGGCCATAGCTTCAACTCCTCAAGAAGTCCTTTTTCTGAATACTACCATCCTTTAAATATGCACTTTGACTGAGCTCCCTATACGTTTATTTATACACCTGGTCTATTACAGGAACAGAAAAGCTTTAGAGTTCACAGTGAGACCACACTTTGTAAATATAGTGACCCCCCATGCCCAAGATAAAGCAGACACACACACACACACACACACACACACAATAATAAGACTTACTGCTGCCTTCAAAGCTTGATCTAGATCTTCCAGTAGGTCTTCCTCATCCTCTAAGCCCACAGAAAGTCGAATCAGTGTGTCACTAATTCCAAGGACATCTCTGTCATTCTTAAGAACTGATGCATGAGTCATGATTGCCCTGAAAGAAGACATGAGCAAATTTTTGATCACTATATTGTGTCAGTGGAGGCATGTTTCTGTCTCATAAACTGCAATTACCCTCAACATTTTTCTGGTCCAAATATCAAATTTTGCATACCCCTATAATTCACAGGCAAAAAAAGAGAAAATTACGAAACTTATCTCTTCTAGCTATGATTTTAAATGAAAAGCAAGATTGTTTTTATCCTGTTTATACCATTGGTAAGATATGCTCAATCCAAATACTGAAAGTGTGTGTCAAGTACCCCCATGCAGTAGGGTAAGGCATAGCCTCCCCAATGTGTATATTTTAATACCTGCCTAAATGAAGTTTGGCCAGAAATCATGTACTCCATGACCAACCTACTGGATTGCTACTTATAAGAGGTCTCTTGGACCAAGAGCCTGTCATAATTAGTTTCCTCTGAATCAATCCAGAGCTAGACCTTCTGAGGCACATCGGAGAAAGATGACCAAGAATCACTAGTAGCAACCAGTAAGCATTCAGAATTCCACAATATAACTCCTGGCATAGAGGCCTGGAAGGATTTTTCAAACGATCTAGCAGCCCATTACCATCATCAACAGATGTAAAGGAAAACCACCCATAATATGTCAAGCACTGCAGTAAAAATTGGGAAACCAAGAAGAATGAGATATTTTCTTTAACCTAAATAACAAAGCAGGAGGTAAAAGCGATGACAATTCACAAAACAAAATAGTCTATATAAACAATGCCAAACAAGTATAGACAAAAAGACTGCCAAGTTCCAGGGAAGGAGAAATTTCTGTGAAGAATAATGGAGGAGAGGTTTAGCATCTTACTTAACCCCAGTATGTGTATTACAACCAACACTCTTCCTTTCCCTGCACACCACCAGCAAAATCAATACCTAAGCTGCTTTCTCCTCTCTTACATGAGAGCCATGGGGAAAAAAAAATCTCAGCTGTGGTCTGAGTGATGGATATCTTCCTTTGTCACTTTACTAAAGTGTTGTTTAGATACAAACATCCATCTTAAAATGTTCTGCCCTGGGAGACTCGTAATTCCTTAAAAGAGTGTGTACATGTAGAAATAAGAACTCAGGTCTCAGAGACCAACAAACTTGGGTATGAATCTTAGCCCTTCCACATACTGCCTATGTGGCCTTATAAAAGTTACTCATCCTCAGTGCCTATTTCCTTATCTGAAATAATAATAGATGCATCTACTGTGTGCTTACCATGAGACAGATACTCTACTAGGTGGTTTGTGTGCATTAATTCATTTTTTTAATGAATAAAAATTGGATATAACACCTGTCTTAAAGGTTTGTCACAGACATTAATTTGAAGGAACATGTATAAAGCACTTCTAAGCACTTGGAATGTAGTAGAGATGTCTAATAAAAGATAATAGTTCATAGTAGGTGCTAACGTTTATTGGGTACTTAGTATGAACGAAGGCATTAGCTTAGGGATTTTTTTCCCCATGTTCTCGCAACAAACCTAAGAGCTATGTAGAGTGTTGTCCACATTTTAAAATTGAGGAAATTGAGATTTAGGGAGGATGAGTAACTTTTCTAAGGTCACAGAGTTACATGTGTTGTGAGGCTGGGAGACTAAGCTAATACACATTAGCTTCACTTCCTTCCTCCCATATTGCAATGCTGCACTAGTAGCAGCAGAGTTGGGAGACACAGAATGAAGGGTGATAGAACAGACAAGCCCTGACCTAAATCCACTCATCCTCTGGCATCGGGGTTATAGCCTAAACCAGAGTGTCTGGGGGCCAAGCAACTTTAAACAAAAATCCCTAAATAAATCAGGAGAGATTTATTTTAAGACAATTTTTTAAACAAGAGAGTCTTAACGTAATACACATTTCATTACTGTGAAAAACAAACCCATTTCACATGCTGAGTGTGCCCTCTTGTGCATCCAAACTTACTAGCAGGCATCTTCCGGAAAGACTAACAAAAATCTGCGTTACATGAATTATTTCAAGTCATTATTTAGACATCTTTTTTTTTTTTTTAACTTGGTGAGACTGCCTGACTTTTGGTCTAACTGTAAACTCCTATACAAAGACAGAAAATAGGCCTAAACTTTGGTGGGACCTGACATTTCTCCACACAATGCTTGCAAAACAAGTTATTCCATAAATGTTTATAAAAATGAAGACACAGAAATACACCGTATACATTTAGTACAGTTAAAAATAGTTAGGTTATGATGTTGACTTAACCCTGCAGTAATTACAACATATGGTCATAGTAGCATATAATAAAGGTAATATATATATCAGGAATGCTTGGGGGGACAGGTAATCAATAAATGATAATCATTAATTTTTTGTTGTTGTTTTGGTTCTTTTTTGAGACAGAGTCTCGCTGCATCACCCAGGCTGGAGTGCAGTGGTGCGATCTTGGCTTGCTGCAACCTCGGCTCACTGCAACCTCCATCACTTGGGTTCAAGCGATTCTCGTGCCTTAGCCACCCAAGTAACTGGGATTATAGGTGTACACCACCACACTCGGATAATTTTTTTTTTTTTTAGGAGAGACAGGGTTTCACCATGTTGGCCAGGCTGGTCTTGAACTCCTGACCTCAAGTGGCCCACCTCGGCCTCCCAAAGTACTGGAATTGCAGGCGTCAGCCATTGCACCAGGCCGAAAATCATTAATTATTAATCTCATTTTATGTGTTAAAAAATGGAAGTTTAAAGGTTAACTAATTGGTGGAAGCAGATCTCAAATCTAGATCCAAGCACCTTTTACCTCCCCTCACTGTTTCTGATGCAAATCCAAGAGTGAAGCTGCGAACACGTTCCTGTGTGACACTTGAGTCAATCAGCTCAACTTTCTGGATCTTTGTTTCCTTGCCTGTAAAATAAGCTGCTGGACTGTATGATCTTAGACTGCTTCTTGTACCAATATCCTCTGATGCTTTGAAAAAACTAGATGAATTGATTGGGTTAGATACTGAAGGGCCTGGTACCAAGTTAGGGTTTGGATTTATCTTGTACACAACATGAAGACATTAAAGGTTTATCCTACAGAGAACAGAAAACAAAAGATTTGACAGTATCTAGTAGGGCTGTTCTCCAACAATCAAGGGCATGGAGGAGTTTCATCAGAGACACATTTTCTGTTTCCCAAAGAGCCTTGAAAACAGCTTTTCTAGTACAAAGTCTCCAATCCCCTCTAAGGCTGAGTAGGGTAGAACATGTGGCCCTTGCTTAGAGGTCAGAGATCAGAGATCCTAGAATACAGTTACTGCTGGAATCTCTTTTTGACAGAGCAGGGAAGGAAGCAACATTTGGGAGGACACCGCTCACTAACAAGAAGCCCTCCATGAGATTTTATCAGGGTCTCCATCTTGACAGGGTTAGAGTCCATTCTGATTAATGTCCTGCTATTCTTATTGTTAAATATCTTGAATTATCCCTGACCTTATCATATTTCTTTCCCAATCATTAAAGCTGACATCAAATTTAAAATACTGAGAAAAACAGAACTATACTTACGGAAGCTCAGCAAGGCTTTCGAATCCTCCCAAGCTCTCGGCCAGAGTAAATAGCTATAGCAAAGAAAACATGAATTTAGATTTTCTAGTAAAATAAAAATACTAAAATCTAAAAATAAATGTTTTTAGGCCAGGCACAGTGGCTCATGCCTGTAATCCCAGCACTTTGGGAGGCCAAGTCAGGCGGATCACCGAGGTCAGGAGTTCGAGACCAGCCTGGCCAACTAGTGAAACCCCATCTCTACTAAAAATACAAAAATTAGCTGAGCATGGTGGCACGCACCTGTAATCCCAGCTACCTGGAAGGCTGAAGCAGGAGTATCACTTCAACCCAGGAGGTGGAGGTTGCAGTGAGCCGAGATCATGCCACTGAACTCCAGTCTGGGCAAAAGAGTGAAACTCTGCCTAAAAAAAAAAAAAAAAAAAAAAAAATTATTGCATTTGAGACTTTGCTCTGTGGTTACCACTTAAATAAAAAAATCTCTAAATGCTTCCCAAGTTATACATACTTCCTTGTTAATATATATCACTTATGAAATACATCCTTTAAATCCCTGCTGGAATAGGGGAAAAAAAAAAAACCACTGTTTTTATGTTGAGTGTGATAGTGTCATAAAACTTTACAAATGTTTTAAAAGTTACTTTGGTAAATGTATTAAATTAAGGTGACACCAGGAACACTTTGACTAATCTGGCAGCTTTCTGTTAATCTATTCTGTAGTATATAAACTGCATGAGCTCAAGGTTAAGCCCAGTGTATGGAGTTGGACAGGCCTCTTGCTCAAGGCCCCTGAGAGCCTCCTCCTGGCTTTTTGAAAATTAGACAAAGGCCTCACCCCAGTCAGATGCAGCTTAGGAGGCACAGGGTTTGGAAAGCCATTCACAGGATGGATTTTAGAACAGCCCTTGTGCAGTGCACTAACTGCACACTACTTCGAGGTTTTACCTATTTCATCTGAAAAAAGGGGTTCACTTTTAAATAAATGCATTAGAATACTCTGTGTCTCCAAACTGATTGTAGTATGTGGAGAGTTAAGTAAGTGAACATATTTAGATGTCTGCTACATTGTTGTTTAAGTTGTTTTCAACCCAATGCATTTCATGATAAAGAGGTTTATGAGTGTAACCTGCAGATACAAAAACATTATCTGGCTTGAGTAGAAGTGAGAGATAGTGAACTGCTGTAAGGCCTTACCTCCTACAATTTTAAACCTATTTTGTAAGTTTACCTTTAGGTTCTTGAGGAAAATCTCAGCATGCTGAAGAGTGCCCTTAATATAAAAGGTGACCATCCCTGTACAACCTGTACACTGACGCTTCACCAACTCATGCTGTGGATGAGAGGGCAGCCCTGTAATCATAAGGTATCATAAGTCTTATTTTAGAATTAAACATGTAATTTTTGGGGGGGGAGGGTGGTATTTTTCACTGTCTACTTAACTGCAAATAAGCCTAAGACGAGGATTATGCCATGCTCACATCTGACTACTTGCTTGGGCCCCTATCTCTCCAGCTTCATGTTGCCTCATCTTTTCTACCCTCTTCAGCTTTCTTTATGCCAGCACCACTGCACTCCCTTTCATCTCAGGACCTTTGCACATGCTGTCCCTTCAACCTGGACTTCCCTTGTTAATTATATCCTGTAATTTCTTGCTTAGTATCTGTCTTAGCCACCAGAGTTGCTCCATGAGGGCAAATCCATTTCTTTTGTTACTAATTGGATCCCAGTTCCTAGTGCAAAGCCTGGCTCATAGCTGGCGTTTAATAAAAATTTCTTGAATAAATCTCCAATACCTTGTCTATGCCCTTTTAACCAATGCTGCCCATTCTTCATGGCATAGCTCAAAACTCTTCTCTCTCCCTCCATCCAAAATATATATCAATCAACAGCTCTTTACCTAAAGTACCTTTAGGGCATTTAGTTTCATATGTATTTCGCTTTGGTTTCTCTAAATTCCTTGTGAATTTCCTAGTGAAATTCCAGTCTTAATTTTTCTATATATTCTAGATGCTAGAACCCTCAAAAGGATCTAAAAAGAAAAGAACTACTTAGGACCACCACAGCTTAAAAGACTGGTAAAAATAAATTCAAAAAGTAAGATGTAAGTCAGCCAACTCCACAGAAGACTTTCTAGATGCTGGAAGAGGTGAAGGAATAAAAATACAGGAGAGAAATACAGGAGAGAACCTCAGGGGGCTGGGCGTAGTGGCTCACGCCTGTAATCCCAGCACTTTGAGAGGCCAAGGCAGGCAGATCACCTGAGGTCAGGAGTTCGAGACCAGACTGGCCAACATGGTGAAACCCCGTCTTTACTAAAAATACAAAAAATAGCTGGGCGTGGTGGCGGGCACCTGTAATCCCAGCTACTCGGGAGGCTGAGGCAAGAGAATCACTTGAACCCGGGAGGCAGAGGTTGCAGTGAGCTGAAATTGCATCATTGCACTCCAGCCTGGGCAAGAGTGAAACTCCGTCTCAAAAAAAAAAAAAAAAAAAAAGAGAGAGAGAGAACCTCAGGGGAATTTTAGCACCTAATATCAAGTCTCAACTGGGACAAACCTCTATCAGATTAAAGTGACAGCTAATGCTGAATAGCAGACAGACAAGATTATAAGCAAATCAACTGAAAAGTCTAATGTTAAAATCTTTGAATAGGTATACACAAGCCTTCAAATCACAGACCACCACAGGAACAACTAATGCATAAAACTGATTTTCTACTATCCAAGCATCCACTAAACTAGAGGCAATACAACAGTAGAGACCAGGTCTATCTTCTTTCCACCTGACCCACCACAGAGCCTGACACATGGCAGTGCTCAATAATAAATGAACAAAAACAATACGTGAAAGCACCTAACTTACAAATAAATGTTACATAAACACGATGCTCAGGATAACTGCTGAAATCCTAGTAGATCTGCTTAGAAATCAAATTAACATACCAGGATAAATAACCTTTTCTACCCAAGGATTAGATTCCAGGAACTGGGCAACTGCCATTCCGTTTTTGAAATGCTTTTCCATTCGGACATGTAGAGTCTTCAGACCTCGATTGCAGAGGTAACAATCAATAGGAGATGGAACTGCTCCAAGAGCTGCAAAATGAACACATCCTGGATAAGTTTGAAGGCAGGGTATGGCCAAGAAATTATCTGGCTTCTCTTTTCCATTACAGTGACTCTCAGAAGCTAGGTGTAAAGCTCAATGTTTGAGTTCTAGGAGGAAAATAATATATCAAATCAGAAGCAGAAGAACAAAGCATAGAATATGCTTAGAGAAATTTACTTTAAAATGAGGGGAAGCAAATATGCTGAAAACTAAGTAAAAGCACAATGATATAAACTTCTCAAATATGAAGATAAGTAGTCCTTTCTATGATTTTAATAAAATCATAAATTGTTCATAGCCTAACCTTGTATTTCTTTGAAAAATTATTTTAACATACAGAGAAAAACAGCAGTTCAAGTCCTATTATTACTGAATATTCTACTAATATTCTATTTAGCCTTTGTGCAAAGCGGTCAATGATTTCACATGCCTCCAGGATATATACTTCATTTCTACTTTTTATAAACCAAAGGACACTTATCAAGCAATAAGTTTCAGTTTCCCTTGTGGAGGACATTTTTATTCCTAATCATGTTTATATTTTACCTGTCAAGTTACAATGGCTTAATCTTTAACTATACTGGAGATAAACTAAGCAATGTAAATAGGAAATGGTGTTTAGACATCTATTGAAAAATGTAAGTTTATACTGTAAGTGCTATTTAAAATTAACCATCATTCGTGATATAAAAGGTATAGTATATGAAAGCCCTCATTTCAAATGTAATTTTAAAAAAGAAAAAAAAACCATTAAGTCTTGAAACTAAAAATTCACTAGGGCTTTATCAAATTATGATTATAATTAAGATGGACATGAAAATAAAAAAACTCATTTCTTATATCATATCATAAAGCCTTGCTATGCTATAACCGTTTTTGTTTTTTGTTTTTTGAGACAGGATCTCACTCTGTTGCCCAGGCTGGATTGCAGTGGCACGATGTCAGCTCACTGCAACCTTCGCCTCCCAGGCTCAGGTAATCCTCCTGCCTCAGCCTCTGAGTATCTGGGACCACAGGCACATGCCACTGCACCTGGCTAATTGGTTTGTATTTTTGGTAAAGACAGGGTTTTGCCATGTTGCTCAGGCCGATCTCAAACTCCTAAGCTCAAGTGATCCACCTGCCTCAGCCTCCCAATGTGCTGGGATTACAGGCATGAGCCACCGTGCCCAGCCTGCAATAACTATTTTTATAACACTTTCCTCTAAAATCAGAAAAAATTTTTTTGGCCAGGCACGGTGGCTCATGCCTGTAATCCCAACACTTTGGGAGGCCAAGGCAGGTGGATCACCTGAGGTCAGGAGTTTGAGACCAGCCTGGTCAACACGGTGAAACCCCGTCTCTACTAAAAATATAAAAAATTAGCTGGGCATGGTGGTGGGCACCTGTAATCCCAGCTACTCAGGAGGCTGAGGCAGGAGAATCGCTTGAACCCAGGAGGTGGAGGTTGCAGTGAGCTGAGATCACGCCACTTCACTCCCGCCTGGGCAACAGAGTGAAACTCCATCTCAAAAAAAAAAATTAATAAATAAAAAAAATCAGAATTTTTCTCCTCTATTTTTCATTTCTTCATAAATTATTAGAATGCCATCACTTCACATCACTTAGTGGAAATACAAATATCAAATGTAGTCACTGAGAGTGTCATAGGGAACCTGCACTTTTTAATACTTACAGTTTTGCAAGAAACGAAGTCTATTATGAAGGCTTTCACAATTAACAGACACCAGGCCCATTACAACATCACTGTGGCCTAAAAACAAAAAACAAACAAACAAACAAAAATTTCAGTTAGAAACAATTTATGTTTACTCTTTATTTTATAATTTTCAAAATGTGATTTTCACTTGAAAAAACTCTCAGGGAAAAAGCTCTATAAAATAAGTTTAAGTAACCTTTATTCAACTGGACAGTAGCAAAAGCTATGTCTAAAACAAGAAAATAAAAATTATATAAAAACAAAATGTTTCTTTAAGGTGTCAGCAAGATAAAAGCATAACTTTTTATGGCCAACTTTAATCCTCTTCTCATAAATCATGAGCATAGTTTTGTGTACTGTTAATGAAATCCTACATTTAATCAAAGGATTTTTTTTTTTACTCTCTCTATGAGTCACAGGAAATAATCTACAAAATAATCAAAGAAAAGGGATCAAAAGCCAAGCCCTATGCAATTTTCACCTATCCATGAAAAAGAACATTCAAAGTATGCATCTTACCATTCATGTATTTTGTTGCAGAATACATAGAAATATCAGCTCCCAGAGCCAAAGGGCGCTGAAAGAACAAGTTTTTTACTTTAAATGAGAAACAATTTGAAAATATGCTTCATTACCTGCCTATTTGCAATTATAAATTCCATTCTTATTCTAATCAATACTAACTTTGCAAAAGTATGTGCATCTTAAAATTTTCCAGGATCTCTGATATTATTTCTCCTTTGCCTCCCTCCCACCAAAGAAAAATGTAAAGTATTGAATCCAGTATTGAATCTGAAGGCAAAAGTTTCTTGGAAAGCGCAGATAAGCCCAGGTCAACTGGTCTCTTGAACCTGTTTCTTTATAGCAATTGCTGACAGGACTCTAAATTTATTACCTACAGTAGAGACTCTAGTATTTTATGACTCATTAAACACATAAAATAGTTGAAATGAACATTCAGCAATTTTTATGTAGAGTAAGTATAAACTCATCTGCTTAGATTTTTAATCATTAAAACCTCATGACGTATGCTGTGATTATTTACATTTGGGGTTTGTCATGATCTTGATTCCTAATTACTCAGCCCTTCCTATGTGTGGGTTTCACATCCATGGATTCAACCAACCATGGGTAAAAAAATACTTGGAAAAATAGATGAACAGTTGTGTCTGTATTGAACATGTACAGACTTTTTTCTTGTCATTAGTTCCTAAACAATATAGTGTAACAACCATTTATAAAGCATGTACATTGTATTAGGTATTACAAGAAATCTAGACGGCTGGGAGTTGGAGAATGGCTCACTCCTGTAATCCCAGCAATTTAGGGGGCTGAGGCAGAAGGATCACTTGAGATCAGGAGTTTCAGGCTGCAGTGGACCATGATCAAGCCGCTGCACTTCAGCCTGAGTGACAGAGCAAGACTTTATCTTAAAAAACAACAAGAAAGAAAGAAATTTGCTGGGTGCGGGGGCTCATACCTGTAATCCCAATACTTTGGGAGGCTGAGGTGGGTGGATCACTTGAGGCCATGAGTTTGAGCCCAGCCTGGCCAACATGGTGAAACCCTATCTCTACTAAAAATACAAAAAAATTAGCTGAGCATGGTGGCACGCACCTGTAATCCCAGCTACTCAGGAGGCTGAGGCAGGAGAATCACTTGAACCCAGGAGGCAGAGGTTGCAGTGAGCTTTTCATGACACCACTGCACTCCAGCCTGGGTGACAGAGCAAGATTCTGTCTCAAATAAATAAATAAATAAATAAATAAATATGTCTGAAACTGGGAGAATTAAGAAAAATAAAAATGAAAAGGAATTTTTAAAAGTGTTTTCTTTCACCCAATTTTCCTGTAAATTAATCCTTTAAGTCATGGAGTATAATGTGATGCTCAATACATGTGTAATTGTGTAATGATCAAAAGCAGGGTAATTAGCATGCCCATCATCTCAAATATTTATCATTTCTTTGTAGTAGAAACATTTAAAATCCTCTCTCCTATTTTGATATATACAGTATCTTATTGTAACTATGATCATCCTTTTGTGCAGTAGAACACCAAAACTTATTCCTCTATTCCTCCTTCTAATTGTAACTTTGTACCCATTGACCATCCTCTGTCCTCCCCACCTCCACCCTCCCTTCCCCAGACTCTAGTAACCGCTGTTCTATTCACTACTTCTATGAGATCAACATTTTTTACATTCCACACATGAATGAGATCATGCTATATATGTCTGTCTGTGCCTGGCTTATTTCACTTAACATAATGTCCTCTAGGTTAATCCTGTAGTCTTAAAATGTATTTGTTTACAACCAGAGTGAAAAGTGTAGACTTTCCACTTAATAAAACACTGTCAAGCCGGGAGTGGTGGTTCACGCCTGTAATCCCAGCACTTTGGGAGGCCTAGGCAGGTGGATCACTTGAGGTCAGGAGTTTGAGACCAGCCTGGCCAACATGGTGAAACCCCATCTCTACTAAAAATACAAAAATTAGCGGGGGGTGGTGGTGGAAACCTGTAATCCCAGCTACTCGGGAGGCTGAGACAGGAGAATTGCTTGAACCGGGGAGGCGGTGGTTGCAGTGAGCTGAGATCGCGCCACTGCACTCCAGCCTGGGCGACAGAGCAAGACTCCATTTCAAAACAAACAAACAAACAAAAACATACATTATCAACATCTTTCCCTTTACATTTTCCTAAACATAGAACTGTGTGTTTTTATTTCACCCTCATTAGAGCTGTTTAGTCTTTGGAAGATATTAGTATAGGTGGCTATGGGAACTTTTCATTTAGGGTTCCTAAAGGGATGGGGTCAAAGTAGGTGAGGCCTAAGGTCTTTTCTAGTGCTAACATTCTGTAAACTCTACAGCCAAAAGAGAAGGAAAAATAAAAACCAAATCACTAACACCTCTGATCTCATTATCTTCTGAGAATCATGCTACGTACTTTATATAACCCAGGGAAGCAGTGTACAAAATACCTAACTCAATAAAATCAGTACCTTTATGGCTCTCATCATACAGGTGAGGAAAGGGGACTAAGAAAAATGAGATAGATCCCTCAGATTAAAAAGCTGGTAGAGCCAGGACTCACACCCAGACTGCCTGACTCCAGAGGTGCTACTCTGAAACTTGATGATGGTAGGTCTATTTTGCCTTTCGTGAGACTTACAGAAGATCCAGAGGACAAAAGACTGGGAAGAAAGAGAATATATTCCATTTTCATTAAGGTAAGACAATGAGAAGATTTTTTTCAGGAAGATTTGCTTCATGGAAACAACACATGTGGCTACTTAGGGATGATGCGATTCTGAGTATTTCAGCTGGAATAAATCCAAATTGAAATGAAGCAAATTCCAATCATTGGCATGCGGAATGTGATGTGGGCTTCAAAAAGGTAGAAAAACTAGACCTATGTTAGTGACAGTAATAGGAGAAAGAGGGCCAGGTTTGATGAGTAACCCGGGCAGGTCCAGGCTACAAAACGTATGCAATCTTTTTGGGAATATACAGGACTCACTGTGTCTCAGCTAAAGCTATCCTATGCTGTATTAACTGGCCTAATGTAAGTGGCATATGGGCTAAGGAGTTGCGATAAGGAATCTTACACTGAAAACCACCTGGGACAAATAGAAGATGCCAAATAGACAATGCCAGAAGATTTTTCACTGGGAAACAGACTGCTTTACCTGATAAAATCAGCAATCAAAGATACATTATGAGCCAAAGGCAGATGGCCCACGAAGGTGTCTGAATGCAATGTAGCCAGGAAGTGTGCTTCAGGAAAGGAAAATAAACCATGACAATGCCTTCGAATAAAATGGAGGAAGGTGAAAAGCAGGTTTATACCAACTGCCCAGGGAGTCAGCCAGTCACATGGAGGCAGCAACCTGGATCAACTTCAGGGACCCAGAACAGAAGGGGGGAAATGTAAACAATAAAACCTGTAAACATCTGCCCAATTGAAGAGCCAGAGAAAATGAGCTGGTTTTCAGGAACTCTGCAGAATAGAGATGAACTACAGGAAGTGTACTAAGTATGACAAGGTACAGGCAGGAAGAAAAGAGCAGGAAGAAGGTATCTCCTAACAAGGAAAGGAAAGAGTTGGGTTACTCAGAGGAAAGAGAGGGAGAACTTGTGTGGAAAAGGCAGGAAACAAGTTAATTATAAAGAGATCCCAAAGTGATCTACAAAAGAAAGTGAAACACAAAAGAGGATGAAACTAGACACAAGACAGAGAAAAAAGGAAAGGATAGATGTATGGGAGGGGTGGTCTGGGGAGGAAACAAATGCAGAGGGGGCTAGGTAGCGAAAGAAATCTTTAAAGAGAGCTGCTATGGTCTGAACATTTGTGTCCTCCAAAATTCATAGATTGAAATCTAATCACTAGTATGATTAGGAGGTGGGCCTTTGGGAGGTGATTAGGGTGATTTTTGCCTGATATGGTTTGGATCTGTGTCGCCACCAAATCTCATGTTGAGTTGTAATCCCCAAATGTTGGAGGTGGGGCCTGGAGGGAGGTGATTAGTTCATGAGGGTGGATATATCATGAATGGTTTAGAGTCATCTCCCCTTGGGACTGTCCTCACAATTGTGAGTGAGTTCTTGTGAGATTTGGTTGTTTAAAAGTGTGTAGCACCTTCCCCCTCGTTCTCTCTCTTGCTCCTACTCTGGTCATGTGTTGTGCCTGCTCCCCTTTGCCTTCTGCCATTATTGTAAGTTTTCTGAGGCCTCCCCAGAAGCCAAGCAGATGCCAGCATCATGCTTTCTGTACAGCCTGCAGAACTGTGAGCCAATTAAACCTCTTTCTTTATAAATTACGCAGTCTCGGATTATTTCTTTATAGCAGTGTGAGAATGGACTAATACAGTGCCCTGATAAAAGAGGCCCCAGATAACTGCCTTGTCTCTTCTACCATGTGAGGACACAGCGAGAAGGCTCCATCTATGGACCAGAAAGTGGGCCCTCACCGGTACTGAATCTGCTGGCACTTTGATTGAGGACTTCCCAGCCTTCAGAACTGTGAGAAATAAATTGCTGTTTGTAAGCCACCCAGTTTATAGTATTCTGTTATGGCCACCCAAAGAGACTAACATAAGAGCACTATAAATACTTACAGCTATAATGTAAAATAAATAAAGTAAAAGTTCAAAATAATAATAAGTTAAAGAGATCTAGGCATAGTATATGGAGTGCTGAAGGAATAAAAACTAGAAGAAGAGAAATAATATGTATAATATATACTGAAATCATTGAGCATCACTTTTCTTTTAGAATATATATAAAAATATTCAAGGTGACTGAAAAATATGACTGATTTGTAATCAATGCATAAACATTCAAGTCCTTACTATGCATAAGGTATTAGCAGATACAATCACATAATAAGGCCATTTCTTCAGAGTTTACACACTCTAAGAGAACTCGTAAGCTTTTTTTTTTTGAGACAGAGTCTCACCCTGTCACCCAGGCTGGAGTGCACTGGCGTCATCTCAGCTCACTGCAAGCTCCGCCTCCCGGGTTCATGCCATTCTCCTGCCTCAGCCTCCCGAGTAGCTGGGACTACAGGCACCCGCCACTGCGCCCAGCTAATTTTTTGTATTTTTAGTAGAGACGGGGTTTCACCATGGTCTTGATCCCTGATCTCCTGATCCGCCCGCCTCGGCCTCCCAAAGTGCTGGGATTACAGGCGTGAGCCACCACGCACAGCCCTGAGAACTGGTAAGCTTTAATAAATAAAAAACACAAAGTAACATAGAGGATATTAACATAGGTTTGAAAAGATATTAACTAATGGTAGAAGAGGTCCAAATTTAATTCTCGATCCAGTAAATAATTAATTATGATTAGATTTCATGAATTTGATCATGATTTTAATTTAAGCAAGTCCTTTCTTTCCTAATTACAGATATATGTGGTCTACTAATTGTGCCAAAAAAAATTATTTTCATTTACCTGGAAATATGGTGACATAAAAGTGTTATCCACGACCAAAATAATGTCTCCATGCTTATGGACAATATGTGCACAGCCTTCAATGTCAATCACCTTCTGGGTGGGGTTTGTGGGGGTTTCGATCCAAACAAGCTAAAATAATTCAGCAAATAACAGTAGTTTGTAAAAATATACTTTACAAACATACATCTCATATATTGTAACAATCTGGGAAGCTACATTGTATAATGGAAACACATGGATGATGATGTTGGGAGGTTCAAATCTGAATCCCAGCCTTACCTGCAAATTTCTGAAGCCGTAGGTATGTAATGTATCCTATTGATCTGTATAATTGGGTTGGTAATACCTATCTTACAGAATTTTTTGTAAAGATCAAGTGAGATAACGTACATGTAAACAGAAAAGTACTAAAGTTAATTATTGTACTTTTCTTAAAAAAGAAAGTGTATTCCAAAGACAGCTCAGTGTCTGGAAATTTTGTCTCAGAGATGAATAACATAGATTGTGTAAGAATACATCCTAGAATTTTAATGAAAGAGAATTATCCCTATGATGCCAAAAATATATTTAATATGAACTTAATGCCAGAAACTCTAGAAACTATAGAATAAGTATCTAAGACTTGAAGAGCATGGGCTTTAGACTAAAGAAGAAAAGTGACACCCACAACAGAAAACGTGGTTACCGCCTACTTAAAAAGTAACAATGACCTTTATATCTCAAAACCTACCACAATTCAGACACATGGTAGATGCTTGATAGTTATCAAAAAGACCAAAGAAAAGAATTCTATTTGTTGAACGAAATGCCATTGTACTGAATTACTTTCTTTTTTTTTTTTAAGCAGCAGGGTCTCACTTTGTTGCCCAGGCTAGAGTGCAGTGGCATGATCACAGCTAACGGCAGCTTCGACCTTTCAGGCCCAAGTGATCCTCCTACCTCAGCCTCTCCAGTAGTTGGAACTACAGGCATGTGCCACCATGCTCGGCCAATTATTATTATTATTTTTTTTTTTTTGCAGAGAAAGGGTCTCGCTATATATCTTGAACTCCTGGTTCAAGTGATCCTCCTGCCTCAGCCTCCCAAAGTGCTGGTATTACAGGCATGAGCCACTGTGCCCAGCTGATTCTTTTTTTATTACCTGTTATTTAAATGGGCAAGAGATCTGGTTTAAACTCTTCTGACTTTAGAGTTTTACTCTGGAAAAGATAAGATGGTTAAATAATACATATTCTACAAAAATCTTGAATTATTTAAAGAATCTATAAAAATTATTCCTGGTAAGAATTTATTATTCCTACTGATAATAAAAAAAATAAAAATTACCAAATAAATAAAAAGTAGGTTTTACATGGACTTAAACATTCTACTTCAAGTGAAAAACCTGATATTTTAGGAAGGAAAAGGTATTAATTCAAGTTGGTAGAGTCACTATATAAAATTCTGTTGACAAGACTTACTGTACTCATAATTTGCTTTCCTCCCTTAGAAAGATTCAGACCAGGGCCCGGCACGGTGGCTCATGCCTGTAATCGCAGCACTTTGGGAGGCTGAGGCAGGCGGATCACAAGGTCAGGAGTTCAAGATCAGCCTGGCCAACAAGGTGAAACCCCATCTCTACTAAAAATACAAAAATTAGCTGAGCATGGTGATGGGCGCCTGTAATCCCAGCTACTCGGTAGGCTGAGGCAGGAGAATCATTTGAACCCAAGAGGCAGAGCTTGCAGTGAGCTGGGATTGCGCCATTGCACTACAGCCTGGGTGACAGGGTGAGACTCCGTCTCAAAAAAAAAAAAAAAAAAAAGACTCAGACCAGCTATTTTAATGTGACTTTTCTCCCAAGCAAGATAAAAAACAAGTTCTTCTGGAAACAAACCTTAATTACCAAAAGCTCAACCATGTTAATGTGCAAAGTAATTATTTGTACATGAAAAGATATTTATTTTTTAGCATTCATTGCAACATAATCTTGGGTACAATTCTAACCTTTTAATCATTAGCAAAAAGTTGTAAACAGCTGACTTATAAAAGACACTGGTCCTTCTTTTATCCACACAGAATTTAAATAAGGTCCCAAGAAAGAATATCACATATGCCATTCACTCAGACACAAAACACCTTCCGGTGGCATACAAATTTCCCAGGATGGAAGCTAAAGATTGCTTGTGGCCTATTCTCCACATCTAACTAGTATCTGGGCAGCATCCCTTACAGCCCGGCAAAGCCACTGTGCTTCGAGTTTGGGGGTTTGGCAGGCTTCTTTTTCTATAGTCCAATCTCTGTGATGACTTCTGTTACCAATACTCTTTTGGCTATGCAGTTAAAAATTAGGTGCTCCTGCATAGAAATTTTTTTAACAATTACCATGTATCCAGGAACTATACTAAGCATTTCATATTCATTATCTCATTTGATTCTCACACTCCCGTTTCTATAAAACCGGTATAATTATCTCCATTTTGCAAATGAAGAAACTGAGACTTTGGTTAAATAATTTGCCCAAGATAATATACTAACTAAGATAACAGAATCACAATTTGAATTCTACTCCAGAAATCATGTACTACCATTATGCTATAACACCCCGGAGATGACAGTCTATCTTAATTTTGTTGATGTTTCCAATGGCATAAAATAAAATTTGTTATTCACATTAAATTATATCCTCTAGTAAACAGAAATGATGAAAACAAAACATCGAAGGAAAAACAGGCAAAACTGAAAATGAGCTGAGTTACCTTGGTTTCTGGTGTAATTGCTGCCTCTAGTAATTTGATTTTGGAACAATCAACAAAAGAAATCTTTAATCCAAATTCAGATGCCACTTGCCTGAAGTACCTGTTTGTACCTGAGACAGAAGGGAATCAGATAAAATGAAAAGAACATTGCATTAAGAAACATTCATTCCTTCTATGTATAAACACTTACAAAATATATGGAACTCTCAGTCACCAAGGAAAATGCAACTAAAAGCAATTCTAGTTTGGTTAAATAGTTTGGCTATCTGATATAGTAAAGAATAATAAGGTTTGTTCTCTAAAGGCTCAAGAGTCAAATAAAACACACTTGAGATCCAAAAGTAGCATGAAGCAAATAATGTTTTTCAAAACATCCAATCTCCACTAAGTGACATGCTTCCTGAAACATCATATCTTTTCAAACAATTTCTACCTAGTTCTCAACTCTAAACTAAATGAATCAATGTCAATGAAAGGTTCAAAATAAATTTCAATATACTTTGTAATGGAAAAGAATTGGTTACTATTCTTTGTACTTTTTTGATCTTTTTGTTATGTAGTTCTGAAAGTTTTAATCGATAAAATGAGACAATATAAATCAAACTACCAGATTTTTACAGTGAAACAAGGTAAATCATTTGACTTAAAATAATTTTTTATAAATACACCTAGATTTGATTTTTACACATAAAAACTTAAAGAAAAAATTGATATTGATACTCAATAACAACAACAACAACAAAAGAATATTCTGTCATTAATGAGAAACTAGACTTTTGATGGTATGTAGACTGACCCTAGGTAATATAAAATTGAAAAATAATGTAAAAAGTTCTTTAAAATCAACAATTTTCAGGATTTTATACCTATGTTTGCCATGAGACTTTTATATTGCATTATAAAAGTATCTAAAGGTTTCAGATTTCTATAATTTCAACTCAACAAGCTAATATAAGAAACTAAGATAAAATACGAAACATTGTGCAAATTTCTGAGGGATAAAATGATTACTAAGAGTAAGTCCCTTCCTTTAAAGCAGGGGTCCCCAACCCAGGCCACAGACAGGTACAGGTTTGTGGCCTGTTAGGAATCCAGCTACACAGCAGGAGGTGAGCAGCGGGTAAGCAATATGACTCCCTGAGCTCAGTCTCCTGTCAAATCAGCGGCAGCATCAGATTCTCACAGGAGGAAACCTACTGTGAATTGCTCATGGGAAGGATCTAGGTTGTGCACTCCTTATGAGAATCTAACTTTCGAGGGATCTAGATTGCATGCTCCTTATGAGAATCTAAATAGTGCCTGATGATCTGAGGTGGAACAGTTTCATCCTGGAACCATCCCCCTGTCCCTGGAAAAATTGTATTCTACAAAACCAGTCCCTGAGGCCGGGCACGAGTGACTCACATCTGTAATCCTAGCACTTTGGGAGGCCGAGGCAGGTGGATCACCTAAGGTCGGGAGTTTGAGACCAGCCTGACCAACAAGGAGAAACCCTGGCTCTACTAAAAACACAAAGTTAGCCAGGCGTGGTGGCACATGCCTGTAATCCCAGCTACTCGGGAGGCTGAGACAGGAGAATCGCTTGAACCCGGGAAGCGGAGGTTGCAGTGAGCCGAGATCGTGCCACTGCACTCCAGCCTGGCAACAGAGCAAGACTCCACCTCAAAAAAAAAAAAAAAAACACGCCGGTCCCTGGTGCCAAAAAGGTTGGGAACTGCTGTTTTAAAGGACTTAGTGATTTAACTTTTTGTTCAGATAGGAAATAGATAAAATGATAATATTCTAGAAATCACATTTTAATTATTTGGAAGCATCTGGAATATATGTATATGTATATTCACAAAATTCCTTGCTTTTGTTTTAAATACAAAAATCAGTGGGCTTAAAGGCAAGGGCAAGCCTGTCTTCTCCACATTCACCACTTTAAATAGCTAACATTTAATTTCTTTGGAATGGAAGTTCTTAAATTTTTTTTATTATACTTTAAGTTTTAGGGTACATGTGCACAACATGCAGGTTTGTTACATATGTATACATGTGCCATGTTGGTGTGCTACACCCATTAACTCATCATTTAGCGTTAGGTATATGCTTATCATCACTGGCCATCAGAGAAATGCAAATCAAAACCACAGTGAGATACCATCTCACACCAGTTAGAATGGCGATCATTAAAAAGTCAGGAAACAACAGGTGCTGGAGAGGTTGTGGAGAAATAGGAACACTTTTACACTGTTGGTGGGACTGTAAACTAGTTCAACCATTGTAGAAGTCAGTGTGGTGATTCCTCAGGGATCTAGAACTAGAAATACCATTTGACCCAGCCATCCCATTACTGGGTATATACCCAAAGGATTATAAATCATGCTGCTATAAAGACACATGCACATGTATGTTTATTGCGGCACTATTCGCAATAGCAAAGACTTGGAACCAACCCAAATGTCCAACAGTGATAGACTGGATTAAGAAAATGTGGCACATATACACATGGAATACTATGCAGCCATAAAAAAGGATGAGTTCATGTCCTTTGTAGGGACAGGGATGAAGCTGGAAACTATCATTCTCAGCAAACTATCACAAGGACAAAAAACCAAACACCACATGTTCTTACTCATAGGTGGGAATTGAACAATGAGAACACATGGACACAGGAAGGGGAACATCACACACCAGGGACTGTTGTGGGGTGGGGGGAGGGGGGAGGGATAGCATTAGGAGATATACCTAATGCTAAATGAAGAGTTAATGGGAAGTTCTTAAATTTAGAGCCATAGATGGGCTTCAGCGGTTCAATCCATGAGACCCCTAAAATTAAAATGCTAATCACTCAGTGTAGTCTTAAGAACATTTTTTGGGAAAAGAGGCCCATATCTCTCAACAAATTTTTGAAAGTTTCCCTGGTGCCAAACAAAAAATAAAAAGCAAAAGGGGATGTGTGGGGTTGAACTCTTGAGAGTAACCTGAGTTGTATTTCATCTTTATTACAGGTAAAAATTAAGTTACAGGAGAACACTGTCTCTCTAAACCTTATCTTCTCTAGAGCAGAATATGTCTGCAAGTTGATCAAGTGCTACGTATTCATTCTAGCACCTTAAATACTATTCTTAGTAAATAATCTCTGGCCAGGTGAGGCGGCTCGCGCCCGTAATTCCAAAACTTTGGGAGGCTGGAGAGGGAGGATCACTTGAGCTCAGGAGTTCCAGACCAGCCTGACCAACACAACGAAACCCCGTCTCTACAAAAAATACAAAAATTAGTCAGGTGTGGTGGCATGCGCCTGGGGTCCCAGCTATTCAGGAGGCTAGGGCATGAGAACCATTTGAACCCAGGAGGCGGAGACTGCAGTGAGCTGAGATCGTACCACTCCACTCCAACCCGGGTGACAGAGTGAGATCCTATCTAAAAATAAACAAATAAATAAATAAATAATCTCTCTTATAAGCAGTTCCAGAACATGGACCCTAAGTGTTTATGCTCCTCTTTTCCCAAGTCTGAGAGAGCATAGAGGTACCTGTCACACCTGTAAACTATAATAAATAATCAAAAATACTGGCAACATTGTTAATATTAATTCAGGGCTCACTTTATTATCTGTAAAATACAAGTTTACAGAATATAAATGAGAGGGGTCACCTACCTCCATACACATCATCCATACAAATAATTTGGTCTCCTGCTTTTAAAAGATGGGTAATAGTTACAGTGGCTGCTAAACCTGAAGCAAAGGCCAAACCTAAAATAAAAATCAAGTTAGAGTAAGCTGAAAAGTCAGGCCTATAGGTTACAACACACCTCCAAGTATTTACCTGACTTACTTTAATGCAGATAGGAAGCCATCACTGCTGAGTTGCTAGAGGCCCCTGATTAATACCATTACAAAATCTCCTTTTCTATTTCAAGAATAAGATATCTTTAAAATAAAAAATATATAATGTGGACAGATACTTTTGTGTTAAGTCAATTTTGCCTTGGTAATAATATTTCTCTGAAACACTTCAAGAAAATAATTCTTTACAAATATCTGAGATAAAAGGCCTATTGCCAGTTAAACTACAGTTTAAAAATAGCAAACTAAAGGAATTTCAGGGCAGGCGTGGTGGCTAATGCCTATAATCCCAGCACTTTGGGAGCCCAAGGCAGGTGGATCATTTGAGGTCAAGATTTCGTGACCAGCCTGGCCAACAGGGTGAAACTCTGTGTTTACTAAAAATACAAAAATTAGCCAGGCATGGTGGCACATGCCTGTAATCCCAGCTACGAGGGAGACTGAGGCAGGAGAATCGCTTGAACCCAGGAGGTGGAGGTTGCAGTGAGCCAAGATTGCACCACTGCACTCCAGCTTGGGTGACAGAGGGAGACTCCATATCAAAAAAAAAAGAAAGAAAAGAGAAATTTCAAACATAAAGAATAGAGCAAAGATATGATTCATACGTTAATTATATGAATATGCAATTCAGTAAATATTTTAACAAAACTCGCAATCAGACCTGAGATTTGTCTGATAAGTGTAATCACAATGAATACACAAGACTCTCTTCATTAAAAAAAAAAGTTTAGGGAGTTAATCTCTAATCTCTGACAGCACATTATCAGGAGTTATTGACCACTGAAAATAACTTTAGTGCTATTCTCAGGCACAAATTATTAGGTGAATAAACCAGAGGATAAGCAAGTTTAGGCCAAGTGTGGTGGCTCACATCTATAATCCCAGCACTTTGGGAGGCCGAGGTGGGCAGATCACTTGAGCCCAAGAGTTCCAGACCAGCCTGGCCAAAATAGCCCCATCTCTACTAAAAATACAAAAAAAAGGCTGGGCGTGGTGGCCCACTCCTGTAATCCCAGCACTTTGGGAGTCCAAGGCGGGAGATCACGAGGTCAGGAGATCGAGACCAGCCTGGCCAACATGGTGAAACCCCATCTCTACTAAAAATACAAAAAATTAGCTGGGCGTGGTGGCAGGCACCTGTAATCCCAGCTACTTGGGAGGCTGAAGGAGAAGAATTGCTTGAATCCAGGAGGCGGAGGTTGCAGTGAGCCGAGATCCTGCCATTGCACTCCAGCCTGAGCGACAAGAGCAAGACTCTGTCTCAAAAAAAAAAAAAAAAAAAAATTAGCAGGGTGTGGTGGTGCACACCTGCAATCCCAGCCACTCAGGAGGCTGAGGCAGGAGAATCGCTTGAATCCTGGAGGAGGAGGTTGCAATGAGCAGAGATTGTGCCACTGCACTCCAGCCTGAGCAACAGAATGAGAGACCCTGTCTCAAAAAAAGATTTTATATTCTAATAGGTGGTGTTATTAAATTTAATTTCCATTTATTTATTTATACTGACAGTTTCAGATGAAGATTGTTTTCACATGAATACTACATGATAAATGTAGTATTAATAAATGTAGTATTCGTGTGAATTTTTTCCTTTATTCATTTGTCCTCTATTCATACGTATTTTTACCTGATGATTACACATATGCATATTATACCAACTGAGGGACCTTGGGCAAAGAATTCAAAGGCAGTAGAACAGGAATTTTGAACTAGCAAATCTGTTTCTTTTCAGTTCCACATTCTGTGCCTCTATGGTTTTCTCTATACATTTAAAAATAGATTCTAGACTGTGAAATGGAAATTACTTACAGTACTTAGCCCCATCCAGTGCTGCCACTGCTTTTTCAAGGCAATTCCTAGTGGGATTTCCAGAACGGCTATATTCAAAACCCTGAAAAAAACAAGTTCGAGTTCATCCTAAGAGATTTCAGTTTATTATCAGAGTCCTAACATAGAGAACTATAGTTTCACCCTACCATAATTAGTTTCTATTCTTTAGTCATGATATGTCTTGCTTTAATACAGAAGCAGAACAGTGCTGTGGCTATAGTCAAGATGCTCTGAAGTCAAACAAACTCTATGTGAATTCTGTATCTGCCACTTATGAGCTGCATGACACTAGGTAAGTTACTTCACATTTCCAAGAGTCAATCTCAATATCTGTAAAATGGGAATAAAATACAGATATCTGGTTCATAAAATTGTTGTGAAGATAAAATGAGATAATGCACAAATTCACTACATGTTTCCTGGCACATGCTAATCACTAAATAAATGACAGTTTTTATTATTAGTATGTTTATTATGTTAGACTCACCTTTTTTCATTAATCTGGAAACATTAGGAAAAGGGACTTGCATGAGCCAACAGAATAAACCTAATTCTAACCTGTATTTCATTTCCTAAGAAATAAATGATTAAGTGATACAAGTTTTTTTTTTTAAGGATAGGACCTCACTCTGTTGCCCAGGCTAGAGTACGGTGGGGCAATCATAGCTCACTGCAGCCTCAAACTCCTGGGCTTAAGCAATCCTCCGATCTCAGCCTCCTGAGTAGCTAAGACTACAGGTGCATGTCACCATGCCTAACAAATATTTTAATTTTATTTTTTGTAGAGGCAGTCTAGCTATGTTGCCCAGGCTGGTCTTGAACTCCTGACCTCAAGCAATCTTCCCACATTGGTCTCCCAAAGTGCTGAGATTACAGGAGTGAGCCATCTGTCAGGCTGATTCAAGTTCTATTTAGCATACAACAGGAAGTTATGATCACATCCTACCAATGCTCAACATTCATTCACATCTTGGCTCTACAAAAGTGGCTCAAAGCATAGGGAGCAATTCCTGGCAAAACAGCTCCACACAATACTTTTTAAAAATTTGCATTCCTATAATCCCAGCTACTCGGGAGGCTGAGGCAGGAGAATTGCTTGAGCCCAGGATGCGGAGGTTGCAGTGAGCCGAGATAGTGCCACTGCACTCCAGGCTGGCCAACAGAGCGAGACTCTGTCTCGGGAAAAAAAAAAATTGCATTATTCTCCTTTTACATATATGGCACCCTGCTAGCTATATTCATCCAGTCATTCTACTAATCCTTATGACTGGCTTTGAGGAAAGTGAAGCCAAATGCAATAGTACCTAGGGAGTGTCAAAACCGGATTGTGAACCAAGGATTCGAACATTAATTAGAAGTCCTATAATTTTCTCCCTCTGCTTCACATAACATAACAAAACACAACCACTCTTTCACCTTTGTTTCTGATTCAGAAGCTCCCAGTATTAACAACAATAACTTCTAAAAGTTTTGTTGCTATGTGCCCTTGTTTATGACAAGTTGAGCAGACTTTTTTTTTTTTGAAAGGGAGTCTCGCTCTGTTGCCAGGCTGGAGTGCAGTGGCGCAACCTCCACCTCCCGGGTTCAAGCGATTCTCCTGCCTCAGCTTCCAGAGTAGCTGGGACTACAGGCACGCCACCACACACAGCTAATTTTTGTACTTTTTTAGTAGAGATGGGGTTTCACTACGTTGGGGAGGTTGGTCTTCATCTCCTGACCTCATGACCCACCCGCCTCAGCCTCCGAAAGTGCTGGGATTACAGGCGTGAGCCACCGCGCCCAACCTGAGCAGACATATTTTATAGGGCTCCAGGATATCCTTACCCCTCCCCACCATCACCTTCTTACCATGACCTGCAGCTGTACCCTGCAGATTAAAAAAAAAAAAGTTTGGATTCACGTGGCTTCTGCCACAGAAAGGTACCTCCCGTTTCTCATTCAGCTCTTCAAATTCCCTTTAGTGGTCTTAGCTGATTTTTAAAAAGGGCCGGGCGCGGTGGCTCATGCCTGTAATCCCAGCACTTTCAGAGGTGAATCACCTGAGGTCAGGATTTCAAGACCAGCCTGGCCAACATGGTGAAACCCCGTCTCTACTAAAAATAAATAAATTAGCTGGGCATGGTGGCGGGCAGCTGTAATCTCAGCTACTCGGGAAGCTGAGGTAGGAGAATTACTTGAACCCAGGAGGTGGAGGATGCAGTGGGCCAAGATCGCACCACTGCACTCCAGCCTGGGCAAGAGAGCAAGACTCTGTCTCAAAAAAAAAAAAAAAAAAAAGATATTAAGCAGAGTTTTTGTGGATTTAACCATCCCTGCTGGCTTCCTGGAAACATTTAATTATTAATATCACACCTGAATGGTAAACTTTTGCACTAAGTTCCAAAGCTTGGGCAGCTACACTTTCATTAAACCCTACACAAGAAACGAACTGCATGTTTGAAAGAGAGGCTGTGAGCCGGGCGCCGTGGCTCACACCTGTAATCCCAGCACTTTGGGAGGCCAAGGCGGGTGAATCACGAGGTCAGGAGTTCAAGAGCAGCCTGGCCAACATGGTGAAACCCCGTCTCTACTAAAAAAAATAAAAAATGAGTCAGGCGCAGTGGCAGGCGCCTGTAATCCCAGCTACTTAGGAGGCTGAGGCCGGAGAATCGCTTGAACCCGGGAGGCGGAGGTTGCAGTGAGCCGAGATCGCACCACTGCACTCCAGCCTGGGTGACAGAGTAAGACTCTCTCTGAAAAATAAAAAAAAAAAAAAAAGAAAGAAAGAAAGAGAGGCTGTGTACATATTTTGATTCTAAAATACAGTAAAGAGTATTCTAAACCAGTTGTAGAAATGGCCTTAGAACTGTATCTCACAAAACAAGGGACTGTCTGTAAGGATTTTCCTCAACTTATATAACACACTGAAGTGGTTTCCAAAGCATAATCAAGGCTTTGGACTTACAGACTTTAACTAATTCTTACAAATCTCAGCAACTTTTAAATTCTCTAAGATCCATCAAGTATGCCACCAAAAGGGGGAAAAAAGCTATGTGATTAACAAAGAGGGCTCCTTCGTAGGCTTTACAGATCATTCATGTATGACTCTGTGTCAGTTCCTTTTCTATAAAAAGTACATAATACCTGTCCTGCCTTCTGACCTGGTTGTTGTGAGGATCAAATGGAAATAGTGTAAATGTGAACATCATGAAAAAACAAATTACCATCGAGTAATTATTATGTACTATACAGCCTTAAATACATCTCAACAACTTATGTGGTAGATACTATTATTATCCCCATTTATACAGGATCAGTCAGAGGTTTTGATAGGTTAACTAACTTGCCCAAGGTCCCCCAGCTCAGAAGAAGTGGTGTCAGAATGCAAACCTAGCCTTTGACTATAAGATTTGTGTTCTCTTTTTCTGTTGTTGTTTGAGTTGGAGTTTCACTCTTGTCACCCAGGCTGGAGCACAATGGTGAGATCTTGGCTCACTGCAACCTCTGCCTCCTGGGTTCAAGCGATTCTCCTGCCTCAGCTTCCCGAGTAGCTGAGATTACCCGCCACCATGCCCAGCTAATTTATTTATTTTTAGTAGAGATGGGGTTTCACCATGTTGGCCAGGCTGGGCTCGAACTCCTGTCCTCAGGTGATCCACCCGCCTCAGCCTCCCAAAGTGCTGGGATTACAGGCGTAAGCCACTGCACCCGGTCATGAGTTGTGTTCTTAATCACTAAGCCACAGTGCTTAAATGACGCAATAGGCTAAATTGTTACTAGCATTATTAGAGATAGCATAGTGTAGCTGAGTGCCTAGGAGTTGGTTCCTAAAGCAACCTCAAGTTTCTAAAGTTTGAATTCCATCTCCAATACTTACTAGTCTAAGGCTAGTTACTTAACTCCCTAAATCTCAGCTTCTTTATTGGGAAAAAATGAGAATTCGGTTCAGACTAGGGTTGTTGTTAGGATTAGATGAGACAATACATGTAATACACATGATATATACGAGCACGTATTTGGCATATAGTAGGTACTCAATAACTATTCATACAGCTACTGGAAACAATCTTAATTCTAGTCAAGTTATCAGACCCTTAATATTTTTTAAGCTGACTCCGTACTACATCTTTAAAATTTATGCTGCTAAAGGTAACTCAAAAAAGTTATGACCTTCGATTTTTAATTGCAAATTTGTCAAAATCACCTGAATTTCAGGCCAAATCTAAATGGCAAGCTGGACAAACGGCTCCTTCCAGTCCTGCTTATCAAAAGAAATACGATCACTGGACCATCCGATACAAAGCTGTGCTGCAAGAATTACAGTGTAGAAACATCTTTCGGTTGCCTTCCTAATTTATAAGTCATATTATAAATTACTTACATGCCTTTCAAATTCATAAGCCGTATCTCTTTTACCGCCCAACTGTGGACAGCCCCAGACAGACCCAGCTCACCGAGTGCTGGCCAGGCGCCCCTTGCTTGAACGTGGTGGACAGTGAGATGGGGGGCACTACAGCCCTGGAGGTCCATTGCTCTGGATCCTGGCCCACATGGATCGCCTGCGTGGCGAAATGTTGGAAGTGTGGCAGGAAACCTTGTGAGGAGGCGTCTTTTTCCTGCATGCTGAACCGCGAAAGAAGAAGAGAGGAAAAGAACACCGAAGATATAACCAGTCGAAGCCGGGTGTCCGGGGTTGGGAGAGACAGAAGGATCAGGCGAGAAGGAGCTAAAGCACGCAGGTAGAGCCGACGGCGAGCGCACTAAAGCGGCACACAGCGATTGTTGGGGTGGATTTTATTAGCGGGTCTGCAGTCTCACGATCACAGTGGGGCGGGACCAGCGCGGCCCATTGAGCGCAGGCCCGACGCGTCTCCCGCTCCTTATTGGCTGACAGCAGAGGCGTTGCCTGAAACGTCACCGCGACCGCCCCACCCAGTGCACAAAGCGGAGTGAAGCTGGAGTCCCTGGGTCCAAGTGGTGTTAGTCCCTGCGGGCGAAATTCCTGAGTACCCGTCCTGAGGAGGCTGCCATGCTGGCTCCTGAGAGCCACCCGGGCGTCTCTGTGACCTCAGGCCGGAGGTTCGCCCGAGACGTGGCGGAAAGCTGGCTTAGTGTTGAAACCGGGTAACTGTAAACAGACCACATAAATAGCCTTCTTTTACTGTGGTAGTTACCTCTGACCACCATCCTTTGCCCTGAGGGCGGTGCTAAAAGACGTAAGCCACAACGTGGAGGGTGGTTAAGAAAACAGTTGCCCAAGCCGCCCAGTTTGCAGCTTGGATTCTCATCAGTCACAGCTTGCGTTTTAGGTACACTGAACTCTGTAATGACCCAGTGCTTACGATGACGAAACGATGACTAGAAGTGAAGGTTAAATTGTTCGTAAGACATAACGAAGCTACTGTAGTGAGGACGTCTATGCACAACTCTGGCAGCTTCCTAAAAGTTAGTCAATCTTGAGCTTTTTCAAGCATCATTATCTTCTTTTAAAGTACAGAGAGAAACTCCCCCTAATGAGAAAGATAATGTGGCTTTGAAATACTTACTGGAGCCTAACATCCTTACACAAAATGCTTTTGCTTTTACACAACAGCAACATCCCTGCAGGAAAAAGGATTGTTTACCACTCACCTGCGCCCAGAGCCCTACTCTCAGAAGAATCACTGCTTTAAAACAAAAATCTCCCTGTTCCCTAAGCAATACAGACTTGACCTACTTACTATTGTGGCTGTTTTCTAGCACCAGGAAATTTGGGGATATTTCTGTTGTTGCAAAATATTCGCTAAAGATCTAAAACTTTATTAAACAAATTAAGAACAAGGAGAATAAGGAATAAACAGCTCTTAAAATTTACAGTTTGAAAGAAAGATATGAAGAGAAAGAATGAGGCAATTTGCTTTTCAAATTAGCTTTAGGGACATTTAACCCATTAAGCACTAGAGGAGTGGTGCTTGAGGGCCTACAAGCTTTTAGAATCCTACCAAACTTTGTATGGCTGGGGGAAAAAATGGATAGACTTCAAAACACTAATGTATATTAATACATATTTAATTAATATTTTTCTTTTAAAAATATAACATCAACTGCAACTCACCTCAATATTTATGTATAACTATAGGTGGGTATTTTTGTGTAATATGATATGGCATTTAGGGGCCAAAAGGGTCTAAAACAGTTCCAATTAGTTTTACCTCCTAATATTTGCTGACAAACCCTGAGTTGCATAAATACAGACATTTTATTTAGTGTACTGTAATAAAGAATCATTCAGAAGACAGCACTAGGCTGGGTGCATTGGCTAACGCCTATTAATCCCAGCACTTTGGGAGGCCGAGGTGGGCGAATCACCTGAAGTCAAGAGTTCGAGACCAGCCTGGCCAGCAGGGTGAAACCCCATCTCTACAAAAAACACAAAACTTAGCTGGGCGTAGTGGTGCACACCTGTAATCCCAGCTCCTTGGGAGCCTGAGACAGGAGAATCGCTTGAACCCAGGAGGCGGAGGTTGCAGTGAGCCGAGATCATGTCACTGCACTACAGCCTGGGCCACAGAGTGAGACTCCATCTCAAAAAAAAAAAAAAAAAAGATAGCACCCAATACAAATGCTATAAATCAGGCCTTTTTTACTCTCTTAAACTGAGAAAACTTTATTGGATGCAGCTTAATATGTATCAAGGATTTAAAATATCCCCTTTCTATGACTCAGCAATTTCTTTTGTAGAAAATTTTACTTGCAGGAATTTATCCTTTAGATATATTCTTAATATGTGTACAGAGATGAGCAAGGATGCTTTTTAAACCTACGTTACTATTTTTAATAGCAAAAGAGTGAAAAATGGCTTAATTATTCATTCTTAAAAGACTGGTTAACTGGTTATGATACTACTCTGTGATGGCTACAGTATGGCCAAGAAGCAGGAAGAGATTGAGATGTGCTGGTATGTCAGAGTCTCGCTCTGTTACCCAGGCTGGAGTGCAGTGGTGCCATTTCGAATCACTGCAACCTCTGCCTCCAGGTTTCAAGAGATTCTTCTGCCTCAGCCTCCCAAGTAGCTGGGACTACAGATGCAGCCACCATGTCTGGCTAATTTTTGTATTTTTAGTAGAGATGGGTTTCACCATGTTGGCCAGGCTGGCCTCGAACTCCTTGCCTCAAGTGATCCACCAGCCTTGGCCTCCCAAAGTGCTGGTATTACAGGCATGAGCCACCACACCTGGCCTATTGATCTCTAATATCTAAGACAGCAAAGCAAAGTAACGTATACATCATGCTTCCACTTTTTCAAAAGAATATATACTATGTTGCATTATTTTCAGACAGATATTTATGATTTCATATGTATAAAAATCCTTCTGGTCATAGAGACTATGGATCTGCAGTGGAAAGGTGATTTTCTTTACATTTTATTCTCTTTTGTGTTCAAGTTTTATATCATGGGCACATATTACCTTTTCAACAATAATAATACTACCAAAAACCCTAATTTAAACATTTTAGAAAGACAACTGTATTTAGAAAAAAAGCTTTTTAAATGATTAAATGATAGCCACTTTAAATCCAATAAATGGTATATAGTTTGAGGTGTGTGCTAATTTTTCATATAAATTATGTTGCATACAACAAAATATCATAACACTTACAGAAGAATTATTAATTCTTCTTGGGAAGGAGATTCAGCAAAAGCAGATATTTTAGAGGAAATGGGAAACTTCTCATTTTTTATATTTCTTTACTGTTTGATCCTTTTATAAAACACAGAGTACATTATTTTATAATAAGTACTTCTTAAACACTATGAAAATAGCACTGTACTTCTTGTGTTTATGCACAAAGACCTCTACTATTCTCATTAAAGGCAGGCTATGAATAAAGATACCGTGACTGAATATCAAAACAGTGCAATCGGGACTTGGGAGGGATGTTCATAAAATATATTATTATTATTATCAAGCATAAACATACGCAATTATTAGATCTGTTTTGTTTTACCTCAAAAGAAAACAATTTGTTCATCCTTGGGCTTTTGTCAATGAAATAATGAGAATTATGAAGGGAATTTGGGGATCAGGGGAAAGAAGATATTACAATATAAGATCTAAATTTGGTAGACTTGTAGATTACTACAATGGGCCAAAGCCTGTCAGATAGCACTTTTTTTTTTTTTTTTTTGAGACAAGGTCTCAGTCTTCCCCAGGCTGGAGTGCAGTGGTGCCATCTTGGCTCTCATTGAAACCTCTGCCTCCCAGGTTCAAGTGATCCTCCCACCTCAGCCCCACAAGTAGCTGAGACTACAGGCATGCGCCACCATGCCAGGCTAATTTTTTGTGGGTTTTTTTTGTAGAGATGAAGTTTTACCATCTTGCCCAGGCTGGTCTTGAACTCCTGAGCTCAAGCGATCTACCTGCCTTGGCCTCCCAAAGTGCTAGGATTACAGGCATGAGCCACTGCACCAAGCCAGATAGCACTTATGACACCTACCTTCACTTCCTGGTGGAAACAATTTTTTAAAATAGTAACAAAAAGATATTATGCAATCATATCAATTATGTTTTGATATGGCATAATTGAAAATTATATGTCTTGAGAATAAAAAGGTCTAGATATTGTTGATGGAATTATTAAAGTTAATATCAAGAGACACTGGAGAGCAAATTTCTAGCACAATTGCTTTCTTTTAGTGATAGATACAAAGAAGATAAGCGACATACTCATATTAATATAGCGAGTATCTAGGCTGAGAATTGAGTACAGCTTCAGACATTTAAGATGAAGAAGTAATCCCAAAATCATTTGGATGCATTCCACAATGATGTAAAAGGAGTCAAATATGACTGAAAAACATAATATAAATAACAACTCAGACATAGCAGTTAAGCACCTGAAGTTTGGAGTCAGAATGCTTGGGTTTGAAGCTCACCTCTGGAACCTGCTGTCTCTGTGACCTTGAGGGAGCAATTGACTTAATCTCTGTAAGTCTCACTTTCTTCTGTAAAATGGGTAAAATAATACTTGGCAGTTCTCAAAAATAGGTTCTTAAAAGCATCTGGCAGGCCAGGAAAGGGGTATAAGGCAAGTAGAATAAATGGGAAGCACTTAGGTCAGAGAGCTACTTTTGATATTTTTCTATCAAAACTGATATTTGCAGTACCTTTGAAGAGGAATACTATGCAGAGGTCGTGTGACCCAATACAGAAAGTAAGCAATATCTTTTGCAATGTTCATAAGTGGCACAGAGATTTAAAAAAAAAAAGATAGGTAATTTGCACTATCCAGGCATGCAGATGTCTTATTCAACTAGTAATGCAGCAATTGAAAAGCTCTTGACTTTCGCTTATAACTTTATATCAGAGAGAAAACATTTTAGGGGGAGCAATTCTCCATGTTGCGGGACTGTTTGGCTAATTGCAGGGCATTCATCTTCCCTGGTGGCTAGTTGCACAACCCCACATATTTCCAATCACAAAACAACAACTCCAGTTGAGAACAATGATAAAGGAACTAACGGGGTTGCTCTGAATTTAAGCTTACCAATAAAAAGAATGGATTGACAATGAAGACATATAGAGAAATCTGAGAAAAAATGAACTCACACTGAAGATTGTGGTATCTAGGAAAAAGAAAGCCGGCCATATAAGACATATTTAATAGAAAACCACCCCAAACTGTGTCCCTAGAAAAGTTTGTAATGAACAAATGGCTCTGTGGCCAGAAATGTTAGTGAAACACTACATACAGGCATACCTTGGGGGTATTGCTGTTCAGTTCTAGTAGAGATCTTTGTTACCAACGCCTGTTCGCTTTGAAATGTGCTTTAAGTAAAATGAAGTCAATGTGGAATCCCTCCAGAAGTTTTGACACTTATCCAACTACTTTAATGATTTAGATTGTGTAATTTAGCTTAGTGCAGCTGTGTTTGAACAGGCTCTTACGCCAAAATTGTGAAGGTTAATAAAATTTCTAAATTCATTCGACAACCTGCTCATTAAAGAAGAATAATTTTGGCCAGGTGCGGTGGCTCAAGCCTGTAATCCCAACACTGGCAGGCCGAGGCTGGTCGATCACTTGAGGTCAGGAGTTTGAGACCAGCCTGGCCAGAATGGTAAAACCCCATCTCTACTAAAAATACAAAAACTATGGGCATGGTGGCGGGCGCCTATAATCCCAGCTACTCCAGAGGGTGAAGCAGGAGAATCGCTTGAACCAGGGAGACAGAGGATGCAGTGAGCCGAGACTGTGCCATTGTACTCCAGCCTGGGCAACAAGAGCAAAACTCTGTCCACCCCCATGCCCAGAAAAAAGAAAAGAAAATATTGTATTGTTATAATAAAGGTGGGAATAAAGTATTATAGGGACTCAGAGAAAGTTTCATGAAAGACAGAAAATTAAGCTAAATCTTGATGAATAATTAGGAGTTCCAAGGGTTAAAAAGACATTAAAGATTGCCCTCTCGACATGCAAATTTTTCTAAGGTATGAAAATTTTAAAATACATTTATTATGCACATAATTATCAAAGGGATGTTGTCAGGAAATGAGGCATTAAATAAACATATAAGATTTGGTTTCTTTATTTGAGAATTATGTAGTCTTCTAGGAGAGAAGAGGTTTCTAAAACATGTATTATTAGTATCTTGCAAAAAGATAGACACTTTACCCTGATGAGAATAGGGTGGAGATAGGAAGGTTAGGGGTAGTGGGTCAGGAAAATTAGTTCAAGGAAACCAAACCTGTACTAAGTCTTAACAATGACCAAAGTTACAAAGGAAAAAAAAATGTGACATGAAACTGAAATTAACTTCAGGAGAGGGGCAGCATACTTCATATCAGCAGAGAAATAATCTCCACATTGGTCCCTTTTCTTTGCAGAGATGGGTGGAGGAGAGATCATGCCCATGGGGAAGCAGAGCATATGGAAGGATGAGCCTTGGGATGTGAAAGGCGAGATCTCAGGTAGGGTAGAGGCTATAGGGAGAGACTTGGAGGCCATGAGAGGGAGGAATTGCCAATGACAATCAAGTAGGAATGACAGAGGGAAAAGCACACCAGCTGAGCAACACAGCTAGAGATTGCACCCAAGTCAGCAGACATGTTGAGTGTACATTTTTAAAAACAAGTAAGCCTAGTAGCAATTTTAGATTATTCATGCAGCATTGACATAAACTTTATGCATTTCCCCAGAACCTCCACTAAAGTCTGCAGTATAGAAAAGTTTTTTAATAAAAATCAAGGAAAAGTGGCTGAATTCCACACTTGGGTTCCTGTGGAGCTGAGAGGAAAAACCGTAGGGGGTGATTTGAGATTTGCTTGGTACTAGAGATTGGAGAGTAAAGTGACCATAAGAGGGTAAATCTTGGGAAACAGATATCCTGGGAAGGATGTGGCACTGGAGGAGGGGGGAGCAGTTAAATTATCATCTGTGTTGCCAGGCGCAGTGGCTCACGCCTGTAATCCCAGCACTTTGGGAGGCTGAGGAGGGAGGTCACTTGATGTCAGGAGTTCGAGATCAGCCTGACATCCTGCCTATACTAAAAATACAAAAATTAGCCGGGTGTGGTGGCGTGCACCTGTAATCCCAGCTACTTGGGAAGCTGAGGCAGGAGAGTCTCTTGAACCCAGGAGGTGGAGTTGCAGTGAGCCGAGATCTCACCATGTACTCCAACTTGGGCAACTGAGCCAGACTCCCTCTCAAAAAAAAAAAAAAAAAAAAAAAATAGGGATGTGAGAGGGAGATAATATGTTTTAGTTATTAATGTCTTTTTTATTTAAAAATCACATCTTTATTTTGTTATTAGATATTCAAATTGAATTAGTAATTCAAATCAACTCCACAAAAATTTAGAAAAGATAGATAAACAAAGAGAAGAAAATACCCCTCCCTTCAAACAGTCCCCACTGTTTTCTAGGTTTCTTTGTGATGTTACGTGCATGTGTGAGTTTGTACCTGTGCCTGTGTGTTTGTGTGTATATTTTTCTTAAGTGTCAGGTTGAGTTTAAGAGGAAGCCAGATATGTTTGGCTGAGCTAGGGAGAGAGGGCTTGCCAGAGGGCTGTTTGTAGGGGGAACAAAAGAGGTGTAGGCTTGGAAAGTCATGCTGAGAGAGACAGGCCCAGGTGTGCATTTGGCTCACTAAGGGAGTGTTATTCATGCTAAGGTGCGTGCTTCTAGGTCCTGGGGTCCCCCTCTCATTCACTTCAGAGGTCTAGGAGCTCCTTCCATAATAGTAAAGGGGACACAAGATCAGAAACTTTAATAAATATAATTAGTCATTACCATCTTAGTGAATTAGTTTGTTGATTTACTCCATGTTCTTCAGAGTATCAAGTATCAAAATGCAGGCAATTGGGAAATGGAGGATCCCTAAAGAGGAGCGGGCAGTGAGAGAAGATTATAGTCAGAAGGAAGGAATAATAGAGAAATTTCACCTATTTCTTTCATAGGTAGGACAGGACTCCAAGGGCCATTGATTACTCCTTGTGTCAGACTGGCATGTTCCAAGGAATTGAGCCCAGGGCCCAGCTGTGGTTCCTGCAGGAAATTTGACATTTTTGCTTAGAAAATAGTTTATCTGATGTGCTTATTTTCCTCTATATATAATGAAATTGATACTGTTCACCTTCAGAGACTTTGATTCTCAATGAATTACTTCAGTGACACAAACTAGGTAATTTAGCTCTGTGCACTTGGGTTCAAGCTAATTCTTGGGCCTAAACTATGGAATTAATAATAAAATTATCTGAAAATTCAGAGCCCATTTTGTAGGCAATCTTCCCATCAGAAATGAAGTTCACTGGCACTCAAGTAAGATTCTAACCATCAATAGATTGCAATTAGTCAACATGAAAATTTTGGCCAAGGGAGAGCAGGAGAAGAAGCTTCTATCCAAATAATTTTTATCCCAGAGACTCTCTATTGCCCGTGATATACTGGTAGTATATCCTAGGAATCTAAAATCAAGATCAAGCATTCAGGTCTATCTAGAGTGATTGATGCTCCAGTATGCACATATTGTACACAGAAATCCATGCCCAAGGACATTAATTAAGTTGGCAGAGATACTGAAATATGATCACTGGAGGTTATTGATTATATGGCTCCCAGTAGTCCAATCTTTGGAGTTAAATCAACACATCCTGCTTTGAATGTAACCACAGATTGGAGTTGTTCCTGCTTCTTGATACATACTGATCAGAATCTTAGAATAAGAACTTGGGAAGAATGGCCTATCAATAGAGCCCACATAGAGAACTGAGTAAAATATGTCTATTTAGAACAATGGTTCTAGATATTTTTCAAGTTCACAGAGCTAAAATTTTTGAATTTTTCAATGCCAGAATTTTTGTGGCATACTTAATGGAATTAATTTCCTCTATTTGCAAATGATTGGTCTTCCCTTTGACTTGCTCCAATCCTGCATTGCAATTTGATTAGAATGCTTATTTCCCTTACCTGGCACATACATATTCAATGAGGCAAAGTACTTTATGTTTCAATAAATAACTAGTTATATTTTGGTCTCAGTTTGAGATTAAGTTGTGCCTGTATTACTCTTTTGTAAGTTGGATATTTTCTTATACCATTTTTCATGGCCTATTTAGCTCAGAGTTTTGGCCCATAGATATTGCTGTAATACAGAGCTCTTCAGTTGTAGTGAAAGTGATGTTTACATAATAAACAAAATATAACACACCTAAAGGTTTGTGCTATTTTGATGTACAATGGCTCACTTATAAACACATTATTTCATTTATCAGGTATTCATTGGCCAAATCAAATGTCTCAGTTCTAGGCACCTGGAGGAATAATAAAATGCAGTTTCCCATCCTCAAGATATTTCACTATGTAATAAAGGGGAAATGAAACTTAGCAAATGAATGTGCTATAAAGGATGGTAACTAATTTATAAGAATTTATAGAAGAGCAAGTTCACTATTGGGTAGTGTCAGGTAGGTTGGTAGGCCCATGACAAAGTTGGAGAGCTTGAGCCCCTAACCCCATGATGGGCCTCTACTCACTCACGGCCTGAACAACTGTACCAAGACTGCAGGGTAGTCCTGTACAGGACACAAAGTCTTCTCTTTGCAAAGAACACAACTCGCACGACTGTACCCTGCAGTCTTGACTTGGGGTAAGTATGGCTTTATGTAAACAGCAGTTTTGAGGTGAGCAAAAAGGTTATAAATATTATCCCTCTTTTTCATAATCCAGGTGGTATATTTATGATACAGAAGATTAAAACTTCAAGCATAAGAAGAAGCTTATTTTAAAATTAAAAATTACAGAAAACTTTTAAAGTTAGAGAACATTAATTTGTTATTTTGTAAAAAGAATGATAAGAGACCAAATTGCAAAGAGGTAGGATTGGTTCCACCTGATTTATAGAAACAGCACAGAAATCAAATTCTCAGTTGATAGCCTGGTGGCTATCCTGCCACAGCAAAGAGGAACCTTTTTCAGCACCACTACGTAAGAGACTTTGAGAGACTTTCAGATTAAAAGAGCAGATATTTGAGGACCCACATATGAATTAAGACTCTTTTAGCTTGTAAAGTTCAGAAATCTTATTTGAATTAAATTAGCACAAAGAAGAATTTGTTATAATGAAAATGAAGTGTCTAGTGGAACCCATGAATAGAAATGGAGGTGTTTTTAGGAATAGAAGAGTAGCTTAAATATTCCTAAATTATCTCACCATCTCTCATCTCTGCTTATTTTTTTTTTTTAAATATGGAGTCTCGCTCTATCGCCCAGGCTGGAGTGCAGTGACGCCATTTTGGCTCACTGCAACCTCCACCTCCTGGGTTCAAGCAATTCTCCTGCCTCACCCTCCCAGGTAGCTGGGATTACAGGCACCTGCCACCACACTCAGCTAATCTTTGTATTTTTAGTAGAGACAGGGCTTCCCATGTTGGTCAGGCTGGTCTTGAACTCCTGACCTCAGGTGATCCACCCACCTCAGCCTCCCAAAGTGCTGGGATTACAGGCGTCAGCCACCGCTCCCAGCCTACCTTTGTACTTCTATTTCATTTTTATTTCTCTCTTTGTAGGTCTGTTGTTGTTAACTCTCCGACCTAATTGACATATACATTCCCCCTTTTCTCTCCAACATGTCCTAAGATTTACTTATTACTGTGTCTGCCACTGGAGAGTATTTGGCTTTTATTCTCAGTTCTAGTTTCATGAATTGCAGGAAAAGGTCTGGTTGGTTCAGCCGGAGTCAGGTGCCCATCTCTGTGTAAGTGTTTATAGCCAAAGGGACAATTATCGAATACTAAATGCAGTGATGTGCTGACAATATGTAACAGTTGGCTGTTGGAGTGGGGAGGGAGGAGGTGTCAATTTGCCTCTTGCCCCTTGCCAATATGAAGTGTAAATATTCTCACTATGGTTAGTTTCAAGCTACCAATGTGATATCACTGAATGTGGAGTTGAAAGAGATACTAACAGCTTCATAAGATATAATAATATGAGGCAGCTCTAATAATGGTTGCTCCCATAGTAACCATGGTGATGAGAGAACATTTGTTGTGAAAATAGGAGACTCTGGGAAAAGAAATCAATGTGTCTAACACAGCCAAATTGTACAATAAATACTATTGTTTTCCCCACCATATCATGTCTTTTGACTCAATTTTTCTATGAAACGGTATACATTTAATCAGCTATCTTTAGATTCATAATGCCTATCATTAGGATGATAAAAGGTCACAGAAGCCTTAGAATAAGAAACCAAGTATGTATAGGGTCTCAAAAATGATACCCGAAAATGAAGGCTTCAGAAGTAGCTCTCTCTGACCTTCTGCCCTTCTGCCTCTGGCCTTTCATTCTCCCCTGAGGATAGCCATAGAAACTAGAATCCCTCTTCCTTAATGCCAGTCACAGAAACCTGGTCCCCTTTTTCCCAAAGGCAGCCATAAAACCTGAAAATATTACTGTAACTTTCTTCCTGTCTTTCTGTGTAAAAACTAGCCATAACAAAATTATCAAACTTTTTTTTTTACTATAGGTTATAAGACCCCCATTCCAGAGGGGGTCCTGCCCCATACTCAGAAGGAAGAAATGCATGCTCAGAGAGGTCAAGAAGAATCTAGATAGACAGATCTTGCTGGGTTTTACAACTCAGTCCCTTAACATTAGATCATGGACTAGGCACAGTGGCTAATGCCTATAATCCCAGTACTCTGGGAAGCCGAGGTGGGTGGATCACTTGAGGTCAGAAGTTTAAGACTATCCTGGCCAACATGGCAAAATCCCGTCTCTATTAAAAATACAAAAATTATCCAGGCATGGTGGTGCATGCCTGTAATCCCAGCTATTCAGGAGGCTGAGGCATGAGAATCACTTGAATTTGGGAGGCGGATTTTGCAGTAAGCCAAGATTGCCCCACCGCACACTGCACTCCAGCCTGGACACAGCAAGACTATGTCTCAAAAAAAAAAAAAAATTAGATCACAACCCTTTTGTCCAATCATATTTTAAAACAGCTGTCCATACTTTCTTGAACCTAAGCATACAATTGAACTGTTTCCCCTGCATCTGTGGATCTTCATTCTGAAGGCTCCCGTGTCACGTAAAACTATGATCAAATAAATTTGCTTGCCTTTTCTCCCATTAATCTGCCTCTTGTCAGTGATTTTCAGTGAACTTTCAGAGGGTGAAGAGGAAGTTTTCTTTTGTCCTCTATATATGAAATAATTCAAAAGAGAAGACTCTTTTCTTCATACACCTATTAACTTCCTCCTGTCCTATCACCTGTCTCCCATTTCTATTGTAATAGATTTCTTGTAACAACAATGTATCTATTTATTCATTATTTTTATTTTTTTGAGACAGGGTGTCACTCTGTCCACCCAGGTTAGAGTGTAGTGGCAAGGTCATAGCTCACTGCAGCTTCAAACTCTGGGGCTAAAGCTATCCTCCCATCTCAGACTCCTGAGTATCTAGGACTACAGGTGTGGGCCACCACGTCCAGTTAATTGTTATTATTTTATAAAAACAGGGTCTCTCTATGTTGCCCAGGCTGTTCTCAAACTCCTAGCCTCAAGCGATCCTCCCACCTGGGCCTTCCAAGGTGTTGGGATTACAGGCGTTAGCTTCCAAATCTGGCCAACAGCAATTTTAAAGAGCTTCTCTGGACAGGTTTTAAAACACGCCACCTGTAATCCCAGTTACTCTGGAAGCTGAGGCGCAAGAATCACTTGAACCCGGGAGACAGAGGTTGCAGTGAGCCAAGATTGTGCCACTGCACTCTAGCCTGTGTGACAGACCAAGACTCTGTCTCAAAAAAAAAAAAAAAAAAAAGTATAAAATAATTCTGGTATAGGAAAAGATATCTTGAGAACATGATAAATAGTAATTCCAAACTCCTCCACTTGCTATTTTTTATGAGAAAGAAATGGAGAGTACTTTGATTCTCTCCTCTGATCTTTTAAAACCAATTAAAAATTTCTTTAGATGTCCACAGTTAGTCAGTTTATTCTCTGAATGACCACCACAGCTATTATATGCTTTCCCCAATCTCTGTCTTTAAAAAAAAAAAAAAAAAATTAGAGACAGGGCCTCCCTATGTTACCCAGGCTGGTCTTAAACTCCTGGACTCAAGCGATCTTCCTGCCTCGGCTCCCCAAGATGTTGGGATTACAGGCCTTAGCCACCATGCCTGGCCTATCACTCCCTTTTAAACCCCTTCTCTAGGACTCTCTTCTGTATTCTCTTCTTGACATATTTATAGAAAATAGGTGTGAACTCTGTTCATTTTCCTTTCTGCCCCCCTAAACTTCCTCCACCCACTTAGTGTCTTTTCGCCTACCTGAAAGTTATGCCCTTACATTAATAGTAATAGCTAAACAGCTACTTTTTGTTGAATGCCTATTATTCTAGTGTCCTACATCATTCCAGAAAACAGAAATTATCTCAGTTTTACAAGTGAACACATTGAAGTTCAAAGAATTGACGTTACTTGCTCCAGCCACACAACCAGTGAATGAAGAATCTAAACTCCAGATTCCATCCTCTCTCATACCTTCTCCAACATTTTTGTCATGTCTTCTTCTCCAACTCCTTCCCCACAGTGTATAATCATGCTCAAGACACTCCTTTAAAAAAAAATCTTCTTAATATTTCATCCCTCTCCAGCAAATGCTTCAATTCTCTCTTAATCTCTTCATGATCATGGTATCTTTTTCTTGTTTTTTTGAGACGGAGTTTTCACTCTTGTCACCCAGGCTAGAGTGCAGTGGCATGATCTCAGCTCACTGCAACCTCCGCCTCCTGGGTTCAAGTGATTCTCCAGCCTCAGCCTCTAGAGTAGCTGGGATTACAGGCATGTGCCACCACACCCAGCTAATTTTTTGTATTTTTAGTAGAGACAGGGTTTCGCCATGTTGGCCAGGCTGGTCTTGAAATCCTGACCTCAAGTGATCCGCCCACCTTGGCCTCCCAAAGTGCTGGGATTACAGGCGTGAGCCACCACGCCCACCCAATCACAGTATCTTTTAAATGTGTTCTCTCTTCCTCATCCCCCTTGCAGCATTCTTCCTTTTTTTTTTTTTGGTGGTGTGGGTGAGGGTGGCAGGGTCTCACTCTGTCACCCAGGCTGGAGTACAGTGGCAAGATCATGGCTCACTGCAGCCTCAACCTCCCAGGCTTAAGCGATCATGCCTCAGCCTCCCAAGTATCTGAGACTACAGGCACATACCACCACACCCTGATAATTTTTGTATTTTTTTTTTAAGAGATGGTATCTCATCATGTCGCCCAGGCTAGTCTCAAACGCCAGCGTTTCTGCCCGCCTCAGCCTCCCAGAGTGCTGGGATTACAGGCTTGAGCCACCACGCCCAGACTTCATTGCAGCATCATTGATCAGGTGCTACTGTGTGCTCCAGCCTGCACCCTTGTTAGTTCACCTTGCACATTACAGCCAGAATAATTCGTTTAAAGTGCAGCTTTGATCATGTCAATACTCTCAAGTCCCTCCTCTCAAGAAAGGGCTTTTATTTGTACTGTGTCTCTATAGCTGTATATATGTGTGTGATATGTCAAGAGTACAAATATTGAACTCTATTCATTCTTCATTCCTGTATTCATTCAACAGTTATTCAGTGCCAATTATGTGCAAGCATAATAGTTTGTCTTAGCTGAAGTATTTTATTATGTGTCCTAGTCTGTCTGTATTGCTTCCATTCTGCTATCAGAAAGAACTTTGAAAACGAAAATGCAAAACTGATCATAGTATGCCCCGGTTTAAAACTGTTCAGTGATTTGCATAATACAAAGTTTGCATTCCTTCACCTACCATCCAAAACCCATCATGATCTTGCCTTCCCTACCCTTCTCCAACCATACCATGCTACATTCAGTTCCTTGAATATGCCAATATCCTTTCATGATTATGAGTCTTTATACATATTGTTATCCTGGAATTTTCCTTCCCCTTTCCAGATGAACTAACACTCATCTGATTCTCTACATCTCAGCTCAAGCTTTTCCTTTTCTAGTTAAAATATACCTGAAGCTACTACCCCCAGCATTAGTTTCCCTACCACAGATGTGGTCTCAATAAGAATTCTTATTGTGTTTCATTGTAATTGCCTATTTAAATGTCTTTTGCTAAGTTATGCATTTCTGAAAGTAACGGAGCAATATTTTATCTTAGTGTCACCAGCATCAAGTTCTGTATCTGTCATACAGAAAATGCCCCATAAATATTTGTTAAATGACTGAATAAATGCTAGGCAATCAAGGGGATACCAAGACTTAATCTTTGTCCTGAAGAAGTCTAAAAAATAAATAATCAGAATACATCAGTATCACCAAGTTATTTACTGTGTTATTTGCTTTAAATGAAGCCAACTTTTTAATAAAGGAACTTTGTTCCAAAATGAATTATAAACCAGCATATGTAGGAAATCTACAAATAGATAGGCTGCTGCTGCTTAAAGCCCACTGGAGTGATTTTTCTGAAGTATAGATCTGTCCAAAGAAAAAAATGAATATGAAAACATAAGAAAAGTCATTAAGATGGGAGGAAAAATGGGACAGTAGAAAAAGTAAGCTAGGCCGGGTTCTGTGGCTCATGCCTGTAATCCCAGCACTTTGGGAGACCGAGGCGGGCAGATTACTTGAGGTCAGGAGTTCGAGACCAGCCTGGCCAACATGGTGAAACCCTTCTCTACTAAAAATACAAAAATTAGCTGGCATGGTGGCAAGCACCTTTAATCCCAGCTACTCGGGAGGCTGAGGTGGGAGAATTGCTTGAACCCGGGAGGCGGAGGTTGCAGTGAGGCGGAGATCGTGCTACTGCACTCCAGCCTGGGTGACAGAGAGAGACCCTGTCTCAAAAAAAAAAAAAAAAAAGAGAGAGAGAGAGAGAAAGTAAGCTAGACTGATTTGGTCCTCCTCTAGTTGCAGTTCAAGAAAAAAATGGAGAAAAAATAAGCATATCTGCTACTGCTTCTAAGTCTTATATCTTCAGATTGACACTCATAAACCAAAAAGAGTTTGCCTACTACATAACCACCTTATTTAAATGGCAAAAAACCAAATTATTAGCTTTGGACTCAGTGGCTCACACCTGTAATCTCAGCTACTTGGGAGACTGAGGCAGGAGGCTGGCTTGAGGCCAGGAGTTTGAGGCCAGCCTGAGCAACATGTTGAGACATCATCTCTAAAAGACCTTTTTTAAAAATTAGCTGCGCATGGTGGCATTGTCTGTAGTCCCAGCTACTTGGGAGGCTGAGGCGGGAAGATCCCTTGAGCCCAGGAGTTTGAGGATGCAGTAATCTATGATTGAAACACTGCACTCAAGCCTGGCTGGCAGAGAGAGACCCTGTCACTAAAAAAATTTTTTTTTATTATTTAACCTTAAAGACTACTGGGTAATTTTATCCAATTATATTGGAGCATTTTTGAGTTTCTAGTAGAATAGTTTTTATTATAAATAGTTCTGAAGTCATGCTCTCCCATTTATAACTTCATATTTACTTATTAAAAATGTCTTTAATCTTTACAGGACATTTTTTTGAGACTAGATACAGCCCCTGAGGCATTTTTTCCATAAGCAGAAATTCTAAGTCCATTTCCCTGTTTCTTGCTAAATGTTCGCTTATTAAAACAGAGCCTTAATCAAAAGTTTTGGGTCACAAGCATTAGGGTGGATAATATCACCATCCAGTCATTCGCTCAAAAATTTTATTTTATTTATTGTGTTCACTGCAACCTACCCCCACCCCCCACCCGGATCGCTTGAGCCTGGAAGGTGGAAGCTGTGTGAACTGAGTTGAGTAAGACCGTATCACACACACACAAAGACAAACTTAGTCCCTAGTGTTGAACAGTTTACAGGAGAGTGAGAGAGTTAGACCAAACAACTATAACACATAGAGTCTTTTTTTTATGGGGGGACAGAGTCTTGCTATGTCGCCCACGCTGGAGTGCAAAGCCACGATCTCAGCTCACTGCAACCCCCGCCTCCCAGGTTCAAGCGATTCTCTTGCCTCAGCCTCCCCAGTAGCTGGGACTACAAGCGCTCGCCACCATGCCCAGCTAATTTTTGTATTTTTAGTAGAGACAGGGTTTCACCATGTTGGCCAGGCTGGTTTTGAATTCCTGACCTTGTGATTCACCCACCTTGGCTTCCCAAAGTGCTAGGATTTACAGGTGTGAGCCAAGGCGCCCGGCCTGTAGAGTCATTTTTATAAAGTATCATTATGACATTACCCAACTGATACTATGGTTGATTCCTTCATTTAAACCCTCAGAGACACAAGCACCTCCACTGCCTTGACTGTCTCTTTCTTAGATTACTACCACAGCAGCCAAATTGACCTCATTTCTTCCTTCTCACAGTCCACCCTCAACATAGCAACCCCAGTGATCCTTTTAATACATGTCCAGTTATGTCCCTCCTCCTTAAGACTCTAATGTCTTTACATCTCACTCAGAGTAAAAGCCAAAGTTTTTATTTTTATTTTTATTTATTTTTTACTTTTGAGACGGAGTCTCGCTCTGTCGCCCAGGCTGGAGTGCAGTGGCCTGATCTCTGCTCACTGCAAGCTCCGCCTTCCAGGTTCACGCCATTCTCCTGCCTCTGCCTCCCCAGTAGCTGGGACCACAGGCGCCCGCCACCACACCCGGCTAATTTTTTTTGTATTTTTAGTAGAGACGGGGTTTCAGCATGTTAGCCAGGATGGTCTGGATCCCTAGACCTCGTGATCCGCCCGCCTCGGCCTCCCAAAGTGCTGGGATTACAGGCGTGAGTCACCGCGCCCGGCCAAAGCCAGAGTTTTTTAATTGCCCTACGATATTCTCTCTGCTGTTATCTCCTACTTTTCTGTCCTCCGTTTAAAGTGGGTTCCTTGCCTATTCCCTGAACAAGTCAGGTATGCTCCTGCACAGGGCCTTTGCACAAACTACTCCCTCATTCCTGCTACTGTGGGAATACCTTTCCCCCAAATAGCCCACAGCTGTTTCCCCCATCACCTCTAGGTCTTTGCTCAAATGACACCTCCTTCTCAGTGAGACTACCCTGACTACACTATTTCAAATTTCAACCCATTTTCTTGTAAATTTCCTTTCTTGAGACAGGATCTCACTCTGTTTCCCAGGCTAGAGTGCACTAGTGTGATCTCGGCTCACTGCAGCCTCAACTTCCTGGGCTCAAGCGATCCTCCACCTTAGCCACCTGAGTAGATGGGACTACAGGTATGTGCCACCATGCTTAGCTATTTTTTAAAAAAATGTTTATAGAGATCAGGTCTCACTGTGTTGCCCATGCTTATCTTAAACTCCTGGCCTCCGGCAATCCTCCCATCTTGGCCTCCCAAAGTGCTGGGATTATAGGCATGAGTTACCACATCCAGCCTCCTCCCCAAATCTTGATGTCCCTTATTTTGCTCTAATTTCCTCATAGCACTTATTACTTCCTAGAAGACTGTAGATTTATAAACTACTTATTTATTGTGTTTATTAGGTGTTATCTGTCTCCTCGCTAGAATTAATGTCTATAGGGACAATACCTTTTTTGTTTTGTTTCCTTATATATATCACACCTAGAACAAGGTCTGGTACATAGTAGGTGTGTAATAAATATTTCTTAGTAAATAAATATTTTTTAAAAACTCTACCTCCTGCTTGGACAAAAGGAAGTCTAGTGTTTATTCATTTATTGACTCAGCCAAATTCATTGAACATAAGCTATGATTCAGATACTGTAAGTAGAAGATGAATAGAACCATGTCCTTGTCCTGGAGGTACTCATATACTAGTGGGGGAGACACATAAACACATAATTCCATCTTGTTGGATTAACTATCACAATAGAGGAATGTACAAGATACCATAGGAGCACAAAGTCAGAGTAGCTAAGCTTTGGAGATGCTCAGAAAATGCAGAGAGTTTTCTATCTCCTAATAATTATATTCACGGTGTGGCTGTTTGTGGTGAGGTGGTATGTGTCTTGCTCTAGGGAGGCTGAATAGAATAGTGATTGAGCACCTGTAATCCCAGCACTTTGGGAGGCCAAGGTGGGTGGATCATCTGAGGTCAGGAGTTCAAGACAAACCTGGCCAACATAATGAAACCCCATCTCTACTAAACATACAAAAAATTAGCCAGGTGTGGTGGTGTGGGCCTGTAATCCTAGCTACTCCAGAGGCTGAGGCAGGAGAATTGCTTGAACCCAGGAGGCGGAGGTTGCAGTGAGCCGAGATCACACCACCGCACTGTGGCCTGGGCAGCAAGAGTGAAACTCCATCTAAAAAAAAACAAAAACAAAAACAAAAAACTAGTGATTGAGCTACTGATGTCTGGAATTAACACACCTGGATTCAAATTTTAGTTCTACTCCTTACTAGTTCTGTGACGTTGGGCAAATTACTGATCCTTTCCAATTACAAAACACAAGAACAATTATTACTGATCTGTACACCACAGGTGTTACAACAGACTCTCACACATCAATTTAAAATAATGACTCTGGCTGGGGAGGGTGGCTCATGCCTGTAATCCCAACACTTTGGGATGCCAAGACAGGAGAATTGCTTGACCCCAGGAGATTAAGATCAGCCTGGACAACACAGTGAGACCTTGTCTACACAAAAAATTGAAAAATTAGCTGGGCATGGTGGCTTATCCTGTAGCTCTACCTCATTTACTTGGGAGGCTGAGGCAGGAGGATAGCTTGAACCTAGGAGTTTGACGTTGCAGTGAGCTATGATTGTGTCATTGCCCTCCAGCTTGGGTGACAGAGAGGAATCCTGTATCAAAAAAAAGAATTTTTAATAGGTAAATAAAATAAAATGAAACGAGGAATCTATTAAACCATAAATTTACTTTTATACATAAAAAGAAAAGGATACATTCCAAGGTTTTTCTGCCTAAAAAAGCAATCTTCCCGGGCGCAGTGGCTCACACCTGTAATCCCAGCACTTTGGGAGGCTGAGGCAGGTGGGTCACTTAAGGTCAGGAGTTTGAGGCCAGCGTGGCCAACATGGCAAAACCCCGTCTCTACTAAAAATAGAAAAATTAGCCAGGCATGGTGGCACACACCTGTAGTCCCAGCTACTCAGGAGGCTGAAACAGGAGAATTGCTTGAGCCTGGGAGCCAGAGGTTGCAGTGAGCTGAGATGGCACCACTGCATTCCAGCGTGGCTGACAGAGAGATTCCGTCTCAACAAACAAACAAACAAAAAAGCAACCTAACTAGTATTTATTTCTTAAGAAATCACAGATGTTCATTTGATTATTATTACTCAAGATGACCAATTAACAAGTGGAACAGGAATTCAACAAGAAAAATGCTTCAGAGAATAAAGGATACATTTGCCTAATAAAGCCATAATCTTTGAAGCTCAAGCATCTTGAATAACTTATTTTTCTATCAATACTAAAAGGATATTTTTAAAGTAAAAGAAAAGTGAACAGGATGGTTGAAGGTATAAATTTTCCTTCATGTCTCTATACTACAAAAGAGAAAACTGATATTTTTGAAAATGTTCTCAACTTAACTGCCTTTTTAGAATCTGTAACTTAAACTAGTTTTATCTTTCAGAACTCTGTCTGCCCTCTGCAGCCTCAAAATAAAAATTATCTCTTATTTATCTCTATAAATTCCTTTAACTTATAGCTGTTCACCAGGATGCCTTACAATCTTAAAAGCCAAGTATAGGAATTCTTTTTTTTTTTTTTGACAGAGTCTCGCTCTATCGCCCAGGCTGGAGTGCAGTGGTGTGATCTTGACTCACTACAACCTCTGTCTCCTGGAATAAAGCGATTCTCCTGTCTCAGCCTCCCAAGTAGCTGGGACTACAGGCACGCACCACCACATTCAGCTAATTTTTGTATTTTTGTAGAGACAGAGTTTCATCATGTTGACCAGGCTGGTCTTGAACTGCTGACCTCAGGTGACCTGCCGGCCTCGGCCTCCCAAAGTGCTAGGATTACAGGCATGAGCCACGGCTCCCAGCCTTGGAATTCCTTTTGTTAACATTGAATGGTAAGTATAGAATAAAATGAAAACCTTAAATAAACTTCAAAATGCATTCATTTGAATACATTTGAGATATGTCACATTTGATAAACAATTGATGAACAGTTGAGATATGTCACATTTAATCCTCTGATTCTACATTTGGTTGTTGTATTAAATGAATTAACACAAGTAAAGTTTTTAGAACAGTGCTTGGCACATAGTAAATGCAAAATAAATGTTACCTATTATAATAATGCAAATTTGTTTCCCCAAAAATACACTCAAAGAGGTAGAATATTGCTTACAAGCCCATTCAAAATGCTACCAAGAAGTCTCAATTGTTTGCTCATCCTGATTTTAAAAATCAAGTCAAGTCAAAAATATTTACTTAGTACATATTATATACAGGGCACTATGCTTGGCATTGTATATAATGTATCTAGTATATACATGGCACTATACTTCACTTTGTATATAATGAAGTAGAGATATAATCTTATCTGCCTTCAGTCTAGACATGTCTTTTAAAGTCTGGAGCTATATAGCCAAGTGATTATTGAGTATGTCCAAAATAGGGTTCATTATCCTTTACCTCAAAACTGCAATTCTTTCTAATCTTGGTTGGAATGATCACCACCCATCTAATAATCAAAGTCATAAATCTAAGTCACTCAGGGCTTTTCCCACTTCTTCATCCCACACCCAATTAGCCAACTAAGCCCTGCCAATTTGACATCCTCTCATTAGTCTTCTCTCCCATTTGTGTCTCTTCCAGTAGTCTTGTCCTTTTCATTCATACTGCCACTATGTTGATTGGAACCCTTACTATTTGTTATCAAAGCTATTGCAACAGCCTTCTATCTAGCTTCCCTCTCACTCCTGTGATTAAAAGTCTTCAATATTCTCTTTCACTGACACAATATAGTCAAGGATCCTTGATAATATCAAAGAAGTAGTAAATCCTGCTTACTTCTTAAATTTCATAATCTAGCACTTTCCAAAAACTCCTCTCCATCCTCCTCATATTCAAACTTACTTTGCTCTCCAGTAATATTGAACTGCTAATAGTCTCCTTAACAGATAGAGATGTTTCATAATTCACACCTTCGACCTGGAATGTTCTACCTCATTTTTCCACCTGGCAACCTCCAATTTTTGTTTCAAACTTCAGAGTTAACATCAAGTTATCCTCCTGCAAGCCTTCTCTCTCCATGCCCAATTCCATCCTCCTTACAAGCACCCCCTACAACAAACACACATAGATGTTATTTGTTAATCTTTTATTTGTTTCTGTTGTTGCACTTACTAAACTGTATTATAATTTACTTGTCTGTATATTTGCCTTTCTTATTGGACTCATATATCCTGGAGGTCATAGATGACATATTATTTATCTGTTCACCTTCATAGTCTGGCAGGGCCTGGCACAAAGTAAGTTCTCAACAACTGCTTGTTAATGGAGAGATGGAAACAAGAAAGGAAAGCTGGAGGAGAGGGAAGGAGAGAGGAATTAAAGCAGAGAGGGAGGAAGGAAGGAAGGAGGGAAGGAAGGAAGGGGGGGAGGGAGGAACGAAGGAAGGAAGGAAAGGAAGGGAGGGAAGGAAGGAGGAGAGAAGAGAAAAAGAAGGAAAGAAGGAATTCACAAATCCTAATCTCAGGGATAGGTAGAATTTTAATAGATATGGAGGAGCAGGGACAGTATTCTAACTAAAGAGATTGGGGGAAAGTTCAGAACTAGAAAATTAGAAGGTTTATTCAGCTGCAGCTGGTAACAAAAGGGCCTTAGGGTGACAACTGGGTTCTAAAACACAGAAATAATTTTCTAGATCTGTGCTGTCCAAACAGCAGCCACTAGCTATGTGCAGTTATTCAAGTTTAAATTAATTGATATGAAAAAAAGTCAAAATTCAGTTCCTTCATTGCATTAATTACATCTCAAAGCTCAACAGCCACATGTGAGCAGTGGCTACTGTAGTGAACAGCCCAGAGAGAGAACATTCCCATCATCACAGAAAGTTCCATTGAACAGCCCTTGTCTAGAGAAAGAGTGACTCTGCTCTTAATGAGGAAACACACAGTGGAGACCCAGAAGATACCCTAAGGACTGACCTCATTTTTTCTAACAGCATGCTCCCACAAACTTTCAAAAAGGACTTGAAAACAGTTTATGGTATTCAAATGAAAATGCATTTCCAAAGAAGAGAATTGGGCTTTTGCTTCAAACAATGACAGAGTAACTGGTATCTTACATCCTGTCCCACCGTAAACAACTAAAAAACTGGACAAAATATGGTTTTTAAAAACTATATTCGGACAACAGACCATGTGGAACTATGATATCTTAGAAAAGGGAAACAAATAGGATGAACCCTACTGTCATCCTAGCTTTCTGCCTGGAGAAACCTTCCAGACCACAGTGCAGGAAAGGGATCCCAAGCAGAGCATGATGGTCTCCTTTAGTTAAGGAGGCAGAGATCAGAATCCACAGGCCTGGCAGAGTACCAGAGGGGAAGAAATTATTCAGAGGAAGAGCTCTAGAAATCTTTAGAAGTCATTTCCTTGTGTCTTTGGTTGAAAACTAAGCTGTACATGCATTGCTGATACTCCATAAGGCTAGGTAAAGAACAATTGCTAGGTAGCTGAAAGCTGAGCAGTTCCCAGAGCTCATAATCCTGGGAGACATTTGAGTTCATACCAGGGTGTAAAGACCTCAAACATCTGGGGCATTCAGCAATGACCCTATATCTTAGTCTGCTTGTGCTCCATGTCTGCTCAGGCTACTGTAACAAAATACCATAGACTGAGTAGCTTATGAACCACAGAAATTTATTTCTCACAGTGCAGGAAGCTGGGAGAGCCAAGATCAAGGTGCCCGCAGATTCTGTGTCTGCTGAGGACCTGTTTCCTGGTTCATATAAAATTTTAAATGTTCGGCCAGGTGCAATGGCTCACGCCTGTAATCCCAGCACTTTGGGAGGCAGAGGCAGGCGGATCACAAGGTCAGGAGTTCAAGACCAGCCTGGCCAGCCTGGTGAAACCCCGTCTCCACTAAAAATACAAAAAATTAGCCAGGCATGGTGGTGCCTGCCTGTAATCTCAGCTACTCGGGAGGCTGAGTCAGGAGAATCACTTGAACCCAGGAGGCAGAGGTTGTAATGAGCCCAGATTGTGCCACTGCATTCCAGCCTGGGCAATAGAGTGAGACTCTGCCTCAAAAAAAAAAAAAAATTCAAATGTTCATCAATTTTCTAGTCTAAAGAAAAAGTTACCACAGAGTGAGCTGAAGTTAGAAGGCAAATTCATTTAAAACCATTCACTTGTTCTACCTGGCTGTCTTGGGCCCATTCACCTCAAAAGAGGACTAGTGTGGGTCAATGACAAAAAAGATAAACTTATTTTTTTCTCAATACTTACCAATTGAGAATACAATAGTGCATCAGATATCAAGGGTGTAGACTTTTAAAAATTATTTTTTAAAAAAGAAAATACAGTAGTACATTTCGTATTTTTCAAGGGAGGAATAATTTGGTTCATTGCGGAACTCAATTATTCTTGTCAAATGAAACAGTAGAGATGAGGTGTTAATTTAGTTGAAAAAAATTGTGTCATCAACATGGAAAAACTGGTGCTGATATTTTAGATTGACATATATAGCTTTTTTAAGTGCAGATGACAGCAATAATAATTTTTAAAACCTAGCCATTTGTATAGTACTTTTAATTTTCAAATAATTCTCATGCACATTGTGTTATATAATATTTACACCAATCTTTTGAGATTAGTATTATCATGATCTCATGATACAGATGGATACCTGAGGCTCAAAGCAGTTAAGTAGCTTGCTTGAATTTGTACAACTAATAAGTAAATGAATGTGTCCAAACTCAAACCCAGGTCTTGTGATTCCAAATGTTAACGCTTATCCATAATACTTGATCTACCTATAAAAATTACAGAAAAATTAAAGAATTGAGTAAGAAAAACAGGTAGATAGAAATGTCTACTCCCCATCTGTATTTCAGGTTAGATACACAGGTGGGAAGTAGATATTTGTTTAGGAGTCAGTAAAGAGTTATACATACATATCGAATATCACATATGAGTCAATTTTATTGGTTACAGAAAAATTAAAGAATTTAGTAAGAAAAACAAGGAGACAGAAATGTCTACTTCCCATCTGTATTTCAGGTTAGATACACAAGTGGGAAGTAGATATTTGTTTAGGAGTCAGTAAAGCGTTATACATACATATTGAATATCACATGTGAGTCAATTTTATTGGTCATCAGGATAGCTGTTCACCAGATTCCTTTCTGGTTGCATGTTGAGTCCTTAAGAATTGACCTTAGGCTGAAAACAGAGCTACCAGACCATGCTCCCTATTTGCTCTGCTCAATCACCTTCAGCACTTTAGCCATTGACCAGTGGCTGGTATAAGATCTTTGCCTTGTTTCCATCCATTCTGTACATATCTATCCAAACCATGCTAGAAAGAAAAGAACACATTTCAAAATGTGGCAGGTTCTTAGACTAAGCTGAGGAAATGGTGAGACATTCAGGGGTTTTTCCAGGTTATATAGAATTATTCATAAAGGGTTTGGGGGTAACATGGCTTGGCTCTGTGTCCTCACCCAAACTTCATCTCCAATTGTAATCCTCATGTGTCTAGGGAGAGGCTGGTAGGAGGTGATTGGCTGATGCCGGTGGTTTCCCCCAAACTGTCCTTGTGATAATAAGAGTTTTCTCATGAGATCTGATGGTTTAAAAGTGGCCGTTTTCTCTGTGCTCTCTCTCTTCTCCTGCCACCATGTAAGAAGTGCCTTGCTTCCCCCTCACCTTCCACCATGATTGTACGTTCCCTGAGTCCTCTCCAGCCATGCAGAACTGTGAGTCAATTAAACCTCCTTTGCTTGTAAATTACCCAGTTTCAGGTAGTTTTTTTATAGATGTGTGAAATTGGACTAATACAGGGGGCAAATAGTGAGTGGTTGCTGATGCATACGGTATTTACTTTTGTGGTGATAAAAATGTTCTGGGACCAGGCACACTGGTTCACGCCTGTAATCGCAGCACTTTGGGAGGCTGAGGCAGACAGATCATCTAAGGTCAGGAGTTCGAGACCAGCCCGGCCAACATGGCGAAACCCCGTCTCTACTAAAAATACAAAAATTAACCGGATATGGTGGCAGGTACCTGCAATCCCAGCTACTTGGGAGGCTGAAACAGGAGAATCACTTGAACTCAGGAGGCGGAGGTTTCAGTGAGTCAAGATCACACCACTGCACTCCAACCTGGGCAACAAGAGCAAAACTCCATCTGGAAAAAAAAAATGTTCTAAAGTTGATTGTGGTGATGATTCTCAATTATTTGAATATATGAAAAAACATTGAATGTATAGTTTAAATGAGTAAATTATATGGTATGTAAATTATATCTCAATAAAGCCGCAATGAAAAACAAAGAACAAAAACCAAGAAGAATGGGACAGAGTCAGGAGGACACAACTTTGACTTCCCAGTGATCAAAAACCCTGATTGACTTTGCAGTGACTTCATTGTTGAGCATTGAAGGCACAGATCTATAACATACTCTTAATTACTACAAAATAATGACCCAGCTGTATTTATGTACAGCCCTTAGAAACATACACTGAGACACCTGAATGATGTTTGTGCACTGTTTGAGAGAAAGAAAGAAAATTAACATTTATTCAGTGCCTGCATTGAAAGTGTCAGGCACTTTGACATATATTTTTCATTTAATTCTTGCAAAATTCTGTAAAACAAGTATTATTATTCCTGTTTTTAATTTTTAATTATTCTTTGTATTATTATTCCTGTTTTATTTATTTTTATTTTATTATTATTGTTATTATCTTGAAACAGTCTCGCTCTGTCACCCAGGGTGGAGTGCAGTGGCATGATCTGGGTTTACTGCAACCTCCAGCTCCCGGGTTCAAGCAATTCCCATGGCTCAGCCTCTCAAGTAGCTGGGACCAAAGGCCTGCACCACCACACCTGGCTAATTTTATTTTGTATTTTTTCTAGAGATGGGGTTTCGCCATGTTGGTCAAACTGGTCTTGAACTCCTGGCCTCAAGCAATCTGCCTACCTCAGCCTCCCAAAATGCTGGGATTACAGGCATGAGCCACCATGCCTAGACTTATTCCTGTTTTAAAGCTAAGAAAACTAGTGCCTATAAAGTTTACGTGTTTTTCCAGGGTCACAAAGCAAGTGATAGAGTCTAGATTCAAATCCAGCTTGTCTGATTATAAGTTTAGTGTCTCTCCTACAATATCATAAAGGTACCATACATTTTGCTTAGCTGTCATGTTTGTCTATCACTAACAACCTTACTATTTGTCTTTTTAATGTACATATTTTCTCTTCATTGGTAGATTTTAAGCATCTTACTGGCAGAAACCGTTTTTTAGATAAATTTTGTATCACTTTTGTAGGCAAACGGAGATGTATAACAATAATAGAATTATAACCTATTGCAGGAGTGATAAAATACCCTCATAATATTGTTCGTAATAAAACAAACAATAAGTCTAGTGCCTTGACCCCATAAAAATTTATTTATTATGATGAAAATGCTAAGCTTGGGATGATAATTACAAGTTTAGAATGATGATTAATTGGGGGTGTTTGAGTTGATGCTATAACCTATGTATGACGTATATACCACTGACGAGCCTCACAATCTGCTGTGCAATAAAAATAACAAAATGGGATTGGGGAAGACCACTCAAAACCTATGCAAATCTATGGCCAAACTTCTATTAAAAAAACTCAAAAAACAATTGGTCCCCCCTCACCCTCCTCCCCTGAGAAACTTTGGACGGTCAAGTAGGCAGCTCGTTGTATCTGCAAACTGCTTCAGGGGATACTAAAAATGCAAAACAGCAATAGAGTAGAAATGCTGGCATGCTGGCATGCAGTTGTGAAGACAGTGTAGATGGAAGACCACTGAGCTATAGAGGGGCATCTGTAAAGGTATGCAGAGGAGAAAGTACAACCTGTACAAGCTGATAGTTCAGCAAGGCTAGAGGTGCACCTCCCTGGGGAGGAGCTATGAAACAAAGTACTCATTTTTCTATTTCTTAAAATAGACCTGAAGGGATTCCTGCCTGTGCAGCATCCAAGCTGAGGGTATTTTATCACTCCTGCAATAGGTTATAATTCTATTATTGTTATACAGCTCCCTTTGCCTACAAAAAATTGCTCTGAATTTATTCAACTTTCAAATTATACTGATATGATGTCCTATATGCCAATTGTGTATTAGCTAATTGTTGTTACATACATATGCTATAGCAGAATAGACTGTATCTTGCTGGGGTGAAGACAATAATAAGCACATCACTCTGAACCCAGACTGCCCAACCCAAACCTGGTTCTACCATGTATACCTTTTTTTTTAATCTTGAAGCCCAATTTACTTAACTTTAAATGAGGGTAATCATGGTATCTAACTCATAGGAATAAATGAGTTAATATAGGCAAAGCCTATGTAGTAATACCTCAATAAATGTTGCCATAAACTTGGAATAACTAACAAGACCAGTGAAAGACACAGGAACTAGTGCAAAGCAGCCCTTAGTTGCAAGGTCCTGGGTGACAGCAGGCTGCAAAATCAAGGAGGAAGTGAGAATTTGATCTAAAGTTAAAGATTCACCACAAAAAACCTAGTAGAAGGAGAAAGTACTTAAGGAAACAGAACATGGATACATTCCCAGAGGCAACTGTAAGTGGAAGGCAGGGTTCATTGGCAGGCAGTGAACAATTACAGGAGATTGACTTACAGAATCCACAGTCCAGATCCAGTATGTAAAGACTGGTCAATAACTGAATGAGAGTAATACTTTTATTTCTACAAAGAACAATGAAGATTCCCAAGTTAAGGAAAAGTCACCTATTTTTAGGGTCCTGTGATAGTGTGCTAAGGGTTGCTATTGTCCAATTTTTTACTTTGTTTCTTTGGTTGTCATTGCCATTTTGTTTCCTTTAAGTCCCTGAAATTATGTTATTGTAAGATTTCAGGTAAGATTAACCAAACACATTTTGCCCAGATAAAGAATTACTGTAAAAGATCAACTCAACCCACTACCTAAGTACTCTGAAGTTCCTGAGAGTGCCCTCTTTGGAAAGCAGAGAAGATGGAAGACGGATAGAGGGTTGGAGGGTGGGGGAGCTAAATCCTGAGAAAGTTATCCGAGATGGGGAAAGATCCCTGAAGGAGAAACCTATGCAGGGCATGCCAACAGCTGAAAAAATTACACTTATCCTCTCAGTTGGCCACTAGTATTGGAATTAGGGGTGGTGGTTTGTTATTCACTGCGTGAGTCCTGACACCAGTTCAATAAGGTGTTGCATTTGTTTGCCAAATAGTATTTTCACACTCTCTAAGGTTGCAATAAACGTACCATATTCTTCTGACCTCCCTGCACTCCCAAAAGCTTCATCCTTCAACAATCTCATATCAGTTGCGGTTCACTGGTTCTTAGTCAGGATAGAGCCTTGTATAGTCCAATGGAACTCATATCCAAGCCATGGTCATTAGACAGACATTAGACAGAAGCTTTTATTTATTTTATTTTTTTCTTTTTGAGAAGAGTCTTGCTCTGTCGCCCAGGCTGGAGTGCAGTGGTGCGATCTTGGCTCATTGCAACCTCTGCCTCCCAGGCTCAAACAATTCTCTTACCTCAGCCTCCTGAGTAGCTGGGGATTACAGGTGCCCGCAACCACACCTGGCTAATTTTGGATTTTTAGTAGAGACGGGGTTTCGCCATATTGATCAGGCTGGTCTGGAACTCCTGAGCTCAAGTGATCTGCCCACCTCAGCCTCCCAAAGTGCTGGGATTATAGGCTTGAGCCACCTGCACCTGGCCATTTGCTTAGTTTTTTTGAGCTGTGAGTAATTTAAGTAGTGTACTTTTTAAAATAAAGCTTCATGAGTCTTCTCAATGAAGCTGTAAATGCACACGGTTATACAGATTTCAGTGTTTTCAGTAAAATGTCTGGGTCTTTCCCAGAAATCACAATATTTAACACATACTATGTACAAAGCATTATTGTAAGTGCTTCATATGTATTCACTTGTTTAATCCTCATAATAACCATATGAAATGGAAACTACTATAATTCCTTTATAGGTAAGGAAACTGAGATACAGAAAAGTCAAATAACTTGCCTAAAGAAGTTAGTCTGAGCACAACCCAACTGGTTGTGAATGACAATTCCCTATTCATACAATCACTGACCCACTCTGCTCTGTAAGGTGATGTCATTGTAATATACTGGATCTGGTTTGAAACAAATACTGGAAACTTTATAGGCCATATCAGAATCTCACTTATAATTCAGTAAATAGGGCCATCTAAAGGTCTTTTAAAGGTTTTTATCTACCAGAAGATCGACCTTTCAGTTAATTCTTATATTTGGGACAGCTGGTTATATAATATTTTGGAATATTATATGAATCCCCTTCAAAGTAGTTATTATGACCACTAGTACTAATCACTTGCTAAATCTACTTTCTGCTTGGTTATCATATATTACCAATGGGGCTGATCAGTCTATTTGATTCCAACATAGTATCTACTTTTTCAGGAAGCATTTGGGTCAGTTAGAGTTCTCTATGTAGTTATATCTTGTTTATACAGCTAGAAAAAAGTAAACACCTATATTTTATAAACAGATGCATACTTAAAATATGTGTTTTTTTCTTTTTATCATCTTTTCCACATGTTCTAGAACACCTATATATTAATGTTTCCTTTTTAAATTAATATCAGTAAAAATTGGCCCGGTGCGGTGGCTCATGCCTGAAATCCCAACACTTTGTGAGGCCGAGGTGGGCGCATCACTATGTCAGGAGTTCGAGACCAGCCTGACCAACATGGCAAAACCCCGTCTCTACTAAAAATACAAAAATTAGCTGGGTTTGGTGGTGCATGCCTGTAATCCCAGCTACTCAGGAGGCTGAGGCAGGAGAATCACTTGAACCTGAAATCGTGCCACTGCACTCCAGCCTGGGTGACAGAATGAGACTCCGTCTCAAAAAAAAATCAGTAAAAATTGAATATCTCCTATTATATTCACACTTTTATATTAAAACTAACTTTTGCACATATTATACTAATCTTCATTTTTCCAGTATAATTATTAATTTATGAGCTTTATATATGCAATTTGTTCCAATTAAGAATAATAATAATAATTTTGATACTCAAATGTGGTGGGTGGGAACTGCTTTAAGATGTCTCCTTTGTCCTTTAAACATTGTCACTAAAATTTTGGAAATTATCCTTGCTTTTTAGTAATACTATTAATAGACAGATGAATAGATAGATAAATAAATTTCCATTTTTTTTTTCTACCCTAAGACTTAGAATCAGTCACCCTCTATGGAATCTTTTTTTTTTTTAAAGTTTAGTAGGTAGTAAGTACACACTCATTGTTGGCTATAAGTACACGTACAAAGCCCATGACTAGTTCCTCTTCATTGGTAACTACCCCTCCTTCATCTCATCCACAGAGTGCTACATGCCCCCATGTTATTACAATGCAGCCTCATCTTTTGACTATAGTTGTTTCACCTGAGACCGAGTATTCTTTGAGACCCTAGGTCCAATTTCCCTTTGTAGGCCTTTATTTTTTTTTTCCTCTTAAGACATAATTGGGGCCGGGTATAGTGGCTCACACCTGTAATCCCAGCACTTCGGGAGGCTGAGGTGGGTCAATCACTTGAGGTCTGCAATTTGAGACCAGCCTGGCCAACACAGCAAAACCCTGCCTCTACCAAAAATACAAAAAATTACCCAGGCGTGATGATGTGCACCTGCAATCCCAGCTACTGGGGAGGCTGAGGCATGAGAATCGCTTGAATCCAGGAGACAGAGGTTGCAGTGAGCCAAGATCTGTCACTGCACTCCAGCCTGGGTGACAGGGTGAAACTGTGTCTCAAAAAAACAAAACAAAATAAACAAACAAAAGAAACCAAACATAATTGGGATTAGCTAATTAGCAAATTAGTAAATTATTATTACTTTTTCACCAAAGTAAATTACTTAAAAATCTCTATACATTTTCTCCTAAAGATAAAAGACACATGTATCTGGCTTGGCTTTAGCTGGTTCAATCAGCCATGACTGATGAGATGGGTCAGAGAGTCATAGAAGATAAAACCTGCCTTGTTTTATTGTTTAGGGATGAAAGGGAAATTTCATGAAGAGGGAGGGAGTGTTGTTGTGTGCCAACCAGGCAACCCAAAAGTATCTAATACAAACTTATAAGTTAAACAAATGATCTCTAAGATAAATTATTGATATTCTAGAGCAGGACAGTCCTATAGAACGTTCTGTGAGGATGCAAATGCTTGCTATCTGTACTATCCAATATGGTAGCCACTAGACATCCATGCTTTTCAGTAATTGAAATGTCACTAGTGCAACTGAAGAAATAAAATTAGTTTTATATGATTTAAATCAATTTAAATTTAAAAAGCCATGTGTGGCTAGCAGTTAGTGGGCAGCACAAGTTTAGAATTCTTGTCGAACCATTGTAGAACAGAATTATTATAACATGCTTATTTAAAACTTCAGAACCTGGAATCAATCCTGGGTACAAATTTGGTCTTTGCCATTAATTATCTGAATAAATGCAAGTAAGCTGGGCCAGGTGCAGTGGCTCATGCCTGTAATCCCAGCACTTTGGGAGGCCGAGGTGGGTGGATCACCAGGTCAGGAGTTCGAGACCAACCTGGCCAATATATAGTGAAACACTGTTTCTACTAAAAATACAAAAATTAGCTGGGCATGGTGGCACACGCCTGTAATCCCAGCTACTTGGGAGGCTGAGGCAAGAGAATCACTTGAACCCAGGAGGCAGAGGTTGCAATGAGCCAATATCACGCCATTGCACTCCAACCTGTGCAACAAGAGCTAAACTCTGTCTCAAAAACAAACAAACAAAAAAGGAAAACAACAAATGCAAGTAAGCTACTTTACTTATGCAAGCCTCTGTTGTTGTTGTTGTTGTTGTTTTCAACAAAAAATAGAAATAATAATCCCGATTTTACAGGATAGTGCTACTCAAAATGTAGTTTGGACATCAGTACCCGTCAAAGAACTATTTGTTACTGATCAGAAGTTAAGAATAAGTATTAAGAAACTTTTATAGAAATTTAACAGAGTAATTTTATGTCTTTTCAATCTAATACAATTTTGGGGGCTGGGTGCAGTGGCTCACACCTGTAATCTCAGCACTTTGGGAGGCCAAGGTGGGTGGATCACCTGAGGTCAAGGAGTTCAAGACCAACCTGCACAACATATAGTGAAACCCCGTCTCTACTAAAAATACAAAAATTAGCTGGGTGTGGTGGTGCACACCTGTAGTCCCAGCTACTTGGGAGGCTGAGGCAAGAGAATCACTTGAACCCAGGAGGTGGAGGTTGTAGGTAGCTGAGATTGTGCCACTGCACTCCAGCCCAGGTGACAGTGCAAGACTCCGTCTCAAAAAAAAAAAAAAAAAAAGGCAAATCAATCTAATACAATGTTGTATGACATTTAAATTTTTCATTTTCGTAGCAAAAAAAAAAAGGCTTCAGTGAAGATGAAAGTAAGGAGATGCTGAAGTAACATAAGCTGGATGTTAAAAAAAAAAAAAAAAATAGGTACAAGCCGGGCATGGTGGCTCACGTCTATAATCCCAGCACTTTGGGAGGCCGAGGTGGGTGGATCACCTGAGATCAGAAGTTCAAGACCAGCCTGGCCAACATGGCAAAACCCCCTCTCTACTAAAAATACAAAAAAAATGTAGCTGGGCATGGTGGCGAGCACCTGTAATCCCAGCTACTCCTGAGGCTGAGGCTGGAGAATTGCTTGATCCCAGGAGGCAGAGGTTGCAGTGAGCCAAGATCAAGCTGTTGCACTCCAGCCTGGGTGACAACAGTGAAACTCTCTCTCAAAAAAAAAAAAAAAAATAGGTACAGCAAAACAACACATATGATAAATAGCCATAGCATCAAACTGAAATTATGTTCAAAATGAAATAATCCTTGTACAGCATACAATAGAGCATCAAAAGAAACAACAGCACATATCTAGGACTTGTTGAAAATTCAGAAATAAAGAACAATAGAAAATGCTTGTTAGGCCAGGCCTGGTGGCTCACGCTTGTAATCCCAGCACTTTGGGAGGCCAAGGCAGGTGGATCATCTGAGGTCAGGAGTTTGAGACCAGCCTGGCCAACATGGTGAAACCCCGTCTCTACTAAAAATACAAAAATTAGCCAGGCGTGGTGGTGGGCACCTGTAGTCCCAGCTACTCGGGAGGCTCAGGCACAAGAATTGCCTGAACCCAGCAGGCAAGGCTGTGGTGAGCCAAGGTCATGCCACTGCACTCCAGCCTGGACGACAGAGACAGACCTGTCTGGAAAAAAAAAAAAAAAAAAAGGCCAGGGCAGTGGCCCACGCCTGTAATCCCAGCACTTTGGGAAGCCAAGGCAGGTGGAACACCTGAGGTCATGAGTTTGAGACCAGGCTGGCCAACATGATGAAACCCTGTCTCTGCTAAAATTAGCCGGGCATGGTGGTGTGCACCTGTAGTCCCAGCTACTTGGGAGGCTGAGGCACGAGAATTGCTTGAACGTGGGAGGTGGGGGTTGCAGTGAGCCAAGATGGCACCATTGCACTCCGGCCTGGGCGACAGAGGGAGACTCCATCTCAAAAAAAAGAAAAAAGAAAAAAGAAAAAAAGAAGAAGAAAAACATCATTGTTAGTATGAAAGAATACTTGGAAAAGATGGTATTAAAAATTAGATGGGGGCTGGGTGCAGTGGCTTATGCCTGTAATCCCAGCACTTTGGGAGGCCGAGGCAGGCAGATCACTTGAGGTCAGGATTTCAAGACCAGCCTGGCCAACATGGTGAAACCCCGTCTCTCCTAAAAATACAAAAATTAGCCCGGCGTGATGGCACACGCCTGTAATCCAGGTACTGGGGAGGCTAAGACAGGAGAATCGCTTGAACCTGGGAGGCGGAGTTTGCAGTGAGCAGAGATTGGGCAACTGCACTCTAGACTGGGTGACAGAGTGAGACTCCGTCTCAAAAACAGACAAACAAAAAAACAGCTGGATGGGGCTGATTCGTCAAACTGAAGCTATACACACGTTGCAATATATTTTGTTTAATATAAATCTGGATGATTAAGTTCCTTCTTCTTTTCCTTCCCCTTTTCTTCCTGCTCTCCTTCCCCCTCCTCTTGTGTTATCTGTGGTTAAGAGCTAATTAGAAAAGCTTTAAGAACTAAGAATAATTGCCCTATATTGTGTGCATCTATGTGTGTGTGTGTGTATGAATGCCCATGCAGAAGAATAGTTTAAAATGTCTAATAAATATTCGAATGAGTAGATCCCATCATTAGTAATATTCCTAATTCCTATTCCCTAAGATGCAACATTAAAAATATTCTGCTTTTGTGTTTTCAGTGTACAGACACTGAAGTGAAATGCTTCCTCAAAATATAAGAATCATAGAAATAAGCAAAGTTATTTGAAAGTTAAAAATTTGAAATGATCACACAGTGAATTGGAATAGAGATCTGCAAAATCATCTAAAGAGACATAATGGCTTGCTGGGACCAACTTAGCAATAACCACACTGAAGATTCTAATATAACAAAAAGAAAAAACTGACAAGCAGATGCATATAAGATTGGGGGATGGGATGTTATTCATCCAGGAATGCAAAGAAAAAGGGGTCACAGAGGCCCAAGTTGTCACTGGCCATCTGGCAAGGTATGGTTGGTGAAGAGGGGGATGGTGCTTCTCAGGTTTTGTGAGTCTTCATCTGAGTCACAGAAATTTAATTCCCATGGAACAGGACACATCAGGCTTTCAAAATGCAATGCCATTAAACATTATAATGAAACAACTGACTCCCCTTATTCTGTATCCCATGTTCACCAAGCAGCCTTCTGCTTATTTGACTTTGTATGCAGTTTATCTACAGGGATGTGCTGATGAGTGATTCTAGTCCACTCAACCATTAATTTTAGATTGGAATTTTGATGTATTAGTCTTTTATTCTTGCCTATCTCGAGCCCATCCTTGGAAAATAGACCCATTGTTAATGTGCTGACAAAATTAGATTTCTGTACTTGTTACACTAAGGACCGGCTTACGGAAAATGGTAAGTCCATTGTAGTAAGGGCCACCATATAAGTCTCTTGACTGTCAATCACTATTCTCCAAATAATAGCCCTTTGCATTCCCTGAGCCAAATGTTCATAACAAGTCAAGGATCCACATTAGGTTTTGATTTTAGCAACAGGATGCCCTCATTAACTGTATGATCGCTTCACTTATTTTTCTACTCTTGATCATGCCTCAAAATGACCCAGATAATACCATTTTGGAAGCTGCAAAAGTAGAGTGTGATGAACACTTAAATGATGCGCTAATCCTAATAACTAAATCAAGATGTAGTTTAGGTGACAGATGATGTTGAAACCAAACTTTGCAATACGAATGACAGGAGAGAACTTTATTCCAAGTAGTGATTTCTAATCTACACACTATGGGATGATAGGACTTTATGATTTCATCTAAATACTGATTATAAAATGGCTTCACATTAAAAGGAAAATTATAGCTGCCTCAAGAATGTGAAATAAACCATCCCATTATTAATGAATTCCCAGAGCAAATATTTATTGAAGGTCCATTAGTCCAAGACACTAAGCCAGGACCAGGGATATTAGGGTGAATAAGACACAGTCTGCATGCTTTTGACACTTATATTGTAATGGGAGATACAGAGAAGAAAGTCAGCAATTACAATATATAAGTGATAAGTGACGGTGAAAGTAATGAATATTCTGGGCCGGGTGCAGTGGCTCACACCTTTAATCCCACCACTTTGGGAGGCTGAGGTGGATGGATCACCTGAGGTCAGGGGTTTGAGACCAGCCTGGCCAACATGGTGAAACCCCGTCTCTACTAAAAATACAAAAAATTAGCAGGGCATGGAGGCGGGTGCCTATAATCCCAGCTACTTGGGAGGCTGAGGCAAGAGAATCCCTTGAACCCAGGAGGCGGAAGTTGCACTGAGCTGAGGTCACGCCACTGCACTCCAGCCTGGGCAACAAGAGCAAGACTCCGTCTCAAAAAAAAAAAAGAAAAGAAAAAGAAAACAATAAATATGCTGGGAGTACATAGAAGTACTTAACCTAGACACAAACAAGGTGCCAGAGAAGATATTGACAACTAAGGTGAGACTCAATGAGAAGAGGAAAAGAAACAGCAGAGTACAGGCACAGGCTTGGAGATCTTCTGAGGAATAAATGTGAATAACCAAACTATAGTGTACAAACTGGAAGTGGCAAGATTAGAGACATAAACAAGGTCAGCAAAACTGTGAAGGCATTTGTAATCCATGTTAGATTCTTTAGAGTTTGCCTAGCGCTCTATTGAAGACTTAAAAAATTTATTATAAATATTTCACAGACACAAAATGCATAGTAATATTAAAAATCTGCATATACATTGTCATGCGCATCCAGTGAAGAGACCACCAAACAGGCTTTGTTTGAGCAATAAAGCTGTTTATTTCTCCTGGCTGCAGGCAGGCTGAGTCCAAAAAGAGAGTCAGAGAAGGGAGATAGGGGTGGGGCCGTTTTATAGGATTTGGGTAGGTAATGGAAAATTACAGTCAAAGGGAGTTGTTCTCTGGCAGGCAGGGGAGGGGGTCACAAGTTGCTCAGTGGGGGAGCTTCTGAGCCAGGAGAAGGAATTTCACAAGGTTAATCACTCAGTTAAGGTGGGGCAGGAAAAAACCACAATGGTGGAATGTCATCAGTTAAGGCAGAAACCGGCCATTTTCACTTCTTTTGTGATTTTCATTTGCTTCAGGCCATCTGGATGTATACATGCAGGTCACAGGGGATATCATGGCTTAGCTTGGGCTCAGAGGCCTGACATTCCTATCTTCTTATATTAATAAGAAAAATAACATGAAATAGTATTGAAGTGTTGGGGAAGCAAAAATTTTTGGGCGTGGTATGGAGAGATAATGGGCGATGTTTCTCAGGGCTGCTTCGAGCAGGATTAGGGGTGGTGTGGGAACCTAGAGTGGGAGAGATTAAGCTGAAGGAAGATTTTGTGGTAAGGGGTGATATTGTGGGGTTGTTAGAAGGAGCATTTGTTGTATAGAATGATTGGTGATGGCCTGGATATGGTTTTGGATGAGTTGAGAGATTAAACAGAAGACACAAGGTCCGAATAAGAGAAGGAGAAAAACAGGTATTAAAGGACTAAGAATTGGGAGGACCCAGGACATCTAATTAGAGGTTACCCAAGGGGGTTCAGCATAATTACTTGCTTGGTTGGCAAGCTTTTTGGCTCTATTCTTGAGTTTTTTTATGTTGTCATATACCAGGCCAGATTGATTTAGGTAAAAACAACACTTCTGATTTAAAAATATACAGAGTCCCCTTTTTTTAAAGCAGTGAGTAAGTCGAGGCCTCGGCGATTTTGGAGGAAAGAGAAATGCAAAGCCAGCAATTGTTTGTTAAAGGAGGATTAGAAATGGCTAGGAGAAAGTGAGTGAGATTGATAGCATGGTGGAGATAGTTGGGGAGAGGTAGAGGGTGGCATAAGAACTGGAACGAGAATAAGAGTGAGTATAAAAGTAAAAAATAGGACTTCATCAGGGTGAAAGTATTGGAGTGTACCTTGTGAGCAAAGATTATCTATCCACTTTAAGAGAGACTTAAGGGTGGTGGTTTGAGTTAAAACCAGGAGATATCAGTTATGATGGTTTGAAGGAAAAGTGTAAACCGGCAGTGTAAACAAAGGTAGGGTATTTACAAGTAGTTGAGAACGGTGAATAGGAGTATGACTAGACAGAAGATAGTGCGGATGACAAGTTTTTGGGGCACAGTCCAAGTTGGGCTGGTATCTGGAATGAAACTGGGGCCTAATAAAAAGGAGCATCCAATAAGGAGCTCAAATGTGCTGTACCCTATAGCATCCCGAGGACAAGCCCAAATTCTGAGAAGGGCAAGTGGTAAAAGTATTGTCCAGTCCTTTTTAAGTTGGAGGCTGAGCTTGGTAAGGTCTGTTTTTAAAAAACCATTAGTCTGTTCTACCTTTCCTGAAGATTAAGGATAGTTAAGGGGTATGAAGGTTCCACGGAATACGATTGCCAGTCCATTATCGGACTGTATAGAGGTGGGAGGGCCAAACTGAGGAATTATGTCTGACAGAAGGGAAGAAATGACCATGGTGGCCTTCTCAGACCCTGTGGGAAAGGCCTCCACCCAATAAGTGAAAGTGTCTACCCAGACCAAGAGGTATTTTAGTTACCTGACTTGAGGCATGTGAGTAAAGTCAATTTGCCAGTCCTGGGCGGGGGCAAATCCCTGAGCCTGTTATGTAGGGAAGGGAGGGGGCCTGAGAAATCCCTGAGGAGTAGTAGAATAGCAGATGGAACACTGAGAAGTGATTTTTTGAGGATAGATTTTTACGATGGAAAGGAAATGAGAGGTTTTAAGAGATGGGCTAGTGCCTTGTAACCTACATGGAAGAGGTTATGAAATGACGACAGAATAGAATGGGCCTGTGAGGCTGGAAGGAGATATTTTCCTTGGTTCAAGAACCATTTGCATTGTGTGGGAAGAGATTGATAGGTGGAAGTTTCAGTGGGAAAGTTGGTGGGAGTGACTGATGAGAAGGAGAAAAACTGGCCATGACAACAGAAGTTGGAATGCTAGCTGCTTCTTTAGTTACCTTATCAGTACAAGCGTTGCCCTGAGTGATGGGATCTGACGTCTTTTGATAGCCCTTGCTATGAAAGACTCCAGCTTCCTTTGGAAGTAAAGCAGCCTTGAGAAGAGTTTTTATTAAAGAGGCATTAATTATGGAGGACCCTTGTGTAGTGAGGAAACCTCTTTTTGCCCATATAACAGGATGGTGGTGCAGGATATAGAAGGCATATTTAGAGTCAGTATAAATATTGATGCGTAGTCTCTTTGCAAGAGTGAGGGCCCCAGTTAAGGCAATGAGTTCAGCTTGCTGAGAGGTAGTGGAGGGCAGCAGAGCAGTAGCCTCAATGATAGATGTGGAAGATACTATAGCATAGCCTGCCTTGCTGGTGAGTGGCTATTAGGCCTGATGGAACCGCCGTCGATAAACCAAGTGTGATCAGGGTGAGGAACAGGATAGAAGAAAATATGGAGAAATGGAGTGAATGTCAGGTGGATTAGAGAGATACAGTCATGGGGGTCAGGTGTGGTATCCAGAATAATGTGGGGGCCAGCCTAAAGCAGTAAGGTCAAGCTGTTTGGATAGAAAGGCTACAGGGTGCGGTCCTGGCTCTTGTGTAAGAATTCCGACCACACAGCCCTGCACTTCAGCTGTGTGTAATGAAAAAAGGGTTGGGATGAGTTAGGGAGAGCTAGTGCGGGAGCTGCTTTTAGGGCTGTTTTTTAAGGAATGGAAAGGGGAGTGGGGAAAGGATTTACAATTTATGGGGTCAGCTAGGTTTTTTGTGTGTGTGAGTTTGTATAATGGCTTTGTTAGGATGGTAAAACCAGGTATCCAAAGGCAAAAGTATACAACCATGCCCAGGAAGGAAAGGAGTTGTTGTTTTGTAAAAAGGGTTGGGGCTTGAGAGATCAGCTGGACACGATTGGCAGGGAGAACATTTGTGTTTTCATGAAGAATTATGCCAAGATAGGTAATGGATGGATGAGGAAGAAATTTGGGCTCGACTGAAGTAATGGGGGCTGTCCGTGAAGCCCTGTGGCAGTACAGCCCAGGTAAGTTGCTGAGGCTGATGGGTGTCAGGGTCAGTCCAAGTGAAAGCAAACAGAGGCTGGGATGAAGGGTGCAAAGGAATAGTAAAGAAAGCATGTTTGAGATCCAGAACAGAATTATGGGTTGTAGAGGGGTTGTGGAGGGAGGTATTGAGAATAGGAGAGTATATGGGTTTGGCACCATGGGGTGGATAGGCAAAACAATTTGGTTGGTAAGGCACAGATCCTGAACTAACTTGTAAGACTTGTCCAGTTTTTGGACAGGTAAAATGGGGGAATTGTAAGGAGAGTTTATAGGCTTTAAAAGGCCATGCTGTAACAGGTGAGTGATAACGGGCTTTAATCCTTTTAAAGTGTGCTGTGGGATGGGATATTGGTGTTCAGCAGGGTAAGGGTGATTAGGTTTTAATGGGATGGTAAGGGGTGCATGATCGGTCACCAAGGAGGGAGTAGAGGTTTCCCATACATGTGGATTAAAGTGGGGGGATACAAGGGAAGGATGTGAAGGAGGCTTTGAACTGGGGAAAAGGGTGGCAATGAGGTGTGGCTGTAGCCCAGGAATAGTCAGGGAAGCAGATAATTTAATCAAAATGTCTAGACCTAATAAGGGAGCTGGGCAGGTGGGGATAACTAAAAAGGAGTGCATGAAAGAATGTTGTCCAAGTTGGCATCAGAGTTGGGAAGTTTTAAGAGGTTTAGAAGCCTGGCCATCAATACCCACAACAGTTATGGAGGCAAGGGAAACAGGCTCTTCAAGAGAAGGTAATGTGGAGTGGGTAGCCTCCGTACTGATTAAGAAGGGGACGGACTTACCCTCCACTGTAAGAGTTACCAAAAGCATCTGTGATGGTCCAGGAGGCTTCCGAGGTGATTGGGCAGCATCAGTTTCAGCTGCTAAGCCAAGAAGATCTGGGAAGGAGTCAGTCAGAGAGCCTTGGGCCAGGGTTCCAGGGGCTCTGGGAGTGGCTGCCAGGGGAGTTGGACAGTCCAATTTCCAATGGGGTCCCACACAGATGGGACATGGCTTAGGAGGAAACCCGGGCTGTGGGCATTGCTTGGCCCAGTGGCCAGATTACTGGCACTTGAAGCTAGATTCTGATGGAGGAGAGCCTGTAGGAATACTTGACCACTGCGGCTTAGGCATTTTGAAGTTCTTGTGTGCTGGAGATGTGGCTGGGATTTCTCTCACAGTGGAGGCAAGGAATTGTTCAGAAATATGTTGCTACTTGGCTCCCTCTACTCTATTATTGTACACCATCAAGGTGAGATTAATTAAGTCATGTTGTGGGGTTTGAGGGCCAGAATCTAATTTTTGGAGCTTTATTTAATGTTGGGAGCAGATTGAGTAATAAAGTGCATATTGAGAATAAGACGGCCTTCTGACCTTTCAGGGTCTAGGGTTGTAAAGCTTCTCAGGGTTGCTGCAAAACAAGCCATGAACCAGGCTGGGTTTTTATATTTGATGAAAAAGAGCCTAAATGCTAACTGATTTGGGAGAGGTCGGATAAAGAAAAAGGAGCACTAACCTTGACTATGCCTTTAGCTCCAGCCACCTCTTTAAGAGGAAATTGCTGGGCAGGTGGGGGAGGGCTAGTCACAGAATGAAACTGTAAGCTGGACCTGGTGTGAGGAGGGGAGGTGATAGAAGGATTATAGGGTGGGGGAGCAGAGGCTGAGGAAGAATCAGAGCCTGATTCAGCGTGGCGGGGAGTGACCTGAGGAAGAGCAGTCTGGGGAGGAGGGGAGAGGTCAGATGGGTCGGTAGAAAAGGAAGATTGAAAAGACTCAGTGACACTTGGGGTTGGGACTGAGGGGACAGGCAGGAGGGAAAGAAGGATTTCGGATGAGTCGCATTGGGAACAGAGACTAGGGAGGGACTGATGTGTAAAAGAATGCCTGGACATCAGGCACCTCAGACCATTTGCCCATTTTATGACAAGAATTATCTAGATCTTGTAGGATGGAAAAATTGAAAGTGCTGTTTTCTGGCTATTTGGAACCATTGTCGAGTTTGTATTGGGGTCAAGTGGTATTGCAGAAGAAAATAAGACATTTCGGTTTTAGATCAAGTGTGAGTTGAAGAGGTTTTAAGTTCTTGAGAACACAGGCTAAGGGAGAAGAAGGAAGACTGGAGGGTGGAAGGTTGCCCATAGTGAAGGAGGCAAGCCCAGAGAAAAGAGAGGGTAGAGACACGGAGAGAAGGGATGGGGGGTGCTTGCCCCCCAGGAAAGTGTGCTTGCCACTAAGGGTGAAGGATCAAGGCAGGTGTCCCCAGTGATCAGAGACCTCTGAAATGTGGGTGAATAATCAAGCAGGCATCCCCACAGTAATTAAACACCAAGGGAAGACTGTCTTCCCGAGTCTGTGACCGGCGCTGGAGTTTTGGGTTCATGGATAAAACGCATCTCCTCTGTCTCTACCAGAAAAGGAAAGGAACTGAAATTAAGAGAAGAGAGAGATTGAAGGATGGTGCCAAGATTTAAAGGAGAAAGAGGTTTAGGGATAGTGAGAGAGGTTGGAGAAGAAAGTAAAAAGAGGCCGCTTACCCAATTTAAAATTGGTGAGATGTTCTTTGGGCTGGTTGGTCTGAGTACCAGAGGTCGTAGGTGGATCTTTCTCATAGAGCAAAGAGCAGGAGGACAGCGGATTGATCTCCCAAGGGAGGTCCCCTGATCTGAGTCACGGCACCAAATGTCATGCATGTCCGTCTGAAGAGACCACCAAACAGGCTTTGCGTGAGCAATAAAGCTTTTTAATCACCTAGGTGCAGGCAGGCTGAGTCCAAAGAGAGTGTCAGCGAAGGGAGATAGGGGTGGGGCCGTTTTATAGGATTTGGGTAGGTAAAGGAAAATTACAATCAAAGGGGGTTGTTCTATGGCAGGCAGGGGCGGGGGTCACAAGGTGCTCAGTGGGGAAGCTTCTGAGCCAGGAGAAGGAAGTTCACAGGTTAATCGCTCAGTTAAGGTGGGGCAGGAACAAATCACAATGGTGGAATGTCATCAGTTAAGGCAGGAACCGGCCCTTTTCACTTCTTTTGTGATTCTTCACTTGCTTCAGGCCATCTGGATGTATACATGCAGGTCACAGGGGATATGATGGCTTTGCTTGGGCTCAGAGGTCTGACACACATCACTAAGCTTAAGAAATAAAACATAAATACTCGTGTTCCAGTGAACCAACAACACTCCAGCCTGGGTGACAGAGCAAGACTATCAGAGGTGTTTGAAACAGGGTGACTCCATCTTGAATAGCGGCTGGGTAAACTAAGGCTGAGACCTACTAGGCTGCATTCCCAGGAAGTTAAGGAGGTCGGCACAATACAAGTCACAAAGACCTTGCTGATAAAACAGCATGCGGTAAAGAAGCCAGCCAAAACCCACCAAAAGCAAGATGGTGTTAGATATGAGTTCTAAATTTCTTTTCAAAGAATTAATATGTCAGTATGTTCAATTCTTTGCCTTCTACTTTTAAACTTCCTCATAAAGCAATCTTTTTCAATTACCTACTCCACCCTGACTCATTCTGATCACCTGCTCCACCCTACATTCCAATCACTGGCTCCACCCTAACTCATTCCAATTACCTGCTACCTGCTCTGCCCTGACTCCCGCCAAAGCACTCACCCCTTCATTCTCTTTAAATTAGCCAATCGGAATTAGTTTAGGCTGTGCAGTCTAACCCTAGCCAATAGGGGAATGACACAGCAACAGGGGCCACGTGCTTCAGGGATAAGAACCCCTTCCCCTCCCTTGTCCAAATGAGCGCTTACCATTGTTTGATCTGTAAGGGTGCACCCTTCTATATAGAAGTAACTTGCCTTGCTGAGAATTAAAAAGAAAATTTTATATTCGAGTGCTACTTCTTTTGTGGCACCAAAACTTTATATATAACAAAAGTGACCTCTTGGTCATCTTCACTGCTCATTATATGCTAATTATAATACATTAGCATGCTAAGAGACACTCCCACCAGCACCATGACAGTTTACAAATGCCATGGCAATGTCAGGAAATTACCCTATATGGTCTAAAAAGGAGAGGAACCCTCAGTTTCAGGAATTGCCTACCCCTTTCCTGGAAAACTCATGAATAATCCACCCCGTGTTTAGGGTATACAAAAATAACTGAGTATTCTTAGTTGAGCAGCCTGTGCCACTGCTCTGTCTATGGAGTAGCCATTCTTTATTCCTTTACTTTCTTAATAAACTTGCTTTTACCTTACTCTATGGATTCGCCTCAAATTCTTTCTTGCAAGAGATCCAAGAATGCTCTCTTGGGGTCTGGATAGGGACCCCTTTCCGTTGACAAGACCTATCACAGAAAAAAAAATCACATAAGTACTCTTTAAAAAGAGGAAAAACCTAAAAAGCAAAAATTAAAAATACATATACAATACAAACACACACAGTAGAATTTTCTTATATACCCCTGATGGTGTTTTTCTCCTTCGTGCTCCATTGAAACCACTATCTTGAATTTGGCGTTATTATTCCCACACATTTGGCTTCGTACTTTAACTATATCCATAACTCTAAACAACTCAAACAAATGGTTGAGGGGTGAGTAAGGTTGCCAGACGAAATACAAGGTGTCGGCGAAAAGAGTCAATCTGTAAAATATTAGAAGAGATTTATTCTCAGCCAAATGTGAGTGATCATGTTCTGTGACACAGACCTCAGGAGGCCCTGAGAACATGTGTCTCAGGTGGTCCGGGAGCAGCTTGGTTTTACTCATTTTAGGGAGACATGGGACATTAATCAAATACATTTAAGAAATACATTGTTTGGTTCAGAAAAGCAGGACAACTCAAAGTGGTTGGTGAGGAGGGCTTTCAGTATGATTTAAACATTTTCTGGTTGACGGTTGAGTTTATCTAAATACCTGGGATCAATAGAAAGGAAATGTCTGGCTTGCTGAGACCAAAGTTTTATCAAGCAGATGAAGTCTCCAGGTAGCAGGCTTCAGAGAGAATAGATTGTAAATGCTTCTTATCAGATTTAAGATCTGTGTTGATGTTAATGCCTGAGAGGTATCATGAAGCAGATCCGACCCCCACTTCTCATCATGGCCTCAAGCAATCTCTAAGGTTAATTTTTTTTTTTCTTTTTTTGAGACGGAATTTCACTCTTGTTACCCAGGCTGGAGAGCAATGACACAATCTGAACTCACTGCAACCTCCACCTCCTGGATTCAAGCGATTCTCCTGCCTCAGCCTTCTAAGTGGCTGGGGTTACAGGTGCCTGCCACCATGCTCAGCTAATTTTTGTGTTTTTAGTAGAAACGGGGTTTCACCATGTTGTCCAGGCTGGTCTTGAACTCCTGACCTCAGGTGATCCGCCCGCCTCGGCCTCCCAAAGCGCTGGGATTACAGATGTGAGCCACTGCACCCAGCCTCTCAGGTTAAATTTTAGGAGCTCCCTGGCCATGGAGGAAGTCCATTCAGATGATTGGGGGGCTTTACAATTTTATTTTTGGTTTACAGAAGTGCCCAGGTAAATGTGAATTTCAGATAAACAACAATTTTTTTTTTTTTTTTTTTTTGAGATGGAGTCTTGCTCTGTCGCCCAGGCTGGAGTGCAGTGGCGCCATCTCAGCTCACTGCAAGCTCCGCCTCCCAGGTTCATGCCATTCTCTTGCCTCAGCCTCCCGAGTAGCTGAGACTACAGGCGCCCGCCACCAGGCCCGGCTAATTTTTTGTATTTTTTAGTAGAGACGAGGTTTCACTGTGTTAGCCAGGATGGTCTCGATCTCCCGACCTCGTGATCCACCCACCTTGGCCTCCCAAAGTACTGGTATTACAGGCATGAGCCACTGTGCCTGGTCAACACCAATATTTTTTTTTTTTAAGTGTAAGTACATCCCAAATATTGCATGGGACAATACCTCAAGTATTACAAATATCCCTGTCCTATTTGGGATACACTTATACTAAAAAGTTGTTGTATATTTGAACTTTAAATTTAACTGGGTGTCCTGTAATTTTATTTGATACATCTGGCAATCCAAGGGGTGAGTGATGTGAGGTTTTGTGTGTGCAAGCACAGGTGGGAAATGGGAGTCACAGATCAGTTAGGAGACAGTTTCAAGTGATAGTAGCCTGAACCCAAATATGGCTAGTGGTATAAACCAAAAATAAAATTCTAAGATCCCCCTTCCAACCGTCTATCTGAATGGACTTCCTCCTCATTCACGGCTCTTTTAAAATTTAACTGCAGAGACTGTTTCAGGTCCTGATGGGAAGTGGTGGTCGAACATGCCTCATTATACCTCTTCATCATTAACATCAGCACAGACTTTAAGTCTGATAAGAAACATTTTACATTCTCTTCTCTCTGAAGCCTATACTTGAAGGCTTCCTCTGCAAATAAGAACTCGGGTCTCCATCATCCTTTATCTTAAGCCAGACATTCCTTTCTGTTAATTCTAGGTCTTTAGACAAACTCAACCAATTATCAACCAGAAAATGTTTAAATATACCTATAAGCCGGGCGCAGTGACTCAGGCCTGTAATCCCAGCACTTTGGGAGGCCAAGGCAGGCGGATCACTTGAGGTCAGGAGTTCAAGAACAGCCTGGCCAATATGGTGAAACCCCGTCTCTACTGAAAATATAAAAATTAGCCAGGCATGGTGGCACACGCCTGTAGTCCCAGCTATTCGGGAGGCTGAGGCAGGAGAATTGCTTGAACCCAAGAAGCTGAGGTTGCAGTGAGCCGAGATACCATTGTACTCCAGCCTGGATGTCCCAGGGAGACTCGTCTCAAACAAAACAAAACAAAACAAAACAAAAACAAATAAATTTACCGATAGCCTGAAGTCTCCCTCACCACCTCAAGTTGTTCTGCCTTTCTGGACCAAACCAATGTATTTCTTAAATGTGTTTGGTTAATGTCTCGTGCCTCCCTAAAATGTATAAAACTAAGCTGCACCCGACTACCTGGGGCACATGTTCTCAGGACCTCCTGAGGGCTGTCCTCATATTTGATTCAGAAGAAATCTCTTCAAATATTTGACAGAGTTTGACTCTTCATCGGCAGTGGAAAAATCAAGAGAAAGAGTTCCATTTTAGAGCTCTGCAGTAGGTAGAAAGGTCAAGATTTTGTGACTGGCTGAATGTGGGGTTTATGGCTGTTAACAGTGGAGGGGGTCCAGGTTCTTGGCATCTTGAACAAAGAATTGGACAAAACGCACAAACAAAGCAAGGAAGAATGAAGGGTTTTATTGAAAATGAAAGTACACTCCACAGCGTGGGAGCAGCATAGGGGTTCAAAGGACCTGTTACAGATTTTTTGGGGAGTGTAAATACCCCCTAGAGGATTCCATTGGTTACTTGTGTTACACCCTATGTAAATGGAGAGGATGAAGTAAAATTACAAAGTTATTTACAGCATACATCTCATAGAGAGGATATTTCCTGTCATAGCTGAAGTGTGAATTGGCCTTGTGTTCCCTGCCTCCAGACCCTATTTTCCTGCCTCATGGCAAGGGAGGAGTCAAAGGTAATGAGAAGTGAAATATGGATTTGGTCAGTGAGATTGCTGATGGAGATGAGTTTCATTTTGGAAGTTTTGAGTTAGTTGTTCTTGAGGAATTTTTATTTTATTTTATTTTTGAGATGGAGTCTTGCTCTGTCACCCAGGCTGGAGGGCAGTGGCATGATCTCGGCTTACCGCAACCTCTGCCCCCAGGTAAAAGTGATTCTCCTGCCTCAGCCTTCCGAGTAGCTGGGATTACAAGCGCCTGCCACCACGCCCAGCTAATTTTTGTATTTTTAGGAGAGACTAAAAATACAATATGGGGTTTGGCCATGTTGGCCAGGCTGGTCTCGAACTCCTGACCACAGGTGATCCACCCGCCTCGGCCTCCCCAAGTGCTAGGATTATAGGCGTGAGCCACTGCGCCCAGCCCGGAGTATTTAGACTACAGATACAGATGTAGTTACATATATTCTGAGCAATAAAGTAATTTAAAATAAAACATATTCAGGAAGCTATGGACACATGTACTGACCCTTGTCTATCTATACCATTTAATCTCTTACACACTACCCATTGTGCCTTTTTTTTTTTTTTGAGACAGTCTTGCCCTGTCACCCAGGCTGGATCTCGGCTCACTGTAACCTCCGCTTGCCAGGTTCAAGCATTTCTCCTGCTCGGCCTCTGTAGTAACTGGGATTATAGGCATGTACCACCAAGCCTGGCTAATTTTTATATTTTTAGTAGAGATGGGTTTTCGTCATGTTGGCCAGTCTGGTCTCGAACTCCTGGCCCCAAGTGATCCGCCTGCCTCGGTCTTCCAAAGTGTTGGGCCTACCCATTGTGTCTTAACCTCTTCTTTCACTAAAAAACCCATTCCTGTCTCTGTTCTAATTCTCTTGTTTCTAGCCTTTGTCGATCTAAAAATAATTTTAATTATGAATGTTTCACTTTATCTTTTCCTTTTCATCTCATTGACTCAGCCTTTCACTGTGCTCCTGGCATTTTTTCTCCTTCTTCCTCCAAATCAGTCTGTAGGTTTTATCTGTCTCAAAGGAATTTCTTCCTTCAGGAACTTCCAGCTGTTATTGGCTCTGGTTTCCTTGGCAACCCCTGCTTCTCAGATTTTTTTTCTGATTACTTAAGAGAAATTTTACAAAATCACTGATAACCACTGATCAGAAACCGTAGAAGAAAGGGAAAGTGCTCTGCATTGCCTCTGAGAAAGGAAGGGGGCAGATTTAGAGGAAAGAGAAAAATACTGAGACCCAGGGAGATGGAAGTAAAATGTGTGAATTAAGTATTGATTTACATGGTTTGTTATTTTCATCTGTCAGTGTACTGCTGTGTCGTCAGATTTCAGAGACAATTACCTCATTAGTTAGATAGCCCTATCATCTATCAAACAAAATACTCCTAGATCTTGTTCAACCATTGTGGAATGTAGGAAATCATATTCCAGATTATTGTGAGAATATAAAACACAAATCTTCAGAGAAGATGAAAGAAAAAAGATGTAGACTAAACTTGCACTAATATTTACATTAGAAACATTATTAGTATGCAATGCAATGAGAATTGAGTAAGGTTAGTAACTACAGATCCTAATTGGAAGTCTGTTGATATATTTAAAAAATATAACGAGTGAGATTTTATTTTGTACAGTACTGCTGTTCTGTATTTCATGTTACCATACTACTGCTTTTGTTAAATGAAGACACCAGGACAGGGATTAGGTGCTTTGTGTAGGGCTAATAGAGATACATAAATTTCTGGCAAAATTCACAACGTTCTTTCTTAGAGACAGATTTAACTGTCTAGTCAGTGTTTGGTGTTGGTGAGCACATAACTATCTAACAAAACTCTCATTAGAAAAAGTTGAAAAACATTCATTTTTCAGAAGCTTTTTGCTATTCAAGGCAAATTGAGCATTATTGAGTTAACTACACCAGGAGAGAAATTAATTTGCTAATTTGTAGAACTACAGAGTATTACCTAGCAAATTCAGTAGTTTAGTTCTCAGGGTTTTTTTTTTTTTCCTTTTGGCATGGAGTCTAGCTCTGTTGCCCAGGCAGGAGTGCAATGGCACAATCTCGGCTCACTGCAACCTCTGCCTCCCAGGTTCAAGCGATTCTCCTGCCTCAGCCTCCCAGGTAGCTTGGATTATAGGGGTCCACCACCACGTCCGGCTAATTTTTGTATTTTTAGTAGAGACGGGGTTTCGCCATGTTGGCCAGGCTGGTCTCGAACTCCTGGCCTCAGGTGATCCACCCGCCTCAGCCTCCCAAAGTGCTGGGATTACAGGCGTGAGCCACTGCGCCTGGCCAGTAGTTTAGTTCTATACTTGAATTGATGGATTGCATTCTATCTTGTAAAATTTGAATAAAAAGTAAATACAGTGTTTACCAGTGAAGTTATTTACTCATTACATATTGATATAATTGATAATCACTACATATTTTATCATATTGAATTCAAGACACTGTGATAACAGATTTTTTTGAAGCAAAATCCTGTTTTAAGTCTTTGGATATAGTACTTTTGCTGACCACTCTTGCATTTGTCTCTCCAACATTATTCCCCACCTCATTCCCATTATGAAACAGTTCACTGTTTGGAGAGCTGGGCCCCACCTCCGGCTCCGAGATCAATCCTGATTGGGTGAAACTAATCTGAGTAACCCCTCCTTCACAGGGGTTTGTCAGATAACCCAGGCTTGAGCCAATCACCGTTCTCTGGGACACAGATTGGACTGAGTTATCTTGTAACTGTCATACTCCAGATTTATGTGGGAGCAGGAACTCCTTTGGACCTTAAGGAGGAAGCACGTGGCTGCTTTTACCTGCTGGCAGTTATCTTGTGTTCTTGAAGGAAGCAGGCCTGAGGAGGACTCCTCATACAGAGAGAAACACCGAGAGATTCACTGAAAAACTGACATGGGATCCTGAGGGGCCACTCTTGAAGACTTATCTCTGCACCTTTCTGGTATGTAAGTCAATACATTCCTTTAATTTAACCCTGTTTCAATTGAATTTATTGTTACTTCTACATGAAAAACAAAAAGTCCTAAATGATATATCTACTCTTTGGCTTCATGTAAGAATTCAAGAGTGTAGCAGCTAATTTCAGTGTAGTTATATTGGGATTATTTAAGAAGTTTATTTAGCATCTCATTACTGAGTCTGCAGTTGTCTTAGTACCTTGTAGATACTTGGGGTTTTGTGTTCTAATAGACTGATTAATTCAACAACTGCTTATTATTAATATAAGCATTCACTCCCTGTAGGGCACTGTGCATACAGCAATGATCAGCATGATTCCAGTGCTCAGAGAGCTCCAAGGATTAGTTGAGACCAGACAAGAATATCAAGGAGGCATGCAGAAGTTACAATGGGAAATCAAAAAGAAGACAAAGGAGGGACACCTAATTCAGAACGATGGGTTTGTTGGATAGGAGAGAAAAGGAGACGAATGGGCAGGTATCATCAAAGATTCCTAAGAAGAAGTTCCTAACTTCTGTTTTTGTGCCATTGACTCTTTGGCAGTGTGGAGAAACCCAGGGACCCATTTTCAGAACAGTGTTTTTAAATGCATAAAATATTTTGGATTAAAAGGAAACTCTGAGTATTGAAATACCTAACAAAATATTTTAAAAGCAAATTTGTAATACAGTAATGTATATGCTTCTTTATTAACTAATTAAAGAACAAGATATAGCAATGAGCATACCTATTAAGATAATTTTAGAGGTACTAATGACTATAAATGAAATTTTGAGTTGTCTGCAGCAACTGTTATGTGAAATGAAAATACCTGTGGTTTTTTTGGTTGTGAAGTCACAGGTACTACTAATGCTAATACTATTGTGGTTTGTGGCATACGTTCATAATAGAATGACATGCTAAATTTTATTTGGAAAGTTAGTTCAACACAATTTCCTGGCTCTGAATTCTATGCCAAGTTAAAAAAAAATTTGTGCTAAGAAGGGATAAAATTTGATGTAATTCTTTTATTTATTTATTTATTTTTTTAGACAGAGTCTCGCTCTATCGCCCAGGCTGGTGTGCAGTGGTGCAATCTCACTGCAACCTTTGCCTCCTGGGTTCAAGCCATTCTCCTGCCTCAGCCTCCCGAGCAGCTGGGACTACAAGCAGACGTCACCATGCCTGGCTGATTCTTTTTGTATTTTTCAGTAGAAATGGGGTTTCACCATGTTGGTCAGGCTGATCTTGAACTCCTGACCTCAAGTGACTTGCCCACCTCGGCCTTCCAAAGTGCTGGGATTACAGGCATGAGCTACCACGCCCAGCCCCAGAAAGCTTTTCTGATCATCCAATTTCTATTTTCCCCAAATAGAATTAATGACTTCCTTTTCTATATTGTATTGGGAGCTTATATAATTTCAATCCTTGTATTTTTCATAATGTATTACAATCATATTTCTATCTTTTTTATAATATATTGTAATCTTACATTTCTGTCATTTTTACAAGCCCTTAAAAATAATGGATGGGGCCAAGTGCAGTGGCTCACACCTGTCATCTCAGCACTTTGGGAGGCTGAGGTGGAAGGATCACCTGGGCCCAGGAGTTCAAGACCAGCCTGACCAACATAGTGAGACACGGCCTCTATAAAAAATAATAATAATAATGAATGGGCTGGGGGCAGTAGCTCACACCTGTAATCCCAACACTTCAGGAAGCCGAGGTGGGTAGATGGCTTGAGTCCAGGAGTTTGAGACTAGCCTGGGTGACATGGCCAAACCCAGTCTCTACAAAAAAATACAAAAATTAGCTGGGCCCTGTAGTCCCAGCACTTGGGAGGCTGAGGCGGGAGGATCCACTTGAGCATGGGAGGTGGAAGTTGCAGTGAGCTGAGATCATGCCACTGCACTCCAGCCTAGCTGACAAAATGAGACTCAAAAAACAACAAAAAATAAGTCTTGGTGTGGTGGCTCATGCCTGTAATCCCAGCACTTTGGGAGGCCGAGGTGGGCGGATCACCTGAGGTCAGAAGTTCGAGACTCAGCCTGGCCAACATGGTGAAACCCCATCTCTATTAAAAATACAAAAATTAGCTTGGCATGGTGGTGGAGACCTGTAATGCCAACTACTTGGGAGGCTGAGGCAGGAGAATTGCTTGAACCCAGGAGGCGGAGGTTGCAGTGAGCTGAGACCACACCATTGCATTCCAGCATGGGCAACGGGAACAAAACTCTGTCTCAAAAATAAAATAAAATAAAAAATAAAAAAGGATGATATTTATTTATTTATTTATTTATTTTTAAAGACAGGATACCTGTCACTTAGGCTGGTGTGCAGTAGTGCAATCCTAGTTCACTGCAGCCTTGGACTCCCAGGCTCAAGTGGATCTCCCACCCCAGCCTCTTGAGTAGCTGGGACTGCAGGTGTTTAGCACCACAGGTGGCTAATATTTTATATTTTTTGATAGAGATGGGGTTTCACTATGTTGCCCAGGCTGGTTTCAAACCCCTGACCTCAAGTGATCCTCCTGCTTTGGCCTTTCAAAGTGTTGGGATTACAGGTATGAGCTACCACACCTGGCCTGAATATTATTTTTGATATGTATGGTGTTTGATTTTACTGGAGGGATACTTATGAGTTTCCACATTCCATGGGTGACATCCATGGGTGACAGCCACTAATAAAGAAATTTCAAATTCAGACTCTAGTGATAGAATACTTCACAAGTATAACGGGATATTATTTGGTGTAGGTTTTTAGTAATAGGATGCTGGCCACTTACCCTATACACACGCTTTGAATATTGGTGTTTTCAAGATTTTGTTCTATATGGACCTTCTTAATTTCTCATTCTATAAACTTTTCTTTGGGGAACTCACCCACTTCTGGAGCATTAATTACTGTGTAATGATAACTTCTGAATCCAGCCCATACCTAGTTCTCTGTTACCTAAGGATCACTTGCAAATATCTAAAATGTAGAACATCTAACTCCCTACAGATAAGCAACTTTCAACTCAATATGCTAAGATTGAACTCATTTTTAAAAACCTCTTAAACCTTTTTCTGCCTCACTCTTACTAACTTGGTTCATGCTCTCATCATCTGATTTACTGCATACTTCTTTAAAGTTCTGTTCTTGATGCATACTTCTCTAAAGTATGAGTGACTGAATTTTCTTTTTTTTAATTTTTTTTTTTTTTTGAGACCAAGTTTTGCTCTTGTCACCCAGGCTGGAGTGCAATTACACGATCTTGGCTCACTGCAACCTCCACCTCCCAGGTTCAACCGATTCTCCTGCCTCAGCCTCCCGAGTAGTTGGGACTACAGGCACCCACCATCATGCCCGGCTAATTTTTGTATTTTTAGTAGAGACAGGGTTTCACCATGTTGCCCAGGCTGGTTTGAACTCCTGACCTCAAGTGATCCACCCGCCTCAGCCTTCCAAAGTGCTGGGATTACAGGCATGAGCCACTGCGTTCGGCCTGAGTCACTGAATTTTCTATAAAGGTGATTGCATTATGCTATTCCCTGTTTAAAGATCTCTAAAAAGACTATTCCTTTTTTTTTTTGGACAGAGTCTCACTCTGTCCCCAGGCTGGAGTGCAGGGGCACAATCTCAGCTCACTGCAGCCCCCGCCTCCTGGGTTCAAGCGATTCTTCTGCCTCAGCCTCTCGAGTAGCTGCGAGTACGGGCACAAGCCACCACGCCCAGCTAATTTTTGTATTTTTAGTAAAGACAGGGTTTCACCATATTGGCCAGGCTGGTCTCGAACTCCTGACCTCGTGATCTGCCCGCCTCAGCCTCCCAAAGTGCTGGAATTACAGGCATAAGCCACCGCGCCCGGCCAAGTGTAAACTTTTAAGATGACATACAAAGCCCTGCATGACCTGGCCCTTCCTCTCTCTCTAGCCTTACTGTCAGATTTGACTGTACCACATTCTAGCATTGAAGTATTGGGCAAGTTTTTTTTAACTGTCAAGTGAGGATACTAATGCTAATCAGGGGGAGATAACAGCATATAAAGTGCCAAGCATACTGCCTGGCTTAGCGTTAACAATAAATATTGGCTATTGTGGAAGAAGCAAACATTATTGCATGTATTTTTTCAGTCTCTACTGCTGTCTCAAGAGGATGCTTTGAACTGTTGATTGGGTAATGTTTTAACATAAACGGAACTCTCCACTCCACCGAAAAAGAAAGAAGAGGAAGAAACAGATTTATCTGAACAGACTGAGAAGAAAATTGGAGGTGAAAAGTTGAGTGACTGGGGAGGATTAAGAGAGGCCCATCGAGTTGTTTGTTTGCGGAGATGAGTTAGCAGTAGTATAAACTTTAAGAAAGAAGAGATCTGGCCGGGCGCAGTGGCTCATGCCTGTAATCCCAGCACTTTGGGAGGCTGAGGCTGGCGGATCACTGAGGTCAGGGGTTCAAGACCAGCCTGGCCAACACGGTGAAACCCCGTCTCTACTAAAAATACAACAATTAGCTTGGTGTGGTGGCGCAGGCCTATAATCCCAGCTACTCTGGAGGCTGAGGCAGGAGAATCGCTTGGACCTGGGAGGTGGAGGTCGCAGTGAGCCGAGATTGCACCACTGCACTCTAGCCTGGACTACAGAGACTCTGTCAAAAAAACAAAAAAACAAAAAAAAGAGAGAGAGATCTGAAGTATTTGCTCTCAGAACATAGGGGGACTTTGGAGAGTTAAATGGGTGAAGATCTTTAGGATGTTTTGCTAAGCCCCCTCCTTACGTCCTCAGTGGCCAGCTTTAGTTACTTTGTTAAAGTTTTATGGTTGGCAGATTTACGTTTCTTCAGAGTTTGACACTAGGTTGAGGTTGGCCATGAACTAATACAATTATATTTCAGTTACACGATTCTTTGCCCTCCTTGAGTGTCCCCACCCTCATATATGTTAACTCTGACATCTGCCCGAAATTCATTCATCTAATAAATATTTGAGTGGCCTCCCCTCTTTCCGATTGCTGGACAGCCCATCATTTTCCAAAGTCAGCACCTAAACTCTTCTATGACTTTCCTGACAACTCAACACTAAAATTCGTCCCTCCCTTTTTTGTGTGCAACCCACCTCCCCGCCTCCGCTTTTAATTGTTTGGCCTTCATTCCTCTTCTACAGTGCTCCCTGCAATCAGTACTGGTGCTGTACATATTTGCTAGCTTCGTACATACGGCACGAAGTAGATGCTCAGTAAATGTTGGTTGACTGAGTATCCTCTGCATCTCGGTGACATCACATCCTGCGTGCCGTGGCGTCATTCTGCATTCCTCTGCGGGAGGCTCAGATCCGGAGGGTTTAAGTGGTTGTTTATAACATGCACCGAACATATCCAACGGAGGCTGTGGTTTCCGACCGCCCACAAAAAGCGCGGTTGGCGGGAGTGCGGGTTCGGGGTCGGCTGGCAGCTGGGAGACTCCAGCTCTGGGCGGAAACACACTGCCTCGGAGGCGCCGGCGCCTAGTGATTCTGGGAATAGAAGGTGCGAGGGAGGGAGCGGGTGGCTCACTTATCGCGGTGTTTTCTCTCTCTTCACTCCTGGGGGAGCTCTCGCGAGAGGAGCAAGAGGAAGATGGCCGTGCCCTGTTTTTCGGTGTAAGGCAGCGACGGCGGCTGCGACGGCGAGACTGAGATCCTGGTGTCGTGGGCACCTGAGTTCTAGCTTCCCCCAGCGAGCGCGCGTCCCTTCGTGCCTAGGCGAGAGCCGGCTCTTCCCCGGGAGATGCGTTTGTCCCAGGCTCGGGGGCTCAGTGGGAGTTCATGCTGCGCTGGAGGCTCTTGGCCACCGCTCTAATCGCCTTGTGCCGCCGCAGCGCCAGCTCCGTCGCCAGCGGTGAGCCTCCCGATTCCCCCCCTTGCCCCTGGCGGCGGCGATGACCGGGGAGAAGATCCGCTCACTGCGGAGGGACCACAAGCCCAGCAAAGAAGAAGGGGACCTGCTGGAGCCCGGGGATGAGGAAGCGGCGGCTGCCCTCGGCGGTACCTTTACCAGAAGCAGGATTGGCAAGGGCGGCAAAGCTTGTCATAAGATCTTCAGTAACCATCACCACCGGCTACAGCTGAAGGCAGCTCCGGCCTCCTCCAATCCCCCCGGCGCCCCGGCTCTGCCGCTGCACAATTCCTCCGTGACTGCCAACTCCCAGTCCCCGGCCCTTCTGGCCGGCACCAACCCCGTTGCTGTCGTCGCGGATGGAGGCAGTTGCCCCGCACACTACCCGGTGCACGAGTGCGTCTTCAAGGGGGATGTGAGGAGACTCTCCTCTCTCATCCGCACGCACAATATCGGGCAGAAAGATAATCACGGTGAGGAGTGCTAGCCCCTCTCCACCTCTCTCCTTCCCCGAGCCTAGGGTGTGCCTCCCCAGGCTTCTGGAATCCTAGGCCCCCTCCAGCAGACTCTTCTTTTTGCCCATCATCCGGGCCGTTCGGTAAATCATGATCGACTCAGTAATAGCGTGCCAGTGGTCAAGGGGTTGGTTCTTGTGGGTGCAAAGGAATGTATCCTCCTTGCCCACTTCAAAGTTTGTCGTGAGAAGCTGTTTTGTTTGAGACAGGCCTTCGATTTGCTGATTCTGGACTGTCAGAAATTTTAGGTTGCCTCCCACCCAACATGGTTTTCTCCCTTTGTTTATGGAGCTATATATCTTTATTTCTCTCTCTTCCCCCTACCTTGGCATTTTAAATTTTGAACGCATAAATTGCCCTCCTCCCTTCATTGCTCACATACAGATCCCATCTTGACTGCAACTGGTTGTGATTTTGCCTGCCACCAGGTTGTTTCTTTTTTGTCTGCTTTCAGTAAACTTAGAATGTTAGATTTCTGAAAGCCACACAGTAGAAATTTGTTGGTATTTGATACGTAGAACAGTTAAAGTGACTTCTCAACAGCCGATTTTTGTTTGAGTAGAGATTTGATTTTTTGCTTGTTTTAAGTAGATAATTGCTAATAGTAATGTCTCATCTTGATGACTGTGACTAAAAATAGTATTATGATTTTTATGGTAATTTTATCTTAGTCAATATTGACCATTTCTTTTTGCCTTGTCAGCTGAATTTTTTGTTTAATTCTAAAAAATAATGTGACTGAGTTGACTTTTAAGCAACAGTAAATTTATTATTGAAGACTAATGTGAACACTGACATTTTAACATTTAATAGCCGTTTTAAACTGGGTAGTTGGCAAATATTGTTGATCGCTCTGCTATTAATATGAAAATTGTATACATTCAGTTAGAACACACTGAACCAACTTTGTGCTCAAAATGATATACGTATCAATGAAATATTTGCCTGTGAAATAAGCTCACTTAATTCCATTGGATCGTAGGCTTTTTAGGACAAAAATTCAGATAAAAAAAACGAGTAAGATTTCTCTTGGCTGTATAATTATCTAACAACTGCATTTGTTTTCAGAATTTACAATGTTGTAATTGTAATAAAATCACCACCTATCATTTATCATAAATCCCCAAAAAAGTATGTTAAAGTTGCAGCCAGTTTTTCTTTCCTACATTTAAATTACTTAATCATTTTACTATTATAGTACAAGGATAATGTTGTTTGTTGATGATGGTAATTCTATGCTAGCCCTTTGGAAAACAGTTGTTAGTGGGAGATGGGTTGTAGCTTCAGTTTATTAGTCTATTATGAGGAAGTTTTTCAAATTTGGTTTACATAGTAGCCATAGTTACATTACCTTGAAATATCCCTGAAACAGATAAAAGGTTTGAGAGTTAACTCCCTTTGAAAGAAGAGATGGATGAATATCACTGAAGCTATTGAATTACAGGATTGTTGGGCTTCCATGTCTTCTTCAACCCAACATTTAGGAGTACATTTGTTTAAGTTCAAATTCTGTTCAAAGTAATTAGAATCCTGTATACTCTTAAACTCTTGTCCTTAGCCCACTGAAATTAACTTTTTTTTTTTTTTTTTTTTTTTTGAGACGGAGTCTTGCTCTGTCGCCCAGGCTGGAGTGCAGTGGTGCAATCTCCGCTCACTGCAAGCTCCGCCTCCCGGGTTCACGCCATTCTCCTGCCTCAGCCTCCTGAGTAGCTGGTAGTACAGGCGCCCACCACCGCGCCAGGCTAATTTTTTTGTAATTTTAGTAGAGACGGGGTTTCACTGTGTGAGCCGGGATGGTCTCCATCTCCTGACCTCGTGATCTGCCCGCCTCGGCCTCCCAGAGTGCTGGGATTACAGGCCTGAGCCACCGCGCCTGGCCTTGAAATTCACTTTTTTAAAGGAAGGTTTTTATTGTGTTTAGCTGACCTTATATCATTGATGTTTCTGATTAATGTAACCGGTGGTTCACATACCTGGGGTAAATATAATTGCTTTCCCCCCTGCAATGTGTACATGCTCATCTCCTACAGTGAGGTGTCCTAGGAACTGTGGCTTCAATTTAATGTGCTTCTTATTTAGTCATTTTTTCTCCCATAGCCTCATAGATTTTTCTGATACATTATTACTTTTAGTCTTGACATTTTACTAACCTGGATGCTTTTAGATTTTTAGGATATTTTTGCTTTAAAATTATAGAAGATAAATACTTATAAAATCACTTAAACAACAGCAAGCTTGGCCAGGTGCGGTGGCTCACACCTGTAATCCCAGCAGTTTGAGAGGCCGAGGTGGGTGGATTACCTGAGGTCAGGAGTTCAAGACCAGCCTGACCAACATAGTGAAACCCCGTCTCTACTGAAAATATGAAAATTAGCCTGGCATGGTGGTGCATGCTTGTAATCCCAGCTATTTGGGAAGCTGAGGCAGGAGGATCGCTTGAACCTGGGAGGCTGAGGTTGCAGTGAGCCAAGATCGCACCGTTGCACTCCAGCCTGGGTAACAGAGTGAGACTCCGTCTCAATAAATAAATAAAATAAAATAAATAAATAAATGATGTATATTCTCTTTGGATTGCTTTAACATAAATGCATAGCAGAATAAGACACTCATACAGGTACATAGCAGAGCCAGACAATTATACCATGTATTACATAGTTTTATGTTCACCGTAAGGATTCCTTTCACAACATGATGATGACAGTGATGATTATTGTCCTTATTATAGACACAATTTATCCAGTGGGTCAGCAGGGTGCTAAGTGTTTACATACATTGTAACATTTAATCCTCACAGCAGCCCTGCAAAGGAGTGCAGTGGAATGATCTGCTCTTGCTGTAGTCTCTGCCTCCCGGGTTCAAGTGATGCTTCTGCCTCAGCCTCCTGAGTAGCTGGGACCACAGGCGTGTGCCACCATGCCTGGCTAATTTTTGTATTTTAAGTAGAGACTGGGTTTCACCGTGTTGTCCAGGCCTATCTCAAACTCCTGGCCTCAGGTAATCCACTCACCTCAACCTTCCAAAGTGCTGGGATTACAGGCGTGAGCCACCGTGCCAAGTCCAAAGCAGATAGTTTTACACTCATTTTAAAAATAAGAAAAATAAGCCTAGAGAGGCAAGGAAACGTCACTAAAGTTATATAGTATAAATCTCAAAGCTATAAATCATAGCAAGGACTCCAAAGCATATCATGAACCTCTTTGTAAGTATTTCTATTGATTAGGACCCTCTATATTGCAAGGAAGTCAATTCTCATAATGTGCGTTTGGTGTTTTATAGCAAAGTTCTTTAATGTATTTTTTAAATATATTTTTTTCTCATTTGTTCCGTACAAGAGTCTTGTAAAGAGATTCTACCATTGGACAGCTCAGGTTTTTCTGTGGAGCCCAGATCTCTTAGCCTTGTTTGTTATTTCTTTTTTATATAACGGCCCAAATAAATGGGCTACTTTGTCCACATGATAGCCCTTTAGATATTTGGCAAGATTACCTTCAGGTTAAATATTCCTAACTTTTGTATCCATTCCTCATCACATTGTTTGTGAAGTATTTAGAATAGTCCCTGAAACATAGTGAATACTATATGTGTGTTAAATAAGTAAATGAAAATCTTCATCATCATCGTTTAGTAGAACTTGTTTGTTAATTCTTCCCTTAGAAGATGGTGCCCAGAACTAACCTTATTGCTGGAGATATATTAGCCTTGTGAGCAAAGACAACAGGGAGACTATATTGCTGTAAAGCAGCATATACTTAGTTATGCAGTGCAAGAGTATGTTAATTAATTTATTATTTTTTGTGATGGAATCTCACTCTGTCACCCAGGTTGGAGTGCAGTGGTGCAATCTTGGCTCACTGCAACCTCTATCTCCTGGGTTCAAGCAATTCTCCTGTCTCAGCCTCCTGAGAAGCTAGGACTACAGGCATGCACCACCACACCGGCTAATTTTTGTATTTTTGTATTTTTAGTAGAGACAGGGTTTCACCGTGTTGGCCAGGCTGGTCTGGAACGCCTGACCTCAAGTGATCTGCCCACCTCAGCCTACAAAAGTGCTGGGATTACAGGCATGAGCCACCATGCCCGGCCAAGAGTATGTTAATTTTTTAATTATGTTTTTTTCTCAAGTGATCTGCTGTCTTTCCATTCTATCCCTTCTTGTATTTATTTATTTTTTTAACCTCAACGCAGGACTTTAGAGCTATTACATTTTATTTTGTTAGTTTTGGTCCTTTATTGTACCTGGAGAACTTGTTGAATCCTGATTTGGTCACTATTTAGTTCAGTTCATAAGCTATTTCAGTTTAAACTATCACTGATTTGGTAAAATTTTTGGTGTGTGTGTGCATTTGCAAGTTACTGACTTAAATTGAATAGAAGAAAGGATAGAGCTTTTACTTTTGTGGTAAAATATTGGTTGAGTAGGAATTTTTTTTTTTTTTGAGTCATCAATTATTTTGTGAAGTATTGTATTCTGGGTCCAAACATATTTCTTGAGGTATGTTTAAGTACAGTAACAGCTATAAAATCATGTATATGTTGTATTCAAATATGCCAAATGATTGTGACTCATCACTTAATAACAGCTGTTTTTTGGGTGGGGAAGAAATATTAAAAGTACACAAAATTATGGAACTCTATCTTTGGTTATATACCACTTTTTTCTTTAGTGTAAAATTAAAAGATTGAATCTAAGCCTTTTTCCATAGTCAGAGTGTAAGGATTTTTCTGAATCAATTTTTGCCATTGATAGTTTGGCAAAGGATCATGATGACAAGACATTTTTTATAATTGATAATAATTTTACTTATTGAGAATTGAGAATATGAAACGTATAGAAGATTTTCTTGGTTTGACTGTACTTCTGATTGGTTAGACTTGTAATTTTGTTTTTTCCTTTGAGTTAAATGTCTTTAAGAAGCTAAGCAGCTTCTCTTGGATGCTAGTCAGAAGCTTTTAGGTGCCAACGTGATGAAAGTCCTGAACATATGAATTGCTCAAGCCAGCCTTTCCTAGATGTGAAAAATTTCTGATTTATTCTGAGAAATTTGGCAGTTTCTCCTGCCTTTAATTACATTGCCTGGCAGGTGACAAGCCATCTTCTCTATATATGGTTAATTTTCATTTTTCCTTGTTAATTTTCATATTTACTTGTAATATTTTCATTGTAATATGTTCTTGAAGTTATTTCACACAATGTTAGAGATTTCGAATTTAAGTTAAAATTCAGTTGAGAATATTCCTGCTGATGCAGGTACCTCAGGGAAGTGACAGTGAAATGATTAATGTGTAAAATCTCTGCCTCATGGCTGGCAGATTTCTTTAGCCAGTGATTGGAAAAAATCTCAATTTCAGAAAGATTAAAAAGGTGCAGGCTGGGCATGGTGGCTCACCACGCCTGTAATCTCAGCACTTTGGGAGGCCAAGGCGGGTGGATCACCTGAGGTCGGGAGTTCAAGACCAGCCTGGCTAACATGGTGAAACCCCGTTTCTACTAAAAATACAAAACATTAGCCGGGCATGGTCGCGCGCACCTGTAATCCTAGCTACTCGGGAGGCTGAGGCAGGACTGGGAGGTGGAGGTTGGGGTGAGCTGAGATTGCACTATTGCACTCCAGCTTGGGCAACAAGAGCTAAATTCCATCTCAAAAAAAAAAAATGTGCATTTGAGGATTGAGAAGATAGGATAATCTATTTCATGGCCATACAGTATGTTTATTTTGGTTTATTCTGTATAAATCTCGTATCTTCCTTTTGATATTTTTTTCTCTACTTTTAGTCACTAAAACCTTCATGATGGGTGATACAAAAGAATAATATGTAATAGATCTCTTTTAGAAGAGGTGACTATAAAGCTAATCTCTGCATGGAAAAAAAAATTTTAGCTACTGGTGAACAATTTTAACCAGGAGAGGGTTAAAATGATGGCTTGTGTTTAAAAGAACATTAGTAGTTTTATGTTTGTTTGTTTGCTTTGTGTTTTGTAGGTTTCTTTTTAAATTTTGTTTTTGTAGGATAGACCTCAGTTTCCCTTAGGAAGAAAGTGGTGTCTAGAGGCTCAAGTTTATAACACATTAAAGTGTGTTATACCCCTTACCTGGGTGTGGGGGTGATTTGGTGGTGAAATGTTACTCCATTGATCAGGGTTGATTTAGTTGATCTTCATTATTAGATGAATGTCATCTTCCTTCTTTCTTGTCTTTCTTCCCCATGTGCATCTCCAACAGAGTAGGACTGTCCTTGGGTTAAGTGGCTGTGTTTCCTGATGGTGTCACCATTAGTACTATAGAACTTCACCCACTGCTTACAAATGTTGTGATAAGAACACATCTGCAGAGCTATGTCTTAAAAGGGAGGGAGGATCCTCTTCTCCCCTTTTCTGCACTGGGCTGCAATAGGAATAGAAATTCTTAGCTTTGGCAAAAAAGGTAGCAGAAATGGGTGATTATTGGTGATGTTGGGTCCTGGGCATCCTGAATTCTAGAGGACTCATTGGAGAATTGAGTTTTCGGTAGGATAGCTGCCCCAAGTTAATGCCATTCTTAAGTCATAGAAATCTACTTTAATTCAAGAGTACAGTGTAATTATCAGAATGCTTGGGTTCCAGAAAATGAGTGCAGTTCCTAGAGAATTGGATGGGGGCCAGGCAGACAAACAATATGGTTCTGTTCCTACACCATTTATTTTCTTGAGGGAGAGCTGGGTGATCAGTTTTAGAGCAACACTGAAGTATGTAAAATAGGGATAGGAAAAAGGGAAAAGGTCTTTCGCCTTTTCTGTATTGATCAGATCTGAGTTTGAGACCATGCTTCTCTATGAACTGCCTTTTTTTTTTTTTTTTTTTTTTTTTTGAGACGGAGCCTCGCTCTGTCACCAAGGCTGGAGTGCAGTGGCGCGATCTCGGCTCACTGCAAGCTCCGCCTCCCCGGTTCACACCATTCTCCTGCCTCAGCCTCCCGAGTAGCTGGGACTACAGGCGCCCGCCACCACGCCCGGCTAGTTTTTTGTATTTTTTAGTAGAGACGGGGTTTCACCATGTTAGCCAGGATGGTCTCGATCTCCTGACCTCGTGATCCACCCGCCTGGACCTCCCAAAATGCTGGGATTACAGGCGTGAGCCACCGCGCCCGCCCGACACAATTTGATTTTAAAAGGCTCACTCGGGCTGTTGTGTGAGGCAAGGGTCAGTATAAAAAGCTACTATAGTTGGGGGAAACTGTGAGGGTGATAAGAAGATAGAGCTGATAGAAGTTGATGCTGGATTTGATGTCAGATGATATGGTGTGTGTATTTTAGTAGTATATTAGCATTTTTGAGAGAGAATGCAGAAATTATCCCCTTTTACTGCTTGCTTGGATCAGACTTGAAGGAGTCTGTAGAACCTGGAGCTCTGTACTAGTACTTGCAATTTCCTGCTTTGTTCTATAGTTAGGGGGTGCACAAAGTCGCAACTATTTTTATAATATCTAGTCATTGCTTGCCTTTTTCACTGCAGACATTTTCATTGGTGGTTCAAAAGCACTGGTGAGTAAAATTGTTGACATCTTAGTGCAAGTCAAAGTAGCAAACTGGGCTGGTAGTCATTGTATTGTTCACTGCCATGCAAATTAATTTTTAATTTTTAAAAATTAAAACAAGGCCATTTTACTTAATGTTTTTGATGAAACTGTAAAAATTATGAATTTTATTACATCCTAATCTTGAGTACATGCTTTTTTGGTATTTGTGACATAATTGGGATTGTGCCTTTTGCTCCTCTGCTGCATACTGACTGGGTAAATAAGGGAAAGCATTGTTAAACTGAGTGGGGAAGCCAGGCACAGTGGCTCACACCTGTAATCCCAGCACTTTGGGAGGACGAGATGGGAGGATCACTTGAGGTCAGGAGTTCGAGACCACCCTGGTCAACATAGTGAGACCCTGTCTCTATTAAAAAGAAAGAAAAGAAAAATAGAAAAAAAAAGTATTAGAAAAAAGTTTGAGGGGTATTTGAGTGTAAGCTGAGCTAGCCACCTTTTTCATGGAACACCATTTTTACTTTAAAGAACAGTTTACAGACAAACTATAGTTAATCACAGTTTGAATATATGGCAAATATTTTTTGGAAAATAATGAAGTAAACCTATGACTTCAAGGAAAACAAGTGACAGTTATTTGTTGTGAATGAAAAAATTGAAGCTTTCAAATGAAAAGTAGAAATTTGAAGAACTTATCTCTACCATGGTAAGCTTGATGGGTTCCCAGTACATAAAAGACTGTTCTAGTCAGATTGGAGGTGATATTGCCAAATACGGTTTTTTTGCTATTGTACAGTGAAATATGTCAACATTTGAAGATTTCCATAACCTGGTCAACCGGTGTTTTTCAAATATCAATGCATGGTGTTACAGAATCATGCATCAGTACAAGATCCATTCAAAGCACAAGACAGACCAATATATTTCAGTGTAATACAGTACAAAAAACTTATTTATATGATTTTAGATTTCACATTGCAATCTTTTTTTTTTTTTGAGACGGAATATTGCTCTTCTTGCTCAGGCTGGAGTGCAATGGTGCGATTTCGGCTCACCGCAACCTCTGCCTCCTGGGTTCAAGCGATTCTCCTGCTTCAGCCTCCCGAGTAGCTGGGATTTCAGGCATGTACCACCACGCCCGGCTAATTTTGTATTTTTAGTAGAGACGGGGTTTCTCCATATTGGTCAGGCTGGTCTCAAACTCCCTACCTCAGGTGATCTGCTTGCCTCGTCCTCCCAAAGTATTGGGATTACAGGAGTGAGCCACCGCGCCCAGCTGTGCAACCAACTTTTAAGAAGTGAATTTTGGTGTGTAGCAAAGAAAAATATCAGAAAAGGTTATTAAAATACTCCCACTCTTATCAACTGTGAATTTGTGCAAAGCATATATAAAAACCTAGCTGCTGTCTTCTGTTAAGCCAGACATTAAAGAAACATAATTTATTTTTATTTTTAATTAAATAATTTAAATAGACTGCTCATGTCACTTATTTGTTTTGGAAAATGTAGTTAATTTTTTCATAAGAAATTTTATATTAACACGTAGTGAGTATTATAGTTCTAAAATTAATACATTTAAAATTTTAAAAATCTTAATTTCTAATATGATAAATATCAATAGATATATCTATACAAAAGGTTTTGTGATCCTTAATAATTTTTAGAAGTATAAAAGGAGTCCTGAGATTCAAAAGCTTGAAAACTGTTAATACAGTAAAAAGAATATAAATTTTTGTGTCATGAACTGTCCCAGTTTCTAGGTATGTAATTTTGGAAAATAACTATTATTAGGTCTATTTTTCTTCTTGAGAAATAGGAATAATATTTGTTTCATAGGATTATTGAGCAAATTAAATGAATAAGGTATCAGAAATATACAGCATAGTGCCCAACACATTTAATAGATACCCATTAAATGCCAGCCATTCTATTGATTATTTGCATTTATTCATTTTTTTTTTTGAGATAGGGTCTCGCTTTGTCATCCTGGCTGGAGTGCAATAGTGTGACCACGACTCTGCAGCCTTGACCTCCGACACTCAGGCAATCCTCCCACCTCACCCTCCTGAGTAGATGGGACCACAGGCATACCACACTACCATGCCCAGCTAATTTTTTTTTTTTTTTTTTGAGATGGAATCTTGCTCTGTTGCCCAGGCTGAGTGCAGTGGCATGATCTCGGCTCACTGCAACCTCCACCTCCCGGTTTAAGCAATTCTCGTGTCTCAGCCTCCTGAATAGCTGGGACTACAGGCGCCTGCCACCACACCTGGCTGATTTTTGTATTTTTAGTAGAGATGGGGTTTCACCTTGTTTGTCAGGCTGGTCTTGAACTCCTGACCTCAGGTGATCTATCCGCCTCGGCCTCTGAAAGTGCTGGAATTATAGGCGTGAGCCACCATGCCCAGCCCCCAGCTAATTTTTAAAAATTATTGTTTGTAGAGACAAGATCTCCCCATGTTGCATGGACTGGTGTTGAATTCCTTGGGCTCAAGCAATCCTCCCGCCTCAGTGTTCCAAACTGCTGGGAATACAGGCTGCAGCCACTGTACCGGCCAGTGTTTTTTGCATATTTTAAAACTAAAGTTAGCCTGGTGCGGTGGCTCATGCCTGTAATCCCAGCACTTTGGGAGGCTGAGGTGGGCGGATCACTTGAGGCTAGGAATTTGAGACCTGCCTGGCCAACATAGTTTTGCTAAACTCCATCCCTACTAAAAATACAAAAATTAGTCGGGCATGGTGGTGCACGCCTATAATCCCAGCTAGTCAGGAGGCTGAGGCACAGGAGGTAGAGGCTGCAGTGAGCCGAGATGGCATCACTGCACTCCACCCTGGGCAATAGAGAGACTTTGTCACAAACAAACAAACCTACCTAAAAGCTAAAGTGGTCTTAATATTACTGGATGTTTTTCACTTGTTCGACAAAACAATTCGATTTAGTTTACCAAGTTAGAATGAAGGTGTTCAATTTCAGATTTAAAAAGTACATTATGAAAAGTTGATAGCAAAGTTTATTTTATGTTTTTATTATCCTTTGTGTAATAAATTAGCTTAAGCAGCAGGTTGAGGACATAGAAAACTGAGGAGATAGTAGATGGAAGTAACTAGGATGTTGGAGCACTTAGTTTTATGATATAGTTGGTGAATACAGTAAATTCACTGTTAGCCAGGTGATCGTGATGATGATTTTGCCATTTAAAATATTGAATTAGCAGAGCATAATATTTGGCATCATAGTAGAAGGTATTTCTGTTTATATTCTTATCTTTAAAAAGAGGGATTGAATTGTTGAACTGACTTCTAGTTCATAAATCTTGTGATAATATGATTAAAATTTGGACTTGTAATGGAAGGTTTCATTTGTAACTTCAGTAGGTACTGATGCTTTTACCCCCTCTTTTCTCTATGTTCTTGAGGGGTTAAGAAAACAAAGGATAATTATCCAGGAGCACGGCCACCTTGACTTCTTCACCTAGGTTATCTGTCTAGACTCTGGTGGACTCTCCTTAACTTAAATTTAAAAATTTGTTGAATAGATATAACATTCACATGCTTTAGAATTCTTAAAAATAAAAGGATACATTGTTAAAAGTTTCCCTTTCACCCATCTCTACCTATCTAGTTCCCCTCCTGGGCAGCAGCAAGTGTTATTTTGTGTGTGTGTGTGTGTGTGTGTGTGTGTGTGTTATTGTGTGTGTGTGTTTCTTTCTTTACCATTTGGAGCATGGTACTTCTTTTTCTCCCTGAAAGATAGAGAAGTGAAGAAAGGGAACTATTGCTACCTCTTCCACTATTGCTACCTCTTCCACTATTGATACAAAAAGGGATATTCAGGAATTTATACATTTGATTGTAAACGTCTCTTCTTTTTTTTATTCCCCCCTCCACCGAGTTGGAGTCTCGCTCTGTCACCCAGGCTGGAGTGCAATGGGCGATCTCAGCTCACTGCAACTTCTGCCTCCCGGGTTCAAGCGATTCTCCTGCCTCAGCCTCCTGAGTAGCTGGGATTATAGGCATGCGCCACCATGCCCGGCTAATTTTTGTATTTTTAGTAGAAATGGGGTTTCAACATGTTGGTCAGGCTGATCTCGAACTCCTGACCTCATGATCTGCCCACTTCTGCCTCCTAAAGTGCTGGGATTACATGCATGAGCCACTGCTCCAGGCCTGTCTCTTCTTTTTTACTGCCAAATGTATATCTCCAGCCTATACTTCTCCTTTGAGGTCTAGATTTTGTATTTGTCTTCACTTGGAATCTCAGAGTTATTTTAAAATTAACTTGTCCAAAATGGAGTTATCATTTTCTGCCTCCTCCCCTTTCACCTGGCCGCCCATTCTTTTAAATTACATCCTTAACTATCTAGTTGCTCAAGCCAGTCACTGAGATCATTCTTTGTTTCACCACTTCTTACTCCCCATACACATGTAATTAGCAAGTTATTTTGAACCAGTCTACTTCTGTCTCTGCCACCACATTGAGACTGACCAATTTTAATTATATTTTTTTCCTGGGAATATTGCACCAGACTCATAACTGGTCTCCCTATGTCCCCCTCCAATCCATTCTCTATATGAGGACAAGAATGATTTTAAAATGTAATTTGTATCATGCCACTTTCCTGCTACAGTAAAATAAAATATGTATACCTTCCAGATAGATTAAAAAACAAAATGGAATAATAAAAATAGTCAATCTAGAAGAAGGTAAGAAAGACAAGCAAAAGGGATATAGAACAGGCAGAACAAATAGAAAACACAAAAAGGGGCTGGGCTGGCAGTGGCTCATGCTTGTAATCCCATCACTTTGGGAGGCTGAGGCAGGCAGATCACTTGAGGTCCGGAGTTCAAGACCAGCCTGGCCAACATGGTGAAACCCTGTCTCTACTAAAATACAAAAATTAGCTGGTGTGGTGGCACATGCCTGTAATCCCAGCTACTTGGGAGGCTGAGGCAGGAGAATCGCTTGAACCTGGGAGGCGGAGGGTGCAGTGAGCCGAGATTGTACTATTCCACTCCAGCCTGGGTGACAGAATGAAACTTCTCAAAAAAAAAAAAAAAAAAACACACAAAAAGATGGTAGATTTGGACCCTGATATATCAGTAAGTATATGTGAAACTGGATTAAATGCTTCAGTTAAAAAGACAAATATTGTCTTACTGTAGGATAAAAACACCCAACTGCATGCAGTTGGAGACATATCTAAAACATCAGGACGTTAAAAAGTTGAAAGTGAGAGGATTGAAAAATATATTCCATGCAAATACCAATTCAAAAAAGTTGGTATAATGGTGTTAATATCCCAATAGTTGTTTTTTGAGATGGAGTCTCGCTCTGTCGCCCAGGCTGGAGTGAAGTGGCGTGATCTTGGCTGACTGCAACCTCCGCCTCCTGGGTTCAAGTGATTCTCCTGCCTCAGCCTCCTGAGTAGCGGGCCTACAGGCGTGCGCCACCACACCTGGCTAATTTTTGTATTTTTAGTAGAGACGGGGTTTCACCATATTGGCTAGGCTGGTCTCAAGCTCCTGAGCTCGTGATCCATCTGCCTCGGCCTCCAAAAGTGCTGGGATTACAGGCATGAGCCACCGTGCCCGCCCCCAATAGGTTTTAAAACAGAAAACATTATCTGAGAAAAAGGTGCATGTCTCACAATGAAAAGTGGTTCAATTAACCAAAAATCTATGAAAATTTTAAGTTTGATTGCACTTGATAACATGGCTTCAAAATATATCGAGCAAAACTTGCTAGAATTACAAGAAGACACAGAAACCCCCAATTATAGTGGGAGATTTTTAACATTCCTCTCTGTTACCAAAAAAGCCAACAATAACAACAACAACAAATCAATAAGGATGTAAAAAATACGAACAACACCATTAAAATGGTTCTTTATGAAATGCTGAACCCAACAACTGCAGAATAAAAAGTTTTTTTTTGCAAGGATATAGACAGCATTTACAAAAATTGGTCAGACTCAACCATAAAGCAAATCTCAACACATTTCAGACGATTGAAATTACACTGCCTGTTCTCTGATCGCAATGCAGATAAGCTAGACATTTTTAAAAAGGTAGATATATTAGGAAAAAGGCTAAAATATCAATCATCAAATCTGTTTTAAGAAATTAGAAGAACAATTTTAAGTTGCTTAGTTTCCCAATTTGAGTTTATTTTACCCAAATAAAATAGAAGTAATAAAAGAGCAGGAATGATTAAATTAGAAAAATAGAGCAACAAAGCCAACACTTTGTTCTTTGAAAAGATGAATAAAATTAATAGACCAGGCACCGTGACTCATGCCTATAATCCCAATATTTTGGAAGGGCAAGGTGGGAGGATTGCTTGAGTCCAGGAGTTTGAGACCAGCTTGGGCAGCATAGTGAGACATCTCTACTGAAAATTTAAAAAAAATTAGTTGGGTGTGGTGGTGTGTGCCTGTAATCCCAGCTACTTGGGAGGCTGAGATGGGAGGATCACTTGAGCCTGGAAGGTTGAGGCTGCAGTGAGCCATGATTTTGCCACTATACTCCAGCCTGGGTGACAGAGCAAGACCCTGTTTCAAAATAATAATAATAATAATAATAATAATAATAATAATAATAATAATAATAATAAACGTACTGATCAAGAGAAAAAGAAGGCACAAATAACAGATATTAGGAATCAGAAGTGTTACATCAGTATAAATTCAAATGTCATCGTATATCATTAGCGGATATTTTGAACAAATTTTATGCCAATAAATGAAAAGAGATAAACAATGCTAGAAAAATTTAGTTTGTCAAAATGCACATAAAAAGGAATTAGAAGGCCGAGCGCGGTGGCTCACTCCTCTAATCCTAGCATTTTGGGAGGCCAAGGTGGGTGGATCACTTGAGGCCAGGAATTTGAGACCAGCCTGGGCAACATGGTGAAGCCTTATCTCTACTAAAAATCCAAAAATTAGCCGGGTATGTTGGTGGGCACCTGTAATCCCAGCTACTTGGGAGGCTGAGGCACGAGAATTGCTTGAAACCCGGGAGGCGGAGGTTACAGTGAGCCGAGATCGTGCCACTGCACTCCAGCCTGGGTGACAAGAGGGAGACTCTGTCTCAAAAAAAAAAAAAAAAAAATGGAATGATAGCTCAAAGTAAATCTTTGGTTTTGGCATAGTTGGTGTTGACCTTTTGTCTCTAGCACCAAATTGTCGACAAGTTTGTTTGCTTTTTTTTTTTTTTTGAGATAGGGTCTCATTTTGTTTCCTAGGCTGGAGTGCAATGCCGCCATCTCGGCTTACTGCAACCTCTGCCACCCGGACTCAAGCGATTCTTCTACTTCGGCTTCCCAAGCAGCTGGATTACAGGGTGCGCTACCACACCCGGCTATTTTTAGTAGAGACGGGGTTTTGCCATGTTGGCCAGGCTGTTCTGAACTCCTGGCCTCAAGTGAGATGTTCACTTCAGCTTTCCAAAGTACGGTGACTGTAGGCGTGAGCCACCGCGCCCGGCCAAGTTTATTTGCTTTTTAGGACTACTTTTAGTTAAACTTAGGAAATTTAGTTCAATATTTTGAAAAGAAGGAAGAGGACCTTATTCTAGACCAATCAAATTGGAAATTGTTACTTGCTCATGTTGATTTTTTTAACCTTGTATTATGCTGAAGACTGAAGGCACTGAATAGTTTATGAATCTGACCCACAGACGGCTCCTAATCTATCAGTGTATAACTGTGTTTAAAATTGTTCTTAAGGGCCGGGCGTGGTGGCTCATGCCTGTAATCCCAGCACTTTGGGAGGCCAAGGCGGGCGGATCACCTGAGGTCAGGAGTTTGAGATCTGACTGGCCAACATGATGAAACCCCATCTCTACTAAAAATATAAAAAGTAGCCGGGCGTAGTGGTACTCGCCTGTAATCCCAGCTACTCGGGAGGCTGAAGCAGGAGAACCACCTGAACCCGGGAGCGGAGGTTGCAGTGAGCCCAGATCGGCCTCTGCACTCCAGCCTGGACAACAGAAGGAGACTCTGTCTCACACACACACACACAAAAATTGTTCTTAAACATTTTCATTTTATTTGAACTGAACATATTAGTTAGTAGTAGGATGAAAACTGTGCTTTACTGAGAGTTCCTAATGCGGAAAATTCACTTGAGTGTCTCTAACTTTATTCGTCCTTTGGATAAAATTGAAAAATTGCCGACATACAGTTGTTTGTGAGGGGAGGGATGGTTTCTTTAATGTCTTCATGAGATAGGTATGCAATTTCTACGTGGGAGGAGAGAGAAATCAATTTTACTAAATTCATATATAAAACTGCCTATAATGAAAGATGCTTTTCTTTTTTTTTTGTGAGACGGAGTTTCGCTCTTCTTGCCCAGGCTGGAGTGCATTGCCGCCATCTTGGTTCACCGCAACCTTCGCCTCCCAGGTTCAAGCGATTCTCCTGCCTCAGCCTCCTCAGTAGCTGGGATTACAGGCATGCGCCACCACCCCTGGCTAATTTTGTATTTTTAGTAGAGATGGGGCTTCTCCATCTTGGTCAGGCTGGTCTTGAACTCCCGACCTCAGGTGATCCGCCCCTTTTGGCCTCCCAAAGTGTTGGGATTACAGGCGTGAGCCACCGTGCCCGGCTGAAAGATGCTTTCTTCATTGCATATTTTCATATTAAAGTACTAAGTACCAATGGAAATTTGTACCTCCGGTTCTTATTTCTGAAAAACATAATGTCACTTATATCTCCAAATCTGTCTTGTTTTTTTGTCCCTAGTTAAGATCAAGAGATTTTCTGTAATCCAGGGTTTTGTTTTGTTTTTGGTAAAATTAATTACAGAGATGACTTTATTTTATTTTATTTTATTTATTTATTTTGAGACAGAGTTTCACTCTTGTCGCCCAGGCTGCAGTGCAGTGGAGTGACCTTGGCTCACTGCAACCTCTGTCTCCCATGGTTCAAGCAATTCTCCTGCCTCAGCCTCCCAAGTAGCTGGGATCACAGGCGGGTGCCACCACGCCTGGTTAATTTTTGTATTTTTAGTAGAGATGGGGTTTCACCATGTTGGCCAGGCTGGTCTTGAACTCTTGACCTCGGGTGATCTGCCTGCCACTTTCCCAAAGTGCTGGGATTACAGGCGTGAGCCACCGTGCCCGGCCATGGAGATGACTTTAGTGTAGTGAATTTATTTGTGCTGTTTTCTAAATTTTGCTCAAAATAGTATTTTGCTGACTTTGCCAACAATTCCCATTCCATTCTGCCTTTATTGAGCAAAAGTGTGTGTGTGTGTGTGTGTGTGTGTGTGTGTGTGTTTGAATCATGGCCGATCTCTTGTCAAGCTGAGACTGGAATTTATCACATGCACATCTCTTATGTCCTGCATGTGATCCCTTGATAATGTTTTGCTTATTATTTTGGTCGTAATTGTTAATGTGATGACTTTCGTAAAATTGCTGATATGTGAAATTTAGCAAATTTTATTTACTGACTTTTTAATTTCAAATATTACTGTTGGTTTAACATTTAGATCATAAGTATGGCTTAGGGTATCATTTTGAAATTAAATTCGTCATTCTATAACATCAACTATAGGATGTAGTCCAAACTTCATAGCACAGCTTTCAAGTCTTTGTCTTTTGCTCATCATTCCAATATCATTCTTTACTGTTTTCTATAACTTCTTCACCCCCACTAATAATAACTGTTTGTTTGTTTCCCAAATATAAATTGTTTCTGCACTTGAGTGGTGATTTGGATCACTTTAAAAAAAATCTGGAATGCTAGGCAGTGTTGCTTTTGTTCGCCTACAGATTTCTAACAAATTCTTTAAGGCTCATTTCAGTGTGGTCCATTCTTCAATATTTAACTCTCTGCAAAGTTATGAGCTCTGCCATATGTTCTACGGTCAGGCTGTACTCCCTTCTATTTAATAAATAATAATTATTATTTATTTTCATATTTGTCTCTAACAGCAGACTTTCCGAACAACTTGAAAACTGGGATTCAGTCTTACTGATTTTTGTCCCCAAGGATGACTAGATATTTAAATTGTTTGCTAAATGAACAAAGAATAATGTGAAAGAGAAATTAGCAGCAAAAGGAATCTGTGAAATCTGTTTGAAAAATAAATCTCAAAATGGATATCCTTTTTTTTGGAGGGGTTGGAGAGTACATTGTACTCAGAAATCATGGTATCTTCTGACTTTAAATTTGCTATATAAGCAATATTATTTTGCAGTCACAGTATTTTTGCTTAAAATCTGCCAGTGAAATTTCTGAAGGAGCTGAAACCACTTTTAAGTAAATGTTCTTATGTTTTTACACCTTCTAATTTATTTATTTTATTTTATTTTTTTTAGGAAATACTCCTTTACACCTTGCTGTGATGTTAGGAAATAAAGGTTAGTAAATATTTTCTTTTTTTATGTTTAACTTCATTTATATATAGTCAGTTTAAAATTTTTAAGATCAGTTTTGTCTTTTGAGTTTTTAAAAACTCATTTTATCTGTTAATTGAACTTAGAATTTAGTATATTGAAATTAGTAAATATTTTCTTGTTTTCCATGGCCCTTTTTAAAAAGTGTTGGTGGAAATCCTGTACTAACTTTTATGTCTTTTGAAACTATGTTTTTTTTCCCCTTACTTGGTTGTTTTATCAAGCAGGAATTTATAATTTTAGAAGACTTATTTCCAAATATTAAGATTTATTATTATACTTTTCATATTAGAGTTTTATATGATTTTTAATATATAATATTTTATATATATAAAGTCATAAGTTGAGCCTTTGGTAGATAATTGCAAAAACTTAATACTTGTTTATTAAGTATTTATTAAAGTAGTCATTATTTAATTAAAAAGCCTTATAGGCAGGTGATTTAAAAGATACCTACTTTTGTAGGTTATTCCTAAGTGCAGTAAAACTTTAGTTATTTAGATCCCCGGTTATTCTGGAAAGTGAGGATTTTAGATAGCTGAATAGCAATGCTTTGAGTACTAGATTTTTATATTTTAAATGTGTTTAGTAAAAATTTTTTCTTTTTTTTTTTTTTGAGGCAGAGTCTCGCTCTATTGCCCAGGCTGGAGTACAGTGGTGCAGTCTTAGCTCACTGCAACCTCTGCCTCCCAGGTTTAAGCAATTCTCCTGCGTCAGCCTCCTGAGTAGCTGGGACTACAGGCTCATGCCACCACGCCTGGCTAATTTTTTGTGTTTTTAGTAGAGACAGGGCTTCACCATGTTGGCCAGTCTGGTCTCGATCTCCTGACCTCATGATCCGCCTGCCTCGGCCTCCCAAAGTGCTGGGATTACAGGTGTGAGCCACCGCACCCAAATGATACAATTTTTTAAAGAAATATAATTGTATATTTTTAGACAGGCTAATGAACTTCTGTTAAGATTTTTTTTTCAATGATCTAGAAGTATCATTATGAACATCTGTTGTTGTTATATGGTATAATGTATCTGTCAGTGTAAACATTTGATCTGAATGTATGGGCCTAGGGATATTGCTAGAACTTGTTTTTATTTTATTTTATTTATTTATTTATTTTGAGATAGAATTTCACTCTTATTGCCTAGGCTGGAGTGCAATGGTGCAATCTTGGCTCACCACAATCTCTGCCTCCCAGGTTCAAGCGACTCTCCTGCCTCAGCCTCCGGAGTAGCTGGGATTATAGGGCTAATTTTGTATTTTTAGTAGAGATGGGATTTTTCCATGTTGGTCAGGCCGATCTCGAACCCCCGACCTCAGGTGATCCACCCGCCTTGACCTCACAAAGTGCTGGGATTACAGGCATGAGCCACCGTGCCTGGCCTTTATTTTATTTTTGAGACATGGTGTCGCTGTGTTCCCCAGGGTGGAGTGCAATGATGCAATCATGGGTCACTGCAGTCTTGAGAACTCCTGAGCTCAAGTGATCCTCCTGTCTCAGCCTTCAGGGTGGCTGGGACTGTAGACACATGCCACCATGCCCGGCTAATTTTTTCATTTTATGTAGAGACAGGTTCTCACTTTGTTGCCCTGGCTTGAACTTGTTTTGTTGAAAAACAAAGTTCTTTTGCTAGTTTGATTTTTAAGTTCAAATCTTTAAATGAAGTGTATGATCCACAGGATAATATAATTTTTATTTTAGAGACAGGGTCTTGCTCCGTTGCCCAAACTGGGGTATAGTGGTGCGATCCTAGCTCACTGCGGCTTCAAACTCCTGGGCTCAAGTGATCCTCTTGTCTCCAGCCTCCCAAGTAGCAAGGACTAGATGCACATGCCACCATACCTAACTAACTTTTAAATTTATTTTTAGAAATGAGGTCTCGCTATGTTGCCCAGGCTATTCTCAAACTCCTGGCCTCAAGCAATCCTCCCTCCTGGGCCTCCCAGAACACTGGGATTACAGATGTGAGTCACTGTGCCTGACCTTAATTTTTATTTTAATTCTATATAATTGGTGATTCAAATCTGTATCTTCAATGTTATAGTTATGGCTTTTTTTTCTTCTTAACAAGTAAGATTAACTAGAGTAACTTCTAAGTAAAGAAGTATTCATTAAAAGGCTACATGTTAGAGAAACTCAAGAAGTAGGTACCAGCCAGGTCTCAGGAAGAGTGGGAACCAAGATGTTTGGAGGAATCAGTCATTCTCCTATTTCCTTATCATCTTTCAATCTCTTATGGTGTGTCTGCTGTTCTTTATATCTGCGGTATTCTCCTTTTTCGTGATTGACTTTTCCTGTTTACTGAAATTGAACAGACCTAAAATAATTCTTTTAGGATCCTAAGTTGACTTTCTGGTGTTCACTGCTAACTAGATGGGTTTCTTAGGTTCGCAAATTTCTGAGCAAAAAGTTTGATTGGTCCAGTTTATCTCAAGCCAAGCCACAAGTGATGGGTGATGGCAGACTTATGAATTATCTGTCTTTAAGATAGGTATTTGCTTCTGTGAAATTAGCTTTAGCTAGACTGACTTGGGTGAGATTTGGGGGTAGGAGAGGGAATCAGGAATACAAAGGAAGTATGTTTACTTTAGCAGGAATGTGGATAGGGCAGGCCATGATTGACATCTCTAGCAACCTTGGTGAAAATATGTCAGATACAGCCAGCTGAATTTGATCAATAAAAACTTGCGCTTTTTTTTTTCAAAGAACATTGGATTGGAACTTTAGAAAATAACTAGAATTTATTATTTACAATATACCAGATGCTTTTCCTAGTACTTTACACGTATTTACTCATTTAACTCTTACCACAACCATGTGAGTGAAGTACTATTATTATCTCCATTTTATGGAAGAAAAACATTAGCCCCAAAACTTGCCCAGAGTAAAGTAGCCAAGTTTTAATTTCAACTTGGGAGTGCCTGGCTCTAAAATCTATTTTAATGGTGTATTGCTTTGCCCTCTTTTTCACTGAGAACCATTCAGAAAGGATATGGTCTGTATCAAAGTTGGCCAACATGCAACTTGCCAAATCTGATTGCTATTCTGGAATCCTTCCTAATTTAGCACTTTAGTAGTTAATATGGATTTACCAGGATTTGAATGTGAAATGAAGCCTATCTGCCATCTCTGTTTGAGGGTTCTAATTTTATTTTATTTTTCCACTCAAGTATATTCTCACAGAGGGTATTCTAATTTTAGATAGATGTACTATTATGCTTCATCATCGGTTTATATCAGCCTGTTTTAAAATGTATTTCAGCCAGCCGTGGTGGCTCACGTCTGTAATCCTAGCACTTTGGGAGGCCGAGGCGGGCAGATCACTTAAGGCCAGGAGTTTGAGACCAGCCTGGGCACCATGGCAAGACCCCATCTCTACTAAAAATACAAAAATTAGCCGGGCATGGTGGCACATGCCTGTAATCCCAACTATTTGGGAGGCTGAGAAAGGAGAATCACTTGAACCCAGAGGCAGAGGTTGCAGTGAGCCGAGATCATACCACAGCACTGCAGCCTGGATAACAGAGCGAGACTCCGTTTCAACAACAACAACAAATTAAAATATATTTCATAAAACATTAGTTTCTTTGCATCCATTGAAGTACAGGAGAAAAACCACATTAGTTTTATGGGATATTGAAAGGTATTTAGAAGAAAATAGAGTTTCCAGAGCAAATCAATTTGAAAAATATTAGGTAAATAAAAGTTAAAAAGTTTTCTTTGTTGTGGAACTTGTTAGAAATTTGATATGCTAATATGCATTGTAATGTTTCAAGTTGGGGCATGTGTTGGACATAGTGGTCAGAGTTCCCCACAGTTATTTGATGTTTGCTCTTTTTTACAAGTATCTTGACAGATTACAGTTCTGTGGGATGTATTTTGGGAAACACTTGGTTAGATGATTCAGGATCTGCAAATAATGTTGGTATTTGTTGTTTCTGAATCCTTTTCAAATAGAGTAGACACAACCAATTACATACTGATCCATTAACATTTTTCCAGTTGTGCACCCTTTTTTTGCTTTTTTTCTTATGATCTTTATGTATGTGTTTGTATAATTCTCTTTTTAAAATAACTCAAACAAACTTGAAAGTCTGTTGATATTTTTTATATTTGGTTGCACAAGAGTGAGATTAGAATATGTAGTGGAAAGTAAAACATCTACTTTATACTTAGTGTTCCTTTTTTTTTTTTTTTTTTTTTTTGAGTCGAGTCTTGCTCTGTTGCCTAGGCTGGAGTGCAGTGGGATGATCTCGGCTGCAACCTCTGCCTCCTGAGTTCAAGCGATTCTCCCACCTCAGCCTACCTAGTAGTAGCTGGGATTACAGGCTATTTTTTGTATTGTTAGTAGAGACAGGGTTTCACCATGTTGGCCAGGCTGGTCTCAAACTCCTGACCTCAGGTGATTTACCCACCTCAGCCTCCCAAAGTGCTGAGATTTACAGATCCACTGTGCGTGGCCTACTTAGTGTTCTATACGTTGCTTTTATATTATGTCATTGTTCAGCCTAGATAGTCTATTCCCTTTTATCTTCTTTTAAGATACACTGTACCTTTAGTGATTTCATTTAGTAGTAGCTGGGATTACAGGTGTGTGTTACCATGCCCGGCTAATTTTTCTATTGTTAGTAGAGACGGGGTTTCACCATATTGGCTAGGCTGGTCTCGAACTCCTGACCTCAGATGATTTACCCACCTCGGCCTCCCAGAGTGTTGAGATTACAGGTGTGAGTCACTGCGCCTGGCCTACTTAGTGTTCTATACCTTGCTTTTACATTATATCATTGTTCAGCCTAGATAGTCTATTCTCTTTTATCTTCTTTTAAGATACACTGTACCTTTAGTGATTTCATTGTTGAAGGGCACGTTCTGTTTCTGTACTTGTCTATAAACACAACAAAATTTCCCAGGGCGTTCACGTAATATTTTGATTGAGGTAAAGAGAATCTTTTATACTTCTACATGCTTTCCTTCTCTCACTCATCTTAACCTACTGAATAACGTTAGTTTTTCACCACAGAAGACTGATTTTTTTCTGAATTTCTGAGTCCATTGACTAATATTAGTAATGTCACGTGGGAGGTTATTGAACTGTGGATTTGGATGGAAATGAAGAATATTATACTTAAGTAAGGAAGGTTTCAGGAAGTTTTACGAGATGATATAGAAAAACTAATCTTTAATTCTTATCCTTTTGGTTGAAAATATGAGAGAAAGGTTTTTCAAACCAGTTGCTGCAACTTTTAATTCATTTTCAGTCTTTTTTGGATCTGCAATTTTTTATTTTTTCTTAAAGTAACTTTAGAATTAATATGGTTTCTAACTTTAATAACTGTAGATATTCTGTTGTTTCCAACTGTCCTATTTTTCTCACTGGTTCTCTCTATATTTGATCGTCTTTATAGTTCTTACTTATTAATGTGTGATTTCTTTTTTTTTTTTTTTTTTTTTGGTTTGTTTGTTTTTTTGAGACGGAGGCTCACTCTGTCACCCAGCCTGGAGTGCAGTGGCATGATCTCTGCTCACTGCAACCTCCACCTCCCAAGTTCAAGCAATTCTCCTGCCTCAGCCTCCTGAGCAGCCGGGATTACAGGCGCATGCCACCACGTCCAGCTAAGTTTTTTATTTTTAGTAGAGACAGGGTTTTGCCATGTTGGCCAGACAGGTCTCAAACCCCGTACCTCAGGTGATCCACCCACCTTGGCCTCCCAAACTGCTGGGATTGTAGGCATGAGCCACTGTTTCCGGCCTAAATGTGTGATTTCTATTCCTCATAATTTGCGTTTTTCACAGTCCTTGCCTTGAGTTCTTCCTGGCACATTTATGCATTCTTTAAGCCTTAGTGCTTAGTTGTTAACTACCTTCTTTTCTTATTATGCATTGTTAACATTACTGAGAGAAGACATTCGATTGATCTGGTTGTTTTTTTTTTTTTTTGAGACGGAATATCGCCCTGCCACCCAGGCTGGAGTGCAGTGGTGCATCTCGGCTCACTGCAATCTCTGCTCCCTGGTTTCAAGTGATTCTCCTGCCTCAGCCTCCTGAGTAGCTGGGATTGCAGGTGTGTGCCACCACCCTGGCTAATTTTTGTATGTTTAGTAGAGCTGGGGTTTCACCATGTTGGTCAGGCTGGTCTCAAACTCCTGATCTCCTGATCCGCCCGCCTCAGCCTCTCAAAGTGCTGGGATTACAGGCGTGAGCCACCGTGCCTGGCCACCAGTTCTTTTTTTTTTAAATTATAAGACTATGTCATAGGTTATTAGCATATCTATGATTATCTGATTTTTTGTTAGTTGCTAATCTCTACTTCAGTTGAGTTGTGACTAGTGCGTGAAGGGCATCTTTTCTGCTGGGTCTGTGGCATATCAGAAACATTGCTGATATGTGTCTAGCACAATGTATAAATCTTACATGAATTCTGAGGTATTCCTTTAGCTATTGTTGTGCAACCTGCTTTTTAATATTTTTATAGTATCTTTTTTTTCTTTTTCTTTTCTTTTTTTTTGAGACAGAGTCTCACTTTGTTGCCCAGGCTGGAGTGCAGTGATGCAATCTTGGCTCATCACAACCTCCACCTCCTGGGTTCAAGTGATTCTCCTGCCTCAGCCTCATGAGTAGCTGGGACTACAGGCGTGGGCCACCATGCCCAGCTAATTTTTGTATTTTTAGTAAAGATGGGGTTTCACTATGTTGGCCAGGCTGGTCTCGAACTCGTGATCCACCTGCCTCGGCCTCCCAAAGTGCTGGGATTACAAGTGTGAGCCACTGCTCCTGGCCTATTTTTTTCTTTAATGATTTTTTTGGTTACTAATACATGCATGTTGAAACAGTTGAAATCATACAATACATAGATACATAAAAGCATCATCTCTCTACTTTTTTTTTCTTGATGTAGTTAACATTTACAGCCTCATGGATATCCCTTCATATCGTACTCTTTACTTACAACACAGGGACTTTGTTTGTTTTCATGGAAGTAGAATCCCTACAGATAGTAATTTGCCATATTTTTCTTTTCTTTCAAAAGTCTACCATGAAATAGCTATAGAAATTTGTAGATATCTTACATGTTTACATTCCCCTATACATGTATACATACAAACATATTTACAAAACCCAATGGTTTTTTGGGAGATGGGTCCGTTTGTTTTTATTCTTTTTAAAAAAAATTTCTTTTTATCTTGGCTATCATCCCCTCTTCTTACTAATCCCCTTCCCAATAAATATGGTAATGCATGTTAAAACCTGCTGGATATTCTTACATACATTTCTCTATGCTTATTATTATATAGAAATACTTGTGCATGTGTCTGAACATACACACTCATGTATGTAGTTTTTTACTCATTCCTTTTATTTATTTATTGAGTCAGTCTCTCTCTGTTGCCCAGGCCAGAGTGTAATGGCGCTGTCTCGGCTCACTGCAACCTCTGCCTCCAGGGTTCAAACGATTCTTCTGACTCAGCCTCCAAGTAGCTGGGATTACAGGCATGTGCCACCACACCTGGCTACTTTGTGTATTTTTAGTAGAGATGGGGTTTCACCATGTTGGCCAGGCTGGTCTTGAACTCCCGACCTCAGGTGATCTGCCCACCTTGGCCTCCCAAAGTCCTGAGATTATAGGTGTGAGCCACTGCACCTAGGCTTACTCATTCCTTTTTAAACAATGCAATCATTATATACTTCTGTGTTGAGCAGATGAATTCTATCACTTAGCAGTACACCGTGAACATTCCTTTAAGCCTGTTGAGATGACTCTGATTGATTCCTTTTTTTGATTTATTTAATTCCTTTATCCTTCTCAATATTTTATTATAAAAAATTTAAATATACCCCCAAAATTGAAAGATTATCACAACAAACATTCAAATGCTTTCCATATAGACTCAATAATTAACATTGTTTCATATTTTATCTTTTTATGTTTTATATATATAAATTTTTTTGTTGTTATTTGTTTGTTTTATTTGTTTGTGTTTTTGAGTCGGAGTCTCGCTCAGTGGTACAGTCTCGGCTCACTGCAACCTCCGCCTTCTGGGTTCAAGCAGCTCTCCTGCCTCAGCCTCCGTAGTAGCTGGGATTACAGGCCAGTTCCAACATGCCTGGCTAATTTTTTTGTATTTTAGTAGAGACAGGTTTCACCATGTTGGCCACGTTGGTCTCAAACTCCTGACCTCAGATGATCCGCCCCCCTTGGCCTCCCAAAGTGTAGGGATTACAGGCATGAGCCACTGCACCTGGCCTTTATTTATATATATTGTTGTTATACCATTTGAAAACTAAATGTAGATATCATGACATTTTACCCCCAAATACTTCAGCATGCACCTCTAAGAATACAGATATTCTCCTTCATAACCACATTATCATGATCACACCAAGGAAAATTAATGATATTGTTAAAATATCATCTTATACCCAATGCATATTGAGATTTCTCCAATTGTTCCCAGAATGTCATTTATAGGTTTTTTATACTGAAACATGACCCAGTTGAGAGTGACTCATTGCATTTGGTTGTTATGTCTCATAATCTAGAGCAATTTGCTCACCTTTTCCCCACCTTTGTGCCCAACTTTTTGAAAAGTCTTGACCAGTTAACTTGTAGAATGTCCTTTCTCTCAGATTTGCCTGATCATTTTCTCTCCATGTTTCTTAACCTGTTCTTTATCCTTTGTTTTTTCTGTGAATTGAAAATCAGCTATAGAGGCTTTATTAGATTCAGGTTAAACATTTCTGGATAGAATATTTCATAGGTGATATTAGGAACTTTACATATATCACATTGGAAACACACAATATCAGATTATTTCATCATTAATTGCCACTAAGTTAGATCGTGTAAGTGATAATCTTCAAATATATCCATTGTAAAGGAACATTTTTCTGTTTGTTATTAGTAAATATTCTTGGGACAATACTTTGGTTCCATGTGAATATCCTATTCCCAGCATAAAGCTTTTTACCTAGTGGCTTTAGCATTCAATAAAGACCTTTGCCTAAACCAGTTATTACTGGGGTATTATGTTAAATTTTCTAATTTTATCATTTCTTCTACATTTATTAGGTAGCATTGCATTATTCTGTAAGTAAGAACTTATTGCCCACCCTTTTATTTCTTGATGTTGTTATGGGCTTATCAGTTTTTTTTTTCAATGTGTTATAACTAGTTAGCCATTATTCTTTTTGATGCTAAATTTCCCAAATTTGGCTAACCATTCAAGCTGGCTTCTCTGTACTTTTGATATGACTCTAGTCTTAAAAAATGACTATATTATTAATGTAATGTAGATGCAACATGTCTGTTATTGCCCTACTGTGGACATTCACTTTGTTTCCAGTATAATTGCCATACAAACAACATTAAACATTCATGTACATATATTCTTATATACTGTTACCAGATTGAAACACTGCTATGAAATTTCTGTATTTATTTTACATTATTGTGATAAAGTTCCCTGCTAGTATATTTATTTCTTCTATCACTAGGAATAGTGCTAAAGTAGTGCCATTTGTTCCCCACCTTAGCCAACCCACATTACACTGTCTTAACACTCTTATTTCTTTTAAAGCACTTATCATTATCTTGCATTATTTTTCTTTTCTAGTTATTAATTTACATGTTATATTCCAACATAGGAATTATGCTCTTCGATAGCAATACCTTGTCTAGTACCTGGTATTTAGAAATTGCATATAATGGACATTTGGTAAATATTTGCTGAATTATTGATTGAATGAATGGATGGATGGCTGTCTTTTTTTTTTTTTTTTTTTTTTTTTTTTTTTTTGAGACAGAGTTTGGCTCTTGTTGCCCAGGCTGGAGTGCAATGGCGCAATCTCGGCTCACTGCAACCTCCACCTCCCGGGTTCAAGCGATTCTCCTGCCTCAGTTTCCCGAGTAGCTGGGATTACAGTCATGCGCCACCATGCTCGGCTAATTTTGTATTTTTAGTAGAGATGGGGTTTCTCCATGTTGGCTAGGCTGGTCTGGAACTCCCGACCTCAGGTGATCGGCCCACTTCAGCCTCCCAAAGTGTTGGGATTACAGGCATGAGCCACTGTGCCCGGCGTGGGCCTCAGTTTTAACTTTTTTCCTGTTAAGTGAACTTTTTATTTTTTAATTTTTATTTTATTTTATTTTGAGATGGAATCTCGCTGTGTCATCTGGACTGGAATGCAGTGACGCAATCTTGGCTCACTGCAGCCTCTGCCTCCCGGGTTCAAGCGATTCTCCTGCCTCAGCCTCCCATTTAGCTGGGACTACAGGCACGTACCACCATGCCTGGCTAATTTTTTTTATTTTTTAGTAGAGACGGGGTTTCACCATGTTAGCCAGGATGGTCTCGATCTCCTGACCTCGTGATCTGCCCGCCTTGGCCTCCCAAAGTGCTGGGATTACAGGCGTGAGCCACCGCGCCCGGCCAACTTTTTATTTTTAATTAAAGAAAAAGTTTTCTCAACCTATAGAAAGGTCTATACCTTAGACTTCTTTTGATTATTTGAAAAACTATCTAGATTTGTCGTTGTATCATAAGCCGAGTTTTGCCCTTTTTCTGAACATTTTTCCAAACCATAACAATTATAAAATTTGAAAAATAAATGTGTTTTGGAAACATTACTGACTCTTATTGAAAGCACTTTTGTTTCTGAAATAAAAAATGAACTTACTATTTGACATTATGGACACACAGATCCTCTTTTGGGTCTTACTAGCTGATAGGTATTTGCAAGTAAATCACTCTTGAAGTTCTTGGGTTATCTTTTAGAGTATGAAAACATTAAAAAAATACTCTTGGAATAATTATTAGGGAACATGATACCTTCTTTGCAGAGAGATCCAATTTATTTTTAGGCAGTAGAATGGATACTTTTTAAATCTAGGGATCTGAAATTACCTGGTTTAGTTAGATACATAGAAATTTTTCAAATTACATAATTCTACATGGTACAATGTTTATTTCATCTATTTATGTTAATTTGGTTTATTAAACTTTTATATATTTATATTTAGAGATTCTAAAAATTGCATGATGTTTGATATTATTACTACTTTATATTGCAGAATGTGCCCATTTACTTTTGGCTCACAATGCTCCAGTCAAGGTGAAAAATGCTCAGGGATGGAGCCCTCTGGCGGAAGCCATCAGCTATGGAGATAGGCAGATGAGTAAGCAATATGAATTACTGTTGTTGATATATCTTCTAAAAATATGAAGTGATGCATTTGAAATATTCTTCATTCATTGTAACTTGCCATAATATGAACTTTTGCAATTATGTGTAAACTTACATGTGAATTATTCATGACTTAGGAACTTGAACATTGAGTGGAACCCAGAAAGAGTTGAAGAATCACGTTTAAAATTATGAATTTTTTTTTCTTTTGCTGCATTCTACCTTACTGATGTTCTCTGATTCTTTTTTTATTCATCCATAATACAGGACTTTAAAAAAAAATTGATACCTGACTGTCCTTTTTGGCAACTGCTTAATTATATAGGCCATTATTGGAACTAAAAATAACCATAGTGTTACAATAGTTATCTGCTTTAGTTGGTAGGTATAGATTTTGCTGGAAGCAAGGAAGAAGACTGTCTCTATTTTGTTTTAGTCATTAAAAGAGTATTTCCAAAACATGTCATATTCTTTTTGATAATATGCTGAATGTTGAGTTATTCCACTCTCCCTCCTCCTACCCAGAATTTTTTTCAACTTCACATACAGATCTTATTTTTGTCAAGTATATCTCAATAGTGGAAAATTGTACAAAACTTAATCTGGATGAATGGGAATATTATCTTGCTGATAATATTATCTTTATATTTTTAGGCTGAAAATGATCAATTAAATCTAACTTTGTGGAAGGAAATAAAAAACGTTGGCAGTTTTATTAAAGAAATGCATAATGTGGAACTCTCCTAGGTGTTACATAGATTCAGTCTTATTTTGATGCTACGTTTTGGGCTCTTCTGGGTGCTTTCTTAAGATTTGGCAGGCTGGGCACGGTGGCTCACGCCTGTAATCCCAGCACTTTGGGAGGCTGAGGCGGGTGGATCACCTGAGGTCAGGAGTTCACCACCAGCCTGGCCAACGTGGTGAAACCCCGTCTCTACTAAAAATACAAAAAAATTGCCAGGCATGGTGGTGGGCACCTGTAATCTCAGCTACTCGGGAGGCTGAGGCACGAGAATCGCCTGAGCCTGGGAGGCGGAGGTTGCAGTGAGCCGAGATCGCACCATTGCACTCCAGCCCGGGCGACAAGAGCAAGACTCTGTCTCAAAAAAAAAAAAAAAATTATTTAGCTGTATATTGTACCGCACATACATTTTTGTGGACTTCCTGAACTTTATAAACAAAAAAAATTTTTTTTTTTGAGAGGGAGTCTCGCCCTGTCACCCAGGCTGGATGGAATGCAATGGCACAATCTTGGCTCACTGCAACCTCCGCCTCCTGCATTCAAGGGGTTCTCCTGCCTCAGCCTCCCAAGTAGCTGGGATCACAGGTGCCTGCCACCATGCCTGGCTAATTTTTGTATTTTTAGCAGAGACGGGGTTTCACCATGTTGGTCAGGCTGGTCTTAAACTCCTGACCACGTGATCCGCCCACCTTGGCCTCCCAAAGTGCTAGGATTACAGGCATGAGCCACCGTGCTCAGCCTATAAACAACTTTTAATGGTGAAGTTATATTTGGGTCTAAGATTTACTGAGATAAAATTGTAATATTTTAACAACTAAAGTGAGTGTATTTTTTTTTTATTTGTTATACACTGACAGTTGTCCTTTCTGGACAAATATCAGGAGACCCTCATGAGAGCAAGAAACAATACTAATCCTAGAATTATTTCAAGGAAAAGATAAAAAATGTGCAAACCCAAAAGAAACTGATAATAAGAGTTGCAACAACTGGTCTGAAGAAACTTCCTCTGATTTTTCTAACTAATTAACAGAATGGAGAGGAAACAAGATTGTCTTCTGGGTTTCTGTCTAGTGTGACTTTTGTGACTTTCAATTATTCTTTTTTTTTTTGAGACGGAGTTCCACCCTTGTTGCCCAGGCTGGAGTGCAATGGCACAATCTAGGCTTACCTGCAACCTCTGCCTCCCGGGTTGAAGCAATTCTCCTGCCCCAGCCTCCCAAGTAGCTGGGATTACAGGCATACATCACCATGCCCGGCTAATCTTGTAGTTTTAGTATAGTTGGGGTTTCTCCACGTTGGTCAAGCTGGTTTTGAACTCCTGACGTCAGGTGATCCACCAGCCTCGGCCTCCCAAAATGCTGGGGTTACAGGTGTGAGCCACTGCGCCCGGCCTCAAGGATTCTTTACTCAGAGTCAGTATTTACTGAGTCCTTACTATAAAGCATGTGTGTGTATTAAGATGTGGAGAATAAAAGACCTGGTCTCTTCTGTTTAAGAATTCATAATTATTGGGAAGGCCAATAAACAAAATTTTCATGGAAAATTAGTTAAAGGATATTTAACAATCAATTTAAAGGTAAAAGATTGAGGCTCAGATAGTTGAGGTCTGTTCTTAAAGTGATTTTCTTATGTAGAGTGATACCTTAGCCATTCTAAATAATATCCCATTGTCCATTATTATGTAATTATATAACCATAATTGCTCGGTGCTTATATTTTCATTACTTTCCATCACATGAAACAAATACTTAACTGCTAACTTAAAGGATAATTAATTGAATATCTCTTACGGTTTATTAGAAATATTAATATAAATGTATAATGGTGTTAAACATATGTCTGTACTTATTTTTATTTATTTATTTTTTTTGAGACCGAGTTCAAGCGGTTCTCCTGAGTAGCTGGGACTACAGGCACCTGCCACAGTGCCCAACTAATTTTTGTATTTTTAGTAGAGATGGGGTTTCACCATGTTGGCCAGGCTGGTCTCGAATTCCTGACCTCAGGTAATCTACTTGCCTCGGCCTCCCAAAGTGCTGGGATTACAGGCGTGAGCCACCATGCCCGGCTATGTCTGTACTTTGAAATTATCTTAAGCACTGTGATTTAAGTTTTTGATTTTTTGGCTTGTGTTACATTAACATTTTATGTTTTTTGAAAAATCAGAGATAATCTAATATTATTAATTACTGGCAAAAACTTTGTGACCTATTTTTGTGTCCATTTCTTCTGATTTCTGATAATTTTGCTAACATTCTTGTACCACAAAACAGACAATGCAAACTACTTGTCAGAGACTGTTTAGAATCATTTCACTAATTAATAATAAAATTTCAAGATTATGTTGCTTTTCTGCCTTACAGTGGTTACCTGGTAAACAGTGATCAGCCCAGACCAGTATGAGATAGAGATATGGATACAACTAAAAAGCCTTTTTTTCCCACAATTTATCCCTCACCCATGGTTCCTAGCTTTCTCTGATCGAGACAGCTCTGGTTTCTTTATGCACTCTGGGATCTAGTTGTCTTTTGTCTCTCCAGAAGTTGTTCACAGTTTGTGCAGACTTATGTCATGGTATACTTGTGTTATGGTAGTTTTGGGAATTCTGTCGGCCTTTGTCTTATTTTTGTGGCACATCAAAGGTGTTAATGTGGAGGAAGAGACAGCAGTTCATATTGGTTTGCCATCTTACATTGAACTAGAAGTCTTCATTTAGCCTTCAATTTTAAATTTCTTTTTGAGAGAAGGCTTTTCTCAACTTCTAGAGTAGGTTAAGTTCTTCTTCTTGTACATTTTCAAAGTGGTTTAGTCTTTTCCTTTGCAATATGTTGCATACTTCTAATTAATTTTTCAGTATGTGTTCCCTACTCTGTGTATCTTGATAATATAAGCTTTGTGAGACTTCAAGTCATGCATATGTTATCTTATTCACCCCTTTATCTCTGGTACAATATTTGTTTAATGAATTAATGAAGAGATGAATAAAAACTACAAAGAAAATTCGAGACTGTGTATCAAGAATCAAAATTTTTCTTTAAAGTATTATATTAGATGCCAGTAACCCCAGCGCTTTGGGAGGCCAAAGCAGGCAGATTGCTTGAGCCTGGGAAACATAGGGGGACCCCAACACTACAAAAAGTACAAAAATTAGCTGGTGTGGTAGTGTGTGCCTGTAGTCCCAGCTACGCGGGAGCCTGAGGTGGGAGGATTGCTTGACCCTGGGAGGTGGAGGTAGCAGTGAGCTGAGATCACGCCACTGCACTCCAACCTGGGTGACAGAGTGAGACCCTGTCTAAAAAAAAAAAGAAAAAAGTAAAGTATTATAGTAGGACTTTTATTTATCACAACTCTCCTGAGTTTTCAAAACTTTGTTTTTTCTTATAAGAAAATGATGACATTCATCGTAGAAAATTAGGAATTATAGGGAAAAGAAAAGAAAATAATATCACTCAAAGATAACCACTGTTGGGTCAGGTGTGGTGGGGCATGCCTATAATCCCAGCACTTTGGGAGGCCGAGACAGGTGGGTCGCTTGAGCCTGGGAGTTCAAGACCAGCCTAAGCAGCATGGCAAAAACCTGTCTCTACAAAAAAATACAAAAATTAGCCAGGCATGGTGATGTGCGTATGTGGCCCCAGCTACTTGGGAGCTGAGATGGGAGGATCCACTTGAGCCTGGGAGGCTGAGGCTGTGGTGAGCTGACATTGTGCCACTGCACTCCAGCCTGGAGCCTGGGACAAAGTGAGACCCTGTCTCAAGAAAAAAAAAAAGACAACCACTGTTAATATTTTGTTATATTTTAGTTTCGTCTTCTGGTCATATTATTCTCTACATAAAATTCTTTAAAACCTCCTGTTCTGAGGACAAAGACCAAAATTGCTAACTTTGTTTATAAGGTCCAGTATGATACTATCACTTCCTTGTCTCCTTCCTCATCTTGTTCTTTCCATCTGGCTTTCTATGTGTCAGCTCTGCTGGCTTTTTGGTTTCTCATACTCCTCATACTTATATATCCCCCTCTTTTTGTCACAGCTCCTTAAGATTCTTCAGATCTCAGCTCAAGTACAAGGAAGTTTTCTCTGCTCATATATTGTCTCAGAACTCTGCCCATTCCCTTTAGGCAGAGTGTATGAGGCCAGGAATTGTCTATTTGTGTTCTGAATACCTACTAGATGTGTCAGAAACATAGTCAGGATGTGCCATTAACTTTGATATTGAGGAAGTCATCCTACTTAAGGGAGAGAGACCAGTGAATATTCTGTGGCATTCTGAAGTATTTACAAAGTCCTGGGGGAAACAGATGAGTGGAAAAGTTATTCAGGTTCTTAGCAAGGTGTTTGGTTATTAAAGCTGTCTCAAAGGGTTTTAGAAGTTAAAAAGGTGGGTAAAGGCATTCTACTGTGCGAGAGTGGAATGTGTATAAAGCATGGAAATATTAAAAAAAAAAAAAGGCATATGCTAGGGAACAATATGTATTTGGTTTCTTTTTTTTTTTGAGATGGAGTTTCCCTCTTGTTGCTCAGGCTGGAATGCAATGGCGCGATCTTGGCTCTCTGCAGCCTCCGCCTCTCAGATTCAAGCAATTCTCCTGCCCCAGTCTCCCGAGTAGCTGAGATTACAGGCACCCGCCACCACACCCAGCTAATTTTTTGTATTTTTAGTAGAGACGGGGTTTCACTATGTTGGCCAGGCTGGTCTTGAACTCCTGACCTCAGGCAATCCACCCGGCTCGGCCTCCCAAAGTGCTGAGATTACAGGTGTGAGCCACCGTGCCCCTGTATTTGGCTTCTTAATGATACATGGCAAAGATGGATGAAGGGGCAAAGACCAGTGTTGGGAAATGAAGTTGTAATGATAAAAGGACCACATTGATATCAGCTTTATGTGCTAGTCAAGATTTTAATCCCAATTTCCAGTCTCTGCAAAACCCCAGAAGACTTCAAAGCAGGGCTTGTTATTATTAGATAAGTGAAAAGACTTTCTAATTAATACAGCGGAGTCAGGGAGGCAAGAGATATTTAGAACAAAACATTTTTGGAACAAATGAGGTAAGCTTGACTTAAAGACATAGTGTTTTTAGAGAAGGAAGGGATAGATCAGAAAGTAATTAAAAGAAAGGTTTAGCCGGGCGTGGTGGCTCATGCCTGCAATCCCAGAACTTTGGGAGGCTGAGGCAGGTGGATCATGATGTCAAGAGATCGAGACCATCCTGGCCAACATGGTGAAACCCTGTTTCTACTAAAAATACAAAAATTAGCTGGGCATGGTGGCGCACACCTGTAGTCCCAGCTACTCTGGAGACTGAGGCAGGAGAATAGCTTGAACCCAAGAGGCAGAGGTTGCAGTGAGCCAAGATTGCGCCGCTGCATTCCAGCCTGGCGACAGAGCGAGACTCCGTCTCAAAAAAAAAAAAAAAAAAAAAACAAAGATTGATTTAACAGAATGGATTATCTCTTGGATATGGGTAATGATAAAATGATTCAGAGTAACTCTAAGGTCTCTATTATGGATTGATGGTGATTTCATTACTTAATTGATATATAGACTATAGGAGCAAGAGCAGTATGGTCTTTAATTTGTGTTAGATTTGTTGGGTTTGAATCAACTGTAGTACATCAGGTAGAATTGTCCAGGTGGGAAGCAGGAAATAGATTGGAGCTTAGAAGGAAGAGGAGTGCAAAAGGTAACAGATTTAAGTAATACTTGGAGCAGTAGGGCATAGTTCCAAAAGCTTTAGGTCAAACTGTAAACTTCAGTCGGAGAAGGAGGAAGGAGAAAGTAAAATTAGTTGTGGTTTATGGACTTTTGCATTTGAGTCTTTGTATGAATTCTTTTATCACCTAAATCCTCTAAAGCTAATTTTAATCTTCATTGTTAATCAGTATTAATAAAATTCTTACAATATGGGAATACAAATACTGATCCCTAAAAAGGATACTGGTAATTGGTAATTTTGTGTAATTGCTTTCTGAATGTGCATCCATAAGAAGTTTGAGTTTATGGTATTTTTCAATATGAAGTCATATAGAAAAGGGAATCTCTTCGCATATGTTATTATACTGTGCTATATACAGTGGTTGCCATTACCTTTTTAATGATGTTTGGTCGTTATTTATTGAATGCCTTCAGCTTTTTAAATGATGTTTGGTCATTATTTACTGAATGCCTTCAGTCAGTTACAATTATATTTAGTTAATAAAATCAGGCTGATAAAAAAATATGTAGCCTCTGCTTTTTATTGAAAGACCCTTTTTATCTAGGAATTGAATTCTTTTCATTCTCTGCATTCAACTGAGGTCCATTTCAATCTGAAGGCAAGGTAGATTGAATAAGATTTATTAAGGTACTTGAGCTTATAGTAGAAAACAATGACCATTAAAAAGAATTGTACTACATTTGAGTAATATAACTTTGACATTAAAGTTAAATTATAATGAACAGGAAGGTTTGTCAGATTCATACTTGAATCTTTAAATGATTATCTAAGTCATTGATTCTCAGACTTTTTGGATTTCACAGACCAGAAAAATTTTTTTTACTGGTGATTGATATAGGGAATCTAACTTTTTCATCTTAGACTATCAGAACTTTATAAAAACGATAACTACTGTCTTTTGTGATCCACATTTTATTTTTAAAAAAAAGATATTTGAAACCAAAAGTAGGAAGAATAGTCTTTAAAAAAATTTATTAAGAAAAAACTCATTCTAGTACACATTTTTTCTCATTTTCTGTATATCATTGGAAACTCAAACAATTGGGCACAGAAATGTAGGTTCGTATTTGGGAATTATTGATTTAGGTCACCGAGCTAGTAAATGGTAGAACTGAAACTAGGTCCTGCATTCCGATTTCTGTGTCTCAGTTTTGATTATTTTGAGACACCTTCAGTAATTTAAGCATTGTTCTTTGATTTTTGGCTTTTTAAAATATATTGGAATTTAGTTAGACCTGTGGTTAAAAATAAGAATAGCTCCTACTATTTTTACATGCTTCCCTAGATTTTTCCTAATTTTGGACCTATGTGGACAAAAAAAAAAAATCTAGTCCAAGCTTTCACTACCTTCTTTTTTTATTCGCCTTCTGCTTCTGCGTTCCACATGGGACTTGAAGTGGTTTATAAGAATGCATGCTGTGAAATAGTAAAAATAATTTACTGATTTTTAAAAAGCCCTCAGAACGCATATGTATATGTATGTATATGAAAAATGTGTTAGAATCAGGAGGAAACTAGCGTGTATATATGTATATATTTTCCCCGATGCACATTTTTCCATGTTCTTATTTTTTCCTATGCTTATTTCATTCAAGTCTAATATTTTTTCTTATTTTGGTAAATATTAAGGATTAATTGATTGATTTTGCCAGTGAATTTTAGACCTTCATTCTAATAGATAAAAATTGTATTTAGTTAATTACAGGCACAGTGTCTTGCTCTGTCACCCAGGCTGGAGTGCAGTGGTCATAGCTCACTGCAGCCTCAAACTCTTGGGCACAACCAGTCCTCCTGTCTCAGCCTCCCAAGTAGCTAGGACCACAGGTACACACCATCAAGCCCTGGCTAATTTTTTTTTTTTTTTTTAATAGAGATGGGGTCTTACTATGTTTCCCAGGCTGGTCTCGAACTCCTGAGCTCAAGTGATCCTCTCACCTTAACCTCCTGAGTAGCTGGGACTACAGGTGCAGACCACTGTGCCCTTACTTCTATTCTTACTTGACAAAGGAGAGGAAAAAAAAAGGAAGTTTAGAGAAATTAAGTAGTAACTTGTCCAAGTTTACCCACAACCACTAAGTGGTAAAGCTGGGGTTTGAACTTCAGCAATGTGCTTAAATCTCAGTAACTGAAAATACACTATGGAGGACCTTTAGGTTTTCTTAGATTCAGAAGTTCTTTTTCCATGTACAATAAGATTCATTTTTGTATTTTTTATACTGTGCTGGTAGTATGTGAAGGTATATCCTCCAGTGGTAAAAGAACAGATAACACCTGGTAACAATTGCAGGTAATTATATGTTTTTAGAAAAGTGGCTTCCAGTGGGATTTTTGAGATCTGTTGTTTTTGAGATCTTCCTTGAGGTCAGTGTTCTATTAGGACATTGCATCATTTGAATGAGTTTGGTTATCTTGGCACAGTTAGGTAAATCGTTACTGATAATTAAAAAACTAGTAAAAGCTAGTGTGAATATGGTATAGGTTGATGTTGAAATATCTCTTCTCATTATTCTTTGGGGATCATACCAGTTTTATTAAACTTACTTACTAACTTATTCTATCTATATAGGTCCCATGTTCTCTGACTTCTATGTCTCAGCTTCTTTTACTGTTCCAAGAGGCCTTCAGTAATTTAAACATTGCTCTTTGATTTTTGGCCTTTCAAAATATATTGTAGATGTAGATACACACATACACATACACACATACATGCACGTGCATATATGTGTACATGTATTATCTATCTATATGTATAATAAGCCAGTGGTGTTTTTACTGCATGATGAAAATTTAAATTAGTTATTTTTAAAATTTAAACTTTAGTTACAGCTCTTTTGAGGAAGCTTAAGCAGCAATCCAGGGAAAGTGTTGAAGAAAAACGACCTCGATTATTAAAAGCCCTGAAAGAGGTAAGCTATATTTCTTTGTTAATTTTGCACCTTGGAAGTAATTATAAGTGTAGTTTTAAGCATTTTTTTCTTAATACAACTTAAATTCTCACTTATTAGGGGCCAAAAAATGGTAAAAATCATGCTTAAATTAAGCAATAATTAGTGTATGAATGTGATCTTAGTAGAAGCACCTCAGTTTGAACTAGGAAGATAAAGATTTATTACTTTCAATAAATTAGATAAGAGCTCTAAAGAAAAAAAAAGGAGGTAAGTCACAGTTAATGGCAATAATTTTCCTTTGCCTTTGAATTAGAAGATTCTCTATAGCTAAAGCCATTGCTACTAGAAGTGGCAGTTTTTTTTGTTTGTTTGTTTTGGAGACAGCGCCTCACTCTGTCGCCCAGCTAATTTTTTGTATTTTTAGTAGAGATGGGGTTTCACCATATTACCCAGGCTGGTATCAAACTCCTGAGCTCAAGCAATCCGCCTGCCTCAGCCTCCTAGAGTGCTGGGATTATAGGCGTGAGCCACCGTGCCCGGCCTGTATATTCTTTATGTAACAAAAACTCTTTTTATCTGTCCTACCTCCTTGTGGTAAGAGCTGGGTATGCTGGCACACAAAAGAGAGTGGTTTGTTTTCTATTGTTACTCTCTTCTCTGTATTTCTGCTGCCTGAAAGAACTGTGGGAGAAAGATAGACCTGTCATGATGATTATGATGATAGCTTGTCTCTGTTAATGGTGCTTTTTTTTTTTTTTAGATCTTAAGAAATATAGAAAAAGCCAGAAAAATGTTTTACTCATATTGCAATGATATCTACTATTAACATTCACTTTTATCACTTTTTGAAAAAGAAAGACTAACTTGTTGATGTTGCTATATATGTAATGCTCTACTTATATTTAGAATATATACTCTTAACAGTTATAATCTTTGGTGTCTAGCTTCTAATTTGCAAAATAAAATTTTTTTTCGGCCAGGCATGGTGACTCACGCCTGTAATCCCAGCACTTTGGGAGGCCGAAGCGGGTGGATCACCTGAGGTCAGGAGTTCGAGACTAGCCTGACCAAAAAGGTGAAACTCCATCTGTACTAAAAATTAAAAAAAAAAAATTAGCCAGGCATGGTGGCAGGCGCCTGTAGTCCCAGCTACTTGGGAGGCTGGGATAGGAGAATTGCTTGAACCCAGGAGGCAGAGGTTGCAGTGAGCTGAGATCATGCCACTACACTCCAACCTGGGCGATGGAGTGAGACTGCATCTCAAAAAAAAAAAATTTTTTTTTCATAGATATTATATGATGACATGTTTCAGATTTAATAAACTTGTATTATCCCTTTACAGAAAAATATTTTCTATTACAATGGGCCATTTTTTAAATGCCATTATGAGGTTATACAAATAATCATTTTGGTAGTAATTTTTAATAACACTTCTAAAGTTAACTATTTAAAAAATAATATTTATTATTATTGTTATTTTGTTTATACTGGGAAGTGTAATATTTATTGATACAAATTTAAATGCTTATCAGTTTCAGATATGTTACTATGTAATTAAAATATTATAAAATATACAGGTGCATATTTTCCTTTGTAATTAAGTATAGTAATGCATGTATTATAATGTTTTAAGGAATAGCCATATTTTTAAAGCATAAGAACTTTTAACTAAGGTGCATTTAGTAATTATTCATATTTCATTTTTCAGCTAGGTGACTTTTATCTAGAACTTCACTGGGATTTTCAAAGCTGGGGTAAGAGTATGCTATGTTTTAGTATAAAATATGTACTTATGCAGAAATGCAAGTACAAAAATACCTATCATATAGAAATGTTAGGATAACAAATTTAATACTTGCTGTGAGGAAAAGTATTTTTCATGACATTGACTGTAATCGTTATAAAGCCCTATAATATTTAGTTATTCCAACTTGATTAGTAACTTTAATAAATCTTTTTTTTTTTTTTTTTGAGACAAGTTCTCACTGTTGCCCAGGCTGGAGTGCAGTGGTACGATCATAGCTTACTACAGCCTCGAACCCCTGGGCTCAGGCAGTCCTCCCCGCTCAGCCTCCTGAGTAGCTAGGACCACAGGCACATGCCGTCACACCTGGCTAATTATTTTTATTTTTTGTAGAGATGGAATCTCACTGTGTTTCCCAGGCTGGTCTAGAACACCTGGGCTCAAGCGATCCTCCTACCTCGGCCTCTCAAAGTGCTGGGATTACAGAAGTGAGCCACCACATCTGGCCAATAGTTTATATTTTTAAGGTTGAAAATGGCACTTTTAGTTTTAAAAATTTTGTTTTACAAACAGCATTTAAAATTTAATAATAGAATGCAAGGAGTTTTCAGAAAAGAAAATTAATTATGGGATTATGGGACTACTGAATTTAAGGACGTTTGAAATCTAGTACTTAGATCTCTGAATGTGGAGAATTTAGTTAACATTTTTTGTTTATGTATATTTTGTTGTCTTTCCGTTATTTTGCCTCTTGCATACTTTATAGCCACTTTCTTTACATACTGTTTGGTTGAACATTGATTCCAGTGACTTACGAAAGATCCTAATTTTGCCCTAGATTTTTTTGCAGTCATTTATTGACTTACCTTAACAAGGTTTTTCTCCTCATTTTAAACATGAGTCCACTAGAGAGAAAACTTTCATATCCAAATATGAAATTTGATTCTAGTGACCTTTATTTTACTAACTAAACAACTAAATTTTGTTGTTTTTAAAGATTTAAAAAAATGTAATCTCTAAAGGTTTAGACATAATGAGCTTATGTGAGTTTTTGTTGAAGCATCTAAATTAATTTTTTTTTTTTTTTGGAGACAGAGTCTCACTCACTCTGTCGCCCAGGCACGTATGCATATTATACCAAATGAGGAACTTTGGGCAAAGAATTCAAAGTCAGTAGAATAGGAATTTTGAACTAGCAAATCTGTTTCTTTTCAGTTCTACATTCTGTGGCTCTATAGTTTTCTCTATACATTTAAAAACAAATTCTAGACTGTGAAATGGAGATTACTTACAGTACTTAGCCCCATCCAGTGCTGCTACTGCTCTTCCCAGGCAATTTGTAGTGGGATTTCCAGAGCAAGGCTCTGTCTCAAAAAAAAAAAAAAACAGTAATAGAAATTTCACAGTTTTAGGCCTAGTCTATGGGAGGTCAATAAATGCAACTTAATTTAAAACATTACATTCTGATATTTGTTAACCTTGAGGAAGTTATGATATTCTCACAATACACTTGGGTTTGCAAATTCAGCTTCAACTCGTCAGTAAGAAAATAGATTATACAATATACCATATAGCAGTAAAATGCCTAGGAAGTTACCAGATTTAAACTTTAATTAACAATTATACTTGTTATTTCTTCTAATTCTCTTACATCTTCTGATTTCTTCTGAAAAAGTAAACGCAGCCATAAATCTGAAGTCCATTAGCACTTATTTCTCTCTACTGTATGAAAAAATAGTAGTTTTCTACTGTCTTGAGAAAGAATCTGGCCTCTTTTCAACAAGTAATAATTTTCTACAAATTATATTTTTGATAAACTGCCTTCTTTATTTGGAGCTTTTAGATACAAATCAGACTTCCTCTCCAGCTTATGTACATTACAGCTTGTGTAAATTTTAAACATTGATTTTATAACATCTGTATACATTTCTAAAAATTGTATTATGCTTTTTAGTTAGCTTTGACTAATACAAGTTATTTAATACTAAAATTATCCTCAGTTTACTAAGATTTTAATCTATTTTTAATAGAATATTCACTGTAAAAGTTTTGAACATTATAGAAAATTAATCAGGTATTTTTAAGTTTCCCTGTTACCACTTCCCAGAGGTGACTATTGTTAACATTTCGTATGACTACTTTCAAATGCTTTTCAGTGCTTACTAAAGTGTTTGTGTACATAGCTATGCACACACAACCCCTCAGAATTAGGTTTTTTTTCTCCCATGGAATCATACTGTTATATCATTATGCAAGTTGACATTTATTTATTTATTTATTGAGAGGGAGTCTCACTCTATCACCCAGGCTGGAATGCAGTCACGCGATCTCAGCTCACTGCAACCTCCACCTCCTGGGTTCAAGTGATCCTAACACCTCAGCCTCCCGAGTAGCTGGGACTACATGCATGTGCCTTATGTTTTTAGTAGAGACAAGTTTTCACTGTGTTGGCCAGGCTGGTCTCGAACTCCTGACCTCTGATGATCCACCCGCCTCGGCCTCCCAAAGTGTAGGGATTACAGGCGTGAGCTACTACACCCAGCCATCATTTTTATTCAACCCATAGTAGGCATCTTACCATATTTCAGGTGGAAATACTTCACTAATTTTAACAGCTACATAATACTTTATGGCATGGATGATTAAGGTTTTTCTAGTGTGTTTAATCCTTGTATAGAGAATTTTAAATTCTAAATTTAATCAGTTTTTTCTCACATTTTTATAACTCTAGCTCATCAGGCTAGTTTGTCTCTATTAATGATTATGCAGTCTTGTTACTCTAATAGTCCCATCTTGCTTTTATGCCTTATATATCATTCAGGAGTCCTGGTGTCCTAGAACACATAGAAAAACAGGTTTATAGTAGCCTTGTGTAGTAAAGGAGCTCCAAGTTAGATTGGCCTAAAACCTGAATACTGTCTTTTTTACCCCATTTTTTTCCCATGTGGGGAGACCCCAGTCCTGCTTTGTGATCCTAAACTGGGTTGTCCCTTGAGTATTTTGGCTTTTTAACTGATTCTCTTAGTAATCATTAGTGGTTTGAATTCTAAAATAATCAATGTATATTGCTGAACAAAATGTTATAAAATATTTTAAAAGTGATATTTTAATTATACTAAAATATAAATACATGCAATCACTTCTAAAATTGTGTATATATCTATAGTTATAAACAATACATTATAAATGTTGCATAATTGAGTTCCTCAAGTAACCACTGAGACAGTTGTCCAAAGTATTTCTTCTTTGAGAATTTGACTTTGATGCAAAAAGTCAGCACATCTGTTTCATTGCTAATAAAGGATTATAGTGATTTAACATCACAACTATTAATACGTGATGATTAGATGTCATGTATAATTCTAAAACGAAACCCATTGGCTTATAGATAGCCTAGATCTTTTATTAGATTTTATGATCAAACTTTAATTAGAGTTTTGGCATATTTCTTTCCCTTGTCAAAACACATAATATTTTTTAAAAAGCAAGCGAAAAATAAGGGGAAGCCAAGAAATACTGAAATCAGGGTGAGTTTACTTTTGAGATAGTAGAGCACACTCTTTTTTATGCTCTTACTTATATTCAGACTTCGAAGAAAATAGCCACAGACTTAGTAACAAGTTTGAAGGTAACTGAAATATTCCAGCCTGGATTTTTAGGTATAGAAAAGCTTTGAATTGGAGTCAGAAATACCGACCCCTAAGTATTTGACATTGCAAATCACATATTTTATATGTTTTCTGAGCTTTATTCTTCATTTTTAAAATGAGGATAATACTAACTACCCCACCTGTTGCAAACTTTCTTTTGGTGTATATGAAATAAAATCATTTTTTTGAAGAAAGCCCTTTGTATACTATAAAGTATCAAATAATTTATAATATGATCACTACTTTAAATTTTGCATTATGCATATAGCACGTTTTAACTAAAAAACTAATTCTCTATTTTTATTTGTTGTCTACAGAATCAATCCATCCTGTATTTGAGACTGTTATTTGTATATTATTATTATTATTATTTTTTTTTTTTTTTTTTTGCGACGGAGTCTGGCTCTGTCGCCCAGGCTAGCGCGATCTCGGCTCACTGCAAGCTCCACCTCCTGGGTTCACGCCATTCTCCTGCCTCAGCCTTCCGAGTAGCTGGGACTACAGGCGCCCGCCACCACGCCCGGCTAATTTTTTGTATTTTCTTTTTTTTAGTACAGACGGGATTTCACCGTGTTAGCCAAGATGGTCTTGATCTTCTCACCTCGTGATCCACCCGCCTCGGCCTCCCAAAGTGCTGGGATTACAGGCTTGAGCCACCGCGCCCGGCCTATTATTTGTATATTATAGATAGAAAACATTAAGCTTAAAAACTCTTCTGAAAATTGGGGAGTAGGCTGGGTGCAGTGGCTCACGCCGTAATCCCAGCACTTTGGGAGGCCAAGGCGGGTGGATCACCTTAGGTCAGGAGTTTGAGACCAACCTGGCCAACATGGTGAAAACCCATCTCTGCTAAAAATACAAAAATTAGGTGGACATGGTAGGGGGGCGCCTGTAATCCCAGCTACTCAGGAGGCTGAGGCTGGAGAATCACTTGAACCTGGGAGGCGGAGAGGAGAATCACTTGAACCTGGGAGGCGGAGTTTGTAGTAAGCTGAGATTGCGGCACTGCATTCCAGCCTGGGTGACAGAGCGACACTCTGTCTAAAAAAAAAAAAAAGGAAAGAAAGAAAATTGGGGAGTAAGTGGTAGCCAAATGAAAATTTAAATTTAAAAACTCTCTTTTTATTTTCTGTTTAGTGAATTATGCTACTGTTGGAATACTGTGCTAAACTTATGCTGAGGTAACAGGAAATAGGTTGGTTGTTTAACTTACGTGGAGGAGAAAAAGAGTTATTTCAGACTTGGGAAAATGTAAATTGCTATGTTTTGGAATGCATTAAAATCTATCAGAAATGTTTTTTTATTTGTTTGGTTGTTTGTTTTGCTCAATAATTTAACTTCTTTAATTTTTTTTTTTTTTTTTTTTGAGACGGAGTCTCGCTCTGTCGCCCAGGCTGGAGCACAGTGGCGCAATCTCGGCTCACTGCAAGTTCCGCCTCCTGGGTTCACGCCATTCTCCTGCCTCAGCCTCCTGAGTAGCTGGGACTACAGGCGCCCGCCACCACACCTGGCTAATTTTTTCTATTTTTAGTAAAGACGGGGTTTCACCGTGTTAGCCAGGACCGTCTTCATCTCCTGACCTCGTGATCTGCCCGCCTCGGCCTCCCAAAGTGCTGGGATTACAGGCCTCTGAGCCACCGCGCCTTGCCCTTTTCTTTTTTTTTTCTTAGCTTTTGCTCTCAATCCTCAACTTGTTTTCTCTCTGCCTTACCATTTTCCTCCTTTCCTGATTTTTAATAAAAGTATTAGTGTATGATATTAAATTCTGTTTTTGTAGGGTGTTATAATTACTTCAAAAGATATAATGTTGGCTGGGTATGGTGGCTTGTGCCTGTAATTCTAGCACTTTGGGAGGCTGAGGTGGGAGGATCTCTTGAGGCTAGGAGTTCAAGACCAACCTGGCCAATATAGGGAGACCCCCGTCTTTAAAAAAATAAATAAGTAATGAGATATAATGAAGTTAAATTAACTTAAGTTGGAGTGCTATCTACTTTTAATCATCTTTGGTTCATGATACACCAAATACTTACTTCAGGATGGATCTCAATTAATGAGCATGAAAGAACTTTGATCATTTATAGAATTACACTATTATTGCTCTTCTCAATTTTTGTTTCAAAAAAGTTTTTTCTTTCTTTCTTTTTTTCTTTTTCAAAGAGATAGGGTTTTGCTGTGTCACCTGGGCTGGAGTGCAGTGGCATGATCATAGCCCACTTCAGCCTTCGACTCCTGGCCTCAGGTGATCCTCCTGCTTCAGTCTCCCAGGTAGCTAGGACTACAGGTACCTGCCACCACACCTGGCTAATTTTTCTATTTTTATTTTTGTAGAGACAGGGTCTTGCTATGTTGCTCAGGCTAGCCTCAAGCTCCTGGGCTCAAACAGTCCTCCTGCCTTGGCCTCCCATATGGCTGCAGTTATAGCCAAACCGTGCCCAGCTGAGAAAGGAAAAGCTTTGTCAGAAGAAGATTTCTTACATTATTTCACTAGGGCAACAATTCGTTAATATTCTCTCTGGACAATAAACTTTTCTTATTTTTGCACTAAAATTCAGAAAACAGTTTTCAGTGCTGGAAGTCATTTTGCATTAAATGGTTTCTAAGGATCTAAAGGAGTCATGAAGCATTAGGTACTTTTTTACAGCATTTAAAATTTTTTTTATTTTAAAAATTTTATTTGTTTATTTATTTATTTGAGACTGGTTTATGAGACTGGCTAATTTTTGTATGTTTGATAGAGATGGGGTTTCGCCATGTTGCCCAGGCCGGTCTTGAACTCCTGGGCTCAAGCGATTTATCCGCTTTGGCCTCTCAAAGTGCTGGGATTACAGGTGTGAGCTACCATACCGGGCCTGCATTAGGTATTTATCTTTAATGTTAATTAGAAAATGTTGATGCTTTTGAAAAAGTTAACTAAGAAATTAGCCTTTAATTTTCTCTAGAGTCTTTGTTTCTAACTCAGGTTAATTTATCACCCATTTTAAAAACACTAAATTTTGTAAGATATATCTGCCGTATCTTACACACAGACAGATACACACACACTTATGTACACATGTACCTCTGATATGGTCTTAATTTCAAGAATTTTGAGCTTCACATTTCTTTCATTTCTTTGTACGTGGTAGTTTATTATAGCCTGTTATGCAGCTTTATTTGTCTGTAGAATAACTCCTATCTCCCCAAAATAGCAGATAATAAATAATAAAAAACTATCAGAATATGGCTTGTGGCATGTATATGAGCTATAGATAGCAACATAGGAATGTAGAAATCTATAGATAAATAGTATGATTCCCATTTTACAGATTTTGAAACTCAGGTACATTGAGTCTAAATAACCAAGGCACATATTTGGGATTCAAACTCAAATTTAACTGTCTCACTTCAAAGATGTCTCTTTCTATTATACACATTACTTTACTGCAATTTTTCCAAATTATATTTACAAAATTAGATAAGGTTCAGGTCTATCTGGTTACCCATTCAGGAGGGTTTAGTTACCATAGGGTTATTGTTTACTCATCTATAATATGCAGTCTGTACCTGAGTGGCATCATATTGACTCTGCTACCCTTGTTTGTGGGTGGGATGGGAGTATAGTAAACTATACAGAAATTACAAGTAAATAGTAGATATTTGAAGTTGCTCAAAATTGCCTTTTAAATTTTATTTATTTTTAAATGGAAAAATACTATTTGAAAGGAAATTATTATAATTTGATAACAGAATGTCACATTACTCTTTTAATTTAAAAGTTTGTAAATATCTCAAAATTTAGGTAGTTATTTTTTACCTTTTGTTTTTAAAAATACAGTGCCTTTACTTTCCCGAATTCTGCCTTCCGATGCATGTAAAATATACAAACAAGGTATCAATATCAGGTAAGGTGATTTGATTTTTTTCTCAGTAAAAGAAAGTTGAGATTTAGAGGAAGATTTTTTTCCCTGTAATCATAACTTACATGTGTTTTATGACGTTAAAATGCTGTAACAGAGTCACAATATTTTATCTCATTCGAGACATAATAGATAAAAAACCAAAGACATAGAACCTTTTTTTATTTTTTTATTACTTAGAGAACAAACTCAAAGTGGAAAAGACATAAAATCTTGACTAAAGCAAAGATATTATTCTTATTTAACTACAGACTATCCAGAAGGCAAACAGTGAGGATCTTGATGTAATATTAAGAAGATTTACAGTGGTTACCTTCCTGATCCTGGATTTATTAAGGAATAAGGGACACATAAGGAAGACCCAATTCTTGCCTTTTTCTCCATCTCTTTCATGTCTTTCCTTCCCCTGTTTACTAATCCGTGTATCCGTTCATCTGTTCATTCATTGATCTATCCAATCCAGTGAATATTTTGAGGCTAATTTTAATTTTCCTCATTCTGTTCCTTTTATAACTAAGATTAATGTTTGAATCTGATAGAAAATACATCTATTTAACTTACATGATTCTTTATTTTGCTTTATAATAATATAGCCATATTTATAAATTATCTATTTGTAAAGTATATATAATGCTAGTTAGTATGCCAACTTTTATGTATATATGTGCATATATTGGTATATTTATAAATAGTATACATGTATATATATAATTTTGTGTATGTGTGTGTCTGTATATCTCCAGAATATTAATTTGAAAGTTTAAGGGTCTAGAACTAGAAATAACTTGAAGGATTATCTCATATAAAGTCTTAATTTAGAGATGAGAAAGAGAAGTTAAGTGATTTTTTTTACAAGAGCATTTTACAAATTAATGGCTGAACCAGGACTTCTGACTTCTTGTTTGTTGTTCTTCTCACCATGACACAAAGCAGAAGTTTTTAAAAATCAGCTATTTCTGAGAAATTTATTGTTTAGTATTTTGAATTAGTGAAGCAATAACTTTTAGTTGGAAGTAAATTCTAGGGTAATTATCCTTAAGCAATAGAATTTGGTTAAGGTAGATATTTCTGTTTTTGTTGTTGTTGTTGTTTTTGTTTTTTCTTTTTTTAGATAATAAAGATAGGGTCTCACTATATTGCCCAGGCTGGTCTTGAACATACAGGCTCAAGTGATTCTTCCACCTTGGCCTCGCAAAGTGCTGGGATTACAGTGTGAGCCATCACACCCAGCGTGTTTTTTAAAAAAACCTCTTCAGGTGTTTCTAATTATAAAAGTGCTCATGTACCTTAAATGCACTGTCATTACAGAAAACTTGGAAAATACAGAAAAATAGAAGAAAAACTAAGTAGAAAAGGATTTTTGATGTGGATTTAATTCAGCAGCCTTTTGTTAGCAATTATTATGGTTTCATTAATTTAGACATTTTTAATATAGGTGCTTGCCAAAGATGGTAGGCAATTTTGGAGGATACTATTATCTTCCATGTGATAGTTTAAAAAGTTAGTTTTAGGCCGGGTGTGGTGACTCATGCCTGTAATCCCAGCACTTTGGGAGGCTGAGGCAGGTAGATCACTTGAGTCCTGGAGTTCGAGACCAGCCTGGGCAACATGGCAAAACCCCATCTTTACAAAAAAATATTAAAAATTAGCTGGGCATGGTGACACGTGCCTATAGTTCCAGCTACCTGGGAGGCTGAGGTGGGAGAATCACCTGACCCCAGGAAGTTGAGGCTGCAGTGAGCTGTAATCACGACACTGCACTTTAGCCTGGGCAACAGAGTAAGACCTTGTCTCAGAAAAAATAAAGTTTTTATTCTGAGTCCTAGGTTTAGGCAAGAAGGAATCTCTTTGAAAAAAAATTGTTTCACATTTATATATGACTTTTTAAAGTAAATGTTTTAGTACATATTATATAATAACTATAGGTAATAAAACCAAAAAGGTTAAAACACAACCTAGGCAATATAATGAAATCTTGTCTATACGAAAAATACAAAAAATTAGCTGGGCATGGTGGCACGCACTTGTAGTCCCTGCTACTCAGGAGGCTGAGGTGGGAGGATCACCTGAGCCCAGGAGCTTGAGGCTACAGTGAGCCGAGATCGTGCCACTGTATTCCAACCTGGGTGACAGAGTGAGTCCCTGTCACACACACACACAAAAGTTAAAACAGGAACATGAGGGCAAAAGCCTGGGGGAGAAAAATTGTGAGAAAAGTTGTAGGTTAAGGGGAAGTTAGTAACTTAGCAAGATACTAGACATGGGGCTTACTAGTAACTAAGGATGAAGGACAAATGTGATAGGTTCTAAAGCTCTCATCAAACAAGGCTTACCAGATTAATGGAGAGGATAGCTTTTAGGATGTATGACAAAAGGTTTTTTGCCTAGGTGATGAGAATCTAAAGGAAAAAATCTGTTAACATTAAATAAAAACTTGCTATTTTAAATGTCATGAGACAATTTTTTAACACCATTTTAATAAAGCTAAATTTTAAAATATATTCAAAGAGAAATCTTTAAGTTGACTTTTATTTCATGGCAGCCATGTAATCATTTGAAATGTCTTCTCTGGTATCAAAGAGAAACTAATACTTTAGTAGAAATAGGAAAGTGTGAGCAACATTATTCTTGAGAGTACTAACAAAGATTTTGACCATAAATACAAATAATTAAGAGGTAATCTGTAATCACTGATTGAAAGTATATTTGTACACTTTTTGTCTTACTTCAGGATTTTCTTGTCTGAAGTGAAGCCTTTAGTTCCTTTTTTCAGTGTTATTTGGCATTTTTTCAGGCTTTCTTCTTAAAAATAATACTTTCTATTCAAATCTTTGCATTTGTATAAAGAACTTATTGTTCTTCATGGCTAATTACATGGGAAAAATTAAAAATATTTAGGTTCATAGGCTTAAAGCCAAGGACTAGTGAGGACTTTAAAATGTTATCGTGATAATTAACATTATTTACTGAGGCATATGTGATGCAGCTTACCAGGTCATCTAATATGTCAGGGATATACAGAAAATGTATTACCCTTTTTATTGCAAAATTATAGAAACACGAATGAAATAAAAATAGGCTGTATTAATTTATATAACTGGGAAGTTTCTATAACTAATTTTACATATCGCTAGATCTAAAATCTCAAAGGTCACCATGTCAGTCTGTCTTTGTCTTTCTTTATCTGTCTTTCTGTGCATCTCTTTACTCACCTTTTCATCTCCACTCCTGGCAACCCACTACCACTTTCACCTATGATGGGCAAGCAGGGAATGGAGGCAGAAGACTGTTTTAGCCCATTTCTTCTTTTATGTAGAGCATAACATTCCCTGATAGCTGAAGCTTGGAGCCCAAATAGTGCACTTACATATAAAATGATCTGTTCCTTTTTGGTATTATCAGGAGCCCACATCTTATAGAGATAGGGGAAGAGTCCCTTTTAATACTATTTTCTTTTTTTTTTTTTTTTTTTTTTTTTTTTTTGAGACGGAGTCTCGCTCTGTCGCCCAGGCTGGAGTGCAGTGGCGGGATCTCGGCTCACTGCAAGCTCCGCCTCCCGGGTTCACGCCATTCTCCCGCCTCAGCCTCCCAAGTAGCTGGGACTACAGGCGCCCGCCACTACGCCCGGCTAATTTTTTGTATTTTTAGTAGAGACGGGGTTTCACCGTTTTAGCCGGGATGGTCTCGATCTCCTGACCTCGTGATCCGCCCGCCTTGGCCTCCCAAAGTGCTGGGATTACAGGCGTGAGCCACCGCGCCCGGCCAATACTATTTTCTTTTAGGACACATGCTCAAGCAATGATAGGTGTTATTTAATAGTAAAGCTGAATTCTAGCTTCTGGGAGTGGACTAAAAGCTAGAATTCAGCTATAAAGCAACAGGCAGCCCCCCGCCCCCCCGCCGCCCCTGTGTGAGTTGATGAGTTACTTTTTTAGGGCTTCTTGATACATAAGGCAACCATACTTCCCTCTTTGCTCTGGCTCACCCCTGTTTTCCTGGCAGAATTGTCAGTAGTGTCACTTTCATTCTTAGATTTATTAATTTTGATGATAAATTCTATGTAACCCTAGTTATTATTTTCATGCAGCATGTGAGGCATGTTTTATTTCTGTTTTTCCTGTCTAGGGAAACCAAGAATACCAACTCACTTTGCCTTGTCTGTGATGAGAACTGAAAAACCTACAGAGTAATGAATTCTTACAGTTGCATTAGAAATTCAGTAGCCAGGGTGGATTTTTCACGGAGCCTTAAAGGAGCTTCCTGGGGATGTGATCAGCATCCTTTGACAGCAGGGCCAACCAGTTTCTTGGCTTTAGGACTGTGTGTTTTGAGCAGCCATTAGCTGGGGTGATCCTGATCTGGTGATTTATAAAGCCATGTGCAAGACTGAAGCACGTCAGTGTATTGTAAACTTTTTATTTTCAGTATTTTTCCTAATTTCGGCAAGTAGTGCTTTGTGGAATACTGTTTGAGACCAGCGCATTAGGCTAGACCATGACAGGTCCAGGTTACCAAAGAGAACAGTAAACACACAAATGTGTGAATCCATGAGTATTAGATACAGAATGATCTGTAAGGTTTCCAGGGTGTGGAGATATTGGTTGGGAAAGAGAGTATTAGTCCAAATCTGAGAAGTCAAATACAAAGGCCAAGAATTTAAATGGTTTATCAAGTTGAAGGATAAAGCAAGGTTTGGTATCAGATGGTTAGGCATAAGGTTACGGGTGTATATCAGAAGAGGAGTTCTCAATTCCAAGAATGTGGTCCATCCATTGCTGTCTGGTCTTAAATACTCTGCTGAGCTAGCAACCTGGTCTTAAAGGGATCGAATAATGTCAGACAGGTCTGTGTTCCTTTTCTTCCTTCCCCGTTCACTTTTATTGAGTAGCTACAGTAAGGGAAATGGTAGGAAACAAGGGAGCAGAAAGGGAAATACCCCAAATATGGGGAAACATCTTTTTTTCTGGGTCAATGAAATATGTGTGTGTATATATATATGTGTGTGTGTATGTGTATATATATATATATATGTGTGTGTATATATATTCAGAAAATATATATGTATATTCAGAAAAGTGAAATATAGCTAAAATGGATTATATCTTTAAGTAGTTTTGTTTTTTAATAGAATATTTTAAATTTAGTTTTTATCTATAAATTTGTTTTTATCTATAAATTTGACTTTGCAATATGGTATTAGCATCTTGGTTTGAGTTTAAAAGGAACAGCTTATTTAATTATTAGTGAAGTTTTATCAAAATTATATTTGTCAGAGTTTATCATCTACCCATGTTTCACAGGCTTGACACAACTCTCATAGACTTTACTGACATGAAGTGCCAACGAGGGGATCTAAGCTTCATTTTCAATGGGGATGCGGCGCCCTCTGAATCTTTTGTAGTATTAGACAATGAACAAAAAGTTTATCAGCGAATACATCATGAGGTGAGCATGTTGTCTTATCAATATTCCTTTAAATCATTAAAAAAAAAGTATAGGTTTTTAGCAAAACCTCAGTATAATTTGCTTAAAAGCTTAAGGTATAATTGAGATGGTTTGTTCCTAAAGCTATAGTTTCCTGACCACTAGCTTTCTTTTCTTTTTTCTTTTTCTTTTTTTTGAGACTGGAGTCTCGCTCTGTCACCCAGGCTGAAATGCAGTGGCGTGATCTAGGCTCACTGCAACCTCCGCCTCCCAGGTTCAAGCAATTCTTCAGCCTCAGCCTTCAGGGTAGCTGAGACTACAGGCGCCCGCCACCAAGCCCGGCTAATTTTTGTATTTTTAGTAGAGGCTTGGTTTCACCATGTTGGCTAGGTTGGTCTCAAACTCCTGACCTCAAATGATGCACCCACCTCGGCCTCCCAAAGAGCTGGGATTACAGGCGTGAGCCACTGCGCCTGGCCTATTTTCATTTTTTATATTTCTATCCTCTGGTCTCCATCTTGACCGGTCCATTGAGCCTGCTGAGAATTCAACTGATTATCTCCTAGATCAATGAACTCCAACTTCTCTTCATTCTCATTTATAGTTTTCATTTGTTGAACCTGTGCTGGACCTTTACCATGTATTATCTTTTTATCTTACCTTCTTTTAATGTTGTTGACCATCTTTATTTTATCTCCTTAATATGAATACTTCTTTTGGCTCTGTCTGCAGTCTTACTTTTCCTAACTCTTTGGCTACCTTTCCTTTCTCTGTCCTTTCCCTCTTCAAGTACGACATGATTTTCCTTCTCTCATGCCATATCTTTGTGTTAAAAAACCATTGATATGCCCTTGATGTGGTTCTCATTTTTACAAACTGCCAGAATAATCCCTTCCATTCCCACAGTCCTATAGGTTGATGATTTACAAATATATGTTTGTGTCCATACAGTTCTGAGTAGAGGCTTATCTGTTTAAATGCCTAATGGATATCATGTGTGTCTCCCAGGTACCTCAAAATTCACCTTATTTAAAACTAACCTTGCTACTTTTCCTCCAAACCTGCTCTTTTTCCTGTTTTTCCTCTTTTGAAGAATGATGTCATTCTCTATTCAGTTAGAAACCTAGGAGTTATTTTTGATATCTTTTCTTGTACTCTGTGTTTTCTCATCAGAGCACATATCTGGTCATTTCTTTCTCCTTAATGTCTCATTATTATTCCTCTTTTATTCACACTGTCACTACTGTAATTTAAACATTCATTATTTCTCAACTGGACCATTGGAAAGTCTTATAAATGATCTTCCTGGCTCCCTTCTCATCTGCTTCTAAATTATCCCACATGTTGGAGATACATTAAACTTTAGAAACACATTTATGAAACCTTAGTTACTTAGAGATACTTAAAAAGTTCCCCATTACCTAAAGAGTGAAATCTAATCTCCTTAGCACGGCATGGTTCCTTTTGTCACCTGAGTTTTGCTCACCTTTCTAGCCTTTTTCTTACCTTACTATTTTAGATACCCTCATACTGCACTCTTGGCAGTTTGTCAGATGTGCCAGGCTATTTGGGCCTTTATTCCTTTGTTCATGTTCTTTCCACTTCCTGGAATGCTTTTCTTTTTGCACCCTCACACCTGTAGGGCATGCACTTGGTGTTACTTTCTCTCCCACCAAATGACTTTTGTTGTCCTTATGTTCCTATTAAATCTGGAACCATAAAGCTTCTAATGTTACATTTACTGACATGGCTTTTTTCCCTTCTATTGGTCTAAGCTCCTCAAGGGCGTGGGGTTCTTTTTGTTGTATTCCCTGTTATCTAATACAGCATCAGTACATTCTACGCTATAGGTTGGTAAACTCTTTCTGTGAAGGAAGAGATAATAAATATTTTTAGATATTAAAATATATTTGTGGGCCATATGGCCTCTGTCACAACTACTCAACTCTGCTGTTGTTAAAAGCAGCCACAGACAATATGTAAATAAATGAGTATATTCCATTATCATTTTATTCATAAAAACAGGCAGCTGATTATAGTTTGCTTACTCATATGTGAGCCTCTCAGATATTTATTAAATAATTTGACCTCTTACTTATGAAATGACAACAGGATAGCCAACTAGGCAATAAGTGAATTGGAAATAGGGTCTTGAAAGAGAAGCTAGAAGTTAAGGCTAGTAGTCCATAAGTATTTGTGGATGTCATAGTATTACCAAAGAACTGGTATTAAGGGTACCAGTTTTAAGGTATTAAGGTATGTATGTACTAGTATTAAGGTATGTATGTATACATACATATATGTATTATGTATTTTATAATGCCTACAATACAGGAAAGATAAATTTTGAGCAGTATTCCTTAGGGCAGAGAATACTTGTTGTTTATCCTAATATGTATGTATGTATAAGTAATAACTTCATTAAATGTTGAAGCAATGTAATTAATTAAAACAGCAGATCTTTTTCAGTGATGTGGTTAAGAGATAGTCTCTGATTTATATAAGAATTCTGTTCCAAAAGTTTATTGAAAATAGGATGTTTGAAATGTAAGGCAAATTTGCTCATAGACAATGGGTTATACAGTGTTCAGTTTCCAAGCTAATATATAAAATTCTACTTGATTCATAATATATTTGAAGTATAGTGTTTAACAGTTCTGTTTAACTACTGCAACCTAACTTTTTTTTAAAGAATATTGTGTTCAGAATTAATTTGGGTTACCAGGAATACATTTTCACCTATTATGGCTTTAGCAGTAACACCAAGATTTTGCATTCTTTACTTGTAGGGGTAGAGGAAATGGTACTGTCCCAGGCCCAAGCCATTGCTATTTTTTTGTTTGTTTGTTCTTTGTTTTTTTTTTTTTTTGAGATGGAGTCTCTCTCTGTCTCCAGGCTGGAGTGCAGTGGCGTGATTGATCTCAGCTCACCGCAACCTCCACCTCCCGGGTTCAAGTGATTCTCCTGCCTTAGCCTCCCGAGTAGCTGGGACTACAGGCGCGTGCCACCATGCCCGGCTAATTTTTTTTTTTTAGTAGAGACGGGGTTTCACCATGTTAGCCAGAATGGTTTCTGTCTTCTGACCTCGTGATCCACCTGCCTTGGCCTCCCAAAGTGCTGGGATTACAGGCATGAGCCACCTAGCCCGGTCGCCAATGGTATTGTTTTTGGAAATTCAGGAAGGGACTATATGGGCTGGGCACGGTGGCTCATGCCTGTAATCCCAGCGCTTTGGGAGGCCGAGGCGGGCGGATCACGAGGTCAGGAGATCGAGACCATCCTGGCTAACATGGTGAAACCCCGTCTCTACTAAAAATAAAAAAATTAGCCGGGCATGGGGGCGGGTGCCTGTAGTCCCAGCTACTCAGGAGGCTGAGGCAGGAGAATGGTGTGAACCCGGGAGGAGGAGCTTGCAGTGAGCTGAGATTGTGCCACTGCACTCCAGCCTGGGCGACAAAGCGGGACTCTGTCTCAAAAAAAAAAAAAAAAAAAAAAAATCAGAAAGGGACTCTATGTAGGTTAAAGTTAGATGGTGAAGAATAGAAAATGGGCCTCTTGGGAACCTAGAAATAAGGAGGTTTGGAGAATGAAGGCTCTAACTATTGTAAACCCTAGGGACTGTTATTATTCTCCAGACAACTCCCTAGGTTTTGCCTTTTTTCTTCCTTATAACGTCTTAAATATTAGTTAGGGTATCTTTCTTGGCCTATTATGGAATAGAATCTCATCTTATACCTGCTCACTTACTCTTCTGTACTTGATCATTTAGTCTTCTGTCCCTGAAGCAAGCACAAAACTTTCCTTTTTTCTCATATAAAAAATAATTATTGCTCAATTATTATATACCAGCACTAGGGAATATGTACAGGATAAAACCTGAAGCATGACTACTCATTAAGTTTAGAAATTACGGTTGATATTTATGGATTCCTTTCCATTTTATAAGGAATACAGAAAAGATCCTTTCTTGCTTCTTTTCCTTCCTTCCCTCTCTGCTGCTTCCCTTCTTCTATCCCTCCCTTCAGTTCTTCCTTTCTTCCACTTACAATTTATTGGGAAAGAAAGGCTCAAATGACAGTGGTGGATCTTTGCATTAAGAAGAACTAAAGTAAGATTAATCTGTATTGAAAGAAAAATATCCTTTATCTGGGTTTTTTTCTCAGATCTGTCAAGTTAATTCTTAAAGTTGTTTTTAAAAATTGCTCTATGGACTATACAGTTTTATAATGGGTAATCTAGTACTGCTTCCATTACATATCTATAACAGGATAATAGTACCGTATTTCATGTGTCCTGCTTTTATAGATTCATAATTAGTCATAATGCTAACTTAGAGAAGATATTAATATGTACAATTTAAACATCTAATTCTTTTTAGAGTAAGTAACACTTCACATTATTTAGAAACTATCCTTTTTGTCTTTAAAAATTGGTACCATTATAATTGTTGATATTTTCATATGTAGTACTAAGAACTTTTGAAAAACCTAGATTTTTATATTTAACTTTTGCTCACATCCCAGGAATCAGAGATGGAAACAGAAGAAGAGGTGGATATTTTAATGAGCAGTGATATTTACTCTGCAACTTTATCAACAAAATCAATTTCTTTCACGCGTGCCCAGACAGGATGGCTTTTTCGGGAAGATAAAACAGTATGTGCAAATCTAGATTTTTAAACTTTAAGCATTGTTCGGTATTTAATATTTCCAAAATAACGTGATGGAAATGCAAGAAGTAGCTTACAGAATTGTCTCCAAGTAGTTTTTTTCTCTCTTCCTTGAATCCAGATAAGGAATTATAATGGATGGTTAGAGTCAGAATGTGTCCTTGGAGAATTCAGGAAAGAAAGCTGAGCTCATTTGAATTCTGTGTCAGGAAGGACTCTTATTGCTAGCTGTCTTGTTATTATACAGGGAACAATGTTTTCACATGATTCCATTATATTTCTAGTGCTTTATTCGATAAGAAGACTACAAAAAGGGATAAACTTGACTCTATTTCCCTGAACCTGTTTGTCTCCCTACTTTAGACTTCTCATTTACTTAATATTTTTTTCTTGTATTCTATACATATGAGTAAGATTAAATAACCTTACATTTCTGCAACACTGTAGAATTGTTAAATCAAATCTCGGGGGAAGTTTCCCCATTAGTGTAAATTATTTCCATAATTCCCATTGTATCTGTCAGCAAGAGGTTATATAAGACTATTCAAATATATATTCGGAAAATTTTGAGGCTAGGCGTGGTGGCTTATGCATGTAATCCCAGCACTTTGGGAGGCCGAGGCCGGCGGATCACGAGGTCAGGAGTTCGAGACCAGCCTGGCCAACACGGTGAAAACCTGTCTCTACTAAAAATACAAAAATTACCCGGGCGTGGTGGTGCATACCTGTAATCCCAGCTACTCGGAAGGCTGAGGCAGGAGAATCGCTTGAACCCGGGAGGTGGAGGTTACAGTGAGCCGAGATGGCACCACTGCACTCCAGCCTGAGACAGAGTGAGACTCCGTCTCAAAAAAAATAAATAAATAAAAATAAAAATAAAAATAAATTGAATGAGCTGTATGAAGAAGCATGTTTATAAAATTTTAAATTTAACAGTAAGTGACCACATCAAGTCAGGGTCAAGATTGACTTCTATTAAAAATTATATTTATTTTTATTATACACAATGAAATGAATATATTCTCAATGGAGAAATAAGAAAAATAGCATTATTAGGGTTCTCTGAGAAACAAAACCAGTAGATAGAAGGGGAGTGGAGAGAGGAAGAAAAAAAGAGTAAGGGGGAGAGAGGAGAAGGAAGAAATTGATTTATTTTGAGGAGTGGTTCATGAAATTGTAGGAGTTGGCAAATCTGAAATGTAGAGCAATCTAGCAGGCTGGAAATTTAGTAAAGAGTGGATATTGTGCTCTTGAGTTAGAAATGTTCAGGCTTGGCCTCCTGGGCAACATAGCAAGACCCTGACTCTACAAAAAATTTAAAAATTAGATGGCTGAGGTGGCACAAGCCTATAGTCGCAGGTGCTTGGAAGGATGAGGTGAGACGATTACTTGAGCCCAGAAGGTTGAGGCCACAGTGAGTGATCACACCACTGCACTCTAGCCCAGGTGACAGAGTGAACTCCTGTCCAAAAAAAAAAAAGAGAGAGAAAAAGAAATCTGCAGGCTGGAAACTCAAGCAGGGTTTCTGTGTTGCAGTTTTGAGGCAGAATTGCTTTTTTTTTTCCTGGAAACCTCAGTTTTTGCTCTTAAGGCCTTCAAACTGATTAGATTAGGCCCACTCACATTATGTAGGGTAATTAGCTCTACTTAAAGTCCGTTGATTGTTAATCACATCTAAAAAATACCTTCACAGCAACATCTAGACTGGCGTTTGACCAAACACCTGGCATCATAGCGTAGCCACGCTGACACATAAAATTATCATTTAACTTTATACATAAAGCTAAAAAGCCCTCCTTGGCCACTGCCCACAGTCCCACATCCCCTTGCAGAATGTCACCAGTTTTTATATCCTCCAGACCTTTTTTATGCTCTCCATATGTAAATATGAGCTCATAATAATAGGTAGCCTTTTGTTGTTGATGCTTACTTTTTCATAAAGTGTCGTGTCATATCGTATCTACTGTTTTGCAGCTGGCTTTTTTTCCTCATTCTTTAGTATGTCGTAGAAATCTTCTCTTACCAGTACATGTAGTGCTAGTTCACTCTTTTTAGCAATTGCATAGTATTCTATATGATGGATATACTGTAACTTAACATATTCAGTCTTGTTTTTGGACATTTAAATGAATAGTCACATTTGTGTCCAGTTTTCTGCCATTATAAATGATGTGTTTATCATCCTTTTACATGCCTTTGCCTGTTATAAGTAGCAAGAAATTAAGTGGCTGGGTAATGGGGAATACACACTTAACATTTTGTTGATATGATAATTTACATTTACTAAGTGGTTTTTCATTATAAGGTTTCAAAAACTGATAATTACCACCTGGTTATTTCCCAGCCACAGATAAATTCTGTTAGGAAATCTAAGCTCACTGATTTTCCTCTCTAAGCCTAATGGCATTATAGCATTCTCAGTTGTGAGGTCCTACATTGCAGTCCATTTGTTGGCTTTAAAGTCTTATTTGTTTGTACTTTGTTCTTCTGGGCAGCATTAGATGGATCACTTCAAGAGAAGATAAAAATTGAAACTGCTAATCATCTAGTACTACTGCTAAGCAGCTCAAAGCTCTTGAAGCATCTAGGTGATCTTCTTAAATCTTTGACAGGTAAGGAGGGAGTCAGTAATACTTATGGTTCCCATTTTGTAGGTAGAAACAGGTGCAGAATGCTTTGCTTTTTTTGCAAGGTGGACTGGAACACAACTCTGAACATGTAGTTTTGAAATGTCAGTAAACAGCAGCAGGGTGGAGACATGTGATTTGCATGCAGATAGAAATGGGAAGCTTGTTTTCAGTAAGTTATTTATCTTTTTTTTGTTTTTTTTTTAAGTAAGGTATTTCAAACTCTGAATACCTGTGGGTCTGAAAAAGGTAAAAGTTAATGTTGAAGGTTTAAGAGGACTTTATTGAAAGAAAGTAATGACTTTTTTTGATGTCCTTTACACCACTTGAGTTTCCCTAAAACACTTTAATTGTATTGGTGAGCAAGGGTACTCTTTTCCTCTTTTCTTTGTTGAAAACAGGCAGCTGTAACTTGAAGTTTGGTGCCTGTTAGAGAATAGAGAATGTGAACAGGTCATTAATTCTGGTTGTACTAGAGATTCTTGTGTGACATGGACTATTTATTTCTTTTTATTCCACTTTTTTTCTATCTATAAAATGGGAACAGTGTTATCCCTGACCCCTCCTTGTTACTCGTGATATTTGACTGCCAGCTTAATAGTTTTGAGATAGCTTTGTGCTACTTGGGAGTAGGATCTGAAGAAATGCTATGTGGCAATTTTATTTAAAATCATTTGCAAATTAACTACCATACATTTTTATGTATTTTAAATTTCTCTTTACTGATTTGAAATGTATGCTTTTGTGTATTTTTCAACTTATTGAATAACTTAGATGTATATGTTGTATAACCTAGAAAATGTAAGATAGTTTGATAATTTCAAGTACCAAAGGAATATTTATTTTCACCTACATGTTACATATTTATGGAAAAATATATTACCTTGACACTTTTTTTAACCTAAAAATTTTACTTTTAAATATTTGGTTTTGTTTTAGGAAAGAGTAGGAAACTTTTTGGCAGACTTTTACCTGGTGAATGGACTTGTTTTAGAATCAAGGAAAAGAAGAGAACATCTCAGTGAAGAGGATATTCTTCGAAATAAGGCCATCATGGAGAGTTTGAGTAAAGGTGGAAACATAATGGAACAGAATTTTGAGGTATAATTTTTAATTCTTCTAATTTGTAGTTTTCTAAGAAGAGAGGGGATAGATTTCATTCTTGGTGGCATTCAGTAAGTATATAAATGTACTCACAGCTTTTATTTACTGTGTGTTACCTTTTTCTGTGAATCTTCATTTCGTTGATGTCATTATTATGAAGACAAAAAAATGTCTTTTGGGATTTTTTTGTGAATCTGTACTTTATCTTTGAGTCTTCATTAATAAATAGATTAAAAGCGTGAAACCTAATGTTATTATTATATTTTGAGATGGATTCTTGCTGTGTTGCCCAGGCTGGAGTGCAGTGGCTCAATCTCGGCTCACTGCAACCTCTGCCTCCTGGGTTCAAGTGATTCTCCTGCCTCATCCCCGCCAGGTAGCTGGGATTACAGGCCCTGCTACCAGGCCTGGCTAATTTTTGTATTTTTAGTAGAGACAGGGTTTTATCATGTTGGCCAGGCTGGTCTCAAACTCCTGACCTCAAGTGATCTGCCTGCCTCAGCCTCCCAAAGTGCTAGAATTACAGATGTGAGCCACTGTGCCTGGCCCCTAGTGTTATTTATTTATTTATTTATTTAGAGTTGGAGTCTCCCTCTGTCGCCCAGGCTGGAGTGCAGTGGCAAGATCTTGGTTCACTGCAACTTCCGCCTCCCAGGTTCAAGCGATTCTTCTGCCTCAGACTCCCGAGTAGCTGGGATTACAGGTGCTTAATTCTTTCTGCTTTGCTAATCAAAATCCGCTGCTTTGAAGGCCCAGCTAAAGATCCATCTACTTCATGGTGTCATCTCTGACTTACACCTTCCCATATGTTTCTTGTTTAGCATATGTTTACTGAAAGCATGCTATATGCAAAGAATTGTGTGACAGTAAGGAAAGGGGAGGAGAAATTAGGAAATAAAAGATGTATGAGACATGGTAACTGCTCCTCAAATCTTATTCCTCTGTGAAGTGAATTTAGATGCATTCTTAAATTTATTTTTTATTTGTATAATTTTATATTTCCAAAAAAATACTAGAGTCATACAAAGAATTCTTGGACACCTTCATCAAGATTTCCCAGATGGGCCCAGGCGTGGTGGCTTACACCTGTAATCCCAGCACTTTGGGAGGCCAAGGTGGGCGGATCACCTGAGGTCAGGAGTTCAAGACCAGCTTGGCCAACATGGTGAAATCCCGCCTCTACAAAATTAGCTGGGCATGGTGACACATGCCTGTAATCCCAGCTACTCGGAAGGCTGAGGCAGGAGAATCGCTTGAGACTGGGAGGTGGAGGTTGTGGAGCTGAGATTGCGCCATTGTGCTACATCCTGGGCAACAAGAGCGAAACTCCGTCTCAAAAAAAAAAAAATTTCCCAGATGTTAATGTTTTACTGCCATTTGTATAGCACTGTTTTTCAAACTGCAATATAGGGATCCTTTAGTAGATTATAAGAAATTAATTTAGTGGGCCATGACTACTTTTTTTTCCTTTTCTCCCCTCAGTTGTTGGCAATACTTAAAAAAATTTGTATCTAAATAAAAATGGTAGGCCAGGCACAGTGGCTCGCACCTGGAATCCCAGCACTTTGGGAGGCCAAGGTGGGAGGATTGCTTGAGTCCAGGAGGTGGAAACCAGCCTGGGCAACAGAGCAAGACCCTGCCTCTACTAAAAAAATAAAAAATTAAAAAATTAAAAATCAGCTGTGCGCAGTGGCATGAGCCTATAGTTCCAACTACTTGGGAGGCTGAGGCAGGATGATCACTTGAGCCCGGGAGACTGAGGCTACAATGAGCTATAATCATGCCACTGCCACTGCATTCCAGCCTGGGTGACACAGTGAGATCCTGTCACAAAAAAAAAAAAAAGGAGAAAAATCAGAGCACATTACACATACTGAGAGTCATTACTACTTCATGAAACAATAGTTTCAAGATTGTGTGTGTTGTATAAACATGCATATGTGTGAGTGCCGGATTGTAATATAAATTGTGAGTCACAGTTATAAAAAGGTTAAAAGGCTACTACATACTACAAAGAGGCTTGAATTGCTGGAATGTTTAGTCCTTTCCCTATAGTATTGTCCTGGATTCTATGTTTTAGTGATGGTCAAAGTTTCCAGAATAGTATGCCAGGTTTCAACTAATTCATGGTAATACTATGTTTGTCAGTAAAACATTTTAATATTTAGAAAGATCATATATTGAGTGAATCAGCCATAGTTTAGTTGAGTACATTATGTAAAATGTTTAAAATTGTGATCATGCCACTTTAGTGTGATCCTATCCCCTTCCTGCCACATCTCATTTGTGCTCCTAATTTTTCTTCTGACTTTGGGATAAAGCTTCACCAGACTTCATTTTTCCAGGAGCCTGCTAGTATTTACTGATCTCTCAGTCAGTAGGAAATACTTGACAAAATGCACTCAGGAAATAGAAATGGAGATGAATTAATAGCGGGAATGCTGAGCTCAGTCTTTGACAGGGCTGCTGTCTTCTCCCATTGTTGGCCAGACAAAAGGCCATCTCTTTGGACTTATATTGTGATTTAAATTTTATTAGAGTTATTTTGAAAAAAGTGATTTTGTTGTGTTGGTGGTTAATGCTACTTTTTTAAAAATTTGGGCAACACAGGCTGGGCGCGGTGGCTCAGGCCTATAATTCCAGCACTTTGGGAAGCCGAGGTGGGTGGATCACGAGGTCAGGAGATTGAGACCATCCTGGCTAACATGGTGAAACCCCGTCTCTACTAAAAATACAAAAAAAAAAAAAAAATTAGCCGGGCGTGGTGGCGGGCGCCTGTAGTCCCAGCTACTCAGGAGGCTGAGGCAGAAAAATGGCGTGAACCCCCGGGAGGCAGAGCTTGCAGTGAGCGGAGATCGTGCCACTGCACTCCAGCCTGGGTGACAGAGCAAGACTGTCTCAAAAAAAAAAAATAATAATTTGGGCAACAAACTAATTTGGGATAAGTATATGGAAATAAGACTTTATAGAATGCTGTTTCATGGACTGTTTGCCAGTTGCCTCTTCTGGTCTGATTTATGTACATTTAAACTTACGATAGACAACTTGATTTTCTTAAGGGCAGAGGTTGTAACCGGATGTATTTGAATAGTTAAAGAGGTCTTTAAGTAGCATTTTAAGCAGCCGTACTTTGCAAGTTGAAATTAAAACATAGTTTAATGCCAGATAGCTACATAATGGAACAAACTAATATTACTTAAATTAAATAATTAAGCTTTCAACTTCTAATCAGAAATTAAAGGAAACACTTCCCATATAAACCATAGGATTTTGAACTTTATAGTTGATGAATATTTAAATTCAATTTGTCACTTTCTACAAAAGATAAAAAACGTGGTGGGATTTTGATTGGGATAATGTTGAATCTGTAGATAAATCAATTTCAACATAAAAGCCTGTTTGGATTTTTTTAAATTAAGCTTTTTATTTTGAAATATTGTAAATTCACATACAGTTGTATGAAATCATACAGGGATTCCATGTATGCCTCACCCAGTTTCCCCCAGTGGTAACGTCTTACCAAGGTATAGAACAGTATCATGGCGAGGATATTGGCATTTGTAGTCAAGACACAGAAGATGTCTACCACCATACGATCCCTCATGTACCTCTTTTATAGGCACATTTGCTGCCCCCTTAGCCTCTCTCTGTCCCTTATGCCTGGCAATCACTAATCTGTTCTTCCATTTCTTTAGTGTTGCTGTTTCAAGGATGTTCTATAAATGGAATCATATAGTACTTAGCCTTTTGAAATTGGCTTTTCTTTTTTCACTTAGCATAATTCCCTGGTGATTTATCTAAGTTGTATGTATCAATAGTTTGTTCTTTTTTTGTTGAGTAGTATTTCATGGTATTAGTGTACCACAGTTTGTTTAACCATTCACATGTTGAAGAACATCTGGGTTGTTTTGGGCCATAATGAATTAAGCTGCAAAAAACATTCACATATAAGTTTTTGTATGAATGTAATATAAGTCTTCATTTCTCTGGGATAAATGCCCAAGAGTGCAGTTTCTATGTCATATGGTAGTTAGCTGAATGTTTAGTTTTGTAAGAGACTGCCAAAGTGTTTTTCATTTTACATTCCCATCAGCAGTGTATGAATGATCCAGTTTTTCTACATCCTTGCCAGCTTTTGGTATTGTCATTATTTTCTATGTTACTCATTCTGTAGTGTTCAATGCTATCCCATTTTGATTTAATTGCATTTTCCTAATGGCTAATGATATTGAATGGTCATCTCTTCATGGCTTATTTGCTATCTGTATATCCTCTTCTGTAGCATGTCTCTTCATGCCTTTTGCTCTTTTCCTAATTGGATTTTCTTTTTTTCATTACTGTTGAGTTTTCAAAGTTGTTGTTTCTGAGACATGGTCTCACTGTTTTGGTCAGACCAGGAGTGCAGTGGCACGATCTTGGTTCACTGCAGCCTTGACCGCCTCAACTCAAATAATCCTCCCACTCAGTCTCCTAAGTAGCTGAGATTACACGCATGCATCACCATGCCCAGTTAACTTTTTATTTTTATTTTTTATTTTTTTGTAGAGACAAGGTCTCACCATGTTGCCCAGACTGGTCTCAAACTCCTGGGCTCAAGGGATCCTCCTACCTCAGCTTCCCAAAGTGCTGGGATTATAGGCATGAGCCATTATGCCTGGCCCAAAGTTCTTTATATTTTCTAGATGTTAATTCTTCATCAGATAGGTGTTTTGCAAATATTTCCTCTCACTCCACAGCTTGTCTTTTCATCTTCTCAAAGTGGGCTTTCATTGAAAAAAAGTTTATCATTTTGATGACATCGAATTTATCATTTTTTATCTTATGTCACATGCCAAATCTGAGAACTTTTTGCCTAGCTCCAGGTTCCTAGAATTTTCTCCTGTGTTTTTTTCTAAAAGTTTTATATCTTTATATTTTACATTTAAGGAAATGACCATTTTGAGTTAATTTTGTGGAAAGCATGAGGTTTAGGTCAAAGGTTTATTTATTTTTTTTTTGCCTTGGATGCCCAGTTGCTCCAGTATCATTTTTTGAGAAGTCTGTTCCTCCTCCATTGTATTGCCTGCTGAGATTTGTATAGGGATGGTGTTGAATCTATAGATCAATTCGGTGAGACTTGATATCTTAACAATATTGAATCTTCTGTTTGATGAACATGGTGCATCTCTTCATTTATTTAGATTCTCTATAATTTCTCTCAGAAGTGTTCAGGGTATAAATCTTACATATATTTTATTAAATTTATCGTGTAAATTTTTAATATTTTTGAGACTATCATAAAAGATTATCTTTAAATTTCATTTCCAGTTTGTTTTTATACATAGAAATAAATGTAATTTTTATATTTCTATGTTTATATATTCTATAGTCTTTATTTTATTTTTATTTTTTGTTTTCTTGGAGACAGAGTCTCGTTCTATCCCCCAGGCTGGAGTGCAGTGGCACGATCTCAGCTCACTGCAACTCTGCCTGCCATGTTCAAGCAATTCTCCCGCCTCAGCCTCCGGAGTAGCTGAGATTACAGGTACCCACCACCACGCCCGGCTAGTTTTTGTATTTTTAGTGGAGACAGGGTTTCGCCATGTTGGCCAGGCTGGTCTAGAACTCCTGACCTCAGGTCATCTGCCTGCCTCGACCTCCTAAAGTGCTGGGATTATAGGCATGAGCCACCGTGCCTGGCCTATTCTGTAGTCTTTTGTATATTACTTAGGATTTTCTACAAATGCTTATGTCATCAGATAATAAAGATAGTTTTACTTTTCTCTTGCCTGTTCTTATTTCTTTTATTTGTTTTTCTTACCTCACTGTACTGGGAAGTAACACCAGTATAATAGTGAATAAAAATGGTATGAGCAGGTGCACATGGCTTTTTCTTGATCTTGGAAGGGACTTTTTTATACTAACATTAATTTTTTAAAAAAAAATTAGTCTTATTTTTCAACCTGACTTAAGTCATTTAATAATTACTAGGAACCAAGATTTTGTTGTTATTTGTCAGCATAGTAATCCTTTTAAGATTATATTTTAAATTTTTTTAGAATGAAGAAAATGTGCCTTTTTATATGTTATTTGGACTTTTGATAAGGAGGAATCGAAGAATTGCATTTGAGAATATTCTCAGAGTTCAATTATAAATCTTTTTAGAAGAAATTTAAAGAAAATATTAATAGTAATTCTATCAGATATTCATCAATACATATAATTTGATTTGGTTTAATTAGGTAAGGTATAGGATGCAAGAACAACAAAATAGAATTGATAGGTGTAATTATAGAAAGATACTGGTAGCTGTGTGTTGTTTTTTCTCTTAGACACAGACACAGAATTTAACACCTGGAAAGCAGCATGGAACTGTTAGCAGTTTATATATATATAATAGTGGTCATTAAAGAAGAAAATAAATGTTTGTATGTATTTTGTTTATAATTTTAGAAGTACAGTTCTTTTAAGCCTGCACAATAAGCTTTTTAAGAAAGGTATATATAAGTTTAACTTGGCCGGCACGGTGGTGGCAGGCAGATCACTTGAGGTCAGGAGTTCGAGACCAGCTTAACCAACATGCTGAAACCCTGTCTCTACTGAAAATATAAAAATTAGCTAGGTGTGGTGGCACGCTGTAATTCCAGCTACTCTGGAGGCTGAGGCAGAATTGCTTGAGCCTGGGAGGCAGAGGTTGCAGTGAGCTGAGATCACTCCACCCTACTGCAGCCTGGGTGACAGAGCGAGACTCTGTCTCAAAAAAAAAAAAAAAAAAGTGTTTAACTCTATTATTTAATGTGAGGTTAAACAACAGGGGGTGAAAGAGGAGAGACCTATCAAATAAATTCAAGAGACATTTCCATTTTAATGGTGAACTAGATTTGAAAATTTAAAGTTTTAAAAGTCATTATAGCTGGGTGCAGTGGCTTACGCCTGTAATCCCAGCACTTTGTGAGGCTGAGGCGACCGGATCACTTGAGGTCAGGAATTCGAGACCAGCCTGGCCAACGTGGTGAAACCCCATATCAACTAAATATACAAATAAAATTCGTGGGCATGGTAGTGCGTGCCTGTAATCCCAGCTACTCAGGAGGCTGAGGCAGGAGAATTGCTTGAACCCAGGGGGCAGAGGTGGCAGTGAGCCGAGATCATGCTACTGCACTCCAGCCTGGGCAACAGAGTGAGACTCCATCTCAAAAAAAAAAAAAAAAAAAAAAAGACATTATAAATCAGTATTGAAAATTGATGCTTTCAAGGTCACAGCTGACAATATAAGAACAAATCAAGTGTAGAAATAGACATGTGCTATATTAATTTTCAAGTCACAGTGAATTGTAGGTTAGTAACTCAGATGTATTTAATTAATGACAGTTGTGTGGAAAGCATTATATTTTATCAGAGAGTAATGAAGGATTCTCCAGTGGCCTATTCTGAGTTGAGTGCCATAAGCTCAATTTCAGCTTCTGCAGGTTAAAAATGACATTTATTGGATGTCTTTCGTAGCTGGCTAAAAAAAGAAAACAACAGGAATGAAAACTGAATTCATATACACCTCAACAAAGTTTTCTTTCTTATTGATATTGGCTTAAAACATTGAAGTTGTTAGCATGGGCCTTGTACTAAGTACTTTCCATATATTATCTGGTTTAGTTATTGTAATGACCTAAAGAGGTGAGTGCCATTGCCCATTTTATAAAAAAGAAATTGAGGTTTAAGTAAGTTAATTTGTCTGAGTTACGAAGATAGAGAAGCAGAGATGGACTTTTATGTTAGGAACCTGACTGCAAGCCTGTTCTTGCTGTAAGTTCTTTGCTTCTTAGTCTGTCTTTGTTATAGTTTCTTCTTTCTGTATATTCAGGTATTAACACGTCTTAGCAATTCTTTCAAAATACTGGGAAGTTGAAGTCAGGAAAGAGTGGGGAAAACCTTAAGAAATAATCCTGGGAATATGTTATTGGTAAATGTAGTAAAAACTAGTAGAGCACATAATAGTAAAAAATATATTTTTGATTTTGGAGAATTATTAAAGTTTCAAAAATCTAGAAAATATATATGATTTCTTATTTTTTTCAAAATACATTAAAATTATATATTTTAAAGCCATGTTTTAATAGAATTTCCATTCTTAAAAATAAATGTCTATTCCTTTTTGGAATGAATTTATATGCTTTATTATAAATAAATAGCTTTTGGGTTTCTTCTTGTCCCCCATCCCCAGCCAAAATTTTATTTCAATTTCTGCAAGAAATGGCTTATAGGTAGTATTCAGAAGGAATTATTTGCCATTTGATTACTTTTACTGTGCCTCTTCTGCTTTTTTTTCTCTTCCTTCCCAGATGTGGTTCTAGTATTTAGTATATATTTTTGACAGAATTTTTGATAGCAAAATTTAAGTGCTCAGAAATTCTTAAATCATGGGTACTTGTTCTTGTATTTTTAGCTCCTTGTTGTAACCAGTTATCATTGGAGTAGGGAACAATGCTCCGTTTATACCTTAGAGTCATTGATAAAAGCACTTATACTGTGCCAACTATATGTTCAGAATATTGAGTTAAGCCCTATTCATGATTATGGATTTTTTTTTTCTTTTTTGAGATGGAGTCTCGCTCTTGCTCTGTTGCCCAGGCTGGAGTGCAATGGCGTGATCTCAGCTCACTGCAACCTCCGTCTCCCGGCTCCAAGCAATTCTCCTGCCTCAGCCTCCTGAGTAGCTGGGATTACGGGCACCACACCCGGCTAATTTTTGTATTTTTAGTAGAGACGGGGTTTCATCATGTTGGTCAGGCTGGTCTCGAACTCCTGACCTCAGGATCCACCCGCCTCGACCTCCTAAAGTGCTGGGATTACAGGTGTGAGCCACCGCACCCGGCATGGATTTTTTTTTCTTTATTTAAAAATCTAAAGAGGAATACATAATAAAATACATGAATATCTTAAACTTTCAGAAAGCTTTGCCATATAAAATATTAGAATAATAACAAACCTAGAAATAAAGTATTTCCTATATGCTTCAAGGAAAATAGTCATCAGAAGTTTTACATTTAATTATGAGGGAAAGGCTTGAAGGCATTTCAATTACAGAGCCAATTGATTTGGCAAAATAACTTAAAGAGTTATCTGGTATTGCACCAACCTTTATGTCTTCCTGTTTCATTAGATAGCCATGGCATCAGTATAGAGGAGGCACTGAAGGATTCAGCAAGAAGTGTCAGTATATAATAAAGGACTTTGAATCTATTTGGGATTCCTTGAAAAAAATAAAGGACTAATTTAAACTTAAACTAGAAAGACATTTTTAGAATATGATAATTGATATTTATAATGATGAGATAAAGTGCTCAATAAAAGGTTAAATTACATTGATTACAGTCTTTACTAAGATGGGGAATGTATAATGTACTGTTTAGAAAGAATTTATTTGGAAATGGTAGAAACTTACTTGGAAAAGTTATTACCTGAAAAAATATAATGATGTGACATGCCATGTTATCTAATCATATGACAAATGTGTCTTTACCATGAAAATGTTATATATAATATTTAAAATATTAATAGATAGAGATTTCAGTGGGTATGGGATTAGTCTTTGCTGTGGTTCTAGGTTGGAGCAGCAATCTTAAACGTTTCCAGCGGTTTCCCCTAAAATTAAAGGTTCTATTAAACGCATGTCTCTCTGCTTTCTAGCATATCACTAGATACTATTTTACCTAATGTTTTGCCACAGCATTTGTGAGGGTCATTAACTAGCTTTTAAGCCTCTTCGTCATTCTACTGATAAGCCATTGCTACATGTCATAGTATTATGTATAATCTCCCACTGTAAATTTGGAATTTGGTATTGGTTATGATGTAAGTTTGGCTGCTTATAAGAAATCTCAAAAGAACAGTGACTTAAACAAGATAAAAGATTATTTTTCTCTCATGTAAAAATCTGAGTTTGTGTGGTTTTTCTCTGCTCTGTGGGTTAATCCCAGACAACTTTTTTTCTTTTGTCTTCTCTGCCATTCCTAGGATGTGGCCTTGCATCCACATGGTATAAGATGATTTATATTGCCGGGCGCGGTGTCTCATGTCTGTAATCCCAGCACTTTGGGAGGCTGAGGCGGGCAAATCACGAGGTCAGGAGATCGAGACCAGCCTGGCTAACATGGTGAAACCCCGTCCCTACTAAAAAATACAAAAAATTAGCCGGGCGTGGTGGTGGACACCTGTAGTCCCAGCTAGTCAGGAGGCTGAGGCAGGAGAATGGCATGAACCTGGGAGGCAGAGCTTGCAGTGAGCCGAGATCGCGCTACTACACTCCAGCCTGGGTGACAGAGCGAGACTCCATCTCAAAAAAAAAAAAAAAAAAGATGATATGTACCAGTTTCATATTCCAGCCAGCAGGAATAGTAATTCTTTTTTTTGAGATGGAGTCTCCCTCTGTTGCCCATACTGGAGTGCAGTGGCATGACCTCAGCTCACTGCAACCTCTGCCTCCTGGGTTCAAGCGATTCTCCTGCCTCAGCCTCTTGAGTAGTTAGTAGAGACGGGGTTTCACCATGTTGGCCAGGCTGGTGTCGAACTCCTGACCTCAGGTGATCTGCCCGCCTTGGCCTCCCAAAGTGCTAATTAGAAAGGAGAAGGCATTCCTATTCTGTTTGAGAGCCCATTCTGAAGTTGTACACATCACTCTGCTCACATTCCATTGGTTAGAATTTAACCCGGGCATGGTGACTCATGCCTGTAATCCCAGCACTTTGGGAGGCCAAGGTGGGAGGATTGCTTGAGCTCAGGAGTTCAAGACCAGCCTGGGCAACATAGTGAGACTCTGTCTCTACAAAAAAAAAGTAAAAACAAGCTGAACATGGTGGCATGCATCTGTAGTCCCAGCTCCTCAGGAGGCTGGGGTGGGAGGATCACTTGAGTCCAGGAGGTCATGGCTGCAGTTTGGTGTGATTGAGTTACTGCACTCCAGTGTAGGTGACAGAGCAAGACCCTGTCTCAAAAAAAAAAAAAAAAAAAAAAAAGAATTTAGTCACATGATAACACCTAGCTGCAAGGATTTCTAGAAAAGGAGTCTATTCTAGGAAGTCATGTGCTCATCCAAAAATTTGGAAGAGAGGTTCTTTCACAAAGACTAATGGGAGAACAGATACTGGGGAGACAACTAGCAATCTCTGACATCTCATCAGTGAGTACATAAACACTGGTAACTGTCAACCAGATATATACCTTTAACTCTATTCTTCCGTCATATCACCACATCTATAGTGCTTTTGCCTACCTCTACTTGGATAAACATAGATGTCTAAAATTTAGTGTGTCTAAATCAGATAATGCTTTCTTCCCTCCTTCCTCTTTTCTCTGTCTTAGGTAGTAACACCATTATCTCCTTATTTACCCCAGCTGGCAACCTGAAATTTCTTCTTAGACTTCTTAGCTTTCCTGTTATCTCTATATCTGATCAATCACAAAATCCTAAGGATCTCTTGAGTCTATTTAGTCTATTTTCTGTCCTTCCATTTTTAAACAACATGCCCTTATCATTTCTCATTTGGATTACTGAGATAGCTTCCTAAATACACTGCCACCAGAGTAATCACCCTGAAATAGATTGAATCATGTAATGGCTATGCTCAGTAACTAAAATGTATACAGTACTTGCTATGCGTGAGGCACTATTTTAAGCACTTTACATTTAACAGCCCATTTTTATCATCACAGTAAACCCTCTGAGGTTATATAGTTGACAGAACTGAGGCAAAAGAGGTTGAGTAATTTGTTTGAAGTCAGCTAGTCATTGTCGAAGCCAGAATTGGATCACTCTGGCTCCACAGTTGGTGTTTTAGCTACTATATTGTATTGCTCAAAATATTTGTCCATTGCTTCCTGAGTAAAATGTGATCTACTTCATATGTAAAACCCTTTCAGGCTACTTTTTCTCTTCTGTGTCTGGCCACTTTTCTCTTACTACTAATCTTCATGTATACTACTCATACAACTAGACACACTACACTTGCAATTTCCCAGTATGTCATGCTTTCTCTCACCATTCTGCTTTCCCCAGTTCCTTCAACCAGTTCTTTTGTTCTTTTTTAGACTCCTCAATTCAGGAGTCAACCAGTCCACGTCTTTTGGCTACCCTAGTCTGTCATAAACCTCTTCTGTGCATGTTTATATCATTCTGTAGCCCCTGTCACCCTCAATTATATCATAGCCCCTGTCACCCTCAATTATAAGTATTTACTTTTTGTGTCTCTTGATAAGCTTCTCAAGGAAAGAACATTGTCTTTCATCTTGCCTGATACTAAAAAACTCTGTTTCCTTTCTTTCCACATCCCTCGGCTGCTACTCAGAGATCATCAATGACTTCTAACCAACAAAATTTATGGCTTTTTCAGGCTTCTTTCTCTTCAAAGTCTCTGTAGTGTGATATTGAAACAGTCTTTTCTTTTGGCCTCCATTATACCATAAGGGAAACTAAACTTTACCTCTTCCAAACTTAGTTCTTAGTTGAGATGGACTCTCGTACCAAAAGACAGATTTATAAGGGAAAAGCAAACAAGTTTATTAATGCGTGCCGCACACCACACAAGAAACCCCAAGGAAAAGTAACTCAAGGGCTGATCACAGTGGCTTATGCCTGTAATCCCAGCACTTTGGGAGGCTGAGTTGGGCAGATCACTTGAGGCCAGGAGTTTGAGACCAGCCCAGCCAACATGGTGAAACCCCATCTCTATTAAAAATACAAAAATTAGCTGGGCTTGATGATGCACACCTGTAATCCCAACTCAGGAGGCTGAGGCAGAAATATTGCTTGAACCTGGGAGGCGGAGGTTGCAGTGAACCGAGATTGTGCCACTGCACTCCAGCCTGGGTAACAGAGCAAGACTATGTCTCAAAAAAAAAAAAAAAAAAAAAAAGTAGCTCAAAATAGTGGCTTAGAACTCTACTTATATAGCATCTTCAACAAAGAACAATAAATTTATAGAGAAATGACAGGACAAATGAAAGTGATTTTAGGTTTCCAAGGACAGGAAAGGAGTAAGGTTTGTTTGCAAATTCCTCTGGTGCTGTCACTGGGCTAGTAAGAGTATAGAGTTATCTCCAGTGAAGCAAAATTTATACTCTGTAGTTCGGCAGAAAACGGAGGGTAGAGAAAAAGCTTTTCCTCCATTTACTGCTTCCCTCTCTCTCTCTCTTTTTTAATTTCTTTTGAGACAGAGTCATGTTCTGTCCTGTAGGCCGGAGTGCAGTGGCATGATCTCGGCTCACTGCAGCCTCCATGTCCTGGGCTCAAGGAATCCTCCCACCTTGGCCCTTCAAGTAGCTGGGACCACAGATGTGTGCCACCATGCCTGGCTACTTTTTTTTTTTGTATTTTTTGTAGAGATGGGGTTTTGCCATGCTGCCCAGGCTAGTCTCAAACTCCTGAGCTCAAGGGATCAACCTGCCTTGGCCTCCCAAAGTGCCAGGATTATAGGCATGAGGCACCACACCTGACCTGCACTAAGTTTTTTATATACGTTATCTCCATTAATTTTTAACTATGAGTTAGTGGCCCAATTCCCATTTTGCAAGTGAGTTAAGTTGACATAATAGAAAGTAACTTGCCCAAATTCACACAACTACCAGGTATTGGAGCTGGGATTCTAACTCAATTTTGTGTCTTAGCAATCCTTGATTTTAACAACTCTAATATATGGCTCATTAACATCTTACACTAATTATATGTAAAACCACATTTCTTGAATGAGACCCTCTCAATGTTATTAACATCTTATTATTCATATTAGTCTTTCACTTATTGTCTTTTTGCTCCATAGTCCTGTTAGGTTTTCATTAGCAATTGAAAAAAAATTTTTTTTTAATTTATGAGGTTTTTGTTTTGTTTTGTTTTCTTGAGACATAGAGTCGCTCTGTTTCCCAGGCTGGAGTGCAGTGGTGTGATCTTGGGTCATGGAGTGCAGTGGTGTGATCTCAGGTCACTGCAATCTCTGCCTCCTGGGTTCAGGTGATTCTCCTGCCTCAGCTTCCTGAGTGGCTAGGATTACAGGTGCGAGCCACTACGCCTGGCTAATTTTTGTATTTTTAGTAGAGATGGGGTTTCACCATATAGGCCAGGCTGGTCTTGAACCCCTCACCTCAAGTGATCCACCTGCCTTGACCTCCCGAAGTGCTAGGATTACAGGCATGAGCCACCACGCCTGGCCAGTTCTTTTTTTTTTTTTCTGTGAGGCAGGGTCTTACTTTGTTACCCAGGCTGGAGTGCAGTGGCATAATCATGGCTTACTGCAGCATCAACTTCCTGGTCTCAAGTGATCCTCCCGCCTCAGCTTTTCAAGCAGCTGAGACCACAGGCACGCACCACCACACTCAGCTAATTTTTTTTTTTTTTTTAAGAAACAGAGCCTCATTATGTTGCCTAGGCTGGTCTCAAACTCATGGGCTCAAGTGATTCTCCTGTCTTTGTCTCCCGAAGTATTGGGATTACAGGCATGAGCCACTGCACCTGGCCCAGGAATTTCCAATTTCCTTTTCTGCTCCAGAGTTTAGTTCCTTATTGCCAGTTCATCTTATAGTGATTGAAATTCATATTTAGCAAAGATAGGGTGAAAGTTTTAAAATCTGACCTTTGCGATTTTTACCATCTACTGTTGATCTCCGTTTTGAACTTCCCATCTGAGTTTAAATCAGTCTTCTTGTGTTTTTTACCTTTAATTTTCTCTGTTTTAAAAACACTCTGTTTCATCTTCATTTAAATCTGAAGTCCAATTGCATAGTCTTGATCTTTACCCACAGAAGATTGCTATCTTTTCTCATATATTTTCTATTTTCTATAATCTCATTTGGCCTTTAATAATATGCTCTTTTATATTTCTGGTTAACTGTTCATGTCTGTATTTTTTTTTTCTTTCCAACTGAATTGTAAATTCCTTGAATCAGAGTTTTGTTTTTTTTTTTTTTGAGGTGGAGTCTGCTTCTGTCACCCAGGCTGGAGTGCAGTGGCACGATCTCGGCTCACTGCAACCTCCACCTCCTAGATTCAAGCAATTCTCTGCCTCAGCCTCCTGAGTAGCTGGGATTACAGGCACTCACCATCACGCCCGGATAATTCTTTTGCATTTTTAGTAAAGACGGGGTTTCACCATCTTGGCTAAGCTGATCTTGAACTCCTGACCTCGTGATCCACCCGCCTTGGCCTCCCAAAGTGCTGGGATTACCGGCATGAGCCACTATGCCTGGCCCAGAGTTAGTTTTTACACTTCTCTGTAGTTCCATGTTCAGCAGCTAGTATAATGACAGGAACATTTTAGATGATTGAAGCATTGACTGAATGGGTGTTATTATTTTGATATTTGTCTTTTTGGGATTTAAAAAAAAATTGATAATAAATATTACCAATAGAGCTTAAACCACCATGGAACGATCTTGGAAGGAACCTTTTCAAGTATTATATTGAAGAGATTAAGTAGATTGTTAGTTTTAATAGTTTACGATGTATTTTAATCTTATATTTAAAAAATAACATCTTTCTTTCTCCCCCACCCCACTTTCTTTCTTTTTTTTTTTTGGCAGCCGATTCGAAGACAGTCTCTTACACCTCCTCCTCAGAACACTATTACATGGGAAGAATATATATCTGCTGAAAATGGAAAGTAAGTTTTTTTCTTGTTTATGTGTTATTTGGTTTTTAGAAAGAATAATTTGTAAAAACTGAATATGTGAATATTTTGGCGTAAATTATTTTGGAGAGAATTATTGGTATATTTTTGACTGAAGCAATTCTTCTACCTTTTAAAAATATGGATTAAATATGATAAGGGCAAAGTGTCCCAAATTATGTACCCTCTTTGCAAATGGTTGTAGATCTTTCTGTATCCATCCTGTCAATTTATACACACCTAAAAAACTAAAAGACACTGTTCTAAGGAAATATGATATAGGAAATTGCGCAGGACAGTTGCTTATTTGAGATTTCCCATTGTATGATGAGCTTTTCTATTTTGTGATTATCCTGATTTTTTAGCATAGTGTGCAAGCCCATTCATTATTTATCTTCTTTTTGCCTTTCCAAGCTCCTCACCTGTCATTATCCTTTAGTTTCAACCTATGCTAGACTACTTCTCACTGTCCTTCCATAGGACCTTTGCTGATGTAATATTACTAACAGTAGAGTGCCTACCACATAGCTCATACTCAGTTTATATTTATTGACTAAAAGAATGATGAATGAATAAAGAAAGGGTTTATTTTTAATAAATAGATAAGTAAAAAGTGTATCCTGGCCAACCATTATTTCCTTTTGGTGGAGAATAAAATATAAAATATTGCTTTCCTGCTCCTGTTTAGGAAGAAGTTGTCATTTTTTTTTCTTATTGAAAGTTTTGTTATATTTTTCTGAATTCTCCAAGATGTTTCCATCTTAATATTTTTATAGTTTTTTTTTTTTTTTTTTTTTGAGATGGAGTCTTGCTCTGTCGCCCAGGCTGGAGTGCAGTGGGCGTGATCTCAGCTCACTGCAACCTCCGCCTCCCAGGTTCAAGCCATTTTCTCACCTCAGCCTCTCGAGTGGCTGGGAATACAGGTGCGCTCCACCATGCCCAGCTAATTTTTGTATTTTTAGTAGAGACAGGGTTTCACCATATTGGCCAGGCTGGTCTCAAACTCATGGGCTCAAATGATCCACCTGCCTCGGCCTCCCAAATGCTGGGATTACAGCTATGAGCCACTGCGCCTGACCTTAATATTTTATGGTGCTAAACAAAATTTATGAGGGTATTATTGTATTAGATTAGCCTCCTGCATGCACTAGGCACCAGCAGACCATACCAAACCAGAATGTAGTTACTTCTGCTAAGTACTACATAATTAAACTGAACTTTGAAATGGGCCAGTTTAAAATGAAAAAAAAAAAAGGACATTCCAGGCAACCTGAGTCAACATAGTAACTAAGTCTTCTGTTTTTTTAACTGTATAAGGAAAGCAACTTTGAAATAACCAGATCACCTTTTTTCCCCACCGTTTCCACTTCAGCCTTTTCAGTCTATAAAGATAACCTCCTCTTTTCAGCTTATTGGAACGCTCATTCTATTTTACAGAATTAGGTATTGTCCTGTGCTAGAGTTGCAAATAAAAGCCAATTAGATCTTTATGCTACATTGATAATTTTCTTTTGATAATAGTTAATATAGAATTCCTTATTCTTCACAATATTTCTTATTGATCAATGCAGAGGCTGTAATAGACAGTAAAGAAGATTGAATTGAATAAGTGACTTTAAAGATATACAATAATACCTTAAAAATTTTTTTACTAATGATTTTCTTTATTCCTAAAAATAGTGGTTATTAAAATTATATTCAATGTGAAATTAGTTTAGATCTAATAATTTCTGAACTTTTACTCTTTGCTATTCTTTTTTATTGCCCTTGTCTTAATTTCTTATACATATCTTATTCCCTTTTAGCATAACTTTATTTCTGTAGACAGAGTAAGAAAAATTGAAATATTAATGAATGTCATTGAAAGATGACAGATGCTTCTTAGGAAGGTGATAGACTATGGAAAAAGTTTCCTAACATTTTTTTTCCTCCCATTTTAGAGCTCCTCATCTGGGTAGAGAATTGGTGTGCAAAGAGAGTAAGAAAACGTTTAAAGCTACGATAGCCATGAGCCAGGAATTTCCCTTAGGGATAGAGTTGTAAGTTTGTTACTAACTACAAATGTTTATGAAAGAAACTATTAAACCCTAAAGGCTGTAATAATATTTGCACCCCAGTGGTGCATTTGAGACCTTTGAAATGAAAAGCAAATAGCCATTGCCTTGATAGTGTGTGCACTGTTCTAGAACTTTTCTGGTTCGCAAAAGTATTGATTTTTACTACTTTCACCAGATAAATTTTTGAGTAGATTTTCTTTCTTTCTTTTTTTTTTTTTTTTTTTTTTTGAGATGGAGTCTTGCTCTGTCACCCAGGCTGGAGTGCAGTGGCGCGATCTTGGCTCACCACAACCTCCACCTCCCAGGTTCAAGCAATTCTCCTGCCTCAGCCTCCTGAGTAGCTGGGATTATAGGTGCCCACCACCACGCCCGGCTAATTTTTGTATTTTTAGTAGAGATGAGGTTTCGCCATGTTGGCCAGGCTGGCATCAAACTCCTGACCTCAGGTGATCCACCCACCTCAGCCTCCCAAAGTGCTGGGATTACAGGCGTGAGCCACCACGCCCAGCCGAGTAGGTTTTTAAATTATAAAAAGTAATACGTGAATACATGCTTGTTTTAAAAAAATCCAAAAGTATGGAAATTTACAGAATAAAATGTGTTATTTTAACACATCAATAGTTAATGACTATTGTATTTTTGTCTAGAGTTATCCGTGTTTTTGCATTTTTTAAAATAAAAATGGGGGAATGGTTCACGTTTTCTTCTGTGTGTTCCTTGTTTTCATTTAAAAGTGAGTGTGTCTTGGCTGGGCGTGGTGGCTCATGCCTGTAATCCCAGTACTTTGGGAGGCCAAGGTGGGCGGATCATCTGAGGTCAGGAGTTTGAGATCTGCCTGGCCAACGTGGTGAAACCCTATCTCTACTAAAAATACAAAAACTAGCTGGGCATATGGCATGTGCCTCTAATCCCAGCAACTAGGGAGGCTGAGGCAGGAGAATCGCTTGAACCAAGGAGGCAGAGGTTGCAGTGAGTCAAGATCGTGCCACTGCACTCCAGCCTGGAGAGTCCGTCTCAAAAAAAAAAAGAAAAAAGAAAAAATGAGTGTGTCTTGAAGTTTTACAGTGATTATATTTTCGTCTATTCTTTTTCCTTGTTATTTTGTAGTGTTGATATACTGTTGTTTATCATTCATCTACTGATAAACATTTTGATTATTTGTAGTTTGTCACCATTTTCAACAATATTGTGGTAAACATATTGAATATATCCTCTCCAACATGTACTCATTGGATGCTCCTTTTTAAAAATACTCTATTTGGAGAGATGGCTGGAATGAGAGATGGGTAGCAAGAGCTGACTGATACAACTATAGTTTTAGGCTCCTCACTAAAGTGGGAGGGAGGAGATGAAGCACTGGGCGATTTTCTCTTACTAGTTCCTTCCCTTTCAAATCTGGCCTAATGCATTAATTTTTTTTAACGGCCTAATACATTTTTTAAAAATGATCGGAGAAGAGAGCAGGGTGCATATATTTTTAAAAAGTACATACATACCTGAGCTTTACCCATATCTAGGCTTTAGATAAGTAGATAGATTGTTCTATACAGCCCTCAAGTTATGTCAGAGAGAGATAAGTCTCAGAAAATGTGGAGAGTTAGCCACACCTACACATCTGCCAAAATTTGTCATATCTAGGACCCAGTTGACTCGATGCACCAATTTTATTTTATTATTTTATTTATTTATTTATTTATTTATTTATTTATTTTTTGAGACAGAGTCTCACTCTGTTGCCAAGGCTGGAGTGCAGTGGCACAATCTCGGCTCACTGCAACCTCTGCCTCCCAGGTTCAAGTGATCCTCCCAACTCAGCCTGACAACTAGCTGGGACTACAGGCATGTGCTACCACGCCTGGATAATTTCTGTATTTTTAGTAGAGATGGGGTTCACCATGTTGGCCAGGCTGGTCTCAAACTCCTGACCTCAGGTGATCTGTCCACCTGGGCCTCTTAAAGTGCTGGGATTACAGATGTGAGCCACCACACCTGGCCAAAGATTCACCAATTTTATATTCTACTTGCTAATAAAGAAGAAAACTGCAGCTAATATTAAGACGTCATCAATTTTAGGAGTTATCCTAATTTCAGATATGTTACATGAAAAAAAAAAAGAATATCTTAGAATTTATAAAATGTGGCAGTTATAACCACTACTCTTGAAAAAGAAAATGAAATAAGGAGCCGGACATGGTGGTGCACACCTGTTATCCTGGCAGTTTGGGAGGCTGAGGCGGGTGGATCACCTGAGGTTGGGAGTTTGAGACCAGCCTGACCAACATGGAGAAACCCCGTCTCTATTAAAAATACAAAATTGGCCGGGTGTGGTGGTGCATACCTGTAATCCCAGCTACTCGGGAGGCTGAGACAATCACTTGAACCCGGGAGGCGGAGTTTGCGTTGAGCCGACATCACGCCATTGCACTCCAGCCTGGGCAACAAGAGCGAAACTCCATCTCAAAAAAAAAAAGAAATAGAGAACACAGCATACAAATGCCAGACAAATAATTTGTTCTAAAAGTTCAGAAAAAAAAAAAAGAAAATTACCTATAAATGCCATAGAAAACAAGAAAGAACATGAAATCAGTAAAGCAGATCTTTCTGAGATGAGAATATAAGACAGTAAAATGAAATGAAAAGGAGATTGTAAAGCTGAGGAAATAAATTGAGCACTAAATGGCACTATTACAAAACAAATACAGTAGAAACAATAATGAACAGAATCGATGTAACTGAAAATTAAATTTTGACAACTCTTGGTGAATTCAGTAGAAGAGATTAAAGAAATTACATGAGCAATAGATATGGAGGACAAAAATGGTTCAATATGAGTCATTCATGTTTTACTTAAAAGGCGTCCAAGTATAACCAAAATAATATTCAAAATATGATAGAAGAAAATTTCTCTGTAATGAAGAACTAAATCTATAGGATGACATTAGGTTCCACGAAAAATTGGTACAGAATGATTAGTAACAAAAATTATCCTGATCAAACTATTGGGCTTCAGTTGTTGATAAATCCAAAGGCATCCGGGCAGAAAAGGGATAAAATCAGCCTGGCCTTCCATTTTTTCATATGTCTTTACTTATCTGAAGTAACAAAAGTGTGATCTGTCAGTATTTCTAACTTTAATTTATGTATGGAGGCAACTGAAGATATTCTCAAGCACAAAAGAATTCAAGAAACGTAGCAGTCGTAGGACTTTTTTCAAAGAAAAATGCTACTACTTAAAAAAGAAATCCATCCAACCAAAAGATGAAAGAAATTATAGCATAATGACTAATATGATATAGAATGCTAAGAGATATTATGAAATTGTAGTTCAGAAGGAAAGACAGTATAACCTGAAATTTTATGTGAGTCAAGTTTCCCTTTAAAGATAAGAAGCAATCATTTATCAAATATGCAGGAAATCAAGGAATATTAAGCACATAAGAGCCTTTTACACACACAATAAATTGACAGTGGAAATCAGCCACCCAAACAGTGAATCTAGTTACTAGCTTTGAGTCCATCTAAATATGGACCTAAAATCAAACAATTGTGAAAATTATGGCTGCACAATCAAAAGTTGTAAACCATTATAGAGTAAAAAGTTAGGAGGAATAAAGTCTGTAATTTACTCATCCTTAGTATCTGGAAGTCAATACTACTGTCCAGGTTTGAAGCATGTAGTTGAAAAGCATAAGGACACAAGGCAATTTGAACAATGAAAACATTTTTTTCTTCTTCCATTTTTCAGATTATTGAATGTTTTAGAAGTAGTAGCTCCCTTCAAGCACTTTAACAAGCTTAGAGAATTTGTTCAGATGAAGCTTCCTCCAGGCTTTCCTGTAAAATTAGGTAAGAGAAAAAATTAGATATAATTTTAGTGTCCATTAGGAATATGGAGCTGTTTATTAACATTTAATAAGCAATTTCTTTTAAAGCAGGGGTCCCCAACACCTCTGTTGGTTCGTGACCTTTTAGGAGTGGGGTGCACAGCAGGAGATGAGCTGAGCGGCAGGCTAGTGAGCATTGCCGCCTGAGCTCTGCCTCCTGTCAGATCAGTGGTGGCATTAGATTCTTGTAGGAACATGAACCCTATTGTGAACTTCACATGTGAGGGATCTAGGTTGCACGCTCCTTATGAAATCTAATGCCTGATCTGAGATGGAACAGTTTCATTCCAAAGCCCTCCCCAGTCCCCACCAGTCTGTGGAAAAATTATCTTTCACGAAACAGATCCCTCGTGCCAAAAAGGTTGGGGGCTGCTGTTTTAAAGGAAAATAGATTTCCTAGTTGCTTACATTTTCGTAAAGTTTTTCAGTAATTATATGCATTTATTTATGTTTTGTCAAATATTTAAAGTGCCTGATGAGAATTCTTATTCTACTTGATTTAAATTAAATGTAAGGGATCTATTTCACACAAGAAAAGTGTGGGTAAACTAATGATGTATTGTAATAATGTTTTTCATGTGAAATAGGGAGACTAGAGATTAGCCCAGATTTTCAGCTATGCTTTCAGTTTCTGTGTAGTGAGAATGTTTCTGGAGTAAGCAGTTACTGTTGATGGATAAAGTAATACTCATACGTTTTATTTTTCAGCCCTAAATGTTTAATTTCATCTTAAGCAATGATCTTTAGAAATAGTACACTCATTTTTGCATATAGTTTTCTTTCTAACATATCAGAAACCAAGGAAGAAGACACTATTAAAAGGTGTTTTGGGTGTTTAGATTTAGATTTAGCATTAATTCAAGCTTCAGGAGCTCCTTTAACACTATCCATCAATTCAACCACTCAGTATTTAATGAGTGCTGTAATTCTTCAGATGTATCTTGTTTTATCCAATATTTTTAAAACCACATCTCAGAATACTTAGGCCAAAATGTTTTCATTGCTAAAAATTAAACCTGATCTTCACAATTTTGCACACTTGGAAATAAACATTTTCTAGATGAAAAATGACTTTTTTTTTTTTTTTTGAAAAATGACTTTTAAATAAGTGATTTTCAAAATGTCACTCTAGTTGCCCTTTGCAATTCAAAAGCACTAGGAACCCAGTGTCTACTTGGAGAAATCAGTGATAAGATCTTAGGCAGAAATGGTTAGAAAACTAATGCAATTCAGAGCTGTGTGCCATAGCCATAAGGGATCTTTGTGTTCGCATTTCTGCAGAAGTTTAAAACTCCACTGCCATTTTCTATGGTGAGGGAAATATTTCGAGTTTTAGACTCCCTTCTAGGTACTGTTAAGAGACCCATGACAAACCAGAATAGAGAACAGGAGTTAAACAGTTGAGAATTTCAAACTATCTCTGTATTCACATCTATTTTTAAGTTCTAAACAAACCCAAATCAAACCCCACAATACATTTATTTTTATGCAAAGGAAATATTTTCATTATATGAGAAGAAAAAAGTCTGCAGTCCTTTTTTTGCAGGCATTTCTCTGATGTAGAACCACATTTTTAACAAGGAATAATATTTTGCTTGTATACTTAAAGTTATGGGGTATTTGTTTAACTATTTCTCTTTTGTTTCTCTGTCCTTCTTTTGAACCAACCCTGTAAAACTTCCTCCTGTGTATGTTTACTCTTTCACCGTTTCTTTTTCTACATTTAGGATAAAAAACACAACTGGGATAAATTATAAAAATTTGGAAATTAGGGGGGAGGGGGGAGGGATAGCATTGGGAGATATACCTAATGCTAGATGACGAGTTAGTGGGTGCAGCGCACCAGCATGGCACATGTATACATATGTAACTAACCTGCACATTGTGCACATGTACCCTAAAACTTAAAGTATAATAATAATTTTAAAAAAAAACTAAAAAATCAAAAAAAAATTTTGGAAATTATTGTTAACACAATTACATGTTTTCAGAATCAGCCAGAGCTTTAAGTGCTGATTATGAATGGTCTTTTCTCTGATTGGCTTCTTCTCTCATTTTGCTCAAAGACTAAATTTGACCCTCTTTCATCATCAAATCTTCATCCTCCCCCACCACTTTCTCCTACAACCTAAGCGCAGATGATTTTTACTTCCTTTGATACAAAAAGAGAATATCAGAAATGGGACCTCCCTCACTACTTCCAACACCCCATACAGATTTTTCTGCCCCAAGCCCAACCTTTTCTTTCATCTTCCTATCTCACTGGAAGTGGCGCCCCTCTTCTTAGCTTGAGTAATGTCTTCATTTGTATTATGGATCTATTCTCCTCCTAGCTCTTTTTAAAAGCTAGCTGTATCGCCGGGCACAGTGGCTGACGCCTGTAATCCCAGCACTTTGGGAGGCCAAGGCAGGTGGATCACTTGAGGTCAGGAGTTCGAGACCAGCCTGGCCAACTTGGTGAAACTCTGTCTCTACTAAAAATTAGCCAGGTGTGGTGGCGGGTACCTGTAATCCCAGCTACTCAGGAGGCTGAGGCAGGAAAATCACTTGAACCCAGGAGGCAGAGGTTACAGTGAGCCAAGATCACGCCATTGCACTCCAGCCTGGGCAACAAGAGCAAGACTCTGTCTCAAGGTGGGGGCGGGGAAGCTAGCTGTATGAGTGACTTCATATTTCTCGTTTTCCTTCTACCTGTCTGTACTGCATTTTTCCTCTCAGTTGTTAGGCTTGCTCAGGTCTCTCCCCTTTTAAAATCAAACAAAAAACAACAACAACAACAAAAAAGCACCTGTAATTCCACCAGCACTTGCTTTAATCTTTGCTTTTCACAGCCAAGCTATTTGAAAGCCTACTTTTGTCTCTCTATTCTTACTTTCTATTTACAATTATATTTTAAATGGGGGAAGGTATAGGGACATGAAGGGAGATAAGTTTACTTCACTTGAGTTGGTAAAATTATGACACCGGGAAATTGTGATACAGACACACACACACATACACACAATAATGTATACCTAGAGCAGCCACTATAGAAGCTGTAAAAAGAGATAACTCAAAAACACCATAGATAAATTAAAATGAAATTCTAAAAAATAGGTAACCTAAGGATGGCAAGAAAAAGAAAACAGAGAAATGAAGAACAGAGAGAATGAACAGAAAACAAAAAATAAAATAGCAGACCTAAGCCCTAACATATTAATAATACCATTAAATGTAAATGGTCTAAATATACCAATTAAAAGATAGTGATTGGTAAAGTGGATTAAAAAACATGATCCAGGCTGGGTGCAGTGGCTCATCCCTGTAATCCCAGCTACTTGGGAGGCTGAGGTGGGAGAATTGCTTAAACTTAGGAGGCTGACGGAAGTTGCAGTGAGCCAAGATCGCGCCACTGTACTCATTCCAGCCTGGGTGACAGAGCAGGATTGTTTCAATAAAAAAACAAAACAAAACAAAAACCATGATCCAATTGTCTGCTATTTTCAGTAAACTCACTTGAAATATAATGATATAGGCCGATTAGAAGTGAAAGAGTGGAAAAAGATATATCATGCAAACACTAATCAAAGGAAAACAGGATTGGCCATATTAAAATTAAGGCAGATATCAGAGCAAAGAAAATTATTAGAGACAGAGAGGGACATTATTTAGTGATAAAAGGGTCAATCTATGAAGAAGATGTGACCATTCTAAATGTATATATACCAAGTAACAGAGTTGCAAGATAGATGAAACAAAAATTGAAAGAATGGAAAGGAAAAATAGATCCACAATTATAACTGGAGACTCAACACCCTTCTCTCAACAATTGATATAACAACAGACAGAAAATTTGCAAGGATGTAGATCAACAACATCATAAGCCAAAGGATTTAATTGGCATTTATAGAATACTCTACCCAACAACAGCAGAATACACATACATTTCAAGTGCCCATGGAACATATACCAAGGTAGACCATATTGGCTATAAACAAACCTGAATATATATAAAAGAACCGAAAATCATACCGAGTGTGTTCTCTGATTACAATGGAATTAAACTAGGAATTAATATTAGAAAAAAGACAAGAGAATGTCCAAACACTTGGAAACTTAAAGAGCACTCTTCTAAATAATCTATATGTCAAAGGGAAGTCTCAAAGGAAATAAAACAATAAATTGAACTGAATGAAAATGAAATTGCAACATATCAAAATTTGTGGAACATAGCTAAAGCAGTGCTGAGAGACAACTCCCAGCAAGATATTTTTATAGACATAGGCAAGATTATTTTAAAATTTGGATGGAAAGGCAAAGAACCTAGAATAGCTGTATTAGTTTGCTAGGCATTTAGATCAGACAAATGAAGAGTATGTTCACACACACACAAAAAGTACACAAATGTTTATTTTATATCAGCTTTATTTGTAATAGCCAAAAACTACAATTTGCAACAGGTAAATGAACAATGATACACCTATACCGTGGGATATACTATTCACCAATAAAAAGATTGAACTGCTAATACATGAAACAACCTGGATGAATTGCTTGAGAATTATACTGAGTAGAAAAAAGCCAATCCCAAAAATTAGATACTGTATGATTCCATTTATATAAAGTATTCGAAGTGAAAACAACTGTGGCAGTGAACAGTTGAGTGGATGCCAGGGACTACAGAAGGGGTGAGGCATAAGAGAAGCAATTGTGGCTATAAAAGGGCAACACTGTGGGATCCAACATGAGGACAACATGTGGTTATGGAAATATTCATCATGTTTTACTATACTGTCAATATCCTGATTTTTATGTTGTATTATTTGTAAGATGTTAAAGTTGGATAAAATTGAATAAAGGCTACAGGAAATCTCCCTTGCTTCCTCCTTCCTTCCTTCTTCCCTCCCTTCCTCCCTCTCTCTTTCCTTCCGTCCTCTTTCCCTCCCTCCATTCCTTCCTTCCTTCCTTCTTCTTTTCTTTTCTTTTCTTTTTTTTTTTTTTTTTTTTTTTTTTTGAGGCAAGGTCTGACACTGTTGCACAGGCTAGAATGCAGTGGCATGATCTCGGCTCACTGCAACTTCTGCTTACCAGTCTCAAGCCATCCTTCCACCTCAGCCTCCCAAGTAGCTGGGACCACAGACATGAGCCACCACACCCAGTTAATTTTTGTATTTGTCGTACAGATGGGGTCTCAACACTTTGTTGCCCGGGCTGGTCTCAAACTCCTGAGTTCAAGTGATTTATCCACCTTGGCCTCCCAAAGTACTGGGATTACAGGTGTCAGCCACTGTGCCTGGCCTGTATTATTTCTTAAAATTGCTTGTGAATCTGTAATTGTCTCAAAATAAAAAGCATATTCACTTCCTTAGTTCATTACAGATTCTCTCTTCCTGTTTATTTATTATTGATCCTTATTGTTAAATGTAGTAGAAACTTTTCTGTTTTTATACTAATCTCTTCAAGATTTGACTTTTCTTATTTTGAAGTCCTTGGCTCAATGAATAACTGAGACAAGTCATTGCATTTTCCTCTGACTTCTTTGATAGACTCTCTCTTGGTTTTCTTCCTCCCTCTCTGGCTGCTCCTTCTGGAGCACATCTCCCTCTTCACTCTTGTCACCTTGTATTATATTCTCACTACATCTGCCAAAACTCCAGTTATAGTACTACCCCGGTCACACCCTTCCGTTGGCTTTCCACCTGATCCAGAATAAAAGCTGGTCTTTTTTTTGGCCTAAACTCCACCTGATCTGGCAGCCTATTTCCCCTCTGACCTCATCGCCTGCTAATCTTCCTCTCATTCATTTGGCTGCAGCCACATTGGCCTCCTGGCTGTTCCGAGATTAAACCAGATACTTCCTTTGAGGGCTTTTGTACTTCGTGTTCTTCTATTTGGAATTTTCGTCCTCCAGGCAACTGCATGGTTTGTTCTTATCTCAGGTCTTTACTGAAAAGTCCCTTCATTGAGGTTTTCCTTTGGCCACCCTATTCAACAGCTCGTACCCCCAACACTGAGACTCCCTATTCTACTGTCATGCTTTATTTTTTTCTAGATAGTCATCATCATTTATTTGTTGTCTGACCCTCCCAACCAGTGTAATCTCTATAATTGCATGAATTTTGTTTCTTATTTAGTGATGTGTATCCAAAACCTAGAACGGGGTCAGCAAACTTTGTCTGAAAGATAATAAATATCTTAGGCTTTGTGGGCTCTATGGTTTCTGTCACAACTACTCTTTTTGGAGAATGAGAGAAGCCATAGATAGTAAGTAAATGAGTGGGCATGTTGTGTTCCAAAAAAGCTGTTTACAGACACTGAAGTTTGACTTTCATGTAATTTTTTTTTTTTTTTTTTTTTTTTTTTGAGATAGAGTCTTGCTCTGTTCCCCAGGCTCTAGTGTAGTGGCGCAATCTTGGCTCACTGCAACCTCCGCCTCCTGGGTTCAAGCGATTCTCCCGCCTCAGCCTTCTGAGTAGCTGGGATTATAGGCACCCGCCACCACACCCAGCTAATTTTTGTATTTTTGTTAGAGATGGGGTTTCACCATGTTGGCCAGGCTGGTCTCAAACTCCTGACCTCAAGTGATCCACCTGTCTCAGCCTCCCAAAGTGCTGGGATTACAGGCGTGAGCCACCACGCCCAGCCTAATTTTCACTTCATGAAATACTATTCTTTTTTTTCCCTAAACATTTAAAAATGTAAAATACTTTCTTAGCTTATGGGCCCTACCAAAATAGGCCTGGCAATAGGACTTAGTGTACAGACCCCTGGATTAGGATAGCATCTGCATATAGTAGGTACAAAGGAATAATTTTTTCCCCCAGAAATAACTGGAAACTCTATAATTGTTATGTTGATTATTGTGTTTAAATCTAATTAAGGTATTTTGTTTTCCTTTTTACATAAGAACATAACTTTCTGCAATAAAATACTAGCTTATATCAGTTAGACTTAATTTACTCTGTGCCCTTACCCTAGGTAGACACTTGAATTAGCTTTCATATACTCATTTCAGAGTTTTTTTAAAAATGATTTATTATTATTATTTTAAATAGAGACAGGGTCTCCCTATGTTGCCCATGCTGGTTTTGAACTCCTGGGCTCAAGTGATCCTCCTGCCTTGTCCTCCCAAAATATTGGGATTATAGGTGTGAGCCACCACACCCAACCTCATTTCAGAGTTTTAAGGGAATTTCAGAGTTTCTTTATTTTACATATGAAATCCCTGAGGCTCATGAGTAAAATGATTTATAGGAATCTGAATCCAGGCTTTATGATTTGTACTCATGTCAGTAACTCATATGAGGAATAAAACTAAACATTTAATTTAATGTGTATTTGTTCATTTTATTTATTTTACTCTTTCTGATTCTTATGTAATCATTAACTTGCTCATTTTAATTGCTAGATTTTACTTAAACAATTTCAGCTAGAAATATATTTCATTTGGAAGATTAGGCTGTGGTGGTATGATATTTTTCCATTTCTGATGAGACTGTTTTTATCCCACACATTTAAGTGATAGGTTGTTTTTAATGTTTTAAAACAGAAAAGGATTAGAGTATTTTACTTGGGCTAGTAAGAATGAAAATAAATCAGCTCAAAGAGTCAGAATAGTAAATATACTATAATCTGAAGAGAAAAAAGTCAGAATGCAAAAAGCACAAAAGTAGCTGTCCCTCTGCCCCAAGAAAAAGAAAAAAAGACTGGTAGAATCTGGCATTATATTCTTAAGACTAGGAAGGCATGGGATCTTGAGTTTTCAATATAATGCTGGATGCCTGAATGTCTTTTTCTCCTCACTAATCAATACCCAGAACTCTCCCTGAAACACACACTCAGTACTACATATATTTGAATTCTTCTGGTTCTTGAGTATTTTTTTTTTTTTTTTTACATTTTAAGGAGTATGGACATCTCCAATAGTACTTTGTAGTCTATGAATATTAACATTTGATTTTACAATGCTATCATTGATGTTCTCTCTGTAGATATACCTGTGTTTCCCACAATCACAGCCACTGTGACTTTTCAGGAGTTTCGATACGATGAATTTGATGGCTCCATCTTTACTATACCTGATGACTACAAGGAAGACCCAAGCCGTTTTCCTGATCTTTAACTGACGTGGAAAAGGATGCCGTCTAACCAAGGAAAGAAAATACAGAGACCCTAGAAGTGGATCCAAATAGAAGGGACAAATGCTTTCAGTGAAGAAAAGGGAATTACACATTGAATCGACACATCAGTAATACGATACAGTGAAATGGGCCTCTAATAAGAATTTCAGCGAGTTTTCTGATGTGCCATTTTTTGTCTTTTTAAAAATATACATATTATAAATGTAATAGTTTGACACATTAATGACCCTAAGACCTGCGTATGTGAAGCAGCTATGAGTGCTGTGATTTGTTTTTAAAAATTTTTACACTTCTTGTTGAAATATATATGCATATAAATATATCTATATCTATATCTATATCTAAAACACTCCTGGACCATTAACGTAAATTAAATGTCTTAAGAGATATGGAGCCCTTTTAAACTTGTCATCTTTATGCAAGGTGACATTTATAAATATTCCTTCGAGCTTTGTTTTCATAAAATGTAAACTATGTAACATTATGTATAGTTCAGTAATTTGAATGTTTGTTCAATATAATGAACTAGAAGGAATGCAATTTTCTGTAGATGAATGAACCAAATGGTAACCATTAAACAATTGCATTTATATGTTGCAATACATTTCAGAAGGAGCGTTCACTCTGCAGGGAATAAGGTACCTCCTTTAGCACCTTAGTGCAATTCATTGTGGTGCTATTTGTTTTTACCTGAATGTTTGTTACTAATCTTCCTTTCATAGAACCTCTATTTTTTTTTTTTCTAAACTTGAGTTTGAGTCCTTGTTATGGTCATCATAAGGTAATGGTTAGCATGTTTAAAGATATTCCTCTTCCAAATCTCAGCACTTTAAAAAAAAATCCAAATTTTTAAACTTGCTTCCTAATAAGTACACATCGGTCTGATTATTTTGTTTGTTTTTAGTAGAATATGGATGCATTGGTGTCAGTTTTAAAAAACAATACACATATTTTGGACAACCCTACATATTTAATCCTTTCAAAATAAGATAAAAACATTTTATATGCTAACAGAATATATTTGTTACAAGTTAAAGTCCAGAAGTATACACAAGATTGATTACTCCTATTATTTTTTTTAAATCACAGGAAAATATTGATTTCATTGTCTCCAAAGTGATAAAATCATGTATTACTCATTTTTGCACTTAAAATTTTTCTTATTTATTCCAAGGTGGTTTGAAGGTCCAAGTATGAAAATAAATTAGGGGGATTAATGTATAACAGTTATAAAGTATCATGTTGTATTAAAGAGCTTACTTAGATTGATGTTTTTAAAATGTATCCTGATGAATGTCTCAAGAATGCATCTGTCAAGTTTTTTAGACTGACCAGTAGCTTAAACTTTTTTCAGGATTTTAGGTAATTTGAAAGGAGTTTAGAGACCCTTATTGAAAATATGATTTAAAAATCCAAAGCATAAACCGTAAGAAAAATTTTAAATAAACATCTTTAAAGCTGCATCTTCCATACTGATACATGCATTGCGTATGTTGACATTAAATACATTTTATAATGAAGAAAAATAATCATAGTAAAAAATTGAAAGACCTAATTACTACGTTACATGGACCTATTGAATTTTGGGGGAACGTGTTAGTAAACCCAGACTAGCTTTGTTGAATAGAAGTTGATCGCTGTTATTTAGGAAATGGGTAGATCAAATGACTTAGAGACTGAATTATCCTATCAGTGGTTACATGGGGTTGGAGACACTGAAAGGCAGTGATCACTGTTGCTTCTAGGCTCCCTTACTTTGTAGGAATATGGTATACTTTCAGGAATATGCTATATATGTTTTCATAAGTACAGACACCTTAGGGAAGAAAAAAAGTGGGTAATTGAAGCTTATGGTTGATTAATTTCCTAACAGCACAGCTATGAATATTTTGCTGGGGTACACTGGAGGTAGGAAGACTACTGGAAATTTTTGCACTTGAATTTTGTTTTTAAAGCTTTTTTCTTTAAAGAATGGTAGAAACAGATTATCCATTCCAAAATGTCTTTTCTCTGATCACAAAGAGCAAACAAATGTCAATATCTCTTATGATGGTGAAAAAAAGGAATTAATCGATGCAAATAAACTTTTCACAGTATTACTTTTAATGAAGATTTTTCGAAATGTGCCTTTTAATCCAGTTAATGAATGAAGCTATATGCAGTGTTTCAAATGAATAAGTCAAAACACCATATGTTTTCATAATACCACATGAAAAATCAAGATTTTGCAATGTAGGTACACAAAATTCTATATGTTCTTCTCCATTTGTGATTTTGAAACTGTTTAAATTGGTAGGGGGACAATCGTATAGTCATCTTCAATAGCCATTTAGAAATGGTTAATATTCTTGCCCACTGGTATGGTATCCAGAGAAGATATGGTTTCCATCTTTGAGAAAATAATTCTCTGATGAGACAATTTGCCCTCTGTAGATATTCACATACAGAGAATTGCCAAACTTCATAAAAGGGTAGTATGAAGTAGATGCCCTGATTTTTGTGAGTATAAGAAGTACAGATGATGGTTTGGAAACTGTCACATCTGTCTGCTGATACATGTTAGTAGATGAAAAACTGTTTCCTTCTGCTCAGAACTGGAATTAAGCCCCACTCATGCTAATAAAAATGGGTTTTTATAGTAGTATTCACATACAGTTTATTATTCACACACTGGGGGAGGGTGATGAATAATGATTATTTAATGAGCCCTCTTCCTAGTTTTCCCTAAGTCTGCAGAAGACAAAGATCCTGTTTCCAGGCCATGAAAGGACTGAAGTAAATATTGTAAATAAGTACAGCTGACCCTTGAACAACATGGAGGTTAGGGGTTCAGTTGAAAATCTGCATGTAAGTGGACCTGTGCAGTCCAAACCTGTGTTTAACTGCTGAATTAAAGGTGCTTCCTTCTGCTCATTGATATTACCCATATTTACAAACATGCTAGAGAAAAGCAACTGGTGTAAAACTTGCCCCCACTAGAGAAATGGACAGGAGGTATTAAGTCACTTGTAAAGATAGATAGCAGAACTAAGCTTGGTAAAAGCCCATGATTGTTTGTATACTATAAATTAGCCAAAACTACTCTTGCAAAGCATTTTATGTCAGAAATCTGGGGCAATAGTAACTAACTCTGGTTGCCACCTAAAAATTTCATAACATGTTAAGAATCACATTTTTTACATCATGCAAACCATCCTTACAGAGTGAGCTTACCTTGTGATGAGCTTTTTAATTGTTACAGTTCATTTTAGAAGAGTAATACTTTCAGTCATAATGGTACCTATGGTACATAGAATTACAATTTTGCTTTTTCCACACACTGAAAAATATTGAAGCAAAATCTTAAGAACTTCTAAGAAAGGTGCTTGTTAATCATTCTTGGTTTTCATCATGTTTTGCGGTGAAAATGACTTTAATTAGAGTAGAAATATTGTCTAACATAAAACCAAAAAGATAAAACCCACCACTTATTTACCTGTACCTCCCATACATAGAGTTCTTGATGACTAAAGAAGGATGACAGTAATTGGGATGTTCTAAATACAGTTGTGTGTCACTTAATGATGGGTACATGTTCTGTGGAATGCATCAGGTGATTTTGTCATTGTGAGAACCATATTGGGTGTACTTACACAAACCTAGGTGGTATAGCATACCACTCACCTAGACTATACAATAAAGCCTATTGCTCCGAGACCACAAGCTGGTTCAGCATATTACTGTTCAGCGTATTATTGTACTGAGTACTGTGGGCAATTTTAACACAATTTGTGCATTACACAAATTGTACTTACATTATATTTGTGTATCTAGACATAGAAAAACTACAGTAAGAAAATGATACAGAAAGATAAAAAATGGTACACTTGTATAGGGCACTTAGCATAAATGGAACTTGCAGGACTGGAAATTGCTCTAGGTGAGCCAGTGAGAGAGTAGTGAGTGAATGTGAAGGCCTAGGACATTACCGTGCACTCCTGTAGACTTCATAAACATACAGTTAAGCTACGCTAGATATATTTTTTAAATTTCTTTTAATAATAAATTAACCTTAGTTTACTATAACTTTTTACTTTGTAAGTTTTTAAATTTATTTATTTATGTATTTATTTTATATACATTTTTTGAGACGGAGTCTTTCTCCGTCACCCAGGCTGGAGTGCAGTGGCGCAATCTTGGGTCACTGCAACCTCCACCTCCCGAGTTTAAGCAATCCTCCTGTCTCAGCCTCCCAAGTAGCTGGGACTACAGGCACCTGTCACCACGCCTGGCTAATTTTTGTATTTTTAGTAGAGACGGGGGGTTTCACCTTGTTGGTCAGGCTGGTCTTGAACTCCTGACCTCAGGTGATCCACCCGCCTCAGCCTCCCAAAGTGCTTTAAATTTTTAAACTGACTCTTGTAATAACACTTCACTTAAAACACATTGTACAGCTATACACAAATATTCTTTCTTCATATCCTTATTCTGTGAGCTTTTTTCTATTTAATAAAATTTGTTTTTACTTTTTAACCTTTTTTGGTCTGTTTTTTGAGACAGAGTCTCTGTCGCTGAAGTGCAATGCTGCGATCTTGGCTCACCGCAACCTCTGCCTCCTGTGTTCAAGTGATTCTCCTGCCTCAGCCTCCCAAGTAGCTGCGACTATAGGCGCATGCCACCATGCCCAGCTAATTTTTGTATTTTTAGTAGAGACGGGGTTTCACTGTGTTGGCCAGGATGGTGTCGATCTCTTGACCTCGTGATCCACTGGCCTCGGACTCCCAGTGCTCAGATTACAGGCATCAGCCACCGCGCCTGGCCTTACTTTTTAACCTTTTTCAAAAAAAAAAAAACTAAAACACACACATTATGCTAGGCTTACACAGGGTCAGAATCATCAATGTCACTGTCTTCCGCCTCCACATCTTGTCCCACCGGAAGGTCTTAAGGGGCAATAACATGCATGGAGCTGTCATCTGCTGTGATGACAATACCTCCTGGAATGCCTCCTGCAGGACCTGCCTGGGGTTGTTTTTCAGGTAACTTTTTTTTTAATAAGAACACACATACTGCAACAATAAATAGTAAATACATAAACCAGTAATAATTTATTACCAAGTATTATGTATGGTACATAATTGTATGTACTATACTTTTTTTTTTTTTTTTTTTTGAGACTGAGTCTTGCTCTGTTGCCCAGGCTGGAGTGCAGTGGCACGATCTAGGCTCACTGCAAGCTCCGCCTCCCGGGTTCACACCATTCTCCTGCCTCAGCCTCCCGAGTAGCTGGGACTACAGGCACCGCCACCACGCCGGGCTAATTTTTTCTATTTTTAGTAGAGACGGTGTTTCACCGTGCTAGCCAGGTTGGTCTCGGTCTCCTGACCTCGTGATCTGCCCGCCTCAGCCTCCCAAAGTGCTGGGACTACAGGCGTGAGCCACCGCGCCCGGCCGTATGTACTATACTTTTATACAACTGACAGCAGAGTATGTTTGTATACACCAGCATCACCACAAACACATAATGCACTGGGCTAGGATGTTATAATGGCTACGATGTCTCTAGGTAATAGGAATTTTTCAGCTCCTTTATAATCTTTTGAGACTGCGATCCTATATGCAGTCGATTGTTGACCAAAACGAGGCAACATTATGCAATGCATGACTAATGAATATGGATAATGTAGGAGTTTTGGAGGGCTGAAGTGAAACAAATTTTGTAGCTCATACACATTGTGGCTTATCTGCTGCTCCTTTGGGATGAGGCTGCAGTTGGGCCTGCAGTTGTTCCACTGTCCCCAAATCCTCCTTCAGCTTCTCAGACTCATGGGCCAGCTATATTTTGCTCCATGATAAAGAGTCCTGGCTTTGGAAGGACATCCATGCCACCAAGGTCAGAAGCAGCGAGATCTGACCAGAGTGTCAGTCCATGTTTGTGGTTCTAGCTTGTGCTTGTGGCTAGTTCCAGCTTATTCCTAGTGCCACCATCCCTCCCTCAATCATTCACCTTTGCTTTCCAACTGCCTAAAATGAACTTCAACCTCCAGCATCAGATGCAAAGATGAAGCCTTACAAACTGCTTAACTAGGTCTCACCATTGTTGATGTCATATCTGTTAAAAAGTATATCTTCTAGTGGTTCTGCTTCTCTGAATCCTGATTGATATATTAATTTTGTGGAAAGATAAAAATGTTCTTAATCTACTTGATGCTTGTCTTCCAAAATTTGGTATTTAAATGAACAAAATTTTTTTTTTTTTTGAGACGGAGTCTCGCTCTGTCTCCCATGCTGGAGTGCAGTGGCGCGATCTCGGTTCACTGCAAGCTCCGCCTCCCGGGTTCACGCCATTCTCCTGCCTCAGCCTCTCTAGTAGCTGGGACTACAGGCGCCCACCACCACGCCCGGCTAATTTTTTGTATTTTTAGTAGAGACCGGGTTTCACCGTGTTAGTCAGGATGGTCTCGATCTCCTGACCTCGTGATCTGCCTGCCTTGGCCTCCCAAAGTGCTGGTATTACAGGCCTCTGAGCCATCGCGCCCGGCCTAAATGAACACATTTTAACTTTGCCAATTTAGTGAATAAAAAAGCAGTTTTTACATTTAACATAACGTCAAAATTACATTTAGTATATTTGCAGAAAGCACAACCATTTTTTTTTTTTTTTGAGACAGTCTGTCGCTTTGCCTGGAGTGCAGTGGTGCAATCTTGGGTCACTGCAACCTCCGCTTCCCGGGCTCAAGCAATCCTCCCACCGCAACCTCCCAGGTAGCTGGGAGTACAAGTCCGTGCCACCATGCCTGGCTAATTTTCGTATTTTTTTTTTTTTTTAAGACACAGGGTTTTACAATGTTGTCCAGGCTGGTCTTGAATTCTTGGGCTCAAGCAATCTGCCTGCCTGGGCCTTCCAAAATGCTGGGATTACAGGTGTGAGGTACCATGCCCGTCAGAAAATAACTTTTTTGAGATGGAGTTTCGCTCTGTCGCCCAGGCTGGAGGGCAGTGGCGCGATATTGGCTCACTGCAAGCTCCGCCTCCTGGGTTCATGCCATTCTCCTGCCTCAGTCTCCCCAGTGCTGGGACTACAGGCGCCTGAGACCACTCCCGGCTAATTTTTTTGTGTTTTTAGTAGAGACGGGGTTTCACTGTGTTAGCCAGGATGGTCTCAATCTCCCGACCTCGTGATCTGCCGGCCTCGGCCTCCCAAAGTGCTGGGATTACAGGCGTGAGCCACCGCGCCCTGCTAGAAAGTAATTTTTTAAATTACATTTTGGGATAACTGAACGTGAATGATATTAAACATCATTTGGAACATTCTATTTTTTGTGACCCTAGACCTTCAATTTCTCATGCGCAAACCATATTTTGGCAAACTAGCTTTTTATTTTTATTTATTTTTTGAGACAGAATCTCGCTCTGTCACCCAGGCTGGAGTGCAGTGGAGTGGGGTGGCGTGATCTTGGCTCACTGCAACTTCCGCCTCCTGAGTGCAAGCGATTCTCCTGCCTCAGCCTGCCAAGTAGCCGGGATTACAGGTATGCACCACCATACCCGGCTAATTTTGTATTTTTAGTAGAGATGGTTTCACCATGTTGGCCAGGATGATCTCGAACTCCTTACCTCAAGGGATCCACCCACCTCAGCCTCCCAAAGTGCTGGGATTACAGGCGTGAGCCACCGCACCCAGCCCTAACTAGCTTTTTTTTTAAAAAAGACATCATGGTACTAATTTTAGTGACAGTGCATTGCAAAAATAACCTTTAATAAATTGAGAAATCTGAGAATGATGTGAATGTGTCACTTCCATTATTTTTGTAAGAACATTTTATTGGTCACCTAGAAATATTAGTCATATCAGACTGTAAATTGTCTTAAGACTGCTAAACATCGGCCGGGCACGGTGGCTCATGCCTGTAATCCCAGCACTTTGGGAGGCGGATCACGAGGTCAGGAGACAGAGACCATCCTGGTCAACATGGTGAAACCCCGTCTCGCGTAAAATTACAAAAATTAGCTGGGCATGGTAGTGCATGCCTGTAGTCCCAGCTACTCGGGAGGCTGAGGCAGGAGAGTTGCTTGAACCCGGGAGGCGGAGGTTTCAGTGAGCCAAGATTGCATCACTGCCCTCCAGCCTGGCGACGACCATGACAGAACGAAACTCCGTCACACACACACACACACACACACACACACACACACACACACACACACGATTGCTAACCATCTTCTATGATAAACCTTAAGTATATTCTAAAGAATATTACCACTGATAAAAGAATTGTCATGGTACTCACCTAAGATATTTTGCTAAGAATGTCTAAATAAATTTCACATATACTTTGACATAAAATGAAAATGGGAATAGAAACAAAACTGAGTAAAACAGGTTGAAATTCAAAATATCTACCACTCCAAAAATTGTCTCATTGAGAAATTTATAAAGGTACAATTACTACTTCTGCTAATAAAACCTTAATAGACATTCTGAATGCTTTTAAAAGTATGAGTAACAATTCCATTACACCCATATTTAATTAAAACACAACCACATGTACTTGATTAGAAAAAATAGAAGCACAGGGATGAAATGCATTAGCTGGTTTTGAGGCAGACTGAGGGAAAAGAAATCTCAATTCCATTTGAAAAGATGTGTATCAATCTACAAACAGCATGCATGGATCCAACCCTTCATCTAGTGCCCAACTGAGTGATAATTTTGCTAGAGATAAATTTGATGTATTAATACTGTAATCTGCATGACATAAGCTGTATAATGCACACTCCAGAACCTGACTCAGTTTTAAGATGTAGCTCCAAGGTTAACAGTAATTTTTATCCTCTCCTTCCTTTTCCCAAGTGCCTATTTGCATTTTTCTGTCTTCCATGTATAGAATTGCCACGAGGAAACTTACCTAAGATCCATCTTCATGAAAACAGTTAAGGGCAACACAGCCTTTTCAATAAAAGGTATGCAATTTATTTTGTGCTTTTAACATTACCCCCTACACAAATTATTAGTTACATAACTTTTAAGGGCCCCATAATCAAATAGCAGCTATCATTTAATGTCCCAGGCACCAAAGGCTACATTTTAAAAATTACTGTTTTACAGATACAGATGGGGTCTTGCTATTACCCAACCTGGAGCGCAGTGGCATGATCATAGTTCACTGCAGCCCCAACTCCTTGGGTTCAAAGTGATCCTCCTGCCTCAACCTCCACAGTAGCTAGAACTACAGGTGTGCACCACCACACCTGGCTATTTATTTTTTTGTAGACAGTGTCTTGCTATGTTGCCTAGGCTGGTCCTGGGCTCAAGCACTCCTGCCTTGGCCTCCCAAAGTGTTGGGATTACAGGCATGAGCCATAGTGCCCAGCCAACAACTTTTATATGCACTGGGAAGCCAAAAAAATTCATGAACTGCTTTATTGTAGTCTGGAACTAAACCCACAATACCTCCGAGGTATGTCTGTACTTTGCAAGGTAGCAATCACTTCCATTTTACCCGTAGGAAACTGAAGGTAAGGAACACAGTTATCTCCAGCTCTATGAAATAAAGACCAAATGCATGACTGGACTCTTATCTTTCCATTTAAAAAAGCTCATTGTATAGCTACCACCTCTCGTTCACTCCTAAAGGATTTAAGCAAATAAATAAGGACAAAACATTTTTCTAACAAAAACCACTTTTATTTTTAAATCAATTTACTATCAAATACACAACAGAACTCGGTGTGGAGGCAGTGTTTGATTTCAACTGGTTATCTGTTAAAAGGCTTGTGTCCCAGTGCAACACTACCTTTGTGCAGAAAATGTTCACTGAAAATAAATATCCTAAGAATGGATAATCTTCACTGTAGCATCTTGTCAGTGGCACTACTTTTAAAAAAATGATTCCCTTTAGAAAAGCTAGTATATTTGTATTCAGAGATTACAAGTGAGGGAACACACTGTGAATATTAGGTTTACCATATGTGAAATTTGTTTTTGACTTACAAAAATGCCCATGTCACATGGTTCACCTTTTATCTACTAAAGTTTAAAACAAATGTCATTTGTGTTGAACTTTGTTTTTTAAAAATGCAGTGATTAGGACCATTATTAGAACTTCTTTTACTCACTATAGACAATTCTTTTTGATAAAATCTTTAAAAAGTTACTTACTACAAACTGTAAAAACAATGCTGTTTTTCTATATGGCATTTCAGTTTTTAGGTTAAAAAAAACAAAACAAAACCCTATTTATACTCAAAACTTGGATAAAAGCTACAATTCCAAGTCTCATTTTCCCTTAACCCCAGCCACCCAAACACTACTCATTTCATAAATGAATACTATTTAGTACTGTACAGTAGATACATATTGACAGCTTCTATACTACTCCAGAAAGGCAAATATCTGTATTTCACCGAAAATATAAATTTGCTAGATATAGGTGGGATTTGTTTATACTAAAGTTCATTGCTTTATCCAACCCCATTCCCACACAAAAAATAAGCAATAAAATGATACTAAGCTAAGAAAAGGACTATTTTGGATAGAAATTAAATCATTTTTGACAATTTTGATGGCAATTATCACTACAGTGATAGACTTCCTCTTTTTACTATACTGAAATATGTGGACAGAAAGGGAAAGAATTTGTAAAATGAATGAGGTAAATGTCATACATTCAGTAGCGTAAATAAATACAAATACGGTTTTACAGGAACATGAACATAAGTTTAAGGGTTTTATTATCAAAGTCTTGTAAAACAATTTCAGAAACTGTACATCAACATGGCACAGACTGTAGCCTACTTTTGTTTCTACTGCACAAAAGTGAAGCTTGAAACTTCTGTAACTAAGAAAACAGTTGCCTACTTTGCATATATAACATGAAATCACCGTGTGCATAAGATTACTACTGCAGTAACACAAATTTATTGGTTTTATACAACTTGAGATCAAATAAAGGTACATTATCAAGTAGATTTGTCTTATTTTAAAAGCGTATGAAGGTCAATTTAAAATGCACTACCCCTTTTTTCCAACACGGAGCTTAAAACAAATTAATGAAAGAGTGGAAAATTCAAAATAAGGGCAAGAGATAAGGTTTTTTTCTTTTTTTCCTTTAAGATAGACTCAGGATAGGTAGATAGCTTTCACTGATGTAGATGTGGAATAAATTATTACTTCAGGAAAAAAATTCCCAAACATCTTATGAAAAAGTATACAACTCTACTTCAAAATATGCTATTTACTCACTGCCAAAGACAGTTTTATTTGAAATCTTGTTTCTGTATTTAAACCCTAATTAGCCACCAAAAAAGGTTAGTGCATAATAACCTTTCAAAGTTAAACAAAAGCCACAAAAATTTTGCCACAAGGCTTAAAGGATTATCTATTTCAAATGCTCATTTCCAGATGTAACTATAAGAATGTTAATTTGTCATGTCAACAAACAAGACCATAAGTAGATCCATCATGTTGGAGGATTTTAATGACATTTAGGATATTCTTGCCACAATAACATGCAATCAGTGCATTTCCTACATGGCTCTATTACGGCAATGAATCAAATTATAGAAATACTATAAGTGAACTTACTTAATAAAGGATATCATACGACATAAACAATCCATGCCTGCTGTAGATGCATGCAGCTTTTCATTTTTGTTATGAAGCAGCACCAGAATAGTAAAACTGCTTGGTTACTCAATCAGATTTCACCATGACAAGAATTGGTTACCTCGTACCATTTTCTAAAAGCTTTTTGATGTAAATAACTAATATGAGTAACAGGAGCTTTATAACCATTTATAACTCAGAGCTGTATACATCTAGGTTTGAGATGAACAAATACAGCATTAAGAAATCACACAAAGGAATGACACTGATGCAGGTATACAGTTGGACTCCCTCAGAGGCAATATTCAGTCACTCATATCCATGTCTTCTTCATGATGATCATCCCCATTCACTTTGGATTCTCTTAGTGAATCACCAGTTCCCTTTTCCACAGAACATTCCTTTGTTTTAGGGGAACCTGTTTCTATTGGTTTCTTCTCTTCTTTTTTCTCTTTCTCACTGTCATACCCCTGTTCCTCTTCATCATAATCCCGTGTAACCTGCTTTGCCAAGGAGAATAATAAAAGTAAACTTCTCCAAAGAAAAATAACTTCTGAAAGTACCAACATCACCCCAAATATAAAAATAAATCAATTTGTAAACATACTTTTACATCTTTATCACTCTCTGATTTTCTTTCCCGGTCCTTTTCCTTATCTTTACTCTTCTTCTTCTTGCTTGTTGATCGTTCTCTTTCATCCCTACTTCTTTCTTTGTCTTTATCTTTCTTCTTCTCCTTTTTATGTCTAGAATGACAGTAAAATGTACAGCAACAGGTTTAACTTGTTTAGATGATGAGCCTGACTCAATTTCACAGGATATAAGTAGTACAGCAAAGATCCAACTTCAAAACCTTGGAGAAGTAACACAGGCTACAAAACTAACTTGTTTATAGGACTAAAATGTTCAGTCCTTAATGGTGTTTAAGTCACAAGTCAGAAGGAGAATACATTAAAACATTCTTAAGAACTGTAACTGCTGAAAAGAAAAACTACAGGACAGTTTTAAAATGAAAAACCTCTGAAAAATATAAAAAATACATTTAAATGATTAACATTCTTACCTCCTAGGGGATGGTGAGCGGGACAATTTTCTTTTAGGAGACCGAGGCTTTTTAGGAGATCTTGTGCCACTCCTGCTTCTTCGTCGTCGTCTCTCTCTAGAATCACAAATGTGCAAACTAGGTTTTAAAATACAGTGTGATCTTAAAAATGCAGACACATCATAGATGATTCTAACAATGAAAGATGTGGCCAGATGTAGTGGCTCATGCCTATAATCCCAGCACTTTGGCAGGCTGAGGTGAGGGGATTGCTTGAGCCCAGGAGTTCCAGACCAGCCTGGGCAACATGGTGAAACTCTGTCTCTACAAAAAATACAAAAAAATTAGCCAGGTGTGGTGGTGCATGCCTGTAGTCCCAGCTACTCAGGAGGCAGAGGCAGGAAGATCACTTGAGCCTGCGGAGGTTGAAGCTGGAGTGAGTTGTGATAGGGCCACTGCACTCCAGCCTGGGCAACAGAGAGAGACCCTGTCTCAAAAAAACAGAAAAATGAAAGATTGTTTCACAATACTGGTATAAGCTAAACAATTAAATGAGTAATATAATCATCTGCAAACCATGAATCTTTCCCTTTACTACCCTCAAGAAAACTCCTAATTTCTAGTAATTCTTTTAATTGATGACAAAATGTTAGAAATACTAAGCTTGAGAAAAAACTGATTTAACAAAACTAATGCGAGAGGGGTGACGTGTGAAGTAAACTATTACTGAAGAAGTTAGTTTTTGGTTCAAACATTCAGTGTTCAGAGTAAGTACAGAATAATTCAATAATGTGATATAGAAGGTAGTTACTAATAAAATATCCCCACATTCACCTTTAAATCATTAGATGAAATTCAGAGAACTAGTTAGTGGAAAGGTAGAAACCTTATACTCTAGCAAAATCGCCCTCCTGCAGTCCCCCAAAACCCTGCTTTCACCAATTACTTTGAAGATATACAGCTGATATACAGCCTTCCCCTCCTTTTTACTGTAACTTAAAAAAAAAAATTCTGTTCCTGATTCTCAAAAGTTATCAGACTTAAAAAACCCTGTACTTAGTTGTCTAATTTCCAAATGAAGCTTTTTTTCTACTTACACAGCCCTCTGTGACCCTTGTCCTGGAAACGTTACACATAACTGAGCATTCACTTATCAAACATTGTCACGACTGTGCACCTTATACTTTTTGCTACTGTCTTATGTAACTGAAACTCCAAATTCTCTAGACGGAAGAAGTATTTTATATTACATTTCCGTGTCCTTCAACAGACTGTAGCACAACTACAAACACAGTGGGTATTTAATAACTCACAGAAGATGCCTTAATTTAGAGTGATCCAATAATACAGCATGAGAAGGCACTTACAAGTACATTATATAAAGCAACAGGTAAAAAAAAAAATCCTCAACAGTTTTTAAGGTAAGAAAATATATGTAGTACCTTCCATCTTTTCTATCTCTTTGCCACCTATCCCTCAGGCCTGATTCAGCATTTCCTTCTGTACTTACATTTGGTTTCATTTTCATGCTTAAAAATTTAGTTTTTAAGAAAATTTTCACCACCCCAAAAACTCCCTACCCTTTAGTTATCACTCTAATCCTCCCTATCTCCCCAGCAATCAGTAATCTACTTGGTATCTTTATAGATTTGCCTATTCTGGGCATTTCATATAAAAGGAATCACGCAATACACGGCCTTTCATGGATGTTTGCAAGTTTCATCCATACTGTAGCATGTATCAACCTTATTTATCACTGAAAAATATTCAATTGTATAGATATACCATTCTGTTTATCCATTTGTTAATGGATAGTTAACTTTTTGGCTATTATGAAATAATGCCACAAACATTCACATAAAAGTTTTTCTGTGAAAATGTTTTCATTTTCCCCCAGGGGTACAACTGGTGGGTCAAAAACCTCTATGTTTAACATTTTTAGGAAATGCCAGACTGTTTTCTAAAACACCTGTACCAGTTTATATTCATACTAGCAATGCACAGGGTTCTAATTTCTCCACATCCTAATCAACACTTACTATCATCTGTCAGGCTCAGCTATCATCTGTCTTTTTGATTTATAACCATCCTAGTGACTGTGACATATCTCACTGTGGTCTGGTTTGTATTTCCTTGGTGACTAATGATGTTGAACAGATTTTATGTACTTACTAGATATTTGCATATCTCCTTTGGAGTAATGGCTACAGATTCTTTGCCATTTTTAAATTGGGTTGCCTGTCTATTGCTGAGTTCTAAGAGTTCTTAATAGAGAATATATAAAGAATTTTCTAACTAGCACTCTAGGTTTTTACTTTCTTGATAGTATCCTTTGAAATACAAATGTTTTAACTTTTGGTGAATTCCAAAATTTTCTTTTCTTCTGTTGCTTATGCTTTTGAAGTCATATCTAGGAAACCACCAAGCTCATGGTCTTAAAGATTCACTTTTGTTTCTTTCTAAAGGTTTTATAGTTTTGGCTCTTACATTTAGGTCTTTTATACATTTCAGTTATTTTTTTTTATATGGCATGAACCTTCTCCTAGTGAATTTAAGTAATGTTGATGAATAAAACAAGCACTGCAGCAAAACATGTGAATGAGATCTGAAAAATGGAATGAAGTCCAGCCCTTACTATCATATAAATCCCAAATTAAGTATGAAAATGTGCTTTTTGTGCAGTAAGGTCTGCAACATTTCAATTTTCACTGACAGCTTAAAGATAGAATTAGTCTAAGAATGACACAAACCAGAACCTGCATTGCTTCCCATTAATTCAACAGTCATTAAAAGGGATAGAAAAATTCTCAAGTACTAACATGCAGATGATAAATATAGCTTACTATAATAAGCTTACTTAATGGAACAATTCAGTATGGTTTAGCCATTAAAACTTAAACTATAAAGAGAAAAACTCACCTCTCTTGAATTCCATGTTACTTCAAATATACTCTAGACCATAAAATATTAAGTAAAAAGAAAAATAAACTACATTATTCTTCACAAATTGCCTTTTAAAAACTTTAAATAACAGCAAAATGTAACTTTTTTCAACACTGAAATACTTATGTTCTGGAAAAGACTTCATACTGACAGCGTACTGATACTGTTAGAAGCAAAGTTAAAAAAATAATTGCCAAGAATTCACAATGCCACCTTACCTGCTTGCACTTCTAGAACGTCTGGCTGTGCTGTAACTTTTTGGTGGTGTTTTAGAACGTTTCTTTTCTTTGTCTTCTTTCTTTTTGTCTCTAACAAATGAACACAATTTATGAATGCATTAGAAGACTCAGCTGATGCCAATTTATATAGCACTACAAACACAAAAATATAATCAGATCTAATCCCATCCTTAAAAGCATAAATGTTGTTCTGACAGAAACTGTTTTAAAAATAATACTTTATGTGGCATATTTGAAGTACAATAACTTCTTTTAAAATCCTATTATCCTAGGTTTTCTCCCAAGTAGACTAAAGTAGACTATGGGTGAGAAAATAACTAGGATGTTGGCTTGAAATATACTTGGTAAACACCAATAAGTTAACTATCTCTAGGCTCCTCAAGACTCCTTTTTCTCTCAGCTGATTACCACTTTCCCAACCCACCTCTCCTATCAGGCCAAAACCCATAGAGCACTACCAAAATCCATCAATATCATGAATATTCTTCCAAGACACACATCCCATGTCAACCTCTATCATGGATCAAGCAAGCTTCTTTTTCTGCGGCTATTATGAACTATTCAGGGCTTATTAGAAAATATCAACAGATTTTGACTACAGCCGTAACTCAATTTTTTTTTTTTACAGATTCCTATAAATTTTTACTCCTCACAATATTTTTTCCCCAAGATCATCATTCTCCCCAAGACTCTAAGCAAAGAGTAGATAAACGATATATATTTGTTGAATGAGAAGTCTCATAACAACCCCCCTCTTTAACTATTCTCTAATTTTAAGAATCAAAGTATCCCTCTCTTACTGTTCTAAGCTAATCTTTCCATTCTGCATTCTCAATTTCATTTTTTTCCCTTCTCTGGTCATCCTCGGTTCCCTCTTCATTCAATCTTTATCATTGGTTCCCTCTTCATTTGAATCTTTATCATCTAACTCCTAGATTACTAGAACAGTCCCCTAGTAGGTCCCAGTCATGCCTTCCATAAACTGATTCTGTACTCTGTCAGAAATCTTTTAAAGTACAAACCTGAAAATATTAATTCCCTGTTCACCATTTTCAACTCATTCCAGTTGCCTCCTGGATCAAGTGCATAGTGTGAACAACAAAGCCTTCCACGATCGGTCTCATTATATTTTTCTGACCTCATTTTCTAGTCCAACTACATCAAAATATTGTTATTTCAAGAAACACCATTCTCCACCTGAAAGCATGCCTCCCGTTGAGTCTAGTCAAATCTTTCAGAATTTAATACTCGAGTCATTCTCAAACCTCTTCCAATATCAGCAAGTAGCAATCATCATTTAACAGTTCCTCCCCTGTAATTAAATCCATCACTCTTCTCCTAGTAATCAGAAAGTCCTTAAAGAAATGCTTAATTCCTTTGTATAACTGTTCTATTAATCTACCTTGTTTGATTCACTCTGCAGCACATAAGGACTAAAAGCCCCATTATTACAGGTTTAACAATGATAGTAAAGCTACCCCCACTCTTCTGTTCTCATCAGTTGAGTTTTATGCTTCCCAAGAGTAAGTTATGTTGTGTCCCCAGCTGTACTTACTTTAATGACATGATTTAACTAAATATATAAATGAACAAAATAATGCCAAATATAGAGTTGCTTCTAGAAAATTAAGATAAATATTTTAGCAAGAGATAAAAAGCAGTTGCTAAAAAAATTAAGTGCTGTGAAATTGTATGCCTCACAACTATAAATGACTGGGGGCATACTAATTTAAAAGTGTTTGGTTCTACACGAAAAGACTGGTTTTTGAATATATTTTTAGATGGAAATAAAACGTTACGGTATTTCTTATGAAAGAAGGTAGCAGGACAGCTAACAATTCCTACTACTAAGAAATTTTACTTAGGCCCTCAGCTGTAAGCTGAAGTTTCAGTTTACAAGGAAGCACCAGAAAGCAAACGTCAGCCTCCTCAAACTCAAATATTGACAGTTTCTTCCCCTGTCTAGCCCTATTTCTCTGCCCCGCACCCCAACCACCTCTTTTGTTACTAAGTAGCACAGTACTAGGGGTACTGGGAACCCTAAAATTTGCTTTCTCACCCAATGCTATACCTTGTTTTTGATGTGCTCCTTGACCTTCTACCTCTTTCTCTGGAATGAGATCTTCTCCGCCTTGGGCTTTTGGATCGTCGCCGACTCCTAGACTTAGAATGTGACCGCCGTCTCGATCTGCTTCTTGACCGCCTAATAGTGTAAAAGGAAGCCAATACATGTGTATAAATGTAAAAAGACTATAAATTTTGTGCTTAGTATCAGACAAAAGATTCGGACATATGGACTAAACAATTAAATGGGGGATAATTCCCTTCCATTTGCTATTATTTAGCCCATAGAACAAACACCTTCAACACCTTAGAAATTAGTAATACCTTTTAACACTTGGAATTCCTCACCTTTTAATGATTTGCTCAACCTGTCAGATAGGTCCTTCTATGCCCACTGTACTTACAACTCCAAGGTTAAAAATACTACTAGATCATGAAGGAGAATAAAAGTATGACTTATTTGCATCATCTTATACAATTATATAGCATTTTAGCATGTATTTCTTATTTGATTCCTCATTAGTGCAGCTTAAACCTTCCTCATCATAAATCAAATACTTATATCACGCTATATATAAACTACAAATTGGTCTCGTAAGTCCATAAAGTAAATGCCACTATTATTTCTATTTTATAAAGAGAAACTACTTATTGTGTTGCCATCTCCTATTTCGAATTTTTCTCTGAAACAAATTCCACTCCTTTAATCCACAATTTAGGAAACTCCAGGCAATGCAGACCTTTTACAGATATATACAATTTGTATAAACTGCCTCTTTTACTCTCATTTTTCCCTGACATATCTGTTTCTCTACTCCCTGCACCGAGCCCCCATCCATTGTGTCCTGACCTGGCTCTTCCAGGACTAAGAAGCACAATTAACCTTTAGATGTTGTCATCCTCCCTACTGCATTAAAACTCATTCTCCTCTATCTTTTAAGCGATGGGGTTTTGCCATGTTGCCCAGGATGGTCTTGAACTCCTGGGCTCAAGCCACCAGCCCACCTTGGCCTCCCAGAGTTGGGATTATAGGCATTAACCACCACAACCGGCCCATTCTCTTCTATTTTAAAAATTAAAAATAAGTTGCAATCCTTTGCTTAGTCTTGATCACTTAACTTTTAGTGACCATTCAACTTCTCTCTGTGCAACATTTCAAATATAGTCTAAATTTTCTGCCTACTTTTCTTTTCAAGGTACAAGAAAGAGTATGGACATCTTAAAGACTTGTGTTAAACTCTCATTTATAAGCCAGGTAACTTAAGAGTATTATCTAACCTCTCTGACCTTGTTACTTCAGCAGTCAAGGATAGTAACACCTCTATCACCAAATAATGACAAAGATTAAATGCAGTATATAGAGTCTAGCTCGGTGCCTTAGTGTAGGCACACACAAGTGACCCTTGAATAACATGAGCTTTAACGGCATGGTTCCACCTACACACTGTGTTTTTTTTTTTTTTTTTTTTTTTTTTTTTTTTTTTTTGCCACCAACCAAATGTGGATTAAAAACAGTATTTGAAGGATGAGGAACCCATGTATAGTCAGGACTGAGTTTTCCTATATGTGGATTCCAGAGGACTTGAGTATGCATGGATTCTGGTATAGATGGATTTGTAACCAATCCCCTGCATATACGGAGGGGACTGTACATTAAATATTGATGTCCTTCTTTCCTCTTACTGATGTACTAATATAGCTTCTGTTGCCATAACTCCCTAAAACAACTGCCTCAAAACCCATAGTAATGCCTCAATAAACTATTTGAGTTATTGAACTCAATTAACTTTAATTTTAATCTCTTATTTTCAGCCATATTTGAAACTATTTACTAAACAATTCCTTGCAATAACATCTCCACATCCTAAGATGTTTTTATCTACTTAACTACCCTACCATAGGCTCCACAAAGACATGGGAAGTAAGTCTTTTCATGACTGTATTCTTGAGCAATTACTACACTGCCTGATTTAAATAAAAGGCACCAATAATATACTTTGAATGAAATATAGGCATATAAAATATCAGAATCATAACCTTAAGAGATTAAACAGTTGTTTTCAAAGGGGAATGTACTACCGTCACTTTTCTACACTTACTAGTTCATATGAGCTTTTAACCAGCAAAAGAGATTAGTGTAACATATTTTTAATAAAGTCAAAAAGCTTGTGAAAGTCATGGTCATTTAACACACTATGTGATGCTTGATACTACAACTGGGCTGGACTCAGTGGCTTGTATCTGTCACCCCAGCACTTTGGGAGGCCGAGGTGGGCAAACAGCTCGAGCTCAGGAGTTCGAGACCAGCCTGGGCAACATGGCAAAACCCTGTCTCTACATAAAAAAAAAAGGTGCAAAAATTAGCCAGGTGTGGTGGTGCATGCCTGTAGTCCCAGCTGCTCAGGAGGCTGAGGTGGGAGGATGGCTTGAGCCTGGTGGGGGTGTGGGGTGTGGGGGGTGTGTGTGTGTGGTGAGGGTTACCACAACCCACAACAATGATTTCTGTTACGATGTATTACAAGTATCTGGATTCAGGGACATATTTCACTTCTACTTTTCACTGGTCATAGTAAAGTAATTAATATTAAAATGAGAGAGTCCCAGTAAGATTTAATATAAAGAAAAAGACACAGGCTCTCCCTTTTTTTTTTTTTTTTAAGACGGAGTCTCGCTGTCACCAAGCTGGAGTGCAGTGGCGCCATCCTGGCTCACTGCAATCCCCGCCTCCGGGGTTCAAGCGATTCTCCTGCTTCAGCCTCCTGAGTAGCTGGGATTACAGCTGCGCGCGCCACCACACCCAGCTGATTTTTGTGTTTTTAGGAGAGACGGGGTTTCACTATGTTGGCCAGGCTGGTCTCAATCTCCTGACCTTGTGATCCTCCGCCTCGGCCTCCCCAAGTGCTGGGACTACAGGCGTGAGCCACCCCACCCGGCCCAGGCTCTCCTTTTTCCTAAGAGTTTGGTAAAAGGAAACACATATAAATTGTAGTAATCATGAGGTATATCCTATTGCAGAGGTTAAACTAAACTATGAGAGCACTGTCATGGAAGATTAAGACTGCAAGCATTGTATCTTGAAGAAAGAAAAAGGAGTTCCTCAAAGCGGAAATGGAAGATGTGGAAAAGCATTAGGCAGAAAGGATCATGAGCAGAAACATGAAGACATAAAGAAAATGGTATGTTGAGGCAATTAGTCCTGTAACTTTTGGAGTGGCAAATGACACGTGTAAAAAGATAAACCAGACGGAATAGTAAAGAACCCTGAAAGCCATTCTAAGGTTTTATGTATCACCTTATCAAGGCAATAAGGAACTTCTCAGTATCTGTGACATGATCTGTATTTGGGTTTCTGAAAGACAACTCTAAGAATAAGACAGTGGGATAAGGTGGGTGACAGGGAATAAACAGACATAGCATACAGGATAACCCCTGTAATACTTCAAGAAATGACTTAAAATAAGAAAATGATATTAAAAGATAAAAACAGAGTGAAAAGATCATCTCTGAGACAGAAATGTGACTTTTTAGATATTTTATGATATAAGTGCTTTTAATAGAGACGTGACAAAGTCTAGGATTCAAGTCACACTGCTCTTTCAAAAATCCTGACAATAAATAGGAGAAATGGTTTTATCTAACCCTTGGTAAAAACTAAGGGGTAACGGACACTAAGAAAAGGCAGACAACTGACAGAACTAGGTTCCAGAAGAGATGAAGCCAGGAGTGAAGGTTTAAGAGTCAAGTGGTGAATGGCCGGGCATGGTGGCTCACACCTGTAATCCCAGCACTTTGGGAGGCCAAGGTGGGTGGATCACCTGAGGTCGCGGGTTTGAGATGAGCCTGACCAACATGGAAAAACCCAGTCTCTACTAAAAATACAAAATCAGCCAGGCATGGTGGCACACACCTGTAATCCCAGCTATTCGGGAGGCTGAGGCAGAATTGCTTGAACTCAGGAGGCGGAAGTTGTGGTGAGCCAAGATCGTGCCATTGCACTCCAGGCTGGGCAACAAGAGTGAGACTCCGTCTCAAAAAAAAAAAAAAAAAAAAAAGTCCAGTGATGGAGGGGTATGTAAAGTGAAGCTGAAACTGGCTGAAGTAAATAACCACAACTGGAATATCCTAGTTCTGAATGTCAATCCTAAAGGGTTCTGACTAGAAGAACTAGGATGCAACTAGGCCAATTAGGATTGAGTTTGGAAATTAAGAAAATCGAAGAATGGCTGAAATAGTTGGTGAATAACCTAGAGCAATGGCTTTTATATTGTCGTTTGCACAACTGTGGATGCTCTAAGACCCTTTTATGGGGTCCATAAGGTCAAAATTATTTTCAAAGTAATAACAAATTATTGCCTTTTCCACTGTGTTGACGTTTGCACCAATGTCACAAAAGCCATAGTGGGTAAAAATACTGACTCTTCAACACAAATCAAGGTAGGGGCTATTGAACTGCCCTAGGAGTCACTCACTATCTTCTTCACTGGCATTTCTGTATGCACTTGCAGTAAAAGAAAAAAATAATGCCACTTTTATAAAGATGTCTTTGATGAAGCAGTAAAGTTAATTTTATTAAATCCCCCTTCAGTACTATTAATATAGTAGCAGAATTAAATCTAGTCTCTTGAGTAATATTCTGTGTGATGAAATGGAAAGTATGCATAAATCACTTCTGATGCTTATGAAGTATAATGGCTGTATTAAGGAAGACACCTGTGTTGAGTTATGAGCTGAACTAACTGCTTTTTCATTATCACCTTTGAGAATCTAGAAACTATGATTAATTAGACTTGGGTATTTGGCAGACAATTTTTTGAAAAATAAATGAAGTCTATTATATAAGGAAAATAGATGAATCTGTTGCCAATGATAAAAATCTGAGAAAATTAAATTTTGGAAAATGACTCCATTGTTGTGAGCATGCCAGATTCCTAGTACTTGCATTTTACTGATCTGATCTAAGGTGATATTACCAGATGTCACTTTTTGACACTAGATAACAAATACAAGTCAGTATTTGGAAACTTGTATAATTCAATGAATCAATTATTTTTCATTTTGTTGCTCTAGTTCCAATGCTTTCCTACCACCTCTGAATTTTTGGGGGTTTTAAAGCATAAATCATCTATTTCGTCTGTCGCTTTTCTTACTTTTTACATGTGTGAACAGTCATTCACACATTCTAACAGCAGAGGTTACTAAAACACTTTAACCAGAGGATAACAGATTAACAGCAAATTAAAAAAGATGTGACATATATAAATTATCTTTGTCTAAGGTATAATTGACTAAAAAGCAATCTAACCTGTGTCTAGAAGATGAGGGAGTCCTCCTCCTCCTAGAACGTGATCTTGATCTTGAATGCCTTCTTTTTTCTTCTTTCTTATCTATATTTAAAAGAAAAGGAACCTGCATTTAGAAGTTATTAAATAGGGGCCAGACGCAGTGGCTCATGCCTGTAATCACAGCACTATGAGAGGCTGAAGTGGGAGCAACACTTCAGTCCAGGAGTTCAAGACCAGCCTGGGCAATATAGTGAGGCCTCATCTCTACAAAAAATACAAAAATTAGCTGGGCATGGCGGTGTGTGCCTGTGGTCCCAGGTACTTGGGGAGGCTGAGCTGGGAGGATTGCTTGAGCCTGGAGATGGACGGTGCAGTGAGCTGTGATTGCACCACTGCACTCCAGCCTCGGCAACAGAGTGAGACCCCTCAAAAACAAAAACAAGCAAACAAAAAAACACATCAAATAGGAAGATTATTCCCTTTCAGAAGTTATTCTAATAATTTTTCACCTTAGTTTTCAGCTTTTACATACAACCCTTGAATGTCACAAGTAACCATTTTATAATCACGATTTTGAAGCTTACTGAAATACTATAAATTGCAAATCATCCAAGCTTTTGGTAGATCCAAATTAGACTTCTAATTCTCAGCTAGCTAAAGGTTCCTTTGCCTATTTTACTTGCCAGACTTAAGAGGCTGTGAAGTGTTTTCTGTAAAGCAGTCTATAAAGAGGGTAAATTTCTCATTCTCTGGCTCTGATTTACTCTTGACAAGGTTCTAAATGAGGGGTCCCCTTTCCTTTCCTTGATTCTTCACAGACTCAATATTTGGCCCCCAAATGCAGAAAGTCATGATTCACTCACTGATTTTAGTCCACTTCTGTGACAGAATCAGATTTTAGTAAGCTAGCTCGCTTCCTATTATCTGCTCATCACTCCTCTTCCCTACCAATTTTCAATTGTGTAAATATAGAAAGGAAATCTAGAACTACACATAAGAAATTCCTTAACTGGGGACATAACAAGAGAAATAAAGTCATTGTATTCTACATTCACTGACTATCATCAAAGTGAGATTGAGTTTCTTTTACATTTAAGTCATTTCATTAATAGGGTTCAATTTATTGTGAATGTCATTATAATAAATTCATAAAAATATTGGTAAAAACATCAGTTCATAAAGAAACTACATTCAGTCACTTTAATCATATATTTTCAATATAAACAGCAGTTAGAACACGGTGTGTCATAAACTTTACATACACCCGGCTGTGCTATCTAAAAGTTCCTACTGCTTGCCATGTAACTGTGGCTAATTATTTGACATTTTCCTGGTTAAATAACATAATACATATAAAGCATTTGGTATCAGTTTATCCACTATTATACTTTAAAATTATTTTCCTAACAATAGGCACATTAAAAAACATTCCCATTTATTAATGAACAAGATATTTATAAGAAAGAAAATCCAGGGCCATAGATCTAAATATATATGGGCAGATAATATGATATCTATTCATTTACTCTCAAAAAGACAATCTGCAAAGAAGACAACTAATTTTCTTTAAAGAAATATCATTTTAAACAGAAGCATTTTCACTAGGTTCTCTTGATCAATGAAAAAAATTAAAATTAGGCTATCCCAACTTAGAAAAACATAAATAATAAGAAAAACAAAATATCGTTTCAAGTATTAGATAATCCTACTGACATTTTGGACTAGATTAACCACTGCTGTGGAAGGCTGTGCTGTTTGTTGCAGGATATCTAGCAACATGTTGGTCCTTTGCCCTCTAGATGCAGTTGGTACTCCTGTGACCACCAGAATTGTCTCCAAATACGTCTGAGTGGCACTCCACTATACAATCTTTTATCAGAGTTTACAACATTTTAAACGACTAGGGTGTCACTCAACACAATTCCACATTTATGTCAAAATCATTTTTGCTAAGAATCACACAACAAAATTGCATAAACATTGTTTACCTGGTTCTATAGCAGCAGAAATTAGGGACTGTGCTTCTCGTACTCTTTTCATAGCTTCCTCTATTTCTTTACTAGAGGTATCCGATTTCAGACTTGGTGAAACGAGACCAGCAGCTACATGATTCAACCTGAAACAGAACCAAGAAATGGGATCTGAAATATTTTAAAATGCACACGAGCATTTCAAATAAATACTTAAGTATATAACATTATTTTAGCAAAATATTCCTTCAAAAAAAGGGAGGGGAGGACTCCATGATAACTTTGGTAAACAACATATAGCATAGCACTGTTTTGAATATTTACAAGTATTTGTTTTAATGACTAAGAGTCATCTGGAATTAGAAAAATACCTATTTTGCTGAACATCCATTAACTTTCCATAAACAAACACATTTTTAGAAATGCCAGTACAAGAAAATATGCTGATGCTAAGAACTTTTATTCATATAAATTAAAAATTTTTGGGCCGGTGTGGTGGCTCACGCCTGTAATCCCAGCCCCTTGGGAGGCCAAGGCAGGTGGATCACGAGGTCAGGAGATCGAGATCATACTGGCTAACACGGTGAAATCCCATCTCTACTCAAAATACAAAAAACTAGCCAGGCATGGTGGCAGGCGCCTGTAGTCCCAGCTATTCGGGAGGCTGAGACAGCAGAATTGCTTGAACCCGGGAGGCAGACATCGCGCCACTGCACTCCAGCCTGGGCGACAGAGTGAGATTTCGTCTCAAAAAAAAAAAAAAAAAAAAAAAAAAAAATTTATGACATAGTAATTTTTTGGGGAAGAGCATTACCTTTTACTTTGTAGGTGGGGAGGAACTGAGGCAGAGGCCAAAGGCCTACCAAAATTACACATGAAGTCTTGAGTGGAAAGGCTAAAGATGCCCCTTACAGGTTTACACATGTAAAAAAAAAATTGTAGGCCGGGCATGGTGGCTCATGCCTGTAAGCCCAGCACTTTGGGAAGCCTTGGCGGGTGGATCATGAGGTCAGGAGATTGAGGCCATCCTGGCTAACACGGTGAAACCCCGTCTCTACTAAAAGTACAAAAAATTAGCCGGATGTGGTGGCTTGTGCCCATAGTCCCAGCTACTTGGGAGGCTAAGGCAAAAGAATTGCTTGAATCTGGGAGGCGGAGGTTGCAGTGAGCTGAGTTTGCGCCACTGCACTCCAGGTTGGGCAACAGAGTGAGACTCGTCTCAAAAAAAAAAAAAAAAAGAAAAAGAAAGAAGAAAGAAAAAAAAATTATAGACAACAAATTTAGTAGTTATTTGTGGGCAGAACAGGAAATGTAATAAATAATGGGTATATAGGAAGCTTCAACTGTATTGGTATTATTTTATTTTATAAGCTGGGTGATGGGTACATGCTTGGTTTTATTTTTAGATAATTTCTAAGAAAAAAGTCCACTAACTACTGAAGTCCAACGATTCTGTCCTTTTCATGCTCTCTCACTTACTGATAGTGACTTTCACCAAGTTAAGGGGAAAAGGTATAAAGTTCAAATTTATTATGCCAACAAATAACCAGTGAAAAAAACTGATGAATCTGTCACATCATCAAGTCGGAAACAATTTCTGTGACAGCATGAAGAGCACTTATCAAAAGCACCTAAAATAAAATGTTGGCTATTAATTATATAATATGTAATACTACTTTGCTCTGGGATAGTGATTCCCTCAGCTTTGCCTCTAACTCCTACTATCCTCAGGACTCAGCCTCTGATCTTCAAACGAAGTTGTCCCTTATTAGCTCTTTTGCTATCATCCAGGTATAAGTCATTTACAATTACTATTCAAGACTCAAATGACACTGAAACAAAATAGTTTAGAGGACCTTACTTACTTCTGTATTTCTCTCCTTGTTTCTAGGTAACAATACATATTGCTTGTCTTGAGAAAAGATAACTTGATAACTTTCTTATAAGCTATCAAAAAAACTCTAATTCTGTAGACATTCAGATACCACATCACCAATGAAAACAAAGAAAAAACGCTTACTTGGGATCAACAGTACTCATAAGCTTCAGCAACTGATCTGCAGCAAGAGACTGTAAAAATAAAACATAAGAATAATGAGAATACATAAAACAATAAATGACCGATATTTTCTAGGCAGAAAACTGAACAACAGAAATCCATGCAGACTACATGCCATGAAACATAAATTTTTTAGTAGCCACATTAAAAAAGAAAAAACAAAAACAAAAAACAAAACAAAACAAAACAAAAACCGGTGACATCAGTAGCTACAGTATTGGATAGAGCAGCTTTAGCAAGTTATCTAAAGATTATGAGGCTGAACAGTCTAGGTATTATAGAATTATGTCTCCTTTAAGACTTTTTGACATAAAGAAACATGTAAAACTCAAAACACCTTAGCCAATATAATGCAAAAGACCTCTACAAAGAACTTCAGAAAAAAAGGTTAGCTAAATTAAAATAAAAGAAAAATTTCCATGATAGAAAAATTATAAACCACATTCTTATCTTTTCATGACTATTTACTCTGACTCTATGACACACTGATAATGTACTGGCTTCTTGTGAATCTATTTTCTATTTTGAACTATATAAAAGAAATCCATTAATGGATAAAGGAGTTAGTCATTCAGTGACTGTTTAAAGCTCTGACAAGTTTAAACAAGAAAAAAAATTACTACAACATAGCCATTAGCTTCTGCTCTTGAAATGCAAACCAACAGTTAATGAAACAGATCTTCTGTAAAAATGGGTGAAAAATTTGAAGTTACTAAGGTATACCTGAGAGTTCAAGTTTGCTCCAGGAAGCCCAAGTGCAGCAAGGGCAGGATCAAGAGTAGGAGCCCCCAAAGCAGCCAGTGGAACAGCGCCAATCTGTGAAATGGCAAATTTTATTTATTTAAAACTTCATTTCAGTTCCTTATACCAGGGGTTAATACTTTTTTAATGTAAAGGGTCAGATAACAACTTGAGTTTTCAGGCTACATGGTCTCCGTACAACTCCTCAGTTGTACACAAACCATATAACTACTGCCATCATAGCTTGAAAGCAGCCAGAGACGATACCTAAACAAATGGCTGTGGTCCAATAACAATCTATTAACAGAAATAGGAGTCTTGCTCTATATGACACCCATGTTCCACCCATTACAACACATTTCCCCCCTAAATCCTAGATTAAGAAAAAAAGACAAAATATTTCAACATATTCTTGTGCTGATTTTAATTATTTATTGCTTCTCAGGATCCAAATCTACTATTCTTTGCCCTGCTGTTTTGTGCTACCGGAGGCAGGACCTTTACAAAGCATTTCTCCTTTGACAGTTGCCATGATATAAGACTTCATTTGGAAAGAGTGCTGGAAGGACACTGACTAAGAAAGGGGCTCTTCCTGGTTGCTGTGTCCCCTTTCTGATTATTCCTGCAGCACCATGTCAAACACCCAGTAGCCCTCGCCTCTCAGTAAGTTTTAATACCAACTCCTTATGCAGCTCCCCAGGGCACCCAAGAGAACTTATTTACTAGTCACCCTTCCAAAAACAAATCTAAGTTTCAGCATAGATGGGGAAAGAGGAGTCCCCTGAACTAAATGGGTGTTCCTTCTGCTTCAGCCTCAGAGGTAGTGGTTGTTTCTTATACTTGTGATTCCTGTATTCATTAGAGTTCCCCTAGTAATCTCCTATAACTAGTTAGTAATTCCTTAAATGTTCCCTGTTCAAATCACTGCAGGGTTCTGCCACCTGCTTGACACCAATTCTGATTAATCCATAATGTAATAGACACAAACCATGAAAGTGAGGCTACTTTAAAACCATCTGTAGCTTTTGAAACAGCCTCACTTTCTCCACCTGTGCTACAAGTTCTCCTTGTTTCAATTTATTTAGTAAACACAAACTATCAAACTTTCTATAATTTAACTGTTTATTCGTAACAGGCAAAATGCTGTGTTAATACTATTTTAACTTACTGTCCAACATAGCTATTGCATAGCTTTATACATTAAAGGAATTTAGAAAATTACCCAGATCTGGACTGGGCGCGGTGGCTCACGCCTGTAATCCCAGCACTTTGGGAGGCCAAGGTGGGCAGATCACTTGAGGCCAAGAGTTCAAGACCAGCCTGGCCAACATGGTGAAACCCCATCCCTACTAAAAATACAAAAATTAGTCAGGCATGGTGGCATGCCTGTAGTCCTAGCTATTCGGGAGGCTGGGGCAGAATCGCTTGAACCAGGGAGGTGGAGACTGCGGTGAGCCGAGACTGTGCTATTGCACTCCGGCCTGGGTGACAGGGCGAGACTCTGTCCATCTCAAAAAAACAAAAACAAACAAAACAAAAAACAAACAAAAAAAAACAAAACAAAACAGAACAAAGAATAAAGAAAATTACTCAGATCCTCATTTTATAGGTTAAAAGAAATAACCTAGGAGTTAAGTGATAAAAGTCACACCTAAAAAGCTTAGGAACTCCTAATCTTTCATTCTATAGTGCACTTCACAGTTAAGAGTCAATTAGTCAATTATTTAGACAGGCAAAATGATACACTAGAAAGAATGCTTTTATAAATTTCCAGTTGAGGCTCATTCACTACAATCTTTGAAACTACTGACCAGTTACAATCTCAGTAATTAGAATACACAGTATTTAAAGTGCCTTTTAGTTCTAAAATAAGCTTCGTACAGCACTGTCAGTGTTAGAAACACTATTGCAACCAATTTTCTTTCACATTCCCATATCAAACATCTCCATCAAGAATTGCCTTTGTTTTCAAGCCACCTATGTAATTCAAAACCCCCCAAATAACAGGAAAAGATAAAGGGGAAGGAAAAAAAAATGAAGGGCTCACTTGTGAAATTTTAACTTCAGTTTTCTTTCCTGGTCCAAATGAATATATTTTTAACAGTGTGTTCAGAGAAGTGTTCATGCCTCAGGAGACTGTTCCAAAACTACTCATGGGTTATTTTGAGAGCCAATGGTAAAAGTGACAGAACAGATATTTTATGATTTTTCAGAATGTTCTTAAAATACAAAAGTCTAAGAGATCTTCTATACTATTTGTGATTTTGATATAGACATGTGATAATGCTATCTGAACTAGAATCTTATGAGTACTTACAAAGTTCAAATATGTTTAGCTTTATGCACAATTCTGTTTTTTTCCCCACCCTTTAAGAATTCAATAGAACTAGTACCTGGGTAAGTGGGTTAGGAGTAGGCAGGAGTCCACCACCAGGCAGAAGACCTGCCACTGCATTAGCTGGTGCCAACAGAGACAAAGCTTTAGCTTCATCAGGAATAACTCCTGCAGAGAAACATCCTTGCATTAGAACACATTCTTTTCTAAGACAGAAAACACACAAAAACACCCAGAAAATGTCTCCCTGATACACCACCTGAGTTTGTTGAAAGTACTTATGTTCGCTAAAATACAAAGCTTGATTTCTATGATTATTTATCATTAATTTTATGTCAGAATGAACTTCAATGTGTGAAAATTTGTTTCCTTTTTCTCTACAAATGGTTAAGTTTCTAGAGTAAAAAAAAATAGCACAATACACACTACTTTTTTGTTAACACTGCCAAGATTTCATCACCTGTACTCGATTTTTAAGTCATGAACCAAACGTAAGCAAGCACAGTCGGTTCTCCAGGGGTGTGCTCTCAACTTTCAAAAGCTGTTTTATGAACAACGACTCGTGTCGGCTGCTTCACTATAAAGCACACAGAAAAATCAAGATACACAAGACAAAAAAAGTTTGATTTAGGGGTTAATAATATGGTACAGTTACTATGATTTTCTTTTACACCTACCATACAAATTTTGTAAAAATTAAGAGAAGAAAGTATGTAAAGGAAATATTCTGTTGGAATCAAGCGTAGGGCTTTTGCTGACTCATGAAAATGAATATGAATGTTTCTGAAGGTCTCTGAATACACACAGGATGTGTGCATGGGAGTGAGAGAGAAAGAGAGATAGGTAAAACAACATGGCACATTCCTTACCTGTACAGTAAAATGCTTTATGTTTCGCCATGTGCCATGCTAACCATACCAAAAAATGCTGCCATACAGTGCCAGTTGAAAAGCTAACTTAGCCAAACTCCTTAAGCCAAAAATGACATATATATCTGTTTTTAAAGCCTAATCTGTGTATTCAGATAAAATCTAAGGGTCCTAAAACAAATATTTATGTAGACAATTTAAATTCTATCCAACAGCAAAAGCCCTATACAGATGGATTAATCTGTTAATGTGCCCAAGCCCCCAAAATGAGAGTTCAATAATACAATTAAACTACATATTTGCAAATACCAGTAGTATTTCTGTAATACATATTAAGAAACTGCATCTCATCATAAAACATACAATATGTACAGGGCACTTAAGAGAAACTGGATAAGCTGCAGAAGAAAACTGTTGGGTGGTATTTTCAGCAGGGCCTGGTATATAGTTCAGGCTGAACCAGGGAAAAGAACTGTAAAACACAACAACAAAAAAGAAAAACCACTGTTAAATAAAGGTAATGGTTCCTTCCACCTATACTGAGAAGTGCCGATAATATAAACAAATGTATACTACACAGCACTGTTATCTTGCTTGTGTCAGAGCTGTCATCAATTTAGATACCAAGAGTTATGGAGGGGAAGGGGGAGAAGATCATTTAGATATAGGGCAGTAATGCATCAATATTAACAAACCTACAAAGATTATGGGATAATTTTGCATGCAAAATTATGTCTCAAGAGGATATATTCAGTATCAACATCTTACTCAAATTAGTGCATTTGCAACATTTCTGGCAAACTAAAATCCTCTTGAATTTATTGTGAGACACCTGATAGAAGATCTGCATCCATTAAAAAAAAAAAAGTCATGCATCTGATCCTCTGATTAAAAAAAGACTATTTAAAAATAAAACTACAATTTAAAAATAGCAATGAGGCCCCTCACCAGTTAATTTTCATGCGTCAAGAGTATTTTTTTTACTGCTGCTTTGATAGAACCATGAAATACTGCATGAATGTGTAGAAATGAAAGAAAAAGAAACAGACAAAAGAAACAAACATTAACCAAGGAACCTAAAAAATCCCCAAATCCATTACTATTAAGAGTTCCTTCCAAATTCAGCTATCTTAGTTTTACCAATTAAGACTATTCCTTACCGTAGACTATGTCTACTGTTCTAAAACACTGACCAAGAGCTAACACCGAAGTGTAATAGCTAAATCTGGAGGGAATTGTATTTACTGGAGGTAACATTAATACAGCATATCATACCAGAATTAAATTCACCAACAATAGAATTCTGAATGAAATATTCCCCTAATTCTATATACTGTATATTCCTAAATACTTCACTTCCAAAAATAGGTCTAGAAAAATTACTATGGCCTGAAAATATTTATGAAAGTCATTTATATGATATACTGTATTATGTTCAGGGATTGGGAACTATAATACTTAGCCAATAAAAAATTTAAATTTACAGGCTAACCAAAATGTTTTACATATTACTCACATGATTTGACCCTTGTTCCAAGACCTATACTCTATTTTATTCATCCTGAATTTGAATTCTGTAAATTTTCTGTTGATGGTCTTATCCTACAACAGGCACACTGACATAAAAGAAATTGCTTAACCAAAACACACTAACTCAAAAATTTATCTATCTATACATTACAAAACCTTAAAACTGGGCTCATACACTTTAATATCATGGAGACAGAGGTACTATTACATAACATGTCTTAACCCATTTATAAATATAAGTTAATTTCTTTAGAAAACCAGAGGCAACTTCTCTGTTAAGGACTAGACATTTCACAACTTTTACAAGGTATGGTGTAAATGCTCACATTTGTTTTCAAAGATTTCAGATAGCATCTAAAATGAACAATATTAAGATTCCACTTCCACTGACCAGTTTATTAAGGAAAGGGGAAAGCATTTAAATCCTGGTCAGCATATTAAATTATTAACTTAAAATCCAGCAGTTTTATCATATTTCAGTGATTCGAGTAAAATTTATAGTTACCAAAATGCAAATCAAGTAGCAGTACATTGGGAACAAACTAATTATAAAATACGCCTTAGAAAATTTTACAAAATGGTATTAAAATTTCTTGTCACAGTGGCTTTTTAGATCCAAAAAACCTGCTCATTTTTTTCTGTCAAATTACTTTAACAGCCTAAAATGTAAAAAGAGAGAAAATGTAGTTAACAAATGGTTACACCAGGAAAACACTTGGGGCACTTGAGTGCTTGCTGGCCTTTAGTTAATGTCTAGAATCCCCTGTAGCTGCAGAGGACCCACTGTTTTTCAGGCATCTGGAAGGGTTTTGCATTTGCCTTCTCCACTATAAAAATCACACACACAAATAACAGAGAGAAGAATTTATTATTTAGAGATATTCTAGAAATATAGCAAGAATGAACAAGAAAATCTGGCATAAAATAAAACACCCAGTGCCCATTTGGCACCTAAGCTACAGGAAATCTTGAACTTTCACGAAAACCAAAATCACTGCAACCCTTGGTATACTGAAATTCAATGTGTTTTTTTTTTTTCCAGATTATCAATGTGAGGAAGCTTTAAGAAAATAAAATCAACCTACTCATTTATTTAAAACAGAAATAACATCATGCATTTATTTGAAGGCTCTGTAAGCATACATGGAGTGAATCATTTACCTTCAGGGCTTTTTCATAAAACTTAACATTAAATTAACTAAGTAGATGTATCTCAGGGAGTTACAATAAGGGACATGGTTTTAAACAACTTAAAAATGTTTTAAAAGAAAACAAAAGGTAAATACCTTATAATAACAGACCTAATTTCTAATTTTTAGAATTAAAAAAAATCTGCAAGCAAAAATTACGGACTGCAGTATAACAAGGGTTTAAAAATGTTAATAGCTTAGATTTAACATGCTACTAATGCTCACTCTACATCTACTGAGGTAGATGGTCATCTTAGGATGCCCACATAGGTAGTTAAACAAAGCACAAACCTTCTGCATATGGTACGACTATCAAAGCTCTGTCAACGAATACAGTGTTTGTCAGATGCTGTGCCACAACTGCTGAGTCTGGATCATGGAACTTAACAAAGCAGACACGAGATGAGACTGGCAAAGGCGAATCACTAAAAAATAAACAAATAACATAAAAGAGAAACAGAATAGCAGTTAAAACAAATGCTAATTCACAAACCAACACATTTCAAAAGTAAAACAGATTAAAAAAACCTAACTGTATACTAATGTAGTTAAATTCAAAAGAAAACATTCTCAATCATATACTGTTCACTGAAATAATGTAGTGAATTGCAGTTCAGATAAAAACTTATAATCATAACTTATATTTACAGTGTATCAGGTTAAAAACAATTTGGTACTGAAGTCTCAGAGACTGAGGGGACCACAAAATTGTCAACAGTTTCTTTATAATACCAATACCAGCTATTTTTAGATACAGGTAACAGTAGTTTGGGGCTTAGAAACTTCCTAATGGCTTTCTCAGAGTAAGAAAGATGAACAATTTTTATATCAGGGACAAATGAATATCATGAGAACGAACATGTACTCAATAATCAATGAGTTTTCTTGAACTGCATAAAATAAACAGGTTCCATGCCCTGCACTCTTTTACCCACAGCATGTAAGAACTCTTATGCACTGTAAATAATCAAGGATTTCTGGCTTGGAGCACTTTCAGATAAAAGAAAAAATGTAGGCACACATGGGAGTAGTACTACGTTCCACTAGTGCCACCCTGCAAAGTTTCAATAAGCAAAAGGGCTAGTTCCCTCAACAAATTACTTCCTTAGGTAAAAGAAAGACAAGTGCTAAACTGCAAGCTATGGCAGTGTAAGTAAGACAGATAACACAGGAAGCAGGGTTTTTTTCAACTGTTAAGTTACAGGGTAGCTCAAATTTCTGCCTTGAAACTCTGTGCATGAATACAGGGATGGCTCAAGCCCATACCAAAAGTTATTTGGAAAGCTAGTGCCCTAAGGCAGAAATAAACACACCATCCCTAGTTAATACACTCTAATGTGTATTAGAGTCATGGGGTTGGGGGTTGGGGGTAATCCACACTCTTCACATGAATTAAATCAAGATCTCTGATGAAGTTTGAGTTCTTTCTCCTTTAATTCTCTCTGACAATTTTATGCACCCAGGGTACAAAACTACTTCATTTTAACATCAATATAACACTTACATCATAGGACTCATTAATGAAAAGGAAAATCCTGTATTTTAATACTATCTGAATGAGGCTTCACAGTTTCTAAAAAATGAAACACACCAATGTGTACATAAAATTGTAAATGCATCAGATTTGGTTATACTAAGAATTTCAGATTCATTGTTGAAAAGAAAAATAATTTCTTTTAATTTAGGCCTAACAAAAAACCCCATAATTTTTATCACAACTCAAACACTAACATGATGCTATATATGGCCTGAGAACTCAAACCCATTAGAACTTCTGATACAAGCTTCCCTACAAGGACCTCTCAGGCTAAACACAGACCCTAACCCAAGTTCAAAGCAAAATTAACAGGATATCCACAAGCAAGTTAAGCCACCTTGTTATACAGGCTTACTGTTGAATGTTTCTTAAAGAATACAGTGGTTTTTAGATGTGAAACACTGCTGCTATAAAATTTAACAATGTTGCACCCGCAGTAGTAAAAAGAATGTTTAAGCAATTTCTCCTTAAAGAAATGGGAGGGGTCTTACTATGTTACCCAGCCTCCCACTCCAGCTTCCCCAATAGATGGGGCTGCAGGTGTGCCTCACTGTCAAGTACTTTAGCAGGTTTAGTAAGCTATGGCACTTCACATTTCTTTGCTGACATCCATGTTTCCATCAATAAATTACAAAGCTCTTTTAATGCTATCATCTTATATTATTAACACCCAACACAATGCCCTGGGAAATAGCAAGCACTTAACACTTCTTAAAACTGACCTCTACCAATTCTTTTAACACTTTTTATTGTTATCTTATTAAAAGAAATGACTCCCAAATATGATATTTTTAATAAATAGTTCTTTAGGAAAAAAAGTACTGCCCCCGTGCTCAAATTGTATTCTTTATACTTGGCAACCTTAAAGTGACTCATATTTTTTTTCCTACTCATTAATGGCATAGGAATGCTCCAATTATTTTGGCTATATCAAAACCTGTTAAGTGATGGTAGGGTACAGATTAAATATGAATTTGAATACTGTGAATAAGAAATATAATTTCATCTCTCTCCACTTCAAATGGCCTCCTTTAGATGGGTTTAAAACAAGTTTTTGATGGTATCTGGGCCCACAATTACATTCTTAACATTTTTTCGATTAAAATTTTTTTTTTTTTGAGATGGAGTTTCACTCTTGTTGCTCAGGCTGGAGCGCAATGGCACGATCTCGGCTCACCGCAACCTCCACCTCCCAGGTTCAAGCGATTCTCCTGCCTCAGCCTCCCAAGTAGCTGGGATTACACGCACACGCCACCACGTCCGGCTAATTTTTCTATTTTTAGCAGAGATGGGGTTTCACCATGTTAGTCAGGCTGGTCTTGAACTCCTGACCTCAGGTGATCCACCCGCCTCAGCCTCCTAATAAAATTTATCTTAATAAGATAATATGTTAATATAAGATAGAGGACTGATGCCTGAAATTAATTTTTGTGCTCTAAAATTCTGTGGAAGTACTGCTTCCAAATACGACACATATTTTACTCCGTATCTCTTTAGAATTAATATAAAGTAGGGAGAAATGAGGAACAAGATAGGGTAAAGTGAGTCCTGCATGCCACTTCTGTCCTCCAACTAAGAGCGGTGGTGTAGTTTTTAACAGTTCTTACGTGTCCTCTGAGGGCTATTTCAGAATCTTCTAGACTACAGAGAGAAAACCTGAGATTTCCGTTGTTCACCTAAGGGTCTGTAGAGAATCTTTTTTACATGAAGGCCCAGATTCTTAACAAGGTATTCATGCCTACTAACGTACGAGAACTTCAGGTTTAGGCCACTGATATCAGCCTTCCAATTTCCACCTTAATAGTGTGCTAAGTGGAGAATTTCGAGCTCATAAATAAAAGTATCGCCAACCCACAAAAGGAGGTGTGTGACAAAGACGACATTAACCTGAAAACTTGACTGCTGACCTCATGTGCCCCCTTCTCACTATGTAAAGAAATATACAATAAAATGGTGCATCAATTAAAACCATTTTTTCTTTAAAGGTGCACTAAACTCTTTCCCTTACCTAATATACTAATTTATACTTATATAACCATTAAAGTATCCATTTTGGGTCACTGAAAAGTTACTAATGAACTTCAATGTATCTCCGTATTACAGCAGCCTTAAGTTACTGCATAACTGTGACATACTTCACTGGGATCATCACCTGATAAGCACTTTGCTGGGCAATCCCACTAAAAGAAAGCATGTGAAGATCTTACAAGTTACTTGGCTAAATCAGCAAACTCCTGATCAAGTGGTAAAGGAGAGTCACAACTTGGGTTCAAGTTCTAGTTCTGACATTGGCAGTATGGCTTGGGCATACAAAAAATACCTATGTAAATTTCAGTTCACGAACTTGTAAAACAGGGTCAAAAACATTTTTTTCCTCCAGGTTTGTAAGGATTAAGGTACATTTAGAAAGCAACTCACACACAATAGATATTCAAACAATGCTGCATTTCCAGTACGCATTTCAGAAACAACCAGAATCAAAATAACAGTTTAACAAAGAGTATATGTGGGGTTCAACTTTCAAATACCTGCAAAGCCATCATGCTGTAGAGACAGTTAGAATATCACCTATTGTAAAGATAGTATTTCTATTTCTCAGTAAAATTACAGGCCAGAAATTCTGGTTTAAAAGAAGGAATAAATAGATGGACTTAACAATGACAATGCAGGAAACCTCCTAGAGCAGGTTGTCATTGAAATGTCTGTCATAATCCCAGAAATGTTTCCCCAAAATAGGCATTCAGAACCGAAATGAAGAGCTTCAGTAGGTGTGGGTGAGGTTCAGTCATACATGTATTTTAAAGCACCTCATATTCTACAGGAGAGAAGTTGTTAAACTTAACCTGTCAACTGGTGACAGGTGCTATAGAAAAAAAGTAGTGTTAAGGAGAATAAAGCAGCAGCAGAGGTGCTTTATTTTACATAGGGTGGTCTGGGAAGTTTTCTCTGATTAAGGTGACATCGGAAAAATAAAAGTAGTTAAGCATGTCACAGATATGTCTAGGGGAAAAAGAGTTACAGGTGCATGTCACTGCCTTCTTGGGGGAAATCATATAGTTTTCCCTCAGTATCCATGGTTTCAGGACTCCCTGCAGATAACAAAATCCACAGATGCTCAAGTCTCTTATATAACATGATGCAGGGAGGGGGAAGAGGTGGAGGAAAAATAAAATCATGGCATATTACCTGTGCACATCCTCTTGCATACTTTAAATCTCGTGATTACTTATAATACCTAATACAATGTAAATAGTTGCTATACTGTACTGTTTAGGGAATGACAAGAAAAAAGTCTGTACATGTTCAGTACAGACGTTCTCTCCTTATATTTTCAATTCACAGTGGGCTGAATCCATGGATGTGGAACCCAGAGATGAAGAAGGCCAACTGTGTAGATAATAGTTACAATCAGGTGACCTGTTCACAACAGATAGAATTTTATGTAATCTGAGCCATTCAATGTTATGAATAAATATTTTTGGAATGATGAACCCTGTGGACCACTGGGAACTATATGCAACTTGTGCCAGTCAGATTAGTGTATTGAAACTTATAGTTAAAAAAACAAAATGCAACATCAAGTAAATAAAAGTAGCCATCTACATTACTGATCAAATGTAGAAGGCCACTAATAACATTTAACTTATTGTAACCTTGTACATTTTAAAAGACAAAATGATCTTGTATGTGGGAAGATAAATGAAGGAGTCAGAGTAAAAATGTGTCAATTTATCTCTCTTTCTCCCAATACTGGGAAGGGAGTCCTTTTAATGCAGAATATCCCAGATCATATAGTTGAGGGAGACATTCTCAAGCACACACTAGCTGTCCTGGTTATGAAGGAACTATTCATTTGATTACAAAACAAAAAGACTCTGGTCCATCACAACTTCCTCTAGTATACTGGTCATGCATTAGGTAAAAGATGAACCAGTATAATGCCTACATCTCTCTTACCTTTTTTCTAAATGCATCATAAAACTGCCTTCAGAGAATAAACAGCATTTAAAAGTCAGCAACCATAACAAAATTTTTAACTTGTAGGATTGGAAAGAATTGTAGTAATTCGAATACCTCAAATATCTCACTAATAAAACTATTAAAATCATCCAATGTATCACTATTTTCTGCTATTTTACTGTTCATTAATTTTACAAGCTTAAAACAGTAAGTCTTGAGAAAACTGAACAACAGCAAAGCATCTATTTTTGTATGTTCATGTTATGAAAGCTATTTGTCTTTCATTACCAAATCAAGTATCTGTCAAAATAACAGGAATAAAGATTTACGTGTTTGTTCCCAGAACTCCACGTCATGCAAACTAAGTAAATCCTCTCTCCACATGTACATTTCCCTAAAAATTAGAAACATACCAATTTGAAAACACCAATAATCTTGTGAAAGTATTTTAAGTGGAAAGTGATGAAATATGCTAATACTTAACAAATATCTCATTATGATAAACTTTTGTCAATTATTTTATTGAGCAGAAAGTTAATGGTTACACGTACCATAACAGTAGATTCTTAGAGGATTCCAATTTCCTGTTTAGTATTTAAGTGACATCATAAAATTCTCAATATATGATATTTACTGATAATGACATTTGAATTGTCACTTCTCCACCAATAAGTCTTCCAAAAAGCACAAGACTATTATTATTATTCCAATTGTCTGTTTTAGTAGTACACTTTATCTTACTTCTTAGCTTCTTTGAACTATTTTTTCTTTACAATTCATCCACTTAATATTCTTGCGATAGAAATAATTTTCAAAATAAAAGTGAGACAAAAAGGATAAAAAGTCATACACTCTAATTCAAATTTCAACATTTATAAAAATCCTTCTCAAGAACAACTGTGAAATATCACAAATCTGTATATTATTCAAACAAAGGAAAATCTCTGGTTTATAACCCGTTTTTTGACATTATACAAATTAAGTAATCAGGCTCACACTAAACTAAGCGTCTGTCAAAAAGAATATGATCTTTGAATTATATTGCTGGGCCAGAACCACATAACAGCAATAACAATAAGTGAACAACCTACAAAGTTTAACACCAAATTAACACAGGCATGAATAATTTTGTTACCTTTCTTCCAAGAACGCAAAGAACAAATACTCAGTTTTTTAAAAAAGGGATTTAACCTATATACGACGTACAGACTGCGGTTAGTCTTGCGTTAAGTCCCCAAAGCCAAACGACCACGTTGGCACAATTTAAGGCGGAAAAAAAAAATTTCCCGAGAATAACAGCCAGTGTTTCCTAATTCCAAAAAGCCCTGGCCCTGCCTCTCTGCATTTTTTTGTAGGCCTGGAACACAACCGTCTTAAGTAAATCCACCAGCCACCAGCCACTCAAGCAGCCTGGCCCGGGGAAGCAGCGACAGGGGCCTAAGGAAATTGTGTGTGTTAGGCCCAGGCTGAGGCGGCGTTAGCAGGAACAGTGATGGTGGACGATACTCACTCCGGCGGGAAGAGGCGCAGTTCGTCGATCTTGCCTAGGAAACCGAAGAGAGTCCGCATCTGCTCAGAGCTAGCGCTCGGGGAGACATTAGTCACCTGGATTACCTCGGTGCCGCCGCCTCCGCCGCCACCACCACCTCCGCCACCGGGCCCGCCGCTGGGGCCCGGACCTGCAGTGCTGGGGACGACGGTAGTGTTGCTCATGGCGCTGCTCGGGTTCTCGCTCCTGCTTTAACACATCAAACACACAACAAACAGTGAGAAGGAGGGGGAAGAGGAACCGGATTGCGGGAGAGAGGAGGGTGTCCGATGCTACAGCCTCTGCTACTGCTGCCGATGCCGCCGCCGCCGCCGCCGTTTCTCCGCCCCGCCGCACGCCGCGGGGGAGGGGATGAGAGCGCGCGAGCTCGAGACCACGAGAAAACAAACGGCCGCCCCACCTCGCCTCCAACCACGACACTAGCGGGCCCGAGCTCCCACAATGCTTTGCGGCGCAGGGCGCGTCAGCGTCGGCTCCACCCCGCGCAGGCCCAGCAGCCGTCGCCTGCAGCCCGAGAAATGAGAGGCACCGGGGTCTAGAGAAAGGTGTTATCCACCTTCGTCTCTCGTTTTATTCTTCTTTTTCTTCTCTCTTTTTTTTTTGGAAGAGCGAAGAGGCACGTATAAACTTTTTTTTTAAAAAAAGCATTCATCCTCCTGCAAAAGTCACTTCAGCAACTCTTCTTATTAAATACTGCTCACGATGTCTTTATATACTGATAATCATCTACAGAGCTATCCGATTACTAATGATATTTAAACCCAAGCTAAGATGCCACCCCACCACCACCAGTATAAAATGTCCCGAAATTTTCAATGTACATGAATTTTGGTAACATTAAATCTGTAACTAATTTGTTTTGTCACTAAAACTTTCAGAAAAGATATATTTTAATATTACACTTATTAATAAGCGTTTTGTACATTCATTCACAATGGATGACTTTTTTTTTTGAGACAGAGTCGCCCTGTCGCCCAGGCTGGAGTGCAGTGGCACCATCTTGGCTCGCTGCAACCTCCACTTCCCCTGTTCAAGCCATTCTCCTACCTAGGCCTCGGGAGTAGCTGGGATTACAGGCGCCTGCCACGACGCCAGGCTAAGTTTTGTATTTTTAGTAGACATGGGGTTTCACCATGTTGGCCAGGCTGGTCTCCAACTCCTGACCTCTGGTGATCCACCCGCCTTGGCCTCCCAAAGTTCTGGGATTACAGGCGCGTGAGCCACTGCACCCAGCCAATTCCACAATAGCTGACTTTGGAAACACAGTTTATAGTACTTAAATATATTCAAGTATATATTTCTAAAGAAAATACTGCAATTTCTCAAGAAAAACTTGTTTCACATACATATTCTTGCTTAAAATAATTTTGAAGCTTTTGACTATTAAAAAAATCCTTGCTTTTGTTTTCAACCTCATCTGAACTATTCTCTCAACTGCATCCAGTGTGTAGTCCAGTGACTTGTAGTGCCCCAAACATGACAAAAACCATAATGTCTCTGTGCCGATACACAAGTTATTAATAACATCACTCATCTTATCTGTCATCTTCTGTAGAGCATTCCTTCCCTCACTGCTATGACTTCTGCAAGCTGTTAGGGCTTCCTCTTTTCTGCTAAGTAACAGAAGATACATGTATTTATTATTGACATGTATCACTCAAAGTTGTGAGCTTCCTGGGTCAGTCCAGAACCTGGCACAATGTCTGTCACACAGTCAGTCCCAATGAATGTGCTGGACACACGCACAAATATACCTTAATGACAATGGCATTTAAGACAGTTCACTAAATAATTCACTTGACCTTGAATGTTTTTAGAGGTAAAAGTTTTAGATGTTTTGGAGGTAAAAACAAACAAACAAACTTGAAGCCTTACAGAGTATCTACATTAGTGAATACCTCTTGGCACAATGCAGTCAAGATGCAATATGTGAGAGATTAGAGCACAAGGTTATTGAGATTTGGGTGTAGAGCCAACTGGCTAAGTGACTTTCACTAGTGCTTATACAGAAAATGGATGGGTTGACTGAATGTGAGCCTCAGCAAAATTACAAATTATGGCCTTCATAGAAATCAACTAACATTAGCTAGAGCCAAGACTTTTCAGAATTTTAAAGAAAAGCATATAGCTGTCCCTCAGTATCTGTGGGGGATTGGTTCCAGGACCCTCCCACAAATACCAGAACCAGAGGATGCTCAAATCCCCTATGTAAAATGGTGTTGTGTAATAAAGCATTTGATCTGTATCCATGGGTTCCATGTATGTGGATTCAACCAACCTGGGACTGAAAATATTTGGAAAAAAATTGATGGTCTAAACATGTACAGACTTTTTATTTCTTGTCTAACAACTATTTACACAGCATTTACATTGTATTATTATTAGTATAGAGATGATTTAAAATATTTGGGAGGATGTGCACAGATTATATACAAACGCTATCCTATTTTACATAAAGAATTTGAGCATCTGTGTATTTTGATATCCTCTGGGGTCCTGGTATCAATTCCCCATGAATACTCACCTCAGGACTGGTACAACTGTATTTGCATATAATGTAAGCACATACCCTCATACTCTTGAGTAACCCTTATCTAAAATGCTTGGGACCATAAGTGTTTTGGATTTTGGATTTTTAAAAAAGATTTTGGAATATCTGCATTATATTCACTGATTTAGCATCCCTAATCCTAACATTTAAAATCTGAAATGCTCCAATGAGCATTTACCTTGTGCCAGTTAGTGCTCAGAAAGTTTCAGATTTTGGAGCATTTTGGATTTTGGTTTGGATTAGGGATACTCAACTTTAATACTGAATACAATGTAAATGCTATGTAAATAGCTTTTATACTGTATTTCTAAAACCTTTTATTTTTAATGTCATTATTTTTTATTTTTTGAATATTTTTGATGGGGGTTGGTTAAACCCAAGTATGTGGAACACATGGTTATGGAGGCTGATTGTATAACTAACTGCACGTCACTCATAAATAAGTATCTGTGAATACAAAGAATGGTAATTAATTTTCTCATTTTGAATCAGACATATGTAACTGCCAGTTACAGATACTTAATAGTTTAACATTTATTGTGAGTGCCTACTATATGCCACGCATGCTAAAATATTTGATGATAAAAGGACAAATAACAGAAGGTCAGGGTTCATGCCTTTTTCTTTTTTTCCTGAAATGTTAACACTTATTTATTCTCTGTGATGGGTACACATAAATCTTTTATATGACTCTACATTTTTCTGTATGTTTGACACATTTCATAATTAAAACTACAAATTCAAACCAAAGAAAAAGGTAGTTGTAATAAAATCCTTTAAACCACCAGAAGCCAATTTATGTACAATAACTTACTGAACAAATAGATGATACTTTGCTATAGAGAAACTAAGTGGCAAAAAGTTTATGCAACTGAAGAGGATTTTAAAATATTTTATTTTCACATCATTTAGCAGCTAACAACAACAACAAAAAATTACTGAATTTAAAGTTAGAAGGCTGGCTTAAAATACCAGCCCTGTTGGCCAGGTACAGTGGCTCATGCCTGTAATCCCAGCACTTTGGGAGGCCAAGGCGGGCGGATCACGAGGTCAGGAGATCAAGACCATCCTGGCTAACATGGTGAAACCCCATCTCTACTGAAAATACAAAAACAAAATTAGCTGGGTGTGGTAGCAGACGCCTGTAGTGCCAGCTACTCGGGAGGCTGAGGCGGGAGAATGGCGTGAACCGAGATCGCGTCCCTGCACTCCAGCCTGGGCAACAGAGCAAGACTCCGTCTCAAAAAACAAAAAACAAAAAACACACACAAAAAACAAACAAAAAAAACCCACCCCTGTCATCAAGCATGTGATTTGAGAAAATTTCACTTCACTTCTAAGAACCTGTGTCAGTTTTTCAGTCAAATGAAGAGTTGAATCATAATTTTGAAGATTCTTGTAGGTCTAATAGATTAAATAATTATGTTAATGTCTGTTTTACATAGGAATAAGACATATACCTGAAGACGAATGACAGATATATTAAAGCAAATAAATATAACCAATCTATGACAGTTTTAAATCACTTCAGATTTATTTAGGCTCACAATTAAACAAGACTATAGAAAATATAGAATCTGGAGACAGGATTCATGCCTGTTTTATTCACTGTATCTACAATATCATTGAGAGGCAGTCAAAAAACTCACAAATTTCTTCAAATATTATGTACGTAAATCTGTTCCAAGGATTTTCCCAGCTGCTGGAAATAGAGTAGGGAAAAGGAAGTGAATGTCCCTGATAACATAAAACTTCAGGTCTAGTATGGCAGACTTTCAATAAAAAAACAACACAGCCAGGCGCGGTGGCTCATGTCTGTAATCCAAGTACTTCGGCAGGCCAAGGCAGGCGGAACACCTGAGGTCGGGAGTTGAGACCAACCTGACCAACATGGAGAAACCCTGCCTCTACTAAAAATACAAAATTAGCCGAGCATGGTGGCACATGCCTGTAATCCCAGCTACTTGGAAGGCTGAGGCAGGAGAATTGCTTGAACCTGGGAGGCGGAGGTTGCAGTGAGCTGAGATTGCACCACTGCACTCCAGCCTGGGCAACAAGAGCGAAACGCCATCTCAAAAAAACAAAAAACAAAAAACAACAACAAAAAAAACACAAAAAACCCCACAAAGATGAAAGGACTAATGTGTTGTGATGAAATGAAATAGGACAGGGGATGGCGGAAAAAGTGTTATCTGCTGAGACCTTACTAAAAGGAAGAAGCAAGACATTTGAATTTCTGGAGGAAGAGTATTCCAGACAGAGGAAATAACAAATTAGAAAGACCCTAAGGATAAGAACAAGTTTGAAGCTTTCAAGAAAAGAAGTCCACTCTTTGTGAAGTGAATGCATTCCAGTTTATACTTCAGAGAGAGACTTAGAAATCTTGTCATGTGGAAAGCAAAGTGAAGGAAGTATGCACAGAGAAGGTTCAATTGGCTCATCTTTGGATGTAAGTAAGGGAAAGCTTCTAGTTATATATAAATGATCATTATTATCAATTTTATTATGAGTTAATGCAACTGGGTATGGTGGCTCATCCCTGTAATCCCAGCAGTTTGGGAGGCAGAGGTGGGTGGATTGCTTGAGCCCAGTTGTTTGAGACCAGCCTGGCAACGCAAAGAAACCCCATCTCTACAAAAAATACAAAAAAGTTAGCTGGGTGTAGTGGTGTGCACCTGTGGTCCCAATTACTTGGGAGGCTGAAGTGGAGGATCACCTGAGCCTGGGAGGTCAAAGCTGCAGTGAGCTGAGATCGTGACACTGTACTCTAGTCTGGGTGACAGAGTGAGACCTTATCTCAAAAAAAAAAAAAAAAGTTAAATAACCTATCATTTGGCCTATAAAGTCACATTATAGAAAAGTGCATGATTTCTGATAGGCTTTTGAAACACAAGAAATAACTTACAGGTTCCCCATAATACTCTGAAGATTCACAGGTAGGACACGTAGGGAACCACTACATTGAAAAAAAAAAATTAACTGGTGCGTGATATTGGCAGGAAAGCATGTCAAATAATATTAGACAATGAGGCTTTATACACATCCGTAAAACAATACTAATCCTCTTAGTCCTAATGAACAAGCTTTAGTTCTTTTCCATCTCAAGCTTCTAAAAAGATCTTTGTATTTAGATGGAAGGTCTTTTAGATAAAGGAGAGCAGACAGGCCACGCACGGTGGCTCACGCCTGTAATCCCATCACTTTGGGAGGCCGAGGTGGGTGGATCACCTGAGGTCGGGGGTTCGAGATGAGCCTGACCAATACGGAGAAACCCCGTCTCTACTAAAAATACAAAATCAGCCGCGCGTGGTGGCGCATGCCTGTAATCCCAGCTACTTGGGAGGCTCCTCGAGGAGGAAGAATTGCTTGAACCTGGGAGGTGGAGGTTGTGGTGACTCAAGATTGTGCCACTGCACTCCAGCCTGGGGTAACAAGAGCGAAATTCCATCTCAAAAGGAAAAAAAAGAGCAGACACAGGTATGCATAATCCCGCTACCCACTGGGAACCCTGTTTGCAGTTGGATAAATCAAGTCCCTTTTAGCCACTTTTGTTCACACTAACGGAAAAGACAGTGGAGTCCTCCCAATTAACACAATTTTGCAAATCGGCACAAGCAACAGGCCTTTTATGAAATTAGTTGTTAAATAGCTCTTCCCTCCACCCCCAAGCAAATACATTTTTTTGAGGCTAGAAAAGGCAATTTATCAGTCTTTGGGTTTCTGATACCTAACAATATCATACTGGAACAAGTCCAGCATTAGACAAAAATCTACCATCACCTATGTGCTAGAAACTTTACAAATGCCTCATACAATCTGCTCAATTCTTGTAAGGCAGATGGCTTATCAATAAAGTATACTAAGGGAATGCATGCAGCAAAGGCTTTGTGAATGAAGATGGTATGTATTTGTTCCATTTAGAGGGAAATTTGGTTGAGCAAACTCTCAAAGTATTTGGCTATATTTTTTTTCCCCTTTAGCTATACAGAGCCATGAGAAGAACCTAGGAAATAAATTGCTGGTTACAAATCCGTAAGTTTTAAAAAACTTACGGCCAGGAGTGGTGGCTCATGCTTATAATCCCAGCACTTTGGGAGGCCAAGGTGAGTGGATCACTTCACGCCAGGAGTTCAAGACTAGCGTGGCCAAAATGACGAAACCCCGCCTCTACTAAAAATACAAAAACTAGCTGGGCGTGGTGGCGTGCAACTGTAGTCTCAGCTATTCGGAGGCTGAGGCAGGAGAATCACTTGAACCCAGGAGGCGGAGGCTGCAGTAAGCTGAGATTGTGCCATTGCATTCCAGCCTAGGCGACAGGGCAAGACTCTGTCTCAAAAAAAAAAAAAAAAAAAAAACTTATCTGCAGATGTATTTTGATTTCTAGTTCTATAAATTAGATAATATTTCTACTGTATTTCTAATTCTATAAATTTACACAATTTTATAAATATTAATATCTATTTAAAAATCAGATTGTAAATCCCACGCTCCTATTCTTCACCTAAATGAAGGGGAGAGGATAAGGATGAGTTAGCACTAGGGGACTGACTGACAGACAAAAGAACACATGGACACACATACCAGGACAGAAAAAAAGTCTACCTGTGTTTATTTTCAAATACTTCTTTCATATCGTTTAATATATATTGTCTTTCAATAGCAAGGATTTTATATGTATGTTTTTAAATTGACAGAGCAGGGTCTGTGAACACCCTAAAATTATAGGCAAAAATCTATCTGTGACCATTTTTTTCAACTTTGTTTTATGATTAAATAGAGGAAAAAAGTAGTAGTCAGAGCATTAAGATTCTGGTGCTTGCATCGTATACACAGTATTCTCAGCTATAGTGCACATGTATTGCTTGGAAAATCAGAATCAATTTATTTGTACAGATTTGCTTGGCTTTTTTGTTTAATCGGCTCAAAAGAAACATTTGGCTGGGGAAGCTCCAGACACTGATTTCTCAATACTATCTTCTATGTTATAAAAGATTCTTTTGGAGTCTTAACTGACAAAAAGCCATTGGAGGGAATGCTTCACGATCTTAAAAAATAAAAAAAAGTTCAATGCAAGAAAATATCCAGTAGAGTTATATGTATCTTTACCTCTAATAGTTTCATGCATTTTAATACGTTTTTCGTAATCAAGGAATTAAACATATGCACCATTTGACCTTTTATGTTTTTTTCCCCCATGCAGTAAATTAACTTTCTCTTCATGAAGGAAAATTATTTTTAAAGACTTACTTAAAACTGGAAAAAAAGTGAAAGTGTACTCAAATCAGTACATTTCATTAATAAGACTGAATTACATTAATTGAATGCTTTTAAAACGACCTTCAATCCTCATAACACTTAAAAGGTGCTAGAGTGATTAATAATGCAGGCCCTAGAGTCAACCTGAAGGGACTCTACCAATTAAGATAATTGTGTGAACTTCAGCTCATTACTTGGTGCTTCAATTTCCTTATTTAAACTGAGGGTAATAATAATGCCCACCTCATTGGGGTTGTTATGAGGATAATACGTGAGAATACTAATACAAATGCTTAGAATAAATTACTATTATAATGACTATTCTATAAATAAAGAAACTAAGGCTTAGAAAAGTTAAGCAACTTGTCTATCATATAAAGCAGGTAATAGTAGAGCAGGGATTAAAAAAACCAAACCAGGTACTACATCTCACTCCAAAGCCTGTATTTCCACTATGTTGTACTGTCTCCTACCATGTCTTGTCATAATAAATCCACAAAAATTTAAACTCACATGAAAGATATATCTCAGAAGAGTTAGTTTACACAGTGAGAACAGCTTATTTAGATTTCATATTTTAACACAGGTTTTTTGTGGAATGTTAAAAATTATAAAGCAATAAGTTTAATGCTAAATATTCAAACTATATAAATGTAAAAAACATAAGTGGCTTCTATTCTATTCCCTGATTCTACTCCCCTATGTGTGTTCTCATCTACTGTAATAAATACTTCTTCTAATTAGCCACATGAGCTAATGTGTCCCTTATGTGAAAAATGGGGATAATGATGCCATTTGAAGTTTCTAAGATTAAAAATATGAATACAAAGCACTTAGCAGAGTGCCCAACACGTAGGCACCCAACAAATGTTACATGTCATTACAAGAAAGTCGGAAAAAACTCTCCAATTTCCTCATCTTTTCTTTTTAAATTTTTTTTTGAGGCAGGGTCTTGTTCTGTCACCCAGGCTGAAGTGCAGAGTTCACAGCAACCTCAAACTCATGGGTTCAAGTGATCCTCCTGCCTCAGCCCCTTACCCCCACCCCCCCAGTAGCTGGGACTATAGGCTCACGCCGCCACACCCAGCTAATATTTTAAACTTTTTGTACAGACAGCATCTCCCTATGTTGCCCAGGCTGGTCTTGAATTCCCACCAGGGCATCCCAAAGTGCTGGGATTACAGGCATCAGCCACGACACTTGGCTTTCCTCATCTTTTCAATTGATGACTAACAATAGTAATACTTGTCTTACTTTATAGCATTATTGTAAAAATTAAATTGATAAGAACCTACCCTATAAACAGTTAAGTTAAAGATATGAATTATACCATTATTAGATGCCCCTTCTCCTTTAAGAGGCTACTGCAATACAAACATGACACCAACATGAAAAGACACAAACAACTGTACCTATCTTTGATTAATATTAAATTAAAACCAGGCATAATGGCTCACACCTGTAATCCCAGCACTTTGGGAGGCCAAGGTGGGTGGATCACCTGAGGTCAGGAATTCAAGATCAGCCTGGCCAAAGTGGCAAAACCCCATCTCTACTAAAAATACAAAAATTAGCCGGGTGTGGTGGTGCGTGCCTATAATCCCAGCTATTGGGGAGGCTGAGGGAGGAGAATCGCTTGAACCCAGGAGGTGGAGGTTGCAGTGAGCCAAGATCTCGTCGCTGCACTCCAGCCTGGGCGACAGAGTGAGACTGCATCTCAAAAATAAAAAAATAAGTATTAATTAATTAATTAATTAAAAGTACCATGACATGGGTCAGAACAAAAAAACTATCAAATAACCAAAGCATAAATTTTAAAAGTAAAATACTACTCACAACTTTACTAAAATTAAACAATTTTAGTTCTTAAAAATAAAGTACAGTAAGTAGTTTTTAAGGGCCATGTTTCTCTCCACCAATTGCCACCCCAGTCACTTGAAACAATAAACTGTTGTTAGTTTCAAGCCACAATTAGCTCAGGCTGAAGTCTAAAGCACTTGGAGATATTGATCAAGTAATTATTTTAGGGGAGGGATGAGATGGTAGAGATGTAGTATTTCTAGGAAATGAGTTAAAAAGAAAAGCAAAAATGTCAGCACCTCTAAGATGGCCATAAAGTTGTATTGATGGCTGATAAATGTAATGTTGAGTGAAAAACATGTACCTCTAGAATGATGATGGCTGGGTTCACAGATTTGCATCATAGGTACCAAGTATTTAAATGTCCACTAGTATTTCAACACTCTGATGATGCATACCTTTAAAATATTTAAGTATATGTAACTGTGATATTGCAAAGGATGGAAAAAAACCAACCTCAAGTAGAAAAAAAAATTGTGAGCAGTCTTGAAGGTATTCTGAAAGCTAAACTAGCACTTACCAAATTGTGAGTATAAATATGTGGCCTAGAAATCTAAGTATCAAATTTTAAATTAACAATCTACTGATTGTGACTGTTAACAAACTACCAAATTATTCAGATTTTTCTCCTTAAGTTGATGTTAAGGATAAAGTCTCAGGGACCATATCATGTCTTATTAAAACTGTAGGCGAGCTTTGCTACATAAACAGTATTTGCCATTTTTAAACATTTACTGTGTCTCCCTTTTTAAAGTAAATGAAATTGCAAGCAGAATCCAATTGAACAAAATTGTGGGTGGGAGGGGGTGGATATGAAGTCAAATTTTAAAATAGTGGATTTTGATTGAAATTGTTTTTAAAACAGACTTACTCAGTAGTGTATGTGTTAACATAAACATAGGGTTTGGTGCCCTAACTTTACTTCTGTATTACTTTACTAGTTTAAAGCCAAAAAAAAAAAATCATAAAATCCATACAATTAATACAAAATCTGAGACTTTAAGTCAGAGAACATATTAGTCTTGGAAAAAAGAGCAAGAATACTGCACTAGCTTTTAAAGGTTATGAGTAATAATCACTGTGAATAATAGGAAACACTTCCAGCTGATTTAAGAACCGATAAACAAATCTCAATATTATACTGCTTTTTTGAAAATGACATAAGCAGGATTGGTTTACCACCACCCTTGTTTCAGTTTCTTTTTATAATATAATGAAATAAACCAGAAAACCCCCAAATTAAAAGCATTTTTGATAATTTTTTTTTTTACTAGTTCTTCCACCTTCAAGTAAATAAAACTAACATTTAAAAAAAGCCCTCATATAAGAGGGAAAAAAATTTTTCCTAAATCTGGGGACTAAAATTTTTTTGTGTTGAAAGTGGAGAGAGCTGGGCATGGTGGCTCATCCCTGTAATTCCCTACAGGGTCTCGCTCTGTTGTCCAGGCTGGAGTACAGTGGCACAATTTTAGCTCATTGCAACCTCGGCCTTCCGGGGTCAAGCCATCCTCCTACCTCAGTCTCCTGAGTAGCTGGGATCACAGGTGCATGCCACACCACACCCAGGTAATTTTTGTATTTTTTGTAGAGACAGAGTTTCAAGATATTGTCCAGGCTGGTCTCTAACTCCTGAACTCATGGGATCTGCCTGCCTTGGCCTCCCAAACTGCTGGAATTATAGGCATGAGCCACCGTACCTGGCCAATCCCAGCACTTTGGAAGGCTGAGGTGGTAGGACTGCTTGAGCCTGGGAGTTTGAGACCAGTCTGGGCAATATGGGGAGACCCTGTCTCTATAAAACATTAAAAAATTAGCTGAATGTGGTGGCATGAGCCTACAGTCGCAGCTACTGGGGGGCATGGGGAGGAGGTTGAGGCAGAAGGATCACTTGAACCCATGAGTTTGAGGCTGCAGTGAGCTCTGCACTCCAGCCTGGGTGAGAAAGGGAAACTCTGTCTTGGAAAAAAAAAGGGGGGCGGGAGCAGAAAATATTAGAATCAAATATTAAACCTCCTAGAGCAAGCTGTTTCACGATTCAAAAGTATATAAGAGAAGCAGAGAAAACAAAGAATATACAAATGCATTATTCCAAAGACAATGCACTCTCTCCATTAGAAAAAATTACCATATACAACTCCAGTAACAACATAATACAAATTTCAAAGCCACATTTGAAACTATCAGTAAAATGCAAAATATGTACTGTCTTCACTGAAAAGAAAAGAATGTCTTCTTGGCCAGGCATCGTGGCTCATGCCTGTAATTCCAACACGTTGGGAGGCCAGGGCAGGTGGGCTGCTTGAGCCCAGGAGTTTGAGAACAGCCTGGGCAATATGGCAAAACTTCATCTCTACAAAAAAAAAAAAAAAAAAAAAAAAAAAAAAAAAAAAAAAGAAGCGAGGTGCTTTTAGTCCCAGCTAGTTGTGAGGCTGAGATGCGAGGATCTCTTGAGCCAGGGAGGTCAAGGCTGCAGTGAGCCTGGGCAACAGACTGAGACTCTGTCTCAGAAAAAAAGGAAAAACAAACAAACAAAAAAGAATGTCCTCTCCCAGCTACTCTTAAAGTTGGCAATGATAGCCCTGAAGGGAAAACAAATGTGAAATTGTAAGTCTAAATTTTTAAAGAAAACTAAAATGTTCTCTCAATAAACAACTTTTACCATAAGATAGCAGCTCTCATACATAAGGCAATATTCTGAAAGATAAACACAATACAATTCAAAATAGGCTAAATTTGTTACTTTACACAAAAAGAAACTTCCTAGAATGTCTGCAAAACAAATACACTTTGCTCTTACTTGACTCCATTTTATAAACAAGTGTGCTTGCAAATCTGCCAAATTAACTCAATTTACCCTTACTACAATTTCAGACTTCAATAATCCATCTCATCAATTGTACCTTTCATCTATGTCTTAATAAATTTTAATGGTAGAGACAAGCTGCTCTATACTTTGATAACAGTCTTACTTTCTGTTATGAAACAAAACTGTACCCTTTGGCCAATGTGATTTTTAGGTTTAACATAAATTTGGTTTCTTCATTTTCTTTTCTCATTTAGCAAAGAAGCTTGAAGAGGGAAGCCTTTCATCACTTAAATAAAATGAATATAATAAATTCTGGCTAGACAATTCCATTACAAAAGGTAGCTATGCAGTAGTCTCCAGCCTTGACACAGGAGACATTCATTTCACATTATTTTAGTAATGTATATAAAGTCAATTTTTCTAAAAAAGCAAATACTTTGACTTAAATGCCAGTGTTGAAAAAGAGTTAGAATTTTTGCTTTCAATGTATTCTCCTTAAAACAATGGAAATGGAGCTAATTCTCACATAAGTATATATAACTATCTTTTCATAAAGAAGCTCAGTTGAAGTTGATTAGCTTTCAGTTTCCATCCATTTGAGACAAAACATGTTATTTTCTCTATTGCATTAGGTAATAATTTTTACTGTAACTTGCTCAATCTGCACTTACTACATAAATACAATACAGCAGCTGGGTGCGGTGGCTCACACCTGTAATTCCCGCAATTTCGGGGGCCGAGGCAGGTGGATCACATGAGGCCAGGAGTTTGAGACCAATCTGGCCAACATGGCGAAACCCTGCCTCTGCTAAAAAAATACAAAAAAATTAGCTGGGTGTGGTGGTGCGTACCTGTAATGCCAGCTTCTTGGGAGGCTGAGGCAGGAGAAATCACTTGAAGCTGGGAGGTGGAGGTTGCAGTGACCAAGGTTGAGCCATTGCACTCTAGGCTGGGTGACAGTGCGAGACTCCATCTCACTCACACACACACACACACACACACCATACACTGTATTACAGTAACTAGTACATTCTTATATATGTCAGTTTATATCTATTGGAGTTTACCACAAGCATATGGCCACTGGGATTTTTTTTCAGAATTACTCTTTGCCATTAAACAGAAGATACTTTCCTTATACAAGATGAAACAATGTTTTAATACAGTATCATTAAATGTCAATAATGAAATATTTAACTTCAAGAACAACAAATTTAAAAATTATACCTTGCTGTTATTTTTTAATAAATTGAACTAGGCAGGGTGTGGTGGCTCATGCCTATAATCCCAGTGCTTTGGAAGGCCCCAGATAGAAGGATTGCTTGAGGTGGCTCATGCCTGTAATCCCAGTGCTATGGAAGGCCCTAGATGGAAGGATAGCTTGAGGCCAGGAGTTCAAGACCAGCCTTGGCAACACAGACTCGTTTCTACAAAAAATAAAAACAATTAGCTGGGCATGGTGGTGTGATGGCTACTCAGGAAGCTGAGGTGGGAGGACTGTTTGAGCCCAGGATTTCGAGGTTGCAGTGAGCTGTGATCGCACCACTGTACTTCATCATGGGTGACAGAGTGAGACCTGGTCTCTTAAAAAAAAAAAAAAAAAGAACGAAAGAAGAATCTATTGTAGGGGGAGGGGTGGTTACTGTAAAATTTTGTACTCGAGCAATTCAATTCTCCAAAGGTGGGTTGTTTCTTCCCCAAAGGTAGGTTGTTACTATAAAGAGAAAAAGGTGGTTCTTTAATAAAGAAATCTTCTTAAAAACAACTGAAGTGTCTCTTACAATGATTACAGGATTAAAAAAAAAAGCAAGTTGGGAATTATGAAAAGCCACTAGGGAAGTCATGGTGATTAAAAAGAAAGGTTTTGGAGACAGATCTAGGTTCAAATTCCTGGTCGTGCTATTCAGAGAAACTTGTGAGGTTGGGTAAGTTTCTTCACCCCTTTTAGCCTCAATTTCCTTATCTGCAAAATTAGTCACTGTGTTAAATAAGAAATAGCAAACAGAGGTATTATTAGCACTGAGCCTGGTATGGGCCCAATAAGGCAGCTATTACCATTACTGTGAAGACAAGCTGACCAGGGACCTCATTAATAACGTTGCAAAAGCTGCTACGGTCGTTTTCCTTTAAAACTCAGGCTGGGCACGGCGACTGACACCTGTAATCCCAGCACTTTGGGAGGCCGAACTGGGCGGATCGCTTGAGGCTGGGAGTTCGAGACCAGCCTGACCAACATGGCGAAACTCCGTCTCTACTAAAAAATATAAAAATTAGCCAGGTGTGGTGGTGCGCGGCTATAATCCCAGCTACTGGAGAGGCTGAGGCAGGAGAATCACTTGAACCTGGGAGGCGGAGGTTGCAGTGAGCCGGGATCACGCCACTGCATTCCAGCCTAGGCGACAGACCAGACTTTGTCTCAAAAAAAAAAAAAAAAAAAAGACAAAAATCCACTCTTTGCTTTTTTAGTAGGGTAACAACTATTGGTAACTTTCTCTTGTTCGATATTAGTGTAAAGGACTCCACAGAAATAAGAACAAAAAGGGTAGAGTTAAAAACCGAATTTTACAGGTAGCAATAACCTGGACTCAGGTAAAAGTGCGTGATGAAGAATTGATCAAAGGGCCTTCATCCTAGCTTTCAACTATTCTACCAATCCTCAGTAGACTTGATGGGGGTTAGAATGGTATTCCCTGGCATATGCTTTTAAAACAAAATCATTTCAGGCAAAAGAAAAGTCTAGCACCCAGGATAGTACACATACTAGGCAGGATTAATCTTAATAATTACTTGTTGAATCAAGAAGTTGTACATTTCAGATGAAAATTTTAATTTCCTAGGAAACACCGACTTACATTGAACAAAATTTTCATTTGCTATTATTCTGGACTCACCGAGAGCTCAAGATTCTAGTTTTTATCTTCACTTATTTCAAAAACCTTATGCGGTAGGAATTATCCCCAAAGTAATGAAAAAAAGGAATGAGCTTTAAAAGCGGTTGAGTAAACTGCCTAAAGTTAACAGTTTCTAAAGTAAAGAAGCAGCTGAGATTTGAACTTGCTTTTTAGGGCTCAAAAATCCAAGCTGTCTGAGCTTCACTAAAGCATGTACCACTACTTGTCTCCCTAAACTGTCTGATACACAGAACATTTATTAAATTTTAAGGATTTTTGTTTTTGTCTTCTATGTTGCCAGTCCTTCCATTTCACATTACCTCCTTTGCTGGGTAAGCTATATACCCTCAATACAACGAGAATGGTGTCAGAGTACAAGCCTTAAGAACAGAAAATTTCTTTTACTCCGTACGCCAGAGGTCTGGCGCCACCACCACAAGCGACAAACACAGGCTGGGGTCCAGAAACGCTGCCGACCGCGCCCAGATCTCAAGTTTTAGTCAAGGCCCACGTTCAGACTAGGAGAGGGGAGAAGAGAGGGTTCTCTTTCCCCACACCCTCGCCACGGTGGAAGCACAGAGGAGAAGGTTGGAGTCGCAGTAACAGTGCAAACAATAAACCCGAAAGCCCCTCTTAAGCCCGTTAAACGCACTTACTTGATTGAAGTAATTCCAGGACGCTAGGCCGGCACCGGCAACGGAAAAGGCTTCTCTGTCCTCCAGCCCAGGCGCTGGTGCTGACGACATCTGGACTGCGCCGCAGAGAGTGAAGGCCCAGCGCGAGGCCGCGAGCCCAGCGCCCAGAGCGCGCGCTCACGAAAGGAGCGGGGCATCCCAACGGCGCCACCTTTAAGCGTCACGGGTGGGGCTGCAGCTTCTGGACCTAGGACTTTGAACATGTCGCGCCTGAAGCGGATAGCGGGGCAGGATCTCCGCGCTGGTTTCAAAGCAGGTGGAAGAGACTGCGGTACCTCGGTACCCCAAGGGCTGTTGAAGGCAGCGAGGAAGAGCGGCCAGTTAAACCTGTCGGGTAGAAACCTCAGTGAAGGTAAGACCCAGAGGTACGACCCTATTGTGTCTCCTGTCAGAAAGCCTTTGGCCCAGGCAACCTCCCTTTTCTCTGGGCTGGCTTTGGCCCCCTTTCTCAGACTGCTAGCCAGAATTTCTGTGCTCTAATCTAATCCCTGTGCTCATTTCGACCGGTTTGGTTAGCCCAGTTCAGTTCCTTCCCAGGTTCCCGCAATCTCTGTTAAAGGGACCCTGCTAAAAATACGGTCTAAATTTAAACGGGGCGCTTTCTGGGATTCCCACATTCTGTGGGATAAGCAACATAATATGTGACGAAACCAGCTATCAAATCACGGGCAAATCTTTTGTTTCTTTGGCCCTTATTTTCCTCCTCTTATTGTAATCTTCAAGGGCAATTACCAAAGCTAAAATTATATGTTTTATCGGCCCCTTTGTGAACCTGCACTGTTCCCTGCCGAGACGCTCTTCTGTATGCAGCTGTGCAGAGTTCTACTTACAAGGAATAATGAGTATATTTTCTAAGTTGAAGATCAGGATAGATGCCACACAGAGTGTTTGAATGTGGGGACATCCTGAGAAACCTGTTAAAGACCAAGAAGCACAAATCTGGGTACCATGAATGAATGGCCAGATGCTCTTCTGATTGTCGTGTGTGTGTGTGTGTGTGTGTGTGTGTAAGAGAGAGAGGGAGGGGAATGGAGAGATGGAGAAATAGAGCATTTTTCCTGTAATGTTTTTCTTCATTTATATTTAGGTTTTAAGACTGATTAAAACCTTCCATTTTCCTTCTAATGATTGCTTTCTTATTGTGACATGTATAAAGTAGATTAGGCAAGCAAATGCTTCTGAATGAATGAAAAGACACAGAATCCTTACTCCACCTAAAAGAGTTTTTGATCAATGGGAACATACTCATTTTCAAACTACAGTTGTGCATATATATATATCTACTTGGTTTCCCCAAAACCTGAAACATTTTTCTCTAAACTTGCATACCTATCATGCTAACATTCTGTTCTCTTACCTGTTTAATTTTTTAACAGCATTTATCACTATCAGAATTTATATCATTTATGTTTTTTGTTTTCTCTGCCCTCCAACCAAAAGGTTAATATCATGAAGTCAGTGAGCTTTGTTTTGTGCTTTGTTGTATTTCTATCACTGAAAATAGTGCTTGGTACATAGTAGAGTCTTATTAAATTTTGCGGAAGCAATAAGTAAGTGAATGAGTATTCTCAAATCATAAGTGGTGTGCTAGAATGTACTTATTGACTAGACTCAGGTGGTTTCGTCTGTTAAACTTTAAGAGAGCACATGGATTCTGACTCTTAGGTCCGTGATGATATGGATTAGAACTGCTTAGGTTATTGTTATATAACCAGAACCTAACACTTTACCTGGTACATAAAATGATTTTAAATGAGTGAATAAACAGCATTTCATAGGAGGGAAAGATATAAATGGCAGAAACTCATGGTATTTGTAGCTTATATATAAAAAAGGAATCCCTGTTACTATAATATAGAAAGTCTTTCTCTGTCTGGCTGTATGTAGCCCTCAGTTTCATCACTTGTTAGTGAAACTTTGATAGGCAAACCACTATAATTCTGAACTGTTTGTAGTTCGTTACGGGGTCGTGCTTCTTATCTTCCTATCTTTGCTCACATAACATTGAGATGGTTAATCACTCTGTGCCCTAATTTCTCATTTATTATGCAGGAGTCATAACAGGACCTATTAAGGTCTAAATGAGATAAAATGAAATAAAGTGCCTGGTACATAAAAAGTACACAGTAAAAATTCACCATTGCTGTTATCATGGCAGCACCTTCTAGTTGGTTTCCTGGAGTTTTTACTTTACATCTCACTCTTGCTACTCCAGAGGCTGAGGCAGGAGGATCACTTGAGTCCAGGAGTTTAAGGCTGTAGTGCCTTATGATCACACCTGTGAATAGCCACTGCACTCTAGCTTGGACAATATTGTGAGACCCTGTCCATAAACAACAACAACAACTACCCTCACACTCTAAATCCTAGTGTCATTACCAAGAGTTATTTTTCCAAAACAGATCTTACATCACTCAAAACGTTTAATGACTTCCCATAGCCCAGAAGATACGGTATAGGTAAACTTTTTAGCACAGCATACAAAAGTCTTTCTAAACCTTTCCCTTAACTATTTACTTTGAGGCCTCTTTTCAGTATCCTATACTTTGATAATGATAGTAGCTCATGCCTGTAATCCCAGCACTCTGGCAAATTGAGAGGCAGGAGGATCGCTTTGAGGCCAGAAATTCAAGACCAGCCTGAGGCAACATAGTGAGACCCCATCTCTACAAAAAATACAAGAATTAGATGAGCATGGTGGCGTGCGCCTTTAGTCCTAGCTACTTGGAAGGCTGAGGTGGGAGGATTGCTTGAGCCTGAGTTGGAGGCTGCAGTGGGTGCTGTGATTGTGCCATTGCACTCCAGCTTGGGCAAGAGAGTGAGATCCTGTCTCTAAAATAATAATAATGACACTAACAAAAATTACCTTTCCCCCAAACAACCATACTTTAAAATTTTTTAACGAACTTTTTTAATGAAAGTTGAGCAGATGGTACATTATATTCTCATATACCCTCTGTCTCCAGCTTAGAGTTTCCTCTGTTATTAACATCTTGCATTAATGTAGTACATTTATTATAATTGATGAACCAATATTGATACATTATTATTAACTGGAGTTCATAGGTTTGTTAGGGCTCATTCTTACTGTTGTACAGGTCTATGAAATTGACAAATGCATGTCGTATATCCACCATTAGAGTATCATACAGCATAATTTCACTTCCCTAAAAATCCTGTGTGCTCTACCCATTCATTCCTTACCTATCTTCCCCTGAACTGTGGGCAACCAGTGATCTTTTTCCTGTTTCTATAGTTTTACCTTTCCCAGAATGTCTCTTAATTTGAATCATACCAGTGCATAACGTTTTCAAACTGATTTTTTAACTAATCAGTATGCATTTAAGGTTCATCCATGTATTTTTGATGACTTAATCTTTTTTTTTTATTGCTGAGTAATATTCAATTGTATGAATGTACCATTTTGTTCATTCACATGTTGAAGGACATCTTGGATACTTCCAGTTTTTGGCAGTTATGAATAAAGCAGCTGTAAACATTTATGTTCAGGTTTTTGTCTGGATATATGTTCAACTCATTTGGATAAGAGCCTAGGAGCATGATCACTGGATCATATAAGAGACTATGTTGAGCCCTGTAAGAAACTGTCAGACTACTAATGTGTACCATTTCATATTTCCACAAGTAATAAATGAAAGTTCTCTGCTCCACATTCTTATCAGCATTTGGTATGATCAGGTTTTTGGATTTTGGCCATTTTAGTGGGTGTATTTCGTTATTTTATTTTATTTTATTTTATTTTTGAGACGGAGTTTTGCTCTTGTTGCCCAGGCTGGAGTGCAATGGCGTGATCTCAGCTCACCGCAACCTCTGCCTCCCAGGTTCAAGCAATTCTCCCGTCTCAGCCTCCTGAGTAGCTGGGATTACAGGGATGTGCTGTCATGCCTGGCTAATTTTTTTTTGTATTTTTAGTAGAGACGGGGTTTCTCCATGTTGGTCAGGCTGGTCTTGAACTGCTGACCTCAGGTGATCCACCCACCTCGGCCTCCCAAAGTGTTGGGATTACAGGCGTGAGCCCCCACGCCCGGCCTGTATTGTGTTATCTTATAGTTTTAACTTAGTATTTCCTAATGACATATGATGTTGAGTGTCTTTTCATATGCTCATTTGCCATCTGTATATCTCTTTGGTGAGGTGTCTATTAAGAACTTTTGCACGTTTTTTCATTGGGCTCGTTTCCTTGTTGTTGATCATAGTTGTCTTTTTATGCCACTTGTTTCTGCTCAGCAACTGATTGTTCAATGAGTAAGTGACATATGTAAATAGGCTGGTGGCTTTTTGGTTGCGATTCTTAAATTTTGTGTCATATGAAGTCTAGATAAATGTGGCAGAGGTGTTTTTTGACCCAGTCAAAAGTAATTGCAGAAAGTGATTATTATTTTCTTTTCATATAAACTTACTAACTTGTCCCTTGTACTGATTCCTTGCATGTTGTATTTTTAGTATATGTTAATCTAAAAAAAGTGTTATTATCTTTTGTTTTTACCCCAAAATATTAGTACCTCAAATTATGATTTACATTCAAAATATATTTAGTTGTTTTTTGTTTTTTTGAGACAGGGTCTTGCTGTGTCACCCAGGCTGGAGTGCAGTGGCTCAGTCATGGCTCAGTGCAGCCTCAAACTCCTGGGCTCAAGCCATCTTCCCTCCTCAGCCTGTCAAGTAGCTAGAACTACAGGTGTGTGCCACCAAACCCAGCTATTTTATTTTTTGTAGAGACTGGATCTCACTGTATTGTCCAAGCTGGTCTCGAACCCCTGGCCTCAAGTGATCCTCCCACCTCAGTCTCCCAAAGTGCTTGGATTACAGGCATGAGCCACCATGCCCAGGCCAAAAGATACTTTAAAACATGGCTTCTTTCAGATTGCGCTTTCTCCCTTGCTCTCTCTCTTGCACGCTCTCTTTTTTTCTCTCTCTCTATACACATATATGAGACATTTTATGGGAAATGTATGAGATAAATATGAAACTATTTTGTATGCTATAGGGAGTTACACAGATACTTATTCAAATAGCATTTATTGTTTATCTACTATGTTTCTTCCAGATATAGTTCTAGAGGAAATAAAGATTAATGACACCTTCAAACAATTCATAGTCTCATAAGTGTTTAACATAAGCTTTATTATTAAGAATTGTACTTGTTAAACAAATAATAATTTAAATTTTCATGTTATACTTTAATTCTTTCTCTCTCTCTTCACATTTACATAGTCATATTTGTAAAGTAGATTCATTTCTGTTCCTTCTTTTTTTTTTAGAGGTAGGGTCTCATTCTGTTGACCGGGCTAGAGTACAGTGGCATGATAGTTTATTAGACCTTGAACCCCTGGGCTCCAGTGATCTCCTGCCTCAGCCTCCTGAATAGCTAGGACCACAGGCATGCACCACTGTGCCCGGCTAATGTTGAAATTTTTCGCAGAGATGGGGTCTTGCTATATTGCCCAGCTTGGTCTCAAACTCCCTCTGTCCACAATCCTCCTGCCTTGGCCTCCCGAAGTACTGGGATTATGGGTGTGAGCCACTGTACCTGACCCCATTCCTGATATTTCTACATTGGGAAAACAAAACTTAGTCTTTAATTTTTACATATATAATGAAAAACAGTTAAAATTCTGTTGATTCTTGCTCTTAGATGGTAGCCTCCTTAAATAGAAATTTTCTTAGTGGAAGCCGTACAAGGGCAGTGAGAGATTTTATTAACCTGATAGGATTGTTAACTAGACTATTAACCCAGTCCAGTACAGTGATAAAGAGGTTTACTCTACCTAAACTTATTTGGGTAGAGTAAGTCTTGAGGGTATTAACTTTTACCCATAACTGAAACCTGGTTACTCTTTGGGGTGTTTAGGTATACAGTTGACCCTTAAATAATTCAGGGGTTGTGGGGCTGACTCCCTTGTGCAGTCAAAAATCCATGTATAACTTTTGACTCCCCCAAAACTTAACTACTAATAGCTTACTGTTGACTAGAAGCCTTACTGATAACATAAACAGTCAATTAACATATATTTGTATATTATATGTATTATATACTACGTTCTTACAATAGTAAGCTAGAGAAAAGAAAATGTTATTAAGAAAATCATAAGGAAGAGAAAATATATTTACTATTCATCAAGTGGAGTGGATCATCATAAAGGTCTTCATTCTCATCTTCACATTGAGTAGGCTGAGGAGGAGGAGGAAAAGGAGGGGATGGTCTTGCTTTCTCACGGGTGGCAGAGGCAGCAGAAAATCCATATATAAGTGAACCTGTGCAATTCAAACCCATATTGTGCGAGGATAAACTGTACTTTGTTTTTGTAGGCTCTAGTTCTTTTTTGAAAAATACCATTTATTATTTTCGTATTCATAAAAGCAGGTCTGCTGTAGAAAGATTAGAATCTATAGAGAAAAGCATAAAAAGTGAAGAAGCCAACCAGAGTTAGTCACTGTTAATGTTGTGGAGGTTTTTCTTCTAATACTGTGTGTGTGTGTGTGTGTGTGTGTGTGTGTGTGTGTGAGACTATGTATAATTTGACTGCTATTTTTTATTTTTTTATCTAATTTAGTTTATTTATTGATTGAGACAGGATCTCACTCTGTTGCCCAGGCTGGAATGCAGTGGTGAGATCACGGCTCACTGCAGCCTTGACTTCCTTATCTCAAAAGTGATTTTCCCACCTCAGCTCCCTGAGTGTCTGAGACTACAGGGATGTGCCACCATGCCTGGCCAATTTTTATATTTTTTGTAGAGATGAGGTCTTGCTATGTTACCCAGGCTGGTCTTGATCTCCTGAGCTCAAGCGACCTGTCCAACTCACCCTCCCAAAGTGCTGGGATTACAGGCATGAACTGTTGTGCCTGGCCCTATTTTTTATTTTTAACAAATTTAGAATTGTACTGACTCCTGTTTTTCTGGCTTCTATTTGTACATTTTCCTTGTCACTTGAAAAATCTTATTATTTTTAGTGGCTGTATAATAGTCCATCTTATGACTACTATTAATTAATATGTATTCATATTTAAACATTCAAATTTTGTTCGCAATTTTTAAGTAATCATTCTGAGTGTCAGTTCTATAACTTATTTAGAAAGATATTCTCAAATAGGAATAATTGTTAATAACCAACTTCAAAGAAAAATACTGTACATGTAAGTGACAGCTCTTTTTATGAGCAGCAACATGAGAATATGTTGTCAGTTTGGTTCAATATTGCAGCTCTTTTTCGTCGGACTAGATAAAATGAAGATGGAGTTGGAGGTGTTGATCGTTGCTTTCCAGTTGCATGACCATGGTAGAACAGTAGTGCAAGAATGTTATTGGATGATTATCTAAAACTGAGGAAAAATAAAAGGTGCCAGAGTTTGGAACAAAAGAATACTGTAAATTCTAATGGAAACTGCACTGTTGATCTGAAAGGCAAATTAAGAGGATAATTCATTAAATAAGCCAGTTAAATTAGCTTGGAAACCAATTATTTGAAAGGGAAATATGGGTGTAAGGCTATCCTGCCTTATCTTGAAGAGAGCAGTTTGGTTAGCTTTTATTTGTGTAGTTAAGTAATTTGGTCTAGGGCACCTAATCATGAAGAAAACCTACTATTTTAGGGTAATGAGAATTTGCCCTATTCAATATGTATAGTTTGTTGGGACAGAATAAAAAGTGTGACACGGGGTCAGGTGCTGTGGCTCACACCTTTAATACCAACACTTTGGGAGGTGGAAGCAGGCGGATCACTTGAGCCTGGGAGTTCAAGACCAGTCTGGGCAACAAGGCAAAACTTCGTCTCTACTAAAAATACAAAAATTTGTATTTTTAGTAGAGATGGGGTTTTACCATGTTGGTCAGGCTGGTCTCAAACTCCTGACCTCAGGTGATCCACCTGCCTTGACCTCTCAAAGTGCTGGGATTACAGGCATGAGCCACTGCACCCAGCCACATTCTTTTATCCTTCTGTGCAAACACCATTTTAAGCATGTTTTTTATTTCTTCTCTGTCTCTTTATCCACCCATATCATATAAATGTCCTCCCCAAACTAGATAGTTCTCTGTGATCAACCCATTTGTGAGTCCTCATTTCTATATTTAGCTGTTACCAGTGGAAAAAAGAGTAAGACAGTTTGCTTAAAAAAAAAAAAAAAGCCGGGGGTTGGGGGGGCCAGGTGTGATTGCCCATGATTATAATCCCAGCACTTTGGGAGGCCAAGGTGGGAGGATCACTTGAGACCAGGAGTTTGAGACCAATCTGGGCAACATAATGAGACCCTGTCTCTACAAAAAATAAGCTGGATGTGGTGGCACATGCCTGTAGTCCTCATAGTTCTAGCTACTTGGAAGACGGAGGCAGGAGGATCTCCTGAAGCCATGAGTTCGAGGCTGCAGTGAGTTATGATCACACCACTGTACTCCAGCCTGGGTGACAGGCTCTCAAAAAAAAATAAAATAAAATAAAAAAATACATCTATACATCTTCCTCCCCCCCGCCGCCCCCCAGTATCTATAAGGACCATGTTGTCCATTGTGGAAGCCTGTACTCATGTTGGCTTTTTAACTTTTAAATAATCAAAATTAAATAAAATTAAAAATCAAGTTCATCAGTTACTTTAACCACATTGCAAGTGCCCAGTAGCCATATGTGGCTAGTAGCTATCCTATTGAATAGTGCCAACGTAGGGCATTTACGTCATTGTAGAAAGTTCTGTTGAGCCATGCTGCTTAAGGATATTGTATCTACCCTGTGATATATGTTATATGTGTATATTTTTCCGATAGAATTGCCTTGATGTGTTACATCACCTATATTTTAAAATTATTCTTTTTTGGGGTTAACTTTATTGAAGTATCATTTACAAAGAGTATGTTGCATCCATTTTAAGTGTACAGTTTAATGACTTTTGACAAATATATACCATCATGTAACCAGTACTACAATCAAGATATAGAACATTTCCAACATCTTGAAAAGTTTACTTGTGCCCCTTTGCTGTCAATCCTGCTATTGGCTCCACATAACTACGGATCTGCTTTTTGTCAATGTAGATTAATTTTAGTTCTTTTAAAATTGCATGTAAATGAAATAATACATTTGCAATTTTTTTTTTCGCTTAGGGCTTCTTTTGTTTAGAATCATGTTTTTGAGGTTCATCCATGTTGTTTACATCAGTTGTTCTTTTTTTTTCTTTCTTGAGACAGTGTCTCCCTCTGTTGCCCAGGCTAGCATGCAGTGGCACAGTCATAGCTCACTGCAACTTCAAACTTCTGGTCTCAAGTGATCCTTCTGCTTCAGTTTCCCAAGTATCTGGGACTCATGGTGTATGCCACCATGCCTGGCTAATTTTTTTGTTTTTAATAGAGACGAAGTCTTGCTCTTTTTCCCAGGTTGGTCTCAAACTTCTGGGCTCAAATGATCCTCCTGCTATGGTCTCCCAAAGTGCTGCAATTATGGGCATGAGCCACCACGCCCAGCCAGCAGTTTTTTAAATTGCTGAATAATAGTCCATTTGTGTATACAATTCAATTTATTTATCCATTAGTCTGTTGATGGACATTTGAGTGGTTTCCAGTTTTTGGCTGTTATGAATAAAATTGCTATAAGCTTTCTTGTATAGTCTTTTTTTTTTTTCTTAGAAAGAAACATTTCGTAGGTCTTACAAATGGAAGGTGTGTCTGTGTCTTGGACAGTGGTGAGATAAGATGATGGATCTCTGTGCCTCATGTACAAGTCTTTGTGTAGACATACCATTTCTGTTGAATCCATACCTGACAATGGAATTGCTGTATTGTATAGTAGTAAGTATAGGTCCTGGCGTGGTGGCTCACGCCTGTACTCCCAGCACTTTGGGAGGCCGAGGCAGGTGGATCACTTGAGGCCAGGAGTTCGAGACCAGCCTGGCCAACATGGCGAAACCCCGCCTCTACTAAAAATACAAAAATTAGCCAGGCATGGTGGCACATGCCTGTAAGTCCAGCTGCTGCTCGGGAGGCTGAGGCAGAGAATCCCTTGAACCCGGGAGGCGGAGGTTGCAGTGAGCCAGGACTGCGCCACTGCTCTCCAGCTTGGGTGAGAAAGTGAGACCCTGTCTCAAAAAAACCCAAAAAGTATTTATTTAACATTATAAGAATTCACCAAACTGTTTCCCACTAGCAACATATGAGAGATTCAGTTCCTCCACCTCATTACCAGCACTTTGTATTCAGTCTTTTAAATATTAACTATTCTTGTGGCTGTGTTGGCATATTTTTTTGTGGTTTTAATTTGCATGTCCTTTAAAACTAATGATGTTTAGCATCTTTTCTACTGCCTTTTAGCCATTTATATATCTTCTGTTAAGTGTTTGTTCCAACTTTTGTCTTTTTTTTTTTTTAAATGGGTTTTTATTCTTGGGTAACGACTTTGTATATATTTGAGATACAATTCCGTCTCAGATATCTATATCAGTATCTGTCTAATATTTTCTCCCAGTTTAGCTTATTTTATTAATGGTAGCTTTAGAAACATGTAAGTTATAAATTTTTATGAAATCTAGTTTATCAATTGTTTTTCTTTTATGATGAACTTTTTCTGTCCCAAGACATTTTTTGCCCATCTGAAGGCTGTGAAAATTTTTTCCTCTGTTTCTTTTAGAATTTTTTAGTTTCATCATTTACATATAAGTCCGTGGTCCATTTGGAGTTAATTTTTGAGTGTGTCACAAGGTAAAGGTTGAGGTTCATTTTTATAGTTTATTTTATAGTTATTCCAGTACCATTTGTTGAAAACATGATTCCTTTTTTATTAAATTATATTGGCACCTTTGTTGAAAATCAATTTTCAATATTTTATTGTATGGAATTTTTTCTGAACTCTTTTTCCATTGACCTATGTGTTTATCCTTATGCTAATACTACACTATCTTGACAAATGTAGCTTCATGGTCAGACTTGGAATCAAATACTATAAAGCCTCCTGTTTTGTTCTTTTATTTCAAAATTGTTTGACCTAATTTAGTTCTTTTGCATTTCAATACACATTTTAGAATTGGCTTGTTAATTTCTACAGAAAAGCTTTCTGGGATTTTTATTAGGATTGTGCTGAATAAAGCCTCCTGTTTTGTTCTTTTATTTCAAAATTTTTTGACCTAATTTAGTTCTTTTGCATTTCAATACACATTTTAGAATTGGCTTGTTAATTTCTACAGAAAAGCTTTCTGGGATTTTTATTAGGATTGTGCTGAATCTATAAGTCACTTGGGGAGAAGCGACATCTTTGTAATATGGAGTCTTCCAAGCTGTCTTATGTTACATTTCTTTATTATCTAGACCTTCAAGTTTTCACAGCAATGTTTTGTATTTTCATATACAGATCTTGTACATATTTTGTACATTTAATACTATTTCATGGTTTCGGATGTCTTGTATTGTAAATCTTTTAACATTTAAACATTTTTTTATTTGATTGCTAATACATAGAAACATAGTTGATTTTTCTATATTGAGCTTGAATTTTGTGACTGTTCTAAACTCATTGATTGCATATAATTTTTTTGTAGATTCCTTAGCACTTTGTACATAGATGATCATAGTGTCTGTTAATTGGGACAGTTTTACTTCTTGTCCAATCTGAATGCCTTTTGTTTCTTTTATTTATTTCTTTTTCTTCTTTTTGTCTTACTGCATTGGTCAAGACCTCTATTAAAATATTAAAGTAGTGAGAATGGGCATCCTTGCCTTGTATACTCTTTTAAAGAGAAAGCACTGCGTCTTCCACCATTAAGTATGGTGTTAGTTTTAGGTTTTTCACAGATGCCCTTTGTAAGGTTGAAGGAGTTCCCTTTGATTCCTAGTTTTCTGAGTTTTTATTGTTGAATTTTGTCAGATGCTTTTTTTGTATCTCAACAATCACATAGTATTTCTCATTTTTCTGTTAATATGGTAGCTTTTATTGATTAATTTTCAAATGTTAAACCAGCCTTGCAGTCCTAAGATAACTCGCACTGGATCATGATATGTTATCCTTTTTATATAGAGTTGCAAAATTTGTTCAGGAATTTGGGTCTATAATCATTAGATACATTGGCCTGTAGTTTTTGTTTTATTTTCTCTTTTAATGTATTTATCTGCTTTTGGCATCAGAGTAAGACTGGCCTTATAAGATGAATTGGGAACTGTTCTTTTCTCTATGTTTTGAAAGAGTTTATGTAGAATTAGTATTATTTTTACTCTAAATGTCTGGTAGAATTCACCAGTGAAAATGTCTGCCTGGAATTTTCTTTGTGGGGACTTTTAAGTAGCTAATTCAATTTCTTTAATAGATGCAAGGCTACTTTCTATTGTGGTTGTACTTTTTTTTTTTCTATTCTAGGGATTTATCCATTTCATCCAAGTTGTTGGATTTGTTGGCATAAAGTTGTTCATAATATACCCTTATCCTTTTAACATCTGTGGGATCTATGACATTCTCACTTTGATTCCTGATTTTGATAATTTGTTTCTTTTTTTTCTTCATCTGTCTAGCTAAGGGTTTATCAATTTATTAGTCTTTTTAAATAAGTATTTTTTATTGCTTTTTCTCTGTTTGTTTCTCTCTCATTGATTTCCACCTTTTATTTCCTTGCTTCTGCTTTCTTTGGATTTAATTAATTCTTTTTTCTGGGTTCCTAAGATTGTAGCTTAGATCATTGTGGGATGGGGTTATAGATGAAGCAACACTAGACATGTGCTGATAATTATTAAAACTAGACAATGGATACATTGAGTTTTATTCCATTATACTGTTTTTTTTTAAACATTTATTTTAGGTTCAAGGGTACGTGTGTAGGTTTGTTATATAGATGAACTTGTGTCAGAGGGGTTCGTTATACAGATTACTTTGTCACCCAGGTACTAAGCCTCATACCCATTAGTTATTTTTTTCTGATCCTCTCCCTCCTCCCACCTTCCACCCTCAAGAGGACCCCAGTGTCTGTTGTTCCTTTCTTTGTGTTCATGAGTTCTCATCATTTAGCTCCCACTTATAAGTGAGAACATACAGTATTTTGTTTTCTTCTGTGTTAGTTTGCTAAGGATAATAGCCTCCAGCTCCATCCATGTTCCTGAAAAAGGCATGATCTTGTTCTTTTTCATGGCTGCATAGTATTCCATGATGTATATGTACCACATTTTCTTTAACCAGTCTGTCAGTGATGGGCATTTATGTTGATTCCATGTTTTTGCAATTGTGAATAGTGCTACAATGAATATTTGCATGCATGTGTCCTTATGGTAGAATGACTTATATTCTTTTGGGTATGTACCCAATGATAAGATTGCTGGGTCAAATGGTAGTTCTGTTTTTACCTCTTTGAGGAATCGCCATCCTGCTGTCTAAACTGGTTGAACTGATTTACACTCCTACCAACAGTGTTTAAGGGTTCCCTTTTCAGCAAAGTTTCAGGATACAAAATCAATGTACAAAAATCACTAGCATTCCTATAAACCAACAACAGCCAAGCAGAGGGCCAAATCAGGAAGACAATCTCATTCACAGATGCTGCAAAAAGAATAAAATACCTAGAATACAGCTAACCAGGGAGGTGAAAGATCTCTACAATGAGAATTACAAAACACTGCTCAAAGAAATCAGAGATGACACAAACAAATGGAAAAACAGCCTATGCTCATGGATAGGAATAATCAATATCATTAAAATGGTCATACTCCCCAAAGCAACTTACAGATTCAGTGCTATTCCTACCAAACTACCAATGACATTCTTCACAGGACTAGAAAAAAACTATTTTAAAATTCATGTGGAACCAAAAAAGAGTCCAAAGAGCCAAGGCAATTCTAAGCAAAAAGAACAAAGCTGGAGGCATCACACCACCTGATTTCATTATGCTACTCTTTAAATTTATGTATATGTTTGAAATTTTTTATAATATCCAACTCCATAGTAATTTTTTTGATATTTATATGCTATTGACATTCATTTTTATGTGGGTAGTTTCTATTTTGGATATTGATAAACTACTTGTAGGATAGCTCCACAGAATTTCTTAATAATTAAGACTATATATGCTTTTTAGTGGTTCTTATGGGACAGTTGCAACAGTGACATGAATCTTGATGCTGTAAGCTCTGGAAGAAATTGGGATACCTCAAAAATGATTAGTGGGGAAAAGAATGAGTAGTAAGTAATTGTTTATGGAAAAGCAAATTGATACATGTTCAATAATAGTACAGTATCAACATGTATCTGCCCCTTGATGGTTCCCATAAAGACAAGTTTGTTAATAAAAATATCTGAGTAATAATAATAAAACATTAATACTCAGTATAGTTGATGGGTAACAGGTATTTTTATTATGTTGTGTATAAATTTCTTGTTATCCCCACCTTTCTCCATCCAAAAAAAGACATTTGTTATTACACTGCTTTTTAGGTATAATGGCCTTAATATACCTATGTATAGATGTTAGAAAAAAATGCATGCACAAATGTTCTATGTCTCATCTTTAGGAGTAGAATGGTGCATCTCACATAGCTTTTTCTACATACTTTCTTAGTGTTTTGTATTGTTTTATCTTGCCTTTTTAAATCTGGAGCTTTTTGTTTGTGACTCATACTATATGGCACATTGTAGTTTTTTTTTTTCAAGAGTCACATTTATTTTTAGTAAAATATATATGTGACCACATTTCTGTTGGCTGCTTTTTTGTCAGTAAATTCACATGCCAGTTGCTTGGCTGATCTCCTTTTCTCTTTCCTACTTAACTAATTATCCATACCTACATACCAAAATAACAATGATGATGATAAATTGTATGGTGCTTTGGCTCTCAAATCAGTCAAGAATGGTAAAATTATTTTATTTTGCTTCACTTTAAAAGTAAACCTCCATCCACCAACAGAAACACAGGTGGATTGATATTCTGTGTTGTTAATACCTAATGGAGAATCAGTGGTAGAAGAGTAGAGAAGCAGAGAATACATAATCAGACATAAGGAGTAAGAGAGGGACCTTATAATTTATTTTAGTATGAATGTAGATAGCTCAGTTTTTTTCTTTTTCTTTTTTTAAGTTTTTTTTTTTTTTTTTTTAGAGACAGGGTCTCACTCTGTTTCCCAGGCTGGAGTTCTATGACGTGATCACAGTTACTTACTGAACTTCAAAGTTCTGTGCTCCGGCAATCCTCCTGCCTCAGGCTCCCAAGTAGTAGGACTACAGGTGTGTGCCATCACACCAGCTGATTTTTTTTTTTAAGAGATATGGTTTTTCTTTGATGCCTAGGCTGGTCTCAAACTCATGGCCTCAAGTGATCCTCCCACCTTAGCCTCCCAAAGTGCAGGGATTATAGCCCTGAGGCACTACAACTGGCTAGCTCATTTTTTCAGTGAGTATAAGTCTCATGCCTTTCAGGGGCTTGGCTTTGCTTCTGTAACCCCATTTTATCTGATTAATCATCCAAAACTGCACTTAAGTGTCCTGAATCTGAAACTTTGACTATACCTTTTCATTTAGTCTCTGATGGTTTTGAAATGATAATCTGTGGCAGCAAGGTATAACCAATTTTTGCCTTGATTAATACCAGCTTGAAGTTCTACATCATCCCTAAATGTAGTTCTACTTTTACCGAGCAGTGAAGGACTCTATTGAAAATAGTTTTGCTACAACACTACAGCATTCTACCTTCTGGAGCTTCAAGTTATCCCTGCTCAATTTGTACAGTCTTATTTTCTATACAGGTGTCATCACTTGCTGCAATAGCATAACACAGTGTTGTATGGTGCCATAAGAAATAAAATTGTATGTCAGATAAAATAAAGAGTAGCTACCAAAGTCAGATATTTCTCCCAAATGTTAATAGAAAGCAAGACAGTATAGCACTGCCAGGCATTGAATCACATCTGTGGTACTTGTCTAGCTTTGTAACCCTGGCCAAATTATACATTTTCTTTGTGCTCTATTTTTCTCATCCATCCAATGGGAATAATAACACCTACTTTGCAGAATTGTTCCAAGGTTTAAGTGAATTAGTATGTTAGAAGTATTTATAAGTGTTAGCCATTATTACTAGTTCTTTCTGAGCCTTAGTATATACTTCTGTTATAAAAGTTATTACATATACATGTTGATTTCCATGCCTTCTCTATTAATCTGTTAGCCTGATGGTAGAATGCATTCTTTGTTGTACATATTTACCACAATGTGCTGTGCAGTGTATGTGCTAATCAGTGTATGTAAACCTAGTAAATATAGTTGAATGAAGGTTAAAGTGAGAGCTAATGTGTAGAGGACATATTATTGATATATAGCCTTTTTAAATAAAATCAACTTTCACTCTAGTTATATTTATTGCTATTTAACTTATTTTTTGTTTTAGAAAATGTTTTTCAATAGATAAATGGAATGGCTATTATAAAAGCATGTCACTTAGTATCTAGTTCTGGTTTTCATCTTTTTTTTTTTTTTTTTTTTTCCTGGTGTGGTGCTGATGGAACTAGTGCCGCAGTGTGTCTGGAGAATAAATGTGGATATCCCTGAGGAAGCTAATCAGAATCTTTCGTTTGGTGCTACTGAAAGATGGTGGGAGCAGACAGATTTGACCAAACTAATAATATCAAACAATAAACTTCAGTCACTTACAGATGACCTGCGACTCTTGCCTGCACTGACTGTTCTTGATGTAAGTTGACTGACTATAAATATGGATTATTAATTGAAGAGACTCTAAAGCTAAATTTAGGCTTTGGTAGCAGAAAACCTTTCATGTTGAGTTGGTAATGCAAGGACAGATAGTAAATTATCATTCTAGGCATAGCATAATGGTTAAAAGTGCAGGATCAGAACACCAAGTTTCTAATTCTGACTTCTGCTATTAATGGCTGTGTGACCTGGGGAGAGTTACCTCTCTGTGCCTTAGTCTCCACATCTGTAAACCAAGACTGATACTACTACCTATTTAAAAATTTTGTTTGTAGAATTAAATAAGTTAATGAATACAGACAGAATCAATATTCAACAAGTGGTTATTTCTGCTCATCTTTTTTTTCTTATTACTATTTTGCACAGGCAAAATAGTGGCGTGATCATGGCTCACTGCAGCCTTGAACTTATGGACTCCAGCAATTCTCCTGCCTCAGTCTCCCAAGTAGCTGGGACTATAGGTGCATGCCACCACACCCGGCTATTTTTTTTTGTGTGTGTAGAGATGAGGGTCTCACTATGTTTCCCAGACTGGTCTTGAACTCCTGTCCTCAAACTCTCCTCCTGCCTCAGCCTCCCAAGTGCTGGGATTACAGGCGTGAGCTACTGCACCTGGCCTATTGTTACAATTTTTATCATTATTATTCTAGATATTAAAGCAAGTCTATATGTATATGTATTACTTGCCTTCAACCTCATTGAGTTAAATTATTGAACTTAATTTTTTTGTGTTTTTATTCAGGGATTCTTTTTAGTCCTTTGTTGCCATGTCCTGTGGTAAAGTGAAGCACAAGGAGTATATTTCATAATCTGCGGGCTTCACAATCTGGTATACTTTACTTATCAACATAAAAAGTCCTCCAATTCATGTGTTGAAAAGTAGAATCTAAATAGATCAATTTTTAGGGAACTTTTTATTTTCTTCATTTGTAAAATGAATGGATTGGCTTACTCTAAGGTTCTTTCTACCTTAAAAACTGATTCTGTGAGAACATGAGAAAAGTCCCTTTCTCTTTTCTCATATAATTTTTGTATATATTGACATAAATCATATCATCAGAGAGCTGTTTTTAGTTTCTAACCCCCTCATCTCTTCTTTGAAATTGAAACTCTACTAATGAGTTGAAATTTTTCTTAGTATAATATTTAAAGTGGTTGACTTAACACTTCATGACTTCTCTTCTCTTCTCTTCTCTTCTCTTCTCTTCTCTTCTCTTCTCTTCTCTTCTCTTCCATTTTTTGAGACAGGGTCTCACTCTGTAGCCCAGGCTGGAGTGCAGTGGCACAATGTGGGCTCACTGCAGCCTTGACCTCCTAGGCTCAAGCAATCTTCCCACCTCAGCCTTCTGAGTAGATGGGGCTACAGGTGTGCGCCACTACGCCTGACTAATAAGAATTTTTTTTTTTTTTGTAGAGACAAGGTCTCACTAATTTGCCTAGGCTAGTCTCAAACTCCTGGGTACAAGCGATTTGCCTTCTTCGGCCTCCCAAAGTGCTGGGATTACAGGTGTGAGCCACTGCACCTGGCCTTACTTCATGATTTCTGAACAGCCGTTTGGTCATCTTCAAACTGTTCTACATACAGAACAAGTATGTTGAACAGTAGTTCAACTTGTTGCCATTGAATTTGAGGAACAGGAGATTACTGACTAATAGTTTTGTACACTGGCAAAGCTTATATATTGTTAATGATAAGACTAAGAATATTGACTTTGTCTTTTAAAAACTTTTAGATACATGATAATCAGTTGACATCCCTTCCTTCTGCTATAAGAGAGCTAGAAAATCTTCAGAAACTTAATGTCAGGTAAAAATTAAGCTTATTTACTTATATTATTGCCCTTATAATGGTTTAAATCTAATATTCTTTAAATTTTCTCAACATTAAAAATATCTTTGAATTATCTCAGAAAGTAGTTAAAGCAGAATAAGAATTTTAAGTTTTTTAAAGCTTTAATTCTTAGTTTGTATGTTTTTTTCTTTGTTTTAGCATTACCCCCATCATTTCTGATTTTATAAATGCAAGGCTAGTTGATTTTTTTTAAATGCTTAAATTTTTTTTTTTTTATAAAACAATTCTTAGTGGTTTGTTATTGTAGTAAACCTCTTTGTTGATGTCTCAACTTTTAAGTTACCTTGATATTCTAAAAATATCTAAACAATAAGGAAGAAATGTAAAACAATTCTTTCATAAATGAAATACTTCATAGTTTTTATTAGTAGTCGTTTTTAAACTTCTCCAAGGACTCCTGGGATTCTACGGATATATTTTTGTAACTGTCATGGACATACTGGTACATGGGATGTTCAGTGGCAAAGATTGTAGCTAACTCTGTTTGCTCTCTGATACATACCCAGACTTTTAAGAAAGAATAACTTTGCCTTTGTTTGTTATATAGACATAGGCTATGGGAAAGGAGATTTAAAGAGGTCTTATTTTGGAGTAGAAAAAAATGGTTCAGGAACTTAAAGCATAGTTTGAAAAACTGTGGCTTATAAAATAGATACGGTTACAGATCTATGTAATGTAATATAGTCAAGTTTGTTTTCTGGAGATAAGCTAACTGGTTTGAGGGAAAATAGTCCCTCCCAGTAACACTCCTTATTTGGTGGAAAACATAAAATTACCATTGGCCAATGAAAATATATATACATAAAAAGGTGCTAATTATTTAGAACTCCATCACAGTATCTTCCCCTTACAAGTCAAAGGCATAGACGTGGCCTGTAAAGACAAGAGTGGGGATTGTTGAGAGGAAGAGAGGAAGCAGTAAGTGTTGAGTGACATGGCTTAAGCTTTAGATTCTATACTTAAGAGTATGTAGGTGTGTTCTCAGTGAAGAAGTTTAAAAAAAGTATGAATCTTAGGATGGAGTAATTAGCTAAGAAAAGGAGATGGAGGAAATCTATAGCTAAAATTATCTCTCTCCCCAGTTAGATCCCTATCAAGTGTGCAAAGATTTCAGCTAGGTAACCAATAACAGTAACCGACTTAACAATATTATTGGTTCTTGTTTTAGAAGACATCATTTGACTTTTTTTGTCCCAACTAGTTTTATTTTACTGTAATTTAGGGTTATTGTAAGCACCTTGTATTTCCCATTTTCCCCCTGTTATTTGTAAAGTAACTGTATATGGCATGAAAATAGCATGGAATTCGTAAGTGAGTATTTAAGTTGTGATAAACCTGGGAACTAGTTCAGTCATCTCTTAATTATCATGAAGTCTATCATCCTCCATGATTTGGGACTTCTAAACCATTACACTGAATATCTCTACAGAAGGGCTTAACTGAAAAGACCAAGTATGAAGAAGAGTGGAATTCCATATTACATTCAACTTGACATCCTAGGTCCTCAAACAGAAATAGCTATTTTTGCCTTAAAACCGAACATATAAGATGTAACTCCATTGTGGTATATGTGTGCATATAGTTTTGTCAAAATTCTGAAAGTCAGTTATAGTATGTATTAGTCCGTTTTCATGCTGCTGATAAAGACATACCCGAGACTGGGAAGAAAAAGAGGTTTAATTGGACTTACAGTTCCACATGGCTGGGGATGCCTCAGAATCATGGTGGGAGGCAAAAGGCACTTCTTACATGGCAGCAGCAGGAGAAAAATGAGGAAGATGCAAAATTGGAAACCCCTGATAAAACCATCAGGACTCATGAGACTTATTCACTACCACGAGAACAGTATGGGGGAAACCGCTCCCATGATTCATACTATCTCCCACCAGGTTCCTCACACAACATGTGGGAATTATGGGAGTACAATTCAAGATGAAATTTGTGTGGGGACACAACCAAAGCATATCACAGTATAACAAATTAAGTGTCTAGTATGTCCTATCACATTGCATGTCAAATCAAGAGTTGATTATAAGCATGCAATCAAAACATCACAAATTATTTATGTTTGGCTAAAAGCCTTTATTTCTTTGTTATTTTTCTTTGAAACCCCAATGTGGTTACTTTAGATTACTATTATTTTAATGAGTACATATTTTTGGATATGAATTTTGATAAGTACTTAAAGTTAGTAACTATATTTGATTTTTATGAGTCCAGTGTCATTGGTTAGCAAGAAATGTCTTTGATAAATATTTATTGTATTGCCACTAAATTATTCATCATTTATTTTATCAACCAATAGCCATAATAAACTGAAAATACTCCCTGAAGAAATTACAAACCTAAGAAACCTGAAGTGCCTGTATCTCCAGCATAATGAATTAACCTGCATATCAGAGGGATTTGAACAACTTTCCAATTTAGAAGATTTAGTAAGTTCTGATTTTCCAATTTTTGTACAATTTGGGGCTGGTGGGATTTTTCATCAGGCTGAGAAATTAAGATAGATGATTGAAACTGTGGGAACATGGACAGCTGATTTTGTGATTAGATTATCAGAAATGTGCATTTCAATAAGATAGCTAAATTTGTCACTGTAAATTTGGTTTTCCTGTATTATGAAATCAACTTTAAGTTTTAATTTAGGAAGAGTTTGGGAAAGGTGCAATGAAGATTACTTTGTTATTCAGAGGCTTTACAGCATAGCAGAATAGAGGAAAGTTGTCTTTAGCATATACCAATTCTCTTTTCTATACCCATTTCCATTTCCTTCCTTATATTACCTGCGGCCCTTCTGCCTTCCAAATGTCCAGGTAATTCACTGAAGGTCTGTCTTCTCTACTTTTCAGAATGGCCACACTTCCTGGCAAAATTTTAATTCCATTGTTTCACTTACCTTAAATAGAGATAACTGTAAAGCAATACAAATATTATTTTAGTCATATTTTTATTATTATTTTATTTTTGGGGGGACATGGTCTTACCCTGTCACCCAGACTGGAGTGCAGTGGCGCAATCTCGCTCACTGCAACCTCCACCTCCCAGGTTCAAGCGATTCTCCTGCCTCAGCCTCCCAAGTAGCTGGGATTACAGGCATGCACCTCTACTGCCCGGCTAATTTTTGTATTTTTAGTAGAGACGGGGTTTCACCATTTGGCCAGACTGATCTTGAACTCCTGACCTCAAATGATCCACCCTCCTCAGCCTCCCAAAGTTCTGGCATTACGGGCATGAGCCACTGCTAGTCTAGTCGTATTATTAAGAATAATAAAAACAATAGACATTTATCTTTGAGCATTACATATGGCAATGTAATATCCCCTAATACAATAAGAAAGTAAAGCTGATAAAAAGGAAATTTGGAGCTAGGTGTGGTAGTTCGTGCCTGTAATTCTGTCACTTTGGGAAGCCAAGGTGGGTGGATTTTTTGAGCCCAGGAGTTCGAGACCAGCCTGGAAAACATGGCAAAAAACCTGTCTCTACAAAGAATACAAAAATTATCCAGGTGTGGTGGCACGTGCCTGTAAGTCTCAGCTACTCAGAAGGCTGAGGCAGGGAAGTTGCCTGAGTCAGGGAGGCTGAGGCTTTAGTGAGCCATGATTGAGCCACTGCACTCCAGCGTGGATGACAGGAGACCCTGTCTCAAAAAAAGAGAGAGAGAGGAAAGAAAAAGAAAGAGAGAGAAAGGAAGAAAGAAAGAGACAGAGAAAAGAAAATTTGTCAAAAGTAACACAACTAACAAGTAACAAAATTAGAATTTGAGTGTAAGTCAATTTAACTCCAAAGTGTATCCATCTCTTTTTTTTTTTCCATTTTACCACCAAAGGAATAAGATTCCACTGCAGGCTATACCATCTGAAAGACTTTAGCTGTATTAAATCGAAGGTACTAATATATAATATCTACTCCACATAGTTAATTCATATTGCATTGTTATTCTTTTCCCTCTTACATGTTTTGGAAAACTCCTGTCATTTTAGCTTGCTTTTCATTAAAGGAAGAAATTACTCCTTTTCTATTTTTGCTGTGTGTACATCCTCCTTGATACTTCCCTCATTTGTTCTAGAGTTTAAAAGTCAAAATATATACTCTTCTCAACCATTCCTTCAGTGTCTTCTTGTCTTTCCAAATGATCAGATGGGAAATAAGTAAAAGGCATAGGTAGATAAAATGAATGGCAAAGGAGGAAGCCATCAGATTTTCTTATAAAAATTGGTGGTAAAAGGTAGCAGTTGATTTAAAAGAGTCCATTTGGAGTTGAGAGCTGAAAGGAAAATTTAAAATAAATAAAATTTCTACTATCCACCCACATGTTCCCAGAGACTCGTTTACATAATGAAAGAATGTTTCATTTCAGAATTGTGTTCTACAGACTCAGTATCAAATCATAAATGTGAGCAACAATATATTAAAACAGATTAAACACCTATAATTTAAACTAGTAATATTTCTTAAACTTGTATAAAAACTGCTTAGCACAATGCAACTAATTATTTGTTAAAGGAATGACTTGGCATAAATATGGATTAATTTATATAGTGTATTTATGTTTTATATCTAACAATTACTAACTGCAGTAATTATTTAACTTTATTAGTAATTTTATGTAGAATTTACAAGGGGGTTTATTAGAATTATTTGGGTTTTTAAAAATGCTTTGACAATTTCTGAATTAAGTTTTTTGTTAGTAACTTTTTATTTTAGGCTTTTTATTTTAGAATAATTTTAGGTTTATAGAAAAGCAAATATAGTAAAAGAGTTCTCATATACCCTACATCCAACTTTCTTTAATGTTAATATTGATATAACCACAGGAACACTCAGATGTTCACATTGGTACAATACTAATTAAACTGCAGACGTTATTTAGATTTTCCCAGTTTTTCCACTAATGTCCTTGTTTTTGTTTCAGAGTCCAATGCAGGATACCACATTGCATTTAGTGTTAGTAACTTTTGATACTACAAAATATTTATTAGCAATCTTTTGATTCTTAGAGTTTTTAGTATTAGAGTTGTAGAATATGTTATGTTGTATGTTGTAGATTATGATAATATATTGTTATAAAATAATTATAACAGTATGTTTTTAAAAAAAGATTTGATCCAGTATTTTTACCTTTTTCTATCTTCTTGGTTTCTTCAGAGTTACAAAATGTTACTGTTAGATTAAATGAATTGTTTAGTGTTAGGTTGTTTAATGTTATATTAAATGAAAATCTTATTCATTGTTGCCATTGACACTGCTTAACACTTTGCTGTTATGTAGTGGAGCAATTTACACCTAATTTGAGTGTTATAAAAATTACCTGATTCATAACAACGTCTTTTAAAGGGAGTTTCAAAAAAAAGTTCTCTTAAAACTATTTAAAGAAAAAGCAAACATAATCATTTAAAGAAACAGGAGGTATAGCGATTAATTAAGCAATCTTGAGTGAATGAAGAGTAGAGGGTAGACTTCTGGTACCAATCAGATCTGACTTTCTGAGGTCAGCAGAAGAACCAATAGAAAATATTTTTTTTTCCTCAAAAATTTGAATGGCCGTTTTTTTCAGCTTCATTTTTCCTTTTCTCAGGAATTTTTCTTTCTTGCAAAGATGTTTTTCATTTCACATGACAGTTTATTAATAATATGCCTAATTCTTCTTAGGCACTTCATAAATATTGGATGAATACATGAATTTTTGCATTGAAAATATGATGCATAATATGGCATGACTTTGTTTTAACAGAATCCGTTATGTAAAATATTTTTGAAGTTAGAATTCATTTATATCCTGTCTACTACCATTGATGAACATATAGTGGGCCTGCAGATATTGAAAATCAATCTTGAAATGAATGATGATCTGTGAAATTTTCAGTGAATGAGAGTTACACAACTTATCACATCTTAAGTAGTCTCTTTTATGTTGTAATTCCTTCAAAAATTTGAAATCCTTTTTAGGGCATTATTTATTTATTTTTTTACTTGTTTATTCATTTATTTTGTCTTTCTCTTTTTAAAGGATCTTTCAAACAATCATCTTACAACTGTTCCTGCTAGTTTTTCTTCTCTGTCCAGTCTGGTGCGACTCAATCTTTCTAGTAATGAACTGAAGAGTTTGCCAGCAGAAATAAATAGAATGAAAAGTAAATATTTTCTGTTTTACATAATACATAAATTTGAAGTTGGTGCAACTTACATTTAGAAAGTAATTTTTAATATAGTTACAGAGAACTAAAGTAGTAGATTTTTATAGTGGTAAATGCAAACAATAGCAACTAGTCAGATTTTCTCCAGACCATTATTATGTATCAACTGTCTAAAGAAATACCATCATAAAGATACTTAGGCATATGAAAAAGAAGAAAATATGATTATTCGTTGTAGTAGGATTATATACCTAAGCTATACTGTCTTTCATTCATTCATTCAACATTCATAAAGAGGTTAGTCCCCTCTTACTGGTGAATCTACCTATGATATTTAGTTGTATTATAGCTGTAGCCTCCTCATGGTCCATAAGTAATAATGTCGAGAAATAAGTCTTGTTTTGTCTGAGGTCCCAGGTTGTCAATCTTTTTTAAAAGAACCAAAATGTCAAAATTTATTGGTTCTGTTAAAATTTGCCATCAAACCATAATATCTGAAGTATTGTAGAACTAACATTAAGGGATTAAAAAAGTCAAGGTACATTTTAGTACCTTTTAAATTAGTATACTTCAATATAAAATTCTTAAGAGTCTAAAATCATTAGTGATTTTTTTGTTTGTTTGTTTAAAGAAACTGTTATTACCAGGCACTGTGGCTTGTGTCTGTAGTCCCAGTTACCCAGGTGGCTGAGGCAGGAGGATCGCTTGAGCCTAGGGAGTTCTGGGCTGTAGTGCGCTATGCCAATCGGGTATCCACATAAGTTCAGCAGCATCATGGTGACCTCCCATAGTGGGGGACCACCAGGTTGCCTAAGGAGGGGTGAACCAACCCAGGTCAGAAACAGAGCAGGTCAAAACTCCCATCTGATCAATAGTGGGATTGCCCCTTTGAATATCCACTACACTGAAGCCTGGGCAACATAGTGAGACCTCTTCTCTCTCTCTCAAAAAATAAAATAAAATAAATTAATAAAAAAACTGTTATTTTGTAACTATTTCTTGGTTGATGGTTAGCCTTTTTTTTTTCTGATCATTTGTAAGCCTTCTTCAATTTTAAAACCTCCCTTTTGTTTGGCAAGTCATAGAAATGATTGCCTGCATTCAATTGCAGATAGTTTTGAGGTAAATTTCTAAAATTGTGTTGTTTTGCTTTAGATTAATAGTTATTTGTTGTTTAAAATTGGAGTTTTAAAATAAGTTAAATCTGCCCTAAATCAAATTGACATTTTAGGGGAGTCTTTACCTGGGATACCAATAGTTAAGATTTTGCTGTATTTGTCATTTTTTTCAATAAGGATATTATAAAGAGCAGCTAAATGTAAAATATATCTAGAACGAAGACATAAGCAGCATGGACTTTTTTCATAAATTGAGTGGAAATATCTTGAGAGATAGGAACATCTCAACTTAAGTTGATAAATCAACTTAAAAATACATTTGAGTTTATAGTAATTTTTCTAATATCCAGTGTTATTAATGACCAGATGCTTTTGTTTCTCAGCCATGACAATGATACTTTTAAGCTGTTACACAGAGTACATTTAGTTGTACTTTAACAGAGTACCAGAACTTTATTTTTAAATGTATTACAAAAATGACCGGGACTGTTGTTAAATTGCCCAGGCTGGGGTGCAATGACATGATCATAGCTCAGTGCAGCCTCGATCTCCCAGACTCAAGCATTCTTCCTGCCTCAACCTCCCAAGTAGCTGGGACTACAGGCATGCACCACCATGCCCAGCTAATTTTTTTTTAATTTTTAGTAGAGACGATGTTTCACTATATGTTGCCCAGGCTGGTCTTGAACTCCAGAACTCAAGTGATCCGCCCACCTCGGGCCTCCCAAAGTGCTGGCATTACAGCACAACTGGCCTAAGTAATAATTTTTATGTTACTATTTCTCTTTAATTATAATTAAATGTAGAAAAATTTACATTTATTTAATTCAGTGGTGTTTGAATATTCTTGATTATATGGCACAGGTTCATAAGTCCTCATAGCGATTTCTTACACATTCTTTAAAGTTGTATACGATCAGAAACTAATTTTTTTTTCTCTATTTTTGTTTTTTACTGAATATATATTACAGGGTTGAAGCATTTGGATTGTAATTCAAATCTCTTGGAAACTATACCTCCTGAATTGGCTGGCATGGAATCACTAGAATTGCTTTATTTGCGGAGGAATAAATTACGTTTTCTACCAGAATTTCCTTCTTGTAGTCTATTGAAGGTACTATTTAGTTGATTATTAAATAACTATATTTTCCAAAAGTTAATTATTAAAATGCATTTTTAAAGGAGCTAATCTTGTTTTACATTGGGAGTGTGTATTAGTTATAAGTACTGTGTTTTTCCTATGTTAATACTTTTCAGAATTTTAATATGATTACTTACATTAATGGTATTTTTAGTAATACATTTTTTAAAAGAAATAATTTAAAAAATAGAGATTTGTCCATTTCATCTGACAAGTAGTTCATAACTGGAGAAGTAGTAGATAAAGAGGCTAAAATTGTAAGTAGGAGACCTGGAATACCAACCAGGATTATGTACCTAATTCTATAAAGTGTCACCTCTCACCTTTACCTAATCATAATCAAGTATGTTTGAAATGAATTACATTCTTTTGGCTTTAAGTGTGTAGAATTAATGGTGTCTTGTAAATTTGCCATGATTTGCCTTTTTTATATATACCTTTAAGCTCTAGTGTTAAAAGAGTTTATTTTAAACAGAGTGATGATATATAAAATGAACTGAAAAAGTTTTCCTTTAATAAGAATAATTTTCCATCTGATAATTATAGTTTCTATTAATGGCAAATCAGTATATAAAATAATCACTAATGAAAATGTTAGGTAACAAACTGATTACAGTTGATCCTTGAACAATGCAAAGGTTATAGGCATTGACCCCCATGGAGTTGAAAATCTGTGTGTAGCTTTTGACTCCCCAAAAACTTAACTAGTAGTAGTCTCCTGTTGACCAGAAGCCTTACCAATAACATGAACAAATGGTTAACACATAATTTGTATGCCATATGTATTATGTACTATGTTCTTACAATAAAGTAAGCTAGAGAAAAGAATCTTATTAAGAAAATCATAAGGAAGAGAAAATGTGTTTACTATTAATTAAATGGAAGTCAGTCATCATAAAGGTCTTCATCTTCATTGTCCTCGTGTTGAGTAGGCTGAGGAGGAGGAAGAGAAGGGGTTGGTCTTGCTGTCTCAGAGATGGCAGAGGTGGAAGGAAATCCACATATAAGTGGACCTGTGCAGTTCAAACCTAAAACCCATTGTCATTCAAGGATCAACTGTGTTTATAGTACCATGCTGTATTGATACCATAAGTTTATATCATCTGCTTACAGGATGAATCATCTGTCTGAAATGGTGAGCAACTTAAATCTATGGTATATGTCAGGCAATTCAACTTTTCTTGTAATGTCATGACTTTTCTCTGCTTCTTGGGAGAACTTTCAGCATCACTAGTGGCACTTCATATTAGTCCCATGATGTTATTTGAAATTTATGGTTTTGCACTAAACAGTATGAGAAACACATGAGAACTGCAAGAGATCATTTTTTACTGTGACATGCAATTTACTGGAGAGCTGAACTGCTCACCTGGAAATGATTAGCTTCATACAGGTTTTAAGTGGATACTCACAACATAGGCTCACCACAGTACCAACAAGAAGTGGCAACAAAATTATTATAGTAGTACAGTGTGTACTACAGTTAATTTTATGTAGTTATGATTTTTCTTTTTTTGAGGCAGAATCTTTGATTTATTTATTTTTTTTGAGGCAGAGTCTCGCTCTGTCATCCAGGCTGGAGTGCAGTGGTGCAATCTCAGCTCACTGCAACCTCCGCCTCACGAGTTCAAGTGATTCTCCTGCCTCAGCCTCCCGAGTAGCTGGGATTACAGGTGCCCACCACCACGCCAAGCTAATTTCTGTATATTTAATAGAGATGGGGTTTCGCCATGTTGGCCAGGCTGGTCTCGAACTCCTGACCTCAGGTGATCCGCCTGTCTCCACCTCCCAGAGTGCTGGGATTACAGGCGTGAGCCACCGTGCCTGGCCTAGTTTTATGTAGTTATGACTGCATCTTCACATTTGTTTACATTTCTCTGTAAGTTGTATGTAAGTTTTGATACATTTTAACTTTTTATAATAGATTTGTATATATTTTGTGGTAGTCAGTGATAAACTAGTATCTACATATATTAAATGCATTCATGACATATGTAACTTTTTTTTATTTTTTAAATGTTTTTAGGCTACACAGTTGGTTTGCAAGTGTTTTCAAATTGTCACAAATCTCCAAATAAAATTTCAATATATTTTCTGAAAAAAATTTATATAAAAGTGGACCCTCACAGTTTAAACACTTGTTGTTCAAGGACCAACTGCATAATATCAATAACTTTTTAAAAAACTGATATTACTTTGTTTTGCAAGTAGTTTTTGGATTTATATTTTTATTATTTAAATGTAACTACTAAATTATTTCTCTACTTTGGTTTTTTTTTTTTTTTTTTTTTTGAGATGGATTCTTGGTCTGTCATCCAGGCTAGAGTGCAATGGTGTGATCTCTGCTCACTGCAACCTCCGCCTCCTGGGTTCAAGCGATTCTCCTGCCGCAGCCTCCTGAGTAGCTGGGACTACAGGCACGCTCCACCACGCCTGGCTAATTTTTTGTATTTTTAGTAGAGACGGGGTTTCACCATGTTGGCCAGGCTGGTCTCAAACTCCTGAACTTGTGATCTGCCTGCCTCAGCCTCCCAAAGAGCTGGGATTACAGGCGTGAGCCACTGCACCCAGCCTACTTTGGTTTTATAAACTTGATGTTTCTGCCAGATTCAAAGTTTAATTATTTTTAAATTGCCAAAAAATTTTCTCATTTGCCATTCTTCTTTAGCTGAAAGATAGCCTAAATATAATTGAAAATTTAAACATCTTGATATTTATAAAGTTGCATTTTTTCTATGTGTTTTTCAATCACTTGAAATTAAGAGTACCTACAATTTTATTTTCATTATCTACTATAAAATTGAATACAGAGATACACATAACTCATCTTTGATTTTGTAGGAATTGCACGTAGGTGAAAACCAGATTGAAATGTTAGAGGCAGAACATCTTAAACATCTGAATTCAATTCTTGTGCTAGACCTGAGGGATAACAAGTTAAAATCTGTTCCAGATGAAATTATACTACTACGGTCCTTGGAAAGGCTTGACCTAAGCAACAATGATATTAGTAGGTAAGTTTAAATATCAAATGAATAGAAATTGTGTTTGTATTTGGTTATAATTCATAATTTGAAATATTTGTTAAAAAACCAAGAGGTTCCTTTTTTCTAAATTGAATTCACTAAATATTGATTGAGCAGTAGTTATGTACAGATAAAGATTAATTAGGTTTTGTCTTTAACAGCAAGCTTGATATGATAATAGAAGCAGACATATTTATGACTTACTCTAACTAGATTATCATTAGTATTAGTATTATTACTCTTACTAGAGTAAAATTTAGTTCTAGTTACCCCCTAGAACTAAATTCTAAGAACGCTGGAATGAATTTACTTTAAAAGCCTTGCCATAGCACTGTTTCCCAAATATGGGTACGTTTTAGAATCATTTGAGAAACATTAAGAAAAAATACTGATTCTGGGACGCTAATGAATCAGAATCTCTGATGACGGGACCCTAGAATTTTTGTTCTTTGTTTTCTTTAAAACAGTTCCTAGAATTTGATGCTTCTGGTCTTCCAACCAGCAATTAATTGGGAACCACCATATTGTAAGATAAACTCTAGACTTTTTAGCCTGACATTCAAGGGTGCCTTACAATCAGACTTAATTTATCATTTGTCATCTTTCGCTCATGCAGGTGTCTTGCTCTCTGACTACATTGAGCTATAAATATACCAACCCTTTCTTTGTTTTATTCCTTTACCCTAGAATGCTTTTTTTTTGCCTAATAGTATTTGATTTTTCACTTTAAGCCCAAATCCGGTTTTTGCTACTCCCTTCTCCCCTGTAAAGCCCCACCAGTGTCTATATTTCTACTCTCATAGCAACATGACTTGTTTAGCATTTGTCTTATTATATATGCTTTTTATATCATATTCATTTGTTAATATGTAACTTATATACAATAAAATTTACCAATCAAGCATACAACTTGATGATTTTTGGCAAAGGTATATATTTGTGTAACCGTAATCACAGCCATGTAGAACATTTCTATCTCCCTAAAAAGTTTCCTCATACCTTTTGCAGTCAATTCCCTTTCCATACCCCAACCCCTGGCAACCACTAATGTGCTATGTTACTATAGTTTTGTCCTTTTTAGAATGTCACATAAATGGAATTACATAGAATGTAGTTTTTGTGTCTGGCTTCTTTCATGTAACATAAAGTTTTTGTGATTCATGTGGTTGTATGTATCAGTAGTTTTATTTTTATTGCTGAGTGTTATTCTGTTGTACAGAGATAGATATACCGCAGTTCATGTGTCTTTTCAGTAGTTAGTTGATGGACATTTGAGTTGTTTTTGATTTTTTGCTATTGTAAACATCTGTGTGCAAGTTTCTGTGTGGACATTATTTTCATTTCTCCTGAGTAAACGTGTAGCAGTGTGTTTGCTTAGTTGTATAGTGACCATATGTTTAAAAGACTCCACTTTCGAAAGTGACTGTACTATTTTATATTCCCACCAGCATTGTAAGATAATACTTATTATATTTTAGTTAGCTGTATGTGTTTTTTTCCTTTGTTTAACTGAGGACTTGAGAACAAGAATCTTGATATCGCTATACCAGTGCCCTATATTTTGTAGATGCTTAATAGATTTTATTGATATTGAATTTTTATGTATGAATGGTTTTTAAAATGTGCCAGAGATGAAGATGACTTTCTTTATTGAATGGAAACATGAATTGGACATTCAAAAATTATCTTTTTCTATTTGTCATCTTTTTTCAATTAGAATTTTGTTTCCTTGCTCTAAGTGCAAAATCAAAACATTTGGTATCAGTGAGGATGTCTATCTTGAATCACTGATTCATTCAAATTTATGTTTAACATTTACTTTTTTAGCAAATGTTATAATTTAACAAATGTTTTATAGCTCACTTTTTTAAAATTAATCTCAGCATGACAATTTTGAAAACAAATCTGATTTTTCCTTTATATGTTTAGCATTTATCTTGAAAGGAAATGTTTTAGGTCTGCATTACTTGGCCTTTCTTTGAGACTATTCTGTGATATGTTGTTTGCCATATGATGTTTTATAGTTAACTATGGTTGGAGTATACTTATATTTGATGCTTTCCCTGAAATCAATTTAATCTTTTATAGTCTTCCCTATTCATTGGGGAACCTTCATTTGAAATTTTTGGCATTAGAAGGAAATCCTTTGAGAACAATTCGAAGAGAAATTATAAGTGTAAGTATATTTGGAATTCAGCTCTTTGTTAAATTGAAATTCAGACATATATGTTGATCTGTAAAACTGCAAAGCATGTCTTGGTGAATGTCTTTGTCTCCACCCTTCTAGAAAGGAACACAAGAAGTCCTAAAATATCTACGAAGCAAGATCAAAGGTACTTTAAAATGTTCTCTTATATTTTGAAGGATTCATAAAAAGTGGTGAAGAATTAATAGTACATAAATTTAAATGTCTTTTGGGTATACATATTTGGAAGTAATAGATCCTGGCATGTGTGGCTCTAATTCTAAATCCATATAGTCTGTAAGTATGCTGAGGTTATAAAAATATCTTTAAACTCACAATAATAATGTACTATCTGTAATCCCTTTGAATTGTGTTAAGTCTGCCAATTAGGAAATTTAACAAAAAAGATTCAGTAAGCACTTAGTACTTCAACTTTGAAAAAGGAGTAAAACTTGACTTTCAGGATATATGGGTTCTATTGACTAGAAAGTATATTGACAAGTATTTCATTATCTATTTTTCGTGCACAGCTTTGCTAAACTCTGACAAAATTTAAGACAAAACATACTTTTCAGGGTATGTTAATTTAGCAAGAACATGTACCAAAAGTGAAAATAATACAATAAACTTAATTTTTAATAATTCACTAAACATGTCATATACCCAATTTTTGTTTCATGTCTATCATTATAGAATAAACTAAAACATTTTGAAAAAAAAAAGTAGTTGTACGAGTGCTATGCTAAGAAACAAACCACTCCAAAACATAATGGCTAAATGCAGTAGCTGTTAATTTACCTCACAACTCTGTTGGTTATGCATAGCTTAGCTTAGCACTATGTTGCCAGTCAACATATATTAAATGAGTAAGATAATTGTGTAGTTTAGCTATTTTTTCTACTTTATCCTTCAAGTGAATTATTAAAATAATTTTCTAAGACTCTTATTTTCTACCAAGGAAAGTGTTTCCTTCTCCAAATATGCTTTCTCTTCCAGAACAAATTGATTATTCTGTCATGAATCAGTTAGAGGTCATGTCAGACTGATCAAAATTTTATGAACAGAAAGCCAAGATGAACTTAGTGGAAGTTACAGTTATATGCAAACATTTCTGCTAGACAGCTTCTATCCAAAGATGGGAGAGTGAATCCATGCATATAATTTTATTCTTTCCAGAAACCCCACAAAAAGAAAATTGGTAATGGAAATGTTTTAAAGGTGTACTTCCATAAAGATAGGGAGAATGGGGGAAAAATAAAATAATAAACATGTGGACATTGGAAAGTGAGTTGTTTAGTCAGTTTGGGCTACTATAATAAAATATCTTAGACTGTAATTTATAAATAACAGAAATTTATTGCTCATGGTTCTAGAGAACTGTGATCAAAGCACCAGCAGATTTGGTGTCTGGTAAGGACCTGTTTCTCATAGATGGCACCTTCTCCATGCTTTCAGATGGCAAGAGGAGGTTAATGAGCCCCCAAGACTTCTTTTATAAGGGCACTATTCCCGTTCATGAGGGTTCTGCCCTCAATATCTAGTTACTTTACAAAGGCCCTACCTCTTAATACTGTTACCTTGGTGGTTAGATTTCAACATAGGAAATTTGGGGTAACACATACATTTAGGCCATAGCATAAGTGAACAAATGGTGACTGAGTTAGTAGATCAGAAAGACCTTTTGGCTATTACAGATAATGCTGTAATAAACATTCTTGTACAGGTTTCAGTGTGAATGTATGTTTTCATTTCTCTTGGGTGTATATACCTAGGAGTAACATATTTCTCGATCATATGATAACTCTATGTTTAATCATTTGAAGAACTGCCAAACTGTTTTCCAAAGCAACTGCACCAATTTACATTCTCACCAGTAGTATATGAGTGTTCTGATTCCCCTCATCAACATTTGTCATCATCCTCATCAACATTTGTCATCTGACTCTGATTCTAGCCATCTTGTTGGGTCTGAAATGGCATCTTATTGTGGCTTTGATTTGCATTTTTCTGATGAGTATTAATGTAGAGCATCTTTTCCTGTGCTTTATTAGTCATTTGTGCATCTTTAGAGAAATGGCTATTCAGATTCTTTGTCTATTTTTTAATTGTTTTTTTAAATCATTGAGCTGTAAGTGTTCTTTACATACTTTAGATACAAATCCTTTGTTAAATATATGATTTGCAGATATTTTATAGTTCTCTGTGGGTTGTCTTTTCATTTTCTTGATGTTGTTCTTTGAAGTATAAAAGTTTTAATTTTGAGCAAGTCCAATTTTTCATTTTTTTTTTGTTCATTTTTTTTTAAATCTAAGAAAGCTTTACAAAATCCTAGGTTATAAAGATTTGGCCTATACTTCTAAACATTTTATAACGCCATTGTTTTAAAATTTAGGTCTTTGATCAGTTTTGAATTACTTTTATATGCAGTGTGAGGTAAGGGTTCAATTTCATTGTTTTGTACATGGATATTCAGTTTCTCAGCACCATTTGTTGAAAAGAGTATTCTTTCTACTTTGAATGGTCTTGGCATTCTTGTAAAAAATCAACTGACTATAAATGTATTGGTTTATTTTTCTACCATCAGTTTTATTCTGTTGATCTATATGTCTGACCTTTGCCAGTTCCACACTGTCTTGATTACCATTGTTTTGTAGTAAGTTTTGAAATCAAATCAGGAAGATTGAGGGCTCCTACTTTAGGAGGGCTCCTCTTGTTTCTCAGGATTGCTTTGGCTATTATGGATTTCTTGCAATTCCATATGAATTTTAGAATTAACTTGTGAATTTCTACAAAGATAAAGTTTATGCATTTCTGTAGATCAGTTTGGGGAATATTATCCTAACAATATTAAGTCTTCCATTCATGAGCATGGAATGTTTTTCCATTTTAGATCTTTAATCTCTTTAAACAATGTTTTATAGTTTTCAGACTGTAAGTTTTATACTTGTTTATTTCTAAGCATTTTATTCCTTTTGATGCTATTAGGCATATAATTGTTTTCTTAATTCCATTTTTGTGCTGTTCTTTGCAACTGTATAGGAATACAATGATTTTTGAATGCTGATCTTGTATCCTGAAACCTTGATGAAACTATTAGTTCCAATAATTTTTTGATGTATTCCTTTGGATTTTCTATATACAAGACTATGTTGTTTGCAAATAGAGATAGTTTTACTTCTTCCTTTCCAATCTGGATGCCTTTTATTCCTTTTCTTGCCTAATTCCTTTGGCTAGACCCTCCAGGACAGTACTGAATAGAAGGACTGAGACTGGACATCTTTGGGGGAAAGCTTCTAGTTTTTCATTGTTAAGTAACATTAGGTTAGCTGTGGATTTTTTGTAGATGCCCTTTATCATGTTAAGGAATTTCCCTTCTCTTTCTGGTTTTTGAGTGTGTTTGTCCTAAAAGAGTTGTTGAGTTTTTGTCAATTTTTTTTCTGCATCTGTTGAGATGGTCGTGTGATTTAAAAAATTCTGTTAATATGCTGTATTACCTTAATTGATTTTCAGATGGTAAATCAGCTTGCATCCATGGTTAAATCCCACTTAGTAATGGTGTATAATTCTTTGTAAATGTTGCTAGATTTGTTTTTTAGTGTTTTGTTGAGAATTTGAGAGTTATTCATCTGTTGTTTTCTTGTGATTTTTTTTTGTTTCTGGTTTGGGTGATAGCCTAATAATGGCATCATAAAATGAATTGGGAAATGTTCCCTCCTATTTTGTTTTTTGGGTGAATTTATGAAGAGTTGTTATTAATTTTTTGAATGTTTGGTAGAATTCAGCAGTGAAGCCATTTAGGCATGGGCTTCTCTTTGTGGCTAGGTTTTTTTTATTACTCTTCACGTGTTATAGATATACTCAGATTGTCTGTTTCTTCTTGAGTCAGTTTTGGTAGTTTTTATCTTTCTAGGAATGTGTCCATTTTATCTGAGTTGTTTAATTTGTTGGCATATAGTTGCCATAGTTTATCCTTTTCATTTTTGTAAGGTTAGTAATAATGTCCTCTCTTTCATTTCTGATTCTAGTAATGTGAGTCTTCTCTCTTTTTTTCTAGGCCACACTAGCTGGATATTAGTCAGTTTTGTTGACTTTCCAAAGGATGAGCGTTTAGTTTCATTGATCTTCTCTATTGTTTTTCTGTTCTCTATTTCATTAATTAACACTCTAATTATTTATTTCCTTCTAATTGGTTTAGGTTTCTATTGCAGTTGTGACTGACTGGGGCCAGCGTTCTGGGTGGTTAAAGAATTTACCAAGACAGTTGTAGTAAAGAAAGGCAGATTTATTAGAGAAAGTACAAAGATATGTTGCAAGGGTGCAACAAGTAGCACAGCAGAGAAGGGGCTGTCTGCCAAGAGGCAGGTGCTGGAGGGGAGTTTTATAGGTTCATGCTTGGAGTGGGCTATGTGGAACGAGGTCTTGCTGCTGGGGCTGTGTACAGAGCGAGGTATTTGGGAACAGGATGTTGTGCCAGCAAGTTGTCTGTGATTAGAGTTGTCTATGATTAGCTGTCTCTTGGAACAATTGTTCTCCCCCACCTGGGACCCCTTTTCATTGTTGCTTACTTATCTCATCAGGACTCCAGAGTTTAGTTTGTTCTTTTTTTCTAGTATCTTAGGGTGGAAAGTTAGGTTATTGATTTTGGGATCTTGTTTCTTGACATAGGCATTTATAGCTAAAATTTCCCTCTAAGCATGGCTTTATCTACAGCTCATACGTTTTGGTATGTTGTGTCATTTTCATTTATCTCAAAGTATTTTATGATTTCTCTTTTGATACCTTCTTTGGCCCATTGGTTGTTTAAGGATATGTTGTTAAATTTCCATTATAATGTGCCCCTGACATAAAAAAATGTTTTGAGTCTGTTTTGCCTGATACTGTTATAGACACTCAGCTTTTCTGTAGTTGTCTTATTCCTTGGTTCTCTCCTGTGAGCTAGCTTGTGTACAGTCTGCTTGTATACAGTCTAGGCTGTATCTTCAGTAGATCCAGGAATTTCATCCCAACTGCCTTTTACCATAACCTTCATTGTTTTTGAGAGCTTTCATGCTTTGTTGTGAGTGAAGTCAGTTCCCTTGGGAAGAGATTAGGAACTGTTTTTATGACCTGTTTCTCCCCCAGGCAAAATCTTTGAGCACAGGCTGTGAAGCTGGGAATATGGAAGATGGCAAGCTTCTCTAAGAGTAACACTCTCCTCTAGGAGCTGAACACTCAGTAGAAGGAGTCAGCAATAGACTTAGGTTCTCTTGGTTTGCCTCTCCTTTCTTTGAACCAGCAACTTATGAGCCAGGGGAAGAGCAGTCAGGGCCCCAGTATTCTCATCATGCCAAGCTCAAGGTAGAGCCTCCTTTCTGTGCATGTGACCAGAGTGGAAGAAGGGAGTCCTCACCCTACTCATCAGGGATTTAGCATTAGCAACAGGAAGCTGGTGGCAGGATGAGAAATGCTGACACTCCTCTCAGGAAGAAAGCCCTCTGGCTGGGAGATAGGGTTTGGGGCTGGAGGGTTGGGGGAGAGGGAACCCTGTGTTCTCAGTTGTAGCCTTCTGGAGTGGAGTTTCTGCCTCTCTGACCTAGAAGAGGGGAGAGAGGGAGCAGTCTAGGTTCAAATACCACAGACTCACCTCTTACAAAATTTCCATAGATTTTCTTGAACAGCTATTTCTTCATTTGCTGTTTGCTATTAGAATCATTTCCAAGGCCAGGCGTGGTGGCTCACGCCTATAATCCCAGCACTTTGGGAGGCTGAGGCAGGTGGATTACTTGAGGTCAGGAGTTCGAGACCAGCCTGGCCAACATAGTGAAACCCCATCTCTACTAAAAACACAAAAATTAGCCGGGAGTGGTGGCACACACCTGTAGTCCCAGCTACTCAGGAGGCTGAGACAGGAGAATCACTAGAACCTGGAAGGTGGAGGCTACAGTGAGCCGAGATTGTGCCACTGCACTCCAGCCTGGGCAACTCAGAGCAAGACTCCATCTCAAAATAAATAGAAATAGAATCCTTTTCAGAGGCCTTAAATTATTATTATTTTTTGTTTTTGTTTTTGTTTTCAGACAGAGTCTCATTCTGTCACCCAGCCTGGAGTGCAGTGGTGCAATCTCAGCTCACTGCATCCTCCGCCTCCCAGGTTCAAGGAATTCTGCCTCAGCCTCCTGAGTAGCTGGGACTACAGGCACCTGCCACCATGCCCAGCTAATTTTTTTTGTATTTTTAGTATAGATGGGTTTTTGCCATGTTGGCCAGGCTGGTCTTGAACTCCTGACCTCAGATGATTTGCCTGCCTTAGCCTCTCAAAGTGCTGGGATTATAGGCATGAGCCACCACGCTCAGCTCAGTATTCTCCTTGACCTTTTTCTTTTTTCTTTTTTTTTTTTTTTTTAACACTTTTTAACCAGCTTTTCTGCGGAGCAGATTAACAGAGCTCCTCTTGCTGTCATGATGGAAGTTGATCTCTGGGAAGTATATTTTCTATGTGAAATCTACACAAAAGGAGAACAAAAATTGGGCAAAACTAGCAGTCTGCCACAATAAGCAATAATTGAAAGCCCATTGGCCAAATGTCAGTAGAATCTTTTACTGAGAACTTCTCCATATATGTATCTTTGCCTTCTTCTCAGTTTTTCATAGCTCTTTTATCTTTCATCCCTTTATGTTGTCTCTTTCCCTGTTTCTTTCTTTTCTTTTTTCTTTTTTTTCCTTTTTTCTCCTTTCTTTTGGGGATGGGGAAAATTTTTTTAGAACAGGATTGTAAAGCAAGGGAAAACCAAGCCAAAAACAAATGCATGTAAGGAATGGCCTTATTGTTTAAGAAGTTCAGAAGTAGAAAATATCCAGCTCAGCTACTTTAAAAAATAATAAAAAGAGGAATATCTCAATATAAATATTCAAAGCCTGAGAGAGTAATTTACTTAAAAAGAATTTCTTTAATTTTTGATTTTTTTTTTTTTTATTTAGAAGCGAGGTCTTGCTCTGTTTCTTGGGCTAAAGTACTGTGGCACTATACTAGTTCTCTGCAGCCTCAAACTTCTGGGCTCAAGCAATCCTTGTGCCTCAGCCTTCCAAGTAGCTAGGATTACAGGTGTGCACCACTACACCAGGCTATTTTTATTTTTTTGTAGAGACAGAGTCTTGTTATTTGCTCATTCTGGTCTTGAACTCTGAGACTCAAATGATCCTCCTGCCTCACCTCCCAAAGTGTTGGGATTTACAGGCATGAGTCACCATGCCCAGGCCATATTTATTTATTATTTATTTGTTGCTCTGCTTCTTGCCAATAATTGGTCATATTATTAACATCTTACCACTCTTCCTTCTCTCCCTGGTTGTTCAATCACATTTAAATAATCCCTTGGTATTTCCTGACATTTGTAGTTTCTGGGGTTTAATTATCTCTTCCATTTTTCTTGGTATTTGTACAGGTATACATACTTAGAAAATACATACTTAGAAAATCCCTTTGGACTTCAAAATAGGTTGAATTATTCAAAGCATATATTGGCAAGACTCTTAAAATTGTGATAATCATATGGAGAACAATTATGTGTGTGCATAATCTAAGGGGAATTTCAAATAGAACTGAAACATTTATTTTGAATTAATACTTAACTTTGCACATACATACAAAGGCCCAAGACTTTTTCCTTATCAAAGCATAACTTTATTATTTATAGGTAATAAGTATTTTCTCTGTGAAAAGATGCTCAGTGAAAGAGCAATCTACATACGTATCTAGAGGCACATAAGAATCACCTGTGGAGCTTTTTAAAAACTACGTGCCCAGGCCAGACTTTAGCCCAATTAAATCTGGATTTTGGGGTAATGGGGCCTAAGTATTTAAACAGTAGTTAGAGTGGAATTGCATTTAATTATCTCTAAATTTTCTGGAGCTCTTTGAGGAAAAAGTTGGGACACTTCATTGCTTCATATTTTTTTTTTTCCTTCAGCTTTTCTTCTCTGCTTTTTAACTACTCTTTTCTCAGTTTTAGAGGTAGAAAAGGGATTGGTGAAAATTGAAAACAGTGCCGATCATTTGATTCAAAGGATGCTGGTAAAATGAGATAAAAACTTTGGCTGAAGTGAGTAGAGACTGCTAACTTTAAAGAAACTGAACAATCCAGAAGCATGAAGTTATGTACCAGTTTAAAATAAACTTTCATTAAAAGGCACTTGTCTGTGATGCTTCAAATGTAGAAATGTGGTCCACAGATTCCTCAGACTCCACTGTGTCAAAGAAAAATCTTGTTCTCTTTTAAAGCTTATTAAGTTTTGGTTGTGATTAATTTATATTCTTCCCAGTGTCTAGCAGAAGTGCAGTAATTCATGTAGGATTTAGATAAACTTTCTGCAATGTACTGTTATTTACCTTTTCCTAGGAAGAGTACATATACAAGTCCCAGATATCCTACAAATATAACTCTGAAATTGTTATTATTTTTGAAAAATTAATCTTTTTCTAGAGTACTTAAATCATTCTCCACAGATGATCATTATTATAATTTTTACATTTTAATTGATGTGTTGTTATGTTGAGCCTACACATCTCTATCTGTAGAATGCAGATAATACCTTTTTGAAAGGTGTGTTTTGAGGATCACAATTTCATGAGGTAGCATTGTGTGGAATTACCCTACAATGTCCTTGATTCATCTAAATAGTATTAAACCTTCTTATTTGGTTATCACAGACTTTCAAATAATCCTGATAGTTATTTACTTGTTCTCTGTTCTACATCAATAGGCTAGGTAAATATCAATGGACTATAATTTAAAAATTTGTTTTTATTGTTTATAAAATATCTTTTTAAGGACTGGGTTTGAGGTTTGCAAGTTAGCAATCTGACATGCAAATCTTACACTCATTACAGTTTGTGATAAGCTCAAAGGATCGATTTTAGATTTAAAAAAAAGACCCTTGTAAGAAGAGCATCTCAAGTTGGAATGTTAAGTGAGTGCAGATTCTAAAGCCTCCCCAGTTTATTGGCGGGAGATATGTTCCAGTGGTGATGATACTGTGCCTGCCAAGGGTGAGGTCCTGCCAGATTGGTAAAATTCCCCAGTGGGTGCTGCTGTGGTTTCAGTGATGGTTTCCCCTCTACAATTTTGTTGAGACTTAATCCCCAGTGCAACAGTACTGAGAATTGTGGTCTTTGGGAGGAGATTTGAATCTTAAGGGCTCCACTCTCATGAATAGGATTGGCACTCTTTTTTTCTTTTTTCTTTTGATATGGAGTTTCGCTCTCGTTGCCCAGGTTGGAGTGCAATGTCGCGATCTCGGCTCACTGCAACCTTTGCCTCCTGGGTTCAAGTGATTCTCCTGCCTCAGCCTCATGAGTAGCTGGGATTACAGGCATGTGCAACCACGCCCGGCTAATTTTGTATTTTTAGTAGAGATAGGGTTTCTCCATGTTGGTCAGGCTGGTCTCAAACTCCCGACCTCAGGTGATCCGCCCGCCTCGGCCTCCCAAAGTGCTGGGATTACGTGTGTGATCCCAGCCACTGCACCTGGCCGGATTGGCACTCTTATAAAAAAAGGGTTTGAGGTTGAAGGCAGTGTTCTCTAGCACTTCTGCCTTATGCCATATGAGGACACAGCAAGAGCGCCCCCACCAGAGACCAAATGCTGGGCCTTGATCTTAGACTTCTCAGCCTTCACAATTGTGAGAAATAAATGTCTATTGTTTATAAGTTACCCAGTTTGTGGTATCTTGTTATAGTAGCACAAATGGACTAAGACAGGTGCCAACCCCAATTATGCCATCGTGGCATTAAGCTTAATTACTTTATTTGATTGCAAACATTGCCTTTATTCAAGCTCTATCACCTGATTCTGATCTGTGTTCTGAGTTTAATTTCTTGCTCCGTCACCAGGATCATCTAGCTATGCTACCTTTGATAGACATAATAATGACCCTTCAATGATGGCCACACCCTAATCCCTGAAACCTGTGAATGGGTTACCTTACATGGCAAAGGGCAATTAAGATTGCTAATTGACTGACTTTAAAATAAGGATATTATTATGAATTGTGTTGGCCCAATATAATCACAAGGATTCTTAAAAGTAGAAGAGAGAAGCAGAAGAGGAGGTCAGCGTAATAGGATGTGAGAAGAACCACTGTTGCTGGCTTAACTTGGAGGAGGAAGGCCATGAAGCAAGGAATATGAGGTGGCTACTAGAAGTTGGAAAGGGCAAGGAATCAGATTCTTTTTAGAAAAAGGAATGCAGGCTGGGGGTGGTGGCTTACGACTGTAATCCCAGCACTTTGGGAGGCCGAGGTGGGCGGATCAGAAGGTCAGGAGATTGAGACCATACTGGCCAAGATGATGAAACCCCGTATCTACTAAAAATACAGCAATTAGCTGGGCATGATAAAGTTCCATGGTGGCGCGTGCCTGTAATCCCAGCTACTCAAGAGGCTGAGGCAGGAGAATCGCTTGAACCAGGGAGTCGGAGGTTGCAGTGAGCCAAGATGGTGCCACTGCACTCCAGCCTGGCAACAGAGTGAGACTCCGTCTCAAAAAAAAAAAAAAAGAAAAGGAAAGGAAAAAGGAATACAGACTTGCCATTGCCAAACCCCTGATTTTAGCCCAATGAGACCCATTGCAGACTTGTGAACTACAAAACTGTAAGATAATGTTTGTGTGTTTTAAGTCACTAAGTTTGTGGTAATTTGTTAAAGCAACCATAGAAAACTCATAAATTGGGCATAAAATAATTTATGCCAGTAAATTATATATTAATGAATTGGAATCATATTTTTAGTTTCTTTGCAATCTTGTACTAAGGAATAGTCTTTGGGCAATTATTGTCTCTGTTATCAGGCTTAGGATGGACTCTGTACAATAGACCTGGCCATAGTTTATCACTCACAGTGTCTTACTCATTTTTATGTCCCCAGCACTTAGTACAATGACTGCCGCAGAGTAGAAGCACGGTAACAGTTTGGGGGATAAATGAATACATTTGTAGTAATTAGATCTAGACCCAGGGATTGCTACTGGTTATGTATTATCAATTTATGTTCATCATCTTTCATGTGATAAAAGTGGGGTGCTTCACTAAAGAAATAGGTTTGGATATTTAGTGTCCATTGGCCTCACCTGGAGGGCTTGGTGAACCAGATTGCTGGGCTCCACTCTCAGAATTCATGATTCATAGGTTTGGGGTTGAGCCTGGAAATTTGCATTTCTAACAAGTTCCCATGTTAGGGTGATGTTGCTGTTCTGGGGACCACACTTTGGGGCATTTTATGCCTCTGTCCCTCTCAGATGTCTCCTCAGGGGACAAACTAGCTCTGCATGTTCTCCAAGAACTATCTGCTTTTTTTTTTGTAGCCACCCACTCCATCCTTAGGGGTTATACTCTACAGGCCTGGCTAACACATTTAGTAGTTTTCCTAAGGTTCGTTCTTCCAACCCCCAGCCTGTTGCCTCAGAAAATGATGGTTCACTTAGTTCCTCTCATTTTAAGAGTAATACAGGATAATAAAATCAAACGTTAAAAAAATCTAAAAAATGAAATGGAGAAGTTTAAAAGATGGCAAATTCTTTTCAATTCTTCTACTATTGAAAAGAACTTGTAATTTCTCACTCCATTCTGAGGTGGTTACTCTCTTGGGAATTACCCTCAACACATACTGCTCCCATAAAAATACATTCAACATACATATATTACTGTACTTACCATACTATTTTGTAATTTTTGTTTATTTTGTCCACTAGATCGAGTTCATCTTCTGTCTTCGTCTCTTACTTATAATAGTACCTACCAGTTTATGTGTGATGGATAATGTTATAGAATGAAGGAACAAATAAATAACCAAATGGACTCTAGTTTTTTACTCTTATTTCTAAGAGACAGGATCAACAGCTTTTCCAACCCCTTCTAAACCTTCTGGAGAGGCAGAGTGATCAGTGCCTATTTGCTTCAAAGGGATAAGTTGAAGCTCTGAAGACTTCGTTCTAGGTGACACTCGTTCAACTAAATCACCCATCATGCCCTCCAAACTCACCAAATGAATACATTTGAAAATTTCTTTCTTTCTTTCTTTTTTTTTTTTTTTGAGAGGGAGCCTTGCTCTGTCGCCCAGGCTGGAGTGCAGTGGCGCGATCTTGCACTGCAAGCTCCGCCTCCCGGCTTCACACCATTCTCCTGCCTCAGCCTCCCTAGTAGCTGGGACTACAGGCGTCCGCCACCGGCCAAAAATTTCTTAAAAAGGTATCTCCATGGCTGGGCGTGGTGGCTCACGCCTGTAATCCCAGCACTTTGGGAGGCCAAGGCAGGCGGATCACGAGATCAGGAGATCGAGATCATCCTGGCTAACACGGTGAAACCCCGTCTCTACTAAAAATACAAAAAATTAGCTGGGCGTGGTGGCGGGCACCAGTAGCCCCAGCTACTCGGGAGGCTGAGGCAGGAGAATGGCGTGAACTCGGGAGGTGGAGCTTGCCGTGCGAGATCGCGCCACTGCACTCCAGCCTGGGCAACAGAGCGAGACTCCCTCTCAGAAAAAAAAAAAAAATAATGAGATATCTGCGTTCTTGCTTATGTGATTGACCTCTTATTTGGCTGTGTTCTTGTCAGTCACTTGTACAATTACAACTTTTTTTTTTCTCTCTCTCTGGAAACCTATAGGATCTTCTATTCGTTGCCATTGTTTGAAATTTTATGGTAATTAACTTTGGTGTGGTTCTACTTTTATTTATTGTGTTTGGCACTTACATGGCCCTTTCAATTTGAAATTTTGATGTTTTTAAAAATTATGTTTTTTTAATGAAAAAGACAGTAAATGCACATGGTTAAAAAAAACAACAATACGCAAAGATATATAATGAAAGGAAATCTCTCTCGCAACAGTCTTCTCCCCAGAGACAATAGACTCTCTCCTTATATTCTCCTTGATGCTAATTATTAAAAGGAGCTCTTTGGAAATTGTTAAGAATACCCTACCTCATTATACGATCATGGTAGTATACATAGATATTTTAAAAACAATGCTGGATTTTGTTGCTGGTTTAATAGTGTCTCTCTGCTTATTTAATTTTGGCACTGTATTACATATTATTTAAAGTAACTTAACCAAACTGCTAGGGGAGTAGTACTACTACTAGAGCATTAACTTGATGTTAATACTTTCCTTGATGTCTTTCATTTCTGTTTGATATTCTGTCATTTATTCTGTGCTACTTCTGTGAATAAAGTATTCATATGATACTTGCCTGGGAAGCAATAATAGCTTAATCATTATTGACTAATGAATAACTGATGAGCTCAATGCAAGAGAAATATACTTAGTAATATTCAACAAATGTTTATTGAATGCCTACTGGGCTGAAGCAAGATCAGGTATACTACTAATTTTTTTTGTTTTCTTTTGGCGTGCCTTCTGCTCTTATGTGCTAATGCTGGGACTGTTTCATCGTTTTCACATTGTTGAAAAGTGATAGTCTTATTTTACTTCTCTATCGTTCAAGTCTTTTTTGCAAAAATAACACAAAGCCATTTCTTTTAAAATGTGTATTTAAAAAAATATGTATACCATATGATGACAGTGTTAAACAGTCTCTGGAGATTAGTAAGGTGGTTGATGGTGCGTGAATGTGTGAGTATGCAAGCATGTTAGGAAAATATCTATAAAAAATAAAGTCTTGCATTTGTTAAGAAAAAAATCTTAACATATAAAATGTACCAGAGACTTACTCAGTTATGCAGATTGTCAAATTTCAAGTGATTGAGGATAATCAATTTTGTTGTCTCCTAAATTAAAAAGCATATGCTTATTTGGTAGACATTTGAGGGAAATAATGGTTTTCTTTCATTAACAAATTTCTTCTAGTGGACCATATTATTTTACTTAAGAGGAAGGATTACTTGTTATTTGTTTCTTCTTATACATCATAGTTATTCTATGAAGGTTCTTTCTTACTGCTAAATTTCCTTTCAGTAGGATTCATTAAACAGTTTTGAAGCCATGCTACAGTAATTTTATTTTCTATTAATTAAATATTAAATTCCAGATTGAGATTTGAGTCATTGGAAATAAAGCATATGACTAAAGGCATTCTCACCAATAATATCTAGAAATCACGTACACTGTTTTAATATATTATCAAGAATTTTAACAATGACTTTGTAGTATAAATATTGGCTTCATATAAGTTTTCTTTTGCCAGATGATGGACCTAGCCAAAGTGAGTCTGCTACTGAGACTGCCATGACACTACCAAGTGAATCCAGAGTCAATATACATGCCATCATTACATTAAAAATATTAGACTATAGGTATGTAATTTATTATTATTTTTATTTTTATAGAGATAGGGTCTTACTGTGTTGCCCAGGCTGGTCTTGAGCTTCTTGGGCTCAAGCCATCCTCCTGCTTTGGCCTCTCAAAGTGCTAGGATTATAGGCTTGAGCTACCATGCTTGGCCTAATTTATTTTTTTTTAAACATTACCAAACACATAGGAAACTTTTCAGAAAGAAACCCTTCAGTAAAAAGGACAATTGATGAGGAAAAATTCATCAGAGTACTTGACTTAGAGTAATAATAATTGCAAAAAACCATGATGAAATAGAAGGATATTAAAAGTATAATAAAAATAGAAGGATATTAAAAATATAAATGACCTTCAGTGTCCATTCCTTCTGCAGTTTGTGTTTTACTATGCTTGAGAGAGAGATGGTTTTGTTAATAGTGATATTTTTATAATGGGAACATTTTATTGTTATAAAAAAAAAGAATGACAGTATTGATAATAAAGTTCTTTGACTCAGTAATCAGCATCCAAAGAGAATTTCATATTGGTGGGTGTCTATGTTAGTAAATAAGAAACTAGTATTTTAGTTAATGAAAACCTTGACCAGCAGGCAAAGCTTGAGAGGTTGTACCCTGCTAATTTATCTGAACACAAGTCAAATAATGTATCATAGTAATAATGTGCTGTGGTAGCAAATATTCCAAAACTGAAAAAATTACAATGTTAGTATATAAATTGAGACAAAGCCAAAAAATTTTAAATATTTTTTATGGAAGTATATGAAATTGGGAAAAGAAGATACCTATGCAGAGATTGAAGGTAGTTGTAAAGTATCCTTTCAGTACTGTCTAAGGCAACAACAACAAAAACATAAGCAATACTGTCAAAATTTTTGTAGCAATTGGTTCATTTATGGGTATTGTAGTGAAAATACAAAAGAATATAGACTGAAGTCAGATAGGTGACTAGATTTATTCAAGAATCTACACAGCCAACATCAGTGTATGGTCTTTTATCCTTAATGTATCAGTAGGAACTATCTTCTTAGCAGTCAGGATACAGTCTCCATTTCACATTTGTTGTGTTTCATTCATATTGTTCTCACCTCTTGCCTGCCACTCTTAGAAATCACTACTCTAAGCTAAGTTTCTTTTGCCACGCTAACACAGGTAGCACTCTTCTGTACTTACATTTGACTCTTTCTTACAGAGCATGGCAACTTAGCTTTTTTTTTTTTTTTTTTTTTTTTTTTTGAGGCAGGGTCTTGCTCTGTTGCCCAGGTTGGAGTACAGTGGCGTTATCTCGGCTCACTGTAACCTCAACCTCCTGGCTCAAGCGATTCCCCCACCTCAGCCTCCCAAGTAGCTGGAACTGCTGCACGCTATCCTGCCCAGCTAATTTTTTTATTTTTTGTAGAGATGGGGCCTCTCTGTGTTACCCAGGCTGTTCTTGAACTCTTGAGCTCAAGTGATCCTCCTGCCTCAGCTTCTCAAAGTGCTGGGATTACAGGCATAAGCCACCATGCCTGGCCAACTTAGCATATCTTATCTTCCAAATAATATACCCATTTATTCAGTAGATATTTTTGGAGTCTACTAAGTATCACATTCTGTGCTAGGTATCATAAATAAACTGATTGATGAGACAGACTTCATTCCTGCCTTAGGCTTTTTTTAGCTTAGAATTTCTTTTATGCCTGACTTCTGGCTTCCATTCCCTCATATACAGATACCATTTATTGAGTCTCTATTCTAAGGGGATCTAGGGTGTTGTACTAGGTACATATGCTGTTGCTTTTAATCATGCAGACAATCTATAAAGTAGTATTGGTCCAATTTTATTTGGGATAACCATTTCTACTTCTTAAAGGCACAGATATCACAAAAGCATAATCTTAGATTACTTTGATTCTAAATTTATTCGGATTTGTTTTTCTTAAAGACTTTAACTGGAAAGGAGTGTCTTATTTAAAATATAAATTATCAATCTCAAGGCATAAATGCTTTCAACTAAAATTTTTAAATAGCATGAATCTTTTAAGTCTGACTAGCATGAGTCAGTTCCCCATGAACTTGAGCATTTGTGATTGAAGAGATGAAAATGCTGCATCTACACAGAAGAAAATGGGATGCTAAAGCAGAAGTAGAAGGTATAATAACTGTGAAATGTAGGCTGTCTTTACATATTTGTATTACAATGCATTTCTTATACAGTTCTTCCATATTATACATTATATGTAATGTTTTTCTGTTCATAGTCATTCATTTGGCATTCCGTTGAAGTTTCTTGAAGGTAGATGACATTGTATTAAGCACTAATAATTTTAAAAGAAGAATGTAAGGATAATGGCTAATTATTACATTAAAAAAACAGTTAAATCTGCAAATGTTAGAGTTCTATATAGTAGTCCCGCTTATCCACAGTTTCACTTTCTGCAATTTGGGTTACTTGTGATCAGGTGCAGTCCGAAAATATTAAACGGAAAATTCCAGATGTAAACAATTTATAAGTTTTAAATTGTGCACATTCTGAGTAGCATCATGGAATTTTATGCTATCCCTCTCTGACCTGCCCTCTGTGACCTGTCATGTCTCATGACCTGGGACATGAATCATCCCTTTGTCAGCATATCTATGCTGTATATGCTGCCCATCCTTAGTCACTTAGTAGTCATCTTGTTATCAGATTGAAAAAATATGGTGTATACTATATAGGATTCAGTCCTCTCAGAAGATTCTGGCATCCCCGGGGGGTCTGGATAAAGGGGAACTACTGTATTTTCATTTAAGATTAAATTTATATTTTATTGAAAACCTTACTGAAAATTTTAATAAAGAGGAAATTTATTTATATTTACATTTGAAAACATGTGGCATAAATAACAATAAATAGTCCTTCAGATTCTAATGTCACAGAACTGAGATTCAGGGGAGGTAAGTTATAAAGCTCATTAATGGTAGAAATAGGAATAGTTTAATCTCAGTCCACTGCTCTGTCTACCTTGTCACATACTAAAGGAGAGAGAAATTGGTCCAGGTTACTAAATTAAAATTAAACTAATTTTAAATTAATTAAACTAATTTTAGTTAGTTTAGTATAATGTTGAACTTTTTAAAAAAGTTATTATCTTGTAGAAATTATATACCCAAACAAATTTGACAGAAAACTCCTCTTATAGATTTTTAAGATGGGGCAACAACTAGCTTTTAAAATTATAGATTTAATTCTACTCAGAGGTAAAGGAATGGGCTCCATTTGCTATATGACTTGTAGATATCTTAGACTCCAAAGATAAATATCTATTTTTATTCACATTGAGTATATGAATGCCCAGAAAATGTAGCACAATATGTTATAACACAATATGTTGTCTGAATTCCTAACAGTGAACCTTTTATGGCTTGGTAGATTATGTGGCATTTGTTACAAAATTTTATAATCAATGGCTTTGAAAAATTTCATAAAATCTTTAAACACCTTTAAAAATGAAGAGTAATAATCATATCTTTTTGGACTGCTAAGAATGGTTCGTTTTTTAAAACCATTTTTCATTTAGTGATAAACAAGCAACTTTGATTCCTGATGAGGTGTTTGATGCAGTAAAAAGCAACATCGTCACTTCTATTAACTTCAGTAAGAATCAACTATGTGAAATTCCAAAAAGGTAAGAACTATGATGCCATGTCTATAGGTTGTGACTCATTCTGTTGTTTTTCCATCTTGGTTTTTAAATTGGTTTTTCCATATTGGTTTTTAAATTTAAAACTATATGTAAAAATTTTTACATTATTAATATTAGAGGGATTTAGCAAAATGTCATTAAGTATTTACTGACACAATTTTATCATTTGTTCTGAGAGGTATAGAGGTTTTAAAAAAATTTGTTTCTTTTTCTTTTATGTTTAAACTTGGAAAATGGGTATAAGAATTATTAAAAACATTATTTTTCCCATATAATGAAATATAGGGAATTATATATACTCTCACATAATGAAATATTAGGGAAAATTGTTAAGAGACTGTCTAACATCAGGTCCATGTGGATTAATAGGAATTTCCATTTGGGGCTTTATGTTAATGAATTGCCAAGCCACTAATTTTTCCACTGATAGGAAAAGCAAAATTAACTGAAGCCTGTTAATATTTTTCTCCTAGAAAAGGATTCTTCACATGCAGTCATTTGCTTTATACATTGTACTGTTAAATACATTTTTTGTTGTTAATTACAGCAAAATCTTTAGATTATGAGTGTTAATTTAGTATATTGTTGAACTTTAAAAAACATTTGTTATCTAGCAGTAAACTATATACCCAAAGAAAGCTGACAGATAATCTAGCAATTAAAACAACCCAATGTGAGACAGGATAGGGTACTGATAAGGAACTTGAGCAATATAGTCAATTGCTTATACCATATCCCAGACCTGCTGTATAGTTTTTGGACAGGTTAACTAGCTGTTCTTAGTTTTCTCACCTGTGAAATAGGGATAATAATAGTGCCTGTTTATAAGAATTAAACTAAATGACATAATCCACACAAAGCATTTAACTAGAGCCTAATGCTTTTATGCACGTAAATACTTAAGAGGAAAAAAAAAGGTGATGTCGTGGAGGAGAGTGATGTGATGAATTGAGAAAGTTGAATGACTTTCATCTGACTATCAAAAATTTTTTAGATGTTTAAAGCTTTTAAAAAGTGAGACAAAATATAATTTGCTTTCTATTTCTCAGAGCATAGTTTAGGGAATGTAGATCTTAAAAGACGACAAATTTAAGATAGTCCATTGCAAAAGGGATCTCTAATCCATCTTCTGGTTCTCTCTTGTTTTAAAGGACTGAGAGGATATTTGATAGAATTGAGCATTTAGATTTGCTCTCAGATAGGACAAGTTTGCTTTGGGCGGGGGGTCCTGGATCAAATAAGTTAATTGGGAATAAAGATATACTTAAGAGACATTACTTATTATTTACTGCCTCATTTTATCTCACTATCTGGCTCTTCTTTTGCAAAATAATGTCATTCTGTTGACACAGCTATTATATCACATTTTGAGCAACTTAGAATGTCAAGAAAATAATCAAGACATGCCTTATTACATGGACATGTTGCATTAAAAAAGCCATGCTTTTCTCTAGAAAGTTCCCAAACCACTTTCCCTTTTTAAAAAAATTTTAATGAACAATTCATGCTTTTCACCAAAGATTATAAAAATAATACATATTCATAAAATTTTGGAATAAATAAAGGAATATATCAGTTGTAGTTTCATCACTGATTTACTCGGTTAACTTTGTGGCATACTGCATATTTTATTTCAAGCTATTCTCCATTTGGAGTTATACATGCAATTTGTGTCTTTTTTTTTTTTTTTTTTTTTTTGAGACAGGATCTCACTCTGTTGCCCCTACTGGAGTTCACTGGCACAATCGCGGCTCAGTGCACCCTTAACCTCTCAGGTTGAAGTGATCCTCCCACCTTAGCCTCCCTAGTGGCTGGGACTACAGGCATATGCCACCACACCCCACTAATTTTTGTAGAGACCAGGTTTTGCCATGTTGCCCAGGCTGGTCTCAAACTCTTGAGCTCAACTGATCCACTTGCCTTGGCCTTCCAAAGTGCTGGGATTACAGGTGTGAGCCACCATGCTTGGCCATAATTTGTATCTTGACTGGTTTATTTGTCATAAGTATTTTTCTGTTTATAAACCATACTTTAAAAATGTAATTTAACTGTATACTTTAAGGTTGATTATGACAATAAAGGAAACATATTGTTTCTCTAGGCCAGATTTCTAGAAAAATTATTAAGTCAGAGTTTGACTCGATATATCAAAAAAAGTTTTATCAAGTTTTATCAGTTACACATTGAAACTCATTTTCTTTTACTACATCTTTTTCAGCACAGCATTTTATATCCTTTCTTTTTTTTTTCTTTGCTAATGAGATAGACTAAGTTGTAATTTAACTTTCATTTGGTTGTCTTTTTTTTTGAGACAGAGTTTTGCTCTTGTTGCCCAGGCTGGAGTGCAGTGGCATGATCTCAGTTCGCTACAACCTCCGCCTCCCAGGCTCAAGCAATTCTCTTGCTTCAGCCTCCCGAGTAGCTGGGATTACAGGTGCCCGCCACCATGCCTGGCTAATTTTTTGTGTTTTTAGTAGAGGCGGAGTTTCACCATGTTGGCCAAGCTGGTCTTGAACTCCTGACCTCAAGTAATCCACCTGCCTCAGCCTCCTAAAGTGCTGAGATTATAGGTGTGAGCCACCGTGCCCAGCCAACTTTCATTTGTTAGTAAATCATATTAATAACAGGAATAAAACTATAAACCTTGATTAGGCTTACTTAGAAATGTTTAATTCTTCCTCTTTAAGTTTTAAACTAAAGCTCCTTAGTGGTAATACACTACTTATGTAGTAGAAAACTACTATGTTACAGGATGTCTGTTTAACAATTTGTTTTATGGATTCAAGTTATTAATAGAATAAAGTATAAAAATTTTCTAGGTTTGATTTTTCTCCTTCGTGCCATAGTTGGTTTAAATATAAAATAAATAGTTTTTTAAGTGAAACTTTAATGTATATATAAAGCCAAATAGAAACTTTTGGACAGATAAGAGTGAGCCTTTTTTGAAAAATTATTTTTATTAGTTACATATCCAAACTCATTAATGTTCCTGTGAAAAAGTAAAAGGTACAAAAAGTCATAATTAGCAGAAGTTAAATATAGGAATTTCCCCCTTTGATCTGCTTACAGTTTTGAAGTTCTGGCAGTGAATTCAAGTGCTAACATTTTAAAATTATTTTTGTTTCAGGATGGTAGAACTGAAGGAAATGGTTTCTGATGTCGATCTCAGTTTTAATAAACTTTCCTTTATATCCTTGGAGTTATGTGTGCTTCAGAAATTGACTTTTTTAGATCTCAGGTATTTATTGATACTATTGCTTGACTTTTTAAAAAGTTATAACTTGTCTTTGAGTTTTGTCTAACTTATTCTTTTTACCTCATATTTTCCTAGGTATGTATGGAAACTGGCCTTTATTTATTAACAATAGTTTAGGAGAATCCAAAAATAGTGTTTAGGAAACCCGAGACAGAATTCAGGAAAAATACTGTAATCAGACATTTATAATTTGTAAGCAATTTACAAGTTACGTCATAAGACAAAATTACTGAAAATATTAACCCATTCTAAGCAAAATTACAAATAAGACATGGAAAGTATTTTTTTCACATTGTTTATTTTCTGAAAGTAAATAGTATAAAACCAGCTGAGTGGGTTATTCAACACAACTTAATGCAGACAATAACTGGAGAAAAGTACAGAGAATGTAGATATAGAAAAAGAATATAGCTTGTACTGTAGAAAGTATGACTTTACATATTAGGCTTGACTTCTGAACACAAAGAAATAGGTTAGAGAAAAATATTTATTTGTAATAGGTAGTCATCTAGTTGGGAATAATTTTCTCACAGGTATTTTCATTATTAGTAGTTATATTGGCTCCTAAAATCCTTTTACCTTTTTGTTAACTTTTCTTCTAACATTGCTCCCAGATCTTTCCAACAGTAAATGAGATTTTGTTTATTGCCATGTTTCATTGTAAGAGCTAAAAAAAAAAAATAGTCATTGTGTAAATTTAAATTCTAAACTTAGAGTAGGAATAGATTTGCTTTATACCTATGGAGTAGAAAACTCCAAATCTCTTAATAGAATCTTTTTAACTTCTTGGTTCATTTTTAAAATAATTTTTAAATTCCTCTTAGAGTAGAATTTCATGTCTGTGTCATATATATTAACACCAATGGAATATTTATGTGGTATTATAGACATGGGGGAAATATTAAATACCCCACTTTGAAGGAGCTAATTAGTTTACAGTGTTTACCCTGTAATCACTATTAAACCTGTAAAGAATTCATTGCATTATCAATTGGTTGCATATTGGTATTATTAGGATTTGGCATACTAACCGAATAACTGCGGTAGGTGACTGATTCAGAATTCTCAGAACTCAGCCTTTATAAAGTCAGATCAAGGATTGACAAACTGATCTACATATTTTTTTTTCCTGCTCAATATTTTAATTATAAATTAAACTTGTAAAATTTTTCAAACTTTGTAAATCTTCTGTTTTGATTTCCAATTTAGGAACAATTTTTTAAATTCTTTGCCAGAAGAAATGGAATCACTGGTAAGACTGCAAACGATCAATCTTTCCTTTAATAGGTAAGAGAACAGACAATTCTAATTGTTATTCTGTGGAAATATGTAGATCTTTCTCATTGGAGAAAACAAAAGCCAAAAAAACAAAAAGGCCCCTTCTACTTTATTTCAATATCCAGATTTTATTTTCACTTAGTTCTTCTTAGAGTTAAAAATATTATTTTCTTAGAATTCTCATAGTTGATGTCTAACATATTTTTCATTCCTTTTTACCATTTTGAGAAACCTGTGGCCTAAAAAGACAAAATAAATAATTACAATTGCTCTAATGGAAGGATAGTGCACAGGAAAATGTCTTCTGAGATTACTTTAAGGTAGAGGAGATAGCATTGAAACTGAGGTTTGAAAAATAGACATTTGCCAGCCATTCAGGTAGAGAGCATTCTAGTTAGAGCTAATAGCATATGCCAAGGCACAAAGATGTGAGAACATATGGGGTGTCTGGGAAACTTCAAGAAGTTCAATGTGCTTTGGACAATAAAGCAAACAGGTAGAGGAGTAGAAGGAACAGATAAAGTCTGGCAAGTAAGCAGTAGCCAGACCTTGAGCTTTTTGTGCTCAACGAAACTTAGATTTTGTTCTGCAAACACTATCAAGATACTGCAGATAATTAAGAGCAACTAATATTTATTGGGAGCTTATTATTCTGCTGGTGCTGTACTAAGTACTTTACATGTAATAGCTCAGGCTTACAAGAACCCTACATGGTAGGTTCTGTTACTGTGTTCATTTAAAAATCAAGGATTAGAAGCTAAATAACTCATCTAAGGTATGCATAAATAGTAAATTATACAGCTGAGATTTGAGTCCAGGTGGTTTGGCTCCAGAAGTTGGGCTCTTAACAACTATGTCACATTGTTTCTTATGATGAAAATGGATTCTAAAAACAATTTAATTAAAATATGAATAACTGGCCAGGTGCAGTGACTGACACCTGTAATCCCAGCACTTTGGAAGGCCGAGGTGGGCGGATCACCTGAGGTCAGGAGTTTGAGACCAGCCTGGCCGATATGGTGAAACTCCATCTCTACTAAAAATACAAAAATTAGCCAGGCGTGGTGGTGGCCTGTAAACCCAGCTACTCAGGAGGCTGAGGCAGGAGAATCGCTTGAACCCCAGGAGGCAGAGGTTGCAGTGATCCAGGATTGCGTCACTGCACTCCAGCCTAGGCGACAGAGCAAGACTCTGTCTCAAAAAATAAATAAAATTTAAAAAATAAAATATTAGCAGCTAATGTTTAATGCAACCTAGATAATGTCCTAAGGTCTTCAAATACATTCATTTAATCCTTATAACAAGTGTATATGTTTAGTACTATTATTATTCCTCATTTATAGATGAGGAAGCTAATGCATAGTGATGTTAAAATATTGCTCATTTTAATTTTTCTTCTGTCTGCTCCATTACTTGTCCTTTCTAGTATATAGATTGCACCATTATTGTCATTATTTTAAAATATGTGCACTTCTCACATCTCTCCTAATTTTTACTTGTGAATTGAGCTATCAGTTTTATATTGTGTTGTCAATTGAGCTAACAATTGCCTTGCAAGTAATGTCTTTGGGGAAGTGCCAAAAGCTAGCCTAAACTTCCGTGTTATCAGGTGATTATCTTGTTCATGGGTTGCAGGGAGGGAAGAGAAGAGCCTATTAAGGGGTCATTTGGTCCATCTGTACTCTTGGCTATTGCTTCTCTAGTCTTACTGGAACTTCAGCACTGCCTTGAGTTTACACTTCACTATTGCTTTTTTTCATCAAGGCAGCAAAGGAAGGGGGCAGTATGCGGAAATGAAAAGGCCAAAGCTCTCGTTCCTGCCCATTCTTCTATTTTCTAGTCAAGGCTGCAGTTCACCTCATGCTAAAACTGTGCTAGCCTTTGTGCCCTGCGGGGTCCTCAGCCATTTTACGTTAATTGCAAGTATTGCTTTGAGAGCTATTAGCCTTCCCATATCTTGTGGCATCTTCAGGGTTGCTTGGACAAGAAAGCCAGCAGTCTATGCTAATTTGTTATCTTTTTAAGAACCCAAAGTGTACTCATTTTAGAAGCCTCAGTCAAAGCAAAATATAAATCTTGAATTTTACTTAATATATTGGGAGTGATTATGTTTCATAAGAAGTAAAAGTGAAAGGAAGAATACCTACATGGATACATTTAGAGAAGATTTCCTCTTGAATGTGAACAGAAAAATTTACTGGGAGAATTTACTCTGAAGTTTTGCTGATTTTATACAATAAATAGCAACTGTTACAAGTCTGTCTGTTTAACATGTATTTCAAGGTTTTCAAAATTAGCCCTTTCTCTTTATTTTTTGTAAAATTCAAATACAGGACTTAATGCCAATTACAGAATAACATACACTAAAGAAAAAACTGTCATGTCAAATTTAAGATAATATGTTTTAAGGAATGATTTTGGTCTGATTCCAGTATATTTAGGTGTTCTGTTCATGTATTAATAGGTTTAAAATGCTACCTGAAGTTCTATATCGTATCTTCACACTTGAAACAATTCTGATTAGTAATAATCAGGTTGGATCTGTGGACCCTCAGAAAATGAAGATGATGGAAAATCTGACCACGTTGGACCTTCAAAATAATGACCTCTTACAAATTCCACCAGAGCTCGGTAATTGTGTAAACTTAAGGTAACTACACCATTCTACTGCATTGTTTCATTTATTTTATTGATTTGTTGAAGTGATTTGTTTTTCTTTTTCAGATAAATTTGCAAGAAGTTAAAGTAACAGATTTAATATCCTGTTAAAAATAACAAGTAACAAAACCCAGAGTCCCAATTCTGTTTTTCAAATTTTACCAAATGTATATTTTTAGTTTTGCTTATATGGTATATGTGTGAATATAATAACTAATTATTTCTAGTGGCTTTTCGCTATCACTGTGTATGTTTATAACCTGAATCTCTACTGCATAAAAATGTCGGGGAAATATTAACTCCTTAGCTTTGAATACAGGGTTTTTTTTTTTTTTTTTTTTGAAATTGATTGCAGATTACCACCATTCTATTTTGAGCCCAGTACAGTCTTTCTCACTCTTTACATCTGCTGTTCCCTCAGCATCAGGTACTTTTACCCTGTTTTCATCAATAATTGGCCTATTGAATGTCACCTTTGAAAGCCTTCCCTGTCCTCCAAGCAGAATTAGTCCCTGATTTCCCATCATGCTTCATTTGGACTTATTTGTACGATTTTTGGGTCTTTCTTTGGAAAAGAGTTGTCCCAGTGCCTAAAACATAGTAAACACCCAGTAAGTGCTTATTAAGTGAATATAAAGGAGGTTTGAGGTATCGACAGAAAGCCAAGTGGTTAAGCAGAATGTGTCAGAAGTAATTTAATTGCTGAAAACTGCATATGAATGATTTGGTATATTTTACTTCACTGGAGCAACACTGGTATCTGCTCTAGTACCTCATGTTAGTAAGTTATAGGAGACTATAAATACAGTTGATTCTTATTCTTTGTGGCAGTTATGTTCTATAGACACTCTGAACACCCAGTTAGTGAATACTGACCTATTGCTTCTGGGGGAAATACAGGGGTTAGGTTCTTGCAAGAGTCTAGTCACAACATTTTCAGCAACCAGTCAATATATAACTTTGTTATATGTGTGTTTCTGTAGTAAGATACTTCATTTAATATTACTGTTGTGTCATTAACATTGAAATCATGGCCAACAGCACTATAATTCATGCCTGAACAAAGCTTACCTGACACATGTATTTTTTTCGTAATCCACATTTGTCCTTAGGAAGACTAGACAGTACTTTAGCATTATACTTGGTGACCATTTAACACAGTGAAATCACCAACAAAGGTATGAAAATTTGAAAAGCGTGGCACTAAATGAACCACCAAAATGACCCGTTTACAGTATAAGAGCTGAAACAAGAAGACAAAGCATCACCTTGTTCAGTCTCACCTGGGAACATGCCCGTGGGGTGACTCCAATTTTTTGCTCCTCTGTGCCTGTTTATGAATGACCTCGGAAGTGCCACACATTGATTTGGGGGTATAAACTTTAGTGAGTAGGCAAGTTTGCAAATATAGCACCCATGAATAATGAGGATCAACTGTAATCAACTTTTTTTCTAGAAATTAAGAAAATAAGTCTTTAAAAGAATTCCCAAGAAACAGAAATATTTGAAGATATAATTTAGATCAACAATATGGTTGAGTCCTTTGATTTTTGTTTACATAAACACTTAACTGTTAAAAATAATAAAAAAGCCTCTCTTAATTGAAGATATTTTATTATATAATGAAACAAAACAAGCTCTTAAATCTTAAGTTGAACTCTCAGAACATGTAAATAGATTTATATATGTGTATCTGCTCAAAGGAGGGAGAGGGCAGAATGTGTTAATGTTTTGGGAGGCAGGGGGTGGAGCAGTGGTGGTGATACATTGATTACATTACAGTCCTTGGCTTGGATGACTCATGCTGATATTTGTTTAAATCTTACTTGACCATTTAGTATACAGTCACTTAATAAGGTTGAGAAGGCTGGATAAAAGGGTGGTTCAAATCACAGCTCCATCATTTAGTAGCTGTTTGATCTTAGACAATATTTCTTACCCCCCTAAATTTGTATTTCCTCATCTATTAAAACAGAACTATTAATGGTACTTACATCATAGGATTGTTGAGAAAATAGGATTGTTAAGAGTGACTGAATATAAATTACTTGGCTCAGTACCTTTCACAAAGTAAGTATTCAATTAATATGTTTTGGGTTATTAATTAGTTATAATTCTAATGTTTAAATGTTCAGATATGAAAAGGGGCAAATAGCTCAAGCATGGTGGTTCACTCCTGTAATCCCAGTACTTTGGGAGGCTGAGGCGGGCAGATTACTTGAGGCCAGGAGTTTGAGACCAGCCTGGCCAAAATGGCAAAACCCCCTCACTACTGAAAATACAAAAATTAGCCGGGTGTGGTGGAACACACCTGTAATCCCAGCTACCCGGGAGGCTGAGGCATGAGAATTACTTGAACCTGGGAGGTGGAGGTTGCAATAAGCTGAGATTGCACCTCTGCACTTCAGGCTGGGCAACAGAGTGAGACTCTGTCTCAAAAAAAGAAATAAAAATAAAAAGGGGCAAATAGAAAAAAAATACAGAAATTTTATTTATAAAATTGCAAATGAAATTAGATGAAAAACCTTGTTAATGGAAAATGTTTACATTCTCAATTTCTCTCTTTTGTTTAGAACATTACTACTGGATGGAAATCCATTCCGAGTTCCTCGAGCAGCCATATTAATGAAAGGAACAGCTGCTATACTTGAATATTTGAGAGACCGAATTCCTACTTAACATGGAGTTGCTTTATAACCCTTGTCATGTATTATTAACCCTGGTTAATTCTAAGGAGGATGTAACATTTGTTTTAGTATCATCTTAAAAGGTGATTATTGTAATTGATCTTGTAGTTTCCCAGTATCACCTACCTGTTGGTATAATTAGCCTGGGCCATATTCACTGCCAGTAAATATTTTTACATTTTTATTTAAGATTTTTGTAAGGTGTTGTATACATTTGTAATGGTGATAACCACAATGTGTTCATACATTTGTTCTAAATGTTTTGCTTATGATTTATCCTGCTAACTTTCATTTTCTTATAGCAAGCAGTTTTTTCAAAAATGAATTTTTATTTAATGTGGTTCAGTATTATAATAACAAAGCATTTTTGTAGAACTGGTTTTTTTTCTCATTTATTTTTGTATTCCATACAATGTGACCAATTGACTTGAATATGACTAGCCAGTTTCTATGTTTTTGTTAGATATAAAATTAAATCGAATTTTGTTGAATACTGTTCTTTGGCATTTAAAAAATAAGACCTTCTTATCTTGGGCCACATGTCAAAAGAAAAAGGAAACAAAAATATATTAAAAATAAGACTTTTCATTACCCATGATAGGACTTTTGTGATATGGCTAATCTCAGTACACATTTCAACTTAAAACCTTTTTATTTACAGCACCATAATTTTAAAATTTACTTGCAATCTTGGTAAGACTAAACTTGCAGTGTTTTTCTAAAAGGGAATTTGATAGGTAAACTTGATTTAATAAAAATTAAATATCATTTTTGTTTACACCAAAATTATCAGAAGTAGGTTGATTAGTCATTATAACACTTACCATATGATTCTATTAAGAAGTCAATTCAGTAGCATGTATATCAATTTATATAGATAGGTAGATAGCTTTTGGATGATTGAGGCATGCTTATATTATGAAAAAAATTGCTAATAAAGATAAATACTACATGTTCAGAATAAAAGTTACATTTTTCAAATATTGATTACAATGTTTATGTTTTCATTTTAAAAAAAACATGCCTTTTTGGCTGGGGGCAGTGGCTTACGCCTGTAATCCCAACACTTCGGGAGGCTGAGGCGGGCAGATCACTTGAGGTCAGGAGTTCAAGACCAGCCTGGCTAACATGGTGAAACCCCCGTCTCTACTAAAAATACAAAAAACAAAACCAAAAAAAACTATCCGGGCATGGTGCATGTGCCTGTAATCTCAGCATCTTGGGAGGCTGAGGCAGGAGAATCACTTGAACCCAGGAGGCAGAGGATGACAGAGTGCTGAGATCGCGCCACTCTGTACTCCAGCCTTGGGTAAGAGTGAAACTCCTCCATCTCAAAAAAATAAAAAATAAAAACAAAAACATGCCTTTTTCTTATTACATCTCTGTTGCTGACTACGAGGTCTGCTTTGATAGTAAACAAAAGACACTTTACAATAAGGTGACATTTTATTATTTATACAATAAGGAGACTTTTATGTTATTCAAAACACTTTTTTAAATACTGAAAAAGTTGAGTACACCAAAGCCGAAAAATGGCTCTGCTATACACTGCACAGCATTATTTTAGTCCCTGTATTTTGTATCTGTACAGAAAGCATCTTCAAAATGCATTCTAATCACATTGTACACCTTTACCAATTAGTGTCAGTACATAAAATAAAACTGGAGAATACAGCTTGCATTTGCAAATTAACTGACAGTAATTAATTTCACTGGTTCAGTAAATTTAAAATATAGATTCATAGGACTTCTTTGCACATAAAATGAAGCAGCTTTCAAGGTTGTTATGGTCTCATACTGCAAAAAAACCAGTAAGTACATTCACGATCTATGTTAATAAAGTAGTAAATATGTCTTCATTCAGTTTTATTTACATCAATATGTAGTTCAACTAAAAAGTACTTTTAATTGTGATATAGTAGTCTTTTTAACACATACAAAAATGACAATTTTTTATATATAATTTAAGCTCAAAATCACAATTATCTCAAAATATTAATTACAATACAGCCATTTCAGTTAAACATGTTGTGATTTGATTTTTTTTATAAAATGGTAAAATTGTATTATTAAAGTAAGCAATTTGTTTTGAATTGGCTAGAGTACACCCAAGTAGAAAACCTTAAATGTGAAGAGGTGTTTCCTGCCCCCTCCCACCCGAATTTGTATACAGCCACCTAGGCTAGCAAAGAGACAGAAAAGGCCCCAATTTATAAAGATTAAGCCTCTTTTGCTATACTGCTGTGGCTTGTTGGTTCTTCCATAAAAGCTTTACAAGGGTAGTGTCAATAAACTATGCAGTGAAATGCATGCATTAATATACAATATGTCTATGTAAAATGTCAATGTTTACTATTGCACATTAAAAGGTTCACAAAGACTGCAAAAGAAGTCATAAAGAAGCACTTTCTTTACCAGTCGAATATTGTAAATTTGAAAACGACTTGATAATATAATGGGATTTCTTTGAAATCAGATCCCAATTCAAGTTCTTTCTCTGGCTAAAGGAGCTCTGGTTACTTGGCCTTAAGATGTCACTGTTGTGCTGCACATATGGTAGTGAAGTCAGAGATCATTAAAAAAAAAAAAAAAGTCTAGAGACTCTTCATTTTACTAAAATAGCGACCCAAAGTTGTATCACTGCTTAGGAATTTTTCTTAAACTTACAGAAGAGTGAAATATTTCACTAACTGAATTATATGAGCTGAAATGAGAAAAAGAAAATTTATGTGTGTGTGTTTGGCATATGGGAAAATACAAATTCATATAGGTAGAAGTAGAACTTCTTTATAGAGTAGTAAAAGGATTATGCCCCAAAATAACTGAGGTCAAAAGTAATCAATTATGAAATCGTTTAGGAAAAAATAATTTTCATAGATACTTAGAAAACATCCAAAACATAATATCTAGTATCCTTTTACATATAATTCTTAACAAACCATCTGAAAACCTACCACTGTCTTCCTTCAGAATTGCTTATGTTAGTTTAATATTTCTTTTTTGAATAGAAAGACCCTAGTTCATGTTATGGTTTTCTTATATATAGCTGGTTGGGGGAGCCCTTGGGCAGTTATAAAGTGGAAAAAATAAAACTGTATTATTACTTTCAATAAGCAACAGTAATCTTGCAGTAGTTTCACTTTTTTCAAGGTCTTTTGTGGTGGTCTTTAAAATTTACAAACAGAATTTGGTAGATTTACTTCTAATTTTCCACTAGTAAAAAATTTCTTCTTCATATGAAGACAATGTCATTATCCTTAAGCTTCCTTTAGTCCCTACTGAGTACAAAGAGAAACTTGATTGGCTCTTCAAACAAAAACTATCTGTTTATCTGTCAATTACCTTTCTCTTCATTTCAAACAGAAAATAGGCTTGTGTTTTCAAGGATGAAAGTGTATTTGAGGATGTTAAAGAGAAATGCCCAAACATTATAAAGCCGAAGTATTAAGCATTCATTGCATTCCACTGACGCTAGGTGTCATCAAAGCTAAAACCAAATTTTCTAGAGTAAAACTTACATACAACAGTCCTTACTGACCTGAACCAGATGCCTTTTCCACATTCAAGCCAAATAAGAGTCCTCTGAGTGGAAAGACTACAAGTATTGAAAATAAAAATTATTTCAACAATATATTCTGAAAATTAATGACCTTTCTAGCAGATATGGGAGCTGCTTTATGTTGTCTGCCTGAGAGTTTCATCTTGCTTTTCCTATGGACCGTCCAAAAATATTACATAAGATTTCCTGACTAAATAAGAAATATTCTTTAGTAGAGGGTTGGGGAAGGGTAAGAGGAATGGAGAGATACAAAGAAATACAATGTGATTTCTTTTGTCCATTTGTCAAATGCTTTCGTTAAGCTATTAAAAAGGTCAATTGACCTGCATACCTGGGCATTATTTAACCTCATTATTTTAGCTGTGCAAAACAAATGTGCAAAGAAAAACACCTCCTATTTATGTGTGCCTATACATAGACACAAAACCTGAGTCACCATAAAAGTTTTCAATATAAGAAACCTTTTCTTAATATAGGAAAATAACCTTTAAAGAGCCAAAAATATCTTTGTACAATATAAGCAGCTAACTTTAAAACTTCAGTGTACTTAAGTATCACATATTTTATAAGATCCAGCAAAAAAGGGATCATTTACATTTGATAATTTTCTTAACTATAGCTGAGATAACCACATTTTAATTTCTAACATGTATTTTCATTCCCCTGAATTCATTGATTTTTTTTTTAAAGCACATTCAAATAAGTCCTGTTTAATTTCTGACAAACAGTTCCTGCTTGTTTCTAGATATTGAGGACATAGGAGATTTAGGATTGCTAGGCCTATAATTTAGTGCCAAGCCACAATGGAATTCCAAAGTTCAAAACAAAATATATCATTTTATTAAGAGAAACATTATTTGCAAAAGTATTTGTAGACAGAGTTGGGCCAAAGTCTGCATGAAGCTATTGTCTCATTTGCAGGCTCCCTTTCTACTGACTTAACTCTTAAAAACCCTTTCTTTCTCCATGCTCCATTTCCTTATTTTTCAGTAGGCTTCATACCCTTTTCGTACCTGAACCCTGAATTGTCCCAACTGAATGAAGCTCCCTTGCTCATTTGCAGCCACCAGTTAACAATGTCCTCTTATCTACATCTTTTGTTATCTCTTCCTCTTTATGAGCTTAGAACTCTGGGATGACTCCTTGGCCTCTCCTCCTGTGCCACTTAACTACTCATTAGAGGAAAATCTGCTTGAGTGTTCCATTGCCTTATTAGTCACTGATTTAAGGCTCAATTCAGGACATACTTATTCCCTGGGCTACACCTCAGTTGCGAACTGAGGAAAGTTGTTTATAGAAAAATGACTGAAAGTTGCTTCTCGATGCTGCTCCCAGTGGTCCTTGTCATTAATTATGCATTTATGTCAGTTAAGTCACTGACACTTAGGGAGAAGGGAAAGCCATCTGAACCAAAATATTCAGTCTTTGTGGCTGTGATTGGATAGGAGGGCCTTTGAATACTTGTATCAGTAAAGAGATACTGGGCAGGGCCCTTGAATGCTTTTTTTCTCAAGCCTGGTTTGGGAATAAGGTGGAAAATGCATGCAAGAGAGTAAAGGATTAGAGGCATTAGCCAAGGGAACTGTAGTCAATTCCTGACTTTTTATATTATACTTGCCTGAGGATCACCAGAAGGATTTTGTCTTGTGCAGAAGGCTAAAAGCAGAGTCATACTTTCTCTGCCAACAGACTTGTTGCCATGGGAACCAGTGCAGAAAAATGAAAATATGACAAGAAGCCAAGGATTAAATGTAGAAAATTGATAGGGAGTTGATTTCTACATGGCAATTTAAGCATTGAGGATTTAAAGAAACAGGATGTTCCTTATGTGGCCAGATCAATGAAAATGGACAAAATGACTTACCAGTAGCTGGTCCTAGGGGGCTGAGGTGTGGAAAATGGAAGGAGAAAGTAGTAAGCGTGCTGTAGTTTGGATAAGGGGAACTTTGTAAAATCTAATTCCACTCCTGATGAGGTTAAGCTTGCAGCCCAATGTTAAAATTAACTGTAGGATCAAATATACCCTTTGGAAAGGCATGCCCATGCTTAGCTTGATAAAAGCAGCCTGATGTAACAATTTTCTTTTCACCTTTCCAAAACCAGCACATACTACTCGACAAGATTATTGCACATCTAGTTTATTATTGCTTGATGTATCTTTTCAATTACTCCAACACACAAAAAAACGAAAAAACCCACCATTTGCAAATCTATGCCTCCCTTCCCCCAATAAGGCAGCTATTGTAAGTACCCTAGAATTAAGTTTCTCATTAAGGAAATAATTATTTTACTTCATGTGATACAAGTCCTCCCTGTGTACCCTTCTCTGTCATTCAGTACTTAATAATAAACTGATCAAACCAGACTGTAGGAGTCCAGGAAAACCTTTAACAAGGATTTGGAGTTTCAGCATAATCTGAGAAGGACCTACATGTTGTATTTTCAAAGGCTCTAAGGAGACTGTACCTGCCGTGTCTCCGAAGCTTTCCTGAAAACCTACAATTAATGTCTCATTCCTATGACTTCAGCTTTGGCCTATTTTGAAATGCAGTTGCTCTAAGGAGATGTAGGAAGGTCACCCTGTAAAGGATTTGATTTAACCCTTCCTGCAGAGCTAGTTTTCAAATAGTAATGGCACACTTCACCTGATGTCCTCTTCTTCCCTCACCCACAAAGGAAAAACTAAAAACATAACGTCCACCTGGGCAATGGGTAGGGCTAGAGGCCAGGAAGTAGGAGACAAGCCATTATAGCATAGTTGTCTTTAGGGTACATCTGAATCCAAATGGTCTGAATAAAATATGCTCTTTGTGCAGTGTTACGTACACTGGACAGATTTCACTAGACATGCTTGTTTTCTTTCTCACTTATGACTTCTGGATCTATTTGTTAGAGTTCATTACTGAAGCCTTTGACAATCTCAATGAGTTCTTGAAATGTCAAAAGCTCGTTAATTTCCTTTATCCCAAGAGTACTTAATTCTGAATCTGAATTCTGAAATCCAATAAAACGCCTGAATGTTCTATCACTTGCTGTTTGATAGTACATGCAGGACCCTAAACAGAGGTTTGAATACTGAGATACTGCTGACACAGAATTCCTTATATCAATATTCTAGTGACTTTTAGGATTGGAGACTTGTGGGCTTGGTTTTTGCAGTAGGAAGCATTAGAATAACCTGATGCAGGACTAATTGAAGCTACATAAAGCATTGCTTTTTCCTAAAGGCAGGTAGGCAGATCTCTTTCTCCGATAGGCAAATAAAACATAATAGGGTCTTCACGAGCAGCTATGCCTTTGAATTTAACATATGATAGAGACTGCTGCTTTTCATTTCTAATATGGTCTCTTTAAAATCAGGTAGCTGATGCCTGGAGGAAGACTAGCTGGTCAGGATTAAACTAAAAATGATTAGCTTTTTCTGTGACCTGGCACTGATCTTCTCACTGGTAGATCATACCTTGGACAAACGAGCTCCTCCACACAGAAAGGCCACCAGATACTACTGTATTTAATGGTTTTACTACATCTATGCATTCTTCTGGTAAGAATCTAAAATAGTTTAAAAAATCTCATAGGGTATTGAGAATTTAAATTTGGCTCCTTAAAAATTTTGAAACAATTTGATTAATCCTCTCAACTTTCTATGAGGTTGTACAAATGATTATTTGCTATATCATGTACCTTAAAGAGTTAATAGACATAACTTCTGTAGTTTTCCTTAGTTTATCATATAGCTCAGTCACAAAAGGACCAATATCCCTCATTTTAGAATATTTATTGCTTTCTACTACCACAAGTATTTGGAATTTTAAAAAAAGACTTTTAAGTAGAATAATGATGTCTGTGTAGTAGGCATTATGCTTTACAGAACTGATCTTTTTTAAAAGGTGGCTTCTCCATGTTGACAACTGAATATACAAAGATACAGAGCTTTTTTTTCAATACCTTTCAACCTGGATCTCCAGTAATATGCCCAAACTGGTACTTGAAGGTCAGGAGTCCTTTGATTAAGTATTTAAAGGCACAATCTCCATTTTCAAATGTAAGCATGCTGCACAATCCATCACATATTTTTAATCAATTCACATTTTCTAAGTTGATGCGCAATGACACTAAGTTTCTACAAGGAAAAACCAAACACTTCATCACAAAATGGCAGCTAATTTTCCAGACCATAACTGAATTCATACACTTTTTGAACTCAACTTTATTATACAGTCGCTGTTCTACATCTAGGCTAATCCTGAGTGAAAAATCTTTGATTTTAACCTCAAAGAGCAAGCAAAAACTCTGGGATTTTGTTGGAAATAAAGCCATATGGACTATTAATATTCTCTTGCTGGTGTAATGTAATCTCTAAAGAGATTCTTCCCTTAGAATAAGTTGTAAGGATTTAGATGGCTATACTTCTTAGTGCTTAGAGAGGCTGCTAGGGCAGCTGAAATTGTCAACATTGGAGAACTCTTAATTGAAGGCTCTGGCTGGATAGGCCATGTCAGCATTTCAGCTGTCTGTCTAAATGACATGCATGAGACTTGATCTATGTCTGCATAGTTCCAGGCATTCTTTAGTTTTTATACTTCCTAGAAAATTTTATCTCAGGGGCTGTTCAAGTTGCATTTCTTACTGAACTCTGGTGGGTCTATTAGGTACTTAAACACAAAGCAACCCCCAGTGGTGGAGTGTTTGCTAACAGTAAAGACTAATGTTTTCCTTGTATGTAGGTACATGATAAGTGTTAAAGATATGCAAGTCCACCAGATGTACGTACATTTTTCTTAGGTGTCTAAAACACAAAAGAATTATTTTAAAGCTTTCAAGGGTCACTAAAGGTTAACTTCTCTTCTTCCCTCAGATTGATCCCTTTAAGTGGAACAGTAAGCCTTTGTTATCAAGCCTTAAGATGAAGTTCCTTCCTCCAGAAAGGAGGAGCTGCCCTTGATTCCAGCAAGCCCCCTCTGACTTTGACCCAAAAGGGTTACTCCTTGGAAAGACAGAGTCAAGAAAAGTGAAAAGCTGGAGCTTAGCTAACCTGTGACTATCTCTCCGTGATATGATTTATTCAGGATGATACTGCAGTTATTTACGTCCCCACTGTCACCTGAGCCTTGTCCTTTTTGACAAGATACATATATACAAGGGACAAGAACTTTCCTTCCTGAGATAACAGAAAACGTTCCTTGGGTCATATTATAAAAGCAATAGAGCCGAGGATGGTGGCTCATGCCTATCATCCCAGCACTTTGGGAGGCTGAGGTGGGAGGATCACTTGAGCTCAGGAGTTCGAGACCAGCCTGGGCAACATAGCAAGACTCTGTCTCTGCAAAAAATAAAAAATTAGCCAGGAGTGGTGGTGCATGCCTATAGTCCCAGCTACTCAGGAGGCTGAGGTGGATCACTTGAGCCCAGGTGGTCAAGGCTGCAGTGGGCCATGATCATGCCACTGCACTCCAACCTGGGTGACAGAGCAAGACCCTGTCTCAGAAAAAAAAAAAAAAAAAAAAAAAAGGCATTAAAAAAGCAATAAAGCAGAAAGAAAGCATTTGCCATTTTATTAAACTGTGAGAGAAGGTGACAATACAGTGTTCTTTCCTCATATTTTGTACCTACACGATAGCATTTATTAGACTTTTTGTGTGTCTCCCCACTAGACTGTGTTTCTTGAGGGGTAGGACCATGGCTTATTTATATCTTCCATTGTTCTTATAATAGAATTTTGAACATAACCCCTTGTTCATTAACATTTGTTGATTAAATTGAATGCACAGTGAGAAAAAGGCAAATTGTTTTAACAGTTAAATAATTTTTTAAAAAAGGATAAACATATAGATTGGCTAGAGGACAAACCTTAGAATGGTCCGGAGGCAGACTTACAAGAGAATTACTTAAACATCTCTCGATTCAAACCTACAGGTCTGGATGAATACTCAAAATATAAGTATATATTTTGGGGTATAGGTGAACCTGCGGGGCATATTTATGGCAAGACCAAGCAAAAGAAGAAAATATAGTCCCTTCACTTTGAGTAGTTTATGATGACCTAGGGCCCTAGGTGACAGGGATAGTAACTATCATTTTTTGGGAAACGTGGAAATGCAAAAAAAAAAAAAATTGCCTGATAAGATATATAGACACACACACACACACACACACAGACACACACACAGACACACACAGAGAGAGAGAGATATTAATTCCCAAGTTTGAATTTCTCTGGGAAATGGCCACAAAGAAATGCCTGAACTGTTTGCTAGCAACATTCATGGTTTTATAAAGAATATAGCAGTGATGTCCTGCTAGAATATCTGTCTTGATCATAATGAGACTGTGAGAACCTATCAAGTGCAAGATACCCGTTGCTTAGTCAAACGATTCTACAAGTATGGCTGAAGATTTATATCCCAAAACTGGCTATCAAAGATGGCTGGTTTAAAACAATCAAGACAGTATAGACAAATATTACAGGGCAAGAATAGTTTGGATGATGATATCCTAGAGAAAAAATCACTTTTAGAGAATGGGACTTGTTCACTATCTAACAACTTTCTCTTTTACAGATTCTAGCTTAATGATCATCAATAAAAGTGAAGTCTTGAATATGATGGATATTCACTTATTTGTCAGGGAGGTGACACAGTTGGACAAGCAGCACCCTTGGAGTCGGGGTTGGGGAGGAGTGCGTGAGATGTTTCAAAAGGATCTCAGTGCATTTTAAGTGACAGCTTCTCCTGCTCTCTTCTCTTCCCACAGCTGCTGGGGGTCCTGCACCCCAACCCAGCCTAGATGATATTTCCATTTGTTGTACCTAAAAGCAGAGCTTTTTACATCTTTACATCTTTACCTCATGACAGAACTAAAAAAATGATGTTTGTTCTACAGTATGGCACGGAGATGGGTAAAAAAGTGAAAAGAATAAGCCACAAGCCCCCGTGCTTTGAGGAGATGATCATAGCCTGCTCCTGGGGAACTATGCTAGTGGCTGGATAGCAAGCACTGACCTAGAGGTTGCTCCTAGGAATAAAAAATTAAGATTATCCATAGAAGACAAAGAAAAAAATACTTCGCTAATAGTGGATACCAAAAATCTGAGGTAGTGCAAAAGAAAAGAAAGGAAAAAAGAAATAAAAAGCGCAACTGGAATACATACATACAAACTTTCAAGACGTTTTCTCTTATACTCTTCAGTAAAATTCTATGTAATTTTCATTCTAGTATTTAAATAGTTCTGGATTTTACAACTAAACCTATCATTAAAAGGTTATGGAAAATAGAAGGAATAAAAAAGATGAAATAGAACATCAGGCAAATCAAAAACTCAAAAGCTGTATCCAAAACAATGGTGGACACCTGCCGTATTTGCTTTAAAATGGGTGGCACTGTTGTGTACAATTTAAATTTGTTAAGGAGATATTTAACTTCTCTGAAAAGAGAGGAAGAACACTTGGTAAACAAACCCAAAATGGTGCACTAAAATTGGCAGGCTTGAGGTCAGAAAGAACTTACAAAATATTAACCCCCAAAGAAGGTTAAATTGAATTTGCTAAGAAAGAGTATTCTGTATTAGTATCTGGTGATCATGTGGCTAGAAGGAAATTGTTTTTTTTGGAGGAAAACACCAGAGGATATAAATGGCTTCACATAAACTTTGGGAAAGAACACCTTGTCTTCCCTCTACCTTTGCTCCGGGTTGGAAGAAAAAAAGATTAAATGGTTGGCAGGGGAACACCTGAAACCCATATAAGTAGGGCTTTGATGGAATTAGCAAAGAAGAAGCTCAGACCAGGAGGCTGGCTAAGCTGTGAGGGTGAGGATATAATTAGCTTAGAGGAAGTAAACAAAAACATTTGGCCTTTTTAGCAATGATCCAGCCATCAGAGGCCCTGGAATTTCAAATGACTAAGAAGAACCAAAATAGCTTGAGGACACATGTCACCAAGGCCGCCAGGGGTTCTCTGCCTTCAGCACCCAGATATTCCCACTGAAAGGAGAGAGGCTGGGGAGATTGCAAACTACCTTGGGAATCCAATGATCACTTTGTGAGAGACATTTTGAAATACATTTCGAAATACATTTCTTATTCACTTCATAATAAAATAAAATCTGATTGTCATATTATGCTGATTACTCATACACATAAATAAAATGAAAAATTAGGCGTTTATTGTAGATGCCTAGTTATTGCCAGATGGAAATAAAGCTATACCCAGATGCACACATATTCAGATTGGACTAGTTTTAGAATTACATAAAGAAGGCTAGGCAAACTTAACCACAGTTCCTGATGTTTAAGTTTTGGAAAGTTAACTTTAAAAATAAATTTTGAGTAACTTGAGACAAATCTATTCCCACATACTTGGAATGGGCATACCTGAAGGAAGTGTGGCTAAAATAATGGGAGATAGGAGCAAAATATTTGGAAAACACAAGTTAGAGAAGAACTATTAAACTGGTGGGTATAATAATTAAACTGAACAATTAAGGAACATCAAAACTTTAAACAATCAAGCCTCACTGAGAAAGTGGTTTCTGTCTCATTAGGTTTTGGGTGATTGATACAATCTGAGAGGTTTAGTAAAAAAACATATAAACTGCCTAAAATAAGCTCAAAGCTCTTGTTTTTTTCTTAAATTGTGTAAATTTAGAGCATTGTTTCAAATTTTCTCAAAGGAGAAAGGAAAGGGGTGTTGTTAGCAATTGTATCAGCACAAGGGGCATAAAAACAGACTGTGTAAGGCCATCCCAGCACTTTGGGAGGCCGAGGCGGTCGGATCGATAGAGCCCAGGTGTTCAAGACCAGCCTGGGCAACATGGAGAAAACCTGTCTTTACTAAAAATACAAAAATTAGCCGGGCGTGGTGGTGCATGCCTGTAGTCCCAGCTACTCGGGAGGCTGAGGCAGGAAAATCGTTTGAACCCAGGAGGTGGAGGTTGCAGTGAGCCGAGATCGCGCCACTGCACTCCAGCCTGGGCGACAGAGCGACACTGTCTCAATACAAACAAACAAAAAACACCCACGACAACAACAAAAATCGGACTGTGCTCCCCCAAGCCAGAGAATTGCCAAGGCTGGGATTTAAAATGTAGATATGAGGTCTCCATCTAGTGGTGGCTCTTCTGAACTGCAGACACATGTTTCTTTAAAAGAGTATGCGGATGTGTACAACTAAATATGAGGATAGTATTTGTCAGAGTTGAACGCAGTAATTTAAACTAGAGGATTTTATTGAGATGAAACACAATTTGTTGCTTTATAAGGGTGGGTTACAGAGGGAAATGTTCACCCCTTCGCTCCAGGAATTTAAGAATAGCATGAATCCTTCCCTGAAGATAGACAAATGAACCAGATCCTCTCAAGGTCCCTTTCTGTCTTATGATAGGACAATAATTTTGCTCCTTTCTCCACAGAGCTTTTACCTGTAGCCACACTGTCTGACATTAGTCTTTATTTAAGAAAAGTACGGCCGGGCGCGGTGTCTCACGCCTGTAATCCCCGTACTTTGGGAGTCCGAGGCAGGTGGATCACGAGGTCAGGAGTTCAAGACCAACCTGGCCAAGAAGGTGAAACTCCGTCTCTACTAAAAATACAAAAAATTAGCCGGGTGCAGTGGCAGGCGCCTGTAATCCCAGCTACTCGGGAGGCTGAGGCAGGAGAATCGCTTGAACTCGGAGGGCGGAGGTTGCAGTAAGCTGAGATCGTGCCACTGCACTCCAGCCTCCAGCCTGATGACAGAGTGAGACTCCGTCTCAAAAAAAAAAAAAAAAAAAAAAAAAAGAAAAGAAAAGAAAAGAAAAAAGAAAAGTACTCTGGTAATTTTTAAAAATGAGATAACTTTTTTCCTTGTTCTGAGAAGTTGTATGACTAAAGCATTACCTATGACGTTAGACAAAAATAGTTTCTAGAAATGAATAGCAATTAAACTAAATATATTTCTAATATGCACCTTATTTTTCACTGTAAATTCTTCTTTTGACATCTGGAAGAGCAGGAGGGAAGGCAGAAACCAAGAAGAGCTGAACGATTACTCCTCTGGCCAAGAGAGAGCAGAGAGAGAGGAAGGGAATTCAGGGCTGTCTGAAGAAGGGGCATGGTCACCAGAACGAAGAGACTGGAGGATATGCCTGAATCTGATTTCTTTTATCCAGTTCCTCTCTGATTCTCTGTATCAGTCCTCTATTGCCCTTCTTTTGTCTTTCTCATTCTTTCTTCCTTAATAACTTATTAATTCCCCTCTTTCCCAGCCCTAGTCTGTTCTTGTTCCTTACTCACTCATTATTCTCATTATTCTAAAATGCTCTTACTTAAAAATATTTCATTAAAGTACTCTTACTATTCTAAAATATTCTTACTATCCTAAGATAATGTCACTCTCTCAATTAATATTTCACTTTTCCAGTTCATTTTTCATTTATTTTTGTTCAAAGAGACATTGGCATTCTTTTACCCATGTAAATGTATAGACACTGGGCTATAAGATACCAAAGAGTAGGCCCCTGGAGAGTTTGAGGCATCATGCTATCAAAGACAGCAATGGTGGCTGTTTCCTTCAAGATATACTATGACTTTATCTAAATCTTTCTAAATCAAAAATTTTATGAGAAGAAGACATAATTAACTTGATAGTTATCAAGTTCTCTTTATACAAAGAAATTAAAAAGCAGAGGTAGAATAAGAGTAATTAATATTAATAGTATAAGTAAAAGAGTCAATGACAAAACATTTAATGTTTCGGAATATTTCACTCAATTCTGGAGTTACTTAGCTATGAAACCCAAATAGAAAGACATGGGAAATAGTTTTGTGAGAAAGCTAGGACAGAAATGTTTTACTTGAAAGGAAATTAAGGTCCCATGAGGTAATAAAGGGATTGTGGTTAGGAGCTTACCAACCTGGGGGTCTTAGATATCATTAGATTCCCAGTTAGATATCATTTTTGTTTTAAGGGGCTGGATTCCATTTTTTGTCCCTTCAGGGGAAGGATCTAATGAAGCCAAAGATCATGGCAGTATAAATAGCATGCTTTCTTTCTACTTTGAGATCAACAGGCCAGATTCTATCTCTATAAAAGTTTGGGAGGGGTAACATGGTTTTGTCAAGGTAACCCTGATTTTTTTTCTGTGCTCTATCTAAATAGTTAATCATATCAATTATATAGCTTTTACAGTGGCTTGATAATTTTGGCTGAACTATATGACATCTTCACTTTAGGGATATAGGGGGTGGGATCTATTCATGAAATGATGCCAAAATGCAGTGTGTAAACATTGTCATGCTCAACTGTGGCCAACAGCCTGTAGACAGACTATTCTTTTATCTACTTAAAGGACGGGCAGCATTTGGCAGCAGTTTGATTAAAATTTAGAGCTAAATAGGTAGGTGGAGACCCCTTTCTCTCAACTACACTTCCGTAGCCTCGTCTCTCTCATGACATCTTTTATTCTTCCCTCCACATCCAAATTGTAAAAATTGCTTAGGTAACGTAATCTAGTGACAATGTGCATGACTTCTTCTCAAAGAGAAAGGAAACCCAATCAAATCAAAAGGATAGATATGGTGTGCTCCAATTAAATAAAAGCCACTTCTTAAACTTTTTGAATGGTGTTACTTTTTGGATAGTGTTAAGGTCCTTAGAACACACAAAAGGAAAATTAAATGTAACTGCTGAAACACAGCAGAAAAGACCAAAAATGTCTTAGAAAAAATGCTGAAGAGAGGAGGAAGACTGATTTAAAAAGGAGAAATTTTTTTTAACTGGGAATTTTGAGTCAACTGAGAAGATGAAAGGTTGGTAGTTTAAGGTTACACAAACTGAAGATCAATTTGCTGTTTAGTTCAATATTTATAAAGTGCACTATGTGCCAGGCCTGTCATCCACTTAATAATTACACAAATATTTATTGAGAACCTATACTATGTTTCTGACACTATGACAGGCATTAAGGATATATGGTAAACAAAACATCTGGTCATTTTACCTCTCCTGAGGCTCTTCTGTCTAGAAGTCCTTTGTTAAGTATTGTCTGATCCTCTCTCTCAAAAAGCTTAAAGTTCATAGGAAAAACAAACACCAAATAGCTATGATCTCAGGCAGAATGGGAAAGATACTAAAAAACATAAGAAAAAATTAATATGGTAGTGCTGAGTACAGAAATTTTTTTCCATGAAGACTAGGGAGGGTTTCATGGTTCTAGTGCTGTTTGAGCTGGGCTCTGAAGGCTGCATATGATTTTAATAATTTAGAAAGGGAATAGGGAGAGGAAGGCATTCCAGTAGAGGGATAGTGTGGGCAAAAGCTGAAATATAAAACACAGCGAATACTTGGAAAAGTAAGGATTTATATGTGTCTAAAACACTGAGTATGCATAGGGTGAAGAAAAGAAAACAATTTCCAGATTCAGAGGATCAGAACTCCTTAGAAGAATAGATGTTGATGATACATGGTATGTGTGATCCAATCTCATGCAAACAGTATTTTCAGGGGATCACTTGAGCAGCGTGTAGTGAAAATGTTCTCCACCCAAAAAGTGAAGTAAATAAACATGAAATGCAGCCAGCTGAATGATTGTTCAACTCCTTGCATTTCGGAGTGGGTCATTCTAACATTGGACAGCATGGATTCCCACGCTCCCTGACAGTGGTCATAGGAGGGACTTTTTGGGGCCGCTGAACCTAGAAGACTCTTTTCAAGCAACCCCCCCACACTTTTTAAAGTGTTGAATTCCATCTCCTTCTCCCGTAACGTCAGGGGCATACAGACTCAGTGCTGGACCAAGTTGAGGAACACCTTTCTTCATTTCCTTTCCTCTTTAGAACAAATTGGCAAAATTCTCGCTCCTCTTCCAGAGATTCAAGAGATTCTGGTTGCTATTTATCTTGTCTAGCAAGGCATTCACACTTGCCACGTTTAGCCTATCAAATGTTGCCCTAAATCCTGGCAAATATTCATCTAGCTCACACTTTTCGTGACACTTTTTTTTTTTTTTTTAAGATGGAGTCTCACTCTGTCACCCAGGCTGGAGAGCTGTGGCGCCATCTCAGCTCACTGCAACCTCCGCCTGCTGGGTTGAAGCAATTCTCCTGCCTCAGCCTCCCCAGTAACTAGGATTACAGGTGCGCGCCACAATGCCCGGCTAATTTTTCATATTTTTAGTAGAGATGAGGTTTCAGCATGTTGGTCAGGCTGGTATCCAATTCCTGACCTCAAGTGATCCACCTGCCTCGGCCTCCCTAAGTGCTGGGATTACAGGCATAAGTCACCGCACCCGGCTTCGTGACACTCTTTATGTGAGCTGTGTGAAGGTCACAAGAACCAGCAGAAGACCTATCTGTAGCTCCAAATGGAAAAAACCATGCTCAAACTGAAACAGATTTGACTAGATAAAGACTCGATTTCCTTTTGCAATAGGATGGTTGAGGGCAGGAATAAAGGGACTCACCACATTGCCTTGTACTGTCTTTGATGTGGAACTTCTCTCATCTTTCCTCTGGACTGTGAGATTCTGTGCTGAGGGGACCACATTACATCCCTCATAGTACCTGATATGTAGTTGATGCCCAACAAATATTTATTTTAATATTTATAATCATAATATTTAATGTTTTTGTTATATTCTTCAATGAAATGTCTCCAAATGTTTTCAGTTTATGAATAATATACTTTAGGCCTCAGAGATTCAGCTACAGTAAATGTTTTCCTGTGGAGGAAGTACAAGAGTTTGCTATGAAAATAAAGTTCCCTGTACTAAGATACTTTACTCTGGATGTAAAGATACTTGGCTATTTGTTAGGCTGCTTATTCAACCTGTTATTTTAAAGAAGGAAAAAAAATAAGCACAAACAATACACTTGTGCAACAGTGATAAAAAAATACACTTTCAAAACTAGAGAAAGATTGGGTGATTCATTTAACTTTCTTTCAACACCAATTTCTACACCCAGTGAAATCTATGCTAGCTTAAAGAATGAAAAAATGCTGGGCACAGTGGCTCACGCCTGTAATCCCAGCACTTTGGGAGGTCGAGGCAGGTGGATCTTTTGAGGCCAGGTGTTCGAGACCAGCCTGGCCAACACGGTGAAACCCTGTCCCTACTAAAAATACAAAAATTAGCCCAGTGTGGTGGCACGCACCTGTAATCCCAGCTACTCAGGAGGCTGAGACATGAGAATTGCCTGAACTCGGGAGGTGGAAGTTACAGTGAGCCAAGATAGCGCTACTGCACTCCAGCCTGGGTGACACAGCAAGACTCTGTCTCAAGAAAAAAAAAGAAAGAAAAGAAAAAGTCACATAAAAGTCTTTTTTTCAAAAAAGGAGAAGAGAAAATTATGCCAGGTTTCAAAATCTCACCTGTGGAAATTTGACCCAGACCTTGTCTTTGGGTAGGACTACATAGTGGTTCCAACCGTAGACTAATAAGAGTCATGGAATGTTTACATAAATGCTGCGTGAATTTCACAACCTTCCACCTTTTGAGGTGCTGCCATAACAAAATTAGGCACAAAAGGGGTGTTTTGCAGACAATTTGTGGAAGTATTGACAGAGCTGCAGAGGTATCCTTCTCATTTCTGCATGCCTTAATCCAGGCCCATTTCTTACATTGCTTAGTGCTCAGTGTGTTGTTACAAAGAGCATGAGCTCAGAACCCAACTGGGAAGACTCTACCAGCTGAAGAAATGCCTCTGAAGTTAACCAGTAAATTTTCTCCTCTCTCAGGTCTTTTCTCCTTACTTCCCATAGAACTGTTCTTAGGGAAGGTTGACATAATCACATGGTTAAAATCCCAAGGGACTCAATATTCCTATACTTTAACTGTATGTTTTTAAATAAAAACTTAGAGTAGACTTGCCCCCTCGGTTTTTCAAAAATCTCTGAATTCTCCAAAGTAGAAGCTGTGCAATTTATATCCTTACCAGGGAGTGTTTCCAAACCATTCTCTTGCAGGCAGTGTTGAAAGTAAGGAAGATTGGAACCTGTCTCAGTAAGAAGCTGAGAGGCTTAGAGAAAGTTCCTCAACACAGCAAAACCCAACATTTTAAAAACAGAAGCAGAAACAGTTTTATAAAGGCATTGCCACCCCCACCATTGCACACAGGCTTTGTTTGTTGTTGTCAGTAACATTATAAGCACTCCATCTTTGGGCCTTAGTTAATGCTACTACTCCAGGTTCCTGCGTTACCCAAGAAAGTTCCTCCCAAATTGGGAGCTGTAACCATCTGTTGATACTCAAGGCTCTCCGAACAGCTATCACTCTAAGAGGGTCTCTTATCTGTGTTTCAGCAGGATAGAAGCAGACATCCACTGCCTTTGGAAAAACATGGGGAGTTGGAGGGACGGATCTATAGCAGCAACTGCAGCAATGAAGACAGGTCAGTTTTACACGCTAGAAACAGAAATGCCCCCAGAAGGTTCAGGATATGACTGGAAAACTTGATTGCATCTACCTTAGTTTGTACAAGTGGTGCATCTTGGAAAATAGATTTCCTGAACAGTTTAGATCAAAATGGAGCTGACACTCAGGATCTCCTGTAATAGTGACCCACATGCTTTCTATACATAGCGCACATCTATTTGTCCACAGCCCACATTCTGTTTTCTTGCTATAATGTATTCTTTGGGTATGGTGTTGGTGGGTGATGGGAAATATTCTGAGCCAAGGCAAGATGCTTTTCTTAACAGAAGGTGGTTGTATTGCTAAGGAAAAATGTTCATGCAAGTGATCACCAACCTGGAGATGCCCCCCAAGTCCCAGATGATCAGGTAGCTACAAGTGTGAAGAGAGGACACATTACCAACCCAGAGTTTGAACATTTAGTTAAGCTCAGTAAGATTTAGCATTTCTGTGAAAGGAACTACAGTGGAACTTCAACCCCGCTTTTCTTTATACTAGATAAAGGACCCATCTTCTTAACCTATTGGATTTCATTATTTGCATAACTTTTTATTGACCCAGTGTGCCAATAAACTTGCTGTTTGGTCGGCATATCACAAATTAGTCAAATATGTTGTTTGATCGAATTTATCAAAGACTTTGAGTGGTAGTCCTATTTCAGTATGGCTTTTGACCTGGTTATGTTGTATTCTTGCCTCTTGATGAGAATGTATTCATCAGACATATTTGATCGGTGTGCTAATGAGGGGTAGAAATTGGTTAGGGACAGCGTTAAGACTGTCCTTAACAGTTAGTAAACATACTAAACGGAAAGACAAGGTGGCAAGCACACTACATTTTCCAAAGCTTTACACTGGAAAGCTTAAATATTAATAGATATTAAATATATATTAAATAGATTTTATGATTAAAAATAAAATGGTTTTTTTGGTTTCTTTCATCTAACCATTTTGACAAATTCAGATACTTTTCACTTAATATTTGAATATATAAATCTAATTTCTTCCATGTTTTCTCCCCTCTGAATCTTCTCTTTTTTTTTTTTTTTTTTTTTGAGACGGAGTCTCGCTCTGTCGCCCAGGCTGGAGTGCAGTGGCGGGATCTCGGCTCACTGCAAGCTCCGCCTCCTGGGTTCACGCCATTCTCCTGCCTCAGCCTCCCAAGTAGCTGGGACTACAGGCGCCCGCCACTACGCCCGGCTAATTTTTTGTATTTTTAGTAGAGACGGGGTTTCACCGTTTTAGCTGGGATGGTCTCGATCTCCTGACCTCGTGATCCGCCCGCCTCGGCCTCCCAAAGTGCTGGGATTACAGGCGTGAGCCACCGCGCCCGGCCCTCTCTCTTTAGCTCACCAGTTGAAAGATATGTCAGTCCTATTTTTAAATAAGTAATTACATTAGTGATATGTGTGCAATCATCTTTAAGATTAAGAGCAAATTAACATTGGCTTGTCAGTCTCTCCTCAAAGCTGTTTTCCATCTCAAAGGTCGTGATCCAAGGTAAGGTCCAGAAACAACTGAGATTGTTTTACATCTATGTACTAGGTTGGAACAAAAGTAATTGTGGTTTTTGCCTGCACTTTTAATGGTAAAAACCGCAATTACTTTTTCAGCAACCTAATAATTACAATTCTAAGTAATGGAGATACATATCTTTTATAGGCTTCAATGAGCAATACATTAGCATAATGTTTTATTTCATACTGACTTTGAATATTCCTTGTCAAAAATGCACTTATACTTTGGAGTTACTATGTATGTTTAGGTTACTGTGTTGTCATCAGAAGGCTGGAGTTATCATAGCAGAGCTTTAATGACAAAATATTATGAGCCTTGTAAATAGTTTTAAAAATTGTCCACTAATATCTATTTGTCTTGCAAAATTTGCAATTTTACTAGTAATTTTCATCACTTGCTCTTTCTACCTCTAATGTTTCTCAGTCTCCTCCATTAGATCTTACTGACTTATCACATATAAACACCTTCCTCAGAAACAGTCCAATAAAAATTAAAGACCAAGAGGTAGAATCTACTGGAGCCATCATGAATTCCAGTTCTTTTTGTTGTTATTGATTTTTCTTTTTTTTTTTTAAAAGGCACACCCTTGACTTTTTTTTATTGTTAAAATAACCAGATTCTAATTTCAGGCAGCAAAATCAGTTACTGCAAAAAGTCAATAATCAAAAATCAATGTATAATTGGTTTTCATCACCTATAGAATTAGTGAGGTTTATACCCCTCAAGTGTTTAGTGATTCTATTCAGTCAACCTAAAAAAAATTGCCTCTTTTCTACTTAAATAAATAATTTATTTATTTATTTTGAGACAGAGTTTCGCTCTGTTGCCCAGGCCGGAGTGCAGTGGCACAATCTCAGCTCACTGCAACCTCCGCCTCCCAGGTCAAGCGATTGATTCTCATGCCTCAGCCTCCCAAATAGCTGGGATTATAGGTGCCCGCCACCATGCTCAGCTAATTTTTGTATTTTTAGTAGAGATGGCGTTTCACCATGTTGGCCAGGCTGGTCTTGAACTGACCTCAAGTGATCCGCCCACCTTGGCCTCCCAAAGTGTGGGGATTACTAGTGTGAGCCACCACGCCTGGCCTGCCTGTTTTCATTATTACCTGCCTGTTCTCAGTATGCAACATGGCAGTACTATTGACAGTGAGGTGCTTTGGCATATCAGATAACTTTTCCAGTTGGTCAAGGATCCCTTTTCTCTTTTCCTCATTTCTGAACTGCAGAACAGGAAGTACTAAAGAAGTGGCTCAGGACAATGTTGTCACATCAGGAGTGGCAGAGGTGTTTACTAGGATTATGATCCTTTCAGCTGTGTGTCTTAGAAGGATCTCCTGAAGCCCTGGGTTTGATATAGAAACCATAAGAAAAAGACTTGGGGCAGTTCTATATCTGGCTCTTCTCCCACTTCTCCCATAAAAGATTAAGAAAAACTGATGGGATGATTTCAGATGTTTCATTGCCACCAAACTACAGCCATGAGTTTTTTTTCTTTAAGTGATCTTATGAGGCCAGTAAAGGCCTCTGTCTTGATTAATGATGATCATCCTATAATATCTGGATATGGTGGCTTGACATGAGTTTTCAACAAAGAAAATTAGTCTCTGAAAGACATTTCTCATCTGAAACTCTCAATATATTAAAATGCATTTAAAAGTTACTTCTGGGAAACATACTAAATAGGCCAATCAGTTAATCATTAGCTAATTGTCAAACCCTATAAAATCATGGTATAATGTCACCCTGACATAAAGCAACATCAAAATTAGTGCATCATCTATAAAGTGAAGTATTATTTTCTCCCAAGTGACAAATTCTATTGCCAAAAAATACCACTGTACTTCTAATAAGTGACACTCATTTTAATAGACCCTACAAAAATACAATATTTTCAATGTCCCCATAAAACAGTTAACTTACAAATATTATTCTCAGAGCTCTGGTGACATCATTCAGTGATACTATTGTGAAAATCCTCATACAATACTTGAAACACTAGCATGTAAAGTAAATTCATTATATAACAAAAGAACTATGTAAAATTATGAAAGATAATGCATGCAACCAACTCCGGGAAATTATCCTGGAAATTCAAATTAATATTGTAATTAAATTAATGACTAATATGAAAGATAAGTATTTTAAAGGATTATAAAATAAATTTTGATCATTTATGCAGGAAAATAGTTTCAATGGAAAAGTAAATAATTCTACATTAACCATGCTTGTCTTTCTCTTCAGTGAAAAAGCATTCAGGATTTTACATACCTTGAAACTGTTTTTGGAAAAAAAGTATTTTATCTATTTCTGCCCAGAAAAACAGCCATTGAAATTAATGATACAGGTAGACCACAGCTCTGAGAAATTATATTTGAAGTTTCATATTTAAATACCAAGGATTTAAAATCACCTACCATAACTTTCTAACAGCAGTCTTTCGTAATGATAAATTTTATCAATTTCCAAAATTCGTTTTAAATAATTTAAAAAGCAGCAAATTAGATTAAGCAACACACAAATAAATTCCACATTTACAAGTAAAGAAATCACAGGGGCTACAGTTTATAATCAACATGAACTTGAAAGAAATAAAGCAATACCTTTCCTGCCACCCATCATCCACTGCTTAAATTTGTGGTGAAAAAGACTTAACTACAATGACCTTTAGTCTGTTTCTAAACTCTGCATGTATTGTAATTAGCTAAAGGCATTGAACAAATTAGTTCATCCTATTTTTATTTGGGTCCCAGAGATAAATGGCTAATTTATGAAATATTTCACTCTGTGTCATGAGAATTTAGCAAATGAATATGGAACCAAATATAAACACTTTATACCATATGTACAGTTACTTTCATAAGGCATTATCATGTAATTTTTATTGAAAAAGATTCAATATAGTAAAGTCTTATTTTAAGATATATTTTTTCTCTATCTGAGATGTTTAGTTTATGAAAATATTGTTTTTCTCTATATTCTTTTTGTATATATGCCAACATATACCTTGTGCTAGAAATATTTTATGGGAATTACAATTCTTTATATTTGTATTTTCTATATAAAGGCATATACAACTTTGAGGCAGTGTTTCTGATGGAGAGCAGAATTCATAAAGAGCTTGTGTGTGCTTCCGTGCTCCGAAATTATATGAAATCCATTTTGAGAAGAAACTTATTTGATTAAAAACAAAAACAAAAACAGAAACAAAACTGCACCAATGCACAGCCAGAGGCTGACAATTAAAACTAATACATAACCACATGAACATCATATTTATAGAGTTAACATTTTTTAAGGATGGTCAGTGCTAACATATAGTATTATACATTTGGCACTAATGTTTGCCATTGGTCCAGCAATTGGCAAAATTTGTTTCTATGTATAAATTTATTTTTGAACATTAGGTCTGGCTAGACGTATCTTCACTATTTATAAAAAATATTTAGACAGTAAGCTCACGTTGAATAACTAGGTCTACTGTGTTCTGGAAACTCTTCAGTAGTAATACAGCTTTTTCATGTTCCATATGTACAAAACTGTGTCCATTTGCCTGTAAATACACAAATAAAACAGGGCAATCAATGTAAACTATTATCACTGTATCGTTGTTTCTATTCATAAAATTCACGGGAGCACTGAGCAACAAAAAGTTGTCAGTTTTTATAATTCACAATGGAATCGCAATTATGGAAGTAACTAATTTTATCCAGATTCAACCAAATTTATCAATTCAACAAATATTTATTAAGTACCGATTATGTCTTTGCCACTGTGCTAATCATCAAGATACCCTGGTCAATAACAGATAGATGTACTGGTGACATAGTAGTTCAGTTCCATTGTTGTTGTCCTGATTTGTTTTTGCAGGGGCTGATTAGGGTGGTTTGGAAAGGGGCATATGGCCATTACCTTAGTGTTATATAAACACTAATATAAACTAATCAGCATGACCAAATATTTCAATCATGCCAAACATGACTGGACACTTATAGTACATTTAAATCTTATTTTGACTCACTGGAAAGTTCTTGGTTTATACACTTTTACATTAGAGAAATATTTTTTATTTCCCTTATTGCTAAATGCAAGTATACTTATTATCTATAGGAGTGGTTCTCAATCAATCCAGTATACTTAAGGAATGCGTCCCTTGGGGATAAAACACACTGACATTAGTAACAGAGGACATGTCTGCTGTCTTCTGTTTAAGAATCATTGATATAAGCAATTGATATTCAGTTTAAACATAGCCTAAGGTTACAGTTTCAGAGTTCCATCTGTCTATTATGTGATATTTATGTCACAAAATGTACATTGTTCTCTGTATTGAGTGCTATGGGTCTCTGATTTTCTCTACATTAAGTTGCAGATTGTCTTGATTGGAATGATTTTTATTATTAATACAGAAAGAAGTGTATCCCATAAGCCTTCACTGCCGTAAAGGCAAAACTAAATACAACCTTATTGAAACTTGATAGAAATAAATCTTGGCAACTGAATGACTGATGGTTATGTAATTGCTTTCTTTGCGGTTTGAGACTCAGTTGATTAAGAAAAGAGGCAGTCAAGTTGACAGCTTGGCTGAATAGAGGTAACAGAGCCAGTTCACTGGTTGACTTCTTCAATTTTCAATGGACTGATACTTATTTTGGTTACACATTGCCTTTTTTATTTTACTTACTATTTTTATGCTTTCTTAAAATATGATTAATATTTCAGATAACCAATCACTTAATAATTAGACTCTTTCAGTGACTTTAGCTTTTTCAAATTTAAAGCAGCATTATATCTCTAGAAATGCCATACAGCCTTTAAAACTTAGATGAAAGTTATATGATACATTATATCTCATCACTAGTTCATTAAAATTGATTGACTAATGATGTAGTAAAGAAGATTCCAAAATATTACACTTGTAAACCATAGTAAATCTGCCAGTAAAAAAATACTAGATGACAGAATATAAATTCTTGGAAATTCATGTAATTAGAAGTAAAAATTTGCTTTGAATTAAAGAAATCTTAAATACATTCCTTAACAACATTTAATAAATGAAAATGCCCACAGAAGTTGGCATTGGCTGTTTCAGTGTCAGGAAACAGTAGTTGAGTAGAAGTTTGGGTGTGTTACACAGCTCAGATTTCTTGCTCTGCGTTATACTAAAAATCAGACAATGAGGTTACATTTGATGTTATTTCTGATCAGTTGGTGATGAAGAGTAAAGAATACAGCATATGGGCCATTCTTTTTTCTACTCTTAACCTGTTTCAGACATCAGGAACATAGCAAACTTGCATGAAATAATTATTTATTCCACTGTAGCTTTGAGGGATGTACTGACTACCTTAATGCCTTCAATTTGACCAAAATACCTTAATGCCTTCAATTTGACCAAAAGTTGTAACTTAATTGTGAAATTAAAATTGAACTTTAATAATGGAGTTCTTGATTGTCAAACCATAATAGTGACTTTGTGAGTGCTCAGATTTCTCTATCTGCAGACTCAAACCTAGAATTGCAATGAATTAAAAATCCACTGAGAATTTTCAGGGAATTGTTCAAAATTTAAATATCTCACAGTTAAAGAAATAAAAAATTTTCTAGGATTTGGAGGCCATGAATGGTATGTTGTTCATCATCATACTTGACATCGTATCAATGTTAAAAATATCAGTGTTAAGGGCGAAATTGGTATAAAACTTAGCAAATTAATCATAGCTGTTAATTTTGAGTGGTACTTTTATCATGAAAGATCTTCAAAGAAGGTTAGTCGGCTCTCAATGTGATTACTTAAGCATTTTTTTTTTTTAAAGAATGTCTGTTTTGTACTCACTTCCATAGGCATTGTGCTAGGCACTGGGGATGGGTAGTAAGAAAGAGATGAAACAGGAAGGCTCCAATCAAAAAGTAGCCATTCAGAAGGGGAAATAAGTCATGCACGTAACTAAAAATAACATAAAATGCCGCATGTAGAATGAGCCCTCAGTACATATATGCTGAATTGAATTAATATCTGAAGACGGAAATAAAGTGCTGGAGTAGTTCAGAGGAGGGCAAAGAAGAGAGGGACATCTTCTCTTTGCTGTTTCACTGAGGCATAGAACAAGTGTGATTCCCAAAGGACCACAGTCCTTGTCTTGTCTCATTCCTAGAGTCTCCTCGAGCCCTCAGTATGTTAACAGTTGTTTTTTTTTCAGGTAAATTCTGTAACAGTATGTGCAGAATAAAGCGTTCAAAAATGGTTCATGTGTGGAATCATTTTTCTAAGAAACAAAAAAAAAAGCACCAAATCCAAAACATGCGACTTTAGACCATAGGCTTTAGCATGGGAAGCAACCATAAAAATAAACTTACATAGAGGGGCTATTTTTTTTTAAACAAGGTGTTAGTTCAAAAAACCTCTTCTTCAAAAGGAAGAGAGCCCAATATGTAGAACATTTAGACAGATCTTTTTAGAGAGAGACAAAGAAAGGGAGAGAGGTGGAAGAAAGATTGAATCCAGTGAACCAGCTTACTTGCCAATACCTTCCCACCCCCCATTGTTCATGAAAGCCCAGTGTGAAACCTGTTGGTTTAGTCTAATCCTGTCATTTTATAAATGAAAGACCTTCATTTTAAGGAGACCAAACAACTTGTCTGAGGTCATACAACCAGGGAAAGGGCTAAGGCTGAATCACCTGATAACATAATATTCCTTCTTCTTGTTTCTTTCATTACTTCATTGAAATAATAAGACCACAATCATGTCAAGTAATTTGAGCTGACATTTCACTGGACATGATAAAATAATGAACATTTTTCCCTTAAAAAATTGTTGCTGTATCACCTCCAAAGATAATTCTGCTCTTTACAGTGGTTGCCAAACTATGATTCCCATTCAGATTTCTATCACATTTAATTTAACTTATTCTAAAAATATTGGTAGAAATAACATTTAGTCCTAAGTTAAAAATCTACAGAAATGCTGAATCTCCATTTTTTTTTTTTGAGTGGAAGGAGATAATAGAATAAATCTCAGTTCCAAAGAAACTTACTCTTTCTTAGGACAGAAGAGCAAAATGAATTGACATTGTATTTGTTAAAATGAATGTGGTTATCAGGCTTACATCTTGGATAGTTCAGACGGGGAATCAAACAACTATGTTACTATATTCGTGTAGGGCTTCTCCAGTTAAAATAAAGACCAGAAGAATCACAATATTCCAACTAATGGAGTTTTGCATTTTTGTTCGTGTGCGTGTGTGTGTGTGTGTGTGTGTGTGTGTGCATAGAAGAAGAGGCTGAGGAAATAAATGGTGGTACTGTGCAATGTTCATTGCAGGGTATAAACCCAATGATGCTTTGAAAAAATAAATGCATATGATTTACGTGCATGTCTATTATATTAGTAAATACATGCATACTATGCAAAAGACGATTTGAAGAACAAATGTTAAATTAATAAAAAATTTAAATTTTATTGCTGCATTTGGCTACCTATATGTTTTATATAAACACACTATCATAGATTTGAATAAAATGTGTACAATTTTGAGGAAATTGCAACCTAATGAAAAATGAGAAATAAATGGCTTAAGTTGAAATGAAGTTACCAAGAAAACAATCTAAAAAGGGAAAAGATATTCTGAAAATTTAATCCTTAAAAAATATGTAATTAATGGGTTTCTAGCTTTAGCTGATTTGAAAGTATGAAGGAACATTTTACTATAATCATTACATTATTTCCAGAAGCTCTCTCTCCTTTATTTAATTTTTTATTTGATATCTTCTGTGCCACAAAATGTTTTTTAATTGTCTCTTTTCATGATTTAGACATGAAAAGACTGAAGGTTAATGAAAATAGTATTTGCAATTCCAACAAAAAGTAGAGCTTTGCAATTACAGCTCATCAATCTATCATAAAACACACTTGGTTTCTGAATTTCCTCTCTTGTTCTCTCCTGGATTTATGTTTGATTACCTTCTGGTAAATGTTTTGTTAAATGGATAAATTATAGATGTTTATATTGCAGAAACAGTCCAGATGATGTTGTAATTTTCCTAGAAATTCTGTTGCATTCTTATTATCCAAAGCTCTAAGCTTAAAAATAGCTCAGAGAAGGCCTGGCCACAGGGTTGGTGGGATTATCCAACAGGGAGGACAGCACAGTTCATTTTAAACTCCAAAAAAAGAAATCAGCTTAGAGATATGGGCATGTGATTTCTGGTTGATTTAAATTCACCACCCAAAGGATAATCCTTTTTAAAGGACCAGTACACATAAATTTTGTATGTTAGAGAAATATTAGTACATTGATATCTTGCACTTTGAATGCCTACAGCTCTTAGGATGAGGGAAAATGAAATAATGCAGTGACCAAATTAGTGCCTTAAGAGCAAGCCTTCATGGTGTTCAATGATGATTGCCAGGTATTATGAGAAAGAGCAGGAATCTCAGATAATCCTCATTGTGCTTCACATTAACTAACTAGAATTAATTCTCATTTCAAATTTTAATCTGATAAGAGTACTCTCATTAAGTATTGGGATATATTTAGGGCTGAGTATACTCCATAATCAATACTATATTGACTCTATGCCAAGCTATTTAAAAAACTTTCCTTTCTATCAAAAACCTGAATTATAGACGTTCAGTTCTTAGAGAGTTCATATGAAAAATTTACATTGCTTTTGTAAATGTGAGAAAGTTTGAAGTTTTAATGAGTTTTATTCTAGTATTTAAAAAAAACCTTTGCAGAACAAAACATAAATAAGAATTTCTGTGTTTTTTTTTTTTTTTTTTTGACATGGAGTCTTGCTCTGTCGCCCAGGCTAGAGTGCAGTGGCGCGATCTTGGCTCACTGCAAGCTCTGCCTCCCGGGCTCACGCCATTCTCCCGCCTCAGCCTCCCGAGTAGCTGGGACTACAGGCGCCTGCCACCACGCCTGGCTAATTTTCTGTATTTTTAGTAGAGATGGGGTTTCACCGTGTTAACCAGGATGGTCTCCATCTCCTGACCTCGTGATGCGCCTGCCTCGGCCTCCCAAAGTGCTGGGATTACAGGCGTGAGCCACCGCGCCCAGCAAGAATTTCTCTTCTGTGTTAAGTACACACATGTACTGCAGCTTGAATTTCTCATGAATTAAGGCTCATAAAAGATATGGCAAGATAGAATATACTCAACTGAAGACTGAATTATTTGAATAGAAACTCAGGTGTGGAACTGATAATAAATAGTAAATCTGAATAAATTTATTTATCTGCTCTGATTTTTGAATGCTTGTTTTCTTTTTATCAAACATATCAAATGATCATCTTCAACAAATAAATTTCCTACCTTGATTTGCAAGCCAATTTCCCAACAAGCCACATTCCTTTTACTTTTCACAAAAAGAATAACTGCAAAATCAACCCCTAATTTTCAGGGGGCTCTTTGTAGCCAGGCTGGTCTCCATTTTGATGAAGAGCTTGCTCTTAAATGACAGGCTCATTTGATAAAAATGACAGGTTCATTTTATCAAATGTTTTATCAGGCTCTTAAATGACATTTTATCAGGCTCTTAAATGACAGGTTCATTTTATCAAATGTTTTATATTCAGCTCTTTTTATCTCTCTTCCTGCTTTGTTCCTGCTCTGTATAATTTGGGTATGTCTATTTCCAGGACTAGGTTGTGGAAGGCAGGAACTTGGTTACATTCATATAACATTGTTTACATTGCTTGGCACAATACTTTGTACACAGTGGGCATTTGATGCACATTTTCCAGGTAAATAAATAAATTAGAAAATGTAATAAATATGACACTATCAGCAAAATTTGCTCCAGAGAAATCAGTATTGCGTAATGGTGTGAAAGTTGTCAGAATCAAATAGAGTGACTAGTGTTAAACAAAACAAAACAAAACAAAAAACCTGGCAAATAGAGCGGGGAAGGCCATGAAGAGAGGGTTCTCATACTTGTATACCCAAGTATGAGATATACAAAACGATAACAAAAACTATCACAAAAGACTGCAAAAACACAACCTTACACAAAAACCATTGCAACCTTACACAAAAAATGCTTCTGCAGGGACATCTGCCCAGCAATTGGTTGTCCAGTCTTGGACTGGCATCATCCTTGCTATTGATCTTTGTAGTCAAGGATAATTATTTAAAAGTAGTTACATAATCCTTATTTTTTCCTTTAAAAACCGTTGTCTTTCTTTACCTTCCTGAATACATACACAGTTTACTATGGCATATGTATTCCCATTTCAATGCTCTATTCCCAAATAAACACCATTTTCTTTTAAAGAGTCTCTCTCTGCTTGTTATTTTGTTGACAATGGAAGAACTCAAATAAGTTATCGAACATCTGTCAGTAATAGATATCTTGCAGGGTTGTATGATTTAAATGACACAATAAAGACACTTAATGGATGTTACTTTTCTATTAACTAAACTATGAAGGATAGAGTCACCTTAAAAAACTTAATTTGTTTTATTGGTTTTCATGTTTTACTAAATAACTCAAAATATTTTTTGATTTTCAAAAAGCATTTCCTCAACATTTTTATTGGTTTTCTGTGCAAGAACTTTGTATATTATGAACAAAACTAAATGTATAAAAATATGCAGTCAAAATCTGGCATATAAAACCACACTTTAAAAGACAGTTTAACGATGGGTTCTCATTCTGTAACCCAGGCTGGAGTGCAATGGCTCTATCATAGCTCACTGCAGCCTCAACCTCCTGGGCTTGAAGGATCCTCCTACCTCAGCCTCTTGAGTAGCTGGAATTACACATGTGTGCCATCACGCCTGGCTAATTTTTAATTTTTTTCGTAGAGACGGGGTCTGCTATGTTGCCTAGGCTGGTCTTGAACTCCTGGCCTCAAGCAATCCTCCTGCCTCTGCCTCAAGCAATCCTCCTGCCTCTGCCTCCCAAAGCACTGGGATTACAGGTGTGAGCCACTGTGCCTGATCAACATAGTTTTTAACCTATTTCTAGTTCCCTTCTAATCCAATTGTATTAAAATCTTACTCTTCAATGTATTATATCATTATAAGCAATTATTTACCTAAACATTAAAAGTTATGTGATTATTCCTCCATAGTCCCCCACCCTCAGTGTCTCTGGTGCTTTTGATTTTTAACCACAAATAAGATAAACTATAGAAATGTGGAACTTACTTGGCCTTGTTGGGAAATGCTTTAGTACAATTTTTAAATATTTTATTTTTTAAGGGTCCAACACTTCATTTTAACCATAAACAATTTCTCACTCTTCAGGTTTTTTTTTGGAAGATTTTTTTTAAAGAATTTTTTAAAATTCAGAAAATGAACATTAACCATTTCTTAATGATTTACGGTAATAACTGTGAACATCAACACTCTCTTAGGCACATACATGGCCCAGTTAGTTTGTTTCTGTAACAAACATTTCCCAAAATGTGTTGTGTGGAAGTGGTTAATTGATGCTTTGGTAAAGAGGACTGTATGGTTAAATATGTTGAAAAATATATCTGTAAGAATTCTCAGAGTTCTTAGCCTGTTTAGTACAGTGTAAAGTCCTGAAACAAGGGATAGAGTATGAAGTGATTTCAAAACTTAGTTGACCATGAACTCTTTTTTTTTTTTGAAGATATGTCAAAAAATGTCATTGAGAAAACTGTTCTATACTGAAAGTACAAAACTTTCTTTTAAAAGCCAGAAACAAGATTTTAGAAGTACAATCTGCTTTTACTTTAAAAGTACAATGTGCTTTTAAAATCTTGTTTCTGGCTTTCAAAAGAAGTTGTTCTCTTCTGTTTCTCGCTTTTAAAAGAAGTTTCTCTCTTACTGCAGAGTGAAGCTGTTGGCTATGACTTCTTGCTTCTGGCAATGAGTCTGGAGCCAAAGGCTTTCACCTTGGTGGTCTGGACAACTAGATAAAAGACTCCCAGGTATGATATAAATTCTCTCTTATGAGTAAAAGGAATGAGATTTAGTGCATGGGCTTTGTGACATTAATTATGGATCCTCAGAAGCACTTTGTTTGTTTTCTAGCTTATGTTTTTTTTCTTATAGCTGAGGCTGTTGAATAAGTGAGCTTTACCTAAGCAAGAAAATTCTCTCAGCAAGCTGATCACACCTACTGGTCATTAAGAGAGCCATCAAATTTCCATTCAGACAAGGAAGCGTGATTCAGTGTTTGTATATATATCTGTGTACAACAGATCCAGCCATAGACAGACATTTCATTTAGACTTCTCTTTGTGGAGTCTGAACTTACCTCTCCCATTCTGAGCCTTGAATGCCATATCTTGCTCGCTGTCTCCCCCTATCGCCATCCTGAGCCTCGCTCCAACTCATCTCCATGTTTGAAATTCTCCCAGTCCATGAAAAACTTATTAAAATCCCAGGGTTTCCTTTCTTCATGACTCTAACACACGAGTCTGGGGTCTTCCTCTCCAATATTCTCTCCTTTATACTCCATATTCACCCTTTCTAGCATAAACCTCTTACCCCTGCTCCTGAAAACTCATGCCAGTCTAGCCCACAGATATTCCTCCTCCTCCTCCTCCTTTTCTTTCTGTTAAGCCTGGAGGAACTTCTGCTCCACCAGGAATAAACTCCCTTCTTTCACCTCCCTCCACAACCAGAGATCTCCATGATCCCCAGTGCACCCTGCCACACAGGTCTCCTCTCCCTCTCCCTCAGTGATTCACTGGAGGAGGTAAGAAGAGGAGGGTCTTACATCTTGTACTTTTGTTTGTGAGTGGCCATCCTCTCTGCATCCCAGGATACACACTTTTATATTAATCACTCCATTCCCTTAACACAGCTACAACATTTATTAGATACATCACAAAATCAAGTACTTTATTAGTTTCCTAATGAGTGCATACATTCACCTTGTCTCCCTAGCTATTAGCTCCCTTAGGACACATGACTTCCCTCCTACCTATTAAGGGGCTTCTAATGATATTCCCTTATAAGACACTAATCAGGATGTGGAGTGGAATTGTCAGTGATTATAGAACAGAGCAATGATAATAGGTCTAATGGGCATCAAACCCCATGATTTTGGCCAAGAGAAGATGCTCTGAGCTGAACAACTTACCAAAAACTAACTTTAAAAAAGTAAAAAAAGTGCAATAATAATGACTCTGCTAATAGCCCAAGTATTTGTTGATAGACTTATTGTTGACAGTAGTTTCTTGAACTGTCTATATGAATTGTTGGGCCAAGGTTCTTTCTAAGACAAGAAAAAAAGAAAAATATCTAGCTTGTTTGAATTATTATCTCATTGATTATTCCCTTTTAGCATCTTGAAATACAGCCATAGACAAAGAGTATGTTTGGATTGCAAATTCCAAAACCCTTAAAATGATGACAAGGTAAAAGAGACTATAAAATTATCTTCAATTAAGTACCTTATTTATATATCTCATATTAGAAAAATCTGTTTTGGTTATTGGCAAAATCTAGATGTCATCAACTAAATCTCTATAAATTATATAATTTCTCTTTCTTGCCAAAATTAGGCTTATGTATGGAGATGGGGGTGGGTAAATGAAGAGGAGAGGGTTTGGCTTCCCTGATTGAACAGGACATACTTGCGAGTGAGTTTTAGGTTACAACTGTGAATCTGTTGTTAACTATCAGGTACAGTATGTATTTTTTTCCAGTCTATTCATCTTTTCAACAGAATAACTATAATTACTAGATTTTCTGTATTCATATATATTTTGAATCATAAAATGTATAATGAATTAGACTGAATTTTTTAGCTGGAAAGAACATTAGAAAAAAGAAACTATGACGATAAATTAACAAAACTGTCATTTCAAATATTGGCAAATTCACATGGCTTATTCTAGCATATTTTTATATTCCATGTGCTTTCAGTTTTTTCTCTTACTGTTATATAATTGAACTTAACAGAAGGTGAGTCTATGAAGGGTCAGTTGCTCTTTCCATATGCCACACTGTCTTAGAGTAATTATAATGTGTCTATTCCGGGAAAATGAATAGTACAACAGAAAAATGATGTGAATGTGTTTTAATTAACATCATCCCTTATTGCACACATCTTCATGTAATTCAAATAACATGCTCATAATATCATAGCTGAAGAAGAAAAGAGTGGATGGTATAAAGAATTATAGAGAAAGAAAGAGATCTAATAAATTCTGGGTTTGGGAAGAGGGATTAGGAAAGACATATCTCTTGTGCTCTCTCATATATCTTTTGCTATTTGCTATTGGGTTAGATTAAACCCCAAAAGTATTGTCACTTAGGGAGGGCCATTCTTTTCTTTTTTCTCTTCTTTTACTTCAATTCTCCAGGTTGAACATTGCCATTAAGCTTTGTAAATAAATTCGCTCCATTGAAAACACAAGATTCTGATCTTTTAAGTGATAGATAACTCAATGTTATTAACCCATTTTTTCCCAGCATTCTTTAAACTAAGAGACAATAGTATTATATATAGATAAATATATAGCTTGCCTTCTTAGCATCTGATATTGCAAACAATTTCATTTTAGAATTAGCCATTCTCGTTTCTTTCAGAAAGTATAATTGGCCATGTATGCTTTTTAATTAGTATGACTGAAACTGTAAATACATAATTTATTTGATTAAAGTCCATGTACTTTTTCCTTTATTGAAAATGGGCTTTGATTTTATTGGACTAGGTACAAGTGAGTTCTATGGCAAAAATAAAATGTCACATCCTTGATAGTCATTTGTGGAGAGAAGAGACATCTTGGGTGCAGCTTTTCTGCAGTATTCTTGGCTGAAAATTTCTTCCTACTTCTTGCATGAGGAATCCATTTCCTTGCACTTTGCTGTTGTTTTTACCTCTCCAGGATTAGAAATACTGAACCCTCATAACCCTCACGTCCCCACATATAATTCTAGAATTTCATAGCCAGAAAAGAGCATTCTAATACCTTGCAAGTAGACACTAATGTCTTTATTTTTATTTTTTATTTTTTTAAGACAGATTCTCGCTCTGTCACTAAGCCTGGAGTGCAGTGGCATAATCACAGCTCACTACAGCCTCCAACTCCTGGGCTCAAGCACTTCTCCCACCTCAGCCTCCCTAGTAGCTGGGATTACAGGTGCTCACCACTGCACCTGGTTAATTTTTAAATTTTCTGTAGAGACCAAGTCTCACTGTGCTGCCAAGGCTGGCCTTAAACTTCTGGCTTCAAGCCATCCTCCTGCCTCTGCCTCTCAAAGTGGTGGGGTTACAGGTGTGAGCCATCATGTCTGGCCTGACACTAACCTATGTTTCCATCTGCAAGATATACTGTGTATAATTTTGTTATAATACTTACATATACATTTCTGAATTCTAGCAAAAGGGAAAAATCTTTATTTTGCTTCTGTCATGGAGGAAGGAACTCTGCAACGTTGTGTCAAGCTATAGCATACTTCTCTACCCAGCTTCACATTCTAGTAGGTAAGAGATCTGAGATTAATTGGCTATATTTTTTTCCAGACTCTAGGATTTAAAATAATTTCTTTGAAATTCAGTGGAGAAAAAAATTAGCCATTTCCTTTGCTAATGAGCAGCATTTACCAAATGTTAGAGAGTTATGTTGTTAGTTTATTCTCAGCTGTTTTTCACTACAATTCATACAATTTTCAAAGAGTTGAATTTTTGAGCTAGGAGGGATTTCAGATATAATATAAACAGCAGTTCATTTTACACATAATGAATTTGAGGCCCATAGACATTATTTAAAATATCTAAGATCAAAGGACTAGTTAGGCTATCCAAAAATATAGAACTTCCATAATAAAGTGGTAAAGGAAAATTTTAGATTATTATATGTGTGGTTTTTATTGTTTCTCAGCTCTAGCTCAAAAGACCAACTGCTATTTACATCTTCTGCCTGCATAGAATGAACTCAGGCCTGCTGGGTGGTGTTTCTATTGTGACATTGGCACAGGCTGAAGTAGCTTAAACACTTTTCAGAGAACTATCATTTTTGAAAACTTGAGTAGCTGATTGTGATCTTGCTAATTAGTTTAAAATATTTCGGAGAGGCCGGGCGCAGTGGCTCATGTCTGTAATCCCAGCACTTTGGGAGGCCAAGGCGGGCAGACCACCTGAGGTTGGGAGTTCGAGATCAGCCTGACCAGCATGGAGAAACCCTGTCTCTACTAAAAATACAAAAATTAGCTGAGTGTGGTGGCGCATTCCTGTAATCCCAGCTACTTGGGAGGCTGAGGCAGGAGAATTGCTTGAACCCGGGAGGTGGAGGTTGTGGTGAGCCGAGATCGTGCCATTGCACTCCAGCCTGGGCAATAAGAGTGAAAGGCTGTCTCAAAACAAAAACAAAAACAAAAACAAAACAACAACAACAACAGAACAAAACACCACCACCAAACAACAACAACAAAAAAACCAAAAAACATTTCTGAGAATGAAATGTTAAAGCAATCTTAGGATTTCTACTTTTCTAGGACTTTCTGAGAGAACGCAGTACATTGGAGATAGAAGATCTCCTTGGAGCTGACTTGAGGGGATCCTTGCATTTTTAAACTGTGTTTGTATAGTTGATCTAAGGTTCCTTTTTCACATGTCAACTGTGTTTGTATAGCTGATCTAAGGTTCTTTTCACATGTCTTGTCTTCTCAGTGAATCTAAATGTTCAGTATATTATGTTGAGCCATTTCATAACTGTTGCAGATGGTCAAATATCAGCAGTATCAAGTAGTTCCACCTATTTATATAACGGGAAATTTCTGGGGTTCTAAGTCAAAATACTGAAGCTTAAATACATCGATAATGCTTAAGAGCTTTTCCTTGGAATGTAGAAAATGATTATGCACCTCTTATATAGGAAGTGAATTAATGAGCTTCAAATCACTGATAAGAAACAAAGCAAAAAATTAAAGACAGTGAATTCAGAGAGAAGGACAAAAAAAGTCAAATAAATGAGTTTATGTAAAGTATTTGCTTAATTGTTTATTGGGGTGAACCTTTTCTGATATGCAGAGCTTTAAGTTAGTGAAAGTCATCTTCCATCACACAATGCATTTTTAAAAGTCACCTTATATAGAGCTAAACTTTTGTTTATCTAAGCAGGGGGAGTAGAATGATGTATTATATATTTCATAGCATTCAAACAGTAATAAGCCTGTGGTTGAGAAATTAAATATGGACCAGTTCCTTCTCCCTCATGAAAGTCACACACATACTGTGTTTGGGAACTTACTCTTACTTGATAACTATGCATAGATTAATATATATATATAATATATATATTTCTTATATTATCAAGTAATTCCATTCAATTCAACAAAAATATGCAAAACATCTGTCATGTGCCAAGTACTGTGTAAGGTGCTAGGGATATAAGATTTGTCAGACTGAATTGTTTTTGACTTGACTTTCAGCCCCAAAATAATAAAGGCAAATAAGCAATGTGAGAAGGACTTATTTTCAATCATTTAATTCAAATCATTTAACTTGGTAACATGGTTACATATTTGTCTCAGTATGGCATTTGCATGCATTTCTTTTATCTGTCTTACCTGAAGGATCTTATCACCAGGCTGCAGTAGGTTTGATGCTGGCCCATCAGGCTGAACCCTAGTAACAAAGATACCCTATAAGTCAGAAGTAACAGAGGTTAGGATTCTATTACCAAGAACCAGGCCTACTTAAACAAATCTTCATTCACATAGAAAACAGTGAAAACAGATCCAGAAACAGTTTATGCATGTAGGCTTCAAAGAATATTATAGTATTTTAAGCAAGGCAGCACTCTCCAAGTCAAGTTTAAGAGAAGCAACATTTTTGCTTGCAAAAAGAAGCTTATCTTGTTTTGAAAGTGCAATTATGATTTATAAATTGATCTCATGGCATATTCTTAATGATTTTTTCCTTAAATCATTTGAAATGTGATGCTGAATCATTTTTTGTATAAATTCTGAATTTGTCTTCAGTTATTCTACTTAACTATGTCTCCATTAAAGGCAGTTGAAGGTATTTGAAAAAGTATCTCTATTTGATAGGTTATAAGTTCATTGTATACTTTAAAAGCTTTACTAGAATTATATATACGACTGGTTTATTTTAATGCATATTGTTTCATATGTTACTGAGAATTTTAATATAAAATGTATATGAACAAATTAAACATAAGCAAACTGGAACATGCATTTTAAATAAAGTTTATGACTATGTGGTTATAAAATCCCTAAATTGATTAATGCAGTTTATAAGAAAGTCAAATTAATTTCATTGACCATGTATAGAAAGAAAACATATATTGAATGTCTATCACATGCTAGGCCTGGATGGCTCATGATATAGAGATAGACAGAATATAGTTTCTGACTTTAATGAGCTCACAATCTAGTGGAGGAGAAGTCAAGAAAACCAATAATTATAAACATTGTGACAAGTGTTATGATAGAGGTATAACAGATTGTAAAAATATGTTGCACCCAGCTTATATTTGTGTGTTAGGTTCTTCCAAGAGGAGAAGATACCTGATAGCTGAATAACAAAGAACACACAAAAGTCATCCACACAGGTAAGGGGAAGAAGGAAATTGCAGAGAGAGGGGACAGCACATAAGTGAGTGTGCCTGTTATATCTGGGAAATTTCAAGTGGTTCTGCTATGGCTGGAGTGCTGATGGAAGGGTGGTAGTGGATGGGATTGGGAGCGCAGCAGAGGATCAGGCCAAAAAGTAGGTTAGGGCAAGATTAAGATGGCCTTTCATAAACCTTCTTACTAATTTCAGGTGCTACTGAAAGATTTTAAACATGATTGTGATAAGATTTTAATTGACATTCCAAGAATAAACTGATGAATGGATAAACAAAATGTGGTATATATCTATATAATGAAATATTATTTGGCAATAGAATGGAATAAAGTATGGAAACATGCTACAACATAGAAGAAAACGTTATGAAAACACTATGCCCAGTGAAAGAAACAAGTCACAAAAGGCCAAATATTATACAATTCCATTTATGTGAAATATCAAGAATAGGCAAATGCACAGAAACAGAGAGCAGATTAGCATTTGCCAGTAGCTGGGGAGTAACTGTTAACATGTACGGAGTTTCTTTTTGTATATAGTAAAAATGTTCTGAAATTAGATAATCATGATGGTTGCACAACTCTGAACACATAAAAATCACTTAATTGTACACTTTAAATTGTAGAATATCAACTATATTTCAATATAACTGTTAATAGTTTTTTATTCCTAAGCATTATTAATAAAATAGAAGACAATATTTTGATATTCTTGCTTGTTATTTAGAAAAGCATGTTATTTGCTGATCTGTAAACATAATGACTCACTTAAGCTCATAACTTTGTGTGTGTGTGTATATGTGTGTGTATGTGTAAGTGGTAACAGACCCAAACTAAAATACTTCTACTTGTGTTTTCACTTGGCTTTTCAGAAGTTTATGAAACCTATTAAGACTTTTGAATGATTTTTATCTTTCATATTTTAATCTGTTTTCCTTCTTATTTAGAGATGACACTACAGATAGGCATCAAAATTTCTAGAAAACTGTATAACTTTTAACCAAGTAATTAGACTTCTAGGACTTAAGGATATAACTGGACAAATATGCAATATACATGTGCTAATATGTTCATCATAGTATTATTTATAATAACAAAAATTACAAACTATACTTAACAGTCTAATAACAGGGCATTGATTAAAGAAATTATAGTAAATCCATACAGTAGAATGATATGTGGTCATTAAAAGTGAAGTCCTAAATGGCTGATGTAGAAGTACACAAATGTTTAGTGAAACAAGCAGGTTATAAAACAATGTGTGTGGTAGGATGCTATTTTTGCTGAAATGTGTTTATATATATATTTGTGTGGACAAATATCTGCAAGGATATCTTCTAAACATTAACAGTGGTAATACACAGTAATGGGACATCAGATTTTTTTTTATTTTTCCTTATTTGTGTTTTCTTATTTTTCTACAATGATTATGCACTACTTATAAGATTAAGAAAATAAAACAAACTTAAAAAATTTGGGTTAATGGTGGCACTCAGGAGTGATGCTTTAACAGCGTTGGCCAATTCAGCTGTAAAAATGGTCAATTCAAAAGAAAAAGAAAACTAGTTGTTTGAAAAAAGACAGTTAAATAAGGCTCAATGATTAATCAACCAGGCCAGTGAATGGCACTAGTTGTGACAACAAATATAATCCCCATGGTTCTTTCCACACTGGGCAAATAGCTCTCATCTTCCATCATTTGAAGAGACTATATATACAATCAGTTCCCCTGGTAGCCCCTCCTTTGCTACTGGGGTCTCTGTACAATAGGCAGAATGACTCTTTTGCCCAAAATAAGCCACTACATCTCTGATTGCTGGAAGTGAAGTTGTTTTTGGCTATTATTTTATCTCAGCAGTCAAAATGACTGCTACTCAGTTAATTTTGATTGCCTTTCTTTAGCTCATTGTACAGGAACAGTTTTAATAATGTTTGTATGAATCCAGATCATAGAAGCTGAATTAAGGTCATCATATCTGCAATGCTGGGAGGAACTAGCAACACTCCACACCTGACTGCTGAAAGAATACAAATGTGGTGTCTGTGGCAGGTTTAATTTCACTCATCACATAGCTCTGGAGGATTCAACCTCTGTTCTGAAGACTTGCTTTGCTTACTCTTATGGTGGCCTGAGTCTTCCAAAGCATGTATTGCTTTTTTCTGAAAGTTTTATGATTTCACTTTATTATGTCTTTTCAATCAATAAGCTTCATTAACTAAAAAAATGGTCCTGCCCGTTGGTATAGTTTCCTTTTTTCCAAGTATATCCTATCAGCCAGCATACTGCCACATTAATCCAAGCAGAAAGCAATGACTGCTTTGTTTGATCATGGTCTGTGGCATTCACTATTTGTGGAGGTGAAATATCTCCCAAGACTGCCTGCAAAGGTCAGTGGCCTAATTTTTAATTGTATTTAGGCATATAAACATTGCTATATGAAAGAGACCAGATAAATCTAAACCCATTTTGTGGTCTCTTTTATGATGAACATTGATGAGAAATGTGAAAATGTGAAAATGTTGACCCTGCTTTGAAAAAGCTCATTGTAACAACTCATTTTATCCTGAGATTTTAAAGAATACTTTGGCACTGATGACAGAGTTTGGTGGGAAATAATCAGTCTGTTTGTATTCTAAAAATTAGAAACAATAACTTCCTACTGTTTGGTGAAAAGCTATCTCCTAACTTCCAAACAACAAGAAGCCAACTTGTGTGTATCAAATATACAAATAATGGCATCTTACAAATCTTTCAACTCCGCTAGCAAGATCTTAAATGTGTTCAGTTTCTTATAACATTTGGCAGAATGCTAAATGAAGGACAAATTATGATGCAATACATTTAAAACTAGCTATGTAATGTACTAATGTAAGTCAAAATGAAGAATTATAATAGCTTATTATTGCATAGCTTTATCATAAAACTTTATCATAAAACTGCTGTTATATAATAACCCATAAAACCAGGAGATAAAAGTAGCAGCAACTTTAATTTCAAGTTTAATTTACATACCATGAAGCATTCTCTCTGCTTCTGTCAAGTCCCATAGGAAGGGAATCATTAACCCTCTTTTTCAATAAGGCAATATATATTAGTTTTCTACTGTTGCTGTAACAAAGTTCCATAAACCTAGTGGCTTAAAACTTCACAAATTTATTATTTTACTGTTCTGTAGGTTAGAAGTCCAACATAGGTCTCACTGGGCTAAAATAAAAGTTTTGGTACGGCTGCATTCTTTTCTGGAATCTTCAGGGGGAGAATCCATTTCTCTGCCTTATGTAGCTTCTAGGAAATGTCCACATTCCTAGGCTCATGATCCCATTCTTCCATCTTCAAAGCTACCAATGGTGAACCTCTCTGACCATTTTTCTGCTGTAACATCTCCCTCTGACTGCAGCTAGGAAAGATTCTCCATTTTTAAGGCCCATGTGATTACACTGAGCCCATCTGAATAATCCAGGGTAATCTTCTCATCTTAAGGTCCTTAACTTCACCACATCTGCAAAGTCCTGTTTGCCATGTAATGTAACATATTCACAGTTCTGAATAATTAGGTTTTTTTTTTTTTCTTTTTGAGACAGGGTTTCATTCTGTCGCCCAGGCTGGAGTATAGTGGCATGATCATGGCTCAATGCAGCCTTTGCCTCCTGGGTTCAGGTGATCCTCCCACCTCAGCCTCCTGCGTAGCTGTGACTACAGGCATGTGCTACCACACCTGGCTAATTTTTATATTTTTAGTAGAGACAGGGTTTTGCCATATTGCCCAGGCTGGTCTTGAACTCCTAAACTCAAGTGATTTGCCCACCTCGGCCTCCCAAAGTCCTGGGATTACAGGCATGAGCCACTGTGTCCAGCCTAGGATGTTTTTGAGAAGCCATTTTTTCTGTCTACCACACTGTGCAAGCAGTGGTCAAGAGCATAGCTCTTGAGTTTACCTGTCTGTGTTCACCATTTACAATTGGTGACCTTGGGCAAGTTAACTTCTATGGACTTTTCCTCATCAGTACAATGGGTTAATAAATGGCACATACTTTATAGAATTGTTAGATGAAGTGACTGAGTCCATATAAAATAGAACAATGGATGACACAGTATAGCATCAATAAATGTTACTTTAATTATCAAAAGTCTGAAACTCTGCCAGGCACGGTGGCTCACTCCCTTAGTCCCAGCACTTTGGAAGGCTGCAGTAGGCAGATTGCTTGAGCCCAGGAGTTTGAGACCACCCTGGGCAAAATGGTGAGACCCCATCTCTATTTTTACTTCTTAAAAAAAGTCTGAAACTCAATCTACAACTCAAGGTCTTTAATCCAGCAAAGCCCACATTGAGAGTTTCTGAGTCTCCAACTATACCACATTTATTGGCAGAAAAAATTCTTTTCCTCTCTGTTTAGAGTATATTGAAAGGACAATATTTGCCATCTTTCCTCTGAATTCCTAACAAATAAGGGGACATTGGCACCTCTTATTTAGGGAAGGGGATGAGAAGGGGCTGGAAAGTTCCTCCTGCCTCATCTATGGTTTCCTGGTTGTGGCTCACAGTGATAATGGCTCCAGTTACTGTTCACTCTTAGTAGTGGACATGAGTCCCATCTGGAGGGCTTTCTAAATGATTTTTTATTAACTTTCAGGGACTACTTCCTTTAGTAGCTCCAAGTCAGGAGTATCAACCCTTTATAGTAATGGCTAATAGAATCCACTGTAGTTAGTGGCTTGTGGCATCTCTAAGTGAGTTTTTCTTATGTCTCTCACATCGGGTTCTTTAGTGACTTGAAAGCACAATGGCTTTCCCTCAGCACCACCTCTAGAGGGTATCTCACAACAGAGCAACATGGTAGGTACTGGAAGCTCCTTTCAAAAGAATGGAAATCTTTGCTCTTCTCAGACACCAGCATTCAGACATGTTTGAGACAGGCACAGATCCTGTGGATTCATGCATCACAGAGGGACTCCTCTAGGTTTGAACCAAAGCTAATCTAGAGAGGGCTAGCTGGATGAGCCACATAGGCATGATCTGTTGCCATTTCCTATTTCCACCTCATTTAAAAACTATTAATAGTCTTTATACAAGTCATAAGTGATTATTCCAGAAGTACTCATAATGGGCTTATGAAAAGTTTGCTTTTCACAGTAATTTTGGAAAAAGGATAAGTTTGGGAGGCTTCTTGCATTGTTAAGATCTGACCTTGCCTTACTGGTTACCTAGCCTCTACATCCCTGGACATAAACCTTAAAGGACTTAGAAAGTTAGTTTACAAGGCCAACATTTAACATTCTAAGTTTAGAGGAGAAAGGAAGTTTATATGGCTTTTTAATGATGAAGGTGAACGATTGTGACAGTCTCAGCCATTGTAAATGTAGATACCAAAATAGAACTTGTCTTAAGGGACCTATGACTTCAACGTATGAAATATGCTTTTCCTTAAAATTCTGAAAAGTCTTGGCTCTAGCTGATGCTGAGAAATTGGTTTCTAGAAAGACTATATCTCAAGTAAAAATTATATACAATTACAATTCAGAACACATGAGTTAAAAATAGCATATAGCATTTTATGCTTTCATATAACTATGGAAGTTCAAAGAGTGTTTCTAGAGGCAAAACTGACTCATGAAAACAGCAAACAGAGCCATAGATTCAATTTTTAGGGGGAAACTTTTTTTCTAAAAAAGTAGCAAATATTAATCTTCTTTCATAATGTGGGCAATATCAATATTGAAGCTATATTGTGGCTTGTAGAAGCAACATTAGATATACATAAAAGCCTATATTTACTTAGTCTCTATGATTATTAGAACACTTGACATATCAAGGATAAAGGTATTATCAATAGTGCTCCTCTCCAGGAATCAAAAGTGTGATGACAAAGTATTTTAAGGTTAATTGCTATGCATCAAGTTTTACGCTTTGAATAATTTGCTACCTTAGCAACTGATAAATTTATATGCATCAAGAGAAGTGATTTATCCTATGGCAATTAGAAGTTAAGAGAGAGGAGAAGTGAGGGAAGAAGAGAGAAAGAGGGAGAAAGAAAGAAAAGGACATCACAAACCAGTTAATTGTAAAATCTGTAAAAGATGAACAGAAGGAGAATTGCTTTAGAAACAGAAAATTTAAGGAAGAGATACAAGAAAAAATTCTGCAACTGACTAAAGTCTTCTAAAAGTTTAACAAAAATTTTACACATAGAAAGGAATTTCAGTTTCATTAATTTTTAAAAAAGTAAATATTACAACGGAAATCACTTGGTTGCATTTGTAAAAAAATTTATTAATAATGCATTGGAGCAACAAAGAGACTAGTGCAACCCAAAGAAATGGACTATGGGATCACAAATCTCTTAGTGGCAATATAATGAAATGTAATATTCTAGCAAAATAAATACACATTGTTTGGTCTTTGGACTTGCATCATTCTTTTTGGTCAGTCTAAAAGTTTGTTTAGTAGCATATATATCAAGATGATGCTCTTCAGAGCTGTTAAAAGCAACCAAAAATAAGCAATTTATTCCTGTTTCTCTGAGATTGCTTTTAGAAATGATATATAAATACTAGAATATTTTTTATAGTTTGATACTGATAATTGTGGGCTGTTCTTTTTTAGATAATTTGAACGTAAGTGCTAAAATTGTGTTTGGTTTTGGTTACTTTATATGTTTTAACTTTTATTAATTGCTTAGTATTTCTACTATTGTTTAACAATTAAACATGTCTGGGATGTCTGTCTATTGTGACTGACAGTGCATTGCATCCTGTTTATTTCTTAGTGAAATTCTTGAATTTTCTTTTACTTGCTTGTCATATGTTCTTTTAAAAGTCAATAATCATATTCATTCACTTACAATCCTTCTGGATTTCTGGACTCTTAGGAAAAAATAAAAGAAATATTTACCATTTATTTTATTTTATAAATCCTTTAAAGCCTGTATTTAATATGGGACCCCAACTTGTGGTGAATATTTGAATTGCTAAGCTTTGTACAGTTTACTGATCCAGTCAGAGTCCCTAATGGCTTTTTCTCTCAGCTTCACAAATAACATAAAATAGTAAAAATGATTAAAAACAGGAGTGGGAACTGTAGGAGGCTGTGGATTCTTCTTTTCAGCTATTCTTAAAATAGTATTGATAATCAGGTTTCTGATTATAATTCCTGAAGGCTCCCTCAAAGCCCCTCTGGTTGTATAATTTTTTGACACTATCTGCACTATTTTAAAATCACAAATTGAAAAGTGAAAAATTCAAGATATACAATCATGTCATCTGCAAACAGGGACAATTTGACTTCCTCTTTTCCTAATTGAATAGCCTTTATTTCCTTCTCCTGCCTAATTGCCCTGGCCAGAACTTCCAACACTATGTTGAATAGGAGTGGTGAGAGAGGGCATCCCTGTCTTGTGCCAGTTTTCAAAGGGAATGCTTCCAGTTTTTGCCCATTCAGTATGATATTGGCTGTGGGTTTGTCACAGATAGCTCTTATTATTTTGAGATACGTCCCATCAATACCTAATTTATTGAGAGTTTTTAGCATGAAGGGTTGTTGAATTTTGTCAAAGGCCTTTTCTGCATCTATTGAGATAATCATGTGGTTTTTGTCTTTGGTTCTGTTTATATGCTGGATTACATTTATTGATTTGCATATATTGAACCAGCCTTGCATCCCAGGGATGAAGCCCACTTGATCATGGTGGATAAGCTTTTTGATGTGCTGCTGGATTCGGTTTGCCAGTATTTTATTGAGGATTTTTGCATCAATGTTCATCAAGGATATTGGTCTAAAATTCTCTTTTGTGGTTGTGTCTCTGCCTGGCTTTGGTATCAGAATGATGCTGGCCTCATAAAATGAGTTAGGGAGGATCCCCTCTTTTTCTATTGATTGGAATAGTTTCAGAAGGAATGGTACCAGTTCCTCCGTGTACCTCTGGTAGAATTTGGCTGTGAATCCATCTGGTCCTGGACTCTTTTTGGTTGGTAAGCTATTGATTATTGCCACAATTTCAGATCCTGTTATTGGTCTATTCAGAGATTCAACTTCTTCCTGGTTTAGTCTTGGGAGAGTGTATGTGTCAAGGAATTTATCCATTTCTTCTAGATTTTCTAGTTTATTTGCGTAGAGGTGTTTGTAGTATTCTCTGATGGTAATTTGTATTTCTGTGGGATCAGTGGTGATATCCCCTTTATCATTTTTTATTGCATCTATTTGATTCTTCTCTCTTTTTTTCTTTATTAGTCTTGCTAGCGGTCTATCAATTTTGTTGATCCTTGCAAAAAACCAGCTCCTGGATTCATTAATTTTTTGAAGGGTTTTTTGTGTCTCTATTTCCTTTAGTTCTGCTCTGATTTTAGTTAATTCTTGCCTTCTGCTAGCTTTTGAATGTGTTTGCTCTTGCTTTTCTAGTTCTTTTAATTGTGATGTTAGGGTGTCAATTTTGGATCTTTCCTGCTTTCTCTTGTGGGCATTTAGTGCTATAAATTTCCCTCTACACACTGCTTTGAATGCGTCCCAGAGATTTTGGTATGTTGTGTCTTTGTTCTCGTTGGTTTCAAAGAAGACATTTATGCAGCCAAAAAACACATGAAAAAATGCTCATCATCACTGGCCATCAGAGAAATGCAAATCAAAACCACCATGAGATACCATCTCACACCAGGTAGAATGGCAATCATTCAAAAGTCAGGAAACAACAGGTGCTGGAGAGGATGTGGAGAAATAGGAACACTTTTACACTGTTGGTGGGACTGTAAACTAGTTCAACCATTGTGGAGGTCAGTGTGGCGATTCCTCAGGGATCTAGAACTAGAAATACCATTTGACCCAGCCATCCCATTACTGGGTATATACCCAAAGGACTATAAATCATGCTGCTATAAAGACACATGCACACGTATGTTTATTGCAGCATTATTCACAATAGCAAAGACTTGGAACCAACCCAAATGTCCAACAATGATAGACTGGATTAAGAAAATGTGGCACATATACACCATGGAATACTATGCAGCCATAAAAAATGATGAGTTCATGTCCTTTGTAGGGACATGGATGAAATTGGAAATCATAATTCTTAGTAAAATAGCACAAGAACAAAAAACCAAACACCGCATATTCTCACTCATAGGTGGGAATTGAACAATGAGATCACATGGACACAGGAAGGGGAACATCACACTCTGGGGACTGTTGTGGGGTGGGGGGAGGGGGGAGGGATAGCATTGGGAGATATACCTAATGCTAGATGACGAGTTAGTGGGTGCAGCGCACCAGCATGGCACATGTATACGTATGTAACTAACCAGAACAATGTGCACATGTACCCTAAAACTTAAAGTACAATAAAAAAATGGTAAAAAAAAGAAAAATTCAGTGAAACTTTCTTTAACCAATTCTGCTAAAATAAGGTTTTTGAAGTGAAAAATTGTTTGTTGTAAGCTATATTCAGTCAGACTGATTCTCATAGGTTTAATATGGTTTTATTCAATGGCTAACGCATCATTATATGGTCAGAATATGCTAGAACATTTCTTAGAGGTGGCTCAGGAAGTCAGAAAGGCTGGGGGCAAGTGCCAGAAGACACTACAGTTGTGAATTCTTGATATGTTGACTAATAAAGTGGCTCTTAGGCCAAGGCTGTGCATAGGTGGTGTAGAGCAGAATGAAAGGGGTGGGGGAATCATATTTAGTCTCAATATTTCTATAATTATTTAAAAATTTACAGTGCTGATATTTTCATTCATTACCTATGTGTTTTTAAAAAGGCATAGGTTAAAGAAAAAGGACACTGTAGTTGTACACATCTGAGACTGACAGTGTATTTAAAGGAGGATAATTATGCCACACAGAGTAAAAGCATTGAGACTGCCTGTGGCTGATGAATGAAGGGGTAGCAGTTCACATTCAGCAGAATCAGCAAAGATTTAGAAGTAAAAGTCATTCTCGATTCTCTCTTCGTCTCTTTGGCCATTCTCATTTTATGGCCCAGAAATGAACACCTTCAGGGAACTGAAGCCACCTCAGCTAATGCCACCACCCCAGCTGAAGCTACTCCAGAAGGTGCAAGTCATACAAAACTCGAACATATCATGGGTCTTTTTTTTTCAGTCTAGGAATAAGCAAAGGTTGCCAAGTCTAGGTACTCCATTAAGTTAGTCGTTCTGAGTCAAGGTAGAAACATTCGTTGACAGAGAGGACAAAGGGAACGTGTGATTTTTTTTTTTCTCTTTCAACAGAGAACTCAGTATACCTCAATGAACAAAAAAAGACAAATAAATAAATATGACTTTTCTTTAATCATTTTAATGTTTAATTCCACACTAGAGAGGTTGCTTGTTTTCTATTAATGAATGTCCTCAGGGTTTAAATGATAGTCCCTTTTAATGGAAATGTGGTTTGTGCATGGCGATGGGTTTATTCAACACGATTTTTAAATATAGGAAGCAGTTCTCTTTTCCACTGTACTTAGAATCAGATACTTAGACTATGTAAAACTATACTATTTATATTGTAAAGCTAATGAATAATTAAATAAATGCATAGGCAAGCACGGTGGCTCACGCCTGTAATCCCAGCACTTTGGGAGGCCGCGGCAGGCGGATCACCTGAGGTCAGGAGTTCGAGACCAGCCTGCCCAACATGGTGAAACCCCATCTCTACTAAAATACAAAAATTAGCTGGGCGTGGTGGCGGGTGCCTGTAGTCCCAGCTACTCGGGAGGCGGAGGCAGGAGAATCGCTTGAACCCGGGAGGCAGAGGTTGCAGTGAGCCGAGATCACATCACTGCACTCCAGCCTGGGCGACAAGAGCCAGACTCCATCTCAAAAAACAAAAAACAAAAAAAAACAAAAAAAACAACATGCATATATGTGTACTTTGGTACCTTATTCAGTAATCCTAAACTACTATTACTTACTCTTTAACTCTGGATTTATTGGTTATTCTTTTTAGTAATTATGTAAGATCTTATTGATAAGCTAATTTTAAGTGCTTTCATATTTTGATTAAAAAATGTTTAGGTTCCAAAGTACACATATATGCATTTATTTAATTGTTCATTAGCTTTACACTGATACTTTTTAGTGACCTTACTTTTTCACATTTATGCCCCAGTGAAAGTTTCCTGAAGAATTAATGATACTTATTTGCTTTCATAAGCTGAAATTCATGTCTCCTTTCTATTATAATGTCTAGATACCGACATTTTTCAATTGGCTAAAGCATGCTACCATACCTTTTAAAAAAAGCTTGGTATAAATCGTCACACCTGTAGGAATACTATTTGTAGGAGAGTGTGAAGAGTACATTTCATCTCTACCAATGTTTCTGAATAGATCTTGGACTTTTTACTCCAACATTAAGACAATGAACTGAAAGGTGAAAATTTATTTTTTATTAAAGAAAGAACTCATCTCACTTTTAATGTCTTCAAACAACCTAGTGGCATTCTGAACCTCAAACTGCAATATGACTAAGATGCAGCTGAAGTAATCAGTTATGTTTATAAAAGAACTTATGCTTGAAATTTATTTTTAAAAATCATTTTATATATAAAATAAAAACTGTTTCAGCGTCTTCCTAAATTTAGTCTGAAGTACAAAAACAATTTGATCTCTATCCCTTGCTCCTGAATTTTATTTTCACATAATGCATAAATTTTTTCAAATTACTTTGCCTTACATAATCACTTGAAGTGGAATTAAGGATGTGACACATATATAAATTATATTACTTACAAAATGAATTTAGAAACATATACAATAAATTGTATTTGTCTAGTAGCTGCACAAAGTTAAGGAAATGTGCTAAAAGTAGTTTAATATTCATATAGTAAATATACATCTTATGCTATATGGAGTTTTAAACAAATATGTTTGCTATTCTCATTTTTTATATCCATGGAGAAAACCTGACAGGAAATAGGCATATGGTATGTACCTTTTTTATAAGTTAAAAGCATATCTTTAGCAAGCTTTTGTTTATGGATCACCCAATGTCATGAAGTTGAGCAAAACTGGAACATTATTCTTGTGCATTTTTGAACTTGCCGTTGCCCCGCATGCCTCTGAGTATTGTTATCCTTGGATAAAAGTATTAAATAAAAGCTTCAATTCTGCATGTCTAAGGGTCCTTCTTTTCTTAATATTAATCATGTAAAAACTTTTATTTGATGTAATATCCATATCCACACAAAAACAATGGAGTGAAAAGAGGAGGGGCTTAAGTCCTGTTGCAGGCTGTTTGGGCATCTGGAGGCAATAATTTAAATGTAATGTAAATAATTTATAGTAATTTATTCTGAAATTCTAGGACATTTATTTAGAGTTTATTGGTGATAATAGTTTACATTTTCTATGCTCCTAATATTCTTTCGATGGCTTGGAATTTTACCTGTACCATAGGCAAATTAAGGCATTTTAAAAAAACCATGAATTTGTTTTTTTCTATCATTTCTATGGCTACATTTAGATGGCCCAACTTAGTGGAAATATGGATGAGCTCTCTGGCATCTGTTGAGCTTAGGCACTTATGACTATTCTCCACATAAATGGTGGACAGTGGAGGATAACTGATTCTCTGGCCCCAATGCCCCAGTATGTATATTTGCTGCTGTCAGGTCCTTTGAGGATGGGCTGAATCCATAAAACAGCTTTCATTTTGATACTATGAGTAGATAATTCTTCATGCAACTGTTCAGTGTAACACCTTTACACCATATAGGGAAAGGGCTATAAGTCTTCTTTAATCTCTTTAAGATCCAGGAGCTTAGTTCTTCTTCCCTCAGATGGAGCAAGGAAGAACATGAATCCCTGAATGATGAGTTTTGTGAATGCATCATTAAAAATTCTCTCATTTGCAGAGTCCTGGGTTGCCTTATAAAATGTTACAACAGCATGGCATCAGTTATCTATTAATGCAGTTTCCTCTTTCTAACAACATCCTGTGGAAATTATACTGGTAAATTCCTTAAATTTTGCAATTGGAAATTATTATTTTATGAGTGCTTACATACAAGCAAAGAATATTGTGGCTTGCTCCATTGGCAGAATCACCACTGTAATGATACCTTAGTCCACAAGTTATATAATTGCTTAGCAATCTTCTCTGTACAGTATGCTCCTAATTATCTAGGTTCAACAGAGAATACATGCTGACTCCCAAGGACTTGTTGAAAAAAATATCTAGACTATGACTAATTAGAGGGCTCTGTAATACTCTCAATATTAGAATATCATATTAGTCTCAACTCTACAGGGTATAAATTTGTCATGTGGCTCTTCTGCTAAGTGACATTTGCAGATAGAGGCATGTATTATAATGCTTATTAAGAAAAGCATCTGGAGTCAGCTCAGTTTTGTTTCAAATCTTATCTGCCACAGATCAGCTAAATGACCTTGGGCAAGTTAATTAACCCCTCTGGGCCTCAATAAAATGGGGAATAATAATACTACTCAACTAACAGAAATAGTTATGAAGATCACATAAATTCATAAATTCATATTTATAAAGAGCCTAATACAGTGCCCAGCATTTTGTATATACTCAATAAAAGGCCATTATTTTTATTGCTTTACTATCAGATTTGTTGGCTCAAAATCTTTCATCTCTCTGCAGTATCTTGACAATTTGACAGCAATGTTTCTTTATTGTAATGAAACAGATCATGGCTATTATACACTTCATTGAGAGGACAGAGGCAACTAATTTCCATCCAGTGTTCTACTGCTTTCTCTTTCCAAGTATGTAAAAGCAGTTTCTGCTTGACAGTGAACACTGAAATAATGAGTTCTATGGTGAATGAACTGGTGTTTTTCACTACTAAACATTGTTTTGACAATATCAACTGCAGGGCTAATTGTGCTCTATCCCTTTAACTGGAGGAGCCAATATTTGATCAAGACTACCTTGGATCTTGAAGGGGAGTTAAGTTTGCTAGATGAGATGCTGTTCTAAATGCTCAAAGTCTGGTAAAAATATTCCCTTATATTTGGCTTAATCCTGATTCCTCCATAAAGCCTCAGTTAACTTTTGGGCTGCCCTAAGTGTTTTTCTGCAACAATCTCACATTACCCCAGAACGTAGATCAGAATGTCTGCCAGACCGAACAATATAGTTCACTTTTGCTGCAGCTGTGGCTCTCAGCTTTTTGAGATGACTGTTTCAGTCTTTCCCTGTCTGGCTGTAATCGTTTTGGATGCTATCTCACATTGGTCCTTGTCATTTCCCTGAAACTAGTTTCCATCAACAATAATGAAGAGAATGGAACAAATGTATTAATTAACTTCAGTACAGAAAGTCCTCAGTACCTCTAAGACATTCAGATGTTCTTGGATACTTAGAATTTTGAGCAGCAAAACATTCAAACATCCATGAGCAGTAAGGAAAATAATATAGTGTATTTCTGAGAATATTCCTAATCAATGACTTATTTATTTGAAGAGAGTATGTATCATATTAAAGTTTAAACTTTTGCATGACTAGACTCCTTATAAGTCTACCTCAGGCTCAGGCAGTATTTTTTGATCTTAAACATCTGTTTAACTTGGTTCCTCTTACTTCCAGCTGTAAATCAGCCATTTCATGAAAAACCAATCTGTTTTTCAACATTTTCATTTTCTTACTGTTTAATATTTTTAGGTAGTTTCAGGCACTGGGTTCTACTCTAAATTTTATGCAACACTTTCAGAATAGGGCACTAGGGCTAAAAAACACAGCTGAATTTCCAATAGATTAATCCCTTTCCTTGTGAGTGGACTGAATTCTTATGTAAATTGTCAGTCAGTGTCTTTAGATCCTCTGAACAGTTAACCAAAGTGTCCCCATATGTTTGGCATGCCACCAAAACTGGTCAATAAGTGAAAGGCAGTATTGAGATTCTTCTGTAGATTTGGAACTCCTAGTTGCTCCCACCAATTTTATAATAATAGAGATTTACTTTTCAGATTATGAATGATTTTAGAGTGTAATCAGCCAAAGAAAAGTGCTTTTTAGGGGAAATCTTTCAATGGACGCATTATACAATTCAAGTGCTTTATCTGTTACATTTAACCAAAAGAGCAAATTATAAGATCATAGACATAGTTCAGTCTCACTAGAGTCATCAAAATGTTACAAATGAGAAATTAAATGAATAGCTATAAAGTGTTCATATTCATCACAGTGGAAGAATTGCAGGCAATGATTTGAAAGCCTGAGATCTAGTCTCTTTCAGTTGAAAAGAGCAGAAATGCAACAGTATTCTGACATCTTGACTACTTAACAATCTATTCATCCTTAATTTAAAAATATTTTTTTACCCTGTACCTTCCAAAAATATAGTGAAAAGATTTATATGCTGGTGAGAAAGAACAGAAAAATATGTCTTGAATTTCAACTCTCTTAAGTATCATAAGGTTAGTGACTTTTCATTGAAAGAATTTATGAAAGAGATGTAAAATGAAAGACAAAAAGAGGAGTCAAGATAAATAAGACATAATGATTTGAGGTTTTAAAAAATGTCATCATGCTTCTGATAATTTTGAACCTTTATGCTTCTTTAAGATGTATCAATAATTTATTAAAATTAAGTAAACAGTTGGTCTAAGCCATGAATATTTTAATTGTAATAAATCAATGGTATCCTCAACATCATTTCAAAATGGAAATATGCTAGTTACCTATGAACAGATGTTTCCAACTGGCATTCCCCTAATTATAGGATTGCCTCATATACATTCCTTTTATATGAGTAGCTGCTCCAGCCTGTTGACCAAAGGAGCTCCCATCCTTGGTCACTGGAGATTTTCCTCTGGTCTCTTCATTCCTAATGTATATAATCATGCGACCAATTCTTCCTTTTGGACCAACCTCTTCTCCTGACCTTCCCCAAAACGGAAAGGAAGAAGGGTAGGAAGAGTATAAGAAACAAGATCACTGGGAGGAAGATGAGGAAAATGTGGTGTTAAAGGCTCTGTTTCGGGCTACAGAAAGCTCCAGAGTAATGGCATCCCAGGTTTTTCAGAAGTAGGTCTCATAATCAGAAATTAATCTGTAGGTTTTTATAATTGTGATGAGTTGAGAGGATATGGACCAGGTTGTGACTCAAAGGTAAGTACAGAGCCTGTGGAGGTTTTATTCATATTTAATTTTTTTCCTTCTTCATCATCCTAAAGTTTTATGGGGTCAGTTAATGCAATTTGATGAGGTTGAAAGTAGATAGCTTCAATTATCATTGAATAATTATTAATTGATTCAAAGCTGAGAGTATTAAACACTGATGGTAGCAGGGCAGGTTCTATAGCTCCAGGTAAACATTTAAAAAATAAAAAATCAGGTGGTTCACATCGGCGTCAGGCAGGTCACATGTGAGCAGAGGCAACATCTTGAATGTCCAGGAAATGGCTGAGGTTAGAGTTGGTGTGCCTTAATTCCATAGTTTGACAAGCAGGGGTAAGTATGAGAGGAGGACCTAATTCTTCTGCTAATGCTAACTGATTTTCTCATAAAAAATTTGTTTTCTGTGGTTTCTCAATTCTACAGTTCTATTAGCAAAATTCTTTACATGCTTGATGAATTGAAGAGATGGCAGTCAGCTTGCCTTTGCATTGAATTACTATGTCATCATTCTGCTACTGTGAGAAAACAGTTTCCTAAATAAGTGACTTACGAGTTAACCTTTGGAAACAACTTGTTAGAAATTGTCTATATACCTTTCTTTACAAATATAGACAACTGTGGAGCAAAAACAAAAACAAAACACAAAGCCTCCCCACAAAAATATAAAAAATCTCTGCCTTTTAAATAGAATGTTTAGAGACTTTTCCCTTTATTCTTAGTATGTGTCAAGCGCTGCAGTAAATTCTTTTATCCCTGTGCTGAAAAAGTTTCTAATTGGCTTCAGAGTTACTAACTAGCTCATGAAAACACAACAAAAACACTTGAATTTTTTTCTAACCTTTGTTACTGTAGGAGATAGTATTTTTCTAATTAATATTGTCAACAAGATATTCATTTCTTACCTTGTCAGAAGGTTTGAATGGATTTCCTTGTCCACTAATTCCACCACTGATACTAAATCCAAGGCCAGGATTCTTTTCTATTCTCACACAAAACTATGTAAAAAAGATATAAAATGGTAAGTAAACAGTTATCAAAGCTAAATATTTTCAAATAACTGTATTTCAGTAGAAAAGATTCACATTTCACTTGGTTTCTTAGGGTTAGCCTATGTTGAGTTGATACACAAAAGACAATATAAACTTTGACAAAATGTTTAATGTTTCTATATGCATCAGTTATGATGGAAACTCGCTTGAAATTACCTGGGCAAGAAGATATTAGCAAGTACTTATTTGTTACCATGTACAGGACTAAATTTTGATTAGCCATTTTTAAAAGTTAAAAGTCTTATAAACACTTAAAATACTATGCATTATCTTAGCTATCAACCATAAATGCACATGTATTCAGGTTGATTAGAAAGGAGTGTCTGAATAAGTGAAACAAAACTTTAAAATGTAGAGTGAAAGAAAATATGGCTATTTAAATAAATTGTGCCTGCTTTGTAGTAGAGTAGATTAATTCATCTCCTTGTTAGATAATTCTTTGTTTAGGAATATTAGATCTTTTAGTTTGAGAAAGTAGCCACAGCTTGTGTGAGGGTAAAAAAAAGGAAAAATGAAATGCTCAGTGAAGAGTTTCAAGTCTAGCAGCAGCTCCTGGAGTAGGAGTTAGGAACCTTAGAAGAAAGGGGAGAATAGTGTGATGAGGTCTAGTTAAAGAAAGAGGTCAACAATATGGAGACATTGCTAGGGAAAGAGAATGGCCAATACGCAACACAAGGGCAAACATTCTAATGTTCTGTTATATTACCTCCCCAACATCCCAAATCATGAATGAAAGTCTATTAAACATGACTTTTGTTTTATAGTAGTATGGGGGAATGATGGCATTAGGGGTAGGGTCCGCCTTGGGATAAGGCTGTAGTAAAAATTATAGCAATAATAGAAGTTAATAAAAAGACTGTAGATCAAGAACTCAGCAGAAATGACATCAGTGCCAGGGATGACCTAGAGAAACTCTAACAAACCTAAGAATTCCTGGAGACCCTGAGCAGGAGATGTGTATGTGGGCTATGGTAAAAATGTTAGTTCTCCAGGTAAAGTGGGACAGGGTGATCCCAAATAATTGAAAGATTTCGGACCAAGAGGCAGTATACATTGGTTACATAAAGAAAAAACACTTTGTAACTTTATTTTTTATTATTTACTTATTTATTTATTTTAGTGACAAGGTCTTACTCTGTCACCCAGGCTATAGTGCAGTGTTGCAATCAGTTCACTTGAACTCCTGGGCTCAAAGTATCCTCCTGCCTCAGCCTCCCAACAAGCTGAGACTTACAGGTGTATGCCACCATGCCTGAATAATTTCAGTTTGTTTCTTTTTCTAGAGATAGAGTCTTGCTGTGTTGCCCGGGCTAGTCTCGAACTCCTGTCCTCAAGTGATTCTCCCACCTTGGCCTCCCAAAGCACTGGAATCACAGGTGTTAGCCACTGTGCCCAACTCTTTTACAACTTTTAAGTACAGAGTAAGTATTAGGTGAACCAAGTGTTACCAAAGGTTAGCAGGCAAAAGATTAATAAAGAGTTAAGAAAAAACATAAGATGACACACTTTGGCATATATTTTGTATTTACATAGCTACATACTGGAAGAATTCTTAAAAGTGATTGTAAACATTTGCTTTCTTAAGTAGCCCATTTTTACCCCCAGAATTCTTGCTTAGCCCATTAATTTGCTTATGGCAAATGTAAATGCCCAAAACACTCTTTACATTTTTATTGTGAGCTATCTTCAATCCCTACCTCTTAGTTCAAGGCAAACTGAGTCCTATTTCTGACTTAATTAGCACATATTGTCACTAGAACCTGGATCAATTAGGTTTGTCTGTTTAATAATCCTATACTTAATTCACTGTCATATTTCACAATAGTAAATATAATGTTTAAATATTAGATAGTTTACTGGCAACACAAAGATGAAAAACTATGCACTAATGTGATTTTTATGTAGTCATTAATGAATAGTTTCTTAATTATGAGTAAATGTACTATAAGTACTGTCCCTTATTTTATTTTAAAGATGTTTAATTATAACTTTTCCTTCAATTGAGCTAGATTTGTTAAAACTAGTTATCATAGGTGGTAGAATTTACAGTTTATAATACTTTGTATTTTTATATTGATCCTAGTTTATGAATATAAACTTATAATAGCCTGATGTAGCTGAAAGAAATATTTTAGCCTTATTCAGTGTGCTAGTTGATCTCTTTGTTATTATTTATTAATTAGAAAATGAGAAGAAAGCAACCAATATGATGAAAACATTTTTCTTTTGTGTTTTTCAATGTTTCTATGCATTTCCAATTATATTATTTAAAATTGGGGTTATATCTTTCTAATGTGAACATTTCATATTGCCACAACATAATATGCAGAAGGTATATGCAGTTCTGGCTTTCTCCAGGCCACTATAAAACTCAAAGGAAACAAATGTAACAGGTTTAATTTACAAAGTAAATTGCTGAGAGTAGTTTCCAGTTGTTCTCTTTCAAGGTAGCGACTATATCTATTTTATATTATTGTAAATCTGGAAGGCACTAAAAATCTAAGAGAAACAAATTTCACATGTGCCAAGTGTATGAAGAACTGCCTTAATATTTTTTAATAAGAGAAATAATGATGACACTGTAGTTTTATAAATGTGACAAACAAACATAAATTCTGATCTGAGGCTAGACTGCTCTTGGGCATGCCAAGGTATGGCTAATAGGTTGTATTGTGACTACTGGGTCTCATAAAGCATGTCAGAGAGAGTATTCCTCTCACATATAAGTAGTTCCACCTGCCTGCTAAGGCCCAAAGAAGCCATAAAATGTAAGAGGACAGAATACCTTACATCCAGGAAGCAGTCTGAAACTAAAGAGGATCAGCAAAGAGGAAATGCAGTGTTCTAGTAAAAGATTAGGTCTAGGAAGCTAATAAATAGCTTATTTAATGAGAACCATTATTTTAATTTTCTTTTAATTTATTTTTTATTTTTTTGAGATAAGGTGTTGCTGTTTCTCAGGCTGGAGTGCAGTGGCGTAATTTTGGCTCACTGCAGCCTCTGCCTCCCATCTCAGTCTTTGGAGTAGCTGGGACTACAGGCACATGTCACCATGCTTGGCTAATTTTAAAATTTTCTTTGTAGAGATGAGGTCTTGAACTCCTGGGCTCAAGTAATTCTCCCATCTCAGCCTTCCAAAGTGCTTGGATTATAGTCGTGAGCCACCACGCCAGACTCAGTTTTCTTTTAAGAGACCGGTTTTAAAGAATGAATGGTTTGGCCGAAAACATATGCAGTAGTAGTGCAATCAATGGTCTTTCAGAGTCTGCTTCCATAATTCTACTTTACTTGATAACTTCTGGTCTGTGTTAATCTTACTCTAATTACAATACTGGGTCTTATTTTGGAAAGGCTTTTTTAATAAAATGGATTGTTACAAAAATTAGCTTGGCATGGTAGTGCACACCTGTAGTCCTAGACACTCAGGAGGCTGAGGCAGGAGGATCACTTGAGACCAGGAGTTTGATGCTGCAGTGAGCTATGACTGTGCCACTGCATTCCAGCCTGGGTGAGCCCTCTCACTAAAATAAATAAATAAGTAAATAAATAAATAAATAAATAAGAATAAAGGCTAAAATTCTCCCTGCCTTCCTTAATAAAAAGTATACGATGACTCCTTGTTAAAATACATGATGAGTTTTAGAAGGAATGTCAGTTATTCAAAGAGTACCTCAATTATCAATGACTTTGAAATAAACTACTCTGGAAAAATGTTGTAGCTTTGAAAATAAAAACTGTTGCCAAAATAATGATTTATGACTTTATTCCACAAATATTTATTGATTCCCTACTAAGTACCAGGCAGATAAAAATATCCTTGACCTCAAAGAACTTACATTCTAATGAGGAAGATAGATAGCAAACATAAACAACAAATAAGTAATTTCAGATAGTGGGATGAACTGTGGAAAACAGCAGGAAAGGTAGTAGAGAGTAATTGAAATGGAATGAGGAGTTATTCTACTTATTTATTTACTTTAAGCTTATTCTTGCCTCAGGAAAGAGCTATTTTTGATGGAGTAGGTAAAAAAACCCTCTCTGAGTATGTCACATTTGAGCAGAAATGTGAATGATGCCAAAGATCAAACAATGAACAATAAGAAAAATGAAACACTATCCCAAGCAAAGGGGACAGCAATTATAAATGCCCTAAAGATGGATTTAGGGCATACGTCAAGAAACAACATAGATCAGTTTAATAGAATAGAGACTCCAAAAATAAATCCTAACATTTATAGTCAGATGATTTTGACAAAGGGTTCAAGGTAATTCACTGGGAGAAAGAAGAGTCTTTCAGTAAATGGTGCTGGGACAAGATACCCACATGCAGAAGAATAAATCTGTACTCATATCTCACACCATACACAAAAGTTATGTAAAGTAGACCAGAGGCTGAAACATAAGAGCTAGATTATAAAACCCTTTGATGAAAATACAAAAGGAGTAAAGTTCATCACCTTAGATTAGGCAATGATTCTTAAATATGAAACCAAAGATGATATAAGAGATTGATATGTTGGACTTCATAAAAACTAAAAACTTTTGTGCTTCAAAGAAGACCATCAAAAAGTGAAAAGAAAACCCACAGAATGAGAGAAAATATTTGCAAATAATATATCTGATTAGGGTTGTATATCCAGAATATATAGATAACTTTTACAATCCAATAATAAAAAGACATCCAAATTTAAAAATAGGCAAAATATTTTTAAAGATGTTTCTCCAAAGAAGATACATAAACATTCAAAAAGCATATGAAAATATACTCAATATCATTAGTCATTAGAGAAATGTAAATCAAAATGACAATGAGATACTAATGAACAGGATGACTACAGTACAAAAGACAAACAATAATAAGTACTGGTAAGGATGTGGAAAAAGTGGAACCCACATTCATTGCTGTTCGGAATTAATATGTTGTAACCACTTTTAGAAAAGAATTTGGCAGTTCCTCAGAATGCTAAACATAATTACCATATGACTCAGCAATTTCATCTCTATGTATCTACCCAAGAAAAATGAAAACATATATCTCCACACAAATTTGTACATTAATGTTCACAGCAGTGCTATTCTTAATAGCCAAAAAGTAGAAACCCAAATGTCCATCAACCATCAACTGATAAATGCATAAGCAAAATGTGGTATATCCATACAATGGAATATCATTTAGCAATGACAAAGAATGAAATACTGATACATGCTACATTCAGTTCCTTATGCTAAGTGAAAGGAGCAAATCACAAAAATACATGTATTGTATGATCCCATTCATATTAATTGTCCAGAATAGGCAAATATATAGAGACAGAAAGTAGATGAGTGGTTGTCTAGGGCTGGAGGGAGTATGGAAAGTGACTGCTCAAGGATGCAAAGTTTTTTTTTGAACGATGAAAATGTCATAAAGTTAGATTATAGTGATAGTTACACAACTGTACAAATGTAATGAAAACAATAAATTATACACTTTAAGCAGATGAACTTTACTGTATATAAATTATATCAATAAAGCCATTAAAAAACAAGGTCATCATGACAGAGCTAAAGAAAGAATAGAAGGAGAGGAAGGTGGGGCTAGATCTGCAGGGACACTATACCATAGTAAGGATTTAAAATTTATTCAGAAATGTTGAAAGCCACTAGAGCATTTTAAGAGGAAGAATGGTGTAATATAATTTATGTTTATTAAAAAAGATCACTTTAGTAGTGGAGAATAGACAAAAGGAGGTAAACTGGAAGAAGAGAAAGCAATATGGAAGCTTTTGAAGTAGTCAGGTGTGAGGTTACGGCCAACTAAGATGGTAGCTGTGTGGGTGGTGAGAAGTGGTGGGTTCAAGACATACCTTGATGAAATTGCTGTGGATTGAGTGTAGACTGTGAGGAAGGGGAATCAAGGACGTTTGGTCATATCAAAAGGGTGATAGGCCATTAACTGAAATGGGGAAGTAGGTTTGGTAGAGTTAGCAGCAGGAAGTGGTTTTCTAAAACCATGCTAAGTTTAAGAAACTCATCAGACATCCAGGATGAGATGTCAACAAGTAGCTAATTGCATATAAACTTCTGGAGTGAAGGAGAGAGACGAAGGCTGGGGATACAAATTTTGGAGAAAAAGGTCAAACTACATGGCTGAGAGGTCAGATGAGATGAGGATGGAGATTTGACGATAGGACTTGACAAAAGCAGAAAGAATGCTTCATGGTATGTAAATTAAGCTTGAAATTAAAGTTACTGCTACTTTTAGCTCCTGGTTTTATGGGTTATTATATAACAGCAGTTTTATGATAAAGAGTGCTATGCAATAATAAGCTATTATAATTTTTCATTTTGACTTACATTATGTACATTACTTAGCCATACAAAATACACATAAAATTTCTCTGCATTTTCCAAAATTTCTGATAAGCCCATGAAATAGGCTCAAAAAGGAAACAGTGATTATAAAAATGTATACATGTTAATATTCAAGGATAATTAATATTTTTTGAAATACAAATTCTTCTATATTCAAATCTTTTCCTCTTGTGAATGAAAGATTCAAATCCAGCTAAAATTCCTAGTTAAATCTTTCCAAAAGATGTACTGGTCAGCTGGGTGCAATGGCTCACGCCTGTAATCCCAGAGCTTTGAGAGGCTGAGGTGGGTGGATCACTTGAGCCCAGGAGTTCGAGACCAGCCTGGCCAACATGGCGAAACTCCATCTCTACTAAAAATACCAAAATTAGCTGGGTGTGGTGGAGCATGCTGTAATCCCAGCTACTCGGGAGGCTGAGGCAGGAGAATTGCTTGAATCCAGGAGGCGGAGACTGTGGTGAGATTGCTCCACTGCACACCAGCCTGGGTGACAGAGGCTTTGTCTCAAAAAAAAAAAAAAAAAAAAAAAAAAAAAAATGTACTGGTATCAAGATTGACTAATAAAATCCCCTGATGTAGCACTTTCTAGGTCTTTCAGAAAAAATTAGCTGATTCTGTATGTATCTAGGAAACAGAAACTCAAATGCATTTTTAGTCTGGAAATAAATTTTAAAGATTAGTCATTTCATTTCCTTCATTTTGGACTTAAGGAAACCAACAAGATAATATGTATTTAGTGCAACATTGAAATAAATCTTTTTATTCCCACTGCAATGTTTACTGCATTCTACCATATGACTGCACACAACTTATAAAGTCAATTGATAGAATTTCTGATGTTGAGTCACACATTCTCTGTGTCAAACTATGAATTACAAATTCAGAACTGAAGCATTATTTTGATGACTGGAGAATAAAATTCTATGGGGGAAATATTCACAAATAGCAATTCTTTAAGTGGGACAGGATAAGGCACAGGATGTCCCTGAAATAACTTGAGTAAATAACAGAGATTAAAACTACATTAATACCTATTTTACAAATACCTTTACTGAACTATTCCCTTTTAATTAAAAAATTTATAATTTAAATAAAACAAATATCTCCAAATGTTTCTTCTTACACCACTCAGCAGAATGTAGTTTTCTTCACCTGCACACAATAAATGAAGTCCTCACCTGGAACTCTTGAGTGCTCTTTGGGCAGTTGACCAGAGCATCTAATCTAAAGAGAAGTCTGAAATCCTGTCTCTCAGCTAACTGTTTTATGTATTCCACATAATATTAAGTATTAAAGTGATTTCTTCCAGGATAGACTACAGCATCTCCTTGTGAGTATGTTTTGGAACTTTTTTTCCCTTAAATATGATGGATGCATATCATTTTTTATAACTCTCTGAGGCTGATTCTAATGTGAGCTTAGAAGTTCTCTTTCAGGCACAAACTTTAATTTGCATGTATACTTGCAGGCACTGGCAGGAGACAGCCATGGAGCTCCTGCTATTCTGATGTGTTAGGTTGGTTGGGCTCCTGCCATTTTGATATGTTAGGGAGGTCCCCTTGTCCAGGGCAGACATGGAGTGAAGGGTGCATTTTTCCATCGTTTCACTCTTCCAATATGAATTTACTCTTGACTTGTGTGCTTGGCTACTCTTGACTTTTCCATCGTTTCACTCTTCCAGTGTCAATTTACTCTTGACATGTGACGCAGGCTGCAGCATGTAATGTGGTAGACTCATGAGACTGGGTTCTAATCCCAGCCCAGCTTCTACATTGTGTGACCACAGGCAAGACATTGAACTTATCTTAGTCTTAGTTTTGTAGTCTATAAAATGGAAACTGCTCTACCTATATCACAACATTATCAATTAAATTAAATCAGTGAATACATAAAAGGGTTTTGAAAGGTTTGAAGCATCATGCTGATGTTTTTCCTTCTTATTTCTGCTTTGGCATCTATACTATCTACTTATTTAAATATACTGTGTCTTGTATTATACATTTGCAAAAGGGAGAAACAAAGCTGATGTTAGTTTCTTTTAAAAATATCCAACAGCTTATGGGCAACTTATGTATGCTTTTAAATAGTGATATTCTCAATATATTATTCAGCTGATAAATTGTTGAGCTATAGAACATCTAAAGCAGTGCTCCTCAACCTTGGCTACACAATAGAATCACCTTGGGGAGTTTTCAAAAGTCTCATTGCCCAGGTCACATGCAGCCTATTAAAATCAGTTTATCTGGGGATGAGAGCAAGACATCAGTGTTTTTTAAAGCCCCTCAACAGATTCTGCAGCTGCGGTTAAGAACAATTTATATAAAGCATTACCATATTGTGAAGGGGAGGATAAGGTGGATGGGATCTTTAAGCTTCTTCAGTTACACTGGGACACAAAGGAGAGATCTAATAGGATGAATATTCTGATGAAGGGTTTTCCATGTGGAATGGGAGTCAAACCTTCACTTTCTGGCTGTTTTATTCAGTTCACTACTTAATACAACTCTGACTTTTACCCTCTATTATGTTTGTAAGTAATCTAAACGGTTTATGCACTAAAATCTCCTTTTCAAGTAAAATCCCCTGATAATGAACTTCAGGTGACATGCACATGGTTTTTGCTGCAGATATTATTTGAAGTCAGATTTATAGTCTACAGAAATTAATACACTGAATCTGGGTAACATTTTATAGTTGAAACATAACTTCCATATATTTAATTTAAACCTAGAGTTGAAAACAGACTTGATACTCATTATTTCTGAAAAATAAACGTGAAAATAAGTGCATTAAACCAGAAGTTTAGGTTTCTAGAGTTCTTGAATATTTTGTCCTTTTTATTGTGATGGGTAGTTTGAAAGTTTAGATGGTTTTATCACTGAAGAGGAGCCTCAAAGCTTACTAAATGCTTCTTCATGGTTAAACAAAGTTCAATACTCCGCTTACATAACAAATGACACTCATTCTAATTCATTCAATGTCGTCAGTTTTGGCACTTATTATATATGTTCATTTCCACATGGAACTTATTTTAATCAGGTTAAAAATACACTAGTTCTTTGGGTGACATTAAGGGATACAGAGGTATGTTTTCATTAATAATAAAAGTTTCCATTTGTTCAGTAGCTTTTTCTTTTCAAAGCAATTGCAAGTATTCATGTGAGTTCACTTGAACACTCCATAAGGCAGTTCTATAATTCTGAGTTATAGTTCAGGCAGGTTTAATTAATATCATTTGACAGAGAGGGCATTGAGATCATGTGGTGAATTTTACAGTGAGATTAGGACACAGGACTTGGACTGGGGTCAGAAAAAAACCTGACTTAAAATTCCAGCTTGGCCAATTACACTTTCCATAAATTATTTTCTCTCTGCCTTGGTTTCTTCACTTGTAAAAAGAAAATAAGATTATTATGAGGATGAAATAAAATAGTATATGTAAGCAGGACCGGTTATATAATTAGTTGGGCCTGATGCAAAATGAAAAAGTGGGCTCCTTGATCAACAACTATTAAGAATTACAAGATGGTGACAGCAGGGCATTAATCCAAATGTGGGGCCCTTTTAAGTGCAGGACCTTATGCAACTCTACAGGTCACATGCCTCTGATGCCAGACCTGTGTGTGAGAAATAGAGTGTAAAACACATAGCACGTGCTTAATATATGGTAACTGCTGTCCCTTTCTTTGCTATTTTCATTCAGATTTCCTTTTCCTGAATGAAAAAATATGTATTCACTGTAATCAGATTTTGTTTTACCTGTAGTATTTCAATAAGTGACTACTGTTTAACTAAAGTTTCCAAGCTTTACTTTAACAGAAATTATTGTGTTGTATTATACTGAGTAGACTTTCTTTGTACCACGTTTACTGTGTCTCCTTGCTCTTAAAAATGTTGAATAATTTTTTTCCATATTGTACCTGACCAAATTTACCATTGTTGTTAGATAATTTAAGTTGAACTTTGCTTTTCTCTTTATGGCTCTTTTATAGCACCACTAGAAATGTCTTATTAAAATAGACTGTTTTGATTTATATGCCCCAAATCTACATTAGAAATTTTATGTTACCTCACTGCTCTTTGCACTTAAATCACTACTCCATAATTTTCATGTGAATCTCCATAAAGTCTTTACATGTTTTAAATGTTCTCCATTTTTTTCCTGGTTAAATTTGGAATAAAAGTCTTCTTTTAAAACACACAGCCACATACACTTATTAAAAAGGTCTCAATTTTCAAAAGAAATATAACTTAGGAAAGTAAAACACACATGAAATAGTTTCATTATGAGAGTGAAATATATAACCTTTCAGCCTCTTTTAATGTTTCTTGGTTTGTTTTTCTATTTGTAGATGAAGGAGGCTGGGACTGATAATCATTAAGTTTCTTCAAATATTTGAATTCTTAAAATATTCTATTTCTACTGTTTTCTGTTTCTATACCCTCAGTGCTAAGCTTACGGGGAGTGTGTGTGTGTGTGTGTGTGTGTGTGTGCGTGTGTGTGTGTGCGCGCGCGCGCGCGCGCGTATATGTAGAACTGTATTATTTGACTCTGACAAATTCTTTTTGAATGTTGTTGGTGGGTAGCAATGTTCTCATTTGATCAGGAGAGAAACAGACGCTCAGGAAGAGTTAACAACTTGGCCAAGGACAAGTGGCTAATAAACATAAACATGAAACTAGAACTCCAAATTCTGAGACCTAGTCCTAGTATCTCTTTCTTGAACACTAAGCTAAATGAAGAAGTGGAGAGGTTAGAAAAAGAAAAAGAGATGAAAGAAATCAGGGTAGTAGTCAGTGGTGTGCTGGAAAATATTTAATAAACAGCTGGTTGGGGTTTGGAGAGTGCCCTAATTTGGAGTGTTTGCTGATGTTCCTGGTATAATTTTTCCCACAACTTCAACCTATTAATATGATGTCATTGAAGGTGCCATTGGGAAGAGGAGCACATGACAATGTGCCAATATGAGCTGGCCAACTGTGAAAACAGCTTTAAGAAACTGACTCAAGGTTTATAACGGGATGACAGGTAACATAGTTTGGGGACCAGAACTGGTTGTTTAAATGCCTTTAGGCTTTCTTTCACTCAAAAGTCTTTTTTATTGATACATAATGATATTTGTATATATTCATGGGGTGCATGTGATATTTTGTCACATGCACAGAACGTGTAATCAAGTCAAGGCATTTAGGATACCTATCACCACGAGTATTTATCATTTCTCTATGTTGAGAACATTCCAAGTCCTCACTTCTAGCTATTTTGAAATGTACAATACATCTAAAACCATTTCAGCCTGAAACCAAGGCAGAAAAAACTGAGACATCAAAAGGTGTTATATTTAAGTCCCTTCCTTAACATATAGGCAGTTCTACAATTCTGAGTTATAGTTCAGACAGGTTTAAGCATTCAACTGAATGCTTAAATTTTATCTCTCAGTTTGAAATGTACTTGATGTTATCAAGCTGTGAATGAAAACATTTGAGAGCTACTATAAATACATTTTTTCTGAAATAATCATAATGTTCTAAACTCAATACATGTGTAAACTTTAAAACTTAGTAATCCTCTTACTAGCCAAACTTTATATAATTTACATTTTTGGGGAAATAGTATTAAAATAGCCTTTAAATTTTGGGTGTTCAGAATAATTGCATGCTAACACTAAACCTACTTTTCAATGTAGGCGAAAACCGATAGCATTAATCTCAGTGCGTTTTCAAATGCATTGATTCTGGGAGGAAAAAACCATGTAGCTGTTAATAAGAATAACTAAATCAGAGAACTGGTTTGAGTTATGATACTTGTGGGCAAGTCATATCTATGAATAATTTTTTAACCTCCTAAGATGCCTTTGGTAAAGCATAATTTAAAATTGTATTAACTTTTAAGAGTATCTGGAGAATTAAAAACCCCATATCATTATCTGATTAAAGGCACCTGTCTGGTTTATGATACCTTAAATTCAACACTTGACCTAGACTAAGGCAGGAGAGGGAGAAGATTATCTTTACAATGCACCTATGATTCTGAGAATGATTAGTACGTAATCTAGGCTTCAAGAAGGATATTACAAAATAGAGGAGATGTTTAAAGCCCTTGGAATCCAAATGATAAATGGCTCTTAACAATATAAAGGGAAAATCTGGAGAATGAAGTTAATTTTGATATGTTTAGAAAGTCAGGTGGGGTGATATGAAAAACTTTGATAAGTAATAATAAAATGAAGCTTTTATAGACCATATTAAAAGTTAGAAAAGTCAGTAGGAATGTTGCCTATCTATCTGAATAATGAAATAAGAGAAATTAATTTTAAGTGTATTAAGATCTTAATGTTTTACTTTCTAAGATTAATATAGTTCAATAGATGCAATCCCACTCAGTTTTCCAGTCCTAAGGAACTAAAACAGATACTACAATGGAAAAGCAAATCCTAATTTTAGATAGGTTTGAAGAGCGCAATTCTTTTTGCTACATGGCAGTTATCAGTAACTTTTGAAGCATGTCAGAAACATTTCCCTTCTAACTGTTCTTTATAATTATCTTCATAGCAAAGCTTTATCTCTGCACCATTCAACAATCAGAAGATAGGACTTTTAAAAGATATTCCCACAGATGGGGGAAATAATATAGTTTACTTTCACACTGAAGGTTTCAACAGCAGACTTGGTAAATATACCTAATCCATTGAAGTCCTTTATAACATTCAAAATCTGTACTGTAGAGCTAAATTGGAGTTAGGAGTGGGTAGGAAAGGGTGTAGGATGGTACTGGAAAAACTATTCTGCCCCATCAATTTTTCCTTTTGTAAAATGGGTATTTTACCAACCATAAATTCCTATATGTTGTAGTCCTTAACCACTGGAAAGAATGATAAAATCCCCACAAAGAGGGCCCTACCCCATTCAACATGGTGATGGCATTGTGTCCTGGACCACATTAATGAGGGAAGGCCAACCATGGATTCTTTGGACTTTTCTTACCTGAAGATTTTTCAGTAATAAAGAAACACTTCTCACCTGCTCTGGATATCCATCCATACTCCTTTGCCCTTTAGTTTGAATTAAGCACCGTCCAGGCTGAGGTCCCCGGGTGGCCTGTGAAGAGGGGATCTGAATAGGCAATGGTGACTGAAATTGCTGGATGGTCACTTTGTTTATATTTCCTTCATACGGCTGCTGCTCCCGGCTGCGATGCTGAAGGCTTTGGGACCCCATCAACGTCTGGATGTGGCTGCCTGCCTGTGGAGAAGATAATCTGTCAGGCAAAGATTCATGGTGCTGAAAGGATGTGATTAAAGTAGAAAGCACGTACAGAATACCTCTCTGGTAAAGCGGCACCATTTGGGCTCTCAGCCATGGCCAGAAAGGATAATGAAGAAACAGTAAGGGTCTGCCTACTGTGGTTTGTGAAAATGTTAATATTGGAGCAAGGTCACATTAAATACATTCATAGTCATCTGCTGGCTTGCCAGAGATAATTTTAACCTCACTTTAAAGGAAGAAAATTCAGTTTGAAAAATCTCAGGAAGAAAATTAAGTCGCAACTTAAAAATAAAGGGGAGCTGTATCTGGTATTTCATCTTGAAATATACCAGAGAGTTACAGAGAGATGTTAATATATGTAACACCATGGGGAAAATGATGGAAACAGTTTTCTGATTCTGAAGCAAGTAAGTTTGTTCAGATGAGTAAAACCAATATTTATCAATTATCACCATTATTCAAATACAGCCTTTGAAATCTCTAAGTTACATTAAAAATTAATCATGTGATAAATTCCTGTGGGGGCACTAGCTATGGAACCGTCTTCGAAATGAGCTCTCTCTGCAGAAGATCATCTAGTCATGAGCTTTCAGAGAGATTAATCAGTACCCTTTATTTAAACCGATAATGATCATTTCTGAATTCTTAAAGGTGGAGGAGAGAGGGTATGCTTGCTGCGGTCTCTCATCTTTAAATGATACGATCATACCCGTACTTCTTTGTTGACTCCTGTTTTCTCACCTTCATTTTAGCACCAGCTCCTTGCGTCATTCTATCTCATGTCTTTTCTACAAACCAAGCAAGCAGTTTTGTGTGTGAGCTGGTAAGCCAGAATATGCCTTTCTAAACTGAGAATGGTTTAACATGGAGGTCTAACATAGAAAATGAATGCTGATCATGAATAATTTTAAACATATATTTTAGTGCTGTGCTTAGTACTTCACCCATTGCTATTGAAAGACGTGGGGATTTATTTCCTGAATTCATTTTCTTTCCTCTTGATCTTTTAAGGATAGGTGACTTGAATTCAAAAGTGAATTTCACCTTTGAATTCATTAGCTAGGAAAGCTTGTGAAATGTCCTGACTAATCAAGATTTTTGATTACTATGAAAACGTTAGGTTGGAGTAATAAAAAGATAATTACTAAATAAGTATTCATGGAAGAGATTAAATTTAATTATTTTAAAGTTTTTAAAGAAGAGCAACATAAAAAACACTACAGTGATAATGAAAAATCATTTTCAGAGGAAAAATATATTGCTGGATTCCAAACAAGAGACAATTTCAAAAGAAAATATTAAAAATTATTATTTGGCAATATGTAAGGCAAAATAAACAACCATTTGATTATATTTTAGACGTCCAATTGACTGTCTTGGTATAATTTACAATTGTTTACATTTGAAAACAGTAAAGATATCTCAGACATGAGAAACGGGAGGAAAAGATGCAAAAAAGGGCTTCAGCCTATACCAGCACAATGTGAAATCAATTATCAATCCAACTCTGTCCAACGCATATCCAGTGATTACAGATCTATAACCTCATAAATACAACTAAGATAATCTCATAAAGGGCAAATCTGTATTTCTCTATTGTATCTATTCCTTTCTCAGAAATCTTAATGAAAGAAGATATTGCAGCCTTTTCAGCCATTCTAGAAGATTAAACACCCTTGTGGTCGAGTTTTTCCTTATTGCAAATTCAACTCTTGCTTGCTGCCATGGAATATCTTTTCTTTTTTTTCCAGAGGGTGTAAGTTGCATTGTGTTCTTTTGTTTGGAGGAGAGGGCATCCATGATAAGCTCAGTATCACATTTTGATCGGATGTATTTTTTTTTTTTTTTTGGCAATGGAGTCTTTTTTCTGTTGCCCAGGCTGGAGTGCAGTGGCACGATCTTGGTGCACTGCATCCTCCGTCTCCCAGGTCCAAGTGATTCTCCTGCCTCAGCCTCCCAAGTAGCTGGGATTACAGGCCTGCATCACCATGCCCAGCTAATTATTTGTATCTTTAGTAGAGACAGGGTTTCACCATGTTGGCCAGGTTGGTCTTGAACTCCTGACCTTAAGTGATCTACCGGCCTCAGCCTCTCAAAGTGCTGGGATTACAGGCTGGAGCCACAGTGCCTGGCCTGTGCCGCTGTATTCTGAATGAACTCACTGGCATGCCCAGTTACATAGCTAGAGAAAATGATTTCAGGAGTCAGAGGAGCCGGGGATGGAACTATCTGACTGAGGGTGACTGGCCTGGCTACTGACAAATCAATTGATTTTTAAGTTTATATCTGCTTCCACTGGCAGAATATTCATGGGTCTTCAGCCAGTGCTTGAACCAGCGGAAGTGACAACTGGCAGTTTAATTGAAAGTGATCATATAGATAAGCAAAGCATTTTTCCACCCAGACAAACTTAGAAGGATCCAGAACATAGCTTGGTTCCATGAAATATAATCTACATGAGAAAATTAATAACTGCTTATGGATTACTTTGTTGATTAGAGTATTGTAGTACTAGTCTATTCAAGGGTGAAAAGCTAATGCTATATATTGGAGAACTATAGTAGCCTTTGTTATTTGAATTGAGTTTTAATTTTTATTTTTAGAGACAGAGTCTTACTCTGTCGCCCGGGCTGGAGTACAGTGGTGTGATCACAGCTCACTGCAGCCTTGAACTCCCGGTGTAATAGCCTTCAGACTTACTTTTCAGGTATATTTTTTCTTCTGATAGGACAGGATGTGAGCTCAGGATTATGCTGATTTTGAACTCTTTAAGAGCAAGCATCATATTCCACTTACAGTTTTTAATGACTGACACAGTAACTGGCATTTAATAAATAATAGCTACCACCCAAACACTCAGTGTAAATGAGTGTTTACATTCAAAAAACACCATATACATATTACCTCTTTAAACTTCACAATAGTGTTAAAGAGGTAATTTTTATTATCCAATTTTGCTGAGGACAAAACTAAGGGTGGAAGAGGTTAAGTACATTTCCCAAGTAATACAACTGGTAACCTGACAGGACCATCATTTGAACCAAGTCTGTCTATCAAAGGTCATCCTTTTAAAGACTATATTATACTGCCACCCTTTCCCCGCAAATTGACACCCACCCTCATTAGTTGAACCATGAATTGAAAAGGAACCATGAAAAGGAACAAAAGGATCAAGTTGTTGAGAGGGGATATATTATTCAATTTCTTTAGCAGCTCTTTAATTTGCCAAAAGGCAATTCCCTACTTAGTGAATTAGGTCTATCATCTGTTTTAGATGCTGTGCATGTGACTTCGACCTTTACAGTTAAGCAAATAGGATGATGCTTTTGTATTTAGTAATCTATTAGTATGAAGTAATTAAGCTCATGCTCTTAGATGGCTTGGCAAAACAAACAATGGGCATGAAAAGAACATGCTGTAAAGTCATTCTGTTAGCAGCAGCAGCAGCAGCAGCAGCAGCAGCAGCAGCAGCAGTTTTTTGTCTCTCTTGGGCTATAGGCTGTGATGAATGATGTTGGGGAATGACAGCTGTAGAAAGCAAAGAATTACACAATTTTTTAAATAAAGTTAAACAAACATAAATGACAAGACATCTAGAGGGACAATAATGGTTCAGAAGGACTGTAAAGAGGAAGTTGTTTTTGACTGACACAAAGGCTTGAGAAAAGTAATGAGGATGTTCATGATGAAGTTCAAAGAACTGATGAAAATGTAGAAAATGTAAGAGACTAGACTTATTCATGCAGAGGGTTAGCTATGAGAACACTGACTCATACTGAAGGGGAATTTGAACATGAAGGTTTCTGTAAAGCCTGTGCTACACATTTTGAATAGTAAAAAGAAATAGAGAAAATTTGACATTTGTTTGGAACTTTCAAGGGGAGGTTGGTTGTAAAAAATAACATGTATTTGAGGAGAATAGTGATGGAGTATGTTGTTTTGAAGTTGACCCCCTAAAAAACTGTCAAAGTTTACAGGGAAAACTCTAATATCTATAAGACTCAAGAAAATATTTATGTCAAAAACCACAGAAAAGAATTGTTGATTTGATAGCAAACGGCACTGTTCACGCAAAATTCATCCCACAGCAAATCAGGCTTATTATGTGACAGTTGGAAGTATTTGGGAGGTTTTGTATAATATAAAAGACATGGCTTTATCACTGTAAAAATGATTTGGTTTACACTGGTCTTTTAAAAAAGAGTGTTAGACTAAGAAGTATATTATGTTACTCAATTTGGTCATCTGTTTTATTACCCATCTTGGCTCTTGAACCACCTGGGCTTGCTTCCAAAAATCAAACACCGCCTTAAAAGATTACAATTTACGCCACTGAGAATGTTCAAAAGAACACAATTCATTCCCTAAAATTAAATCCAAAAGAGTTCTTAAAATGTCTGGAAGCAGAATCATCTCCAAAGGATAACTTACTTACTGATTTTGAGGAATTAGCACTTGTATGAATAAGTCAGTATCAGTAATTTTATAAAACAACAATAACAACAAAAACCCAGTCCTATTACTTTCTACTCACATCATGTTTTCTGTGGCACCCCAACTTTTTTTTTTAATGCAGGTTAGTTGTTAAAAATTAGGCCAGTGGGACACCTGCTTCCAGGTAGATGGGGTAGATGTATTTTGCCCTATTTCTTCCATTAAGTACAACTAAAAAACCTTGGGCATTACACATAAATAAATGCAAGAAGACTATGAATAATAAAGAGAAGGCAGACTAGCTAGGGACCTGGGGAACAAGTCACAGCATGGTGGTAAGTTCTCTGGGCTTATTTTTGTGTCATATATCACAGACTTGGAGCTGAAGAAGCAGACAATCTGAAAATGCCAATAGGTATAAACAATGCTTCAACAAAAGCCTACTCTCTCTAACCAATGGATAGGAAAGATGCTGTCTAACAAGACAGAATGCTTTTAGACAATAACTCCTCCACTACAGCTGAATACCATAAAAAAAACTGTAGCCCCACCCCAAACAATGCCAGCAAAAGCCAAGTGTTGAGCCCAGACTTCTACCCTTGTGAGGATGTCACAAGGCATACAAACACTTCTGCTAGAGTGGTGTTAGAGAAGGCAAGTAGGTGCACAGCATTCATTCCCATCAACTAGTAATAAGCCCCTCTTCTCCAGTGGTGTCAGTGGTGACCACACAAGGAGCTTGGACTTCCAGTCCTACCCAGCAGTAATGAAGCACCGTTTACCTTACTAACGAGGTGGTGTCAGAGAAGGCCTAGTAGAGAGTCAAGACTTTCCCCATCATCCAGTGGTAATGATGCTACCCCCACCAAGTGGAGACCATGTGGGGAGATGAAACTTCCATCCTCACTTAGCAATGATGAGAAGCCTTTACCTCAACTGTCACTGGAAGCTGAATTGGAAAATTGGATTTCTACCTTTACCTGGCCATAACAATGCAGCACCCCACCCTTCCCCAACTGGAGTGGTGTCAGAGAAAGGCAGCTAAAACAGAAGCTTTAAGTAAGATACAGAGTTTTATAACATAATATAAAAGTGCCCAAGTTTTAATTAAAAAATCACTCATCATACCAAGAATCAGGAAGATCTCAAACCAAATAAAAAAAGACAATCAATAGATGCTCATACTGAGAGGACAAAGATGTTAGAATTATCATACTTTTAAGGCAGCACTTAAAAATGCTTCCATGATCAATTACGCACACACACTTGAAACAAATGAAAAACTAGAAATCGTCAGCAAAGAAATATAAAGTCTCAGCAAAGATCCCGGGCATTGTAGCTCAACCCTATAACCCCAGCACTTTGGGAAGCCGAGGCAGGTGGGTCAGTTGAGGCCAGGAGTTCAAGACCAGCCTGGGCAACACGGCGAAACGCTGTCTTTTTAAGAAATACAAAAAATTAGCCAGGTGTGGTGATGCGTGCCTGTAGTCCCAGTTACTCGGGAGGCTGAGGTGGGAGGATCACCTGAGCTCAGGAGGTCCAGGCTGCAATGAGCTCTGATCACATCACTGCACTCTAGCCTGGAAGACAGAGTGAGACCATGTCAATAAAAAATATATAAAATTTTTAAAAAGTCTCAGCAAAGAAACAGAAGATATAAAGAAGAAACAAATGGAGATTTTAGAGCTGAAAAATACAATAACAAATCAAAAACTCAGTCAGTGAATAGGTTTAACAGCAGACTGTAGAAAACAGAGGAAAGAAACAGTGACCTGGTAGACAGGACAATATAAATTATTCAATCTGAATAACAGAGAGAAAACACATTGACAAAAATATGAGCAGAGTCTTAGGGACCTGTGGGACTATACAAAAGTTCTAATAATCATGTTATCATGAGGAGAAGAGAAAGGGGTTGGGGCTGAAAAATTACATGATAAAATAATGGCTTAAAAATTCTGAAATTTGGTGAGGAGAAATAAACTTACAGATTCAAGAAGCAAGAATTCAAGAAGCAAGCAAGAAGGAAATTCAAGAAGCAAGCAAGAAGGAGATTCAAGAAGCAAGAGTTCCACATAGAACAAACCCAAGGAAATCTATGAATAGACTCTGATAAAGTTTGGCTGTGTCCCCACCCAAAATCTCATCTTGAATTGTAATCCTCATAATCCATATAATCCCCACATGTCAAGGGCGGGACCAGGTGGAGGTAATTGGATCATGGGGGCAGTTTCTCCTACGCTGTTCTCATGATAGTGAGTGGATATCATGAGATCTGATGGGTTTATAAGCATCTGGCATTTCCCCTGCTTGCACTCACTCTGTCCTGCCACCCTTTGAAGAAGGTGTCTGCTTCTCCTTTGCCTTCCGCCATGATTGTAAGTTTCCTGAGGCCTCCCTAGCAATGTGGAACTGAGTCAATTAAATCTCCTTCCTTTATAAATTACCCAGTGTTGGGTATTTCTTCATAGCAGTGTGAGAATGCACTAATACAGACACACTATAATTAAACTTCTGAAAACTAAAGCAAACTACCACAACTCATCCAATATAAAATATAGATAACTTGAACAGCCCTACAACTATCAAGAAATAAAACCTGTAATTTAAAGCTCCCAGGAAAAAAATATCCAGGCCCAGATGGTTTCACTGGACATTTCTACCGAATATTTAAATAAGAATTCTCCAACTTGGGCAAAACAGTAAGACTCCATCTCTAAAATTTTAAAATAAAATATTAGCCACTGTGGTGGTGCACACCTGCAGTCTTAGCTACTCGAGAGGCTGAGGTAGGAGGATCATTGAGCCCAGGAGTTCAAGGGTACAGTGAGCTATGATTGTACTACTGCAATCCTGCCTAGGCAACAGAATGAGACTGTTTCAAAAAAAGAAAAAAGAAAAATTCATACCAATTCTACACAATCGCTTTCAGAAAACAGAAGAGAGAATACTTCTTTATTTTATGAAACGAATATTACCCTGATACCAAAAAAATAAAAAAACAAAACAAACAAATAAAGGAAGAAAGAAACAGAGGAAGGAAGTAGGGAAGAAAAAAACCACTATAAACCAATATCCATCATGAATATAGATGCACAAATCCTTAATAAAATATTGGCAATGAAAATTTAGCAATATATAAAAAGAATGATATACCATGACCAAGAGATGTTTATTCTAGTGATACAAAGCTTGTTCAATATTTGAAAATCAATCAGTGTAATGCACCATATGAATGGGCTACAGAAGAAAAATCGTGATCATATCAATGGAAGCAGAAGAAGTATTTGACAAAATTCAACATCCATTCATGATGAAAGTGTTCAGAGAAATAGGAATAGAGGGAAACTTCCTCTACTCAATAAAGAACATCTACAAAAATGTATAGCTAATATACTTAATGGGAAAAAACCAAATGCTTTACCACTAAGATCAGGAGCAGACGTAAATGTACACTCTCACTACTCTTATTCAGCATAGTGCTGAAAGTTGTAGTCAGTGAAATAATGGAAGAAAAGGAAGTAAAATGCATGAAGATTGAAAAGAAAAAAGAAGCTGTTCTTATTTACGATGACACTGTCTAGATAGAAAATTCAAAAGAATCAACAACCAAAAAATCTAAAACTAATGAGTGAGTTTAGCAAGGTCATGGGATACAAGATAAACATACACAAATCAAGTGTATTTATGTATGCTAGCAATGAACACATGGACACCAAAATTTAAAATGCAATACCATGTATAATCATTCAAAAAATGCAATACTTAGGTACAAATTAAGCAAAGCTTGTATAAAACTTATAAGCTGAAAACTATACTTACATGCTGATGAAGATATCCAAGAAGATTTAAATAAGTGGAGAGACAGACTATACTTATGGAATGAAAGACTTAAAAAGTAAAGATCCTCTCCAAATTGATATACCAGTTTAATTCTTATCAAAATTCTAGCAAGATTTATCTCTAAATACATATGATTATCCTAAAATTCAGAAAGACAATGAATCTAGAATAGCTAAAACAAGTTTGGAAAAGAAGTATAGAGTGAGAGGAATCAGTCTATCTGATTTGAAGTTTATTAGAGTTGTAATCAAGAAAGACCATGTGTTACTGTATTTGCAGAGGGATAGACACATAGACTAATGAAATAGAGCAGAGAACTGATAAATAGATTGACAAAAATATGTCCAAATGATTTGAGACAAAGATGCAAATGCAATTTAATGTAGGAAAGAATCTTTGCAACAGATGGTGCTGGCCCAGTTTGACATCCACAAGCACAATAAATGAACTTTGACTTATGTCTCAAATCTTATATCAAAATTAACTCAAAATAGATCACAGACTTAAATGTTAAATGCTAAAAGAATGAAAAAAAAGTCAAGCTACAGAGTTGGAGAAAATGTTTGTAAATCATGTATCTGATAGAGGATAGTACCTAGAATATATAAAGAACTCTCAACTCTCAAGCTCAATGGTAAAAAGCTAAACAATCCATTTAGAACATGGGCAAAAGATGCGAAGAGACATTTTACCAAAGAGGATATACAGATGGAGGCAAATAAGTACATAAAAAGATGTTCAACGTTATTAGTCATTATGGAAATTGAAATTAAAACCACAATGTTTGCATAATTCACCTCATAATCTGAGTTAATTTTCAGTAAGTGTATATATCACTACACACCTAACAGAATGACTAAGACAAAACACAGTGCCAACACCAAATGCAGGAGATGATGAAGAAAAACTAAATTACTCACATATTGCTGCTGGCAATGTCAAATGGTAGAGCCACTCTGGAAAAATGTTTGGTAGTTTCTTTACAAATTGAACATGCAAGTACCATATGATCCAGCAGTTGTATTCCTGGACATTCATCCCAGAGACTTATGAAGACTTAGGTTCACACAAAAAGGTGCGCACAGATGTTTATAGCAATTTTCTTCATAGTAGCCATAGATGGAAAATAACCCAGATATCCTTCCATAGGTAAATGATAAACGAACTGTGATATATCCATACTATGGAATACTATGCAGCAATAAAAAGGAAAGAACTATTGATACATACAACACCTGAATGAATCTCCAGAGAAGTATGCTGGAAAAGCCAATCCCAAAAGGTTACATACATACAGACCCTATTTACATAGCATTCTTGAAATGGCAAAATTAAATAAATGAAGGGGGTTATAGAAATGCCAGGAGTTAATTAAAAAATAATTATACATGCAGTACAGATAACATAGTCTTTGGAGTCAAATGAACCTGAGTTTTATTCCTTGCTTTGTCACTTTTTAGTTATGCAATCTTATGCAAGGTACCTAAGATTTCTGCTTATCAGATGAAAATGCAGATATAATAATTAGTGCTTAAGAGAAAGTGGTGAAGATTAAAGAAGATAATGCAATACACTGAGTGTATTGCTGGAGATATAGCACTCTAATGGCAATGAGAACAAAAGTTCCTATCTGCAGAGTGAAGGTCTAACTGTCTGGCCATAGCAATAAATAACCACTGGAAAAAAATGATTTTAAACCTGTTGTAATCAATCAGTAACAACTTGCTTTAGAAACTGCACTTGAAGGTCAACCAGTCAGCAACAGTCTGAGTCAAGTAACCATGCTTCTCCCAATGAAAGTTTTGCCAACTAACTCCTAAATATTCTAACTTCTGAACATCCACCAGTCACTCAACTCCTTGCTTCTTCAAATCCTATTTAGCTCAGAGTGGTTGTACCTTGCAAGTTATTTGTATGCAAGCAGTAAATTATGCATTTTGTTTCAGATGTTGAGATGTGGCCTCTTTTATGGATGGGGACAGAATATACAATAACGGACTAAATACATTCTGCCATAAGTCAAGATGATACTACTTACTCTGCACTATTAACATGACTAATATTTTAGGTTGCTGTGATTCATCTTTGTTTTTTCACCCCTAGATATTTCCATCCCCATCATTGTATATGTTTTTAATACAACCATCTAGGTAAAGAGAGGAGTCTGTATTCATGGATAACTAATTCAAAGAGATGCTAACTCATGACTTTGGTCTCATTAACAACCTATTGTTAGGAACAAAGCTAAATGAAAGTTAGCTTATCCATAATTCACATAGATTTTTATCCAAAATAATAAATATTATGATAGCTACCATTAATTAAACACTTACATAACAGGCACTGTGATAAGTATTTTACATCATAATCATGGTTAATTTTCAAAGCCACTCTATAAGATAAGCATCATCATCCTTTCCTCTTAGATGGGAAAACTGAGAAGCAAAGTTTAATATGCTCAAGGGCCAATAAAGACAAAGTTAAGGTGAACATTTCTCCTGAACTTTTGCTTAAAAGGAAACAAAAGACAAGATCTTAGTAAGAACTAAAAGAAAAGCTGAGTTTTTTTCGTATTACAGTTTACTACATAGTTTAGTGTATCACCTATGCAAGGTACCCTGTATTAGTGTAATTATCATTTTGCTGGACGTGTCAATATTCAGTGCAGTTGTATCATTTTCACAGGTAGTTTTGGTGACAGGACTCAGGTTATTTTGTGGAAAACGGTGACAGCATCAACCAAGAAGGGTTAACAGAAATTGCAGAGAATATACTCAAGAAGTTTGATGTACTATGTTATTGAGAAACAAAATTAACAAAATGAACTAAATTCAATATGAAGAAAAGGCCTCTAGTGCTTAAGAGAACTTTTAAAGTTTAAGTTGTGCTTAGTGCTCCTAATTCTTTTTGTTCTGAGATTCACAAAGGTCACTAAAGAACTTGTAAATGTTTCATATTAAAGAACATGAAGGTTTGGAAAACAGATGCATTTCAAAATCTCTAAAAATTTTGATTTGCATAGACCAATAAAAACAAATTGAAGAGGACTAAAAAATTCTTTAAAAAATGTGACTAGTGCATGAGTTTCTCTCTTTTGAAAATGTAACAACAACAACAACAACAACAACAACAACAAAATACCAAGCAGTGCCAAAAAGTACTAGCTATATATATATCAAATATATTCCTGGTGTTGAGGTTATTTAACAGTGCAATGGGCTATGCTATAATGTTTTCTGATTTTTTTTGTTGGGAGGGGTGTGTGTGATAAAATATATGAGGGGAATAATTAGTGGGTAGAGTAGGCTGTATACCCAGACAACACTGGATTCCAATCCTGTATCGCTCAATTTCATACCTCTAACTCCTGGTCCCATAAAGTTGTGAAGATGATATGAGAGTGTTTTGCAAGGTAAGCATCTTAGTACAGTGCCTACTGTATGTACTGTAGATATTCTTTTTCTGATTATAACAACCTATTAAGCTGAACCTTTTCATCCTGTTTTATTTGTATTTAGGCCAGCTTGATGCCAAAATCTATGTTCTCCCATTTCAGTGTCAGAAGACAAACTTGCACAAATATATGGAAGGAAGCTCTGCAGCTAAAAATAAAGGGGGCAGGAAGATGTTCCTTCTCCTGTCCTGGGGTTTTGGTGACATTTCATTCTGGTGGCACACTGCAGTAATTTTAGAGGGCATTCAAAATATTTGCTGACCTTGAATTTTTTGGAGTCAGATACTGGTAATATACTTCAGTGTCTCCAATGACACATAAAAAGTGAGGTGGTAGAACCTTTCACTTCAGTGTAAGTGTCTTAGCATAGCAGCTGGCTGATATACAAAGGCAGTCATCTCTGGCATATTGAATCTCTATAAGTACATTCTCCTATGATTAAATGTCAACCAACAAAACATAGCTATGGATTTAGGAAATTATTAGCCAAAATTAAAAAACGATGGAGTATCCTTAATAGCAGAATGATGAAACTGAGGATGAGTCTACACTTTTCAACCTATGGTTTGTTTTGTGATGATGCTGACATATATTCCCAAAATGGAAGATGTTAAGAGTAACGATAAAAGTTTGACAACAATTTATTTCACCCTTAAGATTTCTAAGAACCTACAGCTAGTAGAGTAAGTCAGACAAAGATCAAGTGGCAAGAAATGGAATCTTATCATTTTGACATCTCTATCTGGCAACTATCCTTGATCTCTGCCAGCTGTCATGTTATGTAGAACTTCAAGTTAACAGTGAAGAACCCCCAGGAGTTATGTCTTTACTTCATTGGTCCATAAGCAAATGAGAACAATCTTCTCCATCACTGGGAGTAATACCAGTCTCAATCATCACTTCTCATCACATATTCAACCCGGAACATTTTTATGGCATTGGATTAATTCTGCATTTTTGCTTTTAGATTTCTCCCCAAACAAAGACAATATAAATGCTATTGAGTTATCTCAATTTTCTGAAGAACAGTCATTTGTTTTAAGGAACATCTATGTCAAATATTGATGGAGTAAGTACTTTAATCTGCCCGTTTTCCTATTGCTTAATCTGTGGCAAATTTATTTTCTACCTCTGACTTGATAGCTTTTTGACAGACATTTTTGGCTTTACACTTTTATTAAGGAAATAATTTAGAGTGAGACTGGATGAGGACAATCCCCGATTTTGTGACAGTGATGTCCTTCAATACTGCAGACAGTTGTATTGTTGTACTGGTATTAGGAAATAAAGGTATGCTTTGTGAGTTAAAGAATAATGTTGTCTTAAGAAAAATCCAATACAAAAGTGACTGTAAATTAAACAATATTTTATTCAGCTGTCATTTTTGCTTTAGGTTAGAGATTTTTTTTCCATTCACATTTTCACAACCTCCTATCCCCATTATTTCTGAGAACAAATCTAATAACAATAGAAATAGAGTAAGCTTTAAAAACACCTATGAATTAAATAATACTAAAATCAATCAATTAGAAATATATTATCCTAGCTCTTCAGATTAACAAAATACATATTTGAAATGGATCATTAAATAAATTATTTCATTGATTTTTTCAAACCCTTTTTCCTGATTCAGCTTCTATTACTAAGTCATGGAGCTGCCTCTGAAAGGTCTTATTTCCATGGAATTTTTGATTTCCTCCAGGTCATGTACTTTGGTTTATTTGGCATTGGCTGATAATTCTTAACAAGCAAGTCTACATATGTATATACCATCTCTATCTTATATCAATAATTTGCAGTTAGGGGGACAGTAACTGTAATTGGACGTATTTAGTCTTATTTTCCCAAGTATAGCAAAAGGCATGGCTCTATTGATTTTCTGGAAAAAAATAATATGATAATATATAAATTAGCATATGTTTTAAAAGAGTATATGGAATTCACCTGAATAAGATTACTGGCAAAGTTACGTAAAAGGAGTGCAACTTGATTTGAGCCTGCAGATATTCATATAATTGTTCTTTGGATTGTTCTGCACAATACAATTTTTACAACCTCAACAGTGCATTTTTATTCTGTTCCAGAGCAATAACTAATGTTACTGCCATAAAGACCATACCAAAACAAGTTTAGTAGGGATACAGGCATAGATTTGATAGGCAGGGAAAGTAAAGGGGTGTCTTAATATATCACTAATATATCACTAAATATAAGCATCAGAAATCTCAAAAGCCTCCTATTGGTGTTTGGTAGGTGCCTGACAATGTTGTCAGTAAATGACCACTAATCAAAAGTTCTATAAGGTATAATTTTCATCTACCTACCTCTCCTTCTCCTAACCTGTCCTAACTTGGAGGATGTTTGTGTGACAGTGGTTGACTGCCTCTCAGGTGACCGGCATGATTGTAACTACTATTTAAAAGTTCCTTTTCAACCAGAGGTGAAATTAAAGAGTAGGTACTTATTAGTCACACAAATAATTCAGTTCTAGGTTATTTCTAGTAGATACCAAAACTCCAAGGAAAGTATGGTTGCATTTCCGTAGATCTAGAGGTAATTTTCAAAGTCTCACTGGAGATGAAGGCTCTTTTTATTTGGACACATTTGATATCTTCCTACTTTTCCACTTTTTTATGTCCTGAAAAAAATGGCTTTTGGTCAAGAGAAAAACTGCATAATTTCTGTTTAAGAAATGTCTCTCCAGGGGCTACAGATTGTGCCAAACATTTTTTAAATTAAAAATTATAATTATATGATTTAATCAATCTGGCCTTTCACTGAACTCATTTCTTGTTTCTGGGCAGAGCTTACTGACAGTGAATGCATTTGGCTGCTGTCTCTTGAAGCTACTTTTCCTCAGCAGCCTCAGCATAATATGCTGTTACCACAGAAACCAATGCAGCCTTTATACTGCTTGACACAAAGTTCTAAGTGACACCACCAAAAGGAGGGTAGGGGAACAAGATGAGGGAAACAGAGAATCTCCATCTATCTAATGACTCAAAAGATCCCTTTTCCTAGCATTTAGAAAGCTGTTTGGAATTGAGAATGACTCTCTGAAAGGAACTCCAATTTGTTTCTGAGTTTTAGGGACTGCCTAGTCTACCAGAAACAACATTAACTCTGATCAGTGAAAACTTTGCTACTCTCGGAGGAGAAAAATGAGGCTTGGGAAAGAGAACCAGGAAAGAGAAGTGATGATTGAGACTGGTATTAATTACTCCCAGTGATGGAGAAGATTGTTCTCATTTGCTTATGAGGCTTGGGAAAGAGAACCAGGAAAGAGAAGTGATGATTGAGACTGGTATTACTCCCAGTGATGGAGAAGATTGTTCTCATTTGCTTATGGACCAATGAAGTAAAGACATAACTCCTGGGGGTTCTTCACTGTTAACAACATGCATTTCTTTGGGAGGGAAAAAATACAAAGCCTAAGGCAAAAAACAATTCTACTTGATATATTTGCTTCTGTACAAAAGGAGAATTTAGTTACAGCATTGACAATCACTCAGGTTTTAGAATCATTTTTCAATTTCAATTTTACTCTAAACCAGAACAGATATTCTTGACTTTGAGGTTAACGGAAATAAGAAACAATTCTATTTCCGCATCTCTTATATGTAATATTTACCTGGTTGATTTTCATATCTGCTTCTTCCACATCTTGACTTGCTTGCTTACAGCCTCATGATCTACTCTACTTTCTGCCATCTATTTTTTTCCAATATTTAAATCCTCATCTCTCTCTCTCATCTATTTCAGACTTTCTTCTATTTCTATTTAAATAAGCTACATTCACCCCAACCTTTTGACATAAGGGACCTCAACAGCACAATGCCTATTCTCAGTTAAATTACAAAACCAAAAATTATAGTTACTTTTATTCCAGTTCTACATACACAGAGTACTGATAGCAATATTTCTTTTCAGTGGAAAACAATTTCAATAAATTTACTTTTCAGTGACTGTAATTTAATGATTTTTTTTTGGGGGGGTGGGGTTGGAGTTTTGCTCTTGTCACCTAGGCTGGAGTGCAGTGGCATGATCTCTGCTCACTGCAACCTCCACTTACTGGGTTCAAGTGATTCTCATGCCTCATCCTCCCCAGTAGCTGGGACTACAGACGCACACCACCACACCTGGCTAATTTTTTTTGACATTTTTAAAGTAGAGACAGGGTTTTGCCTTGTTGGCCAGGCTGGTCTCAAACTCCTGGCCTCAAGTGATCCGCTTGCCTCGGCCTCCCAAAGTGCTAAGTGCTGGGAATACAGGTGTGAGCCACCACAACTGGACATAATTATCTATTTTAGATATTTATAAAATAATAAAATGTATTTATTTAAATTTCTAGATATATAGGTTGAGGTGATTTTTCTTAAGTTGTACTTTTAAATATCTTTTAAATAAGTTGTACTTATTTTAAATGACATTGGTTTACTCTGATCTTCTGAAAAGTTTTTATAATAGACTGACTTATATTACCAAGTAAAATCCCAGTAGGAATTTGATCCAGTTATTTTAAAGCACAAATGATGATTTGGCCATATGGTTGACAGAAAAACAATTTATGATTTTCAAAAGATATTTTAGATCTTACCTTTCTAAATTTTTATAGAAAGAAGCATTGAAATGTATTACATTAAAAAACATGACAAATGCCATAATTGAAATAAGAAATGAATATTCCTCCTGAGAAACTTAATAAAAAAATCTTTAAAAAAGTATTTTAGAAAAAGCAAAAATGACAATTTGGGGTTGGGGTGGGGGTGGGGTAAAGGAAGAATAATAAGAACTTGAAAATGACCACACACACACACACACACACACACACACACACACACACACACTTTCTTCTAGTTTCTTCTTCTGATAAATTCCTAGGCATGTCTCAGAGATGACAATCCTGGCAATCCTGAAGTGCTTAATAGCTGAACTGATATTGTAGATGTGAGAAAATCACAGGCAAGTTCAGCATAAGAGGTAAGTTTGTGAGCCAAAACTAATCAGCAAATTTTTAAAGCCTTCCTCTTCCTCTGTGTCCATCCTGATATTGACCCTTGTTATCCATCTTTATTACTCCAACTGCCAAGTCATTATGCACTTAACCTAGAACACTCAGGGAGGGAACAGACACTCAGGGTGGAAAGAGTCACTGATGCTAAAGGAGACCTTTGAATGCCTAGTCTTTTGTTACTAAAGAATTTTCAGATTTTAAAATGCTAGGATTTTATAGTTTCTTGGTTATCCATTCCAGAAGCGAAGTGTTTGGTTTCATTGGTTTTAATATGTCACTGTAGCCTTTTGGCTGCAATGTTTTTCTGCTCCATCATTCTAACATACTCTTGCAGATATTATCCTTTAATTTAACATTTTATGGATATTCAATGTGTTTAAGACTCCTAATACTTTTAAAAGAGTATCATTTTAGAATTAGGGCAAAACAGCCTTGTCATCCCTATAGAGGATTTGACCAAATCAGAGTGCAATGTCTGAATTTAAAATAACATGTTTTTGCATTTATCTTTTATAGTATCACCTTCATATTATTTTCTGTTACATATAGGAGGGAAATATAAAATGATAAGTTACCCAGGTGAGCTTGGCAAGTAACCTAACCTCTGAGTATGAGTTTCTTCTTTAACAAAATAATAGTGCTTACTTCATATAGTTGCTGTGAAAGTTAGATAAAGAAATACATTAAAGCATTTAACACAATGCCTTATGTAAAGATTTAATACATGAAACCAAATATTCTGACTATAGTGACTGTGGCATAATCCGATAGACTGTAGGAGTAACAGAAGTGATGTAATTAGACTCTAAAATACAAATTCTCCTTCTGAAACCATGGTTGTTTTCAGCAATTGCAAAAGTTTTAAACAGCAGTTCTTAAAGTATTCATATAATACTGCCTGGAATTTTGGGGTGTCAGATTTACATAGCTATAAAATGTTCTTCTAGCAGTGAATCCTAAACTTTTAATACTAATAGACATCAAAATTTGAGATTTTGGGCCGGGCACAGTGGCTCTCGCCTATAATCCCAGCACTTTGGGAAGCTGAGGTGGGCAGATCACTTGAGGTCAGGAGTTTCAGACTAGGCTGGCCAACATGGCAAAATCCTGTCTCTACTAAAAATACAAAAATTAGCCAGGCGTGGTGGTGAATGCCTGCAATCCCAGCTACTTGGGAGGGTGAGGCGCGCGAATCACTTGAACCCAGGATGGGGAGGCTGCAATGAGCCGAGATCACACCATTGCACTCCAGCCTGGGTGACAGAGCAAGACTCTGCCAAAAAAAAAAAAAAAAATTGTGAGTCTGGGACTGCATAGCAAGAGAGAAATAAAATCTACCACCTACTTTTACTCCCTTAAAAAAAAAAAGACAGCATTTAACACTCTTGGCATTTTTCCATCACTTTGCCACTCTCAGGTGCACAGGACAGGGACAATAGATACAGGAGCAAAATTCTGAGAAATAAACACTTCTTGTCCAATTACTTTATGTGTCTAAGGTTTTGGATCCACAGCTTGGAAGACACCCACATTTGTTCTCTATAGTGCTTGAAGTACTGGCTGGCATGGCCATGAGTAACCAAAAATCTATGATAGCCAGAACAGAGAGCCACAAGTTCAGTCAAAGACTTTCCATAATTTCCCTCCAAATCCCTACAGCATTACTGTGGTTTCTGATGGCTTAGTTAGAGAGACAAGATTAAAAAAAAAAAATCTACAGAGGCTTGGAGAAATAGACTCAAATTGGACACTGGCTAAGAATTCTTCACCACTTATTCTCCTTTGATTCCCCATTCAATTTATAGTTCACTTTCTATCTTTCCATTCCCATTATGTCTAGCCTAACTGCTCACTCCGTGACAACTGCAAAAATAATATTAACTTTTAAAAATGTCATTGTAGAATCAAATAGAAACCCAATAACTAATAGTATAATTATCGCATCTATTTCAGTAAATTTTGCAGCCCAGGCTAATACTCCCATGACCATTTTTCTTTCCTTAGGTTGAGTCTCACTGAATATTAACTTGACTATTCAACTAATATATAATATATAACAAAAACTAAATTTGAATATTTAAAGTGGTCCTTATTCTCTCTACTCTGAGAGGTGATAGGTGGACATATCTATTTATAGGTTCAGAAATCTCGGATTTTAGGCAAAATTGCTATAATATGGGATAATCAGAACCTGCTTATCATAATAGTAGGAAGAAGACATGGTACATTTAGTACATTACTTCTTTCTTGAGTTTTACAGGTTTCTTTACTTACCCCTTAATGCAGATTCCTATGGATTCCCCCCCCAACATTTAAGCAAATTGCTTTTGCTGAGATCACCAATGACCTCCTTGTTGCTAAATCCAAGGAGCCTTTAGTCATACTTATCTTGCTTGACGTTTCTGTGCATCATTTGACAGTTGACCGTTCCCTCCTTAAAACATTTTTCCCTCACTATTTCCAAAGTGTTACTTTCCCTTGTTTTTCCTTTACATGTTTCTTGCATAATTGAAATTGAGAGCCCTGTCTACTCTACGCCAACTGATCAGACAAAGCCAGTCATATAACTCCGTTTCTTTTTCTAGGATGGGAAGTCCTTAGCTCTTTTGGGTCAATGAGATGTAAGATGAGGCTTGTTGAAAGACTCAGGGAAGAAAGGTTTTGCACATAAGAGAGAGCTACAATAGAAGCTTACTTCTCTCTCTTGCTGGATTTGAAAGAGGAAGTTCATATTACCAATCGCCATTGGTAGTAATCTTATAATTATGAGAGAAACCAGTTTTAGGATAGAGCCAACAGCGTGAGGGCAGAGTGGAATGGGAAAATAAAACGCTAAGTATTTAATAAGAGAGAACCAAGTACTAAAGTTGAGGCATAGTATAAATCTCAACTACTTCTTATGTTTAGTGAAGTATTTCCTTGAAGTTCAACGTTTCCCTTGAATTTTCTACAGCTTGCAGTAAAATCGCTGTATTGATCTAATCTTTGATTATTTCTTTTCTGCCTATTCTTCCTATGTACTGTACATGTCTTAAATGTTGGTGTTCCATGGAGTTCTGTTCCATGGAGTTCTGGGCCATCCTTCTACCTCACTCATGGCTCAATAATACATGTTCTAATGATTCCTAAATTTGAATCTCCAGCTAAGTTTTCTCTACTGAACTTAGGATAAATATATCCAAACATCCACTGCACATTTCCACTCGGATGCCTTAAAGCTACCTCAAATCAACATGTAAAAACCTAAACTCTTCTCTCTTCCTCCAATTCCACCTATTACTCTTTCTGTATTTCCCATCTTAGTGAATGGAACATCATCACTCACTTGACCACATTAGAAGCTTGGGTATCAACCTTGGAACTTTTATCTATCTCTATGCCCTATGTCCAATCACAAGATTGTTTTGGTTCTAATATTTATCATGATATTGGATCTATGAATTTGTTATGGTTTGGCTCTGTGTCCCTACCCAAATGTCATGTTGAATTGTAATCCCCAAGTGTTGAAGGAGGGACCTAGTGGGAGGTGTTTGAATCACGGGAGTGGATTTTCCTCTTGCTGTTCTTGTGATGGGGTTCTTATGAGATCTGGTTGTTTAAAGGTATATAGCACTTCCCCCTTCTCACTTTCTGTCCTACCATCACGTGAAGACATGCTTGCTTCCCCTTTGCTTCCACAATGATTGTAAGTTTCCTGAGGCCTTCCTAGCTATACCTCCTATACAGCCTGAGGAACTGTGAGTCAATTAAACCTCTTTTCTCTATAAATTACCCAGTCTCAGGTAGTTCTTTATAGCAATGTGAGAATGGACTAATACAGCATATCTTTCCACCACCCATTGTTTCCATTGACTTTCACCTGAATTACTATAGAATCTTCCTAACTAGTTCCATTGCGTCCAGTCTTTCTCCTCACTAATTCATTCTCTGAAAAGCTGTCAGAGTGCTCTTTAAATAAAAACTTGATCATGTCCTTTCTCTGTTTAAAATACTTTATATTCCCCTTCTCATTTCCCACAGGATAAATCCCAGCATGATCCGGCTTCTGCTTATCCCTCTAGTCTTATTTGACACCACTGCTCTTAGTTTCCTCGCTAAACAGGTGCCCTTTCCAGGTACTGTCATAGCCCTGTATCCCATCTTAGCATTAACCACATCATATTATATTTACCTGTGGTGCTGAATATTACCCAATAGTCAAATTAATAACATGCATAAAATAAATGCCTGTAAATCAGTGGCATTACCAAATATTTTGGATAAAATAAAATTTGATATTTAATGCATTTTTGAAGTATTGAAGTGGTCATCAAGAGAAAAATCACTTAAGTAACAAAGAGTGTAAGTATGTAATACATATGTAGGTTACAAAGCACAATTATAAAATGAACACTCATGAGCTTAGAAAGTAGAGTGTAGGCCGGGAGCGGTGGTTCATGCCTGTAAACCCAGCACTTTGGGAGGCTGAGGCGGGTGGATCAGGAGGTCAGGAGATCTACACCATCCTGGCTAACACGGTGAAACCCTGTCTCTACTAAAAATTGGCCAGGCATGGTGGCAGGCCCCTGTAGTCCCAGCTACTCGGGAGGCTGAGGCAGGAGAATGGCGTGAACCTGGGAGGTGGAGATTGCAGTGAGCAAGTGAGCAGAGATCGCGCCACTGCGCTCCAGCCTAGGCGACAGAGCAAGACTCCGTCTCAAAAAAAAAAAAAAAAAAAAAAAAAAAAAAAGTAGAGTGTAAAGAACCATAATTCAATTTCAGAATTAGAACAGTTCCAGCAATAATATCCACTTTCTCCCTGATTCCATCCCCTACTTTACCTTTAGAGATAACCACAATTCTGAATACTACATTTACCATTTACTTATAACAATAGGTTTCTTATGTACTTATGCTTAAATAATATATTTTGAGTTTTGCTTGTTTTGGGATTTGTAAACATGGTATTACATATGTATGCCATTTCCAGAAACTTTTTCTTCCATTCAAATTATGTTTCTAAAGTTAATACACATTATTGTAATTATAGTTTACTAATTTTTATTGCTTTGAAATATTCCTTTGTGTAATTAACAGAATTTATTTACATACTCTCCTGGTGGTAAACATTTGGCTTTTCCCAGTTTTCTGGTATTGGAAACATTTCAAGTACCCTGAATGACATGTATGATAATTTTTCTAGTTTAATACCTTAAGAGGAGAATTGATGGAATGTCGAGTATGTGCATATTCAGCTTTGCAGGAAAATTTGTTACCAAAGTGATAATGTTTCATATTCCAATAAGAAGTCTAAAAGAGTTTCCATTGCTCTTATACCTACAAACGACTTGTATTTTTCAGATTTCTTAATTTTTGCCAGTCTAGTAAATGTAAATGGCATATCTTTTGCATTTCCCTGATTGATAAAAAGGTTCAGTTTTGTTTTAGTATTTATTTACCCACCTGATTCCCCTTGTATTTTACCAGTTTAAAAAACTGTGTTGTATGTCTTCATTACTGATTTGTAAGAGCTTTAAAAAATATATTTTAGAATACAAATTCTCCCTTCTCTCATATATGTGGCAAGTATCTTATCCCAAGTTGTGGCTTTCTTTTTACTCCTGTTGTGGGGATCTGTTATGTAATATTATAATTACCTACTTATCACTCAGCACACCTTACTAGATAAAAAGGCTCTTGAAGTAAGAAACTGTCTTTTTCATTTTTGTTTCCTCAATATCTAGCAAGTGCTCCACACATAGCAATGTACATATAGTTGTTCACTGTTTGCTGAATCAATTGTCATAACTTTAGAAATAGTGAATCAAATTTTCTTTTAAGCAAACTGGTTACAACACACTGTTAAAGCCAAGAGAGTCGGAAGTATGTCACATATCATTCTATATGTGCCTTTCAAAGGTGGGTGGTAAGAGGTAAGAGTATCTGTAGAGAGGTTGCAGGATGTTGTTTGTAAACATTCATTACCAACTTTGAACAGTTGGCAGTGTTTATTTTCCATTCATTTCAATGTACTTACAGTCAACCAAACTCGTGTAGTAGCATAATATTTACCTTAAAGTTATCACAAACTTAGAAATTATGATAAGACACAAAATATTTATTATATATTGCAGTAGATTGTGCAAGGTTCATGGTTTGTCTTGTTAATTAAAAATTGGTTACCTTCTTAGTAATGGTGTCCGGAGGTACATCCCGCCTCCCAAGTGGATAAGGATTCCATTGGCCACTAGGAGATACATCTTCTTGTCCATTGTCTAAAATGTTGCTTTGCTGGGACGGGGTCTATTGCAAAAATGGTATGGCATTCTTTAGTGATGTAGTAGAAGTTTACCATAGTTTTCTGAAAAGAGTCCCTAATGATCATGGTAAAATTAATTTTGTTTAATTGCAGAAAAACATACATCCTGAACTGCAAATATTATATACTATTTACTGGGTAAGAACTGTAAATTGAAAGCTTTTTGGAAGCAATGAAAAATGCAATTAAAATAACCATCTTAGAGTTGTTCACTGAATTTTAAGGAAAAATTTAGATTATTTACAGTACCTGAATAAAAATAATCAGAATAAAATTAACCAATTGTTACAATTATTAAAAACACAGCACTTAAAACTTGCTTAATTTTAGTATAATCTCACCATTTAGAATAGAAATTGAAACCATACAATACATAGAATATAAGTTCTAATATTCTAAGCCATAACCTAAAATAAATTTTATAAGGTTGTATTGATTCTGGGAGAATATGCCTTGCACTAAACCCAAATAGTGCTAACACTGGCATAGTGCAAGATTTATGGTACTATGGCGTTATCAACAAATAGCTTTGGGGGGACATCAAAAATATGCTATTAAAAATGTGCTATTAGAATCGTAGTGTAAGTAAATCATGACTGTTTTGATTACCAAATTTATTTATTTATATAAATGATATATATTAAAATTTAAACTCGTCATAAATATTTTATTTTGGCTGATTTCATGCTTATTATTTTTAACAAATACTAATACCTGCCTGTCTTTATTTTGGGTGAATTTCATATTCTAACCTTAGTAATAGCAAGCAATCACATACCATCAGAAAGCCTCCAGTGGAGGGATGTACAATGGTATATTTACATATATTTTCACAAAGGCTCCTTTCTTCCCTAGTGTGTAAGATACACAAGTACTGCTTGGTTTCCTGAGGGAATTCTTCTGTGGTTGAGCTATTATACTCCAGTGTTTCCTATGCCATTTTCTGCACATGTTCTAAAGGATCCCTACTGATAAAGCCCAGCTAGAGAGTGTGCAGCTATATTTTGTGTAAGGAATTGTCCTCCTACCCTACCTAGAAAGGGAGAACTGGGCTATTCTCATCAAAACATGTTAAAAATGGGCGTTTGCTAAGCTTTATCTGGTTATATTGAGTGGTCTTAGTTTGTTCTCTTCTGAAAAACAATGATAGAACCTCCTTACCTGCATTCTAACCACAAGCATTTTTTTAAAGGCATTGCTTGGAAAAATTCTAAAATAGGATTTAATATGACACTAGATGAAGTCTTCCTAGGATCTAATGGATATAATGAAAATTAACTCAGTTTTCTTCTTGTTCTTTGGTTATGTGAATTCTTTTTTCATAAGCCTATCAAAAAGTATGAAAAAAAAAAGAGAAAAAAGGTACTGAATTTAAGCTCCTGAGTTAGGAATGAATTGGTGTGTGTTTATTTGAAAAATTCAATCTAGACAACATGTTTAAAGTATGTGTTACTTCAAAATTAGCAGGTAGCTATTCAACGACTGTCTGTTTTCCAGCATCACTTTTCTAGTGTTTACCTTTTCCAGATTAATATGTTTACATATGCCCATACACAATTTTTTCTAGATATTAAAATATGGTAAATAAAAATTAAAATTAAGAGTTAAAACATAATTATTCAGGTTAAGCATTACTGGCCAGGGTTTTCTTTTTGAATTTTTAGTATTTATCTTTTCTGACTTAGTTTGTTTGCTAGTGAAGTGGGATAATTAGTATGTTCATTTGGCCAGGTCTGTGCAATGTAGATTTTTAAGAAGTGGCCACAATTTAACATAGGTTTCCTTTTTCTCCACATCCTCCCCAACTCTATCTGTATTTCCTCCACCCAGACATGTTTCCAGTTACAGAGAAACTGAGAATTACAAATTCTTTTTGGTGTTAAAAAATGTGAAATCCTTTTAGTCAAAATCCTAATATAATGGTGTAGGTGCTTCACTAGTTTATAAATTAATCTAGTTCTTTTCAAAATTAGAATTAACAATCACACCAAGTCTCTATTACAGGGGCCAAAAGGAACATAAACATGCAGACACATTAAAAAGATACTTTCACTAGGTAGCAAAATTAAAGGAAATTCCTGAAAGCAATTTCCTTTTAAGAATACTCTGGCCTTTTTGTTTTTCTTGCATGAGACACCTTAGGGATGGCTTAAGTCTGCAGAAATAGAAAGATCATTAAAAACAATTTATTGACATTTGGTGATGGTGGTGGTTGTGGTGGTGCAGACCAAAAAGAGAATCATGTGCATATTCTTTCCCAAAGGAGTATAGCTATTGTATATAAATTGAGTAGCTCAGCAGTTAAAATTCTATTAAAGGCTAAAAGGAGCTACTGAAAAATGTTAAAAAAATGAAGCTATCACTGTTGAAATTTAATATTCCAGAGAAAATAATTGAACTGAGGTTCAGCTATTAATTCAATTATTTTTTTGCACCACATTCTTGATATTTTCTTTGGATATTTTAAGGAGTAAGAATGAGTTTTATTTTCCTCATCATATATAACTAAATATAATAACACAGAAAATCATCACAATGCACTATTTCCTTAGCTTCTAAATTCTGCAGGTCTTTAAATATTTCAAAATAATACAGAAGATGGCTGGTGTGATTTAGTGAAAAATCAGAAATTGTATTTGATAAGACATGCAATAATGCTGAGTAGAAGTCTTGTGGAACAAATGCTATGCCCAAAGATGAGTGTGGGTATTTGTGGATTTAACATTCGTAATTTTGACTGCTATGAATGATCACAAGTGTCTATTTGATCAAGTAATTTCTAATTTTGCTGAGACATAAACGTGCATGCATATGTATGCCTCTTTCTCTATATCTATATATGTCGGCACATTTGTATGAGTAAGTGCATGCATGTGTGTTCTTATGTATATATGTGTGTATAAACATGTGTGTGCACAGTAGTCACATAAGTGAGTTAAATAAGCTTAGATGGTACAGCAGCTTTGCTAATTGATGGGTGTACAGTATGCTTGTGAAATCACACTTATTATTACAATTATATGAGAGTGGTATTAGAATTTGGCAATTTGCAAAGGTCTCAGGGCATATCTCTTAAGAATACAAGGATCTCTTTTGCTAAATAATTGGCACATGGTTCATAAAGGACATTACCACAGATTCAAAAATCTGCAGTAAAAATTGTTAAAAACAATCTCCCCCAAAGTTTTTCCAGTGAAATTATTGTTATATTATTCATTTCCATCTTATCTTTTGGAAAAAATAGGTATTACAAAGGTAAAAATATGCCAAGCCTGGATCTAAATGACAGTGATTTCATAGGCTTCAATCTGAAGGTGGTAATATAATGCCCAAGTTATTTTTAAACCAGAATTCCATTATAACGAAATTCCACATGAGTACTAAATTATTATTTTGGTAAATTTAGTCACTGTCTATAAGAATTTATTTGGATTTATAGGCTGAAAGCTTTTTTCATAATTAGAAAGGTAAGTGAATCTTTCTTGAGGGACAGGTAGCCAATAATAAATGCAGCAGAATCAATAGAAATTATAGGCATGAGTTGCCCTGAGGTGCAGCGTAAATCTTGCTTTGCTTTCAGCAGAAAAAAACTGCATTAAATAAGCCACTAAGTCTTGGCACTAGGGTGAATAAATGCATACCAAATGTTGGTACTATCTGATACTGAGTCATTTGCATATATCCAGAAAGAAAGGACATTAGACATTTAAAAATAGTTTAGGTGCAAATATTGCTATCTAAATTTCTCTAACTCAAAATCTGGTAGGATGAATATCAACTAACTAATTTCAATCAACTTTAGTAAAACAGATAGTGAGGCCAATTTCTTCCATGCAAAATTCTATGATAAGATAATTTATTACATATATTTCTACTATTTTAGCCTTCCCTCACCTGAAATTATAATTAATTTATATTAATGCCTAATTCAATAAGCCAACTAGCAGTGGATGCTATGGTATGCTGTTATGGTGGTAGAAATTAAAAAATGAACAAGAGAAAATTATCAATTTATCCATTATAGAAGAGACCACACTATTTATATTAGCAGCCAGCCACTTGCAGACATGGGGATAGGAAAGGCCAATGATTTTCTCCCCAGCCCTGCTTGTGTCTAGGGCTGCAGTAGCCTGGATGATTAATGAGTTATTTTCTTGGATCCATAACCTTAAGCCTTTCACTGCTACCAAAAATAATTCTTGGTGATACTGAGTGCTCAGGAAACGCAAGTGGATCTGAAAAAGCACAAGATAATTACTGGCATTCATTAAACTCAGCTAACTAAGAAAGCACTAACCTGTAGCACACAGGGCATGATTGGGGTCATGATATGTTTTGGATTAGTTAATATATTCTACTTGTGTATTCTTTTCTCCATCCTATAATATCTACTTCTCTAGATTATTTTGAAGATGATGTGAGGTAATAATGTGTATGGAAGAGGTTTTTAACCTATGAGTCATGTTCTATGAAAATGTTAGGTTTTACAAACATTTGAGAAAGCATCATCATAGAGTAGAAAGAGTATGTATGTGGGCACCAGGCAGAAGCAGATTTAAATTCTACCTACTACTATGCTAAGTGCAGGAGTTATGACAGTGAAACAGTGACAATACAGGTGAGTTCTTTGGTGTAACACATGAGCCTCAGTTTCCTCATCTATACAATGGAGATAAATATGTACTTTGAGGGTTTTATGAGTTGCAAGACAAAATATAGTTAAAGTACCTCATAGCACCAGGTACATAGTAGATTCTCAATAAATCCTTGTCTTTATTATTCTCCCAGTGGAAATATCTATCCATTCTACCATTAATTTTGATATTAAAAATGCTGGTTTGAACTAGCATTTTACAATTTGTATTTCTCTATGACAACATAAAATTTCAAGACGATAGCTAAGCTTAATTACAAATAAAACACATCCAAAGAAGCACATGGAACCATTAGTAACATCATAGAAAGTTGCCTTATATGCTTTTTGGAAAGGCAGTAAATAAATGATAGATGAATAAATGAATGACTGAATGAATGAATAAAAAATCAATAGAAAATACTAATAATTCTATAATTTAATAAAAGATTTATATGTTCTAAATGTTCTGGTTCCTAAGTATTACTAAATTTTCTGGGAAATTAGCATAAGCATCTAAATAAATGAATATATTAAGGAAATTAAATTTATTAAACTAATTTTGTTATATTTGTTGGCATTTTCTTAATATCTGAAAGAGTTCTATAAAATTATAGAAGATGTAATTTACTCTTTATAGTATAGAAAGCCTATATTTAGCTTGTAATACATGAAAAATATACCATACTTGATCTGACATGTAATAAATATGAAAAAATGAAAAATATTTAAAATACATTGCAAAATCTTGAAGAGTGCTCCCTTTTTGTTCATATAAATATTCACTATGTAAATAGTTTATCAAGTGCAGAGTTCTTCAAGCTTCATTCACAAATAATTATATCCTTTAATTAGTTTATTACAAATTTGTTTAAAGACAGCCTTGGTGCAGGACAAGAAATATAAAAAAGTTTCTTCTTTGTCCTAGTTGCAAGAGGCAAGCCTTGGCAAACAGAGAGGGTGGGGATACATGTTTCCTTCGGAGAGCAGCACCTGCACAAATGGATACTACAACTCCATTTCCAGTGCTTAAATTCTAACAGGTGAAAACAGATTCCTTAGGAAACTTCCTTCATTCTTTCTAGGACACCCCAGAGTCACTTGCCACAGCATCTAACTAGAGATAGCTAGTATTATCATTCAATAATTTTATGAATAAAAGAGACAGCTTCAGAATTTCCACAGGAGAAGAAACATTTATGTCAATTTTATTTGCTGAAAATGTTTGTTTAAAAATTGGTCTTACCCTATATTTTAGTACAGTTCTTATGGCTAATGAGTATTTAGGGGCTGCAAAGAAGTCTTAAGGACCTGAGATGGTAATTTTTACTATCTTAAGTAGAAAGATAAACATGTTATAACAGATTTTTATGCATTTCTAAATCAAAGTTAAGTAATTTTTGCCTATCTCCTCTCCTGGGGAGAAGGGTTCAGGGAAATTGAACCTCAATCATGGGACCTGTTAGCAATGGTCAGTGGCGCCCAGGAGGAATAATTGGAGAGACTGCATTTTAAAGAGAGTTTGACTCTAGAGTGTGGCAGAAAAACCTAACAAATTTTCAAATGAAAGCTCTGTACAAGAGACGTATCAGGGTACAAAAGTGAAGGGACAGAAGCTTAGACTGGAATTCGTGGGAGGAAGCAGAACCCAGAGCTATTATTGCAGCTGATTAACTATCCAGTGCCTGATAAGGTTCCTGCATTGGTGATGGGGTGGGAAAGCTGTCCCAGATGCCTAAATGCTTAAAGTTTATAGGACTTAAAGTGGTAAGTTTTGGATCATAAAATCTTTTGGAGTAATGCATTACTTGCCCTGCTTATGTATCTTTTTCCTCCCTTGCCTTCTCTACTTTTCTTCTTTTTTTGGTGCAGATAATAAAATATTGACGATAATTTATTTTGAGGTGGAGTCTTTCAATACTTGAATGATTCTTGATTTGCAATTAATGTAGCTTCCAAAGAGAATTCGTTTTGGTCATCTCTGTGCTCAACTGAGGACTATTGAAAGTCCCCAAATATAACTCTGTATTATTTCTTCTTAGAGCTCGCAGTAATAGTGAGTCCATTCTCTAGGGTACCCCAAATGACATCAGGAAATTAATATGCTAATACAGTGATATCTAATTTATATCTGGAGAGTAATTTAGATGTTAGGAAACATTGTTTCAAGTGTATTGGCATTTTCAGATACTGTATATATCTATATTGTCATACAGATTGATAAGTAAATATGGCCAAAAATTAAGCCAAATAGGGGCATCTTCATATGATATAACTTCAGGGGGGTTCAGGCAATAGCTTCCATCATGCCAAGATCTCTTTAATTTGTTCACTGAATTTTGAAATTCAATTTTTTTAGTTTAAAGGTTTGATATGGTTTGGCTGTATTCCCATCCAACTATCACCTTGAATTGTAATAATCCATATGTGTCAAGGGTGGGGCCAGGTGGAGACAATTGAATCATGGGGGCAGTTTCCTCCATACTGTTCTCATGGTAATGAATAAGTCTCATGAGATCTGATGGTTTTATAAATGGGAGTTCCCCTGCACAAGCAATCTTGCCTGCTGCCATGTAAGATGTGACTTTGCTCCTCCTTCGCCTTCCACCATGATAGTGAGGCTCCCCCAGCCATGTGGAACTGTAAGTCAATTAAACCTGTTTCCTTTACAAATTACCCAGTCTTGGGTATGTCTTTATTAGCAGTGTGAGAGCAGACTAATACAAGGTTTGATTTCTATTTAATTAGCAAGCCCTATAAGAAAGGTGCCTATTTAAAGTTGTGATATCTCATCTATTCCTTAATGCAGTTAAGTTTCAAGGTCTTTTTGAAAACTGGTTTTGTTTTAGGGAAGAGGATGAGAGTCTTGGGCATCCGAGAGGACATGAAGAACAGGTTTCATTAAAGTAGGAACTCAAGTAAAAATAGTCATGCTGATGGTGTGTTGGAGCCAATTTGTATTGGCTCATGAGAGTCAACTGCACGTGAATCTTCCCAATTCTAAGTTCAGTCACATTAAGTTGGTACCTTGAAATTAGCCATAGGGAGAGTATTTATATTGCTGACATTGGCAGATACCACAAATCAAGGCCTTGTCTTTCTCCTTGGAGAGAAAGTTACCAGCACTCCACTGGTCCTGCAGTATAGACCGGGCACAGCAAAAACAACATTCAAAAGTTTTCAATTTAGTGTTTTTTTTTTTAAAGTTACGGTGAGTGATAAAAAAGCTGTGGCTACAAATGTCTTCTTGATTTTGTTATTCTACTCACAGTATGAACCAAACTGTCCACAGTTTGGGAATGTTATTAAAAAACTAGATTAACAATAAAACAGGAATTTGAGGTCTTATGACCCTCATTTTGATGGGGTGAGTCATAATGTTCATTCATTTTATTAAGAGGGAAGAAGTGTTTAGAAGTTACTGTCATTCTATTATCCCTACTTTGCACTGCTTTTTCATAAAAACTTACTAGGCTAATGACAATATAAATATATAGGCATAATGACATACTGTGAAAATGACTCATTGGTTTCCACTAAAATGTAACTAAGACAGAAGGCATTAATCGATCTAAATGTAAAATGTGCATTCTCAGTTTTGGCTGAATTAAACAAACAGAAATTTTCCTTTAACAATGGAAATGTTTCCTCTTTCAGTATATTCCCTTTCAGTGTTCCCACATTTTCATCTAATACCATGCAAACTTGCTACTTTTCCACTAACCTAGTTTCCTAAGCCACAAACTTGTTTCTCATATTTTTCTTCTGTTACAGTTCCTGCAAAAAAATGGGCTGAAGAAGCACTTATAAGTACCAGCTACTTAATTCTCCTAATTTAGGAATCTATGTCTTTTCCAAAAGAATCAGTTGAAATCCAACAATAATTTTGAGCTCTGTTCTCAGAATGCATCACCAGGACGATAGGACTATCTCCAAAAAAGTAAAAAACATATATATAAACACAAAATAAAGAAAAACAAAGGAGGAAAAAAGGAAATGAATAATAAGAAAAATGAACCTTGAAGCAACACAAAAAGCCATGTACCTGCTCAATCCAAAAAGCAAAGCTCAATCCAAAAAGCAGGAACCTGATAATCAGTCCAGCTACAAATATTCATTTAGCGGCTAAGAGTTCAGGCTCTACATTACTTGCCCTTGTGCTTTTTGGACTCATAGGAGCCTATAGTAAGCAGGGTTGTATGTATAGCCTAAACACATTAAGTGAACAAACAACATTAATTGGCTTTGGTATGCTGACACATGTAGGGCAGTCCATACTTACTTTCTGAAGAGGTAGTTCTTGATGATCAAATTTAGACTTAGTCTGCAAGTTTAAAGTCATGCTTCTGCCTGCATGCATTGCTGAAATACCTCCATAGGGCAGCATGCCAAGGTTAACTGTATTGTGTTTGTAAGCAGCATTCTGAGTAGAGGAAATAATCATGTGACAGGGTGTGAACACATGCTCAACAAACTGATAAATTACATGAACATGTTTAAATTTATAACATTTAACTTTAGGCAGGCAAACAGTAACTTTTTAAAAAAACATGCACTTGATCAGACAGAAGCATACAGTAAACAGTGTTAGTTATGCACATAATGAGTACCATCCAAAACTACAGAAAAGACAAAAAGCAAAGAAGATACATTCTGTTTTACATCTGCTGCTAACTCAACGTCATAAATTCTGTCTCTTATACATCGTGATAGTAGTGACTTTGGACAAGTATTATTCGTCTGTGGTAGTCTATTCATTTAAAAATTCGAACAGTGAGACCTTAAATTTTACCAGCTGCAGATCTTTGTTCTCTTTCACATTGTGAGATCATCACTTGTGAAAGACAAATATTAGTTTCTAATTTTGTCTTAAGCTAATGCATTGCAATGTTAAAGCCAAAATCAGTCTCCTTCATTGCTCAGTCTGTAGGCATAATTACAGCAACTCAGAAAAACAGCTGGTCAAAATGCCATTTGAGCTTACCATAGGCTTGATTGAACTTACTTATTAATTCAGCTAAACCAATCAAATACATTTTATGTGGATCCAAATATTCTATTTTTTGTTTCTTAAAAATTATATTTTAAACTAAAGAAATTTCATAGTAATATTAAAGCAATTATAATTTATTGATTTATTAATGCTAATTATCTAATATATACAAATACCTATAGAACACTCTGGTGGTATTTGCATTTAAGTGACTGATAGATAATTTTTTTCCTATAAAACTTTATTTGAAAATTAGATGTAAAATTTTAGATACCCTGTTATCAAATTGTTTGCACAGTACAATCTCCTCCTTCAATCTACAATGGAAATGTAATCATTGACAGCATTTGGCCCCTTTAAGTAATTCTCTCATTTTGGAAAAAAAAAAATCACAGAAGTTAACTTAGCACACTTTTTCTAAGCCAAATATTACTGAACATTAGCAGCAGGTAGCTATTCTATTCTGAGGGCAATATTATCAAAGTAATGATTTTTAGCATCAAAGTTTCATTGAGTGAAGCTGAAAGATTATTATCCTCCTGATGGTGTGCTTGTCTACCAATCATATTTGTTATGGATTCATTATTATTTCATATAGAGATTTTCCATTGTCACCATGCCAAAATTGAAAAAGACACTGAACATCTCAATCTAGCACTTGGAAAATTCCTTAAGGTTTAAAATTCCTCCAGTCTAGTGCTCTCTCAGCTTCTGCAGAACAGAAGCAGTCTCAGACATATGGGTTCATGTTTTAAATTCCCTGTCATAGTGTGGCTCTGCAGTGAAAGCATGGGTCTTGTGGTTAAACTAAAAGAGGAAACAAGCATCTTTTATCTAGGGTAGTTCTTGGAGCTGCCTCTTCAAGGTCAACACTTAGATCTTTCACCAACATTATGTTGAACTGTTATGCTTATCCAATGTCCAAGACTCTAGGCAATTGTCTTTTACGTAGAATGGACAGAGATCTTGTAATTTCTTGTGTAACTATTTGATTTTGAGGGTTCAAATGACCCAATTAAATTTCACTGGGAAAGAAGCACATTATTTCTCTGGTGCAGTCTGCCTTTGGACAGAATGTTAAGTAGCACAGCTATGTCGAAACTGGTTTTACATAATAAGTCTGTGCTTCAGTACCCTGAATTCATCTTGTTGAGTAGCTGGGAAGTTTTATGAAAGATATAGCCTGAATAGCTCAGTAACTCAACTGAAAGACAGAAAGAAATGTGACTTGGCGAAAACAAAAGAAAGAGCTTCTAGGATCTGATGACTCAAAGCAATACTCTAAGGTAAGTTAATTTCTTGGAATTAAATGAGAAGCTATTGAATGTACATTGAAATTGCTTTGAAAAATGAAAGACACCTAGGGAACTGTACACAAACAGAGGTTATATGAAGATCAACTCAGAAGGGAAGTGTCATCATAGCAATGAAAAATACATGAGTTTGCTTTTTGTTATCTGGGATAGGCAGGGCCTCCAAACTTTTGCTGATTCAAATCTCTCTCCCCTAACCCTATATTCCTGCTTAAAATTCTTGCTTCATCTAGAGGAGTCGCCCACTTTTCAGTCGCTGGGGTCAAAGGAGAGGAACCATTGATCTGGGACACCAGTAACTAAGTGATGGAACCAAATGCTTAGAATTTTATCTTTTCCTTTTCATTAGTTGTTTTCACTCATTCCTCTGTTGCCTCAAATTACTAGTCATTGTACATATGCTCCAAAAAGCTTCTTATAACCTTTCTTGACTAGTTCATCTTACCCTGTTACGTATGGTCGTGTCTACACGAGGCCAGAGTTCCCAAACTGTACTGTATTATTTGGCCCCAAATATTTTCGCCCTCCAAGTTATCTGTCTACATGGAGGGTATACTTGAGGTAAGGCATGGTGACAACCGACCAGGTGTCTCCCACTGACAGCCAGTCATGAGGCTTTGATGAGGCTCCCTTCAATGGGACTGAGCAAACCTATTTGAAACAGACATTCTGATGAAATATTTTGCAAGGCAGAACCAATTTCTACATTGAGAAACTAACACCCACACCCACATTTATTAGTTCACTCCTTCCCTAAAAAAAATTGTTTTCTTGTCATGTAGACACGACCTACAAGCAATATAATTATTTGAAAAGAGTAAACCTGTAAACGTAAAATTCAGTATTAAAGAAATACCTAATAAATGCAGTGACCTGTGCTTTTAGCAGGACACCAAATAAAATAATAAAACTATTGAGTGAGACAATGCGATAGTATATTATTACCCAGATCCCCAATTTACACTGAGCATTCAGCCCTAGAAAATGAGAACAAAAAGCCCCATTTTCACCAAAAAGATCTTTAAGATTCTAATGTCAATGCAGAGCACATTAAGCCCTCTACCCTAAAAGCCACAAAGTACACTGAATGACGATGGTCAATTGAAGATAGTTCTAGAAAATGAGTACAGGTTTCTCTTAGAGAGATTCAAACAGGCAACAAAATGTAATTCTAGGCATCATATGATTTTTTTTTCTGTCCCTGATCCCTGCATATTACATGCTTTATTGTGGACACAATTTATTTTTTTTTTCCCCAAGACAGAGTCTCACTTTGTCACCCAGGCTGGAGGGCAGTGGTGTGATCTCAGCTCACTGCAACCTCCACCTCCTGGGTTCAAGCAATTCTCCTGCCTCAGCCTCCCGAGTAGCTGGGATTACAGGCGTGCGCCACCATGCCTGGCCAATTTTTTTTGTATTTTAAGTAGAGATGGGGTTTTACCATGTTGGCCAGGCTGGTCTCGAGTTCCTGACCGCCCGCCTCGGCCTCCCAAAGTGCTGGGATTACAGGCATGAACCACCATGCCTCGCCTATTGTGACTCAATTTTTAACTGAACTAGAATTAATTTTCTTTTTTGCTGCAATATACATACTAATTTTTTGTTTGCTGTCTTCATAAAGACATCAACTATTTTTGTTGTCTGTAGTATAATCTGAATTTAAATATTTCTTTCTATATAAAAACCAACATTCTAAATGGCAGGCTTTTTATTAAATAAAATAATGTGTAGGAGGGCATTCAATCCCTGCTTATTTTTCTGTTTCTTGTTGGGAAAATTATTGCTCATTAGAAATAATAACTAGTAGTCCCATAGCAGTAACTATGTGCAAATTTTATAAACAAATTAGGCCTGACTTTAATATAAGTGAGTCCATCCAGAAACGGGGGAAATATCCACTTTTTATAGGTTCAACAAAAATCATACTCTTTAGGTCACTAGAGAACAGTTTTGCGTCCTAGGAGAGGCATTTTGCCTTAATGGCTAGAAAGCATTTGAAGCACCATCCCCTCTAATGGAGTTGAATTCTTTCTTACTAACAATATTTGGGTTAGATTTGATGAATAATTCACCTGCAGGTTATGAACTCTCAAAGAGCATTTAGCCACATCCATGAAAAACTATTATGATCCATTTTCCCCACAATATAAAGATAAATAAAATACTGATCATCTAATTCATTCATGTAGTTCATGCTTCACTACATGTGCTTAGAAATGCCAATAAAGTAACACTAAAGGCAGGAGGGATATTCTTACAGAGAAACACCAGACATACCCTGTCTAACCGTCTAGCTTCTATATGTCTAAGCAGCTGTTGTCTCCAGTCTGCAGGCATTTTACCACAGCTCTCCTCTCCCTTCACAGGAGTAGGCCTCGTCTTTAAATCACTGTTATCTGATGGCTTGTCACCATAGTTACCCAAGTTATAGTCAGATGGTATTTTTTCCAAAAGAGCTGCCATAGTAGGCCTAGCTGAAACTGGCCTGGTTTGGGAGGCACCGTAACTCTCTGTACTGTAGCTTCTCGCAGACAATGGCCTCCTTTGGGTAAGGTTTTTAACCGGAAAACTTCCCGCCTGAGCTTTCACTTCTTGATATGAAGGGTGTTCATCTTCATACCTGCCATTCCTTTTCAGGAACTGGGACTCAGTCACTGTAACGCTGCTTTGGCGATCCAGCCCTCCCCTATATGGGGGTCTGCCGTACCTATCAGTTGGGGGCAGCTCATGAGGCTCATTGACCCTTCTAAACATGGCCATTTCTGTGGCGCTCACCAGGGAGTCGGCCCTTCTCAGGAAGCCCGCCCTGGCCCCTTGGCTTGCGAACTGGGCATTCACCACAGCATCCTCATTCACAGATGGCTGAGAAAATGAAAACATTTGCTCCATCGGTGGGTATCCTCTGTAAGCTCTAGGACTAATCAAATCCTTGGCGATGTTTTTGCTGGCCTGTTGCACGTACTCGGGATTGTGTTGAAAAGGGGGTGGTATCCTCTTTTCGGCTTTCACTTCCACTGATCCTTGAGGATTGAAGCTTTGGTCAAACTGATAGACTTTTTTTGTCATAGAAGCTTTTTGTTGTTGTGGCCCCTTACTACTTCCGTAGGTGAGCATCTCATCATCCAGCATTGGGACTGACTGGCTTCGAGACATACTGGACATACCATGCTCTGGTCCCAGCATCTTATCCGGTCGTTCGTGGCTTCCTAAGTGATCACTCCCAGAAGCATAGTTTTCTAATGGTATGTTATACACCTTATATGTACCAATGTCAATCTCATCGATACTCTGTGACTTTTTGAATTTATTAGACTTGATATCTTTCATTAGGGGGGAAAGCCTCTCTGTGCTTTTGCTAATTGAAATAACACCTTTAGAAGATTCCGGGCGGCAGTGGATTTGAGAAAAGACATTACTAAGACTCCTGTTGGGATTGGAATCATGATACTCCCATGGTACGCCTGGAGAAAAAGGACTAGGTATTTCAGTAGATTCCTTTATATGTTCTTTCCTTTCAGGCAATGGGCTGGTAGTGGGGGTTGTCTCTAATTTGGAAGGAAAAGCGGTCCTGTCTTCAAACGGACTAGGGGTTCTGGTCCAATTCTGCCAAGGATTGGAAGGAGGCACTTCTGTTTCTGGTGTGTGTCTGTGTGTAGACTGCTCGAGTTCCAGGGGAACACCAACAATCCTGTCTTGCCTGATCAAAGGCCTGCGTCCATGCGAAGATGTGCTTCTAGATTTCGAACTTAAGAGAGGATTACTGTTGGCATTCTCGGCTGTGGTTTCCTCAGCAACAAACCCTGTGTTGTCATAATGCGAGCCATCAGTCCAGTTGTCAGTGAAAGTATCACTCATGGGCAGCCGGTCAGGACGCTGTGGTATATTGCCTGGGGGAACAGCCTCCCGCTGGCTGAGTAATGGCTTTGAATCAAGAGGCTGTGGGAAAGATGGTGCAATCCTGTGAACACAATGGGAAGAAGAAATTGAAAAGGACGAAGAGTTGGGTCTTTGGCAGAAAGAGAACAAGCAGCAAAGAGGGCCATCATCCTTTGTTTAACTGATCAATAATCCTCACCTGACTTATGATTAAGATAGTATTATTATTTCATATTTTAAAAATCCATCCCTTTATCCTGCTTTAACTTTTTTTTCCTAGTAATAATCACCTTCTAATATACTATATAATTTACTTATCTATTACGTGTATTGTATCTTGTGTTGTGTCCTCTGCTAGAATATAAACTCACAATGGTAGAGATCTTTTTCTCTGCAGGCCTAGACTAATGCCTGGCACATAGTAGGTATTAAATACACATTTGTTGAAGGAATCAATGAAGGAAATATGTAGTTCTTAAGTAATGGTCTTGAAACCTGACTGATAATTAGAATCATATGATTCCTGATACCCATTCCTGGAGATTCTGATTTGGTACATTTCAAACTATTGGCCGAGAGTACCTTTCTTACAAATGCTTGGTGTATCTGATGAATCTAAATTGTCTTCAGATGACTTTTATTTGAAGGTCAGGTTTTGAAGACACTAAATGCTATTGTATAGGGAGCATATTCAGGTATGTTTTGTAGAATGTAAATTATATTATGACTTTAGATCACTGACATGTTTGTACCACTGACCATGTTATTTCTAGCAGATACTGAGATAATGCAAATAATGAATTTACAAACTGAAAGAGTTATGATTTTTATTATGAGCATCAATGATTAGGAAAAGTTACTCATGAATTACTAAAGAAGACATTGCCAACAGTGGCAATATTATCAGTAAAATATGAGTAAAAGTTATTGACTACCTATATAACAATTTTAATTTGCTATTTGTAGTGTAAAACATAGCAACAAGTTACAAAATGGAATTAGAACTGGGAAAACATTGCCTTATTGAGTCACTTTATTGTGCTCTGTGTGTGGTTTTTGTTTTTTCATCTGTAAAATTAGAGTAATATAGAGGAGGAGGCATTTTGGAAAGATTAAGTACTTAAAAATACATCCTGACTTTTCCAGGTGGTGATAAAATTATGATGACGATAGCAATGAAAATTTATTGAACACTTACTCTGGACCAGACACCTAAGTGTTTTACTGGCATTTTATTTTAATTCATAATGCCATTTTGTATGTTAAAACATCCATGTCTCATCAATAAGTATCAGTGGGCAAACACATTTTTTTTTATTTTTTAAATTTTTTGTTCTACCATCTCATCCTGTTAACTCCTACCATGTCTTCCTTAACCAATGGCCTCTCCCTGTAAGGTGGATTCATCTGTTCCTGGCAGTCCCAGGCGAACAACATTTGCTTACCTGCCCCTTCTGTCTTCTATGCCACTTGTGTGCCGAATACAATTCCAAAATTAAGAAGATTCCATTTTTTAAAAAGTTGCTGAAAATAAACGTTTGGGAACAAAAGGAGGGAATTCTAAACACACCTGTTACCCCACAAAGAATTATGTACTGCATCTTTAGCTGTTGTCTGCAAGGACCCCACTTTAACCCGGGTATTAGAGGATCCTGAGGAAGCCTGGGAAGGCGAGTAGTCTGAGTAAGTGCCTGAGGAAACACTGTTATTCAGACAGTGAGTTTTGTCAACTTCAGACTCATCAGTTGATTCTGAAATTTAAAGGGGAAAATGTTATAATGCTATGACACTGACAATTACACGGAAAAGCAAGTATGAAAAATGGAAACCATACCGATTAAGGTTAGAAATGCATATTTGTAAAACATTTGTATAGAATATGGTGTATCATAATTTACAACTGGCGATTCATCATGCACATGCATTTGTAGCATATTTTCCACATTGGGTTCACAGTGTTACCTTTTTTGTCCTTCCCTAGCAGAACAAGTTTGGGTGGGTACAGAGGGGTCTCAGCTAATGAAGGGTGAAGTTCCCCAATCCTCATTTCATTAGCTGGATGAACAAAAGAATCCTGAGAGATATAATAATACAGGACAAGGAAAGTAAACATTTAAACAATGGTTAACCAAAGTGGCAGTATCTTTATTTGGCTCAGATTAAAAAATGTGACTCTAGAATTCAGTTCACTGTGAGGCACTGGGAGAAATAAACCATATGTATCTCTGAGTTAAGCATTAAATTTTTTTTTTCTAATGTAAGTGAGTCCATTTATTCATCAATTTTTCTTGCATGTTGTTTATATGCCTGGCACTGTGCAATGAACTGTGGAGGTTCCAAAGAAAGACAAAATGTGGCTGGTGCCCTCTGGGAGTTTATAATCTAGTTGGAGAGATGAGCTATAACTCATTAGAACACCAGACTGAATTATGATAAGCCATATATGAGCAGTATGATTCACACAAATATGATATATACACATGTAATTGTTCTAAGTGGTTAACTCTAAGAGTTTTAAGAGGAAAGTATATCACTGACCAATTAAGATTTTTTTTTTTTTTTTTTTTTTGTGCATCCCTAGCTACATTACTTCACTGTCGGGTCCTATAAATCCTGCTCTTCCCACCGCTTTCCTCCTAACTTTCTACTGTATCCCAAGTGATCATCTCCTCAATTTCTCAAGTTCTATCATGTGTTCTTCCAGAGGTTCCTGGTTTTCTCACACCTAATCTAGCATACTAAATCTTCATTCTATATCCCTTCTTTGAGTGTAACGAGCAACATCGATACACGACTATAACTTCATAATGACAAATAAACATGTAGAAAACCCAAGATTTTAAACTTCCACAATTCAAATTACTATTTTCAGTTAACCAGGCAGGGTGGAGAGCATTAGGGGAAGGTAAAATACCAAATTCTCACTTTCTTCTAGATATAAAAATGCATTATCTATGCCCATAAGTAGTGATATATATTTATGCATAGCAGCTATCGTTATGTCTTCTTTTCCCTTAAGATTAATTTTAATTCAAATGAGAATTTTTCAGCTTTTTAATTCATTAGTATCTTGTGAGTTTGGGGCACTAATGTAAAATATTTAGAAATATTTTGTTAAATCAGAGAAAAAAATATACTTGAGGACAAAAATATTGTAAATTTAAAAAGTCCTGTCTTAAAACTAATCGGTTGGTATAATGAACAGGCAGAAACTCTTACTATAAATTTTATATATTGCCAAGGACCCCCATAGTGACATGCTCAGGTCTTTGGTTATTGCAGAGAAGCACATCTTGGTTTAAGTTCTATCTTTTGGGATTCTTTTGGGTTAGGTTTGTATGGAAATATTTGCCTGAAAAACCTGGGTATATCTGTTACTTGTTAATTTTTTAAATAGAATATTTCAATAAAAGAAAAGGGAAAGATCATTTAGTCCAACACTTTTGTTTTCTAGAGGCGGGTTCTGAGACTCAGCTTAGGCCTAGGTTACACAGATGATTAGACGAAGATCCAGCACTGCAGCAGGATTCTCCTGGGCTCCATTCCAGTGATCTTTCCTTACCTTGTGCTGCCTCCTGGTGAGCTCAGCTGTGAGCACACAAAGAACTTAAAATGAGGTATCAGATTGCAAAGAGGAACAGGAAAAGGAGTAGAATGGAAAATTCAGTAGTTGAAGAGGCTATATTTGCTACTCAAAGGTGTTCTATGTGATACTGTGTATGCCATATTGCCTATCCTAAGTAAAGCTCATTTTTCACACGGGCTTCACAGAGGAAAGATAACTACTCAACAAAAGAAATTAATCGCTGACTTTTTTTTTTATAAATCCTTTTAAAGAGGCCATATTTTCTTTATTTTGATTGATTTTGAAAATTATTTCAGAGGGTACATATTATTCATTTTGATTGATTTTGAAAGTTAGTTCAAAGATTTAGCATAAGAAATGTATGACAGTTTTAAGGTGACAGAAGGGAGGATAAAAGCCTTTATATACCTTTGGAGAAATTTATAAGAAGATATGAGTTTGAGAAACAGTACCCTGAAAGGCATAAAATATGCTGACTTGCCAAAAAATTTGTTACAAGGTGTCATATTTTCATCCTATTTCTATTTTTATATTTTATTAATCAGGTCACCTTGGGCAAGTCAGTGTACTTCTCTGGGCATTATCATCATTAAAATAAAGGTAATCAGTAATAGGAATTAGTGCCAATTCCTGTCTAGTACTAACATTCTATGAATCTAAAGGTAAGTTATTTGTTGAAATAATAATTTAAAAATATTCCTATGATACCTAATTACAAGAATGGGAATTTTGTTTTATTCAAAAGAAAAACAAAAATAGAATAGAAACACAAAAAAGCAATCCAAATAGCTGTACAAGTACAGAATGTTAACATAATTATGGGTTTTGCTTTTTTCCCTTATGTTCTACACATTCAGTACTCAGGTCATCTTGTTTGTATTGATTCGACTTTCAAACTTGTATACCAAAATTATGACCGGAACTCTGCATGGTAGCTCTGGTTTGACTCAGGTTCAAGTTTCTGATCCTGTTTCAGAATTTCTATTGTGAATCAAAAACAGCCTTAGTGACCAGGAAGAGAGGATGATTATCAGCTAATTATGAACTTGTATTTCTTCTTAGAAGGACATTATTGAAACAAGAATGATGAATTTGCACTGATCTGAGTAGATTCTCTTACCCTTATGAACGAAGTGATGATGATGATGATGACAATGATGATAATGACGACAATGATGATAATGGCCATAAATTACATGGCACTGATTACATCTGCTGCGGTGCTACTATGCTAAACACTCTATCTATATTATCCTTGTTAATTATTTAAAAGACAACCTTATTTTTTATCATTATGTGGTATTTATTTATTATCATCATTTTTTGTTCTGCAGATAAGGAAATGGAGGCTCAGTGAGGTAAAATCATAATTCTAAGTCACAAACCTAATAAGTGGTAAAGCCAAGATTTGAACTGGGATCTGCGCTACTCAAAGATCTATGTGATACTGTGTATGCTGTATTGTCTATCCTGAGAACAGCTCATTTCTCACATGGGTTTCACAAAGTAAAGTTAACTATCCAACAAAGGAAATAAATCACTAATTTTGTTTCTATAAATTCTTTTATAGAGGCTAGAGGAATTGAGTTCCTTTTGGAAAAGTGGGCAAAGTTTTGGGGACTACTTCTACGGGCAATGACAGAGGAAATTTTTGGTAGAAAACAGAATTTAGTGGGGATTCCATTGTAAGTACATTGAACCATATTTTCTTTCTGGTGAGGAGACAGAAATGAGAGGGAAAGAAAAGGTAAAATGTCCTTTTTCTCACAATTGCCCTTCCACTGTTCAAACTGCATCTTGGCTGCTACTGCCATAAAGAAAAGAAGCCTCAGGAAGAAGTCAAAGGAAAGAAAGCAAGCTTATTTCTGAGCTTTTGAGAGTCTAGGCCTAGCATGAATAAAAGTAATTTAAGGAAAATTTTGAGGGTAATGGACAATTCTCTGTTACTGGAAGAAAGATGTTCCTCTATAGAAAAAAATTGGGCTGAGTCCCCTAACAAAGGGAAAAATGCAGAACATTTTGGGATGGTGAACAGGTATCTTGGTAGTTACTTGCAGAAGGATTAAAGGAGGATGGGGAAGGAATTGGCACATAATTCTCTTGAAAAAGAAGAGGGAATTATTTACTGTAGGCTTCCTCTGTGTCAATAACTGTGCTTGGAGCTGTATATAAATAGGTGTTACCATATTTTCTGTTTTGTGCTTTTTTTTTTTAAGATAAAGAAACCAAGGATCAGAAAGGTTTTAGAGACTTGACTTGTCAAGGTCACAAGGTGGAGCCAAGATTTCAATTCATGTCTGCTAGATTTAAAAGCCCTACCCCTTGATTCTCAAACTGTACTCTGAGGCACCCATGGGTGTTGTTGCAATTAACAGGGACACTGTGAGTTACATTAAATGTTTGAGGGAAACAAAGCAATAATTGACATTAGACAGACACTGTGCAAATGGCTAGCTTGAGGTAGCTCTCAGTTACAACATTAGATCGCACATTCTTTTTGATGAAAATCCTTGGCCGGGAGCGGTGGCTCACGCCTGTAATCCCAGCACTTTGGGAAGCCAAGGTGGGTGGATTATGATGTCAGGAGATCGAGACCATCCTGGCCAACATGGTGAAACACTGTCTCTACTAAAAATACAAAAATGAGCTGGCTGTGCTGGCACGTGCCTGTAATCCCAGCTACTCAGGAGGCTGAGGCAGGAGAATCGCTTGAACCAGGGAGTCGGAAGTTGCAGTGAGCTGAGATCGCACCACTGCACTCCAGCCTGGCAACAGAGCGAGACTCCGTCTCAAAAGAAAAAGGAAAAAAAAAAAAAAAGAAAATCCTTGTGAAGCTGGGTTTTTGGTGGTTGCTGTGATAAAAAACCAAGTGGCATTTGAAAATCAATGATAAACAGAAATTAAAATTGTGGTGTCTACTATGATTCCTAGCTGTGAGAAGATAGGTGGTGTTTAACAGGTGCATGTATGCCATTAATATTTTGGCTTTGATTTCTTAAGAATAAGGTAAAAATATTATTTTCTCTTTCAACTTATGTGCATTGATTTTTTCAAATGACCACAAAGTAGGGCATAAATATTTACTAAGCTGTTTGGCTATAACAACTTAAATGAAACTCCTAGGTATTTATTTTGGTCTAGGATCACCATAACATCACTGAGACGCTGTGGGCATTTATATACCAAGAGTGTATTGAACACATAGGTGATGAAGTGTGGATAGGTATCAATTAATTATTAATTCAAAAAAACTCAGAAATTGTCCTTGATTTCAATGAATATCTAATTGAATGGAGAGACAGACATGTTACCAGAGTCATTATACTGGACTATATCAATCATTCATTTATTCAACAAATATTTATTTTGCTCCTACTCTATCCTAGGCACTGTGCTAGACTCAGGCAATACAAGGATGGACAAGAAAGAAAGCATCCCTGCCTTCATGAAACTCACAGTCTGAAGTCAATAAACAAAGTAATCATAACTGTTCATTATATTTAATGTGACAATGTGACATGATAGAGGATATCAGAGGGTCCAACTGATCAGAGTGATCAGGGAAGGCCTTCCTGCTGAGGTGGCCTTTAAGCTGAAACTTGAAGGATGAGGAAGTGCTAGCCATATAAAGAGATCTGGGGAAAAGGCAAATGCAAACTGCACAAGGCATTATAAAGGAAAATCTCCCTGTCCTCCTTTTTCTTATGGCTCCGCCAGCCCTGTTCTTTGTCTGGCATAATGTATGTTAAAACTATTGGCATCTAGTTGGCAAAATGAAAGTGAGCAATAAATATTTACCTTTCCTTTTTCCCCTTAGTTGCATTTGTAATCTTTTTACCTTATTTATTTTTTCCGTTTTCCACTTCTGGTCATGCCTACCTTTATTCTTTTTTTGGGGGTTTTCTATATTTAATCACATGAATAAATATATCATGCAGTGTATAATACCCTCTTCCATATCCTTTGCAGTGTGAACTAATAACAATGATTCAAAAAATGGCATAGAAGTGCAAAACATATTATAAATGTTTAGTATGCACTGATCAGCTAAATGCTTGGTTATCTGCATTTATTAAATCTGGACATTGAAAAATAGAGTGTGACCCTTTACTTTGGCTGCAGTTAATTTGAGGCAGGAGGATAATACAGAAAGCAACAGTTCCTCTTTGCTGTAGGATGGTTAAAAGTTAGAGAGAGAAGATCTAGAATCTCAATTTTAGATAAAGTATTGAAATTACCAGTGAAATTTCTGTTCAAGAGGAAAAGACTAGTAGAAGAAAGCTAGGAAAGGGGTGGTGCAAATCACACAGACAAATTTAAAGCTGAAAGTTGAGCTTTAATCTTAGCCTTAGCAATAAGAAGTCACTGTAGTGTTTTTAAGGAGGGCAAGGAAATGATTAGAATTCTTTTTTAGAAAGATCATTGACAAGGCAATGAGGAGGCTGGGGACAAGGGAAGCCAAAAAGTGGGTATTTTTTTATAGTAATGCAGGACAGAGTTGAGGGCTTGAGGAGGTAGAAATGATACACTTAGGTGAGAATGCACAGGCTTTGGTAATTATTTGGAAGAGATAGGAAGTGGAGAGAAAGAAGGAGAAAGAAATCAGGACATCTCTCGAATTTCTACTTGAATGAAATGGAGGATAATGGTGCCAGTGAGATCAAGGTCAGGAACATGAAAGCAAAAGCAAGTTTGCAAAGGAAACATTAAATCTAATTTTGGATTTGTTATGCTTGACCTGATTTTGAGACAGTTTTAAGATTTATTATTAAATTCATAACCAAAGTCTCATCTATCCCATCCCTACATGAAGACATTTTAGACTCTTATTTTATAGTAAAATTATCCAGTTTATAGATTTTCATGACCACCAGTTATTTTGATGTTAAACTGTGATTACAGGATATTTAAATATAAAACGTATATGTATGTATTTAGTGTGTATCTGCTAAATGTTGGTTTCCTTCCCCTTTATATTGCAGCGAGATCTTTGAGATAAAAGAACAGTCTGTTGCTTTACTATAATATGTGCATAATATTTTGGAAAGGAAAAAGTATAATGATACTGATTTTATAAGCAAAAAACAATGAAAATGAATGCTAATTTTTTTTCCCTTAGAAATCTAGCTGTATTCCCCTCCTCTAGGGTAGGTTGGTACCTCTGCTGGCAGATGTGCACACTATGCTTATTTTTGCTCAAGATCTTCCCTTTGCTTGGAATGCCCTCCTCCCTTTTCCTCTTTAACAGAATCACCCTACCTTTAATATACAGTCTAAACTAAACTTGGAGCATTATATTCTCCATCACTCAACTAACCATGTGATCATATTTTAGATAATATGCTCTTTAATTGTTTCATGTGTCTTAAGTGTATCAGCTTTAAATTATTGGGGTATTATTGACACATTTTATATTTCTTTTCTCTCTCTCACAGTGTTTGGCACAGTGTTACATATGCAGTTGGTGTTTAATAAATGCAACAAAATGATGCTCTGAAATGCAGATTTGTAAAAGAGTTTTGCCACTCTAGATTTTGGAGAAGTAGTTACGTGAACTTACAGATGTACTCAGATCAATTATGTTTCTAATGAAGATAAAAATATGATAACCAAATTAGCTGAAGAGTTGATGAAATAGTAGAGGTGGCATAAGTGTAGTTGAATTCTTTTCAGACCACAAAATCAATAAGGATGGATTTCTAACTCATTCTAAAATATAGGAATTAAGCTTCACATGACTAGATTCCATAAATCTAAATTTCAAAGTTATGTCCTCTTTTTATTGTTAATCGGTGTTTCCTAGAAAAGTTGTAACCCAAAGATAAAAACATTTTAAAAATTGTGCTCTAGATCTAATTAGGAATTTTATGAGATTTGCATAATAGAAAACCTTGGATTAGTCTTTCTTAATGATTAATACAACAAAAGTTTGGGGTAGCCAAAATAATGTCACTAATATGATATAACGCACTCACTGGCCAGGCCTTGCTGGGTGACGAACTTATTCATTCTGTGTGTATTGGAACTTTTGGAGCTATGTTAATGATTTTAGGCCATGAGGGTATCATTTTTCTATGACTGATTAAATGCAACCCTCATAGTTTGAAAAAGTAGAGAGATCATTTATATTTTAGGAAAAAAATGCACTTATCAAGGAAGATCTATTCAGTTAAAAAACATATTTAAAATTCCAAAAAATCCAAACCACACTGGCAATTACCAATAACCTTCAAATACCTCCACTGTAATCTCCTTTGGGGCTACCGGCCACTTGTGTTCATATTTTTCTTTCACAGTTTGCTCCGTGTTAGCAGTTGGATTTGAATTCTCAACACGCACTCCATGGCTTGGCTTACCCACCAAATTTTGAACAGATTTTACCATATTCTTTAAATCCTCTGGGTAAGGAGTTGGATATCGTTTTAGGTTTATTTCAACCTAGAAGTTTACAAAAAGAAATTTAACATAAAAATAACTTCAGCAAGCATGTTCACAAAACTATCCCATTTTATATTCAGTAGTATAATCAAATGCAATACAGTGAGTGTTGAGCTGGCTGAGAAACTCTGTTATAGAGTAGGACGCATAGTGTTCTCATATTCAGCCTTCTGGGACTTCTCACCCCTTCCCACCCTTCTAGATTATAAACTAATTTTGAATCATATTCTGTCTTTAGACCTACCCTATAGATGGCTGAAATAGCAGTAGGTCAAAACACTTAAGTGATTGGTAATTTGAAAAATTTAATCAAGTTATAGCAGCTGTTTTCTTACTTTAGACACTGTTCTCTTCCCTATTTTAATATTTATAAGTAATAATGTTGATATTAAGAGTATCTTTTGAGTAGCAATGCAGCTGATGGGAGGAGACCCCAAAAGCTTTACAAGTAGAGTTGCATGTTAAAAACTGGGGAGTTGACAATATCTGCTGCCTAAATAGGCATTAGCCTTCTGTTAGTTAGTGTGTTATATCAAAAGGTAGGATAGCTAATTCTCATTAATCCCTAAGGGGAAAAAATGCTTCAGGGTGGTTTTTATATTTACTTTTTACCCTAAGAAAGTAACATGCTTCTTGAGTAATATCTTATAATGAAGAGAAATTAAAAATTGGGACCACTTTCTAAGATATTTTAGGTACATGTGTAAAATTTGGCTTTTATCTATCCAGCTACTTATTTCCATTCTTGAATTCATGTTAGGTTATCAATATAACTTTTGGGAACACATGTTAATGACTATTCTTAGCATTAAATTTAGAGGGAGAAAATATGAGACATTCCATATAGAATATTTCATCATCACGGTACTTGTTATAATATATTTAAAATAGAATAAGTACAAGTTGTGCATGCAAATTAAAAGGGACTGGGAAAAAAAGGATTTACTTGGCCTGGCTTGTTCCAACAATACTGTTTTGCATCTGAGTAGAATCAACTTTACAAAATGAAATGATTTATGTGATTGTGGTAGGTATGTATCTGTGGAAAGTGTGTGTGGGGGTGGGAGGGTATGAGGAGAGAAGGTGAAAGAGAAGCAGTGAAAGGAAGAGGAAGATCGGAAAAGGGAGAGAAAGAGTGAGGGGCACATCCGCACCCACCCCCACACACCCATGTAATTCATGGGATGTAAGAAACTATGATGGTGATATAGATCTGAAAACTATGAATGTGAATTCAAACACTTTTGCCCATCTGCAGTTTTAGCAAATCCACCAACTGTGTTATTCTTCTCGACATTTTGTCTTCCTTGTGGCTCATTTTTTCTCATCAAATACTAGAATTGGACTTCACTAGATGACTTCTAACATTCCTTTTAATATTAAAGATATAAAATTATTATTCCAGTAAATATTTGGAAAACAAATGAAAAACCAGATAATTTTGTTAATGTAAGTGCTGTTTAAATGTAGTTTAATCTCTTTAAACTCTCAAATAAATAAGGATGACATTGATAATATATAGAAATATAGCTACAAAAATATAACCCAAGACAAAGTTAGAATTGACAGAAAAAAAAGTGTAAGTTGTTAGATTGTAGTATAAATAAGTCCCAGGGTACTTAATTTGTAATGTATTCTTAAATAAACATAAAAGGAATGATATGACTACTAGACAAAGTCCATTGGGATGCATGCATTCTTAGATCTGTTGTTTAAGTTGGTATTAGAAATGTTAATCACAAATTAAGTATAATTTTTAAATTGTATCATTGAACTTGTTTAAAAGTACTTGACATCAAAGTGCTAGAAGTAAAAAAAATTACATTAAAAATGTAAGTTGTAGAATGCTATGACTATCATGCCAATTAAGAACATTTTATTTTTTATAACCAGCTGTATGTGAATAAAAAATAAGCTAAAGTAGGGCATTAAATTAAAATTCTATGCAACTTAAAAAATCCCCAACACTAAAACTACACTTAGAAATTGAATGGAAGGCAAAAGAAATGTGAAGTGTTCTTCCTTAACTGAATTAAATACTTCATTGAATAATGTAATGTATTTTTTGTTAGATGCTGTGTCCCATCTGACACAATTAGATCACTATTTGGCATGGTACTAATATTTTCTGGTTATTTTATAAGCAAGCACATGTGATATTTTGGTCACATCCCCAGAATATGTTTGAATATTTTATTCCTGTGACATTTAAATCTAGAAATAGATTTACTATGCATTAATGAAGCTTAAGCTACACACCTCTTCCAAAGTCTTGTGAGGGACCCTATTATTTACATAGTCATTTTATATTCTTTTTCTGAAAGAGGACCCCCCCCCCCTTAAATTGAGGAAGTTCCAGGTCTTATAAAGCTTGCATTTGTTTCACCTAAAAAATAAGCTCCTTGCTTCTCACTTACTAGCCTACTAGCAGAATTTACTGGCCTTGGAGTCAGAAGATTTAAATTTAAGAAATAGATTTATTCCCAACTAGCTATCATCCACTAATCTTTCTGTTGTTTCTACTCATGTAAAATGGAAATGATAATATATTTCCTACAAATTTGAGTTAATCCGGAGCTAAAATGTGAAAAATGTGAAAGTTCTTGGAAAATCTGTAAGTTCTATGCAGAGATGAGATACTACTTCTAATGTCACATTTTACTTAATGTATTTTAAAAATCTGGATTCCTTTGGTGATCTTGACTCTACTCTGTATATGTCTAAACATAATATCTGTAACTGTCTGGATCTTTTTTCAATTATACATAGCAACAGTTATTTAATTCAGTATCTCCCATGTTCCAGTCACCATGATAAATGTTTTACAGGGATATTTAATTTATTATTAATTATTTACATAAACATTATTATTAATTCTATAGGTTTAAATATAAATTAATATTTATACACTAAAAATAAATGATTAATTATTAAATATTATATAATTAATCATTATAATAAAATCTCACTTAAGTTTCACAACCCATTGCAGCAGCTGTTGCCACTTTACAGAAAGAAAAGTGTGGCTCAGACCATGTAAGTAACTTGCCTAAGATTACATAGCTAGTAGATGCAATATTCAGACTTAGGTCTTTTGACTCCAGTGCTTATGCTACACAAGTGTTACTTAGCTCAGAGTGTGGGTGCAGCACATATTTGTACAATATTGTGGAAGAAATACTGTAAGTTTAAAATGTGAATTTCTCTGAGTTAAATGGCAAAATAATTTCTATTTTTTTAAATAAAGCTAAGTAACACAATATTTTATAATTTTTAAAGATGAAACTATAATTTATCATTGTATTATGTTTGGAAGTTCTATGCAAGCATATTTTATGCCCATTTATAGATTGCTTTGCTTTATTTTTCATTGGGTATATGCAGTGCATCAGAAGTGAATAAACATGATCATAGACCCAGTTATACTAATAGTTAAGTAATACCCAAATATAAGAGCAATTTCTGTATATATCTAAATATATAGACTATAAATGTTCTCTTATTCCAGCATGAGATAAAATATATAAATTCATTTATTATACACATAGGTAGGAAAATCAATTATATTCTTGCAAAACTGTGTTGTGTTGATCACTCACTATAAAGTATTTGCTCAGTTCACATATACATTTTATTAAAATGCAAGATTTTTACTAAAATATTACTTTAATTTTGAAAAAAAGAAATGTTTCGCAACATTCTTTGTATCTTAGATGTAAATAAAGTGCAGTAAATGCAAATAGCAGCTGCAAGATGTTGGAGACCCCCAAAAATTTAGCAATAAAGAATCACTTAAGGTTAATAGCTAGGGCATTTAGAAATGATATCTTGAATTCACACAGAACTGTTTTTTAATATATTATAATATATTATGTAATATAATATATTTCACATCATGATCAAATTCTAATTTGATTTGATTGTAAATTCCAGTAAGAGAAATATTAGTTAATACTTTGATCATTGATTGTTAAATATTATATTACTTCGAGAATTAGTTGGAATGTTATACAAAGAAAAGAAACTTATAGCAATTTTAGTTAGGAAAATGCATTCTCAGCTTGCCTTATATTGTAGCAAAAATATAAGACAATGGATAAGTATCTAGTCCATTACATGTGGATAGTAAAGTTTACAAGACATGCAGTGTTCTTTCATATTCCAGTAAGACATGTTTTTCCCCCCATTAACCTCTTAAAACACCCAACCACAGAGATAAGGAAGCCCTATTTGCCACAACTCCCAATTCAATCTTCTCTTACAGGAATTCATACGATTTGTGTCTTCAAATTAAAGGAAATTGATGCTTTTCAACAGATGTCTATCTTTGTGCTTAAAGGCCACTCTCAGCAAATCTCAATTTAAATCTGATGCTATTTTAAGAATTAAGTTTTAGCTATTTAATCTCCCCCAGAATTCACATTATAAAAAATGTGCATATATGTGGAGGAGACAATTTAGAATGTATCAATAGTGTCATCAACATTCTGCCCAACTATTGGTATTCCCACACTTTAAATTAAAGAAAAAAAAAAGCACCCAACTCAAAAACCATGCCAGATATCCCACCAATAGGCACCTCACATTGATATTCCCTCCCCTCTGACTTAGTCCTCCCCACCCCATTGCCAATGTCAATAAACAAAATGTTAAATTGAGATAAAACACTGGCAATTTGAAGGTTTCTATGTGATCAACATTTCTTACCCCAAATCATGCAGAACATACCCCATAAACCACTGTTCCAAGGTTGCCTCTACATGGGAGATTCTCCTACCCCAGACACCTAGGCCTACCTGTCTGCCACTTAGAGAGGGAAGAGTGGTGGATTGTGCTGCAACTGGCAATGGAGTACACATGCTCCTTTCCTGCTGGAGGCCACTTATACAACCCCATGCCAGCTGTGGGTCATTCTGGGGGACGGGCATATCTTGGATCTGCTGATCACACCTGGCCCATGGTGTGCAGCAATCGCCAGACAGTCTGGCAGGTTGGAGAGTAATCCCACGCTGGCCCCTTTCCCAGGGGGCTTGGCAGGAGAGATCCTGTGGGAGAAGGAATCTCCATTTTCTGGGAGAAAGAGGAGCACTGTAGCAATACTTTCACTTTATCATTTTTCTACTCTCTTTTTCTTTCACTCTGAGTTATGCATTTAAAATAATGATCATAAAGTTAGTTTTAAATCCATGTATAAAACAGTACTAATTTTATATGATGCTAAAGGGTCACAATTTCTTCACACAATGCAGCATTCATACTACACTATACAGACTGTAAGTAGGGCATTATACTCTAGTCCATTTGAAAGTTGAAAGCATAGGTCAATGGTTCCTTTTTAAATTTCATGTAAATTAAAGGTAAAATGGTGCTGAATTTAATGTACATGTAATGAACCAGAAAAGTGTGATTTAGTGTAAGATTACAATATATTCTATTCATCATACTTCCATGATGATTTATTTAGAAGTTCGTTTGTGCTCTAATTTGTCCAATAGCCAATGGCATTGGAAATATTCAAATTAGTCAAAACTGAGTAGTTTGAGATTTTGAAACACACATTGTTTCATTAATACATAAATAAACCAAATGTAAATACAGAGAAAAAACACTCTAAAGTATAATGAACCTACTCTGATTATAAACAAACTTGAACACATAACACACAAACAGGGCTTCTAAATAACTGTAAGTATTTACTATATTTTACGTTTTCATTGACACATATACCAGAGTATATTAAATGCACTTTCTTCTTGCATTCTTTGAATACAGAATTTCAGGAAGAAGCATGCAATTTTTGGTAATTCAATGAAATATAAAGATGAATCAGAAGTCCGGTATAGAATGCATCATCCATTGGTTCTGGATTTAACATACAAAATCCGTAAAAGAACTGAAATGTTCTGAAGGTATGTTTTCAGTTTAGCATTATTTTTTCTAGGAATTCACAAGTTCAAAAAGATGTCTCTTTGGTTGTTAGACAGCACTAATCAACTATCTAGAGACATTTTTTTTAAAACCCAAATCTTTAACAAAATTGTTATTTTGGATTTGGGAATCCATTTTGGGTTCTCCGTAACGATATTGGTAGGCCTTGCCAGTAAGTGCTCATGTGCTGATTTAAGAAATAAAGTTTAGAAAATGTGGAAAGGAGAGGACAGAGACAAACATAACACACAATCTAGCTTTATTAATAGAACACATATGCAATTATAAAGGTAATTAGTCACTAAGAGTGAGAGCTGTTAGTAGCCATGATAGAAAAAGTACACATACAATGTTATAAAAAGTAAATGAGAGATTCAAGATGTTGCCATGCCAACATGAAAATGTGATGTTGAGAAAATCTAAATCAATTCTGATGATAATTAAAAATGTAAGTAATGGAGAAATACATATTTTAAAATTCAATCTTGTTACTTGACCTAGTAGTCCCTATAAAAGATCTTTTAAAACATACTTTGAGGTAAAAAAAATTGAAGTTATGTTCCCTAAGGAACATCACCTGCCATTAGGCACTAATCTTCCTTAAAATTTGTTCTCATATTTAAGGAAACTCATAAATTCTTCTTGAATAGCCCAAGGACACAGAACTTTTCAGAGATTTTAATGCCAATGTAACATATTAATCTGTTGGCCCTTCCAGAAATGTTTATTTTGGCCTTATTCAGTCTGCATGACGCTTTGCTCAGTGATTAAAAAAAATCATCGTAGTGTGTAGCATGTCAACAATGAAATAAGGTTCTTAGATGAAGTCTATCACACAGATTTTTTTTTCTACTTTCCCTCAGCTTGAATCTCTCTCATGCAGTTATTCTGTTGGATGAAGTGGCATTTCAAATTTGCTCACTCAGATTTGGGACATTAGTCTCATTCTGAAGCACACCAATGCTTCCAGAACTACCAGCATGCTGTAATGAAAGGTACCGCCATGAGACTTGAAGAAGTATCTGACTTTGTCCCAAAATCTATCTGAATAAGAAAAACGGACAAACAAAAAGATAAGGAGAAGAAAGAGGAAACAAAAGCTAAAAGGTTCACCTTAACTTTCCCAGCATTTTCGTCATCTTCTTTTTTGTCTTCAAATTCAAAGGCAACAGTCATGCGTTGTTGTCTCTGCTCTTCCCACAGTGTAGGGTTAAAGCTGTCACTGTCTGACTGGAAATCTACAGTTAGATTCCAAAGTATTATTGTTTTTTTAAAAAACAATTTTACACAAAGTATTTAATATAGTATGCAAAAATGGTGATAGATACTACAAACAAATACGGAAATAAAGAAGAAAGAAAGAAAAAAAGAAAGAGAAAGAAGGAAAGAGAAAAGAATAAAATTCCCTTGATATTTATTACATGGTCTTTTGTAATCTTAACTCAAATTCAGTATTCCTAAAATACTCAGGATCGGGAAATTTTCTAGTGTAGGAAATGGGGTCCCCATAGGACAATAATAATAATATAGAGAGTTAGACCAAGCATTTTAAAGCGTTATCTTTTTCAATCCTTACAACAACACAATGGTATTACTAATCTCATCCTTACTTTACTAATGAGTTTTAAGGGACTTGCTCAAAGTGTTAAGAGACTTCTCAGTGGCTAGTGCAGGATTCTGTTCCTGTCTAAATAGAATCCTTATTTGTAACTGCTAAACTCTATACAAATTTCTTTTATAAAAGTTACCACATAACATTGACTTTGCAATAAGGTATCTAAGATTGCAACCTTTTCCTTTTATTGTGGGGTCAATGAGGGGAGCTTGTTTTTTGGTAGAAAACGTGGAAAATTTAGTCTGTTGCAGTTAGTTTAAATATGTCAAATTAACAGGGAAATGGCTTATGAATCTTTTTTTTACATAAAATGTTGGCTAATGATAATATCTTCTTTGCAACATTATGGCAAAGATCACATGAAAATGCAATAAAAGTACTTAGTTAAGGCTAAATTCTTTTCCAAAGGAGGTCCTTTATCATATATGTCTTTCTTTGTTACAAGGGATTCTGAAAACTCATTTATTACACTCCTGCCTGGAAAACCAAAGGATGACTTAATTTAAGTTCGAGGAAACTTTTCAATTACCAACCTTTCTTTTCTCAAAGAAAAAAACAAAAACAAAAGCAAACTCAGCTAGGCTAATTCCTTAACACTACACCTTACCTAACTGAATCTACCTTGGGACAAATTAGGGATTCAATCTGTGAGATCATATCTCAGAAATGACCAGTGAATATGAGATACTTTTCACTTTTTCCCTATATTCTTTTGAAGTTAAATATTTTGATAATGTAGAGCTATTAAAATGAAAATATAAGTAAAGCTGCATGAATATAACATAATCCTTACTTAAGATGTCTCTTATAAAATGTGTAAACATGGTGGTTTTTCTTTTATCAATTCAAAAGGTTAATTTTATTGACTTATAAAAATACATATTAAAACAATCTTTTCTTTTCCTACTTCTGTAGACAAAATTTAAAGAAAAATATCCTAAAATATTCCAAAATGATTCACTTACATTTGGAGGTCAAAGACTAAAGTCATTTATTATAATTATCCCTGGAAATAAGAAATACATAAACAAATGGTTTCTTTTACAAGTTGGCCTCATTCACATGGATTGAGTAGATTTAATCCATGGCTGGATTAAAATAAGTTTACTCTTCCAAGAATTATTGTTACTCCATAACTATAGAAAATGTTCATATCAGCTTGTGTTGGCTTGGGCTAAGGAGCCTATGCTAAGTTTCAAATAGCAAAGGACAAAAAGCTCTTTTAACCTTTTTAAATGAATAATGTGATCATAGAAGAGAAGATTTAATTATTGAAAAAGGATTTAGGGATATTGGTTAGGGAAACTCAACTTGAAAAGAAAGAATGGTCTTATTTGCAAGTATCTATTTATGGTTGACTTAGACCATGAAATAATTTGAGTCCAGAGATCATTGGACTAGATGTTTAAATTGTGTTCATGCAATAAATGAACACAGCAACTAAACCAGTTCATTGAAACTTCCTTAGGATCTGACTGCTCTTAGCTCATTTCAATTAGCTGGTTACCAGATCTGCTTTACTAGTCATGTGTCTTGCAATCCATAAAGAGAAATAGTTGCTCCTAAAAATCAACATTATTTTTATGTAAGATATAAAGATGAAGAGTTTTGTTTTGGAAGCTTATCTAAAATAGAGTAGAAAATAAGACTTATGCTTAAAGTACATCCCCAAATGATATTTGTGTGTCATGTAATTATCTTTATAAGCTTGTCCATGTGCCAGTACTCCTGGCCAGAGATCTGAATAAAATTAGTTATTTCTATCCATAATCATTATAAGTAGAGAAGAAATTTCTACTGACAATTTACCTTCATCACCACGAGGCTGCTGGGGAAACATGTAGTTAGTCAATACTCTTTGCTTTGTTTCTGGATGGGCTTCTGTTTGTAAAGGGATAAGGGCTTTGGACTAGAAGCAAAGAACATACAAATTAGATGAATACAATTGCAAATATATAACAGTCAATAGTCTGGTCTCACTCAGATAAATAAACATTGGGGGGAAAAAGTGAAAAAAGAAATAAAATAAGAAATTACAACATGAAATAATACTATTACTGAGGAATATTTTCATATTCTAAGATTTTCATAATAAAGTTTTCTTCTTCTTTAGTATATCCTTTTACAAAACTTATCAAAACCTATTCAACTGGGCAATGTCAGATTTAATCCTGAACAGTTCAAAATGTGTTAAATTGTTTCAACTAAGTAAGCTTTTGGTACAGTTCTATATGCCTATTCATTTTCATGGATTATTGCCCTAGAAAGACAAATGGAATTTGCTATCAAATTTATGCTATGCAAGATCATCTATGAATTTAATTAGGTTAAAACAGCATTCACTTATTTATAAGAGATATTTTTATAGCCAAAGACAGGGTCCACTTTATAGATAAGCAACTGTACTTGTACCTGATATATCATAATATATTGACCTCTGTGCATATTTCATTCTGTTATTAGTTTGATTTCAGAAATATTCATTCTGAAGGGATATTCTAGAACTCTGATAGTCCATGTCAGAAATATATTGGAAATGATATTATCTAATATACTAAAAATCTGCTTATTTAATGACATTAATAGGAGTGAAACACAAAGGGGATTTTTGATATCAGTTTGTCTCATGAAACTGAGTCATAACCACATTACATTACTCTTCTAAATAAAAGTTAAATGATGCAGTCACTGCTCTGTTCATTCTCCCACAAGAATAATAAATCATATTTTTTTCCCATAATGCAATACTGTGGAATATACTATTACATTAGCATAGTTCACATTGATTCCAGAAATTATTTATGATGATATATTGATGCCTTGAAAAATCTATAGTTTATTGATAAGATTTGAATTTGAATTACTAATTTTTGACTCAGATGGAAGCAAATGCTGTAATTACTGTAGGAACACAAACAATATTCTTATATTTAGATTTTATAATTTGTAAAGGTTATTTTAAATTTTCCACAAGTGTCCAATGACTGTAAATATGAACAATTCACGTACCAGTAATGCTACTTTTATGCTCAGAAAATAATGATGAGCTAAATTCAAGATGAATTGTTTTCATTTAGCCATTCATATTTGAGGATAGGTGTTTCAAAATTTAAGGATCACAAGAAAAAAGAGGACTAATAAACTATATAAAAATTGTCTATCATTAGTTCTTCTGTAGGCAAATCAGTTATCTTCAATGGTTTCTTGTTATTTTCCAGTTAATAAAATTATTTACTAATGCAATATTACTGATTCAATTAAAATCTGTTTTCAAGAGGATAAAAAATAATATCAAAACAATTTTACAGAAAATACTAATAGTTGCCAAAAAGATATTGCAAATTCCTTTTTTTTTTTTTTTCTGAGACAGAGTCTCGCTGTGTCACCCAGGCTGGAGTGATCTAGACTCACTGCAACCTGTGCCCCCCGGGTTCAAGCGATTCTCCTGCCTCAGCCTCCCGAGTAGCTGGGATTACAGGCATGCTGCCGTGCTGGGCTAATTTGGTATTTTTAATAGAGACAGGGTTTCACCACATTGGTCAGGCTGGTCTTGAACTCCTGACCTCAAGTGATCTGTGTGCCTCGGCCTCCCAAAGTGTTGGGATTACAGCATGAGCCACCGCGCCCAGCCTGATATTTCAAATGTCATTAATGAAGCTTTTGAATTAAGTTGATTATAATTAAAAGGATAAGAAGAAAGAGGAACATAGAGGATAATAATTCCCTGTTGTGGGGATTGTGGTAACAATTTCTTATTCTTTACCTTCAGAGATATAATTAAAGTACATCCTCTAAGGACCTACGTGTACCACCTAGAAGTTAAAAAGCTATAAAAATGATCATTTTGTGTATTAGATCTCAGAGAATTAAGTAGATGTTAAATAGAAGTATTTAAGGAGGGTGGGGCTTACAGTACTGTTTTGACTTCAGCAATGTTTGAATTGCTATCTTTACAAAATTCTCTCTTTCTGGGGATAAAAACAATCTACATTTTGTAGCTGCTGTCAAAGGTATCTATTGGGAATAAATTAGTAATTCAAACTTTCAATTATAGTTCATCTTAATAAATAAATCAGGCAATAAAACCTTTTACCTGATTGTCAGAAAGCCACAAAGCTGCAAGCTCTTTAAGTTTGGTAAATGAGAATGGTAAATTCTTCAATCTGCAAAAACACAAAAAGTCTAATAGCATGGGTAAAGATGGATAATAGTTCATTTCTAAGAATTATTTAAAATACTCTAACTTGTTGGTTTCATTCTTTTCTTGAATCCCTTCTCCATTGAGCAGCCTGAACAATATTTAAAAAAATGAAAATATCCTATTTACAACCCTTCAAATACTTCCCATTATATCTGAATAAAAATAAAAAATGTTTAACATGTATGGTTAGAGCTTAAAAGGTCTGGCCCCTAAAAATCCCTCCAGAAGTTTATCTGCAACTCTTTTCCTGACTCAGTCCCGTCAGGACAACTGGCTCTATCGGCCTGCTCTTTTTTCTGGCATACTCTCTCCCTTACTTCACTTTACTGAATCCCACGTATCTATTCACTCTTAGCTTAAATGCCATCTTCTCAAAGAGGCTTTTCTTGACTCCTCATTTAAATTACTTCCCTCAATCTGGTTTCAAAGCACCTTGTATTTTCCTTCATGGAACATACTGCAGTTTTAAATTATACATTTATTTTTGTGATAATTTGCTTACTCTTTGCTATCCCTTGAAAACTAAACTGTAGGCTCCATGAGGGCAAAGGGCAATGCTTGTTTTACTACTAAAGGAAGGTACAGCTCCCAATATTATGTTGACCTTCAGCAAGTATGTTCTTTTGACCTTCATGCAATGTGTAGTAGATATTCAAAGGGGTAATCTTTAAAAAATTAGCACTTCTAAGATGTATAACTTGATATTAGCCTTGGTATTCAATCAAAATTATATATTTAGCTTTGGCTTCAGCCTTTGGAGGGCCAAAGTACTTCACACTATCTGATATCCTTCAAATTATGCATGATCAACACATCGTGATCACATGGGTTACCATCAAAGCTAGTTAGCAAAGTGAGTAGTACAAACAAGGCATGCCAATGAGACTTATTACTAACTTCTGGATATTCACTTTTGAATACAGATAAACATTTTAGATATAATATAGAATGAAAATTTCCTTGTCTTTAATGTATTAGAATTCTGTCAGCCAATAGATAAATAAATTTATTTTGATAATGGAAGTGGGCAATCTTACAGTAATTAAAAATTAATTTTATAGTTAATTTTATGAGCGAAAGCAGTTAAACACTTCTTAAAATCTAATAAATATGAAAAGAGATTGAAAGGCAATAGAAATATTAAAACTGCATTATATAGATAACTTTAGAAAAAATATAGTAACCTTTCTGAGCTAATAAATATTTATAAAATATAAACATGAATATAAAGAATAACTGATATTAAATTATATCGCAATTCTTTTTTATATAATTGTTACAGTAACATTTATAACTTTAAGCCAAATTACCCCTAAAAGTTATTCCTAACTAAAAGTTATTTCAATTCACTTAAGCCAGAAATTGTGAAGTAAGATCTTATTGGGAGAGTTTTTCACAACGTATGGGGTATATTAAAAGCAGAATGTCAATTCTGCTGCACTGAAATTACATGAGTGCAAAACTATCCAGAATCATGTAAACAACATCCATGATATCATCATCAATCCAGTCATAAATGTAGAATATGAAGAAACTGCTAGAAAAGGGCAAGATACCCTTGATTTTCTTTCCTTTTCCAGTGACCTCTATTGCAAGTGAGCTCCTATTTGGTAACATAAATGTGCAGTACATTGACCACAGGAGCAATCTTGCAGCTGACAAGGCAGAGGAATCATTGTTCCTAACTATAATGTCAAACTTTAAAAATCTAGTACATTTTAAATACAAAATTATAATAATCATTACTTTTGGATGACATTGCTTAATCTTTTCTCCAAACAGTTCCTTCTCTGGTGGTAATATTTAACTTTGGCCTAACTTTAGCTGAATATTGATTTTTACCTCTGCTTGATTTACTGATTGATTCATTAATTTAAAAATAGTAATTTGGCTCCATAGTATGTTCCAGCAACTGTACTAGGACATAACTTAAGCTTATATTTCTGTCCTGATGAATTTATTTTAAACTTCTGACATTGTGAGCTCCTCTATGTATTATTCATAAATTTCACCCTAGCACCTGGCAGTGTGTCTGGCTCATTGTAGGTGAACTCAAGTCTGCTACAGTTGTTGAATAAGTATCTTCAAAGTATTAATAGAACTTCTAATTATGGATCATTGATAATATTTGCTAAGTATATTTTGCATACGATGAATGAATTATTTTCATTCATAATACCAAGAATTTCCTAATCTTATTTATAACAATATAATTAGAGATTTTAAAAAATGTCTTGCCAAAAGTCAGAAACAACTTTCAACGTATTTTCCTCATTTTCCAGGCTAGTAACACAGTCAGAAGAGGAAGCAAGGTTGGTTTGACATGACTTGCTCTTGATGCATAAAGCTTTGGTGCTTCCTTGTCACCTGATACTATAAATAACATTCCAAACTTTTTAATAAAATGTTTTATTCCCTTATGTGGGAATATTATTAACTAGTAAATGAAGTTTTGAAGTTCACATTTTTCCTTAAACTAAGAAACAAATGAGAATTCCAATGCTTATCCTGAAACTTCTAAAATCTGATTATTCTTATGATTCCATAAAAGCTAATCTTTGATCATTTCATTGCAAGTTCTCTCAGTTCCTTTTATTATCAATTGCCTAGTTGAAACTTATTGAAAACATAGAGCTCATGCATTATATTTTGTGATTATTTTATTTTCTTAGCTGTTATCTCTAGTCAATATTTGTTCTTATCCTTTCCTATTTGAGGATAATTATCTTTTATAGAGTAGGTGGAAACAAAGATGAATTGAGGTTTGCACTTTTTCTTTTTACCCATCTATCAATATAATGCCGTTATTGGAAGTAAAGGACCTATCCTTTCCTCATTCATCTGCTCTAAACATGACTAAACAGCCATTTCGTTGTCAGTATTCTAATGAGCACTTTGATGGAATTGAAAATATACACATTGCCCAGTTAATTTGTTGGAAACCAAAATATAGACGTGAAAACACAAATGTGTGCATACATACATACATAGATATGCACATTTTTATTAATATATTTTCTATATTTTTATTATAGTTTTCCATGTCTTCATATTATTATGCTTTCTGCATATGGGAAGGCTTTTGTATATAAATTTGTGTGATTCATATTTATATAATTTTAATACATTACATATGCTTTTGATATAATCAAATAACAAAATTCAGAAATACTTGGTTTAAAAAATAATTTACCTTCTGCTATTTTAAGGAAAGTATCAGTATTTGCATTCCGTATATGTCGAAACGCAGAAAATGTTATCAAAACTATAGGCAAAAAAACTATAATTTGCTTTCAGCAAATAACTAATATGTGATTGTGAAATGTTGCAAAAATACCTGTTGTCACTCAAATTTAGGACTCTTAGTTTCTGCATCTGTCCAATCTCTTCAGGAAGAAATTCTAATTTGTTGGAGCGTAGAGACATGACTGTTACATTCTTACAACTTCCAATCTGTAGGTAACAAAAGAAAATAGGTAAAAAAATCAGACCACAATACTATTTTTATATTAATTTTTCTAATTTTTAAAACAATTTAGTAGATTTTCTTATTTTTAACTTTTAACATGTGCATTGTTTTGTTTTTATAATGTAGCTCTTTAAAATATAGGTATATTATATATATTATTTTAGATATTAAGGGAATTTATACCAAATTTTCTTTTACATATTAAAAATGAAGAATTTTCTTTATAATTTTATGCTTAAAATACTTGCTAACATTATTGTTTTCATATATCATATAATTTTGTCTGTCGAAGTGAGTACTAATATATCTTTGTTTATAACAGAAGATCATACACACTCAAAAATACAATATTGTTGACATTTCCTAGGCAAAGTTAGTTTTGCTTCACATTAAAGTGTTTTTCGTCATTTTTAATAATATGTTTTGGCTCTAAGATAATTATATGTTGTTTATTGTTGCATCATTATAAGAATGTTTAGTAGAAAATGCTCAATTGAAAATGTACTTCACATACAGCAAACTTGAGCACCAAGTAAATTTAAAAAATGTACTTTATACTTTTTTGATATTAGTAAGTAAAATCCCACTTAGATGTAAAAATTAACAGAATCTCTTGGTGGATCCAGAAGTTAAAATAATATTATAATGCAGCATGATACCTTAAAAAGCATATGTACATTTAAAAAGTTTGCTACAGAAATATAAATGTAATTACTCCAAAATATTATTTATAACTATTCTGAAAACCAAAAGATATAAATTAACTGACTTTAAATGATATTTCCTAGCATTAATTAACTTTTATTTTCTTACTTTTATTTGCATGCGAGATTTAAGTCAAATGCAATTTCTGGGTCAAATATAAGAACTTGTCATTTAAAATAGAATAATTAGCAAATATATATGTAGATAATTCCTATATATATTCACAGCTCAACTCATGAATCTACATTGCTATTCTACCTGTTAAGATTTTACTCCAAAACAGATTAATTAAAAGTTAATAAATAGAAAACAAGTTTATTTCTCACTTCTCTGGGTAATTCTGGAAGGAAATTCTCATCAACTGCTAATGTCCGAAGACTATGAAGGTAGCCAATAGTAGAAGGTAGTGACTCCAGTTCATTACAGCTACAGTCAAATTCTTCTAATAAAGATAAACTGAAAAGTTAAATACATTAGTTAGACATTTTAAAAGTTAGATAGCAAAATGTTTTGAAAAAGCCACATATCCAAAATTCACCAAAACAAAAGTTATTCATGCGGTAACAACATAATATTATATAATTTACCAGTTCAAATGATTTAATACTATCAAATAAATGGTTTAACTTGGTAAAATAAATATAGTTTACTTTTTCCCTTTCTAAATTTACCTGTTATTTAACAGCCATTGAAAACGACAAAATAATTTTTCATTTGTTTACAACTTAGGTGTTCTTTGTAGCCAGATGTTCAGAATGTGTATCCTTGGAATGAGTGACTATAACTGTCATGGGGTAAGGAGAAGGGTGGAGAGGGCAGGTCCAGGGGATGATTGAGTTGGGAGAAACAATAAAAACAAAACATTGATAAAATGTTAGGTATTTTACTAAGCATTTTAGAGATTAAAGAAAAAAAAAACCACCAATTCTCTTCCTCATAAAAACTATTTAAGATATGTAATATTTTAAAGCCCATTTTACAGATAAGAAAATTGAGGCTTAAAGGGGCTAACTTCTTCAAAGCCACACAAAATAACAACTCTGGGAATTAAATGCAGACAGTAGAGAGTCACTGTATTATCCTGCCTCTTAGCAGGTGCTATGGACAGGGCTCATTTCAGCCTGCAGATGTGTTTTGTTTGATTTATATAGTGGTATTTTAGAAAGTGTTAAATTATATAAGTATTTAAAATTTTACATAATGATCCAGAGTTTTGATGCCTCTTGAAACAGAGAAAGCTCTGTCAATACGGGGTCTGTATTCTTCCATGACAAGTAATGGAAATGGATTAATAGCTGCTGCCTTCAAATGGGCATAATTCTTCAGTGTGCCTCCAGTTTGTCACAATCCCTACCAGTCCATACTTAGCCGGCTTTACTTCAGATCTACAGAAAGGAATTGTATAGATGTACATTGAAATTATCACAAGGCAACAAGACACTTCAATGCCTGGTTTGAGATAGCTGGGAAAAAAGGGCCTGGCACAGAGTAAGCACCAGATACATTGCAGTTGGCGTTGGTATTGTTGAAATTATTATTAAACTGTTCTTACTATTCCTATTATATTGCTATTATTATAATAGGAAGGAACCCCCAGGGGTGAAGATTCTACCAATGTAAAGGGAAAAATGAATTTGAGTTAGGTGGAGTAAGGTTGTAGAATTAGAATCCTTTTTTTTTCTTTTGTTGAGATGTAGTCTTGCTCTGTCATCCAGGCTGGAGTGCAGTGGCACAAACTCAGCTCACTGCAACCCCCACTTCCTGGGTTCAAGTGATGCTCCTGTCTCAGCCTCCCAAGTAGCTGGGATATAGGCTCCTGCCACCACGCCCAGCTAATTTTTGTATTTTTAGTAGAGATGGGGTTTTGCCATGTTGGCCAGGCTGGTCTCAAACTCCTGACCTCAAGTAATCTACCTTCCTCAGCCTCCCAAAGTGCTGGGATTACAGGCGTGAGCCACTGTGCCTGGTCAGCATCCTTTTTTATGTTAAAACTAGTTAGCTTGAATGCAATTTGCTTCCATTATTTATTTAACAATTGAACACAGAAATTAAGCATATGGGTTGAAGTCAGAATGGATTTGTGTCCCAGCTTTGTAACTTACTAACTGTATTATCTTGGGTATCAATAAATTAAATACAGAACACCACAGCTCAAAAAACAAAGCAGATTTTATTTATCTGATATGCAAGGGAATACATCAGGGAAGAAATTCACTGAGTAGCACTCTGAGGGGAAAAATCAGTGACTGAGGGGCTGGTGATAGTGGGTCATGATGATTATACTCACTAAGGGTTGAAAATTTGCATTATAGAGAGGGTGGGATGAGTGCACAAGTCTGTGTGCAGCTAAGCAAATCAAGTACCACTGTCCATGGGTCATGAAAAAATCTAATGCAATTAGGATCAGTCTGACTCTGACCAAGGTCATTCAAACTTCATCACCTTAACAGATTCAGCTGATTAGAATGAGTTGTGGTGAAACACAGCATTCAATTTTGAGTAACAGCTCTTAGGAAAGTATTGCTTAAGTAAACATTTTTCCTTTTATATTGACAAATCATAGAAATTCTCTCTAAGCTGGAGATTCTTTATATTTACAATGAGGATACTAATAATGCCTGCCTCATGCAGTGGCTCTAAAATGAAATGTTATTAAGAACTTAGCACAGTACCTGTCATAAAATACATGTTCAGTACATTTTTCCTCTTATTATCAGTAAACCGGTTAAATTTGTTTCAACATCCTTTGAGGCCCCTCATTTGCAGGGATGGTTATGTTGCTGGGATGCCAAGTGTACATAACTGTGTTACTCTGTGTATGTGTGTTTGTGGGGGCAGGAATCCATATATGTGAGGGATCTAGTAACAGAGTTTGTTTCTCAAAAAAAAAAAAAAAAGAAAGAAAGAAAGAAAAAAAAGAAAGTCTAGCACTGGGTCTTACATATATAATGCACTCAATAAATTTTTTAGAATTGCATAAAAGAGGTCTCTATCAATAGTTTGGGGTCGTGTACTCAGCAAGGAGTCATAAATACTAGGAATTTTTTAAAATAAAAATTACAGATTTATGTTCAGGGGCAGAAGTTAAAGAAGGTATTTAATGAAAATAATATAATTAAGGTTTCTCTCTTTTTTCTTTTTTTATAATAAAAACATGTATTGAAGTTAGTCTTGGTCTTGGTAAGGTGGTTGTCACCTTGCACAATTCCAATGTGTGAACATTTCAGTTGTCATGTTTCATTCAACAACACCAGTCTCCCAACAAACTGGCTCAAATTTCAGTTACCTTGGTATTCAGATGAGTAACTGCATCTCAGTTTCTTCAGTCCACATATTACAATGTGAATAACAGATGTACATTGTGATCAGTGACCGGTCACGTCACTTCCTTCAAAGTCTGTCAATGATTGGTCATTGCCCTTCTGTTATTTGGCTCACACACAGACAGCAAAACATGTGTTGCCTTCCTGTCTCTCAGCAGTAGACAGATACTATAGACCAAATAATTTAACCATTAAAGCACTACAACTATTGGATAATGCTCTTGGTCACCCTAATTCTCTTGGAGATTGAAATTAAAATGTGAAAATTTGCTTTATACCACCAAGGAAAACGTCATTAATCCAGCCTATAGACCAAGGAGTTATTTCAACTTTTAAAGTGTATTATCTTAAACAGACTTTTGAATAGGGTATTCATGCTACAACTGGTGATCATGCAGTTTCTTTACCTGTGTTCTAGATGAAATATGACATGAAACATACAATTTAAAACATTCAAGCATCATGGCAGAAAGTGACAATAAGTAATATGCATAGAGCATAGAATAAACTTTTAGCACTGTGATGGTTAATACTGAATGTGAACTTGATTGGATTGAGGGATACAAAGTATTAATTCTGGGTGTGTCTGTGTAGGTGTTGCCAAAAGAGATTAACATTTGAGTCAGTGGGCTGGAGCAGGCAGATCCACCCTTAATCTGGTGGGAACAATCTAATCAGCTTCCAGTGAATGTAAAGCAGGCAGAAAAATGTGAAAAGGCGAGATGGGCCTAGCCCCCCAGCCTACATCTTTCTCCTGTGCTGGATGCTTCCTGCCCTCAAACATTGGACTCCAAGTTCTTCAGTTTTGGGACTAGGAGTGGCTTCCTTGCTCCTCAGCTTGCTGACAGCCTATTGTGGGACCTTGTCATCGTGTAAGTTAATACTTAATAAGCTCATATATATATATATCTCTGATTAGTTCTATTCCCCTAAGAGAACCCTGACTAATACAAGCACATTGTACAAATAAATTTGAATCTAACGTAAATGAAATCATACAAGAAATAGTTGCCCATGGGAATGCTGACACTGCTACTACTAGGAAGACTCTAGATAAGCTTCTAGAGGACCTAGTGAAGGCAAACTTATATACATAAATGAGGAAAGTGTGATGAAAAGAATGAAGATGTCCCAGAGGAAGTTGCTGGCAATAAACCTCACATTAAAGGAACTTTCAGAGATATCTCATGACACTGAAAGCACAAAAGATAAAATTTTGGAAGTGGATCTAAACTTAAAAGGAACATGACAATTCATTAATGCAAAGAAAAGATGTTCACACTGTTTAACAACGTATCATGAAAAGACGGCAAGCATTGTTCAAACTAACCCTGATATGTTTTTTAAATTAAAATAAGCCTTAATTCTCAGTGTTTCTAATGTTTAATATTACATTATACAAAAATAACTATTAGTTTTACTATTTTTTTCATTTTTCCTATGCATTTGTAACCTACATTAACAGTATTTAATGCTTGGACAAAAGGTTTTAAAGACCTTTTCTAAGAACAATCATAATGTTTCCCATTGATTATTAAGACTGTTTTGCACAGTTTCAGATTGCAAGGTCATTTTTACGATCCCTGTGAAATATTGTGATTTATAATAAGAAATACATATTTGACCTTCATCCAGTTCTTGGCACAGAATTCCTAAAACCCTTGGAATTGCCAAAGTGATAAGCGTCTTTCTGGATGCTAATGAAATGACTTATGGCTAAGGGCTCTGGGATAGCCTCAGAATGGGGGCTGGTTGCCAAGGGAACCACCTTGTGATTAGAGGGCTGGAAGTTTCGGTCTCACCCCCTGACCTCTGGGGAGGGGAGAGAGGCTGAACGTTGAGTTGATCAGCAATGGGCAATGATGTGATCCATCAGGCCAATATAATGAAGACTCCACAAAAACCCAAAAGGTCAAGGCTTGGAGAGCTTCCATGTTGCTAAACACACAGAAATGCTGGGCAGGTGGCACACCCAGCAAGGACATGGAAGCTCCTCATCCCTTCTCACACACCTTTCCTTTTGTACCTGTTCATGTGGCTGCTCATTTGTATCCCTTGTAATATTCTTTATAATAAACTGGTTAATGTGTTTTCCTGATTTTTGTGAGCCATTCTAGCAAGTGATTAAACCTCAGGAGGGAGTGATAGGGAGCCCCAATTTATAGGTGGTCAGCCAGAAGTACAGGAGGCCTGGACTTGTGATTGGCATCTGAAAAGGGGGGATAGTTTTGTGGGACTGAGCCCTGAACCTGTGGGATCTGATTCTAACTTCAGGTAGGTGTGTCGAAATTGAGTTAAACTGTAGGGCACCCAGCTGGTATCCACTGAGAACTGCAAAGTTGCTTGGTGTGGGAAATCCCATACACATCAGCGATCAAAACTAGTCTGTGTTGAGTGTTGATAATTCAGTAGGAAAAACACATATTGGTGATTTCTTTCTTTCTTTTTTTTTTTTTTTGAGACTGAGTCTTGCTCTGTCGCCCAGGCTGGAGTGCAGTGTTGCGATCTTGGCTCACTGCAGCCTCTGCCTCCCGGGTTCAAGCGATTCTCCTTCCTCAGCCTCCCCAGTAGCTGGGAATACAGGCGCCCACAATTGTTTGGTGATTTCTATACAGTCCCGCACTACTCTGCAGAGCAAGGACTTCCTGTATTAAAAAAACATTTTGACTGCACCATGGGCAATAAGGAATTAATAATTTAGAGCCTGAAAGTATTTTACATCTTTGGGTTGCAACAAAGATCTTCCAGATGCAAAACACATATTCCTCAATGATCTCTAAAATTCCAGAGATTCAAACTCATAACCTACAATTCCAGCTGACCTTGTTGGTGGCTATTTTGTTAAAAATCATTTAAGTTGTTTTAATACAAAATCCGGTATTAAAACAGTTATCATATTTAATCAGATTGCCACTGACATTTGTAATGAAGTGAAAAAAAAAAGACCAAAGGTTACCTTTATTTTTTCAGATGCTTTATTTTTATAATTGTGGAAAGTAAAAATAAGTTGCAAAGAATGTGTGAAGTACTTTAAAGCAGTGTTTCCCAAACTTCAGTGTGCATGCCAGTCACAAGGAGAACTTAATAAAATGCAGATTATGATTCAGTGGTTTGGGGAGAGGCCCAGGTCCTGCATGTATAACCAGCTCCTAGATGATGAGATGCTGCCAGTGCAGGGGCCACACAATAAGTTGCAAGGATTTAAATAAAACCTTTCCAAATCTATCAAGAGTATCATTTAAACACATAAAATAGACATATCAATAAATGCTAAACTACATATAAATATTACAATAGTTGTGTTTAGGTCATGTATGCTTCAGAATGAATGATGCTACTGGGAGTAATAATGTTTGAAATCAGCTGTATTGACTTCAGTTTCTAAAAATATTCTGTACAGTTTTCTCTACTTTAGTTTCATGTTCATGAGTTGCTCTTGGATAGGAAAATATTACTGTATCATTAACCCTCAATTACCTAGCTAATAGGGAAGAAAGATTGTGAATATACTACATAGATAATTTATAATTTCACTTTAACATCATTGGTGACCATTAGATATAATTAATCTATGATCAATGTAGATGATAATAAATATAAAAATAATTGGCTTTGGGCTTCACCTTCTTAATTCACTTTTAATTCTTAACAGAAGTAATGTAATTCAGTGGAAAATATTGAGACAGGCGTGGGCTCCAATTCTAGTGTAGATACTTAATAGCTGAGTGACCTTTATCTACTATTAACCCCTGTTTTCTCACCGATAAAATTGGTTGATAACATCTAACATATAGAGTTTCAATGAAGAGTAAATATATGCAAAACCCCTGAATGCTAAATGGAATAGATATCACATCCCATTAAAGTGGTCTGTTACGAGGTAGAGTACCTGGAAAAAAAAAAACGAATCTTGAACAATCTATTTCTGAAGCGTGTAAAAGTTGTCCTGCGATATTCCCTTGTTAAGATCAGTTGTTTCATAAAATAAAACTGACTTCTATTCCACAAAATGTAAAATTGTTTAGTAATATGTGGGAGAGGTAAATTTCAGATGACTCTGAAAAACTATTATTGTATTAACAAAGATTTAGTAGAGAAGTAGAGAGGAATATAGGAGAGAGAGACAGGCAGGGTGGTAGAGGCAGGGAGGAAGGGAAGGAGGAAGAGGGAGAGAGACAGAGAAAGAGAGGGAGAGAGAGCCGGGGGGAGAGAGAGAGAGAGAGATTTGTTTGGCAAAGGTGAGCTGCTTAACTATTCACTGTCTAAAAATGCCAGTATAACCGAAAGTAGACACCCAACTGCAGCTAGGCAGCTGGGATTGGAGTCTAGACCCTAATAATTACTAGTTACTTAATTACTGTGTACCTCAGTTTCATCACTGAGCAAAAGTGGGTGACAGCAGTACTTAACCACGTGTCATAAGGCCTAAACACACACAAAGGAATTAGTACATGTAAAACACTTAGAATGGGCACATAGCAAATGTTAAGTAACTTTTGCTGCTATACTCATTTTCAGAGATTCTACAATCAATTTCACTTAATTTAGGCTAGGAATCAAGTTTTAGGTTCCATTCTTAATTTTCTTTTTAACATTACATAAGTTGCTTGGGCTGCTTCTAAATAATGGTAGGAAATTTGCAAACTTTAGTCAGACTAATTCTTTTCTATACTGTTTTCCAAGTAAAACACACCCCATTTTAGTACCAAATCTCACGGCCTATGCTGAATTCAGTGAAAGTATGACGAAAACGCATTCATTAGAAACAAAATCATCTAGATTTTACCTCTGAAATGTTGAGTGATTTTAAGCAGCTATCATTATCATAGAGATAATAAACTTTTCATTTGAACCCAATTTTCCCATCTATCTAAAACAACTAGAAACCGTTGCTTTCCTTTTCACTATTTAGAAAGTTGATTAGACTGCTTGAAAATAGAATTTGCAAAAAAATTACGTTAGATTATTGGAGAAAAATATCATCCAAATGTGAAATATTGTTTAAAGTATTTTTTAGTGAACATATCTGCAACTGATGAGTAGAGAATAGCTTCATTCATTAGCAAAGACTATTTTTTTTTTTAAAGATACTATATGTTCCAAGTTGGGAGACTGAAAGATTTCTTAACTAATGAAAAATATGGAAACATTTCATGCATGCAGGAGTAAGTACTGCAATTAATATTTGCCCACAGGACATAAACAGTCACAATTCTGAAATGCTGGGGAAGGAAGTGGAGGAGGAAGTAGGCAGTGAAGGAGGATGACTCTTAAATGGATATCATTAGTGGTTTTGTGCTTTAACTGAAATCTTATACAATCATCAGTGAAATTCCATTTGATCATTTCTTTGTACTTTTCTCAATAACTTTGTGTGTGCCGATGTGAAGATGCCTTTATTACTCTGGCAAATGCATTATTTGTTTTCTTTTCTTTTTTAAATTGCTCTAAGTTCTTTGACTTGAAAACCAACTGCTATGATTCAAAACAGTTTATTCTTCAGGACTCTGTCACAAAGCATGGAAACAATTTCAAACACCTCATCTCCTAAGAGTAGATGTTGTAAGTTTAAAAGATATATGTTATGGACTGAATGTTTCCCTCCAAAATTCATATGTTGAAGTGTTAATCCCCAATGTGATGGTATTTGGAGATGGGGCCTTAGGGAGGTAATTTAGAGTTGGATAAAGTCATAAGGGTGGGGCCCTCATGATGGGATTAATGCCTTTACAAGAAGAGAAACCAGGGCTTGTTCTTCCCTCCGACAACCAACCCATGCAAAGAGGTCATGTAAACTCACAGCAACATGGTGGTCGCCTACAAGCCAAGAGAAGAGGGCTCAGAATAAAACCTACCTTGCTGGTGCCTTGAACTTGGACTCCCCAGCTTCCACAACTGTGAGAAGTAAACATCTATTGTTTATGCCACCCCATCCATGATATTTTGTTATGTTAGCCGGAGCAGACTAAGACATTGTACTATTACTACATTTGCAAATACTTATATTTTTCTTTTTTAGAACCAGATATTTCATTCATGTTATATCACCAAACCTCATATAGATGAACATAAGCAATGATCAGTAAATAAATGTCTTTTTGGATTTTACTATTAATAAAATAATGACTGTAATAATTTATTGAAGCCTATCTAGTTCTAAGTGCCACAACAATTTCTGACAATTATTATTATTTCCATTTTACAGATGAGAAAAATGTGGCTCTGAGACATGAAATGACTTGCCCATGGTCAGTTAGTGAATGGGTGGAGGAGCCAGGATCAAAACCAAAGTCTAGTTCCAAGGCTTGCAAACAATCCTCTGGGCCATACTCTCTTGGCACAATGAAGGAAATGAGAAATGTTCAAGACATGATCCAGCCCTCAAGGAGCCTATATTCTAGTTGAGAAGACATGGCAAAATAAGCAACAAGTTAAATGATGATACAAAAGATAAACATGAGACTGATATTACATCTGGAAAAAGAAATGATAAGTTAGCAGTGTTTCTTTAACTTGTATACAGAGTCCTCCAAAATTATTTGTCCATGAAGCTTGCTTTTATGTCATAGCTATTAATGACCTTTGGCAAGTCACTTCACATCTCAAAGCCACATGTATTACCCTTCAGGATTCTGATGCCCATAGAGAAGAAGGGATTTATCTAGCTTTGCATAGACACTTAGATTTTCTGATTCCTAGTCCAGCAGTCTTTCTGTTTGACCACACTCTATGAAGGAATAGCTTTTAAAAACAACCTTTCAGATTTCTAAGTTTTCATTGCTTTTACCCAAGACTACAAAGCTAAGAACATAAGGCTCAGTCTGTGGTATCTCCTTCGCAGCTAGACTTATGGGACCCACTGAATGACCAAATATGAAGTTATTTACAAAATAACATATTTACAACTATCACATATATATATAAAGACGCATCACATATAGTTCAGTTAACAGCTTGGCATTGAAGTCTGGTGACTTCTCTCTGCCTCTGTTTCTGTATCTGTTGATAAGGACATAATACATATCAAATAATGCTAATGAGGCCTTTAAGTAAATAAGATAATACCTGTAAAGAAAGCACCAAACATGAGGTCTGGAACACTGTGAGTACAAAAAAAGGCGCTCATTATTATTTGATATTCAACTCTTAGAGCTGCTGAAACTCCCAGGCACATAGTAAGGTTCAGCAACAACAAAATAACTAATTTTACAAGTCATTTGGCACAAATGTCATGGAATCCATTTTAACTGTGAAAAATGAATTCTTCCAGGAGTTTTTAAGATAAGTCTGAAATACTGAAATATTCCGTGTGCAGAATAAGAATATTTTCGGTCACTGCGTCTGGTCTTTACATTTCCAGGCTTTCATTGCCCCAAGTTACAGATAGAATGTTTCATTAAAAACATAAATCGTTTGGCCATTTATGAAACTTTTATTTTTGATAAAACTTTTTAATACTTTTAAGATAATTATCCATTAAAACTAAAATGAGAATAAAACGAAGTATGTGAATAACCTAGCATCCATATTCACTTGCATAATTTCTCTATTTCTTTTTTTTATTTCTCTATTTCTTATTTTGTATTTTAACTCTGAATCAAGGCATTCAGTAGGAGAGTAGGTGCATGACAGTTCTAAATATGAAGCCATACTCATTACAAACATCATTAATGTTTGATATTCTCATCCTCTTACTAAAGAACACTGATTTCGATTTCTATATAGTTGTTCTGATTACTATACAACAACTATAATGGAATCAAAAACAAAAGTAGGTTAGGATCTAGTGTTGATAATTTTCAGAAACTATACAATTCTGGAGCTGGGAAACAAAAATGATCTTAATTGAGGTGAGGTATATACATTATGAGACAGAATAAAATAATGAGATGACAAAATAAAAATTATAGGTTGCGAAAAGTATCATGAAAGAAACAGTCGGAACAGGGACAGGAAATTTGCTGGTGATTATATTGGTGGAAAGTCATTTAGGGAAGGCCTCACTGTGGAAGATATATTTAAATCTAAATCTATAGCCTTGTTATTCACAATGTTTCCCGTGAATCTGCAGCATTGTTAACATCACCTAGGAGCTTGTGACAAGGGCAGAACCCAGGCCCTTCAGGTCCCAGACCTACTGGATCAGAACCGGCCTTTTAAACAAAATTCCCAGATAATTTGAATGCTCACTGATGTTTAAGAGTATGGACCTAGAGGATGTGAAGTAGTCAGCCTTATGAAGAGTGGGGAAAGAATATTTCAGGTAGAGGTAACAACAAATAAGAAAGCCCTGAGACAGGGAAAAGCCCAGCTTATTGGAGGCACAGGAGAAGGGCCAGTGTGGCTGAAGCCTAGTGAACAAGAAGAGTGGTACGATTACTGAATGGCAGATGTGATTACAGTCATGCGTCACTTAATGACTGGGATGAATTCTGATAAATATATCATTAGGTAATTTCATCACCGTGTGACCATTACAGATGTATGTACACAAACCTAGATGGTGTAATCTATTACACACCTACGTTATATGATATAGCCTATTGTTTTTAGGCTACAAAACTATAAGACATGTGATTTACTGAATACTGTAAGCAATTGTAACACAATGGCATCTATTTGTGTATCTAAACATAGAAAAGGTACAGTAAAAATACAGTATTATAATCTTATGGGAGCACAGTTGTATATGTGGTCAACTATTGGCATGACCGTATTATCACTATCATCAGGCCTGTATAGGCTGTTTATACATTTTATAATAAAACTTCTGAACTTTGTAGCATGAATTTTTTGTTATATTCTGGCAATGTTTCCCCAGTAATTAGTAGGAAAGCCCTATAGCAAAGATCCCTAGACATTTGTGTCTTCGAAGGCAAGTAGGGTGGGAATTGAAAGTACTCCCCTACTCTGAAGCCATTATTGAAGAATGAGTCCAGAACTAGAGTGGGTGGCAGCAGCAGCTTTCTGGGCTCCCAGGACCTACAGTGAGGAAGAGCACAGTGTGCCAGTAAGTCTGGAAGTGGAACAGGAACTTTACAGAAGAAGACCTGGGCCTATGGTCCCACACTTTTAGATACTCTATTTCTCAAGTAGTTACATCCCTACTTCAGATGATTTCAAAAAAAAATTTCTGGAAGATGTACATCCCAAATTTCTTCTGCTTTTTCTCCTATAAATCACAGTTCCACATCTCTCATGCTGGTCGCCCTCTTGTCAATTCACATAGATGATGTCCAGAACTGACAGAATCAGAAGTGTCAGAGAACACCTGAACTATTAGTACCTATTAATTTTGAGTGGATACTTCCATCTACCCAGCTAATGCTTCAGTGGTTTTCTGGACAGTTCCATTATTATATTGGCTATATTGATGATGGCCAATTGAAGCAATGATTTCTCCCTACTTCCCTAAGAATCTCTATTAAAGTTTTATCGGGTCTTTCAACAAAGCACCCACTCTGTCCAGCTCTTTTGAAATACTGCTTCTGTCACCAAACATAAGTATTTTTTTCTGGCTTTGTGGCATCTGAAAATTTAATGAGAATGAGCAGCTTTCAATAAGAAGCTTCCCTATTCTGCCTTCTCAGTGTTCATAGATGCTCTAATTCTCAGTCACTCACCCTGCTTTTCTGGAATAAGCCTTTTGTCCAAGCAAGTGAAAGCTGCTGACAGCCAACTGATGTTTCCAAATCTGTTCCTTTTGAATACAGTAGTATAAAAGCTTATACCAGGTCACTATTTAAACAGCTCAGTTTTCTCAACATTTACAATTCAACTACCAGGAAGATTTCAAAGGACATGACTAAATTCTGGTGGTAACATAGAAACTAAGACTGACTGTAGTTTAGGCTGTGTGTACAGAGCCAGGCTGCAAGCCCCACTTGGCTGCTGGGGAGGAGACAGAGTTAGAGCTTCAAGTTGCCTGTTCCTGAGGCAAAGTCTGGCATCAGGTACTGCTGGTGAAGGTCAGAGGCAGGAACTCACTCTGGGATGTGACGGGAGCTCAAGGCACACATGTATCCAGTGGTGGTCATGGGCTGATACCAGACTCCAGAAAAAGCTGGGAGGTCCTCACCTGGGAGGTCAAGAGGCCAAAATTCTGGCCAAAAATTACCAGCAAAGCTAGTTCTCAAGATGACCAAAGTCAGGGTTCTACTTCCTACTGAAAAAGCTACCTTTCCTTGTCTATTTTTAGGCTACTGATGCTTTTTAATTTGTCTTCAAAGAGCCAGGGTAGTTTTATAAGAAATATGAACATAAGAGGCAAATACCAATCATGACGTTAAGTAGGGATAAAAGAAGTTGAATTCAGTTTCCCCGAGTATTGACCCAAAGAAGAAAGACTAGTGCCTATCTTAGTGCCTGCTTTTAAAAAGCATCGGGCTGATAAAGATAATTACTTTTGTGTACCCCTAAACTTAAGTTCTCTTTGCTCTATACTGGAGAAAATGCAAGTAACTGTACAGAGAAACACACTGTATAGTGAGGGCATTAAAATAAAAAAAAATGGCTGAGACTTTTACTACTCTTCAAAGTCTGAACATCTGAGTTTGAATTTTAGCAAGTTGTTCCACTCTATAAAAGTGAAGCTTTCTAGATGAGGGGCTATATGCTGACTTGGCAGGTGATGAGGGAGTGATGGGGAGAAGGACTGGGGGAGAGGTAACAGACATTTTCGCTGTCTTCATTGCAGTGGTGATAGTTTCAAGGCTTCTTAGCTACGTCAAAGCTTATCAAATTGTAGACTTTAAATATGTGCAGTTTTTTGTATGTCAATTATACTTAATAAAGCTATTTAAAAAAATAAGGCTTTCCCCTCTTGAGAATACCAAATTTGTTACAGTAAGAATTTATATGGTGGCAATAATCAATAGCTTATCAACCAAAAAGAGTCCAGGACCAGATGGATTCACAGCCGAATTCTACCAGAGGTACAAGGAGGAACTGGCACCATTCCTTCTGAAACTATTCCAATCAATAGAAAAAGAGGGAATCCTCCCTAACTCATTTTATGAGGCCAGCATCATCCTGATACCAAAGCCGGGCAGAGATACAACCACAAAAGAGAATTTTAGACCAATATCCTTGATGAACATTGATGCAAAAATCCTCAATAAAATACTGGCAAAACGAATCCAGCAGCACATCAAAAAGCTTATCCACCATGATCAAGTGGGCTTCATCCCTGGGATGCAAGGCTGGTTCAATATATGCAAATCAATAAATGTAATCCAGCATATAAACAGAACCAAAGACAAAAACCACATGATTATCTCAATAGATGCAGAAAAGGCCTTTGACAAAATTCAACAACCCTTCATGCTAAAAACTCTCAATAAATTAGGTATTGATGGGACGTATCTCAAAATAATAAGAGCTATCTATGACAAATCCACAGCCAATATCATACTGAATGGACAAAAACTGGAAGCATTCCCTTTGAAAACTGGCACAAGACAGGGATGCCCTCTCTCACCACTCCTATTCAACATAGTGTTGGAAGTTCTGGCCAGGGCAATTAGGCAGGAGAAGGAAATAAAGGGTATTCAATTAGGAAAAGAGGAAGTCAAATTGTCCCTGTTTGCAGATGACATGATTGTATATCTAGAAAACCCCATTGTCTCAGCCCAAAATCTCCTTCAGCTGATAAGCAACTTTCAGCAAAGTCTCAGGATACAAAATCAATGTACAAAAATCACAAGCATTCTCATACACCAACAACAGAGAAACAGAGAGCCAAATCATGAGTGAACTCCCATTCACAATTGCTTCAAAGAGAATAAAATACCTAGGAATCCAACTCACAAGGGATGTGAAGGACCTCTTCAAGGAGAACTACAAACCACTGCTCAAAGAAATAAAAGAGGATACAAACAAATGGAAGAACATTCTATGCTCATGGGTAGGAAGAATCAATATCATGAAAATGGCCATATTGCGCAAGGTAATTTACAGATTCAATGCCATCCCCATCAAGCTACCAATGCCTTTCTTCACAGAATTGGAAAAAACTACTTGAAAGTTCATATGGAACCAAAAAAGAGCCCGCATTGCCAAGTCAATCCTAAGCCAAAAGAACAAAGCTGGAGGCATCACACTACCTGACTTCAAACTATACTACAAGGCTACAGTAACCAAAACAGCATGGTACTGGTACCAAAACAGAGATATAGATCAACGGAACAGAACAGAGCCCTCAGAAATAACGCCACATATCTACAACTATCTGATCTTTGACAAACCTGAGAAAAACAAGAAATGGGGAAAGGATTCCCTATTTAATAAATGGTGCTAGGAAAACTGGCTAGCCATATGTAGAAAGCTGAAACTGGATCCCTTCCTTACACCTTATACAAAAATCAATTCAAGATGGATTAAAGACTTAAACGTTAGACCTAAAACCATAAAAACCCTAGAAGAAAACCTAGGCATTACCATTCAGGACATAGGCATGGGCAAGGACTTCATGTCTAAAACACCAAAAGCAATGGCAACAAAAGACAAAATTGACAAATGGGATCTAATTAAAGAGCTTCTGCACAGCAAAAGAAACTACCATCAGAGTGAACAGGCAACCTACAAAATGGGAGAAAATTTTCGCAACCTACTCATCTGACAAAGGACTAATATCCAGAATCTACAATGAACTCCAACGAATTTACTAGAAAAAAACAAACAACCCCATCAAAAAGTGGGCGAAGGACATGAACAGACACTTCTCAAAAGAGACCTTTATGCAGCCAAAAAACACATGAAAAAATGCTCACCATCACTGGCCATCAGAGAAATGCAAATCAAAACCACAATGAGATACCATCTCACACCAGTTAGAATGGCAATCATTCAAAAGTCAGGAAACAACAGGTGCTGGAGAGGATGTGGAGAAATAGGAACACTTTTACACTGTTGGTGGGACTGTAAACTAGTTCAACCATTGTGGAAGTCAGTGTGGCGATTCCTCAGGGATCTAGAACTAGAAATACCATTTGACCCAGCCATCCCATTACTGGGTATATACCCAAAGGACTATAAATCATGCTGCTATAAAGACACATGCACACGTATGTTTATTGCGGCATTATTCACAACAGCAAAGACTTGGAACCAATCCAAATGTCCAACAATGATAGACTGGATTAAGAAAATGTGGCACATATACACCATGGAATACTATGCAGCCATAAAAAATGATGAGTTCACGTCCTTTGTAGGGAGATGGATGAAATTGGAAATCATCATTCTGAGTAAACTATCGCAAGAACAAAAAACCAAACACCGCATATTCTCACTCATAGGTGGGACTTGAACAATGAGAACACATGGACACGGGAAGGGGAACATCACACTCTGGGGACCATTGTGGGGTTGGGGGAGGGGGGAGGGATAGCATTGGGAGATATACCTAATGCTAGATGAGGAGTTAGTGGGTGCAGCGCACCAGCATGGCACATGTATACATATGTAACTAACCTGCACATTGTGCACATGTACCCTAAAACTTAAAGTATAATAATAATAAATTAAAAAAAAAAGAATTTATATGATTCTTCACACTAGGATGTAGGGCAAGATCTCAATAAAATGCCCTTACATAATTTCAGAATGAAGACAGCCTCTACTGATTTCTCACTTTACACGGATTGTAAACAAAAGCACTTCAATGGAACATTGATAATATATATAGTTCTTAAAGAATTGTAAACCAAATGTTAATGACAATATTAGAAATAAATTGTTATCAAATAAATGGAGTATATTTTATCTTTAAAAGGCAATGTTAGACTTTCATCTTGAAGTTTTAAAAAATGCTAGCTAAAGCAGATGCTTTTCTCCTTAGCTTCTAAAAATACGTTAAGATTCTATAAATATTAAATGTTACTAATAGTGTAATGGTAACATATACATATTGCAGAGCCTTATAAAAATTGGTTTAATTTTGCAAGAAACAGTGAAGTGAATTCAGAGCTGCTACTCAGTCAAAAACATCAAACTAATAATATCTGAAAAATATCAGCAAGAGTATAATTGAAGGTCTGGGTAATCATTTTCCTTGTGAAAGATTCATGGGTAAACATTTCTCATGATATTATAAAGTTGGATATCAAATGCAATGTTTAGATATAAAATTAAGATATACACAAATATATATAAATAAAATATGGTTTAAAATAAGCTGACAGATGAACAGGATTATTGGTATCTTTAGTAGAAAATGTTTTGAATTAGAAAACTCAATATATCCTTTAGTTTCTGGCTTTTGAGAGGCAGACTGGAATGAAAAGTTGGCACTTACTTTCCAATTGTATTGGGTAGCATTGTAAGTTGATTGTCATCTACTTTTAGAGTTGTTAGTTTTTTCAAAAGTCCTAAAGCAGAGAAGAAGGTTGATTAATACATAAGAGCAGATTATGACAGGAAATGTGATATAAAAGAAATCACATGAATCACTTGTGTTGAATGCTTGGCATGCTAATTGGCCAAACTCTGCTAATACACACTCATAAAACTGACGTTTGTGTGTAGTCTAATTTTGACCTTCTAGTTGCAAAAAAGTTGCATACATCAATGACAGTTCAAGAATATAAATGCAGAGAAATAAACAAAACATACAGCTCCACATACACCCCAGTTGACACTAATACTACTACATTTCCCTTTTGTATTCTTCAGCAAATGGACCAGTTGAAATTTTTCAAGCCAGCTGTGATTTAATATTTAATTAGTTCCTAAGCAGTAATAACTAACATCGCTGTTGTGATACAAATTGAAAACAAATCTGAATTAAGTCCAATGATCAACGAAAATGAATACTGAAGTATTGCAATGCAGCGGTTATAATTATGTTCTTGGAAATTTACAACATATGACGTCATATTCTTTTTGGCACCATAAATCCTGCCTTGGATCAGCAATAAGCACAAAAACTTAGAACTGGCCAAGAATTTAAGTTACAACTATTTATCTTTCATTATCTGATTTATGGCCTCCATACCCTTAATGGCTTGCTCTCTTCCCAGGGTTTTAATGAGCAATAGTCACACAGTAATTGAAGAACAGCTGCATTTGGCATAATCAACTTCCTTATCCAACCATAAAATAACCTACAATATTGATATGGCTTAAATAGTCCAAATCCAAGGGCAAAGCATTAACACTTAACAAATTTTGTTTTACATTGGAACTACACATGTACACTATAGATTGCTGCATTCTGCAAAAAAAAAATTTTACTAATTGACATAGTAAGTTTCATGATCATATATGTTTTGAGAGACGCCAAATTAAACAAAATTAAATAGCTTTCTTTAATAGTTTGTCTAGGAGCTTTTAACATACCAATGTGACTCTCCAGATTTATTATGGAATTCATGTGTGTGTCTTTGTGTGTGTGTGTGTGGTGCACAGTATGTTGTTGAACTAGTGTTTTGTGAACATGTTTTGAGAAACTGGCTATAGATCATGCCCATATTTCTCAAATATTTTGAGGGTTCCTAACAGGCATAGAGTAAGTCACAAAAAGTCTGAAATAAAGCTGTGGCTGCACTTCACATTTCAGTATGCTCTGTTATGTATTCTTCAGAAGCAATCAGAATCTCTACTGCAGTAGAGAGAAATGTTATCACTATCAGACTGTTATGAGCAAGTACCTGGGAACTGAATACATCAGCTTGAAAACAACATCACCTGGGAAAGGGACAGTTCACATTGTGGCAATTTATCATTGAAGTTTGAAAATCCACTGCCATATCCATCTATGTTCAAAAGGTGATTGAATCATTTTAGCTTCTCCAGAGCATATGTTACAGTATCAGCCTTGGAAATATAAAAGAGCACCTGAGCTTGTTTTTGAGTTGTGGAAAGAAAACAGGAAAGTATGACTTATAGCTAAGTTTTTTGTGACTTGGTAGCCTGGATCAGACGAGTGTCCTGCCTGCCAGTGGAGCTGTATGTGGGTTGATGGTCTCAACATCACTCAATCGGGTCACAAGAAGCTTGGGAGTGGGTTACAGATGACTGAGCAAACGTCACAAAGTCAGGGTGCAAAGTACTCTCAGAGGATCATAGTCTCCAGCTCTGAAGTAATGGAGAGAAAACCTTGAGGAAGGTTGGGGCCTAAGGCTAAATGCTGATGTGACAGATTATCCTGAAGACTGGAGTAGTGGCTCTCACAAGAAACTTTTGTTAAGTGCATCTTTTTCAATATCTTTAAAGGTTGAAGCAATTTAGTTCCTGCTCAGCTCCAAGTCTGTGGGTTTAAAGGAACCTCACTCATTTGTTGTGTGGCTATTTTGCCAACACTCATATTCCATCCAAGAGGATACTCTTCGGACAGAGTCTGGAGCTTCTGTAGAATTATGATTGCCCCTGGGATGAAATTAGGCTGCAAGCCTCACCCTTGTTGCTCATGTCTTCCTCCAGCATTTAACATCTTTATCGCATTTCTATATCATATGTGCTTAGACTCTTTTCTCTAGAGTAATCAACGGTATTTTATCCTATTCCTTCTCTCTACTTGTGCCCTTCTCCAAGTCTCCATCTCTTCATCCTATACTCCCAACTAAGAAATACTGAAGAGATAGAAAAAGAAGGCCTTTTCCTACAATTTTAACTACACACACATATATGCAGTCAGCATTAATACATTAAACATTAATATAATTTGCTAATATTTACATTTACAAATATATAATAGAACTTTGAAAGGAAATAGTTGTGCACTCATCAAATCTAAGATTATAATAAATATTATATTGTAACAATAGCTGTTTACTATATGTCAGGTACTATTACTACTATCACTTAATAGATGATGAAACTGAGGCAAGATTAAGTAACTTGTCTAAGGTCACACAGCAAGTAAGGTAGAAAAGCCAGAATCAGAACTCTAAGTAACCTAACTATAAAGCCCATGCCCTTAACCTTTAAGTGAGTAAGATAAATTATTAAGCAAAAAATATTTCTTTTTCTTTTATTTTTCTTTATTGAGTTTCTCTGCTATCCAAAGAAGCTGATTATGAAAACTCTCCATCTAGAAGAGGAAAAGAGTCCCTTTCATTTGCCCTGGAACCAGCACAGGGAAAGTGACTCAGCACACGGGGCTTGTTGTTGAGTATATCATTCCATTCAAATACCCGATAGCTGCAGAGGAACTAAAAAAGGCATGAAGAAAGTAAAGATTTTATTTAAGTTGCCATATCCCTCTATTAATACTATGAAGATTCTTATCTTTTATTCTTTTAAATGTCGGTAGTCCAATAGATAATCCATGATCCAAATAAGGAGGACACGATGCAATTCGCCATCCAATTATCACTAATGAACCATTCTAGGGCCTCAGAACAGAGCTCTCAGTTTCCTATTCCAGATATTTATTTTGACCAAGAAAGGGAATTCTCTGAGGAGAGTCAGCTACTCTACATTTAGAATCAGGGACTGTGGCAACTCTGCAGATGTATAAATACAAATTTCCCTGACAGGTCAATAAGGTCCAAAGATAGTTCAAGGAGTAAGCTACTACAACAGTTACTTTGAGAACCATTCAGGTCATAAATGAAGGTGTAAAATATATAATACCACCTACCTATCCTAGTCTGTCATATGCCAATCCAGTGTCTAGCTTGATATTCTCTGTTACCTATTACATGCTGACTTCTTCAGACCAGAAGGCTAATTTCCTAGTTTCTTTCTTAAAGGAAACTATTTCATACAAACAATTATATCATGTTAATAATAATGCTTCATTTTCTACCAGTTTGTTTTTTTTTTTTTTTGATAAAAGGTCCCATTCTGTCACCCAGGTTGGAGTGCAGTGGTACAATCATAGCTCTCTGCAACCTCTGAACTCCTGGGCTCAAGCAATCCTACTGCCTCAGCTTCCTGAGTAGTTAGGACTGCAAGTGTGTGCCACTGTGCCTGGGTAATTTTTTAATTTGTTGTAGAATTGGGAACTTGCTGTGTTGCCCAGTCTGGTAACCAACTCTATTGCCTTTGTAAAATCAAACTTTCTGTGTTTTGTTTTAGATATGTCTCATAACCACAATATAGCTGAACTTGAAATTCTGGATCTTTTAATAGAATAAGTGTAATCAATTAAATCTATTACATTTGTTGTGATTTATGACAATTTGAATTTATTTTTACCATCTTATTTATAACTTCTATTTTATCATTTTTACATTTTATTTTTCTTTCTTCCACCGTATGAATATTTTCTTTCAGAACTTTTCCCCTCCTCTCCTGGTTTGGAAGTATCAGCTTCATTTCTATTAAGTAGATACATTTACATTTTTAACATGTCTATTTAACTGAATATCATGCAAATTCTAAAGTTATGCAGTATTTCTAGCCTCTGCTTGAATAAGGTAAGGTCCTTCACATTCCTTAATCCTGTCTAAACATTTTAAATATAAAAGATTCCTCTTTACAGGCACTAATTATTTAGATATAACAACTTCATTTACCAAATTGAGTAATTTAATTAATTTAATTTACCAAATTAAGTTCATAAATAACATCTTTATTGCATTTCTATATCATATGTGCTTAGACTCTTTTCTCTAGAGTAATCAAAGGTATTTTATCCTATTCCTTCTCTCTACTTTTGCCCTTCTGCAAGTCTCCATCTCTTCATCCTATACTCCCAACTAAGAAATACTGAAGAGATTTCTTTCTTAATTTCTACCAAATTAAGTTGGTAAACTAAATTACTTAATTAAATTACTTAATTTACCAAATTAAGTTGGTAAATTTGGTAAAGCTTGCCATTGCTTTATGCATTCACTTCCTTCCTTCTGAGTTTGTTTTTGTTTTCTGAGTAAAGTACATCTTTTAAGAGCAGATTCTCTTATTCTTGGTATATGTTCAAATATATTTGTTGTGTGCTCACTCTTGAATGAATGTTTACTTGGGTATAGAAATCCAATCTGCCTGTAATTAACCTTCAGTACTTTGAAGATATTACTCCGCTATCCAGAAGATATTGTCACTGATGACAATGAAGACATCTCTAATTATTATTATGTAGATAAGCTCTTTTTGTTCTATGGCAGCTTTAAACAATACTTTTCTTTGTCCTTGCAGTTTCAGAACAATGAGCCAGTGCAAATTTATTATATTTATCTCTTTTAGCACTATGTGTATGCATTTATTATGATAAATTACTTGTGTATTTAATGTTGAAAAATAATATCAACTATTTTCTCTTTGAATAGTTCCTCTTTTCCATTTATTCTGTTCTGTATTTCTGGAATTCTGTATTTATTCCTGGAGAAGGTAATTTGTTTGCTTTTTCATTTTTAGAATGCAATTTCTATTCTATTCTCTGTGTCTCTTAACTCATTTTTAATATTTCTTATTAACAAATTTCTATGTGCCTGTTCTGTTCCTCAGCACTGTCTTCCAACTTACAAATTTTATACCTGACTATATCATACTTTCTTCATTATAGCTGTTGTATTTTAAAATTACCCTATGTGGTATTTCATACCTAATGTGGTATTTTAATTTCCAGGATTTCTTTTTCAAAATTTATTTTTGAAAACTTTTTGGCAAATTAAAATTGTATATAATTATCAGGTACATAGTGATGCAGTGGTATCACTTTAGAATGATTGAATCAAGCTAATTAACATATCTGTCAATTTAAATACTTATCATTTATTCCTCCTGTCTAACTGCAACTTGGTGTCCTTTGACCAATATCTTCCTTTTCATTTTCAGGATTTTTAATTGATTCTTTTTCTTAACCATCTATTTTTAGTCATAGCTCAGGTTTTTGTTAGATAAGTCTTATTATTTGTGTTTCAGCATTTTAAATATAAAAGATTCCTCTTTCACTGGCCCTAATTATTTGGCTATAACACCTAATTGTTATTCTTTTATCTATTTGATGTTCTATACATGCTTAAAATAGTTTTCATATTGGTTGATAACTTTTGTTTCCCTTAGGGTAAATTCTCCTATTTGGTTGAATTTTTGGTTGTCAAAGCAACATTAGTTTCCTTCAACATTTTTGTTTGCAAGCTCATTTGTGAGGGTGAATGTTTCCCCCTTCACTATGCTCACTTCTCCCTGTCTGGCAGTTTTCTGGTTACCTCCACCTGACCCCCAGGTTTCTGGAGTTCAGAACCAGTCTTATATTAGCAATGTTGGTGGTCTTATCCTTTGTGGATACTGCAGATTCAGTCCAAGCCAGCTTGTCACTTGCCATAGTTTTCCGCAGTGAATTTTCTGTTATTTCCCTTTTCTGTAGCTCCACATACTAGTTGTAAATTTTTCAGTCCCTTTTCACAGAAAAGAGGTCCCGCCCTAATCTTTTGTAAGTTCTGATTCCTCTGTTGTGCTTAAAGTCCTTCTATTTCTTATTTCACGGTAAGAACTGAACTTACAGCTGCTGTTTGTGGTTTGTAGCCCATCAGGCCTGGAGATATTGCTGGATTTCCATTCTATCACAGGTTCAGGTTGATGTTCATTCTTCTTAAGCAAACATCATTTTTCTTTTTAAAAATTAGAATTTTTTTTTCAGAGATGGAGTCTTGCTATGTTGCCTAGGGTGGACTCGAATTCCTGGGCTCAAGCAATCCTCTTGTCTCAACCTTTTGAGTAACTGGGACTGTTGGCACATGCCACCATGCCTGGGTGAGTGTGGCTAAATTATTTTATTTACTAAGTGTTCAAACAGCACGTAGAATATGCCAGGCACAGTTCTTGGCACTGAGGAGTCAGTAATGAAGAAAAATATGTTCTTTGAATATATAGAGTTTTTATATTTTCAAGATATATTTAAAATGGTATGGGATGGTGGTGAGTAGGAGTGTAAGGTTATGTATTAAGTTGCTCTGTCATCTTGACCAGTGGATGTTCTCTATAATCATACTTCCTTATCTGTTACAACATAAACCAGTATTTCCTAAATTTGTCTGATCACAAGTTTCATCTAAGATGTTTAATAAAAGTACAGATCAAGGGGCTTGTCACATTTACTGAATCAGAATCTTAAGAGACAAAGCCTAGAAATGTGGAAGTGTTTAATAAAACTCTCAGTTAAGACCCATGATTGAGCAAGTTAGAGAAATATCATTATAAAATATGGGATTTTGTAAATAAAAAGTCAACAATTCTAGGAAGAAAGAAACGATGGACCACAATTTTGCTAAAACTAATGTTCTTTATCAGCCTCAAAGAATGGCTAAGTAGAAGTAATAATGTATTGAAGAAAAATTTGGAAAATTGCCTCATCTTCAACTGGATTACCTAGGATATGGCTTAATTTTTAAAAGTTATATGTTCTGGAACTTAATAATGATTAAAAATTTACAACTCATATGTGGAGCTAGTGAAAAGGGAAACAGAAAATTCACTGTGGAAAACTATGGCAAGTCACAAGTTGGCTTGGATTGGATCTGCAGCATCCACGAAGGATAAGAGCACCACATTGCTAATAGAAGACTGATTCTGAACTTCAGTCAATCTTAATAATGATTAAGTTCCAGAACATATAACACATCTGTTTCAAAGAGGTTAAAATCTATGTTACAAAGTTAAGTAATTTAATGATTACCCTTTTCGTAGAGTTCTCTTACAAATACTAACAGCAAGATACCTACACAAAAAAGCTTACACATTATTTAAATGAGTCTTTCACTATTTTACTCATATAAACTTTTTTTGTTTGTTTGTTTTTGAGACGGAGTCTCCCTCTATTGCCCAGGCTGGAGTGCAGCGGCATAATCTCGGCTCACTGCAACCACCGCCTCCTGGGTTCAAGCGATTCTCCTGCCTCAGCCTCCCTCCCGAGTAGCTGGGACTACAGGCATGCACCACCATGCCCGGTACTTTTTGTATTTTTAGTGGAGATGGGGTTTCACCATATTGGCTAGGCTGGTTTTGAACTCCTGACCTCGTGACCCACCCGCCTTGGCCTCCCATAGTGCTGGGATAACAGGTGTGAGCCACTGCGCCTGGCCCATGTAAACATCCTTAAACAAAAATGTATGAGTGCTTTTTATACACTAACCGGCAAATTATTTGATCTAATGAATCTTAACATGTTAAGGACATGTGACTTTTTAAAAATAATAGAACTAAGAAGACATTTTATGTTTATACTTTTTATATGTTACTCCTACATTATACCAATGTTACAACAATATTACAAATAGAATATAGCAACATCCTATGGATGGAAGCTATTGTAATTCTATCATAATATAAGGATACATACATGATTATTAAATTACTCTGAAGAAAACATACATACTCCTTATAATAACATTTTGCAACTTTGGAGATATAACAATTTTTAAACAATATCAATTTGGTAGGATCATTTTAACAGAAGAGCCTTCTTGAATTTGGAAACGAGTTAATATTTCACTTAAGATATTTGTTAGATACTATTTTATGATTTCCATAGCACATTTTAAAATTTATTAACATCAGACTAACAGTATATTACCTATATCTATAGACAAACTATACTTCCAAAAAAGAAAATGGTATATTTGACATAAATATTTGTGACAAAATATTATATTCTCACCTATAGAATCAGGCAATTGTTGCAACATATTGGATGACAATAAGAGGTCCTCAAGGGCTTCACATCCAGAAATGTCCATGTCAACTGTTTCTATTCTGTTTTTTGACATATCCAGGTATACCAACATCTTTAACTTCCCTATAGACTTGATGACATTGCATAAACTCAGGGTTAGTTGAGAGACTTTCACAAGACATTTTAAAGTTGTAAGAACCACTACACTGTAAAGTTTATTTTAAAAGCAACCACAACAATAACAAGTGTTGGCAAGAATGTGGAGGAATTGTAAACTTCAAACATTGCTAGTAGGAATGTAAAATGGTATAGCCACTTTGAAGAACTGTTTGGCAGTTTCTCAAAATGACTCAACAATAAATAGGGTTATACCACTATAGGCATATACCACTGAGAATAAAAACATATGTACACACAAAAACTTACACAAATGGTCACAGATGCATTATTCACAATGTCAAAAATTGGTGACAACCCAAATGTCCGTCAACTGATGAACACATAAATCAAATGTGGCATATACATATAATGAAATATTACTTGGTAATAAAAAGGAATAAAGTATTGATACATGTTATACAATGTATGAACCTTGAAAATACATGCAAAGTAACAGATGCCAGTCACAAAAGACCACACATTGTATGATTCCATTTATATGATATGTCCAGAATATGCAAATCCATAGAGATAGAAAGTTGAGTAGGGTTTCTAGGAGCTGGGTGGATGGGGAGTGTGGGAGTTATGGCTAATAGGTTCAGGTTTTCTTTTAGGGCTCATGAAAATGTTCTAAAATTAGATTGTGGTGATGGTTGTACAACTATGTGAGTAGTCCAAAAACCACGGAACTGTATATGGTATGTGAATTATATCTCAATGCAGCAGTTAGAAAACACACAATAATCTTGAAGTTGGCACTGAATAAAATAAATAACTCCCAACTAAAGAAGCTGCCACTGAAACAATGACATTGACATGTAGATCCTTAAAATTTCAAATGCATAAGAAAGGTTTTAAATTATAATTTTGGAGATTACCCTATTAATTAGAGTCAATGTTTTGCTCATTCAATGGCCCTTTTTGAAGGATCTACTATGCACCAGTATCTGTGTTACGTATTCAAGAACAATCAAGAATAAGACAGCTAAGTATGGGGACAGACTTGCCATGATGAAGACAAAGTTTTTATCAGTAAGGAGTTCTCAGTAATGAAGGAAACTTTCAAGTAAGAAATAATTATAACACCCTGTGACAAGTGCAATAAAAAAGCATGTAGTGAATGCCACAGAACAGGGAAGGGCTGCAAATGGCCTGGAAGATGCTGCTCATCAAAAGAAGAGAACCTGTACCTGGAAGGGAGAACAGCACGTGCCTTTATAAAGTGTGACGAAGCATGCTATGTTTGAGGAAGAGTGGGAAATTCAAAGTGGCTGAGTATAGTGATGAAGTTGAGATTACAGGGAGAAGCCAGATGCTGAAAGGGTTTCTATGTCACGTGAAGAAATGCAAACTCTATTTTATAGGCAAGGAAAGCAAAAGGATTGTAATATGGGGAATGACATGAACAGATTTATGCTTAGAAGTAGTAACTTCAGGGAACTTTCAAAAGCTGGAGTCAAGGAGATCTGTTAGAGGGATATAGAAGTATTTTAGCTGTTAAGGCAACAGAAGTGAGGATGAAGAGGGGATGGACTCCAGAGAAAGTTAGAAGTGGAATGATTGGATTAGTAACTGATTTCTGAGGAGAGGGAAGGATCAACCCATATCTTGGGCAAGGAGTGAACATGTGGGCGGGACACGGACTAGAGGAGTTAGGGCAGGGCAAAGGTCCTCATTTTCCTTTTCCTTTAGGGCATGTTTTGTAAATAAATGTTCCACACATTTCAGTTACTCAACGAATGGTTCATCTGTTTATCTGGTCTACCTGTGCATACTTTACCATCTCTAATTACTTGACAGAGTATAAATAAACAAATACACAATAAATACATAAATTTATTACATACACACAAGCTCGCACTTGGCACTATACTAAGTACTTTATATATATTATTTGATTCAATATTTTATGTTTTTGCTACCCAAAATGTGTTCGGCAGACCAGCAGCATTGACACCACTTGGGAGCTTGTTAGAAATGTATAATCTCTGCTGGGCGCGGTGGCTCACGCCTGTAATCCCAGCACTTTGGGAGGCCAAGGTGGGCGGATCACGAGATCAGGAGTTTGAGACCAGCCTGACCAACATGGTGAAACCCCGTCTCTACTAAAAATACAAAAATTAGCTGACTATGGTGGCGGGCACCTGTAATACCAGCTACTCAGGAGGCTGAGGCAGGAGAATCAGTTGAACCCTGGAGGCAGAGGTTGCGGTGAGCTGAGATCATGCCACTGAACTCCAGCCTGGGCAACAGAGCGAGACTCCATCCAAAAAAAAAAAGTATAATGTCAGACCCACCCCAGATCTGCTGAATCAGAATCCACATTTTAACACATATTAAATATTGGAGATTAAGTCATGTCACATGTTGGATTCCTTGGGAAGCAGAGACAAAGAAAGAAGTTTTTGAGAGTGTTTAGGATCAACACCAGTAGAAAGGAAGAGACAGGAAAGAAAGGGAGCAGGATTGGGTAGACAAAGAAGTTGGGCTGTGATGAAGTCTTAAGAAAGTCCTTGGCTGGCACTTCAAAGATCACTGAAGTTGGGATTGCCCTGAAGTTGTTCTGAGTAGAGGATGAAGGGCTGAGCCTTTATATACCTGCATTGACTGATCATTGGATGGAGGTCTCTGGGAATGGGGTTATGACCGTGGATGAAGATGTTCTCTTTACGTGAGGCAATTTCTGAAGAAGGCTGGAGAGCTGCAAGCAGCATTTCCAGAAGCTGGGGGAATAGAGTAAATTCTTAAGTCCTGGAGAAGGATGCATGAGAGCATCTACTACAAGTAACACTCCAAAGTTATCCCATTAATATGGGGTGGAGCTGATTTCAAACTCAATTTTATCAGACTACAGGCTACAAAGTCCATTTGGAGGGCACATATCCTTAATTAACCCAGTGCAAATCTCCAGCCCTGCTCCCTCAGCTTCCCATGTGGGTGCAGAGTGTGAGCACAGGCTTCGAGTGACTGAATATTTGCTAGCTAGAATCAGAGTACTTTGGATGAGTCAGAGTTTCTCCTCATGCTTGGAAATGTGTCACTTGGAAAAATATTGTCACTTTACTCATAGCTTTCCATCCCAAGGAACTATCATGTTACCTAAGTTCACTCTTCTTTTCCATTGAGCAATGAAAGAATGATATGTGTGTGTGTGTTTCTTTTTTGTTCCTTTATCATGAGATATCATGAGAAAATTTATTTTCTCCTTGAAGCTTCCAGCTTCCTTCATTGCTATCTTCAGCGTAATTTAGTATTTTGGTGTGCAGTTCCTAAACATTCTTTTTGGAATAACACTTTGATGTTGAAAACACTGTATCAAAGCAATCATAGCCTGAGGACTGTAAAGGCATAAATTCTTACAGTGCTTGAGGATATTGAATGTTGATCCCACATTCTCTGGGCATAGAGGGGTCTATAGGTGAGCAGTGCAGCAAATGGAAAGAGTAGAAGCCACAAGTAAAAGAAGATACTGGAGTTTGTTTAAAATAAATGTGAATTCAATACATGATTTAGTCATATTTTGGTTGATTAACCTTAGATTGATGGTCACAAGATAGAACTATGTAAAAGACTAAATATTTGATCATTATCTATTTGCTTCTCTGACTTGTGAAAAACACAGTGGAAAATAATAGCCCAGACTATTCAAAAGTATTCACAAAGTATATTAACTTTATTATGATACATGAACTAAGAAAAAAATGAATGTGCTTCTTTTCCCCATGGCTAATGATATTAAATGTTTTAATTATTCTGTGAAACTGACAGACATAGGCTGGAGACCACACTCAAGATGAACCATTCAAAGCCAAGTATTTTGGGGTAACTGAAAAGCAATTCTTTGCCAGCGCCAACATCCAGAAAGCCATGGCTATTTCTGGCAGGGAGGTGTAGGGTATTCCCACACAGCGTATAACAAATTACCAAGTGCAAGTATACAAAATAAAGTAAGGAATCTATATAAAGCTAGCAGTACATATGAAACATCTACTCTCGAGACAGACAAATTAGGCAGCATTATATGTTTTATGGAAGATTTCATCCCTGCCTTTCCACTTAAATAACAAACTTATTGAGAAATTTGGCATGTGAGTTGATTTGCACAGTGGATTTTGGGAATGTAACAATTGTGAAAAGTAAAATTCTCATTTGTACCTTCTATTGGTTCCATAGAGAGCCTTTGGGAGCTTTACAGTCAACAGCAGCCTCTGGCGCTGGTTTGAATTACAGCTCCCTGGGGTACTGGCTGTGTTATCTTGGGCCAGTTACTTTTTTTGTATTTTAGTTTCCTCATCTATAAAATGGGGATGGTAGTAGAACTTACTTCATAGGATTGTTGTAGGGATTCAATGAATCAACATTTGTACAACACAGAGAGAATGCTTAGCCCGTGGTAAATGCTATGTAATTTTTAATAAATAAATATATTGAAGAAGAGGTATAAACTTTTAGCTGGCATATATTCTGATTCTTCAATCTTTGCACAGGGATTGGTAAGTGTCTCGTGTTGCCTCAGGATTTGTACATACCTTGACTATAGCACAAATCAGGCTCTTCTATGAGTAGTGAAATCCAGATCTGTTTATCCTGCTATGTGCGAGCTTCTCAAACAAATATATTCAAGGTCATTGAATGTATTATCTTTGTAACCCTGACATTAGCATAGTTTCTGATTCATAGAGCTTTATTGGTACATGATTTTTAAATAAATCAGTGAACAATAGATGTGCATATTTTTCTGTTTTGTGTCTTTGATGGTAAAAATGCATCTTTTGATAAAAGCATTAATTATTTTTCCATAATCTTTGTTTCAGATTTTCTCCTTTATGTGGTCTTATGCTTATTCAAAGACAGAATAAATGTCTTGTTCTTGTTGGTTTTGCTGTCATCTTAAGTAATTTTTAATGTCAATTCAAAAAAGAAATAAAACTGGTTTTGAGAATACACATCTAAACCTCTGTGTTGGCTGAAGATTTATTACATATTCACCTGCTGTGGCTACTTAGACCAATGCCAGGAGTTTGGAGTTATACAAAACAATAGGGAGACTTGTGTTTGCGCTCTCTCGCTGTCTCTCTCTCTTGGTGTGTGTGTGTGTATGCAAGTGGCAAGGGGCAGCGTTTTATGGGAACATTCTTTTGTTAGATGGGAAAAGTAGGAATAATCACACTCAATGAGTTGACTGGTAAACTTATACTCAGGAGATAGTACTGGGCTGGACTTTAGTTGAGGAAAAAATTTGACTCTGGTTTAACTTTCTGTTTTTAATACTGTATGATCCTTGCCATTTTCAAAAATTCACATGGGTTCTATTGAAAATCACCTGAACTGAGAGAGATTTTTATTTTGTAGAAGAGCTCTAACAAAATGAATAAAAACCATTGTCTAGTTACCTGTAAGAATAAGGTTGATTTTGTAAAAATAAAACTTGGTATTATATATGGTATTTTGCTTTTTAAAAATATAACTATAAATTCTTTCAGCTTTTAAAGAACAGTAAATGTGGGAAGAGATGACAAATATACTCCAAAGGGAATAAGAAAAATCTTTCTTACGTTTTGTATACCTATAACACTCACAAAAAGATACATAAAATACTAAAAAAAAAAATGGTGAAAACACTTGGTGACTGAACACTCCTAATGAGTATTATTTTACTTTGAAACACAAATACTGAAATTTAAGAGTTGAGATTATGATCAAATACAACAAACGTATAACAAATATTAAACAACATGGTAGAATAAAAACTTACATACCCCAGGTAACACTTGTAATGCATTATTATCCATCCATAACTCCCTCAAATTTTGTATTTGATCCAGAACTTCAGGCTGGGAGAGAAGTGGGGAGGAAGGAGAGAGGAAAACAAAATTAAATTAGTTTTTACTTATCACAAACATAAGATGTAATTTCTTGGATCTTGAGCTTTTATTTGGGAATCTAGTGTTAAGCATCTAAGAAATTCCACCTTTAACAGACCTCTAGGAAAACTGGTATTCCCTGACAGCCAATTTGGAATTGATCTGGAATCAGTTAGAACAATAATAATAAAATTGAAGATCTATTACTCACATACATTCTCCCTGAATACCTTACAATTATTCTTTGGAGTACTGATTACACTCTATTTGATAAGCATCTGTCTTTGTCACTAGAGTATAAACTTTTGAAGACCTGGGGAATGTTTGTTTTGTAATCACTATATCCTCACATCCCTGTTGCTTACCATGGGCACATAGTAGCTTCTTACTGTGTGTGTATTAGCGCCTTGCACACAAACATCCATGCACACACAGGGGTTACAGAACTGTGATGAGATAATACTGGGTTGGTGCAAACGTAATTGCGGTTTTGCCATTACTTTCAATGGCAAAAACGGCAATTATGTTTGCACCAACCTAATACTATGCATAAGATGAATAAGCCCCATTGACTTTTAAAAAATCAGTCCCCAAGCTACCACCTGAAGACCCATGGACTTTTAATCCTTTCATTTTGTCAATGAATAATTATTTGTTGAATAGTTGGGGATGCCTACTACATGTAATGTACAATGCGGTACATGCCTTGTATGTACATGCCATATAACCACCAGTACTTGCCTTGAAATAGCTGATGATCTAGATCTAGATCTAGGGGAGAGAAATATTTATAAATAACTAAAACCAAGGCAGCATATAGGAGAATACTTTAGAATATGTTTTAAAAGTTCAGAGAAGGGACAGAGAGTATATGATCAAAGTGTAACATGTAGTATATAAAGAAACACTTTCTTTCTCTAACTAGATGCTGTCTCTAAATTCTAACTTCGGGCAGCAGACTGTATAGAGAGAATAGAGGTTGCTATTGCTGCCAACATCAAAACCTTCCTAGCGGTAGCCTAATTTTTCTCCAGAAATTATCCCCTTCCCTATTCTTAGGCCTTGTGCTTCCTTTGAAGCCCATTCCTTTTTTGTTTGTTTGTTTTTTACCACTTTGGGAGATGATTAAGGCCTCAGCTAACTAGTGCATTGTATCCACCTGGCCACAGAGATTGATCCAGGATGGGAACATGGCCCATTCAGAACACATACAAAGCAGTGAATCTTTGTGACTTCTGGGGAAAACACTATTGCTTATTGCTTTTCTCTGCAGTCCTGGGAACTTCACGCATGACAAAAAAAGGAGAGCCTGTCTAAGGATGGAGCATTTCTACAGAAAGTGGAGCTAAAGGATAGATCCTGGTAAGATTATATAAGCCTGGAAGGCAGATTTTCTGTTTTTTTTTTTTTTTTTTTCTAACTGAAACAATTATTACTTACTGAAACAACAAAATACAAAACAGTTCAATAAAATCTGGAATCTAATTAGGTTCCAAAATACAAAAGCAGTGCACTTTGTAGAATACTTGTAGAAAAGAATGGAATTATATCAAAGTTACCATGAGAATATTAGTAATTGTAGGTCATTGGAGGTTATCTACACATCCTTAACAAATTAGGAGGGCTTAAGACTTCCAGATCTACTTTGGAGATAGTCTCAGATTCCTTTAGCCTGTGCTTGCAATAGAACGTGGTAAGATTCTTGGGAGAAGTTTCCTTTATAACAAGGATTGAAATTTAAAATTAGAGACATGGCATTCTGCTGTGAAATGAAAGGCATCCATGAGGTAGTATGGAGGATGTGTGTGTATGCATGTAGAAAAATACTTCTACTGTCACTTAGATCATAGGGAACAGGCAATGAACTGCTCTGCCTATATGTCAGGCTGGGCAAGAATGGAAAACATAAATCATGTGTAGGGAGCACACTCTGATATGCAGAGGTTTTGAGACAGAGGGCTGGCTAGCAACAGGCAGGTGAACTGGAAAACATCACTCATGTGTTGCTCCCCTCCCCTCCCTTTCCCTCCCCTCCCCTCCTCTTCCCTCCCCTCCTCTCCTCGCAGACGACGGAGTCTCACTCTGTCACCCAGGCTGGAGTGCAGTGGTGCGATCTCAGCTCACTGCAACCTCTGCCTCCTGGGTTCAAGCCATTCTCCTGCCTCGGCCTCCCGAGGCACAGGCCACCACGCCTGGCTAATTATTGTATTTTTAGTAGAGGCGGGGTTTCACCATGTTGGCCAGGCTGGTCTCAAACTCTTGACTTCAGGTGATCCACCTGCCTCAGCCTCCCAATGCTTTTTTTGTTTTTTTGTTTTTTTCCTATGCATTATGCTTATGAAGGAGAAGCAAACGGGCTGCCCACTGGGCAAGGTTCAACAAAAGCTCATATGAATACAATAAGACAGAGACTGATGTATAAACTTGTAACTGTAAACATTATTATTATTCAGGGTGGATTAGATTATGTTATTTTAACAAATTAACCCTGAAATCTCAGTGATTTAACACAAAAGGCTTACTTTCCACTATTCCTACTACTGTATGTCCAGCATGCGTTTCTGCCCCATTATCTTGTGATACCATCTCAAGATTGTCAGGAGAGCCAAAGCAAGGGAAGAGAGAGTGTGGAAAATTCACCACAGCTCTTAAAGATATTGGGCTGCAAGTGCCATGCAGCAATTATGCTTATAACTCAATGTCTAGAACTATTTATATGGCCTCACCCTTAGCACAAGGAAGCCTGGGAAATACAAAGGGAGGATGTGGATTATTTGGTAAATAGTATTGTCACTGCCACACAGTGACAGTGTATGAAAAAAAGAATGAGAAGAATGGATACACAGCACTTCTATAATTTATTCATCCCTTCATTAAGTAAGATCTAATTAAACATTTTCTAAGTGCTAGGCATTATACTAGTCATAGTGCATGGTATGGTCTCTGCCCTCAAGAAACTCAAAGCTTGTATTTCTTTTTTTTAAAGGAGATAGACTTTGTTGCATAAGTGACGGAGCATAATTAAAATATTTTTAATGGGAAGTGATTTTGGCAGATTGGTGTTCTGTATATATACTCTATCCTATTCGAAAAAAGAAAAACAAAAACAGGAAACTTAACAGGGCTGGTAATGAAAGAGGTAATGAGGAATAAAAAGCAGCTGCTTCAGGAAACATTTAAAAGATAAAAATGGTAGGACTTGGTGACAGGATATGGGGGCGAGGGAGTGAGTCATGCACAAACATGTCTTCCAGTTTCCCAGCATGTGGTGATGTCACCAATGGAGATGCAGAGTATTGGGGTGGAAGCAGATAAATGGGAGAGACTGAAATCAGTTTTGATCATAATTAACTTCGGGTTCCTGGAGGACATAGGTGGAGATTACCAGGAATCAGTTGGCATCAAAATCTGAAGCTTAGAGAATAGGTTTTAGCTGGAGATACAACTTAGAAGTATTAGCTGGAGATACAACTTAGAAGTATCACGGAAGTAGAAACTCACGTGAATGAGCTCTCCAAGGGGAATGTGAGGGGAACTAGAGTGAGTTGACTGAGGACAGTACCTTAAGGGACACTAATACTTGAGGGCTGAAAACAGGAAGAGCAACAAGAAGGAATGGCGTCCAGAAGTGTAAGGGTGACTAGAGTCCAATGAATAGAGTTGTGTTAGGAAAAAGGAAGTGAACAAGAGCATCCTACACAGGAAAGGTGTCCAGTGAAATAAGAGATCGAGGATACCCACTCCATTTTAAAAACAGTAGGTCACTAGTAACCTTGGTGATAGACATTGTGATGGTTAATAGTGAGTGTTTACTTGATTGGATTAAAAGATGCAAAGTATTGATCTTGGGGGTGTCTGTGAGGGTGTTGCCAAAGGAGATTAATTTTTGAGTCAGTGGGCTGGGGAGGGCAGACCTACCCTTAACTGGGTGGGCACAATCTAATCAGCTGCCAGCGAATATAAAGCAGGCAGAAAAACATGAAAAGGGTAGACTGGCTTAGCCTCCCAGGCTGCATCTTTCTCCCATGCTGGATGCTTCCTTCCCTCAAACATCGGACTCCAAGTTCTTCAGCTTTGAGACTTGAACTGGCTTCCTTGTGCCTCAGCTTGTGGAGGGCCTATTTTGGGGCCTTATGATCATGTGAGTTAATACTACTTAATAAACTCCCCTTTATATTATCTATCTATCCTATTAGTTCTGTCCCTCTAGAGAATCCTGACTAATACAGACATTTCAGGTGATAACTATCTTACAGTGAGCTGAAGATAAATAAGAAGAAAATAAATAGACACAATACAGGTAGAATATTATTTGTAAAGCCTGAATGAGAGGAGAGGAGAAAAGTTAAGGGGCTATAAAAAAAACTGAGGGGTCAAGGGAAAGGAAAGCTGACATGAAGACACTGGCGAAGAGGAACAGGTTAAAGATAGATAAGATGGTACAAAAAAAAAAACTGAGTAAATTCCAAGAGGGGACAATGAAGAGGAGATTGACAGCACAAGGGGAGGGGCTGACACTGAATAGAAGTGAGGCACCTCATTTGTTCAGACTGGAGGGAAGACTGCAGGGATGGTATGGGTGTAAGTTGGCATGGTGGAAGGAGGGCTGGTAGTTGAGGGAGGCATTTCTGAAGATCTCAAATTTTCTTGATGAAGTAGGAAATGAGGTAATCTGTTAACATAAGGCAACAAGAATTTTGTATACATCAGCAGTTGGGGAGAATGGTCCATATTGAAGTAGTTTGAGAGGCATCACTGAGAGCAATCAAAAGAGTTATATCAATGATAACAATTATAACTTTTTTTCTGGGCCAGGAAGGGAACTGAGTCTAGGAGAAAATAGAAGAAACAAAAGACGTCAGGTTTCCATAGGTCGGAGAGGAGTGTAGCAGGAGCGAGGGGACAGACAGAAGTGGAAGAAGGAAAAATTAGAATTTATGGTAGAATTTAGAGATTCAAGATTTCTGAAGTTGTTTTGGATAATGGCAAAATTCAAATTGTAACTCTGGGGAGAGTTGGCTAAGGTACAAACTATAAAATCTTGGTGTGTAGGTGGGTGAGGATGCTGTGGGAACATAAGGCCTTTCATGATTTCCAAGGATTTGGGCAACCTGTGATGCACTGCATAAATTGCTCTCTTGGCTGTGTCAGGCAAAGTGGCAGAGAAAGATGATCAATCATACCTCTGAAATTTCTCTAATTCTGGGTTTTACTGGGGACTTTAGGTATCTATGGCTACTTGGAAAGAGATCAGTGATTCTAATCTATATTTCTACTTTATTTTAAAGGATCTCATTTAATCTATTTAAGAACATAATAAGGTGATAATAATCCCACTTTATGGATAAATAATCTGATAATAATTTCCTCTGGAAAATGAGAATAATTTGATGAAGTTTACATAACTGCAGATGATATTGCTGCTCAGGTCTTCTGGCTACAAAGATGACATCATCTTAGAGCTTAAAACTGAAATTCCAAAATAATGAAGAGAGTTGGTGATCACAAATACCCAATAAAGTAAAGCATATGCTTGATTTCTAAAAAAAGATATTTTTATTACTGGATGTTATAATAAAATGTGTTACAGAGGAAGCTTCAAAAACTTCCTAAGAATAGCACAGATAAAGCATAGCAGATCCATGGCCTTTCTGAAAAGAAGACAAAACCACAACATAAAATGATACAATAGCATTTCATAATCAATAGATGATTTTAAAGTGGATCTTGGAATTTAACTAAATGGCTTACATTCAACCAACACATTGATCACATTTTTCTATGCTACTTAATTTAATCACAAAGTCAGTTGTTTCCGTTAAAAATTAGTGAATTAACTCCAGAATAACTTGGAATATTCAATGCTAGTGAAAGTGCTATAAGATGAGCACTCTCATAAATGGGTTTTGAGATTATAAACTGTAATTTTTTTGGAAAACATTTTCAAATATGAATCTCACACCTCAAAAACTTTCTTATCTACTTCTAAGCAACTATCCTACCTAAATAATCTAAAATATAGAAAAATCAACGTAAAAATGTTAATTACAGAATAATATTAAAAAGTTGGTCACAACCTAAATAAACAACAGTATAAGGTAAATGATGAAAAAGTAATATGTTGTTAAAATGAACAGCAATGAAAATGAATTATCTATATTTTTATGTATGAAATAAGATGAATAGATCTTGCAAACAATATTGTGTGAGTAAGCAAGTACAGAAAATTTATATAGCACAAATCAATTTACACAAGTCAAAAAACTATGCTATATACTGATGAATACATATACATGCATTTCAAAATAGAAATATGGAATAGAGGTATGCCAAATTCAAAGAAGTAATTTCCTTGGTGAAGGAGGGATTGGAATACGACTCGGAGGGGGAACATAGAAGATGTCTACTTTACAGCTGCAGTGTTTTTTCTCTTTAAAACAGAGATCAAAATCAAACACAAAATGGCTGGGCATGGAGGTTCATGCCTGTAATCCAAACACTTTGGGAGGCTGAGGTGGGCGGATCACCTGAGGTCAGGAGTTTGAGACCAGCCTGGCCAACATGGCGAAATCCCATCTCTACTAAAAATACAAAAATTAGCCAGGTTTGGTGTTACCTGCCTGTAATCCCAGCTACTGGGGAGGCTGAGGCAGGAGGATCGCTTGAACCTACGAGGCAGTGAGCCAAGATTGCGCCACTGCACTCCAGCCTGGGCAACAGAGTGTATCCTTTTCAAGGTGATTTACCATGATCAATCAAAATGAGCTACGAAAATGGTTACATCAATATTAACACAAAGAAAATATATATTTTGTATGACTGCAACAAATTCCAATAACTCCTGCCATGTATATGCAATTTTAGGCTGCTCCATTACTTTGTTTTTATTTAATTTTTTTATTAAAATTTTTTATTTCCATAGGTTATTGGGGAACAGGTAGTTTGGTTACATGAGTAAGTTCTTTAGTGGTGATTTGTGAGATTTTGGTGCACCCATCACCCAAGCAGTATACACTGCACCCAATTTGTGGTCTTTTATCTCTCACCCTTTTCCTACCCTTTCCCCCTGAGACCTCAAAGTCCATTGTGTTATTCTTATGCCTTTGCATTGTCATAGCTTAGCTCCCACATATGAGTGACAACATACGATGTTTGGTTTTTCCATTCCTGAGTTACTTTGCTTAGAATAATAGTCTCCAGTCTCATCCAGGTTGCTGTGAATGCCATTAATTCATTCCTTTTTATGGCTGAGTAGTATTTTTTTATATATATATATATGGTACTTTATATATATAGTATTATATATACTATATATAGTAGTATTTATATATAGTATATATATAGTATCTAGTAGTATTTATATATATAGTATTTATATATAGTATTATATATATAGTATTTATATATATATAAATATATATATTAAAAAATATATAGTTATATATAAACAGTTTCCCTATCCACTCATTGATGGGCACTCGGGTTGGTTCCATGTTTTTGCAATTGCAAACTGTGCTGCTATAAACATGCGTGTGCAAGTATCTTTTTCATATAATGACTTCTTTTCTTCTGGGTAGATACCCAGTAGTGGGATTGCTGGATCAGACGGTAGTTCTACTTTTAGCTCTTTAAGGAATCACCACACTGTTTTCCATAGTGGTTGTACTGGTTTACATTCCCACCAGCAGTGTAAAAGCGTTTCCCTTTCACTGTATCCAGGCTAACATCTATTATATTTTGATTTTTTGATTATGGCCATTCTTGCAGGAGTAAGTTGGTATCACATTCTGGTTTTGATTTGCATTTCCCTGATCACTAGTGATGTTGAGCATTTCTTTCATATGTTTGTTTGCCATTTGTATATCTTCTTTTTAGAATTGTCTATTCATGTCCTTAGCCCACTTTTTTGATGGGATTGTTTGTTTTCTTGCTAATTAGTTTGAGTTTGTTGTAGATTCTGCACATTAGTCCTTTTTCAGATGTATAGATTGTGAAGATTTTCTCCCACTCCGTGGGTTGTCTGTTTACTCTGCTGTTTCTTTTGTATGCAAAAGCTCTTTAGTTTAATTAAGTCCCAGCTATTTATCTTTGTTTTTATTGCATTTGCTTTTGGGTTCTTGGTTATGAAATCATTGCCTAAGCCAATATCTAGAAGGGTTTTTCCAACACTGTCTTCTAGAATTTTTGTAGTTTCCGGTCTTAGATTTAAGTCCTTCATCCATCTTGAGTTGATTTTTGTATAAGGTGAGAGATGAGGATCCAGTTTCATTCTCCTACATGTGGCTTGCCAATTATCCCAGCGCTATTTGTTGAATAAGGTGTCCTTTCTCCACTTTACCTTTTTGTTTGCTTTGTCAAAGATCAGTTGGCTGTAAGTATGAGGGTTTATTTCTGAGTTCGCTATTCTGTTCCATTGGTCTATGTGTCTTATTTTTATGCCAGTACCATTCTGTTTTGGTGACTACGGCCTTATAGTATAGTTTGAAATCAGGTAATGTGATGGCTCCAGATTTATTCTTTTTGCTTAGTCTTGCTTTGGCTATGTGGGCTCTTTCTTGGTTCCATATGAATTTTAGGATTGTTTTTTCTAATTCTGTGAAGAATGATGGTGGTATTTTGATGGGAGTTGCATTGAATTTGTAGATTGCTTTTGGCAGTATGGTCGTTTTCACAATATTGATTCTACCCATCCATGAACATGGGATGTGTTTCCACTAGTTTGTGTCATCTATGATTTCTTTCAGCAGTGTTTTGTTGTTTTCCTTGTAGAGGTCTTTCACCTCCTTGGTTAGGTATATTTCTAAGTATTTTGTTTGTTTGCAGCTATTGTAAAAGGGGTTAAGTTCTTGATCTGATTCTCCGCTTGGTCGCTGTGGGTGTATAGAAGAGCTACTGATTTGTGTACATTAATTTTCTATCTGGAAACTTTGCTGAATTCTTTTATCAGTTCTAGGAGCTTTCTGGAGTAGTCTTTAGGGTTTTCTAGGTAAACAATCATATCAGAGAGCAGCGACAGTTTGACTTCTTCTTTACCAATTTGGATGCCCTTTATTTCTTTCTCTTGTCTGATTGCTCTGGCTTCAACATAATACTATGGTGAAAAGGAATGGTGAGAGTGGGCATCCTTGTCTTGTTTCAGTTGTCAGAGGGAATGCTTTCAACTTTTCCCCATTCAGTATTATGCTGGCTATGGATTTGTTATAGATGGTTTTTATTACATTGAGGTATGTCCTTGTATGCTGATTTTGTGGAGAGTTTTAATCAAAAACGATGCTGGATTTTGTTAAATGCTTTTTCTACATCTGTTAAGATGATATGTGATTTTTGTTTTTTATTCTATTTATGTGGTGTATCACATTTGTTGACTTGTGTATGTTAAACCATCCCTGCATCCCTGGTATAAAACCCACTTGATGATGGTAGATTATCTTTTTGGTATGTTGTTGGATTCAATTAGCTAGTATTACGTTAAGGATTTTAGCATCTATGTTCATCAGGGATATTGATTTGTAGTTTTCTTTTTTGATTATGTCCTTTCCTGGTTTTGGTATTAGGGTGATAATGGTTTCATACAATGATTTAGGGAGGGTTCCCTCTTTCTCTATCTGGTGGAATAGTGTCAAAAGGATTGACATCAATTCTTCTTTGAATGTCTGGTAGAATTCTGCTGTGAGTCTGTCTGGTCCTGGACTTCTTTTTGTTGGTAATTCTTTCATTAACATTTCAATCTTACTGCTTGTTATTGGCCTGTTCAGAGTATGTAATTCTTCCTGATTTAAGCTAGGAAGGTTGTATTTTCCCAGGATTTTATCCATCTCCTTTAGGTGTTCTAGTTTGTGTACATAAAGTCATTCGTATTAGCCTTGAATGATCTTTTGTATTTCTGTGATGTCAGTTGTAATATCTCTCGTTTCATTTCTAATTGAGCTTATTTGGATTTTCTCTCTCCTTTTCTTGGTTAATCTTGCCAGTGGTCTATCAGTTTTATTTATCTTTTCGAAGAACCAGTTTTTTGTTATATTTGTCTTTTGTATTTTTTTGGTTTCAATTTTATTTAGTTCTGCTCTAATCTTGGTTATTTCCTTTCTTCTGCTGGGTTTGGGTTTGGTTTGTTCTTGTTTCTCTAGTTCCTTGAGATGTTACCTTAGATTGTCTGTTTGTGCTCTTTTAGACTTTTTGATGAAGGTGTTTAGGGGTATGAACTTTCCTCTTAGCACCGCCTTTGCTGTATGCCAGAGGTTTTGATAGGTTGTATCACTATTGTTGTTCAGTTCGAAGAATTTTTAAATTTCCATCTTGATTTTGTTTTTGACCCAATGATCATTCAGGAGCAAGTTATTTAATTTCCATGTATTTGCATGGTTTTGAAGGTTCCTTTTGCAGTTGATTTCCAGTTTAATTCCACTGTGGTCTGAGAGACTGCTTGATATAATTTCAATTTTCTTGAATTTATTGAGGCTCATTTTGTGGCCTATCATGTGGTCTATCCCGGAGAAAGTTCCATGCGCTGTTGAATAGAATGTACATTCTGTGGTTGTTGGGTAGAATGTCATGTAAATATATGTTAAGTCTATTTGTTCTGGGGTATAGTTTAAATCCATTGTTTCTTTGTTGACTTTCTGTCTTGATGACCTGTCTTTTGCTGTGAGTGGAATATCGAAGTCCCCCACTATTATTGTGTTGCTGTTTATCTCATTTCTTAGGTCTAGTAGTAGTTGTTTTATAAGTTTGGGAGCTCCAGTGTTAGGTGCGTATATATTTAGGATTGTGATATTTTCATGTTGGACAAGGCCTTTTATCGTTATATAATGACCCTCTTTCTCTTTTTTTAATACTGTTGCTTTAAAGTTTTTGTCTAATGTAAGAATAGCTACTGCTGCTCGCATTTGGTGTCCATTTGCATGGGGTGTCTTTTGCCATCCCTTTACCTTAAGTTTATGTGAGTCCTTATGTGTTAGGTGTATCTCTTGAAGGCAGCACATAGTTGGTTGGTGAATTCTTATCCATTCTACAATTATGTATCTTTTAAGTGGAGCATTTAGACCATTTGCATTTAATGTTAGTATTGAGATGTGAGGTACCACTCCATTAATCATGCTATTTATTGCCTGTATACGTTGGTTTTTTGTTTTAAATTGTATTTTTGTTTTATAGGTTCTGTGTGATTTATGCTTTAAAGAGGTTCTGTTTTGATGTGTTTCCAAGATTTGTTTCAAGATTTAGAGCTCCTTGGCCAGGCACGGTGGCTCACATCTGTAATCCCAGCACTTTGGGAGGTCGAGGTGGGCAGATCACGAGGTCAGGAGATCGAGACCATCCTGGCTAACACGGTGAAACCCTGTCTCTACTAAAAATACAAAAAACCAGCCAGGTGTGGTGGCGGGCACCTGTAGTCCCAGCTACTCGGGAGGCTGAGTCAAGAGAATGGTGTGAACCTGGGAGGCGGGGCTTGCAGTGAGCTGAGATTGCGCCACTGCACTCCAGCCTGGGAGACAGAGCAAGACTATGTCTCAAAAAAAAAACAAAAACAAAAAACAAAAAACAAAAAAACCCCACAAAGATATAGAGCTCCTTTCAGCGGTTGTTTTATTGCTGGCTTGAGAGTGGTGAATTCTCTCAGCATTTGCTTGTCTGGAAAAGACTGTGTAGTTTTGCTGGGTACAAAACTCTTGGCTGATAATTGTGTTGTTTGAGGAGGCTGAAGATAGGACCCCAAACCCTTCTAGCTTGTAGGGTTTCTGCTGAGAAATCTGCAGTTAATCTGATGAGTTTTCCTTTATAGGTTACCTGGTGTTTTTGCCTCACAGCTCTTAAGATTCTTTCCTTTGTCTTAACTTTAGATAATCTGATGACAGTGTGCCTGGGTGATGATCTCTTTGTGATGAATTTCCCAGATGTTCTTTGAGCTTCTTGTATTCAGATGTCTAGTTCTTTAGCAAGGCTGGGGAAGTTTTCCTCAATTATTCCTCAAAATGTATTTTCCAAACTTAGATTTCTGTTCTTCCTCAGGAATACATTATTCTTAGGTTTGGTCGTTTAACATAATCCCAGACTTCTTGGAGTCTTTGTTCATATTTCCTTATTCTTTTTTCTTTGTCTTTGTTGGATTGTGTTAACTGGAAAACCTTGTCTTTGAGCTCTGAAGTTCTTTCTTCTGCTTGTTCAATTCTATTGCTGAGACTTTCCAGAGCATTTTGCATTTCTATAAGTGCATCCATTGTTTCTTAAAGTTTTGATTATTTTTTATTTATGCTATCTATTTCATTGAATATTTCTCCCCTCACTTCTTGTATCATTTTTTTGATTTCCTTACATTGGGCTTCACCTTTCTCTGGTGACTCCCTGATTAGCTTAATAACTAACCTTCTGAATTATTTTTCAGGTAAATCAGGGATTTCATCTTGGTTTGGATCCATTGCTGGTGAGCTATTGTGATTTTTTGGGGGTGTTAAAAAACCTTGTTTTGCCATATTACCAGAGTTGGTTTCCTGGTTCCTTTTCATTTGGGTAGGCTCTGTTGAAGGGAAAAGTCTAAGGCTCAAGGCTGTTCTTCAGTTCCTTTTTACCCATGGGTGTTTCCTTGATGTAGTACTCTCCTCCTTTCCCTAGGAATGTGGCTTCCTGAGAGCTGAGCTGTAGGATTGTTATCTCTCTTCTGGATCTAGCCACCCAGCAAGTCTGCCAGGCTCTGGGCTGGGACTGGGGGTTGTCTGTACAGAGTCCTATAATGTGAACCATCTGAGTCTCTCAGCTGTGGATACTGGCACCTGCTCCGGTGGAGGTGGCAGGGGGCGTGAAATGGACTCTGTGAGGTTCCTTAGCTTTGGTGGTTGATTAATGCACTATTTTTGTGCTATCTGGCATCCTGCTGAGAGGTGGCGCTTTCAAGAAAGTATCAGCTGTGGCAGTATGGGGAGAAACAGGTGGTGGGTGGGGCCCTAGAACTCCCAAGAGTATACTGCCCTTTGTCTTCAGTTACCAGAGGGTGTAGGGGAGGAGCATTAGGTGGGAGCAGGGCTAGGCATGTCTGACCTCAGACTTTACTTGGGCAGGTCTTGCTGTGGCTGCTGTGGGGGATGTGGGTGAGGGTCCCAGGTCCCATGGAGTTATGTTCCCAGGAGGATTATGGCTGTCTCTGCTGTGTCATGCTGGTTGTCAGGGAAGTAGGGAAAAGTGGCAGTCAGAGGTCTCACCCACCTCCCACGCAATTCAAACGGCTGGTCTCACTCCCACTGTGCCCCTTCCAACAGCACAGAGTCTGTTTCCAGGCAGTGGGCGAGCAGGGCTGAGAACTTGCCCCAGGCTACCTGCCTCCCAGCTGCGAAAGTAGGGCTTTCTTTCTTCCCCAACTTGTGGAGTCTGCACACCAGATTCACACCCTCCCCTGAGTTCTGGCCAGGAGACTTCTTGATCAGTTCAAATTGTTACAAAGTTCAACTGGAGGTTTCCTTCTCCATGTGGACTTTGCCCAGTGCCTCTGGCAGCCCTGCTTAAGGACCCCTGTGAGACCAGGCAGAAATGGCTTAGGGATTTTCCCGCTGCTTCCTCTACCCCTGTATTTTGCTCGGCTCTCTAAATTGACTCAGCTCCAGGTAAGGTCAGAATCTTCTTCTGTAATCTAGACCTTCAGGTTCCCTGGTGGGTATATGTGCTCGGGGCGGACAATCTCCCTTTCCCATTTCATGGTTTGGGCACTCACAGTATTTGGGGTGTCTCCCAGGTCCTGCAGGAGCAATCCGCTTCCTTCAGAGAGTCTGTGGGTTATCCTGGCTTTCCTAATGTATTCCTACCCATTTATTTGACTATATGAAGTACTATTAATCTACCAATTTGGATGATAGAATTTGATTGTATTTATTTTTATACCTGTGAGGTTAAGATGAAATGAGGTTAAGAGAAATGTTACTAATGAAAAACATAATCTGCCATTTATCTAATTTTGTCAAAGTAAAACTAGTAAAATACCAGAGACCTTTAAATTTTAAAATTGTATGAGATTACATGGTAGATACTGTAATTAAAAAAACTTGTTATTCCCAGAAGCAATATACAACTGGAAGGCAACAGAATGAAACCTGTTTTAAAATTAAAATTTTAATCTGAATTAATGAAGGTGAAGGTGTTTTCTCAAATTAATAAATGCAAATTGGCCAATAAAATTTTTAAAGCTATATTCTCTAACCAAAGTGACATAATTATGATATTTTATTGAGATATTCCAGTTATTACATTTTTTTCTAAATTTTGAGATCATCAATATTTCAGGGTATAACTTTTTATTTCTTTTTAATTTTACTATCTTTGTTTAATAACATTTAGATTTTGCAATCCACCAAGGAAGTATGACTTCATTTTAAGAAACTTTCTTCCATTTTTATTTAAATCTTTTATTTAACAATACACTTGGTTTATTACTAGCCCTTTAGTTCTCACAAGTGGGAAATCTTTTATTCATGAATTTCATAGTACTTGGTGGAAATTCTTTCTGATACACGAAATTAGATGACTAATATTGTTCACCTTTTGATGACAACCCTACTTGTACATTCTCCCAATAGTAATGTATTACATGCCTTGAGACTGTTTAGCTTTTTCAGTTAATTTCTTTGATGATGAAAAGGTTAGCACCATAAGGTCTGACCCTACTTTCAGTTTACATTAATTTCACGTTTTTCAAATTCATTTCAGAAGCCCATCACATTAAAATGTTCATAAATTTTTAAAATTTTTTAAAAAATTTAATTACTCAAATTTGGGTGATATTTTGGAAAAAAATTTTTTATATTTTAATAATTATTGAATGAATAAATAAGTAGATATTCTTAATGGCAATTCATGATAAAATGTACTGCTAAGATGTGATTGATTTATAATTAATTAAAACACTTTAAGCCATAAGCCCTTATGAATATTTTAATAGAATATGAGCATAATATATTCCATTTAAATACTCGGAGGATTGTATTAATGGCCCAGAGGAGAAATCTACAGATGACATGATGTTTGGAGGGAATGACAATACACGAAATGACAAAATTAGTATCCAAGATGATCTGAAATGTTGGAAGACTGGATAGCTCAAACAAAATGAAGTTTAATAGGGACTAATATGATGTCCTACTATATGTTTCCCAAACCAATCACAGAAGCATAGCACCAGAAGCAGAAGTACATGTGAACAAGAATAGGGATTTAAGTCAAGAGTAAGCCCAGGGTTCATTAACACATTTGTTTATAAGTGAATTCATTCAGTCAAGAATTACAACCTACTCCATGCAAGGAAGGCACCATAACTGTCTCTGAGAATATAATTCAGACTGACAGGACTATCCTCAAATCTTTTCTCTCAATGTCCTGTTTTATATGCAGCTATTACTCCACATATGAGCTATAATATTTTGTTTTCATCTAGATGGCCAGGTATAAGGGTGTCTGCATCAAACCAGAATATCTGGAAACCATGCCATAAGAGAAACAGCAAGTGATTCAAACTGCTTAGACTGAAGAATGGACTATGTAGGTGTCAAAAACACTCTCCTTTGAATATCTGAGAGTTGTTTTAAGAAAGTGGAGCTAGGCTTGCCTCTCTTTATCCTCAGTTAAGAACTAGAAACAATGAGGAAAGTCACAGGAAGTTAAGTGTTAAGTGAGCATCAAACAAACAATGAATGACTTTTTCCCAATTAGATCTGTCTAAAATGAAATAATCTGATTTCCTTTGAGAAATAGTGACTCATCTATCAATGAACATATAAGATCCTAGAAGCTATAAATAGAGTAAAACAATAACAACAAAAAAATCTAACTTCTATTGGGTACTTACTATAAGTAAGGCACTTTTCTAAGTGTTTTTATGTAGACTCTTCATGACTGTCCAATGAGTGGGGTAGCATCCCTGGACAGGCAGTATGCATAATGGTTAAGAGCATGATCTCAGGAGGTGGACTGAGTTCAGATCCAGGCTTTGTCGCTTACTTGTTGTGTGACTTATCTTGGCTCAGTTTCCTCATACGTAATAGGTGAATGACAGTAGTATAGCCCATATAGGAGGATACTGAGGATTAACTGTGTGTTAAGGCATTTAAAGTTTTTAGGACAGTGACTGGTTCTAAGTGTAAGTGCTCAATGCTCAATGGACATTAGCTACTATCTCTATTTTACAGAGATTTAGGCATAAAAAACCAAACGAATGTGCCCAAAGTCATACAGCTAATATATGGGGAGGGCAAGAGCCTGATCTTTGTTTTGTAAAATATGATGAGTAAGGTTCAAAAGTAAAGGAGTATTCTGGGGAAAAATTACAAGTGGTTCACACCTAGCATGATGTTACCTAAGCAGGAGGCCTTAGAATGATGGTAGCATAGGAGGAGATCAGATACTAAAGATAGACCTTATTTCGTTCAATGATTTTATTCAGTTAATCTTTATTAAGGGCCTATCATGTACTGAGTAGTGGAGAAAAAGCAAACAAAATAGACAAACCCTCATGGATGTTACATTCCAGTATTTTATGTTTCCTGGGCTGGGTTCTACAAAATGTTAACAACTGGACAAAAGAAGCAATTCAGGTTTCATGATCTGCACTTTAATGCATTACCCTCCACCTATACCGCAAACTTTGGTGACTTCGTCTGAATCTAAATTTAAGAGTAAAGACCATGTAACCCATGCACTCTCATTTTATAATTCAAACTTGTCTTATATTCTTTCTCCAAAAAAAACACAAAAAACTGTGGCTACTACCTTCCTCCATCTTCTATCTACACTGTAGCCTGTGGGCCATTTCAGTATAATTACTCCTGCTTGAAGCAGTCTTCCCATTATCCAAAGAATACAAAGCCCCCACTAGGCCTTTGCCATATCATACAAAAAGTCTCTTATTTGACCCTTGCTTACTTCTTGGGCTCTCCTTTCACTGTTCCCTCCAGCCTGAAGGAAAACTCAACTGTCTGCAGTTCATAAAGGCATCATGCTTGATCTTGCAATCTGGTCTTTGCAAATGTTTTCTTTTTCTTTGTTTCTTTCTTTCTTTTTTTTTTTTTTGAGACGGTGTCTTGCTCTGTCACCCAGGCTGGAGTACAGTGGCCCAGATCTCAGCTCACTGCAACCTCTGCCTCCTGGGTTCAAGCAATTCTCCTGACTCAGCCTCCCAAGTAGCTGGGATTACAGGCATGTACCACCATGCCCGGCTAATTTTTTGTATTTTTAGTAGAGACAGGCTTTCACCAGGCTGGCCAGGCTGGTCTCAAACTCCTGACCTGGTGATCCGCCCACCTTCAGCCTCCCGAAGTGCTGGGATTACAGGCAGGAGCCACCGCGCCTGACCCTTGTTCTTCTTCTTCTTGTTTTTTTTTAAAAACTTTTATTTTAAGTTCGGGGTACATGTGCAGGATGTGCAGGATTGTTACACAGGTAAATATGTGTCATGAGCACTTGTTGTACAGATTATTTCATTACCTAAGTATTAAGCTTAGCATCCGTTAGTCGTTTTTCCTGATTCTCTCCCGCCTCCCACCCTCTGTCCTCCAGTAGGCCCCAGTGGGTGTTGTTCCCCCTATCTGTCCATGTGTTCTCATTTTTAGCTCCCACTTATAAGTGAGAATATGTGGTATTTGGTTTTCTGTTCCTGTGTTAGTTTGTTAAGGATAATGGCCTCCAGCTCCATCCATGTTCCTGCAAAGAGATGATCTTGCTCTTTTTTATGGCTGCATAGTATTCCTTGGTGTATATGTACTACATTTTCTTTAATCTGTCATTGATGGGAATATAGGTTGATACCATGTCTTTGATATTGTGAACAGTGCTGCAATGAACATACGTGTGTATCCATCTTTATAACAGAAAAATTTATATTCCTTTGGGTATATACCCAGTAATGGGATTGCTGGGTCAAATCTTAGTTCTTTCTTTAGGTCTTTGAGGAATTCTCACACTATCTTCCACAATGGTTGAACTAATTTACACTTCCACCCACAGTGTATAAGTGATCCTTTTTCTCCACAATCTCACCAGAATCTGTTGTTTTTTGACTTTTAAATAATAGCCATTCTGACTGGTGTGGAGTGGTACTGCATTGTGGTTTTGATTTGCATTTCTTTAATAATCAGTGATGTTGAGCTTTTTATTCATGTAATTGTTGGGTGCATGTATGTCTTCTTTTGAGCAGTGTCTGTTCGTGTCCTTTGCCCACTTTTAAATGTTTTTTTTTCTTGGTAAATTTTAATTCCTTATAGATGCTGGATATTAGACTTTTGTCGGATGCATAGTTTGCAAAATTTTTCTCCCATTCTGTAGATTGTCTGTTTACTCTGTTGATAGTTTCTTTTGCTGTGCAGAAGCTCTTTAGTTTAATTAGATCCCATTTGTTAATTTTTGCTTTTTTTTGCAACTGGTTGTGGCATCTTAGTCATGAAATCTTTGCCCATGCCTATGTCCTGAATGGTACTGTAGCCTAGGTTTTCTTCTAGGGTTTTAATGGTTTTGGGTTTTACATTTAAGTCTTTAATCCATCTTGAGTTGATTTTTGTATATGGTATAAGGAAGGGTTCCAGCTTCAACTTTCTGCATATGGCTAGCCAGTTATCCCAGCACCATTTATTAAACAGGGAATCCTTTTCCCATTGCTTGTTTTTGTCAGGTTTGTTGAAGATCAGATAATTGAAGGTGTGCAGTCTTATTTCTGGGTTTTCTGTTCTGTTCCATTGGTCTGTGTTTCTGCTCTTGTACTAGTACCATGCTGTTTTGGTTACTGTAGCAGCCCTGTAGCATAGTTTAAGGTCAGGTAGCATGATGCCTCCAGCTTTGTTCTTTCTGCCCAGTTTGGCCTTGGCTATTTGGGCTCTTTTTTTGTTCCATATGAATTTAAAATAGTTTTTTCTAGTTCTGCGAAGAATGTCAATGGTAGTTTAATGGGAAGAGCATTGAATCTATAAATTGCTTTGGGCAGTGTGGCCATTTTAGTGATATTGATTCTTCTTATTCATGAGCATGGAATGTTTTTCCATTTGTTTGTTTCATGTCTGATTTCTTGGAGCAGTGGTTTGTAGCTCTCCTTGTAGAGATCATTCACTTCCCTTGTTAGCTGTATTCCTAGGTATTTTATTCTTTTTATTTCAATTGTGAATGGGAGCTCATTTGTAATTTGACTCTCAGCTTGACTATTGCTAGTGTATAGAGGAGCTAGTGATTTTTGCATATTGATTTTATATCCTGAGACTTTGCTGAAGTTGCTTATCAGCTTAAGAAGTTTTTGGGCTGAGACAATGGAGTTTTCTAGATATAGGATCATGTCATCTGCAAACAGGGATAGTTTGACTTCCTCCCCTCCTATTTGAATGCCCTTTATTTCTTTCTCTTGCCTGATTGCCCCAGCCAGAAATTCCAATACTATGTTGAATAGGAGTGGTGAGAGAGGGTATTCTTGTCTTTTGCTAGTTTTCAAGGGGAATGCTTCCAGCTTTTGCCCCTTCAGTATGATATTGGCTGTGGTTTTGCCATATATGGCTCTTATTATTTTGAGGTATGTTCCTTGAACACCTAGTTTATTGAGAGTTTTTTTTTAACATAAAGAGATGTTGAATTTTATTGAAGGCCTTTTCTGCATTGATTGAGATAATCATATGGTTTTTGTCTTTAGTTCTGTTTATGTGATGAATCACATTTATTGATTCGCATACCAGAAACTCTGGGACACAGCCAAAGCAATGTTAAAAGGGTAATTTATAGCACTGAATGCTCACATAAAAAAAAAAAACTAGAAAGATTTCAATTTAACAACCCAACATCAGAACTAAAAGAACTAGATAACCAAGAGCAAACAAATCCCAAAGCTAGCAGAAGAAATAACGAAAATCAGAGTCAAACTGAAGGAGATAGAGAAGGGACAAACCATTTGGAAGATCAACGAATCCAGGAGCTAGCTTTTTGAAAAACTTAATAAAACAGATAGCTCTCTAGCTACAATAATAAAGAAGAAAAGAGCAAAGAATCAAATAGGCACAATAAAAAATTATAAGGGGGGGTATTACCACTGGCCCCACAGAAATACAAACAACCATCAGAAATTATAAACATCTCTAAGCACATAAACTAGAAATCTACAAGAAATGGATAACTTCCTGGACTCATACACCATCCCCCAAGACTGAACCAGGAAGAAATTGAAGTCCTGAACAGACCAATAATGAGTTCTGAAATTGAGACAGTAATAAATAGCCTCCAACCCCCAAAACCCAGGACCAGACGGATTCACAGCTGAATTCTACCACATGTACAAAGAAGAGCTGGCATCATTTCTACCAAAACTATTCCAAAAAATCAAAAAGGAGGGACTCCTCCTTAACTCATTCTATGAGGCCAGCATTATCCTGATACCAAAACCTGGCAGAGAACAACAACAACAAAAACTTCAGGCCAATATCCTTGACGAATATCAATGCAAAAATCCTCAACAAAATACTGACAAACTGAATCCAGCAGCACATCAAAAAGCTTGTCCACCACAATCAAGTAGCCTTCATCCCCAGGATACAAGGTTGGTTCAACATACACAAATGTTGTTTTCTAAGACCGTTCACCTGATCCCTGATTGGGTTAGGTATCCTTCCTTCTGTGTTAGTATCCCTACTGTAGCACTTTGCATATATATACTGAGCTCCTTGAAGCAGAGGACTGAATCTTGTTCATCTCTGTGGCTCCAGTTCCTTCCAAGGTAACTTGTGCATGCTACTGCTCCAAGAATTCCATCTAAATTGAACAAAATAAACGATCTATGTTCATAACCAATCTGTTCTTCTCCACCTCAGTAACTTATTCCAAAGATAACACTTAGATTTGTCATCACAATGATCTATATTACCTTTGAAATCTCAATTGCAAATATACCACTGGCTGATCATCACCTCCTATACTTTCAGTTCACTTATTACAGTATCCTAGAATTCCTCTGCCACAGTTATTGATATATCACTGATAGGCTAAATTTACCTTGTCTCTATTTACCTATCTTTCCTTCCTTCCTAAGCTGAGATTCATTAACAGTTCATCGTTATGAACAATTTCTTGCAAACATCACTTAGCAAACTGTTTCTTTTGTTACATTTCCCTAGTTGAACTTAACATTGGTTGAATCCAACATTCTGCCTTTTCTGCAAATGCCCGAAGATTTGTTGGAGAAAATCACAGTTTGGCTGACTGCTTTAACTTTAAATTCCAGACAAATACCTGAAATAGGGATTGAATAATGCTTGCAACTTTGCTACTTTTCCTCATCTTGCTTTTCAACTCTCTGAGACTCTTTCATAACTCTTCAATCTTGTCAAAACTGTCCTCTTTTTACCACAGCTCATCACTTACCCTATTATTTACTGAAACAAACACAAACAATAATAGATAGATTTACTCCAAAGGTAATAAAGCTTGGGCTTCAGCCTCCTCACATGCATAGTTAGAGAATTTGCAAAGGAATATATTTTAAGACAATTGGTTAAGACTGCTGTATTTTGCTATGTTCACTTTCTCTTCATCATACTTCCTCTGACAAAATGTGGCATATTTAGGATCTGGCTTAGTTGAAGTTGAATTGGGGATACAATTAGTCTGAATTTAGTGCAATACATTTATGTGTTTTGCGGTCACTTCAGTAGTTTTCTCCCATTAACTACCTCTGGCTCTCCCAAATTTGTGTTTCCTTCCTGTCCATCTGAGATCTAAATCTCTTCTTGTCTTTACAGGAACTCTAGATCTGGACTTATTTCCTATACACTTTCAACCTCTGTCTCTACTAGGTCACCTTCAGCAGCACACAAACATGCCTTGGTTTCTTCCATGATTAAAAAGATACCATTTTTATAGATGCTACAGATCCTTCCATCTACTTCCCTATTTGTTTGCTCTGTTTCTCACAGGATCACAGTAGAAATAATGTGCCCAACTCTTTGCCTTTGCTTCCTTATCTCCCATTCACACTTCAACCCACTCTGATAGGGCACTGAAAATTGCTCTTGTGGAAGTCTTTATGACCTCCATTTTGGAGCTAGGATCCCTGAAATACAGCTACATAAGTCAGACTAAGTACTTAGCTAGTAAAGTCAGCCAATAAAGGGCAGATAGCAAATTAGAGAGGAAAAAACAATTTTAAATGTCTAAATGCAAAACTTACATTAAAGTCCAATTGATTAAAAGAAATTTTATGGCTGCAAATATTTTTAAGATATAGAGAAAATTTGAAGTTGCCAATGCAATATTTCATTTTAGAATCATTAGATGATATATAGGTGTTCATTAACATAAATTATAATTATAGTAAATTATATAGTTTCTACAGTATATCTGTTTTTTCTCATTAATATTTGAAATGTTGAAAATACATGTTTTTACTTGCATCACATTCTATTATTATGCATTCCTATGAGCTAACCTCTGAAAATATCCAAAAATGTTTCATTTCTAGAGTAGATAAATAATTTTTCCAATTTAGATAGTTCACTGAGTGGAAAACAAATAAGGTCATTATTTTTTATTGGCAAACCAGTAACCTGAAATTTCTTTTTACTGATAATTCTATAACTATTGTGAGCTTTTAAAGTAGAACTTGCATCTCTGAATCTCTGGTACTCAGCAGTGTGACTGTTGCAAAAAATGTTGGCAATAACATTCGGGTCATAAAGATGTACTGCAAAACTGAAATACCTTCTGAATCAGAAAAGACTACTTCTGTTCAGCATGATTTCAATGTAATTCAAAATTTGAATTCTTTGAAAGTTGGTAATCAATATCTAGTATAGGAGCATTCACTCTCTACTAAACTACATAATACCCAATTACCTGAACAGAAAATAACAAAAAAATTATATCACCAATCTGTTAAATAGTGAGCATTTCATCAAATGAGAAGTTAAGCTGTCAAGTGTACATGCATTATCTTTTCTGCCTCAAAGTCAGTAAACGTTAAGGTAGATAGTCTGCTTTTTATGTCAGTACCTTACGTTTGTTCAATGGAAGTAAGAATCTATATTAAAAAAATTGTAAGTCTTTCCAGGTAAAGACCATTTGGTTGTGTGTTTGGTAGAAAAATACTTCATTAGAGGCAGGCAAGAACCAAGTCATAATAAAAATTCATTCATGTATCAGTTCCAAAGTTATCCTGTCTTCCATTTGTGGTAGATATAAAATGCTAAACTGAGTCATCACCTGGCCTCTACCTAGTGGATATTTAATAAATATATGTTAAATGAATGTTTAATAAATATATGTTAAATGTTTAATAAATATATGTTAAATGAAAAAAGTGAATGTTTAATAAATATATGTTAAATGAAAAAAGAAGATTAGTGTCATCAGTAGAAACCTTTAATTTTGCTGTGCTTCAATTTACCCATTAGAGAAGTAAGAATGCTTATACTTATCCTACTTGACTTCACTGCATAGTAATGTTACGTAGAGCAATAAAATCTCGTGTGTTATACATCATGGGCTTTTAAACTGCATTTTGAAAAAATGCAAAATTTTTAAACACTATTAGAGTTCGATGGATTATTTTAAGTGGAAAATGAGTTATTCATTTTTCATATTTGTTTTATTTTATTATTCTTAAATATATTACAGTTAGTTTTATTACCCTGAATATGTTATATCCTATTTTTACAATACATTCTAATTTTTATTCTTCAGTTTTATACTTATTTTCAATTAGGTATCAGGTTAGAATAGAAATGATGTAACTATTGCTGGATATTTAATATATTTATTTTCCATATCCTACATAAATAATATAAACTGGTAAGGGACAATTAATTTATAACATTCTTCAACATCTATCCCCAACCTGACTACTCAAATAATAATAACATTAATAAGTTAACTTACTCAGAACTTAAAATACTTCTCATTATTACTGTTAAAACTTGTAATATTTATTCACAAGTATTCTAATTGTCCACTCCTGAAAATTTAACAAGTACTTACCAAGCACCAATCCCATATGCAGCTCTGTGTTATGGGATATATGAGTGTGGGTGTGGAGAAGAGGGAAACTCAATATTACTATAATATTATCTCAGACAAAATGTTGATATAGGTTAATGGACAGAGATATATATCCAGAGTTAAATACTGTGGTAAAAATTATACTAGGATACAGGCAAGAGGAAAAACTAAAGAAATTGTGTAAAATAATATTAGTCTACCTGACCAAATACTTTATAATAACTACTGAGGGAGTAAAGTCAGCTACTTCTTTGGTCATATTTTAATGTCATTGTTTCCACATTCCACAACTGCTCTTTAAGAGTCTCAGCTTTACTTTTCTCTGCATAAATTCTACCATGTGAACTACATCAATAAATTAGGTATTTTTTATTAGTCTTACACAAAAGTTGAATGAATTGTTTGTCAGGGTATATTAATTTGTCAATATAGTTCTACATCAGTACACCCAAATTATTTTTATGATACTGTGTTGATTTTGTTATTAACCCTCATTTGAGGGCTAATTGCTGCTGTGTAATTTAGTAAAATTATAATATTTATTGGCTCAATGTACAAGGGCCAAGGTTATGTAATTTGGAATTACATGCTCAATTGTTTTGCTTGTCACTGAAAAAAAATTGCTTGGATTCATCACACAAATTTTTCGTTTATATTACAGATGAGCAATGAGTTTTGAGGTTTTAATTTTAACCAAATGTCTGTTGCAAACATACCAATTTTATCAACCTGATTTGGATTTTATTAACTTTAAACAATATATTTCCTTATCTATATAATCTTGCCCAATATTTATAAACTTGAAGTCCCGAAGAGTTGTCTTTACACACTTTCACCCTAGCCACCTGCCTTTCCATTCCCATTTTTGTGACTTCCTCTCAATCTGCATGGCAGCCACAGTGGACTCATTATGCTCTTTCCTGCTGCCTCTTCTGCCTAAAGCACTCCTCCTCCTTTTCTTAGCCTGGTTAATTTCCACTTGTTCTTTAGATTTCATTGCAATATCATTTCTTCAGGAAGTCTTTGTATGTTAGGCCAAATCTGATAGAGGCTCCTCAACACTTGGCATAGCTGAAATTTTACATTCCTGAGTGCACATGATTAATATTTGTCTTCCTCACTAGACTATGAACTCACTGAGGGCAAGGACATCTCTGTTTTTACTTTACTTTTGTATATTGAGAACCTGAAAAAGTGATCAACACAAGTATTCATCCAACAAATATTTATTGAGCACTTATATATCAAGTGCTATGCTCTGTGTGTGGCATATAACAGAGAACAAAGCAAAGTCATGGGCTGTATTCATTCATCTAAGAGTTGTTGAATGAACGAAGAAATGAATAATAATTTGATCCTAATTATTCTAATCAATCTTTCTTCTCTCTTCCATGTAAGAATGATCTTCAATTTGTATCATGCACATAGTGCTTTGCCATTAACATCTTGTGTATAGCTTTGCAAGCAGTAGATTGCTAATAACTATTTATCAGATCAGTGAATGAGTAAATGCCCAAGTGAATTAATTATAAATGTATAGGTTGGTGCTGACAATGTCATAAGACAGAAGGAATATATTTTAACTACAAATTTATTGTCCTTTTTGTAACAAGCTAATATTTTCTTCATGTGTGAACAGAATGCTTTTCTTAAAAAAACAGTTTTTCTTTATAATTATTGTGGTTATCTTATATTTGAATTCACATTACCCAGTCAGTAAGAGATTTTGCTAAAAATGTGAATTCCTATCAACATGATATGAAAAAGAAGTTGTTGAGACTTTAGCTTATAACATATGCTTTGGTCTATTTTTTCTTTTTCATATGGATTTGTGAACAGATGCTTGGGCAAGTTAATTCTATACTAAATCTTGTGTTTCTACATGTGCCATGAAGGTGGATGCTCGCCAAGTCAGCACTGTGGACCCCTTATTGGTCATTAATCACATCAAAATCACTTATTTTTGCTTTTATTAAATTGAAACAAAAATGAGAGCTCTGCTAACAAATGTTTATTTTATACAGTGGGGAGGCAGCCTCATCTTTCATTCCTCTGCCACAAGAATCTCTTGCTCTTGTTAAACTAATTTAATCATCAACCCACAGCACGCTTGTGTTTCCTCTACCCTTTTCCTTTGATTATGTCAATCTCCTGACCAGGATGCTCTCTCCCCTCCCCACCTATCCAAATCCAACTCATTTTTCAAGGCTCAAAAAATTCTGCGCCTTACGGAAAGCTTATCTTCATTACCCCAGTCATAAGTCACCCCATTAACGTAGACCAATTCCACAGTGTTTGAGAAACTACTATGTTCAAATGGCTGGGCCAGGTACCTGGTAGAAACACATGTCCTTCCTTTAAGATGCTTATAGTTTAAGAGAGAGAGAAAAAAGTAAGCATTTATTCAACAAATTCTATACTTATTAACTGGTGACTATTTTCAAATTTATCAGATAAGAATCATCTAGAGAATTTGATAAAATACAGGTTCCTGAGCTCTGCACCAAACTCACTGAAACAGAATTTCTACAAGTGTGGCCTAGAAATAAAAATCTGTAACAAGTGTTGATGGTAATCTGCGGATGCTTCTTTAACATACACTGTGTGGACACAGGAGTCACTAAGATGAGTGCTCTTCAAGGAGCTCCTCAAGAAGCTCCCATCCTAGTTAGTGCAGTTGGTTAATCCCAATACAGATATATTATGTAATTATTACATGTAAAAAAATGAAAAGGCCTGTGAGATGGTTTCAGGGAAAACAGGAAATGGAAAGAGTCAACAGCACTTGATGCACTGAAACCACAGTGGGTTCCCAAAGGTTAGAATCTGTTATAGGCACTATTCACCAAACAGTAGAGGAGGGAGAAGGGAAAGATGTGTGCCATGATTATGCACCTCCATAAATAGGGACAACTAAGACATAAGGCAAAAATAATGGGTGCAGTACAGATCTCTTTGTAGAGGAGTTTAGAGGAGGGGAAGATTATTTATAGCTAGTAAAGTCAAGGAATTTTGGAGAAAGTGCTGTATTTGAGTTGTTCCTTGAGGAAAAGATAAGATTTACAAACTATAGCATAGAGTTGCTGATAAGAAAAGCAAGAATATTCCAGAAGGAAGAATTAGTAAAAGCAAGAACACAGAGGTAGGAAGCATGCTGCACATACGAAGGACAGCAAGCAGTTCAATTTAGGTTAGTAAAGACTACGAGAAGAACAATTGTCCTTGTAGCGGTGGATTTAAGGAAACACTCCAGAAAGGTAAACTGGGCCAGATCTTAGGAGACCTTGAATACTACACCACAGAATAGCATTTATTCCTTTGACAACTCATTTGACAATATATACTTTTTTTTTTTTTTTTTTTTTTGCCTTGTCTCTCCTACAAACATACTTTTCCTGAAGGCATGGGCAGGCTTCACATTTCTTTATAAGCCCTCTGGAATGTAGTGCAATGCCTGGCAAACAGTAGGAGTTCAAAAAATTTCTGTTGACTGATTAATGGAGGTTGTTTTGTTCTCCAAAGGAGGGCTCCCACAGCATGTAGGAGGACCACGCACCACTAGGGTTTTCTCTATTTTGTTGGCACTAACTAGAAGATTGTCACTGTTAACAATATTCTAGTCATGCTGTGAAGACACTGGAGGTGCCTGAACATGAAGAATGCAGTTCTAGTTCATTGGGAATCTTACTATAGATGTATGCTTCTTTTTCATTTTCTCCACATTAACTGTAAACATTTTCTTAAATTTGTATTTGTCTTATTAACATAAGACAAAAATGTGTACTTGGAATGGAAAAAATAATAATTACCCTGCAAAGCCAACTGTTTGAACATTTAAGTAATGACCGATTTCTGTAGTATTAATTGGGCTATAAATTTAAGGAAGACTTTTTTTTCAGAGTTAACGATCTGGCTTTACAAATTCAACAGTGTGGCTGTGGAAGAGAATTGTTAGAACTCTCATGGGGAAATGTCATGACTCCTAATCCACCCATATAATAAATACATATGTCTAAGGCATTCAATAAATGCATTTGGGCAAGGAATAAATATTTACTAAAAACATATCATATGTTTGACAATATTCTATAAGTTCTAGAATATACTGGTGAACCAGGGGGACAAATTCCTTGATTTTGTGGAAGTTAAATTAGATCTAGTAGTTTGGTTCAATTGTTCAGAAACAGTGATAATAATTAGTTATATTATATAACATCTTAAACTTTGTAAAACTTTTATGTATTTGTTATGTTATTTTCCAGAACCCCTTTTTCTTCTGATTCTGTACATTTTATTTTCTGTTTTTATCCATTTTCATAGGGTCAATTTCATCAGTGATTCTCAAATATTTATCTAGCTCAGTCACATTTACTAAGTTTCAAATCTATATTTCTAACTATCTTTTATTTATTATTATTAATTTATGTTTTAAACTTTTATTTTAGGTTAGGGGGTACACTTGAAGGTAAATTCATGTCATGAGGGTTTGTTGTACAGATTATTTCTTCACCCAGGTATTCAGCCTGGTACCCAACAGTTATCTTTTCTGTTCTCCCTTCTCCCACCCTCCATCCTCACGTAGACCCCAGTGTTTGTTGTTTCCTTCTCTGTGTTCATAAGTTCTCATTATTTAGCTCCCACTTTTAAGTGAGAACATGCGGTATTTGGTTTTCTGTTCCTGCATTAGTTTGCTAAGGATAATAGCCTCTAGCTCTATCCATGTTCCTGTGAAAGACATGATCTTGTTCTTTTTTATGGATGCGTAGTTTTCCATGGTCTATATGTACTACATTTTATTTATCCAGTGTGTCATGGATGGGCATTTAGGTTGATTCCATGCCTTTGCTATTGTGAACTGCGCTGCAATGAACATTTGCATGCATGTGGCTTCATGGCAGAATGATTTATATTCCTCTGGGTATACAAGCAGTAGTGGGATTGCTGGATTGAATGGTAGTTCTGCTTTTACCTCTTTGAGGACTTGTGATACTGCTTTCCACAGTGGTTGAACTAATTTACAGTATCACCAACAGTGTATAAGTGTTCCCTTTTTTCTGCAACTTCGCCAGTATCTTGTTATTTTTTGACTTTTTAGTAACAGCCATACTGACTGATGTGAGATGGTATCTCAGGGTGGTTTTGATTTGATTTCTCTAGTGATCAGTGATATTGCGGGTTTTTTTTTCATATGTTTGTTGGCCGCATGTATGTCTTCTTTTGAAAAGTACGTTCATGTCCTTTGTTCTCTTTTTAATGGTTTTTTTTTTTGTAAATTTGTTTAAGTTCCTTATAGATGCTGGATATTAGACCTTTGTCAGATGCATAGTTTGAAAATATTTCTCCCATTCTCTGTGTTTGTTTACTCTCTATTATTTAGACATTTCCACCTGTGTGTTCCAAAGGCAATTCAAACTCAGTGTGTTCAGAACTGTTTCATCTTTTCCTACTCAATTTCCTTCTCCTCCTATATTCTTATTTCAATTCTAACATTATGCCCAAAGCATCCAGATTACAACTAAAAGCAACATAGCAGATTATTTCTCTCTTTTATCCATCTCCCTTGTGTTCTTTCAGTTCTTTATTTTTTCATTCTATTCTTTTCCTCCTCTGTTTCCACCTTAGTTCTGGCTGTATCATATTTCTGAAACTATTATAATAATTTTCAATTATCATTGGTTTCCGTCTGTTTCTATTAAAATTTTAGCACTTACCACAACTTCTAACACTTAGTTTACAATAAAAATGTTGATTAACTCATCTTTCATGTCAGAGCAAATTTTAAAATGTAGGCCCTAATATATTATTTACCTGCTTATAATTTTTGAGACTATTTGTCATTCATAGGATAAATACTAAATTATTAGCATGGCATTCAAAGACTCTGGTAGTCTTATTTCAGTTTAATTTTCTACTCTTGCCTCCCTTTATTCTACAAAATGATCTGTAACTCCAGCCTATATAATTTCTTCAAGCTTTCCAAGCCTTGTCTTCTGTCATCACTCCTCATGTCTATGAGTTGTTATCTCTTCCGTATTTACCTTTCAATTATTTCTTTACCCTGGACCTCTCTGCCTTTCCCTCCAAAAGTCACTCTTCAGTTTTCCTATATTATCATCTATCCATCCATCCATCCATCCATATGTCTATCTGTCTATTAACTGTGGTACTTTCATTTTCATTACTATTATTAGGCTTGGATTTCTGAATGGCAAAATTTGTGTTTCATTAAGTTTTGTATTCTCAATTGTTGAGAATAGCTACATAAACATAGAGTAAACATGTGGTGAATGGAAAAAGAGTAAGCTGATTCAGATTTTCTTTCACTGAAAACAAGTGAAAGAAAAAAAATGCTGCTGCTAGTGGACAGAAAAGGAAAAAAAATAAAGAGGCCATAAATGCATAGAATTTTGTAGAAGACACGAAGTAGATTCAATTCGATTAAAAAAATCAGTGTCAATCGCCTGTGATAACACAAACCAAAACGAGTCCCTCTGGGATGTCAGAATTGCTTGGCTTTTTTAATGAGTACCAAAAGTTTATATAAATTAGTAATGCTTTTGGAAGGAAAAATTTACTATCTATTAAAGTAAAATATGCACATCCAATGATCCAGTAGTTCTACCTGTAAGAATCCATTCTTTGCAAGTATATGCATGTATATATAAAAAGTTGTTTATGGCATTGTTAAAATACCAAAATATTGGAAACAACAAAGATGCCCATCAATAGGTTATAGATTAAATAAAAGAATAAAACTAATAAAAGATGTACAATATTTATATTCTCTCTCTCTCTCTATTTTTCTTTGGGACTGGGTCTTGCTCTATCACCCAGACTGCAGTGGAGCCACGCAATCTCCACTTACTGCAACCTCTGCCTCCCAGGGCCAAGTGATCCTCCCACCTCAGTCCCTGGAGTAGCTGGGACCACAGCCAGCTAATTTTTTGTATTTTTAGTCGAGACAGGATTTCGCCATGTTGGTCAGACTGGTCACAAACTCCTGGGCTCAGGTGATCTGCCTGCCTAGGCCTCCTAAAGTGTTGGGATTACCCGTGTGAGCCACTGTGCCCAGCCTAATATATCTTTAAGTGAAAAAGATGCACATACATGTAAATGTAAATGCATAGAGAAAGAAGTGGCATGGTAGACATTAAACTGTGCCTACCTCTGGGGGGTGGGACTGGGAGATTGGTGAGGGGAACATTCTTTTTCCTTTTTTTTTTTTCTTTATTACAACTACTTTTGTAACTAAAGAGCAATATAATCAGCTTAACAATTTAAACAAAATCTCCAGACTTGAAACAGCAGGGGCTGAGAGCAAAACAGGCCATAGTTAGTCCATAAGGAGAGACTGAAAGATTTCTAGACAGTTACGGCTTAGTACTTAGAGTTATCTCACTAGCTGAAAATTCTCATTAAATGTCTGCTCCCACTGACTTCTAATATGAGTAATAGAGTCAGATATAGAAGGAGGCAGTGTTCTACCTAACTTCAGGTTGGCACAATCGAAACAGCACTGAAAGTCTGTAATGTGCTTGTCCTCATCAGTAATTCTTCATCCACGTCTTGCTGTCAAGTAAAGCTTTAGGCCTTAAGAATCCTATATCAATGGCTGGAGGAGATGGTGGGTTGGGGAGCTCTCTTCATTTGGAACTCAGCTAGAGTGCCTCGTAAAAGTAGCTGGCACATCAATCACAACATTGATTATTCAGTCGTGCAGAGGAAGCTATAAATTGGGAATTGGTCATATAAAGAAGGGCCCCCTACTGCCACCCACATTTCTTGAAGGACCCAAATGATATGTGCTTGTTTGTAAATCTGCTTGCTCACTCACCATAGACAATATGTAGCACTCTGCTTGAGTGCCTAGGAAGACTGGGGTAGGGGAAAATCCACTGGAGGAAATAGAATTGTGTAAAATATAATTACTTTACAGTTGGAGTGGTTCAGCTGAGGGAGTTTACCACTAGACTTGCCTTACAAGAAATGCTATAGAGAGTCCTTCAAGTTGAAACAAAAGGACAGTAAACAGTGACACAAAAGCATATGAAAGTATAAAGCTTACTGTTAAAGGTAAACATATCAACAAATACATAGTATGTCATTCTGTAATAATCTCCTGCTTATCCACAGTTTCATTTTCCATAGTTTTAGTTACCAGTGTTCAACCATAATCTGAAAATATTAAATGGAAAATTCCAGAAACAAACTATTTATAAGTTTTAAATTGTGCACTGTTCTGAGTAGCAGGATGAAATCTCGCACTGTCCTGCTCTGTCTCTCCTGGGATGTGAGTCACCCCTTCGTCCAACGTATTCATGCTGTACCCACTACCCACCTGATTAGTCACCTAGTAACCTTCTCAGTTATCAGGTTGACAGATCACAAGAAGAGTTAGTATACCACAATAAGATATTTTGAGAGAGAGAAAGAGGGGGAGAGAGAGAGAGATCACATTTGCATAACTTTTTTTTACAGTATATTGTTATAATTGTTCTATTTTATTATTAGTTATTGCTGTTAGTCTTTTATTGTGCCTAATTTATAAATTAAACTTTATCATAGGTATGTATATGTAAAAAAAATAGTATATATAGGTTTGGTACTATCCACAGTTTCAGGCATCTGTTGTGGGTTTTGAAGCATATCCTCTGCAGATAAAGGGGGAATATTGTAGTAGTGCATAAACCATTGTTAAGCCTGGTACAGAAATGAAAAGGCAACAGTATATAAATATAACTATAAAAATAAGTTGATAGATATATAATATAAAAATATATGAGCTGTGACATCAAAAGCATGAAGTGGACTTGGGGAAATGTAAAAGTGTAGAGTTTTTGTATATGATTGAAGTTAAGTTGTTATCAGCTTAAAATAAATTGTTATAACTATAATATATTTTATAAGCACCTTATGGTAAGCCCAAAATATACCTATTGATGATACACAAAAGAAAATGAAATAGGAGTCAAAACAAATAACTATAAAGAATGAATGAAACACAAAGGAAAACAGAAAGAGAAGAAAAATAACACAAAAAAGTTATAAGACAGGGATAAAATACTTAACAAAATGGCAATACTAAGTCCTTCTCCATCAGTAATTACTCTAAATGTAAATGAACTGAACTCTCCAATGAGACAACACAGTGTTACTGAATAGATATATAACAAGACCCAACTATAAGCTGTCTACAAGAGATTCACTTTAGATTTATTTATTTATTTATTTATTTATTTATTTATTTATTTATTTTGAGACACAGTCTCACTCTGTTGCTCAGGGTGAAGTGCAGTGGCATGATCTTGCCTCAGCTGGAGTGCAGTGGTGCGATCTCAGCTCACTGCAACCTCTGCTTCCCTGGTTCAAGTGATTCTCATGCCTCAGCCTCCAGATTAGCTGGGATTACAGGTGTGCACCACCACGAGTGGCTAAGTTTTGTAGTTTTAGTAGAAATGGGGTTTCACCATGTTGGCCAGGCTGGTCTTGAACTCCCAACCTCAGGTGATCCACCCATCTCAGCCTCCCAAAGTGCTGAGATTACAGGCATGAGCCACTGCGCCTGGCCTACTCACTTTAAAGGCATACATAGGATGAAAGTGAATGGATGAAAAAAGATATTCCATGCAAATGGTAATGAGAAGACATCAAGACTGGTAATATTTATATCGGACAAATTAGACTTTAAAAACTGTCAAAATAAATAAAGAACATTATATAATGATAAAGGGGTTCATTCACCAAGAAGCTATAACAACTATAAATATATGCAAACCCGATATCAGAATATCTAAATATATGATGCAAATGTTGACAGAATTGATGGAGGAAATAGAAAGCAACACAATATGAGTAAGGGACTTCAATATTCTACTTTCAACAATGGCTAGAACATTCCAGATCAATAAAAAAAATACCCAAAAAACAGGACTTGATAAACCCTGTATACCAATGGACTTAACAGACATGTACAGAATATTCCACCCAACGACAGCTTAATAAACATTTTTCTCAAGTGCACACAGAACATTTGTAAGTGGGATTTATCTCTGGAATAAAGGGATGGTTCAACATGTGCAAATCAATATTTGAAATGCACCACATTAACAGAATGAAGGATAAAAATAATCTGATCATCTTATTAGATGCAGAAAAAGTATTTGACAAAATTCAACACCTTTTCATGATAAAAACTCTTAACAAATTAAGTATAGAAAAAATGTACCCCAACATGCTAAAGGTCATGCACGACAAGCCCACAGCTAACATCATGCTCGACACTGAAAAACTATAACCTTTTCTTCTAACATCAGGAACAAGACAAGAATGCACACTGTTACCAGTTTTGTTCAACAGAGTACCGGAAATCCTAGCCATAGAAATTAGGCAAGAAAAAGAAATAGGCATGCAAATAGAAAAGAGATGTAAAATGTCTCTGCTTACAGATGACATGCTCTTGTATATGGAAAGCCCCAAAGGTTCCACTAAAATTAGAACTAATAAACAAATTCAGTAAAGTTGTGGGATACAAAATCAACATAAAATTAATAGAGTTTTTATACAGAAAAATGAGCTGTCCAAAAATAAATCAGGAAAATCCCATTTATCATAGCATAAAAAATACTTAGGGATAAATTTAACCAAAGAGGTGAAAGATGTGTACACTGAAAACTATAAAATGTTGATGAAATAAATTGAAGAAGATAGAAATAAGTGGAAAGATATCCTATATTCATGGATGGGAAGAATTAATATTGGTATAATGCCCATACTACCCAAAGTGATCTACATATTTAATGCAATCCCCATACAAATTCTAACATTTTCCACAGAATTATAAAAAATGATTCTAAAACAAGCATGAAATCACAAAAGTTCACAAATAGACAAAGCAATCTTGAGCAAAAAGAACAAAGCTAGAGGCATCATACTATCTGATCTCAAAATCTACTAAAAAGTTATGGTAATTGAAACAGCATGGTACAGGCACAGAGAACAGACACATAGACCAATGAAATAAAACAGAGAGCCCAGAAATAAAACCACATTTATACTAATGAACTGATCTTCAATAAAGGTGTCAACAGCACCACAATGGGGAAAGGATAGTCTCTGATAAATACTTTTGGGAAAGTTGGATATGCTGAAGTATGAAATTGGACCATTATTCCACCCCATATGCAAAAATCAACTCAAAATGGGTTGAAGACTTAAGTAATGTACGTCCCGAAACTGTAAAACTTCTAGAAGAAAATACAGAAAAAAGTTTCTTGGCGTTGTTCTTGGCAAAGACTCTTTGGATATAACCCAAAAGCAGAGACAAAAGAAGTAAAAATAGACAAGTGGGATTACAGCAAACTAAATCTTCTGCAAGTCAAAGGAAACAATCAACAGAGTGAAGAGACAACATATGGAATGGGAGAAAGTATTTGCAAACTACATATCTGATAAGGGATCAATATCTAAAATATATGAGGAATTAAAAAGACTCAATAATAGTAAAACAACCTGGTTAAAAAACAGAAAGGAACCTTAAGAGTCATTTCTTAAAAAAAGACATACAAATAACCCACAGGTATAAGAAAAAATGCTCAACATCAGTAATAATCAGGAAAATGCAAATCAAAACCACAATGAGAAATCACCTCACAGTTGTTATAACGAACATTATCAAGAAAAAAAAACCAAAATAATAAGTGTTGGCAAGGATGTGGGGGAAATTGGAACTCTTATGTACTGTTGGTGGGAACGTAAAATGGTGCTGTCATTATGGAAAACAATATGAAGTTTCTTCAAAAAATTAAAAATAAAACTACTATATGATCCAGCAATCATGCTTTTGGATACTTATCCAAAAGAACTGAAATAGGGACTTCAAAAAATTTGTCCTTATGTATTCACTGCAGCATTATTAACGATAGCTGGGATGTATAAGTGACCCAAATGTCCACTGATGGATGAATAAATAAATGTCTTACATGTCCATTGATGAATGAGTGGATCAACTGATGAGTAGCATATATATGTAATGAAATATGATTTGGCCTCAAGAAAGAAGAAATTCCTATCATGTAGAAACATGGATGAACCTTGGAGATATTTTGGTAAGTGAAATAAGCCAGTCACAGAAAGGTAAATACTGCATGATTCTGCTGAAACGACATATCTGAAAAAGTCAAACCCATAGAAGCAGAAAGCAGAATGGTGGTTCCAGGGGCTGGGGAGAGGAAAATGGGGAGTTGCAGTTCAATGGGCAAAAGTTTTCAGTTATGGAAGATAGAAAAGTTCTAGAGATCTGCTGCACAACATTGTGCTTAGTAGTTCACAATAATGAAATGGCTATTGAAAAATTTGAGAAGAGGGTAAATCTCATGTTGTGTGTGTGTGTGTGTGTGTGTGTGTGTGTGTGTGTGTTTACCATGATAAAAAATAAGAACTGAAAAAAAAAACTTTCATTTTTTATTGTTTCCTATTTGGAACTAGAAATTTCATTTTTTAAGTTGCTTAGGTCTCAAATCTTGAAGTTACACTTAACTACTCTCCCTCTTATTCCTGATATCTGATCTGTCAACAAATCCTGTTGCTTCTACCTAGAGGCAGGTTTACCTTGAAGTTAATGAAGCTTAAGCTTTAAAGCCCTATTTGCATGAATTCCTTTCTAGATCCTGGGAGGCAGCCTGGAAAAGTGTTCACTTGGGCCATATGTTTTTGGAATATTTGCAAAAGTAAGATTGTTTTATTTTATAAGATTTAAAACATTGAAATATAACTCATATGTCATAAAATTCACCCTTTTAGAGTATAAAATTAAGTGGTTTTTAGTATATTCACAGAATTGTCAACCATCACCACTATCTAATTCCAGTATATTTTCATCATTTCTCAAAAAACCCATACCCATTCTCCTCTCCCTCTGGACCCTGGAAAGCACCAATCTACTGTTTGTCATTGTGGATTTGTCTATTTTAGACATTTCATATAAGTAAAATCATATAACACATGGCCTTTTGTTTCTGGCTTCTTTTAGTTGGCATAATGTTTTCAAGGTTTAACCACGTTGTAGCACATATCGGACCTTTAATCATTTTTTTTCGTTGCTGAATACTATTCCATTGTATGGATATACCACATCATGCACATCCATTCAACAGGTGATGGACATTTCTATTGTTTCCACTTCTTGCCTATTATCAATAATGTTGGTTTGCATATTCATGTATGAGTTTTGTGTGAACATAGCATTTTCAATTTTCTTGGGTATTGTAGTAGACTAGGGCTGTCCAATCTTCTGGCTTCCCTGGGCCACATTGGAAGAAAAACAATTGTCTTGGGCCACATATAAAAATATACTAACACTAATGATAGCTGATAAGCTAAAAAAAATCGCAAAAAAACTCATAATGCTTTAAGATAGTTTACAAATTTGTGTTGGTCTGCATTCAAAGCCGTCCTGGGCTACATGGTGGCTCATAGGCCAAGGGCTGCACAAACTTGTAGTAGACTGAATAATGACACCCCAAAGATGTTCACATCCTAATTCCAAGAACCTATAAATATGTTACCTTACATAGTAAAAGAAATTACAGATGTGATTAATTTAGGGATCTTGAGATGGAGAGATTATCCTGGATTATCTGAGGGGGCCCAGTGTAATTACAAATGTCATTATAAGAGAGAGGCAAGGGGGTCAGAGATGGTAGAGAAAATGTGATGAGAGAGGCAGAGATCAAGGCGATGTGAGGAAGGGGCCACGTAAGGAATGCAAGTGGCCTCTAGAAGCTGGGAAAAGAGAAGAAATGGATTCTCCTCTAGTGCCTTTAGAAGGAGTGCAGCCCTGATGAGACCTGGATTTTAGGACTTCTGACCTCCCAGAACTGTAAGATAATAATTTTGTATTGCCTTTATTCACTGAATTTGTGGTAATTTGTTACCATTCAGAAATAGAAAAGTAACACAGGTATATATGTAGGCCTGGAATTCTGGATAAAAGTAAGATATTTTAACTAGAATTTCTATTTTGCTTCCCCTCTGTTGCAATTTCTATCACGTCCTATGGTGATTGAATGGACCCAGGCATTTTGCAGAGCTTGCTTAAAGGAAGTTGTATGGGGATACCCTTCATACGGGTTTTGTGGAATGTGTTTATATGATTTGCAATAATTTCTGTGTGTACTTAACTTGTGCTAGCTAGCCATTTTATTTAGAAATGGCTTCTGGAAATCCTCCTACTGCCCACTGTGCCCACTCACCTGACCATCAGGACATGAAGGTGCAGGGCCAGAGCATGTATTGAGACATAAACCTGTTCTTTGGTTCCTGGCACTATAAGTACGTAGGTGGTGGAGGAAAAAGAAGGTTTAGAATGTATGGAGGCAAATGTTTTCCCAAATTTGACAACAGTCCTAAAATTCTGCAAGGCATATCAATGAAAATTGTAAGCATTTCCAAACTATCAATATTAAAAATCATGTTAGAGGAAAGACTGGATTGTTTTTCTATAATCTCCAAAGAAAATACTACACGATGTTTGTCACATGGAAAGGCTGTCAAAGAGCATGAAACCAAAATGTAAGGGGGAAGGAAGCATTATAGATGTGTGCTATTATGTTATTTTCCACGATTTTATGATGTTTGTGGCATTTTGTCAGCTTTCAAAATTATATTTTATGATTTTTATTTGTAATTTAAAATTTGTAGTTTCTTTTTTTTATTCTGAATAACATTCTTTTTTGTATCTAATTATGTATTTCTAATTTTGTATTAGTTTTTGATAGGTGTCCTCAATTTACAAAATTCAGATCCTACCATATCTTCTTCTAGCTATAGTTTAAAGATTTACCCAGAAATTGGTTTCTTACCACCTCCATTGCTACTACCCTAATCCAGCATGCTAATATTTCCTGCCTAGATTACTGCAATAACTTTCTAACTGTTTTCCCTGACTCTACCTTGACACTGCCTGACCCGTCTATTCTCAACATAGTAAAGTGGTCTTGATAATGTAATTAATTAATATGACCTAATGTAATATAAAGTAACATAATTTGATGTGAGTTAGATCGAGGTTCTACTTGCTCAAACCCTTCCAAAGAGCTTCCCATTTTACTCAGAATAAAATCCTAAATCCTTAAAATGTCTTACAGGGTTCTCTCCCACTCCACAAATTAACTTATCTCCCAATACTTTTCTCATTTGGTCTACTGCGTCCTTCTGGGCTTCTTGCTGTCCACAGGTCAGGCTTGGTCTCATATCAGGTGTTGGTACTTGCTGTTCCCGCTGCATAGAACAATCTTCCAGCCAGATATTTGCATGGCTCACTCCCTGACCTCCTTTCAGTTTTTACTAAAATGCTACCTTCTGAGACTGAAGCTTACCCAGCCAGACTAACCAATGACATCTCCCCACCCCATATCATCTTTTCCTTTCTTTATATTTCTCCTCAGTGTTTTTACTTTTAGTTTTGGTTTGTTGTGAAACCTGAAATCAAATAACATTTGTTTTCTATTAATTCGATTTTAGGCAATACATCCAGATATTTCCATTTCAGCATATAAATGAAGATTTTAGTTTGAATTACTTTAAATATAATTTTTCTTGTTTTTTTGGGGTGATTTACAACTCCTATTCATAACTCAAGTATGTTTTCGAGCTGTGAATAGGTATCATATATAGGGTTTACTCCTTGCTTGCAGAATACTTTTATTTTCCTTGTAAAGTCTGATTTTTTTTATTTTTGCAGGGGGAGATTCTTTGTAAAGTCTTGATTACACATTTGAACTCCTATTTAATATGCTTTACTCTGGTTCCATCAGGGAGCTTTTAATTAATTTACACATTATTCCCCCTTCAATTTCTCTGGTAGAAACCGTTGACAGAATCACCAGGGTATTTGACTGCATGGAGATACATGCCGTTCTCAGAAAAATCCATTTATGGAAACGCAAACCGAGCTAATTAATTTCATTCATAGTGCCCAGTCATGATATTTTGTTAATGAGAAACGGCAACGAGGGAAAAGCTGCTTCCTTGGAAAACAGAAGCAAAGATGATTTATTTTACTGCTAGCAAAGGGAAAATTCAAGAGCAAGAAAAGGAGTTCCTTTACTTCAATGTATGACAGTGGAGTCTGCTTATTAAAGCCATAGGTCAAGAGATGTTGCATTGATAAAAGTGGAGACCCCAATTTGATCCTCCTCTGAAAGAAGTATCTCTGTAATTAGTTTCAGCCAGAAAGTTCATTTTAATTGAATGATTCTTCAAGAATTCCTTTCAAACTTCAGAGTTAGTGGGACTGCAGATTTATTTATTTATGTACATATGCATATTTGCCTGTGCGTATGTATTTATTGGTCACAATCTCAAATTTTGTACTTTAAAGTTTCATCAAGAAACTCATTTGGAAGTATGTCTCAAAGTAAATTGGGATTGATGCTTCAAAAGACAGCTAACTATGGAATGATTGCTTTTCAGACAAATTAAAGTATTTTCTCTACCTCTACTATTGTTTAGAGTTAAAAATTTGTATTTATATAGGCATGATTCTGATGATGAGAATTGATCGATCTGTTTGCTTTTAAAATCAAATGATTTGTTCTACAAACGTCAAGTACCAGTTGGGAGCTGGGTACTCTGCTAGGTGCAAGGAAAACTTTCTGGAGAAAATGACGTCAAAATGGAGTCACAAAAATCAACACTTCTCTTGTCCATTGTTTTCAGGACACAGTACCGACTTGCTGGTTATTAAACAGTAGCTTTTCAGCTGTGAGCTAACTCTTCTAATTTCTACTTTGTAATTCTGGGGTTAGCCACACTGCCATTTTGACAAGTGGCTCCATGTTAGGCTCTAACAATTGAGTGTCCTGGGGAGGGGCTGGAGGAGGAAGAGGGACTTGCTCTTTTTATTTACGTTTGGCTTCTCTTTGCACTTCCTCAGCAATACTTCACTGTGGTGACACTAGAATTCAGTAACAGCAAGTGTTTCCAGTGTGTAGTTTTTCCACATAACTAGAATCAGCCTCTTCATGTCAGAGACACCAGCACTAGCCTGTGGGGGCCCCTCCTTAGAAGTCGAAGACCCAATTTCACCTTTTCAAACTTCCTTTTTCAGTGTCCCCCCTTTGCTCCTTCAGTTCTCTCATACACGATAAACCATCTTTCTATTAAACTTTCTTTGTTAAATAATCAGTATAGTTTTCACCTGCTGACTGGACTCTCATTGATACAGAAATTGACATACTCCCAATAACTTCAAAAATAAGTTTCATTTTTCAAGTTTCTTTTGATGTATTAATAACTTCTGGCAATGTCTGTGAGATAGATATAGATATATATAGATATATATATATATAGATATATATATATATATATAATCTACAGCCTTAGTGGCTTTACAAATGCAGAAAAATGAAGGAGTAAATTAGCATGTTTCAAGTATTTTCCTTAAAATTGGGTGGCCAGTTATGTGATGACAAATTGTACTTCATTATTTTGCTCTTTTTAAAAAGTGTGTACAACTTGAAGAATAAATTATACAATTTGATTAGTAGGTGTGGCAAACCTATGCTGTAATTGCTTATAAGGAAATTACTGGCTATGTAAATATAGTGCTTGCCTCAGGTATACATGCATTTTAGGTAATTAAAAATGAGCACACCTTTGGTGAACTAGGGAGGTGAGACTATTGGCTGCCATGCTTTTAGTAAAATGAGTTTAATTTAATTCTAGTCAATTTTAGTTATAATGAAAACATTAGCATAAGTACTCGACTGTCTCAAATTTCTATGAAAACACATTCATATCATTTATTTAGCCCAAAGCATCTATTTCTTGTCAACTGTATCGCTCAGAATATCTCTATTCTAGGAATTTTTCTTTAATTCATTTCTTTGAAATTTTTGTTTGACTCTATGAAATAAAGTGAGTAAAGCCAACAGAAACAAATTCCATTTGAATATTGAGATTAACAATTCTCCCTTATTATAATCTGTAGCCTTACTAAGCATTTAAAATGGTGATTTGTAGAGTGCAGAATTTTTTTAAAGCTTTTCTATAAAGCAGTTTTATAGAATACAAGTCTTCTAATATAGTTTGTGGATGGCTGAATTTATGAAATGTTTTTATAACGACTGCTTGATTTACTGTTTCAAATGTTAGTTAAAATGACACTACTTATTTCCTGCTGAATTTTTGAACTTTTAAATTCAATCCAACTTTACACTGTGTTTAAAAAATTAAATATTGTTTTCTTTTTCACATAGAATAACTTTTCTTGCTCTTTAAATATTTTTGCTGCTATCATTTCAATGTTTTGTTTTTAAAATCATATTTTGTTCTTTAATCCAGAAATTGAGTAGCCTATAATTTAGAAATATCTTGGTGAGTAATGAGTACATTAAGTAGTTAAAAAAAAGGTGAAAACACTCTCAAAATGACCTCATCATCAAGTCTCCAAGTTCTGAGGAAATTAATACCGTATAATTTTATGTAAAAAGGTAAGAAAGCCTCTCTTTAAGGATATGAAAGAAATATTTTAAAATTCTTCTTCTCTGATTGACTGCTTTTTCAAGAAGAAAATATAAAATAATTAATAAAATTAGCTAGTGATTCCTAAGCACTTATGATTTTATATTCATATTTCTATTTAATCCAAATTCCAGCAGAAGAGACAGAGCAAATAGGTAAAAGGAAACATTTAAAGAGACAGGGCTGATAATTTTCCAAAATTGATGAGTAATATGAACCTACAGATAAAGTATGCAAGAATAATGTATACAAATCTCACTAATGAGTACAGATTTTTACAAATTCCAAGCAGGAATGAACCAAATAGTTTATATAGAAGATCATGATCATGATTAGATCATGAACCATGTATGTATTTCAGAAATGCAAAAGTGGTTTTACATTAGAAATTTTGTATTAACAGAATAAAAGAGAAAAAATGGAATATCAATAAATGCAGACAAAACAGCCCATAGAATTTAGTACTTGTTCATGCTAAATTTTCTTAGTAATCTAGAAGCAGGAAGGGATGTTATGAACCTGATAAAGAATATCTATACAAAGCTAATGGTAAAGCAATTATTAATGACAAAACATTATAGGTGTTCCCATTAAAATCAGGAATCAGACAATGATAGTTGCTTCACTTCAACATAGTACTAGTCACACATAAAGCAAGAGAAAGAAATAGTGTTTAAAAATTGAGGTGCAAGAAAACAAACTGTGATTATTCACAGGCTATTTGATTAGTTACATAGAAATCCCTAAATAATTTATAAACAAATTATTCATTTTATTAAGAGGGTTTAGCAGATAGCTAGATATAAGTAAAAAAAACCTGCAATAACTTTTCATGATAGCCAGGACATAGCATCAATCTAGATGCCTATCAATGGTGGACTGGATAAAGAAAACATGGTACATATTCACCATGGTATACTACGCAGTGTTAAAAAAGAACTAAATCATCTCCTTTGCAACAACATGGATGCAGCTGGAGGCCATTAACTCAAGCAAATTAATGCAGGAACAGAAAACCAAATACCACATGCTCTCACTTATAAGTGGGAGCTAAACATTGAGCACACAGGGACACAAAGAGTGAAATAATAGATACTGGGGTCCTACCTGAAGGTGGAGGGTAGGAGGAGGGTGAAGATTGAAAAACTACCTGTCAGGTACTACGCTCACTACCTGGGTGATGAAATCATTTGTACACCAAACCCCAGTGACATGCAATTTATCCATGTAACAAACCTGCACATGCACCACCTGAACCTTAAATAAATTTGGAAGAAAAAATAAAAACCTGCAACAAGCAACTGGAAACTATAATTTTTGAAGAAGTACATTTATAACTACAATTTAAAAATAATGTACTTAGGAACAAATTAATTAAAAATGTGTGAAATCTTTTTCTGAAGAAAATTATAAAACTCAGATATTAAAATAGAAAATAAATGAAGATGTATGTCATGTTGATGCCTAAAAAGGTTTGATATGATAGAAATGTCAACTCTTTATTATCGTTCCAATAAAAAATTGAGTTATAGGGTCAATGCCGTTGTAATCAAGTCCTAACATTTTTTCTTTTTGAGAAACTTGATCAACTAATTCTAAATGCATACAAAAAGTAAATGTCCAGATGCCTAAGTTTGAGACACTTGCCCTATCCACTGTCAAAATTTATTGTTTGTGCTAATTACAATCATGTAGTTTTTGTACCTAGAAAATAAGGAAAGTAACTCATGAATGTACAGAAATCATATTTTGTTAAGAGGTGATACTCATATCCATGTGGAAAGGAAATGCTACTTAATAAATGGTGCTTGGAAAGCTGAGTCTCTGGAAAAAAAATACACAGTACACAGTATAAATAATTAAGCCCCCCACAGAAATGAATTTGATTATGAAAAAATTAAACCTTCAAACGTTTAGAAGAAAACATATGAAAAACACGTTTTGGCTTTGAGGAGGGAAGGACTTCTTAAGCAAAACAGAAAATGTGCTACCCACAAAAAACTATACATTTTCTTATTTTATAATTAAGACCTTCTATCCATCAAAATATACCAGGTAGAAAATAAAAAGACTCTCCAGAGACTGAAAAGAAATAATTGTAGTACCTACAGACAACAAAGGATTAGTATGTGAAATATATCAAAGATCTCCATAAATCAACAAGAAAATGACTACCAATAGAAAAATGAGCAAAAATACATAAACCGGCATTTCACAAAACAGGAAACACAAATTGCCACAAACATATGAAAAAATCATCAATCTCATTAGAAATCAGGGATAGACAACTTAATTTAGTGTTTATTTTGTATCCATTATTTGGCAGTCTTTCTAGTTTAGCTACAAAGAAAGGTTATATATTACAATGCCTATAAGGAATCTAGATTTCGAATTTGATAACCATGCTTTAAAATAAAATAGAATGCACATTATAATTCCAATTTGGTAGGTAGAAATATCTGTGCAGACACATATAACCAGTATGTATTATGCCATACTTATAGCAAAATTTTAAATCTATTCAAGCACTACCTGCTTGAATAGCACAGGATAAGGAAATTAGGTCCTTCTTGAAATAGTCCTCCCCAGTTATTCTTTTTAGGAGTCCTTTGTAGGGGTTTGGTGGGGGCAAAGACAAGGGAATTTCACATAAGGGGAGATGCTGCTCCAATAACCATTGTACTCCCTGCCTTCCTTCCCTGCTACCCATTGCCACTGTGGGTCAGTGGGTCCCTACCCATGCTGCTTTCTTTGAATTCCCGAACTCTAAACCACATATAGACTACTTCTCACTCAGTTTGTTAGTCTCCTCTGGGCTGGGCTCTTCTTTCTTTCTGGCTTACAAAAAAGCACGTTTTGCTTCTTATAACTGACTCTTCTGATGAAGGCTCCCATGGTAGAGTTGTTGGGGCCTTAAGTGACACTCTCCTTTATAGAACAGCCCTCTTTTTTCCAGCACAGGGAGGGGAGGAGAGAGGCAGTGAAGGAGGCTTGCAGCTGGAAGCTGGGTCTAGACTAGGGGGAGGGTTGGCCATGGTCAGCAAAGAGGATGATCCTAAGGGTTAATGTTATCTGGTTCCATACATCAGCCTAATAGTGTTCCATCTCTGACCTGGCCCCAAATAATACTTGTTTGACTTCATTAAAGAAAATGAGAGTAAAGGGAAGAATATACCAAAAAATATTAATAATGGTTATATATAGGATGAGATCATGAATGATCCTTACTCTCATTTTTTCACTTTTTAACTTTCTATTTTTTTAAAAATGAACATTTATTCATCTTATGTTGAGCAAAACAATTCATGAAAGAAACAACAAAACCCCCCACCCCCCGCCCCCCCCCCGCCAAAATATCTATTATGTTCTCAGAACTTTGTTCAATATATTCTGGGGATAATTGCTATTAAAAATATAAAATAATTCCCTTTGTTTAGAATTTTTCATTATTACAAATGCTTCTATAAGTAGATATTTCTACTCTGAATCTTATTTGGGACATTTACATTGCTTCTCAAGCAAGCCAACTTCTGTTCTCATTAGGCCTTCACATTTTATTTTTAAAATTATAGTCATCTACTCTCCACATTGTCTCTTTACCATGTCATGCAAAAATAAATCATCTAATGATAATCTCCTACGGTGTCAATATCTAGCTACAGAATAGAATTTGATCTCCTCTCCTCCACATGACATTGTTTCTAGAGGTCTCTTATCAGAGCAAAATCTCTTATTTTCTCATTCAAAGTTGTTACTGTTACAACAACAGCCAGTTCCATGCATATGACTAGTAATAGTCAAACTATGATTAAAAGTGAGTAACATCAGAAATGTAAAGTTCCACAGTTATACTCTTCAAATACTTAAGCACTACCAAATAAAACCTCTTAGAACAAATGCAAAAGTAAGAAAATAGAAAAAGAGACTTATTTTGTGCCTGGCATGAAATACTGGCATAACACAAAATAAAAGTTATTTCTGCTCGTAGGATTTCTTAGATACCATAAATCATACATTATTAAAATAATTTAAAATTTACTTTTAGTACAACTAGTTTTGAAAAATAAACCCACCCTTTTCATCATTGTTGACCCAAATCTTTACAGTAAAATACCGATTCACACATATTCATATGAAGCACTTGCAGAATAATATACCTGACAGAATTGAAATTCATTTAACATACTGAATATTTGTTGTAGATTATCTTGCATGAAATTCTCTCAAAAAGCCTATAAGATAGAGAAGACTGATGCCCTTACTGTATTGATAAGGAAGTTGAAGTTAGAGAGTGAGCTATAGACCCAAAGGTACCCTCCATGTTTTTCAATTATTAGGCTGACCTACATGTCTTAATAAATGTGTGGGCAGATCTTAGGTCTTTAACAACTTATTTTTAAAACAATAAGTATAAAACTACTAGTTTTGCCACTATCTGTTATTTACCACCCCCACTAAACTCTCTACCTACGTTAATAAATATCTCCTTTAAAAATTCCTGAGGTGCATTAAGCTATGTATTTATGAGGTACTCTTGCCTTAATATCTGTGTTGAGGCCACCCTGCAAACTGCTTTGTAACAACACTAGGTATATCCAAAGCAGAGTAAATTTGACAGTGTAATCTGACAGGCAAAGAAGTCTCTGGAATTCAGCTTTACTTGGTGTCTCTCAGTTTGTATGTTATGTGGACTCTCAGAGCCAGCAGACAGGCCATGGGGCCACTACTGAGGTCATGGCTGGTGAGGGCCCATCACAACACAAACTGGGGATGGACTGCTCATCCTGTGCTGGAGGGAGGACAGGGCACAGTCTCATTCATTTACAGCCAGTGAGAGCTGAGTATAGCAATGCCCAAAGAGGAAGATGGCCAATGCTCCTAGAGAGTTTTATCTGAGCCCGCAGACCTGACTGTGGATTCAGAACTGACGATTTAACAGGACGCAGCATCAGCTGCAGACAGCAGCCCAGAGACCAGCATATGCTGCCAACCTACTTCTGAAAACTAGCTTGAGGCCAGAGAGTCCTTATTGCCCAGGTCACAAAGAAATTTAGCCTCCTCTGCACATACCCAAATTCCATCTTAGGGAGGAAAGCAGGGGATGGAGAGAGGAACATGAGAGACTAGCAATTTTTATGCAAGAAAGATGAAAACAACCTAAAGGGACTATCTAACTTCTTAAATCATATTAAACTTAATCACAGAAGAATAAAACTCAGTTTTCATCCTTAATAAACAACTGATGGAGGCTGGGGTAATGATCAGATTAGCTATGGTTGAAGTAAAACAAATTAATTTTCTTTGTGCATTCAAAATACAGTGTGAGTTAAACCCTTTCACCCTTGCACACTGGCATTTATTAGAATAAATTTTGCTAGGTCCTGTACATACATTATCTCATTTAATTCTCACACAAGCCCTGTGTAAGAGAGAACATTATAATCCCTATTTTATACACGAGGAAAATAAGGCGAAAAGAGGTTATGCAACTTGCACAAAGTCACATAGCTAGTAACAGACCTGGGACAGGGAATGGATTGCTTACTTAAATCTTTTAATTTTAAAATAATTAAAATACACTTTAGATGAATTGAATTTTTTGAAATTTGAGATATTCAAGTGGAAGACTTCTGAATAGAGAAAGCTGAGCCGTCTTGTAAAGAAGTATATGCTTTCTGATTTGCATCTGAGATTTTGGTCTTCAGGCAAATTTTAAACAAAATGGATGCTCAAAAGGAGAAGGCAGAATTCTGCCAGTCTTGCCAGCAGTGAAGTAGTAATATGGGTTCACTAGAAAGACGCTTTCAATATAGTAAGAACCAGAATGCCATTGGTGACTTACTTCTCTCATGCAATGGCACCAAGAAGCCTCCAAAGCAGGTTTTCAAGGTACGGTCTTTGCATTTAATCAAGTCTGGGTTTAATCCCTGTTCAGGCACTTAATAGCTATGTATGACAGTGACCATTTTAAGTTCATTTCCATTAGGTTAAAATGGCAACATGTCCAATCAGGATTAAAAGAGATAACATATGTAACATACTAAGCATGGCACCTGTCACATAGTTGGTCCTCAAAACTATCAATTTGTATCTGGCTCAATTCCATTTTTTTTTCCAAAAAGTGAAAGCTAATATTAACTTCCAGGTTTTTACTTTTACATTTAGCAAATGCAAACGTGCAATCAAGTTAATACCTTGGTTTACAAAGACAGAGCAAAAGAAAGAATCTCCTGAAGGGTATTTATCAGGTTTAGAAAATGCATTTGCTTACCAGCTCACCGAATTCATTATTGCCTAGGTCAAGTCTTTCCAACTGGGCCAGTTTGTGCATTGACCTACAACAGATGGAGAAAAATACTATTGTGAGGTAGTGCATGATACATTGCTCTAAAAGACATTCCAACCACCTTCCTGTCAGATTTACCTGATTGCGTAGTACACAAAACTGGGGGTACTCTTCAGCAACAAGTAAATCTCAAATACACAAAATCTATGCAAACTGCCAGCTGAAAAGCTACAGCATCTGTTCACAAATGCCAATATGGTTGGCATGCAAGGCTGGCTCCTTAACAAAAATCCAAGAAGCTTATTAAATATCTACACCAGTGGGAGGTGTAGGGTGGGGCCCCACTTCAATATTTTTAAGAGTCACCACAGGATTGGGAATCAATGGCTGAAACCAATTCTCAGCAAACCATTCTAAAATCTCATAATATGGCACCATTTCATCATCAGTCTTATTATTTTCTACTCCTTTAAATGAACTTCTGTTACAGACAAATTGTAGTCATTGTCTCCCAAACATATTGACTTGAAAGCTGCTATAGCTATGAATAGTTGTCACACTGATACAGTTTTGGTCTGTGTCCTGACCCAAATCTCATCTTGAATTGTAATCCCCATAATCGTATACTGAGGAAGGGACCTGGTGGGAGGTGATTGGATCATGGGGGTGGTTTCTCCTATGCTGTTCTCATGAAAGTGAGAATTCTCATGAGATCTGAAGGTTTTATAAGTGTTTGACAGTTCCTCCTTCACATGTTCTCTCTCGCCTGCTGCCATATAAGATGTGCCTGCTTCCCCTTCGGCCATGATTTTAAGTTTCCTGAAGCCTGCCCAGCCATGTGGAACTGTGAGTCAATTAAACCTCTTTTCTATATAAATTACCCAGTCTGGAGCACTTCTTTATAGCAGTGTGAAAACAGACTAATACACAAACCTTGGGCAAGAGTTGATGTCAAAAGTTCAGGGAACCCAAGTGCACTCCATATGCAGTCAGCATTTCTCAAAGCACTCTCAAGTAAACATACACTATGAGAAAATACAGTGCTTTTCTGAAAGATTTTTTTTTATCTCTCCACTAATCAGAATTCTGTCCTTAAGTCCTGCCTATACAGGAATTCTTCAGACACCATTGATTGAAATCTTAGAAATTTTAGTTTTATCACATTTAAAATGGATGTAGAAATTACCTTATAGGGCTTTTATGAACCTTAAATGAAATATTACTGCAATCCGGATGCTATCAGATACTCAGAAATGCAAAAAAATTATGTACTCTTTCTTCACTCAGCAACTATTATTGAGAGAGTATTATGTGCTGATCTGGGGTATGGCAGAGAACAAAACAGATAAAAATTCCTACCTCAAAGGACTTTACATTCAGCAGGGAAGAATCAGAGTAAACAAAATAATAAAATAAAATAAAATAACATATTAAAAGGTTACAAGTGCTACAGAGAAAAGTTAAGCAGAGGAGGTAGATAGAGAGAATTCATATAAGGATTTAATTTTTAGTAGGGTGATCAGGTAAGGCCTCAATGAGAATACGAAATTGGAGCCAAGGCAGAAAGGAAATGAAAAAGCATGCTAATATGGAGATTCTAAAGCAGGGACATTTTACTTGCTTGAAGACATCCTAGCAGACCAGTATGGCTAAAGAAGAGAGAGAGAGGGAGGAGTAGAAAGATGATGTAATGGGGAGTTGCATAATATGCGATCTTACAGCACAATGTAGAGACTTTGGCTTTGATTCTGAGTAGGATAGGGGGCCACTGAAAGGTTTTTATGAAAGATGTTTCTGAAATGATTTGTTTTAGAAGAATATCTGTGATTGCAGGCTTATAAACAGACTGAGGGGGACAACAGTAGAAGAAGGAAGATCAAAGAGAAGGCTAATGTAATAAGTCAAATAAGAGGTGATGGTGGCTTGGACTGAATCTATTTTACTTCTTTCTTATTATAAAAAATTTATGGCCACAGTGGTGGCCATAATAAGGCAATGGTAAAGGTGCTGAGATGTGGTAGGGTTCTGGATATAGTTAAGATAAGAACTAAATGTCTTGATGAGTCAGCTGTGGGGAATGAGAGCTGACTGTGACTAAAGGTGTGTTTTGGTCTGAACAACTAGAAGGATGGAGTTGCAAGTGACTGATGAGGAAGACCAAGTGGAGCAGGGTTTTGGGTAGACTGGAAGTTCAGTTTTAGGTGTTCAGTTGGAAATTTCTACTCTAGAGTCAACTAGAGATGTTAATCATTCAGTTGCATAAACAAGCATAGACATCAAGAAAAGAGTCTAGGAAAGACATAATTTGAGCATGGTAGCATAGAGATGGCTTACCAGCTCACTGAATTCATTATTGCCTAGGTCAAGTCTTTCCAACTGGGCCAGTTTGTGCATTTACCTATAACAGATGAAGAAAAAATACTATTGTGAGGTCTTGAGAATATAGATCACCAAGGGCATGAATGTAGATAAAAAGAGAATAGGTCTGAATGGATATGAAGAACAAATAAGTAAAACTGAAAAGTGACTAGGGACATAGGAGAAAAAATAAGAAGAATGTAAAGTCCTGGAAGCCAAATAAGAACAGTATTTCAGAGGCTGGCAGCCAAGATGGCCAAATAGGAACAGCTCCGGTCTACAGCTCCCAGCGTAAGCGACGCAGAAGACGGGTGATTTCTGCATTTCCATCTGAGGTACCAAGGTCATCCCACTAGGGAGTGCCAGACAGTGGGGGCAGGACAGTGGGCGCAGCGCACTGTGCACGAGCCGAAGCAGGGCGAGGCATTGCCTCACTTGGGAAGCGCAAGGGGTCAAGGAGTTCCCTTTCCTAGTCAAAGAAAGGGGTGACAGACGGCACCTGGAAAATCGGGTCACTCCCACCCTAATACTGCTCTTTTCCAATGGGCTTAAAAAATGGCGCACCAGGAGATTACATCCCGCACATGGCTCGGAGGGTCCTACGCCCACGGAGTCTCGCTGATTGCTAGCACAGCAGTCTGAGATCAAACTGCAAGGCGGCAGCAACGCTGGGGGAGGGGCGCCCACCATTGCCCAGGCTTGCTTAAGTAAACAAAGCAGCCATGAAGCTCAAACTGAGTGGAGCCCACCACAGCTCAAGGAGGCGTGCCTGCCTCTGTAGGCTCCACCGCTGGGGGCAGTGCACAGACAAACAAAAAGACAGCAGTAACCTCTGCAGACTTAAACGTCCCTGTCTGACAGCTTTGAAGAGAGCAGTGGTTCTCCCAGCACGCAGCTGGAGATCTGAGAACGGGCAGACTGCCTCCTCAAGTGGGTCCCTGACTCCTGACCCCCGAGCAGCCTAACTGGGAGGCACCCCACAGTAGGGGCAGACTGACACCTCACACGGCCGGGTACTCCTCTGAGACAAAACTTCCAGAGGAACGATCAGACAGCAGCATTCACGGTTCACGAAAATCCGCTGTTGTGCAGCCACCGCTGCTGATACCCAGGCAAACAGGGTCTCGTGTGGACCTCTAGCAAACTCCAACAGACCTGCAGCTGAGGGTCCTGTCTGGTAGAAGGAAAACAAAGAGAAAAAATATCCACAGCAAAAACCCATCTGTACATCACCATCATCAAAGACCAAAAGTAGATAAAACCACAAAGATGGGGAAAAAACAGAGCAGAAAAACTGGAACCTCTAAAAAGCAGAGCGCCTCTCCTCCTCCAAAGGAATGCAGTTCCTCACCAGCAATGGAACAAAGCTGGACGGCGTATGACTTTGATGAGTTGAGAGAAGAAGGCTTCAGATGATCAAACTACTCCGAACGACAGGAGGAAATTCAAACCAAAGGCAAAGAAGTTAAAAATTTTGAAAAAAATTTAGATGAATGTATAACTAGAATAACCAATACAGAGAAGTCCTTAAAGGAGCTGATGGAGCTGAAAGCCAAGGCTCGAGAACTACGTGAAGAATGCAGAAGCCTCAAGAGCCGATGCAATCAACTGGAAGAAAGGGTATCAGTGATGGAAGATGAAATGAATGAAATGAAGTGAGAAGGGAAGTTTACAGAAAAAGGAATAAAAAGAAATGAACAAAGCCTCCAAGAAATATGGGACTATGTGAAAAGACCAAATCTATGTCTGACTGGTGTACCTGAAAGTGACGGGGAGAATGGAACCAAGTTGGAAAACACTCTGCAGGATATTATCCAGGAGAACTTCCCCAATCTAGCAAGGCAGGCCAACATTCAGATTCAGGAAATACAGAGAACGCCACAAAGATACTCCCCAAGAAGAGCAACTCCAAGAAACATAATTGTCAGATTCACCAAAGTTGAAATGAAGGAAAAAATGTTAAGGGCAGCCAGAGAGAAAGGTCGGGTTACCCACAAAGGGAAGCCCATCAGACTAACATGGGATCTCTTGGCAGAAACTTTACAAGCCAGAAGACATTGGGGGCCAATATTCAACATTCTTAAAGGAAAGAATTTTCAACCCACAATTTCATATCCAGCCAAACTAATCTTCATAAGTGAAGGAGAAATAAAATACTTTACAGACAAGCAAATGCTGAGAGATTTTGTCACCACCAGGCCTGTCCTAAAAGACCTCCTGAAGGAAGCATTAAACATGGAAAGGAACAACCGGTACCAGCCACTGCAAAATCATGCCAAAATGTAAAGACCATTGAGGCTACGAAGAAACTGCATCAACTAATGAGCAAAATAACCAGCTAACAGCATAACGACAGGATCAAATTCACACATAACAATGTTAACTTTAAATGTAAATGGGCTAAATGCTCCAATTAAAAGACACAGACTGGCAAATTGGATAAAGAGTCAAGACCCATCAGTGTGCTGTATTCAGGACACCCATCTCACGTGCAGAGAAATATATAGGCTCAAAATAAAAGGATGGAGGAAGATCTACCAAACAAATGGAAACAAAAAAAGGCAGGGGTTGCAATCCTAGTCTCTGATAAAACAGACTTTAAACCAACAAAGATCAAAAGAGACAAAGAAGGCCATTACATAATGGTAAAGGGATCAATTCAACAAGAAGAGCTAACTATCCTAAATATATATGCACCTGATACAGGAGCACCCAGACTCATAAAGCAAGTCCTTAGTGACCTACAAAGAGACTTAGACTCCCACACAATAATAATGGGAGACTTTAACACCCCACTGTCAACATTAGACCCGACAACGAGACAGAAAGTTAACAAGGATACCCAGGAATTGAACTCAGCTCTGCACCAAGTGGACCTAATAGACATCTACAGAACTCTCCACCCCAAATCAACAGAATATACATTTTTTTCAGCACCACACCACACACCACACCTATTCCAAAATTGACCACATAGTTGGAAGTAAAGCTCTCCTCAGCAAATGTAAAAGAACGGAAATTATAACAAACTGTCTCTCAGACCACAGTGCAATCAAACTAGAACTCAGGACTAACAAACTCACTCAAAACCGCTCAACTACATGGAAACTGAACAACCTGCTCCTGAATAACTACTGGGTACATAACAAAATGAAGGCAGAAATAAAGATGTTCTTTGAAACTAACGAGAACAAAGACACAACATACCAGAATCTCTGGGACACATTCAAAGCAGTGTGTAGAGGGAAATTTATAGCACTAAATGCCCACAAGACAAAGCAGGAAAGATCCAAAATTGACACCCTAACATCACAATTAAAAGAACTAGAAAAGCAAGAGCAAACACATTCAAAAGCTAGCAGAAGGCAAGAAATAACTAAAATCAGAGCAGAACTGAAGGAAATAGAGACACAAAAAAACCCTTCAAAAAATTAATGAATCCAGGAGCTGGTTTTTTGCAAGGATCAACAAAATTGATAGACCGCTAGCAAGACTAATAAAGAAGAAAGGAGAGAAGAATCAAATAGACGCAATAAAAATGATAAAGGGGATATCACAACTGATCCCACAGAAATACAAACTACCATCAGAGAATACTACAAACACCTCTATGCAAATAAACTAGAAAATCTAGAAGAAATGGAGAAATTCCTCGACACATACACCCTCCCAAGACTAAACCAGGAAGAAGTTGAATCTCTGAATAGACCAATAACAGCCTCTGAAATTGTGGCAATAATCAATAGCTTACCAACCAAAAAGAGTCCAGGACCAGATGGATTCACAGCCGAATTCTACCAGAGCTACAAGGAGGAACTGGTACCATTCCTTCTGAAACTATTCCAATCAATAGAAAAAGAAGGAATCCTCCCTAACTCATTTTATGAGGTCAGCATCATCCTGATACCAAAGCCAGGCAGAGACACACCCAAAAAAGAGAATTACAGACCAATATCCTTGATGAACATTGATGGAAAAATCCTCAATAAAATACTGGCAAACCGAATCCAGCAGCACATCAAAAAGCTTATCCACCATGATCAAGTGGGCTTCATCCCTGGGACCCAAGGCTAGTTCAATATATGCAAATCAATAAATGTAATCCAGCATATAAACAGAACCAAAGACAAAAACCACATGATTATCTCAACAGATGCAGAAAAGGCCTTTGACAAAATTCAACAACCCTTCATGCTAAAAACTCTCAATAAATTAGGTATTGATGGGATGTATCTCAAAATAATAAGAGCTATCTATGACAAACCCACAGCCAATACCATACTGAATGGGCAAAAACTGGAAGCATTCCATTTGAAAACTGGCACAAGACAGGGATGCCCTCTCTCACCACTCCTATTCAACATAGTGTTGGAAATTCTGGCCAGGGCAATCAGGCATGAGAAAGAAATAAAGGGTATCCAATTAGGAAAAGAGGAAGTCAAATTGTCCCTGTTTGCAGATGACATGATTGTATATCTAGGAAACCCCATTGTCTCAGCCCAAAATCTCCTTAAGCTGATAAGCAACTTCAGCAAAGTCTCAGGATATAAAATCAATGTACAAAAATCACAAGCATTCTTATACACCAATAACAGACAAACAGAGAGCCAAATCATGAGTGAACTCCCATTCACAATTGCTTCAAGGAGAATAAAATACCTAGGAATCCAACTTACAAGGGACGTGAAGGAACTCTTCAAGGAGAACTACAAACCACTGCTCAATGAAATAAAAGAGGATACAAATGGAAGAACATTCTATGCTCATGGGTAGGAAGAATCAATATCGTAAAAATGCCCATACTGCCCAAGGTAATTTATAGATTCAATGCCATCCCCATCAAGCTACCAATGACTTTCTTCACAGAATTGGAAAAAACTACTTTAAAGTTCATATGGAACCAAAAAAGAGCCCGCATCGCCAAGGCAATCCTAAGCCAAAAGAACAAAGCTGGAGGCATCATGCTACCTGACTTCAAACTATACTACAAGGCTACAGTAACCAAAACAGCATGGTACTGGTACCAAAACAGAGATATAGATCAATGGAACAGAACACAGCCCTCAGAAATAACGCCGCATATCTACAACTATCTGATCTTTGACAAACCTGAGAAAAACAAGAAATGGGGAAAGGATTCCCTATTTAATAAATGGTCCTGGGAAAACTGGCTAGCCATATGTAGAAAGCTGAAACTGGATCCCTTCCTTACACCTTATACAAAAATTAATTCAAGATGGATTAAAGACTTAAATGTTAGACCTAAAACCATAAAAACCCTAGAAGAAAACCTAGGCATTACCATTCAGGACATAGGCATGGGCAAGGACTTCATGTCTAAAACACCAAAAGCAATGGCAACAAAAGACAAAATTGACAAATGGGATATAATTAAACTAAAGAGCTTCTGCACAGCAAAAGAAACTACCATCAGAGTGAACAGGCAACCCACAAAATGGGAGAAAATTTTCGCAACCTACTCATCTGACAAAGGGCTAATATCCAGAATCTACAATGAACTCAAACAAATTTACAAGAAAAAAACAAATAACACCATCAAAAAGTGGGCAAAGGACATGAACAGACACTTCTGAAAAGAAGACATTTATGCAGCCAAAAAACACATGAACAAATGCTCACAGAAATGCAAATCAAAACCACAATGAGATACCATCTCACACCAGTTAGAATGGCAATCATTAAAAAGTCAGGAAACAACAGGTGCTGGAGAGGATGTGGAGAAATAGGAACACTTTTACACTGTTGGTGGGACTGTAAACTAGTTCAACCATTGTGGAAGTCAGTGTGGCGATTCCTCAGGGATCTAGAACTAGTAATACCATTTGACCCAGCCATCCCATTACTGGGTATATACCCAAAGGAATATAAATCATGCTGCTATAAAGACACATGCACATGTATGTTTATTGCAGCACTATTCACAATAGCAAAGACTTGGAACCAACCCAAATGTCCAACAATGATAGACCGGATTAAGAAAATGTGGCACATATACACCATGGAATACTATGCAGCCATAAAAAATGAAGAGTTCATGTCCTTTGTAGGGACATGGATGAAATTGGAAATCATCATTCTCAATAAACTATCGCAAGGACAAAAAACCAAACACCGCATGTTCTCACTCATAGGTGGGAAGTGAACAATGAGAGCACATGGACACAGGAAGGGGAACATCACACTCTGGGGACTGTTGTGGGGTGGCAGGAGGGGGGAGGGATAGGGATAGCATTAGGAGGTATACCTAATGCTAAATGACGAGTTAATGGGTGCAGCACACCAGCATGGCGTATGTATACATACGTAACTAACCTGCACATTGTGAACATGTACCCTAAAACTTAAAGTATAATAATAATAAAATAAAAAAATTAAAAAAATTAAAAAAAAGAATAGTATTTCGAGGTGGATGCTATGACCAATTGCGACAAAAGCCGCTGACAGATCTGAGAACTGACCACTTAATTTGACAACATGGAGATTAGTGGTAATTTTGAGATGATTAGTTTTAGAAGTTGTAAGCTTTTGCCAATGCTCTTTCTTCTATCCAATATGCTTTTTACCCATTTATCACTCAAAATTATTTATTCCATAACAAAAATACATTGATTTTCTATTTTCTCCCAAGTTTAAGGTTTTAAAGATGAAAGGTGTTGTCCCCAGTATTAAGTAGTTCATAATCGAGAGAAATTACAAGTGGAATGAACAATTTCTACCCAATATGGCATTTGCCGTAAAAATCATACGTGTAGGTTGCTAGAGAACAAAAAGGAGAGGTACTTTTTCAGCCTTGGGGAAGGTAGGAATAGAAAATAGAAGGCTTTACTGAAGCTTTACTTTGGAGGAGTCAGGGGAGATGGTCATTTCAGGAGAAAATGTCAAAGAGGTAGGATGGAAGAGATCATGGTGCATTCAAGGAACTGCAGGTTAGCAGGAATAGTAAGAAAAATGTGCCGGGCACGGTGGCTCATGCCTGTAATCCCAGCACTTTGGGGGGCCGAGGCAGGTGGATCACCTGAGGTCAGGAGTTCGAGACCAGCCTGGCCAACATGGTGAAACCCCCGTCTCTCTAAAAATACAAAAATTAGCCAGGCATGATGGCAGGTGCCTATAATCCCAGCTACTCAGAAGGTTGAGGCAGGAGAATTGCTTGAATCTGGGAGGCAGAGGTTGCAGTGAGCCGAGATAGTGCCATCGCACCCCAGCCTGGGGGACAAGAGTGAGAATTCGTCTCAAACAAACAAACAAACAAACAGAATGAATGTAAGAATTGATAAGAAATAAGAAAAATGGTAGGAAGTAGTAAGAAATAATATGTAGGTAAGCACTAGATCATGAGATTATCTCCTGTGTCAAGCTAAGGAATTTGAGTTTTAGCTTGAAGGCAATGGAAGGCTTTAAGATTCAGGTAGGAAAAAGATACCAGGTTTTTATTTTAGAAAGCTCACATCAGCAACTTGGAATGATGTGGGCAATGGGGACAGGATATGTTAGCCATAAGGCCAGATAACAGACTGTTTTGAAATTCATGTGGGATATAATTGGGGCCAGAAATAAGGCAATGGCAATATGAATAATGTGATGTCAGATAGGAGAGATGCTTTGGAAAAAGACATGACTTGATTAATGATGATGACTGATTGGATGTCAGATGTAAAGGAGAGGAAAAAATTAAAGATAGTCTCTTAGTTGAATAGGAGTGAGAGTATATTAGAATGGAATAAATCTAAGGTGGAGATAGGTTGAATGTAATGGATTGTATTTTAAATACTATATTGGCTTTGAGGTGAATGCAAGACACTTATATTAGGAAAAAGTGTGTGTGTGTGTTTGTGTGTGTGTATGTGTGTGTCTGGAGCTCAGGCAAAAAGTCTTCACTGGAAATAAAGACTCGAGGAATAAAATCTTATCTACTCTACCTGAAAACGAACTCTCCTTTTAAACCCACATTCCATTTTCTTCCTTTTGCATGACTTAACTTGGAGTTTACCACACACGTTCTTGAATTGTTACTTTTTCCAAATCTATCAGTCTCCTTTCTCCCCCCAGATCTTAAAATATGTTTCAAGATACCCAGAATGTCCTGTGTGGGACCACCAGCAGCCCAAAGATGGTTGTGAAACCTTGGCCAATGTTTTAAGGAGAACATCTGCTACACCTCTCACTAAATCTATACCACTGAATAGGTGCTTCCAGGGAAAGGGGCTTGGGGAATAGTTGGGGCCCATGAGGAGAGAATTAAATTGTCTTCTGAGCCTGGGAATATGGAGTGGCAGATTCTCTCAAACCTTACTCTGAGACCACGTACCCAACAAACAAACAATAAGCACCAAAGTATTGGGGGCCCAGATGAAGGACCAAGTAACTAAGTGTGTCAAGTGAATAAGAAATGCTCATAGGAATAGTAGGTCACCTGCTTTTGACTTGACTGTATAGTTCTAGGCAACATGTATTCTAGTGAGAACCATAATGAGCTAAAGACCAGAGGTCTTTCTGCAATTTCTGGGATTCTATGAATTCCGTAGTTCTCACTGATGTCCCAGGAGAGTATGATATAAAGCTGAGAGTGGATTTTTGCCAGTCCAGTGGTTGAGGCCCAAGACAAAACTAATTTTATTAAAAGAAAAAATGAGTGATATCTTATGCTTCAGTGTATTAAGGAATATTTTATTAGTAATAGGACTTATCTTTGTATAGGATAAATATTAATGATCTCTTAAATCCCTTGTATAATAGTGTTTCCAGACTCCTAAACACACTGATTATTCAATTTAGACTTACTAAAATTTGCCAATGTTTATTTTCCAAAACAGAGCATGCTCAAGTCTATCTGGCATCCTTGGTGGTTTTTTTTTTTTTAGTGGTTCCGGATTTAATTGGGGGTGAAAGGGTGCTGCAAAGTTGCTCAGAGGGCCCACAGCTGGGCCCACGAGTGTTTGCTTTTGCTACTGAACAGAGAAGCGTGGCCTAACTACAAACAACTCTGGGCCCTCGCATCTGCCTCCAGGACCTGGTGGGACATGGGGCGGCTCTGCTGACCAGATCTTCTCTTTGGAACACTCCTCCCACCACATTGCCCTGGGTCTGCGAGCCTCCCTCCCATGCTGAAGTCAACTCCTTAATGGAGAGTCTGGAGGTCGCAGCCCCAACTGGGGACTGACAGGGAGTGGGGAACCCCAGGGCCCCCAGTCTGGAAGGGCCCCCAGTCTGGAAGGGCCCCCTCCCAGCCATTTTGGTAACAATAAATACTGTGTGACAGTGGCAGGGAGTGGGGGGTTCGGCCACTGGCCAGCAGGCAGCGGGGGAACCCCGAGGCCAGGCCTGGGCCCCCAATCCTCACTCCGTGCGGACAATGACGTGGATGCCGGAATCCGTGAACACTGTCCCGCTCATCTCCCCCGTCCGCCGCGCAAACCAGGGGTCTTCAAATGGCTTCTGCATCTGACCTTTGCTGAAGGCACCCAGGTCTCCCCTGGCCTTGGCCGAGCTGCAGTCGCTGAATTGTGAGGCCGGAGACTCAAAGTCCTTCTCTCCTGCCTTGATCTTCTGGATGTAGCCGCTGATCAGCTCCAGGGCCTCCTCCTTGGTCCGGGTGATTTCCTGCCGCCAGGTCGAGGGCCGCCTTGACTGGCTTCACTAGCAGGTGCGAGCGGCGGACCCTGGCGGGCTCCCCCTGCCAGATTTTGCCGCCACTGCTGCTGTTCCCGCTGGGCCGCTCCCACTGGCTGGGGTTAGTGATGTGGTTGAAGTAGTACCCTCGGCCTGAGGGGCGGCTCATGCGCTTTTCCCAGCCAGGCGGCAGTTTCTCCTCGTCCGCCATCTTTCCTCCTCACGCTCTTGTTTTTGTAAATAAAGTTTTATTGGAACACGGTCATATTTATTTGCTAATGTATCTAGCAAATACATTTGGCTGCTTGTGTACTACAACCACAGAACTGAATAGTTGAGAATGACACCCTATGGACTGCAGAGCCTGAAACATTTCCTATCTCTGAGGGCCTGGTGGCAGTTAGAATTAAACTCTACTCTGTAGATACTTTCTGACCAAGACAATGTATTAAAAAAAATTATTTCTTACCTTTATATTAGTGTAGTTTAAATTTGATCGATTCCTTTTGTGGGAAGAAAGGTACACTCTATGCCACCTCTAAGTCTTTTTCTATTGCTTTTGAAACCTTTGGTTCATAACTTCATGCCCGGGAAACCATATTTTAAAATTTATAATATAGCTTCCTACTATTCCTTTGACAGTCTTTTGAATGGGCAACAATTTTCTTTTGCTTGTTCTGGGGGAAAGAAAAGCTGTCCCATAGGGTTTTATGACCCATTTCCTGAAGCTTATTTATTTAAAATACCATTTCTTCTATTTTAATTTTATCTCATTTTATTTATATGACCGTAGTTTCCATCAGTTTTTAATTATCATCACTATAGTTTCATTCTGTCACTACATTTTCCACTTTTGAAGTTGTCTTTCTGCTGTTTCCCTACGTTTTGTACCTTTAAAATATTACATTCTTATTTCTGTTTTCAGAGATGGCATTCAGTATTATTGGCTGTATTTCACTCTTCTAAGTTTGACTGTCTTCACTTACCCACAAGATTTTAGACAGTCCATAACACAGTCTATTACTTTTCTTGTTCGTGTGCCAGTTGCTAAACTATAATCATTCTGTCAAATTGTCCAAAAAAAATGTTCCTTTTAGATGAACATATGTAACAGGGTTTTTAATTTCATGAGCATACAAACAAGTAAGATTTTCTCAGAAAAATAAAATAGAACTCATGGTATTTTTATGTTAGTATTGTTCTTTGTGAGCAATCATTCATTCATTCATTCCTATAACGTGCTTCTTTGTGGCAGGCGCCCTGTGGGCACTGGAGTTACAAAGATTCCAGAGACGCAGGGTTTCTCCACCTCAGCACTACTGACATTTTGGACTGGTTAATTCTTTGACATAGGGGGCTATCGTGTGCATTGTAGGATGTTTAGCACATCCTACACAGCCTCTGCTCTGAAGGGCTTATTTTCTAAATGGGAATGACCTTTAAATAAATAATTACTTCATAGAGTGACAAGTGCCACGATAAAAGTATGGATAGATTGCTATAGGAACACAGAAGAAGGAACAACAAACAGTTCAGTAATTAGGAATAATTTTAAGAAGTGGCATTTGAGCTAGGTTTTAGAGAAACTTGTTATGAAAATCACATGTACTTGCAAATGTAAAGAGAAATAATGAAAATACTGAAAGAGTAATTCTAAAGTTGAGATATAATCAACAGATTTTTTTGAGATTGTAGCTCGAGATAGCATTATGCACATAATCTTATATATGCAATACAACCTCAAAGGATTTAAAAGATTTTGGTCCAAAGTGAAGAAGCTCTAAAAATTCCCATTAGAGTATGTTGCAGGAAAGTCTATTGTCCTACTCTCATGAATGGAAAAGGAAACTTCTGGGATGTAGTGTTTGTCAACCTTGGCACAACTGACATTTTGTATGAGATAATTGTTTGTTGTGGGGGACTATCTTGTGCACTCTAAGATGTTTAGCAGCATCCAAAGTACCCACTAGATACCAGCAGCACTCTTTACAGTTGTTACCATCACAATGTCTCCAGACATTGTCAAATGTCTCCTCTCTTTACTGATTGTCAGAAAAGTAAGCATCTTACCTCCATTTGTTACCTCCTTATGCTACTAGGTGGGTTCCCATGTGGCTTTCCCTTAGCTATTCAAACTAGCCTACCTGAGGAATGCACTCATTGGCTCTACGCCTTCTTCATGAAAGTAAGCACTGGTGGCTCTGGGGCCTATCTCCCTTTCTCCACATGGAAGTCCATTGGTGTGATTTCCCTATACAAATAGCTGAACCTGAAGATATGATCTCTACTGTAGGTCACGGAGCAAATATTAGGACTTGATCACAAGTTTGGCACACATTCTCCATCAGTAATGCTAACTATTTGAACTTCATCCCTCTGAACCAAATATCTTGCTGATTATTTAGACTCATTTGCATATTAACTCAGTTATCTTAAGGAGAAAGTTCTAATAAAAATGGTGGTATTAAATATTTACCAATCTATAGTTACATTATACATGTAAAATTGTTGAAATGTGTAAAATTTCTAAATCATTGCTTTTATTATTGCTGTTGCTCCTGCCTGTAATGTTATTCCTGTAAATCTTCTCATAGCCAGTCCCTTTTCCTCATCTCAGCTCATAAGTTAGTCCATTTTCCACCAACCAAAATAAACTATCCTTCTTGCCTTCATTTTATATATTACCCTATTTTATTTTCTTATTAACACCACTGAAAATATCTTAGTTTTTATTTGTTTATTTGTTGTTTTTCTCCCTCTGCTAGATTTAAAGTCCGTGAGCGCAAGTAACTTGCCAATGTTATTCACAACATAAATAGCTTCTCAACCAGTGACGGTTAAATGAAGACATTTACACAGGCATGAATGAATGATTCTTTACCAGTAAGAAGCTGGAATTCTAGAATATTTACAAAGAGAAACCACGCAATTTCTATCAGGCATCTATAATTAATTGATAGTTGCCAAGGAGGCAGCTATAATTAATTAACAATGGTCAATGAAAAATCCTGACAGGCCTATTTTAATGAATACTATAATGAGGATACGTTAGTTTACTTATTGTGGAATATGCATGGAGCTAAAGGCAGATAAGGCAAAGTGCACCAGTCTCTGTATGTTCAAATCTTGTGTTAACTTCCTGACATTTCCAATAATAGGTTTTTTAAAAATTCAAATGATAAAAGAAATATTGGGTGAGATGTTTAGGTAGTTTTTACTTCTCTGAATATCTGAAGTGCAACAACAAAACTATATATATATATAGTTTTATATATATAATATATATGATATATATTTATATTTTATATTTATATTTTTATTTTATATAAAATATATTTATATTATACATAATAAAATTTTATTTTTATATATAAAATATGTATGTAATATATATTATATATATAAAATATGTATATAATATATATATTATATATATAAAATATGTATATAATATATATATTATATATAAAATATGTATATAATATATATATTATATATATAAAATATACATATAAAATATATATATAAATTTATATATATATAAAATAGCTAAGACCACGGACCCTGGACTCAAACTACCTGGGTCTGAATCCTGGTTCCACCACTCACTAGCTGTTTGACTTTGAACAAGCTAAATAACATCTTTGAACCTCAGTTTTGTCATCTATAAGAATGATAATAAGAATCCCTATGTTATAGGGTTACTGTTATGATTAAAATAGTTAATATAGGTAAACCATGTAAATAGTGCCTGACACATGATAAATACTCTCTGTGTTAGTTATTAAAATACTTAGTGAAAGCTTTCAGAGTTTGAAAAAGCTTTAGAGATCGTCTAAGAAAGTGTTTTCTAAAGTTTTTCCAAGGATTTATAAGTGTTGCATGATTTTTAAAAAATTTCAGATGGCCAGTACATTTTGGCAAAGCTTGTTGAAAAAAATGTTACGCTTCTTATTGGCAGGACTTCTCAGACAAAATATACAAATGTTCGTTGTGAATCTCTAACAGATGGAAATAGTTTAAACTACTTCCTGTTTATGTAACCAAGGAACTTTTTCTTTCTTTGTTTCCTGCAGGACATTTCTTAGACTAGAAGCACACTTTGCCAGAAGTTTTTCTATCAAAACTTCATTTTGCAGAAGATGAAACAGTTCTTGTGTATCTCAGTCTGTGAAATCATAGACATACTTAATTTATGAAAACACAGCCCTAGGTTTATTTAAGTAGGTTATTGTGAGTATTTAAATTAGATTAGATCATCCTCATTTGCCTGCTTGAAACTCTGACCTGTTAGGCTCTGCGCCTCCGCTCCCAATATTCACTTCAGGCTCTCCTTGCATTTATGATTATTTTGGACATAGTTCTTTGGCTTAGTGTCACATTCCCCTTAAAGATGATGTGGTTTTGCCATTTGGCCTTATGCACTGTAACCTCAGCAAAGGGAGACACTCCCTTTTTACTAGAGGAGAATTGGTGACTTGCTCCATATCACACAGAAAATTAGTGACAGTGCTGACACAGGATCTTCATCTCTTTTTCTAGCACTGGCCAGTCATCTGAATCTGGCCTGTTTTGTCTGGCTTGACCATTGTTTAAATATGAATGTTTTTATGAAAAATATGTGCTCTACAGTTCACTATATTCTATGCCAGGAGTCAGCAAACATTCTCTGTAAAGGGCCACATTGCAAATGTTTCAGGCTCTCCAGTCCATATGGTCTCTGTCTCTACTCAATTCTACCATTGTTATATTACACGATATGTTAACAAATAGACATGGTTTTGTTGCAACAAATCTTTATTTACAAAAACAGACTTGCCAGATTTGGACAAGACATAGTCTATCAACCCTATTCTATACCTGTTCTTAAAGTCTAAGAATATTTAAGTTTCCAGACCATGAATAAAGATATAACAGATAAATTAAGGATTGAGAATATTTATTATTATAAAATTGTCACTAGATAACTATTTATATTTGTGTATTATTTGAAATCCTTAACTATTTATATGTATGTATTATTTCAAATAATGAGGAACACTGCTGGAATCCAGAGACATTTGCTCTTAATGCCGTCATTTTGGTTGCATTTATTAAAATTAAGTCCTTCCTATCATGCTATCACTTTACAGCATTTATCCGATTGCAAAGCTGGAAAATATTCCAGTTGAAGCAGTGATGGAATTTATGCAATATTTTGGTACATCTGTCACTTTGACAAAATTGTACAATCTATGATTTTCTTTCTATTAGATTCAGAGGTTTTATCCATTTAAATGTACGATTACCTCTGAAGCCACATGAATTTGGCTGGAATGTTGTTTTCCCATAAATTTCCAGTGCAGCAACTTGGATTTGCTGACTCAGGATTCTGCAAATTTTTGGCATGGACTTATGCATTCCAGTTTTTAACTTGTTTTTCAAATGTGCTCACTCTTTCCAATTACTGGCTATTCATGGCACAAGGACAGGAAAACTTCTCCCAGTTATTGCTGTCTGATGTCTCTCTCTTAATGACACTTAAAAAAAGAATTTTTTCACTTTGCTTAGTCTGTGTCCTGTGTTTAATGGACATTTGGATTTTATGATTTAGACCTGTCAATTTTATCACATAATCATGGTCTTCTCTTGTTATTAATTCATCTCTTTGAATAAACTGCATATTATAAAATTTTAGAAATAAATTGCTCTTTACAGCACAGTTACTGAAGACTGCAAGGCCCAGGATTTTATATTCTTTAAAAATGCAAACTCAGGCTGAGCACAGTGGCTCACATCAGTAATCCCAGCACTTTGGGAGGCCGAGGTGGGTGGATCATCTGAGGTCAAGAGTTTGAGACCAGCCTGGCCAACATGGTAAAGTCCCGTTTCTACTAAAAATACAAAAAATTAGCCAGGCGTGGTCATGGGTGCCTGTAATCCCAGCTACTTGGGTGGCTAAGGCAGGAGAATCGCTTGAACCCGGGAGGTGGAGGTTGCAGTGAGCCGAGATCGCACCATTGCACTCCAGCCTGGGCAACAAGAGTGAAACTCCCATCTCACAAAAAACAAAAAAAAAGGAAACTTCTGGAACACCTCATTATGAGAATATGTAACTTATTGTTGTTATAAACCAGGAAACATTAAATACCTAGTGTCTGATGGCAGATAAAACATAATTTCTATTATCAAATGTTTTCTTTAGTTAATACTATATCTTAAACCAAAGTCACAGCTGTGATTGTTTGTACTTTTCAGCATTTCAACTCAACTTCCCTCAAGAACAACAAAAAGTCAAACTGGCTTATGGCATCTTCCAAAAGGATATGTGACCAAATTAAACATCTATTATTTTGTGAAAGAATATTGGAAAGACCTAATTTTTTAAACCACTTTGTTAATGTTTATCAGTTAAGGTATTACTCCTTGCAATATTTAAATTATTAGGATAAACATTGAAAATATATAATTTGCATTAAGCTGTCACATATTTTGAGGATTTCCTTAGGAAATATTTTTTCCTTTTAGATATTCAACATTGAACAGTTTAGGTTAATTTTGTGATGTCTTATTGAAAAAGTTTTCTTTCCTATGATTATCTCTAGTTTAATGCACAATACGAAAAAAAGATTCTGTACAAAGAAGTAACTTCATTAGTAACCTTTTAAGAATACATCTTGTTTATACAGTAAGGTATATTTGTTAAAAAAAACAGAAAGATTAAGTTGTAAAATTGTACCTTAATAACAGCAACTGGCTATAGGACAAATACTGCACTACTGCTTTTAATGAAGGGTTTAATTAGACTGAAGAGAAACCTGAATTTTATTACTTTCTATATAGTCTTCTTGAATTTATAACCAGAACCAATTATTCATTCATGCTGTACATGAATTTTCCACTGACTGAAAATTATTGTGCAGTCCTAACTCACGATTACACAGCAAAGATATAATCATGCTTGATAGAACTTTTGAGCTCTTTGTGAGGGAAAAGGTGCCCTATAAGCAAGAACAATGACATTATTTCTGAGGGTGGGGGGCTACTCTGTCAGAGCTGAAGGTCCTAGAATGCATAAAGCAGCAGTCCAATCAAAAGGTTATGAGAAACATAATCAGTTACTAATATGCCCATTTTCATTAGAACATATTGCAACCTATATTATATGCTTATGAAGAGATGTTGAATGTTACTGAAAAAATAGTTAAGCCAAGTTAAGCTGTTTTAAAACTCTTGTAGATAACTGGGCAAGGACCACCACCACCACAAAGTTTCTTTTCTAAAAGACCCCTTTAACACATACATATGCATGTGTGCATATACAAGGACACACAATGTGTCAGGCTCATTGTTTTCTGGCTATATTTTATTGAAAAAGTTATTACTTGTTATATTGGGCTTTCTGAGTATTAATATTTATGTACAATCGTTGCTCAGTATCCTTGGGGGAATTGGTTCCATGACCTTCATGGATATAAAAAATCCACTGATACTCTAGTTTCTGCAAAATGGCATAGTAGTTGCACCTAACCTACACACATCCTCCTGTATGCTTTAAATACCTAATACAATGTAAATACATGATACAATGTAAATGCTTTGTAAAGATTTGTTATACTGTGTTGTTTTCTTACTTGTATTTTTAAAATTATTGTAGTTTTTTTTTTTTCAAATATTTTCTATCTGCAGAGGTCTAACCGTGCTTTTACAGAGTTTGGCCTTAGATTGTTGATACCCTGACGGGTGTATCAAATAGGCATAACTCCGTGACTAAGCTGTCAGAGAATTTAAACTTTAGAGGCTAAGGACCTTTAAAAGTAATCTGCCAAAGTAGCCATGGCTATTTCCCATGCAACTACCTTTCTTACTTGCCAGCAGAACCTGCCCTGCATCAGAGATGAGAAATGTCATATAGTCATCATCCAAATTTCTTTTGCAACTAGGACATGAACTTATGACCTAGTTCTGGCCACTGGGACAGGAAGAGGACTCTGCTGGAGGAGATTGTGAGGAAGATTTCCCTCCATGATTTAAGAGGGAGGAAGCATGCAAATCAAAACAACCAGTCAGATAAGATACCATCTCACACCAGTCAGAATGGCTATTACTAAAAGTCAGAAAATCACAGATGATGGTGAGGTTGTGGAGAAAAGGGAACACTTAAACACTGTTGATGGGGAAATAACTTAGATTAGTCATTGTGGAAAGCAGTTTGGCAATTTCTCAAAGAACTTACAACAGGGTGGAGCCAAGAAGGCCGAATAGGAACAGCTCCAGTCTACAGCTCCCAGCGTGAGTGATGCAGAAGATGGGTGATTTCTGCATTTCCATCTGAGGTACTGGGTTCATCTCACTAGGGAGTGCCAGACAGTGGGCACAGGACAGTGGGTGCAGTGCACCGTGCGCGAGCCGAAGCAGGGCAAGGCATTGCCTCACTTGGGAAGCGCAAGGGGTCAGGGAGTTCCCTTTCCTAGTCAAAGAAAGGGGTGACAGACGGCACCTGGAAAATCAGGTCACTCCCACCCTAATACTGTGCTTTTCCAACGGGCTTAAAAAACGGCACACCAGGAGATTATATCCCCCACATGACTCGGAGGGTCCTATGCCCACGGAGTCTCCCTGATTGCTGGCATAGCAGTCTGAGATCAAACTGCAAGGCGGCAGCGAGGCTGGGGAAGGGGCACCTGCCATTGCCCAGGCTTGATTAGGCAAACAAAGCAGCCAGGAAGCTCAAACTGGGTGGAGCCCACCACAGCTCAAGGAGGCCTGCCTGCCTCTGTAGGCTCCACCTCTGGGGGCAGGGCACAGACAAACAAAAAGACAGCAGTAACCTCTGCAGACTTAAATGTCCCTGTCTGACAGCTTTGAAGAGAGTAGTGGTTCTCCCAGCATGCAGCTGGAGATCTGAGAGCGGGCAGACTGCCTCCTGAAGCAGGTCCTTGACCCCCGAGCAGCCTAACTGGGAGGCACCTCCCAGTAGGGGAAGACTGACACCTCACACGGCTGGGTACTCCTCTGAGACAAAACTTCCAGAGGAACAATCAGGCAGCAGAATTTGTGGTTCACCAAGGTCTGCTGTTCTACAGCCACCGCTGTTCTGCAGCCACCGCTGCTGATACCCAGGCAAACAGGGTCTGGAGTGGACCTCTAGCAAACTCCAACAGACCTGCAGCTGAGGGTCCTGTCTGGTAGAAGGAAAACTAACAAACAGAAAGGACATCCACACAAAACCCTTCTGTACGTCACCATCATCAAAGACCAAAAGTAGATAAAGCCACAAAGATGGGGAAAAAACAGAGCAGAAAAACTGGAACCTCTAAAAAGCAGAGCACCTCTCCTCCTCCAAAGGAACGCACTTCCTCACCAGCAACGGAACAAAGCTGGACGGAGAATGACTTTGACGAGCTGAGAGATAACTAGAATGGATAACTAGAATAACCAATACAGAGAAGTCCTTAAAGGAGCTGATGGAGATGAAAGCCAAGGCTCGAGAACTACGTGAAGAATGCAGAAGCCTCAGGAGCCGATGCGATCAACTGGAAGAAAGGGTATCAGTGATGGAAGACGAAATGAATGAAATGAAGCAAGAAGGGAAGTTTAGAGAAAAAAGAATAAAAAGAAACAAACAAAGCCTCCAAGAAATATGGGACTATGTGAAAAGACCAAATCTATGTCTGATTGGTGTACCTGAAAATGATGGGGAGAATGGAACCAAGCTGGAAAACACTCTGCAGGATATTATCCAGGAGAACATCCCCAATCTAGCAAGGCAGGCCAACATTCAGATTCAGGAAATACAGAGAACACCACAAAGATACTCCCCGAGAAGAGCAACTCCAAGACACATAATTGTCAAGTTCACCAAAGTTGAAATGAAGGAAAAAATGTTAAAGGCAGCCAGAGAGAAAGGTCGGGTTACCCTCAAAGGGAAGCCCATCAGACTAACAGCGGATCTCTCAGCAGAAACCCTACAAGCCAGAAGAGAGTGGGGGCCAATATTAAACATGTTTAAAGAAAAGAATTTTCAACCCAGAATTTCATATCCAGCCAAACTAAGCTTCATAAGTGAAGGAGAAAAAAAATACTTTACAGACAAGCAAATGCTGGCAGATTTTGTCACCCCCAGGCCTGCCCTAAAAGACCTCCTGAAGGAAGCACTAAACATGGAAAGGAACAACCGGTACCAGCCACTGCAAAAACATGCCAAAATGTAAAGACCATCAAGGCTAGGAAGAAAACTGCATCAACTAACGAGCAAAATAACCAGCTAACATCATAATGACAGGACCAAATACACACATAACAATATTAATTTTAAATGAAAATGGGCTAAATGCTCCAATTAAAAGACACAGACTGGCAAATTGGATAAAGAGTCAAGACCCATCAGTGTGCTGTATTCAGGAAACCCATCTCACGTGCAGAGACACACATAGGCTCAAAATAAAAGGATGGAGGAAGATCTACCAAACAAATGGAAACAAAAAAAGGCAGGGGTTGCAATCCTAGTCTCTGATAAAACAGACTTTAAACCAACAAAGATCAAAAGAGACAAAGAAGGCCATTACATAATGGTAAAGGGATCAATTCAACAAGAAGAGCTAACTATCCTAAATATATATGCACCCGATACAGGAGCACCCAGACTCATAAAGCAAGTCCTTAGTGACCTACAAAGAGACTTAGACTCCCACACAATAATAATGGGAGACTTTAACACCCCACTGTCAACATTAGACCCGACAACGAGACAGAAAGTTAACAAGGATACCCAGGAATTGAACTCAGCTCTGCACCAAGTGGACCTAATAGACATCTACAGAACTCTCCACCCCAAATCAACAGAATATACATTTTTTTCAGCACCACACCACACACCACACCTATTCCAAAATTGACCACATAGTTGGAAGTAAAGCTCTCCTCAGCAAATGTAAAAGAACGGAAATTATAACAAACTGTCTCTCAGACCACAGTGCAATCAAACTAGAACTCAGGACTAACAAACTCACTCAAAACCGCTCAACTACATGGAAACTGAACAACCTGCTCCTGAATGACTACTGGATACATAACAAAATGAAGGCAGAAATAAAGATGTTCTTTGAAACTAACGAGAACAAAGACACAACATACCAGAATCTCTGGGACACATTCAAAGCAGTGTGTAGAGGGAAATTTATAGCACTAAATGCCCACAAGAGAAAGCAGGAAAGATCCAAAATTGACACCCTAACATCACAATTAAAAGAACTAGAAAAGCAAGAGCAAACACATTCAAAAGCTAGCAGAAGGCAAGAAATAACTAAAGTCAGAGCAGAACTGAAGGAGATAGAGACACAAAAAAACCCTTCAAAAAATTAATGAATCCAGGAGCTGGTTTTTTGAAAAGATCAACAAAATTGATAGACCGCTAGCAAGACTAATAAAGAAAAAAAGAGAGAAGAATGAAATAGACGCAATAAAAAATGATAAAGGCGATATCACCACTGATGTCACAGAAATACAAATTACCATCAGAGAATACTACAAACACCTCCATGCAAATAAACTAGAAAATCTAGAAGAAATGGGTAAATTCCTCGACACATACACCCTCCCAAGACTAAACCAGGAAGAAGTTGAATCTCTGAATAGATCAATAACAGCCTCTGAAATTGTGGCAATAATCAATAGCTTACCAACCAAAAAGAGTCCAGGACCAGATGGATTCACAGCCGAATTCTACCAGAGGTACAAGGAGGAACTGGTACCATTCCTTCTGAAACTATTCCAATCAATAGAAAAAGAGGGAATCCTCCCTAACTCATTTTATGAGGCCAGCATCATCCTGATACCAAAGCCTGACAGAGACACAACCAAAAAAGAGAATTTTAGACCAGTGTCCTTGATGAACATTGATGGAAAAATCCTCAATAAAATACTGGCAAATCGAATCCAGCAGCACATCAAAAAGCTTATCCATCATGATCAGCTGGGCTTCATCCCTGGGATGCAAGGCTGGTTCAACATACATAAATCAATAAATGTAATCCAGCATATAAACAGAACCAAAGACAAAAACCACGTGATTATCTCAACAGATGCAGAAAAGGCCTTTGACAAAATTCAACAACCCTTCATGCTAAAAACTCTCAATAAATTAGGTATGGATGGGACATATCTCAAAATAATAAGAGCTATCTATGACAAACCCACAGCCAATATCATACTGAATGGGCAAAAACTGGAAGCATTCCCTTTGAAAACTGGCACAAGACAGGTATGCCCTCTCTCACCACTCCTATTCAACATAGTGTTGGAAATTCTGGCCAGGGCAATTAGGCAGGAGAAGGAAATAAAGGGTATTCGATTAGGAAAAGAGGAAGTCAAATTGTCCCTGTTTGCAGATGACATGATTGTATATTTAGAAAACCCCATTGTCTCAGCCCAAAATCTCCTTAAGCTGAGAAGCAACTTCAGCAAAGTCTCAGGATATAAAATCAATGTACAAAAATCACAAGCATTCTTATACACCAAGAACAGACAAACAGAGAGCCAAATCATGAGTGAACTCCCATTCACAATTGCTTCAAAGAGAATAAAATACCTAGGAATCCAACTTACAAGGGATGTGAAGGACCTCTTCAAGGAGAACTACAAACCACTGCTCAATGAAATAAAAGAGGATACAAACAAATGGAAGAACATTCCATGCTCATAGGTAGGAAGAATCAATATCGTGAATATGGCCATATTGCGCAAGGTAATTTATAGATTCAACGCCATCCCCACCAAACTACCAATGACTTTCTTCACAGAATTGGAAAAAACTGCTTTAAAGTTCATATGGAACCAAAAAAGAGCCCTCATCGCCAAGTCAATCCTAAGCCAAAAGAACAAAGCTGGAGGCATCACGCTACCTGACTTCAAACTATACTACAAGGCTACAGTAACCAAAACAGCATGGTACTGGTACCAAAACAGAGATATAGATCAATGGAACAGAACAGAGCCCTCAGAAATCATGCCACATATCTACAACCATCTGATCTTTGACAAACCTGAGAAAAACAAGCAATGGGGAAAGGATTCCCTGTTTAATAAATGGTGCTGGGAAAACTGGCTGGCCATATGTAGAAAGGTGAAACTGGATCCCTTCCTTACACCTTATACAAAAATTAATTCAAGATGGATTGAAGACTTACATGTTAGACGTAAAACCATAAAAACCCTAGAAGAAAACCTAGGCAATACTATTCAGGACATAGGCAAGGGCAAGGACTTCATGTCTAAAACACCAAAAGCAATGGCAACAAAAGCCAAAATTGACAAATGGGATCTAATTAAACTAAAGAGCTTCTGCACAGCAAAAGAAACTACCATCAGAGTGAACAGGCAACCCACAAAATGGGAGAAAAAATTTTGCAACCTACTCATCTGACAAAGCGCTAATATCCAGAATCTACAATGAACTCACACAAATTTACAAGAAAAAAACAAACAACCCCATCAAAAAGTGGGTGAATGATATGAACAGACACTTCTGAAAAGAAGACATTTATGCAGCCAAAAAACACATGAACAAATGCTCGCCATCACTGGCCATCAGAGAAATGCAAATCAAAACCACAATGAGATACCATCTCACACCAGTTAGGATGGTGATCATTAAAAAGTCAGGAAACAACAGGTGCTGGAGAGGATGTGGAGAAATAGGAACACTTTTACACTGTTGGTGGGACTGTAAACTAGTTCAACCCTTGTGGAAGTCAGTGTGGTGATTCCTCAGGGATCTAGAATTAGAAATACCATTTGACCCAGCCATCCCATTACTGGGTATATACCCAAAGGACTATAAACCATGCTGCTATAAAGACACATGCACATGTATGTTTATTGCAGCACTATTCACAATAGCAAAGACTTGGAACCAACCCAAATGTCCAACAATGATAGACTGGATTAAGAAAATGTGGCACATATACACCACGGAATACTATGCAGCCATAAAAAATGAAGAGTTCATGTCCTTTGTACAGACATGGATGAAACTGGAAACCATCATTTTCAGCAAACTCTCGCAAGGACAAAAAAGGAAACACCGCATGTTCTCACTCATAGGTGGGAATTGAACAATGAGAACACATGGACACAGGAAGGGGAATATCACACTCTGGGGACTGTTGTGGGGTGGTGGGAGCGGGGAGGGATAGCATTAGGAGATATACCTAATGCTAAATGACAAGTGAATGGGTGCAGCACACCAACATGGCACATGTATACATATGTAACAAACCTGCACATTGTGCACATGTACCCTAAAACTTAAAGTATAATAATAATAATAATAATAAAAAGAACTTACAACAGAATTACCATTTGATCCAGCAATCCCATTATTGGATATATACCCAAAGGAATATAAATTACTCTAGCATAAAGGCATATGCATGTGTATTTTCATCACAGCACTATTCACAAAAGTAAAGACATGGAATTAGACATGGAATCAACCTAAATGCCCATCAATGGTAGATAGAATAAAGTCTACCATTGAGGACATAACTGAGTTCTTTTTCATAACTGTGTAATATTCTATGATGTAAATGTAGAATGTTACATATGTAATTATACATAATGGAGGGTGTTATCTTCAGTGGATTAATGCAGGCACAGAAAACCAAATACCGCATATTCTCAGTTATAAGTGGGAGCTAAATACTGAGTATATATGGACAAGAAAAAGGAAACAGACGCCAGGGCCTACTCAAGGGTTGTGTGTGGGAGGAGGGTGAGAATAGAAAAACTGCTTATTGGGTATGATGCTCATTACCTGGGTGACAAAATAATCTGTACATCAAACCCCTGTGACATGCAATTTACTTATATAACAAACCTGCACATGTACCCCTGAACCTAAAATAAATTTTTAAAAATGTAAAAAAACAAAAAGATCAGGAGAAAGTGCATTTAAATAAGTTAAAAAGAAATAGAAAATATATAGCAATATATTTGCATAATTTTTTATGTTACTCGAAATACTAAAAAAGAAATTTTTATAAATCATTTAGGATTCAGAGTATCCTTTATGTTTTTTCCTCCCCACATTTAACTTTCCAATATTCTAGGTTTCCATTTGCATGGTTTTTTCATCAATTATTCTGTGGATATCAGAGTGATTTCCAAGTTTATAATTTCTTCTTTTCAGAAACCATGTCTGTGATTCTACATGCATTGTTTCTTTTACTTTTAATTACTTCAGAATTAAATATGTTAACATTTTTCAAATTAGTATTCTTCTTTTTTAATATTTATTGTATCTTCCAAAAAATTACTCAAAAATTCTTTTTCTGTAAGTTGTTTCTTCTTAAAATAATATAGCATCAGACTCAACTTGTTTATGACTCCACACAGTTATTCCTTCTATGTAAGATATTCCTAGAGATTATTCTCTTACCATTTGATTGCTAAAACCTATATTGCTGGTATATTTGTGAATAGTGTCTATAAATATGGAAGGAATGGTACCAGTTCCTCTGGTAGAATTTGGCTGTGAATCTATCTAGTCCTGGACTTTTTTTGGTTGGTAGGCTATTAATTATTGCCTCAATTTCAGAGCTTGTTATTGGTTTATTCAGGGATTTGACTTCTTCCTGGTTTAGTCTTGGGAGGGTGTACGTATCCAGGAATTTATCCATTTCTTCTAAATTTTCTAGTTTATTGGCATAGAGGTGTTTATAGTATTCTCTGATGGTAGTTTGTATTTCTGTGGGATCAGTGGTGATCTCTCCTTTATCATTTTTTATTGTTTCTATTTGATTCTTCTCTCTTTTCTTCTTTATTAGTCTGGCTAGTGATCTATTTTGTTAGTCTTTTCAAAAAACCAGCTCCTGGATTCACTGATTTTTTGAAGGGTTTTTTGTGTCTCTATCTCCTTCAATTCTGCTCTTATCCTAATTATTTCTTGTCTTCTGCAAGCTTTTAAATTTGTTTGCTCTTGCTTCTCTAGTTCTTTTAATTGTGATGTTAGGGTGTTGATTTTAAATCTTTCCCACTTTGTCTTGTGGCCATTTAGTGCTATAAGGGCCCATGTGGTATAGGCACCTGATGGAATCTACTGGTCTGTGGGTTGTGAAGACTGTGGGAAAGGTGTAGTATCTGGGCCAGAGTGCACCGTCCCTCACGGCACAGTCCTTCATGGCTTCCCTTGGCTAGGGGAGGGAGTTCCCTGACCCCTTGTGCTTCCCAGGTGAGGCGATGCCCCACCCTGCTTCCGCTCGCCCTCTGTGGGCTGCAACCACTGTCTAACCAGTCCCAGTGAGATGAACTGAGTACCTCAGTTGGAAATGCAGAAATCACCTGCCTTCTGTGTTGGTCTCTTCTGGGAGCTGCAGACTGGAGCTGTTCCTATTCAACCATCTTGCCCAGCTCTCTGGTGCAATGGCAACTTAAGAACAAATTTCACTTAGGATAACTTTCTGATTGGCCCTGACCAGGAATAACTTTTTGCCATGGTTATCATTTGTCATAAAGATTATCATGCTAAAAAAATGACTATTATCAATTGGCATTTGGAAGTTGCGAAATAAAATATAAAAGGACAACTATCAGAAATAATGGACTGTACAATAAAAATAACAATGGGTAAGAAATCTAAACGAGACCATTGTGAAATGTGCCTCATAATGAAAACTCACTTCAATCAAAGAACTGTAAAAGACACGAAGTCTAATTGCATTATTTCTTATGGGTAATTATAGTTACATAAAGCAAATCTTGCATCAACCATTGCTTTTCAACATACTCTCATAAAAAAGTATGTTTCTGAACTTGAATTTTATTGAATAAAGATTAATTTTTTGTCAATGTGATAACACTTGGCTAATTGCTCAAAGAGCAAGAAAAGTCTGATTCTTCACATTATTTTTATCATGTGGACAAAACAAGTTGATTATCTAGTCTCTTTACTTTTGTACTATACTGATACTTCACTTTATAACGTCTCTGAAAATTGAAGCTTTTTTTTTTGTTTTGTTTTGAAACAGGGTCTGGCTCTGTCACACAGGCTGGAATGCAATGGCAATCTCAGCTCACTGCAACCTCCACCTCCTGGGTTCAAGCAATTCTTGTGCCTCAGTCTCTTGAGTAGCCGGGACTACAGATGCATGCCACCATGCCTGGCTAATTTTTGTATTGTTTTGTAGAGACGAGGTTTTACCACGTTGCCCAGGCTGGTCTCAAACTCCTGGAATCAAGTGATCTGCCCACCTCAGCCTCCCAAAGTGCTGGGATTACAGGTGTGAGCCACCACACCTGGTCCCAATTAAAGCTTTTTAATTTCATCAACCAGATAACTAATTTTTAAAATCAATTTAACAAACATCATTTGAGTATGTATTAGATTCCAGGCACTGGGCTAAGGATGGGGATTAACATGTGGCTGTTGCCTTCAGGTCCTCACAACCTAATGGAGTAGTTATAAAAGCTCCCAATTAGTAATAATAATGGCTATTATGAAGTCTTATTATGTGTGTCATAGCAATTCAAGGATTAACAAAGCAGACACAGTTCCTGCCCTGATGGAGCATACATTCTATCATACAATTTAGATATTAAATTATTATGAAATTAATATATTAATTTATTACAGTTGGGAATCATGATACCCAGAAGTCAGAGTACTATGAGAGCTTGTAATCAGGGCTTGATCTACAGATGGCTTTATATAAGATAACACTGGAATTAGGGCTTAAGAGATAATGAGTTCACCAGATGGAGAAGGTAGAATGGGAATCCCAAGCAAAGAAAATAACACTAGCATCAGCATTCAGTTAAGTGTAAAAAGTATTTTGCATGTTTTAGAAATAGCAATGTAGTTTTTTTTAATAAAGTTCTCTGCAATATGAAGGAGATCAAAGATGATTTTTGTTTTCTTAACATTAATGGCCAAGGAAGAGATAGTTATTTCTCAAGAGCAATTTGCTCTTGGAGAAGGCTGGTTCAGACAATTATTTCCCTATCAGGCTACAGTAGGTCATGTTCCCAGGGTAAAACTGTGCTGAAACTTTACTCTGTGAGCAGGGTTTCATTCTTAGGAATGGAGAACAACTGTTAGCACCAAAACTAGATGAGGAAGCCCACTTCCCCATAAGAAAAGGGAGGAGTTCAAATGAAACAAGGAGAAATAACTTGCCTCTTCTCTATTTGCTATTTTAATGAGTATTACTACTATGCTCCCAGTAGACTTTAATAGAAACATGGAAGCTATTCTAAACTTTTTTCTCTGTCATTCTCCAATTAGTTACAAACACCTATGTATTCTATTTCCATTATTATCTCTTGAATGTGTACTCTCTTTTCATCCCCTCTGCCACTGTTTTAGTTTTGCCCTTCTTACTTCTTGGATGATGGCAACCCAGGCATTTGTAACAGCCTCTTCACTAGTCTGCCTGCCTCCACTTTCAGCTGCTTCCAATCCATAACATCATCACCAGAGTAAACCCCAAAATAATTTGATCATATCATTTCTGGGCTCAGAAATACAATTATTTAAAGAAAAAGTCTAAATTCCTCAATATTGCATTCAAGGAACTTCATAATTTGACACCAGCTTACCTTTCTGGTTTTATTGCCTGCAAAACCACTGTATACATTGTAATTTACAGGCATATTGAACTATTTATAGTGGCTAAATGAATTCGGTTCTCTCATGGGAGTCATTCTCTGGTAGATTTAGTTTTGGAGGTCATGAGATTAAAGCTAGCCATTTTAAATACATCTCAGAGGACTCCTCAGATTAAAAACATGCAATTTAGAATACAGGTTGCATATCCCTAGTGTGAAAATCCAAAACCTACAATGCTTTAAAATCTGAAATATTTTGAGTGCCAACGTGATGCTCAAAGGAAATGCTCATTGGAGCATTTCAGAATTTGGATTTTGAATTTTCATATTAGTGATGCTCAACCAGTAATTGCTTTTTAAGGTAGAATTGTTGAGGAGAATATTTATTATGATTTGGCACCTTAGAAGAATATTGTATGCTACAATAAAACTCATAATTTTTATAGATCAAAAATAAGAAAACAATATCAACACTCTTGATTTGTATGCAACCAACTGAGAGCTCTCCTCTGAAGCTGATCAATAAATAATAATTTTTAAAAATGTATGGGAAGAAGTTTATCCTAGAATACAAAGAAGAAAAATGAAGTGTTAGTTTATCACTATTTCTTAATTTAAAAGCTATTAAAACAGATGTAGATTCTGGGTTTTATGATAAGGACCAAAACTAAATGGAACCTCTATTATGATTACTTCTCTTCCAAATCCACATGATGTGTACTTGTGATCCCATAAAAACTATTGACTCTCTTCCATACCCGTCTCACAGGCAACAGACTCCTATCAGTAATATTGTTTATTAGTTGGAGCAAGGGTTTGCAGCTGATAGCCTGCAGGCCAAATCTGGTCCGCTGTTCTTTTTATACAGCCTACAAATTTGGAATGGTTTTTACGTTTTTAAATAGTTGGAAAAAGACAAAATAATAATATTTTATTATATGAGAAAAGGATATACATTTCAAATTTCAGTGTTCATAAAATAAATTTTATTACAGCAAAGCTATTTAGTCTGTTTGTGCTGCTGTAACAGAATACCACGGACTGGGTCATTTATAAAGAAGAGAAGCTTATTTTCTCACAGTTCTGGAGATTGGGAAGTCCAAGATCAAGGCACTGCCATCCGGTGAGGGACTTCTTGTTGTACACTCCAAGAAGGGAGGAAGGCTAAGTCCTCATACGGCCGAAGAGCTGCACGAAGCCGCTTTTAAAACAGCTTAATCCTATTAAGGAGGGAGCAGTCCTTACAGCCTAATCACCTCTTAAAAGCCCCACCTGTTGAAACTACCACATTGGCAACACCTGAATTTTGGAGGGGCCACACTGAAACCATAGCAATCGTTTTATTGGAACACAGCCATGATCATTTGTTTACGTATCATCTATGGCTGCATTTGTGCTTACAATGGCAGAACTGAGTAGTTACAGTGGAGACCTGATGGCTCACAAAGGGGAAAATATTTACTATCTGACCCAATTTGCTGAATCCTGAGTTACAGTGATATGGAATAGTTGGAAATTGTAGGCTTTAGTAATTTTTTCTTTTTATTGGCTCCCTGGCATCTGGCATTTTGGCAATTCTCTACTTCAGGAGTCTTGTTAGGAGGCAAAGTTTCCTCTCCAGAAAGGTAAGAGCATCTCTGACAGCGAACAGCTGGTAGCTGGTCTGGTTACAACCACCTATGCTATGGTATTTCCCTGCTGATCATAAACAATTCCATGAAACATCATCAATGATTGACGATTTTTTGTGACCACAATGATACAAAATAAAAACAAGACAACTTCATAATTATGCCTGAATAGAGATAAAAACAAAGACTTTGTGCTTCTGCTAATATGAGAGACTACTGCTGCTTCTCCAATAACTCTAACTCCTTTCCATTCCTTCTGCTCACAGATAAAAAAATACTAAAATCTCCAATAGCCAAATGTCCCATTTTCAGAGAATGCCCAATCCCAAAGTGATAATCCCCATTTTTTGAACACTTTCAACATAATCTCTAGGTCCCTTCTAACTCCCTCTTACTGAGATGCTGCGTGGTTCTCCATGGTATACGATCTCTGTTGCAGCAGCAATGAATAAACCTAATGTTGTTAACTAAGTATATTTGGTGGTATCTTCTTGATGGGTCTCAACTTTTAACCCTCTTAGAAACCAGATATTTGGCTTTTAATCCTTTCTGGTGTCAGTGAATTGGGCGCTCAGGCGATACAAGTCAGACACATGCTTCTTATCCTCCACAGATACTATCTACAGAAGTTCCTGACCACTTAGAATTGATTATCATTTGAGCAGCAGCAGCAGCAGCAGCAGCAGCAGTGATGATAGCAACAGAAACTGCAAGCTGATGATGCAGTAGCAGTGGCCAGTGCCCAGCGCTGGCAGAGTACCAGTGCAAACTGTGGCATTCAGTGTTTGGTGCTGTTGCAATGGTATTACACTGTAGTGTTCTTTTAAAATTGCTTTTGCTTAGTTTCTAAGTTTAACTTGTCTTGCTATCAATTATTGCATTTATTCAAGGTCCTCCCATTAAAGTCCTTTTCAGCTAAAATCACAGTTAGTTATTGTGTGGTACATATGAATCCAATCGAACAATATTCTTCATAATCTCCCTATGTAACTTCAGGCATTTGATGACTTTGAAATATAGCTCTCCAACCACAGGTGCAAAGTTCTAGGTCTAAATTTCTTATTGTCTACTGACTGGCTCCACTTGAATATACCATGTGCCTTTCCAATTTATTATGTTGAAAACAAAATTCATCATCTCCCCAGACCTTCCTTATTTTCTGTCTATGTAGTTGATATTCCCTAAAACAGAAACCTGGGAGGTATTCCTTACCCCATGATGAATTATTCACCAAGCCCTATGAATTCTACTCTCTCTGAAACACATCCTTTCTCATCTACATAGCTACTTTATAGCTCTAGTTCAAGGCTTCAGTTAATTTTCCCATGGATTAACACTACAACTTTGTTAACTGGTTACCATGTCTTCCATTGTGCCCGCTATAATCTACTCTGCACGGAGCAGCCATTGAAATCTTTCCAAAATGCAAGTGACAAAATGCAAGTAATATAGAAACTCTCTTTCAACTCCCATTTGCCAGAAGTTTCCCCAGAATAAAAACTCACATGACACTGTATCTTCAAAGACTCTTCAAAAATGGCCTTGCATTAAGATTGACATGGCATGTTCAATCGTGCTACATGGAATATGTATTGGTATCCATGTTTCTGTCTAATAAAGATCCATTTTGGTTTATAAGCAGAAAATGATTCTGCTAGAACATTTTTTTTTATAAACCTTTGCTGTCCCTTTGTACTTAGCACCACAATGCCGTAGCATAAATTGATTCTATGAAGCATTCATGCATTCGTTCAACAAATATTTATTAAACACCTATTATGTCCCAGGCCTTATTCTATGAGATAGGAGTAAAGTCAAAAGCAAAACAGATAAAGTCTCTGCCCTCATGGAAATACCATTATTGTGGGGAGAAATGTACAAGAAGGAAGTAGAAATAAATATACAACATACAGAATGGTGGTAAGTGCTGTGAAAAAAATAAAGCAGGGTAAGAATTATAGACAGATTGTAAGGGATGCTACTTCATGTAAAGTGCCCAAAGAAAGCCACTCTGAAAAGCTAATATTTTATTGAAGTTCTAAAGGAAGTGAGGAAACATAATGATATGATATAGCATATATACACATAAAAGACTAAACTGAATAAAAGCATGAGTACTGAAGTCAGATTGTCTGGAATCAAATTTGAGTTCTGTCACTTACTAGCAATGTGATATGACATTCTACTTCTCTGTACCTCAGTTTCCCTGTTTATAAAATGGGAATATTGTTGGGTTGTACATCTTCAAAGAGTGGTAGCAGATGTACAGTGCTTAAACAGAGTACATGGTAAGTACTCAATAACACAACTTATTATCATTGGAAAAATGATGCTAAAACAAAGCATTACAATTGGAAGAAAATCTCTCAATATCACAAAACCTAGTCAATAATTTGTAGACAATAGGAGAACTGAAGGCTCTAGTAGAAGTCAAATAATGAAGACTCAGAGGCTAACCTTTGAGCAGAAGCATAAGCAACCAACAAAGAAGGCTTTATAGTATTCATCTAAGGGTCCATGGAATATCTACTCTGTACCAAGTACCATGCCACAGAATAAAAACAAAGCTGAAAAGTTAGACTTTCTCTTTTTTTTGTTGCAGAAAATTTATAGTGTAACAAGAAAGACCTAAACTAAAAAAATAATTATAGTGCAGGCTATAAAGGCAATGGTATAGGAAGGACAGAGAGGATACTGGGAGTTTATGAGTGGAATAGTAATAAGGCTTTGAAATAAGAAACAGGCATACCAGTCAGGCACTGTATAGAGAATCATCTAGATCTAGCCACAACCATTTCAGCAGCCTCACTTTTAATCCATGTATAAGATACCTATAAAATAATAAATATCTAAAATATGCTCACTGAATTTTCATATACTGACCATCTGTGTAATCGACATCAAGATGAAGAAACAGGTTGATTAATGGGTACAAATATATAGTTTGATAGAAGAAATAAGATGTAGTGTTTGATAGATCAGGAGGATGAGTATAATTTATAATCATCTATTGTATATTTCAAATAGCTAGAAAAGAATAATTTGAATGTTTCCAGCATAGACAAAAGAAAAATATTTAAGGTTATAAATATCTCAATTATACTGATTTGATCTTTACAAATTATATGAATATATGAAATTATCACATGTACCCTGAAAATATGTACATCTATTATGCATCGATATAAAATACAATTAAAAAAAAGAAGCACGCTATTACCAGAGTCCAAAAGCAGCCCCCCTTCAGGCACCCTTTTAGTCACTATCATACTTCCCAAAAGATAACCACTATTGTAATTTCTAATACAATAATATCATACTTCCCAAAAGATAACCAGTATTGTAATTTCTAATACCATAGAGTAATTTTGCCTCACGTTGTATCCTATATAAATGAAGACATTTATTATCTTTGCGGCTTCTTTTCCTCAACATTCATACAAAGCCTTGTACATAAATATTCATAGCAGCCTATTTGCAATCGCCCAAATCTGAAAGGAAGCAACACAAATATTCACCACTAGGTGAAAGAATAAACAGCCATGGAATATTTCTACAATGGAATATTATTCATCAATAAAAACTGATAAACATTACAACATGGATCAATCCCAGAATAATTATGCTCAGTGAAAGAATCCAGGCAGAAAAAGAGAATATACTGTATAGTTACATTTACATAAAACTCCAGAAAAGTCAGACTCATCTATAGTGATAGAAAGCAGAACAATATTTGTCTGGGTGGGGAGTGGGGTGAACAGTGCCTTGGGGACACCGTTGGGGCTGATGAATTTTGTTCATTATCTTAATTACAGTGATGCTTTCACTGGTATGTATATATTTCAAAACTTGTAAAATTCTACACATTTTTCTGTTTTATTTAGAGTTTATTAGTATACAAAAATATCATATTATTAATATACACAGTTTGGTGAGTTTGTATATATTATAAATTCAAGTTTCTATTGCCACCATCCAGATAGGAGGTTTACATCACCTCCAAAAGTTTCCTTGTGTACCTTTGCTTTTTTGTTTTCTGGGTTTTTGTGTGTGTGTTCATTTATTTTTGTAGTAAGAACACTCAACGTGAGATCCACCTTCTTAATAATTGTTTTTTTTGAGATGGAGTTTCACTCTTGTTGCCCAGGCTGGAGTGCAATGGCGCAATCTTGGCTTACTGCAACCTCTGCCACCTGGGTTCAAGCGATTCACCTGCCTCAGCCTCCCGAGTAGCTGGGATTACAGGCAAGCACCACCACGCCTGGCTAATTTTGTGTTTTTAGTAGAGATGTTGTATTTTAGCAGAGGTGTTGGTCAGGCTGGTCTTGAACTCCCGACCTCGGGTGATCCGCCTGCCTTGGCCTCCCAAAGTGCTGGGATTACAGGTGTGAGCCACGCCCCCCGGCCTAAATTTTTATGTACACAATACCTTATTGTTGATAACGGCCACTGTTTGTTGTACAGAAGATCTCTGGAACTTACTCATATTGTATAACTGTAACTTTATACCCCTGACATCTTCTGGTAACCATCATTCTACTATTTACTTCTATACCTTTGATTATTTTAGGTGCCTCATATTAGAGATATTACACAGCATTTGTCCTACAACTGACTTATTTTAGTTAACATAATGTCTTCCAGGTCCATCCATGTTTTTAAAAATGGTAGCATTTTTGTCTTTTTAAAGGCTGATTAATATTTCATTGTGTGTAATGTGTACAAATGCCACATTTTTTATTCATCTGTCCATAGACATTTAGGTTGCTTTTCTTTCTTGAATATTGTGAATTTGTACATGTTAAGTATGTCAGTTTATTAGATGGCAATTGTACTTCAATAAAACTGTTTTCAAAAACAAAAAGGAGGCTAGGATATTTTACTAACAAATGTGAGGAAATGAATTCAATATGTATTCAAACCTCCAACAAAATCATCACATATTCTCATATCTTGAATTCATTTTGGGTGGTCTCTATTCAGCTGTGCATAGTAATTAAGAACAAGGCGAGAGTCACACTGCCAGGGTTCAAATCCTTCCCCCACACCTTACCAGCTTCCTGACCTTGGGCAAGTTGCTTCTTTGTGTTTTAGTTTCTTTATTTGTAAAATGGGGAAAATAATAATACCTACTTCAAGATACTATGAGGGCTATGTGAATTAATACATGTAAAGAATTTAGAGCTCAATAAATATTAGCAACTATATTACCTATTAGATTCTGGTCCCTAGATTAGGTAAAATAAAATGATCACTATTTCTTGAAAAATCAATGCAATGAGGTTTATTTCTCTTTGTTGATCTAACCGTTATACTGGAATATAAAACCACTCTTGAATAGGCTCTGCTCTATTGCTCAAACCTCATGTCTTGACATTCAGTAGCCGATGCCTCCCACACCAATGAATCTCCTTGCATCCTGCACAGTTCATCAGTTTCTCATTCATCTCCCCGCTTTTGCACATGACTTTCTTTGGCCTAGAATATCTCTTCCTCAAAACCAAGAGCTCATTGAGAGGACTAAAAAAAAAAGTTTGGTTTTCAAGTATGAGAAATTTTGTATTAAAAATTAAATTAAAAAATCTCTTAAAATAGCATATGCCTTGATATTATTAGAAGCTACATGGTTCCCATAACTTATATCAAGGAATACTGAAAGTACATTACTCAGTGGTTACATATAGAAACATTCTGAGCTATTTACCCATATTTATGGTAATTATTGTAGGAAATAATTTACATTTCAAAGTTTTACCAGTTTGTATAAAATTCTTCTACAAAGTTTCTACTTATAATAAAAATTACAATTCCAAACACTTTTTCAAGAAAAAAATATAGAATGTATTTCAATACATAGCATAAGCTGAAACAAAAATTAGTGTATTATCCATACCAAATGACATTAAAGTTCTTATTAGTTGAATGGGAAATATTTTTATGCTCCTCTTACGAGGTTAATGCGTAGTTCAAAAAACATATTTTTGAAAGCATTGTTTCATGTGCTTTGAAAAGTTTAATACATGTTAGCTGTCTGAGATTTTGTTACATTTTCAATCTTGAATCTTAGGAAATGCAAAAGAAACCACCTTGATTTTAAAAGGTTGGAAAAATAAAATTGATAGCTAAAGACATTGAGTTGTAAATTAAGGACAGTATTACATTATTGCAAAGAAACTGATACTCTTTTAACCATATGAAACCCATTGATTATTTCTTCAATCTCCCATTGTGAGGACTGAATGGTTAATCTGTGATTCAAGAACCCAAAATGTACCTGGATGTGTTTTTAAAAATGAAAAACACCTCAAGAGAATAAGCAATTCTTGTAACATGTGATGAATATCTGTCATTCACAAGAAACATTAATATAATTTGATTCTTAATCAAGTGCCTTGGAGGTAAATCAAATAAGCAACACTAGCATAAGTAATTTGATTTCTTAAACAGAATTCAAGCAAAACTATACTCTGTAGGCAAAACAGTCAAGTTGATACAAGATGGAGTACTGGAGAGAAGGGGTTTGAATCTGGTTTCTGCCACTTTCTATCAAAGTGTTCTTGAGTAAATAATTGTTTAATTTCTCTGAGACTCAATTTTCTCATGTGTAACAGGATGACAACACATACCTCACTCAGTTGTTACAAGGGTCAGTGAAATAATACATGTAGGTAAAGAGCTTGGCATGTCCAGTAAATAAATAGTATCTACCTCTCATTATTATGGAATAAGGGACAACTTATAGGCTAAATCAGTTTTGTCTGGCTTACTGTTTTGTTAGAGGGATGACAGTTTGAGTCGTAATTCATACGATTTCATGTATCTTCAGGTCAATTACAGTACCAGAAGGAATTTTAAAGATGTGTATTGTATTGTATCATATTTAAATACATCATTGGATTTATCTGCGTGGTGTTGCTCCAACATTTTTTTCTCATTTGAGTTTTTAACTCATGCCTTGAGTACCAACTGTGTCCTTGCTACTCACATAGGTAATCTTTAAGAGTTACCACTTAGTGAGGTCCAAACTCCTCACCCTACCTTTCCACTTTTATTTCTACCACTGTTTTTAACTTACTTCCCTGATCAGAAAACCAGGCCACTCCTCATTCACTAAATATATGTCAGACTTTCCTACATCCACTATTTTCTCTGCCTGATATGCTGCTGCCGTCTTTCCAATAGTTGAAATATAACTGCTCCCCTTTTACGATACTTTGGAGTTTTCAATTTATTCAGTTTTATTGAGTTATAATTGACATAAACAAGTAGTATATATTCAATATACAGACTGATGTTTCAATATATGTATACATTGTGAAATTATTACCACAATCAAGTGAATAAAGATACCCATCACTTCACTTTTTTTTTCTTTTTTTGTGATGAGAATACAGGCACGTGTCATTTTATTGCACTTTACTTTATTGTGCTTCACAGGTATTTCATTTTTTACACATTGAAGGTTTGTGGCAACCCTGTGTTGAGCAAGTCTATTGGCACCATTTTTCCAACAGCATGTGCTCACTCATGTCTTTGTATCACTTTTGGTAATATTAAACTTTTCCTTTATTGTTTTATCTATTATGTTTATTTATAATCAGTGATTTTTTTTTCGTTTTTGAGACAAAGTCTTACTCTGTTGCCCAGGCTGGAGTTCAGTGTCATGATCTCGGCTCACTGCAACTTCCACCTCCTGGGTTCAAACAATTCTCCTGCCTCAGCCTCCTGAGTAGCTGGCACTACAGATGTACACCACCACACCTGGCTAAGTTTTGTATTTTTAGTAGAGGTGGGGTTTCACCATGTTGGCTAGGCTGGTCTTGAACTCCAGGCCTCAAGTGATCCACCCACCCTGGCCTCCCAAAGTGCTTGGATTACAGGTGTGAGCCACCATGCCCAGCCAATGATCAGTGATATTTGATGTTACTACTATTGTAATTGTTTTGGGGAGCCATGAACCATGCCCATATAAGATGGAAAAGTTAATTTGATAAATGCTGTGTATATTCTGCCTGTTCCACCAAAAGACCATTCCTCTCTCCCTCTCCTTGGGATCTCTATTCCCTGAGACACAACAAATTAGGCCAATCAATAACCCTATAATGGTCTCTAAGTGTTCAAGTGAAAGGAAGATTTGTGGGTCTTCCACTTTAAATCAAAAGCTAGAAATGGTTAAGCTTAGTGAGGAAGGCATGTCAGAAGCTGGAGTCAACCAAAAGCTATACCTCTTGTGCCAAACAGTTAGCCAAGTTGTAAATTCAAAGGAACATTTCTTGAAGGAAATCAAAAGTGCCACTTCAGTGAATACATGAATGATAAGAAAGTGAAACAGGCTTACTGCTAATGTGGAGAAAGTGGTAGTGGTCTGGACAGAAGATCAAACCAGCCACAACATTCTCTTAAGCCAAAGACTAATCCAGAGCAAGACCCTAACTCTCTTCAATACTATGAAGACTGAGAAAAGTAAGGAAGCTGAAGAAGAAAAGTTTGAAGCTAGCAGAGGTTGGTTTGTGAAGTTTAAGGAAATAAGTCATCTTCATGACATAAAAGTGCAAGGTGAAGCGACAAGTGCTGATGTAGAAGCTGCAGTGAATTATCCAGAAGATCTAGCTCAGATAATTAATGAAGGTGGCTACAATAAAAAACAGGTTTTCAATATAGATAAAATAGCCTTCCTTTGGAAGAAAATGCCATCTGGGACATTCAAAGCTAAAGAGGAAATATCAATGCCTGCCATCAAAGCTTCAAAGGACAGTCTGACTCGCTTATTAGAGGCTAATGCCACTGGTAAATTAAAGTTAAAGCCAATGCTCATTTACCATTCTGAAAATCTTAGGAGCCTTAAGAATTATGCTAAATCTATTCTGCATGTGCTTTAGAAATGGAACAACAAAGTCTGGATGACAACACCTCTGTTTACATGGTTTGCTGAATATTTTAAGACTACTGTTGAGACCTACTGCTCAGAAACAAAGATTCCTTTCAAAATATACTGTTCATTGACAATGCACCTAGTCACCCAAAAGCTCCCAAGGAGATTTACAAGATTAGTGTTGTTTTTATGCCTGTGAATACAACATCCATTCTGCTGTTAATGGGTCAAGGAGTAATTTTGACTTTCAAGCCTTATTATTTAAGAAATACATTTTGTAGAGCCAGATAGTGATTCCTCACATGGACCTGGGCAAAGTAAATTGAAAACATTCTGGAGAGGATTCACCATTCTAGATGCCATTAACAGCAATCATAATTTATGAGAGGAGATCAAACTATCAACATTAACATAAGTTTGGAAGAAATTGATTCCAACCCTCATGGATGACTTTGAGGGGTTTAAGACTTCAGTGTAGAAAGTAATTTCAATGTGGTAGAAAGAGATCTAAAATTAGAAGTGGAGCCTGAAGATGTGACTGAATTGCTGCAATCTCATAAAACTTTAACAGACAGGAAATTGCTTCTTATGGATGATCTAAGAAAGTGATTTCTTTCCTCCTCCTCCTCCTCCTCCTCCTCTCCTTCTTCTTCTCTATCTCCTTACTCTACTTTTAGACAGGGTCTCACTCTGTCTTCCAGGCTGGAGTGAGTGGCACAGTCTTGACTCACTGAAGCCTTAACCAGCCAGGCTCAAGTGATCCTCCCACCTCAGCCTCCTGAGTAGCTGGGACTACAGGTGCATGACACCACACCTAGCTAATTTTGTATATTTTTGTAGAGACAGAGCTTTGGCGTGTTGCCCAGGTTGATAGCGAACTTCTGGGCTGAAGTAATCCACCTGCTTTAGCCTCCCATAGTGCTGGGATTACAGGAGTGAGTCACTGCACCTAGCGAAAGTGGTTTCTTGAGATGGAATCTACTCCTGGTAAAGATGCTGTGAACATTGTTGAAATGACAAGAAAGAATTCAGAATATTACATAAACTTATTAATAAAGTAGCCACAAATGTTTGAGAGGATAGACTCAAATTTTGAAAGAAGTTCTACTGTAGGTAAAATGCTATCAAATAGCATCACATGCTACAGAGAAATCTTAGCATCTTAAAGAGAAAGATGTTCTAGAGAAATCTTTCATGAAAGGAAGAGTCAATCAATGCAGCAAACTTCATTGTTGTCTTATTTTAAGAAATTGCCGGAGCCACCATAACCTTAATCAACCACCACCCTGATCAGTCAGCAGTCACTAACATCAAGGAAAGACCCTCTATCAACAAAAATATTACTACTTGCTGAAGCATCAGAAGATTGTTAGAATTTTTAGCAATAAAGTATTTTTTCATTAGGATATGTATATTGTTTTTAAAGACATAATGCTATTGTACACTTAATAGACTACAGTATATTGTAAACATAATGTTTATATGCAGTGGAAAACAATAGTTTCATTGCAATATTTGCTTTATTGTGGTGGTGTGAAACTGAGTCTGCAATATCTCTGAGGTATGACTGTACTTAAGATCCACTCTCTTAGCATATTTCAAGTACTCAATATATTCTTATGCTGTACATTAGGTCTCCAGTGTGTATCCATTTTACAACTGCAAGTTTGTCTCCTTTGGGCTACATCTCCCCATCTTCCCTACCCCCAAACAGCTGGTAACCACTGTTCTACTCTCGGCTTCTGTCTGTTTTTTTTTTAGATTCCACCTATAAATGAGATCATGTAGTATTTTTCTTTCTGTGTTTGGCTTATTTCACTTAGAAAAATGTCCTCAGGAGGAGGAGCCAAGATGGCCGAATAGGAACAGCTCCGGTATACAGCTCCCAGCGTGAGCGACGCAGAAGACGGGTGATTTCTGCATTTCCATCTGAGGTACCGGGTTCATCTCACTAGGGAGTGCCAGACAGTGGGTGCAGGTCAGTGGGTGCGCGCACCGTGCGCGAGCCAAAGCAGGGCGAGGCATTGCCTCACTTGGGAAGTGCAAGGGTCGGGGAGTTCCCTTTCCAAGTCAAAGAAAGGGGTGACGGACGCACCTGGAAAATCGGGTCACTCCCACCCGAATATTGCGCTTTTCAGACTGGCTTAAAAAACGGCGCACCATGAGATTATATCCCGCACCTGGATCCGAGGGTCCTACGCCCACAGAGTCTCGCTGATTGCTAGCACAGCAGTCTGAGATCAAACTGCAAGGAGGCAGTGAGGCTGGGGGAGGGGCGACCGCCATTGCCCAGGCTTGCTTAGGTAAACAAAGCAGCCAGGAAGCTCAAACTGGGTGGAGCCCACCACAGCTCAAGGAGGCCTGCCTGCCTCTGTAGGCGCCACCTCTGGAGACAGGGCACAGACAAACAAAAAGACAGCAGTAACCTCTGCAGACTTAAATGTCCCTGTCTGACAGCTTTGAAGGGAGCAGTGGTTCTCCCAACACGCAGCTGGAGATCTGAGAACGGGCAGACTGCCTCCTCAAGTGGGTCCCTGACCCCTGACCCCTGAGCAGCCTAACTGAGAGGCACCCCCCAGCAGGGGCACACTGACACCTCACACAGCAGGGTATTCCAACAGACCTGCAGCTGAGGGTCCTGTCTGTTAGAAGGAAAACTAACAAACAGAAAGGACATCCACACCAAAAACCCATCTGTACATCACCATCATCAAAGACCAAAAGTAGATAAAACCACAAAGATGGGGAAAAAACAGAACAGAAAAACTGGAAACTCTAAAACACAGAGTGCCTCTCCTCCTCCAAAGGAACGCAGTTCCTCACCAGCAACGGAACAAAGCTGGACAGAGAATGACTTTGGCGAGCTGAGAGAAGAAGGCTTCAGACGATCAAATTACTCTGAGCTATGGGAGGACATTCAAACCAAAGGCAAAGAAGTTGAAAACTTTGAAAAAAATTTAGACGAATGTATAACTAGAATAACCAATAGAGAGAAGTGCTTAAAGGAGCTGATGGAGCTGAAAACCAAGGCTCGAGAACTACGTGAAGAATGCAGAAGCCTCAGGAGCCAATGCGATCAACTGGAAGAAAGGGTATCAGCAATGGAAGATGAAATGAATGAAATGAAGCGAGAAGGGAAGTTTAGAGAAAAAAGAATAAAAAGAAATGAGCAAAGCCTCCAAGAAATATGGGACTATGTGAAAAGACCAAATCTACGTCTGATTGGTGTACCTGAAAGTGATGGGGAGAATGGAACCAAGTTGGAAAACACTCTGCAGGATATTATCCAGGAGAACTTCCCCAATCTAGCAAGGCAGGCCAACGTTCAGATTCAGGAAATACAGAGAACGCCACAAAGATACTCCTCGAGAAGAGCAACTCCAAGACACATAATTGTCAGATTCACCAAAGTTGAAATGTAGGAAAAAATGTTAAGGGCAGCCAGAGAGAAAGGTCGGGTTACCCACAAAGGGAAGCCCATCAGACTAACAGCGGATCTCTCGGCAGAAACCCTACAAGCCACAAGGGAGTGGGGGCCAATTTTCAACATTCTTAAAGAAAAGAATTTTCGACCCAGAATTTCATATCCAGCCAAACTAAGCTTCATAAGTGAAGGAGAAATAAAATACTTTACAGACAAGCAAATGCTGAGAGATTTTGTCACCACCAGGCCTGCCCTAAAAGAGCTCCTGAAGGAAGCGCTAAACATGGAAAGGAACAACCAGTACCAGTCGCTGCAAAATCATGCCAAAATGTAAAGACCATCGAGACTAGGAAGAAACTGCATCAACTAATGAGCAAAATCACCAGCTAACATCATAATGACAGGATCAAATTCACACATAACAATATTAACTTTAAATGTAAATGGGCTAAATGCTCCAATTAAAAGACACAGACTGGCAAATTGGATAAAGAGTCAAGACCCATCAGTGTGCTGTATTCAGGAAACCCATCTCACGTGCAGAGACACACATAAGCTCAAAATAAAAGGATGGAGGAAGATCTACCAAACAAATGGAAAACCAAAAAAGGCAGGGCTTGCAATCCTAGTCTCTGATAAAACAGACTTTAAACCAACAAAGATCAAAAGAGACAAAGAAGGCCATTACATAATGGTAAAGGGATCAATTCAACAAGAAGAGCTAACTATCCTAAATATATATGCACCCAATACAGGAGCACCCAGATTCGTAAAGCAAGTCCTGAGTGACCTACAAAGAGACTTAGACTCCCACACATTAACAATGGGAGACTTTAATACCCCACTGTCAACATTAGACAGATAAACGAGACAGAAAGTTAACAAGGATACCCAGGAATTGAACTCAGCTCTGCACCAACCGGACCTAATAGACATCTACAGAACTCTCCACCCCAAATCAACAGAATATACATTTTTTTCAGCACCACACCACACCTATTCCAAAATTGACCACATACTTGGAAGTAAAGCACTCCTCAGCAAATGTAAAAGAACAGAGATTATAACAAACTGTCTCTCAGACCACAGTGCAATCAAACTAGAACTCAGGACTAACAAACTCACTCAAAACTGCTCAACTACATGGAAACTGAACAAACTGCTCCTGAATGACTACTGGATACATAACGAAATGAAGGCAGAAATAAAGATGTTCTTTGAAACTAACGAGAACAAAGACACAACATACCAGAATCTCTGGGACACATTCAAAGCAGTGTGTAGAGGGAAATTTATAGCACTAAATGCCCACAAGAGAAAGCAGGAAAGATCCAAAATTGACACCCTAACATCACAATTAAAAGAACTAGAAAAGCAAGAGCAAACACATTCAAAAGCTAGCAGAAGGCAAGAAATAACTAAAATCAGAGCAGAACTGAAGGAAATAGAGACACAAAAAACCCTTCAAAAAATTAATGAATCCAGGAGCTGGTTTTTTGCAAGGATCAACAAAACTGATAGACTGCTAGCAAGACTAATAAAGAAAAAAAGAGAGAAGAATCAAATAGACACAGTAAAAAATGATAAAGGGGATATCACCACCGATCCCACAGAAATACAAACTACCATCAGAGAATACTACAAACACCTCTACGCAAATAAACTAGAAAATCTAGAAGAAATGGATAAATTCCTCGAAACATACACTCTCCCAAGACTAAACCAGGAAGAAGTTGAATCTCTGAATAGACCAATAACAGGAGCTGAAATTGTGGCAATAATCAATAGTTTACCAACCAAAAAGAGTCCAGGACCAGATGGATTCACAGCTGAATTCTACCAGAGGTACAAGGAGGAACTGGTACCATTCCTTCTGAAACTATTCCAATCAATAGAAAAAGAGGGAATCCTCCCTAACTCATTTTATGAGGCCGGCATCATTCTGATACCAAAGCCGGGCAGAGACACAACCAAAAAAGAGAATTTTAGACCAATATCCTTGATGAACATTGATGCAAAAATCCTCAATAAAATACTGGCAAACCGAATCCAGCAGCACATCAAAAAGCTTACCCACCATGATCAAGTGGGCTTCATCCCTGTGATGCAAGGCTGGTTCAATATACACAAATCAATAAATGTAATCCAGCATATAAACAGAGCCAAAGACAAAAACCACATGATTATCTCAATAGATGCAGAAAAAGCCTTTGACAAAATTCAAAAACCCTTCATGCTAAAAATTCTCAATAAATTAGGTATTGATGGGACGTATTTCAAAATAATAAGAGCTACCTATGACAAACCCACAGCCAATATCATACTGAATGGGCAAAAACTGGAAGCATTCCCTTTGAAAACTGGCACAAGACAGGGATGCCCTCTCTCACCACTCCTATTCAACATAGTGTTGGAAGTTCTGGCCAGGGCAATTAGGCAGGAGAAGGAAATAAAGGCTATTCAATTAGGAAAAGAGGAAGTCAAATTGTCCCTGTTTGCAGACGACATGATTGTATATCTAGAAAACCCCATTGTCTCAGCCCAAAATCGCCTTAAGGTGATAAGCAACTTCAGCAAAGTCTCAGGATACAAAATCAATGTACAAAAATCACAAGCATTCTTATACACCAACAACATACAAACAGAGAGCCAAATCATGAGTGAACTCCCATTCACAATTGCTTCAAAGAGAATAAAATACCTAGGAATCCAACTTACAAGGGATGTGAAGGACCTCTTCAAGGAGAACTACAAACCACTGCTCAATGAAATAAAAGAAGATACAAACAAATGGAAGAACATTCCATGCTCATGGGTAGGAAGAATCAATATCGTGAAAATGGCCATACTGCCCAAGGTAATTTACAGATTCAATGCCATCCCCATCAAGCTACCAATGACTTTCTTCACAGAATTGGAAAAAACTACTTTAAAGTTCATATGGAACCAAAAAAGAGCCCACATCGCCAAGGCAATCCTAAGCCAAAAGAACAAAGCTGGAGGCATCACACTACCTGACTTCAAACTATACTACAAGGCTACAGTAACCAAAACAGCATGGTACTGGTACCAAAACAGAGATATAGATCAATGGAACAGAACAGAGCCCTCAGAAATAATGCCGCATATCTACAACTATCTGATCTTTGACAAACCTGAGAAAAACAAGCAATGGGGAAAGGATTCCCTATTTAATACATGGTGCTGGGAAAACTGGCTAGCCATATGTAGAAAGCTGAAACTGGATCCCTTCCTTACACCTTATACAAAAATCAATTCAAGATGGATTAAAGACTTAAACGTTAGACCTAAAACCATAAAAACCCTAGAAGAAAACCTAGGCATTACCATTCCGGACATAGGCATGGGCAAGGACTTCATGTCTAAAACACCAAAAGCAATGGCAACAAAAGACAAAATTGACAAATGGGATCTAATTAAACTAAAGAGCTTTTGCACAGCAAAACAAACTACCATCAGAGTGAACAGGCAACCTACAAAATGGGAGAAAATTTTCACAACCTACTCATCTGACAAAGAGCTAATATCCAGAATCTACAATGAACTCAAACAAATTTACAAGAAAAAAACAAACAACCCCATCAAAAAGTGGGTGAAGGACATGAACAGACACTTCTCAAAAGAAGACATTTATGCAGCCAAAAAACACATGAAAAAATGCTCATCATCATTGGCCATCAGAGAAATGCAAATCAAAACCACAATGAGATACCATCTCACACCAGGTAGAATGGCAATCATTAAAAAGTCAGGAAACAACAGGTGCTGGAGAGGATGTGGAGAAATAGGAACACTTTTACACTGTTGGTGGGACTGTAAACTAGTTCAACCATTGTGGAAGTCAGTGTGGTGATTCCTCAGGGATCTAGAATTAGAAATACCATTTGACCCAGCCATCCCATTACTGGGTATATACCCAAAGGAATATAAATCATGCTGCTATAAAGACACATGCACACGTATGTTTATTGTGGCATTATTCACAATAGCAAAGACTTGGAACCAACCCAAATGTCCAACAATGATAAACTGGATTAAGAAAATGTGGCACATATACACCATGGAATACTATGCAGCCATAAAAAATGATAAGTTCATGTCCTTTGTAGGGACATGGATGAAATTGGAAATCATCATTCTCAGTAAACTATCGCAAGAACAAAAAACCAAACACCGCATATTCTCACTCATAGGTGGGAATTGAGCAATGAGATCACATGGACACAGGAAGGGGAATATCACACTCTGGATACTGTGGTGGGGTGGGGGGCGGGGGAGGGATAGCATTGGGAGATATACCTAATGCTAGATGACGGGTTAGTGGGTGCAGCACACCAGCATGGCACATGTATACATATGTAACTAACCTGCACAATGTGCACATGTACCCTAAAACATAAAGTATAATTAAAAAAAAAAAAAAAGAAAAATGTCCTCTAGTTTCATCCATGTTGTTACAAATGGTAGAATCTCTGTTTTTAAGGCTAAATGATATTTATATAGTGTTTATATTTGTGTGTGTAGGTATGTACATATATAATGCAATTTCTTTATCCATTCATCAGTCAATAGGCATTTACGTTGTTTCCATATTTTGGCTATTGTGAATAATCCTGCAATGAACATGGGACTGCAAATCTCTCTTTGATTTTTTTATTTTCTTTGGTTATAATATATACAGAAGGGGAATTGCTGGATCATATGGTAGTTTTAACTTTTTAAGGAATCTTCGTACCGTTTTCTGTAATGGCTGTACCAATTTACATTCTCAGCAGTTTACCTTTTCTCTACTCTCTTTCCAATATCTAGTTATCTCTAGTCTTCTTGATAATACCCATCCTAACTGGTATACTGTGATAACTCATGGCTTTGATTTGCATTTTCCTGATGATTAGTGATGTTGAACATCTTCTCATATACTTGTTGTCATTCATAAGTCTTCTTTGGAAAAATGTTTATTTACATCCTTTGTCGATTCCATTTTGTAAACTGGGTTATTTTTTGTTTGCTTTTTTTTTTTTTTTGCTATTCAGTCGTATGAACTCTTAAAATATATTTTGGATATTAACTTCTTATTAGATATATAGTTTGCAAATATTTTCTCCCCATCTATAGGGTGCCTTGTATTTGTTCTTTTTTTTTTTTTTTTAATCTGGAGACAGGGTCTCACTCTGTCACCCAGGCTGGAGTGCAGTGGTGCAGTCATGGCTCACTGCAGTCTTGTTCTCCTCGGTTTCAGTGATCCTCCCACCTCAGCCTCCCAAGTAGCTGAGACCACAAGCATGCACTACCACTCTTGGTTAATTTTGTTTTTTTTTTTGTAGAGATGGGGATCTTACTATGTTGCCCAGACTAGTCTTGAACTCTGGCCTCAGTGATCCTCCTGCCTTGGCCTCCTAAAGTTCTGAGATTATAGGTGCGAGTCACCATACCCAGCCTGCCTTTTTATTTTGTTGACTGTTTCATTTGCTGTGTAAAAACCTTTTTGTTTGAGTTAGTCTCATTTGTTTTTCTTTTGTTGCCTGAGCTTTTGGTGTCATAATAATTCAAACGGAAGTGACAGCTATACGCATATTAGTTGAATGATGCTAACAATTTCAAACTCAACAATGTTCTAGCAGCATGATTAGAACTAATAGCACATACAAGTACTGGTTTCATTGGAAATTTTGATAGGAATAATATTGGAAATAGTTTCATATTTTTATAGATACAGGGACTGATTTTAGACATTTTAATTTTGTTGTTATTGCATATAATAGTACTTCTGACACTCAGCAGAAGATTGCATTTCCTCTGATTGCCATATCCCCTCTATTCATTTAACAAATCTAACTTTGCACAAAGCACTTTTCTATCCAGTGGAGCTATAATGATGAATAAGACATAGTCCCGCTTTCAAAGAGCTCAAGAAAGCAGACCTTGAAACAACTAATTAAAATATGATGTGATAACATTTTAGAAATTTTATATCCAAAGTCCCATGTGCACATGTTTGGGGATCCAGGGAAATCTTCAAAGAGGCATTGACATTTGGACTGGATCTTAGTCAAACTAATAAAGGGAAGCAGATTTATAAGTCAATCAAAAACAGTTATAAATGCAAGATGCATTATTCTGGCTTTGCAATTTGTTGCTAGTTGCTTTGAACATGGCTGTGTCTTTTTTTTCTGGAAAATACTTTTGAAATTAAACCACAAAGCCACAGAGTAAAGCCCTGATTTAAGGAACAACCTAGAAGCAGTTTTTGTAAAACTTCTTCTTTTTTTCCTTATATATGACAAGAATAAGCTACACTCTGATGAAAGTCCTTTGAATTTCACTTCCAAAAATGTCTCCCAATTTTGTTTACTTTTTCTTCCCTATTATCAATAATACTCTCCTTCTTTTGTCATGATTACAGCAGCTGGTCTCCCTGTCCTTCGTATTCACTCCCATGATATTTTCATAAAGGCTACTTAGAGAAACATAGACCCCCAAATGGCAATTTCTGTCCTGAGGTTATTGTCAACATTTAAGAGGATCTAAGAAGTTGGCTCACAGCACTTCTTACTGGTATTTTCTATCCGACTGCATAGCACACCAAAACTCCTAGGAAAACCTTACTCTCCTACCCAAAGAAGTCTCTTTCCTGACATCACGTCTACCCCATCTTCTGCCCTGATCATCCCCTTGCTCAGCGCTGAAGTCCTACAGTGCAAGCTCCTGATGTCCTCTCACCTCCAGCTCCCACAAGGAGCCCACGAGAGAGAATAATTCTCCTCCTTTGACTTTTATTTGAGAGCATCTTGCAGTGACTGTTGTCTTTTCTTCTCTCAGGAAGTGGACACAGAGAACAAAGCTAAGTGGGAAAGGAGGAAGGAAAAATATAAAAATCTCCATTTTATCCCATCCCATTTTAATTTGCCTCTTTTTCTCCCCTACCCAGCGTATGCAAACATTTCTCCAGTGTCTCGGAGCATTTCCCGGAGAAATACCAACTTCCTGTAATTAAAACACATTCGTATTAGTAGTTAACCTCCTCTCTTCTAAGGAATAGAGTCTTAGTTTTATGGGTGGTAAAATAGCTCCTTGTTACTTTAACAGCAGCAAACAAGACCAACCTTCAGGGTTCCGGGTTTGTCCCGTTCACCCTGACCAAGGCAGGGGACCCTGACTCCATGGCTTAGGGAATGAATCTGCAGTCCTTAACCTGGGATTGTTCCTGAGAATTTCTGTTCAGTATGGAAATTTTGACCTGCTCCGTTTCCGACCTGAGTTGGTTCACCCCTCCTTAGAAAACCGAGTGGTCCCCGCTCCAGGAAGGTCACCATATTGATGCCAAACTTAGTGTTGCCACCCGATCAGCATAATACACTACAGCCTAGAACTCCTGGGGTCAAGAAATCCTCCTGCCTCAGTCTCCTGAGTAGCTGGGACTACAGGCATGTGCCACCCCGCCTGGATGTTCTGCAGTATTTCCAACCAGCGCTGAGAAATCTCTCATTCCTACCGAGGCCACAGCGGACCCCTGGGCCCCTCTAGGAACCGTGCTTGGCAGGACCACTTCCCACTCCTAGGGGTTTGGAGATGTGGTTTCTCGAGAGAGGGTCCTTTCAGTAGCCTCTCAGAAACCGTCTTTGCTGCTGTCTTCTGAGACTCCAATTTCATTCATCAGAGAGTTCTTGGCCTGAGGCCAGTCATGACATTAGGCCTGGAAATTTTTGTCAGATTTCCTACTTAGTGGGTTCTTTGTTTTTGAGTTTGTCCCTTCCTCGTAACAACTAAGTGGCAGGCATATTCTGGCCAGTGCGCAGTCTTTTTTTTTTTTTTTTTTTTTTTTAAAGCAGTTTTAGGTTTACAGCAAAATTGAGAGGAAAGCACAGAGATTTCTCATATACTCCCCACCCGAACACATGCATAGCTTTCCCTAATATTCACATTCCCGGCCTGAGTGGTACATTGTTTCAACTGATAAACTACATCTACACATTATAGTCACCCAAAGTCCACAGTTTACATTAGGGTTCACTCTCAGTGTACATTTGATGGGTTTGGACAAATGTATAATGACATGTATCCATCATGGATGGATTATAATATATATTTGACGGATTTGGACAAATGTACACCATATATATAAATATATGTATATATACATTTTATAATATATATTTATATATAAATATTATACATAGCAGAGTAAATATATATCACACACAGCTTGTTCTTTTATATATATATACATTTATTTATATATATAGTATCATTATCCATCATGCAGAGAGTCTTCACTGCCCTAAAATCAAAGTCTGTTTATCCCATTAGCTGCATTATAAACCTGTGATTTTTCTAGTAACTAGTAGATCACACAAACAACTCCAAAATTCGCTTTATCTTCAGTTCTACAGTAACAGTCAAATCAGCAAGGCAGCCATTCTCAGTTAGTGGGGTGGATCTTGAATATAGACTCAGAAAATCTGCCAGAAGCCTTGTCTTCTCCTGCAGAAAGAATTTTTAAATTTTTACGACTTGAATGACCTCATCATGCCACCTAAGTCTGTTTCTTCATCTGAACAAGCATTCTTAAATCAGTCGTGCATTCTCTAAAAACACTGTATCTCCAATCTCAGTGTGACTATCAAAATGTCCCATTGGCTCCACAGTGGATTTTCAAAGATAATACAGCTTGTTCTAGATGCACTTTTGCCCCTTTATGTTTTAAATGCAGATGTCAGTCTGTCACTATTTAAGAGCATTCTTGTTTTTTTTTTTTTTTCTAAGATAAGGATTCTTTGGAGAAGTGACTTTACTTCTCCAAGAAACTAATGAAGCTTGTGATACCTGTAGTATCTAGAATCTAGTAGTAACGACAAACAGGAAGTCCAATCTTTACAAATACCTGTTTTAAATCTTTAAGGTAGGAAGGCAATACAGTTCAAATCTTTAGTCTTCAGCAAATTTTATTAAAATATCTTGACTTGTTTTCTTCTACTTTCACATAACTGCACTTCTGATTCTTCTACTCCAGCTGACTCTTTTTCCCTGCCATCCTGTCCTATCTTGGTCCCTCAATTTCTTGTCTCCTCTACACCTTTGATAGTCTCACACCACATCCTTATCACACGTGTTGTTTTCCCAGTGTTCATAGTCTCTTTAGGAGTAAAATATGTCTATTCTGTTTGTCTAATAATAATCTGGCAGAAACCTCACTACAGGTTATGCCAGATTATTATGGGTTATGCTAAGTGTTATGCTAAGTGAAAGGAACCAGACATAAAAGATGTCTACATGAATAATTCTACTTATATGAAATGTTCAGAAAAGGACAATGTATAAAGACAGAAAGCAGTTTAGTAGTTACCTGGGGCTAGGGTAGGAAAGGAGATTAGAATGGGGATTAACTGTGAATAAGCAGGAAGAACTTGGGCACTTGGATAATAGAAATGGCCAAAATTAAATTGTGGTGATAATTGCACTTCTCTATAAATGTATTAAAAATATTGAATTGTACACTTAAAATGAGTTCATTCTATGGTATGTATTTCACACACCTCAATAAAACTGGTTTTTTTTAAAAAAAGAATTGTCTAAGTAGCTTTAGAGACAGGGTCTTGTTCTGTTGCCCAGGCTGGAGTGCAGTGGTGTGATCATAGCTCATTGTAGCCTCAAACTCTTGGCCTCAAGTGATCCTCCTGCCTTGGCCTCTCAAAGCAATGGGATTATAGGTGTACACCACTACACTTGGCCCAGAGTGGCTTTTGTTATTTGCTTGCTTAGCAAGGAGTTTGAATTCTTACTTAGCCAATGTTATCCCATCACTTACAAATCTAACGTGTCATTCCGCTGCTTAAAACCATTTCATCAAAACCTCTCTATTGCCCAGAAAATAAAGTCTAACCATGTCATGAGAGCCCCTTCACAGTTTCTTCTCTGTCTACCTCATGGTTACTCCTTCCTCGTGCTTTCTATTTTACATATCAACCCCTTGTAACATGGGGTTTTCTCTATGAGTAACACTCATTTTCCTTTTGCCCATTTTAAAATTCCAATTTATGGTTTGAAAGACTCCTCAGGCTTCACCTGGACTTTACAGATAGGACTAAGAAATATAACTTCTCTGTACTCTTTCTGGGACTTCATCACATCTCCATAATCTTATATACTATGCTGTACTGAATATAATGCTTCACTTGTCTCTGTTCCTTATCAGACCTTAAGCTTCTAAACAGCAGGGACTCCTTGTACATGGTGTTTCTAGTGTTAATCCTTGTGCTTGACACACAGTCAGTCCTCAACAAATGTTTATTGAATTGGATTGAATTAAAGATTTGCATTTCTCTAAAATTTGCCCAAGCACAAGAGGCGATGAAGAGCTTGGATTTCAGATGTTCTATCTATATGTAAAATACAGCTGAAATCAAAGCAAGTTGTACGTGTGTGAGGGTTGGAAGAATTACTGGTTTAATAAAAGATTTTTACCTCATTGAGATTTGAGCAAGACGTAGTTTCCACATTCTCATGCTGTTCTAAACCCATCTGTTCTGGAATTATTATTTTTACTCTACTAGACCTCCAGATGCTATATTTTTGCCCTGGTAATAGTATTTTTTATGCCAATGAATAAATATAGACTATCAGTCTTTATTAACTTATATTGATTGCTAGTGGCAGAAACAAGTGACACAAATAAAACTGACTATGCCTAACATGCCTTCCCTTTAAAAACTGATAAAATAATCATAATTTTTGGTGACAAAATTTAGATCTGCCAGTTTTGGCTCAAGAAAAGTTGATTTGATTAAAAAGATAAGACAAAATAGCAGGAACCTTAATTGGCAAAATTTGATATGGACAAAAAATATGGCTGGTAGAATACAGTTATGAAATTCTTAACAAAGTTCCAGAAACCCGTAACTTCTGAGAAATATACGGGCATATGTATTCTATTCTCTGAGGCACTCCTAAAAGGCATAACAACTGGCTTCTCTTCATGAGATGCCAATAAAATGATGAAAGGCAATACAGAGTGTTGTTCACATCATGCCCCACGTTCCTGAGAGTAGTCTAATATTATGAAGAAGGAAAGGGTTGTATGGTATTTGTATCGTACAGAATGGGTAGCCACATACTGTACTGCCTTCTTCTTAAGGGGTCGTTTTTGTTGTTGTTTTTCTTTACTGAATATGTTTAGCCAAATTTTGGCTTAATATGCATATCCTACTACTCATGAATGTAAAATCAATAGAATATATTTATAAAAGACAGTTCAATACAATTATTTCAATATAGATGCATATAAAAATATTTCATCTTATTATCATTTTACCTGTTTTTTTTAAAAAGTATATATTGAGGCTGAAAATATATGAAACGTCACAGATAAACACAGGCAGTATTTTGTTAAACTGGTATGCATAATTCCTCTTAGAATAAAAGATTAGAGTCACACAAATATTATGAATGAATTTACAATCACTTATGATTGTTGAAGCACTAACCAGGACATATAACATGGACAGTGGGCAAAATAAATCATATATTATATTCAATTGTATTTATTTTAACCTTTTACTTTTATAATCACTTCTGCTGATTAAGTTTTAAAGAACTTTAGCTTTGATAACAGTTATTCCACTTACTTGTTAATTTCTTTTCATTAAGAAAAGTTTCCTTTATGCTACACATACAAGTTTTCAATTGTTATATATTATCGAGACCAGAAAGGCAACATGGTTTACTGCAGTAAGGTTAATTATTCAACAGTCTGCACACTGATGCAGACTTTTATTGCTGCTGTATAAGATTTTTAAGCTTTAATAATGAAAGGTCCAGTTTCTTCCTTAGAACATCATAAAGTCAAAACAGCAATGTTTCTTTAATCTTTAAAGCTACTTTCACATAGAATGTTTTAAGCAATCTCTTTTTAAGTAATCTCTAAAATAAATTTCGGAAAGCTGAATAAATTGGTGGCATTTGAAGGGCACTGAGAATTCATAAGAACACATTATAAAACTACACTAAGATAGTGCAACTTATTCTACAGCAATGTCAGGAATTTACATTTTTTATTTTTAGAATAGCAATATACCTTTTAATTTTTGAGAGACATATGCAATATATGTGACAATGACAGAAGTCAATTAGCATAGAGTATACACAGCTAAGAACAAGGTGGTACAAACACAGTAAGCAGACTTAAAATTTTTACATATAGATCTTCATAAGTACTCATGGAAAAATCAGCATTTACACAATTTGAACAAAAAACCAACATCTACTTTCAGATATCTGTTTTATACAAAGAGTTAGGCATTCTAAGGCAATTTTATATTTATATATTTCACATAATTGATATTCATAAAACAGAATAGAAATATTCAATAAAGTACATTTCAGTTCCATAGCATAGGTTTTACAAAAAAATGTTTCTTTCCTAGGCAGTAAAATGAAATAGAACCAAAAAAATAGGAAAAGCCCGTAAGTGCAATGTGTCCTGCTCACACCTGTTTTATAAAAAGAACCTTTGAATTGTATTTAATCAAGCAATAGCTCCAACACAATCATTGTAAATTATTTGTATTTTGACTTGTTCCAAAAAGGAGTTAACATGGGATGAAGAATGAATTTGCTGTACTGCATTAGGCATCAGCAAGATGGTGACCTTGTATGTTGAATTTCAAGCTTTTCAAAATTTCAATATGAAATATATCCTACTTCTAAATTGTATGTATAAAATGTTAAAAGCAAATGAACCCATTATGTCGATTGTTATTTATTTAGCAAAAGTATCATTACAGAGATTCATTTTCTATGCAAATTGAAATGCTATAAGCCATTGAACTGCATGAAAAGCCAATATGGTTAATTAACAAATGTATTTTAGAGCTACAAAATAACTGTTCCACATTAAATTACATAAGATGAAAGGATACATAAAATCAATCAATCATCAGCATTTCATATTTTGACTTGTGCCATCTGGGAACTTTGCAAAATAAGTCCACAATGGAACATCATCAGGGAGTATGACAGAAAAACGAGCAATTATATTCGGTCTCTGAAGAATTTAACAAACTAGAGAAATTATCTTATTTACTGCATTAGGATGACTTTTAAATTATGGCTTAGTTTGATCCCATTTAAAAATATATACAAAAATTATACACAAAAGCACCTTAACATAACAAATAGTGAAATCAATTAGATAAAAATATGGGTATTAATGTTTTTCTGAGACTGATAAAATTTCATATTCATTGAAAGTTATGGCAACTGAACACATTTGGAAAAAAATCAGGTCTCTCTATATTAGTCAGAAATGTCATCGTTAAACTTTAACAAAGACCAAACATTTTGTAGATACTAGGCAGTAAGAAGGCAGCCCCCATCAGCAGGTAGCGCACCAAAAATGTTTGGTTTCATAATATAGTTTGGGAGAACTACCTCTACAAAGTCTATTCGTGCTGATGCTCCTGATGCTGCCATTTCTGGTGCCCGAAAAGCTGCTCCCTCCACATCCTCTGTTGTAGGTGTCACTGTATAGTCTCAGGCGATTGGGCAAGGGGCACACTCTGGATCTTCAGATGCTAAGATGAAAAAAATCAATTTCAATGCCCAAAAGATGGAACTCCTAATGCAGAAGGTGACTAAAATAATTACCAATTGGTTTACAGTACAGGGAGGTAGAAAGTTTACTTGTTTTAATGTAATTCTGTAGAAATAGGTTTTAAGTAATATTTTTGTAAAGAGGCATAGTTCTAGGATTAGGAAAAAATGTTAGATAAAATAAAAACAGAAAATTAAACTCAGAGTGGAATTGGGCCAGATGACGAAAAACATGCACACCCCCTGAAAGGAGCAAGCAAAACTTTCATATGATGATCATCAGGTGATAAGCCATTGTCATGAAAATTACTTGCTTACACTATCACTTCCAAGCTTCTACTCATTTCCAATAACTCTCTGAGATAACAAGCATGATTAACGCATACTGTTTAAGGCATAATAGAAATGGACACATTGATATTTTACTATGAATTTTAATGTCCCCTACACTCTCTGAAAATGACAAAATTTATGAATTTCCCTTCTATGAAATTTTCTTCTCCAGTATAGCAGCTCAAATCATATTAAGATAATTCAGTTTAATCTCCATAGTGTTTGAAAAAGATCTCATATGAGAAAACATCATTGAAAGACACCAATGAGAGAGGTATATGTAAATGAACAAACTGTAGAAGAACACATTTTATTACATTAAAAGAATTTTGACTGAAATAATGTTTTGGGTTGTAAACAAATAATTATTCTTCCCATTTATTTTTCTGTTAAATATTTAAATAGCAACTTTTGCCAGGCATCTCCATGTTTTAATGAAAATATGTGTAATTTGGATCTTGAGAGGAAATTTTAAAAACCATTGACTTGAATGCAGAATGATAAATGTATATATGAGAACAAAATCATTTATAAAAATATTTATCATCTCTAGATACAGCAATAGCTCAAATTAATAAAGTATGGGTATTTGGAATTAAATCATTTAAGTAACCACCTTTTTAATTTAAGAAATTGGCATTTTTATAACAGTTGCTTTTACAGCTTGTGCACCTGACTCCATTATATTTGATATACTGTAGAGTAACAAATGATCATAAGTCATGACAGATTCTTATTGAACATAATTTTTCAGCAGAAACCATCCTGAATAAATTAATCATGCTATTACTCTACTTTAAGTTTCTCCCCATTTCTTCCAGAAAAGCCACCAATCACATTTCAATTAATAACTTACACATATTTTGTTTACAATTTTTTATGTACTACATTTATTCAAACTAATTAAATGCTACAACTTTACCAACTTGTACTAATTTAAACGTTGGATATGCTCAGACAAATGCAATTATGGCTACACAGAATATTAAAGGATGGTTGAACACATTAGCTGCATTAGAAATTTCTTTTTGATCCATCTAAAGAGACTTGTATATTTTCCATTAAAAAATGAAAATATAATGTTTCATTACAGTATTTTTGCATACAACTGAAATTAGTGCACATGAATCTTAAAATATTTTCACAATAGAATGTAAGAAGTGTAGTTCTAAAATCCATATAATTATTACTTACATTAGAAAAATTTGGCAAATACTCTAAAGGTTGAACAATTTCATGTATATAATAGGTACACTGGGAACATACATAGATTATTTGAACAAAAATTACTTAGCTTCATGTTTAATTGACAGGCAATACATAAACAGATTCCTTGTGAGAATATTTTGTCTCATGGATTTTGCTATAAGTTGGGTTTTATGTGTTTATTTTTGGATGGAATATGAAATAGTCATTTAAAAGAGGTGTTTACAGATTGATATAGCCATTTCACATGATTATCTTAACTCTCTCAATGTATGTTTATAAAGTTCACATTCTTATTTTGCTGATATAAGGAAAATAACAGCATGTGTAAAATATTACAAAGAATATTATATTTTTATATTTTAAATACTCGACTATATTTTATAAATTACACATGGATCATGCTACATAGCTCAAATTCAAACACAAACTGAATATAATTATGCATTCGGTGCATTTTTGAATGATTCTGAAACGTGCAACTTAATCCTGCTGAACTTAAAACAATTGAATCTTAGTGTTTTGTCTCAGATCTCTCTGCCATATCATTTGATCTTCTCATAGGGCATATAGATTATTCAAAAATAAAATTGTCTAACAGAACAGTAATATAGCAATCAATAGTCTCAGCCCACTATTGAACCAGCCAAAATTTAACACCAGCTGAAAGCTTAAGGTATTACAGCATACAATTTGGCTTTGAAGATAGGGCATACGTATACATCATTTTCTTTAAACATCAAGGTGATCAATACATAAATCTTTATAATGGCAAGCAACATTTTATTCTTAAAATACATTGTATAAACTTTCCCAATTTATGCATCATTTGTGGTATAACATTATTAAAAGTCAATGAATTAAGAATATATTTTTATTACAAAATGCAGTCATCAGCTAGAGCAGTCTTTAGCTAACCATTAAGAAAATTTACATCATATAATTGTTGGCATATAAAAGTTTGAGCTAAATACATGCAATTGTGTTCAAGCTACGTCATGCTTGCTCTAAGACATACCTTATAACATTTTCAAATATTTTGTTGATATGTTAAAGTGTTTCAAAAGGCTTAATAAAAAATGGAAGCATAATTATCTATGGCTTCCAAGCCTCTACAGAAGAGGGAGTGAGTGCTCTAAGAGGTGGAAAATGGAGGGAGTGATAGAATGTTGGGAGAATTCAAGAAATAATTTTAAGAGCTAACTTATAATTTGGGTCTTTATTTCTCCATAAGCGTTTACTATACAAAAAAAGAGAAGGAATTCTAGGCATCGGGAATTGCATGTATACATTTATTAAAACTTTAAAGGAAATAACTTATTAGGAATGGTGAGATATTTTTTTCATAAGGGAGCTTAATATGGAGGGGATTGTTGGGAGATGAAACAATTTGCCTTTTGTCCCTATACACCTATTTCTATACCTCACTGTTTTTTAATTCAATCTCAAAGAAGGAGTCCATCTACTCAGGTAAAATTCTTGCTTCTATACTTGATACCAGGCTCAATCAACCTCTTCTATGAAGGACCTGGTTTGCTAAATTTTCCCTTTTCTTCTTTGGCATTATTCTCTCTACTGGCTCCTTAACCTTGGGCTGTGTGTACTCGACACCTCTGCTACCTCCTCTTCCACACCTAACCTGTAAACCTGATAGCTAGCACACGTTGACATTTATTTCTTGTTCACTGAACTAAAGTTTATTGAGCATCTACTGTGTGTAGGCAATGTACTAAACCTTCTCCCCTGCTGAAAAGGGCAGTCTATCTTACTTCCTCACCAACCATTCATTCATTGCCCCACTGCTCTCTGAATTTAGAGCCCATCCACTTATCACACCTGCTTTGGTAACGTAAGATGAAAGCTAGAACTGACTCCCACATTTGCTGTTCTCAGGCTGAACTTAGGCAAGATATTTGACTGTCTTGAGATATAATCTTTGCAATCTGTAAAATGGACATAGTGACAGTTTCCTTGATCTATTATAATGAATCTCAAAATGAAATATCATACACATGCCATGCTTTATCCATTGGCTAGCACATGAAAGCCTAAGGAATTGTTATTAGGTATAAATGTCCAAAAATCCTTCTGATTTCAAATCCAGCTAACATTTATCAATCTTTACCTTTGGGATCTCTATTGATTATTCCCTATATCAAAGCTCTCTACTCTCTTGGACTCTATGATAAGTGCCTTTCCTGCTTCACCTCATACTTTACTGTCTCTTTCAGGGGCTTGTTCTCTGCCTGTCCCATAAATGTTGGTTTTCTTTTCTTTTAAGTATATTGTTCTTATCACTCGGTATGTGAGGATGGGCTCTCATAGTTTCACATAACATATGAGAATAGTAAAGACAAAATCTAGACTTCCAGCCCAATTATCTGTCTTTGTGCTTCAGAGTCCTCTATCTAACTGTATTTCAGGTAATGTAATTGGATTCCTCAAACTGAATTCATCATTTCCTCTCTGAACAAGCTTCTTACTTTGGATTTTTTTTTAACCTTCATTGATGATGTCACCATCTACTGGGTCATTCACATCAGAAATCCAGAGACCTAGATTAGGCTTCTCCCTCTCATTTCTAACATCCAAGTAACCTTAATCCTGTGCCAATTTTATTTCCTAAATATTTCAGTAATTTGTCCCTTTCTCTCCATCTCTGTTAACAAAGTTCTATAGAATAATCCGAGTTTTGCCATGATTCCATGATTATTACAATAACCTATTGATTTATCTCTTCTTTCTCAAAACTCCACATGATTACCAAATGAAATTTAACCACATCACTCCCCGTTGTGGGCTGAGTTGTGTTCCCTCAAAATTCATAGGTTGAAATTTCAATTCCTGGTGCCACAGAATAAGACTATATTGAAGATAAGGTATTTAAAGCAGCATTTAAGTTAAAATGAGGTCACTAGGGTGGACCGTAATCCAATATGAGTGATATCTTTATACAAACAGGAGATTAAGATATATATATATATATGTACATATGTACATATATACATACATATATAGATAGATAGATAGATAGAGAGAGAAATCATGTAAAGACATGGGGAGAAGATGGCCATTCACAAGCCAAGGAGAGCGCCTTCAGAAGAAACCAACCTTGCTGACACCTTGATATTGGACTTCTGGCCTCCAGAACTATAAGAAGATAAATTTCTATTGTTTAGTCCAACAAGTCTGTGGCACTTTGTTATGGCAGTCCTAGCAAATGAATACATGCATTATGTATATTTCTTCAAGAGTTTCCCAGAGCACATAGGATATAATTTTAATGTAGCAAACCCCCACAGTGTGACCATCTCTCCCTATTCAGCTTCCTCTCTGATGACTCTCTGCCATCATTCTATACTTCACCAACTCTTAACTGCTTATAGTTTCAAGTACACACTATATTCCTCACCTTTGTACCTCTGCTAACACCGCTCTCTTCATCTGACTCAACTCTATCAGTTCTTTAGACTCAGTTTAATCAATATCTTTCCAAGAGCCTATCCTTACCCTAAAATGACTTTTAAGAAATGCACATAGAAAACTTGTAAAATATTGATTCATAGAAAAAAAAGAAAAATTACCATAAACTCTTAACCCTAATGTGAGCATTATAACTGTTTAATTATTTTCCTTCCATCTTTTTAAGGCCCATTTTATTTAAATAATAGAAATTTTATTGTACAAAATTTTGCATTTTTAAATTTGATTTAATATTATCTTTTGAGCATTGTCCCATCATTAAAAAACAATTTTAATGGCTTCATAATATAGTCCACCATGTTGGCTTACTTCAATAAATCTAATTATACTTCTATAACCAGAAATTCAGAAGATGTTTTTGATTGTTCTGGGCGTAAAATAATAAATGGTATGGTATGATTCTCATACCTCTAACTCTAGACCTCTCTCTGGTCTCTGGATCTGTGTATCTCTTGGACCTCTTAATTTTACTTTTATGGAAGTAAAATTTTACTTAATTTAATTTTATGGAATTTTACTAAAACTTCACATATTCAAAATGAAACTCATTATTTTAATCTAGTACCTGTCCTATCCTCTAAGTTTCTTCAAACTTTTTGCATCTGTTTATAGCATAATAATTCACCCAAGCATCAAGCACCAAGTCTTCCAAGTTAACAACCAGTGTGTTATCCTTGATTTCTCTTTTCCTACAACCTTTCTCAATTCAAACTCAGTCATTTACTAAATGTTTCGACTCTATCTCCTAAGCATACCTTGTATCTTTCCCCTGTATTCCACATTCCACTGCCATTGATTTAAATTGGTTCTCGTAATTTCCAGGCTATTGAAATGGTCTCTAAACCCATCCTTTTGTCTTTAAACTCCTCAATTCCACCTTCCTCAGATTTGCTTCATAACTGTTCGTTACCCTTGAAAAATGCAAACCTGATGATGTCACTCCTAGCTTAATGTTCTTCAGTGGATCATTGCATCCTTCAAAACCAAGTTCCAATCCTTTCGTATGGCTCTGTACTAGGTACCTTATGTATAATGTTATTCAGTCTTTCTCACAAACACCTGAGCGAATCAGCCTGAGTTTTCTATTTTACATCAGTGCTTCTCAGAAAACTATATTGTGATTATTAGTTGTGAGTCTGTGTACCTGATTCCATCCCAAGATTGGAAATTTGATAGAAGAATCTATAAAAACTAAAAATATATAACATGTCTAAATACCTATGTTGGCAATATCTTCACTAAAGGTTCAATGTAGGAAGAATATTAAAAGAGAGAGGAGACTAAAGAATAAAGAACTTGTAATAAAATCATAATCAGAACGAAAATAAAAACTATTTTTTCACATTTCTAAATTCCTTTGACATTGAGGTGTATGATAATTTTATAAAGTTCTCTGTAATAGAGACTTTGCTAGTTTATTTATTCCAGTGTCTCAAAGAGTCTGAAAAATATATGACATTTTACTCCTACTGTGAGCTTAATATATATAAACTTTCCAAGGCTTAGTTGATTAAGAAATGTTGGAAAAACAATAGATACATTGCTAAAAATATTATTATTCTAAAAATAACTCATAAAATCACAAGCAGTGATAAATAGAGGTACACATTCATCATTTCTAACTGGAAATTTAATGGAGCCTTGGCAGTGAGTAATCATTACCAAAGGAGCACTAATGCAGAACTGACATTCAGTGCTAATGAATTAATTTTGAGTCTAATTGAGGGGAAACTTTGCTTTGAATGACACCACTATAAGGCATGCTTATTGCTATGATTTTTATTATTATGATGTTTAAGAATGTTCTGATGCTTTCATTTTATAAGATGTAAATATCCTCTTATTTAGCCACAATTATAGCAAGAAGATTTAGGAATAGAAAATGATAAATAACCCTTGGAATCAGAAGGTCCATGCTTGCAAAGTCTGAATGCCATCAGATTCTAACTTCCAAATATTCTTTAAGTTCACTTTGGGAGGGTAAAACGATATACCCTTTCATCACCAAGCCTGCTGCTGAGTTCACACTTTGCTGGTTCTCCACTTTCCCTCCAGTTTGATGCTCCACTTGCAGACCCTAGTCCTCTTCCACCTTTGACACAACAACTCTGTCTCCTTTCAAAACCACAGCTCCCATAAAGAGCTCTTAGCCTTAGTGGAGATAAAGTAAGGAGAAGATTCCTCTTTCTCTCACTTTCACCATCTATTATTGTTTTCTTTTCAGGTGCAGTGATTTCAAAATAGACAAACACAACAAACCTTTATCATTAGAAGACTCACCCTCCTGGGCTCTTCCTTTCCAACATTTGAGTGTTAGAAATAATAATATACTAAAGCAAGAGCATTGTGTTGAATTTATCTTGTGCTTCATTCTTTTGCCATTTGAGAATGTTTCATCTTGCCCAATGGTAACTGATCCACTATTGAAAGTTACAGGTACCTTCAGACATAGTTAACTATTTCTTTCCAAACTTTCTATCTGCCACAAAATGTTATTTTCCATTTGGCAGAGACACCTAGGGAGCTTTGTTTTCACTCATTACTGCTGGTGAATCTGAGGTTATCCTGGCCAGGTCACTCCTGAGGTGACTGGTATTTGTTCAATAGCGCTGTTTATCTTTATCACTTACATAAAAGGAACGGTCGGGCCGGGCGCGGTAGCTCACGCCTGTAATCCCAGCACTTTGGGAGGCTGAGGCGGGCAGATCACGAGGTCAGGAGATCAAGACTATCCTGGCTAATGCGGTGAAACCCCGTCTCTACTAAAAACACAAAAAATTAGTTGGGCATGGTGGCGGGCGCCTGTAGTCCCAGCCACTCGGGAGGCTGAGGCAGGAGAATGGCGTGAACCCGGGAGGCAGAGCTTGCAGTGAGCAGAGATCGGGCCACTGCACTCCATCCAGCCTGGGGCACTGAGCGGGACTCCGTTTCAAAAAAAAAAAAAAAAAAAAAAAAAGGAACTGTCTTCAGCAGCTTGCTTATTCGGATGCTCTCAAGGGCCTTAGTTCCTTAGCTGTAGGAATCTGGTGCCTATTAGTGTTGGCACTTCAAAAGTTCACCTTAGCTGTATTCTTATAGCTACCCTTAGCTCGTTTTTTCTGATAGGCATCATGCAACCGAGTGCCTGAAACTGAGTACATTTTAAACGAATACTGGCTGCATGTTGTGCAGATGTCGTATTGACCATCTTGTCAACTGAAGCCTCTACTGGAACCATCGCTGATATATAAGCACCTGCCCTGGTGCTTAAGTTACCCTTTTCAAGCAAGGAAAGTTGTTTTCTCTAGGTTCATTGCGGGTAGGGTGGAAGTAGTTCCCCTCCACTGGGATGTTCTCAGGTGAAATAACCAGTCACCTTATTTTTATGCTTTTGTTGTTTACTCATTCTGTCCCTAAAGGCTAATGGCAACAAACAACTTTCTCATGGCAAACAGATGCTGAGATTTTTTTCAAGGACCAGCAATCTTTGTGCCCTTATGCTCCTCTTCCCTAGAAATAATTGTCACTGTTTTCTCAGGACAGCAATAGTTGTCATATATTCCCAGTTGCCACAGTAAGACCCAGCCAGCATTATACTTTATTTACTGGCTTAAATATTCAGCGTTCCTTAATACATGATAGGGTATTGACTCTGCTTGTTAGAAATTCCTTATATCCAGTGACAAATAACTTGTAACCATGAATTTTCTTCTTCAGTTACAAAGTTCCTCACTGAAGACCAGAGAAAGTGGATACTCTTTGTTTTAATCAGTGTGTCATCACTGCAAATTGTCTTTTAGTCTGCTGATTTAATTGCCATGTTACCCTATCTTCTGACACTTCAAATACAGGGCTATGGATAGTTAATGTTCTCTTCTTAACATTAACAAACATGAAATAAATTTAGTGACCAAATTACTGAGTGCTGACTGTCACAGTATTTGAAACATCCAAATGGGCTTCACTAGCCTTCTCTTCTGGCCAATATGCTTTTTCACACATATTTTAATAGTACATGTTTGAAGCTGTGTTGTTGAATATCATTATAGACTTTTGTTTTTAGTTTTATCAAGCAAATTCCTCCATCCATCTATTCATCCAACTATTCTTCCAACTATTTTATTCTACATACTTGCTACTGCTCTAGGCAATGGAGATAGAAATATAAAAGACATTCATATTTCTATCTGTGAGTCCCCATAAGGGAACTCATAGACCTGCAAGGGAAACAAGCAAATAAATAAACAATTCTAGCACAATGAAATTATTATTATTTTCTTCTTTTTTTTCTAAGAGAGCACATAAGAGGGATGGCAGAGCCAGTCTGAGTGGGTCCAGAAAAGGCTTTCTGAAAGAGCTTTTCTTCCTTGAGCCATAAAGGATAAGTAGGTAAGTTAATCAAAGAGTAGAAAAAGACGTATCAGGCAGAAGGAATGACATATACAAAGGCCCCAAGATAAGAGTGTAATTTAGGGTGATTGAAGCATACAGCATGAGGAGAGAAAGGAGAGATAGATGATAGGCAGGTCATGAAGGGCCATTATCTTAAGGAGTGTAGAAACATTTTCTTGAATGTCATTGAAGTTATTATGGTTTTTAAGGTGGAAAGTGACATTGAATTTGCATTTTAGCTTTGGAAAAACAGAGTGGAGTGTGGCAGAGTGGAGGCAGAGAAACAGTTGATTTTAACAGTTGAGGCATGAGATAATGATAACCTGAACTAATGCAATGGTAATAGAGATTGAGAGAAACAAGTAATTACTCATAGTTGTAACTTTACATTTATTTATGTAGTTATTCTGTTAATGTCTGTCTCTCTGATTAAATGTAAGCTACATGAGGACAAAGATAGGGTTTACTTTTGTCCATTACCATATTTCCTATGCCTAACACAATGCGGGGCATAGAAATGTCTAATAAGTATATTTGTTGAAATAATGCTCTAATGAATGAATTTAAAAAGTACAACCTATTAATGCATACCATGCACTGGGCAGAATACTAGGCAATAAGGATACAGAGATAAACAAGCTAGGCAAGATTCCTGTTCTCAAGGACAAGTTTTTAAAATGAGAGAGACAAGTAAAAAATAAGAGAATTTATAATATTAACCAGTGTTATATAGAAATTAAAATAGTTTTGGAAGGTGCCTGGGGTTGGAATGGCTACTTTAGATTGGAGGGTCATCAAAGACCTTTTGCAGTAAGTGACATTTGATTTGAGATTTAAATGATAAAAAAGGAGTCAGCCTCTGGGGGCAGAGAGTTCCAGACAGAAGGAAATGAATAAGCGAAATAGACAGATTTGACAGAACTTGTTGACTGATCAGATGTGGGAGTAAGAAATAGGCCTAAGATGATTCATAGGATCTAAAAAATGTTATTTCTATTAACTGAGCTTGGAGATACTGAAAAAAGTACAGATAGTGATGTAAATGATGAATTCAATACTGAAACTCTTGACTTTAAGGCACCTGTGATGCATTGAAATACATGGATGATAACTCACCTCTAAAATATACTTTCTTTCATTCTCATGCATAAGTGGGAGTTGAACAATGAGAACACATGGACACAGGGAGGGTAACATCACACACAGGGGCTTGTTTGGGGGTGGGGGGTCTAAGGGAGGGATAGTAGGTGACGGGTTGATGGGTGCAGCAAACCACTATGGCATGCGTATAACTATGTAACAAAACTGTACATTCCGCACATGTACCCCAGAACTAAAATATAATAAAAAAAGATATGAACAATGACTCTAAAAAATTATTACAATAATGTTCTCTAGGTGAAACTCTTTAACTGGCAATATCTTTAGTTAACTGCATTTGCTGAAAATTTTCCAAATACTTCCAGCTATTCAGGGCAAATAGACTCTGTTCTGATGATTCAGAATTTTCTGTTAAAGTGGACATTCGAAGGGAACATGACTGTTAGTTCTTGGTAGGCTTTGTCCAGGACTAATTATTCCCAGGCAGAAATCTGAATATCTGGGGTCTTTTACTGTACTCCTCCCTATAATAATCAGTGAAAATACTCAGTTTTAATTTTTGATTTTATTATAAAAAGTTTCATTTCCTTTGAAAGAAGCCTGATTCTTTTAAGATCCCACTCTCTATTTTTGCTCATCCTAATAATCTATATGCCATCTATAAGAACACACTACCAGTTTTCCACGTTCAACCTGGACTTGAGGGTCTGGCTGAGAGTTGTGTAGTTTACTGCAAATGTTTTTCAATATTATCTTGCGCCATAGATGGTTTCTTTTATGTTATAAATGAGAAGGGTGATGATTAGACTTCTTTACCAAGGATACTTTTGTGGTTAATTTTGAAAGGTGGTGTGCTAATGACCATCCAAGCTAGACAGTGCTCTTTGTGTACAGACAAGCCAGAGACTGCCCTGCTACCCTGACACACAGCTACCGTGGATCTGAAGAATTATCTCAACAGAGAAGGCACAATTATAAGTAATTTGACCTGATAAACTTACCCTGTTTTTCTGATAACTTTTAAAAAGTACCAGAAAGCTACACTGTAGCAACTGATTTTATGAAGTGTGGGTAGGGCCTGACAGGCACTTGTCTCTGTTTGAACTGCAAGAACACCTGTGATTTCCAGGTCCGCCACACACAGACACTGCGGGGTATAAGGCATAAAGCAAAGAGCCTCCGGTTTAGAATTAAGATTCTCCATTAGCCTTTTCTGTCACGGCTATTCTAGTTGGACACCTGTATGGACACCTGAATCCTGCTGTTTCACTTCTATGGCCCAGCTTAACACTTTATTCCCTAGCATATATCCTTGAACTTGATTTTCTACCTCCTTGGATGAACTCAACTTTTATCAGATCTGTTTGCGAGGTTACTCCTTTTTGGTCTGATTTCTGCTCCTATGTCTCTGTAGGCTGGACTTGTTAAATTGCTTGTCATGTTCAGCAGGACTCAAAATGTAGATTGAATCTGTTACTCTTTAGGAGTTAAAATCCATTAAGAAGTATTTGATATTCTTTTGTCACCACTGCAATATTTTTCACTAACATTCTCCTTTTTCTAAATCAATATGTTGAAACAAGGTCATATTAAGTTGTGTCTGCTGAATTGTTTAAGAATACCATTTGCTGAATTTATCTAAAGAACATTATCTGTGAACATTATCTAGAAAAATATGAACATTATTAATGATGTGGCAGATAAGAATGCAAAAATTTACAAATTGCCAATAGCAATTGAAGTAATTAAATGGCAGTCCTTTTCAACTTTTCTATTTAAAAATGCTTTGTATATACATAAAATTAAAATATAACTTTCATAAATTTATAACTAATTATTTCATATATGCTTTTTCTTTGTAATTTTAATTTTTACAATTATACTTATAAAATGAGAGTGTTTTCCTCCTCTTTCTCACACTCTTTCACTTACTTCTCTCCTTGACCTGAGCCTCAAGTGACCCAAATATATAACCTATAATGTATTTTGTCTCCTATAAACTCTAAGATTATTTCAGTTAATTAAAAGCCTTTGGAATTCTAAGGAAAGTTGGTTAGACAAATATTTAACTTCATTAATGAATAATTTGGGAAGAGATAACACTTTTATCATATTAAATCTTTCCATATAAGAAGTTATGTATGTCTTTTCATTTATTCAAATCTTCTTTTATGTCCTTCAATAAGAATTTATAGTTTTATTTCAGAAGCATATGCCTTTCTTGTAAAACTTATTCCTAAATATTACATAGGTTTTGTTGCTCTAGTGAATGGAATATTTATTTCTGTTTCTTTCATTAATGCTTTTTTTCTAGAACAAAAAAACCTATTGATATTAATCTACTCATTTTATTTCCAATCATCTTATAAAATATTCTTATTCATTCTAGTATATATTAGGCCTGAGATTTGCTAAGTGTACATAGTATGGCCATATGGTTAGCAAAGAATATAACTGTCACTCATCGTTATTTCTACTCAGATTTATAAGACAGATCTGTCTTTGAATCCCTAATCCACCTTTAAGGGTTGTGCAATATTGGTCACGTTTCTCAGTCTCCTTAAGTCTTTTTTTCCTCATCTATAAAATGGGAACTGATCATGGTACCTATATTATAATTATACTTTGTGAGTTTAAAGTATTAATACATATAAAGTACTTTAGTATCTGGCAGGTATAAAGCACTGAGAAATGATGAGGTGAAGAGATTCTCCAAGCAACATGGAAAAAAAAGATCCAAACAAAAAATACAATGCCAGCTGACTCTTTAGGAAAATAGAATTCAACAAAGAATATATTTCAGCTATTTTAAACATTTAAAAGTTTAAAAAACAACAAATAAAAACAAAAACCCTGATGAGAGTATTGATGTGTGCATAAACAAAGAAAAACATAATAGGAATAGAATGGTGAATTAAATTTTGTGAATTTTGGAAACCACTGGGAAAAAAGAGAATTGAGATCGTAAGTTGGCTGTAGTAGAAATAGAGATATTCAGTGTAAATCACATCACTTAGTTCAATTTAACTTACTAATACTAAAAGATTGATATAATTTCTACAAATATTAACACATATTATTAAAACCTAAATTAATTAATTTGAGTAAGTTCTCTAGGAAAGTTTTCTTGTTGGTTTTAAAATGGGTCAAAATGAACATATCATACTGTCATTTTGAGAAACTTTTTTTCACTATTTTGAATTCCTTATTTCTTTCTCAACTTTGTTAGCTCTTAACAAAAGCATTACCTTTACAGAAAGGTTAACGTTTAAATTTATACAATTTAGCTAAGAAAAGCTTCCCCAAAGGTGATTAATGAACACCTGTTAAAAGAAATGGACTTAAATATATATCAGAATCCATTATTGCTAATTGCCATCAGAGCAAAATAAAAGGGAATAAAATCTCTTGGATCAACTAATAATAAAAACCTTCACTACCTGACAAAGGAAGAAAGAATATTCAAATTAGCTCTCTGTCAATGGCATATTGGATTTTGGGATCATAAATTAATGTAATAAAGCTTTGATACCACCTATATAGTAAGCCTTCTATATAGGTGTGTGATGCCAAAATAATGTGCTAGAAAAGTTGTTGAATAAACTTCAGGAATCATGATGCATGTACTTACTGTCTTCAAAATGAGACGTATTAAAATTAGTCTTCATTCTACTTGCTGAAAAAATCAAGACTCTCAATTCTAATGCATTTCTTAATATGATTCTCATATACACAGATGACACACAGCTTGTCACACTCAGTGAAAACGTGCAACATTATAAGTTGTATATGAAGAAGTCAATTTGGGTTCTAGATCCATGCAAACTTTTTTGGGCAGAGGCGGTAGGGGAATTTATTTCTGTTTATGAATAGTGACATTCAATTCCTGATCAGTTACCTGGGGTTAAGAGTGAAATTTATTGTATTGCTGTCAATTGCTCCTTTCAGATCTGTCAATATTTGCTTTATGCACTTAGGTGCTGTGCTGTTGAGTTCGTATATATTTGCAATTGTTAAGTCTTCCTGTTGAATTGACCCTTTTATCATTATGTAATGACTTCTTTGTCTCTAGAGACAAGATTCTAGGCATTGAGGAGGTTACCAAGATAAATAAAAAGACTCAAAAGACCATTCCTTGAGAACTAGAGGTCAGATAACTCAGGAAATGCAAAATGAGCACAAGCACCATGGGCATTTTAGAGCAAATATCTTATGACTCATAATTTAGTGGATAGGAAGAGTTGATTCTGATATAAATATTCTGACTTCCTGAGCAGTTGTCATCTGGATCCTGCTGTGTAACTGCCACTGTGAAGCAAAGCAGGCAAAGCAAGGTCAGAAATGGTAAACCTTGAATCCAGAGGTCCTGCCACAATTCCCAACTCAAAGGATGAAAGGAAAAAGCGAAACAAGAAAGGAAAAAGAGAAAGAGACCTTCTAGTATGCTAATATTGGTGTAGCCTGGATGGCCCTTGTCTTTGTGGATTTTTTTTTATTATTATACTATAAGTTCTAGGGTACATGTGCACAATGTGCAGGTTGTAAATTTCTTTGAGTTCTTCGTAGATTCTGGATATTAGTCCTTTGTCAGATGAGTAGATTGCAAAAATTTTCTTCCATTCTGTAGGTTGTCTGTTCACTCTGATGATAGTTTCTTTTGCTGTGCAGAAGCTCTTTAGTTTAATTAGATCCCATTTGTCAATTTTGGCTTTTGTTGCCATTGCTTTTGGTGTTTTAGACATGAAGTCCTTGCCCATGCCTATGTCCTGAATAGTATTGCCTAGGTTTTCTTCTAGGGTTTTTATGGTTTTAGGTCTAACATTTAAGTCTTTAATCCATCTGGAATTAATTTTTGTATAAGGTGTAAGGAAGGGATCCAGTTTCAGCTTTCTACATATGGCTAGCCAGTTTTCCCAGCACCATTTATTAAATAGGGAATCCTTTCCCCATTTCTTGTTTTTCTCAGGTTTGTCAAAGATCAGATGGTTGTAGATCTGTGGTATTATTTCTGAGGGCTCTGTTCTGTTCCATTGATCTATATCTCTGTTTTGGTACGAGTACCATGCTGTTTTGGTTACTGTAGCCTTGTAGTAGAGTTTGAAGTCAGGTAGCGTGATGCCTCCAGCTTTGTTCTTTCGGCTTAGGATTGTCTTGGCAATGTGGGCTCTTTTTTGGTTCCATATGAACTTTAAAGTAGCTTTTTCCAATTCTGTGAACAAAGTCATTGGTAGCTTGATGGGGATGGCATTGAATCTATAAATTACCTTGGGCAGTATGGCCATTTTTACGATATTGATTCTTCCTATCCATGAGTATGGAATGTTCTTCCATTTGTTTGTGTCCTCTTTTATTTCGTTGAGCAGTAGTTTGTAGTTCTCCTTGAAGAGGTCCTTCACATCCCTTGTAAGCTGGATTCCTAGGTATTTTATTCTCTTTGAAGCAATTGTGAATGGGAGTTCACTCATGATTTGGCTGTTTGTCTGTTATTGGTGTATAAGAATGTTTGTGATTTTTGCACATTGATTTTGTATCCTGAGAGTTTGCTGAAGTTGCTTATCAGCTTAAGGAGATTTTGGGCTGAGACAATGGGGTTTTCTAAATATGCAATCATGTCATCTGCAAACAGGGATAATTTGACTTCCTCTTTTCCTAATTGGATACCCTTTATTTCTTTCTCCTGCCTGATTGCCCTGGCCAGAATTTCCAACACTATGTTGAATAGGAGTGGTGAGAGAGGGGATCCCTGTCTTGTGCCAGTTTTCAAAGGGAATGCTTCCAGTTTTTGCCCATTCAGTATGTTATTGGCTGTGGGTTTGTCATAAATAGCTCTTATTATTTTGAGATATATCCCATCAATACCGAATTTATTGAGAGTTTTTAGCATGAAGGACTGTTGAATTTTGTTGAAGGCCTTTTCTGCATCTATTGAGATAACCACGTGGTTTTTGTCTTTGGTTCTGTTTATATGCTGTATTACGTTTATTGATTTGTGTATGTTGAACCAGCCTTGCGTCCCAGGGATGAAGCCCACTTGATCATGGTGGATAAGCTTTTTGATGTGCTGTTGGATTCGGTTTGCCAGTATTTTATTGAGGATTTTTGCATTGATGTTCATCAGGGATATTGGTCTACAATTCTCTTTTTTTGTTGTGTCTCTGCCAGGCTTTGGTATCAGGATGATGCTGGCCTCATAAAACGAGTTAGGGAGGATTCCCTCTTTTTCTATTGATTGGAATAGTTTCAGAAGGAATGGTACCAGCTCATCCTTGTACCTTTGGTAGAATTCAGCTGTGAATCCGTCTGGTCCTGGACTTTTTTTGGTTAGTAGGCTATTAATTATTGCCTCAATTTCACAGCCTGTTATTGGTCTATTCAGGGATTCAATTTCTTCCTGGTTTAGTCTTGGGAGGGTGTATGTGTCCAGGAATTCATCCATTTCTTCTAGATTTTCCAGTCTATTTGTGTAGAGGTGTTTATAGTATTCTCTGATGGTAGTTTGTATTTCTGTGGGATCAGTAGTGGTATCTCCTTTATCATTTTTTATTGCATCTAATTGATTCTTCTCTCTTTTCTTCTTTATTAGTCTTGCTAGTGGTCTATCAATTTTGTTGATCTTTTCAAAAAACCAGCTCCTGGATTCATTGATATTTTGAAGAGTTTTTTGTGTTTCTATCTCCTTCAGTTCTGCTCTGATTTTAGTTATTTCTTACCTTCTGCTAGCTTTTGAATGTGTTTGCTCTTAAGAAACTGCATCAACTAATAAGCAAAATAACCAGCTAACATCATAATGACAGGATCAAATTCACACATAACGGTATTAACCTTAAATGTAAATGGGCTAAATGCTCCAATTAAAAGACACAGACTGGCAAATTGGATAAAGAGTCAAGACCCATCAATGTGCTGTATTCAGGACACCCATCCCACATGCAGAGACACACATAGGCTCAAAATAAAGGGATGGAGGAAGATCTACCAAGCAAATGGAAACAAAAAAAGGCAGGGGTTGCAATCCTAGTCTCTGATAAAACAGACTTTAAACCAACAAAGATCAAAAGAGACAAAGAAGGCCATTACCTAATGGTATAGGGATCAATTCAACAAGAACAGCTGACTATCCTAAACATGTATGCACCCAATACAGGAGCACCCAGATTCATAAAGCAAGTCCTTAGAGAACTACAAAGAGACTTAGACTCCCACACAATAATGATGGGAGACTTTAACACCCCACTGTCAACATTAGACAGATCAACGAGACAGAAAGTTAACAAGGATATCCAGGAATTGAACTCAGCTCCGCACCAAGCAGACCTAATAGACATCTACAGAACTCTCCACCCCAAATCAACAGAATATACATTCTTCTCAGCACCACATCGCACTTATTCCAAAATTGACCACATAGTTGGAAGTAAAGCACTCCTCAGCAAATGTAAAAGAACAGAAATTATAACAAACTGTCCCTCAAACCACAGTGCAATCAAATTAGAACTCAGGGTTAAGAAACTCACTCAAAACCGCTCAACTACATGGAAACTGAACAACCTGCTCCTGAATGACTACTGGGTACATAACAAAATGAAGGCAGAAATAAAGATGTTCTCTGAAACCAATGAGAACAAAGACACAACATACCACAATCTCTGGGACACATTTAAAGCAGTGTGTAGAGGGAAATTTATAGCACTAAATGCCCACAAGACAAAGCAGGAAAGATCTAAAATGGACACCCTAACATCACCATTAAAAGAACTAGATTTATTTTTATCTTAAGCAAGGACTACTACACTAGTGAGAACCTCTGAGAAGCTTCTTTTGGCTTCATTTTTGCTCCTTCCCTCTGCAAACTTAACAACCACTTTCATTTATCATGCATCAACCATGTAAAGAAAATATTGGGTATAATTCATATATCATATTACATATAATGCCTAAATACATAATACATATCAGAAAGGCTAAATGCCCTGCTCTAAGGTATGAAAGTATTAAGAGTTGAAAAAGATTTGGAATCATGTTTGCTGCACTCTAAAGCCCAGGTCCCCCCCACTTCGCCATGATGTTTCTGCTAAAGGCAGGGAACCAAAGGCTAAGTTAAGGAAAATGAATCCAGATTTTATTTTGTAAACTTAAAAAAATCACCAGTAGAACTGTTGATTTTTAAAAATGCTGGCATATTTTTAAAATTTGTATTAGATTTTAATACTTTTAATTTTGCTATTAAACTGTTGGAACAGCTCATCTAACAGCTGTTTTTCCCCCAAAGGAATACTCATTTTTACTATATAATTTTCAAGTAATAACTTCATTCTATATGAGAGTGTAAAGATATCTGGATATCTGGATTCCCCTTGGATCAAGTTACCCTCAGTAAGTTGGTTTAAAAATAGGTAGTTTATCATTACCAAAAAATTCAAAATCTTGCTTCTCTCTCTCTCTTTAAATTTAGAGACAGGGTCTTGCTCTGTTGCCCAGGCTGGAGTGCAATGGTACAATTTTAGCTTATTGCAGCCTTCATCTCCTGGGCTGAAGAAATCCTCCTGCCTCTGCCTCCCAAGTAGCTAGGACCACAGGCACACATCACAAGGCTTGGCTAATTTTTAAATTTATTTTTTTGTAGAGATGGGATCTTACCACATTGTCCAGGCTAGTCTCAAACTCCTGACCTGAAGTGATCTTCCCACCTCAGCCTCCCAAAGTGCTAGGATTACAGACCAGCCACTGTGCTTGGTTCCATGTTCCTGTTTCATCTTATTTGTTTAGTAATACAAGGGTGAAGAATCAGTGTGCATTTCTATTTAAAACTACAGATGGAAAAATATGATGGAAAACAAGAAAAGAAATTTTAGAGAAGTTAATTATCCTTGTTTCAAATATATCCAAGGATCTCAACTAAAAAACAGGCCACAGTTGGAACTATGCTGATTTACTTATTTAATGCTTATTCTGTGGATAAACTGGGACTAACAAACATAATCATAATTTAATGAGACTCTGTATCATCTATTCAAAACTTTATCAGTGAAATATCTGCCAGGCTTTACAAGGTAGTAAATTTTACTTATGAACCAATATTGAATGCTAATCATTATACTTAATATAAACACTGGAAAATATTTATATAAGTGACTGAATTACAACCGAAGCAAGGATTTCAGATTTCTCATTGTTATTATAAAAGGAAAAAGCTGTCTGCTTCCCTAAATCAGCTGAGTTCATATTTCTCATCCATTTTCTCCTACCATTTGCTGAGTTTAGCTCTGCCTTCATCTTGCATTAGACTCTTTCACGTTTCTTTCTGCAACAGTCTAAAACATTTCAAATGCAACATTTTCTATCAGAAATGATTTAAAATTATTTAAGAGGAACAAATGGGCAGGGTGCGGTGGCTCACACCTGTAATCCCAGCACTTTGGGAGGCCAAGGTGGGCGGATCACAAGGTCAGGAGTTTGAGACCAGCCTGGCCAACATGGTGAAACCCCATCTCTACTAAAAATACAAAAATTAGCGGGGTGTGGTGGCACATGCCTGTAGTCCCAGCTACTCGGGAGGCTGACGCAGGAGAATCGCTTGAACCCAGGAGGTAGAGGTTGCAGTAAGCTGAGACCACACCATTGCACTCCAGCCTGGGTAACAGAGTAAGACTCTGTCTCAAAAAAAAAAAAAAAAAAAAAAAAAAGAAAGAAAGGAAAAAGAGAAACAAATGGAAGGTGCTAATTTCTTATTAAGAACTCAAGTAGAACAGAATTCCAGTAAAATATGGCTTATTTTATAATTTTAGATAAATCATAAATCAATCATTCGAACATAGTATTTATAATTTATTAGTTTTTTTCTCACAATATCAGCTTTATAAGGAGGATCTACAGTAGCTGCATTTGGGCATCAGGGATGACTTAAAGATTTTGTAAAATTTTCAGGCATGATGCATTTAGTATGCTACAGAAGCTTTGGTAAAAGCTACCTATAGCAATTATAGTTGCATTATGGACATTCTGATACAAAGTGTTTTACACAGTTTGCTCACCAGGCAACAATATTTGGCAATCTAGAAAAGGCCATATTGCCTTACAATACACTGTAACTTCTTCATCATTTCTTTCTTTAGAACACATTTTCATTTTACATAATGTTATGGAAATTCATTCCATCTAAAATGTACTGTAACAAATTTTCCTATAAGGAAACATCACCTAAGAATATACCCAAAGTTGATATTTATTTTTTCAATTAAAATTGATAATATGTTCAATTAACTAACTTAAGAAAGCAAATAAAGTCCACATATAACCGAAAAGTGTCAGTTTAAGCCATGTTATTACATTGCCAACATTTTTAAAAAAGCAAAAGATACTAAAACAATTTGACATCTGCAGTGAACTCTTGCCAAGGATAGTGATGGATGTAATGGCTATAGGTATGCAAGTGAAATGAGAAGAAAGATAAACAATGAACATTGTACTTGAGTCATTAAGTTTCCAATAATCAAGAGCCAGATGTTGTATAAGAAAATATCACAGAGCTTAACTTCCTATTCATTTCTGTTCCTGCCAATCAGTCAAGTACTCACAGGATTCCATCAAGTGCTTGGCATGAGTCTAGGCACTAAAGCACTTCCTTCCATACTACATTGTAAACGTTCTTTGCAAGCCTTCTGTATGCCCCACATTGTTGCCAAAATAAAGACGAATGAATAAGATATATGTAGTTTTTCCCTTTACAAGTTACAGTCTTCTTGGGGATATACACGTAGACAACAAATTCAACATAATGTGAAAAATGCTCCCATCGAGAAATGTGCAAAAGGCAATGTAACAAAGAGAAAAGAATAATTGTTTGCCTGAGGTGTCATGAGACACTTTGTAGAGAGAGTAGCATTTGGATTGCACTTTAAAGACTTACGGTATATCAAAAAGGAGAGAAAGACAAATAAAACATTTTTTCCTGACCTTTTCATATCTTCACATTTACCTCCCATCTTAAATTTTGTAGTTCTAGATCCCAGTCACTATCCCATAAACAACCTATGTTTCCTTGTCCCCTCCTCCTCCATCTGGCTAATTTGGTAAACTCCAGCTGTCTGGCTTTCTCCTTCTATGCTTGCAAAGTATCTGACTTTCTGAAGAAGATTGCCTAACTTTTCTGACTGGATTTTCTTCAAATATATAACCTGAAATCACAAATAGGTGGTCAACACCGCCAGAAGATTCTAGGACACCACCCTTGTCCATTAACTTTCCCACTCTCAGAGTTCTTTCATGCTTTTTCTTGTCTCCTTAAACCTCTAATATTTTCTACTTGTGCTCAGGTTATGACTCTCCATGCTTTATAGAGAACATCAAAGAAATTAGTTGAGAACGTTTTTATCTTTCCACTCCCGGGCCACCAGTGTTTCCATGTTAGAAGAGTCCCTGCTTCTACGGACATCTTCTCCATTTGTGCTCTACATCCCATTCCCTCACCTCTTCAAGCATTTCTTCTGGTAATTATTTCCCTTCTCTTCTGCATCATTAATTCCTTTCTTTCTACTGGGTCATTTTCATCAGCCTGCTAGTATGCTCCACTAAGATCTATCTTTAAAAAGTCCTTTTCATGATGCAATGTGCCTGTCCAGTTACTGACATCTGCACTGCTGCATCTTGCAGTTAAAATGGAAGAAATTGTGCTTGTTGTCTCTTTTTGCTAATCCCTATTTTCTCCTCAACTACTCTAATAAGGCTGCACATAATGCGCTACTAAAATAGCTCTTATCAAACTCCTCTCAATGACCTGTATCTTGCTAATGCCAATGCTTAGTTTTCTTTTTCCTTCTTAATTGACTTCTCAGTAACATTTGGTACAATTGACTCCTCCCTCTCACATTTTTTTCTAGGCTTCAGTGGCACTACCTGCAGTTGGTTTTCTTCTTAACTCTCTGGCTGCTCACTCTCATAATCTTTTATAGGCTCCTTTTCCATGCTCAAACTATAAATGTTTCAAGCTCAAATCTGGCTCCTCATCTCTTCTCTATTTGTGTTCTCTCCCTCAATAACTTCAAAGAGTTTCATAATTTTAAATATAATCTATACACTGATGACTCTTAAATTTATCTATCTCCCTGAGCAGATGATTTATGTATCTAGCCACCAACAGCTGATTGTTTAATAGACATCTCAAACTTTCCATTGCCAATATCAAATTCCCAATTCCCCTCATCTACTACTCTTCAAAGTTTCTCTATATAGGAAATTGTGTCACCATATCCAATTAGTTAAACCCAAAATTTGGAAATGTGCCTTGGTTCCTACTTTTTCTTTTCACCACGCATTCTGTCCATCAGCAAGGACCTACTTCCAAAATGGGTCACAAATCTTCCCACTCATTGTCTCCATAACTGCAATCTCAGACAAAGTCATCAACATTACTCATCTTCACTATTGCAATCATCTCCTGATTGGTGTCCGTTTTTCAGTGTTGTCTCCCTAAAATCCCTTCTCTCTAGAGAAGTCAGACTGTTCATTGTAAAGCTAAGATCAAATCACATGTTTCCTTTGCTCGAAGTCTCCATGGCTTCACATTATGATCAGAATACAATCCTAATTTCCCAACATGGCTCACAAGGCAGTTCATAAATTTACCCCACTGTCCTTTCACATTCCTTCACCTTGCACTGGGCATGTTCAACTACTCTGGCCTTGTGCTTCTTAGACATCTCAAGCTTGCTGCCATCACAAGTTTTGTACACCTGATTTTCTTCTTTTTTTCTTTGGTTGTTATTTTTGCTTTTTCTCTTTCTTTACAACTTCATCATTCCTACCATTCAAATCTACATGCAAACCGGACCTGTTCATAAAGGTCTTTCTGGACCAGCCTAGAAAAAACAACGACAAAAAAACCAACCCCCACCCCAAATCACCCAACATCCCCATGAACCCTCAAAAACCCACCTCTCTCTATAACATCATCCTGTGTTCTTCATAGCAGTTACCAATCTTACTCATTTATTTGTTTATATTTTATTATCTGTCTCCTTCCACCACACTTGAAATTCATTGAACAGTGGAAAATTGTTAGATTCCTTGGCACTGAGAATAGTGTCTGACACCTATTAGGTACATGATCAATTAAAGTTATTTTTAACTGACTTGTTCACTATATAAAGTGAGAACTTATCAGTATGTCTTCAGAGGCACAAACTTGGGAGTCATATTTAGGGAATTAAGTAGGCAGTGGTAGGAGGAAAAGTTGGGGTCAGATTGTGAAGAGCCTGGAATGCCATGTTTTGGGGTTTAGATGTTATTGTATGAACAAAAGGAAGCCAAAGATTTTTCATTTTATATTCTCTCTAAAGTAAAGCTTTTAGGTATTAGATGTTCCTTTTATAAAACTAAAGTATATATATTAAAATACATATATTTTAAAATGTGTTTTATATTTTACAATGTATATCCATATAGATGGAAGTAATAATTTAAAAGATGCTCTTTAAGTTATATTTAGTATAAGAAATGCTGTTCCATTTTCTTCTGAAAATTCAGTGAAACATTTAAGCAAAATGAAGTTTTTGCTTTTTTTAGATGTATTTCAGTATAATCCAGAGCCAATAGATAGCCTTAATGACTTTTTACTATAATTAAAATACAAAATAATTCATTTATCTACAGTGCCACTGAACATTTCCTAAATAATGCTCCTACTTTTTAACCAATTCCTATAGTGTAAGATATTCTATCTCATCATTTTAGAATGAACATAAATGTAAACAGCTAATGCTTGATAAGATTCATAGCTTTGTAATCTAATTTTATTTCTAATCTTGCTCATAAAATTATAGTGCATTTATTTTATAACTAGAAAAGATTGCTGTTAAGTAGTAAATGTGAACAGGAGTCCTATTAAAGTTATGGGAAAAGGCTAAATTTAAAGCAAAAGGAATAGAAATGCAAAGTAGTTAGGTAAAGGTTTGGGGTATATGCAATATAAACAATATAAAACTAAACACAATGGAAAAATTAGTTTGGTAAGAAAATGATTTTTTTTAAAATCCATGAAAGGACAAACTATAACCTCATATTGCCAAAAGAAAATATAAAATATACATCTAAAGAAATTAATATCATGAAGTTAATTTCTTATGTGAATTTTTATTTTTAATATTGCTCAGCCACTTATCTTAAATGTCACAGAAACTGTGGCAAACTATAGCAATTTAGAAATATTCCCCCTTGCATCTGTTCGACAGAAAAGCGAGCTTTTTAAAGATGTATTTTGCATATTGAAAGACCTGAAATAACCCTGACTTGAGTAGAGAGGAGAGAGGAGACCTGAAGAAAGCAGAAAATCTATGGAGAGTTAGATACATTTCAGCGGATTTGGTGTGTCTTATTGAACCAACTATCAATAATGGGGTAGTTTGTTGTTTATGCATGAAGGGTCTTTTATAAAAGTAAAAATCAAAGCATAGGTGGTAGGGAAATCTTTCAAGATGCTATAATAAAATATATCTGATGAAATTCAGGGTTGTTTTTAATTTTTTTGTGCACCTACCAAAATATCATAGAAGAGAGCCTGGTGAAAATCAGTCCCTCAATACCTGTTATGTGTCCACTGCTGCGGAGACTGTGCCATTCCAAAATCTGCAGTTGGGTAGGGAAAGCACACTGCTCAGCAGTTGCTTACTTGACAGTTGAACCATGGAGTTACAGCTTCAGCTAATATATTCAAGATAACAAAAAAACCCTCACAGAATTAAGCTTATTATATTTCTGAGTAAAACTATAATTAGATCCAAATTCCCATGGAAACTTTGCCTTGCAAAAACTCAAGAAGAATTTCTAAGCTACCACTCAGAATGCAAAATCTATGGCTAATTTCATGGTGAAAGTGGTGGGAAAGTTAAGGGATAATTTGGAGTTTTTCAGACAGAAAAAGGGAATGTCTCAAGAAAGATGCTTCGAGATATAAAGGTGCATTGTATATTGGATGTAGCAGAAACCTCGTGAGATTGTGAAAGTGTTGGGAGGCAACGAAGCCAGAAATGTTGACTTCAAGCTATGACAATTCTTGACATTTTGTCTTCTGAAAGCTGTGAGCAGTCATTCTGCACTTTCAAATTGACATGTGCCTTGGTATGTTTTAATAAGAAAGCTCTGACAACAATAAGGAAGATGTATTCCAATGGTAGAGATGAGAAGGGGGAGGAATTGTTGAAGGCACAGGCAAGCGTTATTAAGAAACTCAAGTAGGGCAACAATGTGGGAGGGGAAGGATGCTCAGATGTGACATAAGTTGATGGCTAGTGATTTGGGGCTAGTAGGAGAGGAAAATGAGATGGATAGTTCTACTTTCTGTGATTCTGTGGGTAGTGCTGTCATTAGGCAGTGTATAATAAGAAACAGGATTTCTGTTTGATTTGGTTTAACCAAGTTTGGTTTTGTTATGCGGTGGTGGGTGGAAAAGAGCAAGGAGGATGATTTCCATGTTAACATGTGGTGAATATTCCATTTGATATTGGCTACTGGAATATGGAACTGGAATTCAGGTAAAAAGTTCAGGTTAGAAATAAATGTTTGCTGCTCATCAGCACAGAGGTAATACCTGAGACCACAGGAATATATCTGTTAACTAGGTTGTTTGTGTATTTTCTGGCCTGAGACACTGAGACAAAAGTCAGTATTAGTATAATGTTTCAGAACATTCATTTAGGAAAAATACTACATTTATTTAGAAACCATAAAGGATATAACAAAAATCCACAATAATGAATTTATAAGATACATGAAGATACAAACAATGGATGTATGCCTTTCCTAATCCTTGTGGAGTGTTAATTTCTATCACGTGTTTTAGTTGCTAAATTCAATATTTGCCTAAAGAAGCTACCAATTTTAAAAGCAAAAAGTCATTAAGAATTAATAACTAGATCATTTAGTTAAACATTTTCTATATTTTTTATTGAGAATGACAGAAAATTAGTTGTGTAAGTTTTCACTAGAGTACTGCTGGTGAAGTAAGAAAGGCACGTTAGCATCACACATTATTTTTAAGAATTTATTATAAAAAACTAAAAATAACATTATTTCATTTATGATAAAGATATTTTTATGAGATAAAATGAAAAATATCTAGAACTCATGTCAATCTTTTCTTGCACACACCCAGATTTTCTAAGTGCCAGTGTATACTAAATTTATTTAAAATTTTTCCTGGGTCTAAATGATAATAAGCCTTATTTTCATCAACTCTTACCCAAAATATATTTCCCAGCTTAAAAGAGGTAATGATATCCAGCACTCTTTACAAATAAGGACATTGAGATTCAAAGAAGGTAAATAACCCATAAACAAGCAACAAGGGCCTTTTGACTGCAAAGTACATTCCCACTCAAGTACTTTACAGCTCTTCTCAGCGAAACAGAAGTAAGAGTGTGAGCTAATTGTTCCACTAGAGACTAAGCCTCCGAGATCTTATAAAACTGAAGCTGAGTGCTTTCAGCCTCACTGTTACTGCAGGCAGTTTTTATCTTTTGGTAAACTAATCATCAGGGATCAGAGTAGCTATTGTTTGAAGTAGTCTGAAAAGAGCAATTTGAATACAATGGTGTTACTTGGTTTTTGTGACCTCTTCCAAGCTCTTCCCATTGTCGCCACAGCCTTAGCTAACCATAATATTATCATTCTTAATTTTGTGTTGAGAGTATAAGTTTAAAAATAAATACAATTCGTTCACAAGGCAGAACTCAGTGTTTTCTTTGTGAGTCTATGGAAAGCATATGTTTGATATTTTAGAAGTGACTCTAATAATCACTTTGTTATAATGCATTATAATTTATAGAATACTTTTAAATATAGAATGTCATAATTATCCACTTATTTCATTTGAATTGAAAATATAACACCAAGTGAGAAGAAGTAAAGAAAATATCTGTTTCTATGTATAATTCTCTAAAAGCAGAGGGCACTAATGTGGTTTCCCTTGGTTAGTTAGCTTGTCAAACTGAGGGTTTTGATAAAGATAATCCTGAAGAGGATGGTACCATGGGTTCAGCAAAAACACTGTACCTTGTAAATTGATATAAATTGGTAAAAGCGTAAGGTAATATGATTACACAATCACACAGTATCCAATTATGTATTACAGTTACAAAACAGAATTACAAATACAGAGTTAATAGAAACATCAAAAAGCCATTCTGTAAGCTGTCCTTGACAATGGAATTTTCATTACAATGGCACTAAGGAACCTATTGATGTATTTCATTAAAATAGCTAGTAGGGTAGCATAATGCCAAGTGAGATAAATTCATTAATAGAACACTGAAATGAGAATGGAAACATGACTTAGTCACACCTGTCCAGTTAAGAATACATATTAATCTATGAGCTTTCTTCATTATTTTGATAATAACTGGTAGTAAACTAGATAACAAAGGAAGGAAGGATTTTAAAAAAAGAAAACATAACAAATCTATTATATTTTAGATAAGTCTGTCTATGGAGTAATCTTATTAAAAAAGAATAAATGAACTTATATGAAAAATAAAACATAGTATTTGGAAATGAATAGTTTAGAAATTTGAGTGATAATTATAAATATGTAGCATTTATTGCCATTCAGGTTAGGAAAAAAACCACAGTGCATATATTAGTCACATACGGATAGAACCTTTACTTCTAAAATGCTGTTTTTTACACATATTTAAGCCTTTTATTTATTTATTTGAGAGAGGGTCTCACTTTGTTGCCCAGGCTTGAGTGCAGTGGCATGATCAGAGCTCACTGCAATCTCTACCTCCTTTGCTCAAGTGATCCTCCCACTTCAGCCTCCCTTGTAGCTGGGAATACAGGCACACACCACCAATCCTAGCTACTTTTTTAAAATTTTTGTAGAGACAGGGCCTCGCTCTGTTGCCTGGGCTGGTCTCAAACTCCTGGGCTCAAGTGATTCTCCCACCTTGGCCTCCCAAAGTGCTCGAACTATAGGCCTCATGGCCTTAGCATTTTAGTATGGAAGTGCAAATTCTTCTCTTAACCTATATATTGACAAATATTTCATACAGTTAATAATTTTATCTGTGTTGAAAGTGTTTTTATCTTTATTTTTAAGGAACTTATCTTTGAAAATATATTTCTAAAACACATGTTTATGTTCCCTTTGTTATACTGGAAAATGGTACAGCTCCTATGGAAAACAGTATGGTAAAATATAGTGAATGGTTTCCTAAAAAAATTTAAAATAGAACTACCATATGATCCAGCAATCCCACTTCTAAATATATATCCAAAGGAACTCACCCCGGGATCTTGAAGAGATGTCTGCACTCCCGTGTTCATTGCATCATTATTCACAGTAGCCAAGATATGGAATCAACTTAAATGTCCAACAACAGATGAATGAATAAAGACAATGTGGTATGTATGTATATAGCGGAATATTATTCCACGTTAGAAAAGAAGGAAATCCTGCCATATGTGAGAACATGGGTGAATCTGCTAAGTGGCATAGGCTAATCACAGAAGGACAAATACTGCACGTTCCACTTACACAAGGTATCTAAAATGGTCAGACTCACAGAAACAGCATCAAATGATGGCTGCCAGGGGCTGAGGGGAGGAGGGAATGGGGAGTTGTTCAATTGGTATAAAGTTTCAGTTATACAAGATGAACAAGTTGCAGACATCTGCTGTCCAACATTGTGCCTATGGCTAACAATACTGTACTGTATGCTTAAAAGTTTGTTAAGAGGGTAGATCTCATGTTAAGTAGTCTTACCACGATAAAAAAAATTAAAAAGGAAATTGAAGAACACAATAAAAAATAAAGTGACTTTTTTGTTGAAACAGTTATAAAATTACAAAAATGTTTAAAAACTAAAAATCATGTTTTTCTGAATTACTTGAGAGTAAACCGCTAATCTGGTGTCCCATCCTCCCAAATACTTCGGTATTTCCTACACACAAACATTCTACACGATCAAAATACAACCAACCAAATCAGGAAATTAATAGTGATATATTACTACCATCTAATCTTCAAACCCAAATTTTGTCAGTTGTCTCAAAAATGTCCTCTATAGCAAAAGAACCGGTTCAGAATGATATTTATTTTAGTCTCTTTAGTCTTCTTGAATCTGTAATAGTCCCTTAGTCTTTTTTGACTTTCATGATCTAATATCTTTCCTTAACAGTGTGCAGCTGTCGGTGTAGCTCTGGCTTTAATTTACATATATAATTTAAAGTGAATCTTTTTGGAAGAGTATGTCCAGTTAAGTTTTAATGTATTGGCATCTTCTGTGAGTATATTTATGTTGTGTACATGTCCTTGGGTATTCACAAAGGTGGTACTACAGAGTTTCTGAACCTTTGTTTTCAGGGGCAAAATCACTTAATAAAAGCAATGATGCCCAAGGGATAAAATCATATAAATAATAGATACACCATTTACGAGATATCTAGCATATATAGTTTAGTAGTTTAAAAGTATCATTTATGCTTGTACTTCGGAAAATTTTTCTCTTAAATAATTCCTTAATAATTTCTACTATGGGAAATTAAAAAACTTCACAGATGATAATGAAATCTAATCCTATTAACAACCCGAAATAAAATTTACTCAATAAAATATTCTCTTCTTAAAAAAATCTTCTTCAATGAACATACTAGAAATGGTTATATGACTAAAATTATCCATTTGACAAATTTGATTCCTAAAATCGGGAGGTCCCTCTTTTTGATGCTCTATACTAGGTTTTTTTTTTGTTGTTGTTTTTTGCTTTGTTTTGAGATGGAGTCTCACTCTGTTGCTCAGGCTGGAGTTCAGTGGCATGATCTCTGCAACCTCTGCCTCCCAGGTTCAAGCGATTCAGTTGCCTCAGCCTCCTGAGTAGCTGGGGTTACAGGTGTATGCCACCATGCCTAGCTACTTTTTGTATTTTCAGTAGAGACGGGATTTCACCATGTTTGCCAGGCTGGTCTCAAACTCCTGACCTCAAGTGATTGGCCTGCCTTGGTCTCCCAAAGTGCTGGGATTACAGATGTGAGCCACTGCTCCTGGCCAATACTAGGTATTTTGATGTGGCTTATTTTACATAAAAGGCAAAATAGTCTACTTCTAGGTGAAAATAAGAACATGTATATTCACAATAGGTTATTCATATACTGAAAATAGATACAACTTGCGTTTTAGAATTAATACTTTTCTATATTCCATAGCTCTTTTCAGATTCTCAGAAGGGTCACTGACCCAAAAGATACTGTCATTACTTCAGATTTATCTTTCCACTTAGAACTTCTTCCAACAACTCTTAGCATTCTTCATCTACCAAATCCATCCACTTTCCCAATTTTGAATATGTTCATCAGGTTTTACTGTATTTACTGATATTACCCCAGTAATTCTGTTGGAATATATTTGAAACATTCCTCTCTTAGTCAGTGTATATGACAGCAAAGTGAGGTATCATGTTTCATGCCTTGTGCATCAGGAGACATGAATATTCATGTTACCTTAATTTATGTTTCTTTTTCTTCATATTACTTCATAGTTTCGTAATTAACACATGCATTTACATAATATATTTTAACTCTAGTTGAAACAAAGTTAGTCTTGGCCTTGATAAATTATTAATGAATGAGGCCTTATTTTAACTTGACGGTATTAGAAAAATTCTTCTCACACACATGGAACAGTTTTATTTAAAGTTAAAACCCACCATTATTACCAACCATTTATATGATGTTATGTTACTTCTGTGGAAAAAATTTCTAAATTTCATTTAAAAAATTGTTTTTATCCCTTCATTTTTATCTTGACATATATTTTGTTTCTTGATGAAATGTGACACATTTTAATAAAAAGCAGTTATACTATTTTTGTATTTTATTTAGTTGTTATAAATATTAATTATATGAAGTTATTTTTCTCCCTGTCATGTCTTAACTATTATGCCTAACTTGAAACCATCTAGAGAGAGAGAAAATGTGTGTAGGTTTATAAAATCCAAGTCTGGGCTATCAGCTATTGAGAAAGCTCAATCATTTGTCCTTGTCTGACTTCATGCTGCTCTCCAAGACTAATCTGATTATAATGTTTGGCTTCCCATATAATTTTCTGTGGAGAAAAATAATCAAGTGATGCAAAATGTCAAGGTCACATGACAGATACTTGTCATTGTGAATCCATAGCTCAGCATTCTGGTTTGGAATGTCTACCATGTTTAAGGCACTGGAGAGTCCGCAGTGACCAATTGGAAATAATCTTTCATTAATGGCACTCATACTGTCTTGAGGAGATAATCTCCAAGTAAACAAAGAGTCAAAATCATATAGAGAGCGGTAAGTGCTATGATGAAAATCAAACACAATAATGAAATGGTATAAAGAAGAAGGGAGACTATTTTATATTGTGTGCATCGGCCTTCTGCATCTGATGCATTTGGTATATGTCAGCATTGAATTTCTAGACCAGCAATGCTGAGAACCAGACCTGTGGTAGGAACCTCTACAATGGACTCCATTAATCCCTGTCTCCTGGTATTTATAGTCTTAACGTTGTTTTCTTCCATACTTTGGAAGAAATGGTCCAGATTTGGTCTCTGTGATCAATAGCATATGGTAGACATCATAGTACATCACTTCTGAGTTTAGATTATAAGAAGACCAAGGCTTCTGTCTTAGATGCACACTCTCTCTCTCAAATCACTTGCTCAGAAGGAAGCGAGCAGCCACATTGAGAGTAGCCCTATAGAGAAGCACACTTGAGCTTCTATAGGAAAAGAATGGAAAGCTTCCAGTCTATCACCAGTGAGAAACCCATTTGCCAACCACCATTTGAGTGAGATTTGAGGCAAACCCTAGCCCATTCAAGCCTCATGAGACACGCTGAGACAGCATCACCGAGAATCTAGCTTCTCTTTAATTCCTAACCCTGAGATACTCTTACACAAACAAATGAAGTAAGGAATAAATAAGCAAACAAATAAGCAAACAAAGGCTTGGTTTTCCCTTGACATCTAACATTCATTTGAATTCTCTCTACCATCTACACATTTTCTGACTATCCCTCAAAAAACACAATTAGGAAGATAATTCTTGTGTAAGGAAAAACTGTATCACATAATCTAACATTTTTTCCTTTTGGCAATCTAGTTATTTACAGAAGTTCACTGTATTCTATTATTACAAATAATCAAGACTTGACTATTTCAATGAGTTTTAGGCAAATGTGTATCCAAAGGACTTAGTTTTATTACTCCTTGATGTATGTAGAGGAATGATCATAAACATTATAAGGAAACTTATAATACTAATTTGTTTTTGTAACTGAAAAAAATTATCCTAGAATTTGCATACATCTAAGAGTCTCCATCAGTTTGCTTAAAGGATGTACATCTTCATGTATGTTATATTATGATTCTTGCACACAATCACATTTTGCACAGATTGCTAAGCATATAAACTTAAAAGATGAAAAGAAGAGAAAATAACTAACAATGCAACATCTTGTTTGTATCCCTAAGGAAATCATGAGTTATCTCTTCTCAGAATAGTTATTGTTAAACTAAAATTGTTTTTCCTAAAACTATGTTTTCACCTTTATTTTTATTGGGAGTGCAAAATAAAGGATACTATAATGCTCTCGTGTAGCTTTAAGTTACATGAGGTATAGACTGGTGATCAAAAGGTATAATACATAGTGAAAACAAAGTTTATTTTTATTCAAAGAAGAATTTCTTTCTGCAATTCTCATTCTATAGACCCAAAACTAAAGTTATCTATATTTTATGCCTGAATTTGGTTCTTTAGATTTTGGCCTGTGAGTTATAAAATGAACACACTAGATTGCAAGTAACTTTGAAAATGTTTCTTAAAGTGTAAAAGCTGTAACAGCTATATAAGTTATATGTGTATGAGTCTATCAAAGAGACCCAACATCAGTTCTAATATATCTTTACAACATTTTTCTATGTCCAAATTGGTTTATGCATATTATTCTACTTAATTTAATTCTGTTTAATACTGGGCCACAATCTCAAAGCCTGCACAATACCCCAGCACCAATTATTGTTGTTATTATTGTTTCTCATTACTCTGATTTATTCACACAGCTATTTCATATAAAGTCCATATTATCAATCTATATCAGGTTTTAATTTATATTTAAAATTCATATTTAAAGATATATATTTGAAAACCTAACAACCTATGTCAGGTTTATTTTGTACTTCAAATGAAAGCCATTATTTGAGAACAGAGGGAAAATGATTCTCCTCTGCATACTCAATATTTTTTCCTTGACCTAAATGTATATATTTAGGTGAAGGGGACAACTGCTTTTCTATCTTGGTTTAGCTTCCAGTTAGCCATGTTTCCACTTACTTTAAATGTGGCAGACAAAAGCATCAGGGATGGACTCAGTGGCACTAGCTGCATTTGCAGGAAATTTCCACTTGAATGATTAACACCCTCAACCATATTTCAACCTGTTTATGCCCCCAACCTGGGAGGGGTTCCTTGGGTTAGGCCCATACCCAATGCTTTAGCTTAGAGAAAGGCATAATTCAAAAGTGCAGGATGGTGAAATATGCAGACATTTCCTCATTTCTATGCTCTCTCCTTGTCTTCTCTTATGGAGGATTAAGGAGGTGTTTTATCTTTATGTATATATTCAAATTAAATCCATATCATTATTGAAAGTTATTTTCATAATTGTGGCATTATATTGCAATGACAATTTTAATACACAATATCATACATAAAATGCACTTGAAGGTATGTTGTTGAAATATTAGTCAATCCAGTTTGCTTAGGAAAAGGATTTAATAAGTAAAAAATAAGGTTACATTTTGGTTCAGCAGATGAATCTAAGTCCTACTGAAATGTTTAAAAAATTATTCACTGTACTCAATATTTTTCTATAATACTGCAGAAGGGTGATAATAGCAACATAGTACTTTAAATATTTTCATCATAACATATACAAGTTATACTGATTTAATTGAGTAAAAAACCCATTTTGACTTTCAAAAATAATTAACTGTAAAACATAAAATTCTATTGTTACACATGAATAAGGCAAAGCTGGGTGAAACAAAGCATTTTATTATGGTAAACATTGCATAAAATTTTAAGGATTAGTTTTTACTTTAAAATATATCCTATATTTTTATGTAAGCCAAATTTTAAATAGACTAGTAAAAATGAACAATTTGCAAGAATATATAACTTCTACCTAAACCACTTTACGATCTCTTGAAAAATTTTAATCTTTTTTCCTAAAAATTTCTGGCATATTCTTGATGTAAAAACTGAAAGATACACTACAATCCATAAATTAACTTGAAGAATTAAGCATCCTATTAGGTTGAACCTTGTGACACTATTGTTTTTAGCTATAAGAAGGACAATTTCATATGTTTTAGTGCAATACTTTTCTGGCATGTATCTTCAGCCATGAGAAGAAACTTAAGTGAACTCTTTCCACCTTTACCTGTAATTACAGTTTTATAAAACAGAATACATTCTCATGTAATATGAATCTTTTACAGTATACCATACTTTTTGGCCTTTAGGAAAAATGTGTAGATAAATTAACTCAAAGTGCCAAAACACAGACAAAATAAAAGTAGTTATTTCTCTTACTAGTGAAAAAAATCACAGTTCAAAATTCAGAAAATACACAGTCACTTACTTTGGTAGAGTTTTCAAGTGATTTTCTCTTAACTCCAAGATCCGCAATTTGACAAGTCTACAGAAATGAATTTTAAAAATTTCCTCTTAGTATGTCTGTCTAAAAAATTATTGAATAAGATCTAGTATTTGGTAGCACTATAGGGTTACTATGGTTAACAATAATGTATATTTAAAAATAACTAAAAAAGTAGAATTGGAATATTTCTAACACAAAGAAATGATAAAAGCTTGAAGTGATGGATACCCCAATTGCCCTAATTTGATCATTACACATTGTATGTCTGTACTAAAATATCACACATACCTCATAAATATATACAACTATATGTACCCATAATAATTAAAAATTAAAATAAAAATAAATTTTACTATGGTAAACTATCATTATCACTATTCAAACAGCTATGTCCAAATTTTTTTTTACTATTGTTATAGATTTTAAAGAAATATATATATTGATTATGAGTAGGGTTACATCAATACTGGGCAATGACAAATATCATTTTCCTAAAATTAACTGAGATATTTTAAAGATATCTTTGGATTCCAGCCTTCTAAATTTCATATGTTTTATAAAGGTATATTTGTTGTTTAATTTTATCCATTCAATAGATAATTGAATGTATACTAAATACCAGATGCTGTGTTCACTGGAATATGGCAATAATTTCTCTCAAGAGATTATAAATAAACTAAAAAGCAAATACTATAGCATAGAGTTAAAAAAATGGGACTTTGTAGGAAGACAAACCTGGATGAAATCCAAACTCTTTCATATTCTGCCTCTCTGACACTGGGCAAATTACTTAACCTCTCTTAATTCAATTTCCTTACCCATAAATCTGTGACAGCAGTATCAGATTTATATGGTTTGGAACATTAGATAATGTAATACATGTAAAGCATAATTTCTGGTATATCACAAGTTTTAATAAGAATTGGCTATTATTATTTTCATTATTTACACAATGGGAGAAGTGCTGCAATATACCATATTTCATTGACTCTAAGGCGCATATTTTAACATTTATGAAAATGTTATGCATGTAAAAATCTGTCACATCATCTGTCCCATGACAATGCTGGGGTTGGGGAAATCATGTGAAAAGAATGAGAGGTATTCAGAGTTTCTTTTGCTTGAGTAACATTTGTGATTAGGAATGCATTTCACACTTAGTTACTTGTTAAGTTTTGCAGTCTAGGACACACTATTGTTATTCCTGTCCATATAGAACATTAAAATGTACTCAGATGAAGCTACTTTAGAACAGATATTAATTGGATTCTCTGAATCATTAATGTTTGGGGAAATATTTTACCATTTGAAGTTTTTCATCTACATCTCCCATATTTACTGTATTTTTAGGTTTTCATGTAGATCTCTTTCCTTTCTTTTTTTTTTGCCTCCTATCAAGCTTTTTATTTAATTTTAATCTTATAATGATTAATCTGTATATGAAATAAAGTGATTCAGTTCTTCACGGCATGGGTATATTGCTAGTAAAGGAGATTTCTTAAACATTTGCATGTCTCAAATCTTCTCAACAATTGTACTAGTATAATATTTTGTACTGATTTTGGCTTTTAGGAGTACAGAATCTCAGGTTTTAAAAGGAATTTCAAGTGTCCTCTTGTTAAACTATCCAGTTGATGGTTAAAGACATTTTCAGATTATAATAATAAAATAGAGCATATTTTTTGTAGGCAATTTATGCAAAATTAAATTCTATTTTCAAGTGGTTTTGGTATTGGTATTATGTTTTTCACTTGCCCAAATCTTTTTCTCACATTAGGACTACTTAAAGAGAACTTAAAAATTCAAGAAAAAAATGTATCTTAAGATAATAATTAAACATTTTCTGATTTGATAAATCCAAAGTATGTTGTAAGGCTGTGGTCAGTACCAGAAAGGCAAGGCTAGTTTCTGTGGATGAATGATGAAATGCCAATTCATTCAGAAGCCAAACAGTGCTCTTTGGATGCTCTGTGAATTTTAAAACTGCTCAAGTATATGCTGTTCATAAGTGTAGTGATGTCGTGATCTGCAAAAGTAAGGGAATCTGGGAAAGGTTGATGTGCTCTCAGTATGTAAATGGAGGCTGTCACATGTTAAGTGACTTCATTATTCAACTGAGTTCTTAATGTCCTGTGCGAGCTTCAGTCAACAGATTGGTGTCAAGCTATACTTAGTCTATTATTTGAACAATTTCAAAGACTATCATTTACATAAATTCAGTTGACAGTAAACTTAAAAATGTCCTAGTTATTGAGATATATCTTTTGCACAAAAAAGTTCATTGTAGAACACCTGAAAAATATTGAAAAACATGTCAAGATGACAAGAAAAATTATTCATAATTTTACTTCTAAGATACAGTCTTTTATTTCTTACAGAGTCATATTCATATTGGAAACATCTTAAGAATTTTAAAAAATACTTCCCTAAGATAATATTATTATTATATAGTGCTATCATATAGATGAACCATAATATATTTAACCAATATCCTAGACAGATGTGTGATTCCACTTTTTTCACATTGTAAATAACAATAAACTTGTCCATAAATCCTAGTGGGATATCTGACAATGGCAATAGACATTTCTAGAAATGATTCACAAAGGCAATGGTTGTTAAATATTTTCAAAGGTTTTAAAAGCATACTGCCCTGCATGAAGGTCATAACATTCTGCAGTCCTATCAGAGAGCATGAGATCATCTCTGTTCTTATACTCTAAAAAATTTTTTTGCAATATGTTGGAACATAACAGTCTTTTATTGTTTTAACTTGTATTATGTTTATTATTTGTGAAGACAGACTTTTTTTATGTGTTCCCCAGCCATTTATGTGTTATTATGAATTGCTTTTTCCTTGTAATTTGACCATTTTTCTCTAAAATCTTTGTTTTCATATTTATATGTAAGAATTCTATGTTAAATATATAAATAATTTGTTTTTCATATATAATGAAACTATTTTTTCAGTTGATTGTTTTACCTTAAATCTTTGATTTTCTGATACTTTATGTTAAAAGTATTTAGGTCATCATATGTATTGTATCCATTTATGATATTTTTCTTTGCTTCTATGCCTATAAAGGTATTTCTCAACAAAAGAGCCATAAATATTCATCTCCTTTTTTTCCCTCAGATAATTTCTGGCTTTATTTTTTTTTATATCCAACTCTTTAATTCATCTAGAATTTATTTGACTATTAATGTCATGTAAAGGCCTAATTTTACTTTATATTTTTGCAAAAGTTTCATTAATTAACAGCGTTTCATTTATTGAATAATAATGAGGCCTATCTTTAATCACAACTGACACTTTTGAAGTCTCATCAACTGGCACTGGTAAAGCACTTACCTAAGGTGAGATATAATTGCATAATTTAAATTTCTTATTCTTACCTTCCAAAATTGGCTGGAAGAAATTCAAGAAAGGCGTCATTCAGGTAGAGCTGGGTCAGGTTTAGGAGCTGTGTGAAGCCATCAGGTAGTCTAAAAAGGAGTTAAAGTTTTAGTCACTGCATTGATGTTGCTATAGAAACAGAACAAAAAAAATATGTATCTCTGAGGAGAAAAAATAGAAATGTAATACATTTTTCAACTCTCCTTTGGTATTACAGTAATGAAAGAATTTATTGAGCATGTTGTTACAGTTCGAAAATTTTGCCTGTTATTAAAGTAAATAGCATTTATCCACTTCCATGCTACTCTCCTATACTAAGATTTATGTCACTGCTAAAATCAGCAACATCATCTCTTATTGCTGGCCTAACCTTATGCACGCTAGCCAGGACATTTTTCATGGAAATCTCAAGTTGTTTGGCTTGTTTGTAATTTTAAAACTAATGTTCCTTTTTCAACAGAATATTCACATATATAGTCAGGCAAGAGCATCCAGTTACTATTTCACTTAATCATCAAAATTTGTCTACAATTTGTTACAGCGATGACTAAAGTTGCCCAGTATGAAAAGTGAAGGAGTATGTTGTCCCCTTAACTAATAATTTCTTTAATGTCTGCTCAACATGTATGTAAATCATGATTCAAATTGGTCTAATTCATATTTATTAAAAATGACAAAGAACATTGAAAAGATAATTAGACAATCATAAAGGCTATAAACTGCATCAAAAAATTAAGAAAATAACCTTTGGGGAGTTTTAGAAATTAGATGAAATAATTATTTTAAATGTAAAAAGATTTAACTCAAGGATTTCTCAGGAGACATATTCAGAGGAATATTAATTTTTTTATTAGTAAATTTCTATTTAAACATTTTAATGCCTTTATGTATAGTCTAGTCCAGATTATGTTATTTTATAAAATACTCCTAAATAGTCTTCAAATTTGCCTTCTCCTCAAATTACAGCCTATCTTCCTCCTTGCATTTACTTGTTTAAAAATCTGCCTATACTCATTGCTTTTGATTACTACTCAAGTCATTGTTTTCTGGCATCTACCTCAATTCTGTTACTGAAAATGCACTCACCAAGGCCTCCACTGACCTCCTAAGTTCCAATCCCATTAGCCTCATTTTATTTCGGATCCTACGCTGCCTAGCAACAGTTGCCATCACTGCTTGTTCTCTCCTTCTTTGCTTCTACTACAATTTTCCTGCTTCTCTTCCTTCTCCTGGGACATTATATCTGCGTTTTATTCCATGGTTTATCTTCCTATGTCCAATACTTTCTTGTATGTATATATAAAACACTTATATATATACATATAATATTTGCATTTGTATGTATGTATGTGTGTGTACGTACATATACGTATAAAAGAATATATGTGTACCCACAACAGAATGAAGAAATAGAATCAGTATCTTTGAAACCTTCTGGGTGTCCCTCCCTGTCTACATCTTCCTATTTGCCCCACAAATTCCTGAATCATGTTTACTACTCTGTTTTGAAACAGCTTTACTACAAATATTTAATTCCCTAAAACAAAACATGTTGTATGGTTTTGCATGGTTTTGAACATTATATAAATCAAATCACACTGTGTACATTTCCCCAAGGCTTAAAAAAATTAGTATTAGATTTAAAAAATCCATCCATTTTGACGTGACTGATTGGCCATCATAGCATAGTATTCCACTGTATGAATAAACAATTTAACATTTTCCTTCTAATGAACATTACAGTCGTTTCTTCTTTTTTTTTTGAAATAGAGTTTCACTCTTGTCTCCCAGGCTAGAGTGCAATGGTGCAATCTCGGCTCACTGCAACCTCCGCCTCCCAGGTTACAGTGATTCTCCTGCTCCAGCCTCCTGAGTAGATGGGATCACAGGCACCTGCCACCACGCCCTGCTAATTTTTGTATTTTTAGTTGAGACAGGGTTTCGCCATGTTGGCCAGGCTGGTCTCAAACTCCTGACCTCAGGTGATCCACCCACCTCGGCCTCCCAAAGTGCTGGGATTACAGGCATGAGCCACCGTGCCTGACCTACAGTTGTTTCTAGTTTTTCATTTTGCTATTATAAATATTGGCTTCTGTGAATAATTTTGAACATACAGTATACATTTACAAAATATTACTTAAGTTATATCCTTAGAAGTGACATCATTGGTCATAGGGAATGCAAGTCTATGTTTACTAGATGTAGCCAAATTTCATTCAAAATAGTTCCACCATTTTTCCATGTCCTTCCTAACCCTCGGTTTTGTTAGTTTTTTCATTTTTGCCAATTTGGTAAATATAAAATAGTAATAATCATCATTTCGCTGATTAGTTAGGAATAAAAGTTTATTAGCAAGATTTGTTTCCTTTTCTGTGAAATACATGTTTACTTATTTTACCTATTTTTCTACTGGTGCCCCAACCAGAGAACTCCCTGCCTTTATAATTTTGTTGTACACTGGAACAAATCATGATTGCCTGCCCCTTTCCTTCCTGTCTGAAGGTTTTCTTCAGCTGCTAAAGCCTGGTCTGTTCATGCACCTGGTAGCCCAAGTTCCATGGAATTAATGTCCCTCTCAGAGACAGTACTCAACTAATGACAAGTAGGAATATAAATACCTCTGCTCCCTCTCCCATTGTGTTTGATAACCCTGGTATGTGTTTTACACTGTTACCCAGAGTTCCCCAGAAAGTTAAAGTCCAATGGCCAAATACTGTAAACAGCTTGAAAAAACACTCTCAACAAGTATTTCCTGGGCTTATCTCCCAAATACACTGCTGTATTCTTTTCTAAACGTCTGCTTCTGGGGAATCTAAAACAAACACATTTATATTTTCATACTGATTTATGGCAATTCTTTATACATTCTTAGTAATAAGTCCTCAATGTCATTGATAGGTTCTTTGAAACTGCAAATTTAAGTGAAACTATGTATAACAGAACAATTTTTTATCTTCTCTACAACATTATAATGAAATAATGTTGAAGGAAACAACATTATTTGAAGACCTGCTGTATGTCCTTTCACTTAAAGTTACAGTTTCCAACAACCTATCAATGGCATTAAGTGAAGACTTACTGTATATTATTCTGATATTGGTTATTTTCACTGTAAATATATTGTTCTAGTTTGTATTTTGGAGTTGAATTCTGTGGATATGATTTCATAGAGGATGTTGCCATAAATTTGCTTTTAAGAGACATAGGATTTATGGAAGTAGAAAAGAAAGAGAAGGGAGGCAAGTGAAAAATGAGGGTTTTTATAATGTAGAGGTAAGAAAACACTTGAGATGTGTAACAAAGAGAAGATGAGTTCTGCAGCAAATACTTTATGTATGAGAGTATCCAGAGTTAATATTTAAGAATATCAGGAGAGGGCAGGGTTTACAGTCCTTGAATACTCAACTCAAAGGTTTGAACTTGATCTTATAGAAATGAAAGTCTATGGTAGGTCATTAATTTTCTCTGTGTTTTACTTTGTTGTAATGCATTAGAGCTCATGTCCTGATAGTATGACAGTTGTTATGAGAATGGCACAGATGTTAAATACATTTCAATTGGAATTTAACTATTATCTTTGATGTCTTGTAATTCAAAACAACTACTTACATATGACTTTTCAAAAAAGATGATCAATATGATACATGTAAAATTAGACGAATGTTAAAACCATTAATCTAATAATTTATTTTAACAGTGTCACTGTTAAATTAAAATACTAATTTTCTATTGGTAGGGACAGATATTTTTCCTATATATCAAAACTATGCAGCTTCTCTCAGTCTACTATTCTCCATATGTATGTAATAAATGATATTGTACTACTTCTTTGATCAAAAATATACTTCTTTTTTGCTTCTTCTTTGGTAATGCTTATGCCCTAGAAGAATCTGGCTTATTACATAGAACATTTTGTTTCAGAGTTTAAGAATTGACCACATTTTTTCAGGTTCCAGTGACAAAACTGGACCAGCAAAAATAGGTTATATGAAAAACCAGCATGCAAAGTAAGTCAGTTTTTATCAGGCTGGTTATAAAAAAAGATGTATTGACATTTTCTATTGAACTTTTCTTCTTAAAAATGTGGAGTTAAGAATACGATTACATAGTATGTCTTATTTAACGACATCTATGTTTTATTTCAACTCACTTCAACGTGAATTTTTTATTGAATGGTTACTCTGCACTTAGATTCAAAATTAATGTCTTCTTTATTTTCCTCATAGGATTCTGTTCATAGATTTAGTTGAATGTTTATACAATAATACTTTGTACTAGTATTGGAAATTTTCTATTCCTGGGAAAAATTATAAATTATTTGGGGATAAGGAATTTTTAAAATCTCTTAAACTGTCCATTATTGTACTTTGAAAATAACATAGAATGAAAAATGGATTCGATGTTATTTGAAAAATCATATATATACAGTCAGTGAGTCTGCCAGAAAAGATATTCAAAGATATTCAAAGAATTTATAATTCAAACTAGGACATTTGTGAGAGTTAAAAAGGCAGCTATTAGTAAATATGCCAAATCAAGAATAGTAAACAGAGATGATTTGGGCAAACAGAGACACTTGGTCACTCTACTTATAACTTTCATATCCACCCCATAGATGTACTGTAATTTACTAGTAATTTCTTCACTGCTGAGCATTAAGAATGTTTTAAATTTTTGAGAATGTATCCTACAGCAAATAAAAATACCTTATCAGATATGGTGAAATACAGTGAAAGAAACTTAGGAATTTAAATACTGGCTTCATGCATTTCTCTCTATAAAAAGGTAATAATATTTATCTACATAATGAGGTTTCTGTAAAATTTAAATTAAATAATGTATCTAAAAGTTTAAGACATAGGTTCTCAATAAATGTTAGTTCTTGCTTTTCCCATTGAGGAGTTATTTATCATTAATTTTATGGTACATTTTGTAGTTTCTAATAGAGAAAAGGGCCTGACTTGTCAATATAATTACTTCCAGAAAAATGTATGAGGAACTGTGAGGAAGAAAATATTCCATAGCAAGCTGGATACACTTGATGAAGATGACAATCATAAGTTGCCTTTACTTTCCTGCAAAGTATTCAATGAAATCTAATCTTTGACATTAAGTAAGGAACTCTCAATAATGAAATGATTTTACTATCCTAAAATAACTTGGTGGCTTTTCACATGTAATTGATTTATTTAAAAATTCAAAGAATATATATGTTTTATAAATTAGCAAATAATTCATTCTGCTAAGTAAATACTTTAATTGCTTATATTAAAAGTGGTATGTACAAATACACAGTTACATAGAACAAATGAGATATGGTGTTTGATAGATCAGTAGGGTTACTCTAGTTAACATTAATTAATTTTACATTTCAAAATAGTCAGAAGAGAATTAGAATGTCCCTAGTGTAAAGAAAAGATAAATATTTAAAGTGATGGATATCCCAATTATCCTGATTTGATTACATGAATGTATCAAATTATCACATGTGCCCACCCAAAATGTACATCTATATATATCAGTTAAAAAACTACAACAAAGATAGAATAACAATAGACCCAGACACTCATATAGTTTAGCAGTTGAGCACATGTATTGATATCAGAAGACTTTGCTTATAATCACAGGTCTTCAAATTATTTTCATGTGACCTTTGCAATTACTTAAATTTGAAATAGTTGATTTCCTTATTTGTAAGATGATAATACTAATATCTGCTGCTCAGATTTGCTCTAATGATTGAATGACTACCTATCCCATAGTAAGAATCAGCAAATCAAAGAAATTTTAATACTTTTATTTAGTAAGAATTTTATTTTGATGTTTCAATAAACATTAAATAGAATACTATTTTAAATACTTTCATAATTGCTAATTTTTACTATTGGAATAGGCAAATTAAGATCAGTTTCAGTCACCCTTATTTCAACATTTTTTTCTTTTCTAATTGCATTTACTCTAGAAGTTTGATGAAAACATATTACAAGCATCTGACCTCTAATAGAACAGTTAAACCATATAAAATTCTAAGTTTTATATGTTGTGAATAAGAACACAACGTAGAAGTTTCTATTCTAGCTGGAAAGGCATTTTACATCAAAACATCTTCATTTATGCAGCTTAAAATTATAAAACGAACATCATAATGTTAGAGAACATTTGGAAAATAAAGATAAAAGTGTAACTCATAATTTTACCTCCTTAGCACAACCATGATTATCATTTCATTTATTTCTTTCTAATCTATTAATTGTTTTAACAACACTGCAAACTTATATCATTATTTCTCCCTTTAATGTATAAAGCAATACAGATTATAAATAAATACATGGAAAGGTGCTAATTAGACATTAGAAATATAAATTAAAGCCATAATTGAAATACCATTTCTACTACACTGGCTAAAATGGAAAAAAATAAAAAACTGATGGAACCAAATTCTGGCAAAGATGAAGAACAACTGAACTCTGAACACCTGAACTGGTGTAACACACATTTGAATAGCTTTGGGAAAGTGATTTGGAAGTTTCTTATCAGGTTAAACATATACATACCATACGACTCAGAAAACTACTCCTAGGGGTTCACTCAATAGAAATGAAAATATATGCTCACACAAACACTTGTGCATAGTTTGTACCAGCTTTACTCATAATAGCCAAAAACTGGAAACAACCCAAATGCCTATCAACTGAGGTACAGATAAACAAATAATGTTATAGCCATACAATGGAATACTACCTGGGAATAAAGGGGAATGAAGTACTGATTATTGAAAAATTACAAATAAATTTCAAAATCATTATGTTAAGTAAAAGAAGTCAGACACAAAAGTATGATATCATTTATTTGTCATTTTGAAAAAGACAAAGCAATGGGGATAGTAATCGTCAGTGGATGACTGGGCTAAGGGAATTCTTTGAGATGATGCAATAGTCTATATCTTGACTATGGAGATGGTCACATGACTGTATACATTTGTTAAAATTCATTGAACCATACACCTAAATAGAATTAATCTTATTTTTTTGAGACAGGGTCTCACTCTGTTGCCCAGGATGGAGTGCAGGGGCATGATCATGGTTCACTGCAGCGTTGTCCTCCCAGGCTAAAGTGATTCTCCCACCTTAGTCTCTCAAGCAGCTAGGACTACAGGCACACACCACCACACCAGGCCAATTTTTTGCATACTTTATAGAGACAGGGTTTCACCATGTTGCCAGGGCCAATCTTAAACTCATGCGATCCTCCTGCTTTGGCCTAAGTGTTGGGATCACAGGTGTGAGCAACCATGCCTGGCCAGAGTAAATTTTATTGTATAGAAATAACATATTTAAAAACATGACTTTAAAATTTGATAAACAATTTATGTTGACTTTTCATAATTTTTATGAATTTCAAAACTGTTTAATGTTTACAGTGTTATGCATTTTTGCTGAAATAGGTCATATTTATTTATCTTTTAAAAAGTTATACATATGAAGGGAATTAGACATATCCAATAAAACCATAGACTTGAAATTTCTCAAAGATGTAATTTCTAATCTGGCTGCCACTCCCAAAGACCTACCATGATTCCTAAATAAGACGAGCTACTAGAATTAAATAATTAGGAGGAAAAAAGCAATTTATCAACAGCACTGGATTGTTTTGACTCAAGTCAAGGACATGACTGTAGTCCTGGTGGGAGAAATTAGTAACATCTATTTCACTGAGATGTTGAAAAAATTGCATTTTGGTCTACGAGTTTTGGGAAAAGCTTTTTAGAGTTTTATTTTCTCTTTTTTTTCCCTCCCTATTTACTTTTCAGGAAGAAAAACTGTAATTTTTAAACACATTTTGTTGCTTGATGTTTTACATTTCCTACAAAAGGCCTCAGATTATTTCACAAACCATTCACTATAAAGATCTCCATCTAAACTTCGATCTCATTCTTTTACATCTATTTCACTCCTCACCTTGTCTAGAGCCTCTTCCCATCATCCATAGAGAACCACTTTCACTACTCCCTCTCCTCAACTCTACTGGTATAAAATTTCCCATCAACTTCCCTTTGACAAATTTATTTATGTCTTCTTCTAAAAATACTCCATCCATTAAATGTCTTTCCAATGGGCTTCGGTTTCCCCTAGCCTCCTACACTTCATCAGACAAAAGATCGAGGAATTTTTCTCAAATCCTACTGTCAGCTTTGTATAATTAAAATGCCAGTCTTACTCTGAAGCTCATTTTTTGCAGCCCAATACAACTGACTTATTTCAACCTCTTCTAAATATTACAACTGTCAGGAGCCTCTCTAGATTTTATTTCTACTTCCATTATTAAGTGACTTTAACATTCAGGTTCATGACTCCTCCAATCAATTTATTTTATTGCTTCCTGACCTACTTGATTCCACAGACTTCTGTCACTACTCCATATGCTCAATTTACCAACATGGTCACTTGCTGGGTATCATTTTTCTATGGCATTTCTTAATGAACAGATCTTGGACTACAAATACCCATTTTCTGATCACAGCATCTCTATTATCCATATCTTCCATTCTCCTATTCTCCTAGGGTTATCTCTTTGTTCTTGCTGCAATCTCTGGTATACAAGTACTTTCTATTTCTGGTCATACTTAATTCCCTTGATCTACATGATAGGTTATTTTTATGCACTTGTCAATACCTTAAACTCTTGCAGTATCTTGAACTTCTGGCAGTCCTTGATGCTAGTTTTCCACCATGACCATTACTAATAACTGTTTTATTAGTTTCAACTCTTATCTATGGAGTGTTACCTGAGAGCTGTGGAAAATGGTGACAAAGTTTGTTTCAAAGTCATACCATCTTTTGCCAATTGGGTCTTCCTTGCTACTCAGCAATGTTTTTAATCATCTTTTGTCAAACTATTCTGATTAATTTTTCCCATCATTCTATTAAATGCTATGTCAATGCTACATTTAAATTTAAATTATGATGTGCATTTCCTCTATTTAGGTACATTATTATACAATGGAAATATAAATACAAATAAAATTTAATCACTCATACTCACTTAGAAATGGGATTGACACTGGCTTCAATAATTGTTAAACACTTACAGCACTTTATGTTTTCTGGAAATTCTTGTACACCTAAAATGTGAAAAAAACAAAGTACATGAAAATGTTCCAACAAATATTCTTTAAACTATAGTTCTAATATTTAGATAATTATTAAAACTATGAGTCAGTACATGATGTAAACACCATTTAGGATAAGCATTTAAGTAGAAATAAAAACTTAATAACATATCAATATTATTAATCATATATACATAATTTTTAATAAAGGTTGAATGTTAAATAATATTTTATAATAAAAGTTTAAAATTGGATGTAAAATTGAGGACAATTGTGTATTTGGCCTAAGATAAATCTTTGATCTTTGGTAACCTAAAGAAATAAAAATAGCTTAAGTTATTAAGTTATAGTGCTGCTACTGAGAGAAGGGAGAACAAGTAGATGTAAAGAAAACAGAAGATAAAATCTTTACTTCCAATAATCATTTTATAAGGTTAGGAAGGTTGAACTTATACATGTGAAAAATACTTAGGAATACACCCAAAACTGATAGATATTCCCAAACTAATATGGGGCTCTGCTAAATTTTATACAATTCTTTTTTGTTGGCTGTACAGAGTGTAGCTCTGCATCTGCCTGAAAGTGTGAAGAGACAAGCAGTTTTCCTTGGGTCCTCCCTGGAGTCTCTGAGGTAGCCAGCCTGGCTGATTGCCCTTGGAGAATTGCTCATCTGCTGTCACAGCTGTGCTACTGGCTGTGTGACAGAAAAACACAGATTTTTCTATGAAACTGAAAATGCAAAAGCTGAAACCTAATCCATAAATGTGAGGGTCAGAGGAATAAAAGATGTGGGGGACATTTCAATCAATTGACAGAAATGGATCAATGTAGTAGGCCCTGCAAAAGTTAGAAGGGAAGAAGCTATATGAAGCTGTTATTATGCGATATGCCTGCAGTACCACTTTCTCTCAATTTTTGAAACTATTATCAAGGATGCAAAAATTTTCAAAAAGAACTGGCCTTTCCCAGTACTTCATATCTGACAGAAGGATAAGGAACACTTTGTGGCAGGATATAATTGAACTTTTTGATGATGGATACTCAAGAAACAAAATATTCCACCTTTTTAGATTTCATTCATCTAGAATACCATGTCCACAGGACTTCAAAGCCCTTGAAGCAGCAGGGTAGTCAAATCCAGGACAGGTCACTTATCCACTGCCAAATAGGGGTACAAAGGGGTACAAAGTGGGGTTTGCGATGTTTCTCACGCCATTTCTCTCTATTTAAAATTTCACCAGAAATCATGCGGTCCTAAAATTATTACTGAACTATTCTGACTTCTAAATAAGAGCCTCCAAAAGTTTGGGAGCTCCATTGTGTATGAATTTAATGAAAAAGCCTGTTTCTCTTGTTTTTGGAAGGCCGAAACACCTAGAACTTCTTCCATTAAATAGTCACTAAAAAAAGGCAGCCATGTCAATAATCTAAGTTGTGAATTATTCTTAACATTTTCCCATAAAATTCTTTAAATATCTTCAATGGACAGTAGTATAAATTTCTCCTTTTCTCCGTTTAGCTTTTTCTGTTCACTCTCCAATCTGGGCTCATTGCATGCTGCTATACATGATGCCTTATCACCACAGGTCCCTGTCTTAAAATGGTATATGCTTGAATTACGTGTAAATCAGGACATGGAGGCAGAAGTGAATTAAAATATGATTTTAAGAAAAAGATGACGTCTCTTTATCTTCTACTGAAAATGGAATTGCCTACTGTGGTGAAAATGGTGCTATATTATTTGTTTAAAAATTTGTATTATATTGTTTACAGTTTAAATTTAAAATAATTCAGAGCACAGTCTGTTGGCTCGAGATGGAATCCTAGCTATATACCTTCTGGCTGGTAGCCCTAGGCAAGTCTTTTAAACTCCCAATGCCTTAGTTTTCTACTCTGAAAAATAGTGATTATATGAATGGTTTTATCATAGAGTTGTAGTGAGGATTAAAAGAGATTATACAGAAAAGCAATTGGCACAAAGTGCTGTAATAATGCTATCTATAATTATTAGAAATAAAAAAGAATCAGAGGATGTAAGTCAAGAAAAGAACCAAAAACATATCAAAATTATCTGGCTTCAGGTATAAACGTATAAAATTTATCTACCTTAGAGAACACAGGAAAAAGAATTAGTGTGCTGAAAGAATATAATATAATATATATACTGTGAATATATACATTATTAATGTGCGTGTACGCACACACACACACTTTTTTTCCCACACACACACTTTTAAAGCTGCTGTTCTTTGAAGACCCAAAAGTGCCAGACATTGTGCCAAGGTTACAGACATAAAAAATGGGATGAAAAAGACTTCATGACATTTTTCTTAAATTGATGTTCTAACTCAGAAGAATGATTGAAAGAAAAACTATAGAAGAATCAAAAGATAAATGTGAAGAAGTCTTCTAGAAAATGTGGTAACATTAGGCAAAAAGACAGTAAAGATGAATTTATAATAGTTGAGACATTTTAGTATCTGAGTAATGGAAGTTCAAAGAAGAGTAAACTGAGAACACAAAAGATAGAAAATACGAAAGGAACAATTCAAGAATATTTCAGTAATTTCAAACAATGAATAAGATTATTTCAGATTAGAAAAGCTCACTCATTCAAGGAATATCGAGGATTAAGAGGGGAGAGAAAAATCAGGTTTCACACAAAGGATCAAAATCTAGATGACATTTGACTTCTCAAAAATATTTGGAATAAGAAAATTATACAGAACTATATCCAACTTCTGAAGGAAAATGATTTTCAACTAAAATCCTATACACCACCAAACTAATATTCCAAAACTATGAAAATGAGTGTGGAATAAAGATATTTTCAGTGACATAAGCAAGATGGCAGAATAGGAGTTTTCTAACATCTCACAGTTTACTGATTTTGGCAACCACCTGCAGATGAGAGTATTTTTGTGGGAGTTTGGGAGTCCAGCGGACAAATTCCAGCATATCATTGGAGCAAAGCTTATGAGAGTAGACTCATTGAAGATAGTACGGAGAATAGTTTCATTTTACCCATTTCACCCCACCCTCAAGCTAGCACAGCTCAATGCCAGGAGAAACTCCTTCAACTCACAATTGTCCCCACAGGGGAAAGTAAAAATATAGTGAGTGAGGCTTGCCCAACTGTGTGGGACATTGTCTTAGAGGCCTACCTCTTTCTTGCCCCACTTAGAATACTGAGGGCATCAACAAGGCTGAGTGGCTGGGAAAGGCTAGGAGCTGGGAGGAGAGGTACGGACTGTCAGCAACCAATGTTCAAAACTTAACAAAGAGCTGTATATTCTACTATTCTCCAACACAAAGTTTGCCCATGACCTGTTCGGTATGCCTCACCTGTGGACCACCATAACTGATTCATAGGTCCTCCCAACACGTTGTGTTTTTCAGCCTCCCTTCTATAACTGTAGCTAGCTCCTTTCATGTGCCTGACAGAGAGTGTGAGCACTTGCCGTTGTCTGGCCAGCATACACAGCCAGCCACCTTGAGTTTGTGGGATTGGGAGAAGGAACACAAACTTTAGCATTTCAGAGCATTGCCTAAAAAAACAAGTGAGAGACTCCCAGCACACAGCCTGGCTTTGTGGGACTGAGAAAGGGCAAGCAATCTTAAGAAATTCTGCCCAAGAGGAAACAAAATAGGTGGAGCAGGCACATCCACAGCAAAAGTCTGAGAAAGACTCAGAATCCATCATCTGGCTGACTGGTGAAGGTGTTTCTCTCCTGAAGCAAGTCAGTAAAGACTGAAGGAGGTGACAGCTTCTTCAAATGCAAAGACAACAATACAAGACTTCCAGGAATACAAACAAAACAAAACAAGGGAATATGACACCACCAAAATAACACAATTTTTTTTTTTGACAGAGTCTCGCTCTGTTGCCCAGGCTGGAGTGCATTGGCACAATCTCAGCTCACTGCAACCACCACCTCCCAGGTTCAAGTGATTATCCTGCCTCAGCCTCCCGAGTAGCTGGGATTACAGATGCCCACCAACACACCAGGCTAATTTTTTGTATTTTTAGTAGAGATGGGGTTTCATCAGGTTGGCCAGGCTGATCTTGAACTCCTGACCTCAGGTAATCCACCCGCCTCAACCTCCGAAAGTGCTGGGATTACAGGCGAGAGCCACCATGTGAACACAATTTTCTAGTAACCAAACTGAAAGAAATGAAGCTCCATTAATTGCCTGACAAAAACATCAAAATTAATATTTTAAGGAAGCTAAGTAAGCTACAAGAGGGCACAGATGGACAAATCAATAAAATCAGGAAAACAATGAACAAAACAAGAAGTTAAATGAAGAGATAGAAATCATTAAAAAAATCCCAGAAATTCTGGAGCCGATGAATACAATAAATGAAATGGAAAATGCAATATAGAACTCCCACAGCAGACTTGATCAAGCAGGAAAAACAAATGCTAAATCGGAAACAGCCCATTTAAGATTATCCAGTCAGAGTAGAAAAATGAAGACAGAATGAAAAGGAATGAAGAAAGCTTATGGGATTTATGGGACACCCTCAAGAGAAATAAAATAAGGATTATAGAAAACCCAGAATAAGAAGAGAAAGTACATAACACTTATTTAAAGAAATACATTTATGTAGCCAACAAACTTATGAAAAAATGCTCATCATCACTGGTCACTAGAGAAATGCAAATCAAAATCACAGTGAGATACTGTCTCACACCAGTTAGAATGGTGATCACTAAAAAGTCAGGAAACAACAGATGCTGGAGAGGATGTGGAGAAATAGGAATGCTTTTACACTGTTGGTGGGAGTGTAAATTAGTTCACCCATTGTGGAAGACAGTGTGGAGATTGCTTAAGGATCTAGAACTAGAAATACTATTTGACCCAGCAATCCCATTACTGGGTATATACCCAAAGGATTATAAATCATTCTACTATAAAGACACATGCACATCTATGTCTATTGCAGCACTGTTCGCAATAGCAAAGTCTTGGAACCAACTCAAATGTCCATCAATGATAGACTGGATAAAGAAAATGTGCCACATATACACCATGGAATACTATGCATCTATAAAAAAGGATGAGTTCATGTCCTTTGCAGGGACATGGATGAAGCTGGAAACCATCATTCTCAGCAAACTAACACTGGAACAGAAAACCAAACACCACATGTTCTCACTCATAAGTGGGAGTTGAACAATGAGAACACATGGACACAGGGAGGGGAACATCACACACTGGGGTCTGTTGGGGGGCTAGGGAAGAGATAGCATTAGGAGAAATACCTAATGTAGATGACAGGTTGATGGGTGCAGCAAACCACCATGGCACGTGTATACCTACATAACAAACCTGCATGTTCTGTACATATACCCCAGAACTTAAAGTATTATAATGATAATAGTAATAAACTATAATATCAAATACCTAAAATGTGTGTATGTGCATGGGGATGTGTGGATTTTTTATAAGTGATCAAAGTTAAGTTATTATCAGCTTAAAATAGTGTTATAACTATAAGATGTTATAACATAGCCTATGTTATAATGTAGCCCCATGGTAACCACAAAGCAAAGACCTATAGTAGATACACAGAAGATAAAAATAAATAATTTAAAACATACCACCATATAAAATTAAATCACAAAGGAAGAGAGCAAAAAGAAAGAACAAAGAAACTATAAAACAATCAGAAAAAAAATCAACAAAATGGTAATAGTAAGTCCTTACCTATCAATAATTATTTTAAATGTAAATAGGCTAAATAATCTAATGAAAAGACATAGAGTCATTGAATGGGTGAAAAAAACATGACCCAACTACACGTGCTTGAAACAAACTTTAGGGACTTATGTAGGCTGAAGGATAGAAATAATATTTCATGCAAATATAAACCAAAAGAGAGCAGGAGTATCTGTACTTATTTCAGACAAAATAGGCTTTAAGTCAAAACCTGTCACAAGTGACAAAGAGGGTAATTATATAATGATAAAAGTGTCAATTCAGCAAGAGGATATAATTTAAATATATATGCACCCAATATCAGATAACCTAAATATATGAAGCAAGCATTGACAGACTGAAAGGAGAAATGAAATAAAATATAATAATAGTAGGGACTTCGATACCCTGCTTGCAACAGGGTAGATTATGCAGATACACACACACACACACACACACACACACACACACACACAGAGAGAGAGAGAGAGAGAGAGAGCATTCCATTCAACAGCAGCAGAATACACATTAATCTCAAGCACACATGAAATATTCTGCAGGAAGATTATATGCAAGGCCACAAAATAAGTCTTAAAAAATTTACAAAGACTGAAATAATATCAAGTATCTTTTCAACAGCAATGATATATATAAAACCAGAAATCACTAACAAGAGGAAAACTGGAAAATTCACAAATATGTGGAAACCAAATAGTACCATCCTGAGCAACCATTAGGTCAAAGAAGAAATCAAAAGGAAAATTAAAAGAAAATCTTGATACAAAAAAAAATAGAAATACAACATACCAAAACTTATGGGATTCAGCAAAAGCAGTTTTAAGAGGGAAGTTTATAGAAATAAATGCCAAATTAAGAACAAAGAAAGATCTCAAATAAACAAGCTAACTTTACACTTCAAGTAATTAGAAAAATAAGAACAAACCCAACAAATATCAGAGCAGCAGTAAATGAAGCAGTGACAAAAGAAAAATCAGAAAAGATCAATGAAACTAGAATTTGTTTTTTTTGAGAAGATAAAATTGACAAGCCTTTAGCTACAGTAAGAATAAAAGGGAACCTACTTAAATAAGTAGAATCAGAAATGAATGAGAAGACACTACAACTGTTACTACAGATATACAAATCATGATAAGATACCACTACAAGAAATTATATTCCAACAAACAACTGAATAATCTAGAAGAAATAAATTCTTATTGATATAGAGCCTGCTTAGACTGAATCATGAATAAAAAATTTGAACAGACATAACTAATAAGGAGATTGAATCAGTAAACAGAAATCTCCCAACAATGAAAAGCCCAGTACCCTATGACTTCACTGTGAATTCTACCAAATGTTGAAAGGAGAATTAATATCAACCTTCTCAAACAATTGAAGAGAAGGGAACACTTTCAAATCCAATTTCGAAGACTAGCATTACCTTGACACCAAACCCAGACAAGAAACAACAAAAAAAGAAAATTACAGGCCAACATCCCTGATGAACATATGTGCAAAAATCCTCAAGGAAGTACTAGAAACCCCAATACAACAGCACACTAAAAGGATCATATACCATAGTCAAATGGGATTTACCCTGGGGAGGCAAAGATGGTTTATCATCCACAAATCAATAAATGTGATACACCACATCAAGAGAATGAAGGATAAGAATCATATGATCATTTTACTAGATGCAGAAAAAAGCATTGAACAAAATCCAACATCCTTTCATAATGAAACTCTCCACAAATTAGGTATAGAAGAAATGTACTTCAACACAATAAAAGCCACATATGACAACACTACAGCCAACATCATACTCAACAGTGAAAAGTTGAAAGCTTTTCATCTAAGAACAGGAACATGACAAGGATGATCACTCTTGTCACTTCTATTTAACATAGTACTGAAAGTTTTAACCAGAGGGTTAGGCAAGAAAAAGAAATAAAAGGCAACTAAGTCAGAAAGGAAAGCTGAATGGTCCCTCTTTGTGGATGCCAGCATCTTATATATAGAAAACCCTAAACAATCCACCAAAAACTATTAGAACTATTAAGCAAATTTAGTAGAGCACAAGTTACAAAATCAACATTTAAAAGTCAATTTTGTTTCCATACACTCACAACAAACTATGTGAAAAAGAAATAAAACAATGCTTACAATAATGTGGGAAAGAATACCACACTTAGAAATAAATTTAACTGAGGTGAAAAATCTGTATCACTGAAAACTTCAAAATATTGATGAAAAGATTGAAGACAAAAATAAATGAGAAGATATCATGTATTCACGGAGTGAAACAATTAATGTTGTTTAAAATTCCACACTACCCAAAGTAATTCACAGATTAAATGCAATTCCTATCAAAATCCCAATGACTTTTTTTACAGAAATAGAAAAAATAATCCTAAAATTTATATGAAATCACAAAAGATTCTGAGTAGCTAAAGTAATTTTGAGCAAGAAGAAAAAGCTGGAAGCCTCACCTTTCTTCATTTCAAATTACATTACTAAGCTATTATAATCAAAACGGGCTGATATTGGCACAAACACAGACTTAGAGATCATTGGAATAAATTAGAGATCCCAGAAAAAAAGCCACATATATATCAATCAACTGATGGTTAACAAATGTACCAAAAACACAATGGGGATAGTCTCTTCAACAAATGGTGCTGAGAAAACTAGAAACCCACAGGTAGAAGAATGAAATTGGACCCTTATCTTAGATAATACACAAAAATCAACCCAAAATGGATTAAAGACTTATATATAAGACCTGAAACTTTAAAAACTTATATATATATATAAGACCTGAAACTTGAAAACTTCTGGAATAAAAAGTAGGGGTAGAGCTCCTTGACATTGGACTTGGAAATGGTTTTTTTGAATGTGACACCAAAAGCACAAACAACAAAAGCAAATGTAAGCAAGTAGGACTATACAAAATAAAAAGGTTTTTGCACAGCAAAACCTACATACATATAATATATGTATATCTTATCTACACATATAATATATGCACATAGTATATATGTGCACAATGAAATATTATTTGGCCTTAAAGCATAAGCAAATCCTCCTATTTGGAACATCATGGATGGGCCTGGAAGACATGCTAAGTGAAATAAGCTAGACATAGAAAGACAAATATGGCATCACATCACTTATACGGGGAATCTAAAAAAGTCTAATTCTTAGAAACAGAGTAGAATAGTTGTTACCAGGTGCTGGGGAGTGCGGGTAATGAGGAGGTGTTGGCCAAAGGGTATGAGCTTTCAGTTATAAGATGAACAAGTTCTGGAGATCTAATATATACTATGGAGACTATAGTTAGTAATTATACTGTGTTGTATACTTGAAAAAATAGTTATTTTTTAAATTAAATAGAAAATGGAAGTTAAATATTTACATTCTACCTTTCAGTTAAACATAGTCAAATGCCAACTGTGAAACAAGGACACTGTCAAAAATGTTTCAACACCTTTTTCACTGGGACACTTCAGGCCTTCCACTAAAATATAGAGATAAGAAATGCCCATAAAACCATGCAATTGCTAAAACAACTTTTGGAGAAGAAATACTGGCTGCAGATTTGTCAGAATGTTCCTGCTACGGTTTGAATATTTGTATCCTCCCAAGTTCATGTGTTGAAATCCTAACACCCAAGGTGATACGTTTTTAAGAGGTGAGGCATTTTGGAGATAATTAGGTCATGATAGCAGAGCCTTCATGAATAGGATAAGTGCCCTTATTAAAATGGCCCCCGAGGCTGGGCACAGTGGCTTGCGCCTGTAATCCCAGCACTTTAGGAGGCTGAGGCGGGCGGATTGCTTGAGGTCAGGAGTTCGAGACTAGCCTGGCCAACATGGTGAAACCCCGTCTGTACTAAAAGTACAAAAATGAGCTGGGTGTGAGGGCGGGCACCTCTAATCCCAGCTACTCAGGAGGCTGAGGCAGAATTGCTTGAACCCAGGAGGTGGGGATTGCAGTGAGCTGAGATCATGCCACTGCACCCCAGCCTGGGCGACACAGCAAGACTAGGTCTCAAATAGTAAATAAATAAATAAATAAATAAATAAATAAATAAATAAATAAAGGTTCTAGAGAGCTGTCTTGCTCCTTCCACCAGCTGAAGACATAGTGAGAAGGGGCAAGTCTGCTCCCAGTGGTCTTTTTAATAAGAACACTATGGGCCATATGCCAATTGAGGTACTGTCTATGAGGAACAGGCCCTCATGAGATAGATTTCCCAGTGCCTTGATCTTGGATTTCCCAGCCTCCAGAACTGTGAGAAATAAATGTTTGTTGTTTATAAGTCACCCAGTTTGTAGTATTTTGTTATAGCCCCCTGAACAGACTGAGAAAGAGCTTCTTGAAGTACATTTTTTGTTTAAAGCCATATTCTCTAAGTTCAGAATAATTTTGATAAGTGAATGGCTGTCATTGAAAGAGCTTTTTGGTGTCAAGCCTAGCTGTTTTGGGGACTGTGAAGGGGGATCAAGCTGTGCTGCACATTGGGATCCCTGCCAAATAAATGACATTTCCTAAGAACACAGAATTTTTTAAAGTTGCCTTGTTCTTACCAAACAGGTGGAAGGGTATTCCAAAAAAAAGACACAGCCAACCTTCTGAGGATACTAAAGAGAAAAGCTAACAAAATTTTAAACTTAACTGAGCTGAAAATAAGCTGTCTGATTGGAAGTAATAACCTCCTAGATTTTTTTAAAAGATATTTTCAGATGTTCAAGTTCCCCAAATTTTTATTTTGCACACACCGTTTTCCAAAGATCTTCTGTAGGATGTTTGTCACCAAAATGATGTATTAAGGAAGAAATGTAACCAGGAACCAGATGGTCCAACATAAGAGAGGCAAAGGGAATCCCCAGAATGATGGTGGAGGTTTCACAAGGCAAAGGCTCACAGCAGGCCTGGAGAGCACACAGTCTAGATTGCATCAGTTCAAAAAGCTCCTAGAGAATTTTTGCCCAATGAGCTATAAGTGAAAGAACAACTAATGTGTTTGAACATATTGACAGGAAATTTACGCAGCTTAGGGAGAGTTCTGGGTTGGACTGATAAAAAAAACCTCACAAAAAGCTAAGCAATAAAATCAACAAAACAAACATTAAATTCAGGAAAAACAAAATGTGGCAAGAAAGTAAGAGTATGCTTTTGTTTCAGCTATTGAGTCGATGGAGTTTATGCTCAGCAACATTTTTGCTGAGGCTTTTGTGGTTATCTTAATTTGCTTAATTTCTTGGAACACATTTAGAAAAGTAGGTTACCAGTGGCTCTTCACCATGTATATTAATATATGAGTTCTAGAGTTTAGGGAAAGTTCTTTGAGCATATCTTCACCTAGGAGTTCAACCCAAACACAGAGAAATAGTAGTAGTTAAAAGTGTAGTGGTTAAAAGCACAGGTTGGAAAGGTGACCAAGTACCAGTTTTGTCACTTAACTGAGCATTTAATCTTAGATGGCATTATAATATTTGAAAGAATTAGTCATTTCTTGTTGAATTCAGAGGGTTATTCTGAGTATTTGATGATATGAATGTAAAACACTGAGTATCATGTCTGGCTCTTAATAAGTACTTGAAAAATTCTAGATAAAATTATAGTATGAATAAGAATTTTAATTAATAAGTATAAGGTAACTTACACTTCACTTTGTCACTGTGAAAAAATCATTTAATTCTTTCAATAATTTTGAAGCTGTATTAAGCAATATGATTTTCATTTTTCAAATGAAGAACCACACATTTACAAGAGTAGAAGTTTTATTTAAATATCTAATGGGTGTTTACAGATGAGAATAGATATATATGGGATTTAATAAAATTTTCAAAACACGATATCTTTTTTAACCCATTATGCAACCACCTGTTGAAATTGTTAGATATGTCATTAGACAAATAAAGCCCATACTTTTATTAATCAACCTTTGTAATCTTCTGTCTGGTCCTCAGAAACAACTGTTTTCAATTTATAAAGAAATTCGTATGTACATATATTTACTTATAAATGTTATATATATTTGTTGTATATATACATATGCATGCTTTCTAAGATATAACTTTGTTTTGATTTTTACATTTATTCATTCAGACATGGAATAAATGGCCTTACTTGAGCAATATATCTTATTCCAAACATTCTGACTTGTGATTAAACAGGGTCAATAATTTGTAGACCACGTAATCCAAGCTCTGATCTCTATTTTTCAGCTGAGATATCACTAAAAATTTCTATCACAGGCCCACAATGAACTCTCTTCTAAGGGAACCCACAAGTTCACTTCTTTTGATTTCCCTGGAGACCCAAGCTTATTATATTTAGGTTATATTCAAACCTAGGCTGAACAACCATTTACAGTAAGGACTGTATTCTAAAGTAATTATATGGGAAGCATTATGTTTTATAGGCAAAATGGTATATTTAATTTAAAAAATGGAAAATTGCCGTATTCACAAATAGCAAATGAGACATGCTTCTTCTCTGAAGTGAGCTTTAGTTTTTTCAGAAGAGTAGGATTAGTAGTCATGAAGATGGGAAAGGAGGTATGGATGGTTTAAAGCCAGAGAAGATATGAAATTGTCCCCAGAACAGAGGGAGAGTCAATGGACTAGGGAAGTATGAAATGATCACTGGTAAGCCTCAAGACTGCACTTCAGATTTGCAACCATGAATTCAATCAGTTGGTATGGTTGAGTCTTTTTGCTAGTTCCTTTCAGCACTACTTAGAGAGTTGAATTCAGCCAGGGTTGTAATTTTGCTGAGCAAGCAAGCACAGTGACATGAGAGAGAAGAAAGGGTGTCAAGGGGGTCCACAAGGGAGTAATCTGATAATTGACTATAGAATTTGAACCATATAAAGAGGGCAGAGAAAACATCGATGTTGTGGAGAAGTGCATGAGAAGATGCCAATATAATGGATTGGTGGTTCTGATGGGGTAAAAGATGTTTGAAGATAGGGAGGGTTCTGGAAATGGGAGAATGGGGTCAGATATTTGGGGTTATGGATTCATCAATTGACACTCAATTTCTTGATATTCCTGACAGTACCTAAGTTAATGCTAGGAAAACAATGGAAACTCAGCCATTGCTTGTTAAATTGCATCTAGTTACAGTTTCGCATCAATAGCTTGAGGTGATGATCTAAAACATCTACCATACAGACATAACATACTTCTTAACAAATACCAAATTTTGAATGATTTAGTGTTCTCTCAAGTGCATAAAAATTGTTTCTTATAAATTTTTGTATAAATCAATACACATATAATAGGAATAATGCATATTGAATGCTTATGTTTTCTGAATTTTACACATATCATCAGCCCAAATGGTTTACTCTGTGATATAAATGTTATATGCTAATAAAGACAAAAGTCCTAATGATACCTCTCATATGAAATAAAGACAGGAAACATGTTTATAAGATTTCAATATCTACATCTGATATTTTAATTGCTAAAAATTTTTTGTAATTTTATTTTTCAATTTTGAGAAGGCAAGTCAGATATTAGTATACCTATTAAATTAGATTAAACTTAAAGAATAGAAAGAACAGAGGGTTCTTTCTATTCTTAGAGAAAGAGAGAATGTAATAAGCACTTTATTCCATCTGCACAATAATTTTGTAAAGTGATTCATTATTCCCATTTAACTAATGAAGAAACTGAGGCTCAGAGGTTACCCAGGGTTTGAAACTAGGCCTAGCTTATTTCAAACGCTATCATATTAACCTGTGTTAAACTGCTTCCATCAAATCTAGGATTTAAACTACGTTGGGATATAAGTTTTAGCTACACAAGACTGGCGATGCAGCATTTATAACATTTGTTCCATACGTACTCTTCAGGTCAAATACAAACAACCTTAACTTTCTGGAACTCCGTGTTTAAAGCACAACCAGGGTTGACTATGTAGCATCCTTAAAGCATCATTGTAAGCTCCATTTGTTCTATATTTTTCTTAGGCCAAATTTCAGATAGTATAAACTTTCTGGCTTTTTTGAGTGTTATGCTCAGGTAACAAAGTCCTTTATTTCTGAATCATTTACTGAGGCGAAGCACTGGAAACTTAGTTCATAGTCTTTGTACTCTTTTTTTAAAAATTTTTTATTATAGTTTAAGTTCTGGGATACATGCACAGAATGTGCAGGTTTGTTACATAGGTATACACGTGCCATGGTGGTTTGCTGCACCCATCAACCTGTCACCTACATTAGGTATTTCTCCTAATGCTATCCCTCCCCTAGCCTCCCAACCCCCAACAGGCCCCTGTGTGTGATGTTCCCCTCCCTGTGTCCATGTGTTCTCATTGTTCAACTCCCACTTATGAGTGAGAATATGCGGTGTTTGATTTTCTGTTCCAGTGTTAGTTTGCTGAGAATGATGGTTTCCAGCTTCATCCAGGTCCCGGCAAAGGACATGAACTTATCCTTTTTTATGGATGCATAGTATTCCATGGTGTATATGGTCCACATTTTCTTTATCCAGTCTGTCATTGATGGACATTTGGGTTGGTTCCAAGTCTTTGCTATTGTGAATAGTGCCATAATAAACATACGTGTCCATGTGTCTTTATATTAGAATGATTTATAATCCTTTGGGTATATACCCAGTAATGAGATTGCTGGGTCAAATGGTATTTCTGGTTTTAGATGCTTGAGGAATCACCACACTGTCTTCTACAATGGTTGAACTAATTTACACTCCCACCAACAGTGTAAGAGCATTTCTATTTCTCCACATCTTTTCCAGCATCTGTTGCTTCCTGACTTTTTAATGATTGCCATTCTAACTGATGTGAGATGGTATCTCACTGTGGTTTTGATTTGCGTTTCTCTAATGACCAGTGATGATGAGCTTTTTTTCATATGTTTGTTGGCTGCATAAATGTCCTCTTTTGAGAAGTGGCTGTTCATATCCTTCACCCACATTTTGATGGGGTTGTTTTTTTCTTGTAAACTTGTTTAAGTTCCTTATAGATTCTGGATATTAGCCCTTTGTCAGATGGACAGATTGCAAAAATGTTTTCCCATTCTGTATGTTGCCTCTTCACTCTGATGATAGTTTCTTTTGCTGTGCAGACGCTCTTCAGTGTAATTAGATCCCAGTTGTCAATTTTGGCTTTTGTTGCCACTGCTTTTGGTGTTTTAGTCATGAGGTCTTTGCCCATGCCTATATCCTGAATGGTATTGCCTAGGTTTTCTTCTAGGGTTTTTATGGTTTTAGGTTTTATATTTAAGTCTTTAATCTGACCTGAGTTAATTTTTGTGTAAGGTGCAAGGAAAGGATCCAATTTCAGTTTTCTGCATATGGCTAGCCAGTTTTCCCAACACCATTTATTAAATAGGGAAATCTTTCCCCATTGCTTGTTTTCATCAGGTTTGTCAAAGATCAGAGGGTTGTAGATGTGTAGTGTTATTTCTAAGGCCTGTATTCTGTTCTATTGGTCTATATATCTGTTTTGGTACCAGTATCATGCTGTTTTAGTTGCTGTGGCCTTGTAGTATAGTTTGAAGTCAAGTAGTGTGATGCCTCCAGGTTTGTTCTTTTTGCTTAGGATTGTCTTGGCTATGTGGGCTCTTTTTTGTTTCCATATGAAATTTAAAATATTTTTTTCTAATTCTGTGAAGAAAGTCAATGGTAACTTGATGGGGATAGAACTGAATCTATAAATTACTTTGGGCAGTATGGTCATTTTCATGATATTGATTCTTCCTATCCATGAGCATGGAATGTTTTTCCATTTGTTTTTGTCCTCTCTTATTTCCTTGAGCAGTGGTTTGTAGTTCTCCTTGAAGAGGTCCTTCACATTCCTTGTAAGTTGTATTCCTAGGTATTTTATTCTCTTCGTAGCAATTGTGAATGGGAGTTCACTTATGATTTGGCTCTCTGTTTCTCTGTTATTGGTGTATAGGAATGCTTGTGATTTTTGCACATTGATTTTGTATCCTGAGACTTTGCTGAAGTTGCTTGTAAGCTTAAGGAGATTTTGGGCTGAGACGATGGGGTTTTTTAAATATACAATCATGTCATCTGCAAAAAGAGATAATTTGAGTTCCTTTTTTCCTATTTGAATACTGTTTATTTCTTTCTCTTGCCTGATTGCCCTGGCCAGAACTTCCAATACTATGTTGAATAGGAGTGGTGAGAGAGGGCATTCTTGTCTTGTGCTGGTTTAAAAAGGGAATGCTTCCAGTTTTTGCCCATTCAGTATAATGGCTGTGGGTTTCTCATAAATAGCTCTTATTACATTGAGATACATTCCATCAATAGCTAGTTTATTGAGAGTTTTTAGCATGAAAGGCTGTTGAATTTTGTTGAAGGTCTTTTCCGTATCTATTGAGATAATCATGTGGTTTTTGTCATTGGTTCTGTTTATGCGATGGATTACATTTGCTGATTTGCGTGTGTTGAACCAGCCTTGCATCTCAGGGATGAAGCCAACTTGATGGTGTGGATAAGCTTTTTAATGTGCTGCTGGATTCGGCTTGCCAGTATTTTATTGAGGATTTTTGCATCGATGTTCACCAGGGATATTGGCCTGAAATTTTCTGTTTTCTGTTGTGTCTCTGCCAGGTTTTGGTATCAGGATGATGCTGGCTTCATAAAATGAGTTAGGGAGGAATCCCCCATTTTCTATTATTTGGAATAGTTTCAGAAGGAATGGTACCAGCTACTCTTTTTACCTCTGGTAGAATTTGGCTGTGAATCCTTTTAGTCCGGGACTTTTTTCGGTTGATAGGCTATTAATTATTGCCTCAATTTCAGAACTTGTTATTTATCTATTCAGGGATTCAACTTCTTCCTGGTTTAGACTTGGGAGGGTGTATGTGTTCAGGAATTTATCCATTTCTTCTAGATTTTCTAGTTTATTTGCATAGAGGTGTTTATAGTATTCTCTGATGGTAGTTTGTATTTTTGTGGGGTCAGTGGTGATACCCCCTTTACCATTTTTTATTGTGTCTATTTGATTCTTCTCTCTTTCTTCTTTATTAGTCTGGCTAGCAGTCTATTTTGTTGATCTTTTCAAAAAACCAGCTCCTGGATTCATTGATTTTTTTTGAAGGGATTTTCATGTTTCTATCTCCTTCAGTTCTGCTCTTATCTTAGTTATTTCTTTTGAATTTGTTTGCTTTTGTTGCTAGCTTTTGAATTTGCTTGCTCTTGCTTCTCCAGTTCTCTTAATTGTGATGTTAGGGTGTCGATTTTAGAACTTTCCTGCTTTCTCCTGTGGGCATTTAGTGCTATAAATTTCCCTTTAAACACTGCCTTAGCTGTGTCCCAGAGATTATGGTACATTGTGTCTTTGTTCTTATTGGTTTCAAAGAACTTATTTATTTCTGCATTAATGTCATTATTTACCCAGTAGTCATTCAGGAGCAGGTTGTTCAGTTTCCTTGTAGTTGTGCAGTTTTGAGTGAGTTTCTTAATTCTAAGTTCTAATTTGATTGCACTGTAGTCTGAGAGACTGTTTGTTATGATTTCCATTCTTTTGCATTTGCTGAGAAGTGTTTTACTTCCAATTATGTGGTCAATTTTAGAATAAGTGCAATGTGGTGCTGAGAAGAATGTATATTCTGTTGATTTGGGGTGGAGAGTTCTGTAGATGTCTGTTAGGTGCGCTTGGTCCAGAGCAGAGTTCAAGTCCTGAATACCCTTGTTAATTTTTTGTCTTGTTCATCTGTCTAATATTGACAGTAGGGTATTAAAGTCTCTCCCTATTATTGTGTAGGTGTCTTATGTCTCTGTGTAGGTTTCTAAGAACTTGCTTTTTGAATCTGGGTTTTATTAACCTAATGCAAGGAAGCTAAGAACCTTGAAAAAAGGTTAGATGCATTGCTAACTAGAATAACTAGTTTAGAGAAGAACATAAATGACCTGATGGAGCTTAAAAACACAGCATGAGAACTCTGTGAAGCATACACAAGTATCAATAGCTGAATTGATCAAGCAGAAGAAAGGACATCAGAGATTGAAGATCGACTTAATGAAGTAAATCATGAAGACAAGTTTAGAGAAAAAAGAATGAAAAGAAATGAACAAAGCCTCCAAGAAATATGGGACTATGTGAAAAGACCAAACCTTCATTTGATTGGTGTACCTGAAAGTTACAGGGAGAATGGAGCCAAGTTGGAAAGCGTGCTTCAGGATATTATCCGGGAGAACTTCCCCAGCCTAGCAAGACAGGCCAACATTCAAATTCAGGAAATACAGAGAACACCACAAAGATACTCCTCGAGAAGAGCAACCCCAAGACACATAATTGTCTGAACCACCAAGGTTGAAATGAAGGAAAACATGTTAAGGGCAGCCAGAGAGAAAGTTCGGGTTACCCACAAAGGGAAGCCCATCAGACTAACAGTGGATCCCTCGGCAGAAACCATACAAGCCAGAAGAGAGTCGGGGGCAATATTCAACATTCTTAAAGAGAATAATTTTCAACCCAGAATTTCATGTCCAGCCAAACTAGCTTCACAAGCGAAGGAGAAATAAAACCCTTTACAGACAAGCAAATGCTGAGGGATTTTTGTCACCACCAGGCCTGCCTTACAAGAGCTCCTGAAGGAAGCACTAAACATGGAAAGGAACAACCGGTACCAGTCGCTGCAAAATCATGCCAAAATGTAAAGACCATCAAGGCTAGGAAGAAAACTGCATCAACTAACGAGCAAAATAACCAGCTAACATCATAATGACAGGACCAAATACACACATAACAATATTAATTTTAAATGAAAATGGGCTAAATGCTCCAATTAAAAGACACAGACTGGCAAATTGGATAAAGAGTCAAGACCCATCAGGGTGCTGTATTCAGGAGACCCATCTCACGTGCAAAGACACACATAAGCTCAAAATAAAGAGATGGAGGACTATTTAACAAGCAAATGGAAAGCAAAAAAAGCAGGGGTTGCCATCCTAGTCTCTGATAAAACATACTTTAAACCAACAAAGATCAAAAGAGACAAAGAAGGACATTACATAATGGTAAAGGGATCAATGCAACAAGAAGAGCTAACTATCCTAAATACATATGCACCCAATACAGGTGTACTTTTTATATGCAATTTGACCAATAGCTATTGGAGCAAGTAAGAAGAGATGCCTCCTTAAAATTGTCTGAGTATCAGCCTGAAGCAATTATAGCTGATGGTATCATTTATAGAGAAGATGATGGAAAAAATGACAAAGCTGACACCAGGAATCTTCATGTCTACCATTCTTATTTTGGTGTATAGGCAAACAGCCACATACACTAAAAAGAAAGTTCAATACCAAACTCATAATGAACTCAAGTCAACACAGATATATTAAATTTCATTGATTACACTCATTTAACCATGGTAATGCAATAAGAAACATTGCTAGGATAATTTATGACCACAGTGATTAAAACAAAATTAAAAATGGGGCAATACTCTATTGAGTAGGAAGTGCAGATTATAGGGAGATTTCAGAAGGGAAACAAACATATTGTATACTAGAAGAAAAAATAGGCAAGACTCTGCCTATTTTAGTAGCATTGTAAAGTGAAAAACCAAATGCTGGTAATCAATAGAGAGAGTCATACGACTGATTCTGCCTTACAAACACATCTGAGGAAAATTTTGAGGAGTGCTTATGACCTTGGCCAACAGTAAGTTCACATGGGAATGAATTTGACTTTTAGTCTAAATGAGTTAATTTAAGTGACACTTCAATTCCTCTTGTTCTCGCTCTCTTTCTCTCTCTCTGCTTCAACAACAAACACATTGAGTCTTTTATGTGAAATGAACTGTTTAATAATCTTGCTTCATACTCGACAAATGAATTTTTCCTTCCTTATCAATTTACCACTTTATTGAGCACTCACTATGCCTGGACATCGATAGGGGCTATTGTGGATCTAGAAACAAGGTAACGTTCATTCTTGTTTTCAAGGAGTTTACACTGAAGCTGCAAGGTAGCATGGCATTGTAGAGGAAGGACTCACAATGCTTCATTGCCCATTTAAGTTTGCTCTTTTAATTTTTTTTTAAGGATCTACTGAGACATGGAAGACAGGTTCATCACTTAGCTCTGCTGCAACTCTAGGAAAATTGATCAGTTTATGTAAAAGAGCCCAAGACAGATTTCAAAAGGGTGAGGAAGTGTTCTTCCTTGTATTTAGTACATAACCAGATTGTAAGTTTTATCTCCCATGGAATAAGTGCTAGTGAAACACATAAGGCATTATTTGTTTATTTTATGTCCTAATGAAAATATTAGAAAGAGTTAAAAGTTCCAGCATTAAGCTGAAAAGGTGGCAGGAGGAAATGATAATAATAAAAAAACCTAGGTTTTGTTACCATGATGTTCTTTAATGGAAACAGAAGGAGTCAATCCTCAGTTTACTTTAACACCATAACCCAGAGGAGAAGTAGATTCTGTACAAAGGGAAGGTAGTCTTAAAGTGAAAGAAGTGCTAGTGATCACATTTCAGATAAATAACTCATTAACAGTGTTGAAAGTGAGATATTTAATAGAATAAAATAATGAGCTTTACTCTAAATAAATGGTGTAATGGTTTGCCAAACACCAGAGAACACATTTATTGCTTATTGAGAACAATTGCATGGTACCATTTTCTCCCTGACACAAGGCGTCACAGAGTAGACCCCTTTATGAATTTATAATGTATACACTACTAGAGTCTCAAGAGTAATGTGCTCAGATGTTTAAAGATTTCTATCATTTAACTGATTACCCATATATGCTTTTTCTAGCCTATTTGAGAGAAAAAAAGTCCGCCTCCTATCCTTCAAGTAGAGGATATGATTTGTCTTCAGTGTTTTGCATGTATTTGAGGGAAGGGGTGGAATAGTTGGCAAGTTGGTAAAACACATAATAATGCCTTCAATTCTGATTGCCTTTCATGATAACTAACAATAATGATTTTTTTCCCACTATGATGCTGTGCAAATCCATTCTTGTATAGAAATAAGTTTTAGTGGATGAGAGAAAAATCACTTAATTGCTGCAGAATTAGAAGCACTTTCAAATTAATTCATTTTCATTAAAGTCCTTAAATTATAGTGTCGTAGTCTCTATAAAGCAATGACAAATCAACAATCAGACTTGAAATAGAATCACTGCCTAATTAAATCTTATAATTCATTATGGTGCTTTATCATACAAAACAAAACAATTTACTTCATTATGACCAGGTATTGTCTCCACAAACATGCATGGACTACTTATTTAGAAATCATAATATCATGAAATGTATTCATCTCTGATGCACATAGGAGTTTTATTTTACTGTTGAATTAAGATGAGAGGAATCATGGACAAAAATTCATTGGCATAGAAAGCTGATGCATTTACTTATAAATTGCTGCATATAATTAGGGAACAAAAAGAATTTAGAAAGGAAGAATAATTTACATGCAATGTAGATATTTATATATTTCCTCTAGATAGCTGGCTAGCTAACCAGGTTTTAGTAAAACTAACCAAAATTTCTTTAGAAAGTTCAATGTTAATATACTTATTTTTTCAAAGAAAGAATATCTTTTACTGAACATAAGAGATCAAAACTTCATTTTCCAGTTCATTTATTTCCAGCTCATTAGGTGTTTTTAATGTTCCAAGAAGGTAAATATTTCAAGTATTGGGTACTCTCAATGTTCCAGGTATGTAAAAATCATAAAATGTGGTATTTGTCTTAGAGAAGTTTATAATGTAATGGAGAATAAAGTGTACAATTAGTAGATCTCTAGCCTATACCTAATAATAAAAGAATATATATTTTTATTACAAGCAAGAAGAAACATTTGAAAAATTAACAATATACTTGGCCACAATGTGAAAGGCAATAACTAATAAGAACTCAGTATCATCAAAACCATGTAGTCTGCAATGTATTTCAATAAAAACAACGGTGAATAAAAAGGTCCCAAATGTATTAGAGCACCAGAAAACAATTTAGTAAACCATAAGAAAGTAAAAGAAGGGACATAATAATGATAGCTGCAGTAGAAAGTAGAAATTAATGAGTTGGAAAACAAACCAATAAACAAACCAAATAATAGAAAAGACCAACAAGCAAAAATAGTACTATTTGAGAGATTAATAAAGTAGAAAAACCTCTGGAAAAGTTGCTAAAAAGACTAAAAGATAAATGGTGTGAAACAATGTTAGGAATGTAATGGAGAAAACATTCACAGATGTAGTAGAGATTTATGAAAGAGAAAACTGTGGATAATACGTGAAAATAAATTAAAAAAACAGTATGATGAAGTAGATTATTTCCTAATTAGATTGTAATTTATGAAAAACGGACTCAAGAAGAACAAAGGTATAGGATTAGAAAGAAAGGATATTGTCACAGGTAGATAAAATGATTTTATAATAAAGACGCAAAAGAATCTGCTGGTTGCATATTAGAACTTACATTCAGCTCTGTAGCTCAATGTAAAATCAAAACATCAAAATTAGTAATGTTTCTACATAGAATCAACCAAAATTAGAAAATGCATTTCTTAAAAAGTGATACAATTTGTAAAGCTAACAACTTAAAGTACTTAAACATAACTCTAACAAAATGTGTACATATTCTTGATGGAAGTCACAAAGTTTTATTGAACAACACATAGTAAGACCTAAATGAAGGGAAATACCATGTTCATGAATTACAACTTTTACTATGCCAAAGGTATCAACACTTCCCAAATTAATCTTTCAATTAAAGCCAATTTTTAAAATTCCAATAGATTATGTACCTCAACAAGTTGAACCTAATATTCTTGCGGAAGAATTCAGTATTAAGAATGGCAAAACACTTTTGAAAATGAAAACCAAAAAAAAGTGGACTTGTATTTTCAGATATTAAGACTGAATATTAGATTATAGTGATTAGAACAATGTTGTAATAGCACAGGAATCGGCAAATAAGGCAATGGAGCAGGATGAATAGTTTGGGGAAAAGCTTTTTGTATATAAAAGAGGTAGAATTACAAGTCAGTGGGGGAAACAAAGGACTACACAATGTTGTTGAAACAATCAGTCATCTATTCACATGGGAAAAGATAAATTTTGATCATATAGAGCATAGAAATAAACTGCAAATGAATTAAATATCCAAATGTGAAAAGAAAAACAAACAGTTTTAGAAGAAAACATAGAAAAATATCTTTGTGATATTAGAGTAGGGAAGATTTTCTTAAATAATTTGTAAAATTATGCAATAAAGAGTAATATGTTTTACTACATTGAGAGAAACAAAGAACCACAAAACCAGATAAAAACATTACAACAGGAAAAACAACCTCACAAATCAATATTAATCTTGGATATAAATGAATCAAATGTTCCTTTAAAAGACATAGATTAGTAGTATGGATTAAGCAACATGAATTAACTATATGCTGCTTATAAGAAATTCACCTTACTGGTAAGCAAAGACACTTACAAACTGAAGGTAAAGGGATGAGAAAAGATATTCTATACAAATGGAAACTAAAAGAGAGTAGGAGTAGCTATACTTATGTCAGATAAAACAGACTTTAATCAAAAACAGTGAAAACAAAAGAGAAACATGTCATTATATAATAAAGGAATCAATTATAGAAGAAGATGTAATAATTCTAAAAATATATGCACTCACCACTGGAGCGCCCAGATTTATAAAACAAACATTACTAGACCTAAAAAAGATATAGATGCAATACAATAATAGTGGGGGACTTCAACACCTCACTCACAACACTTAGATTATTGAAAATAGAAAATCAACAAAGAAACAGTGGACTTAAATTGGACTTTAGACCAAATGGGCCTAATAGACATACAGAACATTTGATTTAACAACAGCAGAATATATATTCCTCTCATCAGCACATGGAGTATTCTCCAATATAGATAGACCATATGACAGGCCATAAAACAAGTCTCAATAAATTTAAAAAAAGTGAAATCATATTAAGTATATTCTCAGACTACAGCGGAATAAAACTAGAAATCAATACCAAGGAAAACTCTCAAAACCACAAATAAATGGAAATTAAACAATATACCCCTGAACAATGTTTGGTCAATAATGAAATTAAGACAAAAATTAGAAAAAAAAATTTTGAAATGAATGAAAATGGAGACACAACCTACCAAAACTTACGGAATACAGTAAAAGTAGTACTAAGAGGGAGGGAAGTTTATAGTATTAAATGCTTACATTAAAAAAAAAAATAGAAAGGTCACAGACTAACTTCCAGTCTCATCCCAAGAAACTAGAAAACAAAGGCAAACCAAATACACAGCACAAGAAAAGAAATAAAAAAAATCAGAGCAGAACTAAAAGATACTGAGAACAACAACAAAAACAATACAATCAATGAAATTAAAAGTTGGTACTTTAAAAGATAAACAAAATTGATAGACTACGAGCTAGACTAATCAAGAAAAGGAGAGAAAAGATCCAAATAAACACAATCAGAAATAAAAAAGGAGACATGATAACTGATGCCACGGAAATACAAAAGATAATCAGAGACTACCATGAATAAGTCTTTGCTCACAGGCTAAGAATTCCAGAGGAAATGAATGAATTCCTAGAAACATACAACCTCCGAATATTGAACCAGGAATACATAGAAATCCTGAACAGATCAATGATGAGTGGTGAGATAGAATCAGTAATAAGGCATCTCCCCAAAAATAAAATCCCAGGACCAGATGGATTCAGAGCCAAATTCTTCCAAACCTACAAAGAAGAACTGGTACCAATCCTCATGAAACAGTTCCAAAAACTTGAGGAGGAAGGAATTCTCCATAATTCATTCTAGAAAGCAAGTATTATCCTGATACCAAAGCCAGACAAGGACACGACAATAAAACTATAGATCAATATCCTTGTGAACATAGATGCAAAAATTCTCAACAAAATACTAGTAAACAAAATCCAATAGCACATCAAAAAGATCAAGTTGGTTTTATTCAAAGTGTGTGAAGATGGTTCAAAATAGGCATATCAATAAATGCAATTTATTACATAAACAAAAGTAAAAACAAAAACCATATGATCATCTCAATAGATAGAGAAAAAGCATTTGACAAAATGCAGTATCCCTTCATGATAGAAACCCTCAACAAACTAGGCATAGAAAGAACATACCTGAAAAAAATAAAGATCATATACTACAAACCCACAGCCAACACCACAATGAATTGGGAGTAGCTGAAAGCAATCCCTGTAAAAACTGAAAGACAAGAATGCCCACTTTCACTACTCTCTTCAATATAGTATTAGAAGTCCTAGCCAGAGTATTCAACCAAGAGAAAGAAATAAAAAGCATTCAAGCTGGAAAAGGGAAAGTGAAATGATCTCTGTTTACTATTGATGTGATCTTATACCTAGAAAACCCTAAAGACTCCTCAAAAAATGCTTAGATTTGAAAAAGGAATTCAGCAAAATTTCGGGATACAAAATTAATGTGCAAAAAATCAATAGCATTTCTGTACGCCAATAACAAGCTGAGAAACAAATCAGGAAAGCAATCCCATTTACAATAGCTGCAAATGAATAAAATGCCTTGGGATCTATTTAACCATGGAGGTGGAATATCTGTACAAAGAAAACTACAATACACTGGTGAAACAAATTGTAGATGACCCAAAGAAATGGGAAAACATTCCACTCCCTTGGATTGGAAGAATTAATATTGTTGAAATGACCATACTGACCAAAGCAATCTATAGACTCAATGCAATCCACATGAAAATATGCATGCCGTTTTTCACAGAATTGGGAAAACCAATCCTAAAATTCACGTGGAACTAAAAGAGAGCCTAAATAGTCAAAACATTTCTGAGCAGAAAGAACAAAGCTGGAAACATCAAATTACCTGACCCCCAAATTATACTACAAGGCTATAGTTACAAAAACAACATGGTACTTGTATAAAAATCAATGCAGATATCAATGGAATAGAATCGAAAAGTCAGAGATAATGTGACATATCTTTGCCAATGGATCTTTGACAAAGTTGACAAAAACATACACTGGGGAAAGGACACCCTCTTCAATAAATGCTGCTGGGAAAACTGGATCGCCATATGCAGAAGAATGAAACTCACCCTATCTCTCACCATATATGGAAATCAACTCAAAATGTATTAAAGACTTAAATGTAAACATGAAACTATAAAAATACTAGAAGAAAATCCAGAGAAAACACGTCTGGACATTGAACTAGGCAAATAATTCATGACTTAAGACCTTTTGAGATTTTGTGCTCTAAAGCACAATTAACAAAACCAAAAAGAGACATTGAGACAATTAAACTAAAAAGCCTCTGTACAGTCAAATAAATAATCAACAGAGTGAACAGAAAGTCTGCAGAATGTGAGAAAATATTTGCAAACTATAGCAAAATTTGAAATCAACCTATGTGTCCATCAATAAATGAATGGATAAAGAAAATGTAGCACACAAATACAATGGAATATTAGTCTGCAATTCAAAAAAGAATGCAATCATGTCTTTTGCTGCAACATGGATGGAAGTGGAGGCCATTATCTTAAGTAAAACAACTCAGAGACAGAAAGTCAAATATTGCATGTTCTGGCTTATAAGCAGAAGCTAAACAGTGTGTACACATGGACATAAAGTGTGGATTAATAGACATAGAAGACTCAGAAGGGTGGTAAGGTCGGTTGTGGGGAAAAGGATGAGAAATTACTTAATGAGTACAATGTACATTATTTGGATGATGGTTATACTAAAAGCCCAGAATTTACCACTATGCATTGTATGCACCTAACAAAACAGTTGTATCCCTTAAAGGTATACAAATAAAATTTAAAAATAAATTGGCAACTTCTTTATGACAAATGGCATCCCAAAGTGAAGACAAGCCACAAATTGGGAGACAATATTTGTAGCCCACATAATCAAAAAAAAAAAAAAAACTAGCATTCAGAGTATATAAATCTTTCAAGTCACCAAAAACCTAAAAGACAAGCATTCAAAATTAAAATGAACCCAAAGAGACAACTGTAAAGAAAGAGACTCTAAACTAGCCAACAAAAACAAAAAAAGAAAAAAAATGCCAACTTCACTAGTGATTAGGGAAATATAAAGCATGAAGCTACTCTTATATAGCCATCTGATTGGCCAACAATTAATATATTTAGTAACCCTGTGTGTGACACAGATATGGGGCAATGGGGACATTGGTAATTTTCTGGTATAACTAACACCAAAGGCAAATCTTAGAAAATATAGAATGAAAAACTTGAAGAATAATATATACAATGTGGTAGCACTTCACTGAAATTTTAAAGACATTAAATCTGAGAGGGAGGAAGTGGGAAGGGATTGAGATGAGCATTTACAAGTTTCTCTAACCTTTTATTTACTAATAAAACCCCTAAAGTATGAAATCTATAATACACATTAACACTTTAATTTCCATGATGGGTACATTGGTGTCTCATGTTATTATCTTCATACTTAAAATGTTAAAATAGTTTAAAAATTAAAGGTGCATAAATATTTTAATGTAGCTATCAAGCATTTTTAATACAATATTAAGTGTTAGGATAGACAATACACAGGGTGTATTAGTACAGAGGGGAGACCCTTAACTTAATTTAGTCAGGTCAGAGGCCACATGGAAACAATAACAACTGAATTGAGTTTTGAATAATAAGTACGATTGAACCAGGTAAAAAGAGGTGTAAAAAATGATTTAGTCAGAGGAAAGAGGAAATAATGTAAATAGAGTCACCAAGATTCACTATTTGAGGAAGCTCTTCAGTATCTAGGCCATAAAGTTAAAAAATGCAAATCAGCCAGGCGCGGTGGCTCATGCCTGTAATCCCAGCACTTTGGGAGGCCGAGGAGGGCAGATTACAAGGTCAGGAGTTCGAGACCAGCCTGACCAACATGGTGAAATCCCATCTCTACTAAAAATACAAAAATTAGCTGGGCGTGTTGACAGGCGCCTGTAATCCCAGCTACTCAGGAGGCTGAGGCAGGAGAATCTCTTGAACCTGAGAGGCAGAGGTTGCAGTGAGCCAAGATCATGCCATTGCACTCCAGCCTGGGTGACAGAGCAAGACTCCGTCTCAAAAAACAAACAAACAAACAAACAAAAAAAACAAAGTGCAAATCATGTGTGGTGGGATTGGCAGATGGAATGTAGGAGTTAATAGAGGTCAATTGCGGGTACTTTTAATTCTGTGTTAGGAACTCTACATTCTACCCTAGTTCAAATGACATATCTTATATTGGAGAGTAATGCAGTCATATTAGCAATTATGAAAGAGTGCTAAAGCTATTTTGTGGAGAATGGGTTTGGTAATTGTGGTGGCAATAATGGAGATGAGACCAGTTAGGAGGCTATCAAGTAATCTAGGAAAGAGATATGGGACTAGTTTATGAATGTAACAATGGGAACAGTAAGAAGGAAAAAGACCTGCCATATATTTAGGAGGTAAATTTGGCAGGAGTTGAAGACTAAATGGATATGGAAGTTGAAGAAGAGAATGAATTTTTGCTTTGGAAACCTGAGTAGATCATAGTAACATTAACAGAGAACTGGACAATGGAGGAAAAAAGCAGGTTGGAGAGAATGATGAATTTGGGTTTCAATACTTTATATTGGGAGTGTTTGTGGAATAAATATAGTGATGCCCAAAATGAAGTTTGTTATTCTAGTCTGAAGCTCAGGGGAAAGGCCAAAACTTGATATGAGGTAGTCATTATTCTAAGGAACAAAACCATTAAATGTATTATTATATGGCACTTTAGAGCTGACTTTAGTGGCTACTCATTACTTATCGGAGTGTCATTTCTATCTTTTCCAGCACTCGGTTAAAACAATTGGATGGCGACCTTATCCTATGTTGGGTCCCTAATGTAATTAAATACACATTATATATTTTTAAAAGAATGTCTCTATATAATTCTTATTTACCTGCCAAACATTTGATGAATGCCTACCATGTATACTGGGTATTGTGCTAGTAGTTCCAAACAGAGAAATAAATGAGATAGCTTCTAATCTCAAGGGTCTCACAATCTAGTCAAATATATAGAAATTAAATTAAAAAGTGAAATAAGTTCAAAACAAAAACATATACAATGTAAAAAAGTATCACAGAGGAAGAAGGAATTAATTCTCCTTATGTATACAGTGTCAGGGAAGTTTCCTAGAGTAAATGACATCTGAAATGTCTGTTTTTTGTTGTTGTTGTTTTTTGTTTTTTTTTTGAGATGGAGTTTCGCTCTTGTTGCCCAGGCTGGAGTGCAATGGTACAATCTCGGCTCACCGCAACCTCCGCCTCCTAGGTTCAAGCGATTCTCCTGCCTCAGCCTCCCAAGTAGATGGGATTATAGGCGTGTGCCACCATGCCTGGCTAATTTTTCTTCTTGTTGTATTTTTAGTAGAGGCAGGGCTTCTCCATGTTGGCTAGGCTGGTCTCGAACTCCCGACCTCAGGTGATCCGCCCACCTCGGCCTCCCAAAGTACTGGGATTACAGGCGTGAGCCACTGCACCTGACTGAAATGTCTTTTTAAAGGTGAAGAGGACTCTGTCTGGTTGATGGGGTACAGCAGTAGGGAGGAAGGGGTATTTTGGGTAGAGAAGATAAGAAGATAATATGATTCCTTGTGTCACAAGCAACCAGCTTGATGCATTTGGAAATTACAATCTGGTACTATCTGAGCATGAAATGGAAGAGAGATGACCAGCTGGAGTTGTGGTTAGAGTCATGTCCTTTGTAGGGACATGGATGAAACTGGAAACCATCATTCTCAGCAAACTATTGCAAGGACAAAAAACCAAACACTACATGTTCTCACTCATAGGTGGGAATTGAACAATGAGAACACATGGACACAGGAAGGGGAACATCACACACCAGGGACTGTTGAGGGGTGGGGGGAGGGGGGAGGGGGGAGGGATAGCATTGGGAAATATACCTAATGCTAAATGATGAGTTAACGGGTGCAGCACACCAACATGGCACATGCATACATATGTAACAAAACCTGCACGTTGTGCACATGTACCCTAAAACTTAAAGTATAATAATAATAAAATAGAAAGAATACATTTAGGAAAAACAAAATAAGAAAAAAACAAAAAAAAACCCAAAAAAAATCTGTTTACTCAAATTGTGCAGATATCTTTCTGTACACAATAGTTCACTTATCTAAAGGTGTTAATATAAAATAGTATTTTTGAATTATAGAGAGGAAAAATGGTGGATCAGGATGACAGGCAGTAGAATTGGACATGAAAAATAAAGGTAGGAGGCCACATCAACAATCAAGATCAGATTGAATCTTGACCTTAGAGTGAATTAATTTCTTTAAGGGGTCACTCATCTAATTTAAGCACATTTTAGGTAATTTTAACCTAGATTGACTAATATTTGAATGAGTCTCTGTTTCAAAATAGTCTATTATGTCCTGTCCCTAAATACCAATACTGCTTGTATTCTCTCAGGTCTTGCCTCTTTTTCAGCAGGGCTATTCCAACCTTGTCAACTGTGATTCTGACACTGCAGTTATTTTTTGCTATCTACTCTTTCTTCACTTGACAGATTCCCAAAGGATGTATTATGTTCCTTAAGTAACTGTCTAGTTTTCTGTCACAGAATCAGTGATAGCTTTTTTTTTTTTTTCGAGACGGTGTCTTGCTCTGTCGTCCAGGCTAGAGTGCAGTGGCGTGATCTCACTGCAACCTCCGCCTCCCAGGTTCAAGCAATTCTCCTGCCTCAACCTCCTGAGTAGCTGGGATTACAGGCATGTGCCACCACATCCAGCTAATTTTTATATTTTTAGTCAAGACGGGGTTTCACCATGTTGGCCTGGCTGGTCTCAAACTCCCGACCTCACGATCCCCTGGCCCGGGCCTCTCAAAGTGCTGGGATTACAGGCATGAGTCACTGCGCCAGGCAGTGACAGCTTTCTTAGGTATGGCTTTCTGAAATGGCTGATGTGATGAAATCTTACTGTTTGTGTAAGTTCTAGCAATGGCTGCTATCATTATACTCATCAAGCCTATAGTACTATACTAGTATTGCAGAGTGGTTCGCCATCTTTTGCATGACTTTTTGCATAAATATTTCCAGAAAATACAGAATCATAAGCATAGCTAAAAGCCCCGAGGTAATAGTTGCAAAAACTTCTAAGGATGCTTACAGATACTTCTGAGTTGAAAAAATATAACCTGTGGTTCACCTTCTAAGAGCAAACATTTCTTGATGTAAGAGAGCCATCAGAAACTTTTACATGCTCACAAAAATGTCAAATTATTTAGGAGTTTCATGTTTATATTGGGTGACAAATTATTTTCAGATCTTCTTTAAAAATAAGGTAGATTTTTCTTTACTTGGAATATCCAGCTAATCCTGCCTGAAAATCAAGGAATGTGATAATTGTCCATATACTATTTCTCAGAAATTATAACAAAAATACAATTTGAAGTGTGAATGTATATAAATAAAGAGGTAGTAGTAATTGTTTTATTGTACAGAAATACAAATCTATACAAATAGGTAAATCTATTCTCAAAGCATGGTAGCCCTAAGGTCATCTTTCCATGGGTCAAAACCTAGTTGTTCTTCTCTTTACACATCTGTGTATGGTACTTTTAGAATTGTCTTGCTGAAAACCCTCTAAGTGGCAAGTCAAGTTGGTGTAGAAAGAGGTCTGTGTCCCCTGTTTATGTTCTAATTGTCTCTTTCAGATGAAATACTCTCTTTATTCAGATTTCATGGAAATCTTCAGGAAACATGTTTTACTTGAACTCTTCCTGAAAACCTTCTAAGTGGCAAGTCAAGTTGGTGTAGAAAGAGGTCCGTGTCCCCTGTTTATGTTCTGATTGTCTCCTTCAGATGAAATACTCTCTTTATTCAGATGCTACAGTGTTTCATGAAAATCTTCAGGGAACATCTTTTACTTGAACTCTTCCCTAATAATACAGCAGTCTTAATTAATCCACCATTGTCTAAGAATTTATCATTGTAACATGTGCTTTATAATTAGGTACTTCATTGTATAGTATTTTATAATTTTCACTGATTATTTGAGAGTGTCAGTCTTATCCACAGTGATTCTATTAACTTCTCAATTACTCTCAAAGACTTGAATTAAGAAAATCACTAGCACTTCACACTGGTAAATTTCAACAAGTTTTCCATGTTTTGGAACAATCATTCATTTATGAATTCATTGAATAGATATTTACTGGGCTCCTAAAATGTGACACACGCTGTTTTAGGCAATGGAAATACAGCAGTAAACAAAAGAACAACAAAAAATTCAGGGCATCACTGAATTTTAATTCTAGTAAGGAGATTCCAGACAATAGATAAATAATTTAAATACACAGTGGGTCAGTTTTTCATATAAGAAAAAAAAAAGAGTAAAATGTGCTTCTATTGAATAATAATATCAGTATCTTATTTTTAAATAGGGTGGTCTGGGAATGCTTCTTTGACAGTACATTTAAGAAAAGGCCTGAAGGTGATAAGGAAATGAGCATTGCAGATATTTGTGGAGGAGAGTTCTGGTCAAATGAACAGAGACAAGGCTACTGAGATATTGTCATGGAGCTCTAAAGGCACCAAATTTCTTAGGAAATTTATATTTACATGTGACCAAGATATTTTTCTGATGGCCTTTCACAAAACAGATCCTTATTTCCCAGGATGTCAAGCCAATCTTATCTAGCTTCTTTTGGTCCTATCTGGTTATCACTTCTTAGGAAAACCTTCCCTAACTACAAAGATTGGATTGCATCCTTCTCTAGGCATGCCCTTCATGTTGAATGCATCTTCACACAAAATTGCTTATTTAATCATCTACAATTTCTTGTTTAATGGGCAACCCACTTGAACGTAAACTTCAGAAGGGCAGGATCTGTTTTGTTCATGCCTGCATTCCTGTCTCCTCAGCACTAAATATAACCAAATAAATAACCAAAGCACTACTTGTGCAGATACGGTGCACACACAGGAAGTTTAACTGACTATCTTAATGATGAAGGGGTCCTATTTTATATCCTCATTGTACCTAGACATAACCCTTTTTGACTGATCCTTGCTAATAAAAGGGAGAGCTGAGTTCATTTGGAAAGAAATGAAGATTTAATGAATGAACAAGGATGCAAGAGACTTTCTGAAGCTCTAAGTCACTCCCATAAATACTCAGGAGAAAAAATAATCAACCTGAATATCAACATCAGCATCATCATCAACAAAAACACCAGATATACAAGTCTGTCCAGAAATACAACAAAAACTACTAAATTCCTATTATTTATTAGGCATTGCTCTAGATGTTTGGGACACATTAGTGACCAAAACAAAGAAAAATTCTTCCTGTTATGAATTGGAGTTTACATTCTCAGTTAGGAGAAAATATACCATAACCATAGGAAATAGGTAAAGTATACAATATTGTGAGGATGGTTAGTGCTAGGGGAAAAAACTGAAGCCCAGTAAGGGAAATTAAGAGTATATTTTCAAATAGGGTGAACAGGTAGGCCTTGTTATGCAGGTGATATTTGACACATGTTGAGAAAAAATGTTACTCTGAGAATGAGAGAGGTCAGCTTTGTGAGGGCAGTAAACGATTCTAGAAAAGATTAGATCACATGTCTGAATGCAGAGGGAAACAAGACTTGAACGAGTCAAGCACATTAGTAAGAGGAGGAGAGACAGGACGTCTGTCTTGGACTTAAAATTTAGGATTTAACTTTACAAGAGCATTAAACTACAGTTGCAACAAAATCAAAGAAAAAGTTATTTTAGATTATTTGCTAAGAGAAGATATTAAAGCACATTTTCAGTTAAAAAATTCTAGGTATTTTATGATGAGAGAAAAATCTTACCATTTTTACTGATGTCGAGTTCTTTAAGATTAACTAAACTAGCAATAGTGGTTGGCAGATTTGAAAGGTCGTTATCAGGAATACTTAGTTTTCGTAGAGCTTGACAGTTGAACAATTGCTGTAATAGAAAATAATCATTAATTAGATCTCAATTTGGTTAAATTCATTCATAAACTCAGTAACAAAATTAAAGTCACCATGTTTATATATGTAGTAGTAAAAGAGCCAGTTATAAAAGCCTCACTTCCCTCCATACTCATCTTCTCAATTGTTTCTGAATGGCTTCACATTCTATTCCCATGTTAGTGCCTCTATTTTTGGCTACCCAGACTCAAACCCAAGATATTCTATTTTGCCCCTTCTTTTACCACTCTCATTCAATTTACCACTGAATCCCCCACTGACTGCTTTTTCTTTTAAGTAACTTCTGGAGTTGTCCCTTCTTTTCTATTCTGACAGCTACCAGGATTACCTCAGTTCTCTTTTTCTGTGACCACATTAGATTTCATGAGGTATTATTTTAATGTAATCACATTGAACAGTTGTTTATCAAATATGCAAAAACTGCAATAAACTGGAATACTTGAGTTCACATTTCTTTTGTGCTCCCTCCCCCAACTGCTTCATAAATATTTGGTGCATGAGACATTTAACCTCTGATATTTGGTGAAAAAAATCACTCGTAATTGCTTCATTTCTGCCATCAGTCCAAAGTATTAGGTGGGAAAGAGCCAAGTGTTAAAGTAATAGCTGTGAAATCCAGCATGCTTATATTCACTGGTTGAGGTAGATGCTTCTTTAAAGTGTGAATTATTGAGCTTTACCCAAATAGGTCCTGTAAGGGGGTCAAAAATCTGCATTTTTAACAAGCACACCGGTGATCTGGAAACTTTGATACAGGTGTTTGCAGTATCATATTTTGAGAAACAATAAATTAGATGGTTTAGCTCTGTCCAATTCATCTTGACTCCTGCCAGATATGAACATCTGGGACAGAATTTTTGATTCATTTCTGGAAGAATTATCTTAATGAGATCTTTTCTGTTTGACATTTCTAATTCTGTTTTGCTGAATTTCCACAGATGAAGTCTGGTATCCATGACTATGAAACTGGCCTACAGTACATTTAACTACCATTTGTTCTCCCATGTAATTCGTTATTTACAGGCAAAAACAATGTAGCACATGGTCGTTATGTCTTAACTCATTAGCCTTTAAAAAATAAATTGGGCTGGTTGTTACTTAATATGAAATATGCAGTTTCTTACTTTGGGTCATGTTTGGTGCCTTACAAAGACTATTCGTAACACTTCATGTAGTGTAGAATTAATTGTCAATATCTTAGATATAAATGTTGCTATTTCTTTGTATGAAACCTCAAAAAGAGAACTCAGATGCATACTTTGATGGATAGTTTCTACTATTAATTTTCCTTCTAAATAAATAGGAAAACAGATGCCTACACTCCTGGTATAAGTTAATTTATACTTATTCCAGTCTCTATCATTCTGTTACAACTATTACATCTATATCTGCATACAGTGTGGTCAGTTACAGATTCATAGACTTAAAAAAAGCAATTGTCTTATGAATGATTTTGGTAAGATTTACTAACAACTCTCTAGTCTGATCACTATTATATAACCATTTCAAGCCATGTTCAGGCTAATGATCTTCAAAACACAATTTGTTTGTTTTATAAATTTTTCTCATCATCCCAACTAAATTCTGAAGTGAGCTCAAGAATTAATAGTCCCAGTATTCTTTTTCAACTTTAAATGAAGTCACATCAGAAAGAAAAGACACAGAAACTTCTGAACAGCCTGTAACAAAAGAATCCAAGATCTCCTTGGTGGAGAAGCTAAGAATATGGTATGTGGAATCAGATTGAAGTGTGTTCAACCTTCACCCATCTATTTACTAGCTGTGCAATCTTGGGCAAGTTACGTAATATCTTTGAACTCATCAGTTTCCTTGCCTATAAAATGAGAACAATACATTACCTAACTTGAAGAGTTGTTGAGAGTGTTATTTGAGTTAATAGATTCATCAGTTCTAAGTCACACATATTTTCACATATTAACATCTTTGATATTTGGAATGCACCCTGCAGTCAGGAGTAAGTTATGATTTTTAAGGAGTCTTTTTTTCTTCCTTAATGGCACTACAATATGGATGTGTCTTATAATCAATGGCCTTGAATATTTGATGAAATAAGGTACTTGTGAAAATGTAAGACGTTGTTTGTCACACAGTAAAGCATGAAAACTGTAAGCCATTATTAATATTTATGTACCAGATACAGAGGCACACCTATATAATAATTTATTTTTTACTTTTCTAGATGACGGAGGCAGGAATCATGGCTGATCCATGTTGGTATCAACCTGTTTCTTCTTTCTATACACAAAAGTGACTGGTACAGTGTCTTATACATAGTACATACTGAAGAAATATTTTTGAAATTCTGCATAGCTAATTAAAAGGGAAATAAAGAGAGTGCTATATTCCAGCTAAGAGTGGTAGTTCACTGGATTGGGAACTTCAATAGGTAAACAGTCTCAGTGGAATCTAAGTTTCAAATATAAAACAGTGAACTTCTTAATATAATTATGAAGAATACAAATTGGCAAAGAAATTAAAAAGGCATTTTAACAGCTCTTTCAAGATTCGAAAGCTTTGAATTAAAATGAGGAATGATTATAAAATACATGTAATTCTTCAATATAGTAGAATATGGCAAATATAATTGATAGCTATTATAATTAGAGTAAAACTGTTAGTGGTCACATGGTAAACTCAATGATTCTCAAAGACTTGAATTGAATTAAAGGCATGGTTATCCTGTCTTCATTTGCTAATGGTATTTTACATTTCAAAAACAATAAAATTGTTTCAAGTCTTAAAATATTTGGGTACTAAAGTGTTCTTTTTTCTTGGGCTAAAGGAAGCAATTTAACTCTGAAGAAATTGGTTTGAGAAGACTATACAATATAAATTACTGACACCAAAGTAAACATTTAGAACTGAAACACAGCAGTTAGATGTCTTCTCTAAGAGCTGACAAAAAGAAAAAAGCCTCAAAAGTTGAAAATAAAAATACATTTGGAGCTAAAAAATGTATATTCCAAAATATTTCATTCATTCATTCATTTGTTCATGAAAAACCATTTATTGATACTTGCTACAAGCTAGACACTATGCTAAGTGCGGGGAAACAACTATACTTGAGCCCAGATTCTTTATACTTTAATATTCAGACATTAATATATTTTCATGTTCAGGCATTAATGTGCTTTATTATTCAGATGTTTAAGTTTTAATTAATTTAATTGAAATTTATGTTGGGGTAAATATCAGTTGTAATGAAAATGCACAGGTAGGATATCTGTACCAGATTTTATTGTTGATGGTGCTGGAGTTGATTTATGGAAGTATCTCTAGGAAAGGTGTGAAAAAATGGACACGAGAGAGCAATCAGAAGATAGCCAGATGAAGGCTAAAGAGGCAATAATGTCACACCTTTGTTGAAACATCTAAAGATAATCTCAACTCAAAGAATACGTAGCTCAAGCTAGTTTCAGATATTTGCTTGACAACATGAGGAGACTTGAATCTTGGAGTGAATGGTATGAGTCTACAACATCTATACGCATCTAAAATATATTTATTGAATATCTATTATGTGCTATGATTTGTCTTCAGCACTAAAGATAAAGGTATGAAAAGAAATCAACTTCTGTTTCAGAAGTATGGTGAACTAAATATTTAAAGAGTAATCTTTTGGTACAGCAAAACTAAACACCCTCACACTCACTCACTGCTTTATTGTATAAAATGAGCTCTGATTGTAATTTGAGGCAATTATTTGAATTCCAGAATAACAAGAAAAATAACACATAGACTTACATGAGTCTGGATTTAGCTTTTGTTCTGGTGGAGTCTGTTGGTCCTTGATGGGTTAAGCCTGAGTTACAGATATTGCAAGTGGAAGGATAGAAGACTGCTTGGACTCTGAACAGAGTGGGAGATTGGCTTAGAGACCACCCCCAGTGAGTGAACTAGAAAAAAACTGGGTCTGCAAAGGGATTTAGCAGGGGATACATGTATTTCTCAGCCTTGGCTTTGAGTGAAGAGTGAAAAAGGAAGAAAAGAAGGAAGGGAGGAAGGAAGGAGGAAAGAAGGAAGGAAGGCAGGCAGGAGGGATGGAGGGAGGGGGAAGAAGGAATAAAGAAAAGAAAAAGAATGAAGAAAGGGAGTGATATAGTCTGGCTGTGTCCCCACCCAAATCTCATCCTGTGGCTCCCACAATTCTCACATATTGTGGGAGGGACCCGGTGGGAGGTAATTGAATCATGGGGGCAAGTCTTTTAAGTTGGCTGCAGAAATTTGCATAAATAATGAGGAGCTGAAAGTTAGTCACCAAAGCAATGGGGAAAGTGTCTTCAGGGCATGTCGGAGACCTTTGCGGCAGCCTCTCCCACCACAGGCCCAGGGCCCCGTGCTATGTGCAGAAAGGGGCCAACATAGAGCTCAGGCCATGGCTTCAGAGGGTGCAAGCCCCAAGCCTTGGCAGCTTCCACTTGGTGTTGAGCCTGCAAGTACACAGAAGTCCAAAATTGGGGTTTGTGAACCTCTGAGTAGATTTCAGAAGATGTATGAAAATGCCTGGATACCCAGGCAGATGTTTGCTGCAGGGGCAGGGCCCTCATGGAGAATCTCTGCGAGGGCAGTGCAGAGGGGAAATGTGGGGTCGGAGCTCCCACACAGAGTCCCTCCTTGGGCACCCCCTAGTGGAGCTGTGAGAAGAGGGCCACCATCCCCCAGACCCCAGAATGGTAGATCCTCTGAGAGCTTGCACCATGTGCCTGGAAAAGCTGCAGACACTCAATGACAGCCCATGAAAGCAGCTGGGAGGGGGGCCGTACCCTGCGAGGCCACAAGTGCAGAGCTGCCCAAGGCTGTGGGAGCCCACCTCTTGCAACAGCGTGACCTGGATGTGAGACATGGAGTCAAAGGAGATCATTTTGGAGCTTTAAGATTTTGGACTTGCACGGGGCCTGTGGCCCCTTTGTTTTGGCCAATTTCTTCTATTTGGAATGGCTGTATTTACCCAGTGCCTGTACTCCCATTGTATCTAGGAAGTAACTAACTTGCTTTTGATTTTACAGGCTCATAGGTGGAAGGGACTTGTCTTGTCTCAGATGAGACTTTGTACTGTGGACTTTTGAGTTAATGCTGAAATGAGTTAAGACTTTGAGGGACTGTTGGGGAGGCATGATTGGTTTTGAAATGTGAGTACGTAAGATCTGGGAGAGTACAGGGGCAGAATGATATGGTTTGGCTGTATCCCCACCCAAATCTCATCTTGTAGCTCCCATAATTCCCACGTGTTGTTAGAGGGACCCAGTGGGAGGTAATTAAATCATAGTCTTTCCTGTGTTGTTTTTGTGATTGAATAAATCTCACAAGATCTGATGATTTTAAAAAGGGGAGTTTCCCTGAACAAGCTCTTCTCTTGTCTGCCAGCATGTGAGATGTGCCTTTTACCTTCCATCATGATCATGAGGACTCCCCAGCCACGTAGAACCATAAGTCCAACAAACCTCTTTCTTTTGTAAATTGCCCAGTCATGGGTATGTCTTTATCAGCAGTATGAAAATAGACTAATACAGGGAGGAAGTGAAAGAAGAAAAAATAAGAGGGATGAAAAAGAAGAAAAAAAGGAAAGGAAGGGAAAGAATGGAGGACAGAAAGGAATAGCAAAGGAATGAAGGGAGAGAGGGAAGGAAAGGAAGAAGGAAGAAAAAATAATAAAAAGACAGAGAGAGAGAGAAAAAAAAGTCTTCTAGGAATTGCCAACCACAAGACTGAGCTCTCTTGTGTTAGAGACTGGAATTCACAGTATTTATGGGGCTTCTTTAAACCCACTTGAGAGTTATAAGTGGTCCTGTGTTAGTATTGCCCCAAGTGCCAGGTAGAAGCATACAAGTCTCCTCTAAGGAACTCAACTTTAAATTTAGGCCTTTGTCTCATAGATAACACTGCAAGAAACATAACATCATTTAAAAAAATCACTAAATATATAATAAAATAATTGACTTGAGTGAGATGTTACAGAAAAACAAAGAATCAAGCCTGCAAATGGTGGATATAATGGAATTATGAAACTTAAAATGTAAAATAAATGCACTTAATATGTTTAAAGAAATAAAAGTAGGATTTAAAAGACTGCTTAAATGACATGGAGGACACGGTAAGAAGGTCTTTTTGGAATTTTGGGAAACCGTAGAAAATAAAATGAGTGAGGTAGTGGAGGAATTTCAGAATTGTTGGAAGGCACTCATATTCGGATTATTATTATATTATATTACAAACATTTTCAGATTTTTTCATTGTTTGGGAGGAAGGCAAAGATACTGATTAACTTTAGATCAAAGTTAAATATTCAAGTTAAGTTAAAGTGGTATGTTTACATTTCTAGAATAACAAATTAAAAAATAGAAATAAAGTGTATGATTTCTAGTTGATAGAGACAAAATAAATGGAATGAGATAAAGAAGTGGAAAAGACTTTGATAAATATAATGAAAAAAGACTCAGAAGTAGCAACACAGATAAAAATACAGAATAGAGTGAAATACATTAATACAAATGCATCAATGATTGCCTTCAGTAAAAATGGATTAATTTCTCCAATTAAGAAACAGACTGTCAGAATGGATTAAAATTAAAAACAAGCAATCTCTATGTTGTTTAACAGTGGTGCACCCAAAACTTGATGCAAAGTTGTAAAACTGTCAAAATTAACTAAAAGAAAGTTTACACAGCAATACTGATTTAAGGCAAAATACATTACTAGAGAGAGAGTGATCATATAATGATAATCACTTCAGTTTACCAGGAATGTATAACAATTATAAATGTACCTAGTATAGTAACATTAATATATTTAAAGGAACATTTGATGGATCTTCAAGGAGATATTATAAAACTGTTATCATAGCAGGATATTTAACACATTTTTCAATAATTGACTAAAAAACAGACAAAAATACAAAAAGCTATAGAAGAACTAATGGCTACAATTAATGAGCTTGTTCTACAGGACACATATAGAACACTGAGCTCAATTACTACACAGTATTTTTTAAAAATGCATATAAAAATTTACAGTTGATCATGTGCTAGACATAAAGGAAGTCTCAACAAACACCAGAGAATTCATAACAAAAAGACCAGTTTCTTGGTCAATAATGCAATTAAGTTAAAAATTTGTAACTAAAAAATAACTTTAAAAACATTTATATTGTGTTCTACATTTACAAACTAAAATTTAATAACTCATGCACCAAAGAATAAATGATAATGGAGATTACAAAACAATTAAATAATAAAATGTTACATAATAGAAATGCCACGATATAGCCAGAATAATAGGTAGTAAATGTGTAGCCTTAAATGCTTACATTAGAGAAGACAAAAGGCTGAAAATGAATGAGTTAAGCATGCGACTTAAGAAAATTAACAACAAAAGGTAACAGAATAAACCCAAAGGATGTAGAAGGGAGACAACAGTTAAGAAAGGAGCCCTTCACAACAATCTATGGAACAAGGAGGACACAGGAACTGAAGCAAGCATCAAACTGTGAGCTCCTCAAGGAGAGGAACCATGTCTTTTGTGAGTCATTGTATTTATTTTATTATTGTTTGTGTCTTTTAAAATGTCTTATTGTGAAATACACAGACCCAAGAGCGTATGTAATATGTATTTTTTAACTATAATAAAACTAAGACCCATATTTCTCAATCCAGTTGAAGAAAGTTCACCTATGCTCCTCTCTATCATATCCCTTTGTCTTCTACCCACCACCACTGAGAGGCAACCAATTTCTTGAATTTTATTTTACTAATTCCCTCGCTTCTGTTTATGCTTTTACAACAGGTTTAATAATCTTAAAATTATATATTGTTTGGATTTGTGTGTTTATCTTTATATGGATGGAGTAATACTGTATATTTCCACCTGCAACTTTCCTTTTTCATTTGATATTATGTTATTAATAGTATTCAATGTTAATGTATAAAATGTATTCATTCACTTTCACTGCTTTATGTTTCATATAACACGACTTTCTTATATGTTCTATTGTTCATGGCTTTTGGGCTCTTTCTCATTTTTTTCTAACATGAGCAATGCTGCTAAGAATATTCTAATATACATCTGCTAGTGCACATACACAAAAGTTGAAGACTAAAATTATTTATTTTTCTTCTAAATGTTTTAATGCTTTGATTGGACCTATCTGAAATTTATTTTTGAGAATGATATGAAGTAAGGATTTATTCTTTTCCACTTATAGATGACCAGTTATTCCAGAATCTTTTTTTTTTTTTTTTTTTTTTTTGAGATGGGGAGTCTAGCTCTGTCGTCCAGGCTGGAGTGCAGTGGCGTGATCTCGGCTCACTGCAACCTCCTCCTCCCAGATTCAAGCAATTCTCCAGCCTCAGCCTCCTGGGTAGCTGGGATTATAGACGCTCGCCACCACACCTGGCTAATTTTTTGTATTTTTAGTAGAGACAGGGTTCCGCCATGTTGCTGCTCTTGAACTCCTGACCTCAGGTGATCTGCCTGCCTCGGCCTCCCAAAGTGCTGGGATTACAGTTGTGAGCCACTGCGCCCGGCCTCCAGGATCATTTTTTAAAACTTCATTATTTCTCCACTGGTTTGCAAGACAACCTTTTTGTATATCCTATTTCCACTTAAGTGTGGGTTAGTTTCTGGACTTTCTATTTCTAGCCTACTGGTCTATTTGTCTATCCCTCTCTCACTCTAGCTGGGTCACCAGAATTCTATGACTTCGATTTGTGCTTTTCTTAAAAAATGGGAAAGAAATATGAGAGAATGCCTGGAGAAGGAAGAAACACTTCAACCATGTTTACAGAGAGGGGTTGTTTTCTGAGTAGAAGGTGGGGATGGGGAGGTAGGGAAGATTGGAAGGTGCAGAAAAGCCCAAGAGGCTGTACATGAAAGAAAGGCTCAGAAGCATATTCAGAATGGCAACAACAACAAAAAGCAAGTGGCTGTATTGTAAGCTGTGTGGAGAGGAATGAAAAATGTGGGTTTTAGTTAGAATGTAAAAGGCTGTAAGGGTCTGAGCTTTATCCTGTAGGAAGTGTTTGGATGGTCATTTTTCACAATTTTGAGTTAACCTTTTAGTTGCTATCTCCAGAAAAATGTTTATGAGAACACACATATGCACATGTGCATGCATCCACACACACAAATACACACATTTGCAACCAATTTCAGGGAACTTGCAAACCACCTGAAGCCCAGGCATGGATCTGTTGGCTAGGTTAATGGCCACTGAGAAAGGAAGTGATGGCATGTTCCTTCTAAAAAAGCAAATATGATTAGGTCCATCTCCTCCTCATAATTTTTCAGTAGTTGTCTGCTCTCTTCAGGACAGTCCAAATTCCTTAATGTGGCTTTCAAGGCTCTTCGCCTCTCCAATTTCTCATCTTGCCATTTCCCTTTTCCCTGGCCCTTCTCCATCCATACCTCTCCTCTGCTGTCCTGCATTACCACATCTCCAGCCACACTCAGCAGCTGTGTTTCTGCACCTGTGTACTCTGCCTTGACTTTACAAATACCAGTCTCCAGCTGGAGCTCTTTTCCACTCCACCCTATCCCACCTCCCCTCTACTCTGTTGTTCAAGTTCCAGATCACAGATTAAGACCTGTTTACATGCTCCACCTGCATACTTTTGTAGTGTTCTGTACGGTTATACCTATTGAAACATGGATGTCTGAGTTTTGTGATTACAAGATTGTAGTGTAGTTTCTCCAGTTCCTGCAGTACGGAAAGTGTGGAACACAATGCTTGGCACATTGTACCTTCTCAGTAAGTGGTTATTCTTTCTTGAATATTCTATGTAGGAGAGTGGCATAATAGCAAGATAGTCACCATTTTTGTGTGTGCCTATTACATAGGTGCAAGTGATTAAACTACACTTTGATGTATATTGTCTCTACTTACAACAATGTTGTAAATAAGGTATTATTATCCTTATTTTGTAGATGAGAAATCTCAGGAGGTAACTTTTACAAGGTCATATTGCTAGCAAGTGCCAGAGCTAAGATTCAAAATCAGTTCTGTGTGGGTACAAAGCCATTTCTCTTTCTTTCTTTTTCTTTCTTTCTTTCTTTTCTTTTCTCTTTCTTTCTTTCTTTCTTTCTTTCTTCTTTTTCTTTCTTTCCCTTCCTTCCTTCCTTTTCTTTCTTCCTTCCTTCCTTCTCTTTCTTTCTCTCCCTTCCTTCCTTCCTTCCTTCCTTCCTTCCTTCCTTCCTTCCTTCCTTCCTTCCTTCCTTTCTTTCTTTCTTTCTTTCTTTCTCTCTCTCTCTCTCTCTCTCTCTCTCTCTCTTTCTTTCTTTCTTTCTTTCTTTCTTTCTTTCTTTCTTTCTTTCTTCTTTTTTTTGAGACAGTCTTGCTCTGTCTCCCAGGCTGGAGTGCAGTGGCATGATCTCAGCTCACTGCAACCTCCACCTCCCAGGTTCAAGCGATTCTCCTGCCTCAGCCTGCCAAGTAGCTGGGATTACAGTTGTGCACACCACACCTGGCTAATTTTTTATATTTTTGGTACAGACGGGACTTCACCATGATGGTCAGCCTAGTCTCGACCTCCTGACCTCAAGTGATCTGCCTGCCTCGATCTCCCAAAGTGCTGGGATTACAGGCAAGAGACACCATGCCCAGCCACAAAGCCATTTCTATACTAGCGCACTATCGCCTCTGAATGATCAGATCTGAGCTTTGGAAAGATAATGGTGAGAACTGACAACAGTCTCTCACAGGCTTTCTGGGAGGGGAGAGTGGATAAGACAAGGATCCAGTGAGCCCTCACAAAGGCCGCAGGCCCCAGAAGAATTACAGAAGACTCAGACTCAACAACTATCTACTGACAGAGAGGAGCTTAGAGTAAATACGAGTATATGTTATAGCACTTTGGGTTAGCAAAGTGCCAAATAAATGCAAAAATCATAATTTGGATTAGCATTTTATTAACATCCTTATACTCATGCTTGGAAAATTAAGAACATTATAAAAATGGCATAAATGTAGATGACTATATCTCAAACATAGTTTAGTTTCTTAGAAAAAATAAAATTAGCTGGATAGTTTTTCACCACAAATACAAAAGTATTAGTTGTGTGCGAATTTTCAAAAGATAAATCCTTTTCCTGAAAAGCTTTATATTAAATCATAAATATTCAGTGAGAGGCTTATTGATGCCATATGTAGGCACATGTAGATTTCACCAGGGAAAAGAAATGGTTGTCTAGTGAGTTGGCCTCACTGAATGGCTGGTTTCTTAGAAGTTCTTCCTTTGAATTCCTTTAAAGATGTTCAGTTCATTTGAAAGTTGTTTCAAAGAAATAATTATACTGTGCACATTATAATAAAATATTTTAAAATTTCCTTTGTTTAAAACAAGTGTTAATAATTTTTTTTGTTAGAAAAGAGCCAACTCTAAGTAATAAGAGAGTAAAAATGGTTTTATATACATACTTGGTGAAATTGTAAGCTTCCAATTGTGACATCATTTACCCTTCCTTTCCCTGCTTCTTTTCTCCCTCCCTTTATCTCTCCTTTTCCCTTTCTTCCTCCCTTCTATCCTTTCCCTTCCCCCTAGACTGCTTGTGTTCAGTGAGCACCTCTTGGACATCTACTCAGTGACAGGCACAGTGCCAGGATTCAAAGATGAATAACAAAGAATCCCCTTCCTCACGTATACAGCTAACTAATGGTTATAAATAAAATTCAATGTAATAAATACTATAGCAGAGAGATGGCTTTGCAAAGAACATTTTATTCCCAAAGAAATATCCCTAGACTTTTTTCCTTGATGTAGAGAATTTAAATACGTGGAATTGTGTGCTTTTAAAACTATTCTATGTTACTCTCCCACACTAACATCTACCCCTTAAATATTCATATGCAACGAAGTGACTTACTCAGATTTTTGTTTTTGAGAAACATTTGGCACCTATGAACAGACAGGCAGGTGGGAGATTAGAAAACATCCAGATGAAAAATAATGAGTCTTCATGAAAGCACTGTTAGTAGAAGTGAGCAGAGTGACACAGCTAAGAGGAGAAATCATTAAGAGTTGGTGCCAGCAGTGCTTGGGCAAAGAAGAGAAGATTTTGTAGTCAAACAAGACTTTAGTGTGCCTAGTAGTAGTGATGGTGTAGGGTTGGTGGGACAGGTATAGTACTGGACAGGTGCTGGTAGTATCAAGTAACATTGGAGCTACAGGAAAAGGGAACAATTATAGTCCTTTCTAGTACATTTTAACAATGCTGAATGTGCTGCAGAGAAGAGCTCTTTTATTTCCTGCAGAAAGATTGTGACTACAATAGATACCTAGGGATTTTATCCTAGAAAACAATAAATATCACTGCTGTTGTTTTTAAAATACAGATCTTTTAAACAACAGTTTGTACAAAGATGTTGTTGAATCATTTTTCCCTTTGGAAGAGGAAGGTTATTTTAATGTTTGCCATTGTCTTAGAAGGAAGGGAATATATCTGTTTTATTGGAATAACAGCTGTTGCTTTGAATATACAAGGCATAGCACATTGCCATATCTACTGTATTCAATAATAATTTGCATTAAAATATTTAAATGAAAATGTTATTTAACTTACATATCCTTGATTACTTTATGTGATGGTAGCAAGCTAATAATATCCACAATGAAATAGAAAAATGTGAAAGCTGAATTTAAAAGCATAGCTTTAAATGTTCTTAATTTCAACCCAGCTTCATTGTTTCTGGGTATTTGGGGTAAATTCCTGATGTCTCTATTAAGGTAAATTATAAAGGATATGTGTGGATGAGCATGCTTGTTCATAGGTGTGCCTTTGAAGGGGGTTCCTTTTGTTGCTTTTTTAGTAATTATTGGTTGGTAAAATTTTTGTTAGTTGACATATAAAAAACTACTGGCTTTGTCTATAGAGGGTAATCAATGTGGTATGTGAACAATTAGCCTGAATGGCATTAATCTAAAGTTCCATACTAGTGTAAGCTGGTTTGTGTATGTATCTGTGTGTGTGTGTGTGTATATATATATATGTTTGTGTGTGTGTATATATGTGTATATATATGAGTGTGTGTGTATATATATATATATGTTTGTGTGTGTGTATATATGTGTATATATATGAGTGTGTGTGTGTATGTGTGTGTATATATATATGTGTGTGTGTGTATGTGTGTGTATATATTTGTTTTTGCCATTCTATGCCCTGATCAGTCATGAGTGACAAAAGGCCTAACTTTGCTGACTAGCTCTGCCAAGGTCAGTGAGCCAGAGAGAAGATGGCTCATGGTATAACTGGAGATTTTCTCCACTGGTAGTGCTAATCAGTAGATTATAAACTTTGGAATCAGATAGACCAGGATTTGAATTCTGACTCCATTCATACTTAGCCACATTATTGAGCTAGTTCCATGTTCTCTAAGGTTCCATTTCTAATCTAAAAACCCAATTAGATTGTGCTCTAGTCTTGTCTTCAGCAATGCACTTCTGCCAGGTGGACCTCCCTGATCCCCAAGCAAAGCAGGATTGGTTGTCTCTCTACTGTGTTTTCATATACTCTTGCATATATATTTCTATAACCCACTGTTACAAAATTATAAGTATTTATGCAATAAATATTTAGTGAAAAGCTAGCTTTGGACTAAACACTGCACTAGTTCCCATGGAAACAAAGATTAAATAGACATAGTTTAGTATTCTGGTAGGGGAGGCAGACACACATTAGTGTCTTTCTTCTCCACCTTTGTTTCCCTGGAACAGAGTAAGCATTCAATAAACATATAGAGAATGAATAATTGCCACAGGTTTGGCAAGTACAACTATGGAATTGTATACATGGTAATATGGAGGCACAGAGGAGAGTGGAACAAATGTGCCAGGGAGTGAATAATGAAGGCTGTGGGAGGAAGTGACAGTTGAGATGAATCAAAGTAGCATGCCAGGCAGAGGAAACAGCATGAACCTACAGGCAAGAAAAGCTTTGTGTTTCAGGAACACTTCCTAAGAGAGCAGAAGAAGGAAGAGATTGCAGAAATAGGCTGTAGCCAGACTATAGAGGCCTCATGTCAGCATTCCATGCTAAGCTGCATGGTTTTTTCCCCTGAAGTTAGAGAAGAGACAGGTAACTTCCTTAACTTAGGTTACAGTCTGGTCATATTTATATTTGGAATGGGTCACTGTTGGCTGTGTGAGGAATAGAATGGGGGAAAAGGCTGGTTTAAGGTAACAGCAAGGAGACTATTCCATTAGTCAGCTGTGAGATGAAGGTCTGACACAGGCTTCAGTCATAGGATGGAGAGGTGAGATAGATTTAAGGCATATTTAGGTAACAAAATCTTGGCTGTTGATTTGATGTGGAAGCTGAACAAATAGAAAGAGTAAATGATGACTGTCTTGGTATCCAAACTGAATAGTCACCAACTGAAACAGGTAATACAGGACAGGAGATAGGTTTCAAGGGGGAAATTACACTTGCTGAGTGTGAATATTCAAGTAAGTCCAGCAAGCATGTACAAGTTTGAAGACTGAGAGACTGGGCTGAGCTGGCATCGTAGCTTTGTGAGTCTTCACTGTGGCACTGAGAATATGAGAATAGATGAAGGTGATAACCCAGAGAGAAAAGCAAGATCAAGGAGCTTTCCCCTTTGCTCCCCTGAAGTAGGCATTGTAAAAGATACAAATGACACTTTATTGCCTGGTCGAATGGATTATACAGTTCTTGCCTTTCTTGGCCTCCCTATTCCATTTAACAATGTCATCCCTCCCTTCTGAGAACACTCCACTCTGACATCCCTGATTTCATTCTTCTAAAAAGAGTTCCTCCTGCTGTTGGCATCCCGCATACCCTGCCTCTGTGGGCCCGGGATCTGCCCCATTCCTCCCAAGTGTTAGGGTTCCTCTGTAGGTAGGCTGCTGGCAGTGTTCCATTGGTGATGACAGAAGGAAATATCATTAATATTAATGAATAAACATATACTACAAGCTTTTATCAGTCAGCTCTTAATTATTTAGGGCTCTTGGTAGAAAGCTAAAATTCAATCCTATTTAAGGTCACTCACACACAGGGAAGACTCCATTGAGGGCCATGGGAAATTCACCATAAAGAATCTCAAAAAATAGGAAAAAAACCTTTAATTCATCCACTTAAAATTTAAAGAAACAGAAACTTAACTGTCTGAGCAATAAATATCAAACCCACACACCCACACAGACCCACACACCCACACAGATCCACACCAAAATGAAAAATCAATAGCAAGGTAGTGAGGTTGCATTGTTACCAGGAAAGCAAGAAGCAGTAAATATCACACACAGACACACCCACCCACACACACACCCACACACACCCCAAAATGAAAAATCAATAGCAAGTTAGTGAGGTTGCATTATTACCAGGAAACCAAGAAGCAGTAAAATGGTTCTAAAGAAAGAGGTAGAATATTGTTGTTTCCTCTAATCTCTGACTGGTCTTAACTCTCTTAGTGCTGTTTCAGGTTCGTTATAGAAACAACAAATTGCCTCTATGCATAGAAGGGATACATATCTCTAGGATTTTATTAAAATTAATTTCCACATACATTTTGGAAGAAAAAACATCTGCAAAAGATTTATTTCATTTTATATCACTGTTAATTTGGAATAGAAGATAACTTCCTTTCTGGAAAGTGCAACTATCATTTCTCATTTTATAGGGAGAGGCCAGCTTTTTTGTATTCTTTACTGTATTGTAGCTCATAGCAATTACCGTCATTTGTTGAAAGGTTATGTTTTGCAGACACCATACTCACATTTCACATATATTATGTTATATAATATATAACGTGAAGAAGAATTACCACAGGGTCAGTAGATGATAAAAATAAGATAGGAGTAAGACAATCTTTCAAGGTAGATGCTATATTCTCCAGTTTACATAGGAGAGAAACTGAGGCTGAGAACCTTCCCCAAGCTGGGATTCAAACTTAAGTCTGCCCAACTCTAAGACTTTAGTGGTTTTCCCTACCCCAGACTTTTCACTTTGGGCTGCTCTTTGTCTCTGTAATTAGAGGCTCTATTGGGATTTTGGAGCTGACCTTTGAAATTAAATAATGCTGGCTAGGAGGCAATAAGGGTGAGCTTACATTATTCATATCCTTTGCTTCTTTTCTTTCCCATCATTTCTCATAATCTGGGGAACTGCTCATTTTCTCTGAAGTCTAGTCCAGGGTCTCTTAAACTTTTCTGCCACAGTATCTCTAACAACAGAATACAGTAAATATGATTTTTAATCTTCACAATTCAGATGAATTTCGCATTTGATTCTGTAACATATTTATGGTTCTCTCTTAGAAATCATTTAATTAATTGTCATTATAGAAAGACGCAGTACATATTTGCTATAGTAGATCCTGACTCCTGGCCTTATATAGCTCTCCTAATTTTTGAAAGCAAATGTCTATATATGAATTTTACATGTGACTAGAAGTCAGTTCTATGCAAGGTCAGCTTCATAATCTCTATGAAGTAATCCTACATTTCTGTAACAAGTTAAGAGTGGCCTGACTTTCTAAGAGTGCCTGGTCAAGAATTGGATCTCAAAGTGGTTCTAAATCAGAGAGGGCATTCCACTAATGTGGCAATTTGGACTCACTTCTAGAATGAAATCAGCCTTTCGGAGTTGACAGGGGATTAATTCTCTAGAGTATAACAAACTGTCAAGTCATATACTAATAAGCTGGAAATGAATAATATTAAAACATTCAATAACCAAGTAACAACTATTAAAAGAAGTAGTGAAAAGAACAGATAGCAGAAATTGAAACACCTTAATGAAATTACATTTTTACTTTTTACCTTATTTGCTCAAATCATGTTTTATAATATACTTGCGCCCTGGACATATATTTTTATTAGTGTGGCTTTTATAAGACGCATTGATAAATCATTTTCAAAAGGAAGTGCTATTATATTGTCAAATTTGATCAGCTCTACCAAAGAACTAATCCCTGTGTTTTTCTCTTCTAGCTCAATTCTATTTTTCTCTTTAAACTTTTTTAAATAAAAATATCTCAGTTCTTTTTCCTCTTCTTCACATCCCGCAATCTCTCTTCCAGAGATAGTTTCTTTCAACTCTTTTAGCTATTACTTCTTGTATTTTCTTCTACATTTCTAAAGATGTGCGTGTATTTCTTTGTCTTTTTCTATCAATTGTAGAGATCGTGTATTTATTTCATATTATGGCACTTGAAAAATCATATCATCTCTCACCACCAAAGCCACCATCAGTTTTTTTCCTAATCTTCCCAGCATACTTACATCCAAATCTTCGGTTAAATCAGTAGTAAATGCTGACATTAATAATGTGGATTTGTTCCCTGTGTTTGCTTTACTCATAAAAGTTTTTTTAAACATAAATGTAATATGTATATTTAAAGTATGTAACATGATGTTACAGAATACACATAGATAGCAAAAAGGCTACTGTAGTGAAGCAAATTAACATATAAATCACCTCACTTTTCTTTGTTTCTGTGGCAAGAGTAGCTAAAATCTACTCATTAAGCATCAATTTCATATACAGTACAGTTTTATTACCTATAGTCCTCATGCTGTACATTAGATTTCTAGATTTGTTCATCCTATGTATATGCTACTCATAAAAGTTTTTTTTTGTTCCTGAAGTTGCTTCATTTTTTAGCTTGTTTTTCTAAACATTTATCCTTAATTTTCTCCAAATGCTCAAAAAGCTCTGTCAAATGTCAAGCAATTATATTTCTAAATGTAAAGCACATCGGATAAATTGGTAGGTCTACATTTTATTCTAGACCAATTCACTCCTGTGCCCTGTATAGCCGGCTGCAGCATGGGAAGATTGCTCTCTCAAGGTGATGCCCACCTGGCTTTGTAAGATATTCCTTTATTGCTCTTCTGAACTGGGCCCTGGTCCCTGGATTCTATGCCTCCCTTCTTTTTGCTTCCACAGATATCCTGTAGCAGAAACCTAGGGGTCACCTGTGACCCATTTTGCTCCTTTCCCCAGTATCAAGATGGCCAATCCAGTAAAATCAGTTATCACTCTGTCTCTCAGGCTGTAGAGGTGTGATCATAGCTTGCTGCAGTCTTGAACTCTTGGGCTCAAGCAATCCTCCTGCCTCAGCCTCCCCAGTAGCAGGGATAACAAGTGCAATCCACCATGCCCAGCTCTATTTTCTAGTTGTATACCCTTTAGTACATTCTTTAACCTCGTTGTGCTTTAAGGTCCTTAAATTTAGTGAAGATAACAAAACCTATTGGGCAGGGTTGTTTTGAGGACAGAAAAGCTATTGCATATGAAGTGATTAGCACAGAGCAGATGATCAGTAAACTTTTGTTGCATTTCCTGCCTTCTTAGCTGTTCATCTGTCTTTTCGGTTTCTTCTGGTCCAGGCATATAAGCCAATAAAGGAGACTTTAGGAGAACTTGCCTTTGATATCTGTTTCTCAACTACCCACCACTTTAAAAGAAACTTTATAAAATACAGTTAATTTATACATTTAAGGCCCTTAATTCCTTTTATAAGTGATATTCCTCTTTAATCCCAAATTTCATGTACCCCACTCTCTCACCCTCTCAGTTTGTCACTTCCCGTCCTTTCAGCTCACAGCATTTCTTTCACACACTGGAACCTCTATGGTTTGAACAAACTTCAGTGTCTATCATGTCCCTCAAGTCCTCCCAACCATCATCATCTGCACCCATATTTTCTTCTTTCTCTTTCATTTCATTTCATTACAATGAATGAAGTACATCTATTCCTCCCCTTCATGCATTCTGAGGATCTCCTGTCCTTTTGCCTTCAGGACTTTGGTCCTATAATTATTCCATCAATTTCCTGCATCTAGTTTCTCCCCCTTTCTTCTTATTTAATTCTAGTCATGAACAAATGTGCCTTCAGGTCACTGATCTTAAAATAAAATGTATTTTGACCTCATACACTTTTCTAGCTGGTCCCATGTTTCTGCTTTCCCTAACAACAAAACATTTTAAGTAGAGATGTTTATATTCACCATTGTCTCTTTAATAGACTTCAATCAGGTTTTCACTGTACTACTCTTATTAAGGTAACCAACGACTTCCGTACTAGCAAATACAATGGTCTCTCCTCTATCCTCTTAGCCAATCTCTCAGTTTATACTCCCTCTTTTTCAAACACTTTCTGTTCTTTTCTTGGCTTTCATGACAACATAAATTTTCTTCCTGTATCTTCAAAAACCCTTCTTTCCTTGTTTTCCTCCTCTATCAATAGCAACTCTTTCTAAATTTCCTTTCTGATCCTAATCTCCTATCTCCCAAATCCATTTCATTATCAAATTTTGTTAACTTTGCCTACAAAACATAGTCTGAAATTCTTTTCTTCACTATTGTCAGTCTAGTTGAAGCCACCAACCTCTCACCTGAACAACTGCAATAGCCTCTAATCTCTGTCTCTGCTCTTGACTTGCTACAATGTATTTCCACTGCAGCCAGAGTGGTATTTTTAAAATAAAAGTAATTTCATGTCATTGTTTCTCTTAGAATTCTTCAGTGTCCCTTCATGTCACTTAGAATAAAATCTTAAGACCATTCTTAGCTTATTTGAACTTGTGTGATTTAGCCCCAGTCTTTCTCCTGCAACCTCTCCCACCTGCCTCTTCTGTGGTGCCTTGTACCACTCTTCCCTTCATTCTTTACACACCCTCCTTCTTCCTGTCCTGTAAATATGCCACACTCCTTAGAGTGTCCCCTTTGCCTAGAAGGTTCTTTCTCTGATCTTGCATGATCTTGCATGGTTGACCCCTCGCTGTCATTCAGAACTCAACACAAAAGATCATTTTTTAGGCATTTACTGCACTTTCCACCTCAAGTACCCTCTCAGCAATTCCCCTCCTTTATTTTATTTTCTTTTTCTTTCTTTTTTCTTATTTATTTATTTAGAGGCGGAGTTTCACTCTTGTTGCCCAGGCTGGAATGCAGTGGCGCGATTTCAGCTCACTGCAGCCTCCACCTCCTGGGTTCAAGCGATTCTCCTGCCTCAGCCTCCTGAGTAGCTGGCATTGCAGGCACCGCCATCATGCCTGGCTAATTTTTTGTATTTTTAGGAGAGATGGGGTTTCATCATGTTGGCCAGGCTGGTCTTGATCTCTTGACTTCAGGTGATCTGCCATCCTCGGCATCCCAAAGTGCTGGGATTGCAGGTGTGAGCCACCGTGCCTGGACCCCTGCTTTATTTTCATAATGGCGTTTGCCATCACCTAACACTTTTATTTTAAATTGTTTGTTGATTTACATGCTCCTTTTGGAGCAAGGTAGATTTTGTGAGAATAGAAATTTGTTGATCTTCCTCAATAATATATCTCTGGCACCTAGAACAATGCTTGCACATAATTGGTAATCAAGAAATGCTTGCTGAATGAACAAACAAATCAATTGATATATTTTACCTAAAATCTTGAGTTTTTTGTATCATTTCTCAAAAATTGGCAGGAAAAATCAGCAAATTTGTTGTTGAATCAGATTTTAATGATATTTGATATTTGGGTAAATGTTAGAAATAAATGATGGCATGAGTAAGTCATCTTACTCATTATAAACTTGTAGAAGATTATAAAACTGCTCAAAAAATGACTGGGATACTACAGATGTCAGTTTCTCATTGACTCACATAATTAAGAGTTGCTGGTACTATAAATTTTTAAATAATAAAACATTTTAAGCAAAAACTAAAATCTGAGTAAGCAAAAATTATTTACTATTTTCCACATGCAAACTATGTTTTTGCTAATCTTCATGTCCTTCATCTCACTCTTCCTTGGGGCTTTAGAGAGTTAATCTACATTATTTATTTATTGAAAGAAATAATGGCATTCATTTAAATGCCAAAATAATTGCAATTAAAGAACATATATGGAAAAAAAGATGCTTTAGGAAAGAGATTAAACAGAGTCAAATTTTGATCATTTATGTATCACATATGCATATATATGAGATAGTTTTGTCCTGGATGTAGTTTTATATATTCAGAAAAATTGTATACATTTGGCGCTGGGGGACAAAATCATGCAGCCTTGTTAGTTATAGGTTCTTGTATTTCTGGAAACATTAATCGAAGAGTGGATACATGACTTACGTCAGGTGAATCTAAGTTTTCTACTGGAGGATAGAATCATGCACAAAATCATTGGTGAGAAAGTGAGACATTTTAAAAGGTCATTTTTTAGACCTTTATTCAAACCCAGGATCTAAGGAGAGCCCTCCATAGATATATGTGGGGCTACTTATGCCAAGGCTACAGAACATTCCTTGTTTATGAAAGACAAACCCTTAAGGGAATTAGTGTTAACATGAAATTTTAAAATGGGGCAACTTTATTAAACAAGTGGCAATTTTTTTGTTCTACATTTGCAAGTTTAGGCTGTGTTAAATCTCGAGCAACACATTTCATATTCTCAATCATGACAACTGTTTAAGCAGCAATTATAGTGATACAAGTAGTTTTTTCATTTCAAAAGATTCCTTTTTAAGTAGGAGGAAAAAAAATAATCAATGATCATTCAAGTTTTGAGAAACTACAATCACAACCATGAAATAGCATTTCAAAATTTGTCACCCTAAAATCTTTCTTCCATGGCTCCTTTGATCTCATTAGACCTCACACAAAATAAATAAGTGTCCTTGTTTTCAAATAATTTTACTTAAAGTTTTAAGAAAAACATGGCCTTGAACTAATACATCTTAAGTTACAAATATCAGTGAATGAAACGAAGCATCGATTGAAAGCATATAATATGTAGAATATTAGAGGATGCTTTATTTTTGTTTATTTTGCTTGTCAGATATCCATTTCCCCTTGTTGCATTAGAACCTTGATCTTCCTTTTAATGACATCCCTCATTGTACATTGTGGAGGCAGCAGGAATTTGAATCTTGAACAACTGTCACGGTTACATGGAGGTCTTTGTAAATTGCCATCCTCAGAAAATCAGCATTGTGTGGCCCAGACCATCACTGTTCTGTGAATTCTGAGCAGCAGTCTAGAACTCTCTTGGTTCCTGTCCTTTTTCCATGTAAAGTTCTTTAGGCCCCTATTAGTTCTATGAGCCTGGATATCTTTCTAGTAAGTGTTCATCTTTACCTAAAATGGCCAGTTGGTTTTTCTGGCCTACAATAAAAAAAAACTAACTGACACAACTGTAAATCCATATTAAATAGTAATCTATAGCCATTGATTAAGCAACTAAAAGAACTTTCTGTTATTTTAGTGTTATATTTGTCTTTATTTTAAATATGCAAAACAACTTCACTAAACAACTCTTGTTTCTTATTAAAATAAGCCATTTCTCTTAACTCAACAGTTATACATGTTAAATATCCCTTATACTTGGAACCAGAGTGTTTTGGATTTCAATTTTCTTTTCAGATTTTGGAATACTTGCATATACATAATGAGATATCTTGAGGATGGGACCAGAGTCTAAACACAAAATTCATTTATGCTTCATATACACTTTATACACATAACCTGAAGGTAATTTTATACAATATTTTAAAATAATTTTTGTGCATGGAACTAAGTTTTGACTATGACCTGTCATATGAGATCAGGTGTGAAATTTTCTAATTGTAATATTATGTCTGTGCTCAAAAAGTTTCAGATTTTGGAGCATTTCAGATTTCAGATTTTCAGATTAGGGATGCTCAACCTGTAGATTACTTTGCTCTTTTTAAATTACTTTCACATACTTTATATTATTTGATCATCACCACAATTGTAGGAGATGGGCAAGAACAAATCTAGATGAGCAACTACTGCAAATGAAGATGCTAAGGCTCAAAGGAGTTAAACAATATGTCTGAAGTCACATGACTAATTAGTGGCAGAACTTGTGTTAAAACCTAGGTCCTCTTTCACCAGAATTCTTTACATTGTACTGTAGTACATCTGTGATAATAACTGGTAACTATAGTTACTATGCTGTTTGTCAGAATGCTTCCTTCTATTGTTGGTTATTTTTGTCTATTTAAAAAGAAGCTTATACTAGTGAATCACAAAATATTGTTTGGAAAGAATTTTAGAAAACCTATTCCACCCCACATCCCCAAACATAAAAGCACATTCCATGACATCTTGACTGCTCTTAGACTCAAACAGCACATTCCTTTATTTGAGCAAACATTATGTGACAACTCTAATTTATATGGATAAAAGTACTAAGAGTTTGGGAGGAAGGAAAAATGCAAACAGTGTGTTGTATTAGGTCCTGGCTTATAGAGGAATCACATAAACTATCCCATGTCATCCCAACTCCCAGGATCAGCATCAAAAATGTAAAAACTGCTACGAGAGAGTTATATTTTCTGTGTTTTATGCATATGCAGATATGCTCTAACTTTCCCCTTCCTTCCTTACCTATGGCCACTGTCAAAGCTCTCATTCCTTGTAAAATAATAGACAGCATATCAGAGGGAGATATTTACAGTGATGTTTTATGGCAATGATAAAGTAGTTAGGCAGTATCTTAATACTGGTTAACACAATCAAGTTGTATGAGATATCTCTTAGAGACACAATGAGGCTTAAAATTTTGTCCAGGCTGAATAAGTGGTGGTGATAGTGGGTGTTGTTATTTTGTATGAGATAATGGGGAAAAGCTTCTCCAGTGATGTTTGAGCAGAGATCTGAAGGAAACAAAGGAGCAAGCCAGGGGCAGAGCAAGCCTGGCAGTGGAAAAACCAAGGGTAAAGTCTCCGAGGAGAAAGCCTGTTTGGCATTCATGTGGCCAAACTGCTCCAGCACAGTTGTCAGAGCCCATTTACCAGTCATGAACATGGAGCTCTAGCTGGCATGACTCAGATGCATTTTTGTTGTTCATTTATTTTCTAAAGAGTTGGGGAGGATTTCTGCTATTTCATGGGCCAGTGACTGAAGCCAGCCCATGACAAAATTTTCACCAGCCTAAAACACCTTTGTGATAAATCCCTGACTGCTTTATATTGAATGATCGGTGTTTCAGCTACAAAGCCCAGCATGAGTGGCCGGCGTGGAGTAGTGAGCACCATACAGCTGTCTTCCTGCAGCCCTCACCTGGATGTGGCTTCTTAATGTCTGTTTTTTTTTCCCTCACCTAGGGCAAGCAACTGTAGATATATGGAGGCTGTTTTTTTCTGGCACCTCTCAGCTTACTGACAATATTCTATATTGAGTGTAATATTGTTAAAAATTTACCTTCATTTTCACTGCATACTTTTATGAAATTGAATTTCAACCAGTGCCTAATTAAAACAAAATACTGGATTGGCTAGGCACGGTGGCTCATGTCTGTAAATCCAGCACTTTGGGAGGCCAACGCAGTAGGATCACTTGAGGCTAGGAGTTTGAGAACAGCTTGTACAATATACATAACGAAGAACATAGTACCACTTCTCTATAAAAAATTATCTGGGCATCGTGGCACACACCTGTAGTTCCAGATACTCAGGAGGCTGATGAGGGAGGATCACTTGAGCCCAGGAGTTTGAGAGTGCAGTAAGCTATGACTGTGCCACTGCATGCCAGACTGTGCGACAGAGTGAGACTCTTGTCTTTTAAAAAATAAATAAATAAAAATAAAAAACAAAACCCTAAATACTGGAGGAATTTGGGTATTGGAGTTCAACTTTATGTATACGAAAGACTATAAAGCTCCAAACTGATGGATTTGTATTAAGAAAATAGTTACACATATGTGTAATATAAAAATAACATTTTATAACAAATTTTCTGCATTTATAAAAGTGTTATATTCTATTTTTTAAAAAAATGACATACGGTATAATCATACAAAGGAACATTATTTGTCAATAAAAAGGAATGAAGTACCGACACATGCTATGGCATGGATGAACCCTGAAAACATGATGCTCAGTGAAAAGACAGTCACAAAAGGACCCATGCTATGTAATTCTGTTTATATGAAATTTCTGAAATCGGCAAATTGATGGAGAAATAAGTTGCCAGGGGCGAGGAGAAACAGGGAACATGGAGTGACTGCTAATAGATATGGGCGGTTTCTCAAAGGGTGATGAAAATGTTCTAGAATTAGACAGTGATGACGGCTGTGCAATTCTGTGAAAATAACAACTGAATTTGTAAAACTGAATTTGATGGAATGTAAATTGCATCTCGACAAAACTTTTAAGAAAAAAAGACAGTGTAAGTTTACTACCTATTTTTTCTTGTAGAAGCCTGCCATTTGTTTTGTGCTTATGATTGTTTTCTACATTTGGGTGTGAAAGCATTTACAATTAAATAATAAAAATCATATATGAGTGTTTTAAAAATGTTTACTTAGCAAAAGAAAGAGAATGTTAGTTCACACAGTTTGCTGGATTTTTCAATCCAGAAGCCTGGGATCAACTGATCTGCGTCATGCTGAGGTAAAAGCAGCATCAAATGAAGACACCATCAACGTGCCTCCAGGAAATGAGTAAGTATTAAGAATACATAGCTTGGTTTTCCTGCTAATTACTTTAAAATATCTGTATAACTTTTCTACATCTCACTAATGTTGTATCCACTCTGAGTGTTTTATGGCACTCTGATAGGAAGCAAGAACTTCACCCTTCAGACACAAAACAGTTAATGTGTGATCTCTATAAGTGAAATGAGCAAGACCTTAAATTTCAAATGTCTTAGAGGATTGAAAATATCTAGAATTAGCTTTGAAAGTGTTACACAGTAAATTGCTCTCTTTGTCTTCTGTTCATTAGAGCAAATAGGTTTTATAAGTTATAGAAACCCAGATCAAAATCAGTTGGGATGTTGCATTCCTCTCATCCATGGAGAGATTTTTTGGCTTCATGAGCGTAATAAAATTTCCCAATTTTGCCTCTGTATGCGAAGTTGTCATGACTGCTGGGGGAAACACAAATAACTTCTGGGCAAGTTCCAGCAGTGAGTTTATACTATCATTTCACTTTCTAAGTTTAATATTTTTTTCTCTGCAATTGTCTTTTTCCTTTCTAAGGACATTTTTTTTTTTTTGGTCTGTTGATTTTAACTCACTTCTTGAAAGGATGACTGTTAAATATCTGTCTCCAACTATGACTCCTCTCCTGAGTTTGATTACATTTTGTTTATTGCTTTTTGGAGTACTTTCACTTGGATAAATATTTTTATTTGATAATGCAATATCTAAAACCAAGCTAACAACTGCAATCTGTGCAGAAGAAAGTAACTATGATGGTTAGGAGTCTAGATAGAATGTCTGAAAAATAGTCAAGAGAAGTTGGAAACTTGTCTTAGAAAGGAGAACCCTTAAGCAAGTACCTGAGTTTTTAAAAATATTTGAAGGATTAAGACAGTGACGATGAATGCATAGTTTCTTGTTCAGTGAAGGCATACCTTAATAATTTGTATCACCCTGAGCTCCTAGCCAAGTGTTGAATGGATAGATAGATGGATGGAAATAGGCAAACATCATTAACGTATTACAGAGTTTTCTAAAAATTAGAACTTTCCAGTAATATAATGGTCTATCCTTTAAATTAGTGATTTTTTTCCATTGCTAAAAATATTCACAAAGAGCTTGGGTGACCATTGCAAGAGAAATAATAAGCATATGATTCTGCATTGGGTGGAAAGTTGAACTACTTGTTAGGATGGGCTCGTGAAGAGCAGTGGTCCCTGCCAGCACTAATGGACAAAAAGCAAAATTTCTGTTCAGTTATCCACTGAGATTCTGATTTGTTTTTACTGCAGCATAACCTCTCCTTTCCTAATACATAGTCTTTGGTAATAATTTTGGATAGGACTCTAACATGCCATGTGGCCTAAGGAAAGTCAATTAACTTTTCCCTTTGGACTTACGTATCAGTAAAAATTGGGGACTAAATTAAATAATCTCCAGGGTTGCTTCTAATAAAAATAATGTAATATTGTTATTGTGTGAGTCAAGAAAATTCTCTGGGGAAGTAGTGGTATTATCACAAATGTGTTGATGTAAGTGTGTAGGGTCAGAACCCTATCACATTTTATGGACCAGGGAATGTTTTCCTAGAAGACGTCTTTGAAGATTTCAGATAAAGAGAATGTCATGCCACAATATTTTTTGTCGAATAGTCAACACTAGAACTATCCTGAGATGTTACATAATCTTACTTTTCTTTGATTCAGGGTAAATTAACATGGAAATCTTATTTCAGCTGTAATAGAATAATAAATACCAGTTACTGAATATTTTTCTATTCCAGGTATTCCACTGACATCATCTTGCCCAGTTATCTATCTGTCTGTCTGTCTATCTATCTATCTATCTATCTATCTATCTATCTATCTATCTATCTATCTGTCTATCTATCTACCTACCTATCTATCCACCTACCCACCCACAGGAGACAGTGTTGTTACTTCCCGAGTTTTACTAATGAAGAAACAGGTTTCCAGGAAGAATACTTTTCTAACCAAATACCAATGCTAGGATATAATTCCAGATTTGCCTGGGTCAAAAGCTTTGGTTCTTGATCTCTAAAATATTTTTGGAGTGGGTTGTAAACTTTTAAGCCGAGAAAATGTTGAAAGTATGGTGCTTAAAATTTAGTCTCATCTCTTTTACATGTAGCTAAATTGATTTCATCTACCAAATTCACTCTCCAGGTCTTTCAATTTTAGTCATATGTTGGCTTTTCCAAAATTAATTATAATCTCTTTTTTAAAGTTCTTCAGTTTCAAGAAGTTTTTTTGGCAGTTTTTCTCTTTATTGCTTTTTTTCAAATTTGCCATCCCACACTACTTCATATATAATATGCACCTGTTATGGTCTATTACTCTGTCTATAATTTTAAGTTCCTAATTCAAAATAACAAGCAAAACAGTACTAAATTATAAGCTGCGTGGATTTCTATCACTGTGTGAAAGGCATGTCATTTTGTATTTTTACCTTTCACTACAGAAAATCAAGACACACAGATTGAACTATTCCTAATCAAAATACTTCCTGTTCTTTCATATCTATTATTGTATCTTTTCTGACACACTCTTGATATATCTTCCCTAATGCCTTTTACCTTGACTTTTTGTTCTCTACCCATTGTATTACATAACATCTTATAGTAGAGATTCATGACCAATTATAATATTCTCTGTGTACAATATCAGAAAGCAAAGAATAGATACATATGTAAAAGATAATTCTTACTTGATGTAATATCAAGAATAAAAATGGCTATCTTATTACTCAACAAATCTGAATAACAACTCAAAGAAAACCATAAAATAAAATGGCAGACAAAAATAATTTTTATTTAATCTAACTTTAAAGATTTAAATCCTTAAAGAGCTCAATGCTCTGCCTATAGGCCATTAAAAACTTTATACATAGTTTTTGATTTTGAGGCATTTTTCCTCCTGAAATAATTATTTTATAGCAGTTTCTTTATAGTGCACATTATGGTTATCTCTGCAACAGCCATTTTACCCTTTCCACCCCTTCCCCTTGTACTGCTACCAGCAGCCACAACTCTACAGAGGTGACCCGTTATTATTTAGCCCAATTACAGTAATCCCACTTTTCTTATAGTAGCTAATTCTGTACTCAGATAGCAAAGGAATTACATCAGCAGTAAACATGTGACACAATTAACGCCAATGAGATCTGCAGACAAATTAGTTGAAGAATTTTAGGGGAGACATATTTTGTCCTTCTCAGAAAGAGTTTTAAGGAGTCAGATGTTTCTGTTTTTGGATGCTGTGGAGGTGAACTCTAGAACTACTGCAGCCATCCTGCTACCATGAGAAAAGTCAGCTTCGGAATAAATTTGTTCCTGCCAAGGTGAATAGAAACCCATCAATTCTGATTACTGTCCTGAGATGGACCTACCACTTACGAGAGCCAATCAAACCTATTTCTTTGTAAAGTCAGTTTGTATTGGGTTTTCTGTTACTTGAAACACATATAATGAACTCTGATGCATTATTCCTTTCATTTTTGTATTTCCTATTTTTTTCCTATAATGCACAAATACATCTATGTACTGTTTGGATCATACCTCAATATCAGATCATTAGATCATATTTCAATATATCAGATACTTTAAGGGAAACTAGCTTACATGGCTGTTTTATGAAAGTAAAAAAAATTCAACCTTGAAACTCACAGAAACCTTTAAAGATTATGTAAAATTTCTTTGAAATATATAAGGCAGGTCAATGATAAAGGATAATAAATTCTCCTTAACTATAATGCACTGGTAAAATATATTAAGTCTTTGGTGTACTTATATTATTTTTAATTATTGTTAGTCAATTATTTTAACTAACCAAACAGACAAAATATCTTAAAATTTCTCTTCCAAGCCTACTTAGGATCCTAGTGAGTTCCTTGATGTATAAGACTTTTCAATGGAATTATCTTATCAATGCATTAAGCCAAACAATACTATGTGACTTTCAAGAACTTTCATAACCTGAGTCCTCCCCCAGTCTCCCTACATATTGCCCCCATCCACATCCATGCACCTGCAGTTCCAGACTCTTCACAACTCTGCTCCCTTCAACTCTTGATGCATCTTAAATTTTCCATCTGTGCTTTTTGGTCAAGTTCTTCCCTTACTTCTCCAAAAATGGAGCTCTTCTCTATACATACGCTCTACAATGGTACTTGGCTCTTTGGCTCCGATTATACATCACCGAGCACTTGCCTCTAATGCTTCAGTTTTTCTCTGTAATTAGGTTGTCAGATCCGGAAGGGCAGAGATCGAGATTTATTTCTCTTGTAACCTCCCTAAAGCTTCAAGTACTGTGTAGTAGAATGGATATTAAATAAATACTTGCTTGATAAATTAACCATGTTTTTACTACCTATCTTACAAAATTTGTTGCATAGAAATGGAAAAAGATTTAAAATGACCAGATTGGCCTAGGGTTGCTAGATTTAGCAAATAAAAATACAGGATGATAAGTTAAATTTGAACATCATGTAAATAAAAAAAATTTTTTTAGTGTAAATGTATCCCATACAAAATTTGGGACATAATTTTACAAAAATGTTGTCTGTTTCTGAATTTAAAAGTAAAATATAACTGGGTGTCCTCTATTTCTTTCTGGCAATCCTAGATTGGCCTGACCTAGAAACCCGCCACCCCCCATGCCTATTTTCCTAAATTAGAATGGGTTACCACATTTATGACTTATGCAAACTTATATACTTTTGCTAATCAAGTCCTGTGGCATATGAAGTTCTCTGCATTGTTCTCTCAGTCAGGGACAACAGAGACTCAGTATCTATTATGTGAAATTCATCATGCCTGCCCATGTACCAGGAAACAGAGATGAATACGGTGCCATCTTTGCCCTTAAGTAGTTCCTCATCTGGTACAACAGACAGTCTATTTCACTCCAGGCTTTAGTTGATGTGCAATCCTAGTGTGAATCCATGTAGTCAATAATATTTTTTATAGGCCTGACCTACCTCTAAAAAATACACTATACCTGTGTATAGTGTCATCTAAGGAAATATCCCAGATGACACAATACACAGATTGTCAAAAATGAAGTATATTGTTTTTGAAGTACATGTTAAAAAGTTCTTAACTTTGAAGTGTTATGTAAACAGCACAATTTATAATTCTACATTTGATCTTAGCCAAAAGGCCGGCAAATGATAATTTATAACTTTAAATAAAAATAATTATTCATAATTTATTTTGATCAGCATATTGAAATATCAGATTCTGATAATTAATTTCAAGTTTTTATTGTGGAAGATTCTTTTTCTGATTACTGCATATTTAATATACATTTTTACTTTTTAGCATAAGCAACAGAAATTGAGTGCATGACGTTTTTTTCCCTTCTCAGCCGTATAAATCCTTCACAGGTAAATACCATGCTAACTACTTAATCTGGGTTACTTACTTAGGTGACTGTTAGGATCCCTTGATTTAGATTTTGAACTTCTCTGCTGTGTGGTCTTGGTCTGCTTTAGCTAATCTCTTATCATCCAGTCTTTTCTGCAATAAGGACTAAGGTCACAGGAGACCTGGTTTTCTTTGCATGGCACAATGCCATAATGGCAGTGTGTGTGTGTGCAGGTGTGCACGTGTGTGTGTGTGTGTGTGTGTATGTGCACAAAGTTTGATAGTTTCAAATTCCTAGTAAACTTTTTACTAGTTTTATGCCACATACATCCAGTGCTACTTGTAATAATCAAATATTTTACATACAGGTACAAAAACATGTTTTTCATAATAGCATTAATGTGTGTAAAAGCATTTCTTAGACTTACAGCATACAATTCAAGGTTGTAATATAATGTCACCTTAATATACAACATAGAAATTTTCAGTTCTGGAGTAGTGTCATATTTTTCCTTTCTTTCTAAACATAAACTATTGATCTCAACCCTCTACTCTATATTTTTATAGAGGTCATTTTAAATGAAGATAACGAGGCATAATCCATCAAATGGTGGTTTCCATAGAGCTCAATTTGTTATTAACAGAGGCCCGTGAAATCATAAATGGAGTAACATTAAAAGGTAATGAGAATATTGGGGGAAGTTATATCAATTTCAATGACTTGTCAGTTACCTAGATAGGAGCCCATAGTTCACATTACCATTATAATAAAGTATTTGAAAATTATGAAATACTCATTTACATTGTATATTTTAGGTTGTCAAAAGTTACCTTGGGTAGTTCTTCAATTTGATTGGCATCTAGATAAAGCTCCTCTAATGTTCGTTCGAAGTTAAAGACCTCCTTTGGCACCTGCTGAAGACTGCAGTGGGAGTAATCTAAAACTGAGATGATTTCTTCTTCACCTCGGAAACATCGGCATGGCACCAGACGGCCGATGATTTTCCGTTTGGTGGTCATCTCCAGGCACTGCACTAGAGAAACGCAGAAACAAAACAAAACAAAACAGCTTATCCAGTGCCCTTGGAAGGCATTCTTGTAATATTTAAAGCTTAGAAATTTAATTTTGGTATACAGTCTAGAATACTTTAAAGTAGGACACACACACGCATTGTATCATTAAATCCTTAAACAGCCCTGCGAAGTACGTGAAATAGGTTTTATTCCCATCTAGCAAATTCGAAAATGGGCTCAAAAAGTGCGAGAGATTTCCCATCATCACACAGCTTTGGAATGGCAGAATCGAATTAGGATACAATCCTGTCTCAGTTCAATGCTACTAGCATGCTTACCTCCTCACTTGAAACATGGAGCTATAATATGTTTTCTATTTTTACACAAATTACAGTGTAGAACAGAAACTTCCAGAATTTGCGGAAAAAAACATTTCTCCCATTTCTGTAAAAATATTCATGTTTCAATCCCAAAGTTTATGATGTACTCTTTGTAGCCCACAAATTTCATCGGTGAATAGATATTTACTGAATAACAGCTGTTTTAGGCACTGTTCTAGTGGAGACAGTGATGCATTGAACAAAGACCCTGTTTTCATGGAGTTTTTATTCCGTTGAAACTACAGATTATAATTGGATTGGTTATTCACTTCCAAATGGGGATCTATCTTTACGAACCTTGTAATATGGGATAAAACAACTTGTAATTATGGTAGAAATTCCTGTGACACTCCTGACACATCTTTCTCCTATTCCTCTAGGTTAAACTGACCAAATGCCATGAAATTTTGCGAAGACTTTTATCATGGCACCTTCAACATTTTATTCAATCTACTGTTTTTCATGTATTTTTTCCTCCTAAACAGTAAGGCCTTTCAGGGCAGTGATTATTTTGTTCATTCTTGTATTTATCTTGGTACTTGATATATAGTATGTATTTAACAACAATTGTAGAATAAACAAATGAAAGCATGAATGAATAAATGAATATACTTAGGACTCTCCTCCTAATCACCGTCAGCTACTGATAATTGCTTGAAAAACTTATTTTAACGAAAAGGTCACTATCTCTGTGAATGTCTTCCTAGGAAAGATGAGTAGCATCTTTCTCTGAGTTCCCACACCACTAATCATATTGTTTTCCTAATTGTGTGGGCTATTTCCCCATGTATCAGGCAAGTTCTCTGAGGAGATCTTGTTTCACTTATCCTTAAATTTACAGTACATAGTGCAGTTTGCCAACTACAGAATTAAAACTTAATAAACATGAATTTGAAACTTGCATTTAACTTGCTAATGTATTTTTACTTAGTAACACAAATTTATTGCTTACACAGAAATTAGTAACATTTATAAAAACAATGTAGCATTTTGTTTTTAAAATTGCTCATGTTAAGTCAAATTTGGAGACAATCATTATCTAGCAAATTAATGCAGGAGGAGAAAACCAAATACTGCATGTTCTCATTTATAAGTGGGAGCTAAACACTGCGCAAACATGGCCACTAAGAAGGGAACAATAGACACTGGGGCCTACCTGAGGGTGGAGGGTGGAATGAGGGTGAGGATTCAAAAAACTACCTGTTGGGTATTACGTTCATTATCTGGGTGATGAAATAATCTGTATATCAAAATTCTGCAACATACAATTTACCCGTGTAACCAATGCTGCACATGTGCCCCATGAACATAAGTAAAAGTTAGAAGAAAAAAATATTTGGAGGCAATCAAGTAGAACATGCTTTAAGAGGTGCTAGATGTTCAGCCTAAAGTGATCCTTTTTCATTGTTCAACTTCTGAAATTAATAAAAGGATATTCTAGGGACAGGTTCATGAATAAATACTTATAGACGATTGTTTGCACATGGTAATCTGTAGAAGGCTGAATAAAAACATTTAAAAAGTTGACCTTTCTTCTCCATTACTTTCTGTCTCTCCAACTCCTGTTCTTTTCATTTCTGGGAACCAGAATCGCAAGATTTTGTAACTATTGTTTTACATAACCTTACTTGAAATTCTTGATTGTAGGATTGATGCCTTTCATGTTGTTACCTGGCATCTAGCACATAGTAGGCACCCAGTAAATGCACCCTCATAAGTGTCTAACATATTATATATAATAGGCACTTAGTAAATGTTTGTTGTGATTATTGCAGTTGCAAAGGGAAGTGGTGATAGCATAGACTATGGTAGTGGCAGCGAGGATGAAAAGAAGTGATGGATTGGGAAGATATTTAAGAAGCAGAATCTAAAATTTGATGATAGATTAAATGAGAGGTGGAAAGAGAGGCTATGGGAGAGAGGGGAGGGTCTTGAAAGATTTCCAGGTTTTTAATTTGAGTATCTAGTAGTCACATTAACCCACCCCCAGTGATGCAATAGAGCTGATCCACGGCACACACCCATTTGCTTCTGTATCCACAGAGGAATAATAAATCAATTGTTCATGCTTCTTGTTGCCCAGCGTCTCTCACTCACCATGGCTATTTCTTGATGTCTGTGTTGCTATCATTGCACATTTTAAATTATGAACTAAGAGGAAAAACACAATATCCAGGCCTGAACCTAAACCATTTGGCCAGTGTCCACTGTCTACCAAAACTTTTGAAATTGTATTCACTTAGGCACTTTCCCATTCCTTAAAACAAACTCTTCTAGTCATCTTTTGTATTTCTTTGCTCATCCCACAACAGGCTGAACTACTTCCTTGGCCCAGCTTCTTCTCTCCCCTCTGCTCCATGGGAATTCTTCAGTTGTGTCTATACCATGATAAACATCTTTATTGAGGCTCAGTCTCTCTTCATTGAATCCTCCTCACTCCCATCCTCATAGACCCAACTAAAACTTGGTTCTCCCCTAAGGTAATTAGATACCTCATAGCCTTTAAAAGCAGAGCATGCTGATTTTCTCACATCACATGCTGATTAGCCAATTTCTGGTTGGAAGGTGGGATTGCTGTCCCCCTTGCACTTTAAAAACTATGAATCTTCTCTCATCTTCTAAAATCCCTGTTCATTTGATGGTCTCATGCTCTATTAATTAGGAAGTATTAAGTAGAAAGTATTAATATCTTTCTACTTGTCCTCACACCTTTCGTTTACCAATCTCTTGTACATTCCCATTCTTTCATTGATGACTCTGGTATCTAGATTACGGACTTTCAACCACAATTCCTTCTATTCCTGATTTATGCTCCCCACACATAATAACTTTCAACTTTGTAGGGGTTTTTCCCCCTGAATTTCTAAACAACTTGATTGTAGTGCTACTCCATGACTCCCCTTAACCTCCACTCTGGAGTAACCTTTTAGGAATAACATATCTTTTTGATTTAGTCTGGAGTGGTTGCTTTTCCAGCTGTCATCCTAGAATTACTCTTCACTATCATCCTGTGAATTTTTCATTTCTTTCCTGTGTTATATTTCCTATTTTCTTGACCCCATGTCATTTTCTTTCTAGATTTATTCCTTCATTTGTGGAGCATAATGTCTGTTCACTTGCTGAAAAAGGATTTATTTTCCTTTTTGATACCTCAAAATATACCTCAAAAAAGGTGTATTTTTTGAGGACTTGCATGTCAGAAATACCTTTTCTTTATAAATAAAAAAGTTTTTATTTATCATATTTTCTAGTTTCCAGGGAAACTCAGTTCCATTCTTATTCAAAATCCTATTTCACACCCACATTTTTCTCCACCGGAAAGTTTTAAAATTTTATTTTTCCTCACTCTTGAAAATTCATGACAATATGCTTTGATTTTTTTTAATCTATCATACTAGGCACTTGATGAGCCCTTTCACTCTGGAAGCATTTATCCTGCATTCTGTTAAATTTTTGTTATTATTATTTAATTGATAAGTTCTTCATTTTTTAAAAAAAATCATTTTTCTGTGATTTCCATTAACTGGATGAAGGACCTGTCTCTTGGACTTATCCTACAATTCAAATATTTTTTTCTGTTGAAATTTCCATGTTTTTGTCTTTTTAGTCTATTTTCTGTGAGATTTTCACAACTTTATCTCCTAAATCCATGTCTTGTCTTACCCTTTATCTAATAGCATATTTTTACTTACAAGAGTTGTATGTTGTTCCCTGAATCATCTTTTTTCATAGTATCCTATTTGTGTCTCAAGGTGCCATATCATTTTCATTTTCTCAGAAGATATTAACTACAGATTTTCTGTCTTTTTCCCCTTGGTCCCTGTGTTATTTGAGTTCTACTTTCTGCTTGTTTCTTTTGATCTTCATTTTTCATGGTAAAGGTTGTCCACAAATATCTGGTGATCCCTGACTGTCTTCCTATACTGAAGAATGAAACCCTCAAAAGCTAATCGGAAGTTTTGCAGGCTTGATAGGTTTTAGTGCAGGGTAATCTGGCAGCAAGCCAAAAGATATTCAGGAAAAATATTCTGGAGAAAAATATTCTGGCCTTCTGCCTGGGGTATAGCCATGTTACTATGTATATAGAGACTGTCAGTCAGTTTTCCTATTTTCAATACTAAGTCTCTTCAATTTCTTGCCTGGTACCCAATATTTCCAAGATTCTAAGAAGGTCTGTGGTGTATAATCTATTTTCATATCCCTTTGTGGGTACTTTGTTATAATGTTGCTAATAATGTGCTTTGCAACTTGTACTATATATATATGTATGTATATATGTACACACATATATATGCAATGTAGATATACATTGCATTTATATAAATATATATACATCTTTCTTGTATTCTAAAAATTTCTGAAGTTTATTATCTGCTGATGTCTCCTTTTATATTTTCTCTATCCTTGCAAAATATATATATATATACTTTTGCATATATATAAATATATATATTTTGCAAGGATAGATTATATATATATATGTGTGTGTATATATATATTCCTTTTGGTTTAGTGGAGTCTTCATTACAAGAATAGATGCATTAGGAAAGTGAGAGATTCATTTCAATGTTAGTGGAGTCTTTGTTATAAGAATAGATACATTAGGAAAGCAAGAGGTTAATTTCAATGTTTAAAGGAAGTTTTGATTTTAGTTCCTTTTAGCCTTTTAATCCTTCCTTAGTTGACATATTAGCAAGTAGTTCTGGGCACAGAACTATATTGTCCTTTTAAAAACACTCTTCCTTTGGCGTCCCTGACATCAACTCTTCTGACACTTATCCGTCCACTTTGGTTCTTCCCTTTCAGTTTTTCGAGGTGTCACTTTCTCTACCCAGACACTGAGAGTTACAGTGTTAGAATTTGTCCCCTAGACTGTTACCCTTCTAATTGTACCCTTTTTTTCTTTACAATATCATTCAGCTTTCCCAACTCTCACTTCATTTTTCATAAGTTAAATGGTAAGTGGATGACTGTACATTTTTTTAAATGTCTAATGCAGATTTACTTCCCTCGTCATTTCTACTTTATGTTTTATAGGCATCTCACAACTTACAAAGATGCACATTTCTCAGAAGTTGTATGTCACATGCACATAATTGGCATAATGCTCTTGAGAGGTCCGTAGCACATTACCATTGTCAGGAGCTTGGACGCTGGAGCAAACTGCCTGACTATGTGACCCAGGGCACATTATATTACCTCTATCAGTTTCCTCATCTGTAAAATACTAGAATACATACAAAACACTTAAAATTGTATCTTCAAGTTGTAAGCATTTACTTAGTGTTAGCAATTACTGTTCTACCCAAACCTCCTCCTCCCATGTTACCAATCTCAGCAAACAGCAGTACCACTGACCTAGTTTCTCAAGACAGAAACCTTGGCATCAATTTTGATTCCTCCAATTCTCTCACTTTCCACATTTAACAATCACCATCTCCTAAACATTAAATACCCTAAACATTTCCTGAACAAGCCTGTTTTTCTTCATCGCAACTGCCTATTGACCTAGTTCAAACCATTATCATCTCTTGCATTTATTCCTGTGTTTCTCTTTCTATTGTTCTCACTCCACAGTGTAGCTAGATGACCTATTGAAAACACAAATATGATTATGTCACTCTCTTGCTGCAAATACTTCAATGACTCCTCTCTGTCCTCAAAGTAAAGTCCAAAATTTTTCCTATGACCTACCAAGTACGATATGGTCTCATTGTCTGACTCTTGTCTTCCAGATTCACACCCAGCCCCATTGCACAACCTGGCCAGGTACCACACTTCTCATTGCTTTCTGTGCTCTTTACACTTATGGCTTCCTTTGTATTTTTAAGATTATATGACCTCTCCTATACTAGAGCCTTCAGATCTATGGCTACCTCTGCATAAGGCACAAAGGTACATTTCCTTTGCTTTAAAAAATTTAAATTAAAAAGGGAGAATGACTTCTTTCTGTTCATCAAGGTAGGTTGTGATTCTTGGGACTATATTACCATATGCTGTAATTCACTTTGATCATATTTTAATTACTCACTCAATATCAATCTTCTTTACTAGATTGAAAGTTTTATGAGGCTAGAGAGCATGCCTAGACTGTTCAAAAATATGTATTTCTGGTAACTTGCCAAGTCTATGATTTAAAGTAGATATATTAAAATATTACCTGTATAAGCAAATGAATACGGGTGTAAAATATGACTAATTACTTTTATTTGTACACTACTTGCAAAAATTCAAACCAATTTACAATCTGTCACCGTGCTTTTTCATGAGAAATAGATCATATATTATTTTCCACATTTTGATGATAAACTAATTTAGGTTTAGTGAGTCTATGATGTGCATAGGGTCATACACAAAATAATTAGTAGACCTAGGCTTGGATCTCATTATCTGTGCCCTAAAGCCATTGATTTTCCTGTTAGCCGACTCTGCATTACCTTGATAGCAATATTTATAGATCAGCATATAAGAATCTACAGACATGAATTTACCAGAAGTAGTTCTAACACACACACACACACACACACACACACATACACACACACACGACAATGATTTATGTAAAGGATACTTTATAGGTACAAAACAGAATGAGGAAGTAGCAGGAAAGGAAACAATTTGCTTATCCAGTGATCTTTTAATATCAAAAGGATGAGCATACAATATGGTGGAATGGAGAAAGTGTTTCAGAAACTGAGTTGAGCATAATACACAAGAAATCACAAATATGTTACACATATAATATATGGAAGTACATATCCACATTTTCCTGAAACATGGCCACCGTCCAGTATACATTAGAGAACACATTGCTTTAAATGCAGTATTTGGACTTGAGTCAGTAACAATCCGGTTTCCTGTGTTACCACATGTCTGCACACAGCCAAAAGAGGAATTCTTAGATTCACAGTTTTTCAAAGGGATTAAAAAAGGCAAGAAGAAAACAGGTATTCATCTCTTTCTGTTAAGGCCCTTCTAGTAAATGTCTTAAAATCAAGGATAAGGACATCCTGTTCTGGTTTCTCCACAATGCTGCATGGATTCCCTTCTCTCTTGAATGATATTGTTTTCAATTTAAATTGAATATCTAATGGTGATTTTTCTTTTTCTACAACTGCAGTGTGCAGTCAATAGCTTCCTTTTCAATACTCTCCCACAGAGTCAAACGCATTTGAACAGCAGTGCTTGCTAGCATGGCCTAACCTAGGTGAATAACAGAGAGACTCATCTTGCTACCTTCTTCAAATCCTTCCCTACTGACAATTTAAACCAAAGATAATTTCAACCACTTGAGAATTCTGCCTGTAGCAGATAGAAATAATGACAATATATGTATTAAGAACATTCAACTTTCAATACTTATGCATTCTCTAGAATTTTAGACCAATGCTCATTTATGTTATCCTTGCCTAATATTCCATACCTGGAAAGAGAAAGAGACAAAGGAAAGTTCAGTCTTTCCAAGATTTCTTGTGACAAATATCCTGGCTGTCCTCATTAGTTGGCACAGTCTTGCATTTTTCAAATGACAAATGTATCTGACTTATTCATTGAGAAACCTTTTTCCTCATTAAGTGTGCCACAGGGATATGGAAATCTGCCAGACTCGTTCCATGTCTTACTTCAAGAACATCTTTAAAATCATTACCTACCCTCAAGTACATCTCTGAAACCCCTTTATCAAGAGAATATACATGGTGATTCTGGTACTCCAAAGGGGCATCTGAGGCTTATTTGATATTTTGACTCTTGAAATGATCACATTTGAAGACTTCCCAGACTTCATGGGTTTGTTTTCATCTTATCACAATATCGGAAAGTCTGTAATCCTTGTACATGGTTTGATTTGCTATCAATACAGGGAAACCAGTTTTTCTTCACCAAGATCAATGGACTGTTCTTGGGACAAATCTCCTTATGGTCTTTAATGCTGATGTATCATATCAGCAAATAAACATGAAATCAAGAAGAAAAGCATACTGCCTGTTATCAAGAAGGAGCTTATTACATATTTTAAGTTCTACTTACGGCAAATTAGTTCCTCTAAGAACAGCCATGCTTCTGTTCTTTCTCTACATGGTCTTCACAGGAATTTTCGTCTCCTGACTTCAAAGAGCTTCTTTCTATGAATGATTCTTACTATAGACCATCATCCCTGATTTTGCCTCTAACGGCTTAATGAGATGCCAAATTTAAATAAAACTCCACTTGTCAAAAGCAGAACTTGGACATATTTACTAAGCTCCTACTCCTCCGTACTAGACATTGTGCTTTCCTTCATAATTTGTTGTTTTGATTATACTTTAATTCTCTTAATTCTGTACTTGCAGTCCTCTTTTGCTTTTCCTTCTTTCCTTTTTTCCTTCTATATTAAATATTTTATGTCTTTCTTTTCCTTTCTTTACCATTCAGTCAATCTAATTCAGACCCTTGCCATCTTCTAGTAGTAATGCCAATGAAAATACTGCACAAAAGTACACTATTTCTAGACATGTAATAAATACTTATTAATTGTCTACTATATGTTAGGTACTGGTTTATATGTTGAATAATACAAATGAGTTAAAAAGCTATGGTGCCTGCTCTACTGAATTTATTGGATAGTAAGAGAGATGAGCATCAAATAAAAAGTTATTTAAATAAATCCATAATTGCATATTATAATTGCTATAAAAGCAAATATTAGAGTTTTATCCTTTTTACATATTGACACATACATTTAAGACATTAATTAATCTCTTAAAATGCACATCCATTCCCCAGTTTAAAAGCTTCACTGAGTCTACATTTTCAACAACAGTATTTCCCAGACCATGCTCCTGGGTTACATCTTCCTCTTAGACATAAGCTGAGAGGAGATCATAATCCCATATGCATTAGCATATTAAGAACTCATGGAAATTGCTATGGTTTGACTTATGTCCCCTTCAAAATTCATGTTAAAACTTAATCCCCATGTGGTGATATCAAGAGGTGGGGCCTTCTGAGAAGTGACTAAGTCATGAAGACCCCGCCCTCATGAATGGATTAATGCCTTACAAAAGGGCTAAAGGAAACCAGTTTAGGCTCTGTTCTTCTGTTCCTTTGCCATGTGAAGACACAGCAACAATTCCATTCAGTGGATGCAGCAATAAGACATCATCTTGGAAGGGGAGACTGGGCCCTCAACAGACTCTGAACTTGCTGGCACCTTGATCTTGGACTCCTAGCCTCCAGAATTGTGAGAAATAAATTTCCACAGCTTATAAATTACTCAGTATTTCATTATAGCAGCACAAATGAACTAAGGCAGAGGTCTTGTGATAAATTAAAAAACTACATTTATCTTTGTTCAAACCAATGTTTTCTAGATACCTTTTTAATTAAAAATTTAATTATACATATGGTTGTACATATTTATGGGGTACAGGCAATATTCTAATACAAGTGTACAATGTGTGACAATCAAATCAGAGTAATTGGGATATGTATAACCTCAAACATTTATCATTTCTTTGTGTTAGTAACATTCTAAATCTTTTAAATATTTCAAAATATACATTATTGCTAAATAAGAGTTTCCTTGCTGTGCTACTGAACACTAGAACTTGCTCCTTTGCTCTTAACTGTATTTTTTTACCCATTAACCAACCTTTCCTCATTAGTATTCTGAATTACCCACTTTATGAAAGGGTGCTCTACAAGATTCTTTAGCTTGACATTCAAGTTCTCTTTAACCTCACTTTTCAGTTATTATTATTTATTTATTTATTTATTTATTTATTTATTTTTGAGACATAGTCTTGCTCTGTCGCCAGGCTGGAGTGCAGTGGCGTGATCTCAGCTCACTGCAACCTCCACCTCCCGGGTTCAAGCGATTCCCCTGCCTCAGCCTCCCGAATAGCTGGGACTACAGGCACATGCCACCATGCCTGGCTAATTTTTATATTTTAGTAGAGAAGGGGTTTCACCATGTTGGCCAAGATGGTCTCGATCTCCTGACCTCGTGATCCGCCCACCTCAGCCTCCCAAAGTGCTGGGATTACAGGCGTGAACTTTTCAGTTTTCTACCTTCTACTTCCCTGAAGACACTTTCCCTATTCTATGCTCTAGCTTACACTACTCCCAAAACTGAATATCTTTCATCTATTTTCTTCATCTATGTCAACCCTACCAATCTATGGTAAAACTTATATTTTTAAAAAATAATGTTGAATGATTTTTGTTTGTAATTATAATTTGTAAATCTTAAAACATCACAGTAGCTGATGTTACAGAAACCTGAGAATTGGAACTTTTTGGTTGATAGAATATTCCGTCTCACTCTTTAATTTATTTAGGTCATTGTTTTCTAGTCATAGTGTGCATTGTTAAACAAAATCCACAGAATTTGAGTTTGGAGCACTTATTGAAGCTTAAATTTGTCTTCTTTTTAAAAATCTTCTGTTCCATATTTATAAATAATGCTGCTTTCCTGGTCTGTCTTCTACTCTTCACCATTATTACAGTCATTGTAACACTAAAGAACATCAACTTATGGATTATAGGATCAAGCTAGAAGCAATTCCTTGAGAGAAGGTTTGTACTAAGTAGTGGCATATACAAACTCACTCAAAATCTGTCCTCATCATATCACCTGGGTGAAAAACTATACTATAGTACTTTTGTTTTTCTCTTTCCACACATTCTGTCTTGACATTTTTGTCTGCTAACTTATTTAAATATGCAAATATACATGTAAGGACAGTAGAAAGAAAATTACAACATCAGGTTAAAATTAGCCAAAGTTCAGAGACAAGTTCTAATTCAGTAATAAACTATTCCACCTATGTTTCTTGAAGAGTTTGGCTTCCAGGCAAGTTGTGAAACTGACCCAAGAGCAGCATGAAGAAACACATTTCTAAGCATTAGGATACTCTCAAAGATCTAACTTTCATAAGGTAATAACCTAAAATAATTAGTTTCTGGAATAATATCTGAAGGCTTGACCCAGAATAAAAGAATAAAAAGACACAGAATAAAAGAGCAGAGCAGAAGTAGTCAGATAGAGGCTATTTTATTGACAGACTCTCAAGTTTGGAAGGACCCTCAGTCTAATCACTTACCTGATCCTTGAATATATTACTCAGATGATGTTCTTACACCTTAAGATCTCCTGAGAAATTTTCATACTGTAGTACAAGATTTATGTTCTTAATGATGAGTCAGTTATCAAGACAAAGATCAATGATTTGGCATGGTCTATTGAGAAGCCAGAGGTGTGTTTAGTACTTTTAAATGTGTTTTAATCAAATACTTTATTTAATAAAACTTTGAGTATACTGATGGTCAAAATTTATTTTGTTAAAATTTCCACTTTATGTGAAGCATTTTACTCCACAGCTTCTTCCAGAGATTTGAGTAGGAGCTTTAGTAAGGACTAGTAGGAAATCATTTTCTATGTAGTTGTCTCATCTCAGAGATTCCTTGCCTTTTGTGATGAGACGCAATGTTAATTTGGTGCCCTTCACAACACATGATAAGAGACCCATCTTTTCTGTCTGATGTAAACAATGTAGAGAAAGCATTTTAAAATGTTATTTCATGCTGTTTTATACTCATTCTTCAATCATAACTATAGATAACTTCTGATATCTTCTAAGTTTATTAGTATTGTAATTAATGCTGATGATGGCTGTACTTGTGCCTTCGGGATACTTAGAACAAATGCTACAATTCTGAGACTCAACTAAATAACCAGGGTTTTGTTGTGATAATCTTTTAATAAACTAAGTTGCTTTGGGTATAAATTTAGGCAGTTACTTTATAATCAGAAAGATTTTTAAGAGATTCATGAAACATACAAGCCTGCTTAATGTCCCCCTCAGGGTGAAAGAAGAGTTAAAATAAAAGAATTAATTCAAGAGTCCTTCTGCAAGGAAGTTAAAGGCATGTGTGAATGCATTCACAGATTTAACAATTGTTAAATGAAAGGTTCATGAATGCTTGAAATGGAAGAATCAGAAGCTCATTTAAAAACGGAATGATTTTGTTACCATTTTGAATTTTTTTTTTACTGTTAGTCTATGATATGGGATCAAAGTACAATTTCAAAAAACAATTTACAATATCCTGAATATTTACATACTTATCCTGATTCATGTTGTAATAAGTGCCATAAATGAAATTTATTCATTTCTTCCTGAAATGAAATGTAATTGTTACTGAATTAAATTATTTAGAAAATGATGAAAGGCAACAAGATTTGAATGAATTAAGAGAATAGAATGAAAAAAGCATGCTCAGATAATGGGGTCCTGCTGGTGGACAGAATTTAATCAAAAGAAACCACAGTGCTACCAGCGTAGTTGTTTCTAAAATTCCACTCTGAATATGTATACAATTCTTCACTGGCTCTCTGCTATCTTCACTATAATTACATACTGCTGAGCTGGACATACAAGCCTCTGGCATGACATCAGTCTCCTCTGGGACCACACCCATACAGGCACCTTATGTCCCATGCCTTTGCACATTTGTGTTTTCCTGTTTCTTCTCCTGAACTGTCTGCATGTTCATCTTTCCTGAGTTACTTTCCTTATCATTTTCAAGTAAACTCAAGGATTAACTTCGTAGAAAAATTTCCCTCCAATCCCTGTTATAGGTTGAATGCTGTTCCTCCCAACATTCATTTTTTGAGTCCTAAACGTCACTACCTCAGAGTGTGACCTTATTTGGAAAGGGGTTGTTGCAGATGTAATTGGTTAAGATGAAGTCATACTGGAGTATGCTCCAATGTGATTGATGTCCTTCTAAAAAGTAGGCCTTGTGAAAAGACAGAGGTCCACAGAAGGAAGATGATGGGAATAGGCACAAGGAGAAAATGGCTATCTAGAAGCCAAGGAAAGAGTCCCAGAACCACACATCCTTTTCTCACAGCCCTCAAAAGTAGCCAACAGTGATTTGCCTTGATTTGGGGCTTCCAGGCTCCAGAACTGTGAGATAATGAATTTCTGTTGTTTAAGCCATCCAGTTTGTGGTATTTGTTATGGCAGCTCTAGAAAATTAATACGACACCTGTCTTCAGCTTCTTCTCTGACATCTATAGAACCTAGGGCCCAACTCTGGCATAGACTTATTACCATTGTTTTCTTGTCAATCTCTAGAGGTAGCATGAGCTGTTTATTAGACCACAGACTGTCTTTTATTTGTACTCCTAATAGATGGCAGACATTGCATGGCAGACATACAATACGTTCTCGGTAAAATTCTGTTTTGTACAGATAAATGAATAAATAAACAAAGCAAATATATAAATTTTGTTTGGAATTAGATTCATCAATCTGTTGAAGAGGATTTAAAACTATATTTTCAGATACAGGTAAAAAAATGTTCAATAAGATTACAAAATTAGATACTCTAAAAAACATGTGATTCCACAGAGAGAACAAAACCAATAAGGTGCCCACTCATTTTCAGAAGTAAAACTCCAGAAGAAATAATTCCCAGTGTTTTTGAGCCATGCACATAGTGATTATAATAAACTACTGGAGCCTAAAAACTTGACCCAAAGGATCAAGTAAAGATTTCAAAAATGTCTTGAAAAATGGATATGATGGACATCCTGTGAAAATGAATGGGTGTATCCCATTCAGATGAAGCAGAATGAGATATAGTGGAAAAGAGAGAGCACTTTATGTTAACATGGATATCCTAAATTCATCATGGATGTAAATTGAAGAGCTTTTGAGAGAGGATAAAAATAGAAGTTACATTACCCTAGAAAATACACTATTAGCTACTAGATCATGTGAAATATATTTGGGTGATACTTTACTAATGAGTATTTGTACACTGGCACAGAGGCAAAAAATAAGAGTACTGAAAGAACTATTTAGATATTTTGGACACATAATTCTACTCAATCAGAATTTTGTTATTTAAATTACTATTTATTTTCTTCAGAATATAAAAATTATGTATGTTTATTATTAGGAATTTTGAAATTATAGAAAAGTACAAATAAGAAAATAAAATTCATAATATTACTATGATCTGGAAATAAAGCACTATTAATGTAGTAGATTATTTCCTGTCATTCATTTAAGGTTGCACCACTAAGAAATACATACACAAACACACACACATCAACACACAAATATATTATTAAGAATTAATACATTGTTTTGTGTTATGCTTTTTAATTTAGCATTATACTGTGAATATTTTTCTCATATCATTAAATATTCCTTGAAACATATTTTTTGAAGACTGAAATATTCTGTTGTGATATGTCTACTAATTTATTTGGCCAATCTTTTTCCTATACTAGGAAATTATATTATCATTTTTTCCAAATTATAATTATTGCCTTAGTAAACAACCTAAAATATAAACTTGTGTACATTTACTAGGTTGAAAGGATTTGAACATCTTTCCTGATTAAGTATTGCAAAATTGCTTAATTATTTTTACCAATGTATACTCCCCAAAGTATTGTATATGAATGTCAATTTTCTTGCACCAGTGCCAACAGATGGTAGGTTTATTTTCAATCTTTGTCAGTTTAGTGAAGCAAAGTGTAAAGTGTTTTAAGTCTGTATCTTTATTTGTTATGCCTTTGATTTATGCTTATAATATTAGTTTGTTGATTTAACTCAATGGACTACAAATAGGAAACTATTTTTTCACCATTCACTGCCTTTAAACATCATTTCTGGGAATTCCCTTCTCATATCTTGAACAAGATCATCTGCCAATGCCATAGCTTTGCAATTTTAGTTATAGGAACTGTCTCATTTTGATAATTAGGTTAATTCTCAGGTAGAGTTCCAGCACAGCGTATAAACAATCCAGATATTTTTGGAAGTTTACTACTGGCCATGGTTTTTGAGCAGGTGGATCCATTATAAGAGAACCATGTAAATGATTAAATAAAGGGTACATCTTTACATGTTGAAGACTAATGGAATTTACAGCATTTTACTATGTTATCTTTTATTTGGTTGTGTATTTTTAGGGAAGTGTATTTTTATAATAGCATGATAAATGGGAAAAAATATTTATTTTTGTTTTCCATTAGTGACAGTGGAAAACAAAATCTTTTCAAATGGAAATGTCTCTTGGTAATGGTAGCACTTCCATTGAGTGGGCTTGAAATTTTGCACTAAGCCTTAGATCAAGAATATTTACATATCTTACTGACATAGAATGCCACACACCAAATAATTCCTTAGCAATTTAAATTCAGTGTTTCACATTCTTTCTTGAACCCATTTGGAACTCAATCCACCTCCGGCAATTATAGTGAGATTAACATATGAATGCATTCAGGACAAATCCTTTTTTTATTTCACATTTTCTAGATATATGGAGAACAAAACAAGCTACAGAAATGAACATCGATGGAGACAAAATGTGCCTTATTTCTCATTAACTAGTGACAACTATTTTCCTAGACTGTCTCTGAACCAAGAGCCAAATCTAACCTGAAGCAGAAAAGTAACATAATTTCGTCATTCACCTGCACCACCTACTCAGTCTTTAAGGATAGTAGAAAAGCAATCATTAAATGAGTTTATATATATTGTACATGTGTATGTATATACGTGTGTATTGCAGTTGAGAGCATATGGTTTTGAAGCAGGGGAAAAGATTGGCACTTGGAAATAAGTAAATATATTAGATAATGTATAGTAGTCACTTAACCTTCTTAGGTTAAGCATTTTATTTATATTTTAAAAATATATTTTCCCCAATCATAGTATAGGAAACATATTTAGTATAATAAATATTTTTTTTCTGCTTGCCTCTGAGTTATCATGAGTATTGATGGGCTGTTTGGTAAAAAATTACAATAGACAGAATTGGGTAGAGGATAGTAAGTAGTTAAAGGGCATCTTAGCATTTTAGAGAAATTTTCCACTTTAAAAAGAAGTATAGTGAATACATATAATCATACAATCTCAATATCAGAGTATCAGACAAAAGGCTTTTTTTTCTTGTTACAAGTTTGCATTTCAAGTAAGTCTCATAAAACTGTTTTCCTCAGTAAGTTTTTCCCTCTGTACAGACTCTTAGCCACTGTTGTTTTCACTGTACTTTAAACTTGTAACAATGTTTAACATATATTGTCATTATTTTCTTCCCCAAAACTGACCTTAAGTTACTTCCACCTTCTAGCTAATGAATCAACACTTTTCTATCTCCTACACTAAACCTTTGGAAGCATCATCTACTCTATATTTTCTATCATTTCCCACTTTCAATGTCACAAATAAGTCCGATTTTTAAATGTGGCTCCTCCTTTTTTAACAATGCTGGAATGTTGGACGTTGTCTTCTTCTCTCGCTTTGACATGTTAAATTGCTTTCTAATTGGTTTCCTCATGGCCTACCCTACATATATGGTCAACTTCTTCCTGCCCAACACACACCCATGATGCCTTTGCATTCTTCCGTGCTTTTGCAAGTGTTTTTCTCTGCTAGGAATAATCTTTACTCTTGGAGAAATCAATCATCATCTTTAAGACAGTTCAAATGTCACTCCTTCTGCAGATCTTTCCCAACTTCCTCAGGATGTAAGTTACTCTCTTCTTTTGCTCTTAGAGCACTTTCTAACATTTATTGTGGTAAGCTGTCAAGCTGTATCTGAGGATTTATCTTGACCCTAACCTGCTCATTCCTGACTAACACAGACAATTCTAGAATTCTTTGTTTTGAAAATAGCCATTCCTAGCCAGCTGGTAATTCAAATTTATTTTTAAAGTTTTATCAGAAAGAAAAGTCCAAGCATATTCATACTTTACTAGACATTACATATGGGTGACTTCTAAATGACAACACATCCTTCTAATAAAATATCTTCTATGGTGACACTTATGTTCTAAATAATACAGTGGTAGGTTATAATAAACATGACCAGACAACAACTCTGCTTCCTTTAACAACAGAATATCTTGTTATTCTTAGTAAATCTATGGCTCAGAAATTCTTTTCTGTTCTGAGTACAAAAGGAATATATAACATTAAAAAATTATTTGTCATTTATACATTACAATTATGCTCTATAAACAATAAGGTCAGGTTTAATAGAGCCAAAGGCACTAATATAATTATATTTTCAGTCACAAAGATTTAAAACAACCAAGGTCTATGGTATATCTCTGTGAAATAATAGTTACCCTATTTTTCTGCTTTAATCTCAGAATGGTTGATCATGCTACTGCAAAATTTAGTAAACATTATTAAATAAATGTCTCATATCCCAAAGTATTCAAAGCTGGTTGCTGAGATATCTCACAGTATTTACATACATAACTGTGTGCACGCACACACAAAAAGACACACACATACACACACATAAATATCTTCTAATGAACATCTAATCTAAAGATGCTAAACACACCCAATATAAAATATATGATTATATAAAATTATTTTACTCATAAAATGTTTGCCACTAAAATTATTGGTTTGCAAATCTTTTCACTGAATATTCTATGTTACTTAGTTATATATAACTTGTATAAAGCGGGATGATTATAACTATATTAAGATGTCAAGAAATCCTCATTCTAACCCTAATTCTGATGCAAACCAATAAGTGTCCTAAACTATTTGATATTTAGTTTTTCATATGTAAAATAATAATTTTTGACTGGGATTGTTCATATCTTCTCCAAAAGTAATACTTACAATTCCAATTATTTCATGTACTCACTGTACTTTATTCAATTTATAACCTTAAGGATTTTAGGCTGTTTTTCTTTTGAGTTTTTATGTCACATAACTCACATAAAAACACACACCTACACATATGTTTTTAGATTTCTGTTCTTGCTCTTTTAAAATTATGTTGCAGTCTCCATTCACTGTGTAAATCTCAGTGCCACTTTCTGAATAATTTATATGGGCTTACACACACGATGGAAGTTCATTTTGAAATGTGGTGAGGCTTCTAAGTGGGAGAAGGGTCTGATCAGATTTGCGTTTGTATCTTGCTGCTCTGTGGAGAATAGTTTGAAGAAGGTTGGGAAACTAATTAGAAGGCTCCTGAAGAAGCTGTGGCCAGAAAGGAGGTACAGAAGAAAGGAGTGAACACAGCAAAAAAAAATCCAGTGAATAAATGACTAAATTAGAGTCATAATCAGCAAGACTCGGTGACTGGCTAGTCATGGTTCGTAAGTCTTCTTTAGCTTGCCCCTATTCTGAATACTTTTGGAGGCTAGTAGGATTTGGTTATTAATTCTTCCCTCTCTTCCTCATACCTGTCTCTGTGCTCTCTTTCTACGCTAATCACTGTCAAATTTCTGCTTCTCATCACTGGTTTTCATCTACACTGCATTTGGTGGTCTGGCCTCTAGTTCCACTTCTAGTCTCTATTATCTCTCTTTTGTCCATGATTCTTTTCTTTTCTTTTCATTTTCTCTTCTTTTCCTGCTCTTACTATTTCACGTCTTAGATTACATGTCACCTACTGGATTATGGAGGTGCCAGATTTAGCGAACAAACAAAAACAATCAAACAAACAACAAAAACCCCACGATACCCAGTTATATGTAAATTTCAGATAAACAATGGATAGTATAGGAATGCTCCATGCCATATTTTGAACATATCTATATTAAAAAACTTTTTTTTAAAAAATTTAAGCATAACTTGGCATTGTATATTTTATCTGCCAGTATAGATTAGGAGCCCCTGCTAAATGCTCCTGCATAGCTCAGTGAGCTCAGCACTTTCCATGTCATGTAGTAAAATTGTTGACATGACTCCCTTACCCACTAGCCTGTAGAACAACATGCAAGTTTGCCTTTGGTCATTGCAGTTCCTCTAGTACCTAGTACATATAATGGATACTTAATAAATATTCGTTATTTATTATTTACATATATACAATATTTACAATAAATATTGTATATATTTATGAATGAATACTTCCACTAGTCTGCTCTGTTTAGGGTATTAGCTGTTGTTATGGACTGAGTTATGTTTTCCTCAAATTCATATGTTGAAGCCTAACTCCCACTGTGACTGTATTTGGAGACAGGGCTGTTAAATCAGTTTAGTCTAAAGCTGCCTCCTTACATATTTAAGTTCGGACTAAAGGTTTTCTGTACACCGTGAACTGTAACAAGTGGAGATGTAAACCGAATATAGCCCACACCTGTGCCAATCGCTGAGTTTTGGCCAATCACATGTAGCCAACTGCTCGAACCCTGTTCGAATAAGGCAAACGCAGAGCTGTAATCAACCCAGTTGTTTCTGTACCTCATCTCTGTTTTCTGTAACTCACTTTCCTTTTGCTGTCCGTAAATCTTCTACCACTTGGCTGTACTGGAGTCCCCCTGAATCTGCTGGGATTCTGGGGGCTGCCCAATTTGCTAATCATTCATTGCTTAATTAAACTCCTTTAAATTTAATTCAGCTGAAGTTTTTATTTTAACAGCCTTTAGAGAGGTCACAAAGTTGAGGCCCCAATATGAAAGGGTGGGTGTCCTTATAAGTAGAGGAAGAAGGAACACTAGGGATGTGTACACACAGAGAAAAGTCCCCATGAGGACACAGCAAGAAAGGAGCCATCTGCAAACCATGGAAAGAGGCTTCAGAATAAATTAACTCTGCTAGCACGTTGTTCTTGGACTTTCATCCTCTAGAACTAGGAGGAAATTAATTTCTTTTGCTTAAGCCACCCAGTTTGTGTTTTCTTATGGCAGCCTTGGAAGACTTATCCAGCCATCCATGGTATGTAGAGCCATCGTAAATCATTGTGCTTCTTTCCTTCTATTTAGAAAACTGACCAATCATATAGTAGAACCTCTAACCTCTCATTGCCTATTTCCTCCCTTTGGTTGCTTTCTTCCTTTCTTCAGTAGCGTTCTGTTGCGATGCTGCTCATATCTGTAAACACTGGATAGTTATAAAACCAGGTTCTAACTAACAGAAGACCTTTTTTACTGTACACTTAAGTGCATTCAGTTTGCTTAATGATAATTCTTTGTTTAACAGCATAAATCAGCAGCCAGTTTCTTCTCTGGTGATTGACATCTTGAAAATTCAGATTTGTAGCTACCATTGTACACAAATTAAACTTGTTTTTGGCAAAATACGACTTCGTATCTTCAGTAACTAGCTACTCATTAAATTAAATGAGATGTAAATTACCTAGCACAATTAACCAGTAAATTGTCCAGTTAACCAGTAAACAGCTCACTTTTCCTTTGATAATAAAAATGTAAATCCTAGTCGGAACAATTGAAAAAAATGAACACAAAGGCCTACAGTCAAATCAATTAACTTTGCAAAAGTGTGCTCCCAATCTTATTACAATCTTTTGCTCTTTGATGTTGTATTCATTCTGAGGCTACACAGTTTAAATCATCCTACAGCTGCTAAACAGGCTTGGCAGTAGTAGAAAGATGGCCTCAAGCTGTTCTTATCCTTGGTGGGTAGAAAGAATTTCTTCTTCTACATTCCTGGGCTTACAGGGGACCAGCTGAAAGCCCTATGGCTGCCCCTTCTGTGACTAATATATTTAATTATTGTGCTCACCCTTAGCTTGGCATGCCTTCTGCGAGCCCCCAGCAAGGCCAGGAAAAACTGTATGGTTTGTATTATGATATTTGCTAGCTAGTACCTATCTCCCCTCTATCTCTCATTTTCTAAGTCAGAGAAGAATATATGGAAAAAGCAACTTGATTTTCTTTCTCTATGTCCTTTATGCATAAGCTCAACCTAATCTTAACAGTGTTCTTTCCCATCAGCATCGTTTTACCTCTGGTTACCATAGTGACCAGCTACTGCTATCTTGCTTTTAGTCAAGCCTCTCAAATCCTGTTTATTGTTCAATACAGGAATTTTGTATTATACCCAGTAACCTAAAAGCTGCTATTTTTGGAATAATGATAGTCCGATTTTCCTCTTTAAGGGGTTTCTCACTTGGCCATCTTTTTCTAGGTCCTGTTTGTTTCCAAGCTGTAAAGAGTCTTCAAGAACTTTCTCCTGCCTATCTACTTTTTTCTGTCTCCAGGGTCCACTTAAGTTTTTTTTCTACTCCGTCTGCCAAGATTCAAATGTGTAATTCCTGATAGTTTATTAAATAAAGCAGTTTAGCTCTTTCTGTGTCTTATCTCTCTCACATAAACTCTCCCTGGGAGGCCTTGCCTTTACAAGGAACAGAACCCCAACTATGTTGATTTTGAATAAAAATAGTCTTTCTTTTTCTCTCTCTCAAAGGGGTATTATTCAGTCTCCCTAAGCAACGGGCTCATACAGCAGCCTACTGATAAAGTAACACTTTGTGTGATAAGAAAAACACACAAAGGCAATTTTTCTAAAAGTAGGATTTTTATTTTAAAGAGTTTCAAGTTTCAATTTTATAAGATACTTAATGAATTGATAATAGAAAAACAAGGAAAGGAGTAAAAAGATGAAGAAAAATATTTAAAAAATAGATTTGTATCATTTTCAAAGGTCCCGTGAAATACTTAGTTGTAGATCAGTACTAGCTCTGGCGCAGGTAAACAGGATGATAAGAAGGCAAGACCATGGCTTATGGGATGACAGGGTCAGGGTGCAAATCCCAGCTCTGCCAATTACCAGCTCTATCATTCTAGTTACCTTCCCAATAAAAGAGAAACGTTCCCTCTAAACAAAGCTGAGTGAAGTAATCAATGCAATATTACTTATTAGAACTCGGTACATGGCCATTTTTGGTGGTCTCAGTGAGACATAGATGGTCCTCCTTAAGAAATTCAGCCTTCATTTGACACTAAAACCGATCTCAGTAAGCCCAGACAAGATGTGTCATCCTCTGGAATAAGATTAAGCCGTTTCTGCCAAATAGTCAGATTTCCTATTTGACAAGTGCAATAGAGTCCACAATCAAATTCCCTAGGATGAGGCTGTGAAATAAATGTAGACCAAAGCCCATCCTTCCCTTTGCCTCCTGTCTTACAAAGCAAAAGAGTAAAGTCCAGCCCTAATATTTATTAAAAGACTCTCAGCTTCTTAGTCTTTGATCCAAAACTCTGGTATGAGACTGTGGTGAGTTCAAGGATTTTGGAGCCAATCAAGGAAAAGACACAACCACAAGATGGCAGTATTGCACAACAGTCTTTATTAGGCAGCACTTGGACAGGTTTGCAAGAGTTCTGGGAAGTGTCTAACACTGGAAGACCTTCCAGATACAATAGCATGGGACCACTACATAGAAGTAAACTAGGGCAAGGAAATTCTGGGAAAGCAGGGAATTGGACAGGGGGTTTATATGTCTACCTGATGTCACTCTGCAGCCATGTGGGGGAGTCTCTGGGTCAAAGCTACAAAGGGTAGCATCAAATAGTTACAGGGTGTATTAGTCCATTTTTTTCATATTGCTATGAAGAAATACCTGAGACTGGGTAATTTATAAAGAAAAAGAGATTTAATGGACTCGCACATCTACATGGCTAGGAGGCCTCACAATCATGGTGGAAGGCAAGGGATCATTAGAGCAAAGGCATGTCTTCCATGGTGGCAGGCAAGAAAGCCTGTGCAGGGGAACTGCCCTTAAAAAGACCATCAGATCTCGTGAGACTTACTATCACGAGAACAGCATGGGAAAAACCCATTGGCATGATTCAATTACCTCCCACCAGGTTCCTCTCACAACACGTGCGGTTTATGGGAGCTACAATTCAAGATGAGATTTGGGTGGGGACACAGCTGAATCATATCACAGAGTTTGTCTAATCTCTGGCTAGTGGATGTTAAGTGAAGTTTTGTAAAGAATGCAAAGCAGGCAGACTCTTAAGTAGCTTACAGTATAATAATTTGGGCTATATGTAAACCAATCGGAGGTGTAAGAATTTGAGTTTGGCACTGGCAGGCTTGGAACTAGCTATGAAGAAGTAAACAGTATAAAGACCAATACAAAAAGGTCACCTTTAACTCCTTTCTATAAAAAAGACTCATCCTTTCAGAACCTTGGTTTACAACTTATTGTCTCACATTAATCCAAAGGCTAATAATATCAAAGGCAGTGTAAAGATAATGATGGTGATGATAATAATTACAATGGCTACATTAAATAGGCAAGGGCCTACTGTGAGCCTCAACACGGAGAAAGAAGAGAAAGAACCCGCAGCCTGGTCCCCTTTCCTCAGATAAGGCAGCAAAGTCCCAAAGCCCTGACTAAGTGAATTCATATTCAAATAGGTGATGGCTTTACTATAAAAACTGTATTTATTCACCACACACACACATTTATATTAAAATTAACCCAAATTTTCTGTAACTTTCCCAGTAAAAATTTTTATCTCTCAGAAGATGTTTTGTTCCTTGGAAAGACAGTCATTACCTAACTTATTCCCAAACACTGATAAATTATTTTTGAAAACCTGCTTTTGATGATAAAAATGTCTCTTTGTCATTCAAATACCACTGGATTCTGTTAAAGTCTGAAGAAAATATTAAATAATTTTATTTGTGTAAAAAGCTAAAAATAGAAAAGCAGTAATTATAAATAATATTCCTTGTTTTCTAAGAGATGAAGTACAGCCAAATGACTTAGCAAATGTTAAAATTTTAAACCTACTTAGTTTACTGAATAAATCAATAATTTTCTATTCTTAGTGAATTGGTCAGAAAAAGTAGTCAAATCTTATGAGAATTCAAAAAGTACATTACAGAATACTTTTTCTGTAGTGTTTAATCTCCTAAATTTCAAATGTTATTTTTGGAAAGGGAAATTGTGAAGTAATTGATTTCAACATGTTATCATTAGACTTGTAGGAAAGCATCAAAATTATTATTAAAAAATGGAACAATGCTAATGTTACTAAATGTATCCATTTTTCTCAGCACCACAATTTTGAGCATTTTAACCAGCCAAAGTGAGCTAGACTTACAATTAAATTTCTATTGTTTTATTGAATTTAAAAAATCATTTAATCAAAAATAAATTCATGACCCAATAGTGATAATGTGTGGGGTGGTAGGGGGAGAGAGGCAGAGAGAGGTAGAGAGAGAGATTGAAAAGGAAGTTTTGCAAGGAAGGGAGTGAAACAGATAGGGAGGGGAAGGGAGTGGGAGAGAGAAAGAGAAAGGGGCGAGGAATAAAAAGGAAGCTTCTTGAAAGAATGCTAATACCATGTAGAAAAATGATAGGATATGTCCATCTTGCAGTCCCAAATGAGAATTCAGTCAAGGACCATCAATGGAAGTTATAACTATTGGGTAAAAAAGTTGTTAGAGTCAGGGTATTCACACACTTTCAAACCCCACACGTTATTTACTAATTACAAAGGGGAAAATGTACTACGCAAGAGTTTAGCATCACCTCCACTAAGTGGTCAAATTTAGTATCACCAGTTGTGGGACAAATTAATATAATATGCCTTCTGATGTGATCGAATAAGAAGCACAAGCACCAACAATCTAGTAGTCTTGCCCAAATGGATAATCTAAATACAATAATGAAGAAATAATTAACAAATCCAGTATATGGGACCTTTTAAAAGATGACTGGAGAAGACTTTTTAAAAAGTCAATGTCATGAAAAACAAACATATTGAAGAAATGCAGAGAAACTACTGTAGCGTGAACACTGATTGGATTAAAAACAAAACAGTCATAAAACACATTTGTGGGACCACTGGGGAAATTTAAATATGAATTATATATTAGATATTATTATGGAATTATTACAAATTTTCTTAATCCTGATAATGTTGTTATAGAAAACCACCTGATAATGGTGGTTATAGAAAAGACTGTCCTTAATTTAGGAGAGGCAATATGAAATATTTAAAGAGGAAGTATCATAATATCTGCAACTTACATAAAACTAATGTGGCCCAATGTTGGCAATTGGTGAATCTAGGTAAAGATTATATAGGTGGTTTTTTTTTCCTATTTTTAACAGTTTTTTATAGACAGTTTCTGAAAAATCTAGAAACATTTTATTGTTCTCATGTTTATTGTATATTGCCATTGAATAAACATGCTATTTATCTACATAACTTAAAAGAAGTATTTATCAATCATTTTGTCTATAGTCCACTAAAATTGGAGTAAAAAATGTCTGAAGCATAAAACCAAATTAAATTTCTATTGCTAATTGCTTCCTATTTCCTATAGAAACAGGAAGTAAAGAAATAGAAAGTAAGGAATTCAAAACTCTTACTCAGAAATTTTACTTAAAGAATAATTCTACCCATAAAAATCTATCCAGAGTTAAATATGTATGAAGTCATGCATAATCATTTATAAAAGCAAAGAAAATTTAGAAGAACTTAAAATTTAGCCATAGAGAAGTGGTTAAACAAATATAGAATGCACTTAGAATGAAATACTATATAGCCATTAAAATGATATTGTAGATAATGATAAGAAGTTCATATTGTTTATATTAGTACACTGGTTCATATACCTCTTATTCACTCAGAAATAATGGTCATGTAAAACTCACATACTGTATTATAATTTTTTAATTAAAATGATATTTATTTAAAAAATCTTTGCTATGTATTTCTAAGAGTAAAAAAAGCTCAACAAACTGCATATTCAAAATCATCCCTTCTCATGGGTCCGTGGTATGTGTATATGTGTGTGAAAGGGTGTTCAGATAGAGGTAACTGAAGTTTAATAGGGGTAATCTATGACGGCATATGGATGCTTTAAATTTTCTTTATTTTGACTTTGTGTATTTTTTAATTTTTCTGTAATGTCTGTGTTTTGCTTTAGTAATAAGATAAACAAACTAATATAAAACAAAAAAAGTTAAATAGGAACTTGGATTGCTGATAAATATATGTGACACTCCCAACCTTAATGTTTTGCTATTTATGTCATTTCAAGCACAGCTCCAACTTTTGAGGTTTCTTATTACAAATAAAAGAACCACCTCATCAACTCAAACTCCTATTTATAGTAACCTAAAAACTACAATAGGATTATTTAGGAGACACTAACACTAGCTGAGTTGGTTGGTGGGTGATCAGTACAATTAACAATAAAAAGAAAGTATGATGACATGGTTTCTGAGATGGAAAACTTCTGCTATTATAGATGCATTATCTGATGCAGAGAGCCAAATGCCTTTGAACAAAATGACATTTTTAGCAAAGGCACTGTTTTTCTGCACAAAAACAGGTGCAGTATTGAGAAATAAGTGGAAGAGGTTTTTAGTGTTAGCAAAGAATGGTTTGATAGTTTAAAGAAGAGCAATGTTGGGCATGACATAGAGCACCAAAATTCAGGGGAAATTTGAAGTTACAACAGGAGAGGCCCCAATTTACAACAATTTTATTTTAGCATTCTTCAGAACTAAAATAAAAAATAAATTGACAGTCACTTGTAGCTAACAAAGATGAATCAGGTACTCAGTTAATGCAAATAAGGAAACATGAGTTGAAAATAACAAATAATCCAATCATGTCATTTTTCCTCCTTTCCTGGAGGACTAAAATAAAATTACTTCACTGACTTAATTTTACACTCTCTTCTCTGTCCCTGGGTGAATAATGTGCCATTTCATATAATCTGAAGAAAGTCATGTTCACAGAGAAGTGGAACAAGGACCAATTATAAGCTTAATTGCATGTCTAACAGGGAACATCAAGTATCATCAGGAATCTTGCCAGAATTCCATTAAAGAGCTCTGAATTAAGAGTCAAGAGAAGTGAATCCTAGTCTCAATTCTGCCATTAAGTAGCCACACCATCTGAGTCAAAGCATCTTTTTTTCACATGTCCTCATTTATAAATAGAGCACATTGATCCTCATTTTTGTGATTCTCTAACTCTAAATGTCTTAAATAGATAAGAAAATACATGTTCTATGTATTTTTTCTTAAATTGTCTTTTCTGCAGAAACACATCTAGATTTCTTCTTACACTGAATCTCTTCTAGAAATCAGATATCCCTATCACATTTGCCTGGCACAGAGCCTCTGGATCAATTCCTGGGCCACTGATTAATTCCCACCTTCTCAGGAATGTATGGAATCCCTATTAACCATAAATATGCTTTATATCTATGGTGTTAAAGTGGTTTACTCTATTGAAGTATCTTCATAAAAGTGTGTCAGTTGCAGCCCCATCCTCATTCACATTTAATTTTTAGTTCAAGTAAACTAAAATATTTTTGTATATAAAAAGGAGACAGATGAACTCTTCATTTTCTCAAAATTTAGAATCCAAATATTGCAAGTATATATAAAGCCCAATTGAGGATTGAAGAATTCTGTTTTCTTCAGTATGGGACTTTATTATTATATTTACTTAAATCTAATCTTTCTAGATTATTGTCCCTGCTTGTCCATATGAAACTTAAAAAAAATTCTCTTGCAACAGAATGTTAACATACTGGCCTTTAAATAATTGCTCTTTTAAAGTTCTGTGAATTTGGGAAAACTATTGGATCCTTTATTTCTAAGTTTTCAGGGACTTTTTTAAAACCTGACCAGAGCTTTTGGAATTTCTCACTGACTGCATATTTTAGTCATAACAGTGTTCATCTTTCCTTGAGCAATTAGCTGTATGTATTTTTTTTCCCTATTTTTCATTAGATTGTGTAAATCTATCGAACTTTAAAAAATTCTAAACAACCTTTAAAAAATCTTTTTTTGCCCTAGTATTAAGTATTTCCTTTATTTAAAAAAATATTTAGCTTTTTCTTGAAGTTATCTTCCAGACATTTTTAAATAAAGTCAGTATTTTAAAAACTAGCTAATTATTATTACTACTAAATTGGAATTACTTTTGTAACATGTAATACTTTTTTTAATCGAGAGTCTGTTTTCCTTTTTTATTTCATGTTCTAGGCACTGAATGGCTCAAATAATCGTTCCATTGGTATAAAAGAAATCAAGCAAAACACTTTGTCTAGTATTTTAAATATATTAACTAGTTAGCAATAAACATGTTATTTTTGTTCTATAAGGGGAAAATTTAGGGACAGTAGAGAGGACATTTTCACATTTTACTTGGAAGTACCCAGATAACTTCTCACTAATAATAAGCAAGATCTTGTAATAATGTAGCTCCTATTTCATAAGTGCTTATAAACTGCCCAGAACATCTAATGATATTCTCCCTCTTTCAAAATTCATCAATAGAGAATCCTTGTATAGATTTGCTAACTTTCATAGATGGAGACACCTTTTAATACTTTGGACATTGAACATTTTGTCCCAGATAATGTTTTTCAAATTGGTTCTGCAATAGCAAAGTGAACACCTTTCAAATGTACAATGCAAACAAAAAGTTACCTTTGAAGAGGATGTCTAAATACATTTATCATTCTCTTTTTCAGAGGGCTAAGTTAGGAACAGTTTATTTCCTGTTAGCATCCTCCAAATAAGCACATTTTCTTGTGTTTCTTCCACATTTTGGTAAAACAATAGTAAGTTTATACTTGATATGGTTGGGCTATATCTCCACCCAAATCTTATCTTGAATTGTAGTTCCCATAATCCCCACATATTGTGGGAGGAACCTGGTGGGAGGTAATTGAATCATGGGGGCAGTTACCCACATGCTGCTGTTCTTGTAATAGTGAGTGAGTTCTCATGAGGTCTCATGGTTTTTTTGGGGGTGGGGGTAATGGAGTCTTGCTGGAGTGCAGTGGCGTGATCTTGGCTCACTGCAAGCTCAGCCTCCCAGGTTCACACCATTCTCTAGCCTCAGCCTCCCGAGTAGCTGGGACTACAGACGCCCGCCACCACATCCGGCTATTTTTTTGTATTTTTAGTAGAGATGGGGTTTCACTGCATTAGCATAAGATGGTCTCTATCTCCTGACTTCATGATCCGCCCACCTCAGCCTCCCAAGGTGCTGGGATTACAGGTGTGAGCCACTGCACCCGGCCGAGATCTCATGGTTTTATAAGGAGCTTTTTCCCCTTTTTCTCGGCACTGCTTGCTGCCGCCATGTGAAGATAGATATTCTTGATTCCCCTTCTGTTATGATTGTAAGTTTTCTGAGGCCTCCTGAGCCCTGAATTGTGAGTCAATTAAAGCTCTTTCCTTTATAAATTACCTAGTCTCAGGTATATCTTTATTAGTAGTATGAGAACAGACTAATACAGTAAATTGGCACCAGGTAGTGGGGAGCTGCTCTAAAGATAGCTGAAAATGTGGAAGCTACTTTGGAACTGGTAATAGGCAGAGGTTGGGACAGTTGGAAGCGTTCAGAAGAAGATAGGAAAATGTGGAAAAGTTTGGAGCTTCCTAGAGACTTGGAGGACTCAGAAGAAAGGAAGATGTGGAAAAGTTTGGAGTTGCCTAGAAACTTGAATGGCTTTGACCAAAATGTTAATAGTGATATGGACAATAAAGTGCAGGATGAGGTGGTCTCAGATGGAGATGAGGAACTTGGAAACTGGAGTAAAAGTCACTCTTGCTAAGCAAAGAGACTGGTGGCATTTTGTCCCTGCCCTTGAGATCTGTGGAACTTTGAACTTGAGAGGGATGATTTAGGGTATCTGATGGAAGAAATTTCTATGCAGCAAAGCACTTAAGAGGAAGCAGGGAATAAAAGTTTAAAAAATTTGCAGCCTGACAACGCTGTAAAAAAGAAAAACCCATTTTCTGGAAAGACATTCAAGCCCACTGCAGAAATTTACATAAGTAACCAGATGCCAAATACTAATCACCAAGACAATGGGGAAAATGTCTCCAGGGATGTCAGAGACCCTCATGGCAGCCCCTCTCATCACAGGCCTGAAGGCCTAGGAGGGAAAAATGGTTTCTTGGGCCAGGTCAAGGGCCCCCTGCTGTGTGCAGCTTCAGGACTTGGTGCCCTGTGCCCCAGCTGCTCTAGCCTTGGCTAAATGGGGCCAAGGTACAGCTTGGGTCATTGCTTCAGAGAGTGCAACCTCCAAGCCTTGGTAGCTTTCATGTGGTGTTGAGCCTGCAGGTGCCTAGAAGTCAAGAATTGAGGTTTGGGAACCTCCGCTTAGATTTCAGAGGATGTCTGAAAAGGCCTGGATGACCAGGAAGAACTGTGCTGCAGGGGCAGAGCCCTCATGGAGAACTTCTGCTAGGGCAGTACAGAAGGGAAATGAGGGCTTGGAACCCCCACACAGAGTCTCTGCTGGGGCACTTCCTAGAGGAGCTGTGAGAAGTGGGCCACTGTCCTCCAGACCCCAGAACAGTAGATCCACTTATAGCTTGTACCATGTGCCTGGAAAAGCCACAGGCACCGAATGCCAGCCCATAAAAGCAGCCTGGAGGGGGGCTGTACCTGCAAAGCCACAGGGGCAGGGCTGCCAAAGACTATGGGAGCCTATCTCTTGCATCATCAGCCTGACCTAGATGTGAGACATAGAGTCAAAGAAGATAATTTTGAAGCTTTAAGATTTGACATCCCTGCTTGATTTTGGACTTGCATGGGGCCTGTGGCTCCTTTGTTTTGGCCAACTTCTCCCATTTGGAATGGGTATATTTACATAATACCTGTACCCCCATTGTATCTAGGAGGTAACTAACTTGCTTTTGATTTTACAGGCTCACAGATATAAGGGACTTGCCTTGTCTCAGATTAGACTTTGGACTAGGACTTCTGAGATAATGCTGGAATAAGTGAAGACCTTGGGGGACTGCTGGAAAGACATGATTGTGTTTTGAATTGTGAGGACACGAGATTTGGAAGAGGCCAGGGTAGAATGATATGGTTTGGCTGTGTCCCCACCCAAATCTCATATTGAATTTTAGTTCCCATAATCCCCACATGTTTTGGAAGGGACCTAGTGGGAGGTAATGGAATCATGAGGGCGGTTACCCCCTTGTGCTGCTCTTGTGATAGTGAGTGAGTTTTCATGAGATCTGATGGTTTTATAAGGGGCTTTCCCTGCCTTTCGCTCAGCACTTCCCCTTGCTGCTGCCATGTGTAGAAGGACATGTTTACTTCCCCTTCTGCCATGATTGTAAGTTTTCTGAGGCCTCCTCAGCCATGCTGAATTGTGAGTTAATTAAAGTTCTTTCCTTTATAAATTACCCAGTCTCAGGTATGTCTTCATTAGCAGTGTGAGAATGGATTAATACAATACTATTGCCATTATCCAGCTTATGTGCATGCTCTTCAGCAATTTATTCCTTTTCCTTTAGGCTCAGCTGCAAAACTTTAAGTTCACTTCTTTCAATTGCCAAATGGGTAACAGTATGAATGAAGTTGAAGCTTCCTTTATTGCAAATAAGTTCTATTCTCTATTAGGAAAAGTTGATCCAATTTCATAAAATGAAAGAAAATGTAATTAATTTTCACATTTCTTTGGCTCATGATCATGGAAAGAGCTGGGATTTGGAGTCCCTTTTTCTTTTTCTAGTTCTCTTACTCTCCACAATGGCAGATATTTTGATGTAGCAATAACTATCTAATCTGTCTTGTTCACAAGGAGTACACTGCACAGTAGGTGAAGCCAATGAACTGCAGGATAGCTTTATCCTTCCTTCCCTTGCTGCATATTTTATGGCCTTTAATGTAGCTTCATTTCTTGTTAAATGCATTCTCCAGGCAATTTGACAGATGGGACTGACTTTTTTTTTGTTTATATGGTATTTTCAAAGCAAGAACAAATCTGCCCATTTCAAACAGTTTCTAGTTAGATCTAAGTAAAGATGTTACATGATTCCCATTTTTTTAATAGGGAGAGTGTGAGTGGGGGTTGTTTTTGGTTAAATCGAATTTAATAGACTAGAAATTTATACTTTCCAGAAAACCTGTCACTAATACATCTTAAATATTAAACTATTCTATCAATACATTAAAAAGAGAAATAAATCTATGGTACTATATATTCTGAAAAAAGTAATAAAACTGCCAGTAAATACACATCTCAGGTGACTGCCAGAGACAGCTGGATATTGAATTAAGCACCTGCAGGGAATGGAAAGACACAGGGTGATAAAAATGGTTGACACGAGGATATAAGTTCATGTTGATTCAAATCCCTTCTGGGAACTATTTTTACACCATCCTCACACTCAGAGCTTCCATAAATTAATAATTGCCAAAATGATTAACAGCTTTTAATCTTTTTCTATATTTATGAACATAAGATTATGGTAAGATTTCGTAGTTATAATTGTAGCCTATTTATTTAGTGTCTTCTTCTAAGGAAATGTAAAGTCCCACAGAAAATATGTAAAACCAGACTCTTCAATACACTCTGAGCCTTCAAATAATACATCAAGTCTTGGTTTATAGTTTCTAAATTCCTCAACTTAGAGCTCACACAGAAAGCCTCCTTTCTAATGAAAATTGATCTAGAAAAAGCAATTCTGTAAAGTATGGTAATTTTACACATAAGTATTAATGGGAGTGGCTATAGGAATCCACTTAGACTTGTATTGTCCCCTATGGTACTAGTGACAACTCAGTGAAACAGTGAAAGAAAAGACAGCTACTTAATTGCAGGACATATAAGTAAAAGAAGTAGCTATCTAAGAAGAAAATCTGTCAGTAAAGGAGTCAGATTGGCAAAAAGATGATGGCGGGGAAAATTTGGAAGAGAGAATTAGTGGCTATAATTATAAAAACCCCTTACAGCAAAGCATTCTTCACATTCATTTTCTTCATTCTCTCCTGGGAAGCTGTGAGGTGCTGACCATCCCAGATCCCTTGCAGGATGGAATCATTCATTCTCCCAGCTGCCAGAAGGTTGGCCACTAATGGCTCACCAGTGCATCCCTCTCTGGGCCCTGCCCTTGACTGAAGGGAATTACCTCATCCAGGATACATCCCTCCAATGACTGAGGCTGGTTTGAAAGCCCAGCTGCCTTGCCTCATTTTGGCACAATACTGAAGGGCTTTCCCAGCTCCAGTGCTACCCTTAGGTTCCATTGAGGCATGTGTTGCAACCTCACTGTAGTTCAAATTCTCTCTCTACCCAGAACCACCCAATAATTCTCCTGCACACAAATTTTTACCTTGGAGTCTGTTTCCAAGGAATCTGACCTAAGATACAGTCAGTAGCTTAACCTACATGGTTATAAAGTTCTCCTGCAGGTCCCCAAATATCTTAACCACCAGATTCTATGAACTCAGACTTTCTTTTCTTTGCAGTTTTTTATTTAATTCTGTTATTTTTTCCTTGGTATTCTTTTTTTTTTCTTCTGTGGACATAATTGACTCTGGCCCTCTTACATTTTCAAATTTTAAAGAAATTTAAAGGCAAGTTTTGCTCTCTATTCTCTTCTTACCTTGCTTCTTGGTTTTCTTGGTCAACCTCATTTATACCCTTGGCTTTAGTTACGATCTTCATGGTAAAATCTCCTGAATCCACATCTTTAGCCCAGATCTCTGTTCTTCATTTCAGAAACACACTTACCCACATAGTATTGCTACCTGGATATCCAATGACTGTTCCTGGTAGCCATTCTCTCTACCTTCTTCCATAATCTCCCTCAATCCATCCTTTACACTATGACCAGTGGTGCCATATTTAATGACATCAATACAACTATTGTCATTGTTCCATTGTTGCTGTTTTAAGGAATCTTTACATTTCTATCTAATAAGCCTATAACTCTATAGAGGTTTATTATGGTGATAAAATTTTATGATAGCTTCTTCATCCAATTTCTTTCAAGGAAACTCTTTCCTCCTGGCAATACAGTAGAAATAGAATGGCCCTTCAAGTCATATAGAAATAGACTGCAATGGTTTTCCCTTTAGTAACCAGGGTAACTGTCAAAAAGCCACTTAAGTAACTTCTCTGCATCTCAGTTTCTCATATTACTTATACAGATAATATGAAGGCTAAGTAAGAAAATGTGTGTATGAATGTATTTTGACTACATTGAAATGACTTGATAAATGTGAATTTTACTCTCTTCTGCTGTTCCATCTTTCTCTAGGTTAATGGTTATAGCTTTAGTTTAAACAACTAAACTCAGTTAGTCAATTCCAGCTAGAGAGTGCTGTCTAGGCTACAGGTAGGGTCCAGGCCCTTTGTTCAGCACAGATTATTTAGAAATATAGTCAAACAGACATGGCAGCATCAAAACTTGATTTCCTGGTATCGGAACACTCAGGGCACAGAAACCAAGCTGCTGGGTCATGTGGGGCTCCCCAGAGCAGCACAGGTCTGGACAGGAGCCTGGAGTGTGAAGCTGGTTGTAGTCTCTCTCTGGCCATCATGGCCTTGAGAGACAAACACGGTTTGACAAGTTCCCTTCTTGCCTCCAATCTCTCTTTCCTGTGTTGACTATTTCTGGCTCACCCCAGAGTTCCAATAACTTCCTCTAATCATATTAAAAACGTTTAGGCACCTTGAGTGTATGTTGGCATTTCGTACCTATACAGAATCTGAAGAATCTTGTCATCAATTTCATTCTTTAGATTTTCAATTTCTGCCCATATAAATGCCACCTCTAACCTGTAACAATTGGTTTTCAATTTTAGGTTATTCTTCATGGACAATATTATATTATTTAAAATTTCTCTTTGGCTTCCTAACAGAATGACTGATATACTTTCAGTAGGATATGAACTTGGAAGTTGTTTGGAGTTAGTACAGTTGACCCTTGAACAACACAGGTTTGAATTGTACGGGCCCACTTAAACGTGGATTTTCTTCCACCTTTGCCACCTCCAAGATGGAAAGAGCAACCTCTTCTCTTCCTCCTCCTCCCCCTACTCAATGTGAAGACAAGGATGAAGACCTTTATGATGATCCACTTTGACTTAATGAACAGTATATATATTTTTCTCTTCTTTACGATTTTTTAAATAACATTGTCTTTTTTCTGGCCATATCATAAGAATACAGTGTCTAATATACTCTGTAATATACATATATATATAAAACATGTATATATATTAATTGTCCAGTAAACAGCGGGTATTAGTAGTTAAGCTTTTGTGGAGTCAAAAGTTATATTTGGTTTTGTGATTGCTTGGGAGGATTGGTGCCCCAAACCCTTATGTTGTTCAAGGGTAACTGTATTTGTAATAGTATAAGCTTATCACACTTTAAAAAAACTAAATATATGAACCAAATAAATGTCTAATTATTTATAGTAACAGTTGAAAAGGATTTATTCTAAAATAGCAAGTTCCTATAGTACAGTGAAATGATTTTATTTAAAAAAATTCAATAACCACAAAATTGTATAATTTTCTGGAGTTTCTCTACCACCCACAAGTATAAGTCTCTGTGACTTCTCATCTCATTTACTGCTAGAGTTCCAGCACCTAGAATAGTACTCAGCAGGTAACAGATGCCCAATAAACATTAGTTGCATAAATAAATCCTACTGTTAAAAAAGCATACATTTGTCAGTTTTTTGTATAATTTATCATATTTTATTCTTCTTTACAAATTGTGAGCAAGAACTTCTTTTCAAAAATAAATTTGTCCAATTTGATTTATATTTCTTGATTCTCAAATAATTATCATAAGCAATGTTTATTGCATGTTATGTGCTATGTGTCCTGTTGCTTGCTATTCTAATCCATCTCTCAAACTGCTGTCACATTTATATTCCATATGAATAGCCCCAAATAACTCATTCACAAAGACATAGGTTTTCATGTGTTTTTTGAGATGGAGTCTCGTTCTGTCGCCCAGTCTGGAGTGCAGTGGTGTGATCTTGGTTCACTGCAACCTCCGCCTGCTGGGTTCAAGCGATTCTCCTGAAAGGCACAAGTTTTATCAGTTTTGTTTGCTGCTTTATTCCCAACACTTAGACAATATTAAGAGATGAGTACAATTATATCCATTTTTTTCACAGATGAGGAAAAAGAAGCAATGAAAAATGAAGGAATGTGCTCAATTTTAAACAGTCATAGAAGATAGTGCTAGATTTTAAACTAGACAATTCAACTCCAGAACATGTGGTTTTAACCACTGCTTCCTTGACTTCTGTGTCTTTGCTAGCCTTGAGTCCTACTTGCAGTGAATGGAATGTTTTCATCTCCAAAATTTATATGTTGAAATTTTAACCTCCAAAGTAAAGTATTAGGAGAAGGGGCCTTTGGGAGATATTGAATTCATGACAGCAGAACTCTCAAAAATGGGATTAATGTCCATATAAAAACGACCCCAGAGACTCTCTTGCTCCTTCTACCATGTGAGGTTACAGTGAGAGCACAGCTGCCGATGAAGAAGGGGACCTCATTAGACACTGAATCTGCTGGCACTTTGATCTTGAACTTCTCAGCCTCCAGAACTGTAAGAAATAAACGCTGATTGTTTATAAGTCACTCAGTCTATGGCATTTTGTTATAACAACCCAAAAGGACTAAGATATTTTTCTACCACTGTAACTTGTAAAAAATAGAAGAGTCTCTAATATCATATGAAATGAATAGTCATGAAAATGAAGGTTTTAATTTCCAAATTCTCTTATTAATAATTTCTGACAACTGTCCAGTAAAACACAAAGGAAAACAAGAAAGAAGTCGGAAGGACTTCTGGCAAATTATTTACTGTCAGAATGATAAAAAAATCAGCTGTATGCCTTTCCCATTTTTGGTATTTTGAGACAATTTTTTCTCTTAATATGTTAAGTCTCAAATGAAGGTGTGCTGCTTTCCGTTTATTGACATCTGTTATCTAGGAAATGACTTTTTCAGGATAGCCATATAAAAAACGTATGAAGTCATCTATGCATTTCCTAGCAGATGTTAAAAGTTCCCTAATTGTAAAAGTGAACTTTTTCACAATCATAGGTGGGTCAAAATAAAAATAATTAAATAATTTAGGAAGACAGACATCCTGTCATTAATATCTATAAGAATTACCTAACTGCTTCGAGAGAATTAAATACCAATAGAAATTATAAATAGAAGAACCACATATAATAGAATTAAATAGTTCATTGCATTACAAAAACAAAAGATGTCTTTTACCTCATATACCTTTAAAAATGATGGTAAAAACTAACATAAAAATGGCAAAAAACTAACATAAAAATCAAATTTTAAGCTGGGGAAAATATTTGCAATGCATTTGAAAGAAAATGCATATATATTACATACAAAGAGTGTACATATGTGTATATATCACATACAAACAGTATGGTGTATACCATATATGGTATATATTGCATACAAAGAGTAGTTACAAAGCGATAAGAAAAAACCAACAATAAAAAAAGTCAAAGAATATCAATATACAATTTATAGAAGAGTATATGACTAATACACATATGAAACAATGCTGAATCTGTCTAATAGAAAAACGCAACTTGAAGTAATTCAGACATTACTTTATGCCTGGCAGAACGAGAAAAATGAGAAAAGTGATCACACCCAACTTCTGGGTAGCAATGTGGGCAAACGATATTAAATATATAATCCTGTGGAAATGTAAACCATCACAGCTTTTGAGTGAATTATCCATCTATTAAATTTAGAAAGTCTTATTCACTACATTATGGATACTGGCAAAAATTTGGAAGAAGCTGTATGCAAGGCAACATTATAAAATCTAGCAAAATTACAAAAAGGCATACCATTGTACATAGCAATTTTATTTCTTCTAGATATGCTTACATAGATGCAAAACAGTCTTGCATATGCTCATTTAGAGCAGCTATGTTCATGATAGCAAAAGACTGGTTGCAAAATAAATCAATACAATGTACGACAGTAAGGAGCTGTCAAAAAATAAAATTAGAAAGTTTTTCTGTGAGCATATATGAAATTATCTCTAGTATTTTCTATTAAGTAAAAAAGTCATTGAACAGTGTCTAAACGTGCTACAATTTCTATGGAAAAGGAGAAAATATATATATATATATGTGTACATAGGCTTACATATGTGAAAACTATTTCTGGAAATTTATATAAGAAGCTGATAATGCCAGTTAATTCTCTCTAGAGAGGGAAATTGGCTAGGGATAGAGTTGGGAGAGACTATTTTCAGTTTATCATTTAGAAGCTTTTGATTTTTGAATCACATGAGCTGTTACCCATTGATATTAAAGATGATTTTTTTGCATGACAGTGTGAATGTACTTAATGCCACTGAAGTATACACTTAAAAAAAGGTTAAATGGTAAATTGTATTTTATGTATATTTTCACACAATAAAATACTTTTAAAAATAATAATTTTCTTAAAGTACTTGTTTCTCAACAAGTCTGTACCTAAGGATGTATATATCCTTTGAGAAATGTAAGTAAATAATGATAGATTCAATTTGGCTCACATACCATTATTTTACATGGCAAAAAATTGAAAACAGGATAGTAAATTATCCCTAATTAAGAGATTTTTAATGAAAATTATCCAGATATAAAATCGAATGTGGCCATTAAAAAGAGTACTTTATGAATGAATAAATAAATTGTGATATATTATATAATGGCATATTATTCAGTGCTAAAGAGAAATTAGCTATCAGTCAATGAAAGGACATGAAGAAAACCTAAATGCGTATTACTAAGTGAAAAAGGCCAATCTGAAAAAACTACACACTGTTTCATTCCAATTATATGACATTCTGGAGATGACAAAATTATGGAGACAGAAAAAAAATCAGTGGTTGGCAGAGATTAGGGAGGATGGAGCACAGAGGAGTTTTAGGGCAGTGAAACTATTCCGTATTATACTATAATTGTGGATATAAGTCATTATACATTTGTCCAAACCCATAGAATATACAACACCAGGAGTAAAACCTAATGTAAACTACAGACTTTGAGTAATAACTATATGGTAATGCAGGTTCATCGATTATAACAAATATAACACTCTTGTGTGGGATGTCGGTAGTGGGGGAGCCTGTAAATGTGTGGGGATAGATGGTGAATGGGAATGCTCTGTACTTTCTGCTCAAGTTTTGCAATTAATCTAACACTGCTGTAAAAATAAAGTCTATGTTTTTTCAAGTAAAAAGAATTCTGAGTAAAAGAAAAGAAAGGATACATTAGTCTGTACTAGTTGACATATAAAGATTTCCATGATTATTTTGAAGAGTTCTGGAGATGGATGGTGGTGATGGTTGCAAAACAATCTGAATGCAGTTAATGTCACTGAACTGTACACTTAAAAGTGGTTAGATGGTAACTTTTATGTTATGAGTATTTTATCATAAGTAAAAATATTTAAAAATATTTAAACATTATTTAAACAATAAAACCAATAAGCATCAAAGGAGCAACAATAAGATTAATGACTGTTCTTAACAGAGAGGATGAAAGCTAGAAGACAATGGAATGTAATCTTTGGTGCTGAAAGAAATTCTATAACCAGCAAAAATAAGGTTTAGAAACATAGATACAATAAAGAATTTCCAGAGAAATAAACACAGAAAGTTTCCAGGATACCAGCACTAAAAGAAATCCTAAAATGACTCCTTCAGACACAAGGAGAATATTTTCAGATGGAAACACAGATATGCAAAAGAAATGAATGACAATGGAAAAGTAAATGTGCAGGTAAATATAAATGGATATTGACTATATAAACACGAATAGAAATAGGTTCTAAGTAATCCTTAAACTGTGAAAAATGTCTTCATAATGGCACAAGATGGAGTTAAAATTTTCTAAGATTCTAGCAATATCAGGGAATTGCTAGTAGTAATTATTCATGTTAGACTGTAAAAGTTGAAGATGAATGTGCAATCTCTAGAGTAACCACTATAAGAACAGTATAAGAATGCATATCTAATAAATTAACAAATTAAAAATGGAATAACAAGAAGTATCTGTTTATTTCCAAAATCCAAAAGAAATTAATAAAGGAGAGAAAAAAATATAAGTAGGTGAGTTAAAGAGAAAATAAATAGTAACATGATAGATATAAACCCAAGTTTATTTTAATAAATATAAATGTAAATGGACTACGTAACCCAAGTAAATATCAATACTGTCAGATTAGGTTTTTTAAATGAAGGCTACTATAAGATGCTTACAAGAGATTGTAAATATAAGAACCAGAAGGTTGAAAGAAGGGTGCACAAAGAAAAGCCATGCAAATATTAACCAAATGTAAGTTGGCAGTGTTTGTGCTAAAAACAGAAAGAGTAGATTTTAAAGCAAAAGGCATTATTAGAGATAAAAAGTAACATTTTATAATGATAAAGTGATCAATCCATAAATAATGTAAATGTTAATTGTGGTTATCTTTTGAGTGGTTTTTAAAGCGATTTTTACATTCTTCATCATACTTTTTTGTATTGTTTGAGGTTTTTACAATATACATGAATTATTTATATCACCTGAAATAAAACAATAAAGCCATTTTTTACTGTAGACAGAAAAAGAAATAATGCAATACAAAGATTTAAGAGTAATCTTTCTAAATAAAAACAGTTTAAAAAGATTTAGTGGTTGTTATGCTCTGATTACAATTATGAAAATTAAGTCTATAATGCTAGGTCAAGAAAAATAAAAATAGAGCTAATGAGAATCAGGTGGAAAATTGCACATGAGAGTGTTATGTAATCTCATTTTCTTCTTAGTCCTATTTGTTTATTTAAGGATTAGAAAATAGTTAGATAATTCTGAGTGTATTTTCTGCAAGTAGATGATATAGGAGTACTTAAAAACAAAAAGAATGTGGGAATGATCCAAAGAGAGGAAAGAACTGATTCATTCTTTCATTCATTCATTCATTTATTCATTGAATAATTACTTATGAGTACCTAGTCTATGCCAAATACTGACTGAAATTATCATTTCTGAGGCAAATAGAATATTTGTCACTCTAATGTGGGAAATTACTTTTGCGATTATTAGATGGAATAAGTCATGCATATTTGATGGGATTACGCAAGAATAACACTTCCTTAACTAACATACTTTAAATTGAATTTGCTATTCAAATTATGGGGAGACTTAAAGTGTTTATAATAACGATATCCTGAATGATATTCTGAGAATAAGTAAATCTGACTTACAAAAATAAAACTACCCATAGATAAGTCTGAAAAACATAAATGAATCATTGGGATTGATATAGGAAAGAGATGAAGAATAAAGATGCTGTTGAAGAGGATTCGAAAACCATCTGGCATCGAAAGTTGGATTAGCTCTGTTGGGGCTCCCAATTACTGACTAATTGCAATATCCAAAAGCTTTTTTTCCCTCAATCATTCTCCTAGAATTTTCAGGAGCATTTAACACTGTTGCCCTCTTTGAATCTCTTGGCTTCTTTGGTTTCTTTTAACAAAACAGACACTGGAAGTCAGTTTTTCTCTTATTTCTATCAGTTTCTGTGGCTAATTCCTCTTTCTTCGAACAGAATTTTGATGACTGAATATTGATGATCCTAAAAGTTCTATCTGTGGCAATGTTTCCTTTTCACTCAGTACATGTTTTTTTGCCTGATAAAATTCTGGCAGCTTCTATCAGCATCTCTATTCAAATAGATCAACCCATGCTTTATCCAATCCCAGAGCTCCAGTTCTGTGTTTTCATTATTCCTGTGATCATCCCCCATTTTGCCATGCAGGAGACATACGAATGTTATGTTCCAAGCTACAGTTACCGTTTTAATATCCTCTATTGAAGTTAACTGTTATTCTTTTAGTGTTCCAGGTCTCAAATAATGAGATCACAAACGAAGTTGCTGTGGAATCTGGCAAAGAAGATATTCCTTTCAAATCAAGTTCTTCTTCTCTTCTCTACCTCTACCACATTCCTGAGACTGGCTTACAACAAGCCATTGATTTCCCTGTTTCCCAGCACCAAACTCCCTGCAGTCTAGTCTCATATTGCTACCATGTTTCTTTCTCTCTCTCTTTCTTTTCTTTTCTTCTTTCTTTCTTTCTTTCTTTCTTTCTTTCTCTCTCTTTCTTTCTTTTCTTTCTTTCTTTCTTTTTCTCTCTTTCTTCTCTTTCTTTTTCTCTCTCTTCTCTTTCTCTTATTTCTTCATTTCTTTCTCCCTCTCCTTTCTTCTTTTTCTTTCTAGTCTCTGCTTCTCTTTTCTTTCTTTCTCTCCCTCCTCTTTCTTTCTCTTTCTTTCTTTTTCTTCTTTCTTTCTTTCTTTCTTTCTTTCTTTTCTTTTTTTCTCTCTTTCTCTCCCTCCTTCCCTCCCTCCTCTTTTTCTCTCTTTCTTTCTTTCTTTCTTTCTTTCCTTTCTTTCTTTTTTCTTTCTTTCTTTCTTTCTTTCTTTCTTTCTTTCTTTCTTTCTTTCTTTCTTTCTTTCTTTCTTTCTTTTTTTCTTTTTTTCATGTTCCAATATCTTTTAAATTATGGCCTTCTAGAGTTCCTTCTCAGCTAAAGCTAATATTGACTATTATCAAGGTATCTATAAACACAGTTTTACAATTTTCCCTCCCTCAATATGAAGTTGGCCCAACTGAACTTTGAATTTTGAAGGTGCTTGCCTTTCCACCCCCTCATAGGATAAGCGTGTGCCACTTTATGGCAATCTAAGATGAAGAGTCTAATTTTATAAATCAAATACACTAAGGACTAATAATTTTCATTATAAAAATGTTTTTCATCTCTATTGAGTCCTTGCTTAGTATTCTTCTTATCAAAATGTGTGGTTCCAATTGTATAAATATATGATAGATTTATCTGTGAAGTATTTATCATTCATGACCTGTCATTCATAAAGCCATCAAAGAAGATTGAAAAGGAGGAAATGTCTGTTGGTTTATATAATTTTTTTTGAATCTGTACTGCTAAGCAATTGAAACACAATTTTACACATTTTCTGTGGTTATAGAAATATCTACTACTATAAAATTTTAAATATAAAACATTTATGCATAAAATTTTGATTATGGATACTACCATCATTTTGTATACATTTTTGTTTGCATGTATATTTTAATCATTACTATTGAATAAGTCCTATTAAATTAAGAACTAGCTGTATTAAGTTCTATCTTGAAAAAAAAGTATGTATATATGTATATATGTAGATATATATGTAAAATCAGTTTTTATTTGCAAACTTAGTTCCCTTCCCCATACCAATGAAATATTTATGTAAATACTTTCTAAAATCCTTTTAGCTTTAGTATTTTCTGATTTTATTACAATTTTCGAGATACATTTGTGGATAAAGAATCAACTCTGACCACTTTAATATGGAGCAATGAGATTTTCAAAGATTCTTCTTGCTATTCAAATAATCTTATTTACTCTTTCCACATTCTTAAGTTCATTTTTTATCCATTTATCTAAACATTGCATGCTTTCATCATTGAACCTCCTATTTCATTTCTTGAAAATGTCAGGAAATACTGATAAATGCAAAGCTCCCGCTTTGTGCCTGGATTTCATTTGATATCACCTTGAATTTTTGAAATGTAACCTTCAAAAAAGAATATAATTTCACTTTATTTCTTAGAAGCATTATTATAAAATAATATTTATGAATGGCTTATGAGAGGAATCAATGCATTTACATAGTGGATAAATATGTCACAAGACATAGGCAGATTCATTTACTCTTTTTATGAAGGAATAAGTATTGAATTAGGGGCTCTAAAAATAAGACCTGAGAGAGGATACAGTATTTAAATTCATGTTTCTTATAAAAGTAATTTCATTATTACTGACAGAAAATGAGTTTCCTGAGATTCATAGTTACCATGTTTCTTCCTAATTATTTTTGTGATGTGATATAGGTTAACATGAAAACTGCTAAGTATAAATTTAAAATTACAAGACTATTTGGTAATTATAGTGTAAAATTCCCATAACACTACTGAATTCTATATACTTAAGCATAGTAAAATAATATAGTATCTACTTGCTAGTTATTCCTGTCTCTGCAGACTTCTAGGTTGTGACCACTTTGACTTGCATTTTTTTTCATGTAGCGGGCTCCTTTAAAAAAAAAGAAAATTTAAAAAATTTCAATTAACTGCAATTATAAATTGACAAATGCATCTAAATGAACATAATAAGCAAGAATGGAATGTGAAGAGCTTAATCAGATGCTTCCCTAATTGTCAGGTTACATATCCTATAAGAATAATTCCACAAACACTGCCACTAAACATTAGAGCTGTGGGTATATAAATCCAGGGTGGAATAAAAGGATGATACTGTTGTCCAACATTCTTCCTTAATGCAACATTTTGGTACCTATAAGCAAAAATGCTTTGTACAGTGCTTTTCCTTCTTGCCTATTTTATTTCTAATAACTAAATAATAAATGTAAAATGTATTTTTCCTTATCTTGAATTTATAAAAAAATTTAAAAAATATTTTATAATTTAGATTCATACAGGTTAGAGTTGCCTTCTCCTCTAATTATTCTGAATCGATAAAATTTTATATCTTGCTATTATACCTTAAACACTGATTTGGTTATTCCCAGTGATCATTAAAACAAAACTAAATGCTTTGACATTGGTTAGTTATTATATGTGCATATAGTCATAGCTTAATGTATTCAGTACATTATAACTAAAATAATTGAGCCCAAAATCCCCAAATGCATTTGTAATTAAGTGTATTTTAGAAAAGTGACTTGCATGAGACTGATGGAGATAAACATATTAACTTGGTGTTGCAATTTGTATTCTATACATTTATTATCCCATGGTTGATATGGGAAATAAAAAAGAAAATGTACTTTAAATTTATTAATTTGAATACTCAATATAGAGCCTTTATATCTATATCTGTAAAACCCAAGACTCTCTATATAATCATTAAATGTATAAGTCAGGACTATAGAGAATTTCCATTTATCAGTGGGACAGAGAAGTACCTAGTTCATGTCCAGAGTCAGGCAGGGCCTGGTATGTCTTAAAAGTCTTAAAGGGAGGATTGATTATCATTATTACTTAGTGCAATGGTTCTATTAAAAATTTAAAAAAGGAAATCAAAAGGCCGCAAACTTCAAGATCTACTTAAACAAGCCAATTTTACACAGTATGACTTAGATACTAAAATCTTTTCTTGAATTTGGAACTCTAAAGGATATTTTGGAAAATAAAAGCTAGGGTGACAATATATAAATAGCACATAAAATGCTGAAGATTATGTTTAATTGATACAATTCTTTATTTGCACAAAATGCATAGTCTTAGAATCAATAAAGCTTAGCAAATGATGTGTTTAGGCAGACATAATTTCCTGATAATAAATGCATTATTAAAGTGAGATAGAAATTACGGTTTTAACGTGATAAAAATGCTCCTCCTGGTCTTGCCACTGTTCACAGAATTAAAAAAAACATCAGATTCCTAATCTTGCTATTCAAGTTAAAAAGTGATTCTCTGCCCCTGACTTTACCCACAACAGTTTTTCAATACATACTTTATGAACCAGGAAGACTGAAACACCTGGTGGAATCTTCCCCATCCTGGCCCCCACTACATCTTTGTTCATGTTGTTCCTCCCGCTAGGACTGCCCTTCTACTGATTTCTGCCTGTGGTTTCATCACTCTCATCAAAGTCCAGATAATGAGCTTCCTCTTCCAGGAAGCCTTTCCTGATTCCTTTCAATTGTATGTAATATTTCACTGTCCTCTAAATTGCCATTTCTCATTTCCTCTCATAACACTTTTCAATAGATTCTAATTATTTATGTTTCATCACATCAAATGACTAAACTGTAACTTTTTCATAAGCTGCTTTCCTCCATGATTTATCTTTGCATTTCAACAAATTTCAGGGATGGTATATTGTAGAGTATAAGCACTTCATACTTTTAAAAATTTGATAAATATTGCTTATGTATTAAACTGGACAAATTTTTGTTGGTAAGAAATTTCCTCCTAGAGGGAGACTAGATATTGTTGGAAAAATTCCTCAGTATGTCTTCTTGGTGTAGAAGAAGTAACTCAGGGGAGTTGAGTGTGTCTGGGAGTGGCAGAAGGAGAATCTCATTCCGGGAAGAGGGAAGGCCTGGAGAGCAAGGTGAATTGGTGTAAGGCTGTGGCCAGTCCATATAACATACCTCTCTGCATATGACTCTTTTTGCAAATTGTACAAAATATTTGTTATGAGGGTGCTGGATGAGTTTAGCTTTGGGATTAATAAGAGACAGAATAAGAAGAGAGAGAAGAAGAGAGTCCCAGGAATTAGCAAGATTACTGGGTAAATTTTCTAAGCAAAGCTCTTAGGTGTCTGATACACAAGCATTCAGCCATTGTGATTAACATTTTGTGACTGGAAATTCTTATTTGGGGCAAAAGTCTGTATTAATGTTAAACAATTATCTCTATTCCCCAGAATTCAAACCCTTTGATCAGTTTCATACGAGATGCCATGCAGATTCCAACTCTGTGTAATTCAAGTAACTAAGGTTTAGCTGAAATGATCATAAACGTAGCTGGACATTAAGGAAACAGTCATTCAACAGTCTGATTAAATACCATTTGATGTAGCATAGGCCTACAACTTAGAAAACAGGAATCAGATAATTTAATTTCTTTTTCTGTAAAATGGCAGTAATCATCAAACTTAACATCTCATAGTTAAAAAAAAAAGTAAAATAAGCTCTTTCTGTTTGTTTTTGAGACAGGGTCTCGCTTTGTCATCCAGGCTGGGGTGCAGTGGCACAATCACGGCTCACTGGTGGCCTTGACCTCCCAGGCTCAAGTGATCCTCCAACCTCGGCCTCCAGAGTAGATGACGTTACAGGTGAAGGTCACCACACCTGTCTAAATATATATATATACATTTTTTTTTGAGAGACCAAGTCTCACTATGCTTCCTGGGCTGATCTGGAACTCCTAGGCTCAAGTGAGCCTCCTGCTTTGGCCCCCCAAAGTGCTGGGATTACAGGTATGAACCACCGTGCCTGGCCTTAAAATAAGTTCTTCTTAAGAGCAAACACTCTCCTTAGAAGAAGGGTATTTGTTATTATTATTTTTTATTACAATAGGTAAAATTATATGCCTAAAATATATTATTACAGTATCCATGAAAGTGATATCTTAAAAATAAACTATTACATTCTTGTTGTCTGTAATCTTGTCATTTTGTTGAAAACAAAACGTGCCCCTCCACGTTCAGGGAGATTCGCCATTCAATACACTGGAGGGAATATGTGGCTAAATTTAGAACAACAGATCTTTGTGTTACATAGGCAGCAGTTATTATTTAAAGTATGCATAGACTTGCTTTTTTCCCTTGCAGATAGCTGAAACTGGGCCTTTCCATGGCTAATGCAATATGGACATCATCACCCCACTCCTTCATACAAGAGAAATAAAGCCAGCAAAGCACACATACTTTTAAACACAGTATTTTATTATTCTTTTATAAGAGACCAAATGCACTTAGTCACTAGTGATACTACATTTTTAATGCTGAAAGAAAAAATAAAAATAACTTTTTGTTATAATAGAGACCAGAATACTAGCCCTAATGGTTCTTTTTTTGTTGTTGGTTTGTTTGTTTTGTGAGATGGAGTCTCGCTCTGTCGCCCAGGCTGGAGTGCAATGGCGCAATCTTGGCTCACTGCAACCGCTGCCTCCTGGGTTCAAGCAATTCTCCCTGCCTCTGCCTCCTGAATAGCTTGGATTACAGGCGCCCACCACCAAGCCTGGCTAATTTTTCTATTTTTAGTAGAGATAGGGTTTCGCCATGTTGGCCAGGCTGGTCTCAAACTCCTGACCTCAGGTGATCTGCCTGACTCGGCCTCCCAGAGTGCTGGGATTACAGGCGTAGCCACTGCACCTGGCCCTTTTTTTCCTAAATAAAATACTTTAGAAAATTAAATTTTAAAGCACTTGCGCGTGTGCACGTGTGTGTGTGTGTGTGTGTGTGTGTTCTTTTTCTCAGTGCTACCACTGTCCTCATTGGTTGGGGGTACACTTGGCTAAGTGACTGAGCCTCCAGGTTAAAGTCTATTTTAAACGACTTTATGAGATAACTTATATATGAAAGTATTGTTTGAAAGCCTTTTGAAAGGCTCCTTGCTTTGGGCCATAACTCTTTTTAGTGGCATTTCTGGTTTCTAGATTTTTAGTCAAAATTTTTGAAATACAATCTCCTCATGCAGTGCTTTGATTATATGTAAATGATGACACAAGATCCCCACTCATTGTGCATATTAGGTACATGCTAATTCTCACCAGCATATACTTCCTGAACTTTCTACATCTTTCTGTGGCCCAAGCTGCATTTGACTCCAGTTTGACCTGCCTCCGACATGCTACTCAAAAGTGGAAAGTACGGTTAAAAGTCCTTAGGGTATAAGCTCCTACTTAAAACATGGTTTCCCAGGGGCAAAGACCTTGTTCAGTTATGCTTATAATCAGTGTTTATGACTCTAGACACTGTAATATTTATCAAGTGTTGCTACAGCACTTGAGCCATGACGACACGGTAAATAGGCCAGATTTGAATGCCAAGCACTACAACTACCCAGCTTCACATTTCAATTATATTTAAATGAAATTGCCTAATGCAAGTGTTTAAAAGTTCATTAAAATTAACCTTTTGAATCCAGAGGGTGCAGTGGGCACTTGTGATAATACCACAGTTCTAGATTTAGGTTTTCAATTACTGAGTAAATGAAAAATTCAGGGGATTTGAAATGTCAAGGATGCTTTGAAACAGATATTGAATTGGCTAAGAACTTTAACTCAGTCTCATGGTCAATGTTCTCTAGTGTTTTGTGACATGATCACTAACAGTCATTGATTATTTAGTGCCAACAATGTGCTAGGAGCTGTTGAAGTACAGGCACTGCATATCAAAGAAATGTGATAAGCATTACTCCAAGCAAGAATTGTGATAGAGAGCATATTTAGATTGAATTACAGGTTTGACAGAAATTTTAAACAGCCACACTCAGTTTATCATTTTAGGAAAAATTACACCACAGCCATCCTCAGCAAGGGAGAATTTACTATATTTTGAAGGTCACCAATATCTTCAGAGATTCATTAGGATTTGTTGTTACATCTTACAGCTGCTCAGCCTGTAAGAATCAGAGTTGGAGGGCTTTCCAGAAAGCATGAGGCCATACACTCAACACTGGACTTGTGAGATCTGGGTGGAGCAAAGAACGTTTTTGCAGTAAGCCCTAGGAGTCACTTGAATTTAAAAGCAGGTCTTTAAAGTCTATATATAAATGTCTTCATAAACTAAAAGGGAAAAGAGAGTTCCAAACTGAGACTAAGTTCTGGTTATCTAGTCAGCGTGGGCTCTGGGATGCAATATGAATAAGCCCTGCAGAAGAGCTTATCTTTGAGGGGCAGGGATCTAAAACAGATTTAAATATAATCTGAGAAGTGCTATTTTGGATGTGTACACATTGTATCATAGGAATCCGGAAGAGGGCCACTCAGTACAATCTAGGGGTTCATAAAGGGCTTCTGATGGGTCACTGCCTTAGACATTCCAAGCATTTTATCCACTTTACTACATTTTAATTAAATTTCAGGAAACAAAACCAAGATTCTTCAAGTTTCTTTCATGCACATGGTTTTGCCTTACGCCCAGTAAGAAAAAGACAGAAAATGAAAACAACAGAGACTGTAGATATCTATAAAGCTTTCATTGTTACCTTTAAACATGCACCCATCTCCAAATCTGTAAACCCTACAGGGAGGAATAGACAGTACAAAACTGCTTTGCTGGTTGCTGCTGGCAAGAGAAGGAAGCCCTGAAGCTGTAGTGAAGACTCTGAGCTAAACTGGGCCACTGTTTCTGCCTTTCTCTGCTCTGGGTAACCTGTCTTGACATTTTTTCTTTCTTTCTTTTTTTTTTTTTTTTTTTTGAGACGGAGTCTTGCTATGTCGCCCAGGCTGGGGAGCAGTGGCGTGATCTTGGCTCACTGCAACCTCCGCCTCCAGGGTTCAAGTGATTCTCCTGCCTCAGCCTCCCAAGTACCTTGGGACTACAAGCACCCATCACCACACCTGGCTAATTTTTTTGTATTTTTAGTAAATATGGGGTTTCACTGTGTTAGCCAGGGTGGGCTTGATCTCCTGACCTGATGATCCACCTGCCTTGGCCTCCCAAAGTGCTAAGATTACAGGTGTAAGACACCACACCGGTTGACTTTTTTTCTAGATCATCCCTACCATTATCATAAGAAATGAAACTTAAAAAGTCTTGCTTCATATATCCATACACATAGTTGTATAAATCAATAATTTTCCCTCTCCCTACCATTATCATAAGAAATAAACTTAAAAAATCTTGCTTCCTATATCCACACACATAGTTGCATAAATCAATAATTTTTCATTATTACAAACTATAACTCATACTCAATATTTCTTATGCATTTCTGAAACAGAAGTGAAGTCATAAACTGAAAGAGACCCCAGAGAGTCCGTCTTTCCTATAACACAACTCTCTATCATACAGAGTATTTCTTAAATCTTGATAATGATTCTGTTTGTTAGGCATGTATCTTTATTCTCTTTTCATAGATGTAAAACCTGACTTTCGAGTCAGATAGCATTCATTCATTCATTGAACAAATTAAGAGCTTCATTTGCTAGGCACTATGGAGCTAGAGAAGACTCTTGTCATCAAAGACCCCATAGTCCTGACAAAAACAAAGCTGTGTTCACCACACCAATTTTTCTCCCCTAGTACATAAGAAGATTGATTCTTTCTGCCCCCACCTCCTACTACAGCTAGACTGTGGCCATGTGACTGAAAGTTTGGTTAATGATGGGTGAACATAATAAAAAATATTTCTAGGCCTGACCCTGGAAAAATATAATCTTGTGATCTTTTTATCCTCTGTTTCCCTGGTAAGCTGCAAATACCCAGTTGGCATAGCTACAAATGAGAGCCTCTCAATCTGCACTGAACTGTGACATGAAGGAGAAATAAACTTTACTATGTTATTTTGGAGTTTAATTTTGGAGTTTAATTTCTTACCACTGCATAGTCTATTCTTTCCTGTCTAATACAAAGTTTCATGAGCAAGACAGACACTAATCAAATAGTTACAGAAAATACAATTGCTTTGAAGGGAACAATCTGAGTGCTCTGAACTGAAGTAACAGGGAAGCCTTTTTGTAGTAGATCGGATAATATTTCAGAAATATTTAATCCCTCCCTTATTTTCATAGAAGGAATATACCAGTGATGTTGGTTGGGTTTGGCTTTGTGACTTGCTTTAGTCAATAAAATAGGTGGAAGTAATGGTGGACCGGTTCTCAATTTATCCCTTAAAAGGTCTTGTGTGTTTCTGCTCACATTGTTCCATTTCTGCCACACATAAAGGCTATAAAAGAAACCTGTCCAGGTTAGCCCACTGGCCCTAGGAGGAATATGAGCGACATATGGAGCAGAGTTGTACCAACAGAGACTCCTTAGATCAGCTGACCTCCAGACATGAACATGCCCATATGAGATCAGCACAACCACTGAGTGAAGTCTATCCTTACCATCAGGCCCCCAACCAATGCTCACACATTTGGCCTAAATAGATGTTTAGAATTGCATACCACAGAAATTTTGTTATTGATATACACACTATTACACTAATAACTAACTGACATATCTTCTCAGATAAAGACCTCAATGAGGTGGTAACAGTTTAGTGAACACCTAAAGGAAGAAAATTCTGGGAGAAGAAACAACGTTCAAAAAGGCACTAAGGTATGTGGTATATTTTAAGGAACTCGATGGTCAGTATGCCTAAGCCTAATAAGCATGAAGGAGGGGGTTTCAGTAATAGATGGGGGAGATCAGTCCTTGTAGACTGTGGTAGGAAATTAATTTTTAAATTTTACAACATCCAATAGGGACTGTTGAAGGATAGCTTAAAGGTGGGAAATGAATTGGAAGAGAAGACAGAAATACTTGACTTGAAAATTCACTTATATATATAGCAAACACATTGTTTTTACTTAGGTTTTATGTGTCATACGTATATATTGTGGCTTTAAGGGTGCTGATGGACATCAGAGGCCCTTCTACATTTCCACTTGGTACTTCTAAGAATGCCAGATAAGGCAGAAGGACTGGTGAAGCTCTGACCAATTTTACTGAACATGACTGATCTCTCAGCCTACTTTTGTTAGCCTAATAGTGTATATAAAGGATACTCAAGGGTTTCTTTGCAAAATGAGTACTCTCTTATACCACCCGTTAGAACCATGTGGTCCAGCAGAGTATATAATGTGCAGTGAAGGATACAGAGGAGTCATAAACTGACCATTATAACAAAATGAAATCTGCATCTCACCTTGGTCTGTCTGGGTCTTTATTGCACTTCATTAGTTCTAAAGCAAGAGTCTGCTTCCTCACAAGTCTCTATGACTCTAACTTTACCTACCTCCAAGACTATAATCTAGTCTAGAGATGACTTTCTAAAACATTTTTATTATGCATGTTTGACTTGGGGGCAAGGAAACAAGAGTGAGGAAAAGGAAAATTAGCATTTACTGAATGCATATTTTATTCTAGATATTATCTTAGGTGATTAGAGATTATATCTTTATCAGGTTGGTTTCCCCTGCCTCAGACTGCCTGAGACAGAGTTGAGAATAAATAATTTTTTTGGGAGGGAATACCAGGAAACACCAATAAAAGAGTAAAGAAATAAAACAGGGAAGGAAAGGAAGCCAGAAATTGGCGCGTAATAAAGCAGATTACCAATCTGGGTAACTGAGGCTCTATTCTGCGGGCAGATGCTGACAGACACTGTGGAATATGCCTCAGGGTGACTCAGCAGAGGGATGAAGAGGGTTGGCTATTTATTCTTCTACTCCCATCTGTCAATAATGGAAGGCTGCATCTGGGGGCATTCTCTCCTCTGTACTTACAGGCTGCATTGAACACAAGCCGAAAGACTGTTCTCAGGCAGATATGACAGTGTCTGCACTTACATGCCATGGCATGACTGGAATAACAAGGATCAAATGGACATGGGAGGATTCTCAACAGCTACAGAAACTTTTTTTTATTTATTCCTCATTAATCATCATCATTTTAGACCCTTAATTCCCTTATTGCTCAACTTAAAGACACATCCTACCACACTCTAAAACTTGTTTCTTTCCTTCTGATTCCTTATCACAATTGTTTACTGGTAATTTTATCCTTTTTTGTATATTTTCTGTATTTGTCATTAGACTGTGAGCATCATAAGGCCCAGAACCGAATTTATTTTATTCATCAACATCAAATACAAAGTAGGAACCACTTGAGATTTGTTGAATCAATGAATAAAAACATCTCTATGACATAGGTAGTGTGTTCTTCGTTAATGGGTGGGAAGCTGTGGCCATACTGGTGGGGACAGAATTCCAATACAGGAAAGTCTGACATAAATCCCATACTCTACCACACTGTGATAATGACACCATGCTGTGTTCCTGCTTCCTGCCTCAGAAACTCAATTATTGTCTATTTCCTGCATCATTAAATCTTATCTCCTCTGCCTGACTTTCAAATCCTTCTATAATCAGGCTAGTTAGATTAGTCTTGCAGCTTTAAAAAAACAGTACACAAATACATTATAGGATGAATGAAATATTTCTTAAGGCCATGTGTGAAAATGACTTGCAGGTTGTTGATTGTCAACAATTAGTGTACTATGAGAAAACAGTGTGATCTAGTCTCTAAAAAGTCCAATGTGAAAAGGCTGCATGAATGAGAATATAATTTCTAGAGCTGTCAGAAGGTTGGGTGTAAGTGACGAATGCTAGACTCTGTTTCTGAGGTCAAAATGACTGGAACACTCAAGAGTAACTGAGGACAGGACAGCAAAATTCCTCTTATCCATGCACAGGTGAGTGATTTTGCTCAAGATAGTTGGACCTGAACAAGAACCACAGAACTATGTAAGCAAAATGGAATCAGTAAAGTTGAAGCTGGAAACAAAAGAACAAGAAATAATACACACCTACTTATATTTGCTAAGGTTGTGTAGATGCTTTCATTTACATTATTTAATTTAAGCCTCAAGACAAGGCCATTAACTTGAATATAGAGCCAGACAAATGCATGAAAATAATTCAGCATTCAATCAGGCAGCAAAGAAATTACGAAAAGAAGAGAGTTGCATCCTGTGTGCTAGGTTACAAATTCATATAAGAAATAATCAGGTAATGATATGACCATTTATTTTTTGGAGGGAAGATGTGGTAGAATGCATTGATTGATCAAAAATATTTGAAGCATTTCTTTATACTATCAAGCTCATCTGTATGGATGTTCCTACCTCTGAGAGTGTTAAAAATTAACCATACAAATTAGAGGTCATTCTGGTCATGTCCAAAATCAGAGTCTAGGGGCCTGGGAGATAAAACACTTGGGGCATATAGGACCATCTTCAATAACTGAGTTTTTCTCAAGCCCAGCTGCTGAAATGGCCTCCTGTAACCCAAATACCAGTTTTATGTAGTAGCTGCTGAAACAACCTGCCATGACTCTAGAGCTAGTTTTACCTACCATCCTCACTTACCACTCTTCTCTAATGTCAAGATTTCTTCCAAAATGCTTCTCTTTCTAATGAAACTCTAAACCTTTTCTTTGTTCTTCAGACATACTGAAGATAACCCTCATCTGTGTGTATGCCCTGGATTGCAAGTCTGTGACTCTCAAAGAAAATGTTTAATTTAGAGGCCTATCTCTATGTTTTATTTTGACTTCAACAGAAGGATTACACATCCTGTCCCAATGATGTTAGCTAGACAATGCAACTCACTTTGGCTAATGGAATACAAGTCAAGGAGAAGCTTTAAGAGCTCTGCTGTGCTTCTACCAGTGTCCTCTTCCCTCTGTGGCAAATGACAGCTGTGGGCTTCATTTTCTTTCTAAATTCTGGAACAAAGAGAAGGTAGAGCAGAGCCCTAGCCAATATGGAGCCAAGTAATTGTAGTGAAAAATAAACTTTTGTTGTTGTAAACACTGAGTTTTGGGGGTTACTTATTATTACAATGGTAAAGGTTGTGTAAGAAGAAGTGGGTAACAGTGTCTTTCTAATCTTGGGAAAGTTTACAAATTAGAAATTGAGATAATAAAGAAAACATTTTACAGAAATAATTTTGGGTTTAATGTAGGAACAAATCTATAAATGGTGTTTTAAAGTGTTCATGATATTTAAAGGAATTTGGTTTTAGGGTATGAGGACATGTGATTACAAATGAAATGAGAAATAAATTATTGAATTTTGATTTGTAGTTGAAATATGTAGGAGAATTTTATTTCATTGGCTAACAATAGTATTGTAATGCTTAAGATAATTTGAAATTTACTATATTTATACATATAATTGATTAGATTTACAAGAGTGGTTCTAGTCCTTGGGGATATTTTGCTTGTTATATCTGGGCTTGAAGTGCTTAATAAATAGATACAATGTATTAGATTTATGAAGAAAATAAAAGATTTTTTAGCAAAGTCTGGAAATAATAAAGTTATAAAGTGATTATTAAAACTGATCATATTTATAAACAGAATAATAATTTAGTATGTTCCCTGTAAACATACTAAAATACTAGATTTCAGTTAAAAATGTTAACTTTCATGAAATAAAAATTAAAAATTGTGAATAGCCATAAATAGTCTATATACAAAAGCCATTCTAGAACATTAAAAACTTACAACGGAAGTCACTAGGAAGTAGTAATATATTTCTTATTTTATTGATGAGGAAATGGAAGCTGGATGGATTATTCCTTAAGATCAGAAGAGATTCAGTCTACCTAAAGCACCTAATTAAAAACTGTGCACATATCATGGGGTCGGTAACTGCCTACTGAACTAATGAATAAAGTGTACACACAAACAGACATTTTATTTTGTTATAATTGTATTTCCCTTTATCTCCTTCAAAAAATTGAAGAGACATAATAAAAGATAGACAAAAACCAGTTTTAAGTGAAAAAAGTCTTTTATAAACTAGTTTTAAGTTAAAAAAGAAAAGAAAAAGATAACTTATCACAAAACTTATATAACTATTGTGACTTAGCACCGAGTGTATATTTGTGGTTCCTGGAAGACAGGCAATGAAGGAAAAGTATAGTTTATAAATTTTCTTTATCTGTTACAAAGAAGCACATTAATTTTGTTACAAAAATCTTAAAGGTATTTAATCTGTTGATGTATGTATCTTGGAACCTAGAACACCTATAAATAAGAACGCTGACCAAATCCTTTTTCAAGTTTCTGAAAGAAATGGTAAACGCTTTAGATAAAATAAAGAACAGTGATAAAGTTGACTACATTATTATCTGCACTATCTACCTATGCATACTTTCTTGTTGATATTCTTTAACTAGGAAGGATTATTAATTAAAAGGCAAACCTCAAAATGAAGCAAATACATATGAATATAAACATCATATACATGCTATATGTACACACACCGGCAAACATACTTAAACAACTTATGAGTTTGAAGCAACAATTACGTAACTGTTGAAGGTTTCCTAATTTCTGATTTATAGATCAGAAATGTAAATTTGTTCTTAGAATAGATATATAGATATGTAATAATACAAATTATAAATAGCTCTAAAGTAATATTTCCTTTGATAAACTAGCCAGCTAGTACAGTATAAGTGTAATACAATGTTCTTCCTCAATTCTCATGGTCCCATTACTCTGAATACAAATATGAAATGAAACAAAATTTTGTTAAGTCTTAGAGTAAATTAGTTCTAGGAAATCTAAAAATTTATCTAAAATACTTAGATTTGTCATAGAAATGTAAAACTATAGTATTACTTTTATGAAATGAAGTAAAACTAGATTTATTTATTTTTATCTTGAAATATTGAACAATCGTTGAAAGTAAATAATCTATTTAATTTTACTACTTATAATTTAAGAAAATGATCCCAGGAGAGACTCAGTCCTGTGAAATTTTTCAAGATAAAATAAGTCAGGACAAGGTAAAAGTGAAATGTGTTTTCATTGTTTGATGTAAAAGTAAAATGTATTTTGAGGTAAAATTCATAAAAATTTTACTGTTTTCTCTTCAGACTGTTCTAGGGTCTCATAAGAACTAAAAACATTAAGTAATTAAAGGCTGGACTCTGCAGACAGATCAGTGAGCCAGAGAACAAGTCACCTGCTGAACTTTGCTTAATTACGTCCATGTAATAAACACTGCAATTGATCCTAGGAGAGGAAAACACATCTGAATAATGGTTTGTCATAAAACTGCTCACCCTTTCCTGACTGCTATTGATTAAAGAAAAAAACACATAAAAGTCCTTATGGCTACTAAGTAATATTATTTTGTGCCTAGGATACTATCTATATTTCACATCTCATCAAATATATTCATCTTAATAATAAACTCCCAAAGTGCTAGAATTGTATATTCAATCAAAAATCATTTTTCCATCATTTATATTTGTCTTTTAGGTCCCCCTCTCTACCACACTTATTCTTGATTGGATACTTCCATACACATTGTGGCTCTTAAAAGTTGCTGAATAGCCTCCATGTCAAGAATTAAAAAGTTAGTCTTAATGGTCTCTTTCCCATTTTTTCCCCTTCCCAATTAATTTTATAACAAAGTTAGTTAAGAGTTTGGCCAAAGAGAGAAAAAAAGTCTGAAAAGAAAAAGCCTCAGAAAAGGCTTAAAAATCATTTTGCGGTCAATGATGCAGGAACGATTGTTCTACCATGGATTATCCCTGGAAATACTGTCTAGCCAAAGTGTTATTAATAACAAGATGCCACAAAAATGTTGCTGATCACAAAAGCTGTCATGTTTACTGTCATCTGCAGTGCTGTGTTCCAAAAGAGAGCAGTAAGAACTGATGCACTTGATGATGTGTTCTGTCTTGCTTGACAGTAAACTGATAGGCATGTGACATGTCAAATACTATAGGTGAAAATATGTTCTTGATTAAATACGGTGTGTGATGACCCACGAGCAGATAGGTAACATTATTCATTCTCTGGGCATGTGGCCAAGTGGCACAAATGTCACATATATTTTTGCTTTTAAAATTAAAAAGGAAGTATTTGGTTTTGCTTTTGACTAGAAGGTGTTCAAACTTGCAGAAAATAAAACACAATGCCTTGTTTTCGGATATTGTTATAAAAATGTAAATAACTTAAAAACAGAATTTAAAAATTATTAATGCAAAGACTTTCTGAACTTTATACCGCATGGACACATCATCAGCTCAAGCATTTTAAATACGTAAAATGGAATCTTTCCTTTAGCTTGTATAACACTAGTGATATGATTTTTAAATTGTTAGTTATGAATATCCTCTGTGCACTAATTTGAAAGTAAATTAAGTCAACTGTTTCTAAAATACCATGCTCTGATTAAATAGTTAAGTTTTCTATAATTTAATAAAACCAGAGAATCTTCCAAAGAGGCTAGAATGCATTCCTTGTTTTCAGGACTTTTATTTCGTAGGAACACTTACATATTCCACATATAAAAACAGCCTCATGTGAAACAGAGTTTTAGTCATTAATGGGTTCATCAGTAAATGTCAAGGAACACGAATTCATAAATATATCTGACTTTAAAATGCTATCATTATAATGACTTTCATTTTCATTTAATATGGGAGATGAGAACAAAAATGGAAGTGTATGGTTTTTTTTAAATGAAAATGTCTTCTGTCCTATTCACTAATTCAGTCATTCAATGAGCAAGTATGTATTGAGCATCTCCATGTGTCAGGCACTGGGCTCAGTGTGTGTGATACACATGGATGCAACAGATCACAGTCCGTGTTTCCACCGACCTAAGGGTCTAGTGAAGAAAAATGAACAGCACAATATTCTATGAATAGTATTTCTGCTTGGGGTGGGTAGGAATTTTTATACTCATTTACTTCAATGAGCCTGTAACATCTGAAATGTGTTGGTATTCTCACTGATATGTTCTTCTAGGGTACTTTTTAGTACCTTATATGTAACATCTGATTTGACAATTTAGAGAGGAGTTTATTGAGGTTTGGTCTGTACCTTTCATCCATAATTTTAAGGCCAAAAGTACAGTTTTATTTAGTAGAATTTAAAAAATATCTTGAACCTAATGCAATCACTTGTAGTTTCATAGCTAGGGCTGGTGCAGGTTTGAAATTAAGGATGCATAAGGTTAACAACAGTGAGGAAGTCACAAGGGGGCGCAGGACAGTCATGGGCTCAGAGCTACAGTGGACTACTGACGGGTTGTCTGACATGCAAGGATTTCTTCTTTCTGGAATGGCCTTGATATACAGCACAACATGACCCTGGTCTTGGGCTGATCACATTATTTCTCTGCTGAGAAATAAACTTGAAATGGGGACATAGTAATTTCAAACTTTGGAACTGAGTCATATTAATGGTGGCAACTGAGAGAGAATAAACACAAACTCCTATAACCAAGTTCCCTGTAATTTTCTGGATCCCTGTTCCTTTCTTCCTCTCTTGGTCTTCTCTTCCCCCTTGGCTTGACTGAGGTAGCTGGGTGTGTTTCTAAGCTCCTACGTCATTTTCTTTTGGGGCTAGCATTGCTATTCTATAAAATAGCGAAGCCAGCCTCACAGTAGATGGAAATCTTTCACATTCCTGTCCTATGCTGTGAGGAAGGAGACATGAAGGTTAATGTGGGATTCTGCTAGGCCAGTAGAAGAACAGGATACTATAAGTATTACAGGGTGTTAAAATACAGATTTCAGTAAAGGGAGTAAGAAAGCCAGATCAATATATGAAGAATTTACAAAGGAATACTAATAGCACATAGTTACATAGTGTTTGCTATATGCCAGGAATTGTTCTAAATGCTTTACATACATTAACTCAATACTTACTGTTGCTTCCAAAGAGGAAATTGAGGCGAGGAAGATTAAGTGACTTGCCTGAGTTACACAGCTAGTAAGTAATAAAACTATCACCCAAACACAGACAGTTTGGCTTCAGGATCTACAACCTAAAGCACTCCTGACTGTTTTGTGCTAGCTAAGTTCAGGTCCACACCTTTTGGATCCCTAGATCTGTACCTTTTGGACCCCTAGATCACTGATTTAAGAGGGATCAGAATGTTGAAAAAGAAGGTGAATTTGTGAAGGAACATCTCCCCAAAAGCTATTACCATAACATGAGTACATTTTCCACCCAGGGGTGAAGTCAATGATGCTACCCTCTACTACTTCAGTTTAGTGAGAAAGGCTTCCATAGGACCCCTCAGCCAGCTGGAAATAAATTCCCTGCAGTTGAAAACATAAAAGACTGGTGCTTGGCTCACACTTAGAGAAGTAATTCAGGATGTCAGTGGGTTATGCGAGGCTACCCGGCTGCATCAGGATTTATCTCCATGCTGAAAGCAAAAAATGTGCGAGTTTTCCTGTCCATCAGAAGTAGGCCACACAGAGGAGATAACTTGTGTGGGGCCATCTTTGGCCCTGTTCAGTAAAGCTGCCTGGAGGGACACGTGAACCCCACAGGCAAAAACTTGGAGACACATATTGAATTTCTAGATGCTACTGAAGGAGTTGCAAGGACATTCAAAACAGAGATGTATCTGCAGAGGTCAGGAAAGAAGTTCTGCCACTGAAGGGATTCTCTCTCTTTTTTTTTAGATGGAGTCTTGCTCTGTCGCCAGGTGGAGTACAGTGGCACAATCTTGGCTCACTGCAACCTCTGCCTCCCGGGTTCAAGTGATTCTCCTGCCTCAGCCTCCCGAGTAGCTGGGATTACAGGTGTGCACCACCACACCCAGCTAATTTTTGTACTTTTAGTAGAGATGGGGTTTCACCATGTTGGCCAGGATGGTTTTGATCTATTGACCTTGTGATCCACCTGCCTCAGCCTCCCAAAGTGCTGGGATTACAGGCGTGAGCCACCACACTCGGTTGGGATTCTCTTAAGAAAAGCCATGATAATAGCTCACAGTAGTTTGAACTTTCTCTCAGAGATGGGCAAGTCCTCTAGCCAGGTAAGTTCTTCCCTTTCTCCACAAAGTGTCTCCAGCTCCTTTTTCAAATCTCAAGGGGCATCGCCACACTGTCTTCCACAATGGTTGAACTAGTTTACAGTCCCACCAAGACCGCACGTTGTGCACGTGTACCCTAGAACTTAAAGTATATATAAATCTCAAGGAGCTCTGAAATTGTAGCAAAGAAGTCAGAGAGAAGGCAAAAGGGATAGGAGTAAGTTTGACTATACTTTATAGCTTAAAGTCAGACAGACAGAGAGTTACAGATGGGAAGGTGAGTGAGGTAGGAAAAATCTAAAATTTGAATGAAGACTAAAGCATTGACCAATAATTTGGACTGAGATAGTCTAACAACAACATTGAGACCATGTTATGTGAATTAAAGCAATCACAAGGCTGTTTATTACCTAATGATGAATTAATGATATCAAGGCAGGGTAAGACTATCCCCCTTTCAATGCACAGAAGGTAATGAAAATACAGTTACATCTTAATTGTGTCATGAAATATGGTTGTTCAAACTCTCAGTTATACATACTGGGATGTCTAGAATAGAAGGAGAATGCCATGAGCCTGGTTGCAGGGGTGAGGAAGGGTACTAGAAATTTTGTTCAGTTTTCTGGATATTCCTAGGAAGCAGAAATAATAAAAGGAGATCTAGATGGGTTTCTCTATAAGATTACGGGAAGCTTCTTATTCATTTAGTTAATTGTAGCTTTGGCGAGAGCCATTGCTTTCTGGGGCATGATTTGGAAGACATTCTGGATTACATGTTTTGGCAATGCATCATTTTTGTCAAATATCAGATAGACTGTCATCAGTATAAGAAAGTGCTGGGGGTTGAAACTAAATTAAGCTAAAATAGGGCAATCTTCATGAGATTATGTGCCTTGAATATATGCAAGTCTTATCAAGAGAGGCTCTCTCGATTGCACTTTAATCCAGAACGGGTGTTCTAGATATTGATGTGCAGTCATATCATGGCAGACTGAGTCCACAAAAACTTCTGTCAGAGCTTGCGGATAGTTATAAATGCCACTGGAGTATTGTTGGAGAGGACAGACTTGTTGCTCACTTCTCAGGCTTCAAGAGGAGGCACTTTCCCTAAACTTCCTGAACTCTTGCCCCATTTTTTCTTTCTCACAAATGTTTAAGGAATTGTCTGATTGGCAGGGTCTGAAGATGTGAGCACAGATGCAAAGCTCAGACACTTCCCCTATCTTTCTTCTGGAGTCTACCTGAGGATATTTGGTTTTGCCTCCAAGGCCTCAGTTGTACAGCAGTAAGCCCCATGGGATGAGGCTAGATGCACTAAGTCTTAGGAAGATCCTTGTAGCCATGCACTTAAACCACCTCCTCCAATATCAGTTTTATCACTAATGAACATAAATAGACACAAAGTAGATTTTGGTGACTCAAATAACACCTGGAGACATTTTTAGCGAAACTAGGGCATGGGGCTATGGGCTGTCAGCTTTAGCTATGCAAGATTTTGACTTTGGGGTTTATTGTAGGGCATAGCAGTTTTATTCCTAAGCAAATAGTTGTTTTGGGGCAGATGGGACAATTTTATCATTAGTGTATAGCCCCTGCTGGCCTGAGTAGATACTGGCTGAGCTACTGCAGTTTGATCTTGATCTTTGAACTGTGTTATCACACAAGCACTGTCCATGGTCTTGTAACTCAGAGAACACTTATTATGGTTTTGCCCACAGCGGGGTAGTGAATCTGATTAAAAAACATGAAAAGTAGTTGCAAGTGCTTACTATACAGAGAATCTACTCTATCTTCAGTGGAATTGAACAAGGTAACAAACAAGTTATTAAAATTATTGCACACTTAAAGGCTATGAAGAGAAAGAATAAAGGCTGTGTTTGGAGCACCTGGATTTTAAGAATTGAGTTTGTGTAAAATATCCAGGAGGAATTGCAGTTGTGTGAAAGAGGCATGTTTTAGTTTTCTTATTAGAACGGAAGAAGTGGGAAAAAAATAAAAAAATAGAAAAACTAGTTGATTACTTTGGAGGAAAAGAGAGATTTCCTTATGAGAAACATAGAGATTTTATGAGACAAATTAGATAGCCATGAAATAGAGAATGGAATCTTGATGCTTGAAAGAAACAAATATTAAGAGCAAAAGGATAGACCCAGATCTGATTGATCTTAAAAAGGAAGGTAGAAAAGCAGATGTTTCAGCTATTATCAGATGTGTTAGTCCATTTGCATTCATATAAAGGAATACCTGAAGCTGGGTAATTTATAAAGAAAAGAGGTTTATTTTGGCTTATGGTTCTGTGGGCTGTACAAGAAGTGTGGTGCCAGCATCTGCTTCTGGTGAGGTCTTAAGGAAGCTTATAAATTCATGGCAGAAGGCAACATGAGAACTAGCATATCACATGACGAGTGGAAGCAAGAGAGAGTGATTTTAAACAATCACGTCTCACATGAACTCAGAGCAGGAACTCACGCATTATCACGAGGACAGCACCAAGCCTCATGAGGAATCTGCCCCATGACCTAAACACATCTACTAGGCCCATGTTAAACACTGGAGGTCACATTTCAACATGAGATTTGGAGGGGAGAAAATATCTAAGCCATATCATTCCACTCCTGTCCCTCCACATCATCTCTTGTTCTTCTCACATTGCAAAATACAATCATCACTTCCTGATCGTCCTCAAAAGTCTTAACTAATTCCAGCATCATTCAAAAGTCCCAAGTCCGAAGTTCAAAGTCCCATCTGAGACTCCTATGAGCCTGTAAATTAAAAAAACAAGTTATTTACTTCCAAGATATAATGGTGGTATAGGCATTGGGTAAACTTTCCCATTCCAAAAGGGAGAAATCAGCCAAAAGAAAGGAGCAGTAGGTTCCACACAAGTCTGAAACCCAGCAGGGCAGACTTAAAACTTTAAAGCTCCAAAATAATCTTTGACTCCATGTCCCACAACCTGGGAACACTGTTGTGCTGGGCAGGCTCCCAAGGCAACTCGTTGGGCAACTCTACCTCTGTGGCTTTGCATGATGCAGCTCCTGTGGGTGCCCTTACAGGTTGGAGTTGAGTGCCTGTAGCCTGTCGAGGCCAATGATACAAGCTGCCAGTTGCTCTAACATTCAGGGGTCTGGAGGGCAGTGGCCCAATTCCCGCAGCTCCACTAGGCAGTGCTCCAGTGCGGACTCTGACTCCACAGTTTTCCTTGGGATTGCCCTAGTAGGGACTCTCTGCAGGGCCTCTGTCTCTGCAGCAGGTTTCTGCTTGGGCACCCAGGATTTCCCACACATCCTCTGAAATCTAGGTGGAAGCTGCTAAGCTTCCTTCATTCTTGGATTCTGTGCAGCTGCAGACTTTACACCACATGGAAGCCACCAAAGCTTAGGGTTGGTGCCTTCTGAAGTGACAGTCCAAGCTGTACTTGGGACCCTTTAAGCTAAGGCTGAAGCCAGAGCGGCTGGCATGTGGGGAGCTATGTCCTTGAGGTGGCACAGGGCAGCAAGGGCCTGGGCCTGGTCCCTGAAACCATTCTTTTCCACTAGACCTCTGGGCCTATGATGGGAGGGTCTGCCTCAAAGATTTCTGATGGCCTTTCAGGCCTTTTTTCCCATTTCTTGGCTATTAGTGCTTGGCTCCATTTTAGTCATGCAAAGCTCTCTAGCAGGTGGTGGCTTTGAATCTCATTTCAATTCGTCTCCTAAAAATAACCTTTCCTTCTCTATCACATGGCCAGGCTGTGAATTTTCTAAACTTTTATGCTGTGCTTCACTTTCAATTATAAGTTCCAAATTTAAGTTATTTCTTTGCTCCTTTATCTGATGATAGGCTGTTAGAAGAAGCCATGCCACATTTTGAATGTTTTTCTGCTTATAGATTTCTTCTGCCAGATACTCTAAGTCATCACTCATAAGTTCAAACTTCCACATATTCCTAGGGCATGGACACAATGCAGTCAAGTTCTTTGCTATGACATAACATAGGTGACCTTTATACCAGTTCCCAACAATTTCCTCATTTCCATCTGAGACTTCATCAGCTTGGATGTCACTATCCATATTTCTATCAGCATTTTGGTCACAAATACTTAAGAAGCCACTCAAAAGTTTCAAATTTTCCCTTATCTTCCTGTCTTCTTTCAAGGTCTCCAAACTCTTCCAACCTCTGCCTATTATCCAGTTCCGAACGTATATTTATAGCAATGCTCCACTCCTCAGTAACAGTTTTCTGTTTTAGTCCATTTGTGTTGCTATAAAGGAATACCCGAGGCTGAGTAATTTATAAAGAAAATAAGTTTATTTTGGCTCATGGTTCTGTAGGCTGTACAAGAAGCATGGTGCCAGCATCTGCTTCTAGTGAGGGCCTCAAGAAGCTTATGATCATGGTGGAAGTCAAAGGGTGAACTGGCATATCACATGCTGAGAAGGAGGAAGAGGAAGTGGGGGGGGGTAGGGGTACCACACTCTTTTAAACAACCAGATCTCATGTGAACTCAGAGCAAGAACTCACTTTTTATCATGAGAACAACACCAAGTCATTCATGAGGGAGCTACCCTCATGAATCAAACACCACCCACTAGGCCCACTTCTAACTTTGAAGGTCAGATTTCAACATGAAATTTGGAGGGAAGAAAATATCCAAACCATATCACCAGGTCAAAAAATTGTGACTGAAGCCTAAAGATATCTAACAGAAGCTGAGAAACAGAAATTCAGAGAGCAGTGTGGAATGTCTGGAATGAATCTCCAAGAGGAGAAAAAAATCAGGGAAAATCAGCCTTTTAAAGCTATGGATAACAAGTCCAGAGTGAGAGCAATTAGAGAATTACAGCATGAAGAATGATGACACTATATCAAATGTCCAGGAAACTTGAGCAGATATAAGAAGGCAAAAGATAAAAAAAATTTAAAGCATTCTGAGATGAGTTTCAAAGTGATAAAATTATTATAGGTGAGGATACATGTAATTGCCTTGCCCTAAGGGAACACTCTAGAAATCTCAGGAATTAGGGGAAATGCAGCAAGATGAGGCAAGTTACAAGAGGCCTTGGAAAAGGCAGGCAGAACAATAAGAGATCAAGTCCAGGCTTGGGTTTGATGGTGACTTCATGAGAAATTTTTTCCTGGATGGGATTATCAAACCCAGGAAGGAGAGAATGGACATGATTTGCTTGAACAATGTAGGCCTTTGGAAGACTCAGAACTTATTGATTTCATATCTCTCATGTGAAACCTCATGAGACATTTAAGAAAATATGTTTAAAAAATATATGCTTGCTTCTGAAAGCAATAGAAAACTAAAATACAAAGTACTGTTAAATAGTGCCAGTTTCATATTGTTAAAGAAAGAAAGAGATTGACTATGGGAGCAATTTAAACCCTTAGCAACTCAGTTCAGACCCCCTGAAATAGAGTTGTCAGATTTAGGAAATAAAAATAAAAGACACTTGTGATGCTAATTTTGTGTGTCAACTTGGCTGGGCTATGGTGCCCATATAGTTGGTCAAATCTTATTTTGGATGTTTCTGTGAGGGTGTTTTTGGATGAGATTAACATTTAAATTGGATTTAGAGTAAAATAGATTGCCCTGCATAATGTGAGTGGGTCTCATCTACTCAGTTGAAGGCATTAACAGAAAAAGACCAACCTTTCTATAGAAAGTATTTCTGCTAGCACATAGCTTTTAGACTTGAATGGCAATGTCAACTCCTCCCTAGGTCTCCAGCCTATCGGCCTATCCTGCAGATTTTGGACTTGCCTGTCTCCAAAATCATGGGAGCCAATTTCTTAAAATAAATCTCTCTCTATACATACACATACATTCTATAGGTTCTGTTTCTCCTGAGAACAGTGACTAACACAGACACTCGGTCAAATTTGAGTCTCAGATAAGCAATGAATTTTTTTTTAGTAGAAATGAGCCTAAATATTATATGGGATATATAGATGTCTATATCATCTATATCTATATCTAATCTATCAATTTATATAGAAAGGGGTCAATGAGATTTATTGCAAGGAATTGGTTCAACCAATTATAGAGGTTGAGTAGTTCCATAATCTGCTGTTCATAAGCTGGAGACCCAGGAAAGCCAGTGATGTAGTTTGAAGGCATGCGAGACACGGAACCAACAGTGTAGACTCCTGTCCGTGTCTGCGAGCCTGAAAACCAGGAGCACCAAAGGCAGGAGAAGATGGATGTCCCAGCTCCAGCAGTGAGCAGAGCCACACTTTTGTTCTATTCACGTCCTCATGGATTGGATGGTCCCCACCCACATTAGGGAGGGCTGCCTGCTTTAGGGAAGGCCCATATTAGGGAGGGCTACCAACTTAAATACTATTTTTTTTTCTGAAAACATTCGCATAGACACACCTGGAAATAATGTTTAGCCAGATCTGTGCATACTGTGGCCCAGTCAAGTTTACATACAAAATTATCCAACATGCTGTGTATTACAAGCACACAAGAGGGAGAGCCATACAGCTGACATTAAGTCAATATTTGTTGAATAAATGAGTGTAATTTGATCATCATATTTTGGAAGCTTCAAGAATAATGTAAGACACAATTTGAGATGACAGTAGAATATGAAGGGTCAAGGCCTTGGTTTAGAATGGTCTTGCAGTTAAATCCACATTGCTCCTCCTCTCTGCTCCCAGTAATCTCAGAAGGACCCACGAAAAAGTAGGGATTGATATCTGGGTAAAGGCTGCCCTAATAAATGCCCTTCTAGCTGTCTAAAGGCTTAATATTTAAGCCTAATGCCTTAAGAGATAAAGACTTTAGGGAACATTAGAAGTGAGGTGCTTATCATGCACTCATCTATTTTCTGTGTAGAGGGATTTCCCCAATACTCTTGACTTCTTATATCATTTCTAACTCCGTTAGGAAGTGAGGTGATTTACCCAGTTAATAAATACTGGAGGAGAACTGGGCATAAGTAGCCCAGTACCTTCCTCCATCTTTCTTTGAGATGGAACTGCTTCAGCTAAGATACACTACATTAATCTGCTCCTCACTGCTGTAAGTTTTGTAGCAGGAGTTCCCCAAAAAAGAAGCCCTGTGGTTTCTTGTACTGCTGTGTTTAGGTGGATAGGTATGCCCATTTCTAGAGTATATTATGAAAAACCCCATAGTTGCCAAAAATCCCAACTGTGTTCTCCAATCTAGCCTTTATAAGTAATAAAGATCAAGCATCATAAAAATCTTTATTACTTAAAAATAATGTCTGATATCTTGTCAATATTTTAATTGGTTTCAAAATTGTTTTGCAATATGAAAGTTATCTATTGGATGCCTTTAAACTCCAACTGTACTGTCAACTACAACTACTGTGGCTTAAATCAAGTTGCTTCTTTTCTTTTCTTTTTTTTTTTTTTTTTTTTTTTTGAGACAGGGTCTCCCTCTTTTGCCCAGGCTGGAGTGCAGCAGTGTAATCACAACTCACTGCAGCCTCGACCTCCCAGGCTCAAGCAATCCTCCCACCTCAGCCTCCTGAGTATCTGGGACTACAGGCATGTGCCACTACTCCTGGCTAATTTTTGTTCTTTTTGTAGAGACAGAGTTTCGCCATGTTGCTCAGGCCCATCTCAAGCTCCTGAGCTTAAGCGATCCACCTGGCTTAGCCTCCCAAAGCATTGGGATTACAGGGGTCAGCCACTGTACCTGGCCAAGTTGTATCCTTTATAATTCATTCCTTTTTATTTTTTTCAAACTTTATTAGAGTGATGACTGTATACCAAATGCTGTGCTTAATGTTAGTGACAGACAGATAAATAGGATGCGTCTGTTTGCCCTTAAGCAATTTACAACTCACTGGGGAAGAAACAGACATGCAAACAACGAGATAAAACACAATTAGATGAGTGCTACAATAATAATCTTTTTGTAATATTTCAGGAACAGATAGAATGGAGGTCCTGAAACCATCCCTATAAACTTCATAAAATTATTCAGGTAAGAAGGGAGGGGGAGAAACAAGAAACAAAAATAAACCAAACTTTCAGCCCATTCAATGTTAAACACTAGGCCAGCTTGCCCTCTGACCTGCTTCCCCATGGTTGTTTGGGGCCTATTACCTCAGAATCACCCAGACCCTGTTACAAGATTATTTCCCCTTAGCTGCTCTATAGATAACTTCCTGAACATTATGAAACATTGTTTTCCCTTTGAGATATTCTTTCAGGTCCTGCATACTAGTAAAACTGCTGATATCAGCTGCTCTGTAGGACCCTATTGACACAAGCTGGTCTGAAAGACCCCACAAGAAGCTGAGTCACCAAAGAATGGGTTTCAATGTAATGATGATTTCATTCTCCTTACCTCAACCAACAACTCCAATTTTCCAGGCCCTTACCCTCTATGATTCCCTTAAAAAGCCCAGCCCAGAACTTCAGGATGGGGAAATGGATTTGAGGGTCTCCTTCATCTCCGCACTTGGTGCTCTGCTCTGTGGTCATTTAGCTTTTTCTCTGGGGCAAATCCAGCTGTCTCAGTGTATCTGGTGTGTTATTGTATAGTGGGCATATGAACCTGTTGGTCCTTTAACAGTCCTGATGTCTGCCAAGAAGAGGAGGAGAGGCATCAGGGAAGCTTTCATAAGGAAGGAATGAATAACAAAATAGTTACTGCTAATACGAAAGGAAGGGTGTAAAAAGGGCTGAAATTTTATTCAAAAAAATCCTTCATCAAATAACAAAACTAACCTTTGTCAAAAATATGTAGTAGTTGAAATTTGCTTTTCAAATCCCTCACTTAAATATTTTTCTGACTTTTTCCTACTTCTTCCCGGACATCCAAAGATCTCTTGCTACCTGATTCCTTCTAGTTATTGAGGCCATTGATCTGAAAACACTTTCATGTTGAATGAAGTTTTATGACTTGACTACAGTTACTCCTCAGAGACATTTGCATTTTTTAAAAAGCCCAGTGGGAGCTCAAGTCCTACACAAACGACTGATTTGCTAAGCCAGAGGTGCTAGGAAAATAAGTGGCAATGGATCTTTAAAAAAATTATATCCTATGTAGCATCTCAGGAAGGGTTTGGCTGCAAAAATAACTATGGAGGCTGGAGCAAAGCTATGGACCTTCCATAGAAGAGCTTACGATGTAATTTTGGTAAGTTATTTGCCTGAAGTTTGAATGAAAAAACCATCTACATATAACTAAAATGCTTCAACTTGGTACCAAATTTGCATTAACTTGATTTCAATTTTCTGAAGGTCTAAGAATATTCAGGCTGTGAATCTAATTTGATGTAATCCTTTAATCTTATTTTTATATTATGCTAAAATAATCAACTGTATTAATTTTGGATGTGCAGAGAAAATTCAGCCTAGTACAACTTCACTTTTTAAATTTATTGTTACGACACTGTTTAACTGGAACCCGAGGTATTAATAGAAGCATAATATGTAATAGGATTTTCTAGCTTACTATTAGAGATAATGAGAAATCACTGACCACTTGTTTGTCTTGAGCCCCCTTGTACTAAAATCATATACGGTATTCTTTCAGCTTTGTTGTAAAACTTAGTAATAGTCATCTTAATGATGAACCTAAGCAATGAGGAGTGGGGAAGACTGGAATGAATGCACCTGACTAGAGATAAACAGAGCTGGGTAGGAATGTTTAGTTCGGTGTCTCTGATATTGCAGCATGAATATTAACTTATAATTTGTGAAACTATACATACATGTTATATGCATTTCTTTGTAGGTATGATATTTTTATTTTAAAAATTTAAGGGTTAAGCAGAAGATGAATTCCAGAGAGGGAAAATGAGGACATAGCATGGTATAGGCAGATAGCATAAAACAGTAGGACTAAGATAGCTTTTAGAGTTAAACTTAGGTTTATATCTCAGCTTCAGCACTTACTAGCTATGTGACGTTGCATAAATTACTGAACCTTTCTGAGCTCCTGCAGCCCTTTCTGTAAAATCTGACTAACAGTCGTTTAAGGTTGAAAGGAAGAAGGGCTGACCATAGTGTGTGAGAGACATAGGGGAAGTGAGTCTGGTTTTAAAATGGAAAGAAACTGGATTAAGGAATTTAAAGGAGAAACTGAAGATGATGACAATGTAAACTGCTCATAAACTACAGGGCTCAAATAGAAAAAGAGGGAACTGAATGATTTATAGGTGCCTGGAAGTCACTGTGACATTAGTGCCCTGATTCCTGATATCCCAAGTACCACCTCCTCTATCCTTTGCTCCAATTCACAACCATAAAATATTTTGGGATAGTTGAGTATGTATAGACAAATATGTAGTATATGCAAAATATGAGATATAGTGTTGAGTAATCTTACCTGCTCCATTACTTATGCTAAGCCAAATAGCAAATACAAAATCTGAGATTACTTCTAATATTAAACCAGCTCTTGAAAGTGATTGGTCCAGCACAATAGGGTGAGGCCAATGAGTACATAGCATTCTCCTGGTGTACAGTAATGATCATGAATAGGGATGTAACATCATTTAGGCCAATAAAATGATAAAATAGGGAGTATTTTCCTAAGGCTTCTAAGAGGTTTTTTTTAAAAAAAAAAAAAACCATAAAAAGAATCCAAGAAACAGATAGCATTTCTTCCTCTGCAAATTTTCATGCACATGTGTGAGGTTCATAACTGCAGAACATCGATGCCAGCCCAAGAATAAAGCTGACACCCAGAGAATGGTGAAGTTCTGACGCCTGTCTTATTTCTAAACTTCCAGTTATGCAAACCATCAAATTTCTTTAGTAGATATGAGATTTTCCCCCACCCCATGTTGCATAAGCTCCTGACCACAGTAGCACCAGGTCATCAACATCACAGTTGGGTCACTGGGACATGGCTTACAAAAAAGGAACTGATAAAGAACACAAGTATCTGGGGACTCAGTACAGACTTGAGGTGAAGTCAATTGGAAAAGGGGTGGCTCCAGGATCTACTAAACAAATGAACCCTACTCCTTACATTTCACTAATGTTCCTTACTTCTTTTAGCTGATTTACCATAAAGCATCTGAAGCCTGATTAATTTTCAATCCCAGATTCATTGGCACATGTTTAATATACAATTCTTAACAAGAATGGTTTGTCAGACTTCTCAGTTCTTGAAGGAGAAAACTAAAATGGAAAACAGAATGTCAAAAGAAGAGGTAGTTAAAAAGCAAGAACAGTCACAGCAAAAGTAACAGCTGACAACTTGATATGGAGGGAAGCAAACAGACAGAATTCCATTATCACACTTTATAATAATGGCAGGTTATAAAACCATCCTTGAGTTATTAGAAAAAGGCTAAATCATATTCAATGGCTTCTACTATGAAGGTAGGAATGTCACTAATCAAAATGATTTTTACCAAGCTGGTTAATATTAGAATATTTTCATATTTGAAAGAGTAACATTCAGTTATATAAACACAAAATAATTTTAAGTGTTATCTCTTGCTAATATTAAAGAAATTCTGTTAGAAGGGTAAAAAAAAGGGACCAAAACCCTTCAGTGAATTTCTGTTATTATTCAAAAACTCAAGAGAGGCATCATGTATTTTTAGTGTACATAATACTGACTCAGGTTGATTTCAGAAAAATATTACACCATCATAAATATTTCTCTATAAAAATAATAATTTCTCTTTTTTCTTTTCTTTTTCTTTTTTCTTTTTTTTTTTTTTTTTTGGTTTTTTCTTGAGATGGAGTCTTGCTTTGTAGACCAGGCTGGAGTGCAGTGGTGTGATCTCGGCTCACTGCAACCTCCGCCTCCCGGGCTCAAGTGATTCTCCTGCCTCAGCCTCCTGAGTAGCTGGGACTACAGGCGTGTGCCACCACACCCAGCTAATTTTTTTGTATTTTTGTAGATACAGGGTTTCGCCATCTTGGCCAGACTGGTGTCGAATTCCCGACCTCTGGTGATTCACTCTCCTCAGCCTGCCAAAGTGCTGGGATTACAGGTGTGAGCCAACGTGCCTGTCCTAAAATAATAGTTTCTTTTTTTAAGCAGACCACAACCACAACTATGCTAACAAGAATTTATTTGCTATTGACAACTAAGTTGGGCTAAATAAAAGATAAATCAATAAAAAGATACAGCAAAGCTAATGAAACAAAATTTAAGAAAATACATATTTGTAAAATTAAATCGAATACATACAATTTCATGATTATTAAGTCCTCTTGATGAACTGACCTTTTTTATCCCTTGTAATATGTTTTGCTTTGAAGTTACCTTTATCTTGATATTAATATAGTCACTCTAGCTTTCATTTAAATAATTTAGCATGGTATTTCTTTTTCTATCCCTTTATATTTAACCTTTTTTTTATTTTTGCATCTAAAGGACATTTTTATAAGCAACATATAGTTGGTCTTTCTTTTTTATCTAATCTGACAAGCTTTGTCTTTTAACCATGGTATTTACACCATTTACACTTAATGTAATTATTGATGTATTAGGACTTAAGTCTAATACATCTAATTTTATTATTTGTTTTCTGTTCTGTTCTCTTGGTTTCTTGTTTCTATGTTTCTTTTTCCTTCACATCCTCTAGGTTACATGAGTATATTTAGTTCACCTTTGATTTACTTATAATGTTTTTGAGTGTATTATTTTGTAGTCTTCTTAGTGGTTGCTCTAGGTATTACAATATACGTAACTTATCACAGTCTACTGGTATCAGTGTTATACCATTTCAAGTGAAGTAGAGAAACCTTATATCAATTTAGGTCCCTTTACCCTTTCCACTTTTTAAATATTAATTGACTTATTTCATCTACATACATGTGCACCACATCAGATGGTATTATAGTTTTTGCTTCAACCATGAAACATAAGGTAAAGAAAATTCTATTATTCATACTTCTGTTTTTATTCATTCTACTGTTCTTTACTTCCTGAAGGTACAAGTCTTCTTTTGTTAAACTTTTCCTTTGTGTTTGGAGAGTTCTGTGTAGCCATTGTGTTGGGGAAGGTTTGTTAGCAACAAATTCTCTCAGTTTTCTTTCTGCTGAGAGTGATTTTATTTCTCCTTCATTGCTGAAGGATGGTTTAGTTGGATATAGGATTCAGAGTTGACAATTCTTATAATACTTGAAAATCTTGTATGTCATTTCCTTCTGGCCTCTGTGGTTTCAGATGAAAATATACTGTCATTTTAATTGATGCTTCTTTATATGTAATGTGTTATTTCTGTTCCTTTATATGTAATGTGTTATTGCACTCTGGCTGTTTTAAATATTTTTCTTTATCTTTGGTTCTCACAAGTTTAATTATGAAATGTCCTGTTGTGGATTTTTTTTTTTTGGTTTATCTTCTTTGGAGTTGACCCAGCTTCTTGAATATCTAGATTTACGTCTTTTGTCAACTTTTAGAAGTTTGCAACCATTACTTCTTCAAATACTTTTTCTGTCCCATACTCCTTCTCCTCTCCTGGGACTCTGATGATACAAATATTATATATGTTATTATTTTTCCACAAATCCCTGAGGTTCTGTTCATTTTTGTTTAGTGTATATTCTCCTTGTTGTTCATATTGAGTAAATTCCACTAATCTACATATTCATTTAATCTCTTTTCTGTAATTTTCACTCTACTATTGATTCAATTAAGTGATATTTTTATTTTGGTAATTTTGGTTTTCAGTTACATAATTTCCATTTGGTTCTTTTTTATAACTTCTTTTTTTTCCCCTGAGATTTTCTGTTTTTCTTCACTTGTTTCAAGAGATTATATAATTGTCTCCTGAAGCATTCTTATGATGGATGCTTCAGTCTCCTTCTCAGAAATTCCATTATCTAATTTGTCTTAGTATTGGGGTCAGTGGATTGTCTTTTGTCAGACTGTGGTTTTTCTGGTTCATGGTATGATGGGTTACAGTCAACTGCATTTTGAATATTTTGATTATTATGTTAGGAGACTTTTAACCCTATTGAAACCTTTTATTTTAGCAGGTATGTATCCTGTTTAGGTTTAGCTTATAGGTTTTGGACTAATTTTGTGGGCTTTAGTTCCAATGGCAGTTAGTGTTCTGATTTTTTATAATGCTAATGCTGATCTGGTCTGCTTCATTCTTCTGGCACTGTCGGGGCTTCTGCTAAAACTCTGCTGGTGTCATCCGCTAGAGTTAAAAGTGCTGCTCTGGATTCTCTAATATTCCTAGGTAAACCTCTGGGAAGGCACAGAAGCCACTGAGCCTGGGTCTCTTTATGACACTGGGTGAAAGATAGGAAGACACAGGGCTTTACTGCTGCCACCATTACCACCAGATAGGTCTGCCCACCAGGGAGAGCAGAGCAGGGATGGCCTGGGGCCTTACTGTTCTGTTTCTGCAGGTGAATTGAACTGCCTGTCGATTGGGATTATAGAATAAGATATCGGTGGCTCTCTTCCAAACCTCTGTTGTTTTTCTCTCTCTTGGTCCTCTGGACTGAGCGAGTAGGCTTTGCTTTTTTTTTCCTTCTTTTCTTCATGCCTGTTGACAGTACCAGATTGCAAGCCTCTCTGGTATGCAGTCCAGGGATGTATAGGAGATAAAAAGAAAATGCAAGAAGCATACCATGATGTCTTTCTTCAAGTCCTGTTGTCCTAGTCAGTTTGCCTTCTTCTCTGAAGCTTTCAGAGTCCTTTCAAAATGGTCTGTTGAAGAATTTTTCCAGAGTGTTTAGCTTCATTTAGAATTGAGTATCAGGAAAGGTGAGTCTATGCCATCTGTTCCAGAATCAAAAGCTTGGCCTTCCCTCCCCTTCTTTCACCTTCCTTCCAACTCTCTTTTTCTCCCTTTCTCTTTTTCTTTCCTTATGCCTTTCTTTCCTTCCTTTTACTCCTTCTCTTCATCTCCCCTACCCATCTTTTTATTTCCAGCAGATTCTTGTGATGCATTTTTATTTTTGAAATTAAGTAATTAATTCCTTCACTCATTCTCATTCATTCTAAAATATCTGTTGAACACCTACTAACTGCCAGGCAATATGTCATGTGTTATTAATATAGTGAATAAGAGGGAGTTCTTGCTGCTCAGAGAGTTGATAGTATAATTCTAAAATATCTGTCTGTATGTATCTGGGTATGGATCTTATATAACTGATTTTTATACAGTACATCAGAAAACATTTGAATATACAATCAGATATTTTAATAACTTCAAAAAGTACATTACATTAAATCTTTTATCATTTTTGTTTGAATTGTTCTGATTCCTTTATGACAATTTATAATTTTTAGGTTGGATTTTCATTCTCCATTTTTCCACATGTAATTGTTTCCCATAATTATTTATTATTTCATCATCTTTCCTTTGTATTCATGGAGTGCTTCCAGTTCCAATTGTTCCAATTTCTGATATTTTTACATGTAAATTATTCTATTGACTCCAGTAAAGATTTTAATTCTGATCTTCATGTTTAGTTTTTTATAATTCCCTGCTCAATAATGTTCATTTTTCTTTTTCTTTTCTCTAAAAAAGTTTTTCCACATTGTTTATTTTGCAGATATTTCTTAGAGTATTTCTTGTGACTATCAAAAATTTAATCTTTTTAATTTTTCTTCTAGTTTCTTCATGTATTATTTTTGAAGGCAAACTCTTCCTTTCCAGGTTAACTTCTTCCCTCTAGTTCTATATTATTTCAAAATACATATTTTTCTCTTATCACTGAATATGATCAACAATTATAAGAAAGCCAGTTTGGTTGAAGCACAGAGAGCACAGGAATAGAGTATGAGATGAGGCTGAATGGGTGGGTGGAGGCTAGACTGCAAAATCTTATAATCCACAGTATGGCTATTGTCTTTCTTGAATGAGCAATGGAAAACCATAGGGTTATTTTAAGATAAGGAGGGTTTTCTAACAGTATGCAGGAAAGCCACTTTGGGGAGCATTTGGTAGAATCTTACACAGAATATTTGCAAAGGTGATTTCTGAACAGATTCAAAACATATGTAGGAGGTCAAGTTGAGAGGCCTTGAAATTAGAGTGAACGTAGGAGAGAAAAGGGGAAGAAATGTATGAAAGAGGACTCCCGGGTTTATGAATTTTGAATCTAGATGATTAACAGCACCACTCATTCAGACAGAAAACACTGGAGGAAGCTCAGGCTTTGAAAGATCATAGTTTTGGTTTTGAATTTGTTGCGTTTGTTGCATTGTTGAAACATTCAAGAATGTGTCAAGTGCACATTGGGATGAACAGAGAGACGTTTGGTCTAGAGACATCAATTTGTGAGTCATCTGATTATAGGAAAAACTAATACTGCATGTAATGACATTGTTTGTAGAGGAAGTATATTTGGGACAAAAAAGAAGACTTCAAACTGTCTTCCAAAATTCTAATATATAATGGCTGAAAAGAGAAAGTTGAGCATGCAAAAGAGTAACCAGAGGGACTATAGAAAAATCAGGAAAGTATTCTATTATGGTAGCCAAAGCATTAGATGATCTCTTTCTTAGCCTATCCATGAACTAGGTAGCTTATAAACAACAAAAATTTATTTCTCACAGTTCTGGAAGCTGGGAAATCCAAGATCAAGATGTTGGCAGATTTGGTAGATGGTAAGTCCCGCTTTCTGGTTCATAGATGGTTCCTTGTCATAGATTACCTCCAAAATGCCTGTCTCATGATATAACATCAATTGGGTTTTAACATATACAGTTTGGAGGGATAGTAATATTAACAGCATTGCAGTTTTCAAAAGGACAACATGGTCAACAGTATTGATTCCTGCTAAAAAATCAAGTAAGATGAGCATTGAAAACAATGCTTGATGGATTAGCAAATGATAGGTTGACTTCTAAGATGGCCCCATGATCATCAACATACTCCTTAATGCTTGAACCCTGTATAATCCCCTCTCCTTGGATATAAGCTGGACTTATCACTTTCTTCTGGACAATAAAATATGGCAAAGGCAATGGTGTAATTATGATCCCACATTTTGAGTTAATCAAAATTGAAATTATCTTGGGTGTGCCTGACTTAATCAGGTGAAAGTACTTAAAAGAGAGGTAATTCTCCCTGAGAAGAGGGAGTAAATTGGCTAATTTAGAAAGTCTATACAGCAAGGAGCTTCTGGAGTCCTCTAGAACCTAAAAGTGACTTCAGCTGGCAGCCAACAAAAAGCTGGGACTGTTTGTCATACCACCACAAGGAAACAAATTCTGCCAATAGCCTAAATGAGTTTGGAAGTGAATTATTTCCCCAGTTGAACTTTTGATAAGACTTCAACCTAGTGAGAACTGAAGCAGCGAACTCTGGACTCCTGACCTTCAGAAAATGTGAGATGATAAATGAATGTTGTTTTAAGACACAAGTCTGTGCTAATTTGTTACACAGCAATAGAAAACTATTATAGCAACATAAAAAATTACTGGTGCTCTGAACAAAAGCTGTTTCAGTAGAGTGACTGGACAGGAATCAGACTGGACTGGTTTGGAGGAGTGAGTGGGAGGCAAGTAAATGGAGTGAGTGTAGATAACTCTTAGATAAATCAAAACATTTTCCTGGACAGAGAACAAGAGTGTAGGGCTGTAGTTGAAAGGGGCTGTGGCTTTGAGGACAAAGTTTTTATTTTATTTTGTATTTTAATGGGGAATACCTTAAACATGTTTAAAAATCTGTCTTCCACAATAATCCATTTTTATTGAAAGTTTATTTGACTATGCCGGATGCAGCATAGGTAGATATAATTCCCATTAAATAACTTAGATCTACGTCTATGTTGATTTTAACATTGCAAATATTGTAAAGTGGTATAGAGAATTATAAAAGAAAACAATACAAAGTATACTATTTAGCAAAACCTTCCCGTATACAGTATCTCCAAATGAAAGAGTGATTTCCTTACTCTGGAGGATCCTATGGTCTGAACCAAGTTTCCTTATTCCTTTCAATTCTTAGTGCAGAAAAGCTACTATGATTTGACTTTCTATGATAGTTTTCGAAGGTGGCACCTTTGTGTGGGAGTTGACCGACAAGTCTTGGTGTAGATCTATACTGAATCTGTAGAATCACAGAAAAACAACTAGGCCATTGTGTTAAACTAATATCAAACATGAATGACCATCTAACATTGCTGCAAGAATTTCAGCTTTATGATATTTATTTAGAACCTCTTCTTTGCCATGCATTATTGTTTCTAAAAATAGTGGTGGTAATATGTGTGCATTTGCATTCCTGATCTCAAAAAATGCCTTATTATCCTCAAACAAATGTTTAGTTTGAAATAAGAGAACAATAATAACAATTAAAGAAAGAGACAGAAAAAGAGAAGAGAGAAAAGAAAACTCGCTACATCCTAGGTTTTGTACCAACTACTTAATATAAATATCTCCCTTAATTCTTAAAATAATTCTATTAAGTAGGCTCTAGCATGTCCTCATTTTCTTCAGATAAATAAACTGAATTTTGTATTTAAAATAACTATTCCTGGTCCTGCATCTGGTCAAATTAGAGAATAAATCCTTTCATGTGTCTCTAAAGTTAATAGTTTTAACTACCATGATATGTTGCTTCCATTACAAAAAAAAAAAAATTGTGGCTTTTTTTTTTCTCATGGAATTCACACTAGTCTGTCACAGAGCAAGTAGAATTGCTCATTGTACTAACAGGGGAAAATAAAGACCTCTATGCAAGAGAAAACAATTTTATAGATTTTGCATTTTTCAATACATCTTTCCATGTTCGATAACATAACTCCAGCTGAATTTCTGTGGTGACACTTCAAAGACTTCCCTGATCGTCACAATCCAATTGATGAGAATTTATAACACAAGTGACGGTTATATCATGTACCTTGTTAAGCACATATTAGGTAGCTTAACATACATACTTTATATTAGAGAACAATAAAACTTGATTATGAACTATACCAATGATTATTCCTCTTTTGTATAGATAACGATTTAGTATCGTCTGATGTCAATCATTTTACCTAGGCTAGTAGTTTTCAAGCTTGAGCTTACATCAGAATCTCCTGCAGAGCTTCTTAAAATACAGGTCACCAGGCCCTGCTCTAAGAGTTTCTGATTCAGTAGGTGTGGCTTGCAGCACTAGAATTTGCATTTTTAACAAGTTCCCAGATGCTGCTGCTGCTGCTGCTCTTAGCCTGGAGATCACAATTTGAGGACCACTGGCCTGGACCAGGGTTCAAAAAGATTTTTTATGAAGACCCAGGTAAATATTTTAGGTTTTGTGGGCATATGGTCTCTGTCACAACTACTCAATTCTTCCTTTGTAGTGCAAAATCAGTTGTGCATAATATACAATAAATAAATGATGGCTGTGTTTCAATACAATTGTACTTACAAAAAAGGTGTCAGGCTGAGTTTCATCAACAAACCATAATTGGCCAACCCCTGGCTTAGACCAACTCAGTACAAGAGTCCTGAAAAATCACTTTATGTTAAATGGTAACTCTGTGATAACCATTTGCAAACATATCTACAAATATCCCTTTTAAGTTTTATTTAAATATTTACAGAACTGTACCAGAGACTAAACTGATGGTCTCCTTGAAGCATAGAGAAGAAACCCCGAAGTGTTTCTATAAACCCAACAGAAATACGCAATACTTTTATGCAAGAGTTGGCATCTTATAAATGCCCATGAACTCTATCTTTAGTTTCAAGTTTTAGTTTTAGTTAAATATTGTTTATGGTGTTATAAGCCATAAATCTACCAGGTTAAAGAAGGCCAAAACACTATTGAATGACATATATGTCAGCTCAGTAAGGTTATCTATTAACTTTATAATAAACAAAACAAGAACAATTCATTTGCCATGAGTGTGCCCTGCTTTAATATAGTTGGTCTTTACCCAGAGCAGTATACTTCAAACTAATTTAAAAACGCCAATATAATCTTAAAATTCTACTTAACAGTATACTTCAGTGAACCCACTACATTAGCTTTATCCTTGTAAAATGTAAGTTCCTGTAAAAGGACAAAATTCTGACAAATTTTTATCATAATGAAATGTGATTTCATTCCCTGAAAATAATTATATGCAAATACCATGAGGAAACTTGGTATTATGGATCATTTTATAAACTTAAAATGTGAATATTATGTCAAGAGTCTCCAACAATCTGCTACATGCTACAGATAATAAATAAATATAATCCCTACAGCCAATGGCATATTCTAGTATTTAATAATTTGAGGATGAACTAAAATGACTTTATATTGAGATTCATGGTATCTATCTTTCAGAACATTTTCCTAAATTCAATTAAATCAAATGTTTCCATTTGGCAAACAGGTTTACATTTACCGGCAGATATCTATTATTTTGTCTAATGCAGTGGTTTTAAAAAGTTCTCAGTTAAAAAAAATGTTAAAAGAGCCCTGTGGCTAAATGGAAACTGGAAAGTGTTGACTTTAGATACATTTCAAAAGTTTCTTTACTTCAGGACGTCTCAGAACCATTACCATGCATGGTATAAATATACAAGAAAGATCTGTCAGACTGTACAGCCTTTTCCCATCTCATTTGAACATGGAACTTGATTATCAGTAGAACATCTTGAAGTACCAGAGAAATATTCTTAAGAAAGCAATGTTCTAAGTAAGCACTTACATTCAGGTAACATATGGTAACTTATTTTAAAAGACCAACTCGACTCAACAAATATTCTATTGCTTGACTAACCATTTAAAGGTCACTCATTTCATTTTACTATGCTACTCACCAAAATCTATCTAGAACACAGGTAATCCTATTAAACATACTTACACTCCTCTTCAGGCCTCTTCCGAAGTGCTGCACGAACCTCTTTACAAGGACTTCTCTGGTATTGCGGGGGATTCCTTCCCCTTATTAGGTTCTCCATCCTATAAGAGAGAATCAGAAGAGTATTTTCATACTCTTTTTTTTGGATAAATGTTTACAAGTTAAATGGTCTAAAATTCAAATTCCCACAGAACTTTGCTAGACAACACCATGAAGATGATCCGGCAAGGAGCAAGCTGGCAGGGAGCATCGGGGACCATAGTAAATTGAAGAGTGCTTGACTTTTCCAGCATCCCAATTAAAAAAAATTAAAAACACCATGTGTATGAAACTTATGCACATTCTCTAATTAGAGACTGCCATGGACGGAATATGTCCCCACAGAATTCAAATATTGAAGCACCAGCCCCCAGTGTGATTTGAAGGTAGGGCCTTTGGGACGTAATTAGTTTTAGAGGAGGTTATGAATGGAACGTCCATGATGGGATTAGTGTCTTTATAGGAAGAGAGAGAGAGAAAAAGGGAAAAAGGTAGACTTCTCTCTCTCTCCACCATGTGGGGACACACGGAGGAAGCTGTCTTCAAGCCACAGTGAAGGCCTGCACAAGGAACCAAATTTATCAGCACCTTGACCTTGGACTTCCTAGCCTCCATAACTAAGAGCAATAGTCTGTTGTTTAAGCCACCGAGTCTATGGTATTTTGTTATAGCAGCCCAAGCTGAATAAAATAAAGACCTATCGACTAAAGAGTAATTATTTGCAAAGTAAATAAATTTAAAAAACTAAGGTCATCATTCAGAAAGAAAAAGCATATCTTTCACCAACATTTCAAATATCAGTTTTTCACAATGAGATACCACCTTACCCCAGCCAGAATGATCATTATTAAAAAGTCAAAATACAATAGATGTTGGCATGGATGTGAAAAAGGAACACTTATACACTGCTGTTGGGAATGTAAACTAGTATACTCTCTATGAAAAACAGTATGGAGATTTCTCAAAGAACTAAAAGTAAATCTACCATTTGATCCAGTAATCCCACTACTGATTACCCAAAGGAAAAGAAGACACTATTTCATAAAAACACCTGCACTCATATGTTTATTACACCAGAATTCACAATTGCAAATATATGAAATCAACCTAACTGCCCATCACCCTATAAGTGGATAAAGAAAATGTGGGATATATATGATATGTATGATACATATATGATATATATATGATATATATATAACATATATAATATATGTTATATATTATATATATAGATGTGGGGTATATATATGTAGAATATATACACACGCTCATATATATCTACACACACCATGTATATGTGTTTATATATACCACTCAGCCACAAAAGGATGAAATAATGTTCAGTAACTCGGATGGAAGTGGAGACCATTACTCTAAATGAAGTAACTCAGGAACAAAAACCAAATACCATATGTTCTTACTTTTAAGTGTAAGAACTAAGGTATGAGTATGCAAAAGCACACAGAGTGGTAAAATGGACACTGGAGACTCAGAAGGGAAAGGGTGGGAGAAGGTTAATTAATGAAAAACTACCTATTGAGTACAATGTTCACTATCCAGGTGACATGTGCACTGAAATCCTAGACTTCACCAATATACAATTCATGTGTGTAACCAAAACCCACTTGTACCCCTAAAGCTATTGAAATAAGAAAATTTTTTAAAAAGTACCAGTTTTCAAGAATGGAATTGCTGATTTAATTCCATACTAATGACTGAATCAGAATGTTTTTAAATTCTAATAATTGTGATTTCTTGAAAAAAGTGGTTAATATAAATTGTACCTTTCAGTTACTAGTTACACGGCGATGCTGACAACCAGAAAATAATAAATTAATCAAACACAACTTGGGTGAGCATCTTTAACAGCATATACTTTGTGGTCAGTATTTTCTGTTTTCCATAAAGTTTACAGTTTTGCACATCAATGTACACTTTACTAACTTCTATAACACTAAAAAAATTGAATGCTCAGGATTTGAAAATTTGGAACTAAATCATAGTATTTATCATTTTGAAAATATAAACATGATTTCTTAATATCTATATGATTATCCTCAACCAGGGATATCACTGGTTTTGATAACTGTCCTGGTTGATAGCATGCATACCATTGAAAACAGTGTGATTATTACGGGTATACTGGCAGAGGGTCTCCTAGGATTAGTAGCATAGAGAGAGGATTATGTTCCTTGTGTCTGGAGGGGAAATTGACAAAGGATCATCCCACAAAAGCAGTATGTTAAGTGGTGGAAAATATGAGATAAAAAGGCTTTTTGTGGTGGAATAATAACATAATACTACTCCTATGGGAACTTATCATTGGGGCTTAAAAAAAGTCTTCCAAATATACTTTCTGAAATCAGTCTATTCATATGTAGAGGCTGCTTTATGTGCTTGTGTGTGTGTGTGTGTGTGTGTGTGTGTGTGTGCATGCACTCATATGCCTATCCCTATGTTTGTAAAGTATAAGAAATTGTTTTTTAATGTGCAGTGATAACTTGAATCTTAGTTTCACTCAAAATTCATGTCAAGTGAGAAAAAGTTATTTCTCTCAAGATAATGATAATACAGCGACAGGAAACCAAGTGGAAACTTGAAGAATTGAAGACATAAATTGCTTCAACATTATATGTGTGCGTGTGGGGGGCGGGGTGAAGATTAAGCTTCTAGGTCTGTCCCTGCAGTTTCATCATGAAGATTAGCTATGCGAACTAAATTATATCAAATTTTCTAGTTTCTGACTCTTGAATTAATTCATCGCACAATTTTGATTATGTGTTTCGGCAAATGCAGAAATCTCCATGATGATCTAATAACAATTTAAGTGAGCTTATAATTATTCACTAGTATTTACAAGCTTAAGATAGTAAATTATAGCAAACAGAACCTGCACATGCAAATGTCTACATAAAATTGTAGTGTAATTTTTAAAAACACTTTTACTCATTGTGATTACACTCTGATGGGGAATGACAAGTTATGTTGGTTGGGGAATACATGAAAACTACTCTCTTGAATAGGCTATTATTTTTCCTTTTTATCTCTATCAAATATGTGAAAACAAAAGTGGTCTCCTTGATTTCCATGTAATTATGGTTCAGGGTATGTCAGAAAAACTCAAAAACAGATTAGAAAGTACTTTCAAAGGCTATGGGAGGATTTAAACGATTACTATTGGTATCCAAGACCCTCAGGTTAGCCTCCCAGGAATCATGGTGTTCAGAGGTTGTATTTTGGGAATACTCATGAGCAGATATGCAAGAGATTATACAATGCTGGCAATGTAGCATGGCTTAAATGTAATGTTCCTCAGCTCTGGAATCAGAATGCCTGGGCTTAACCTCTCTTTTTGTTTCTTAAAGGATGATTTTAGGTAAAGTTACTCACATACTTTGTGCCTTACTTAATGTGCTTACATACACAACAGGATTGTTGTGAGGATTAAATATGGTAACACATGTAAAATGCTTTGCGTTGTGTCTGTCACAATGGAGAGCTCGGTAAATGAAGCTATTATTAATAATGATTATCACAAATAAAAATGTGATCATATACTAATATTTTAAATGTTCCATATATTTGGAAACATATTACAATTGGTCTTTAATAAAGAAAATGAAAACAGATAGTACTGTTGAGGAAAAAAAATTAGCTTAGAAATTTTCTGATTATTAGGGAAACACAAAATATCCAGGTATATAAGTGGCCAATTTTTATAGATGAAGAACTTAATTAAATATACTTCATTTTTTATCAATAAGATTTAAGGGATTACTAATGACAATTTTCCGAGGACACTAACAGGGATAAAAGTGGGTTGTCGTCATCATGAATTAACTAAAGTTCTAGAAAATTCCAGGTTTTGTAGAGAATTTAGAAAATATTTCAAAATTTTATAGTTACCTTGGACCTTAGAAACAATTAAAATATTTTGTAATATATTTACCATTTACTTTATCACTTCATGAAGTAAATTACTTCATTTACTTTACCATTTACCATTTACTTCATTAATCCTTTGAACAACTTTATGAAAGAATATTTTAAAGATGAAGAAATTAAGCCCAGATATGCTCAGTGACTTGCTCATGGCCTCATCAGAAGTAGAAGAAGGCTCAACTAAGATTTAACCAATCTTTTCTGGACTTTTCTAGTTGCTTCTTAGTCCATTATTTCCATGAGTTCATGATTATAATTCCACTAGGGGAGTGAATACCTGAGATTCAAATATATAATGTATTTTTAATTCTGGTAAAATTATCATTAACATAATATTAACACTTATATTTTAATATCTATACTCAGGAGGCTGAGGTGAGAGAATCACTTGAGGACGCAAAGGTGGAGGCTGCAGTGAGCTGTGATCATGCCACTACACTCCAGCCTGGGCAATAGAGCGAGGCCCTGCCTCCATATTTATGTGTTATAGATGTAAAATATATATAAATATGATATTTATATTCAAATATATGTTTTTAGTGTTAATATGTTGATTACATGTTGATTTCTTATCATTTTGCTATTGTCACTGAAATTTTTGCTTCCATCAGTGACATTTTAAGTTTTTGAGAACTGCCAAAAAGATAACTGGGGCCAAAACAATTCACTATAAATTACATGAACGATACACAAATAGGTGAAAATATAAAAAAAATACTAAAAGTCGTTTTGTTCCTTGGAATGCTATATGTGATGCCCACTGGAAACATACTTAAAATGAAGTTAATAATTTTGCAGAGCAATGTTTGTGTCTAAATTATTATATAACTGAAACTTGCATCTTCTCAAGATTACACTTCTGGTTACTTGAACTCTTTCACCACCATTATCTATGATCTACAGTTTGCATTAAATAGTCAGACAAAATGACCAAAAATGAAATCTTGGAGCACAGCCAGGTCACTGCAAAGGAGCTGTTCTAGCTACTCTCAAGCTTGGCAAGCCACCAGTGGGAGTGTGTTAACAATTCTAGCAAAGAGAGATTAAATGTAATGACCACAGGTGAGACAGATGCTCTAACAACTCATTGAAGAGCTCTGAAAAAGTGCAGCCTACGTGTTCAACTGCTAGGAGGAAATAAGGGCAGCCAGGTTAATATCAAATAGCATGAAATAGCAATTAACAGTTATAAGCAAAAAGTGTCCATGACATTCTTGATGGTGTCTCCCAAATTTGGCTAGAGTCTCAAAATCACCCAAGGAGTGATTTTCCCAGTACTAAAGATTATCATGCAGTAGGTTGAGGTCAAGTCCTAGTTGATGTTTTCTTTTTTAGATTAATCAGGTGCTTCTAAAGTAGCCAGCCAGCTGTGTACACTTGTTTAGATCCTGGCATTTGGGAACCTCTGTAAATAAAAAATATATACTTGGAATTGTAGGGAAGACAAGTCCATTGAATTCATTCAGGTGATAAAGTTGTCTATTAACACAGATATGTAGGGCCTGAGGAAGAGACTGCAGTTAGAATAGAAATTATCAAAAATGAAAAGAGTAGCCAGAAAAGCACAATCAAAGGCTTGCCAAGTTGCCTGGAGGTCACTCACAGGAACCGACAGGCTGCTCATTAACATTATCAACTCACTGTTGATAATCTCAATAGTGAAATGATATCCCTTAACAAGGTTTGGCTGACTCAGTTGGATCAGGGAATATGTTTGGACTAATCTAGAATCATGGACTGAGATGGCAGTGTGGCTAGTGAATGAAGGATGTGAAGTCTGCATGAAAATCTAGTTGAAATAGATTTACACTTGATGGAGGAGGACATAGGAGAATGATTGGCTCACTGGAGGAAAAGGGAGTTGGGATAATAGAATAAAGGTTTCAAATATAAATATTCTCAAATGCCTATTATATGCCAGGTGCTTTGTTAGGTTCTTTATATGTACATTATCCATGTCATCTGTATTTTATCCATGGTTAACCTAAGTCTAAGAAATATAAGTGACTTGCTTAGGATCACACATAGAATAAGTGCAAAAATCAAGATTTAAATCCAGATCTGTCTGACCTCAGATCAGTTAACTATGAAGTGGGTTGTGCAATAGAACTTTCTGCAATGATGGAAATGTTCAATATCTGTGCTGTCCAATAAAGTGGCTGCTAGCCACATACAGCTATTGAGCACTTCAAATGTGGCTAGTATGACTGAGGAACTGAACTTTACTTAATACAATTTTTTTAAAAAAATGTATTAAGTAGAAGGGCAGAGGAAGATGGCCAAATAGGCTCCACCGATCATCACCACCCCACCCTGATAGGACGCCAATTTAACAACTATCTACACACACAACAAAAAGTGCCTTCATCTAATGTAAATGACAAGTTAATGGGTGCAGCACACCAACATGGCACATGTATACATATGTAACAAACCTGCATGTTGTGCACATGTGCCCTAGAACTTAAAGTATAATAAAAAAAATTTTTTTAAAGTGCCTTCATAAGAACCAAAAACCAGGTGAACACTCACAGTGCTTGGTTTTAACTTCATGTCACTGAAAGAGGCATTGAAGAGGGCAGGAAAGAGTCCTGAATTGCAAACATTACTCTGCCCCATCCCCCAGCAGCGGCCACATGGCATGGAGAATCTTAGCACTTGAGACAGGATGAATGCAGCCGTTGCATGACACATCGCATTGAACTCAATGCTGCCCCTGTCATAGCAGAAAGCATAACTAGGCTGAACTCAGCTGATGCCCGACCACAGAGGGAGTTTTTAAACGAGCCCTAGCCACAGGAGTATTGCCCATCCCAGCAGCAGGAAATTGAGCTCCAGGAAGCCTCACTACCATGGGCTAAAATGCTCTGAGGCCATAAGTAAACTTGAAAGGCAGTCTAGGACACTGGAACTGCAACTCTAAGGTAAGTCCTAGGACTGAACTGGGCTCAGCGCCAGTGGACTTGGGAGCATATGTGACCTACTGAGATACCAACTGGTTGGCTAAGGGAATGTGTCTGCCACTTCTCCTCTAACCCCAGGCTGCACAGCTCATGGTTCCAAAAGAGACTCACTCCTTCCTCCTGCTTGAGGAGAGGAAAGAAAAGAGTAAGAAAACTTTGTCTTGGATCGTTGATACCAGCTTAGCCACAGTAGGATAGAGCACCAGTCAAAGTCATGAGGCACCCTTTCCAGGCCCTACTTCCTACATGATACTACTAGACACACCCTAGGCAAGAAGGGAACATGCTGCCTTGAGGGGAAGGATCCACCACCTGCTGACTAAAGTGCCCCTGGGCCCTGAATAACCAATAGTGATACCCAGATACTATGCTGTGGCCTCAGGTGAGACTCAGACTTGCTGGCTTCACGTGAGACTCAGCACATTCCCAGTTGTGGTGGCTATGGGAAGAGACTCCTCTTGCTTGAGAAAAGTGAAGGGAAAAGTAAAGGGGACATTGTCTTGCACCTTAGGTACCAGCTTTGCCACAGAGGAAAAGAGCACAAAGCAGGCTCCTGGGGTCCCCAGTTCCAGGCCTCGACTCCTGCATGACATTTCTTGACCTATCCTGGGCCAAAAGGAAGCCCGCTGCCCCGAATAGTGAGTCCCATGCCAGGCAGCATTCACCACAAACTGAATAAAGAGCCCTTGAGCCTTAAGGGAATATTGATGGTAGCCTATCACTAATCCCCATGGGTCTGTGGAGATGGTGGCCATGGGCTAAGACTCTTCTCCCAATGGAAAGAGGAGGGAAGAGTGGAAAGGACTGTGTCTCATGGTTTGACTGCCAGCTCACCTACAGTAAATTAAAATACTAGGTATACTCCTAAGGTTTTTGATTCTAGTCCCTGGCTCCCAGATGGGACCTCTGGACCTCCCTGGGGCCAGGGGGAACTTGCCACCATGAAGGGAGAGACACAAGCCTGACTGACTTCACTACCTGCTGATTTTAGAACTTCAGGGCCTTGACTGAACATAGGTGGTAGCCAGAGAGTGGTTACAGTGAGGCCCAGTGCTGTGCTGGCTTTAGGTCTGATCCAGTGCAGTCCCAGGATGGTATCATCCCACCCACAGCTCCAAGTAGCTCAGAAAAGAGAAAGAGACTCTCTTTGGGAGAAAGTAAGGGAAACGATCTGAATCTTATGCAAGACAACTAAGGTAGTACCTCTATGTTTGCAAGAACCACAGCATTAATGAACTTCGGGTTCTCCCTAATGCAGATACGGCTTAAATTACAACACCCATGTCCTTTTGAATACCTTGAAAGCCTTCCCAGGAAGGATGGGCACAAACAAGCCCAGACTTTGACAGCTACAATAAATATCTAACTCTTCAATGGCCAGACACAGATGAATATCTATAAGCATCAAGACCATCCTGGAAAACATGACCTCATGAAATGAACTAAAAAAGGCACTAGAGACCAACTTTGGAGACACAGAGATATGTGACCTTTAGACAGATAATTCAAAATAGTTGTTTTGAGGAAACTCAAAGAAATTCAAGGTAACACAGTGAAGGAATTCAGAATTTTATCAGACAAATTTAACTAAGAGATGGAAATAATTAAAAAGAATCAAGCAGAAATTCTGGAATTGAAAAATCCAATTGGCATACTGAAGAATGCATCAATGCATCAGAGTCTTTTCATAGCAGAGTTGATCAAGCAGAAAAAACAATTAGTCAGCATGAAAACAGCCTTTTGAACATATGCAGTCAGAGAAGACAAAAGAAAGAAGAATAAAAAAAAATACAGCATGACTACAAGATCTAGAAAATAGCCTCAAACGGGCAAATCTAAAACTTACTGGCCTTAAAGAGGTGGTAGAGGTAGGGGTAGAAATTTTATTTTAAAGGATAATAACAGATAACTCCTCACCTAAGAAAGATATCAATATCCAAGTATGAGAAGGTTAGAAAACATAAAGCAGATTCAATCCAAATAAGACTACCTCAGTTCATTTAATAATCAAACTCCCAAAGGTCAAGGATAAAGAAAAGGTCCTAAAAGCATCAAGTGCAAAAAAACAAGTAACACACAATGGAGCTTCAATACATCTTGCAGCAGACTTTTCAGTAGAGAGTTTATAGGCCATGAGAGAATGGCATGACATATCTAAAGTGCTGAAGGAAAAATATTTTACCTTAGAATACTATATTCAGTGAAAACATCCTTTGAACATGCAGATAAAGACTTTCCCAGACAAACAAAGGCTGAAGGATTTCATCAACACCAGATCTGTTCTGCCAGAAATGCTAAAGGAAGTACTTCAATCAGAAAGAAAAAGACATTAATGAGCAATAAGACACCATCTAAAAGTACAAAACTCACTGGTAATAGTAAGGACACAGAAAAACACAGAGTATTATAACACTGTAACTGCGGTGTATAAACTATTCTTATCTTAAGTAGAGAGACTAAAGGATGGACCAATGAAAAAAACCATAAGAATTTTTCAAGACATAGACAGTATGATAAGATATAAATAAAAATTACAACAAACAACCCTATCAAAAAGTGGGTGAAGGATATGAACAGACACTTCTCAAAAGAAGACATTTATGTGGCCAAAAAACATATGAAAAAAAGCTCATCATCACTTGTCATCAGAGAAATGCAAATCAAAACTCCAATGAGATACCATCTCATGCCAATTAGAATGGTGATCATTAAAATGTCAGGAAGCAACAGATGCTGGAGAGGATGTGGAGAAATAGGAATGCTTTTACACTGTTGGTGGGCATGTAAATTATTTCAACCATTGTGGAAGACAGTGTGGTAATTCCTCAAGGATCTAGAGCCAGAAATACCATTTGACCCAGCAATCCCATTACTGGGTTTATACCCAAAAGATAATAAATCATTCTACTATAAAGACAAATGCACACATATGTTTATTGCAGCACTATTCACAATAGCGAAGACTTGGAACCAACCCAAATGCCAATCAATGATAGACTGAATAAAGAAAATGTGGCACATATACGCCATGGAATACTATGCCTCCATAAAAAGGGATGAGTTCATGTTCTTTGCAGGGACATGGATGAAACTGGAAACCATCATTCTCAGCAAACTAACACAGGAACAGAAAACCAAACACCACATGTTCTCACTTATAAGTGGGAGTTGAACAATGAGAACACATGGACACAGGGAGGGGAACATCACACACTGCGGCCTGTCGGGGGATGGGGGGCTAGGGGAGGGATAGCATTAGGAGAAATACCTAATGTAGATGATGGGTTGATGGGTGCAGCAAACCACCGTGGCACATATATACCTATGTAACAAAACTACACATTCTGCACATGTATCCCAGAACTTAAAGTATAATAAAAAGAGAAAAGAAACACAAAATGTTAAAAAGTGGGAAGGCAAAGTTAAGGTGCTGAGTTTTTATTAGTTTTCTTTGTGCTCATTTGTTTTTGCAAATAGTGTTGTTGTTATCAGCTTAAAATAATGGGTTATAAGATAGTATTTGCAGGCCTCATGGTGACCTCAAATAAAAAAAAACATACAATGGGTACACAAAAAATAAAAAGCAATGAATTAAATAATATCACCAGAGAAAATTACCTTCACTAAAAGGAAGACGAGAAGGAAGAAAGGAATGAGGAGAAGATGACAAAACAACCAGAAAACAAATGATAAAAAGGCAGGAGTAAGTCCTTACTCATCAATAATAACATTGAATATAAATAGACTAAACTCTTCAATCAAAAGTTGTGGAGTGACTGAACAGATTAAAAACCAAGACCCAATGATCTGTTGCTTTCAAGAAACACACTTTGCCTATAAAGGCATACATAACTGAAAATAAAGGGACAGAAAAAAGATATTCCATGCCAATGGAAACCAAAACGGAGCAGGAGTACCTATACTTAAATCAGACAAAATATATTTCAGGATGAATAGTATAAGAATAGACAAAAGTCACTATATAATGATAAAGGGATGAATTCAGCAAGAGAATATAACAATTTTAAATAAATACGCATCCAGTACAGGAGCACATAGGTATACAAAACACATACTATTAGTGCTAAAGAGAGAGATAGAACCCAACACAATAAAAGCTGGAGACTTCAACACCCCACTGTCAGCATTAGACAGATCTTCCAGACAGAAAATCAACAAGGAAACATCAGACTTAATCTGCAGTGCAGAGCAAATTGACCTAATAGATATTTACAGAACATTTCATCCAAGAGCTACAAAATACATATTCTTTTCCTCAGCACATGGATCATTCTCAAGGATAGACCATATGTTAAATCACAAAACAAGTCTTAAAACATTCAAAAAATGTGAAATAATATTAAGCACCTTCTCTGACCACAAGGGAATAAAACTAGAAATCAATAAAAAGGGGAATTTTGGAAAATACACAAACACATGAAAATTAAATGATATGCTCCTGAATAACCAGTGGGACAATGAAGAAGTTAAGGAGGAAAATGAAAAAATGTCTTCAAACAAATTATAATGGAAATACATACCAAAACCTATGGGATAAAGCAAAAGCAGTACCAAGAAGGAAGTTTATAGCTATTAGTGCCTACATCACAAAAGAAAAACTTCAAATAAACAACCTAATGATGCATCTTGAAGAACTAGAAAAGCAAGAGCAAACCAAACTCAAAATTAGTAGAAGAAAAGACATAATAAAAATCAGACTAAAATTAATGAATTTGAAATTAAGAAAACAATATGAAATATCAATGAAAAAAATAATTTTTTTTTGAAAAAGCAAACAAAATTGACAAGCCTTTAGCCAGAGTAAAAAGGGGGAGAAGACTCAAATAAATAAAATCAGAGATAAAAAAGGAGATATTACAACTGATACTACAGAAATTCAAAAGATCTTTAGTGGTTACTATGAGCAAGTATATGATGATAAATTGAAAAATCTAGAAGAAATTGATAAATTCCTACACACATAAAACCTTCCAAGATCGAACCATGAAGAAATCCAAAATCTAAACAGAACAATAACTAGTAATTAGATTGAAGCCATAATAATAAGTCTCCCAGCAAAGAAAAGCCTAGGACCGAATGGTATCGCTGATGAATTCTACCAAACACTTAAAGAAATAATACCAATTCTACTCAAACTATTCTGAAAAATAGAGGAGGAAGGAATACTTTCAGACTCATTCACAAGGCCAGTATTATCTTGATACCAAACCCAAAGATACATCAATAGAGAAAACTATCAGCCAGTATCACTGATGAATATTCATGCAAACATTTGCAACAAAATACTAGCGAACCAAATTCAACTATACATTAAAAAGATCAGTTATCATGAACAAGTGGGATTTATCCCAGGGATGTACAGATGGTTCAACATATGCAAATAAATTAATGTAATACATTCTATCAATGCAATAAAGGACAAAAACCATATGATCATTTCAATTGATGCTAAAGAAGCATTTGATAACATTCGACATCCCTTCATGATTAAAAACCTTCAAAAACCTGAGGATAGAAGAAACATACCTCAACATAACAAAAGCCACCTATGACAGATCCACAGCTAGTATCATACTTAATGGGGAAAACCTGAAAGCCTTTTTCTAAGATCAGGAACACAACAAAGATGTCCACTTTCCCCACTGTTTTTCAACATAGTTCTGGAATTTCTAGATAGGGCAATGAGCTAAGAGAAAGAAATAAAGGGCATACAAATTAGAAAGGAAGAAGTCAAATTATCCTTGTTTCCAGATGACATGATCTTATATTTGGAAAAATCTAACGTCTCCACCAAGAAAACTATTAGAACTTATAAACAAATTCAGTAAAGTTGTAGGATACAAAATCAACATACAAAATCAGTAGTATCCTCTATATGCCAACAGAGAACAATCTGAGACAGAATTAAATAAAGTAATCCCATTCACAATGGCTACAAATAAAATAAAATACCTAGAAATTAAATTAACTCAAGAAGTGAAAGATCTCTACAATGAAAACTATAAAACATTAATACAAAGATTTGAATAGGACACACAAAAATGAAAGATATTCCATGTTCATGAATTGGAAGAATCAACAATGAACAAAGAATCAATCAATGTAAAAATGTCCATACTACTCAAAGCAATCTACAAATTTAAGGCAATCCTTATCAAAATACTAATGACATTCTTCACAGAAATAGAAAAAACAATTTTAAAATTTATATGAAACCACAAGAGACTCAGAATAGCGAAAGCCATCCTGAGCAAAAGAAGGAAACTGAAGGAATCACATTACCTGCCTTTAAATTACACTACAGAGCTATAGTAAACAAAATGGCATTTCACTGGCATAAAAACAGACATATAGATCAGTGTAACAGAATGGAGAACCCAGAGATAAATCCATATATCTACAGTGAACTCATTTTTGATGAAGGTGCCATGAACACACATTGGGGAAAGGACAGTTTCTTCAATTAATGGTTGTAGAAAAACTGGATATCCACTGGCAAAAAAAATGAAATTCGACACCTATCTCTCACCATATACAAAGATCAAATCAAAATGGATTAAAGACTTAAATCTAAGACCTTGGACTATGAAACTGCTAAAAGTAAACATTGAAGAAATTCTCCAGGACATTGATCAGGGCAAAAATTTTTTGAAGAGTACCCCAAAAGCACAGGCAACCAAGCCCAAACAGACAAATAGGATCACATCAAGTTAAAAAGTTTCTGCACAGCAAAGGATACAATCAACAAAGTGAAACAACAACCCACAGAATTGGAGAAGATATGTGCAAACTACCCATCTGACAAGGGATTAATAACCAGATTATATAATGAACTCAAGCAATATGATAGGAAAATCTAATAATCCGATTAAAAATGGACAAAATATCTGAATAGACATTTCTCAAAAGAAGAGATACAAAAGGCAAATAATTATATGAAATGTGGTCAACATCACTGAAAATCGGAGAAATGCAAATCAAAACTGCAATGAGATATCATCTGACCCCAGCTAAAATGGCTTTTACCCAAAAGTCAGGAAATAACAAATGCTGGCGAGATGTGGAGAAATGGGAGTCCTCGTACACAGCTGATAGGAATGTAAATTAGTACAACCACTATGGAGAACAGTTTGGAAGTTCCTGAAAAAACTAAAAATAAAACAGCTACTTTATTATCCAGCATTAACACTACTGGGTGTATATATCCAAAAGAAAGGAAATCAGTCTATCAAAAAGATATCTGTAGCCCATGTTTATTGAAGACCTATTCACAACAGCCAAGATTTGCAAACAACCTAAGTGTTCATCAACAGATAAATGCCTAAAGTAAATGTGGTACATATACACAATGAAATACTAGTCAGCCATGAAAAAGGTTGAGATCCTGTCATTTACAACAACATGGAGGGAACTGGTAGTCATTATGTTAAGTGAAATAAGTCAGGCACAGAAAGACAAACTTTACATGCTCACACTTATAAAAATTAAAACGAGGCCGGGCGCGGTGGCTCACGCCTGTAATTCCAGCACTTTGGGAGGCCGAGGCGGGTGGATCATGAGGTCAGGAGATCGAGACCATCCTGGCTAACAAGGTGAAACCCCGTCTCTACTAAAAATACAAAAAATTAGCCGGGCGCGGTGGCGGGCGCCTGTAGTCCCAGCTACTCGGGAGGCTGAGGCAGGAGAATGGCGTGAACCCGGGAAGCGGAGCTTGCAGTGAGCTGAGATTGCGCCACTGCAGTCGGCAGTCCGGCCTGGGCGACAGAGCGAGACTCCGTCTCAAAAAAAAAAAAAAAAAAAAAAAAAAAAAAAATTAAAACGATTGAACTAATGGAGACAGAGAGTAGGACGATGGTTACCAGAGACTGGGCTGGGTAGTGAGGGTGTAGGGGAAGAGGTAGGGAGGGCTAATGGGTATCAAAAATTAGAAAGAATAAATAAGACCTAGTATTAAATATTTGCTAGTACAATAGAGTGACTATAGTTGAAATAATTTAATTGTGCAATTAAAAAATAACTAAAAGCATAATTGGATTGCTCATAACACAAAGGATAAATGCTTGAGGTGATGAATACTCTATTTATCCTAATATCATTTGTATGCATTGCATGCCGGTATCAAAATATCTCATGTAACCCATAAATATATACATCTACTATGTGTCCTTAAAAATTAAAATTAAAAAATGTATTGAATTTTAACTTATTGAATCCAAATAACCATGTGAAAACTGTATTACATACTACAGCACATCTGAAAGCCTCTACTTGGCATGACTGTTGAACATACATATGACTCACATTTCTGTAGGTCTCAAAATTCAACAGAAATAATTCATGGTAAGAAAAAATAAATAAAAAAAGGAATTAAAAATGAAAGTAGGACTAACCATTCTTATGGAAAAAGAAGAAATAAGATTTCTATCTTATTGTTGGAAATAATAATAAATAGTCTTCTCTGTCCTGCCCAGGGAAAAAAAAGAACAGGGCAACACTCTGACCATCCAACCTCATGAAACCCTAAAACCAAGAAACCTCTTCAGAATTCTAGATTTCCTTATTTGGCTCTGAATTCAAGAGAAATGAGAAAATTGTTGAAGAAGCAGTGACACATGCCTTGCCTTATCAGTGAGGTACTAAGTTTTTTTCCAAGGAAAGTAGAGTTTGAAGCACAGTGAACCAAACCCCAGACCAGGACTATGCTGAAAGCATGCATATCAAGGTTTCAATAGCCATTGATAAATAGTCTCAAGTGTTTATAAAGATCCAATTTGAACTGCAAATGACAGTGCAAAAATAATCGATACCCAATTATCTCAGCCAACTATGTTGAGTTGATAGTTAATAAGGACAATCTAAAGTTTAATGGCAAGATTAGTGTGAAAAGAAACCACATGTTAACCACACCTAAACTGCTTAAAAGAGAGTGAAATGCTTAACAAAACAAAAAGATTTGTGAAGTGCTGTCCAGTTGGAAACTAAACAAAATTCCTCATTTGTAAGGGCAGCAATGATTTACCAAAAGAACAAAGACCAGCAATGTTTCAGCAACAAGAAACTTGTTTGTGCATTGCCATGTCACGCATTTAGGAAAATAGCAAACACAATAGTACATTATTCTCACTTTATTTATAAAGAAATAGAATTCAGAATAGATTGGTATCATTATGAATGTCTTGAAAAATCTAGATTTTACCTTTTGTAAACAACACTGACCACAGCAAACATTAAATATTTATTTTTAAATGATTGAATGAATGGTTTTAGCAATAAATGTATGCCCTACACAGTACTAATGAGCTTATGGTTATAGAGCATCTTTACATATATTATTTATCCTCATAAAGATGAGGATAAGACCTGTGGGTTTAGTCTTTTAGAGACGAAGAAATTAAGACCCACTTGTCCAATGTCACTGCAAAGCCAGATTCAAGCTCACGTTTTCTGATTCCTACAATCTTCCCACCTGAGCAAAGTTGCCTAAATGAAAAAACTGTTCTGCTCATGTTCAGATTATTGCACCTTCCCCTGGAGGCTTCTTATGTCTCAGGGAAGGAACTACTACCATATATGGTAGCTGTTAGATGCAGAATAAAAAATGTGTGTGGAGGGAATGTAATGCTTTTGTAAGAAAAGCATGCTTTCCTTCCTCAAAGTGAAATGAGGAGAGCTGGCAAATATGAAAAAAATGTCATTCTTTTCAAAATGTTCATAAATGTCTAAATATATACCATACATAGAATATAAATGACATTCATTTTATAATCTGGGGAAGTAAAGACCAAGTGCTTCCCTGGACTTCTGCCTTCAGCCTGCTCTCCTTCTGGGTCCTACCCATGGTGATTATCTTTGAGCTGTAGTTATGATCATAAGGCAATGGTTTCTAGTCACTAGATCTGGGGCTTTTTGAGTATTGACACAATGTTCTCCTGGTAAATTTTCTAGGATTGTTGCAGATGGTGCTGACCACTCAGAGTAAAAGATATTCAGCATTTTTTAAAATAAATGAACTGTTACGATTAATCAAGTGAGTACTGTTTGATGGCTATGACTCATTGATGAGAAAAATAAAACATGATCACACTCATGGTTATAATTTCTGGGATGTTGTAAGGCATAAAATACTTTTAATCTCTTAGAATTTTATACTGAGATGAGAAAATGGAATATGCTGTATCTTTTACTAGGGAAAGAAGAATCAAGATGACTCATTTATTTAGGAAGATAGGTTCTTGGGAAAAATTAAATTTTTATTTGCGATTGAGTGAATATACTAGCAGCTTGAAGTGGTCAGTGGACATCACATAGTTCTGTGTTAGTTCCACGAGCATTAAAAAATCTTTGTTCTTTTTTTTCTAAAACTTTGTGGAGTCATGAGGAAGTATCACATCTCTGGGACATAACACTTCCCCTTTAAACTCTGAACCTGGCATTTCATTTTCTGTTCCTTACCCCAAACATGGCCAAGGACTTTTCTTTTTTCTTTTTGGCTATCTTCTACTGGCTTCTTTTGTGCATATCTAAATAAGTTATTTATATTAATGTAAATATATTAAATACATAACACATTAAAGGAATGTTAGAGCATACGTGTACAGCCTTTATGCTACAATCCGTCTCCCTCATTATCTATTCTCAATTCAACATCCAGAGGGTCCTTTTAAATCATGAGTCAAATTGTGTCACTGCACTGCCTCCAACACTCCAAGGACTTCCTATTTCACACAGAGCAAAAGACATCTTTACAAAGGCGCTTTATGTTTGGCTGCCTGTAACCTTCCCTTAAATCTTTTATTTCCCCTTCTAATCAACTTGAGCATAGACAATATTCTCCCACCTTAGGCCTTTACACTAGCAATGTCTTCTCTTTGGAATCCCTTCATTAAGTCCTTATTCAAATGTTACTTTTTCAGGGGCCTTTCCTGAGAACCACAGTTAATCCTACACTTGGCATACCACTCCTACATCAACATTCTTGATCCTCCTTACCAGGCTGTACTTTTTCTTTTACCTTACTGCATATCAACATCTAACATCGGCTTTTATCTACGTTTTTGCCGAATTCATTGTTGAGGTGTGCTTTGGAAAGAATGTGTATTGATCCAAATGTTGCTGATTTTGTTTCTGTTTGTCTATTAACTAGTGAGAAAAGCATAAACACTGCCCCCAATATGATAGTTAATTTGTCTATTTTTCCTACAGTTCTGTCATTTCTTTTTGCTTTATGTAATTTGAGACTATATTATTGAGTATACAGAAGTTATAATATTCTGATGGATTGAACCTTTTATCATTATGTAGTGATTGTAAGAGCTAAAAATAATATTTGCCTTAAAATCTGCTTATCTGATAATATAGTTGCAGAACCCCTCATGAGTATTAATTGCCTGGAATATCATTTTCCATACTTTGGCAATAAGTTGTTTTGGGGTTCTTATATTTAAGATATGCCTGTTGAAAAAAAATATGGTTGTGAATTTTAAAAGATTTTTTAAATTCAGTTTTAAATCAGAATATTATATTTGCATTTATCTGATTTGCTGATAACTTGAATTTAAGTCTACTATCTTATTTTGTGCTATTTATACAGATTTTGCATTTTGCTTTTCTTCTCTTCTTTTGAATTGGGACCCTTTTTTCTTGTTTCATTTTATTTTTTATGTTTTCTACTTTGGAAATCATGATTTTTCTATGTTTAGATATATCTACATATGTAATATTTGTTTACTGTTCTTTATTGTATGTAGTGCTTTTGATTATCTTCCTTCTTTCTGAACTTCATCCTTTAGAATTTTCTTTAAAGTGTGTCAAGACATTTTTTAAACCCTCTCTGTTGTTCTTCTGAAAATGTCCATATTTTGTCCCTCTTGTTGAAAAATGTCTTTGCTAGATGAGAAATTAAATGTATATGGTTGTATTCTATGGAGTCATTGCAGCTGTTGAGATATCAGTTATTATTCAACTGTCCTTCCTTGAAAGGTAATCTTTTTTTTTTTTTTGGCTGATTGTTTAAGGTCTTGTTTGTTTTTGGTGTTCTTCAGTTTCACTATGACATTGTCTATTTATACATTTTTTTTACTGGTTTTATTTTTTGGATTAGAGATGCATTGTCTCTCAGCAATTCTGAAATGCTGTCATCTATTTTATCTTTGAATATTTTTTTTTTCCTTTTATAACTCTGTTTGTAGCTTAAGCCTTTTCACTCTATCCTCATTGTTCTCCTGTGTTGGGAATTCTCTTTTTATCCCTCTAGATTCTCTCTTCTCCATTCTGCTCTATTTTCTGGCTCAGCAACCTCTCTATTATGCATCATCTAAGTTTTCTTGTCTCTGGTGTCCAGGTATGCTTGGCCAATGAAAAGTACCAGCAGGACATTTGAGTGTGGGGAGAGAAAGGAGTATTTATTTCCCAACCTGCCTCCTTAGTAGGCTGTGGGTGAGCAGAAGCTGCATTCTTCTACCAAAGTTTGCAGTTCCTCTTGGACAACCCTATCCTATAGCTCCAATTACAGCTACCTCCAATTTCTTGTAACCTCTCCTTTTCTATGCTCCTTTAGACATGGAGGCAAAAATGGCTTTTTGCTGTTGCTAACCTCAGTATGTGTCATCATACCTTGTTGGTTTATTTAATTATACCTTTCTTATTTTCAGAAATCCACCCAGTTATTGTTATAGACTCTTGTTCTTTTCTCCCATTTCCATTGTGTATTTCCTGAAACACATACACTTTAGAAGGTTCTAGTATTTAAAAACTTTGCGATGTGATTCTTCTGATTCTTGTTACTGCTGACTTTGATACAGGATGTGGTTCCTTTTATGGTTTCTTGTTTCTTTGTATGTTTTATATAATGAACTTACTTTTCTGGACATTTGTCTTTGAGGATTTTTTTTAGGTCCTCATTAGTGTATTTTACTCCAAAGAATATCTAAGCTTTATTTCCCGACTCCAAGACCATTTCCAGCCACTAAAACAGGAGCTGAAGTTCTACAGTTAAATCTACCTTCAATTCTTACCTACCTTCTAGGAGGTTCTCCTTGATTTAGCTTCTAGCTACTTCCTAATTTTTTAGCCAGTGTGGCAACTCACTTAAAAATATATCGCTTGTATTTTATCCAGATTTTTTAGTTGATTTTATGGAAAGGTACTTTCAGGGTGTTTAGTGCTTCATGCTGACAATAATGGAGATCCCATTTTAAAAAACAAATAAATTCAGTTGTCATGATGATATATTTTAGAAGAGATAAAACAAGCTAATATGAATTATTTAAAATATGTTATACTAAAAATATGATGTAATGGAGCTTAGAAATGCCATCTCTAAGCTGCCAGAAATGACACAGACAGGAAGTAGCAAAGATAGGATTCACATTTCACTCATTCCAAAATCTCTAACACTTCTGTTAACCCTAGTTTTTTTGTATTACATCAGAATAATATTACTAAGAATACATATTGTTACTTTAGGCTTGAGTAAGAGCCATTAAATGCTGATTCTATGGGTATAAAAATGATGAATTGAAAAACAGCTGCTATGAGATACATTGGAAAGAATCAATAAAATAGTATATGGATTTTAACCAAAAGTCTCCCATCATTTTTGATAGTATTAAATCAAAGGAATTTATTTCACTGGTAAATGTTCTATGAAAAAGCACAGAGGATAAATAAGTCTGTGACTGTGGTGAAGAACCTGAAATAAGGAACGGCCTGAAACATAACATGACAGAAACTGGTTATTTTAGCAGGACTATTCCTAGACAAAATTTTAAAATAGGAAGAAAATTCATCTGCATGAGCCCTCAAGTCTCCTTTTGTTAATTTTCCTTTCTTCCTATGCTTTCTCTGCTTTTATCTCTTCTTACATTCTCTGCAGACCTAGGTAAGTCAATAATATCATAGGGTAAATTAATTCAATATTATAACTTTTAATACTTTACATACAGAAGACACATCGGGGAAAAATACAATGTATACATTTTACTTGTGGCAGTTCAGATACATAGCACCTGGATGAAGAGGATCCTTGGGAATCTTATACTTTTCAAATCGGATGATACGGATAAATTTATAATCTGCTTCCATATATGATTTTATATGTCATTCTGAAATAATTCTACCTATAATAAATATCTTGAAGCACTGCTAATGTTTTGCATGAAATCATCTATGCAAAAGATAGTGCTATTGAAACTCCAATAAATTGTTGTCTTAAATAATTATAATGCTCCTAGCTAGTCACTATACTTTTAAATATTATTCTTTTAGTCTTTCAGATTAATCATAGAATAATGATATGTTAGGAATGTTTATCACATTAGTAACATAGAAATGCTGGTGAGAAATTAGGTCAGTGTGAATTTAGGTCAGTAACCAGTAACACACACACACACATACACACACACACAATATAAGTATCTAATTTGGGGTTTATAACAGACTGTGGAGGTTTACAATAAAATGAAACATTATAATGTTTTGCTTCTCATTAAATATTTATGTCTTGTCCTTTCCTTTAGTTTTCCTTTTCCTCTCCTTTCCTTTTTTTTCTATTCTCTCTCTTTTCCTTTTAAATAATTATAATGTAATAAGGGATTATGGTAGTTATTTCTTGATACTTCCCATTACATTGTTGCTAAAATTGTTTATTTCTACTATTGTTATTGTTATACCCAAGTGGTTAACCTAGAGCCCTCTCATTACAATAACATGGAGGAAGCATCTTTCAAGTGTGAATTACCACTGGCATTCACTGAATCAGACTATTAACTCCTTGAGGGAAGAAATCAAGTCATGTTCACCACTGTAGCCTCAATGTCAATTAAAGTGGTTTGAACAAATCAGTACTCCATTTGACGAATGTTAAATAAACATATGCTGCAACAGAGTTTGATAATATAACACCTGCAGTTTTAACTATGAAGTCTTAAGTTTATGGGTATTTCAGAGAAGGTTCCCCAAAATATGTTAGTTAGTAAAAAAGAAAGTTACCATTCCACATACTGGAATTGAACCAAGTACTACATTGTTTCAAAACAGCATTAGTCTACCTTAGTGCTACAAACTCATATGACAAATGTGATATAATATAGTCTATTTGCAGGATCACTAATCAGGCCTTGCTAACAATTATTATACAGTTGCAGTTTTGTTCATGTTATTACATAGCTTATTATTATTACAGAAGCCAGTATGTCAAACTGACAATATACCATCTCATAAATTTAAGAACTCAAATTTTCAGGAATTTCCTTAGAGTAATGTTTGTGGGTAAAATTTTAAAAGCTGACAAAAAAGTAAGCATGTTTCCATCTTGGTGATTATGGTACTGGGAATGCTTAAAATTCTTACTATTTTTTTCTACTTGAAAAAATATACTAACTGGCTCTTTTGCATCCCATTTCTGTGTATATCAAATCTAAATTAAATAACCACTTATTGTTTCTTTGACAAAAGGCATTCTTATCAACATATGAAACAGCCATAACTCTAAGTGAGAATGTAGGCAGTTCAAATGTCTCCTTATCTGGAAAACAATGTAAATATGAAACATTAATTTCAATATGTAGTCTAATATTCAAATTAACATACAGGCTTTTCAAATAGATAATATTAAGTTAGGATATTCTTATTTACAACATTGGGCCACACTGAAGATTTGATGGTTTGACTTGCAGGAAGCATTATTAACATTAGGTACAAACTATGTTTTAAATCATTTACATGTAATGTGATACAATTCTAGTATCTATAGCTCAAGAAACAAACCATAAAATTTCTTGCATTTATCAATTAACTATTCAGGCATGTTTTGGAAGATGTTGCTAGCTGCCTTTTATCCTTTTTCCTTTTCTTTACTAAAAGAGCCCCAATTTTGTACATAAATGTTAAAATCTTGCATTTCCTAACTTTCAGTGACTATGAGTGGCGATGTGACCCAATACAAGCTAAAATGATGTAAGCCAAAGTTACTAGGAGTCTTAGGGAAAGCTCTTTAAAAGGAAAAAGAAGACAGGTTCTGTTGGCTTCTTAGTGTCTTCTTCACTTTGCCTTTCCCATCTTTCTGCTTGTAATATGGATATGACGGTATTGGTGGCGAATACAACATGCACACAACAACAGGAAGACAAGAGCCAAATTGCTAGGCAGAAAACTACAAGAAGCTGTACTCTCCAGGGGTGTCTCTGAGCTATCTCATCAGCCGCCTACGTGGTAGTAGAGATAATTACAGAAAAAATAAAACACAGGTTGGTTTGGGACAGTTTTGGGTGGTTACTTGAATGTAACCCATAACTTATCAACTGTCTTAGTAGTAAATATATTCAACCATACCTGTAAGGTTTGTGAACTCTTTTATTTAACTTCATTAAATATTTATGGAGTAGTAATTTATCACAGAACCTGAGCAAGTTCATAGCTTTCTTGAAGTGCCTAACTTGCTCCAGGGATTAATTTGCCTACTGGTTGGATAAGACAAATTAGCTTCGAGATATAGAACATTGCACCAGCTTAGGGGAAAACCTCAGTTATGATGAATGACAACAGGACATCCAAGTTGAAGCCAAACTATTTGAAATATTGGCCAACATATTTGGAATGGATAATTTTGATAATTTATCAAAATGTATATTTTAAAAATTAATTTCATTTCTGAGAAGCACAGCCAGTTTGTTATTAAAACAATTTATCATTTATTAATGGTGAATAAGTAGCAGGCAAGTTGCCATATTCATTATTAACTTGTCTCAACTTTTGTCTCACTTGTTTGAAGAAAGATAATATGTATAACTTCCCTTGAAACCTAATAGCAGTTATCATCTTTGTAAAAATGAACTTATAGAAAAAAGATTCAAAAATGGGTTTTTAAAATTAAGAAGCTGGATTTCCTAAATTTAGAGTAATAACATTGCTTCTTCACCTAGCATAACTACATAAGTGCACTGATATAGAGGCATCTTAAAGTCTATTTGGCACATGATCTGTGCAATAAGACTGGCAACTTCAATAAGGGTTATCATGACTTGTTATCACAACTCTAATTTTGGAAGCAAGGCTCTATCAGGAATTAAAATGGAAAAAAAGCAATTATGATATATTTTTGCTCACTTGAATTTGTTGAAATAAAAGGTAAACTATCAGCAGTTTACATTATTATAATTCACCCAAAATTTCATTTGCATTTTATACGTATAGTTTCCATTGATAAGATGAAAGTATAACAACATAATTAAACCAATGACATAGGTTTTAAGTTTCCCCTTTTTTGATATTTTTATCTAAAGTTTCTTGTACTTTCACACTTTGATATTTTCATTTTGTTCCTAACATAAATGTAAGGTGCTTAGTATCATGCCTATTCTAGTCCTATAGTGCTTTTGCTTGTTGTGGTAAAAAAAAAAAATAAATAACATGAGATCTAAATTCTTAACAAATTTTTAAGTGTACATTACAGGATTATTAATTATATACACATTGTTGTACAGCAAATCTTTAGAACTATTTCATCTTGCATGACTGAAATTCTATAGTTATTGAACAGCAATTCCCCATTTTCTCCTCCTCTCAACTCCTGGAAACCACCATTCTACTTTCTGTTTCTATGTGTTTGACTATTTAGATACCTCACATAAGTATAAACATTTAGTATTTGTCCTTCTGCGATTAGCTTATGTCACTTAGAATAACATCCTCAAAGTTCATCCATGTTTTTGCACGTGACAGGCTTTCCTTTTTTATGGCAAGTAATATTATACTGTGGACGCTCAAGATGTTGTCACTTCCCGGCTATTGTGAAAAAGGCTGAAATAATCATAAGGGCATAAATATATTTTTGAGATCCTGATTTCAATTGTTTTGGATAAATGCCTAGAAGTGGGATTGCTGGATTATATGGTAGTTCTTTTTATAAAATTTTGAGGAACCTCCATACTGTTAGAAAACAGTGGCTGCACATTTTACATTCCTACCAACAATGCAAAAAGGTTCTAATTTGTCCACATCCCTGCTAACAGTTTTCTTTTTTTTTATTAGCACGCATACTTGCTAACACTTAAAAAAACTGATTATGACCATCTTGACAGATAAGAGGTGATACCTCATTGTGGTTTTGAGTTGCATTTCCCCGATTATTAGTGATGCTGAGCATCTTTTCACAGATCTGTTTTTCTTTTTGGAAAAAATTGTGCCCATGTACCCTAAAACTTAAAGTATAATAATAAAAAAATTAAAAAAAAGTTTTTAAATTATTTGCCCACTTTTAAATTGGGTTATTTTGTTTTTGAATTTTAACAGTTTCTGTATATTTTGAATATTAACCCCTTATCAGATATGTCATGTGTAAATATTTTCTCCCATTCTGTAGTTGCCTTTTTATTCTGTTGATTGTTTTGTTATGCAGAAGTTTTTAGTTTGATGTTATCCCACATGTCTATTCTTACTTTTGTTGACCCTGTTTTTGGTGTCAAATCCAATAAATCATTGCCAAGACCAATTGGCAAGAAGCTTTTTCTGTGTTTTCTTTTAGGAATTTTATGGTTTCCCATCTTATCTTTAAATTTTTAATCCATTTTGAGTTGATTTTTGTGTGTGGGTATTCAGCTTTCCCCACACTATTTCTTGAAGAAACTATCCTTTCCCCATTGAATAGTCTTGATGCCATTGACAAAGATCATTTGAACATATATGAGTGAGTTTATTTCTCAGCTCTCTTTGTTCCATTGGTCTATATGTCTTTATGGCAGTAATATAATGTTTTAATACTGTAGTTTTGAAATCAAGCGATGTGAAGCCTCTATTTTGGTTATTATTATTTTTTTTTTGAAGACTGTTATGGCTATTCAGAGTCCTTTGAGGTTCCATGGGAGATAGGGGAGTTTTTCCAAATTATAGAATTGAAAAAACAATTACACAATTCACTTTAAAAATGCCATTGGGATTTTGGTAGAGATTGCATTGAATTTGTAGATTGCTTTGGGTAGCATGGGCATTTTAACAATATTAAGTCTTCAAATCCATGCACACAAGAGCCTCTTCATTTATTTAGGTCCTCTTCAATTCATTTTATCAATATTTAATAATTTTCAGTTTACAGGTCTTTTGCTTCCCTAATTATTTTTGTTGGTGTTACTTTAGATAAGATTAGTTTCTTAATTTCCTTTTTGAATTATTCATTGTTAATGTACAGAATGTAATTTATTTTTTGTGTGTTGATTTTGTATCCTGCAACTTTGCTGAACTGATATATTAGTTCTAACAGTTTGTGAATAGGGTTTTCTACGTATAACATCATGTCATCTGTGAACAGAGAAAATTGTACCTCTTTCTTATTTGTATGCCCTTTATTTCTTTTTCTTGCCTAATTGTTCTGAACAGTTCCTTGAGATGTAAGGAGAGTTGAACTCCAAATCCAAAGTATTCTGGCTTCTAATCAGGGCCCTAAGTAAGGCAAGACTATTACCAGTTGCTTGGGTAGCCATTCCAGGAGCTGAAATGCAGGATACACTCTCCACTCCTCTCCTTTCCTCCTGAAGGAGAAGCTTCAAGTTGTGTACCTTTTCTATTCACACCAAGTCATGCTGACTGGACCAAGCCATGCCCTCCTCTTCTTGTTCTCAGTGGGCCTCCAGGAATGCAAACTCTGCCAGTTCTGTCAGTGCTCTGAATGAGGTACTGACAGAAACCAGTCCCCCAGACAGCCCTCCAAAGAGCTAGAACTTTACATGCATGTTCCACTCTTCTCTTTTCCCTTGACCGAGAAGCAGGGAGCCAGGACATTCTCTCTTGGTGTTGGGAATGGGCTGATGCAGGTAAAGTAAAATTGCTCTTCTTACCTGTTTTAATGCAAGTGTTCCCAGCTTTGTGCTCACCTGGGATACTGCAACTTTTTAATTGGATTCTGGAATTCTCATAAAGGTATTTTGCTCCATGTATTATTGCTTAATCAATATTTCTGTGGAGGGGCTAGGACTTCTTATTATGTCATTTTACTGATGTCAGTACTCCCACAGTGCTTTTAACTTTTAAATAAATTATGTTAATTTTATCTGCCAGTGCTTTTAAAAATAACTTTGGTAGATACAGCAAGACAAAATGAAAACTCTTTGAATTGGCAGATATAATTGGATTTGCAAAGGTCCATTATGTCCCAAAGGATGCGTAATTTTGCTCTCAACTATAGAGAAAGTTATAGTTGCTCTTGCTTCAAATGTAGTGCACTTTTTTTTTCTAATCAGTACCATAGGATGATTTGTAAACCAGGTTAAACTTGCCTCAGAAAACAATGTTTTTAAAAATATATATCTTTAAATAAATATGCAGATTTGAAATTACTTATACAGTATATGAATAAAATATGGAAAAGTTAACATATTTATGCTTCTAAGTTCATGCCAAAACTAAGCTGTATTCATATGGTACCTCCAGCATGTCACCTAATTAGAAAGAGTTGACATTCGTCACTTATTTTCATTAATCTAGACATGCCAAACTGTCTCAGGGAATAATTTAGCTCGATGCTTCAGTCCATAATTTTGAAATTGACATCTATACTTGTCACTACTGCTGTAACTTTCATGTGAGGATAGCATTTATATCAGTGGCAGCTATAATCAAATGAAAAATGTGCTAAAATATACCCAGTAAATTAGGTAAGCTATCGACAGTGCCAAACCAATGATGCTTGCAATATGCTCCCAAATTCTGCCAAGGAGTATCTGAAAATTTTGAAGCACTCAGAGTATATTTTAAAAGAAATGATTAAGATTTTCTGATTATAAGAAATTGCACAACATATTTTGTTTAGGAAGCTATGGCTAAAAACACTAATTTTATACAAAGCTTAAAGACGTGTGTATCAAACACAGACAAAGACTTCACAGATAGCCTATAATGCATGCTTAATGAATATTTGCTACATGTATGAAGCAATGTATTCTTGTGTAACAAATGCCAAAGATGCTTGGCATTTTTTTTTTTTTTTGAGACGGAGTCTCTCTTTTTCGCCCAGGCTGGAGTGCAGTGGCGCGATCTCGGCTCACTGCAAGCTCTGCCTCCCAGGTTCACGCCATTCTCCAGCCTCAGTCTCCTGAGTAGCTGGGACTGCAGGCACCCACCACCACGCCCGGCTAATTTTTTTCATTTTTAGTAGAGACGGGTTTTCACCATGTTAGCCACGATGGTCTCGATCTCCTGACTTCGTGATCCACCCGTCCTGGCATCCCAAAGTGCTGGGATTACAGGCGTGAGCCACCGCGCCTGGCTGATGCTTGGCTTTTTATGAAAATGTTTTTCAATAATATTCCAAAGAATATTAAAAAACAAATTTGCTCTTCTTTTATAAGGAATAAAATTAATATGTGCCAGGGAAATAATTTTCCTTGAAGAAAAAACCAGAAAATTAATAATGGAGTAAGATTATTACTGTTGTGCTATGTCCTTGAGTTTCATTAGAAGAAAGAGTCACACTGACTTGAAATTAATATTTGTTTTGGAAAACATTGATGGATTCTCTAACTGTATCTTACCATCTCTTATCGCATGCTTGCCTGTCATCATCCATAAAGTATTCATATCTGTTAAATCTCCTTGAGGAGTGAGCCTAATCCTTATGCGACTGTCATTGAAGGCCAAGAATTATCCTGTGAGGGTGTTTTTGGTTTTTTTTTTTCAATCACTTTGATTCTTTAAGCCATCTTTACCACCCTTAAGCCGTTTTGTAATGTCTAAAGCTGCTTGCACAAAAAGCTGGAGGCAGTTTGTGAACTGCGTAAAAGAACCAGGCTTAGGAGCCTGTCTACCAAACCATATACTTTTGCATGGAATTGCATGTGCATGGAGGAAGGGGAGTCATTTTTCAATTAGCAAAGGTGCCATATGGGCTAGTGGTCTCTTTGTTGACATCTTTCCTAGAGGGTTACCAGAACTTCCCAAATTACTTCTAATCTCTATTATCACTTCCTTCCAATTTCATTATCTAAAGCAATCCCAGAATATTTTTGAATGCTCTAGATATTTAATTACCTTTTATATGTCATACACAAATCTTCAAAATCTGAAGCCTAGTAACATTTCCAGATTTCACTTCCTTTCTTCCGTAGTACTGTAGGTCTGCTTAAAATCTTGGTTAGGCAAAGCACATATATCATCCTCACTTCCCATAGCTTTCTCTCCCTTCAAAATTGAGGGAAAAAAATAAGAATAAAACAAGAACTAACAATTTGAGAATACTCACTGTAACTAGGCACTATTGTAGGTACTTTATGAAGTAAATAAGTTACTATTATAATTTCCACTTTATGTATGAATAAACTGAGGCAACAAAAAGTAAAGTAACTTGTACGTCATGTAACTGGTGAGTGGTGAAGCCAGGTACTGAAGTGTATAGTGAGTGAGACAGAATCTAACAATATCTGTATGTTCACATTCCAATAGCAATAACATTTTAGAGAATGGGAAATCTTGAAAAACTGCATCGTAATGTTTAATAAATCTTTAAAAAATCTTTAATTCTGTGTCAGCACATGATTACTTTCTCAAAAGAATATTTTCTCAACATTTTCTGGTAGCTTTCTAGAATCCATAAAAATACAATCCCATTTGCCTTTTCTCATAGTGATACCTTTAAATATACTATTTGTGCTGTCTACAACATATCTCATCACCTGTTTTTACCTAGTGTCTCACAGTGTTACTAAAAGTCAAAAACCACTTCAAATATTTGTCACAGAGAGAACTGAGTGCAAGGAAATTGGTTACACAGGAGGTGGAGGAGCTGAGAAGCCCAAGAGAGGGCAGAGAGTAGCAAGAGCTGGAAGCCAGTATGTATGTAAACAGGAAGAGGCATGTTTCTGAAGCCCAGGGCCTTGATTCATATAGCAGAGGTTGAAACCTTAGTAGGCTTACTGGGCAGGAGCCAAAAACATGATGGAGGATATGTAGCTGCTGCTAGTGAAGGCCCCTGTGGTGGGAGAGAAATACTCTGGCTTTTCCCATTTCTCTTTCTTCTCCAACCAGTGTCTCCCACTGGTTAATTGCAGCCAGAAACCAGCTATAGGTCTTCTCCCTGGACATGGAGCAAGGCAGAAGAAGGACAATAATTGGTTTTCAGGATTAATAGGCTCCACCCTTGCTCATCTAGTGAGTATGTCGTTCTTAGGCCTTCCTCAGGAGATCTCCCTGTTCCTCTTATAGACTCCCACAGAACCATACAATTCCCTTTTCATAACACCTCGAGTATTATTTTCATACAAATTAATAATAGTTAATTTATGAACAATTACCAAGAGACAGACACTAAATGTTACACACACTCATTTAAACCTCCAAACAATCATAAAATCAAGTCTGTATTTTTTCTTAAAGGTTACGTTCCATGAAGACAGGGTCCACGTCTATTTACCTTGTTTAGTATTATTAACCTAGTATTCTGGTTGAATCATTAAAATTGAATCATTAAAATTATTGAATCATTAAAATTCCTAGAAATAAATCTGAAAAAAAGGATTACTAGATAAACTTTTGAAAACATTTTATATTAGCTAAAGGCATTTTCATTTGTATTTAGAGAAATCTATTCAAAGAATCACTGAATTTTACATGTGTTGATCTGGAATGTATCTAGCTAGCTAGCTATCTCAGGTAAATTTGGAAAAGAAGCAAATAGCAAGTATACACTCAATAAAATAATATATCAATTGAAAAAATCATCCCATATGTAGCATGTAGTCTAAAGTAGATAGAAAATATGAGAGAAATATTAAGAAACATGTATGATTGCTTGTGCATACTTAATATACATATAATGGGATTTTGAAAAGGAGAGAATGAGTTAGAAATAGTATTTGAAGAACTGAAAGATATTTTTCCAGAAGTAAATAAAAATATAAGCTTCAAATTGAAGGGGCCTATAGGCTTTAGAAAAAAAACAAGTAAAAATAAATCTACACTAAATAAATTGTAGAAGGAATGGAAAACATTAGATACAAAATAAATTCTTGAAAGTTACTAGGGAGCCTACAGAGCATCAAAATCAGAATCATGGCCAGTTTATCCACAAAGATGGTTGCTAGAACTGAAAATATCTTCTGTGTTGAGGAAAGTAAGCAAAAATTTAGCATTTTACATCCACTTGAGTTCTAGCACTCAAGATTGAAAGCAAAATAAAGGCACTTTAATTTGAAAATTAGACATTCTTTTGTTTCACAGAATCTTTAAAGGGTGCATTATAAAAAGAAAGTTAAATCTGGTAGGAAAGTAGAATTCAAATGCCCACCCCATGGGCCTTATACACATCTAGTGCTGGCTAGCAAAGTGTGTGGATGACTTTTGGCTAATTTTCTGCCCATTTAAGTACAAACTCATTTCTCACTGAAGACCAAAAGACCTGAAAATGTGTTATATATTTTTTGGCATTAATAGCAGGAATCTTTTGGTTTGTGCCCATAATACATTTCTAGTGGGGACATATATTCTAGGATTCTGTTTCCTACTATGACATTTTTTTTTCTTTCCAAGATTTTCCTCTAGATGTTGTAATCTTTAGAATGACGTAGGCCAGCTCTGATATGTGGTTGCTGGACCCAACTTCTGGCTGCCTCTAAAAGCAGCTCCCATGATGCAGGGTACTCAATCTGAATAGCCAGTGAAACCTCTTAAGAATAGAGATCCTTAAACCCTATTTCAGATTTATTAAAAAAGACTGTGTTGGTGTCAAATCATTTAACAGATGTATTAGTGCTGCCAGGATTGATAAGCACTACTATAGAGGTTCGGCTGCACTGGTTTTAAATTGATACAGATTTTTCAGAACCAAGGAGTAGATATCATAGGAAGCAGTGAATGTGTACTGAAGCCATGTGAAGATTGCATAGGAATGCTCAAAGACCAACATTCCTGTCTTTAATGGCAGCAGCTTCCCTCTTTGTGACAGCATAGCACATGCAGCCAAGGAGTTTCATCAAGGACTCCAGCTAGATTAGGAAGTGTTGACTTTCAAATTAGAAGTCAACATTTAACTTTGATTATGCATGAAACTACAAAGCCAAATATTGGTAAGTCCCTAATATCCCTTTTTATATTAGTGCTATTCTAAATGTTATATATGTACCACATACTATTATAACTGTTTGAAATATGAATTTACTTATTTACACTATTTTATTGCCTTATTCCAAAAAGATGAAGAAAAATGTAAACAATGGCTTAAGTAGAAATCTATGCAAAGATACTCATCAGACTCTCATATCTATTTAAAATATCCCTTAGCAAATGGAAAAAATAATAAAGTAAAATAAATATATAAGGCTCTAGCACTTTAATAGCAATTTTAAGTTATAGTTACAAAAATGAGTTTAAAAACATACGGCATGTATTATCCATACTCTCAGTTTGAAAAAAAGGGAGTAAGCTCTGAGCCTAATTATAAGTATGCTGTCCAATTAGCCATTATGTACATCTTTTTAATCATTCATATAAATAACTTGACTTCCAAAATTTTAGAATATCAGTGATAAGTCATCTATAACAAGCTATTATTCCATTCTGAGGTATAAAACTTAATACAATATGGCCTTTGACCTTGAGGAATTTGCAATCTGGAACAAGAAAAAATTCCAGTTCTATTTTATTGTAAATGTTTACTAGAAAAATCAATTCAATACCAAGATTTATCATAGTTCCAAACCAAAACAATTGGAACATTTTATGGTATCACTTTTATAAAACCTCATCTTTATATTTTCTCATAGTATTATGAATGCATTTTTATATCTTTTTGTGGCTTCTCTGCCCTATAGGATACACTTATTAATTAAACATCAGGTTATTCATTACAAAAGCATTTTCTAAAAAAAGCAGTATTGTGTAGTCGCTAAAGTCATGTGCTCTGTTTCCAAAGAGCAGTTCAAACAAAGACTGAGTGATCCTGAAGAATTACCCAGGTTCTCTGTGCCTCATTCTAAAAGTGAAGAATGATGAAAAATATAAAGAAAATGTTGAGAATTGAACAAAAAGGGAAAAGAAAATTCATGTTATTAATTTAGGAGGTCAAGTGTCTTAACTAATTGCAATTCCATAAAGAACACACAAAATGAAGGAAACATTACAGAAAGACAAGGTAGTTTTCCAGAACTGAAGGCCTGAGCCTCTATATGGTGAAGGCCCACCATATAAGTAAGTATTTTATAGTTATTGATGCTACAGTTAATGCAGTTTTAAATTTTTCAGAAATACAATTGATTATTTTATATTGAACTTGCATATTTAGAATTTGTCAGTCTTAATTAGTTCAGGTAGTTGGCTTTATAGATTCCTTTGGGTTTTGTATAAAATTAATTATGTCATCTGTGAATAAAAAAAAAAGATTTTACTTCTTTTCCAAACTTTGTGCCTTTTCTTACTGTACTACCATGGCTAGACCTTCTGATACAATGTAGTGTACAAGTTACAACAATGAATATTCTTGCTTTGTTCTCTATCTTGAAGAAGGCACTCGATTAATTAAGTCTGACATTAGCTATAGATTTTTGTAGGTACTCTTATTAAATGGAGGAAATTTTTTTCTATTCTAGACTTGGTAAGGGGTTTTATGACTAAAGGTTATTTAATTTGTCAAATGCTTTTTTCTGCATTTATTTTGATGGTCACAAGGTTTTTCTCCTTTATCCTGTTAATATGGTGAATAAAATTGTTTGATTTTTCAGTGTTAATCCTCAGATAAGCCTAATCTGTTAATGATGCATTTTTTTTATATATTGGTAGATTAAATTTGCTAACATTTTGTCAAAGATTTTTGTGTCTATTCCTTAGCAAAAAACTTGATACCAGGTTTTGGTATCAAGGTTAATTGGGAAGTGTTTACTCTTCCAGTATTTTTTGAACGTGTGTGCTTAATATTGGTAATATTTCTTCCTTTAATAGTTGATAGAAGTCACCAGTGAAACCATATGGTTAAAAAAGCAAGAACTAATTTTATCTGTTTACAAGAAGTACACTGAAAATAAAAGGATGGAAAATAATCTATCATGCAAACTGGAAGCATATGAAAGTTAGTGAGGCTACAGCTTTATCAGAAAAATGTAAAATATAAGACAAAGACTTTAAAAAGAGAGACAGAGATTTTTGATAATGATAAACAGGATAATTCATCAGGAAGATGTAGCAACCGTAAATGTGTTTGCACCAAGTAAGAGATTCTAAATGTACGAAGCAAAAACTCACAGAAAAAAAGAGAGAAATACAAAAATATGCCACCATACTTAAAAAACACAATATCTCTCTCTTGGAAATTGAAAAAGGTTAGAGGAAATTAGTAAGAGTACAGAAGATATGAATATCACTCTCAATCACCTTGTTCTTATTGATATTTATAGAATGCTATATCCAACAAATGCAGAACAGGCAATCTTTTCACATGGACATAGAATATATTCCAAGATAGACCATATATAGGACATTGAAACAATGAAATCCTTTAAAACTAAAAATTTTGCCAAGCATTGCATTAACTGCATCCCACAAATTTTGCTACATTTTTATTTTTATTCAGCTTGAAATATTTTTAATTTGTTTGTGATTCCTTCTTCAATGCATGGGTTATTTTTAAATACGTTGTTTAATTTAGGACATTTAGGGATCTTCTAGTTTTTTTTTAATTCCTAATTATGCTGTTACCAGAAAATACACTTCACAAGCCAGCAGAGGGGTTACTTGGCCTTCTTTCCAAATCAAATAAGGGAGTGGAGGATGCCTCAAAACAATCATACAATTTTGGAATTTCTGTCAACTTCCTATAGTAATCTGACATTAATCCCTCAGCCTGATGAGTAAAGAGAGCAAAGAAGTTGAGAGTAATTTTAAACAGAGAGAGGGATTAGGGTAGTTTACCTCCATCCATCACATGACCTAGCAAGGAGCAAAACTTTCCTATGGTTAATAAGACATATTGCTCATCATTGGGAAAGAGGACTTGAACTGCAAAAGAATGTGGGACACACCATTAGGAAAACAGCTGAAGGAGGCTGGAGGAGAATGTGCTGCAGAGGAATTTCTGTTTTTGGAGAAAAGAGTTGTTTTGTTGGGCCCTCATGTGATATTGGCTGGCAGTTGGCCAGGTTCTGCAGATACACATTTGTACAAGCACTCTTTTTTTACTGACTGTGAGAGTTAATTTTATATGTTAACTTAACTGGGCTAAGGGATGCCCAGATAGCTGGTAAAACATTATTTCTCTGTGTGTTTGTGTGGGTATTTCCTGAAAAGATTAGTATTTCAATCAGTAGACTAAGTAAAGAAGATCCGAGCTCAACAATGTGAGCAGGTATCATCTCATCCATTTAGAACCAAGAACAAAAGACAGATGAAGATCCAATGCTTCCCCTATCTTCCTGAGCTGAGGCCCATTTTCTCCCACCCTTGGACACAGGAGCCCCTGCTTCTTGGGCCTTCAGATTTCAGGACTTACACCACTGGCTGCCCCCATTATTCCCATGCCTTCAGCCTTGGACTGAGAGTTATACCATCAGCTCCCCTGGTTCTAATTCAGACTGGATTACACCTCTGGCTTTCCTGGCTCTCCAGCCTGCAGATGGCATATCATGGGACTTCTCAGCCTTCATAATTACATTAGCCATTTTCCACAATAAATCTCTTCCAATCAATCGTATAATCTATCTATCTATCTATCTATCTATCTATCTATCTATCTATCTATGTATCATCTGTCATTAGTTCTGTTTCTCTAGAGAATACCAACTGATACAATGACTTTTGCAATTTTCATAAAGTTTTCAGTCTATTTAAAACATCTACTTAAACACATGATGTTTTCATGTTGTCAGCCATATGCATATCTTTTTAACTGGCATGATTTTATCAGGGAAAATCTGAAGTTGCACTGGCTATTTTGAGAAAACTTTGACATTATTGAGTGTGTTTGAGAGGCACGTTAGAGCAAACAAGAAGAAAAAGAAAAGACGAGAAAGAAAGAGAAACTCCTCATGAACAGATTCTGTCTTGTCTGCCTAAAAAGTAAGTTATTATATTTACTATAATAGATCTCCTTACTTTTGCTTGAAGGTAATTTCTTCTCATATTTCCTTTTTTACCTTCCTATCCTTATCTTTTCCTTTTTTCTTGGGAAATATTACACATTAATTGATCATAACTTTTTGATATTTGAATATAATGGTTTATTTGCATTAGAAAAATTTCAAGCAAGATTTGTTATATTTTGAATAAGTTAGAGTGATTTAATTTAAAATGTAAAATGACTACATTTTTCTCTCTGATATGGTACCCATGTAAAAATAGCATTAGCATAGTATTTTTATTAAAAGAAAATTTAGTTATAACATTTCATGATTTAAACTTTATAAAATTATCATAATAGCAATAGGCCTTGTAAACTATTATTGCTTCCTCAAAGGTTTTCAAATTACAAAAACCTAAAATTGTATTCAACCACATGAAATAATATTAAGCATCAGTTAAATGGTTTACTGTTATGAATTATTTTAATGCTACCATGCTACCAACCATGAAGCTCTAACAGCTAGCTTAAATTATAACTTCCAGATCTTTATTCAACTTAAAACTTTTTACTATTATTAAAACGAGGTAACTAATAAATGATATTTGACTACTTGAATAATTTTAAGGAAAAGATACAGGCATATGTCACCATACAGTTTTAAATTAACTTTTAAAATTTTTATATGTAGACTGGCTATCAAGCAATGCTATGTACAAATGTCTTGATGATTATATATTTTAAAATTTGTTTAAGTTCTAAAAAAAAAGTGTGCTTATAGAAAATATAGCTACAAAATTATTAATTTTTCAGCTTCTAGTTCTCTTTTGCCCGAAAAGCAAGTTGATTATTTTGGTTAAAGGTGGTAATTAATATAAAAAATTGAGATAATGCTAGCTATAATGCTTCCATAGGAATAAAAATATGCATACAAATTATAAGTAGCTTGTAATTTTAATAAGCTGTAAAGGTTATTAATATGATAAATTTAGTAATATATATATGAATGCTGATTAATTTATTTCTTAAAGCTAATGTTTAGAGTTTTCATTTTACCCTTTATTTCCCTCTACTCATATATATTTGTATATGTCTAAATAAATAAACAGAGTATTAAGGATTAATTGAAAGATTTATAATAAAAAGAAAATAGAAGACAAACTTAAAGTACTGCCCATGTAAAAGGTCTGAGATAGGTAATTTCAGTTTGTCTAGGTTTCTAGTGCTGATGGAGAATGAATAAATATATGAAATGTATGAGAAATATGTAAGTGGAATAAATATATGCATTGTCTTCAAAATTGTTTTGAGTACTGTTGTTCCAGAGTGAGTGAATTTATTCCTAATGTAAAAAGTTATAAAATATTACTATAACTTGTTACATGGAAAAAATAAAGGAATAAATTCAGAATCTGGGATGTCTTGTCATAAAATGTCCAAGTTCTCTATCCAGGTAAAAGAATTTCCTTGTATCACCAAAAATATTTTATTGACCCTCTGAACTTTTTTGTTTCCTGAATCATTTTGAAAGAAAATTTCATTATTTTTGAAAGGTAATTTCCTAATAAATATCTTAATTGTGTTTATGAAATATTGCCAATAATGACTTTGTAGATATTATGACTTATGTTAGTATTTTACTGCATTAACAACCTTTATTGATTTTTTCTTTTCCAAATTCAAGTAGCAACTAAAAATAATAAAACTTTTAAGATTTCATTTAAACCTGAATTACCTTTGCTCCTCCATATTACAAGTGAAAAGACAATGGAACTATTTGTGATTCATTTCTCAAATTTTAATTAACTCAAAATTACAGGTACTTTATTTACCAAAGTTAGAATTAAAAAAAAATGACAAAAGAGAAATTCAGTCCTCCTATATTAAATAAAATAAATATAACAAAATATTTATTTATATTAACATAATAAATTAAAATATCTATGTTTAATGATTGTGTATTTCTCAGAAACACCCTTGTGTTCTCTAAAAAGAACAATGCATAATGAGTCTAAAAAGTGACTTTGTTCCTGAGTTATTAATTCATTATTCTTACTAATCAGGAACAATCATAGTGCTCACTATTATACAAGTCAAAAAGTATCTATTACACAAGTCAAAAAGTTTACACTGTTTATAACATGTTCTTCCTCCCAGGACAATCATGGATTACATCCTCAAGAATTAATTGTGTGTTATATGTAAATAGAGGATTTCAATTTCTACCATTATAACATTCTGAGAGATTTCATCTTGTGGAAAAGACATCAGAAAAAAAATCTCCCTTAAGACAGTGAAATGGATGTTATCTGGTACCGTTAAAAACTAACAACAGTAAAATGCTAGAATGTTTTTCCTCAGACCTGTATCCTTCTGGAGACTTCAAGCTGAAGACATTTAGGAATCCTCCAGAAGTGGACAAACTTTGAGAGTATGATAAAGTTTTTGCCAAAGACCCTCAGATCAAGTAGACAATGGCAAGGAGTAAATATCTTGCACCTAATGCCAACAGAACAAGAACCAGATATCTAGAGTCACAGACAGTTATGGTTCAAACTGCACGTTTTTATTTTCCCAGCTATTTTCTTTCCTCTTTCCTGTTTTAAAGTTGTGGATTATTAACCGATTTTTTTTTTAGCTGGTAACTATGATTCTTGAAAGTTTCTATCCTTAATATTGGTTTTTGCATTTGTAGGTATTGATATAATTCAAATCCTGGCAGGAATTTAATTTCTTATGATTTAGCTAAAATATATAAGCAATCTAGCCATTGAGTTTGTTTCTACTCAGCTTCCTTTGATACCAGTTTATAAAAGTAAGTGACTTGGTTTCCTGGATATTTGATCTAACTCCTAAAGCATTAATTGAGGGCAAACAATGCCATGGGCCAGAGAGCCAGAAATCTAAAACCCCTTTAAAGATGTCCTTATACAGGAAGGCTCCTGTCTTCACAGAATCAACATTCAGAGTCCTTTCATAGAGCTTGTTTGGGTAGTAAAATTTTCACAAAAATAGAGTTTGCAGAAAAGCTAGAGAAGTACTGGTGTATAATTGTGAGGCTGATGTTTCACTTTTACAGAAGTGATTAGAAAACCATACCACTTAGGCTCATCTCTACATTTTTGCTTTAGGGGTAACTAATGATCTATATACTAAAAGTTTCATTATCTAATGCATGATAATTCTTGATGAGTCATGACAGAACAATACAATACAAAAACACCATTTGGTTATTGTGGCTGAAACAGATCATTGGGTAGCCTTTAATAACTCTTACTAAATTTGGGACACAAAAGCCCATTGGTTACTACCTATAATTTAGACAGGATCTGTTACTTAATAAACTGATACCTGTCATTAAATTAGTCTTTGATATTATCCAGAATCCTGTTTGGACCATCAGTTTTCCTCCTTTGACAAAAAAATAGAAAATTTTAGAAAGAGAAAACTGGGTTTCAGTTTGAGTTAAAAAACTTAGATACTAAAAGGAGTTTTGGATTAGATTAAATTTTTCAGCCCAAGCCTCTTTGTTCACACTTTGTTTCACTCTTTATACTGGAGGTCTGAAAATTGGGCAGATGGCTACCTGCTATAACAAAGTACAGTGCAAAGACTAGGAGGATAACAAGACAATACACCATAGAACTCACCCAAGAGGTTCATAAAATTCGTCAAGTGGTGATTCAAAACAGAGTTGCTTTAAATATAATAATAATCTTGAAGTGGAATATGTGTTGTCTTAGGTGGAGAACATTGTACTTTCATTTGAACAGATCTCTATGGTTCCAAAAAACAAAAATAATTTCATAAAACAAAGAAATAGTAAAATTAGATAATTTATTTAATGTACCCATATCTGGTTCTACAGATTCTTCAGATTAGGGGTGAGTGCTCTTGGCTTAATTGATATACTCTCGGTTCTTAACTTGCAAGCAGACTACAAACTCCAAGGATACTAATCCTCTATTTCATCCATTATAGGAATCAAATTGTGATCTCCAGTTTTAAGTGCTGCTCCACAGTCACTGTTCTGTCTCATTAAAAATGCAACAAATGATTTTCTAATGAAAAGAACAAGAATATATGCCACTTTCAGAAACTGGAATGACTACCATCAGAAATTCTACACTTGATCATGACGTATCAAACAGAAGTACAGATCTGAATTAATTATTCCCAGACAATAATAGTCTGTATTCAGGCACAGGGTTAGAAATGACCAAATGAATGATTAATATTTAGTACTAAAATGAATATAATTTTTGACATAGTGTTAAACGCTACTGAGAGCTGGATTACTTTCTTGTATTTAAATTAAGCAACATTGAGACAGTGCATACTTTCCCATCTTTATATTAAAATTGAGAACAAACAAAATAAACTTGGCTATTCTCTAAGAAATATTTGCTTCTGAAAGATAATTCTGTAAACTAACCCAAAATTTCTTTTCTTGACACTAACATATTGCTCATCAAGACTCACTTCATTGTGCCCTCCAATCCCACCCTTTCTCTCTCTTTGCAAAACTGGCCTTAAAATCTCAGGCGAGGCTCTTAAACCCTAAAAATGTGTCACCTTTCTATTCTGGACTAATACTAAGATTATCTCAAGGTGGCATTTTCTTTTACTGCACTAGGCTTAAGAAATTCAGCTTTGCTTCATCAAGTCTCTGCTTATCTTTAAAAAACATTCTTTGTCCTTTAGAAAATCAACAGTTGACATATTAAAATGATTCTGTGTAATTAAGTAAAATATATTAGTTACAGGGAGATGGATTACATAAGGTAAAGCTATTTAACAGAATAGATGCTTACAAATAGTCATGAAAGAAAAGAAAGGAAAAGAAGATTAACGTGTATTTCATAACCCTGAGGAATACTATTTGACTTTTAAATAAATTACCTCATTTAATTCCCCAAAAATCCAGTCAATTTTCCAAAATTTTAGGTAGAAATAGAACTGGTAAGATTAAATATCTTGCCAAAGCCTCCATGTTTAGTTGTGATAAGTGGGTTGTGGGATGTGATAAGAGATCAGGTCTTCTAACTAGCAGTCTTGTATTGCTACTCTTTTTTCCAACTCTGCAATGCTCAAATATTTATGTAGAATTAACCCCAAGACTTAGGACAAAATTATTTTTAATATGAATATGTAAAGACAATAATACTTTTTATGGAAAATATAAAAACAGTGTGAGACATTGACGTGAAACAAACTCAAAGAAGAATTAGAAAACCACCTAAATTTATTTAGAGCTATTAAAGACATTTATTCAGTAGTTTAAAACCTACCTCCTCAAAATGAAACAAATGCCACCCTAAATCCCCGCACTGAATCTAGGTGTTTAGTTAACCCACCTTATATAAACTCTGTGTGCGGGGGAGCGGGGGAGGGGAAGAGAGAGAGAGAGAGAAAGAGAGAAGGGTGAAGGCGAAGGAAGTGAAGAGAGAGTTTCCCAACTAATACGAAGTCACTGTAACTTTTATACCAAAGAACACAACAAGGGCAATATGAGAGAAGAAAATTAGAGTCTAATTTCATTCATAAACAAAGTTGAAACATCATGAATAAAATATTAGCAAATTAAATCCAGTCAGATATAAATATTTATATCTTTTATGATCAATATAAGTTTCCAAGTATTCCAGACTGCATGGTTGGTTTAACACTAGACTGTCCATTGTAATTCCTCCAATGAATATATTAAAGGATAAAAATAATACAACCACTTCAACATGTGCAGAAATATTTTAGGTGAATTTCAACTCTGAGGTCTTTATTTGTCAACAAATGAGGAATACCGAAATTTCTTTGACCTGAGAAAGGTTAAAGAAACAAATATCATGGTTAATGGTGAACATAAGAAACATTCCCTTTATAGCCAAAAACAAAATAAATGAATCCATTATCACCATTTGTATTTAACATTTTGCTGGAACTTCTGAACAGCCATAATAAGAAAAAAAATGATTACAAGATTACAGAAGGTGTTTAGATAACCATAGCCTTTAATCCTCCTACTTGCTAACTACAAAATGTATCTGTCTCTGTGTGTGTGTGTGTGTGTGTCTGTGCCTGGATGTAAAATCCTCTGGATTTGTAGTGATAGTAGAACTCATTTTTTGAATTTATTGGTGAGGAGAATATATTCTAAAATGCAGCTGGACTTTGAATTCTCATTTTGCCTAAGAAAAATGCCTAACAGATGAAACTGTCATATACAAGTAACATAAAAATTTCTCAATAGATTTAGAATTGAACGGAACTGAATAGAATCACATATGTGGTTGCATGACCTGAAAACACAAATCTGGCCATTCTTTTTTCAAGAAATATAAAACTCTACACTTATCCTAGGTACTATTGAATTGATGCATGGTAGATTCTTTGAAACCAGGAAGTAGGTTTGGTATTCATTCATTTATTCAATCATTCAATGAATATGTCCTAAACAAACTTTTTCAATTTAATATTTTACCTACCAACTTAAAAAGATGAACAAATCCCATTTATTAAGGGAAATTGTTAATTTATTTACTAATATCTGCATGATTTAGGTAAAAATTGATATGTGTTTTGCTCATTTTCACTAATTTAATATCTGCTATTAGATGATTTTCTATGATTCATGCCATTAATATTGACATACTATTTTTTTAAAAAAACATCAGTAATGTGATGTGTATCTTATTTTGATATATCTTTAATTGCATTAGTTTCATAGGTACTGGAGTATATTGCTAGGTTGTGCAAGCACACTATCAACTTTTGGTTGTTTTCTGTGAGCAAACATTATCCTTTGTTCTAAATTGTTATTATTTTTAAAATCCGGACATCATAAAAAGATTATATTGAAAATGTGGTCTGTAAAATAAATTTCAACAGGAAAAATTCCAATTATTTTTATTACAAAAGCATTTTAGATGGATAAACAATTAAAAAATCTTTTTTTGTCAAAAATACAAAGTTTGCATTGTTTGGTTATCTATACCATTTATTACCTCTGATTTTTGCTTTTTGACCTTATCTATTATCTATTTTAGATTCTCAAAATAACTGCATTATCCTTTTAAATTCAATGCACCAAAATTATTCCTGCCATAATAAACATTGTTAAAAAGCAGTTTTAATAGAATTCTTTTTAGTCTTTTGGTAGTTATGGATTAATCACTTTCGCTAAGCTTAAAGCAAACACTAAATACACCATGGAATACTATGCAGCCATAAATAAGAATGAGATCATGTTCTTTGCAGGGACATGGATGGAGCTGGAGGACATTATCCTTAGCAAATGAACACAGGAACAGAAAACCAAACACTGCATGTTCTCATTTATAAGTGGGAGCTAAATGATGAGAGCACAAGGACACATAGAGGGGAACAAACGCTGGTGCCTTTTGGAGGGTGGAGGGTGGAGGAGGGAAGAGATCAGGAAAACAAGTTATGGGTATTAGCCTGATGAAATAATCTGTACAACAAACCCCCGTAACACAACTTTGTCTATGTAACAAACCTGCACATATATCCTTGAACTTAAAATAAAAAGTTTAAACAAGCAATTTTAAATACTTGAATGTCAGACATTTTCTGCTTCTCACTTCTCAATTTTCCGCTCAGTCAAATTTTCTTTTATGTGTGCTTCAGTCTGCGGCCCAGTCTGACTCTGTCATTAGGATCACTGGCTTTCTGTAATCATCTTTAAGTTTAAAAACCATCCCAGAAGCTGAGATGCCAGTGGCTGCATTGTGCCATGTCCAAAGTACCCTAAGAAAGGTGGTCACAGGAATTGTGTACATACAACCAGAGCTCAAAGCTAAGAGAGAAAGGGTAATTTGGATTTCATAGACATAAAGGAACAGAAATCTAATGGAATTCATAGTTAGGTTGACAGAGTGAGCATCTGCTTATCCGGAAAACATAAAAGTTACAAGGTTTCAATAGAACCATAAATCAGGTATGAACAGCATTATTCTTCCAGAACCAAGAAGTATTTTTAGGACTCAAAGCATAGATGAAAACTGTCACAGAAGAGCTGGGCCACATGGGAAAACAGATTCTTAAGGAATCTATCTGCAACATTTTAAAATGATTATCTCAAAGATCTTGCAGACCGCATGAATATATAATGTATTATCTAAAGTTTTCAAAATCAACATAAAATTAGATGACAATATAGCTTGTAGCTATAGCAAGCTCTAGAGCCAGACTACTTAGGAACACTTCATGGCTCTTTCACGTTTTACTCTTGTGACCTTAACAAATCACTTATAATCTTTTTATGTCTCAGTTTCCATATCTGTAAAATGAGTATATTCATACTCTTTATCTAGTTGGACTATTATAAAAATTAAATGTATTAATAGATAAAATTAGAGTAGCACATGACAGATTGTAAGTACTTTCAAAATGTTAATTTTTTATTAAATATTAGCTTTAATGTCACTAAGTATAAGTGAGTTAAATTCTTCTAACATGTTGAAAAGACTCAGACTGGATCAGAAAACAAAGTACAACTATAAGCTATTTATAAGGGTCACACTCAAAACAAAATGACAGGAAAGATTAAATGTAAAGTTTAGACAAAAATATATCAGCAAACAAGAAGAAAAAAAGAAATCAAACATTAAGATAATATTATTTAAGAATTATTTCCTCTTGCCAGGGTGAGGGGTCTGCTAGCCCCATGGCAGGCCCTAGATTAAAAAATAAATAAGTAAAATAATAAAAAGAGTTTTTATAAAATATAACCTTTTAAAAGTATGTTTGGCTGGGCACGGTGGCTCATGCCTGTAATCCCAGCACTTTGGGAGGCAGAGGTGGGCAAATCACTTGAGGTCAGGAATTCATAATCGGCCTGGCCAACATGGTGAAATACTATCTCTGCCAAAAATAGAAAAATTAGCTGGATATGGTGGCACATGCCTGTTATACCACCTACTTGGGAGGCTGAGGCAGGAGAATTGATTGAACCTGGGAGGCAGAGGTTGCAGTGAGTTGAGATCGCACCACTGCATTCCAGCCTGGGTGACAGAGGGAGATTTTGTCTCAAAAATTAAATAAATAAATAAATAAATAACAAAAAAAATTAAAAGCACATTTTAAAGCAAATCACCTTAAATTGGACAGATACAGTAATATAATTTTGATAAAAAGATAAAGTTATTCCATAATCATTAATCTTTAACAATAACAGGACATTAACATATAATCTGTATAAGTGTTGGAATCAAGAAAATTAAAATAAAAAGGACAGTAATTGTAGATTTAACTCATTTTTTAAGAAAGCATTTTACAGAACTTGTAAACAAAAAATATATAAGGAATGACACCTGGATATTATATTATTGTTGATTTAATAGTTCCAGGTCAAACTTGGTATCTTATGGAAACTTTATGAAGTAATCATGGAAGATTTAAAAATATTACTCAGATATTATCCCACAAAGAAAGACTTAACAAGTTTTCAATAGTACAATTGTAAATACTCTATTTCTGTGATCTCATTGCATTAAAATTACAAAGTATTAATACAAAGCAAAAAGGAAAGAAAAAACTTTCAATTATTTGGAAATTATAGAAATGCTCTACTTAACTCTTGGACCAAAGAGAAAATTAAAACTATTTAATTTTTAATTAATTTTACTTCTAAAATTAGAAACTACTTAGCAAAATGGTAGTCATAAAATTACATATTTATTCATTAATCCCATATATAGTCATTATTCTAGTCACTGAGACTCCAATAATGAACAAGATAAATTCGGTACTTGCTTGGATGGCACTTAGTGTCTGCTTGGGGAAAAGTGAGAGGCATTTACTCATTAACTCAATCACTCACTCACTCAATAAACCCAAGTCAACAAATAACCACAGTGGGGCAAAACACTATGAGAAGAGAACAAAATATGATGATAATAGAACAGTGATTTGGAGTACTAAAAGACGTTAAAGGGAAAATTAATGTAAAATGGCTTCTTGAAAAATAAAATCAGTAAAGTGGGCTTTATCTCTCTAATTACATAAAATGATTAATCAAAATTAAATACAATTTAGAAGGAATGATAGAGAAAATTTAAAATGCTATAAGGGAGTACTTGGCACTCAGCTAACTGTAAATTTAATAAATATTTATAAGCCATATATCACAGTGCAAGTATTGTGCTAGGTGCTGAGGACAAAACTGTGTCCTATCCTCACATAGCTCAGAGTCTAGTGTGGAAGCTACAATGTGAAGTATCTGGGGAAGTACAATATAATGTGATCATTGCTGGAGGGATGGAGGGAAACAATGGGTGCTGTGGGCACATGGGAGTGGCCACTTGCCACAGGAAGAAATGCATGGGGTCCTAGCCAGAGGGAACAGCTTGCACAAAGTCACTAAGGTTATAGAGAAGACATTTTATTAGATAACCTAAAGATTCAGACTGGCTGATGCAGAGAGAAGAAAAATATTTAAAAATTTAAAAAGAGGCTGTATTGGAAAAGGAGGAAAGACTTTAAATCAGAAAGTCTTGTAAGACATGATAAAGGTTTTTATTTAAACCTTAAGTCAACAAGGGAGGCTTTGGAGTGATATGAGTAGGAAACAGACATGATCAGATTTAAGATTAAGATGTATACTCTGGCAAGAGAGTTGAAAACAGACTCTGAACACACTGAGCAGGATGATTATGAGTTTGAGTTTATCAAGCAGCCAGCTAGAGTGTAGTAAGATCCAAAGGTAGAGATCGGGCTTTTAGGAAAAGTGGTAGAAGAAGCCTAAACACTTCACTATTATCTAATTGAACAGAGCTCTGCATTGAGGGTTATCTCACACCAGCCCACCTTTGATAACAAAATGGCATTTTCTCTTTACTTTTTGGCAACTCTTGCCAAAAAAGCTCTCATGGGGCTTTACGGAGAGGGGAAAGAAGCGACTGTCGGGGGAGGACCTTGGCCTCCCTGGGGCCCTGGCCATAATGATGTCAAACAAAACTAGAACATCACCCCCATCCACAATCATCAAGATGACATCACACCTTGAGATAAACCTTGTAGCTACAAGTCAGAGTTTTAAAAAATGAGGAGAGATGCTGTCCTATGGCAAAACTCTGAAGAATATCAACAATGAGATGATTTGAGTTCAAGGCGTGTAAAGACTGAGTAGTAGTCAGAAAGCAAGGACCAAAATGGGTAGGATATGGTATCATGTAAAACAGCAGAAAAAAAAATTTCATAGAAAATGTGCTTACTTTGGTCATTTGCAGCCTTGGTAAGGGCAAGTTAAGTCGACCAGTGAAGACAGAAATCCACATTGCAGTGAATTAAGGTATAATAGGGTTTCGAAAAGTGCAGACATAAAGAAAAGATATTTAAGGTGATAGACATTCCAATTACCCTGATTTGATCTGTACACATTATATGGATGTATAAAATTATCACAGGTACTCTGAAAATATGTACTTCTATTAAGGTTCAATAAAAAAAAATGAAAAAAAGAAGTGCAGGCAGTCAATGTACACAATTTCCTCAAAAGGAGTGATTTTTAAAGCATGTAACCCAAAAGCCAAAAAGAAGAAGTTACAGATCTGGCTATATAAGCAATTTTTACAAAATTTTTACAAAATTGCTTATACATCATGTATTTGGCCAATATTTTCTCCTAGTTTGTTGCTTGTCTAATTCTTTTGACAGTTTCTTTCACACAGCAGAAATTTCAACTTTATTTGGTATATCAAGCAATTAAAAAAGAAAAAAATTATAATATTTATTCACAAATGGCTCCAAGAAATATAAAAATAAAAGGGTAAAAGATAGAAAATAGGCATCTAATAGAAAAAGAAATAGCCAATGAATATTTGGAAAGGTGCCCAATATTATTAATCAATAAAAAATTGAAACTGAAGTAAAATGATTAATCAAAAGCATGTACAATTAAAAATGATTGACAGAAAATTTCAGATTTTAGATTAAAACATTTAGATTTTAGATTAAATAATATTCGTTACTAATAACAAAATAAAGGTAGCAAGTATAGGTAAACTGGACTGTAGATGGGCTGGCAATCATTACAGACATTTTATAAGGCAATTTGGCAGTAAGTATCATGCCTTTAAACACTTAACTCTCAACCTATTAATAGGAATTCTGTAAATCTACCATATAGAAATATGTGCTAATTTTACTATTGTTTGAAATAGCACAATATTGAAAACTGTCCACCAATAGGGAAGTGGGCAACTCTTTTAAGAATGTTTGCAGTGGATAGCAGAGAAATAGATTATATATACGGAAGACATCCAAAGTTGTTTGCTATTAATAGAAAATTCTTGTAGAAGTTAAAATGAGGAAGGAAGGAACAAGAAAATAGAGAGATGTTGGAGATACAGAAAATATGGATAAATGCATGGATGGAGGCAGAATACAATGTAATCTAATGCACAGGCAGAGAAATCACCATTATAGGAAGCAGGACACTGGAGGGAAAAAAAGAGGATAGGTGCACATGCCAAGATGATTATATATTTGGTGACAAGAAATTGATAAATTTCACATCTGATGATGTCTATATTCTCTGTGATTTAAGAAGAAAACTAGCTCAGCTGTTGAGAGTTGAAAGGGTGATAGTGAAGTTAGATTTTGGGAAAGTGACAAAGATAAGAAATAGTTACTGAATAAAATGAGAACAAGAAATTAATAATAAAATATAGAAATATTAACTTTAATAGCATCAATCTATGCATTATTTACTTTCCTCTACAGTTAACATAGGCAGAGAGAGAGGGAAAGAACATGACAGTAATTAAGAATAACAAAGAGAAAGTAATTGAGAATATATTGAAGATACATTGGATAAAGTGACATACTAAAGAGTCAAAACTATGTCAAAATAGAGATGAAATAAAGAGAATTTGGAGAGAGAAAGTGTAGTCATCCTGGGACTAGAATCTCTGTGTGTTTGAATAATAGGTTATAGACCAAGTGACTGAGCTTGGAGACGTGCAGGTTGCAGAGTGGGATGCTTAAGTGTACGGTTACAAAGAGTTGGTATTTCCAGCTGATAACATGGTTCAAGGCAGGCATAATATACTCCTCGATGGAAATACTGTCTAAATACTATAAATATTTTAATACTTCTTCATTTATGTATTCTTATTTATAGTTTCAAACAAAATCTCTATTCAACTAAAAAAGTTGCCAAAGTGGTATCTGTCCACATCTTTTGCTTATTTTTTAATCAGATAATTCATTTTCTTATGTTGAATATTAATAGTTGTACATCTTGGATAACAGCCTTTTCTCAGTTATGTTTTTTGCCAATATTTTCTCCCAGTTTGTTGCCTAATTCTCTTGACAGTTTCTCTCAGAGAACAGAAATTTCAAATTTTAATGAAATCTTATCAATGATTTCTCTCATTGATCATGCCTTTGGTGTTATAGCTAAAAAATGCACTTCCAAACCCAAGGTCATCTAGATTTTCTCCTATGTAATCTTCTAGAAGTCTTACAGTTTTAAGTTTTACCTTTAGGTCTATAATCCATTTTGAGCTATTTTTTGTGAAGGGTGTAAGGTCTGTGTCTAGATTCATTTTCCTGCCCATATATATCCAGTTGTTCTAGCACATTTGTTGAAGAGACTGTCTTTTCTCCATTGTACTGTTTGTGATTCATTGTCAAAGATAAATTGACTATATTCTATGAGTTAATTTCTGAGCTTTCTATTCTGTTCCACTGATCTATTTGTCTATTCTTTGCCAATACCAACATTGTCTTGATTACTATAGCTTCATAGTAGTTGGAGTTCAGTACTTTCATCATCTGGACTTGGTTCTTTTCCTTCAATATTGTGTTAGGTATTCGTGTGTTTGCCTGTTCACATAAACTTCAAAAACACTTTGTTGATATCCACAAAAGAACGTGATGATATTTTGATTGGGATTACACAGAATCTATGGATCAGGCTGGGAAAAACTGAGATCTTGACAATATTGAATCTTCCTATCTATAAATGGTGAATATCTCTGAGTTTACTTAGTTATTTGATTTCTTTTATCACAGTTTTGCAGTTTTCCTAATATTGATCTTGTACATATTTTGTTAGACTTACACCTAAGTATTCCATTGGGGGAATGCTAATATAGATGGTATTGTGTTTTAATTTCATATTTCACTTGTTCATTGCTGTATATAAAAAAGCAACTGACTTTTGTGTGTTGACTTTCTATCCTATGACTTTGGTATAAGCACTTATTCCAAAAGAATTTTTTTTACTCATTCTGACTTTTCATATAGATGACGGTGTTATCTGCAAACAAAGACAATTTTCGTTCTTTCTTTCCAATACATATACCTTTTATTTCCTTCTTTTCTCTTATAGCATTAGCTAGGACTTGCAGTACAATGCTGAGAACGAGTAGTGAGAGAGATATTTTTGCCTCGTTCTGGGAAAGCTTCAGTTTCTCCCCATTAAATATGGTATTAAGGAAACAATTTTGAGAAGACAATGCCTAGTGAAAAGAGGCATATACCAAATATATTAAGTATAATATAAAGCTAACAAAAGTAAACTGTAAACTGTGGTATTTGTAAAAACTGATTATGTTGGAATAATTGGTTAAGCTTTTAGAGCAAAAGGAGTTAGATCTTTATCTTACATTATATACCAAATTATATTCCAATTCAATTAAAGACTTAAATAAAAAACAAATTGAAACCAAAACATATACAACAAAAATTAAGAGAATAATATACTCATGATATTCTCCGAGTGGGAAGACTTTTCTAATGATAAAATTTTAATGTTAGATCTAAAACCATAAAAACCCTAGAAGAAAACCTAGGCAATACCATTCAGGACATAGGCATGGGCAAGGACTTCCTGTCTAAAACACCAAAATCAATGGCAAAAAAAGTCAAAATTAACAAATGGGATCTAATTAAACTAAAGAGCTTCTGCACAGCAAAAGAAACTACCATCAGATTGAACAGGCAACCTACAGAATGGGAGAAAATATTTGCAATCTACCCATCTGACAAAGGGCTAATATCAAGAATCTATAGAGAACTTAAACAAATTTAAAAGAAAAAATCAAACAACCCCATCAAAAAGTGGGCGAAGGATATGAACAGACACTTCTCAAAAGAAGACCTTTATGCAGCCAACAGACACATGAAAAAATGCTCATCATCACTGGCCATCAGAGAAATGCAAATCAAATCCACAATGAGATATCATCTCACACCAGTTAGAATGGTGATCATTAAAAAGTCAGGAAACAACAGGTGCTGGAGAGGATGTGGAGAAATAGGAACACTTTTACACTGTTGCTGGGACTGTAAACTAGTTCAACCATTATGGAAGTCAGTGTGGTGATTCCTCAAGGATCTAGAACTAGGAATACCATTTGACCCAGCCAACCCATTACTGGGTATATACCTAAAGGATTATAAATCATGCTGCTATAAAGACACAAGCACATGTATGTTTATTGTGGCACTATTCACAATAGCAAAGACTTGGAACCAACCCAAATGTCCATCAGTGATAGACTGGATTAAGAAAATGTGGCACATATACACTATGGAATACTATGCAGCAACAAAAAAGGATGAGTTCATGTCCTTTGTGGGGACATGGATGAAGCTGGAAACCATCATTCTCAGCAAACTATCGCAAGGACAAAAAACAAAACACCGCATGTTCTCACTCAAAAGTGGGAATTGAACAATGAGAACACTTGCACACAGGATGGGGAACATCACACACCGGGGCCTGTCATGGGGGGGCGGAGGAGAGGGGAGGGGGGAGGGATAGCATTAGGAGATATACCTAATGTAAATGATGAGTTAATGGGTGCAGCACACCAGCATGGCAAATGTATATGTATGTAACAAACCTGCACATTGTGCACATGTATCCTAGAACTTATAGTATAATAATAATAATCATAATAAAATTTTAAAATAAAGTATTATAAGAAATGTCTACACTAAAGTGAAACTTCTGGAGGAATAAAATCATAAGCAATATTTAAAAATCTGCTTTCATTAATGGTGATGAATGTAATTCAGACCAACCCTTCTAACTGAAAATAGATTTAAAAATCTGGATTTTTTTTTTTTTTTTTTTTAGATTCTAAGTAAATGCATCAGAGAGTTAACAAGGCAGTAAAGAAATATGGGGTCAAGATCCAGGGCAATAAATACCCAGAAAGCTGAGTCTAGCCTTTTCCTCAGGGGCATCTGCCAGTTCTCAAAACATACCATAGATTCTGACAATCTTTTGGGGCCAAAATAAGATCAAGGTCCTCAAGCAAGATGTTCCTGAGGGTTACACCCTAGAAATAAGAATGAATCAGATATTAACGGGTCCCAAGATGGACTGAAATCCATCTCAGAATAATCTCAGATGTTACATAACTAATAATGGAGCCTCATACAAGTTAAGTAAAAGTTTATAGAATTAAAAGCAAAAATAGATCATTTACATAGTGAGAAATTTTCATTGAACAAGCAATAACAAAATTAGTAAGAATATAGGACATTTGAACAATACGATTTTTAAAAAATTATCTTATTTACATCTATAGAACACCAGACCAATGGCAAAACACACATTGTATTCAAATACACATGGAACATACGAGTTTCTTCAAATTTCAAATATTTGGAATTTAGCAAGAAATAATTGGCATAAAGGTAACTAGAAAATTCCAGATGTTTAGAAATTCAGAAAAAAGTATTCTAAACAGCCCCCGGATCAAAGAAGAACTCAAAATACAAATTAAAACATATTTTTGAAACAACAATAATGGAAATGCTACATGCCACATTTGTGGGAATTTTGTAGCTATATTTGTTTATAGCTAAAATCTATTTATAGCCAAACTTGTGAGGTGTTTATAGCTATAAATGAATATATTAATTAAAAATAAAGTCTGGATATAAGTAATCAAGCATTCATTTACAGTTCTTAAGAATAACAGTAAATTAAACATCTAAAAATATAGGAAGGTGGGAAATAGTAAACTTAATAGAATAAATTAATAAAATATCAAGAAAACATAGAGTGCAGATAATTAATAAAACCCAAACTTGGTTCTTCGGAAAGACTGACAAAATTGATAAAGATCCTAAGACTGATTCAGAAAAAAAAATAGTGGAGGTATAAATATCAGGAATTAAAATGAGGCCATCACTATAGGTTCCACAATATAAAAAATTGTTAAAGAATATTATAACCAAGTTTATGCTCACATATTTGAAATCAAAAGACAAATTCCCATAAAATACAGCTTAATAAAATTGACATAAGAGGAGAAAAACCAAAATACTCCTTTTAACTATTAAAGATATTTAATCTGTAATTAAAATCTCCCCACAAAGAAAACTCCTTGCTCAGACGGCTTTAGAAATGAATTTTGCTAATCATTTAAAGAAAAAATAATGCCAGCCTTATACAAATTTTCTCAATAAAAATGACAATTTTTTGAGGTCTTTGACGAATTGTTTCTAAAATGTATATGAAAATGGGGATGGTATAGCTTAGTTTTATGACAGTATTGAAGAATAAGGAAAGAGAATATTCTCACAAATGGTATAAATTAATATAAGGTTACAGTAATAAAGATATATGGTAATGGCTTAAGGACTGAGAAATAGATCAATGAAAAACAACAGTCCAGAAGGTGATTAGGCATATGTGGACTTTGATTAGCAACAAATATGACACTGCTAAACATTCAGAAAAGGATGAGCTTTTCAGTAAATGCAGCTAGGTGAATTGGATAGTCATATTGGACAAAATGAAATAAAACTTGACATCCACATCATGACATATACAAAAGTAAAATTTAGATGAGTGTAGATTAAAATGTAAAAATCAAAGAACTTTTGGAATTTAATGCAGGAAAATATTTTCATGCCTTTGGATATCTAAATATTTCTTAAGCAGGATACAAAAAGCCTACCCCACTGAAAAAAGATTAATAAATTTGATATTAAAAAAATTTAACCCTTCTGCTCGTTGAATGATAAGTGGAAAAAACAAATTATGGAGTGGGAGAAGATATTTGCAAATAATCAATATAGAATATTTATGTGGAATAAAGGATTTCTATTAATAAATAAGACCAAAATGAATTGTCATATATACATATATATATGTGCATCTTTAACAGGAACTTCTTAAATGAACATATACAAATGGCTAATAAACATATAAAAAGGTGCTCAATATCATTAGTTATCAAGAAGATGCTAATTGAAACAATGAGATTCTACTACATGTCCACCAGAATGTCTACAATTAAAAATTACTAATAGTACTATTATGCATTAGGGCTGATATATAATAGCAGAAATTCTCTTCTGGAGGGACTGTAAACAGTACAATAAGTTTGGGAAAGAATTTGGCGTCATCTCCTGGAGTTGAGTATATGTTTTTTATTTTTCAGCCATTCTACACCTAGGTATATATAGCCAAGAGAAATGTGTGCACATGTACACGAAATGAATGTTCACTGAACCATTATTTATAGTAGCCCCAAATGAGAAACATACAGTGTTCATCAATCATTACAAAAACAAAGAAACAAGCAAATAGAGGTGAATGTGGCCAAACAATAGAAGCTATACAAAAATGAACATGGATAAACTGAATTTCATAAATATAATATCATGCCTCGCCTGTAATCTCAGCACTTTGGGAGGCCGAGGTGGGTGGATCACCTGAGGTCAGGAGTTCAAGACTAGTCTGACCAACTTGGAGTGGCCCTATCTATACTAATAATACAAAATTAGCCGGGCGTGCTGGTGCATGCCTGTAATCCCAGCTACGCGGGAGGCTGAGGCAGGAAAATTGCTTGAACCCAGGAGGCAGAGGTTGCGGTGAGCCGAGATCGTACCATTGCACTCCAGCCTGGGCAACAAGAGTGAAACTCTGCCTCAAAAAAAAAAAAAAAAAAGTATGTCTTTTTCTAAGTTGCCTTAAGGTAAGCAAAATCAACTATTTGTTCTTAGAAGTTAAATTGCTAATTTCCTTAGGTTTATGGTAGGTTTATGTGACTTGTTTTTTTTTTCCTCATAGCAGAGCTATGTATCTTTGGAATTCAGATTAAAATGTTCATTTTCTCTCAGTTGATTGAGATTTCTCTGTGCCAATAGATAATCACTCCATTTCCAAGTCATGGAGGACTACAGAAAAGTTATCTTGTGTCTTAAAGTACCATTTAAAACTCCATAACCCCAAAGGTATTGATTTAAGTCAATTCAATTTTAATTAATTTTCCTTCACAAGGTTTCCTAAGGTCATGTTCCTGTGGTTGGAGTTGGAGTTTCCCTGAAGGAATGTCAATTTTCACTGTCAGTTATACAGGGAAGAACTTTGTTTTCAGATAGGATCAGAACTTAGGATACGGGTAAAAGGCTTTTTCTCTCCCTTCTCAAAGATCCAAGTGGTAGAAAACCTGAACTCTGATTTACAGGGATACTCTGAACATCCCCAGCAGTAGACAACTTGGTTCTTGTCCAGAGGAAACAGACAAGGAAGTAGGAGCTACTCAGACACAGTCTTAAGAAGGACCTGAGCCCATCATCTCTTAAGAGTAGCCACCTCAAATAGACAGGTAAGCTTCTTATCCTGGCCTATATTTAGTAACTTGAGTTTTCATTTGCCAAGTAACTTGAGTTTTTACTTGCCAAATTGAATAATAGCATGGTTTCTGCTACATTATAGAGAATTATTCCTAAGATCTCTCCTCTCCTTGGAAAAGCAACACATATGATTAGAGCACTGTTACTTCTCCTGAGACCTTGAGTCCCATAAAAATTCCTTATTGTTCTTCTAACCACCACCACCCTCAAGGTGAGTTTCTATATAGTTCTCCAGAATCTCTTAATTCTCAACATTACCTCAGGTCTTGTGTTTTCGCAAGAGCCAGTACTTCCTAAGAGTTCTACATCTTTGTATGTCAATATATAAAGTCTATGATGTCTTATTCCAGTTTTAGAATTAATCTTGGGTTGTCCTGAAGTCCATATCAGAGATGGTAGGGCCAAAATAATAAATTATCTCCAGACTCTTAGAAAAGAGACAATTTTCATCTTTTCATGACTTTTCTCAATAGATTAGCATGTAGGAAATGGTCTGAACTAATTTAAAAGCCATAAGTAGACAAAGTCATTTGTGGAATAATTAAAATGAAAGTGTAAGCCACATATGAACAAGAAAGTTTCTGTCCCAAAACTAGTGTCAAGAGAATTATAATCTGGAAAGCCATTTACTTTCTTTACGATGTTAAAATTCAGAATTTTTTGCCTATTAGTGGATAATTAGTAAACTGAGAAGGGGAGAAATAATATTCACCTACAGTCACACAGAATTAAAAGCTGTTATGTATAAGGCATTGTTAAGACAGAAGATGAGTAGCTAGCATTTCTTTGTTCGAGGAAGTTACTAGTCTAATTTCAGGATAAGCCAAATATGCAAATAGAGATAAGGTAAAGTATAACATATAAGAGTCTCTAAAAAAGATACAAATAGAAAACTTCAAGTTCAGAGAAGGAAAACATTATAGATAATAATCTGGTAAAGCTTTGGGAAAGGTTATGGTTCAGAGGGACATTGAAGAATCAAAAGCATTGAATAGAATGAAGAAGACATTACTGATGAAAGGAAATGGCTGACAGAATGCAATAGAAGTCAGAAAAAGAGTGGTCCAGTCCAGTAAGGGTTTAGGGAAACTACATGGCAGTAAGGAAAGAGGCCAAGGCATAGAAAGAAGCTTTGAATACAATTCCAGTTGCTGCTAGACCAGCTATAAAGTCTGGTATGGGCATACTTTCACAAATAAATATAATATAACCTGACAAGGCAATTTGAAAGCTAACACTCTGAGAGTAGAAAAATAAAGACCTTATTCTAGTAAAGAGATCGCATGTGATTATTAAACAACTATGATATTTCAACTAGGAAATTTTCTAGGGAGAGAAAATCTCCTATATGCATCTGAGTCAAGAACATGATGTAAATTCAGTTCTAAAGATTCGCTGATGTTTTAAGATCCAATCTGAATTACAGAATATGTAAGAACTAATAGAATCTGACAGAAGATCAAATGGTCAGACTCTGATGTGGAACAGTCATTTTTCTCTATAAAGAAATACAAGAGGCTGGGTGCGGTGGCTCACTCCTATTACCCCAGCACTTTGAGAGGTCAAGGCGGGTGGATCACCTGAGGTTGGGAGTTCGAGACCAGCCTGACCAACATGAAGAAACCCTGTCGCTACTAAAACCATAAAAAATTAGCCGGGCATGGTGGCACATGCCTGTAATCCCAGCTACTCGGGAACCTGAGACCAGAGAATCGCTTGAACCCAGGAGGCAGAGGTTGCAGTGAGATGAGATTGCGCCATTGCACTCCAGCCTGGGCAACAAGAGTGAAAATCTGTCTCAAAAGAAAAAAAAAGAAAAAAAAAAGAAGAAAGAAATATAAGAAAGTAGAAAGAACAGAGAAAAGGCAGTGAGATAAACTTAGATTTGAATTCTAATTCCAGGGGATTTTGGGTAAGCTATCTCAGTCTTTTACCTAGACTTCTGTGAAACAGGGATAACAAAACTACCTCATAAGATATTTGTGAGTATTACTTTAAGTAATACAAGTAAAGCATCTTGTCAAGGCCAACTCATGGTTAGGGTTCAACAAAGTGCATTTACATAAAAGGAGGACACATATTTACAAGACAGGCAAACATCCAGTAGAAATGAATAGGAGAAGATGAGAACAATATCCTATGAAAGGAGGAATATCGTTAAGAACTTTCCAATTACAGTCACATGAAAAGTATAGTCATTACGAACTTTCAGTGCCATGTCAGAGATGGTCAGTGCTCACTAGTATTCTTCTCTTATTTCTGGACATACACCAAGACACTGTCCAGCTCCCTTGCAGCACGATGTAGCTGTCTGACTGAAGTCTAGTTAATGAAAATAAATGAGAGTGGTATGTGTCATTTTGGGACCAAACTATTAAAACCTGCACTTGTAATACTTAGTCTTCTTCCCCATTACCAGTTGAAAGAGTGCGATTCTAGAGCAGTGGTTCTTAAACTTTTTGGTCTTAGAATTTTTATATATGTTTAAAAATTAATTATTGATCATCCAAGGAGCCCAAGGAGCTTTGTTTTAAAAAATGTGGATTATATCTAATATATTTACTGTATTAGAGTGTAAAAGTAAAAAAAAAATGTAAATAGTTATCAATCCATTTAAAGTCATTAAATGTTAATTTAAAAAACAGTTTAATCAAAGTGGCTACGGTTTCTAAAAGAAAAAAATAGTGAGAAGAATGTTGCAAATTTCTTTAATATTGGCTTCATGTAAGATAGCTGGCTTATCATATCTACTTCTGCATATGAAGAATCCAGGTTCACACAGATAAATCGTTGGGAAAGGAAGGAGTGTCTTCAGAATATTTTGGATATTCTTCTTTGATATGACACAAAAGTTCATTGTTTCTTGAAGTCTCTTTGCAAGATAGAATCTGCAATCAAAGCAATGAACTTTTTATATTGTTATATTAAAATCCATGACTCTATCTTTCATTTTTAATGGACTGTTTACTAATACATAGGTTTGCAATTTCATTCATTGGTCATTTGGAAACTACTGGTTCACTGAGTTATACATATTCTCTAAATGTTGACACATTTCATTATACAGTATCAATCTCACCACCAATCTTATCAGAGAAGTTTTTAAATATTGAGAATTTTTCAAGCTTCTGATGGCCGATAAAAGTTTTCCAAAATTCCAATTTTCACTTGAACCCATTTGCCACAAATACCTTCTGTTTGTTGTCCTTTAAATGATTAGCTCACTCTGTTAATTTTGGGGGGAAATTAATGAAATATCCAAGTCCGAGCTGTCTGTTCTTTCAAGCAAAAATAGTATTTCCGAGGGGAAAAAAGACAAATTCAGCTTGAAATTCAGACTTTTCAAGAGCTTTTCCTTGAGACAACCATTGTACTTTTGTGTGCAGCAGTTCTTTACATGTAGTTCCCATTTCTTCATGCAGAATGAATGATAATGATAAGGACATTCTTAGTAGAAACCGGTGGTGTTTTGACAGTAAGCGAGCTGCAGTGAAGAACAGAAGTACTAGTATTACAGTTTGATGCCACTGCTTTAAGATAATAGTAGTTTTACTCACCATTGATTTTTTATTATCAGTGCCAATGTCAACATACTGAAAAAGACATATAATGTTCAAATATTATTGAGAAAATAGTTTTGATCTTGCAGAGCACTCCATTTCAGGTCCATGGACCAGCGTTTGAGAACTGCTGATCAGGAGAAAGTGAAATCACAGATGAAAGGGACATACATTTTGATGGATTGGAGCAAAGCCCTCACACATGCTGACCCTTCCACCAAACACAGATCTACACTGGACTGAGACATGATTCAGAAATAAGCATTTATTATCTAAGCCACTCACTGTCAAGGTTGTTTATTGCAGCAGTAAGTGCTTCTAAATTTGATAGTTTGAAATTGGGTGCAACTATGACACAAAATTAAAATATTGGTCATTAAGCTAATACTAAGTGTTTGGAACACAGGTGGCAAGGAGACAGAAGCTATGAGGCTAGAAAGCCTTATTCTGCCTTTTCAAATATTTGGTAAAACTATTACTAGTGATAACTTGGAAAGCAGGCACCAGTTTACAGGATCCTATAGCTTTAGGCGAAGTGATGAGAAAATATCACCATGATCATGTGTGTTAGTTGTTATTGCTGTTTTAAGTAGAATATTACCAGAAAGAGTTGAGCTCAAACAAGAATTGGCAGGTTTCATTAGCAGAAATGATAGGGAAGAAGAAGTTCATAAATCTGAAGCCTTGAAGGAATGTGAAAACCAACTACTTGTAGGCTTCTTGCAATAAAGGATAAGACCAAAAACAATTGTCTCTGAGAGTCTAAGTTGACTAAGACAGCCTTCATAGCAAAGATGGAACAAAGGATATAGCCTCTCCAACTATGTCTGATGGCCTCATGTAGCAGTGATTAAGCAGAGAGACACTGGAATGAAGATGAAAGAACTTTGGGTATAGTTGCTGAAACAGAATTGACTGAAATAAAATAGATCAAAAGCTTACTAAGTTCTCAAGGAAACTGTATGGCCAAAGAAACTAGGAACCTGAAACTTTGGTATTTATATAACTCTCTGGCCTCAATACTTGCATGAGCCAGATGCGGGCTATGAATATTAGGTAGCCCTCAAGAAAGGCACAGCCCCAGTGCTTCGATCAGATCTGGTAATGGAGAGTAATGGAAAAAGAAGAAATTCCCAGAGCTTGGAGCCAGAGTTCCTGCGGGGGAAAAAAATGAGATAAGTGTGTTCTTACATAGCAGAATGGAACTCTAATTAAGGGACACCACTCCCTTAAACCACCACCACCGTAGTAGGGATCTTCCCATTTTGTCTAGTCAGATTTCATAATTGTTATGGGCCAGTGTCTTCCATTATTTCTCTATCTTAGAGAGAGTTCCTATTATGTCCCTCTGATTATGCCCCAACGCTGTTTATTGTCATCATGTATGGGGCTTTGGATTACTTCTCTTTTTAGTTTGTGGGCTGCAGGCCCACGTTCTGCCAGTTCTCCATAAGGAGAACTGCTTGTTATCCAAGTAGCTATATGTTGACCTGGATCCAGTGGCTAAATGCAATCTTGGATTAACTTCCTTGAGGAGGAGTGAGTACACCCTATGTGTGGGAAGAAGTGTAAAACAGATACATGAAGTTAGGAAGAGCAGACTGCAACAGGTACTGTTAGTGCTTATACTAACCGACTACCGTAAGGGCCCAGATGCTGAGTCCTACAGACAAAATCATTTCCTCCACTTGTAGACTCCAGCTCCCACAAGGTCTCAGAGTAGTTCTGATTTTTTTTTTTTTTTTTTTTTTTTTACTGTGAGTATATAACAACCTTCAGCTCACAAAGATTTTTGCACCACAATCTATCCTTGTTACTAATACATTCTTCTTATAAATGACTCCCAAAATGATTCTAAACTTTTTAAAATTGGAGACTCAAAAACTGTTGATTGTGAAACTACTAGTGCCAGGCATTGTAGCAAGTGCTGGTGATACAATGGTAAGCAAATCAGATGTGGTCCCTCCTCTCATATAAATAATATGATTGCTTTTGCTGACATATTTGCATTTGACTCGATTTGCATTATATGCCATACTAGTCCTGCTTAATACTGAACCCCAAATTCTAACTGCTTCTGCTCATATTCCAATATAATTTGCACAGCCATTCAATTATCACAGCTGTGAGTCAAATGTTTGAAAAAGAGAGGCATTAACAATGAAACTGACCACTGCAATTCTCAGCCATGTTACGGATTAGAAATTGAATTTCTTTGACATGCAGCTTGGGATATATAGATGTAGGATTACAAATGCAAATACGTTACAAAAATTAAATTCTTCTCAAAGGACAGTGAATAACCTTGACTTCTGACATTTGAATTTTATCTAGTGATATAAAGTTAGGCACAAGTTCTGACAGTTTCTTTATGAACATACGTTCCTCTCACTTTCCAGTAGTATATTCAAAACATTGAAGTTTGATTGGTTGTAAATAAGTGATTTATTATAGGACAATTCCTAAGTTACCCGCATCGTCCTTACAGTAGCCTATCCCTTGCCATTTTGAATATGCCCTTCTCCTGTGAAATATACCACTTCATTTCTCTAGAGGCCTAGCAAGGTTGACATTTTTGACAGCATATCTTTAAGGCAGAGCCTAAACTAAGCTGGTCACTCATGAGCAATGTGGAATATTTTAAGTGAAACTTATTTTCTAATAGTAGTCTGTCTGAGCTTTACATTATTACCTTTCCTCATCATAAAGTCCATAAATGTATCAAGTCATCAAGCCATTGGAAAGAAACATTTTACATTAAGCTTTCTATAATATAATAATAACTTTAAATAAAAGGTTGCCGAAACTTTGATTGCTTAATTGAGGAAGCAAACTCACAAAAAGCTTGAAGGTTTCACTATGCTATCTTATAGAATACTTTTATTCTACTAAAAATTTTTATTATGAGGGTACTATTATGGATTTATGTACAGTATAGTACTAGCCATTTTAATTTTAATAGAGAATAATTGATCCATTAATCATTTTCAAATGTAAGTGCAAAAGTTAGGCATATTTGTTTAAAGTAACCCAAAAGACCTAGGCTTTACCAATGAAAAATTAACTTCCCAGACGTTTAAAATTGACATTAAATTTTATTTACTGCGTTATGATTACAACATTGAAGACTATTTTAAGTAAATGCGATATTTACTTAAAGACAGGTATTAAGAATTGTGCTTTCTTGTATACTTCACAATGCTAACATGACATTGGATTCATAAGTGGTAGTAGAGAAACAGTTGTTGAATTTCTTTGATAAACACATTTAAAATTTGCCTTGTCTTTTTCATTAGAGTAAATTAATAGAAATCTGGGTAATACATAATTCGTGATTAAGTTCCATCCTCTGACCAGCCCCGAAGGAGCAAAAATTCATGTCTTTCCTATGGTGGGGCGTAAGTGGGGGGTTTAGCCATAGGAAGGGATTGCTTCCTGATCATTTGAGATTTTCCAATTCAGTATGTGATTCGTCATGAACTGTATACATTTTTTAATCTTTAATTATACTAATTATGCTAAAGTAGTGATTTTTCATTAACCTCACAGTAACCCAAATCTGAATTTTGTACAATTGAATCTTTTGAACCCTTTCTTCTCAAATTTCTTCCTTTATTAACAATTATATGTATATGCATGTATATAAAATTGCATGTATATATAGACTCTTTCATCTTGTTTCAAGACTGTGTTTAGCTTAAAATAAATCCACTTACGGTGGCTTAAATTTTAAAAAGTCTTATTTTTCTCACATGATTAGAATTCTGAAAGTAGAAAGCTGTTGGCATTGATTGAGTAGCTTAACAATGTCAACTCCATGTTGTCTGTTATTATGCTTTTTTTCCCTCAAGATGGCTAATGCAACTTTCTTTCAACATGAGAAGGGAGAAGACACCTTATCACCAGTCCCTGCTTCTATTACAAGGAAAGCAAAAACATTCTAAGAAACTCCCAGTAGTCTTCTGCTGAATTTTCATTGATCAGAACTGTTGTTGCAAACCCGACCCTAGCTCCAAGGGAAGCTGAGGAAATGAGAATTAATCTTATTACGAGGAAAGGGAGATGGAAATAAAAAATTCTTAAAAGGAAATTAATTTTCAGTCCCTAAATGGAAGTGGCAAGGGAGAGGGAGGTTAAGAGTGTTTCCTACATAAGTGTTTATAAATTCTTCATAAAAGGGATTATTGGTGATAAAATTTAACAATAATTTTAAAGCAGAGATAATTGCATGGATTTCTAGTTCAGCATATTTATATTTGGTCTGATTGTTTTATGCCAAATATTTGGCTCAAAGATGGAAAAAGTAGAAGAAAATTATCCCAGGCTCTTGCAAAACCACAAATAAAATTTACTTCAGCTAGTTTTATCCTGTTAGGTGGGATAGGTTGTGAAGGTATCTATATGTCACACTGAGAGACTTTTTCTAGAACCCATGCCTAGTCTGTAAATTTGGGGCAAATTATTTCTAGTCAGTCAAGAAATTACAGTTGCCTGGTGTCATTAGGAATTTCACACATTGCCACAGTAAGTAGATTTGTTGCATTTTACAAATAAGAGAGATCACACATGTTGTTAAATTTTTGTATTCCTCAAGTCACACAGAAGTTAACAGGAGAGCCACGATAAGTAAATCAGTGCCAAGAAAGGAAACATGAATGAAGACAATGAAAGTTGCCTAAGGGTCATTTTAAATTGCTCCCGTTCTTGCACAAAAGAGCACAGTCCAAATTGGTGTTTGGTCAATGATATCAACGTGCCTCAGAGGCCAGGGCAAATGAGAGTTTTATCTGCCTACAGTACTAATAGGTAAAAATGAACACATTCCCCAGCTGATTTGCATTCAGTTTTAGTGGCAAAGAAAATAGCGATACACAGTTATCATGTACTCCAGGGGTGTACTCTAATTGTATTTGATATTGCTTGAAATAAATGGGACTGCATTTGGAAATTGTTTTTCATAATGAACAGTTTATTATGCTCCTGGTGTTTGTCTTTACAACAAAATCTGAGGAGAGGACCTGTGTCTGTCACATTCATTTTCCATTGTTATCACATGTGTCACTTCGAGCACAAAGGTGATTAACAAATGCTCCTGGCAATGTAAATAAACCAATAAAATTTTTCAATGAAGAGTTTATGTTTGTATATGATGTATCCATGTGTATTTCTTAATGAACATGAAATGAAAAGTAGGCAGATTTGTCAAGAACAAATGTCTGAAACTTTATGAATGATAATTATCATTCATAAATGATAATTTTCAAATGTCTGAAACTTTATGAATGATAATTATCACAATTGTAGGATAGATAAATATTATTATATTTTCTTATTATTCCTTATTGTTTTCCAGGCTTTCAATAAAATCTGTAACTGTCTTTCATTATTCTCTCTTATTTGATATGTACTTTTTCTGTCATTTATTCTGCAAGTGTAACCTAATGACACAAAGACATATTTCCAGAATAATTCTTTTCTAACTTCCTCCCATAAGCCAGTTATAATGGTTTGAGGCAATCCACCAGCAGTTATGAAAATGCTTCTGCTTGCCAAATCTAGAAACATGTTGCTTTGCCCAACATTTGAAATATACATCCACTTAATGAGCAAATATTTCAAATCAAATGTTCCCACTGTATGCCAGTCATTGTGCTATGGGCTGAGAATGTAACAGTGAATGACGCATGCTCTCTCTGACCTCATCAATTGAAAATGCAGGCAAAGAAGGCTGCTTCATTTAATACACTGTGGTAAATAACAACAGAGATGCACTGAGCATTCAGCGGTATCATTTGAGAGGCACCTCATACATGATATTTGAGGTGAAAATCAAAGGATAAGTGCTATGGACTTAATGTGTCCGCCATAAATTCATATGTTGAAATCCTCACCCCCAATGTAATGATACTAATATCTAGAGGTGAGGCCTTTGGGAAGTAGGTAATTAGGTCATAGGATAGAGCCCTCATGAGTGGAATTAATGTCCTTATAAGAAGAGACCTGAGAGAGCTTGCTGGTTCTTTCTCTGATCTCTGCCAGATTAAATAAGATAAAATGAGAAGACGGCCATCTGCAAATCAGGAAGGAAGGCCCTCACTAGACACAGGATCTGCTGGCACCTTGACCTTGGACTTCCCAGTGTTCTGGAACTGTGAGAAATGTTTGCTGTCTACGCCATATAGTCTATGCTATACTTGTTATAGCAGGCCAAACTGGCTAAGACAGTGATTGAAAGTTCATTAAGTGAAGATGGGTGGGGTAGGCAAGATTATTTCAGGAAGATGAAGTAGCATGTAAAAAAGTGAAGGAGTGAGAAAAAATATGGCACATAGAGAACCTGAATTTGTTTAGTGTGTCGAGAGCTTGTAATGGGGGAGTAGAAGGATGAGCCTTGGCTTTAGCACTATTTGCTATGTGATCTTGGGCAAGCTACTTGACCCCGTTAAGTTATTTGAATCCCTAAGCTTCAGTCTCTTCATCTGTATAGCAGAGATAATAATATATTGAATATAGAATTGTAAAAACGACTATATAGGTATATACATATGTTTCAGTTACGGTTACAAAATTAAGTCAAAACATTAGAACTTATTTAGGTAAATTACAGTATATGGTATAAAATACACAAATTAATTCAAAAAAGACACTTCTTCACACCAATATCCAGAAATTCCTTACATGTTCCTTCACCATTATGGGTATTCCCTTAAGTCAAAAGAAAGCTTCTATGACAGTAACAAGAGTTTTAGAATAAACCTAATCTTCCACCTTCCTTATATTGAATGTAAGAATATTTTATTATTCTTACATTCACGCTAGGCTGTAGCCACTTTCTAGTAATAAAACCCAGTATATTAAAGCATACAGCAGAATGTCCAGTAACCTAATTGTCTTTAATTCATCAGCATTCAAGTATTTTCAAGTTATTGGGATACTAAGTCTAGCGAAATGAAATAGAAAGTTATATAAAATATAATTATTATTGATTGCAAGAAAGTATGAGTGATGATTTTTAAATTTCATATCAGATCAAGTTTTGATATAGTAGCATTAATTCTTAAGTCTGAAAAATATATAGTATACTATTTTATTGCAGAAAACACTGGTTTGGTATATTATTTTAATTTCAGTTTGCTTAAATACATTTATTCACTTTTAATGCAATATAAGTCAATGATATTAGGGTAGCATAGGAATTATTCTAAGACATCATTAAATGTGGGTGGCATAGAAAAGCAAAGGGAAAATCGTGAAGGAAATTACAGTCGATCCTCAATATGCATAGCTTACAAATTTATGTAGCTTCCTACTGGCAAGAATTAATTTGTACCTCAAAATCAATGCTTGTGACACTTCCGTGGTCATTTGTGGACATGTGCATGCAGAAAATGGTAAAATATTTGAGTCATTCGATGTGCACATTTCCAGCTGAGTTTGGCTAAGGTGATGCTTTGCTTTGTTGTGTCATCATGTTATAAACAAATGTCCTTTTTGAGATCTTTAGTGCCACATTGTTGCTTCCTGTGCTTTTTTTATTGGAGATTCCACTGTTGAAAACAGCCATCAAACATAGTGCTGAAGTACTGTCTAGTGTTGCTAAGAGCAAAAAGGGTTCCATGTGCCTTATGGAGACAATGTGTGTGTTAGGTAAGCTTGATTCAGGCATGAGTTATAGCATTGTTGGCCATGAGTTCGACATTAATTAATCAGCAAAATGTATGAAGTGAAGTGTCTTTAAACAGAAACACATAAAACAAGATTAGGTTTTGATCAGTTAATGAACATGTTGTGGCTAAAGGCTTGCAGGAAACTAAACTTGTATTTCCTCTAAGAGCAATGACTCGGTACTCACTAATTCAGTATTTCCTGTAGCAACATTTCAGAATACAACTATCACTTCATGAAACACAACTTGATAGAACACGAATTAGAATTTATTGTACTGACCTATACTATCTCACATATTAAAAAAATTTATATAAAACCAAAATAAGGTAAATAAGGTAAAAGGCAAATGACAACCTAGGAAAAATACTTATAATACTTAGGAAAACAAAGGTTTAATATTGACGATATATGAAAAAAAGATAAAGGTGGGAAAATAAAGTATATTAAAGTGGTGTGACTTTAACTTAGCTTTTGATAAATTATAGTTAAAATCATTGGTCAAAAGTTTCAAAAGTATTAGTGGGAAACTTAAAGTTTAAAAGAGCTGTTGACAAAAGTGTTTTGAGAATGAAAACACAATGTGTTTACTTGCCTTTTGTTGAATTCAATTTAGCAAATACTATGTATATTTATAAAAATACTTTAATTAAATTTATATCTAGTTTGTATCTTGTCATCATAAAGCTGCATTTTGCCTAAGTGTGTTTAATAAGAAAAGCAATGGTCTTTCCTACAATAGATTTCATTAAGAAATCAAGGACTGTTGGTATGTAATTCTCAGTCTGCAGATGTTTATTATTGAAAATTATATTTGTTAAAATATTTGGTGTAGAAAAGTATTTTTTTCTTATGTTTGTGAAATATTTTTGCCCTGGAGATGAATATACTTACCAATCTTGTATGTGTTTTCTTGTTACATTAAGCATATTTTTAAAAGTGCTCTCTCTTAAAAATGTCCTATGTAAAAAATTAAATATATCACTAATTTAATTACATTAAAATACAACAAAAATATTTATTTTTCCACAACAGCAAACATTATAATGAACAAAAGACAAAGAAGCTATTTACAAAGACACTATAAAGGCCAATAAGCATGTTTAAAAAATCAAATTACTAGTAATCATAGACATAGAAAACAACAAGAAGTCATCAATTTCAGGCTAAGGGGAGAAAAAGGAAGTGGGAGACACAGACTAAAGGACATGTGCCTGAACCCAATGACCAATCTTGTCTCACTGAAAATGGTCATGCAATTATGATACTTCCTGACATGGTACACAGCACCATAGATAAAATATTCTTGCCAAAGAAAAACTGATTTTGAATCTCATTGAGCTTTTAGATCTAACCATCAGTTCACAGGAGAAAAGGAGGGAAAAAGGAACAGGTTGAACACTACAGTGAAGGATTAGTCAAATTTAGGGTATTGAATATTTTTTAGAAAAAAAGATCCTGTTTCTTCAACAAATAAATTGCAAGAAAGAAAGAGACAAGAACCCATTATAGAGTTTGGTTCTTATCTGTCAGAGATATACACTGAAACACTTGTTGGTGAAATTATATGGTATTATATCAGGATTTTTCTTTAAAATATTACAGTAAGCAAAATAAATACCAACATAGGTGAAACAAGAGTAATAAAATGGTGATCACTATTGAAGATAGCTGATTGGACATAGTGGGTCCATTTTAACATTCTTTCTACTTTTTGGTTATAAATATAAAAATTGTGAAAAATTTTCTGGAATACAGCTTATAAAATGCCGGTTGTATGAGTCATCTCATTTCTAGGCATTATTCTATGTAAACAATGGGCAGGAATGTTCAATGTTTTATTGTTGCATTGTATAATTAAAAGAAACAATCTAAATATCAGAAAATACAGATAAAGTAGATATATATTACTCATTAAAAATTGTAACTTAGAAGAGCAGTTCTCACATTGGCTAAAACAGGGCTTTAAACTTAAGCAGACAGGTTCAAATAGCATCCATTCTATGTACCAGCTGAGCACCATCACATATATTAAACTCATTTAAGCATTAACTTCTTAATCCATAAGATGGTAATTATAATAGTACACATATTAACAAGATATCTTTAGAGTTCAGTGTCATCAGTATTCATTTCTGATAAACGGTGGTCATTTTTATTTTTTTCTTTCTTCCTTGCACTTTTACTTTATTTCCTCTCTCTATGTATATATATGAAAAAAATTAAGATAAACTAATAAATTTATTTCATCTCAATTTCATACAATAAAACTTGTCATCAGCTGAGATTAGAATAATATATAGATTAACATATTAAATCATTTCCTACCACTGTTCTGCCTAATTAATCACCTTTATGAATACGTAGACATGAGTCAGATTTAAATAACTGGAGTATATCATAGTTTCTGATGAAAGATCAAAAGCAATATTCTAAGAACTGTAATAAACAAATTAGCCCAAGGTCAAATTGTGGAGTCCATAGTCTCCCTCTGTTCTTTCTCTTTGCTTTTACAGACTAGTTTTTCTCCCATCCAAACTGCAAAGCTGGGTGCTTTCAAGCTGTCTCTGCTCATATTTCAAATATCCCATTATCTGGACATTTTTTTTCCATGGAGAAATGCCAATTTTATAAAATCATATCATGTTAGGTAATATGAACATATTTCCTGTTAAATATATCTTTTTCTGTATAAAATTATATATATATAATTTTATATATATGTGTGTGTGTGTGTATATATATATATATATATATATATATATATATAGAGAGAGAGAGAGAGAGAGAGAGAGAGAGAGAGAGAGAGAGAGAGAGAGAGAGACAGACAGAGCAACTTATAGGAGATGCCAGTTCTTACTTTAAAGTTACTTAGGTAAAATATTTGGTAAAATACAGGATTTTTAAGGTCAGAGTTCTTACATCTCTTGTCCACTTCTGTATGTCAATCACTCAGCAAAATGTACAGCCTGTTTAAGCACTTAACAAATATAACTGAATTTGTTAAAGAAGCTGTAAAGAAATTATATTAGGAACTGAATATGGCAAGGTGACTGGTCTGTGGTACTTTTTTGTTAAGTGATTTTAAGGTGTTATGGGACACTGACTGGCTGAGTTAGGCTCTGCCTGCACTGGCTGGCAGCATGATCTTCTCATGTGACTACCTCTCAGCCAGCCAGTGGGCAACTACAGCAGACAATTCTAAATACCCTTGCAGAAGTCATAGGTGACTGGAGATGATGCCATAGTCTTGGGGCACAGGTCCATGCTAATAGGCTTGCAGAGCCTTGGAATATAAAGGAGGGCTGTGGCAGAGGTGGTGGCCGAAAGAGAAAATGGCCAAGAAAAGATGCCTAAAAAAGCCCTTTCAGATTAGCCTTGAAGACTAAAAGAAATGAAGAAAAACTTGGCAGAAATTGGTAAATGACAAATTTTTTGTAGATATGCTATGCTAAATAATCACCGACACTTGTATATTATTGAAAATTAGCTGGACAACAATGGAATGTTAGTTTGAGATTTGGGAAATGAAAAACCCAAAGTGAGGTAAGTCCAAGATATCATCCAACATGAGAAAAGAACGTTACTACCTCCCACGTCAGCTATTTGCTTCAAAAGATAAACGTATTTCAGAAGAAACAGAAGATCGTGCTCAAAACCAGGAAATATGTCCCTTTGAAATGGACTCCAACAGTAATGACAACTCCAAGGTTCATTTGGGAAGGGTTTATACAAGTTCCTCTTCAGGAAACTGACCTTCTAGGATAAGGAATGTCATTCCAAATAGAAGAATCAATACCTGCTATTCCTCAGGACAAACTAAAAATTGATATTGACTATTCTAGTTGAACATAATCTACTGACAATGTCTTTGATAGAACTGTACCTAATCTAATCATTTGGCAGGAAAATCTTTTCAATGGGAAAAAAATTAGATTTGCTGGGCTTCTAGTAAACACACACACACTAGAAAATGTAGAACAAAATGTTTTTCAATGAAATAAGGACAAAATTAACCCATCATCAAGGCTGATTCACCTAGGAAGACTTATAAATCAAAAGTAGTCATTTTTGATCCTAAATATGAACAAGCTAAAGCTAAGCTTAGAGATGCATAAGGCAGAAAAAGTGACAGTAGGAACCAATCAAAATGTATATCAAGGTATAAAGGGAAGAAAAATGAAAATTAAAAAAACTTTCTAAAAATATTGGGAGGGGCCTGTCATTTTTAGCAATGCTTACAATTTTAATTTTGTGTTATATCACTCCTTTATAATAAAATAAAATGAGAAATTATTCTAAAAGAGAAGAAAGTAGCAATGAGTCTGAGATGAGCCCTAGTGAACCAAGTCCAGGAGATTATTAAAATGACTTTTACTTGCCTTCCAAAAACATAAACAAGTACACTCAAAATCTTGCCAAAGAATCAGACAGGAGCCCAATTACCATGCTTCCATCCAGAAGAGCATTAAACCATACTTCACTGGGTTTTAAATATAGAAAAGTAGACTGAATATTCCAAACCAACAAAAATTCGCATCGCTGGACCACCTGAAACTCTTCAGTCACTTCATTTCATTCTGAAGAGTATCACCAATGTCTATTTATCTCCTATAGTCAAATCATAAAACCAAATGTTTCTCCAAAAAATAATGAAGCCCAGCATTGACAACCTAAGTGTAGGTGCACAGCCAGCATGAACTATAAGGAACCCAAAGTCACTTTGAAACTGACAAGATGGCACCTGTTAAAATTTGTTTCTTGAAATCTTCTATTTCCCAATAATAAAAAGAAAACTCTAAAAAAGAAAGTATTAACCAAATGCAATGATGCTTTTGTTGGCCGTTGTTGCAATTCATTCTACACCTACCCCCTCCCCCATATTGCTCAAGGAAAGAATCTATAAGATAGTTCACAAGTGGGTCAAACTGCCATGGACTCTACAGCTCATGAACACTTCATCAAAAGTATACTTTACCTTAAGCCTTTAATAAATCTAGGTTTATTTTTCCTTTGGAATATAAATAGCTGGACTTGTGCACTATAATAGAGATTTCATATACTAATTTAAAACTATTTGTTTTAGTATAAATGCATATTACAGTGACATCATTGGAAATTAATAAGATTTTAATTATCAGCTTTTGGTATCTTATTTTTTTCTTTGGTAGGATATAGGAGAGTGAATGATTTTTGAAGATAGGAGATTTTTAAAAACTCTTTATTATGATATTTGAGCAAAGTAAATCCTTGACATTTAGAGGAGGGTTCATCCTAAGTTGCTTGTGAATCCCTTATACCATTGTTATATTTCTCAGACAAAATGTATGACATCATAATTAGAGAACTGATGGTTTTCTAGGCTCGGGGTGTTCTGAATAGCTTTGAACCAGCTCTAAAGATATGCTGTTCAGTGTGATGCCTCAGCAAAACCAGATTATTGTGCTATGGAATTTCTGAAGAGCTCCTTATTTAGTAAAAAATCTCAAATGCTGAATGTGTGAATGCTAAGGGCATTTTGTACTTGCATGAAAGGGAATTAGTTCAGTCCAGAAAGTTTGAGACATGTATAAACATATACGCACTTAAAGCAACTGTAGTTTATCCATTTAAAAAGAACAACACAATTACTTGAAAGATAAAAAAGTGACTTTTAGTTTGTCTTAAGTTTTTTAGATAATATTACTCTAACTTTCTGGCATAGCATTAGAATCATTCCTTACGTCTGGCACACTTTATTTTCCAGTCATAACTCTCATTGAGTCCTAAAATAACCCTATAATCTAGTCAAAGTAGATTTTCATTCTAAATAAATAAATAAATAAATAAAAACTCATGTCCTCTTACTTGAGTGTATGTGTGTGTGTTTTCTGTAGCATATGTTTATTTCTTCTTGGTCTATTAAAATACTTTCTATATTTTAAGACCCAAATGAAATGTCTCCTTTTCTAGGAACTGTGCTCCAGTACCTGAGGCAGTTGTGGATTTTCTACATGTAATCAAAGCTATCATCACATGGCACTTACCCAGTAGCATCAATCATGATTATCCATATATACATTGCATGTCCCTTAACAGAACTACTTCTAAAGAAGAGATGATGCTTTATTAATTTTTGCATCCTCTATGACATGCAGTAAGTGCCCTGCACAAAGCAAGTTCTCAATAGCTTTGTTCAATGCATTTTATGTATTTAATAGAATCATCCAGGTCAATCAGGGCAATCATCCTCTATTAGTCTGCTCTCATGCTGCTAATAAAGATATACCCCAGACTAGGTAATTTATAAAGAAAAAGAGGTTTTATGGACCCACAGTTTCATGTGGCTGGAGAGGCCTCACAATCATGGCAGAAGGCAAAGGAGGAACAAAGGCACGTCTTACATAGCAGCAGGCAAGAGAGCTTGTGTAGGGGGACTCCCCTTTATAAAACCATCAGATCTCCTGAGACTTATTCACTATCACGAGAACAGCATGGCAAAGACCCGCCCCCATGATTCAATTACCTCCCACAAGATTTCTCCCCTGACATGTGGGAATTATGGGAGCTACAATTCAAGATGAGATTTGGGTGGGGACACAGCCACACCATATCACATCCTCACTAAGGTGAGAAGACACCTGCCTATCCAGCCAGCCTAGTCAATCACTCTGATGTTCAATGGGGTATCACATGTTAAAACTAGATTGTTCTCACACATTTGCTGGAAGACTAGTTTTAACATTTTGTTACACGTGCATGAAGTGTCTTTTCTAATTTATTTGTGTAATGTCATTAGTAGTAAATAGCTTAACTTTCTTTTACAGAGTGGACACTTTTTAAGTTTTATTTTCTTATCTTACAAATCTTAACGTGGCAAGAAGTTCCTTAGAGCCACCCTAATACATGCTACCAGCTAAAACCTAATGTAAGCAAACCCAGGGAATGTGAAAAAAAAATGGTATATTTAGAACTACTTAAAAATAATTACAGCAAAACTCATAAAACAATAAAAAATGATGCCAAAAACACCACATTCCTTCATCAAAACTCAATCTATCATGTGTGTTACTCTCTTGGGGTTCTGTTCTCTGCTAGAGCTAATCCAATAGACCAAATCACTAAATCAAGTTAAGGTATTAGTGAATTAATGTTTTTCTAGTTTCATGTTTTGAATATTAACAGCAGACTTCTACAATTCATCTGCCTCTCACCAATCAAGAGAACTATTTGGGGATTTTACAAGCTGTAAATTCCTTTAAAGGGCCAATACATAACTTCACATTATTTTTTATTGACACATTTAAAATGAAGAGTCAGTTTGTTTTGAAGACCAAAAATAAAATGGTAGCATTTAACTTTGTAGCATTAACTTTGTAGGATAGAATATGGAATGACTTGGCCAAATCATGTAAAATTAGCAAACTATACAATTTTTGAGAGGTTTGGAGTTTTAGATTTTGAATTTGAAAAATTCATCTACGTAAATTCCCAGAGAAAACAACACAGAAGCCATAGCTTGTCTTTTTAAAAAGTCCAAAGCATACAAATCATTTCCCCAGGTCCGAAGAAAAGGAAACAAAATCTTAAAATATTCAAGAGTTTGATAAGGTAAAAAAAAGCAATTTTATAAATTTGATATTCGAATTTTTTACACTATTCATATATTTGAAGAATTATTCACTTATTTTTTATTAAATTTTTTGGGAATGAAAAATAGAACTATCTTTTAATATCACAAATGTATCAAACTACGAAGAATAAAGGAAGAAAAAGGCACAAGCAAAGCAACCACAAACGGGAGTGGTTATTGTGCTTCCTAACTTGTCATCTACATTCTGGTGTTTCAAATAATATAAAATAAATTTAAAAGAAAATAAGAAATTGGAAGGTTATCAAAGAGTTATTACAAAAGAATACAATTATTTTTCAGCTACTGTGTACAAAATATCTAGCCTCTAGGACCTAAAAAGCAATAATTAAAGTAAGAATTTCTACTTACATTTTTCTTATAAACTTACATTTCTATTAGTTTTCTGGATTAAGGTATTAGACAAACAGATATCCTATTTGTATAATATCTGTAAAAAAGATCTAGCAGAATGCTACTTCAGTAATACAAGTTAATATGAATTACAGTATATGTAGAAATTATCACTTTATGTAACAAAAGCATTATAAAATGTAACAACGATAACATACTAAATTATTTGCAAAATACTTCATACTTAAACTGTTTTCCTAAGATGCAAGGGAGCAGTTCTGTTTATCACAACCACCATTAGCATTACCAAATGTCACCAGGATAACGTAATTAACAAAATGTATTCATGAATTCTATCTAAGCTATATATCTGTAGTGGATTGAATAATTGCCTCAAAAAATATGACCAAGTCCTAACTTCTGGTATCTGTGTATATAACTTTATTTGGGAATAGGGTTTTTAAATCTTGGGATGAGATCATGCTGGATTTATGGTGAGTGCTGAATCCAATCATAAGTATCCATGTAAGAGAGAAAAAGAGAAATGACATAAAGGGGAAAAGCCATGTGAAGACAGAGCTAGAAATTGGAATAATGCATGTATAGTCATGCTTCACTCAATACTAGGAATACAGTCGAAGAAATGTGTTGTTAGGCAATTTTGTTATTGTGTGAACCTCACAGAGTAAAGTGTACTCACACAAACCTAGATCGCATAGGCTACTACACACCTAGGCTATAAATCTGTACAGCAGGTTACTATCCTGAATACTGCAGGCAATTGTAACATAATGGTATTTGTGTATCAAAATTTATCTTAACATAAAAAGATACAGTAAGAATAAGGTATTATAATCTTATGGGATCACTGCTGTGTATGCCATAAGTTGCTAACCTGAACATCATTATACGGTCCATGACTGTGTAAGCCAATGATTCTCGAGCCACCAACAGCTAGGAGAGAGGCATGGAACAGATTGATTCTCGGAGCTTCAACCTGCTAACATCATAATTTCAAACTTCTGGTCACCAGAATTATGAAAGAATACATTTTTGTTGGTTTTAGCTACCCAGTTTGTGACAACTTGCTATGATAGCCCTAGAAAACTAAATACCATGATAGCATAGAACAAAGATTTGACATTAGTAATAAACACCAATACTTTTAAAATCAACTTTATTTTTACCAAATGTTATTTTATTTAAAATGTTCCACTTTAAGGTTTTGTAAAATAATAAAATATTATCATAGCATTAGCTGTCTGCCACTTGAAAGAGTCATTAGTTTATTCCAAAGGACATTCACCATCTTGTACTTTGTGTACAATATTCTAATGCAAAGCTACAGTCAACCATGCACTGCTGTTTAGGAATGTTACTTTTGTCATTAATACCGTCGGTTGACTATGGAAGTGTAAAAAAAATGAAATGTATGTATTAGATTGAATCCATTTGGAGAAAACAGAAAGATTCTGGAAAATGTATAATTGAATGACAGAAGACAGAGCATCTGGGTTCTGTTCTTGTTCTGACATTTTAAAGTCATGTGAACATAAAAGTAACTGAGTCTCAATTCATTTATTTGTAAAGTAAAACTGATAGAATTTGCCCTTCCAACTTCTTAAGATTCTCGTTGAACTAAATGACAGGTATATAAGAATGTTTTATACATTGTTGGAGTTACATACTTCAAAGTTTTCTTATTTAAATAATGTTTTTATCATAAAAACTACAAAGAAAATACACGTGTGAACCAGTGGAGGTACCCTTACAAAACTGAATTCAGCTGTCCCAAAGCAGCAGGGTGCAAAAAATAATACCTTAGACTAACAAATTTTAAATTTGAAAATGCTCTGGGCCTCAAAAGAGCATGTATATTCACTTTATCCTTGTTAATAAGCAAAAAAGGGAATAGTATAAAAGAGGTCAGTAGCCTAACCCAATATTTTTATTTTCCCATGTTGACCTGGAAAAAGTTTTATATATTGATATTTGTTTTAAACATATTTATCATTAACAAATCAAAGATTAAATTGTTAAATTAAAAATGGCATTATTAACTGGGGAAAAATACGATCTAAGTAACTTTGTAAATGAAAAGAGCCTATAACACTAAAGGCACAAGTAACCACACAGAAGCATTATCCTCTAGTTGAGAAAATAGGTTCCCACAAGAATATGATTGAATAGTTCTGAAACTATTATACATATATATTTGGATTTAAACATTAAAAGATGGATGGTAGATGTTGGAAACCAGTTTTCTTACTGTTGGACGGGGAGGTTACAGAGAAGCAAAAGGGGGAGGCTAGAATGATCCACGCAGTAATGGATTAGAGTTGGAAAGAGTATGAACTCATGTTTGGCTGATACAGACACAGATGGTTACAAACAGAAATATTTCTGAATATGTGTATCTATACATTTTAGTATACACACATATATTTCCTTGCTTTGTCAGCGGAGAGGGCCTGGAAGCAATGACACTCTTACCGCAATAGTACACCTAGTGTCCTGATCTTGGTTTTTAATACAATTCTTTAATAAAAAGAACCAGGGGCGAGGCACGGTGGCTCATGCCTGTAATCCCAGCACTTTGGGAGGCTGAGGCAGGCGGATCACCTGAGGTCAGAAGTTCAAGACCAGCCTGGCCAGCATGGCGAAACCCCGTCTCTACTAAAAGTACAAAAATTAGCCGGGCATAGTGGCAGGTGCCTGCCTGTAATTCCAGCTACTCAGGAGGTTGAGGCAGGGGAATAGCTTGAACCCGGGAGGCAGAGGTTGGAGTGAGCCGAGAGCGTGCGATTGCACTCCAGCCTGAGTGACAAAAGAGAAACTCTGTCTCAAAAAAAAAAAAAAAAAAAAAAAAAAAAGAAACCAGAGATCCTTGGAGAAATGGCTAATTCTAAAATTGGAGCAGAAAATAAATACAAGATAAGCCTGGAGTATCTTGTACTGTCCATGAAGCAAGAAAGTTATTATAAGAAAAAAGCATGGGGAAAGTCAAAGGGGCATAGGAGCCAAATGAAGAGCAGTGAATAGTGAAAGCTAGAACAAGGTGTGCTATACAATAGACAAAGTAGTATTGGATTATAACTCAAAATATAAAGTCAACATCAATGAGTCCATACTGATATAGATGGTACTTTATCTCTCTTGCCTTCCTCTCAAAAGCCTAGTCTAATTATGAGAACAAAAATAACACAATCCCAGTTAAGGACTATTCTAAAAAAACACCTGTGCACTACACATCTCAACTGTCAAGGTCATTACAAATAAGCAACATTGAAAACCTGTCAGAGCCAAGAGGAGCCTATGGCAACAAGATGACTAAGGGCAATGTGGTATCCCGGATATCCTGGATGATTCTCTGGGACATAAAAAAGGATGCTAGGTAAAAACTAAGGAAGTCTGAATAAAATATGGACTTTAGTTAATAATATCTCAATAATAGTTCATTAATTGTGACAAATGTATTATACTAATACATGATAATAAAGAGGAAATTGGGTGTAGGGTTATATGGGAACACCCTGTAATATCTTTGCAATTTTTCTATAAATCTAAATGTATTTTAAAATAAAATTTAATAAATTTTTTTAAGAATTGTTTTGCCTGACCTGTAAGGTAAAGCCTAGAGGTGGAGTGGCTCTAGACTTAGTCTAATCTGTGTCTCAAAATATCACAAGGAACTAGGTAGCTTCTATCTGCCCATTCTGCTCAAAGTGGCAGTTTATTTTCTATGTGTCTTCTTAGGAGTGAGTAAACGTTTTTTGCAGACCTCCTTTCAAGTCTCAGAACTGGGTTTAAACCAATCTTTGGCAAAGAGACTGGAATGGCAATGTTTGAGCTAGAACAACCATGATTTATCCTGGAAGTGAAAATAGATTTATCCTTCCCCAGGACTTGTGGGGAAGGAAAGATATCCAAATAAAATTGGAGCTCTGCCAGCAAGGAAGAAAAAGGGACTGGATGGCAAGCAGATAACCAGCTATGTCTGCTGCCATCCCAGAACCAAGGAATTGGGAGCCAAGGCTATATAACCCAAGCTTCAACTTCTATTAGTTTTCACTTATAGTATGTTGCTTCTAATTTGTCACATGTGACTCCCTGATGAATATTATTTTCTAAAGCATATATAATCAGAGATCTTATTATAGATTTTATTTATAATGAGTTTTAAAGATACTGGCAAATAGCTTACAAAATGGCTTAGGACATAAAGACTAGAGTTCATTTTATGTTCTATCTAGTCCCCTGTTATAAATTACATAAATTATCTCATGAGAATAGAAGGTTTACAGTGCAAAGTTAGCCTGCACATATGCTCACAGACTAAAAGAAAATTGCAACAAGATAAGTGGCAAGAAAGTTGCCAGTCTGCATCTTCAGATATACACAATTATTTTTGGCACATGGAACAAAAGGAAAAGAACATGTACCACAAAGAAATGGGCGTAAACTCCAACTATATTCCATCCTACTTCTGTGATCCTAGACCTATTACTTATCCTATCTGGCCCTTTTTTTTTTATTGTAAAACTGAGATAATGTCTACCTCATTCCTGTGTGGCATACATCAGCTAGTGGTACACATACATGCTGTTTTTCTTTTTTCTACTTTATAGGGATTCTTCCTAGAGCTTCAGTCACATTTGAGCCAATTATTACGTTTCATTTGTCATGCTAGGTCAGGTAGGAAATGTATGAACAAAATATATGAATTCCTTGATGACCTGAAATAGTCTGAAACAAGTGGATATTTAAAGAACGTAAGAGCTTCAAATGGGAACAAAGTGAATAATGTTCAGTAGAAATATTTGGAACATGAAATCTGTAGAATGTTGGATTATTGACTTTGCTGATGGGATCTTTGATTTAACTAATTGCATCCAATATCCTTTTGTATTGAGAAACATTTTTGGCTGGAAACATGTTGGAATGTGTGATGGTTAAATTTATGGGTCAACTGGCTAGATCATGGTGCCTATATATTTGGTCAAACATTATTCTGTGAAGTTGTTTTTTGGTTGAGATGAACATTTAAATCAATGGACTTTGAATAAAGCAGATTACACTTCATAATGTGGGTGGGCCTCATCTGATTAGGTGAAGGGCTTCATAGAAAATGATTGACTTCCCCTAGCAAGAAGGAATTCTGCCAGTAGACTACCTTTGGACCCACACACTCTTCCCTGAGTCTCCACAACCTACCCTATCCTGTGAGCAAAACCTCTACAATCATGTGAGCCAATTTCTTAAAATAAATCTCTCTCTAGATAGATAGATATATCTAAATATATATATTCATATATCAGGCAATAATTGTACTACTGATTTTGCCCAAGATCTTGCCATCACTACTTATTTTAGTTTATTTAAACCAGATCAAAACATACTTTCTGGTACTTTACCATAGACTATATTCCTGAAAGTTTAGTCTCAGGGACATAGGTAAATGAAGCTTCATTACCTGACCCTATAGCAGCAGAGTAGGAAAAGCCCACACCTCATTAGAAAGCTGGAATTTAGTTACCTGTGACTAAACCCATCTTACCAGATATGCGTTAGCAGACAGGACAACACATTCGGTTTTAAATGGATTCAAGTATATATTAGCAGGATTTTGCTCAACAAATCATTTTATGTCACTTTAAAAATTCTGTTTGGTAGATGAAAGGAGTCTCTTAGAATATTCTCTAGCGATTATTTTGAAAGGTAGTTGAGTCTTTCTTGTTTCCACTCTCCCTATTTTCTATTACTATGATTTAAATGAGATCACAAATACTTGGAAAGGTGCAAACTGCAAAGAAAATTATCATATTGCTGCATGGTATTGCATGATGCTAATTCTTTGAATTAATATCCTAGTACTCTATTTTGAAGTTACACGTAAATGGCCATCATGTGAAATAGATGTCTATCTAGAAGAATGTCCCTCGGATAGCTCTACTTTGTATCTACATCCATTCTGAAGTCTGCCACTTTGGGGTTTCAAATCAATAAATTTTTTGAGTCAACAGCAATTTATTGAGATTTGTTATGGATCAGGCATTTTCTTAGGTGCTACGGACATTATGCTTGATGCCAGGATTCAAATTCCATCTGGAAGATGTATTGCTCAAATTATAGCTAGTGAGACCAGTCTCATTTAATGGAAATTTTTAATTTATAGCATATGGTAGAAACCTAGAAGAGTGGGAAAACCGTATGTAATAGTAGTACTATTTATTGGTTTTTTATTTTGTTTTAGGCAACATATTAAGGTCTTTACATATATTATCTCTAACTCATGTAATGATTCTTCAGACAGGTATCCTTGTTCTATAGATAAAGAACCTGAGATTCAGCAAAATTGAATAACCCATCCAAGGTTAGCTAGAATGTGGTGGAATGAGATTAATTCCCAGGTCTATCTAACCCCTGTCTTTTACTCCTTCTCCTAGTCCTCCCCTCCATGAATATAGACACTGAAACTATGTTTAAAATTGAAAGATAAACCTAAAAGTAAATGTCATAAGACACTTACCGTCACATATAGACTTATTTTTATTTGAGCATTCATTTGATTACTGCTCCAATAAGAGGGGAAAATATTAGAAAATGGAAACTTGGAAAGTGAATACTTATTGGCTTTGATTTTTCAGTTATATAAAATCATCAGTTAAAAATTTGAATTAATATCTGAAGTTAATCATTCTCTGCGTGCCTCACCAACACAGTAAGTGACTGACACCAGATTGTTCTCATTCAATACACTGAAATTAGCTCTATGTACACCAAATGCAGCCAACTGACACCAGTGAAAGAGGAGAAAGAGGAACATGGCTCACTTTATAACCACACACTGCACAATGAATCTAAAGTCCACTTGTGGGTGAACTTGTGGGAATTCATTTGATATCATCTGCCATCCATTTTGCTCTCAAAATAGGTACAAGGAAATGTTTAAAAGTAAGTTTTAATTCTAAAGGAGAAGACAAGTGATTTAGCTTTTAGCTAAATCTTGTGACAGATTTTTCCAATATTCAAATGATTGACTTCCAGTTCACTTGAAAGAAAATAGTTTGTCCCACTTAAAGCTTAACATGTATTTATAACCACAATTTAGTTATAAAACAGGTTCTCTTTCTGCGACACTTCCGTGGATACTATTGTTTACATCAGGTGGTTTATCATCAGAATTTAGAGCATGTTATTATGTACCAGCTTGCTTATGCCTCAACTGACCTCTGTGAAGAAATAAGTATTATCAGATTTACATGCAGGAATATAGGCACAGGGACATTACATTATGGAGACAGCTGTTGCACAGTCATTAACAATAAAGGCTCTGGAGCCAAATTTCCAGGGTTTTGTTCCGGTTTAATCACTTAGTATGCTGTGTGACCTTGATCAAGTTATCTAACCTCTCCGGATTTTTAACTTTTTATCCAAAAAGGGTAGTGACACTAGTATTGCTGCAAAGAGCAAAGGAGATAATCTTCTTAAACTGGTTAGAATAACGCTGGTGCTCTTCTTATAATGGACTTGCCTGTGAACAGAAAACAAGAAGTCTTATGCTTTAAAGCACCTGGGCAGTCCTTCTGCAGATGCAGACTCACAGGTATCATCGTCCTGTGAGTGATTAAGGATAATTGCATAAAAGATTCACTTAAAAAGTAATTAAATTCTCACATCAAATCACACAAGCTACTTTATATGAGACAGTTTAACAGTCTACGAGTAGGCAATCACTCACTGGGTATGTTATTAAATGTTTTTTAATAAAAATATGTGCTTTATTGTAAAAGCTAAGGAAGTTAAGGAAAAGTGACTGGAGACTTAAATGGTATAATTGTAGTTAAGTATTTTCAAGAGGTAAATGCTGGGATATCTGTACAGTCTTTGTAATACACCGTAATATATTATTGAAGTGCCATCTGGCAGACTGAAATGTTGTCGAAATGAGGAATGCCATGCATCATTTCACCACATCTGACATGCTGTGAAGTCAGTACAAGTTAAACTTTACTAAGTGTGGTTGTGTCCATTAGCACAGTTAGGAAAGCCAAGGCAGGGAAAGTAAGGTTGTAAAGTTAGTACTTGCAGCAGAGTAACCACTATTGAAAAATATATGAGTTACTAGGATGCTGTTGTTTCAGTAGTGGCTGAAGGCCAGACTCCCTGGGTTTGAAACCCAGCCCCATCCGTTATCAACTGCAGATCTTCAGCAAGTTGCTTAACATTATTTGTTTGTTTGTTTTTTGTTTGTTTTTTGAGATGGAGTCTCTGTCGCCAGGCTGGAGTGCAATGGCACGATCTCGGCTCACTGCAAATTCCGCCTCCTGGGTTCAAGCGATTCTCCTGCCTCAGCCTCCCGAGTAGCTGGGATTACAGGTGCCCGCCACCACGCCCGGCTAATTTTTGTATTTTTACTAGAGACAGGGTTTCACCATGTTGGCCAGGATGGTCTCGATCTCTTGACCTCATGGTCCACCTGCTTTAGCCTCTCAAAGTGCTGGGATTGCTTAACATGCTTGTGTCTTAGTTTCTTCATTTGAAGAGTGGAGACATTGATAGTGCCTGTCTCATAACACAGTTGTGAGGTTTAAATGAGTTGGTCTATATTCAATGTTTAAAGAAGTTGCCTGATATATAGTAAACAGTAAAAAAAAAAAATGATCATTTTTACAAAACACTAGGTATAGTAATGTCATCTTCTATGTATGTTAATAATAAAAGGGACTGATGAAAAACTCTTCATTTTTTCATATAGTTTAGGTAGCATGTCTTCCAGGTTGAGTAAGAGTCAGCCAAACAAACAGGTAACAAAGTCACTGAGGAGAGAAACAGCATGAGTGGATTCAATGCAAGGTGATGATTTGACCACATCTAGGTTTTAGAAAGATACCCATTAGCACCAGAGACTATGACTTGGAGGGGAAAAATATGAGTGGCAGAGAGATCAGTTAAGATGCAACTGGAATATTTCAGCCTAGAGATTATGAGGATCTGGACTAGTATACTAATAACAAGATAATAGCGTGAGTGTGAAAGTCTGTACGGATGGAGTATGGACGAGACTTAGTATAGAATATAGGAATGGAAGGAGAGGGAAAATTCAATATGAAGCCCCAAGAGGCAGGTAATAAAAGTAATTCCAAAGCCATTTCAGAATGGTTAGGAGCTGTAACAGAATTGTTAGCATCAAAGAAGAGCCGTCCTAGGGGCTACTTTGAAGAAGAAAACATGAGAATACTTATGTGATTGTTTATATCTGGAATGCTTGCCAAATAAAACTGGTCCCAGTAAACACTAAAAGTTACTATAATCCTTTTGGATAATAAATTAATGGTACATATAAAAAGTCATAACGTTCATAATCTAACATGCTAGAGTTTTCTTCTAATAAATTATCTCAATGAGTTTACAGTAAGGGGATAAAGAGCGGCGTACACAAAGATGTAATTTGGTAATTACTAATAATAGGGAAAATGTCTGTGTATATCTGTTTAGACTAGATGGGTATGTAGTATGTCAACTTCATTGAATGTTATACGGACAGTAAAAATTAATATTTTAATAACTCCTACCAATTATTGAGTTCAATATATTAGACACTTTATTTTATCCATCCATCTCAATATACCACAATATGAATTGTCATCTCCATTTCAAAAGGAAAAAAATACCTGCAGAAAATTAAGAAAACTTCCCAAGGTCTCTCAGCTTATGAGTGGCAAAGACTCAGGAGATACTGCCTAGGGATAGATTGTGTTAAGGGAGTTAAGGTCAATTGTGTGTATTCATGGTTGTAAGAAGTTCCCAGCCTCTGCTTCCACAGATGGGAAATAACAGAACATAGATTCAGACTCAGATCGGGTTTACCTGACTGCAAAACCTGTGTTCTGAATATCCAGCTCACAAATTATTGTTTAAATGACAAAAGATGAAAATCATGCCCAGTCTCTGATTTCAGCTGTAAATATGTACACCTAAAAGGCAAATAAAAGAATACTGAATGAGAAATGAAAACTGCTGTGTTTTGTAAGTTTTAAACATTTCCTTATTGTTGCAATTTGGTGTTACAAAAACAGAGCATTTAAAAACAAGAGGATATTAAGGTTAAGAAAAAAATGAGAATCATATGAGAATACTTATGTATTTTATAGTATATCTTACACACCCAAATCTTTTGCTGACACCTTAAACTGTCAGTATATTTTTGAAAATCAATATCTCCTATTTGCTTAGGAATAAATTTGAAATATCCCTTCAACCATTTGTGATTGGTTCTAAAAGCAAAACTATAAAAACAATAAAAAAAATACAAAGCATGTGTTACATGTCCAAATATTGTTTTGTTATTACTAAATACGTTTGGATTCTACTGTAGGTTGTTCATGACCTTACTTTATTTTTCACGAATTTGCTTATGACTTTTTAATTTCTTAAATTCTAATAATGAGATTTCTTAATAATTCAAGTTTTAAAATGTTCTTTTTTATGTTTCATTACTCAGCCTGTCTTCCATGCTATACACTACAAATTCAAACAAATTTAATTCTCTGGAACTGATTCTCTGAAAAACCTATATACAGAATTAAACAAATATTAATTAGAAACATTTGTTTAGAAGTGAGATGCATGGCCAGGATCAGCTATATTTGAATTTTTACAATATATGAGAATTAAACTTGCATTGTGTGGGTGTGTTTAAAATATTTATGTAAAAAGAAAAAATGCTAAAAACTTTTAGATATTAGAAGGTAGCATTCAAGTGTCAGGATTCCCAGGTTTGGATCCTAGCTTTGCTTTTTAAGACCTGGGGAAAATTACTCATCTTCCCCAACCACTCATCCACACGTTCCTTATTTGTAAAATTGGGAATATAAATTTTTCTTTTTCCCAGATATGTTGTGAAGCTTAAGTACTTGTATGTGTCAGGCATATACTGAATTATATCTGGTAAATGAAAATATTAGCTGTTATCGCTAAATATAAAAGTGAGAGGCTTAGCATTTCTACTCCTATGATACGTTCTTAAATTTCCACAATTTCCCCTAAATGCTCAGCTATGCTTCAGCCAAAATCTTAACAGAAAGAAAACAGCCATAAATCCAGTCCTGCACTCAAATCAGGCGATCTTCGCCAGCTAGATGGAACATTTACAATAGTGTTTGGCTAGCATTAGGTACTTTTAATGTAACGACTTAAAGCTTAAAAGTTATGAAAATATTCAAGTGTTTCTAAAAAGTCAGCTTTTTTCGAGTAAAAAAAATATATGCACTCACTCTTTCTTTTCTAATTGTTTTGTTTGTCTGAATTACAATACAATCTGCCTGAATTTGAGAGGCAGATCCATTTTAGGCAATGTTCTTATGTTCTTTTGAATCAGCAGACTTTACGTAAAAATTTAATTTCATTTAAAATTTTTATTTAAATGGAATGTCTGCACCTTTTTACAAACTAAAGAGATACAGTACATGTGTTGTGGGTGGTATGTGTATATGTGTGTGAGGGAGGGGAAAGAGGAAAGATAAAACGAGAGAGTTAGGACTAAATTTATGGCAGAGTTCTGTTTACTTATGCTACCCTATAGCAAGCAGCACAAAGTAATGTAATTGCCTTTATTCTCCTGTAGACTATAAGGTGAATGAGACTAGAGATCAGTTCCTTCCTCAACACTGGACATAGTGCCTTGCACATAGGGAACTTAATTAGATTAATATATTTTTGAATAAATGTATACAAGGCAAAAAGAATTAAAAAAGAGGAAATAAAAGAAGAAATGATATGGGGGAGGGAGTTTTTGTATTACTGAGGTAAAACAGTAGACCAACCTTGAACAGAGCATCTGCAGATGGATGTGATAAGCTTGCTAATGACTCATTAATAAGAATAAAAAATGGCCACTCCTTGCTTCATCTGATTCTTGTTTATTCTGATTGGATGAAGAAATGGATAGGTAAGTACTCACCTGATCATCAATCCTGAATCACATATTAGATTTCTGGTGAATTTCCAGATAATATAGAAAAATAAAAATATTTATCTTGGTGATATTGGATTATGTAAAACTGTGGAACCATAGAGTTGTGAAAACACTAAGGACCAGATTTATAAATGCCCTTAGAGTAAATCCATCACGGAAGCTATCGGTTTTACTACAATTTTCTATAGGGAGATTATTTGAGGATCATATGGCCTTCCTTCAAAGTATGTGTGATGTATCTTTGCAGGGCAGAGAGATTTTTCCTCTTGACATCTATGAGGAAACCACTGTTCTGTCAAATAGCTTCTTATTCCCACCCTTTTTATGAAGTGGCAACCCAAAAAAATTCTCAGACACTTTAGATACTGATATGAACAAATTGAACTAAAATGTATATTCTGTGGAAGCTCTTCCACAGTAACTGAACATCTCATGTTTGTTTGGCATTGATTGTCACGTTTTTGTTTCTGCCTGCTTATTGTCAGGAAATCTTTGAAAAGTTTCAAGAGATACAGCAAGCAAACTCCTATAATTGGCTTGGCACAGGGTATTCCTCTGATATGTAATCCAAAATCAATGATCAATGTTTTAATAGGATTTTTTAGAATTAATTTTTCCAATTTCAATTCATCATCATCTTTATCGAAAATTAAACTTTATGTGTAGCTAAGGTATTCTATATTTAAAAAACAGTTATAGTTTCTAACAATTGCTTCTCAATAATAGTAATAATAATACTTGTCTCTGACATTTTATAGCATGTTTTATATTTTTTAAACTTTTTTCAACATTAATTATTTCTCAATCCTTACCTCTCTGTGAGATTAAAGAACTCAGAGAGGCTACATTTCTACAAAGATTACTTCCTGTATGAATTTTTTATGTCTAAAGCTCATATTTGATATCAAGCCTGGACTAAAGAACTGGCTGGAACCAGAGACTATCTAAAAGAGCCTAACAATACAATATAGGCAGATGCAATTAGCCTATGGCTGGCATTGTGATTAGCTGGACACACCAGTTAGAAACCTACTACTTTCTGAATGCCCCAAAGACATGAAAAGCTATTTTTATGTGATGCTGCAGTCTCTTTTATATGTGTTTCACTCGTCATGGTAGTGATTTGTGGAAGAGGCTTTCCAATCCCCATTGTTACGGACCATTTTTGGAGTACAGTAGGTCTTACTTAGCACAGGATATAATTGTGAGTTGTTGCATTTATTGTTGATATTATTAGATTTTGCTGATCCTGGTTGCCAACTAATTCTTTTAAGTACTTTGGAGGAATACAACATAACACCATGAAAGTAAGATTAAGATGTTAACTTGTTTGAGCACCTACCACGTGCTATATCACATTTAATACTGAATAACTTGATGATATAGACATTATTAGCCCCAGTTTATAGATCAGGAAACTTAACCATGCCTCCTGACTTTAGCTTATAACCTAGTTGGAACTATACCACACAGAACAATGAAATTTGTTACCTATATTTTGGGGAAATTTTAGGATATTATCAGTAGCTTAAAGAAACAGTGGAATCTTCAAATTGCAGATGATTATACTAATAATATTATGAACAGAAAATATTTGTAGATATTTCATGGATAATATTTTTTCCTACATTTTCTTCCTTACAACTGTGGAGGCAGTGGCTTTCATTGCAGAAGGTGAGGATAAATATAGCCGAGGACAAAGAAGCTATTGCTCAGGCTTGAATTTCAAAATAGAGTGTTTAATGTCATTCTCTGACATAATAGTCAGAAAGCCAAACACTTGCTGAGAGATTTTTCTTGAAATTTCAAAAGCTGGACATTATGTATCAAGCTAGGAGAAATAGGTATAGATTGTGATTATTAGCCACAGACTACAAAAGAGTGGTTGATGTAGTATCTGATTTCCCACCCCAAGGGAAACAAGTGTTTCACCATCTAGAAAAAGAGAATGATTCAAAGTAAGCCAAACTATAGTGTGAATCCTAGTGGGTGCCTAATAAGGGGCCCATCACTAGGATTAAAAGTTCAGGGTGGGTATGGCAGAAACATCCAAATATTAATAGTTTTAATAGCATCCCTTATTCAAGTTTGTGCTTCTCTTCCCAAAATACAACCCTGGAAGTCTACAAACCTCTAAGAACATCTCAGATTTACAACTGGTCTGAGCAACAAAGTGTCCATTTAGAGACTAAGGGAGATCTCTACAGACATGGGCCAGAGGACTCACTCCCGATTGGATTCTTCATACCCTAGTGAGACATGAACGCGTCTGAGCTAAATGTTTCTGATGTGAGCATGAAGTGCTGAAAGGGTGGAAGGATTTGAAAGGATGGAGAGTTCAGATAAGAACATAAAATATAGATACCTGAGTGATTAGTAGTCCTGGCGGATGTATGGAAATTTTAAGGACAGTTTCAGTGAGGTCAGTTGATCCAGTGGTTGGACACCTCAGCAGAGGTCAGAGACAGCAGAGGAAGAGGATGGCACAGGGAATAAGTACCCCTCCCACAGCATGTCTCTCTCTCTCACACACACACAGACATACACACACACACACACACACACACACACACACACACACCCTTTTTATGAAGTGGTAACACAAAAAGTTCTCAGAAACCTTAGATATTGATATGAACAAATTGAACTAAAAATGTATATTACATGTATATTACATCACATGCACGCACACACACACACACACACACACAGACCCCAGCAGGAGCAGCAGCACCAACTGCATAGGGAAGAAGGAAAGAAGAACATACTGTCTCAGACATGAAGCAACTTGATAAGTTTGTCAAGGAAACAGAAATTTAACAAGTACAGAAATTAGGCCTTGTGAAATACCTTGATATCAGTTATAGATTTTTTAAAGTTATATTTTGTCACATCAGAATTTGTGACAGTGACTATAAATTTAAACCTACTAAACTATAAATTAAAAACCTCTAGACTTTAATAGTTTAGAAAATATTTCCATTCATTTATCTCATTTGATTCTTATGACCAAATGGTGAGATAGATATTAATAATTTTTCTTCATACAGATGAAAGAAACAAGGCTTACAAAAATTATACAGCCTGTTTCAAATTTCCTCACTATTACTTGGCATGGTTAGAATCCATATTTAGGTTTTACAATGTCAAAGCTCATACTTTATCCACTATATTGCATTTGTTTTATTTTATATTTATCTATTCAATTTACAAAACTACATGCTTAATATATTATTTCATATAATTTAGAATATAGGCCTGCTCACATTATACCTGATAAAGTATGATGTGTCTATAGGTTAGTCATTAATTTCACATCCGGTTTATTCTTTTTTTGCTATTCATTTATTCTTCAAATAAATATTTACTGAATAGATAATGTATGTTAAGAGCTAGGTATGCAAAAAAAATAAGATGCCATTTCTGATAAAATAATGGTCATCTTACTGAAAAAGAGACACATCAACAATTAAAATATAACATGGTCAGTCTTACAGTAGAAATGTATGTAAATCACTTTCAAAACACAGAGGAAAAAAACCACTAACTTTCCCTGGGATGGAAGGAGGCAGAAGGTATAGAAAGCCTTCATGGAGAAAATGACATTTGGAACTACAACCTAAGGAATGAATAGAAGGAATTTTTCAGTATTTCTGGCAAATAATAAGGCTTGGGCAAGACAGGGTATATTTTTAGAGCTCCTGATAGCTCAGTGTGGCCAGAATATCAAATGCACATAGGAAGGCGTATTAGTCCATTCTAACACTGCTATAAAGATACCTGAGACTGGGTAATTTATAAAGAAAAGGGTTTAATTGACTCACAGTTCCACATGGCTGGGAGGCCTCAGGAAACTTACAATCATGGAGACAGGTGAAGGGGAAGCAAGGCACGTCTTACATGGCAGCAGGAGAGAGAGATAATAATAGGGAAACTTCCAAACACTTTTAAAACCATCAGCTTTTCCAAGAACTATCACAAGAACTATCATGGCTCTCCCTCACTATCACAAGAACAGCGTGGGGGAAACCACCCCCACGATCCAATTACCTTCCATCAGATCCCTCCCTCAACACGTGGAGATTACAATTTGAGACGAGATGTGGTCGGGGACACAGAGCCAAACCTTATCAGAGGGTGAGAGCAGAACAACTGTGTGAATATGTTAGCCACATCAAAGAGCTGGGGCACAAGGAGTCAGTGATGGTTTAATCAGGAGAAGTGTCCTATATAGGCCTGTATTTCACAAAATCTCAAGATGGGAGGACCCCACAGAGGTGAGATTGAAGGAAGAAAAGTCCAAAGGAAGTGAGGGATCAGTGAGGTCCACTCAGGGCCCACTGGAATCAGGCACAGGAGACATTAAAGAGTCCTGAACTGGGGAACTGTTGTGGGTACAATGAGAGAAGAGGAAAATGAAAACTATTTAGAAATTGGAGATCATAAAATTAGAAGAAAAAGCATATGCTCATAAGGGAAGAAAGAAGTAGAATATTTTAAGTTTGGACGAGTAAGTAATATGAAGACAAAGAGAAGGGATTTAAGAAGGAAGCCATTTCCTATCAATCAGAAAAACACTCTGTTATATTATACCACATTTTACTACTTGCATACTTACAAATATTCCAAGGGCACAACAGATATCTAGATATGCAAACATGTACAACATATTTCTTCAGGTAAGTATACTGAATGCCAGAAAAAACCTCTACAAATGTCATTATTTAGATATAAATGTGAAACAGCAAGAACATTTTGGGAGTTACTAGAGTCACTTGAATTCTATATTGTTCCTCAGAATTTGGAAAATAGAAAATCCAAAGTTTAACAATAAATGGAATTTCTTAGAATCTCAGCTTTTGATGCTAAATAATCAACAAAGGGTAGTATTTTAAAGAATTAAGGCGCAAATATTACAGCCTTAAATAACACTCAAAATGCCTAGAATAAACTTTGGTAAAATGCCTTTTTTACATCAACAGTTCAGTTTTCAAAATCGACACTGATGTCTACTTAGCTGAAAGATTTATTTCATTCTTCAATTATGATAATAATAAATAACAGTTATCAAGAGTTATTGGAATAATTTTAAGTAAATGGTATGCAGTACCTCACTGAATTCTCCCCCTAGGATCCCAGAAAAACAGAGAGGCCCTCAGCTGCTGGCGAGTCCCTGCTGCATCCTGTCCCCCGCCACATTGAAAATCTCCCCAACTCACAGTTTTCATGCCAGACACCCTGAAGACTGGAAGAGGCTTAGGGAGCCCCATTTTGCCATGTACCATCAATAAAGTCATCTGTCCCTGCCCCACCCCCTGCCAAAATGAGAATTTTTTTAAGTCGAGGGGAAACTATTGGGGATCTTCTAAAAGGAAAATTAATTCTACAAAGAAGGCATTTACAAAGATTAGTCTGACAGATGGTGACAGAAACTAAAGTCAGAGAGACCAATTACAATAATATTTAAGTTCTTACACATAGGGAGGAAGGACAAGGAAAGAAGTCTTTTAAGTAGGTCAGTATTTTAAATTGACAAAAATTTAAATTAATTTTATTTCAGTATTTTGACTTATCCTCTAACATCTGGAGGTAGTAAAGCTGGCTGAGTATCAGACTAGCTCTTGGTACTTTCACTATTTAACAACAGTAGATTTAATTCTACAGTAAATCTCAATTCTTTACAGATTTACAGAAATTTATAGTCTCTTCATTTTAAGAATCATTTTTGTAAGCCAGATTTTTAGTAGCTGATTTCGTCTATGACATAAAAGAAGCAAAAGCAGTCTCTTGTGCAATGTTTAAGATAAACAATGGAACAGTTTGCTAATTAAAAGTCTTACAAGGATATATTTCTTGGTAATAGTTTATGTAGTTCTTTCTGAACTCACTGGTGGCTGGCTGTGTCATTCTGACAGGGTCCGTGGCCTTCATTTAAAAGGATGCAAGTGTTTTATCACATGTTGTACTTCCAAGAAATGTTTACTGTGATAGCTCACAACTTATTCTTGACATCTGCAGACTCTTTCAAAGTATCTCTTTTTGTGTTTATGTTGCAAATTAGTATTGGTATCATAGATACTTATACATATGATGGGAATTATTTTCATAATGACACAATTTGTAAATATATTACACTATGTGCAAGTTATATACTATTTATCAACTTTTTAGAAGCTTTGCATTTCATCTAGCCTGATCTATGCAAATGGTAAAGGCATCTTTGGAAAGATTAGAACATTCTACAACACAGAATTTTTCTGATGTAATAAAACTTTCCTGGATTCCTCTATCTCTTCAACAAAAGAGAAAGGTACTTTTTTAGTCTATAAATTGTATATGCTTCCCTTTTGCTCTTTGAATTGGCACAAAGATCTTTAATGATTACATATTTTCATTCTTTTGTTAAAAAATCATATTTGCTCACAGAGTAAATATGGTGAGGATTACATAAAGAAAAGTATATATATTATGCCTAGATGAGTTCCTCAAATAATAGTAGACCCCCAATAAATATTAACTCATTTCTTCTCCTTTTATTCCATTTGAATACAAATTCATTTTGAAGTAGTTTTGTAAATGTTTGAGATAAAGCATTTCAAAATATCAGGAAGATATAACTGTGTATCAGTCTAGCAGTTTACAATCAATGAACATGGATGGAACATTTTGTATAACATTTTGCTATATGTACAGTGCCAAAAGAGAAGATGATAGTAGAGGCTTCCTCTAGGAAGTGATCACTGAGTTGAAATTGGAAGATAAAATAGGAGTTAACCAGGTAAAAAGAGAAGTTAATGAGAACAACACAGGCAAAGGGCCTGAGGTGGTAGGAAACAAGGCCTTTTCTAGTCTGAAAGAACACTCACATTTGTGGACACTGAGGAAGTGAAGCTGGAGTGTAGATAATAGCTAGACTTACAGGAATCCATATGTTTTCCTATGCCTCATAAGAAAACATATTAATTTTTGTCTTTATCTCAAAAGAAATTGCAAAGCAATAAATTGTTTTAACTGGGGAAGGGGTAAGATGATTCAATTTGTATATCTAAAGTATTATTTCTAAAGAATTATTACGGTAATAGTGTGTTAGATTGCTTTTCCTAATTAAAATTACTTAAATCTTCACAATATTTATGTGAGATGGGTATTATGTTCACTTTTAGGATAAGTTATGATGTAGAGAGTTAAAATAACTTTTCTGAGGTCACCTAGCTAAAAAGTAACAGAAAACAAATTTAAATCCATATCTTTGGTATTACTGAAATTCAACTATGCATGCTACTAAACCACAGCTGTTGGCAAAACACAATTTTGAGAGACATTTGATAAAATAAAATTTTGAAGGCCAGGGCAGCAGATGGCAAGGGAGTAACGGAGGTTAGGCAACAAAGAGTAGTAAAACTTCCAAGTCTTCTAGAATAGAAGACCCCCAAAATAACCTCAAATATTTTTGTCTAATGGGATAACAGAGAAATAAATTTTAAGGAAATAATAATTCTTTCCACCTTTGCCTCCGAAACTATTTTTTGCTGATCAGCCTGGAGTTCACTTTCACAAAACTATAGCCGATGTCAACTGGATATTTAGGATGAGAGAAGTAAGCGATTCCAAGCATTGACAAGTACAAAACCAGCCATCCTAATGAGCCATATTCATCAAAATGAGTAAGTCTTTTCATCTGCTGCAGATTACCCTAGAGTTGTGTTTTTCTCTGCCGTTTTGCTTATTTAGCTGGGCACAGAAGATATTCATTAAGAGGCAGAACTGGCAGTCCCAAATACCTTTCTGTCTTGGAGAGGCCTTGCATACATACTGATAATTGGTGTGATGAAATGAACCCCTCAGAAAGTCTTTGTGTGGATAATATCACCCTTTGTCAATCAAAGAAAAAAATTGAGAGACAGTGCAATGCAGCCCTATTTGTACCCATAAAACAATTCAAATGACTTTGCTCAACCCCAAGTTTGTTGACAAATCTGTAGCTGAAAATAACGAATAATGCCTATATTTTTATATCATTTCCCCAATTGGGGGTAAGTTGTTTTTCTGTTAAAAGAGGAAGTGAGAAATTATAAAATAATTATACATTGGCATAATAATTCTTGAACATAAAACACAGTCATTTTAAACACAGCAGTCTTACTTGTCTCTGTTTTATGTACTGGAGTTCTTTGTAATATTTTACTGGATAAAAGCAGTCCCCAATTATAAAAATGTTTGAAAACCACTGACCTAGTGGTGACTGTGTTACCCTTGAAAGTAGGAGTCCAACTAGTTTCCCAAGAACACCTAAGGAAGTAGCAACATAAATAATCTAATCTATTTACTTCTGAAGAATTTAATTAATTAGATTATATTTCATATTTTAGTGACTCCATTTATTAACAAAACAAAAAATTTATTTGTAAAAGTATAGTTAATTTAATAAATAATAGTTATAATCCAAAGTTTTAGATACAGTAGATCTGAGCAAAATTAAAATATATAAGGTTTTGAATGTGAAAGGGAATTTAAGGCTTTATGAATTGATAGTTATCTCAAAAATTCTTAAGTATGTCCATTCCTAAAATATAAAATGCTCCATAAATCCTCCAGATATTATAAAAAAATAAAATTTTATTTTATAACTAAACTTCAGTGCTTGAAAGAAACTGTTTAACCAAACTAAAACTGATTTGTTTAGATATTAGATATTTAGATTAATATCTAAATTTTAATATGAATGTTATTTTTCCCCAAATGTCTTATAACTTAGGAAAATAGGGCAAAAGTAATTTACTTGAGAAATTTGTAAAATACATTTCAAGCTAATCAAAGCAGAAAAAAATCAAAACATATTCATAAGTACAACTGCATTAAACAGACTTGCATGCTGGCCAGGATACAAGAGCCAAGGAAGAGACCCAGGGAACTCAACAGTTGGTGGATATCCATTACTGCCATTCCTTTGGTGCCAGTCCACTCAGAGGCAGTTATGTTAGGAAGGAAAAAACTGTCTTTCAAAGTATAAATGCTAAACTACTACCAAAGAAATAGATAAAGATTTGGAATGACTTGGAGTTCCTGATGGCATCACTGAGCCACTTATACCAGATGGATGCTTAACCATTTGTTCCCTTGCCATGCCAGGCTTGGTTATGTGACTTGTTTTGGCCAAAGGACTGCAAATGGACCTAAAATATGCTATGTGTGAGCAGAAGCTTTCATTGAACTTCAGCTGGCCAGTTTGGCCTCTTGCTCCTGTCCTCTACCAGGAAAACAGCACATCTGAGATGAAGGCTGCTCCCTCAGCTTGGATCCTGGAGTGAGAAGATTGGGTAAAGAGAGCTGAGTGGAGCTGCTGCTGTTCCACAGGTCTGTAGGGGAGAAATGAATGTTTGTGGTGTAAGCCACTGAGATATTTTGAGATTATATTTACCACTGCAAAAGCTAACTGGAAGAAAGGGTAAAATAAGTATCTTAGTTAAGCTACTAATCATTAATACTTCTTTTATTTTCAGCTAAATACATTCCTAGATTATGTATCCATGAGCAAAGGATTCTCATTCTACTTATTTGTACACCCTCTGGGCAACAATTTACAGCATGTCTTAAATGACAGAACTCAGCAGTGAAAAAAAATGTGAAGATGAAGAGCTCCAGGAAAAGATACCACGTATGGGACAAATTGCAAATGGGTGTAACCTTGCCCAGAGAATCCCACAGCATGGATCCCTTGGTAGCAACAGTGCTGCAAGAGGCTAAGGAAGTGCTTGAGATGGGTGGCTTAAAACAAACACTATCAATGGTTTACACTCTTCTACTCATCTTAGGAATCCAAGTATAAAAGGACCAGGAGTAAATTGCCCTTCCAAACTGTAAAGCATAGTGAGTAAAGATGGAAGAAATTAGTATTTTCTTTTCATGCCAAAAAAAAATTAAAACAAAGCCAAGATAGCAATATAAGGTGAGTCACTCTAATGCATACCCAATTTTCATATATTTAAAAACTTTTTTCTTAAAAAGAGGCTTTAATTACTTTTCCCTATAGAAGTATTCAATTCATTTCCAGTAATTTTATATAGGAATAAGTGTTTACAAGTTGATGCTTCTTCAATATGTCAGCGTTATTCAGTTTCCTTCATTCTGTCAATGTTCTAGTTATACACGGATAAATTAGTTCCCTCTCCAGATTCTCCAGTCAACAAATTGTACCTATATGTATCCAGTTTCTCATGCCAGAAATCTTGGAATAATCTTTGATACCACACTTTCTTTTGTTAGCCCTCACTACTATCAATTCAGCAGTGAATCCAATACCTTCTACAAAGCTTATTTCACTTTCATCTATCTCTTTCCATTTCCACTACCAAAATTCTAGCCCAAGATAATTTATTGTCCAGCTCACTGTAAACATCTCCTAATTCATGAATCCCTATTTCCACTCTCACCTTCATCTAAGTAGAAGCTATGTAAACATAGCAGCCCAAGTAATCATTTAAAAATGTCAATCAATTCACACCACTTTTGTGTTCATAAATGCTTAATGACTTTGCACAGAATGTAGGATAAACAACTTAAATTCTTAACCTGGTCAGTAAGTCCTTGGATGTCTGGCTCATGTCTGCCTCATAACGTGCCAGTCTCCCTGTGCTCCCCATATCCAGTCACATTGACCTCCTGCCAATCACATTGCCCTCCAGTGTACCATCCTCTTCTGATTTAAAGTTTTTGCATTTGCCATTACTCCTATCTTCTTTCTTTGTCTGGCTAACTTCTATCATCTTAGAGGTTTTATTTAAATAGCAGTTCATCAAAGATGCTACTTCTTCTCAGAACTTCAAAATATTCACTCTAAGTACCTTGGTCTTTTTCTTCTTAGCTTTTATCATAATTTGTAATTGTATATCCCTAGAATTATTATTTATTTAAGGTCTGTCTATACCATTAGACTGTAAACTCCCAGAGACCAGGTTTGTACTCAACCGTGTCTAGCACAAGGCCTGGCACACAGTAAATATTTAGAATGAATGAATGCAGGCAGGCAAGAACTTAGTAAAATTTATTAAACTGAAAAAGTTGCAGATTCCAGTAGATATGGTAGATTTTTATTATAAAAGTTCTCCTAACAATATACAGAATGAAAAAATATATTGCACCCTAGTGTCTTTGATTTGTTTACAAATCGGAGGAGCTATTCCTGAGTTGTGCAAGAACAGTAGCTTAGTTCTTAGACTTCTGGTGTATTAAAATATACTTGTGCACAAAATTACCAACTGAGAAAGTCAAAGTGCTTAAGACTTATAAAATTTTCTCAAATAGGTTGATGTTTTTATCTTTTAAATAATATCTTTATGTATTAAATAATAGTTTTGTTAAAAATTATATTTTTAACCAGTCATAAAATGTAATATATTTTAATATTACGATCCAAATTAGTAGCATACTTATTTCTGTAGTTGTGACACTATAAACTGGAAATTAGGATTCTACTTTTAATAGAATAGGATTTCACTTACCCTTTGTCTTTGAAACTCAATAAATTTGAGAAGGAGGGAAGAGTAGGTTATTCTCTATTAACAAACAACTCCCCAAATCCCAACATATCAATGCCTTTATTTCTTTCTCACACCACATGTCAAATACCTATGTGCCAGGAGGACTGCATTTAGAGTGATTGTTCATGGACCAGGACGATGGAGGCTCTATCATGACATGTGCTTCCACAATTACTATATTAGGGAAAGAGCAAGCAGTGCACTGGGTCATAAACACTTCTATTCAGGCCAGGTGCAGTGGCTCACACCTGTAAGCCCAACACTTTGGGAGGCGAAGGCAGGAGGACTGCTTCAGCCCAGGAGTTTGAGACCAGCATGGGCAACATGGGAAGATGCTGGCTCTACCAAAAAAAAAAAAAAAAAAAGCTTCTATTCAAAAGAGACACTCCTTACCTTAGCAAGTCATATGGCTATGGCTGGGAAGCACAATCCTATGATGTTCTCAGAAAGGAGGAGAAGAAGGAATTGAGGGAAACTGTGCTAATGGCTACAAGAGTCATTTAGAGGCATTCAGAAGAATAAGTGGAACGATTCATTCATTGAAACAGTCATTCACACAACATGCATCTTTTTCTGCACCAGGCTGTGAGCTAGTCTGCTTGGGATAAAATATCCAGTGAGTCTCCACATATGTACTGGTTTGGGAAACAGTCATTTAAATAATTATTTAAACAATGATGCTGGGAATGAATGAATGGTCCATATATTGAAGTATCCTAAAAATACCAATATAAAGTGACCTTTGTGTGATCACACAAATCACACAGTTTAAAGGTTTAACCTTTTTTATTTTTTAAAAAAAGATATGTGGAGAATGTAACCAAGGGATTCTGAAGTTTCATTAAACTATATTCATATTCAAATTAACGGTGATCTTTACTCAGTGTGAGGGTAAATTTCTAACTTGACTCACATCCAGAAAAAGAGAATACAAAACCCAAGTAAACATTTTAGGGTTTTTTTGTTACCTCCCTTTTTAATATAAATACTAGAAGCTATCACATTACATTTTATTATGTTGATTCATTAAATTACAACTCTTGACACCCAATAAAGTTTCTATCTTCTGAACTAAAATATGCTATTGTTTCCATTGTTAAGCAATAATATTAAAACCATTAAGTGGCATTTAAAACAAGGAAGTATTCATCCATATTACCAGGACTAAAATACAACTTTTTTTTCCATGCATTTCTTTTTATTTTATTTTATTTTATTATTATTATACTTTAAGTTTTAGGGTACATGTGCACAATGTGCAGGTTACATATGTATACATGTGCCATGCTGGTGTGCTGCACCCATTAACTCGTCATTTAGCATTAGGTATATCTCCTAATGCTATCCCTCCCCCCTCCCCCCACCCCACAACAGTCCCCAGAGTGTGATGTTCCCCTTCCTGTGTCCATGTGTTCTCATTGTTCAATTCACACCTATGACTGAGAATATGTGGTGTTTGGTTTTTTGTTCTTGTGATAGTTTACTGAGAATGATGATTTCCAATTTCATCCATGTCCCTACAAAGGACATGAACTCATTATTTTTTATGGCCGCATAGTATTCCATGGTGTATATGTGCCACATTTTCTTAATCCAGTCTATCATTGTTGGACATTTGGGTTGGTTCCAAGTCTTTGCTATTGTGAATAGTGCCGCAATAAACATACGTGTGCATGTGTCTTTATAGCAGCATGATTTATAGTCCTTTGGGTATATACCCAGTAATGGGATGGCTGGGTCAAATGGTATTTCTAGTTCTAGATCCCTGAGGAATCGCCACACTGACTTCCACAAGGGTTGAACTAGTTTACAGTCCCACCAACAGTGTAAAAGTGTTCCTATTTCTCCACATCCTCTCCAGCACCTGTTGATTCCTGACTTTTTAATGATTGCCATTCTAACTGGTGTGAGATGGTATCTCATTGTGGTTTTGATTTGCATTTCTCTGATGGCCAGTGATGGTGAGCATTTTTTCACGTGTTTTTTGGCTGCATAAAGGTCTTCTTTTGAGAAGTGTCTGTTCATGTCCTTCGCCCCCTTTTTGATGGGGTTGTTTGCTTTTTTCTTGTGAATTTGTTTGAGTTCATTGTAGATTCTGGATATTAGCCCTTTGTCAGATGAGTAGGTTGTGAAAATTTTCTCCCATTTTGTAGGGTAGGAAGAATCAATATCATGAAAATGGCCATAATGCCCAAGGTAATTTATAGATTCAATGCTATCCCCATCAAGCTACCAATGACTTTCTTCAAAGAATTGGAAAAAACTACTTTAAAGTTCATATGGAACCAAAAAAGAGCCCGCATCGCCAAGGCAATCCTAAGCCAAAAGAAGAAAGCTGGAGGCATCACGCTACCTGACTTCAAACTATACTACAAGGCTACAGTAACCAAAACAGCATGGCATTGGTACCAAAACAGAGATATAGATCAATGGAACAGAACAGAGCCCTCAGAAATAACACTGCATATCTACAACTATCTGATCTTTGACAAACCTGAGAAAAACAAGCAATGGGGAAAGGATTCCCTATTTAATAAATGGTGCTGGGAAAACTGGCTAGCCATATGTAGAAAGCTGAAACTGGATCCCTTCCTTACACCTTATACAAAAATTAATTCCAGATGGATTAAAGACTTAAACGTTAGACCTACAACCATAAAAACCCTAGAAGAAAACCTAGGCAATACCATTCAGGACATAGGCATGGGCAAGGACTTGCTGTCTAAAACACCAAAAGCAATGGCAACAAAAGCCAAAATTGACAAATGGGATCTAATTAAACTAAAGAGCTTCTGCACAGCAAAAGAAACTACCATCAGATTTTCATGCATTTCTATCTATTTTTCACACATGATTATACAAAGAAATTCTACTAGGGAAGAGGGGGAAGGAGATTAACAACATATTCCTTTATATAAATTATGGGTAAGTTTACCTATGATTTTTATATGGAACTTAAACATGCATAACAGTTCTAGTAGTTTCTTCTTGTACCAAAGTACAAAAGCACATCATCTTTGTATCCAGTCCCCTGTGTTCACGTCCCACATTGATGTCTACTGTGTTTGAGTTTCAGTGGCTTGCTTTTTGTCTGCAGGAAGCAAATCTTAGATATGACGAGACGAGGCAGAAAAAGCGAGTAAACAAACAAAAAACGTCCATCCTCCTTATATTACGTGTGTAAATAACCGCTCATTAAATAAAATTAGATAGTGCAAAAGATAAAACAGGTATTATTTTGGAATAATTCAAACCCTGGACTGGGAGAGGTTGACATCTCGTATTACTGTTAACACCTAGACTTAGGACATTCAGATTTTGTCATGTAAAATGGTGTGTGGGATTACATTCACAGATGCAGAAATATGTTCTGTTCCATCACACCCACGAGCCTCTGAACAGTACACTGAAAGCTGGCATGAATAAGAACCATTTTACAAATGAAAAGCATAGCTAATGTGCTGATATGTGATGCATTAATTTAGTCATCATGGTGTTTCTTCAATTTAAAACATTATTTCCTTAATAAGGAGTTATGTCTTTTAAAAAGGGTTATTAGATGGGACTGTGTATGTATGTAGATATCTTGTTTAATCAGATATTCTTTGTAAATATTTCTACATTTCATTGTTTACAACCCAAATACATATTTTAAGAGCTTTAATCTCATAATTTCAAAAATGCTTTATAATCATTGCTAATATGGTTTGCTGGTGGGTTATAAAACATCTTGCCTTAAATTTACCTGCAATCAAAGCTTCTAGATATGGTGGACTAAGAATTTTAGCATTAGAAAAAATATAAATGAAACGTTTATTTCAAATTTGTCTTGTAACAGAAGAACTAAGTCATAACAGATGTTTAACCAGATATTTAGAAGAAGGAAGGATCTTACTATTTAAAGGACCTTCCAAAGTAACTTTTTTTTTTTTCAGAGTGTCACTCTGTCACCCAGCCTGGAGTACAGTAGTGTGATCTCAACTCACTGCAACCTCTGCCTCCTAAGCTAAAGCAATCTTCCCACCTCAGCCTCCTGAGTAGGTGGGACTACAGGTGAGCACCACCACTCTTGGCTACTTAAAAAAAAAAAAGTAGATACAACATCTCACTATATTGCCCAAGTTGGTCTCACACTCCTGAACTCAAACAATCACCCCACCTCAACCTCCCAAAGTGCTGGATTACAGTCACCCAGCCCAAAATGTAACTTAATAATGCAAAAAACTTCTCAGAAATGAGTCTGTTTTACAAATTCCAACTGTATTGTATTTTATTTTCCTGATTAGAATGGTTTCCTAATTCATATTTGAAGTAATAGTTTATAGAAAGCCCTAACAGCACTTAAAGTCCTCCTTGTTTTTTGGTGAGAAAACTTATTGGTTGACCCCTAATAAAATTAGCAAATTTAGAAGATAATTTATTTATTTAAAATGAATTGAACATTTCTTCATCATCCAACATTCATTTAGCTGGCATTATCCTAAAAAGATCAATGATTTAAAAAGAACATTTTAATTTTAATGTTTTAAGAAAGGATATAGTATCCAAATTTAGAGTGCTTCAATATTAGTGAAAATTAATTCCACATTTCTTAAATAAAGATATTTTAAAAATAGAATACTTAACAGATGTTAAATTTATAGCATAGGAGTCTGCCTAGACAGTCAAGTCAAAGTGGAGGATAAGGCAATTGTCCAAAATGCTTAAGCCAAATAAAAACTCAGGGCATAATTAAGACCAAAAATTAAACTCAGATTGAAATTCAGGCCAAAAATTCAATGAAAAAGAAATGCTTTTTGGATAGTGTCATCAAATTGGCTAGCTATATTAATTGGATCTATTGAATTAAGATTCCTTTCTCTCTTCTACTTTGCTCGGGTGTAAGAGACCCCAGTAGTTCCAAGGGTGTGGTTTTACTGGCAGACAGTGGGAGCTACAAGACCTGATTTTATTGCTATTTCTCCCATTAACAGTTGGATGACCCTCAGCAAGAAAGTATACTTAGTGGGGCCTCAGTTTCTTCTTTTTATAAAATGAGACCCTCTAAATTCCTTTCCAGCTCTGAAGTGTTATAAACTCCTGAAATAGTAAGATTACAGCTATGTTTGTGTGTGCATATGTGTTGTGAAATAGAACAATTACAGCTGTATGTGTATGTGTGTGGTGTGCCCAGTGTTCAACAATACGATATTAGCCTAAGGACTTCGCTAATATTTAACACTCACTCTAAGTTTAACTAGGTATTTGATTTAATTACAATAGCTTTTATAATTGTCTTAATAAATTAATCACACTTGATATAGGGAAGAAATTTTTTTCATGTCTTGAATTACACTGATCAGAAGAACACCGGATAGTAACTATTTAATTTTATGAGTGCTCAAAATATGTGGTCCAAGGTATATTTCCATCCAACATGATTCTGTAAGGTGCCTACTGGTGGTAAGAACTGCAATGATGAATACTTTTGATGCAGAACACTTAAGTAGTTAGTATTTATAAGTCTATTATTTGCAATTTTTAATTGTTTTAGTTACGCCATCTGTGACATATTAATTCTTTAAGTTCAGCTGGCATATTTTAGCTTTGTGTCCATTACCTACCTTTTTAGTGCAACAAATGTCTTCATAATACTTAGGCACTATCTTAATAAAGTTCATTTCTTACCTTTCCTTCCAGTATTGAATAAATTGACAATACAGCCAAGCATCTATAAAGTATTTTGCCACTACACCAGAGTATTCTTATCTTTTTCAATATAATAACATAAAATCCTGTAGTTTCTCAGTGACTTGTCTAGCAGCTCTTTTCCAATTGTTTGTCCCATATTTTCCTCTGTTAGCTCTGTTTTTCTGCTTTTCACAATACCATTTCTTTTTACCTATGAAAATTTCATGATGATAATGATAGTATTTATGCTATTGTTTTGTTTTAAGGTCAGCTACCTCTTTTCTATAATTGAAATCAATAGCTTCTCACTTGTTCTCATACTACTTTACCTCTTGAGTACTACAACATTTAAATATCTCCCTCATCTGACCCACCCCGCCACACACACAAGTATCCTAGAGTTCCACTGTTTTTAACTTAAGCCATTTGTTATGATACTACCTTGGGCATACCTATCCCCTTGTGTTAAGTATGCTTTCAACCTTACTGAACTTCGTGTACAGCAAAAATATCCTGGCACAACTGAAGAAACTGCATCTTTAAGAAGCCTATAAATGAATTATTTAAACAATGTAAACAACTGCTCCATTGTTAAAATATTTAAACACATCATGTCAATGTTAATAGACATTTCAATGCTTCATCCCTGACAACTACTATTTCTTTCACGTGTATTGAAGTAAAATAATATTTTGTATAGAGATTTTAAGTAGTTTATTAAGCAATGAACAATAAAATGAGAATGAGTGTACACAGGAAATCCTTTGGGTTATTAATGTATTTAATATTTTTCCCATGTCTTTGAATGACAAATGATAATGTTTCTATTATGAATAATAATTTAATTAGCATATATGATGCCTCCCCAGGGGCTTAATTATCAAGTGCATCATCATAGTTTCAAAATAGACATGACAGCTATTGACTCAAAATTTGCTTTATTGAAAACTTCCATAATGTACTTTTATATGACAGATTCTACTAGATTATTAAATTTCTGTCGTGAATGAATTATTCCAAGATAATAAGCAACAGTATTTTCTATACCTACATTAAATAATAGTCCAAAAATAATAGGGTGTATTATCACCAAATATACAGCTTTCAAAAGCTGGTTCAAAATCTTAATCTTTCTTTGTACACCAGGAAAAACTTCCATAATCTACAGATTTAAGTTATTTACCGAACTTCAATTTATGCCATGAAGAAGAGAGCACAGAATGGGGAAAAATGAACAGGGGCCAAATCTGGGCTTAAATCTTGGCCCATCACTTTCCACGTGGCATGGATTTGCCACTTGCTGTCTCTGAGTTTCAGTTTTCTAATCTTCAAAACAGTGAGAATCATGCTTCCTGTAGGATTATTTTGAAGTAAAGCACATGACTCATGGTAGGAGTTTAGCAAGCAGTAACTTATTATAATTATGATTACAGTTCAGGTACTATGGTAGGGGAGGCAGTATGACAAGTGATGTTCATGGATTTCTGAGCATATTCACTTTTTTTGAGATAGGAAATAGACATATTTGATTATTTAAATGGCATGCTTTTAATTACACCATTATATAATATACATAATTATACTATGCTATCACTAAACAGAACCACACACACACATACCCCACACACACATTACTACAGAAAAACTAATCTATACAAAAAAGTTTATACTTCACTCTTCTAAAATTTCCAAACCACATTTCATGTACCCCTTTGTCTTCTTTGGTATGTCCTGCAGTTATAAAATAGTAATTATTGCCACCTCTATTTTATCTTGTTAAAAGAGATGTATTACCTAAGATTGCATATTACTTCTAGACATACCTAAGTTTTTCTTACTCCTCTTTCACTATCTCAGGGTAATACTCTACAGTTGTTTCTATAAAAATGTAATTATTTCTAATGATTCAAACCTGAGTCACATAAATAACATGGTTAAAAGCCACATAAAGAAAAAATACTATTGATTTGTGGCAACCATCATTCAAACATTGTTGATTTATAGTGCCACTTTTCATTCTGAGTTTTTATTGACAATTCACAAATAAGTTTTTTAAAACATATGTGAAGCCTGTCTATGAATCTCCTTCTTTTGATTTAGGTATTTGATTTAATTACAATAGCTTATATAATTTGCTTTTTTGTTCCATCAGAATATAATATAATTTGCTTCATTATAGGTTTAAATTGCTATCTTTATATTAAAATTTTATTTCTTAATATTGAAACATTGAAAACTCTCTATTGAAGACTGATGTTGACTGCTAAATTAAAGAAATTCAGAGTGAAAACTTCAACATTCTCCAAAGAGCCTAGAGTCATCTCCAATGATATCTTTCCGTGGCAATAAAAATTAGTTAATGGTAACTCGGCTTGTCATAAACTAAAAGTCTGTTATATGTCACAGATTTGAATTAACATTCCCCTAAAGTCATCTTGCAAATTTACATGGCTCCAAAAAAGAATGTGGATGATACTCTGCAAAGTAGTCACTGTTATTAGAGACAACAAAATACACCAAATAATGTCTTTCAGTGGTAGTGTGGCTATTATAACTACTGTGTTCAACAGCATATATGTTTGAAATAATTTTTTCAAAAAACTATGAAATAATTTGTGTGAAGAAAGAAAATGTAATAAGAATCCATAAATAATTCAGATGATAATTCATCAATAATTGGTTACTCTTCGTGTAGTCGGTTAATCTGAGTAAGCAATGAAGTTATAATCTCGTGGAATGTGTGATTCCTTCTTATATTGGGGCCACAGTCATTCAGCAAATAAAATTTTAGTATCTCTAAGTGTAATTTTGATACATCAATTAAAACCTAACATCAATATTTTATCTGTTCTAAAAAGTGAATGTTTTAAAGTTGTGATTAACAAGACCAAGTTTTTGTATCAAATATTTAATCATGTACTATATGCTGAAATAAGAGAGATCTACAAGTACCACTGGAATGAACATCATATAGATAATATAGTTTATTACTTTCATAAGCAATAACATTCATATTAATTTATATCTTCGTGATTTTTTGAAATCCAAAGAAAACAAAAATGCAGATGCACAAAAACACTTTAAGCTTATGTTCTGTATTTTATAAGGGAATTAGAAAAATTAAAAGCTTAAAAAAGAAAGTGGAATAAGAATTTAATTGGGAAAATGTTAATGACAGCCTAAAGCTGCACTAAAATTCTGAATAAAACATGGCTACTGCAACTGGACCAGGTTTCTTTATGAAGTTGTTTCTAATTCTAAGCTGCATATGTGCAGACACAAGTGATGTAGAATTTATGTGTTGGCCATGGTAAGTACACATTTTTTCTTGGATAGTCAGTTTTTTCTTAAAAATGTATAAAGAACTCTCACCTCATAATAAGTCATGAAAATTGACTGTTTTTCTTATCATTACATATTAGTATGATGCAATGCAGCATAACACATAAATAAACCACCTTTTAAAAACTTTAGCCTACTAAGATGGATTATAAAACATTAAGTGAAAATGAAATAAGAAATCTCCAAGTCAGGTAACTCTAAATGTTGGGTCATAAACAAGTTATATCTCCACTAAATTAATAAATATTCTGACCTCAGGACATTTTCCACAGGCCTGAGACACCTCAGAAGTCCAAACTCAATCACTAAACACACCCCCAATATACTTTAGCCATATGACTCTTAAGGAAACATAAAATCATTCCTACATCCCTATTTGCTCATTTTTCCCCCTGTGCAATCAATGATTTCTAAAAAGTAAAGACTTCATTGCTTTACTGTCTTTTGTAAAAACAAACAAACAAAAAACAACAAACAAACAAAAAACACCTCGTGGTAGTTCCCTTAGAGTCCTTCCTGGAAGCCAATTCAAGGAAGCCTGGACGGAGGCGTGACACTTGGACTGGGAAGGTGGTGTAATCTGTTGCGAATCACAGCAGGTTCTGAAGTGCTGGAGAACCCACGTGTGCAGGGGCTGGAGAACTTTTCCACCGTCTCCCAGAGGAAATGCCTCATTTTAAAATAGGGGGCTGGCTGGAGCAAGGGGTGGGGGTGAAGGGTGGGCGGTAAAAAAAGGCAGAGGCGAAGCTTTCAAACCGTTCACGCATGTCTACCTGTGCTTATTTTCCCTCTATTTCGCCTCCGATCAACTTTATTATTATTATTATTATTATTTTCCTTCTATAGGAGGACTTAAGCAACCAGGATGCTGAACATCTCATAGGCTCAGGCTGGAACAAAGAAAATCGAGTTCCTAATACTGTATCTCACCCGTTGGAGGGATCACGTGTCCTGCTTTCGCTGGAATGCACTCTTCTCGCCCACGCTATAAAAATCTCTATTGTGCTTAGAAATTTCGCCTAGGTTAGAATATGCTCACAAAAAATTGCTTTTCATCCACCAGGAGAGCCACATTTCGACATATACAGATACAAATCTATTTACCTGCTGACCCAGTTACCACTGCAGGTAAATTCGATGTGTTGAAAGAGTATTGGGAAAGTAATTGAAAAGAGCAGGGGGAGGACCCCTGTGTCTTACCGATCCCCACCCCCATCGCTTTTTTTTTTTTTTTTTTTTTTGTAATTCCTTTTGAAGGAGAACTTCGAAAGGAACGTGGGAGTCGCAGATGGTTCCTTTCTGAAGCCGATTCCTGGGAGTTGTGAAAGTGACCCCGTCTCTTCTCTGCCTCGAGCTGTGCCCTCTCGCCCAACCCGCTCGCTTTATGACTTGATGGGGAAGAGACAGCCAGAGAAGAGCCGGAGTAGAGGGCGGAGGCGGGTCCTTTATTCAGCCCTGATGGCCGAGAAGTAGTGTAAGGAAGCAATCTTTCAGCCATCTCCGTTATTATGAAGTCACACTATTTTAAAAGGCAATCTATACAGTCCCCCAACCCCCGCCCCCATTCTTGACTCTGCAAACAGTAAGATTAGAGACCACTGGTAGCCAATCTAATAGTCCACGAGCCAGGGTGCCATGATTACCTTAATGCTAATGTGCTTCCCTCCCTCTTTCCACGTCGAATCCGAAACACGTCCTGCATCCTTAATAACTCGGAGAGGAGGACGCAAGATCCTCAAGGGGACCCAGCGCTGGATTGGGAATAGGCAGGTTCACCAGCTTCTCGTGCCACACAAAGGAGATGTGTGGGCAGGAGTTGTCTAGCTGACAGGGAGGGAGGCAAGGTTCTCCCTGACTCCCAGGGAACACGCTCCCCCACTTCTTTCCGTCCTCCAGTCTTTCATGTTCCTTCGTCCCCTCCATCCCCCCAAACCCCACCCTTTCCCTTCAATCCCAATCACATAAAAATCTTCTAATTGTATTTTTTCAAACAGACATCGAGACATTGATACAACACCTTCCAAGATAAAGAGACAAGTGCGTCCTGCCACAAGTGTGTGTGAGTGTGTGTGTGTGTGTGTCACGATCAAACACGCGCTTCATCCCTCAGACACCTCTGGGAAAAAAGCTGACTGGAGATACCCAAGATAATAACGAGGAGCTAAACCTAATTTCAGCGGAACCAATGGTCCCAGCACCAGCGCCCAACATTTACCTTTCCTTTTCGCAGTATGTAACCCTTTAAGGTCTCTTGCCAGCTCAAGCTACTCGGTGCTCCCATGCACCCGCCCAGTTAGCACCCCATTTCCAAATGCTCTGCAACCTACCACATCTTCGCCGCCTCCCTCGGCCACCGCACAAGCAGCTCCCCGCGAGCGCCGAAGCCTCCCGCCCTGCCACCCCCGCCCCCGGCCGGCCTCTGGGGTCCCACACCTCGCGCGCCTACGGTCGCCGCGGCCGGGCCCCCGCAGCACCCTCCGCCACGGAGCGAGCGTGCCTTACTCACATCGCCGGCGGGAGAAACTGCCCATGAGGTTTCGGAGAGCGTAGTCGTGCAGCTGCCAAGGGTTATTCCTTAAGTGTTCAGGGGTCCGCAGTGGAGTGGGCGCCAGGGTCTTCGGAGGAGAAGAGGAGGGAAGGAGTAGAAGGTAGGAAGAACAGGAGATAGAGGGGAATCCAGGAAGGTGCCACGTTAGACCATGATGCCAGTGCCCTTCAGGTGGACGGCTGGAGAGGTTCCCGCGGGAAGCGGCTGAGGGGAAGCCCGAAGCGCCGGCGGGGGAGGCAGGAGCGCGTCCACTCCCCAGCCTCAGCCTGCCCAGCGCGCCGCGCTAGCGACCGCAGCAGCAGCGGCGGCGGCGGCGGCGGTGGCGGAGGCGCAGCTCCCTCCCCGCCCCCAGAAGGCTCCACAGACAATAAATCCTGGGCGGAGAAGAGACAAGCAGGAAAGGCGAATCCTGCACCCAACTCCGTAACAACCCCTGCCCGTTGCCGCGCCTGTGCAGGGCGAGGATCCCCAGGGGCCAGGGCGCAGCGGGCGTCTCGGAGGGGCTGAGCGCTCCGCAACTGCAGGAGGCGGTGGCGGTGGCCCGAGTGGGCGGCTGCAGGTCCCGCCGGCGAGAACCCGCTGCACTGGGGCTGGGTGTCCGTGGCTTCAAGCCCGGTGTTCACCCGGAGTAGGGTCCTCCTCGGTGCAGTGGCTCGGCGCACAGGTGCCAGGATTGGCAGGCGAGGAGGCGCCGCTCATGGCTCTTGGCTGTGTCTCACCGCTCTCCCCGCCCCCTCTCTTTTTTCCCACCCCCTTTTCCGACGACACCAGCTGCAGCTGCTTCAAAGTGTGAAAAATGTCAAGGAGATTTTCCAATGATAGGAGGGGGTAACCATGTTCACAACCCTCGGTCTCTTTTTGAGATCCTCGCCTGTCCCTCTGACCTCTACTCCGGCTCCCCCAAATTATGAGAAGAAAAATCCCAGTCCTGCACAGGATTGAAACGCTAGCCTTCTCCCGGCTCCGTCACGATAGGCTGCTTTTCGAGAACGGGACGAGAGGCCGAGCTCTCTGGGTTCCTCTCGCCTCCGTGGTGTTCGAGGCAGGTGGCACGAATCTCAGCGCGGGGCGGAGCGCGGCTGCCGGCTCCTCCCGCTCGCGGGCCAGCCCCGGGCGCTCGGGCAGCGCGGCGCGGCTTTCTGCAGCGCGGCCGCCTGAGCGGCAGAAGCGGCTCCCGGCCTGTGCGCCTGCCTGAGCGCCCCTGCACCCGCACTAGCTCAGTGACGCTGAGCTCGTGGCTCCTCAGGCTGCTGCTCCTGCTATCTCAGCAAAGAGGCGGCCGGGAGCGCCTCCTCGGGGTTTCCTCCCCCGCCCGCCTTGCCTGCTGCAGGTTGTTGGCTGCCAAGGAGAAAAGTCTCCGCTTGTGCGTCAGGTCGCTTCACATCAGTCATGGCAGCGAACCTTGTGCCTGCTCTTAAGTCCTCTCCTCATTCTGGGGTTGCGGCTGCTGCCCTGGGAGTGCACAAAAAGGGAAGGGTTTTCCCAACTTCCCTTCATATATTCACCGCCCCTCCTCCTGCCATGAACATTCTCTCTGACACACACACACACACACACACACACACACACACACACACACACTCTCTCTCTCTCTCTCATATGCTCCCTTACGTAAAGGCACACACACTTTCTTCTTATACGCTTCTCTAAAGTCCCAGAAGCAGCAAGACATATCAATGAAGCTAGTACTATATTTACACTTTTTTTTTTTTTTTTTGAAACGGAGTTTCGCTCTTGTTGACCAGGCTGGAGTACAATGGCGCGATCTCGGCTCACTGCAACCTCTTCCTCCCCGGTTCAAGCGATCTTCCTGCCTCAGCCTCCCGAGTAGCTGGGATTACAGGCGCGTGCCACCACGCCCGGATGATTTTTTTTGTATTTTTAGTAGAGACGGGGGTTTCACCATGTTGCCCAGGCTGGTCTCGAATTCCTGACCTCAGGTGATCCACCTGTCTCGGCCTCCCAAAATGCTGGGATTATAGACGTGAGCCACCGTTCCCAGCCTATATTTACACTTTTATTCTCTACACACATCTAATGAATTACATCTTTAAAAAAGGATATATTATGCTGGTATTCTTTTGTGGAATATAGGCTATGTGGTTTTTGTTTCTTCATTACAAGAGAGAAAGAATCTTGTCTTTAGTTCTCTAACCTCGAACACAGTCAAGACTGTGCACAGCATTCAAATGCCACTCTGGGGGTGTGTGTAAGCTCACAGTTTGCCAAAAGAAAACACACCTGATTGTATTCTTAGATTTGGAATGCTAAAGTCTTCAAGGTCAAAAATTATGTTTCCTGGCTGCTAGAAATTGTCTAGGAAGAGACTTGAGAGACTGGCACCTAATGTGCGGAGGACCTAGAGAGGAATTATTGCCCACTTTATCTGGGCCATGAAGGTGGGCTGACTTTTAAGGACAACTTGCCAGTGTTTCATATCATTTGCATATAGAAAGGAAAAGGAGTATATTTTGAAAAGCCAGATCGTTTTTTATATTGTTACAAAACACCAAAAGAAAGGGCTCTGAAAATGGCAAGGAAATGGAATAAAATTGTTAAAAGAATTTTTTTTGAATTGACTACTGTTGTGCTCTGTTTTTTTTTCACCTATAGTGTTGTCCTTTTAAACATTTTGCCACATCTCAATGTCTCTGCTGGATGAAGTGACATGAAATATTTTAGGTGCTGATTAAAAATGTATTGACAAAATAACCTGGCGCAACAATTACACAATTATAGCGGTCCTTTATGGGTTTCCAGTTCTTTTTAATACAGTCAACACAGTACTTTCACATATATTCTTTCATTTAATCCTTTCTTAAATCTAGGTGGTGGATAATCTAATCCACACTTACAGGAAGGGCACAAAGGCTCATCTCATAAGGGTGTCCAGTTGCCCTGCACTTGAGCCCAGAATTTCTTATTTTAACTTCAGGCTTCATTGTTTTGTATCAAAATATTTGACAAAAATTATTCTGTTTAAAAACACAGCCAGTTATGAGTAACTGCAGATCCTTGCATACAGGCAGCATACCTACCAATGAAGTTACCTTCTGTGTGTTAAGTGGAAGTAGTTTCCTACGTGGAAACAAACGTATTCCTTTCCAATGGAGAAAAAGATAATTTTGGAACCCCGAATTAAAAATTGATGGTGCTGATATAACACATTTCAAACTACATGTCCTCCTTTCCCATTTATCTTGTCCTAGAATCTTGATTTTGGACCATAAAAATCCAATGGATAAAATACTTTAAATATGTTCAGATGTCCACCTAATTGTTATGGGTTTTAACAAACAGGATTATAAGGTGTAAAGAGAAGGTATTCTCTTTAGAATAAGCTTTGAATACAACGGCTCCATATTTTTGTAAGATTATGAATCTTGAACAAAATCTGGCCACCTTTACTATTTAAACAATGAGACATTGAAGAGATTTCAGTGGTTTCATAGAATTATGGAACTATTGAAATGCAAATGCAGGTGCTGTCTTTAAACTTCAAGCTGCCCTGTCATCAACCCTCTGGAAATGCAGATGACTGTCTAAAAATTGGAGAAAGATAAATGCTAAATATACTTTGGATGTTGTTCAAGCAGAGGCCCAACACTAAAAACTATCACCATTTTACAAATTAGATCAAGGCAGTTTTAACAGATTTGATGTTCCTATTACATCTATAAATGTTTAGACATTAAGGCTATAAAATTTTGCAAGTTGTTAATCAATTTCTTTGACCCACACTGCTAAAATCTTTGAAATGATAATGCTTCTTAGGATAAGCAAGACTAACCTTATTTGAAAATAAAACTCATGGCGATATTAAACAATAAGATGTCAAATATCTTTGAATATTTCCCTTTGGATGCCTGAAATGCTACACTTGTCGTAAAAGATATCCCCTTTGGCAATTACTCATTAAAATAAAAGTACATATAGACAGGATAACACTTTTAGTTTTTGAGTTGTTAGTATCTTAACAGGATTGGCTTAATTAGATACTGGTAATTAGGGAAATAGAAAACATTACTGAATTTTGATGCATGAAGATGAAGGTCTGAAAACCTCAGAGACAGTAGACCTTAGTAAGACAGGATCAGTATGAGTGGGGTACTGTAAGGGTGGACAGTGATGCTTTGTTGTGGTTAGTTTTTGAAAAACCAGGCTGAGGTTCTGAATAGAAAATGGAGGTAGGTCATTAAGATTTTTCTTCAAATGAATTTGTTAGAGGGCTTTTACTATGAAATTGGCCTCTCAAATTAACAATCTGTTCTAGCTAAAGAAAATGCTTCTTTATTGTGGATTTTAATTCATTTGAATAATTATTTTGTAAACATTAATTTGCCTAAGATGAAAAAATACAGTGACCACTGATATACCCATTATGCCCATTAAGAAAGCATTATGGATATGACTGAAGCCTCCTCTCCCATTCCTCTCTCTGTCCACCCCATTCCCCCACACACAAAAGATAACCTCATTTCTAAATTTTGTATTTATTTGTACATTTATACATTCATACATTTTGTGCACTTTGAGTACTAACAATATTTTTGTATCGCTTAGCATAGGTAACCCTTATATAAATGATATAATACAGTATGCATTCTTTTGCAAATTGCTTTTGATTTTTAAAATATCAACATTATGTAAATAATAATGATTCATATTCATATGTGTCACTCTGGTTGACTGATTTTTGATGCTGCATAATAGTTAATTGTATAAACTCACCACATTCACATTCTGATGACAGTTTTTACTATTATAAGTAATACTGTTGGGAACATGTTTGTTTATATCTCTTTATGAATGTGCATAAAAATTTTTCTAGTTAATGTATCACCTAGGAGTGGATTTCTGTTTCAGGGTATGATACAGTCAATATTAAATTGTTTTTCACATGGTTTACAGTTTTATTAGTATTTGTAAGAGTTTTTCTTGGTCCACACTCTGGCAATACTTGGTATTATCAGACATTTTCATGTTGTCCAGCCTAAGGGGTGTAAAAAGGTACTTTATTAAGGTTTACATTCACATTTCCTTTCTTACTTATGAGGTTGAGCAGCTTTTAATAGGTTTACCATTCCCATTTTCAATATGAATTGCTTATTTATATATTTCACTAATTTTCATTGGGTTTTCTTGATTTGTATATCTATGTCTGTGTGTGTAGCCTAGATTTTAATCCTCTGTCAGTTGTATCACTTCTTTGACTTTCAATCTTCATATGGTGGTGTATTTTTATAAAAATAAGCTATAATTGATAACTTTATCAATACTTTCCTTTATGGAATATGCTTTATATCTAGCTTAAGAAAACCTTTATTACCCCCCCCTCCCAGGTTATGAATGTATTTTTCTATGTTGTATTCTAAAAGGCTTACAATTTTAATGTTTTACCTTTTAGACTTTAAATCATCTGAAATTGATTATTTGTATGGTGTGAGGTAGGGATTCATTTTACTTTTCTACTTTCCTCCCCATGGAATGAATGCTTGCATTACTGCATAGCATATCATGTATCAGTTCATTGGTTTATTTTTGGGGATGGGCAATTTGTTCTTTCTATTCTATGCAAGTTGAAAACTGAAAAAACTGTCCTGATTACTCAAGCTTTATAATCAGCACTGATATCTAGGGAGAACAAGGAGCCTCATCTTGTTCTTCAAAATGTTTGACTATTCTTCATCCTTTCTTTTTGTACTATTAATTTTTAAGCATGATGCAAATTCATAATAGTTTTTAAAATTTTTCTCACACCACAAGTCTTTTAAAAACAGATTGCTATTTCACAAGACCTTGTTCTGTGTAGTGTTATAACAAATTAGCAATTCTGTCTCACAAGAAATTCAGACTAAATTTATCATGCCAGTACTCCAACAGAAAGTTTACCTTAGATAAAAACTGAGTAAAAAGGCTAGTCAAGAATGAAATATATCTTTAAAAACAATGTAGATAACTTCACCAACACATTACCGTATACAAACATTCTGAAAAAGTCTCTGCCATCTCTAGGTGGTTTTATAGGTATACAAAAATTTTAAATGCTTTTTTTTCATTCTAAAATGGATATTATGTAGTTAAAGCAAGCAAAAGTTTTCCTAATTCTAAAATTGTGTTATTATATTAAGAAATTGCATGCTCTTAATTTTTTTAAATTTTAACTTCCAGGACACATGTGCAGGATGTACATAGGTAAATGGTTGCCACAGTGGTTTGCTGCACCTATCAACCCACCACCCAAGTATTAAGCCCAGCATGCACCAGCCATGGTGCCCTGCTGCCCCTGACAGGCCCCTGTGGGTGTGTTCACCTTCCTGTGTCCATGTGTTCTCATAATTCAGCTCCCACTTAAAAGTGAGAACATGTGGTGTTTGATTTTCTGTTCCTGTGTTAGTTTGCTGAATAATGGCTTCCAGCTCCATCCATGTCCCAGCAAAGAACATGATCTTGTTCCTTTTTATGGCTGCATAGTTTTCCATGTGTATATGTACCACATTTTCTTTATCTAGTCTATCATTGATGGGCACTTGGGTTGATTTCATGCTTCACTATTATGAATAGTACTGCAATGAACATAAGTGTGCGTGTATTATTATTATTATTATTATTATTATTTTTTTTTTTTTTTTTTTTTTTTTTTTTTTTTTTTTTTTTTTTTTTGAGACGGAGTCTCGCTCTGTCGCCCAGGCTGGACTGCGGACTGCAGTGGCGCAATCTCGGCTCACTGCAAGCTCCGCTTCCCGGGTTCAACGCCATTCTCCTGCCTCAGCCTCCCCAGTAGCTGGGACTACAGGCGCCCGCCACCGCGCCCGGCTAATTTTTTGTATTTTTAGTAGAGACGGGGTTTCACCTTGTTAGCCAGGATGGTCTCGATCTCCTGACCTCATGATCCACCCGCCTCGGCCTCCCAAAGTGCTGGGATTACAGGCGTGAGCCACCGCGCCCGGCCTATTATTTTTTTTTTTGAGATGGAAACTCACTCTGTTGCCCAGGCTAGGGTGCAGTGGTGCAATCTTGGCTCACTGCAACCTCTGCCTCCTGGGTTCAAGTGATTCTCCTGCCTCAGCCTCCCGAGTAGCTGGGACTACAGGCATGCATCACCACACCAAGCTGATTTTTGTATTTTTAGTAGAGACGGGGTTTCACCATATTGGTCAGGGTGGCCTTGAACTCCTGACTTCATGATCCGCCCACTTCGGCCTCCCAAAGTGCTGGGGTAACATGTGTGAGCCACCACACCTGGCCTGCATGTATCTTTATAATAGAATGATTTATATTCCCTTGGGTATATACCCAGTAATGGGATGGATGTGTCAAATGGTATTTCTGGTTCTCAATCTTTGAAGAATCACTACACTGTCTTCCATAATGGTTGAACGAATTTACATTCTCACCAATAGTGTAAAAGCATTCCTATTTCTCTGCAACTTCAATAGCATCTGTTGTTTCTTGACTTTGATAATCGCCATTCTGACTGAGATGTTATCTTACTGTGGTTTTGATTTGCCTTTCTCTAATGATAAGGGATGTTGAACTTTTTTTCATATGTTTGTTGGCTGCATGAATGTCTTCTTTTGAGATGTATCTGTTCATGTTCTTTGCCCAATTTTTAATGGGGTTGTATGCTTTTTTCTTGTAAATTTAAGTTCCTTGTAGATTCTGGATATTAGCCCTTTGTCAGATAGATAGATTGCCAAAAAAAATCTCTCATTCTGCATGTTGTCTGTTCACTCTGATAATAGTTTCTTTTGCTGTGCAGAAGCTCTTTAGTTTAATTAGATCCCATTTATCAATTTTTGTTTTTATTGCTATTTCTTTTGGTGTTTTCATCATGAAATCTTTGCCCATGCCTATATCCTGAATGGCATTGCCAAGATTTTCCTCTAGGATTGTTATAGTTGTGGGTTTTACATTTAAGTTTTTAATACATCTTGAGTTAATTTTTTATAAGGTGTAAGGAAGGGGTCCAGTTTCAATTTTCTGCATATAGCTAGCCAGTTCTCCCAGCACCATTTATTAAATAGGGAATCCTTTGCCCATTGCTTGTTTTTGTCAGGTTGGTCAAAGATCAGATGGTTGTAGACGTGTAGTCTTACTTCTGATTTCTCTCTTCTGTTACATTGGTCTATGTGTCTGTTTTTGTACCAGTACCATGCTCTTTTGGTCACTGTAGCCTTGTAGTATAGTTTGAAGTCAGGTAGTGTGATGTCTCCAGCTGTGTTATTTTTACTTACGATTGTCCTGGCTATTTGGGCTCTTTTTTGGTTTCATGTGAATTTTAAAATAGTTTTATTTTAAATTATATGAAGAATGTCAATGGTAGTTTAATGGGAATAGCATTGAATCTATAAATTGCTCTGGGCAGCATGGCCATTTTTACAATATTGATTCTTCCTATCCATGAAAATGGAATGTTTTTCCATTTGTTTGTGTCTACTCTGATTTCTTGGAGCAGTGGTTTGTAGTTCTCCTTCAAGAGGTCCTTCACTTCCCTTGTTAGCTGTATTTCTAGGTATTTAATTCTCTTTTTAGGAATTGTGAATGGGAATTCATTTGTAATTTGTTTCTCTGCTTTCCTGTTTTTGGTGTATAGTAGTGCTTGTGATTTTTGCACATTGATTTTGCATCCTGAGACTTTGCTTAAGTTGCTTATCAACTTAAGGAGCTTTTGGGCTGAGATGATGAGGTTTTCTAAATATAGAATCATATCATTGCAAACAATGACAATTTGACTTTGTATCTTCCCATTAAATAAGTTTTTAATTTCTTTTTCTTACCTGATTGTGCTGGCCAGAACTTCCACTATGTTGAAAGGAGTGGTGAGAGAGGGCATCCCCAAGATACATCATCATCAAATTCTCCAAGTTTGAAATGAAGGAAAAAATGTTAAGGGCAGCCAGAGAGAAAGGCCAGGTCACCTACAGAAGAAGCCCATCAGACTAACAGCAGACCTCTAAGCACAAACCCTACAAGCCACAAGAGAGTGGAAGCCAATATTCAAAATTCTTAAAGAAAAGGATTTTCCACCCAGAATTTCATATCCAGCCAAACTAAGCTTTATAAGCGAAGGAGTAATAAAATCCTCTTCAGACAAGCAAATGCTGAGGGAATTCATTACTACCATGCCTGCCTTGCAAGAGCAGCTGAAGGAAACACATAATATGGAAATAAAAAGCCATGACTAGCCTCTACAAATCACACTGAAGTTCACAGACCAGTGACACTATGAAGTCACTACATAAACAAGTCTGCAAAATAACCAGCTAGCATTACGATGACAGGATCAAATTCACACATGACAGTATTAACCTTAAATATTAATGGGCTAAATGCCCCAATTAAAAGATACAGAATGGCAGGCTGGATAAAGAGTCAAGACCCATCAGTGTGCAGTATTTAAGAGACCCGTCTCATGTGCAAAGGCACACATAGGCTCAAAATAAAGGGATGGAGGAATATTTACCAAGCAAACGTAAAACAGAAAAAAACAGGGGTTGCCATCCTAGTATCTGGCAAACAGACTTTAAACCAACGGAGATCAAAAAAGACAAAGAAGGGCATTACATAATGCTAAAGGGTCAATTCAACAAGAAGAGCTAACTACCCTAAATATACATGCAGCCAATACAGGAGTACCCAGATTTATAAAACAAATTCTTAGAGACCTACAAAGAGACTTAGACTCCCACACAATAATAGTGGAAGGCTTTAACATCCCACTGTCAATATCAGACAGATCGTTGAGACAGAAAATTAACAAAGATATTCAGGACCTAAACTCAGCTCTGGATCACGTGGACCTGATAGATATCACAGAACTCTGTACCCCAAAACAAGAGAATATACATTCTTCTCAGTGCCATATGGCACTTACTCTAAAATTGATCACATACTTAGAGGTAAAACACTCCTCAGCAAATGCAAAAAAACTAAAATAATAACAGTCTCTCAGATCACAGCACAATCAAATTAAAACTCAAGATTAAGATATGAACACCACAGAACTACATAGTAATGGAACAACCTGCTCCTGAATGACTCCTGGGTAAGTAATGAAATTAAGGTAGAAATCAAGAAGTTCTTTGAAACTAATGAGAACAAAGAGAAAACCTACTTGAATCTCTGGGACGCAGCTGAAGCAGTTTTAAGAGGGAAATTTATAGCACTAAATGCCCGTATCAAAGAGCTAGAAGATCTTAAATCAATATCCTAACATCACAATTAAAAGAACTAGAGAATTAAGAGCAAACAAACCCCAAGCTACCAGAATACAAGAAATAACCAAGATCAGAGCAAACTGAAGGAGATAGAGACACACACACACAAAAACCCCTCAAGACATCAAGGAATCCAGGAGGGAGCTGTTTAAAAAAAAAAATAGTAAAATTGACCACTAGCTAGACTAATAAAGAAGAAAGGAGAGAAAAATCAAATAGACACAATCAGAAGTGATAAAAGGGATATTACCACTGACTCCACAGAGTTACAAACAGCCATGAAATAATAGTATAAACATCTCTATGCAAACAAACTAGAAAATCTACAAGTAATTGATAAATTCTTATACACCCTCCCAAAATCTGAACCAGGAAGAAGTTGAATCCCTAAATAGACCAATAAGGAGTTCTAAAATTAAGGCAGTAATAAATAGCCTACCAACCAGAAAAAGCCCAGGACCAGACAGATTTACACTGAATTCTACCAGAGGTACAAAGAGGAGCTGGTACCATTTCTTCTGAAACTATTCCAAACAATTGAAAAGGAGGTACTCTTCCCTAACTCATTTTATGAGGCCAGCATCATCCTGATATCAAAACCTGGCAAAGATACAACACAAAAAAAGAAAAGTTCAGGTCAATATCCCTGATGAACAGTGATGCAAAAGTTCTCAAAAAATTTTTTGATTTTTTTTCAAGAAGTTATATGCCAATTTTTTCTAATCTTTTCTGAAAGCATCATGTTCCTTCCCTATATTTTTGATTCACTCCTTCAGATACAGGAGTGAATTGTATATGCTGTATATAGCATATTTCATGCTGTATCTGATAATTTTATTATCTGAATTCCATGGGATCTAATTTGAGGTACTAATTTATTTTCTCCTTAGTTTTGCTTATGCTGGTATGTTTTCTTGGATTTTGGGTTAGATTTTATCTGGGGAAATTACATAAACCCTTGGTTGTTTCTTTCCAATGAGGATTTTTATTTGTTTCTTCTAGGTGCTTCAGGGAGCTAACTACCTAAACTGTTTCAACTTAAGCTGTGGACTTCCCAGATGACTGAGACAAACCCCGAGGGCTGAAAAGGACACACCTGTGATTATTAATCCTTAGAACGACTTTCTTCCCCACCTAGAATCAAGATTGAAGCAGACAAGTGTCTTATAATCTGTATTTTCAAGAGGGTAGATATTTTCTAAATAAACCATTTAGTGAAGATGTAACCCTTCAAGGATCTCACATTTAAGTAGAGATCTCAGTTACCTCCCACCTTTCTTAGGTTAGACGTCTAGGATCTTGTTCAGCTACCACTTTGTAGGCAAGTTCTAGATTATGAAAATGGACAAATTCCTTTAGCAGAATTGTAAACTTAATGTTTCTTACCATTGTGGCTTCTCTTAATTTTGGTCTCCAAACATTTCCCTTCTTTTTTGGAAGTTCACTGTTCACAAAACAATAAAAAATGTAGTTTGTTATTTTTTCCCCAGCATTTCCAGGTGTTTTGTCCTAGAGCTATTTTCATGGTATTTAGCCTGCCATATTTTGGAAGTAGACGAACATCTGTTTACATTACAATTTTTGAGGTGATTTTTTTTTTTTGGTGTAGAAATGTTGAAGTTAGCTAGGTTAAGTAGCATTTTGTATATTACCTTTCTGTCAAGCATGGTATTTTAAGAGATGGCAGTGGAAATAAGCCTTGCCACCGTGATGCTGTTACACAGGCATAATGGTAACTTTACTACCAATAGCTTTTAAGTGAAACAAACAAAAACATATTTTTGGTTGTTTTCTTAATGACCCTAATATATTTTCAGGTTTCAGTGTAAGCAAAAATCTCTTTTAAATAGTAGTTATTTCCATCAGCTAGATGCAAAATTTGTTACTTTTTATCGTAGGGCACACTCATGGTTAGCATTAATGGTAATTACTTGATTGAAATCTCTTCATATTGTAAACACAAAATGCATAAACAAGTTGAATCATGAAAGGTGTTCTGACTGTTCAGTTAACAATTAACACTGAGACCTAAAAAACTGAAAGCCAAGCAAATTCAGCTCTTTTTAAACTTTCTGATAAACACATACAAGATAATTCAATAAACTAGAAATTACGTAATAAAAAAACTAGTAGCATTATAGCATTGTTCAAGAAAGGAACAAAAATTACCTAATTATTTCTCTGACAGTTTTTATATTTTTTATATTTTCTGAACATAGAGGTAATATATTCTTATTGTTAAGATCCAAAGCAATATAGACATTTTATGTTGTGAAATATAAAAGCTCTGTATAATTCATATACCTGAAATAACTGCAGTTATTAATATCGAATACTTCTCTAAATTTATTCAGTGTATAGAAACATAGTTATATTAGTGGTTTTATCTCCCAGAAATGTATTCTTATTATATATAACTGCCTTATAACTTGCTTTTTATTGAATATATTGTGAAATATCCTTCTATTTTAGTACCAATTTACTAATCATCCCTTCTTTCTATAGGCTTCATAGAATCTTATTGCATGATGTACTATCGTGCATGTTACCCCTTTCCTATTAATGATTATTAGATGGATCCTAAATTTTTCACTATTGCAACAATTTTTGCAATGAATATTTTTGTACATATGTCTTTGCATTCTTGTGTAACACTTTTATAGCATATGTTTTTTAGAAATATTATTGACAATACAAAAACTATACATTTACGAAAATTTGATAGTACCTTTCCTTCCCAAAATGTTAAACTAGTTCATGTTCAGAATTCCTGTTTTCCTACTACCAAACCGTGTACCAATCATCATTTAACTGTTCCTTGTCTGATAGACAAACATATTTCATTTATTTAATCTCTATAACAATGAAAATTTGAAATACAGAATTATATAAGCTTGAAATGCAGAGGACTTACCTTATTATTTATAAATGGTCAAAATTTTGTTGTCACCATATTTTCTATCTGTGGCAAAAAATACATGAAAATTAGGTATCAATATAGATATAAATTTTTTGCCATAGAAAATCAGTTTTTAGTTAAGTTTCATGATACCTTATAGTAGTAAAAGGAAAACGTGTTGAAGTTTTGTCAACTCATTATATATCCCCACTATCCCATCGTCCAGCTCCTTCTCATTTCTTTCAAGAAAAGTTCACAGAGCTGAGAATCTCTGATATTCTCTAAGATTTAAACCATATCAATAAACTAACCTTACCCCACTTGAGTTAAAGAAATGTTTTAAGATTCATACAGGAATTCGGCATTACATAGGTACAGCCAAAAGGTTTTTGATAACCTTATTCTTGTTATCACACACTGAGAGTTCACATTGTGTAATTTTCAACTCAATAACATTGTTTTAGTTATTTTTTTTTAGTTTCACGGCTTGAAAATGCCATAGACCAGTATATCTGAGCTTGACTTATTTAGTATATTTTTTCCTGCATAAGAAAATAAAATTAAATACAGTTCAGTCAGTCATTTTTGTTTTAAGCTTGATATTTGATTTCAAATAAAAATGAAGTGTCTTTTTCCCTATAGTAGTTTCTCTATATAATACAAAGCACTTAAAAATAAGTAAGAATCTGAAAAGTTTTGAGAATGAATAGATAATATGAAAATCATTATGAATGCAATTTATTTGCAGTATTAAACCTGTGGAAGTGATTTACTTTTATTACATAAGTAGATACTGGATCAGAATGTTGACACTATCTTCTAAAATCCAACAGGTTATTTTACGATGTTAAGCGCATATCTAAGAGAACCAGGAAGCTCTCACCATGGTATTTAACCTTTAGGGATTGTGTATATCTAAATATGTCTAGATGTATTCCTGTTTCTCTAAAGTACACATCTGGTTAATTTAAGATCTTCAAGCTATGTTAACATTAAATTTAAATAGATTAGGTTACTTTCCTAGAAATAGAAACTTTATAAAGGTAGAAGAGCTATTACATTAAAAATTTCTTAATTTAAGATGGAATTGCCTGCTTATATTAGCCATAATGTATGTTCAAATATCTTTGTAACTGTAATCTACATCAAAATGATTTAAGTAAATATTCCTTTTTATTTATGCTTTCACTATTATGTTGTTTCTGTGTTCAATAATATGCCTATTTTCTTTAAATTATAGAACATTAGCTGATTTCTATAAAATTGTAAAACTTAAGCCTTTTAAAGTTCTGTTTTCACGTTTTACTTCTACTGAATACGTGATTAATTGTATAAAATGTCGTTTGACCCATTTAATGAGCACATACTATGAGCAAAACACTTTAAGTGCAATAAAAAATATAAATTATAATAGCAAGACTACCTAACTTGGCAGTGACTGGCTTAGATATTTGGGTGTCTTAGAGAATAGAAAGAAGGTAAAAATATCCTAGCCACATAATACAACTTATTCAATAATCCATATAGTTGATGCAAATATATGGTACCTTGCTATCACGTGATGATGAGAATTTCTTTGCATCCAGAAGGTAGACTCCATTTTACATTTTCCTTTTACTTTTTCCAAGGAGTGTATTATTTCCAC